>NC_000020.11:46314719-51314719 GCF_000001405.40 Homo sapiens
AGGTGGCATGAAGCTGTCCCACCTCTGCACTCCACTGGACCTGGAACACATGTCCCTGTTTTCTTCCCTCCTCCTGCCCCTCATGGGTAGCACAGCCCTTGACTCTCATGCCTGATGGGGCCATCACAGATGACGACTTCTTAGGAACAGGCAGTTGGATGCCACGGAGAAAGTGCTAGGTATCCTGAGAAGCCTAAGATCTTCCGGCTGTGGCTCCGACCTCAACTCTCTCTGTGTTTTGGGCAGGTCTCTAGTTCTTTCTTTTCTTGGCCTGGGTTTTCTATTGCATAAAATAAAGGAGGAGAGGTGGGGGAAGATTTCATGATGACCAAGAGCCCTTCCGGGGTCCAGGATTCTCTGCTCCACACGTAATTTTCCAAGCCCTGTCTTGCGTCTTCCCTGTGTGGATGCTGCCTGGCCTTTCTCTTGTTGACACCTGAAGCAGTGATGTGCTGGAACTGGTTTGTGCTGGCTTATCAAAGCCAGTTGTTAGAGTCTTTTTCCAGGAATTTTGCAAGCCAGGTTGGCAAGCCCTTGAAATTGGCCAGGTTGAGAATATTTACACCACAAAAAAGAAATGATAAACAATACAAATCAGGGCTTGCTCCCTGCTTCCCCCAGAGCCAGCTCACCTCTGCCTGAAGGTCTCATTCCTACCTCCAGGCCTTCCACCTCCAGGCCTTTGCCCATGTGGTCTCTGGCTGAGCAGCCTCTGCTCCATCCCTTGCTGTCTGTTCTCTCTCACCAAGGCTTCAGACTTCAACTCATACCTCACCCACTCAGAGCTGAGTGCTTCTTCCTTCACCCGATAGTGCTCCTTACTGCCAGGAATGCTCATTTTTCGTGGAGAAAAATACACACTTTGGAGCAGACAGATCCAAGTGGAAATCCCGGTCCTGCTCTGTGCTCGCAAGGTTGTCTCCTTCTTGTCAGTGGCGCTCCTGCTCAGCTGTTACCTGTTTACAGAGAACATCCCTGACCACCCCACGGCAAATGGCACTTCACCCCTATTCCATCTTGCTGTGACATCACCCAATCTTTTCACCCTGCTTTAACTTCTGAGCTGTTACCCCTTCCTAACATTTACATTTATTTATTAACTCACCCAATGCCCATTTCTCTCTCTAGGATGTGAGTTCTGGGAGGGCAGAGATCTTTTCTGTCCTGATTGCTGCTACATCCTCATCTCCTAGAACCTTGCCTGGCACATAGTAGGTACTCAATCATTTCAGTGACTAAATGAGTGTGACCTTGGGCAAGTCATGTCACCTGCCTGAATTTCAGTTGCCTCAACACCTCACCTGGCAGGATGTTTGGCAGGTGTATTCCTGGCCTGAGCTGCCTTAGAGAAAGGCCAAGGACTGGGATCCTAGTACCAGCCCTGCCACTAACTCGCTGTGTCACCTTGGGCAAGTCTCGCCTCCCCTGGCCTCAGTTTTGCCATCTCTCAGGGGTCAGATGAGATGACAAGCAGGAGTGAGGTGTCATTTCAATCTGTGGGTCCCATCTGCTGCTCCCTCCCACCCCCTCCCCACCTCATTCATTCATTCAACAAATATTAATGAGCATCTACTATGTGGCAAGCACTGAGAATACAGGACCAAATGTGGGGATGACTCATGGGCTCCTACATCCCAGTTGGGGAGGAAAATAAACAAGATAAATTCACAGAATAAATAGAATGTCAGAGGGTGATGGTACCAAGGAAAAATTAAAAGCTGGAAAGGAGCACGGGGAGAGTTGAAGAGGGGGTGTCAGTTTTAGGAAGTGGCGGGGGAGTCAGGGAAATAACTCACTGGGAAGGGGAAACATAAAGAAAGATGCAAAGAATGCCAGGTGTGGTGGCTCACACCTGTAATCCCAGCACTTTGGAAGGCCGAGGCAGGTGAGTCACATTGAGGTCAGGAGTTCGAGACCAGCTTGGCCAACATGGTGAAACCCTGTCTCTATAAAAATACAAAATTAGCCAGGCATGGTGGCGTGTGCCTATAATCCCAGCTACTCGGGGCGCTGTGGCAGGAGAATCGCTTGAACCCAAGAGGCAGAGATTCCACCACTGTACTCCAGCCTGGGCGGCAGAGTGAGACTCTCATCTCAGAAAAAAAAAAAGACATAAAGGAGGTGGCTCCCTAGGGTAGAGGGAATGGCAAGTGCAAAAGCTGGAAGCAGAATGGGCCTGGTGTGTCTGGAACCCAGTGGGCTGAGGCCACAGATGGGACAAGGCATCCTACCCCTCCCTCCATCTCTCATTAGGATTAGGAAGATGGTCCCAAAGAGTGTGACACAGGAGTCTCAAAAGGAAGATGGAGGGACTCCCCTGTGCCTCCCTCCCTCCCTCGCCGCCTGGGCGTCTCCTGAGTGGGGAGCCCGGGCTCGCTGTGGGTGTCGGCAGCTTTTGGATCAGCAATTTATCTCCTGGTGCCTCGAGTTTCCTGGAGCTGGGCACTTCCTCCCCACTCAGCCCCGCTCCCTTGAGCGGCAAAGACAGGTGTGAGGAATTAGCTGTGGGGACTAATGCCGTGACAGGAACCGGCACAAAAGAAGGGGACAGAGTGTAATGTTTATTACGTTTGAAGCAAAGCAAACATGCGGCCTATTTATGTATCTATAGAGAATTAATTGGCGAGCGGCAGCAAGAAGCAGATTATAAATTAGAATCATTTTCGCCAACTGAAACCCATTCATCTTGCTTCAGAACGGGCCTGTCACCTCCTCCTGACTAATTCCTTTTAAATTTGCTGCTTTTTCTCACCGGCCCCCCGCAGCTCTCACCTCGCGACCTGAACCCCACGAGGGGTG
The DNA here is from genome assembly GCF_000001405.40 of Homo sapiens. Classification (NCBI taxonomy): domain Eukaryota; kingdom Metazoa; phylum Chordata; class Mammalia; order Primates; family Hominidae; genus Homo; species Homo sapiens. The sequence continues at coordinate 46,317,519 of NC_000020.11, forward strand.
CCTCCGGGAAGGGCCATGGCCAAGCTCTGTGCTTTTCTGAGCCCACTCTCTTCCTCCTCCAGCCTCCTGGAACTCCCCCCGTGCCCCACAGCTGGTCCTGGGCCTGAGCCCATGCCTTGCACTGCTGTCTCTCCTTCCCCTCTGCTCTGGAACCTCCCTCAGCCCCTCTCTGGCTCTGGCCTGTCCCCTGAGAATCCGGCAGGTTGGGCCCCCCACCAGCCTCACCTTGCAGAGGCTCAGGCCAGGCTGGTGGTTAAGGGAAAAGGGCACATGGGGCTGCCATCCGGGGGGACCCTGGGGCACTGGCCACTGCCGCCTGCTTTTGATTCTGGGCTCCACGGGAATCAAAGGGAAGCCACGCTGCTGGGTCCCTGGCAGGTCTGGCTCTGGCTTCTCTCACCTGGAGCCTGTGGAGATGAAAGGCCAGGGCAGGTGCCAGAGGCTGCCATGCCCAAGAGCGGTGCTGTGCCTGCCCTGGGCTGTGGCCCAATTAACCCTTCCCTTCCTTCTGTCTGAGCTGCCGTTGGTCCTTTGAGTCTGGCAACTGCAGGGAAACCTTTGTGGAGAAGAGAAAGTAGCCAGAATGTGAGTGCCTGGGACTGGGACAAGGTAGCTAAACATCAGAAGCCTAATGGTTCAAGGTGCAGGCCCTGGAGTGAGCCCAGCCTAGGTTTGAATTCAGGTAGCACCTCCCCACTAGGGTGGCACCTCTCTGAGCCTCAGTTTCTTTGACTGTAAAATGGAGCAGGTGGTAGTAGTGCCTATGACCTGAAGCAATATTCAGCCGGGCTTGTTAAAATATTGCAGTATGGGGCCGGGCATGGTGGCTCATGCCTTTAAACCCAGCACTTTGGGAGGCCGAGGCGAGCAGATCATTTGAGGTCAGGATTTTGAGACCAGCCTGGCCAACATGGTGAAACCCCGTCTCTACTAAAAATTAAAAAAAAAAAAAAAAGCCAGGCATCGTGGCAGGCACCTGTAATCCCAGCTACTCAGGAGGCTTAAGCAGGAGAATCTCTTGAACCCAGGAGACAGAGGCTGCAGTGAGCCAAGATCATGCCACTGCACTCCAGCCTGGGTGACAGAGCGAGACTCTGTCACACACAAAAAAATATTGCAATACTTTTGTCCTGGCCAGCCCATGGACCAAATGTTCTCTCCTGCTCCCATTTCACCTACGGACACCTCCTCTTGCCAAGGTCCAAAAACTAAAGGTTGACTCCTCTGGCGGCCGTGAGGACCTGCTGCAGCCTCAGTGGTTCTGATTGATCCTACGTGCTGAACTGAGGGTTAAATATTTTGTTTATCTGCCCTGCTTGCATCCCACAGATGTCATGAAGATTAAACAAGATAAGAGTATGGTGCTTGGCATCCAGTAGGTGCTTAACAGAGGTAGGTATCGTTGGCGCCATTATTAATTTGGACCAAGTCTCTAAGCCTGGAATCCTGGCATTCCAGGTCCCCACTTTTCCCCACCTCCCCACCTTTTAAAAACATTCACCAATAACTTCCAGCCTCCCCCATGAATGCGCTGTTCCCACCCCAGCTGTTGGGCCTGAGACTCTCTCTGTGCTGAGCTCCTGGAATGTGCCAGAGCACGGACCTCCTGCGTTGGGAAACCTTCTTCTTTGGGGATGTTGAGTCTCAGAGGCAGACCTGGAGTCCTTAAGGGGAGCACCTCAGCTAACTGACCTCTGTGCTCCCTTCTCCCCAGATTGGCCACAGCCTAGGGGTGTCCAAAAGTCCCAAGACTGAGACAGAGAGACAGATTGGCCCAGTACTGCAGGCAGCATTCAGGCAGTTGTCAAGGGCCTATGGAAAAGTTCAAGATGTGAAAAGGAAAAAAGAAAAGATAAGCTCCAAAATACAAAAAGAAAACTGCAAAATCAAAATTAGTAAGTGTTTAATTAAATGTCTACAAAATCTAGCATTGTGCCAACTAGTCAGTGCCAATTCTGTTCATCCCTCCTCTACTCATGCATAGGAGAGGTCTGAAGTGGGAGTCGGTGCATTTTATGCATGTGCTGTGGTGTGGCACGGGGACCTTCAAAGCAGGAGTGTGCTGGGGTTCAATCTCTTGGGTCACAGCTCTGTTCCTTGCTCACTGGGTGACCTTGGGCGAGTCACCTCCGCTCTCTGGGCCTGTTTCTTCTTTCTTCCTCTGTCAAATGAGGAGAACCACTTCCCAGCTCCCAGAGTGGCTAAGAGGCTATGGAAGCATGTTTCAGGAAAGTCTGGCAAGTGCTGATCTCGTGTTGTGGGAATCCAGCAAGGGGAGGGGGCTTGCCAAGACCTGCTGAAGAAGACTTGAACCTCAACCTCTGAGCTCCTCTCTGCCTTGTTCCCCTGCACAGGGCATGGACAAGGACGATATTCGAATGTGTAACAGTTAATAATGGCCATTGGAGCAAGACCCTGGAGGCCCTGCTGGGCCACTTGTAACCCATTAGTTGCTGGATCCTGGGAAGAGTCAGGTGTTCTGGGGCAGAGCTGGGTGTCAAGGAGGTGGGCTGAGCCCTTGGGAAACTCTACACAGGCAACCACCTATTTGCCCATCAGAATGGAAAGATGTCAGCATTTGAACACCTGGCACAGCCCTAGTGACGTGTGCTGGCTCCACCTAGCCTGTCATGGGTCATCCTCCAAGATGGGCCAGGACACTTTTGTGAGTGACGTGGCATTTAGAGATCATTATTTATATGCTGACCCTATGTCCCAGAGATTCTGCTCCTGGGTGTAAATTTCAGTGAAATTCTCAGCATGACTGGGAGGAACAAGTCTGAGGATTCTTGTGCCCATGCTGTGTTGAGGGGAGTTGGAGGCAACCCACCTCTCCTCCCTGGGGGAGCGTACAGGAAGACATGGGAGACACACCCTGCAGAGGTCCTGGCAACTGTTAGACAAGTGTAGAGATGGCCATGGACGGATCTTTAAAACATGAGATGAAAGGAGCGAGGAACCAACTGGGATCTATGGCATAATACCATCTATTTGAATTAAATGTGCATTCAGATGGTGCTTATATGAATTTATATGTGTGTTGAAATTTATAGAACTATGCGCCCAAAGAAAGTCAATGTTACTTTGTGATAATTGAAATAAAATAAAACAATATAAAATAAGACAAGTGACCACTTTCAGAGGGCTCATAGTCTAGGAGGGGAGATACATACGAAAAAATTGCATTTATACAAAATCATGCTCATTTGCAAGAACACATATAAAACAAAGGATCTCTTGTGATCTTGCTCCATTATCTTGCTCCAGGAGCTCCCAGGTTAATGCAGAAGACAGACAGAAAAATCCTTACTCCAGTATCATCAGGGCTGTGCATACATATGAGGCACTCTGGGACCACAGAGGAAGGAACAATTTATTCTGTCTAGGGGAACCCCAGAAAGCTGCCCCTGAAAACAATGATATGTAATTTGAGTCCTCAATGCTGTCTACGAAGAGTTCATGGCATAATATGATCTCCCTACCAGAGAACAGGCAACACTTAATCCAAGGGAATGAAATTGAAATAGTGGGTTTTAGTTGCCATGGGAGAAGATGTAGTTGGCCAGGGGTCCTTTCAGGCTGGGGACACTTCTTGCCTTATCAGCTTCTGGTGTCTGGGCCCCCTGCAACTCAAGCTGGGATTGAATAGGCAGGCTGTGTCCCCATCCCGAGAGGCCTAGCGTGGTTCCCTGAGTCGGAGAAGAAAGGTGGCCCTCCTTGCATCTGCCTGGGAGGCTGCTGTGGCCTTCCTGGACTCCTCCATCCTGCTTCCACCTTCAATCCATCACCTTTTGCTTGCTCCCCTTCCATCCCAGTAGCACATGGCCCAAGCACAATCCCTGGCCAGCCCTTTCCTGCTTTATCACCAGTCTCCCTTGTCTCTCTCTCACACAATTCCCTTTATCCTGTAGTCCAGAGAGAGCATCCTGAAGTCAGGTCTTCTCTGGGGCTCTCCATGTACAGATCTTCATGGCCCTCAGTGCAGTTCCATCCCCTCTCCTGGGCTCCCCAGCATGATATCTCCCTGTTCTCACTGCACTCCTTACCCTCAGATATCGCTAGACCACCTGAGTGCTGCCCTGCTTTGCTCACAGTGCCCCATCTTTTGGAATTCCTTTCTACTTTCCCTCCTACTTCCCCCAGCTAACTCCTATGCACCCCTCAAGACCCAGACCTCACCCCCTCCTGGAAGCCTCACTCATCACCCAGGACTACAACCCCCAAACCTCTCCTATTGCAGACTAGAGCACACTGAATTGAAACCGTCTTCTTACTTCTCTGTTAAAGGGCTTGGGTTCAAAGAGCTGGCTTTAGATCCAGGTGCCTGAATTCACATACTGATTCTGCTGTACTGCACTCTTGGACCAGTTATTTGACCTTTCTGGGCCTTCTATTTCTCATCTGTACAATGGAAATAGAAAGAGTACCTATCAGAAAAATAAAAACAAACAAAAACGCTCCAAACCACTCAAATACCCACCTCATGGGGATTTGGGGAGGAATAAATGAAGCAGTGGGCATGAGTTCTTGGCTCAGTGCCCAGCACATAGTAAGTGATCAATAAATGTTGGCCATTATTGTCTGTCTCCCTCCACCAAGCCAGGAGTTCCTGGAGATCAAGGCAGAATCTGATCTGCGTTTGGGGGCCCAGCACCTCCCCAGGGTCTACTTGTTGAACAGTTATCTGCCAGACATTCCATTACTGTGTACTAAGAGATTCCACATAGGTGCCCACCATTAGCATATTTGAGCCATGGGTCTTAGAACTGGCACTCAGATTGGAGTTGTTCCATGCTTTTGATCTGGGGCCTGGCAGTGTCTATGATGGGAGTGAAGGGGCCACCGCTAGCCAGATCTCTTTCCCTGGCCTCCACTCACCTGCCCCCTGGCCGGGTTCCAGCCTCCCACTCAAGCCATCCTCTCTGGGTGATGTAGCATGTGAGGCAGAGGACAGGGTCCGGAGTAGGAGCCATCACCAGCCAGACTGCCCTTGGTCTTGCCAGAGGCCTCCTTGGTGCCCGCCTGCCTGGCTCCTGCCTGGCTCCCAGCTCAGTTGCAACCTTTCCCAACTAGGCTTTCCTGCCTGGGTGGCCCTTGGCCTCATTAACAAGGAAGTGTTCCTTGGCAGCATTACTAATTAGCAGCAAAAGACGATTAGTGTCATTAACAGACTCAAAACATTTGTATTATTAGCTCCTTGGTGGTTTGGGGTTGCCTGGACCTAGGTAGGGATGGGAGCCTCCCGGGTGGAGAGTGGACTTGAGAGGGAGCTGGCAGGAGAGGCAGTGAGACAGAGGTGGCGGGGAGGGAGCTGGTGAGAAAAAAAAACCACGAAATTTAAAGTGAATGAATTATTTACTGCAGGAAACAATCCCGGACTCACTCACTCTGACTCAGAACATCCCAAACTGTAATCTGCGGCATTTTTCACATCTCCCTAGTGTGCGGAGTGATTTTCTTTACAATTGGATACCAGAGGCCGGGGGAATCTTGTAAGAGATTGGCTTAGTATTGATCATGTGTGTCTTCCTGGGTCCCTGGCTCCCACCCACCCTCGAGGCTGGCATCTCCAGCTTGGACAACACCCTAAGGCTGGCTGGGGCCAGAGTCAGCCCCAAGTGGGAGCTGATGAGGGGGCCATGACCCTGGTGAGCATTTGGAGCCACGAGAATAGGCCCCTTGCCCTAAAATGAGCTGAATGTCCCTGTTTCGGAGTCACCTCACCCCAGCATGGTCACTGAAGGAGCCCCTGCCATGTTGCCATATGTTTCAGATGCATTATGTCATTATCCCTTCCAAGAGTCCTAGGCTAGATATTATTAATCCCATTTTTCAGATAACAATAAGAGCTACTCTTTATCGACCTCTGCCTAGGTCCTAGGCACCGTGCTAATATCTTTCATTTATTATCTAATTGTTTCCTTAAAACAGCCCTGGTTATGGAGAGACTCAGAGAGGTGACGTGGCTTGCCTAGAGTCACACAGCAAGTGGCAGAATTGGCCCCAAATCCTGGTCTCCCCCTTGCCGTCACGGGGCACACACCGACCCCTCTACCCCGGGCAGCAATGGAAGGAGGGTCAAAAGATAAGGGACATAAAACCCAGGGTAAGGAAAGACAGCAGGTGTTCCCTGCTACTCGGGTGCCCCTCCCAGTGACTCCCTGACAGGGCCATGCTTCACCTGGAAGGACGTGTCTCCAACAGCGAGCATCAGGTGGCGTGGAGCACGTGGAGCACAGCATTGCTCACTCATGGCCAGAGGCTGTCTTCAGAGCAGAGATGAGGAGTCTGGCTGGCTGGGAGGACCAGAAGGACCCTGCTGGGCTGACAAGTTTCGCCTGCTGCAAGGTGCCTCTGGCCCTGAGGGTGGGGGGTCTCCATGGAGTCAAGGAGGAGAGAGGCGGCGCTGAGTGCAAGGAGGCAGAGAAAGCTTCCCAGCAACGGCAAAATCCAGGCTCTGGATCTGCCTCTGGCCTCTCTGCTTCCCTTCTAAGGAGGAAGGGAAGGAACCTGAGTCCCAGGCTCTGGTCCTGACAGGGCTGGGCAACTTTAAGTGGGTGCCCGCTCTTCTCTGGGCTTCTGACTTTTCATCTGTAAGGTGAAATCTTTGTTGCTTAAAAGGGCTCCTTACTTGAGTTCCAGTCAATGAGGTCAGCCGTTGCCCTAGGTGTAAAGGTGGGGACAGGGTAGTAGGTGCCAAATCTCCTCCCACCACTGCCTACACCCCCACCCCCCACCCTGGAATGCTAGCCTGTCGGTGTGGCAGTGACCTCCAATATCGGTGGTGCCAACCTACCCATTTTATAGATGGGGAAACTGATTTATAGAGATGGGAGTGGAGGTCACATAAGGGATCCGAGCCTATGCATTCTGACCCTTGGCCAAACTCCTCTTTAGTCAGCCTTACCCAGGCTGCAGGGGCAATTTGGCTCTAAGGCCACTTTGTTTGGGACTGAGGGACCACAGGCACAGGACAGGCAGAGGGAGCAAGAAGTGGATCCCACAACAGGCTTGTGGCTCTGGCATTCGGCCACTTTTCTCTGTCATCGTAACTGTAAATAAGGCATCTGGGAGTCCTCCCAGCACTTTAACAGATTTAACAAGCAGTAGCATGCGACCCGCAGTCCAAATGGATTTTTTAATAATGAATAAGCATTTATTTAACAAGTAATAACAGTTTTACCACCCTCCGGATCCTCGGAAGTCCAGAGGTCTTGCATTAACGCCTTACACAGGCATCTTCTGCTGCTATCTTTTGTCCATTTTTCTGGTTGTTTTTCTCTTATTGATTGGCAAAAGCTCTTTGTATATTAAGGGTATTAACCCTTTACCTGTGATATGCAAATATTTTAAGTCTGTATAATTATTAAGTTTTCCTTAGGGCATATAGAAGTTTAAATGTTTTATGTTGCAAGGTGTTTTTTTGTTTGTTTGTTTTTTGTTTTAATTTAGAGACTTCTGAGTTTTCAGAATTGCTTGTGAGCCTGAGGAAACCTGTGGCTCTGTTGCAGAAATCCTCAGCTGAGTTCAAACACAAGAGCCCTGGCCATGGAGTACAACTGTGGGTGAATGCCTCTCTTGAGACCTCGGTGGCCTCCATATAATAATGTGTTGAAATAGACAACCTCTCAGCTGCCCCCTGCAGGAATGTCCCATGATTGTAAGATGGGATTTTGCAGGGAAGAGGCTGCAGTGCACTCTGAGAGAGGTCCCAGCCATACAGTCTTTCACAGGTCTATCTCCCCCACCACTTCCAGCCCCTTTGAGAACAGGAACTGCGTCTTTTCATTGCGCTGTCCTTAGCACCTTGCAGAAGGCTGCCTGCCTCATAGTATGCCCTCAGGAGAAATTTACCCATCTGCACTGCTGATTGTACCTGGAAGTGAGCCCTGGCTCCATTTCATGCCCCTGTCTAGAGGTGGTAGAATGGAGTGGATAAGACAGTGTGCTCCCTGGGTTTGGATATTGACTTTTGTTTGCTGGCTGTGTGGCCTTGGGTAAGTCGCTTCACCTCTCTGAGCATGTTTCTTCATCTGTAAAACTGGGGCAAGTCCTCCCAGAGCTGTCTGGCAGCATGAATGAAAAACTGATCTAGCAGCCAAAACACATGATTCCTGCCATGTCGTGGGCAATCAATACACGTCAGGCCTCTTGTATCTCCACTGCTGAGTGGAGTGCATTCCATCTTGAGATGCTAAAAAATCTTCAGTGTTCCCACAGTTTGGGTTCCAGAGTAGACCCTGAGAAATGGATTCAAGGGCAAGTAATTTATTTGGGAAATGATCCCAGGAAGCACCAGTAGGACAGTGGGAAAGTGATACAGGAAAGGCAGGCAACCAATACCGGGTGCTTTATCAAGCCTGTTACTACTGTGGGCAACTGGAGCTCAACTCTGCTGGGGAATTCTGGGAGGGAGAATAGGACTCACATCACAGAGCAATCCACTCCCATTCCCCAGCAAAGGGTGAGGGAGGAGCTGGGGTACTTATACTCTGGCTTCAAATAGTCATCAGTTAAGAGCTGGACATTAATTTCCTGACTCTTTCAGTCTGCCCACTGGGAAGCAAAGTGGCTCTGGAGGCCTGAGAAAGGAACTCAACCAGGCATGCCCTGAAAGGCTAAAGATGAGGTCCTGACACCTTTTTGGAAGGGCAGGTGAAGCAGACATCTCAAGTAGGATGGCCCCAAAAGATTTAAAGGTAGGATTCGGTGGCAGAAGGGGAGTTAATGGGGCCTGATTCTTTGTTGCTCTCCACTCTGATTGCCACCTGAAATTGATAGCTGGTACCAAAGGGCAGTAGTGTCACCTTTCAATAAGATGAAATCTATGTCTCCAGCGGATGGAGACGACAGGAAGATTTATCAAGGCCCTGGCAAAATTAACATTTGGACGGGGGACACGGCAAGAACAGCCTCCAGAGGGGGTCTCTTTGCATTTATTCTGGCTGGTTCCTGCCAGCGGCTGGACTGGAAAGAGCTGCAGGGGTCAGCCATCCAGCTGGCCTCTCAGGGAGGGACGCCTGGACAGACAGATGCAGACACCCAGGGCAAAAGGAGACTGGAAGGAGAACTGTCATCTTTGCTGAGCAGGGAGGCCACCAGGGCACTTGGAGCTGAGTCCTTGCCCTGCCACTCACTTGTTGAAACCCTTTGCCTCAGTTTCCCCATTTGAAAGACAAGGGTATTGTGCTCAATGCTTCTAGCTCTGGCAATCTCTGAGACCATGACACAGAACAAAGCTCTGCCCGGGTGCTATCCCAGCAGTCTTGGGAGGTGAGCATGAATACATCCACAGAATGATGGCTAGCCTGGGTTGAGTACCTATTACGTGTCAGGCACTGTGATAAGTGCTTTACTTGTACTTCCTGTAATACTTACAATAGCCCCATAAGGTAGGCACGGTGGTTTCTGCATTTTGCCTTTGAGCTCAGAGAAGCCAAGTGACTCACCCAGGACTACACAGTGAGTTTGGGGCCAGGTAGACATCGAAACCCAGGTCTACCGGTTCCCAGTGCAGGGCTCCTTCCACTGTAGTCATCCTGGGTTCCAGTTCCAGGCCCTCTGATACTGAACTTCCAAAGGAGTCTCAACTTCTCTCTTGCACAGGAGGATGTATCCAGAGCTCAGGTTCTGGATCAAGATAAACCTGGGTTTGAATCTCAGCTCAATCAGGTCCTTGCCGTGTGGCCTGGCCTGAAACATTCCACGGGAGCCTCTGTTTCTTTGTAAAATGGGCATTGGAGCCATGTCTATCATGAAGATGACATGAGGCAACATGCGTAAAGGGCCGGTCTCTAGGGTCACTGGGAAACAGGCTTCCATGTACGGCCTCCTCCCCTCTCCATTATTCCACTGTGGACTTGCAGAGCTGTGTGGTTTGCATCTGGGGCACATGTGGGAATTAATTTGTGCTAAGGAGGTGAGGTCCTCCCTCCAGGTGAGCAGTGTGGGACAAGGGACCCCAGCAGGCCTGGAGGATGCTGGGACAGAGGCCTCCGCTCAGAGAAGGAGAAAGGCAGGGCCGATGGAGGAAAGGCAGGTGTTGGGAGCAAGTTCCCCTGCCCCACCTCAGACACTTGCACTGAATGCGCCCTCTGAAGCCCCAGCCTTCTACCCTGGAAACACCCTGGGCCCTGGGGTGGAGGAGAAGGAAGGGAGCCCTTGGTGGGAGCTACAGAAAATTAAAGCTAAAAATATGTCTGGGTCAGACCTCAGTTTCCCCATCGGTGAAATGGGTGCAGGCAGTAACACCCCCACCTTAGGCCTATTTGAGCGTAACGGGGTTTTTAAAGTTGGGATTCTAGGCCCCTCACAAACCTGAAAGACATTCACTGTGGGTGCTGTCTGGACTCTGAGCAACTTACTTAACCCCTCCATGCCTCAGTTTACTCGTCTGTGCAATGAACGTAATCATACTTAATGCACTGGGCTGTTGTTAGGATGAGGGGGTGAGGAGTGCTGTCCTGAATAGCACTAAGAACAGTGTCTATGTCTAGGAAATGCTATGCAAATCATGGTTGTTGTTTTTATTACTAATATTATTAATATCATTATCATCATCTCAGGTGAGGGAATGCGGGGCCCGGAGAGGGGCAGAGGCTTGGGAAGGCCACATGATGGTCAGGACTGTAGCCTAGGAGTCTGGCCTTGGACCACAGCCTCAGCCCAAGTCCTCAAACATCCCCTCCCCCATCAAGGCTGCCACATCCCCCTCCCTCACCAGGGAGTGAGAGGAGGCCCAAATCCAATTAGCCTGGGAGCCAACTGCAGAGCATCGCCCCTTTAATATCGCAGGAGAAGCTGCAGAGATAAATGAGAAATTAGAATTCCGCTGGGGTCCCTGAGACCCGCCTGCCGGCCCGCCCTGGGCTGGGGCTGCGGCAATTCTCCTAGGGACCCAAGGAGCTGTCTGAGCCCCAGTGGAGGAGGTGCCCCTGAGGGGCCCTGGGCCAGTGCCTGAGTTTCTCCTTAGGCCTGCCAGCCGCTCCTACTCCCAGCCTCCCATTGCCCACCCACCTTCCCCGCTGCCGCCATCCCACTCCCCTCCCCGTCAACCATAGAATTCACCTTTCCTCTCGAGAGACCCATTCCTCTCCTCCTTCCACAGCCCCTCCCTCCCAGTATCCGAGGGCATCAGGGCAAGGTCTAACCCCATTCTTGGCACGCCCCCGCTTCCCCTTCCCACTCCCCTCCTCTCAGTCCTAACAAAACCCAGGATCCTTCCCTCCTTGGGCTAGGACTGACTCTGCAGCTGAGGCCTCTCTTGGGCCTGGGGGATTCTGGGGAGGACATCACTAGTCCCCCTCAAGGAAGAGGAGGTTCAGGGTCTGTAACAGGAGCTCCTCCTGAGCGTTCCAGAGTAGGTGTGCAAATGAGGCATCTGCAGCCCCCTCCTCTAGAGGGTAATGGGCTGTCATACAAAGCCGGCAGGTCACCACCACAGCCCTGCTGTGGCCTTCCATAGCTCCCTGTCTTGCACAAGACTCAGTTTCCCCTTATGTACAATGGAGAGGGGCTGACATAGGTGCAGGCCTAAGATCTTGGCTTGGACACTTGGCCCAACCCTGGGAAGCAGGCAGGCCCCCCTATCATCAACCCAGCCCACCCACCTGCCTCCCTCCCTCGGGGGACATATTTGCTGCTGGGAAAGTTAATCCATTACAGTTTAAAGGCTCCGTTCCTCGCTGGCAGTAAATTACCTGCTTTGCATTTTGCAGCAACAACTTAACGGTATTAATTTATTGTGCTCTGTCTTTAACAAACATCATTATCATATTGCCAGCCAGGATTATGCAAATGGGAGGGACAAGGGAGAAAGAGGCTGAATCTTGTCCCCAAAGTCACCTTGATTTATTAACTTTGGGGCCCTGCAATTGGCCAGGTCTGGGAGGTGCAGGTGAGTGCAGAGGCCAGGAGAACCCACAAAGTCTGGGCAGAGAGAGTCCTGAGGCCAGAGGGGGACTCCCAGGGGAGGGCACCCTTGGAGGGAAGGGCTGGCTGGGGCTTAGAGGGATTCCCTTGTCAGGTGACTTTGGACAAGTCCATTCTGTCTTGGGCTTCGGTTTCCCCACCTGTAAATGGAGGTTGAATTAAGAGGTCCCTGGAGCTCATAACATATGAACTTGAGATTCAGCAATACATTGTGAATGAGTGAGAGAGAGAGAGAGAGAGTTTATGTGTTTGGGCAGGGTGGGCTGAGTAGAGAAGAAGCCACGTGGTCCTGGGGCTGCAGTGCCCCCATGCCGGGCTCCCTGGCTGCTGCGGCTCCTGAGCACCAGGCTAGTCATGGATGGGCACATGGTGGGAGATGGGTGAGCTGGGGCTGAGAAGAGAGGGGTCTAAGGGAAGGGGCTACTTCTGGGCTGAGAGTCTAAAGGCTGACGGCAGGGGTCAGTTCATGAGAGGGTCTGAGACTTTTAGGCTATACACCAAGATGCTGGGTTGGGAAGGGGAGGCAGGACCATGCCAGGCTGGGAGGCAGCACCCTTTAGCTCCTGATTTTGCATCTGGCCTGGGGGCTGGGCTGGCTGGAGGTCTACTCATGGGGTCCTAGGCCTCCGCACAGCCTCCGGCAGCTCCTCCTGAGCCTCCTGGACTCTGAGTTTACCCCGAGAGACTCTAGGTTGGGCTGCCAGGGGAGCTGGAGGCAGGTGGGCTGGGCCCCCCCTCTGCCCCTCCCTGTGCGCCTCCTCCCTTGGGCTGGCTGTGGTGAGAACCCGCCTGATTACACAGCTGGCTGCCCCCGGCCACTGGGCCTGCTCCCCACCACCTGCAGACTGGCTCTGCCAGGAACTCACTGGGACTACATCCAAGCACCCGTGGGCGCCAGCCCAGGGTTCTGCCCTGGCCATCAGGGTCCTTCCCGGGCCCTGCAGAGGCGCCAAGGTGGGAGCTGGAGAGGGGCCAACAGAGAGGAGATGACACCAACCTGGCTGGCCAAAGCTCTGGCCTGGCGGGTGTGGGGTGGTGGGGAATTCCACGGGGAGGGTGGCACCCCCTGTCTACTGAATTCCTGAGTGGCCCCCTCTGTGGCCCCATCCCTGCCCTGCCTTTGGCATTTTGCCAAACCTGCCCTTGCCTCCTGGTGCCCCAATCTCTGCCTCAGTCTCTGAGCACCCCCACTGCCCCCTCTACTTGCTCTGTCCTGCATCGCTGTCTCTGGGTCTCTCCCTGTCATGGGGGATGGGGCTAGGGAGGGAGCAGGAAGCAGAGGGAAGAGGTATTGAGGGGGCATGGAGTGGGGGAGCAATTCAATTTCCAGAGTTGGCCCTGGCAATACCGGTTGTGTCGTGATAAGAAAGCCATTTCCCGTGATGGCTCCTAATCCACACCCTCCTGCCTTTGCATGCAGCAGCTCCCTTCATCTGCCTGTGGCCAGAGGCTGGAAGGGATCCCTGTCCACTATGGAAGGGGCCATGTCTGCTCCAAATGAACCATGCTGAGCAGCATCTGTGTGGCCGGGACAAAGACCCATGCCGAAATCTACAAGCCCAGGAGAAGCCGTCAAACCCGATGAATAATCCCTCGGACTGTTCTAAATTCAGATGGACATGCACAGCTGTGATCTAATTTGAGCCATACATCTGCCCTTGAGAGAAGTAGGGATCACTCCCATTTTACAGATGGGGAAAGTGAGGCTCAAAGTGGTTCAGTGATTTGCCCGAAGCTACACAGCAAGTGCGTGTAGAGAGAAGCGCAAGTTGATGTGTGCAGGGCTGAAGTGTGAGGTGAGGGTGCAGTGCGGGAGCCGCAGCCTGGGCTTCGAAGGTCGGGGGAGTAGGGGAAGGAGGGGAAGGAGACAGGCAGGGAGTATGAGGAGAGGTGAGGAGAGGTGTGTGCTGGGCAGCAGCTCGGTGGGAGCCCAGCTAGGAAAGGAGCCTCGGGGTGGCCTCGAGAGGATTTTAGTGCTGTCTGGGCAGGGGGTCTGTGGGATACAGACCTGGGAGGGATGGGGGCATGGTGGTCAGAGAAAGAAGCTGCTGGAGGACACAGGCGAGCCAGGACCACAGTCAGGGAGGCAGCTGTGACTGTCAGCAGGAACACGGGAATCCTCTACGAGACACCTACACCTGAGTCCTGACATCAAAGGGGTTTCTCGCCTCTCCGGTCGCCTGGTTTGGAGCTCAGCTTTCTTGAAAACTTTCTTCCTGCCAGTCTCCTGCACAGGCCCTGGACACTCCTTGGGCTGGACTGGGCCCCTTTTCCAGCCACACCCTTCACTGGCTGGGAGGGTTGCAGGGAGGCCTCGGGCTGAGCCAGGCCCTTCTGCTGGCTCCCCTGTGGCCCGCAGGGGCAGAGGAGGGAGGGCAGCTGGGCTGGGGATTCAACAGGAGGGGCAGTCTAGGTGAAGCCAGCCAGGCCCTCCTGATTTGCTCCCCACCAGGAAGTTTTCTTTGTTTGTTTTGGTTTTTCCTTTTTGTTTTATTGAGACAAGGTGTTGCTCTGTCGCCCTAGCTGGAGTGCAGTGGTGTGATCACAGCTTACTGCAGCCTTGACCTCCCAGGCTCAAGTAATCCTCCAGCCTCAGCCTCCCAAGTAGCTGGAATTACAGGCACGTGCCACCTCGCCTGGCTAATTTTTAAACTTTGTAGAGACGAGGTCCCACTGTGTTGTGCAGGCTGATCTCAAACTCCTGGCCTCAAGATCAAAGTCTTGGCTTCAAGTGATCCTCCTGCCTGCGCCTCCCAGAGTGCTGGGATTACAGGCATGAGGAGAACTGACCAGGAATACAAGCAAGGATGGATCCCGAATCCTGTTTGTCTCCCTCTGCATCCCTACCCCCCACTGCTGACTCCAGAAGGCCTGGTGGGGAGCGGTGGTGGATCTGGGGGCTACAAAGCCGGGCAGGATTGTTTACCCTCTCCCTACCTTCCCCTCACTGGCCCAACTGTGATGGGGGTGAGATGGCAGGCTGGGGCTGTGGGAGGCTCCCAGAACAGCTGGTGGCTGTGCAGGGCCGTGGGTGGTGGCAAGTGGGGACCTGCTGGAGCAGGCAAGCTAATCTCATTTGGTTGCTGCAGTCGCAAACAAGGACTGCATGCTAAGTGGCCAGAGGCAGCAGCGGGACTCAGGGCCGACCCAGGCCCCACGCATACCTGGGAGCACCTAGAGGCCAGCCCTGGTTTGAATGAGGAGCCATGTTGGGCAGGGGCAGGGGAATAAGGAGGGGGAGGATGCGTCTTGTGGGGTAAGAGGTTACTCCCCGGGAAATACCTGCTGGGAGATAGGGCGCCAGGGTCAGCCAGCTCCTCCCAATCCTCTGGCCTCTCCTCCTCTAGCCCTCCTCCTGTAGGGTCCTGGATCAGATGCCACTGGGCAGGAGGCATCTGGAGAGCAAGCTTCATCCCCTTTGCCAGCAGAATTGTGATTGGAGAGAGGGACCCGCCTGTTCACAGCAGAGCATGAGGGAGGCATCGGGGAAGGTGCTGGAAGAGGGGAGGGGAGGGGGCTGGGGGAGCCTTGAGCCTCGAGGCCCTGCCCAGTCACTCCACTCCTCTGAGCCTCTAGGGGCTTGTTTAGAGGCAGGGCCAGGGAGGTGCAAGAAGATGCCCTGGCTGTAAAAAGGTGATTGGGCTTGCGACTCTTGTGAAATGGTCTGAAACTATCTTTAGCTTAGATGGGAGTGCCAGGCTTGCAGGGCCCAGGTTTGGCAGATGAGCCAGGCCAGAAGCCAGTGCCCTGAGGGCTTCCTGACTGCCACCCACACTCTCCGCCCGGCTGCCACTTCTCGGAGCAGCTGGTACCATCAGCTCCCAGGGAGAATCCTGAAATCACACAGGTAGCTCTGGTCTTTGGGCAAAGGTTTGTGCTCTAGACGTGGGTGGCCTGAACTTGGGGCTGCATCATGGTAACAGATGGATTTGAAGGCAGAGCTTGCAAGGGAGTCCAGATGGCCACAGCCACCATCCAGGTCTGTTTTTGGTACTTGCTGGGCCCCTGTGGGCAGCTCCATTTGCAACCCCTTTGGAGCTCCTTAGCTCAGGTCTTGCTGATAAAAATAAGCCCTGCCAATCACAGGGGGCTTGAACCACTCTGTGACTCAGCTTCCACATCTACCCCTGAGGGGCTGCTAATGAAATGAAATGAGGCATCTCAAGTGTCCTGCCCAGAAGCCGGTGCAAAGGAAGTTCTGTTTTCGTTTTGCAGCATCTCAGCCCAGTGTACCACAATGTTCTATCATTACAGTCTGATGGGCCTTTAGAAAAACGGCTCTGCTTCACTTGCTGTGTGACTGTGGGCAAATATCTTCACCTCTCTGAACCTCAGATTCTCCATCTGTAAAGTGGCAACAATAATACGTACTTTATAGGAATGTTGTGAGGAGCTAAAGAAGAATATAAGCAAACTTGAATAAGGCAATAAATATAAACACAGAACAGTATCCAGTTGGCAATAGGTGCTTGATCAATATCTGTTGCCTGTGCAACACTTTACTTTTCAGGGGGATACACTGAGGTCCAGAGAGGGGAAAGAGTTCATCCAGGATCCCAGCTGGATCAAAGGTCTCCTGATGTCTGCTGGAGGAACAAGAGAGAGGAAATCCCTGGCCTTTTGTTTCACCAACTGTAAAATGAGAGGGCTTCACCGATCTATGGTTTCCAGCTGGGATCTGGGCTCTCGGGGGCCACTGTTGGAGTCAACACCAAGCCCGCGGAGCTCCGGGACCACCTTTTCTGGTTCTCAGTCCACGTCTCTTTCACTCGTGAAGGGCTGCGGAAGGCTCCACGTGAACAAACTTCCTGCCGCTCAGCCTTGAATGTGTGAAAGCCCCCTACTTGTTTATTTTCAGGGCTCCTGGCAGCGCAGACTCTCTGGGACAGGGATTCCTCCCAAGACCCCTGCCCAGGTAGACCCCCTATGTCCTGGCCTGGGTCAGGGTTGGCTCAGCTGCCTGGAGTGGGTGAGCAGACCAGAAGCATGACCCTGCCCCACCCCCAGCCAGCTGCAGCCCGGGCCTGGGATGCTGGTTCCGCCAGCAGTTAAAGTCCCCCTGGTTGTCTAATTTAATCACAGCTGTGTGCACGGTGACTCTATAAATAATTTTTAGTGCGACATAACCATTATTTCACTAATTGCTTCACGCGCACCCCTGGCCTGTGAGATAAATTAAGGTTTGCTGAGTCAGCACCTTTGGCTGATGCTGCTTTGGGGTTTGGAAGTACAGCCCCAACAACTGGGCTGTTCCCACACCAGCCTCAGCCCAGCACTGAGGGGAGGGCGCCCCTCACGTGAAGTGGCCAAGGGTAGAATGAGTGAGGAGGAATGAGGAAAGGGCTAATAAGGGTGGCCATGTACAGTTGCACAGGTTGTGTCCTGCACCAGGGTGCTTGGCTAAGGGGGCAAGTGGGGGCTGAAATCCAGCCCATACTACACTTTTGCAATCCATGTGCTCTGACATGGGATTTTGTTGGCCCAGAAGAAGGTGGTACCTTCTTTTAATTTGCACAAAGGCTAGGAAGGAATCAGCAGCTCCAGAATGAACTACCACATAGCAGGTTGTCAGGGCCACCTCTCTGAGAGAGGAGGCCAGGCAGAATATCCTTAAGGATCTTCTCATGTTAGCAACAGCATGGAGACCCAGGCTCTAGATCTGATGCTGAGTGACCTGGGCAAGTGACCTTCCCTCCTCTGTGTTTTAATATCTTGACAGTTTGATCCCATCCAGAGCCTGTGTTCTTTCCTCTGCCTATCATACTCCAAATTCAGTAGGTGTGGCTGGAAAAAAAGGTTCACATGGTCAAGTACATTTGAGAAACATCGAGTTAAGTGGTTTCTTTCTGTAGAAATTTTCAGAGAGCCTACAGTGTGTTCAGGAGCAGCAGACTTGCAGGGAGGGGTGGAGATGGTGTAGCTTTTCCCAGTGCATTTGGCTGTGGAATCCTTCATTTTAGGACTCTTATTCATCCTGGGATCCTAGTGTCTATCTCTGGGCTTATTAGTGAGTGGATGTCATCCCCAAGGACAGAGAACGCTCCTATTCCTGGCCATAACTCTAGACTCAAGGCACTTCCCTATCTGTCATCTAGATCTGATGCTGAGTGACCTTGGGCAAGTGATGCAAGATTGCGAGTGGGCAAGATTGCTAGATCTTGCCTTCCTTCTTTGAAGGAAAATCTAGCAAAAATAGGTCTCCCTTCAAATCGGTGAAGTGTGGGGGGAGCATCCTGAGTCCACGGGACTCGAAGTTCCTTGAGGGCAGGTGCTATGTCTACCTTATTTATTGCCAGTTCCCTGGGGCTTAGCTTGGGACCATCTCTTGAGTGAATGAATGAGTGTCTATTTTGAAAAGAGACAGGAAAGGAGATAATTGGCTTCATATCCTGCCCCAAACCTTACTGGCTGGTGACCTTTGAGCAGATTGCTTCTGAGAGTCCAGTGCCACCACAGCTCTGTGTCTCTTTTGTCAAATGTAGATCAAGGACCAGATATGGTGGCTCACGCCTGTAATCCCAGCACTTTGGGAGGCCAAGGCGGGTGAATCACCTGAGGTCAGGAGTTCGAAACTAGCCTGGCCAACATGGTGAAACTCCGTCTCTACTAAAAATACAAAAATTAGCCGGGCATGGTGGTGCACACTTGTAATCCTAGCTCCTTGGGAGGCTGAGGCAGGAGAATCGCTTGAACCCGGGAGACGGAGGTTGCAGTGAGCCAAGATCGCTCCACTGCACTCCAGCCTGAGCAGCAGAGTGAAACTCCGTCTCAAAAAAAAAAAAAAAAAAAAAATTAAACTCTCGGTACTTCAGCCATAAAAAAGGAACGAGATCATGTCCTTTGCAGAGATACGGATGGAACTGAAGGCCATCATCCTTAGCAGACTAACGCAGGACCAGAAAACCAAATACTGCATGTTCTTACTTACAAGTGGGAGCTAAATGATGAGAACACATGGACCCAAAGGGGGAACAACACATACTGGGGCCTGTTGGAGGGTGGAGGGTGGGAGGAGGGACAGGAGCAGGGGAAAATAACTAATAGGTGCTAGGCTTAGTATCTGGGTGACAAAATAATCTGTACAACAAACCCTCAAGACATGGGTTTACCTATACAACAAATCTGCACTTGTAACCCCTGAACTTAAAAGTTAAAAACTCTCCATCCTCTCATTCCTAAAGTGCTGAAGTGAGGCTCAGATGCAAAGACGGTTGTGAGTGAGTGCTCCTTCCACAGTGTGAAACACTTGACAAATGCAAGGGATTAATCCTATGATCTGTATCCTCCTTGGTTCCCTCTCTGGGCTGGGCTGTGATCACGTATTCCAAGCTGCTGTTGACTGAGTGCTGACCTCGGGTCAGGGCCTGTCCCAGAGGTCTTTCACACATTCTGTGCACACTTGTCCAGTAACCCTCACAGCACTGTGAGAAGAAGGGATTACCTTTGTTTTATGAAAAAGAAAAGTGAGGTTCAGAGAGGTGATGTGGTTTACCTGAGGTCACACAGCTGTAAACTGCAGAGCTTGGGATTTGAATCCAGACATGGTTCCAAAACATGTCTTTTCTCTTCATTCCCAGCTTATTGGCTCCCAGGTTACCACCTTATTCTCCCCCTACTCCGTTTTGGGCAGGGTGTTGAGGCAGGTTATGCAGGGATGCTGGCTTCAGAGGACTACTGGCCTCCTTGTCAAGTCATTTTGCTATTTTCACAAGGACAAGGGCAACCATTTGTTGAGCATCTACCATGCATCTGGCATTGAGCTGGCTGCTTTAGATCTGTTATTTTCCCACATTAAATCCTCACCCAAAATCTATGATGTAGAAAAAACCACTCTCATTTTAGAAAGGGACACTGAGCTGGGCGCGGTGGCTCACACCTGTAATCCCAGTGCTTTGGAAAGCTCAGGTAGGAGGATCACTTGAGTCCAGGAGTTATAGACCGGCCTGGGCAACATAGGGAGACCCTGGCTCTACAAAAAGCTACAAAATTAGGCAGGCCTGGTGGTGCATGCCTGTAGTCCCAGCTACCTGGGAGGCTGAGTGGAAGGATCGCTTAAGCCCTGGAAGTTGAGGCTGCAGTGGGTCAAGATTGCGCCACTGCACTCTAGCATGGGAGACAGAGTGACACCCTGTCTCGAGGAAAAAAAAAAGGAGACCAAGGCTTGGAGTGGTTATGTGACCTGCTCAACCGCATGCAATTAGTAAACAAGCAGCCAAGCTGAAATTCCACCCAAGTGGGTCTGATCCCAGAAGCTGGCTATTTCCCTGGCTTCTCCTTCGTGGCCCTGAATATCCAGCCCCAGTTGGGGAGGGGTGACCTGTGGCTCCTGGGTCCAACACACTGGGTCTGTCTGCAATAGCTGCCGTGGAGACGTCCCCGCGGTGCATCATGACCTCTGGGGCTCTCCTTCCCCAGAGCCCCGTGGGCCCTGCCCTTGGTGCCTGGCACACTATTACTGCCTGGGAAACGCTGAAGAATGATGACAGGGCTGTAAGCCTGGCTTCTCCAAGTTTCTGCTTGACCTCCAAGGGACCAGAGGAGGAGCGGGGAGAGCAGGGAGTGGAGTGGCTGCCGACATCCACAGCTGATGCAGGGACTCGTGTGTGCCTGGGCCTCCCTCTGAAAGCTGCCTTTGGAAGGTGGTCACAGCCAGTCTGCTCACGCCCCCAGTCACGCCACCTATTAGCCTGGCTGCCCTGGGCACAGTGACCTCTCCCAGGCTGGCGTCCCCTCCCAGGGTGAGTCCATCACCACCAGTCACAGCCGAGCTCCTGTGCTTGGCTTTCAAGGCCCCTCGCATCTGCCTCAAGCCTCCCTGTCTTTCCAGCCTCCTCTATTGCTTATTCATTTATTTAAAAAATATTTGTTGATCAACTATGTGCCTGGCAGATGTTCTAGGTCCTGAAAATACAGCAGAGAACAGAACAGATAAAATCTCTGCTCTTCTGGGAAAAATTGACAGAAAGCAAGTTGACGAATAAATGTATGATGTTGGGTAGTGAAAGGGACTTATAAAAAAAAAAAAAAAAGAACCAGACCCTCCCCCTGCCCCAAGGCATCTAGAGATAGAATTCAGGGGGTCAGTGAAGTTAGAGGAGGAAAAAAATTATATTTTTATCTCACTAACCTGTAACTAAAATATCGCATTTTTCTTCAATTATAAATGTTGGCAACATACCACGGTAGTATTAGCAGTGCCTGTGACTTTGTCACCAACAGAAATCAGATATTTCCTATCACATTACAGTTGTTGCATACATTTTGAAACATCATTGACACTCATCACTGCTTCAAAATTGTTGTGGTTAATAGAACTGCCACGAGATCTTGTTATTTAATGCATTAATAAAGAAGTGCATCTAGTACTGTATCACTCATTTGTTTTGTAAATATTTTGAAAACGATTTCTATATAATTGGCTGCCTTGATAAATCTATGTATTTTCGTCTATGCCTTTAAAATCATTATTCTGAGAAGGGCTTCACCAGGGCCAAGGGGTCCATGGCCCCAGATGCATTAACTCCTGGAGTGGAGATGGATGGGGAGGAGGGGCGGGTTTTTAGCTGGAGTGGTCAAGGAAGCCTCTCCGGGGAGGTGGTATTTGATCAGCAACATAAAGTGGGCAAAGGAGCTGCCATGCGAAGATTTGAGTCAAATTCATTGCAGGCAGAGGGAACAGCAAGTCTAAGGGCTCTGGGGTAAGAAGGAACAATGAGGCCAAGGTGGCTGGAACAAAGTGACCAGCGAAGGGAGAAGACAGAGAGGCGCATGGACCACACATGATGTAAGGTCTGGCTTTGGTGAGGACTCGGGATTGTATTCCCAGCAAGGTGGGATGCTACGGAAGGGTTCTGAGTCAGGCGTGATGCATTCAGATTTCTCAATTAGAAGGATCCCTTTGGCTGTGGGGCAGAGAATGGGGCACTGAGTAGTGGGTAGGAGGGGAAGCAGGAAGACCAGGAGCTAGGGGTCTGCAGCATCCAGTGAAAGATCACGTGGCTTGGAGCAGGCTGAGACTGGAGAAGTGGCCCCATTCAGGATGCATCTTGAGACTGGAGCCTGCAGAGCTTATGAGGAACTAAAAGAGCCATTAACTTTCACCCTTCTGCTTTGGCTTATGCCACTCCTGGAACTCGCTTTCCTGCCATCTCCATCCTCCAGCCAGCTCTCTCCCTGGATTCTTCACCCATGTGGCAAAAACTGCTAGTAGCCTCCTCTTTTTCCATTTCCTTACTAATAGCCCCCAATATTACCTGGGGGAGCAATGTGCCCAGCTCAGAGGCCAATTCTCCCAGCCTCCTCTGCAGTGACGGGTTGCTTTGGAGATACTGGAGCTGTCATCTGGTGGGGTTTCCAGGAACAGGCTTTTTATAGGAAGCTGACTCCTTCTTTTGCCCCTCTTTTTCCTCCCTGGAACATGAACAGGATGGTTGAAGGTCACTTTCCCCAAAAGCATTTTGGGACCATGAGGAAATCACAGTGACCTTGACCCTGATATTCTTGATATCAAGGTGGGGCTTTATGGAGTCAAAAAATTCTAATTAGGTTTTGTTATTAGCAGTAGAATAAAATTCCCACCGGGTACAACTACAAATTTAACTGCTTATTGGACATCTCCCTCAGAATAACATAGCCCCCCAGACTCATTGTGTCTAATTCCGGGTCTGCCGTCTTTGTCTCAAGTAATTTCTTTTCGGGGAATCCATATATCTGTAAGAAAAGAGAACTAATAGGCCGGGGGCGGTGGCTCACACCTGTAATCCCAGCACTTTGGGAGGCTGAGGCGGGCAGATCCGAGGTCAGGAGATCGAGACCATCCTGGCTAACACGGTGAAATCCCATCTCTACTAAAAATACAAAAAATTAGCTGGGCGTGGTGGCGGGCACCTGTAGTCCCAGCTACTCGGGAGGCTGAGGCAGGAGAATGGCATGAACCCGGGAGGCGGAGGTTGCAGTGAGCAGAGATAGCGCCACTGCAGTCCAGCCTGGGCAAAAGAGCGAGACTCCATCTCAAAAAAAAAAGAAAAGAGAACTAATAGTTTAAGAGCTGCGTCTATTTACCCATCTACCACTGACCCTCCCACCCACCCATCCTTCATCCACTTCTGTTCATCTGGGCATGCATCCATTCAACATGCTTTTATTGAGCACCTACTATGCACTGGGCCCCGTGCTAGATGGGGGGCTGGAGGTATGAATAACATATTTTTTTTTTGAGTCTCACTCTGTTGCCAAGGCTGGAGTGCAATGGTTTGATCTTGGCTCACTGCAGCCTCTGCCTCCCAGGTTCAAGCAATTCTCTTGCCTCAGCCTCCTCAGTAGCTGGGTTACAGGCGTGTGCCACCACACCCAGCTAATTTTTGTATTTTTTAGTAGAGACGGGGGTTTTGCCATATTGGCCAGGCTGGTCTTGAACTCCTGACCTCAAGTGATCAACCTGCCTCGGCCTCCCAAAGTGCTGGGATTACAGGCGTGAGCCACCGCACTCGGCCAATATATCTTATTTTAGGCCCATCTGTGTCTATATAAGCAGAATATCTCTAGAAGAATCCACCAGATGCTGGGAACTAGGAGTGCCCCTATGGAGGGAAACTCAGCACCAGGACACATGGGTTTTTATTCCTTTTGAATCTTCTGAATTCTGTATCATGTGTATGTTTTCACCCTCTAAATGTTTTTAATTAACAATATATGTACATCTCATTCGGATCTTCAGAATTTGCCTTGCTCCTGAAAGGATTTGAGGCAGCTTGTTAGAATACACAGAGATGAATAGACGCAGCCCTGCTGTCAGGGAGCTAACAGTCTCGTGGGTAAGAGAGATGAATAAACAATTCCAATACAGCGTTGCAGGAGGGGCAGAGGGGTGCAGACAACAGGCCACTTGGCATGCTCTTGAGGGATCATGGGGCTGCACTCAGCCACTGCCCCTGAGTAATGACCTGACACGGCCACCTTCTCCTTGCCCCCGTCTGGGCTTGAAAACCAAGATGTTCACATTTGGAACATACATGATGGAGACACCCCCGTCCCTCCCTGCCCACTCCCAAGTTCAGGCACTTGTGCTGAGCTGACCCCTAAGTCACCAAGCACCACAGTGCCCCTGTGCCCACATGTCCAGGTCGGGGGTGGCTGCAGTAGCACGGCGTGTTGTCTCTGTGTTTCTGCTTGCCCTGCGGATGAACGCACAGAGCGCATGAGGGAGGCTGTCTCCAGCGCCCTGATGTCCAGCACAGCTACAACCCCTTTTGCAGCCTCAGGCTGGGAAGTGGGGATGGGGGCTGAGGGAGGGCAGGAGCTGGGATGGCATGGCGGGGACGGCGGAGAGGACCAGCCACGCTGCTTGGAGAATGTGGTCTTTTCAGAGCAGCCCTTTGAAATCGAGCAAGAATAACTTTAAACAATAAGATGCTTCTCTCTCCCCCTCAGTTGTTGCCCAGGCAACGCCAGAGTGCTCAACAACTGTTTAGTTTTTTAAGAAACCAAATCTCCCTCCCTTTGGTCAGCTACCGCCAGGAAGATGAAGAGGCGGTGGCGCTGCCCCTTGCGGCCCATTGTGTTGGACCCGGGTCAGCCGCCTGCAGCAGTGACATTTAAATCTGATGCTACATATTATATATGAACCCCGAGCCGCACTCCTTCACGACTTGTGCTCCCTAACCGGGGAGGCTTCAATCTCCCACCCCAGACTTCTTGCCCGCTTGTGGCTCTGGCAGTCCTGGGGAGTCACAGCTGAGAGGCTGACCTCTGCCTGGCAAAGCAGCTGGGAGCTGAGGAGGACATTGGGTGGTGATCCGTCCCCAACCCTCTGCATCACGGACCCATGAGAGCCCTCATCAAGCCAGCAGTCACCTCATCCACCCAGGCAGTGTTTAACCCCCAGCAGCTCTGCTAAACTGTTTTTGAGGGGCCTTGACCTCTGCACCAGCAGCTCACCTGTTTTACATTTGCCTGCTCAAAAGGCAGATTGGTGCCCTTTATCTCTGTAGGGTCTTCCACAATCCAGCAAGAGACGTTTTTTGTTATCCCCAGTTACAGATAAAGCAGCCCAGGTGCAGAGAGCTCTGAAAGCTGACTACGAGATGTCAGGCACTTCCAAACGGAAGCCCTGATGGCCGCCCACGGAGCCAGGTGCTACCTCAAGCCCATTCCTCCAGAAGTGGAAACTGAGGTTCCAGGGGTTAAAGTGATGACCAGTGGGTATGGCAGGATTTGGACCTGGGCCAGCCCAACTGCAGGGCCTTGCGTCTCATCCTACACTGCCTTGGTGAGACCCTGTGACTCAAGGACAGATGGGCAGATCTCTCCTGGCTCCCAGGCTTGGCCAGTGTGCCCTCCTAGAGTGGGGATCGGTGCCCCACTTCGCCTCTAAGGAAGGAACATGATAAACTTTGGCAACATGAAGTTCTGGGTTGTGTGTCCTTAGGCAAGTTCAAAGAAGGTATTTAAATCCTCACTTTGCTTATCTGTAGAATGGGGACGGTCTCCAGCTGGCAGCACTGTTGTGAAGAAGCAAGTAATGACAGCTGCCCCGTAGAGAGAGCTGACATGTTTTGGGCAGTGTCTAACCACTCCGTTTAATCATCACAGTGACTCCAGACTCAGGTCCTATGATCATCTCCATTTTCAGATGAAGAAACAGACACCCCGGGAGGTGGAGTCACATGGCTAGAAACTAAAGCCAACGAACATAACCCACAGGGACAGGTCCTGGCACATAGTAGGTTCAAAGCGGACATTGGCTGTCTTCTCCTAGGAAGATAAATAGAGGGGATTCTGTCTCCTGGGAAACAAAACCTGGGAGAAAGGTAAATTTAGAAAAACGAAACCAGGTTAGCGCAAGCCCCTTATCCAGCTCGGCAGCACAGTCAGGATGGGAAATTGGCTTCAGACACAACAAAAACTAGAAGGGGAAGTCTCGACATTTGTGAAATGAGAGAGCAGGGGTAGGGGAGGCCAGGGCCCTGGACTCTGAGGAGGGATCTGCTCTTCCCTACCCAGGGCTTGAAGGGCTGCACGAGGGGGGACGCCACCAGCAGAGGCTGGGGCAGGGCCGGTTCCAGGCCCAGACGGGGTGAGGGAGTCCCACACCTGAGACAGATGGCCTTGCCCCATCTGGGAATCCCTGGAGGTTGTGCCGAGTCCCTAGCAGTGACAGGAAACACAGGCAGATGACAAGCTGCCAAGGTGCAGGGATCACATTTCCTAGCTGATGCTTCCGCCCCATCTCCTAGGGCCCTTTCTCTCCCAGGAAACTGGTGGACACTCATCCTCCAGTTCCCACCTCCCCCTGCAGAAGGCTCCTGTCCCCGCGTCCCCCCTTCCTGCCCCCGCCAGCGCATCTCGTTTAGCACCGCTAAATGGCAAGCCCAGAGGTACAATGTCGGAAGGGGCTGGGGTAATGAACTCCCATTGGCTTCCTTCACGAGATCACTGCCTTAATTTACGAGGCCTGAGTGAGTCTCATTTCCCCAGTGCACGTTGAGTAATTAACTATTAATAAAAGCATTACTGAGTTAACCATGGGGGCATGTTTAATTCATGGGGCAGCCCAGGAACAGGATGGGAGGCTTGGGCTCAGTGGGGGATTCCTCGCAAAGCAAAATATTGCCAGCAGGATGCCGCCAGGCCCTGGGCCCCCTACAGTGGGCCACCTTTTCTGTCCCTAGCCAGAGTAACCTAATCTCAGGAGGGTAGTGAGGCTGCCTGCCATCCCAACCACAGGGCTGCTGAGCTCTGGGAGGTGTAAGCCCCTGCTGGGCTATAGGGCTGTCTGCTTGGTGGCTAAAGAGCTGAGTGACCTTGGGCAAGTCACTTGGCCTCTCTGAGCCTGTTTCATATCTGGAAAGCAGGGCTGTTCAGAACCAACAGCTTCCCAGGGTGGATTGCAGGACTAAGGAGCTCAAGCATGGAAAAGGATGTGGTAAATGACCCAATGCTCTTTACTCGCATGAAATTATTTTAGGACCTCCCTCTTCCCCCTCCTCATGCTAGAGATACCACTGTTGACTGTTAGGGGGCGGGGAGAGGATCTACTTACTTGTTCAAAATAACATGATGGAACAATCCTATCAGGATACCTCCTCTTTTCAAAGATGGATCAGTAGCCCCGCTCCCCCTCCTCTTTCCCCATGTGCACCTCTGGCCAGCCACGGGTGAACAAATTGTTACAGCAGCCAAACACACCAACCTCAAGCTCACGCACATCTCTGCACCTTCGCATCTGCTTTCCCCTTGCAAGGTACGCCTCTTTTGTCTGCTTAGCAAACTTCTATTTAGTCTTCAAGACTCAATTCAAAAGGGTCAGCTCTTCCTGGAAGTCTGCTCTCCTCCTGACCCAGACGGTTGCTCCCTTTCCTGTGGCTCCCATACATTCAACTATTATGGCATCTGTCCATCCACCATCCATCCATCATCCATCTACCCATCCATCCACCTATCCATCTACCATCCATTCATCCATCATCCATCCATCCATCCATCCACCCACCCATTCATCCATCCATCATATATCTACCCATCCATCCATCAACCTATCCATCTATCCATCCATTATCCATCTCTCCATCCATCCATCCATCCATCCTTCATCCATCTACCCCTCCATCCATCTACCTAACTGTCCATCCACCCATCCAGCCATCCACCAACCCATCCATCGATTATCCATCCATCCGTCCTTTTATATTTGTTGAACAACTACCATGTACATCTCTGATCACACGGTTTTGAATGAGTCTGGCTTTCCATAGACCAATGATTCTTAATCTTTTGGGGGTCAAGGACACTGTCTCCCAGAAAAACATGTAAATGCACACACATGCTGGATGCTGCTTTCCTCTTCAGAGATCCCTGGTCATCCCTGAAGCCAGACTGTGGACCCTGGTTGTGGTAGACACTGTGATGTGGTGTTCAGGTCTCCGGTTGGGAGTGAAGGACTTATTTCCTCAGTTGCTGGGAGTCCGGCAGTCATCCTTCTTTGGGGTTTGTCTTGAAGAAACTGCCTTACCCAAAGTCACATCTCCTTCCAGGGGCAGGCTCACTTCCAATGACAGGTCAATGCTGTGGTGTAAGGCCATGAGCCTCTCACCCCAACTCGGGACAACTCTGAAAGGTATCTCAGCTTTAGAGTTCCCCATGGGGTTGGCTGAGGCTTTTGGTAGGACTGCCTTGAAGCTCAACTTCCCCTCTGCCCTAACCTGCCGCCTTCTCCTTTCCACAGGTAATTTTTCCAAGACCACTTTCTAATAAATGTCCTGCACTCTAATCTCCATCTCTGAATCTAATTCCCAGGGAATCCACTGGATTAAAAAGCCCTGCAGAAGCCAGGCATGGTGGCACAAGCCTGCAGTCCCAGCAACTCAGGAGGCTAAGGTGGGAGGATCACTTGAGCCCAGGAGGTCAAGGTAGCAGTAAGCTATGATTGTGCCACTGCACTCCACCCTGGAAGACAGAGGAAGACCCCATCTCTAATAAATAAAATAAAATAAAATAAAATAAAATAAAATAAAATAAAAAGCCCTACAGAAGTTCCTTGAGGACAGAGACCATGTTTTAATGACTTCGATATCTCCAGCAGCGATCACCGGCCAGGGCACATTGTAGACTGTCCAGAAACACTGATGGAATGCATTTGAATGCATTTTCCTCTGGTTCTATGTTCTGTCCTTCTGTTGTTCCCCAGCAGGAGAGTTCTCATCTGACATCCAGAAGAGGACGGCCCCACCAGCAGGATGGTGGTGGGACTGGGAGATGCTGGCCTGTTTCTGGGAAGTATGTTAGTTGCCAACGAAACTAAATAACCATGGGAACAGACGTTAAGCTAATTGGTTACTACAAAGCAGGGGTGAAGGGACGTGGCTGATGTCAGGGCTGTGCAGTTAGGGTGAAAACTCCATGGGATGGCTGGGAGACCGGAGGCTGGCAGGAATGGGCGGTGGTGGGAGGGAGCAGCCCCTTCTTACAGGGCAAGTCATTTGGAAGTTAGAACCTGTAAAATCCCCACTTTAGTTTCCGCTAGTGGAAATTCCTTCAAAAAACAAGCATCTGGGCCGGGTGCGATGGCTCACACCTGTAATCCCAGCACTTTGGGAGGTCAAGGCAGGTGGATTACCTGAGGTCAGGAGTTCAAGACCGGCCTGGCCAACATGTACTGAAATACAAAAATACAAAATACTAAAAATACAAAAAATGCTGTGGCGTAAAGCCATGAACCTCTCACCCCAACTTGGGACAACTCTGAAAGGCATCTCAGCTTTAGAGCTCCCTGTACTAAACATACAAAAAATTAGCCAGGCATGGTGGTGGGTGCCTGTAATCCCAGCTACTTGGGAAGCTGAGACAGGAGAATCACTTGAACCCGGGAGGTGGAGGTTGCAGCGAGCCAAGATCGTGCCATTGCACTCCAGCCTGGGCAATAAGAGCAAAAACTCCATGTCAAAAAAAAAAAAAAAAAAGCATCTGTTAAGTGCATGCTCAGTACCAGACACTGCAGCAGAGATGGGGATCTTGGAAGGCCAGAGCTCCAACGCTGGCTCCTCCTCTCATCTGGGCGAGTTATGTGACGTCCTTCCTGCTCCATTTCCTGAGTGGTGATGACTATGAGCCGAGCACTGTGTGCTTTACCTACATTATTTTATTTCACCTTCACAGTAGCTTCCTTCAGGTGTATGTATTATTATTCCTTCTGTAGAGACAAGGAAACAGGCTCGGAGAAGATCAGCAACGTGTCCAAAAGCACGCAGCTAATCACAGCAAAGAGAGACACGTCTCTCACTCTACGGCGTCTGCAGGTTGTATCCTTAGCCATCGTTATGCTTAACCACTTGGAACTTAGTTTCCACAGCTAGGAAAGAAATACAATCAGTCCTTACTGCACCGGGCTGTTACAGATTAAATAACCTATGGCAAAGGCCTAGATGGTGCCCAGTGAACGGTCTTTTCTGTTCTTTCTTCCCCATTCCCCAGCCCACTGCCTCATCACTTTCCTGGGCTGGGAGGAAGGCTGACTCCAAAAATGAATGTCTCTGTCCCCAAGTCCGGCAGTGTCTGCCATGTAGCCAGTACTCACTGAATGCTGTCGACCTAAATGGATGGCCTGGGAGTCCCCACCCTCAGTCCATCACTAGTGTGTGATGCAGGAAGCTGCAGCAAGTACCATGAGGAGAATTCTCTTGGTGCCATGTAACTACTCTCAAGCCACTGGGATTTTCAGGTTTTTCACAGCAGGATAAAGCAGAAACAGATGGAGACAATCCCTTGAGCCCTCAAGGCAGAAAAGGGTACCGGAGTGAAGATGAAGGTATGCCGGGCCCTGCCTGATGGCTCAGGTCCCTCCCACAGGCAAACTGCAGCCCATTCTCACCGCCACCACAACACCAACTGTGGACGTCCTCACATATTGGAGCCATTAACCTTCCTTCCACTGTGGGCCCCTGGGAGAGGTGGTGGGCAGGTAAGCACTTGAAACTCGAACCTGCAGGTCAGTCCTCTCTCCGCCCCTTCTGCAGAAGCCTCGGAGCTGGGGCTGTGTGGGGACAGACACCACAGCCTTGGAGAGACAAGTCACATCCTCAGCTTCCCCTCAACCTGTGCAAGCACCGCGTTGCCATGGTGATGCTGCAGCCCTGAGATGCAATGGCTGCAGACAGCATGGGTGGTTCTAGGGCTCAATGCCGAGGTGGACGCTGTCTGGCCTGGGAGGCCAGGCGATTGGGTGGGCTGGGTGGGGGAGGAGAGGGAGCCCTCCTTTAGGTTCAGCTGGTAATTGCTGCTAAATGAAGGGCTGTCATTGAACCCAACATGTGCGAGGTAAGGGCCCCCGCTCTGCACCTTGTAATTACTGCACCAGACAGCAACGCTTGCTCCCTGTGCTGGGAGGCGGGCAGTGGGGGAGCAGACAGGAAGCTCTCATCCACCTGAGCCAGCGGGGCTCTGGCAGACTCCCCCTGCCGCCCAAGCAGCCTGCATCCCAAGCAGCCTCTAAGACGGAGGAGGCCCTGGCCCCCCTCCTTGGCTGGCTCTTCCCACATCATCCAGCTGGAGCACGAGCCTCCTTTAATCTTGGCCTCTGAGCTTGCGGAATCCAAGGGGGGCAGAGGTGCAGGAGCCAGATAAGAGGCCGCTTCCAAGCGCCCTTGGTGCTCCACCTCCGCCTGCTGAGTCTGTGCTGGGAATCTGAATTAGAGGCAGATCTCGGTCTGACTCCTGAGCACGGAGGCTCTGAGGGCCTCGGGCTAGTCACCGCCCCCTCCTGGCTTCAGTCTCCTGCTGCAGAAGTGGAAGTTGGACTCGAGAATTCTTGAGGGTTCTCCTGCTGGTAAACTTCAGCCAGCAAGCTGGATCCTACTTTTGTAAATGGGGTTTCACTGGGACAGCCACACCCTGGGTCTGTGTCATCTATGGCTGCTTTTGTGCTACGATGGCAGAGTAGCTGCAACAGACGCCATATGGTCCCCAAACCCCAAATATTTACTATCTGGCCCTTTACAGGAAGTTTGCAGACCCATTTTTAAAGTATTAAAGTTCTCCTGGGCTTAACCGAACGAGCTTTAGTGACTCCAACCTGATGGAAACAATTTTAGAACAAGCCCTATCCTTGTCCCCACCCATGGATACCCACTGTCCTCTTCCAAGCACCCCTTTTCTGCCGGTGTCTGGATAGCCGTGGCAGGGCAGCTGGGCTCTGGGAGCCAGTGTGGTGCAATGGCGCCACCTGCTGTGAGTGCCTAGGAGCACTTCGCCTGGAAAGCTTTGTCCCCAAGGGCCGGGGGGGTCTCCCATGGCCCGGGAACCAGTTTACAGGAGTAGACTCAGTCCACAGCACATCAGAGCTGGGGTCTTGCCCCCTCCCTTCCTCATTTGAGAGAGGCCTGCAGTCTAGAGAAGACGTGGGACTTGGCCAAGGAGGAGTGGAAAGCCCAAGCCCCAGGGGCCCATGAAGTTCCAGGAGGCTGTGTGGATGTCACGTGCAGCACGTGCACACACAGACGTACACAGACTTGGATGTGAACCTCAGCCCGGCCACTTAAGCAGCTCTTTATCTTTTCCAGGCTTTAGTCTCTTAGTTGTTAAAAGGATTAAAAGAAATGCTTATATAACATTTAATCTGTTACTAATAATGACTCAATCTTCAAAAGGACTCTGAGATAGACATTATCCCCATTTCACAGATTAAAAAACTACGGCACAGACAGGTTAGGTCATTTGCTTAGGGTCACACAGCTAGTGACAAAGCCAGTATTCAAACTAGGCTGTGAAAACATGTAAGGTCTCCAGAATGCAGTACTCAGTAAACATTCATTTATTTCCTGCCAGCAGGTGCAGTGGGGCCCCACTGGGGAGGGGACTGGTGTTCTAACAGGAGCGAGAAAATGAAGGAGGCCTGGCTTAAGACCAGACATTTGAAGAAGGCTCCAGGCAGGGAAAGGAAAGGAGAGGCCAGGCCCACACTGTCCCCTCCCTGCCCCCACGTCTCCAGCAACACAAGGCGGCCAGTGGACCGTGAACCATTTATTTCCAAACTATAAAGAAACCTGCTCTCTGAGAAAAGACACTGCCCAGGTGATGAAGCTCCAGCCCCTGGAGGTCCAAAACCCAGTCCAAACTCAGTCCCTTTAGAAAGCTGCTGTGCCTTGGAAATGAGTCTCGGCTGTCAGAGCCTGGGAAGTGGTGGGAAGAACCAGCCCACTCCCCTCTCCTGCTGCGATTCCAGCGCAGCTTGGGCCCAGCTCTGGCCAGTCCCAGGCTGGCCTGGTGCTCGCCCCTTGTGTGACCAGGCTCTGAAGGGAGGGGCAAAAGTCATGAGTCCCTGGCTTGGCCCCACCACCTGGTGACTCCCGTCCACAGCTCCCAGCTACCATGATGAGCCCTGGCGGCTTGAGCACAGTGAGTGCTGGCAGCAGGCTGGGGAGTGGCCTGCTTCTAAGCCATTTGCCCTGGCTGGTCACTGCTGCCCCTGGGCCACAAAGTACTCCTCCTCCTCATTGTCACCTTCCTCCCGCTGGCTGCTCCGGAGCAGCAGCTCCAGGTCGGGGCTGGAGCCCAGCCCCTTCAAGGCCTTGGGGCCACCATCACCTTGGGATAGAGAGAGACCACAGTTACAGGCCCAGTCGTGGTTTTCTTGGTTTGCTCTGATTTGCATGTGTGCTGAGTCACCCAGGCCCCACCCACCCACTCTGGAGATGACCCCCACATCTTCCTAGAGGAGTGACGGCAGCAGAGCCACCGGGCACACTTCCTGCATCAGAATCACTAAGAGTCACAGGGAGAAGAACAGAAAACAGAGGCTTCTGGAAGGGACTCTGGGTTACCTCTGGAATGCAGGGCTTTGAGGGCAACGTGGAGGGATATTCCCGAGAGGCAGAGGGCGAAGCCCAGCCAGTTCAGGAGGCTGATCTGATCGCCCAGCAGATGAGCTGCCAACAGCAAAGTGCAGACTTCCTGGGGGCAGAGAAGCAGGAGGGAGCATGATCAACAGGCAGATTTGGCTGCTTGACCAGGAGGGTGGAAGGTGGGGGCACTAGGTACACTCAGGTGGGCAGATCAAGATCTTACTGAAATCCTGGGCCCAGGCAGGCAGAGAGGTCAGGGGACCCGGCCGGCTTGCGGCGCTGTCCCGCCAGCCTCCTTTTGTGAGATGCAACAAAGGAGGTGCTTGTCATGGAATTCTGTCAGGAATAAAAGAGGCAAACCAGATCCCAGGCTGGGGACCAGGGTGTCCAGATCGCGCCTTATCCACAAGGATAAAGGACGGCTGCCCCAGAAGGCAGCCACAGAAGAGAGCCCTGAGCCTATGTGTGAGAATGCTGTGTTACCCCGGACTGAAGACACAACTGGTCCCGGGGCTCTCTATAAACAGAGACTCCAAACAGGACTGGCAAGGCCGTTCATCCAAGAACCACAGCCATGCCTCAGCATGCGGCTGGCCACCAGAAGACCCTTGGACAGGCCTGCATTTCTGGGTTTAGGCAACACTGCTTCAACACTGGTGTGTGCCTGGCCAAAGAGAAAAGTCCCTCCCTGCCCCTGAACAGGGAGGACTGTTGAAATGTGTGGGAGGGAGAAGGAGAAGTGAGAAGAGGTATGAGAGGGAAGGACAGGCCTGCGAGGCAGAGGTACAGCAAGGCTGGCCACAGGGGTGCTTTCTCAGGGTCTCACTAGCCCTGGCCATGGCCTTGGAGGACACCGCCAGTCAATCACGGAACTCTTTCCTGATGAGTCTGGATAGGGGCTGTTCAACCTGTGGCTCCAGGCCACTGCCCAGTGCCAGAGTTGGCAGTCAAGGTAAAATGTGAATGCATTCCAGGCCTAGCAGAGTCAGAGCTGGCTTTGAGGCCCCTGCTGTGCCCTTGGGGAGGGGCGGCTCTCCATCTGTGTCCCTGTCTGTGGGATGGGAGTGATCATACCCTCTCACAGGGCTGTGGTCAAGGCAGAAGGAGGGGCCAGCACAGCACTCAGCAAAGTGCCTGGCACCTAATGGGGCACTTCCTTCTCTTCTCTGCAGGGCCCTGGGGTGCAGGAGCTGGGACTGAAGCTGCTGGTGAGAAACCCCTGGGGGCTCCCTCTCTAAGACAGGACTGGCATCACGCCCGAGTCTGTACCTTAAAAATGCCGGCAATGGAGAGAGTGAGGCTGGAGGTTCTGGAGACCAGGAGGAACTCAGAGAAGCCCAAACCAAAGGCGAGAATCCCGCCAAGGAAGAGGCTCCCAAGTACCCGCAGGAGCAGCCCTGTGTCCTGGAAACGGAAGATTTTCTCAGATGTGGACAAATGGAGACCTGAAAGCAACAGGGAGAGAGAGTGGGAGGCCGGGTCCTGGGCTGCCTTGGCCAGCCCAATGCCAACCACACAAGATCTTCCACTGTAGTAGTGAGTTCTTACTGAGACCTGCTAACTGTCTGCAGCCCAGAGAAAAAGCATGGAAGGTATAAAGTGATCCCACACAGATGGCCTGAGACCTGGGGAAACCAGGGAAGCAGTGATGGCTGCCAGAGCGCCTGGGGGCAATACAAGCCAGATCCTAGCAGGATGATGCGGATCCTAGCGGGATGATGGGACCCTAGCGGGATGATGGGGATCCTAGCAGGATGATGGGATCCTAGCGGGATGATGGGGATCCTAGCGGGATGATGGGATCCTAGCGGGATGATGATGGGATCCTAGCGGGATGACGATGGGATCCTAGCGGGATGACGATGGGATCCTAGCGGGATGACGATGGGATCCTAGTGGAATGATGGGGATCCTAGTGGGATGATGATGGGATCCTAGCGGGATGAAGGAGATCCCAGTGGGATGAAGGAGATCCTAGCGGGATGATGGAGATCCTAGTGGGATGATGGGGATCCTAGCGGAATGATGGGGAGGGCTCGTCTGAGCCTCTGGGGTGAAGTAGAGGGGGGTGGCCCTGCATGGAAAGACGGATGGAAGTGCCCTGCACCTTTGGACAGTATTCCCTTACTGGTCTGTGGGGAGGGGCTCATGGCTGCTGACTTCATGGGGTCTTTGGAGCTGTGGTAACTACTGGGCTAAAGAAGGTAGGGCGGCTACCAAGTGACGAAGGACCAACAGTGCCCCAGCCCACTCAGGGAACTCCTTGGTCTACATTTCAGCCAGTTCACCTACAAACAGGGACAAAATTCTATCCCTACAAACGTTCATTTTAATCTAGGTCTTGCTAGTACAGAGCTGTGGGACTTGGGCTGAGATGTGTCCCCTTTCTGGACCTCAGTTTCCTTACTGATAAAATGAGAGGCCTGGGACCAGACTGGTATTTCTCCAACCCGTGGTATCACTTGATGAACATTTCCCAAAAAGAAAATGCAAACACATGGCCCCTTGCTCCAGAAACACAGGCATGCACACCCCCTACCCCAAATTCAGCTTAGACTTTCGGAGGAGTCATGGTCCCTCCAACACTGTCCATCTGGAAGAATGACTCCCGGCGTCCCTCCCACACGAAAGTCCTCGTGGTGTATTAGCACAGGGTGAAGGGGGGCCCAGAACTGGGCACAAGAGACAACTGTGGTAGCTGGAAGCTGGACGAGTATTTTGAGATTTTTGGAGGGAAGCACCAAAGAAATGCCGAGTGACAGTCCCCCCAGGCAAAACAGCCTCACAGTGTAGGACATCTTGTTTGGTGCTGGGCTCAGCAGAACTGCAAAGGCGTCGGCAAATTGAAGGGAATTCGGGGAAGAGCAGCATAAGTAATGAAGGCGCTTGGGGGATTAATTTACCAGAAAAGATTAAAGGAGCTAAATCCATGCAGCTTTGCCAAGTGACGACTACCAGGGGCTTTCAGATGAGGTTTTGCAGAGATGGGGCATGGTGTAAACACACGGGAGGGGAGGGAGAGTGTGGCGTTTGGTACAAGGGGGCATAATGAAGGAGTGGGGAGAGATTTTAAAGAAGGAAAAAAAACGAGGCCCTGAACAGAAGTTTCCTGGACAACGGGGCTTCAGAATAATTTTCTTGGGGAGGTTCAAGACGCTTCACTGCTTGAAACTTAAATGGATGTGGGACAGAATTTTCTGTAATGACCCTGAGGGCATTACAGACGGGACTCTGGGAGGAAGGATAAACAGAAAGGGGACAAAGGCTAATCCCAAAACATCAAAGAAAGGAAGGTGGCGTCACACCTCCCAGCCTACACAGTTCTCCAGGGCTCTCCTCATCCCTGGAGGACGACAGTGGAGGAACAACTGACCATGTCCCCAGGCTCCTGTGTGCTGGCTCCTGGTCTTCAGCCCCCAGCTCTGGAAGCCCACCCTCTGCTGATCCTGCGTGGCCCACACTCCTTGAACACACATCCCCAGGTTATATTCCTGGACATGGCTGAACCTCCTATTCCTACTTCCGAGATGCCTTGCTCCCTGCAGCCTGCCAAAATCCCACTCACCCTCCAAACCACGGCCTGGGAAGCCTTTCTGACTTGCCTGATTACTCCAGCATCTTGGAACAATCCCTGATTCCCCATTCCTTAGAGGCAAGATAGGGTGGTTAAGAGTAGGGCTGGACCACTTGGAGCCAGGCTGCTGGCTTCAAATTCTGGCTCATTTACGAGCTATGGGACCTTGGGCAAGTTATCTTTACTTCTCTGGGCCTCATTTTGTTCTACCTGCAAAATGGGGGATAATAATAGTACTGCCACACCAGGTTTTTGGAAGGATGAAATGAGTTCCTATGTTTAAAAAGATCAGAACAGCCCTGGTGCACTTTCAGGGCTCTGTGCACACTTACTGTTACTGTTCCCTGAATTTTATATGTGCTTTCTCTGTAGCGTTTATCATGCTGGACCCCAAACCATGCGCTTCCAGGGGAGGGACTGCATCTTTGATCTCAATAATCTCTGCAGCTACCACTGTGTTGGGCTCAGGGCGAGGATCTGTGGTCTGCTGCACTGAGGTGCCCTTGAGAGGGAAGGCCCAACGTACCTTCAAATACAGCAAAGAGAGGGAAGAGCCCCAGGAACATGAGTGGCTGCAGGTGGAACATGGTGTCGATGGGATTCTGGAGGCCTGCAGGGCGGGGGACAGGCACCATCAGGTCTGGTCCGGCCCTGCCCTGCCTCCGCCCTGCCTGTGCCGGGGTTCCTCTCTCTGGAGGATGAGTGGCACGTGCTCACCGAGTTCAGCCTTCTGCAGGAGCATCTGGGTGAGGGTCCAGCGAATGCCACCGATGAACGAGGCCCCCAGCACCAAGGCGAAGCCCTCCACGTTGAACTGTGTGGACTTGTAGGTGAACATGAAGAGACCCCCGGCGATGAGGAGGACCACCAGGACCAGTGCCGCGCGCTGGTAGGATGGGGAGCAGTGGCAGCTAACTCGGGGGTCTTGAGGGTCAAGGGTTCATCACATTTGGAGCCTGGGGTCAGCAGCCATCTTGGCTGCCCCTGGGGCAAGAAATCCTTCCACCCTTCAGCTCCATCCCAGGGGGTCCTGGACAGTCCTTGCCCACCAATGTCAGCATGTAGGGCTGACGGTCAGCTGGTATGCCAACAGCCCTGCTTGCTCTGCCACACTGACGGCTGTCCTAGGCCCCCAAGTGGTCCCACCTCCTCCCTGGGCCTAACACACAGGGCTACTGCCTCCCACAGCAGGGTGCTTCCTAGACCCAGCTCTGCTGGGACCCTCATCCTGCAGTGCTTTCACCTTTGGTCATTACCCTGCCACACTGGTTTCTAAATATTCTGAGTATTGCCCATGTCTAGGTCCCTTCTCAGAAAGGGATCTACTGCCACCTGGACTGGGCTTGTCTCCTCTGTCACACAGCAGGACAAGCCACTGCTCAGACTCCCACTTTATTCTTAGCATCTGTGGGGGCAGGAAGGACACAAGAGACGCTGGGGCCTCACCAGCTCCTCCAGCTTGAAGATCAGAGAGAAGATCAAGATGAAGAGGACAGCTGAGGATTTGGTCATTGTGTACCTGGAAGCAAAATTACCCACAATGCACTGCTGGAGCTCAGGGCTCAGACCCATCACCGAGAAAGGAGCAGGAGCACAAATCACTGAGCGAAATGACCAAACAGAGCTGGGCTGTCATCTGAGTGATAAGCGACCTTTAATCAGAAGGAATCTCTGACTAAGAGGCCTCTGGTTATCACCAGAGAGAAGAGGTTACAGGTCTGACGTTGAGCTCCCTGAGTCCTGTTCTTTACCTAACCCTCGGCAGAGCCCAGGAGCGGGAAGGAAGGATGAGAAGTAGGAGGACAAGAAGGCAGGAACAGTGCTCTCTGAAGCAAAACATCAGAGGGAAGAAGAAACTCTTGTGTAGCCCCCAGGCCACATAGGGCTCTGCTGCGGCTGCGTGTACCACCCACCAGTGGCCACCTGTCTGTGGCCTTGCAGCCTGCCTTCCCCTGCTCTGATGATGGGGTTCTGGGAGAGCTCCCTGGCTTCCCCACGCTGCCTGGCAGGTGGGCACAGCATCTCCTCTGCGCTGGGCTTACGGAAGAGGCTGGCGACTTCCCGGAGAGCTGCTGGGTGCCAGGGAGAGGCTGAGAGAGCAAGGGCTGGTCCCAGAGTGGTGGAGTGGCTGGCCTAGCAGCCGGGTGTGCAGACACCCCGCTGGACAGACAGACAGCTTCAGCCTGAAGGGAGGCAGCAGGGCATGGCCAGTACTCACAGCGAGACGGTGACATACAGGAAGCTCCAGTTGGACAAGCCCACGTCAAGCGCCGTCGCCAGAGCTGTGAAGACACAGGCACCCACAGGACAGCTTGGGAGGTCCACACTCTGCTGGGGTGGGCTGGTACCCTGAGGCACCTGAGTGTCCCCCACTTCTGAACCATCCCGGTGCCTCCTGTGGGGCCCTTGGGCCTTCTTTTCCACCAGCAACTAAAGGGTTAATATCTGGCCCCCAAAGGTCGGGGGCTGCTCTAGCATTAGGGCTGGGGCCCATTCCAACTGGCTGGGCCGGTATGGTTTCCACAAACACTCCGGCGAGCCCCCTGAGCGGAGGTATTAACCTGATCTGGTTGATCCCTTACTGGAAACCCTTTTCCCTCAGGATGGAACACAAACTCCTCCACGGGGAATCCGGCCTCCAGGACATGACCCCTGCCCACCCTCTCAGTTCTCATTTTTCCCACTTCCTCTGGCCAGCACCGGGTTCTCAGTATCCTGAAACACTTTGAGTTCCCTTCCAGACCCCACAGCTGGCACTAAATCTCCCTCGGGCCACGAGGGCCCCTCCTCCCAGGGCCAACCAGTCCCACGCATCCTTCAGGGCTCTGCCTACTTGGCACCTGGCCTAGGAAATCTTCCTCTACCAGCCATGGGCCCCGGCCTTGGGTTGGTCCCCTCCCTGGGCTCCGTAGTGCCCTCCATGTCCGTGTCACAGCCCTGCGAGGGCAGGGACCCTGCCTGCTCACCACTTATCTCCAGGCCTGAGGGCTGCACTCCAGGCTCGGTGTCTGCTGGCAGGAGAGGGAGCTGCGGGGCCGCAGGTGCAGGGGGGGTTTTGTGGGTGTGTGGTGGGGCAGTGGGAAGGCACGCAGTGCACAAGAGGCAGCAGCGTGGGTGGTGGGAGGCCAGGTCAAGAGGGCAGAGGAGGAACAGTGCAGGAAGAGGGGAGGGACTTGGCTTCCAGACATGCGGGTGTCTCTCTTGTTCTCATCCTATGGTTCCCCAGCCCCTCTTCCTGCTCTGCCCTCACTGAGGTCCCCCACCTACCTGTGGGAGCCACTCTTCTGAGGTAGTCGGCCCAGCTCAGCACCACACGGGCCCTGTGGCTGGAGCACTGAACCAGCGCCCTGGACAGGGCGGAGAAGAGGAAGATCACGGCCAGGTGCAGCATCGTCATGAAGAGGGGGAAATGGAAGCTCTGTATGGAGCCCAAAGCAGACACCCCGGCTTGGTTTAGACAGCCTGCCCCCCACCGGCTCCCTCTTCCTCTTCGCCCCTCTGCTGGAGTGGGGCTCATTCGGTGGTTCATGAGGACCTTGCTATGTGTGTAGGGCCCTTAGTTACGGTATCATCGCTTGGAATGACAGACTCTTAGGTCACGAAGACAGGTGGCAGCCAAGAGACTCAATCCTAGCCTGGTGCTGTCTCCACCATTTCAACACACCTGTGAGCTACCTGCCCAGCCTTCCTCACGGCCTATGCCCAAGTGAGAGCCACTGCGGCCCACTACGTTGTATCACTTATTAAAATATTGAAATACTTCTCTAGTGGGGTAAATAGCTGCTGCTTGAGCCCCAGTTTCCCCAGCTCATCCCTTCACACCCCCCGCTCTCCTTGGTTTCCCTGGATCCAAACACTGAAGGGGAACCCTGGCACGGCAGGCTTGGAGGGCCCTGTTCCAGCCCAGCCGTGACTGGCTTCCAGTTAGACTGGTTGAAGCTTGTGCCTTCCTGTTAAACATGAAGGGCACCGTAGCCATGGCTCTGGCCACCTTCATCCCAGCACCCCGCCCCAGCAAGGCCTCCTGGTACCTTTGTCAGCCACTTGTTGTAGAAGGTGATGCCGATGGAGAAGCAGTAGTAGAGAAGCACCAGCCCCAGGGTCAACACCGCCTTCCACAAAAAGGCCACATCGAGGGCCCACCTCCCCATTCGTGGCGGCTGCAGCACCGGAGCTCCTGAGTCAGCGGGGGCAGGCACCCCTCTTGAATACAATGTGCAGGAAGAGCCGGTGGAGTTAGACCACAGCTTTCACCAAGAACGTCTCCAGGCTGGAGGAGCTCTCTGCAGCTCCATGATTCGGAACCATCAGCAGAGCCCCAGGCAGAGTCCTCACCTAAGGGGCTGGTGGCTGGTGCTGACCCTTCCCATGGTTAATTGGATGC
The DNA here is from genome assembly GCF_000001405.40 of Homo sapiens. NCBI lineage: Eukaryota > Metazoa > Chordata > Mammalia > Primates > Hominidae > Homo > Homo sapiens. The sequence goes on from NC_000020.11 coordinate 46,358,740, forward strand.
AGCGCTCACAGGTCCCAAGGTCTGCTGCTGGGGAAAAAGGGCCGCTCTGGAGCCTCAGGCAGAGACTGTGCTTCTCGTAGCCATGGGTGCCTCTGAAGGCTGCGTGACTCAGGGCTCTGGAGGGGCTGCCCACAACGGCACAGGCAGTCCCAGAGACCCACGTCGTGTCTGCTGTCTTGTCACCTCAAGCTATTCTCCATGAACTGCCACCAAAGTGACCTTTTAAAACACAAACTGATCATGTCAGGCCACTGCTTAAAACCCTTCAGCAGCTTCCAGTGCTTTTCTGATAAAGACCAGCACCCTTCTTTCGGCTCCCATGGCCTCATCTGGCCCTGCTGGTCTTCCCAGTCTCAGCCACAGGCTCTCCAGGACCTGGCCCCACTGGGCGCCTTTCAGCTCCCCAAACACACCAGCTTTCTTCCCGTTGTCTGAAGGAAATGAACGAACACTGCACCCACCCTTCAGTCCTTCATCAATCCTACCTATCTTCAGCTCAGAGGTCACTTCTTCAGGGAACCCCACCCCATCCCCTGAATCAGTCCCCTGAGATACATGTTGCTTTCACGGCTCTCCTACTTCTCTTTCATAGCACTTGTGCAGGGTGTGATTTGAGTAATGTCTGTCCCCTGAGAGGCTACGAGCGGCACAAAGATAGGGACCAGTAAGACCACACTGGCCTTACGCACAGCTGGTGTACTTTAAGTTCTCCGTCTGGTTTGATGACTGACAGAGAGCAGGCATGCGATTTTCAGGGGACTGGTCTGGTCTTTAGGGGTTAAAAATGGAGAAGGAAACCAACACTCTAACGGCTGGAACACTGTAAGACCAGGCTGTAACCACTACTCCCTGGAAGCAGAGCCTGCCTTACGGTATTGCCAAATGAAACCACTCCCAGCCTCCCTGTCAATCCAGCCAACCCTGATGAGTGCCCGGAGCATGCCGGGTAGACCTGTCTGTGCCTGGAGGAGCCTCAGGTCCAGTGTTATGTGATGATACCTGCTGCTTCATCTGGGTGCCCCCCTCAACCACAGATCCTCCTTTGAGACATTCCCATCCTATTGAAACGCCACCTTCTTCTCGAAGCCTTCCTAGGCTTCACGATCAGACACATTCTCCATCTCCCACCCCAACATTTCTGAAGGGAGCAGTTACATTCCATTCTGCACTCTGGAACTCTTGTTACTATTTCCCCTCCCCGGGGCAAACAGGGAGCTGGCTGTGTCCAAATGAATCTCTGGGGCTACAGTTGTCTTCAGAGGAGCTTTGGAAACCTGTGGCGGTATTTTGGGGATATGCTCCTGGCGTTCAGTAAGCAGGGATAAAGAAGGGGCAGTCCACATAGCCAATTACTGCTCTGCATCCCGCACGACTTTGACATCCATATAGGTGAAAGATTAGCTTATAATTATCTGAACCTAGAATGTAACTCTGTTTACATGTAAACACAGTGCAGTGTTTCCATGGTTCTGCTGTGAACTAACACTTCCAAGAATAAGACGCCTATGTACAATGAAGGGAGACTGAAAATGGTCAAAATTGGTCTCAAAATGGCACCAAAAGTGTCCATTCTGGAAAAACCACATCATCTACAGCAATGGCACTAGTGGTTTTCGAGGTGCGACACAACACGGCTGTGTCAGTCTGTGTCTGTGGCCATCACACTCCTAGAGGGTCCACACAGAAGGGACAGCTTCACTGCAACTTCCAGCACTATTGTGCCCAGAAACTTACATATTGAAACATATTTTGTTTTACTATCAATTACTTTCCTTTTATGTTATAGGGCATGGTTATTTATATTTTATTTTATTTTTTTTTTGAGACGAAGTTTCGCTCCTGTTGCCCAGGCTGGAGTGCAATGGTATAATCTCGGCTCACCACAAGCTCCGCCTCCCAGGTTCAAGCGATTCTCCTGCCTCAGGCTCCCTAGTAGCTGGGACTGATTACAGGCATGCACCACCACACCCGGCTAATTTTTTATATTTTTAGTAGAGATGGGGTTTCTCCATGTTGGTCAGGCTGGTCTTGAACTCCCAACCTCAGGTGATCCGCCCGCCTTGCCTCCCAAAGTGCTGGGATTACAGGCGTGAGCCACCGCGCCCGGCTGCATTTGTTGATTTTTAAAAAATTATGTGTAGGCAGTTTTTATTAATCATATGTTTCATTTTAGGGTAATAAAAGGGACTGTTACAAAATATTTGTAATAAAAAAGAGGTGTCAGATCCAATGAGTTGAGACTCCTACCTGACCTAATGCATTCTCATTCCTTCAAATGCCTTCTGTAAGCTGATGTCTTCCCAATATATGCCCCGGCTCTGATTCATGTGAACTCCAGAAGAATATCCAATGCCTACCTAACCTCTTCTTCCCTTAGATATCTAATATCAGGCATCTCACTCACATCTAGAGTGTCTGAAACTGACTCGTGTTTTCCACACCCCCATTTCATCCAAGCCTGCTCCTCTTCCTACTTCCCATCCCAGCAAATGGCTCCACTACTCTCCTAGTTGCTCAGGCCAAAAGCCTTAGGCTCATCTGATTCCTCTCTTCCCCTTAGCCCACATTCAATCAATAAATACCGTCAGCTCTATCTTCAGAAATATCCCAAATATGAGCACATGTCCTGAACTCCACCACTACCATCTCAGCCACCATCCTCTCCCCAAATGACTGCAGGAGTCTCCTACACGGTTCTCTCTACTTCTCCTGCAACCACCACCATCAGGCTCCTCCAACAAAGAGGGCGCATGGGCCTCAAACATACGTCTACAGATCTCAAAACCCACACTGTTTCCTCTACGCCAGGGTTTCTCAACCTGGGCGTTACTGCTGTTTGGGGACAGATAATTCTTTGTGAGAAGACCCATCCTCTACATGGCAGGATGTTTAGCAACATCCCTGGCCCATACCCACCAGACACCTGTCACATCCTTCCCCCCATCCCAAGTTGTGATACCCAAGAAATGTCTCTAGACACTGCCATATGTCACCTGAGGATCAAACCTGCTCCCTGTTGAGAACCACTGCTGACCCTGTCCTGTGACAGGCACTCACAGGACATGCTGGCACTAACAGAGCTTTCTTCTGAGCACTCTTCCCTCATGGCTCCTCCTGTGGCTTCCAAGCCAGGGAAGTCTGTTCACTCTTCTGTTAACCAACTTCTTGCAGCTCCTGCTTTTGCTGCATTTCCTGCTGCAGCACTGCAACACCGCAACACCCTCCCTCCACTGTTCAAATGCTGACCTTCCTTCACAGACCTGGCCCAGTTCCCCTGCCTCCAATAAGTCCCTATGGCTACCCCGCCTACAAGAAGCACTGTCTCAAATTTAACTTATTTTCTTATTGGGATTCAGAAGGTCACCTATGCCCAAACACAAAGCCAAATCTCAGCTAGAAGGGTCCCTGGAGATCATCTAGGCACTTAATGAGCATTTATCAAGCACTCCTGTAGGCCCACCACTGGAGACACAGACGTGAAACTGAAAAGGTCCCCACCCTTATTTTATAAGGGAAACAAGATTTAAAGGAGTAAACAACTCTTTTTGAAATCTCATTTGCTCAGGAAGGAAAGTCCATATTCTGCCCCACTTTCCACAGAGAGCAGCTTAGCTGGGGGCAGCAGTCACATCAAGGTAAGGCTGGCTGGTGCATCACTGGCACACCTGCTTCCCTCCATCTTCCTAACTGTAACTTGGGCAGCATGGTTTAGTGCTTAAGAGTGTGGGCTTTGGAGTTAGACACTGAGAATCAAATCCTGGTGTCCCTACTCACTACTGTGTGACCCTAAGTTACTTGACCTCTGGACTCAGTTTCTCCAACTGTAAAGTGGCATCAGGTACAGCATTAAATGCTGGCTCATGGTAGAGGCTTACTCCCCTCCTGGTCCCCTTAACAGTGAAACTTCCCCAGAGGACCCCGCACTGCCAGTCCAACTCCTTCACCCCCTGCTCTCACTTCAGCCCATCTCCACTGCTCCAATGAGTCACCACACCCTCCTCCCTGCTGCCCCTTCGAAGGCTTAGTCTCTATTCTTTTTGTTGTTGTTGTTGTTTTGAGATGGAGTTTCAAGGCTGGAGTGCAATGGCGTGATCTCGGCTCACCGCAAACTCCGCCTCACGGGTTCAAGTGATTCTCCCGCCTCAGGCTCCCGAGGAGCTGGGAATACAGGCATGTGCCACCATGCCCGGCTAATTTTGTATTTTTAGTGGAGACAGGGTTTCTCCATGTTGGTCAGGCTGGTCTCGAACTCCCGGCCTCAGGTGATCTGCCCGCCTTGGCCTCCCAAAGTTCTGGGATTACAGGCGTGAGCCACCGTGCCGGGCCGGCTTAGTCTCTATTCTTACCTTACACAATGGATCACTTCCTCCTCCTAGAAAAAACCTTCTCTTGGGTGCCACGATACCACATTCTCCTGGTTTTTCTTCTGCTTTTCTGGACTCCTTATTGGTCTTTTTTGCTGGCACCTTCTTGTCAACTCAATCTATAAAAATTGGGTGCCTAAAGCTTGGAACCTGGCTTCTCTTCTCTCTTAAATCTTACCCTACATAATCTCATCCTACCCAATCCACTTGCCAATGATTTCTAAATTCTTTACATCAGCCCTGACCTTTTCTGTATCAGACTCATATATCTAACTGCCTATTTGGTAGCTGCACTCCAAATATCTAAAACTTAAGATGCCCTAAGAAGATTTCGTAATTATTTCTCACGCTCCCAATCTATCCCAAAGTCATTTAGTAAATGCCAGCATAATACACTTGGTTACTTAAGCCAAAACCAAAAATCTATGATGAAGTCATCTTTGACCACTTATTTCTGTCATTTCTCAAATCCTGCCCTGTCAGTTCCACTTTCAATACACTTCTTGACCCCTCTACTTCTCTTCCTCTCCATTCCCACTACCACAGTCTAAGCCACAATTATCTTTCACCTGCTGACTGCCACTGGTCTAACTGGTCTCCCTGTTTCCTCTTTCGCCCCTAAGGCCTGGAATCTATAAAGCAGCCAGAGAGATGGCACACGAAACAGATCATGCCCTAAGGCTAAGCCCAGCTCCTCAGCCTGGTCCACAAGGAAGGCCTCTGTAACCTCATTCTTCTGCCACTGGTCCCAGCACCCGCCACAGCGGCCCCCTGCCACGTGTCAAACACATCAAACCTGTGTTTTTCTTTACTTGCTGCTCTTCCTGCCTTCAGCTCCCTTCCGCAGACCTCCGCTTGGCTGAATACTTTCTCCAATGCCCCACCCCTCCCAATCCTCGTGGCACTCCCACCTCTGACGTTTCCTTGTTTGCTCACGTGTTTACTGCCCGCCCCAATCCCACCGCGGGAAGCAGCCCCTCAGAGGGCAGGGCCGTGTCCGATTCCGGCCCGGGTCCCGCACCCAGGACGTCGCAGGTGCTCAGGAAATACCAGATGAGCCGGCGTCCGGCAGGTGCCTTGCAGGAGGGCGCTTGGAGACCCCTGCCCCCTCCACAGACGGCGAAACTGAGGCCCGGGGAGGGGCAGGGGCGTGGCGTGCCCCATGTCAACCCGCGCAGATCCCGGGTGGGGAGCCCGCTTCCCTTCTCCAGCCCCGGCCCCCCAGCCTCTGGGAGTGCGCCGGGAGGCCGGCCGCACACCCACTCACCTCGGCCCTGGGAGCTCCAGGCCGGAATCTCCCCACCGGAAGTGCGAGGCCGGATGCCGCCGCCGAACCGCGGCACGGGCGGTAACTTCCGCCGGAAGCTACCCAGGGGCTGGGCGGAGCCGGGGCGAAAAGGCGGGGCGGGGCAGCACGGGGGCGGGGCGTCTGTTGTGGTCGGGTTCTGAGGTGGTCTGGTCTTTCTGAGGTACAGCGTAGTTTTGTCCTCCGCGAAGTCCCTCAGGCTCAGAGCACAGCCGTGTAATTGTCTGCGTCTCTCCCGCGCTCAATCAGGGGCTTGCTTTGGAACCCCGGTGCCTGCTAGTGTTCTGCATACAGTGAGCATCCAAAAAATGGTAACTTGTTTACTTTTACTGAACAAATTGTTTTTCTTATGTCCAGTCTAATGCTGGGCAACCATGGAATGAACCACGAAGATAAGTATCTCATGGGCTTTTTCTTCTGGGAGCTCAGGCCAGCTGGGGCCATTACAACTTAAAACTTGGGCGATCCAGAAGTAATACGAAACATTTGTGAAATATTTTCTGTATGAAACTTTCTAAGAATTATCTCAACTTCAATAGGTTGAGTAGGGAGAGAGCATCCCAGATAGAGGAAATGGGAGAATCCTAAAGGAGGGTGAGAAAGCTCCAGCCGTGCCTGGGGCTCACAGGTTGTTTGTAACTGTGGTGGTTAAAGTAGCCAAGAGGCAGGTTGCAGTGGCCCCAAAATGCCAGCCTAGGGAGTTCAGATTTTCTTCATCTTGCGGGATGGATTAAAAGGGCAGCATTTGCAGTCAAGAACATTAGGCCAGGGCAAGCTAGGGTTGCACATTCAGACCCAGTTTTGTGCCTTTCGCCCTCCTCTAGCCTCCTCCTGGGCTCTCTGGCAGTAAGACCAGCTGCAAACATGGATCCTTACAAGTGACTCAGCTGGGATCCCTGGCCCCTCTGAACAGAAGGCTCAAGGCCAGAGTGTAAGCAGTGTTTTATGCAAACTGCGGCTGTCACCGCCGCCAGCTGGCATCATGCAGGCATTAGTTCATTCAGTGCTTACCAAGCACCTACAATGGTACCCATCACTGCCCAAGGTCTTGGCTTTATTCAGTCCTCAGGCTTGTATTGCATGCACTTTCTATGCCTTTTGAAAGAGCCTGTCCTCACACCCTTCTCTCTCAGAGGCAAGAGATCTATTTTCATCACCACCCTCATTTAAGTCTCCCAGCTACCAAGGCCAAGGTTTGGAGCAACAGCCTAAAACACCAGCTGGAAGGCTGGGCACTATGCACAGGCAACACACAGGGTAAAGAGCGTGTCTTCTTTGTAAGGCACAAGTACTCGAGCTGTTCCCTGGCTGTGTCCCTGGCAGGGAGAAGAGGGAGGATGTGTTCATGGGGGTGTACAGTATGCCTTACCTTGCTGTACCCAGCAGGGTTGAGCAGAAAACGCTTCGTCCCAGTGCAGCAATCTGTGAACACTCTTAACCAGCAGGTGTGTGTCTGTGTGTGTGTATGTGTGGGAGGAGCGAATGATGAGGAGGAAGGGACTCTTGGAAGGTGACTAAGGGCTCCAGCTGGAGCTCTCCAGAGTCTCCCAGATACATGGAGATCAAGTCTTGTCAAGGTGAAATCTTCACCATTGGGCAGGGGGCAAGTACAGACAAACAGCTGTTAACAGGAACCACAGTTTGTACATGAAAGAGTATTTATTGAAAACATGGTTACTGACAGGAAGCTCCTGGCTGCTCTCTGGTTACAATCTTGGCTCACAACTGGAAGTGTTACATACTTTTTACTTCCCCTCAATTTTATTTTTCCCCAAGGTTCCATCCTAAGATAGGTAGATCTTATATAAATATATATACACGTCTGTATAAGTATGGCCTATAGTAATGAAAATATATAGTACACTCTTCATTGGGTAGTACCTACCATGCCAGGCCACCAATACTGAATGCCAATGTGCTAACGTATGTCCAGGGAGAGAGGCTGTGTGTGTGGTTTACAAGTGCTGCAGCACCAGGGAAGCCCCACTGGCACAGGTGTGGCCTCAGCCGGCCTCAGCCAGCTCCCTGAAATCATGGCCAATGGCAGAAACCATAGCACTAGGAAGGGAAGGCCAACTTCCTGGGGTCTGGAAGGCCAAAGGAAAGCAAACTGGAGGGGGCTGCAATTCAGGTTAGGGGAGATTTCTCTCTGAGGAAGGAAAAGGTATTAATGTGGGGGAAGAGCAGTAGAATCTAGTGACCTCACCACAGTCTAGGCCCAGGCCTCAGCTGGGTTTTCCCTGCAGCGTTCCTGGAGACTTAAGAGGGCAGGACTTGGCCAGGAGGTCTTTGACTTGCTGGGATGAGACTGAGCGCTTGCAGGGAGAAATTTCCGTCTGCTCTGATATCTGTATGGGCCAGAGAGATCTGGTGGCTCTAAAGACCAGAGATGTTAGAGCCAACCTCAGAAGCAGCAACGTCTTGGCACCATATGAAGCTGGAGTGAGCCCTCATCAAAAAAGACAAAAGCAAAAGCCTCAGGCTTGTACTCAGATCTAAGATACAGGTAGTCACTTCAAGGCTCTCAACACGCCCAACACACCTGTCCTCTGCAGGCAGCCTTTCCTGGGCCAGCTGTTGCTCACGTGGGGATCCAGCTGATCAGAGAGCAGGCTCAGGAGGAAAAGGTGAGTGGCTGTTGTTAAATCCATTTCAAGAAGCAGTTTCTTGGACTGGAAGGCAAGGGCATCTGCTGTTTGTTCCTCGTGGCCCAATCCCAGGCTTCATGGTGATGGAGTGGGCAGAGCACCCTGCCTTCATGACTCTTAGTAGACAGGGACCAAGAGGAAACTCTGGGTGGTCCGAGGTGGGTTTGAGAAATGGCTGGCATTTACTGGCCACCAAAATCACTACAGATTCTGTACAAGCAAAAGACAAGGCACCAGAATGTAAGTGTTTCTCCTGGGCCCAAAATCCCTTCTCCTGGGTACCGTCGTTTCTGGCTCCAGGCTCAGCCATAGTGATAGACAAAGTCATAGCTGCTGGGCTCCTTGGGGATGGGGGGTGGGGCTTCGGGAATCTGGATGTTCTCCAGGTCCAGGAGCCGCAGCTTCATCTCCATGCTCAGCAGGGTGTCCAGGTCACTCTTGGTCAGCTCACTGGACATGTCCTTCCCCAGAAGGGCACTGAGGCCATCAATCCAGATGCAGTACTGTGGGGAGCAAGTTGCAAAATGTCACATCGTGACCCCTGGTCAGCAGGAGATCCTGCCAAGGTCTCTTTTCTGATGGGGCTCACAACAGTTCCTTTTGGAACTAATCAGTATAGGCAAAACTGATTTGGAATGATAGCAAAGATAAATTAGGAGGTGATCCTTCACTTTCTCAAGAGATCTGGTTTTTATAAGGGGTTTTATATTACAACTCCTTACAATAATATGAAGGAGAACCTAAAAATGCAATAAACGAATACAGCAAAATGAGATCTGAGTACTGGGGCATCATCTACCTGAAGTTACCCAAAATCAGAAGCGAGAGAAGGGAAATATGTATTAGGTGAAAAGAAGCAAGACACAAACAGAAGTCACTGTGGGATCTCAATTTTGTGCCCCGCCCCCCCGAAAACAAAATTAAAAATAATCCAGTCAATACATATTAAAGAGTAAATACTAAAGAAATGGAACTGGTGGGTCTCATGCTAAGAGGGGGTGACCAGGAAGCCTTCTGATCCCACCGCTCCCTGACTCTTCCTGCTTCCTCTGCTGCCATTTTCCTTTTTCCACACCGTTGCTCACCTGGTTCCCCACTTGCTTGTTCTTCATTTCCTCTCAACCAAATTCCACTAGCGGCAGCTCAGGCCCTGCCCAAGTGTCTCCTCTGCCAGAAGTCCCACCTCTAGTTCCCAGTGATGGCTCTCAGAGCTCACCAGGCACATAGGGTCTCAAATGCAATCACTCATTTAATATCTAGTATCTTCCAGTGCTGCAGATGGAACTACAGGGCCCTTGTCAGAAGGACCAGTTCCATCTGGCTTCAAAGTCCACACTGGATCCATTACAACATGTGACCAGGAGCCCCTAGGAGGAAGGATCTGTCAAGTTCTCTTGGGTAGCTGACCACAGAGAAACTGAAAAGGGGAGAATTTTCCCAGTCCCAGGTAAATGACTCATTCCTAGTTGACCTTATCTTTGTAATGACAACCTATGGCTGCTGCTGAAGAGTAATGTGGAGAGCCCAGCTCACAGATAAACAATCCAGAGTGTGACAGATCCTTGGCAGCCACCCAATGCGCCTGGAGGAACCTCAGGTCCAGCATTATGTAATGATACCTGCTGCTTCATCTGGGTGCCCCCCCAACCACAGCTCCTCCTTTGAGACATTCCCATCCTATTGAAATGCCACCTTCTTCTCAAAGCCTTCCTAGGCTTCAATATACACTGCAGCCACCCACCACAGGGGACTTTCCTGTTTTGCTCATTCCTGCCACCAACTGAAGAGTTACAGAAATAGCTCTGTTGTCTAAGGCAGCGCCACACTGCTCACCTCATATTTATTAGGTGCGATGAAGTTTAAGGTCTCATCAGGGTCATACAGGATGGAGAAGGCCAATTCCAACACCTCCTGAAGGAGAAAGGGTTTAAATTAGAGCGATGGAACAGCCTGGGGTCTGCACATCAAGATCTTGGCCAAAGTCCTAGTGACTCGGCATCATCACCAAACATGCTGATTCAGATGAATGTCATCAATGCTCCTAGGCGGCCACAAGTGTGGCTGGAGATGAGGCCCAGCATAAATCAACCTTAACTTACCCACTCCCTGCCCAAGTCACATCAAAGATGTTGTGATATTTTTAAGATTGGAAAAAAGTCATTTTCAACACTCAGAACCCTGGAAGGTCACGATCCATGACTGTAAGTTATCCTAAAAGTTTTTATATTACCAAGATGACTAACAACTTCTATCGTGCTGTATTTGGCATAGGAATGTCTTAACAATTAAAAAACAAAACAAAACACACACACACACAAAATTGGTCACTGTTGCATGATACCAAGGAACTAACTCATTATTTTGAAAGTAAGTACATAAAAGAAGAATCAGCATTTATTCTCGTTTCCTATATAAACTGTACCACTGGGAAACCAATAGTAGATAAGGGCAAGTTTCATGGTTCAGCTCATAAATGAAAAGCAATGACTGCATCAAAATATCATGAGTTTGCAAACCTTAGTTGACTGATGGAATGAGGCACTGAGCTTCAACAGTCTGCTAATTATCACAAAAGGAGAGACCACCAGACGTTATGTGCCTCTTGATAGAACATAATACCACTGATGACACTGGCCAGGAAAAAAGTTAAACCTGAACTGGATCAAACCTCTAGATCCCTCTTCCAATGTACAGATCTGGGACAGAGGAACAAGTTAAACTGTACCACGGGGAAACAATCAGCAAAATTCAGATGCTAGGAAACTACCAAACAAGCAATCTGGTTCTTCAGCTAATAAACTGCAAAGGAAAAGATGGTGGGGGATGGGGGGGCGGGGGAACTTATGAATTAAGAAACTTAAAAGACCAGTCTTAGACTCTGGTTTAGACAAGATGGGTATGGGGGTGTGTGTGTGTGTGTGTGTGTGTGTGTGTGTGTGTGTGTGTGTATCCATATAAACATTTATATATCTGTAGAGAAATTATGACATTTATAAGACAATTGGTAGAAAGTCACCATCAGTGGAATATTTGATCTGAAATAACTACTTTCATTTCCTGTTATGTGTGCTAATGGACTGGTGGCAATGTTATACACTATACGATGTACACTAAATATTTACAGATGAAACAGTGTGATACTTGGGACTTTCTTCAAAGCGATAAAGGAGAGAAACAAGTGGATGGGCAGAACTGGCCATGGTTGCTGAGTCTGGGTGATGTGTATACAGAGGTTCCATCTATTTTTGTGTATGTTCAAAATTCTTAATAAAACATTCAGGAATAGAGAGGGGAAGATGCCAAGAATGCACCTGGAAAAAACCACCACCAATGGCACTCTCCAAGTATCACTGGGCCAGCTACTCAAACTGGCCTCTCTACTCACCTTGTTCTGTTTCAGAGCACTTTTCTCTTTCATGTGGGGACAATCTTTCCCAGTGACAATGGCCTTAATGTCTGCAACAGGAACTGATAAATGATGGGAATTAGTCTCTGGAAGTTCATGCTGCAAGCTGGTCAGTGCCTACATCAGTGCTGGAAGGGAGGTACTGGGGCAGATGCATAGGAAGCCTCAGCCCCAAACTCCAAGGGCTGCTGTATGAGCTCAGTGAGGGTGGTGGGGAGGATGGCCTTGTACTGTTCCCTCCGTCTTGGTCACTCCTGTAGACCACAGCCCAGTGAGGCTGTGTCAAAGCTAACTGAGGGTCACTTCAGGGCTCTTGGATTTATATCCCCAAGGAACGGGACCTTGGTGACTCCCTTCCCCTCTCCTTCACAATAATGGCGATGATGATGCCATCATCGCCAACAGCAGTGGCAGCTGCTAACAGTTATGCTGACTACCTGCCAACCACTCTTCTAAGTGCTTTGCATACATTACTCATGCAATCCTCTTAGGAGGAAAGTGTGGCTATTATTCCCACTTTACAGGAGAAGAAACCAAGGCAGAGGGGAGAACTTGCAATTAATTAGAATTCAAGTTAATTAGGAGCAAAGCCAGGATTTGAATGTGGGCAGTCTGGCTTCACAGCTTCTCCTCTTAACTACTGCCTTTCGACTTAGTCATGTACCACCCTTTACAGTCTACACAATACATTCACACCTGTGAACTCATTGTTTCTCCAAACCACCCCACCGAGTAGGCCAGGTAGAGGAAATCGCTGACAGATAAGGAAACAGGTCCAGAGAGGTAACAGGTACAAGCCCAGATGATCAGCTACAAACAGCTGGACTAGAACTCCTGTCTCCTGACAAGTCCAGCAACCATGACACATCAACAGAGAAATGAACCTACTTTTCTCCTGCAGGGATTCAAATGTCACCTCCCCTTGTGGGTTGTCATCCAAGTCACCATAGTGAAGGACCTTGTGGTTCAGTGCCAACCGGCAGTACCAGAACCGTTCTGGAACACAAGGGAAGCCAAACAGGTGAGCAACGACAGTACTGGGAAAGGCCTGGGCACAAAAGGGGCCATCCAGGCAGGCTCTTCCCGGCACCAAGGATTGCCCCGTCTCCTCTCACCTTGCCTTCGGCGGTTCCCAATCTTTCGGAAGCTGCTGCCCTCACAGAGCCGGTTCAGGCGCTGCTGCTTGATCAGCTCAAGGATCTCGGGCTGGATCTTCTCCCTCAGCTCCCTGGGGTGGACACACACTGGAGTGAGCGGAAGGTCATGGGGACAGTGGAGCTCTGGAAGGAAAGCAGAGCTGGCAGCCACCTCCCCCGCCAGCCTCCCCTGAGATGGAACTTACACAATTGGCGGGGACTGGAAGTCATCCTGACTCATCCTCTCAGACTGGCGCAGTCGTAGAATCTCAGAGTAACTCAGGCTACGCAATTTGCTCTTGAACTGATCCAAAGAGTTGGGTTTGGAGGGCAAAGCTCGAGTGATTTGCTCTCGGACGACTTGCATAACCTAAGAGGAGAAGAACCCAGCCAACTCACACCACTACTCTTGAGAAATGGACAGGCCTATTATGGAGCACCAAGGCTCTTTCCTGCCCCAGGGTCTTGAGCAGGGCAGGCACTACAGACATCTGCTGGGTGAGTAAGGTATACCTTCTTAGATGGTTATTCAGGTCACATGACTGACACTGATAGATGCTTTATTTCCCATATATTTCAATTGGTCAATGGTGTGGGGGAAATGAGCATGGATTTTTGTAGTCAGAAAGAAATGGGTTCACATCTTGACTCTGTCCCTTCAGCAAGTCACTTAACATCCTTAGGTGTGCATCTACTCATCTCTAAACCGAGAGAAAGGAAGACACATCTCCTGATAGGTGTTGCCATAAAGAATATGAGATACCAGCCGGTTGCAGTAGCTCATGCTTTGGGAGGCTGAGGCAGGCGGATCACCTGAGGTCAGGAGTTTGAGACCAGCCTGGCCAACATGGTGAAACCCCGTCTCTACTAAAAATACAAAAATTAGCCAGGTGTGGTGGCTCACGCCTGTAGTCCCAGCTACTCAGGAGGCTGAAGTAGAAGGATCACTTCAACCTCGGAGGTGGAGGTTGCAGTGAGCCGAGACAGTGCCACTGCACTCCAGCCTGGGTGACAAGAGTGAAACTCTGTCTCAAAAAAACAAACAAAAGAATAGAAAGGCAAGCGCAGTTCTGGCACGCTGTGGTGTTTTAAAAAAATGCATTGGTCCCCTTAAAACAACTATTAAAGAAAACAACAGGATACCACACTGCATGCGCAGTATGATCTTGCTAATGAAGGAAAAACCTGTAGGGGATAAAAAAGACTAGAGGAAAACAAAAATGTTTGTCACTGGATGGTGTAAATACAGGTAACTTTTTATTCTTTATACTTTCCAAATTTTTTATGATGAGATGATCAACTTCAAAACACTCGACCCCTAGATGATCAGCTTTTGAGGGCCTGGCACAACAGTGCTCTGCATAGAGTGAGGACTGAAAGCACCGAGGGATAACTATCGATTAAGTACCCAGGGTGTGCACATCATGCCAGTCCACTCTTCTCTCCTAACCTTCCCAGTTCACAAAACTACAGCAGTACCTGCACAGTAAGCACTCAATAAACCACAGTGAGTCTTCTAATGCTTATCCTCCTGACCTCTCTGGAGGACGGGAGGGACAGGTGCTAACTTCAATGGACAAATGAGGGCCTACGGCACCAAGTGGAAGACAAGCTCAAGGTCACAGAGGGAGCAACAACCAGATGGGGCTGAGGCTCCCCAGTGCCTCAGTCTTGTGACTCAGTTCTGCAGACCAAGCTGCTTTTCCAGCTCAGGGATTCTCCAGGTGCCAGCCAGCTGTCAAAGGCTGTCGTGTGATGGTCTCCTCCCGTGGGCCTCAGAGCAGCCCGGAGACACTGACCTTGTTGAAGTCCTCTGCTGTTGCCCTCATCTCCTTCCAGGTCTTGTTCAACAGCTGGATGCAGATTCCAAAGAGCTCTTCAAAGGCTCGGTCATGGGTAAAGAACATCGGGTGGTAGTCATTGCGTCCTTCATTTGCTGTGGAAGTGAAAAAACAGGGAGAAGATGAAGCCTCTGTCCACAAGGGCCTGGGAGCTCATGTCTGGAAACTTTGCACCAAAGTCCCGAGGAACAAAAGCAGCCTAAGGCGCGCAATTAACAGGGAGCGTGGGATGGGCGTTTCTCACGTCCTTAGCTTTCTTCTCCAGGGTGCATTTTCTTGCCTTCCCTCTACCCTGTTACAGACTCAGCCAGCCCTTACCCACAGGCATGGGGTAGCTTTGGAATATGATTCAAATTGCCAGTTCAAACAAAGCAACAACCATGATTCCCATAAATAAGGATAAGATGGAATTATCAGCTGATGCAGTGATTTAAAACAAAAAACAAAATTAAAAACCCACCTAAGGTTGTCTAGTCCCACTGACATCTTTTTTTTTTTTTTTTTTTTAAGATAGAGTCTCACTCTGTCGCCCAGGCTGGAATGCAGTGGCATGACTATGCTCACCATAGCCTTGACCTCCTGACACAGTGATCCTCCTGCCTCAGCTTCCTGAGTAGTTGGGACCAGAGGCATGCACTACCAGTTGGCTAATTTTTGGTTTTTTTTTTTTTTTTTTTTTTTTTTAGAGATGGGGTCTCACTATGTTGCCCAGACTGGTTTTGGACTCCTGGGCTCAAGTGATCCTCCTGCCTCAGTCTCCCAAAGTGCTGAGATTACAGGTGTGAACCACCACGCCCGACCCCACTGACATGTAACTGTTTATAATTTTGAGTCTCACTGAGCTCTTGATGACAAGGAATGGCTGAAGAAGAGGGAGCTGCAGAGACTTACGTAGTTCCCCAACCTGCAGGATTTCACAGAGCATTTTGGTGAGCTCAATGGCACTGCGGCCAAAGGGGCATTCATGTTTGTCTTCCCGGCTACTGTTCTCCAAGACAATCTGTCGGGGGAAGAGAAAGGGAGGATTAGGGAGATGAAGGAGGAAGGCAGGAGATGTGGCACCAGGACTGAGAAGGCCAGCTCCCCTGCCTTTACCCGGATGTAGGTGTCCTGGTGGACTTTAGCCAAGTACAGCATGTTGTCCAAGGCCAGCATTCCAGGAGGAGTCTGGGTAAAGTCCATGGCTGGATTGATGTGGTTCTAGAGAAATAAAGACACCCAATTTGAGATGCGGCAGTCTCCGTGTATGCAGGGACCTGAGGGGATGCCCTCTCGCCTCTCCTCTTGATGCTGCTACCACTCAGCACCCACCTCTGTCCTAGCTCTTTTCACACCCATCACCACCACTGAACTGTGAGCTCTTGAGTGCTGGACGGTGGCTGCCTCACCATGCATCCCAGAACCTACTTCACATGCTGCTGCACACTGAGTAGGTACGCAAGAAATACTTCTTCCAGTTAACCCCATCCTCAAGCCCTACTCTATCACAAAATATTCACACTAGCTTTGCAAAGAACCTAGCAGTTTGGGTAAGAGGACAGGTCCCCTCTCTACCCACTCTAGCTGACCGCAACCCCCCTACAGATGGATTCGTTTCACAGGGCCAAACTTTGCACATAAACTCACAGACTCACCATCAACAAAGCAAAGCAAGCATTAAAGCTCCACCAGCTTCCTAACTGTCATCTATTCCAGGGCCACCATGGGGTTGGTTGTCAGAGCTCTGTCTGGGTGGGACCATTGACTTCCCATCAGGGGAGAGGGCCTACCACCGTCTATGCTCTGAGGTACTTACGGTAAATCCCAGCATTTTGTAGTCCTTTGTGTACATGGCTTTGCGTTTTTCGGTCCCACTCCCAGGGGCATTGCTAGGATCAGACTCTGCGTCAAATGCAATCCTCCTCAGTTCAAATATGATGTCCCTTTGAGCCTGCGAGGTGAAACAGACAGTCAGCAGGTGAATCGGCTAACCAAGGGAGCAAGGAAAAGAAACAGTGGGTCAGGCTTTTCTGGGCCAAACTTTGGCCCCAATCAATCCCTTAGGAGGCATCACCTCTACCACAGCAGGACAGAAATGGGCTTGGCTCATGGTGCAGATCATGCTAGATTTTCTAGGGCAGATGCAAACTACTTCTGCAGACAAAGACCAAGCACAGTGCCTGGCACATAGACTAAGGCTGGACTGCACCACAGCCATGAGAAAACAGCTGCCCCACTTAGCACCTACCTGGTCATTGGGGTCCATCTTGGTCATCATCCTTTCTTCCAGAAGGTTAAAGGTTAGGACTTGAAGGACATATAGCTGATGGGCCATCTCAGTTTTGATGGGGCGGTTCCCTCGGATCACATGCTAGAAAAAGCACAGGCAGGGAGCAGGGGACTGAACTGATCTCTTTTAATGAAGGGCCACATCCATGCTAAGGAAAAGGAATGTATGTTGGGAAGGGAACAGAGCTTTCCTCCCACACACGAGGACTTCATATTCTAGAAGGCGATGGAGCATGAATGGGCTTGGTTCAGGCAGAGATGACTCACTGCAGGCCTGAAAGGCGCCATCCCTTCCTCTGCATTCCCCTGGGCAGGGGAAGCAGAGTGAAGGCAGGGGCTATACCCAACCACACCAGAAATGGGGGAGGCTACTCCATCAAGGCTATGATACAGAACATTGGGGGCTGGACCTTCCTCCAATCAGGCATTTCACAGGCCTACTAAATGCAAAACAATAGATGGTGTGCATGGAGGCAGAGTTGTTTTTCCCTTAGAAAAATAAAATGTTTTGGATGGCTTCACCCAGCAGAGAGGCTTTGGGAAAGGCCATTTTCTTTCAATGATACTGAGATAGCAACACAAAGGAGGAACAGTTCACTCTCCTACCAGCTCCCTCCCACGGCCCTCTCCTTCCTTCCTTCCTCTCACTTGTCCTCTCCTCTCTCCTATCACTCTGTCCCTGCTCCCTGTGCCGCCCACACCATGTCCCTCTCCCTCCTGACTCTCCCTCCCCACTGTCTCTGTGCCCCCACATTCCCCTGTCGGTTCATCACCTCCTCCTTTGTCCCTCTGATGCCCACACCCCACTTTAGGTCCCCTGGTCCTGTCTCATGTTCTGTCTCTGTCTTTCTCTTGCATGCTATGTCTCCCTCGGTCTGTCCTAGCTGATCAACCCTTGATTACATTCCTGTCTCTCACCATCCTGTCCTCACTCCCACAATATCCTGCTTCCCTTCTTGCTCCCTTGTATTTGTCACTCCCTCTGTCTCACCCACCATTATGAATCCTGTCCCTCTTGGTTCTTTCTTGCCCAAATGAGGCTCTCCTCCATTTTCCACATGTACCACCACTATGTCCTTCAATTTCCCTACTCAGTAGCTCTGTCTCTAGGGCTGTGCTGTCCAGTATAGCAGCCACTAGCCATATGCAGCTATTTGCATTTAAATCAGTTAAAACAAATTTAAGTTGAAAATTTGGTTCCTTAGTTGCACCAGCCACATTTTAAGTGCTTAGTAGTCACCGTGGCTAGCGGCTACAGCAATGCAGATACGGAACACTTCCATTAACAGAGTTCTACTGAATAGCAATGCTCTAGAGCGCTCTGACTTTAGAGAGGTATCTGACTCAGTATCTTTTTAAAGCTCCTTCTAACTTTGGATCAGCTCTCCCTAGAGTTTGCTCTGACTCTAGATCAATCTCTTTAGACCTGTGAGGTCCAGTTTGGTAGCCCCCAGGCCCATGAAATGTTAGGCCAAACTGAGAGGTGCTGTGAGTGTAAATGCATACCGGATCTTGAAGCCTTAGTAGGAAAAAAGAAAATGTAAAATGTCTTATTAATAATATTTCATATTTATTACTTGTTGAAATGGTAACGTTTTCGATATCATGGGCTGAATAAAATATATTATTGAACTTAATGTCCCTATTCCTTTTTCATGCTGCTACTAAAATGTTTAAAATCATGTGCATGGTTTGGGTTCTATGTCCACTGGACGGTCCTGCTCTAGACCTCTTCCCCTACTGTGACTCCAGTGCTCTCTCCTTTTTCTAGCTGTTTCTCTAGATCTACACTTCCTAATACAGCAGCCATGAGCCACATACGGATATTTAAATTTAAAATGAAATTAAAATTACAAATTAGGTCCTCAGCCACAACAGACTTATTTAAAGTACTACACATGACTGGTGGCCACCATTGTGGACAGCACTTCCATAGCACATGCTAACATGCTGGAGTTAGGCCTCTGCCTGCATCCCTCCCTCCCCCTGAATCGGTGATCATGTCCAGTCCTGTAGCTCCCGCCCTGTCACAGGCACGCCCTCTGTCTCTTAAGCGTGAGATCGCTCTTCTTAGCTCAGTCTCACTGTTTCTTTCATCTCTCTAGCCTTACTCTCTTGTTCTCTGCTCTGTGCCCCCTGCCCCATAACTTCCCTTCCTTCCCACTCCCCCCAGTCTCTCTCATGGCCAGGGGCTCTTCCCTGCCATCGCCACTTCTTTTCCCCTTCACACCTCTTCCTTTGCCTCACTCTGAGGTTTTCTTCTCCACTGCTCCCTCTCTCTACCTTCGTCTATCCTATTCCTCTCTCCTCACTCTTCTCCCTAATTTATAAAACAGCTTTGAATAGAGGTGGAAGTTAATGTGATTCTGATTTTCATTCTCTTTAATTCTCTTTCTCCAACTTAAGAAACATCAGGGCAGGAAGGTAATTAATTATCCTAGCATCAATGGCTTAAAGAAGTACAGCTCCAGTCTGATGAGTGACAGTTTGAGGTTTTACCTGAAGTCTCACTTGACTGTCAAGTATCTCAGGGTCTTAGTTCTCTGGCTTGACTCAGTGAAATCCCTGGACTTCAGTGACCATGCATTAGCCATTTCCTGCCAGGCCACTTAAGTCCTGAGTCCTGATGCTGAACTGCCTTCTATAGTGAAATCTTTACTTGTTCACAAGGTTTGTCCAGAAATGAGTTGAACTTCTAACCCGATTAAATAGTAAGTCTCAAACATAATTAAATTTCCTTCAGAAGGGCGCACTCATCCCCACACATGCAGAAGAGGGTGACCAGGACAGCTGCTCAGGAGTGTAGGCAGGAATGTGTGGGAACCTGTGTACTCCTGTCACTTGTGGGCTTGGGGCCCCTCCTGCCAGGCTGGTAGCTGGGTGTGACCAGGGAAGCAGCCAGCAGGGAGAAGCTGGTTCTGCAAGGTGAAGTCTGGCAGACTCTGCATTTTAGAGCAGCTGACTGCTCAGCTTCACAAGTGCTCAGAGCTTACTTCTTCAATCCTATCACCTCTGCATCCTGTTCTGCCAATACGAGCAAAGTGCTTACTGAGTGCCAGACACCCTGCTAAGCACAGTATTATATTAGCTCACTTAGTCCTCATATCCAGATGAGCAAACTGAAGTCCAGAGAAGTTATGTGAAATGCTCAAGATCAAAGATTGGAAAATGGCAGACTCCAAAGTCCATGTTTAGCTTAAGTCTTAAACTTGACTTCTAATTTTTCATTTTATTCCCTTCACTGTGGTCTCCCAGGTTTCCCTTGTTTCTGACAGTTGATAAAGTTGCCTCCTTTTTTTTTGAGACAGAGTTTCGCTCTTGTTGTCCAGGCTAGAGCGCAATGGCCTGGTCTCGGCTCACTGCAACCTCCACCTCCCGGGTTTCAAGCAATTCTCCTGCCTCAGCCTCCTGAGTAGCTGGGATTACAGGCGCCTATCACCACGCCCGGCTAATTTTTGTATTTTTAGTAAAGACAAGGTTTCACCATGTCGGTCAGGCTGGTCTCGAACTCCTGACCTCAGGCAATCCACCCGCCTCAGCCTCCCAAAATGCTGGGATTACAGGTGTGAGCCACCACGTCCGGCCAAAGTTGCCTCCTTTTAATTCAGATCCTTGGCTCTCCTCCTCCACTCCCACCGGCCCCACCTCCCAACATCAGCCCTACTCCACCCCACAGGTGGTAACAGGGATTTATACCTCTTTCCAGATCCCCCTGCCAGCTCCTGCTCTGCTCTCCTCCCTCAGGTACCCCTTAGCAAACACATGTCTTTCATGTGCTCTTTCTAAAATGCAAATCTGGTTACTTCACAAGCTCAATTAAATGCCCTCAGCTGTCCTTAGGAATGAGACTAACCTTTCCTGATCTGGTCCTCGCTACCTCTCTAGCCTCCTCATCTACTTGCTCCTTGCTCTGTGCCTAATCACACACTCCTTCTGGGTTCTGGCTGCCCTCTGACTGAAATTCCTGTTATTCCCGGTCTGCCTACTCATCCTCTAAGGGTCACCTGAAGACATTCCTCTAAAAGTTTCCGGAAACACTCTTCTTCAAGGCAGAAATCACTGTTCCTCCTCCATCCTTTCCTAGACCACAAACCCAGATCACACCCCACTATGATCACTAGTCTTTCCTACCAGGCCAGAAGGTCTTTGAGAGCAAATACACTTGCTTACTTAGTTCTGTCAGTGCCCTACACAATTCAGATTTTTAATCAGTGTCAGTTGGATGAGTTATTTTCCCCCTTTGTGCCTATTTTAACATATTCCCTCTGGATAAAAATTCTGGAGTTGCAGGGCAACAAACAGTAGAGCTGGCCTTGGTCCCTCCCTGGACGCACTGCAATTGCTGGTGAGATGGCTGCCTAGAGGCAACTCTGCTCACAGAGGATCGCGGGAAAAAGCTATTCAGTTCAAGAGGTATTTACCTATTGATAAGGTTCCTCTGTGTGTCCTCCTCACTCATTAATAATTTCAATAATAATATATTAACAATAACAGTAATAATTGTTGTTAATAGTAATAAAATACAGCATGTTCCAGGAACTCACATTCAGGATTATAGACCGGAGATGCTTCTGTGCAAATGCATTTGCCATATCCTGTGGAGGAAAATAAGCAAATATAAGGCAGGGTGGCAGGCACACACCTGTGACTACTATCGAGAGGAAGGTGATGTCAAAATTCTGGGCCTTTTTTGCTTTCTTAAATTTTTTTCCTCCCAAATGAAAAGTGGGTGAATGAACGAAAATCCACTGACCATCAGATGTATTTTACACTCTGCAACATTCCCTATTTTTGTGAGTGCAAATTAATTCAAATAGGATTTCCTTTCCTAATGGCACAATCAACTCCACTGTCTTCAAAGAGAGATGAGGACTGCTTGAAGATGAGACGCTTGTGTCACAAGGACATTGCACATGGACACAGAGCAGTGTGATGGTTTCTAAGCCACATGCATCGTGCCAGGTAGACCCCACTGCTAAGGCTAGAAGGAACTCTAGTGAAGCACTGACTCCAAACAAGGAAGGGCTTTGGTCCAGCAACCCCCTCCCACCCTACAGCAGACGGCTGGGGTCTGGACGCTCTACAACAGTAAGTAGTCTAGGATTCCGTTCTAACTGGCTTAGAGAACAATGAGTCTGGTGTTTTGGGTAATTTTTTATAACAGGCTCACCTTTTTTATAATATTTGATCCAGACTTTGATAGTTATGCTTTATTTATTTAGCCCACCCAGGAAATCAAGTTTCCTACATAAATGAATCTTCCAGGGAGCAAAGCTTTAAGGGTTCTCTCAGAATCATTATTTTGACCATTCTTATGCAAATCTTTTAAAGACATATTATATACATTTATTTCTGAAGTGACTACAGTGATAATTTAATCACTGCTAAGGAGTCGGCTTCATCAAAAAGAACATCAGTGATTATTCTGTGTTGTGACACTGTGATACCCTGAGGAGCTACTGAGATGTGAAGCTATTTTCCCATAAACAAAATGGTCCCAGATTACAATGCCTTTAATTTTTCTGACAGCTTTTCATAATTCTTGTCTCCTCCTTCCAGTGTCGACCATCACTTCTTACTGATGTTAATTACCATGACTTCATTTTCTAAACTGCTGCCTTCATTTAATTTTATAGAGAATCCTAAATCAGTGGGCCTGAGGGAGCTGTCACACCTCTCCTATGGAGTAGTATCTGTGAGCTCTGTGTCATTTTTCTCAGAGCTGAAAGGCCCCTCTGTCACACTTCTGGATTTCTAGCCATATTCCAAATGGCTAATGCTGCCAGGAACATTAAATTTTACTTTGCATTCTCTGAATACATACTGGCTAGCAGAGGAGGACAGTGGCCTAGAAACTTCTCTGGTAACTATAGGAGGTCGACTGAGATTAAATCTTGCTGTGGACAACTCATAAGGTGGGTAATTGACAGTGGTCTGCAGCTAGAATATAAAGGTCTTAGACCAAAAGCTTCTCTGTGGTGTCAGGGGGAGGCACTTATCCCCTTTCATCTCCTCGCAAAGCTGACCTCTCTAAAGCTCCCTATAATGAAGAAATGAGCATCCAAATTCCCTTTTGTCGATTGTCTAAACCTTTTCGGATTCCCACGGTCTAGTAAGAGTCCAAAAAGGGCACGGATACCTTTTCTCTTCCACTAAAGCAAGTAAGAAGGTGACGCATCCATGGTATTGTCTAGATCAAAGTTACGAGCTGTTTCTGAGTCTGGTCTGCCCTAGTTGAACTACAGACCCATGCAAAGGCAAGTTATAAAGGAAGGCTGGGGCCACACTCCCTGGGGCAGGTACCCCCTTAATCCTTTCTGTGACTCTAATCTGCAGTACTTCCCTAAGTGTCCTGACAAAGGAGATTCACAGCACACAACCTTTCCCTGGGTCTTGGCATGCCCTGAACATCTAGATCAGACCATGAGATTCTTGCCTAGCTTTGACTTCCCCACCTGCAAGAGCTGGGGCCCTTTCCACATGGCAGTGCTACTTACAGTGACAGGCAGGTCTAGAGGATTAAGGTGCTTGTCCTGCCGGCAGAAAGCAAAAGCACAGAGAGAAGCAGACGGAATGAGCTTTCAGCTTACATTCAAACAAGGACCGGGAAGGCAGATTAACAGAGCCAAGCCATCCAAGAAAGACAAGGACAGACAGAACCACAGATGCTTCTGGTCTTCCCTCTAGAATCTACCAAGAGCTGGGTACATACATGATCCCACTTGAATTTCATCTTACTGAGCCCATGAGATTGTCAGAGAACTAAAATGTCTTACTTTTAACACCACTTGGGCTTTTCTCAGAGAAATCTAGAATGTTAGTATTGGAAGGGCTGTCAGAGATCATTTAAACTGGCCCTTTCATTTTACAGAAAGAGAAACTGAGACCCAAAAAGAGGTTACAAACACTTGTCCAGCCAGCAGCAGGGAGAATACTTAGTCCCAGGCCCCTCGGCTCTTAGGTCAGTGTTTGTTCCACCACCCAGCTGATTCTTAGTTTCCTTATTTGTGAAACAGGGATCTTGTTTTTCCTCAGACATCCTTGTGAGGTAAACAAGGCAGATGTTGTTGCTCCCATGTGACAGGTGAGGAAACTAAGGTTCACAGAGGCAGAGCTATCTGCATAATGTCACAGTTAATGAACAGGGGAAGGAAGATGTTTAGAATCTCCATCAGAGAACCTTTAAACCTAAGATTTAGTGTGAAATCCCATTCATATTGGACTCCTTGGACTCAGGGTAGCCACAGGGTCTCCTCTTCCTTATTCTTGATTCTGTAACCCAGGAGTTGGCAAACTATGGCCATATTAGGCCTGTTGCCTGTTTTTGTAAATAAGATTTTATTGGAAGACAGCCATACCCATTCATTTACCTACTGGCCGAGGCTGCTTTTGGCTACAATGGCAAGGTTGAGTAGCTATCACATAGACCATATGGCCCATAAAGTCAAACATATTTATTCTCTGGCCCTTTAGAGGAAAAAGTTTGAAGGGCCCTGCTCTCATCTAAGACCCAGCTGGTTTCCCCTCATAGGTCTTCCCTGGGTCTTCCTTAGCAAAGCCACCCTCCTGGGCTCCAGACCAGACAGCTAAGAGGAAGAACTCTTGGGAAAATTGCTGGATTTGTGCTCTCTGCATAGCAAAGAGTGCATGGGGTGAGAATTATCTCAGAAGAGCCCAGATGAAAAATGTGAAAAGGCAGCCACAGACCTGTCGTTTGTCCTCAGGAGCCTTCAGAAAAAGTGCATTAATCAGTGCAATGGCGTAGGTCTGAATCTCCTGGTTGGAGCTGTGTCAATGGAGAAAGAAGAGAGAGGGAGATTAGAAGACTGAACAGCAAGATGATGCTTAGAAATGGTTTAAAACAATCACTCACAGATTATAAGCAAATAATGATCTGGAGCTCAGTCTCAAAAGCATTCAAAGTGGGCATGCTCTTGACCCAGCAATTTCACTAATAGGAATTTATCCTAAGACAGTAATCAGAGAGCTATGCAAGATTTACTGACAAGGCGTTTCATTAAAGTACTACTTAAAAAAGAATGGAAAGTAATCCAAATGGTCACATTAGCCAACATTTATACATATGAGAATCTTAAGTAGTTATTAAAAGTCATGTTTTAGGGTAAAGATTCTTAACCTGGGATTCAGGGATGAGCTTAGAGTATTTGTGAACCCCAGGAATGATACAGAAATTATTCTATGTAGTTTGCCAACTAAGTGGTATTTTTTCCAAACTGGTGAGAGTATATACTTGTTACCAGATTTTCAAAGGTGTCTAGGTTGCAAAAAAGACTTAGAACTACCCTTTTAGAAAAATCTTTGACATGGAGAAATGTTCAAGGTGTATTATTCAGTTAAAAAAAATCAAGGTACACATAGTATATATAATGAGATCCCGATTTTGTTAAAAATATGCATAAAAATACTGAAGGGACATTCAATTTAATGTTTAACAGTGGGTATGTCTGGAGGTGAGATAATGGGCAAATAATTTTGCGTTTTTCTGTATTTTTAAAGTCTTTGACTATAAACTTATTTTATTATGAACAAACAAAATAACTACAATCATTCTCTGGAATCTTACAATCCTGGTACTTGACATCTCCACCTGCCATGTCTTGGGTGCATTCTGTGGCTGTCTTTCCAGAGGGTCTGATGGGCTTCCTGGTTAGTCACATGGTACCCAGGGAGTCTAACAGAGGGCACTAAGTATCCCTCAGCCCAAAAAGGAAAGCATATAAGTTCTGGTGACAGCTGTGGGCTGAAAGTATTGGCTCCTATGAAATGCCATGTTCCCCTATCATCCCTAGGGAGGCAACTGGGGCCACTCTGAATTCAGAGACAAAAAAAAAAACCAGAGAAGTAGATGTGAGGTTACAGGAAAATCAGAATTCTCTATCTGGAGTTTATAATGTCCCTCTCACCTTAATCAACCTTGGTGGCTCGCTGGGTATGAAAGCTGAGGCTAGACCAGGCATGGTGACTCACACCTGTAGTCCCAGCTACTCAGGAGGCTGGGGTGGGAGGACTGCTTGAGCCCAACAGTTTGAGACCAGCCTGGACAACACAGCGAGACCCTGTCTCTACAAAAATAAAAAAAAAAAAAAAACTAGCCAGGTGTTGTGGAGTGTGCCTGTGATTCCAGCTACTCGGGAGGCTGAGATGGGGAGGATCGCTTGAGCCTGCAGTGAGTTATGATCATGCCACTGCGCTCCAGCTTGGACGGCAGAGTGAGACCCTGTCTCAAAAAAGAAAAGCAAAGAAAGCTGAGGCTGAAAATTCCTTAAAAGTGACAAGGAGAAATCAGAGTTGCAAAGAAATAATTGTGCTTTCTTTTTACTTGGATTAGTGGGGAAAAACAAGTTGGGAGCATAGCTGAGTGAAGACAGGGCCACTATAAACTCCCAAATCTGGGAGCTATGACTTCCCCTCGAACTGGTGGGGGATTCTGGCAACATTCTGACAATGTCTAAAAAACAGAAGTGAACAACAGTCAGAAGAGAATCAACAGGAGTGCCACCACTGTTTTGCAAAGTCCAGCTTCCTTACATGGTGTAGGTTGGTTGGAAGTGAGGTAAAAACAGCGGAGACGGGAGAAACATTGCTCCAATGGGTTCATTTGTCATATGGTCTCAGTATCTGGTAAAATGTTTTAGGATGTGATAAGAGTCTTAACAAACAAACAAAGGAAAAAAGCCCCTGAATTTACTGAATACCTAACCCAGGTTGGCCTCTATGCTGGACCTTTTTAAAATCTCCTTTGATCCTCACAGTGTGAGAGGTGAAGGTGATTAACCTATTCTAGAGATGAAGAAACTGAGGCCAGAAGAGACTAGGTTACTTGCTGATGGCAGAGACCTAGTATGCAGAAGAGCCTGGATTTGAACTGATATTCCAAACTCACACCTGTGTGATATTTCTTACAAATCACCCACAGTGCATCGTCGGTTCAGTGAGCATTCATTCAACAAGCACTAATTGAGCCTCTACTTAAATCAAAACAGGGGATACAACAATGATTGGTCTCTGTTTCAAGGGGGCTCTATGTTCAAAATGGGCAACAGATAATAAAAATCCAGTATTTTATATAATTATCATAGGTACAGAGACTACTGGGCCCATGTGAGAAAGCATCTAATTTTGCCTGGTACCACCCTGGTATGGGAAGACTGGGAAAATCTTCATTTTAACCTAAGGGGCAGAGAGAGTTACAGAGGATTTTGGGCAGGAGCATGACATGATCAAGTCTGAATGATGGGAGAAATTCTGGCAGGAGTGTGGAAGAGGTGATGAATGAAGAAGCCAACCAACAGCTTGGAATATAAGCAAAGGAGAGTAGGATTGGAAGACTTAAAATAAGAGGAGAAAAGAGGACAGACAAGTGAAGGGAGGGAGGTGTAGGGTTTTTTACTCACACCTGGAGGTGTGAGATGAGCTGTCCCACGGTGATTTCCTCGGCTATCTTCTGGTACAGACTCTGGCTGTTCAAGACCATGCTCTCCAGGATGGCCAGGGACCTCTGAAGGATTGACACGTCCACCATGGGCTGGCTCACATACCCTGCAATCTAGACCCAGAGATGGCACATCAATTGAGAAGCTCAGGGCCCAAGAAAGATAGAAGCTTAGCATCTGATGCTAGCCCTTGAAGCTCTCTCTGCTTCACATTTGGGCAGCTGTTGCTAGGTGGATAGTGGTATCTGGTTTACGGCTACCCTGGCCAATGTGCCAGGGATTCCCTTGGCATGGATACCTTAATCTCAGATTATAGTATCCACTTAATTGTGTTTCCTCAAAATCTAAAAGCTTAATTCTTTTTATCAAAATAAGGGTTCCAGTTTGAGAAAGTGGGGTATAAAAAAGCAGAGGATTTTACTGATACTGGGATCTCATTTTATCTCCATGTACCTCCCCTGACACACACTCCCCCTAAACACACTTAGACTTTGAGAGGTAGAAAGGACCTTGAAGCCTTTTACTCTAATCCTTCTTCTCAGTCCCCATTATAATATCCTTGACACATGGTCATTTCACTTGTGTCCAGTGTCGGGGAGTCCCAATGTCCTAAGCCAATGATAGCTGAAGTTCTAGGGCAGCAGATACAATATTATTCATTGGTTTTAGTTCAGTATTCTGAATTGACACTGCTCCTTTGTGTAAAAGAAAGGAGGGTAAAACCAGAAGTACCCTCTCCTACCCACTGAACTTAGTCTGACAATCCAAACAGGCTACCTTGCAGATTTGTAAATAGAAGGCAAATTTACAAATGAAATGCAAATTTTTTTTATATATATACAAAAAGAAGAGAGAGCTCAGGAAGTCGGTCAAAAGACTCAGGGCTAGTACTGGTTGACTGGCTGGCTTTATCCCCAGTCTCACTGACAATCTAATTCTACTTTGATCATATTTAGTTCTGACGGTCCAGTTCCATCTCAGTGCAGGCCCTGAGAATATAACAAAATGCAAATCTTTCAGAAGCCACAGAAGACTAGAGCTTGAGGATGAAAAATCTGGCCCCAGGGAATATAAAGCTGATCTCACCAGAATGGCGATATTGCCTGTATCTCCCCTTAAGCCTTGTGAACTGGCAGCTGAGGGAGGAGAGAAAGACAGAATGTTGGAGGCCTCACCTGCTTAATAAAGGTGATTGAAACCATGTCCCAGGAGACAATGCCATGGTCCATGAGCTCTAGGAAGGCAGTCAGGGTGAATGCCAGCATCTCACTGTAGCTGAGACACGTGCAACACACACACAAAATAGACAAAGATTCAGATCGGGAAACACAGGTGTGAGGGCAGCCACAAAAAAGATGAATTTTAATGTGAACACCCCATGGGAAATCAGTCGATGCAACTGTAACTGTAAGTGCCTGTGTGCACACCTAGCCAGTGTAGAGCAGATTCAGCCCAGGTATCTATCGCTGCAAAAAAAAAAAAAAAAAAAAATGTTGCTGGGTAATTAGATCTTCCTTCTCCATATGCTTCATCCCAGGGACACAGAATCACTTATCTATTTCCCAAGACCAAAGAAGACATTGGACCTTTGTCAAACTCCAACACCTGTTGGGAGAACCTAAGGAAGTGTAAGTGCCATGTTAACCTTTGGGCCAAGAGGCAGTAGAGTGCAAGAGATGGGTTCAGTTCCTGTCCACCTTACTAACCAAGCAAATTTTATCTTTTCAAAATTCAATTTCTTCCTCTGTAAAATCAAGTTAGTCTCACAGCGTTAACCTCACAGGGTTGTGGAGACGACAAGATGATGATGTATGCAAAGCTCTTATTCTAGTGCTGGTAGAGAATAAGGATTAAAATGTTTTCTCTTTTTTCTCTTCTCCTTATACATTTAATCCTTTATACATCTGTACAGTGCTCTAGAATTAACAGATGATATTCCTATTTACAAAGCATGTTCAGACACATTCTCATTAACAATACTTCTCACAATAATACTGCAAGGTAGCTATTATTATCCTCAGGCTGAAGAGAGTGAAACTAAGGCCAGTCTAACCCTGTACCCTTGGGAGACTGTAGAACTATGTCAGTGCTGATGGCAGCTGAAGGCTTCAGGACTTCAATACAGCTGGAAGATCCAATATGTAAAACAAATATCTATGATTAGTTACTCGATTTGGCTAACAATTTCAATAGTTGATCTATGGGCTGAGAAGATTTCTGACTCCCTCTTTGGCAGGTTAGGCTCCAAGCACCTGTTTACTGACTGCTGCTCACAAGGCACAGCTGCCCACCGCATGCATGTGAACTCTGGGGTATGATGAAGATGCTTGTGGGTATCACAAAGTTCTGGTCTCCTCCTCCCTGTGCAAAAGTGTGGCAGGGAGATGGTGAATGGGTAGGTTGACACCTGTGGTAAACACAAAGGAAGGCGTGTGTGTGTGTGTGTGTGTGTGTGTATGGGCTGGGAGGTGACTGAAGAGGGAGGAGCAGGGGATGATTACAAACAGACACCTGGGAGATACTGGACCATCTGCTCACTAACCCTCATCAAACCAAACATTTCCAGCAATTAACAGGTCTGTCACGACGTGACTGCTCTCCTCCTGACTTCTCTAGCCCCTATTTTCACTGCTCACTTGGCACAGTACTGTTTTGTACTGTTATTTAATTTGTGAGAGCCCAAATAGACTACACGATTTAGAATCACAATATGGAATTATATATCTTGGTATGGACTCTAGTGCTTGGCACACTGCTCTGCACACAGGTGGTATTCAATAAACTCCTTATTTGACTCAAGGGAAATGAGACTAGGATGCCCTGTGGGATGTAGTAAATCGTCGAAGTCCTTGGAACGAGACCTTAGTCATACTCACTGGGACAAGAGCTTGGTTCCACTTTCCACGAGCCTTGTCAGCACAATGATGCCATCCATGTTGATGAACTCAGTAGCGAAAGTCACGTCGGCAGAGAGCTTGGCCAGCTCCTTCATGGCATCCAGCCGGGTCTCCATGT
The DNA here is from genome assembly GCF_000001405.40 of Homo sapiens. NCBI lineage: Eukaryota > Metazoa > Chordata > Mammalia > Primates > Hominidae > Homo > Homo sapiens. Next base: position 46,389,178 of record NC_000020.11, read on the forward strand.
TGGATGACTGGGTCCTCTCCATCAGCTGGCGTGCAGCCCGGGACTAGGAGGCCAGGGACAAGATATGTGCCATCTGCTCCTTGGAGCAGGTTACTACTCTGTGGATAGCTCACAGAGGCCCTTCTGTGGACATCCAAACCTGAGGCAGAACTAGTTTTTTCACACAGCTTAGGAGTTGCTAAATAAATGTTTGTGGAATCAATCAGGGAGTTATTAGTATGCCAAAACCAATCTGTAGTTATCTGCATCTTTTCTGTACCGCTTTGGCCTATGGATTTAAAAAATTCCTACCAAGGGAATACTGGAGGCATCTGGGAGGCCCACTAACGATGGTAAGTCACAGAGAAACAGATACTGGTTTAATAGAGGAAGGTTTTCTATTTAAGCTGTCTTGCTGGGTGCGTGGCTCATGCATGTAATCCCAAGGCTTTGAAAGGCCAAGGCAGGATTGCTTGAAGCCAGGAGTTAGACACCAGCCTGGCCAACAGAGTGACACCCTGACTCCCAAAAAATTTTTTAAAATGAGCCAGGTGTGGTGGTGCACACCTGTAGTCCTAGCTACTCAGGAGGCTGAGGTGGGAAGACTGCTTGAGCCCAGGAATTCAAGGTTGCAGTGAGCTAGGACTGCACCACTGCACTGCAGCCCGGGTAACAGAGCAAGACTCTCTCTCAAAAATAAAAAAGAAAATAAAATTGGTCAGGTACAGTGGCTTACACCTGTAATCCCAGCACTTTGGGAGGCCAAGGCGGGCAGATCACGAGGTCAGGAGTTCGAGACCAACCTGACCAACATGATGAAACCCCGTCTCTACTAAAAACACAAAAATTAGCTGGGCATGGTGGCATGCGCCTGTAATCCCAGCTACTCAGGAGGCTGAGGCAGGAAAATTGCTTGAACCCAGGAGGTGGAGGCTGCAGTGAGCCAAGATCATGCCACTGCACTCCAGCCTGGGCAACAGAGTGAGACTCCATCTCAAAAAAAATAAAATAAAATAAAATAAAATTTATAAAACTGTTAGACAGCAGAAGAGGTTTCTCTTGAGGTATTAAGCTCCCTGTCAGCAGAAGCAATCAAGGAGAATCTGGACAACCACCTGTCAAAGACGCTGTAGAAGGGATTCTTGCATTGGGTGAAGAATTTAATCTGATGTCCTCTAAGGTCCCTTTTAATCCTAAAATGTGAAAAGCCTGGCAATTTTTTAAAAACTTTCTCTTAGAATCCATATGATTGTTCCTCAAAGTGACAGTTCTGGGGAAACTTTAAGAACATCAAGGAGCCAGAAACAATTTCCCAATTGTTTTTTGAAAATGAAGGCTGGTGAAGACAAAACCTCCTCCTAGCACATGAACTTTTCCTAGCAGGATGCCTGCCTCCTTTTCTGCAAGCTGCGGCTAAAATCCCTCCTCTAGTATTCACTGGGCTTTCCTTCCGCTGAGCTCATTACTACATAGTGCCTCACAATTTATTGTTTCATCATTCTCTGTTTTTTGGGTGTTAATTTAATGTTCTCCACTAGAAAGCAAGAGACTTAAGAACAAAAACACACCTGTCTTCTTTCCTTTTTCTCAGTGTTAAGCAAGTGACTGGAGCCCAATTCCTGCTGCCGCCAAGGAGTCAGGCCTGCTGGCCCTCTCCCCTTTGCCTCTCCTCTTTTACTATTACAAAGCTGGCCCTTCAAAGCACAGTGCTCTCTGCAATACAGAAGCCCTCGCTATCTCTACAGTGGAGAAAATGTGCGCCACGGGAAAAGGTCATAGCATAGAACAATCTGAAGAGCACTGGTCTGCATCCCACTTAGAAACCTCCAACTCCAAATGTCAATTTTCCTCCTGAGACAGCATTTCTGGGCTGCTGCCTCCCGCTCCAGAGAGATGTGCTTCTGGGAAAGTCAACTACACTGTGCAAGAGGTCTGTGAAATGTGTCGGCACTTCCATAAAAGTGAGTAACTCCCAGACTGTCATATTAAATTACCAGAGCTTAGGAGGGAAGAATGAAGTCCTTAAGATGAGAAGAGTTCAGGAGAAGAGGGGGAGGCAGAAGAACATGATGGGAGGAATATGGGCCTAGAGTCAGACAGACCTGGGTCTGAGAGCGGGCTTGGCTACTTTATTAGCTGTGTGACAAGTGGCAAGTAATTTAACCTCTCTAACCCTCAGTTTCCTTGCCTACAGAATGGGGCTATCAAGAGTACCTATCTCATGGGATGTCTGTAAAGATTAGATGATTTAATTACACAAAGTATTTAGCAAAATATAGGCATTCAGTAAACGCTGGCTGATATCACTTCATACCTCCCCTCCTCTCAGATGAACCAGTCTCTCTCTGCACCAAGAAAAGAAGTGCCATCATGCCCTTAATTTTCTGGCTGCCCTTCTACAAATGTAACCAAAGGTGCAACCATATTGGCTGTCTTCTTCATGGGCCTAGCAGTCAAAGTGATTCCCTCTACCTGGGCTTTGAGTCCTTCCTCTCCTGGTCCAGTAAGGTCCTGTTCTATTGATTACCTGCTTTCCTGCACCTTCAACCTTCCTCTCTTCCATCTGAACACATTCTTAAGGGCACATAAAAAATTGCAACAGAAACAACCAACACGAAGGGTCAGAAAGGTGGGGAACTGGGCAGATGGGGACAGGAGTTGCGGGGAGACCTTTTGCTACATCTCTGTGAAAATTTTTGATTTGTGAAACACATGAATGCTTTACCTGCTTTTAAAAAGCACATCTTTTTGACTCCACGTCCCCTTCGCATTATCACCTTCTCTGTGTTTTCTTTTAAAACCAAGCTTCTTGATACAGCAGTAGACTCAAAGTCCTCACTGTTTTACCTTTCTTTTACTTGACCACTTCAGTGTGGCCACCTGGCCTCCCCACCATAACTTTTTTGTGAGTATCACCAGTGTCCTCTAACCTCCCAAGTCATTAGACAGCTTTTCTGCTCTCAGTTTACTAAATCTCTCTGCTTATTAAAAATTGCAGACCATACTCTCCTCAGTCCTGACACTCTCCCTGCCCAAAGCTCCTCAGTCACTTCACCTTCTTGGTGTTCTTTCTACCCTTCTGGTTGCTTCCTTAGTGACCTTTAAGGGCTGCTCTTGCACAAATCAGGGTCATCCTCCATTCTCCCCTTTCCTTCCACATCTAGCATATCACCATACTCATAAAGCTTACCTCCTAGATACTCTTCATATCCATCCTTTCATCTCCATTACCACTTGCCTTCACTGGGCTGTTAACATTCCTTATTAGCCTCTTCAAAGGTTCCTACTACCACCAACCTTCTTCTTAAGGCCCATCTTCCACATGGTCACTAAAGTGATCTTTCTAAAACTTAAAATCTAAACATAACATATCTTCCTGCTTAAAATTCTTCAATGTCCCCAGTTTCCTTCTGGACAGAGTTGAAACCTACGAGTAGGCCATCAAGGAACCTTGAATATCTGGCTTCTCAATGACTGCTACAAGCCTCCAGCCACCCAGCACTCCTGCTTTTCCCAAACACAGCATACCTCTGTGCCTTGGCATATGCTGATTTCTCTGACTGGAATACTTTTCCTTTTCTTATTTCTCTAGCTAATTCTTGCTCATCCTTTAACATCTGAGCTAAGTGACGCCTTCTCTGGCAAGACTTTCTGGAAATCTCCAGGCTGAGTTAGGTGGTCCCCTTTGTGAGTTCCCACAGCTCCCTAAGCAACTTTCTCTCAAGACCCTTGAGACAGGCCTTCTATTGCATTTGTTTACTCCCCACTAGGTGGTGAGAACCAAGACAGACTTATTTTCCTGTACTATTTCCTGATACAAAAAGACTGACTTTCTTATCTCCAGAGTACTTATTTCTAGAACAGAGTCTGGCCCATGGTAGGTGCTCATATTTGTTTGTGACATGAATAAACTCCTAAGGAAGAAAGAATACCTACCGGGGAGATAGCCAGTTGTAAGATTGTCCCATTCTTAATGTCACTGCGAGTCTGGGTAGTGAAAAATAAACAAAAAAAGTAACTAAGATAAAATGTTAAAGTGGTACAAGCAAGTTGAATCAACAATAATGTTTTGTCTTTTTTACAGTAGATGTAACTGAGGATCTTCAGTCGGGCCCTCTTCTCCTGCTTATTCCTTGGCAAAGAATTTCTAAGATCCTCCTCTAGCACCCTGGGCACTCAGGAAGTAAAAGCCACCTTTTTCTAGCCACTAGGGAAGAACAAGGGCTGGTGTTTCCCAGTCTGTCCGGAGAGTGACTCTTTACCCAACACATGGAAGCTACCTGGATGCTGAGTGAAGATAAATAGTGCCGTCTCCTTGGGTCGTTTAATTCCAAGCAAGGCCCATATTGATTTTGCCTCTCCCTGTACTAACCTGTTCGGTGATGTACAGCTGAGGACCATCTGCATAACGGAGGGTATAATACTCTGGGTTTGGCAACGACCACCTATGCAAGAGAAAAACAGTATATCCCACTTGGCCACTCTCTTGTTCAGAAGCTGCTCATAAGTAATTTTCAAAAGAGTTGCTCAAGGGATTGGGTGGCCTATTTGGAATACAGTGGAAACAAAGCTTTAGGTTGTCATGTTGAAAAAATCATGGCCTCAGCCTTTTGTAAAGATGAGCACCACAATAGGAGGTGTGCAGAACTGAGGAGGGGTCTCAGATCCTACCTCAATAGGGCAATGCTAGACTTTAAGGAAAAAATTAAGAAGTATAAACGTCTTAGGGGTATGGTTGTCAACTGTACTTCCTTCCCAAGACAATGATTCCCAAGACCCCCATGCTGAGGACCTGCCTAACTGGAGATCCTTCCCAGAACTCCCCTCAAGGTGTAGGAGTGCTCTTTCAGTCGGAGCTGCCACTGTTGAAAACGAGGTCCATTTCAACCTACCCATCACAAACTTCCTTGATAATGGATGCCAGGGGCCGTTTCTGAAAGAGAGAGAGAGAAAGCCTTCAACAGCAGCAACATCCTACTCATGCCAAGGTTCTGACAAGAGGCCTGCCAAGCAGGGTCAAGCTGGGGCATGAGAATGAACTTCTTTCCTAACAGCTTTTGTTGAAGAGGAAGCCTCTCCCAAGCCATGGTGACCGACCTTCCCTAGGGTGGGCCAGGCCCAAAGCTTAGCCTTCCTGTTGCTCGTTCTTACTCTTGATGCCGGTGGTCCCCATCCCTCAAGATGTCCTCTGCCATGCACTCCCCAGGTGCCTTTCCTTGAACCACTGCTTCTCACTTCAGGAGCATACCTGGTCGATTTCAAGGAGCTGGGCGTTAGCACCTGGCCACTCAATGGCCACTTTGACAATGTCTGACGGTGGTGGCATCGTTCCCAATGGGCTCTAATTCTGCGAGACAAAAACACAGACACGGCTGCCTGGGGAGAAAGAATCAGAAAGGTGGAAAAAGAGTATTTCTTCATTTTTCACTCTTGTTACATGTTTTGAAGAGTTTGAAGACAGACACTGCATAAAGTAACACATGAAACTACCTGGTTTGAATTTTTCTAGATCATACCACAACTTCTGCTTAGGATTTTGTCTCTTGAGATTAAATCAGCAAGAAGAAATGGGACAAACTATCTATCATCCATAGATCAGCCAGTAGCAAGATATGCCAATGTGGCACTTCAGTTTAAGAGTCAAGAAGACTCAGTGGTAGAGGAATGTATTTACTGCAAATTCCTGTCTTGAGACCTTGGGAGGAGAGAAGCATATGCTCCGAGACAGATAAGAATAGACAGCCTTTTCTTGGTTGAGTGGTTAGCTGGAGGAGCCAGGCTACTTCTTTCTGCAGTCATCCTAGGAAGATCCCAGCATCAGCAGGGCCCAGCTACATGCTCTCTTGCTTCCTCCCCACTCATCGATGCCACCCCTTTCCCCTCAAAGGACACAATGCAAAGCCTCCTCTGTGTGGGACGACATCAGAAAATGGGGAAGATAACTGGGACAGGAAATGCTATTTTCGTCCCTACTGCCAAGGGCAAGGGCGGCTGACAACTCAAGTGGAGAGAGGTAAGGATATCCTCACACAAGGGCCCCTCTTATAAGGACAAGGCTTTGCAAGTACCTCTGACCCCCTCCCCCACTTCTCTCCAAAATAAAGGAAAATAAATCATCCTGAGCAAGTCTGGAAGATGGGCCCATGTGACTGGTATCCTAGGCAACTCTGATAGCTTACTGGTATTCCAAGCAGTAACTAAAGCATTCTCTCTCCAAGGTCTGACGAAGGGAAGTCACTTGGCTGATGGATTATTTCAATGTATATTTACACTCCTTGCCTACAAGTTCAGGAGAGGCCCCTCTCTTAATGAAAAAGACCTTTCTGCATCCTCCAGGTTTAGCCATTCACCCACAATTCATGCCTCGCTAATGGGGACCACCTGCCTCTCCTGGCGTACAAAGCATAGCTGTCGCGAGGCTATTATGCATGTATGCTATCAATTTTTCAGCCCAAACACAGATGTCAGTTCTCACAGCCTGGTAAGTATAAACCTCTTAGATGAAAAGGAGTAAAAGTCCTGTCCCCCACAAGCCCATCGGCCTCAGAAAGAGGGATGCTTTCATGACCATTTCCTAGTCAGAATGGGATGCTTCAGAAGTCTACTGTCATAAAAAGCCAGCATTTCCAGAACATGACAATGTAAAGGAACTAGTTTTCCAAGTGCTTTCACTTATTTTATTGTGTCCTCCCAGCAGCCCCACGAATTAGGCAGAACAGGATTATCACCTCCATTTGAAGATGGCACAACTAAAGCTCAGTGTTTTGTTAAGTGCCCAAGGTCACCCAGCTAGTAAGTCATAACGGTTGACAGAACTTGGACTGGCTTCGGCCAATGCTTTCCCCTTTTCCTTTGAGCCAGCCTCAACTTCTGTCCACTGCAATTAAACGCAGCCTAAAGGGATTGAAGTGGGTTGGCCTTATGGCCCCCAAGGCTTCCATAACTTCTGCAGCTCATGGCAGAATTTTTCACATGTAATTTTTATGTGCCTAGACACACGACAAACCTCAGAAAAGAAACTGGCCCTATCTGCATAATTTCTGGGGAAAATGCTCTGCTCCAGTTACAGCAAGACAGGGAGTTCTTGTTCTAGGGGTGGCGCCATCAATCTCTGGATGCTTAGAGATGCATCCTTATCCTTATCGGCAAAGCTGCTGCAATTAGTAGACAGGACTGCACGGTTGTGAGGTCAATTTTAAAAACTGAGATATAATTTACATACAATAAAATGCAGAGGGCTTAAGGGTACATATGTTTGTATATATAAATATACATCATATAAATATACACATGCATCTCCCTGTAACCAGCACTCAAAACGAGACACTGAACATTTTCATCACCCTAGAAAATTACTTCATACTTCCTCTTCCCGTCAATCCTTCCAGTCCTTTAAAGGGGAATTTCTGACTTATCATCATCCATGAGTTTTGCCTGGTTTTGTACTTCATATAAATGGAACTATACGATATGACTTTTTAGATCATTTGTTTAGTTTGGCTTCTTCTTATTTTTAAAATAAGCAGGCACAGAAGGTACAACAGAAAGAACACTGGGCTGGGATAATTGTCCCTGCTGAAACAAGTGACTGGATTTAGAACCAAAGGCCTCAGGACCCAATCCTAGGTCTTTCACAATGTATACATGGCCCTTTAACCAAATCTCAGTTTTCTTCTATTGAAAGATGTGAGTGTAGAACTAAAGCATGTCTCAGGTGCCTTCTAAGTCTAAAAGTCCATGATTCTTAAGTGGAATTTAAAAAATCCAAGTGAGGATGCCCATTTTAAAGTCCTTACCAAATGAAGTTACACCCTTCCTTAATTTCGATGGTGCTGCTAAGAAACAAACCCCATGATTTTTAACTCCTTTCTGAACGCCGTCTTTGGAGATTAAGCTAAAGCTCATTAGGTTATAGCTATTATTTTCTCTTGACCCCATATGACATATCCTAGATTGACTCTCTCTTTATTAAAGTTAGCCCTGAATGATTCTCGGCTGTTCAAAAATTCGTATACATTTTAAAGCATGGAGATTTGCAACCACCAAACTATTTGAAAGATATTAATAAGCCCCCATTCTCAGTGACTCTGTCCTTCCCACAAAGCCCAGGCAGCCTCTCTGAACTGAATGACACTCTCCACAACCCTGCCATAGCTGATGGGACTAAAGTGAATACCCAACTTTAGCTGAACTATTCCAGTTCTTTCTCTTGAATTTAAAAGACAGAGACTGGCTGGGCGTGGTGGCTCATGTCTATAATCGCAGCACTTTGGGAGGCCAAGGTGGGTGGATCGCCTGAGGTCAGGAGTTTGAGACCACCCTGGCCAACATGGCAAAACCCCGTCTCTAGTAAAAATACAAAAAGTAGCCAGGCATGATGGTGGGCGCCTGTAATCCCAACTACTCGGGAGACTGAGGCAGGGAGGACAGCTTGAACCCAGGAGGCGGAGGTTTCAGTGAGCACAGATTGCACCATTACGCTCCAGCCTGGGCGACGGAATGAGACTCCATCATAAATAAATACACACATACATACATACAAACAAATAAAAGACACAGACTAAGGGAACTGGGTGATAATGACCCTGGAGAAGTAAGATCATAGTAAGCTTCAGAGCGAATACCATGGCAAGCCAAAGATCCGTACGAGCCAAAGATATGGAGAATAAAAAACCAAGAGCCTTTCAGAGGAAGTGATTCTGCAGGAGGAATCCATAAATATCTAAATGAACTGAGGCCAGAAATCAGAAAGAGATGGAAAAGCCATTACCTGCTAACTTTCCAGATTATGTGGCTATTACTTCCTATGCTCGGGGTACCTGAAAGTCCACTGTATCCTGCCAATAAAACTCCTATAAATTAAGCTAGTCTATGTTTCTACTCATTGCAACTAATACGCCTAAGACCACAGCTGCCCCCAAGCTCTGCAGGAACTCTAAAACGGAGGTCTGAGCAGACAGCAGCATCACTAGCATATGATGATGGTACTGGGTAAGCACTTAATTAACAATGGCTGAATTAATGAGAGCAAAACCCATGGGTTTGCTCTTACCCACTAGATAAGTCTGATTTGTTTGAAACAGATCGGTTATATGGTAACTTCATAGTAATCATATATCTAGTAGTAACGTACAGGTAGCCTCTTTATTTTTATTTTTTTAAATTTTTTTTAAAAGATGGAGTCTTGCTCTTGTCGCCTAGGCTGAAGTGCAATGGCATGATTTCAGCTCACTTCAACCTCTGTCTCCTGGGTTCAAGCGATTCTCCTGCCTCAGCTTCCTGAGTAGCTGGAATTACAGATACTCACCACCACGCCCAGCTAATTTTTGTATTTTTAGTAGAGACGGGGTTTCACCATGTTGGCCAGGCTGGTCTTGAACTCCTGACCTCAGGTGATCCATCTGCCTCGGCCTCTCAAAGTGCTGGGATTACAGGCGTGAGCCACTGTGCCCAGCCCAGGTAGCCTCTTTATAGTTGATTGCTCACTTCTATATCATTATTATAGTTGATGCTCATAAGAACTCTGAAAAACATTCCTACCTTACAGGTAAGGCAACTGAAGTTCAGACGGATTGACAAACTTGTTCTCCATGTACCTCTTTCTACACCTCCCTCCTAAAAGAAGGAAGGAAAGAAAAAAAATGAAGGGAGGGAAAAGAAATAAAACTAAATCAACCCAACACATCAGAACTGGGTCTCAAGCCTAGGTCTTAGGACTCCAAAGCGAGTTCTCATCGCTCTATATAATACTTCCTTAGATGATGACATTAGCTAGCAATTACATAATGCTAAGGCACTATTTTAAGGGCTTTACATATATTAATTCATTTAATCCACACAGCAATGCTGTGTGGTATGTTATTATCCCCACCTTAGAGATAAGAAAATGGAGGCACAGAGGAGTTAAGTAGAAGGCTCAGTGTCACATAGCTAGCAAGTGGCACAGCCAGAATTTGATACCAGGTTGTCTGGTGTTGCTGGAAAGCCATGAGAAAGCAGGTGGCTCTGCACCTGACCCGCAGCAGGTGCTTTGTGGAGATTTCTGGTTTGTGTATCTGAAACCAAAGCACACTGAGGCTAAGAAACCTTCACAGCAAGAACTCACCATTGTAACAGAAGACAGCTCTCCACTGTCTACAGGTGGGCCACACTCCCTCGTGTGCTATTTGGTCCTTTACAATCTAGCCATCCTGGACTACGGGCTATTTCTATAAGGCAGGCCATGTTCTTTCAATTCTTCTGTACCTTTGCACATTCTCTTCCTCCTACTGACTGTCAGAAGAGCTCCTATTCAAGCATCAGAGCCTAGTTCGGATGTTACCTCCTCCTTGTACTAGTCTTAGCTTTCTCTACTTTCCCTGGCAAAAGTAAATAGGACAGGGGCCTCTGTGTTCTCACAGCATCCTGTTCATACTTCCGTTAATGAGTACGATTTTGTCATACTCTATTACAGTTACATATTTACACATCTCCACTAGCTCCTCCTCCAGAACAGGTATAACTCTGCAGTCTCATAACCTAGCACAGCACTTGGTGTCCAGTGAAGGCTCAGTAAGCACCTGTGTCTGCTTAAACCCAATGGCTCTGATTTCTTCCACTCCTGTGAACCAGGCTGGCTCCAAACAGACAGGGACAGGCATGAACTGTGCAGGCTGTCTGGTGTTCCCTCTGCGTCCCAATACCCTCTAACTACACAGTATTTCCATTGTTTAACAGTTTGTTTTGGCTGGGCGCAGTGGCTCACACCTGTAATCCCAATGCTTTGGGAGGTCAAGGCAGGAGGATCACTTCAGGCCAGGAGTTCGAGACATTTCTCTACAAAAAATAAAAATTAGCTGGGCATGGTGGCGTGTGCCTGTAGTCCCTAGCTACTCAGGAGGCTGAGGCAGGAGAGTTGCTTGAGCCCAGGAGTTCGAGGCTGCAGTGAACTATGATCATGTCACTGAACTCTAGCCTGGGTGACAAAGTGAGATCCTGTCTCTATTAAAAAATAAAAATAAAATAAAAAACTGTTGTTTTCATATCAAACATTAGAATAAGTCTTACTGAAAAATCAGGGTTAGCACCCCTAACTCTAGTTGAAAGAAAGAGGAAAACCTCCCTCTGCTTTTCTCCCTATCGAAAAGAAACATCAGGAGATAGGAGACTAGAAATAATTCTGTTCTCCAGATAATATTCCCAGGATAAAGGATCTCCTTATAGGGAACCCTTCCAGCACGTGTTTGCTTACTCCCTTCATTTTCATTCTAGAAAGGAAGTAGAAATTAGGTCAAAGGAATTCAGTAACATTGCAAAATTCTCAGGGTTATAAATAGCCTCTTGCTCCGCCACTCAGCAGTACTGTAGCTCAATTGCAAACCACCAGCATAAGGGAGCTGTAGTTCCATATCCAGGCCCAGAGGGCCCCTTCCGGATTAAACAACTCCCCACCCTTCTACCTTCCACTCCTCTTTAAGCATTACAGATATAAGGATGATTTGGAAAACTCAAAATGCTACAAAACAGGAGACAGGCACACACTGACCTGATGACAATTTTACTATAAGTCATAAGAATGAAAGGCCAGTTTTTCAAACACAGAGCTGGGAAAAGTAGAGAAAAATAGGAACATTAGTGTCTCCAATGGAGCAGTCTCTAAGTGGCTTCTAGAAGGTGTGCTTATAAAATCAGCACTGTTACAGAAGCCCCATGGAGCTTTATCAATCACCCATGCAGTGACTGCTGCTTCACGGAGCTGGATTCTGAGAGCAGGATTGGAAACCGAATCTTAAGGAATGAAGTGAAAGATGATCTCCTCCTATTAGTAAGGAATTTGGGATGAAGAATGCCAGGTTTCCAGCTCCCCTCCTTCCCCCTATTCCTTTCAGGATAAGAACGGATGTGTACTTTTTGTTCAGTTATTTGGCTTTTGATTTGGTGAAGGAGGCATGGGTAAGTTTGGTTTATGTTTCCTGCAACAGAATGCAACCTCATCAAGAAGGCAAGTTGGAGTCACGCCCTTTCTAATCGAGAACACAATCTCTATAAAGGCTTCCCCCTCTGAAATCTTCTCATCTGAGAAGTGATTCAACTTCCCTTAGTTCAGTCCACTGAATGACGATCAGACTCTGAGGTACAGAAAAGGGAGGATTTGACTGGCAGAGATTAAGGTTCTTATGTTTACTGCTGGAAGCCCTGGGAAGGACCACCATACCAACAGCAGCTGAGGTTTCCCCTTTTTGTTGAAGTATGTTAGACACAGGACTCATTCACACATGGTAAAAAGCCACAAACTTACATAGAGGCAAAGGTGTGGTGAGAAGGGGTGTGGGGGCAGGGGAACTATTTGGGTTTCTTCATCTTGATTCCTGCTGTAAGAATGGCCTGGGTCTTCTCTTATCCTGCACAGACACCTTCTGTAGTGTTCCTATACTTAAAGAATAGTGCTTAAGTAAGCTCCTTAGCAGAGCATTCAACTTACTCCAGTTCCACCGTGGCTCTGTGGTGGAACTGGCTTTCAGATTCGCTTTTGCAGATGCCATGTTCTCACCAGACCACCTGTTCCCTGAAAAACCATGCTCTTCTGAGTCTGTATGTTTGCTTGTGCTATTATTTCCTCTTCCTTGTCCAGCTGGCAAACTTCAACTCAACCTTCAAGGCCCAGCTAAGATAATCACTCTTCTATGTGGCTTTCCTAATCCTCTCACCTCAGGGAAAATTAATTGCAGCCTCATCTGTGATCCCAGTCTTCTGTACATACCTTCCTGATCCTACTGATTTATAATTCTCTATGTGCAGTCTCTTCCCTGGCTACGATAGGTGTGATGTGCATACCAGCAGCGGCAGTATCCCTGGGAGCCCAGACCCACCCAATCAGAATCTGCCTTCAAACAAGATCCTGAGGTGGTTCAAGTGCATGTTCAAGTCTGGGACATAGGCTCTAGATCAGATAAGGTCCGAGAAACAGTGGTTCTCAACTCTGGTTGTGCACCATCAACACACACCCCAGGTCATTTATAAACTCTCAGATGCTCAGGGTTGACCCACAGCTCCAGGAGAGTTGACAACCTGAGGGCAAGGACTCATGAAGCCTAAGTCTATTCCCCCATCTACTCTTCCCCCAGTTTGCAGCACACTGCCTGCCACATAGCTGTGTCCACAGAATTCCACAGGAAAATTCCCTCCAGGGTGCCTCCAGACCTAAATGCCTTCAGAAGAGAGTGAAAACACTACTGACTGAGGATTATTAATTGCCTAGAACTTTCCAAATCCCTAACCACAATGACTGAAGAGATGAATTTACAAAAAGTCAGTGTTTACAAACCACTTACCTCAGTTTTTGGAAATGAGAGGAAACAGAAACTGAGATGGAAAATACAGATGAACTTCAGAATTAAACTTTAGAAAACCGTGATTGCACAAGGAGATGGAGCTTGGGTAGGGAGGGAGTGTGGTGTGCTGGGAAGAGTCCTGGGTTACAACTAAAATCTCGGGCTGTGAACTCCTTCAATACTGACCATAACAGCACAGCATTGTTCTCAGTGTAAAATCAGGCCAAGCCCTTTCATTACATAAATAAGGGAACTGAAGTCCAGAGAAGCTGGCAAGGCCATGCCACCAGTTAGGGACAAAAGAAGGCCTAGGCCCCCACTTCTGGTTTAGTCCTCCTCCTGCAGCACAGCTTTGCCACAAACACAAGCCTTTCTGGACCTCAGGTCCTGATCTACATCGGGGGCTGGACTAGATGTTTTTGAGCTTTCTTCCAACTTTGGCCTTCTAGTGAGGAAGTGTAGCTTAACAAGTTAGGAGCTGTGTTCTGGAGTGGGAAAGGCCTGAACTTGGATCTTAGCACTAACGATTTTCTTACCTGTAAAATGGGGATTAGCATCAACTCTACCCCGTAAAGCTGTTGTGAGCATCAAGTGGGATAATAAAGCACTAAGCATAATAGCAGAATTCTAACCGTGTGAACCTGAAGAAACTGCAAAAGCTCTGAAACCACGTTTCCCCAACACAGTAAGCCCTACCTGCTAGGCAGGTATGTTGTGTATTGTTGACAAAATAAGAGAGCATATGTGAAGGCAGTCCGGGAGGAAAGTCAATACAAAAGGCAAAGCATTTGTTGGTGTTCCACTATTATTATTACTATTTCCCAGTGGAAGAACTTTGGAAAATGTTATGATCAGTTCCAAAGCAGCAGCTAATACAATGCCTGGCAAATAAGAAGTGCTCAACAAATATTTTCTAGTGACTCACATGAAACCAGCATAGCATGCCTAATAGGGTTATAAATTCAAATGTCTTGGGCAGCCAAGCAGGTAAGTAAATAAAACAAGCAGCCTCCATGTAGGGTCTGTAACACTGCAAAGTACCACCTTGCCTAGAGGAGTTTAAATCCAACATTTTTAAAAACACATCATGCAGCTTGGCCAAGACAGCCACTTTGCAGCCTCCAGCCCATACTGATTCTGGCTCTTCATTACACCTCATGATGCCTTGCATACCATCTAGTCATTTTATGTGATCCAGTCTTGTCTTTCCAAGTATACCTGAAGCATCCTGAAGATGAAGGCTATGACATACACCGCCCAATCACCAAAAATGGCTTACAACAGTGCTGGTCACGTGGTAGATACTCAGTGAGCAATTGCTGAACTGGGGCTGTAGGCCGGGCGCCGTGGCTCACGCCTGTAATCTCAGAACTTTGGGAGGCTGAGGTGGGCGGGTCACTTGAGATCAGGAGTTCAATACCAGCCTGGCCAACATGGTGAAACCCCGTCTCTACTAAAAATACAAAAATCAGCCGGGCACGGTGGCAGGCACCTGTAATCCCAGCCACTCAGGAGGCTGAGGCACAAGAATCGCTTGAACGTGGGAGGTGGAGGTTGCAGTTAGCCGAGATGGCACCATTGCACTCCAGCCTGGGCGACAAGAGTAAAACTCCATCTCAAAAAAAAAATAGAAAAGCCAGGCTATAAACTCAAGCCTAGTATTCTCAGCACCTCTGAGATGCTGCATGGTATGTGTTTTTTTCTATCCAGGTCCTGGGACCAGACTTAGTCCAGGCTGGGCCGAGGTATGGTGACCAGGTCAAAGGACTTGCCTTGCAGGGTTTTCTTCAACTGCATCAAATATGCTTCTTGCTGAGCCACCTTGGCAGGTGGTACTGCTACATCTGGACACATTATCTGAGCACAGAACAAGCTAGAATATGCTGTACACTGAAGTTTTTAAAGAAGTTTGGTCCTGACTTCCTGTACCCTCAAACTTCCTTTGCACCTCCTAGAGTCCACATCAGATATATAGAAAGACCAGACTGAAGATGAACAGATAGAGGTCCTAATCTCACCTCCTCCACTTACAAACTCTAGAATTATCCCCGGCAGGCAACCTCTTTTAGAAGCTTCACTATCGATATCAGTAAAGTGCAGATAACAACAGTTATCTCAAAAGACTCTAGAGGGTATACAAAGTGTGTGACACTGTACAGCCCAATACCACAATCCCTGGCCATAGGTGGTTACTAAGCACTTGAAAAGTGGCACAGGCTGCCCTCTGTGTAAAATACAAACCAGGTTTCAAAAACTTAGTACAAAAAACAAGAACGTAAAATATCCCATTAATAATGTTTTAATATTGATTATGTTATAATAATATAATTTTGGAATATATTGTGTTAAATATATTACTAAAATAATTTCAGCTGTTCCATTTTTTAATGTGGCTACTAGAAAATTTAAAATTATATCTATGGCTCACATTACATTTCTATTAGACAGCAGCATCACTCTAGCATAGAGCCTGGCACACAAAAAGCATTCCAAATGTCAGTTTCATTCCCCTGCAGGTAGGACATCAGTGACCACGATTCACATCCCCTTCCTCTTGCCAAATTCAAACCCTGCATCTATTTATTTGGTAAATATTTATATTGCCTGGCCCTGTGTGAGATGCTAGAGATACTACATGAAGCAAAACCGACACTATCTTCTTCGTGGACCTTACAATCTGGTGGGATGGACAGAGAAATATCAATACTTTTGTAAATAAATGTAAAATTGCAGTTGTGCAAGTGTTGTTAAGGACAAGTACCCAGGGTGATAAACGTGGGGTACTGGTCGAAAAGTCAGGGACAGGGATGCCTCCCCTGCAGAAGTGATGCTTAAGCGGAGATCTGAAGGATGAAGAAGAGTTTACAAGACTAAGCCAGGGGAGGAAGAGCAGACCAGGGAGGAGGAATACTAAATAAAAGGCCCCAAGGAAGGCAGGAGCTTGGGATGTAGAAGGAACAGAAAGAGGCCAGTGTGTGGAGAGCACTGAGCAAGCGGACGGACGAGTAGACAGACTTGGGAGAGGTCAGCGGGACCGGATCTCCAGGGCCTGGGTGAGGTTCTGGATCTGACCCTACAAAGGGGTGGGACGCCGGGCCAGTTTCATGCCCTAAGCATCCAGATCTGCTCTGCATTTCTCGGCTGGGCGCGGTGGCTCACGCCTGTAATCCCAGCACTCTGGGAGGCCGAGACGGGCGGATCACTTGAGGTCAGGAGTTCGAGACCAGCCTAACACGGTGAAACCCCGTCTCTACTAAAAATACAAAAATTAGCTGGGCGTGGTGGCAGGCGCCCGTAATCCCAGCTACTTGGGAGGCTGAGGCAGGAGAATAGCTGGAACCTGGGAGGCGGAGGTTGCTGTGAGCCGAGATCGCGCCATTGCACTCCAGCCTGGGCGGCAGAGCGAGACTCCGTCTCGGAAAGGTTTCAAAAAAAAAGGAAAGGTTTCTCTGGGCACGGTGCAAGGCCGACAGGAGAAGGGCCCCTGTGCCTGCGCAGGGCAGACCAGTTAACACACTGCAACTGCCCAGGCAGGAAGCGAGAGGGGCCTGAACTCAAGGGTGAGCGCAGGAGGTGGAAAGTACATGCACCGGGGTGCTACTGAGCCAGCAGGATCCACGGGGCGGACTGGTGGACGCGGGCAGCCGGGTCCAGGTTGAGCATGACCCCGGGCTTTCAACTCGTGCGGGCCCGCCCCGAGCGCTCTCCGGCTTCTTCCCAGCCCTCTCCTTGCCGCCCCTCCCCGATCTTCCCACCCAACGCCTCCCTCCTTCTCCCTCCGACCGCTGCCCAGCCCAGCCCCCGTGCCTGACTGCCTGGCCCGCCCTCTTCCGCCACGCGACGCCCCTTCTGGGTCCAGGACCCGGTCTCTCCTCCCTTCCTAAGGCCCCGGCAGGGCCGCCACCCCTCGGGGGCCTGACGAGCCGGCGCGGTCCAGCCCAGGCCCGCCCTCTCAGCCCCTCAGCCTCCGGAGCAGACGCTAGCCGCAACGCTCGGCCCGGCCTCTCTTCCCTGCGTCTTTCGGGCCGGGCCCCTCTCCACCGCCTGCCGCGCCCCGACCCCCAGGGCGCCCCTCACTCACCAGGGCGCAGACCTAGGCCCAGCTCCTGCTCCCGGGTCTCCGCTCGGCGGCTCCTCCAGCCTCCGCCCGCCCCGCCTTCTTGGGACCCCGCCCCGCACAGGCCGGGCCCGGCTTCTATTGCTCCGACTCGCCGTCACGCTGAAGTCTCTTTCTTCAATTAGGTTGCTTGTCTGTCACTCAAGAAGGGGCGGGCACAGCTGCCGGTAGAGGGGAAAAACGCCGGCCGTCCCCGCCCCCCTAGTGGAGGCCTCTTAAAGAAACAGGACGCCATTCCCCTGCGGGCTACAGGGTCTGAAGGAAGGTAATTTCCCAGCTAACCCAAGAGGCAGCTTTCTTTTTCCCCCAAACTTTTTTTTCTTTTTGGTATGCAGTCCTAGAGTGAAGGAAAAGGCTTTTGCTCGCTGTGTCAAATCATAGGTTGTGAGCTCTAAGCGGGCCTCTGGTGGCACTCCGCCCTGTGCCCAGCGGGCACTTACCGCACACTCAACAGTGGGGATAGCTGTGGTTTGGGGAACTGAGTGGGAGGTGACAGTCGTGTCAGAGGCTGTGAGCAGCCGCGCTGCTCACCACCGAGTTGGAGCTAATTATACCGGCACCCAGGGCTGACCGTGGGCGCTGAGCAGAGGCAGAAGGGTACAACTCAGCTGTGCTGTTGGAAGGGATCCGTGGGAGGTGGCATTCGTCACTGCACCTGCGGATCGGAACAAGGCCGGGCACCGCGCCAAGGACTCACTCCTGCTGTCTCTCTTCATGCTCACAGCAGCCGTGTGATGGAGGGAGCACCGTGATCCCTTCGCTGCAGATGAGGAAACTGAGGCTCAGAGAGGGTCCGAGATCTTACAGCTGGTGAGGGGCAGAGCAAGATGCCAACCTATGCCTGTTGGATTCCAAAGTTTATACTTTAATCGTTTGTCTAGCAGATTCTTACAACAATCCTGGGAGGTGTGTATTCAGCTGTCCCTTTGCAGATAAAGAAACTGATACTCAGCAAAGAGACGATGTAGTGACTACCACTTGTAGGCCACTGCGCAGTCTGCAAAGCAGTTTTACATACGTTGTTTCATTTGATCCTCGAAACATCTTGGAATTAAAGATGATTTTTGTTAGTCCTATTTTACAGGTGAATAAAGTGAGGCTTGGGGAGGTTGAGGCTTAGCCATAGCTAACATTGCTAAAACTCTGGCAGGAGTTACTCTTTCTCCTTCTCACTGGCTGGACCCAGCCTTGACCTTGTGATGATGATGACGACGTGCTAGGGAACAGAGCTACAGCACAGGAGGTGCCAAATGCTACCTGCCTACTTGGGACACTCACTTCATACTCTTATGTGAAAGCGAAATGATCTTCTCCGTTCCTTTTATTATTAACTTTGATAGCAGGGAGGGCTGTTTGAGCCAACCCTGCACTCACACAACACTGAGGAAGAAAGGCTTAAATTTTGTACCCTGGGTGCCTCAGTTTGCTTCATCCTAGTCCTGGCTCTGCTTAATAACACATTTATCCAAGGAATGAATCACTCACTTGAGAGCTTTACAAGACTGTGTCATTTTTTTTTCCTGATATTGCCAGTGCAGGTTCTTTGATTGCCAGTCTTAGGAATCAATTCTGGCTAACTTTACCCAAAAAAGATTTTATTGGCAGGCTAGTGTTTAACTCACAGAGGTAACAGGAAGCTGGAGAATCAGGCTTAGAAAAGGACAGAAAGTGGAGATGCTTTGAGAGTTTAGGCAGGCAAGTGAATCAATTCCATGTTTTTCTTCCCTTTCTTGACCAGAGTTTTCTTTGATGAGTCAAAGTCCCTGGAGCAAGGGTTCGATTGGCGGAGCTCAGGTAACATGTCCACACTTTAGCTAAGGAGGGCGGGCAACTTGATGGACAGCTCCACCAAGACTGCACAGAAGTGCAGAGTTCCAGATCCCTCTTCCTCCACCTCAGCTGCTCCCAGTGGGCAACTAGGTTCAGGTGCCGTGTTTTCAGGCTGGAATCAAATAGGAGGAGTACCTGCAGCTGAATGTCATGATTACACAAATGCAATTGTGTCTGGCACGTGGGAGAGGATAGTAGAGATTCTGAGCTTTGTAACCTTGCAGACCTTTGTGCTATTTACCAGCTGTTTGTCCCTGGGTAAGTTACTAGATCTCTCTGAGCCTGTCTCCTCATGTGTACAATGGGGAGAATAACAGTACCAGCCTTAATGGATTGTTGTGAGAAATGAGATCACTGTAAATATACAACAGTTAGCAAAATGTCTGCATTTAAGTGCTCAATAAATTGTAAATTATAAAATTTTAAAATTATAGTAGGCCTTCCATAAGTACTTATTGTGTGAGTGAATTATCTACCCCTCTCAGTTCTCTAATCCATTTGACTTTTGTTTTTTGTTTTTGAGACAGAGTCTCCCTCTGTCACTCGGGCTGGAGCACAGCAGCATGATCTTGGTTCACTGCAACCTCCGCCTCCCAGTTTCAAGAGGTTCTCCTGCCTC
This sequence comes from Homo sapiens, assembly GCF_000001405.40. Lineage (NCBI taxonomy): Eukaryota > Metazoa > Chordata > Mammalia > Primates > Hominidae > Homo > Homo sapiens. Next base: position 46,409,033 of record NC_000020.11, read on the forward strand.
AGCCTCCCAAGTAGCTGGGACTACAGGTGTGCACCACCACACCTGGCTAATTTTTGTATTTTTAGTAGAGACGGGGTTTCACCATGTTGGCCAGGCTGGTCTTGAACTCCTGACTTCAAGTGATCTGCCTGCCTCAGCCTCCCAAAGTGCTGGGATCACAGGTATCAGCCACCACACTGGGCAAATATGGCCCATCTTTAGAGTGGTGGGAAGCTTAGAGACAAAATCTTTACCACGGTCTACAAGACCCTAGATGATCTGGCACTTTACTTCTCAGACTTAATCTATTCCTACTCTCGCCCTAACTTACTGTTTGAGTCTTACATACTAATTTCCCATTCTGTGAACACACAGTTTCTTCTCATCTCTGTGCCTTTGCACTTGCTGTTCCCTCTCCTGGAATGCTCTTCCCCCAGCTCATCACATGGCTTCCATCTTCACTTTATTCAGGCCATGCTCTGTTATCTCCTCTTCCAAGTCTTCCCTGACAGCACTGTCTCCTATCATCCAGCCGCTCCACCCTTCTCTTCCCTTAACTTGCTCTAGTCTTCTCCCTAGCACTGCATGTCATATTACTTTGTTTTGTTTTCTGACTTCCCCATTAGTTGTAAGCTCCATGATGGCAGAGATCTTGACTGTCTTGATCATAGCTGTATCTCTGCTACCTAGAACATATCTATTATAGTACATAATATGGGGTCAATATCTTATTTTGACCATGTAAAATAATGGTTGCATCACTGAGTAAACAAAAATGACCTATGGGTAAATGGAAGGTCTCTATGAACTTGACTTATACTTAAATCTTTCTAAACAGTTACAGATTAATCATGGCCCTTCTCACATAGAATTATTGTCAAATACAATCCCTGCCACCACAACAAAAGGCTTTTTTGGTTTTTTTTTGAGATGGAGTCTTGCTCTGTTGCCTAGGCTGAAGTGCAGTGGCGTGATCTCGGCTCACCACAACTTCCACCCACTAGGTTCAAGTAATTCTCCTGCCTCAGCCTCCCAAGTAGCTGGGATTACAGGTATCTGCTGCCACACCAGGCTAATTTTTTTTTTTTTGTATTTTTATTAGAGACGGGGTTTCACCATGTTGGCCAGGCTGGTCTCGAACTCCTGACCTCAAGTGATCTGCCCACCTTGGCCTCCCAAAGTGCTGGGATTACAGGCGTAAGCCACTGTGCCCGTCCCAAAAGGATTTTTACATGGTAGCTCATAAATGTCAAAACCTTCATTTATCTGCTAAAGGAAATAGAACTAGCATTTATCATGGGTTTACTATGTGCCAAGAGTTATACCGGAGGCTGTTATACACATTACCACACTTAAAACTGTCAACTTTCTATGGCAGATTAGTGTGCCCATTTTGCAGATGAGAAAGATTGAAGATTAGAGATGTGAAAAGCTTGCTAAGGCACCTCAGCCTGGCTGGTACTCAGTCAGTCCGACTTTCTGTTTACACCACTCAGTGGAAACAGCATTCCACTGCGTATTTAATTCTTCATTTTTTTCACACTTATTAATCCTGGATATAGATGAGACTATGTATTAAGGTCTTTACATGATTTATCTCATTTGATCCTCATGTTTCTACGAAGCACATACTGCTATCACCTTTATTTTACAAACGAGGAAACTGAGGCACAGAGACTTTAGACATTTGCCCACGGTTACCTGGTTGAGTGGTGAAGCCAGTATTTAAACCCGGCTCTATTTAATTTCAAGGCCTCTGTCTTTTCTGCAATAGCGCGCTGTCTCCATTAAGACCACTCTCTGCCTCAGATAGAAAGAGAAGAAAAATGGCTAAAACAGGCGAATAAAGTATCATTAAGAAAATTCATGGTGACTTGGTTCTTGAAACGGGAAGCAAAAGGGCAGGAGGCAGACAGCCAGTCTAGCACCAGCGCTTGCAGGCTAGGGGTTCACATAACTCACAATAACTTAATTTTCGAAGATCGTTCTTCCAGGAACTGGGGGGTGAGGGACGTGGTTATGATGTATTTGTGTGAGTGGAGCCCAGGAAGGGGCCGGACTCTTGGTGAGCAGTGGCTGTCAGCCCCTGGAAGGCGTGCTCAAGCCGCCTGCGGGAGACCAGCGCCCTCTGCTGGCATCGGAAGCCACCTTCCAACATCAAGCAAGCCGGGGGGGGGGGGGGGCGTGTGTGTGTGTGTGTGTGTGTGTGTGTGTGTGTGTGTGTGTGTAATTGGGGAAGCAATGAGATTTGAAAATTTGTGTGTGTGTGTGTGGGGGGGGGCATTGGGGAAACAATGAGATTTGAAAATTTTCATTTCTTTTTTTTTGAGACAGCGTCTCACTCTGTCGCCCAGGCTGGAGTGCAGCGGCGCAGTCATGGCTCACTGTAGCCTCAACCTCCTGGGCTCAAGCGATCCTCCTGCCTCAGCCTCCCGAGTAGCTGTGACTACAGGTGCGCGCCACCATGCCCCGGTAATTTTAAAGTTTTTTGTAGAGATGGGGGCCTCACTATGTTGCCCAGGCTGGTCTCGAACTCCTGGGCTCAAGTGATCCTCCTGCCTTAGCCTCCCAAAGTTTTGGGATTACAGGCATGAGCCACTGCAGCTGGCTGAGATTTGCAAAATTTCTAATGCACACAGTAAATACAAATAATAGCTGCCACTTAGCAATATAACATTGGGGTGGGGATCAGGGGCTGTTTAAGGATTTTACATTAATTTATTTACTCCTAAGGACTTTACATACTGCATCTAACTTAACCTTTACCCTGACCCCCTGAATTAGGAATTATTGTTAGGACTTCGATTTTTCACACGAGGAAGCTGACAGAGAGATTAGGTCATTTGCTGTACCGCTATTAAGTGGCAGATCAGAGGCTTGAACAAGTGGACTCTGACCTTCCAGGTCTGTGCCCTGGAAATGACCATGTTGCCCTTCTTTGGGTCTGGAGTGCCCCCTGGCAAGTCTCCTTGTACAGAACCTCACTCAGAGCAGACACACAGCAAGGGCTCAGTGCTTCTGAAAATGGTAACCAGGCTGGGACTTGGTGGTGAGTTTGCTGCTTTTTGTATTCAAGCTCAGGGAGGCTGTAGACTCGCTGGGTGGCTGGCCTTAGAATCCCCTGCATCTGTCTGAACCAGAGACAAGCCCCCAGCCAGTGCTCAGGTTGGCCCCTGGGATCTGCTTGTCCAATAGTAACAACATTACAATAGTACAACATTTTGTTTGGCTACAACAAAGCAGACAGTCCTAATGAACAATGCAAAACATTCAGCACCCAGGGAGGCACCAGTACTGACAGATCAGAACAGACAGCACCCCCTCCCACCCCCCAGGGTCCCAGGAGACAGTCCCTCTGCCTCCCCCACAGTATATCCAAGGCTTTAACCCTTTTACTTACTGGAATGTGGGGCATTGGAGGTGGAAGATGAGGTCAGCGTTGCTGGGGAAGAGTGGTTTGAGGCAGCTACTATTTACCAATGAATATGGAAGAATTTCAATATTTTAACAGTTGGTGTGGCTATGCTGGCTGAATACTGCCATCCTTACTGTGGGTCCTGGGGTAATAGTAGGAACTAACTCATGGGTCTGGTGCAGGGGTTACACAAAGAAAAGCAAGTAAAGTTCCTGCTTCTACTTCAGAGAGGTATTCAGTCAATGAGAGTTGGTCTTAATGGCCTGAACAGATGTGTGTGTGTGTGTGTGGGGGGGGGGTTGTTGGGGTGGGGAGAATGAGCTAGTCTTGCTGACTCCCGACCCTGTCTCACCATCCATTGTGTTCATCCTCTTCAATTGTAGCTGAGTCCTGGAACCCAGAGCCTGGGGCGGGTTTGGGGGTTCCTTAACCGGTGTATGGTCACTTTGCTTCACTAGACACCTCCCTGAGTGTCTACACTCAGTTCTACAGAACTGGCTCAGTTTGTCCAGAGCAGCTGCCCATTTGTTGAAAAGTTGAGGCAGCCATGATAGAGGAAGTGAAGGCCTGGCTGTGGAGGGCTGGCTGCGGGAAGTGACCATGAGATGAGGCTCTGGTTTATCTAGGAAGACCTCTACATATGATCGTCTATCTATTCTTTCCACAAACATCTGTTGAGTGCTCTGTGTCTGCTAGCTAGTGGCTGTATGTTAGTGATCAAAACAAACATGGTCCCTGTCCTCCTGGCATTCACAGTGATACAGGGGAGACAGACAGCATATAAAGAAGCAAACAAACATATCAGTGTGACTATAAACTGTGATAAATGTAATAGGAAAATGGTTAGGCTCACCTCCCTACATTCCAACAATCAAAGCAGGAGGAGAGCGTAGTCATGGAGGTCCTCCCTGTGGAGGTGATGATTCTATTGAGACCTGGTAGATGAATAGGAGTTTTCCAGGTAAGAAGTGAAAGGTGGGGTGTTCCAGGTAGAAGGAACAGAAAAAAAAAATCATGACTTCAACTGGGTGGTTGGATTACAAAAGCAGAGAGAAGAGAAGAAGAGAAGAGAAGAGAAGAGAAGAGAAGAGAAGAGAAGAGAAGAGAAGAGAAGAGAAGGGTTAAGGAGAAGGCAGGCAGCTACTACTAAGGGCCTTGTTGGCCCTGCTGTGGAGAGGGTTAGTTTTATTCTGTGTATAATAGGAATCCATTGGAAGCTTGCAAACAGGGGAATGACAAAATCTGATTTAAGTTTTGAAAAATATCTAGTTGGTTGCTGTGACCAGATTGTGTTGAGACTAGCTTGTAGAATACGAAGATGGAAGCAAGGAGTCCGAGTGGGATGTGAATATTAAAAAGCCCCCACCCTCATAGGAAAAGACTGATTGTTCTATGGCCTTAGTAATGAGTAACCACCAGAACTGGTCTTAAGCCTAATAGGTTAATGGCAACTCATCTCACTGAATCTGCATCTGAAACCAACCAATCAGTGATAGTCTGTGCTTTGAGAATCAGCCAAGCTGCCCCAGATTCACTGCAGTGAGTATGTTTCTCAGGCTGGTGTCACCCCTCTCTCTGCTTGGAAACCAAACTCATCCCCAAACAAATTATTCCCCAAACCTATATAAGATTAACAGTTTGTTTTGCTCATCCAGACTATACCTGACCATTGAAGGGCTCCTGTGCTTAAAGAAGCAAGAAATGCAGCTGGTTGCAGACACTAAGGGGTGGTTTTATCCTCCAGTAGAGGTTGCCTTAGGCTGATCAGGCTGCTACAACAAAATACCGCAGGCTGGGTGGCTTATAAACAACAAATATTTATTTCTTACAGTTCTAGGGGCTGGGAAGTCCAAGATCAAAGTGTCATCAGATTTGATGTCTAATGAGGGCTGCCTTATTAGTTCACAGATGGCCATCTTCTCACTGTGTCTTCACGTGGCAGAAGGGGAAAGGAGCTCTCTGAAGTCTCTTTTTTTAAGGGCACCAATCCCATTCATGAAGGTTCCACACTCATGACCTAATCACATCCTAAAAGCCCCACTCTAAATACAATCACATTGGGGATTAGTTTTCAACATATGAATGGGCAGTGGGGTGGAGGGTAGGGGGCACATGAAGCAGTTATCCAGTCTATAGCAGGAGTCTTTACAGTCATCCAGGCTATGGATGGTGGTGGTCTGTTCTCTTGTCACTGCTGAGGATGTCATCCTGGGGTTTATTCTCTGACCCTCCCTGGGCCAGGCGCCTATGGCTGACAAACCCTTTTCTGAAGGACATTATCTTTCTTTGAAGATTTTATGTCTTTATTTAGGTGTACCGTTGCATCTTGTCTCGGGATGTTCTGCCCCTTCAAGGGAATGTGTCATTCGGGGTTGAGTCAGGAGAGAGAAACCACACCAGTTATTTGAACAGACATAAGTCAATATAAAGAATTGTTAACCAGGTATAAAGTTGTTAAGTAGGTCTCTGGAAAGGATCAAAAGAACTCTAAGGTCTCATGGGGGTAGCGACTGCAGAAAGCATCTACCACCTCTAGGGCTGAAAGAAACAAAGAAAAGACATTGAAATTATTAAGACTTAGAATCTGGTCTGCAAGTTTTGAAGAAACTTGCAAACTGGACTCAGCTGGTGTTATAAGAAGACACTGCACCGCTGTTGCCAAGGTGAATAAGTGATGCTCAAAACAATTCCACAAAAAGCAAACAGGAAAGAGCAAAGCCTTTTCCTCTTCTAGACTTGTAGCTCCCTTGAGCACTCCCATTAGCAGAGACTAAGAGAGCTGCTGGTGAAGCAGAAGTGCAGTTTTTCAGAATTCCAGCTCCAGCACCACAGACCAGGGTATGGAAAGGTAGGTTTGGAGCTGAGAGCCAGCAGCTTAATAACGGGAACAGGGGACATTATATTTCTCTGTTTCTATCCCGTTTTTACAAAGTGTTTAATTATCAGACGTCAGCCTCATTTCTAAAATTTGGGGGACTCATCTCATTGTCACCTCAAGTGCTTCTCTTAAGTTGCTTTCCGTTTGGTTGTGGGAGCAGACGCATGTACAATCAGCTGATTCTTAGCAACATGTGATGCTTTTGGTGAATGAAGGGCCGGAGGAAGTGGCGGAATGTGGGGACATGTGGGGACAGTTCAGCCTGAATGGTTCTAATCCTTAGAAGTGGCACAAGGCATTTGTACTAGGCATTGAAGCATGAGTGATGAGTAGAATTCCAACTGAGTTGACAAAAGAGTCACTGTAAGGTCCATTTTACAGAAGAAGAAACTGAGGCCCAGAGAGTTCGTTTCTGGAGTCACAAAGAACCACGTCCGTCCATCCAACTGCTTAGCCTGGAGTCCTAAACCATTGCCCTGTGACCATAGCTTGCAATTTCTTCAGGTTTATCATCCTATAAAACTGGAATAATGATATTTGCCTTTTGGGGTAGTGGTGAGGGTTAACTGGTGTCATATATTAAAAACATAAACCCATTTTGGAAGACAGATGCTGGGCACATTTCCACGCCCACTCACCAGCCTTGCTACTTGTAGTTCAAATTCGTGCCTCAGCAAAGTTATAAATCAGTCCATGTCATAGATCTGAAGGTGGGAGGGGTGGTGGCGTTCTTACATAGTTGAAACCAAGAACATAAAATCCTTGAATGTCATTATCTCAGTGAATGCTAATAATAAGGATAATGATAATAATGGTAATATGCTTCCACTTAATGAATACCTACTATGTATGTGCCAGGTATTTTACATATATTATATCACTTTTGTCTATTCGGCAAATAGGTATTTAGTGTGCAACACATGCCTGGCATTATGTTAACGCTAACTGCCATAATGAAACTGAGTGTAGGTCTTATCATTCCTGTTTAACAGATGATGAGGTTGAGACTCACCCCTCTGGCCTCTTTTCTCACTTGTACAACAGGGACAATAATAATCCTACCTGCAGGATGCATCAGGGAATACAGTTCATATAGCATATTGCCTGGGACATAGCAGATACTCAATGTATGCTTGTTACTTAATAGATTAGCACTACTATTTCTGCTAGTGCAACCACTGCTCAGGGTCACAGAGCTAGCAAATGGCCTATCTGACTCCACAGCCTCTGCTCTGTCCCCTCTGTCATGCTCTTTATGCTACGTCAGTCTTTCTACTATGGCTGCCTTCCCACAAAGGCAGGCCTGGCTTTACTGTAAATTCTGTTGGAAGAAAAGGAGGAGCAGCCAGAGGGCACCAAGTCACAGCAGAAACAGCTGTTTTGAAACAGAGGCAGGTCCCAGGAGTAGCTATTATCATTTTTTTCTCATAAAAGTGATCTACGGATGATTGGGTCAAGATGGCAGATGGGACACTTAATGGCAGCCTCGCCCCACCCCTAAATATCTAGAAATAACAGAAATGTGTGTGTGTGTGTGTGTGTGTGTGTGTATGTGTGTTCCAAAACCATATGGAAAATCAGGAAGGCATATGTCTCCAGTGGTTTAGAAACTACAAAAGATGAGATTAAAGAGAAGTGAAAAAAGCCTCAAACACACCAAGGCAGTAACTAATGGGTGTCATTTCAAGGGTGGTACATACCTAGAGCAAAGAGGTTGGGGACATAGGGGATTGATTTGGAGCAGTGCAATAGAAGCCGTCAGGCATGGTGACCAGCTCCCTCCCATCCACCCTGCTTTGGCTAAATAGTAAGTTACATAAGTGTCTCCCCGCAGATGGCAGCAGTAAGTCTGAATGCAAAACTGTGTCCTGGGTGAGCAGGTTGAGAAACAGAGGTCTCCAAGTCCAGAAAACAAATTTATATTCTATCCCTGGAGTTAGACTGTGGTGAACAGATAAAGCACTTTCAGATAGGCTGACAAGAAATTTTAAACTTCAAAATAAAAACATAGCCAAGAGTCACCAGATATTTGGAAAACCCAACACATGAAACAGTAACATCAAAAACAACAAACCAAAGAACTTACACCTGAGGAAACAGAGAGCAAATAGAACCAGACTATGGAATAAGTATCATTATATACCTTGGACAAATGGCAGAGCCTACTGTATTCATATTTTAAAAAAATAAAAAATGCATCGAGGTTTTAGAAATTAAAAAAATTATTCTTGAAATAAAAATCTCAATAGATGGGTTGAATAGCAAAATGGATTGAAGAGTATATCAGTGAATCAGAATATCATGCTAAGTAATTCTCCCGGAATGCAGTGCAAAACAATAAATAGATGGGTAGAATGAACAAAATGTTATGAGACATGAATGACAGATGTAAAAGTTCCACTATCTGCTTAATGTGAATTAGAGGAGAGAAGAAAATTAAGGAAGGAGAGTGCCTAAAACAAGGCAAAAATTTAAGACAATTTCTTAGAAATTGGAAATACTCACATTGAGAGGAACCAGTGAATATTTACAGGAAGAATGTAAAAACACTGAAATGTAAGTAAATCATGATGAAATTTCAGGACATTAAGGATAAGGAGGAAACTCTGAATGTTTTCAGAGTGAAAAAAAATTAGGCAGGATGGAATAAGAAGATTGATACCAGACTTTACATTTGCAACATAGTAAGTGAGAAAACAGAATAACATGTTTAAAGTTTTCTGGTGAAAATACTTGTGAACTTATGATTCTTGTTAAAGTGAACTAAATATGGCCTGAGAAGGACTCCATACTTGTGGACTAACCATAACCTAACTTAATAGACAAGATTGAAAACCTAGCTTAGGAGTATGCATCTGTAACAGTAGCTGAGTCGTGGCCAATCCCAGCAGCCATACTCCAATCACTCATACGCTGCTCCGTGTTCCAACTGTGTTCAGATAAGTCAAAGCCAACCTGTAACCAATCTAGCTGTTTCTTTTTCTTTCTTTTTTTTTGAGACGGAGTCTCGCTCTGTCCCCCAGGCTGGAGTGCCACGGCGCGATCTCGGCTTACTGCAAGCTCCGCCTCCCGGGTTCACGCCATTCTCCTGCCTCAGGCTCCCAGGTAGCTGGGACTACAGGCGCCCACCACCACGCCCAGCTAATTTTTTCTATTTTTTAGTAGAGACGGGGTTTCACCGTGTTAGCCAGGATGGTCTCGATCTCCTGACCTCGTGATCCGCCCGCCTCGGCCTCCCAAAGTGCTGGGATTACAGGCGTGAGCCACCGCGCCCGGCCTGTTTCTTTACTTCACTTCCAATTTCTGTGTGTCACTTTCCTTTTTTTGTCTATAAATTTGTTCTGATCATGAGGCATCCCTGAAGTCTCTCTGAATCTACTGCAGTTCTGGAGGCTCCCCGACTTGTGAATTGTTTTTTCTTCTTGCTCAATTAAACTCCATTAAGTTTAATTTGAAGTGTTCTTTTAACATTCTTTAACCAGCCAAACTGCAAGTGAATGTGAGGACATCATAAAGACATTTTAAGACACACAAACAGATTCAAAAAGTTTATAATTCACTGTCCACATAGAGTAACCTTTCTCAACAGGGTACCACTGGCATTTGGGGTGGAACAATTCTTTATTGTGTAAGACTGATCCACACATTGCAGGTTACTTAGTGTCCTTGACCATCATCCATTAAATGCCAGTAGCATTTCTCCTCCCCGTGACAATACACAGCAGCCCCACATTTGGAGGGGGTGCTGTATCACCTCTGGTTGAGAAACCATGGTGTAGAAAATATATTCAAAGAGAAAATAAATCTAGGAAAAAAAAAGGGATATAAGAAGCACAGGTGAGCAAGAAAATCAGTAAAGTTTACTTTTAAGTCTAAATAAATTATAACAATAAACCTATAATAATAAACTAAAATCTGAGATAACTCAGGATGGAGAGTTATGAAGTCTGGAAAGGAGGTAAGAGAGAGAAGTAAAAGCATGCTAGGAGCTTCATTTTATTTATACAATTAGCTCTGGATGTCAATTAATAATATGTGCAACTATGTATACAAAAATACAAAGATACAGAAACTAAACATATACTTTTCAAGTCATTAGAAGAAAAGTTAGTTGGGAACAAGTAAAATGCTAGCAGCTAACCAAAGATCAGGGATGAAAAAGAAACACAAAAACAGCATATAAAATAGAAAGCACAAGGTAAATTGGTAGAAAATGTGCAAATATATCAGTAACCATAAGAAATATGACTATATCAAATTCGCTGCTAAAAGACAGTGACTTTCGAATTGGGTTTAAAAAGAGTCAAACCGTGTGTTTTTGTATAAGAGACAGTAAAACACAGTAATATAGAAAGGTTGAAAATAAAGAGTTGGAAAAGGTAACTGGGAAAATGCCAGGAAAAGGAAAGCAAGTGGTACAAGCAATCTTATCATTTGACAGAACGGATTTTAAGAAAAAATAATCATTGTTACTCAAAAAGACAAAAAATAATATTTCATAGTGATAAAATACTCAATCTACTAATCAGTTTAGCCTTATGCTTGTGTGTGCCTAGTAACATAGGATTGAAATTTGTAATACAAAAACAGAATTATAAGGAGAAAACAAATCCATGACTTCGTGGGAAACATTACCTTTAGAAATCTATAGAACAAGTAGTCAAAAATCAAGTAAGAAACAAAGATCTAGTACCATGATCCACAAGGTTTTATTATTAATATTATTACTATTTATTTATTTATTACTATTTTATTTACTATTTTATTTATTTACTATTTATTTTATTTATTTATTTATTATTTATTTTATTTATTTATTTACTATTTATTTATTACTATTGTTCTATCACCCAAGCTGGAGTGCAGTGGTGCCATCTCAGCTCACTGCAGCCTCAACTTCCCAGGCTCCAGCAGTCCTCTCATCTCAGCCTCCCAAGTAGCTGGGACCACAAGTGCACACCACCATGCCTGGCTAATTTTTGTATTTTTGGTAGAAATGGGGTTTCACCATGTTGCCTAGGCTGGTCTCAAACTCCTGAACTCAAGCGATTTACCCACCTCGGCCTCCCAAAGAGCTGAAATCACAGACATGAGCCACTGCACCCAGCCCACCAAGTTTAATCAAATAAATTTATATAGAGATAAATGTTTGCCTTTTTCAAACACACATGATAACTTTATAAAAATCGTCCTGACTTGAAATAATAGCTTTTTTTCCTTTTAACCTTTTATTTCTTCTTTTCTGTCCAATGATGCTGCCTGCTTCTCCTCTTCCCAGGTAACATTGCTAGCAGAGTGACTGTATCCATCTATATCTTTCTTCATGCTCATAAAATCATATCTAAATATATACATATATATGTAGATTTCTCTTCCTATAGCTTACAAAAATAGAACCACAGTTTATAAATTTCTCTGCATCTTTCAGAAATGGAAGATGGAAGTGCTCTCCAGTCAGTAGACAGAGGTTTCAGTTATTCTTGTTAAATGGCTGCATTATGTCATGATATAAATGTACTGCAATTTACTCAATAATTCTACTGTCTATGGGCATTCACATTGTTTTCAGGTTTTTTCCTCCCATTGCAATCATGATCACTGTTGATGTGAACATCCATAGACACATATATTCTGGTGTTTTTATTTCTATGGGAAGAATTCCCATGCGTGGGATTGCCGGGTGAAAGAATGTGTGGAGTTGTTTTCTTTTGATATACGTTGCCAGATTGCTCTCCAACAAGGTCACAGCTGCTGGCGATGTGGTGAAGAGTGTCCCTTTCCAGCCTGTAGTAGGTGTTATCATGTTCCCAATTTGCTAGTCTGATGTGAGTAAAGTGATAACTCATTGTTGTGTAATTTACATTTCCTTAACTCTTAGGGAGACCGAACATCTTTTTACATTTATTCAACATTTGGACTTGTTCTTCTGGGAATTGTCTAGGATAGCTTTTGATCATTTTTATGCTGATACCATTTTTATTCTGATACGCACATAGGTATTAACCCTTTATCTGCCATCTGATTTGCAAATAAATGGAAAGATCTCATCAAGTACTAGGTTGATGTAATGTCACATGTTTTCTTCTAAAATGGTTTCAGTTTTTTAGATTTAAGTCTTTAATTCATCTGGAGCTCATTTCTGTCTAAATGACATAAAATAAAGTCCCAATTTTATTTCTTTTGTCTCTGCAATGTCCAATACAGTAGCCATAGCCACTTGCGGCTATTGAGCACTTGAAATATTACTCTTCAGAACTGGAATGGGCTGTAAGTCTAAAATATACACTGATTTCCAAGACTCAGTATGGAAAACAAAGACTGTAAAATGTCTAATTTATAACTTTTATATTGATCATATGTTGAAATGTGAATGTTTTGGATGCATTAGAATAAATAAAATATTTATGTAAATTAACTGTATATTTCTTTTTACTTCTTAATGTGGCTACTAGAAAAATTTTAGGCCAGGCATGGTGCCTCACGCCTGTAATCTCAGCACTTTGGGAGGCTGAGGTGGGAGGATTGCTTGAGCCCAGGAGTTTGAGACAAGCCTGGACAACACAGTGAGATCCAATCTTTAAAAAATTTTTTAAAAAAATTAACCAGGCATGGCGATATATGCCAGTGGTCCCACCTACATGGGAGGCTGAGGCAGGAAGATCGCTTGATGCTGGGAGGTTGAGGCTGCAGTGAGCCATGTTAGAGACACAGCACTCTAGCTTGGGTGACAGAACAAGACCCTGTCTCAAAAAAAAAAAAAGACATTTTAATTACATGCGTAGCTTACATTATATTTCTATTGGACAGCTCTATTTCAGATGATCAGTTGCGCCAGAGCTATTTCTTAAACATTTTTGCTCTCTTTCACTTATCTTTTATCTGCCTCATGAGGGGTATATCTATTTTATGTCTCATAGTAGACATCTGTCTTATTCATCACTTGCCATCATCTTTGAATAGCCCTTTTCTGTTGGGAGAAATTCACAATCATGAGTTTCACCTCTCCAGGGTAGGAGTTAGACCTCAAATTCCCAATCTCTCTCACAGTTAAGATATGCATATTTGACGTTTGTAGAATGAATTGGAAGTCAGTTACATGAGGGATCAAATTCTGCATGGAGTTTTTATTTCCATAGGCGCAGGTGGCACATGCAACCAGCTTTGATGGTGGCGGTTCCAGAAGAGGTTGCGAGGTCAAGGCCCTGCCTTTGGTGGGTGGTGACAGCAGTGGCAGTTTCTTTATCAGGCCAGCACTGGGTATACTTTGGGCATTGCTTAACCTTGAATCTGACTTTTCAGCCCTCCCGATAATACTGTGAGCTACTTGGCCAGGCATGATGGCTCACTCCTATAATCCCAGCATTTTGGGAGGCTGAGGTGGGCGGATCACTTGAGGTCAGGAGTTTGAGACCAGCCTGACCAACATGGTGAAGCCCACAAAAATTGGTCAGGCGTGGTGATGTGTGCCTGTAGTCCCAGCTACTCGGGTGGCTGAAGCAGGAGAATCGCTTGAACCTGGGAGGCAGAGGCTTGCAGTGAGCTGAAATCACGCCACTCTCCTCCAACCCGGGCAATAGAGTGATACTCCTTCTCAAAAAAAAAAAAAATACTATGAGCTACTCAATATCTTTTTAATAAATTTGCTTTCTGCTTAATCATCCAAATCAGCTTCTGTTGCTTGCAATATAGAATCCTGACTGATATACTGGGATTTTTTTTCCTTAAAGACATAGATTTTGGATTTATTTTTTCCTGGTATTTCCCCTTACTATTTCTAAAATATTATCTTCCATCTTAATGAGTTTCCCCTTCCCCCAGCTAATTTTCTTGTCCTTTTTCTATTTCTCAAGAATATTGTTTTAGCCTGGATTCTCTAGAAAACAGAACCTTTGGCAAGTTTGTATGCCAACACCTCACTGGGGAGTGCAACCTCAGAGAAACCAGATTGAGGGAAAAATGAGGCAAGAAGGAGAAGTGCAAAGATAAGAGGCATTACTGAGAGGACCCGAGTTTTGTAATTAATGAAGCTAACTGCTTGGACTCACAGTACATCTTCAGATCTTCAGAGAAGTTGTATGAACTACCCTGTCTTGGAACATCCTCAGGAGGAGAAAGTGAGTAGAATTTAACCACGGCTCCTTCCTGTCTCTTGTCTCATCCCCTGTGGCTCAAAGTCTCCCCCACAGGGCATTAACCCTCCAGCACATTCAGGCTGTATTACCTGGTCTCTCCAGACAGCAGCCGGGGAAGCCAGAGCCTTCCAGACCAATCTAGCTAGTGCAGGTAGTAGCTTGTCTCTCCTTTTCTGACAGTGCCACTGTGGGGATTCTCCATCTATAGTGTAGTCAATGGCAGAGGCATGGACCTCGTTCCATGACCAGGGACTAGCTTGCTGTCCCCTGTAGCTCTCTTCTATCTAGGATTGAAGGCAAGGGGTTTAGGCCTGAGGTTGGTGAGTATAGGGCTTAGGGAGAAGATATCACAGAGAGATCTACGGCAGTGCATACCAAGTCTGGTACATTCCACTTTGCACCATTCAGACCTACTTTCACCCTCTTATAATATCTGGAGCACATATAAGAACGATGCCTTCATTTCGTCTCCTAGGGGAGAGATGCAAGTCAGTCCTCCAAGGTGGTGACTTGTTGCAGCTTCTGGCAATTTTAGAGGGTTGGCAAACCAAGTACAGTTTTTGCTGCTGTAACCTGTTCCAGGATAGTAATTCCAATTCATTGTCTTCCTCCTCTGCTACCTATTCTGGATTTCCCTCCCTCTTGGCTATTATGCAACTGAAATGGGTTGCTTCCTGGTGGAGTGACTCAGACCTTCCTCCTCAAGGGATCTGAGGGATCTGAGCCCTTGCTCTTGTCTAACTGTAGTTGCTGCAAGGAATTTAGGACTGTCCTTTGCATGGAAGTCCTAAGAGATGCCCAGGGATTCCCTGGATTCTCATTGTGTAGCAGTTACCCCAGCTCCTCATGTTACAGGGTGGATTATCTCAGCAGGTAAAACCATTCTTTCTTTATCTGCTAGTCAACTGGCATGAATGACCAAAATGGCCCCAAATGGCCAGCTGGTTTGAGAGGCTAATCTTACTTCCAGTCCTTTGCTCCTGGGGATATCACACTGTATATTGGCCATTAATTCAGTGTATGTACCATATTCTGGAGGAAAGCACCTCATCCCCAAAAGGTGTCGTCTCCAAGCTGGTACCTTAACTAAACCTTGGAGAGGCCATTTCTGTCAGTCTGATTGCTTTTGGGTGATGATGTATAGCCTTGCTACTTAAAGTTTGTGTGTGTGTGTGTGTGTGTGTGCGTGTGTGTGTAGGGGACCAGTAGCAGCAGAAGAACCTGGGAGCATTTTAGAAGTGCAAATTCTCAGCCAGCTGTGGTGGCTTACACCTGTAATCCCAGCACTTTGCAGGCCAAGGCAGGAAGATCGCTTGAGCTCAGAGTTCAAGACCAGCCTGCACAACATAGTGAGGCCCTGCCTCTACAAAGACAAAAAAATTAGCCAGGCTCAGTGGTGTGCATCTGCAGTGAGCTGAGCTATTATTCCAACAGTGCAGTCTATCCTGGGTGACAGAGCAAGACCCTGTCTTAAAAAAAATTGCAAATTCTCAGGCTCCCCTCCAGACCTACTGAAGCAGAATCTGCATTTTAACAAGATTCCTAGGTGATCTGTAGGCACATTAAAGTTTGGTACCTGGTTTACATGGTAAGACCTATGTGATGTTCACTGAAGCAGGGCAATGGTTGATGTCAGAGGAGGAAGCGTGGGGTACAGGGTTGCTATGGATCTGTAGCAATACATAAACTGAGTCATATACAAGTATTAAGTTCATTTATTGACAAAGTTACTTAAGCCTATACAACTTCCATTGACTGCAGCTTTTTCTGTCTTCCATTAGCTTTTGAATGACGAGGTCTCCTTTCCATTGTTTTCCAGATAATTTGTAATTTTATTTTTTATTTCCTTTGATCCAACGGTTACCTAACACTGTATTTCTTACACTTAATTTCCAAATCAGTAGCATATTTTGGTAATATTTTAAATTATTTACTTCTCTTTTTATTGGATGATGAATGGAAAAGATAGCCTATAAAATACCTAATTTATTTAATTTTTCAAGATTTTCCTTATGACCCAATAGGAAATAAATTTTGGTAAATACTCCATGTATGCATAAAAATCTATATTCAGTAGTTGAAGAAATACTTATTTGAGTTTGCTGATTCTATTTTTAATCCTTCTACGCATCCATTTTTCCTATTAGAGCTACTGACTTTGAAATAGACATGTTGAAGTCTCCCATCGAAATTGTATTTTTATGAGGCTCTCTTTATATTTCTAATACTTTTTTGCTTTCTATATTTATTTGCTATGTCGTTTGGTGCATAAAGTTTTATGCTCATTAAATCCTCTTCTTAAATTTTGTAGTAATAATATCCCTCTTTATCCAGTTTGGAATTTTATTCCTAAAATCCAACCCATGTGATGTGGATATTGCTACTCAAACTTTTTGTTTGTTTCCAGATCAAAACTAATTTTTGGATCCTGAACACACTGAGCAAGAATATCCGTTGTGGCCCTGAGACCAGCTGCACTGGCTGGGTTGGTAGTGTCTCCCTCTAACCCTCCTTTTAAGTTTCTCCCAGGAAAGATGCCCACGGGAATCCTGGAGTTGTAGCTCCTGGCACCTAAGTGAAAAAGTGGCTCTGTGTGGCAAACGGGCAGACTGTAGTGGACACTTGGTGTACTGCCCAGATTCCCCCTCAAGAGTGAAGGACTTATTTCTATAGCTGCTGGCAGTGTTGCCAGCAAATAGCCATCAGATATCAGCTCTTTTCTGGAAGTGCCTGGGTTGAAGAGTCCAGGCTTACCCAAGGTCACGCCCTCTCCCAAGACAGTTCATGCCTTATTACTGGTGGACATGAAGGCACAAAGCCCCAGCTCCCCTCACTCCAACTTGGGACAACCCTGAAGTGCCATTACAGCTTCAAAGCTCCTCAAGGAGATGGCTGTTGCTTTTATTGAATCTGTATCACAGTCCACTTCCTCACTTTGCCTGATCCTTCTTCCTTCCCTTTCCAAGATGTTGATCCCAAGAGCTCGCCTTAATAAATTTCCTGCATGCACATCTCTGAGTCTTCCTTCTACGGAGGCCAGTTTATGACAATTGGAGGTTGTCCTTATTCTTAGGGGATGTATACTTAAGAGTGAAGAGTCATAACATGGGTAATTTATTTTCAAATTATTCTGGAAAAATGTGTATGCATATATGTATAAAAAGGAGACAGAGATAAAGCAAGTGTGGTAACATCTTAACAACTGGTGAATCTGGATGATTCATATACGGATGTTTATTGTAGCATTCTTCTGCCTTTTCTGAGGATTTGACATTTACAAAATATCAAGGTGAAAACAAAATCCCTTTCCTCTATTTTTAATAGGTGTTTCAGTGGGAACAAAATTAGGCTTGTATATTCAATCTGTATCTTTACCTGGGACCTCTTCATTATTTTTAAACCTTTGTTTTGTTTTTCTAATACAATTATTTAAATCTGTACAGGCATACCTGGTTTTATTGCACTTTCCAGCTATTGTGTTTTTATAAATTGAAGAATTGTGGCAACACTGCATAGAGCAACTCCACCATTTTTTTCTAACACCATGTCCTCACTTCATGTCTCTATGTCACATTTTGGTAATTCTCACAATATTTCAAACTTTTTCACGATGATTGTATCTGTTACGGTGATTTGTGATCAGTAATCTCTGGTGTTACTATTTTAATTGTTTTGGGGTACGAATGTGCCCATATGACAGTGAACTTGATCCATAAATATTATATGTGTTCTGAATGCTCCACTTACCAGCTGTTCCCTTATCTCTATACTTCTCTCCTTGGGCCTCCCTATTCCCTGAGACACAGAATATTGAAATTAGG
The DNA here is from genome assembly GCF_000001405.40 of Homo sapiens. NCBI lineage: Eukaryota > Metazoa > Chordata > Mammalia > Primates > Hominidae > Homo > Homo sapiens. Next base: position 46,427,258 of record NC_000020.11, read on the forward strand.
CCAATTAATGACCCTACAATGGCTTCTGTGTGTTCAAGTGAAAGGAAGTGTTGCACATATCTCATTTTAAATCAAAGGCTAGAAATGATCCCCACAAGCACAAGTAACTAAAGCAAAAATGGACAAATGGGTCACATTAAGTTAAAAAGCTTCTGCCCAGTGAAAGAAACAACAACATGAAAAGACAACCCACAGAATGGATGAAAATACTTGCAAACTATCCACATGACAAGGGATCAATAACCAAAATATATAAGGAGCTCAAATAACTCTATAGGAACAAAATCTAATAATCTAATTTAAAAATGGGCAAAAGATCTGATGAATAGACATTTTTCAAAAGAGGACATACAAATGAGAAGCAGGTGTATGAAAAGGTGCTCAACATCACTGATCATCAGATAAATGCAAGTCAAAACTATAATGAAGCATCATCTCACCCCAGTTAAAATGGTATTTATCCAAAAGACAGACAATAACAAGTGCTGGTGAGGATGTGGAAAAAGGAGAACCCTCATACACTGTTGGTGGGAACGTAAATTAGAACAATTCAGAGGTTCCTAAAAAAACTAAAAATAGAGCTACCATATGATCCAGCAATCCCACTGCCAGGTATATACACAAAAAAATGGAAATCAGTATATTGAAGACATATCTGCATTCCCATGTTTATTGAAGCACTATTCACAATAGCCAAGATTTAGAAACAACCTAGTGTCCATCAACGATGAATTGATAAAGAAAACGTGGTTGATTTATACAATGGAGTACTATTCAGTCATAAGAATGAACGAGATCCTGTCATTTGCAATGACGTAGATGGAACTGGCAGTCAGTGCATTAAGTGAAATAGGCCAGGAACAGAAAGACAAACTTGGCATCTTCTCACTTATTTGTGGGAGCTAAAAATTAAAAGAATTGAACTCATGGAGATAGAGAGTCAAAGGATGGTTACCAGAGGCTGGGAAGGGTAATTGGGAGAGGGGTAGGGGAGTGAGGATGGTTAATGGGTCCAAAAAAATAGAAAGAATGAGTAACACCTGATATTTGACAGCATAACAGGGTGATGACAGTCAATAATAATTTAATTGTACATTTAAAAGCAACAAAGAGTACAATTGGATTGTTTGTAACACAAAGGAAAAATGCTTGAGGTGATGGATACCTGGTTTATCCTGATGTGATTATTACACATTGTATGCTAGTATCAAAATATCTTATGCAGCCCATAAATATACATAACTACTATGTCTCCACAAAAATTAAAAGTTAAAATTAAAAAAAGAGAAATGATTAAGCTTAGTGAGGGAGGCATGTTGAAAGCCAAGAAAGGTCAAAAGCTAGGCATCTTGCACCAAACAGCCAAGTGGTGAATGCAAAGAAAAACTTCTTGAAGGAAATTAAAAGTGCTAATTCAGAACACATGAATGATAAGAAAACAAAAGAGCCTTATTGCTGATACAGAGAAAGTTTGAGTGGTCTGGATAGAAGATCAAACCAGCTGCAACATTCCCATAAACCGAAACCGAATCCAGAGCAAGCCCCTAACTCTCTTCAATTCTATGAAGACAGAGAGGTGAAGAAGCTGCAGAAGAAAAGTTTGAAGTTATCAGAGGTTGGTTTATGAGGGTTAAGGAAAGAAGCCATCTCTATAGCATAAAAATGCAAAGTGAAGCAGCAAGTGCTGATGGAGAAGCTGCAGCAAGTTCTCCAGAAGATCTAGCTAAGATCACTGATGAAGGTGGCTACACTAAAAAACAGATCTTCAATGTAGACAAAACAGCCTTCTATTGGGAGATGATGCCATTAAGGACTTTCGCAGATAGAGAGAAGTCAATGCTTGGCTTCAAAGCTTCAAATGATAGGCTGACTCTCTTGTTAGTAGCTAAGGTAGTTGGTGACTTTAAGTTGAAGCCAATGCATATTTCCCATTTCTCAAGTCTTAGAGCCCTTTAGAATTATGTTACATCTCTTTGGCCTGTGCTCCATAAATGTAACAACAAAGCCTGGATGACAGCACATCTGCTTATAGCAAGGTTTACTGATTATTTTAAGCCCACTGTTGAGAACTGTGCTCAGAATAAAAAAGATTCCTTTCAAAATATTACTGCTCATCGACAAAACACCAGGTCACTCAGAAACTCTGATGAAGATGTACAAGGAGACAAATGTTGTTCCTATCCCTGCTAACACAGTATCCATTCTGTAGCCCATGGATCAAAGAGTAACTTTGACTTTCAAGTCTTATTATTTAAGAAATACATTTTGTAAGGCTATAGCTGCCATAAATAGTAATTCCTCTGATAGGTCTGGGAAAAATACATTGAAAACCTCCTAGAAAGAACTTACTATTCTAGATTACATCAAGAATGCTTGTGATTCAGGAGAAGAGGTCAAAATATCAACATTAATAATAATTTAGAAGAAGTTGATTCCAACTTTTATGGATAACTTTGAGAGACTCAAGGCTTCGGTGGAGGAAGTAACTGCAGATGTGATAGAAATAGCAAGACAACTAGAATTAGAAGTGGAGCCTGAAGGTGTGCCTGAACTGCTGCAATCTCATGAGAAGACTTTAATGAGTGTGGAGTTACTTTTTATGAATGCTCAAAGAGAGCAATTTATTGAGATGGCAACTACTTCTGGGGAAGAGTCTATCAACATCGTTAAAATGACGACAAAGGATTTAGAATATTACATAAATTTAGTTGATAAAGCAACTGCAGGGTTTGAGAGGATTGACTCCAATTTTGAACGTTCTACTGTGGGATAAATGCTATCAAACAGCATCACATGCTACAAAGAAAGCTTTCATGAAAGGAAGAGTTGATTGATGCAGCCAACTTCATTGTTGTTTTATTTTAAGAAATTGCCACAGTCACCCCGAACTTCAGCAAACTACCACTCACATCAGTCAGTAGCCATCAACACTGAGGTAAGACCCTCCCACCAGCAAAAAGATTACGACTCACTGAAAGCTCAGATGATCATCAATATTTTTTAGCAATAAAGTATTTTAAAATTAAGGTATGTACATTTATAGACATAATGCTATTGCCCACTTAATTGATGACAGTATAGAGGAAACATAACTTTTATATGCACTGGGAAACCAAAAAATTCATATGACTCACTTAATTGCAATATTAGCTTTATTGTAGTGGTCTGATACTGAAGTTGCATTATCTCTGAGATATGCCTGTATATCTTCCTTTGAATGCTTCTTCGGTCATAGTTCACAGATTTTTTATTTTTTGTGCCCTCATTGTTATTCATTAGAAATAATTTATAATTTCTACTTTAATTTTTCTTTTGAACCCAATAGATAGTTAAAAGAGTAGGTTTTGAATATTCATGTCTATAGGGGTTTTGTTGGTAATGAGGTTTTTGTTTGTTTGGCTATTCTTTGGCGATTTCTAGTTTTATTGCATTGTGGTCTGTGAACACATTTCTGCCATTTAGAATATAGTGGAATTTCCTCTGAGAATTCTGCGGGGATGGTTGTTGAATACATCTGTGCTGCCTTCATCCTTCAATTTAAAACCAGCTACTGAACCTTTTGTGAGCCAAGCAGCTTCTGGGGTTTAGAGATCTAGTGCATCTCTGGGGTCCAGAAGAAGGGAGTTGGCAGAGCAAGTTTCTGCTTCTGAGCCCCACGACAGCCCGGGGACTGGAGGTGCAGAGCCCAGGAGTAATGGTCAGAAGAAAAGTGAAATCGGGAACACTTGACCTACGGAAATCCAAGGACCTCCCAAGGGAGAGGCTGCAGCTGCCCCCGTGAGCACTCTATGGTCTCATTGTTCCAGCTCATACAAAGCTGTGGGGGAGAACAAAAGTGCTAAATCCTCTCCTCAACTGGGAAAATGCCAGTCTTTGCAGCTGAAGAGACTAGCGGGCAGAGGGAGACCTTTTGGGACCAACCACTTGCCAGCGGACCCAGCAAGTCAAAGACTGTTGCAACATCCATTACTCGAGAGACTGGCCTTGCTCTAGATCCCCAGCAGCTGAACATGGGCCCCAGTGGGTCAGCAAAGGAAAATACCAACCCATCCTGGGGGACCCAGAAGTGAGAAAGTGAAAGAACCAGCATATTGCAGAGAACAACAGCTACAAACCTTCTGGGGGAGAGAGAGGACAGCCTGAACCAAAAACAATGATAACAACAACACGTAAGGAACCACAAATACAGTGTGCATAAACGCACGCATACACACACGCATGCACACACGCGCACACACATGCATGCACACATACACACATGCATGCACACGCACACACGCATGCACACACACACATGCACACACACACACATGCACACACACACATGTTCTGGATCTAAAGAATCTCATTTTCAGACTAAAAATTTCAAGAGATGAATCAAAGGATTGCAGAGTCACTGTTGAAACCTGACCTAGAATGCCAAATGGAGTAATGAAACAAAACACAAATCAAAAATGCAAAGAGAGGAAAATTATGAGGTGAAATAAACAGTTTGAGGAAATGATGCAGGCAATCAAATACTTGCATATTTGGATTATTCTATGTTGGAATTATTATTATTAGGATAATAGAAATTTGTAAAATAAAGCAGATGGAAGACAGGCAATAATTAAACAAATAATAGAGGAAATTGTCCTTGAAAATTTTCCAATAAAGACTTGATCTGAGATTTGAAGGACCCACTGAATTCCAAACAGAACTTACACAAAATAATACTCATCTTTAGCCATGTCCTGAAAACAATGACTGAAATCTCAAGTGTTAATATAAAAGCTTACTCATTTCTAGAGAGGGAAAATAAGTAACTTACAAAGAAACAATGAGATGTCATTTGACTTCTCATCTGCATCCGTGGAAGCAAACTATGCTGTAAGTATATCTACAGATTTCTGAGAGAAGAGGAATCCTAAAAGAAAGACTAATAGTAATGTCAGACTGTAAGTCCTGAAGGATCTCAGCCTAGTATTTAGGGAAGGGGTGGAAGAAGATGGAAGGTAAAAGTGTTTCAATATCTTTGCGGGCTGAGGATATAGAAAAATACTACAAATAGGTCTCTTTAATGTGGGGAAATAGATGCTTTTCTCACATAATGGAGGATTATATAATTGCAATTGTGTATTTTATTCTGAATGTGAAAAAAATACAGATAACCACTCATGGCATGGAAAAGTATAGCGCTTCTCTAAGAAACCTATAAGAATCTATAAGAAAATCTAAAAGAAAAAAATCTACAAGAAAAAAAAAATCTAATAAATGGCCATGTTACCAAGCCATCAAAAACAAGAAAAAGAGAGAAAGGACAAAGTAAAATAAATAGTGAACCTGAGTTAAAATGGAAGAAATGAAATAAATTATATCCAGGTTTACACAAACCTCAAATGAGCCGAATTCTCCCATTAAAACTCAAAGTTCATTAAATAGGATTGAAGAACAAAAACCAGCCATATGCTGTTGTTAGAAATACTATATCAGTCAGAATTGGTGTAACAGAAACCCAACTTACAGTGGTTTAAATATGTAAGAAATTTAATTTTCCTTGCAGCAGAGAGCTGCCGATATAGGCAGCTGCTCAGAAAACCTCTACCCTTTTCCAGCTTCCCTCACCCTCAGCACCTCTGCTGGGCTTGGTAGCTTACCTGATGGTGTGACCCCAACCTTCATTCCTAAGCGATCTGAGCCCTTCTTGGTCACCATGCCTCTCATGTATGAGGCCATGATGGATGTACGTGTCCATTTACCATCAAAACTGGGCACCTGATCCATATACCAAGCTCAGGCTCCTTCCTCCTCTGTTGGCTGGTCATAAAGGACCCTTCTCTCCACCCCATGCAGCCATCAGTATGAGCTGAGAGCAAGACAACAGGTGGATGAGATGGGGGTCTGGTTACCTGCTCACGCAGCTCGCTTATGCCATCTGGTCCTCCTTCTGCTCAATCCTCCATGTCCCACTTCTATTCTGGCATGCTGCTGGGCCCACCTGATCTTATGACTTGGTTGATCTGACAAATATCTGACTCATTGTGGATAGTTTTGGCTGCACAATCGTTTGCTTTCCCGTGATCGGGTGTTCCCTCCCTCCGGGGCCAAGTAGCCCTCAGGAGCTTGTGATGGTTAATTTTAGGTGTCAACCGGACTGGGTTAAGGAATAGCTAGAGAACTTGTAAAGCATCACTTCTGGGTGTGTCCGTGAGGGTGTTTCCAGAGGACAGTGGCCTGGGACTTTGTGGACTGAGAGGAGGAGATCTGCCCTCATTATGGGCAGGCACCATCCAATCAGCTGGCACCCGCATAGAACAAAAAAGGCAGAAACAAAACAAAACAAAACAATTTTCTCTCTCTCTCTCTCTCTCCCTCCCTCTCTTCTTCTCTCTCCTGGAGCTGGAACACACTTTTTTCTCCTGCCTTTGGACATCGGAACTCCAGGCTCTCCAGGCTTTCCAGACTCTGGACTTAACAGCAGTCTCTGGACTTACAACAGCAGCCCCCTGGATCCTCAAGCCTTTGGCCTCAGACTAATAATTATATCAGCAACTTCCTGGTTCTGAGGCTTTTGGGCAGCCATGCTACTAGCAACCCAGCAGTTCCAGCAGAAGGCCTGTTGTGGGACTTCTCAGCCTCCATGAGCATGTGAGCCAATTCCCTTAATACATCTATCTCTTTCTAAATTGATTTATTGATCTAGAAAGATTGATCCTATTGATTCTGTCTCTCTGGATAACTCTAATACAGAGCTATATATCAAAGAGTGTGTAATTCTCTGATGCAGATGACATGACTTGCTCCAGAACCCTGGGGATCTGAGTTGTGATTTTCCCAGTGAGACTTGCCATATACTTTATTCAATGTCTTTTCTGACCACCAATATCTCTAATACCATAGGGCCTGCTAGGTCATGTGGCCAAAGCTTCAAGGATACCTGCTTTGCAGGCTGGACCTGCTGCAGAGCTCTTTTCTACTCTTGGTGCCTCTCAAAGGCAGCAGCTTTTCCTTTTACCAGATATTTGGATCAGAGCAGTATTCTCATGTTTGGAATGTGCTGCCTCTAGAACCCAAAGAAGTCTATAGGCATGGCACTTTCTTCTTGGTGGTGATGGGAGATGAAAGATAGAAAAGTTTTGCCCTTACTTTTGAGGGAACGTTCTAGCATGCTTCAGAACATGGAACTCAATTTTTTAACCTATTTGGAAGTCCTTGCACTTTTGAAGAGTTTAGTCTTGTACCCTCTGAAGTGCTTGTGTCTTACCAAGTCCTACATGTTCTAGCCACTTCACCCGGTCCAATTAGCATATGTCATCAATAGAGGGGACCAGTGTGATATTCTGTGGATGTCCAGCCAGTTCAGGCCTCTTCATATTATGTCATGACAGCACCAAACAGTTGAGATAACCCCTGGGAAAGACTGTGTATGTGTACTGTTGTCCACTCCACCAAATGTGAACTGCTTCTGATACTGTTTTTTTGATAGGGATGGAAAAGAACACATTAGCTGCATTGATGGCTGCATGCCAGGTGCCCAAGGCTGTGCTCATCTGCTCTAGCAGAGGTACCACACATGGCACAGAAGCTGCATTGAGGCCACTGTTTGGCAGAGTTTGCAGTAGTCCACTGTTATCCTCCAGAATATGTCTGGGTTTTGCAGGGGCAAGACTGGTGAATTACACAAGCTATGAGTGGACTGCCACCTCAGCATCATTTAGGTTTTTAAGGATGGCTCTGGTCTCTAATATTCCTCTTTGGATGGATGTGACATTTTAAAAAGTGTACTCATTTGGTTGGGTTGGGGTGTTGGGGGCTATTTCAGAGGCTTCCACTGGTCTTCTTTACTCTGATAGCTCCTACCCCATGGGCCAAGGGACCAGCATGGGAGCTGTGCCAATTGCCAACATGTCTATTCCAATTGGGGACTGGGGAGATGGCCATGGGGTTGGCCCATGGGTCTAGTGAACCCGCTGTAACCCAGACTTCGGCCAGGATCCCATTTATTTCCTGCCCTTCATATGCCCTCGATTTAATAGGGAGGCTACGATGATGCTTTGGGTTCCTGGGTAAATGTCAATCTGGACCCTGTGCCAATAGTTCTCGATGTTTGAGTGTTCCTCTTTCTCCAGCGTGTGGCCATCTGTCATGGCATCACAGGGTCCTCCTAGGAAGCCAGCCTCTCCTTCAATTCATGTGCTTTAAACACTAAAACTGGTTCTGGTCTGGAAACTAAGTGAAGGAGTGTGACTTTTTTTTGAGGAGTGATCACCCTCAACTACCTGACCAGGAATGTTAAATTGTAGAAAATGTGTATCTTAGTGGTCAGACATTTCTATGTATAATATGCACAAGAAAAAGACTCTCTAGGCATACAGCAGACTGTCAGCCATACCTACCTCTCTGTGGCAATATTATGGGCCATTTAACTTTATCCTTTTTTGTTTGTTTGTTTTTTAAGACAGAGTTTCACTCTGTTGCCCAGGCTGGAGTGCAGTGGCACGATCTCAACTCACTGCAACCTCTGCCTCCTTGGTTCAAGTGATTCTCCTGCCTCAGCCTCCCAAGTAGCTGGGACTACAGATGCACACCACCATGCTTGGCTAATTTTTGTATTTTTAGTAGAGGCGGGATTTCACCATGTTGCCCAGGCTGGTCTCAAACTCCTGACCTCAGGGTATCTACCTGCCTCGGCCTCCCAAAGTGCTGGGATTACAGACATGAGCCACCACGCCCTGCCTAACTTTATTCTTTATACTGAAGGAGTTAAAAATATGCCACTCTGGCATAGTGACTATTTTGAGTTAAAGGCACTTGAAAAACAGCAGGTACAAGAAGATTGCCTTGATCTTCCTTCTGTTACTTAAAAGCAGGACATAAAATTCCCATGTGAAAGATGCCCTCCCTTTAACAGAAAGAAAGTAACATTCTTATCAAGGACAGGAAGGTGAGGTCGTGGGAAACCTTTACACACAGACCCGGTTCAACTAATTCCTATCTTCCTAGTCACTTCTCCACCTGATCAATGACCCTAGCCCCAGTACCTTTGCCTCGTCCCACTTTCATGACTTATGATACTTTGTCCATTTCAGTTTATAAGCATTCATCTCTAACAGCGTCTTTGGGCCTTTGTTTCCTTATGAAGGCTCCTGTGCAGGTAAAACTTGCATTAAATAACTGTGTGTGCTTTTCTCCTGTTGATCTGTCTCATGTCAATTTCATTTTCAGGCCCAGTTAGAAAAGAACTCTAAAAGGGTAAGGTAAAATTTTTCCTCTCCTACAATACTTTAATGTATTTTTCACATTTTTATATTATAGCAAATATATTCTGTCATGCCAGAGATTACATATGTAATATGTGTTTTCCATCCTCTGGAGAGATGTTCCAGAAAATTGTCTTGGCCTAACTGGATGTGGTTGTCAACTCCCTGCTCTCTGAAGGATGGATATGAATATTTGACATCTCTTAAGAAGTCTTCCTAGGAAAGAATCCTTTTGAATTACAGAAAGTGGCTCCCTCCCCCAGAGAGGCCCCACTGCCTGGGGAAAGAGACTTTAATCAGCCCCTTTGTTAAAAAGTCAAACAAACGCTTGCCATAAAACCCAGTGATTCTACTCCTAGGTACTCACTCAAGAGAAATAATTTTAAAAAATTAATCAGATGTGGTGATCTACACCCGTAGTTCCAGCTACTTGGGAGGCTGAGGTAGGAGGATCATTTGAGCCCTGGAGGTTGAGGCTGCAGTGAGCTGTGACCCCATCACTGCGTTCCTGCCTGGGCAACAGAGTGAGATCCTGTCTCTAAAAAACCAATAATAAAAAAAGAGAAGTGAGCACATATGTCCATACAAAAACTTATACATTCATAGTCATAGCAGCTTTATTCACGACAGCCCCAAGCTGGACACAACCCAAATATCCACCAAGTGAATGAAAGAATAAATTGGGCTATGATTCCACTTATATAACACCCTCTAGAAAATGCTCACTAATCTAGAGTGACACAAAACAGATCAGTGGTTCCTTGGGGATTGGGGGATGGGAGGGAGGGAGTATGAAGGAGCAAGAGGAAACTCTGGGGTTGATGAGAGCAGAGCACTGGAACTTAAGTTCTCCCTGGGGTGGGGGTGAGGTGCGTGGGATGTTTTAAACAATGACAGGACCTGCAGTTAGAACTGCTGAGGTTGGACAGTGTCATGCGTACCCCACGTTCCAGGAAAGACTTATGTGTCCCTAACTCCAAGTGTGTGACAATGATGGTATCTTCTCTTGATTCATCTTCCCTCATTTCAGTGTTGCTCAACGCTTATTTTTAAACTTATAGCTCCTCCAAGGAACCATTTTACATTTTTTTTTAATTGTCCACCTCCCCATGAAAATATAATACTGGCCAGGTGTGGTGGCTCACGCCTGTAATCCCAGCACTTTGGGAGGCCGAGGTGGGTGGATCATGAGGTCAGGAGATCGAGACCATCCTGGCTAACACGGTGAAACCCTGTCTCTACTAAAAATACAAAAAATTAGCTGGGCGTGGTGGCGGGTGCCTGTAGTTGCAGCTACTTGGGAGGCTGAGGCAGGAGAATGGCATGAACCTGGGAGGCGGAGCTTGCAGTGAGCTAAGATGGCGCTGCTGCACTCCAGCCTGGGTGACAGAGCGAGACTCTGTCTCAAAAAAAAAAAAAAAAAAAAAAAATATATATATATATATAAAATACTGCAGATATACTGTGTGTCTGTTTACGTACTGTGGTCTCCTGGAGGGCCACAAATAGACGTAACAGCTAAGATGTTGGGGGCATCCTAAGAACCAATGTTCATTCCTGTGGGGGCTCTCTTGACCTGTTGAGAAATCATGACTTATTCCCATCAGAAAAAAATCCAAGTAGGCAGGGAAAAAGCAGTATTGTAATGAAAATGTAAAGCTATCTGATTTGACTCTTTGATGGAAGCGTAGTGACACACATAACTGCAAAAAAGTGTTTCGCCAGAGCTATGCATTGATGTAGGTTCATGAAAATGGGAGCCCGAAATGAGGCAAAGGGGTTGGCAGGCAGAGAGCTTTCAACCCAGGCAGAGAAGTGGCAGAGTCTTTTCTGTGCAACTAGAGCTCTCTGCTGGGCATTTCAGGAACATCCTCCAATAAATTGAATGCAGCCCATTCATTTAGCAGCTGTTTGCCCAGCATCCATCACAGGCCGTGCACTGAGAGCTAGGCTTGGGTTTGTGGCCCAGCAAAGTTTAATAACTGGGTCAGAACCACACAGTGGTGAGAAGTCACAATGGCATTCAGAGTCACTTTTCTCTGACTCCAAAGCCCACAGTCCCCTCCTCTGGAGTTCCCAAGCCAGGTTCTTACTGGCTTTAGAGGGGAGTCCCCTCCCTGGCCTCTGAGACAGAAAGGAAGATGAGGGGCAGGTAGGAGTAGGGTAGAAGTTTGGGATATTTAGGGCATTATCACCTGATGATTTCCCTTTTCTCCTAGAAGTTGGAGCAGAAGAGGAGTGAGAATGACTTGGGTTAAGTCTTGCGGTGCTGGCTTTTTGCAAAGGGCTGTTCCACAAAGACTGAGAAAAAAACTGAGGCTCTGTAGAAACAGAGGCAGAAGTGGCAGAAGAAAATCTTGATGCTTCCCCAGTAAATTCCCATCAATTGTAGAGGTTAAAGAAAATGTGGTACATATACACCATGGATTATGTAGCCATAAAAAGGAACAAGATCCTGTCCTTTGCAGGGACATGGATGGAGCTGGAGGCCATTATCCTTAGCAAACTAACGCAGGAACAGAAAACCAAATACTGCATGTTCTCACTTATAAGTGGAAGCTAAGTGATGAGAACACATGGACGCATGGAGGGGAAAAACACACACTGGGGTGGGGGTCAAAGGGCAGAGGTGGGAAGAAGGAGAGCATCAGGAAGAATAGCTAATGGATGATGGGCTTAATACCTGGGTGATGGGATGCTCTATGCAGCAAACCACCACGGCACATATTTACCTATGTAACAAACCTGCACATCCTGCACCTGTACCCCTGAACTTAAAATAAAAGTTGGAAATAAAAGAAAGAGATACTCAGGTAAGACTAAACCACACATGAGGAATTGGAACCAGGGTCCTGTGAGTCTAACTCGCATGGCTCAGGAGGGTTGGTTCCCCTAGGGAGCTGCTCCTTCCTCTTGGTGCAGTGTAGACAGGGTGTTAGGAAAGAGCCCCAGGCTCACTGAGGATGGCCAGGAGTAAACCTGCCATGGCTCTAGAGGTCCCCAAGGCAGGCAACGGATGAGAGCAAGACAGTTTCTCACTCCAAGCGCAGCAAGCAGCATGTGCATCTGCAGAGCTGCGCTGGTTTCCCTGCCCTCAGGTCCCACAGGCGACGCCATGGGCTCGGATGGATGCTACCCACTCCATGGGCTGCCGTGAAGCTGTGGAACTCAAGGCCAAAGGTTCAGCATACTTTGAGAAAGCAGCAAACACTGTGGCAAGCAGCAAATAAGCCAGTCTCTCCCCTAGGGAGCAAGCAGTGACACAGGAAACACACGGAGGTCTCCTCACTCAGTGTACAGGGGCCTGCGTGACTAGCTGCTAGTTGTTTATTACCTGTGAGCAACCGGAGACATTATGAAGACAGCCTGAGGTCTCATCCAGGGGCAAGGGAAGAACTAGCCCTATAGAACAGATTTAAAGGGACAGTGGAAAATAAAAATAAAGCTGCTTTATAATTTTATACCATGAGTACCATGAGTCATGTTTGGTCAGGACATGGCTGGGACAGCCTTGCTGGGAAGCAGTGGGTGATGTGGTTCCTCGCCATGGATGAGCACCCTAGTGGGCTAAGGTGCACTAAGTCAGTGCCTAGGGTCCACGCGAGTAGTATCCATGGAACCCCATGCAACACCAGTGCCAAGGACCAGTTTCTCCCAGGAGCAGGAGGCAAGATAATTATTGAGACAATCTCTACCAAGATGGGATGGAGAAACAGCATTCTCTCCCCACCACTGCCTCAGCAGTGCATCTGTGCACCCCTCCGTCCCCCAAGTTCAGCATTCATCCTAAAGAGGAGGAGGTGAAAGGAGAAAAAACAATTCTGACTGTGTCTGAGTTCTCCATCTGAAAAGACTCAGAAGTCTCTGAATTTGATTTAGTTTATCAGTATGGGACTAGATTAGGCCTTCTTCATAAAGCAGAATGAGGATGCAGAGTCAGACATGCAGCTGCTTGCATAACTAGCTACTAGTTGTTTATTACCTAAGAGCAATCATAGAGGTTATGGGGACTGCCTGCCTGAGGTCCCATCCAGGTGCAGGGCGAGGGCTAGCCCTATTGTACAGATTTAAAGGAATAATGGAAAATACCACACCAATTGCACTCCTAGACATGTATCCCAGAGAAATGAAAATTTATGTTCACTCCAAAAGATGGACATGAGTGTCCATAGCAGCTTTATTTGTAACAGCCAAAACTGAAACAATCTAGATGTCCTTCACTGGGCAAATGGTTGGTTAAACGAAGTGGTGCACACGCACTGGGGAATACCACTCAGTGATAAAAAGGAAAGTCATGTTGTGGAAAGTCATTTTGGGGGGCCATGATTTTGAAAATCTGTATTCACTACAAACATAAGGTAGATGCCTCAGTGCTGTAGGTGATTTATTTCTTTTCTTTTCCTCTTCCCTTCTCCATCCCAGTAGTAACAGCTAACCCACATTGTGCGTGGATCATTGCCAAGATCCCTTTTTAATATATTAAATTTCATTTTTAGATAATTGTAGATTCACATGCATTTGTATGAAATGATACAGGGAGATCCTGTGTACCCTTAACCCAGTATGCTCCAGTGGTAACATCTTGCAAAACAATATCACAGCCAAGATATTGACAATGATACAGTCAGGATACAGAACATGTCAATCAGCACCAGCATCCCTCATGGTGCCCTGTTGTAGCCACCCTCCCTTCCTTCCAATCACACCCCCTCTTTAGCTCCTGCAACAACTTATCTGTTCTCCATTTGTAAAATTTTGTCATTTCAAGAATGCTATATAAACAGAATGATACTGAGATGGGAACAGCACTGGGTGGTCGCAGGAGGATGGAAAAACTCAAAAAAGAACTAGCCAAAGGCAGGGTGCGGTGGCTTATGCCTGTAATCCCAGCACTTTGGGGGCAGAGGCGGACAGATCACTTGAGGTCAGGGGTTCGAGACCAGCCTGGCCAACATGATGAAACCCCTGCCCCTACTAAAAATACAAAAATTAGCCGGGCGTGGTGGTGGGTACCTGTAGTCTCAGCTACTCAGGAGGCTGAGGCAGGAGAATCGCTTGAACCTGTGAGGCGGCAGTTGCAGTGAGCTGAGATCATGCCACTGCACTCCAGCCTGGGCAACAGAGTGAGATTCTGTTTAAAAAAAAAAAAGGAAGGAAAGAGAAGAAAGAAAGAAAGAAAGAAAGAGAGAGAGAGAAAGAAAGAAAGAAAGAAAGAAAGAAAGAAAGAAAGAAAGAAAGAAAGAAAGAAAGAGAGGGAGAAAGAAAGAAAGAAAGGAAGGAAAGAAGGAAGGAAGGAAGGAATCAGTCAAAGAAACAAGAACTAGGCAAAGAAACCATGGCATAACAGAAAACCCAAAATAAGGGAAAGAAAATGGCTAAAACTCTGGTCAGGGTGACAATGTCCATGACTCTTCCAGGCAAAACCAAGTAAGGCAGAAAGAGGGTAATAACTGGAGTGGGGGGGTGTATCCCTGAAATCCCCTCCTTTTCCAGGATATTCCACCCCTTAATTAAAGAAACACTCATAAAATTAGACACCCAAACTCCATTACTTGTGACTTATTCTCTCAAGCAGGCTCACACTTCTCTCTTAAGTGTGTACTTTCAATTTGCAATAAAAGCTTCTTGCCTTTGGCCTTATTCTGACTCATCCCTGAGCTCTTTCTTGTGATGGTGCCAATAATCTGGACACCAGCTGGAGCTGGGGCCTTACTGGCATCTGGAGACCCTCCTGAGCCCTTGAGCACCAATACAGTATGTAACTTTTTTGACTCAGCACAATTCTCTGGCGATTCATCCAGGCTGTTGCATGTATCAGTAGCTCATTCCTTTTGATCACTGAGTGGCATTCTATGGTATCCACGCACCACAGTTTGTTTAACCCAGTGAAGGGCATCTAGATTGTTTTCAGTTTTGGGTTATTACAAATAAAGCTGTTAGGTACATCCATGTCTATTTTTTAGAGTGAACACAAATTTTCATTTCTCTGGGATAAATGCCCAAGATTGAAATTGCTGGTTCTTATGGTTGTAGTTGCGTAGTTTTTAAAGAAATTGTCAAACTGTTTTCCAGAGTGGCGGTACCATTTTACATTTTCATTAGCAATGTACGATGGTCTCGTTTCTCCACATCCTCACCAGCATTTGGTGTTGTCACTATTTTTTATTTTAGTCATTCTGATGGGGATGCAGTTATAGCTCATTGTGTTTTTAATTTGCACTTCTCTAATGGATGTTAAACATCTTTTCATGTGCTTACTTACTATCTATATATCTTTTTTGATAAAATGTCTTTTGCCCATTTTCTAATTTGATTTTTTTTTTCTGTTAAGGTTTGAGAATTCCTTATATCAGAGGATATATAATAATATTTGCAAACCATTTATACAACAAAGTACTGGTACATTTTAGGTACTAGTTCTTTGTTATATGAATGGTTTGCAAATATTTTCTCCCAGTGTGTAGCTTGTCTTTTCATCCTTGTAGCAAGGTCTTCTGAAGCACAAAAATTTTAATTTGATGAAGTTCAATGTTTCCTTTTATGGATTGTGCTTTTGTTGTCAATTCTTTGCCTCACTATCTAGATCCCAAATATTTTCTCTTATTTTTTTTGAAAGTTTTATCTCTTATAATTTAAATCTGAGATTGATTTCAAGTTAATTTTAATGTAAGGTGTGAGACCTAGGGTGAAGTTCTGTTCTTTCTCTCTTTCTTTTCTTTCTTCTTCTTCCTTCTTTTTTCTTTTTTTGCTCATAGATGTCTTACTGTTCCAGCACCACCTTTTTTGTTGAAAAGACTATCCTTTGTCCACTGAATTGCTTTTGCACTTTTGTAAAATGTCAGTTGGACATATTTGTGTGGGTCTATTTCTGGATTCTTTGTTATATTCCATTGATCTATGTGTCTATCCATCCTCCAATACCACATAGTCTTGATTACTGGAAACCGATTCCTCCCATTTTATTATTCTTTTTCAAAATTATGTTAGCTATTCCAGTGCCTTTGCCTTTCCATACAAACTTTCAGATGATGTTGCCTGTATCTACAAAAAATCCTGCTGAGATTTTGATAGTGTTACTAGGGCAGCCCCAGAGATACAGCCGAAAAAGCTCATTATTTTCTTAAACAGTAGATAACTGAAAAAACTCATTTTTTTTCTTAAATTTTTTCTATTTCTTTATCTATAGGTAAGCTTGCTTAAAAGAACTCCAGATGGCCCGGGAGCTGCAGGACCCTTTGCCAATTATCAGAGGAAGATAAGGCCTGTGTGAAACCGGGACAAACCTGAACCAGCGACCCCGTGTTACCTTTAGATCATTAACATATCATCATAATGCTAAAACCTCACCCATAGAAGATAATTGCTGCCATTTTCTGAATATACATTATATGAAGAAGCATGTTCATGATCTGCACCTGCACATCTGGAGTTCCTCCCCATACATGTTTACGTACCTCCCTGCCCCACATCTAACTCCTTAAAATCCCCCAGCTTCTCATATCTCAGGGAGAAGGAGTCTTTAGAGAAAGAGCTCCCTCCTCCATTCCTGGCCAGGAATAAAACCTGCTTGCCTTTTTTCCCAATTAGGTGTTACAGTAGAACTCAGTTACCCTGTAACAATAAGAATTGCATTAAATCCTTATATCAACTTGGGAAGAATTGACAGCTTTACCATATTAAGTCTTCTAATCCATAAATAAGTATGTTCATCCATTTTTTTAGATTTTTGAAATTTCTTTCATCAGCATTTTGTAGTTCTTTGCCTCACTATCTAGATCCCAAATATTTTCTGTTTTTTTTTTCTGAAAGTTTTATCTCTTACAATTTAAACCTGAGTAGTTCTCAGCATGCAAGCCCCATACATGTTTTGTTGGATTTAAATTTAAGTACTTTGGTTTTTGATAAATTGTAAGTGCTACTGTATTTTAAGTTTCAGTGCCCATGTGTTCCTTGCTGGTATAAAGAAATACAACATATTCCTGCAGTCTAGCTGAAGTCACTTATCAGCTCTAGGAGTTTCTGTTTTTTGTTTTATTTTTGGTAGATCTTTGAGATTTCCTACTTTGATAAGCATGTTATCCACGAATAGGGACAGTTTTATTACTACCTTTCTGATCTGTATGCCTTTTATTTCCTTTTCTTACCTTATTGCATTGGGTAGAACTTCTAACACTGTTTAACAATAATGGTAAGAGCAGTCATCCTTGCCCTTTTCCTCTTCTCAGGGGTACAACCATTCAGTCTTTCACTGTTAAGTATGATGCTGGCTGTGGAGTTGTTATAGATGCTCTTTAACAAGTTAGGACAAATTCCCTCTATTTCTCTTTTTCTGAGCATTTTTAAAACCATGAATGGGTATTTTGTGAAATGCTTTTTCTGTATTGATTGGTAAGATCAATTTTCTTTTGTATCCAGTTAGTATGTTGGATTATGTTGACTGATTTGTGAATAGTAAAACTGCCCTGCATTCCTGCAGTAAGCTTCGCTGTGTTACAAGATCTTTGGGGTGTTGCTTTTCTGGCCAGAAACCTCTGTGGCCAGTGGTGCCTTTGCCCAAGTTTTGTTTGGGCTCACTGGGCTCATTCCGCCCACTCGGCCTGGCAGGCTGTGCTCAGCTCATGCTACCAGCCTGGACCCCATGTCTGCCAAAGGCAAGTCAGGCATGGAGTGGCAAGGGGTGTGTGAGTGAGCGTGGGGTCTGGCCACTGTGCAGTCAGACATGTCAGCTGCTGCAGTGGGGTGGGCAGCTCCAGGTGCTGGCACAGGCACTAGTCCTCTGTGAGGCTGTGGCTGAGCCAGGCACACTGCACGCAGCTTCCACAGCTGGTACTGGGGAACAAAGTGGTGCCTGGAGGCTTGGAGATGCCAGGAACCACAGGGCTCCCAAGAAAGAGTCATAGCCCTGGCTTGGGGAGCTCCCAGGTCTGGGCTTCCCGAAGGGCCATAGCTATTCTTTCTTTCTCTTCACCCTCAATGTAGTGAGCAAGGGGCATGTTTCAACCCTGTTTGTGTTACAGCTCTTTTAGCCCTACCATTCAATGGGTCCCAAGTTCTTGTCCTATAACCAGGAAGAATGAGGTACCCAGACAAGTGGAGGGTGAGCAAGATGAAAAGGAGCTTTACTGAGCGACAGAACAGTTTGGAGGAAACCCGCAGTGGGTAGCTCCTTTCCACAGCCAGGGTGTCCTGATGAG
Organism: Homo sapiens; assembly: GCF_000001405.40. Classification (NCBI taxonomy): domain Eukaryota; kingdom Metazoa; phylum Chordata; class Mammalia; order Primates; family Hominidae; genus Homo; species Homo sapiens. The sequence continues at coordinate 46,445,691 of NC_000020.11, forward strand.
TGTTCAGCTCCTAGCAAAGAGGAGGCCCTGGAGTGGGAAGCTCCTCTTTGCATGCAGGTGGTCACATTGTCTCTGCAGCTCTCAGCAGAGAGGAGGCCCTGGAGTGGGTAGCTCCTCTCTGCTGTTGGTCATCCTAATGTCTGCTCAGCTCTGGTTGAGCGCAGGGGTATTATGGGCTTCAGAGGGGGGAAAGTGTATGCCAACTGGTCCATGGGCAGGCCCAGAAAAGGCACCACAAGCTCCCACTCTGGTCTGTGGGGCTGGCAGCCCGACGCCAGCCTTCAGGCCCTCCCTGGCCTGAAGGTGGGGCCTCACTGGGGACCTGCCCCCTTCTGCCCAGGAGCCCATCTGCCTCCTGCCACTGCACATGGCACCCAGGCTGCTCACAGCAAGGGGCACCTACAGGCCAGGGCAAGCCGCCCTCAACTTCGTCATTGTGTATACTTTTTTTTACATTGTTGAATTCTACTTGCTAATTTAAAAAAATGTTGCATCTATATTCATGATATTAGTCTTTTGTTTTTTGTACTATCTTTTTTTTTTGGTTTGAGTATCAGATTTAGTACTAGCTTCATAAAATAAATGGGAAAGTCTACTCTCATCTTCAATTTTCTGGAAGAGATTTTGTAGAATTAGTGTTAATTCTTTTTTAAACTTTTGGTAGAATTGTCCAGTGAACTCTCCTGGTCTAGGAGCTGTTTTTAAATTTTAGTTTTAAAATTACAAATTCAACTTTTAAAATTCCATTTCATACTGGGTGAGTTGTAGTTTTTGAGGAATTGGCCTGTTTAATTTAAGCTGTCAAATTTATGTGGGTAGAGTTGTTTGTAGTATTCCCCTACTATCCTTCTGATGTACACAGAGCCTGTAGTGATATCCCATTTCATCCTTGATGTTTCATTCCGTTTCACCCTCTTTCTTTTCTCTCCTTATTACTGGTTGTGGGAATGGGAATTCCAGCTTCTCCCTAGGCCTCTACTAAGACCTCCCTGACTTGGGGGACAGTTGGGTGGGGCGGCTCATGACTGCTCCCCAAGGGGCCTCCACTGACACAAGGGGTGGTGGCCTCATTACCACTAGTTGGTGGTGAAAGTCCTGATCCCCCTCTGGGTTTTCTGGTACACTGCCCCAGCAGAGCAGAGAGGGGCACCTCATGACTGCTGGATGGGAGTGGAAGTCCAGACTCCCCCACTGTCTTCACTGATATTGCAGGGAGCCCATGGGGAGAGTTGGGGTGCCTCTTTACAGCCTGGTGTGGGTGGAATTCTAGGATCTCCACCTCTGCCTTTGCTTGTGTGAGTGTGGGTAGGGCCACAGTCTTTCTGTGGTGTTCGGCTGGAGTAGAGAGGTTATTGTCTCAAGGTTTTCTGTCTCGTAAGGCTGCCCATTTTCTGCTTTCTGTTTTGTTTTTGCTTTGTATAGAGGGAGTAGGCTTTTGATGGGGCTTTTCCCCCCATCTCAAACACTAGAATTTCCAGGTCGCGAGCTTCTTCAGTTCTAAGTCTGGGATATATGAGGCAAAATGAAAGCCAGGAGAATGCACTATGCGGTCCCAAGTTTCCTAGCTGGTCTGCCTTCTTTTCTCAACTTTTCAGAATATTTTTATACTTGCTTTACATACAAACTAAATCTACTGAAAAAATACAATAATCAAAATAAATGGATGGGCTCAATAGCCAATAGAGGAGACAGAGGAAAAAAAAATCACTGCACTGACAACTATAACTAGAGAAATCACCCAGACTGAAAAACAGAGAGAAAATAAATGGAAAAAAATGAATGGAGCTTCAGGGACCTGTGAGACTATCACAGGGTCCAGTGTTTGTGTCATCGAACTTGCAGAAGGAGAAGAGAAAGAAGACAAGGCTGAAAAGGTATTCAAAGAAATAATGGCTGAAAGTTTCCCAAATGTTCAGAGTTTTTAGTTGTCCTTACTGGGAGGAATAGGGAGAAGCGTGTCTGCTCTATCTTCCTGAAAGCTAAAGAACCAAGCACTGCTGGATGGGGACCCAGGGTCTCCAAGCTGAGAAGAACACTGATAAGGCATGCACGGAAGCAGTCCTGGGAGGACTCTGCCACAGGCACAAACACCACTGGACACCCAAAGTCATACTGCTGGGCGCTGGAGTCCATTGCTTCTTCTGAGAAGAATCGCTAACTTTTCTCGGGTCTTTGTACCTTTAGCCCCTGATTCAAAGTCTTAGGGAGGCTCACCTAAGTGGCCAGTCGCAGGGAGTGTGCCCAGCCCTGCCTGTCAGCAGGTGTGGAAAGGAAATGTACAGCATTCTGCAGCATCCCTGGTGGAAGCTGGAGCCTGTCTTCCATTAAGCCGTACTCACTGTGGGATTCCTCAATTTGTCCAATTAGGAGGTCAGTGCATGAGGTTGCTGTACCCTCATACCCCCGCAACACTCAGTTTTACTGAACTTCCTAATATTTGCCAATATAATAGGTGTAAAATTATATCTCATTCTTGCATCAATTTGCATTTCTGGGATTATTAACATTTGTGAGCACCTCTCATATGAGTGTTAGCTTTTGAGAGTTCTCATTCTGTAAATTGCCTGTTTATATCCTAGATATATTTATGTTTACTGTGCTTCTGAATGGGAGCTTATTTTCCTGAGTCTTACAGACATTTGAGACAGTTACATTATAAAAGTATATTGCTGAGTGAAGGGATAATCATAAGACATAGTTCTTTAATAATTCCAGATTTGAAAAACAACCATATTAAATGTTATTATTTGTGGGAGGTGAGATTATCTGACATTTGTTTCTTTTTCTTCTCTTCTTTCTTCCTCTTCCTCTTCCTCTTCTTCTTCTTCTTCTTTTCTTTTTTTTTTTTTTTTTTTTGACAGAGTCTCGCTCTGTCACCAGGCTGGAGTGCAGTGTTGTTTCTTCTTTTGAATGGATACATTCAACTTTACCTGAGCTCTTTGCTCCAGGAAAATAGGAATGGATAAGAAATGCTCCACTCTTGTGTGTTTCAGGAAATGGTTAATTGCAAAAAACACGCCTTCCCTATATGGCTTAGACCGCCCTTCCCTTAATGACTCCCTTGTGTTATAAAACCCCAAGTCTTTTTTAAACATGTTTCTAATTAATGAACATTCTCTCTATTGCAGTAGCCTACATACAACCATCTCCTTAATTGTCAGGTGCATATGTCCTACACACATTTTATTTTTTTAAATATAATTTTCATACATAATGATTGCAGTTTCTATAAACTTTTGAAAAGTACTGGTCAAGTATTTTGTAGAATATCCCTCAATTTGGGTCTGTCTGATGTTTTCTCATGATTAGGCTAGAGTTATGCATTTTGGGAAAGAATGTCATGGAGGTGATGTATCCTTCTAATCACTTCATATCAGGGAGCATATGATATCCACATGACTTGTCACTGGTGTCATTAACCTTATCACTTGGTTCTGGTAGTGTCTGCCAGGTCTCTTCACTATGAAGGTACTATTTTCCTCTTTCCATACTCTATTCACCAAATATAAGTCACCAAGTGCAGCCCATACTCAAGGGGAGGGAATAAAGCTCCTCTTCCTTGTATCAGAATGTGTAAAGATCTCTTAGGCTTTAAAATCTATATATTATTCAGTTGCTTCTCCTGTTCCGCTTTTTATTTGTTAGGGAACCAGATCCTTTGTCCTACTTCCCCACACCTAGGCTTGCTGATTGCATCTCTGAGAAGTCATGCAACATGTTCCTTTGTTCCTGCCATTTCATGTACATTGGTACCAGAGGCTTGATTAGCTTTATTTATTTATTCATGATGGAGTCTCGCTCTGTCGCCCAGGCTGGAGTTGCAGTGGTATGACCTTGGCTCACTGCAACCTCTGCCTCCCAGATTCAAGTGATCCTCCAGCCTCAGCCTCCTGAGTAGCTGGGATTACAGGCATGTGCCACCACACCCGGCTAATTTTTGTATTTTTGGTAGAGATGGGGTTTTGCCATGTTGGCCAGGCTGGTCTCGAACTCCTGACCTCAGGTGATCTGCCCACCTGTCTCCCAAAATGCTGGGATTACAGGTGTGAACCACCACACCTGGCCTTGATCAGATTTAGATGCAAGTTTTGAACATGAATATATGGTGGTACATTCTTTCATCAGAAGGTAGGTAATTATTGTTGCTTCCCCCATGTTTTTTGAGACAATTGTTTCTGAGACATCTGTAGCCAAGGCTGGAGTACAGTGGCCTTGGCTTACAGCAGCCTTGACTTCCTGGGTTCAGGTGGTTCTCTCACCTCAGCTTCTCAAGCAGCTGAGACCACAGGTGTGCACCACCACGCCCAGCTAATTTTTTTGTATTTTTAGTAGAGACAGTATTTCGCCATGTTGCCCGGGCTTGTCTTGAACTCCCGGCCTCAAGTGATTTGCCTGCCTTGGCCTCCCAAAGTGCTAGGATTACAGGTGTGAGCCACTGTGCCTGGCCTCCCGCTTTTTTTTTTTAACGTTAGCAGCTGTTGATGATCATTGCCCAGCTCCACTAATGCATTAGGGATTACACAATGGTAATATACTTATTTTAACATGATTTCTTCATTTGCTGGTTGTAATACTTCTGGCAAGAGAAACATTCCCCTCACAATTATTTGGTTACTCTGAGGAACGGTTCATACAGGAAAGGCAGTATTCATGATTCTTTCCCTTTATTTTCCGGTTTTCAAAGCATCCTCCAAAGGTGACCAATGCTTTCCTTTTGAATGATTGTTTTTGTTGTTTTTTTGCATTCCCAAAAGAAATGCTACTGATTATGGTTATTATTCTTTCAGTACCTTGTTGGATTCTATTTCCTAGAGTTTTATTTAAGTGTCTCATGTATATTAATAGATGAAATTGATTTATATCTTGGGGTGACTTCCAGATTTTACACACACACACACACACACACACACACACACACACACAGATTGTGTTCAAACTATTTCTTATTATAATCTCTGTGGGTACTGAAAGAATCATGCATTTATGGGGATGAAAAAAATTACCTTTGAGAGCAAGCATTCAGTGTACCCAATAAAGCAGAAACTCTTGCATAATCACAAATAAAGGTGCCACAGAAATTTATGGGAAATGCGGTCTTGCATTGCCCAGAGGAAGTCACCAGGGACAGATGTTTAGTAGCTCCTCCTGCACACATACAGTTCCATTTTAGGGAAAGAGGTTGCTCTTGCTCTGTCTACAGCCTTATGGGGGAGACTCCACATCTTTGTCCATCCAAAGTATTGGTCCTAGGAACCAAACTGAAAGTGCCTTGAAAAGGACATTTGCATAGAGATTGGGGGTGGAAGGGGGAGAATGTCAGGTGGAATTGACTTGTGCTCCTGTAAGGTAGAAACAACACACTGAGGAATCGTATTAAGTGCTCCCAGACTGTCCTAGACTTGGTCTCAAGGGAATGGCAGGCAAGAGAAGGCCTTGGTTTCCTATCTGCTGGGTCCAGGGCTGGAGAGTGGGCATTTGCTTCCTTCTCTGGAACAGGGTGCTGGATGGGAGGCCAGGAATGTGCATCAAAGTGCACAAGAGATGATTCTAGAAACTCTGCTCTTGCCAAGTATAGCCTGGCCAGCATGCAGCCTGGTACTCTAAGAGGTAAGTTCCTTGAGAGCAACTAGGAAGAGCATTAATATTTTGTGCTGATTTGGAAGAGGCAAGGAGAGTGCAAACTGATGTAACGAAGGTCAGAAATGTAGATGCCAGAGACCTGTGTGCAAGTCAGGGTCTCTATGGGATCTGGGCTTCTCTATAACTCCAGTAATTTTTTTTGAGATGGAGTCTCGCTCTGTTGCCCAGGCTGGAGTGCAATGGCATGACATCGGCTCACTGCAACCTCCACCTCCCAGGTTCAAGTGATTCTCCTGTCTCAGCCTCCTGAGTAGCTGGGATTACAGGCATGCGCCATCATGCCTGGCTAATTTTTGTATTTTTAGTAGAGACGGGGTTTCACCATGTTGGCCAGGCTGGTCTCGAACTCCTGACCTAGGTGATCCGCCCGCTTCAGTCTCCCAAAGTGCTGGGATTACAAGAGTGAGCCACCGCGCCTGGCCTAACTCCAGTAATTTTAAGGAATATCTATCAGCCTTGTTTTCCTCATCTTTAAGATGAGCATGGAAAGAGAACTTATCTTGTAGGCCTGTTTTGGAGATTAAATGTGATATGGCATGCATACCTTTGCTTGCACATAACAAGATCCTAATAAAAGCCATTGCTTCTATTATGCAAGATACTTTGCTAGGTTCTTTTAATTAAGTGTACCAATGAACATGTTTATTGTGAGGTTAGTACTGATATCTTATTATTTTATGTCATCTTTATTTTAATAAGAAAATGGATGCTCAGAGAAGTGAAGCCAGTCATCCAACATTAACAGGTAGGTGGCGGAAGTGCTGGGGTTTTAAATCCCAGAACTGCTTTCCATCCCGTGTTGTGCTTCGCCAATACGCCATATTGCCAAAAACCCAGACTTGGATGTTAACTGTCTTTGAATTCTTCACAGCACTCAGCCCCATGAAATGATCTTAATGACTCCACAAGAAATAAATGCTGAAGAAAAATGGACTCCAGCCTCCTAGGCCCAGGATTTCTTGATGTTTCTTTGGTGTTTGGGAGGACACTGTATTTCTGCAGCTTCAGGATGGCTTATGTACTCTCTGGCCTGTATTTGTTCCTAGCACCCCTGGTTTGAGTTTACCAGAAGCCAGTGTGAGATTCAGGGGCCAATGTGTACTATCAGCGACAAATATTGGTTATCAGGTGAGAGGTCCTGTCTAAAGTGAAGCTGTGCTTGGAGCTCAGATACTGACTCCATGTGAATGCAATGGATCTTGTGTGTTAGGAGGACAAGACTCCTGGAATAGAAATTCAGTGAGACCTCACACCAGAGCTCTAGGCAGGGGTGGAAAAGCCCCAGGCAAGGAGCTGGGCTATAAACAATTCTTGATCCTTCTGTTCAGAGTGTGCAAAATTTGCATGGTGTTACCCCATGCAGAGACAACTTGGGTTGTGTGCCAATGGACGTTTCAGGGCACTTCTCAAAGGAGGGAGCTAAGCTGAGGGGCTTGGCAGGGGGCAGACTCCACAATAAAAGGCTTATTGGATGTCTGTGAGGGTACACTCAAGACAGGAGAGAGTCAGCAGGCCCAGCTGAGAAAATTCAATCTCAACCTTCTCTAAAGACATTCTCTGAAGACACATGCTTTATTTTCCACTCATTCTTTCCTGATCTGAGCTGGCCCTACACTCATATTATATCCATCATTGTCTTTGGCTTCTAAGGATGTGCTGATTGCCCTATAGATTGACATACAAAGTTCAGAACGATAAAAATGGAAAGGCATTATAGTATTATCTAAATATGCCTCCTCAATTTAAAGATTAATAAAACTGGGCTAGACTAGGTCACACAGTTGGTTAGAGGCAATGTCAAGATTAGAAGTTGCCCCATTCTCAGTGTGCTGTTCATCATTCCAAATAAAATCAAAATAAGATATCTTTAAAGGTTTCTCACTAGAAATGATGATGAAGAGAGCACCATCAATAAAAGAGACAGACGTGCCTGAAAGCTCCTTCCCTGCCCTGCCCTTTCCAGTTTCCTGTGGATTCTCAAGACCATGAAAGGTTAGAAATATTAGCTGCAGAGAGAAAAGAAACATAACATGAACATATTTTCCTATCAGTGGATTTTCCCCTACAAGATCATTTTTGAAGAAGCTAATGGTTAGGAGCACGGCCTCTGGGGCCAGACTTCCTAGACTCAAATCCTGGCTCCATGTCTTACTAGGTATATGACCTTGGGCAAATTAACCTCTGTGCTTTGGTCTACCCATCTGTAAAACAGGGATAACAGTATCTACTTCATAGGTTGTTATGAGGATTAAATAACCGTTTCGTCTTATCTATATCCATCTATCTCTACATAGATATATATATGTATATATATCCTAGAATAGTGCTTGGCATGTAGTAAACTCTGCTATAGCAGAGTTTTCTATTATCGACAAATAGCAAGATATTCTGCCCTTTGGATGTGTGATAATTTCTTTAGCCAATCCCTTACTATTGTATATTTGATGGCCTTCAGCTTTTTGTTGTTATTCAAAGGAGGATAAATTATCACTAAATCCATCGGAAATAAATGTCTACACTCTCCAAATAATCCATGTGAGAGTTACAATGGACAGGTAGGTGCCATTTCCTTCCTGTTTTTTTCTGGTAGCAAAGTAGGACAGGAAATGTAGAGTCTAGTTGGGTGGCCATATGCCCTGCCAGAATTCACTGGGGAGTTCTACTATTAAAGGAAGAAGGGAACCATGGCTACTGCAGGGCTATCAGCAGACCCTGCCACAGCTTTTAACATCCATCCTATCCCCTAGACTACAACTCTGTGGAAGTTTGGTTAAACAAGGTAATCACAGGACTACCCTTATGTTGTCACACTTTAGTGGATAAATGTTTAAAAAAACCTGGATCTATTTTTATCATCCCTTAAATTTCAAACTCCCTTTGTCACCTGGTTTTAGGTACATTTTTTTACAAGCCATACATAGTTGGATTTAGTTTTCTAACTCACTGTTAAACTACCTCTGTCTTTGATGTAGGAATTCAATTTGTTCATATTATTTGTGATAACATTTATTGATTCTTTTTCATTTTTACTTGTTTAAAGTCTATTGTACTTTTCTTTTCCACTTTCCTTACTTTTTCTATCTTGGTCAGTGTTCACTTTATCATTTAAAAAAATTTAGGAGAAATTCTACTAGGAAACAAATGGAAAAAGACAATCAAGAAAATCAAGGGTAGGCCTAAATGACTACTGGTATGGATACTTGTAAAAAGTCATTAAAGAGACTTGAACTACAGAAAAACAGATAAATGTAAAAAAAACTTAGCTGCAATTCTTACTACAAAACATCACCTTTGTTAATGTTCTAATGCATTAAGACTTTTCTGGAAAATCAGATATTCTATTAACAGATATTCATATGGATATAAATATGCATATACATTATATAAATAAAAATAACCCATTTAAGAACCATGAAGGCTCTCTTTTCTCTCCCTGAATGTAAGTCCCTCCTTCCTCCTAAAATGTAACTGATATTGTAGATTTTGTGTTAATCATTGATTTGCTTTCTTTTCTAAATTTACTACTTACATATGTATCCCTGAACAATGTATTCTTGGTTTGCTTTTGAACTTTATATAAATAACATAACAGAGTATCTATATTTTTCCCTTTTTTAAATTCAACATCACTTTAAGATATAACCATGTTGATGTGTTTAACAGAGTTTTATTCATTTTCATTGATGTATATTATTTCTACCATATGACTATGCCAACATTTATTAATTTAGTTTATTGGTAATCAACATTTGGATATTTTCTTTAAATTTTTTTTTTACAAAAACTATTGCAATGTTGCAGTGAACATTCTTGTACAAATTTGTGGGTGCAGATGTGCAAGAGTTTCTGTAAGGCAATTTTTTTGTGTGGTGAAACTACTGGTATTCTGGATAAGACTATTTCCTGTCCTTTCACTGATACATTGTAGGGAAATTAGCATCTCTGGCCTCCCATCTACCCAGAGCCTGTAGCATGTCAATGATGTGACAATCAAAACAACAGATTTCCAAACACACTTTAGGAAGTCCAGTTGAGAATTATTGTTTTATGGTATGTATCTAGAATTGGAATTGATGGACCACAGGTTATGTGACCGTTCAATTTTCACTTATAAAATATATTGTATTGTTGTGTTCCCATGTGTAAATCCAACATACACATAATTTATGTTATACAGCACACTCGTATCCTATGTAACTATATATAGCCCAATATACTTCAGGAAATCTTCACACATATTCAACGCTATCGTGTCAATGACTTAAATAATTCATAGTTTTACAAAAGGATCATGTTTCACATTCTATTAAGAACAAGTCATTTTCTAATCTTTTCTTTAATTACTCTGCTATTACATCTGAAAGATGACTTCTACCTAAACATTTTATGCACAAGAACATTTTGCATTCATATACCTTAAAATTAATTTTTCCTCCACAGCTCTGAATACTTGCTGAAAGCTTTCACATGTTCAAAGCATTCATGTGGTTTCACTCCTATGTTAATTTTCTAATTCCTATTCGTTATAACCTACAAACAAATACTTTCCTACATGTATTAATACCTTAGTGTTTCTGCCCTATGATTTTGCTGATGTTTGACAAATTTGCCTTGAAGATGCAGGTTTCTGCACATGGAGGGTGTTGATAATAGTTTTCTTCTTGTGTGTTTTCCTTTGATGTTTGGTGAGGGCTGACCTCTGGCTGAAGGTTTTTCTACATTCATTACATTCATAGGGTTTTTCCCCTGTGTGAATTCGCTCATGTTTTGTGAGGGCTGACTTTTCATAGAAGGTTTTCCCACACTCAGGACATCTGTAGGATTTTTCTCCTGAGTTCTCTGATGCACGACAAGGTTGGATTTCACATAGAAAGATCTCCAGCACTCATTACATTTATAGGGTTTCTCACCGTGTGTGAGTCCTTCAATGTTGAGTAAGGTTTGATTTCACACAGAAGGTTTTCTCACATTCATTGCATTTATATAGTTTCTCTCCCATGTGAGTTCTCCGATGTACTGTGAGGGCTGATTTCTGGCAGAAGGACTTTCCACGTTCATTACATTCATATGGTTTTTCTCCTGTGTGAGTTCTCTGATGTTCAGCGTAGTTGGACTTCACAAAGAAGGATTTTTCACATTCATTACATTCATAGGGTTTTCTTCCGTGTGTGTGTGCTCTGATGCTATCTGAGATCTGTTTTCTTACAGAAGCTTTCTCCACATTTATTGCAGTCATAGGTTTTCTCTTTTTTTGTGAGCTCTCTGGCTTTGTGTAAGTTGTGACTTCCTACTTGAGGCACCCCACTTTCATTACGCCCATTATTTTTTTTCCCCAAGTGCCTTCTCTGATGTTGAGTGTGTTTCAACTTCTCAAAGAAAGGTTTCTCACATTTATTACCTTTACAGTTTTTCTCTCTTGTTTTAATCTTGTTTTAATTCTCTGATTGGGAGTGAGGCAAGATTCCTTCAAGACTCTTTCACTATCATTACACTTGCTGGGTTTTCCTGTTGTGTGGGTTCTCTGATGTTGAGTAAGGCATGCTTTTTCATGAAAGAATTTCCCACATTTCTTACAATCATAGACTTTCTCTCCTGCATGAGTTCTCTCATTTTGAGTATGGTATAACTTCTTCAAGGCTTTCTCATTTTCTTTACACTCATCAGGTTTTTCTCCTGTGTACATTCTTTGATGTTGGGTAAAGTTTGATTTCTTGCTAAATTTTCCAAATTCATTACATTCATAGTGTTTCTCTCCTTCATAGTGTTGCCCGGGCAACACTGCGAGACTCCGTCTCAAAAAAAAAATACTGACAATACTTGTATAGTAGTTACTATATAACAGGACTTGTTCTAAGTACTTTGTATGTCTTCCTTCATTTAACCTTTAAAATAAAGCCAAGCATAGCTACTATTATGACTTCCATTTCATAGAATAGGAAAGCGAGGGGAAGACTGAGCAATGTGGTGGAGCTGGGCTTTGAACCCGGGCAATCCGGCCCCAGATCCATTCACTTGAGCACTGTGTTAATATTTTTCACTTTTAAAATGAGGCACAATTACATAACCGCTGAAAAGCTTCCCCGTACTCCTATAAAGTCAAGAGTAGGTAGTGGGTAGCATGTCCCTAAATTCCAGATGTGGAGATGGGTGGGGTTTGAGGGCTCTGCAGAAATCTAGGAAGAGGGGTTGAAGAATTAGGGGCATGGGAGGAGTTTCCGAGAGGAGTGGTGATAGTATCTTCCCCGTCATGCGCACCAGGTACTCACCTGGGAGTTCCTCCTCCCCCGCAGCCGGCCTCCTGCCCACCATCCTCAGTCCAGCTCGCCATCCTCAGCCCAGCTCACCTCTGTCCTGTGACAGCTGGCCCACACCTTCGTTGACCGACGGTTCTTGGCAACCTCCGACATGATGAGTTATTCAGGGCGGAAGAATCGGGAATTGCTTCAAGAGCAAGCGCTTACAGACTTGCCTGTTTTCCCAGACGTCCTTGGTGCAGCTGTGTGCGTTTTATCAGAGGGTGGGAACCTCCCAGGCGAGATTCCTGCTTCTGGCGTCCCCTCCTCACAGGAGCAGGGTGACCCTGGCTGGGGAGAGAGGGAATAAATTCAGATAACTGGGACCTTCAGCCGGTTCCAACTCTCTCTTGGAGTTCACTATCTCCTACAACAGAGGCTTTCAGTGTGGACCCTGGACTGGCAGCATCAGCATCACCTGGGAACTAAATAGAAAGGCAAATCCTTGGGGCTCTCCCCAGACCTACTGAATCAGAAACGCTGGGTGTGGGGCCCAGTCGTGGGGTGGGGTTTAACAGGCCCTTCAGGTGATACGGATGCATGCGAGTTTGAAAACCACTGCCTGCAAATCTCCCTTGGGAACCTGAGAACTGTGGAGGGCACAAACAGATGGACCTTGAGTTTCCCAGAGGCCTCAGTTACACAGTACCCCCAGGGTTCTGCAGAGATACCAAGAAATCTCCAAGATCCTTAAGGGAAGGCTCAGTCCTTACACACTCCGGTTGGCCCATAGAGACATGCCACTCTGCTAAGTGCTGTGAAGCATGCGATTTGGAAATAAAACTGAGGCTTGCATCCCAGATCCTTCACTTGCTAGCCATGTGACTTCACCTCCAGAGTCTTGGTTTTCTTCTCAGTTAAAATAGGGTGGGTAACACCGACTTTACAGGGGGTCTTTGAGAATCAAATGACACACCGAGTGAAAAGAACAGTGGGAAAGGCAGGCCGCATTTCCAGAGTGCTTAGAAAATGTCAGGACCTGTGCGGAGTGCTTTAGAGGTGCTCTCTTATTCAACACTCAGAACGACCCTGAAGCAGGTTTTAGAAATAACTTCATTTTACAGATGGGGAAATTGAGTCTTAGAGTTTAGGTTCATCACTGTGTTCATGGAGAGCCAGTGACAGACCTAGGATGTGAACTCGTCTTACTTTCAAACTCAGGCTCTGCATCTGCAATAAGGCTTGCTAAGGTAGGAATGATAGTACAGCATAAAGTAAACTTTGTAAGAATTGTTCTCATCCCCGCTGGAGTAGTGGGTTTGACCAGCTGATGAATGGTTGCCCAGGGCACCTGCGAGTTAGAGGAGCTTCTGGAAACAGCTCTTTTAACATGTGAATGCCTTTTCCCGGAGCCCTTTATTCTGATCAGGAAACCTGTTCCCTCCGCCCTTATCTTCTTCGTGGCACCTGCAGATCCGCAGCGGACCTCCTCCTCCGTCACTTGCTTTCTAGACGGACAGATGCAGGGCAGACTCGGGAACAAGTGCCAGAGGGTCTCAACCCGCGTGGGATTTGCGCAAGTTTTTGCTTCCACAGGCTGTGAACACAAACCTACCCCAAGCCCCGCAAAGCAACCCTCCAAGCTAGGCTCTCACCTGCGGAGCGCATCGTTAGTGCAGCACCTGGTCGCTGAGTTACGCGTAGACGCGGAGGCTCCACGCTGATCAGAGACAGGAGTAAGGAACAAGGAGGAAGTCTGCACATGCGCAGACGGGGCTGCCAAAGACCGGTTCCCGGGGCCCTGCCGGGGCGATCCATCAACTTCCAGACTCCGTTTCCCACAAGTCTCCGCGCCCCCTTCCTTAAGGAACGTCTGAAGAGTTTCTGGCTTACTTGGCAAGTTGGGGGATTTGTGGTCCAAAGTCATCTTTACTTTTATTTGGAGCCCTAGTTCCTCATAACCCACCAGGTAGGAGATTTGCATGCACTCCACTTACAATCAGTGTCACTTCAGAGGCAAAGCTACCGTGAGAAGGAAAGGAGTTTGTCAACTGCACATCTGAAAACAAAATTAATGAAAGCCAAGCAACATAGTGGAATATTTATAGAAAATAAAGCAAAGCAATAAGTAAAAGATTAATAACCACGACCAGAAAGCTTTTTCCGCAGAATGCAAATATTACCTCCACCTGAAACTGGATTTCAAAAGTAAAAGCCTCACATAATGGCAAATACACATAAATCAAAGGAAAATTTCATCTAAGAAGCACACTCAGAATCTCCCCTTCCAGAGATGACCATGGCCAATGTTAGATGATATTGAAATGGGACCCCAAAATCTCAATGAGTGATTTGGGTCTTTTCATTGAACATGTTGTTAATAATTTTCTTACCCTTTTACACTTTTTATTTTGAAATATTTTAAACTTACAGAAAAGTTTCAGGGATGATTCATTCGGATCATCTGTAAACCATTTACTCAGATTCATCAACAGCAAATATCTGCCTCCCCACCTTCTGTTTCTCTCCTCATCCTCATCACCATTTGAGGGTAAGTTACAAATATGAACTGTCACCCCTAAAACTTTAGCATATATCACCTAGAACAAGGGCTTTTTAAAAACATAACCACAATTATCAAAAATTTTTAAACATAACTACAATTATCAAAATTGTTTAAACATAACCACAATTATCAAATCCAAGAACTTAAACAGATATAATATTATTATCTAAAATCTAGACCATATTCAAATTTTACTAATTGTTCTAATAATATCCTTTATAATTTTTTTTCTGATCCGGGGTTCAATTGAGGATCATTTTTACGCAGAGTTGCCATATCATTTAGACCACTTTAATCTAGTTCCTTGGCCTTTCTCTGTCTTTCAAGACATTGTTAATTTTGAAGAGGACGCATCAGTTTTTTTGAAGAATGTTCCTTTATTTGGGTTTGTCTGAGTGTTTCCTGATAATTTGATTCAGGTTATACATTTCTTGGCAGGAATCCTATATAAGGAATATTGTGTTCTTCTTGGTATATCATGCTAGGTCAGTGGGATGATGTCAGTTTATCCCATTTTTGGTAAAAAAAAAATTTCGCACAAGTCTCCTTTATTAATCTACCCTTTTGGTAACAATTCCTTGATCACAAATCTAGCACAGGTAGCCAAAAGATATAAAGTACCACAGACTTTGTATTGACTCAAGTTGGATGATGACTTTTACACTAAAATTAACACATACTGAAGAGATAAAAAGTTCTCAAAGTTTACACACGTATAGGAATACAAACTGAATACAGTTTTTAAATAAAAGATGATTACTTTTCAAATTATTTAAAGGGAAGCCTACTTTCAAACACCCTAGGAACAAGCCACTCAACACTACGTAAACTCAGAAGAGCTCTGAAAGAGTATTTTTCCACCAGCAAACCAAAACACACACCAATTGGCAGTAGACAGAGGCAGGTCTTCTGACTAAGAAATGGATATTATACAAATGTATATTTACAGCATAATTTTACTTCATGTGAATAACTGCTAAAGCATGACACCAGGCCGGGTGCTGTGGCTCACGCCTGTAATCCCAGCACTTTGGGAGGTCGAGGCGGGCTGATCACGAGGTCAGGAGATTGAGACCATCCCGGCTAACACGGAGAAACCCCGTCTCTACTAAAAATACAAAAAATTAGCTGGGCTTGGTGGCAGGTGCCTGTAGTCCCCACTACTGGGGAGGCTGAGGCAGGAGAATGGCATGAACCCAGGAGGCGGATCTTGCAGTGAGCCGAGATCACGCCACTGCACTCTAGCCTGGGCCACAGAGCTAGACTCCGTCTCAAAAAAAAAAAAGCATGACACCATATGAAGTAATGGTAAATAATTAAAAGCTTATTTAATGAATAACATAATAAATTGAAACTAAGAAATGCAAAACTAAAATGGTAATAGAAAAATAAAGAATTTAATAAAACACTGTTAGAAGAATTACAAAATACTCTTCTGAATACCTGCTATGAAATTATCTATACCCATGAAGAATAGGCATTTTCCAATATTAAATTGGTGCATTGTGGTCATACTCCATAAAGATACTGAAAAGCATCATCCGTAAAAATTTTTTTTGTTTTACCTGGGAAATGTACTTCTTACAAAAGGGCGGCTGCAAAATACAGAGACTTTGGCAACTGTTAGTCCAAACTGCACCATTTTGTAAGCCCCGTGCCATTTCGCAGACCTTGGTCAAAGTGAAACACTCCACGGGGGTTCGGGTCATGAGAAATATTCCTATCATACCCTGCCGGGCAAGGGCCCAACTGAAGAGACATCCCTATCATACCCTGCTGAACAAAGGTCCAAGGAACATCTTATCACATCCCACTGGAAAAAGGGCCAAACTGCTTGACCACAGGTACATCTTATCAATATCCTGCCAGGCAGTAAGCCAGATGGCCCAGACCCCTCCTGCCCATACCTATAAGTACCCCAGCCTGTAAGTGGTGGTAGACTCTGGCTTTAAGCTGATCCCCCAACTCTGCAGGTTTTTGCAATATGCCTGTGTTGCTGTTGAGCCCCACTCTCTCTGTGTGTCTTTCTTTAACCCTCACCTTCCCTTCAAAACCAAACAGCAACAATTACTTGTTTTTTTCTTAAAGTTAAAGAATGAGTGGGATCCAAGGAACAAAATGGTAGACCAGGAGCAGGTCCAAGTTATTTTCAGGAAACAGAGCAACAAAGCACAAAGGCAAAATTTCCAATAGAAATTCTTTTAATAACTTAGCTTGTCTCTGGGATTACCGTCTCCTCCCCTTTAGCAGAAAAGTGTGACTTATTACTGTAGGCCAATTACTCCACTACAGTAAACACCTTAGAATGTAGTTTTGAATCACATCTGTCTACCTGAAAGATCAGAAGTGGAATTACGCAAATACCCACAAAAACAAACACAAAAAACTCAACAACAAAACACCTCGAATGGTGACAAAGGTTTTTCAAAAAGTGCCTGGACTAGAAAGCCTAGATTGTAAACAGTAAATACAATTCTGTATCCAAGCCCCAGTTTGTGTTAATATGTAGGATAACCAGATAGTTTTAACTCTATGGCTAACCCCATTTCTTTCTTTATATAGACAGGCAGAGCTAGCACTGCTATATTAACAACTACCAATATACTGCTTTGTCCTTTAAAATCTATCTGCCACAGAAGGCTTAAACCACTAAACCAAGTTTCTCTACTAAGGCTAAGAATACTGCATCTATGCAGGGATGAGAGGCTTATCACATACTCACACTCACACACACCAAGCTCTTGGGAGTCAACTTGCAACTCTGCATTGATTTTATGCCCCTCTATCTTTTATTTACATTCTTTCTCAATTTTCCTATCATTCAAAACATGGTAGGGCCGGGCACGGTGGCTCACGCTTGTAATCCCAGCACTTTGGGAGGTCAAGGTGGGAGGATCAGCTGAGGTCAGGAGTTCAAGACCAGCCTGGCCAACATGGCGAAACCCTGTCTCTACCAAAAATACAAAAATTAGCCAGGCATGGTGGTGCATGCCTGCAGTCCCAGCTACTTGGGAGGCTGAGGCAGGAGAATCGCTTGAACCTAGGAGGGGGAGGTTGCAGTGAGCCGAGATCGTGTGACTGTACTCCAGCCAGGGAGCCTGGGTGGCAGAGTGAGACTCCATCTAAAATAAACAAACAACAAACAAAACACACAGTAGAAATCTCAACACATTCACAACTGGTTCTGGTTACCCAGTAGTATTACTTGTGTACAATTAAGCAAGAGACCAAAACCACAGAGCAAGTTGGACAGGGTGGGAATTACAGGGTAGGGAACAGATATAAAAACACAGATGTGCAGATTTCAGCAGAAACGTCAAGGATCCACATCCTGTGTTGGAGCAGAAGGCTCTTTAGAAGCGCATATCCCTTCACCCATCACTCCTATCCTTGGACCCCAAAGCAGGGCCGCAGCTTTTACTTTCAAACCCAGGGTCCTCAAAATGAGCGTGCAAAGTCCATAAACACAATCTGGTTGAAAACAGATGACACAACACACCTACACGAACTGTCTGACTGTTAAATTCATGTTACAAAACACTAACTTCAGGATTTATTTTTGAAACTTTTTTCCACAGAGAAAATAACACACTCCTTGGGGAAAGGTCACAGATTGAGAAGACAGGCCCTAGGTAAAAATTATTAAGACAGCACCTGGAGTTGATAGGCCTGCCTAGGAGAGAAACATGGGCACTGTCACACCACCACAGGGGACTGCTGCTGTCTGAGGTCAGCAGGCCAGTTCACATGCCACGCAAGGTGGCTACTGAGCCAAGTCATAAAAATCTTCCAGATCATCATGGAACAAGTCCCACTCATTTTCAAAGTCTGTCAGTTCATCGTCCCCATCTGCCAAAAGCATAAGCAACATCTCACCCAGCTCAAAGGTGACAACCTCTTCTTCATTGTTGTCAAAGGGGTCATTGTTCTCTCTTTCCTCAATGAGCTCCGAGAAGTGGTTCCTTCACTGGGCCCAGTATCTGTTTGCCTGTCTCTGTGTATCCTTTCTATGGCCATCAGGGAATACCTGCTTGTAAAAACACATCCCCCAAGATGGGCAGCTCCCCTGTCCTTCATCAAAATCCCTGCACGCCTGGCTGCTCATTGCCTCCTTGACTTTCTGGATGAGTTTCTGCTTCTCTTCTTTCTCCCGCCTGGTACTCACTGGGAATGACAAAGTTAGATGTGATCCGGCATTCTGGGTAGGACACTATGATCTTGCTCTCAAATAGCTTAGTGCCCTTCCACTTGTGAATATACTTGAGACAGTAGGCGTGGCTGCAGCTGGAGAGGATCCCAAAGCCACGCTCACTGGGGCTGGCTTTCTCACAGACCACCTCCATGCAGATCCCACACATCGTATCCTTGCTGCACTGCACAGCAAATGAGAGCTCCGTTTCCTTCTCATGGGCCTCAGGACAAGATTTTTATATGCTGTGGTCTCTGGGCAGCATCCATTGGAGGTAGGACCTGCAGCTTACATGATCACATGACTCTCTGTGGAGATACACACAGTTCTACCCATTTCCATCTCTCCCACTGCAGCCTAGGGGCAAAGCAGCTTGTTATCACAGCTGTTTGCTCTTTCTCTGATTCTCCCTTGGTCACTGCAGAAAGGGGCAGTGTACGCTGCAGTAGAGTTGCCCAGGAACAAACTCAACAGCATCTACCCAGTCCTCTGAACCCACTCCTACAGTTGCAAAGTTTGAGTCTGACTCAGCTTCGCCTGTATTCATTTCCACAAGCGGTCCAACTATGAATGAGAGACTTAAGGAAGCAGCAAGGGATGATTTTGTAGTTAGATCTGTAGCAGTTGCTTGTTCGTTTCAGTGGCTTGCTGTGTTCACATCTGCAGCGGCCTCCATAAACACAGTACCGTCGCTGAAAATACTTGCCCACTACGCCATGTGGACTGTCAGAGAGGGAATGCAAGTAGCGACAGTTATGTCCTTCCTTACAAATCCCATGCACAAAATACCAGCAGGTGACCTGTTTAGTTCAGCTGTTGCTGCAGCTACTGCCACTCCTTCTTCCCGTCCCCAGGGATGGGGGTGGTGACTGTGGGATGGGGTGGGATAGCTGCTGCTGCAGGTCCTGCTCCTGATATTGTGGCTGTTGTTCTGGGAGCTGCAGCCTCCACTGTTACTGTTTATCCCACATACCCATTTTTGGTAAAATTAACTGATCCCATGGTTAAGATGATATGTAGGCCAATATACTTTTATATCAATTGTTTCTTTTCTGCCGATGATGATATGATAATAATAACTTTAAAACAGTAAGCTCCAGCCAGCACGGTGGCTCAGGCCTGTAATCCCAGTGCTTTGGGAAGCCAAGGCAGCAGGATCACTTGAGACCAGGAGTTTGAGACCATCCTGGGCAACATAATATAACCCCATCTCTAAAAAACCAAAACAAACAAACAAACAAAAAACACTAGAAAAAATTAGCTGGGCATGGTGGTGCACACCTGTAGTCCCAGCTACTTGGGAAGCTGAGGTAGGAGGATCACGTGAGTCTGAGTGGTCAAGGCTGTAGTGAGCTATGATCGTGCCACTGCACTCCAGCCTGTCCCAGCACTTTGGGAGGCTGAGGTGGGTGGATCATGAGGTCAGGAGATTGAGAACATCCTGGCTAACACGGTGAAACCCCGTCTCCACTAAAATACAAAAGAAATTAGCCGGGCGTGGTGGCGAGCGCCTGTAGTCCCAGCTACTCAGGAACCTGAGGCGGGAGAATGGCATGTATCCAGGAGGTGGAGCTTGCAGTGAGCCAAGATCGTGCCACTTACTCCAGCCTGAGCGACAGAGCGAAACTCCGTCTAAAAAAAAAAAAATTAGAATATGAAAAAGATGGAATTTCTGGGGAAGAGGGGGAATTCATGTTAGGAAACTAGAGGTGTTGATGGGAGAGAGGAAGATTATCCGTCTAGCACATATACCCTATAAATTTCATGTAGACTTTTGGCTCAACATTTTTAACAGTAAACCAATAGGAATATAGAGATAATATAAAAAAATTTTCTTATCTAATCTCTAGGTAAGAATACCAAGCCATCAAAGGCAGTGGCCACAAAAGAAATGACTGCCAAATTTTACTCTAAACAAATTTAAAATCTTGCTTTTAGATAAAAACAAGTAAAAACACACTTAGAAAATACATTTGTTAAGTATATGAAACGGTTTGTTGACTTCATTTAATTATCTCTTACACATTTATAAGAAGATTACACTACCATAAAAATGATCTATGAATATGAAGGGTAGGTAATAAAAGGGAAATGCAAATGAAGAATAAATATGTGAAAACAGCCCATAAATTACAAATTAAAAATGCAAATGTTTATTTATTTATTTATTTATTTTATTTTTTGAGACAGAGTCTCGCTCCGTTGCCCAGACTTGAGTGCAGTTGCTCCATCTAAGCTCATTACAACCTCTGCCTCCTGGGTTCATGCAATTCTCCTGCCTCAGCCTCCCGAGTAGCTGAGATTACAGGTACGCACCATCGCACCTGGCTAATTTTTGTATTTTTAGTAGAAACGGGGTTTTGCCATTTTGGCCAAGCTGGTCTTGAACTCCTGACTTCAGGTGATCTGTCCACCTCAGCCTCCCAAAGTGCTGGGATTACAGGCATGAGCCACTACAACTGGCCAAAAATGTAAATGTTTAAATACACTTTTTGGCCTTTATATAAAGTTGGCAGATTATAAAGAAAAATGATATCTAGGATGGGTATCAGTTTGGGAAAATGTTAATTCTCATAACTTTTTTGAATATAATTTCTAAAACAAATCATGTTTGTTGGAGGCCACTCCACACCAAGATTTAAAATGAGCATGCACTTTAATAGACTAATTCTATTTCTATTAATGTGACCTAAGGAAATAGTTGTCCAAAATATGTGTGTAGGTATATTTCTCACAGTTCATGTTAACAGCAATACACTGTAAAAAATCTAAATGTGAAAAAAGGATAAAATAACTTGTAGGAATCTATAAGGTGAGATGTTAGGTACCCATTAAAAATTATAATGCAGGTGTCTTCCTGCTGGCAAGAATATAAAAGAAAAAATATACAATGTAGGGATATTCTAAATGATATGGCTGGAGTTTACAATATTTTTAAATAAAATGCACTTTCCACACAAAAATAAGGCATTTTTTGGGAAAAATAACGCATATTTCCTAAGGGTTTAAAATATATGTAAATACCAAATACAGGGAAAAAAATTGAACCAAAAGAAAAATTAAAAATCTGCTTCACCCTCACACGTAACAATAGTACAGTCTATGCCAGGATTTTGTTTACAAAAGGCCTAGGAAAATTCAAAACCTGTGTCATTCAACACTAATATCCCCCTAGGAGTAGACATGGAATGGAGAGGAGGCATTCTCAGGGGCATAGATTTACATCCTTTGTGGAATATATGTACGCTAATGCTGCCTTTTTAATTTTCTCAGCTTTAGCTCTGATGTTGTATTGAGTCTTCTCCACTAAATTAACTGCACAGTGCATTGTGGTGTTTGTCTAAGCGTTTTTGTAGTATCTTATAACATCTAATTTCCACTTCAAAGTAATTGATCTTCATGAATTTTTTTAAAACCCTCTAAAAGCTCTACTATTTAATGAATATTTGGATGAGACTGGTGTAGTAATTAAAATACTTAACATTTTAATAAAAGCAAATGTTAGCGATCCACGTTACATAATCATTTAGAATATTCTAAAGCATTAGTAACAATGTGTTCATCACAGGACACTAGTAGTCATGGATTTGATTGTTAAATGGGTCTATTTTAGTTTTTAATGCTAAAGTGATATGGCCAAGTGTTACTGACATAACCAAAGAACAATTAGTGTTCTTTACTGCTTATAAGTGATATGACTCCTCACAAATTTTGGAAACTTTGGGAGATCTGTATGATATTGAAATTTGTACCTAATATTGATGTAGGGCAGGCAAGCCCCCAGATTAGGGCTTAGCCTGGGACAGTTTTTGGTGACCTGGTGGTGTTGGACAGTAACTTTTACTGAGGCGGCGGTGCACGACAGCAGCAGAAATACTGCTTGTAGAGTGGGGCTCCCCGATAGGTGGTGTGTCCAGAGTAGCAGCTCAGGGACACTTCCGCAGTTGTGTTTACACCCACATTTTTTTTTTTTTTGAGACGGAGTCTCGCTCTGTCGCCCAGGCTGGAGTGCAATGGTGCAACCTCGGCTCACTGCAACCTCAACCCCCAGGTTCAAGTGATTCTCCCACCTCAGCCTCCTGAGTAGCTGAGATTACAGGCACCCGCCATCATGACTGGCTAATTTTTTTTTTTTTTTGGTATTTTTGTAGAGACAGGGTTTCACCATGTTGACCAGGCTGGTCTTGAACTCCTGACCTCAGGTGATTCACCCGCCTCAGCCTCCGTAAGTGTTGGGATTACGGGCGTGAGCTACACCCCCGGGCCTATACCCACTTTTAAATATATGCAAATTAACAGGCAGATTATGCAGAGATATTTAGAAAAAGGGTGGTAATCTCCAGGTTGTCAGGCTGTTGCCATGGAAAGAGGCTGTAACTTCCAGTGTTGCCATGGCAACGGTAAACTGACATGGCACTCACGGGTGGGCATGTCTTATGGAGAGGGGCTTTTGCTTCTTCCCTGTTTTAGCTAGTCTTTAACATGGTCTGCAGTCTGACCTGCCTCTGGAGTCGAATCTCACCTCCTACCTCAATATGAGACATAATTACTAATATGATCATTCTTTGGTATCATTTCAAATTTGTATAATTGAAATTCCTGTACTATAGGTGGCACTGTACTAGGTATTTTCTATAGTTTCATTTGAAATGTATAGATGTAAATACTTGGAAAGAAAGTCAAGAACAATACACGCTGACCTGATGACAGTACTGATTTCTCTAGAGAAGATCAACTTAAATGGGACTTATTGCTAATATTTTACTTTTTTTATCAACAAAAACATGTACTCATTTTATTTGATATATAATTAAAAACTGACCATGTGAAAATAATGGTATCAGTAGACAACACTATACCTGTAATAAGAAAAACCCAGAATCATAATTGAAAACTATCCCCCAAACTGGGAGGGAGCCAAGAGACCAAAAAGTGAGTTAGGCAAGTCCAGTTTGGCAAGTAGATGAGTTTATTAGGACTTACATATGAGGCACTCCCGGACGGTAGCAGGACACCTTTAGAGATCCACCCCGCCTCCCAGCCCTATGCTCCTTTTTTTTTTTTTTTTGAGACGGAGTCTCGCTCTGTCGCCCAGGCTGGAGTGCGGTGGAGTGATCTTGGCTCACTGCAAGCTCCGCCTCCCAGGTTCACGCCATTCTCCTGCCTCAGCCTCCTGAGTAGCTGAGACTACAGGTGCCCACCACCACACTGGGCTATTTTTTTTTTGTATTTTTTAGTAGAGACGGGGTTTCACCATGTTAGCCAGGATGGTCTCGATCTCCTGACCTCGTGATCCGCCCACTTCAGCCTCCCAAAGTGCTGGGATTACAGACGTGTGCCACTGCGCCTGGCCCCTAAGCTACTTTTAAGCAAATTTTCTGGCTCTTTGCCGACTGTGTGTGCAATGAGACTGTTTTCTTGTAGATTCTTAGATACCCTCTGGGATGCTTGGGTTCACAGGGACACCTGCTCCTTGGCTGGGCACCATGACCTTGGCTCATTGGCTCGCCTTCAGGGTTCAGGCAGCAGACATACACCCTTAAGCAAACTGATGGGGGACCCATCACACTACAGTACCACACTTGCTTAACCATATTATGAATGGGTTGGAGAATTCTAAGCTGTCTTTTCCCTTGGCTGGTGACTTCTCATATCTCATACTCACAATTGCTACCCTTAAAATAGGGACAAGATTCATCCCACTCAGGCTTTTGTATTTAAAATAGTAGAGCTCCCAGAGCTCCTAGGACAATACCCACCTAATAAAAAATAGGTGCTCCATAAAAGACAGTTAATTTTAACTTCTCTCATTTTACAGAGAAAGAAACTAGGGCCAAAGAGGGACAGTGAGTTTTTCAAGGCCCTACAATAATTTTTATGAGCTGAGGCTGAAGCCTAGGTCCCCTGGCTGGCTGCCAATTCCCTCCCACTAGGAGATCTCCCACCACCCCTTATTGGCTCCATCTTTCCTCCTCCTACTTTGCCTTCCACCCAAATGGCCCTTCAAGTGAAGCAAGCACTGATTCCAGGTCTTGGTTGTCTCCTTCCTTTGTGTGCTCCATTGAGGTGACCAAATTGCTAGTGATTTCAGCTGAAGGAAACTACCCTGAGATGTGAGGCTTTCTGTGGGAGAGGCAGGAGGGATGCCTTATGGCCAATGGAGTCTAGAACACAATCTCAAGGTATACTGCAGGTGGGAATCACTGTAGCCATTTTATCAGAGAGGAACGCGAGGGACAGAGTGGGTTGAGACAGGTCCAAAGATAAACACTATATTTTTATGCTAATTATATTCTATCTCTTCTTTACACTTTAACCACCCAAGCATGCATTCATAAACACTCCATTTTACGCATCTGTAAACACTCTATTTTAGCTTTGCCTGTTACTTGAAGTCCAGATAAATGGAAAAACACTTTATAAGTTCCCTTGTGTCTATGTTTGTGACATTTGTTCATGCTATCATGTTTAGCATGTTATTTTTATTACTGTACAATATTTCAGTATATGAGTACACTGCCATATAATTATCCATTCTACTTCTAATGGATGTTTGAATTTTTCCAGTTTATAGACATTATAGTGCTGCTATGAACATTCTTGTACACAAATTCTGGTGAACAAAAGCATGAATTTCCATAAGATATTACCTAAGACTGTAATTGCTAAGTTATAGGGTACAGATATCTTCAATTTTAGTAGATAATGCTAAAATATTTTCTTTCTGGAAATTGTAAAAATACACTCTTCACCAACAATGTGTGTGATTCCAGTTGTTCCACATTCTTGCCAAAACTTGGTATTGTCAATCATTTTAGTTTTAGCCAATCCTTTTAATTTTAGGTGGTTGTGTGGTACTATGTCATTTTGGGATTCGATTTCTCATAATTACTGATGAGGCTGAGCACCTTTTCTATACCTATTGTCCATTTTGATATTGGGTGTGTGTGACGTGCCTGTTCAAGTATTTTGCCCATTTTTAAAATTGGGTTGTCTGCTATCAATTCAAAAAGGTTTTGTGTATATACAGTATAAGAATACTGTGTCAGGTATATTTATTACCAATACCTTCTTCCATTCTTTGGCTTGCCTCTTTCACTCTTTTAATGGTGTCTTTTGAGGAACAGGAGTTCTTAATTTTAATGTAGTCAAATTTATCAATCTTTTCCTTTCTGGTTAATGTGGTTTTGTCCTATTTAAGACACCTTTTCCTACTTCAAATTCATGAAAATATTGTCCTATTATATCACCTAATGCTTTGTTTTACTTTTCACAATTAGAGATAAATTCACATGGGATTTATTTAAGTATACGGTGAAAGGTAGATTTCTTTCTTTCTCATATAATTTCCCACATGACTCAACACCATCTATTGAAAAGATCATTCCTTCCCCACTGCTCTGCAGTATGGCTTTTTTCATAAGCTATATAGGTTTATTTCTGGGTTCTATATTTTGTTTCTTTCCTTTAATTATCTGTTCTTATGCCAACACCATACTTAATTACTGTAATTTTAAAATAAGTCTTAATATCTGGTAGTATAAGTCTCTTAACTTTGTTCTTCAAGATTGGCTGGGCTATTCTTGGCCATTTGCATTTCTAGGTACATTGTAATGTTAACATCAATTTCCACAAAAAAGCTTGCTAGGATTTTGACAGGGATTGCATTGAATTTATCAATTAACTTGTCAAATCTTGACATCTTTACAATATTTAGTTTTCTAATTCATGGACATAGTAATCACTACATTTATTTAGGTCTTCAGTTTTCCTAAGCCCTCCAAGTGTCCACTCATGTCTTTCCAGCATAATAGCCAAAGTCCTCACTTTGACTTATGAGGCCCTAAATGATCTGTTTCCTGTTAACTCTTTTGACTTTCTCCCCTGCTACTCCACCCCTTGCGGAATATAGTCCAGCTATGGTGGCCTCCTTGCTGTTCTAGACCCTGAGGAGACAGCAGTGAACATATGCAAAAAGCTCTCCCCTTATAAAGTTCCCCATTCTAATGAGGAAACAGATAATAAACCATATCAATAAATAAAATACATAGTAAGTTAAATGGTGATGTGTAGTAGAGAAAAACATATACAGTAGGGAGAAGAAATATGAAATGGCAGGAGGTTAACATTTTAGACTGAGTGGCCAAGGAAGGCCTGAGAAGATAGCTTTTAAGTCGATATTTTAAGAAAGCCAGAAAAATAGCCATGTGGATTCCAGGAGGAAGGGTCTCCCAGGCAGAGAAATCACAAAGTGTAAAAACTCTAGGACGGCCTAAATAGCTCCTTGTGTTCAAGGATTGGTAAGAAGGCTACTGAAGCTGAAAAAGAAGAGGGATAAAGGGTTAA
Organism: Homo sapiens; assembly: GCF_000001405.40. NCBI lineage: Eukaryota > Metazoa > Chordata > Mammalia > Primates > Hominidae > Homo > Homo sapiens. The sequence continues at coordinate 46,472,665 of NC_000020.11, forward strand.
CAGGAGAATAGGTCAGGTAGGTAGGGTCTCATAAGGAAGAGTGAAGATTTAGGCTTTTAATCTGGGTCATGTGGGGGCCACCAGAATACTTGAGAGCAGTGAGTGGCTCTGTCTTAAGGGCAGGGATTGCCCTGACTGCACGGGGGCAAGGGTAGAAGCAGGAATCCAGATGAGAGACGACGGTGGCTTGGACCAGAGTTGTGTCAGTGAAATCATGGGAAGAGGTCAAATTCTTAATATATTTGGCAGGTAATCTGACAGGATTTGTTGATTACTAGATGTGGATATATTAGAAACAGAGAAGTCGGGGTTGACACCTCAGCCAAAGCAACTGATTTAATTCTTTTGGTAGTTGTAGACCTATTCATATTTTCTATCTCTTTCTGCATCAGTTAGTCAATTTTAGTACCTTTTATTTTCTAAAAGTTTATTTATTTGGTCCACTTTTATTGGCATAAATTGTTCATCCCTCTCTTTTATAACATTTTAAATGTATGCATCATTTGTAAATCTTATTTTTATTTGAAAAGATTCATTTCTTCTGTTTATCAGGCTACCCTCGTATTCCAATATTCATTATTTGTACCTTTTCTGTTCTAAGTAAGTTTCATTAGTGTTAATTTTATTAGTCTTTTTAATAACTGAATTTTGACTTTGTTGCTTCCTTGCATTGTATGGTTTCTATTTCAGATTGCTATTTGGTATTTCTTTGTTTATACTTTGTTTTGCTGTTCCAACATCTTGAGATAAGTGCTTCATTATTAATTTTTTCTTGTATTCTTTTCAGTTGTATGCATGTAAGATGATAAACTTCTCCTTAAGAACTGCTCTAACTATACCTTGATAGACAGTTCTTTCTTATGATTCAGTTCAAACTATCCTTTTATTTCCTTCAGTTTGATAACAATCCCATTCAAGATCATTTATTCTTCATCCCCTCCTGTCCTCACTTTCCCAGATTTCAATCATGCATTTAAAAATGGAGAACATATTATCTAAATACAGACTCCTAGCTGCTAAGGATTTATTCATCAATGAACAAGATAGACAAATCCTGCTCCCTCATGGAGTGTACATTCTAGTGAGGAAGACAAACCAGTTACAAATGTACAGGGTGGCTATAAAGTTGGGAAACATGAGTAAATATTTACTTTATGTGAGCATGTTTTATAATCAATTAATACCTGCACTTGACAGGGTAGGGGAAGGTCACCCAAAGTGAGATTGTACGTGATTGTATATTGGGATTGTATGTGACCCCATTATGCCAGAATGCAGAGGGACTGGTTTGATGATTAATTTTCAAAGATGGATTGGGTGATATGGCCACGTGGAATTGGCTGTGCACTCTCCAGATCTTAAGCTCATCAATTACTTCTTCTGAGGGATGCTAAATGCACTGGTGAGTCTTGTGAAAATCAGAGTCAAGGCCGGGCGCTGTGGCTCACGCCTGTAATCCCAGCACTTTGGGAGGCTGAGGTGGGTGGATCACGAGGTCAGGAATTCGAGACCAGCCTGGCTGACATGGCGAAACCCCGTCTCTACTAAAAATACAAAAATTAGCTGAGTGTGGTGGCATGTGCCTGTAATCCCAGCTACTTGGGAGGCTGAGGCAGGAGAATCACTTGAACCCGGGAGGTGGGAGGTGGAGGTTGCAGTGAGCCAAGACCATGCCACTGCATTCCAGCTGGGGCAACAGAGTGAGACCGTATCTCAAAAAAAAAAAAAAAATGGAAATCAGAGTCAAAGCACACTGAACCACACATTGCTAACTAGGGAGAAGAATTTGAATATATTGTAACATCAGTAAACAATTATATATATGTATATACTCACCTATATCCAGAATGTATGGCCACCATGTAGACCGATGAGGAGTCAATAGCCAGAATAATCAGATCATGCTGATCCAAATCCACATCTGTAGGAGTTTAAAGTCTTATATAGAGGCCTACCACCTCTGCAAGATGCCTTGAAGTCTTTTTGCTCAAATTCTCCCTTTGCATGTTGGGGCTAAAGCAAATCTAGAACAAAGAATTATTGTTAAGACTAAGTGTAAAGTATGTGAAGTATAAAGAGCAAAATGCTAAACAGACAAAGTCTTCAATAGATACAATAATTGCATAATGTATTGCTCTTTGGGGGCAAATCAGGGTGCAAATAATTTCACCAATTGGCATAAGCTTCTATCACCTTGGTTAAATTAGGAGCTATGATAACCCCCATCAATAAATGGTAGTTTAGTGAGAGAGACAGAGAGAAGAGAAGAGGGGGTGAAGGGACAGAAAGGAACAGAAACAGAGGCACAGATAGATTATCAAAGTTGACAGGAGCTTCCAGTATCATCCAGTACTTATTCTCACCCTGTGATTTACATGCCCTAAGGAAACTGTGGGTCTATTCCAACAAGTAAAGGAAACCACAGGATTTACTTGGCATATCTCCTTGGAGGATAAATTGTACTTAATGTCACATAATAAAAGCCATTACTATTCTATGAAAAATATAAATATGGAGTAAATCACAAAATCATTCATTTTAAAAATAAAAACTAACCTTTTCAGCAAATGGTGCTGGAGCAATTGGGCATCCATAGACATAAAAAACCAAACCTTGACTTAAACCTCAAATTTTATACAAAAACGAACTCAAAATGAATCATGGACATAAATGTAAAACTATAAAACTTTTAGGAAAAAATAAAAATCTTTAGACTGGAAACAAAAACATGATCCATAAAAGAAGATATTTATAAATTAGACCTCATCAAAATTAAAAACTTTTGCTCTGTGAAAGACAAGTGAAGAGAATGAAATGACAAACTACAAAGTGGGAGAACGTATTTACAAACTACACATTTGACGAAGGGTTGGTATCTAATATATACAAAGACCTCTCGAAACTCAACAGCAAAAAAAGAAAAAAAAATCCAATTAGAAAGTGGGAAAAAGACATGAAAGGACATTTCAATGACAAGGATATACAGATGGAAAATAAGCACATGAAAAGTGTTCAACATCATTAGCCAGTAAGGAAATGCAAATTAAAACCACAGTGTGATATCACTACATGCCTATCAAAATGGCTAAAATAAAAAACAGTAACACCACTACATGCTGGCCAGGATGTGGTGAGACTGGATCACTCATACATTGCTGGTGGGAATGTAAAATGGTACAATCACTCTGGAAAATAGTTTGGCAGTTTCTTATGTGCAATTCCTCTACAACCTGGCAATTTTACTAATGGGCATTTATCCCAGAAAATAAAAACATATGTTAGCACAAGAACCTATACACTAATTTTCATAGTAGCTTCATTTGTAATAGCCCCAAACAGGAAGCAGCTCAGATGCCTTTTAAACAAATGGCATACATCCATACCACGGAATACTATTCAGCAATAACAAGAAGCAAATTATCAATACATATAGTGACTTGGATGAATCTCCAGGGAATTATGTTGATGATAAAAACCAATCCCAGAAGTTATATACTGCATGATAATATTTATATAACATTCTTGAAACGATAATATTTTAGAAATGGAGAAGAGATTAGTAGTTACCTGGGACAGGAGAGAGACTGGGGAGGCAGTGGGTGTGGTTATTGAAGAAGTTAATGTGGGTAACACCAGAGATCCTGGAGGTGATGACAGTGTTCTGTAACATGACAATGGTGGTGAATACTAGAACCTACATGTGATAAAACTGTATAGAATTAACACACACATACAAATGAAGTAAAGCTAAGGAAATATGAATAAGATCGGAGAATTTTATCAACCTCAATATCCTGGTTTTGATATTGTACTATCATTTTGCAAGATGTTACCATTAGGCAAAACTGGGTAAAGGGTATATGAGGGCTCTATTTTTTCTTGCAACTGCATGTCAACCTACAATTATCTCAATACAAATGTCAATTATACAAAATAGAAGTTAGATTTAATGTCTTTCTTTTTTATATGTGCAGTCTCAGGTTATACCTGCAGAACCATATACTTGTATTATGCTGCTGACAAAAAAGTGTGAAAGAACCCAATGCCTTCATTTTAAAGATGAGTCACATAAAGGTTAGGCGACTATCCAAGCTGATAAAGCTTGTTTATATTAAGCATTTATCATGGTTTCTGCCTTTCCATAAGTTATAATGATGGAGAATTTTATGGCAATGTTAAGACGTCCAGTCCTGGGTTCAGACAACTTTGGGATATATCCTATCAGGATTCAAACGGTCTCACCATGTGATCTTAGAAAAATAATGTTTGCATTTTCTACTCATTGAAATGAGATAATAAAATAATCCCATACACCGATGGGATTTCAAGATACTGAAATAAAATAATTCATGCTGGTACAGTGGATGCGTGATAGGAGACTCTCAAAATAATGCCTGTTTTCCGGCATATTAAGTGCTGGACACTAGAGCTAAAGGCTTTGAATACAAAGAGATAAAAGGTACAGCTTCTGCTTCCATAAACAGAGTCTAGGAGAGAGAATAACACAAAGATAATTGCACAGATTAAAATGTGAAAAATAGGAGAGTACAGGGAATTGGTGGTTGATGAGGCTGGATAAGTAAATGCAGCAGGTGAGGAAGGCACCTTTTTAGGAATCCACACTTTGGCTAGGTTTATGTCATCAAAGAGCCTAACAGCCTGTTTTTTTGTTTTTTGGTTTTTTTTTTTCACGTGACAGGATCTTGCTTTATTGCCCAGGCTGGAGTGCAGTGATGTGATCATAGCTCACTGCTGCCTCAAATGGTGGGGCTCAAGTGATCTTCTCACCTCAGCCTCCCAAGTAGCCTGGACTATAGGCACATGCCACCATACCTGGAATTTTAAAAGTGTTTGTAGAGACAAGGTCTTGCTATGTTGCCCAGGATGGTCTCAGACTTCTGGCCTCAGGAAATCCTCCTGCCTCAGCCCTGTAAAGTGCTAGGATTACAGGTATGAGCCGCCATGGCTGGCCGAGAGCCTGGTCTTTTAGAGTTAGATGGATTTGAGGATGGAGCTCAGTGCTATCCCTCACCAGCTGTGTTACTGTGGGCAAAATTGCTTATTTTTCTAATCCTCCCTTTTCTCAACCCCAAAATAAGAAGATTGCAATAGAATAATTCCCTCTAGGGTGGCTGTGTCAGTTAATGAGATCATGAATATGGACATGCTTAGCACTCAGTATCTTCCTGCAGCTTGCTAAAATAGCCACAGTGTATGCAAAAATGTAAATATCTTTCGGTATAACTGGGCTACAAATGATGGTAGAAAACATAATCATACCACTCCAAGGTCATTTCACATCTTCATGTTTAAAACAGACTATTCTGAAATAGTCATTTGATTGAGAAATTAAATTATCTGATTTCAACATTCACATGTGCTCTCTGGTACATTCTCTCCTCTCAAGCACTCTCTCTCCCTTTCCTCTGATTTTGTCTCAGAATTATAGTTGTCAATGAAAAGAGTCAAACCCTGTAAAACATTTGAAGAGATTTATTCTGAGCCAAATATGAGTGACCAATGGCCCACAACACAGCCTTCAGGAGATCCCAAACACATGTGCCTAAGGTGGTCAGGCTACAACTTGGTTTTATACATTTTAGGGACACAAAAGACATTAATCAGTACAAAAAAGATGTACACTGGTTCAGTCTGGAAAGGTGGGACAACTGGAAGGCAAGGGCTTCCAGGTCATAAGCAGATTCAAATACTTTCTGACTGGCAATTGGTTGAAAGGATTAAGTTATTACCTAAAGACTTAGAATCAATGGAAAGGAACGTCTGGGCTAAGGGGTTGTGAAGACCAAGTTTTTATCATGCAGGCAAAGTCTCCAGGTAGCTGGCTTTAGAGAGAATACATTATAAATTATTCTTATCAGACTTAGAGAGTCTGTTCTCTCAGTAATTTCAAAAGGGAGGAGGGTATAATGAGGCATGTCCGACCCCACTTCCCATCATGGCCTGAACTAGTTTTTCAGGTTAACTTCGGAATTTACTTTGCTGAGAGGAGAGGTCCATTGCAGTGGTTGGAGGGCTTAGAATTTTATTTTTGGTTTACATAGTCTTTGTGCAGGGGAACACTTAACAAAAAATGAAGGAGCAAGGGAATATGTGTCAGGTCTGGGTGCTGGTGGCTGGGCCCTGCTGGCTTCTGTAGGGGCATTTCACCCCGTTGGGTCTTTGGTTTAGGCTTCAGTCCTGCTGCATCCCCTGCTGGGGTCATTTGGTCCCCCTGGCCTTTGGATGCAAGTGAGCATCTGGGCCCACTGTCCTCCTACAAGGCCTCTGGTCCAGATGTCCTCACCCTGTGCTCACCTCACCCCATCCCTGGCCACCCTCAGTCTCTGGCCCTCTGTATCAGTTATTTATTGCTGCTGGAACAAATGCCTGCAAACTTAGTGGCTCAAAATAAAAACTTTTCTTAGAGGTCTGGAGGTTAGAAGTCCAAAGCAGGTCTCATGGGGCTAAAATCAAGGTGCTGGAGAGACTGTGCTCTTTCTGAAGGCTCTAGGGGGGAACCTGTCTCCTTGCCTTTTCTTGCTTCTGGAGGCTCCTACCTGTCTTTTATTATCTGATTTTCTTGCCTCCCTCTTTTAAGGACCCTTTTGATTATATCAGACCCACCCGGATAATCCAGGATAATTGTCCCAACTCAGGATTCTGTAAGCCAAAACAAAAATCCCAGGCCCCCCAACAGACTGAACAGAGCCAAGAGAAACCTGAAAAATGAAATTCACAATCATCATGGGAAGGGAGGTTGGACACACCTCGTTATACCCTCTCCCTTTTGGAGTTCAGCACAACTGACCAGCATTAACACTAAAATAGAGATCACAAGACTGACAAAACAGACTCTGTGGCAATAAGAGATCAAATTCCATCCTGACTCTAGTGTAGCATCACATGACAGATATCAGACCCTGAAGGAAATCAAAGTATTTTACCCCAAAATACATTTCTCTGACACTTTGAAATGGCCCTGCAAAGCTGTCTTGTGTGGGGAAAATTCTACATCTGTAGAGAACCTCCATTAATGCAGCCCAGTCTTTCTGGGATCTAGGAGAGATTAACTAAGAGTCTGACACCTTTAAGGTATGAAAAGACACATTTACCATCTATTCCCACTGAAGCCTGCTACCTGGAGGCTTCATCTACATAATAAGAACCTTGGCTTCCACAACTCTCCCCACCCGCTTACCTTAACCAAAGCATTTCTTTCTACTGATTTCAAATAGTTTAACTCTTTCAAACAATTGCCAATCAGATAATTTTTGAATCCATCTATGACCTGTAAGCTCCCCCACTCTTTGAGATGTCTCACCTTTCCAGGCCAAATCAATATATTCCTTACATGTATTGATCTATGTCTTTGCCTGTAACTTGTCTCCCTAAACTATATAAAACCAAACTGTAATCTGACCTCCTTGGGCACCCTTTCTCAGGACCCCCTGAGGCTCTTCCTGGAGCCATGGTCACTCATATTGGCTTAGAATAAACTCCTTTAAATATTTTACAGAGTTTGGGTTTTTTGTTCACAATTATTAATCACACATTTGCCAAGTAAGGTCACATACTCACAGGTTCTGGGGGTTAGGATGTGGACATGTTTGGGGGGCAATTGTTCTGCTTTCCATACCCTCCTATCATTCCCAACCCCTTTCTGGGACAAGCAGCACACACTGGATTCCCCCATGTCACTGATGGGCCATGGGAAAGTGGAGATGCTACTTTACGCCGTCCCGCTGCTGAAAGCGCCAAACTGCCTCTCCTCCTCCATGCAGCTGCCTCATGGGGGTGGGAGGCACCAGGTGAGGCCCCTTATCTCAGAGATTGAAGTGGAAAGAGTGGCACAAACCTATCTGGGTGTGTGTTATATGACATCATTCCTGGGGTACATAGGAGGCATGAATAAAGAGCACTGGGGAATTTTCAGCCTAAGCCTTGATGTGACAATCCTGCATTCCCCAATCCTTCCTGTTCCCACTATAATCAGGACCAAAAGAGCTGAATCCTGCAGGTAGTGAGCTGGGCTTGATTAGGAAATGAGAAGGTTCTGGGTGTGATGATCTAAGTTCCATATAGGTAGGCTCAGATGCATGCTGGGCTTGCTAGCTGTATCGGAGTTGATCTTTCTGAGAAGGTGAGTTCAAGCTCTGTTTCACTGGGTGGCAGGGAAAGTTTTGTTCAAGGCAGAAATGGAAAGTAGAGTCTCACACTTTGACACATAGGGAGAGACCCCAGTATCCAAAATCCCAGCTGCTGCAGCATACCCGTGGGCTCTCTTGAGGGCCCAGGAGGAGAAAGAACCTGAAAGCCAAGGTTGGTACGCTGTTATGGATTCCTGGTTTCCTCTGTGTGTGTGGTTGGGGGTAGGGGTTGGAGTACCTGTTCTCACATGCTTCTGTCCTCAATTTTAAGGTGTGGCTTCTCAGGAGTCTGTGTTCCCTGAGAACAGGAGGTGAAGAATGAAAAGGAAAATGGCTCGGTCATTTCTAGAGGTGATATCACAGGTGAACTGCTTACTTCTGATTTCCTTCCTAAAATACCAATTTACAGGGCTAAAGACATTTTGCATTTGTTCCACAAGGATGCAGCTCCCCATTCTGGTGATGAGGTGACAGTCAGAGAGGCAACAGAGGGGACCTAAATAACCCAGAAGCTTTCTTTAGTGACCCAAGATTTAGTATTCATTCAACAAACTGCTCAAGGTCTGACCCAAGATTTAGTATTCATTCAACAAACTGCTCAACGACTGACCCAAGATTTAGGATTCATTCAACAAACTACTCAAGGACTGACTGACCAAGAGGAGTCATTAGCACAGGTCTTCTAGGCATGAATTTGTTTGAAAACTTTTAAGCTGAAGAATAGGAGTCCCTGGGGATAGTGAGTTCAGTTTGAAGTTGGACAGCTTGCATGTGTTGGCAGCGCAGGGAGCAATGGCTTAACTTGCTCTCAAATCTATGGGAGAGCTGGAGCAGGGCACAGGCAGTCAGGTGGATGGGATGAAGGTGGAGGGATGCCACCATATTTCTGGGTAACAAAAGGGCACTCGTCCTGACAGACTTAAAATCCAACACATCAAACTATGCTAATTAAAATAATATAGAAATGATAATACGTTGATGGGTAAACAGAAGAAAATAGAAGGCCAGATACACATTGTGGTAGAATGAACAATCTCCCCCACCCATTGCAAAATGTCCCCATCCTAGTCCCTGGAAGCTGTGAATGTGTTACCTTACATGGTAAAAGGGACTTTGCAGGTGTCATTAAGTTGAGGATCTTCAGATGGGGGGTTTCTCCTGGGTTGTCTGGGTGGGCCTGAAATGTAATCACTGGGTCTCTGTAAGAAACAGGCAGGGGGATGCTATGTTGTTGGCTTTGAAGACAGGATAGGGCTGGCCACGAGCCAAGGAATGCAGGTGGTTTCTAGAAAAGTTGAGGAATCAGATTCTTCCTAGAGCCTGCAGCAGGGACACAGCACTGCTAACCCATATTGTACTTCTGAACTCCACAACTGTAAGATTATAAATTTGTGTTGTTTTAAGCCATGAAGTTGGTGGTAATTTGTTATGGCAGCAGTAAGAAACATTAGCCTCTCACTAATCCACATATTTAGGGCCCAATGTTTAGAAGAACTGAGTAAATGATGGAGATCACGTTTCCATTAGAGGACAGGCTGATTTAATTGTGGCATCAAATAACAATGTCCAAATATAATAGCTAGAATTCCATTGAATCATAAACGAATTTACCAAAACATCTTTTAAAATGAAGTCTGTGAAGACATTTTCATCCCTCAATCAGGCAGACCTGAGTTAAATTTTACTTCTGTAATTTTTAATTTTTCAAATTATATAAGAAATCTATCAATGTATGATCTTTTTAACAATGCAGATGAATAATTTTTTAAAGACCTTTTTAATCATTAACCCTACTCAACCACTGTCTTTAGTTTTTTACACAATAGATCTTTTTTTATATCAATAAAATATCAATTAAAAAAGATCTATTGTGTATAGATATGTAAAGTAACATCTCCACTTTCCCATGGCCCATCAATGACACAGGGGAATATGTCTATATTCTGTAAATTTTTAAGTTTTGTAATTTATTTTGGAGATGTTTCCGTAGCAGCACGCATAGATGGCCCTTATTCTCAACATCTGCAACGTGTTCTACAGTGTGAATTGTCCTGTTTTTGGACCTTTCTCCTGTTTATAGATCTCTATGTTTGCAGTATTTCAGTGGTAGACACAATGTTGCCATGAAGTCTCTACATATTCTTAAACTTTAAGAAAGCTATCTAGACTTAGAATTTCTGAGTCAAGGGCATGCACCTTTAACCATGTGAGATACTGTCAAGTCATGCTTCAAAAGTACTATGCTGACTTTGAAGTCCACAAATCAGTGTGATTGATGGCTTGGTTACATCCCTTAAAAACACTGGATAGTATCCAGGTTTTAAATGTTGTGACTGTCTCGCCAAAACAAGCAAGACTTGCTGCTAATATAATGCGCATTTAATTGAGAAGAGTTTGTCCACTTATTGATCATTTGTATGCTTTCTTCAGTGAACTTTTCATTCATATACTTTAGGCATTTGTCTAGTCTGCAGCTTCTATTTTTTTTTCTTATTGATCTGTATAAATTCTGAATGAGTTCCTTGTTGGTTATACAACATACTAATTTAAGTTTTTTCTGTGTCCCTTTTATTTTTTCACAGAGATTTTTCTCCTTTATAAGGTCGATTTTATTATTTTCTTTTATCTGGCACTTGAGTCTTTAAGACATTTTTCTATTGTAAGTCTGAAAATCCTCATTTTCTAACATTTTAATAGTTTTAATAATTATCTTTTATTTCATCTGGAACATAGTCTCATAGTCAGGGAGGGATCTTGCTCTCCCCCTACTAAGGGATATTCAGTTATTGCCTCAGTATTCATTGAATTGTTTCCCAACAGACTTGCAGGTCATCTTTTTTAGGCAGTAAACATTCCCATATTTGCATCTGTTTCTGGGCTCTCTTTCTTTGATCTCTTCATCTGTGCTGATGACATTCCTAACCCACTTGAATTACTACAACTTGACTCTGCACCCTGGCAAGAACAAGACCTTCATTAACTTTTCATGTAAAAAACTAGTCTGTCACATTTTTCCCTTGTGTGAAAATCATGTATCTGTTTATCACAGTTTATAAAATAATCTTAATGGATTTTTTAAATGGAGATACTATTGAATTTATGTATATACTTGGGAGACCTGACATGGTTCTAGTATTACTTGCAAAGAACTTTTGACTGTTCATATTGAGAGACTCTGTCAAATCTTTAGTTTTGACTGATTTATAATACTGGTCCAAAACCCAGTAGGTTCAAGACTCAAGAAGAGCTGATGCTCCAGTTTCAGTCTGAATCAGCAAAAAACCGATGTCCCATCCCATGCAGTCAGGCAGGACGAATTCCCTTATCATTCTGCTTGGGTGGGATTCTGACTTAGAGGTATTTGGTCATAATCCCACAGATGGTAGCTCTACCCCACTGACTCAGCCAAGCATGAACACCAAATGTATGTTTCCTTAGCTGTTACTTTATCATAAGTAATTTTGTCTTCCTAAACTCTACAAGAGTAAATCATACTTTTATTGTCTGCACTTTCTATTATAGCTTTTGGTCACATATTCTAATGTATCCTTATATCCTGTGTGATTCCCTAGAATGCCCAATTTGAAAGATATCTACCAGAGGCCACGTGGAGGCATGTATACATATAAAGTATAAATTGTTATTTCAGGAGTTGGTGAGATTTAGAGATGTGGCCGTGGTCTTCTCACCAGAAGAGTGGGATCATCTGACTCCTGAACAGAGAAACCTGTATAAAGATGTGATGCTGGATAACTGTAAATACCTTGCGTCTTTGGGTAAGGAAGGTCTTGTTAGTTCACAACTGCCCATGGGAGAATTTTCTCCTTCTGTGCAAATATCTGCAACACTCCCTGAAAATGCCAGTTGAATTTTCTAACTTCATATTCTTCAGTAAAGCATCGTAGCTCTGTGTTAAGAGAAGACATTTTCATCTTGGGATGATACAAGCTTCCTATTCCCCACTGTCCTCAAAATCATCACACCATTCTCCAAAACTATAGTCTGAGGCTGTCATATGCCTAAGAAACAGCTGGGGAATGGTTTAAAATGAAGATGGTTTTTTATACAAAAACACTGCTTTAGAGGTTCTGGGAAGATTGAGATGTTAATGAGATTCCTCATCACTAAAAATGTGGGTCTAAATTCTGTAATAACCACAGCATGGTCAAGATCATTTATTTTTCTTAGGAAACTGGACTTATAAGGCACACGTGATGTCCTCTTTGAAGCAAGGGAAGGAGCCCTGGATGATGGAGAGAGAGGTGACAGGTGATCCCTGCCCAGGTAACAAGCAGATGGAAGTCATCACAGCTCACACCTCAACTCAGAGTAACCTGGACACTCCCCCTCCAACCCCCACCAGGAGGTGACAGGAGAAGAGCTTTCCCCTGGGCTTCTGTCCATGAGTTTCCAAAGGAATCTTTACCCCACGTTTATCACTCTCCCTGTACCCTTTTTGTTATAATTCTAGTCTTAGGACAGTAAACGGTGTGCTGGGAAAAGTTTGGAATTTAAGTTACTACCCAAATGGATAAAAGGATGAATAGCTGAATAGGTCAAAAAACTTGTCAGTGATTACAATGAATGAATGGGTTAGCTCGGAAAAGTGTCACAGAAGGTTTTTTTTGTTTTTTTTTTTAAGAAAATTCTGGAGAGAGACTGATTTTCTCTTCAGGTTATTAGTTTAGAGAATGACAAATCAGGAAAACAAATTTACCATCTAGTTGGAAAGAGACGACTACCTTCATTAACAGAAGGTAGAACTCGCCAGAATGTAAGATGATCCAGAGATTTCAGAGAAACTTGTTTCTCGAGTTTCAGTGCTGACATCAGGGAAGGCAGCTCATTCATAGGCTCCTAAAAGTCAGGGGATAAAAAGCTGGGTTAGATGATGATGAATTTCGGTCTGGAGTATCATTTTATCTAAAGAGTAAAATACCAAATTCATTTAAGCTATGGGCATTTTGGAAAGTGGACTGGAATCCACTTATTAAAGATTTTATAAGAATTGTTCACAAGAATTCCAAATAACCCTGTTTATTCTTTAAATACTTAATAACTTGGTCCAAACTCCTCTCCTACCCCCAAAATACTTCTTTTCTCTCCCTTAAACTTTCATTTTTTATGCACCTCTGAACATTTTTCTATGAAGTTATAGTCACTTTCACATTTACTGCAAGATGTTTTTCGGATCTCTCCACTGCCGCCTTGTGGCTTTAGAACACAAATCTGTTTACTTTGTTTTGTGACATATTTGAATAAAACCATGTATCCTGTTTAGGGCTGGCAATGTGGTAGTGGGAGGGTTGGAAATTGGATACAAAAATTGAGTCAATCAATTGTCACTGTTGCTCTAGTCAAGATTCCATCGTTATTTTGTATAACCTTCATTTATAATTCATTATGTCATTATGTGCTAGACAGCTGGTCTAATATCTTTTCTATGTTGTTAAATAGCTGGGTGTGGTGGCACATGCCTGTAGTCCCAGCTACTTGGGAGGCTGAGGCAGGAGAATCGCTTGAACCTGGGAGGCAGAGGTTACAGTGAGCCAAGATCGTGTCACTGCACTCCAGCCTGGGCAACAGAGTGAAACTCTGTCTAAAAAAATAAAAATGCATATACTAATTGTAAAATATGCACGATTTTATATATGGCTGCACTCTTATTTAAACAGCATGCTGCACAAATCTCACTTCTTACCTTTCTACTTGGCTGTTTCTGAAATCTTTACTTGTTATATCTACATGTCTTTTTAGTGCCATATAATATTCTTTAACATGCATCCATCACACAGCCAGTTTTAAGGAAAAAAAATCCTAAATCTCTACAATTCCTTCTGACCCAAATCTCACATGCTCCCTTTAGAATGTATAACAATTTTCTGGGTCACAGGGCATATTATAGTTTGACAAAACGTACCCAGATTACTTTCTGGACATCTGTGAATTTTACACTCCACCCACATTACTTGTCTTTCCTGCATCTCACCACTGCTTGCTAACATTTGCATTTTAGTTGGCTCCATTTTGGTAGTTTTGTCTCCTTGTTTTAATTCTCATTTCCCTAATAGTAAGATGAAGCTCACATGATATTCTCGTCATCCACTCACTATTCAGCTTTTTTGAATTGCTTCTTCATGTTCTTTGCTCATTTTCTAATTTTTTTTCTTTTCTTTGTGGAATTGAATATATTTCATGTTATATATAAGGTATTTTTTGGTTTAAAATGTACGGTTACTCCTGTCAATCTGTCATTTGCCTGTTGACTCTGGGGCTTCTCTTGATCAGAAATCCTTCGTTTTTTATCACATCCATAGCATGTTTGACTTACAGCATTTGCTTATTGTCTTTTTGTTGTTGTTTAAGAAGCCCACTGCATCCTAGACCACAAAGACATTCTCCTATCAGCATTACGGGTTTAAAATTCACATTTTAATCTGTCTATATTTGTATATGGCATAATGGACAACCAGCCCCATTTTCTCTGAACAATGAGTCAGTTTTTACAATACCACCCACCAAAGCATCCATCCTGTCCTCACTGACTTATGATGCCATCCTTACACACAAGCCATCAGTACTATACATCTATAGAAATCATCTTCTGAAATTTCTTTTATTCCATTCGTGTATTTGTCTGTTCTGGATGAGTATAATATTCTTTTTTATTATAGCAGTGTGGTTTTCTAGTTATCCATCATAGTGGGTTCTTTTATTTAAAATTAGTTTCATATTCTTGGAGTGTATTCTTTCACTGATAATCTTGCTTCAAGTATTTTGAAGCTCTGTGGGTGCAAAAACACCTAGAATTATGCTCTGTTAATTCCTTATCCTTATGAAATAAACTTCTTTATCCCTGGAAATACTTATTACTCTAAAATGTATTTTGTCTGATATTAACATAGCTATTCTAGCTTTCTTTTAACTGTTAGCATGGTATGTATTTTCCTAACGTCTACTTTCTAACCAATTGTGTCTCTAAAGTGAGTTTCTTGTAGTTAGCAAATAATTTGGTTTTACTTTCTCATATAAGCTTGATAATCTCCACCTTTTCGTTGAGGTGCTTATACCACTGGGTCTCAATGGGGAGAAGGGAAGATCTTGCCCTCTAAGGGCACCTGGCAATGTCTGGGTGATCTTTTTGGTGGTAGTAACTGGGTATGTAGGCATGCTGCTGGCATCTAGGGTGTAACAGCCAGGGATGCCAAGATCCTACATGCATGCGACAGCCCCCATAACAAAGAATTCTCTGATACAAAGGTAAATAGTGCTCAGGTTGTGAAATCTTGTGTTTTTATTTTTACATTTACTGTGATTATTGATATGGTTAGGCTTGAGCCTAAATCAAATAGATTTCTATTTGTCATATCTGTTCTTCCCCCTTTTCTCCTTTATTCTGCTTTATTATCCTTACCCTATTTTGGATTGATTTTTTTTTTTTAGGATTCTATTTTATCACCTTTATTGGCTTATTAGCTGTAACTCTATTTTAGTGGTTGTGTTGGGATTTGAGTTTATGGTATCTGTCTTTAACTTATCACAATCTACCTGCAAGCGATAGTATACTCCTTCATGTAGAGTGTAAGAATTATACTGTAGCTCTTATTTTATATATATATATATATATATATAAATACCATAATTTATCTCCACCTGCCTTTATGGCGTTGCTGTCATACATTTTACTTTCACGTTATAAGCCCCACAATACATTATTTGTGTTTAATCAGTCAATCTTTTAAAGAGATTTAAGTAATAGTAATAAACCCATACATATTTACCAGTTACATTTCAGTTGCTTTTCATTCCTTGGTGTAGGGCCAAATTCCCATCTGGCATCCCTTTTCTTCTGCCCTGCAGGACTTCCTTTAAAATTACTTGTAGCGCAACTCTGCTAGTAATGAATTCTTTCATTCTCTGTATTTCTGGAAAGGTCTTTTGTTTGTCTTCATTTTTGAAAGCCATATGCTGGGCATAGAATTCTAGTTAATAGTTTTTTTTTTTTTTTTAGTACCTTAAATATTTTGTTCCATTATCTTTTATGCTTGCAGTGTTTCCAGTGAGAAATCTGATGTCATCTTTGTCTCTGTGCCATGTACATAACGTCTTTTTCCCCCCTCTGGTTGCTTTTACAGTTTTCTCTTTATCACTGGCTTTGAACAATTTCTTTATAATGTGTCTGAGTGTAATTCTCTTCATGTTTCTTATTGTGTGATTTGCGCTTCTTGGATCTGTGAGTTTATAGCTTTTACTGTGTTTGAGAATTTTTTGCCCATTATTTCTTCAAATATTTTTCTCGTCCCTGCCCCCGACCCCCTTCCCCCTCTATTTCAGAGACTCTAGTTGCCCAGATGCCCAGTACCAACATGATGAAGTTGGTAAATCTTCTACACATTTTTAATAGGACTCACATTTAATGGATGGTAGTACTTTCTTTTAATCCTGACTTCTCTTTTATATATTCTATTTCTCCAGTTCCTTCCCTCTAAAAGAATTCTCCAACCTGCTATTTCATCTTTGGCTATGTAATTTTGCTATAAATGCCAACCATTAAGTTCATTTAAACATATCTTCAGGGTGGGTGTGGTGACTCATACCTGTAACCCCACCACTTTGGGAGGCTGAGGCGGTCAGGCCACTTGAGGTCAGAAGTTTGAGACCAGCCTGGCCAACATAGTGAAACCCGTCTCTACTAAAAATACAAAAATTAGCTGGATGTGATGGCATGGCCAGCTACTCGAGAGGCTGAGGCAGGAGAATCACTTGAGCCTGGGAAGCGGGGCTTGAAATGAGCCAAGATCATGCCATTGCACTCCAGCCTGGGTGACAGACTCTCTCAAAAAAAAAAAAAAAAAAAAAAATTAAAAACCATATCTTCAAACCAACTGTTCCCACTTTGTCCCTTTTATTACCACTGATTCTGTCCCATGTTGAAATATTTATGTTTTTGAAAATATTACTCATGTATATTTATAAATATTCCACTATATCTATACATTTTTCTAAGCACTTCAGTAGCATCTCAGACTAGAATGAAGAAGATAACAGAAACCTGTGCTGGTTCTCCATCTTATCAGTGGCAGATTTTTTTGTCTGTATTAACATATCTACTATATTTTGTATGTATATAGAAATGCTCAATCTATAATTCGTATGTGTGTAGGAATGCTCAAATTTCTTTCTGCAGTTAACCAGTTTCTAGATGTTTTTATTACAAAAAAAGTGCTAGAACTCATGACACCACAGTTTTATATAAAGGTAAGTTTGATAGTCTAGGGTTATCAAGATACTGGAAAATAATGGTGTGTTCATGCAATATAAGAACTTCAGTGCAGTGCATGTATATACCAAAAATATAATTGGGAACTCTCATTTCTAAGAATCGATACTAGAATATATTTCAAATTAACAAAGATGTAGATTTAAGATTGTTCTTAATGTTCTTAGCAACAACAAAAATAAGTACAACTCAAATATCCAAATAGAGCATCGGCCCAATCAATAATGACCCTGTCGCACAGTAAAACATTCAATATCAAATTGATAAGACAGATGTGTATTTACTCATAAGTATCCCCAATTCTGATGTTCAAAGGAAAATATTTAAAGTGTAATCACTTTCACAAATTGCTATACCACACAGAAATATTTTAAAGGGCCTTAATGGAAACAAAACTTTAATCCATGCTTAGGATTTCACGTGATTCTTTTTAGGTTCTTTAAGCTTTTCTGTTTTGGTTATTAAAATTTCATTCAGCCATTTTTACAATCACAAGTATAATTATTTCAAGTTTAAAGAAATAGAAAAAAATTCAATGGCCACTGTTGATCACTTAAATCATTCTTGTACGTGGAGAAACAATTCTCTGCCTCTCCACCTCCACAAACTCCTACTTCTCATCCTACCCCTCTAAAGTCTCCAGTCACTGCACTCTTCTTTCCCTCGCTTTCCTAATTAACTTGATGTATGTTGCAGTGTCCAGTTCTGATTTTTTTTCTCATATTGTTTTCCTACTAGCATGTCAACCAGCATTGGCAACGTTTCGTGCCCTCAATGAATCTGGGAATGCCTTCAGACAAAGCTTTCACCATGGAGAATACCGAACACATCGTACTTTTGTCCAGCATTATGAATGTGATGACTGTGGCATGGCTTTTGGGCATGTGTCACAACTTACTGGACATCAGAAAATCCATAAGGTAGGGGAAACCCACGAATATGGTGAAAATACAAGGGGCTTTAGGCATCGCTCATCATTTACAATGCTCCAGAGAATATGTACACTATATAAACACTTTGAATGTAACCAATGTGGTGAAACTTTTAACAGACCTTCAAAGGTTATTCAACATCAGAGCATGCACAGTGGACTGAAGCCATACAAATGTGATGTATGTCAAAAGGCCTTTAGGTTTCTCTCATCCCTCTCTATACATCAGAGATTTCATGTTGGCAACAGAGTAAACCTGACTCGGCATCAAAAAACTCATACTCAAAGGAAGCCCTTTTCCTGTAACTTTTGTGGAAAAACCTTTCACCGTTTCTCAGAAAAAACTCAACATCTATTAATTCATACTAGAAAGAAATATTATACATGTAATTATTGCAAAAAGGAATTCAATCCGTACTCCAAATTTATTCTACATCAAAGAACTCATACAGGAGAGAAACCCCACAAGTGTGATGTTTGTGAGAAATCCTTTAAAAGCATCTCAAATCTTAATAAACATCAGAAAACTCATACTGGAGAGAAGCCCTTTTCATGTAATGAATGTAAAAAAACCTTTGCCCAGCGCACGGATCTTGCTCGCCACCAACAAATCCATACCGGAAAGAAGTCTTTTATTTGCAGTAGTTGTAAAAAGACCTTTGTCCGTCTGTCAGATCTAACACAACATAAAGGAACTCATACGGGAGAGAGACCTTACCAATGTACGACTTGTGAAAAAGCCTTTAAATATCGGTCAAACTTTACTAAACATCAGAAAACTCATTCTATAGGGAGGCCCTTTGCATGTAATGAATGTGGAAAGACCTATCGCCTTAACTGGGAACTTAACCAACATAAAAAAATTCATACTGGAGAGAAACCCTATGAATGTGGTGAATGTGGAAAGCGTTTTAACAATAATTCAAATCTTAATAAACACAAGAAAATCCATACAGGAGAGAAACACTTTGTATGTAATCAATGTGGAAAAGCTTTTAGCTTAAACTCAAAGCTTTCTCGACATCAGAGAACTCACAATAAAAAGGAAAACTCCTCTAAAAGCGTCTCAAATCTTAACAAACATCAGAAAACTCATGCTGGAGAGAAGCCCTTTCCATGTAATGAATGTAAGAAAGCCTTTGCCCAGCGCATGGATCTTGCTCGCCACCAACAAATCCATACTGGAAGGAAACCTTTTATTTGCAGTAGTTGTAAAAAAACCTTTGTCCGTCTGTCAGATCTAACACAACATAAAGGAACTCATACAGGAGAGAGACCTTACCAATGTACAACTTG
Source organism: Homo sapiens (assembly GCF_000001405.40). Taxonomy (NCBI): domain Eukaryota; kingdom Metazoa; phylum Chordata; class Mammalia; order Primates; family Hominidae; genus Homo; species Homo sapiens. Next base: position 46,492,319 of record NC_000020.11, read on the forward strand.
TGAAAAAGCCTTTAAATATCAGTCAAACTTTACTAAACATCAGAAAACCCATTCTATAGGGAGGCCCTTTACATGTAATGAATGTGGAAAGACCTTTCGCCTTAACTGGAAACTTAATCAACATAAAAAAATTCATACTGGAGAGAAACCCTATGAATGTGGTGAATGTGGAAAATGTTTTAACAATAATTCAAATCTTAGTAAACACAAGAAAATCCATACAGGAGAGAAACACTTTGTATGTAATCAATGTGGAAAAGCTTTTAGCTTAAACTCAAAGCTTTCTCGACATCAGATAACTCACAATAAAAAGAAACCCTAAAAAAAGAGGAAGGTGAAGAAGGATATTTAGAGATGACTTACCCTTTGCTAAACTCGAGATCAATGTAGAAAGAATCTTAGTCGAAGCCTAATTCTTCGTGGATTCATGCTGTATGGAGTATCTTGGAAATATAAATATGTAAATGTTGAAGAAATGGAGATGTGATCAGAAATGTACTTTTTTTATTGCACTGACTTGAATCTTTGGCCAAGGCAGGTGGTTCATGAGGTCAAGAGTTCCAGACCAGCCTGGTCAACATAGTGAAACCCCATCTCTCCTAAACATAGAAAAAAAAAAATTAGCAGGGCGTGGTGGTGCACACCTGTAATCCCAGCTACTTGGGAGGCTGAGACAGGAGAATCACTTGAACCCCAGAGGCGGAAGTTGCAGTGAGCTGAGATCGTGCCATTGCACTCCAGCCTGGGTGACAGGGTGAGACTCTGTCTTTAGAAAAAAAAAAAAAAACTGTTAAATGTATTCAACTAAATTTGAAATTGGATAAGGCATTTCCTGTGGTAAGCAGTGATAAGCTAAGAGGCAGCTAGAAGGCTACAGTGAACATTCATTTTGCTGTTTGTCCATAATCTACTTTCACTGGATTAACAAATAGAGGCAGCTATCTAAAGATGCAAACTTTTATAGGCTAGATGATGCAACCCTAATTTAAGCGTAAGTAAGGAAAACAAAAGCCATCTCTTCTGGGTGAATTAGAAGTTTTGGAGAACTTTTGCTAGTAGACAGTGAAAAGCAAAAAGCTGATCATGGATCTGAACTAAAGGGTAAAGAGTTAGGAGGGGTAACATGAGAAATCCAAAGGTCTTGGGTCTGTGGTCAAGATGGTTTCTGCTGTCTTGTCTAAATGGTCGGGCGCAGTGGCTCACGCCTGTAATCCCAGCACTTTGGGAGACTGAGGTGGGTGGATCACTTGAGGTCAAGAGTTTGAGACCAGCCTGGCCAACATGGTGAAACCCTGTCTGTCCCATTAAGAAATAGCTCATTTGAAATAAGTGAAAGAAAATTGAATGAAGAGACTCTTTACAAAAGTGTGGAAAGGGTTGTGGGAAACCAACAAGGGATTTACCATCCCTAGCCCTGAAGGGAAAGCAGGAGCGTGGTGCCTTTGTAGTAAAAACACAAAAATTAGCATGGTATGGTGGCGTGCGCCTTTAATCCCAGCTACTAGGGAGGCTGAGGCATGAGAATCACTTGAACCCAGGAGGCAGAGGTTGCAGTGAGCAGAGATCATGCCACTGCACTCCAGCCTGGGTGACAGAGCGAGACTGTCTCAAAGCCAAAAAATAAGTGGATATAACTAAGACACCCAGCCTCCCTGAATAGTTTGCACCATTCTTATATGTTTCTAGAGAATCAAGAAGAAATGGAAAAATTGCAACAATTCTAGGCTTTAGATTCAGAATATGGAGAACCTATTACTGGGAATATTATGTTATTTGAAATTGATTTCTTGTTGTATGTCTTAAATGCTAAGCTTTCTAGTATATGCTAACACTAGCATGTAATACTGAATACATTTGAGCCTTGTATAGAAGTCGAATTACTTTCCCAAATTTGTTCTCATAAACGTCGGTGGCAACTTGCCTGTGTTTAGCCAAGTGGGATGGGCATAGTTAGGATTGGCCTCAATCCATAGACACTATTCAGTTTCTTCATGCTCTCACCTTTCTTTGCTTTCTCAGATATGACAGGAGCTGCCACAGAGCTCAAGTGTTGTATAATCCCCAGGTGTGCTTCCTTTCCATCTGCCTCATTACTTGTGTGTTGAGGCATCAGTACGTTTATATCTCTAAGGAAAGGTGTATGTGTATATATAGCTCACTTTTTACAAATAACAGACACATCAGTTTTATAGATCTCAAGTTAAATATAAGCCAAAAATGCAACTGAAATAATTTAGCTCAGTACAAAGAAAATATTGTTATGAATATTATAAAAATGGGAGTGGCTATTGGGATAAAGACAAAAATTATACATGGGACCTGTCATCCCTAATTTTGGTCCTTAATATCCTGGGTTAAAGTTAAACAGGAGCCATTTCATATGTTTCAAATACACGAAGACTTTCCAACACAGCTCCTATCAGGTCAAACTGCTAACTCTAAAGTCTAGAGTGAGAAAAGTTTCCTAGGACACACCAGAACAACTTGTTCTGAAAAGCCTCATATCCCAAATTCACCATCACTAAACTCAAAAATTTTTCATTGACATCTAACACTTTCTTCTTTGTATCTCTGCCATATTTCCTAGGCGCTGTCACTAATTCCTAAACCCAATGTCTCCAGTTTTGTAAAAAAGATAAAAGAATAGCCATCATGTAAATGTTAGGCTATTCATAACATTCTCATTGGAAAGTTTCAGCAGAAAGTTTTATATTTTCATTGGGGTTTTAATATTAAAATCACATAACAGTTCTATTGTTTAAGCAAAAATAACAGATGGAGAGAGAAGTTAAATACTTCAATTTAGGCTCAAAATATCATCTGCACACCAATGTAAATGATGCATCTTTTGCATTTAATAATTCCTTATATTTTCATTCTCACATATTTGAGGAGATATAAATCTAACAGAGCGTTTGTGGATTGAATGGAATCCCTCCCTAAAGGTATGTTGAGGTTTTAACTGCCGGTGCTCATTAATGTGACCCTATTTAAAACTAGGATCATTTTGAAGATGTAATCAAGATCAAATCATACTAGATTAGGGTGGGTCCTAAGTTCAATCACTGACTTCATAAGAGGGGACACAAGACAACTGGCTGTTGAATAAATGCTTTAACCCTTTTAAAGATTAAATTATCTCTGAAGATAACTTCCATAGAATGCAAAATTGGAGTCAGCACAGAATATGATCCATGTACCTCATATAAACAATACTAGCCAGTGATTTGATGCAGAGACCTATCTCTTATCCCCCACCTTTTGACCTAAAACATATCTGGCCTGGATAACTTTTAAATTATCATGGGGTATAAGAGTATTTTCTCCATTGTCAGGGAACCAATATGAGGATTCTGCCACTAAGTCTGTCTCCACTGTGCATTCTGGGACTGAGGAAATAACCATGGGATGCACGTGTGTTTCCACTGGCAGAAGCAAACCCTCTGGGAGTTGGATTCAGGCCCAGACTCATCTATCTCCCGACCTTCATAAGTCTCCACTCTGATCATAGGCCACTGTAGTGCTTGGGAACAGCAAGAATTCATATAATCAAAGCCAATATCCAAATCCCCATGGAGGTCTGGGTATGTCCTTCTCCCTCATGCATGGCCACGGTGGTAAATGACCACAGATACCCCTGGGAAGGTCTGGAGGAAGATCTGCATGATGCTTCTATGGCTACATTGCAGGAACCTTCTTAAAAGGTCTTCCTGAAGCCACTTCAGGTCTAGGAATTGGCTTAAGTCTCAAAGTTGAGTAAGGTGCTATGAATTCCCAATATAATCCCATAAGTCATACTTCTGCCTAGGAGACCCAGAAATTGTTCACCTATATGTCAAGCTGCTCCTTCGAAGAAAGCCCATTTTCATTATACGGTCTCCATGACGCACTAGCTGTACTGCCAGGCCCAAACCTGATTACCAGTCTTTCCTAAGGCATGCTGTAACAGTGTCAGCTTTGTTTCCAAAGGTGAGGTGCTGCTGCATGGCCTCTTCCACTCCCCAGAATCTCATTTTCATTTTGAGGATCTGTTTCCTGGGGCCATTTCTGGTACCACTTACAGAATCAGTCCCATCAAGAAATAGCTCATTTGAAAGGAGTGAAAGAAAATTGAATGAAGAGACTCTTTACAAAAGTGTGGGAAGGGTTGTGGGAAACCAACAAGGGATTTACCATCCTTAGCCCTGAAGGGAAAGCAGGAGGGTGGTGCCTTTGAAATCTGTCACTTTGGCTTAGCTGATTCTATGTTCCCTAGAACTCCCTTCCCTGTATGTTTCCAGTGAGGGTGGGTCACAGACGACATTTTGGCGTGAGATCTGGAGGGTGCTCGCAGAGGAGCAATCATCTTGCTTTTATGCTTAGCAAGGCTTCTGCACCCGACACATTTCTTACCTGCTGGTTCTTGTTGGCATGGCTCAGTAGATGAGCCTGTGGCTGCTCTCCTTTCCCCAGGATCTCCTCCAGCTCTTTCAGCTCCTGGGCTAGGTGTGTGCTTAGCAACACCACAAATGGCACCAACCTCTGTAGGACACCCACATCGTTTAGGTAGAAGACAGTAAAAACTGCCACAGCTTTGTCTGTGGGTTCCAGCTTGTCTTTATTCTCTTAGTGTTCACTTTCACTACTTGCTTGGCCTGCAGAATTAAAGTACCAGCATCAGCCATGAGGACAGTCACATAACAGCCTTCCCGTAATAGCCTGGAGTCAAATCTTGATAACAAATTTGTCATCTACAGAACATACATATGGCTCTGCTGCTCTGATTGAACTCTAAGTGATGCAGGAAGGAAATGACTTTTGGGATCTGGGAATAGCTCTAGCTGCGGAAGAGGGCCACAAATAAGGTCTCAACCAGACACCTGATGGCAAGAGACCTCAGCTGATGCAGTTCATAGAGGTCTGCCCCAAGCATGAGGAGTGGGGTAGACAGTGGTTCTGGAGGGACAGAGTATCCAGGAGCATCAGGCTTCTGAAGAATAACACTTGGTCTAGATACGATGGAACAATGTGTTTTAGGATATGCAAAGAAAGTTAGCTGGAGATTTTCTAACCAGTCAGACTGATCTTCAAATATACATAAAGTCCATAGGCAAACCGTTAACATATAATAATTCAGAGACTGATATGTCCATCTTAAAGAATAAGCTATCTTTTAAATTAGACTCCAGGTGAACAGGAAGAGAAGAGGGAAGAAGAGATTACCAACTAATTTCATTATTGACTGACAGTAAGAAACTAATATACTATCTTCCCCCTTATTCCCTGCAAATAACAGGGATATTAAGGCATTATATAAAGATATCAGTATATTAGTAACTGACAGAACAAAAATACAAATGCTCCACAACACTGTAGTGAAAGACAAATGGGAAGATAAAATAATCTGGCAAAACTGAAACTAAATGTGTCATATCAATAACACCAATTTATAAAACTCTCTCATTCTCTCATATAATCTTATTCCCCATTTCATTGAAAAATAGAAACAATTCTAAAATAAATTCACAAACTTCTGTCACATCAACCCATATGTGTGAGCCAGCATGGCATGACCATTGCCTATTTTCTTAAAAAGGCTACCTTTCCCCCTTACACATAGATTCCGACCTATCTCACCTATGCAGAACATTATTCCAAGATTTCCCCGTCTATGGAACATTTCCCTTAAGTGTATAAACATGCATTTATCTCTATCTCTAGAAAGAAGCCTCCTTTGACTACACTTTACTCTCGAGCTACAATGCCATTTCTCTTGCCTTTAGTACGACTTCTTGAAAGGGTTGTTTGTATTAACTGTTTTCAGCGCGTCTCCTCTCACCTTTCTTGAAACCACTGCATTCTTATGGTGGTTGCCTCTGGTAGCTAGCCTGTGAGATGGCTCCAGAGGTCTCTACCTCCTGGTACTCAGGCTCCTGTGTGATACCCTTCCGCAACATATCAAGGTTGGTCTGTGTGACCAATTAAGTACAGTGAAAGTGATAGTTTTCCAAAGCTAGGTTATAAGGGAAACTGTGGCTTTGGATCACTCATTCTGAGGAATCAATGCCGGCTGCCACGTTGTGAGGAACTCAAGAAACCCTATGGAGAGGTCCATGTGATGAAGAACTGAGGTCTCCTGCTAACAGCTGTGGGAGAGAGCCATGGTAGAAGTGGATCTTTCAGCCCCGTCAAGTCTTTACATGACTGCATCCCTGGTCAACATCTTGACAGCAACCTCAAAGACCTTGAGCCTGAACCACCTAGCCAAGTTACTCTACAATTCCTAAACCACAAAAACAATGAGATAGTAAATGTTTACTGTTTTAAGTTGCTAATTTTGGGGATAATTTGTTACACAACAATAAATAATACATTAACCTGTTATGGGGTTGAATTGTCTCCCCAAAATGTGTGTTGAATTCCTATACCCAAGTACCTCAGAATGTGACCTTATTTGGAAATAGGATTGTTGCAGATGTAATTATTTAAGATGCAGTCATACTGGAGGAGGGCAGGCCCTTAATCCAATGACTGGTATCCTTATAACAAGGGGAAATCTGGACACAAACATGCACACTTAGAATGCCATGTGAAGGGCCGGGCGCGGTGGCTCACGCCTGTAATCCCAGCACTTTGGGAGGCCGAGGCGGGCGGATCACGAGGTCAGGAGATCGAGACCATCCCGGCTAAAACGGTGAAACCCCGTCTCTACTAAAAATACAAAAAATTAGCCGGGCGTAGTGGCGGGCGCCTGTAGTCCCAGCTACTTGGGAGGCTGAGGCAGGAGAATGGTGTGAACCCGGGAGGCGGAGCTTGCAGTGAGCCGAGATCCTGCCACTGCACTCCAGCCTGGGCGACAGAGCGAGACTCCGTCTCAAAAAAAAAAAAAAAAAAAAAAAAAAAAGAATGCCATGTGAAGTTATGCTGCCACAAGCTACAGAATTATCAGAAGCTAGGGAAGAGGCCTGGAACAGATCCTTCAGAAGAGAGTATAGCCCTGCCAACACCCCAACCTGACTTCTGGTCTCCAGAACTATGAGATGTATCTGTTGTTCTAGAACATCCAGTTTGAGGTACTGTGTTACGGCAGCCCTAGGAGATGAATACACCCTCTATATCATGTCTTTGTTCTTTGGCTACTTTTAAGATAATCTTTATTAAACTAGTTTTGATTTCTTTATGTCTTGAAATTTGGTGTCTTATTGTGCTCTTCATTTTTATCCTGCTTGGGGTTCATTAAACTTCTTGGACTTGTGAATTTACATTTTCCGTAAGATTTGAAAAAATTGTTCCAACATTAAGAGATAAATTTAGACAAATTTGGCACAAAAATTAGGTATTTTTGTTTTTCTTTACTCTATTAGTTTCAAAGTGAAAGGTAACTTAATTTCTTTCACAATAGCAACCAAATCTTTGAAGTGACTATTAATACATTTCACAGGAAAAGAGCAAGATCAGTATACACATACACATACATTTAAACATATGTATATACTTACATATATTAACACATGTATATGTGTGTATACATACATTTATCTGTCCTGAAGGACATAAAAACTGAATAAATAGATAAATCATGTTCATATTGGGTTCTCTGAAGGGCCCCAAATAAATAGCACAATTTCCCCCCATCTAAACGATAAAAAATTAAGTAGCAGACAGGGGGCAGGATGAAACTTTTATTACTGATCAAATTGAGTTGGAGGATGCAACTTAGTGTGACCATTCAGCTAATGGGCCAATTAGCTGAATGACAGAATTAGACCAATTTACCAATCACAGGCAATATCTGTGACAAGAAATTATACTTGCAGGTCAGCCCACAATGAAGAGGGAGTTCAGCTGAGCAAACCCAGTTACCCATCACTATCTTACCAACTAGATAAGCCCACTTCCTCATGCCTGGGGCAGAATGCATAATGTGGCAGAGAAGCTAGGAATGGGTATAGGGAAAATCCCACTCATGGAAATCAGAACTTGAAAGGTAAACATTTCCCAATAACCCCATAAAAGTGGCAATCCTACCTCATCATATATATCCATATAATGTAATCCTAATCAGCATCCCAGGCGCCTTTTGTTCTCAGAATTTGATCAGTGACTTCTAAACAATACCTCTAATGAACATGTTGATTAGGAAATCCAAGAGATTTTTGAAAACATACTAATTGACATAAACCACTGGTAGATGGGGTTGAGTGGATATTACAGAATACTAAAACCAGAGAAATAAACACTTTTTGGATTCAACCATCATCCAAATTCTCTTTGTTGTTCAAGAATGCTTATTTTCCCATGTTTTTCCTACTGCAATTGCCGTCTTCTTGACTTAGCTGAAAGCTTCAGGATCATGAACTAGTTATCCTGTGCCTATCTTCCATTAGAAAGGTCTTAGGAAGGGCTTTCACTGGCTCAGCTTTACAAAATGCTCACCTGGGGTATAATTACCATGGGTGCATAGAGTACAATGGTTAGTTCTCCTGAGTTGTCACCTTTGCAGATAAAGGTATACAGTCCACTACTAGAAGACTATGGAGTTAGCAGACAACAAAAAATCTGCCAAATCTGAAAATACACCATAAATTGAGAAACTGTAACTTACTCAACTATCAAACAATGGTATTGATTTGAAATGAAGGTCAGATCCTCACACCTCGTAACATACACTATCAAGTAACACTGTGGGGAGGAACCAAGTAACAATTTAACTTAAACAATGTTTGTTTCATTATTTTAAAAGGGAGGCACATTTGGCATAACCTTTGAATTGCTGTTGAATATTTTCATAGTTCACAATGAATAATACATTTATTAAACAAATTATTTCTTTCCTACATGATTTCTCTGATGTTACATTGAGGGTTGACTTATGGCAGAAAAATTTTCCATATTCATTACATTTATAAGATTTTACTCCTCTATACATACTCACAGTTTAGCATTGTGTAAGTTATTTGATTTGTTGCTTTGTTGGAATTTATTACTTTGTTGGAACTTATTCCTTGTGGGATTTCTGATGTAAAAGAAAGTTTGATTTGTGGCGAAATGTTTTCTCACATTTGTTACATTCATAAGGTTTCTCTCCTGTGTGTATTTTCTGATGTTCAGTGAGAGTCCACAGGCGACGGTAGGTTTTCCCACATTGATTACATTCATATGGTTTCTCTCCTGTGTGAATTCTTCTATGGACTCTGAAGGCTGACTTATGGCAGAAGGATTTCCCACATTCATTACATTCATATGGTTTCTCCCCAGTGTGAGTTCGCTGATGTTCAACAAAGGAGAACTTCTGACAGAAGGTTTTCCCACATTCATTACACTCATAGGGTCTCTGTCCTGTGTGTGTTCTCTGATGGTGAGTCAGGGCTGACTTCCTGCAGTAGGTTCTCCCACATTCATTGCATTCATATGGTCTCTCCCATATAGTTCTCTGATGTACAATGAGGTGTGAGTTTTTGCTGACGGCATGCCCATGTTCACTACACTCATAAAGATTCTCCTTTGTGTTCATTCTCTTACACTGACTGCAGTTTGACTTCACAATGGAGATTCTACCACATTTATTAAACACACCATGTTTCTCTCCTGTGTGTGTTCTCTGATGTATAGTGAGTGTTGACTTATGGCAGAAAAATTTCCCACATTCATTACATTCATAAGACTTCTTTCCTCTATGAGTTATCTGATGTGCAATGAGGGCTGATTTCGTACATAAAAATTTTCCACATTGACTGCATTCATAGGGCTTCTCTCCTGTATGACTTCTTCGATGCACATTGAGGGCAGATTGACAAAAGAAGGTTTTCTCACATTCACTACATTCATAGGGTTTTTCCCCTGTGTGAATTCTCTGATGCGCAGTAAGGGCTGACTGACAGAAGAAGGTTTTCCCACATTCCTTACATTCATTTGGCTTCTCTCCTCTGTGAGTTCTTTGATGTACAACAAGATACGATTTCTTGCTGAAGGCATTTCCACATTCCTTGCATTCGTAAGGCTTCTCCCCTGTGTGTGACCTGAAATGTTCAGCCAGGGCTGACTTCCGAAAAAAGGTCTTTCCACATTCATTACACTCATAGGATTTCTCCCCTCCATGAATTTTCTGGTGTACAATAAGGGCAGATTTGTCAATGAAGGTTTTCCTGCATTCACTGCATTCATAGGGTCTCTCTCCAGTATGAATTCTTCGGTGTCGAGTGAGGCTTGTCTTCACACGAAAAGTTTTCCTACAATCACTACAAACATACGGTTTCTCCCCTGTATGAATTCTCTGATGTACAATGAGGGTAGATCTCTTAGAAAAGGTTTTCCTACATTCATTACATTCATTTGGTTTCCTTTCAGTCTGTCTCCCCTTTTGTGTAATGAGAATTGCCCTCTTGAAGAAGGTTTTCCCACATTTATTATAGTCAAACGGTTGTTTCAAAATCTGAATGTTCTGGTGCAGAATAAGATTTTCGTTTTGATTGCTGGCTTTCCTCATTGGATTGTATCTGTATTTTTTCATTCCCAAATGACTTTTCTCATGCTTCCCAAATCCACTGTATCCATCAGGAATCTTTCTGTTTTCTTTGCTTTTCTTTGCAACAATTACTTCTGAATTAGTTTTCAAACTGTTTCCTCCTGGATTACATTTATAGGGCATTTTTCTTGAGGGAACACTATTCATGCCCAGATTAAGTGTTTTCCCAAATACATTCTCTCTTTCTGTAATCAGTGTTTTGTTGCTGAAGAATACAGTTTGTGTCAAATGTTTATCTTGGATTTCCTTGTTCTTCTCTAAGGCATCATCAATGTCTAGAAAAAGGAACACAATTAACGGTAATTGGTGAGCCTTTATATGTTTGCTATGAAATGAGAATTCCTTAGAAATGCATTGTTTTAGGGGTTAGACTTCAGGCCAAGCCTTCCAAGATTAAACAAATTTCAAGTGCAAATATCTCTTACTTGGTTGATTTGAAGAAATACAGAAACAAAAAATACAAAAAAGCAAATCCATCCATACCAGCCACTATTTAACAGGGGGAAAGGAAGAGGAAACTAGCAAAGAATACAAGTACCTTTGACACTTTACAAATACTACTAAACATTGAGTGGAAAAAGTAAATAGTCACAAGGAATAGTACACAAAGTATGCTGGAAGTGTGGCTGATGGAGTGTTGAATAAAACAGACAAGAGTCAAGTAAGCACTTAGAGAAAGATAGTCATACAGTGAGACCAGGTACAACAGATATCAGAAAGATGGTCAGTTATTATCAAAACACACAAGAAGGAAGAGGTAAATCTGAAATTTTTGCAGTGACATGGAACTCTCGAATTTGTACAGTGCAAAGGGAAGTAAGATTGTGGGCTGAGTAGAGCTGGGACTAGAGGAAGGCAAGCAGGATACCCAGGGCACCTGTGCAATCCTGAGAGTTGAGTGTCTTCCTAAATTTTGCATGCCAGGCACCTTGTTTGCCTCACCCTACTCCGGATCCTGGTGAAGCGTAGAATGGAAAGGGAAACCGTGTTATTTCTGTTAAGTGACGTAGAGAAAAATGGAAGACAATTAAAAAGATCATGACAGATCTCTGAATGTCTGAAATATAAACCAAGCCTATGACAATGGTGGGTGGGGCAAGGGAGGCAACAAAGAATGCTACAGAAATAAAGTTTAAGGTGTGATAAAAGAAGAACTTGAATTTTGGGGATAGGTAACTTAATGGCAAACATCTTTATAAATTTCAATTATTTATTTGGGGAGAATGTTTCAGATGTCCATAGCATGACAGTTAATCAACCTCAATCACTTCTAAAGGTCTGGGCCAACAAAAAGAAATTCATGAAAAACATTACGATGCCAACTATTACCACCGACCACCATGGAACTCTCATTTCCATTGGTTCCACCTGCTCAGTTATCATTTACTTACCTGGGTAGTTCTGATTTGAGAATTCCTCCACTATCCATGGCTCTTCTCCTTGCTCCAATTTGAAAATCACATCTGGTTTGCTAACATGATACCCTGTTAATGGGAAATTACAGAACTTGGACCAAGATCTTTGGACATCAGAGACTCTGAAGAATGAAGAAAGTACAGCTTCAGAAGCTGTGCAATGAAGATGCCCAGCAATAGCTCAGTAAAGCTAGAACATTTTGGTGAAGGGTAGGGGAAGGGCAGTGAATACATACACAAACTTCTACTGTCTAAAAGGGTTTAATCTTCTTGCTCCCCTGATGCTCAGGGCTAAATAAATTCTAGAAATCAACATGTTTTTGTAACACAGAAGAAATGTATGCTCTTGGGAGTTGTACAGGGAAATAGTCCTTACCCACAGAGACCAAGTTGCTGTAGTTCTCCAGCATCACATCCCTGTACAGGAGCCTCTGAGCAGGGTCCAGTTGCTGCCATTCCTCTTGGGTGAAGTTCACAGTCAGGTCCTGGAATGAAACTGGTATCTGAAAGAAAATGTTTAATCTTGGGTGACCAAAATTGAGTGATATCAAATGTATGGTAACATAAACTATAAGAAGACCACTGCCATGGCTAATGGAAAGCTATAGAGAGATGTAATTGTGGGAGGGCAGAAAATTAAAAATCTGTCACTGTGTTCATTTTTTAAAATGAATTTTAAAAATGTGCTGAGCTTATACCATGTCCTGGAGCTATTCCAATTGCCTGGATTACTAATCACATAAAATACTAATCTTACTCTTTAGGAGCATACATTCTGACAGGGTGACAAAAATAGAAATGTACATCTTTAAAGAGCAATGCTGGACATATACACAAGATGAAGGGTGATCACAAAAGAAGAAAGCTTGCTCCATTTTTGTTACCCCTTCCTTGAGAGCATAATAATTTTAGTCCTGAAATATAAACAGTATGTTTTATAGGACTGTAGCCATTAAGAATATACACAGACACAAAACACATATGGGGAGTTCGAGAACTACAATCTCTCCACAGGAAAGGTTAGTGAGGAGCGGGACAGAGGTCAGAGAATAGAGGAACTCTTTTCTCTAATTAGTAGTCTTGAAATTTAGATAGTACGGCACATCAGTAAAACATTCTTGCATATACGCTAACGTACATTTACTTAGGAATTGTAGTATATTTCCAAGTGAGTTCCAGCTATACACTAATATCAATAAAGCTTAATTATTTTTTCATTCTTTTGGCTGAAATACAAGAATAGAAGTCCAGTGAATTGCTGGGGTGCTCCCTATCCTCCACTTTGGAGATCACTGTTATAAATAATGGAAATCCATAAAGAGTTATTTGTAAGCAAGGACTGGAGATTTGTGACCAAATGTGTATTTTGAAACAATGCTCTAGAGCATAAGAGTTGGCAAACTTCAGTCCGTGGGCAAAATCTAGGCCACTGGGAGCCAAACGTGGTCACGCTCATTTGTTACACACAGTCTATGACTGCTTTCATGTCACAACAGCTGTGCCAAGGAAATCCAACAGAGACCACAGGGCCAGCAAAGCCAAAAATTTTGACCTTGTCCTCTAAAGAAAACATTTGCTGTCCCCTACTCTAGAAAAATGGAAACTGGCTTAAAGGTCAAATTAGAAGGGAAGAAAACTAAGACACTACTACAGGACATGAGCACAGGTAGTTCCTGGGAAATGGGAAGGAGAGAATCAGTCCTACATAACGGGAGGCAAGGAGAGTTGACCACTACTTGATGTGCAGTAGATGTAATGTGCATATTATTTCACATGATCAGCTGGGCTGACGCTAGTAGTATATGTGGAGATTAGGAAAACAAAACAAAAAAGAGAATCGAGCATAGGAAATGAAGGCACTGATCTTTACCATGCTGTGCTTGAAGTGTCTGTTGAGTAAAGAAGTACAGATATCTAGCTGGCAGTTTGATATATGGTTCTGGAGCTCACAGGAGAGATACCACAGTGATCAGAAGCAATATTTGAAAGCATAAATAATGAGGAAGGTCTCCATGAACTGATATGAAGTGAAAAAAGCAAAGTATTAAAGAATATCTATAATATATTACCTTTTATGTAAGAAAGGAGATGTAAGAAAACACACATGGCCAGGTGTGGTGGCGCACACCTATAATCCCAGCACTCTGAGAGGTTGAGGTAGGCTGATCGCTGGAGCTCAGAAGCTCAAGATCAGTCTGGGCAACACGGCAAAACCCCATCTCTACAAAAAAATAAAAAAAAATTAGCCAGGCATGGTGGCATGTGCTACTCGGGTGGCTGAGGCAAGAGGATCACTTGAGTCTGGGAGTCAGAGGTTGCAGTGAGCTCAGATTGTGCCACTGTACTCCAGCAGCCTGGGTGACAGTGCAAGACCTCATCTCAAAAAAACAAAAAAACCCACATGTAACCACTACATGTGAAAAAAAATTATGGAAAGGATACACCAGAAACTCATGAAACTGGTTACATTCAGGGGAGAGGTGGAGACAGACGGAAAGAATGGACGGATGGGAACAGAGTAGAAGAGATGAGAAGGAGTGACACTTCTCTAAAATATCTTTCTATACGGTTTTGATTCTTAGAACTATGGTAGGCCAGGCGTGGTGCCTCATGCCTGTAATCACAGCACTTCGGGAGGCTGAGGTGGGAGGATCGCTTGAACTCAGGAGTTCAAGACCAGCCTAGGCAACATAGTGAGACCCCATCTCTCAAAAAAATTTTTTTTTTTTTGCCAGGAGTGGTGGCACATGCCTGTAGTCCCAGCTACTTGGAAGGCTAAGGCAGGAGGATTGCTTGAGCTGAGGAGGTCAAGACTTTAGTGAGCTATGATTGCACCACTGCACTCCAGCCTGGGTAACAGAGCAAAACCCAGTTTCAAAAATTAAGTAAGTTAAATAAGCTTAAGTAAGTAAAAAGGAAAGAAAGAAAAGAAAGAGGAAAGGAAAAGAAAGGAGAAATGAAGGGAGGGAGGAAAGACAAGGAAAAGAAAACAAAGGAAAAACAAGGGAAAGGGAAGGGGAAGGGGAAAGGAAATAAAGAAAAGGCTAGGATGAACCCTGCAAAATAACTAGCCAGCAAAGTGTCAAGGTTGTAAGTGACAAAGAAGGACCATCGTGGGTTGCAAGAGGCTAAGGAGACAGGACATTTAACACAACCTGGGTTCCTAGGTTGGATCCTTGAACTGAAAAAGGATATTATGGAAAATAATAAGCAGAATTTGAATACGATAGATAATAATACTGTATTCATGTGAATTTCCTGGTTCTGATCACTATAATATAGTTTTGAAAGATCAGGGGAAGCGAGGTGAAGGAAACACAGGTATTTTGTGTATGATTTTTCTCATTCTTCGTATTTAAAAATAAAGCAGTAAAAAATAGGCATGCTGCCTCCACCTCTGCAGACACCTGGGCTTTGGCCTGCTGTATGTCTCACCTCACCCACATGACCATCCTAGGTCACCCGTCTTTCTTTTCTTTGATCTGCTATACATCTTTCTACTGACAAATTTTATTAGGTAATTTAATGAGGCCTTTCCCGCTATCACCACTTAACTGTCTCTTAAACCAGAAGTAGTTACATTATCCATTTTATTTCTTCCATGAATTACTTCCTCTGAAGGACCTATAAGCTTCCTGAAGATAAAGAGTATCTCATAATTATAGGCACAACAATAGACATATAAGGTCTTAATGACTAGAAAGAATGACTGGCAAAAATATTAGAAACAAAACGCCAGGGAGAAAGAGTGCCAGGGAAGAGCCCTCACTAGAAAGTTCTGTACTTGCTCAGGCAGACCCAGTGCACTTCATAGCAGAAAGTCCAAAGTAAGAACAGTGAAATGTGTTCACTTTGTGAGAAACTGAAAGGTGCTTATGACAAAAGAAAAAGAAACTCGATTCTCCCGGTGACTCAGGTCCATTCTGCAAGCAATACTGTAAGTAGAATGATGATCCATTCAGAGCAGAGGAGAGTTCACCATTTCACACAAAACAAGATTACCCAAAAAAAGAAATGATGAGTACTACTATGAGCAGGGATATGGCTACTGAGGACATGTGCCTACACCTTTAAAGGCTAATAGTCTTACTTGTGAGGTAGACAGATAATGACCAGACCCTACATGTAATGCAAAGAAGAGGGCCAGCATTGCTCTGTAAACACATAGTCTGTGGACAAAGAATATGAGGACAGGAATGGGTCCTGTGACGAGATGGCTCCTGGCTATGTTCACAATGTAGGCAGAAAAGGGGTAGAAAGTCAAGGAGCAAACAGTAGAAACACGGTTAAAAGCAAGAGTGTAAAATTTGGGGCATGTTCAGGAGACTAAATGCAGACCACCATCGTTCTTCAGAGGGGCTCAATGTGGGTGGTCCCTTCCATCAGGGGCATGTGGCACATCTGCGGAGACATTTTTGCCTGTCAGGGTTCTGTGGGATGCTGTTGGCATTTGGTGGAAGGAGAGGGAAGGAAGGATGGTAGAGACACTGCAACATGCAGGACCTTCTCCTACAGGAAAGAAATGTCCCAAGTCCTGTATAACTTTCTAATCTTAAATATTCATATAAACGAAAAATCCTGTTTATAATGATCTGAGCCTAGAACCTTATTCCATTTGGCACTTGAACACATAGTATTTTTATATATTTTTTATGTATATTAAATTTTCTTCAATGTAATAGTGGATACATCAAGCACAATTTGTATTTGATTTGAACTGGAACTTCAGGGATTTTCACTCTTGAAAAATATCACAAATGGCAATGCTATGTACAGTATTTGAATCATGACACATCAGTCCCATATCAGTGAGAACTTGTAATTATCACGTTCATAGAAATTTAACCTAAAAGTAATCTGTATAAACACCAGACTCCTCTTCTTTTACTATAGTTTTATCTGGGCAAGTCTATATTAAGATACATATCATTTTTAATTACTTTTTTATTTTTCCTCTATATTCGAGTTCTATTGATTTTTTTAAAAATTACACAAGTAAGTTGTATTATCTATGATCTCCAAAATAGGATAAAGGGAGGATGGCTTTTAGTTGGGATTTCTAGAAAACAGATCCTAAGGCAAGGACTTGGTCTGCATCATTCCATCTGGGAACTCCAAGCCGGGGTAGTGAGGGTGAGGGAAGTAAGGAAGGGAGGAAAGAAAGGATGTAAACAATGAGATATGAGAGGCATTAGCATGCTGCCCACCAACTCACTACAAGCCCCAAAGAGGGGCAAGTTTCCTCAGCAGGAGCATGGGGTCAGCACGTGGGTCAGCACATGGGACATCTCTGGGAGGACCACCAGGAGAAACTAACCTTGAAATAGTGCACAGAATAGAGAAAGGATGGGGAATTCATCTGCCCACCTCCTTCTCATTTTCCATTTCCCTTCATTCAAGGTTCACCCACGGTGAGTTAACTTGCGCACACTTCCAGGTTGCATCATCTGGCTCCACCATCTGGCCCCTCAGGAAGCTGGTACCACACCTCATGGTGTGTGGTTTCATCCAAGTCTAAAACAGGAGGCAGCCTGGTGTGGGTGGGTGGCATTAACTAAGAGAGATAAAGGGGATGGCAGAATATGGAAGGTTTGCATCCCAATATAGCTCCTAAGAAAGTATGTTCTGTAAAAAGATATGGGTCTGGCAGAGTTGAGAACCACCTCAGCACAGTTTGAATTGCTTGTGTAATATCTTTCTCTTTCACTAGCACATGAGCTCCATGAGGACAGAGACAGTATCTCCTTCATTCAAGCTGAATGTAGACCATCTAGCATAGCGTATCACACACAATTGTTTGATCAATATACAGTTGTTGAATGAAAGGTCCAGAGTGGTAGGAACTGAGAAGAGGCAGGAAACGGTCATGACATACATAGCCTTACAGGTCATACCAAGGATGCTGAACTTGTATTCTGCAAGTGGCGTGGAACCTCTTAAGTCATTTCTGTATTAAGACATGATCACGTTGGCATTTTGGAGGAATTGGTCAGTGTGAAGAACAGCCTTGAGGTGGGAAGAGGAAGGGGCCAAGCAGACTGCTGAGAAAGCTACTAATATTATGACAACCCACGAGAAACTGAGGCAGGAGAGGAGGAGATGGAAGTGAAAGGACAAATTCAAGAAATGTTTATGTGACAACATTAGCAAGCTCGACAAACAGGTATGGTAGGACGTGAGGAAAAGGAGAATTAAGATGGACTTCAGGCCGGGCGCGATGGCTCACGCCTGTAATCCCAGCACTTAGTGAGGCCGAGGCAGGAGGATCACGAGGTCAGGAGATTGAGACCATCCTGGCTAACATGGCGAAACCCCGTCTCTACTAAAAAATACAAAAAATTAGCCAGGCGTGGTGGCGGGTGCCTGTAGTCCCAGCTACTCGGGAGGCTGAGGCAGGAGAATGGTGTGAACCTGGGAGGCTGAGGCAGGAGAATGGTGTGAACCCGGGAGGCAGAGTTTGCAGTGAGCTGAGATCGTGCCACTGCACTCCAGCCTGGGTGATAGAGTGAGAGCCCATTTCAAAAAAAAAAAAAAAAAAAGATGGCCTTCATTTTCTGGCTTGTCTCGCTGGTCAGATGGAAGCAGCACTGATAGGGAAAAAAGAAGCAGCAGCACATTGAGCAAGTTGTAAGTATTATTTCCATGTTGGATATGAGGACTCCATGTGCCTTCTGGACATCCTTACAGAGATGTTCAGCAAGAATCTCAAGCTGAGGTCCTCAGAGGCAGAAATACCTCAGAGCATAAAGACTCACAAGTTAAAACCACAAAGGGCATGAAAAAAAATCAGAAAGAATAATGGGCTAACAATGGCATAGCAATGTTCATGAAACAAAAGATTGTATAAAAGATATAAAGAAGACATGATTACAAGCTGGGTGTGGCAGCTCACAGCTGTAATCAGTGCACTTTGGGAGGCCAAGGTGGGAGGATCACTTGAACCCAGGAGTTCGAGACCAGCCTGGGCAACATAGTGAGACCTCATCTCAATTAAAAAAAAAAAAAAAAGACATGATTACAGAGCTACAAAGAGAATCATGTGAGTGATACCACAGACATTATCAGAGGTGCCTATTAGGGAGGGGGCAGTCATACTGTCAAATGCAACAAAGAGTTTGGTAAAGTATGAACTGAAAGATACTCATTGGGTTTGAAAATATTTAGGTTACTGCTAAATTTTTCCAGAACAGATCCATCAGAGTGGTGGGGGCAGACACCAGACTGTATCAAGTGGGTTGAAATGAGACAGGCACATGAAGAAGTTTTACCTACAGAATATAATATTGAATTGTTCCCTCTAGAACTTGTTTTATAAGTATAGCTGAAATAAAGTTATGGGGCATTATTTGAGGAACACTATTTTATTTGTTATAGGTTTTATCCATTTATTCTAGGTCTTATCACTGGATCATAGACATCACAGAGAACCATCAGAATGCTGCCTGTTCGGATGACACTGGATTGGTTCCCTGTAATTACTGTGCTCTGCCTGGGTATAGAAGTCACAGGAAACCCATACCATTTCTTTCTCAGCTGTTTTTGGCAGAACTGTCTCTACTTCACTTACTCAAAGATCATCCAAGAAAATTTTTAGATATAAATGATGGGAAAACCACACAAAAATCCAGTGTAAGGGCTATCTCATATTGTCTGGGCCTTTCTGGAACCATTTGAGTAACTCTATAGGAATATATGATTTCTGTATATCTATGTCCACTTTTCCAGTATTGATCGAATACTCTTCTCTGATGCTGAATTTTATACATTTCGTTTCATCTGCAAACTACTCTAAACCTCTTGAAATTCACTGTATAATGTGAGAAGTAAATCCCTGAGCAACTTACCTGAAATTTTTTCATTTTCATGTTCTCTTGAGAAAGGGCCAAGAGTGTTGAAAGCAGAGCTGGGTAAGGAAGAATGGCGAATGGAATCATGAGCGATTTGGCTCACACAGCAGCTCTACAATTACCTACAAAGCCACACACCCATTTAAAAACATGGCCCTTTGACCAGTCTGGTTCAGGAAGCAACATGTTGAGGAAACGTTCACTTGTCCATTTATAGTTCTAGAATGGTCTCATAGAGCTTTTCTTACTGAGTGAGTGTCAACAAATGTTTTCTACTGAATTACTGTCAATCTATGCCTCCTTTGAAAAAAATTGAAAACGTCTGAGTCCAATTAATAGGAGACTAGGTCAACGAAAGTTAGTATATACAAAGCCTGGAACACTATTTTGGCATTAAAATGGACTCTAGGATTAAAAGATTTCTTGGAATAGGAAAATGATATTATGTCACTTACCTGTTTTCCTACTAATGTGTTTAGCCACTTGAGATGACAGAATCCAGAGAGAATGAATGAAAGTGCTTTAAGGTGTTTGTCTTTTTGACAGTTTGGTTTCCCTTAGCTGCAGTTTCACAAGAGGACCTTTTACTAAGAAACTTCTTGTGGTAGGTAACGTAAATGTGGTAGATGACAAAAGCCCTGACCTGGTACTCAAAGGACCAGAATTCAGTTATTGGATCTGTCACTAGCAAACTGCATTACTGAAAAAAATATTTACTAAGTCGTAATTTTAATATAAGATAAATTGGTTTTTAGTCTTTCCTTTACCCCTATCGTGTAGCTCTGTAAGGGGTAAACTCAGTAAATCCCAGGTGAGGTGATGAACATGGTTGGTGCAGCTCTGAATAAACAGAGGGTGGAGATGGTAGGGAATGACATGTATGTGTTTAGGAAGTGATGAAGACATCATTTCCTTATTTATAACCAGTACTCCTTCCCTCCAACCCAGGACTCTCGCAGATACCTCCAGTGAAGTGTCTTTTCCTGTCAAATCTTGACCCTGCCCATTCCAGCTCACATCCTTCTTCCGAAAGTTGAACTGAACTTTGCTGAGCTATAATAATCAATGGCTGCAAGACTAAGTGCATCAGCAGAAGTTCTGGAAAGAGGTTCTAGCTACTTGGATGCGTAAACCTTTCACCTTCACCAAGCGCCTTCTTCGGGCAAATCAGGGCCCTAGAGAGAGCTCGCCCGTGGCCTGCAGGTCAGGAGCCCAATCCTGCCCTGGCTGCCTCGCCTCCCGACCACAGGAAACCCTCCCTCCAAAGACAGGGAGAGCGCGCGTCCACCCTCCGCAGACCCGAGGCCCGCTCCGCCCGGCCCCACCGTTCCCTCCGACGCCCGAGTGCTCAGAGCTCGCCGCCAGCCCTTCCTATAGGTTGTGGGTGCACCCGCTTCGCCTCCAGTTCGCACCAGGTCCAAGTCTCGGCGGGACCAGGGATTCACGGGCTGCAGGACCCTCACCCGGAAGAGCCTGGCGAACCGGAAGGGCGTCCAGGTAAAAAACAGGAACAGCACATGCGCAGAAAGGCCCCCGGGCCGCCTTTCCCGGGGCTCTCCCGGGCCCCCCGCCGGCTTTCCGGACCACAGTCCCCAGAAGGCGTCGCGGCCACCGCCCTACCCTGAGGGATCTTTGAGGAGCTTCTGCTTTAACTACAGAGTTTAGGTGACTGCTGTGAATCATCAATACGAAAAGTAAAGTTTCATATCCGTTTCACCGAAGTCTATAGATGAGAAAGGAAAATTCTGCGAAATGAAAATGACTGCTAAAGATATTCCAGCAGAATATAATACTAACGACCTGCAGAAAATTTCTCCCAAACAGGATACAAAATCATTGCTGGCTTTCAATACGTGAAGGTTGAAAATAAATCAGAATATCTCTGAAGAAAATGAACTATTAGCCGTAACCCCAATTCCCAGAGATATCCGAGTTTAACATTAGGTGCACATTCTTCTGACAGCTTTACAAAGAGGAACTCATATAGGTCTAGTAATTTGTTATTTTTTAAATTAGCAATATAGTTAATATACTTTAATACCACGAATTATCTCATATACATTGTGAGTAATATAGAAAATAGTTTTACATCCACAAGGAAAATACATACAATCATGCATGGTTTAACGATGGGGATACACTCTGAGAAATGTGTCTTTAGGCAATCTCGTCTTTGTGTGAACATCATGGAGGGTTCTTACACAAATCTAGACAATATAGTCTACTACACACCTAGGCTGTATGGTATAGCCTATTTCTCCTAGGCTACAGGCCTGTGTGGCATGTCACTGTCCTGAATACCATATGCAATGGTAACACAATGGTATTTGTGTATGTAAACATATCTAAACATAGGGAAGGTGCAGTAAACGTACAGTATTGTAATCTTATGAGACCACAGTTGTATATGCAGTACATCGTTGACTGGAACATTCTTATATTATGCATGACTGTATATGAATTGTATACATATTGAATAAATAGAACTTTATAAAACTTTACTCATTGGAAGGCATGAAAGTTTCTGACAAAGTTATAATGTATTATTATTCAATTCCAGAAAAGAACAATTAGCGACTGGTGGTAGCTAGTCTTCAAAGATGGCCCCCAATGAACTAAACTTCCCAGTATTCCAGGCTTGTATATTTCCCTCCCACGTTGACTTTGACTGACTCTGTGACTCTCTTTAACCAAAAGAATGCGTCAGAAGTCACACTGTGCCAGTTCCAGAAATAAGCCATACAAAGTCCTGGCAGCTTCAGCTTTGCCCTTTGAAGAGTCCTTAGACGCTGTGTAAGACATGCAGTTAACCTGTTAGACCAAGTGGAGAAACCAGGAGAAGTAGGAAGTGAGAGGCCCTGAGACCACATGGAAAAAGAGAGGCCCATCTTTCCTAGCAATGCAGCTATCCCAGCCTTCCAGTCATCCTTGCCTAGAGACATCAGACATATGAGTGAACATTCTAGGCCAGTGAAGTTCCTGGATGACTTCAGCTCCAGATGAAATCATATAGCTGATGCCAGTAAACATACAGACTACAAGAAATAATGAATTTTATTATTTTAAGCCTCTAAGTTTTGGGTGGTTTGTTACACAGCAATAGCTAGCTAAGCACCAACAAAAGATGATTTCCAAGAATATAATATGAAAAGCTGCCATTTCAAATCATTGAGAAAGGCTTATTGTTAAATAGATTATTGAAAAAGTGATGTGGGACAACTCACTAACCATTTGGAGTAAAAAACTAAGATTCCCATCTCACACATTATAATCAATATATTTCACATTGACATATAATTTGAAATGTTAAAAGCAAACTCACAGACTAAGTGATTTTTGCATTACTTGCTAGGGAAGCTCTTTTACTGAAATTTATTAAAGCAAAGTTTCCTAGTCATCAAGAAAATTGAATATATTTCTATTCATTCAAGTTTAGATAGTCTCAAATGTTTTGCTACTTTTGTAATTGGGAACATTTTTCTATCTTATTTTCATTGCCATGTAAAAGTGACACTGTAGAGAAAAGTATTGATCAATTTGGCTATGAAAAATTGAAAAAATCTTGCTTCAGAAAAAAATAGATTTAAAAAGAAATAAATGGAGAAAATAAAGTGGTTTCATATATATGAGAAGGATTGGAAATAGACTCAATTTATTAACAGCTCTTAGAAATCAGTAAAGATGAGGATTCAAATTTGTTTAAAAAATGAAAAAAGAACATGAATAAGACAATTAATATAGAAGAATTGTAAAAGAGCCATAACTATACATATGAGGTAATGGCCAATAATACTCTAGAGCAAAGAAATGCAAAAAGTTTTTGATTACGTACTTTTTTGGCAGACTAATTTGGCAAAGATTAAACGGAATAATAAAGTATTGGCATGAATTTGGAAAAAATATTTGTTCCCAGACAGGTTGGGTGGGAGTATAATTCCTATGACATTTCTAGTAGACATTCTGTACCAAAATTGAAGATTGCATGTCCTTTATTCCAGCAACTCAGCTTCTAGGAACATCTTAATCAAATAATTAAATCAGTACAAAAAGATGCATATCAAGAATGTTCCTCGTAATGATTTTAATCATAATCTTTTTTTTTGTAGATGGAGTCTTGCTGCAATGCCCAGGCTGGAGTGCAATGGTGCAATCTTGGCTCACTGTAACCTCCACCTCCTGGGTTCAAGTGATTCTCCTGTCTCAGCCTCCCAAAAAGCTGGGATTACAGGTGCCCGCCACCATGCCCGGCTAATTTTCGTATTTTTAGTAGAGACGGGATTTCACCATATTGGGAACTCCTGACCTCAAGTGACCTGCCCACCTCAGCCTCCTAAAGTGCTGCGATTATAGGCGTGAGCCACCACGCCCAGCCAATCATAATAACTTTTAAAAAGGTGGAGGGAAGCAACCAAATGTCTACCAGCAATGTGAAGGTGAAGATAGAATATAAGTAGCCATTTTTAATTTATTTGATGTAATATTTGAATTACAAATATAATTTTCATATTTTTTCAGATATAACTACTTGTCTTGATATGATTTATTGAAAACATCATTTTTTGCCCACTGCTTTGCAATGTCATCTAAATTCTTACATACCTCTTGTCTATACATGTTCCTGCAAGGAACCAGAATTTAACTTTTTACAAATTAAAGAAATTTCATACATATTAACATTAATCTGCTTTTTCTAAGATTTTCTGGATGTATTTTAAATACTCTGTGAAGGGAAACCAAAAAAAAGCAAAGAAAGCACCAAAATTTGCCACTATTTTAACAGAAATTTTATTAAATAAACAAAATTTCCAATTCTTCAAGCCTGGGTGACAGAGCGAGACTCTCAATAAATAAATAAATAATAAAAGTTACAGGGATGGAAAGCACAAATTCAGAAAGTGGGAGTGATGATGAAACAGGTTAATTCTACTGTCATCACTTCGTTTCCAGCCACTTGAGGATACAATAGCATATATCAGCCACTGGTTCCATACATAAGCTACATCCTGGTGGACAACACCCAAAACTCTTAGGGTGTCATTCCAAAACCTCTGCCTTAGCTGAGCCTTTACTAAGCAATATCATACTTCTATCAGGATGGCTGTTTTAGGCTGATGCCTTGTATGGTAGGATTAATTGATCCCATAGAGCAGTGGTCCCCAGACTTTATGGCACCAGGGACCAGTTACATGGAAGACAATTTTTCCATGGACAGGGTTGGGGGGCATTAGATTATCGTAAGGAGTGTACAACCTACATCCCTCACGTGCGCAGTTCACAATAGGGTTCCCACTTGTATGAGGTCTAATGCTACCGCTGATCTTACAGGAGGCGGAGCTCAGGCAGTAGTGCTCTCTTGCCTGCTGCTTACCTCTTGCTGTGCGGCCCGGTTCCTAACTTTGTTGGGATAGAGATCTTGGGTCTTGGAGGTGGCAGACAGTTCCACTGGAAATAATGATGAACAAATGTCTTAACATTTAGTCCTCCAGGAGACAATTCTGGGAGCATTCCATATGCTTCTCAGAGTTATTGGAAGAATCAAATCCCTGTTGTCCATAGCAGGGACCTTACTTTCACCTGCTTACATTGGCGTTTCTCCTTCTTTATCTCATTATCTCCAGTCTCTCATCCCTGCTTCCTGGAATCACCTCCCAAATAAACTCTATAACCCAGGCACTGTATGCATTTTACATAACATGTACATGACATCTTACACTGTACCCTGCCCTCTCTCTTCCTAGTATTTCTGTTTCAGCCGGAAGAGGAAGCAAATGAAGATTGACTTGAAGATTAGAGAGTTGAAGTAATCTTCATTTATTCACTTTGGATGAAGATTGTAGGGTCAATATCTAGGTCCTGGTATTCTAATTACTAAATAGATACTATGTTTATGGTAAATGACTGCAGGTCTGTCTATCCTCAAAGGAAGCAGAAAACCTTGGATTCTGCTGAGTTTTTATCCAGTGGGAGATTCCCTCAAAAAAGTTTAAAGAGTGGTGGAAGACTAAAATTTGCTACTTAAAAATTATTTCTTAAGATGTGCTATTTAGCATACCAGCTACATTGACTATCTGGGCATGGTTCAGATGGGTTCTGTCTGTGCTTCAGGGTCTTTTGCTGTAATCCAGGTGTCAGTGTGCTTGCACCTGAGCTTTATAAGGATGTGTGAAGTGGTCTGTGGCCTGTTAGGAACCCGGCCAAACAGCAGGAGGCTGTGTTAATACTTAAAAAAAATTAGCTTTTGGTTTGGTTAATCCTTTCTATTGTTTCTTTTTGCTATTTCATTGATTGCTTCCTTTTATCTGCATTATGTTCTTCCTCATCATTAAAAAATTATTCTGTTCTTTGCTGGGCACATGGCTCACACCTGTAATCCCAGCACTTTGGGAGGCTGAGGTGGGTGGATCACTTGAGCCCAGGAGTTGGAGACCAGCCCTGGCAACATGGTGAAACCCTGTCTCTACCAAAAATACAAAAATTATCCAGTCTCATAAGCTGGTCTCAGAATAAATAAATTAATTAATTAATAAATAGATTTTTTAAATTATCCTGTTCTTATTTTAACATCTTCAGTTAGACACAGTCAATATAAGAATTTAAGGCTGGGTGCAGTGGCTCACACCTATAATCTCAGCATTTTGGGAGCCTGAGGCAGGTGGATCACCTGAGGTCAGGAGTTCTAGACCAGCCTGGCCAACGTGGTAAAACCCTGTCTCTACTAAAAATATAAAAATTAGCCAGGCGTGGTGGTGGGCACCTGTAATCCCAGCTACTTGGGAGGCTGAGACAGGACAATCGCTCGAACCCAGGAGGCAGAGATTGCAGTGAGCTGAGGTCACACCACTGCACTCAGCCTGGGTGACAGAGTGAGACTTCCTCTCATAAAAAAAAAAAAAAAAGAATTTAAGGTTCTAGATTTCCCTGCAAGCTTTTTTTTAGTGACCTCCACTCAAATCTACATTTTAGTTGATGAGATATACAAAAAAACCTGATACTGCAAAAGATTATTTAATTTAAAATGTAGTAAAGGCTACAAAGGAGAAATTCACATAATACAGGAGTAGACAATGTCTGTGGGTTAGAGAGCGCTTCTTCTGGGAAGAGATATTTGGACAGTGCTCCAAAGGGTGGTGCAGAGGAGGAAGGGGAAGAACACTTGAAGCATAGTGTGAGGCGAAGAGAATTATAAGGTGTTCCAGAGCTAAAGTAAATGAGGAGGAGAAAGACTTGCTTCCCACACTGGAGGTCTCTCTGAGTCTGGAGGTATCACAACCTCTCCCTGTTGCAAGGTCCCTGGTACCCAAAACAATTTTGTCACACACACCATCCTGCCCCTTGTGAGTCCTGCCAGCCCAGCTTTCAGGGGCCTGGCCCCTGATTCCTTCTTTTCTTATCAGGGTCATTCAGAATCCGGAATGACTCTTATTTCCACAGAGCTTCAAATCCCACCTCTCTCTGAGGTAGAAGACCAACAGGGCTTGTTTTCTGGTCACAACCCTGCTGATCAAAACAGGATCTGATCCAGACAGGATCAAGTGAAGAAACCAGCAGGAACCAGCAGATGGGGACAAATGTGATCCCTGGCTGCCCTCATTGCTCATAGCGTAAGATACTCCCATAGTGCCATGACAGTTTTAAAATGCCATGGCAATGGCCCAGAAGTTACCACTCATTTTCTAGAAAGCTATAAATAACCTGCCCCTCAATTTGCATTGATCCACTCCTTAATTTACATGTAATTGAAAGTGGGTTTACATGAGTATAAATAGTTACCAAGAGTCTATAGTTTGCTGACTCAGGGCATACTGCCTATGAGTTAGCCCTGCTCTGCAAGGAGCAGTACTGTTGAATGAAAGATTGTTTTCTGATACCACCAGCTCACCTTTGAGTTCTTTCCTGGGTGAAGGCAAGAACACTCGTAGGTTAAGCCCCACTTTGGGGGCTCAGCTGTCCCACATCACCTTTGGTGAGAGGAGGACCAACTGTGGGGATTGTGAATTCAAACCTCCTGAAAGCTAATGTTGATGGGAGGTGAGCCAGTGAAATGGAAATGGCACCTGAGGCAAGATCCTGTCTAAGTAGAGTTTAGCCCTTTGCAGGACAGGTGCAATGAGTGCTATGAGGGAGATAAGAACAAGTACTGTGGGCAGAGAGGAGATGGCTGCTCACCCTGGACAGTGGGTTCAGAAGTAGCCTCCAGGAGGAAGCGAACATTCAGTGTGGATCTGATAGATTAGAATTGGCAGCCAAGGGTGAAGAGGATTCCTCTGGTCAGAAGGAACAGTATGTGCAGAGGCCAGAGAGTGTGGTGCAGTTTGCCAGGTTTGAGCTCCAGTCAGGCCTATGAATGACATGGCTGGCTAGTTGGGCCTTGTTTGTTATGGTGAAGCATGTTGTATTTTCCAAAGATGCCCATTACAATATCTCCCATCCTACTTTCTCTTCTTACTGCATCACTCCCCCATCAAAAGGTGGACTCTATGTCCCCTCCCCTGAAACCTGGATAGACCTTCATGACTGCCTCAACTAAAAGGATATGGTGGAAGTGAGGCCACGTGACTAACAAGGCCTGGGCATAAAAGGCAATACAGTCTCCGCCCAGCTCTCTGTTTGAGGATGCTCACTCTTGGGACCTGGACGCCATGCCATGAGGAAGCCCAGGCTACATGAGGAGGCCATGTGTGGACATTGTGGGTAAAATTCCCAGCTAAGGTCCTAGCCAACAGACATGTGAATAAGAAAGCCTTCAAGAGGACTCCATCCCCAGCCACCACCTGCCTGAGTGTGGACCGCCTATAAGTGAACCTTCAGAATCATGACAGATAATAATAATAAATGATGTTGCTTTACACCAATAACCAATAAAGATGGTCAAATAGTGATCAAGGAGAGGAATTCCAAGCCAAAAGAAAGGTATAGGTAGGGTTTACTACCAAACCAAAGAAGGAGGAGTTCCAGCATTGCAGGAGGGAAGGGGAGGGCAGGGCAGAGGAGGGGAGGGGAGGGAAGGAATGGAGGGAGAGGGACAAGGTAAGAAGAAGGCAGACTGGCAAGCCCACACTGGATAGTGTGGTTTCCATGAAGGCCACTAAGTGGCAGCATTGGCACAGGCCAGTGGTTGTCAGACTGACTTTGTTGTTGCTTTGTCAGGCGACCTCGCTGTGAAGGCTCAGTGTCTGTGGCTGCAAGGTAAAGAAGGCCTGGCTGATAGCAAGTGCTGAGGAAGGCCTGGGAAGGCCTAGCTCTTGCTGATACATCAAATAATGTCAACCTCCCACAGCTGTTAACTCGAGTCAATTCATTTGTGGTGGACGTGTTGTTTTTTCTTCTGGTCCTCCTTTTTCTCATAACAAACACTTCAATTTTCCTTTGGGGAACTATACCACCACCACTCAGGTCTCCTGTATACACTCTCATAGGCTGTGCACTGCATAACTCCAGAGAATCCATCCATTCAGACTGTGATGAGTGGTGCCTACTGGAATTGAGGAGTGCCCAACCTGTACAACTGTCAATAACAGCCCTTGAAAGATGGTCCAAGTTGCCCATTGTGCTCCTGGTCTAGATACAAGCACATTGTCTGAACCAAGCATATCATGGATTTGATTTTGAATCCTGAGTAGAATGTTCATCCTGTTCATACTGACATGAATGCTGTGAAGCAACTGCCCATTAGCTCCAGCTACATGGATCTCCAGAGTTCTCCCTGGTTCTTTTCTTTTTTTGTTTTCCAACTCCAATAGAAATCAAATTCCCTTTTGATTTAGTTCGCCAGAGATGCTTTCTGTTGCTAGCAACCGGAGAACTCCAAAAAGTCACAATCTGTGCCTCAAAACTTTCTCAAGGAACCAGATTTCAGCAAAAGGTCTTGGGTATTAAGATTAAAACTAGTCTTTATTCATTATCCATTCATTTATTCATCCAACAAATATTTTGGGGGTACCTACTATGTGCCAGGCATGGTATTAGATTAGAGGACTCAGCGGTGAAGAAGCCAGTCATGCATGGTCACTGCCTACTCAGAATCTGGTGAGAAAGACCACAGTATGTAGATGATTACAGACAGCTATAGAATTCCAAATGGGGGGAAGTATTGTGAAAGAATAGAATGAAATGCATTTTAGGCTTGCTACAAGCAAGCAGTTTCTACCTCTTATAACAGTTAATCCTCAGAACAATGCTACATGTTAAGTAATACTATAGATCCTATTTCACAAATATGTAAACTAAGCTTACGTTAAATATAAATATACATCCAATAATTTATAAATAGAAATAGAAATAGAATTTTCCCAAGACTTGGGTCTTTCAATGCTAGAAGTGGGGCAGTCCTGGGCAAACAGGGACAAGTTGTCACTCTAATAAATAACTTGCCTGTGACCACACTGTTAGAGAGTGGTGGGGTAAGTATTCACTTCAGGTCTAGTTTTACCCTGAAGCTCATGCACACAATGACTACCTGACAGGTGCCCTTGGATGTTGTGGGCAGTGTGTGGGGAAAGGGAGGAGAGTGGGAGAGGCTGGAGGCAAGCAGACCAAAGAGGAGACTGAGACAATGGCCCAGCACGCAATGGTCATGGAGAAGGAAGTAACTGATTCGATGTGAGGGGTGGAGGGGGCAGGAGATCTGGGATGACCCAGGGGGTTAGGTGTAGGAGGGGGATGGAAGTGGTCTGGGAGGAGGAAGAATTCAGGTTGGCCATGTTGGGTTTGCCATCTGGGTCCAAATGCCAGTAGGCAGTTGGAGAAGAATCTCAGAGTTAGAGAATTCTTGTAGCTCAGCTGGGCATCGTAGGCACTTCAAAGATGATGCCAACAGGGTCCCTGCTCTCAGAGCTTCCTGTTAGGTTTTGAAGGGAAGGCGAGGGTTAAAGAAAGACACGCACACACACAGAGGGTGGCTCAACAGCAACATAGGTATATTGCAAAAACCTGCAGAAGTAGGGGACCAGCTTAATGCCAGAGCCCTCTGCTGATTACAGGCTGGGGTACTTATAGGTATGGGGAGGAGGGGTCTGGGCAGTATGGCTTGCTGCCCAACAGGATATTGAAAAGATGTGCTTATGATCAGGTAGTCTGGCCCTTTCTCCAGTGGGATGTGAATAGGGTTTTCCTTGGACTTTTGCCCAGCAGGATATGATACGGATGTCCCTTCAGTTGGGCCCTTGCCTAGTGGGGTATGATAAGAATGCTTATAGAGGCTTTCGAGGAAGCATGGCCCTACTGACAGCTTGACTTTGGACTTCGATCCTCCAGGACAGCAAAAGAATTAACTCCTGTTGTTTCAAGCCATTCAGTTTGTGTTAATTTGTTACATCATCTCTAGGAAACTAAAACACATGACATGGTCCTTCCTACCTCAGAGCTTGCGTACTTGCTACCCTGTACCTGGAACTCTCTTATTCTGACTCGATAGATGGCTGGTTCCATCTCATCCCTTCAGATCTCCACTCAAATCTCATCTCTTCAAAGATGGCTCCTCCAAGTATTCCAGCTAAAGTCTCTCCCTTAAGTTACTCTGTACCACAATGTCTTCTTTAATTTTCTTTATAATATTTATCACTTTGAAATTATTTTATGGATTTTTTGAGTATGTGTGTGCTGCCTGTTTCATCCCAAGAGAGTGCAGCTTATATAAGAAGCACAGCTGTATACCCAAGACCCAGACATGTCCTTTATATATTGGAGGAACTTAACAAATATTTGTTAAATGAACTGATCAAGCAAAGACTCACAATGGTCAAAAACGGAAATTTGCACAGGGTTACACCACTAGGAAGCCACAGAGTTTTTATTTAAACACAGGCTGTCTGAGTCCAGAGCCCAAGCTCATAACTATTATGCAATTACGCTATACTAACTTTGATGCAAGGGAGAAATAAAGACAATTTGGGATGAGGTCCTATTAATAAGGGAAGAGACAGAAAAGAGATTAATTCTAATTCAGTTATTGGGGTTGAGATATTACACAATCAGCTGGAAAATAAGGTTTGATTTGTGGAGAAGCCCTGACCTGGAAGATCAGCCTTAATTTAGGGCCAGAAGAAATCTCAGTAGAACTCAGGGTAGCTGTCCTTCACCCCTGGTGCTGAATTTAAGGTTAGTGCTTGATAAAGCCACCTCATGGCTTTTGTGTACAAGGTCTCAAGTCATTCCTCCTAGGTACTCATTTCCCCTCCACTACCTGACCTTGTTGGGGCAACTCTTCCTTCATTGCTTTGCTTAATTCCTGAGCTGGCTTATTTAGTCCATTGGGCATCTTCCCTGTCTCCTGTCCCAGCTTCAGTCCAGTTTGGGAGAGGAAACTCCCCTTCACAGAATATCTATAAATGAACTTATAAAAGATTTGAATCTATTAATATACTATAGGATTCAGTTTACAAAGGCATTAGAGAAAAAAATAAGAAAAAATTTCACCACTACTGGCATCGATCATTGGTTTAACTTCTGGTTTTTCTTTCAGCAGGAGAAAGGCACAGCAGTTGTTTTCAGAGAAGTTCAGCAATATCTCCTTGCTGACAAAGCTTCAATTTCAGGTCTTGCAAGTGCTTCAGATCCCCTGAGGGCTTGCTGGGACCCCTATTTGGTCTGCATTTCAGTAGTCCCTACTATAGGCCTTGGATATAAGAACCCTTTATCCCCCATCCCCTGCCAACTGAAAGAGCACACAATGGTCAAAGCTAGAGCAATTCGGTAACAAAATAAAGTGGTATTAGATTATAATCCAAAGTATGAAATAAATATCATGAGCCCATACAGATAAAAAATAAGTGACTCAATAATAAATAAATGAGGGGAGAATAGACAAATCATATTTGCAGAATTTCAAATCATTTATGTAGCTACTTCTCCCTCAAGGAGGTAAAGCATTACTCCCCACCTCTTAATGTAGGCAGTATCTAGTGACTTCCTCCCAAAGAGGAAGGCAAGGAAGGAAAAGATTAGCTTCACAGTGAAGGAAGCTTCTGGCAAACACTCCCTCAGCTAGGAGATGAAGGCTACATCAGCAGTGGTAAGTCATGGTGATAATATGCACCCTTGATATGATGTATTGAGAATAAAGTCTCTCCCTTTATGGGGTTACAACCTTATTGCTTTGCAGTCTGTGGAGGAGTTTACCTCTGTGATCTTCCTCAAAAAGATCCATAACCCCAGTCTAATCACAAGAAAAACATCAGACAGATCCCCATTGAGGGAGAATCTACCTGAGCAGTATGCCTCAAAATTGTCCAGATGATCAAAAATAAGGCAAGTCAGAGAAACTGTCACTGCCAAGAGGATCCTAAGGAGATGTGATAACTAAATGTAATGTGGCACCCTGGACAGAATCCTGGGACAGAAAAAGGACATTAGATCAAAACCAAAGGAACCTGAATAAAGTGTGGGCTTTATCAAATAATAATGTATTAATGTTGGTTTGTTAATTATAACAATGTAACATAAATGTAAGATATTAATAATACAAGAAGCTGGGTGTGGGGTATATAGGAGCTCTTTCCACTATCTTCACAATTTTTCAAAAATGTAAAACTATTCTAAAATTTAAAAATTTATTTTGAAAAGGAGGGGGGAAACTTACTATCTCAGCTTAACAAGGAGTCTGAAGTAGGCAACAGCAGAACTGGCTGAGCCAGTAAATTATATTATCAAACACTCAGACTCTTCTCATCTTTCCCTCGTCCATCCTTAGCTTGTTAATGTTTGCCCTCAAACCTGTCTTCTCATGATTACAAGATGGCTGCCACAGTTCCAAGCATCATATTGACATGAAACCATGTTTAAAGACACCAAGGACCATTTCTCTTTATATGTCTCTTTATCAGGAAGAAAAATCTTTTTCCAGAAGCCCTTCTGGAAGATTTCCTGTAGGCTCCATTGGCCAGGATTGGGGCACATACCCAATCCCCAGCTGCAAGAGAAGCCAGAAGAGTGAGAACCAGGAATCTCCAACCTCCACAATGGGAAGCCATCAAGAAATAATTTGGGGGTGGGGCAGGTAATGGTGTTGATTAGGCAACCATCAGTGTATACCACACATGAGTTCTCCCCATTACACCTGAGTTTTCTATCAGAATTTCTAGCATCACCTTCTACCCATTGGGCTGAGTTACAGATAACTGAAAATGCTGGTGTCTTCTTTTTTTTTTCTTTTTCTTTTTTTTTGTTGCCCAGGCTGGAGTCCAATGGCACAATCTTGGCTCACTGCAACCTCCACCTCCCGGGTTCAAGCAATTTTCCTGCTTCAGCCTCCCGAGTAGTTGGGATTACAGGTGCCAACCACCATGCCTGGCTAATTTTTGTATTTTTCATAGAGACGGGGTTTCGCCATGTTGGTCAGGCTGGTCTCGAACTCCTGACCTCAGGTGATCTCCCCACCTCGGCCTCCCAAAGTGCTGGGATTACAGGCTTGAGCCACCGTGCCCGGCCTTGGTCTCTTCTTAAGAATCTAGACAGCATCTTCACTAGTCTTGCTCCCTCCAAATCTCTCTCACTCTTTCTGTTTCCTGTGCTTTTTATTCACAATGTTAAAAGGCTCTCCACTTCCCCTTCTTGTCTGTTATACCCTAACCCCTTGTGTTATATCCTAAGTTCCCACACTCCAGCCCCAAATCTTAGTCTTAAACTAAGGAAACCTTCAGGAAACCAAATCAATTTTTTTTTTTTTTTGAGATGGAGTCTTGCTCTGTCACCCAGGCTGGAGTGCAGTGGCACGATCTCGGCTCACTGCAACCTCCACCTCCAGGGTTCAAGCGATTCTCCTGCCTCAGTCTCCTGAATAGCTGGGATTACAGGCACCTGCCACCACATCCGGCTAATTTTTGTATTTTTAGTAGAGACAGGATTTCACCGTGTGGTCCAGGCTGGTCTTGAACTCCTGACCTCAGGTGATCTGTCTGTTTTGGCCTCCCAAAGTGCTGGGATTACAGGGGTGAGCCACCACACCTGGCCCCAAATCAATATCTATAAGAGGGAAAGTAGATTCAAGCAATGCAATTCTGTGAGTTAGGTTTAATTATTCAGGCTTCTTTTATTGCAAGTGACAGAAACACAAGTCAGATTGAACAAAGCAAATTAGCTCATATAACTAGGAAGGACAAGGGTAAAGCAGGCTCTGGGAAAAACTGGATCCAGGAATTCAAACAAGGTTGTCAGAATTCCCAGTGTCATCTCTGTCTGGCTTTATTCTCTCCTGTTGCAAGCTTTCTACGTGTGAAGGGGACACAACTGCCAGCAGTTCTGGGGTTACAACTTTATTACTTTGCAGTCTATGGAGGAAGAGATAAATTCTCCCTCCCAGCACCTATATACTATCCCAATAAAGGTCACTAACTGGGCTGATTTGGGTTAGACCAGTGATGCTATCCAGGGAAATGGGGAACCAGTGCTAGGATTAGGGTGGGGTGACTCAGGTACCTCAGTGCAAAGTTTAATGAGGCAGTCATTCTTGAATGCATTTCATGACCCCCTGAGTGAGTGGCTCCTTACGAGTAAGGCACCTGGGGCTTCAGGTTCATGCAAGAGTGTGCACCCCCTTAGCTTCTATGCCCTAGCCTTCTGGCTTGAGCAAGAAGCTCAAGCCCTGTGGGGAACTGTGGTTGGTCAGACCTATGGACAGGAAATGACAAGGTCCTGGGATTGGGCATCAGAGTTACATGAAACAGGTATTGGTGGAATAGTGGTTCCTCTGCGGAAACATTGAATGATGTTACAAGAAGTGGGAAAGTATGCTGGGCAGACAAAAATAACAGAGGTCCACTAGAAAAGTATCTTTCTGATCCCCATCTTGTAAATGAAAAAAATGGGACTCAGAAAGTGACATGGATTGTCCAAAGTCACAAAGCTGGTAAGTGACTGAACTGGGAGCTGTAACTTTCATATTAATGCAATAGATTCCAAAGCTCGTGCTCTTTTCCTTGCACAACACTGTGTGCAGTGTATGTGCAGGGAGGATGTCCTGGAGGAGGGGAATGATGAGTTTGATTAGCTTTTGACCAAACCAGCTGGGATGAAGGAAAGGGGTAGCCTCAGACATGTCTATGTGATGAAGCATGGACAGTGCCTGTTTTCCTACAGGCTGTGCTATGCGTGACAGGATCTCTTCCCTCTTTGCCAGCTTGCAGTTGGTGGGGGATTGTGTGTGATAAGGGTTGAGGAGGGAAGAGAATCCTTGTGCTGCTTCTGCCCACTTGTCCAGTGACCATGTAGAGGGTATCTGTCCCTGGCCCCAGCCTCACCAGTCCTGGTGTGCCATGAAGTACTTATGGCAGATGGAAATTCATCTCAGCACAGCCTGGTGCAGCTCCAGTTTTAGCATGTAGCTAAAGTTAAATGTACTTAAGAATGCAAAGAATATCAATTTTAAAAGAATACATTTGTAATAGTAAAAATGGTATACAGTAGAAAACAAAAATATTAAAGACAATAATACACTAATGACTCAAGTTTGGGAACTGTTCACCTAAGTCTTCATGTGGCTAACAGTCACCTAACTAGGTTTTACTCACCTCAAATGCCCTCTCTTCCTTATTTCTGCCCCTGCCCTTGCCTCCCTCCCCATTCCTGGGATCAACAGTTGTCATCCAAGATAACCCTAGAAGTGACATAAGGAGCCAGAAGTTGCCACCCATTTTGGCTCCAAGCAGAACAGACATACTATTCTCCCAGGTGGGCATGGAGTTAGAGTCACTGGGAAATCTGTTTCCCCTTGATGACAGCAGCTGGCAAATCACCAATGTCAGCCACTGGATCCTTTCCTAGGGTAGTTGCTGTCAGTAGCCTGATGTTTGAGAGTCAGGTCAGCTTCTCCTAAAATCACAGTTTCCTCAGCTCAGGGCCCAGCCCAAATGCCCCCAGTCCATGGCATGTGATTCCTAGGGTGGGAATGGAGGCAACACCTGGCTGGGAATAAACAGAAGCTGTGCTGTGCTCAGAGGGTCTCCATTCACTCAGTCATTGAACAAACATGCACTGAGCATGCTGGACTCTGGGAATGCTGAAATGAACAAGATCGTCATTGACTTGTTTACTCACACAGTCATTTATTCACTCACTAGGATATTCTTTCCTTCCACAGACATTTACCATGGGCCTAGACATATTGCAGTTTTACAGATAGCTCTACTCCCTTGGCTTCATTTAGATAAACAATGAAGTGACAAAGTCCCTGAGAGATGATGTGATACCTCAAATTCACACAGTTCTCAGTGTATGAGCTAGGATTTGAATCCAGCTCAGGCTGACTCAAAATAAAATTGCCACTTTATACAATATTATTTCCATTCCTCCTTCCCCTTCTTCCTGGAGTGGCTTCTGGAGAATGCAAACAGATGGACAGCCTCCTCCACCCAGCCCTTCACAGCTAAGTTCAGAAAAGCTCCTGATCTTTGAAAGCCAAAGCCTTCACTTGACTCCTCCTGCTCCTCTGTAGCAGATCACCTTTTCCAAGGATGCTCCAAAGATGCACCTCACATGCTCTTTTGCAATGTGATCTTGACCTTGCCACTGCTAGTCAAGAGGTAGGTCTATGTTTCTACTCCCTTGAATCTGGGTGGGCCCTGGGACTCCTTTGGTGGAAGCCATATCTAATAAGGATGCTGTGCTCTCCACTTCCCCTTCTTCTCTGTTATGGATTCAGGATTCTTTGATTGCAAGTGACAGAATTGTCACTTCCCAGCAGCCCCCAGGAGATCAAGGTGTAGCCCTGAGCTGGCCTGGCAGCTTTTGCTCCCGACTGTCAGAGTCCCAAGTTGCCGTGCAAGATGTTCAGTCTACTGTGTTCAGGCCGTGTGAAAGAGTTCTGGGGCCCAGACACTGTAAGTATAGAGGCTATCAGGGGTGACCAGCCCAGTCATGCCTTTAAAGGGCTCCAGTCCCTGACATTCTCTGTTTGTTCCCATATGAGAAACCCCAAGTGAGAACCACCCAGCCAAGCCCAGTCAACCCACAGAACTGTGAAAGATAATAATAAATCATTGCCTTGAGTCTCTGTGCTTTGGGGCAGTGTGCTACCCAGCAAGAGATAACCAAGCACACTCATCCTGCAACAAGGTGAGCCTGTAATAGAGAAAAGATTAGAAATATCTTGCTCCCTGCACCCACCCCCAGTTTATGGATATTTTGGTTTTGTTTTCCTTCCCTTTAATGGAGCCTAGGACAAGTCAGGTGTGGAGAAAGGAAGACATCAATAGGGTTTAGAAAGCCTGAGGAGGCCTCATGGGGCAGGATTGCCCTTTGAGGCCCTAGTATGGGCATTTTTGGCAGAAAATTTCAGGCAGAGTAGGAGGTGTCAGCACTTTCCTGCATTCAAACATTGCTCCTCTCTTTGGAATATGCTTTCTATGGGAGCAAAGAATTGTCTGACTTTATCAATCAAGGCGAGCAAGTAAATTAACTGACTGAAAGTTGCTATGGCATAAAGTTACTTCATTTTCTCACATGGAAAGAGGCCAGGAGGTAGGTGATTCTGAGAGGAAAGCAGCAGTGAACATCTTCATCAAGCACCCAGGACTTCCCTGTCTTTCTGCTCTGTCATCCTCAGTGTGTTGGCTTTTCATTCTTAGGCTCATCCCAAGACAGTTGCTGCAGCTCCAAAGGCAAGTCCCTGTGCTCAACCATGCTCAAGACAGGATGAAGGGGCAAGAGGTCGATGCTAGAAAGAGCACCTTCCACGTCTACCTCATTGTCAGGTAGCAGAAGACTTTCCAGCAGCCCCCAGGAGACATCCTTGCATCACATTGGTCAGAATTGCATCACATGATTACTCCCAGATGCAGAAGAGGCTGGGAAAAAGAGTTTCCTGCAAAGGCCATTGGGACGCCTTGATTGTCCTAGACCACTGGCCCTCAGCCCTGGCTGTACATTACAATCACCGGAGGGGCTTCTATCTTATTTTTAATTTTTCTCTTAGAGACAGGGTCTCTCTCTGTCATCTAGGCTGGAATGCAGTTGTGCAATCATAGCTCACTGCATCCTCAAACTCCTGGGCTCAAGCGATCCTTCTGCCTCAGCCTCCTGAGTCGCTGGGACTATAGGCATGCACCACTACACGGGGCTAATTTTTACTTTCTAAAAAATAGATATCAGGTCTCACTATGTTGCCCAGGCTGGTCTTGAACTCCTGGTCTCAAACAATCCTCCCACCTCATCCTCCCAAAGTGCTGGGATTACAAGCGTGATCCACCATACCCAGCCATGAAGAGCTTTACAAAGATATAGATGCCTGGGCCCTACTCTGGATTAACTAAATCAGAATTACCAGGAATAGGCCCAGGTGTCACTATTTTTTAAAAAAATACCCCAGATTATTCTAGTAAGTACTAGGATTGAGAAGCACTATTTTAAACCAATCATGATTCAGCTCTTGAAGCTAGAGAGGGACTTACATTTCCTACATACCAACCTCCTCATGATATAGATAGGGAAACTGAGGCTCAGAGAGGAGAGGGGTTTACTTAATATCACATAGCCAGGTAATATCAGGTCTCCTTGATCTCAAACAGTTTCTCCTTCCACCTGGGGAGCAACTACACTGTGGAAAGAGGACACTATGCAAGAAAAGTCGTTTGGCCTTGCTGAGAAGCTGTGATTCCCAACGGCTTGTCCCAAACTTGGCCCCGATCTAGGGTCCAAGCCAGTTTCCTCTCAGGAGGGGAAACATCCATCTTCCCGGGGAAGCACAGTGCTTGCAGCCTGACACAGGACTGGGGCCAGAGGGAAACTGCGCATGACGGCTGGGATGGGGTGGGGTGGGGTGGGGAGGGAACTTCAGCTGCTGTGAAGAAAAAGAGCTGTCCTACATTAGATCTGTGTTTGCTGCAGAGCATCTGTTATTGCACTGTTTGGGGGAATCAACATCCTAGAAGGAACTCGGATAGCCATCACCTGGAGCTGAGTCTCCAATCTCAATTCCCAATCTCATCCCAGCCCTAGCCATCATCTTCCCTCCCCAGAGCTAAACAGCACTCTGAACTTGGGATTTTTAATTCTCATGCTTTTTAACAAAAAAATTTTGTGTGTATCCATAATATATATATATATATATATATATATATATATATATATATATATATATATATATATATATCATATTGCATGCTCTTACATTTTCTATAAAAGCCATCATACTGTATATATCCTTTGGCAACTGACTTTTCTCTCAGCATGGTATTTTTTTTTTTTTTTTTTGAGACAGAGTCTCACTCAGTCACCCAGGCTGGAGTGCAGTGGCACGATCTCAGCTCACTGCAAACTCCGCCTCCTAGGTTCACGCCATTCTCCTGCCTCAGCCTCCCAAGTACCTGGGACTACAGGCGCCCACCACTACACCCGGCTAAATTTTTTGTGTTTTTAGTAGAGACGGGGTTTCACCGTGTTAGCCAGGATGGTCTCGATCTCCTGACCTCGTGATCTACCCTTCTTGGCCTCCCATAGTGCTGGGATTACAGGCATAAGCCACCGCGCCTGGCCTCAGCATGGCATTTTTTAAAGCTTTATCTGTATTGGTACATGTAACCCAGATGATATCATTTCAGCTGTTCTGCAGTGGTAGTTCTCAATCTTGGCTGCATGTTATAATCACATGATTTTAAACATCCTGATGCCCAGGCTGCACCCCAAACCACGTACATCAACGTCCCAGATGGACGGTACTGAGTTTCAGTGTTGTTGTTGTTTTGTTTTTGTTTTTGACTCTTCAGGTGATTCCAAGGTGCAGTCAAGGCTGAGAACAAATGAAATAAATGATAATTTGATGATGCATTCTCCTATGATTGGCTACTTAGTTTGTCATGCATTACCTAAAAATCATGCAATAAATATGGTAGACAAAAATATATAAAGTATAGTAAAACAGACACCCACATACCTACCCCACAACTTCTTAACTAACACGGTGCTAATGAAGGCTTGAAACTCATCCCTCATTCCCGATCTCACCCTTTTCTTCTTGACAAAAGATAATCACTAAACTAAGTTTGGTGCTTATTATTTCCAAGCATTTCTTTATACTTTCACTACATGTATACATGCCTCTGGATTATATAACTATACATACATATATGGCATTGTTAAAAATTATTTTAAACTTTTTGTAAATGGAATCACACTCTATTTTTCTAAAACTTGCTTCAAAAAACATTTGTGAAATTCATCCATGTTGTTACATGTAGCTCTAGCTCATTAATAGTTTTTCTGCTGTATGTTTTCATTCCATTGAGTTGAAAATAACCGATTTTAA
This sequence comes from Homo sapiens, assembly GCF_000001405.40. NCBI lineage: Eukaryota > Metazoa > Chordata > Mammalia > Primates > Hominidae > Homo > Homo sapiens. The sequence goes on from NC_000020.11 coordinate 46,533,317, forward strand.
GCCTATGCTGTTGTTGGATATTGGCAGTTTAAAAATAAATATTTCTTTTAAGCATCTTGAAATAGCCATGTAAGCCAGCAATGATTACATCAGATTCATTATAATTCTCTCTTTTTTTGTATATTTTTGAAAATTTTCAAAAGAACAAGTGAGAGAGTAAGAATGATCTTGATATTTTCCTCCTGTGTAATGAGTCACTGAGGTGTGGTGTAATGAGAAATACATGGGTCTGGAGTTCTGGGTTAAATCTTAATTTTAACTTACTAGCTGTGTGAACACAAGTTGCTTTGTTTCTCTGAGCCTTACTTCCTTGTCTTAAGAATTGGAATAATAACAGATTCTACCATTTAGAGTTGTTATGTGCATGTCATGCTTGCAAAGAACTTAGCACAGAGCCTGGCTATAGAAGGGGCTCAGCAGATGTCTATGGAATGAATGTTAGAAATGCTAGACATTAGTTCCCATGAACTTGGAAGTTGGATTGATTGATGCAATCCCTGGGGCCTATGTGAGGCCTCTCTGCCTAGCTGCAAGAAGGTCTGGGAAAGTGAGAAATTGGCATTCTTAGCTTTTCTTGTGGGAGGTTGTCCCAACCTCATAAAGAGAGGGGTTGCTGTGGGTAGCAAAAAAGAAAGGCCAAAGGCCACTTCACTTCACTGAACTTGGCCCAGTTGGCTTCATTCTCCATGGATCTCAATTTTTTTAATCTGCAAAATGGAAGAAATAATTGACGGTAGTGGCCGCTCCGGATGGCCTGCCATTGCTATCATGCTGGCTGCAGCAGGGAGATGCTCCCAGTGCCATAGGCTCAGAGGAGCCTGCCGGAGCTGGGGACAAACAGGAGCCCTGCCCCCTCCAAGTTGGGGCAGGAGCTCCCCAGGCACAGCTGCAGCCACCCAACTTGCCGCTGCAGACCCAGGCCTTCTGCTCCATGGGCAGGGATATCCATGCCGTCCTGGGGGTAGCTGCAGCCATCCAAACTATGACTGAAGACTCAGGCATCCATGCATTCTTGGGGGCCTGGTAAGGCCCCGTGCCCTCACAGGCTCAGGAGTGCCTGCTCCTGCTGCCTGGCTTCTCTCTGCTGTCGGCAGCCACTTAGATCTCAGAGCAAAGTCTGCCTGGTACCATGAAGACAGCAGGAAGCAGATGGATTCCTGGGAGGAGGAGGACAGGTCCCTGGTAATGCTTCACCTTCAGGCCAGGCAGGGCCTGGAGTCTGGGGGCCAGGCTGCCAGTCCTGTGGACCAGAGTGGGGACTTGTGGTGCCTTTTCTGGCCCTGGCATGGACACTAATGGACCAATGCACAGGCACTTCCATCCTTCTGAGGTTTATAAAAGCCCTGGGCTCAGCCAGAGCAGGGAGAGGACTGAGAGGAAGGGATGACCACTGCAGAGAGGAGCTACCCACTCCAGAGCCTCTTCTCTGCTGAGAGCTGCAGACGTGGGAACAAACTGCCTACAGAGAGTAGCTATACACTGTAGGTCTCCTCTGAGCTGTTCTAACACTCAATAAAGCTCCTCTTCATCTTGCTCACCCTCCACTTGTCTGCATACCTCATTCTTCCTGGATGCAAGACAAGAACTTGGGCAAAGGCACCATGGGCCACAGAGGTTACTGGCCAGAAAAGCAACAACCCAAAGACCCCATAACATAATGACTTTGTTTTTATTGTGAGGTTGAACATAAATGAATTAATGTTCTACCACATGATAAATCTAAGTGGTAGAATCTGTTATTATTTCATTCTTAAAACAAGGAAGTGAGACTCAGAGAAGCATAGCAACTTATGTTCACATAGCTAATAAGATGCTTAAAATAAAGCTATAGCAATCATCACAGTGTGATATTGACTTAAGGATAGAGAATTTGATCAATGGAACAGAATAGAGATTCCAGAAATAAATCTCTACATTTATGGTTACTTTATTTGTGACAAATATGTAAAGGCAATTTAATGAGGTTTTTCTCAACAAACTGTGTTTGATGAATCAGGTATCCATATATAAAAAACAAACAAAAACTTAGACTCTTATTTATATCATATACAACAATTAACTCAAAATGGAGCCTGGACAGAAAATTAAGAGCTAAAACTGTGAAACTTAAATAGCTGGGTGTGGTGCCACATGTCTGTAGTCCCAGCTACTGGGGAGGCTGAGTCAGGAGAATCACTTGAGGCTGGGAGTTCAAGGCTGTAGTGTGCTATGATCATGCCTGTGAATAGCCATTGAACTCCAGCCTGTGCAACATGGTGAGACTGTCTTTAAAAAAAAAAACTTATAAAAGAAAAATCTTCAAGACCTTAGGTTAGGCAAAGATTTCTTAGATGAGCAGCAATAGAACAATCTACAAGAGAAAAAAATAATAGAGTTTATCAAAATTAACACTTCTGTTCTTTGAAAGACACCACCAAGAAAACCAAATGACAAGCCACAGACTAGGAGAAAATATTTGCAAATAATGTATTTGTTGAAGGATTCATATCCAGAATATGTAAAGAACACTTAAAACTCAAAAATAAGCAAACAACCTAATTGAAAATTGGGTAAGTATTTGGGTAGATATTTCACCAAAGAATAGATATTAAGCACATAAAAGTTGTTCATATTATTAGTCATTAGGGAAATGCATATGAAAACATCCACCAGAATTGCTATAATTTAAAAGAATGATCATATCGAATGTTGGCAAAGATATGGAAAAACTGGAACCCTCACACACTGCTGGTGGACATGAAAAATGGAACAGCCGCTTTGGAAAACAGTCTCACAATTTCTTAAAAAATTAAACATACACTTTCCCCACTACTCAGAGATTTCACACCTAGATATCTATCCAAGAGAAATGAAAACATATGTCCACACAAAGACTTGTATGTGAATGTCCACAGCAGCATTATTGATAATAGCTCCAAATGTCCAACAACTGGTGAATAGATAAATTGTAGCATATCCATACAATGGAATACTACTCAGCACTAAAAAGAGACAATCGACTGGCACGTGCTATAACATGAAGAAACCTCAAAAACATTGTGATAAGTGAAAGAATCCTGACACAAAAGACTGCCTATTGTAGGATTCCATTTATATGAAATGTCCAGAAAAAGCAAATCTGTAGATACAGAAAGCGATCAGTGGTTGCCTTGGGTTGGGAGTAATGGAAGAGGAGAAATGGAAATAGGTATAAAAGAACATTTTAGGATCATATAAATGTCCTTAAAATGGAATGTAGTGATGGTTGCACCACACTAAAATTCACTAAAAATTATCAAACTGTGTAATTACAATGGGGGGATTTTATTATATGTTAATTATAGCTCAATAAAGCTGTTTTAAGAATACTTATAAAGTGTGCCAATAAACAAGGGTCATTCTTCTCCGATCCTTTCCAATGCTCACTACCCCCACTCTTCTGGGACTTGACTCAGCCACGCTCGGACTTAGGCATCAGGACCTGCAGCTCACACTTGGAAAAGCTCAGATGCAGAGCAGCTGAGGAACGTGCTGACATTGTTGCCATAGCCAGCAAGTGCTGGCGTGGGGATTGGAACCCAGACTTGGAACTCATTTTCAGGTGAGGAGTGAGGTGGGGCAACAGGGGACTTCATTCACCTGGTTCCTTTCCCCCTTGGCCCTCCTCCCTAGGATGGTCCCGTGGCAGCCAGCAGCAGGCGCCTAACACTGCTAAGTTTCCAAGTTCTTAGACAACTCAAGATCTCCAACTGGGAGGCCCCAGGGCTGACTCCTCTGCCCCCGACATGGGAAATTAGGGCTCCTTCCCCATCTCACTTGTTTGGAAGCCTAGGACTCTTCCTTGGATAGGAGAAAGGTTATATTTACCACTACGACTCTAGGCCAAAACCGCAATCCTCTCTGAACCATTCTCATCTGTGAAACGGGCATGTTGATACTCATTTGCCCACCCCAGAGGGTTATTAGGATAGAAGGGGGAAGGAAGAGCCACCATGCAGGGGTCCCAGCCCTATGTTCTTCTCTTCCTGTCCAGAGAGTAAGATCCTGAGACTAAGTGTGGGGTTATCAGCAGGCCTGGAATCAACCTTCACTTTTTCTCTTTCCTTAGGCATGGCAGCCACAGGTAGTCTGGTGAGAAGCTCCTGAAAGGAGTCGGGGCCTCAGACAAGCAGTCTAGCAACTCCTATGTGCTCTTTTCTGTCCTTTAAAAACACCACATTTGTGCAGTTTCTTATGCCTGGAATGTTCATTCCTCTTCCATTGCATGGTTGGCTCCTCTCGTTCTTCATGTCTCAGTTCACAGGACATCTCCCCAGAGAGGCCTTTCCTGGCCACCCCACCTAAGATTGCTCCCCATCCTCTTCCTATTACCTATCTAGACATGAAGTGATCTTGTTTACTTATTTTTTTAGCTTGTTTGCTGCCAGTCTCTCATCTAGCATGCAAGCTCTCTACAGAGCTCTCTACAGAGCTTGCATAAATGGTATTGGAAGAGCTTAGCAAGGGGATTGACACAAAGTAGATGCTCAATGAATATTTGCTGAAGAAATGAATCAAATGTTAGTGGAAACCAAGTAAGGATCGGTCGAGACGTGCTTCTCATGATTACCCAGCATGGATGAGGAAGGTTCTTCTATACCCACTGAGGGGGAAGGGAACCTGAGGCTCAGGAAGACCTGGTGACTTCTTCAATATCACATAGTTACTAAGTGGTAGGACCTGGACTTAGTGGAACACAGACCTTTCCTACTCCCAGTCTTATATTCTCTCCAGCATATAGCGGGGAGAAGATGCTGTTGGAGCCCCACCCACATCCTCTTGGCAATTGCAGTTCTCCTACAGGCAGCAGGTTACTCTCCTGTAAGCCCGTGTGACTCTGCACCTGAAAGCATTTTCTCTCTGTCCCAAACACAGGGCAGGCTGGAAGTGCCAAGGGAGTTATAGCTCCAGGAGCATCCTGCAGCCAGTGTGTGAAATAATAAGATACATATTGGTTTATACCCCCTGCTCCTAACATAGAGCTCCTATAACTCCTGTAGATATGGGTGCTAGGAGAACCTTTTGTTCTAATATTTGGTCTTTGACCATGGATCCTGACACAAAGCTCCTGAGACCTTTGTAATTTCTGGGGTGATAGGAGAGTCTGACACAGAGCTTCTCAATCCCTTGAAGTTTCCTGGGTAATGGAAGTATCACTGGAAAGACCAAGCCATGATTAGAGGCTTTGAACTTTCAGCAACCCTCATCCTCCTGGGATGAGAGAGGGGCTGGGGATTGAGTTAATAATTGATCATGCCTATGTGATGAAGCCTCCATAAAAATCCCTGAACTACGGGGCTTGGGGAGCTTGAGTTGCTGAACACATAGGGGTTCCTGGAGGATGGCATGCTCCTAGAGTGCATGGAACCACCATGCTCCTTCCCTCATACTTTGCCTTGTGCATCTCATCCATCTGGCTGTTCATTGGTGTTCTTTGTAATATCCTTTCTAATAAGTGAGTAAGTGTAAATAAGCATGCCCCTGAGTTCTCTGTACCATTACAGAAAACTATCAAACCCGAGGAGGGAGTCATGGGAACCCCAATTTATAGTTGGTCAGTTAGAAGTGTAGGTGACAACCTACTACTTGTGATTAGCACTTGAAGTGGGGGCAGTCTTGTGGGACTGATCCCTTAACCCGTGGGATCATACTCTTACCTTCAGGTCGATAATGTCAGAATTGAATTGAATTACAGGATATGCAGTTGGCGTAGGCTAGAGAATGGTTTGGAGTTGAGGAACACCCCCATATGTTTTGGTCACAGAAGTGTTCTGTGCTGAGTGTTGGGGAATAAATACCCGGGTTTCCTGCCTCACTCTTGGGGGACAACTCTGGTACAGATTCTACACTAATTTGCAGAGGTGCCCAGAGAGACTGAGCCTCAGTCACCCACAGCAGCTACCTGTTTGATAATGCAACCTGTATAGGCTTTTCTTCCTGTCTTCTCTCATTTCCCTACTCCCCTACTGGTGCTTCCAGGAATCACCTCCCAGTTAAACTAACTGCGCATAAATTCTTGTCTCAGGGTTGACTTCTGGGGAATCTCAGCTCTATTGTTACCTATGCATAGCAAATGACCACAAATGTAGTGGTTTAAAACAACATACATTTCTTATCTCAGTTTCTGTGGGTCAGGAGCCCAGATATGGTTTAGCTGAGTCTTCTGCTTTAGGGTCTCTGGCTGGTTACAATCAAGGCGTCAGCCAGGTAGGTCTCGAGTCCTAAGTGAAGACCCAACTGGGGAAGGATCCACTTCCAAACTCACTTAGAAGGCTGTTGGCAGAATACATTTCTGGGGCCTGCCGTTTCTTCTATATGGGCCTCACCAACATAGCATTTTGCTTTATCAAAGCACGCAAGCCAAGCAGAAAGCAACAGAGAAAGTTTGCTAGCAAGATGGAAATTATGATTACATGTAACTTAATCACAGAAATGACATCCCATCACCTTTGTCACATTTGATTAGCTAGAAGAAAGTCAAGGTCCTGCTCCATTCAAGGAGAAGGGATCACACAAGGGCATGAATACCAGGAGGTGGGGATCATTGGCGGCTATTTTAGATGTCTGTGCACCATACCAACTAACAGACATCTAAAAACTAAAATCTTGAAAGTAGCCCATGTAATTTAGGAGTTCTATATCTGTTCTAAGGAAAGCTTCTGATGTAAACAAGAAGCCATGCACAAAGATGTTCATTACAACATTTTTTATAATAGCAAAAACTAGACACCACCTAACCATCTACTAATGGGGTAACTGCTAAATAACTAATGACATATCAATTCTCTTTAACAATAAAAAGTAGGGCCATGGCATATTGTTGAATGAAAAAAACAATTTGCAGAGCTATATATATGGTATCATGTTGTTTAAAACGCAACAAACAATATTACATATTTCTGTACTCTATTTACACACACATGTATGTATAGAAAAATAATTGAAGAGTACCTACCAACTGACAATCTTGGTTATGATTGTGGAGCCAAAGAAGGCAAACTGACTTGAGTGTGGTTGTCAAAGGGGATTTTACTTTTATTTGAGAGACCAGTTAAGTTCATAAACCATGGCAGCTAGACTACTTGGGTTTAAATCCTGGCTCTGCGGCTTATTGGCTGAGTGACTTTGGGCAAAATACTTAACCTCTCTGAATCTGTTTCTTCTCCTCTAGAAGAAGGACGATAATAATGCCATTGTTAAATTAATTTTAGCTTAAGGCTGCCTCCTTACATATTTTAAGTTTGTCCTAAAGGTTTCTCCATACATAGTGAACTACAACCTTCCTGGATGTGTAAACAGAGTGTAACCTACTCTTGTACCAATCACTGTGTTTCAACCAAAGGTAGCCAACTGTTCAAACTGTGTGCAAATAAGGCAAATGCCAAGCTGTAACCAATCCAGCTGTTTCTGTACCTCACGTGTGTTTTCTGTACATCTCTTTCCTTTTTCTGTCCATAAATATTATCTGACGATGTTGCACCCCCCAGAGTTGCTCTGAACCTATTCTGCCTCCAGGGACTATGTTCTTTGCTCAGTTATACTCTGCTAAATTTCATTTAAGTTTTTAATTAAACAAGTATTTGTTGTTTATCTGAAATTCAAGTTGAACTGAGTGTCCTATATTTTAATTTGGCAAAATCTAATCCTGGCAATGGAAAGGCCCTGAAGGAATTTGAGGCAGAGGAATAACGTAATCTAAGATTTAATAAATACGTTTATTTATAAAATTAAAACTATGGGTTACTATAAATGAGTTTAGAGGATTTTGAGGCATATAAATAAGTTCCAGGAGCATTTCGAGAAATTCATGATGCAAGGTCTCCATCTAACAAGTAGAGCAGTTGGTGCAGATGAGATGAGCCTGATCGCCAACCAGCCTGGAGGAACCATGAGCTCTCTCTGCACTCCTTGTCTTCGCCTTTGCATGGTTCTTTACCGGTTATCCAGGCCTATCATGCCCAGTATTTCCTTCCATCCTGACCACATCCCTGCGTGGGAAGTAGGTCACATCAATGGTAAATATGCTGTCGTTATGCAGATGTAGAAACCGAGGCTCAGAGAGGTGAAGTGACTTACCCAAGGTCACACAGGGAGGCGGCACAGGACCAAGGTTACAACTCAGGTCTCTGCAACTCCAAAGCTCTTTCCCTTCTCCCTCACTGCTCTCGGTTCTTAAGGCATCCAGCCTGTAGTCTATCCATGCCGGAGGCTTGCAGGCAGGTCTGGGTGTGGGGACGCAAGAAGGATCCCCTAGGGGCAGCTGCTGGCCTTGGTGCCTGTCGTGTCTTCGCTGGAGCCGGGCGTGCAGGTGGCGGACCCTCCTCGCCTCCTGGGCTGTGAAGAAGGAAGCGGCGATGGCATGCCGCAGGCGGCGGGCGTAGGCCTCCAGGAGCACCGTGGAGCCCGCCAGGAGCTGCAGGGCCCCCGCGGCCAGCGGGGCAGCTGCGCGGGGACGCCGGGCGGGTAGCAGTGGGCAGCGGGCGGAGGTGAGGCGGAGCTCCCATTGGTAGGAGCTGTGGACGGAGAGGAAGGGGCTCTCCGGAGCCAGCTGGTTGAAGAGGAAAGGGATGAAGCCCAGGACAGTGTATGCCACCTTGGGAAAGGAGAAAAAGGCAGGGTCAACTGAGGGCCTCTCTGGCCACTCCCCACCTCTAGGAGAGGCTTGTCCAGCTTTCCCTGCCTTCATCTGCAAAATGGTTACAGAAATAACCCGTTTCCCAGGGTTTGAGGAGGACCCAATGAGACTAGGAGTCTGAAACAGGTTCTTTTGCCAAATAAAAATCACCATACAAATGTTACTAAGGTTAGTATCTTTGAGCAGAATATTTTAGAGAAAACAAATTGTCTATGGATGTTTGCTCCTTGCTGAGTCCTTACTGAATACTTTAGATGTCCTATTCCATCCAATATACACAATTCTATGGGTCGAGCCCAGGAGGAGCCTAATTTAAAAGATGGGAAGTGGCCAGGCGCAGTGGCTCACGCCTGTAATCCCAGCATTCTGGGAGGCCGAGGCGGGTGGATCACTTGAAGTCAGGAGTTCGAGACCAGCTTGGCTAACACGGTGAAATCCCGTCTCTACTAAAAATACAAAAAATTAGCTGGGTGTGTTGGCACGTGCCTGTAATCCCAGCTTCTCAGGAGGCTGAGGCAGGAGAATAGCTTGAGCCCGAGAGGGGAGGGTGCAGTGAGATTACACCACTGCACTCCAGACTGGGCAACACAGCAAGACTCTGTCTCAAAAAAAAAAAAAAGATGGGAAGCCCAAAGCCACACATGGGTTACATGTTGCCAACTCAGGGATCAGTCTCAGCCAAGGTGGGTCCCTATGTCCTGCTTATAAGCACTGGGCCCTGCAGTTTCCATAGGTATGTCCAGGTGAGGAAGAATGGTATCTAGAGAGGCAGGGAAGAAAGAAGTTCACCATTTGAACTTTGGAACCAACCTGGGTTGGATTCTGCACTAACCCAGGTGCAGAAGGATAGCTTGCCACACCCCAAATGGTTCAAATGAATGCAGGAGAAACTCCCAAAGCTTTCAGAAAAGATGAAATAATGTGAAAGCAATGAGTGGGCCTGTACAATTTATGCTTTCCCAGAGGATCAGAGAGTGCCAGCCTCAAAACTTGCTGAGTGAGGGCCCGCAGCTTGCAAGAAAATGCTGGAAACAATGGTGGGGCATCACCGGGGCTCTGGAAGGCACAGAGAATGATATTGGAGGAAAAGCCTCAGAGACTGACTCCTCGGCCAGAGTCATTCAGAAAAGTCAGATTGAATGTTTTAGGAAAACCATCAGATTACTTCCCCTCCCTCCCTTCCTTCCTTCCTCCCTTCCTTCCTTCGTCCCTCCCTCTCTCTCTCATTCCTTCCTTTTTTCTTTCTTCCTTCCTTCCTTTCTTTTTCTTTCTTTCTTTCTTTCTTTCCTTCTTTCTTTTCTTTCTCTCTTTCTCTTTCTTTCTCTCTTTCTCTTTCCTTTCTTTCTTTCTTTCTTTCTTTCTTCGTTTCTTCCTTTTTTTTTTTTTGGAGTCTTGCTGGCTCAGGTTGGAGTGCAGTGGAGCAATCTCAATTCACTGCAAACTTTGCCTCCCAGGTTCAAGCGATTATCTCACCTCAGCCTCCTGAGTAGCTGGGATTACAGGCACACACCACCATGCCTGGCTAATTTTTGTATTTTCAGTAGAGATGGGGTTTCACCATGTTGTTGGCCAGGCTGGTCTTGAACTCCTGACCTCAGGTGATCCACCCACCTCGGCCTCCCAAAGTGCTGGGATTATAGATAGGCATGAGCCTCCATGCCCAGCCCCCTATTTTTCTTTTTATGTATACGCGAGAAAGATATGGCAAAATAAACCTATGTTAAATAATAAGTGAACTATTTTATACAAATACAATAAAAATTCTAAATGATAAGAAAGCATTGTGTCAAGGTTGAATTGGTAGCATTTTCTGCCCTAAGGATACATAAAGTAATGGTGTGACTTGCAATTGATGACTATCTGAGATTTGGTGAAAATGAGTAAATCAGGGAACATGCTTAGAACATTGCCTGACACATTTCTTTACTGTGACCTATGGTAAGAAATGCATTTTACAGGCCAGGCATGGTGGCTTATGCCTGTAATCCCAACACTTTGGGAGGCTGAGGTGAGAGGAATGCTTGAGCCCAGGAGTCTGAGACCAGCCTGAGCCACATAGTGGGACACCATCTCTAAAAAAAATATTAAAAATTAACTGGGTGGTGGTGGTGCATGCCTGTAGTCTCAGCTACTTGGAAGGCAGAGGTAGGTGAAGTGGGAGGCTCGTTTGAGCCAGGAGGTCAAGGTTACAGTGAGCTGTGATTGCACCACTGCACCACTGCATTCTGGCATGGGCAACAGAGTGAAACCCTGTCTCAAAAAAGGAAAGAAAAGAAATGCATTTTACAGTACCTTCAAAGCAGAGATTGTTTTGTAATTGAAGAAAATATTCAAAAACCATACACTCCCTTATTGCCTAAGATGTAATCTTATAATTTTCCAGTTGATTCTATTTCATTAAAAACACTATTTATGACTCCTTAAATTGATTAAATTGATTTTGTGCAGTCTGAAAAGCACTTTCTTAATATGTAATAAGTACTTGATAAATATAAACTGTTAATATTATTAGCTCGAAGTTTGACACTTTGATATGTTTTATGCAATGGACTTTTGTGTGAGACCTCACTACTAAAAATTAAAAATAAAAAGATCCGTGGCAAAAGAAAGGATCGAAAAACACAACTCTTGATCTGATAGTAATATATCCGATTATAAGTCGATAGTAAATATTTTCTATATCACTATTAAAATAGCAAATATTTCAGGCTTTGCAGGACATACAGTCTCTGTTGCAATTACTCAACTTTGCCTTTGTAGGGCAGCCACAGACAATATATTGACAAATGGCATGGCTGTGTTCTAAAAAAGCTTTATTTACAAAACCAAGAAGCCATTGGATTTGTCCTGAAGGCTATAGTTGGATGCCTCCTGATCAAGGCCATTCCAAAGTCCTCCTCCAGTCTGACATAGACAGATGTAAGCTATTAATAATAGCCACTCTTTATTAAATAATCTCTTATGTGCCATGGAGCTTACTAGGTACTTTAAGACAATACCACATTGTAAGACACAATAGCCTTTTAGGATTAGGAGGATCGATTCAATTTGTACAAATGTGGAAAATGAGGCTAGGACAAGCTGCCACTTGTGAAGGGTGACCTTGGATGCAAGTTATTTTAAGGTGTCTGGGTTTCAGCATCCTCAACTGCAATAGGAAGTGAAAATAGAAACCACTTCCTAGAGCTGTTGTGGGTATCCGATGAGTCCCTCTGCCCATGGTATGGGGCCCCATGGATGATTCAAGGGCTGTTTCTTGGAGGCAAGTCAAATTTCATCACAAGTCAAGGGTTTAACAGATTCTCCCCCTGCCCTCAAAACAATGACTCCCTTCCCTTTTCCCATCATCACACTTACATCATACTTGACCGTGAGCGTGATGGGCACAGTTGGCAACTTCTGAGCCCAGTCCACAGTAGCCTGTGCCAGGAGGAAGGCTACATGGTCTGTGGCCACCGCCACAGCCGTGGCCACGAGGAGCAGGGCAAGCAGCCCCAGCCTTAGAAGACAACTCAACAGCTCCTCCTGTGACAGCCTCAGCTGAGCCGCCTGGAGCAGCCAGGTGGGTGGAGGGGCCAGGAGGTGTGTAGCCTGGGCCTGTGCCAACCGCTGGGTCAGCTGTTGAGTGGCGTAGATATTGTCAAACCGCAGGTCTGTCAGGTAGCAATGGAGGTACCATGCCGACTCCACCAGGAGGCCCAACATAAACAGCCCTGTGACCACTCGCTGGGTCCCTAGCGCTGCTGCCCGGGCCAGGGACTCCAGGCCAGAGAAATCCTCCAGGACCTGCTGAGTGACCCTGAGCATGTGAAGGTAGAAGGCAGAGCCATTGTCCTGGGCCTCAAATGTCAGGCCCCGGCTGCCTGCCTGGCCTGTGGGGCCCAGAGCCCTGGATGCTGCATGCAGCTGGTGAGTGGTATTGAGGAGACTCTCCAGGGAGCCCTCGGTGACACACCTCAGCACCTGCCCGGCCGCACCCACGTTGGCCAGGACGTTGGGCACCACAGCAATGGCCAGGGTGGCAGTGCTGTAGGACAGGAGCAGCCGGCGGCCCTGCTCCATACCCAGGGTGGGCACGCTGAGTGCAAACAGGCAGCGGACTGGGGGTACCAGGCCCAGGCTCAGGAAGACCAGGAGGCCACAGACAGTGGCAACCATGGCTGAAGGTCCAGGAGGATAAAGCAGCAAGGATGCCAGCCAGTGATAAACCAGACCTGCAGCAGCAGCAGCCAGGGAGGCACACAGGAGGAGCTGGGTCAGCAGCTGGCCACAGCTGGCTGGAACAGGCTGGGAGAAGGCGTCCCAGGCAGCCTGCAGTGGGGCAAGGGCCTTCCAGAACCCCAAGTGCCAGGACCTCCACCTGCACACAAGGAAATTGAAGGGCATCTCTATCAGGAGGTGGGTGGGTGGGTGTCTGTCCACTGCCCCTGCCCCACATACCCATCACCAGGCTCTGCTAACAGACTCCACCCTTGTAGTTACCCAGGTGGACCAATCAGAGTAAGTCACTGTATACCCACGTGACACAAGCTGAACCAATCAGAGCCTTCCCCAGGATTACTCTCGCTGGAACTGTCAGGGAAGAGCCCAATTCCCATGCAGTACCTGAGGATGTGAGGATGAAAGTCTGCCCTGTTTGAGTCCATTATTACAGTTTTGTGAAGGCAACTGGCCCAAGAGAATGAAAGAGTCATGGAGCGAGAAGCACAGGTGAAAGAGAGAGAATGAGTAAGAGGAGAGAGAAGAAGAGAAACGATTTCACTTGAATTAATAGTCTTGGTGGCTTGCTGTATGATTCTGGACCTTCTATTCTTTCTGAACTTCAGGGTCTCCTCTATAATTTAGGGGTGAGGAGGGTGAACTAGTTGGCCTGTGAGGGACTTTTATATTCTATCATCCTTATATTTATTCATTCAACAAGTGTTTATCAAGCAACGACTTTGTGTTAACCATTGGAGAAACAGGAATGAAAAAAACAGAAGTCCCTACCTTCGTGGGGCTTGCACTATGTTAAGAGCGATGGCAGAGGAGTAGTAAGGAAAGCTTGGATTCTGAACACATTTTGTTGGCAGAGTCAACAAGATTTGCAGAGGCTGATTGGTTGTGGGGTGTGAGAGAAAGAGGGGAGTCAAGGATGACGAGGTGCTTTTGTGTCTGAGCAACTGGAAGCACCAAGGTGTCATTTCCTGAGATGAGAACTCTGTGGTCAAAACAGGTTTGAGTGGAGGGGGAGAGAGGAGGAATTCAGTTCAGAACTCTTAAATTTGAGATTCAGTTGAGCCATTCCGTGGAGCTTTTGACGACGTGGTTGGAAATAGAAGTCAGGAATTCAGAGGGGAGGTCAGGCTGGAGTTATAACATTGGGAGTCTGATTATTAGATGTCTCCCAACTTTATATCCCTACCTAAAGCCATGTGCACCATGAGATTCCTCAAGAGAGTGTGTCACTGGGGAGGAAAGACATCCAAGGACATGCCTCAAGGCGCTCCAAGGTTAGGGGCTCTTAGATAAGGAGGAACCAGCAAAAGAGACTGAGAAACCAATGTGGTGCTTAGGAAGCCAAATAAACAAAATGTTTCAAGGAGAAAGGAGTGATCAAGTACGTCAAATGCAGCCAACAGGTCAAGAATGATGAGGACTGAGCAATGCCTATTAGCCGCTTAGAGGTCACTGTTGACCTTGGCAGGGAGAGTTCGGTGGCTTTTGGGGCCAAAATCCAACTAGACTGGGTCCAGGAGAGACGGGAAGGAGAAGAATAGGAAACACAGATACAGACAACTCTTTCCGGTAATTTCTACACTAAAACAGCAGGGAGATGAAGCAGTGGCTGGTAGCTATGGGAAATTGGACCAAGAGAATTCATGTAAAGGGAGGAAATCTATAGCATGTTTGCAGGTGGGAGATCTCATCGAGAGGGGAGACATTGACAAAGGGGAGACTCCCTGGAGTGACACCTGTAGGGGTGGAGGCAGAGAGTGAGACTGAGAACATGCAAGGTGGGGCTGGTCTTAGAATAGAGCAGGGGTCGTTCATCCTTAATAGCAGGTGGGAAAGCAGAGGAAATAGGTACAGATGATGGCGAATGAACAGGCAGCGTGTATGCACCTGTGAAAAGTATCCTCTGATATACGCAGAGCAGAGTAATGTTAAGGGCATGACCTCTGGACTGCCTGGGCTCAAATTTCTGCTCCACCACTTGCCAGCTATGTGAACTTGGGTACATATCACAACCTTTCTGTGTCTCAGCTGTCTCATCTGTAAAATGGTGCAATAAAAGTATGCACCTCCTGGGGTCACTTTGTTTCTGGCACATGGTAAGTATCACATCAGCTATTACCTACCACTAGAGTCAACTCCACCGGAGCAGGGACTTTGTCCGTTTTGGTCACTGATATGTCCCAAGTGCCTACAATAGTGTCTGCCATGTTGTGAGTGCTCCAAAACTATTCATTAAGAGTAGCATGACCGATTGCTTCTGTTTGCTCAGGTTGGCAGGAAGCAAGGTCAGCAGAGAAGGTAAGATGCTGGCGGAGGTGATGGATGCTTGAAGAGGAAGAAGAAAGTACAAAATGGTTGCCCAGGAAAGTGGGAGAACAAACGAACTGGGGCAATAACATATGTGCTGGGCAACACTGAGGCCCACTTGAGGTTGGAGATCATACATTATCTTAAGTGAGAGCAGGCAGAAAGGTTATACGGGAATATGGTTATAAAGGGCAGGGAGGGTGGTGGGGAGGCTGTCACTGTGTTGGTTACAGGCAAAGCTGCTGACTTGCTCCACCATCAACAGCTTGAAGGATAAGCATGTGACTGGGTCTAGTTGATCCAAGTACCTCTGATCCCCTGGCCACCGTGACTGGTGCAGGGATTGCACCTGACCGGAGATGGACCAATAGAGCTTTCCTCAGGATTTTGCTGCAACGACAAAAAAACTGCCCTTTGTTGCCTTGAGAGCTAAGCTGGTAGGAAGATGCCTCAAGCCTTGGGGACCACCATGTAGTATGAGTCGGCCTGGGATGAAGGCAACACAAGGAAAACAGTGTTAGGAAACAGACAGAGAGTCCCAGTGGCCTTGTTGGAGGACCTGGATCCAGAAATGCCTGAAGCCGAAATCTATGCCGGACCACACACTAGGAGATGTCTGTTTTTCTACAGGCAGTGTAAGATCAATCTGTCACTTGCAACTCAATGAGTCCTGACTAATACAGAAACCTTTGTCACAGGGCTTCTGGGACAATAAAATGAAATAATCCATGTAAAGAAGTTTACACAGGGTCTGGCACAGAAGAGGGATCCTATAAAACTGCACCACTTGTTACTCTGATGATACTTATGTCAACGATGTAAATGTTTCACTCGAGTCTCCTCTGTGCCCAGGCTCTGTGCTGACCCCTGTGGACACAAAGATGAATTAAGTCCTGGTCCCACTAAAGGAGTTCACAGTCTAATTGAGGAGACTTAAATAGACCATTAGAGTTTAAGTTCATTAACAAAGAATTCTGAGCATAGTATGCCTGGGCCTGGACTGGGGTGGGATAGATGGAGAGTGACCCAGTTTTACCTGGGAGTCAGGAAGGCTCCCTGGAAGAGGTGACATTCCAGCTGGGGGTGGAAGGACAAGTGTCAGTTTGTGGGTGAAGAAGGGAGTTGGACATCCCTGACAGAAGGAACAGCGTGTGCAAAGGTCCTGTGCTCTGACCATCGGGAAATAGGGAGTTGGGAGAACCAGAACAGTGGGAAGCTGAGATGCAGTGAGGCCTGTGGGGCTGGAGTGAAGGTCACAACCTTGAAGCCCTAAAGGCTGAATCATATGCAAATGTGCCTTATTGTGGCCCACTCTGTGTGTGTGTGTGTGTGTGTAAGCTGCCCCCATTTGGAAATAAGGAAGTTTCACATTAAAATCTGGGTTTCCAGCTTTTCTTGAGAGATAAGAAGATCTGGGTTAGAGCTCCCACCTTTGCAACAGGTAGCTGGAGCTGAGTATCCACTACCCACCTTTGACAGGGGAGCAGCCCTGCAGACTGCATCCTGCTGATCAATGAACGGGTCCGTCTGCACACCCAGGTGGCCTTCCACAGGTGCAACCCCTTCCCAGCTCCCGAAGGCATTTGAATTTGGGACTAAACACCCCCTTCTACTATATAATTAATATTTGGAACACAGTAGCTTTTGGAATAATAGCTAATAATAAAAACAATTTTAAGGATTGAAAGCCAGTCCTAAGTCATATTGGATGACAATTCCTGCACGGGGTATTGAAAATGGCAAGGAAACTAGCTGCTGTTTAGTGAGTGCTTCCTCTGAGCCAAGCAGGTGCCAAGTACTAAGCATGTGTTTTCTCATTCAATTCTGGCAACAGTCTTGTAGATGTCATTATTACTTCCATTTCACAGATGGGGAACTGAGGCTCACAGAGAACTGAGGATTTGCCTAAGGTCACATAGCCAAGGAATGGCAGAGCTGAAGATTTGGGTTCATATCCATCACCCCCAATGGCTGACTGTTTTCTCACCTGTAGCCCTCAGTGTCCAAAGTCCCCAGACCTACCCGGTCTTGACAAGTTGCTCAGCTGCTCCTGGGTGGCCTGGCATGCTGTCCAAATGGCAGTGGTTTCAGGCGGGCGGTCGCTGGCAGCTGTGGCAGGTGGAGAGGAAGTGGGGGAATCGCTGGGACTTGGGAATCCCTGCCACTTCTGCTTTTCCACTCTTTAATGAAGCTCTCCTGGCTGCCTTGTCCCGCCCTTTTCGGGGCCCACCTCCCAGAGGGTTGGGCAAGCTGCCTCATCCTCTGCCCACAAGCAAGAGCGGGTGGAAGGTGTGGGAAGAGGAAAAGACAGCCTTTTCCAAGCGATGTCTCTAATCTTGGTAGCAGGAAGGTAGAATTAGCCCCATTTTACAGAGAAGGAAACTGAGGCACAGAGAAACCATACAGCTTCCCTTTCCCTCCCACTCCATAGTTGTGTGCCCCAAGGGGAGCCTGATCCCTGCTCTTGGGACTCACAGGTGATAATCAGACCCCTGCCAAGTACTGGGAGCAGTGGCTCTGGTCTCCTTCCCCAGCCCCCTTCCTGTCTTTAGCCTGACTTGTACCTCGCTTCAAATCTCAGCTCTGTCCCTCCCTAGCTATGAGACCTTGGGCAGGTGACCTCATATCTCTCTGCTGGTTTTCTCCCCTTAAAAAAAGTTTAATGAGGCTGGGCACAGTGGCTCACATCTGTAATCCCAGCACTCTGGGAGGCTGAGGGGGGTGGATCACCTGAGGTCAGGAGTTTGAGATCAGCCTGACCAACATGGTGAAACCCTGTCTCTACTAAAAATACAAAAATTATCTGGTTTGTGGTGGTGCATACCTGTAGTTCCAGATACTCGGGAGGCTGAGGCAGGAGAATCACTTGAACCTAGGAGACAAGGTTGCAGTGAGCTGAGATCACGTCACTGCACTCCAGCCTGGGCACAGAGCGAGACTCCGTCTCAAAAAAAAATAGTTAATGAAAATAACAGTTAACATTTATTGAGCACTTACTATGTATCAGGCATTCTTCTAAACAATTTCTCTTCAAATTCACTGAACACTTACTTTGAACATCCCTTTATGGTAAAGATGTTATTTTCATTCTTCAGCTCAGAAAACTGAGACTCAGAGAGCTACGTCGCCAACCACGCCACTCAGCTATTAATGGTACTGCCGTGATTTCTAACCAGCGGGCTGGCTTCAGGGTATACCAGTTAGCCACTGGGCTCTGCTGCTGTGGAGGGGATAATTCACAGACCTCGTGATTACTTCATAGTACAGCTGGTACTGCAAATAGTAGGTACTCAATAATGTAAATTCCCCACGCACACCCTCTGCAGTTAGTGCCCTGCAGGTCTGCTTTCAGGCTGTCCTGAAAGCCAGTTCCTACCTGGAATGCAGACACCTCTCCAGCATCTCTGTACCCCATCACTCCCAGCAGGCCTCCCCTGAGCCCCCCAGGCTCCCCCTCTGTGGGATGGACCAGTAGGGGCACAGCCACTTTCCCTTATAAGGACATGTTGCCTGGGTCACTCTCAGGCCTGAAGGGGAATGTCCTGCGGCCTGGATAGGGGAAGTGACGTTCTTATAGTTACACAGCGATTGAATGGAATACCTGTGGCCAGAACCCTCAGAGGGCCTAACACACTTCCCAGACAGTGCACCCCTGCAGGATGTTAGGCCAGCTACCAGGTCTGCAAAGAACTAAGTACATGAGGCAGACTAGCAGCAGCAAACTTGTGTACCCACAGGGGCCACGCTGCTTAGCTCATGAACAAAGCAGGATGAATGCAAATAGCAGTGAGCTACAAAGTGTAGCCCCCCCCACTCCCTCCTGTCTGGTCAGCTGTTATTCATCTCCAGTTGAGGGTCAAAGCCCCTTGAAAACGAGGCCCACCATGACCAGATTTTCCAGCTTTTCTAAAGACGCCAGTCATTCTCTTTTTAATGTAAATGTCAGCTTTTTTTTTTTTAAATGAAAGACTACCATGCAGACCAATCTTAACAGGTCTATGGGCCAAAGCCAGCATGAGGAGCATCAATTTTCACCTTCCGCAGGAGGCCTTAGTCAGGCCTGCTGTTAGCTGTCTGGCTGCAAGGAGATGTCTAGCTATTCCCCCCAAACTGCAGGGGCCCTGGACTGGAGGCAGCAGACCTGAACTCAAATGCCAGCTTTACCACTTACTGTGCTGTGTGACCTTGGGCAAGACACTGTCCCTCTCTGAAGTTGTGCATCCTCTGCTATAATGAGGGTAATACAGTACCTACTTTAAGGACTGTTTGAGGATTCAATGAGATAATGCATATAGAGTGTTCAGTAAACAATAGGTAAATGCTCATGCCCTGTTTCCTCCTACCTGGGATGACAGTTCTGCCAAGTGAGCCCCTGTCTGCTCACATCTGATTGTTGAGACTTCTGATGCTCACCAGGCCACCCTGGCCTGGATCCCATCACATAGCAAACTTCAGGGCATTGTGCTGGTCAGACAGAAAGAGTCCTAGAAGCCAGCCACCAGCATTTGCCCAGTTTCTGCACAGGCACTAGGGAGCTGGTTGGATAAGGACCAGGCAGTTTGTTTCCGGAAGGCCTCTGGTGGATATGTAAGATTTGGGAGCATGGGGGCATAGGGAGTGAACAGGCAAAATATATTTTTGGCTTTTCTCGGTACATGTAGGCAGTTACCTCTGTCTATATAAGGCTGGCCTGACCTCAAGGCCCACAACATCCGGAAGGGGCTTCTGAATCATCAAAAATAGAATCAGCTTTGTTGAGGGGAATTTGTGGGTGGAGGATTCAGAGCCATAAGACAGAAGAGGAAGAGGAAGAGGTAAGCCTTCAGATCTTCCTGGAGAGCCTGGTCTGGGATCAGAATCAGAGACCCATAGAGTATTATTTTCAGTAGAGATGGACTTTTGCCTTGTTGCCCAGGATGGTCTCAAACTCCTAGGCTCAAGTAATCTGCCCACCTCAGCCTCCCAAAGCGCTGGGATTACAGGCGTGAGCTACTGTGCCCAGCTGCACAGAATAATTAGAGTCACTGAATTCTTTAGCCTTCTTCAACGTTGCCACTGTCCAGATAGTTTGAGAATACAGAGAAGCAGCCAAAATCTTCCTATATTGCTGGTGCTATCCAATAGCAACAGTATGTGAGCCACCAACTCGAACCGTATGCATAATTTAAACTTTTCTGGTAACCCTACTCAAAGTCCACTGATTCAAATGTTAGTCTCATCTAAAAACACCCTCACAGAAATATCCAGAATAATGCTTGACCAAATATCTGGGCACTATGGCCCAGTCAAGTTGATATATAACATTTTTTAAATTTAAAAAATCGAATTTTTAAAAACAGAAATCAATTTTAATAAAATATTTTAGTCAATGTAACATATCACAAATATCCTTTTAACATGTAAATAATATAAAAAATTGACAGGATGTTTTACATTTATTTTCTCATATTACAATTTTCTACTTATAACAAATCTCAATTTGAACTAGCCACATTACAAATGTTCAGTAGCCACACATAGCAAGTGGCTACTGTGTCACACAGGGCAGCTATAGACCATTTCCATCATTACAGAAAGGTCAGTGGGTAGTGCTGCTCTAGGCCATTAGAACCCGTGACCGCTAATGCTGAAATGGACCTCCCAGATCATGCAATTCAAGGGTCATAGATTCAAATGCTTTCACAAGCCAGGAAAGTGACAGAGTTGACAGAGGAGAGCCAGTGTAAGTCATTAAAGAGTGGTGGGGACTGAGGCTAATTAATGTTTACGTTCCAACTTATGATTTCCTCCACATACTACTCAGCTCCAAACAATTGTTGCCAGATGCCAAAGAGGGTCTCATATTGCTAGATCTGGTATTTTCCTTTCCAAGAGAAGCAGAAATCCAGATTTTTATGTGAAATCTCCTGAATTTTAATGACTAGCAAATAATAATTTAAAATTCATCAGGGGTCTGGCACAGTGGCTCACGCTTGTAATATCAGCACTTTGGGAGGCCGAGGCAGGTGGATCACTTGAGGCTCAGGAGTCTAAGATCAGCCTGGGCAAATGGAAAAACCCCGACTCTACTAAAAATAGAAAAATTAGGTGGGCATGATAGTGATGTTGTGCACTTCCAGCTACTCCAGAGGCTGAGGTGGGAGGATCACCTGAGCCTGGGACATGGAGGTTGCAGTGAGCTGAGATCACACCAGGCCAGTGCACTCCAGCCTGGGCCACAAAGCGAGACCCTGTCTCAAAAAAACTAAACTTAAAAAACCAAACTCATTGGGGAGAGGACAAACAAAACCTGGCTGAGGGCTGGCACCAGATTGCAAGCTCTGATGTGTCAACCCTTTGTGCCTTACTCTTCTCAAAGCTTGTTTCTCCAGACCCCTCCCCATGCTCCTCCTCCCTGCCCTGCACCCGGGAGGTGGACCTGGACAGGCTGCATCAAAGCCCTCCTTGCATTCTGGCTGGTGTTGGTGCAACACATAAAATTTCATGTGTCAACTTGGCTGAGCCATGGTGCCCAGGGATTTAGCTATGCATCACTCTTGATGTTTCCGTGAGTATGTTTTGAGATGAGATTAACATTTGAATAAGTGGGTTTTGAGTAGGGTGGATCACCCTTCAGAATGTGAATGGGTCTCATCCATCAGTGGGAGGCCTGAATATTGCAACAGACTGACCCTTCCTGAGCAAGAGGACGCTCTGCAGCAGATAGCCTTCAGGTTCCAACTGCAGCACTTTCTTGGCTCTCCAGCCTCCTGGTCTCCCCATCAGATTTTGGACTTGCTAAGCCTCCACAATGGTGTGAGCCAATTCCTAAAAGAAATCTTTCTCCTTCTGTCTTGATAAGACACACACACACACACACACACACACACACACACACACACACACACACACACCCTGTTTGTTGGTTTCTCTAGGGAGCCCTGACTCCCCAGAAGGAGAGCTGAGGGATAGAGGAGAGGAAGAGCCCCCTCCTTCCTGCAGTCACCAAGAGCCAGCTGCATCCCTGGACCCAGATCCCATCAGGAAGCTTGCTCCCTTGAGGCCTTGGGCTGGGAGGTGCTCCTCTACTCTTCACTCCCTGATTTCTCAGCACTGGGGTCCCACAATTTTCCTGTGGTCCCCCTACTCTCTGCTGACCTTGTAACTTGACCTTTTACTAAACTCTCTACAAATTAGCTAGTTTGTATACTTTCTATTTCCTCTTGAGACCCCACCTACGTGCTCTCATTTCTCAGATGAAAAAATCGAAATCCAAAATAGTAGGCCAGGTGCAGTGGCTCGTGCCTATAATCCCTGTGCTTTGGGAGGCAAAAGCAGGAGGACTGCTTGAGGCCAGGAGTTTGAGACCAGCCTAGGCAACATAGCAAGACCCTGTCTGCGCAAAAAAAATTAGAAAATAAGCCAGGTATGGTGGTGCACACCTGTAGTCCTTTTTACTCAGTAGGCTAAGGTGGGAGGATCACTTGAGCCCAGGAGTTCAAGGTTACGGTGAGCTATAATTGCACCCCACACTCCAGCCTGGGCTACAGAGCAAGATCCAGTCTCAAAAAAAAAAATAGTAAAGAGATCTGCTCAAGGTCACACAGCATGTTAGAGATGGAGCCAGGATTCCAATGAGGCTTATTGAACTCCTTGTTTAGTGATTTTTATTTCTTCTCCTTTTTACGATACCATCACCACCTCTATTTCTCCACCTACTTGACTCTATATCTGTTTGGCACTCATATTGGAATATGTCTGTGTGTAATCTGTCACTATGTGTACCTGTAGTTCATCACTTCTGTGTGTTCCTGTGTTTTCCTTGGTGGATTTCCTTTATATTTTATTTCAATACTCTCCCGGTGATGATCACCTAGGTGGCCTCAAACAACCGTGGCACAAATATCCTTTGACACTGTCTCCTTAGGACCCATGAGGTAGTTTTCTGGGTCATAGGAAATACAGATAATGAATACCCCTAATTACTGCCAAGATGCTGGCCGGGCTGACAGGATTTCTGTTTCCTTATATCCTACCAGGACTTATTGTCCACTTTTCTTATTTTTCCCAGTCTGATTGGCATGTTGTTGAATTTATTTTAATTTGCATTTCCCTGCAAATTATAAACACATAGGTTTGGGTATCTCTTCATAATCCTGTTGGCCATGTAGATATCTCTTTTCAGGATGACATTTCGTACCTTTTGTCCACTTTTTTCTTGGGGGCTATGGTAAATGGCTTCCAAACACGGCAGCCCACTGTCCCTGGTGGATGCCGCCCCTACCATCAAGGGCTGGAGTCTATTTCCTTCCCCTTGAACCAGGCCAGTCCTGTGGGCTACTTTGACCAATAGAATTTGGCAGAATTGACGTTCTTAGACTTCCACATCCTGCCCTTAGAGGCCTTTTAGCTTCGGTTTTTGTTGCTCTTGAAGGCCACTATCATGTAAAGAGGTCAAGGATAGACTCCTGGAGAAGCTACGTGAAGAGAGACCCTGAAGTGTCAGCGGCCATTGCAGACCTTCCAGCCCTAGCAAAACTCCCAGCTCACGGGGCAGAGACAATGCCATCCCTGCAGAGCTCTGTCCAAATGCAGAAACGTGAGCCGAGAAATTGCTGTTTCAAAGTTCTAAGTTTGAGGATGGCTTGTTATGTGGCCACAGGTAACAAAAACAAGGTTTGGTTTGGTTTTGTTTGTCTTGTCTTTTCTGAGTTGGGGTGCTTCTCATATCTTCTGGACATGAGCCCTTGGTGTATTCCAATGACTCTGTACCAGCCCTGCCATCTCCTTGTTCCTATGCTGCCATGAGCGTACCGTAATGGTGCTGCCGCCTTCTGCCTGCAGATCTTTTTCACTAAGAATGGCAAAGCCCTTCAGGCTTCAAGGACTGAGTAACATCCGGTCAGAGCAAGCTAGAATGCCTTCTCAGGAAAGCTGCAGAGACACCTGGTAACCAGCCAGAAGAGGCAGACTCTAGATTTCCAAATGCCACAAAGTTCCAGCTCAGAGCACCCAACTAAGTGAAGCAATCTGCTCATCTGAAACTCTGCACTTGCAGTCCCCTTGCCTGGAATGTTCTCCCCAGAGACTCCCCATCGCTCCCACCTTCTCCCTTCCTCCCACATTGCCATGAGCATCTGGCTGACTCCTTCAGGTCTCAATCTAGTGCCACCTGCTCAGAGAAGTCCTCTCCGTCCACCCTGGCTAAAGTAGCCTCTGAGTCAGTTTAACATCTTGGTCATTTTCTTCTTAGCCGGCATCATGACACATGACTTGTTTATGTTTCTATTGCCTGTCTCCCCTGCCAGCTTGTAAGTTCCATGTGGGCGGGACAATGAACCAGAACATGACAGGTTCCCAATAAATGTTTATTGAATGAATAAATGGAAGAAGGAGTGAACAAAGTAATGAACAAAACAGACCCCAGATCAGAGGAAGAGATGGCTTTCTTGTTAATTCTGGAGCAGATTCAAGCAGCAAATATTTACTGAACACTTGCTATGTGCTGGAAATTGTTCTAGGAACTGGAGTTACAGCAGTAAAAAAAATAACATTTGTATTTTCATAAATTTATATTCTAGAGGGAGAAGAAGATAATAAGAAAATAAGTTATACAGTGTCCTATTAAGGAGAAATTATAGCAGAGTAAGGGGGTGGAGAGTAATGAGGGTGACATTTTAGACAGGAGGTCAGGGAAGCCTCTCAGGGAAGGTGACACCTGAGCAGGGACTTGAATAAAGTGAGTCGGGGAACCAGACATATACTTGGGAGAGAGTGTTCTAGGCAGAGGGAACAGCACATGCGAAGGCCCTGAGGCAGAGTATGTAGCTGGAGAGGGGAGGGAAGAGCAGTAGAAAATCAGAGAGGTCAACTCTGTGGAATCCCCAGCCCAGGAATTTGGGGCTTTGAAGCTCTCTTATGTTCAGAAAGGCAAATCATCTCCAGGTCCAAAGTTGATTAACATTCTTTATTTCACAGTATTTTTGATCAGAAGTCTTAGAAATCATGATTCATCTGGTTACAAATCCCATGAGTTTCTCTTTGAATGAACCTCTTGCTTCCAGTCCCATACAACGCATCTCCCACCAGCCCCAGTGGGTTGTAACTGTGATTCAACACTGAGTGCTCACTTGGAAAGGAGGTGGAGCTCAACTTCCAACTCAGAGGGCCTCTCCCACTGCTCTCAGGGAAATGCCCATGATTCACTTATGCTGTATCAACAACAAGTGCAGCTGGGCGCTGCCTTCCCAGCTGGCCAAGCGCTCCTAGGGGAATCTCCACCCTCAGAGGCTTAGGAAAGGGAAGTGTGACGAGTCAGGGCCCCTGGGCTGGTGTCTTTTCCAATACTGGGCTAATGCTGGGCCATTCCATTCAGCAGACACTTCCTGAGGGCCTGAGCTCTTCACTGGGATGCCAGAATGCTTCTGCTTGGAACAAAGAGGGATTAACCCTTGAAGGCAGACACCACTTCCAGCCTCGGGCTCACGGGGACGTCTCAGTTTTACCCATATGCAGAAGGGGACAATCTTTTGCTTGCCTGAGACATTTTACCCTGGCCTTTTACAAGGCCCCAATTTATCTTTTGACTTTTCTCTCACCCCTGACAAATGGGGCCTTTGATAATTAAACATGCTTACCACTTAAGGTGGGGCATGGAGAGATCAAGGCCACCTGCTGGGACAAGCAGCAACTGACCGCCTTGCAGCCACAGAGGCCTATGGGGGCCACATGTAGGAGAGTCCTGGCTGGAGGGGTCATGAGTCACCCCATGGGAGGGCAGGACCCAGGCCTGGCCTGACCCCAGAATTATGGCCAAACTGACCCAGATGAAACAGGAGAATCCTAAATCTCTTGGGTCGAGATGTCAGCTGCGGTTTCTAGAACTTCCCCTGGTATGCTCAGGAGCCCAGAGAAACAGCAAAGAGGCTTTGCACAGTCTCATGTCCTTGGAAAGCTATCTGTCCCTTTCCCTGTCTCCAAGGATTAAAAAAGAATCTCTGACTGCTGGTTATCGGCAGGGGTAAAACAACTGGTGCAGAATGGGCACCAACTAAGCAAAATCACACACTGGTTGTGAACAGCTGGAACAACTGGGTTGGAACATTGCAGCCCAGGAAAGTGATCTTTAAAGACAAGGTGGTCTCTTCAGTGTAATCGAAAGTAATCACTGGGGGATAATGTTAGCTGTGCCCATGGGAATGAATGGCCTCCTATCCCAACTGTACGAGACAAACACCATGCCAGATTTGCTCACTGTTGATGACACTGGGCTGTCTTGTATCCTAATGATAAAACAGCTAACTGATAAAGGAGCTTATTTCTCAGGCAGCAGATCTGAGAGATACCTGGGCTTTGAACTGCATGAAAGAGAGAGAAAGTATCCTAGATAATGGCTCATGGACTTGAGTGGGCCACTGGAGGTCACCCTTGCTTGCTGCATATTGGATTACAGAAAAGAATTATTTGATTGTTTTGTAGTGTCCTAGCAGCAGGTGATGGTGACAGCCCTTTGAGAGGGTTCAGCCTCAAGGGAGTCCTCCAGGGGGACTCAGAGGGTCCGAAATGTGTCATTGGCCAAGGTGGGTGGCAATGCTGTGACATTGACCGAGTACATATCAGCCCAGTCCGGGAAGGTGCCCAGCTGGAAGATGGTCTGTGCCCAGGTATTCATAGCCAAACTGAGCAGCAGGACACCCATCAGGTTCATCAGGAGGCCTGTCCGCACCTGAAATAGAGCCCAGACAGAGGGAGGGGTCAGCACCTGACCCACCATACAGATGGAAACATTCAGACTCAGAGACAGGAAGTCACTCACCCAAGATCGCACAGCCAGGAAGTGATGGAGCCAGGACACAGACCCAGGTCGGTAAATGCCTGGGACCCTTCAATCTTTACACTACCCTAGGCTGTCACTCAAAGAGCTGCAAGTGTCCCCATTCATTGATGGCCTCTAGGTTCCAGGCACTGTGTGCTACGCAGTTGTCACAGGGTTATGCTGTTTAACCCAGAAAGCAACCTTACAAAGGTCATTCTTATTAATCCCCATTTTATAGAAGAGAAAAATGAGACCTAGAGAAGTTGACTTGTCCAAGGTCACCTAACTTGAAAATAATCTTGTCTGATCACTAAACACCCCCATCCCACACACATATACACACACGCATGCACACACACACGCATGCATGTAGGAACACACATATGTACACATAGGTACACACACACACTTCAGGTCCAGTCCAGTCAGGTAGTCCTAGTCAAGACTACCCTTGTCCATTGGGAAGCATTTTTCTTCTGTCGGTGGAGAATGTGCCCATCTGCTCCCTACCCTGGCTGGCCTCTTGGACCATTCAGTCCACCTTGGGCTGAAAATCCTTGTTTTCCCACCTGGGTCTTCTGGCTGCCCCGCCTTCACATAGCCCAGGCTGAATCACATGGTGAGACAGTTACTTCCTTTCTAATTCTCTTTCTGTCTATTCCTCCCAGAGAAAGTCTCTCTTAGGGGTGTGATAGGAAAATAAATCTTGGGGCCCCCAAATTACTAAGCTAAAGAGAAAAGTCAAACTGGGAACTACTTAGGGCCAACCTGTCTCCCATTCTATTCAGTCATCCCTCTGCTCACTGAGTTGAATGCATATCTGATTGCCTTCTTTGGAAAGGCTCATCAGAGACTCAAAATAATGCAACCATTTGTCTCTTATATACCTATGACCTGGTAGCCCCCTGCCCTCTTTGAGTTGTCCCGCCTTTCCGGACCAAACCAATGTTCATCTTACATATGTTGATTGATGTCTCATGCCTCCCTAAAATGTATAAAATCAAGCTGTGCTCCACCCACCTTGGGTGCATGTCGTCAGGACCTCCTGAAGCTGTGTCACAGGCGTATGTCCTTAACTTAGGCAAAATAAACTTCCTAAATTTACTGAGACCTGTCTCAGATTTTTGGGGTTCACAGGGGCCACCATGGCTTCAGCACTTCTCTGCTCCTGTCAGTTGCCCTTTTAACAAGGAGAGGCCCAGAACCTTCTCCAGGCAGCTGCTATCAGGGAGAGCTTAATTCTTTTGTTTTTGCCGCTTTGCATTTATTTTTAGGTTTACTGGCCATGGCATATATTAATAATACCGGTTTTCCATTGATGGATGCACTGGAAACATTTCTTCTGGAATATTCTTATTCAAGTTTTTTTTTGTTTTTTTTTTTTAATGTCAAGCTGATTTAGTAAAGGTGTTAAATAAATATTACCACGGACGGGTGGGGGACATACTGCGTGTGCTGTCCTGCCTCTCTTCTAAGGGCACAGAGGTGGAAGCCCTGGCACCTTCGGAGGATTAGAGGGAGTCGGGCCGACATGTTGGGGAAACTGGGGGAGGATTGGGTCTCCCTTTGCCAGGGCTCAAAATTCCTGCTGGTCCCATGTTAGCTACTTCATTAACACCTAACTCATTACTCTCAGGAGCGAACCTGCAGGTGGGCCATCCCTGCCCGGGACTGGCTGACCGGGGGTGCCCCTTGTACCCCTCCACATCTCTTGCAAGTCTCTACCTCTTGGGGACTCTCCATTTCTCTGGCTGTCTTTATTCTCCAAATCTATGCTGTTTGCATTGCTGCCCTCTCAGTCTTTTTCTCTAAGTAGCCTCCCTGCTTCCACACTTGTCCCTCCCACCCTAACGATTCACTCCAGCCAGCAGCCAAAATGATCTTCTACAGACAGAAGTGAAATCACATCATTGCCCTGCTTACCGAGGGTCCCCACTGTGGTTTGAATAAGATACCAAGTCTGTCCTGTCCCCGCTGTTCCCTGACCTCGTGTCTCCAACCTCATCCTTCTCCAACTCCACTGCAGCCACCCCAGCCTCCTGGCCCTGAATTTCTGGAGCACTCGCTGCTATTCCTCTCTTCCAGGCCTTTGTACCTGCTGTGCCCTCCATTGGGACTGCTCTTCCCCTTTTTCTCTGTGAGGCTGGCGGCTTCCCATGATCATCAGCTCCCATGTCACCTTCCTGGAGAGGGCTTCCCTGCCACCCCTCTCCCCCGTCCTCTTACACTTCCTCATGTTTTATTTCCTTCTGAGCACCTAGCAATATTGAAATTTTACATAATTTAGGAAAATCTGCTGAACTTGTTCACGTCTGTCTCCACCAATAGAAAGCAGCCTCCTAGGAGGCGGATCGGTGTCTCTCCCACTCTGCAGTGCCCCCAGTGGCTGGAACATAGAATGCACTCAGTAAATAGTGCTGTAATGAACGAACAAATCAATGAGTCTCTGTCTCGTCTCTTCTCTGTTTGCTCTGTGTCTCCCTTTCTGCCTCGCTCTCACTCTCGCTCTCTCTCCCCATGTGTCCTGCAGGGGTCTTGTGCCTGGAGGGCCTGCATCGCGATTGGTTAAGCAGGTCGCCCGTCTTGGCTTTGACAGCTTTGGAAGGGTTATTTGCAAAGCCAGTGGAGAGGGAAAAGGCCGCAGGAGTCAGGAGCGGGAAGGGAGGAGCTGGTTCAGCAGGGACCTTCCGGGGGAGGGAACATATTGCCAATGGCTGGGCCCTGCTGAAAGCTGGTGGGGTCCTCCCACTGCTACAGTCCTCCGCTTCTGTCTCCTTCCCAGCTGGCTGAGCACTGAGGCCCACCCCTGAGTCCTAGGGTGTGTCTGCTGCTTCTCTCCCCCGAAGATTCTGGGCACGAAGTGGGGTCCAGAGGGAAGGGGAAGTTCCTTGCCTCTGGAGCAAATTTTGGAAAGTAGTCACTAAGGCAGTGTTTCCTGAGATTGTCTAAGTGCAGGAATCATCCCAGAGTCTCTGCTAAATGTATGTTCCTGGTCCCACTCAGAAAGATCTATTCAGAGACTGGGGAGTGGGGTCAGCGTGCAGGAGTCCTGCATAGAGGCCTTGCCCGCCCCCTTGCGGCCCACCCACATCCCGGGGCCTCTGCTGGGAAATGCCCAGACTCACCATGTCTTTGACCAGCAAGTGTCCAGAGGCGAAGGCGATGGAGTTGGGGGGCGTTGAGACCGGGAGCATGAAGGCAAAGGAGCAGCCGACTGTGCCCGGAATCATCAGATACAGGGGGTGCACTCTCAGGCGGATGGCCTGGGCCAGGAAAAGGTGGGAGAGACCCGGAGAGAGACCAACGCAGAGCGACCACAGCAAGAGGGAGAGAGAGAGAGAGAGGCAGTTGGAAAGAGGGACACAAAGACGTAGAGACAGAGAGACAAAGACATCCATAGAGATTGGCAGAGTGGCAGAGAACAACAGGGACAAGTGAGAAGAGAGAGTTAGAGAGACAGAGAGAGAAAGGCAGTCAGAAAGACACATGCACAGGCAGAAACAGAGACAAGCAGGTAAGAAGAGAACCAGATCGAGAGAGAGGTGGAGAGAACATTCCCAGGGTTAGTGACATTCAAGGGCCACACTGTGGTTTGATCAGGGATGGGCTGGGGTGGTGTACCTAGAACACTCCTTCTCCAATGTGAGAGTGCAGAAAAGCACTTGGAGGGCTGGTTAAAGCCCACATGGCTGGCCCCACCTCACCCAGAATTGCTGATTCAGCAAGTCTGGGGTGGGATCCAAGAATCTGCATTCCTGACGTGTTCCCCCGGTGCTGCTGGTCTAAGGACTGTACACTGAGAACCAGGGCTTTAAAATACTTCCTCTGCCTGCTCCTTCCCTCAGCCAAACAATCTCAACCCAGAGTTGGCCTCTGGATACCTCTTGTTGGGGGCATCCCTGGATTTCAGTGAGAAAGAGAGCTCATGAGAGCATCTGTTGGCAGCTCTTCCAAATTTCTAAGACTGTGTGTATCAAACCCCCCTATGAGCTGGCCTCAGCTAGTGGGCCACCAGTTTGTCACCTCTCCTGCCTACAATTCATACTGATCACTTTTATGGCGTTTTACTTAAATAGGATATTTTTGGGCCTTCTAGGGAATTTTTGCAACCCAAAGCATATTTATTTTCTCAAAAAGCTCTAAAATCACCCCCTTGCATGTAAAATGTTTTTTGATTTTGATGATAAGCAAAGTTTACAAGAATGTGTCATTTACAAGTGTCTTTTCCAGCAAAAGCTGCCCCTTACAGACCTGGCTGGGTTCTATGCTCCGTCTCCGTCCCCATACCCCCTATAATACTCTCATTTCTCTCAGTGACCAGGTCCCTCTGAGGACTCCCACCCCATACTGCTATAAAATGGTGAGCCACTTTGGAGGGCAATTTCCTCATCTCTAACGACATTTTAAACGTACATGCTCTTTGACCCAGGAATCTCAGTCACAGGAATTTCTCTAGATGTAATCAATGAATGCATAGACAAGGCTCAGGTGACACGTCATTGTTGAGTAACAGCAAAGTCTGGAAATACCTATATTTCCATTGGGCAGAGAGATTGCTTAAATAAACCAACAACTGTCCATTTATAATGGAATATTCTCCCGTCATTGAAAAATAACACAGTGTATATCTGTGTGCTAACACAGATAAATTGATGCATAAAATAAGCAGACAGAAACCAAAGACAAGGTGCTGCAGGTATGTGTGCTGGGGCATCACTGTTTGCATACAAAGCATTTACTTGCATCATTGATTTAATTTTATCAGCGTGGGTTACATTAAGGTAATTACATGGTCTGGTCTTTAATCTGTTTAAATATAAAACTATATTGATAGTTTCCTTTTTAAAACTCCTAGTATAAAAGCTACCTGATCATGTGTATATTGTTCTTTTCATTCTGTCATGGTTTCATTTTGCTATTTGCATTTCTTTTTACAGGAGATTGAATTATAGCTTTCTCTTCCCTTGCTCTCCTTACCTGGTTTTGGGGCCAGGGTTTTGCTAGCTATAAATTGAGTGGCCATGTCTATTTTTCTATGCTGGTGAACAGTTTGGGTGAGTTGGGAACTCTCTGTTCCTTGCAAATCTGCTAGCTCTCACCCAGCAAACCACCTGGGGCTGGTGATTTTGTTTTTGTTTTTGTTTTGAGACAGGATCTGGATCTGGGTCTGTTGCCCAGGCACCTGCCACTAAGCCTGGCTACTTTTTGTATTTTTTGCAGAGATGGGGTCTCACCATGTTGCCCAGGCTAGTCTGAAACTCCTGAGCTCAAGCAATCTGCCTGCTTCAGCCTCCAAAAGTGCTGGGATTACAGGCATGAGTGGCAGAGCCCGGCCTGGGGCTGGTGATTTTTAGCCCAGGAGTCATCAGCTGGGTAGGGGGAAGGATTTGTTCCCCTGACGGGGATATTTGGGAATGCTAGGAGACATTTGGATTGTCATGATTTAGGGAGGCGCCACTTGTCTCTAGTGAGCAGAGCCCAGGGATGCCACTACACACCCTGTAGTGCACGGATCAGCCCCATACAGAGAATGATCCAGCCCCAACTATCAACAGTGTTGAAACCCCTGCTTTAGAGGGAGGCTACTGCTTTGCTTCCATTAGAATTTCTCCTATGGCCATTTGTTTACTCAGATTTTCTACTTCTTCTTCATCCAAAATTGGTAATTTACCTGTTCTAGAAAACTCTCCATGTCACCATGGGTTAATTTTCCCAGAAGAGAGAATTGGGAGCACTTTGAAAATATTTACTCTATGTATACATTTTTTGAAGGAAAACATCCAGTATTTAAAAAAATTGTACTGTGGTTCTGATACGTTCATGTATTTTGGAAGACAGCAATGGCAACTGTGGCCCCCAGTGAAGGTCCCTTGGCGGGGGAAGATTTCTGAATGTGTGTTGGGGGAGGGGTGCTCCCCTCTTCCCCAGAAGGACCCTCACCAGCTCTGCCAGGACCGGCAGGAAGATGATGATGGTCGCCGTGTTGCTGGCAAACTCAGTGAAGAAGGCGATGACCACAGTGATGAGCAGCACAGCCAGGGCGGGGGGCACATTCTCCAGGGGGTGCAGCTGCCCACCAATCCATACAGACAGCCCCGATTCCTGCGGAGGGAAAGGCATTCCTTCATACCCCAGCCCATCCCCAGCTGCCGCCCCCCAGAGAGGGTTAGGATAGATCACAACAATGACGACCATACCCCTTCCCAGATGGGGAGACTGAGGTGCAGAGAGGGGAGGTGACGTGTCCAATGTCACACATTCGAGCCAAGGTCACACATCTGAGCCAGCAGCCTCTCTACTTCTCGAACTGCTCTCCACTCTATCTCATACAGGCCAGGGACCCAAACCCCTGGGTCTCCAATAATCCATTTGGTTCTAGCACCCCTAAGCACCGATTTAAGTGGGAAAGGGAAATCAAACCAGACCCTCAGTAGTAAAACTTCTCATCCCTCCAGTGAAGGTTATTAATTACCCAAATCATAATAGTTACTTATATAAAATATTCATTATTTTTATAATTATTATTTAATAATATATTAATATGTATGAAATATATATACAAGACTTACTATATATCATATATAAAACACGTATCAGATATACATCAACTACAACACAATCAATGTAATTATCAATAATAATGGTATTTATACGCCTGTAATCCCAGCACTTTGGGAGGCTGAGGTAGGCGGATCACTTGAGGTCAGGAGTTCGAGACCAGGCCAGCCAACCTGGCGAAACCCTGCCTCTACTAAAAATGCAAAAATCACATGTGTGCCTGTAATCCTAGCTACTCGGGAGACTAAGGCATGAGAATCGCTTGAACCTGGGAGGGAGAGGTTTCAATGAGCCAACCTCACGCCACTGCACTCCAGCCTGGGCGACAGAAACTCTGTCTCAAAAGCTACATATATATATGTATTTGTATATATACACACATACAGTAATAAGGATAATTACTACAATGATAATACTACAAATATTAACGTTGCATTATTATTCATTGTCGTAAGAATCACCATTATTGAGGCTTTACAGGGGACCAGGCACCTGCAGGCATTAGCTCCTTGACTCCTCCCAACCATCCCAAAAGGTAAATATTGGTTCCTGTTTTACTGAGGAGGAACTTCAGCCTGAAAAAGTTTTTGTGACTTGCCCAGGATCCCTAAAAGTAGTGCCTGAGACACCCATCTACCTCCATAAGATGTGTGATTCTGCAAAGCTCCCCGCAAATCAGCATCTTCCTCTGGACCCACCAGTCTGTCACCTTGTCTGTAAATTAAGAGCAATGCCCAGTGCTGACTCCAGTCCTCCAGGGCAGAGACGGGTAGAGAAGTTCACCGAGACTCCACTCGCCTGTCAGTGCTGCAGAATTATTTGGGTGCTCTCTCTGCTGACTTCTCCAGAAGCTACCCTATTTACCAGTGTATAACATCTAGAATACTCTTCCGCACCTCTGTCCTCTCACCATCAAATGCATCCTTAAATAACTGACCCAACACATCATTATAACCACAAAACGGCAAAGCTGAGGATGTCAAAATATGCTCAATGCTGTCCCCTGGTGCAACTGTGATGCAGCAAGATCACAATAAAGCCACCGTTTGCTTAGACCTAGAACAAAGCTGTAGGTTTTGGAGCTGATCTAGGGCAGAGCTGGGTTAGTCCATTAACATTCAGAATCCAATGTATTGCTACCATAGCCCTTTTATCAATCCAGTATACCAAAGACACTTTATATATATATTTTTACTTTTAATAGAAAAGTCCCTGCTTACTCAGAACTTAAAAATTTCATAATCGATTCTAGAAGACAGCATACAGGGCCAGGCATGGTGGCTCACGCCTGTAACCCAGCACTTTTAGAGGCCAAGGTGGGCAGGTCGCTTGAGGTCAGGAGTGCGAGATCAGACTGGCTAACATGGTGAAACCCCATCTCTACTAAAAAAAAATACAAAAATTAGCCAGGCGTGGTGGTGCACGCCTGTAATCCTAGCTACCCAGGAGGCTGAGGCAGGATAATCACTTAAACCAGGGAAGCGGAGGTTGCAGTGAGCTGAGATCACGCCACCGCACTCCAGTCTGGGTGACAGAGAGAGCGAGACTCCATCTCAAAAAAAAAAAAAAAAAAAAAAAAAATAGAATAGAGCATACAGTTTTTACATAAATAAAATAGTACACTTGCCCCTACAATTTGACTTAAAAGTTACCTTCAATGTAAGAATAATAAATGCTTAAAAATATTTGTCCCCAGAAGAGTCCTCATGAAACTAAGGTGTTTCTGGTACACCTGCAGTTTGTCTGCTAGCCTGGGGAATACGGTAAGTGGCAGCGTGGAGGCCACAGCCCCTAACCTGGCTGCAAGGAGTGCTGCAGGGAGAAAATGGGACCTCTGGTTTTTCCCATAGGCCACAGCTCTGGCAAAGAGTCTGACCTGACAGCTCTGTGCGCAATTAAAGGGAGAGGGGCTAGAGAGAGGGAATATTAATGACTCGGGCAAGTGAGAAGCCAGGAGCTGCCCCGTAGCTGGGCCTCTGAGTGACCGGGCTTCCAGCCAGCATCCTCGCAGCCACACAGGCCTTGGCACAGCTCCAGCGCTGGAGGGAGGTCTGGCAGCTTCCTAAGAGAGGAAAACGCCTGTTGCGTAGGGTTCTACTGGGGACTCTAAAGGGACTTCACCTGCCCTTTCCCATTTTATTTTATTTATTTTTTTGAGACAGAGCCTCACATTGTCACCCAGGCTGGAGTGCAGTGACACAATTATAGCTCACTGCAGCCTCTATCTCCTGGGTTCAAGCAAGCCTCCCACCTCAGTGTCCTGAGTAGCTAAGGCTACAGGCACACAACACCATGTTTGGCTAAATTTTTTTAAGTGTTTTTTTTTGTAGAGACAGGGTCTTACTATGTTGCCCAGGCTGGTTTGAACCTCTGGGCTTAAGCGATCCTCCTGCCTAGGCCTCCCAAAGTGCTGGGATTACAGACATGAGC
This sequence comes from Homo sapiens, assembly GCF_000001405.40. Lineage (NCBI taxonomy): Eukaryota > Metazoa > Chordata > Mammalia > Primates > Hominidae > Homo > Homo sapiens. Next base: position 46,569,277 of record NC_000020.11, read on the forward strand.
CACCATGCCCCAGACTCTTTCCCATATTCTTAGGAATTGGAAGCTTTGTTTCCTTGGAAACACACAGCCCCACAGTATTCCCAGGGACTCCAGGGACCAGCAACAGCCAAGGTCAGAGGTGGCATGGCCAGAAGGTGAAGAGAAGGGGCTCTGGAGTCAGACTGAGTTTGCTTCCCAGCTTAATCTTTTCTAGCTGTCACTTAACTTCCTAGGCAAGTCACTTAACCTCTCTGTGCTAAAATTTCCTTATCTGTAAACGAGGGATAATGATAGTGCCTGTCCCAGAAGGTTATTGTTGGGAGAAAAGGAGTGAATCTATAAAGGGCCTAGGAAAGTGGCTGGGCGCTTGGTTAGCGCCTGCCATAACCAGTAGCATGAAGTCACAAGATGCCTGAAGTGATGGAACTCAGAAATCACCCAGCACAGTGGTTGTCAAATTATGTTCCTTAGTGGCCTTGAAGATGACCAGAAGTACCCAAGGCCACCTTGCAAAAATGGGAGGTGGGGAGATGGAGTTGGTACAGTGATGTTTCCCTCTTCCTCCTGTTTTCTTACTTCAACCAGGTCCTCTCTTCTTGGTGTCTTTGATATACAGTAGAGGAGCATCTTATAAGGGGGTTTGTTATGGCATAAGTTCAATATTTGAAGTCAAAAACTCCTGTGGCCAAAATACCCTTGAAAATCTTTTAAAAGGCTTTGTAAAACACAACGGGCTCGGCTGTGTGCATACAACTTTGTATAATAATTCCTAGGTAAAGAGACCAGCGAATTTGATTAAAGGAAGGAAAAAAGACAAGGCTTTATGTACATGTATAAACATTCAAACCACTGCACCATTTACAAGCTGTGTGACTTTGGGCAAATTAATTAACATCTCTGTTCCTTGATTTCTTTAAGCGATTGCAGTAAGGATTAAATAAGTGCACACGAAACACTCTCTGTACTTAGTAAGCACTGAATATGATCTATCATTTAATTTAACAAAGCAACATAGTGCTTACTCTGTGCTGGGCACTCTTCTAAGTAATTTGTAAATATTACTTAATCTTCATAGCAACCTCATGGAATACAGACTACAGATGCTCCTTGACTTACAGTGGAGTTATGTCTCAATAAGCCCATCACGAATTGAGAATATTGAAGTAGAAAATGCATGTAATACACCTAACCTACCTGTTCACATCATAACTTAGCCCAGCCTACCTTAAATGCGCTCAGGACACTGACATTAGCCTACATTTGGGCAAAATCATCTGGCAATGCTATACACTGTAGAATATCTGTTGTTTACCCTTATAATTGCTCAGCATCTACAAGAGAGTGTCCCACCACATATCACAGCCTGGGAAAAGATCAAAATTCAAGATTCTAAGTACCCTTTCTATTGAATGCATATCACTCTTTCACCATTGCAAAGTTGAAAAATCGTATGTCGAATCGTTGTGAAGTCAGGAACCATCTGTACAATTATCTCCATTTTATGGTTGAAGAAACTGAAGCATAAAAAAGCTCAGTGATTTGCCCAAATAAATAATATGACGTGCCCTAGTAAGATTCAGAATCTGGATCTTAGTCATGTCATTAGGCTTGTCTGTCCGATAAAATGAGGGTAATAATAATTGTATTAGTCCATTCTCGCTCTGCTAATAAAAACATACCCGGGTGTGGGTAATTTATAAAGGAAAGAGGCTTAATTGACTCACAATTCAGCATGGCTGGGGAGGCCTTAGGAAACTTACAATCATGGTGGAAGTGGAAGCAAACACGTCCTTCTTCACATGGTGGCAGCAAGAAGTGCCGAGCAGAAGGGGGAAAAGCCCCTTACAAAAAATCATCAGATCTCTTGAGAACTCACTCATTGTCACAAGAACAGCATAAGGGTAACCGCCCCCACGATTAAATTACTTCCCACCAGGTCCCATGACATGTGGGGATAATGGGAACTACACAATTCAGGATGAGATTTGGGTGGGGACACAGCCAAACTATGTCAATAATAAAGATGACAGACTTCTGGCAGAAAATGAGGAATGGGGAGAATACACATTTTCTCCTTACCTCTATCACCGCAACATATTTGTAAGTAAGTTTGTTGTGGCAACAGAATAAGATCAACCTTTCCTCAATGAATTAATGCAATAATAACAGTAATAATAATAGTGAAGATGAGTGTGGCTCCTGGTTTGAGCACCCAGGGTATATCACCACTCTTCTGGGTACTTTCCATACATTATGTTAGCAATTCTCAAAGCAGCCCATCTTGTAGGTCATAGCAACAATGATGTGTTAAGCACCATTACGCACCCGGTGTCTTCTAGGTGCCTAGAACAGTGGTGGGTAAGACAGACATGGTCTCTGCCTGCCCTCATGGAGCTTCCATTCTAGTAAGAGACACAATCAATAAACATGCCCACAGGATCATTTGGGGGGTAGATGTGGTATATAGGAATAGGCAGGGTCATGAGAGGAAGAGGGACTGGGGTGGGAGGCTATTCTAGATGTGGGGGCTTGGGAGGGCATTTCTGAGGGACTGAGACCTGAAGAGTGAGGACTCAGAGCTCTCAGGATGAAAATTCAACAGAGAAAGGGAAGATGCAAAGGCTGTGGGGTGCATGTGAGTCTGATGTGGCTGAGGAAGGGGCCAAGGAGACTGGAGGGGTGTTAGGAGGGAAGAGAGGTAGGTGCCAATGTTGAGACCTACATTGTCCCATACAGCTTTCTGTGTTGGCCAAGGGAAACCTTGGACTTGACTTTAAGTCTATGCAGAGTCATGACTATACGGTTTTGTGGCAGGAGAAAACTGTAGTGAGGACCCTAAGTGGGCTTAAGTGAGTTGCTGAGGCTCAGAGTAAGCACTACTTCCTGCCCTTCAGAATGAGCGCTGGGAGCCCACACACCCAGGCTCACCCTGGATTGCATCCAGGGACCTCCGATCCTCAGGAGGCTGCCAGGCTGTGTTCTGATGAGAGTGTGGGGCAGGGGCCAGGAACCAGGATGTGCCATAAGCATTCTGGTCGCTCCTGGGCCAGGCTGCGGCTGCCTGGGGAGAGGATGGTACGGCAGAGGCTGGGGAAAGGAACAGCTACTACACAAAGCCCCTGTTGAAGAGAAACTCCGGCCAGCTGCCCAGGGCTGGGCTCAGAGCCAGGGTGGCCTCTCAGCATGCCCAGCGTCCCGCAGCCCAGCCTCCACTGAGAGCCAGTGCTCCCCACACCACTTCTGGAGCTTAGGGAAACCTCTGGATCAGGGTCATCTCATCCAGCCTCCTTCCTCTAGGCCAGGCTGGGCTCAGATCACTGAGGTAAATGGCACCATTTCCACCAAGTTGCTCAAGCCACGAACCTCCACATGATTCTTGATTTTGATTTTCCTTTTCCTCAGTATCTAACCATAATAACCAACTGTGCTGGGCTGTGTTCTCATTTCTCTGCATATATTGACTCACTTAATGATCATGGCAACTTTACCAGGTGGGTGCCGTTGTGATTCCAATTTTACAGATGAGGAAACTGAGGCCCAGAGAGGTTTAGTAACTTGACAAAGATCATACACCTAAGAAGTGGGAAATCTGTGATTCCAATCCAGATGGTCTGGTTCCATCGTACTGCAAGCTTCTTCAAGATCTGGATAACATGCCACTTCCTTCAGGAAGCCTTCCCTAAGACACCCCCAGCAGGAGGCAATAGCATAAGTCAGATAGACATGAGTTCAAATCTTACCTCTGCTACTAATGAGCTGTGTTACCCAGAACCAGTTACTTAACCTCTCTGTGTCTCACGATTCCTAAAATGGAGACAAATAACAGTACTTTTGCTCATCTATTCCTTTGTTCCCTTTGAAGTCTGTATCGTTATTTATGTGTTTTTTAATTAATAAAGTAAAACATATTTTATTTAAAAATGAGCAGCTATGTAGAGAGCCTGAATGTGCCACCCAGATCCCCATCAGTGGAGATCTTGTTGCCCCAGCTAAGGGAGTGCAGTCGGCTGTCTCAGACCCCAAAAGCGGCCTCACTTGAGGTCATACCTGCACCTGGGGCAGCTTGTGTCCCCAGACAGATGGATGCTGGGATACAAGGGCCTGGCTATCTCTGATTACTCGGACTGCCTCTAAAGGTCATCTCAGCTCCAGTGCTCCTGTGGGGCTGGGACTGCCTCCAGCTGCATTTCTCCCTCTGCACTCTCCTGCTTCCTTCCTCTCCCTTCCACAGTGACCCCAAGGGCACAACCTAATGAAGCCCGTGCTTCCGAATCTCCATCCCAGAGTCTGCTTCCTGAAAGCCCAACCTGTAGAAACCATGACATGAGGATTTATGAGCTGGTGTACATGCAGTTTTTAGCACTTCTTATCGGCTATATGTATTGGGCAGTTATTCTTTAATTTTTTCCAACAACCCTGTAGAGTAAGAACTTTGAGCCTCAATCTATGGATGAGAAAAATAGGAACCCAGAGAGGTTAAGAAACCTGCCTGACGTGTCCCAGCAAGGAGTGGTAGAGCCTAGATTGACCAGGTACTGAGATTCCCAAGCCTGGGCTTCTGCCCAGTGTACACAGTTAACAGGCGTCCAACATTGTAACTTCATTTGAAACTGAAAATTAAAATTGAATTAACAACAGAAGCAGTAAAAGAAGTAATTTCAGCTTCCCTTAACCTTAATTTCAGATTGACTCTTAATTGGCTGTGGTTTTTAACGCCTCGGTTTACAAGGCGTTCAGGGGTGAGACGGAGCTCAGCCACCTGACCTTTGGCTTCAGATCCTGGCTCTACCATCTCCTGGCTGTGCAAACGTAGGCGAGCTATTTAGCCTCCTTTTGCCTCCGATTCCTCATCTTTAAAATGGAGACAGTGATAGTAGCTGATTCAGTGGTGTTTATAAAGATCGACTGAGTCATATTCGATTCACGAAGCACTTCAAACAATGGCTGGCATGTGCAAAATTCTAGAGTGAACAATTTGGAGCCCGGACTCTGAAATCAGGGAGAGTTTGAACCCCAGCTCCCAAGCGGAATGCAATTGTAAGAATTTAAGAGAGTTGCTTAATTTTTCATGTCTCAGTTTTCCTATCTGTAAAAGAGGCATAAAAACATTACCCAACTCTTAGGGCTGGTGTGGCGATTCAGTGAGATAATCTGTGGTGACAGATGCTGGATGCTGACGTTGCACTGCCTCTGAGCTGGGCTGGCTGACCCGCACTTGCACGCCCCGGAGAGTGAGCACTCCCTGCAATTCTGCACTCCGTGTGCCTCATTTGCCCCACCCTGGTCCCAGCCCTGACTTCTGAGCTCACAAAGCCCTCTGGAATAACATTAATAATAACATCCATGAACTAATTAATATTACTATCTAGGACTTATATGAGAGTGGTTAAGAGCATAGACTCTAGAGCCGAACTGCCTGGATTCTAATCCTGACTCCATAGCTGTGTGACATTAGGTAAGGTACTGTATCTCTCTGTGTCTCAAGTTCTTTATCTAGAGAATGGGCATAAGAATGGTATCTACCTTCTAGCTTTGTTGGGAGGTTTAGATGAGTTAACGTGTAAAGCATGTTTTTTTCTTTTTCTTTTTTTTTTTTCTTAGAGATGAGGTCTCGCTCTGTCACCCAGGCTGGAGTACAGTATTATGATCATGACTCCACTGTACTCCAGCCTAGGACCACCACACCTGGCTAATTTTTTTAACCCCATCTCTACAAAAAAAAAATACAAAAGAAAATTAGCTGGGCATGGGGAGGCATCCCTGCAGTCCCAGCTACTTGGGAGGCTGAGGTGAGAGAATTGATTAAGCCCGGCAGGCTGAGGCTGCAGTGAGCTGTGTTGGCACCACTGCACTCCAACCTGGGTGACAGAGTGAAACTCTGTCTCAAAAAAAGAGAGAGAAAAAAAGAGAGAGGGTCTCACTATATTGCCCAGGCTGATCTTGGACTCCTGGCCTGAAGCCATCCTTCCACCTCCACAAGCATGTTGAACAGTGTCTGGCATTGGGTGAGCGCAATATGTTGTTATCCCTCTGAAGTCACAGAGCCCTCGAGTCCTAGTATTATTAGTATTAGTATTATATTAATATTTTGCCCATCATGAGCTCCTTAAGGATCCAGGCCATAACTCATTCCTCTCTTTCTCTGTAGCACCAGGAATGAACTATGATCATCTCAGTTTGGCAAGTGAGGAAACTGGCTGTGCCCCCAGGGCCCGTGCAGCTCACCTGCTCTGATCCTGGTGCTGCAGCCAGCACTGGGACCCGCCCACACCTGCCTCCCACTGTTCCTGCTGGTTGGGGGAGCCAGGGGGTCTTACCTCACAGCCTTTGGCCATGGCGAAGCCCCCTCCCAGGAGAAGGATGATGTTCCAGGGCACTGTCTCCTGGGCCTTCTTCCAGGTCAGCAAGGGCTCTGTCTCTGTGTTGGGAGCTGGGCAGAGAGAGGGATTCAGCACACACTCAGGGCCGCTCAGCCTGAGGCAGAGGCCACCAGCCCTGAGCCCCATCTTACCGGGGACACTCAGGGGTCCCCAGGAAGCCAAAGTGTGGATCCAGCATTTGACTTGGAGCTTTAGGGAGAGAGTGCACAGGCATCATGATAGGTGGAGCTGCTCTATTCCCAGTGAAAATAATTGTCATGGTTCCCACAGCTTGGGAGTTTTTGGAAACTCCACATGCAGGACATCACTTAACTCTCCCAACAGCCCTTGGGCACAAGTGCTATTTTTACCCTCATTTATAAGAGAAAAGGCTTTCTTTGTACTGGAACATGTACAGAGAGGAAAGAAAAAGAGGAAGGAAATTTAGAAAAATAGAAACAAAGGGTATTTTTGAGCCCCGAAATGATGGGATGATTTTTATTTCCTCGCAAGTGGCAGCGCTGCAGTGGTGAGGACAGTGGGCGGGGGAGTCAACAAACTTTCTGCAGGGGGTTAGCGAGTGAATCATTGAGGCTTTGCAGGCCACACAGTCTCTGTTGTCACTACTCCGTCGTTGTAGCATGAAAACAGCCAGAGACCATACCTAAACGTGTGGGCATGGTTGTAAATAAAACTCTATTTACAAAAGCAGGTGGTGGGTTGGACCTGGCACGTGGCTGGTAGTGTGACATCCCTGGGTTGGGGGCATAGGCTTGGAGACAGACCTTCCTCAGTCTTGGCTTACTGCATGCCCTTGACAAGTGACTTTGCCTCCCTGAGCCCCATTTCCTCAGCCGGCACATGGCACAGTTACAGAACCGGGGAGTCCCTGTGAACACGAACCAGGACAATGATGCATCTGCAGGGAGATGAGGCATTTCCAGTTAGCTGATAGTTGCATCCACAGGGTCTAGAACAGTGCCTGACACCTGATGGTAACTCCGTAAATATTTGTCAAATAATGTACATGACACACTTAGACCCATGCCTGGTGCAGGGTAATCACTCCTGAAATAGGACTTTTCTTGGCAGGCTGTGACCAGGGAAGCAGGGAGGATGGGTCTGACTCCTTTAAGGCAGTTTACCATCTCCCAGGACACTTCCTGGTCAAGCAGTTATGGAAATTTTGCTTCTCCTTTTGAGCTTTTTCCAAACGTTACACAGTGGTCTACCTAAAACAAGATTTTATAGTCAGGAAATAAAGATAATAAAAGCTACTTAATAAAATCCTTCTACCAGCAAGCATGCAGTCCACAAGTGTATGCAGCCCACAGGTGTATGCAATCCACAGGTGTATGCAGTCCACAGGTGCATGCAGTCCACAGGTGCATGCAACCCACAGGTGTATGCAGCCCGCAGGTGTATGAAGCCCACAGGTGTATGCAGTCTACAGACGTATGAAGCCCACAGATGTATGAAGCCCACAGGTGTATGCAACCTACAGGTGTATGCAGCCCGCAGGTGTATGAAGCCCACAGGTGTATGCAGTCTACAGACGTATGAAGCCCACAGGTGTATGCAGCCCACAGATGTATGAAGCCCACAGGCGTATGCAACCTACAGGTGTATGCAGCCCAAAGATGTATCAGTCCACAAGTGTATGCAGCCCACAGGTGTATGTAGCCCACAGGTGCATGCAGCCCATGGTATCTACATGCAATGCAGGTGTCATATACCTTGAGGGGATTCTTGGGCCAAATGCAACATACACTTAAGCCCAGAACTGGATGAGGTAACCAGACATGGCAGGTGGCCCAGCCCTATGCCTTCAGATGATAAAATGTCGTTTCATTAAAGAAGTACAAGAAGTCTGAAAAAGTGAAGCGACTTGCCCCACGCAGCAGGTAAGGGTGGATGGGACTGGGGAAGGAAGAAAGCCTTGAGCAGGGTCCCATGTAATGCAGATTAAATGGCGAGTGCGTATCAGACTGTCTGTCACATGCCAAGTGCTCAGTTAATGTTAGCTACCATGGGTTTTATTGTTTTCCCATCCAACCATGCCTTTGCTGCTATTTCTCATAAGCACAATCTCTGACTATGTGGATTTCCCACTGCAGCTCAACCTGATACCAGCCGACTGTCTACAGCAGTAGCTGAAGGCACAAGCTTTGAACTAGACTTGAATCCTAGCTCTGCTGTGCCCCAACTGTGTGATTTGGGCCAGTGTCACTACCTTTCTGAGCCTCGATTTCCTCTTCTGCAAAATGGGCTAACAGCACTTCCCTCGGAGACTTACTGGAAAGAAGAAATGGTCCCACTGTGCAAAGGACTCATCCCAGGGCTTTGCCCAGAGCAAGTCCCTGGCTATTTATTTATTTTTTATTTTTATTTATTTATTTTTTTTGAGATGGAGTCTCGTCTCTGTCGCCCAGGCTGGAGTGCAGTGGTGCGATCTCGGCTCACTGCAAACTCCGCCTAATTTTGTGTATTTTTTTTTAGTAGAGACGGGGTTTCACCGTGTTCTCCAGGATGGTCTCGATCTCCTGACCTCATGATCCGCCCGCCTCGGCCTCCCAAAGTGCTGGGATTACAGGCGTGAGCCACCACGCCCGGTCAGTCCTTGGCTATTTATTTAGCAAATATATATTGAGTACCTGCCATGTGTCAAACACTCTTCTGGGCTCTCAGGATACAGAAATGGTCAAAACAGAGAAAATTTGTCTCCTTGGAGAACTTATATTCCAGGGGGGAAGTCAGGTGATAAACAAATAAATATACTGGCCGGGCATGGTGGTTCACGCCTGTAATTCCAGCACTTTGGGAGGACAAGGTGGGCGGGTCACCTGAGGTCAGGAGTTCAAGATCAGCCTGGCCAACATGGTGAAACCCCATCTCTACTGAAAATACAAAAATTAGCCAGGCATGGTGGTGGGTGCCTATAATCCCAGCTACTTGGGAGGTTGAGGCATGAGAATCGCTTGAACCCGGGAGGCAGAAGTTGCAGTGAGCTGAGATTGTGTGGCTGCACTCCAGCCTGGGCAACAGAGCAAGACCCTGTCTTAAAAAATAAATAAATAATGCCAAGAAATTTCATGTGCTATGAAGAAAAATAAAATAAGGTAAAGGAATAAAGAGTAACACAGGAAGACGCTTTTCTAGATGGTGTAGTGAGGGAAGGTTTCTCAGGAGGTGGCATTTGGACAGAGCCCTGAATGAAGTGATGGAGTGAGTCACGAAGATCCCTAGAGGAACAGCTAGTTGGCAAAGAGGAAAGAGAAGTCGTCGTCGTCGTCATCATCATCATCATCATCATCATCATCAACTACTTTTCCACCACAAGCACATAGTAGGTACTCAATCAATATTTGAATGACCACAAAGGGTGAGAAATGCAAGTGCAACTCAGACCCACAAAAGAATAGTGGGGTGAGTATAAGAAGAAAATCAAGGCTGGCTTGAATGCCTGGTTCTATGTCCTGTCTCTCTCTTTCCCTTTGTCTCTTTGTCTCTCTCTCCCCCTCGATTTTTCTTTTTTTTCTTGAGACAGGGTCTCACTCTGTTGCCCAGGCTGGAGTGCAGTGGCAACATCACAGCTCACTGCAACCTTGAACTCCTCAATCTTCCTGCCTCAGCCTCCCGAGTAGCTGGAACTACAGGTGTGTGCCACCACACAGGCTAATTTCTTAAATTTCTGGAGACAGGCTCTTGTTATGTGGCCCAGGCTCTTCTTGAACTCCTGACCTCAAGCAATCCTCCCACCTCAGCCTTCCAAAGTACTGGGACTAGAGGTGTGAGCCACCACACCTGGCCCTGACTCTTTTTAATGAGCAGGGTGACCTTAAACAAGTCACTTTCTCTCTATGGAAACTTACTGACCAAAATATAAGACTCCACAAAAGTCTTTAGTGTTAAATACCAGAAAGTATCACATCAGCCAAGTCTGCACAGGGTCACTGGTGGCCAAAGGACAGGCAGTGCTCATGGAGTTCCCTCCCCACCCACTGGGAAATGCTGGAAACTCCAGTTCAAAGACCCCTGGGCTAAGGGCACACATTGGCATTCCATGGACCAGACTTAACACACATGTTTTAGTGCTACTGTTGTTGGCCCACATAGTATTTGTTTTTCAACTTGAATGAGTTGCCAATATTTAAAACCAGGGAGATTCCACATAAAAATCTAGATTTTTGGCTTCTTTTGAAAAATCAGCAAATCTGACTAAACTAGTTCTGTTCTCCTGCATGGGCACAATCAGTGGAAGCTAAGTAATATCCGTCCCCTTTAATTTAAGTGGGGATTGGCTCACCAATTTTCCACAGACCCTGCCTTGCCACGAGACTGAGGCACTCATCACTACTTTTTTTTTTTTGAGACAGAGTCTTACTCTTTCAACCAGCCTGGAGTGCAGTGGCGTGATCTCGGCTCACTGCAACCGGGTTCAAGCAATTCTTCTGCCTCAGCCTCCCAAGTAGCTGGGGTTACAGGTATGTGCCACCACACCCTGATAATTTTTGTATTTTTAGTAGAGACAGGGTTTCGCCATGTTGGCCAGGCTGCTCTTAGACTCGTGACCTCAGGTGATCCACCCACCTAAGCCTCCCAGAGTGCTGGGATTACAGGTGTGAGCCACTGCGCCCAGCCTCTCACCACTTCTTACTGATCTCAGCTGTTGTCTCCCTTTGTATAATAAGGAAACTGCTTTCTGTTTCAAAAATGGGAAAGGAAAGATTCACAAGGAGGGCCATGTGTTTCTTGAGACACATATTCCTGTACCCAATCTGCTGTATACAAATGTTACCTTCCATCTGGAGAAAAATATAGGTCAAATATATATAAATATATATAATATATAAAATAGATTATATATTTATAAAACATATAAATATATACAATATATAAAATAAGTGTTACCTCCTTGTAGGCAGTTGAGTTACAAACTCAATTGTAACCCCTGATCTATAAAGCCAGTAAAAGCCAGAGGTGGAAGGCATCTAAGGGACTCCCTCATTTTCTAAGTGAGAAAGTAAGGCTCAGACAATATAGGACCTTCCCTGAGGTCACCCAGAAAATTAGTAGCAGAGCTGAGATGCCAGTCATCTATGTCATAGTGAGGTAGGAGGCAGGACTCACTCCAGGGTTGGGGCTTGGGAACCAGACCAAATTGAGGACCAGCTAAAACAGGTCCTGGGCGGAAGCAGCTTTCCATAAGACACACCCACCAGTATACCATGTCAATCTACCATTGCCATGGCAACACCCAGAAGTTACCATCCCTTTTCATGGCAATGATTCAACAACCTAAAAGTTAACACCCTTATCCTAGAAATTTCTGCATAAACTACCCCTTAATTTGCATATAATTAAAAGTGCATATAAATATGACTGCAGCACTGCCTCTGAGCTACTACTCTGGGCACACTGCCTATGGGGTAGCCCCACTCCACAAGAAGCAGAACCTCTGCTGCTGCTGTGCACTGCTGTGTCAATAAAAGTTGCTGTCTAAAACCACTGGCTTGCCCTGGAATTCCTTCCTGGGTGAAGAAGCCAAGAACCCTCCCAGACTAAGCCCCAATTTGGGGGCTCGCCTGCCCTGCAACAATAGCGCCTTCCCCATGGGCCCAGCTGAGAGAAAGCCCTGGGCATTGTGAGTTCAACCCCAGGTGCCAGAACCATGGATGGGCACCTGACCAAGGGCAGCTGATCCATAGGCAGGCCAGGGATCTACGAGGCTGTGAAGTAGCCTTGTGGAAGGAGATCTGCCCAAGAAGAACAAGCTGGACCAACCCGACTCTTACTCTCAGATGCAGCAATGGGAAACAGAGACCCACTGGGCAAAGAGAAGTGACACCTGAAGGTGAAAGAATGAACAGAGAGGCTGTATGACACACAGGGGCATGACTGGGCTGAAGTTGGGTGAGGAAGCAGAAGCCAGGAGGAAACAGATACTGTGAGGACACAAAGGCTCCAGGGAAGCAGAGGCTCAAGGCATCAGATGGGCACCATGAGGAAGTGGCTGCCACCAGGGGGAAGAAGCTAGGAAGGAGCAGAAAGTATGAGGGGCGATGCCACAGGGAATAGAAAACATGAGGAAGTGGAGTTGGCAGAAGCCACGGGGATCAGACACTATAAGGGAACAAAAGTAGAGACTAAAATGAAGCAGAAACTATAAAGGTGCAAAACCTAATAAGCAGCAGAAACCAGGAAAAGGTTAAGAAATTGTATACAGAGGGAATGATGAGAACAGCCATTTGGAAGACTGACTGGAAAAGAAGCAGAGATGGAGAAAAACTGAATCCTGTTCAACTGCAGAGTACGCAGGCCCACAGCTAAGCCTCCTTAGACCCAGTTCCAGCCTCCCTGAGGTCCAGCTATGCTACAGGAACTGTCTATGGGTCGCACATGGTGGCTCATACCTGTAGTCCCAACATTTCAGAAGGCAGAGACGGGAGGGTCACTTGAGGCTAGGAGTTCAAGACCAGCCTGGGTAATGTAGCAAGACCCCTGTTCCTACAAAAAAAATTTTTTTGAGACAGGGTTTCACTCTGTCACCCAGGCTGGAGTGCAGTGGGTGCCATCACAGCTCACTGCAGCTTTGACCTGCCAGGCTCAATTCACCCACCTCAGCCTTCCAAGTAGCTGGGACTACCAGGAATGCCTCACCACGCCCAGCTATTTTTTTTATTTTTTAATTTTTTGTAGAGATGGGGTTTCTCCATGTTGCCAGGCTGGTCTCAAACTCCTGGACTCAAGCAATCCACCCGCCTCAGCCTCCCAAAGTGCTGGGATTACAGGTGTGAGCTACCATGCCCAGCCTGCTACAATTTTTTTTTTTTTTTAAATTAGCCAAGCGAGGTGGCTCACACCTGTAATCCCAGCTTCTTGGGAGTCTGAGGTGGGAGGTTCACTGGAGCCCAAGAGTTCGAGACTGCGCTGAGCTGTGATGGTGCTACTGCACCCCAGCCTGGGTGACAGAGTGAGACCCCATTAAAAAAAAAAGAAGAAGAAGAAAGAAAGAACTGTTTATGGAGCTTGCAAAATCCTCATCTTCCTACAGGACACATACACTATACTCCCCACACTCAAACCCTGACTCTTCCATGGCTGGGGCTATCCTGAGTGACACTATTTTTCTCAACAATAGAAAATAGTTTGATTATAGTCCCTATTTCCTGACTCCGGAGGAGCTCATCCAACTGACCCAGGTGGCAGCCTCAGGTGTTGGCGTCACCTTCTGGTAGACATCTGCTGGACACCGGAGGGAGTCGCAAGCTGGCAATCTGAAGGCCACAGTCTACAACATTTTGGTTAGAGGTACTCAGTGATTTTTTAAAAATGGAATCTGAATGCCTTTAGGCAGTTTTTCCTCAGTCCCCAACACTTCCTATACGGTTGAAACCCAGCTTGTGTTTTCCATGTGTGGCTCCCTGGGCAACCAAGGTGCAACTCCTGCTTTGGGCCAAGGGGTCATTTTTCTGCAAAGGACAAGAAAAATAAACATTTTTTGCTTTTGTGGGCCAAGAGGCAAAATTGAGGCTATTGTGTAGGTACTTATATAACTAAAGAAAATAAATTTCCACAAATTCCTTAGGGGAAAGCAAAATTTGATACATGGACACTGAAATTTAGATTTCATGTAACTTTCACATGTAGTAAAATGTTTTTCTTTTGGTTTTTTTTTCAACCATTTAAAAATCTGAAAACTGTGCTTAGCTCACAGGCTGTTCAAAAACAGATAGCAGGCTGGATTTGGTCTGAAGACTGTAGTTGCTAACCCCTGTCCTGGACTACCACCTGGGGCAGCCCTCAGTCCCCAGACAAGGCAATGGCTCAGACAGTGAAAGGAGAAGCAGGAAGGACCACGTGGTTAGTGCAGTGGGGGGCTCCAGGCCCTTGATGACCACACTCCATGCCGCAGTCCTCACTGAGCCCACCGAGACCCCAGCCTTGACCACCTTACCTTTGAAGTCAAACCACCACTTGAGAGAGGGCCTTTGGGACGGGAAGAAGAACAAGATGGTGACAATAGCCACGCCGGTGACAGCATCAGAAAGAAACCTACAATGAGAAGGCCCCAAATCACGTGACCATGGGCATCTCAGCGGGCCGAGGTTTGGCAGAATTGTAAAGGAGGATTTGTGGAAGGGAATTAGGCCTGCTGTGAAGGGGCCATTGTTGGAGGCTGGGCCACTGGATTCTGTCCTTCAGTGCGCTCAGCATGGTGCAAAGCTCTTCATTCACAGCTCCCTGGGGGCATTTAGATGCTGCTTGGGCTCAAGCAAATGCTTATCTTCCCAACTCAAGGACCCTACGAAGAGGGACTTGACCAAAGAGGGGAGAATCCGAGGGCCGCAGAATATTGGAGTCCTTGGAACCCCTATAAATCACCCTCACCGGGACTCCTGTAAGAGCCCTGTCTTTGTTCAGCTTGTGCTTGAATCCCTCCTGGGATGGGCAGCTCACTGCATTGAGATACAGCCCACTCACACCAGTGGAACCCAGATTGACCCAGCCTCTTGGCCCCTCAAAACCTAACTGTCACGTTTCAAGCATCCACAATGTGTCCTTTAGGGGAGTTTTGCGCACATTAAGCCCTCGGGGCAGGCACTTTCCATTTCAGGTGGAGAATCAGAGGGTCAAAGAGCAGAAACAACTTGTTCAAGGGCAGACCCTGAGCAAGTCATTTTGTTAAACTGACATACAAATACAACCAAGATACCCTGTAAATTGTATTTTTAAAGTTTTTATTTGCAGCATTGGACACAATTCAATAAGGAATTGGTTAAATAAATTGAAGTGCTCCCATTCTGTAGACCCTGGCCTGAAACTCAGATTGTTCTGGCTCCAAGTTCAACAAAGCCTAGAGCTCACTGCTAACCAAAGCTCTTTCCACTCACACATTTGGAAAGGAGAGTATTCAAACAGACAAGAAGTTGGAAGAGATGGTCAATATCACTATCATCAGAGAAATGCAGATCAAAACACTAATGGTATACCATTCATTTGCCAACAGGCAAGACTTGAAAAGGAGAGTAAAACTGGTGAGGGTGTTGGGAACATATGCCCTTAGTGAAAGAATAAACCAGTTTAACCTCCTGGGGCATTTGGCAACATGTTTCCAATTTTACATGTAAATACCCTTTGATCCAGTTATCCTCCTTCTAGGAATTTAACCTTGAGAAACAGTCGTACTTTTGTACACAGATTATGTGCAACGATGTTCATTACTGATAAGAGTAAAAAAAAATTGGAAGATTTTTGATAGACACATGTTTAAAGAAATTGTGTTCCATTCATATTATGAAGTACACTGCATCTGTTTAAAAAAAGATAAAAGATAACGTCAATCTATGTATTGACATAGAAACACAACCAAGACACCCTGTAAATTTTATTTTGAAAGTTTTGATTTGAAGCATTGAACACAATCCAATAAGGAATTGGTTAAATAAATCAAAGTGCTCCCATTCTGTAGAGTACTATGCAGTGTTTTAAAAGAATAAATTTGTGACCTGAGTCCAAGAAAATAAAATTAAAAAAAAAGAATGGAGTAAGTCCAAATGGCAAGTTGTCCATGATCATATTATTATATTTTACAGTCTTTTGTTATATGTATACATATTTGTATGTGTGTATGTATGAAGATATGTGTGCGTATCTGGAATGTCATACACCAAACTGCTCATGGTGATGATCTCTGGGCAGTGGGACATAAAGTGGATAAAGAGCCACTAACTTTTCCTTTTTCAATTCAGCATTGTTTGAATTTTTATGAGTATGCATAACTTTTGAAATTCAATACAAAATTAAAAAGCGGATTACAAATAATATGTTGACGTGATCACATTTCTGTTAAAAAAATCTTCTTTTAATAGGGTTCTAAAAGCCAATTGGCATATGTTTCATTGAGGTATAATTAACATGCAATAAAATGCACCCATTTTAAGGGTATAGTTTAACAAGTCTTGACAAATGTATGCAGTCCGATAACAGCGTGATCACAATGTAGAACAGTTCTCAGATAGGCATTGTTTAAAAGTCAGGAAAGATGTATATCAGAATTAGAGACTGAGATTTAGCTGATCTTCACATTTTCTGTATTGTTGAAATGCTTATAATGCCCATTTTGCATCTGAAAAAAATAAAGCATCTACATTTTAGAAAAATAAAAAAATGGTAAGAGCAACAAGAGCTTCATGGCTTCATGAAATTATATTGTTTCTTGCTTATAACAACCTTCAGGAGATCAGAATTTATGTCACCCATTTTACCAGGGAAGAGGTTGAGGCCCAGAAGGTGAGATATCTGGATTGTGCACTGCCCAGTATGGTAGCCACAAGCCACATGTGGGCTAGTGGGCACTTGAAATGTGGCAAGACCAAACTGACATGTGCTTTAAATGTAAAGCACACACCAGATTTTGATGATTTCACATGAAAAAAAGAATGCAAAATATCTCACTAATAATTTATACATAAAATATATTATTCATATTAGTTTCATCTGTTTTTCACTTTTTTAATATAGCTACCAAAAAATTTAAAATACATATGTGGCTCACATTATATCTCTCTTGGATGGGGCTAACTGAAATAATCAGATTTCACCAAATCCAGCAGATACATCTCTATTTAATCATGTTCCCACTCACACCAGAATTTGACACAGTGCCCACTCACGCTTCTTAAAACACTCCCCTCTCTTGGCTTTTGCTGGTCCATAGCTCTAAGTTTTCCTTCTACCTCACTCACCATCTCTCTGTTTCTCTGGTAAATTCATTTTCCTTTCCCCAGCTCCCAAGTGCTGGGGTTCCTCATGGTCTATACTCTACTTAAACACTTTCCATAGCTGAGCCCATTGATTCCTACGGATTTAACTCCCAAATTTATACAATGACTCCCAGATTTATGTCTGCAACCTAAACATCTCCTCTAAGCTCCAGTCTTGCATATCTAACTGCCTATTGAGCTTGACAAGTCTAAACCAAGTCCAAAATAGAATTATGAATAAGCCATTCCCAGCCCCCTAAAAAATATTCTTCTCCAATTAACCACCATCCATGCAGGTACTCCTTTCATTCACACCCCCCAATCCAACCCAGCACAAGTCCCACATTTAACTTTGAATGATATCTTGACTGCTACATTGCCATTGCTACCACCCTCACTCAAGCCATCCCCCAGACCAGGGGTCAGCAAATGTCTCCTGTAAAAAGCCACACAGTAAGTATTTTGGCTTTGCAGGCCACATGGTGTTTGTCTGGACTCACATTTGACATTGGAGTATGAAAGCAGCCATAGACAATATGTAATTGAATAGGTGTGGCTGTGTGTCAATAAAACTTTATTTGCAGACACTGAAATTTGAATTTCATATAATTTTCGTGTATTACAAGACGTTGTCTTTTGATTTTTCCGCAGCCATTTAAAAAATGTAAAAATCATTCAAAATCAAATGGCGGGCCAGATTTGGCCCAAAAAGACACGGGCCATCTAGATGATGTTATAGCTCCTAACTATTCTCCTCGTCTATATTTTTGCCCCCACTACCCATTTCCTAATGAATATAGCTAACAACTATTGAGTTCTTTTTATGAGCCATTTTAATCACTTGACATGTATTAACTCATTTACCTTTACAACAAGTCAATGAAAAACGTACTAGTATAATATCATTTTACAGATTAGGAAACTGAGGCACAGAGAGGTTGAGTACCTTACAACCCTCCAATGGCTGCCCACTGCTCACAGAAAAAAAACAAACCAAAATGCATAACATGCCCGAAAAGACACTCTGATCTGGCCCTCCCCTACCTTTCCTCACCCGCTTTCCTTCCTTCCCACCAGGCCTCGCTCCCACTGGGCTTTTCTCATTTTCTCAAACATGCTACGTTTGTTCTGACTCAGGCTTCAGTAGACATTCCCAGGGCATCTCCACTGCTTTCATCTGCAGTCTTCCTAAGCTTTGGCTCTTCCCAGAACTGTCCAAAGTCAATGCCCCTGCTCTATTATTTTATAGCATAACCCTCTCAGTCTTTCCTTCATAGCACTCATTGCAATGCAGTTGTTTTGTTGTCTAACTACTTGCTTTTGTCTGTGTCCCAGCATCCAGCATCCAGCTTAGCACATAATAGGTTCTCAATCAATGTTGATTGAATGAATGAACGATTTGCTCAGTCACACAGCTCGTAAGTGGCAGAGCTAGAATTCTAACCCAGTTTAGTCTGACTCCAAATCCAGAGCTCCCAACACATGAGAAGTCATATTTTATCACCCAAACCTAAACTCTTTTGAGAGTGAAAGAGGGACCTATTAATAATCATATGGGACAAAAGATGGAAACTTGGATGCGTGTCTCCCCAGCTGCACTGCCGCCTCTCCAGCTCCAGGTGGCCCAGCCCAGAATCCTCCCTGTTGGACTCCTCCCTGTGGGTCCCCAGAGTCTCACCCAGGATTGAAGAGGCTGGCCCAGCCAGGGATGAACTTCGGGTCCCGGGTGAAGAGGAGGATGGCAAACATGCAGAAAAGGATGAAAACAGCCTGTTCGGCAAACCTGTGGCACAGACATGCAGGCATGATGGTGACCCCGGGTTTCAGGCAGACCGCAGCAGGCACAGGCTCAGGCAGCTGCCCACTGGGAGTGACTGGGCCCGGGCTCTGCCTCTGAGAAAGCTGAAGTCATCCACTCCCCAGGGAGTGCCCAGAGTGAGGGGAGGGGTGCCAATGGACTGTAAATGATTCCTGTCCTAGGACTTCCACGATCCCTCAGGATCCTTCCTGAGCCTCAAGCCACCCCCTCCCCGAAATCGCGTGTTTCATTATCACCAGGAGTTTACCAGGGTCCTACGGAAAATCAAGAAAGTGAGAAACAGAGACAGAGTCCGAAAAGCAGAGAGGAAGAGAAACAGACAGAAATGCAGTAGGCAAAGAGAAAGAGGAGCATTCATACAGAGAGAGAGAGAGACAGAAAAACACACAGTCTGTCTACACCGAAAGGAGAAGACACAGAGAGGGGACAGACCTGGAGAGAGGGTGGATGAAGGTGGAAAGAGAGGATCCCCAAGAGTTGGAGGAGACAGTTACCCAATGTACCCATTTCACAGACTGGAGAGCAGGGCCCAGAGAGGGTTAGTGCCATGACCAAAGCCACACAGGACATGAGTGGCACAGCTGGTCCTTGAACACAGGCCTACTGAACCCGTTATTTTCACCATATGGAAATGTGCATTAAACAAGGTCCCGGAAGTCACCTGAGATAGTGTCAGGTATTCTGCGTACCGGGAGGGAAACGGTGCCTTGGGTGGAAGGTAGCAGATCCCACTGTAAGTACACTCTGAGGGGCTTTTTGGTCCTCAGGTTTCTACCCCAGCACCACGGCAAGAGGTTGACTGTGTAAACCACCTCCCATCCTCCATCTCTAGGCTCCCACGCCACGGGTCCTGGAATTCCCCTGGAGCTCAGCCCCCATGGGCCCAAGGCCAGGCCAGGAGGAAGCTCTCCTGAGCGTTTAATACTCAGCTCTTTCCTTAACCCAAGGGCCCCCACATACTTGATGGGCCCCAGGTTCTGGTATTCTTCCCGAATTACAGCTCGAGCCCTATCTTCTGCATTGGTTCTTATCTCAGATTTATTCTTCCTCCAGCCCCTGAAACAGAAAGTGGGAGATTAGGAGTGGCCACTGCAGGTATAACTAACTTCTCACCTACAACAAGCACCACCACCTGACCAAGCCACATCCTCTCTGTCCGGGAGGCTGCAACTGCCTGATAGCTTGTCTCCCTGCAACTGTCTTCCTTTGCTACAGTTGTTCTCCCCACGTATAGCCTGGTTGATCTTTGAAAATGTGAATCTGATGATATGACTTCCAGGCTTAAAATCCATGAGTGGGTCAAACAGGCACATGAATAAACACAGGAATCAATGGAACAAAACAGAAAGTCTAGACACAGACTCAATCACAAATGGGAATTTAGTCTATAATAAAATTGCTATCTCAGATTGGTGTGGAAAAGATGGGCTATTCAGTAAATGGTATCAGACATATAGATCAATGGAACAGAGTTGAGAGCCCAGAAATAAACCCATCCATCTATGGCCAGTTGATTTTTGACAGGCGTACCAAGACTGAATAGTGGGGGAAGGAATAGCCTTTCAACAAATGGTGCTAGGAAAACTGGACAGCCATGTGGAAAAGAATGAATCTGGACCCCTACCTCACACCAAATACAAAATTAAACCCAAAATGGATTGAAGACCTAAATGTTAGAGCTAAAGCCATAACACTCTCAGAAGAAAAGGCAGGGGTAAATTTTCATGTGCCTTGGAATAATATGGTTAGAGTTAAAACCATAAACCTCTCAGAAGAAAGGGCAGTGGTAAATTTTCATGCCCTTGGAATAGGCAACAGTTTCTTCAATATTACGTCAAAAACACAAGCCATCAAAGATAGATAAATTTGACTTCATCAAAATAGTAAAATGTTGTGTGTCCATAAATGGTGTTAGGACACTGGGTGACCATTTGGGACAAAAAAAAGTGAAGTTGAATCCAAACTTCACACTGTACCATAAGGATGAACTCCAAATAGATTAGAGGTTTAAATGTAAAAAAAAATAATAATACTAGAAGAAAACATATGATTATTCTTTTATAAGTCCTGTATTAGGAAAACCTTTCTAAACTGTAACTGAAATTTCAGAAACCATATGAGAAAAGATTGAAAAAAAAATTAAAACAATTCTGCAGGGAGAAAAGCACCATAAGCAAAGCCAAAAGACAAATCAGGAAAAAAAATGTAGCTTCTATTGTAGAATAAGCACTCATCTTTCTAAAATATAAAGCATACCAGAAACTAGTAAGAACAAGACCAAAAACCCATTTGAAAAAAATGTATAAAAATATGAACACACAGTTTCACAATTCACAGGAAAGAAAATACCTATGAACAAACTTTTCATATGCTTCCAAACCTATGAAAAGTTGCCCAAAATTACTGTTCATAAAATAAACACAAGTTATTTTTCTCTTATCAGATTGGCAAAAATCCACTTTGCTGCAAGGAAGCAGACACTCTCATACATTGTTCATGGGAGAGGAAACATGTACGATTTTTATGAAGAATGATTTGATAATATCTATTAAAATAAAAATGTGTTTATTCTCTGATCCAGAAATCCCACTTCTGGAAATGTATCTTATAAAAATGCTTGCTTCCTTTGAGCTACAGCTGCAAGGTAAAAGAGAAAAAAATAATAAAATAAAAATTAAAAAACAGCTGGGCTTGGGTGGCTCATGCCTGTAATCCCAGCTGTTTGGGGGGCCGAGGTGGGTGGATCACTTGAGGTTTGAGACCAGCCTGGCCAACAGAGTAAACCCCTCTCTCTACCAAAAAAAAAAAAAGGCACAAAAAATTAGCTGGGCAAGGTGGCAAGAGCCTGTAGTCCCAGCTACTCTGGAGGCTGAGGCAGGAGAATGGCCTGAACCTGGGAGGTGGAGGTTGCACTCCGACATGGTGCCACTGCACTCCAGCCTGGGTGACAGAATGAGACTTTGTCTAAATAAATAAATAAATAAATAAATAAATAAACAAACAAACAAAAATCTGTCACGGAGGCCAGTCACTAGAAAAAGATATCTATGTCTGCTCATATTTGCTTAAGAAAACTCTGGAAGGTTACACAAGAAACCAATAAAAGTGGATGCTTGTTTGGGAGGATATCGTGGCAGAAGAGGCCCATGGTTGGGAAGAGGGGTTCTCACTGCATACCTCTTAGCGCTGTTTTGATTTTTGAGAAGCATATGTATGTATTGCCTATCCAAATTAAGGTAGCCATATTAAAAAGTAATTGAAGTAAGCAAAATAAATATAGGAAAACAAAGTGCCAGTATTATATTTTGGCTAGTTATCATTTCTGGCTCAAGTCTCTGGGTCTGAAGCTTGCTCTTTCTTCGTTTAGAGGTTGATTTGGAAATGTTAGATATTAAGGTTTCTTTAGCACCCAACTGAGACTTTCTCCTCAACGTAAGTAGACTGAGTGATGAGAGTTGATAAAGACATATTTCCCATAATATGATTTGGTGTTATTTAGTATTTTGTCCTCATGCCACCCCAAATTATCTTCTGTATCAGGGCCCCATAAAATGGGAAATCGTGCACTCCCCTCTTCTCTGGTCAAGAGTGTTTACCTTATTTAAAGACAATACTATTAATAATTATGAATAATATGTGACATCAACAGAGGGTCTGTGTGTGGCAGGCAGGTCACACCTCTCACTTAATCCTCACATCCCTGGGAGGTCAAGAAATGAGGATATGGCTAGCACGGTGGCTCACACCTATAACCCCAGAGCTTTGAGAGGCCAAGACAAGAAGGATCACTTGAGGCCAGAAGTTTGAGACAAGCCTGGGCAATATAGTGAGACTCTGTCTCTACAAAAAATTAAAAAAAAAAATTTAACCAGGCACAGTGGCACTTGCCTGTAGTCTCAGCTACTTGGGAGGCTGAGGCCAGAGGAACACTGAACCTGGGAGATTGAGGCTGCAATGTGCTATGATCGCACCACTGCACTCCAGCCTGGGCAGCAGAGCAAGACCCTGTCTGTAAAACTAAATGCATACATACATACATACATACATACATATATACATACCTACATACATACATACATAAAAGAAAGAAATGAGAATACAACATGAAATAACAATCATCCTCAGTTTTCATAGGCAGATACTGAGGTTAGAAACGCCATTCCCTGCTTCCCCACTCTATTGCCAAAAAGAAAATGAGAGGTACCTGAAGCTCAGTCCCCCGTACAGGAAGGAGATCCAGAGCCAGCCTGCCAACAGGAACAACAGCATAAGAGGGAAGGCGAAAATGAACCAGGAGCCGAAATTCACCACGTCACACTGCGGAAAGAAACTGGAGAACAGCGGGAGATGAGAACAGGCCAAGGGCAGCCATGCCCATTTTGGGAGTGGGAGAGGGGACCAGGCAGTACTAGTAGCAGCGGGGAGGAGGAATGAGAGGGTCCCATGGAAGTCTTGGGAACAGTGTTTTCCACCAATTCTAATAGAAGCACCCTTTTTTCCTCTTCTTTGGAGGCTGCTGGCTTCTGACCTAGTGGGACCAATGGGTGCCCTACAGTCAAAATCTCTGCCCCCTGGAGGCCAGACAGGTACCTGAGTGAGTGAAACAGGCCAGGCTGGGCCATGGTGAATTGAAGAGAGCCCTGCTCATTAAAGGGCTCAGCTGCTATTTGCTTCCCCATGGTTGCCATGCAAGAGTGCAGGGCCAGTAAGCCCAGGTTTGGGTTTTACTTGAAATTATGTGATGTTTAAATGTTGACAATTCATGAAAATGTTTTAATGAATGTGGGAGTCACATATAACACATCTGCAGGCTGAAACCTTTGCCCTCCTTATTACATATGCTCAAAGACCCTGGGCATTTTGTCCAGGCAATGGTGATGTCGATGAGTTCTTTCTCTGCTGAACGGTGTCCAATCTCAGTTTTATTAAGACATCATCAAGCCTGAAAAGATGAAGGGCAATAACACTCAGTGCTGGTGAAGATGTGGAAAAACAGGCAGATTCTTGATGTTTGTTCGTCAGAATATTCTTTTCTGGAGAGGAATTTGGTAAAATGCAGTAAGAGTCTTAAAAATGTGCATATCCTTTTACCCAGAAATTCTACTACTAGAAATAAACTTTAAAAAAACAACCAGAAATGTGGTCAGGAATATAAGTGCTAGATTGAAAAGAGGAAAAGTAAGTTATAGAATGATGTATACAAAAGTATGTGGATACTCACGGACATTTCTAGGTAAATAATAAACCAAAACCTTAACAGTTATTGTATAACAAATAAGCAAACAAAAATATTAATAAACTCTATATAGTGGGATTCTAAGAGGTTTTTATTTCCTCCTTTTTCTCTACCTGTATTTTCTACAATGAATAAGTATACCTCTATAATTAGACAAAATAAAAATATTGTTTTAAAAATATTAAAATATCAGCAAGTGTGTGGTCAGTTACATAATTTGTAATAGCAAAATAATAATTATTATAAAATGAAAACAATCAATGCTTATGATTAAAGCATGTACACCCAAAATAAGACAATACATAGTCACTAAAAATTATGTTTTCTAAAAAATTTTAATAATAAAATCAGACTATAAAACTGTATTAAGAGCATAGTGGCAAAAACGTTAAATATATACACATTTAATATATGGACATAGAAAAGTCTAGAAGAAAGTCTGTTAAAATATCGACAGTGGGATTGGAGGTATTTCAAACTTCTTTTTCTACATTTTCCAAATGTTCTTTAGTGTGCCAATATCATTTTATAATCAGAATAAACCAATAAAATGTATTTTGGCAACAAGGGCCAAAGGACCACTCAGGGCAATCACTTCTCCTCTCCCCAGGCTTCTCCTGTTCTCAGCTGGAGAATCAAAATCACATATTACCTAGCATTCCTTTTAAATCCCCTCTTCCTACACCAGAGGGTCTGCATTTGAGCCCTTGTGTTGCATAAGATTTGCATGAAATTTACTTGAAATCCCACATTTGATATTTTTACTGTATATATGTTAATATTATATATTTTATGTATTATATGTTAATATAATATATATTACATACTTAAACATACATAAGATATATTTTAGAAAATATAAATATGAAATAGACATATAAAAAATATAATTTCCCCAATTTCATTTCAGGTTGGAACAAAGTCCTACTCACATCAGGGCAGGCAGGCAGCCTGTAAACGCTTTGACAACAACTGCTCCCCTCCAATTCTCTCCATCCCCAACCTAGGCTCTGCTCTCCATCCCCAGAGCCCACATCTTCCTGTCCAGCCCTGGGGATGGGTCCTGGCAAACCCTCATACCAAATGCCTACCTTCCCCCTTGGCAGAACGCTAAAGGGCTGAGCCTAGATCCTCCCCACACCTGAAGCAGGACCATCTTTGCTTCTGGTTTTTCTGTCACTGAGCTAAAACCAGAAGGCACAGCCAGCCTTGTTTAAAGGATAGTGATAAAAAGACATCTAAGGTTTGCAGTAAAACTCAGTGGGCTTAAATCAATTGGTGAAATACACCCACAACTTCTTTTTTTTTTTTTTCACCTCTCCCAGTGCATGGTTGACAATCACTGGTTTCCATCATCAAATCTTAAAATCAAAGCATTTTGGAAGCTGAGAATGTATTGGCAATTCATCTCACTCAGGGGTTAAGGTTTTAAAATCAGCACATGTGGCCAAACATGGGTGTACTAAAATCTCTTGTGAAAATACCTATAATGACTCACATGTATGTTACTGAGGGTTGCACACATAGCAAACCTCTCTCGGGGAGATCAGCAGGGCCTCCCTTTATTCATCCCCACAGGTTTTTGATTCTTTGGTTGGCCAACAGGTAAAGAAGTCAGCTAGTATTTGCAGCCACGTTGAATATCAAATACTATTTGGTGTCCTTTGTTGGCCAAATGCTTACATTTGCATTTATGTAAATCAAATGAACCTATGCTACATCTCCACTGCAAGGAATCTTAGAAACCCTGCCTCGGAATCCTGGAACCTAAAAGTCTTAAAGACAGAATCTTGAAATACTGAAGTTTTAAAAGCTTAGAAACCAGAGGTTTAGAATAATGGGAGCGGCACGTTGTGCAGTTGGAACATCTTTTCTTTTCTCTTTTCTCTTTTCTTTTCTTTTTTTTAGAGCAGGAGTGAAAGTTTATTAAAAAGTTATAAAGCAGGAACATCTTTCTTTTATCCTCGTGCCCTGACCGGCCACCCAGTCACTGCTGACCACTTCCAGGGGTGGGGAGACTTTAGCTCCCAGCAGAGCCCACTCCACTGGGGGACCCTGCTTATGGTTGGAAGGCTTCTCTTGGGCCATGACGGCCACAGACCCATGCCTCCCGCTGGATCACTCCTCTGCTGTGACCTTTCCAATGACCCCCATCTCACTTGGAGGAAAAGCTGGAGTCCTTAGACAACACTTACCGCTATAACCTTTTGTCTTCTCACCTTCCCTTCGCCCCAGGCTCTTCGTCTCCCTGGTTTTCTTGCTGGTCCCTGAACCTCCCCAGGAACAGCTCCACCTCCAAGCCCTGTAGGAGCTACTCCCCACTGTCGGCAATGCCTTTCCCTCCTGTGTCCACATGGCTCATTCCCTTCTAGGTCTCTGCTCAAATGTCAGCCCATCAGAGAGAACGGGTGTCCTTGACCAACCTACATAAACTAGCACCCCACTCTCCTCACTTCTACCCTCTTTCCCTGCTGTATTTTTTTCCTAACTTATCACACAGATATATTTTATATTCATTTGCTTTTTCACTTATTGCCTGTCTCTCCCGCCAGAATGGAAGTTCCCCAAGGGCAGGGATCTCACTGGATTTTGTGCATTGCTGTGTTCCCAGAGCCTGGCCCAGAGAAGGCCCTCAATACACATTCCCTGGATGTTGAATGAAGGAGGGAAGAGGAGGGGAGGAGCAGAACCCTCCCCGCCGGTGGGGACTCTCGCTTTCACCTCTTGAGCTGGCCAAGCAGGATGAGGTTAGGGGCTGTGCCCGTGAGTGTGGCTGTGCCCCCAATACTGGCTGAGTAGGGGATGGAGATGAGGAAGCCCTTCCAGATGTTCCGACGATATTCATCCTCCTTCCTGGAGTCAGCCGGCAGATCCAGTGGAACCTCTGTCTCCCCAGGGTGGTCTTTGCTTTAAACAAATCCAAAGAGAAGCCATTCAGAATACATGGAGAACAGGCCACAGACTGCCTGGGAGTTGGGGAGCTAAGTGATCTTTCTAGAAGGTAATTTGGCACAGGTATCAAAAACCCGTAACAAGGTGCAACTCTTCAGCTCAGATGTTCTACTCTAAGAATGTATCCTAAAGGAATAGACAAGTGTCTCAGGTGTGGGTACAAGGGAATTCACCATGCCATTAAATATAATTTAAATGAAGGACAGTCTAAATGCCCATCAAAAAGGGGCTGATAATAAAGATGACTCTCTTCCTGAATGGAACACCAATGCAGCTATTAAATGGATGCTTACTAAGATGAGAGCTGTCCAGTCATAAACTATAGTGAAAAGGCATGTCACAGTACTATTTAGTTTTTTATTTTATAAATACTTATGTTGCAGCTGGGCGTGGTGGCTCACTCCTGTAACTCCAACACTTTGGGAGACCAAGGCAAAAGGATTGCTTGAGGAAAGGAGTTTGAGACCAGCCTGGGCAATATAGTGAGATCCCATCTCTATAAAAAAAATTTAAAAATCAGCTGGGCATGGTGGCACGCACCTATAGTCCCAGCTACTCGGGAGGCTGAGGCAGGAGGGTTGATTGAGCCCAAAAGTTTGAGGCTGTAGTGAACTTTGATTGCCCCACTGCCCTCCAGCCTGGGTGACAGAGTGAGACCCTGTCTCTAAAAAAAATTAATAAGTAATAAATAAAAATAAAGAAATGGCTATGTTTCATGAATATAAGAATATTTAAAGTCTAGAAATATATGCAAGTTGTTTTGATACCTTTCCCAGGAGTGGAATTACATATTATTTTCCTTTTTTATTTTCTGGGTTGTTTTTCTTGTACAGTTAAAGAGTTTTGGGAAATAATGAAATTAAGAATTACTAAGTACATAAGTAAAAGATCATAATGTTGGCATTATTGAGATGAAATGATGTCCGCTATTCTCCATTAAATAAAATAGGTATTTGGAAACAGACTGAAATGAAGAAAAAAATGTGAAATAGCAGGTTACAAAACAGCGTACATAGAATTATCAATTTATGTTTTATTTTATTATTTATTTTTATTTTTCATTTTTGAGACAGAGCTTCACTCTTGTCACCCAGGCTAGAGTGCAATGGCATGATCTCGGCTCACTGCTACCTCTGCCTCCCGGGTTCAAGCGATTCTCCTGCCTCAGCCTCCCGAGTAACTGAGATTATAGGTGCCCACCACCATGCCCAGCTAATTTTTGTATTTTTAGTAGAGACAGGGTTTCACCATGTTGGCCTGGCTGGTCTCGAACTCCTCACCTCAGGTAATCTGCCCGCCTTGGCCTCCCAAAGTACTGGGATTACAGGCATAAGCCACCGCGGTAAAAATGCATCTATGTATACAGCTGTCTGTCAAGAAATAGTCTAGAATGGTATTCATTTAACTGTTATAATCTACCTCTGGAAGTGAGATGTTAAATGCATTTATCTTTTATTTCAAGAGTATTTTTTGACATATGCAATTGTAAATTGTTTCTAAGCGAATGAAACTGAGAATTGCTGTAGCACTGATAGATATGTTAATGAGCTTGACTGTGGTAGTCATTTCACAATGTGCCCATATATCAAAACATTACATTGTATATCTTAAATATATATAATTTTTATTTGTCAATTATACTTCAATGAATCTGAAAAAAAGATAAATTAAGATTTTTAAAAAAGTGTTCTGTGTAACAAATCAATTTTTTTAAATTAAAGTGGAAATTAAAATGAAAAAATATTTACTTAAAGAAGGAAAGATAATTCAAATACCCTCTGGCCTGAATCACTACATAAGGGACTCCTTCCCCAGAGGGCAATGTGGACATGAGCTGGGGTCTGAGTAGCTGATTTCCAGTATGACAGGAAGGCAAAGACCAGAAGCAGGTGGAAACTACCGTCATGGTCTGACTTCTTAGGAGTGGCAGGCCTGGTCCAGAACTGTGGCCTCCCTCAGACCTGGGGACCCTAACCATCCTGAGTATCGAAAAGAGAAAAAGCAGAAAGGGCCCTAGAGTTTATCTAGAGCAAACACTTTTTTGTTCAGGTGAGGAAACTGAGGCCCAGAGAAGGGAAGGGGTTTGCATCCAACAGATGTAGGCTTCTAGAGGGTGAGGACTGGGTTTTGCAACAGACCCAGTGCAAGCACTGCACAGGCAGATGTTTAAAGCATATTTCCAGGCCACACAGTCATGAGTGGCTGAACCAATCACAGAACTCATGTCTCAAAGTTGGACTCAAAGCCCCCAAACATGGTGCCAAGAGGGAGCACAGGCTGTGGGATGAAACAGGCATAAGGTCATGCCCCTCTCCTGCTAAAATCTCCATCAGCTCCCATCTCATTCAAAATCAAGGTTATATCTATGGCTCATGATGTCCCACATGCTCTGTCCTCCACCATCACTCTCTCCCCCCCGAAGCCAACTCTCAGACCCCACCTCCTACCATGTGCTCACTCATTCACTCGGCTCCAGCCACACTGGCTTCCTGGCTGTTCTTTGACCTCTCAGGAGCTTTGCACGTGCTGGTCCACACGCTGAGAACACTCTTCCCATGGATTCCCCCACCACTCCCCACCTCTTGCAGAGATTTGCTCAAGGACGATCTTCTTGTGATGACTTCCCTGACCACCCATATTCAAACTGCCCCTTCCCAATTACCAGCTCGCCTCCCCCACCCTTTTCCTGCTTTGATCTCCCTCTGAAGCTTATCAACCACCCAACACACCATGGATTACATTCACTTATCCATTTCTTGCCACTAGAATGTAAGCCCATAAGGGCTGGGCTTTCTGTCTTTTCCTTGCTGTATCTCCATCCTTAGAATAGTGCCTGGCTCATCGTAAGCTCCCAATAAATATTAGTGAATGAATGAAATAGACCGGATCAATGCCCAGCACTGCCTTGAGCAGATCGCTTGGCTCCCTGTTGTGTCATCACTGTTAAATTGAGATCACAATGTCATAATAACAAGTGCTAACATCTGGACGTGTAAGGTCCAGCCAACCTGCTCTGTCTACATTATCTCATTGTCTCACACAGCCAGTATGGAGCAGAGCCAGAGTTCGAAGTCAGGTGTTTGTGACTCCAAATCCCATGATCTTAACTACACTGCCATAATGCAAAGGATACTGTAGACTAAATGCGATTTCAACATCAATGTGAAGATGCTTTGTAAGTCATGTAGGGTGAAGGGCTGTTATTGTTTTATAAGGAATTTTTTTGTCTGTATGGACTGTTAACCCTGCCTGCAACCCTCTCCTCCTTGACTGTCATGCAGTTTGTGCTATCTTGCTTTTTTGGGTCTCTTCTTTCAAGAGGAAAGTACCTGTGATCCTCAACCTCACCAGATCTTTAGGGATTTAATGTGCTGCCCTACCCTTTCCATGTCTGCATTTTTTTTTAAATGAGGCTGTTGAGGTTAATGTTTAAGCCACAGAGATGAATGGTGGAAACTCAGGCATTAGGTCATTTGGAGAAAAATTCAGGGATGGGAGGAAAATGGTTTGCAGCATTGAATTCTTGTTCATCATCTCCTTGAATCAAGCACTGGGTCCTCTATGAATTTCACCAGTAACTTACGCTTCTGTGCTGGCGAGAAACTGCATCTCCGTGGGCACAGTGTGTAGGCCGTTTCTCCGCACAGCAGCTAGGAGGAAAGAGCATGATGTCTTTAATGTAATGTAGCGAATGGAACAGGAGTGTCCCAAATCTTGTGAAGTCAGTCAAGAATGCTTTCTTTGCCAAGGATCCTATACTACTCACTGAATCAAAAGACAAAGACAGAGAGAGAGAGGAAGAGAGGGAGGAAGGGAGAGAGAGGAAGGGAGAGAGGGGGAGGGAGGGAGGGAGAGAGAGATGGAGGAAGGAAGGAAAGGAAAGGAAAGGAAAGGAAAGGGAGGGAAAGAAAGAAAGAAAGAAAGAGGGAAGGAAGGAAAGGAAGGAAGGAAGGAAAGGAAAAGAAAGGAAAGGAAAGAAAAGGAAGGGAAAGGAAAGGGAGGGAAAGAAAGAAAGAAAGGAGGAAGGAAGGAAGGAAAGGAAGGAAGGAAGGAAGGAAAAGGAAAGGAAAAAGAAAAGAAAGGTCATTCAGCATTCTATCCTCCTGTCCTACCATCCATATGTGAAGATGTGCCCAGGCCTGTTGGCAGGGGTTTAGCTGCAGGGCTGCTTGACAACCCATAACTCAAGCTTAGGCTTACCTGAGCAGCCATTGCCAAAGTTGTGAAAGGCCAGCTATGAATGGTAATGAGTCATCAATGGGTTGGACGACCCCAATTGTCCATTCATTCATTCATCCAAAAAGTATTTATTGAGCACCTACTATGTGCTATTGACTATGTTCTCAGGGTACTCTGTGAACAATATAGAACAAGGCCCCTGGCTTCCATGGAGGTCATACTCTAGAAGGGGAGGCAGGAAATAAATGAATAAAGAAAATTTTAGGTAGGGACAAATGTATGGAGGAAATAGAACTGGGTAATGTGACTGGAAAGTGGAGAGGGGAGTAGGTGGGCTCTCCCTTCAACAGAGAAGACACTGTGTGCTGATGGCCTCGGGTCTGAGACCTCAAGGATAAAATGGAATCCATCCTATGAAGAGCCCTGGGAAAAGGGTGCAAGGAAACAGGAACAGCAAGTGCAAAGGCCCGGCAGTAAGGAGGTGCTTGGCTGAGATGAAGAACTGAGGAAGCCCATGTGCTGGGAAAGAGGTGTATAGGAAAGGCCTAGGGGAGATGGGGGTGGGGACGGAGTGGGCAAAGGCCAACGGGAACTAAATCAGGGAAGGGGACCCCCTGCAGGATTTAATGCCCAAGACGATATGATTTACATTTTATAAACAACTCTGGGCCTGGTCCGAGAGAATGGACGTAGGGAAAGGGGCAAAAATGGAAGCTGAGAGTCCAGTTCTGGATCTGTTGCATTTTCCAGCTAAGATGATGATGGCTGGATTTGGCTGGTAACCATACAGACCCTGAGAGTAATAAGTGGTGGATGTGTTTCAGTTCTTTTGAGATAAGAGCTTGGTGCAACTTGGAACCCAGAGCCAAAACTGGGGCACATGAACCCTAGCCAACTGATCCCTCAGCAAATCGCTATGGAGCACCTGTCATGTACCTGGTGCTGAGTGACAAAAGATGAAAGTCCATGTCCTCATGGAGCTGATCTTCTGGTGGGGGAGACAGACCACACACGACTAAGTAATATACGCAGTATGTCAAATGAAGATGCATGCCATGCAAAAGAACAAGGCAGGGAAGGAGCCAGGCATCCTGGGGTGAGACACCTTCTTCAAGGCTCAAAGAAAGTCTGATGGAGAAGGAAAATTTGACTTTGAACCAAGACCTGAAGGTGAGGGGATGAGCCAAGCAAACATCTGGGGCAAGAAAGAGCAGGTGCAAAGGCCCTGGGGTGGGAGCACACCCAGGAAGCAAAGGGGAGGCCAGTGGAGCTGCAGGGGCCAGAGGGAGGAGAAGAGTAAGAGGAGGCAAGGTAAGAGAAGTGGCAGGGGGTGGAGGTGGTAGGAAGTGGGTGGGATCATGCAGGGATCTCAGAGCTCACAGGAAGGACTGTGGCTTCTCCTCTGAGTCAGGTAGGAACTAGAGTAGCATTTGAGCAGAGGAGGCTCAGGACAGGAGCTAACTTTGTTTTTAAAGTTATTTCTCTGGTCAAGTGTGGTGGTTCATGCCTATAATCCCAGCTACTCAGGAGGCTAAGGCAGGAGGATTGCTTGAGCCGAGAGTTTGAAACTAGCCTGAGCCAGATAGTGAGACCACATCTCTAAAAAACATTCTCCAAAAAATTAGCTGGGTGTGGTGGTGCATGCCTGTAGTCCCAACCACTCCAGAGGCTGAGGTGGAGGATCTGTTGAGCCCAGGAGTTGGAGGCTGCAGTGAGGTATGATCATGCTACTGCACTCCACCTTGGGTGACAGAG
The DNA here is from genome assembly GCF_000001405.40 of Homo sapiens. NCBI lineage: Eukaryota > Metazoa > Chordata > Mammalia > Primates > Hominidae > Homo > Homo sapiens. Next base: position 46,602,322 of record NC_000020.11, read on the forward strand.
AAAGACCTTGTCTCTTAAAACAAACACACAAAAATAATAAAGTTATTTCTCTGCTTGATAGACCAGACTCCCCAGCAGCCTTTGACAGTGTTTTGGAGAAAAGAAAATTAGAATGAATTAAATGTTCCTGCAGCTGGAACCACCACCAAGAGTAAAATAACTCACCTCTGGGAGTTGGGTGTGTGGCTGGTAGCCAAACACATCAGCCTTGGGTTCAAATCCTAGCTCCATCACTTACAATGTGACTTTAGGTCAGTAGTTCCCAGCGAGGGCCAATTCTGTACCCAAGAGATGTTGGGCAATGTCTGGGGGCATTTTTGGTTATCACAGCTTGGGTGGAAGGGCAAAGTACTACTGGCGTCTATTAGTTAGAGACCAGAAATGCTGCTAAACATCCTGCAATACACAGGTCAGCCCACCCCAGCAAAGAATTATCCCACCCAAATGTCATTGGTAATGAAGTTGAGAAACCCTGGTTAGGGTATATCCCTTAATCTCCCTATACCTCAGTTCTTTAATGATAAAATGGAAGTAACCATTCTAGGATTGTTAAGAGGATTAAAGAGTTAATCTACTGCCAGGTGTGGTGACTCACGCCTGTAATCCCAGCACTTTGGGAAGCCGAGGTGGGCAGATCACCTGAGGTCGGGAGTTTGAGACCAGCCTGACCAACATGGAGAAACCCCGTCTCCACTAAAAATACAAAATTAGCCAGGCATGGTGGCGCATGCCTGTAATCCCAGCTACTCAGGAGGCTGAGGCAGGAGAATTGCTTGAACCCAGGAGGTGGAGGTTACGGTGAGCTGAGATAGCACCATTGCACACCACTCCAGCCTGGGCAACAAGAGCAAAATTTCGTCTCAAAAAAAAAAAAGAGTTAACTTATTAAAAGCAAGGATCAACAAACTTCTGTAAAAAGCCAGATAGTAAACATTTTAGGTTTTGGGGGGCCATGAGGTCTCTGTCATAACAACATCTCTGCCATAGGGGCAGAAAATCAGCCACAGACAACATCAATGCTTGAGTGTGGCTAAACTTTTATTTGGGGGACATCAAAAAAATTTTTGTTTTGAGATAGGATCTCGTTCTGTTGCCCAGGCTGGAGGGCAGTGGCACGATCACAGCTCACAACAGCCTCGACATACCAGGCTCAAGTGATCCTCCCACCTCAGCCTCCCAAGTAGCTGGGACCACAGGCATGTGCCACCATGCCCAGCTAATTGTTGTATTTTTTTTTTTTTTTTTGGTAAAAAAGAAGGTCTTGCTATGTTGCCCAGGCTGGTCTCTAACTCTGGGGCTCAAGCGATCCTCTCACCTCGGCCTCCCAAAGTGCTGGGATTACAGAAGTGAACTACCACGCCTGGGCTGAAATTTGAATATCATATAATTTTTCATGTCACAAAATATTTTTCTGCTTTTGATTTATTTCAATCACTTAAAAATATGAAAACTATTCTTAGCTCCCAGGCTGTAAAAAAACAAGCAGTAGGCTGGATGTGGAGGGCCATGCTTTGTCAATCTTGATATAAAGACTTCAACAGAGCTGGGTAGTCCCAGCTCTTGAGAGGCTGAGGTGGGAGGATTGCTTGATCTAGGGAGGTCAAGGCTGCAGTGAACCGTGATCATGCCACTGCACTCCATCTTGGGTGACAGAGCAAGACGCCATCTCAAAAAAAAAAAAAAAAGACAGAAAGAATTTAACAGGAAGCTGAGTACTAGCAAATGTTCAGTAAATATGGGTTACCATAGAGAAAGAAGAAAACAGAGCATAGGGAATGATTCTGACACTCAGAGCCTGGTCACTTCATTCTCCATCATCTTGTCTAAGGGCAAGGTGGCTGTGTCACCCTCAAAATCCCAACATCCCCCTCTCTTGCTAAATGAGTGACTGCTCCTTCCTTACCCAGCTCAGAATTGCCTCTGGTCTCTCTCAGTGCCCAGCCTCCAGTCCAGATCCTGTCCTGGGTTCCTTTTAACACCCCCTTCCTGAAATAATCAGGGTAGCTCATGGCATGTGTGCCCCGCCCCCTCACTGCTGTAGTAAATGATAACTCAGCTTGTTTCATTACTAGGGTATTCCTGGGGTCTTTGGTGAAGGCCATTGACACTCTTCAAGGAACCCAAGCAAGACACAAAAAAAGTTTGATTTTTTTTCTTTTTTACATGGGATTTTCCTTCACATGGAAGTCAGGCCACATACACAGCCATGTGGACATTCCTTGTCTCGCCCCGTGGTTTGGGGAAGTCCCTTCCACACCACGGGCCGCTCTCGTGGTACACCGTTGGTACCATGAGGGAACAGGATTCCATGGTGGCTGGCTGTGTCATTTTTCCTGTGCCTGGAGCTGGCCCTGTTGACCCCCTGCAGGGGCCTGAAGATGAAAGTTGAATCAGCTGCCCTGGGCCATAGGGATGAGGGCCCCTGAGCACGAGTGCTGGGAACAGGTCCACAAGCCATGCACGAGGCCAGGGTCCAGGGCACTGAAGTAGGAAGCGAGGGACTATTAATAGCACACTAAGGTTGGGGGCAAAGTTGCTCCCCAGGGGATGGCCAGACAGTAAGAACTCTGACTTGGTGACCCCCAGTCCCCACCATCGCTAGCTCGCTCTACCCTCTTCCCACCTGGGTGCTGTGCAGGTGATTCCTTTATGCAGCCAGGGTGGACAGCAACTTGTCTGAGGTTACAGATAGGGAAACTGAGCTCACCAGTTTGCCACAGCCCTCGCCTGGCCCCGTTTGCTCTGCATCTGAGTTGAAGAGCCCTGATAAGAGATTGTATGTGCTATAAATAAGGCAGTGAAGGGTATTCGTACACACAGAACTCTAAACAGTAATTAGCTTTATCATATAAGATCAGGAAGGAGGGAGTTTTGCTTTTTCCTTATGGAGATTAGTAATGTAAGAAAAGTTAATATCAGGCATTATTTTCTGATGATGATGATGATAAAGTCATGAAGATGAAACTGGAAAACCTGGTGCTGAGCAGAGCTCTTAGGCATTTACACAGGATCCACCCCTGTGCTTCCTGTGACCTCAGTGGCCCAAGAGACCACATGGAAACAGGCCAGTGGAGCAAAGTCCCCAGAGAGACTTCTCTGGGTCCAGAAATTGCCAGTTGATTAGAAGCTTGATGCTTCTGTAGGGTCTTATTCACATCATACAAATCCTTGAGTTTGTGTCAGGCCAGGGGATGGAGAACTTTCACATTTATAATCTTACAGCTGTCTCCAAGCAGCCTTACAGAGCTATGCAAAGTTTATTACCTTCCTCTTCACAACTGGGGAAACTGAGGCCTAGAGAGGTGGGCTAAATTGGGATCAAGAGGACCCAATGGGTCAGTGGCAGAGTCAGGATTATACCCAGAACTTTGGATCTCCCATCCCCTGAACCTCGGTCCATCTCCAAGGCACCCACCTGTCACTTTAGCAGGTCTGACGTGAAACTGATAACTCTAGTCTAGCCTCCCTGGTATGACTAAGATGTTCTTAAAATTTGACACGAAGAGGGCCCTCAGGAAAGAGTTCTTGTGTCAAATTAGGTAAACGGCAATCCAGGGAAGGTCAAAAGCCCCCAAGTTAAGCAGGTTTATATCCATTTACTCACTTAGCACTCATGTCAGCCTAAGTAGTAAGGATTATTATCCCTGTTTTAGGTTTGAGGAAACTGAGACATAGAACAGTTAGTTCAATGGTCTATTTGTGTATTCATTAATTCCACACATTTATTGAACATCTACTATGTACCAACAGTGTCTTAGGTGCACAAGACTGCACCAGTGAAGATTCACAACAATGAGAAAGACTGATAGGCCCTTCACGGAGCTTGGAACCTGTGGAGGAGACAGATTATAAACCAGGAAGCAAATCAATCCCGCTCAAGTAGGAGGGGAAACACCAAGGTGGAACGAGGTAGGAGGTCTTATTACCTGTGCCTCCAATGCCTGGAAGTCTCATAGGTAGTTTTTAATACAACTGCCATATATTAACCACTTCCTATGTACCTGGCTCTCGTTTCTCACGTAAGAGGCAGTGTCCTTGTTTTATAGATGAGGAAAGTTGCAGAAGGTTGGTTAGCATATGGATGAGCACCACGCTTCACTCAACATTAAAGACCCTTGTGTTGTGAAGGGTGGCATCCTGGGCCTTCCTATAAAATAAAGATGTAGATGGCAAGTTAGCTTTCTATGGACAGAGAAAAGGAGGGGAAAGAGTTTAGATTCAAAAGCCAGGTGGAAGGCCAGATATGGTGGCTCACGCCTGTAAGCCCAGTGCTTTGGGAGGCCGAGGCTAGAGGATCACTTGAGCCTGGGAGTTTGAGGCTGCAGCGAGCTGAATGCACCACTGCACTCCAGCCTAGGAGACAGAGGAAGACCCTGTCTCTAAAAAACAAAAACAAAATCCAGGTGGGCCCCTTACTGGCCAAGGAACATTGGGCCTATCATGGCTGTGAGCTTCAGTTTCCTCATCTGTAAAACAGGCATGCTAATAGTGCCTCCCCACAGGGCTGTGGTGGAGGACCTAATGAGAGCGTGCATGCAGGGGGACATTGGCGAAGCCATCACTCACATGGCCCCTGGGTCCCCCAGGAAGTGCAGGGCACAGAACTGAGCAAAGGAACTGGAGAAAGGCAACAGCGCTGCCCTCCAAGTCTGAGGACCTCTGGAGTCTTATCCAGATAGCCCCACCCTGCCCTAGGTTCTGCCTCCTCTGTACCAGGCACCATGGCAAGGTGCTTATAAGCACAGATTCTGGATTCTGACAGAGCTCAGCAAATCATCGTGTTACTTTGGGCAAATCATTTTGCTTCTCTGAGCCTCAGTTTCCTCATCTATAAAATGGGCATCATTACCTCCTAGTACAATTATGAAGATCAGATGAGCTAATGAGTATAAAAAAATTAGCATGGTATCTGCATGTGGTGGTTACTCAGAAAATGGGAGCTCAGCTCACATGATGATTATGGTTGCTGCTGGTGCTACAGATGTCCTTCATGAACCTATAGCTCCTAGGAACTTCCTTGTGCCTCTCCTAGCCCACTGGCAGAATCTCTACTCCCTCCACCCCTGTCCTCGCCTCCTGCCACCTGGTCAAAGCTCAGAACTGGATGAAAGGGAATAGCTCTCTTTGTACTGGAATTAGCCTTGTTTTAGGTCTTAGAAGCTGATCATTAACCAATTCCTGCTCCTCCCTGATCCCATGGCCTGTAAAGGTAGGTATCTATCCCAACCCCCAGGATCCCCTCCCTCTTGACATCCTGCAGCATAGGAAAAGGCTCTGGACTTCAATGCATGGCCACCACTGTGTGTGGCCTTGGGCAAGTCCCTTCCCCTTCCTGAGTCTCAGATTTTTCATTCTCACAATGAGGGACTTGGCTTTCAATCATTTGCTTGACCACTTTGGAAAAAGTCTCATGTGGGAGGCAGAATAATGGAGCCTGAGAATGTAGGCTCTGAAGTCAGCCAGCCCGGATTCAAAATACCAGAGCCACAGTTTGGAAACTGCGTAACGGGGGGTGGGAGGACTCTTTTTAATTCCTTCCTCAATTTCCATTTCTGTAAATGAGGTCGATGCTTGCTCCGTCTCATTCAGATATGAGGTCCACCTAAGAGTCCGCGCATAAACTAAGTGCACAGTAAACATTGGTTATTATTGCTTAGAGGCCCAGTGTACAAAATGAATAAAGTGAGTCTAACTAGGGTTGAAATGGGGAAAAGGGCAGAGTCCCAGGTGCTTGCTGCCACCCCAGGGTGACCATCAGGCAGTTCTCTTAAGGGAAACAGTTTGAAAATCAAGAAAGCCAATATTGTACAGCAGGGGTCAGTGACCTACAATATGCAGCCCCAATCCAGCCCACCGCCTGTTTTTGTGTGGCCTGCCAACTAGGAATGGCTTCTACATTTTCAAATGGTTGAAAAACATCTATGGAAGAATATTTCCTGATACAAAAATTATATGAAATTTTAATTTCAGCACCCATAAATACAATTTTTTTGTCACATTGCCACGCCTGCTTGTTTGTTTTATCTGTGGCTGCTTTCTCACTGCAAGGGCAGCGTTGAGTAGTTGCAACAGAGTGGCCCACAAAGCCTGCAGTATTTACTATTTGGTCATTTATAGACAAAGTTTGTTAATCCATGCTATAAAGCTTCTCTTCACTTCCTCGTGGAAGACTCTGCCGTTGCATAGAGCTGACTCTGCCACTTTGCCAATGCTATGATCCTCAACACATCATCTCACCTCTCCAAACTTCATCTGTAAAGTACATATAATCATTTCTAGTGTTCAGGGTTGCTGTGAAAATAAAATAAGCAGGACCCCTTAGTGTATGACGGGGAAATACTCATGTGACTGTCAGTGAGATTAACTTAGATGGTACACGGATCAACATTTAAGTTTTAACAGATACGTATTTAATTTAATTCATATTTTAAAAACTAGAACTAGCACACAAAACCTATGGTTTCATGGATAATGCTTGTTGTGTTCACTGAGGTAAATGATCCAAAGCCACAGGGGCAGATCTGCCATCTATCTCTCAAGATGTGGCTCCTGTCTTTGGGTCCCAGGTGCCATCATATTCACATTCCACCCGGCAGGAAGGACAGAACCCGGAAGTTGCACACATCATTTCCACTCATATTCCATTGACCAGACTCAGTTATCTGACCAAGTCTTATCACAAGGGGAGCTTGAAGTTTCAGCCTTTCCTCAGAGAGGAAAGTATTGGGTTCTATTCCTAAAAGAACAAAGGAAGAATCAATGCCGGGGTTAAACTAGCCATTTCTGCCCACATATGTATCAATTCAAATCTTCCTTTTAAAATACAGTTATGTAAATTAAAAGTAAGACATTTTAAAGTGACATGATGTGGCAGCCACTTTGCAACCATAAGACCAGGGGAACCAGAGTTGCCAATGAAAAATCATGACGTCATTGTGCCTCTGAATTGATCCTGGACTTCTTTAACTTCACTGTGTAATTTGGGAAAATCATTTCCCTCTTGGAGACTGTATGTAGTCACCTAAAAATACAATGGCTGTGTATGTTTTGTTTTATTAAGAACATAATTTCAGAGGATTGAGGGAATCAAATCCCTCCGTTCATAATACGTTATCACTATTTACTTCACAAAGCCTCTCTTTCCTATAATTGATTGGGTCTTTTTAGTCCTTTCTCTCCCCATTTCCCACTCTCACCCTTTCCATAGCAACCATTCTGATATGTTTAATGTGTAGCTTTTCATCATACATTGCTTACAAAATCTTTTGTCGTTCATGTGTATTTTCAGCTTACATATTGAGGTTGTATTCTAGATCTCATTCTGGTTTTTACCTCCAATCATAACTGCTCTATGAGATCCATTTATAGAAGTACATGGTTCACTAATTCTTCTCTCTTTTAAAAGGAGCATAATGCTCAATGGCATGTATCCACCATATTTGCCTTTGCCTGTACTAGCAATAAAGTGCATGTAGCCACCAACTTCCCACACCACAGAGAGCGCTACAGTGAATATCACTATGTGCGTTCCCTCCTGGACCTATAGGAGAATTCCTTTGGTGTCTGGGAGCAAAACTGCTGGGTTACAGAGTATAAACACATTTAATGTGATTAAATCCTTGCACAAGATCCTTAAGAAACTCTAACCCAGTCCACACTCTTTCTAGCAGTACACGAAAGTTCCTGTGGCCCCTATTCCTGTCAACATGGGGATTCATCAGCTTCCTTATTTCTGCCTGTCTCATTGATTAAAATGTTATTGTTTCAATTTGCATTTCTCTGAGTACTGGTGATGCTGAGCATCTCTTTGAATGCTGTAAAACAAGGTTTAATTATAGTACTTACTTCATAGAGCTGTTTTGAGAGTTAAGGAAGATAATGTATGTAAAGAGTTCAACTCACTGCTCAGTATACAGTATGTGCTTAATAAATGCAAATTTTAAACAACCAAGGTACCATGATTTCTTATCTAATTATCAGTCATTGTCATAACTAAAACACCTGACGCATAGTAGGTGCTCAATAAGTGTGCATGCCCTTGGCCTTCCCTAACATCCTTTGGACATCCCATTCCCACTTCCAAATCCTGGTGGATTTGGCCCCAATCCCTTAGCACAGCCTCACCTGTGTTCTCTTCACTCTCCTGGCTGGGGTCCTTTCGAACCTCCTTCTGGCCAAAGAGACTTTTCAGGATGGCATTGGCAATGGGAAGCATCATGGCAGTGGAGGCGGTGTTGCTCAGCCACATGGACAAGAACGAGGTGGTCACCATCATCCCCAGGATGAGCCTGCAGAGCAGATGGCATTAGAGGCAAATCCAGAACCCAGGGCCCAGGAGATCCTCTGGTCCCAGTTTGCCATCCCTGAGGAATACAATCCATCCATTTTACAGATGGAAACTTGAGACTCAAAGCAGAAACCAAATCCACTCACCAGGTTTATTTTAGATCTAAGAAAACTGTGGTTCAGTGTGTTTAAGTGAACTGTCCATAGGTACCCAGGTTATAAAGACATCCCAAGCCTGACGTTTTCTCTTTCTTGCCCTCAAATCCTCAATGATACCCATTTCAGAATAAAGTTGCCGGGGCACCAAGACACTCCACTATCTTTCCCTCATGGCCTTCTCAGCTTCCTCCCTCTTTTCCCCTCCTCTTACCAGCTACTCCCTGCTGCGACTCTGCTGAACTTCTCACCCGCACCCAACACCTTTACTCCCCTGCCTCCCTGCCTTTGCTTGGTCCATTCCCACCAACAGAATCTAAGTATCAGGATTTTTTCTCTTTATATTGAACTCTGAATCCACCTGGAATTTACTTAGATGCATAGTACAAAGTAAGATGTAAATTTTTTAATAGAAGAAACCAATTATCCCAACTCTCACCATTTATTGGAAAATCCTTCCTTCGGATTTGGGTTTCCTATAGATTTATTCTGTTTCAAAAATCTGTTTCCAGACTTGTGTCTTACTGTTTTAATTATTGTAATTTTAGAATATGTTTAAGAGCAGCCCTACTCATTATTCAAAGTCAAGCTCAAATGTGACCTCCTCCAGGAAGTTTCCCCCTATCTCCCTACCTCTCATGTGGGCTCTCACACCATGATGTGCCCCTTGGAGATCAAATTCCACTTGGCATTGGAATTAGTTCCATAGATGGAGTCTGTCCCACAGGACTGGCAGCTCCTCCAGGAGGAGGCGCAGCTACAGAGCCTAGCAGAGCAGATGGCACAGAGATAATGCTAGAAACCTAGGAGTCATCCAGAACCTTCTTTTCCTACGCCCTCCCCTGTGTCAATTTTATCACCCAAATTACTCTCAAATCTATCCAATCTGTTCATCTCCACTGCCACCTCCTAGTCCAAGCTGCTACTGTCTCTTGTCGGGACACTCTAAATGGCCTTCTAACTGGGATGTATCAGCTTCTCATGCCCGTACCCTCCTGTCTGACCTCTACAAGGCAGCTAAGACGAATCTTTAAAAAATGCAAATCTGAAGGAAATGAGACGTATTTGAAATAAAATGCAAATCTGGCCATGTCATTCCTCAGCTTAGAACCCTTTAAAGCACAGATTTATAAGTCTATGGATATAATTCAGAACTGGATTGGGAGAAAATGTGTATCCTCATTTTGCTAACATCTAATCAAATTAAGCATTTCCTTCAGGGATAAACAGGCAACAAAGTTGAGGTGTATGAGCAGTGCCTGAGGCTCTGTCACCCAAAAAAAAATCCCTGACATTTTCTCTTTCTTTTTTTTCTTTCTGTCTTTTCTTTTCTTTCTTTCTCTCTTTCTCTCTCTCTTTGCTTTTTTTTTTTTTTTTTTTTTTTGAGACAGGGTCTCACTGTTACTGAGGTTGGAGTACAGTGAGTGGCGTGATCTTGGCTCACTGCAACATCCGCCTCCTGGGTTCAAGCGATCCGCCCACCTCAGCTTTCTGAGTAGCTGGGATCACAGGCATGCGCCACCACGCCCAGTGAATTTTTTGTATTTTTGGTAGAGACAGGGGTTTTACCATGTTAGCCAGGCTGGTCTTGAACTCCTGGCCTCAAGCAATCCACCTGCCTCAGCCTCCCAAAGTGCTGGGATTACAGGCTGGGATTACACTGCGCCCGGCAAGATCCCTGATATTTTTATATGACATTATAATCACTGCAGACATCTTGAAATATCATCGACACTCAAAACTGCTCAACATTATGGGTGTGATTAGGCCTATCACTCGGTCTTGCCGTTTGCGGTGTTAATAAAACAGTACCTACCTGTACCAGGGCACAGGTGTCTGTGTTCAAAAAAAAAAAAATTAGATAATTGCATTTTGCTGTAGCTGTTGTTTCAAACTCTGTTGTGCATTATGCATTTAAAAACATTATTCTGGGAAGATCCTTAAGATTCACCAAATTGCCAAAAGGGTTTATGGAACAAAAAATAAGATGAAAATAAAACCCCTATTTTAAAGGCCACCCAATTCTCTAAGAATAAAAGTCCAAATCCTAGCCAGAGTGCCCGAGGCTCTTTAGGATTGTAACCCTGCCTCCCTTTCCCTTCAAGCCCATCTTCCCACATCCTCTGCATCCCCCCACCTTCAACTCCCACCTGATCTTCATCATCTAGGCAGGTAAATAGCAAACAAGAATGCTAACAGCCAGCATTGCCTGCTCAGGTCCAGGGGATTTGCCTGCATTTGCTCATCTAATCCTCACTAAACTCTATGAGGTGGGTGCCACTACATCACTATTTCACAGGCAGACAGAGGTTAAGTTATTTTTCAGAGCAGGTCACCTGGGATTCAGCCCTGAGCAGTCAGGGTCAAACTGTCAGTGTGGCCCCCTCCAAAACTATGGGACTGGAATCCCTGGGGGTGGGGCCTGGGGGTCAGCAGCTCATGTTCCCAGGTGATTCTTCTGCACCTTTGAGAACAGCTGCCCATGATGGGCCTAGTGCTGTGTCTAGCATGCAGCAGGTGCTTGCTAAATAGTAGAGAAATAAATAAATAAATAAATAAATAAATAAATAAATAAATGGTGGGAACCGATGAGTTTCTTGGCCTGGACGAGTAAATCAAGAAGAGCAGGTATAGGCTCCAGAGGTGTGGTCCCTCTGCCTCTCCGCTGTAGGGCTGGAACCATTACCTGTTCTTACCTGGCCGGCTGGACTCCAACAAGCATCAGGATCTTGAGGGCGATTCGCCGGTGCAGGTTCCACTCCTCAATGGCGCTGGCCATGATCAGCCCACTGAGGAAGAGGAAGTTGGTGTCGAGGAAGTACTGGGGGCAGACCTTGTTGGAGGGCAAGATGCCCATGAAGGGGAAGAGGACGATGGGCAGCAGCGCCGTCACTGAGAGCGGCAGGGCCTCCGTGCACCAGTACACCGCCATGAGCAGGATGACAAACAAGCAGCGGCCTTCCTGCAGGAGGAGATGCATGCTCAGAGGGTCAGCGGGGCTCGGGGCAGAAGGGGAAGGAGGCCCAGGGCTCAGGGCAGAGGGGGAAGGAGGCCTGGGCTGGGGGCAGAGGGGGAAGGAGGCCTGCGGCAGGGCCTGCCCCGGCTTGTTCTCAGGGCAGCAGTGGAGCAGGTGTGTGCCTAAGGCGTTGACTTAAAGCAGGTGGCATCACCTTTCTAAGCCTCATTTTGCTCAATTATAAAATGAGGAAGCTATTTTGGTTCACCTCATAGGACTGTTTGAGAATGAAATGAAATACATTGTTGTCTTAGAGATAAAGACGAGAATGAAAATAGTTTACTTGATAGAGGATCCCAGGAGGTTCTGGAAGGACAATGGGGAAATGAAACAGAAGGAAGCCAATCCAGAGAGTGTCCCATGAGAAGGTTACCACTGTGGACACCTGGATCTCAATTCTGATGGGGACAGGGCAGACCATGCTTCAGTGTATGTCCCATGAGAAGGTTACCACTGTGGACACCTGAAGCTCAATTCTGATGGGGAACCCTGGGGGACAGGGCATATCATGCCTTAGAGTTGTCTCAACTGGAGGCAAGGAAGTTGGAGCATTTATCTGCCAACTCCTGGCCATCATTGGTTGAGGGCTGATACTGGGAGCATTAACTTTCAGCACTTCCGGCATCCTTATGTGCAGACTGAGCATGCTCCTGCAGCCAGGGGAAATACTCCCGCAGTCCATCTCAGAGGCAGTAGGAAGCTACTAGTGTGTGCGGAAATGGTGAGCACCAGTGGGGGTGTGGAGTTGGGACAGGGAGCAACTGCCACATCCTTACACGGTACTTAGTGCAATGCCCAACACATAATGCATACTCCATAAACAATAACAACAGCTGACATCTGTTGGGCTATTAAGTACCAGGTGCTATTTATTCCTAACAAAATCCTAGTGATGTAGGTATGATTATTACCCCCATTTGATGGATTAGGAAACTGAGGTGCAAGGAGGTGGTTAGCAAGGTAATGGCTGTGCAGACCAGGGTAGACCAAAGCAATCTACCTCCACAGCCAGACCTTCATACAAGTGCCCTGCTGCTGTTCTCAGCTAAATATTAGACCCAATGAAAGGCAGACAAAGTAATTTAAATCTAATCAGTGGTTGCCAAGGCTAGGGTGGAAGGTCTATGTTGTGGGGGCATAGGTAGGGGTTGCAGAGGAGCACAGAGGAAACTTTTGGGCTGATGGCAATGTTCTATACCTAGATTGGAGTGGTAGCTACATTGGTGTGCACATTTGTCAAAACCTGTCAAACTACACACCTGTTCTCATAATGAGAGTGATAATGACAATGACTTCACATCTGATGCATCCGTGTCCCACAGGATTCATAATACTTAATGTCCTATTATTTGCATGATCACTGTTGGAATGAAACTATTCCTGCCCTGCCCTTGCTTTCTTATGTCCTTTCAAGGCAACGATCTTGCATATTCTAGGAAACATGAACTTTTTCTTGGATTTGGTCCTGTCTGGAGCCATCTTATGGCTCTTACTTTATAGTAAGTTTTGTTAACTTTATTCCATGTCCATAGGACATCAAACAGCGCACCATCCTAAGAGCCACCCTCATAGAACATATCCTCAGCGAAACAGGACAGGTATCAGGTTACGTGGGGGATGCTATGATTAGTTAATCCATCTTACAGGGAGGCCAGGGAGGGACCACGGAGACCCATCAGACAACTGTGACAACAATCCAGGCAACAGACACCGGCCACCAGGGCCCATTGCTGGCAGTTGTAGGTAGTGAGAAGTAGTTGAATTCTCGATCAATTTCCAAGATCACGTCTGACAGCTTGGCTGATAGATCTGTTGTGATATGTGAGGCAAAGAGAGAAACCAAGGGCAATTCCAAGTTGTTGGTCTCAGGGAAGGTGGGGTTGTCATTTACTGAGATGGGGGAGACACACTGTCACCAATTTCCATACCTTGAAAAACACATCCCGAGACTCTGCTTAATACACCCTACATTGGAAAATGTCCAGATTCCCAAGTCCCTTAGCTTTTCTATCAGTGCTCACATTCATTCATGAAATTTATAGATGTGCAAAAAGTCTCCCGCTGGGAGAATTTCTGTACAGCACATCCTATTTTCCTATTGACTTAAGATACATTGTTTTAGAGAAAAAATTAAATAAGCTGCCACAGTTAATACAAAGTTATCCTTCAGGATACCTAAAATTTATTTCCTGGGGGCCAGAGAAGAACAACTGCAAAACAAATTAACTCAACTTGGAATGAATATCCCAAGAACCCAGGTTATTGGACACACACACTAAAGGTTGAAAGCAAAAAGAATAATACAGAATCAAACTCCACAACCAAAAATTCTCTAAGTTTTGATTTGTCATCATCCTTTCAGTTTCTCAAATGAGGCAGATCCTGCATCTCAGAGGTAAGATATCTTTGAGAATCACAAGACCAGAGTCCATAAATACTTATAACCCCCAGCCCTTTGTTCAAGCAAAATTGTATGTTGAATCTCAGTATATAAAACAGACAAACTTTGAATGTAAAAATCAGAAAAAAAGGCACTCTTCTGGAGAAGTGAGAAAAAGAGCTGTCGATGGGCTTCTCTGTTCTCTCCCTCCCTTCCACCTATCCTGGCAGCCCCTAAACCTCCCCGATTTGGGGATTCAATGGCAGATCATCAGATCATCACCAAGCCCCTATCATTTCCCTGGCTCTACAGATGTGGAGACTGGGACCAGAGAGGGGAAGAATGAGTCAGCAGGTGGATGTCAGAGCCGTTTCCAGAACCCCAAAGCTCCCCCAACAAGAAGCTGAGACCCTTTTGTTGGAAAAGCCTCAATGTGTGCTTGGAGCCAAAGGGCATCATCCCAGAATTCCACAGAGATAGAGGGCAGGCCCGTCCCAGGTATACAGCACAGCAAACAAGGATGTGGGGAAGCAGTGGCACAATAAACAGCACCCTGTTTAGAGAAGCTCCTGGAATCCCAACATTCTGCCTACAGAGCTTTAGTAACCACCTGGGGAGCCAGTGTACCAAAGGCTTCAGACTTGGCCAAGGCCACCTCAGCCTTCTTAGGCTGGGAACCTGAATATCAGCTGGGAACAATCGGTTTCCACAGCTCAGAGAGCCAAAGGGGCCTTCCTGAAGACATACAACTTTGGAGAGATGGAGCCACCTCTCCTCTTGAGTCTTGGCTCCTGGTACAAAAGCAGCATGAAACTCTGTCTCCAGCCCATTATCCTGCTTCATGTTCTTTTATGTAACCGGTTACCACCTGAAAGCAGATTTTATAGCTTTATATGTTTTCTCCTCTATTAGAATGCAAGCTCTAGGAGAGCAGGGATTGTGTTCCCAGTGCCAAGAACAGTTCCTGGCACATTGTAGGCACTCAAAATATCTGTTGAATGATGAAAACATGTTTCTACAACTTAGAGAAAAAGCTTGATCCAAGCTATCATTCATTCATCCATCCATTTAGCAAACTTTATTCCTGACCACATTTTATGCCCTGGGCTGGAAGCTGGTACAAGGAAAATGACTAAGACATAGCCTAAATTTTTAACAAGTAAATCTGGCCATGCCAACCAATAAACAGTTCTTAGTCAGGTGCCTATAGTCCCAGGTACTTGGGAGGCTTAGGGAAGATGATTGCTTGAGGCCAGGAGTTCAAGTCCAGCCTGGGCAACACAGTGAAACCTGGTCTCTAAAAACCAAACAAAAAAAAACTACAGTGCTTCTCAAACCCAAATCACCTTCCCAGGCTCTTTCTGCCAAATATCCCTCAAACAACAGATGTGTGTTGGTAAATGTTGAACAATTGGCTCTCTGAAAAACTTGTGTGTGTGTGTGTGTGTGCGTGTGTGTGTGTGTGTGTGTATTAAGGTCTGTATTTAATAACTGGCTATTAGAATTCCTAAAAATTTGACAAGCACATTTCCCAAGCCAGCATAAGCTGGCTGCAGCACACCACTGTGGGCCTCCAGGCAGAAGAACATCCATGTATCACCCCCTGGGCCAGGAAATCTGCATCACATTCTGCGCAAAACTGACTTTCTTCCACCCATGCTTGGTATCCTGCTCCACAATGAATTCGTGCTTTTAAAAATATACAATTACTTTCTATCAAATCTTCCTGCTGACCCAAGAAGGAATGCCCCATGTATCCTGTTCTGTGTACCACTCACCAGACCAACAGGTATCCCAATTTGTAAATATGAGTCCTCGGTGGAGATTATAGTCTCAAATTCCCACAGAAGCCCAGACATACCATAAATTAACTCTTGGACCCCTTCAGACAATCCTCATCTTTGCGTTTTGAAAATGATATGACTATAAGATGTTTCACTTTCATCTTAGGTCTATTATGAGACACCTAGACCCCTAGACTGTAGTCCACACCGCTACTTGGCATTCAAGGTTTGGTGCCCAGCCCATCCCTGGTCCTAGATTCCTAGACTGTAGTCCACCCCTCTACTAGGCATTCAAGGTTTGGTGCCTAGCCCATCCTTGGTTCATATGCTTCCACTGCTCAAGGAGACAGACATGAAGACAAATCATTCACCTCCCAGAGAGACAAGGGCTAAAACAGAGTTTAAGACAGTGAGCTATGGAGCAAAGGTGAAAGGCAGCTGTGTCAGCCAGTGGGGTCTGAGAAGGGCAGACACCTCAGCACCTCCTTGCTATGGTCTCAGTGTTTCTGTCCCCCCAGATTCATACATGGAATCCTCATCCCCATTGTAGTGGTAATAAGAGGCAGGGACTTTGGGAGGTGATTAGGTCGTGAGGGCTCTGCCCTCACTAATAGGATTAGTTTCCTCATAAAAAGGGCCTAAGAGCCTTCCTTCTGCCATGTGAGGACACAGCAATAAGGCACTGTCTTTGAAGCAAAGAGCAAGGCCCCACCAGGCACTGAATCTGCCAGTGCCTTGATCTTGAACTTCACAGCCCCCAGAACTGTAAGCAATATATTTCTATTGTTTAAATATCACCCAGTCTAAGGTATTTTGTTATAGTAGCCCAAATGGACTAAGACAGTCCTCCGTCTCTCGCTTCAGTGCCCATCATTCCTGTTCACACCAGTGACGTCTTCAGATTTCTCCGGTTTCAGAAGCACACTTGGCCAAGACTGCCAAGAAATAACACTCCAGGAGTAGCTCCTAGCCACGAACTTCAGTTGCCTTTCAGTGGGATAACTGAGGCATGTCGAATACCATTTCCCAGAAGTCCCCAGTAAGGCTGAGTCACTGCTGCTGGTAGTAACCTCTTCATTGGCACACTTGTATTTCTTCCATGCTCTTCACTGTTTCCCTTCTCCACTGCCCCCAAATTCCTTGCAGTCAAATTGTTGTCTCAGGGTCCTTCTGAAGACCCAATCTAAGACAGAAGCCTTCTCAGACAGGGTGACATCTTTCCGAGCTAGGATTTGAGAGGTGTTTGGCACAGAGAAGGAGAGGGACTGCCTTCTTGCCTATGCTGGAAGCCTCTTTTGTATTTGAGTCAAAAAAAGGCTCATGTCCTCCAGCTGGATTTGGGGTTTATCTGAGCCAAACCCAGTTGAGAGAGGTCCCAGGCATGATCTGATACAATAGAGTCCAAGCTCTGTCATTAGAGCCTGAGTCTTTAGGTCTCTCCTCTCCATCTGCACTGCCCTTGACTAAGGTCAAACTTCATCAGCTTTCACTGAGACTATTTCTCAACTTTTGCACTTGTCTTCATGAATCCTCCACATAAGCAGTCAAAGGAATACTTCTAAAATGCACTTCAGATTATGTCACTCCCCTGCTCAAACACCTCCTCTGGCTCCCCATGGCCCCCAGACTCACAGTCATGGCATTCAAAGCTTATCAGTGTGTCCCAGTACAGGCTTCCCACATTCCCCACTTTCTCTGTTATCTTGGACACAGTTCTCTCAGCAGTCTACGCTGCTTGTCATTCTCTGGGCCTTTGCACATGCTTTTCCTTTTGCCAGGAACATTCTTCTGCTTCTTCATCTAGTGAATTATGACTCATCTTGTAAAGGCCATTTTTATCCTGTGACCCCCACCCTAAAGTCCTGGTCAGTTCCAATATCTATGCTCTCACAGCACTCGGTTCACAGAAGAGCAGAACAGCACAGCGGTTAAGAACATGGGCTTGTTGCAAGACTTCCTGGATTTGAACTATAGCTTGATTACACCATGACTTTCGTGACCTTGGATAGGTGACTTAATGTCCCTGTGATTCAAGTTTCTGTCATTTGCAACTCAGACTCCTGACTAAAACACTCACCTTCTCCATCCTCCTAACAATAAATAATACCTGACATTTTAATAGAACTTAATGTGTGTGCTTTCATCCTTGCTATTGCAAAATTCAGAATATCTCTGTCACACAGTGATGGAAAAAATAAGAACATTTATTGAATGTTACTATGTGCCTGGGACTGTTCTAAGTATGTTATGTCTATTTGTTCATTAAACAACCTTATGAAAGGAAGGTTAGTATTATTTTCATTTACATTTAGCAAATGAGAAAATTGAGGCACAGAGAGGTTAAGACAAGGGATCTTCAAAAAGTTCATGAAAAGTATGTATTATTTAAAAACTATGCATGGGTTTCAAATTTTTGCACCAAAATAAACTCATACTAACTTATTATCACATGTCTGAACAGAATCTAGTTTGAGGCACTAAAAAGGATAGTTCGAAAACAGCCCCTATCAGAGCAACATGAATTCTGCTAAAACTGAAGCAAAAACAAATATCAAATTGATGATGAAGTTTGGATGGAAGAATAATGAAATAATTGACACTTTATGAACAGTTTATGGGGACAATGCTACAAAGAAATTCTAGTTTACAAATGGATAATTTGTTTTAGAAGGGATGAGACTATGTTGAAGATGAGGCCTGCAGTGGCAGAGCATCCACATGGATCTGCAAGGAAAAAAAAATTCATCTTGTTCATGCCCTAATTGAAAAGGACCAACAATTAACAGCAGAAACAATAGCCAACACCACAGACATCTCAACTGGTTCAGCATACACAATTCTGACTGGAAAATTAAAGCTGGGCAAACTTTCCACTTGATGGGTACCAAGACCACTGCACCGAGATCAGCTGTAGACAAGAGCAGAACTGTCAATGGAAATTTTAAACAAATGGGATCAAGATCCTGAAGCATTTCTTCTAAGAATTGTAACAGGAGATGAAACATGGCTTTGCCAGTACAATCCTGAAGACAAAGCACAATCAAGGCAATGGCCATCAAGAGTTGGAAGTGGTCCGGTCAAAGCAAAAGTGAACTGGTCAATAGCAAAGGTCATGGCAACATTTTTGGGGGGATGCTCAAGGCATTTTCCTAATTGACTTTCTGGAGGGCCAAAGAACAATAACATCTGCTCATTATGAGAGTTTTATGAGGGTTAGCCAAAGCTTTAGCAGAAAAATGCTAGGGAAAGCTTCCCCAGAGAGTCCTTCACCACAGCAATGCTCCTGCTCCTTCCTCTCATCAAACAAGGACAGTTTTGTGAGAGTTTTAATGGGGAATCATTAGGCATCTGTCTTATGGTCCTGATATGGTTTCTTCTGACTTCTTTTTGTTCCTAATCTTTAAAAATCTTTAAAGAGCACCCATTTTTCTTCAGTTAATAATGTAAAACAAAGATGGCATTGACATGATTAAGTTCCGCAGACTCTTAGTTTCTTAAGGATGGATTAAATAGCTGGTATCATCATTACAAAAGTGTCTATAACTTGATGGAGCTTATGTTGAGAAACAAAGTTTGTATTTTTATTTTTGTCTTTTAATTCCATTTTTTCATGAACTTTTTGAAGTCCTCTCATCTTATAGATGGTTCTGGAATAAAAAAAAGTTGTGGCTCCAAATCCAGAAAAATACACTGAGTACATTCTGCACGGACAGAATAACTGGCAGCTGAGTCAGCTGCTAGGGGCAACCCAGGAGGTCTTAAGCAATCTCTGTGTGGAACTTCCCGGCACATCACATCCAATGTCACATGATATCTTCCCAAGAAATGGTTCTAAAATCAAATAAGTTTTTCAGGAACTGTTCTCCCTACCGCTCCGCTAAAAATTCATAATTGGTACACTGAAAGTGCTAACAAATCATGTAGTACATATATTTATTTGACCTTATCTAACCCAAAGTTTCCAAAATACGTTTGACCACGGATTGAAATATTTCTTAAAATCCTCCACAACTTATGCTCCATGGAAAATAGGGTGGTAAATGGTGCCAAATTGTAACCTGCAAAGGTTCATCCATTCAAAATGATTTACTGACTCTGTCTCCTCGACTACTAAGAAAGTTCCCTGAGAAGACGGACCCCATTGCTTTTATCTTGTTCACGTCTGTGTCCCCAGAACTTGGCACAGTCCCCAACACATTGATGGAGTTGGTTTCAGGGAGTGTGGAATGAGTGAAAGAATAAATAGATTGTGACCCTGACTCTTTGCTGGCCACCATGCTGGAAGTTCAGGAGGTAGAGATGAGTAAGTGAACATCTGCCCTTGAGGATCTCAGAGTCTAGGGATCAAGCAGGTGGATGCCGGCTCAAATAACTACAATGGGATCAACATGTGGTTCTCAGTAAGCTAGGGACACCTAGGGGAAAGTAATTAACTTAACTCAGAGGACAAAGAAAGATAGCAGGGAACAGTTTTCTTAGGAAGAGCTATTTAAACTAAATCTCAGACAATAAAAGCTTTTGCAGATTCCTAAGGTCAGAGCCTCCCCTTTGTCCAGCAGGCACTTGAGCATTTATTTGCCTATTGTACTTTAAAATATGAGGGCAGATTTCTGGAGCAGTAGGGGATTCTTGCAAATTTGCTCCTCTAACTCAACAGGAATTGGTGTGTGGTGTGTGCGTGTGTGTGTGTGTGTGTGTGTGTGTGTGTGTGTGTGTGTGTGTGTGTCTGATACTCATGAATAGCAACAAAGTTACAAATTTAAGAAGGCAATATAGCTTCCCTGCTAGGGACACTCTAAGGTCAGAACTTAATAGATGACAAGAATTTTAAAAAGACATGACTCAGATCTTACAATATCAAAGGGATACAAAGGGATAGTTTGAACAACTTTTTACCAATAACTTTGATGATTTCAAGTAACCAGAGGAACTTCCTGATAAAAACATACCTTTCTCAACTATCAGAAAAAGAAATTAAAAAGTTGAATATTTCAGTGTCTATTGAAGAAACTGAATCAATCATTAAAAACCTCCCCACGAAAAAGCTCCAAGCCCTTCTGGCTTCAATGGTAATTCTACCAAACATTGAAGGAATAAATAATACCATCTTGCACAAACTCTTTCAGAGAGCAGAGAAAAAGGGAACACTTCCCAATTCATTTTATGAGGACAGGATAACCCTGTTACCTGGGTGATCCTGACAAGGGCATTAAAAGAAAAGAAAATGGAATACAATGGTTGAGAACAGTGACATGCAGTCACCTGGAAAATTTCAATTCTCAGGAGCTCTGGTGAGAGTTTCCTTTTCTATGCAGCTTCACATCTCTATGCAGAAGAATAACTACAGTATAATGACAATCACAATCACCAACATTTTTTGAGTATTCTCTAAGTTTCAGGCGTCTTCTATGTATTAACTCATGTAATGCCCCTAACAATCTTTTCTTTTCCTTTCCTCTCTATCTTTTTTTGAACCAAGGTCTAACTATGTTGCCCAGGCTGGTCTTGAATTCCTGGGCTCAAGTGAACCTCCCATCTCAGCCTCCCAAGTAGCTGGGATGACAGGCATACACTGACACACCTGGATTCAGGAAGGTACTATTACTTTCCCCCTCTGTTTTGGGGGAAATTATAAAAAGATGTCTATTTAGGTCATGCATACAATGCTGTGTCCCAGGTAATTCAGTCCCAGGGTAGTGTTGCAGCTTACAAACTGTGTAGTCTAAACAGGAATTCTAATTTTTAAACTCTTCTCTTTTAAACATTTAAGGGACTCAAAGTATAACGATCGCTAGCAATTAATTAGCAAGCAATTAATTTCCAAGTAATTGCATTTGTGAACTCATTTTATTTTCAAAACAATCCTTTGAGGCAGATATTATTAGCTCTATTTTACTGATGGGACATGGAGGCAAACAGGAAAAGTCAAGTAACTTGCCCATAGCTGCTGAGGCAGTCAGGATTTGAACCCAGGTGGTCTGACCAGAGTTTTCTCTTTATCACTATGTATTTCTGCACAATCCGTGGGTGTTCTTGTCAAATGCCTACATCCTCTCTATTCTCTAGCATGCCTGAAAATCTCTCTCGTTCCTAGGCCAAGAGAACCTCTCTCAAGCTTCCTGGCTCCTTGCCATCTCTGCCCCTCCATGACTCCCCATCTCTGCCTCACTGTCTCCCACAAGGCATGCTAATAATAACCATCCTGTTCCTTGCCAATTCCTCATTCACAGGAACCCCATCCTTCTAGTTCTGGCTCCTTTCTCCAGAAAATAACCTATCTGGAGGCTCTAGTTCTTCCTCTCTTCATGCAATAGCAACAACAATCACTATCACCATAATAATACTAATAACAGTCAATACCTATTGAGAATTTGCTATGTGGCAGACACTGCCCAAACAACTGTACCTGTGTATTATCTCAGTTTAATTGTGATTGTCACAACAGCCCTATGCAGGAGGTTCCATGATTATCTCCATTTAGCAGATAATGCAACTGAAGCACAGAGTGAATAAGTAGCCTGACCAGGGTCACAGAGATGAAAGTAGTGGACAGCCTGCTGGGTAGACACAAGGCAAGCTGCTCATAGCATTATGCTATTACACAAGGGGGAGATGGAGAGAGCTAGACAAGCTATTCCCAAATATCCAATCAGTATTAGGATGGATAGCAGCAAAATTGTTTAGCATAAGTATATCCCATGCACTATTTGGGATATACTTATAGTTTAAAAATGACTCCTTGTTCATCTGAAATTCAAAGTGAACTTAGCACCCTGTGTTTTATCCCTCAACCCTAGCTGGACCAACATTCCAAAGATGTGAGGAGGGAAAGCCCAAGTATTTCTAAAGACCAGATGTGGTTCTGAAGTGAGAATTTCAGCCCAGGTCCTCTTTAAAATCCTGCCTAAGAGGTCTGCTTCTAAGTGATATAGGACCCCTAAGGGAGTTCCCATATATAGGAAACCAGGAACTAGAGGGGGAGCAGCCAGGGGAAAAAAAACCCAAGGGAAGGGCTGTGAAGTGTTCTGAGAAGGGGGAGATCCTCTAGTCTCCCGACTCTGTAATGCTCACAAGAGAAGGGTCTGCTGTAAAGGGAAGCTGAGGGGCAGGAGTCATGCACCTGCTAGGCTCCTTGTCTTTTCCTGCCCCCTGGCTTCTTTCACTGTGGCTGTCACAAACCTTGCTTAAGAAAATAAGGAAGAAGAGATGAAACCGTAAAGGGGAACTCAGGAGACAATAATCTCTCTTTCCTCTTTCTCTCCCAGCTTCCAGCCTGTAGAGCCCTCAGGAAGGGGAGGGGAAAGGATTTCACTTCAAATCAAGTTCCACATTCTGATGATCACCTGGAACTGACCATTCTAATTTCTGAATTGAGACCATGTTTGTGTATTAAAGTAATTGGAGGATTTTAATTACATCTCAAGAGTGATAGGAAAAGGCATGTGTCTGCAGGGGTTTTTGTCCAAGTAATAGGAAAAGAACTTCCCCACTGAAAATATTTTAGAGCACTAGCTGGAGAGAAAAATAAACATGACTTTTAAAAAATAGCTCATTGAGCTATAATTTACATAAAATAAAAGTTCTGACAAATGGTCATATTCATATAGCCACCATCCCAACCAAGATATAGGACATTTACATCTCCCCAGAAAGTTCCTACATGCCCCTTTCAGGTCAATTCCCACATCCTCTCCAAAACAGTGCTGCAATTTCTATCACTATAGATTGGTTTTTGCCTGTTCTGGGATATAATGGAATCATACAGGATGTACTTCTGTCTCTGGCTGTCTTTTAATTTTAATTTTACCAACAAGAATGAGCTTGAAGTGTGTCTGGCTGTTTTGCTCAGCGTGATGTCTGTGAGATTCCTCCACGCAGTTGTGTGTATCAGTAGCCTATTCTTTTTTGCTGCTGAGTAGTATTCCATTCTGTGAATAGATGAGAATTTATTTGTACATTTTCCTGCTGGTGGACATTTGTATTATTTCCAGTTTGGGGCTACTATGGAAAAAGTTGTTGTGAACACTAGAATACATCTGCTTTGGAGGTGACATCCTGTGAGTCCTTTTGTGCGATGTATTCATTCTGTACATGATATAAATGGTAGGAAAGTTGTTTAAATTCTGGCTGCAAAGGTTGCTGTCAAAGCTGTATTCTCTCTCTCTCTCTCTCTCTCTCTGTCTCTCTCTCTCTCTGTCTCTCTGTCTCTCTCTCCCCCCTTCTTTTTCTCTCCTCTCCCTCCCTCCTTCTTCCCACTCCCTCTGTCTGTCCTCTCTCTCCCTCCCCCTCCTTTTCTCTTTCCTTCCTCTCTCTCCTCCCTTTCTCTCTCTCCCTCCTCCTCCCTTTCTCTCTCTCCTCCTCCCTCTCTCTTCTTCCTCTCTCACTCCCCCTCCCTTTCTCTCCCTCCCTCTTTCTCCTGTCTCTCTGGATGCTCCTGTCAGGATGTCAACTCAGCTTTCTGTGAAGGAATGACTCCAGATACAGCACATGTCAGCTGGAGAGGTGACCCAAGGGAAATGGCAGGAGTTGGGAAGTCAATCCTTGGCCCACTTGGGGTTTTGGCAGCAAGTAGGTCAAGAGTGTGTTTTATTACCTTGCTGGAGAGGGACTGGAGCAGAGCCAGAGTGACCCCCAAATGCCTGCCCTGCCTCAGCTGAGCTTCCTGTGGGCAAATGGATTCAGATTTGCCAGCTGTATGCCAGACATCTGGTGGAGAATTAGTAAGAAGTGCTGCTGCCCCTCATCCCCTGACCTTCCCACTCTGCCAGGACTTAAGAACAAAACTAACTTCCAGAGAGCAAAAATCTCCCAGGGGACTTGGAGGCAGGGACTAGAGCACTGAGGCCTGTAAAATGCTAAGTGGTGGGCTCTCAGAACAAGCAGGCCAGGCCTTTTCCCCCGTCCAGGTCTTTGCACCTGCTGTTCCCTCTGCCTGGCCCTCTTGACCCCACGCACCCCCTTCTATCTCTGGCTGGCTGGCTCCTTGCTGTTCAGCCCTCACTTCAAAGGTCTCCCCTCCAGGAAGTCCATCTCTGATCACACTGTTCATTGTGGTCTGCTGCACATTATCTGGCTTCATTCTTGTGGAGCCACTTATCACTAGCTGAAGTTTATTTTTTGTTCATTCACTTATTATCTCTCTCTCGCCTCCCTGCAGACCAGGAGCACCATGCAAACAGGGCCTTTTCTGTCTTTGTTCGCCTCTATTCTCAGTGCCTCAACAGGTATTTGTTAAAAGAATGAATAAATGATATAAAGTCATTTCAGGCATTTCAAACTCATATGCAGGGGACAATTTAATGAGTAATATGGGCTGGTGTAAGAAAAGTCACGTTTTCTCAAGTCTGATTTGCACTTCCAATAGTGCTGTGGATATAGAAAACTATTATTTTAGCAGGGGATAAAAGTTCCCAAGCTTAACAGTAACTTACAGCTGGCACTGGACTTCAGTGTCATGAGTGCAATAGGGAGGGGCGGGGACTGTGGTGAAGTGGGGAACACAGGGGCCTCCCCTACCACGAGGACAACCACTGCTGCTCAGCTCCTCTGATTGTTGTGATGCAGGAATGTGGGTCCCGTGATGCCAGCTCTCCTGATTTCAAGAGAAGCTTGAAATTTTGCTTCTATGTGAAATCTCAGTTTTAAAAGATTTGCTCATTAAAAGGAAACTGTGGGCCAATCAAAAAAAAAACTACATCTGCAGGTGGTATTCAACCTATAGTCACCAATTTATGACCTCTCATCTAAGTGATTTGAATTGGTAGAAGGATGGACCCCTGCGGTAATTAATGAAAAACCGACATATTGTATATGTGCCCACACATACGCAATACTGAATGTAATGTCAAGATGTTGACAGATTAGTAGGGATCACCGGACTCTGTACTGAAAACCCCTGCTCCATTTTAAAATCCCCATTTTACAGATATAAACTGAGGTCTGGAGAGGAGGTGTAGTGTCTTCAGGACCATGCAGAGCCTAAGAGTAGATCTCATCACTCCCAGCCCTGGTCCGTTTGAAATAGTGGAATCATAGAGGGGAGTCCAGGTGGATCCATGATTTTACTCCACCCAACAGCAGCTCTGGTCAACCTCTGCCTCTGGGCCTCCTGTTTCATGAACTCACACCAGCCACGTGGCCACACTGAGGTTCATTCTGTGTGTTTGCAAAATAGAGGCTTCCCTCGGATCTTCAAGGGCAGATTCAGGTAGGAAGGAGTGTGGGGCCACATGATCCCGAGGCACTGCTCCTTTCAATTTTAACTTCTGGAGTTCAGAGGTTGGGAGAGGTGTCTGATTTTGCAGACTTATTTTCTGGGTCAAGCCAGGGTGAGCAGTTTGCTTTCTTGCCACTTGTTTCTGTCCAGAGGCTCCATTTTGGGAGGGAGAATCTTGCTGAGCGGGCCCAGGGAAGAAGGAGTAGCAGCTTCGGGTAAAACATTGCTTAGCTCCCAGCCTACTCCCTCTGCCGTCAGAAGCCAGTGGGACTCAGCTAAAATCTCTAGGGTTGAAGGAACTGACGGCAAGGCCTAACGGAGTCTGCATCTGGAGAAGACAGGTGCCACAGGGAAGGAGGCTAGTCCTAATGATCAAGGCTGACCCTAGAGGCCAGATTCTGGGTGAACTTGATATGGATGAGGTTGGGAGGATGGCTGAAATGGAAAGTGGTCAGCTGCCTTTGAAGGGGAAAGAATACCAAGCAACTCTCTAGTGCTGGCCTGTCTAAACAGTGGAGCCCTGGGTCACATGTGGAATTTAAGTTCAAGTTCATTAACATCAAACAAAATTTAAAATTCCAGTTTCTTAGTAACACTAGCCACATTTCAGGTGCTCAACAGCCACATGGGACTAGGGTCCACCATTCTGAACAGAGCAGATATGGAACATCTCCATCATCACAGAAAGTTTTATAGGACAGACTGTTCTAGAGAACTCAGGCCCAAGGGCCAGGAAGCCTGGGGATAGGTGGTTTTGCTGCTGAATTTTTGCAGAAAATCACTGAACACACTGAGCCTAAATTAGTTCATCTTCTAATTGGGAATAATAATATTGGGATGTCTACATCACAGAGGATTCCATTAGGACAAATGTCTGTGAAAGCATTTTGAAGTGTGTGATTGACATTTCTATCTTAGGGATGATATTATGAATAAATTTGGATTTCTTTCTTATATGCTCTATTTTCCAAACTTCAACAACAAATATGCACATATTTTAAAAAAGAAGGCATCCTCTGAATACACAAGTGATATATCTGTAAAATTATTGGGTTACATGTTCTTTCTCTGAGAATTAGCAGATATTTAATTATTGCAGAAATTTGAGTCCAGCCTGATTTCTCCCACCCCTTATAGCTCACTTGAATTTTTTGCCTGGATATCCATAAGGTTTTTTAATTAAGCTTCAAGTCCATTAATGTTACCACAATTTGTCTTGGTGTTGATGAGTGTCCATAAGCTGTTTCTGGAAGACAGTAAGCTCTTTCAACCTGCATATGTTTTAGTTTTGGAGAAATGTTCTTCTATTAAAGATTCCAATATTGTTTTCCATTTTATTTTTTTCTTCAGGAACACCAATTATGCTGATGTTGGATTTCCTTTGTCTTCCATACTAATTGTTTTTCATCCATCCTTTCTTACTTTTCCACTTCATTTTGTTCAATCTTTTTTAGCCTGTATATCATGTCTCTGATTAT
This sequence comes from Homo sapiens, assembly GCF_000001405.40. Classification (NCBI taxonomy): domain Eukaryota; kingdom Metazoa; phylum Chordata; class Mammalia; order Primates; family Hominidae; genus Homo; species Homo sapiens. The sequence continues at coordinate 46,629,638 of NC_000020.11, forward strand.
GTTTTTAATATTTCCCCATTTTGCTCTGTCTGATACAGCCTTTATAACAGAATAGCTTTATTTTTCTCTTCCACTTACTTCCTGAGTGCTGTTTTTTCACCCCCTTCTGCTTCTTAATCTCTCTTCTTTGCCCTTTTTGTTTCTTATTTTGAGATTTGTTGTAGGCAGGCAATTTTTAAAATACATTTCACCGAAAAATATCTGTCCGATAGTTTCTCCCACTTCATAACACAAATCTTCTAGTATTTATTCTGTTTTTCTCCTTTCTATTTTATGTTTCTTCCCTTTTTATTTCTCATGCTCTCTTTTTGGCAGATCTCATGTTGGCTACTTATTACAGAATTGCGGTCATTCTTTTAAGACCGGTTCTTTGTTGGAGGAAAGTGTGGGGAAAGGGGCTGGCCCACAGGTATCTAAGCATTGGCTCTGTTGACTATCTCAGAATGCTTTCTCATCAACATGGACCCAGAACATGCCTCTCCTCTAAGCAAGGGGGAGCCCCTTACTCAATGCGAAGACCCAAGACGGTCACAGTTCTTTGGTGTCTCTTTAGCATTTATGTTTGTTTGACTGACAGAGAGAGAAAACTAGAACCTTTACAGCCATACAGGTGATCACTATCCACAATCTCTCTCCCATGTGCCATTCCAACATCCCGCTTCATGACAAGCGTCTTGGAGCCTCCTCAATCAGTTCATCTGAATGCTGTACTGTCACATACATCTCAGGAACTCTCCCTTCTCTGACATGCATGCTCCAGGCTTTGCCAGTATTAGGAAGTGTCAGAGTTCAAAAACACTTCAGAACTCCTCGTCCTGCCCACGATGTGCAGAAGCATGCGCCACTCTTGATTTCCTTCTGCAGTTTGGTCAAAGTTTCCTGCCATTGTCAGCTCTTCTTCATATGCTGGCGAGGTGGGATTGTGGTCTTTCCTTCTTTCATCAAAGATGGCATATTCTTCTCCTTTTGTTGCTTTTGTGGTTGTTTTCAGAGTGCTTCAGAAAGGTGAATGGAATAAAAGTCTTTGTTCTACTAACTTAAACCATAAGTGCCTCCCACCTAGTAATTCTGTGATCAGAAAGTGCTGTTTTCTTTTGCATATCTGTATTTTCTAATCTTTCTACAACAAATATGCACAGTTGAAACAATATGGGATTTGGAATTAAAGGAGCCTGAATTAAAGACCCGATTCTTCCACATTCTAGCTGTTGAACCTGGGCTTGTTAACTCTGTTTACCTTCAGTTTCCTTGTGTGCTGTAGACATATGATCATACCATCTCCCTTGGAGAGATGGTTATTAATATAAGGTAACCACTGACCCAGTGATTGATACATACAGTAGCTCAATACATATGATATATTGTTATGTTGTATTAAATAACATTGTTATTAATAGTACAATTAGATCAATTTCATAAAGCTGGGCTTCAAAAATACTGTACTTAAAATATGAGAGTCAGAATGAAGCTGAGATCATTTAATCCAGTGGTTCTCGACAGGGGGTGATTCTGTCCCCCAGGGGACACGTTTTAGTCTCACGACTGGTGGAGGGTGCTCCTGGCATCTAGTGAGTACAGGACAGAGATGCTGCTAAACATCCTGCAGTGTCCAGAACAGCCCCCTACAATAAAGAATTATTTGTTCCAATAGGGTCAATGTCCACAGTGCTGAACAAAGTGGAGAAACCCTGGTCTAATCTAACTTTTAGTACATACAATGGAGGAAGTGGTTGTCCCAAGAAGGAAAGTGGCTTCCCTGAGGTCACACAGTGAGTCAGAGGTAGATTGTGCAAGTTAAGGCCATGCTTTCTCTTAGTTCATTGAAAGACCATTGTGCCCTGGGCTTTATCATGCAGCAGGAGTTGGGAGCAGGGCTGCCATGTGGGCGAGGCTCACGCGTGACCCTGAGTGAGCTCCTCCTTCAATCTTGCTCTCCAAATGCCTCATGTGGCCACCCTAGTCCTAGCCTTGGTCCCCAACTCAGCCCCGCTCACACCCACCCAACCCATACATAATCTCCAAGGTCTGGCTTTCTTATAGGAAGCCTTATAATCCCCCCACCAAAGAAATCCCAGCTTCTCAGGCTTAGCCAATACACGACCACAGGGATTAAAGCCTGCAAGCAAAACGCGCAGGGGTGAGAGACGGGTGGAGAGAGAGAGAAAAAAATGCCATGTCAGGTGGTTAATTTTTGAGCTGGGGAATGATTTCCAGGCATACACAAGGCAACTTTTTTCCTACTGCCCCCCAACTTGCCCTCTTTGTGTAGGAAAGGAAAGAAAGAGAAGTGGTCTGTTCTCCAGGACCCTGGGGCAGGAATTTTCAGGACACTGCCTCCACCACCACTGTCCCCTTCCCCCTGCCCCAGCTCCCTGCTGGGCTGCAGCTGGCATTTTTGTCAGGGCACTGGGCAGTGACCAGGCTCTTGGCAGATACTGGTAGCTCTGTGCCAGGCAGAGAGCTGGCTGGCCCACACTTTGGGGACAGGACTGAGACCAGCTGCCCACAGCAGTGCCCTCCTGCTGCCTACGAGAGTCCCACTTCTCAGGAGTGTCCAGGGCTGGGGCTATGAAGTGCTGAACTTTGCACTCCAGCAAGGCAGAAGCAAGCCTTAAACCTCATGGTATCCCGTTGCCCAGGACTGAGCCTGCGAAGTGCCAGACCCTCTGGAGCTACATAGTGTTTGAAGCATCATGGCTCAGGCACTCAGGACTGGTGTCGCTTCCTCACTCCGAGCGTCAGTTCACTCATGGATAACATGGGAATGACGGCCTCACAGAATCACCATGGTGGGACATTGCCTGGAAGAAGGCCAGCCCCCAAGGGGGAAAAAAAAAAAAAGCTGCCAGGATCAGGGGAAAGAGCCATGGACAGGGAGCTGGGACCTGGGGGTTATAATCCGGACCTGATGCCAAGAAGCAGAGAAGCCTATGGGTTATGAGCTTGGCATCCAGTGCCAGATTGTCTGGGTTCCAATCCTGGAAGTCTATAGCTTCCAGAGCAGATGACTTAACTTTGTTCCTTGGTTTTCTGTAAAATGAGGGTGATGATAATAATGATGATAAGAATTTCAACCTCATAGAGTTATTGTTGGAAGGATTAAATAAGTTCACGTAGGTAAAAGGCTGGGTGCAACATATAGCCCAGAGTAATCTCTATCTCTCTCTCTCTCTTTCTTCCTCTCACTCTCTCTCTCCCTTCCTTCCTCTCTCCTTTTCTCTCTTTCAATAGATAGATAGATAGATAGATAGATAGATAGATAGATAGATAGATATATCTATCTATCTATCTATCTATCTATCTATCTATCTATCTATCTATCTATCTATCTGTTTATGTATCTATCATCTATCTATCTATCATCTATCTATCTGGAGATTTACATATTTAATGTTACCTACTACTGGCAGCTGTTATTTTGTTACATTCCTTGCCCTCTTTATGTTAGAAGGTTCATCCCAATGATCCATAAGCTACTTCACGTCCACCATTTGGGGATGAAGGTAACAATTCCAGTTCCCACATATATACGGACCCCAAAGGGAAAGAAATTTGGAGCACACAGAGCAGGCCCAGGGAAAGGACCCAACCTGGAAAGAAGAGACAGAACCCAAGAGAAACCCTTTCTGCCAAGGCCAAGAAGCACATTGGCATGAGACCTCCACTTGGAAAGAGGAGGTTAAATCAGGCAGGTGAAGGCTCAGGGGAACAAGGCCACTAGGAGTCACATAGCTTGGGTGCAAATCTCAGCTCCACCACTTATAAGCCACCAGCTTCAGGCTGACTCATTGGCTTTTTGGAGCCTCCCTGTCTCCATCCGTAATTTCGGATGCATATTAGGCCATCCTCAGAGAATGCCCAGGGGAGATCAAAAGGCAGGTGGACATGGCTATGCTTTGACAGTCCTGCAATATGGGCATTTCTCCCCCAGCCTCTGGGGCAACTCTCCCTCATGGCCTCAGTGCCATACCACTGCTATCTGAGATAGCTACACATGTTGAGCCCTTACTACACACCAGACACTGTTTGGCAATTCCCTTGTTAAACTCTACCCACTGCCCTGAGAGGCAGCAATAACTACTGTTTATGGGTGGCTTGGTTTATTGTAGCTCAGAGAACTCAAGTGACTTGCTCAAGGCCCTCTGCCTCAATGCAAACCATAGACAAGAAGAACAAAGCAACTATCGATTGAGGGCTTACTATGCTTAGGCACCAAGCCATGCTTTTTGGGGTGCATTAGCTCGCCTGTGTGTCCCAGTGACCCTGTTTAGAAATGATAAAGCACACAGAGGTTTGGCAACTTCTCTGCCCATGTGTGTACATCTAGCAAGGGATGGAGCCACGATCCTACCATGGTGGTCTAGCCCAGGGCCCTAGTCCTGATCTTATGGGCCCTATCCCCACGGCTCAGCGATGAAGATTATAGTGGAGGGAGCAGCCAGCATTTACTGAGCACTTACTATGTGTGAGTGCTGATTAAAGCCCTTTACAGTAATTGTGTCTTCAGCTCTTCCCAGGCTCTGGTAGGTTCTAGTAGAGGAAATGAAAGGACAGGCACTCAACAGAAGGTGCTTGATAGGCATTTTCATATCCTCTCTGGGGGGCTAATTCAGTCTTGAGGGTGAGCAGAACTGATTTTCGTGTGCCCACTTTCCAGAGGGAGAGACTGAGGCATGGAGGATTAATCCAGAGGTGATGCAGATGGAAGTAGTTGAGGCCACCGGGAAGTCTTGCTTCTGGTTGCCAACCGAGGCTCCCTCTTACCTTGTCCCATGCCCCAAAACACTCTGAGACAGCAGCTAGGGGCCATCTGTGTCCATCTGGGCACAAGACTCAATGGGGGAAACAGAAAGGGCAGCAAACCTGCCCCAGGAGATGCCTGAGCCCCGCCCCCAACCCCTCCCCTACAGTGGACTCTGTTAGACCCCTGGACTCATTAGTGGATGTTGTGACAAGTTCAAGTTCTTGGAGCCATTCATTAAAAACGTTCCTGCGGTGGCTCACACCCTGTGGCTGCCCAGGCCTCACTAATCATTCACGAGCCAGACAGGAGGGTGGTTGTGGGGGTGTGCCCTGGATGCAGGAGCTCCTGGTGGCCTCACTCAGCCTGAGGAGGGTAGAACACGTTGTTCTGAGAAAATAAGCTGATTCATGGTGTGACCTTGGGCAGCTCCGTCCTCTCTCTTTGCCTCAGTCTTCCCAACTGTCCAGCTGGTTCCTTCATCTCCCATCATGGAGCGGCATGGTGGGGTGCACCAAAAGCTCCCCTCAGGCCCCCTCTATGTCCCTTTTCCCCTGTCATCCTCTCCCGCACCTTTGCAGCTGGTGCTAATGGGAGGCCTTTCTCCAGGTGAAGTGAAACCCTGCCCGAAGGCACTGGGGTGGGACGAGCCTTTAAATCCCATCTGGGCTCTTCATTTTAGTTTTTCTGTGACCAGGGGACCAAGGATCAGTCTCCTGGAAAAGGCTGTTATGAGAACCAAGGAAGACCACTTGCTGTTTCTTGGACACTTGCCATGCTCCCACCCTTCTTTATGTTAGAACGTTATTCCCAATGATCTGTAAACCACTTTGGGTCTATCATTTGGAGATAAAGGTAATGATTCCAGGTACCACATATATATGGGACCCAAAGGGAAAGGAATTTGAAGCACACACGGCAGGCCCAGGGAAAGGACCCAGCCTGGTTAGATGAGAGAGAACCCAAGAGAAACCCTCTACCGAGGCCAAGAAGCACAGCCGCGTCCATGCAAAGTGACTTTTGCACTTGCTGTTCCCTATGCCTGGAATGCTCTTCCTTTATAGATGCTCAGGGCTTGCTCCTTCACCTTCTTCAGGTCTTTGCTCAAATGTCACCTCCTTTTGGTATGTGTTCAATGCTCCCTTTTCCAGGACACCTTCCGGACTCTACAATTGCACTACTCTCATCCCCAACTCCCTCCCTACCCTGCTTTTGTTCTCCATAGCAGTTATCATCATGGGACCTACTGTCAGAGGCGTTTGAACCAGAGTGACTCCATCTTGAACAGGAGCTGGGGAGAATGAGGCTGAGACCTGCTGGGCTGCATTCCCAGGAAGTTAGGCAGCCTAAGTCACAGAATGAGATAGGAGGTCAGCAGGACTGGTTTCACAAGATACAGGTCACAAAGATCCAATTCATGAAACAGGATGCAGCAAAGAAGCTGGCCAAAACCAAGATGGCAAGGAAAGCGACCTCTAGTTGTCCTCACTGCTCATTATATGCTAATTCTAATGCATTAGCATGCTAAAAGACACTCCCACCAGCACCATGACAGCTTATCAATGCCGTGGCAGCATCCAGAAGTTACCCTATATGGTCTAAAAAGGGGAGGAACCCTCAGTTTCAGGAACTTCCCACCCATTTCCCAGAAAACTCATGAATAATCCACCCCTTGTTTAGCAGATGATCGAGAAATAACCACAAGTATGCTCAGTTGAGCAGCCTATGCCACTGCTCTGCCTGTGGAGTAGCCATTCTTTTGTTTTTTCACTTCTCTCATAAATTCACTTTACTCTGTGGACTCACCCCGAATCCTTACTTGCACAAGATCCAAGGACCCTTTCTTGGGGTCTGCACTGGGACCCCTTTCTGCCAACAATACTATAGATCTTGCTTATTTATCCCTCGCTAGAATGTCAGCTGCATAGCTGAAAGGATTTGTGACTGTCCGGTTCACTGTGACTGTCTGCCATGTCCCCCTAGAATAGTAGCTGGTACCTAGAAGGTACTCAATTGAAATTTTTTGACTGATTGTATTAGTCACTTGTGGGTAGCACCTGGCACACAGGGAACACTGAGGAAATATCCCTTTTGATTCCATAATCATTCAGGACACGTGGATTAAGCACCTGTTGTGCATTGGTGGACAAGATGGACAAGGTCCCTATTAACCTCTCACTATTTGGAGGGCACTTTTTTGTTTTACAAAGCACCTGGTTCCCCTGGCTCCTCATCACAGCCCCATGAGGCTGGTGGGCCTGTAGGACAGATGAGAAAACCGAGGCTGGCAAGGGAAGTGCCTGGCTTTCACCTGCAGGGAAGTTCTTGGCCAATCTTGGCTCTGTCCTGGATCATCCGAGCCCACATTCTGTGCTCCCACTGCTTCTTGGGCCCTGGGCTCTGGCCCACCCTTGACATTTTTTTTTTCTTTTTTTCTTTTTTTTTTGAGACAGACTCTGTCACCCAGGCTGGAGTGCACTGGCGTGATCTCAGCTCACTGCAGCCTCCGCCTCCTGGGTTCCAGTGATTCTCCTGCCTTAGTCTCCTGAGTAGCTGGGATTATAGGCGCCCACCACCACGCCTGGCTAATTTTTGTATTTTTAGTAGAGATGGGATTTCACCATGTTGACCAGGTTGGTCTCGATCTCCTGACCTTGTGATCTGCCCACCTCAGCCTCCCAAAGTGCTAGGATTACAGGCGTGAGCCACCGCGCCCGGCCTGACATTTTCAATTCTCTTATGTTTACCATCATCCCAGCTCCACCTGGGTCCAGCTGGTCCTGCCCCAGGCATCCTGGGAGGGGGCGCAGTTGGGAAACCAGTGAGTGAAGGGGAAGCTGGTCCTGGGGGAAGCCGGCCCTGCTGGAAAGGCCCGGCCTGTTTCCAAGCCCCTTTTGACAATGCGCCTCCACTGCTCACAGTCCCTCGCTTCTCAGGCATCTGGGACTTCGGGATTTTGGCCAAGAATAAGAATGACAAGGGAACTCTCACTGAGATTTTTCTCTGAATAAGCATCATCTCAGTTAATCTTCCCAGCAGCCCCTAGGAGATGAGCTTTATTCCATTTTATACAGGAGGAAATGGAGGCTCAGAGAACCCAAGAACCCACACAGTGAGTAAAGGGAGGAGGTCAAGAGGATTCAAGAACAAACCTCATCCCCTATAATGCCCTTCCAGACCCCAGGGCCAAGAGGTCATTTGTAAGGCAAACAATACCACTACGACTACTACTGACAATAGCAAACATTGACCTAGCACCTGTTCTGGGCCAGATACACCCCTAAGTACTCTGGGCATGTGAACCCATCATCACAACATTCCTATGAGTTAGGCCCGATCAGTATTTTCATTTTACAGAGGAGGAGACTGAGGCACAGAGAGGCTAAGTAACTTGCCCAAGGTCACACAGCTAGGAAGTGGGAGAGCAAAGCTGGAGTCCAGGAAGGCTGGTGCTAGGGTTCATGCTCTCATGGTGCTGTCCCTCCTCCTCCATCCCCCAGGAGGTGATTCAGGGGGACATACCACCCCAGGTGAGGCAGGCTCCTTCTCTAGGAAGGGAAAGCCAGGGTCTGGAGAAGTACAGGTTCCATATCAAGAAAAAAGTCAGGAGCAGGAAGCGGTTGATGTCTGGTTTAGTGGGGGTGAGAATGTCCTCTCAGAACAGGCCTCAGTCTCCCCTATCAACCCCAAAGAAAGGTGAGAGCCAGGCCTTGGCAGGACTCCCCAGGCCTGGATGTCCCACGATTCTGGTCCCAGACACTGGCAGAGCAGGACTGGCTGCCCAGTGAGGAGCCCATACCTGCGGCTGGGCACTCTGTGGTGTAAAACGCCCAACTCAGGCACCATGAGAAGTTTTGCTGACTGGTTCCAGCCCTTTCCAGAGAATTCTGAGCGGGGCCACAGGCTGGGGCAGGGATTGGTTAATAAAAAGAGCTGGAAGAATGTTCCTTTGCTCTGCCCCTCACCCCTAGGCCCCCAGAGCCAGCACTTTCAGCTTGTCAAGAGAGAAAGGTGCAGGAGGCATGGTAAAACCCAGGAGAGAAGCGGGGCCGTGGGCGGCGGCGAACAAGGGCCTCTTTTGTTATTTCCCTAGCAAGGGAAAGGCGGCTGTCCTGACTGCTGCGGACAGAGGGGCCGTCAGCTCCGTCCAGTGAAGCCTGGAGCTGGCCTCTGAGAGGCCCTGAGGGCAGGAGTGCCTTTCTCGTGCCTGGAATGCCCTGCATTTCCAAATCCTCTCCTTCCTGCCAGGCCCTCTGCCTCCAGGCTGTGTGCTCACAGGCTAGCATGCCCCTCTTTAGGCCTCAGTTTCCTCATCAGCAAAATGGGACTCTGGACCATGCCTGCCTCCACGTGTCAGAGAGATCAAAGGAACTAATGCATTTGGGGCAGCGGTTCTCAGCCTTGGCACCGCGGACATTTGGGGCCTGAGGATTCTCTGTGGGGGGCTGTCCTGTGCATGGGAGGGTGTTTAGCAGCATCGCTGGCCTCTACCCATCAGATGCCAGTAGCACCCTACTCCCACTGTGAGAATCAAAATTGCCTCCAGACATTGCCACATGTCTCCTGGGAGCAAATTTGCTGGAAGACTCACTGATTTAAAGCATATCCTCTAAGGCCTGCGACACAGTAGGTGCTTTGTCCCTGAAGGTAGCCAATGTTTTTTTAGCTCTCTACAAACATCATCTATTATTATCATACCCATTTCACAGATGAAGAAACTGAAGCACGAAGAGGTTAAGTAACTGGCCCAAGGTCACACAGTTGGTTAAAAAGCCAGGACTGGGGCCAGGCATGGTGGCTCACGCCTGTAATCCTAGCACTTTGGGAGGTTAAGGGCAGGGGGGTGGGGGTGAGGGGCAGATCACCTGAGGTCAAGAGTTCGAGACCAGACTGGCCAACATGGTGAAACCCCGTTTCTACTAAAAATACAAAAATTAGCCTGGCGTGGTGGCAGGTGCCTGTAATCCCAGCTACTCGGGAGGCTGAGGCAGAATTGCTTAAACCTGGGAGGCGGAGGTTGCAGTGAGCTGAGATCGTGCCACTGCACTCCAGCCTGGGCAACAGAGTGAGACTCTGTCTCAGAAAAAAACCAAAAAAACAAAAAAACAAAAAACCAGAGTTGGAACCAAGCAGCCGAACCCAAGCTCCTCCCTCCACTGCCTGATCACTTGTGTTAGTTCTTGTCTCCATAAACTCCAATCTTCAGAAAGCCCTCTGAGATTTCCAAACTCCCACTCCAGTGTCTGGATGACATCACTGTCCTCTGGGAAGCCTGTCTTGATGTCCCACCTTCCCCATCCAGCACAATCGCTCCCTTCCCTGATGGCCTCCACTGAACCACAAAAGAGTTTGGGTTTCCAATGAGGCAGACCTAGGCTCAAGTGCCAACCCCACTATTTTGTCAATGGCTATGAGATGCTGGGCAAATGGCTTAATCTCTCTGAGCCTCAACTTCCTCATCTGTAAAATGGGTCCATCACCTCTGGGTCATACTGCATGGCTGAGAACACAGACCCTGGAGCCAGAATGGTGAGGTTTGAATCTTACCTCGGCCACTTCCCAGCTGTGGGAGCTTGGGCAAGTGAGGGAACCACTCGGTGCCTCAGTTTCTTCGTCTGCAAATGTCAGTAATAACACACCAGCCCACAGAGCCACAGTGAACATAAAAAAGCTCACAAGCATATCATGAGTGCTTAGAACCATGCCTGGCACTTAGTAGATGCTAGAGGTGCTGGCTGTGGCTCTTTTGAAGTCTCCTCGGGGGACAGAGGAGAGTGCAAGAATAAGGCATGTGATGTGGCCCAGGACATCAACAAAGCTGAGGTCACTTCCTACAGCCTCCCAGGTGTCGGCACTTTCTTGTAGGGGAGCTGAGTACAGTGGAAATCGAAGTCCTCTCTCTGCGCAGAGGGCTGGTAAGGTCCTGCAGGAGAGTAGAGCTAAAAGGGTGGGGAAGGGACTTCACCAGGTTGACCGGCAGGGCAGGGGCTTGCTGGCCTCCCCGGCTCTGCTCCAATGTCTTTTTCTAGCTGGGGCTCACTGTTGTGTTCTGCCTATGGGTGCTCCTACCAGCACCACAGGCACCTTCCCATGGCTGTCCCTCTTCGTGTGAATTTCAAGGACAAACAAAAAGAGCAGAGAGTCTGGACTCTCTGCAGATAATAGCAACAGCAGCAATCCTTTATTAAGCACCTACTGCGTGTCAGCACCTTTGAGCCTTCCCAGCAGGTATCATTATGCCCACTTTGCAGATGAATAAATTGAGGCTCAGGGGAGGGAAATCACTTGCCGGGAAGTGGTGTGACCTCATGTGGCTCTTCCCAAGTCCCCAGTGCATCTCAGCTGAAAAAAGCAGTTTGGACACACGTGTCTGACTTGTTCCAGGCCCGGGCCAGGTCTGCCCCTAGCTAGGGTGCTGACTTCGTGTCTTCAAGGTCTGGCGGTGTCAGAGAATTCTGCTCATCAGTCCAGAGAGCACTGTCCTGTTGAGTTGGGTCAGGAAACACGATCTTGCTCCCTGCTGCATCACTGGAAGTCACGCCAGCCTGTTTACACACCTGGCAGGAGCTCCGGGAAAGTGGAAAGTTGGCTGGACCTCAGAGGAATTGTTCTGGGGTCAGCGGGTCTATGTGCCCACTTGAGGGATGGGGCAATGGGTCAAACCGGGTAGGGAGAGCATGGAGGGGCACAGATGAGGGATCTGGGTCCACTAGGCTGGGAGAGGTTAGCAAAGTCTCTCCAGTCCCCTTCTGGGCCTCAGTCTTCCCAGCTCAAAATAGAAAGGGCTGGAAACCCTGATTCCTGCTCAAACGTTACGCAAACCAGGAAGCAGTCTGGGGTTTTAGACCCCGTACAGGTTCTGAAATCAGAACTTGTGTTCAAATCCAAATTCATGGAATGAATACTTTTTCACTGAGCACCTACTATGTGTCAGGCACTACTCTGGGTACAGGGCTGCCATAGAGCACACTATAAGCATAAACCTGCTCTTAGGTCACTCACAGCCAAGGGGGAGAGGCAGACACTAGACAAAGAAATGATCATTTCAGATCAGGATGAATGCCATGAAGGAATAAAACAGAAGGCTGTTTTAGAGAGTGATTTGTGGGATGAAGAGGGCAGGTGTGCTTGAGAAGCAGGAGGACTTCTAGGAGGAGGTACCATTGGAGCCAAGGCCTAAATGACCAGAAGCACCCAGCTGTGGAAGATCTGGGGCAAGAATGGTCCAGGGAAGCAAGTGCAAAGGGCCTGAGGCAGGAGCAAGCTTGGCAGCTTTGAAGAACCAAAAGAAGGCACATGAGGCTGGGGCACAGTGAGAAAAGACAAGGGCAGGGGAAGTTGTAAAATCAGGTTTTCTAATTTCTGTATTTGAGGCTCTGAGACCCTGGAGGGACTGCCCCTTCCCAGGGCTAGCAAATTCCTAGAAAGAATAAACTACTAGCCTGCAAGCATTCCTTCATATGTGAAACAACCAATCGAGACCCCATACTCCCTACCACCTCTTTTTGAGGGATCTCACATGAATCCACCTGCCCTAATCACCCCAGAGCCAGGTACAAGACAACTAGGGGAAGCCCCTATGCCCCCAGACCCACTGAAATGATTCAAACTAACTAGCCAGTCCTAAACCTGCACACCCTGCCTTGCCCGAACATATTGCCCACAGTAAAGGCTCATGCCCACGTTTCCTCTTATTCCCTCTGCCTCCCGACAGACCCTGCTGCTCCCCTGTGTGGCCCTGTGTGGCATGGTATGCCTCCTGCTTCTAGGGCCATCTGAGTATAAAAACTTCTTTGATAATGCTGATTTCTGTGTCTGTGTGTTTATCATACCCAAATAAAACAAATTCCATTACCATTAAAACAGACACAAGGGGACAGGTGGGCAGGAGCTGGATGACACAGGGCCCTGGGGCCACAGCTGTGAGCATGGGTGTCATTTTAAATTCTACTCACCAGCTGGGGACCTTGGGCTACAACACTGCACTGTGCTGACCCTCGGTGCCTCCTCATAGGCCTCCCTTGTCTGGATGTTCTAAGCATTGGCTGCAATGCATGTGAAGTACCCAGCATAACACCTGGCGCTTAGTAGGTGCTCAGTCTATGGTTGCTTTTGCCAGTTTCTGCCCTCCTGGGTCGCTGTGCACTGGAAGTCTGCATCTAGAGTTGGGAAGATGACTCCTTGCCCTCTCCCCCTGCTCAGGACTCTTCCTGCTCCTGGCCTCTTGCGCTTCCCATTCCCCAGGAGCACCCTTCCTTCCTCTCTTCATCTTACCACATCCAGTCCAAGCGCAAAGCCAACCAGAGACAAGAAGCCTTCCCAGCTTGTCAGCCTGACCCCAGAGCTTTACGGTGAGTCACAGCCTGTCCCTGTCCCTGGATTGCCAACCTGGCTCTCGAATTAGCCTCTGATTATTCCCGGAGTGTCCAGGGTCAGCAACTTTCTGCAGGAGGCAAAGGGCCAGGGGAGATAGGCGACAGCAGGAGTCTGGAAGTCAGCCTGAGAACCATCTGCCGCCATCTGCCGCCATCTGCCAGCCTAATGTGGGCAGGGGTCTCCTCCTGTCTGCACGTGGGCTCTTCATTGGGCAAATGGAGAGAATCGTAGTAGCTCCTTCTTGGGGTCATGGTGAGGATTAATGAGAAAATGCATGCCAAGAACTTAGCACACAACTGGCATTCTTTCTTTCACTTATTCGAGACATACTTATGAGCACCTACTATGTGCCAGGCACGGGGCTGGCACCAAAGATACAATGGTAAGCAGGACAAAAAAAAAAATATCCCTGCCCTTGTGAGCTTATACCCCATGGGTGGGAAGGGGGGAAGGGGGTTAATATAGATAATGCACCAGCAGATACATAATTAAAACATAATACGTTGCCAGGTAGTGATAAAGACCGTGAAGAAAAATAAGGCAGAATGGAGTGTAAAGGATTTTTCATTTTCTATTTTAGATAGGGTCTAAAGATAGGGGCAGGGACGGCCTTTTCGGAGGTAAGATCTGAACGGAGATCAATGAAGGGAAGGAGCAAGACTTGCGGACATCTGGGAGAACAGAGGTTCAGAACGAGGGGGCTGCAAGTGCAAAGGTCCTGGGATGAGAGCAAGCTTGGGATATTTAAGGAGCAGTAAGAAAGCCAGAGCGCTGGGAGCAGAGGGCATGAGAGGTGGAGTGGGGTTGGAAGATGGATCAGCAAGGAAACGGGGACCAGAACTCCTAATAAACATACAGTAAACATGAGCTGTCCTTAACCTTTGTTGAGAGCTAGCTACGATCTGAATAGAAATAAGTGAACTTGACCTCTGACCCCCCTCACCTGTCATCTAGAAGTTAGCTGTCAAGAGATTAAATGAAATGTCTTTAGCATAAAACATTGATGAGGCCAGATACAGTTGCTCGTGCCTGTAATCCCAGAATTTTAGGAGGCTGAGAGGGGCGGATAGCTTGAGCCCAGGAGTTTGAGACCAGTTGAGTGGCATGACTCCATCTCTACAAAAAATACAAAAATTAGCCAGGCGTGGTGACGTGTGCTTGTAGTCCCAGCCACTTGGGAGACTGATGTGAGAGGATCACTTGAGCCCAGGAGGCAGAAGTTGTAGTGAGCCGGGATCATGCCACTGCACACCAGCCTGGGCAACAGAGGAAGACCCTGTCTCAAAAATAATTAATTAATTAAAATAAAAACATTGATGACCAATGCCTAAGACAGGGTACTCCCTGGAGAGGGGGATGGAAGTGCTCATCTCCGCCCTGCCCCTCACTGAAGCCTTTGGAAAATTCACTTCCTTTTCTGGGCCTCAGTTTCCTTTTTGTGGGGGTTAAACTAGAATGAGCACCAGTTTACGATGGCAACTGTAATATTAATAGCTGACAGTTACTAAGTGCTAACTATAAGCCAGCACTCCAGTAAGTGCCTCAAACATATGAACCCATTTCCTCCCCACAGCAGTATGAGGTTGAACGATGATTAGACCCAATCTCCAGATGAGAAAACTGAGGCACGGGACTGACCATTTCAACATAGTCCTTTGCACCAAATGCTACCAGCATCTCCCATTTTTTTTTCCAAATCAATTTCAAAGATCCCAACCAGAAAAGCATGTGTAAAGGTTAAATTGCCAAAAAAATAAAATAAAATGTACATGTCCTCTGAGACACACATTTTGCATGTATGAACTTATTTATTCATTGTAAAATCCTGTGAAGAAAGGACTGTGGACATTTCCATTTTTCAGCTGGGGAACTGGGTTCAGAGAGGTGAAGACACTCTTCCTGCATCACACTGCTCATCAGGGCAGAGGCTAGAGATGAATTCATATCCAAATGAATCCAAAGCCTGGAACCTTTTTGACCAAGCCAGGCTCTCTCCTGAACACCAGGGTTTGCATCCCAGGAACATGGGGCCCACATGATGGGACCCATCTGGGAATTATGGACAATTGATGCATCAAAATTCAGAGGGAGACATGGGGCTAAACTTCCCAGCCGCTCCTGGGAGAACCAGTCTGGTGGGGTGGTTTTGCCATGTATTCATCTTTTCTTGCTGCTGTAACAAATGACCCCAAATGGAGTGGCTTAAGAAACACAAATGTATTCTTTTAGAGTTTTGGAGGCCAGAATTCTGAAATCATTTTCACTAGGCTAAAGTCAAGGTGTTGGCCAGGCTGGTTCCTCCTGGAAGCTCCAGGAGAGAGAATCCATGCCTTGCCTGTTCCAGCTTCTGGAGGCCACCTGCATTCCTCAGCTCACAGCCCCACATCACATTGCTTTTTCTCCCTCTGCTTCCATCATCCTATTACCTTCCGATTTCAACTTCTCCTGCCTGCCTCTCAGAAAGCCGCCTGTGGATTACATCAGGTCCACCTGGATACTGCACAATAATCTCCCTGTTTCAAGATCCTTTACCTAATCACACCTGGAAAGTCCCTTTTTTCCATAGAAAGTAACATTCACTGGTTCAGGGGATTAGGACACCGACACCTTTGGTGGGTCACTATTCAGCCAGCCACATGCCCGAGATTTCCTTTACTTAACAGCTCACCAAGCTTCATGGTGGCAAGAAGGCCATCCATGTACAGATGAGGAAATTGAGGAGCTGGGG
Organism: Homo sapiens; assembly: GCF_000001405.40. Classification (NCBI taxonomy): domain Eukaryota; kingdom Metazoa; phylum Chordata; class Mammalia; order Primates; family Hominidae; genus Homo; species Homo sapiens. The sequence continues at coordinate 46,645,483 of NC_000020.11, forward strand.
CTATCAGTCAACCTCAGCATCCCCAGACAAGACACGCTTCCAGGCTATGGGTCCAGTATTTCTTGAAGCATAAAAAGCCAACTCCAGAAGACTTTGGGTGGAACAATGAGGTTACCTCCCTTCTAATCCTTCTTTCCTTCTCATTATTTCCAAAACAAAGTCTCAGTTTGGTACTAGTTTGTCTTTAATGCCTCACTTGATGATATCCCTCCCCTTGCAACAAAGAGAGGGCAGATCGCAGGCCCATAGCTTCAACCAGGCAGTATGTACCCAGTATTAATCAGCGTTAAATATTTACCTATCAATTGCTAGTTTTCTTCTCCTAATCATCAGTGATGATCCTGGTTTTCCATACATGATACCCACAGAAAATCTCCTTTTAAAGTCATTGCATTTAAGTTTTTTTAAAAGGAGAGGGCAGTAAGACATTAATGTAAAAAGAATAACAGGAATGTAATTAAGTAAATAATATTGAGTGGTAAGGGACTCTGGCAAAAATGATGTGAGTGGTATTTGGATGATGGAAACCAAACCAGATTCACTCCATTCTGGGGTGCATGGGGGAAAACTCCCTGTCTGAGCTCCCTGAGGCTCAAATGAGATGATAGAAGGTAAAATCAGCAGGCAGTGTCTGGCCAGAGAAGGTGCTCAATCCGCAGAGCTGGACTTGCAGTTTTTTTCTGGAAAACCTCTGTTGGGGAAAACTCAAGGGCCTCTCTCACTTCCTGGCCGCTCTCACTTCCAAAATCCAGGACTAAGAGAGAAGGAGGAGGAGTGACCGAAGTAGTGTTTAGTAGCTGTGTGACCTTGGAATTTAACCTCTCTGTGCCTCACTTTCCTCATCTCTAAAAATGGGGATAATTTTTGTTTGAACTTCCTACATCTGATGTGAAGAGTAAATGAGCTGAAATTTGAGATGCATGTAAAACAGCATTTTGTAAATGTGAGAAAATCTGTGGCTATTGCTCTAATTATAAACTCCCACTATATGCTGAGCACCACTCTGGACACCTCCTGTATCTTCCCCTAATTCTCGTAACAGAATGAGAGGGTGTGAGTCCTCCTCACTTCACAAATGAGACTCAGCCTCAGAAATTCAAGGTTTCCAGCCCAGGCTCCCCTCTTCAGAGCCAGACACAAATCCAGGTTTTCTCAACTCTAAAGCCCATGTTCTCTCCAACATTTAACTTCTCTGAGCCTCAGTTTCATCATCTGCAAAATAGGAGAACTAAAACATATTTTCAGCATTAAATAAAAAACTAAGAATTTATAGTACAGGCACAATGTATTAACTCACTGTGGCCAGAAAATAACTGGGAAAGAATATAATATTATGGCTGTGTTATAAATGAAGAAACCAAGGCCAGAAATAGAAAATGACTTGCCCAGCAAGTATGTGGAATGCGAATGCAGTTCTGATTCCAAAGCCTCAAAACTGGGAATGAAAGGACCATCTTCCTGGTCATCTACCTGCCCACAAATTAGGCAAATGCAAGAAAGGGGGCCTCTGACCTTACAGGTGTACTACCATCCCCCCCAAATATCTCTATCCCAGAGTAAGTCTGCTGTTGGCCACCGTGACACCTTTGTGCAAATTAGAATAAAAGGCCCTTCCTCAGGTGGATCCAGCTGTGCACCAGGGTGCACAGCTTGGCATGTGGAATGCAGGCTGGTTCAGCCTTACTTGCCTCCTCAAGCACCTTGTGCAGTGCACAGCTTGCACAACACTCTGTAGCAGCCTTGCCGAGAGCATCCCCAAACTCTTCCTTCTCAGAGCATCTTTAGAGTCACCTGTGAGTCCCCAGTGTTAAGAACTCCTCTTGGACAGGTGGTCAGTATCATTTAATTTGCTCTCAGGGGGCATAAGGCAGGAAAGGGGGTAAGGCTTCTCTGCAAACAAGTGGGGCTGGAGCTTATTTGTAAGCCTGTTTTATTAATAAGAGTCCCATCTGTGCCCACTAGCTAAGATCACTCCCCAAACCTCTAACTCGCAGGATGGCCATTCTTGGAAAACGTTGATGTAGTCCCTGGGGTAGCATCCCAACTTCCTGAGCCCCCAGCACTCTTCATAGCAAGAGCTAGGATCCCCAGTGGTGCTGGAAGCGGCAGCCATGCATTCCAGAGCTCATCCCACTCCTTTTCATCCCTGCTGACAGCATTTCTGAGCCAGAGGACATAATGTAAGAATTGTTCCTTCCAGCTCTGCTCTGCAGATTGACTCCAGCCTCCCCGAAGACAAGCTCACCAGTCACCAGGAACAGGTGCATGAAAACCAACCCTCTTAACACACAGACTCCTAGAACAGCAAAGCAGCAGTGGACAGATGTCATCAAGCTGGAAACCCAGGCCCCAAAGAGGGGTTGTCTCCTACTCCACACTGCCTGGTAAATGACAAATAACTGAACATCTCCAACTTCTTTCCTGATGTGATATCTGCAGTTTCGCAAGTTGTTAGTGATCCATGTATACAATACAACCTGCATTCATGGCGCCAGAATATCCATGTGGAAGAGGCTGAGAAGTGACAATCTGATGTTGGAGTGGACGCTGAGGACGCCTGTCTTGAATTGCCCAGCAAGCATGTTTTGAAGTTAGTCCACCAGCCTCTGTTTGGGGAGGCTCTCACAGGGAGTGACTGGTGAAGATGACCAGAATTGTCTTGAAGCTCCATGTGCATAACAAACCTACTGTGCTTGCTTTAACCCATGTCCCGTTTTGCACCGAGAATACTGCACTGGCAGTGAGCTGCACTTTTTTTTTTTCTAAATGGGAAATGGATTAAATGTGTGTCCCAGATCAATAAAGATGATGATGTTTTCTAAGGATACTTCTTATTCGCATTGTATATGAAATTGAGAAACACGTCTGTTCTTAATGTCAGAGAATCTAATAATGACAATCATATAAATATTGTTATATGGGAGAGGAGGCTTCAGGTATGCCAACAGAGATTTTGAGGGAGGCGAAGGTCCTCCAAAGAGCCAGGCCTGCCTCCTGGGAGGAGGCCCTGGTTCATCAACCACTTAAAGAGGCAGTGACATCTAGAGCCATATAAAGGGTCCCCACAAGGGAACTGTAGGGAACAAAGGGGTGGTTTGTATTGAATTATAACTAAGAAGAGCATGTAAGGCACAGCAGTTAGAAAGAAGTACAGACTCTTGCCTGTAATCCCAGCACTTTGCGTAGCCGAGGCTGGTGGATCGCTTGAGTCTAGGAGTTTGAGACCAGCCTGGGTGACATAGTGAAACCCCGTCTCTACTAAAAATATAAAAATTAGCCGGGTGTGGTGACAGGAGCTGATAGTCCCAGCTACTTGGGAGGCTGAGGCAGGAGGATGGCTTAAGCCTGGGAGGTGGAGGTTGCAGTGAGCCAAGATCGTGCCACTGCACTCCAGCCTGTGTTACAGAGCAAGACCCTATCTCTCTCTCTCTCTCACACACACACACACACACACACACATACACACACACACACACACACACACATAAAGGAGTACAGACTCTGCATTCTGGCTTTGCAGCAGCTGTGTAACCTTAGGCAAGTCACCTAACCCCGCTGAGTTTCCGTTTCTTCACCTGTCAAATAGGGATGCAAATAACAGCTGCCTCTCTGGTTGTTGTGGGCATTACATGGGACAAGCCTGACAAGCTCCTAGCATGGCCCCTAGCACATGGTAAGAGCTAAGCACTCAATAAAACACCTTCTTCATCAGGCTTAGCACCATCATAAGGGATTAGTTACATCCCAGGGGCTCTCCCTGTTATCTCTCCCTGCTTTCCATTCAGTTGTGCATGTTGGAGTTCAGATAGGAAGAGGATCCTTTGTGAAGCTCAAGCTTCAGACCTCTCCCAAGCCTCGTACCGAATCCTGTATTTGTAAATCTGTATTCATTTTCTTCAAGAGTCCCCCTCAAGTAGTAAATGCTCCCCGCCCCTTAACCCTTGGATCTGCTCCTGGGTTCATGTTCTTGCTAGAGAACAGAGCAGAGAGAAGCTGTCGGGACCCCTACTGAGAGAATAGAGACCTTGTGTTTTATCTCTTCTTGCCAGAGAGCTCTGCCTATGGCCTCGCAGACAGCAATCAGTCAAGGCTCAGCCACCCACACTTCCACCAAAGATGTTTCACAAAGCCTTACTCAACCTCTCACATCAATCCCAGAAGCTAGCGGTGTAATCGCTCCACTTACAGGGAAGCAAAACCCAAAGAGGAAAGGAGATTGGTCCAAGATCTTAAGATCCACAGGTCAGAAAGTGGCCTGGGGTGGGCTGAGTTTTGCAAAGGTGACCTCATCCTTCTTCCATCATTTATTGTGTTTTTCTCTTCCACGTCGAGAAAGTCTAATAGCTTAGATAATTCCACACTAATGAACTTGCTGTGTGTTAGCCCTGGGTCTCCTTGGAACCACTGGTGTCACCTTCTTACTCCATGTGCCCAAGGAGGGCTCCTTCTTCCAGGAGAAGCTCCCTGGTCTCAGCTGATCGGTGCTGGGTAATGCACCACTAAATTATACCTCCTCTTTACTTTTATTTTTGTGAACATTTAATACCTCACTGAGAGATGGTGAAGCAACTTCCTGGAGGTAGAAGCCTTATCTTACAAGCCCAGTGCCCTCTCATGATGCCCTGGCTGGGCTGGGCAGGGCACAGGTGAAGAACCCAAAAGGGACCTGTGGTACCATCTCCTTCCAGCCCCCACTAGTGTTGATTTCAGTTATGACTCCTGAACTCCACCTGCGGCCTTTGATCTTACAGGGGTTACTTCCTTGGGGAGACTGAAAACAGCTAGGGTTCTGGATTCTGACAAGCCGGGGACTGAATACCGACATAGTCACTTGCTGTGTGACTCTGAGCAAGTCACTTTCTCTCCCCGAGCCTTGGTTTTCTCCTCTGGAAAATGGGTCAAATAATCTTTCCCCTCTGAGACGCGTTGAAATGATTAAATAAAGTGATACACAAAAGGCAAATCCTCACCCGTAGTAAGCACTCATGAATCTTACCGTCCTCATCACGTAAGGACCTGGTGCAGAAAAAGACCAGTCACTGCTTATTGGGCATTTATTCTGTACAAGGTTTAGTTATAAGAGATTTACATATATTGCCTCATTGATATTCACCGCTGCCCTATGGGTGGGCACTATCATTTCTCCCATTTTTACACATGAGTAAACTGAAGTTCAGAGAGGTTAAGTGACTTGCACCATGTCACACAGCTTGGCACCCAGTAAGTGTTCATTGTGACTGTCGCGTGAAATGTGCAATACAGCACCAAGCACAGAATTAGAGCTCAGGAAAGAAAGAATTCTGCTAGGCACAGTGGTTCACGTCTGTAATCCCAGTATATGGGAGACCAAGGTGGGAGAATTGCTTGAGTCCAGGAGTTCCAGACCAGCCTGGACAACATAGTGAGACCCTATCTCTATTAAAAAAAAATTAGCTGGGCATGCACCTGTAGTTCTAGCCACTAGGGAGGCTGCGGAAGGAGGATCGCTTAAGTCCAGGAGTTGGAGGCTGCAGTGAGCTATGATCACATCACTGCACTCCAGCCTGGGTGACCGGCGAGAACCTGTCACTGAAACGAAACGAAATTATTCCCATGGAAGTGAGATCCAGAAGGCAGGGTGGGACTCAAGCTCTAAGGAGCAGCTGGGAAGAGGGAAGAGGCGTTAGGAGCGTTCACAGCGGTCCGCGGCAGGTGCAAGGGAGGGAAGGCGAGGGGGTCTGGTGGAGCCTGTCTACACTGGGACCTCAGCGGTCTCCCAACTTGGAGGCTTGGGAGAAGAGGATCCCGCCTGTGGTTGACCGGGGGCGCACAGGCGGAGGAGGCGTTACCTTGGGCGGGAGGGCGAAGACCACCGGCAGCAGCGCGAGCGGCGTGAACAGCAGCACCAGCAGCCGCCGCGCGCTCCACACCTTCTTGGCCGCTGCTGCCAGCGCCGCCATCAGCGCGATCGCCTGGCGGTACGGGCCGGCCCGGGACTGCCCCGCCTGGCCCCGGCGCCGGCTTAAAGCCTGGGGGAGGGTCGGGGAGGGGACTGCGCTGGGGAACCCGCCCTCTCCCTGCTCCTCCTGGAGGAAAAGGGTGGTGCCTGCGCCCCTGGGACCGGGTGAAAGAGGCCCGGGAACGTTGGAGAAAGTTAGGCACTAGAATTAGCAAACGGGACCCCAGCCGCAGGGCAGTGTGGCCTTGCCTCTTGGCTTCCCAGCAATGTGGCCTGGGGCAGCTGGCTTATCCTCTCCTCGCCTCTGTTTACTCGCCTGTGAGATGGCTGAGGATGACAAGGCGAGGATTAAGGCGCGTACTCCTATTACCCGGGTTCAAATCCTGGCACGGCCACTTACTCACTGCGTGGCCTTCAACAACAGCCTCTGAGCCTGAAAGTGGAGTGGTGATAATAATAGTCTACACCATGGAATACTATGCAGTCACAAAAAAGAAGGACATCATGTTTTTTGCGGGAACATGGATGGAGCTGGAGGCCATTATCCTTAGCAAACTAACACAGGAACAGAAAACCAAATGCCGCATGTTTTCACTTATAAGCGGGAGCTAAATGATGAGAACACATGGACACATAGAGGGGAACAACTGACACTGAAGCCTATGGGAGGCTGGAGGGTGGGAGGAGACAGAGGATCAGGAAAAATAACTAATGGGCACTAGGCTTAATACCTGGATGACGAAATAATCTGTGCAACAAATCCCCATGACACAAGTTTACCTATACAACAAATCTGCACATGTACCCCTGAACTTAAAAGTTAAATTTTTAAAAATAGTCTACACCAGACAAGAAGGTTGTTAGGAAGTTTAAATGAGATAACACATGTAATGTGATTAGCGCAGTGTCTGGCAGAGCAGGTGCTCAATGAGAGTTATTGCTGCTGATGAGTTATTCTTATTTTTGGGTTTTTTTTTCTTTTTTTTGAGATGTAGTCTCACTCTGTAACCCAGGCTGGGCTGGGGAGCAGTGGAGCGATCTCGGATCACTGCAACCTCTGCCTCCCGGGTTCAAGCAATTCTTCTGAGTAGCTGGGATTACAGGCGTGTGCCACCATATCTGGCTAATTTTTTTTTTTTTTTTTTTTGTATTTTTAGTAGAGATGGGGTTTCACCATTTTGGCCAGGCTGGTCTCGAACTCCTGGCCTCATGATCCGCCCATCTCGGGCCTCCCAAAGTTCTGGGATTACAGGTGTGCGTCACCACGCCCGGCCGTTATTCTTATTTTTTTTTAAGGGGGGTGAGTCACTTCTATTCACTTCTGATTATTCTCAGGTAACCATACAGGAGTGCAACTGTTGGGTTGCCCAGTATTTGCAATGCTTAGCTTTTTAAGACACTGTCAACCTGTCTTCCAAAGTGATTGTACTATTTTGCACTTCCATCAACAATGTATGAATCATCCAGTTTCTCCACATCTTTGCCAACATTTGGTGTTGTCACTGTTTATTTTATTTTAACCATTCTGACAGGGACATAGTAATAGCTCATTGTGGTTTTAATTTCTATTTCCCTAATGGCTAGTGATGTTTAACATCTTTTCACATGCTAATTTGCCATCTCTATATCCTCTTTGGTGAACTATCTTTTCCTGTCATTTGCCTGTTTTCTACTTGTATTATTTGGTTTTTTACAGTTGAGTTTTGAAAGTTCTTTGCAAATTCTAGATGTCAGTTCTTTGCCAGTTACGCTGTTTGCAAATATTTCTCCCCGTCTGTAGCTTGTCTTTTCAGCCTCTTAACTATATATCACCAAGCAAACATTTCTAATTTTGATGTAGTTAAATTTATCAAATTTTTCCTTTGGATGATCGGGTTAAGCTCTCTGCATAGCCTTAGACCCCAAAGAGTTTCTCGTATGTTTAGTTTGCTTTGTTCTCACAGAAGTGTCCAAGGAAGAGAATACAGTCATGGGTTCTTAGTTTCTGTTTCTGGTTGGGCCAGTAAAGCCCCTTCCTCATCCCTCTTTTCCACTCATCACTAGAGACAGAAACTAAAAACCATGGCTTCAGGCTGCTAAAAGCTTAAAACAAACAAACAAACAAAAAAAGAACAACAACAAAATAAGGCAGGTTGGACAAGCTTGTCAGAAGTTTTACAGTTTTGAAACACTGTATTCATTACAAAATAACTTCATTCTCTCCTCCCACAGCCTCTGGAAACCATCATTCTGCTTTCTGTCTCTATAAATTTGATTAATCTGGATAGCTCATACAAGCGGTATCATGGAATATTTATCCTTTTGTGATTAGCTTTGTGTCCTTAAGGCTCACCCATGTTGTAGCATGTGTCATAATTCCTTTTTAAGGCTGAATAATATTCCATTGTATGGATATACTATATCGTGTTTATCCATTCATTTGTTGATAGACATTGGGTTGTTTCTACCGTTTGGCTATTGTGAGTAATGCAGCTATAAACATAGGTGTACAAAGAGTATCTGTCTGAGTCCCTGCTTTCAGTTCTGGGTATATACCCAGAAGTGGAACTGCTGGATCATAAGGTAATTCTGCGCTTTTTGAAAATTATTATTGAGAAATGGCCATACTGTTTTTCACAGAGGCTGCACTATTTTACATTCCCACGATGTGCAAGGGTTCCAGTTTCACCACATCCTCACCAACACTTATTTTCTGTGATTTTTTTAAATAATAGCCATCCTAATAGGTGTGAAGTGGTATCCCACTGTGATTCTGATGTGCGTTTCTCTAATGATTATTGATGTTGAACATCTTTCCATGTGTTTATTGGCCATCTGCGTATCTTGTTTGGAGAAATGTCTATCCAGGGCCTTGGTCCATTTTTTTAGCATTTTGGTTTTTGTCACTTGCATGGCTTTTTTCAGTAATTGCTCTAGGTATTACATTGCATGTACATAACTTATAAGTTATAATCCACTGGTATTGCCATTTAACCAATTCCAGCAAAGCATAGAAACCTTACTTCATGCCCCTTTGCCTTACCCAGTTTAAAATACTTCTTTCAATATTTTCTCTACATACATTTAGAACCACATCAGTGTTTTAACTTTTCCTTCAGCTATCAGGTATAATTTTTTTTTCTTGTTGACATGGAGTTTTGCTCTTGTTGCCCAGACTAGAGTGCAATGGCGCCATCTCAGCTCACTGCAACCTCCGCCTTCCAGGTTCAAGTGATTCTCCTGCCTCAGCCTCCTGAGTAGCTGGGATTACAGGCACCCACCATCACACCCGGCTAATTTTTTGTATTTTTAGTAGAGACGGGTTTACACCATGTTGGCCAGGCTGGTCTCAAACTCTTGACCTCAGGTGATCCACCGGCCTAGGCAACACAAATTGTTGGGATTATAGGCATGAGCCACCATGCCTGGCCAAGAACTTCCTTTAATCATTCTTTGAGACCAGGTCTGCAGGCAACAAATTCTCTTAGTTTTCCAACATCTGAGAAGGTCTTGATTTCCCCTTGGTTCTTATTTTTGGTGGACATAGAATTCTGTTATTTTCTTTGAGCACTTGAGAAATGCTATGCACCTACTTTCTGGCCTCCATGGTCTCTGGTGAAAAATCTGATATCATTTGAGTTATTTCTTCTCCATAGGTAAGGTTCATTTCTCTTTCTCTTGAATAAATATTTTCCAAGATTTCTTTTTTTTGTCTTATGTTTTGAGAAGTTTGGCCATGATATGTCTTGGTGTGGATTTCCTTGGTTTACCCTAGCAATATTTGGAGTTCACTCAGCTTCTTGGGTCTGTAGATTTATAATATACACATACATATATACACATATATATACACACGTATATACACATATGTATACACATATATACACATATATACACATATATACACACACATATATACACATAGATATGTTCATTCATATATATATATACCAAATATACATATATGTATATATAAGCCAAAAGAGGTTTAATTAGCTCATGGTTATGCAGGCTTTACAGGAAGCATGGTGCTGGCATCTGCTCGGCTTCTGGGGAGGCCTCAGAGAGCCAACATGTATATATATGTGTGTGTGTGTGGTATATATATAATATATATTTTTATATAGTATATATTATATATACTATACAAAAATACAGATATACTACACAATAATATTCCATTGTATGGATATACCATATCATGTTTATCCATTCATTTGTTGATAGACATTGGGTTGTTTCTACCTTTCGGCTATTGTGAGTAATGCAGCTATAAACATGGGTGTACAAAGAGTATCTGTCTGAGTCCCTGCTTTTATACAAAAGAAAATAATATATATATACTATATATATATTTTATACAAAAGAAAATAGTATATATATGCCTTCAGTATATATAATATATAATACTGTATATACTATATATACTATACAGTATATATTATACTGTATATAATATATATACTGTACAGTATATATTATACTGTATATAATATATATACTGTACAGTATATTATATATACGTATATAATATACTACAGTATATATATACAGTATACATATATGTATATATGTATGTATATATGTATATATGTATACTACATATACTATATATACAGTATATATACATATACTACAGTATACTATATATACATATACTACAGTATACTATATATACATATATATTATATATACTGTACAGTCTATATTATACTGTATATAATATACCACACAGTCTATATTATACTGTATGTAATAGACTGTACAGTCTGTATTATATTGTATATAATATAGACTGCACAGTATATATAATACTGTATGTGATGTAGACTGTACAGTATATATTATACTGTATACTTATATAGACTGTACAGTATATATTATACTGTATATAATATACTATACAGTATATATTATACTGTATATGATATACTATACAGTATATATTATACTGTATATGATATACTATACAGTATATATTATACTGTATATGATATACTATACAGTATATATTATACTGTATATGATATACTATACAGTATATATTATACTGTATATGATATACTATACAGTATATATTATACTGTATATGATATACTATACAGTATATATTATACTGTATATGATATATACTATACAGTACATATATTATACTGTATATGATATATACTATACAGTACATATATTATACTGTATATGATATATACTATAGTGTATATATTATACTGTATATGATATATACTACCTATTATTATATATATAGCCAAATTTGGGAAGTTTTCAGCCATTATTTCTTTGAATAATTTTATGTCCCACTTTCTTTCTCCTCTCCTTGCATAATTTCAGTGATACAGATGTTAGCTCTTTTGCTGTAGTTCCCCCTGTCCCTGCAGCTCTATTTACCTTTTCAGTCTATTCTCTCTCTGTTGTTCACAGTGGGTAATTTCCATTGTTCCATGTCCCGGTTCACTGATCCTTCTGCCTTCTCCATTTGCTGTTGAACCCATCCGTTGTATAATATTCTTCAGTTATACAATTTTCATTTGATTCTTCTTTGTACCTTCTATTACTTTGCTAAGTCTTCTGTTTCTTTGCTGAGGTTTTCTACTTTTTTCGTTTGTTTCCAGTGTGACACATCACTGTCATCTTAATATTAAGCATCAAAAGTCAGTTTGACCAGCCTGGTCAACATGGCAAAACCTCATCTCTACTAACAAACCAACAAAAAAAGCTTTTGAGAAAAAGTTTGAAAAAAAACTTTTATCATGATCCGGGACATCATCAGAGAGCACTGAGCTTGTAAGATAGGGCTTCTACCTCCAGGAAGTAGCTGGGTGTGATGGCATGCTTGTAATCCCAGCTACTCAGGAGGCTGAGGCACGAAAATCATTTGAACCCGGGAGGCAGAAGTTACAGTGAGCCGAGATCGCACCACTGCATTCCAGCCTGGATGACAGAGTGCGAAAATGTCTCAAAAAAAAAAAAAAGTCAGTGTGAGACCTTCCACTTGTCTTATACAACAAGTGACTTTCGTTTGGAACCTGGACATTTTGGGTACTGTATTACGAGATTTTGGCTCTTATTTAAAACTTGTTTTTGCTGACTTCTTTCAGTGCTCTTGCAAAGGAAATGGGGATGTCACCTCATTACTACAAGACGAAAGTAGAAGTCCAGTTCCCCACCTCATCCTCCATTAATATCTGAGGTGGGGGGAGTTGTTAGGCCGTTTCTGCATTGCTATAAAGAAATATGTGAGGCTGAGTAATTTATAAAGAAAAGAGGTTTAATGAGCTCATCGTTCTGCAAGGTTGTACATGAAACATGGCGCTGTCATCTGCTCAGCTTCTGGGGAGGCCTTGGGGAGCTTTTACTCGTGGCAGAAGGCGAACCAGGAGCAGGCAGGTCACATGTCCAGAGCAGGAGCAAGGCGCTGGGGGGAGGTGCCACACACTTTTAAACAACCAGATTTCCTGAGAACTCATATCTCAAGGACAGCACGGATCCAACCCCATGACCCAAACACTTCCCACCAGGCCCCACCTCCAACATTAGGGATTGTATTTCAATATGAGATTTGGACAGGACAAACATCAAAACCATCTCAGGGGGGTTCATTACTGCTGGGGAGTGCTGGGAGTTCTAGCTCCCATCAGCCCTCTCCTGATACCTCCCTGGCTAGAGGAGTAGGAGTGCCTTGTCTTTGCTCCCCATGTGGCTTCCATTGACACTGCGGGAGGGTGGTGTCCTTGTTGCTGCTGGGTGGTAGTTACTTTGGAATACTGATACATGCAACACTCTAAATAAATATCAAAAAAAAACCCATTATGCTATATGAAAGAAGCTGAACATAAAAAAAACTACATTCTGCATAATTATATCTATATGAAGAGTTAAAAGAGGCAAACTTCAATTATAGAAACCATATAGTGATTGCCAAGCAATGGGGGTCAAAAGACAGGATCAACTGGAAACAGCATGAGGAAATGTATAGGGTGATAGATGTGTTCTGCTGACTGTGGTGGTGGTAATACAGTTGTATATAATTATTAAATTCCATCAAACTGATCATTTAAAATAGGTGAATTTTATTATATATAGTTATACCTCAATAAAGCCAGAACAGAAGTGCATTGAGGTCAGGTGTGGTGGCTCACACCTGTAATCCCAGCACTTTGGGAGGCCAAGGCAGGAGGACTGCTTGAGCCCAGGAGTTCGAGACCAGCCTGGGCAACACGGTGAGATCCTGTCTCTAATTTTTTAAATAAATTGTTTTTTAAAAGTGATTGAGTATATTTAGCGATAAAAAATATTCATTGGATCAAGTTGGCTGATCGTGTTCTTCAAATTTAGATTCTTAAAGTCTCCAATTCAATTATGGATTTGTCTATTTCTCACTTTAGTTCTGTCAATTTTCACTTCATAGATTTTGAAGCTCTGTTATTAAATGTGAACACACTTAAGATTGTTATGTCTTTATTGGTGGATTCACCTTTCTATCATTCTAAAATCTCTCTCTTTATCACCATAGATGCCCTTTGTGTTGAAGTCCACTTTATCTGATATTTAAATAGCCACAATAGTTTTCTTATGCTCAAAGTTTGTATTGTATATCTTTTCCACTTTTTTTAAACTGTCAACCTGTTTCTATATGTACAATGTGTTTATTCTATACAGTGTATTGATGAACTCTGCTTTTTTATCTAGTCTAACATTCTCTGATATTTTAATTGGAATGTCTAATCAATTTACATCTAATATAATTATTTATCTGGTTGGATTTAAGTGTCTTATTTTGCTATTAGTTTTCTATTTATCTTATTTGTTCTTTGTTCCTCTCTTCCTCCTCTCTTGCTTTCTTTTGTATCAACTGATTATATTTTGGTGCATTTTATTTCCTCTATTAATTTTTTAGCTTTTTTCTGTTTTATTATTTTAGTGGTTTCTCTAGAGATTATGATATGCATCTTTATCACAGTCTACCTTTGCACAATGATATATTATTTTAGGAACAATATAAGAGCCTTACAATAATGGTGGCCAAGTATGGTTGCTCATGCTTGTAATCCCAGCAATCTGGGAGGCTGAGGAGGGTGTTGCTTGAGTTCAGGAGTTTGAGACCAGCCTGGCCAACATGGTGAAACCTCATCTCTACAAAAAATACAAAAATTAGCTGAGCGTAGTTGCAGGCATCTGTAGTCCCAGCTACCGGGGAGGCTGAGGTGGGAGGATAGCTCGAGCCCGGGGAGGTGGAGGTTGCAGTGAGCTGAGATCACAGTACTGCACTCCAGCCTGGGTGACAGAGTGAGACCCTATCCCCCCCCCCCAAAAAAAAAAAGAAAAAACAAAGAAAGAAAGCCTTACAATAATGGAAATAATGTAAAAAAATTCCATTTACCACCCTCTTCTCTTCCTTTGTACTTTTATTGTCTTTTTAAATTTGTGTATTCTATAAACCCAAGTATGTGCTGAAGATAACTCATGCTAGCTTATGAGAAATGACTGTTACTCTTTCAGAAAATTTGTGAGCCAGCTGTAGAACTGATGGTAGCATGAAATCACCCATAGCAAGAATATTTACACCATGAAATTAATAAAATTCTATAAATAAGGGCTTTTCTTCCAGCAGCCAATTGTTAAACATTTACCAGAACACCACTGTTTGAATTACACAACATATTGTTTTAATTTTATAAACAATCAATAGTCTTTAAAAGACATGTATAAATTATATAAATAAAAGATAAATGTACTTTAAAAAGTATTTCATATTTTCCCAAATATTTACCCTATCTCTTCACTTCTTCCTGCAGATCCAGGATCATTTCTCTTTCAGGTGCTAGCATTTCTTTTACCATTTCTTATAGTGCTGGCTTGTTGAAAGGAAATTCTCTCAGCTTCTGTTTATCTGAAAGTATCTTTATTTTTGCTTTTGTTTTTGAAGTTACTTTCACCAGATATAGAAGTCTAGATTGACAATTTTTTTTCCTTTAGTACTTAAAGATCTCATTCCATTGTGTTCAAGTTTCTATTGTTTCTGGTAAGAGATTAGCCACCATTCATATCATTGATCCCCTGTAAGTAATGTCTGGTAAGAAATTAGCCACCATTCATATCATTGTTCCCCTGTAAGTAATGCCCCATTTTTATTCTGGCTACTTGTAAGATCTCTTTATCTTTCACTTTTCAGCAGTTTGACTGAAACGTTTAGGTGTAGTGTTTCCCTTATATTTATTTACTCGGAGTTTGCTGAGCTGCTTGGATCTGTGCATTGATGTCTTTCATCAATTTTGGTATATTTCCCGTCATTATCTCTTCAAATACCTCTTTTGCCCCATTCTCTCTCTCCTTTCCTTCTAGAATTCCAGTAACATTTATGTTAGAGCATTTGGTATCATCTTACAAATTTCAGACTCTTTGTTCTTTATTTTTTTCACTTTTCCTTCTCTACGTGTTTCAAACAGGCATTTTCTATTACCTGTCTTTAGTGATTCCTGTCTTTGTTGTGCCCAGTCTCTTATAGATCTAAGTCTTCATTTCTGATGTAGTATTTTTCATCTCTATAATTTTCACTAGTTCTTTTAATAGTTTCCAGGTCTCTGCTGAAGTTTTCCATTTGTTTATGCATGTTGTTCTTTAGATTCTTTCATTTTTAGAATTTTGTTGTAGATTTTTTAAGTCTCTGGGAATTCCAGAATCTAGGCCAAATCTGAATCTGCTTCTATTAATACTTTTCTTTAATGACTGTCACATTTTATTATTGTCTGTGTGGTTGCTAATCTTTGAACGCATTGTTGACATTTTTGTAAGAAAGAACAGTAGAGAATGAAGTAAATAATATTTACCTCCAGAAGGGGGTACTCCCCTTTTCCTGTAAAACCGATAGAGTATGGAATTAACCAGTCTTACCTGCAGTATGGAGTTAATCGGTTTTACCCGTAGTATGGAGTTAACCAGTCTTACCTGTGGTTGAACTGGATTTCAGCTTTGGTGCAGTTTTAGATTGTTTCAGTTCATCACTGGCTCCAAATGTTTTGAGGGTAGATTTAGAACTTTTCCTTCAGCAGATCTGAGACCGGAGCACTGGTGAGATTTTAGGAATCTGCCTTTGCTTCCCAGAAGAGTTACCCAGTTTGGGAATGTTGGGAGTTCTCTCTCTTGTGTAGAGCCAAGTTGCCATGGGGCTTTTTGGTCATTGGTGAGTTCTCTTTGTTCTCAAATCCTGCCCCCCATTTCCTGCACCTGGGAGGATTTTTTCAGCCTAGTTGTTGTTCATCTGGCCTTTGGAGGGCTATGGTTCTACACATTTTGAAGGTCTGGAATGACTGGTAGGGGTGTCTTTTCACTATAAGCTTCTGATAGTCAAAAGCCAGGCATGCCTGGGAGGGGAGGGAATCTCTCAATTCTTCTACCTCAGGTTTTCTGTCTGTTCTCCTGACCTGTTCCCCTGTGCCTACTTTTGAGAGTGTCTTATACTTAAGAGAGGCCCCTTGCTTTCAGGGGAATCCTTCTTATCCCTCCTTTTATCACCTGTTTTGGTGTAATATCCCGCACTTGATAAATCCCATGGTAAGACTTGGTGGGCAGATTCAGACCTATTCAGTGAGTAGAGTTTATCTCCATTATAAGCTACACAGAAGCTCTCATGTTATTGAAAATTTAGCTGGTTTCTTCCTGCCCATCCATGGCAGTCTCCTCTTTCTCCAGCAGTTGTGTTAGGATTTGGAGCAGCTATGAGTCTCTTCTCCCCCATTATGATCTTGGCATTTCCTCCTGGAGGTTAGCTCCTTTAGGTTTCTTTGTGTCCTCAGCTTTCCATGAAGTTTTTAAAACTATGATTTTATAGCTAATAAAGCCTATTTTGATGGGGTGGTGTTAGAGTGGGAGCAACAGTCTCTTATCATTTCCTATACTAGAACCAGAAGTGGAACTCTTTCCAAAAAAATAATAACAAAAACATGTTTCTAATAATGCCATCAGACATTGTTGTAGTCTATCAAAATACCAGGACCATTGGGTCATTCCTGCCTACCATGTGAAAGTCAAAGAATATTTCATTTGGGGGAAAAACTCAAGTCTTTCAAGATTAAACTCCAAGTAGAATACAGAGACTTATGGGTACCCGATATAGCAGACGAAAACGATATTACAAAAAGGAAGTAAGCACCTGCTATAGCAGGGAAAGGTTATATTACAAAAAGGAACTAAGCACACTGCTCAAACACTCTGGATCATTCAAGATGAACCTGAATCATCTTGAAATATACAACAAGATCCAAAATGTTCTGATGAGAAGTCAGCCAGTTGGTAACTCAGCTCCTATAGGCATGGCATGTTTGAGACAGCACTCTTTTGCTTTTGAATTGGGTGAGATTACCAAATGCTCATGAAGAATTTTTTCTTTGTTGTTGTATCTAGGAAGGGGTAAAAATTAGAACCTTGCAAAGTTCTGAAAATATAAATAAGAAACAAAGTAAATTATATGAGTTCAGCACTTTTGTAACTGACCTTGGTGTGAAGATATGAATTTATAAGTCTTATCAGCAATGAATTTGTGTATATTTGGTCTGCTGTTTAATATGCTTGAACCATTTGAAATAATCTGCTTGGGGGCTGGGCATGGTGTGTCACACCTGTAATCCCAGCACTTTGGGAGGCCGAGGTAGGATTGCTTGAGACCAGAAGTTTGATATCAGCCTGGGCAACATAGTGAGATATCATCGCTGTTTTAAAATAAATAAAATAAAATAAAAAAGAATCACCCTAGCTGGGTGCAGTGGCTCACACCTGTAATTTCAGCACTCTGGGAGACTGAGGCAGGAGGACCGTTTGAGCTCAGGAGTTTGAGATCAGCCTGGGCAACATAGTGAGACCCTGTCTCTACAAAAAAATTACAAAATTAGCAGGCCATGGTGGTGCACGCCTGTAGTCTCAGCTACTCGAGAGGCTGAAGTGGGAGGATTGATTAAGCCCAGGAGGCGAAGGGTACAATGAGCTATAATTGTGCCACTACACTCCAGCCTGGGTGACAGATCGAGACCCTGTTTCAAAAAAAAAAAAAAAGTTGGGGGGCTTTACCAAGATTTGTAATTGCAGTTTATATTGTTCAAGGGAATTTAATCAAGTTTGTGATCTATGTCAAATGCAAGGAATGTTGGCTTTCCAGCTTATTTATTCGTGAATAATAATGGCCACACTCACTACGTGTTTACTCCAGTTCAGGTCCTATTCTAAGAGCTTTACATGATTTAATTCATTGAACATTTAAATAACCCTATGAAATAGGTTCTATTATATTCCCATTTTGCAGAGGAGGAAACTGAGGTACAGGGAAATTGAGTAACTTATCCAAGGACACACAGCTACTGAGTGGGGATTCAAACCCAAGCAATTTCACTGCAGAGTCCACATGCGTAACCAACCACTACACTGTAATAACTCTAGTATAGGTGTTTATTAGATCTGGGCAATATGACTTTAATACTGAGCATTGAACAAAGTAGCAGTGAGTATCCTTCATGCACCAAATCCCTGAAAGTAGTAATATTAAAGGAGTTGTCGACAATGTGAGTGTATTCACTCAAGAGGCTGTTTCCCAACACTCATTCCCCTCAGATAACAAGGGTGCTACATGCACTTCTTTAAACTTCTAGCATGTGGTTCTCAACCCCGGCTGCACATTGGAATCACCTGAGGAGCATTAAAAGTGCTGATGCTCCATCCTCAGAGTCTGATTTCATTGTCTAGGGTGTGGCTTGGGCATCAGGATTTTTTTTAAGCTCCAAGCAGATTCTAAAGGGTAGCTTGGATTGAGAACCACTGTCCCTAAAAATCTAATTCATCCTTTGCCAGATTCTGGTGAAACCTGGGAAATGTGAACTGGCTTTTTATCACATCACGTCTAAAGGCTGAAGCGACCCTCCTGAGTTAGTACAGAATCTTGACACCCAACAGCTTTGGGGCCTGGGCATTGGTCTATGTTAGATGCCTTGTCAATGTTTACTTAACTATTAATAATATTTGAATACCTACCAGACTTGGTTTTGCTCATTAGCAAACTTGGGATTAATCAGACATACCTTTCACCATGTGTTTTACTCAATATTTGCTATATGGCAACCATATACCAGGCTGTATATACACTAATGAATAAGACTAAAAAATTAAAATCCCTGACCTCATGGAACTTAAATGATGGCAGGTGCAAATAATAAATAAATGAGTAAAATGTATTATAATCAAAAGATGAAAATATGACAAATCTGGGAAGAAAACACAAGGAAGCAGCAAAGGGAAGTTGAGAGTGGTGCTTTGGAGGTGCTGTTGTAGATAAGGTGGTCAGGGAAGCTGTCCATGAAGAGGACCCTAAGTTAAACCAAGACCTAAAGAAAGTGAACACATGAACTTCTGGGTATACAAAGGAAGCATTCCAGGAAGAAAGAGAAGTCAAACGCAATGGCTTTGAGGCAGCAGGCAACATGACAGGTCTTAGCATCATCAAGGAACTGGAGTGCAGAGACAAGGTCACAGCCAGCCAGCAAGGACTCAAAGTAGGATCCTGAAAGCCCAAGTAGGGATTTTCACACTCAGTGACAAGGGCAGCCATTGTAGAGATTTAAGCAGAGTGGCATATTCTGCTTTCATTTTTTTTTTAAGTCAGTGTTACTGAGATATAGTTCATATAGCATATAATTCACCTGTTTAAAAGTGAATATGTCAATTAGCCAAGCATGGTGGTGTGTGCCTGTAGTCCCAGCTACTTGGTAGGCTAAGACAGGAGGATCACTTGAGCCCAGGATGTCAAGGCTTCAGAGAGTGGTGTTTGCATCACTGCACTCCAGCCTGGGCAATAGAATGAGACACTGTCTCAAAAAAAAAAAAAAGTATGTGTAATGTAATGATTTTTCAGGACACTCACAATGCAACCATCACTACAATCAATTTAACACATTTTCATCACCCCAAAGGGAAATCTCATGCCCACTAACAGTCACTCCCTATCTCCCCACAACCTCCCCAGTCCCAGGCAACTACTAAGATACTTTCTGTCTGTATAGATTTGCCTACTCTGGACATTTCATATAAATGGAATCATATAATATGTGGTCCTTTTGTGTCTGGCTTCTCTGACTTAACATAATGCTTTCAAGATTCATCTCTGTCACAGCACGCATTGGTACTACATTTCTTTTTATTGCTGAATAATATTTCATTGTATGGGTGTATCCTACTTTATTATTCAATCATCAGTTAATACACATTTGGACCGTTTGAACTTTCTGGCTATTATGAATAATGCTGCCTTGACCTTTAGTGTACAAGTTTTTGGACATGTTTATATTTCTCTTAGGTACATACCTAGGAGTGGAATTTCTGGGTCATATGGTAACTCTATGTCTAACCTTTTGAGGAACTGCCCAACTGTTTTCCAAGGTGTCTGCACTATTTCACAATCCCACCAGCAGTGTATGCGGGTTCCAGTTTCTCTACATCTTCCCAGCACTTGCTATTATTTACCTTTTTTATGATAGCCATCCTACTGCGTGTGCTTTTTATTTCAAAGATAACTCAGGCTAAGACAATGGTGGCTTGGACCAGAGTAGTAACAGCAGAGGTGGTAGGAAAGGATTCAATTCTGGATATACTTTGCCAGCAGAGCTGGTAGGTCTTGCTGAAACTCTGATGAGGCTATGAGAGAGAGGAACTGGTACTGGGATCAAATGTGAGATGGTGGAATATTTCTCAAAGTGTGAGAGGAATACTAGTGAGGAAACACAGATAATTTTATGTCAGGCATTTAAATAACATTGAGTCACAGAAAGTGAAAGTTATCCTGTGTCACTTTTCTTCAACTCCTCATTATACCGTGGAGAGAGTCTCAGTTGGGTGTCAGTATCCCTTTAAGACCTCATCACCTATAAATCTTCCTTTGTAACAGACAGAAAAGGGTTTGGAGTCAGAAACATTGGGCTCTTGCTGAGCCAGGCAATATTGTTTTATTTTTATTTTATTTATTCTTATAACTACTTTTGACTGAAAGAGAGTGATTTTTTGTTTTGGTTTTGGTTTTGTTGCTTTGTTGTTGTTGTTGTTGTTGTTGTTGTTGTTGTTGTTGTTGTTGCTTTGAGACAGGGTCTCACTCTGTTACCCAGGCTGGAGTGCAGTCGTGTGATCACGGCTCACTGCAGCCTTGACTTCCCTGGCTTAAGCAATCCTCCCACTTCAGCATCCTGAGTAGCTGTAACTACAGGCGCACACCACCATGCCTGGCTAATTTTTAAATTTTTTGTAGAGATAGAGTCTTGCTATGTTGCCCAGGCTGGTCTCGAACTCCTGGGCTCAAGCGACCCTCCTGCCTCGGCCTCTCAAAGCGTTGGGATTACAGGCATGAGCCATCACACCTGGCTGTGATTTTCATTTTTTTATTAAAGCCTATGACTTTTTTAGAAAGCTCTCTGTTTAACTTATATCTATTTAAGTTTACAATGTAAAGCAACTCAAAGAAAAATGCCAAGTAACTTGGAGTGCAGGGAGTACGTGACAATGGCAAAATTCCAAAAATTTGAGGCCAAAATCTGAAATTTGGGAGACTACGAGATAGCAAGAGAAAGACCCAGGAAGGGGTGTGGCACTCACTTCCTATCCAGATCATGCTGATGCTGTTCCTATAAACACCGAGGGCAAGTTATTTCCCAACGGACCCATTCCAAGCTATGATGAAACTGTCTCCCATGACCTTTCAGGTTGGGACTTGATCCTGAGCCAGCCCAATAACCGGCTTCATCAAAGGCTCCAGACAACAGTGTATGGAGGGACAAAGGCCCTCCAGGGAGCACTTTGGACCTTCAAGGTCTGGGCATGGGAGGATGGGGTACTCCAAACTGGAAAAGGTATTTCTAGAGAATTGGATTCATTGACATCAAAGGAACTCTGGTCCATGCCCCAAAGTCTGAGTGGAGGCAGCTGGGACCAGGGCATATTTTACCGGTGGGCCTGGGTTGGATTCCCTGTTCCAGAACCAGCTAAGAGATTAAGAGTACAATATTTAGCATTAGAGCAGAGGTTTCAATCTGGTGGCCCAAATGTAGCCATCATCATAACAATATTAATATTAGCAAGCCCATATACCACACCTTACTATTTGCCAGGCTCCGTTTTCAGTACTTTACCTGTCTTAACTCATTCCATCCTTATAAAATCCATGCATTACTTGTGTGAGTCTATCACCCATGCATTAGACAAAGCTACATTCAAATTCTGGCTGGGCCACTTGCTCGTTGCTGGGCAGGAGGTTTCACTCAAACTGAGTTTCCTCATCTGAAACGAGAACTATAATGTGTACAGGCATATCTTGTCTCATTGTGTTTTACAGATATTGCATTTTTGTGACAACCCTACAGTGAGCAATTCTCTTGGCATCATTTTTCCAACAGCATGTGCTCACTTCATGTTTCTAGGTCACATTTTGGTAATCTTGCACAATTTCAAACTTTTTTTATGATTATATCTGTTATGCTGATCTGTGATCAGTGATCTTTGAAGTTACTATTGTAATTGTTTTGAGGTGCCATGAACTGTGCCCATATAAGACGGCAAATTTAGTGGATAAATATTGTGTGTATTCTGATTGCTCCACTGACTGGCTATTCCCCAATCTCTCTCCCTCTCCTCAGGCCTCCCTATTCCCTGAGATACAATACTATTGAAATTAGTCCAACTAATAATCCTTCAATGGCCTCAAAGTATTCAAGTGAAAGAAAGAGTCATACATCTCTCACTTTAAAATCAAAAGCTAGAAATGGTTACACTTAGTGAGGAAGGCACGTCGAAAGCCAACACAGGCCAAAAACTAGGCCTCTTGTGCCAAACAGTTAGCCAACTTGTGAGTGTAAAGGAAAAGTTCTGGAAGGAAATTAAAAGTGCTACTCCAATGAACACATGGATGATAAGAAAGCAAAACAGCCTTATTCCTGATAGGGAGAAAGTTTTAGTAGTCTAACATAGAAGATCAAACCAGCCACAACATTCCCAAGCCAAAGCCTAATCCAGAGCAAGACCCTAACTCTCATTAATTCTGTGAAGACTGAGAGAGGTGAGGAAGCTGCAGAAGAAAAGTTTGAAGTTAGCTGAGTTCATGAGTTTAAGGAAAGAAGCCATCTGCATAACATAAAAGTGCAAGTGAAACAGCAAGTGATGATGTAGAAGCTACACCAAGTTAACCAGAAGATCAAGCTAAGGTCATTGATGAAGATGACTACACTGAACAACAGATTTTCAACATAGATGAAATACTCTTCTTTTGGAAGAAGATGCCATCAAGTTGACCTCTGGTTAGGGCATAATGCAGCTGGTAACTCTAAGTTGAAGTTCTGCTCATTTGCCATTCTGAAAATCTGAAGGCCCACAAGAATTATGCTAAATCTAAGCTGCTTATGCGCTATAAATGGAGCAACAAAGTCTAGATGACAGTACATCTGTTTACAGCATGTTTTACTGAATATTTTAAGCCTATTGTTGAGATATACTGTTCAGTAGACTGTGGAAGGGAATTCTTAAAGAACTTCCACAGTCAATGGATGGCTTGACCAACATTAATTTTCATTCCTTACTAGGTATGTTCATTGGACAGATAAGGAAACTGAGACTCAGAGGGATTAAGACATTTGTCCCAGGTCACACAGCTGAAATAGAGCTGAAATCCCAATGATACACACTGCTACTCCCATATCCCCACACAAATACTGAACTCTTTTTCTTGTTGGAGTCATCAGAAGATCAAGAAGTTATTATATGTGTTGAGTGAAGGAATATAACACATGACCTGAAATCCAGAGACACACTTCAGCTAAAGGAGAAATCTTGTGTTCCACCCCCCTCGTGGACCCCCCGCCCTGCTTAACTTCTTTTAAAGACTGTCAGAGAGACAGGTCGAGTCCTTTCATCAAGGCATCCCATACCATTGACTGAGCACTTACTATGCCCCACACACTATGCTAAGTGCTTCCTCAGCTTTTCTCATTTTATTTTTACAACCACCCTTCCAGATGGGTGTGATTACCTTCATTACAGAGGAAGAGACTAAAACTCAGAGATGTGTCTTCTGACTCCAAAGTCTGTGTTGCTAACCCTCAACTAGACTGTTCCCAAGCCTGCCATCATGCTCACCTTAGGGCAAAGTTAGAAAAACCTCAGGTTGATGGGAGCTATTGGCAAGAGACCACATGAGCTGGGTGGGTCTGACCACTGGCACCCAAGGCAAATTAGAGAATGTGACTCAAGGTACTCATAATTTTATTGTACTACTATTTGTATAAATAATAAATACCATTTTTGAGGGGCAATGCCTACAATTTATAAAATTGTTGTCCAAGCACTGTGCTAAGACCATTATACAGACATTTCCTGATTTTTGATGGTTAGACTTAGAATTTTTCAACTTTACAATGGATTTATTGAGAGTATTAAGTGCCTTTTAACTTAGGATATTTTCAACTTACAATGGGTTTATTGAGGGGTAACATCATCGTAAGTTAAGAAGTATCTGTATAGAAATCCATATAAAACTTCATGCTGGCCAGTGTGTAAAGAAAGAAAAAAAATACATGCATACTTAACAATGCAGAAGGATAAATAAAAAATTGATTACCTTGCTTGTCTCCTAGAAGGTGCACTGGGAGGCTTGGGAGGCTGGTGTAGCAGGGACCACCCATATGTAGCTTCCTTTGGACCTTAGTGCCACTTCCCTGGAATACATGAGCAGCTTTAAAAACAATTCTCAGGCTTCCCTACAGTTGGTGTATCTATAGGATTAAGATCTGGCCAATGGGAAGTGAGTAGAAGTTGTTATGTGGGACATTTAGGACCGTGTCTTTAAAGGAGCATACCCTTTTTTCTTTCCTCTCCCTTTTTCCTTCCTGACTCATGGCTTGAGCTCCAGCAGCCATCGTTGATCAGGAAGTGTAAGGGATGTATTGGTGGCCTCCACAGACCCATGCCTCCTGGTATTCACACCCTTGTGTAGTCCCCTCCCACACTGACTCTGGGCTTGGCCATGTAACTTGCTTTGGCCAATGGGACATCAGCAAATGTGATGCAAACAAAGACTTAATAACCACTTGCACATTAGGGCTTGTCTTCTTTAAACACTCCCTCTTGGCAGCCAATGTCACACCATAAAGAAGCATGGACTAGACTACTAAATGATGAAAGACTCCATAGAGAGGGGCCCTGAAAGACAGGAAGCTATTTTGGATGTCTCAGCCCCAGCAGAGCTCCCACTAAATGCAGCCCCCTAAGTGATCTCAGCTGCACCATGTGGAGCAGAAGAACCACCCAACTGAGCCCAGTCAATCATGGAATTATGAGAAATAACAAAATAATGTTGTTGCAACTTGTGAGGTGATTTAATACAGAAACCAACATGAACCAACCTTGAAAATGAAAGGTACACACTAAGGATGGAAAAGCAGAAAGATGGGAGTTGGGATCCTTCATGAATTCATGGAACCACCTCTGTACTTTATTTACAAGGCAGCAGAAAACCTAATATGTTGAGCCTTATGTGTCTATGTTTTCAGTTATGTGTGACTAAAGTTATGTTGGGGACATGAGCAAGCGGAAGACTTATTTGCACATCATACTCTGCTATGAATGTTGGAATGCACTGCCCAGTGCCCCTTTAGGAACAAAAATCTTTATCTGCTTGGAATGCTTCCAGTAGTCAATCCTTGGCTATGAGCCCATTTGATAATTGCCTCAGCAAACAGTGCCACTTTAGCCAAGGTCATGTTTCCTTCCCAGAGTGGCTGACATCCAGTTAGTGACTGAAGCGGGAATACAAGTTCCCAGCCTCCTCACCCCAATTTGGGACAACTTTGAGGGGCCATCCCCCTTCAGAGCACTCATGCAATTGGTCAAGTCCTCTGTGAAGGTTGCATTTCTGCTCAACATCTCCCTTCACCCTATATTTGTTTCCTTCCCTTCCCTTCCATGGGGGTGGATCCCAAAGGCATGTCCTAATAAATTTCCTGCACACTCGTCTCCAAGTCCTTGAAAACCCAGCCTACAACACAGTGTTTTTCAACCCTTTGAATGTTAGAGTATATGTCTGTAATCCTCATTAAAAAAAAAAGATAAATAAGACAGAGTTCATATGTAGAACCAAATCACAGTGTGGGTTCTCTAGGAAACAGGGGGTTAGGAATGCATAAGATTTATTGGGAATAACACCTGTGAAAAGGAAAAGGAACAGGGAGAAGCAGGATTGGGCAGAGGGAGCCACCAGGCAGCATTCAGGCAAGACAAAGTCTCTGCCAGCACAATGGAGAGCCCAGAGCAAAGCTCACCCATTGGAGGAGTCTTGCACCAGGTGGGTAGATACTTGTACCGGCATCTGACTCAACCAGTCTCTGAGCTGAGGGCCTCCCTGAGAAGAGCATTACTTCTACTTGAAAACTGAGGCAGTCCCCAAAAGAGCTAATAATGGCTGGGCAGCAAGTCCCAGTTTGAAGGGGAATCTGAGCTGCACATGTCTATGACTCCCACTAGCTAGAGGGGCTTTTTCATAGTCATCCAATCTGATACACCTGTCCCACTAAACAGGTCAACAAACAGAGGGTCACAGTGTCTGTTCCAATACCATCCAGAGAGTCAGGGTCTGAATTATGGCCAGTTCCCAGTCCAGGGGTCCTTCCACCAGACTTCAAGCCAACTCATGTGAAGAGAAGGAAAGCGTGGCTTTGAGCTTCCCATAGGCAGAGGCCATGCCTGCTCAGACACAGCTGCCTCTCTACTGCCTGGCACATGAGTGGGAAATAAATATGAGATGGGTTGAATTGAATTGATGTGCAAATCCCAACATTTGGTAACCCTCACCAGAAGGCTGGGCTATCAGCATTCCTGGGGTTCCTGGTGCTGCACCGAGCAGTAGTCATTCATACCCAAGCTCTGCTGAGCCCATGGCAACAGGAGTATGGATTTTGGAATCATCTATTCATTTATTCATTCAGCAAACATTTACTGAATTCAAACCTGTGCCAGGCACTGTGCTGAACACTGGGGATCTGACATGAAATGAGGCAGGCAGCATCCCTCCTTCATGCGGCTTCCCATCTAGTGGGGTAGGCAGTTCAAATGCCAGTCCATATGTGGTTATAAAACATAGCCACAAATCCTGTGACACCCTTTCCACTGGGAGGCAGGGCCTATTCCCCCTCCTGATGAACCTAGGTGAGCTTCTGACTGCTTTGACCAACAGCTTACCGTGGAAGTGACCCGATACGGCTTCCAGGGCATGAATAAGGCCACACAGCTTCTGCCTGATTTCTAGAACACTTGTCCTTGGAGACCTGGACTACTGCCCTGAGGCTGTCATGCTGGAGAGGCCATGAGTATCTGCTCTGGTTGACAGCTGAGCCCAGACTTCCAGCCAGCCCTATCAAGGCACAAGACACATGAATGAAGCTGTCTTAGGCCCCCCAGATGAGTTCATCTGAATGGCTGAGTGACCCTGAGTGCATTCCTCGATGCCACGGAGAACAGAAGAATCACCCAGCTGAGCCCCACTCTAATTCTTGCCCCACAAAATCATGATGTATTATTGCATGATTATTGTTTAAGTTTGGGGGATAGTTTGTCAAGCAGCAGATGTTTAACACTGAAACTGTGCACCTGGTGGGCTCATATCACCCCTCTGAGCCTCCATGGCCTTGTGGAAAATGTAGATAATAAAAACAACTACATCATAGGTTTATGATAAGTCTCAGAGAATGAAAAGCCAGGTGCTGTTCTAAGGGCTGTTCCCATTTATTCGTTTAGCACAGGACCAGGTACCTATCAACCCCTAATTACAGGGAAGTATGATTTCTAATTGGGAAATAACACGCTATGTGAGGTATGAATAAATATATTAACTATGGTCATCAGCCCAGTTATGGAGGCTTGCTGTGTGCCAAGCACAGTGCTAGGCATTTACATGAACGATCAGGTCCTGCCTGGTCCTTCAACCCTTCCCCCATTCCCTTCCATTGCTGGGGGCTGTCCTCTTTGCAGCCTTCTTTCTGCTCCTTGAGCATAGCAAGTTCTCTGCTTTTACAAATGCTCAGTCTGCCTGGATCTCCCTGTGCACCCTCCCCAAGCTCCCGCCACCATCACCATGACTGGTTCCTTCTACTCACTCAGTCCTCAGCTCAAATGTCACCTCCTCAGAGGGTCCCCACCCCCGACCTCCTGATCTAAGGAAACGCAGCCTTCCTCAAGTTCACGTCACTCACCCTGTACAAAATCCCCAAATAGCATGATTCGTCGTCTGAAAGTGTTTACCACTAGGTTAAACTCCAGGGGAACAAGGGAGTCCCAATTGCCCCCTGCCACACTCCCAGTGCCTGGAACATGGAGAGGAGCAATAAATATTGAAGGATGAAACACGCTCTACATCATTGGGTCTTACTGTTAGGAATATCAGTCAAAATCATGACTATTGTTCATTCAGCAAGGATTAATTGAGCACCTATTGTATACCAGGCATCATTCTGGGTGCTGGGGATACAACAGTGATCAAATCAGACACCAGTTTTGCTCTCACAGAGTTTTCATTTTAGTAGCTCTGTGATAAGATACATGTGTGAAATACACAGCATGTCACGTGGAACTTAGTGCTATGAAGAAAAATAAGGTAGGCAGTGGGAGAGAGTATGAGGGGAATCTTGGCACCAAATTCCATTCTTCCCTCCACAGAAGGGACTTTCGGTTCCCCTCCCCTCCACCTCCGCACCCTGACCCCCATACCCCGTCAACATCTCTCAGTGTGACATTTTGTTTGAGGTCTCTGCAGCTCCAAGAACAATATTGGCTTTGATGCAGGTCCCAGCAGAGAGCCCTCAGACTGGAGGGGGGATTAGTTCCCCCTTCTTTCCCCTGGAGGGGGAAGTCAAACAGTTTGGCCTTGTGGGGCCTTTCCTCACTATGGGGAAGGGGGCAGGCCTGGGCCTTCCTGGCCTGGATCGTTGACTAACCCTGGGTTCTGGGCCATCCCCTGGCCTCCTCCATCCCAGGCAGAGAGTCAAGGTTTACAAACACGGAGAGGCCTTTGATCGGCAGCAGACCCCCAGTGTTCTGTTTTTTGTTCCAAACCTCAGGCCAGGACTATACTCTGTTTTGCCTCCAGCAGGGGAGACAGTGGGTAGGTGGGGAGTGCGCGCGCGCGCGCGCGTGTGTGTGTGTGTGTGTGTGTGTGTGTGTGTTTGTTTGGAGGAGTGGAAGGAATCAGAGGAAGGCTCACATGGATCCTTGATTTTCTTTCCAACAGGCAGGCTAGGTTTGGAAGAGAGAATTCAATTCAATTCAAAATACCTAAGGAGCACCTACTAAATCCCAGGCACCATGGTAGAAATTAGGGCTAGAGCAGTGAACCAAACAGAGCTCCCTGCCCAGAGCCCCAATTCTAGAGGGGGCCACAGACAGCAAACAAATGAGCAAGTGAATACAGAGGCTGTGGGGGGCCATGATGCGCTTGACAGGAATGAAGCTGGGCAGTCGATGGGGCTGGGATGAGGGTGCTGTGGGGGCTTCCCAGACAAAGTGGCATTTGGTAGAGACCTGAAGGAAATGAGGGAGGCAGCCATGTGGCGATCAGTGGGAAAAGTGTTTCAGGGAAAGGGAACAGCTGCTATGAAGGCCCTGAGATGTGCGCAAGGCTGGCATGTTGGAAGAACAGCAAGGAGCCCAGTGTGGCTGACCCAGGGGAATAGTGGGGAGAGGAACAGCAGAGGGGTCAGAATGGGGAGTGTTGGGGTTGGTGGGGGGAAGTGGAGTGGTTTTCCTTTTTTTCTTTTCTTTTCTTTTTTGTTTTTAGGAGATGGAGTCTCACTCTGTCACCCAGGCTAGAGTGCAGTGGCGCAATCTCATCTCACTGCAACCTCTGCCTCCCAGGTTCAAGCAATTCTCCTGCCTCAGCCTCCCAAGTAGCTGGGACTACAGGCGCATGCTGCCACGCCCAGCTAATTTTTTTTCTTTTTTTTTTTTTTTTTTTCAGTAGAGACAAGGTTTCACCGTGTTGCTCAGGCTGGTCTCGAACTTCTGAGCTCAGGCAATCTGCCCACCTCAGCCTCCCAAAGTGTTAGGATTACAGGCACGAGCAACCATGCCCGGCCCCTTTTTTTTTCTTTCTTTCTTTTTTTTTTTTTAGTTTGTTTAATTTTGTTTTTAACTAAAACTAAACTGTGTCATCCAGGCTGGAGTGCAGTGGTGCAATCACAGCTCACTGCAGCCTTGAACTCCTGGGCCCAGGAGATCCTTCCCGCCTCAGCCTCCCCAGTCGCTGGGACTACAGGCATGCACCACCTTGCCTGGCAGATCTGAACTGAGATTTAATAGAATTCCTGGGCTGTGTGGAAACAGTGGGGACGACGGCAGAAGTGGGGAGAACCATGAGAGGCAACTGCAGGGGTTCAGGCAAAAGATCACATGGCCTACGCCAGGGTGGTCAGGAGGGGGAACGGAGAGTAGTTCCAAATTCATCAGCTTCTTTTCTTTTTTTGAGACAGAGTCTCACCCTGTCCAGGCTGGAGTGCAGTGGCGATCTCGGCTCACTGCAACCTCCACATCCTGGGTTCAAGCGATTCTCCTATCTCAGCCTCCCAAGTAGCTGAGATTACAGGCACCCGCCATCATGCCCGGCTAATTTTTGTGTTTTTAGTAGAGACAGGGTTTCGCCATGTTGGCCAGACTGGTCTTAAACTCCTGACCTCAGGTGATCTACCCACCTCGGCCTTCCAAAGTGCTGGCATTACAGACACAAGCCACCACCTGGCCTCACAGCTTTTTATTGAAGTACCACATAAATACTGAAAAGTACCCATATAAACATGCCTGCAGTTTCATGAAATTTTACAAACCCAATCCACCCACATAACCAGCATCAAGCTCAAGAAATAGAACTTGTCCATCCCCCGAGAAGTCCCCAGAAGCCCCCTCCAAATCACTGCCCCTTCACCAAGGGCAGCCACTCTCTCAAC
The DNA here is from genome assembly GCF_000001405.40 of Homo sapiens. Lineage (NCBI taxonomy): Eukaryota > Metazoa > Chordata > Mammalia > Primates > Hominidae > Homo > Homo sapiens. The sequence continues at coordinate 46,676,410 of NC_000020.11, forward strand.
TCTTTTTTTTTTTTTTTTTTTTTTTAGTAGAGACAAGGTTTCACCGTGTTGCCCAGGCTGGTCTCGAACTCCTGAGCTCAGGCAATCCGCCCACCTCAGCCTCCCAAATTGTTAGGATTACAGGCACGAGCCACTGCGCCCGGCCCCTTTTTTTCTTTTCTTTTCTTTTTCTTTAGTTTGTTTAATTTTGTTTTTAACTAAAACTAAACTGTGTCATCCAGGCTGGAGTGCAGTGGTGCAATCACAGCTCACTGCAGCCTTGAACTCCTGGGCCCAGGAGATCCTTCCCGCCTCAGCCTCCCCAGTCGCTGGGACTACAGGCATGCACCACCTTGCCTGGCAGATCTGAACTGAGATTTAATAGAATTCCTGGGCTGCGTGGAAACAGTGGGGACGACGGCAGAAGTGGGGAGAACCATGAGAGGCAACTGCAGGGGTTCAGGCAAAAGATCACATGGCCTACGCCAGGGTGGCCAGGAGGGGGAACGGAGAGTAGTTCCAAATTCATCAGCTTCTTTTCTTTTTTTGAGACAGAGTCTCACCCTGTCCAGGCTGGAGTGCAGTGGCGATCTCGGCTCACTGCAACCCCCATCTCCTGGGTTCAAGCGATTCTCCTGTCTCAGCCTCCCAAGTAGCTGGGATTACAGGCGCCCACCATCATGCCTGGCTAATTTTTGTGTTTTTAGTAGAGACAGGGTTTCGCCATGTTGGCCAGACTGGACTTGAACTCCTGACCTCAGGTGATCCGCCCACCTCGGCATTCCAAAGTGCTGGCATTACAAGCACAAGCCACCACCTGGCCTCACAGCTTTTTATTGAAGTACAACATAAATACTGAAAAGTACACATATAAACATGCCTGCAGTTTCATGAAGTTTTACAAACCCAATCCACCCACATAACCAGCATCAAGCTCAAGAAATAGAACTTGTCCATCCCCCTAGAAGTCCCCAGAAGCCCCCTCCAAATCACTGCCCCTCCCCCAAGGGCAGCCACGCTCCCAACCTTTTAATTATATTTTGAAAGTAAAGCTGGCAGGATCTTTTGCTGGATCGAATGGGGGCGAGGGGAGCTGGTGAAAGACAGGAGTCAAAGAGAGCCCCCAGGTTTGGGGTGAAGTTCTGGATTCCTGGGGCTGCCATTTACTAAGATGGGAAACTTGTGATGGGGGCAGAGACTATGGGTGAAACCAGGGGTTTGTTTTGGGACCTGTTGAGTTTTGGGATGCCCGTGAGGCCCTGGGGAAGATACATGCCATCTTATCTAAAGGTTGCAAATTCAATGCTCTCAGGGACAAGTAACAAGAGGAGTAAGACATATCTCACTCTCCTCTTACCTCTGTAAGAAGAACAACGGGACCAGCGTGATGACAAACAGTGACTCAGAGCCAAAGAGCAATAGGGAGCAGTGGAGACTGGGGCAAATTGGAAAGCACAGGCCCCTCTAAAAGAAGAGGTGTTAGAACAGGGTCCCGTGTGGCAAGATCTCCTGACGATGTTTCCAGAGAAGCCAGATGTCTAGATTTTTACATATGAAACAATCCATATGTATGTTTGAAATTGTTTAACATTGGCATATGAAATTGTTTAACATTGGCAACTAAAAAGCAAACATTATGTGAACCCAAGAAAACTGCCTACAGTTACAGCCACCCACTGGACCTAGATCAAATCTTCCACTTTACAGGTGGAGAAACTGAGGCCCAGGGAAGTCTAGAATTTTCCCCAAACTCACAGAAGGAGTTGGTGGCAGACTTTGGCCAGGCCTTGAATAGGCTGGGTCTCAGTGCCGGGTTCTCACCTCCCAGGCCTTGGTAAGAAGGGGCTGGAGTTAGTCTGTCTCCTTCACTTTGATCTAAATAGAGAGGCTCTAACCTGACAGTAAAAGGCAGCAAGATGCTATGAACAAGTATGGCTTTGGCGGCCTGGGGTCTCTATCTGTGTTGGTTAGGAATGCTTTTGGCTTCAAGTGATGGAAAATCTGATTTATGGTAGCTTCAGCTTTGGAGACGTTTACCTGTGCATATAATAAGTCCAGAAAGTGAGGTCTGAGGTCACTAAGAACAGACTCACACTCTGCCCATCCCTCTACCTCAACATCTTCCTCTCATTGACTCTTTACCATCAGGGGTGGCCTCATGGCCTCCAGATTGCTGCTGAACCTCCGGTTATTGCCATTGCATTGAAAAGCAGACATTGTTGATGGGGATGTGCTGGTGTCAGAGCAGGGAGAGAATTCTTACATCTTCTCACCTTCTAGGAGAAGCAAAATCTTCCACAGAAGCAATCTTCCCAGATTTGCTCTTGTATCTTATTGGCCAGAAAAGGGTCACATGCTGACACGGTTTGGAGGTTTGTCCCCTCCAAATCTCAGGTTGAAATGTGACCTCCAGTGTAGGAGGTGGGGCTGGTGGGAGGTACTGGATCATGGCGGCAGATCCCTCGTGAATGGCTTGGTGCCCTCTCTGTGGTAATCTCTGAGTGAGCCCTGGCTCTGTTAGTTCACAAGACAGCCAGTTGTTTAAAGGAGCCCGGCTCCTCCCCTTCTCTCTCTTGTTCCTGCTTTCACCATGGGACACTGCCTGCTCCCCCTTTGCCTTCCACCATGATCGGAAGCTTCCTGAGGCCCTCACCAGAAGCAGATGCTGGAGCCATGCTTGTACAGCCTGCAGAACTGTAAGCCAATTAAGCCTCTTTTCCCTATAAATTACCCAGCCTCAGGTGTTTCTTTACAGCAATGCAAAAGGCCTAATACACATGCCCATTCCTAATCAGGAACCGATCTGACCTTTCCTGAGATGAAGCTATCTTCGCCTAAAAATATCTAGACTAATTGGGATTCTGTCCAAAAGGAATAAGAAGGGTAGGCCGGGTGCCATGGCTCATGCCTATAATCCCAGCACTTTGGGAGGCCGAGGCAGGCAGATCACTTGAGGTCAGGAGTTCGAGACTAGCCTGGCCAACATGTCAAAATCCTGTCTCTACTAACAAATACAAAAATTGAGACCATCCTGGCTAACACGGTGAAACCCCGTCTCTACTAAAAAATACAAAAATTCGCCGGGCGTGGTGGCGGGCGCCTGTAGTCCCAGCTACTTGAAAGGCTGAGGCAGGAGAATGGCGTGAACCCAGGAGGTGAAGCTTGCAGTGAGCCAAGATCAAGCCACTGCACTCTAGCCTGGGCGACAGAGCGAGACTCCGTCTCAAAAAAAAAAAGGGGGTGGGGGATGGGCTCACGCCTGTAATCCCAGCATTTTGGGAGGCCAAGGCAGGTGGATCATTTGAGGCGGGACTTTGAGACCAGCTTGGCCAATATGGTGATATCCCCGTCTTCACTAAAAATTCAAAAATTAGCTGGGCGTGGTGGTGGGCACCTGTGATCCCAGCTACTGGGGAGGCTGAGGTGGGAGAATTGCTTGAACCTGGGAGGTGGAGGTTGTGATGAGCCGAAATCACACTACTACACTCCAGCCTGAGTGACAGAGTGAGACTCTGTCTCAAAAAAAAAAAAAAAGAGGGTGACTTTTGGTAGGCAATAATGCCTGGCACAATTTCTACCATTTACAGGCTGATGACTCTGGGAAAGTTGCTTAGCACCTCTGAGCCTCTACTCCCCCATCTGTAAAATGGGTATGGCAGATGGTATTTTGTTTCTTGCCCTCTCAGCATCCATTTCCTATTTTTCTGATGACATACTTTGATTTTCCTTCAGGTAGGAGTTTTCAGAACAGCAGCCTCAGCATCACCTGGGAAGTTGTTAGCAATGCAGATTCTCAGGCCAGTCTCAGACCTTTGATTCAGAAGCTTTGGAATGGCAGCCTGGCAAGGTGGGAAAGTGCGTCTTGTCTACCCTTAGCTTATAAGGGGAACAAATGGAGCTGTATTATAATCACCTGTTTGCTGTTCTCTAAAAATAGTAGCCACTTAAATGACATCACGATAATGATATTGCTCATTGTCACCATGTGCCATGCACTGTGGTAGTGCTCCAACTGCTCCACGTACCTCCTTATATGGATGCTTGTGGTGGACATGGATGTGCGACCCAGATCCCTTAAGGAAGCACCTATTGCCCCAGAGGCAGGGAGAGTGGTCAGCAGTCAGCTCCTGTGGTCAGCTCCTCCAGGGATCAACTCACAGTAGGCAGAGAGTGGCCTTGCCAGAGCTCGTGTCCCTTCCAGGCGTGACACCCCCAACGACTGCATAATGTGAGACTGCAAAGTCCTGGCCATCTCAGGCCATCTTGTGACATCTCTGAAGAGCCATTTCAACTGCAGAGCTCCCGCAGAATTGACTGAAGCTGCTGCTGGGTCTCAGCTCCAGTTCTCCCTCTGCCCGCTCCTGTGTACTCTGCCCTCTCCTGTGTCCTCTGCCATCTCCTGTGTCCTCCATGCTGTGGATGTTGATCCCAAGGGCAGCTCAACTGTATCTGAGTCTGCTTCCTGGGGATCCTGACCAGTGACAATACTCACAGCAACTCCACCATGCAGCACCACTGTGAGTCCATTTTACAGATGAGGACACTGAGGCTCAGAGAGGTACAAGGAGGGGATCCTAGGCCATGCACCTGGTAAACAAGGAGACATGGGCTGGGAAGCCAGCACATTTGTGAATAGAGAAGTGGCATGTTCTGGCTTTAAAAGGGTCCCCTGGGCTGCTGAGTAAGGAAGAACGGAAGGGGCCAGGACAAGGGCCTCCCAGGCCGCGGCTGGACCTTGTCATCCCTGCAGCTTCTTCAGAAGAGCCAGACGCAGCCCATGTGCTCACTAAGTACCCAGTGAAGGAGTGAGTGAAGAGAGAATGGATGAAAACATTAAGACTGGAAGGAACTAGACATCCTCACGTCCGTCTCCCTCATTACATGGTGCATAATTAGCACAGTGCCTGCTACACTTAGGTGCTCAGCTAAGGTGGCGTTGAGTGAATAAATGAACACGTTCAAGGAAAGGAGGGAGGGAGAGAGGGGCATGGACTTGGGAAGAAAAGATGGAAGTAGAGGAAGGAGAAGGGGAGAAAAGAAAGGGAGGAAGAAAGAGGGGAAGGAGGGAGGAGGGAGGAGGAAGAGAAGAGAGAAAGTGAAGGGAGGTTTACCTGTTCGCACCAAGAATGACAGTAACTTACGACCCCTGGTGGCAGAAAAGTGCACAGTCCATTGAAATTGCGGTGCCTAGAATTAAAGGACGCAAGGGAAGACTCCTAGTTCCCCAAGAGGTTCAGGCTGCATTCATTTGTTTTCTATTGCTTTTAACAGAATACTTAAAACTGGGTAATTTATAAAGAAAAGGAGTTTATTTCTTACTGTTATGGAGGAATACAAGGTCGAGGGGGCACATCTGGTGGGGGCACAGCCTTCTTGAAGGTGGGGACTCTACAGAGACCTGAGGCGGCACATGGCATCATGTGACAAGGGGGCTGGGTGTGCTAGCTCAGGTCTCTCTTCCTCTTATAAAGCCACCAGTCCTGCTCTCATAATAACCCATTAATCTATTAGTCCACACGTGGATTAATCAATTCATGAGGGCAGAGGCCTTAGGATCCAATCACCTCTTAAAGGCCCCATCTTTCAATACTGCTAAGTTGGGCATTCAGTTTCCAACACATGAAATACGGGGAACACATTCAAACCACAGCAGGTGCAGACCCTTGTAAGAACATGGGCTCCTCCATCAGGGCTCTGGCAGTCAGTGACAGCTGGGTTAGGACTAGGGTGAAGCAAGTGAGGCACAAATTTAAGGAGGCATCCAAAAACTCAATAATCCAAAAAATATCTTAATGGGATGGTTTTAAAAATCAAATTGGCAAACTATCGCCCACGGGCCGACTGTCTGATTTGTAAATAAAGTTTTATTGGAACCAGGGTCAGGAATATGGTGGATTCTTGCAGTTAAATCAGAGATTATGCCCTGCATGCCTTCGCTAATGTAGATGTTCCCAACCCCTAAGGTAGCACGTGGTGTGGGCGTGGTCAGCTCAGCTCATCCAACAATAAGAACACAGCTTGTTTGGAGCACTCACTATGCCAGCTTTAAAGCAACTCTACTCTGGAACTACCTCTCTTGGCCCCATGGACTGGCCACAAAAGCACTTTTAAATGTTCCAGGAATGTGGGCCTGTGTCAAGTGTTGGTCGCATCTCGGTGTCATATCACATTTCCCTGGTTCTGCCATTTACTAACTGAGTGGCCTGGGGCAGGACTTAATTTCTCTGTGTCTCATTTGCTTCTTCTGTAAAATGGGTTAATGCATGGAAAGAACGTAACTCTATAAAGTCAGCTGCTGTTGTTAAAAGCATGGGTCTGAATCCCAGCTCTGTCACTTATTGTGACCCTAGGACATATTTCCTATTGCCCAGTGTTTCCTCCACCATAAAATGGAGATTATAATCCTCATCTGGTTGGGTTTAGCTGGGGATTCACACAAAACTGCTAGTGCTGTTGGCTCAGCACTGCAAAGCACCTGCAGCTCCCCGGTGGACGTCAAGGGATCTGAAAGTGCAGAGGGTTCCTTAGCCCTTTGTGAGAGGAACTAGGAAAGGAATCCACTGTTCACCTAGGAACATTTGTTAACCCTTTATTTCCCACTGTGGGCCAAGGGCTAAGTGTGCAGATGGACGATTCTCCTCCTGGGGGCATTTGTGACGTTTCTCCAGTCTCCAATATCTGCCACTCTCCCTCTTGATACTTGCAAAGATCATTACTGCTTCCTGACAGCTGCGGCTACCCCCACTGCTACTGGCCACTGATACCGGAGATAGAAATTATTTAGGCAGATATTCAGGGCAAAAGAGTCCTCGGCGGAATTTCCCTTCTAACAAAAAAGCAGCCCCAGAAATCATTTCTTTTCTAACAAAGAGCAGCCTGAAAAATCCAGCTGCAAACATAGATAAGGAAGCTGGAAGCTTGCACGGGGGAATGCTGGTAGCTGTGCCAATAGAGAAGGGCTAACTGGGGGCCAGGCATGTCTAACACGAGGCTCCATCTTCCCTTTTCTTTTACCACGTGTACAGTAATAAAGAAATGGGCAACATGGCACAGCTCAGGCAGAGAACTCGCCTGCATAATAAAAGACTGGGGTGGGGGTGCCGAGATTCATACCCTGTGCCAATGGCACACCTGGGTCCAACCAGTTTTTCACACCCTATGTAGATCAGACAGCACCTCCTCACCAGCTCATCTATAAAACTCCCTTGCATTTCACTGCAGATCCAGCAACCCATTTTTCCAGGACCCCTCTTGTAGCAGAGCGCTATTCTCTTTCTTTCAACTATTAAATTTCTGCTCTTCACCTCACTCTTTGTGGGTCCCTGTCCTTGATCTCCGTGACCATGAGACAACGAGCCTCGGGTGTTACCCCCAGACAAGCCTGCTTCTCCACCGCGTTCCCTGCCTCAGTGGCTGCCAGGTCCTGTGCCAAGCAGTTGGAGCATGCTCGCCACAGCTTCCACCCTGGCTACTGTTTTTACTGGACCAGCTGGTTTCGGTCGCCTTTTCACTTCCAGGTTTCTTGCTTCCACTCTTGCCCTCTATGGTTTTCTGCCAGCAACCAATGCAACCCTTTCAAAACAATCAGGTATCACCCTGTTAAAAACCCTGAGTCCCATTAAGAACAAAACCCAACCTTGTAACAGGGCCCTGCAGGATCCGGCCCCGCCTCTCCCATCTCATGTTCTGCTCCTCCCCCTTGCTCACTAATGCCGGCCACACCAGCCTTGCTGTCGGGGATGTTTCTTCTTCGCCAACTTCGCACGCCACAGCCTGCCTGGGATATACTCTCTTCATCTCCTGTGTTTCTGGTTTTCCTTCACATCTTCACTCATCACTGTCTGAAACTGTCTTATGTTCCCCAGGAAAGTAAGCTTCATGTTCCCCTCTATTAGATCTCCAGTGCCCGGCGCATAGTGAGTACTAGTGTATTAGTCCGTTCTCACACTGCTGATAAAGACATACCCGAGACCGGGTAATTTATAAAGGAAAAGTTTAATAACTCACAGTTCAGCATGGCTGGGGATGCCTCAGAAAACTTATAATCATGGCAGATGGGGAAACAAACACACCCTTCTCCACGTGGCAGCAGGAAGTGCCGAACAAGAGGGAAAAGCCCCTTATAAAACCATCAGATCTCGTGAGAACTCACTCGCTATCACGAGAACAGCACGGAGGTAGCCGCCCCGAGGATTAAATTACCTCCCACTGGGTCCCTCCCATGTCACGTGGGGATTACGGGAACAATTCAAGATGAGATTTGGATGGGGACACAGCCAAACCCTATCAACTAGGGATTTGTTGACTTAATGCACACGAGCCAACCATACCCCAACAAAGCAGGTACTAGCCTTATAGTACACGTGAGGAAACTGAGGAATGAGGCATCTCATTCATGTTGGGAATATTAATTGAAAAACCTGTCAGCTCCTGTGGCCCTTGGAGTTCCTTGAAAATAATGTTATACGCCAATACTTATTATAGTACTGTAAAGATGCACCATATCCCATATCTCATTTGTCAGTGGAAAGAACACAGATTTGGAGCCAGGTAAAAGTACCTCTTGCTACCTGTGACGTCTTGGACAAGTTCCCACCTTTTGGGGCCAGTTTCTCCATCTATAAAATGGGGATAATGCCTAACTTAAGAGTTATTTTAGATCCAATATAAAAATTCCCAGCCCAATGCCTGGCATGCAGTAAGCAGGCAATTATATTATTTTTCCTCTCTACTAGTCACAACTACCCAGGAAGGGAAGTTTTCACTCATTCCTGGCCATCCGCCCCATGCTGGGCACTTGGGGCATGCTGACTGTGGTGAATGAAACAGACAGGGTACTGGTCCTACTATTATAGAATGTTTGCTTCATAAGAACAGGCACTGACTGTATCATCTCTGAACACAATGGAATGAAGCTGGCAATAACAAAAGAAAAATTGGAACATTTACAAATGTGTGGAAATTAACAGATTTCTAAACAATCAAGGGGTCAAAGAAGAAATCACAAGGGAAATTAGAAAATACTTTGAGATGAATGAAAACAAAAACACAAAATACCAAAACTGAGAGTGTGTGATGACAACAGTGTGCAGAGGGAAATTCATAGCTGCAAATGTCCATATTAAGAAACAAGACAGTAACTATGTGAGGTGATGGGTGTTAATTAGCTCAGCTGTAGCAATCATTTCATAATGTATATCAAAACATCCCACTGTATACTTTATACTTTTTTATAAAAATAAATATTCTTACAAAAGGACAGGCGCTGTGTCTGTCTGGCTCACCATTGTACCCAATACCCAACAGGGTGCCAAGTACCCAATACCCAACAGGGTGCCAAGGAACACAAAAGGCACTCAAAATATGTTTGTTGATTGGAGTTTACAAGGAAGAAAGGTATTTTCTTATCCCTCTCTTCCCTTCCCACCCAAACATAGCTTCTTCTAAGAAAAGAAACTGAGGCTGGGCAAGGTTAAAAGCTAGCTCCTGGTACTTTTGCATCCACACTCAGTTTACCTGTGCCTTAAACCAGACTTCATCAAACTTCAGTCTTCACAAGTCACTTCACCATTTTTGCTCTACCTACTTACTGCCTGTGATAGAAATCAACTCAGTTTGTTTAGCGGTATAAACTTAAAAGGAACTTTAGATCAATCACTTGTCTTAGAAGGTAACCACAAAAATACAAAGCAATAAAAATAAAAACATGTTAACATGAATTTCAGTTGCCTGAAAGCTGTAAGTCTGCTTTTTTAAAAGAGAAATTGGAGTTAAGCAGACTTTTCATTTTTTGATCATGACCCTGAAAGAGAAATATATTTGACATCAAAACTCAGCACATATCCTTGGTCTATATATACACGTGAAAGTTTCATAAAACAATACACTGATATTTTCCATGCTGTATTCTATTTCATTTTTTAAAATGCTGGTTGTATCCCATTAAACTGGTTTCAAAATAAATATAACATGTACACAACAACAACAAAAAAAAACACTGGGTTAGAGGGCCAGTAAGCTCAGCGAGTATCAGCAACTGAGACTTCATCCTTGTCTCACAAGGACTAAAAAGAGAATAATGTTCTCATTATGTGGTTCAATGCCACACCCATGTATCTGAGATATACATGTCACAATCTGGGAGAAGCCTGTCCTCAATTTACTTTAAATACCCAATTCTGCCTAGAACATGACTTAGACACATAGTAAGCTCTTGAGTGAAGTGCAGATGATAATGACACGATCACATACCACTTAAAAATATCTTAACACCTTTACTTAGATCTCATCTCATACTTGTAGCATTTCTTCAAATTTACTTTGAAAAAAGAGCTTCACTGTGTGTGGTTGTCATACACATTCTTCTACCCAACCATGGACCTCTTTCTTCCTCTCAGGCGCACTTCATCTAATTTTTTTAGCACTGGCCTGGCCTTTTTGGAGGAGGTGGAGTAGCTCTTCAGAAAGGCTTCAAACACAGTTTCAGTGTTGGGATGGGTACTGAGGAAGGCCTTCTCCAGGACATAGAGGTCTACTCCCTTATCCTCTGGAAGTGCTGAAATGAAACTCAGCCCAAAGTCTATGAGCACAATGTTCAGCTGTTCCAGGGGGGGTTTCAGGAGCATGTTGGAGGTGGTGAGATCACCATGAATGAGGTCTTCATCGTGCATTCGAGCCAAAACCTGCCCAATTGTCTTGGCTAAGTTGGAGAGACCCTGGGGAGTTTTTTCAGTCTCCATAGTGGACTGAATATAATCTCGAACAGTCACTGAGCCTTCAATTTCTTCCATATATAAGCAGTTGGAAGCATAGTCCACAAAAAAGACAACTGGGGCAGATATTCCTGAAATCAAGACATAAGTGGTTATTGGGTTGGATTTTTTTTAACGGGTAAACTTAATTTTCAAAGATTAAGCCAGTTTTTCCATCTATATCTACTTATTTCAGGACTATTGAGGAATGCTACAGGAAATGGTACAACTGAACTCATCTGGAATATTCCCCTGCTCATGCCCACTGCAGGACTATGCCTGGGAACACCCCACAGCTAAACTGAGGAGGCCATAGCTTCCTCCTCCCTTCCAAACCACCCTTTCTCACTGGACTTCATTTGTCACACTCACTCTCTAAAAAACAAACAAAACAAAGGCCGGGTGTGGTGGCTCATGCCTGTAATCCCAGCACTTTGGGAGGCGGAGGCAGGCGGATCACTTGAGGTCAGAAGTTCGAGACCCCCATCTCTACTAAAAATACAAAAATTAGCCAGGTGTGGTGGCTCACGCCTGTAGTCCCAGCTACTCGGGAGGCTGAGGCAGGAGAATAGCTTGAACTCAGGGAGCGTAAGTTGCAGTGAGCTGAGATTGTGCCACTGCACCACTCCAGCCTGGGTGACAAAGTGAGACACTGTCTCAAAAAACAAAAACAAAGAGCAAGGCACAGCCCAGTCAGAGCAGTTTCTACTGATGAGGACACAAACAGGAGGCCAAGCAGTGTGCTAGCTTCGAGGTTCATCTTCGTAGTCAGAGAGGACAGGGTTCAAATCCCAGCTGCTTTTCTTATTAGTTGTCTAATCTAATCTTAAAATTACATTAACTTCTCTAAGCCTCAGTTTCTGCTACTATACAAGGAACAATAGCTCCAATAAACTCAATGAATCTTTACTGAAAGTCAACCAGGCTCAGTATACTTTTCTAGAAACTGAGAGATGTTATCAATGGGGATACAGCAATAAACAAGCCAGCTATAATACAATCTCTGCTTAACGAAACAGATCATGAGGCTGAAAACAGAAATATGAATACACAAATAACTTCATGAAATCTTAAGTCTCTGAAAGGGCAGCAATGTGTCCGCTTGTTGGCTACTGAATATCCCCCACCCAGATCTCCCAGCACTTAACAATGTCCTGGTACCCACTGGTACCTAAAAAATACTGATAAAAGAAAGGCAAGAAGCGTAAAAGTAAAAAGCCAGGGCTTCTGAGTCAGAGGCATAAGGAGCTGAGGGCCTGGACCGGCCACTTAGTAACCGTGTAACCTTGGGCAAGTTACTTCTCTCTGAGTGTCACTTTCTCATCTGAGGACAAAGTTTATGGTGCTGGCGCACAATGATGTTTAATGAAAAAATAGGCAATTTAATGAAATCCAACATTTATTGGGCACTATGTGCCAGGCACACATTTGAACATAATACGTGACACACATACCTCCTCTAATGGTCACAACATCCCTATGACATGGATACTGCTACTATGTCTCCCATTTTACAGGTGAGAAAACCGAGGCTGAGAGGCTAAATAACTTGTTGAAAGGCTACACAAGCAGCAGAGTTAGTATTTCAACCCAGGGAGCCTGGCTCCAGTGGGGCAAGTACTTGTCATTACATGTTTCTTAAAACTAATAAATGGAAAGATAATGATCGAAAATTGAAACGAGTCAAATGGGGAAACCAAGGCTCAGGGAAGTTAAACATGTTCAACATTGAGCAATAATGACAGATCCCAGATTTGAACCAGGCAGAACGGCCTCAGGACAAAAGCTTGACGCTGCATGGCCACGTGGTTTCTTAAGACTTAACGAATGAAAAAAGGGATGAAAGAATAACATTTCCGAAAGGCCGGACACCGCAGAAGGCACAGAAGGAGAAACTGAGGGAAATCCAGCTTCGGAGCGCAGGGGAGTCCCTCACCCGCCCAGGCCCCAGAGCCTCGGGGCCGCCCACGCCGGGATCCCGGCCCACCTTACCAGCGCGGCGACAGCGGAGGAGCGCCCGGGCCTCCTGCACCGTCCGCCGTCTGCCAAGCCGCGCCTCCAGCGCCGGGTGCCGGTAGCCCTTGGGGAAGCGGTGCTTGATCACCGCCGCGCGGCCCTGGAAGCGGCCACGGAACACGCGCGCCTCGGCACCCTGCTTCACCAGCTCCAGGCCGCTCAAGAAGCGGCTGCTCCGCTCCCGGGCTGCGGCCAGAGCCTCAGCCTCCGGGGCGGGCTCCTCGCCATCGGCCGGCGTAGTAGCTCTGGCCGCCGCCATGACTGCTCGGCGCAACAGCTCCAACCGATCAGCTGTCTCTGAAAACTGTCGCGATGCTTCGGCTCGCTTCGGAAATCCTGGGACTTCTTCGGCAATCCTGGGACTTCTTCGGCTACCCGAATGCGTCCACCCCGGACACTTCCGGCCTGTAAGTGGTTACGCCTCCCAACTTTTCGGCTCTCTGAAGCCTGAGGTTCCCTGCAGGAAGGGCTCTTGTGGCCCCGCCTTCCGCCTCTTCGGCTATCTCCGTACACGTTCGGCAACGCTCAGTAAGTGGCTCTTCCCGACTCCTTGGCTCTCCGGAAATCTTCGGTGACTCTCGCAGCCGGCTTTGGGGGCCCACCTCTCAGTTGGTCGTCTCTTTCCGGAAAACTTCGGCGCCTCTCGAGAAAAACGTCGGACGCGCTTTGCTCTCTTCAGAAGTCTCTTCCGGGACAGCTGTACCCTCTAGTAGTCTCTTTTTGGAACTCCTCTTCCCCTGACTCCTACATTCCCCCCAAAATGTGCTCATACAAGTCAGAGTCGGAAGGGTCAGACAATGAACCATGTTTCCGACATCCTCTTAAGTGCTAGGATAACTACCATTTAGTGCATTCAGAAGAAATAAGGTTAAATGATGAAAATCCTTACAGAAAAGAAAATTGAGACTCAGAGCTGGCAGAGGGGGTGGTAAGATGGGGTGGGGAGTGGGGGCTGGGGAATCCGGGAAAGTCTTCCGGAGACAGAACCTAAACTGAATTGGGAATAATTAAACTTTTTCAGTTTCTACCTGTTTCATTACAAAGCTTATAATAACACAGGCTGTAGCAAATTCTTACAATACGGAACTTTGCACACGCACACATAAATAAATAAACTACCTATCCCCCTTGTGACACTGCTGGCCGTTAGTTTCTTTCCAGAATTTTCTTTCATTCAGTGTGCACACTCACACATCGTTGTGGCGTTTTTTCCAACATAAATGACATCATACTGTGGGTTCTTTGGCAACTTGCTTTTCATTTTCCTAAACAATTTATCTCAGACTATATTCCATATCAATACATACAGAGCTACCACGTCCTTCTACCTGGTCAGGCAGTTTCTTGTTGCTAAACAGTTGTTTCCAGTTTGTTGTTTCTCAGGAAAACACTTTACTTACTATTGCCAGTTTATTATAAAAGATAGTATAAAAGATAAAAATGAACAGCCAGATGAAGACGTACATAAGGAAAAGTAAAAATTGTACGTGTTTATCGTAAGTAACATGTTTTGAAATATGTATACATTGTGGAATGGCTAAATCCAGCTAGTTAACGTTACCTAACATACTGATCATTTCGGGGGTGAGGACACTTAAAATCTATTATCTTAGCATTTTTCAAGAATACAACCCATTGTTATTATCTATAGTCACCATGTCGTGCAATAGATTTCATGAATGTTTCCTCCTATCTAACTGAAATTTTGTATCCTTTGACCAACTTCTCAAAATCCTCCCTATCTCCCTCCCCCTACCCCACCGCCTGGTAACCACCATTCTACTCTGCTTGCATGAGTTCAACTTTTCTTACCTTCCTCATATAAGTGAGATCATGGGATATTTGTCTTTCTGTGCCTAGCTTATTTCATTTAACACAATATCCTCCTGTTCCATCCATGTTGCTGTAAATGACAGCATTCCATTCTTTTTAAAGGCTGAATAGTATCCCATTGTGTATATAAATGTACCATATTTTTATCCATTCATTTAGTGATGGACACTCAGATTGAGAATTGTGAATGATGCTGCAATTAACATGGGACTGCAGACATCTCTTCAATATACTGATTTTGTTTCCTTTGGATATGTACCCAGTAGTAGGGTTGCTGGATCATAAGGTAGTTCTATTTTTATTTTTTTTGAAGAACCTCCATACTGTTGTCCATAATGTCTGTACTAATTTACATTCCTATCAACAGGGTGCAACGGTTCCCTTTTCTCCACATCCTTGCCAACACTTATTATCTTTCTTATGTTTTAAAATAGCGATTCTAACAGGTCAGAGGTGATATCTCATTGTGGGTTTAATTTGCATTTCGCTGATGATTAGTGATGTTGAGCATTTTTTTTTAATATACCCGTTGTCCATTTTTATGTCTTCTTTTGAGAAAGATTTCTTTGGATCTTTTGCCTACTTTTAATTCAGGTTTTGTCCTTTCTTACTATTGGATTGTATTCCTTATATATTTGGATATTAACCCCTCATCAGATGTATGGTTTGCAAAAATTTTCTCCCATTCTGTAGTTTGTCTTTTCACTCTTTTTTTTTCTTTTTTCTTGACTGTGCAGAAACGTTTTAGTTTGATGCAATTCCATTTGTCTATTTTCACTTTTGCTGCCTGTGTTTTGAGAGTCCTACACAAAAAATCGTTGCTCAGGCCAATGCCATGACATTTTGTCCCTGTTTTCTTATAAGAGTTTTATAGTTTTGGCTCTTACATTTAAGTCTAATCCATTTTGAGTTGATTTTTGCATATGATGTAAGATAAGAGTCTAAATTCTTTCACATGAATATCCAGTTGTCCCAACACCATTTATAGAAAAGACTGTCCTTTCTCCATTACGCGTTCTTGGCATGTTTGATGAAACTCAATTGACTATAGTGCGTGGATTTATTTCTGGGCTCTCTATTCTGTTCCATTGGTCTATGTGCCTGTTTTTATGCCAGTGACATGCTGTTTTGATTACAATAACTTTGTAGTATATTTTGAAGTCAGGCAATATGATGCCTCCAGCTTTGTTCTTTTTGCTCAAGATTGCTTTGACTATATGGAGTCTATTATGATTCTATATAAATTTTAGAATTTTTTATTTCTACAAAAATGTCATTGGAATATTGATAAGAATTACATGGAATCTGTAGGACATTTTAACAATGTTACTTCTCCAGTTTTGTTTCATTTTTTTTTGTTTTGTTGTCTCTTATAAACAGTGCTGCAGTGAGCAGGCTTATCCAGCCATCTTTGCACACATGAATGTTTCTGAGGACATCTTTCTACAGGTGATATTGCTGGGTTGTAGGTGACAAGCACTTTGAAACTCGACTCCTCAGCCAAACTACCCTCCCAAAGTTTTGTGCCTATTTATGCTTCAGTCAAATTCATGTCTCATTTTCCCATATCTTCATCTTCATTGAGATTCTCAGGTGCTGGAACGCTCAGTCAGGGGGTGGAGAGGGAGGGTGCTCAGGTTCCAGGCAGTGAGAACAGACACAGGGTAGGATTGGGTTGGACAAGGACCAGCAGCTCCACATGGCTGCTGGCAGGTTGGCACTGGGGACAGGCTGGGAGCTGAAAGAACAAGGACAGTGGCCTGGTCCCAAAGGATTTCTCTTGCTGGAGGAGAGGTGCTGTGAGCCTGGGGTGACTACACCAAGCATGGCCCTTTGGGGCCTTGACCTCTGGCTGCAAAATATGCAGCTGAGCTCTGGGTAGAACAGCCAAGCAGTAAAGGGGAGGGAGGGGTCTACTTTTTAGCCCTTTCTGAGCCTGAAAGAGAACCTATGGCCTCTTCTTCACTTCCCACCCACCAGCACCAGATGCCCATTCAGTGATTTATTCACCAATTAATTTAATAAATATTTATTGAGTGACTACTATAGGCCAGGTACTGTGCTAGGCCCTGGGGACAGAGCTGTAAACAAAATAGAGAATAATTATTACTGCCCTCATGGAGTTTACATTCTAGTGGGTGGAAACCAGCAATAAACAAATAAGGAAAATGTGTCATTGACAGGGGCTAGCAGGAGATAAATCCAGCAGGAAGGGGGATGGGAAGGATGACGTGCATCTGGGCTTGCCAGGGACAGCCCCAGTTTTTGCCTGTTGCCCTGGCATAACTATTATTAGTGCCCCCGCCTTTTTTTTGAGAAGGAGTCTCACTCTGTTGCCCAGGCTGGAGTGCAGTGGCATGATCTTGGCTCACTGCAACCTCAACCTCCCAGGTTCAAGTGATTCTCAGGCCTCAGCCTCCTGAGTAGCTGGGACTATAGGTGTATGCCACCATGCCCAACTAATTTTTTTGTATTTTTAGTAGAGATGGGGTTTCACCGTGTTGGATAGGCTGGTCTCAAACTCCTGACCTCAAGTGATCCACCTGCCTCGGCCTCCCAAAGTGCTGGGATTACAGGCGTGAGCCACTGCGCCCAGGCTAGTGTCCCCTTTTTACTCTCAAAAGCATTCTAGTTTGGATGATACAATATATGGTTACCCTATGTGTAGTAGAGTGGGGGTGGGAGGGAGTGATGCAATTTTATTTTATTTTATTTTTTATTTTTATTTTTATTGAGACAGGGTCTTGCTTTGTTGCCCAGGCTGCAGTGCAGTGATGCAACCTGCTGGGGCTCAAGCAATCAATCCTCCTACCTTAGCCTTCTGAGTAGCTGGGACCACAAGCATGTGCCACCACCCCCAGCCAATTGTTACCATTTTTTGTAGAGATGGGGTCTCCCTATGTAGTGCAGGCTGGTTACGAACTCCTGGCCTCAAGTGATCCTGTTGCCTCGGCCTCCCTCCCAAACTTCTGGGATTACACATCTGAGCTACCATGCCGGGCCTAATTTTAAATAAAGTGGTTGAGAAGGTGTCAACGAAAAGGTGACATTTGAACCCTGTGAATGGATTCCTGGGGGAAGATCTTTCCAGACAGGAGAGGCCCCAGAGAGGAAGTGTGCTTGACATGTTTGAGTAAGAGTGAGTTATTTAACCTCTCTGTGCTTTAGTTTCCTCATCTGTAAAAGAAGATTGTAGATAATATTCATCTTGTAGGGTTTTTGTGATGATTAAATGTGTAACAAGGTAAAACACATAGAACCGTGCTGGGCACATGATATGCACTTCGAAATGGAAGCTATTATTATTATGGAGTGTTTAGTATGATGACAATTAAAACTGGACCCCCAGTATCCAACCACTGCTCCTTGTGGGGGAAGGGGCTTCCCATTGTGTGGTGTCTCGGGGAACACAGAAACCACCTCCCACTACAGAAGCCTCTCCTTTGCCCCATCCTTGTGTGGCTTGCAACAAGAACCCTGACTTGTACCACCACTGAGTGGAGGTGTGTTGTAACTGTATTAATTAGCTAGGAAACAAAATAAACTGCTATAACAAAGTAACCTACAAATACTGGCTTAAATATGAGAGAGATTTATTTCTTGCTTATGAAACATCCAGATCTGTTATTCTCAACTTATTGCTTCCTCCTCTGAGTCTACTCCACTTGTTGCCCTCTCCACTCAGCAAAAAGGGTGATGACAACCAGGAAAAAGAGATCAACCAGCTAAGAACTTGGCCCAAAGTTGCACATGTCACTTCCACTCTCATCCTATTGGCCAGAACTTAGTCACATGGAAGATGCAAAGGAAGCTGGGAAATGTATTCTTTAGCAGGGCGGACACGAATTCAGCTAAAACCCTGGGTGATTATTACTAAAAGGAAGGAGGGGAGGAATGATATTGGGGGACAATTAATAGACTGCAATGGTTTTGATATTTTAAACTGCAAGTAACATCAGTCAACTAATTAGCTTAATTGGCATAAACAATAAGTTCATTTATTATCTCCCAAAATTTCAAGAGGTGTGGCTGGGTGCAGTGGCTCACGCCTGTAATCCCAGCACTTTGGGAGGCTGAGGCAAGTGGATCACCTGAGGTAAGGAGTTGGAGACCAGCCTGGCCAACATAGCTAAACCCTGTCTCTACTAAAAATGCAAAAAATTTGCTGAGCATAGTGGCATGCGCCTGTAGTCCCAGCTACTCAGGAGGCTGAGGCAGGAGAATCACTTGAACCCAGGAGGCAGAGGTTGCAGTGAGCCACGATCACACCATTGCACTCCAGCCTGCACAACAAGAGCAAAACTCCATCTCAATAAATAAATAAATAATTTCAAGAGATGGAAGGTCCCAGCTGTCATTAGATACCAAGGACATGGGGTCCTTTCATTCTTTTCCACCAGCCTCAGCATGTTGTTTTGGTCCTTATCCTTGTCACCTTATGATCTCAAGATGGCTATCAAAGTTCCACACATTATCTGAAGACACAAAAACATTTGGTTCAAGAAGAGGGGCAGTACCTCCTGTATAGTTTTCTTTATTTGGGAGAAAATCCTTTGCTGAAGCCTCTTCTCTCCCCATCACACTTCCCATAAAGGGCATCGGTCATAGTTGGCCCATGTGCCTTTGGCTTAGCTACAGAGGAAGCTGGAAAAGTGAGGATCTGGCATCTTCAGCCTTTGAAGATGGAGATGTGTTCTATAAGCAACGAGCAAGCGAGCTGGGCATAGCTATTGGAAAGGCAGCCACAAATGGCTGGCACACTGTGACGCCCACCAACATCATTTTTCTGTATTTCAGTTTAATCATCTTCAGAATGGGGATAATTAGTTCTACTTTGGCAAGTGCTTATAAAAATTAAACAAGATGTTCAACATAAGGGTGCCTGGTGGATAGCAGACACTCTTCATTTGTTCATTTTCCTTCCTTCCACCCACTAGTCACTGGGGCCCTGTTTGAAATACCAAAGAAAAGCCCTTTGGTCTGAGGGTTGCTATGACACCAATGCCTTGGGCTCTGCAGTCCTTAGGTTTCATTCACACACGAGGCAGGTCGCTTTTTCAAACATAAGATCCTTTATGTTGGCATAATGTGGTTTCTAGCACCTTTCATCAGCCCAGACTACTCAAAGCCTACCCAGAACCAATTCTATTTATAACTCCCAGTTTCCCAAGTTTGTGGCTTCATTATCATAATTGTTAGTGTCCACGTAGTTGTCTCTATGGTTACCAAATTCATCTGAGCCTCTGCCTTAGAAATCTGCATGAAAACATATTTACAAGACCCAGGCTTGCTATGGTCAGACTGGTTCTGGCTTCTGTGGCAGGAAACTCAATTTAAAGCCTTTCAGTGGCTCCCCACTGCACTTAGGATAAAGATCCAATCCTTAATTCAGCCCAGGAGGCCCTGCATAAGATCCCTGCATCCACTTCCAAACTTATCTCCCGTGAAACTCCCCCTTCTACTTGGTCTCTGCTTTTTTTCTTTCTTTCTTTTTTAAGAAACAGGGTCTCACTCTGTCACCCAGGCTGGAGTGCAGTGGCATGATCTCAGCTCACTGCAGCCTCCAACCTCCTGGTCTCAAGCGATTCTCTGGCCTCAGCCTCCTGAGTAGCTAAGACTTCAGGCATGAGCCACCACACCTAGCTAATTTTTGTATTTTTTTATAAAGATGGGTGTCTTACTATGTTGCCCAGGCTGGTCTCCAATTCCCAGACAACTGTAATATCAAGAAACACCAGGAGAGGAGTGAGGTAAGGACAGGAAGGCAGTCAGTGAAAGGTGAGCCCATTTCCACTCTGGGCAACTAGAGCTGAATCCCACTGGGGAACAGAAGCCAGTGTAGATGACTCAGGCCTCAGACCCAAGGGGCAAGGGACCTGGGTACTTAGACAGCAGTCGTTGACTGAGGGTTGTTCCCAAGAGATGTTACTTTCTCTGTGCTCCTGGCCTGCCACAAAGCAGCAGAGCAGGGGCAGAGAGAGCCCAAATGCAGATGCCGGCTTGACTGTCAGCCATGTGCAGTGAAGGGCAAGGCATCCAGGGGACTGAGCATAGCACTGCCAGTGACTGCCCAATGGGGATACATTTTGCATTATTCATCGCCATGGTGGCTGCAAATGACAGAAACAAGCTTAACCACAAAAAGAAATTTATTTTAGGTGCAGCTGGACCCAGGGGCTCACAGGATGTATCTGGCTGCCTCTCAACATTGCTTTCATCTTCAATGGCTTTATCTCCAGGAGTGCTCCCTTTCTCATGATGAGCTCCACATCAACCAGCCCAGCAACCCCAGCAGAAAGAACAGACCCTTCTGCACTGGTTTCTCATTGCTGCTGCAACGAATTGCCACACACTTAGTAGCTTAAGTGACATTTTTTTTTTTTTGAGACAGGGTCTCACTCTGTCATCCAGGCTGGAGTGCAGTGGCATGATCAGGGCTCACTGCAGCTTCAACTCCCCCCTACAAGCCCAAGCAATCCTTCTGCTGAAACCTCCCGAGTAGCTGGGACTATAGGACTACATGTGTGAGCCACCACGCCCTGCTGATTTGTTGTATTTTTAGTAGAGATTGGGTTTCGCCCTGTTGGCCAGGTCTCAAACTCCTGGACTCAAGCAATCTGCCCACCTTGTCCTCCCAAAGTGTTGGGATTACAGGCATGAGCCACCATGCCCAGCCTTAAATGACATTTATTATCTTACAGTTCTAGAGATCAGAAGTCTGAAATGGGTCTCACTGGGGTGAAATTGGAGTGTCAGCAGGGCTGTGTTCCTTTCTGGGGGCTTTAGGGATAGAATCTGTTTACCTGCTTTTCTAATGTCTAAAAGCTGCCCACATTCCTTGTCTGATAGCCCCCTTTCTCTGTCTTCAAGGCCAGCAACATCCGGTCAATTCCTTCTGTGTAAGGACACTCTGTGTTGCTATAAAGAATACCTGAGGCTGGGTGGTTTATAGAGAAAAGAGGTTTATTTTGGCTCATGGTTCTGCAGGCTGTAGAGGAAGCACAACACCACATCTGCTTCTGGTGAGGCCTCAGGAAGCTTGCAATCATGGCAGAAGGTGAAAGGGGAGCAGACGTGCCACATGGTGAGAGAGGGAGCAAGAGAGAAGGGAGGAGGTGCCAGTGGGCTCTTTGAACAACCAGATCTCACATGGACTAATAGAGCAAGAACTCACTCATGAACATGCAGAAGGCACCAAGCCATTCATGAGAGATCTGCCCCCATGACCCAAATACTTCCCATTAGGCCCCTCCTGCAACATTAGGGGTCATATTTCAACATGAGATTTGGAGGGAACACACATCCAAACCATATCGCCTTCTCAGGCTGCCATCTCCCCAGCTCTCTCTCCTGCCTCCTTCTACTTTTAAGGATCCTTGTGATTACATTAGGCCCACCCGGCTAATCCAGGATAATCTTTCCAAAATCTGCTGGCTAGCAACTTTATTTTTTTGAGATGAAGTCTTAACTTACTCTGCCACCCAGGCTGGAGTGCAGTGGCCTGATCTCTGTTCACTGCAAACTCCGCCTCCCAGATTCAAGCAATTCTCCTGCCCCAGCCTCCCGAGTAGCTGAGATGACAGACGTGTGCCACCATGCCTAGCTAATTTTTGTATTTTTAGTACAGACGGGGTTTCGCCATGTTGGCCAGGGTGGTCTTGAACTCCTGACCTCAAGTGATCTACCCACCTCGGCATCCCAGAGTGCTGGGATTATAGGCGTGAGCCACCACCGCACCCGGCCTCACAACTTTAATTCTATCTGCAACCTGAATTCCCCTTTGCCATGTGGCCTAATATATTCACAGTCTCCAGAGATGAGAATAGGAACGTCTTTGTGGATTGTTATTTTGCCTGCTACACTATTTTCCCCCAACAGTTCTAGCAAAAATCCAGGATCAATTTTCATTGGTCTGCCTTGGGTCACATAACTGTTTCTGAACACACTACTGTAGACAAAGCAATGGAAAAGACTGATTGGCCAGATCTGGTCATGTGGAAAGGGGAGGTGGAGCCAGCCCCATTGGAATTCACATGGAGAGTGAAGAAGGTGTGGCTCCCCAAAGGAAAATCTGAGTGGTCTTACCAGGAGAAGGTATAATGAATGTCAGGCAGGCAAAAGTCCGGGATGCTCACTACAGGTCAGCAGGCCAGAATTTCTTGTTGTGGGAAGAAGATGATACATGTTTAGAATTGTAATGTTGTAATGTTGAATTTTAAATTAAAAGAAAATTTCGGCACTGTTCTGGGTGATAACAAGCCTCCATCACTGCAAACCTCCAATAAATATAACCACATACATTGCCTAGTGCACGACTCCAAAGTTGTAAGAAAAATCGGACAACTATTACAGGCATGAAGACGAGCAGTGATAGGGAATTAGGCAAGAGTACAGGGAAAAAAAGCAAGAAGTGATTAGGAGAAATTTCAGCCTCCTCCATCCACCCTACTCCTAGAATCCAGCTCCAGAACATTAGATTTCCCTTTATATGAGTGTAGTGGGATAATATATTTTTAATGATGATTTTTAAAAACTACATCTTTATCCCATTACTGTTGAAACATACTAGAAATGATTTGGTTCATTTGTGAATAACAGAAAGACTCACAATAGCAGTGACTCAAACAATCTAGCAGTTTATCTTTGAAGTACAGAGACAGTGGGGCCAGGCCTGAAGTGGTACATCACGGAGTTAGGAACCCAGATTGCTGCTGTGGGGTTGCTCTGCTGGGTTCAGTTTCTACTCTCAAGGTCTCATGGCACAAAATGGCTGCTGGAGCTCTGTCAATCATGACTGCATTCTGGCTGGCTTTAAAGACACTTCCAATAAATTTCATGCAGTACCTATGCTTATATCCGTAACCATCATGCTACACGCATACATTTAACCCAGTGGTTCTCAAACGGAAGAGATTTTGCCTCCCAGGGAATATTTGGCAATGCGAGGAGCAGGGAGTGTGCTGCCCTCTAGTGCGAAGAAGCCAGCGATGCTGCTAAACATCCTACAGTACAGAGCATCTTCCTACAACAGTCTTTCAGTCCAAAATGTCAATAGTGCTGAGGTTGAGAAACCTGGTTTATCCTTTCCGAGCCTCAGTTTCCTCACTTATCTAAATGCTGGGAACAGAGAAATGATCAAAACAGAGAAAATGATAAAACACGGGACACAGGGGAGGCTTCCTCAGATTAATTATACAGGACTCATGAGTTCTTACGGAATTCAAATTTGATCAATCACGTGAAGGTTTTACAAACTAAGGCACTACTAGGGGACAAATCTGTGATTGTTTCAAGTCAGCTGAGTAGCGTTCAGTGACAGTGGAGCAGGCAGAGCAGGGATAAAGGACTATTTGCAATGGTTCAAGCCTAGTATTTGGGAACCAGAAGGGAAGGGATAGTGCAGTACCCCAGAGAGGGTAACCGTGGAGCTGTCACCATCCTTGAGCCACAGGGGTGAAGGAAGGAGTAAAAGGAGAAAGTCATATAGAGAAAAGGTTGTTTGGAGAGGAGCAAGGAGCAATGCACTAGGAGACAGAAGGCCTGGGTCACATAGTCTTGCAGAAGTCCCCAAAAGCCCTGCGTATCGCTCGTCACCTCTGCCCTCGTCTCCTATCTCTCTTCCCCTCATTCTGCTCCAGCCATCCTGGCCTCCCTGCTCTTCCTCAGACACACTCCTGCCTCAGGGCTCTGGCGCGTGCTGTTTCCTCTGCTTGGAATGCTGATCCCACAGGTATCCTTCTGCCCATTCTCTCACCTCATTCAGGTCTTTTCCCAAGTGTCACCTTCTCATTGAGGACTTCCCAAACCACCTGATTAGGAATTGGCACACTGCCATTCCTCTTGCAACTTTGATCCTCTTTCCCTGCTTTATTTTTCTCCATACTGTTTATCATTATCTGGTACCTTATACAATTTACGTATTTATCTTGTATTGTATTGTATTTTACATATTGTAAAATATGTAAAAAATGTAAAATCTGTCGTCTGTCTCCCTTTATTGAATGTAAGCTCCATGGAGACAAGAGTTTTTCTCTGTTTTGATCATTTCTCGGTTCCCAGCACTTAGATAAGTTATCAGCATAATAAATACTCAATATATACCTGTTGAATTAATAATTAAATGTAAGAATGAATGAATTTATTCATTCATAAAATTAATTGTTCATGAATCTCATTAATTATTCATGAAGTAATTGAATCAGTAAACCACTCCTCTTCCATGTGAATCAGAACTGACTCATTAGCATACTCCACCGGCTCCCAGCCTGGCCAATGAGACTCAATTCTGAGACTTTGGAGAGAGCTCTTTGAAAAGACAAGCTCTCTTTATACCAAGGAAAATAAACTGTGAGGATGTGAGTCTGGGACTACCCAGTAAACCTGCCTGAGAGGGAACCCAAAATAGAAGAAGCAGAGAATTACAGAGATCTGATGAAATCATTTAACCCTGGATCCGGCCATGCCTGAAGCAGAATTTTAAAATATATGTTAACCAACAAATATATTTTTTTCTTAAGCTGCTTTGAGTTAGGTCTCTGTAACTTGCAACTGAAAGCATCCTGACTGCCAGGATGAGAGATGTGGAGCAGAGATGATTTGCAGACCAACGAGAGAATCAGCCAAATAGCAGACATGGGAGAGAAGAGCACAGATCCTGGGAAATAAATACATATTTTTCTATGCCCCTGAGGTTTTGTGGGAATCTTTTGTTGTTGTTCTGTTTATTTGTTGTGTAGCAATTTTGTGGCAACAGTTAACCATGACGAATACCGTGGGGCAAATGGAATCTGTTTGGCCCAACATCAGCCTTCCCAATGACTGAGTCAGGTTTAGAGGTGCTCTGCTACTCTGGGCAGGATGTAGGACATGGGACACAGGGGAAGCTTTGTTGAGGTTGTCTGTGTCCTAGCCAGTTAACTTGATATGGATTCTGGTGTCCTTTGGGTTGTGTCCGGTTTGCTAACACCTTGTTTTTAAAACATAATATCTCCTGCTTCATTAAAAAAAAAATCAGGAAAGTTCACGTTTCCTATAATGAAAAATATTAGCATCAGGTCCACATTCCTACCTAGCCAGCCTGCTGAGCTCCACCCAGCTGTCCCTGTTAGTCCTTTTTTTTTTTGGCAAGGGTGGGGGTGGGGGGTGGGGGGTGGGGGCAGGGTTTCGCTCTATCACCTAGGCTGGAGTGCAGTGGTGCAATCTCAGTACACTGCAACCTCCACTTCCTGGCTCAAGTGATCCTTCAGCCTCAGCCCCCTGAGTAGCTGGGATCCCAGGCACAAGCCACCATGCCCGGCTCATTTTTGTATTTTTTATAGAGACAGGGTTTTGCCATGTTGCTCAGGCTGGTCTCCAACCCCTGAGCTCAAAGCGATCCACCCACCTCGGCCTCCCAAAGTGCTAGGATTACAGGCATGAGCCACCCCATCTGGCGCCCTGAGAGTCTCGACCTGTGGTTGTCAAACTTTTTCTGAAAGGCCAGATAGTAAATATTTAAAGCACTGTGGGCCATACCATCATGTCTGTTACAACTACTCAACTTTGCTGTTGTAGTGCAAAGGCAACCATGGACAATATGGAAATGCACAGGCATGACTGTGTTCGAATAAAACTTTATAGACAAAACAGTCAGCTGATTGTAGTCTGCTGACTTCCGCCCTGAATGAACAGCCTTCAGCTTGCCACAGTCCTCACCACTCCGCACTGCCTTATGCCCGGCTCACTTCCCTCACTTATAACACCTCAGTGGGCCCTGTAGGCGTATGAATTTGCAGCCTCTAATCTAAGTTCTTTTTAAGGTTAGAGTTTGGGGAACAAAAAACAGGCAGTCTTGTAAGCTGGCTGCTTGGGTGAACAAGAGGAAGGTAAAATCCTTCAACAATTATGATTTAGCAACTAGTATGTGCTAGGTGTAATTCTAGATGTTTATCCTGAACCAAAACACTGGGATACAGAAGAGAAAAAGGGAGATTTAAAAAAATTCCTGACCAGGTGCGATGACTCATGCCTGTAATCCCAGCATTTTGGGAGGCCGAGGCAAATTCCTTGAGCCCAGGAATTTGAGACCAGACAGGGCAATGTGGCAAAGCCCCATTTCTACAGAAAATATAAAAAAATTAGCCCAATGTGGTGGCACACGCTTATAGTCCCAGCTACTTGGGAGGCTGAGGTGAGAGGATCACTTGGGCTTGGGGTGGTCAAGGCTGCAGTGAGCTGTGATTGCTCTACTGTACTCCAGCCTCGGCAACAGAGCGAGATCTTGTCTCCAAAAAAAAAAAAATCCCACTCATAGAGCTTCATTTTAAGGGAGAAGACAGAGTAAACAAATAAATGAGAGATATAATGTGTTAAGGATAATAGATATGTTCCTTATCTTAATTGTGATGATGGTTTCACGTGATGGTTTCACAGGTGTAAATGTGTGAAAATTTGTCAAACTATACACTTTAAGTATGAGCAGCTTATCATATGCCAACTGTGCTTCTGTTAAATTAAGTTTAGCCTGAAGCTGCCTCCTTACCTATTTCTAGTTCAGCCTAAAGGTTTCCCTGTACGTGATGAACCATGACCTAACTAGATGTGTAAACAGACTACAACTTACCCTTGCACCAGTCACCAAGTTTTGGCCAATCAGTGGTGGCCAACTGTTCAAACTGTGTTCAAATAAGACAAATGCCAAGCTGTAACCAATCCAATTGTTTCTGTACCTCACTTCCGTTTTCTCTATGTCACTTTCCTTTTTGTGTCCATAAATCCTCTCCAACCATGTGGTAACACCTATTCTGGTTCGGGGGGCTGCCCAATTCACAAATTATCCTCTGCTCCATTAAACTCTGTTAAATTTAATTGGTCCAAAGTTTTTCTTTTAATAGTTCAATAAAGCTTATATATATATATATATATATATATATATACACACACACACACACACATATATAAAGAAATGAAGAAAAAAACAACTGCTTATCTAGAAAGATACCAAAATGTAACTAGGTTTTTGAGTTTTGTTCCAAATATGTATTATTTTTAACATATGATGTTCTTTAATGTGTCATATATTGCTATTTTAATAAAGAGCTCCATTTTTGTTTCTGTCTTTAAAAAAAGATATACAGTGTATCAGATGGTGATAAGTACAACAGATAGAAATATGCAAAGAAGAGATATAGAGAGAGTTGGAAGGGGGTTATAAATGGTAAATGAGAAGACAGAGAAAAACAGTAATTAA
This sequence comes from Homo sapiens, assembly GCF_000001405.40. Taxonomy (NCBI): domain Eukaryota; kingdom Metazoa; phylum Chordata; class Mammalia; order Primates; family Hominidae; genus Homo; species Homo sapiens. The sequence goes on from NC_000020.11 coordinate 46,704,217, forward strand.
GATCTCACAGTGGCCGGGTGTGGTGGCTCACACCTGTAATTCCAGCACTTTGGGAGGCTGAGGCGGGCAGATCACTTGAGGCCAGGAATCCGAGACCAGACTGCAACATTGTGAAACCCAGTCTCTACTAAAAATACAAAAATTAGCCAGGCGCGGTGGCAGGCCTCTGTAATCCCAGCTACTTGGGAGGTTGAGGCACGAGAATCTCTTGAACCTGGGAGGCGGAGGCTGCAGTGAGCCAAGATCGTGCCACTGCACTGCAGCCTAGGTGACAGAGTGAGACTTTGTCTCAAAAAAAAAAAAAAAGAAAAGAAAAAGAAAAAAGATCTCAAAGTAAGCTGGGTGTGGTTGTGACTATAACAGGTCTGTTGCTTGAAGCAGGGCAAGTCAATACACCAATACAGAGGGTTGCGGCAGAGAAAGAGTTAAAAAAAATCTTAGGGCAGCTGAATGAGGAGACAGAAGGAAACCTCAAATCCACCTCCTGGAGGAGTTTCAGCCTTGGGATTTTAAGGGTTTTGGAGTGGGCTGAGGTATAGGGATCGTCGTTTGGTTGAAGAATGCAGAGTGAAGTCACAGGACAGGGAGATAAAGAAATTTCGTTCTTAGGCTGATTCAGTTCCTCTGTGGGGGTCTTCAAACTGGTTGGTGTCTGCCGGTCCACTGGAATTCAGGATCTGAAGAACATCTTAAGCAATTCCTAAACAAAAAGCCTTATGATGCAAAGGTCAGAAATCCTATCTGTAGGAACAATGGGGATGCAAATGGCAGTATCTAGTGCCACATGACTTTCAGTTACAAGGAAGTGGGCCAAAGGGCAGCCAAATTAATGCTTAATTATAACTATGTTTCTGCCCAGAACCCAGCATGTAATTCTAGTTAACCCTATGAGGACAATTTCATGGCGGCACATGCCTATAGTCTTTGCTACTCAGAAGACTGAGGCAGGAGGATCACTTGAGTCAGGAGTTAGAGGCTGAAGGGCACTATCCTCATGCCTGTGAATAGCCACTGCACTCCAGCCTGGGCAACATAGTGAGACTCCATCGCAAAAAATACAAAATAAAATCTCAAAGCAGAATCCACTTACAAAACAAACTCTAAATGTGCAAGTTATACTCCCTTTCTCAGCCCTAATCCAACCCTCCATCGTGCCCTCCCCTCCTCACTCCTGCTAAACTTCAGGGTTGCCGACAGCTGAGTTTAAGCTCCATGCCCTGCTACATGATTCACAGCTGAAGCCTCCTTCTGGGTCTTGCTGTCTTCATCCTGCCTCTTCTGATCCATCCCGACAGTCCCAGGGAAGTGTAGTTGTTCCTGGTCTGTTCCTCATTAGCTGTGTCGAAAGACAAAATCACAAGTTTAAAGATCTCAGTTGGCTTTATTTACAATTCTAAAATTGGGCAACACTTCGTTTCATCAAATAGAATAAATGTTCCAGTAAGCTGAGAAGCAGAGGTTGGCTTTATAAAGACAGAGAAGGACTGAAGAAAGCAGAAACAAAGAACAAAAAGTATATTAGTTACTTTAGAGCAATAGAAAAATAACTGGTTAACATCAGGTTACTTCAGGCTACCTTTTTTGTGTAAGGATGAAAGCAGAGGGAACTTCATCATCACACTGATTGAAGATTTAAGCTGGCTGCTTGTCTCTCTCCTGATTTCTGGAAAGGTCAGATAACAACTTAGCTTAGGTTCAGTGACCTGGAACTCTAGCATGGGTGACTCCATTTTGATTTTCAGTCTGTTCTGTTGGGGACTAGTGCAGGAGCTTAGTCCAAAACAATGGCTGGTAAGGTTGCCAGATTTAGCAAAAACAGCAACAAATAGTATGCCCAGTTAAACGCGAATTTCAGATAGACATCAAATAATTTTGTAGTAAAATTATGTCCCATGTTTATCTGAAATTCACATTTAACTGGGCATCCTGTATTTTATCCTGTATTTTATCTAAATTCTGTGTCACTCCCCAAGAAATCAACTTGGGTTCTGAGGCCATCTATAAAAGGAAGTTTATTAAAGTGGCTTTTTAAGGGAATTTTTTTTTTAAATCAGAGAAACTCCTTTTTCCATGATGGACCCCAAGCTAATGAATAGGCTTTTAAAATAGTGAGTGAGAGGTTTACAACACTTAAGAGACAGACATTGGTGAGAAGGGCTTTTCAGCAAAGTCCTATAATTGCTGAATGGGTTCTTCCTGCTCGCTGCACAGACAAAACCAGTTCACTGAGACTGCAGTATTGCAGTAGAGAAAGAGTTTTATTAATGCAGAGCTAGCCAAGTGGGCTAGGTGGAGTTATTCCTCAAATCAGTCTTTCTGAAAACTTCAGAAACCAGGGTTTTTATAAATACTTTGGTGAGCAGGGGGATAGGGAATGGGTGCTGCTGATTGGTTGGGGGGGTGAAATCATCGAGATATGGAAAACAGCCCCGTGCACTGAGTCTGCCTCTAGATGGGAGCCACAGGACCAGTCCACTCATGAATCTTTAGTCCAGGCGGGGTCAGTTGGTTGCCAGGATGTGAAAGTATGAAAAACATCTCAAAAGATGAATCTTAGGTTCTACAATAGTGATGTTATCTACAGGAGCAATTGGGGAAATTACAAATCTTGTGACCTCTGGCCACATGACTCCTGAGCAGTAAGGAATTACCAAAACTACACCTGCATTTTAGCATAATTCAGGCCCATCCCATAATCCTAACCTCATGGACTTTCATTAATTTTACAAAGGTAGCTTCAGTCCCTGAGCAAGGAGGGGGTTAGTTTTAGGGAGTGATTATTATCATCCTTGCTTCAAAGTTAAAATATAAACTAAACTCCTCTCGTGGTTGGCTTGGCCTATACCCAGAAATAAGCAAAGACAGGTAGCCGGTGAGGTCAGAGTCAAGATGGAGTCAACCATGCCAGATTTCTCTTGCTCTCTAATCTTTGCAAAGGCATTTTCAGTCCCTTAAGATCACATTAAATTAAAGTTAGATACCATCCTCACCGATTTCTCAGCTTCTGATGGTTAACTGTTCAAGGGTCAGAGGAGAGATTCAAGGCCAAGGGTGATAAGCCTCCTAGTGTCCATGTAGATATAACCTAATCTCTACTTTCTCCTGGAGATGATCCATCTCCTTTTTCTAATCAAGATAATGAACAATAATGAAATGTGTATTCGTTATTTATCACTGTATAACAAATTATTCCCCAAATTTAGTGGCTTAAAGAAACAAACATTTATTATCTCATGTCTTCTAGGATAAAGAATTTAGCATAGCTAAATTCTAGCTCTGAGCAAGAGCTCAGAATCTTGCAAGGTTGAAATCAAGGTGTCAGCCAGGACTAGAGTCACCTCCAGGCTAGGCTGAGGGAAGATTCACGTCCAAGCTCACCACAAGCTTGTTGGCCAGATTTAGCTCCTTAGGGGCTGTTGATTTAAGGGCTTTAGTCCCTCACTGGTTATTGCCTGGAGGCATTAGCTATGTGATTCAATAGCTTCGCTCCATGTGGGCCTCTCCATTGGGAAGCTCAAAACATGGCAGCTCAATTGCTTCATCAGAGCAAACAAGTGAGAGATCTCGAAACTGAACAACACAGAAATCATTTATAACCTAATCCGAAAATGACATCCACCATATTTGCCGTCTTCTATTCATTAGACGTTGCTAAGTGATACTTCTAGTGACATCTAGAAGAGAAGAGGATGCCACTAGGCCACGAATACCAGGAGGGTCTCAGTGTAATCAGACTTTTTATATGAAGGCTCAGGGATCCAGGCACCAGTATTCCAGTGACCCAGCCTCAGAAGTTACACAGTGTCACTCTGCAGGCTACTGATCAAACCAGTCACAAGCCCACTTTTATTTCAAGGGAAGGAACAACGAATTCTGGAGCCATGTTTTCAAACTGCCCCAGCTATTATTATTTTTGAAACTGTGCAAGGATCCCCTGGTTCAGAGGTCTTATGGATGCTGTCATCTTTGCTGAGATACCTGCTTGTGCCTTCAGCATGGAAGAATGCCTGTGTATCCACCTGTACGGTAGGGGTCGCTGTGACTTTGACTGGTGAGGGTACAGCCACTGGTGCACATGCAAAGGTGCCTATCTGTGAACACGTATTGAGAGGCTGGATAAGGCTGCGCCCATGTGAGTGCTGGGCTTGTACGTGCATTTTTGCCTGAGTGAGCATTAGTGGCAGTGTCCCCAGCCTACCCCTTTCCTGAATCCCAGGCTCATAGCCAACTGCCCACCTATTTCCACGTGGATGCCTGCTGAGCACCTCAAATGTCACACAGCCAAGACAGAACTCTGGATCTCCTTTCCCAGCCACAAGCTGCCCCTCTTCCAGTCTGTAAGTTCTTACGGAGCATATATATGTGATCTGCCTACTTTTCTCCAACCTCACCACAGTGACATGAGCCCAAACCAACTTCTCACCTTGCAACAGCCTCCCAGGTGGGAAGGCTGAGTATTCTGGCCCTTAACCAGTTAGAACTCCCCAGTTATCTGTCCTGCTGATGGGGTTGAAATCTACATTCCTGACCCTGGCCCACCAAAGCCCCTCCCTTAGCTCCCATCTCCCTCCTCTCTCCCTGTCTTCTCCTCTGCTCCAGACACTCTGGCTTCATTTCTGCGTTTTTTGTACCCCATAAGCTCCTTCCCACCCCGGGGCCTTTGCCTTTGCTGTTCCCCCTGCGGGGAATGCCGGATCTCTGCTCAGATATCCTCTTCTCAGATCAGCAAGCTAAAGCAGCCACCTGTGTCTGCCTAACCCACCACCGTAGTTTAACTTTCTGCCTAGTCTTTATCACTAGCTGATATTTCTCAGGATCCTTTAGTTACTTCTTTTTCGTCTTCCCCTCCTAGAATGTAAACTCTTCCCCTCCTAGAAGGTAAACAAAAGACCTGTTCTGTTTTGTTCTTCGGCCCATCCCAAGCCTAGCGTAGTGCCTGGTATGTGGTGGTGTCCAAACCCAAGCGTGGAGTGAATGAGGGATGAATCCATGAGAGAGTGAGCGGCTCCAGTGGGTATGCGCGAGTGTCTCACTCGGTGTAGATGTGTGTGTTGTGTGTGTTGTGTGTGTGCGCACGCTGGGGAGGCCAGACAAGTGTGGACCAGTGATTGGGGCACCTCTTCCCTGCAAAGAGGCCAGGGGAAGACAGTGCGTGTGGGGTCTTCTACCAGGGAGGATGGCTTGCTGGTGTGTCCCCCCCAGGGGAGGACTACCAACGAAGGGGACCCGGGAGATGGCGGGTGGGGGCCCCCGGGAGGACAGTGGGCGAGGGAGGGGGTCCTTGCCAGGCCTGGGGCGGCCGGGGGCGGTCCTGGGCTCCCCTCCGTCCCGCCTCCAGGCCTCGGGGCCTGGCTGGCCGACGTGGCGTTGGCGGCGCTGCGCGCGGGAGGGCAGGGCAGGAGGGACAGAGGCGGGGGCGGGCCGGAAAGTTTGTCCGGCGGCAGCGGCGTTGGGGACTCCGGCGGGGGATGCGCGCCCGGCCCCTCAGCGCCCCCAGCACGCCGCCGAGTCCCGCTCGCCATGGGTAAGTCCCGATCGGGCGCTGCCTGCTGGAAGCCCGACCCCTTCCCAGGGTGTAGACACCGCCCCCACGCTCCCCTAAGAGTGCGCGCCCCCTGGCTCCCCCAGGGCCGCCCCGGCCGGATACCGCCTCTCGGGTGGCCAGCCCGAGACTGCAGGCCTGCGGCGGGGGCTGGGACGGGGCTCGGTCGCGCTTCCTTCCATCTTCCTTTCTGCCCCGGAAAAGTGGCCCCTCACTTGCTGCAGCGCCCACTCGGGCCCAGGCACTCTCCCGGGCGCCCTGATCCGACAGCCCCAGGCAAGTGCAGCTGTTCCTGGTCTGCAGATGAAGAAATGGAGGCTCCGAAAGAAGCAAAGCAGTTCATCGATTCGCTGAGCGCGGTTGTGCCCCAGGCGCTGTTGTGGGCCTGGGGACGCTGTCGCGAACGAAACTGCGAACAAAACAGACGAACCCCCTCCTCTGGACGTGATTCTGCAGAGAGGGGACAGAGAAGGAGATTCTAACACAGCATTGGGGTGGGACGCGTGGGGAATGGCTTTGTTGCCACTCGGGACTAGGGCTCTATTTTTCTCTCTGCATTCAGAAGCCTCGAAGGATCAGTCGTTGATTCTTGAGTGAGCACCTACTACGTGCCAGACATTGATATAGGGGTTAGAGCTTCAGCAATGAACAAAATAGACAATAAACCTCTCTCTCATGGAGGTGGCATTCTGATTGAGCAGCTGGGTAAACACGTTTATGAATAACTTCAGAGAGAGATAAGGTGTTGTGGAACCCATAAAATGGGGTGGCGTGAAGGCCAAGGGCGTGGGTTCCTTGGGTAGGTGGTCAGGGTGGGTTTTCTGGAGTAGGACGTTTTGGAGCTGAGAACTTCCTCAGAAGCGGGTCTTGCTGAGATCTGGAGAAAGAGCTTCCAGGTGGCAGCAACAGTGCAAAGGCCCTCAGGCAGGAATGAGTTTGTGTGGCCCAGGCCAGGATGGCCAGAGCACAGCGGGCAGGGCACTGAGGTCAAAGGGATGGCAGAGAGGTGTGCAGGGCTTTGTAAGCCGTGGTGAGAAGTTCAGATTTTATTGCAAATGCCACGGCAAGCTGGAGAAGGGTTTTAAGCTGGAGCGGGGCCGTGACCTGAATTATCTTTTCTTTTTTTTTTCTTTTTTTTGAGATGATCACTCTGTCGCCAGGCTGGAGTGCAGTGGCGTGATCCCGCTCACTGCAACCTCCAGCTCCCTGGTTCAAGCAATTCTCCTGCCTCAGCCTCCCAAGTAGCTGGGATTACAGGCATACACCACCACGCCCAGCTAATTTTTGTATTTTTAGTAGAGAGTGGGTTTCACCATGTTGGCCAGGATGTCTTGATCTCCTGACCTCGTGATCCGGCTGCCTCGGCTTGGGATTACAGGCGTGAGCCTCCGCGCCCGGCCCTGAATTAACTTCTCAAAGTTTGCTCTGAGTCGTTCTGTGGAGAATCACAGTCGCTAACACTGGCTATGATGTAGGTAAGCATAGAAGGTAGGCATTAATATCCCATTTGTAGATGGGGAAGCCCAGAGAGGTGAGGTGAGTTCCCCAAGGTCACACAGCTATGGAGAGGAGAAGCTGGGAAGGAGCCCCAGCATTCTGACTCCAGTCTGCATTCCTAACCACTGCACCACGTGGCCTGTCATGGTGGATTAATGGTAAAACTGGTGACCAGTTCCGGCTCTGACAGGAGAGTCCATCCTCTTAACCCCCACAGCACAGTGCCCCAGAGCCTGAGAAAAAAATGAGGCCCAGAGAGGTCAAGGTCTTCTTAAGGACACTCAGCTTAGCCCTAGCCCCTTGTTCCTGCACCTCCTATTCCTGCTAAATCAACCCAACAGCCATTTGCTGAGTGCCTTCTATGGGCAGAGCGAGGGCTGGGTGTTAGTGCTGGGGGAGGCATAAGTCATGGCTGCGGGTCTCTGTCCTCCCCAGAATTCTTACACAGCAGGGACCAGGGATTGGGCTCTCTTTATAGCCTCTGGGGGCAGAACTGGGTTCTAGACCCAATTCCTCTCACTTTGTTCCACCATTCCACTTTGACCTGGGAGAGTCTGCCAACTTCTCTGGTCACTATCAAATACCCTTATCACAGGGTAGCCATGAGAATGATGTGAAAAAATGAATTACAGTGCTCGGCTCATCACCTATATCTGGTAAATGGTGAGTGAATGTGAGTTTTTATTTTATATTGCACCCAATATTGGGATTCTGGAGTCAGACTGCCCGAGTTCAAGTTCCTGCTATGTGACTTACAAACTGTGCCACCTTGGGGAAATGTCTTCACCTCTCAGTGTGGTGGTTATTTCTGTAAAATGGGAATGACAATAGTGATTGTCATAGGATTGTCTAGGGATTAAGCCAGCTGGTACAGATACTGCCCCTTAGGAGAGTGGCTGGCTATAGTGGGTACTCCAAGTATCAGCTGTGGCTGCAATTGCTGGGACATTTGGAAGCCGGCCATCTGCAAGAGGATATTCATACAGTTCAATTTCACATCTGGCTTCTCCCTGGAGCTTCAGGGAAAGCCACAGCAGGTCTCTGGTGCAGGAGGGACCCAGTGCTCTGTGACCTCTGGTTGAGACACTACTCTAGTGTCACCAACGGGAGGCCTAGGACTTGCAGCTGGAGATACTTGCATCCCAAACCAGGGTTCTCCCCCCTCCCCCTGCCCCCTGACCCTGTCCCGGGGAAGCTGTGCCCTCCACAGCGAGGGGCTTAGAGGATTAAGGGATTTCCTCCAGTGTGGGACATCTTCACTACAGCCTATGTTAGGCAGGTTATTAATAGAAAGGATGCACACTTGCTAAACTTAGGTCAAGCCGTCTTAATGTGTTCTCCTTAATTTTCTTTCTTTTCTTTTTTTCTCTTTCTTTCTTTCTGTCTTCTTTCTTTCTTTTTTTTTTTTTTTTTTTTTTGACAAAGTCTGGCTCTGTCATCTAGGCTAGAGTGCAGTGGTACAGTCTCGGCTCACTGCAACCTCTGCCTCCCAGGCTCAAGCCATCCTCCCACCTCAGCCTCCCAAGTAGCTGGAATTACAGGTGCACACCACTATTCCTGGCTCATTTTTGTATTTTTTGGTAGAGATGGGGTTTCACCGTGTTACCCAGGCTGATCTTGAACTCATGAACTCAAGTGATCCACTTGCCTTAGCCTCCCAAAGTATTGGGATTATAGGCATGAGCCACCGAGCCCAGCCTAAGACATCTTAATTTGAGGACGAGGCTTTGCTCTGCTTCCTGTCCATGGCCACTTCCAGGCCCTGGACCTTTCAGATGTTCATGAGCCAAGATCCTTTCTTTCTGGATTTCCTACATCCCCACAGTTCATTTGGTTTTTCATTCATTCACTCAATCATTCATTTGTTTAACAAATATTATTGATTGAGTGCTGAGTAACTGTCCTTGGCCTCAGGGAGACAGCTGAGAAGAAACAAACCACTCCTGTTCCCTTGAGGCTGACTTTCAGGTCAGGGAGACCAATAAATATGTAAAATATGTAGTTATTTTGGAAGATGAGAAGTGCCACGCAGAAAAAACAAGTGGAGAAGGGAATACAAAGTGCTAGATGCTACAGGGAGGTTGAATTTTAGGTAGAAGGCCAGGGACAGCCTCACCGAGAAGGGGATGTTTCAGCAAAGATCAGAAGGGAGGAAGGAAGGAACTGTTGGCATGGAGGGACAGGACTTCCCAGGCAGAGAGGCTGGCAGGTACCAAGCTTTGAGTTGGGACGTGCTTGGAGTGAGAGTAGCAGCAAGGAACCAGTGTGACTGGAGCCCAGTGAGAGGGGGCAGATCCTGCAGAGTCTTGAAGGCCACGGTGAGGACGTTGGCTTTTCTTAGACTGAAATAGGAGCCTTGGAGGGCTCCTAGTGGAAGAGTGACGAGGCCTGACTTAGGTTTTCCCAGAATCCTTCTGGCTGCTGTGTAGAATTAGTTTAGGTTCAGAGGTATCTGACACAGCCCTAGAAATGTCATGAGGTGAAATAGCCCTGGTCCTCTACCCAGTCATTTGTTCATTCAGCAGAAACTTCACTGGGTTCCTCTTGGGTGTCAGGGCAGGGCTGGGGCCCCGGAGGCTCAGGACGAGTCAGTCTCTATCCCTGCCCTCCTTAGTTGAATATGGAAGACTCATAAAGGAACTTGCAGTGTGAAGGAAAAAGAGTACAGTGGAGAGTTGAGGAAGATGCATGGGAATTGGTCAGGAACTCCCTCAAACTTTTCCACTGAAAGGCACTAAGCAAACATCACTGTCTGCTGATAGGAAGGGTACTTGGGTACTGAGATTAAAAAAAAAATGACAGGCCAACCTTCAGAAAATCCAGAAATTGGCAATGAGTATTTATGGGTCACTGAAGTCTATGGCTTCAGGTGCAGTTGGATCTAGGGGCTCATACAGTGTTGTCAGGAATCCTTCATTGGGGAAGATGGCCCCCAGTGGCTCCAGGCAAGTAAAACACCAGCTTGGCACCCCTGGTGAGCAAACACACCCGGTCCGACTCTCACTGGCCCAGGTTCACCCACGTGGTATTCACCTCTGCCTAGGGCCCAGGAATTTGCTGATTGATTGGATCTGGATCATGGACACCACCCTGGGGCTGGGCACTGAGGGTGGAGGTGGGGGCAGTCATCTCCACCCAAACCAGGAGACTGTGAGACAAGGAAAAGGGGCGGCTCCCTGCAACGGAAGATGAGGAGCGGATGCCAAATAACAGATGTGTATACCTGGAGGCTCCTTGGGGAGGTGGCACAGGACCTGGGACTGAAGAGGGAGAGTAGAGGAACAAGGGGACCCTTTCCTTGGGGAACAAGGACAGTGCACGTAGGAGGCCCAGCACGTGCAGTGGTGGAGCGGCATGAAAGCATACAGTATGTGCCGGGAACAAACATGTTGGCAAGGTGTGTGGGGCGGGGCTGTGGCGACAGAGTCCGGGAGGAGGCGAAGTGGCTGAGGAGTTAGGCCAGCCCATGAAGGGCCTTGCCTGTCATGCTAAGGTGGTGGGACTGACTCAGGTGATGGGAACCATGGAAAGGGAATGTTCTTCCTCGTCTTCCTAATGGCTCCAACTCCTTTGAGGTCCTCCTTTATATCTACAGTCCCATGCCACAGTATCATTTCACCATGCTTTATCCCTTGGGGTTTTCCTGAGAGCTCTTTCCCCTCCACCTCTGCCTCCTGCACCCCAGTTTCCTCCCACCGCACCTATCTCTGATTGACTCTTCTTGCTGGGAGGTCAGTGCAGCGGAGCTCTTAAGGACATGGGTTTGGGAGGCAGGCAGGTCAGCATTTCCATCCTGATCCTGTTGCTTCCTAGCTGTGAGAACACTCTGAGCCTTAACCTCCACATCTGTAAGATGGAATAATTGTAGCAGTCTCACCTAGGGTTGTTATGAGGATGAATTGAGGGAAGGAACATAAAGTCTTCACACAGAGGAGGTCTCCATACATGATAGCTGTTATTATTACTGTTTTATTTCACGTTTGTTTGTTTGTTTGTTTGTTTCTATTGTCCATTGGCCTTATTGTCCATTTCAACTGAACCTGCACTGATGTGTTTTCCAGTGGAACCTGTGGGTGGAAGCTGTGAGCCCTTTGGCTGGGTTCCCTTTCGCTGCAAGAGGAACCCAGGAAATGGCAAACAAATCCTGGGCTTTCACCTCGATTGCTTCACATGGCCTGGAAGGACCTTGCTTTCTGGGAAAAAGCCTCAGGAATGAGGGAGGAGGGGCAAAGGGGGGCGAAGACAGAGCAGGATCTGAGCAGCATCTTCCAGGATGTTTACTAGTGGTGAGGAACAGGAAGGACAGGCCAGCCAGGGAGTGGCAAGGGCTCGTTTCCTTGGAAGGTAGGAGTGGCAGGGGAGAGGGATGAGCAGAAGTGGGGGTGGAGAATGATTCCTTCACCCATGGAACTCCTCCTTCTGCACAAAAACTGCCTAACAAAGCTAAGAAGGGACCCAAGCAAGAGAACAGAGTGAAATCACATTTCACCAAGGTTTTATAATGGAGCAGTCAAGAGTAGGGACTGTGGACCCAGACAGCCTGGCTTTCATTCTATCCTCAGCTGCTTACAACTTTTTTTGTTTTTTTATTTTAGAGTCAGGGTCTCAGTCTGTCACCCAAGCTGGAGTGCAGTGTCACGATCATAGCTCACTGTAACCTCAAACTCCTGGGCTCAAGCGATCCTCACACTTCAACCCCTAGAGTAGCTGGGACTACAGGTGCCCACCACCCTGCCTGGCTAATTTTTAAACCTTTTGTATAGAGACAGGATCTTGCTATGTTGCCCAGGTTGCACTTACTACTTTTGACCTTAAGTGAGTTGCTTTACCCCCCTGATGATCACTTTATTCATTCGTAAATAATACAAGAGCCTACCTCATAACGTTGGGGTGAGAACTTTTTTTTTTTTTTTTTGAGACAGGATCTTGCTCTGTTGTCCAGGCTGGAGTGCAGTGGCACGATCTCGGCTCACTGCAACCTCCACCTTCCCGGATTCAAATGATTCTCCCACCTCAGCCTCCCGAGTAGCTGGGATTACAGGTGCATGCCACACACCCGGCTGATTTTTGTATTTTTAGTTGAGATGGGTTCTCATCATGTTGGCCAGGCTGCTCTTGAACTCCTGGCCTCAAGTGATCCGCCCGCCTCAGCCTCCCAAAGTGTTGGGATTACAGGCGTGAGCCACCACACCTGGCCATAAATGTGTTTTTAAACTCAAAGCAATGTCTAGTCCAGAGAAACTCTCCATACATCTGGCTATAATATTGCAGATGTCCTTGTCAGGTCCAGGGTGGGGGTGCATGACATAGATACTGCTGGATTATTCTAGATGCTTCCAGAAATATATAAATTTAAGTGTGTGAATTAAAAATTAAGAGTAATCTGTGCAACTGTGCTGCCAATAGGGTAGCCAGCATCCATATGTGGTTATTTTTATATGTACACTAATATAAATAAAATAAAATAAAATAAAAAATTCAGGCTGGGCATGGTGGCTCATACCTGTAAGTAATCTCAGCATTTTGGGAGACTGAGGCGGGCGGATCACCAGAGGTCAGGAGTTCGAGACCAGCCTGGCCAACATGGTGAAACCCGGTCTCTACTAAAAATATAAAAATTAGCCAGGCTTAGTGGTACATGCCTGTAGTCCCAGCTACTCGGGAGGCTGAGGCAGGAGAATTGCTAGAACCCAGGAGATGGAGGTTGCAGTGAGCCGGAATTACGCCACTGCGCTCCAGCCTGGGAAACAGAGTAAGACTGTCTAAAAAAAAAGAAAAGAAATTATTTCCTGCATCCCGTTAGCCACATTTCAAGGGCTCATTTTCTACATGTGGTTGGCTAGTGACTATCATATTGCACAGCATGGTTATAGAAATTTCTGTCATTGCAGAAAATGCTGTCAGATAGTGCTGCTCTAAGAAGAAAGGAAAACATAGAAAATGTAACACTCAGATCAGTGCGGGAAAAAATGGAAAAAAAACCCACCCCATAATTGATCCATCAAAAGCAGAAATGGAGGTAAAAAGAAATATCCTGATAGCACAGTAAATAGAAGACAAAAAGATAAATGGCAGAAGCAATTTCAATTGTATCAGTCATTGTAATAAATGTGGACCAGTTCACCTTTTTATTTATTTATTTATTTTTGAGATGGAGTCTTGCTCTGTCGCCCAGGCTGGAGTGCAGTGGTGCAATCTCGGTTCACTACAACCTCCGCCTCCTGGGTTTAATTGATTCTCCCACCTCAGCCTCCTTGATAGCTGGGATTACAGGCGCCCACCACCACGCCAGGCTAATTTTTGTATTTTTAGTAGAGATGGGTTTTGCCATGTTGGCCAGGCTGTTCTCGAACTCCTGACCACAGGTGATCCACCTGCTTTGGCCTTCCAAAGTGCTGGGATTATAGGTGCGAGCCACCACACACGGCCAAGTTCACCTTTTAAAAGAAGACAGTCAGATTGCATCTGAAATCATCCAGCTGTATACTGCTTTCACAAGGAACACATGACAAATGGTTACAGATCTAACCTGTTGGGTTAAAGTGCTTTGAAAATGCAGACACTGAGGAGGGAGCGCTCACTGTCTAAATGTAGGTGCCTCTGGGGTGAACAGGTTTCAGAAGGAGGAGACAATGTGAGTTGAGAAAGGCTAAATCTAACTACAGCTGTTGAAAATACCTTGACTGCCATGCATGGTGACTCACGCCTGTAATCCCAACACTTTGGGAGGCCTAGGCAGGAAGATCACTTGAGCCCAGGAGTTCGAGACCAGCCTGGGCAATGTAGTGAGACCCCACCTCTTCAAAAAAATCAAAAAGTTAGCCTGGCATGGTGGTGCATGTCTATAGTCCCAGCTGCTTGGAAAGCTAAGGCAGGAGGATCACTTGAGCCCGGGAGGCAGAGGCAGTGAGCCATATGGTGCCACTGCACTCCAGCCTGAGTGACGGAACGAGACCTCATCTTAGAAAAAAAAAAGAAAGAAAATGCTTTGAGCTTTCTTTTTCCTGTGTCTGTTCTTATGGCGCCTTCATTATTCCCTGTGTTGTTTGGATTTCTGTCTTTTCTCCTTATTTATGCTTACCAAAGCATTATCTGTTTTCTTATCCATGTCAAGGAACCAACTTGAGTTTTAGCGATCAACTATCCTCTTCTTGTCGTTTTTCCATTCCCTTAACATCTGTTTTCATATTCACTAATTCCACTTGCTCTTTGGGTTCATTTTGTTCTAATTTTCCTAGCTTCTTCACACAAAGACTTAATTAATTTACTCTCAGGTTCTTTTGGGGTTCCTGATAAAATATAATTTTCACTTGATTATCTCTTTGACCACATCCCACAGGCCCATTTTTTATGTGGGCCTTTTATTCTCATTTCATTATTTATTACAATTTTTATTCTCAGTTATTTTTATCCTCAATTATTCAAGATTTTTAATCTTTATTTTATTTATTCTCATTCAGTAGGTGGTTATTTCTATTTTGTTTCTTCTTTATGCCAAGTAATTTAGATGTATATTTTATATTTTATTTTATTTTTTAAAGATAGGGCCTTGCTCTGTCACCCAGGCTGGGATGCAGTGGTGTGATCATAGCTCACTGCAGCCTCGACCTCCTGGGCTCAAGCAATCCTTCTGCCTCAGCCTCCTGATTAGCTGGAACTACAGGTATGCACCACCACACCCAGCTAATTTTTAAAGAAAATTTTTCTGTAGAGGTGGTGTCTCACTATGTTGTGCAGGCTGGCCTCAAACTCCTGGCCTCAAGTGATCCTCCTGCTTTGGCCTCCCAAAGCGATGAGATTACAGGCATGAGCTACCACATTCGGCTTTAGCTGTGTATTTTAAGTTTCTCCATGTATATTTGGGCGGAGGGGGGTGTTGTTGTTACTGGTTGTTTTTTTTTTCTCTCTGAATGAAAAAGCCATGGTTGGAAAAAAAAAATGCTTGTCTGCAATGCCAGGAACCAACAGGCTTAGTTTTGCTATTTGGCCTGTTCCCTTTGCACTAGATCTGCAGCAAAGAGTGAAATGGAGTCAGCGTCTTCTTCCTCTTATTCTCTTAGCACCAGCTGTTGAAGGGTTATGTTTTGAAGGTGTATTAGTCTGTTTTCATGCTGCTGATAAAGACATACCTGAGACTGGGTAGTTTATAAAGAAAAAGAGGTTTAATGAACTCACAGTTCCATGTGTCTGGGGAGGCCTCAAAATCATGGTGGAAGGTGAAAGGCACTTTACATGGCGGCAGGCAAGAAAGAATGAAAGCCACGTGAAAGGGATTCCCCTTATAAAACCATCAGATCTTGTGAGACTTATTCACTACCACGAAACAGTATGGGGGAACCACCCCCATGACTCAATTATCTCCCACTGGGTCCCTTCCACAACATGAGGGAATTATGGGAGCTACAATTTAAGATGAGATTTGGGTGGGGACACAGCCAAATCATATCAGAAGTGGAGCAGGAGATGACATCAAATTTGTGTTTTCTTAATCAAGTCTGGCATTGGGCAGGACTGCTACAGGTGGTAACAGCAATCATGGTACTTCTCCTTGAGCATACTTCCTGAGCCTCCTTTCTCTACTGAACTCTTCCAAGAGCCAGTGAGAAAGGATTTATTAGCCCTGTTTTACAGGTGAGGAAACGAGTTCAAAGAGAAGAAGCAGCTTGCCCAGGGTGGCACAGAGCAAGTGGCAGTGCTAAGACTGGTACTCAGGCCTTTTCAGTCCTAGTCCTCATTGCTTTACACTGTGCTAAGCTGTCAACACAGCAGATCATATAACAACTTAGAGGAACAGCATCCATTGTTTCATTTTATCTTCCCACTGGCTCTGAAAGCAAACAAGGTGGGTATTATTGTCCCCATTTTACACATGAGCAAACTGACACTGAGAGATCAGAAGTACCTTGGTTCAAGTGCAGCTGAGAGGGGCACAGAGTGAGATGAGGTATGCACAGATACACAAGAAAGAAGCTTAAGAATGTCTTTAATAACCACAGCTCTCGGATCACTGGATTCATGAGGACTGGAAGGGGAAAAGAAGCAAATGGCAAGAAAACAGATCTACCAAAAACAAAACAAAGCAAGACAAAAAGCCTCTCACATTCTTACATTCAGCCAAGGATTTTGTACCTTCTTCACTAGTTTGTTCATTCATAAAATGGGAATATTGAAACACTAATTTCTTTGGATTTAGGAAGAATTTTTCAGAATTATTATTTTTGAGCTCCTCCTTTACTACCCTTTTCATTTTTCATCTTTAGCCAATGGTCCATTTGGATATAAATTAAACTAATCTAGGACTAAAAACCTCACATTGTAAGATACGGAAGTCAGAATTATTGTGCAGTTTGGTATTTCCTAAGTAATGAAGTAGTTGGGTCATGGCGTGCTTTCCTGATTCCCACAAACTGACCCTTGTGCTCGCTCGTCATGTACTCAGGAATCTTTATTCCATTTTAAAGGAGAAAAATGTTTGAATGGATGCTTTATATATTGGTATTTTTAACACACAGATGTTGTAACATCTTTCATTAATGTGTCAGGAGCCCTTTGGAAGAGACTGATCTAGTAACATTTCCTCATTTTATAGATTTCCTTATTTTATATTCAAGTTATCTATTGCTGTTTAACAAAACACTCCAAGACTTAGCATCTTCTAATAATAATCATCTTATATCTACTAGTTCTCTGGGTTGAATGGGCTCAGCTGGGTGGTTCTTCTGCAGCTGTGGTTGGAATCATCTGGAGGCCCCTGTCTGTTGCCTAAGGGTCTCTCCACACAGTTTTTCCATGTGACAGTGTAGCCAGATTTCTTACAGAGTGGCTTGGGGCTCCCCAAAAAAACATAAAATGTGGAAATTGCTCAAGGTTTAGACCCAGGACTGAACAGTGTCATGGTAGCCATATTCTGGTGGTTAAAACTAGTCACAGAGCTACTCAGATTCAGTGTGAGAGGGAACCACATAAAGGCATAACACCAGGAGGCATGACTCATTGGGAGCCATCTTTAGAGACCAGCTCCCACAGCCCAAAAAGGGCAAGTGACTGGCCTGGTGTCACACTGCAAGTTAGTTACCAAAACAGAAAAGAACCTTGTTTTGCAAATCTCTAAATTATTGTCCTGTCCTCACTACTATATATGTGTAAAAATGACTTGGGGGCCCTACAAATCCCTCAATTAGCAAAAAAAAAAAAAAAAGAGAGAGAGAGACATTGCAGGTTTTTCCATGAGTCTGGAAATTCTGTTGCTCAGTGTACTAATTGGGAGCTTTTAAATTATAATTTACAGAAACCAACTCAATCTGACTAAAAGAACAAAGAGTATTGGTTGGCTCATGTAACGAGAGCCCAGTGGATTGGGTAAGCTTCAGGCACTGCTAGATCCATGGGTTCATGCAATAATATTGGGATCTATTTCTTGTTATCTTTTGGCTCTGCTCTCATCTGTGTTGGTTTCATTTTCATAAAGGCCTTCTGCACAGCATGACCAATGACTATTTTGTTTCTGTAACTTGAAATTCTCAAAAAATGTAGTTCTTTTTTCTTGTCTATGTATAGCAATTCCCTGAGACCCACTTGCTCATCCCTATGTGTGGGTGGAGAGTACATGTGACTGGTAACCCCATCAGTGGGGAAGGGGCTCTTCCTCAAAGGAAAAGATTCCAGGCAGACAGAAGAAGTAACAAATGTTTACTACACCCAGAGGCTTGTATTCCTTGAAGATTTGTTTCCATGTGGAAGCAGTTGAAAACTGGTACCTATGGGTTGCACTCTGAGATGTGTTTTGTCTGACTCAAAGAATATTTTTATATATTCTTGGAACAGCATTTAAAAATCAGAAAATAGTTTATAAAAATCTGGATTTATGGTTTCTCTTTAAAAAAAAAACCAGATCTGGCAGTTCTTGACCTTCCTGTTTTCCAATTTCCTTATCTGTGACATGGAGATATTAGTAATACCTAACTCGTGAGGTTACTGTTCCATGGTGAGCAGGTCTATGCAAACCTACCTCTGAAGGCTGAGGAGCTGAGAGGCCAAAGAAAGAGGCTGACAAATCCAGTCTTGCAGAAAGAAATTTCACAGGGACATAAAAACAGGAGCCATATCTCAGGTAGCCACAAGACCGTGGATTCCCATACCTGACCTCCAGAAAGTATTCTTAATATATCAAGCTTTTAGCATAAAACATGTGCAGCTGATCATGTCTTCAGACTTTCTTGCCAAGACTTGTGACCACTGGAGAGGCTGGATAAGCATCTTTATGAAGGGTTATCTATGCTACAGGCATTTTTAAAGAACTTACTGTAGAACAACTTGGTATGTGGGGCCCAAATATCCATCATCATGGTGGTTTCACTTCAAGATGGCCTCACTCTGGCCATGCAACAGGGTGTTTTCCTACAGTTGTGAGGATTACATGAAATGATGCGTTTAAAGTTTCTCACACTATGCCTGGCACATAGGGATCAGTCATGAAATGGCAGTTACTCTTCTAATAATTTGCCTGAGATTATACAGTCGGTGTGTTAACAATACCTGGAGCTGTGTTGTGACTTTAGATGAGGCATGAACTCTCCAGTTTGGCAATCCCCACCATTCTTTGTTGTCTCACATGCAGCCCGTGTTCCTCATTGATCTTAACTGGCAGCTCCCTGCTATATAGCATTTCTTCTTAGTTTTCGTTAGCACTCTTACCTGGACCCTTGTACTAGCCTTCCAACCTGGGTTTGCTCTTGCTCTTTGGTTTCACTGCTAGGAATAGAAACTGGAAATAGCATAGTTTCACTAAGTCAGAAATTGTTGGGATTTTCTTCTTAGCACATAAAAATATATGGAGATTGACAATCCATTGTTGGTATGGTAGGCTTACTGCCATCAGGGACCCATTCTTCTTCTATATTTCCATCCTACTATGTCGGTGTGTAGCTTGCATCCTCATGGTTACCCCCCATCATGTTCCAAGATGGCTGCTGAAGCTCCAGTCATCACACCTGCATTCCAGGCAAGAGGTAAGGGAGCTAGAAAAAAGGGCAAAAAAGATCTAGCCAGCTGTTTCCCTCCTCACCCTCTTCTTGGAGAGCTTTTTTCAATGTCCCACCAAAAAAACTCCCTCTTCCATCTTAGTAGCCACCAATAGCTGTGGGAAAGGTGGGAAATGTAGTCTTTTAGCTGGATGTAGTCCTGATACCAAAGAAAAAGGGGTGAATGGACATTGATTGGGCCACATTCACCTCATTTAGCATCTCCATACAACAGCAAGAGCAATATTTTAAAAATTAAAAATAGATGACCGATTTGTTTCCTGTTGGGACTCATAAAAAATGAAAAATAAAAGTAGATCACCTCATTCCTGGCTGAAGCCAGCAAAGGCTTCCAACCACTGAGAATGACATTCCTCATTGTCCTCTTGACTTGCAAAGCCCCACATGATCTGGCCCCTGCCTATTTCTCCTGCCTCATCATCTCCCATCACTCTCACTCACTGGGCTTCAGCCTCTGGCCTCCTGTCTGATTACCTCAGTGATTAAAGGTCCTCACTTTAGCCACATCATCTCTACAACTTACTTGTTATGTGACCATGAGAAAGTTTCTTAACTTCTCTGCACTTTGGAGGATGATATGTTATAGGGTAGCTGTAACAATTAAATGAGAAAATACATATAAAGCTCTTAAAACAGATTCTGGCATTTAGTAAGGGCCATATAAGTACTAACCATTAATATCCATAGTTGTTCAAACACCAAGAACTGTCCTACCTCAGGGCCTCTGTACTTTGTGTTCACTCTGTCTAGGATGTTCTTCTCCCAGATTTTCCTGGGACTTTCATGTCACTCAAATCTCTGCTCAAATTTTTGCTCTTCAGAGAGGCCTTAAAATAGTACTACTCCATCAACCTTAATTCTCCTTCCCTGCTTCATTTTTTATGACATCTTCACTATCTGAAATTATATACTTATTTATCATCTTCCTATTTCTTCTAGAACTTTAGATCCTGGACAACACATCTGTATTCCAGCCCTAAGAGCACTTCCTGGCATGTTGTAAATGCCAGATAAATAAATTTAGATGGATGGATAGATGGATGGATGGATGGACTGATGTGTGGATGAGTATACAAAGGGATGAAATACAGAGATGGGTGGATGAATGGATGGATTTGTAGATAGACTGATCAACAAATTGATGGATGGTTGGGTGAATTAAGGTATAGATAAATGGACATGCAGATGGATGAATATTTGGATGGATGAAGTAGATGAATGGATGGAGGATGCATAGATGGATGGATGGGTGGTTGAATAGATGGAGTGGATGGAAGAATGGATGGATAGTTAAATGGATGATTGAACAGATGGTGTAGATGGATGGTGGTTGGATGGATGGATGGATGGATGGATGGATGGATGGATGGATGGATGGTTGGAGTGGATGGATAGATGGATAGATGGATCAGTGAATGGTTGAATGGGTGGTTGAACAGATGGAGTAGATGGATGGAGGATGAATGGATGGATGGTTGAATTGATGGAGTGGATGGATGGACAGATGGAAGGATGGATGGATGGATGGATGGATGGATGGATGGATGGATGGTTGAATTGATGGAGTGGATGGATGGACGGATGGATGGATGGATGGATGGATGGATGGTTTGAATGGATGGTTGAATAGATGGAGTAGATGGATGGATAAATGAAGGTGTTGACAGATGGAGGGAAGGTTGAATGGATGGATGGTATGACAAGGAACCATTCTAACTCTGTCCCTCTCACTTTTGTTTTTTAGGCCACTCCCCACCTGTCCTGCCTTTGTGTGCCTCTGTGTCTTTGCTGGGTGGCCTGACCTTTGGTTATGAACTGGCAGTCATATCAGGTGCCCTGCTGCCACTGCAGCTTGACTTTGGGCTAAGCTGCTTGGAGCAGGAGTTCCTGGTGGGCAGCCTGCTCCTGGGGGCTCTCCTCGCCTCCCTGGTTGGTGGCTTCCTCATTGACTGCTATGGCAGGAAGCAAGCCATCCTCGGGAGCAACTTGGTGCTGCTGGCAGGCAGCCTGACCCTGGGCCTGGCTGGTTCCCTGGCCTGGCTGGTCCTGGGCCGCGCTGTGGTTGGCTTCGCCATTTCCCTCTCCTCCATGGCTTGCTGTATCTACGTGTCAGAGCTGGTGGGGCCACGGCAGCGGGGAGTGCTGGTGTCCCTCTATGAGGCAGGCATCACCGTGGGCATCCTGCTCTCCTATGCCCTCAACTATGCACTGGCTGGTACCCCCTGGGGATGGAGGCACATGTTCGGCTGGGCCACTGCACCTGCTGTCCTGCAATCCCTCAGCCTCCTCTTCCTCCCTGCTGGTACAGATGAGACTGCAACACACAAGGACCTCATCCCACTCCAGGGAGGTGAGGCCCCCAAGCTGGGCCCGGGGAGGCCACGGTACTCCTTTCTGGACCTCTTCAGGGCACGCGATAACATGCGAGGCCGGACCACAGTGGGCCTGGGGCTGGTGCTCTTCCAGCAACTAACAGGGCAGCCCAACGTGCTGTGCTATGCCTCCACCATCTTCAGCTCCGTTGGTTTCCATGGGGGATCCTCAGCCGTGCTGGCCTCTGTGGGGCTTGGCGCAGTGAAGGTGGCAGCTACCCTGACCGCCATGGGGCTGGTGGACCGTGCAGGCCGCAGGGCTCTGTTGCTAGCTGGCTGTGCCCTCATGGCCCTGTCCGTCAGTGGCATAGGCCTCGTCAGCTTTGCCGTGCCCATGGACTCAGGCCCAAGCTGTCTGGCTGTGCCCAATGCCACCGGGCAGACAGGCCTCCCTGGAGACTCTGGCCTGCTGCAGGACTCCTCTCTACCTCCCATTCCAAGGACCAATGAGGACCAAAGGGAGCCAATCTTGTCCACTGCTAAGAAAACCAAGCCCCATCCCAGATCTGGAGACCCCTCAGCCCCTCCTCGGCTGGCCCTGAGCTCTGCCCTCCCTGGGCCCCCTCTGCCCGCTCGGGGGCATGCACTGCTGCGCTGGACCGCACTGCTGTGCCTGATGGTCTTTGTCAGTGCCTTCTCCTTTGGGTTTGGGCCAGGTAAGTGGAGTTTTCTTGCAGGTGACTCTGGAGACTTCTACCCCTCCTAGGGGGAAGTTTGGGGACTTCCCACCCTGATGACCTGGCAGGGTGTCAGTGGGGCACTAGAGGTGGGTTGACCATGAAGCCTCAGGGCCCCTCACTTACCTGCAGTTGCTCCTCCCAGGGCCAGTGCCTAATTTTATGTTTGTAATTTGTATTCCTTAAAAGCCTCCCCAAGTCATTTGAGCTTCAGGTCCCTTAAAGCCCGGATAGCTCACAACTGGAAGGAATTTAATGAATAGCGTGAAAACCAATCATCCCAGTTCGTCCAAGACTGTTCCCATCTCGGCATTGAAAGTCTCATGTCTCAGAAAACCTCTCAGTCTTCAGCAAACTGAGACTCTACTGTAATTCTTATAGCAGAATGGGAGTGGGAGTTTAGTATCAGGAGCCTGACACTAGAAAATCCCATTGTTGAGAGGCTGCATGTTTGACCTGATGGTGCCAGGCCCCAGGTCCCACCACAGCCCAGGAGCCCTCCTGCTCTCCCACCCTAGTGACCTGGCTTGTCCTCAGCGAGATCTACCCTGTGGAGATACGAGGAAGAGCCTTCGCCTTCTGCAACAGCTTCAACTGGGCGGCCAACCTCTTCATCAGCCTCTCCTTCCTCGATCTCATTGGTGAGTCCTTCCCAGACAAGTCCGTTTTTTTTCTGTGGCCCAAGCTCCCTACTCTAAAGCAGAAATTTTTGGATTTTCCTATGTATTAGCTGCAGAACTATTATTCTGTGCAGAAACATCATCAAATGTCCAAGACGACATCCAGGACCCTCATATGCACTGTAAAACTCCCCAGGCCAGCTAATGGGTGATGGTCTACACCCAGTACTGGTGAGAGGTCATCTGAGGTCAACCGGCAGGAGTAAGAGTAGCAATGTTTATTTGCTCCAAACTGGCTTAAACTGGTTCATGACACCTGCCAGGTGGAAGTTTTTCTTGGCTTTTCTTTTCTTTTTAATTTTTAATTTTTTTTGAGATGGAATCTTGCTCTGTCACCCAGGCTGGAGTGCAGTGGCACAATCTCAGCTCACTGCAACCTCCACCTCCCGGGTTCAAACTATTCTCCTGCCTCAGTCTCCCGAGTAGCTGGGACTACAGGCACCCGCCACCACGCCCGGCTAATTTTTGTATTTTTTGTAAAGACAGGGTTTCACCAGGTTGGCCAGGCTGGTCTTGAACTCCTGACCTCAAGTGATCCACCTGTAATCCCAAAGTGCTGGGATTACGGGCATGAGCCACCGTGTCTGGCCTGGAAGTTTTTCTCAAATCAAGTTTGGGTGACATCATCTCTTCCTCCCTAGCATTGAAACCCATTCTGAGGTGTGGTGGGATGGGGTGGAAATGATGTGGGCCCAGAACACCAGGGAATGACTCTGAGATGCTGAGATGCTCATGGCTCCAGGCCCTGGTCTTCAGTGGGTATTGCTCATCTGGGCCAGAGTACACAGGCTCCTTCACTGTGGTCCCCAAGGCACAGTTCTTAGGGTTCAGTTATTTTCCTATTCCCTATGGCCAAGAGTTTCCTTCCCAAAGGTGCAGCCAACTTGGGAGGCTGGGGGGCAGTGCTGTGGGAAACCCCAGTGGAAGAACCCCCCCTATCATGGCTGTCTTCCAACCCCAGTCTTAGGGAATCCAAGCTTCTCCCTGCAGCCTCAGTCTTCAAGCATTTCCCTTTGTGTGGAGTAAATGAGTGAGAGAGGAGAAAGAAGGAGAGAAACAAGGAAGGGAGGAAGGAAGGGAGGGAGGGAGGAAGGAAGGAAGGAATTTATTAGAATTGTGTCATATATCATCCCCATTTCACAGATGGGAAAATACATCCTTACCCCGTCCAGCCAGGGAGTCAAAAGACTAGAACCAGCCCCACTGCCTTCCAGCCCATTGCTCTCCCTGCTGGCGATAGGTCCAGCTGGTCATGGGAGGCTGCCTAAAGGAGGTATGGACGTGGCTGTCAGAGGTGAGAATGGCTTCCAAAACATAATTTGTCTTCCACCTTGACAAAGATCCTTCCTCCACAGCCTCTTCTCTGTCTTGGGATGAATGACATCAAATGACTCAGGGTCATTCCCATCTTGGCTGCTGGTTCTGAGACCCACCGGAGGCTCTAGGAGGAGGCTGACTCTGGGACTGAACTGTGGCTTTTGTCCTCTCTCCCAAACCAGTCACAGGTCAAACTGGCTGAAACTCAATTCTCTGAATGATCAATTCACTGAATGACCGATTCATGGAATTTCTGGGTGTGTTTTTTTTTTTTTTTTTTTTTTTTGAAACAGGGTCTCACTCTGTCGCCCTGAGTGCAGGGTGGAGTGCAGTGGCATGATCTCGGCTCACTGCAGCCTTGACCTCCGGGGCTCAAACAATCCTCCAGCCTCAGCCTCCCGAGTAGCTGGGGCTACAGGTGTGTGCCACCATGCCCAGCTAATTTTTTTATTTTTTATTTTTAGTAGAGACAGGGTTTCACCATGTTGCCCAGGCTGGTCTTGAACTCCTGAGCTCAAGTGATCCTCCCACTTTGGCCTCCCAAAGTGCTGAGATTACAGGCATGAACCACTGCACCAAGCCCAATTCATGAAATTTCTAAGGATTTTTTTTTTTTCAAACTGAGATTTGCCAAGGCCGTGTCCATGCAGCTGTTTGGCCACTCAGCTGGATCCACGATCCCTCAGGCCAGGCTTTCGGAGCCCAAGCGTGCTCCACGGGATAGTGCTCTAGATGTGGGTGAGGGGCCTTTCCCATAAACACAAGTTGCCTTTGTCTCTGTGCTTGTGGACTTGCGTCCTGGCTCATCCCCGCCTTTGAGACAATCAGCGAGATTTCCGCTTTAAGGTACTTCACTGACAGCTTATTGGTCACTCTGCAAATTGACCAACGGGAACATTTGCTTTGAGTGAACTGACTTTCCATGCCTGACCTAGAACCTACCAGTTGGCCCAGGCTGCGGGGCCAGAGTGCTTGGTCCTGGGCCTACACTCCCGCCCTCCTGTTTCCAGGCACCATCGGCTTGTCCTGGACCTTCCTGCTCTACGGACTGACCGCTGTCCTCGGCCTGGGCTTCATCTATTTATTTGTTCCTGAAACAAAAGGCCAGTCGTTGGCAGAGATAGACCAGCAGTTCCAGAAGAGACGGTAGGAAGCTGACAGGGTGGGTCTGGGGGAAGAGCTGTAGCACACCCCAAGCACACAGCTTCAGGATTTTAGTCTTTGTGCTTTCCTTTTGCAAGCGGGCATTCCTCCTGTCTTCCTTATTGCCTGGGCACTATGAGTTTTTTTTTTTTTTTTTTTTTTTTTTTTTTTTTTGAGATGGAGTCTCGCTCTGTTGCCCAGGCTGGAGTGCAGTGGCGCCATCTCGGCTCACTGCAAGCTCCGCCTCCCGGGTTCACGCCATTCTCCTGCCTCAGCCTCTCCGAGTAGCTGGGACTACAGGCGCCCGCCACCACGCCCGGCTAATTTTTTGTATTTTTAGTAGAGACGGGGTTTCACCGTGGTCTCGATCTCCTGACCTCGTGATCCGCCCGCCTCGGCCTCCCAAAGTGCTGAGATTACAAGCGTGAGCCACCGCGCCCGGCCGGCACTATGAGTTTTGTCCGGTCACACACAAACTGTTTTCCTTGAGTTGTTTTGTGTCTCCCTACAGTGCCTTTTCATTTGACTTTAAGACCCAGCTCATGGGGATTTAAAAATCATTTGATTATGGAATCACAGGAGGCTAGAAGAGTAGAATCTTAAAACCATAAACTATCTTAGAGTCACAGGACCTTGGAGTAGCAAAATATCATAACTATGGCCTTTAAACATTGCACGCAAAACGCTTGTGGGCTTCATGCATTCATTCCGTGGCTATTTATTAAGTCCTTACTCTGTGCCAGACAGTGTTCAGAGCCTTAGGAAACATGCTGAGATTAAGGAAGACAAAGTGCCTGTCCTCAAGAGCTTCCATTTGATGGGGGAGGGAAGCCAACAAATGCATAAACAAGAGCGTTTTAGTTGGTGATGAGTAATTAGGAGAAAATGAAGCAGAGCAAAATATGTTGAGAGGGCCAGGTTGACACAGGAGGAACAAAGAAGAAAGGGGTTGTGGCTGAAGTAGAGTGGGTGGTGAGGGAGGGAAGTCGTCTCAGAGGAGGTGGAATTTAAGTTAGTGAGAAGGAGGCACCCACGTAATGATGAGGGGAGGAGCATTCTAAGCAGAAGGAACAGCAAGTGCAAAGGCCCTGAGGTGGGCATGTATCTGGCATGTGCAAGGAACAACAAGGAAGCCAGTGTGCCTGGAACAGAGGGAGGAAGGGAAGAGCGTGGAGGGTCAGACAGGCCAGATGGGTAGGATCACATCAGGTCTTCAGGTTATTGAGGGGAGTTCAGAATCTTAGCATCATGAGACCTTAGGCTGTTCAAATAAAAGAAGAGTGAAATGGGAGCTTCAGAAGGAACTTCAAAGTGCTACAGTCCTAAGCATCCTTGGCAAATATCCCCAGTTACCTCTTAAAAGCAGGTGATAGTCACCAGCTCCTGACTGCCCATTCTGTTTCTGGGAAGTCATAAAACGTTTTAAAAAATCATTCTATTATTGACTAGCATCCCTGCACTGGCTGCTAAGCCCCACCCCAATCTGGATCCTAATGTAAGAACCTGTGACCCAGTCCTCCCCACCCCAGAATGTTCTCTCCTACTTTGTTGAGTGGAACCTTCTGCAGTTTCGGCAGGCGCCTCAGCAACCCAGCTGTATTAGTTAGGAAATCGATTTGGCTGCTTGAAGTCGTCCAAATGTCGGTTGGGGGTCCAGGGTTGGGTGGATGCAGCATGCCATGAGCTCATGTAGGGTCCCAGGCTCCTTCTGTCTTGTTGCTCTGCCACCTCTTCCATATCACCTTTCCTGCATGGCCTAAGGAGGTGCACCCCCACATACCTGCCAGAGGATGGGGGAGGGGAAGGGGTGGGCACAGTCCTCAAGGTCACTTCCACCCACATGACTTTCCATAGAACTTGGCTACACCTATATGCAGGGGAGGCCAAGAAATGTGGTCTTCAATCTGGGCAGCCATGTGCCCAGCTAAAAATCGAGGGTTCTGTTACTAGACAGCTGCCTGGCATCTCTGCCACACTGGTTTTCTTGGGAGAAGATTCCAAATCCATCCTCTGGGATAAAAAGCAACGGAGGCAGAAACGCTGGTGGGAGCCAGCTTTGGGGTAAGGCAGGATGTGACTGCAGCTGCGGGGTGTCAGCCTGGACCTGGGGTTACATGGGGGGAGCCAAGGCCAGCCCTTGGGGACTGGAGGCTGGGTCTGCTATGACTCTGGAGAAGACAGGAAGTTAGGGGTTTTTGTGGAGTCCAGAGGCAGGTCTGTGTTTTATCATCTCTGTCCCTAGAGTTCAGGGGGCTCTTGATATCAGAGGCCACAGAGAGAGAGAGAAACTCGACTTTAGGAACACAGGGACCAGGGCATGTCCAGGGATTTTGACAGCAGGAACTAATGGGATAGTCTTTTCAGCAGCAACTATTTTCACTCCTGTGTCCTCCATACAAGAGCCATGGTCCCAGGAGAAAGTCTGATTGGCCAAGGCTGGTTTATGTGCCCACCTCCTAACCCCTAACTTAGCCAGGATAGGGCAGAGATCCTTGATTGACAGTCCAGTCAAGCCACATGCCACGTTCCCCAAAAATGGGAGGCAGATGCCGGTAGAGCCGTCACCCACTGCTGTAGGGCTGACTTATTCTGCATCCCTGTGCCTCAGATGTGCTTGTTGGAAATGGGGACCTACATCTTATGGATCCAGCTCCTCTACCTGCTTTAAGGACACATTAGTAATACAAGGGGCTCAAATCGTCTTACATCAATCAATGGCAATTGGTTGCCGAAATGTTGTTTATTTTGCCTTCTTATCAGGTTATTTCTGCTCAAAAGAGACCTTTACCAATCCCTCAGGGGATATAACAAAAAAAATTCAAAAATTCCTGTTTTATCCCAGTTTCTCAGGAATCGATTCATTCAACTTTCAGCAAATATTTTCAAGTGCCGGGCACTGTAGTAGGCTCTGGGGACAGACCCATGACCGGGAGAGACCCTGTCTCTGGACTTAGAAGGAAGTTACATTTTAATGTATAGGAGAGAGATAGACTACAAAACTCAAAAATGCACAAATAAGATAATTCAGAGTTTTTATATCATGAAGAAAATAAGGCAGGTTAACCTACCAGGGGGTGAACAGCAGATTTGGGAAATGGATAGTTTCTTTAGCTAGGGTGCAAACAGCTATGGGTGCATTTGTGTTACAAGTGTATCAGGAATTTTCAACAAGCACGGTGATATTTTTGTGTATCGGTTTCACTCACTGCCCTGTTTCCAGGGCCTAGAACAGTGCCTGGCACTGTCATCTTTAATCATATCTCTGGCTGAATGAATGATGCTCAAGGAAGGCTGCTCTGAGCTGAGACTGGAATTACAAGAAAAAGTCAATGGTTTCTAGAGCTGGAAGAAATGTTCAAGCAGAAGAAACAGTTTCAAGAGCTGGAAGAAATGTTCTAGGTGGAGGGAACAGCAAGAGCAAAGGCCCGGAGGTGGAAACAAGTTAGGAGTTTTGAAGGGAGAGACAGGAGGCCTATGTGGCCAAGGCGTGATGAGCAAATGGGACTGGAGGGGTTGGTGTGGGGGAGGGCAGCCATGGTGAGAAGATGGGATGTTAGGCTGAGCATGATGATGGTCTCCTTCTGAGCAGATGTATTAGTCCATTCTCACATTGCTATGAAGAAATACTGGGTAATTTATAAAGAAAAGAGGTTTAATTGGCTCACAGTTCTGCACTCTGTACAGGAAGAATGATGCTGTTGTCTGCTTAGCTTCCAGGGAGGCCTCAGGAAACTTACGATCATGGCGGAAGGCGAAGGGCAGCCAGCACATCTTCCATGGCGGGAGCAGGGGGTGGTGCTGCACACTTTTAAATCACCAGATTTCATGAGAACGAACTCACCATCTCAAGGACACTACCAAAAGGGATGGTGTTAAACCATTCATGAGAAGCTGCCCCCATGATCCAATCACCTCCCATCAGGCCCCACCTCCAACACGGAATTACAATTGAACATGAGATTTTGGTGGGGACACAGATCCAAACCATATCAGTGGAGAGTGACAGATTTTTGCGTTTAGGAAGGTCATTGTAGATGCAATGGTGACAAGGGGCTATAGGAGGCCAGGGAAGACCCAGGGAGACCAGGGAGGAGCTGCTAGGGGGTCCAGGTGAGAGAAGGTGGACATTTGTAATAAGGCAGGAGGCAGGAAGGGTCATGGTAGGAGTGAAGGTGGGATTGGGTGGTGGGAACCCCAGTGGAAGGTCCACTCCCCAGGGACGGCCCCAGGCCCTGCCACCCCCTGATCCCACGCATTCTTTGTCTGACAGGTTCACCCTGAGCTTTGGCCACAGGCAGAACTCCACTGGCATCCCGTACAGCCGCATCGAGATCTCTGCGGCCTCCTGAGGAATCCGTCTGCCTGGAAATTCTGGAACTGTGGCTTTGGCAGACCATCTCCAGCATCCTGCTTCCTAGGCCCCAGAGCACAAGTTCCAGCTGGTCTTTTGGGAGTGGCCCCTGCCCCCAAAGGTGGTCTGCTTTTGCTGGGGTAAAAAGGATGAAAGTCTGAGAATGCCCAACTCTTCATTTTGAGTCTCAGGCCCTGAAGGTTCCTGAGGATCTAGCTTCATGCCTCAGTTTCCCCATTGACTTGCACATCTCTGCAGTATTTATAAGAAGAATATTCTATGAAGTCTTTGTTGCACCATGGACTTTTCTCAAAGAATCTCAAGGGTACCAATCCTGGCAGGAAGTCTCTCCCGATATCACCCCTAAATCCAAATGAGGATATCATCTTTTCTAATCTCTTTTTTCAACTGGCTGGGACATTTTCGGAAGGGGGAAGTCTCTTTTTTTACTCTTATCATTTTTTTTTTTTGAGGTGGAGTCTCATTCTGTTGCCCAGGCTGGCCTGATCTTGGCTCACTGCAACCTCCACCTCCTGAGTTCAAGCGATTCTTGTGCCTCAGCCTCCTAAGCAGCTGGGACTACAGGCGCATGCAACCATACCCAGCTAATTTATTTTTAGCAGAGATGGGGTTTCACTGTGTTGGCCAGGCTGGTCGTGAACTCCTGAGCTCAAGTGATCCACCCACCTCAGCCTCCCAGAGTGCTAGGATTACAGGCCTTTTGACTCTTTTATCTGAGTTTTATTGACCCCTCTAATTCTCTTACCCAGAATATTTATCCTTCACCAGCAACTCTGACTCTTTGACGGGAGGCCTCAGTTCTAGTCCTTGGTCTGCTGGTGTCATTGCTGTAGGAATGACCACGGGCCTCAGTTTCCCCATTTGTATAATGGGAAGCCTGTACCAGGTCATTCTTAAGATTTCTCCTGACTCCAGTGAGCTGGAATTCTAAATGCTGGTCTAGGAGCTGTCTCCAGGATGGTGCAGGATGGCTTTGCGGAAAGGAGATGGGTTTGGAGGCCAACAAACCTGCTTGTCAATATTGCCTTTGCCTCTTGGCAGCCCTTGAACTTGAGTAAATAACAACTCCCTGAACCTCAGTTTCCTCATCTGCAGAATGGGGATAATTATGTCCCAGGGGTATATTTAGACCCTGTTTCCTTTCAGGAGGGTCCCCAGCTGGTCCAGGGCCTGGGAAATTTCTACTTATCCTCATTACCCAGGTCCCTCCTTTGGACCCTGTAAAGGGTCAGGGTGAATCAGATGGGGGACTGAGCAAGTAGCTATGACTGCAGATCATGTAAGGAAGGGACTGACAAGAAGCTCCCAGATGCTGGGGAGAATGAAGAGCTAAAATAGATCCTAGGTGCTGGATGCTTTGTCATCCATGCGTGCACATATGGGTGCTGGCAGAGCCCCCAAGGACTCTGGCCTCTCGAGTTCTCCTATCTTCTCCATTCTAGATGCTTCCCTTGTATCCAGTGATGTGCTGGAGCTGGCTTTGCCAAGCTTGTGAGAGCTGGTTGCTACATTTTCAGGATTTTTACAAGTTGGTAAACACAGCCATTATAAAAAATTAAATGATTTAAATTTATAATTAAGTAAATTACATTAAAACAAAAAAATTATACTCAAAATTCATTACTTAATTTTACTACCTGTTACTATTATCTGTGCTTTTGAGGCTATTTCTACATAGTAACTCTTATGGAGACCTAGGGGAGACACCGCGCATCTCTTCCTGATTCCCCACTCAATGACATCATGTTAGTCTTTGGTTGCTTAACTGGCTGTGGGGAGTGTTTTTGTATCACAAAGATTAGAGAGGACTACACATCAGGGCTTGATTTATTGTTTGTTGATTTTCTAGACTTCAGAACATGCTGGATAAAATGTCAGTAATGCAAATTAAACTTTAAAGTATGTCTTGTTTGTAGCCAATACATGGTGTATAGCACCAAAAAATGGAGGGATTATTCTTCCAGTAGTTGAACACTGTCATCCGTTTCAGCTGACAGCTGCTCAAATCATTTAAGAAGGAGTTCTGACATTCATTTTCATTGTTTTACTTTTGTCTTCCTCACTAGTGTAAACAAAAATTTCAACCAGCATTCATGCCGAACCTATACCCATTCTTCAGTGCCTAGCTGTACAGTTATCAGGGATTTTTATTTGTAGTCTAATTTTGTCAAATCATGGCCAAATCGCAGTGATAGTTGACTTTGGATACAAGGTTTGGCAAAAAAAAAAATATTAACAAAATATTCTGTAAGAATCAATTGTCTATATGGAATTTAGGATAAAGAATATTTACAATAAAGAATATTTACAATAAAGAGTTTATTATTATTTGTAAGTTGTGTGCAACAAACATACCCTTTATCTCTGTAAAATTTATACACACAAAAATTAACAAAAGATTCTGTAAGAATTAATTGGCTATATGGAATTTAGGATAGAATATTTACAATAAAGAGTATTTACAATAAAGAGTTTGTTATTATTTGTAAATTGTGTGCAACAAACATATCTTTTATCATAGTAAAATTTACACACACACACACTTTTCTTCCCTGGAGAGCTGTTGTTAAACATTTACCAGCACACTACTGCTTAGAGCTGTGCTTGTGGCCCCTTCAGATCTCTTCTCTCTCCAGGGACCCATAAACCTCACTCAATTCTCCTTTCCTCTCCTATCAGCCTGGAAGAATGCTCTCCTAGTCCTAGGGTGAATTCTCCACTTTCTTGCTCCAGGTTATAAACTTGGGGTTCAGGTAGGGAATATAAATGAGTGAAGCCATTTAAGACATTAGGGAGTAGTGGGGTCTGTGGAAATGGGGAAACACAGGGTCTGTCTATAAGGGTGACTGACCCTCAATTCCAACTGGTGGCTGCCATGTGACCCTCAATTCCAACTGGTGGCTGCCATGTAGGAATGTGGGCCCAATGTGGCATGGCCGTCTGTGTTTTCAACAAATTCCAGAAATTCACACTTTGGTGCAAATTTTATTGATTTTTAAGTTTTGGCAGTTGATTCCAAACTTAAAAATAGCTTGGAAGTTAAACAAAATACTCCGTGGCTAGATCACAGACCTCAGTCTGTGCCTCTAATCTCTATGTTTTTCCCTCTGAGACATTCCTTTCTTCTGCATATTTGAGGCACTTGGCTTAATCTCCTTAAAGAATCATGGCTTTTGGGCCGGGCTTGGTAGCCTACACCTATAATCCCAGTGCTTTGGGAGGCCGAGGCAGGTGGATCACTTTAGGCCAGGAGTTCGAAACAAGCCTGGTCAACATGGTGAAGTCCTGTCTCTACTAAAAATAAAAAGATTAGCTGGGTATGATGACACTCACCTGTAGTCCCGGCCACTTGGGAGGCTGAGGCAGAGAATTGCTTGAACCCAGGAGGCAGAGGTCACAGTGACCCGAGATTGTGCCACCGCACTCCAGCCAGAGTGACAGAGCGAGACTCTGTCTCAAAAAAAAAAAGAATCACAGTTTTTGAAAAATAAAATGCCAAGCAAACTGAATACCCAAGCACTTGAATTGGGTGAGTGAAGGGGCTATTACTGAACCTGAAGTATAAGACACCTGGAGGGAATGAAAATAGTCCACACCTCAAGCATCTTATACTGGCACAATTAGGTGCGTGACTTGGGGAGTTGTTCATCTCTATTATGGGGATGACACTACTTAACTCTTCAGAAATGACACATGTCAGTCACTTAGTGCAGGGTTCATAGTGGGTGCTCCTAAATGGCTAACTGTCCCAACAGCCTCCAGGGCCATCTGGCTTTAGGTAAGGATAATGAGGCCAAAGACCAGGTGGTAGTCTGGAAGGGGAGAAGGGGGCATTAAAGAAAGCTAAAAATTTGGGGGACACCAACTAGGTGCTCAGTTAGGAGGGTTTTTTGTTTGTTTGTTTGTTTTTGACAGGGCTTGCTCTGTTGCCCAGGTTGGAGTACAGTGGTGTGATCTTGGCTCACAGCAACCTGAAACTCTGGAGCTCAAGCGAACCTCTCACCTCATCCTCCCAAGTAGCTGGGACTACAGGCATGCACCACAAAGCCTGGCTAATTTTTAAATTTTTTGTAGAAATGGAGTCTCCCCATGTTTCTCAGGCTGGTCTCGAATTCCTGGGCTCAAGCAGTTCTCCCACTTCGGCCTCCGAAAGTGCTGGGATTACTGGCATGAGCCACCACACCTGGCCAATGCTCAAAGATCTTTAGCACCAACCAGAGGAGAGAGACAGTCTGTTCATTGGTCTGCAGGGAGAGCACTGGGAAATTCTTCTCCTTCCCGCAAGTAACTCCAGAATCGCTTCAGGGAAGCAGTTCCCAAACCTCAGTCTTGTGCACAGTCCTTTAATAAAATATGCCCATCACTTAGCACCTTTGGTTATTTGCCAGATTGTACTACACAGACTTCTTGCTGAATGCTTTTCTTCACATTTATTTGCTATTCCACTTAAATAAATGTATTTTAAAAGGAAACTATGTTAACCTATTTTTCCTTCAAATGCATATTTATTGAGTGTCTTATATATGCCAGTCACTGTTCTAGACCCTGGGGTCACAGCAGTGAACACGACAAGGTCCCTGTCCTCATGGAGCTCTAGTAAAGGAGATAAATTCTAAACAAGAGATGGGGAGGAAGGGAGGGAGGAAAGGAAAAAGGAAGGAAGAAAAGAAAAAATGAATGAAACAAGGAAGGAAGGAGAGAAGGAGGGAAAAGCAAGTAGGTAGAGAGAAGTTAATTAGTGTGAGTGCTAACAAAAGTTACAAAGCTAAAGAGAAATTGGGTGAGGTTCAGATGCAGATGCTTTCATGCCATGTTAGCTAGAGTCGCTAGGGCAGTCAGGAAGAGCCTCTTTGAGGTGCTGGCATCTGAGCAGAGACCTGCATGAAGGGTTAGAGTGAGCCATGGGATGATTGGGTGAAAGCATCCCAGGCAGATGGCACGGCACAGCACGTGCAGAGGCCCCAAGGTGAGACTAAGTTTGGCATATCAGAGGAACATTAAGGGGGTGTGAGCAAAGGGTAGAATGATGGAAGAAGAGGAGGCTGAGCTTAGCACGGGTCTGACTATGAAGGGTCTTCCAGACCATGGAAATCCCTCAGATTTTATTCCAGATGTGTTGGGAAGCCCTGAAGGGGTGTGAGCAGTGGACTGACATGATCTGACTTGATGCTATAAAATAGTCATTGGATGTTGGTGAACACACAAAGTGAATATCAACTGCAGAAATAGGAAGAAAACAATAAAATACTATGAAAGCAACAGATTCAGTAAACCCTCACCAGCCATTGTTATCTACTGAAGATTCTGAACCTAAGGTCTGCTCTGTAATGAAAAGGGGAGCTTAGCGGGTGTGAGAGAGGTGTTCAGGACATAGTAGCAACAACTGAAGACTTTCTCTTTGTCTGGATTGAAAGAACAACAATGCAATTCATCATATTTATATGGTGTTTGTGAACCACCTAAAATCATTTCCAGTGCTACTGGTATTATGCTTCTGACTCTGGTAAATACAGCTTTAAGGTGAGAATACCAAGGAAGTCACAAGCACCGAGAGAAAGTTGACCTCTTGTTACTTTCTCATGTCAGACCCTCCTAGAAAGAAGCATTGACCTTCAGCATGGAACTAGTTTAGAGTAGAGTGAAGTCCCTGCAGCCAATGTCCTTCCAGGAAGAAGTAAATAACATCCTCATGGGTTACCCTTCACCGGTCTGGCCTCTCCCAGTTCCTGGACTGTGAAATCCTAGAAGCCTATGTTTCATTTTACTTCATACACCCTGATGAGCTCAGCCTCAAACACCACTCTTTCAAGGCTGTATTTCAAACATCCTATTTCCTGGTCACCGCATCCTTACATTTCTGCTAATACCTTAATACTGTCTCATAACCACAATTCTCTGATCTCATGAAGACCTCTGACCTCTAAATGCTAACCCCTGACCTCACCCCTTTCCCAGAATCTATGAACCTCTTCCTGCCTTCACTTTCCTTCTTGTCCATCCAAGATCCCATAGCCCAACCTTATAATCCATCCTTTGCAAACACCCCCTTGTGCACTTGGTAATGCTAATCTCAGATCAATTTACACACCCATCTTCTCTGCTTGCACGTGGGCTGTGAATGTTGCAGGAGAGAAGTCACACAACCTGACAAACAGGTTTCACTTAAAGTCCATGAGCTCAAACCTCAGACTCACCCTCCAAACCCTCTCATGGCACACATTCCTGCTCCACAATTCAGCGATTTGATATGGTCTCCTTGACTGAAACTGTCCTGTCTCTTTCATCTCCCTCACTCTCAGCTGCTAACCCTGCCTCATACTTCATTGAATGAACAGAAGTTCTCAGGAGAGGTATGTTCCCTGATATCTTCATCTCTTTTAGGCATAGTAACAGAGCCTCTGATGTTTCGCTGGGAACATGGCTGCCCAGACCAAACACCGCATTTCCCAGGCTCCTTTGCAGCCAGGTGGGGCCATGTGACCAAGTTCAGTCTGATGTGAGGGAACACAAGTGATGTGCTCCAGGCAAGCCCTATGGCAGAGAAGACTAGCTGTCCTTGGAAATTTATTCTCCCTTGTTTCTTTTTAATAATAGAAATCCCTTTGTTTTAGCTGGATACATGGCCATCTAGCTAAAGATGACTTTTCCCAGCGTCCCTTGCAGCAAGAGGGCCATGTGACTAAGTTCTGGCCAATGGGATGTGAGCAGTAGCAATGTGGCATCTTCTGGGTCATTTCCTTAAAGGGAAGATGTTTGCATGAAATCAACATGCATTTTCCCCTTTCTGCAGGCCAGGGTGGGTATATGGTGGTCAGCTTTCACCATGAAGACAAAGACAAGGGGACGGTGGAACAAGATGGAAGGTGGCTGGATCCATGGATACCTTCATGAACTAATGTATCTAGTGGCCCTGTTTCAACACCTTCTACTGGACTGTTATATGAAAGAGGAATCAACTACCTTATTCCAGCCAACTTATGTTAGGGTCCCTTTTGTTACAGCGCCTTAGCCTGAGACTTTACTAATGCATAGCCTCAGATGGAATGGAAGTGTCCTTTCCTTTTTCCATCTTCTGTTCTTGTTGACTGAAATAGAGGTGTGTTAGGAAATCATCTGGGGTCATGCAGACAAGGACAACATCCTAGGGATGGCAGGGCATCAAGCTATAAGAAGCCTGGATCCCTGCTGACATCACAGAGCAGGGCTGCCACATTAGCCGGGACTATTACGTGAAAGAGAAATACCTTCTATCTCGTTTAAGCCACTGCTATTTTATGTGTCTGTTACTTGCAACCAAACAGCCTGACCAATACAGGGGGCCACTATCAAAATTACAGACCTGTCCATTTTCTCTGCTCTATCCTGCATCCTTCTACCGTGGGACCATCCTCTTACCTGGACTGCTGGGGAGATACCATCCTCACATTACACCTTGGTGAGCTTCTCTGTCTCCTGAATCACCAACCTCACTTTCCGTTGGACCATTCCAAGTCCCTTGTTAATTTCCTCCATGATACTTATTTTGCCTTCTAATTATTTTGATTGTCTGTGTACTAGAATTCAAATTAAAATTCTTCCACCTCTCCTTTCCATCCTTTTTCTCCATCCAATCCTCCTTTCCAAAAATAGTTTGATTGGGAATGAGGATTTGAGCCAGTAATTCTCATTTATTTGCTCCAACAAATTCAACCTCTACCTGCTCTGTGTCAGCAGGTTGACTTGTTTGGGCTCCATCAATGGGCTGCCCCATGCTCAGCTTCTGGTTGGGTTAGGAGTCCTGGCATTTGGTAGCAGGGAGGGGGAAGAATGAGTAGAGACGGGTTTTCATCAGGCTCACGCCTGTAATCCCAGCACTTTGGGAGCCGAGGCAGGCAGATCACTTGAGGTCAGGAGTTCGAGACTAGCCTGGCCAACATGATGAAAACCTGTCTCTATTAAAAATATAAAAATTAGCCGGGTATAGTGGCACACACCTGTAATCCCAGCTACTCAGGAGGCTGAGGCAGGAGAATCACTTGCACCCAGGAGGTGGAGATTGGAGTGAGCCAAGATCATGCCACTGCACTGCAGCCTGGACGACAGAGCGAGACTCCATCACAAATCAATCAATCAATCAATCAAGTGAACATGCCTAAAGAAAAGATTAAATTACCTTTTTATTGTCACTGTAGAAAAGAATCTTATGAAACTGTTATGAGAGAATCTGCAGCCAAAAATGGAGTAAAACAGGTGTAATAGAGGTGGGTCAGGCCGGTGATGATGATGGTGATGATGGTGATGATGGTGATGATGAGGATGAGGATGATTTATCACTTATTTTGATTTTCAGGTGCTTGTGGCATTTGCCACCTTTTTAACATTTCCAACTTACCATGATTCCTTTTATCACTTTAAATAAATATTCATGTCCATACTTAATTTTATATGTGTAGTTTGTTTTTTCTTAAAAGAAGTCCTTAACATTAAATCAGCCTGGATGAGCCCCTTGCTGGCCAGAGAGGTGCTAGGACAGAGGATGGGAGGTCAGCTGCAAACTGAGTGTCCTCCTGTCCCTGGAGGCTCAGCCTGAGTTCTCCCCCTTGTCCTCTCTTCCTCCCTCCACTGGCCACTTCAGGATCCAGCTGGAAGAGCCAAATCTTGGCGCTCAGAAGGGGTTAGTCACAGGGCAGGCTTTGTTGAAAGCACCTGTGGCCTCCTACCTTGGGCAGGAGATTTCCTCCAAAACCGCATCAGGGGGAAATGTCAGGGCACCTGAATCGATTTTTCTGCGTAGGAGTGATTTTTATTTTTTCCTACATCTCAATCGCTTCTAGGATTCAGGATCAACTAGGATTAACTGGAAAGCCCTGAATATGTGTTTGTAATGGCACCTTCTCAATTATCTGCCCTCTTTAGGAGTGGAATGTAGGGAATGCCAGAAGCATTCGAAATACATGTCTAGGTTCATTAATTTATATGGTTAAAAGGCATGGGTGAAGAAAAAAAAGACCATCAAGGCTGTTTGGACCACACACTCATCCAATACTTGACTCCCTGCATTACTTAGAAAACTTTTCGACAGAAACGGAAACCAAGCAGACTTAAGTTACCCGGGAACCCATTTGTTCTGGACTAAAAACGTCATAGTTAGTCCTGGTTTCAGACAGGCTCAGCTTGATCCAGGACTAGGATGATGATATTTCCTTTTGCCTCTGTTCTCAGTCTTTTCCTATCACAAAATCTCTCTTCTTCCAGCAGCAACTCTGGCTATGCCCTTCCAGGTTCACATAGAGGAGGAGAGAGGGTTTCCTTCTCCCCCAAGCCCCACCACATAGTTCTAGCATCCCACTGGCTCTCTGTGGGTTAAATGTGCCTCTCCAGACCCACTCATGGGGAGCAGGGCGCTGGGAGATGCAGACGGGCTTAACTCGAGCTGCTGGAGGTGGGGCTTGTGTTGGCTTCCTAGGCCTGCATTCACATAGCAACACACACTGGGTGGCTTAACACAACCGAAGTTTATTCTCACACTGTTCTGGACCTGAGAAATCTGAAATCAAGGTGTCAGCAGCTCCCTCTGAAGACTCCAGGGAAGAATCCTTCCTCGCCTCATCCAGTTTCTAGTGGTTGCCTGCAGTTCTTGGTATTCCCTGGCTGGCAGCTGCCTCAGTCCAAATCTCTGCCTCCACCCTCATGTGGCCTTCCTCCCGCCGTGTGTCTCCTCTGTGTCTCTGTGTTACATTTCCCTCTTCTTATAAAGACCCAAGTCATTGGATGGAGGGCCCACCCGAATCCAGTGTGACTTGATTACATCTGCCAAAATCTTATTTCCAAATAAAGTCACATTCACAGGGGCCAGGTAGACATGAAGTTTATGACACTGTTCAACCCAGTACAGGGGCCAATCACCCCAGACCCTATGGCTGAGTGGGGAAGAAGTGGACACCATAAGGCAAGTTGGCAAGAGAAGAGGAAAGAGATGCTGGAAATCACTCTGCACATTTCCCGTGGCCACACTGCATCCTGTGTCCAGCTCCGCTTGCACACCCCCCCAGATGGGGGAGTCACTAGTCACTACCGAGCCAGACAGGCTGTCACTCCGGCTGGTGCCCTGCAGTGTGGCCCTGCCCTCGTGTTCACCAGGGGTTTTATTTGTGGTCTTGGTCATGACCTGATCGAGGATCATGGGGTTCTCGGGCACAAAACTGAACTGCGAGAGGAGCTACAGGAGGGAGGGATGGGGGTGCAGACGGAGCGCGTAGAGAGGGGGTGGCCTGGCCAAGAGGAAGGGTTCAGAAGGTGCAGTCAGGAGACCTGGGTTTGATTCTGCTGCAGCTACTTAGCTAGTTTTGTGAACTCTGGCAGGGGATTTAACCTCTCTGAGCCTCAGTTTCCTTAACTGTAAGATGTGGGCAGCAGCAGCCCCCACCCCAAAGGGCTGCCGGGCAGATTCACTGAGATACTGGGTAGGAAAGCTCTTTCCCAGCTGCGAAGGGCAATGCAACCACAGGGCGGGGATCCACCAACACCTTTCCCCCAGAAGCAGGGCTTCCTACCCCACCCAGGGCTGTCCCTAGCTCCCGCTGTCCCAGGGCCAGACTCAGTTTCCATATTTGTTCATTTTACTTTCCAGTGTAAATATTTTTTCCATCTGTGGCAGAGGAGGAGGAGGATGGCATTTTGACGTGAGACACAACATTTTCAGACACCCTCTGAAAGCATTTCCAGACCCTCACATGCTGGGTCTCATCCAAGGATAGAAAATGATTTATCGTGGATGCTTTGGCACGTGCTTTTGGAGTTTTTCCTCCTAATGAAATGTTTAACTGGAAAAGCTGACATTCTGCTTTTAATTGATTCTCATGAGATGAGAAACATTCCCAGGTAGGTTATATTAGGTTGAAAGTCTCCTATTCTAAATGAAATTAAATAACAAATAAAATTCAGTTCTTAAAAATGATTCTGTTTAACATTTTGAAGGGTGGCACACCAAAACATTATTGCCCATTTCCACATTATAGTAAACTCTAATTTATTTAGTTTTGCTTTGTATTAAAATTGTATTAAAATCAAAACGTTTGTTGACCCAATTTAGGTCTTCCAAGATTATCTAGTTAACATACTCTCTTAATAGTCACATGAATTCTCTTTTGTTGAAATATTTGCATTTTTAGCAACTGTTTTTGCATATTAAATCACGGCTTTCATAGTGTGTGTGTGTGTGTGTTTCCACTGAATTTGGTGCACAATGAAGTTGCTAAATTCTTCCAGATTTGGGACTGATGCCATCCTGCCTCTCCTGGTTTGACAGGTTGGGTTGTTGGTTACCGAGATATGATCCCCAAAGCTTCCTCTTCAGCAAAATAAATATTACATGGATCCTTAAGCTGATCAATAGAATTTCAATATCTAAAGCAATAAAGAGATTAAAAAAATAAAACCTCCAAGTTACCTCTTGACGGTGAATAACATGCTTTGTTTGTTTTTTGATTAGATTGATAGAAGCCCACATGACTATAGAATCTCTGATGTCACATAGTGTTAGGCGCGCCAGAAGTAACTATAAAGTGAGTATTTCTCTTTTTGACTTTTCAAAAGCCAAAGCTAGACCTAATGCCAAACAGTGATTATTGTCTGGATACTATTGTTATAGGACCAACAGATTCGTATACCCACTGTGCAGTAACAGACCCATTACACCGAAACAGCAGAGATGAAGCAGGGAAAGAGTTTAATGATCACAGAGACATCTAGAGCCCAGGTCCTAGAATGAAAAACCTGGAATAGATCTGAACCCTACCAGTAGCCTGAACCAGGGCTGCTCCAGCCAACTCACATCTCAGAAAGCGAGAAAGAAACACTAATTAAGAGCCTGGGAGGCCAGGTGCAGTGGCTCATGCCTGTAATCTCAGTTTGGGAGGCCGAGGTGGACAGATCACTTGGGGCCAGGAGTTCAAGACCAGCCTGGACAACAAGATGAAACACCATCTTAACTAAAAATACAAAAATTAGTGGGGTGTGATGGCACACGCCTGTAGTCCCATGTACTTGGAAGGCTGAGGCATGAGAATCTCTTGAACCTGGGAGGCGGAGGTTACAGTGAGTCCAGATCACGCCACTGCACTCTAGCCTGAGCAACAGAGTAAGACTCTGTCTCAAAAAAAAAGAAAAAAAAGAGCCTGGGGTTGTTTGTCATGCAGCAGATGCTGACTAATACAGAATCCAACAAGGTAGAGAGTGTTTTTACCTGGTCCATTGAGTATAGCCTTGTCATGCCTGAAAGCCCCAAATTTTAAAAAATAATAATAGTAATCCAGTTTTTATATTCAAAAATGAAAAATATTGAAAAACATAAAGAAAGATAACATCACCTATGACCTACCACACAGACATAATTGTTAACAATATTTTTGTATATACCCGTGTAATCTCTTTTCTCTGATGACAGATCAAGTTACCTACATAGGAAGATAGTGAAAAGGCAATCCTATCCTTCCAATTGTTCAGATCAAAAACTTTGGAGGGCCAGACACAGTGGCTCACACCTGTAATCTCAGCACTTTGAGAAGCCAAGGTGGGAGGATTGCCTAAGGCCAGAAGTTTGAGACCAGCCTGGAGAACATAGTGAGACTCTGTCTCTATCAAAAAAAAAAAAAATTAGCCAGGCATGATTAATTAGATCACAGGTGCACACCTGTGATCCTAGCTACTTGGAAGGCTGAGGCAGGATTGCTTGAGCCCAGGAGTCTGAGGCAGGATTGCTTGAGCCCAGGAGTCTGAGGCAGCAGCGAGCTGTGATTGTACCACTGCATTGCAGCCTGGATGACAGAGAGAGACCCTGTCTTTAAAAAATAAGCAAAACTATAAACCAACAAAAACAAACCTCGCAGTCACCCCTAACTCCTCTTTTGCACTCCCACATCCAATCTGTTAGCAAATCCTGCAGGCTCTGCAGAATTTGACCTTTCTCATCATCTCCTCCATCACCATCATCACCATCACTCCCTAGATTGAGGATGCCACTACTTTCTAACAGGTCTCGTTACTTTGCTCCTTGCCCCCTATCTATCTTCCATGCAGCAGCCATAAGGGGCTTTTAAAACCCAAGTCAGTTCATGTGACTCTTCTGAGATGGTCTCCCCACGGCTCCCCCTCTTACTCAGAGGGTTCCTTATCAGAAACTCTCAGGCCCCCAAAGAACAGCCCAGCCTTTTCCTCCAATCTCATCTTTTCCCATTATCCTCCTTGCTCAGTTAGCCTATCTTTTCCCAGTCCCTCCAACACACCAGCCACGCCCTGCCTGGCGTCCTTAGCTCTTTCTGTGTCGTTGGTTAGGAATGTGCCCACGCCTCATACTTGTATGGCTCACTCTCTTCCATCAAGAGTTATTCAAGAGTTATCTGCTCTGGAAGGCTTTTCCTGGCTACCCCAGCTAAAATGTCACACTCACATGAGCTCATACACATGCACACACTTAATATGTACACACACACCCCTGCAAATGCATGCATGCACACACACATACTGCACATTTCTTTCTTGCTTTATTGCTTCTCCTTGACCCTTTACCACCATCTAACATATGATACAGCTATGTTGCTTGTTCATTTAATATCTATATCCCTTGCTACAATATTCCTTCCCCAAGGGCAGGACGTTTTGCCTGTTTTGTTTACTGCTGTACTCCCGGTGTCTAGAAAAGTGCTTGGCACATAAGTAGACAATTAATATTTGTTGAATAAATGAATGAATGAGTGAATGTAAAGTGCCTGGAACGCTGCAAACATACAATAATAATAAAGCATAATCATTAGCACCAAACAGGTAAAAGAAGGATTTTCTTCCTTTTTCATTGTAGATGCTGTAAAAAGTTGATAGAATTGAAAAATGGAGTTTAAATATATTACATAAAGTCATTAAGGCCACTGGTAGGAGAATTAGTAATAATCTAACTAATAAAAGCAAGGAGCTGAAAGGAATAAGGGGCAGTGGAGGGAATGTATATGAACAAAATTCCTCATCTCATCCCTGGAAATTGATCATTAATACAACACTCTACATCTATTTCTTAAAGCA
Organism: Homo sapiens; assembly: GCF_000001405.40. NCBI lineage: Eukaryota > Metazoa > Chordata > Mammalia > Primates > Hominidae > Homo > Homo sapiens. The sequence continues at coordinate 46,747,910 of NC_000020.11, forward strand.
GAGGCCTCAATTCTTTGGATGCTGGCCCTCAGGTGTTTTTATTTGTTCCAGACATTACTTTTAAAACTTTTTAGTTAGTTGCCAACCTTTGAAATTCGGAATATTTCGCAGATAACTTGGTATTTCTGGCTTCTCTTGAAAATGATCTGGTTATGATTGTACCACTGCATTCCAGCCTGGGTGACAGGGCCTGCATTCTGCAATAGAGCCACCAGATGGCACAGAGTCACAGCCACTCCCTTTCCATGCCGCTTGAACTCTCCTGTTTGCTACACATTACCAGGGCTTTTCACTCCTGATATAAATGTTTCATAGAAACAGTCTCTGGGCCGGGCGTGGTGGCTCACGCCTGTAATCCTAACACTTTGGGAGGCCAAGGCGGGTGGATCACCTGAGGTCAGGAGTTCGAGACCAGCCTGGCCAAAGTGGTGAAACCCCGTCTCTACTAAAAACACAAAAATTAGCAGGGTGTGGTGGTGGGCGCCTGTAATCTCAGCTACTCGCGAGGCTGAGGTAGGAGAATCCCTTGAACTCGGGAGGTGGAGGTTGAAGTGAGCCAAGATCGCGCCATTGCACTCCAGCCTAGGTGATAGAGTGAGACTCTGTCTCAAAAAAAAAAAAAGAAAAAGAAAAAAAAGAAAAAGAAAGAAAAAAAGGAAAAGAAAACAGCCTGAAAAATAGAAAGCAAGATTTCTGACAGTGGCAATCTCAAGGCAGTTGGAAGAACAGGAAAGACTAGCTCCCCACTTAGAACATTCTATACTGTCTATGTGTTTCTGTGAATTCTCATTCATGTCTTGCTTCTATAATGAAAGGGCTATGACAGTGAAAGAAAAAAATAAAAATAATTTTTAGTACTTTAGAAAATACTGAAAACTATAAAGATTAAAAATAAAAACTGCCCATGTCCTACCAGTTACTAACAACATTTTGGTATATATTCATTCACCTACTCTTTTGTCTATGACAATAAATCAAGCTAGTTAGAAACGAGGACAGGTATTGGGATATATAGACATTCTCACATCATTGAGACCACACAGTATACGACACGCTGTGGCATTTACTTTTTGAGATTATCAAGCATTTCACATGAGGCTGAGTTCACAAATATATTGTCTTTGCCAAAGTTACAAACAGTATCCACGATTTCCCCCAGGGTCTGGCTTTTTGGGTCTGGCTTTTTCTTTACTTCTGAACATGTAGAAAAATGAATTATGTGCCTACCAAGACAACATTGCAGTTTTCCTGGCAAAGGCTAATTCTGCCGATGGAAACAGTGTTTTCATTTTCTTTCTTTCTTTCTCCCCACCATTCTATGCTTTTCTGGTTTCTCTGTGTGCGTATTTTCCCCCTGGATTTGACATTATAAAGTTGCTAAGTTCTTCCAGATTTAAGGTGCTATGCCATCTTAAATCTCTGGATTTGACAGGCTGGGCCAGTGGTTACTGAGATATGATCCAAGAAGCTTTCTCTGGGGCCATCTGTCAATCAGATGTCAGCTCATAAGGAGGAAGAACTTGGCTGCTGGCCTGCACTTGGATGCCAGAGTTGGTTGCCTTTTGCTTGAATTGTGTCTGCACAGTGCTAGGCGCCCAGTAAATTCTCATTGTATCCCTGATGGGTGAAACCTCATCAGGTAGCTCTTGAATGGAGATATAAAATGTTTGCCTCATGTCAACTCTTCTTGATCTTTTTGACCCATGTCTTCCGATCTGAACAGCATTTAAAACTTTCTCCCATTGTAGCACCTATGGCCATACTAACTTGTCTGATCCTATTGTGGGTGAATTTTTGAAGACAATTATAAACCAGCCCACATGTCAGTACCTGAGATTTCTAGCCTTCCAGTGTCATCCATTCTAAAACCCGATTTGAAGATGCAATGTAGGAAACCAAGAACTACCACCACCACACCCTGTCATCGCTGTACCTTTGAGGTCATTTACTCAGCTTTCATGTCTGGTATGTTGAAAGAGTGGAAGTTGGGAGTTAGAGGGGTGCAAGTAGCAACTTGATTTTCCCTCTCACTGCCCATTCAAACACAACTGGTGGGATAGTTCTTTACTTTCCCCGAATGATCCATTGGGCCGATCCTTTAGCCCTTCTCCTCACCCTTAGATCATGACCAATAACAATATGGTGATGATTATAAAAATAAAATGTCTCCAAGTCACTTCTGAGTGTAGCAACAGTCTAAATGAAGTCATTAGAATGTCGAGTCATGTCAAAACTCCAAACTTCATTCATATTAAACCTCTTTCCTCCTCCACTCTCATTTCTTCTCCTCCCCAGCCCCCTTGGGCTCTGAAGAGGTGAGGAGCAGGGATGTTTTACTTGGCTGGTGTTGTGATGATGTGATCTTGTGCTTTCTGGACTTAGAGGGCCAATTCCTTCTTTCCTTAGCTTGTGTGTCCCAGGGGAGGGATGGCGGTTCTTGGCAATTCTCCCACTGGCAACCTCCAAATTTGCTTCCTGGGAGGCAGGCAATGTGTCTCCTCTGGCAGGCCACTCTTGAGTGTGCCTGCAGGTCCTGGGCATCCTGTGGTCCAGCAGCCCCATTTGGGCGCCTCACATTTTCAGGCAGTCCTGCACTGGGAATCCCAAATAACCCCAGGCCAGCTGCCTCTGGAGGTTCAGAACCTGCTGGAAGAAACTTACACCTTTGGCCTTCTCTAAAGTCATCATTCCTGATGCAGTAATCCATTTTCCTGCAGAGGCTGAGCGGCCATGGTCCCTAACTTCTACCCATTTCCAGGCATGGGTTTGGCACTAGTCTGTCCAGAAGACACAGGGCAAGCTCTTTCGGTGGTTTCCCCACATCTCTCTGACTCGGCGTTCGGTGAAGAGTTGGAACGGCTTTTTCTCCAGCATAACGTTGGAGGTGCTAATGGCAAGGAAATGCCACAGGACGCCAAGTATCAATAGTTTCTCCAAAGACGTGTCTCCAAACCTGTATTAGTCCCTTCGTTCTCGCACTGCTAAAAAAAATACCTGAGACTGGGTAATTTACAAAGAAAAGAGGTTTAACTGGCCCACAGTTCTGCAGGCTATACAGGAAGCATGGCTGAGGAGGCCTCAGGAAACTTACACTCACGGAGCAAGGCAAAGGGAAAGAAGGAATGTGTTCACATGGCTGGGGCAGGAGGAAGAGAGAGAGGTGGGAGGCACTACACACTTCTTTTTTTTTTTTTTTTTTTTTTTTTTGAGATGGAGTCTTGCTCTGTCGCCAGGCTGGAGTGCAGTGGCACGATCTCGGCTCACTGCAACCTCCGCCTCCCAGGTTCAAGCTATTCTCCTGCCTCAGCCTCCCAAGCAGCTGAGACTACAGGCACACGCCACCACGCCCAGCTAATTTTTATATTTTTAGTAGAGACGGGGTTTCACCATGTTGGCCAGGATGGTCTCTATCTCCTGATCTCATGATCTGCCCGCCTTGGCCTCCCAAAGTGCTGGGATTACAGGCGTGAGCCACCGCACCCGGCCAGCACTACACACTTCTAAGCAATCAGATCTGATGAGAACTCACTCACTATCACGAGAACAGCAAGGGGAAATTCGCCCCCATGATCCAATCACCTCCCACCAGTCCCTCCTCCAACACTGGGGATTACCATTTGACATGAGATTTGGGTGGGGACACAAATCCAAACCATATCAAAACCAGTCCTCTCTTTCAGCTTCTCCAACCTCCTTGAGCACTGGGGTAAGGATCACAAACCAATTTTTTTACCATTGCTTTTTGCAATTCCTGCAGAGGTGGAGGGAAGGGTGCTTGCTACCCACTGGGTTACTCCTGGCGTTTGGAGCTTCAGCCAAACGGAAGACAGAAAGAGTCCCATCCACACGCCACGGCTCTCATTTATCCCTTCAACAGGCGCCTGGATCCTCCGGTTCCACTTCTCAGGGTGTTCTGCCTTGCAGCTCTGGCAGCTGTTGTCTCCAGCCTGCATCAACTCAAATATGGAAAACATCCACGTTTTCTTTTCATTTTCTTGCCGCTTTCTAACAGTATCACTCATACATTTCAGAGAGTCCCATAGACTTTCCGTAAGGGGTGGAGTCACAGAAGCGGGCATCTGTTGCTTGGACGCCATCCACTTCCATTCGCCTCTAAGCTGATAGCTCTTACGGATCTGCTCCTCAGGGACCCCACCCATCTCCTAGTTAACCAATAAGAGCACCCCACCCCCACCATCCCAGCAACAATGATTGGTTCAGGAATGAGGGCGTGGCCAAAGCTAAGCCAACCAAAGCCAGTGATACTGGATTCTGGGACTAATTTTTAAATTTCTTAAGAAAAACTCTTCGTACTGGATTGCTGAGAGAATGGGATGTAAGGTCTGAACTCATGTCTGCCTTCATGCTACCAGCAAAGAGAACCTTGAAACCAAGTGCCCTGTATCCAGTAGGTGCTTAATAGTAGTTTATCGAGTGAAGGAAATAATGGGGAAAACATCTGCCAATGCAAGTAGTGCCAGTGCAATGATTCAAAGTGGTACTAAGTGCCCCCTGGAGAGGGCTGCATACACATGCAATTCCAAGTCTAAGAATGTATCTCACAGATACATTTGCACATGGACCCATATCAGTGTTACGGTGAAAGGTTGGACAGGTTATGCACTGCCCAACATTAGTGTGCACCATTCACATCAGGCGGGACAGAGTGGGAGAAGATAACTTTGCTGTAAACCTTTGTGCCCTGTGTGATTTTTTTTTTACCATGATCATATATAGTTTCTTCAGAAGAAAAATTTTTATATCAAAGCCGAAACTGTGCATTTACATTTCTTTATACATTGCTTGGCACATCAGTGCTCAATATGTATCAGCTGTATCAGCAGCCATCATTATTGTTATTTTTTAAGCTGTTTTGAAAACCTTACGGTGTTATTACACCATGGAGACACACGAGGGCGCGCCAGGCATCTATTTAAAAAGTGTTTTCATAGCAGTTCGTGGAGGCTGTAATTTTGAGTGTGTACAGGAGATGGGGGAAAAAGTCTTGGGGGTCCCGTGTGGGTGACAAGGGCAAGTCTTAGTTCCAACTTGGTCCAGTCTGCCAGCCTTGTCAATGAAATACCAGGACTCCCTTCCTGAGTGCTCCATAGTGGAATCAGGGTGAGCGTCCACTCTTTGCAAGTCCTTAGAGGAGAGAGCTGGCTGAGCCGGAGGACTGGCCCGGGGAGCCCCTGCTGCACCCGGACCTGTGTTCTCATCTGTGCAGCAGAAACAATCAAACCCACCTGCAGGGCTATCGTGAGATTAAGCAGGGTCTCTCAGAGATCAAAAGAAGCCCGAACTACTTTCTAGAGTGAAGAACTGGAAAGAAGAGAGAGAGAGAAGGAAAAGAAAGCCTCAAACAATCACCAAGATTGAAGTCACTCTCACAAGGTTAAATTTTACAACTCACCCCTCTGCCTCATATACACGGCAACCTAACAGTGCCAGGCAGAGATGGTGGGATTTATTTTAAAACAGTAACTTATATGGTCTGATAGAAGGACCCAAGCTTGGCCGGGCGCGGTGGCTCACGCCTGTATTCCCAGCACTTTGGGAGGCTGAGGCGGGTGGATCACGAGGTCAGGAGTTTGAGACCAGCCTGGCCAACATGGTGAAACCCCGTCTCTACTAAAAATACACAAATTAGCCGGGCGTGGCGGCGCGCGCCTGTAATCCCAGCTACTCAGGAGGCTGAGGCAGGAGAATTGCTTGAACCCTGGAGGCGGAAGCTGCAGTGAGCGGAGATAGCACCACTGCACTCCAGCCTGGGTGACAGAGCGAGACTCCGTGTCAAAAAAAAAAAAAAAAAGAAAAGAAAAAGAAGGACCCAAGCTTAATAATTTCTTTCTGACCCCTTCTGCTATCAGTTCTGGCGGTGCTTCTCCGTGATTTGGGTATAAGCTTATTCGATAAGGTTATACATATACTCATAAGATAATACACAAAAGCATATGCAGAGGGCTGCGGCAGACAGATTGCTGGTCTACTGGAAAGCCAGCTCCCCTTCTTGGCTAAGAGAGTGCCCAATGTGTTCCATGCACGGCGGATGACAATGTGCCCAATGGAGAGATGCTTCAGCCCCAGCCCCAGGGCATCCATTGCGATTGGGCTAAGTCATTCCTTTCCGCCAGCAATTGCTTTATAGGCAGGCAGATGCCCTGGTTCTGGCCACAGAGACACAAGTGGATGTCTCCTGGGAGCTTCTGAAACAGAGTTTTTGTGTGTGTGTGATAAGATAGAGACACTTGAGAAACTTCTCTCCTGTTGGTCTTATCTTTGGATGTTGTCAGAACGTTTGGAGCTGCAGCAGCCATCTTGTGACCACAAGGGAAAGACCAAGGGAATTGTAGAGACCCCCATCTTTGTGTCTGACATAATCGAGTTGCCAAATTAACCAGCTCAATTGGTGGTTAATTCCATTAATCCTGGAATTATCAAATTCAAGATTTCTTTTTCTTTACTTTCTTTTTTTTTTTTTTTTTGAGATGGAGTCTTGCTCTGTCACCCAGGCTGGAGTGCAGTGGTGTAATCTCGGCTCACTGCAGCCTCTGCCTCCCTGGCCCAAGCGATTCTCCTGCCTCAGCCTCCTTAGTAGCTGGGATTACAGGCGCCCACCACCACGCCCAGTTAATTTTTGTATTTTTAGTAGAGACGGGGTTTCACCAGGTTGGCCAGGCTGGTCTCGAACTCCTGACCTCCAGGGATTCACTTGCCTCAGCCTCCCAAAGTGCTGGTTTTACAAGTGTGAGCTACGGCGCCCAGCCCAAATTCAGGACTTCTGATTATATGACATACTTTCTAGGAAACTTGCAGTTTCACCTCTTTTAGATGACAGATTACTTGCAGTCAAAGCCCATGCAAACAACACAGGCACATGTCAAATGCCCCCTTGGGTGGAACGCAGGAATTTGCATTTCTAACAAGCTCAGGGGGCCACAGTTTGAGTATCATTGAGCCCAGCCATTTCTTGGTCTAGAGTAGGAGCCTGCAGAAGGGACAGAGCTCAGGGGTTAGGCAGACCTGTTTCCAGTTTCATCTGCATCCCACACTGGCTGGGTGACTTTGCACGAGGGAGTCAATCTCTTTGGGCCTGAGCTGCTTCATTGCTAAATTGAGGATAATAAAAGAACTCCTGGTTTTCTCCTCAAATCTGTTTCTCCAGCCACTTTTCCCATCTTTGTACATGACAGCTCCATTCTTCCAGAAGTTGAGCCCCAAATACTGGAGTTACCCTCGAGAACTCTCGTTCACACAAGCCTTACCTTCAATTGGTCTGAAAAACCTGTGGGTTCTACCTTCAATTGTATGCACAGCGAGACCACTTCTCATCACCTCCATCACTACCACACTGGTCCAGGCCTGCATTGCTTCCCGCCTGGGCCGTGGCAGCTGCCTCCTTGCTGGTCCCTGACTCCACCTCACCCCTGACAGTCTGTGCCTCACACACAGCACCAGATCAATTGCTAAAATAAGTAAGTACATCACTGCCTTCCTCTGCTCGGCTCCCAGAGCTCTCACCTCACTCACTCAGAGCAAGAACTGAAACTCTACCATGGCCTTCAAAGCTCTTGGAGATCTGGCTTCCTGGTACCTTCTGCCCCATTTCAGCTCCCCGCACTCCCCACTGTGCTCCAGCTGCCGTGGCCTCCTTGCTGTTCCTTAAACACACCAAGCAAGCTCCTTCCTTCTGCCTGGAACCATCTTCTCCAGGTATCCACATGGCTCCTTCTTTTGCTTCCTTCTGACCTCTGCTCAAATGTCACCTCCTCAGTGAGGCCCATCCTGATTGCTCACCTAGATTTCCACCCCACCCAACTTCTTCTGTCCCTTTTTTTTCTCCATATCCCACCTCACTAAGTGTATATTTGTTTGCCTATTTGTTTATTTCCTCTCCATGTATTGGAACGTAATTTCCACAAAAGCAAGGTTCATATCTGTTTTTCTTTTTTTAAATTTATGTTTAATTTACATACGGTAACATTCACTTTTTGGAGTACAGTTCTGTGAGCTTTGATAAATGCACAGTCATGCAACCATCACCAAAATCAAGACACAGAACAGTTCCATCATCTCCAAAAATATCTTCAAGCAACTTCTGGATAGTGAGGCCCTTTTGCCACCCTGCCCGATGTCAATCATGGATCTGGTCTCTCCTCTGTAGTTCTGCCTTTTCTATTTAATATGTGTCATATAAAAGACACACAGCTTGCAGCCTTTGGGGACGGGCTTCTTTCTTGCAGCAGAATGCTTCTGAGATTCATCCATGTTGTTGCATCCATCAATCGTCTGTTTCTTTTTATTGCTGACTCGTAATTTATCCTATGAATGAGCCACTTGTCAATCCATTCCCCAGGCGAGGGACATTTGGATTGTTTCTAGTTCTTGGTGATTGGGAATAAGCTGCTCTAACCCTGCATGTACTAGATTTTGCATGAACAAAGGTTTTCATTTCTGTAGGTTACACACCAGGAGCGGGATTGCGGGATCATGTAAGTGTGTGTTTAACGTCACGAGAAACTGCCATGCCGTTTTTCAGAGTGGTTGCACCATTTTACATTACCACTGGTGATGGAGGAGCCTGACAGCTGTTCTGCATTCCCACATGTTTTTTCTCATCATTGAATTTCCACCACCAAGGATAGAACCTGGCACTGGTAGGTGCTCAACAAATATGCACATAGTAGGTACACAAAAATATGCATACCTACTATGTGCACATAAACAGATAACTAGAGGCTATCACACAGTGGGATCGGAAGGATGAATTAGGGTAAAATGTATAGAGTGCTTGGTACAGTGCCTGGCCCTTAGTACCTGAGGATCATTGCTAACAGTAGAGGCCACTCTCCCCAGGGGAGGGCCATAGGGCAGGGGCCTCAGCTCCAGCCACACAGAGAGACTGCCTAGCAGAACCCTCCACTATGCTAATCGCTGATTCCTTGAGCTGTAGGCTTTGGGGATATAAAGATCTTCTCCCTCCAGGAACTGAGGAGGTAAGAATCTGCCCCCACGCCAGCAAGACCCGCAATGCTGCAAACACTTCCTGAGGCTCTCTGTGCCCCCCTCCACCCCAGCGTAGGGAACCCAGGAGACCTGGCTCCAGCTGTGTTTTCCTTGCCTCCACACTCAAAAATGGGAGGCCCACAGGCCAAGGAATGGAGTAAGTCTGTTTTCCTAGCTGACCTTGTCCCCTCAAGGGGACACCAGTGCCCCCACGCTGCTGAGTTTTCTCCCACTTTAGCCAAACTCTTTGGCTGCCCTTGTCCACCCCCACTGGGGGCCTGTTTGCCAGAATCTTTCAGCACCTTTTCTTTTTCACAATCACTCTGACCCTTTTTGCTATTGTTTTTTGTAGGTTAATTGAGTACGTTCTCCTCTCGGTGGAGACCGCAGGCAGGGCCAAGCACAACAGGCCCAGCACGAAGGGGGCCTGGGAGGCCCGTCCCAACTCTGCAGCCTGAGGCCTGCTCAGGCAAGGGCAGGGGGACATTGATGGGGCCAAGATGTAACTGACCTCGCCTGCAGGCAGCAGCTAGCTGGGGTGGAGGACGCGGGGGACGAGAGCATCAGGCCTCCCTTTCAATCCCTGCTCTTCCTTCTTCCTCTTTTTTGTTTTCAGAGCAGATTATCCCTAAATTCTCCTTCAGTTGGTATTTTCTGAGCACCTTCTAACCGCAGAAAACTGTAGCACGATGCAAAGTGTAATGACTGACAGAAACGAGGCTTGCAGTGGTCTCACCTGGGGTGAGTTTGTGCCCCAGGAGACACTCAGCAATGTCTGGAGACCGTTTTGGCTGTCGGCCCTAGGCAGGAGGGGTCCTGCTGACATTTAGTGGGTGGAGGCCACGGATGCTGCTAAACTTTCTACAATGCACAAGACAAGCCCACGTAACAAACATCGATCCGGGTGGGATGTCAGCAGTGCTGAGGCTGAGAAAACCTGGCTCCTCACTGTCCCATTATATGGATGAGGAGACTGAGGTCCTGTGCAGCTAAGTGACATGTCCAAGGACACACAGGATTTCAACCCAGAGGCCTGACTCTGCTGTCCTCATGCACCTCCCACTCCTAGAGCTCATCAAGGGACGGGGAAAGGAGTTAGGAGGGACAGGGACGCAGGGGGAGTTGACCTGGGTGTGGGAATGGAGCTCTGGGGGCCTTCCGCAGAGGATGAGGGGACTGAGGGGAATTTGGAAAGACTCCCGGGGGATGGGAGAGTCTGTCATGATTCCCTTTGACATCCGTTTCTGATACAGGAAAAGCCTGCTTTGAAATTTAGGGGGTGGGGGGGAACACCTGTCACCCCCACACAGCACTTCCGGCAGATCCTGGGAGGGGCATTGCAGTAGCAAATGATGAACAGCAGAGGGCGCGAGGGTTCCTTTGCCTCCTATGTACCACTTTTTTCATCGTAAAGGGAGTAGGTGTGCCTTAAAGAAAACTGCGGAAAGCCCAAAAAAGCAGAACAAAGAAACCTACATTGCCCAGAATCCCACCTCCTGGGACAGTTGAACATTTAAATAGTGAATAGTTTCTTCCTTTTTCCCCAGACAACTTTGTTGACATTTTTTATTCTGTTTTGTTTTGCTTTCCAACACAGGGGCCATCAGCCAGTACACATGATTTTGCAGCCTGGATTTTCACATAACATTCTATCAGAAGCTTTTCCCTTTGTCTGACAAGCCCATGTCATCCTCAGTCCCTGGTCACCGCTGCGGAGTCAGGGCTTGTGTATTAGGCCGTTTTTCAATTTCTGTAAAGAAATACCTGAGGCTAGGTAATTTACAGAGAAGAGAGGTTTCATTGGCTGGTGGTTCTGCAGATTATACAAGCATGGCACAGGCATCTGTTTCTGGGGAGGCCTCAGGAAGCTTCCAATCATGGCGGAAGGCAAAGGAGGGGCAGGTGCATCACATGGTGAGAGAGGGAGCAAAAGGGGGGCGTCCCAGGCTCTTAAACCACCAGATGTGGCATGAACTGAGGGAGAAGTCGCTCATCGCCAAGGGGGTGGCACTAAACTTTTCCTGAGGGACTCACCCCCAGGATTTAATCACCTCCCACAGTGCCCACCTCCAGCACGGGAATCACATTTCAACATGAGATTTGGAGGGGACAAACCTCCAAACCACATCAGCACACATCCATTCAGCAGATGTGTTTTGAGCCCCCATGTGTGGGAAGCTGTGACAAGCAAGGAGATCAACTGGGTGTGTGCTCTGTCTGGGGGAGATGGACCCCATCCAGGGTCATTTCAGATGGGGCAATGCACAGTGATGGAGTGAGAGATCTGGGCTGTGTCCCTGGGGGGGCCTCTCAAAGTAGGGGACATTTGGATGGGGACCTGGATGACCACCAGGAGGCTGCAGGAGCTGCAGGGACACTCCTGGCACGCTGGAAGTTCACATGAGAAAGGGGAAAGGCCTATTTTGGATAAAGATCCCCCCAGGACAGGGTGAGGGGTGGAACATGGGACATGAGGAACATGAGTGGTCTCAGATGCCTACAAGTCTCCTTCCTGGGCCTTTGGGCAGGTGGTGGCGCCATATACGGCAGCAGAGAAGGAAGGATGACACTTAAGCCTGCTGCCCCTGCTCCCCCCTTGATATGATTTGGCTCTGTGTCTCCATCCAAATCTCATCTCGAATTATAATCCCCATGTGTCAATGGAGTGAGGTGATTGGATCATGGCAGCGGTTTTTCCCATGCTGTTCTCATGATAGTGAGTGAGTTCTCACAAGATCTGATGGTTCTATAAGTGTTTGACAGTTTCTCCTTCAGAGTCTCGCTGTTTCTCCTGCCACCATGTAAAACATGCCTGCTTCCCCTTCCGCCATGATTGTAAGTCTCCTGAGACCTCCTCAGCTATGCAGAACTGTGAGTCAATTAAACCTCTTTCTTTATAAATTACCCAGTCTCGGGTACTTCTTTATAGCAGGATGAGAACAGACTAATACACCTGCTTTTCCCAGAGCCTAGCATTCAGCATGTGGGAGGAAGGAGCACTTTCTGCTTCTCTTTCATTAGTGAGGATAAAGAGGGACAGTACCAAAGGAGGATAAGGACTCAATTTCATTCTAATAAAAATGGGAACCCCTTGCATTTTATTTAAAATATCATTGTTTGTTTGCTCTTTCAGATTGCAAAAATAATTACTAGTCATTATAGAAACATGTGTAAAAATATAAATAAGTACAAAGGGAATAGTGGTTCCCCATGATCCCATTGTCCAGGGACCCTCCGCAAGCCTTTCAGGGTATTCCTTTATCGTAAGACCTTCATCAGTGTCTGTGTCTGCATTTATTCATCCATTCAACGGAATTTTTTGAGCACCCACTATGTGCCAGTCATCTTTCTAGATGCAAAGGATGTAGTTGGGAATAAAAACACAAAAATCCCCGTCATCATGGAGGTGACATTCCAGTGAGGGTGACAAACAAAATAATCGGTAAACGCTGCAGTACAGTCTATGATAAGGGCAGAAGTGCCATGGAGAAATGAAAGCAGGGAACCCGGAGGAGGGCACTAAATGGGGTTTGGATTTTAAGCGGGATGCTCAGGGAAGGTGTCACTGAGAGGTGACATTTGAACAGAGGCTTGAATTTTTGGAGGGAGCGAGGCATGAGGGCAGCTGCGGGGGAGGGGAGAGAGAACAGCAGGTGCAAAGGCCCCCAGGGGGCGAGCCTGGGTGGCTCAGGAGGTGCGAGAAGGTCAATCGGTGAGTGCTGGGTGAGCAGGGATGGCGAGGGGTGGGGAGGATAAAGAGGAAGTTGGGGAGCAGACCTCACAGGGCTGTGGGGGACACTGAGAGGACCACGCTTTACTCTGAGTGACATGAGAAGCCAGAGCAAGACTTTGATTTCTCTGTAAATGTTTTATTGTCAATCCAAACAAAAGTGGAGAGAACAGTAAGATCAACCCCACACACTCACCCCCCAGCCCCGTGTACGGTCCATCTGGCTTCACTGATTTCCTCCCCACTGGATGGTTTTGAAACAGATCTGGGCACCACCTCATTTCATCTGTTTACATTTTGTGAATGTCACCAAAATCAGGATTTTCTTCCAGCGTAACCTCAATACCATTATCCTGACTTCAAACATTACCAGTCATTCCTTAGTGTTACCAGAATTCCAGTCCACGTTCAGATGTCCCTCATTCTCTCAATTCATTTTCGCCTTCATTTGTTCAAACTAGGATCTAAACGAGGTTGTTTATGACAGCTGAGCTGTTCCTTAGGTCTTTTTAAATCTATGGGTTCCCCCTTCTTCTGTTTTTCTCCTTGCAGTGTGTTTGTTGAAGAAACTGGGCTGCTCATTCTCTAACGTTTCCCATATTCGTAGCACTTATCTCCTTTGAATATGCCATATAATTTATTCTTCTTATTAAAAAAAAAGTCCTCTCTCCCCTACTAGAAAGCAGTCTCCCAAGAGCAGCCTGTTGGTCTGTTTTGTTCCCTGCTGTGTGCCCAACACCAGAGCCTGGCACAGTCAATGACCCATAAAAGGATGGCTAACACTGAAAATACTGGCTATTGTTTCCCAGCGTTACAGATGAGGAAACTGAGGCTCACAGAGGTTAAGTGAACTTCAAAAGGTCATACAACCAGGAAGTGAGGAGATTGGGATTTGAACTCAATCTTTCAGGCTTAGTGATCAATTTTAACAACCATATACCACACTCTCCCGCGACCCAGCTCCCTCCTTCCCGACAGATGGCGGCTGTCTGTGAAAGGACCCAGCTCCAAAGGCAATTCCCCAGGACGCTCGGGGTCCCACTTTCCTAGGGGTGCTGGTGCCTGCTGGAAGCTGAGCCCCACTGGAGAGATGAGGCCATGCTGAGCCACCGGGGACACTAGTCCTCCATGAGACAGTCTCAGCAGCCCTGTGTGTCAAACTCCCCAGCACTGGCTTAAACTCCAGTGGCTCCCGAAGGCAAGGACCCCCAGCCCTCGCTGAGCATTTGGTTCATAGTAAGTGACCAAGAAGCTCCTGGGAGACAAGAGACCCAGCAAAAGTGGTCAAGATATCTGGACTGCACTGCTGCTAGGCCTGCCAGGCTCTGTCTCCTGCCCTCCGTGTCAGGCCCTGCCTCCAACCAACCAGCCTCCAGGTCAGCATTGCTATGTGATTCTCAGACCAGCAGCTTCCGCACACACCAGCACCTTGCTGGAAAGGCAGGTTGGAACACCCCAAGGATGTGGTACACGGAAAGACAGGGAACCATAGGTGCTGGGGTGGACCCTGCGATCTGGGCTTTCACAAGCCCCAGAGACTCTATCCGCAGAGATATTCTGGTTCTCAGTACCTTTGGGCAGAGCCTTCTTTGAGTGTTGAGGCCAGAAGGGCCAACTCCTTGGTTTATTGATTAGTAGGGACCACTGGGCTCTTTCTCAAATGGGTCTAACCATTTATCTGGGTGCAGGAATGTGGAATTTCAGTGCTGGGAACCATGTGCCTGAGCCTCATGTTGAGGTCCTCTGGGGTCCCAAGGTCTACCTGGTCTAGCATGCACTTAGAGAGGGCCCATGGGTGCCAGACACAGCAAGCAGCTTATAGCGTCTGTCCTCAAGTCACTCTGAGAAAGCCCAGGGTTAACGGCTAAGCCGGCTGCTCTCTCAGCATCCTCTCTTCCATCTTCCTGTTTATTTCATGGCTTCCATCACCACTGAAAGTTGTCACCAATTTGCCCTCTTGTTCGTCTGTCTCACCCCCCATCAAACATGCCCCTCACCCACCCAACCATGAGCTCCATGAGAATGGGGTCTCCTCACTTTGTTCCCAGCACCCAAAATAGTGTTTGGCCCATAGCAGGCACTCAAGAAATAGATGCTCAATGAATGAGTGAATGAACGAATGAATGAATGGGAACAATAAGAAGAACCCATGGAGAGAGAGAACGGGAGTGAAGGGAGATGGAGAGGTTGCGCTCTCAAGGTGGGATTTTGGAGTTTCAGACCATGGTGAGTGGAAGTGTCAGAACAGATCCCCAGGAAATACCAGGCCTCCATGCAATATTACAGGTTTTTAAATGTAGCCTTAATGTGATTTTTGCATATTGGGAATAATAAAAATGTAAGTGATGTCTGCTCAGAGCACACTCCCTGATTCAATTTCCACTCTGTTCGTGAGTATGTTGTTAAATTGTCTGGTCCCACGGGTTAACAACAATAGATTCGGAGTACGTTCAAATCAGAAGGCACAGAAGGTGATCCAGAGCAGAGCTTTCCGATCTTTTGACAGCAGCTCACAAGAAGAAATACAGTTGACATAGCGACCCAGTACCTGTGCACACCACGTACACACACACGTGAAAGTTACAGGAAACCATACCTTCCTCCGTGCAATGTACTCTGTTATTTTCTGTTGGTTCTATTTCCTTTCCTTTAAAAAATGACAGTTGCCACTTTTCAACTTGACTTCATAAGTCACTTAAGGGGTCACAGCTCACAGTTTGAAAATCAGCAGGTCCAAAGCCTGCAATTTACACATGGGGAAATGGAGGGAGACCCAAGCTGGGCCAATGACCTTGCTAAGGTCACATGGGAAGTTAGTAGAAGAGCCAGGCAAAGGAGCTTCTACTTCCAGTGGAACTTTCTTCCAGTGTAGACATCTGGAGATCTGGGAATCTAAGGATAGTAGAGAACCTTGGAATGCTGGAATTCCAGCATCATGGACAGTGATTTTGCTGTGGATGGCCCCTCTGTTCCATCAAGTGCTCACTCCTCCCCCGCCAAGCTGCCCTCTATCCTGGCACGCTGCCTGATTTTCTTCATAATGTTTATTGCTCTCCGACAACATCTAATTAGTTTGTTTCCAGGGTGTCTGTCCCACCCACCCGTACCACAAAATGCAATCTGCATGAGAGCAAGGACTTGTCTGCATTGTGCTCTGCTGTGTCCCGACACTCAAAAAGGCATCTGGCACATAGTAGATGCTCAATAAATATTTGTTAAATAACTACAAGAATAAATGGAGCAGCTGGTAGCTGGCATCCAGGTTTTGATGAAGGCACCTCTCAGACCACATCCAACCACAATTTATTAACAAGCAGAGGAAAACAGCTCCACAAGCCAGTCTGGAAGCTCCTGGACTGCCAGATCTCAGGCCCAACTGAGACTCAGAAAATGCTTTGCTTAAGAGGCTCCCTGGGGCAAAGGCCACAGTATTGCAGCAGTAGAATTTGTCCAGCATCCATGGTGGTCAGGACTTGGGCCTTTTAGGGATCAAACCCAGGGTGCCATCCCCTAGAGCAACTCTGGCCAATAGCACTCTCTATGGTAATGGAATGTTCTACTCTGTGCTGTGCCATGTGGTAGTCACCAGCCACATGTGCCAATGGAGCCCTTGAAATGCCGCTAGTGTGACTGAGGAGCTGAAGTATCCATTGAATTTTAGTTAATTGAAATTGAAGTCAAGATAACCACAGTGTGACTTGTGGCTACACATGAGACGGTGCAGCCCTAGATTCTTAAACCCTGCGGCTCCTGCAAGGGCCGGGAGCAGCTCTGACACATTCCCCCATCCACTTATCTTGGAAAGCACTGCTGCCACTGAAAACGACGCATGTCTCACGTCCACTTTGCCAAGCATCAGTCCTGACTTCCGCCCGTGACCACTTATGTCGAAAGTTCCTTGGGCCAGTTAGTGAAGCCTCTGGGGTTGACCTGGCATAAAGCTAGTGGTGCCATTGAAGATGCCACCTCTGGAGCGTGATCTTTTTGACAATCACCTCCAGAGAACGCATTCCTGATTAGAAAAACTGGCCGCCGCCAAAGTGGACATTGCAATGAACTAATACATGGATGTCCCCCTATCTATGCAGAAGTAGCAGAAACATGAAATAAATTAATATGTAATTACAGTTGCAATGGGTTGCGAAGGATGCTGGCAGCGTGAATAACAGGACAGGGTTGAGGTCAAACCCACCTTCCCTGAGCAAGTGATTTTTAACTGGAGAGTTGTCCTCTGCAGAGGGGAAAGCCAAGAGCAGGGAAATGAAGGGAAGCATTCCAGGCACAAGTAGCTGCAGGCACAGAGGTCCTGGGGTGAGCTTGGTATCTGAGGAACAGAACAAAGACCAACGTGGAAAACCAGGAAAACCAGCGAGGGGCCAGAACTTTCTGGCTATTCTGTCACAACAAGGATTTGGGATATTTTTCTCCCACCGCATTCTCTCATCCTTTCCCTGGGATGCTGGCAGGTACTGGGTTAAGCAAAGCTCCGTGGAAGCCAGAGAAGCCAGCTGATATAAAACCTTTGTATATGCTGTCTGCTATAGGATCCAATTTAGTATTGATATTCCCGTTTTAAAAAATAATAATTTCCATTAGATTGAGACCAGAATGCCCCGTGAAGCCCAGTGTGGTTTGCCAATTGATTCACAGAATGAAATCTTATCTAAAATCTTTTTATTTTATGCTATTAGGGACGCAGGAGGGAGCAGCCAAGGAAAAAAATCTCCCTGCTTGGTTAATGCACAGGGTCAGCTGGAAGTGGCCCTAGGGCCGTCTTAAAAAGACTGTCATTTGCGATTTCCCACTCTTTTGTTTCACATTACCAGTAATTGACATTTTTTTTCTTCCCTTCAAGTGGAGTTAATGGATTGACATCTTCTTGTTAGCACCTTGGATCTTTATTGAGGACTCCTTCCTGGGGCTGGCATCACCCCCAAGTGCCCTTGGGAGGCCTGGGGTGGTCCGTGTGGTTTGCCCACATTTCTCTTGGCGGCCCTTGGCAGCAGGCGGTGGGAGGGAGGTTGAGGGAAGGAGGGGGTGTGTCCCCCACCCCCAAGTCCACAGGCCACACGGCTCTGAACCTTTGGAATGGCATCTCTCACGCTGAACATACGATGACCCAGGAAAGGGCAGCCTTGAAGGGTTGCCTGCAGGAGGCCAGCCTTGTGCAGATGCGAAACTGGGCAAAGAGAGGAAAACTGTCAGCTTCGCGTAGGCGAGAAAAAAAGATGATTTTTCCCTTTCACCCCCCATTTTATTTTCCTGTAAAGATAATAAAAAGCTTTGACTTCCATTATACAAGTGACAGACTCTCACTAGAGAAAGCACAGCCGGCCACTGCCCCTGGCTCTGCTCCAGCCACAACGGCCCCTAGCTGTTTTCTGTGCACCCTTCATTTGCTGTTCCCCTTGCCTGAAACCTTCTTCCCCCAAACATTCTCACTCTCTCCTCTCCTCCCAATCTTTGCTCGAGCATCTTTTTCTCAGTAAGGCCTTCCCCACCCACACCTGCACCTGCAACCTGGCACTTCCTGTCTCCTGCCTGGCTTGATTTTGTTCTCCTAAGCACACATCAACCCCAGCCTGATGTATATTTCACTTAGTTAGATGTTCATCATCTGTCTCCACCTGCCAATTCGTTTTGCATTTTATAATTCACTGTTTTATCTTCAGTGAATAAAATAGCATCTGGAACATAGTAGATGCTCAATAAAAAATTCAATGACTAGAAGAAGAGGGCAGAAAAAAAATCACTCCCACTTCTTCATATTCAGCCTTTGGTAGTATTTGGTGCATTTGCTTCTTATCTTTTTCTATATATAGGCTTCCGTTTTTATTTCTACAGTGGAGTTCCCCATACACTGGGTTAGGCTATAAAGATAAATGCCTATGGAGAAAGCTGCAAAAATGCCCATGAAAACCTCTTATATTGCTCTTGAATGGTTTTGTCTGTACATAGAGTAGTTGGTTTGCATTTGGGAGGTATGTAGCATGGAAATTACATGTCTCGAAACACCAGAGTTGTTTGGCAGAAAGAGATGCTCTCAGGAGAGGTAGGACTCCGTGAAGGCCTCCAGATTCACACCACCCACTTCACACTCAACAAGTGACAAATAGTCATTAAACTAGAGGAACTGCCTGCACTGTTTAAGTGATTTTTTTTCTCTCTTGTTTCTTTTTAAAAACGAATATAGCTGAATTTATACATGTGTAATGTGCACAGAGGCAACTTTCCTATACGCAGCTCCAATCATACCTGTGAAAATAATTTTAATCCTGCATAATTATATTGTACTCATTTTCTACATCACTCTAAACACTTCATAAATATCTCTAACAGCTGCATTATCTGCCATCAGGGCATCCTTTCATCTACTCAGCCCATCCCCTATTCTCCTACATTGAGGTTGTTTCCAATTTTTCACAATAATAAATAACACAGAAGAAACATCATGCCCAATACTCTACTGGATTTCAGATTCCTTATTTGGGTCAAAATCAGGGAGATTTATGCAAGTGGGAGCCCAGGGAATCAGTGTCAGATTAGCAAAGTGAGTAATTGCTAGGAAGATAGTTTTGTCTTGAAAGTGAGGTCAGAGTGCAGCTGGGTGGGCTGGCGTGCACCTGCCCTCTAGTTTAGGCCAGCATTCCAGGGAGAAAGGACTCCAGAGCACACTGGAAGAGAAGCAACCTGACCACTAGGGGGAGCCAAGTGGGAGTCTGGGTTAAAGAGAGATGGTATTAACCAAGATATAAATTGGAGCAGATAAGGAGGATAATTAGGAACAGCATTAAAAATAATAGCATCAACATACATCATCAACATATGCTATTATTTTACAACCCTCGGCCCAAGGTTATGGCTCCGTGTCTGTAAAGTACCAGGCATTGTACCAGTACTATATGACCCTCATCTCTAAGCCTTTAGCAACCTTACAAGGGACAAATCACTATCCTTCCCTATTCTTGTTGCAGAAGTGGAAATTGAGGCTCAGAGAGGCTAACTGATTCACCTAGCATCACACGCAGAGCCAACATTCTAACTCAGGATATCAGACATCAAGCCTCATTTCTATTTCTATATCCTTTAAAAATCAAAATGCAGGTCAAAAAGATCCAAGGCTATGGCCAGGAAGACACAGCATTGTCTAGAGGACAAGAACGTGATGGTTAGATGAGAGTAAATGATATGAAATGCTGAGAGGTGACACGGACATGGAGGCCTCCATTCATTTGGCCAAGAGTGGTAGACTTGATGGCGTGGTCACTGCCAGGTGTGACCATGGCATGGGGTCTTGTGCCAATGCCTTCCTTCCACCTCCTCACTTTTCCCCACCCTGCTTTCTGCCCAAGAGGCTCACCTGCATGGGCTCCACCAACAGGCTCCCATGGGTGGGTGTGCTCTGGTTGCGTTTGGCCGATAGTGACCTTTAGCAGGATGGGAGGAGATACGATGCAAAGTAGAAATTTATTCCCTGTCCCTGGCCTGCAGAGCTACCTGTGATGGCTGCCTCCCTCAGCCCAAGTCATGGCTCTGTGAGGTGGCCCCCTCCACGTGGCTGTCATTCCAGGAGCACCTCTGTGTCAGAGGCACCGTCCCCATGGCTTTCCTCCACCCTGCCCATACTTTGTAAATAGAAAATCCCTTCCAGTGACTCTGTTTAGCTGTGTCCCCATATCTTCCTCAGATCCTGGCTGATAGAGACCCCCATTCATGCACATTTACTCTGTCCTCAGTTTTCTAAGGTGAGACTGCAAACCGGTGGCCCTGTTGGTTGAATTAGGCCATCACACATGCCTCGTGGTCTGTGCAGTGCTTAAAAATCCTTTCAAATTAGTTTGCAACCTTTAACCATTGGGAGAGTTAATGCAAAAAATTCTAAAATTTTGGCTTTGCTGGAAAACAAAGCAAAACAAACAAACAAAAAATGGTGGGGGCTCCCTGGCCACACGGGGCTTGCCTTCTTCTCTCAGGATCACTTTTAACCACTTGGGAAGAGCTTTGCAGCCTTCGAGGCCTTTTCAGGTACCCCCTCCCATCGACTCCTCTTCCTCATTGACGTTACCTGCCCAGCCCTGGTAAACATGGAGTTTATGACAGCCTCTCAAGCCTTCCAGATGTGGCCTCACCAGCCTTTATGGGGCTGCTTGTGAGAGAAACCAGAACTAGGAGTGGGTTCTCGGGCGGGGGCACAGCTCAGAGGGCAGTCAGTACCGAGGAAATGGAGATGCGGAGATGGCCATGAGCTTGGCGGCTGCACTGAGCTGGGGCAGCAAGGTCGCCGTTATATAGATCAGCCTGGGGAGAGAGAGACTGTGCTTTGATCGTGGGCAAGGTTAGTTAGATTTGGGAATAGCAGCCTCTGTAATTAGCCCCTGGTAAAGAGCTGAGAGGCAATATGAGAGCGTGTCCAAGAGTCCATCTCTGCGATATTGAGTTCAGATGGAACCAAGGAATTAGAAGGCTCTGGATAAAATGACCACCTCTGCCCTCCTCTCTGGGCTTTCCTCTAGAGCTCTGGGGGCAGGTAAGCGTGAGAGCATGCCCTTGACCTTCTAATGAGATGATGCTGCAAATTTCCTCCCAATTGGCTTATCAAGTTTACCAGCTCCCACTCACCCAGTGCAAGCTTTGGCCCAGAGAGAGCTCCCTTCATTGTCAACATGCCAAGAAAGCATTCTGAATGGTTCCCAACACACACGCAAATCCCAGCACAAGAGAGACGTGGAGGGCACATGGAGGAAGACAGTTTGAGGTCCTAGGATCTGTGGTCAGACTGGGAGCTGCACTGCAGGACAGGCCTCCAAAGTTGGTCACAGAGCCCCTGAGTTGGTATCCATGATCTTCTCTCTTGGAAAACTTAGAGAGAGTTCAGTTTTGCAAGCACCTGAAGGATGCTTCAGCCTTGGAGTCTGCAATACAGTAGGGTGGTCACTGTCATCAACATCAGCTGTGGGAGCCTGACAGACTTCAAACTCATCCTCGTTCCTTAAAGCCAGTGCCTTTAGCAATGTCATTAACCTGTGTGGGCTATTTCACTATCTGTAAAGCGGACGGTGGTCACAGCCACTAAGTCCTTGCTGCTCAGAGTGTGGCCTAGGGCCAGGAGCATCAGCATCCCCTGAGAACTTGTAGAACCACAGAATCTCGAACCCAGCCCCAGCCTCACTGATTCAGAATCTGTTTTCACAGGCTCTCCAGGTGGTTTTGATCAAACTCGTAGGGCTTTTGGGAGGAGTATATGCAGTTCAATAATGCAACAGTTTTGTTTGTTTGTTTGTTTGTTTGTTTTAGATAGGGTCTGGCTCTGTCACCCAGGCTGGAGTTCAGTGGCGTGATCTCACTACAACCTCCACCTCCCGGACTAAAGGGATCTTCTCACCTCAGCCTCCTGAGTAGCTGGGACTACAGGTGTGTGCACCACCATGCCTGGCTAATTTTTGTATTTTTTGTAGAGATGGGGTTTCACCATGTTGCCCAGACTGGTCTTGAACTCCTGAGCTCAAGCAATTCGCTGCCTTGGCCTCCCAATGTTGGGATTATAGCTGTGAGCCACCATGCCCAGCCAATCCAACACATATTTCTTGAGCACTTACTATGTGCCAGGCTTGGTTGCAAATGCTGGGAGTACAGCACTGAACATGGCAGATGAATCCCAGCCCTCAAGGAATTTACTTTCTAATGGGGTGTATTAGTCCATCCTCATGCTGCTAATAAAGACATACCCAAGACTGGGTAATTTATAAAGGAAAGAGGTTTAATGGACTCACAGTTCCACATGACTAGGGAGGCCTCACAATCATGGCGGAAGATGAAGGAAAAGCAAAAGGACTTTTTACATGGTGGTGGGCAAGAGAGCATGTGCAGGGAACGCCCCTTGGTAAAACCATCACATCTCACGAGACTTAATTACTATCACAAGAACAGCACAGGAAAGACCCGCCCCCATGATTCAATCACCTCCCACTGGGTCCCTCCCACAACACATAGGAATTGTGGGAGCTACAGTTCAAGATGAGCCAAACCATATCATAGGGAGAGACAGACAAACAAGAGACAGACAAACGGACAAGATGAAAATATAAAATACAGGAAATGGGGGATGGTGCTCAGTGGGAAGGAGAAAAATAAAGCAGTGCTTCCAGGTGGGACCCGGCAGGGAGAAGGACTATAATGGCAAGTAGAATGACAAGAAGGTGACATTTGAACAGTCACCTGAGGAAGGTGAGGAAAAGTATATTCCAGGTGACCAGAACAGCACAGACGAAGTCCCTGCAGCAGAAGTATGCCTGCTGTGTTGGAAAGATCTGTCAGGATGTCAGTGTGGCTGGAATAAAGTGAGTCAGCAGAAGTGCTGGAAGGTGAGGTCAGGGAGAAGTAAGAGCAAGGGCGGATGATGCACAGCTTTAGAAGCTGCTGAGGGTCCTGGCTTGTCCTCCAGTTCCTGATGCCCAGGAATGGGCAGGGACCCACTGGAGAGGGGCTGGAAGCAGTGGCTGGCACGTGGTAAGTTCAGGGACCAGCATTATTGTAATCGTTGCTGTTATCCAAAGCTGATAGAAACAGGTTGGACTCACCCTTGAGGTTTCAGCTTAGGTGTCCCTTCTCCAGGATTGCTGACACCCCAGGCTGGAGGGGGTGCAGACCTGAGAGCACCTCAGCCTTCTGAAAGCTCCTGGGTGAGGCTGGGATGGGGAGCTGGCCAGCCCTATTCACGATCGTATCTCAGAGCACAACACTGTACTTGGCATCTAGTAGTTGCTCAATAAATACCTGTCAATTAGAGGAATGAATACATACAAAGACTTGGGGGTGTCGGGTGGGGGACGTGCTCAGGAAAGGTGGGGAAGTGGCTGGGAGGAGTGACAGGAGTATTGTTAGAAGTAAACACCTGAGCTTTGTCCATTCAAGGTGCCCTCTGGAGCCTGACGCCCAGGAACGAACAGGGTCAGGGTGTTGGTCATCTCTGATCACACTGCTGGGTAAGGTAACCCAGAGGCCACCAGGACTCTGTGCCAAGAAACCCTGGGCCTTTGTGCTGAACTTGGCAGGCTTCTTGTCCTCCTCTGGCTCATTTCAGGGCCACCCCATGCTTTAGCCCAGGCTCCACCATGAAACTTTCTCCCCCACGGAAATGCTTGGGCACTGCTGGTAAAAGGATGGCCCCTCAGGAGAGCCACCAGGCAGCACTCAGAGAAAGTGACAATGCACAGGCTCTCAACAGGCAGCCCACCCTCTGGGGCAGGGCCCAGAGCAGCAGTTCTCAACCTTGGTGATCTTGCACCCCTAGGGACACATGGCAATGCTTGGGGACATTTTTGTTTGTCACAGCTGGGAAGGAGGTGCTACTGGCATCCAGTGGGTGGAAGCTCAGGGTGCTGCTAAACATTGTCCAATGCACGGGACAGCTCCACAGTGAGAATTATCCGGTCCACAGCGTCAACAGTCATTATCCCTTAAGGAGCCTTTTAAGATTTTTTTTTTCTAATTCCCCCTTTAATGAAATTTTAGAACTATAGAGATATTGCATACATATCTGTTTGTGTGCTGTAGGTATATGTGTGCTTTATACATAAAAAAGGTAAGATTTGGCTGGGTATGGCAGCTCACGCCTGTAATCCCAGCACTTTGGGAGGCCGAGGAGAGTGGATCACCTGAGGTCAGGAGTTCAAGACCAGCCTGACCAATATGGTGAAACGCTGTCTCTACTAAAAATACAAAAATTAGCTGGGTGTGATGGTGTGCACCTGTAATTCCAGCTACTCGGGAGGCTGAGACAGGAGAATTGTTTGAACCCAGGAAGTGGAGGTTGCACTGAGCTGGGATTGCAGCACTGCACTCCAGCCTGGGCTACAGAGAGACTGTCTCAAAAAAAAAAAAGTAAGATTTTTAAGTGTCCATTGATGGATATGAATAGTATGAATAGATAAACAGAATGTGCTATTGTACATAGTGTGGAATATTATTCAGCCTTAAGAAGGAAGGAAATTGTGGCACATGCTACAACATGGATGCATCCCGAGGACACTATACTAAGTGAAATTAGCCAGTCCCCAAAAGACAAATATTGTGTGATTCTACAGTATTTGTAGAATATTGTATGATGTACCTAGCGTAGTCAGAATTCTAGAGATAGAAAGTAGAGTGGTGGTTGCCAGCGTCTGGGAGGGCGGGGAATGTGGAGTTAGTGTTTGATGGGTAGAAAAGACTTCTGTGGATGGACAGTGGTGACAGTTGCACAAGAATGTGAATGTACTCAATGCCACTGAGCTGCACATTTTAAAATGGCTAAAATGGTCAATTTTATTTTATGTGTATTCTGCCACAATTTTAAACAAAGAGTATTCCGACGCGTTAAGAATCAGTTCTCGCCCGCCAGGGGGCTGTATCACCCCCATTGAGAATTCACAGCCTAGAGATCCTTGCATAGGACCTACAGGTGTGGATGTTCATCGCAACATGGTTGGGGGTGGTGAGAGCTGCAGGCACCCTGGGAGTCCCTCCCTTTGATGGTGGGAGAAGTTCTTAGGAAGAATGGGCCCACCTGGACACCGCAGGTGGAAAAGCTGGCGGAGAGATGCTCTTGCTCATTGCTCAGAGGCATCGTGACCGCCCCACACTCATACTCTGCAGGTTTTTGGAAAATCCAGGCTGGGCGCGATGGTTCACACCTGTAACCCCAGCACTTTAGGGGGCTGAGGCAGGAGGATCGCTTGAGGCCAAGAGTTTGAGACCAGCCTGGACAATACGGTGATACCCCATCTCTACAAAAAAGAGAATTAAACAGACATGGTAGCATGCACCTGTAGCCCCAGCTACTCAGAAGGCTGAGGTGGGAGGATCACTCGAGCCCAGATGTTCCAGGCTGCAGTGAGAACCCCTGCATTCCAGCCTGGGGGCTGGAGCGTTATAGTAGGTAGCTGGTCAGGTATGAGCAGGGCAGGAGAGGATCCTCCTCAACACACACCAGGAGTGTCACGCAACCATCAGGTGACGGTCAGGCAGTTGTTAACTGGCTTTCTAAAGTAATAATTGGCCACAGCTGGCATGAGGGAAAGGCAGTCCCTTAATAGATAGAAAACACCTGAAATGGGTGGCCAGAGGCTTCCCAATAAGATCTCAGGAGTGG
Organism: Homo sapiens; assembly: GCF_000001405.40. Lineage (NCBI taxonomy): Eukaryota > Metazoa > Chordata > Mammalia > Primates > Hominidae > Homo > Homo sapiens. Next base: position 46,773,775 of record NC_000020.11, read on the forward strand.
TGAGAAGGAACGCAGGACCCCTGAGGCTTGCCACCATATCAAACCCCAAGTCAAGAGGTCAGGTCGCACACTTGGTCTCTCGAGTTGCCCGCTTGGCCCTCTTCCAAGTGCACTTCCCTTTCTTTCATTCCTGCTCTGAGGCTTTTTAATAAACTTTCACTCCTGCTCTAAAACTTGCCTCAGCCGCTCCTTCTGCCTTCTGCGCCTCGGTCGAATTCTGTCTTCTGAGGAGGCAAGAACTGAGGTTGCTGCAGACCCGTACAGATAACTACTACTGCTAACAAGAGTGAGACCCCATCTCAAAACACAAAAACAAACCCATACACGGCCAAATTAGCTTCCTCATCTCCTCTAGTCAACAACTCAAACTGAATTTTTCAAACTGACCTCTTTGCTCTCAAAATTCTGTTTTTGCCTTTGTTGCTTGAAACAATCTAGGAACATGAGTCTTCTTCATGTCAGAGCTAAACAGCATGCAGATAACTAGCTAAATGTTTCAGAGTCATTCTTTGACCATAAGTAAAATGTGCCAGGTGTGCACTAAGCATCTTATGGGATGGTTACAAGCAGTGCCCCAGATGTGTGCACAGCAGTACAGAGAGGTCTTGACAACACAGCTCAATGCCATTTTACATAAGGTAAAATAGATGCACACAAAGCAATTATAGGTATTTTGCAAACTGCCTACAAACAAAAGGATAACTCAAGCGTGCCAGGGGGAAGCAGGTGAATGGGGAATGGAGATTAGAGGAACTAAATAGATTTATAAACACGAGCACAGCTGTGGGTTGCTCCCAAGATGAAAAACAAAACAAACACACACACATAAACAAAAGAGGGAGTCTATCACATAATGTGGCACACTTAAAACACACACACATACAAAAATGCTCGCATATGTTATCCCGAATCATACAAAATAAAAGAAAAAGAAAACACATCTGGGCAGCTGACAGTGGCAGGAGTTGGAAGCAAAGGATGGAATAAAATAGAATTAACACATGAATGAACAAATCAACCAAGGGTTAGAGCTTGTCTGAACCAATTATGACAATATGTCATTGAAAGGATTTTTTTTTTTTTTTTGAGACAGGATCTCACTCTGTTGCCCAGGCTAGAGTACAGTGGCATGATCATAGTTCACTGCAGCCTCCACCTCCGGGGCTCAAGCAATCCTCCCACCTCAGCCTCCCGAGTACCTGGAATTACAGGAGTGTGTCACCATACCTGCCTAATTGTTTAATTTTTTGTGGAGATGAGGTCTCACTATGTTGACCCGGCTGGTCTCAAACTCCTGGGCTCAAATGATCCTCCTGTCTCAACCTCCCAAAGTGCTGGGATTACAGGTGTGAGTCACCACCCCCGGCCGACAGAGGAATTTGACTAACCCTACCTTCATTCCCCAAGGTCCATAAAGTGCCCAAATAGCCATATAAAGCACCATTGCAGATTCACCTGCGTTAGTTAAGACCTGTTAGTTACAACCAACTGATACCCACCACATTGCCTGAAACCCCTACAGGGCCACTTTCTTATAAAGAAGGCGTGGGGTGTCCTGGAGCCCTGAGGCTGCGAGGCCAGTTGGCTTTATGCCAGCTTGACTCAGAGGGCACCTATCTCTGTGGCTTCTCTCAGTCTTCCTCTCTGGGTCTCTGCTCTCTTCCCTCCATCTTCGGACCCACTTTCTCTGCTTTTACTCACAGAATAATAGCCATCCTTTCTTGTGCTATTTATTTGCAAATAAATGCTACCATTTATTTGCCAGAATAAGTTAAAGCTTTATTCGTTGGCTTGGAGACATTTCTATGAGATATTTTTGAATAAGAAAAAAGAATAGAATGTAGAAAAGAGTGTAAAATAGAATCCCATTTTTATAAAACAAAGACTGATGGAAAAATCCCAATTAATTCGCGTATATTTGTGAGTCTATACATATGTATCACATAAAAACACAGATGCAAATATAAGCACAAATAAAAATAGTTTGAAAGAACACATGCTGGGTTGTTAACCTGGGTCTCTAGCACTGGGCCACAGGGATAATGTAGATAAAAGAGTGAGGAAATAGGAATAAGGGAATAAGGAATGCACATCATTACATGTATTCCTTCATGTAAAATTATGTATAAAGAGATTATGCAAAAGATTGAGAGAGAGAGAGAGAAACATAAAAGTGAAGTGAGACCAAGATTCAAATCTTTACGTCACATTCCACATTCCCAGGGAAGGACTCTGATTGGTCCACTTTGGACCAATCAACTGTGACCAGGAAGCATAGTCATTGGATATAAGTATTAATATATCTGTTCCCACTTCATCTGTGCAGCTAGGGGAGGAGGAGAAAAGTCCAGAAACCTGGGGGGTGGGGGAATTAGTCACATGAAGTAACAGTTTCCACTAGTTTTTGCTTTTTTCTCTGCATTCCTGGAAACCTTAAAAAGAAGGATTGGAGAAGGAAGGGGGCATAAAACAAGTAAGATCTCAGGGAAGCTTAGAAACTAAGCCAGTGAATGAGGTGGGGACAGTACACACAAAGGTTCTGTGACAAGGCCGAGCCTGGAACCATCAGGGGTCTTTAAGTAATTCCAGGTGGCTGGAGAAATACTGAGAGATGGGAGGAGAAAATACTGAGAGATGGGATGGAAACAGAATCAAGCCAACCATGAAGGACCCTGGGCATCCCTGGTGAGTGACGGGTTCAACAAGTTTATGGGCAGGTCAAGATGGTCTTACAAGCCATCAGAAAGACTCCGCTTTTCCTGGAATGAGATGGAAGCCACTGGAGGGTTTTTTGTTTGTTTGTTTGTTTGTTTTCAGATATAGGGTCTCACTGTGTTGCCCAGGCTGGAGTGCAATGGGGCAATCATAGCTCACTGCAGCCTTGAACTCCTGGGTTCAAGCCATCCTCCCCACTCAGCCTCCTGAGTAGTACTACAGGCATGCACTACCACACCCAGCTAATTTTTTTTTTTATTGTTTTCTTTAGAGACAGGGTCTCACAATGTTTCCCAGGCTGGTCTTGAACTCCTGGGCTCCAGTGATCCTCCCACCTCAGCCTCCCAGAGTCCTGGGATTACAGGCATGAGCCGCCGTGCCCAGCCAGGTTTTGAGCAGAGGCAGGACATAGTTCCACTTAGGTTCTAACAGGATTCTCTAGCTGCTGTACAGAGAAGAGGCTCCCCAGGCAAGGACAGAACCAGGAGACCAATGAGAAGGTGACCGCAGTAGTTCAGGTGAGAGACGGTGGTGGCAGTGGACACCAGATTCGGGATGCTTTTTAAGATTAGAGCCCACAGGATTTGTTGATGGACCATTTGTAGGGTGGGACAGGAAAAGAGGCCCAGGAAGGAGGTACCATTGACATTTGATCCCAAAACTCAGCCAGACCAGATTGAAAAACAGATTGAAGTTGGTCACTCGCTTATCTCGAGGAGTTTCCAAGATGAGAGTTTCAGCCTGTCACCCCAGAAATACAGTGAGGCCATTAGTTCCCCATCTTAATCAGATCTCTCCCATCCTATTAAGCAATTTGGGGCCATATCTGGAGAAGATTTTGTTATTTACCTAAATCTCTGGCTGCTTCATTTAGACCTGGTGTTTAGGCGGAATGCAATTAACACATTCCAAACCTGGTTTCCCCTAAAATCCAATCAACTGTAACTCGTTTTCAAATCACACTGCTTTCTCTAATTGTGAACCTCAGCCTCCGCAGAATAGCGATTTAAGTCAATTATTGCCTCGCTTGTATGAAAATTGTGCTATTTATGTTGGCAGCTCCCCACATTACTGATGAGCTTCCTCGAGCTAATGGAATAATGAAAACACAAAACAGATTTACCATTCTTAATAAGAGAAAGAGATAATGAAGGCAAATTAAAATGGAGGCTCAGATCTGCATGGAGAACAGGTAATGCAGTTTCTTCTTTGAAATTAACACTCGAATTCTCAAATGCCAATGGCAGGGAGGGGGAAAGAAACTCAAAATTCCTTTAGACACAAGTGTGCCACTTCAGCTTGGTTTTGAAGATTGTGGTCCTCCCCGGCACTTTCTGGAGTTTAGATATGGGACGCTGTCAGCAGCCATCCCTGCTGGCACAATAGCCCACGCGCTCACCTCCTCCCCCATTTATGAGCGAAAACTCGCTTTCCACCAGACACGACGTTCAGCTCTCTCATGCCTTAGGTCATTAGATCCTCTCCAAGTTCTATGCGCTCAGTAGCGTTATCATTATTTCACAGAAGAACCAGTTAAATAATTTATCCAAGGCTTAACGCTGCATGTGAATCTAGCCCAGGGTCTCAACTGATTGTTGTTTGAGGCTAGCTAATTCTTTGTAGTCGGGGGTGGGGGCTGTCCTGTGCTTTACAGGATCATTAGCAACATTCCCAGATTCTACTCACAAGACACCAGTGGCAGCCCCATACCTCCAGTGATGATGACCAAAGATGTCTTGAGACGTTGTCAAATGTTCTCTCCGAGGCATAATCACCCCCGGCTGAGAGCTGCTGGTCTAGATTGTGTGCTTGTCAATCAACCCGAACAGCCAGTCTTGCCGGTGTAAGCAGCAAGAGGCTGAAGGTCAGGAAACCCGCATCCTGGATCTGTCCCCACCTCACATTGTGGCCCAGGGAAAGTCACAGTTCCTCATGGGGCCTGGGTGTTCTGACCTGCCAAATGAGTGTGATGGCACTGGGACCTGGAACCTGGCTTGGCTAAAGAAGTTTGGCCAAGGTCATTGAAGACCTTGGTCAAGTGAGAAGCAGCAGGCCAAGGTGGGGCGGTCACAGGGGGGAAAGGTCAGAGAGATGTGAAGGGCAGCCAAGCCAGAGGGTCTATATTGGCAAGAAGCAAGGTCAGCTGCGGTCAGAGGGGCCAGAGACCTGCAAAGGCCAGAGCTGACTCCAGGAGGCCGGGAGAGCTGAACATCTGCCTCCCTCCCTCTTCCTGCAAAGGCCAGAGCTGACTCCAGGAGGCCAGGAGAGCTGAACATCCAGCTCCCTCCCTCTTCCTCCTCTGCACCAGGCATTGGGGTCTTACACCTCATTTTCCTGTGCTTTTGCTGTGCACTTTCCCATTTACTACAAATAGATGCTTCTGGGCCTAATTCTGGGGCTAATGAGACTCAGACTGGTGATTATAATAAATATAAAAATGATAGAAACAGATACGAAATGCTGTGCAGAGCCCTCCACTGGCTTCACGGCCTGCATCCTCCCAGCAGCACTGTATCCTTATCGTTATTAGCCCAGAGGGACAGCCCATTGCTAGGTGTCACAGAGAGAAAGGAGAGAAAAGAGAGCCTTTGAGGCCGAGGAGAAAGAAAGAAAGAAAGAAAGAAAGAAAGAAAGAAAGAAAGAAAGAAAGAAAGAAAGAAAGAAAGAAGGAGAAACTTGGTGGTAATGGTTGTCATTTATTGAATGCATACTGTGTGCCAGGCCCTGTTCTAAGCACCTGACTTGGTTTTGCTCATTTAATCCTCACCATCACGTTTAATCTCCACTTCATAGTTAGGCACAGAGAGGTTAAGCCAGTTGCCAGGTTTGCACAGTTAACTAGTGGTAGAGCTGTGATTTGAACCCATAGTCTGGCTCCAGATTCTGTGCTCTTGACAGCTGTCCCTCAGAGCTGATGGCTCTGTGCTGCACCTGGGAAATTTAGTCCTCAGCCATGGGGGCCCCTGAACCCACCCAAGGTTTTGTGCTTTAAACACAGCATGAATGATTGGGGCCTCCTGTCCTGGAGGGAACATGTGGGAACTAGACAACCCATTATGTAGGGACTTTGCACTGATAACAGTGCCCCCGCCCACCACTCCCATGGCTTGGGCTACCCAGGATATTCGCACAAGCATTGGTTGGGAACCCCAAGAAGGACTGAGTTTGGCCTCCCCAGCAGTTCACTGACTTGACACATGGCTTGGAGACCAAAAGAAAGTGCTTAATAAAAACAAAACAAAACAAAAAACACCTGAGTTTGTGAACCAAGAATAATCCAAGGACGATACTTGGTCAGTAAGAAAAGTGCCCAGCATGGAGGTTGGCACATCGTGGGTGCTCAGTAAATGTTAGTCCCCACCTTGTTCCTGACCATGCCATCACCACCCACCCCCCGCCTTGCTTAGGGCTTACCCCGCTGGGTGGGGGTCTGTTTGGGGTAGCTTGTGCAGTCATCTAACTGGTCCCATCCCTCACTTGCAACAGACCGCCCCTGCTTGGTAGCTCATCTTTCTTTTCTGAGGCTAATGCTTGGCTGTGTGACCTTTGGCAGGGTGCTTGACCTCTCTGAGCTTCCACTTCCTGGGAGGTTGGGCAGAATCTGTGGATTCTCTTTCAACTCTGAAATGCTAGGAATCTCCACTCGGCTCTCTCTTGCAACCCTCTTCTCTCCTCTTCCCTCCACCTCCTCCATCTGTATCTGTATCTCTTTCCTTCTGTCTATACCAAGCTTCTCCAACCTGTGGTCTAGGACAGCTTTGAATGTGGCCCATCACAAATTCGTAAACTTTCTTAAAACATTATGAGATTTATATTTGCAATTTTTTAAAAGCTCATCAGATATCATTAGTGTTAGTGTGTTTTATGTGTGGCTCAAGGCAATTCTTCTTCTTCCAATGTGGCCCAGGGAAGCCAAAAGATTGAACACCCCTGGATTCTGGACTCTTCTCCACACACCTCTGGGCACTGCTCTGAGCCTCTTTCTAGATCATGATTTCCCAGGAATGGGGGAGGGCAGGATGGAGAGGACCATTCCCCCTTTTCCATGGGGTGGCACTGCCCAAGAGGGCTTCGGGCTAGATACCCGGGCGCGCGGCTTGCGTTTTCAGGAAGCTTGTAGCACAGGTAGATCTCAGCTGACGTCTAGTTGACAAGCTAAATATTTACGGAGCTCCTAAGATTTCCCACCACGTTAAGCCCATTGCTTGATCTCACGTCTGCACACAGCCCTTCTCTATTCACCTTCAGTCAGACGTTTCCCAGAATCCTCTGGGTTCCAGGCACCATCTCTCAGGAGGGTGATGAAACCATGTCTGCGTCTAATCAATTCCAGTAATAATAATAATTCCTTATCGTTGTATAGGATTTCTCAAAGCACGTTTGCACACATTATCTCACTCGCTTTTCACATTAACCCTGTGACTTAGATTTTATTTTGAGTCCCATTTTGGAGAGCATGGCTGAGCCACCTACTCCAGGGCCAGCGTGTGGCAGAGCTGTCAGGATCCTCCCTCTTGTCCTCCCACGGTTGGCAAGGCCAGCTCACTCACATCCAGTTCATCTCTGGGCCCCAGGACAAGAGTATAAATGGAGCCCGACGTACCATGTGTCTAATATTTAAAAGTTATAAACAAAGCTAAACATGTTTTTTTATCTTCCTACCTTGACTAAAATACCTGGAAGCCCAGGTTCAAATTTAGAGATCTTGGGCCGGGTGTGGTGGCTCACGCCTGTAATCCCAGCACTTTGGGAGGCTGAGGCAGGTGGATTACCTGAGGTCAGGAGTTCGAGAGCAGCCTGGCCAACATGGTGAAACCCCATCTCTACTAAAAATACAAAAATTAGCCAAGCGTGGTGGCGCGCACCTGTAATCCCAGCACTTGAGAGGCTGAGGCAGGAGAATCATTTGAACCTGGGAGGCAGAGGTCAGAGTGAGTTAAGATCAAGCCACTGCACTCCAGCCCTGGTGGCAAAGCAAGACTTTGTCTAAGAAAAAATAATAATAAATAAATAAATTTAGAGATCTTGGGCTCCTTGGGGTTTCCCACTGGAATGTGCTAGAAGCCATAATAAAAAGCATGGCCTTTTTAGTTTCATAAACTAAAAAATTTGCTTTATGCCACAGCCAGTTTAAGTTCCTGTCATTTATAGGAAGAGTCCTGATAATGCGGTTGCTGTGGAAGACAGACCAGGGGACAGGAGGGAAGGGAGGCCAGGCTTCCCCTGGTGAACTGGGAAGATCAGAGACCCACAGTAGTTCATGATGAGACCTTTGAGACCAACGGTCCCCAGCCTTTTTGGCATGAAGGACTGGTTTGGTGGAACACAGTTTTTCCACAGATGGGGGCAGGGAATGGTTTCAGGATGATTCAAGCGCATTACCTTTACGGTTCACTTTATTTCTATTATTATTAGATTGTAATATATAATGAAATAATTATACAACTCACCATAATGTAGAATCAGTGGGAGCCCGAGCTTGTTTTCCTGCAACTAGATGGTCCCATCTGGGGGTGATGGGAGACAGTAACAGATCATCAGACATTAAATTCTCATAAGGAGTGCACAACCTAGATCTCCATCATGCGCAGTTCACGATAGGGTTCGAACTCCTATGAGGATCTAATGCCGCAGCTGACTTGTCAGGAGGCGGAGCTCAGGTGGTAATACGACTGGTACCAGGCTCTGACCCAGGCACTGGGGACCCCTGTTTTAGATAATGGAATAGCTATATAAAGTTTAATCAAAGAAGAGGACCAAGAAAACTTATAAATCCTTGCACCACATGCACCCACACCATGCCTTTGTAAGATAAGAAAATAATACAGGAATACTGTCAATACCTTGAAATTCTCAAACCATAGCTCACCTTCATAGAATATCAAAGCTCATTTGGCCCAGTCTCTCTATCTTACCAATGAAAAAAATGGAAGTTCAGAGAAGGGACCCGCTCAAGGCCTCCAAGCTGGTGAGCAGCAGGAACCATTCATCAGGTTAGCAAATATTTCTTGATCCCATATCACATCCAAGATCTCATGGTAAACACTGGAGAGACCTTGGGATCCACCACCTGTCTTTGCAAATAAATTTTATTGAAACACAGCCCTGTCTATTTGTTTATGTATTGTCCAGGGCTGCTTTTGCATTACAGTGGCAGTGTTGAATAGTTGCAGGAGCCTAACTCTTACCTTGGCCTGCAAAGCCTAAAATGTTTACCCTCTGGCTCTTTGCAAAAAGTTTGCTGGCCAGGCACGGTGGCTCATGCCTGTAATCCCGGCAGTTTGGGAGGATGAGGCGGGTGGATCACCTGAGGTCAGGAGTTCGAGACCAGCCTGGCCAACAAGATGAAACCCTGTCTCTACTAAAAATACAAAAAATTAGCCAGATGTGGTGGCAGGCGCCTGTAATCCCAGCTACTCGGGAGGCTGAGGCAGGAGAATTGCTTGAACCCGGGAGGCGGAGGTTGCAGTGAGCTGAGATCGCACCACTGCACTCCAGCCTGGGCAACAAGAGTGAAATTCTGTCTCAAAAAAAAAAAGTTTTCAACCCCTGCAACAGGAAATAAACTAGGCATGAGGTTCCAATCTAGAGAGATGGAAATAGTACCCAAATATCATTCCACAAACATAGGCAGGCAGGAAACGAACCTCTCTGTATTTCTCCAGGGCAATTTGAGTCTCCATTTTTGGGGAATGTTGAAATCTTAGTTTCATCGAGTTGAGGCTCCTGCACTTTCCATGGGTGAATTCTGAGTTCATGCAGTGCCAAGTATTTGAAGGAAGTGGGTGGGGGCTGGCCTTGGGGTGACTTGGCCATCTGTCATGCTTTGGTCCTCAGTCACTGTCCACACAGTAGCTGTGGGGTTCCCATCCTCAGGGCACCTGCAGATCCAGAGATTCTCTGCTGGATCCTTGTTGCCCTCGGCTCACAGATATTAATCATATTCAACTGCTCCCTTCCAAGCTGTGGGGTGAGGACTTTGGTGAGGGCCAGACTGCTTGGAGCACACACCTGTGCCTACAGCCACCTGTCTTCTGGTCTTCTGCTACCTCTTCACGGCTCTCCCCATGCTCTGGACACAGTGCTGTGCTCCGGATGTCTCCAGGCACACTCACACCTCTGTCTGCTTTTCATCACCCGCCACTACCACCACCCCACTCCAAGCCATCGTTGTCCCCTCTCTGGGCCATGACAGTGGCCTCCTGCCTGGTCTTTCTAATCACAACCTGCTCTCCATGGTTCCCAAGGTCTATTAGCCCTGGGCAGCCATAATAATCCTTTAAAAATGGAAGTCATCTCTGCCACTCCTCTGCTCTTTAACCCCTCACCCCTCTACAGTCAGCATCCCATCTGCAATCAGCATCAATGGCTTCCCATCTCCAATCAGCATCAATCCTAAGGTCTTTGCCATGACTTCTAGGGCTCCAAATAAACCAAAGCGCTTTTGTCCATTGACCCTACTGAGCCATCCTCGTTCCATCCACCCCACCCCAGTTACCAGTCAGACAACATTTCCTAACACAGTAAGTGTTGGCTACTGTTTCAATTTTTTTTTTTACCCTGTCTCCCAGGCTGGAGTGGAGGAACCCTCTGCCTCCCAAGTTCAAGCAATTCTTCTGCCTCAGTCTCCCAAGTAGCTGGGACTACAGGTGCACACCACCATTCCCCGCTAATTTTTGTATTTTTTAGTAGAGTTGGGGTTTCACCATGTTGGCCAGACTGGTCTTGAACTCCTGACCTCAAGTGATCCGGCTGCCTCAGCCTCCCAAAGTGTGAGATTACAGGCATGAGCCACTGTGCCTGGCCTGTTATGAATATTATTACTATTAAAAAATCAGGGAAATTACATTTTTCTATATGTGGAGTACGAACTGAGGTTTTGACCTGTTTACATGTCTCATGAGAGGGACCTTGGGTTCTGACTGTCTACAAGGTGATATACCCTGTCTAGAAGCTTCCCCTGCCCCCCCGGGAGACCCAAGGACCCCTGGGTCACAGGATCAGGCTTTCTGGCTGGTCGTCCCCTCAGAAGAGGCCAGGGCTGCAATCTTGTCTTAAGAATCTTTATTGGAAAATAAACACCGTTAATGTACAAGAAATCCCATCCAAGGGTCCAGTCAAAACATCTCTGTGTGGACTGATGCCATCCTAATGGGCTCCAGATGTCCTCCCGTCTCAGTGTCCTGGTGACCTGAGGGAGGGAGGTGGGCCTTGGGGGAGACACGTGGCAGGTTTGGAACCTGAGCAGGGCCTCTTTGCTGCCCCAGTTTCTCTCTGTGTGGGAAGGTTTGGGGGACCTCCTGCACCCGACCCTGTCCCGTTTCACCAGACCCCCGTCTGTCTTTGCCCTCAGCGGCCTCTGCAGCTTCCTTCTCCTGAGTTTATTCATCTGACCACAGGAAATGCCCAGCTTGGGTGGATCCGATTTCACTTGAAATTGAAACTGGAGGTGACTCCTTCCGGTCAGCTGAGCTGGAGGCCATGTCTATGCCAAAGCAAGCCAGCTCTTCCCAGAGAACTGTGGAAGGAGCTGCGGTGGGGATCGGGTATTAGGAGGGAGGGGGCTTGGAGAGATGCGTCAGAGGCCAGAAAGGAAGACACAAGTTGGGGGTTCGAAAGACAAGCTCAGAAATGTCTCTACTGATAACTTTCTTGAAGATTACTCTTCAAAATTACGGCCTTACGATTTAACACCTGAGCTGACCCCAGCTCTCTCTGAGACCTCATTTCCTACCACACCTCCCAGCACCCTCTTTGCTGCAACCCCACTGGCCTGCTCGCTCTTCCTCCAACCAGGCAAGAACAGTCCTGCCCCCGGGTCTCTGCAGTTGCTGGTTCCATCACCTGGAGAGCCCTTTCCTTAAATATCTCCGCGGCTGGCTCACTCTGTTCAGATGTCCCTCCTCAGAGATGCTCTCCCTGATGGCCAGGTCTAGAATATCTGCTGCCTCCCCTCTGCCTCGCGCTTCTGTGTCTTTTCTCTTGTCTCGTTTTCCTTCACGGCACTTCTCACTACCTGCTACTAGACGACGTATTTCATCGTCTGTTGATTTGCTTTTCCTGTCTCCCTCGCTAGGCTCCAGGAGCCACCGGGGGCTTGTTCACGCTTGCTGCTGTGGCTCCAGCAGTAAGAACGGGGCCTGGCACCTAGTAGGTGCTCAGTCAATAGTTACTAAGTGATGCTATAGTGATACATTCTCAGCGTAAAAATATTTAAACGATCCAGGTGATGAGGTCAGGAGTTCGAGATCAGCCTGGCCAACATGGTGAAACCCTGTCTCTATTGAAAATACAAAAATTAGCCAGGCATGGTGGTGCACACCTGTAATCCCAGCTACTTGGGAGGCTGAGGCAGGAAAATAGCTTGAACCTGGAAGGCGGAGATTGCAGTGAGCCGAGATCATGCCACTGCACTCCAGCCTGGGCAAGAGAGAGCGACTCCATCTCAAAAAATAAATAAATAAACAAACAAATAAACAAACAGTCCAGGTGAGCTTTTTAAAAAATAATCCAGCAGATGGGTCCTTGAGGCTTCACCCCCACCTCAACTGCCCCCAACCCCACTCCACCCTACCCTCAGTGTCCCTGGAGTCTGGAGCAGGCGGCTGGGCCCCTGTGGTGGTATAACTGCCTGCTCTGCTCCACGAGGCTACAGAGGGCTTCATGTGGATGTCTGTTTCCCTTCCTCACACCCACGTGGCTGTGACTGCAAAGGAATGGCGACTGGACAGCGTCTTGCAGCAACCAAGGCAATCACAGTAATCCTGGCCGATAGCCCTAGAGCCCTATCTGAGCCTCACAACAACCCCAGATGGAGGTTACATCATTACCCCATCAACAGAGAAGGAAACTGAGGCACAGAGCGATTCAATGTCTGCCCAGGGTCCCATGGATAGCAAATGGGGGAGCTGAGAGCTGAAGCCCAGTATTCCCAGTTGGGTATTGGTCCCAGGTCCACATGAGGCCAAACCCAATGTCCTTCCCTTTACACGAAGCATCATCAGTGTGCTCTGGAGCCAAGAGAAATTAAGCACTTGCATTCGATCCTCCAGCATGGCTCTGCCAGGGAAAGTGGCCGGGAGAGGACACTTACCTCTGGGGAAAGGAGAGGAACTGAGGCTCACAGACTAATGAATGTGTAAGAGTCTTAGGTCTCTGCCAACCTCAGTGGTCAGAGTCCACACTACTTCCCCTTACCAGATTACTGCCCTCTGTTAGAGTCATTCTTCGGGGGGAGCTGCCAGGAGGCCTGTGTATTCTCACCAGGCTTCCCTCCCTGAGAGAAGCCAAACGTATAAACAACTCATGATTTGTGTGAATTTCCCATGATGTACCCAATCCAAGTTTGGCTATACCAAATAGATGAAAGCAGAGACTTCTAGAAATCCAACCCTGAGGTCAGGCGTGGTGGTTCATGCCTGTAATTCCCGAGGTGGGCAGATCACTTGAGGTCAGGAGTTCGGGACCAGCCTGGCCAACATGGTGAAACCCGTCTCTACTAAAAACACAAAAATTAGCTGGGCATGGTGGCAGGTGCCTGTAATCCGAGCTACTGGGGAGGCTGTGGCAGGAGAATCACTTAAACCCAGGAGGCGGAGGTTGCAGTGAGCCGAGATCGCACTGCACTCCAGCCTGGGTGACAGAGCAAGACTCCATCTCAAAAAAATAAATAAATAAAATAAATCGAGCCCTGAAAGGCACTTGGAAACCATTTACCCACTCTCCCCTTCTCTCCTTCCATTCCACTCTCACTGCTGTTCCCATCACACCAGGTACAGACGTACCCTCCCTCCGGGCCTGTGTGCTTGCCCAGCCACCCACCCAGAACGTGACTGCCCCCCTCCTGCCCTGGCTCACATATCACCTTCTCAGTAAGGCCTTTCTTCACCTGTCATGTCCTGACATACCAGGTGCTGCACTTATTTTTGCATTTAATATTTGCTTCCACCTTCTGGGAGGTCACCTTCACAGGGGCAGGGATTTCTCTTTCCTCGACTTCCTGCAGTGTGTCAAATGCCAGGCGCCAGGAGATGCCCAACACATTAGTTAAAAAATTGATATCCAAGAGCCTCTCCTTTTACAGGTGAGCAAATTAAGGACCAGCGGAGGGAAGGACTTGCCCACGTCCATCCAACCAACTAGAGCCTATAGTCATTGCTTAGGGCCGTCATGACAAATTGCCACAATCTTGGTGCCATAAATTCCTGCCAAAACAATAGAAATTTCTCCTCTCACAGTTCTGAAGGTCAGAAATCCCAGATCAAGGTATGGGCAGGGCCACACTCCCCTGCAAGGCTCTGGGGGAGAATTCATTGCTTGCCTCTTCCAACGGCAGGAGATCCCTGGCTTGTGGCTGCACCTCTGTCTGCCTCCATCTTTACGGGGCCTTCTCTGTGTCTCTGCGTCCCTCTCCCTCCTCTTATAAAGACATCAGTCATTGGATTTAGGACCCATCCTATCTTCAGGGTGACTTCATTTCAAGATCCTTAGATAATTATGCCTGCAAAGATCCTATTTCCAAATAAGCTCACATTCTGAATTTTGGGGGACAGTAGGCACCCTCCTACAGAGGCAGAGCTGGCAAGATTCCAGGTCTCCTCCCAACTGCAGCCCCCATGGGGACTTCACAAGGAACTCAGCTTTCAGGGAGGGCGTTGGCGGCCAGCGGCTGTGGCTGTCAGTCTCCCACGTACTTGTCAAGAAGGAGATGAAAAAAATAAACTATAGGGTTAATGAAAGCGGCAAGATGACCTCGGCTGATCCCCGTAATCCCTTGCTCTAAGCCTGGCTTTCTATCATCAGTCAAGGGTTCTTTTTTTTCTCCTTCTTCAGAAAGTTTCTCCAGAGAAGCAGCCCTTCCAAATTTAATAAATCTCCCCGCCCCCAGCTTTCCCTGAAATAATGAACCGGCAGGATGATTTTCAAATGTCTGTCTCAACGCTGTGACGAAGAATCCCCAGGAAAAAACTGCAGGGGAGAGGGAGGTGTGCAGACTGGGGCTGTTTGTGGCTGAGGATGTGCACAGATGCCTGGAAGTGTGTGTGATGGTGTGTGCAGCGTGTGTGTGTATGTGTGTGTGTAAGGAGCATCAGGCCTGTGGGACGGGGATCTGACAGGGACTGCCTACATTGAAAGTGTGTGCACGTAGGTAGACACATGTGTGTGAACATGTGAGTGAAAAAATGAGCACGTGCGAATGTGCACGTGTGTGTTTGCGACTGTGCGTGTGTGTGTGCATGTGTGCGTGAGTACATGTCAGAGAGAACGTAAGTATTAGAGTTTATGTGTCAGGCAAAGGTTTGGAGGTCCATGTGCAGTGTGAGGAAATGCCTGGATGCCTGGATATGGAGGTGTGTGTTTATTGGATGTGAGCGTGTGGGTGTGCAGGTGTGTGTTTATTGGCTGTGAGCGTGTGGGTGTGCAGGTGTGTGTTTATTGGATGTGAGTGTGTGGGTGTGCAGGTGTGTGTTTATTGGATGTGGGCGTCTGGGTGTGCAGGTGTGTGTTTATTGGATGTGGGTGTGTGGGTGTGCACGTGTGTGTTTATTGGATGTGTGTGGGTGGGTGTGCAGGTGTGTTTATTGGCTGTGAGCGTGTGGGTGTGCAGGTGTGTGTTTATTGGCTGTGAGCGTGTGGGTGTGCAGGTGTGTGTTTATTGGATGTGAGTGTGTGGGTGTGTGGGTGTGTGTTTATTGGCTGTGAGCGTGTGGGTGTGCAGGTGTGTGTTTATTGGATGTGAGTGTGTGGGTGTGCAGGTGTGTGTTTATTGGATGTGGGTGTGGCGGGTGTGCAGGTGTGTGTTTATTGGATGTGGGTGTGTGGGTGTGTAGGTGTGTGTTTATTGGATGTGAGCGTGTGGGTGTGCAGGTGTGTGTTTATTGGATGTGGGTGTGGTGGGTGTGCAGGTGTGTGTTTATTGGATGTGGGCGTGTGGGTGTGTAGGTGTGTGTTTATTGGATGTGAGCGTGTGGGTGTGCAGGTGTGTGTTTATGTGCATACAGGCCAATGTGGGTGTGAATGTGTGTATATGGGCCTGTGGGAGTTAGGGTATGTGAGTGTTTGGTGACGGGGAGGTAACTCTGAACATCACATTAATATGACTCATAACAATACCCAAAGCCTTTCCAGTGGTCCAGGGTCCCTACACAGTCTGTGGCTGCCCCACTTCCCTTCTGACCTTATGGTACCGCCTTCGCCTTCGTCCTCTCTCCTCCAGCCGCACGGGCTCCGTGGTGCTCCCTGAACACAGCAGGTTCATCCCTGATGAGAGTCTCTCATGGCTTCCTCTCTCACCTTTTCCTGGCTCTGCTCTGTGTCATCTTACCAGAGCGCCCTGCTGCAGCCACTGCTGCCCTCCTCCGGAATTCCCCATCCTCCTTCCCTGGAGTGTGGCAGGACAGAAAGGCAGACCAGGAGGTGGGAGTGCGGGTGCTGACCAAAGTTGGTAACTTCAGTAGAATCTCACTGGCTTGACAAGATAACCCAGGTCACATAAAATTCTTTGCTGTTGGGAAGTCTTTTTAGAATGTTTGGCTAGAGGGGAGTTTAGAAATCATCTAGTTTCATGCTTCTTTACTGATTTGTGATCATGAACTATCATTCATCTTCTTTGGGTAACAAGTAACAAAAATATAAAACCTCAAACTGGCTGAAGCCAAAAAGTGTATTTGTTGGCTTATATAACTTCTGGGTAATGCATTTCCAGAAGTAGAACTAGCTTCAAGCTTGGCTGGACTCAGTGACTTAAACTGAATGCATGTCCATCAGGACGGGTCCTTCTCCATCTCTCAACTGTTTGCCTTTGTATTGGCTTTAGACCTCTGGAGACCTTCTTTGCATGGTGGCCTTGAGTAGCATTGGGCATTTATCCAATTAGCTTAGCAACCCGAGTTCATATCACTGCAGCAAATATTCTGAGACGACACTCATTGGCCTGGCTTGACACATCTGCTCACACCAGAAAGATGGCTCCAGGCACAGGGTATAGTGAGCAGCTGCTATTTTTGGAACCCAGCACACTTTCACCATATAGGAGAGCCCTAAGTTTCCTGCAGCAATTTACCTCCCCAACTCGCAGTCCATAAGCTGACCAGGCAATCAGTGTCCCTGGCCCTAGTGACTGGTTCAGGGGAGTCCTATGGCTTCAGCCAAGCCAATCAAGCCAATTCAGGGGAAACCATGGCTTTTGCTTTCCACACGAGCAAAGGTGTTAGAGTCTCTTCCTCTCTGGACTTGATGTTGTGAGGGTGTCAGGCCGAAGGTCAGTGCATTAGGCCATTCTTGCATTGCTATAAAGGAATACCTAAGGTGGGTAATTTATAAGAAAAGAAGTTTAATTGTCTCATGGTTCTGCAGACTGTACGGGACGCATAGTGCCAGCATCTGCTTCTGGTGGGGCCTCAGGAAGCTTCCAATCATGGTGGAAGGTGAAGGGGGAGCAGGCATCTCACATGGCCACATAGGGAACAAGAGAGAGAGCAAGAGGAGGGCCTGCATTCTTTCAAACAGTCAGATCTTTCGAGAACTCACTCACTATCATGAGGACAGCACGAAGGGGATGGTGCCAAACCATTCGTGAGAAACCCCGCACCCCATGGTCCAGTCACCTCCCGCCAGGCCCCACCTCCAACACTGGGGATTGCATTGCAACAGGAGATTTGGGTGGGACAGACATCCAAATCATATCAGTGAGTCAGTCATCTTGACACCACAAAGGAAAATCCCATGAGGGTCCCAGGGGAGGCGGCCCTGAAAGATGAAATCATGTGAGCATTTGCAGCAAGTGGTACCTGGAGCCGGCCAATCCTTCTGAGCTTTTGCACTATAAAATCCAGTCAATCCCTACAGGGATGGAGAGTGGTTGTTGAATGGGTACAGCGTTTTTGTGTGGGATGATGAAACTGCATCCATCTGGAGATGGGTGGTGGTGATGGCTACACAATACCGTAGATGAACTTAGTACCACTGAAACAATTGTGCATTGAAAAATGGTTAAAACGGTAAATTTTATTATGTATATCTTACCACATTTTTTAAAACTACAAAAAACTCTTAATAAATTCCTCTTTTGTTTAAGTCTGTTTGAATTGTGGTTTTACTCTTACAACCACAAGTCCAGGTAACACTAAAGACATGACTTCAGCTTATTTATTTATTTTGTAAAAAATACCCAAGCATATTTAAATATATCTGCCCTGTGTCCTATCCCCTCATGGGTTCCACTGGCAACTAAAGAAACATCTGGACTAAGGTTTTGGCAGGCACCAATGCACTACTCTTTTCTGGGTAACACTTTTGTGTATTTGTAGAGACTTCTGGAAGGAGTGCTTCGAATCCTAAAGCGTGCCTCTAGTGGTAGTGCTGAGGCCCAGGCACATAGGAGGCTTTCCCACAAATCCACAGGTAGATTCACTCAGCAAACAAGCCCTCACTGACACCCCACCTGCACCTGGGAGTGGCGGGGCTCCTGCACACTGGCCAGCAGCCTCTGGGCATTCCCCATTCCATAGTAGAGGCTTCTCTTCCCCCTACAAGGAACCTGAGTGTGGCAGGGCCAGCCAGGCAAGTCCTACCCACCCACCCACTCTGCTTGGCCCTAAGCACCTAAAAATCCAACCAGATTTTTATCCCTCGGGCCAATCTCGTGTGATTTCCTGGTGACAGGTGCTGTCAGATCCTGAGGCCATGGTGGGGCAGGCAGTCGGGGCTCCCCTCCCGCCTCACCTTATCTGGCTCCCTTCCCTGCCTTCCAACCTCTAAATGGTTATTAACATTACAAGCAGCATTCCTGAGCCAGCTGTAGCCTCTCTGATCGGTCATTGATGCCATGATAGACAGAGGATCCTCCTCTCCCTTCAGGGGCTGGGACATATCTGCCCACGATCCCCCCCTCTCCAATGACCGAAGTTTTACATTATCTGCTAATTCACTCATTCATTTACTTGTTCATTCATTTATTCATTGTGGCCCCTGCAGCCTCTCTCTGTCACCTCCCTCCTTCCTGCCCCTGCAAGCCCGCCCCCAGCCTTTGCCCTTGCTGTTCCCTCTGCCTAGAGCACCCTTCCTTCAGAGCTTCCCATGGCTACCTGCTTCTCGTCCTTCAGCTCTGGGTCAGACGTCACCACCTCAGAGAAGGCCTTGTTGACCACCTTGTCTAAGATGCACTTTGCCCCTCAGACATCTAAATTTTCACTCTACTCATTTCCTCCATGGCATCAGCATTATCTGATCATTTTCTTGTCAGTTGCATCTGGCGTGCTTGTTGATGATCTGTCCACCCCAACCGGAGGAAAAAGAGTAAGAGGGGCCTGGATACTTCTATGTTTCTGGAGGTCAGAACCAGGTCCAGCTCCAAACTGGTGTTTAGAAAATAATTGTTGAGTGTCTTTGGTTGGGTCTCCCCAGAAGCAGACCCTGAGACCGGGATTCAAGCTCAAGAAGTTTATTTGGGAGGTGCAGGAAATATCAGTATAGGAGAGGGCAAGTGATGTGGGGAAGGAAGGCAGCCCATGCAGGGTGCCATCAAGCAGCTGGAGCTTAGTCCCACTGGGGCCCTCTGGGTGACTCTGTAGCTGGGTGACACATCTCGAAGCTACCCCATCTGGGCAGTGAAATAGCTGGTGTATTTATTTTCAAACTCCCTCAGTCATGAGTGACCACTCCGGGTTGCTCCCTGGAAAGGAGGAGGCATTCTTTCCAGGTGCTTCCTGACCTCCATAGGCACAGCAGGGCTCATCTCAGAGTCCTGTGAAAGCCCGCAGGCAAAGGGATGCAGGTGCTGCTGGCTAGAAGTCAGGCTGGGGTGCACTGGGGTAAAGACCAAGGGGGCACAGGTGGGAGCTGTCAATATCTGCCAGGTGAATAAACGAATGAATGAACAAATGCAGTCATTCATTCATTCCATCAGCCTGAATACCTACAACATAAAGTGTTGCCAATGGAGTGATGATTTAGATACACACAGTTCTTGTCTTTATGGAGCTGGAAGTCTGAGAAGGGGAATGGGAGGAACAAGCAAGAAACAGAATCACAAATGTAATTGTTTAATTTCAATTGTGGCACGGGCTCGGGCTCCAAGATGAACAGGAGCTCTGAATGTTTGCAAGGTGGGTGCCTGAGGCTGGCCAGGATGGTAGGATCTCCCTGAGAAGGCCACATTGAACCTGAGCCCTGGTGAATAACCTGGAGGGACAGCACCACAGACAGGAGGAACAGCATTACGGAGGCTCTGGGGAGAGAGGAGCGATCTGTTGGGGAATCACTGCAGGGGAGTACATGTCTCTGCAGACTTCTGTTTCCAATTGCCTGCTCCACATCTCTACTAGACGTCTAATAAACATCTCAAATTAACACAGCTGAAAATAAATTATTAGTTTTCCACTTGCAGACTTGCTTCCCTTCCACATTTTCCCTGTCCCAGTCCATGGCACCTGCACTCTCCCCAGCTTCTCAAATGTCACCCTGTCAAGAAGATCCCTCTGACCACCCATAAGAACATGCAGTAAAGCCCCACCACAGCCTTCCATCTCCCCACCCTACTTTGCTTCTTCATGGCACTGTCATCCCCTGACCAATTATCTGCTGTATTTATTGTTTGCCTCGCTGAGATGGAAGGTCCCTGAGAGATTGAATGGTGCTCTGTTCCCTATGACATCCCCAGCCCCTAGAACAGCCAGTAGGACATATAATTAATGTTCAATAAATGTTAGAATAAATGAACACATGAACAAAAACATGAATGAGTGAATGAATGATTCAGTCTCTGCCAGATGTGAGCGAAGGAAGATGAGGGCTCCGTGTGATTCTGGAGCTCGGACCTGGGCATTGGAGTCCCGATGACTTTGGCCTGCCCTTGAGTTCTCACCTCCCAGCACACTGCCCAGCCTGCCTTCTCCAGCTGCTCTCATGCCTTCAGCCTCCCTCCATTTATTCCCTGAGCCCCTACACCCGCAGTGACGTCTCCTCACCCCACAGGAAGGTCTCTCCTTCCTCCTTGGCCCAGCTTACATGCATGCCACCCAGCACAGGGACAAGGGAGGTAACACCAGCTCTACATCAGACAGGCCACGGCTGCATCTGAACTCTACCACTCGGGCACTGCACAGCCTTTAGCCCTGCGTGGACAGGTGGTTAAGGCGGCTTCTCTTGGTGCTCATGGCCCTTGCCATCCCTTTTTCTGCAGCGTGGGTGCAACCTGCAACCTGCTTCTAGGCGGTAGAATGCACCAAGTTGGTGGGAGGTGTGTGACTGAGGGTTATGGAGGTGCTTATGTGATGACGGTGCAGGAGATGTAGCACTGCACCTATTTTATGGGTCTCCCTCTCCCTGGCTGGTTTTGAAGAGATGAGCTGCAGTAAGGAGGCAGGTGTGCTGGGGAAGGCAGTTAGCGAGGAACGGTGCACCAACTCCTGACCAACAGAAACTGTGAGATCGTAGACAAGCGTTGTTCCAAGCTGCTAAATTTGTGGTGATTTGTTTGCAGCAGTCAATAACTAATAGGGTTACCCACTTTTCAGAGCTGTCCTGAGGACGGAGGTAATATACATATATACATATGCATACGGACATACACGCATTACATTACGTATATAATATACATGTAGGGCTAGGCGTCGTGGCTGCAATCCCAGCACTTTGGGAGGCTGAGGTGAGAGAATCACAGGAGCCCTGGAGTTCAAGATGAGTCTGGGCAACACAGCAAAACCCCGTCTCTACAAAAAATACATAAATTAGCTGGGTGACGCATGCCTATAGTCCCAGCTACTCAGGAGGTTGAGACAGGAGGATCACTTGAGCCCGGGAGTTGGAGGCTACAGTGAGCTATGATGACACCACTGCACTCCAGCCTAGGAAACAGAGCAAAATTCTGTCTCTAAATAAATAAATAAATAAAAATATACATGTACATACACATACACATGTACTGTATATATCACGATGCTTGGCTCAGTGCTTGGGGTGTAACAAATGTGTGTTGTCTCCCCCTCCCTTATCTTGCTTTTGGTTGCCATGATGAGTGGTGGCCATAACTGGAATTCAGTGGGCACTGACCAGAGATGGTCAATGTCCTGCAATGCATGGACTGTCAGCACACTGACAAATTGTTTCATCCAAACGGCCAATGACAGCCCCATTGAGAAACCTATTGGTGGTTATAGTTAGATGATGTAAGCTGTAAATCCTCGTAATTGGGCACATGTACGGTGCAGGGTCTGAAAACAAACACACACGAGTGGACACCACTGCCAACCTCCCATGAGGTGTGATGTTCCTCCGAGCCTCAGATGCCTTGGGTAGGTTTGTGTTGCGTAGATTCTGACAAAGTGAGGGTGCCCCTGACAATCTATTATTAATAAATATAAATTAGGCTTAATTTCTTATTTATTAGATAAGAAATGTAAATCGAATTTTTGATATTTTCTTCCCGTGCCCCAAAGGACTATCTTGTGCTTCCCAGTTTGGGGGCCACAACTTTGGTACAGAAGTTATTCATCATAGCAGTTAGTAGAGACACAATTATATCATTTAACAAGATTTCTAGAGCGGTGGTCCCCAACCAGGTATGATTTGCCACACCAAGGGATGTTTGACAAAGTCTGGAGATATTTTTGTTATTGTCATGAGTGAAATGTGGGTGCTACTGGCATCTAGTGGGTAGAAACCAGAGATACTGCTCAACATTCTACGATGAAGAAAACAGCTTCCCACAACAATTATCTGGTCCAAAATGTCAATAGTGCTGAGGTTGAGAAACCTTGGTCTAAATGGAAGCAGTTTCAGGGTTGATTCAGTAGCTCAGCAATGTATAGACTCTGAGTGCCTCTTTTTTGTTTTTGTTTTTGAGACAGAGTCTCGCTCTTTCACCCAGGCCAGAGTGCAGCGGCACTATCTCAGCTCACTGCAAGCTCCGCCTCCTGGGTTCACATCATTCTCCTGCCTCAGCCTCCCGAGTAGCTGGGACTACAGGTGCCCGTCACCGCTCCCGGCTAATTTTTTGTATTTTTAGTAGAGACGGGGTTTCACCATGTTAGCCAGGATGGTCTCGTTAGCCAGGATGGTCTTGATCTCCTGACCTTGTGATCCACCCGCCTCGGCCTCCCAAAGTGCTGGGATTACAGGTGTGACTGAGTGCCTCTTTGATTCTTTTGGGGTTTCTCCTCCTGGTTGCAATATGGTTGTCACAGCTCCAGACATCACACTCATCATTCCAAACAAACAAAAAAAAATCTGGCTTTCTGTCTCCTTTTTTCTCCCCTTCTCCTTCTCCCTTTCCCTCTTTCTCTCTCAGAGAAAAATATGGCGAGTGACACATGCTGGGTCACATATTCACCCCTAGTCTAATCACTGTCCAAGAAAGACTGAGTGGCTCAGATTGGCTGGGATTGACTGACTCACCTCAAGGGTCTAGATTCAGTACCTGGGAACAAAAATCAGGATTATATGAGCAAAGAAGAGGGAATGGCTGTTGGGTAGTCAACTTGACCAACAGTGTCTG
Source organism: Homo sapiens (assembly GCF_000001405.40). Lineage (NCBI taxonomy): Eukaryota > Metazoa > Chordata > Mammalia > Primates > Hominidae > Homo > Homo sapiens. The sequence goes on from NC_000020.11 coordinate 46,796,984, forward strand.
ACATTGAGAATTATTTCCTTTTTCTCTTCTTATGGTTTCTACCAACAAAACAAATCAGATGAATAAAAAAATTCCTTGCTCTTCCAATTACTTCCCACCCCAAAATCCACCTTTGCTGATCTGACTCCACTTCTTCAGCTTGCTGGAGAAAAGAGGAAAAGTCTTTCCACTGTCCCCCATCAGATTGCATTGGGTGCTTGGTGTGCTTTGGAACCCAGGTCAATAGGATTCCCCTTCCAGTGTCCCTTTAAAAAACCCAGGCCCCCTCTCCTTCCCACCAGAAGTCTCTTGCTGGTCCTGCAGACCTAAGCTGCTTATAGCAGCAGCGAACATCCAAGTTCACTAAAGAGGCCTGACCCCAGCAAGGCAGGTGGGAGTTAAGCAACCTGAGCTGGTCCACAAATGCCAGACAGCTGTGCACATCTTTGGGGCGGAGACGAAAAACAGATACTTAACGTATCTGGTTAGAAATGAGGATTTTCTGGTTTGGTTATGCCTGTCATTTCGAATGTGTCTCTTCTAATATTTACAGCATCTATGCACCTGACCTTGTCAGTTTCACCACTGAGAAGCAACATGGTAAACCATCCTCAGAGTATGACCCAGAGGCTTGGGGGTGTTCTCTGCCCAGCCTCAATCCCTCTTAAGCCTTTGTCGGGGGACAAGTCTGGGTGAAGATGTTTATGCAGATAAAGGTTTGCCAAGCTGCAGATAACCCTTCCCATTTAGAGAAACTGCTCTCTTGATTCAGCCTTCCTCTGTATTCGCCCCCAAACCTAGGATATCTGACCAGTACCCAGTTCCATAATCTCAAGGCGATTCTTATTTCCTTTCTTTCCCTCATACCTCACATCTTTCTAGCAGTAAACCCTGTGGGTTCTTCATTAAAAATATATCGACTAGGCACAGTGGTCCATGCCTGTAATCCCAGCACTTTGGGAGGCCAAGGTGAGAGGATCACTTGAACCTGGGAGTTCAAGACCAGCCTAGGCCACATAGCAAAACCCTGTCTCTACAAAAAAAAATTTAAAATTAACTGGGTGGGGTAGCACACACCTGTAGTCCCACCTACTTGGGAGGCTGAGGTGGGAGGATCACTTGAACCCAGGGGGTCAAGGCTGCAGTGAGCTATGATTGCCACTGCCCTCCATCCTGGGCAACAGAGCAAGACCCTGTCTCAAAAAAATAAGAAAAGAAAGAAAAGTAAAATTAAAAAAATAAAATATATCTATCTCATCCACTTTTCAGCACCTTCATGGCCACTGCTCTTATCTAAGCCACCATCATTTCTAAATTAGTGCAATTGCCTCTTCACTGGTCTTGTTTCTGGTCTTGCCACCTTTTCAAGCCACTCTCCATACAGCAGCCAGAGGGATCTGCTAAAATAGAAATCAGATCAGGGCCCTAACCTGCTTCAAATCCACCAATGATGAATCGTTGTGTTTAGGAGAAAATCCGAATTCCTGGCAATGGCCTCTCGAGCCCTGTACTGCCTGGTTCCAGGGGGTCTTACTAACCTCACCTCCTGCCTCCTGCCTCTCTCTCAGCCCACTCCAGTCACATGGGCTCCCACCTCCTCTCCCTAATCGCTGCAAATTCAGTCCCACCTCACAGCTGCAGAATTTGCCGCCTCCTCCCTCACCCAGGAACCCTCTGTCCTCAGACCTTGTCATGGCTTACTCCTCGTCATTCATATCTTTGCTCAAATGCCACCTTCTCAAAGGCTTCCTGAGCACTCCTGTCAACGTAGCCAGCCCACCCTATCAGCCACCCTGGCACCATCCTGTTCTATTTTCTTCATTTCTTTACTTGACTACCACTTTCCTCCCCTTATACAATGTTTTGTCTGTGAGAACAGGCACCATTTCTAACTTATATGATGCTGTATTCTCAGCACCTAGAATGATACTCGGCACATAGCAGGTGCTCAATAAATTGTCCTCAAATTAATGAAGCTCATTAGTGGCCCCTTCACCCAGGAGTCATCCCAACCTCCCCAGCCCCTGGGACTTCTGTCCTCTCTGGGTTCCCATCACCCTGACCATCCCTGAGCCAGCTCTGAGGAGAGGAGAACGCTCTGGGAATGCCTGCCTCCTCAGCTAGACGCCAGACTCATCAAAGATGGAGCCTGACGTAGATCCTGCTGTCTCCCCCACAGCATGAGTGCTGGATATGCAGCAGATGTAGAACACTGCCTCAGCATCAAAACACACCTGGCACAAAGGAAGGCTCAGCTCTTCACTCCATGTGAACTCAAAGACATCACAGCGTCTATCAAACTGTGCAGCATCTCTGACACTATCCTTCCATTTCTAGGACTTTATCCCATGGAAATATTCACTTAAGTGTGAGGAAAAGATGCATATAGAGGGTGTTTCCTACTGCATTGTCTGTCCTGGGGGAAAATTGGAACCTACCTAAAAGCTAAATTGTAAGGGAATGGCTACACTTGCCGTAGTCTTCCCAGTATTGTGAGATACTATGTGGCAATTTAAAATCATCAGAGGGCTGTATGGGCTGACTTTCACGTTCTTGGATACTTTGTTATTTATTGAGCACCTACTATGTGCCAGGCAGTGTTCTAAATATTTGGGACTTAACAGGGAACAAAGAAGACAAAAATATCTGCTAGAGTCAAGGAAGACAAACAAAAAACTTAAAGAAATAACATGCCAGATGGTTGATAAGTGCTGTGGAGAAAAGGAAAACAGGAAAGGGGGAAAGGGAGGGTATCAGGTGGAGATGAGGGTCTTGGGAACAGTGGGGAGCAGGGTTTGGGCTTCCAGGGGTGACGGATGTCAGCACGATGAGCATGATGAGATTAGTCCTGCTGATCTCCATGCAGATCAAGTAGAGAAGAAGGGTCTCACTGAGACCTAGGCGGGGCTTACAGTGCAATATGGCTGTCTTCTGCTGCCTCCTCCAAGTCCAGCCTGGAAGCTGGCTCATGGAAGTTAAGCTCCCCTTCCTCCAGCTTCCTGTAGGTTCAACTAGGGGGAAGCCCCAGCAGGAGACAGGTGCACAGTGAGGGCTTTATCCCCCTTTGCTGGCCCCTGCCAGGCACCGAGGCTTCACCGTGTCTCCACAGAAGGCTCTCTCCACTCTGCACCCTTGTTGGTTCCCCAGGCCCACTGCACCATTCTTACAGCCTTCCCACTGGCTACCCACAGCTCTGTAAATATTACATTCATTAAACTCCCTGTATTACCCAGGCTGACTGTGCCATCTGTTTCCTGAGAGGTCCTGACACACACACAGAGTGTGATCTCATTAGCTAGAAAAAGTCAAATTACCCATGGATATACAGGCATGGAGACTCGTTTAGAAGCAAACATCAAACTGTCAATAATCACTACCCAAGGGAGGTAGGAGAAGGGATGTCCTTGAAAGACGGTCTTATAGAAAAAGAGAGAGAGAGAGACGGAAGGGATGGAGGGAACTTCATTTGCACCTTCTACTTCTCCATGGGCTTTGTTGTATGTTTGGTTTTTTATAATGAATGTGTACTGGTTTTCTAATTTAGAAAGTGCAGAACTGGAAACAAAATGCCACCAGCCCCGCTGGCTCTGCAGTAGCCTGGACAGTGTATACACTCTCTGGACTGGCAGAGTTGGCAGGTGTCCTTCTTGGGGAGTCTGTGTGGAGCCCAGGGACAGCTGACTCTGGACAGTGCCTGGGTCCCTCACCGTCCCCTCCCCAGTGCCTGATGCAGACCAAACTCTACCCAAAAAGTCACCTAAATTGTGGTTGGTTTTTTTTTGCAATAAACATATATTGCCTTTGTTCTCTCTACATGTATATGTAGATATACACAAACACATATACAATTAACATTATTATATATACAATTAACAAGTAATTAACACAGTTGACAACTTTGTGGTTGTGTGTGTATACTCCTCTGTAAGGAAGAACAGGGGACATAGCATGTACCACAGACTGGACACTGTTCTCAGTGCTTTGCACGTCTTAGCCCAATTCCTTTTTGCAACCGCTCTAAAGATGAGCCCCGTTACTGTTTGCATGGATAGGTTGAGGGGGTGGAGGCATGTACACATATATGTAATGATCCAGCATGTTAATTGTGCTATACAAGTCCCCCATATCTTCTACTCCTGCTGGTCACTTTTGAGCTTGTCATTTCTCAGATGCGGAGGGCACAGTGTGCTGTGCACCTGCAGCCCAGGGGTTCTGAGCAGCAGCTCTGGTGCCGTGCTGCCTACGCTTGAGCCCTGGGTTGACATTTGCGAGCTGTGTGCCCTTGGGGAAGACACTGACTTATCTCGATCCCTCAGTACCCCCAGTTTACAATGGGATCAATAATGGGGACCACCTTTAAAACTGTAAAACGTAAACAGGGCAATGTGTAAGGTGCTTAGAATAGTGTCCAGTCTGCAGTGTGAGCTACGACCCCCGTTCTTCCTTGCTGGTGGGTCTTGTTAGTTGAGCAATGTTCCCCACTCTGAGTGACAGCTGGCTAGCTCATCACTGATCTGAGCCTGTCTTTGCAGTCTGTTGCTTCACTCGTACCTGAAAGGCACAGAGTGAGTCACTAGTCAATGGGTCTTTCAGGGAAAGTCAGATGGGGGAGGGCTGGAAAAACATGTGCTTTCCTGACAAACGGTTTACTTACAACTGTCATTACTCTTCATTTCCTCCTGCTTTCTTTCTGCCTCGACATCAGGTGTGATGTTTGGAGTTATAGCAGCCGCCTTGCAACCATGAGGCAAGAAGCTGGAAAGACAAGCCAAGAGACTAAAACACTGTGACATCACATCTGACAAAATTGAGCCACTGAACCAATGCCAGCAGCTGTGTCCTCCAGATTTCTTCTTATGTGGGGCAAGACCTTTATTATTTAAGCCACCAGTGGTCTGATAGTGTTACCTGAAGCCAAACAGACTCCTGTTTGAAACAGTGTGTTTGTTTCCCACTTATCATTGAGGATCTGTCAATGTCTCCCTCTCTCTCTCTCTTTATTTAATCTCCAGGGCAGAATGACGAGTTAATCCTACTCCTCGGGTCCTGGCACATCATCATTGGTCCAATCTCGAGAGATTGATTAATTGGTTGATTCCCTTTCATTCCCTTTCCCTACTTTCTTTCCTTTCCCATTCATAGGCAGCCATTCTAATGCATGTAATATATTACATATTTCCAACTTGCAGGCATTCATATGTGATTTGCATTGTCTTGTGTGCACATGTATTTTTATCTTATATAAATGGTATTGTGCCGTATATCTTTTGCTTCTTGCACTCTGCACTGTGTTCTTAGAATCCACGCATGTTGCAATGTGCGTGTCTCATCCATTGTTCTAACGCTGCTCAGAGCTCCCAGAGTGCATCCTCCTTGTGGTGGACTTCCACGTAAGTTCTCTCCCCTCACCACCACCACTAATGCTAGAATGATCATCATTGTACAGGTCTTCTTATGCACTCTAATGATAACTCATCTGGGGTTGATATCCAGAAGAGGAATGGCGGGGTCCCATACTTTTACATGTACTTAATTAGATTCAACAGTGCCTGCTGTTCTTTAGAATGGCTGCATCAGACTATCCTCCCAACAGAAAATTTTTCATCCTTTTTTTATTACCTTTTGCATTTTGAGTTTCCCTTGTTAGGTAGACTAATATTCAAGGCTTTCTTTCATGGGGTTTTCCTGTTGTTAACATGCAATTTCTCTCTTTGTCCATTTCAAAGCTCTTCACCTTGAATTCCATTTAGTTGGGCCTCAGAGCCTGAGCGTTTCCCAATTTTTCATGCAGCCTTTCTGACTCAAAGCTCGTGCCTGCTAATCCTGTATGATCAAGATTTATGTCAATGCCTGCAGTTCACGCATGCCCACTGTTAAGATGGGATAATGCCTCATGATGGATTCTTCAAAACAACAGCCTTTGCCAGCAAAGAAAAAGAGACAGACTGTCCAAGAGGTAAAGTGAACATCTGTTGTTTACGTCTGCCCAGAATCCATTCCCTCTTCTGGCCATGGCACCATAGTTTTTGTCTGGGGTCCACCCCTCCCCCACTTCTACTCTGTGAAGCTCCGTCTCTCCCCAAGTCCAGTCCTGGCTGATCAGAGTATCCACACTCCCAGCCACAGCAATTGGTTCAGCAGTGGGCAGCTGACCCAGGCCATTTGATAAAATGTTGAACTAGCACATTAGCTGTAACTCTTTAGGAAGAGGTGTTCTCTTTTGCTAAGATTTCTAAGCTTGCAGAGTATAGCCTGAAACTCCCTGAAATGGGAGACAGAGTTGAGAGAGAGAGAGATAAAGGGAAAGAGTCAAAACTTCATTACATCATCATTGAGCTACTGGATTCAGCCATGGCTGAAGCCCAATTACCTGTTTGTTTCAACTACGTGGCTCAATAAAATCCCCTATTTGAATGAGACAGCTTGAGTTGGATTTCCATCCCATACCGCTGAACATGCAGCATGCATTGGTGAGTGAGTGGTAGAGAGCTTCAGTGATAATACAGTGAGTGGTAGAGAGCTTCAGTGATAATACAGTGAGTGGCAGAGAGCTTCTCCCAGGGCCTGTGGGAAAAAAAAAAAGCCCTGTCCGTCAATCATCTGTTAGGCAACTGCCCACTTCTTCAAACTCATATCTTACCATGCTTCCCCTCCCTGACTGTGTTCCAGCCACACCAGCTTCCTGGCTATTCTGGGAACACACTAGCTTGTCCTGTGCACTTGCTGTTGTTCCCTCTGCCTAGAGTGTCCTTCTGCCGAACTGCCGGATTGTTTCCTTCTCATGCCTCAGGACTCAGCTCAAGTGTTACCCCCTCATAGGGACCTCCTTGGCAAGCCCCTCTCGATGCAACCGTCAGTCTGCTCTGCAGCTCAGCACAGCAGCCACCTGGGCGATGGCTTCTTGGGCATTTGGTCCTTTACTTGGCTGTTGCTTGTCTCCTCTGCCAGAATTAAGCTGTTTTGTCACCACTGCAACCCGAGTGTTTACGCGGATGCCCGGTTCATGGAAGATACTCCATAAATATATGTGAAATAAATGAAGGAATGAAGAGGTTAGGAGGAAGAGAGAAAAGAAAGGAAGGCAGGAAGGAAGGGCAGAAGGAAGAGAAGGAGGGGGAGAAAGGCAAAGGAGGAAGGGAGGAAAGTCGGGGGCAGGGAAGGGAGGAGGAGGAGGACGGACTCACTCAAATGCTTCAGGTTTAAGGGTCACTTCTTTTTTGTTCATACCCTCAGACTTGGCCCAAAAGCAAACTCAGAAACAAGAGTCCTTGAAATCTCATCTCAAATGTCCCTCTGGCCTGCTACTTAATTAAGTGACCCCATAATGAAATTTCTTCCCATTGAGTCTGTATTTAATAATTAATTGACCTCTTCAGCCCAGCCAGGCTTGGAGGCTCATCAATTATACATCTTTCCCATCTGCACTCAACACTCACCTCCCAGGAAAAAAGAGTCCAAAGAGGAGAGGCTGGGAGTGACTGGAGGCGAGCACTGGCTCCTCTGCGGGGTGAAGTTACTCCCAGAATGGTGACCTGCTAGGGACAGATGGAGAGGAATGAAAGGGGCTAGATTCAATCTCGGGCCTGAAGTTTATTCTGAGGCATCATCTTGCAAAAGACAAAATTAGTAATAAAAAGTTAGGCATGAAAGTAAACATTTATCTAGAAAAGCTAAATAACAACCAATTACTTTGTTATGGCAAAACCCACAAAATCCCATAAAAACAACACAATATTTTTATTAATTAACTAATTGTCTGGCCTGCTTGAAGTGTCATCAATTTAGTGAGTATTTAAGACTAGCTACTCACACCTATAATCTCAGCACATTGGGAGGCCAAGGTAGGCGGATCACCTGAGGTCAGGAGTTCAAGACCAGCCTAGACAACATGGTGAAACCCCATCTCTACTAGAAACAGAAAAATTAGCTGGTTATGGAGGCACGTGCCTGTAATCCCAGCTACTTGGGAGGCTGAGGCAAGAGCGAATCTCTTGAACCCAAGAGGTGGAAGTTGCAGTGAGCCGAGATTACACCACTGCACTCGAGCCTGGGCGACAGAGCAAGACTCCATCTCAAAAAAAAAAAAAAAAAGATCAAAAAAAAAAACTAGTTACTTACTTCACAACAAAATTTGAAATGGCCTGAATGTTTTAGCTCCTGTAGGAAAAAACTTGATTGTCATTTTCCCTTTTGGCCAGACTCTTTGATTGTCTTTTCTCATCAATATCATTTTCTACAGAGAGCAGAGAGAAAAGAAAGGTAACTCATTCTTTTCTTTAGAAAGTTGATCAGAAAAAAAAAAGAAAGAAAAAAAAGGAAAAGAAAAGTCTGACCATTTAGAAGTTTCTTTTGGCTTTGTAACCTGTCAGGGCTGTCACTACGAAGTAACACAGCCTGTGTGCCTTAAGAAATAGGAATTTATTTTCTTACAGTGCTGGAGGCTGGAGGCCTATGATCAAGGTGCTGGCAGAGTTGGTTTCTTCTGAGGCCCCCTCCTTGGTCTGTAGATGGCCGTCTCCTCTTCACACAGCCTTCCCTCTGTGCATTTCTGTGTCCTGATTTCCTCTTCTTAAGGACACCGGTCATATTGGATTAGGGCCCACCAATATGACCTGATTTACACTTAATCTTTAAAGACCCTCCCTATCTCCAAATACAGTCACATTCTAAGACACTAGGGTTAGGACTTCAACATATAAATTTGGGGGAGGAACACATAATTCAGCTGACAGCACACACATTTACAGGGCAGTTGTCAAATTTGGGGAAACCACTATCAAGTTTCTTTCCTACATGAGCTAAAACATTTTAAGGCATTTCAAGTCTTCTAAGCACAGCAACTAACCTAAAATACCTGATGCGTTGGTAACTCTTCTCAACCAGTTTGTCAATGACATCTCTGTGCTGTGATGCTTCATCGGGATCAGAGCGGGCAGGTGGCATTTTCTAGAATTCCATTCTCACACTTGAAGGACAGCAATGATTTACCCATAGAGACAACTGCAAGCCACATACAATATGTCGTGGTAGCCAAAGTGAATGCAATCCCAACCAAACCCCGCTTTGACCAGACCCCAACAGCGCCCGCGGCCACCCCAGCACCACTCCGTGCAAGGGAAAGTGCAGGGAAAGTCAAAAGACAAAATTAGTAATAAAAAGTTAGGCTGGGAAAGTCAAAAGACAAAATTCATTTTATTCAGCTGTGACTCCGTAGTGCCCATTGCCATCTAACATAGTACATATTGGTTTGTTTTTGTTAGCAGAAAGAAACAGTGGTCTTAATGGGCTGCCATTCAAATATCTTGCTTTTACAAATTTCACAAACATGTGCCTTGATTTTTACAAATTTCACAAACATGTGAACATAGCGTTAGGGCCCTTCCCAGGGCTTTGGAATGTCCCTGGGCAGGTGATGGGCCCTGAAGCTTAAACTTTATAAACTTCCCAGTAAATCTGCCTCCAAGTGGGTCCAGATTGTGAGCTTCCTCTCCTGCAACCCCATGCAACCCCTGGCCAGGCCAGAGTTCCAAAAAGAGAGAGAACAAACAGAGCTTTTTTGGTGTTGTGTTTCTTAAGGCCACTGCCCACCTGAACTGCGGCAATTAACCACAGAGTTGAAGGGTTAAAACAACAGAAACGTGTTCTCTCACAGTTCTGGTGGCCAGAACTCCAAAATCAAGGTTTCAGCAGGGCCACGCCCTCTAAAGTTTCTACAGGAGGCTCCTTTCTGGCCTCTTCCAGCTGCTGGGAGCTCCTAGTGTTCCTTGGCTGTGACCACATCACTCCCATCTCTGCCTCCATCTGCACGTGGCCTTCTCTCCGTGTCTCTGTGCGTCTTCTTCTTGTTCTCTTTTAAGGAGGCTGGTCATTGGATTTAGGGCCCACACTAATCCAGGATGATCTCATCTTGAGACCCTTACCTTAATTATGTCTGCAAAGACCCTTATTCCAATTACGGTCACATTCACAGGTACCAGGGTTAGGACCTGGACATATCTTTTGGGGAAGACACTATTTAACTCACCACAGGGGGGTTAACCATGTTCTCATCTTTCATGACCATTAAGGAGAGCAGGCCTAGGCCTCAGTGGTTTAATAAAGGAAAGACCACCCTTCATGCCTAAAAATCCCACCATTATGACTCCCCTTAAGGCTGCTTTTATCCATCACCTGCAGGCTCTGGAAGCAAATGCTCTGCAGACAGGTTTTTCTCCCACCCAGGAGTTGCCCAGACTTCAACCTATTTCTCAACTTCATGGTGATTTTCATATCCACAAACCACTTCATTAATGTTTTACCATCCACTTAATGTTCTCCTTCCAATAGATTTATTTTTAAAAATTCAGCCTCATCCTAAGCAGTAATGCCCTTGAAATTGGGGCATTGATGTGTCACTTCTATTTTTTCCTATACATACTTGAACAACTGGAGTTTGCATGTATTGATCTCTGCCTTTGTGTCATAGCTAAGTCCTGGTGATTTCATCCTCACGTCAACCCTGCAAGGAAGGAACTGTTACTACCACCCCCATTTTACAGTTGAGAAAATGTAGGTAGAGAAAGGGTCAGTAACTTGAGCCAGGTAAGAAGGGACAAAATGGAGAGCCCTGGGGGAAGGGACAGAGGAAGGAGAAAACAGACTGCAGGCTGGTTCTTGGTGTGTAAGGGTGGATGGGGAAGCAGGAGGGAGAGAACAGGGGGAGGAGAAGGGAACAGGGCAAGGAGAGAAGGGAAGCGGAGTTTCAAGGGATGAAATAAATCCTGAGCCCAGAAGTGGAGAAAGGTCACCAGGTCCTCACTTTGCAGAAGTCTTGACTTTGCCAGGCACTGTATTCCATCCATAACAATGAGACAGAGGTCTGTCCTGTAGATCAGAGCTCCACTCCATCGTTCAACATAGAGATTCAAGATGAAGATGAAGGGATTTTATTGAGGGCAGTGGGGGTCACAGCCACCCCCCATTGCCCTGGGAAAGAACTCCTTTAGAGGCTCGTCCTTTAGCCCCTCCCCATCAATGCTGACACAGCCGAGGTTGCCGCTGGCTGCCCACCTGAAATTCCCCTATCACCAACTTAGCTTCTCCCTGCCCCCATCCAAATTTCCCCTGTGGGTCCCTCGGGCTCAATAAGATGCTACAGGTTGGCCCAGAAACTGAGTGGAGCTGGAGCGTTCCTCACTCACCCCTTTCATCACAGCTGCTGTGAACTGAGTGCCAGGCTCTGCGCTAGGCCCTGGGGATATGACAATGAACAAGCCAAAGTCCTAGCCTCCCAGAGGTGACATTCCCTGGAAAGTATTAGGATGAGCCAGCTGCTGCCACCAACAAGCCTTGAATCTCAGCTGTTTAATTTTAAAAGGAAGAAAAAGTTTATTTCTCATTCACATCACAGCCCACTGCAGGTTGGCAGGTAAGGGCCCGAGGGACCCTACGAGTTCTTCCATTCAATGGCTCTGCCGTCGTGAGCCTGGCATTCTTAACCCATTGCGTGCTTCTGGACCTCTTTGTGTGATAGTATTTTAAAATCCTTCAATTGTCATTAAAAAATAAAACACCTAGGACTATGAAGAATACCAATTATATTGAAACATAATTATCCAGTATTTTTCTCAATTCATCACTTAGTAATATGAATTCTTCTTTTTAACACATTAAATAACAAGACCTAGTGGCAGATCTGATAATTACTGTAATTTCAAAGTAGTAATGAGTGTAAATCTATGGTCAGCAAACTACTACAGATGGGCCAAATTGGGTAAACATGCCACCTGTTTTTTTCAAGTTTTATTGGCACACAACCATAGTCATTTATTTGTATAATGTCTGTGGCTGTGTTTGTTCTACAACAGCAGAATCAAATCGTTCCAACAGAAACTGTATGGCCTAAAATATTTACTATCTGTGTCTTTACAGGAAAAGTTTGCAGTTAACAGTATTTTTGAGACATTTGCAGCAACTGTCATGTAATATGAAGGCATTTATGGTTTCTAGGGAAAAAGTCACAGGCCTTGCTGCCACCATTGTGGCTTGTTGGCTACATTCATTATTGAAGAAAATGATAATTTTCAATTCAAGGTGAGTAAAAATAAAGACACAATATTTTAAAGATCCAAATTCAGAGATTCCCCCTCTGCCTTTTAGCCACAGATCTCTGTAGGGGGGTCTCAGGACTGATCCCAGGTTAGAAAGCCCAGGTTAAAAAACCCTAATCTGGCCGGGTGCGGTGGCTCACACCTGTAATCCCAGCCTTTTGGGAGGCTGAGCCAGGCGGATCACCTGAATTCAGGAGTTTGAGACCAGCCTGGCCAGCAGGGTGAAACCCCGTCTCTACTAAAAATACAAAAATTAGCCAGGTGTGGTGGCGCACGCTTATAGTCCCAGCTACTCGGGAGGCTGAGGCAGGGGAATCGCTTGAAGCTGGGAGACAGAGGTTGCAGTGAGCCAAGATCACACCAGTGCACTCCAGCCTGGGTAACAGAGCAAGACTGTCAAAAAACAAACAAAAAAACAACAACAAAAAAACACCAACAAAAAAAACACCTAATCCAGGGCCTCAGGGGCTCTCTCCCAGATCCTCTGCACCCACAGGTGACAAGGGAGGAGAGCAAGTATGGAGGATCCTGCAGGAGGTTTTGTAGCCCAAGACAAAAGGTGGCGTCCATCACTTCTACCATTTTCAGAACTCGATGACAGGGTCACGCCCAGTTTCAAGGGATGCTGGAAAATGCAGTTAAGCGGTGTACTTAACACAAATATTTCGTAGAGCTAACAAAAACAAACCAATATGTACTATGTTAGATGGGAATGGGCACTATGGAGTCAAAGCTGAATAAAATGAATAGCTAATTCCAGCATGAACCATGATTTTAAATAGCATGGCAAGGAAAGGCACCCCTGAGAAGGCAACATTGAACAATGATCTGAAGATTCCAAGCCTGGGGCTTTCTGGGGAATGATGTTGCTGGCAGCAGGAATAGCGTGTGGGAAGGGCCCGAGGGAAAAATGCAACTATGATGATTTTGAAGGCCTGAGATTCAGTCACAGTATATATTTTAATCGTTTGTCTGTTTCTTGTCTGTCTCCCCCACTAGAACGCCAGCCCATGAAGAAGAAATTTTTGTCTATTTTGTTCACTGCTCTTTCCTAAGAGCCTAGAGGCGTGTCTGGTACATAGTTCGCACCTGTTTGTCAAATGCTGCCGGAACATGGCACGATCTGCCTGCTCTAGGGAGACAGGAGTATGGAATGAGGGCAGAGAAGTCTCCCTCCAGGGAGATCGCTTAGGGCCATAGGCCATGGTGGGGATCAACATTTTATTCTTTAGGAATAGGAAATTATCGGAGAGTCTTCACCACCGAGGGATGAGCTCCAATTTTGATTTTGCAAAGATCACTCTGGCTGCTACAGTGGATGCTGCGGCAGGTGAAGGCTTGGCAAAGTGTCTGACACTAAGAAGGGGAGTTCAGTCCAACAGCCTCTGGGGCAGTGAGTGAGAAGGTGTTTTGAGAGGCGAAGTATGGGACCTGGAGGACCCCTTATCCTGGAGTTTCACTGCTGAGAAAGGCCTCAAATTGGGCCTTTGGAAATTACATCTCAATGAGCTCTCTTCTCAGTCTCAAGGACTGAGGAGCTTCTGAGACACAGTAGGTTCACCATGTACAGAGAGGAGACTGATGGCACCCCCTGCAGCCACACACTCTTTCGGCAGGGCTCTAGGCAGCTCTAATTGCACGAACTTGTCCTATAAACATCTTAGGCAAAAGCACAATTTTATTGCGCCTTGATTTTTTTTTTTCTTAGGTGGAGAGTTGTTGAGAGGTCGATGCAGTCCACGTAAACATGTAAAACAGCCTAACATTTCAAAACCCTGCTATTTTTTGTTAGGTTGGTGCAAAAGTAATTGCGAGTTTTGCCATGAAAAGTAATGGCAAAAACCGCATATTACTTTTGCACCAACCCGATATGTCCGTAACCGGAGCAACGGAAAACAAACAAAAAAAAGAGGTGGAAAGACTGGCTCCCCACAACTGAGAGCCTCGTGGGGACAGCCCTGGACTGGGAGTCACTGGTGGAGCTGCCTCTAGCTGGGTGTTCCTGGGTGCGGGGCTGGTCTTCCCTGGCCACCGTCTTCTCCAATGAGAGCGATGACAGGATCTAAGGGGCCCCCTGGCGCTCTAAGGTCCTGGCCAGTGGAGACCCTGGGGTGCGACAAAGGGGTTAGGGGGCTCCCCCCTCCCCGCCCCTCGCCCCCACCTTTCCCCCTCGCGCTGTCTCTCCAACCCCATCCAAGCCCCAGGCTGGAAAGCCCCAGGGAGGCCGCCACAGTAATGACCCCTCGACAGCTGCGCTCCCCGCGAAGCAGCCGCCCCCACCCCCCGGGCCCCCGCCCTCCGCCCCGCCGCCTCGGCAGACAGGTTCGCACCTGCTCGGGGCCATTTCTCATCAATTAGGCCTTGGCAGCGCTTGAATGGGGCCCAGCTAGGGTGCGTCCCGGCTCCTCCCCGCGCCGCCCCCTGTCTCCCCCCACCAGAGCCGCGCTCGCAGATGGCAGCTCGGGCGCAGCTGCCCGCCGGGCTCGCGGGGGCCACAATCGGCCCAGTGTTCGCAGCCCCCAGGTTGGACAGGGGGCCGGGCACACCTGCGCGGCGCAGATGGCGCCGGGGGGCGGACAGCAGGCACCAAAGTCTCCTCCGGGGACTGGGAGGCGGGAAGAGAGCAGGGCCCCCTCACCGCAAGGCGGTTCCTGTCGGAACTAGGAACCTGTAGGGAAGAGGCCATCGAGAAAATGACCAGGGGCAGCGGGACCCAGCCATGCCCTAGTCCTTCTCGTTTCGAAAGGAGGGAGTCTTTTTTGGATAGTAGCTTGGTAACCTAAATGCCCAGCGATAGGGGATTGACTAGAAAACGTGTGCTGCGATTCTGCAGGGCACGGACTCAACCATTAAAAATATACTAAAGAAAAGCAAGTCGGGAAGAGGGATGTGTTGAGTGTAACTTTTGGTTGTTGTTGTTGTTGTTAGGTAGGGTCTCCCTCTGTCACCCAGGCTGGAGTGCAGTGGCGCAATCACAGCTCACTGCAGCCTCTACCTCCCAGGCTCAAGTGATCCTCCCACCTCAGCCTCCCAAGTAGCTGGGTTTTTTATTTTTGTAGGCGCAGGTTCTCTCTATGTTGCCCAGGCTGGTCTTGAACTCCTGGACTCAAGCAATCCTCCTGTCTGGGCCTCCCAAAGTGCTGGGATTACAGCTATGAGCCACTGCCGCACATCCAGTGTAATCTTAATTTGGGGAATCTGAGTTTGAGCTCTGGTGTCATCTCTTTTGAGCTTGATCAGGTCACTTTACCCTTGCCAACATCAGTTTTCTCATCTGTAGAATGGTGTAATAAGAGAGCTGTTGCAGGAGTTAAATGAGACAATGTGTGAAACTGCCTAGCCTAGGTGCTGGCAAACAGCAAACACCTGTAGTAAGTATTTTTTATTATTTCTTATTATACAAGTAATACATACTATTCACTGTTAAGAATCCACATTTTATCCAATTATGTAAGATTAAAAGCTAAACTACTCTATAATTTCACCTCTACCTGAGATCACCATTGATAACAGTTTTGTGTCTTGCCCCATGATTTTTTTTTCTTTTTCTCTTTTTTTTTTTTTTTTTTTTTTTTTTGAGACAGAGTCTCACTCTGTCGCCCAGGCTGGAGTGCAGTGGCACAATCTCGGCTCACTGCAACCTCCACCTCCTGGGTTCAAGCGGTTCTCCTGCCTCAGCCTCCTGAGTAGCTGAGATTACAGGCTCCTGCCACCACGCCTGGCTAATTTTTATATTTTTAGTAGAATGTTGGCCAGGGTGGTCTCGAACTCCTGGCTGCAAGTGATCCACTCGCCTCGGCCTCCCAAAGTGCTGAGATTACAGGTGTGAGCCACCGCACCTGGCTGCCCCATGATTTTTTCTACACTATATGTATAATAAATAAATACAGATAGATCTATGCGTAAATATAGATTCCAGAATCAAATAGAAGAAGTTTCACTTAGAGGCTGAAACCTTGGAGTCTGGAGCTAGACTTCCTGCACTAAAAAACCTGGCTCTTGTTTCCCTGCTGTGTGTCCCTGGGAAAACTACTTAACTTCTCTGGACCCCAGTTTCCTCATCTATAGCCTTGTAGGAAAGTTGTGAGATTAATACAAAACATTTCCAACAGTGCAAATAGAAATATGAGCTTCATTATAGGTGTGGTTTTGTAACTTTCTTCCTTAATATGTCTTAGATGTTTTTATGTGTTGGAAAATTTGAAATAATATTCTTTTTAACGGCTGTAGAATATGCCACCGTATGGCTCCATGTAAGCAGCCGTCTTCTAAGAAGGACTGGACTGGTTTCCCATGCTGCGGTGAGCACTCTTGAACACACTCTTTTGTGTGACAGTTCCCCTAACGTCAAGCCTGAGGGGTGGTATCTGCTGGATAAGGCCCCTTATGGTCTGGCACAAGCAGGATCAGAAGTAGGGTGAGGTGAGTGAAGCATTCAGGCACAAAATTTAAGAGGATGCCCCAAAAACTCAGTAATCAAGATAAATTGTATCTTAATGCAATATTTTTAAAAATCAAAATTAATGCTAAAAACCATCCATAATGAGCAAAATATCAACGTTTTAAAGACAGCATCTGACAGTGTCATACTGGCTTTGTTGAGCCTGTGGCCAAAGGAAAAACGTGCCTTCATATACATATTTTAATGTATTCTTTAATGGTAATTTTCTCCCAAATCGTTGAAGTAGTTGAAAAATATACACTGAAAAGTTAGAAGTAAGTGTATTAAAACTCACAGCATTACTTATGTTTTATTTTATTTATACCCCAAACAGAATTTGTATCAATTTTACTTTGCTGGGTTTAATGGAAGCAAACTCATCGCTAATATTTTCAAAATCTACTCCTGGAAAGAATTTAACTGTGAAAAAATAGATTATTTATATGTATGAGGCTAGCCGGGCATGGTTGCGAATGTCTGTAGTTCCAGCTACTCAGGAGGCTGAGGCAGGAGGATCGCTTGAGCCTGGGAGCTCGAGGCTTCAGTGAGCTAAGATCGAGCCACTGAACTCCAGCCTAGGTGACACAGTGAGATCCTGTCTCAATGATAATAATAATAATAATAATAATAATAAGGCTGGGTGCAGTGGCTCATGCCTGTAATCCTAGAACTTTGGGAGGCCAAGGTGGGGGCGGATCATGAAGTCAGGAGTTCAGGACCAGCCTGACCAACATGGTGAAACCCCGTCTCTACTAAAAAAAAAAAAAAAAAAAAAAAAAAATTAGCCGGGCGTGGTGGCAAGTGGCTATAATCACAGCTACTCAGGAGGCGGAGGCAGGAGAATCACTTGAACTCGGGTGGCAGAGGTTGCAGTGAGCTGAGATCGCGCCACTGCACTCCAACCTGGGTGACAGAGTGAGACTCCGTCTCAAATAATAATAATAATATTAATAATTTTTTAAAGTCATATATATGAAGGCTGCACATTTTCCCTTTGGCCTCAGGCTTCAAAATGACTCAACAAGGTGCTGGTATCGTTAATTTGCCTTTGCAGAGGGTGGCACCAATTGATGCTTCCACTGACAGCAGGCTCCATTTTTTCAAGCACCTTTTGGGATTAAGCTGCTCAGCAGAGGGTCATTATCCCCACATTTGGGCCTTCATCTGGGAGGAGCCAGGAGCTGGTATGCCTACCTGGGCTGGCTTTCTGTCCTCCCTTTCTTGTGAGAGCTTCCCAGATGCCTCTGCCAAGCCTGGGCAGCTCAGGTTACTGCAGACTCTAAGAGCTGCCTTATCTCAGATCTGCAAAGCCCCAGCACTTCATTCTCAGGAAAACCTTTTAACTCTGGGGTAGACAAACTCTAAAAACTCTAGAGCTGCCTTGGGGCAATGACAGCAGCTCCTCGATGGACTAGATCTGGGACCCCTGCAGAAATAATCTCATGAATGTTCCCTTACCTGTGGCCAGCAAGACCTGCTCCATTCCTTCCTTTATTTACATCCTCAGTGGCTACCCTGAGTCACTGCTCTGATCAGCCCTGAGTCAAAGCCTGGGACCGAGGCGAGTTAGTCATGGTCTCTGGAGCTCAAAGGGGCAGACAGACGGGTAAACAAAGAGTTTCCAAGACTCTTTCATGTCTGTTATTATCTCACCACATTGTCCCCAGAGACTTGGGAGCACTTGGGCCAGATATAATTGGATGTCAATAGGCATCTCAATCTTAACATGTCTAAAGCAGTAATACTAATAACAAAACCACTAGTAATAATAATAATAGTGTTTACTGCACAAGGCACTGTTATAAGTGCTTTACATATTGTAACTCACTCAGTCCTCATCACGACCCTCTGAAGTACAGCTTTTAGTTTCATTTTACAGATAAAGAAATCGAGGCATTAAGGGACTCAGTGGCTTGCCTAAGTTCCTGCAGATGTTAAATGGCAGTGCTGGGACATGTACCCAAGGGTCTGGCTCCAGAGTCCGTGCTCTTAACAATGACCCTCTGATCTTCAGTTCCTTCCCATTTCCCCTATATCTTCCACATCTCACAAAGTGGCATCGCACAAAAAAATAAATAAATAAAAACATCTATGCACCATTTTTATTCCACTCTTACCCAATTCTTTTCATACCTGACTTCTCGTCATCACTCAAATATCAGAGATGTCTCAAATTTCAGTTTTCCTGAAAGCAATCACTGAGAAAGGGATTCAAGGGTACGTAGCTTATTTAAGAGATGAGAGGTGACGGTTCAAGGAGAAGCATTGAAGAAGACAGAGGAGAAAAGTCAGCAGATACAGTGTGCCTTATCAAGTCAGCCACCACAACAGGTGACCACAGACAGCTTCATCCCTCCAACAAACTCTGGGAAAGAGTGCAAAGCACACAGCTCAGAATTATTCCGTCTACACTTCGAGGGAGCTGGGATATTGATACGCTAACTCCTGAGAGTCATTGGTTGAGATGTACTGGGGAGGAGTGTGCAGTGTTAAATCGTGGGCACTTCTTCCAGCCAGCAGCAAGTCCTTCCAGTTTCAGGGAAAAAAACCCAGGTAAAGATGCAGATACTGGCAATTAAAAGTCACTAGAGCATCTAGGGACCATTTGCTATCCCTCACCTACTCCTCCTCATCTCTTTCTTCTTGTACGTAAGACGCAGAAGAAAAGGAAAGCAATACAGAGTATATCACCAAGCAGGTTTTCAGCGTGAGCAAATAGAGCTTAATCTCACTGGGGTGCTTGGGGAGGCAGCACAAAATATGTGCCTCAGAGTGATCCCACCTGTGGGGAGAGGGAGTGGAGGTATTTATCCTCCACCCTCGAATTGATTGGTTGAGGGCTGCTTCTGGGGTATTAACCCAACAGCACTTCTGGCTTGCTCTGAACATGGGCCAAGCATGCTCCCAGGGCCAGAAAAAGTGCCTCAGGTGGAGAAGTGCAGGTGTTTGCAGTAAGCGTTTTTGGTGAGAGGAAGACAGTACAAGAGGATGGAGAAGGAGCAGCACCAGTGGCTGCTTCAAATAGCTTACTCATCCGAAGGAGAACCAGATGACAGTGACCATTTAGTAAGCACCTACTGTTTGCCTGGCTTCACGCTGAGTGATTTCCTTATATAAGTTCACTGCAAAACTTGCTTTTATATCATTACCTTTAAAAAAAAAAAAAGAAGGCAAAGTTTAGAGAAAGTAGGACTTTACCTAAAGCCACATATCCAGATAACATGGTGGACTCAGGATTATAACCAGATCTGTCTGACCTGAAAGACCCAATATTTTTTTGCCTCATGCTATTTCTCTGGATTTCTCTGCATCTCTGAGATTCACGATTCCCACCAATCTGGCCTATCGGGTAATATGTACCAAGGCTATTATGAGCACTGAAGTGAATAAAATGCTAATCCTCATCGATAGATTAAACAGAGAAATGCTTAAACCAGAGATCTGCCTGCAATAAAAGCAATTGGGTTACTTCTTTGTAATTTGACTGCTCACATGAGCCCAGGAACCTGCGTTATAGCTTTACAAATCTGTGATAATTTCCTTCAACTTTTCCATTTTATTACCGCCATTAAAATCCCGTTGTGTTCTTTAAACAGGAAAAAAAATGATTAAAACAGATGTGGCTCTTAAAGTTACAATATGAATTTTACAACCCCAGGTTTTATGATACTGAGAGAAACTTCAGCCACCAGGGTCAGAGGCAAGAAAAATGGGACCGGATTTCTGAAATGGGTCTGGGGAGGGGGAAAGGAGTAGGGTGAGAGGTTCAGAATGACGAAGACAGCCAACAGAGCCAATTTCCTGACATTTACTTTTCTCCCCAAACTCTGGGGATCAACTGCAGAATGTCACATTTGCAGCCATCCCTCTGCACCACAGAGCCTGGTCCCCACAGCTACTGAGGTTTGACTCAACTGCTTTCCCTCCCTCCAACCTCACTTCCAACCCACGCCCACACCCCCACCAAATCATAATTTTCCAGTTAAGTAGTCCACAGTGATCATTGTTTTGTTTTTTGAAGCAGTGTTTTATAGTAAAGAGAGCATTGAGATCCAAGTCCCAGATCTTCAACTAATTCACCACGTGACTTGGGCAAATCAGTGGACTCTGGGCTTCCAGTTTTTCATCTGCAAAACTAAGGAGTTGTACCAGATCTCTCTGTTCTCTCTTAGCACTGCCAGTCTATGACCCCATCTGCAGGAACACAATGCCAGGCACAAAGGAAGCTCTGAATATTTGTTGCCAGAAGAAAGAAATGATTTCCTAAATTTGTCTGTATTTTTCTTTTGCAGGGAATGAAGGGGTTATTAACTTCTACAAATAACCGAAAAAAAGAAGGAAAGCAACCATAAAGTTTGTTTCCTTTTTTATGTAAAAACAGTAATGGTGAGAATGACAAAAATTTTAAAGAGCCCATACACAGTGTTGGCAAAAATGTGCAGAAATAGGAAGTCTTCTATACTGCTGGTGGGAAGGTAAAAGAGTACAATATTTCTGGAGGGTGACTATCAAAATGTTAAAAGGGCATGTCCTTTGAATCTGCAATGTCACTCTCAGGAAATCATCCTAAGGAAATAATCAGAAAGATATATTTAGAGCACAAAAAATATAATATAAAGTCCAAGGGAAGGAGAGAAAAAATATAAAAATTTATATACTGCATTATTGTAATTTTAAGTTTTTTTAAAAAAATAACTGCATAGAAAATAACTGAAAAGAAAACATCAAAATGTTACATAGAAGTGGCCGGGCGTGGTGGCTCATGCCTGTAATCCCAAAACTTTGAGAGGCCGAGGCAGGTGGATTACCTGAGGTCAGGAGTTTGAGACCAGCCTGGCCAACATGATGAAACCCCATCTCTACTAAAAATACAAAAATTAGCCAGGCATGGTGGTGGGCGCCTGTAATCCCAGCTACTCGGGAGGCTGAGGCAGAGAATCATTTGAACCCCCGAGGCAGAGGTTGCATTCATTGAACCGAGATCACGCCTGCACTCCAGCCTGAGTGACAGAGCAAGACTCTGTCTCAAAAAAAAAAAAAAAAAAAAATCTCTGGTTAGTAAGACTATGGACTATTTTCTTCTTTAGGTATTTGAACACTGCTCTCACTCCCTGTCTTCCTTCAGGTCTCTGCTCCAATGTCACCCTGTCATCAAGGTTTTCCTTGACCAGCTTATCTAAAAGAGCAAACTCCTGCTCCTTCTCTCCCATTGCCCTCTTTTTCTTACCCACTTTTATTATTCTTCACTGCTGGACATAGTATTTATAAATATTTAGTTATATATTAAATTGTGCCTCACAACACGAATGGCAATCCGATGGGGGCTGTCTTCCCCTCACCTGGTATATAACAGTCACAAAATTGAATGATAATTTGAATGAATAGATGACACATGCAAAGATATATGGGCAAAGATAATCTATTGTGCTATTGTTTATAAAAGTAAAAATTTGCAAATCAATTAAATGTCTAACAGTAGAAAATTGGCTAAATGCAATATACTACATTTACACATTGGAAGTTTATGCAACACTTATTTCAAGTTTGTTTTTAACATATGTATGTGTGTAAGCGTGTCTGTACATATAATTGTATTTTTCTTCCTAGCAATAAAAGAAATCCACGTTGTTTGAAACAAATCAATCAACAGAGATTAGTTAAAACAACAATTCACACCTGAAGCTTTAATAGTTGGGTCAGAATCTTCCCATACGCTTTTTTTCCTCCATGCTTGTACAAATAAATGCCAACAAATAGTCACATAAATAAGTTTCTCACCCTTTCCAAAATCTGATTAATCATATACATTGTAGACATATATTGATCTAATTCAAACTACAACAGAGAAGTCATGATATGAATACAATATAATTTCTCAAATTGTTACGCTATGTCCATCACGACATTCAGATGGTCCTAAATTTTTGTCTATATAATAAATGCTGCAATAAGTATCCTTGGTCATATATCCCATATTGATCTTTTTGTTTATGTAGGATGGATTTCCAAATGTGAGACTTCTGGGTCAAAGGTTCCAAGCGTTTTGTGTATTCATTTATTTATTTATTTATCCTTGAGGCAAAGTCTCACTCTGTCGTCCAGGCTGGAGTGCGGGCAGATCACTTGAGGTCAGGAGTTTGAGACCAGCATGGCCAGTATGGTGAAACTCCTTCTCAGTTGGGCATGGTGGCTCACGCCTGTAATCCCAGCACTTTAGGAGGCAGAGGCGGGTAGATAATGAGGTCAGGAGTTTGAGACCAGCCTGACCAACATGGTGAAACCCCGTCTCTACTAAAAATACAAAAATTAGCCAGGCATGGTGGTATGTGCCTGTAATCTCAGCTACTCAGGAGGCTGAGGCAGGAGAATGGCATGAACCCAGGAGGCAGAGGTTGCAGTGAGCCGAGATTGTGCCACTGCACTCCAGCCTGGGCAACAGAGCGAGACTCTGTCTCAAAAAAAAAAAAGAAAGAAAGAAAGAAAGAAAAAGAAACTCTGTCACTACTAAAAATACAAAAATTAGTCAAGCGTTTTAAATTTAATAACACTTTCACAACACTTTTAATTTAACAATACTTTTTAACAATACATCAAGAATCATTGTAGCAATTCACATTTCATCAGGAATGTATGACAGTTCCTTCCCATCTTCACCAACCCGGGGTATTGCCAATCTTCCCAATTTTTATCAATAAAGGAGTACAAAATACTCTATTACCATCTAGATTTTTTTGACCATGAGCAAGGTTACAAATATTTTCATGCGTATACGTCGTTCTGTGAACACACTTTGTCCATTTTGCTATTTAAATGTTTATCTTTTTCTTGTCAATTTCTAGGAGCTCTCTGTAGATTAGGGACATTATATCTTTGCCTATCATTTTTTTGTTCCAAATCCCCCCCCAAGGTGACTCTGAGTACATATAAATATTCTCTGAAGCATTATTCAAAGGTTATAGTTGTATTCCTTCATTTAGATATTGATCCATCTAGAATTATTTTGGTATATACAATAGCATGAGGTAGAGTTTAACCTACCTTCTTATTAATGATACCATTTGTTAATGAAGCAGTCTGTTTCTGTTGAATTTAAACGCCACCTATATATATTAAAAATATATATACATACATAAATTTATACATATAAATATGTATACATAAATTTCCCAAATATACTCAGATTAATTTATGGAGTACCTATAATGTCCTATTAATCTATTTGTTCTTCTGTCCTTTTCTTTGAACTAACTTTCTAGTAACTCCTCAGCTAGGGTCCTAGCAGGAAGCAAACCGTCTACTCAAGTGGTACAACAAAGAAGGGATGGGCAAGCTTTATGGAAGCAAACAAGGAGTAGGGCAGTACACCAGGGCCAGTGACAGGGGGAGCTGTCCCTAGGGTGTGCTGAAGGTGGCTCACACTAGCTGGCAGGAGCCAGTTGTTAGCAACACGCAACTTCACGTTAGTAGCTTGAAATCAGCCATGGTGGGAATACTTACACCAAGGAAATGGGCAAATGCTGTACATCAGAGGTTCATGCCCCCCTTTTTTTCAGAGCTTGCCATTCAGCAGTTACTAGCACACCTCTGGGAGGAAGCGTTTTCTGGAATCTGGGGAGCAGAGTTCTATGGAGAGGGCTGTCTGCCAGGGACTGTGGTCTTCAGTAGGAAACAGGCAATTCATTGTAACCCCCCAGGGAAGGAGCTGGGGAGGAAACATTCTGACTTGATCTTCTGCCCCCCTATTCCTTACAGTACCTCCCACTGCCCAAATCCAACCAGGTATAAGAGGACGAGAGAGCTGGGGACGCAGTCACAGGGGCCAGCTTTGGGGCAGGGTAGAGAAGGGCAGAGACAGATAGAAACGTCCAGCCCAAGATCATTTTCCACCCCACCCAAGTCTTCATTTTAAAAAATTTCTTCGTGATTTTTATCCACATCCAGAAAAAAACCTCACTGAGGTAAGGATTGGAATTTTATACAATTGAAAAATTAATTTGGGAAAGATCGAAATTTTATGAAACTCAAAATTTCACAAATTTCAAACGATATAAAATTTTAAAAATCTAATGTCTTTTTCAAATTTGAAATTTGAAAGTACATGTCTTTCCACATATTCCTTTTATTTAGGCTTTTGTTTTTTATTCTCTAATTAAATCTTACAATCATTTCCATATGGGTCTTGTAATTTTCTTGTTAAATTCCTTTGTATTTTATAGTTTTGATCACTGTTATAAATGAAATATTTTTCTGTGTTCATGCCTAACTGACTAGTCCTAATAAAAAGAAAGTTACTGGTGTCTTCATATTTAGTACATATTCAAGCAATCTATAAATTGCCATTTACAAAGATCAAAAACTCATGTGAATACTATTTTGTAAGTAGGTTCTTTTGAATTTTCTATGTTTACAATTATATCATCTGCAAAAAAGAATAATTTTGAATATTTATACTACTTATTTTATTTCCTTATATAATCGTATTAGCTACAAACTTTGAAAGGACAGTGTAGACGATAGCCATCCTGTCTTATTTCTTATTTTATTGGGCCTGATTCATGTTTCACAGTAAAATACTAGGTTGGTGCAAAAGTAATTGTGATCTTTTCCATTAAAAGTAATGACAAGAACTGCAATTACTTTTGCACCAATCTAATAGTATGTCTACGGTTAGCTTGTACTACATATTTTTATTTTATTCATGTACCTTCTTTCTAGAAACAGCTGTAGAATTTTATCAAACGCTGCTCCAGCATTTTTCAAATATAAAATCTGGCTTTTCTCACTTACTTTGCTGACGTAATGAATTCTGCCAGCTTTTTAAATGATGAGCCATTCTTGCCTCCCTGAAACACATGTTATTTGCTCATAATATATTATTCTTTTAATATGCCGCTGAATTATATTCGCTGACACTTTATTGAGATTTTTAGCATCTTTATTCATAAGTGAACATGATCTTTATTCATAAGTGAACAATTAGTTTTCCTAATTGTATTAGGAATGACAAACCTTAGCATTAAGGTTGTTCTTTGTTTTGGATAAATGATTTGAGGAACTTTGCATCAAGTTTTGTAGACTGAAGCACTTTAAATAATATTTTGGTAAATTTTGTTTGTCAGTTTGTTTGTTGTTATTGTTTTGTTTTGGAGACAGAGCCTTGCTCTGCTGCCCAGGCTGGAGTTCAGTGATGTGAGCATAATTCATGGCAGCCTAAAACTCCCGAGCTCAAGCAATCCTTCCCGCTCAGCCTCCCAAGTAGCTAGGACTACAGGCACACATCTGTGCCCAGTTTATTTATTTTGGTTGTTTGTTTTATGGAGACAGAGCCCCCTTATATTGCTCAGGCTGGTCTCAAACTCCTGGCCTCAAACAATCCTCCTGCCTCGGCCTCCCAAAGTGCTGGGATTATAGGCACGAGCCATCATGCCCAGCCCATCTTGGTAAACGTTTAATAATGTTTCGCTCCTTCTTCTGGTTAGCTGTCTTTTTCTATTTCTCACCTCTTCTTGAGTCAATTTTGACCGTTTATGTTTTGCTTAAAGATCGCTTATATTCCCTACATTTTCCATGGTTTGCTTTGAAGTTCCGCAACTTTTTTCTTATAATTATGTTACTCCTTTCTATATTTGTAATTATATATCCTCTCTCATACTGACGCACATGATTTCCTTTATTTTTCCTCACAAGGGATTTATCTAGGTCATTTTCCCCCTGCAAAGAACCGACTTTGGTTTTTTACTCCCAGCGTTTGGCTTTTTGCTTCCCGTATGGCAAGTTAGGAAGGGAATTTGGAGTCAAATGTCAGTTCTGCTGCTCACCAGCCAGGGACATCGGCAAATCATTTACTGACCTTGGTGAGCCTCCAGTTCTTATCTGTGAATAAGAACATGCCTCACTCCCAGGGTAGTGATGTAGTAAAAAATAAGAAAAAGCCTATAAAGCACCCAGCACAACTCCTGACACACATTAAGACCTCAGTGGTGTTAGTGGTATTACTCAGGGCTCTCCAGAGGAACAGAACCAATAGGAGTTATAAATATAGGCTCATGTGATTATAAAGCCTGGCAAGTCCCCAGATCTGCAAATTGAGTTACAAGCTGCAGGCCCAAGAGGAGAGAGCCAATGGTGTAGTTCCAGTCCAAAGGCCGGCAGGCTCATGATCCAGGAGGAGCCGACACTTCAGTTCAAGTCCAAAGGCAGGAAAAAGCCAATGTCCAAGTTCAAACGCAGTCAGGCGTGAGGAATTCTCTCTTATTTCAGAGAGAGTCAGCCTTTTTTATTCTATTGAGACCCTCCACTGATTGGATGGGGCCTACCCACATTAGGGAGGGCCATCTGCTTTGCTCAGTCTACAGATTTAAATGTAACTTCATTCAAAACTTCCTCACAGAAACACCCAGAATAATGTTTGATCAAATATCTAGGCACCCCTGGCCCAGTCAAGTTGGCACGTAAAATGAGCCATTACAATATTCACCACACACGTCACCCAGCCCAGACTCTTTGCCCCCACAGGCACATGTGCCTCTCTACCTGAGCATCGCACATGCTTTATTTATTTTATTTGTATTCAATTTGTCTTATGTTATTATATTTGCTAGTTTGTTGTTAGTCTTCTCCCCTATAAATGCCCTAGTGGAAGCACATGGCTTGGGATAAGAAACTGAGAGATGGCCCAAAACTCCTCCAGCTGATGAACAACTTCAGCAAAGTTGAAGGATACAAAATAAATGTACAAAAATCACTAGCATTCTTATACACCAACAACAGCTAAACTGAGAGCCAAATCAGGAGGGCAATCCCATTCACAAAAGCCACAAAAAGAATAAAATACTTGTGAATACAGCTAACCAGGAAGGTGAGAGAGCTCTATAATAAGAAGGATAAAACACTACTCAAAGAAATTAAAGAAGACATATAGATGCATAGATGGAAAAACATCTATGTTCATGGATAGGAAGAATCAATATCATTAAAATGGCTATACTGCCGAAAGTGATTTACAGATTCAGTGCTATTCCTATCAAACTACCAATGACATTCTTCACAGAACTAGAAAAAACTATTTTAAAATTCATATGGAACCAAAAAAGAGCCTGAATAGCCAAGGCAATCCTAAGCAAAAAGAACAAAACTGGAGGCATCATGTGATTTCAAACTATACTACAGGGCTACAGTAAATAAAACAGCATGGCACTGGTACAAAAACAGATACATAGACCAATGGAACAGAATAGAGTCCAGAAATAAGGCTTCACAAAGCTGGTAAAAACAAACAATGTGGAGAAGACTCCCTATTCAATAAATGGTGCTGGGTAACTGGCTAGCCATATACAGAAGATTGAAGCTGGACCCCTTCTTTACACCACACGCAAAAATCAACTCAAGATGGATTAAAGACTTAAATGTAAAACCCAAAACTATAAAAAACCCTGGAAGAAACCAAGGCAATACCATCCTGGACATAGGAATGGGTGAAGATTTCATAACAAAGATACCAAAAGCAATCACAACAAAAGCAAAAATTGACAGGTGGGATCTAATTAAACTTAAGAGCCTCTGCATAGCAAAGAAATTATCAACAGGATAAACAGACAACCTACAGAATGAGAGAAAATATTTGCAAATTATGCATCTGACAAAGTTCTAATATACAGCATCTACAAGGAACTTAAATTTACAAGAGAAAAACAAACAACCCCATTAAAAAGTGGGCAAAGGACATGAACAGACATTTCTCAAAAGAAGACATACAGGTGGCCGACAAGCATATGAAAAAAAGCTCAACATCTCTGATCATTAGAAAAATGCAAATCAAAACTACAATGAGATACCATCTCACACCAGTCAGAATGGCTATTATTAAAAAAGCAAAAAATAACAGACACTGGCGAGTTTGCAGAGAAAAGGGAACACTTGTACACTGTTGGTAGGAGTGTAAATTAGTTCAACCCTTGTGTAAAACAGTATGGCAATTCCTCAAAGAGCTAAAAGTAGAACTACCATTCAATCCAGCAATCCCACTATTGGGTATATACCCAGAGGAATATAAAGCATTCTACCATAAAGACACAGCACGTGAATGTTCATTGCAGCACTGTTCACAATAGTGAAGACATGAAATCAACCTAAATGCTCATCAATGACAGACTGGATAAAGGAAATGTGGTACAGATATGCCATGAAATACTCTGCAGCCATAAAAAATAACAAGATTGTATCTTTGGTGGAAATATAGATGGTGCTGGAGGCTATTATCCTTAGCAAACTAATGCAGGAACAGAAAACCAAATACCACATGTTCTCACTCATAAGTGGGAGCTAAATGGTAAGAAATTATGCACACAGAGAAGGAAACAACAGACACTGGGATCTACTTGGGGGGGGAAGATGGGAGGAGGGACAGGAGCAGAAAAGAAACTATTGGGTACTGGGCTTAATACCTTGGTGTTGAAATAATATGTACAACAAACCCCCGTGACATGTGTTCACCTATGTGACAAGCACATGTACCCCCGAACATAAAAGTTAAAAAAAAGAAACTGGGAGAAGAATTTTAAATTTATATGTAACTCATACACATCCATGAGCCCCTGTATTTAACAATCAATGTTTCATTTAAAGAAGCATAACCCAAGCAGACATATCAATCTTCCCTCATAACTCTAACAAATATCAGATGTGGGCAGGCAGTATTTAGCCATTGATAACACTTATTATCAATTTCTTGTATTCTTCTATACTTCAGCACCCTGAAACTCTACCTCTCAGTTACTTTGTGCTGTTCCTATTACCGGCGTATGTGCCCCTCCTCCACTTTGATAAATCACTCAAGCAGCACTGTCTTTTCTCCTCTTTGGAAAGCAGAAGAACAAACAGGAGGGTATATTTTCCACCTCTTGATGACAGTATCCCTCAGAGTAAAACTAACAGAGGATAGCAGAGCCATGAGATTCTGTGGGCCTGAACCCTGCCCAGACGCCCTCCTACTCTGGCTCTAAGGCTGAGCATGTGACTCAGGCAGGTCCAATCAGCATAGTTTATTCCCCTGGCCCCAGGGAGCATTTCAGGGATGGACACATGACTCAGCCAATGCAATGAGACTCAATGCTTGGAATTTGTCTGGATTTATTAGGGAAAGAAAAGCTCTCTTTCCACTGGAGGGGTTAGGCCGGCAGGAAATAAGTCTGGAGCTACCAGAAGCATCTTCCCACCACAAGCCTACCTGAGAATAAAGTCAATGCAGAGGTAAACAGATCAGAGAGATAGAGTGAGAGCAAGTCCTTAGGATTAAGCACCTAGATCCAGCCAGGCCTGAAGCCCTTACCTCTGGATTTATCTGTTGTATGAACCACTACATATCCGTTTTAGTTGAGTTTCTATCACTTATAACTCACAGGGACCCAAGTAACTCTGAAGAGTAACCTATGAATTCATTGATAGTTGATTTTTTGACCCAGAGATCCCCTCTCTGTTTCCATAGCCTCCAATGTTTCCATTACCAGGTCCCTAATCCTGGTATACAGAAATTATCTCTTCTCTTGTCTGTCTTCTCCCAAATACTGCAGCTACTTGAGGCCAGAAACCTGGCTTTTTCATTTCTGTGTCCTCTAAGTCTAGTCTAGAATCCAGAACATACAGTTCCTGGGATCCTACAATGTGGTAAGTCCCTTCTTAACATTAATGCTTCCCGCCCCCTTAGGTATTGGGGATGGTAGGTATTGCCATCCTCAAGTTACAGGTTGGGAAACTGAGGCACATAGTAAACATTTCTTAGGAACTTAATAGGTGACAGACTCCTGATTTGAACCCAGGCCTCTCTGACTTTAAAGCAGCATTTGATAAACACTTGTTGAATAAATGAATAACCCCACAGGCTGACTTTGACATTCATCCTAATGAAACTTTAGCTTTAGTTCTTTCCCACAGATCTTGACGTTGGGGAGCCTTCAGAATTTTTCCAGAATGTACTGCACGCAGAACCTGGAACGTCTTGGGTAGCTGGTCCAAAGCTGACCAGGGGCCTCCTTCTCATTTTTTCTTCCAGGACTTCAATCTGCAGCCCCATGGCCTGCTGTTCTGAATAGCCGCCCCCTGCCCTAAACTCTGGGATGCCTTCCTAAAGCAGCTCTCAAGTTTTACTGTGTTTTGGGAGGTCTTCTTCCCGAATCCTCAGAGTCTTAATGCTACATTCCCCCCATCAAGGTCCCAGAAGACCTCAGCCTCTTTTCTCTGTCCCCACTCTTAACACTCCCCTGTCCCGAGTCCCATGCTCTCAGCTCCTGTTGGACGTCTTCCTCCTTCAAGTTCCTCAGGACACACTGAACCTGCTTCAATCCCCACCTCAGGGTACATGGCCTCTCACGCCAAAGTCTGCACATGTCCTGTCATCCACCCAAAGCTCTCCTCCTCACCCCAAAGCCCTTGACCCTTGTAACCCCTACTCATCATGCAGACAGCTGGCCAAATACATCTCCACGGGGAATTCCCTGGGTACCCCCCACCCGGTACACCAGAATCCTCCGTTTTGTCTGCTCTTACTGTTCTGTACTTCTCTTTAATATCCCCCAACACACCTGTAATGACCCACCTTTTGAGTGCCTGAACACCTCTAGACTGTGCACACCACGAGGACAAAGACATGTCGTGCTGGTTTCCAGCCATATCCTCACCGTGCCCTGAACAAGCCTGACACACAGTGGAACTCCATAAATACTTACTGACCTACTGAATGAATAACATAAACTAATCTGTGCTCATATTTGGAGGATTCTGATGGGTTGATGATCAGCCCCTCTCAGATTACAAATTCATTTGCACTTCTCTGAGCAGAGCCCACACTTCCTGTTTGTCCAAAAATCCCTACGTAACCTTGGTTCTTTCTCCACTGAAAATCTCATCCTCTCCATGCCTTTAAAAGAATAATAAGGATAATAAAAGCAAAGATAATAACACATGCCTGTGACTGCCAAGCAGTGTGCTAAGCACTTAGCACATTTCAGCCCATGCAATGTTCCCATAAACCCTAGAAAGTGGGCTACGGTCGTTGTCTCCATTTTACAGACAAGGAGACTGAGGCTCAGAAAGATTAAGTCAGTTATTCAAGGACACACAGCCAGTAAGCAATGGAGCCAGACAGTCTAACCCCAGAAAAACCTCATATAACCACTAAACTATATAATAATAACTTCCCAACATTTTTTACTGTGACTCATAGTAAAAAATACTTTTTATATCATGACACAGTTCACACATATGCACTCACCCACAAAAGACTGAAACAAAAGTTTCATGAAGCAATACTTAGTTTTATTATGTGCTATGCATTCTATTTCCTTAAAAATAAATGATGGTCATGATCCAAGGCAGTTAATAGGCTATACATTCCAGTAGGTTAAAATTAGGTATGTACCACATTTGAGTTTACAGTACTGCTTTTTATTAGGGTTTAAATGAAAATACTTATTTGTATGTACAGATTATCTGCTGATGCGATGCAGGCAGAGTTAACAGCCCCCTAAAGATATCCGTGTCCTGATCCCTGGAGCCTTTGAAAATGTTAGGTTTTATGGCAAGGAGGAATTAAGGTTGCAGATGGAATTAAGGTTGGTAATCAGTTGACCTGCAGATCAGGAGATTATCCTGGGTTATGTAGGTTGGGCTCAGTGTAATCACAAGGGTAACTGGAAGGATATATGGAAAACGGAGGTAGAAGAGAATGTCAGAGGGAGGCAACGTGAAGAAGACTCAGTTGGCCAGGGCTGGCTTTGAAGATGGAAGCAGGTTATGAGGAGGAACACAGGTGGACTCTAGAGACTGGGAAAGAGAAGGAAATGGGTCCTTCACCGGGCTTCCACAAAGGAGCACAGCTCCGATGACACCTTGATTTTAGTCGGTGAGACCCAAGTCAGACGTCTAACCTACAGAACTGAAAAATAATAGTCCGGGTGCGGTGGCTCGTGCCTGTAATCCTAGCACTTTGGGAGGCTGAGGCGGGTGGATTACCTGAGGTCAGGAGTTTGAGACCAGCCTGGCCAACATGGCGAAACCCCGTCTCTACTAAAAATACAAAAATTAACTGGGCATGGTGGCAGGTGCCTGTAATCCCAGCTACTTGGGAGGCTGAGACAGGAGAATCACTTGAACCCAGGCAGTGGAGGTTGCAGTGAGCCGAGATGCTGCCACTGCAGTCCAGCCTGGGCAAAAGAGCAAGACTCGTCTCAAAAAAAAAAAAAAGAAAAAGAAAAAGAAATGTGGGTTGTTTTAAGCTACTAAATTTGTGGCAGTTTGTTACAGCAACAACAGGAAAATAACAGATTCCCAAGAAACTGGTAACAATATTGTCTCTGGGGAGGGGGAATAGTTACTTAGTTGAGGGATGGAGTAGGATGATAGAGAGTAAAAAGAGCCTACTGTTTGAATTTTGAACCACTTGAATGTATTATTTTTAGCATAAATAAAATGCTTTGAATATTTGGGGCTTCCTTTTTTTTTTTTTAGACGAAATCTCACTCTGTCGCCCAGGCTGGAGTGCAGTGGTGCCATCTCAGCTCACTGCAACCTCCACCTGCTGGGTTCAAGCAATTCTCCTGCCTCAGCCTCCCGAGTAGCTGGGACTGCAGGCATGCACCACCATGCCCTGATAATTTTTGTATTTTTATTAGAGACAGGGTCTCACCACGTTAGCCAGGCGGGTTTCAAACTCCTGGCCTCAAGTGATACTTCTGCCTCAGTCTCCCAATGTGCTGGGATTACAGGGGTGAGCTACCGTGCCCAGCCTAAGAAGTCTTATAAGACTTTTTTTCCCTTAGTTCCACCTCCTCCCCCATGAAATTTTAATACCACAGATATACTCTATCTCATTTTATGAAATGTATATCTGTGTTTTATATATAAAAAGAATATGTGTGTTTTTATGGCCCCAAGAATCAGCTTTTAACCCCTTGGGGGCCATACTCCCTCTGCCCCTGCCACACACACACACTGAGTATGCACAATTGGGGTAAAAAAAAATCACATTATTTTATGTCTGAAGTACAGATATACATTCAGTACCTAAAGAGATATACAAAATATTTGTGGATTAAGATTTCATGGTGGGAGGTGATTAAGAAAAAAAAAAAAGCCTAAAAAACCTCCTTAGGAGAGTAATAAATTTTAAAAGATTATAGAAGGTTGAGAAACTGTGATCTAAACAGGTGGTTTGGAATTGCCCAGTGGGGCCCACATAGAATCGGAAGTGTGGCAAATGTCACAGCAGGGATGGGTAGTGTCTTAGAGGGGCACTAGTGGGAAACAGGGACCTTGTCTCCCACTGGCCCTGAACATAGCGGGTAACCCAGAACCACACTGTCACTAAAGCCGACACCTCAAAGTGGCTCACTGATATGCTTATTTGAACCACTAAACTTTTTTTTAAGAATCTGGAAATTTCACATAAAATATGGACTTATGGCTCTCTTGAAAAATTCGAAGACCTAATGACACTGGAGCCACATTTCTGCATATTAACAATTAACATAGCCGGGTATGGCAGCCCACACCTGTAATCCCAGCACTTTCAGAGGCTGAGGCAGAGGGATCGCCTGAGGCCAGGAGTTTGAGACCAGCCTGGCCAACATGGTGAGGCCCTATGTCTAAAAAATATTTTAAAAATTAGCAGGGTGTGGTGGTGCATGCCTGTGGTCCCAGCTACTAGGGAGACAGAGGTGAGAGGATCACTTGAGTCCAGGAGTTGGAGGTTATAGTAAGCCATCACACCATTGCACTCCAGCCTGGGTGACAGAGCAAGACTGAGGAAGAGAGAGAGAGAGATAAGAAAGAAAGAGGCATATTTAACTTATTTACCTTCCCTCTCTGGCCCCAGCACTGGAGCAGAGCAGAAGGAAGGAACTATGGGATAGAATGCAATTTCTTTCCTATCCTTATATCTATTTATCAAGGAGACTTCAACAAACAACAATAAAAACTTTATTGAACACTTGACTGTGCACCCGGTACTGTACTAAGAACTGAGTTTCGTTGTCTAGTCTAACTGTCCCCAGATCTCTCTGGAGTGTACATAATCATCTTCATTTTCCTGATCAGCAACCCCAGACTCAGAAAGGTAAAGTAACTCGCCCAAGGTCACACAGCAGTGGCACACTTTAGTTATTATTTCTGTATAAAAACTACACCAAACTTAGTGACATGAAACAACCATTCCATTGTCCTCAAGTTTACTATGAGTTGGGGATTCAGAAGGGACATAGCGGGGATGGCTTCTCTGTGCTCTGCAGTGTCTGGGACCTCACATGAGAAGACTTGAAGGCTAGAGATGAGTCAACAGCAAGAATCTAAAAATCACTCACAAATCTGGCACCTGAAAAAAGATGACTCTAACACTAAACTCAGCTGGGACTGCCAACTGACCAGATCACCTACACACGGCCTCCCCATCTGGCCACAGCCTCTCCATGTGCTTGGGCTTCCTCACAACATGGAAGCCTCAGGGCACTTCTTACATGATGGCTTAAACTCCAGCAAGAATGTTCCAGCAAACAAAAGGGAACAGCACTGCCTTTTCTGACCTAGCCTTGGAAGTCCCATAGTTAACTTCTGCCACATTCCACTGGTTACAAGCAAGTCACCCAGATTCAAAAGAAGGGGACATAGACCCCAACTCTAGACGGAAGGAGGCTCCATTGCAGAAGAGCACATGGAATGGAAGATATTGTTGCAGCCATCCTGCAAAATATGATCTGCCACATGGCAGAACCAGGACACAAACTCAGGCAGATGGCTCCGGAGACACTGTTGTTAACCACTAACTACGTTCTACAGGTGGTTATGAGAATTAAGTGAGATAATACATGCAAAGTGCTCAGGACAGGGAATGGCACATCATATCGAATTCAATACATATTGCTTTCCTGACTTCATGCACTCTCTTTGCCTCTACACCCGTGCATAACCTCACCTATGAAGTGCCTGGCTACGTGCATCTGGAAACCTGGCATCCAGTGAGCTAACTCAGGAGAAAGACTGAACTCAGCCTACCCCCCACCATAGCTCTGGGTGAGAATTTCTCTGAGGACTCCGTGGAGGAGGCCTTGTCTCGCCCACTCTGTGGCTTGGCCATGTCTCTAAAACCCAGGCAGGGCCAGAGAGCTGTGCCCCAGCCCCAGCAGATGACCCAGGGGACTGAAGTTCAGAGTTGAAGAGTTCAGACCCTGCACAGTTCATGAATGTTCCTGGGCCCCAAAGAGTAACTGGAGAAATTGTTTGTATCAGTGAGGAATGACTTAACTCTTGGCAAATCCTAGAAAACAGCCTTTCTTCCTGTTTCTAGAGGCCTTCCAAAGAAAAGAAACAGTTTAGATTTTGCTCAGCTCTGTGGTTGACTACGGACTCCCACCCCATGGGGGACCCATGGGTGAGGTCCCAGCTCCCAGGAGCAGGGGAGGGAGCATTCTGGGAGTGCAAACCAAACTATTTGGTTCTCTGGCCAATGGGGCCTCTAAGTTGGCTTCAGAGACCACTGAGGGATGGGAGTGTCATCAACACAGATCCCAGAATCTCTCCTCTAAGCTTTACCTTCCATTCAAGCCGGGCTGGGATCCTCACTACCCCAATTCGCCTCACCCCATTCCCTCCCACCGCCTGCCCTTTGCGAGTGTTGAGCCGCCCTCCTGGAACACCTTCCTTCCCATGGCCAAGCAAACTCATCTGCATTTTCAATACCCAGGTGGAGCTCTACCTCAACCATGAGAAATCTTCCCCGAAAACCATGGCTCAACAACAGTTTTATTTCTCTCCCTGAACTTGCAACGCAATTTACTTCTTCATTCATGAATGCAATAGGTCATTTTTAGGGAAGGCGTTCTCAAGGCCTTTGGCCTCATTACCTGCTTGACGCTCTTAAAAATTATAGAAGACCTCAAAGAGTTTTTGTTTATGTGGCTTTTGTCTGTTGCTTTTTACCATAATAGGAATTTACCCTGAGAAATTTTAAAACTATTTATTCATTCATTCACGTGAAAAGAACAAGAACAAACCCATTACATGTTAATATCAGGAGGATGACATCACCACATGTCATGAAGCCTCTGGAAAACCCCACTGCGCACTTGTGAGAGATGAGAGTTTGAAAAGGCAAATCACATCTTTTGTTATATCAAAACAAAAATAGCTTTGATCTCATGGATTCCCTGAAGGGCCCCACAGATTATTTTGAGAATTACTGTCTAAGGCTATTTAGAGGCACCAGGTTTTCTCTGTCTCTCTCTCATCTCTATCTCTTTCTCTCCCTTTTTTGATAACTTACTATCTCTGTCTCTATCTCAATCTTTGTCTGTCTCCACGTAAGCCTTCTTCTCTTTCATCCATCACTGACTTTTTGGTATAACTTTAGTATTTACTTTACTGGTACTTGTTAACATTTTAAAAAATTAAATAGATAAGGATAGGAAAGGAAAAGAAATTAGGAGGTCAAGGCAGGAGGTCTTGAGCCCAGGAGTTCAAGACCAGTCTGGGCAACACAGTAAGACCCTGTCTCTACAAAACAGAAAACAAAAATTTGGCGAGGCAAGGCGGTGGCGTGTGCCTGTAGTGCCAGCTACTCCGGAGGCTGAGGTGGGAGCATCGCTTGAGCCTGGTAGGTCGAGGTTGCAGTGAGCCACGATTGTACCACTGCACTCCAGCCTAGGCCAAAGATTGAAACCCCATCTCTAAAAAACACAAAGAAAAAAAGAGAGAAAAGGAAAGGAAAAATCAGCGTGCAAAGCACAGACTCTTAGTAAAGACTGTGCATATCACCATAAATATTTTTGTTATACATTGTTCCAGATACAGAGAAGGATGTAGATATAGGTGTAGATATAAATATGAATGTGAATGTGGGTATGTATTTGTTATTATAGGCTGTGGTCAGAAGATTTTGAAAACAGTATAATAGAAGACCTTTTATGGAGATTTCTCAGGATAAGACAATGTTTAGCAAAATGTGGGGCATTCTCTCCTAGTGGTATGGGAAACAATGTTTTGGTTGCATACTGCATATGCATATGATATTAAACAACAATAGTATATTAACATCAACATTAAATAACATTAATAATCCCTGTTCAGTTGTCTTTTAGCTACTCTGATTACAACGAGGAGGAAGTCTCACTTGGTGAATAGGGTCTCTTTAACATTCTCTAATATTTGCTAATCTCCCTTGGTAATCGGGACAGACAAAGCCTGAAGTTCAGAGCTCTCAGCAGTCAGCAACGTCTCAGTGGGCTCCAAAACACTGTTTTGGATTCAAATATATATATATATATATATATATATATATATATATATATATATATATAGAGAGAGAGAGAGAGAGAGAGAGAGAGAGAGAGAGGATTTATATATATATATAGTATATATATTTATATCTATGAGTATATATATAAATCCAATACATATGATATCCAAATTCATATATATTAGATTTAGGTATCATATATATTTGATATGTATACTCATATATGAATTCAAATATATATTTGATATGTAAATCCAAATGTATGTACACATATTAAAAACCCTGTTTTGGATTCATATATATATACATATATATTTTTCTTAAGTATCATATATACTTAAGTATTATATATACATATTTATGAATATATATATATATATGAATCCAAAACAGGGTTTTTTTATGTGTCTATATATATAATATATATTTATGGGTTCATATATATCATATATATGAATAAGAATATGGATTATAAGAATATGAAATAAGAATATGGATTCATATATATGAATCAATATATATTTATACATATGTACATATATAAAATGTTACAGTTGCTATTTACGTGTGGCAATGATGCTACGTTTCCATCATCTTAAGTAGAGATGTAACATTTCTTATTTAAGTAAGTTTATTGCAATAATCAAATGAGTTGCTGTAAAGAAATACTTAAGAAAATAATATCACAGGTGGTGTGTATATCTGGCAAAAAGTGTGAGATGAAGGTAGTTCCCAAGGGGTTAAGTTCCAGAAATACTCATGTTCTGGAATGAACACTCAATGGAGTCAGGCAAATGTGGATTCAAATTGGCCGCTCTGCCACCCACTGTCTGTGACCTTGGGCAAGTGACTCAGCCAGTGTTGAGGACTCACTGCTCCTTTGGGCTCTGAGAGTTTTCAAGGATCAAAGACATCTGAGGTAACACCAGATGACCTCAGGAGAAAGACCCCAATAACTCTGTCCCATACTCTCTGCTAAATAAACACTTTGTGGGCATGATCTCATGGCTCACTACAATCTTGAAATA
Organism: Homo sapiens; assembly: GCF_000001405.40. Taxonomy (NCBI): domain Eukaryota; kingdom Metazoa; phylum Chordata; class Mammalia; order Primates; family Hominidae; genus Homo; species Homo sapiens. The sequence goes on from NC_000020.11 coordinate 46,835,798, forward strand.
AGGACCTTTTTTTTTTCTTCTACAGATGAGGAAAGAAAGGCTGAGAGAAAGGGCAATGACCTTGTCTTCCTCTTAATAAATGTCAACTTCTTTTTTTTTTTGAGATAGGGTCTCACTTTCCGTATTTGGAAAGTGCAGGAGCAGGGATTTGAACCCAAGTCCATCTGGGTGTGAATCTATTTTGTTTCTGGCTGCATTTACCCATCTTCATGGGGACAGGAAGGGAAGGAGTGGCCACTCAGACACCACTCCCATCATCTCACCTCCTCTTTGTACCTCCTCTACTGATGCTACTAAGCATGGTAGGAAAAGTTGAGATTGTTTTAAGTACTCATGTTTTAGCCATAATTTACTTTTACTAGCTTTGTAATTAACACATGGGAAAAAAGCAGGTTTCCCCTGCTAAGTCCAAGAGACTAGGAAGATCAATGAAGTCATTGTCATTGAGTTAAATATTAAGAGGCTGATTTGTAAATTCAAACTCAAGTTTGCATTTTAAAAATATACCGTTGAATTAAATTTTATGAGGACAAGTTGTAGAATATGCATAATTTTTTTCTGATAGAAAAAATCCATCTACCCAGCTTATATTTATATTTTAGTTTTCAAAGTCTGACTTGTAAACACTCAACAGTTTTCACCCATATTTCGATAATCAAATGTAATGGTTGGCACAGGGCTTTGTAGTTTGAAATACTTGGGTCAACAATTCTACATTTCTTTCTCTTAACATGCTATTAAAATGCATGGCTTCTGATCACAAATTTACTTTCATTCAAGACTGAATTGAACAATTTCAGAATCATAATTTTAACTGTTCCCAACTGATCAATGGTCTTAGTTTCAATTTCAAATTCCCCCAGGGAACGATCGTCGCTGGGCATAGCTTTTATGCGGGGTCATCTTATGGGGGAGGAGCATTCAGGCAGAGGGGACAGGAAGGATGAGGATCTAGAGATAAGAGTGACCCTCCTTAAGTGTCTGAGGGGCAGCAAGGAGGGAGCAGAACAAGATGAGTTCAGGGAGGTGATGGGAGTAGGGAAAGAAAGATCATTTGAGGCTCGTTCTCCATTGTCAGGACTTTGGATTTTTATTCTGAATAACACCAGAAGCAGTTGGGGGGTTCTGGGCAAAGAAACAGCATGTTCTTTCTCACCTTGAATAGGATCCCTCAGAAAGCTGAGTTGAAAATGGATGATAGTGGGGGAAGAGTGAGGACTGTATCCGATAAGCCATGTGAGCGATTATGCTGGCTCGGGTCAGGGTGGGGGTCCTGGGAGTGGTAAGAAGGCCAGGATTGGATGGTGGATTAAAGTGATGTGAGTGTGGGGAAAAGGGAGGAGCCAAGAATGATGGCAAAGTGTTTAGTCTGAGTCACTGAAAGAGTTGGCTTTTATTAAGAGGAAGACCAAGGGAGGAGTGTGTGTGTGCGCACTCATGCATGTGTGAGTATGCGTGTGTGTGAGTGTGAAAGTGTGTGTTTATGTGAGTGTGAGTATGAGTATGTGTGAGTGAGTGTGTGTGTGTGTGTGACCATGAGTTAACTTGGGCTGTGTGGAGTTTGAAATGACCATTTGGACACCCAATGGGAGATGTTAACTAGATGACAGGGACACAGCCCGGAATGCAGGGAAAGTAAACCCTGAGAGCCGTTGTAGTAGAAATTATATCCAAAGTTCCAGAAGTGATTGCTGAATGGCTAAAGGTTGCTGAGGGAAGGAAAACTTTTCACTAAAAGGCAATTTGAACATTAACATGTTATTGCTTCTCAAGAAATTAAAAGAGGCCGGGCGCAGTGGCTCATGCCTGTAACCCCAACAGTTTGGGAGGCCGAGGCAGGCGGATCACTTGAGGTAAGGAGTTCGAGACAAGCCTGGGCAACATGGAAAAACCCCGGCTCTACAAAAAATACAGAAATTAGCTGGGTGGGTGGGGTGCGGCACGCTCCTGTAATCCCAGCTACTCAGAAGGCTGAAGCAGAATAGCTTGGACCCAGGAGGCAGAGTTTGCCGTGAGCCAAGATTGTGCCACTGCACTCTAGCCTGGGCAACAGAGCGACACTCTGTCTCAAAAGAAAAAAAAGAAGAAGAAAGAAAGGAATTAAAGGGGTCTTCTCAGGCCAGGCAAAGACAAAGTGGAGCCCAGGGGATATCGCCCCACTCCACTGGGACCCTAGCCTGAGAGCAGGGATTGTACACAGGCATCTAAACTAGGGCAAAACACCTGGTCTGGTTACAAAATTACACCCAATATGTCTTTCAGAACTGTAACCCAGGCACAAGCCTCTGCCTCTTCTTTAAAGTATTTTCCCCTGACTCTGCCTGCTTCCTGCTTTTATGCTCCTCTCTACCTCTTTGTTGCAGGGGGCCCCAGTCAAAAGAGCTCACCTCACCTCTCCTGATAGATTGCTTAATGAGTACACATCCCTCCCATCCAGTAAGCACGCCCCTTTGCGAGGTAACCCTGAAGCTCCTCCCCTCCAGAGGTGGGTTCTATTTCCCCAGCCTTTTGATTCTGGGCTTGATCTTCTGACTTGATTTAACCAATATTATGTAGTAGAAATGCCAGTGTGTGAGTTCCAGAGCTTGAGTCTTAAGAGGTTTGAAGCTTCTGCTTTCACCTTCTTGGAAACTCCAGACTACCATAGAAGGCAGCTGGTGCAGCCTCCTGGGGAATGAGACATTCTGTGGAGGAGAGTGGAAGCAATCCCTAGTCAACAACCAGCCAGACATGAGGGAGAGGCTATTAGGGCCTTTTCAGCCCCAGCCAGTCTCCCAACTTTGTGCAGCTACATGAGTGAGCCTCAGCAAAACCAGCAGAGAAACTGCCCAGCCAACCTTTAGAATCATGAGAAAGAAGAAATCATTGTTTTGTGATTTGTACACAATGACAGATAACGAATATACCTTTCTTAGCCTCATGCTCCTCATCTGTGAAATGGGAATAGCAGTCCCCATCTAGTAGAGTTATTTTGCACACTAACCAATTGACTAGATGTGAACATACTTGCAAGCTATAAAAAAATTACATGTGTTTATTGTTAATAGGCCTCAATATATTGAGTAAAATATCTGGGCCCCTGGAAAGGTGATCTAACAGTATTTTGGCACAGTTAACACAAATAGAGTGCTTAGGCACAGACCAGGCACTGTTCTAAGTTCCGTAATTGTGCTAATTCATTTAACACTCATCATGGCTGGGAGCGGTTGTTCATACCCGCAATCCCAACACTTTGGGAGGCCAAGGCAGGAGGATCACTTGAGGCCGGGAGTTCAAGACCAGCCTAGGAAACAAAGCAAGACTCTGCCTCTATGAAAAATAAAATGTGAGCCAGCCATGATGGTAGGCATCTGTAATCTCAGTCTGTCAGGAAGCTGAGTTGGGAGGATCGCTTGAACCCAGGAGTTCAAGGCTGCAGTGAGCTAAAATAAGCCTGACTGATAAAGCAAGACAATGTCTCTGAAAAAAAAGAAAAAAGAAAAGAAACCCACTTACCATAAGCAAGTCTACAAGGTTGGAACCATGTTTTACAGGTGAGGAAACTGAGTCCTAGAGAGGTTAAGAACTTTTCAAATGTCATTCAGCTAAGAAATGATGGAGCTGGGATCCAAGCCCAGGTGACCTGGCTCCTGAGCCCTTGTTCCCATGAGATAATGGCAGGCAGACACGGCCAGGTGCGGTGGCTCACACCTGTAATCCCAATACTTTGGGAGGCCAAGGTGGGTTGATCATTTGAGGTCAGGAGTTCGAGACCAGCCTGGCCAACATGGTGAGACCCCGTCTCTACTAAAAACAAAAAAATTAGCCAGGCGTGGTGGCGTACGCCTGTAATCCCAGCTACTTGGGAGGCTGAGGCAGGAGAATCGCTTGAACTCGAGAGGCAGAGGTTGCAGTAATCCGAGATCACGCCACTGCACTCCAGCCCAGGCGACAGAGTGAGACTCCATTTCAGAAAAAAAAAAAAAAAAAAAAGACAGGCACATCCAAACAGACACCTTGGACAGCTGGACACTGCGGGAAAAGCTGCACCCTGCTTTAATGTGAGAGAGAGTTTCCATGTGGTTGTTATTTGGTGGTGGCTGGAGATGGAACCAAGGTCAGTTGTCTCTGGAAGGTTGGCTGCCTCAGATATTGACTTCTGTCCTTCCTGTGCTCCATTACCTTTCCCTTCTGTTCAACTGGGGATCAGGCTTTGTGGGCCGTTGTTTCTGGAGACTTTTGTGTCAGGGCTTCCCGGCTTCTATTTCCCAAAGCCATAGTCATTTGCAGAAGACTGAGGTTTTCCTACACTGAGAAGAAATTTCCCTGAATTGGGTAAAGAGCAGTGAGTTCTGTGGGTTCTGGAGCCCTGAAGCAGGCAGGGCTGGGGGATGCGGTTGTTACTCCCTGTTCTCTGGCAGGATATATTAGGGCTCATTGCAGGCTGCACCCCACCACCTTGCCCTAGTAACTTTAGTTTCTTGTCTCAGCCACGGTTTCCTGTCCCAGGCACGGAAGGGGACATCAGAGCTACCGCATCTGAAGGGGCCCTGTGGACTGGGACAATGGGCTTCTCCTGGGTCACCAGTGAGTACCATTGACTGGTACTGCCTAAAACTGCAGAACTGAAAATCTTGGTACAGCCCAAAAGTAGGGGCCCAATGAGCCCCAACCATGACAGTGGTTCAGGGCTCAGACTAGTAAGAAGGTAGATTTAGTAGAGCATTTCCAAATTTCAATTGTTTGCAAACTCCCTGCAAGTAGAGTTGCCAGATAAATGCAAAATACCCAGCTGTTCAGCCTGTCTTTTCTCCTGACCACCCCCACCTTTCCAGTATTTTGGACATTCTTATACTAAACAATTATTTGTTGTTTATCTACAATTCAGATTTAACAGGGTGTCTTGTATTTTTTATTTGCTAAGTCTGGCAGCCCTAGCTTCAAGATTTTTACCATAACCACACACTACCTCATATACTTGAGACTTTATGAGAACAAACCAACTGTTCTAACATTTAGTTCATATTTTCTTTAAATCCATATGACTTTTTCATTTAGGTAAAGTTATTTTTAAGGAAATTTGATTCCACTAATAAAAATGGAAAACTGGTATTAATTGCCTTAAACAGAAGTAACCGTAAAAATGATATTTGATGAGAGCCAAGCAATGTTTTGAAGCTCTAGCTGTGTTCTTTTGTCTCCCTGAGGCCCACCCTCTCTCTTACAAAAAGATGGGGGTGTTAGAGAGATGCTAAAGAGAGGCTAGCAGTCTAGGGAGACTTTTTCTTTGAAGGACTGAAGGAGGATGGAAGGGGAAAGAATTTCTGTCCATGTGAGTCAATGCTATACAACCTCAGGTCCATGTACTGCTCTCACCTAAAATCTTTTTTACTTTTTGTTTTTTAATTTTTAATATAGAAACAGGGTCTTGCTGTCCTGCCCAGGCTGGTCTTGAACTCCTGGACTTAAGTGATCCTCCTACCTTGGCCTCTAAAATCATTTTAGCATCCTATGCTTTAGGACACCCTGATTTACAGAACATTAAGGAATGTGGAATTTGTTGCTCACCTCAGTTTCCGACTGGAGATTGGTATCAAAGTTCAAAATTGATAAAAAGAAATATCTGCACCAGACTTTGCTCTGGGCATCTTACCCACATGACCCTACTTATTTCTCCTGACAAACTAAGCAAAAAAGTCCTACCATTTCCCCCACCCTTTTTTTTTTAATGCAGCAATAGAGACATCACTTCCCATCAGGAACGCAATCTGTGTTCTCAAGAACTTCGCTTATGTTGATCTCTCTGTACATACCTACAACTCCTCCCAAGCTCCAGAGATACAGGTTAAGAAGGAAGCATCCAAAAAACCCTTTGGGGCCGTCTTGCCCATCTGTCCTCCTGAACCTTCATGCTGCAGCCCTGCTCCCAGGTTATACTTGGGAAACTCAAATAACCTAATTTCAAGGCAATAAAAGTTTCCAAATTTCCCAGAGGACAGAAGATTTTGCCCTGAGTGTTTCCCACAATTTGTAATAACTTTTCCTTTGAATCGCCCCGAATTCTTCTCTGTCCTAACAAGTTAGTAAGATCTGGCTTGAAGTGCTGGTCCATGTTCTGCCTTTTGATCTGCCTTCTGCTTAGAAGGATGTGTTACCTGAAAGACAATTTATTAAGCTGTACCCTTATGATCTGGGTACCATTCTGTATATTTCAACAAAGAGTTTTAAAAATTAGAAAATATAACTCTTGGGTTTATACCTAAAAGGGTTGAAAGGAAAGATTCCAGCAGATATTGGTATACCCATGTTACTACAGCATTACTTACAAGAGCCAAAAGATGGAAACAACCAAAAGGGCTATGGACCACTGAATGGATGTTTAAAATGCAGTACACACAGACACTAGAATATTCTTGAGCCTTACTAAGGAACCAAATTCTGGTACATGCTACATTATAGCTGAAACTTGAAGATATTCTGTTAAGCCAGACACAAAAAGACAAATATTGTGTGATTGCACTTACATGGGGTACATAGAATAGTCAAATTCATAGAGACAGAAAGTAGGGTGGCAGTTACCAGGGGCTGGGGAAGAGGAAAATGAGGAGTTATTACTTAATAATTATGGAGTTTCAGTTTGGGAAGATGAAAAAGTTCTGAAGATGGATAGTAGTGATGGCTGTACAACAATGTGGGTATACTTAATACTGCTGAATTCTACATCGAAAAATTATTAAAATGGCAATTATATATATATATATATATATATATTTTTTTTTTTTCTGATACAGAGTCTTGTTCTGTCATCCAGTCTAGAGTGATCTCAATCTCGAAGTGGCACGATCTCAGCTACTGCAACCTCCCTCTCCCAGGTTCAAGCAATTCTCTCACCTCAGCCTCCTGAGTAGCTGGGATTACAGGCATGCGCCACAAAGCCGGGTTAATTTTTGTATTTTTAGTAGAGATTGGGTTTCACCATGTTGGCCAGGCTGGTCTCGAACTCCTGGCTTCAAGTGATCTGCCCACCTCGGCTTCCCAAAATGCTGGGATTACAGGCGTAAGCCACCACACCTGGCCTATTATGTATATTTTACCATAATAAAAAATTCTAAAAACAACAACAACACAAAAAAGAGCTGGCTGATCTCTCAGAAGGGCTGGGTTTCAGTGTCTGGTAAACACCATTCAAAACAGAGATGTTCTGATTTTGATCGCGGTTTTTAAAATATTCAATCAATTAACTTTTTAATTTAGAGTTTATTAGTAGAACTACTTTAGAACAACTCCCCATCCTTCAGAAAAAAAAAAGTACATCTTTAATCTATTTGCTTAAACATATACATATTTCTTTCTAGTCTTGTTTAACCATTAGCAGTGTTATGTTATTGTTATGGGGGTAGAGGGATACGATATACTTACAGTTTTGGAGTTTGCTTTTTTACGCTTCACAAAATATTGCATGTACCAAGGGTCAGCAAACTTTTCCTGTGGAGGGCCAAATAGGAAATATTTGAGGCTTTGCAGGCTGTATGGTTTCTGTGGCACTGCTTGTCTGTCACTGTAGCACAACAGCATCCAGAGATGGTACATTAATGAATGGGTGTGGCTGTGGACAAAGGAAAATTCTTACAAAAACAGGTGGCCCAGGGTCACAGTTTGCAGGCCTCTGGTATCCTATACCCATATGCAATATAGCTCTGTGATGAGGGGCTGAGGGCTTAGTATCAGGGGAGCCTGGGTTCCAATTTTGGACATTCTAGCCCTAGTTGTAGGGTCTATTTGTGCAAATTGTAGAACATCTTTCTGCCTCAGTTCCCTCATCTGTATAATAGGACTAATAATAACCAGATCCCAGTGTTGGGATTAGATGAGCTAAGGTGTGTAAAAAACATGGCCAGATCCTGTGCACGGCAGAATCTGTAAAAACAGTGGATGCTACGTTACTTGCTATCATGAGCCAAGTTTCTTGTTTGTCTTTCATCCTTCTGTGTGTTAGTCCATTGAGTAAATACACTTTAATCTGCTTCATTATTTCTCCCAGACTGTCTACTTTAAATCATTCAACACCCTTGAAGCACCGAGGATGAAGAAAAGAAGCTGATTTTCATTTTTGGACTGTCTGAGTAAATGTGTTTGGGGAGGGGAGGGTGTTTAAAGACATAATCAACAGTGAAATACTTGCTTGGGAAGAATTTTTCTCCCCTCCCCCAACCAAGAAGGCTACTCAAAGATATGAATGTATTTCAGAATTCTTTGAGAGCTGGGCTGGATTAGGTAGGCTCTTCACTGAAGGTAAGAGAAACTTAAAATTGCAATGGGGCACCTCTAAACAAAACAAAGGGATTTGTTACAGGGAAGTCAAGGGTGTTTTATGGAATGTAAAATCCAAAAATGCAGCCCAGCCTCAGCAGGTACAGGATAATGAATGAAAAGTGATTGGGATCACGTGAGGTCAGGAGTTCAAGACCAGCCTGGCCAACACGGTGAAACCCCGTCTCTGCAAAAATACAAAAATTAGTCGGGCATGATGGCGGGTGCCTGTAATCCCAGCTACTCAGGAGGCTAAGTGGGGGAATCACTTGAACCCAGGAGGCAGAGATTGCAGTGAGCCGAGATAGCACCATTGCACTCCAGCTTGGGCAACAGAGCAAGACTCCGTCTCAAAAAAAAAAAAAAAAAAAAAGTGATTGGGGCAAGAGGTCAAGGTTCCACTGGGCCAAGACAATGGTATCTCTCATTTTCGTACAACAGAGTCTCTCCCGTCTGCAATTCCCTGCAGAAACAGGTTGATATAGTTTGGCTATTTGTCCCTGCCCAAATCTCATGTTGAATTTTAATCCCCAATGTTGGAGGTAGGGCCTAGTAGGAGGCATTTGGGCCTTGGGGGTGGATTTCTCATGGCTTGGTACTGTCTTCGTGAGAGTGAGTTCTCATGGGATCTGGTCATTTAAAAGTGTCCTGTACCTCCCCCCAACTCTTTCTCTGGCTCCTTTGTTTACCATGTGACATGCCTTCTTCCCCTTTGCCTTCTGTTATGATTGGAGGCTTCCTGAGGCCTCCTCAGAAGATGATGCTGCTACGCTTCCTGTACAGACTGCAGAACTGTGCGTCAGTTAAACCTCTTTTTTGCGTGTGAATTGCCCAGTATCAGATACTTCTTTGTAGCAATGCAAGAACCGTCTAATACACAGGTACATTTTAATTTCACCCTTTAAATCTTGTTCTATGTGCAGCTTCCTTCCTTGGATCCCCGCCTTGAGACTTATTGTCACATGGTGGTGGCAATCACTCACCTGACTGAGACGAGGAAAGAAAAGCAGGCATGTGTTTGTGTCTTAACTTCCCACCTTGGCTATTGGCCAGGAGATAGGGGTTTTGGCCAGGAGATGCGGCGATTGCATCAGACAGAGGCGGGGGAGCCCGAGGAAAGAGGAGTTCTCCACACCTTGATCACCACCGAAGGCTCTGGATCCTTCTCTCTGGCTGATTTGACCACACCCAGGAGCAGTGACATGGAAGTGAACTTGGAGAGGCAAGTTGATGAGACCGAGCGTGGCCTTGGTTTCCTGCTTTCCCCTGCTATTCCTGGTTCCTGTGCTGTAAGGATGCCACCTGACAGTTCCCATGGCTTCAGAAGGTGGGACTCAGAAGGTGGCTAAATTGAAATCTAGTACTCTCTAGCATGGGGCCTGCATTAATCCGTTCTCACACGACTATAAAGAAATACCTGGCTGGGCGCGGTGGTTCATGCCTGTAATCCCAGCACTTTGGGAGGCCGAGGAGGGTGGATCACGAGGTCAGGAGATCGAGACCATCCTGGTTAACACGGTGAAACCCCGTCTCTACTAAAAATACAAAAAATTAGCCGGGTGCGGTGGTGGGTACCTGTAGTCCCAGCTACTCGGGAGGCTGAGGCAGGAGAATGGTGTGAACCCGGGAGGCAAAGTTTGCAGTGAGCCGAGATCGCGCCACTGCACTCCAGCCTGGGTGACAGAGCGAGACTCCATCTCAAAAAAAAAAAAAAAAAAGAAAAGAAATACCTGAGACTGAGTAATATATAAAGAAAAGGGGTTTAATTGGCTCACAGTTCTGCAGGTTATAGAGGAAGCATGAGGCTGGCATCTGCTCGGCTTCTGGGGAGGCCTCAGGAAGCTTACAGTGATGGTAGAAGGTGAAGGGAAAGCAGGCATGTCTTACATGGCTGGAGCAGGAGAGAAAGAGGAGGTGCTACACAGTTTTAAACAACCAGATCTCACGAGAACTCACTCACTATCATGAGAACAGCACCAAGAGGGAAATCCAGGCTTGTGATCCAATCACCTCCTACCAGGCCCCACCTTCAACATTGGGGATTACAATTTTACATGAGATTTGGGTGGGACACAGATTCAAACCATATCAGGGCCTGTGGTGGTGAGGGCAGCATGACCCTTTGCAGAACCTGTGGTGGAAGATAGACTGCCCAGGCCAGAGGCTGGTGGAGGGTGTGGCAGCCACTTGGGGGAAGAGGGTTGGCTCAAAGAGTCCCAAAGCTAAGGAGAGAGGGAGCCAGTGGTCAAGTTCTGGCTGAGCTGAAGAGCAGAAGTCCAGTTAGCCATCAGCTTCCACCACAGAGGTGAGCAGCAACTTGAGGATCCATGATAGCAGGACAAGCTGCAGGTGCAAAGACATCTTGCCTTCAGGCCACCCAGGTCACCCGAGCTCAACCACCCCCAAACCCACGGAGGTCATTTTGGCAGAGCGGACACAGAAATAGGAGACCCAATTGACCCACAGGCTGAGCATCACCTGGAAGAACTATTTGAATCACTAGATTAGACTCTTTTTTTTTTTTAGACGGAGTCTCGCTCTGTCACCCAGGCTGGAGTGCAGTGGCACAATCTCAGCTCACTGCAAGCTCCACCTCCCGGGTTCACACCATTCTCCTGCCTCAGCCTCCCGAGTAGCTGGGACTACAGGCGCCCGCCACCACGGCCGGCTAATGTTTTGTATTTTTAGTAGAGCTGGGGTTTCACCGTATTAGCCAGGCTGGTCTCAATCTCCTGACCTCGTGATTCACCCACCTCGGCCTCCCAAAATGCTGGGATTACAGGCGTGAGCCTCCGCACCCGGCCAGACTCATTTTTAAAGATAGTTTTTAAAAAAAATTCTTTAACGTAATAGTGAAAGGGTCAGTACGTTTTTCCATAAAGGGCCAAACTGTCAATGTTATATGTTTTCCAGACTATAGGGTTTCTGTTGTGAAAACTCAGTTGTGCTGCTATGGTGCAAACACAGCCACAGACATTTGTAAACAAATGTGTATGTTCTAATAAGACTTTATTGGCAGTGAAATTTGAATTTCGTATTATGTTTATGCATCATGAAATGTCTTTTTATTTTTTTCAACCATTTCAAAATGTAAAAACCATTGTTAGCTCGTGGGTTGTACAAACATGGGCTACAGGCTGGATTTGGCCAATGAACTGCAGTTTGCTGGCCCCTAAAATATTTGATTCATATAAAAATTATGTCAGATATGTTATAAATCACAATAATAAATCAAAAACCTGTGAACCCAGCACCCAACTTAAACTCCCAAATATTAATACCACTGACTCCATCCTCTCTCTCCCATCACTCTGCCTCCCCCACCACCCTGCCCCAAGGGGACCATGATTCTCAATTTTGTGCTTTCAGTTCAGCTTTTTCTTTTATAGTTTTGTCAAATACATATGCATCCCTAAGCAATATTCGGTAAAATTTTGCTTCTGTGGGGGCTTTGTAAAAATGATATCATATTGTACACAGTTTAAAGAGACAGGTGCTTTTTAAACTCAGCATCATATTTCTAAGATTTTTCCATGTTGTTTCATGCAGCTGTGGTTCATTAATTCTCACTAGACAAAGTTTTTGAGGTGAGTCCACAGGTACGCTGCCTCTGAGGGTACTGCTGATGGGAACAAGCTTTCTGAACAGGATTGGAAGCCACACGCCACTCCCCCAGCACCACCCGCCCTGCCTTGCCACCACTGCTGGTGCTGTTGATGGTGCCGCTGTCATACTGACAGAAGCATCGCCAGGAGCTGGAGAAATGGCTTCTCCTTTCTTGCACCTTCCATTATCCCACTAATGTCTCCCATTGGTAGAACCTACCAAATGTCAGTGCACAGGTATCTAGGAAATGTGGTTAGCAGCTTTCCAAAAGCCCTAGCAGTAAAGAAGAGTTGAGTGTGGGTAAGTAGAGCTGAGAGCCAACCTACATTATCCAGCTCACTCACTGATGTCATTCCCAGGAATTCTTTTTTTTTTTTTTCGAGACGGAGTCTCGCTCTGTCGCCTGGGCTGGAGTGCAGTGGCGCAATCTTGGCTCACTGCAAGCTCCGCCTTCCGGGTTCACGCCATTCTCCTGCCTCAGCCTCCTGAGTAGCTGGGACTACAGGTGCCCGCCACCACGCCCGGCTAATTTTTTCTATTTTTAGTAGAGATGGGGTTTCACCGTGTTAGCCAGGATGGTCTTGACCCCTGACCTCATGATCCGCCCGCCTCAGCCTCCTAAAGTGCTGGGATTACGGGCGTGATCCACGGCACCTGGCCATTCCCAGGAATTCTTGAAGGCTGTTGTTTATTTCATGCTTAGGGAACATTGCAACTCTTTGATTGGAAGAGTTATGTCGCTGAATGCCATGAAATAGCATGAACATTAAGTGGAAACAGTAGGGAAAGGTGGCTATATGCCTCTTTGTCTTTCCTAATACAGAAAATGAAAGGAGCAAATCCTGGCTCTTCCCTCATTGGGCCATGGAGAAATGGTGGGGCTGATTGGAAGGTTACAGCTGTGAAGTCTCCAGTTTTTCACTTTGAAAGAACATAGCCCTGTCTGCCAGCAAATGTTTACCAAGCACTTAGATATCTGATGCAGAGAAAACAGTAATGCTTGAAAAGTCAAAGATCTGGTCCATACCTTCAAGGAGATTACAATCTAATTGAAGAGATAAGATATTCACTCATGGAACAAACAGAGAACAAGGAATTCAGTGGTAATAGACACCAAAGATGGTGAGCATGTGGCACACATACCATAACTCTCCATTCCCAGACCCATAGCAGGCATTACTAATCAATCAGATCTTTTTTCTTTCTTGATGAATCTGGATTCAATCACAGAATTCTTTAACACAGTGATTCAGACATTTACTCTTAATTTCTCAAAATTGATAGATGTAGCCCACTATATATAGGTTCAGTAATTTTCGTTAACTAATTGGTCTAATCAATGAAAATTACTAACAGCCTACTATGCACCATTCGCAGACATAGGCACAGTGGTAATTACCACAGGAAGACTTGTGCTTGTGGCTCAGAGTGTAGGCAGAGAATCAAAGAAGCAAACAGAAAATGACAGTGCAGTGGTTTAAGTGCTAATATGTGGAAAACAGAGGGTTCTGTGAATGCACAGAGGAGGGACCCAACCCAGATTTGGGAATCAGGGAGGACTCTAGGCTGATACCTGAAGGATAAACAAAAGTTAACGAAATAAAAGGGAAAGTGTATTCTTCAGGAAGCGTTCAGTTGCAATTGACAGAAACCTAGCTCAAGTTGCTTTAAACAAACAGAGAAATACACATGTGTTCATGTAACTGAAATACATTGGCTCACGTAACTGGAAAGTCCCAGAGTTGTTTGCTTCAGGAATGGCTGGATCTAGGCGCTTGAGTGATGTCATTAGGAATCCATCTCTATCTCTTGAGTCTGCATGCCTCTCTGCAGCTTCATTTCAATCAGGGTACACATTCATGGTGGCAAAGACATTCATGGTGGCAAAGACATTCCTGTGCAGTTCCAGGCTGACATCCTGTCTGCTTAAAACCTCCATAGAAAGGCACCTCACAATAGTGCCAGCAAAAGTCCTGAGGTTGACTCTGCTTTGCCCAGGCTTGATTCTGTTCGACCCCATAGCTTGGTCATACCCACCCACAGTATGCGGATAGAGCAGACTCCCAAGGAGACTGAGGTGCTTTTACCAGGAAAAGAGGGAACTATGCCAGGCCAGGAAAAGGGAGATGAAAAAACTTGATCTCTGCTTGGAAGAAGGAAGCAAAGGAGGGTACCAGGCAGAGAAGCTGTGATGCATCCGAGGAGAAGTTCAGGATGCGATGTGCAGCATCTGAGTGTGGAGTAGAGGGATGAATCTGGAAGGCGGCAGGAGGCAGGTCAGATGAGGCCTCTTAACCACGTTAGGGATCAGCCTTTATCCCAAGCACAGTGAGAAGCCATTTCAGGGCTTTAAGAAGGAGACTGAAGATTCTAAATCGCCCTCACTTTTGATGAGTTAACAGCATTATGGGAAGTGGGGAGAGAAGGAAGAGGCATTAATTTTCAAGATCAGTCCTTAAAGTAACCCCGTCAAAGCAAACCATGTAATTTAGCAAATCACAGTTTCCATTGAAACTTGTTCAGGTAATACGTGCTCCTCCAATTAGTATAACAGCCCAGAGATGCTTTTCCAGGACAAGATGGCCTTTGGGTCATCATGTTCTTTGCTGCAATTCACTCAAGTGATTTCATTCCTTAGTTGAAAGAAGTGGCTGCTTGTACCAAGGGTCACTGAACACCAGTGGCTACAATTTTTTGAAATAGGCTTCTTGTAGCACCTACTGACCAACAGCCTCAAGCCTGAGGCTTTGAGAGAATGAGCAGAGTTAACCCTTCAGCAGCCTCAGCCCTCACCCAGCAGGAAGGCCACAGCTGTCCTCCAGTGCAGGACAAATCCTGCCCTGGAAAAAAACCATACAGGGCAAGCCTCAGTTCCGCTCATAAATCAATGTCTGCAAGTCTGTTTCTACGTGTAGTTAAGTTACACGGAAAAGTACAACTGGATTTGTCCCCGGTTTTCCCATTAGGGATAATATAAAGTGGAGGCGGAAGTTAATTGAGTTCAGAGTTCGCCGTGTGATGTCAGGGAAGCGGGGCTCTGGCAAGCAGGTCGTGTGTAACATGTGTTCTGAGGGTAGTGTTTTCACACAACCTCCCTGGGGGAGAAAAGCGTTCTTTCACCAGGAGTGCGATCTTCAGAAAACAGGCTTCTGGGGTTCCAAAGGGGCTTTCACCTACATTACAGGATAAAGGTCTCATTTTCCTTACAGAGACGTTCGTGCAATGAGCATGCCTGTGATATTCAAGAAAGGGTAATAAAAACCCCTGCCTTTCAACAAGAGTCATAAAGGTCGGTGGTTCAGAATAGAGACCCTGGAGCCAGACTGCCAGATCAGTCAGTCACAAGTAGGGAGACAGGGCAAGGATCACTTCACTCTCTGGGCCTCGATTTTCTAATCTGTGAAATGGAGCATTCAATTAGAGCCTCTACCTCATAAATTCACTGTGAGGATTAAATACGTTAATATATATCAAGTGCTATAAACAGTGCCTGGCTTTCAGAAATTACCACCTATGGTAGGGCGTGGCACTTAGTTCTTTACAGGCATTATTTCATTGCATAATTTAAAAAATAAAGAAAAATGTTGTGAGTTGGCGAAGATTGATTTACCATAAGGCTGCTGAAATTTAAGTGTCAGGGTCTTCACTTTCACTGCCTCTTCCAAAGCTCTGGAAGGGCCCCAGAAATAAGCTCACAAAGGCATGTACTGTAATAATTGCAAAAGTACGGTCTATTTCTTCTTTTTTTTTCAAGACGGAGTCTCGCTCTATCTCCCAGGCTAGAGTGCAGTGGCACAGTCTCTGCTCACTGCAACCTCCGCCTCCAGGTTCAAGCAATTCTCCTGCCTCAGCCTCCAGAGTAGCTGGGACTACAGGTGTGCACCACCATGCCTGGCTAATTTTTGTATTTTTGTAAAGATGGTGTTTCACCATGTTGTCCATCCTGGTCTTGAACTCCTGACCTCAGATGATCTGCCCACCCTGGCCTCCCAAAGTGCTGGGATTACAAGTGTGAGCCACCGTGTCCGGCCAGTAAGACCTATTCCTATCTTTATTCTTATAAGGGACTCTAAAATTGTGTAAGCCTCAGCCCCCACAAAAAATGGATTCTCTCTGGGAAGAAGGGCTTCTTATTTCCATCTTGAAGATGAGAAAACAGGCTCAGAGAGGCCCAAAGTCACATAGCTAGAGAGGAGTGGAGCCGGGACTCCAGCCCGAGTCTGTCTGTCTGGCATCCACTGCACTCCTCTGCCAGCCTTGAGGTGGGGACAAACTGAGCCACAGGTCTCAGCAGCTGGGGCTTGTCTGGCCAGTTGGCCATCACAAAGCGTGGCTTCCAGGAGGCACAAATATAAACATTTTTCTGAATGAATGAATGAATGAATGAATGAATGATTTTCTACCATCTCCTCCCATATCCAATTCAAGAATTCCGGAACTTCTTTCCCCTATTGCATGCATCTTAGGGACCACAGGGGGTTGTTACTGAGGTGTGACCTTCCTCTGGGCTGGGAGAGGACATGGGAGTGACCCAAGCTAGGATGACCTGGGGCTTCCTCTGTGGAATTTGAGCTCAGAGTGACCAAAAGACTGAAACACAGGTGAGCTCATTCCTTGGTGCTGCCTGTTTCTCTCCCTGGCTCTACAGCCTTCCTGACAATTCCGTGAGTCCTGATGTCCTACAAAGTCTCCTTTTCTGGAGATGGCCAAGAGTGGGGTTCCATGCCCACAATCAAAACTGCAATCAAATGACATGTGGCTCTCCCTGAGGCTTCATCGCTCACTCTGGCCACACATCTGTAAAAGTGATGAGTCAGCTGTTCAGGGGCACGTGGGTGAAAGGGATCTTAAGCATTCTTTAGCTCAGGCACCATTTGAGGACTCTTTCTCTCAACATACCCCAACCAAATGGTCATCCAGCTTCTGTTTAAAACCTTTCAAGGGGGTTCATTTCAGCTTTGAATAATTCTCTTAGAATGTCTCCTATTAGACATTCCTCCTATTAGATGAAAATCCGTATTCCTCCCTCTCACTGTCCTTTTTCTTCCTTCATTTCTTCCTTCCACCTTTCTTCCAAGTTTTCTTCCCTCTCTCCTCTCACTTCAGGAAGATTTCACTTGTCTACCCACCAGAGGCCAGGCACATCCTGTGCCAGGCCATGCAACTACTAGGATAGATGTTACAAAGTCTTTGTTTTAAACACACCTCTCCCTGATGATGCAGCGATTTTGTTTCTAAATATTTACCCAAAAGAAATGAAAACATACATCCACCCAAAGACTTGCCCATGAAATGTTCATAGCAGCATGATTCATAGTAGTCAAAAAGTAGAACAAGCCCGATGTCCATCACCTAGTCAATGGACAAGCTCACCCTCACTGTGGCAAAGGAGTCCCATCTGATCCCTGGGGGATACATTCCAAGACCCTCAGCAGATGCCTGAAACCTCAGTCAGTCCTGAACCCTATATACACTGTGTTTTCCTATACACACCTATGATAAAGTTTAATTTATAAATTAGGCACAGTAAGATAACAATAATGGATAATAAAATAGAACAATTATAATAATATAATGTTCACCATTTCACATATCGAAGATCCATCCTTATCATAGATCTTAGCAATCTCGGCACACGATTTTTTTTCCTTTTCTTCCTAAGTCAAGAACTTTCACATTTTTACTTAAAGGAAGCACTTTCTGGCTTCTCTTCTGCCTATCTGAATTGTTGTCATCACTACTACCCCTTATGCTTTGGGGCCATCACGAAGTAAAATAAGGGTTCTTTGAAAATAAGCACGGCATTACTGCGACAGTAGATCTGATAACCAACACAGCTGCTAAGTGACTAATGGGCAGGTAGTGTCTACAGCGTGGACACGTTGGACAAAGGGATGATTCGCAACCTGGACGGGAAGGAGCAGGGCGGCGTGAGATTTCTATCACACTACACAGAGCAACGTGCAATTTAAAACTTAGAAACTGTTTATTTCTGGGATTTTCCATTTAGTATTTTTGGACCTCAGTTGACGTCGGGTAACTGAGACTGCAGATAAAGGGGGACAGCTGTATATCCACACAATGGAATACCACTCAGCCATGAAAAGGAAAGAACTTCGGATCCATGCAATAACATGTATGAGTCTCAAAAGCATCCTGAACTGAAAAAGTCAGGCCCACGAGAGTAGATACTGTGTGATTCCTTTTCTATGAAGTTCTAGAAATGACAAACCCAAGCTGTAGTGACAGAACCCAGACCATGATTTCTGGGGACTAGGAATGGCAGTAAGGATTGGCTGAGAGAAGCGCAGGTTCTTTCTGAGCTAAGGTAAATGTTCTGTATCTTAAGCGTGGTGGTGTTTTCGCAGATGTAGGCATTTGTCAAAAGTCATCGAACTGGCTGGGCGTGGTGGCCCACGCCTGTAATTACAGCACTTTGGGATGCCGAGGCAGGCAGGTCACCTGAGGCCAGGAGTTTGAGACCAGCCGTGCCATTGTGCTCCACCCTGGGCAACAAGAGTGAAACTCTGTCTCAAAAAAAAGAAAAAAAAAACAAAGGCCGGGCACCATGGTTCATGCCTATAATCCTAGCACTTTGGGTGGCGAAGGCAGGTGAATTGCCTGAGGTCAGGAGTTCAAGACCAGCCTGGTGAACATGGTGAAACCTCATCTCTACTAAAAATACAAAAAAAATTATCCGGACTTGGTGGCACACGCCTGTAGTCCCAGCTACTTGGGATGCTGAGGCAGGATAATGTATTCAACCTGGGAGGCGGAGGTTGCAGTGAGCCAAGACCGTGCCACTGTACTCCAGCCTGAGGGACAGAGCAAGACTGTCTCAAAACAAACAAACAAACAAACAAACAAACCTCATCGAACTGTAACTTTAAATGTGCACATTTTATTATATGTAAGATTTTCCAAAACTGCCTACTTCAACAAGCTCTCAGCCTGATTAGGGGCATCATTCAATGATGTAATAAACCCCGAATATTTTCAAAGGTAAGAATTTTGTGGGTTTTTTTTAACTTTGAGATTATCTTTTAATTCTAATGTTACTCAATAATATAAAATAATTTATTTGACAGTACAAAATATTCACAAGCATGTGGACTAAGAGCAGTTGTCACAAGCCACTGGTAGAAGATCAGCCTGTCATTATCTTGTATCCAGGACCCAGCAGCTCCATTCCTAGTTCTGTCTTCTACATGGGTCCCAGGACACCTGCATGAAGATGTTCATTGCAGCGTTGTTTATAATCGCAAAAAACTGAGAGTGGGAGGAGACTCTGAATGTCCAGGAGAATGGAAAAAGTATACCATTGTACGTAAATGAACATTAAATGGCAGAGAAGAAGGACCATGTATCAAGAGAGACATGTCTCAAAATCAGTGTCAAATATAAAAAGCAAGTTTCAGAAAGATACGTATTGGATAATATCATTTATAAAGTGTTTCTGAAACATGGAACATGTATTATACATTCTGTACACTTGCATATTTAAGTAGCAAAATTATAAAAAAAAAACAGGAATGGGAATAAGGAAGTTACCAGTATAAAGATTACATTATGGGACAGTGCTGTGATTAGGAGTTCAGGCTTTGGAATCAGACGGACTGGTTTGAATCCTGGCTTGGACTTAACTTCTCTGAGCTTTTGTTTCCTTACATGAAAAATGGGACCAATAATGGTATCAACCTCATAAGGCTTTTGTGAGGATTAAAGGAAATAATATGTATAAAACCCTGCACTCCGCAGTGTATTTATAAGATTTAGATGTACAGGAGGTATAAAGAGGTGACAATAAAACCACCAATCTCAGGGCTGTCTTAAATTAAGATTTTTTTCTAATTAAAAAATTAATTTTGGAATTATGCTCATCATAGAGACCGTGAAAATTACAGATGTATATATATATGTGTGTGTATATATATATATATAAAGAAAGAAAAGAAAATTAACATGTCCCCAAATCTCCCTACCCTGGAAAACACTATAACATTTTAATGACTTTCCTTCCAGTCTTCTTTTGGCAATACGCATTCACACGTACTTAGATGAGGGGGTTCAGAGGAGAGGCGTGAATCTACACATCTCTCTGTCTATCTATGAGAAACATCTCCCAGCTTACTATTTGTATTCTGCCCTTTTCATTACCACTTGGGGCAGACTCTGTAAGTGTCTGAAGCAATTCCTTCTTCTTCTCTACCAACATAACCCATTTTTGTTTATGTATTGGCCAGAATTCTCCTGATCTCAGGGAAGATGTATAGGGTAGTCATGTGATCTAGCTATGGCCAATTAAAAGTAAAAATAGGCTGGGCATGGTGGCTCACGCCTGTAATCCCAACACTGAGAGGCTGAGGTGGGTGGATCACTTGAGGTCAGAAGTTCGAGACCAGCCTGGCCAACATGGTTGAACGCTGTCTCTAATGAAAACACAAAAATTAGCTGGCATGGTGGTGCATGCCTGTAATTGCAGCTACTTGGGAGGCTGAGGCATGAGAATGGGTTGAACCTGGGAGACGGAGGTTGCAGAGAGCTGAGATCTCGCCACTGCACTCCAGCCTGGGCGACAGAACAACACTGCATCTCAAAAATAAAAATTAAAAAAAAAAAGCAAAATAAGTTTGATGTGGAAACTTTTAGGAAGGAGTTTTGTATCCTGATAAAAAGCAAGACTGAAGTTCTGCCCCAGTCCTGGTCGCACATATCATTCTTGTCTTTGAATGAGACCATGATGCCAGGAGCTATGGCAGCCATTCTATGTTCATGAGACAAGCAGCCTGACGACAACGGCCAACACAATGAAGAGGATGGAGCAGAAAAACAGAAGAGCCTGGGTCCTTGATGACCCTGTTGAGGGGCCAGACCAGCCCTGAGGCCACTAACCTTCAGACTTCTTATAAATGAACATAAATAGCCTCATGCTTGAAGGCACCAATGGTCTGACTTTCCATTACCTTGAGGCCAAAAGTATTGCAAATGCAGACTTATTGTAGAATTCTTGGAAATTACACAATGTTTCAAAGAAGAAAATGGACATCATCCAAAATCTCACTACCTGGAGATAAACACTATTAAATATTTTGGTATATTTTCTTATTTTCTTCTAACCATAGAGAAAAGTCTTTCTTTTTTTAAAAGTGTATTGCTTGCTATTTGGCTTACTATTAAATTAAGTGTTTCTTTCCTTGTTATTAAAGAGTCTTTGAAAAGTTTATTTTTAATATCCATTGCTTGGATGTATTGTTACAACTGACACGTTTGGTTTGACTTCTGTCATGAAGATAAAACAAGAGGCTTTCTGTTTGTGGGTGTTTGTGCATTTTCTTTTCCTGCTTCCTTTGTTTCCAGCTTTTGCTATGTGGATTTTTCACTGTGCCTGAAAAAGTTCCCTTCCTCTAGCATTGTGGAAGGTAATTCACTCTTCACAGGACTCTGGATTTCAGATTTATAGTTTGAGGCGCATTTCCTTGATCCTTTTGAGAATCACACATTGCTGAGTCCTGAATTTCAGCTCTTATAGGGGCGTTTCTTACCATTTGATGAGTAAATCTCACAAATGCCAGCTGTTGCTAGCTTACAAGGAATCAAGTACCGGAAGTTCTTTCTCCAAACTGGAGTGCATTCCCAGCACATCCTATGGGGTCCAAATCTCCCCATTTCATAATCTTTGTCAGGGAGAAGTGGTGTAGAGAGGACAAAAGGAAAGAAGTTTTCTTTGCTAGATCATAAACATGCTAAAGGGCAAAATTAATACAGGTGATACCCTTTTAGCAACACCTAAGGGAGTGAGCGAGGATAATTTCTGTGTGCTGCATCTTTGTGTCTAAAACATCATGTGCAATTGTTTTATTTGGTTCTCTCTGAACAATTCTTCCTGGACGCACAGGAGCCAGATGTGGAAAGGTGAGGCCAGAGGAGGCATAACAGATCGGTTGGCAGACTCTGGACTTAGCCAAGGGTTATGTCTGAGTGCATTCAGCTCAAGTTGGGAGCCACCTGGTTTGATATTCCAAAAGTATTGGTGGCTGCTTTGCCAGAATTAGTTTTGTTTTGTTTTGTTTCTGATCCCCAGATGGAGTTCTGATGGCTAATGTGCACTTTTCCTTCAGTTACAAAAATTTAGAAATTAACCTTATTAGAATAAAATGCATCAAAATATAGGGCCTGTAAAGTCCAAGTAATTTCCCCTGAGATCAATCTTGATGCACGTTATATCCAAATGCAGATATATTAAATACCCTTGGAGGCTAGATGTGGTGGTTTATGCTCGAAATCTCAGCACTTTGGGGCCTACCTAGGCAGGAGGATCACTTCAACCCAGGAGTCTGAGACCAGCTTGGGCAACACAGAGAGATCCTCTCTCCAAAAAAAAATTAAAAATTTGACTGGGCATGCTGGTGTAGTCCCAGCTATTTGGGAGGCTGAGGCAGGAGGATCGCTTGAACCCAGGAGTTTGAGGATGCAGTGAGTTAAGGTCGTGTCACTTTACTGCAGTCTGGGTGACAGAGTGAGACCTCATCTCTAAAAAAAAAATAAAATAGTAAAATAAAATAAACATACCCTTGGATTTAAGGGATTTGGCCACTTATTTATGCTTTTATTTATACTGGAAGAGAGAAGCGGCAGGAAACATAAGTACATGGGCAGTGGTTTGGGTTTCAGGAAAGTTAGGATTTGTGTCCCACCCTTACCACTTCCTAACTGTGGGATCTTGGGCAAATTACCTAACCTCTCTAAGCCTCAGTTTCTTCACCTTGAAAATGATATATAATGCTACCTGTTTTATAGGTTTTAAACTTTAAGGCATGATTTATATTGATATATATTTATGTAATCAAATGCACAGTTCTTAAATGCTCTGTTCAACGAACTTTTACATTTATATACACATAACTAACCAGCACCTAAATAAGATATAGAACATTTCTAAGGCCCCATCTGGAAAGTTCTCCCATGCTTCTTTCAGTCAATGTCCCCCAACCCCAGCCAACCACTATTTCTATCATCAAAGATGAGTTTTGCCTATTCTAGATTTTCACATAAATGTAATCATACAGATTACTATTTTGTATCTGGCATCTTTTACTCCACCTAATTTCAACCATGTGTGTGTCAATAGTTCATTCCTTTGTGCTGAATAGCATTCCACTTAATGGGTGTACCACCATTTTTTATCCATTAATCTGTTGATGGCCATTTGAAGTTGTTTCTAGTTTGGGGGTATTACAAATAAACACAAATTTTAAATTTTGATGTATTTCAATGTATTTTTTTTTTTTTTTTTTTGAGAAAAGTCTCACTCTGTCGCCCAGGCTGGAGTGTCATGGTGTGATCTCGACTCACTGCAAGCTCCACCTTCCGGGTTCACGCCATTCTCCTGCCTCAGCTTCCTGAGTAGCTGGGACTACAGGTGACTGCCACCACGCCTGGCTAATTTTTTGTATTTTTAGTAGAGACGGGGTTTCACCGTGTTAGCTAGGATGGTCTCGATCTCCTGACCTCATGATCCACCCGCCTCAGCCTCCCAAAGTGCTAGGATTACAGGCGTGAGCGACCACGCCCAGCCTCAACGTATCTATTTTTAAAATACAATTAGCGCTTTTCATGTCCTGCACAAGAAATTATTTTCCCAGATGTGAGAGTGATCTGGCTGTGAAATCTGTCACCTCATTGATTGGCAGGGTTGATTCAGCTGATCTGGCTGGCTAGGCAAGTGTCCCCTTCTTCCCTCACCACTCCATGTGTGTCCCTCCTGAAGCTGCACACTCAGTCGAAGAGCATGGCCATCCCTCATAGAGGAGGACCATTCTTCGGTCAAGGGTATATGAGTAGTTGTGCTCCCCTACTAAAGCCTCCAAACAAGCTCTCAAGAAATCATTTTCCCTCCTCCCCAAGGTTTTCTTCCAGAAGCATTATGGTTACGGGTTTTGCATTAAGGTCTATGATGTAGCTGGAATTCAGTTTTGTGTGTGGAGTGAGATAGAGCTCAAGGTTCCATTTGTTTCTTCCATACAGATGTTCAATTGTTCTGGCACCACTTGTCAAAAAGATGTTATTTTCCTCCATTGAACTGACTTGGCAATTTGGTAAAAAATTGATTGACCATAAAAGTGTGACTCTATTTCTGGATCTTCTATTTTGTTTCATTAATCTATTTAGCTATCCTTATGCCAATACTATACTGTCTTGGTTACCATAGTTTTCTTTACATTAAATCTTAAAACCAGTGTAAGTTCTCCAGCATTCTTCCTCCAGATTGTCTTAGTTATTCTAGAGCCTTTGTATTCCCATGTAAGTTGTAGAATCAGTCTCTCAGTTTCTCCAAAAAGGACTGTTGCAATTTTGTCTCTCAGTTTCTCCAAAAAGGACTGCTGCAATTTTGATAAGAATTGTGTTTACTCTATAGATCAATTTAGGAAGAATAAACAACTTAACAATATAGAGTGTTCCAATCCATGAATATTGTATATTTCTCTCTATTTAATTAGATCTTCTTTAACTTCTTTATAGTTTTAAGGGTAGACCTCTCACAAATCTGTTAGGCTTATTTTTAGATACTTTATTTTTTTATACTATTATAAATAGTATTTTAAATTTTTATTTTTCAATTGTTGGTTGCTAGTATATTTTTCTATATTGACTTTTATCCTTTAAACTTGCTAAGTTTTCATTTTAGTCTTAGTAGCTCCTTTATAGATTCCATAAAATTTTCCATGTAAACAATTGTTACTTATAAGAACAACAGTTTCCCTTCTTCCTTTCCAATCTCTATGCCTTTTTGTTCTTCTTTTTATTGTCTTATTCCATTGCTTAGGGCATCTCATATGATGCTGATTAGAAGTAGTAAGAAGGGATATCTTTGCCTTGTTCCCAGTCACAGAGGAAAGCATTCAGTCTTTCGCCACAAAGTGTGGTGAATGTTGTAGGTTTTCCATAGATAGATGCCCTTTATTAGACTCAGGAGTTTCCTTCTATTCCTAGTTTGCTGAGAGTTTTTATCATGGATGAGCGTTGAATAGCCAGATGACTTTTACATATATTGAGGTGATCATATGAATTTTCTCCTTGATTCTGTTAATGTGGCAAATTGCATTGATTTTTCTAATGTGAAATTTACTTTTACATTCCCAAGTCAATCCCCATTAGGGCATGATATGTTATCTTTTTTGTATATTACTTGATTTAATTTGAAAAATTTTATTAAGGATTTGCATCTTTATGAGGAATACTGTTCTGTAATTTTCTTTTCTTGTGATATCATTTTCTCCTTTGGGATCAGGTAATACTAGCCCCATAAAATGAGTTGGGAAGTATTTTCTCCTCCTCTGTTTTCTGAAAGACTTTGTGAATCATTTGTATTATTTCTTCCTTAATTGTTTGATGAAATTCACCTGCGAAACCATCTGGGCACTTTTCTTTAAAGTGCTTTTGACTATGAATCCAATTTTCTTGTAGCTTGGAGCTATTAAGGTTTTCTAGTTTTCTTGTGTCATTTTTGTTAACTTGCATTTTACAATAAATTTTTCCATTTCATATAAGTTGTCAAATGTATTAACATAAAGTTGATCAAATATCACATTAATATCTGCCGGATAATTCTGATGTCCTTGCTTTCATTTCTAATATTGACAATTTGTGTTTTCTTTCAAGATTTCTTGATTGGTCTTGCAGGTTTGTCTCTTTATAAACTTTTGATTATGTCCATTTTCTCAATTATTTGCTTACTACTTCATTTATTTCTGCTCTTATTTTTAAAGTTTCTTGTATATTCTTTGGTTTTATTGGCTCCTGTTTTATTAGTTTCTTAAGTTAGGTGTTTAAATGACTGATTTTATCCCTTTTATAATATAATTTCTAATTCATTTCAAGCTATAAATTTCTCTGTAAACATTTTTTAGCAAATCTCAGAAGTATGGTGTTCATTATCACTCATTTAAGAATATTTTCAAATATCTCTTGTTATTTATTATTTGTCTCATGACTAATTTAAAAGTATGTTTCTTAATTGTGGAATATTTTGGTGTTGTATGGATATCTTTTTGTAATTGATTTGTAATTTAATACCTTGGTGGTAAGAGAATATATTCTATGTAAACTAATCTTTTGATATTTTTTGAGACTTTTGTTTTATGGCCCAGCATAGAGTTCATTTTTGTGAATGTTCTATGTGCACTTGAAAAGATATGTAGTTTGCAGTTGTTGAGTGTTTGTTCTATAAATGTCAGTTAGGTCAAATTGGTTGATGTTTTTGACATCATCTACTTCCTTATCGACTTTTTTGTCCAGTTTTTCTATCGATTACTGAATGACTGTGTTAAAATATCTGGCATGATTGTGGATTTGTCTATTTCTCCCTTTCATTCTGTCAATTTTTGTTCCATGTATTTCACAGCTCTATTGTCAGGAGCCTACTCATTTGGGATTGTTATATCTTCTTCACTTGATCTCAGCCAATGGGCTAAGAAGTGATTGTTACATCTTCTTGATTAATTTACCCTTTTATTGTGAAATATTCACTCAAGACTAGAGCACTGTCATTGTGCTCTTTGCCTTGAAGTATATTTTGTGTGATACTAATATTGCCATATCAGCTTTCATCATCTTATGTTAGTATATGTCCTTTCCTACTTGTCTGTCTGTCTTTATAATTAAAGTGTGTCTTGTGAACAAATTATATTGAATCTTGTTTTCTGAATCCAGTATAACAATCTCTACCTTTTAACTGGAGTGGTTAGTTCATTTACTTTTAATGTGGTTATTGATATGATGGGCTTTAAATCTACTACCTTGGTATTTGTTTTCTGTTCATCTCATTTGTTCTTTGTTCCTCCTCCTCTACATTCTTTTGGGTAAAGCACATATTTTTTGGCTTTCTCTTTTATTTCTACTATTGACTTTAATTATATTTCTTTGTGTTATTTTCAGTGACTGATCCACAATATACATTTTAAGGTATCTAAATCTATTTTCTAATAATATTAAACTATTTTACCTTCAGTATAATAAATTTACACCATAATTCCTTTTATACGTGTGTACTTGTATATATGATATCAACTCCACAATATCTTGCTATTTTTTAAATATTCAATGAACTTTTAAAAAATTATATAAAATAAGGACATTTAAAAAGATATTTTACATTTATCTGAATATTGAAACTTTCTGGTGCTCCATCATGTATCATTTTCCCTCGGTCTGAAAAGATTTTCTTTTAGTGTTTCTTTTGGCTAGTGCAGATCTTTTGGAGATACAGTATCTCAGCTTTTTTTTATCTGAAAATGTCTTTATTTGACTTTCCTTTTTGAAACCTGTTTTTACTGGAGGTAGAATTCTAGGTTGGTAGACTTTCTTTTTAAATTTAAGCACTTTTAAGATGATCCACTTTTAACATTTCACTGACTTTTGTTCTCCAGTGGTACAGTATTAGGTATTACTTGTGTTATTTTTCTCCTGTATGCAATGTGTCCTTTTTTCTCTAGTTGCTTTGAAGATTTGCTCTTTATCTTTGGTTTTTAGCAATTTAACTCTGATGGACCTACATGTAGTTTTCTTTGTGTTTATTTTGCTGGGGGCTCACTAAGCTTCTTAAACCTTTGGGTTAATATCTTTCATTAATTTGGGGAGAAAAATTAGCTATTTTCTCTTTAAATATTTCTTCTCACACATTCACTCTCTCCTCAACTTCTGGGGTCTCTAGGGTCTCTGAGTTTTTCTCTCTTTGTGTTTCAGTTTAGATATTTTTTCTTTACGTATCTTCAGGTTCACTTATGTTTACCTTGGCTCTGCTCAGCTTTCAGTTAAGTATATCTGACAAACTCTTCATTGCTGATATTGTATTTTTTAAATTTCTAGCATTTTCATTTGGGCATTGGTGTGGGCCATGTGAAGACTGGCAAATACTATGACGTTCTTCTCTTCCTCAATGATGGCTCTGGTTTTCTCCTTCTTGTAGAAATTCCGTATGGGCATTAGTGGTCTTGTCAGTTGGGTGGCCAATTTGAACTCTTCACAGAACTGTCTCCCTTTTTGGGGCCCAAGGACTTCCTGGCAAAGAGGATAAGCTTACAGCAGTACTCCTTCAGCCATTGCACATTGGATACCGGGGACCCAGTGGACTTGTTCCACCTTCTTGGATCCATAGAGATGCCAATGGTCCAGTCTACCTTCTTATGGATGCCAGCCACCTTTAACTCTTCCAAGCTGAAGGACCTGCCAGCTCATACTTTGGTGTGATACCTTACTGTGGGGCATCTTACTACGGGCTGGATGGGTCCAGATGCAGGGCATGCTTTTGCTTGCCTGGATTTGAGTCTGCAGATCTTCCAGGCCAGCTGGTTGAACCAAGTAGCCACACACTGCTGCCAATCCTTATGGAAGTGAGTCTTCAGGATCATGCCATCCAGCTGAGCAAGATGGCTGCCTACAACCCTACTCCACAGGAGACCTGCTGAGCAGAAGCAACTCTTTTTGGTTCTTTTTAGAGTTTATATGTCTTAACCGTCTCTTCATGCATACTGTCCACCTTTTCTGCTGTAACCTTCAGCATTGTTGTGTGATAATGCTCACTTCTGAGACATTGCTGGATCTGTTTTCATTTAATGTGTTATGTTTTAACTTTTTTCCCTTGCTTTTTCATATGTCATATAATTTTCTTCTATATATCGACATTTTGTATAAAAGAACAGTAGAGAAAAAAATAACCAATTTTTGCCTCTAGAAAAGGGCATGTTTTTTCTTCTATCCACTGCTGGAGTGGAAAGGGGTCTTAGTCTCTCTGATGTTAGTTGAACCGTGTCTGGGCTTTATTGCAGTCTTAGCTTCATTCAGTTCACCATTGGTTTTAAATATGTTGAGGATAGGTCAGGACTTTGGGCTCTGAGCCCTGTTGAGATTCTGGAGATCTTATTGTCATTTCAACAATATTCTACACTATGGGAGATTTCGGGATTTTGTTTGTTTGTTTGTTTTTTCTTTTTTTTTAATTTTTATTTATTTATTTATTTTTTTTTTTGTTAGACGGAGTCTCACTCTGTCACCCAGGCTGGAAGGCAGTGGTGTCATCTCGGCTCACTGCAATCTCCACTTCCTGGGTTCAAACGATTCTCTTGCCTCAGCCTCCCTAATAGCTGGGATTACAGACACACACAACCATGTCTGGCTAATTTTTGTATTTTTAGTAGAGACATGGTTTCACCACGTTGGCCAGGCTGGTCTCGAACTCCTGACCTCAAATGATCCACCCATCTCGGCCTCCCAAAGTGCTGGGATAACAGGCTTGAGTCACTGCGCCTGGCCAAGATTTGTCTTCTTTACAGCCCTCATAAAGTTTTCAGTTGCTGGGGAGTTCTCTTCACGTTCCAGGACCTTTCCAGAGTTTCTGAGCCTCTAGAGCTGTCTCTCTGCCATGCCACCCACCCTTAAGACTTGGAGAGCTACAGCCTTACACACTCACTAAGGTCCAGAATGCCTTAGGAGAGTTTCTCTAAGCGCTCCTATCCAATTCTTAGCTTCAGGTGGCTAAATTACCTAATTTTTAAATATAAAATAATTAGTGTTTAATTAGCTTACATAGAAAAGGGAGGTTTTTAAAGTTTTTCTTTTTTATTGTTGATGTATATTTACATGCAACAAAATTCACCCATTTTACATGTATATTTTCATGAGTTTTGGCGATGATTTGTAGTCATGTAATCACTACCATAATTAAAAAACCTTTTTGGTCAGGCGCAGTGGCTCATGCCTGTAATCCCAGCACTTTGGGAGGCCGAGGCAGGCGGATCATGAGGTCAGGAGATCAAGACCATCCTGGCTAACATAGTGAAACCCCGTCTCTACTAAAAACACAAAAAATTAGCCGGGCATGGTGGCGGGTGCCTGTAGTCCCAGCTACTCGGGAGGCTGAAGCAGAAGGATGGCGTGAATCTAGGAGGCACAGCTTGCAGTGAGCCAAGATAGTGCCACTGCACTCCAGCCTGGACAACAAAGCGAGACTCCTTCTCAAAAAAAAAAAAATAACAACAACAACAAAAAAACCTTTTTATCCCCCTAAAAAGTTCTGTCATATCCCGCCTTTGCATTCAGTCCTTCCTGTAACCTCCAGACCCAGGCACCTCTGATCTCTTTGTCACTATGATTTTATTTTTCCTAGAATTTCATATTCATTGGATCATAGTATTTGTCTTTTATGTTTGTCTTCTTTCACTTAGCATATTGTTCTTGAGACATATCCATGCAGGCGATATATCTCTGCTATTCATTTTTATTGCGAGTAGTATTCTATGGTACATTTATCACAAAATGTCCAAAGGTTGATGGACATTTTGTGATATCCATACCATAGAATACTACTCAGCAATAAAAATGAATACCATTTCAGTTGCTTCCGGTTTGGAGCTCTTATGAACAAGGCTGCAATGAACATTTGAGGAGGAGTCTTTGTGCGGATATAGTTTTTCTTTCTCTTGGATAAATTCCTAGGAGTAGAATGATGGGGTTGTATGATAAGTGTCTGTTTGACTTTACAAGAAACTGTCAAATTTTTCCGTCTATAGTGGCTGGACCACTTTGCAGCTGCCTCAGAATTATGTGTGAGCTCTGGTAGCTCGATATTCTTGCCAATACTTGGTATTGTCAGTCTTTTTCATTTTAGCCATCCTAGTGTGTTATCTCATTGTGGTGTTAATTTGCATTTCCCTGGTGACTACAGACAGCATTATTTTACATCCTTAAAAAGAATTGGTATGTCTGTGTTTCCCATTTTTAGTTGGTTTGTCCTCACGTTATTGATTTGTAAGATTTTTTTTTTTTTTTTTTTTGAGACAGGATCTTGCTTTGTCATCCAGGCTGAGTGCAGTGGCATGAACTTGGCTCACTGCAGCCTCAACTTCCTCGGGCTCAAGCAATCTTCTCACCTCAGCCTCCTGAGTAGCTGGGACTTCAGGCGACTGCCACTAAACCCAGCTAATTTTTGTATTTTCGGTAGAGATAGGGTTTCACCATGTTGCCGAGGTTGGTCTCAAACTTCCTGGGCTCAAGCAATCCTCCCACCTCCGCCTCCCAAAGTGCTGGGATTACAGGTGTGAGCCACTGCACCCAGCCTCTGTAACAATTCTTCATATATTCTAAATACATTTTGTCATATACGTTTTGAAAATATTGTCTTCCAGGATACGGGTTACCTTTTCATTTTCTTTGTGATTCAAAGAGCAAAAGTTTTTAATTTTTATGAAGTCCATTTCATTAATTTGTTCCTTTCTGATTTGCACTTTTTAATGAGCTAAGTCCTCTTTGCTTAACTCCAGATCACAAAGATTTTTACCTATGATTTCTCCCAGAAGTTTTATCATTTCAGCTCTTACGTTTAGATCTATGATTCACCTTGAGTTATTTTTATGCATAATGTGTGTGGTTTTGTTTGGTTTTGCTTTTGTTTTCTCATATACATACCCAGATCTTCCAGCACCATTTTTGAAGTTGCTATCCTTTCCCATTGTATTTCCTTGGTACCTGTGTCAAAAATCCATTTACTACAAGTGTGAGCCTACTGTTATATGCTGAATAGAAGTGGTGAAAGCAAAAAGCATTACTTTGTTCCTAATATGTGGGGAAAGTTTTTAGGATATGACCATAAAGTGATCATTTTAGCCAAAGCTTATCTTTTTTTATTATTTTACTTTAAGTTCTGGGATACATGTACAGAATGTGCAGGTTTGTTACATAGGTATATATGTGCCATGGTGGTTTGCTGCACCTATCAACCCATCATCTAGGTTTTAAGCCCCGCATGCATTAGGTATTTGTCCTGATGCTCTCCTCCCTTTACCCCTCACCCCCTGACAGGCCCTGGTGTGTGATGTTACCCTCCCTGTGTCCATGTGTTCCCATTGTTCAATTCCCACTTATGAGCGAGAACATGAGGTGTTTGGTTTTCTGTTCCTATGTTAGTTTGCTGAGAATGATGGCTTCCAGCTCCACCCATGACCCTGCAAAGGACATGAACTCATTTTGTCAAATTTCACTCCATTTATTTTGAAGCTCTGTTATTAGGCACTTACACATTTATGATTGTCGTATCTTTCTATTGAAGTCATCCTTCTATCATTTTGAAATGTGCCTCTTTTTTTAACTTGAAATCTATTTTATCTCATGTTAGTATAGTCAGTCCTGCCTTCTTATGCTTATTGTTTGCATCATGTATATGTTTTTTCCATCCTTTTATGCTCAACCTATTTGTGTCTTTATTTGTAAAGTGCATCTCTTATAGATAGGGCATCTTGGTTCTTGGTTTCTTATCTGAAAATCTCTGCCTTTTAATTAGAGCATTTACTTCATTACCATTTAATGTAATTAGTCATATGATTTGGTTTCAGCCTGCCATATTATTGTTTGTTTTCAATTAATCTCCTCTCAATTTTTGTTATTCTATTACCTTCCCTCGACTTTATAAAAGTATCAATTAATGTATTAGTTTGCTAGGACTGCCATAACAAACGATCATGGACTGAGGTGGCTTAAACAGTGAAAGTTTATTTTCTCATAATTCTGGAGGCTAGAAGTACAAGATCAAGGTGTCAGCAAGGCTGTTTTTTTCTGAGGCATCTCTCTTTGGATGGCCGTCTTCTCCCTGTGTCTTTACATGCTCTTTCTTCTGTACCCATCTGTGTCCAAATTTCATTTTCTTATAAGGACACAAGTCATATCGTGAGGTACTGGAGTTTAGGACTTCAACAAATGAATTTTGAAGGAGGGGGTGGGATAATCCAGCCCAAAACTATTGGTTTTATAATTGCATTTTAATTTTGCTATTAACTTTTAGCTATACTTCTTTGCATTTTTTTAGTGGTTGCTTTAGGAATTACAATATATATATCCCTAGCTTTCCATAGTCCACTTACAATTAGTCTTGTACTACTTCACATAAAATGTTGAAATATCATGTAAAATGTAGAAATACTGTATAGGTCCACACTCTCCCATATTTTATGTTATAATTGTTATACGTTTTCAGTCAACATACATTATAAACCGAAGAGTTACAATTTTTTTAAACAGTCATATGTATTTTTTTAAAAAAAAAAAAAGGGAAAAAGCAAAAACATAGTCTTTCTTATTTATCCAGCTATTTAACATCTGCAGTGATTTTCATTCTTTTCTGAGGCATTAAGTTTTCATTTAGTGTCATTTCTCTTTAGCTTCCTTTAGTATTTCTTATAGCACAGGTCTGCTAAAACAAATTCTCTTCACTTTCTTTTATCTGATAATATCCTTCTCCCTTGAAGAATATTTTCATTGGATATAGAATTCTGGGTTGACAGGATTTTTTTCTTTCAACATTTTAAAGATGTTCCGCTTTCTTCTGTCCTCTGTAGTTTCTCATGAGGTATCAGCCGTTAATCAAATTATTGTTCCCTTATACATAATATGTTGTTTTTTTCTTGTTGTTTTCAAGATGTTTTCTTGAGTCCAACTTCAGCATGACCTTTGCCATCTTTACTCTTCTTGGTGTTCATGGAGCATCCTGCGTCTGTGAATTTGTGTCTTTCATAAAATTTGAGACATGTTCAGCTATTATTTCTTCAAAGTTTGTTTTTGCCTCATTTTTGCTCTCCTCTTATTCTGCCCATTTCTCCCACAAGATCGACTTCAAAGTGTCTTTTGAATTACTTGCAAGGGGAGGGCTAGGGAAGGCTTATCAAAGCCCAGATTCTTGGGCTCTACCTCAGACTTATTGACTCAATGTCTGGAACTGAGACTCAGGACTCTGTGCTGTAGTAAGTTCCCCAGGTGACTTTTATGCACCACAAGTTTGAGAGCTCCTGCACAGGACTTTATGGGCTTCAAGAGCAGGACCATATCTTATTTATCTGTTGGATGCTCCTAAATTGCTCTGTAGTACCTCACTCCATGTCTTATACGTGGAAGGTACTCAATATGCATGTCGATATGCATGTGATATTTGCATTAATGCATAGGATTGTTTATCCTCCCTACTTCAAAAGGCAACTCTTATGCGAGTCTTTACCTCATCAACAGGTCTTAAAGTTGAGGTGGTTGTAGTTCACATTCAAGTTAATTAGGACTCCTCTGGTTTCTTATTATGGAAATACAACTCAATGACTTAAACAAAACTAAGAAAATGTGTTGACCCATGCAACTGAAAAGTCCAATGATTGTACCAGCCTGGGTCACAGCTGAATCCAGGGCACCAACACAACATCCTAGTACCATCTCTCACCATCTCTAAGCTCTACTTTCCTTTAGGTTGGTTTTATTGTCAGGCAGGCATCTTCCCACTTTGAGATAAACACTGTTGTCAACAGTTCTGAGCTCACATGGTTCTTACACTTGTGTTCTCAAAGTAAATAGAGCAACACCTCCTGGGCAGCTCTACCCAAAGCCCCAGAAAGGACTCTTATTGGCCTGGCTTTAGTCATGTGTCTATTCTTCAACCAATCACTATAACCAGGGAGATGACTTGCTCTGATTAGTCATCTGGAGTCACGTGGTCACCCCTGAGGTAGGAGAGGCAGGGCCATGAAATTGACAGCCCCTATGGATAAGGAAGGAAGAATTCCAAGCACACAAAGCAACAGATGACTTCTACCACAATCTTCAACATAATGGATGTAAACTCCTGTTCATGCCTTTCAACAGAGAAACTTTAGAACCATGTTTGTGAAATGGACCCTTTTTTCTCCAGGGAGGTTAGAGCAAATTCCATAAAGCCAGTCATTCCCAATCTTGGCTATAAATCAAAATCCCCTTGGCATGCTTCCTAAAAATACAGATGCCTGGACCCGTCCTCAGACCTAAAGAAGCAGAATCTGAGTGGTTGTGATTAGGGAGGGTATATAAAATTTTAGGTGTAGAATGGTAATAATTTTGCCCAGGCAGCCTATATGCCCCCTTTCCATTTCCCACTTTTCCTTCTGAAACTCCTTTCACCAGGTTTCAATCCATGTGGTTGGGGGATAATACTGTCCCCCTACCAAGAATGAGCACATAACCCAGACCTGATTGATCAGAGAATTTGATCCCTCTGTCCATAGCAATTGGTTCAGGGATAGGCATTCAGTGCAACCTGAGCCAGTGAGACCGAAACCCAGCATTTTGTTGGAAATTTTGGGAAACAGAAGCCCTCTTTTTTGTTGGAAGCACTAGCCATGAGGGTAACATGAGCCTACAGTGGCCCAGGGGCCACCACATGGCGAGGTCCCCCCTAAGAGTAAAGCTCAGTAGGCAAAGTAGAGCCCAAGGGGAAAGAGATGATTCCAGAGATTCTTGAGGAAGAAGCCCAAGAACGGGCCATCAGACAGAAGACCCAGAAAGCAGACAGGACCACAGAGAAAGCAAGCCAGAGTCCTGAAAACATCCTCCATGGCCTGACTCTCCTCTGGCCTTACAGTTAGTTAGGAGACCCTCTAACCTCCCTCGAGAGAAAAGTCAGTTCGAGTTGTGTTTTTCTATTCCTTACAAAGGAGGTGAGGCTTCCTAAGTCTTTCATGTGGTTGAACATGTTCCAAAGTTTATTCATTCATTCAACAACAGTTAATTGAGTGTCTACTATGTGCTCAGCACTATCCTACACACTGAGGATACAGCAATAAATAAAACACACAAACTCCCTGTTCTCTTCATAGCCCAAGTTTCTTTTAAAAAGCAATCATGTTCTCTCATTTTTAAAAGTATCACCTTTACTTTGAAGGCCCTGAGTAAGTATGTGGCTGACCAAGCCCTTGCAATTAGAGGAACATTAATGGCGCCTTCTTCCTGACCTGTGCATTCTTCCTCCCAAGGAATCTCTTTGTCCACTTGTCCATTTCCATTTGGCAAGGCCTTTCCCTTGAGGGAGATGAGAGCCATGGCCAGATTCTGAGTAGAGGAGGGATGTGGAATTGGACCTTGGACAAGTCACTTCAGCTCTATGAGCCTCATTTACCTCATCTATGAAATAGGGGTGAATCCTGGTAGGCAAACACCACAGTAATAATTGCTGCAGGCAAGATCCACCCGTGAATGCTGAGATTAGTGGGTGAAAGTTTGTGGATTAACAGGAAATTCATGTAGTCTCAAAGTATCACCTCCAAGATATTTATTCATTACAAAAGACAACCAAGTAACTTTACGCAAGAGACACCCAGTAGATGCCACCTTAACCAAGTGATCAAGGTTAACACTACCAGTAATAAGAAATATTGGCATCATGTAGCCCTTCATGTGATTACCTGAGGATACAATATCACTTCTTGCCAAAAAATGCTCAACGCAAATCTAATCATGAGAAAACATCAGACTAGCCCAAACTGCAAGACATTCTACAAGATAACTGACCACTACTTATCCCAAGAGTCAAGGTCATGAAAAACAAAGAAGGCAGATAAGTTGTCACAGACTAGGGGACACTAAGGGACAAAACATCTCAACGCAAAGTGAAATCCTGGATTGGATTATGGTACAGAAAAAGGACATGAGTGGAAAAGCTGATGAAATATGAATAATGTCTGTAGTTTAGTTAGTAGTATTGCACCAACGTTAATTTTCTTGGATTAATGTTTGTGCCATGGTTATATAAGTTGTTAAGACTGGGGAAGCTGAGTGAAGGGTAAATAAGAAAGCTCTGTACTATTCCTGCAACTTTTCTGAAAGTCTGAAATTATTTCAAAATACAAAATTAAAAATTGGACTGAATACCAGTTCTTACTGTGTAAGGATGGTATGCAGATTAAGCATCCATCAAGTCCTCAGCGCAGTGCTGGATAAGCATTCTGTAAACAATAGCAAGCATTGCTGCGAGCTTCATAGCAAGCATTGCTGCAAGCTTCTTTACATCTGTTATCAAGCACTTACTCATGGAGCACCCACACGCTCACCGCTGCCCAGTGGCTTTCTCTGTCTCTTGCCCTCATCAGTGAATTCTCTATTTGGGACTGAATAAAGAGGATTCTGCAAATCAGTCCTGAAAACAAGAGTTTAAACAAAAGCAAACTGTACTACTCTGATTACAAAACAGAAACCAAGAGTGCTCCTGAGTGCTGAATGGAAGGGACTCATGACTCCGCCCCTCCACCCCCGGAAGCAGATGAAGCAGATGACAGAATTTATTTGAACTGACTGCTGAATGGAACAGACTCACGACCCCGCCCCTCCACCCCCGGAAACAGATAGCAGAATTTACTTGGAAAGGTCTTAGAGGAAAACGAATAAGGCATCTATTCTTGGATTGACTAGCCAAAGTGTCGACGTCAAAAGCGCCATTTTTGGTTTTATCCAGGGTCTCATTCTCCCCTAAATCAATGGTCTGCAAACTTCTGATCAGGCACACATATTAGGAAAATATTTTGAAACAATTCCTCTAATGTTTATGCATTTACTTGCTAATTATATACATTTACCATGATATTAACCTATTATGTAGGTGGTAAAGCATATAAAAGGACAGCTGTAAAGAGGAAGTGATAAAGAAGAAATAAGTGATACTTTGAAAAAATTTACTCAGTGATGTAAAAAATTTCCTTACTCTCACTTAAGGATTATTGTTGTTTGGATATCGAATATCCTTTATTATTTTTAAATTTTTGGTTTATTTTATATGGTTTGAAATTGTGCAGTATGGTTTATATCAATACTTGATTTTTATGATTGTCATAAATGAAAAACTAACCTCATAGAGCTATATCTTCCAACTGGATGAAGGGTATCACTTGCTATACCTATTTTTAAAAATGCTGTTCATCTTCCAATTCCATATAGCAATTTTGCAAAGGTTTTTGTTGAAATTTGTCTAGTTATTTTTATCTTCCCTGAGGTTAAGCTGTTGTTGAAAACTAATTAAAAAGTGTTGAATTTTTGCACTTTTAGCATGAGTTTAAAATTCACTGACACTGAAATGCTAGGTTGAGATAATTTTAAGTTATATTAGAAAATTTGGTTTCCAGGACTTTAAAGTGTGTGCATATTAAAGCATTTATATAGAGAATTTACATAATTTTGAATAATGTAAATATGTCAACAATAATTCCTTAACAAGAATATTTCCAAACATCTGTTTTTAAAATGTTTTCTCCAGGCTGGGTGCGGTGGCTCATGCCTGCAGTCTCAGCACTTTGGGAGGCCGAGGCAGGCAGATCACCTGAGGTCAGGAGTTCAAGATCAGCCTGGCCAACGTGGTGAAACACCGTCTCTACAAAAAATACAAAAATTAGCTGGGCATGGTGGTGGGCGCCTGTAATCCCAGCTACTTGGGAGGCTGAGGCAGGAGAATCACTTGAACCTGGGAGGCGGAAGTTGCAGTGAGCTGAGATCATACCATTGATCTCTGACCTGGGTGACAAGAGCAAAACTCTGTCTCAAAAAAAAAAAAGAAAAGTAAAGAAAGAAGGAAGGAAGGAAGAAAGAAATGTTCTCTCCATAGCC
Organism: Homo sapiens; assembly: GCF_000001405.40. Classification (NCBI taxonomy): domain Eukaryota; kingdom Metazoa; phylum Chordata; class Mammalia; order Primates; family Hominidae; genus Homo; species Homo sapiens. The sequence goes on from NC_000020.11 coordinate 46,874,117, forward strand.
CAAGTTTCTTTTAAAAAGCAATCATGTCCTCTCATTTTTAGAAGTGTCACCTTTACTTTGAAGGCCCTGAGTGAGTATGTGGCTGACCAAGCATTTGCACTTAGAGGAACATGAATGGCGCCTTCTTCCTGACCTGTGCATTATTCTTGCCACCTCCTCCCAAGGAATCTCTTTGGCCACTTGTCCATTTCCATTTGGGAAGGGTTGGTTCTATTCAATGTAGCATGGCCACAAAGTTGTCATCTGGTCCTCCCTGGCTGTGCCCTCTCCATGGGGTCAGAGTCAACAAGGCTAAGGGACTGTGCCTATCCACAGCCCACATCCAATCTCCCAGACCATGCACCCTAAGATCCTGGAATTTTCTCCCAGAGCTGTGGGAGACTCTTCCCCAGGGCTATCCTCTGTCCTCCTAAGAGCAGATTACATCCCCCATGTACACACCCTGCAGTCCAAGGAGAAGCCAAAGGGTGGTCAGAAGGCTTGGACATGAGCTGGCAAGTACAAACACTTGTGCACAAGACCTTCATGATGTAGGATGGAGCTGGAGATGGAATACAAAAGGGAAGTGGGCTATGGGCCAGATTCTAAAGAGTTCTGAATCTGAGCCTGGCTCACCAGGTCACTGTGAAGCCATGTTTGCAAAAGGAGAAAGCTAGCACATATTTTATTGAATATTTTGATATTTAGTCATATGGTAAGTGGACCTTTTGTACTCTTGCCCTGGGTCCTACAAATTGATTGGGACAGGCTTGTCACCTGCTGTTGTCTTTCAATTGCCTCCTCTCCGTGTGCAGCCACCTCTGAAGGTCATTTGATGAGCCTTTTCTTATCTCATGCAAGTGTCCAGCAAACTCTCATTTGAACTCTTCTTGCAAGGTCTCTAGGCAGCTCCTAGCTTGCAATAAGATGGTGCCCCAGGATTTATACTCTCCCAGGTAGAGTCCACGGTGCTGACTGATCCAGTGAATGCTCAGTTGGGTGTGAATCTGAAAGTTCAGATCTACCAATAGGAGATGATTTGCTTTGGGGAACTGGGAAAGGGAAACGTTCTCAGCTCCTTCCAAAATCCAAAAACCCATTTCAAGGGCTGCTGCTCTACTGACTTCCGCCTGCCAATGTGAAAGGTATTCCAAAAATGTGGAGGGGAAATGAAAAGCTGTCTTTAGAATGGAGAGGGTAGACCAGTCATTTCTAAGTAGCATCAGTTAACTGATGTAACTTCAGCGCATCACAGAAGTAAATGAATGAGGTAAAATGTTTTGTTTACAACCTCTCACCATTGGAAAACTCCAGCTCTTCCTTCTGGATGTCTCAAACACCTTGAAAGCCCCAAGACTTGTGACACACAATCAGAGGGGGCACCACGGCCCACTGGAATAGTAAATCTCAGTAAAGCTTAATGTCTTTTGCTTTATTTTAGATTAAAATAATACTCAGAAGTGAAAGGGCTTATGTTGTCTTCTTTGGTGTCAGTGGATAATCCGACTTACTCTACCTTGGCAATACTCCCCTAAATTATGAATTCCAATTGGGGTAGCTAAAAAGCCTCGGAAAAGACTTTCTGCTAAAATAGATGCCAGACAATCAAGATTCCTCCAGGAAAAGAATAAAAGTTAATAGTACATGTTGGTCACATAGTTGAAAAGAAATTTAGAGAATTTCAACTTCTGATAATAAATGTGGAGAAATAGAGGTAGGGTCACAGAAGAAAGAGGAATTGCTTAGAAGTCAGGAGACTGAGAGCCAGCTTCTGTTCATCCCCTTCCTAATTGTGTGATTGTCTCAGTTTCCCTATTTGTAAAATCAGAGGGTTAGACTTGATTCTCTCCAAGTTGAAAACTCAGATATGCATCAAATTTAGGGCTGTACACTCAAATTCTTATGGGGGCTAGGGAGTAAAGATAAATGAGTGACAGGGGCCAGGTGTGAGACAATAAGGAGTGGTGGAGACTGGGGTGAACTAGAGATATAGCCCCTACTCAGCTGCAGCCAGCTGATTCCATTTAGGCAGAAATATAAGCCTAGTGTTGTAGTGTTGACAGTTCTCCCACATTTTTTAGAAGTCAGGAATCCAGATATTATATAAAATTTCCATATTATTAATGATGGCATTTATTTCTTAAAAATCATTTTTGAAACACTATGCTGCATAAACAAATCTCCCACGAAACCAGTTTGTGACCCATTGCTTCAGAAGACTTCAATGCATTAACTACATTTCAACTTCATTGGCAACAATTGCTGGAAAGTTCTTCATTTTGCCCTGTCCTCACACCTTTATATTTACTTCTGCCGAAGATGTTTATTTGCCTGGGAAGTGGTTCCCTAACAGAAACATTTGTTTTAACTGTTGTGGCAAATCATCTATTTGTTGGGAGAGGTGGAAAAGAACAGCTAAGACCTTTTTCCCCCACAAACATTTCTTTAGGCCAGCTTACGAAAGCCTTTGCTGATCGGTTTTTCTCTGTAACAGGGCCCAGCATTGTCTTGGGATGGGAAGATGCCCATCTGTGTGGATGGGGTACAAATTTCCATCCCAACACTGCAGATCCAGCACCTGATGAGGAGCCCTGAATAATCACAGTGGAAGTTCCACTCAATGCTAACACTTAGCAGCCATGTGAAGACTCATAACCCTCTCTTCCTCTTTCTCTCACCCATCTCCATTAGCTGGGCCTGCGTCTTGGTTGACTTTGCCGTATTTATGAAACAATATCAGGTTAATTCCTATCCTCTTTGCTTCACATGATTTCATGCAAATAATCGCTGCCTACGTGCACATTTCAAAAGGGACCCTTTTAAAAATTTGATCCTTCAAACTTAACTTTGCCCTCCAAGCATTCCAGACTCACCCAGGGCCTCAATTTTTAATATATTTGCACAGAAAATTATGGAAAAAATGGAATCTAAACAATGGACTTGATTTTTAAAAATAATCAGGCAGGAATTAATGTTTCAAAATAATTGTCTAGAGGTGATTCAATTTCACATGCTCTTTAAATATGTATTTTTCAGTGCACTATGGCTTGAAGGGATGATTTCAAATTAGTGTATATAGCAGGCTGTGAATCATAAAAACTCTTATAGTTAAGTTTTTCATTTCTTTGCTGCAAAACTTCATTTCAAAACTGAAATTTTACCTTCCTGGTAAATCTCCTTTCCTCCCCTGCCAAAATAATTTTATCAATACAAAAATAAAGGATTGGCTTTTAATAAGTACAACTTAGAGATTTTGTGGCAGGCAGCATTCAAAGATGCTGGTGTTGGCCAGGCGTGTAGCTCATGCCTGTAATCCCGACACTTTGGGAGGCTGAGGTAGGAGGATCTCTTGAGCCCAAGAATTCAAGATCAGCCTGGGCAACATAGTGAGATCCCATCTCTACAAAAAATTTTAAAAATTAGCTGGATGTGCTGGTGTGCCCCTGTAGTCCCAGCTACTCAGGAGGGTGAGGTGGAAGACAGGAGGCTGATGTGGGAGGATCGCTTGAGCCCAGGAGGCAGAGACTGCAGTGAGCCACAATCACGCCACTGCCCTCCAGACTGGGTGACAAAGCAAGACCCTGTCTCAAAACAACAAAAACAAAAACAAAAGATGTTAATATTAATGTCCTGGATAATTCCTTCTTCTCAAGCGTGGGTGACACTTCTGACTTGCTTCTGGCCAATAGAATTTGGCAAAGACAATAGGATGTCACACCTATGAGTGTATGTATATACAATGTAAAATGTTATATATGTGATTTTTTTAATATTTAGGGACAGGGTCTCACTATGTTGCCCAGGTTGGACTCCAACTCCTGGGCTCAAGCAGTCCTCCCACCTCAGCCTCTTGAGTAGCTGGGACTACAGGTGCCAGACTTTTTAATATATAATCTTACGTGTGTGTGTGTGTGTGTGTGGTGTGTGTGTGTGTGTGTGTGTGTGTGTGTGTGTGTATGAAATAATCTTGCATTAGAGTAAGAGAGAGATTCTGGCCTTGAAAAAGCAAACAGCCATGTTGTGAGTTGCTTATAGGGAGGACCAAGTGGCATTGGCAGGTGGCATCCAGGGTCTGAGGGCAGCCTCCAGCTGACGGCCATGAAGAAGCAGGGCCCTCAGACATACAACCACCTTTTGTACCTGCAGACTGGTAAACAGGAAAAGGTGAAACGAGGAAACAAAGTGTGCCAGCAACCTACCTGAGCTTTGAAATGTGTTCTTCCCTGGAGAATGCAGCCTGGCCCTATCCCGATTGCCTTCTGGTAAGACCCCAAGCAGAAGGACCCAGTTAAGCCATGCCAGTGCTCCTGACTCATGACAACTGTGAGATACTAAATGTGTGTTGTTTTAAGCTACTTAGTGTGTGGTGATTTGCCACACCACAACAGAAAATTAATACAAAATTTATTTGGAAGGACTATTGCAAAATTTATCAAATTATAGAATTTTAACAGAGAGAATTTTTAGCTCAACCCTTTTGTTTAACGTGTGAACAACTGAGAATCAGAAATGGAAATAGTCACAGATCAAGTTAGTGATAAAGCCAGGAACAAGTTTCCTTTGGCCCTTTCTGTGATATCAAGCTTCTTCCCTGTAAGGAACCACTGGTATTGACTTTTTCTCTTTTTCTCTCTCTTTCTCCATATATATACATATATATATACACACATATATATATATGTATATATATGTATATGTATATATAACGATCACTCTGTCTCTTTTTCATATGAATACATTTATAAATATATAAATTTAAAATATAATATATGTAAATACATACATATATTATTATTGTTGAATCTTCCCATTAAAAAAAGGTTGAACGATTTACATATCTCCCAATACTTGATGGGCAAATCCATTTCCTCACAATTGCACACAAATCTGTTATTATTCACCTTTTCCTGTTTATCAATCTGCAGGTACAAAAGGATATTTTGGTGTGTTTTATTTTAGCCATTCCTAATATTTAAGCAGGCTGAACACCTTGCTTAATGCTTATTGGTCAGTTCTATTTCATGGTTTATTAACTGCATGTTCTTACTCTGTTCACTGTTATACTGGGTTGTCTGTCTTCCCTATTGATTTGTAAGAATTCTTGATAAATGTGTCCTGAGTTATTAGCAGTTTATGTGGAGTTAGGTGTGGTGGCTTATGCCTGTAGTCTCAGCACTTTGGGAGGCTGAAGTGGGAGGATCGTTCGAGGCCAGGAGTGGAAGGCTGCAGTGAGCTATGATCCTGCCATTGCACTCTAGCCTGGACAACAGATTGACACCCCATATGTAAAAATAATAATAATAATAATAATAATAAAGAAATAGTTTAGCTGTTTAAATTTAGCAACTGCTTCTTCTAAGTTGTTCCTTGTGTGGTTTTTTTTGTTTTGTTTTGTTTTGTTTTTGTAGGATTCACTTGGACATGCAGGCTAGAGTGCAGTGGCACAATCATAATCGCAGCTCACTGCACCCTTGATTTCCTGGGCTCAAGCCATCCTCTTACCTCAGCCTCCCAAGTAGCTGGGACTGCAGGCATAAGCCACCACGCCTGGCTAATTTTTGTATTTTGGGTAGAGACAGGGCTTCACCATGTTGCCCAGGCTGGTCTCGAACTCCTGGGCTAGAACAATGCACCTCCCTCGGCCTCCCAAAGTGCTGGGATTACAGCGTGAGCCACTGCACCTGGTCTCCCTTGTCTTTTAATTTAGTTTCTGAGATAATTTGCTATGAAAAAAGTTTTAAACCTTTTGTAGTCACACTTATCAATCTCTTTCATTATGGATTTGGATTTTTTGGCTGTCTGATTCGTTTCAGTTGTTGCTGCTTGATCTTGCTCAGAGGAGGCCTCCCCACTCTCGTGTTACAGAAATAGTTCCACGCTTTCTCCTAGTGTCTTTAGGTCTTCTTTCTTTTTTAAAATGTGTACTGTTTATTCCACATGGAGTTTGTTTTTATGACTGAGGTGGGGTAAGAATTAACCTTTCCCAGGAGAGCCAATTGTTCCAACAGCATTGAATAATCCATGCCTTCCCCAACTAAGCAAAACAGATGTGCATAAATACGTGCATACTCCTAGACTCATATTCTAGTACATTGCTCTATTCATCTCTCTTTTTTTTTTTTTCCTCGAGATGGAGTCTCGCTCTGTCACCCAGGCTGGAGTGCACTGGCACAATCTTGGCTCACTGCAACCTCTGCCTTCTGGGTTCAAGTGATTCTCCTGCCCCAGCCTCCCGAGTAACTGGGACTACAGGCATGTGCCACCACACCCAGCTAATTTTTGTATCTTTAGTAGAGATGGGGTTTCGCCATGTTGGCCAGGCTGGTCTCTGACTCCTAACCTCAGGTGACCCACCCGCCTCAGCCTCCCAAAGTGCTGAGATTACAAGAGTGAGCCACCATGCCTGGCCTATTTGGTCTCTTTACGCCAACACTTTTCCATTTTAATTATCATAGCTCCCCTATCTATCTTGATATCTGGTCAGGTAATTTGTTATTCATTTTTAAAATGTCCTTGTCAGATATTTCCTCCTTCGGATGAATTATAGAACCAGCTTGTCACCTTTGAAAAATCATTTGGGGCTCTTCCTCTGCCATTTTTTTCCCTTTCCCCTTTGCCTTTCTTCTTTTCTCTTCCATTCCTGATCAATTCAATGCAAAAGCCATTCAAAAAATGATAAGCACCCATGGGGGGCAGTGTCCAACACAGAAAACCTGACACCCCAGGCAGGAGGTGGCTTCCCCACAGGAGAAGCAGGAGTGGAGCCTGGCAGGGGAGTCAGAGTCCTAGGGAGTGAGGAGGGTGGCTTTGCAGGGATGGTATCCTGCGCAGGGTGGGTGCCCATTGCCTGAGAGTGAGGAGGTGGGTATGCCTGCTGGTGGGTGGCAGCTCCTGGACAAGGTGCCAGAACCCCAGCAGGGTGTGAGGTCAGCTTCTGAATGGAGGATGGATTGCAAACAGGGGCAATGAGCAAATTAGTAAATATCTCAAGGATCCAGCTTTCTCACGTTTGGAAAAAGCAGTACTAATTATGTAAAGGGAGAAAACAGAGTGAACCCTGAAGCGTTGGATTGGTATTGCACTATCGGTCTAAGCCAGGGCTGACTTCATGGACGTGTGATCAGTGCATTTGCATATGGCCCCGTGTCATGTCATACACTCAGGTGTTCATGCTGCACCATCACTGTCTTGAAATTCTTAATAACTTAATCTTTGAATTTGTATTTCGTAAGTCAAGTCTCATGGGACAGTGCAGCATGCACAAAGACTTGGAGTCTGAGCTCAGCAGCGGTCCCATGTCCCACCATCTCCCTGCCTCCCCAGGATCAGGGTCTCAGCCACCTTTCTCAATTCCCACAGTTCCTCAGACCCCTCTCAGCCTCCTTGTTCCCCTCCCCACCCAGCAACCACTGTCATCTTCTGCCTTCAGTGCCTACAGCGAGCACATCTATACCACGCCCACCCACAATCCAGGTACTTAGCCGTGTCCTGGCTCAGAGGTTGCAATACCCCTGAGGATGCCCACCTGCTATGGGTTAGAGGAGTGGGTCGAGGGGAAGAGTGGATGCTTTGCTTCATTTTCTTGCCCCAGCAGGGACACAGCACATCAGTCTGGTGACTGGCAGGAGAGACTGCAGCTGGTAGGCTACACTTGCTCTGAGTCCCAGCGTAGAGTCCCTGGGCACCTGTGAGTCTCTGCCTTCACCCCAGGAGTATCCTCATGCACGATGCGAAACAGCAATAAAAACCACTGTGACAAATCCAGAGGGAGACCGTGGAGGTAAGTGAAGAGCTTGTATTTTAGTACCTTTATTGGCTCTTCATTCCTGCTTTTTGAACAAGGTCCCCCATATTTTCATTTTGTACTGGACCCTGAAAATTATGTGCCAGTCCTGGTATAAACTCATGATTTTCAATATATTTAAATTGATTCAGAAATAAATATTGATGTAAGTGTATGCCTGCATATATGTGTCTGTACATCTGCATGCACCTAGCTCTGTCCACGGAGAGATCCTGAGAGTGGCCGCACAGTAGGAAAAATGAACACACTTAGCACCTGGACCTTGTCTTCTAAAAATTATTTTATTTATTTATTTATTTAGACAAGGTTTCACTCTGTCATTCAGGCTGGAGTGCAGTGGCACAAACACAGCTCACTGCAGCCTCAATCTCCTGGACTCAAGCAATCCTACCTCAGCTTCCCATGTAGCTGGGACTACAGGTATGCACCATCACACCCAGCTAATTAGCTTATTTTTTGTAAAGATGGAGTCTTGTTTTGTTGCCTAGGCTGGTCTCAAACTCCTGGGCTCAAGCGATCCTCTCACCTTGGCCTCCCAAAGTGCTGGGATTACAGGCATGAGCCGCCACACCTGGCCAGTTTCTAAAAATTATTTTCTGCTAAAAAGAACTGGAGATTTTTGGAGAAACAGCTAATTCCAGATCCAGGGCAAGATGAGTAGAAGACAAACCTGAGTACCTGTTCAGCCAAAAAAGAAGGAAGTAATCAAAGAATGATGGGGACATGGCAAGAGGACACGGAAGCCAGCAGGAAGAGGCTCCTACTGGCCACACAAAACACTTTTTAATTACAAAGGAAGAAAGAGTAACTTGATAGTGGAGAAGCCTGGCAGACACCACCTTAACTAGAATCAGAGTTAATGTCACCATTAAGGGAACAAATTGAAAACATGTGCTATGAAGAACGCAGCATCACTTCAATGGTCTTCTCGCCAAAGACGCATAACCTGAATCTAAAAATGAGAGAATGTCAGATTAATCTAAATGAGGGGCATTCTGCAAAATAACTGGTATATCAATAATATATCATATAATATGTAATACTATATAGTATACACATATATACTATACTGTAATAGTATAGTATTTAATAGTATAATAGTACAGTATTATATAGTATAATATACTATATAACTATATAATACTATAATAGTATAGTATTACATAGCATAACATGCTGTATAATTATATAGTTATATAGCATATTATGCTATGTAATACTATATATATTATAGTATTATATAGTATATGTATAACAGTAGAGCAGGATATTATACTATATAGTATTATATATACTACATATTGAATATATAATTGTTTTCTTTTGAAATATATATTTTATATGTATATATGTTTTCTTTTCTAAAATATATGCTTTTCCAGATCTTTTTAATGTACAAGTTATTTCAAATAGTCCTCTGAATTTTTCTTTTTCTTTTTTTTTTTTTTAAGAGATAAGGTCTGGCTCTGTTGCCCAGGCTGTAGTACAGTAGGCTCAAGTGATCGTCCCTCCTCGGTCTCCCAAGTAGCTGGTACTACACACAGGCAACACGATACTTGGCTAATTGTTTTTATTATTTTTTGGAGAGGCAGGGTCTTGCTATGTTCCCCAGGCTGGTCTCAAACTCCTGGGCTCAAGTGATCCTCCCACCTTGGTCTCCCAAAGTGTTGGGATTATAGGCATGAGCCACTGCCCCCAACCTAGTCTTCTGAATATTTACATGGGATCGAGTTTCAACATGAGTTTTGGAGGGGACAAACACTCAAACCAGAGCAATATAAAAGCCACTTATTAAAGATGTCTTTCTGTCACAGTGGTCAAACTGATACCTTCATTAATTCAGTCACTGAATGCTGAAAGAGAATTCTAGGTAAAGGAAGAAATCATTCCAATTTGGGAGATCATAAAAAGATTATTTTGTTTGATCTTCCCAATAATCTTGTAAGAAGGTAAGTTTGCATGTTGGTATTTAACTGCCATTAATGTTGTAGGTTGCTAAAAAATGCTTACGGTACAGCTATTTTTCCCCCTTTGGGATTTGTCTACGCTGTTGGAGAGGGCAGGCCAAGGGATTCAGTTCTGCTGAAGGAACCGGGGAAAAAATGCTGTCCAAACCAACTGGGGTTTTGGCAATGAATGCACATTTGTTCACCAGTTGAGCATTTGTTTAGATTCCTCTGTTTTGAAAAATTAAGTGGTTCAGTATTTTAAATTTGTTCCTAAGCCCAGTATAATGAATGACCTTTCATCTTCTTAGGTCACTGAAAAGAATTTTCTTGTGTTTGTGGCTAATTCCTCACTGGCAGAGGCCCAGACAGGGGACAGGAGGGACGCTCAGGCTGCTTAAGTCAAAAATAAACACAGGAGGAGGGAAGGACCCCGAATGTCCCGTGTTTGTTCATTTTCAATCATCCACACTGTCATGTGTGAGTTTGGGTGGTTTTGTATACAGAATAAGCTGTACACACATTCTAGGAAATAATTTTGAATGACTAAAGTTGCAATTTACCAAACCTTGTTTTCCTCTTGAATTTTAATGTTTCCTTTTCAAATCTGTGATTCCATTTATAAGAATAGAATAACAAAAATCAGTCACTGTGTTTGAGAACGTCATTGATTAATATTTGGTCTCATTTATAAACGTAGCCTTCAAACATTTAACATTTAAATGCTTTCAAATACTTTAAACTGCATTTCTAAATTTGATATTCTGGACTTTGTTTTCAAGTACTTCAACTGTCCAACACTTCTGCTTTCCCAAGTAAGTACTTATAAGTCTAATAAATCACATTTCTACAAATCTTAAACTCTTAAATGTTCCAGTGGGTACATGTTAGCTTAGTAAGATTTCTGCTTTAAAATGGCACATTTAAGCAATGGTTTGATTCCATTTTAAATTACGATTAACAAGTTTGACCAACATGTTGTTCTTATAGACCGAAGCCTCCTAAACATAAGGCTCTTAAAGTATGTAAATTGTTAAATATAAATTATTCCTTTTTAACAAAAAGAATAGTAATTCAGTGATGATGCTGAATTTGTCAAATATGTCCATGTTTATTTCTGAATCTTATCTCTGTTACACATGCTTACAGATAAAATCACTTTCCCATGGAGGACATTCCTATAAATAACTTTAAATATTCCTGGAGTTTAAAGATGCTTCCCTCCTGGGAGATTATCATATTTCTGGGTACTCAAGGTTGCTTCCAACTAGACTTTTTAACCTGGGGTTTGTGAATAGAATTAAGGGGGTTCGTGAACTTGGATGGAAAAAAAGTATCTCTATTCTCACCAACCTCTAACTGAAATTTGGCATTCTCTTCACATATGAACATAAACAACAAACCACAATTGTGTTACCAGGACCTGTGACTCTCTCACCAATAGAAATGACAGGTTTTGTTTTGTTTGTTTGTTTGTTTGTTTTTGAGACGGAATCTTGCTCTGTCACCCAGGCTGGAGTGCAGGGGCGCAATCTTGGCTCGCTGCAACCTCTACCTCCCAGGTTCAAGCGATTCTCCTGCCTCAGCTTCCCGAGTAGCTGGAATTACAGGTGTGTGCCACCATGTCCAGCTATTTTTTTTTTTTTTTTGTATTTTTTGTAGAGCTAGAGTTTTGCCACATTGGCCAGGCTGTCCTCCAACTCCTGACCTCAGGTGATCCACCCGCCTCGGCCTCTCAAAGTGCTGGGATTACAGGTGATTTTTATATCACATTATGGTTGTTGTATCTCAAAATACCTTTTCTAGGCAGCACTAACTTTAAAATTAGCTTGCTGCTAGATCCTGTTATTTAGTGCATTAATGAAGAAACTCACATGGCCATATCACAATATTTTCATATTTGTATTCACCATATAATTGAAGTACAATAAACTGGAAATACTTAAAGTGTTAAATTTTTTTACCATTTTTGACACATGCACCATGAAACCATCACCGCAATCAAGACACTGGACTTTTCCGTCACCCCCACTGGTTTCTCTGTGCCTCTCTGTAATCCATTCTTCCCTTCACTCCCACCCACAGGGGACCATTGATTTGCTTTGTGTCACTATACATTAGTTTACATGTTTAAGAAGTTTACATAAATGGGCCAGGCATGGTGGCTCACATATGTAATCCCAGCACTTTGGGAGGCTGAGGTGAACAGATCTCCTGATGTCAGAAATTCAAGACCAGCCTGGCCAACATAGTGAAACCTGTCCCTACAAAACATACAAAAATTAGCCGGGTGTGGTGGTGCAAGCCTGTAGCCCCTGCTACTCGGGAGGCTGAGGTGGGAGAATTGCTGGAACCCAAAAGGCAGAGGTTGCAGTGAGCTCAGATCCTGAGATCACACCACTGCACTCCAGCCTGGGTGACAGAGTGAGACCTTGTCTCAAAAAAAAAAAAAAAAAAAAAATTTTTACATAAATGGAATCATGATTCTTTTTTGGTAGGGAAGGTTCTGCCTTTTTCACTCAACATCATGGTTTTGACATCCATCTGTGTTATATGTGTATCAATAGTTCATTCTTTTTTATAATTTAATAGTCATTTATTGCATGGATATACCACAATTTGTTTATTCATTTACCTGCTGATGGACATTTAGACTGTTTTTAGATTTGGGCTGTTACAAACAAACTTGCTGTTAACAATCGTATACAAGTCAAGTCTTTGTGCGGATTTGTGTTTTCCTTCCTGTTGGGTGTCAAATAGGTGTGTCAGATGACAGAGGGATGTGCAACTTTTTAAGAAACTGCCAAACTGTTTTGTAAAGTGGTTACACCATTTGACATTCCCACCAGCAATGAATGAGAGTTCTAGCTACTCTACATCTTGCCAGCACTTGGTCTGGTCAATCTTTTTGTTAGCCAATATATTGAATACACGGTGACATTTTATTAGAGTTTAATTTGCATTTCCTTGATTATTAATGTTGAGCATTTCTTTATGTGCCTATTGACCATTTGTATATCATCTTTTTGAAGTGCTGGTTTGAAATCTTTGCCCATTTTAAAAATTGAGTTAATTGTCTTCTTAATTGTTGAGTTGTAAAAGTTCCTCATAGATCTGTTATAGATTCCTTATAGATTCAGAAGATATGTCTGATACATCACATGTCTTTGATACTCAGAACATGTACAACACATGTATCAGACACATCTTCATATATCTGTTATAGATTCTGTTATATGGATAGATTCCTTATAATATAGATTCCTTATATGTGTGTATATAATATGTGTAGGTGTAATCTCAGCTACTCAGGAGGCTGAGGCAGGAGAATCACTTGAACCTGGGAGCCCGGGAGGCAGAGATTGCAGTGAGCCGAGATCGCGCCACTGCACTCCAGCCTGGGCAAACGAACCAGACTCTGTCTCAAAAAAAAAAAAATTATAAAACTTCCAGAAGAAATCATTGCAACCTCGGGGTAGGCAAAGGTTTCTTCGAACACAAAAAGTACAAACCATGAAATAAAATATTGATAAACTGGACGACATCAAAATTTAAAACTTTCGTTCTTCAAAAGACAAAATTGAGAAAATAAAAGGCAAGCCATAGATTGGCAGAAATCTATCACATATATCAGAGACATTTTCTTATATCTGTTATAGATTCTGTTACAAGGATAGATTCCTTATAACAGAGATTCCTTATAACAGAATTGGAGGTTAGAAGCAAGATGGTTAAGTTGGATCTCTTTCACTGTCTCAGTCATAATTTTGCAAAGGTGGTTCCAGGCAGAGAGACCATCTGTCCCAGTTTGCTGGGGACAATCTTAGTTTATGCTTTGTTATTAATGCTCCTTTTGCTCTCAAAAGTGTCCCACTCTCAAAAGGTCTCTAGACCTCTGACCTTGAGGGACTCCTATAGTCTCTTCAGGTACTCCTTACGTCTTCAGGACCACAAAATCTTCTAGAATTTAGAACAATATCTGTTGGGGTTCTGGGGATCTCTGATGTCTCTCAGTCCTTGCTTCCGAGATAATTCCACCGATGCACGCTGAGATCAGTTGACTCCATTCACCATCCAAGACATTATATCCAGCTAAAAGCCAGCAAAAAGACAAGACAAATGTATTAAAAAGCCTTCTGGCTTCATTCTATTTGTTTTTACTCTCCTGGGAAAAGAGAATGCAAAAAGTGACAGATCTTGGAAGGAAATGGCCAGGAGGTGTAGAGATTCTTGTGCTTAGCTGAGAGGGCCAGCGTGGAGCTGGGTGAGGAGGTCACAGAGGAAGAACAGTTAGAGGAGAATGCTGTTTTAAACAGGGTGGTCAGGGTCTCTCTGGGGTAGAGGCATTTGAGCAGAGACCTGAATGGAGTGAGGGTGAAAACCATAGGACTATGTCAGGAAGGGGTAGTGCAGGCATAAAGAGCAGCATGCCTGGGTGTCTCAAAGGTCCCTCTTCACATGAGTGAATTAACATCTCCCACCGAACACTGGTGATCCTGAAATTCTGATGCTCTGCCAGAAAATGCACCCAAGAGTTGATTTCCCATTGTTTTAAATGGGAAACATTATAATGCATGACAGGTCAACCCAAGCCCCCAACACCCCAATCCTCATGGCCTAATCACTTCTTCAAGATCCTGGGCTCAAGAGATCCTCCTGCCTTGGCCTCCCCAAGTGCTGGCCCACTTTCTTGATAATGTTCTCTGCAGCAAAAAAGTTTTTAACTTTGATGAAGTCTAATTTATCTTTTGTTTGTTTGTTTGTTTGTTTTTTTGAGACAGAGTCTCACTCTGTTGCCCAGGCTGGAGTGCAGTGGCAAGATCTCAGCTCACTCTCTTAAAATAGAGCTAAGCACTTAAAATGCTGTCTTAGTCTGTTTGCTCTGCCATAACAAAATACCTGAGATTCTGGTATTTTATAAAGAACAGAAACTTATTTCTTATGGTTCTGGAGGATGAAAAGTTCAAGATCAAGGTGCCGGCAGGTTTGGTAGTCTGGTGAGAGCTGCTGTTTGCTTGCAACATGGTGCCTTGTTGGTGTGTCCTCCAAAGGAGAAGTTGAAGCAAGCCTCTATTTATTTAAGAAGGACCTGAATCTCATTCACAAGGGAGGAACCCTCATGACCTAATCACCTCTTCAAGGACTCACTTTTTTTCTTTTCTTTTTTTTTTTTTGAGACGAAGTCTTGCTCTGTCACCCAGGCTGGAGTGCAGTGGCACAATCTCGGCTCTCTGCAAGCTCCGCCGCCCGGGTTCACCCTTTTCTCCTGCCTCAGCCTCCAGAGTAGCTGGGACTACTGGCGCCCGCCACCACACCTGGCTAATTTTTGTATTTTTTAGTAGAGATGGGGTTTCACCGTATTAGCCAGGATGGTCTCAATCTCCTGACCTCGTGATGCGCCCACCTCAGCCTCCCAAAGTGCTGGGATTACAGGCGTGAGCCACCTCGCCCAGCCAGGACTCACTTCTTAATTCCATCACATTGGCCATTAAGTTTCAACTCCTGAATTTTGGAGGGGACACATTCAAACCACAGCACATGTCTACCAGTAAGTATCAAAGCAGTAAAATGTTTCAAACATAGCTTCCTGATCACCAAATCATCAGGAAAGTTTTCAACAAATAATTGGTTTGTCTGTGGCAACACAGCCACATCTGATTGCATGTCCCTTTCATTGCTCCTTAGTGTACTTTTCTAAATGTGATTCTGATGTTCTCTCAGTGGTAGTTGACATGCTGCTTTTCCTGCATGGTGTTTTGATGGAGATGCTAACTCTAATTTGGGGGATACAAATATCAGTTTTTCTTTGTAAATATTCATCTGATAATTGTGAGAAATGTGCCTTCTATGAAGTTTGAGTATTAAAAACAAAGTCATTTTATTGGAAAACTACTTACTGAAGAGACATTTGAAGCATCCCTGTATTTGTCTGCTTGGGTTAGGAAGGACGTGAGATTTCTCTCTCTCTGTCTCTCTCTCTCTCTTTTTTTTTTTTTAATGTTTGCAAAAAGCCCCTGCCCATCCCCACATACACACTGTATCATAAACTGCCTTTTTTGTAAAGACTCATGAGAAAATTTCTCTCCTGTATCAATATCAGGCAAAACTCTGATTTGCCCAAGTCATTTGGTTTCTTTCTCATAGAAGAATTAAGAATCATGAACACTGGCTGGGCACAGTGGCTCACGCCTGTAATCCCAGCACTTTGGGAGGCCGAGGCAGGCGGATCACCTGAGGTTGGGAGTTCGAGACCAGCCTGACCAACATGGAGAAACCCCGCCTCTACTAAAAATACAAAAATTAACTGGTCATGGTGGTGCATGCCTGTAATCCCAGGTACTCGGGAGGCTGAGGCAAGAGAATCGCTTGATCCCAGGAGGCAGAGGTTGCAGTGAGCCGAGATTGCATCACTGCACTCTAGCCTGGGCAACGAGAGTGAAACTCTGCCTCAGGAAAAAAAAAAAAAAAAGAATCATGAACACTATGGAGCACTTTGAAATCCATGATTCTTAATCTTGACTCTGCAGAGCTTTGGGGGTTCCTTCAAGACCTTTACACATACCTACAGGAGAAAGGGGTGAGGCATAAGGCTGTGGCTGGGAACCCTCACCTCCTTTTTCCATACTGAACTTCTATACATACTAGATTTTAAACAAAGGAAAGTTTGAAAGCCACTGATGTAACTGATCACATTTCTGTCCTTGCAGTGGCTGCCTGGAAGCTCAGCATCTAATTCTCAGTTCTCCACTGACAAGTGTCCAGGACCTTCTAGCTCACATTTTGTGTGCAAACCTTACCTTGACTTTCTTTTGTTTTCTTTCCTGTTTCCCTGTTGTCTGCTTTTCTTGTTTTCTTTATTCTGCTGCCATATATATGGTTTTATATGTTGCCTCAAATCCTTTTTGGAAAGAGCCAAGGTTTAAGTGAATGTATTTTAAAAAATTGAATGCTTTTTCTGTAGAGGTGACCTTTGCAGGTGGGAAAGGAATATGTTTAGAAAAAAGGCATGATTTGTAGAATTCACATGTGTGTTTGTAGGATATGTATATACATATCCTACAATGAATATACATACATTGGATATATTGTGAGGTTCATAGTTTTCAAAATTAATGTGTTTTTCTGGCTTTAGAGGGCATTTACTTGGAAGACTGGAGTGGGGGAAATGTGTTTTACTCCAAGGTAGGCATGACTGTGGACTACACCACAAAGAATCTGCTGTATGGCTTAGCACTTTCAAATTTTGTTTGGGATCATTTTGCTGGTTGTTATCAAATGAGGACAAATACTTAACAAAGAGATAGCAAGGGAAGAAAGAGACAGAAAGGGGGTGCTTCTACATAGGAAGGTGGCTGAATTTTCAGGGTCTTGAATTAGCATTGGGGGCTTAAGTCCTATCAGCTTCTGCTCATCTGCTGTGACTCTGTGGTCAAGGTCTCACTCTCCCAAAGATAGGGATTCTCTTCCTCTGCTGTATATTGGAATCACCTAGGGAGCTTTAAAAAAGGATGATGCCGGCCAAGCACAGTGGCTCACGCCTGTAATCCTAGCACTTTGGGAGGCCAAGATGGGTGGGTCACCTGAGGTCAGGAGTTCAAGAGCAGCCTGGCCAACATGAAGAAACCTTGTCTCCACTAAAAATACAAAACTTAGCTGGGCGTGGTGGCACATGCCTGTAATCCCAGCTACTTGGGAGGCTGAGGCAGGAGAATTGCTTGAATCCAGGAGGTGAAGGTTGCAGTGAGCCAAGATCACACCATTGCACTCCAGCCTGGGCGACAGAGTAAGGCTCCTTCTCAAAAAAAAAAAAAAAAAAAAAAAGGCAGATGCCACAGTTCCACCCCAGAGTCTGGTTTAATTGGTCTAGGATGGGGACTCAGCATGGAGATTTTTAAAAGCTCTCCCTGGAGATTCTGTGCACCCAGAGTTGAGAATCACAGCGCTAAGAGAAGGAAAAATAAAATTAATAAGCACCTGCCTCCTGCTTATCTCTCAGGGTCGTTGGGGTGTGTCTGTAATTTATGAAATAATGGGCCAGATTCTGGGGAAGGAATAAAATGGTATGAAGGAAATAGATTAACCCTTTGCATTCTATAGGGTACCTTTGGTTAACAAGTGTTCAAGATTTTTCCCCATGAGCCACAGGAAGAAACATTTCACATCCTGACCAAAGATATAGATATAGATATGGATATAGATATAGATACAGATACATGTGTGTATATATATATGTATGTATGTATACGTATATATGATATACGTATACATATATACATATATATCTCTCCATTGTAAATTGAAAATATCCTAAGTTCAAAATGCATTTAATACGCCTAACCTACTGAACATCATAGCTCAGCCTAACCTACCTTAAATGCACTCAGAACACTTGCATTACCTCGCAGTTGGGCAAAATCATCTAATACAAAGCCTATTTTATAATACAGTTTTGAATATCTCATGAAATTTATCAAATATTTTGCTGAAAGTGAAAAATAGAATGGTTGTATGGGTATCTCAATTGTGGTTTCTACTGAATACACATCACTTTCACATCGTCATAAAGTCAAAAAAATCATTAAGTGAAACCATCATAAATTGGGGACCATATGTATACATTTAACTATATATAGGGGATCATATGTATATATGTAACTATATATGTATAGGTATGTATATATATTCTTACTGCATACAATTCACTTGATATTTCCTATTCCAGTCTATTCCTTTAGGAAAAAAAAATTAAGGTTCACAGGCCAAGACAAATTAAACACCTCTGAAGGTCATTAAGATGCTCAATTTATAATGACTTGGAGCACTTAGCAAAGATACTATGGGAAGTGAAGCTGTGTGTACAGTAATAATATTTGTTGAGCAATTGCTAGTGCCAGCTGCAGTCATAGTAGAAAGTGTTTTATGAGCATGAGCTCCATGAATTTTCACAATAATAGTATAAGATGAGTACTGTTATTTTCACTTTAGTGATGAGAAAATCAAGGCCAAGTACATATGTACATTCTGCCTCTAGAAGACAGAAGCAGAGCCATCTCCAAGCCTACTGCGGCAGGCCCAGAGAAGAGAACAACCATGTTTACTGAATACATTTGCTTCTGTCTGAAGTTTGGGGAGTAGAAAGCGGAGTAAGCTATGACCAGAGGTGGGTCTGGGAATGGTGAGGCCTGATACATGTATAATTTGCAGCCCCTATTCAAGAAAAAGAGTACAAAATTATGAGTCCAAGATTAGATAAGAAAATGATTATTTCTTTAAATTAAGAAAAGAAATCACAACAAATTCAAATTTTAAGAAGCTGAAAATTACCACAAACATCACAAAATTCCCAACTCAACTTTCCTCCAAAATGCCAGCAGCCACCTGACACCACCCTACTCAAGGGCAAGTTGGGGGTGGGGAATCGGAGTGGAAAGACAGCGGTGTCTACGGCCTGCAGCCAAATGTCCAAAGCAAAGGACTTTTGTAAACTTTACATCAACAAGCCACCATCTGAACACTTTTCTAAGTCCCCTTAGAAAGGGGTCCAAGCAAGTCAGGGGCCCAAGAACTTAACCTTCATCAGCTCCTGTAAACTTACAACTGGAATTGAAGACTGTTACGGCTCAAGAGCAACGGCTTTGGAGTCAGCCAGGCCTGAATTTCATTCCTGGCTCAGCCACTTTCTGCCTTCTTTGAGCTTGGACCTGCTCATTTGTGAAATGAGTGTGCTGACAGCAGCTACCTTGGGGTCTCTCTTGGGGATTACATGAGATAAGGAAGAGTTGGGCATTGGATGAGCTTAAGGTTGCAAATAAAAATATAGGACCCCCGGTTACATTGGAATTTCGGAGACAAAAGAAATACTTTTTAAATATAAGTACGTACAACCAATCGCATAAGACATATACTGCAACTGATTCCTCGTTTCTCTGAAATTCAAATTCACCTGGGTGCCCTGTCTTTTACTGCACTTAAGAAATGACAGTGGTTGATATTGCTTTTGGATTGAAGCATCCTGGGTGTCCCACGGTGGAATTCATAGACATTAGAGAGTGGGTGACGGGCTAGGAAAGGCTGCATAGACTCCAATTAACACAGTTCATTGCCAGGGAGACTAAAAGGGGGGTGGCTATGAGAGGATGGAGTAAGTGGGGTGCCTTGATTTGGGCATGTAGGTGGAGGGGGCTATACCTCTCACTTTCACTAAACCAGTTAAGCTCTTGAGACCTCAGTTTCCTTAGCTGTAAAATGGGTGAAACATAGGGGAGACCCCTGAACCGTTCTCACCTAAATACCACACCAATGGCACTTCCTCATAATTCAGATGTCACCTCCTCAGAGAGGTCTTCCCTGACTGCTCTAGCTAAAATTACCGCCTCTCCTCCACTCCCCAACAGCAGATACATATATTATTTTTCTCCCTGTAACTCTAACTTTCTGAAACTGTCTTGCTTCTTTACTTGGTTATTTGTTTATGGTTTGCCTCTCCATGTGAATGCAAGTTCCGGGAGGGCAGAAAACTAGTCTGTCTTGTTCTAGCTGAGTCTCTCAGGAGTGGTACCTGGCACAGTAGATGCTCAATATATTTTGAATGAATGAATGGGTGGTTGAGTGAACGAATGTTAGTGTCACTATTGAGGTCCTCTCCGAGCCGTCGTTCCTTTCACAGGGGTCATGCCTGGGTTGCAGGGAGGATGTGCTGCCCCGGGGAGGGAGGAGGTGCGGGGTGTCGGTGGGTGGGGAGGAGGCTGGGCCCTGGCCTCCAGGACCGGCGAGAGTGAGCGCGCTCTGCTCGGCTGCAGGCTCAGGAAGCGGCGCGGCGGCACGTGCTGGGCCAGAGCCCCGCGCCCTGCGTCCAGCCGCCGGGTGTGTGCGCCCGCGTAGCCCAGCGTCGCGCCTCGGCGCCCCCACGCGCCCACGCAGCGGCGCGGGGACCCGGGCGGGGGCAGAGGGAGGGCCCGGCCCAGGGAGGAGAAGGGGCCGGTCCTCCCGGCGCAGGCAGCAGCCGCGGCAGCCCAGGAGGCGGAGGCAGCGGCAACGGCAGAGACAGCAACGTGCCCGCCGCAGTCAGCCCGGCCTCGTCGGACCCGCACCGGCCCGCCCGCCCGCCCGCACCGCGTCGGGGCGCCCTCTCCACTGCGCGCGGTGAGTACCGCCAGCGGCGCCCACCCCAGGCCGCCCGCCGGGATTCGCCGGGCGGGGGGAGTTGTTCACCGGGACCCCCTCGCCCTGCGCCTCTTTCTGGCACTCGCCAAGCGGGGCCTCCGCAGCTGTCGGGACGTTCTGGGGCGCACGGGCCTCCCAGGGCCAGGAAGGCACAAGGGCAGAGGGGACAGCAGCAGAGCCCCCCTCTGGAAAGGCTCTCCCAGGCTCGGGGCCCCAGTTTCCCCATGCGCTTTGGGGCAACGACCCTGAAGTTTGCTCTCCCGCGCGCGGGACAAGTGCATGGCGCGCAGGCGGTGTAGACGCGGCTGGGTCCTTGGCGTTTTGTTCGATTATGGTCCCGGCGGTTCGCGATAAGGGGCGCTCCCCCAGTCCGCAAACTCAAGCCCTCAGGTAGTGTTTATGGGATAACCAAGAAGCAGAGCCAACCGCTGGAATCCCGGCTTGGGGCTGGAACGGCCCGCTGAGACTTTGCCTTCTAGCTATTGATATATTTCTTTTCAAAAGTCCGTTTGCGCTCGGCCCGCTCTGGTTCAGGTCTGGGGCTTTGAACCGGGGCAGGGAATCCTGGCGCCTGCTGCGGGTAGAGTTGAAACTTAGAAAAGTTTACATCCGAAGGGTGTTTAGAAGGCGGCAAGGATTTCGTTGTAATGGGAGAAAGTGGGAAATGGAATTGTTTTTTAGTCATGAAGTCTGGAGGTTAAACGGCCGTGCTGGCCCAGGCTCCTTCAATATATTCCTGCCTGCCTCCCCCCCAGCAATAAATAGTTTATAAGCTCAAGGAATACTAGGAAAGCGTGACTGGTGAACGTACTCCTATCGCAAAAGACTCAGTGCGCTTTTCTCAGCTGTTGAACTGGAAGCGCCTTTTGCAGTGCGAGGTTCCTGCTTCCCCGAAGCCGAGGCTGAGAGTTGACAGCGTGCACCCTGCCGCGGTCTGAATTCTTTTTAAAAAGCAAGACCGATGCTGCGTTTTTATGGATACCCTTTTCTTTTCTTTCCCCTTCCCCGAAATGCTATGTAATCTTCAATTACTTTTTAAAATATAACGTGGAGGTATAAATCACCCCGGTAAGAGGTACCTTTTAATTACGAGGTGCAGTGGAAGAGCTGAACATTGGAATCTAGCTGTTAGCGAGGGCGGAGGGGCAGGAGGATGATTTACAAACATCATGTAAGAATTTGAGCACTGAATTATGTTTGAGTTAGGGAGATCCCTTACAAAGGAAATTATAACCAGTGGACAATTGTATTTCAAACCGAATCTATTAATTTCATGAGCCGTTTCTTGATTGAGTGAAATGTCTGTGACCATAATAGATACAGAACTAGTAAGCACCTTACCAGACTATGACCCATTTGTTAGCAACTAACATACACATGTAACCATCCTGCTTACAAAAAAAAAAAGAGGTACACAAAGAAAGAGTGGGAGGAGAGAACCTCTTTTTCAAAATAATCTTTGTGAAAGAATCTTTCACAATTTTACTCGATAAATAAATGTTCATTTTTTCCACTTGTCTTTCTTCATCACCTTAAGCCCCTTCATCCTTTACATATCTTTGCATTTAGACACTCTCACACTTGGGTAAGTTCTTCTATAATTTATATAACAAATAACAAATGATAGTGGTTTGAATCTTGCTTTTGACTAAGCATTAAATTGTGTTTGTATTAAAAAAAATCTCCTTGCCTTCGTAGCAAACTCTTAACTTTTGCCATTGTGAAAAGACCAATGTGGTTAGATGCAAAAGAGCCTGAACTTTTTTTTACTTTAAAGCAGTTTATATGTCCCCATTCTCTTGTAACTTCAGCTTCACAATATCATTCACTATTTTATCTGAAAGGAATTGGCATTTTTCTTTTCTGTCTTAAAATAGCTCACCTGGTGTTGTGACCATGTGTATGAGAATACTCTATAAACACACAAATCACTTCCCCAATATCAGAAAAACTAAAGGAAATATAAAATAAAATAAAAAGATGTGTATCTCAATACTTTAGGATTTTTTTAAAAAGTTTTCATCACGTAAGTTTTAGAATCTTCTTTTCATGTCTTTTGTTTTGCATTAAACACATCATAAAGAGGTATGATTTGTTGACTTGTTATAGGATTACCATTTGGCAAAAACGCCCAAGACACGCTGTTTCAAATATGTGGTATTACTTCTGCTTTAAATTGCGTGTAAGAGATTGCAAACCTTGTTCCAGATGGATAAATTGATAAAATGCTAGCTGCTGTTGGGAGAATGGAAAAGCCCTCAGCAAAAAGGCTCTGTGGTGTAGCTAAGTACATTTTGAATTAGGGTGAGCAAGCTATGGAGACCCCAGCCGTTTGTGAAAAAATATACACAGTCCAAGCACGTCCACTTTAAGACGTTGTTGGATCCTCCGTGACAAGATGACTCCTTTCCCACAAAGAAGAAACCGTTTCCTTATTTTTTCAGTTACTTTTCCAAAGACAACTTGCATCGGGCGCAAGAGAGCAGAGTTATGCAGAAATCCAACCGTAACCAGCTCAGAGCGAGGACTCATTCTCTCTCCTTCCACCAGATGTTTTTTAGGTGTCCTCAGCTGGAATGCCCAGTTTGAAACTAATTAGGCCAGCAGTAAACTCCTTGTATAATAAAATCGCAGGCCGTAATGGTGAATAAGTGAGGTTCCCAGCCGCTTATGACAGATGCCTTTCTGGGCAGAGAGAGAAGAGAGCCTGTGGCTGTCAGGAGAAAATGAAGGGAGTGGAGGTGCCTTCTTTAGACACATGCCTTTCCTAAGTATCCACGCACATGATCGCAGAGCGGAGGAGTGGAAGTTGCGACTGGGGTAGAGTTTTGTCTTTGCTGGGCAGGCCTCCTTCATACAAAGATGCTTGGGGGAGAATCAATTATAAGTATTAGGCAGTGTCTTCAGGTCTTAGGTGTATGCTGTGTGTGTGTGTGCAAAGGCTTGGGGAGAAGGATTGGTGTCACGTGCGGGGCAGTGTAAAAAACTTAACTGCTTCCCACCTGGGCACAAAATGAAAAGAAAGACTGCCTGGCCTGACATAAATTCCTTGGGAGAGAGGAGAACCTGCTCCCCCAGAGACTTTTGATAAAGGGAGAATTCGCCTAATGATGTGGTTCCCCTTATCTGTGAGGTTTGTGAGGGTGAAGGAGTTGGTTAGTCTGTTACCTCCAAAGGCTGGACTTTCTGACTAAGACTGGGTTTTGTTGGTGGAAGGAACCGGGTTTTTTGGGTTTTTGTGTTGGTTTTTTTTTTTTTTGGTTGTTTTTGTTTTTGTTTTTTTTAGCTAACTGTTCTGAAAAAGGAGTTGGTAGACTGTGCTCAAAAGGAATCTCTTTACAAAGAATTAATCCCAGAGTTAAGAAAACACAGCCTGTTGACAGAAAACACACACACACACACACACACACACACACCACAATTCTTCACTCACTCCCAACCCTCTTCCCTGATCTCCATCCCCCAATGTCATAACAGCTTCCTGAATGGCCCACTTCTCCCCACTATCATTTGTGGCAGTTCAAACAGTCCTAAACATACAAAACAAAAAGAAGATTCTGGTAAGAAAACAATTAGCAGAGAATTCGCTGGAGACAATGCTTCGTTTTCACTGTTTGAAGATCGTAACTGGCCTAATGGTGTTTGACTAACACCCTTTTCTAGTCGGAGGAGGATAA
This sequence comes from Homo sapiens, assembly GCF_000001405.40. Classification (NCBI taxonomy): domain Eukaryota; kingdom Metazoa; phylum Chordata; class Mammalia; order Primates; family Hominidae; genus Homo; species Homo sapiens. The sequence goes on from NC_000020.11 coordinate 46,898,686, forward strand.
ACACCCCCTCCGTCAGGTGGTAAATACTTGAAGTGACAGTAACTGAGGCTGCAGACCCACTTGTGTTATTGTAAATGAATCAGAGGGGCAAGACCTTGTTCTTTACGGCGTGTGATTTAAAATCAGTTTTAAGGTACCTGCCAGGTGTATTTAGAGGAAAAGGCATGAAGGAAGCCACAGGCTTATACATTCATTTTTAGTGCATATTTCTTTTTGTTCATTTTCATCCTATTGAGTTCCTTTGTCATTTCTCTGACTTGCAAATTATACCCTTCTGTTTAATAGTAATGATGAAAATAGCTGCTGTTTATTGAGAACTGGTATACCAGGCCTGCAGTCAGCTCTTCACGTGTATTTTTAAAGTGGATTCTTGCCGCAACCCCTTGAGTATTATTATCATTATTTCAACTTTGTTAACAAGGAAACTGAGTCGCAGGTCAAATGACCGACACAGGGCCAGACTGAGTGAAAATGAAATCTACGCTTTTGCTTCTCTGCAAAGTATGCCTTATCCATGTGCAATACAAGCTTTGGCTCAAAACATTTCTGCTATCATTTCCTTTGGAGGAAGATGCTGAATTTGGATGGTTTTAAATGCACAGAACACAGTTATTTTCTGAACCTGCCCTGACGTTTTTTGCCACTGTCGTTTGAAATGGGGAAACAAAATCATATTAAATATTCAGGAACACAAATACAAACCTCTGTGAGCCATGACCCTTAACCGGTTGGGTATGGTTCTGTAAAGGAAAATGACGGTTTATTTAAGGGCTAATTTGATTTATTCCTTCGATACTAACACTACGCATTTCAGGTCCTAAAAAGAGTCAATAAATTTACCGGCAGTGGAGAGGCCCTAAAACATTACGGTAGGCGCAGCCCAAGTCAAGTTTACCGGAAGGTGCTGGATCGCTATGGGTGGGTGTTGTTTCGGGTTAGATTTTAAACATTTGGAGAGCAAAGAATAATTTGGAACAGGTGGTGCCGAGAGTCAGGTAGCTGGAATGATTTATCTTTGCCTCTTTGAACGTTAAGGGAGGCCACTGGTTGCCTGAATCTGGAACCAGCAGGCTGCGGGTCAGTGGGGGCTGAGAGACTCGTCTTTGGGACAAACTTTGGCAGGATCCAGGGGCTTCGTCAGCGCTGTCATCGCCTTTGGATGATAGTAGTCAGAACACAGTTGTGCCTGCTCGTGCATTTTTGAAAAGTCTGCCTCTGCCTTCAGATATATGCAGAAATCTAAAACAGGAACTTAGACGCGCCGCAATGCCAATTTAAACATCTTTAAAAATGAACAAAGTATGTAATAGAGGTTAGAAACTCTTTTGTCATTTGGTATCAATAGTGTTGTGTCAGTAACATGAAAATGTGTGTAATTTCAATGGCATTGCACTTTCTTCTTCTTTTTTCCTTTTGAGTATCTAGTAAAGTTACATTTTTTAAAAGTCTGTGTTCCCAGATGTAATAGATACGAACGTATCTACTTGCAGTCATTCAGAGGAGAATTGTCAACTCTCTGCTAATGTAACTAAAGGAAAAATGATAAAATCAACATATTTTTCCCCAAAGAATGAGGAACTGGAGGGTTTGACTACTGTATATGGCAACTTACTTTTGTCTCGCGTCAGCTAAATCTGTCAGTTCCCCTTTCTTTTCTATTCATCTCCCAAGAATGGCCTTTCATAACTGAAATACACGTGTATTAGCCAAAAGACATTTTAATTTTGTAAAGAAAAATCATGCCAGAGACAGCCGGGTCTGTTTCAACCATTATTGTTTCTGCAGCATGCATACTTTGGGTTTCATGGTAAGATGTGGGTTTGTCAAGAAAGAAAATTACAGCAAGAAGCTATGCTGAAAACATATACACTTCTGTTTAAGAAATGAGAAAAACACAGAAAAATTCCACACAGTAATTGCTTTTACGTGAGTTTTAAATGTCATTGTTTGACTTATGTCAAAAAGCCCCCTTAGCCAGTTCTCTCATACTCCGTTACCAAATATCTCACCTTAAAAACAGCAAATGTTGGACTTCATTTTGATGATCTTTGAGGCTTTCAGAGATATCCTTAGTCCTAGTGGAAACATTCCAAATTTTTAGATTGTGCAGGCCATTTTTTTAAGGTTACTTAGATATCGATTTTATTTTCTTGACCCAAAATGAGAAAACACGGGGAATTCTCAAAAGCTTTTTACAGGCTGCTATTACGAGAAGAGAAGCCAAACCAACATGTATTAGGTCATGCGCTTGAAGTGCATAAATAAGCCCTATGAAGGTCACCAAACAGGGTGAAAACCACTAGTTCTCGTTACCTTGGCCACCTCTAAATTCCTGCCTGTTAGACGTGTTTGGTTGAAGTGGACACAGAAAGCGGGTTTCCGAGCCCGTGGTTGAAAGATCTCAATTTGACTTGGGTCCTCAAGGCGTCCTTGTGGTAAAGGGAGATAGGAAGGCTGAAATTCTGGTCTCCTCCCCATGGCTCCCTCTCACGGTTCCGGAGAAAAAGCAGGTACTGGGGCCTTCTCTTACTCCAAAGCAGATGTTTCCTACCTGGTATTCGGATATGCGGAAGTCAGAAGCTGAAAATAAAATGAAATGAAAATGTTCCTTCTGGTCAGTTTCTTCACCTCCCATTCCCTTCCTATAGTCACTTTGTGGTTAAGGTATTCATGGTTTCCAAAACAATTTTTTGTTCCCACTATGTTTTCTAGCATTTAAGATGCAAGGTATAAGTACTCACCTTTAAATCTCTATTGATTGGCAGCTTCCTGAAATACAGAGTCAGAGAGCGTGTCCACCACGTCCTGAGTTTGGTACCAACCCAGGTGCTGATGGAAATTCCAAGTAGGGAGAAAACGTCCTCTTCGGAGAGGCAGGGTGTCAGCGCAAAGAGGTTATTTTCTTTTGTGGGTGTGTATTATTTGCACATATCAGGACTTTTGTTTCAGGGTGTTCTAGAAACATTGATCTCTCCAGCAAAGTTCTGCGTGTCCTTCTTGGTTGGGAAGGGAGCGGAGAGGAAGGAGCCCCGAGGAGAATCGTGCACCTTTGGCCTTTTGTGTGACTCCTAGAGTAGAGGGAAGCCTCCGCTGCTCGGAAGGTGTCACGTGGTATAACAAGTTGTGACTTGTGCCTGTGTTGTCAACAGAGTTTTAGCCCCGTCCAGACATGAAAAAGAATGGAGCCCCGAAGATGATTCACCTCCGGTCTGCGATGGGCCCAAGCTGTCCAGTGCTCTCCTCTTGCTAAACAGACCATACTCCCTGGAGGAGTTAATGGCTGGGGTGTGGAGAGAAGACCGGTAGGAGGGGAGAAAGAATGCCTTAAACTCAGCAAATGTCTAAAACGCTCAAAATGTCTCAGCATTGCTCAGGCACCCACAAGAAAGACAAACTGATAAAAGGACATAGAATCAGGCTTTTTTTGAGGGGGAAGCACAGAGAGGTTGGGGGTTTGCTAGAGGTTTGATCTAGAGTGGACAATTTTTCTAACACCTTGGGACCCGATTTTGGAAATGTCTTCCTGTAGCCTTGCTGTCATTCCTTTGTGCTTATTTTTAGTGAATTAGTTTTGGGGATTTTCTTTTGTTTTTAAGAAAACACAGAGTTGTAAGACTTGTTTGGGAATCACAGGTTTTATTGAACACTTATTATTTATTGAATATTTATTATGTCCCAGGCATTGTGCTGTGGAAATACTTTATATGTTTTGTCTCCAAATGGCAGTAGATGGAACGTGCTGTTATTATTATTTCTATTTTACAGATGTGGAAACTGAGTCTGGAGAGTAACTTGTCCAGGATCACATGGCTTATGCCAGAGCCAGGATTAAACCCAGTTTTGATTCCTAACCACTAGGATGTCCAGCCTGCTCCCGTGGTATAACAAGAACTTCCCTTTCTCCATCTGTCTGCCCTGGAGAGCTAGATTTTAAAGTCCTTTTCCACTTGCATTGCCTTATGGATATTTATCGATGGTTAGGTACAAAAATCAGGTTGAGAAAGTAAGAGACGCCAGCAGATTCTCACAAGATTTTGAATCTGCCCTTGTAGAAATGAATGAATGTTTCAAGCTGGACCTATGGAAATGGTCGTAGCATCACTGCAGTTAGTGGCCTAAGTCATTGCTTACAGCTGCTCTTGCCCTATAACCGCAGGGTTGAACAGCCGTACTACAAAGACCATACGGCCTGCAAAGACTATCTGGCCCTTTACAGAAAAAGTTTGCTGACCTCTAAGCTATTGCAATATGACAAGACAATCCTTGTAGACCAGAAATAACATGCACTTGGGACATTTCGTATACCATTTCAATGATTTATTATTTATCAGGTGCCTCCAATGTGCTTGACACATTGCACAGTGATAGGGGAAAATTACAAGTGACTTCATTCCTTCATCCATTTACTTAACAACACTTATTTAGCTGTGTTCTGGGCTGTTTACTGGAGAGCCAGAGGTGAGAAGGACCAAATCCAGCATCTCCGGTAGGAGGATCCCAATGTGTTCTCACCAGTATCCCATGGCCTCTTCTTTCCTGAGGGTGCAGAGGGTGTTGACATGACTTTTTGAGCTTTCTAATGTTTGAGCAGCAGAATGGAAGCAACACCTCAGTCTGTAGACCCTCACCCACAGAAGCTATGCCTGGTTCAGTAAGAGCAGTGCCTCGGCTTCTGCACCTGAAACCGCACTAGGCATATAGGACTTACCAGTGCCCCAGGCTTACTCGGCCGACAGCAACTCTCTGCTTCCCTCAATGCGTTGTGCAGAATGAGGAGGAATGTAGAGAATCAGACTTTCCAAACCTCAGCCTGGGTACTGACTTTCAGCCTCGAGATTAAGAGCTTGAGTCCAGGAGCCAGGCTGCTCAGGTTACACTTCCCCTCAGTGTTAACCTACTCCTGCGTTTAACTTGGGGGTAAGTTACCAGACTTTTCGGTGCCTCAGTTTCTTCGTCTGTAAAGCAGGGTGAATAATAATGCACCTTCCTCAGAAAGCTATCGTGGAGATTGAGTTAATAAACATGAAGTGTTTGGAACTACGGCTGGCAAGTGGTATGAATTATATCAGTGTCAGCTACAGTTATTATTATTATTTATGAATTTGACCTGAAGCAAATTACTTAGACTCTTTGGGATGATAATAATAATAGTAACAACAATAATAAAATAACTTTTCATAGTGCCATTGTGAGAATATAAATGAGGCGATACATGGAAAACACTTAGCTTTGCTACACTGCCTGCCTCCATTCAATGTTCAATGAGCTAGCTATTGAGATTATGGGGAACAGTGCACTGGATCAGTGCGGTGTCTATAAGCTATTGATCAGTTGAGTCATTTTAGGTATCGAGAGAATGTTGGGCAGTGGTCGATAGCACAGGCCCTGGACTCAGACAGATCTGGCCTGAGCCTGAGTCAGTCCATCACTCACGGACTGCCATCTCCAGCAGGGGTCTGACCCTCTCAACGTCCCAGACATCGGAGACAGCAGTTAACTGTTCCTGGGGTGGTTGGGAGGCTTAAAAGAGTGGCTGGCACACCGAGCACAGAGCAGGGTGTTTGGCACATAGTAAGCACTCAATAAATGGTAGCTTGTATTATTACCACCCCCATTTCTTGCTGTACCCCCACCCCCAAGAAAGCACTGAACATTAGTAAATTTTAATTTGAAAATAAAAGAACACATTTTAAAACTGCCAAACAGATTTAAAATAATATTCATTACACAAAATTAAAATATTCTATTAAAGCCAGACTTTGGGCTCAGACCAAATTTTTATAACCCAAGCTTAAAGGCCAGGGAGTCCCCCAGCCACAATGGGGACATTGTGATTGAACTTGAGACTTCAACGCTGCTATTGAGCAGTCTTTGAAATGCATGTTTCCCCTAAAATAAAAGGGAAGTAATGGGAAGGAAAAAAATGAGGTTCTTGCTCCCCTCAACAAGCCTTAATGAATTGGAAAAGAAAAACAAAATATTTCTCATTTTTCTCCTGCTACTCGATCCTGCCAAAGACGCACGGCCCCTCCCAACCCTGGCTTTGAATGGTGCCCACTCAGAACCTTCCAGATCTGATATGCTATATGAGCAAACCTAATCTAAGTTGTAACATTGTAGTCTTCACCAGGTTTTACAGATGGCGGATTGTATCACTGGGAATCCAGAATGGGGAGCCCAAATTCCTAGGTTCAAGTCCTAGTTCTGCCTCAGTTTCCCTATTCACAAAATAGAGACAGTCCTCCTACTGCATAAAGTGGTGGTGGGAGTCTGAACGGTTAGCTCTCCCCATGGATGTTTTAATCTTCTGCTGTTACCTAATGAATGAAACTTGCCCTGAGTTCTGGGACTTTGAAAAATTAAAGTATACAGGTATGCCTCTGAGAGTTATAAATTAAAAAAAAGTCTATTCAGGGAGGAGAATGGAGGAGGGAAGAAGGAGACATAAAAATGGCTCACAGGAGTTATTATGTGACAGACACTTTCACAAAGCTCATTTAATCCTCTCAAAAAAAAAAAATACATGATATACATGTGTCCATTTAACAAACATGGAAACTGAGACTTGGACAGATCGAGTGACTGCCCAGCGGCATTCCATTCCAGGTCTGTGTGACCCAAAGCATGGGCCTGTTGTACCACATGACCCACAGCCCTCCTGGAACAAGGTCACAAACAATCATGGTGGACTGGAGAGACTCCCCTGACCAACCAGTTATTTATGATCTATTCTTACATTTCAATAGCATCCTTCATCCTCAATGAGCCTGAGTTGCTGTGGCCTTTTACCCCACATTCCATTGAGAACCAGTAGATTTTTTCTTGAACAGCACATGGAAAAAGTAACGTAAGTGGGTTGCAAAATCCTTTTCTGGATGAAATCCTTCAAGAATCCCTGCCATTTCTTGCCAACCGGAATGAAGTGACTTCCTCCTCAGACCAGGCCAGGCCCTTGGCTATGGTGTGGGACCATGAGACAGAGTTGTCTGAGGCTGGGCAGCTCCTGGAGAGGGTATGGGGTCCCCTCTATCACCAACCTGCTGTGTGTCTTCGGGCAGATCACAAGAGCCCTCTGAGCCCCAATCTCCTCATCAGCCCATGGAGCAGACACCTTCTATATAGGATTTGTTATACGACTTAAATAAAATGACAGTGGAATACTTAGGGTACTGTGGAATTGGACCCATTCCCAGGAGTACTCAAAGAAAGGGGAGAAAATGAAAGTTACTTGCCCCAGGCACATTCCTTACTGTTCTTCAGGTAGCTACCGTTTGGGGACTTTAGACATTCTGGAAGAATCTGTTAGTCTCTGAAGGGCAGACTTCTTTTTAATGATGTGGGCACCCTTTCCACATTAACTTGAAATGTACATGGACATTTTTTTTCTTTAGAGTTCTGTCTCTATCTTATTATGCATTTGGAAAAGATATAAAAAGCATTTGAAACAAATGGTTTTACAATTTTTTACTGCTTAAGACAAAAATGATTTAAAAACCAAGTCCATCAAGTAATTGATAGCAAAAGTGGCACACAGCCATGGCAGAGTTCATGAGGGAAGTTTCAGAAACACGAATCTGATGATGTGAAGCTTTCCCTGTGATCTATTCATTTAAAATAAAACATTTTAGTTTTAAAACTCATCCCCGCAGGCTGCGTACGACAAATTCCACCCAAATACCCAGAACCTTTTACTAACCAGAATTGCAATGCTGTGCTGCTTTCAGGGGAATAAAATGAAACAAATGCAGTCTCTCGGGGACATTGGTAAAGTCATCTCAGAGTACATCAGTGTCCGGGCACATCTAGTCTGTGTCTTGTATCTTTGAAAGAAGAATAACTAACCTTTGGATGACTGTAATGTTGATAAAAAATAATCTCTGAGGGCTAACTTTATGCCGGGATATGTTCCGAAAGATTATAGGCATTAACTCATTTATTCCTTGCAATAATTCTACGATGAAAGTACTGTTACTATTCCCAGTTTAAGTGAGAAAAGTAAGACACAGAGAGGTCAAGTGACTTGTTCAAGGTCACCCAGCAAGTGCAGGGGTAGAGCCAGGCTTTGTATGTGGGAGTATGGTTCTAGAGTTTGTCTTCATAACCCCTGACTTCCCTGATTCTTTAACCACCATAAAAAATTAAACTCTTTGACCCTCACTTACTTGCACAATGAATTAATTAAGGACAGGCATGAGAAGGGGCTGAAAGCGATGTTAAATCTCAGTTATAATTTTTCAGTTTCTTACAAGGATGTATTTGCGTATTCCATTATCTTTAGGGTACAGTACACTACAGAAGCCAGTCTCTCCACGTTCAAATCCACTGTCTACCACTTACTAGCCTTGGGCTTCCTTCACCTCTCTCAGCCTCAGTTTCCCCATTGATGACATGAAAATAACGGACTCTGCATAACAAATGCATTGAAGACCACGAGACACACACAGTGATTGTTAAAAGCTATTGATTACCTGTGGAAGAAAAATTAAGTCTAGAAATCATATCTTCCTACAGGGCACAAATGCAGTTTGGTATAGTTTGGAGTGAAAAAGAAGGGAAAACCGCCTGAGCTGTGAGGTTCAAGCTGGAAAATAGCTCAGGTTTTTCCAGATGCCTTAAGACTGAGCCAAAGAGACCGGCTTTCCATGTCTCCACATGAGAAGTTACCGAGCTAAGTCCTCAACAGGCAGCCTACAAGCCATTGATGTTAGAATCTGTCCAGGTGAGGAAGCAGCAGCCTGTGGGAGGGTCTTGCCCATGGCCACATGGCCAGTCTGTGGCAGAGTGGGGACTCCCCACCCTCTTTCAAGACGAGTGAGGGATCTTGGGTAGCATGGGTCAGAGGTGGAGAGGAACACATAAAAACAAGCGTGAGGCCAGGCGCAGTGGCTCACACCCGTAACCCCAGCGCTTTGGGAAGCCAAGGCAGGCGGATTGCGTGAAGTCAGAAGTTCGAGACCAGCCTGGCCAACATGGTGAAATCCCATGTCTACTAAAAATAAAACAATTAGCCAGGTATGGTGGCCCGCATCTGTAGTCCCAGCTACTGGAGAGGCTGAGGCAGGAGAGTTGCTTGAGCCCAGGAGGTGGAGGTTGCAGTGAGCCGAGATGGTGCCACTGCCAGCCTGGGTGACAGAGGGAGACTCCATCTGAAAACAAACAAACAAACAAACAAACAAACAAAGTGTGCCTGGAGCGACTGTCTATGCAAACTCTGACATCAGCTCTAGGCTCTAGTTTCATGATTTTCATTTTATTTCTTGTTCCCTTCTTTACATTGGGGAAAATGTGTTTTTCTCTAGAAGCAACTACCTGGTTTTCAGTGGCAAGGTGCACAGACTTTCTGGGTTTTCCATTCACCATTCTCCTCCACTGTGCCTCCCGCTTCCATTTCCTCTTCAGTATGGAAATGGCACTTATTTATTCATTCATTCAAAAATATGTATTGAGCACCTGCTGTGTGCCAGGCCCTACTCTGGACGTGGGGAATGCAGTCAAGAACAAAAATGACCAAAGTCTCCTTCCTTGTGGAGCCACAGTTAAGTAGGAGAGAGAAAATAAACACATATGTATATAAGGTACGCAGAATATCAAATGATAAGTCCATGGAGAAAAAAGGTCAAGAGAAGCTGACGAGAACATGCCCAGGGGAGGCGAGAGGAATGCAGCGCTGAAGGAATGTAGGAGAACATTCTAGAAAGAAGCGGTAGCAAGGACAAAAGTCCTGAATTGGGAGCAGCCAGTGAACAAGGAGGGCAGGGAAGATGAGGCCAGTTCTGGTAGGGCCTTGCTCAGAATCCAGCTGCCGTTCTGCGTCAATCAGTCATGTCCAGAGTCAAAATTATCGTAATTTAAAAATGATTTTTCAAAGTACATAGAGCCTAAATCTGAAATCAATGACTGCAACCGCAGATACCCAGAGAACCCAAACAGGTAAGAATTAGTGGAGTAGGTATGCTAATAGCAGGGACTCCACCCGGTGCCATTCAGGAATGGTCTCCGTGTTGCTAGGTGTTCTGATTTTTCAAAATCTGAATTTTTAAGAGAAATGTCCCGCTTTTAAAATCACTATGAGGAACCACCAGAAATATACCTCCAGGCTCATAGTGTACGATCCCTCTCCCAAACATCGACACAGACCCTGGGAATCAAATTTCAGTGAAAAGGCACTAAGCCTCTCTCCCGCACTTTTTTTTTTTTTTTTTTTTTTTTTTTTTTTTTTTTTACCAATTCCTGACCAGAAAGGATGCCAAGAGATGCTAAAAATTGTTTCCAGGAAAAAGTAGGACTTGAATCTCATGGGGATGAGGCTGAGACTTCTTCCAAGGAGCAATCAGCTTGCTTCATTATTATGTCTTTCTCAGGAGTTTTTCCTGATCTCCGCTCATCATGGGGAAAGGCAAGATGGTCCAAATCTATCCTCCTTCGGGTTTTCATTAGTTTCTTGATGATGATTATTATGTCATCTGGGGTTGATTTAAGAGTGGTGAAATGTTTGCAGGTCTCATAAATGGTTGTCAGCCACTGTTTAGAATGGCAAAGAACTTTTTATGTTGTTCCCATTGCAAGGAGTGGGGTGATAGTTTCCAATGGCTACAGACAAAAGGGGGAAAGTGGGTTCTGAAGCCTTTTACAAGAGGAGATTGGAAAGTTGAGTAATTCAATGGGGGTGCAGGTGGGAGGCAGTAAGGAAAGCTCCAGGAGCTTTTTAAGACCTGAGATGCCTACATTGACAATACTGAAATCATCGTCGGCCTCCCCAGCCCCAAAGCTGGGCTTAAGCAAAATCCCAGCCAGTGGTCGCCTTAGCTGTGGAGATTGCTCCAGATGTAAGTGACAAAAAAACTTACTTCTGAGTTGGTTTAAGAAAAAAGAAAATGTATTGCCTTGGGAAATGAAAAGTTCGAGGAGGGCTGGTTTCAGGTACAGCTGGTTCAAGAGCTCAGATGCAGGTCATGTGCCCATCTCTTAATCAGTCTCTCTGTTCAAGAGGATTCTGTACTGTGCCACCTGTGGAGCTGTGGATGGAGTGAGAGAAAGGTAGATTTCCAAAGTGAAATCGGCAGCATTTTCTGGAAGTGTGGGTGGACTGGTTCCTTATATCCCCCAAAATTGTACCTATAGGTATGCCTTCTCCACCCCTCTCCTCCTGGACTACAGTGCTGCTTATGAAATTTGTGCTTTTTCCAGGCACGATGTTATACTCTTTGTGTGCATGTTTTACTTTTCTCCTCAAACATTCTTACTAGGTCAGTATTTTTAAGACCTGCTACTATTCTGCCCTCCACATGCTCTTCCCCATGGGCCTGGAAGATTATCTTTTATTTCAAGTAAGGGTGTTTGTCTTACTTATTTCAAGTAAGGATGTTCATCTTAAGGGTGGGTCATCTGTATTTGTCTGTTCTTGCACTGCTATAAAGAAATACCTGAGACTGGGTAATTTGCAAAGAAAAGAGTTTTAATTGGCTCACAGTTCCACAGGCTGTACAGGAAGCATGTTACTGGCATCTGCTCAGCTTCTGGGGAGGCCTTAGGAAACTTACAATCATGGTGGGAGACGAAGAGGAAGCAGGCACGACTTACATGGTGGAGCAAGAGGAAGAGAGAAAGAGGCGGGAGGTGCCACACTGTTGTAAACAACCAGGTCTTATGAGAACTCTGTCACAAGAACAGCACCAAAGGGGAAAATCCAATCCCCCTTGATCCAATCACCTCCTACCAGACCCCACCTACAACACTGGAGATTCCATTTCAACATGAGACTTGGGTGTGGACACGCATCCAAACCATCTTATCATCTCTTTTCATGGTCTCTGGTACAAAAGTTGAGGCACTCCAGCCAAGCATAGGACATGCGCTGGGCTTCAGAGGATAAGTGAGAGATGAATCAGGATCACTAGGAGTAGAAGGGTTACCCTGGCAATGCACGCATTCCCAGGCCCCTGATGGTCAGCCTGGATTTCTTTTTCTGCTCTGAGCTTTTGCTCCCGTTGCTGCCTGTATTGAACTTTCTCATGCTCCATCTAGGGGCATGGCAGTAACATCGGGTACACACAGAGGTTGCACACTGGCAATCAAGATGTGTTTTGTTTGGTCTGCAGATCATTTAAAAAATAGAATGGAGCCAACTTTGAAGATCTGGATCTTTCACACAAAAATGTAGATTGCTGGCTCCCATCAAAACATCACAAGATCTGTCAACACTGTGCCCACATTTCCACATTACCGCAGTTGACTGGGGCTGGGAACTGTCTGTCCCTTTTAGGTGGATAAGTTAGTTCACCCAAGTCCTCACCTTTCCCTATAGTCTCTCCAACACCGAGGTTCAGGTTAGTTACCATTTACCGTTGGGACCATGCTGTTGGCTCTCCTAGAGTAGATTTAAGACAGAAAAGAAATCTTTCCTATATCTAGATCTCCATTAGAAGTATGAAAATGAAGTGTAAACCAAGGTGGTCCTTGGTATTTACAAAAAAGAGAAAGCATCTGTCTTCAGGTAACACAGGGTTTCTCAACTTTGGCACTATTAAGATTTGGAGCTGGATAATTTGTGTGTGTGTGTGTGTGTGTGTGTGTGTGTCCACTCTGTATACTCTAGGATGGCATTTAATATGTCCATGTGGACATCATGCACCATCTAGAAGTAAATAGGTCCCTGTGCTCCAGGCGCTCACCACCAGGTTGGTACAAAGAGTTACCATAAGTGAGGAAAGCTGTTCTTCTGCATGGCACCCGGGCAGGCTCAGCATTGGCAGTAGAGGTTATGAGTTGGCTGATTTTTGATTTAGTCCTAAGTGGACTTGCCAACCATTGAGGCTGTTTATGACTGCCTGTTTGAGATGTTATAGAAGGAATTCAGTGTTGAATGAGAGGTTAAACTATTTTAAAGAGTCTTTGGAGAATTTCTTAACTCTTAGCTGAGTGAGGCCATGGTGGATGCTACTTGCAAAAAGTTTGAAAGTAGCATGGATGGAACTGGAGGACATTATGTTAAGTGAAATAAGCCAGATGCAGAAACACAAATATCTCATGTTCCCACTTGTGTGTGGGAACTGGAAAACTCGATCTCGTGGAGGTAAAGAGTAGAATGAGGGTTCCCAGTGGCTGGAAAGGTGGGGGTGATGAAGAGAAGCTGGCTAATGGGTAGAAACATACAGCTACATAGAAAGAAAAGTTCTAGTGTTCAAAAGCACAGTAGGGTGACTGTAGTCAACAATATGTTCTATATCAAAATAGCTGGAAGAAAAGATTGAAATGTTCCCAACACAAAGCAATGTTAAATGTTTGAGGTGACGGATATTCTAAATACCCTGATTTGATCATCACACATTGTATGCATGTATCAGAATATCACATGGACCCCCCATAAATACATACAATTGTTATGTATCAATAAATAATCTTGCAAATAGAAGGTGGAGCATGGGCAGTGGTTGGGCTTGTTGGAGAGTGAGCAGAAGGACCAAATGACCTCTGGATGTCTCTTATGTCTCCTCCAGCTCTGGTTCTGTGAGCTGAGGCTTAGTGAGTTTCAAAATGTTGCCTACTACATGTTCGCAACTGCTAACCGTGGTCTACCATGGAAACTCAAAGGCATGGATATTCAGGGAGGAATCTCATTTTTCCCTAGGCTAGTACTGTGTACGAGGTGAGACTTTTTTTTCTTTTTGGCCTTCCCCTAGTGTTACAAATCCTGTCGAGTGTCTGAAATACCATCCATGTGAAGGTTTCCCATGATAACTGTAACAGCTGCCATTCATCCATTCAACACATATTTATTGAACACTTCTATGAGGCAGCCACTGTTCCAGGCACTTGGCAAGCAGCTATGTACAAAACTGACAAGTCCTTGCCCTCATGGAGCTTTTGTTTAGGGGGGAAAGAAGATAGACAATAAAAAAGCAAATAGTAAGACAGTCTTGGCATTGCTATGGGGAAAAAGTAAGTAGAGGGGAGGGAGGTTGATGGGAAACATTGAGGTAGAACAGGGAAGAGGAATTTTTAATTTTTTTTTTTTTTCTTTTTTTTTGAGACGGAGTCTCGCTCTGTCGCCCAGGCCGGACTGCGGACTGCAGTGGCGCAATCTCGGCTCACTGCAAGCTCCGCTTCCCGGGTTCACGCCATTCTCCTGCCTCAGCCTCCCGAGTAGCTGGGACTACAGGCGCCCGCCACCGCGCCCGGCTAATTTTTTGTATTTTTAGTAGAGACGGGGTTTCACCTTGTTAGCCAGGATGGTCTCGATCTCCTGACCTCATGATCCACCCGCCTCGGCCTCCCAAAGTGCTGGGATTACAGGCGTGAGCCACCGCGCCCGGCCTTAATTTTAATTTTAAATAGGGTGGCCACTGTGATGGCATGCTGGTAAACTGGTTCTCTGGAAATTAAAGGTCCTGATTTGTAGCCTCTGCCACTTACAGTGGTGTAAATACTCCCACCATGGTCACTTACAGCCCAACAGTGATTTTAACAAGGAGTTCACAACATTCATGCACATTTAACAATTGTTTCTTGCAGGCTGGTACAGGCTGGCTGCAGCACATCACTGGCAGGCAAGGCCTCCCTGAAACTATCTGGCAGAAGAGCCCACACAGAAGCTCTGAGTGGGGTTGTGCCTGGTGTGTTCAGGAATGACCAGGAGTTCATTGTGGCTGGAGCTGAGTGAGAGGAGAGGGGCAGGAGATGTAGTTAGGGAAGTAGCCAGGGGCAGATAATGTAGGGTGTTTGAGGCCAGGGTCAGATTTTTGACTTCTAAGCTGAGTGAGGTGGGAGTCCCTGGAGGAATGGGATCTGAGCAGAGGAAGGACATGATCTGCCTTAAGTAGAGCAGAACTCCTCTGGCTGCCAAGAGAACAGACTGCAGGGGTCAGAGGGTGGGGCAGGAAAACCGTTAAGAGACTGTTCAGACAGGGAGGTGACGGTGACTTGGACCAGGGTGGTGGCAGTAGGATCAGGGAGAAGAGTTGGATTCTAGATATGCTTTTAAGATAGAGCCGATAGAATTTGCTGAGGGATTGGCTCTGGGAAGGGATATGAAGAGAGGAGTCCAAGGTGACTCCAAGGCCTCTGGGCTGGGCATTTGGGAGGATGGAGCTGCCCTTTGCTGAAATGGGGACAGTGGAGGGAGGAGCAGGTTGGGAAAGGAGATGGGAGCACCTCGTGTGGACCTGGCATTGAGCCAGGTGTTTGAATATATGATCATCTCCTTCTGTCCATTTTATCACGCCCATTTTGGAAAGGATGTGACAGAGAGTTGAGGTTAATCAGCATGCCCAAGGTGGCCCTGCTGGTACATGGCCAGGCCAGGCCTCCCACCCCTTTACCACTCTGCTGTCCTACTGTGTTTTCTTGGCTTTCTCAGTCCCGTTCCTCCTCTTCGTTTTGAGGAAATGACAACAGGAGAACTCTGCAGAAGAAACCACCTAGGAGCCGAGACCTCTCCCTCGTTCCTAAAGAGCTGTCCAGCGGTTAACGCTGGACACACATCAGGTCTGCTCAGTGGATCTGTCACCCACATTTTTCCCTGACAAATTTGTTGGATTAACCTCATGAAGATGAATATTCCACAGTAGAACTCACACTTAAAAAAATAGGAGTCAGTGGCATAAAGGCTTTGATTTTTCTGTGGACACAGGCTTAAATCCAGATTCTACCGCTTGATGGCTTCTCCATGGGAGCCTCAGTTTTCTCATCTGTGGAGTGGGTGTGTATTACTCCATTCTCACACTGCCAATAAAGACATACCCAACTGGGTAATTTATAAAGGAAAGAGGTTTCATTGGCTCACAGGTCAGCATGTCTGGGGAGGCCTCAGAAAACTTACAATCATGGCGGAAGGGGAAGCAAACACATCCTTCTTCATATGGTGGCCGGAAGGAGGAGAATCAGTGCCCAGGAAAGGGGGAAGCCTCTTATAAAACCATCAAATCTTGTGAGAACTAACTCACTATTGTGAGACTAGGATGGGAGAAACCACCCCCGTGATTCAATTATCTCCACCTAGTCCCTCCCACGACACGTGGGGATTATGGGAACTATAATTCAAGATGAGATTTGGGTGGGGACGCAGCCAAACCGTATCAGGGAGTAAGAAGAGTTCCTCTCTCAGATTCAAGGAGATAATGGGCTGAGGCACTTAGCACTGTGCCAGCCCCATCGTCACACTCAGCACACAGAGGGAATCATGACCATGATTGTTTGAGAGAGGGAATTAGAAAGTTGGGTTCAGTTTTAGGCAAAAGCTGACCTGCCTTCAAAGCTGGAGTATGGGGACAGGGGGCCGTGCGTGGGACATCGTGCTTGAGAGCTTTGCAGTTTGGCCTTTTCTTTTCTCTACCGGAGATGGGAGGCCTCTGTCCGTGTTTCTGCTGTGTTCACCAGGAGGCCAGTCTGGGGCAATTACTGCTCCCCATCTCCCAAAGGAGCCACATCAGCCTCATAGCAGTGTCTCTAGCTTCGAGCTGTTGCCTGTGGCAGGCAGAACAGTGTGTACTCGCAACAAGCAAATCCCCAGATGTGAGCCCATTCGGGGCTGCCACGTTTTTTCCTGATGAAATTCCTGACTTGGTGTGTTGTGTTTTTTTAAAAAACACGCCCACTGCCTCCAAAAACCTCAGCCGGGGAAGAGAAACATTTCTCGTTGAATTCCCAGTTTTTGAAACGGTGTCAAATTATGCCCCTCTCATGGCCTGGATACGCCATTCTTTCCACTTAGTGCTTTTCAGAGAGGCCTGGGTGGCAGAACGTGGATGTTATCTAGGCCAGCCTTTGCATTATACAGGTGGGGAAACTGAGGCTCAGACAGGCCAAGGAGGAGCCCCACATGGGAAGTTGGTCTCAGAGCCTTGGTGATACCCCCAGATCTCTTGATTCCAGGCCCACTTTCTTCCTTCTTCATCAGAGGTCACAAATGGGCAGGCTGCAGCCACCTCTACCCTACAGATGTGCTTTCTTTGGCCTGAGATTGTTTTGATTTGAATGAGTTGCCGGCATTTAAAAATTAGGAGATTCCATATAAAAACCCAGATTTCTGGCTTCTCTGGGGCCATTGGGAGATCTGCCAAATGAGCTGTGCATTCCTGCATGGTGACAATTGAGGGTCTCAGTCATGGCCACTCCCTTTAGCCAGAGCATGTCTTCATCAGTTCACCACAGTCCCCGCCCCTCCCTCTAGTACCCCCGGACCTGGGGGCTCAATGTCACTTGTCATCATGGCGCTTTCCCTCCCAGTTCTATAGGGGTGCAGTTAAGAGAAAAGTGAAGTATTTCTTGAAACTGTGTCTCTATCAAAAAGAAGGAAACAAAAGATCAACCGAAATGACCACTTGTTTAAACATTAATAGTACATAGCATGATTGCTTTGTGGCAGAGCAAAAAATTTCTATGAATTTCATATGCAAAGAGAATACGTCAGTGTTGAAAATCGCTGGCCCCTTCACTCTCTGAGGTTACCTTCCCCTTCTCTGCCAGTGTTACACTTGCCATCCCTGCGTGCCAAGGCCATAGTTTCCACTTATTTTTTTAAGGCAGCATTAAACTTATTTGACCTACATCTGCCCCCCTCCTGTGAAACTTGAAATGCTATTAAACCAAATTAAGAAGTTTTTAAAAGTTGAAATGGTCTTTAACTGCTCGAGAAAGGGTGTATGTGAATATGTGAATGTATTGTGCAGTGTGTGTGGGTGTGCATGGACAAGTATGCTGTGTGTGAGTATATGAATGTGGGTGAGTGTGTCAGAGTCTGTGTGAATATGTGTAGGTGCTTAAGTGTGTGAGTTTGTGTGTGTGTGTATCTGAGTATGAAGGTATTATGTGTGTGTGCATGTGTGATGGGTTCTTGATTTATAGACTTTGCACCAAGTAGAATTGGACAAAAGTGTTTTTCTTTGGCTCTGGGACTGGCACTTCTGGGCTTTACCATACATTTAAGCCAAGGTGCAAAGCCAAGTTGGTTTTAACTCTAATGCCACGTCAGTGAGCTGGGTTGAGATTGAGGTTAAGGTTGACTTTCCTTTCTTCTGGGATATAGTGGGGGGCTTTTGGAGGGGAGAGCTCGGGGTGCTAGGCTTTACAAATGATGCTCACTTTCTTCCCAGAGCAGATGGCCAGAAGAGAGGGGGCTCACACTTTGAGGCCTGCTGTGTGCCAGACATTCATATGAAGATTATCTCTCTACTGTTCGAAGTGAGCTTTGGACCCTTCCTTATTTACTGATGTGTTCATTTTGGTTCTGTTAGGAAAAATATATAGAGAGATAACCTATAAAATACATAAATTAGTAGTATTTCTTAGAACAAGGCTCAGTTTATTTAAGGAGGAAAAAGAGTTCATTTAAAGAAAAAATATGTTAAATGATATAGTTTGTGGAGGTGAGAAAATCACAAATAATTGATCCTTACCATGTGCAGGAGTGGTCAGGTGGGCAGCCTCCCCCCGAGTCAAAATCTTCCTAACATCTTGTACTTCCTCAAAGCACTTAAACTTGTTAAATACTTAATCGTATATGCTTTTGCATAATTTTGTCTCTTTTCAACTAGGACTGTTTATGTCATTTCAAGGTTGCCTTTCCAGCATCTAGCAGAGTGCCAGGCACGCAGGAAGTGCTCAGGAAATAGCAGCGAATGCATGCACAGACTCCCTGCCAAGAGGGGAATTACTGTCCCCATTTTATAGATGAGGAAACTGAGGGTCAGAGTGACTTGCTTAAGATTTGGCAACTAGGATATGGCAAAACGAAGATTTGAACGCATGACTCTCAGGCTGCACAAACCTTTTTGCCAAACACCAATACGTGGGACTCAGGTCAGACAGACTATGACCACTGGCCCATTGCAAAATGAGGAAAGCGAAGTGGATGTGAAGAGTTTCATAAAGCTACAGGCATTCCTTGGAGATGCTGCGGGGTTGGTTCCAGAACGCCACAATAAAGCCAATATCGCAGTAAAGCAAGTCACGTGAATTTTTTGGTTTCCCAGTATGTATGAAAGTTATGTTTACACTATTACTGTACATAGGCCACTAAGTGTGCAATATTATTATGTCTAAAAGAATGTATGTACCTTAACTTAAAAATACTTCATTGCTAAAAAACGCTAATGATCGTCTGAGCCTTTAGCGAGTTGTAGTCTTTTTGCTGGTGGAGGGTCTTGCCCCATTGTTGAAGGCTGCTCACTGATCAGGGCGGTGGTTGCTGAAGGCTGGGGTGGCTGTGGCAATCTCTTAAAATAAGACAAACATGAAGTTTGCTGCATTGATGAATCCATTCTCTTCCTTTTATGAAACATTTCTCTGTAGCATGCAATGCTGTTTTATAGCATTTTACCCAAAGCAGAACATCTTTCAAAATTAGAGTCAGTTCTCGGCTGGGCGTGGTGGCTCACGCCCACAATCCCAGCACTTTGGGAAGCCGAGGTGGGCGGATCCTGAGGTCAGGAGATCGAGACCATCCTGGCTAACACGCTGAATCCCCATCTCTACTAAAAAATACAAAAAATTAGCCGGGCGTGGTGGCAGGTGCCTGTAGTCCCAGCTACTCAGGAGGCTGAGGCAGGAGAATGGCGTGAACCCAGGAGGCGGAGCTTGCAGTGAGCCGAGATCGCGCCAGTGCACT
Organism: Homo sapiens; assembly: GCF_000001405.40. Taxonomy (NCBI): domain Eukaryota; kingdom Metazoa; phylum Chordata; class Mammalia; order Primates; family Hominidae; genus Homo; species Homo sapiens. The sequence continues at coordinate 46,918,289 of NC_000020.11, forward strand.
CCAGCCTGGGCGACAGAGCAAGACTCCGTCTCAAAAAACAAAACAAATCTCACTCTGTAGCCCAAGCTGATGTGCAATGGCACGATCTCGGCTCACTGCAACCTCTACCTCTGGGGCTCAAGCAATTCTCATGCCTCAGCCTCCCGAGTAACTGGGACTACAGGCACATGTCACCACGCCCGGCTATTTTTTTTAGTTTAGTAGAGACGGGTTTCACCAGGTTACCCAGAGTGGTCTCGAACTCCCGCACTCAGGCGATCCATCCACCTTGGCCTCCCAAAGTGCTGGGATACAGACGTGAGCCACCAGCACCTGGCCTATTTCCACCACATCCGCAGTGACTTCCTCCACTGAAATCTTGAACCTCTCAAAGTCATTGATGAGGGCCAGAATCAACTTCTTCCAAACTCCTGCTAATATTGATATTTTTACCTCCTCCTGTGAATCACGAATGTCCCTAATGGCATCTTAGAATGGTGAATCTTTTCTAGAAGGTTTTCAATTTACTTTGCCCAAATCTATCAGAGGAATCATGACCTATGACAGCTATGGCCTTATGAAATGCATTTCTTAAATAATAAAATTTGAAAGTCAAAATTACTCCTTGATCCATGGGCTGCAGAATGGATGCTGTGTTAGTGGGCGTGAAGACAACATTTATCTCCTTGTATATCTCCATGAGAGCTCTTGGGTGACCACGTGGACTGTTGTGAGCAGTATTATTTTAAAAGAAACCTTTTTATCTGAGCAGCAGGTCTCAACAGTGAGCCTAAAATGTTCAGCAAACCATGCTGTAAGCAGACATGCTGTCATCCCGGCTTTATGTTATTCTGTTCATAGAGCACAGGCAGAGTAGATTTAACATCATTCTTAAGGGTCCTAGGATTTTCAGAATGGTAAATGAGCATTGGCTTCAACTTAAAGTTATCAGCTGCATTGGCCCTTAACAAGAGATTCAGCCTGTCGTTTGAGGCTGTGAAGTCAACCATTGACTTCTCCTCTCTAGCTATGAAAGCCCTAGATGGGATCTTCTTCCAATCGAATGCTGTTTTGTCTGCATTAAGAATATATTGCTTAGTGTAGCCACCTTCATCACTGATCCCAGCTAGATCTTCTGGATAACTTGCTGCAGTTTGTCCATCAGCACTTGCTGCTTCGCCTTGCACTTTTATGTTATAAAGATGGCTGCTTTCCTTAAACCTCCTGAACTCTTGGTAGCTTCAAACTTTTCTTCTGCAGCTTCCTCATTTCTCTCAGCTTTCATAGAATTGAAGAGAGTTAGGGCCTTGCCCTGGATTAGCCTTTGGTGTATGGGAATGTTGTGGTTGGTTTGATCTTCTATCCAGACCACTCAGACTTTCTCTGTATCAGCAATAAGACTGTTTTGCTTTCTTATCACTCGTGTGTTCACGGGAGTAGCACTTTTAATTTCCTTCAAAAATTTTTCCTTTGCATTCACAACTTGGCTAAACATTTGTTGCAAGAGGCCTAGCTTTCATCCTGTCTCAGCTTTCGACATGCCTTCCTCACTAAGCTTAATCGTTTCTAGCTTTTGATTTAAAGTGAAAGCCATGCGACTCTTCCTTTCACTTGAGCACTCAGAGGCCATTGTTGGATTGTGGATTGGCCCAGTTTCAGTACTCTTGTGTTTCACGGAATGGGGAGGCCTGAGCAGAGGGAGAGAGGTAGGGGAACAGTTGGTTGAGGTCAGAACACATGGAACATTTATACATTAAGTTCACCATCTTATATGGGCACAGTTTGTGGTGCCCAAATCAATTATGAATAATATCAAAGATCACTGATCACAGATCTCCATAACAGATATAATAGCAATGAAAAAACTTTGAAATATTGAGAGAATTACCAAACTGTGACACAGAGACATGAAAATGACACTGATAAACTTGCTCAATGTAGGATTGCCACAAAACTTTAATTTGTTTAAAAAAAAAAACAGTATCTGCAAAGTACAATAAAGCAAAGCAATAAAACGAGGTCTTCCTGTATTTGCTTTATTGCGGTGATCTGGAACCAAGCCCACGATATCTCCAAGGTGTGCCCGTATACTGTTCCAATTTAAAAAATGGTCTGTTATTTTTATTTTCTTCCTATTTTGAGGACGTGACACGTTATCTTTTTATGACTAAAATTTCTCATTTTTTGTTTTTAAATGTTTCACTGGACAAATCAAAATGGCAGCCTCCTTTTGTGGGTTCTCCCAGTTTTTTTCTTTGTATTGCTTTTTTTCGGGAGGGAGATTTTCTAGTTGGTGGAATCCCAGAGTCTGAGAATCATCAGACAACTTCAAGCTCCTCTGGAGATCTTATCAGGTCCATTGGGGAAATCTCTGAGCTCCCCTCTGACTTCTTTCCAAGTCACTTCACCATTTCCCCTTCATGGGGTGGGGCCAGTGTGTCTCCCTCATTCCAGGCCCCAGGGACACAAATGCAAAAACCAGAGCCACATCTCAAGGATGTGTCCTGGGACCTCTCCAGAGGGCCAGAGCCTGCCCTTACTGATTTTCCAGGGAGCTCAGGACTCATCATCTCTCTGGGAGAAACTGGTGCCACCCAGGATGGCCTTGGTTAGTACGGCATCTCTTCATGGGCTCTGCTCACCTCTTTTGGTTTCAGCACAATGCAGCTTTCCTTTCCATTTTCTTAACCAATTCAGATGCCCCTCATCTAACTGCTAATCATAGCTCCCTGTTGAGCGAGGTGTCACCTCTGAAAGTCTGCCCATTGTTGACCCTGCGGTCTCTTCTTCCAGGCTTGGAGGCTGGGTAGATGCCATTTCTCTAACCCTGCCAGAACTCTAGCTGTGCCCACACCTCCGCTGGCTCTTAGTAGGGGCGCCTTCTCAGTGGGGAGGCTGACACAGGGCTGTGGAGACTTGGAGCCAGCAATGCGCCGGCCCTCGCCTCAGAGAGCTTGGAGCCTCGTAGGTGAGACCAGGCAAGCACAGATGTTTCCTTGGGACTGGATTCTAGGCCCTGTTGAGGGCTGGAGGGTAACCTCTTAGGCTTGCATAGTATATTACAGTTTACAAACAGTCTCCACATTTATTTTCCTCATGTCCATTTGTAGTCCTCTGCAGTACGTGATGCTTATCTTGCCCAGCTGGCATCCATTCATCTCCTGGTTTTCTTTTCTTTCTTCTCCTTTCTCGTTTCTACTGCACCTTCAGGCCATTACCCCACTCTCCAGTTCTAAGTGCAGACCTGTGACCTCCCCATGGGCAGTCACAACATGCTATGCCTCTGCCCTCAGGGTTCAGGCACAGGAACTGGACCCAGGTTGAATGGGGCCCAATTCTGGGAACTTTGCTGGAATTGTTGAGGAATGATGCCCTCTTTTCTCTGGGTTGCTAAACTCATAGAATGTAGCCATCTTGCTTAGGGGAAGCCTGCCTGAAACTAAAGGCAACTCAAAGGAAGACAGAGACAAGATATGGAGGGCAAAAGATTCCCAATGACCTCATTTGAGCACCTGGATCCAGCTGTTCCTGAAGCTAGATACCATGTGTTATTCCCTTATATTAGCCAATACATTATTTCTTTTTTACTTAAAGAAGTTTGAATGGAGTCTTCTCCCAATTGCTATAAACTAATACAGGTGGTTTTGCATTTACTAAGTTGCCCTGCTTCCTCTGATCACAGTAAAACTCCCTTTCATGTATGAAACCCTCTTGTAAGTGTTTTCATAGCAATCAGACTCATGTCTACTAGACACAGCACTGGCCTAATTTCAGTGAAGAGGGATTTGAGGCACAGAAGAGAAGGGAAGCAAGTTGAGGCTGGAACCTGCGTTTCCTAACACCTGTTCTAGTGCATTTTCCACTTGGAGCATCCTCACCAGCTTTCAGTTTGGAGAACAGTTTTTAATACCCAGGACATCATCACCCCGGAGGACAGGAGTGCTAATTGATTTAATGAACAACCCAAGCAAGGTCAGAGAAAACTCTTAACTACATCACAGAGTAATCAGAAGAGTTACACTAATGGTAATTTTAGGTGCCTAGAAAATCTCTGGTAGATAAGAGAGGAAATAGTTAACTGTAGTTACCCAGGGGAAAGGAAATGGGGAAAAGGAGATTCTTAGTTTTTTACTGTGTATACTCTACTGTACATTCCAAAATGTTTTACTAGGGGCACCGATTGTTTCATATTCAAGTAAACAGTGAATTTTGAAATGTAACAACAGCAGGCTTCCATCTGAGACAATTAGAGCATCAAATAGTGAATTATAAACCATTGAAAAAATACAAACCTATGAATATATACCACTAATAAATAGGTAAATAAGTAAATAGGGAGGAGGGAGGTTTTGTGCTTACAGTCGAATGCCGAGGACCAGCTAGAATTGTGGGGGAGAGCTGGGTAAGAAACACACCATGTTGCGACCACTATAATAAAGATTGGTTCAGTCAAGAATCATCATCAATAGATGCTGAATTTGGGGTGGGGATGTTGATAAGGAGTAGCATTTTGCATGGTCTTAAGTGATCTCTTCACGATGGCTTATAAATTTTAAGAGAAAATAATAGTCACTATGCAGTGCAGAAATTGGTGATCTGTATCAATGTCATCACTGAGAGGCAGATAGACAGGATGTCCGGAGAAGGACGCAGCATCACCCATGCAGTATTCTGGGAGGGTGCATGACCCGAATCTAATAAGAAAAGAGCAGACAAACCTAGAATGAGGAACATTCCATTTCAAAAAAAGGTACCTTCTTCTTCAAAAATGCCGATGTTGCAAAGTACAGAAAAAGACTGAAGAAATGTTCTAGATGAGGCCGGGCACGGTGGCTAGTGCCTGTAATCCAAGCACTTTGGGAGGCTGAGGCGGGCGGATCACTTGAGGCCAGGAGTTTGAAACCAGCCTGGGCAACATGGTGAAACCCTGTCTCTACTAAAAATACAAATTAGCCAGGCGTGGTGGCAGACACCTGTAATACCAGCTACTCAGAGGCTGAGACATGAGAATTGCTTGAACCTGGGAGGCAGAGGTTGCAGTGAGCCAAGATCGTGCCACTGCACTCCAGCCTGGGTGACAGAGTGAGACTCTGACTTAAAAAACAAACAAAAGAAATGTTCTAGACCAAAGGAATCTGAAGGGATAGGACAACTAAATACAGTACCCAGTTCTAGACTGGATTCTAGATAGAGGGGGAGATGTGATACAGGAAATTATTGGTGAATTGACAAATTGTACTGTGGAGAATGGATTGGTTAAAATATTGTGTCAGTGTTAAAGTGATTGAAGTGGGTAATAAACCGGAGATTCTATAAGAGAATGTTATTTTTCTTGGGAAATACCATTGGAATATTTACGAGTAAAAGGCCATTATGCATGTAACTCTGAAATGATGCACAAAAGAAAAATAATACACGTGTGCTGGGTGTGTGTGTGTGTGTGGAGAGAGAGAGAGGGAATTGGTAAGCACATGGGTGAAACATTAACAGCAGATGCATCTGGGTAAAAGATCTGTGAGTATTCTTTGTACTGCCATCACATAGGTCAGCCTCTCTCCAAAACCTGCACTCTTGTTTACTAAAACAGTATTTCTCAAAACATGGAACGCCTTAGTGATTTTTTTTAAATCTCATTTTGCTAACTTTCAGCTCTTTTAATTAAGCCCAAAAGAGAATCTTAAGTTGGTGCTGGATGGTTTGGTTTTTAACACCAAACACTTGCTAATTCTCTTTGTATAACAAAGAGAGTCATCAGGCAAGCAGTGGCCTCTAGAAAGATCTATCTTTCATGGGGGATTCCTCATATTAATTTTTCTAGTTATCTTCTATTTTTTGACAGTGATTTATATTTGTGATTTTTAAAAGTTCCTTTTTAGGTATATTAATTTAAGTTTATTTTTAACTTGTTTTAGGAAGTGAGTCAATTCAAAGAAAATATTAAGGTGGTGACAGTGCACGGTATGGGTGGCACATGGAGATGGCAGAGGCTGGGAAGGACTAAAGTTTCAGCCACTGCAGCTGGAAACTCCTCTCAAGTTTAAAATGTTTGGGTCAAGGTGACACTTTCCCGTCTGTGGTCCCTGCTTTCTTAACACTATCATTCAGAAAGGCCCCAAGTGTAGGCCGGGCACGCTGGCTCACGCCTGTAATCCCAGCACTTTGGGAGGCCGAGGTGGGTGGATCGCGAGGTCAGGAGATCGAGACCATCCTGGCTAACACGGTGAAAACCCATCTGTACTAAAAATACAAAAAATTAGCCAGGCGTGGTGGCGGGCGCCTGTAGTCCCAGCTACTCAGGAGGCTGAGGCAGGAGAATGGCGTGAACCCAGGAGGCGGAGCTTGCAGTGAGCCGAAATCGCGCCACTGCACTCCAGCCTGGCCAATAGAGCGAGACTCCATCTCAAAAAAAAAAAAAAAAAAAAAAAAGCCCCAAGTGGGTAATTCCTTTCCTCTAAGGCAGTAACCAGAATAAACCCTTCTCTATCACCAATGCATGATGCTTCCATTATGTTTCACCTCCCTAATCTTCAGAACTTGGAAGAATGAGTTTGGTAATGTTAGACTGGAAACTCAGACCAAGGAGGCTGTGTTAGTTTCCTGGGACTGATGTAAAAAAGTACAGCAAACTTGGTGACTTTAAACAACAGAAATTTACTCTCTCCGGAGGTGGAAGTCTCCAGAGAGCCTGCAAGGTGTTAGCAGAGCCGTTCTCCCTGAGCCTAGGTAGAATTCTTCCTCACCTCCTCCTGGCTTTGGTGGTGGCCATCCGTCCTTGGCATTCTTTGGCTTGTAGCCATGTCACCCCAATCTCTGCCTCTGTCATCACATGGCCTTGTCCCTGTATGTCTTCATGCAGCTTTTTATAAGGACACCAGTCACATTGGATTGAGGACCCATATAACTCCAATATGACCTCATCTTAACTAATCACATCCACAATGACCCTATTTCCAAATAAGGCCAGAGGGTGACAACTTTAATATGTCCTTTGGCGGAACACAATTCAATCCATAGCAGAAGTTTACTCAAGCACTCAAGGGCTAGGAAAGAAAAGATTCATGACTGGCCCTATGTAAAAATAAAACACCTCAGCATAATGCAAATACCATATGCAAAATCAAAAGATAAATGACAAACTGGGGGAAATCTTTGCAGTTCATATGACAAAAAAAGAGGCTGGTTTCTCCGGCATAGGAAAGAGAGTTCCTAGAAATTGATCAGAAAACAGTAACAATAATCCATTAGAGAAATGGATGGAAGGTATGAACAGGCAATTCACAGGAAAGGAAATACAAATGACTTTTAAATATTTGAAAATATGTTCGATCTCACTTAAAAAAGAGATATGCAATTAAAATCCACCCATAAAATCGAGAACAATTTCAAAGTTTATGAACATACTCTGCTGGTGAGGCTGTGGGGAAACAGACACTCTCATCTATTGTTAGGAGGAGTGTGTGTCACTACGGTCCTTTTGGAGGGCAGATTGGCGTGGCCCATCCAGATTACAAGTGCACCCTCCTTTAATCTAGCAATCTGTTCCTAGGAATTTACTGCAATTGTATGTGTGCAAAGTAGCACTTGTAACTCAGTGTTTATTGCAGCCTTATTTGTAACAGCAGAAGTTTGGGAACTGTCCAGGTGCTCACAGATAATAGAGAATTGGTCACATAACTTGGTATCTCCATGCAATGGAAAATTATGCAGCTGTAAAACAAAATGACCATACTTTCCAGGCACCAATTTGATAAAAACCCCTGGAAAAATATTACTGAAAGGAGGTAATATAGCATGCTACTATTCGTTTAAGAAGCAAGTGCGGAGTGAATAAGAATATACATCCACATTTGCTTCTGTTTACATAAAGAAAATTTGAAAGGCTACGCAAGAAATTAATTATTAGGACTAATTAACTATTAATTAGGATTTTTCCAGAGAAACAGAAAAAAATAGGAAATATATACGTACACACATACAGTGATATAGAGAGGGGGGTTGATTTATTATAAAGGATTGGTTCATGCAGTCATTCAATTATGGAGGCTGAGAAATCTCATGATCTGCCATTTGCAACCTGGAGACCCAGGCAAGCCAGTGGTGTAATTCTGTCCCATTTCAAAGACCTGAGAACCAAAGAAACTAATGGTATCAATCACAGTTCAAGGGCAGGGGAAGATGAGATGAGATGTCCCAGTTCAAGCAATGAGACAGGAAAAGAAGGGAGAAATTCCTTCTTCTTCTTCCTTTTGTTCTGTTCATGTCCTCAGTGGATTGGATGGTGCCCACCCACTTTGGGGAGGGCCATGTACTTTACTGAGTCCACTGATTCAAATTCTCATCTCATCCAGAAACACCCTCACAGGGATACCTAGAAATAATGTTTCATCTGGGCACCCTGTGGCCAATCAAGCTGACATGTAAAATTAACCATCACACTAATGAAAGTGGCTGTGGAGGGTGGTAGGGATAGAAATGAGACTTTTCCACTATATCTCTTTATAATTTTAATTTTTGAATTATGTGACTGCCGTGCCTAATTAAAAATAAATGCAACACCTTGGGTGTGGGAGCAGAGTTGCCGTGGGCTCACTGGTTGCTGCACACGTTGCTCTGCATGTCCTGGGTTCCTTTTCCTCTGGTTGCTCCTTCTTAGTTATTCTGGGGGAAAGCAGGTGCCATGGGGTACCTGAGACTAATAAATAAATGCAGGTCAGCTTGTGGCCCACAGAGGATGGCCCAGCAGGCATGGGGTGCTGTGTCATGGGCAAGGACATGGGCCATTCTTCAGTGGCAGTCATTTTCCTTGATGGGAGCCCAGAAGTGCTTTGGGAAGGTAGCCTCGTGCTGGGCGTGTCTGCCCTAAGTTGAGTTTACCAACACATAGGAAGGTCTGAAATTCATTTCAGCACAAGAGCAGAACTGACCCTGTGTGCTTACATTGGAAATCACAGATGCCCCTTCCCTCAGTCAGGAAAATTACCCAGGTCACCTCTGGTGAGCAGAAGGCCTTGCAGAACAAGTGCTCAGTGGACAGTGTGACATATGAGCCCCGCCGGGATCTCCCGCTGCAGCAGCGAGGAAGTAGTGTGGTGCAGTGGTTACGTGTTGCAGTTTCAGAGCTGAGTTCACAGCATGGCTGTATTAATCTGTTCTCACGCTGCTAATAAATACATACCTGAGACTAGGTAATTTATAAAGAAAAAGAGGTTTAATGGACTCACAGTTCCATGTGACTGGGGAGGCCTCACAATCATGGCAGAAGGCAAAAGGGCACATCTTACATGGCGGCATGCAAGAGAGAATGAGAGCCAATCAAAAGGGGAAACCCCTTATAAAACTATCAGATCTCGTGAGACTTATTCACTACCACGAGAACAGTATGGAGGAAATCACCCAGATGATTCAACTATCTCCCACTGGGCCCCTCCTACAACACGTGGGAATTATGGGAGCTACAGTTCAAGATGAGATTTGGGTGGGGACACAGCCAAACCATATCAATGCCCTGCCCTCTTACTAAACGTGTGACCTTGGGCAGGTCACTCAGCTCTTTAACCCTATAGGTTTTGTCACCTATAAAATACGAGTCGCTAGTACCTGTCTCCAAAGGTGTATGAGGATCGGGTGAGGTAATGCAGTGAAGTGCACATAGTAACCCTAACCGTGACCCGAATCAATAGAACACTTAGAATTATCACAAACAATAATAACAGATAATACTCATGTAGCATTTACTATGCTGCAGACACTGTTTTAAGCTCTCCAACTATATTTACTCTCCCTGCAACTCTGTGAAGTAGGTATTGTAATTATTCTCACTTTACAAGTGAGGAACAGAGACATAAAGGGTAAATGTCTTGCCCTACATTACTCAGCTCTGCACTGGAGGAGGTGGGATTTGAACCTAGGTGGTCTGGCTCAGAGACTGCTTTTACTGACTTCATCACTGTGTTCAGTGAGTTCCAGGACGTGAGTTTGAATAAATGGAAAAATGGGAACCTGAAACCCTCAGCAAAGTCTGCTGTGAGCATGTGTCTCTGATCTTTCAAGTACTGCTTTGGCCACTCTTAAGCTTCGTGAACCTTATTTTCCTCATACATAAATGGGAGGAGAGTAGTAATGACATCTACTATTTATTAATCACCTGCTGAGCATCAGAGGCTGTGATGAGTGCCTTACAGGTCTCATTTTTTCCTCACTGGAGCCCTATAAGATAAGTACTGTTTTCCCCATTTTATAGACAAAGAGACTGAGGTTCAGAGAGGCCCAGAAATCTTAGGCAGCCAGTAAATGCCAGAAACAGAAGTTGAAGCCAAGTCTGTTTGATGCCAGAGCCTGGGCCCATCACCACCCCCTGGACTCTGTGCCCTCCGGGAGCTGTTGCAAAGATGAGAGTTATTTTTCTGTGTGGTGCCTGGCACACAGTGCCGGTGTGCAAAATCACCAACGCTTGGATTGTCGATGTAACATTTGCTCACGGAAAGCTGACCTCACCCATGTTGAAGCTCCCTTTCCTCATCTGCTGAGTCAGGATGCAGATGGGGTGGCTTTCAGGGACTGCTATACAGACAGAGTTCTAGAAGGTTGTGTGGCCCGGAAGCGGTGCTGTGCCGATGTTAGGGGCCTCTACCTCTGAACTACAAGCAAATTCTCCCCTCCAACAAGAGCACATTGTGTTCTGGCCCCGGTCTCCCACTAAGGCTACTTTAAATGCAGATCCTTCTGCCAACAGCTACTTTTAGCAAGGGCAGACTATCATAAGGAGAGAAACTTGCAAGAAAATAGCAAAATGGAAGCATTGTTCCCGAGGGTTTGGAGCAGGCTCAGGGAACGGTGGGGTGGGAGAGCCCTGGAGACGTGCTTTGCCATCACAAATAAGTTGTGCAAAAAAAAAAAAAAAAAAAAGAAGAAAAGAAAATTCACTTAAAGTTTTTCCTGAAACCTGGAAGGAGGAGAGGGCAGACAAAACTAACTTTGGAAGGATTTAAACTGCTATAGTCCTGTGGAAGCTTCTCTGAAGGAACTGGGAACTGTTTATAGCAGGAGAATTGCATCTTGAGGCTGGAGGGAGCACAGGGCTATTGATGGATGAGTCCCTAGTAACACGGGAAGATGGGAGGCAGGAGAAAAAGCTTGTGGACTGAGAAGGGGCTTTTTTTTTGAGGAAATTTGTGTTCTCAGGGATGAACTAGGGCCATATGATAAAAGATTGCAAGGATGGTTTCAACTTCACACCATTTAGAGCCTCTGGCACTATGAGGAGGTTGGCTCATGCAGTAGTGAGTGGACTGTCCTCAGAAGCATGCAAGCAGAGCCCGGGTGATGATACAGGGAGTCCAGCTTTAAGATAGGACACAGGACTTGAGCAGAGGCTCATAAACACTGGGCCTTGTGCAGGGTCCGCTCTGTGCCAGCTCTCACACTCATCCATGATGAAATGAGAGCAAAGAGGACTGAGGCTGGGTGCGGTGGCTCACATCTGTAATCCTAGTGCATTGAGAGACCGAGGTGAGAGGATTGTTTGAGCCCAGCCTGGCCAACATAGTGAGACACTGTCTCTTAAAAAAAAAAAAATTGAGTAGTGAGATTTTAATCCAAGAAGACTGTTCCTTGAGACTACACCCTTCCTAAACTTAGGTGTTCAAATGCTCTTTATAAAATGACCCCTCTGTAAAAGCCTGGAAATATTGGGATTAGATAATGTCCAAGTCTTTTCCATTGCTAAGATTTTGTGATTCTAGGAAAATATGTTTCTGATTTGGATGAAACAGAATAGGAGGAGCGTAAAAGCAAGCCTAAAACTGACACATCAAGAAATGGCCATGTCAGCATACCAGTTAGAGATGCAGAGTTACTTACCAGGAGGAACAGTTACAAGTTGACTGTGGTCCTCCTGAAGAACAGGGCTGGAGGTGAGATTTTGCATAAGTATCAATTCTGCATTGGTATATAAATTTTAAAATGACATGCATGTACTATATGACCTTTGGTTAACACTAAAACTTTTAAAAAATAAAAGACAGGTAATAATTATAGCTGCCCTTTACTGGATTCTGTGCTAAAGGCTTTTTATAATATTATTTCCTTTAATTAATCCCATCTTAGGGATGAGGAAACAGGCTCAGAAAGGTGAAGTTACTTACTTTGCTGTGCAGACAGGGTGAATTTCAGGTTTTTTTGACGTGAGAATCCAAACCAGATGCATATACACGAAGCTCAGTTGTCCTCTGCCAGGGTGAGACTTCTGTGGGGCTTCAGGAGAGGAAGAGGATGGGGGGATGTGGGGGTAATGCTATAGAAAGCACCAGAAGATAACTGGAAGAGAGATGATGACAAAAAAGGGGGTCCTGGTTAGGTTTCTTGATCAAACATCTTGAGGAATTCAGCAGCTTGTCATAAACTAAAAAAAGGCACACTTGCACATTAAAAGAGAAATAATTAAACAGTTGCATGAGACACTTATGTTCCTTTCTCCCCTCAATTTGGATTTGATGGGAGGGAGGCCACATGGGAGGAAGCAAGCTGTTTGGACGCGTTGACTCTGTGCCAGGCACTGTGCCAGGAACCTTATGGAAATATCAGCCCATCTAGTCTTCGCCATGACTCTGAGAAATAATATTAACCAAGAACGTCACTTAGGAATGCCTACCGTAGGGTCTCTCAGCTTCAGCCCTGCTGATATTTGGGAACAGATCATTATCTGTTGTGGGAGGCTGGCACCCATTAGGTGCCAGTGTGATAACCGAAAACGTCTCCACACATTGTCAGGTGCCCTCAGGGAGTCAAACTCACCTCCAATTGAGAACCACTGTCCTCAGATGACTAGGCATGTCATATATATTATCTTGAGTCACCCTGCCAGCTAGCTGTCATGATGCCCACTTTGTAAATGAAGACACTGAGGCTGAGAGAAGGCTGACATCATTGTCAGTAGCAGGGCTAAGAACTGTGCCACGTGTTTTCAATACTGAATTTAGAGAAGCAGCAAATGAAGACCCCGGCCCAGTTAACCTTGGGCTAACACTAAAATATAGATTGTATCTTCTCTTTTTTAACCACAGTGAATGTCTTAGAGGAGGGGCTGGTGTTTCATTATGTTTTGTTTGTTTGTTTGTTTGTTGTTTTTAAGTACGCTGGCGACATGGCACAGGCTCTGGAACCAAGCACCTTCACTTATTATCTCTGAAACCCTGGCATGTTACTTAACCTCTTTGGCTCTCAGTTTTCTTCTCTGTAAAATGGAACTAATGATTATACCTCCTCATAGGGTTGTTTGGGGATGAAATGAGATCACGTGAGCGAAGCAGTGCCTGGCAGATAGAGACTCAGCATCAACAAATGTGAGCTGTCATTCTTACGAGCAAGTTTTTAAATCCATTTCACATACTCAGACCTGGAAGTGGCCCCAGTGGCATCATTCAGGGCACCATCTCTGGGGTGGCTGACTCTGCTTCTTTGCAGTCAAGCCCAGGGGTTGTAATTCATGTCGGATTTTCGCTGACCACTGAGCAATCCCCTCTGGGCTGCAGGAGTAGCCGGATTTGGCTTGAGCGTCCAGAGGAGAAGCCGTCCAAGCTGATCAAGCATTTGCCTTCTCCACCAATAGGAGTCTCAGGAGAATTATGGAACTGTCTTTGCACATGGAAGAGATTAATTCGTGTGGCCACAAATAGCTTGAACACTGTGTCCTCAGCGCTGTGATCTAGTATCCCCTGAAATTTACACAGGGTGCCAGCCCGGCAGCCAGAAAAGCCACAGGACCGTCTTAAGCTGCCCAGCGCTCCTAGCCGGGGGACCCCTCAGGAATTTCAGAGGGTGGGGACAAGATTAAGTCGTTTGTTTTTCATTTCATCCACCTACCTCGCCCCCCGCCTAATAAGCCTGCTTTCTGGCCTCCCGTTTATCAGCCAAATGGAATGATTGTGCACCCCCCATCCCCGGGTTTGCACCTCCAGGCTCAGTCCGTCTACTTCCTCCACCTGGCGTACCCTCTTTTATGGTCATGCTCACCTTCCAGTCTCTGCATAGCTAAATGCCACCATCCTCCAAGCCTAGTGCCACCACCTCTGCTCCCCCCACCAAGTGGTACATGGCTTTAAAGGATGTGGGCTCTGGAATAGAGTTTAAACCCCAGCTCTGTTAGATGTAGGTGAGGGGTGATATGGTTTGGCTTTGTGTCCCCACCCAAATCTCATCTTGAATTGTAATTCCCATGTGCCAAGGGAGGGACCTGGTGGGAGGTGATTGGATCTTGGGGGCATTTTCTCCCATGCTGGTCTGGTGATAGTGAGTGAGTGTTCATGAGAGCTGATGCTGTTAAAGTGTTTGGCACTGGCCAGGTGCGGTGGCTCAAGCCTGTAATCCCGGCACTTTGGGAGGCGGAGGTGGGTGAATCATCTGAGGTCAGGAGTTCGAGACCAGCCTGGCCAATGTGGCGAAACCCTGTCTCTAGTAAAAATACAAAAAAAATCAGCCAGGCGTGGTGGCGGGTGCCTGTATTCCTAGCTACGTGGATGGCTGAGGCAGGAGAATCGCTTGAACCCAGGAGGCAGAGGTTGCAGTGAGCCGAGATCGAGCCACTGCACTCCAGCTGAGCAACAGAGTGAGCCTCTGTCTCAAAAAATATTAAAAAATAAAGTGTTTGGCAGTCTCCCTCACCACGACCACCCCCTCTCTGTCCTGCCACTGTGTAAGATGTGTCTTGCTTCCCCTTTCCCTTCCAACATGATTGTGTTTCCTGAGGCCTCCCCAGCCACGCAGAACTGTGAGTCAATTAAACCTCCTTTATTTATAAATTACTGTCTCAGGTATATCTTTATAGCTGTGTGAGAACAGACTAATACAAGGGGCTTACTTTCCTGTGAACCTCAGTTTTTGCCCCTATAGGTGGAATACTAATGGCTGATTAATTCCTGCCTCATCAGATCATTTGAGATTTAAACCAGAAAAGGCAGACTAGGTGCTTGGCTCCCTGCTGAGAACGTAGTAAGGACTCCCTCGATGTGAGCTCAGGGCAGGTCAGGCAGGTAGCTGGCCTAGACAGCTGGGGCAGGAGGAGAACATCCGTGCAAAGAGGCTAGAGGCCCTCAGCAGCAGCGTGGTGGCAGCTGTTGGATCGGCTGGCCACACTTCCACAGATCTGGCCCATAAGGAGACAACACTCCAGATGGATGTAGGTGGGTTCTTACTTCACAGTGGGCAAGATCAGGTTGGTGTTGGCTCCCACATCCTAGTCCCACAGGGTGACCCCAAACTGGAAGGGCCAGACAACAGATGGCATCAGTGGTGGGTCACTCTGTTATTGAGGAAGCAACTCTGGACACAGCTAAGTGGTTTTGTAGTCTTCATCTGTACCAAAGTGGGGCAAGATGGAAAGCGCCAAGTCTCACTAGAACGAGGGAGGCCGATGAGAAATGACCGTGCTACAGCTCCTCACAGGACTGCTGTCTTGCAGCACCCCACGCAGGATCCTAGGGCCTTCCGTCAAGATTTGGGTTGGACTGTGCTTTAGTCTTGCCTATGGGGCTTTTGCAGAAATACACAAGGTCACCGGGGCCCAGAGAGTAATGAGAGAGGCAGGAAGACATTTGTGCTCACCTAGAACAGTGCCTGGCACATTGTATATGCTCAATTAAAAAGTGTTGGATGAATGAATGAATTTACCCCACAGTATTTAACAAACCCCTGCCTGGAGCAGGCCCTGTTCTGGTTGCTGGGAATTTGGAGATAAGTGAGGCTTAGCCCATGCTCTCAAGACCTCACGTGACAGTGCCAGAGATGCTTCAACTGATCATTAGCAAAGTGTTCTGAGATCTCTGAAAAAGCTAAGCATGGCTCGGAGGCACTGACAGTGGAGTGTCTGCATTTATGAGAGCATTTTGGGTGGCAATTGGCAGAAATGTCAAAGCCGTTGAAACAAACAAAAGAAAGAGACTTAATTGGCTCATGAAACTGAAATGCTACCTGCAGGCATGGCTGTATCCAGGCACTCAAACAACATCAACATAGTCTCTCTCTCTCACCCCGTCCCCACTCACCCATGTCTCTTGGCTCTGTTTTCCTCTGTGTCACCTTCCTCCTGGCCAGCTTCCTTGTCGTGGTGGTCCCCAGCCCTTCTAGGTGTTCATCATCCTGAGGACTGGCAGTGGCAGCAGAAAGAGGGCTCCTCTTTCCCAGTAGCTCTCCCAGAATTCAAGGATTGACTCAAACTAGCCCAGTTAGGTCGTGGGCACATCCCTCCACAAATAGCACTGTGGGACGCGAAAGTGATCAGCTCCATCCAAAGGATGTGGAGGGAGGGTGAAGCGGGAGAGGCTCTCCAAGGGAAAGTGAGGATGCTGCTAGGGAAGAGGAGGTGGATGCTGGGCAGGTACAGACAACAGATGTCCACTAGATCCACCTAGAAGACCGTTCATTCAAACTTGATTATGTGCACTGGGTGGAAATTTATTGGATGGGACAGGGGAAATAGAATGGGAGGAAGGGAATCTCTGGCAGAGAGAACAGCATGAGCAAAGGCCCAGAGGGAGAGAAGTGGATCACAAGGAATTGGACCAGGAGATGGGTAGGTGGTTGAGGTTGGAGGATTGAGCAGAGGCCAGATGATTGAAATCCTTGAATGTCAAGTGATTCAAAGAGGAAAGAGCTATGGTTAGATTTGCATTTTTAAATTCATTCATCCAACACATATTTACTGAGCAACTACTATGTGAATAAGCAAAGTCCCTGATTATATTCTAATCATACCCTAGGGTAGTGCTAGGAAGCAAGACTGGAGACGCTGAGTCTGGAGGCAGGGAGAGGGAGGAGGTTGCGCACCAGTCTAGACGGGAGTGGCTAAGACTTAGCTGGGGCGTGGAGCACATTTCCCCTGCATCAGCTCTACTCAGGGCCAAACCTTTGCTATGTAGAGTGAGTGCAGGAAGCAGATCTCCAGGCTCTTGTGTGATGCTCCACCAGGGCAGCCTGCTGGGAACATTTTTGTAGCATCTGTTTGCACAGGCTGTCACCAACAGAATTAGCCTAGATTTGAATCCTTGCTGTCCCATGCACTGGCTGTGTGACCTGCCGCACCTCTCTGGGCCTCAGTCTCCTCTGTTAAATGACTTTGTGCTGGCACCTACTTTGCAGAGTTGTCATGACGATTAAATGGGATAGTGTTTGGCGCCTAAGAAGTGCTCAATAAATGACGATGTTATTAATTACTATTGTTACTGTGACTGTCTTCAAGGGACATCCACTCCTGAAACTCATCTTCCTCTCTTGGAAACTGGGCACCATGATAGCAAGTGCCTTAGTGGAATGGTAATCCACTTAGTGGCCATGTGACCTTGTGCACATGACGTCACCTCTCTGTGCCTTGGACTCCTCATGGGAAAAAATGGGGCTAATATTAGTACCTGCTTACAGGGCTGTTATATGAATTAAATAAATCATGGTAAGTCCTGAGGAGAGTTCCTGGCACGTAGTAAACTCTCAATAAATGTCAAATAAATAATTATTATTATGTATTTGTAATATTATGTTGCAATAGTTCGTTATATTAATATAATATGTTATAATAACATAGATTATATTATATTGCAACATCATAATAATAAGTATTATTATTCGGTAGTAGTAGTTTAGATTGACCATCTGCAATCTGAAAATCTGAAATGCAAAATACTCCAAAATCTGAAACTTTTTGAGTGCTGACATGCGGCTCAAGGGCAGTGCTCACGGGAGCATTTTGGATTTTGGATTTTCAGATTCAGAGTGCTCAACTGCTGAGTGTATATATAATGCAAATATTCCAAAGTCTGAAAAAGTCTGAAATCCTAAACACTTCCAGTCCCATGCATTTGGGATAAGGGCTGGTCAGCCTATAGTATGTTATTAACAAGGAGGGGTTAATGATGACATTTAAAAAAAGCCTTATTAGGCCAGGTGCAGTGGTTCACGCCTATAATCCCAGCACTTGGGAGGCCTAGGCAGGCAGATCGCCTGAGGCCAGGAGTTCAAGACCATCCTGGTTAACATGGCAAAACCCTGCCTGTACTAAAAATACAAAAATTAGCTGGGTGTGGTGGCACACGCTTGTAGTCCCAGCTACTCGGAAGGCTGACGCAGGAAAATCGCTTGAACCCGGGAGGCAGAGGTTGCAGTGGGCCAACATCACGCCATGGCCCTCCAGCTTGGGTGACAGAGCAAGAATCCGTCTCAATAAAAATAAATGAATAAATAGCCCTTATTAAATGGCTGTTCTCAGAATCATCATCATTATCCATTAGACACTTAGAGGGAAAATGACTGCATTTGGGTTTGGGGATAAAAGGGCCACCATTTCCTCCCACAAAGGCAGGTGTCTTTCTCTCAGAACACGTGGTTATTAAATATTGCTGTTATTAATATTGTGAAACGACATCAGACTCAAACCCTTCTCCCAGCAGAACAGGAGAAGGAGGCTGGCTCCCCTCCCCTGATCTGTTTCTCCTAGGCTGACCGGAGGGGTGTCCCGTCCCCCGCTTTCCCTCGACGGTTCTGTAACTCCCCAGAAGGCCATCCCAGCTGGCACTTTAGTTTTGCGATTCGGGGATTTCTTTTCTGCCTCATGCCTGGAATAATTTGTGGCTCCATTTACAAGAGCAGAGCCCTTGTGTTCAAGCCCGCTCGGGTCCCAGAAGCAGTGATGCCTGGAAAGCAGTTTGGAAAGGTCAGCTCGGGGCGCAGTCCAAAGTGATTTTAAGTGCCCCAGCTAAGTGCCGGCCAGAATGGGGAGCGCTTTTAATCTATAAGCCTTGCCCTGTGAAGAAAGAGACAACACTGCTCTGAAGCAGTTTGACTGCAAAGTAATAAATCCCTTTGTGTATATAAAAAGTACAGACGTATCTAGCTCACATTTCAGAAGAAAAAAAAATCTCTGCAGTTAGGGCATTGGAGTTGAACTCATGTACATGAATCTATGGGAGGAACTTCATCGAGAAAAAGGAGTTTATAATCGTCATACATTTTTAATTTACAAGGATTTGTTCTGAGACTGCCTGAGATCACAGTTTCCTAAGCTGTGTGTCCTTGAGCCAGTTGCTTCACTTCTCTGTGTCTCATCTGTATAGTGGGAAGAGTGAGTACTCACTTTTGGGTTGTTGTAAAAATTAAATGAATTACTAGCTGTAATGCATTTAGGATAGTGCCTGGAACAGTGTACACACTTAATAAGGGTTAGTTACTATTATCTTATAGTACAGATTTTTGTTTTAGGATTGGCGGCGATTTTCTGCCTGGCACACAGGAAAGCCAGTCTACAGAGTGGCCCTGTTGTTTGCAACAGAAACCTATAATTGTCTGTTTCTCCTTGGTTTTCTGGGTTGAGAGTCCAATGCACACATTTCATCATGCCTTGATTTTTTTTTTTTTTTTTTTGTCCTTTTTAAATCCAACCTTTCAGGACGTACTTCCAGCAAGGCAATTTGGAATTCTTGAATTCCAGAGAGACCTTTCCGGCCACATTAGCTAACAGAGGAACTTTTCAAAACCAAGAGAAGCTTGCAAACCACTGGTTAGAAAATCAACTCATTCATTCATTCATTCTACAAATATTTCTTGTGGGCTTACTATTTGCCAGGTCTGCGTGCCAGGCTCAGGGGTTTCAAAGAGAGCATGGCATATTAAAGGTGTATCCTATGGGGAGCCAGGCCCTGATTTAAGAGCTGTGTATACATCAATCCACTCACCACAATCCTATGAGATCGATCTTATCTTATCCCCATTGCACAGACGCAGAAACTGAGGCAAAGAGAGGTTAAGTATCCCTAAGGACACACAGCTGGTAAATAAAGTCCAGATTCAAATCGAGGCAGCTCAGCTCCAAAATTTGTACTCTTCTCTTTTTCTCCCCAGCTCTTTAATTTGGAAAATTTCAAACCTACAGAAAATGTACCAGTATGGCACAGTGAACATCATATATTTGTGCCATTGACGTAGTCATTGTTTAAAGCTTCCCACATTTTCTTTACCCTTTCCTTTCTCTGTAAATTTTTGTGAAACCATGAGAGTTACTTGCAAACATGATGATTCTTCACCCCAAAATACTTCAGCATGTGCAGTAGTATCTATTACTGCATAACAAGTTACCCCAAACTTTAATAGATAAAAAAACAAGTATTTATTATATCATATCTGTAGGTCAGGAATCTGGGAGCAGCTGAGCTGGTCCTCCACTCAGGGTCTCTCATGAGGCTATAATCAAAGTGTGAGCTGGGGCTGCCTTCACATCAGGCATGGTGGAGCTCATGCATGTAGCTGTTGATTGGAGGCCTCAGTTCCTCCCCACATAGGCCTCTTCATGGGGCTGGGGCTGCTCATGACACATTGGCTGACTTCCCTGAAAGCAAGTGGAGAGAGAGAGAGGAAGAGAGGAAGAGAGGGAGCAAGAAGCCTGGATGGATGCCACAGTGTTTTATGTCAGTGTTTATGTCAGAGTGACATACCATCACTTCTGCCATATTCTATTGGTCACACAGACCAACCCAGGTACTGTGTGGGAGGGGACTACACGGGGGTGTGAAGACCAGGGAGGCAGAGACCACTGGAGTATCTTGGATGCTGGTGACCACAGTGTGTTTCTCTGAATGATGAGGACATTCTCCTACAAAACAACCGTACTATGACCACACATTAATACTGTACTACTACCTAACATTCACTCTGTATTCAAATTCTCCCAGATGTCTCAATAATGTCTTTTTTAATCAGTCTAGATCCATTCCACTTTCTTGACATAAGAACAGGTTGATTGCCCTTTTGGGAAACACTCCTTCCCCACTCTCAGTCCACCTAGTTCAGGAGGGGCCAATTCTGATGCCCCAGCCATGGGTAGGCTTATGGCTCAGATCCAGCTAGTGAACACTCAGCATTGCCCTGGTGACAGCGATTGGTTCAGGGATCAGCATGTGACCGAAGCTGGGCCAATCAGAATAATTCCTGAATTTTAGCTGGGACTGTTAAGGAAAAGGCACCATCTCACCACTAGGGTTGCAGAGCTGGTAGGGTCAGATTAAAGACACTGGGAGCCATCTTTTCTAGCAGCTTGCAGGAGAGGCTTCCTGAGAATGAACTCAAGGTGGTAGAAAGCAAACCTGAGTGATAGAGATGGGGGGAGGGGAGACAAAGAGAGATAATGACTTTATTTTTATTTTTTTATTTTTTTTCAAAAATCCCTTGATCAAGCTATGTCTGAAGCTAACTACCCCTAGGGGTTCCAGTTATGTGAGTCAATAAGTTCCCCTTTTTATTTAAGCCAATTTGAGCTAAAGTTCTTGTTATTTGCAACAGAAAGGGTCCTGACTAATACATGCATCTTCCAGGGAAAGAAAATGACTTACTGTAAATCCTTAACACAGAAACTAATTTGCAGTAGAAGTGTGCTATGAGGAAGCAGGACTGATATTCTTAGAAATTAGAGTTGTTTTGTCTCCTCTATTTGTAAGAGTCTAACAGATGACACAGCAAAATCTCCAGCCCTCCTACCTTCCATAACGGGTTTGCTCATCCATGGAAGTTCATGAAGTTCCAGTTATGCCACTTATTACTGCTGTGACCTTGGCTAAGTCATTTAACCTCTCTAAGCCTCAGTTTACTCATCTATGAAACAGATATATTATTAAGACATAAAATAAGGGGAGAGTAAAATAAGATAGGGCATGTTAAGCATAGGGACAGTACTGAGCATATAGTAAGTGCTCAATAAAATGTAGCCATTCATAGCAGTTCTAAGATGAAAAACCTACTACGTGCGAGGATCTTGCAAAGATACACAAGAAATATAATAGGCCTACCTGAGGATGTCAGAAATCTTCATGGAGGAAGAAAGGCTCAATCTGGCCCTTCCAGGATTCACTCAAATTTAAAAACATAAGCAGATGAATAGAGGTGGGCTTCCTACAAAGAATGTGCAGGAACACAAGTCAATAATAAGAACAGCTGAGATGTATTGAGCACTTACTGTGTGCCAGGCATAGCTGTAAGTGCTTTTCACACATCAACTCACATAATAGTTGAGGTCCTCCCAGCCCTTGAGGTGGGGATTGTGATGGACAGTTTTGCAGACAAGGACACAGAAGCCCAGAGAGGTCAAATCATTTGCTCAAGGTAACTCTGGTCCTGTGTGGAGAGCCAGGATTCAGACCCCAGGTGCCTGAATTCAGAGCCCGCATCCTTAACTGCTCTGCCAACGCTACTGTTGCTTATAAAACGTAAGTGATAACAACGACGGCAGTTACAGAGGCCACATATCTATGCCACAGATACAAAACCCAAATGATATGGATATCAAAGAAAAGGCACAAAGGCCACCCATGCAGCCAGGACCAAGGCCCAGGTCTGTGGGCCTCTTGTCCCTGAGGGGTTAAATGTTCTGTTCTGTGAGAGTGGCCAGGACCAAGCACAGCGCTCCGGGAGGGAAGGTGACAGGCCAGCTCAGGGCGGTGGCCAAAGCTCCAGGCAGCTGGTGGCATCGGGGGCTATGGCCAGCTGTCTCCTGCTGACCAGGCCTGAGCACCCCCAGGCCTCTCACCAGCAAGACCTCCACAGCTGTCAGAGGGGAACAGTGCTTGCCATCCACGGGCAACCCGCAGAACGGGGCCAGTGACCCCGGGGTGAAAGGTTTGCCTGCCGGGCCCCTAGCCTCCTGACTCCATCTGTCTCGCCACCTGCAAGCACCATTTCTGACTTTTTCCTTTGGTATAAATGGGGAGGCAACTATGAAATCAACAGTGGGAAAGGTGCAAGAGGCCCCATCTTCCCAGAGCCCGAGCCTGCTGGCTGTTGAGACGTATAGGCTGAGAAGGCTGGACAGGGGACGCTGACTAGGGGACCCCCGTGCTGGATGGTGCCATGGGTAGGGCTGTCTTGGAATCCCACAGACCCACATTCAAATCCTGGCTTTGCCCCTAAGAGCTGCCTGAGCTCAGGTGAGCCATGCACCCTATCACATCTCTCCTCTGTAAAATGGGCACAGCCCACCTCACAGAGGAGCTGGAAGGATGTAATGAGGTGCCTTCAGTTTCCCTCAAGGTCTAGGAGGGTGTTAAGTCCACCGGAAGTAGAACGAAACTCCTAAGTCGATTCCCGGCTCTTCTGCTCCTCAGCTGTGTGGCCTTTCATAGCCTCCTTCATCTTTCTGGGGCTCAGTTTCAAAATCCGCAAACTAAGGGGCATGATATCCATCTGACAGGGTTACTGTGAGAAATTCAATGCATTTCTATGTGTAAAGTGCCTGGACTTCAGTAAACACTATTAAAAGAAGCAGTAACAGAGTGGTTAAAGGCTCTGACATTTACCTGCTGTGTGATGTTGAGCAAGTT
The DNA here is from genome assembly GCF_000001405.40 of Homo sapiens. Classification (NCBI taxonomy): domain Eukaryota; kingdom Metazoa; phylum Chordata; class Mammalia; order Primates; family Hominidae; genus Homo; species Homo sapiens. The sequence continues at coordinate 46,941,610 of NC_000020.11, forward strand.
ACCTTCCCTCTCTGTGCCTCAGTTTCCTCACATGTATCATGGAGATACTCATGCCCTTATCTTAAAGGCTTGTCCTGAGGGTTAGATGAGACATTATAAAGGCCTTTGGAGCTTAGCAGGTGGCGGGTACATGATAGACATGGGTTCTTTTTTCTTTTTTTTTTCTTGAGACAAAGTCTCACTCTGTGATCCAGGCTGGAGTGCAGTGGTGCCATTATAGCTCACTGTAGCCTCAAACTCCTGGGCTCAAGGAACTCTCCAACCTCAGCCTCCTGAGCAGCTGAGACTACAGGCACATGCCACCACCTAGCTAATTTTTAAATTTTTTTGCAGAGATGGGATCTCACTATGTCGCCCAGCTGGTCTCAAACTCCTGGGTTCAAGTGATCCTTTTGCCTCAGCCTCCCAAAGTGTTGAGGTCACACACGTGAGCCCCTGTGCCTGGCCTAGACGTGGGTTCTGAATTTTACAAAAGTGCTTGGCAACGAATGTTACTGAGTTCTTATTAGTAACATGTTTTCTGTTACTAGCCCTCCTCACCAAGGAGTGGGTGGTGGACAACCTAAGGAAAGATACCTTTTTATTTTATTTTATTTTATTTTTTACTTTTTTTCTTTAGACAAAGTCTCACTCTGTCACCCAGGCTGGAGTGCAGTTGTACAATTACAGCTCACTGCAGCCTTGACCTCCTGGGCTTAAGTGATCTTCCCACCTCAGCCTCCTGAGTAGTTGGGACTACAAGTGTGCACCACCACCCCTAGCTAATTTTTGTATTTTTTGTAAAGACAGGGTATTGCTGTGTTGTACCATTTTTAGGGGGGGAAAACTCTCTTAGAGAAAAGATGGGGAATGGGGCAAGAGGTCTCCTCACATTTAGAGACATTTTTGTGTAGTTGTGTAGTGTGGGTGCCATCCTAAAAGGGAACACCTCAAAAGCCTCCAAAGAGAGTTATGCAGATGTGACTTACCCACATGGCCCAGCTTTCGAGGGATCACACAGCTGGGCTCTGGAGTGGATCTGTGTCCCTTCTCTGACTCTCCTGTGTGACTTGGGCAAGGCCAGCCACTTAACCTCACCAAGCCAGGTCCCATCATCTATGAAATGAGGACACTGACAGACCTGCCTCATTGGGAGGGTTCTCTGTTTTGTTTTTTGTTTGTTTATTTGTTTGTTTTGACAGGGAGTCTTGCTGTCGCCTAGGCTGGAGTGCAATGGCACGATCTCGGCTCACTACAACCTCCTCCTCCCCGGTTCAAGCGATTCTCCTGTCTCAGCCTCCTGAGTTGCTAGGATTACAGACACGTGCTACCACGTCTGGCTAATTTTTGTATTTTTAGTAGAGACGGAGTTTCACCATGTTGGCCAGGCTGCTCTCAAACTCCTGACCTCAAGTGATCTGCCCGCCTCGGCCTCCCAAAGTGCTGGGATTATGGGCGTGAGCCTGCGCTCCCGGCTGGTTCTCTGAATTAATCGGTGCAGAGCAGTGATTCCCAACCAGGAGTGACTCTGCCCCCGAGGGGACATTTGACAGCATCTGTAGACATTTGGCTGTCACATCTAGAGGGGAGGCGTGCTGCGGGCGCCTAGTGGGTAGAGGTCAGGGTTGCTGCCAAACATCCTACGATGCACAGGACATCCCCCACCCCGCCCCCAGCACTCACCAACAACAAAGGACCATCCACTCTGAATGTCAGTAATGTCGATAGACATCCTCACGTAGAGTATTGGCTTCAGCATAGTGCCAGTAAAAGGAAGTGCTTGTGTTTGTTGAATGACTAAATGAACTTGCTCACTGCAAGTCTCAGCTTCTCCTGGCATGGAGAAAATGTATCTCTCTCCCAGAGTTGTTGTGAGATCAATGAGAAATACGCCAGCCTGAGGGCCTCTCTGGGGCCCTGGGAACTGCTGTTGGATGTTGAATGAATATCATAGCAAGGGAACATTCGGAGTCTCAGATCTGGGATTTGGGCAGGAGGGTTCACCCAGGAGGCCAGCTTGCCTGTGTGTAGCATGTAGTTCTTCCAGCTGAAACTGTTTCTCCCTGAAGGATTTCAAGCACGACATATACCCAAACTAAAGAGGATGGCAGCAAAACGTGCAGAAGGAAGCTAGGTTGGATTCAGCCTCCGTGCTCCCGCCTTGCTCATCTCCAAAGCTGTAAGAATTTAAGGGAAACTTACCCCATGTTTTGTTGCCTCATTTGTGCATAATTCATCAAAATGCTGTTCTGTAAAAGAACTTCTCTGTGGCTTGAAACCCTTTGCACACTTGTATCTTTTCCTGCGCTCTCTTTTTCTTTTATATCTCTCCCTCTCTCTCCCCCTTTCTTTCTCATTAAAAAGATGCCTTTTCTCTCAAGTGCAAGAAGCTGACTTGTGCCAAAAACAAGCAGGGTGGATGCTGAAAGTTCCCAGGGTTAGCCTGGAGCCTCCCAACCCTAGACCTTGAGCAACCTCCCAGCTTAAGTAAAATCCTCCTCCCTGCTCTGCTCCCCCTGGATGGCTCTGGGGAGTCCCAGGAATGGCCAGGACAGAGGGAGCCAGGTGAGGGCCTGGCTGCTCCCAGGAAAGAGAGGATGTCATGGTCCTGTTTTGGCCAAGCAGGTCCTGTTTTGGCCAACCAGTGCTCCCGTGCGCAGATCCCTGTGGTGATGGGAGACAATTGCAAGGGTCAGGGTTCGAGACAAGATACTCAAAAGTCCCTTCCAGTGGTGGGCACCTGACTCCAGGGCGGGTTCGTAAGGGCTGCGGTAGCTTCGGGGCAGGTGCAGCCTCGGTCTCCTCACCTGGGCAGTGGGAATAAAGGGGTCTATTCAGATTGTTCGGATGAGCAGTCAGTGAGGAGGAGGATGTGAGGTGTGTGGGTGCTGGGCACTACACCAAGCACTCAGGGCATGCAAGCCACCAGTGTCCCTGCATCTTCAGGGCACTTTCTGAACCTCAGCACCTTCCTCTCCAAAATGAGAAAAACAGCACCCGCTCCATAGTGTTGTTGAGAGGATTCAACAAGCTCCTTGCTACAAAGCCCCCAGTAGGACCTGGCATATAATTCCTGTTTTGAAAATGTTTGTGTATGTCTCACATCTTACCTAATTCATGCCCCTGCCTGCTCATACCAAGAACAGGTATCCAGTAAAAAGGGAGAAGAGTGTAAAAGGTGAAGATGCTACATTTATTTTTTCCTGGCAATTCATTTGATTTTTTAAAAAGAGGCCACATGTTGGTGGCTCATTCCTACAATCCCAGCACTTTGTGAGGCCGAGGCGGGCGGATCTCTTGAGCCCAGTAGTTTGAGACCAGCCTGGGCAACATGGCAAAACCCCGTCTCTACAAAAAATACAAAAATTAGCCAGGCGCGGTGGTGCCTGCGTGTAGTCCTAGCTACTCAGGAGGCTGGAGCAGGAGGATCACGTGAGCCTGGGAGGTAGAGGTTGCAGTGAGCCTAGATCAAGCCACTCCACTCCAGCCTGAGTGACAGTCTGGGTGACAGAGTGAGACCTTGTCTGGAAAAAAAAAAAAGGTTGCAGTTCGCAATAGGAAGGTCCTTTCTTTATTTGGGTAGCCTTAGCCTCGCTGGACCTCAGTTTCCTCATCTGTAAAATGGGGATAATTATAATACCTGCATAGCAGAGGTATTGTGGATTAAATGAGAGCTTTTGTATAAAGTACTTAGGACAGTGCCTGGCAGTTCGTAAGTGCTGTTTTAAGAGTTCGCCACATTCAGCCAGAGTGGACAGTAGACTGACCGATTTTTAGAAAGCCCAAATTCCCTGTGTTTAACCAGCTCTAAAACATCTCAGGAACCTAAGCAGCCTCTCTTGTACCTCAGGTGTTTCTGTCCTGTGAAAAAGGAATGAATTTGCTGGCCGCCTATGGAGTTCCCACAGTTGCGCTGCTTAGTGTTTGCTAAGCCCTCAGAGCCCTGCGGAAATGCAGGCTGCTACAAATGCTATTACCAGAATCCACATTCCCCAGAGCTCTTTGGAGATTTGGGAAGCTTGGGTTTGTTTGGACTTTTCATGACTCGACTCTGGTCATCGTTAGGGCGTTTGATGATCTTAGACGGAATCTGCCTTTCACCTCTGTGGCCTGCTGGGCCCTTCTGGGCGTGTTACAGGAAGGGAATGCATCATTGCTCCTATCTGCCTAGTCAGCTTTTGTAACAAGCTCTTGATATGATGATTTTGTGCTTGGGTAAGCTTTTCAGACCTTCTGCGGCTCTTTGCTGCAGAAGGTGGAGGTACTGGGACAATCAAATCAAGCCATCAGCTGTTGACAGTGGGCCTGGCAAGGTCTCACGGTGCAGAAGACACTGAGCTGTCTCACGCTGGCTTGCAGTTTGGTATGTGGGATCCGGTGTGCCTGGGATGAGAGCACACTCGCAACCCAAGAGGGTCTGAAACCCTAAGCACTCTTCGAGGGTCTTGAGAATAAGTACTGACCTCAGGATCTGGGTCCCTTTCCCAGTGGGGGTTAGAGTCTCAGTGGCCTTGGTTGTCCTCCTCCAGTGCCTGTTTATATTTGAACTTCTTCCTCCTCTGGACCTCACCCATTGGATCCCTGCAGGATTGCTGGACCCTCTGCCAAGACTGGCCATCAGCGGGAGGGCTGCTTCCCTCCCTACTTCTAAGCTCAAAGCCCTAGGAGGTCTTGCCCGTGGAGACGAGGTACATGGCTTTGTGTTTTATTGCCATTTATTGTTCTTGTTATTTTAACATTTATGGAGCACGTTTTAGCTGTGAACTCATTTCTTGAGCATCACTGCGGTCAAAATCTCCCCAGGGTGCAGGGCCAAGGGTTACTTTGATTCTTTTTTTGGCTGTTGCCCTATTTACTTTATTAAAAATATCATTGTGCGAGGGGCTCCCTTTGTTCTAAGAACTTTTCTGGACATGACCCTGGGTCCACCCTAAGCCCCTGATTACCATCATTTGAACATGAGCCTGGGTATGAGTAAGGCCATATAGGCCAGCGGTCAGCAAACATTTTCTGTAAAGGACCATGTCATAAATATTTTTGGCTTTGGGGGCCTCTGCTGTAACTACTCAACTCTGCTCTTATCACATAAAAGCCGCCATAGACAGTATATAACTGAATAAAACTTTATATACAAAACCAGACAGCAGCCAGAATTTGGCCCATGGGCCATAGTTTACTGACTGCCCCCTCCCCACCCACCCAACGTAGATGATGGGGCTTTGTTCTACGAACTCCCTTTTAGTTCTTCCATAGATCTAAAGAGTCAGTTCTTCTTACTGCAGTTTTGGCCTGTTTCTACTTCTTTGTTTGATCCCCTAGAGCGTGAGTTGGCAAACTGAGGCCAACAGCTCAAACCTGGCCAGTTGCCTGTTTTGTAAATAAAGTTTTATTGGAAAGCAGCCACACCCATTCATTCTGTGTTATCTATGGCTGCTTTCCCACTACAACAGCAGAGCTGAGAAGTGGCGTCAGAGACCTCTTGGCCCCCAAAGCCTAAAATATTTCCCATCTAGCTCTTCACAGAAAAGCTTGCTGACCTCTACTCTAAAGAGTTGAGGAATGGCTGGCTGAGAAGCAGACTTTTTTTTGCATGTACATGAAGAGCATTACTAACCCTCCCAAACTCATCTTAGAACTTTTCTCCCAGGTTCTCTTGTCTAGTCTTTCAAATATTTTAGATGTTATTCTCTGGAATCTAAGTTTTTTTTTTTTTCCAAAGTTCCAGACCACTGTTTTTAAACAACTTTGGACTGTGATCCTCATAAAGGACATATTTTATATGTCACCCCTGTAATGACATACAATAAACTGCATACACACAGATGTCCCCACCACACACACAAACCACACAAAACACATACAGAAATGAAAGTTTTAAGAAACAATGCTTGCCTTACTATATGTGATAAGCTCTCGTATTTTCTATGAACACCAGTCAGGATCAGCTTGATGATGCTGTGGTAACAAGTAACCCCAAATCTGAGTGCCTTAAATCAACAGACATTTATTTATTGCTCCTGCTCCACGTTTGCCCTGGATCACTGGGGATCCTGAAGGAGCAGAACATCACACACTGATCTCCAAGTGTCTGACAAGAGTGGTACTCACCATTTCTTTGAATATTTCTTTGGTCAAAGCAGCTCACATGACCATAACTTTCAATAGAGTGAAGAAGTGCAGCCCTACTGTGGACCCAGAAGGTGAATCTGAGATATTTGGTCAACAGCATTAAGATAACTACCATATGGCTGGGCATGGTGTCTCCTGCCTATAATCCCAGCACTTTTAGAGGCCAAGGTGGGAGGATCTCTTAAAGCTAGGAGTTCCAGACCAGCTTAGGCAACATAGTGAGACCTCATGTCTACAAAAAGTTTTAAAACTAGCCTTGCATGGTGGTGCATGCCTGTAGTCCCAGCCACTCAGGAGGCTGATGTGGGAGGATCGCTTGAGCCCAGGAGGTCAAGGCCATGGTGAGCTATGATCTGCACTCCAGCCTGGGCAGCAGAGTGAGACCTTGTCTCAAAAAAAAAAAAAAGAAAAAGAAAAAAGAAAACAAAAGAAAAAAATTACTACCATATTAGTCTATCCCAGGAGTTGGCAAACTTTTTCTGGAAAGGGCCAAATGCTAACTATTTTTGGCTTTGCGGGCCATACCATCTCTGTCACAACTATTCAGTGCAGCAGTTGTCACGTAAAAACAGTCAGAGACAACATGTAAACAAATGGGCTTATCTGTGTTCCAGTAAAACATTATTTATAAAAGCAGGCGGTGGGCTGGGTTTGGCTCATAGGCTGTGGGTTGCCAACCCTGGTCTACTCTATTTCTTTTTTGAAAAACACTGGTCACAGCTCACTAAACTGATTTTATTAACCCATCTATGGGTGAGACTCTATAGTTTGAAAACCCCAAGTGACGATAAGCTGCATAAGATGAGGGACTAATATTTCTTATCAGCTGTATCCTCGGTGCCCAGTACAGGGTTAGTGCTGAGTAAACATTGTTGAAAGAAGCCACTGAAAATCCTCTCCAACTGTTTTTCTGGTGATAAATACTCTGTTCAAGATGCATACGTTATTGTGTTTCTCTCGTAAGGTTGCCTGGAAAAAAACAAAATAAAATAAAGCTGCACACATTATTGTTTAATTCGTAAAAGGTTGACCCTACTTTCAAGGTAACTGTCAGTTCCAAACTTAGAGACACAAGTATTATGTTCACTTCTCTAAGAGCACTGTTCTTCATTCAAGCTTGAGATGATCGCTCCATAAATGTAGTGTTGAAATCTATACTTGTGGAAACCCAGGTCATTGTATATCTGTTTTCTTCATATATATTTATTATTTATTGTGTCAGGGAAAATACATGCACTATCTCATTTAATTTTCTCAAAAATTGCAGGAGGTGGGTGCTAATGTTACTCGCATTGTACAGATGAGGAAACTGCAGCTCAGAGGAATATGCCCAGTGTCTTGGAGCTCAAGACTGGTAGAGATGGGATTGGAGCAGAGTCTCTGACTCCAGAATATGGGGTGTTTGATCATTTGGCTATGGTGTCTCTGGGACATGCCACCACATACCAAGACCTACTCAAGTGCAAGGTCTTTAAATGCTATTGGCAGTTGAGGCCATGTTTTAAGTCCTCTTAGAAAGACACTATATTGTGCTTCATAAGATGATACAAAACATACATGAGCCGGTTCCTTTTATGGGAAAATCTGAAGTTAACAGTGAGATTGGGGAGTGGGGAGGGTTTAACACTTTAACAGCTGTCCTGCTAAGTGTGAGAGTAAGTCAGGCCAAACCTAGTCTCACAGTCAAGACTTTCAGGTAAAAGTAATAGAGAACTCAAGTCAAACTGGTTCAGCAAGTAAAGAGAATTTAGGGGATCAAGGAACTGAGAGTCCAGGGTCAGAGCTCAGTTCAGGTATAGCTGGATCAGGGTTGCTGATGCAGTCAGGATTTCAGTTGTTTTCTGACTCTTGACTTGTTTTGTTCTTCTCCACGTTTTGGGTTTAACCTCAGCCTGCACATGGAGCTAGATGGTGGGGTAACTGAGCCACACCCTCTAAGGCACATAGTAGGTGCTCACCAAATATTTATTGAATGGATGGACTGCTCAAGATTGGCTTAAAAGCTTGATACTTTTATGTAGCTGTTAGGTTGGTATGCATTTTAAGATTTGTGTGTATCTGTCTGTGTGTAGCCCAGAGGTTAAGAGTGGAAGCACATTGCTTTGGTTGCAACCCTTGGCTGTGCCACTTACCCACTGTGTGACTTTTGGCAAGGGTCCCAACCCCAGTTCTGCACCTGCAACTGCCCTATGAAGTAGGTAGTATCATTTTGCATCTATGATGCACAAGGATAGCATGACACAAAGAGGCTGAGGTGCTTGCACAAGGTGATTTATGGAGCTGGGTGTGCACCTTGGCATTCTGGTTCCATAGCCTGTGTTTTTCTCCACTGTGCATGCAAAGTGCTCAACACAGTGCCTGGCACAGAGTAAGCTCCCAGTAATCAAAAGAGCCATCAATCCAGGCTCGTTTAAAGGTGGTGGTGGACAGGGCAAGGGTTTCTCCCAGGATAACATGTAGTGAAGCATGGAGTTGAGTGATATAAAAAATAATCACTTTCCTAGAGTCTGGGAGAACTGAATTATTATTTCCCAGCTGCCACTAATCTGCAGGGGGACCTTGCAGCGATGTTCCCCTCTCAGACAGAGACTCAATTTTCACAACCATAAAATAATCTAAGGAGTCTCAAGTACCCTTCTAGCCCTGATATTCTAAGAGTCTGTGACTTGATGATGCCTGTGAGTTTGGAGGTCTCATGGCTGGGCACTGAGTTTCCAAGATTGCACATGGTTTGGGGTGCTGGAGCTGTGGGGAAATCATGAGGAGTCACTCTGCAGCATCTGTTCCCTGCTCCTCCTTCTGGGTGCTCCTCCACCAAGGGGCAGGAAAGCCCAAACTCCCTTGCAGCTAGGTTTCTAGGAGTAATGGAACATTAAGCAGGCACATGCGCTTCCTTGAAATTCAGAAGGCGGAGGTCGTACTCAAATTGCCTCTGCCGTGTTGGTTGTTTCTGTCACTGTGCAGAGTCTGGAGTAGTTTGGCTTGCTGCACAGCTTTAGCAGAGGCCCCAGCGAGCAGGCACTAGCTTTATGTGTGTTGAGAGGCATGGTGTCTTTGTGTGGGTTCCCAAGAAGCTGACCTCAAGATCAGGGCTCCAGTGCCAATAGTTCATTTAAGAGGTGACTCCAAGAAACACCAGAATGGGAATAAAGAAGGAAGGCATGAAGCGAAGGAAAGTAACAGAGGGTGTGTGATCCAGCAGGTTACTCCCTGAGCATCTAAGGCTACACCCTGATGGGAAAGGGCTTATAACACGTGCCGCTGAGTAATCCCTCCTTAGGGGTGAGGGAGCTGGGGTCTTTATACCCCACATATGCCAGAAAGAGCCTTCAGGTAAAACATTGCACTTGCTGCCGTTTGGAAGTTGGATGGTTTTCATGGAAATGGTATTTGCCGAAGGGATTTAGGCAAGGTAGTGACAGCATCAGCCACGCAGGGCACAGGGCATCCTTGTTGCTTGTAAGGATTCTGGCAAGTGTGATAAGGTCATGAGGCTGGCACATTAGTGGAATGGTTTCCTGATAGAGATATCCACAAGGTGCCTATCATGGAGGGATTTTTTCTGTAACCAGCAGCTTTCTGGTCACAGCACATGTAGCAGTAACCAGTTGTCTGGTGTCGCTTTGGCATTCCCTAAAGCTTATCCTAGCGTCTGTGCCCCCAACCTCCCCAGAAATTCTCTAAGTCGTTTGCTAGCCTGAATTAACCCCTTCCTGCTTAAGCTAGCTGTAGTGGGTTCTACCCTCTGCAACTAAACTCTGGTTGATACCAGTTATAACCTACATCCTGGGTCTGCTGGACAAGCAGAAGAGTGCCAGTCACTGAGGATTAGAACAAAGTTCCCACAACAGCCCTGAAGGGCAACCGGGCTATGCACTTCTACATCATGGGCCACCAGGGAGCTGAGTAATAAAACCACTCTCAGGCGTCAGAGGACTCAGATTCTTGTCCCAGCTCCCCCACTAACCTGCTGTGGGACCTTATACAGGTAATTTTCGTCATCTGAACTTCAAGTGACTAATCTGTGGCCCAGGCAGGAGAGGATGGGGGCGAGAGTGTGGATTTCAGGATCAGATGGGCCAAGTTCAACCTCTCAGAGCCTAAGTTCCTTCATTTGTGAAACAGGGATAACAGGGTTCCCAGAGAAATATTCAGAAGCATCAGAGCCTCTCTGAAGAATTCTGCCACCTCCTGACATTGTCAGTTTCCCTCTCTCCCTCTTCCTTCCTCTCTCTTAACAAATATTTATTATGCTCCTACTTATACCAGGCATGACTATTGGTGTTGAAAGCCCACAAGTCTCTCTTTCTGTGAATCATAGTTTCTGGAGGGTAGAGACAGACAAGAAACAGACAAAGGCACGTGTGTAATGAATGTGTCCGGGGGTGAGAAATGCAATGGAGAAGAACTCCGCCGAGCAATGGGGCAGGAGTAGTGAGGGACCCTCCTTAAGGTAGGGTGGTCAGGGAGGTCTCTCTGGCAGAGGCCTGAGAGGGGCAGGGAGAGCCGTGGGCATGTCTGAAAGGAGAGCATGCTTGGTGGGGGATGGGGCTTGAGGGACCACCACTAGGAGGCCAGTGTGAGAGATGGAGGGTGGCGGGATCTGAGCTCCAGAAGTCAGGGGCGGGATCAGACAGGGCCTCATGGGTTGCGCTTGGCTCTTTAGATTTTACTCTGAGCAAGCCAGAAGCTGGCCTCATTTAACCTCCTTTTAGAAATCGGTGTGATGAATCAATAGCTTTGGCCGTTTGTTCATCAGTCATTCATTCATTCAACAAGGATTTGTTGAGCACCTCCTTTGTGCAGCTCTGTGCTTTTCTAGTTCCTCTGCTGAACAGTGAAGGGCAGAGCAAGCACCCACCGGAATAAGGAGGGAGTTGGGCATTTTGCTAGAGCTCCTGTTTGGTCCAGAGGCCGCACACAATGGAAAAGTAAAGCCTGGTCCCCTCCGCAGGCCACCCCGCACCTGGAGGCATCACCTGGAGCTCTTCCTGGCAGGCTGAGGCCTGCGAGTTCAGCCCCACTGGCTTCCCCGGGGCAGGGGTTGCCCACGCTTGCTGAAATAAGAACCTCATACCAGATCAGCCCCGCATCCCAAGCAGGGCACCCTAAGGATGCTTTTATGTAAGAGGTTGCATTCCCAATTATCTTAAGATGCAAAGTGAAGGTGTTTTGCCCAGGGAAACTCTCTATCAGGAGTCGTTGCACATCTAAACACATGAAAAATGAGACTTCCTGAAACATTCCTATTTCACCCTGTGACAGTTTTGCACAGCTCATAGAGTTCAATTTTCAAATGTCATCCCACTCTGAGAGACCCAATATTTGAAGTCGTGGAAATCTATCTTTAAAAATACTTTTAACAGCATTATTCCTAATATTAAAACTTGGAAAACACGAAAGGGAGATACTTGAGTTGTGATCATAGCAAATGTTCCTATAATATTTAGTGTGTGTCACTGATGCTTTACATATTCTAATTCGTTTCATCTTCATGACTACCCTCTGAGGCAGATGTACTGTTAACCCCACTTTACACATGGGGATGCTGGGGTCTGAGGGCTTGAGAACTCCGCGGGTTAACCCAAGAGTTATGGGACCTGGTTATGGAACCTCAGTGCTAAGGAAAGTGACACCATCATAGGTAGTGTTAGAACAAAATCTTGGGGAATGGTTATGTTTTCCTGTTCGGTGGAAAGGAAGCATCAACATAGAAGATTAGGTAGGAGCTCATGTACACTAAAAATGAAAGTAGATTAGAATGAGCCGGGTTGGAAGTGGGAGAAATGTCCCCAAACACAGGTTTAGAGTTGGCCTTGAGAACATCAGCGGTATGGACAGATGTACGGACACTGGGGCCTGATAATTCTTCCTTATGGCGCTGTCCTGTGCCTTGTAGGATGGTTAGCAGTATTCCTGGCCTCTCCCTCCCCAGTTCCTCTCCCTCCCCAGTTATGACAACCAGAAGTGTCTCTGGACATTGCCAACTGTCCACTGGGAAGTAAAATCACTGCCATTCAGAACCACCAGCACAGATGCTAAGATCATGGGTGGCATTTTTCTTTCCTTTTTCTTTTCTGTGGTTTCCAACTTTCCTTGAATAGGCATAGATCGCGTGAATAAGTAGGAGCAAAGGAGCTCTCGTTGGGATGACCATGCCACTCTCCTGTTCAGAACCTTCCAGCAAATTCCCAATACACTTAGCTTCCCCAGGGCCTACAAGGCCCTGTGTGAGCTGGCCCTTGGCTACTTCTTGGACATGTTCTTCTCTCCCTGTGACCCTTTCTCATCATGTTCCAACCACACGATTCTTCTTTCTGACATTCAGACACATCCAGCTCATTTCCATCCCAGGGCCTTTGCATGTGCTGCTCTGTCCTGTTGCTCTTTCCTACCTCCTCTTCACATCACTTGCTCATCCACTTCAGGGGTCTGCTCAAATATCACCTCCTCCGAGAGGCCTTCCCTGATCACCCTGTCATGAATATTTAAGCGCCTCCTGTTTATTGTAGGTCACCCCTACTAGAGCATCATCTCCAGGGGGACTGAGACATTGTTTAATTTGCTGTTCCATGCCTCACTCCTAGAACAACGATCGGCACATAGTAAAAGTTCAATAAATATTTGTGGAAGAAGGGAAACAGACAGGGAGGAAGGAAGGGGGGCAAATAAGAAAAATAAAATCGGTAAATTTAGGAGCTTACAGTAAAGAAGCAATGTCTCAACCCACACAGCTGTGTTTCTCTCTAAATTCCAACTCATTTTGACTTGTGGTTTGTGGACAAAAGATTTGCGTAGCACGCAGTCTCCTGGCAGCTCGCTCTCTTTGAGGGAACACACTAATACAGTTTTTATGCCACCTCTCTCCACAAATACCATGCCGATGAGTGGCCAGTGTCAAAACAGCAGCAACAACATAAACAGATGCTCCTTCCTTTCAGCCGAGCAAGTGAAGAAACCCTGTGCGTCATTCCTCAAACACCAGGAGATGCCACCGATAGCCACCTCTCCTCACAGTTTCGTTCTGCTCGAGACTGTGAGTTCATGTCAACCCTGAGCTGCGTCCCCAGGGAAATAGGTTCTGCTAACAGTCAGTTCTTACTACGAGGCATTCTCAGAGCCAAGGGGAAGCTGGGTTGGTGGTCTGCAGCTGAAAATCTTTGGCAGAAAATTTACTCGAGGTTTTTCATGTGTGTCATTTGCCTTGATTTTGGGAGTAGGGAAGAAGCACTATCAGTATCTTTGGCCATTCGTAAGGTCAAAATGGATGTCGGCACGTCCTGCAGGCCTTTTCTCAGCCTGAGTTGATTTCCTGGTGCTTGATGGGTGAGCAGAGGAAGGCAGGTTTTCATTCTCTTCTCTCTTCTTTTTCATTCTTTTGCTGCATTATTCATTTCCTTCCACACTCGTTCATGCAGTCATTTTTTTTTTTTTTTGAGATGGAGTTTCACTCTTGTTGCCCAGGCTGGAGTGCAATGGCGCGATCTCGGCTCACCGCAGCCTCCGCCTCCTGGGTTCAAGCAATTCCCCTGCCTCAGCCTGTAGCTGGGATTACAGGCGTGAGCCACCAGGCCCACCGGGCCCAGCTGTCATTATTTATTTAATGAGCACCTACTGTGTGTCAGCCAGGCCTCACACCTGGCACTTAGAGAATCTGAATAAATATAAGGACCACTTTTATACTCAAGAACAAAGGCCACCTCACCAGAAACCTCTACACACTTTGGGGTTCAGGTTTCTTGTGACTTTCTTTTCCTTTTTTGGTTTCATTTTTAATTACAAAAGTAATTAACATGCTTATCATAGAGCAATAAAATGATGCTGAAGTATATAAAGTAAAAATAGATCTTTTCTGACATAACCCCTGTTAATTGTTGGGTATATACCCTTGCAGACATGTTTTAATAAATATAAAAATCATCCACAAATTCATAGAGTTTTCTTTTTACAAAAAGAGGATCAGATTTTACACACCACAATTTGCTAGTCTCCACTTTCATAATCTCGACATTTTTTCACTGTTAGTACATCTAGATCTTATCTGCTTTGTTACTAATAGTAGTTCATGTTGCTTATATGTTACAATCTTAATCTTTCCTATGTTGATCACTGAGTACAGGCATTGGCAAACTTTTTCTGTAAAGGGCCAGATAGTAAATATTTATAGCTTTGCAGGCCATGCAATCTCCATTTCAACTACTCAGTTCTGTCATCATAACATGAAAGCAGCCCTAGACAATATGTAAGCAAAGTGGGTGTGTCTGTGTTCCAATAAAACTTTATTTACAAAATCAGGAAGTGCACCAGATTTGGCCTTCAGGCTATAACTTGCCAACCCCTGACCTTTTTGTCTTCCACATTTTTCTTCATACTTTTGTGTTCCTAAACAGATGTATTCAGGTTTGGTGTTTAGTTTGGTTTAGGTTTTTTGTGGGAGCAGGTGGCAGGAAGAATCACTGATTGTTTTTTAAAAATAATACATTACACCTGCTTAGCATCTGATTTTTTGCCCATCAGTGATATTCATGGAATTGCTTCCAAAGCAATGGGTATAACCCCTACTTATTGTTTTTAACAGCTGCATAAAATTCCATCGAATGGATAGAGGATCTGTATTGGTTAAGGTAATGTCAGCTGCTGTAACAAATAAACCCTATATTCTCAGGGCTTAACACAGTCACAATGGATCTCTCACCTAAGGACCAGTAACAGTGTTCCTGGTAGATGGGTGTCCTCCATGTGGTCAACCAAGGGCCCAGGTCCTTTCCATTGCATAGGTCTTTCTCCCTATAGTGTCTCAGAGGCAAGTCCAATCAGCAGGTAGATGAGAAAAGAGAGGGAAGGGTCTGGTATCCAAGGTCTTAATGGCCAGCCCTACACATTGCACACATCTCTTCTGCTCATGGTCCATTAGCCGGAACTCAGTCACTGGCTGGACCTAACTGCAAGGAGACTGAGAAATGCAGCGTAGATCTGTGTTCAGGAGGAAGAATATCTGGATTTGGTGGGCACATAAGCATCCCTGCCTGTATTAGTCTGTTCTCACGCTGCTAATAAAGACATGCCTGAGACTGGATAACTTATAAAGAAAAAGAGGTTTAGTGGACTCACAGGCCTCAGAATCATGAAAGGCAAAAGGCATGTCTTACATGGCAGCAGGCAAAAGAGAGCATGTGCAGGGAAACTCTGCTTTATAAAACCATCAGATCTTGTGAGACTTATTCACTATCACAAGAACAGCATGGGAAAAACCCAACCCTATGATTTAATTACCTCCCACTGGGTCCCTCCCATGATATGGGGTGGGAGAGATTTGGGTGGGGACACAGAGCCAAACCATATCACTTTCTCTAAAATTAAATGACTTACTTGAGGTAAAGCAGTTACAACAGGGCCTGGTATGTAGGAAGCACTCAATAAATGCACCTCTGCTATTGCAAGCTTGTATTTTTTAAGTATTCTATGATACTGTCATGTCCTTGGGACCTCTGGTCAGCTCTTTACCCCTGCGGGTTACTGTACCCCTTCCTCCTTCTTTACTGCTTCTAATAGCCTATCAATGGCAAGCCTATCAATTATACACACTTGCTAAAATTTCACTCTAAAAACTAGTCAATACCAGGCTGAATAAGATATCAGGAAGATGTCAGGTTCTTATCACTGGAAACTGTACATGTCACCTTATGTGGCAAAAATACTTTGCAGATGGGATTCAGTTAAGGATCTTGAGATGGGGGATTATCTTGGATTATCCAGGTTGGCCCCAAATGAGATCACAGTTGTTCTTATAGGAGAGAGGCAGAAGGAGATTTCACACACACACACACACACACACACACACACACACACACACACACACACGAAGACAATGTGAAGACAGGACAGAGATTTGAAGATGTTGGCCTTGAAGCTTGGAGTGATGCAGCCACAAATCAAGGTTTGCTGGTGGACACCAGAGGCTGAAATGGATTCTCACCTGGAGCCTCTGGATGGAATATGGCCCTGTAGACACCTGGATTGTGGCCCAGCAATACTGAGTTTGGACTTCTGTCCTTCAGAACTGCAAGAGGATAAATTTCTGTTGTAAGCCACCAAGTTTGTGCTTCTTTCTTACAGCAGCCACAAGAAATGCATCCACTGAGGGTTCTAGGGCTCTCTTGTGAATAAAATGTATAAGCTTCTCAACTTGCAATTTGTCCCAAACTACATTCCCTGCTCTCCCTACCAACTGCCTTCCCAGTGGTCATGAGCTCTACCATCCACTCAGAGTTCACTCTGAAAGCCTGGAAGACTTGCTGGCCTCTTCCCAATCCCTCCCCTGCTGTATCAAAGTTGATCGCTAAGACTTATCACCATGGCTCCGAAATAGCTCTTGATCCACTGGAACACTTTATTCTCACCATCACACCCTCGCTTGCAGTGATGGCATTTTTTGCTTAAGCTAGAACTCGAGTCTGGTAAATGGGTTCAGCTGCGCCTGTGTCTCCCTCTCTGCCTCCTGCCACGCTGCTGCCTGGGGACAGTTTTCCAAAGTTGTTCCTGTGCCCAGCATTCCCCACAGGCTCTCCTGCTCCTTTGAGAGAGAATCTAAACTTTAACCAAACCTTGAAAATGCCCTCATTTCTCGCCAACTGAGCCATGATGGGGATGACTTAGGCAGGGAGACAAAATGAGCCTGGTTGCAATAAAGTTTGGTGATTTTTTAAATGAATCTGAGCTCACGTGTAATTATGAAAAAAAAACATGAACATGTTATATAGTTTTTCACTGATGGCTGGTATGAAGATAGTAGCATTATGGAAATGAGAGACAACTTGTCCATGAGGAACCCTCATTTTTTTAAACTGTTAAGTTCAGGGGTACGTGTGCAGGTTCGTTCTATAGGCAAACTTGCGTCATGGAGGTTTGTAGTACAGATTATTTCGTTACCCATAAAGTACCCGTTAGTTATTTTTCCTGAGCCTCTCCCACCTCCCACCACCACCCTCCAATAGGCTCCAGTGTCTGCTGTCCCCCTCTGTGTGTCCATGTATTCTCATCACTTAGCTCGCACCTATTAAGTGAGAACATGCAGTACTTGGTTTTCTGTTCCCGTGATAGTTTGCTAAGGGTAATGGCCTCAAGCTCCATCCATGTCCCTGCAAAGGACGTGATCTCGTTCTTTATTATGGTTGCATAGTATTCCATGGTGGATACGTACCACATTTTCTTTATCCAGTATATCATTGATGGGCATTTAGGTTGATTCTGTGTCTTTGCTATGGTGAATAGTGTTGCAGTGAACATACACGTGTATGTGCCTTTATAATAGGATGATTTCCATTCCTTTGGGTATATACCCAGTAATGGGATTGTGAGTCAAATGTTATTTCTGTCTTTAGGACTTTGAGGAATCGCCACACTGTCTGAGGAACCTTCATTTGTTGGAAACCACCCAACACAGAGTAGATGCTCAGGAAATAAATATGCAGTGGATGAGTAATATGTGCAGAATGACCTGACTGAGTCACAAAGACCTTTCTGGTTGCATTTGCATCTGTCATTGTGTACATAGAGCCCTTCCCCTTAGTTCAGAGTCTCTCCCCTTGGCACTGTGGAGATTTGGGACTGGACCATTCCTTTGTTGGGGGTGGGGGCTGATGCTGTGCATTGTAGCATTAGTTTAGCAGTATCCCTGGCCTCTACCCTCTGGAATTGTGACAATCAAAAAGGTTTCCAGACATTGCCAAGTGTTCTCTGTGGCAGGGGTGTGGAGTGAAGGGCAGAATCTCCTCTGTTACTGCTTTAGCTGATCGCAGTGAGGCCCTGTCCCTTTGCAGAACTTTATTCCATTCCCGCCTCCCACGGCATCCTCCTCAGCTTCCTCCTGCATCACTCTGCCGTTGGCATCCCCCCAACACATACGCACACAAACGTGCACACATGCACGCACACGCACGCACACGCACGCACGTACTTTCCTTCAATTGCTCCCCATCTGGCTTATGAAACTGACAGAGAATAAAGCTTCTCTCTTACCCTCTCCCAACCCCCACGTCGTTGTCCTGCACCTGGCTGGCCATCCAGGGCTCATCTCTTTTCTCTGAAATTCTCCAAGCATCCCTGTCATTGTCCTGCACCTGGCCGGCCAGCCAGGGCTCATCTTTTCTCTCTGAAACTCTCCAAGTAGCCACTGAAGTCAGCAGGAACTCCCAAAGCAGAGACATGCCGTGGGGGGAATATGGGAATCTGTCGCCTGATTTTTCATGGCCTTCTGAAATCACGAGAAGGGGTTGCATGGAAACGGTTGAAAGAAAATGATTTTTTAAGTGCCCCTCTGGCCACACTGGCCAGATTCAGGCTAGGTCTGGCAGCCAGAGCTCAGGGCACCACGTCATGCCTGAATTTTGTTTTATTTTTCTATCCATTATTCGAAGGAATCATGCTGACTTTGGCTATTAAGTGAGCACTTACTATGCACCAACAAAGCACTCGGCATGTATTCACTCATTTCACGCCACTGCAACCTAGGAGATGGACACGGACACTATTATTATCCCCATTTTACAGTGGAGGAAATGAAGGCTTAGAGAGACACTTTACCCACGGGACACATCTAGTAGGAGGAGCAGCCAGGATTTGATCTCAGGACTGTCTGATGCCAGATAGTAATAATAAAAACAGCTAAGTTTACTGATGTATTTACTGAGTGCCGGGTGCTGCCTGGGGGGCTTTACATGAATTGATTTACTTAATCATCCCAGCAGCGCTATGGACTAGAAACCTTTGTGATTCCCATTGGTGGATGAGGAAACCGAGGCACAGCAAGGTTCTATGACTTGCCCAAGGTCGTGTGGCTGGGCTCCCGTCGTCCAGCTCTTAAACCCTCTGCTCTAGTGCAGGGGAGGAGGCAAACCATGTCTCATAGGCCAAATCCAATCCACTGCCTATTTTTGTAAATAAAGTCTTATTAGAACACAGTCATCCCATTCATTTATATGCAGCTGCTTTCACAGTTCAATCGCAAAGTTCGGTAGTTCAGCAGAGACAGCGTGACCCACAAAGCCTGAAATCTTCACCGTCTGGCCGTTTACAGTAAATCTTTTCAACCCCTGCCCTAGGACCTTCCCTAACTACCATCCTGCCATCCAAGCTGTGGGGCCCCTTCCCTGCTGGAGCAGCAGCACATCAAAGAACGTAAACGAGTGGGCATTTCTGCAGCCCCCAGAAAGCAAGCCGGCATCCCAGGAGGTGCCTGGGAGGCTCTCTGAGAAGGCTGACTCCCCACCTCCACCATGTTTCCTGGAGGTTTGGCTGATAATTAGGCCAGTCCTATTATCAAAAAGACCAAAATAAGGCCGAGCACAGTGGCTCATGCCTGTAATCCCAGCACTCTGGGAGGCCGAGGCAGGCGGGTCACCTGAAGTTAGGAATTCGAGACCAGCCTGCCCAACACAGTGAAACCCCGTCTCTACTAAAAATACAAAAATTAGCCGGGCGTGGTGGTGCGTGCCAGCTATTTGGGAGACTGAGGTAGGAGAATCACTTAAACCCAGGAGACGGAGGTTACAGTGAGCCAAGATCATGCCACTGCACTCCAGCCTGGGCAACAGAGCGAGACTCTGTCTCAAATAAATAAATAAATAAATTTATTTTAAAAAATAGAAATAAAATAACAAATGCTGGCAAGGATGCTGAGAAAGGGGAACTCTTACACCCTGTTGGTGGGAATGTAAATTAGCACTATTGTGGAAAACAATGTGGAGGTTTCTCAAGAAAACTAAAAATATAGCTACCATATGATCCAGCGATCCCACTACTGGGTATTATCCAAAGGAAAGGAAATCAATGTTGAGGACATATCTGCACTCTCATGTTCATTGCAACGCTATTCACAATAGCCCAGATATGGAATCAACCTAAGTGTCCATCAGCAATGAATGGAAAAAGAAAATGTGGTAGGTACATATACACAATGGAGTACTATTCAGCCATAAAAAGGAACAAATCCTGCCATTCTCAGCAACATGAATGAGCTTGAGGGACATTGTGTTAAGTAAAATAAGCGAGGAGCAGAAAGATAAATACCACATGTTCTCACTCATAGTTGGAAGCTAAAAAAGTTAATCTCATGGAAGCAGAAAGCAGACTGGTGGTTACTAGAGGCTGAGAATGGTGCAGGGGTGAACCAGAGGCTGCTTAACAGATATGAAATTACAGCAAGAGAGGAGGAATAAGTTCCAGTGATCTATACCATAATAGGATGACTACAACTAACAACAATTGACTATGTATTTTCAAATAGCTAGAAAAGCAGATTTTCTTTCTTTCTTTCTTTTCTTTTTCTTTTTAAGACAGGATCTCACTGTTTGTCCAGTCTGGAGTGCAGTAGCACGATCAAGGCTCACCACAGCCTCAACCTCCTGGGCTTAAGTGATCCTCCCACCTCAGCCTCCTGAGTAGCTGGGACTATAGGCACATGCCACCACACCTGGCTAATTTTTTATTTTTGTAGAGATGGGGTCTTGCTATGTTGCCCAGGCTGGTCTTGAACTCTTGGTCTCAAGCGATCCTCCTTTCTCTGCCTCCCAAAGTTTTGGAATTACAGGCATGAGCGACCGTGCCCAGTCAGAGCAGATTTTGAATGTCCCCAACATAAAGAAATGATAAATGTTTGAGGTGATAGGTATGCTAATTACCCCAATACATTGTATACCTGTATCAAAATATCACACTGTACCCTATAAATATATACAATTATTATGTGTCAATTAAAAGTTTTTTTTTTAAAGATTGGGCCATTCCACATAGGCCCAGGTGCCTGCCTCAGCCCTGGAGAAAGAGAGGGGCATAAAGAAATCTAAGTTGCTTTCTCCTCAGTCTACTTAATCCCTGACAAAACCTGGTACATCTTCCACAGTGAGATCATATGTCGCCTCTTCCATGAAGCCTTCCCTGATTCCTTCAGGCAGAGTGGGTGAGGATTTCCTCTGGGCTCCTCATTGCCTTGACTACCTTGTCGCATCCTACCACGTAACAGCAAAGTCTGATTTTCCCTTTACATGCCTGAAGCAGACACTCTCAGGGCCTTGCCCACATCCCCACTCTTACTGCTTCAGTGCACAGCTGGACTGTGGGTTTCTAGCTGCCAACACCTGTGTACCTTTACCCATGGGCCTTCTCTCACCACCAGAGAGCCTGCTTTGCCTGCCTGCGTGGCAAGTCCAAAGCACCAGAGTGAATGCCTCTGTTCCCTGGCACCAGCCTTCAGCCAGTGCCTCACAGGAGTGGGTGTATAAATACCACTGCTCCCTCGCTCTACCCCTCCACCCCGTGGGATGACGGCAAGTGGCGTTTTCTACACTGACTCGCACAGTGCCTCAGCAGGACTAAGCCCCAGTTGCCCATGGTGGTAACTTGCTTGATGACACACCCTGTATCGGCTCCTTCTGTTTCTCTTATCGCATCCCCAGTCCCCTACTGGTGTTTCTCAGGATCATCTCCCAAATAAACTGCTTGCCCTGGAATCCTTGTCTCAGTGTCTGCTCCTAGGGAGCCCTCATCAAGTCAGCATCCTCTCTTATCCCTCCTGCAGGCAAAAGCTGGGTCTGTCTCTGAACCCACCACAGGGCCTGCTGTAGAGCAGATGCTCACATCAGTCAGTCGTCAAAAAAGAAATGTACTGAGTAGCTGCTGTGTGCCAGGCACCGTGCCAAGCCCTGGGGACACAGCAGCAGACAGAACCGACAAGGTCCCTGCCCTGGTGAGCTGAGATTCTAGGACAATCAAACACAAATAAATACATGAGCTAACTTTAGATGGTCTCAGTGCTCTGGAGGAAATAAAACAGGGTCATGTGCAAGACCTAGGGGTCTTCCATACTCACTGGGGATTGTTTTTAATGACAATGTCCAGGCCTTATCCCCAGAAATGTCTGATTCATTTGGTCTGAAGTGGAGCCTGAGCATTGATATTTAACAAAAAAAACACCTCCCAAGGTGGTTCTGATGTGCAAAGAACACCTGAAGGTGGGCCGGGGGTGGTGGTGAGGACAGGCAGCTGGCCTCCCTGAGGAGGTAGCCTTCGGCTAAGCCAGGCGAACAAGCAGGAAAAGTGCTCTAGGCAGAAGCAGCTGCACATGCGAAGTCCCAGTGGCAAGAGGTACTATGGTGCAGGATGTTCAGCATGATGGGAACACGGGCTGCCAGGAGGAGACAGAGAGAGATGAGGCCCACAGGCTTCGGGTCCTTGGTCTTAGAGCTCTTGAGCCATTGTGGCTCAGACTGCAGATCTTAACACATCAGCGGGTTATGAAATCAATTTGGTGAGCCACAGCCAGCATCGCAGGAAGAAAAGTAATAGAATCGAAAATACCAGAGTGTGTTGCACATGAGGTCAGTGTGGTTTTTTGAAACTTTTATTTGAAGTTTTATAAAGGTGTACACTGCACTGCATTGCAAAACAGGTTTCTTACTGTGAGTCTTGGTTGAAGAATTCGAAAGCCACTGTTTTTAGTCCCTGTGAAAGTTTGGAATTTAGCCCAAGGGGCAGTGGGGAGCAATTAAAGAGGTTTTAGTGGGGGGCATGACAAGGTCAGATGTATGTTTAAAAATCTCACTCCAGGAGTGTGGAGAACAGATTTGGAGGAGGTGGGCAGTGGAGGCTGGGAGGCGTCTTGGCAGGCTGTTGGAGGCAGTCACTGGGGTGTGACAAAGAGAACCAAGTAGCACCTGGCACACAGAGGTCCGCAGGTGGCTGTTGAAGGGATGCACGTGTCTGCAACATGGGAGGATCCTGGGAGGTTGAAAGGCAACATTTCAAGCTTTGCCTCCAACCCCTCCCTGGGATGACCACCTACTTGTCACCTGTCCTGTGACGCAGGTATCCCAGGCATGGCAGATAATAGACTCTGATTTTAACACTTCCTGTTTGCCAGACACTCTGCTAAATGCTTTCAAAACTCATGTAATGCCCTCAGAACAACCCCATTGGTAAGTACTGTTAGGATTCCCGTTTCACAGATGAGGAAACTGAGACCAAGAAAGGATGTTACTTGCCCAAGGTCACAGCGATCATCAAGCTGTGTAGCTGGCACTCCAGCCGGGCAGTGCGGCTCTAGAGTCTGTGTGCCCCAGCATCTGCTGCAGTCATGTGGGAGCCAAGCTGCTTGGGTTTGAATTTAGGGGATAATACACTGAGTACTCTCGTGAGGATTTAGTAAGGGACGGTCAGTGAGTAATACATTCAGGGCAGTAAGGGCCTGGAGCTTAGGACGTGCTAGATAAATGAGAGTGAGTTGTGCCACTAGACGCCCAACTTGTAGAGTTGGATTCAAATTCACGTAACTTGTGAACAGACGGTGGAACTGCCAGGGTTCGAATCCGCCTCTGACACTTAACTGCCTGCATCGCAGGAGTGTGGTACCAGCGCTGGCTCTTGTAATTAGGTGCTCTATGTCCAGTACTTAGAACTGAGCCCGACCTTGGTGAACCCTAAGCATGAGCCATTGATCCCACTGCTCAAGGTCATACAGGAATACAAGGGCCAAGGCTGGAGTTCAAACCCACAGCCAGCTTGCTACTGAGCAACTACAGCCCAGTGTAAAAAGGGCTTTAAACAGTCAAGTTAGGTTTTTCTCTGGCTCTTCGAATCCTTAATCCCTTCTCTCCATGTCTGCCCACCAGCAGTGTTCCCAAGTTAGAGCTTCCAGCCCAGGCAGGCCGCCAGAGTCACCAGGCACCCCAGGGCACAGAGACCCATCCACAGCCTTGGGCAAAGGTGGGGGGTTGGAGGGAAGCCTCTGAGAGAGCTGGAAGGTCCCAGCCCCGCAGTGGCCACCAGGTGCCAGGGCCTGGGCCTCACGCCTCATAGCTCCTGAGTCTGACCTAAGCGTGCCTTCTTCCCAGCGTGCAGAACTGTTTGCCTGGGCGTAGGTTGGAGACAGGTGACCCCACCTGGTTGGTTCAGGCCCACGCTTGTTCAGCCTCCTAGACGCTCTGAGTCTTGGCCTCCTGACTCCTCTGGGGTTGGCGCAGCCTTGCTTGCCTTGGCTCCCGTCCGCCGGGCTGTTCCCTGCACGTACGAGTGGCCCTTTAGAATGTGTTTGTCTGGTCAAGGTTGACAAACTTCCTGAGCCCACGTCTGTTGACTTTTGTGGGACCTTCTGGCTACCTGGCTGTCGCGGATGCTTCGCTCAAGCCCTGTCTTCTCTCTTGGGGTGTGGAGTCAGCTAAGAGGGCAGCAGAGCTGGCTGTGTTCACGGAATCCAGTGTCTGGAGAGAAAGCTGGTGCCCATGGCGGCTGGGACTGGCAAGTGAAAACTTGAAATTCCATGAATGTAGCACCTGGTGATTCTTTGGAGAACTTTAAAATGCAGCATGAGTATAAACTGTTCTTAACAACCAGGATATGAACGAGGCAACCTCTTACAGTCTTTTTTTCTTTTTCTTTTTTGGGATGGGATATCCCTCTGTTACTCAGGCTGGAGTGCAGTGGTGGCATCATAGCCTTGAGCTCCTGGGTTCACGTGATCCTGCCGCCTCCGCATCCCAAAGTGCTGGGATTACAGGGATGAGCCACTGTGCCCAGCATACCGTTCATTCATTTGTTAATTCAGCAAAATACTATTCATCACATATTCTGTGGCAGGTGCTGTTCTAAGCACAGGGATAGAGCAGGAACAATCTAGCTACAGCCTCTGTTCTCATGGAGCATGTTAAGGTCTCCAGCAACACTGTCCGAGAAAAATATAACATGCTTTACCAGTGTGAGCCACATATGTAACTGCAAATTTTCTAGTAGCCTTGTTAAAAAAAATATGTAAAACAGCAGGCCTGGCGCGGTGGCTCACACCTGTAATCCCAGTACTTTGGGAGGCCGAGGTGGGCGGATCACGAGGTCAGGACATCGAGACCGTCCTGGCTAACACGGTGAAACCCTGTCTCTACTCAAAATACAAAAAAAATTAGCCGGGCATGGTGGTGGGTGCCTGTAGTCCCAGCTACTTAGGAGGCTGAGGCAGGAGAATGGTGTCAACCTGGGAGGCGGACCTTGCAGTGAGTCGGTATCATATTGTGCCACTGCACTCCAGCCTGGGCGACAGAGCGAGACTCCATCTCAAAAAAAAAAACTGTGAAACAGTACATTTTATTTAACTCAAGATGTCAAAAAATATTATCATTTCAATACATCATCCATACTTTTAAGATTACTAATGCATTATTTTACTTTTTTTGTATCAAGTCTTTGAGATCTGGTGTGTGTTTGGACACATCTCAATTTGTTTTTTGTTTGTTTGTGTTTGTTTTTGTTTTGGGGACAGAGTCTTACTCTGTCACCCATGCTGGAGTGCAGTGACGAAATCTCAGCTCACTGCAACGTCCACCTCCCAAGGTTCAAGTGATTCTCGTGCCTCAGACACCCAAGTAGCTGGGACTACAGGCACACACCACCACATCCAGCTAATTTTTGTTTTGTTTTGTTTTTAGTTGAGATGGGGTTTCACCATGTTGGTCAGGCTGGTCTCGAACTGCTGACCTCAAGTGATCCGCCCACCTCGGCCTCCCGAAGTGTTGGGATTACAAGCTGGAGCCACTGCACCTGGCCCACATCTCAATTTAAACTAGCCACATTTCAAGTCACCTGTGGCTCATGGCTACTGATTAGAGTCTAAAGAGAGAGATAAGCATTATACAATTAAATACTCAGCTGTTAATTCCAATGGTAGTAAATGTCATGATTGACAAGTTCAGAGTGCAGTGGAAATTAATCCAGTCAGGGAGGATGGTGATAGCAGTAATGGTATCAGGGAAGGCTTCCTGGAAGCAGTGACTTTGTGATTTTTATGCAGAAACCTAAAGTGGGGTGAAGGGGAAGGATGAGCATTCAGGACAGAGGGAACAGCTGTGAGCAGACCCCAAGGTGCCAAGGAGCTTGCTGCTTTTAAGGGATACCAGGTAAAATGCTGGTATCACCAGAGAGTTGAGTAGGAAGGGATGCAACAGGAGAGGTTAGCAGGAGCCAGGCCATGTGAAGCAGCTCACATGGCTCCTGGTGCACAGCAGTGCTGCACTCACAATGACAATTGGCACTTGGAGAGACAGCTGCTGCTTGCAGTTACATCACAGATCGGGATGATTGGCTTGACCTTGTGTATTGGAGGCCTCCAGGACAACCCCTGGTGGTGGCATAGACAGCAGCCATCATCCCTCCTTGCAGGCCAACAGAAGCTCGATCTTATCTGGCTGACCATGGGCTCTGCCCAAGGAGATGAAGGGTGGTTAGACCAAGCCCCTTGTGATTGGTCTGGATGAGATATGGGGGATGGCTGCTGGAGGATGCTGATGGAGATATTCCTCTGAGATAAAATGAAGGCGCCACATGAATGGAGCCTCTTTTCCCACTTTCTTCCTTCCTGCTTAGAGTAGGGCCATGTCCAGTTGTGTTTCTTAGAAATGTGGCTTCTGATGTCCTGTGACCCTAGGGGGAGGACAAGAGACAGGCGAAGGTGCCCATCTAGGGCCCTGATCTTGTTAACCCACCTGAACCGCCATCACCAGACATCTTAGCAATTGTGATCATTCATATCTGCACCTTTTACTGTAACATGCATTGTGTGGGATGAACCCAAGAATGGCAAACATTTACCTGGCACTTACTGTGCTCCAGGTGTTCCTCAAAGCCCTTTGTCTCACGTCATCCTCACAGCAACTCTCTGAGGTTGGCGCCTTTCTTATCCCCATTGTACAGATGAGCAGGGACTCACGCCCAAGGGTTGCGGCTGTATCTTTTAACCGTCACCCTATACTGCCCCCTCCGTGTTTAAACATGTTGGTTTGGAAAGCTCATTCCCCTCCCCTTCACCACCCCCCAGAACATCATTCCTCTAAAACAGGTTTCTCATGCTCAGCACTTTTGACATTTTGGGTTGGATGATTGTTGTGGAGCTGTCCTGTGTGTTACGGGATTTTAGTAGCATTCCTGACTTCTACCCACCGGATGCCAATAGCACCCTCCCCATTGGTGATAACCAAAAATATATCCAGACATTGCCAGGTGTCCTCTGGGCAGCAAAATCCCACCCCGCCGCGCCCCCCACCGACCCCACTAAGAACCTCTACGCTAAAAGATGTTTTCCTGCCAGTCACCTGGGTCGCTCTGTGTCCTTGTTCAGGTTAACGTTTCTGAACCTCTCTTTCCTCTTCTGTAAAATGAGGGGACAGTATTACGTATCTCATGGGTTATTTTAAGGATTAAATCAACCAGTGTATGGAAAGCAGCTAACAGTGCTGAGTGCATAATGAGCACTTGCTCGGTGTGATGATTTGACCTACACGGCTCTTTCTTGTCTGTTTTCAGCTAACAGGAACTGCTAGCTGGGATTTTTTTTACCAGCAAAAGAGAATTCCTTGATCCAAGGTGAAATCTACCAGGGTGTTAGCTCTGGGAGTCAGAGGCTCCATCTGTCTTCCTCCGCTACTGGATTGCCAGGAATTTTTTTTTGTTTTTTGTGTTTTGTTTTTGGTTTTTTTTTTGTTTGTTTGTTTTTTTGACACTTAGTCACCCAGACTGGAGTGCAGTGATGCAATCTTGGCTCACTGCAACCTCCGCCTCCTGGGCTCAAGCCATCCTCCTGCCTCAGCCTCCCAAAGTGCTGGGATTACAGGCATGAGCCACCGTGCCCGGCCGATTGCCAGGAATTAAATCAGTGCTGGCACATAGTAGGTTCTCTGTAGTATTTGTTGACTGAATAAGTGACTTAAATCCCTTTGATTAGCTATATAACTTTTTTATAGATTTCTCTTGTTTCTTTCATTCTTCCCTGCCTTCCTCTGTCTTTGTTTCTCCTCTTTTGTTTTTGTTTGTTTACTTATGTGTCTTGTTGTTGTTGTTTTTTATTTGTTTTTACTATGGCTTTGGTTTCACTACCCAAGAAATCCCAGACTTCAGCACTGGAAGCTAAAGCTGAACTAAGCTAACTCAGGAGCCTCAAATCTATTTTAGGAGTTAATTCCCTTGGCTTGGTTCAGCCCCACAATGCACTCTTTGGGGGTTCATTTAATTTTTCTTAGCAGGTTCTGGCTGGATGTTAAACCTGGGCAAGGGAATGTGCTTCAGGCTGTTGAGTTTAGGCTTTACTTAGAATCTGAAGTCCCTCCACCATTTGTGTACAAACATCATTATAATATAATTTACTATTAAATGTAAGGGGGTGAAGGGGCATGCAGAGGTCACACATGTTCCCTGAAACATAATCCTATAATTAAAAGTGTGCTAGACCATAAAACTTACGATGTTCCCATCTCTAAGGCTACTTTTATAAAATGCATCTCATGTTCTTCCGTCGGATCTTCTGACCTGAGGCATAATATTAAAACATAGATCAACTCAAAGGGTCTTTGATTTATATGGTACATTTGCAGACACCGACTGCAGTTCTTGGTGAAGAATCAGTTCTCAGATTGCCATAGTTAAGCGCGACTGAAGCGCGGTGAAAGTACTTCCTAAAATCCAGAGCGAATGTGAATTCATCTTTTTCTCAAATAGCCACCATTTTGAAAATTTCTCTGTTTCCATTTCACTACTGTCCTCTGCTATAGAAATTAGGGTTTTCTGCTTGTTTAAGTGTATATAAAAATAGAGGAGAGGTTCTCAACCAGGGTTGATGTTGACCCCAGGGGACATTTTGCAATGTTTGGAGACATTTTTAGTTGTTACAACTCGGGGAGAGGGCAGCTACTGGTAACTGGTGAGGACAGGGGCCAGAGATGCTGCTAAACAGCCTGCAATTCCCTGTACAACAAAGAATCACCCAGCCCAAAAACCTCAATAGTGCCAAGGCTGAGAATTTCTGAGATAGAGAGACGTTCGTTTCATCATTGATTAAAATAGGGTAAAAAAACCCAAACTGTGAATAACCTGGATGTACATTGGTGGGGGGATGGTTAAATAATAAACTCTGCTACATTATTTCAGTGGAATACTATGCAGACATTGAAGAAGAAGCAGGCGGCTCCATGTGTACTGATGTCGAAAACTGTCCAGGATGTATTTTTAAATGGAAATAAAAACAAACACAACAGAGTTTTTGTTAAACCATTATGTTTTTGGTGATATTAAGGAATTTTGTGCCTTAATGTTAAGGAATATTGTGGCTATGTTTTCAAAAAAAGGGTCTTTTTTTAGAGAGAGACTTACACGGAAATATTGACAAATGAAATGATATTATGGGGTTTGCTTCAAAATACTATGACGGGGGAAATAGATGGAGTGGAAATGGGGCAGGACTGGCCATGAGTGCTGGGGCTGTGTGATGAGTTTAGGAAAGCTCATTAGATGAGTCTGAGTATTTTTGCAGTGTTTTTGAAATTCTCCATAAAGTTGCTACACACACACACACACACACACACACATGCACACACACGTAAATGCACTGAAGAAGATCTGGTGGGAGATAAGAGATGGTGAGTAGATAGAAAAATACAGACAGATGTAGATTTGGCTCTGTGTAACAAAGAGCTTAAATAACAGTGGCATAAATAACCTAGGAGTTTATTTCTCTCTCATCTAAGAGTCTGAGCAGCAGCTCTGCTCTGCAAAGTCATCAGCAGCCCAGATTCCTTTCAACTTGTTTCCTCATCCTTAAGGTGCTGCTCTTTTCCTCATTGTCCAAGATGGCACTCCATCACATGACGTTCTATCCAATAGGAATGGGAAAAAGAGGAAGGTCCACCCCATTCCTTTAAGGACCTAACCTACATGTTACTTGCATCACTTTTGATTCCACCCTAGTGACTGCGCTTAGTCACATGACCACAGCCTAACTGCAAGGGAACCTGGGAAATGTAGTCTTTATTCTGGGTAGCTGAGTGCCCTGCTAAGAATCAGTTGTTTGTAGAAGAGAGAAGAGAAAGAATATTGGGGATCACCTAACAATCTCTACCACGGTGTACTCAAACTGTGAATGATAATTAGCACAGATCAGTGGGACTATGGGGAACTTATCTTTTCACATTATATGTTGCTCTGACTGTTTTACCATTAGCATGTGTATTTTCTCTTTTGTAAAGAGAATTAAATATAAAAAATGTTCTGATAAGTGGTGCATGCATGATCCTTGTATGTAACACTGTGAGGCTGTAGTGTCATTTTTCAATATTCATTTCGCTGGTACTCATTGCCTGACTGTTTAGTGCTGATTACAATTACTTTATTAGATGCTAAGGACACAGGAGTGACAAGACAGACAAAGCCCCCAGCCTCTGACAGTGAACAGAGAAATATGCAGTATATTTTAAGATAGTGATCAGAATTAAGAAGGCAAATAAAACACAATCATGGGATAGGAAGCAGGGGGTGATTAGGGGGATGTAGGAAGAGTTTAACAATATGATCAAGAAAGGAATCTCTGAGGAGGTGACGTTTGAGAAAACACCACAGGTGGAAGAGGATTTGTTGCAGAAGGAACAGCAAGTGCAAAACCTATAAAGTGGGAACCAACACACTAGGTTTAAATAACAGCAAAAAGGATAATGTCCCTGCAGGAGAAGCTATAAGAACAGAACTTCCAGAAGGTGCGATTAGAGGGTGGGAAGGGTTTTGGATTAAGTGTTATATTAGGTCATTTGGGTATTAATTACTCCAAGTCATTATGACCAAAAGGTAGTTTTCCTAATTATTTGCAATCATTTTCAAAATAATTAGGAAACATGGAATGTGGAAAAACACTCCATTGGCACAGTGTCATGTGGTGAAATGAGATCTGCACCTTGTTCCGGCTCTGCCTGTCATTAGCTGTGGGACCTGAGGAAACTTACTTGATTTCTTGGCCTCCCAGTTTCTTCACTTTTAAGGATGGAGAAGAGCACTTACTCTGTATCCTATTCTGCTCTCAGAACTACACAAGTAGTAAGTCATTTTATCCCCACAGCAGCCCCAGGAGGTGGGGACCCTTTTTATCCCCACCTGGCAAGTGAGAAAGTTGAAGCAGAGAAGTCAAGGAAGATCCCACACCATTAGCAAGTGGCAGAGCCAGGATTTGAACTCAGGCACCTGGGCACCTGAGGTAGCTGCTTAGTCACCACTGTACCAGGTTCCTGCCGGCTCTGCCTACCTCACAGTCTGGTTGGGAGTGTGCAATGAGGAAAGAATTTTGACAGCAACTTTCAAGAATGTCAATGCTGAACAAATGTATTAACATTATTGGAATATTCTGGAATATCTCTCTTCTTTCCAAATAAATATTTTAAAGTTTCTAAACTCCTAATGAAAGAATTGATTCAGGCCACAAACATTAGTGGATGAAACCATCAGATCGGAGGTTAATGGGGAACTTTATAATGGAGGAAGCAGGTGGTGCTACCTGAACACAAGGGCCCTCGTGGTGTCACTAGGAGGGACACACCTGGGACTCCTGATGAGATGCAATGGTGAGAGCCCAGCACAAATTCCAGAGCATTGCTGCCCTCCCCCAAATTACTCTGAACCTAATCACATTTCAAGCTAATTTATGGGAAATACAATGAAAAGAGAAATGCATTAACAACACCGTGAACAGGCAGACAGACAAATACAGAACGTGAGATATTCTACAACACAACTAACCTAGTTTCTCCAACACATCAAGAGTCTGTATAAAAAGGAGGGGGAGGCTATTCTAGATTAAATAAATGTAGGCGATACAATAAGCAAATCTACTGTGCAGACTTCGTTTAGATTCCGTATCTTACAATCCACCCTTACAAAGGCATGTTGAGACAATTGGGGAAGATTGAATGTGGACTGTGTTCACGATGACACAAGGAGTGAGTGTGAATTTTGTTAGATGTGATAATAGAAAATCTCCATAGTTTTAAATGAGGTGTGGTGGAGAGAAGAGACTTCAAGTTTGAATTTGTTTTAAACACTTCAGCAAAGAGAAAAGTAAACAAACCAAAATTCTGAGAAGAGACACATTTGGAAAAACCGTGAACATTGTTGAGTCTAAGTAATGGGTGCACAGAAGTTCATTCCACTATTCTGTCTGCTTTTGTATATGTTGGAAATTTTTCATTAAAAAAACTTCTAGCCCCACTATGAAGCCGTCTGACCAAAAGAGAAGGAGGAAAAAAAAAAAACCCTCATCGTATGAAATTGCATAAAATTCAGCCAACCTCAAAACAAGAATAAAAACATTTTTAAAAAAACTCATGAATCGCTGCATGGCTCTTTCAATTTCGGGGTAATGATGTAATTAGAGGAGCTCAGTCATTAGAAAAGATTAATTTTAAGACATCTGCTGCTGTCAGTGGCAGATGGCAGAAGAGTGGAACATTGAAAGCACGGGGCTCTCAATCCATCTCTGCTACTTACCGTTGATTTTAGGCAAATGTCTTCAATTTCTGTCCTCACTTTCCTTATCAGTAAAATGGGATTAAAGTTCTATAGGGGCTATTGGGAAGATTAAGGGGACTCAAATATGAAAGGCACTTAAAACAATGTCTGGCTCATAGACAGTGCTTAGTCTACGTGAACTACTATTATTTTCACTTTCATGGTGGTCAGAGCTTCATGGGGGCACAAATAATTTGGACCAAGTGAAGATATTCTCATATTTGGTTTCCAATATTCAGTTTCTCTTACCCATTTTCCAACATTTCTCTCCTGCCTGTTTCTCTTCCCCCAGTAAAAATGCCCTTGCTCTGTAGACTCAGAACAAAGCTCACCACAGTTTTAGTGGTCTCACTTGGGTCCAGGTCATTGCAATGGGCTATGGTTGGGATGAAGGAAAGGAAGAGGTAAACAGTGAAGGGTAATGTTGCTGGTGTGGTATCTGAAAGCAAAATGCCTCTGCAACCTGAGGATTCTCTTTCCTCCCTGGATCTCTTGCCTGCCTCTTGGTAGGATACCAGGACTCCAGGATTCCAGGACTCCCCCAGTGGCCTCAAGCACTTCGTGTTGTCCAGCCATCCTTGGCAGGAAGGACTCTTCCCTTACAGGAAGAGTCCTTGGTGTTTTGCTTTGTGCCTTGTTTTGGTGGTTGTGGGTTGGGGTGTGGGTTTGGTTTGGCTTTTCTTTTTTTCTTTTTAATGGCTCTGCATGAGACATATTTTATAAAGTTCTACATTTTGCTCCAGGGCCCTGCTGAACCCAACCAGGAATCAAGCAGAACATGTGTGGTCCTGTCCGAGTCTGTCACTGCACGTTGGGTGCCTTTTTGAAGGTTGCCTTTTGTGGGCCTAGAGAATATTGGAACACGCATCGTAAAATGCAGACATCTGAACTTGCATCATGTGTTTTTCTAAAAAGCTGATCTCAAGAGGTTGCATACTGCGTGATTCCATTTATATAACATTTTCAAAATGACATTTTAGAGATGGAGAACAGGTTAGTGGTTGCCAGGAGTTAAGGGTTTTGGGTCGGGTGGGTCTGGGGTGGGTGTGCCTATGAAGGAGCAGCACAGGGAGATCTTTGTGGTGATGGAATCGTTCTCTAGATTGCCGTGGTGGTTACGCAGAGCTGCATGTGTGATAAAATGACACAGAGCTACACACACACTGCACCAACCTCAGTTTCCTGGCTTTGACATTGTACTATGGTTATGTAAGATGTAATCACAGGGTGGAAGACATTGGGTGAAGGGTACTCAGGACCTTTCTGTACTATGTTTTGCAACTTTTTGTGAATCTAAAACTATCTCAAAATAAAAAGTTTTGGCCGGGCACAGTGGCTTATGCCTATAATCCCAGCACTTTGGGAGGCCAAAGCAGGAGGATTGCTGGAGCCCAGGAGTTCAGGACCAGCCTGGGCAACACAGTGAAATCCAGTCTCTTAAAAAATAAAATACATAAAATCAAATAAAATGAAAAAAGTTTTTAAAAATACCAGGGACAGCAAAATTGGGTTGATTGACCAAATGATGGGCCCTTGTTTTACATGCGATCAAGAATGAGGGAAACAGGCTGGGCAAGGTGGCTCATGCCTGTAATCCTAGCACTTTGGGAGGCTGAGGCGGGTGGATCACCTGAGGTCAGGTGTTCGAGACTAGCCTGGCCAACATGGCAAAACCCCATCTCTACTGAAAATACAAAAATTAGCCGGGCGTGGTTCTGTGCACCTGTAATCCCAGCTACTCGGGAGGCTGAGTCAGGAGAATCACTTGAACCCAGGAGGAAGTAGAGTAAAAGCTTTCCCACCAGCTGTTTTTATTTTTTATTGTATGCCAAGCTCATATGAATGAGAATTCATCAAGCATAGTTGAGAGAATTTAGTCTGGAATTGAGATTCAAGACTCAAGCTGGTTTCCTTTTGTCATAGGACTCCCTAGGACTCAGTCCGCTTGGCTGAAGGATGGTGCTCTGAATAGGCTGCTGGGGAGGCATATTGCTTATGCAATTGCTTATGTAAGCTGAGTGCGGCGGCTCATGCCTGTAATCCCTGCACCTCGGGAGGCCGAAGTAGGAGGATCACTTGAACCCAGGAGTTGGAGACCAGCCTGGGCAACAAAGTGAGATGCCTGTCTCCACAAAAAAATAAAAATGAAAACACTAGGCAGGTGTGATGGTGCACACCTGTAGCCCTAGCTACTCAGGAGGCCGAGGTGGGAGGATTGCTTGAGCCCAGGAGGTGGACACCAGGATTTTGCTAGGCAACACAACAAGGCCCTGTATCTATAAAAATAGAATAACTGTTTATGTCTTCCTAAGAGAGTTTTTGGGTTTTGTTTTGTTTGAAATGGAGTCTCACTCTGTCACCCAGGCTAGAGTGCAGTGGTGCGATCTAGGCTCACTGCAAACTCCGCCTCCCGGGTTCACGCCATTCTCCTGCCTCAGCCTCCCGAGTAGCTGGGACTACAGGTGCCCGCCACCACGCCTGGCTAATTTTTTATATTTTTAGTAGAGACGGGGTTTCACCGTGTTAGCCAGGATGGTCTCGATCTCATGACCTCGTGATCCACCCACCGTGGCCTCCCAAAGTGTTGGGATTACAGGCGTGAGCCACCATGCCCGGACCCTAAGAGAGTTTTTGGATAAAGCTTTCCAATCAGGGAGTAAAAACAGCACAAGGGATGAAGACATGGGACATTCCGTGGGGAATATAGATTGGACTCACCGCTCTGAGGAGCGACATGCAAACGGGTTTTTCAGTTTTAAACTGGGGGGCCCAGCAGTTTTTCCTTGGGGTATCACTTCTAGAGAACTCCAGGCACGTGCACCCAAGAAGACCTGCTCCAGTCATGTGGAATTCGTTCTCATAACAACAACATGGAACCCCTGAGGACTGGACAGGTGAACTGTGGAATAGACATACCTGCAGATACCATGCAGCAGTGAGAAAGAATAAACTAGATTTCTGTGTCATGGCATGGAATGAACACCAAGGTATTTTATTATTAGAGTGAAAAAACATCCTGGAACAAGATGTACAAGATCAATAGCGATAACAACACATTCACAAAACACATTTGTAAAAACAGTACTGTATATTTTAATGAAGGTGTGTGGGTGTTTGTGTTTATAAGCTATTTATCCTATTAATTGTGGATACATCTGGTAGGAGGTAGTGCCCCAATGTGGCT
Source organism: Homo sapiens (assembly GCF_000001405.40). Lineage (NCBI taxonomy): Eukaryota > Metazoa > Chordata > Mammalia > Primates > Hominidae > Homo > Homo sapiens. The sequence goes on from NC_000020.11 coordinate 46,977,251, forward strand.
GTAATCTTATCTGAAATTTTAAAATGTATTTACAAATATTTTTAGATGTTATTTGGGTAACCAAAATTCTATTTTAAAAGAAAAAGGGCCATGCAGTTCTTATCTCAGCAGGAGGAGGCACAGGTGGACTAGTTGGGGTCACCTGTTGAGGAATTCCTACTAAGTCTGGATAGCAAATCCCACTCTGAAATGCCAACTTCAGGAGAGCAGGAACTTGTCTGTCTGGTTGGACACTGTATCCTCAATGTCTGAGACAGTCCCTGGTTCTTTGAAGGCCCTTAAAGGACAGGGGAAGGGGAGGAAAGATGAAATCAATTAGTGAAGGAGTAGCAGCTTTGCTCTTTGGTGTGCTATGTAAACAGCATCGGTGATTCTAAATGATGGGCAGCCTGACTCAATGAATGAATCAGTGAATGGCTTTAGTGTCAGCTGTGTTCCTGATCCATTTATCTGCCTTCTAGCCTTTGCAAAGGAAACTGAATTTGCCTTATTTATCTGGGGAGATGATTCCCAACACATTGCAGCCCTGCCCCACAACTTCTATTCAATGACACTTCCCCATGTTAAGGGAGACAGGGTAGGGGAGGATGGAGGTGTGGACAGGAGGAGGGATTTGTGATCACTTCCTTGTGGCTTGTGGAGTTCTTCCCCAAAGTTGTTGAAGTGACAACAGCACCTGAATTTCACTGGCTGGACCCACAGCTGATTCCTACTCTAATTTTTCACACTGAACACCTGGGGCGTGATATACCTGTATCAAAACAAAAGGCAGTCTGCAGTCCCGCAGGCAAGGGTCTGCCCACGGCTCCAGGTAGGCATCTTCCAGGGCTTGTGTGCAGCAGGAGAGAACGTCTCTTCTCCAGCAGTTCATCTTGGGCCTCCCGTTGGCCCCAGGTGGCTCACGTGACCACCACCCTGGAGCCAATCACTGTAGACCGAGGAATGGGAGATGCTAATTGCCAGGCTCAGAGCTTGTTAGTAGGGTCAGTCCCAGCCAAGCCACGTGGACTGAGAGTCATGGGGAGACCTAGGGAAATTAAATAACTCACAAACACCTGTAAAAACTGTTACAGTGACTGGTGTGTGTGATAGAGGGCCATGGGCCTGTGAAAGCTGCAGGAGGGAAATCGCTTACTCAGGGAGAGCCTGGGGAAATCCTGCCGGAACTGAGGCCTCTGCAGGGTGAGCAGGAGGGACTGGAGTTCCAGGCAGAGGGAACAGCATGTACAAAGGCCCTGTGGCAAGAGGGAGTGTGGAGCGAGAGAAAGGCCAGCGTGCTGGAATCAGATATTGGACAAGGAGAAGCCAGATCAAGGCTGTGTTCGGAACTCTTTGCTTTATCTTAAGAGCAATGGAAAGCCGTCAGAGGTTATAAGCAAGGATGAGGTGAGGCGGGCAGGTTCAGATTTATGCTGTCATTTGCTGCACAGAGAACAAACTGGAGGGAGGCCCCGGTGGCCCCAGGGAGGTGGGCAGGGGGGCTGCCGTGGTCTTCCTGGGCAGAGAGGATGGTGGCTTGGACCTGGGCGATGGCCATGGAGGTGAACTTTATAAGGCCTGGAGATGGATTGGACGTGAGCATTGAAGGAGAGGGAGAAGTAAGAGCAATCCTGAGCTTTTGGTTTGAGCAACTGCCCCCGAAATGGGGGAAGCCAAGATGGTTTGTGATTCACAGATGTATTTTGAATGGAAATTGAATGAGGCTGGTGGAGGCTGTCAGAGACGTCCAGGTTTGGGCCACAGCTGCTGTCTGTCCAGAAGCCTGTGATTGAAGTCAGCAGGCTTTGATTTCTCAGCCCGTGAAGGATGCTGGGAGTGACCCTCTCCAAAGTCCCCTTAGCCGACTGGCCATCTGTCCTCTGCATCTGACAGACAGGGCCACCATCCTCAGCCAAGGTAGCTGGTGTACTCACGGGGGTGTGGAAAGGTGAGCGGCCCACCCGCCTGGGACCCTCCATCTGCTTTTGATCCCTCCCAGCCTTTGAAGCTGCCCCTGCCCCCACCCTCCAGCTGTCATCTCTCGGGCTCCCCCACTTCTTCCCAGTCCCCAGGGACAGGGGTGGTGACAAGGGTAACAAATGGCACAAGCCGCAGGCAGCAGCAGGCCAAGGGGGCCAGAGGGAGGGTGTTCCTGAATGCCTCTTTCTTCCCGCTCCTTCAGGCTGTCTTCTGAAGTAGCCAGGCTATCAGGGTTTTGCAACAATGCAACAAAGAAAGAATTTTTTTTTTTTGTAAATGAATTCCATGCTTTTCCTTCCTTTCCCTTCCCTGCCTTCGTGAAAGGGAAGCTAAGTCTTTCTCCTACCCCAGATTCCTTGAAGGCTGTCTGAGTTCTCTCTTCCTTCCCCTGCATAGAGAATAAGCTGGTCTCCAATTTCAGGTAATTGTGAGGTGGGGAAGAGTGGGGAGAATGTGAAGGAAGCCTTCCCCACCAAAGTGCAGCAGAGCTCAACTCTGCCCCTCAAACCACAATAGGAACCAGTGGTTTCCGGGTGATCCTGATGACAGTTTCCAGTGTCTACCTGGAATGAAACGAATGGTGTGTTTCAAGCCTTTGTCTGTGTGCATGCAAATAATCTCAGCTGCCCTTTGTTGAATACCCACTCACTCGTGCCTTCTCTGACTCATTTTTCTCAGAATAACCTGGCGGGGAGGGTATTATTTTCTCCATCTTATAGAACTGAGGCTCAGATAAGTGAAATAACTTGCCCAAGGTTACACCGCTGATAACGACATAGCTGGGATTTGAACCCCTGGAGCAGATAACACGTCTGGTGCTCTGACTGGGTAGCTTAGTAGACTTTAGAGCTGGATGGGCCCTGAGTTGAAATTGTGATCCAGAGCTATTTGCAAGCTGTGGTTAAGAGCACAGATCTGGAGCCAGATCACCTGGTTGAGAATCCTGACTCTACCACTGACTAGCCAGGTCAGTCTCTGAACCTGTCTCCTTATCTCTACCTACTTCATAGGATGAAACGAGCCAGTGCATGCAGAGAGATTTAAGCCTCAGCGTAAATGCTCTGTAACTGTGAGCTGTTTTTATTTCTAGTATCTGTAAACTAAGCAATATAATTAGGGCCAGGTTAAGACCTTTAGCAGCCTCAAACACCAGAGACTGGCCTCTCTCCTCCATTGTCTCCTCCAATACAATAATAAAACGGTGTGGTTCGTAAGACAAAAAACTCGCTGTGCTGAAATTTTTTTTACAATTTTGTTTAGTTTTGTTTTTTATTGATACATAATAGATGGACATATTTTCAGGGTGCATGTGACTGTTTGATACGTTCATATAATGTATACAGATCAAATCAGCATAATTGGGATTTCATCCCCTTAGATATGTATCTTTTCTTTATGTTAGCATCATTCAAATTACTCTATACTCTGGCTATTTTGAATGTGTGATAAACTATTGTTAATTATAGTCACCGTACTGTTCTATTGAACACTAGCTCTTATTCCTTCTAACTGTATATTTGTACCCATTAATCAACCTCTCTTCATCCTCCCCACCACCCTTCCTGGCCTTCAGTAATCACAGTCTACTCTCTATCTTCATGAGATCTACTTTTTTAGCTCCCACATGTGATTGAGAACATGCCATATTTGTCTTTCTGTCCTTGGCTTGTTTCACTTAACATAACGACCTCCAGTTCCATCCATGTTGCTGCAAATGACAGGATTTCATTGTTTTTTATGGCTGAATAATATTCTAGTGTATATGCATACCACATTTTCTTTATCCATCCATCAATTGGTGGAGTGCGCTGACATTTGAAAAGCTTCTTTTTAGATCCTCATGGCAGAACAGGATAAGTTCACCAAACAGGAATGATTTCACGTTTTCTTGGTGTCTAGACTTTGCTCAGACTTAAATCTGTGTTTAGTCGGCCTTTGAGGAAATACAGGACAGATCCTTCTATCTCCCAGCGTGGTTGAGAGAATTAAAAGAGATCATGTAAATGTGATCAGGAAAATTGCCTGGTGTATAATAGGTGCTTGGGAAATGAGAACCATGACTAGAATTTTTGGAAGGGTTTTACTAACTCTGGAAACTGAGTTGCCTTGAGTTGCTTGTTCACATTCCTATACTCTGTGGCTAATAGTTTGCTTCTGCAAGTCACCAGTGCCTGTAGCTGTAGCTGACAGCAGGAAAGAACAATTGTCAGGTTCTCAAGTCAGGGTCATGTTTACTTTGTGAAGATTAATATTTCTGTAGCTTTGGCTTTATTAGTGCTGTTCATTTATTTGCCTCCAAAGGATGGTGTGTTTTGATTGCTATAGGTATTTTAATTGCTATAGGTATTTTAGATTTTGCAGATCTAATTCTAGGTCTAACAGAGCCCTAGAATCAGTCAAGTCCCTTTCTTCATGCACATTAATTTTGGAAAAAATAAACTTTTAAATTATCATATATTGGTGGATTATTTTATCATTATTGTATGTCCCTGTAAATCTCTAATAATGGTTTTTATTTTAAAATCTATTTGGGGTATTGTGTTGTATTCATATTATTGAATCCTTGCTTTGAATCTTGGTATGTCTTTATATTTAAAAGGGGTCTCTTGTAATAAGCATGTAGTTAGGTTTTTAAAGTCAGTCTGGTGATCTTTGTCTTTCAAGTGTTGTATTTATTCTGTTTGCATTTACTGTAACTAATGTAATATAAACATACATGAAATGTTTACATTTATTATTATTCTTTAAGTGGTTATCCTAAATATTATAGGATACATTCTTGATATATCTAAAAGTTTACTATAAATTAGTACTTTTACCATTTCCAAGAAAATGCAAGGTCCTTAAAACATGTTAATTGTATTTATCTATCCTCCTGCTCACATATTTACCCTTTTATGTTGTTCTTTATCTTTGCTGAATTTTCGTGTTTCCAGAATATTCTTTTTTAGTGCAGGTTTACTGATGGGAAACAATCTTAATTTTGGTTTGTTTCATTTTGATTTTGTCTTCATTTTGAAGTATTTTTTTGCTGGCATAGAATTCCACAGTGGCAGATGAAATTCCATTGTTTTGTGGTTTCCATCAATTCTGCTGAGAAGCTGCTTCTCAGTCTTATTATACCTTCTTTAAAGATTGTCTTTTATTCCCCCTCTGACTGCTTTTAAGATTAATTTGTGCACATGTGCAGTTTAACCATCACATACCCAGGAATGCTTTTCTCTGTATTTATCTTTGGGATTCACAGAACTTCTTGATTCCATGACTTGATATCTGTCATCCATCTGGCAAGGTCTTCTGTCAGTTTCTCTTTAAATATTGTTTCTGACTTGCTCTCTCTCTCCTCTCCTTCTGTGGCTCCTATTACATGTGTGCTAGATCTTTTACCATGTACCATGTTTCTTTTATGCTCTTTTAAACCTGTTTTTCAACCTTATTCCTGAGATCTGTTTACTGACTTACCTTCCAGTTTGCTAATTCTTTCATCTGCTACATCCAGTCTGTAGTTCAACTGATCTATTGAGTTCTTAATTTTAATTATTTCATTTCTCAGTTCTGTAATTTCCTTTTTTTTTTTTTTTGAGATAGAGTTTTGCTTGTGTCACCCAGGCTGGAGTGCAATGGTGCAATCTCGGCTCACTGCAACCTCCGCCTCCTGGGTTCAAGCAATTCTCCTGCCTCAGCCTGCCAAGTAGCTGAGATTACAGGCACCTGCCACCACACCTGGCTAATTTTTGTATTTTTAGTAGAGGTGGGGTTTCACCATGTTGGCCAGGCTGGTCTCAAACTCCTGCTTCAGGTGATCCACCTGCCTTGGACTCCCAAAGTGCTGGGATTACAGATGTGAGCCACCACACCTGACCAGTAATTTCCATTTTTAAAGAGCCTAGATTTTTTTAGCAGCATTCTCATCTTAAATCAATTTTTTTATTATATTATCACAGTTGCTAGGGACTCCGTGTTTGACAACTTCAATAGCAGAATCTCGTGAGGTTTTTGTTTTTGTTTTTTGTCTTGGTTTTTGATCATTTGGTTTTGTCTTTTTGCATGCCTGGTAATTTTTTTATTGTGTATAAAACATTGTGGAGACTCTGGAAGATGACATCTCCTCCAAAAGAAAAGTTTTTCTGCTGGCTATTGATGATAGTAGAGGCAAATCACTTTGGTCAAATATGAGATTGAGATGACTCAAGGCAGGATCTATTTTGTTTGCTGTTACTCCAAGGAAGTAATCCTTTAGGGTCCCAGTTAAAAGTTTTGAGTGTTTCTCAAGGCTCCTCATCCTTATTGGCCATGAATTCCAATTTTTGCCTTCCTGTAATTAGGCAACTGCAAAAAAGCTCTGCTTAATTTCTTGCCTTTATAGCTACCCCCTTTTTGCTTGGTTTCTCTGCCTCTCACCGCACCCAGCTTGGATATCAGCAAATGCCTCAAGGCTAATAACTTTCAACAATATGAGACTCATACCTCTGTGGTTCTCATATTTCTACAATCTTTGCTCCTGTGTCCTAACTACTTTAGTAATCCTGAACTCCAGTTTTTTTCTCCCCAGCCCCATAAGACTGGAAAACTCTAAGCTGTTGCTTTTTTTCTTCTTTGCTTATAAACTGGCAAGTGTCTTGAGGGGAAAATTGATAGAGGTCAAACTTGGTCTGTTTTTCATCTCTCTGGGATCTTGTTCCCTCAGGACCTGCCTTGGTTGACTTCCAATCCCTTAAGACAATATTTTATAGCTGTTATTTTTGATCATGATAGTGAGGTTGACTAAAAATACAAGCTATCCCGTCGTAGCTGGGAGGTGCACTCAGTTGGACAGTTTAATACATATTAGGAAAAATGGCTTATTTTTGTTTTCTTCAATATGGAGAAAAATTAAACTTTAAACCACATAAAAAGGCAGACTCTAAATGAATTGAAGACTTAAATATGAAAGGTAAAATTCTAAGTGAATAGTTTAACATGTAGACAAATTTTAAAATCCCAAGAATAGAGAAAGGATTTTTACACCTACAAAAAGAAATTATTAGGTAAATATGTAAGGATTTTTTGTTCTACAAAAGATAATAGAAATAAAGAAAACAGACAAATGAAAGACTAAGAGAAGAAATTTACAGCATTCGAAAAACACATTGAATACCTAGACTCTGTAATGCACTCCAGCAAATCAGTAAGAAAAAAAAAAAATAGAAAACCCAGTAGAAAAATGGGCAAGCATAAAAGATCTGAACAGACAATTTCCAAACATTCATATGGCCCACAATTATGTGAATATATGCTCAAACTCACTAGTAATCCTAGAAATGAAAATCAAAATAACTATGAGTTATTGCTTTCCATGCATCAGTTTGGCAAAAAGTAGAAAGTGGGGCCGTGCCAAGTGTTAGCAGGAAATTGTGAAACTGGAACCCTTATGTACTTCTGGTGGAATCTAGAATGGCACAGGAGTTATGAAGAACAGTCTGCTAGTACTTGTTCAAGTTCAGTTCACATATACTCCATAACACAGAAATCCTCCACCTTGGCTATAAATACATTTTAGGAATGTGTGTGTATACATATATATAGGGAGAGATACTGCATTTTAAAAAATGAAGATGAATGGAGATGTTCATTGCAGCATTGTTTATAAGGTGGCTGAGAGATAAAGGCTACCTAGCTGTTCACCACCAGGGCAATGCATAAATTCAATAGAGTGGGTGTGCAGTATAGAATTATAGCTACAAGCTAGATATGCATCCAGTAACATACACATGTTTAAATCAGTGCAGACTGAAAATAAACAGCCTTCTAAACAGAGTGAGATATTGTGCACATTATTCATTAAATTAAAACACATGCCACACATAAAACAACATGGCATCATTTATAAGGAAACATTTACATATTTAATATGTCAGAGTCATTGTCTAGGGCATGGTGGAAAATAAGGATAAATGGGAACTTTTAAAAATCTTGTTGGAAGAAGGTGATGGCTCAAATAAGATTTCCTTCCTCCCTGTCTCTCTCTCCCTCTGCCCCTTCTTTCCTCCCTTCCTCCAACAGATGCTAACTGGATGATGGAATGAACAAGATTCTGTGTTAAGTGCTGTGGAGGAAATAAAGATGATTTCCCCATTGGCTTGGCCTTCAAGAACCTTAGGCAAGGGCCTAAGGTGAATACACCAGAAGCCTTAGTAGCAATACTCTGTCCCAGAGTTCAGACTCATAAACACATTCCTGCTCTGCTTAAAATCAACAAATGCTGTTTTGGATGTGTAAGAGCTCTTAAGGATGACAGCAACACTCAGTAAAGTAAATAAGCTACGTGACTGAGGCCAGAAGTGTCACACTGCCGTCTCTTTCCTTAGCAGGCTTTTCTGATAATACATATGACATAGCTCTCAAATGCAAATGCCTATAGGGACCAGGAGGAAATACCAATGGAAAAAGAGGGTCAAATTTAAGAGAGTAGGGAGTGGTGGGGACTGTGACAAAATGGAGCCCATATGCCTTGACTTAATTGGGCCGCCACTGTTCAGTGCCAGCTGGTTGCTGCCATGCAAGAATAAGGCAATACTCTTGTATTTTCAAGAAAAGCCAAAAATCTAGATTTTTATGTGAAATTGTCTCATTTTTAAATATTGGCAACTACCTCAAATATTTTTAAACCCTAGGGAGTGGGGAAAACAATTCATTTTGTTTTTAACCACATTTGGTCAGTTGGCTAACAATTTGCTGCTTCTAATACTCTCATAGCATCTGGATATCTGGAAACTAGTGATATTTTTTAACCTCATTGTTTATTTTTTTAACCTTTCATTATTTGCACATACCGAAAAGAATGAAGGGAATGAGTTTAGATAAGATGCAAATTTCTGGCACCTGTAGCCAGATAAAAGATACAATGTCTACCATTTGCTAAGCACCATACAATATGCTTTGATGTATTAGAGGGAGCAAGACACCTAGGCCTCTATCCTGGAGTGCCTGTGGCATTTGAGAAACAAGAAAACAGGCACCCAGGATGCATGTATACGTGGGGACATTTTAGGACTCAACATTTATATAAACACTGGAGATATATATATAATATATCTCTATATATCTAATGTATATATTATATATTATATATAATATCTCTATATATCTAATGTATATATATACACATTAGATATATTATATATTATGTATTATATATCGATATATAATATATAGATCTATATAATATCTATATATATAATATATAATATATCTAATGTGTATATATATACATTAGATATATAGAGATATATATATCTCTCTCCAATATAAAGATATAAACAATAGAGCTGATTTGTGTATTAGCCCATTTTGCGTTGCTGTAAAGGAATACCTGATACTGAGTAATTTATTTCAAAAAGAGATTTATTTGGCTCACGGTTCTGCAGGTGGTACTAGCATGGCATCAGTATCTGTTCCGCTTCTGGTGAGGCCTTGGGAAGCTTTTACTCATAGTGGAAGGTGGAGGGCCAGCAGGCACATCCCACGGTAACAGAAGGCGCAAGAGAGATGCCCGACTCTTTTAAACAACTAGTTCTTCTGTGAACTAATAGAACAAGAACTCACTCATACCATGGAGAGGACACCAAGCCATTCATGAGGGATCCATCCCTATGACCCAAACCTCTCCCACTAGCCCCACAACACTGGGGATCACGTCACATTTTAACATGAGAGTTGAAGGGGACAAAGTCCAAACCATATCAGGGTGGGATTCTGTCATCAGATCAAAAAGTCCATGTACAGAAAGTACTTCCTATGTGCAAGCCTGAGATAAGGGCTTTCTTATTTAAAAATTATTAAGTGTTTCAGGCATACAAAGATGGGTAAAACATACAAAAGTAGGGTACCCAGCATCCTGCTTAACTGATACAGGGGTTGGCAAACTTTTGCTGCCAGATACTAAATACCTTCGGCTCTGCAGGCCACACACGGTCTCTGTTGAAACTACTCCGCTTAACACTGTGGTGTGAAAGTAACCACAGACAGGATAGTAAACCAGTGAGCAGGGCAGTGTTCCAATAAAACTTTACCTATGGACACTGAAATATGAATTTCGTGTCATTTTCACATATTATGAAATAGTATCCTTCTTTTGATTATTTTGCAACCATTTAAAAATGTGAAAGCCGTTCCAGACTTGGGTCACACAAAAACAGCTGTGGGCTGGATTTGGCTTACGGGCCATAGGTAGTGTCAGCCCCTGAATTAAAGCACTACATAGTCTGAGCCCCCCAGGTGCCACTTCCAAAATTACATCCCCTCCTACCCCCAGAGTTAGCCATTCTCTTGAAAACAGTGTTGATCATTCCTGAGTGTAATTTTGTTTTTGTGGAATGCATCTGTGTCCATTAACAGTACAGTTGGTTCCAATTCAAGGATTCAGTTAACTACAGATCAAAAATATTCGGGGAGTGGGGCAAGCACAGTGGCTCACACCCGTAATCCCAACACTTTGGGAGGCTGAGGCAGGCAGATCACCTGAGGCCAGGAGTTCAAGGCCAGCCTGGCCAACATGGCAAAACCCCGTCTCTACTAAAAATATAAAAATTAGCTGGGTGTGGTGGTGTGCACCTGTAATCTCAGCTACTCGGGAGGCTGAGGTAGGAGAATCACTTGAACCTGGGAGGCAGAGGTTGCAGTGAGCCAAGATTGCACCACTGTACTCCAGCCTGGAAGACAGAGTAAGTCTCTCTCTCTCTCTCTCTCTCTCTCTCTCTCTCTCTCTCTCTCTCTCTATATATATATATATATATATATATATATATATGGGGCAAAAAAAAAATACAGAATAAAAATAATATATGTTTTAAAACAATGCATATAACAACTGTTTACATAGTGTTTACATTGCGTTGGACATTATAAGTAATCTAGAGATGATTTAAAGTATATGGGAGGATGTATGTGGGTTATATGCAAATACTCTACCATTTTTTATAAGGTACTTGAGCACTTGCCAATTTTGGTGTCCATGGCGGGGGGCGGGGGTGGGTCCTGGAAACAGCCCTCCTGGGATACTGAGGGGCAGCTGTATTTTTGAACTTTATGTTGAATAAGCATTTAAGTTGCTATTAAAATAGTGCTTTTTTTTACATGAATCATCTTTTTAAATCTTCACCGTGACCATTTTCCAGATGAGAAAACTTTTGACTTAGAGCAGTTTGGTAACTTGCTCAAAGTAGTGGGTAGCACACTGGGATGTGAATTTGCAACCTTTTTACAATGGGATCTGAGTTTATAAGCACCACACCAGCGATCGCTACGTTGTGTTTCATTAACCAAGTAATAACTGATCTTGCCAAGGATGACCTTATGATAACGACGTGCTCACAATAAATTTAGCCTTTCTCTGAAGACAACTGCAGGTTAAATGTTACTGGTTGTAGTTCAGACCTTGGAAAATTGCTACGCCATGTACAGTGGTGTGTGCGTTAACCAGAAACCTTATTTTCTAAACCCAGTGGGTGGGAATTTATTAATATTTATTTTGAGACAGGGTCTCACTCTGTCACAGAGGCTGGAAGGCAGTGGCACGATTAGAGCTCACTGCACCTTCCATCTACCCTGGCTCAGGTGATCCTCCCACCTCAGCCTCTTGAGTAGCTGGGACTACAGGCATGTGCCACCATGCCCAGCTAACTTTGTTGTATTTTTTTGTAGAGATGGGGTTTTGCCATGTTGCCTAGGCTGGTCTTGAACTCCTGGGCTCAAGTGATCTGCCTGCCTCAGCCTCCCAAAGTGCTGGAACTGAAGGTGTGAGCCACCATGCCTGGCCAGAATTTAGAAGGAGTGACTACCAACATGGTGCAAGAATTAGAAATGTTTTCAATTAAAAAATGAGAAAGACCAAAGGAGACCTCATCCCTACTCTCCCCTGCCCGCCCCCCATAACATATTATAAAAATCATGGGTGATTCAGGAGCCAGTATGTTCTCTCTTGGTCAGGTCCACAGTGATGAGCTGTTGAGTGTTGCCACCTAGAGAGTTGTTAATGACACTTACGCCTTTTGAGCTTTTCTCCGTCCATGCAAGTAGTACCGTGTTTGTTTGTTTGGAGATGGAGTCTCATTCTGTCGCGAGGCTGGAGTGCAGTGGCGCAGTCTCGACTCACTGCAACCTCTGCCTCCCGGGTTCAAGCGATTCTCCTGCCTCAGCCTCCCGAGTAGCTGGGACTACAGGCATACGCCACCACGCCCAGCTAATTTTTATATTTTTGTTAGTAGAGACGGCATTTCACCATGTTGGCCAGGATGGTCTCGATCTCTTGACCTCGTGATCCACCCGCCTCAGCGTCCCAAAGTGCTGGGATTACAGGCATGTGCCACCACACCCGGCCTGTTTTTCTCTCTTAACCACAGTCAACTCCACGTTCTCCCCAAGCCTCTGGCTTTTGGAAATCTAAATCCAAACGCTCCCTCTCTGCCTGTCTGTCTCTTTCTCAGCTGGGAAGTTGCCCTAGTTTGCTCTGGCTCATTTATATGACATTGAAGAGAGACCAAAATATAATTTTTCTAATGGCAAAATACAGCAAGAAGGAGGGGAATGTTTTAATCAACTGGGTGTATTCTCCAGCGGGGAGCAAGAACTTCATTTTAATTTCTCATTTCCCTTTGATGAAAAGTTGAGTGAATTTTTATCATGTAGAATTTATAAGAAGTCTGGGTTTAGGTAATCAGTTGTAATATTTATACTCTTAGGGAAAGAAATAGGAATCATTAGCAAGCATGCATAATTAATGAATAAATTATATTTCCCTTTGTTTTCTTTCAGGTACAAGGAAATGGTAGAACTAGTGATCTCACCCAGCCTCACTGTAAACAGCGATTGTCTGGATAAACTGAAGTTTAACCGTGCTGACGCTGCTGTGTGGACTCTGAGTGACAGACAAGGTAGGCTTCCTGCTGTGAGTTTGGGTCAACAGGTGTGGTGGTCCTAGGTCACCCTGAGAATATCGTAAGCAACAGACACGCATCCTTTCCAAAGTACTGTCCTTAGGACAATTTCTCCCCCTGCCATTTAAATGCTTGCCTCTGAACCAAAACTTTGGCATACATCTCTAACAACTCTGTCTCATCGTTAGAGGTAAAAATGTGCTCATTCGTGTCTTGAACTTCCTTTCTTGGTCTCCAATTCCAAGAAATGCTGACACCACCACGGATGATAGTCACTTTGGGGCGTGTCCCAGGCCCAGCCCTTGGATGTGTTTTGCAGTGTCTGTTTCTGGCTCTGAGCTCTGTCCTCTCTACTCTGCTCTGCCATCCCCTTGTCCAAGCAGGCGTCTTGCTTACAGGGGTTTGACATTAGGGCAAGAACTCGTCTGCCTCTTGCTTTCAGGTCGGGTTGGAGTCAAGGAAGCAGAGAAGAATTAAAGTTGTTTAAAAAACTATTGGCAAATGATGCAGTCGAACTAGTTTTCACTAGAACAATTCCAGCTATTGTTTGTTCTGTTTCAGATCTGTCAGCCTTCCTGGTAGAGCTTGGAGTTAGCAAAAGGCATTAAGCTATTATGTTTAACCATTGGGCTTAACCCTTTCTTTGGCCAGCTTTGGGATTTGCTGCTGTTGTCCTGAGACCCCCTCGTTGTTTTTCCTTCATTATCTGTTTGACACCAGCTCATGGGACACAAATGCTATGTAACTGTCGTGGAAAACCAAAGTGACACGTATCTAGTGGAATATAACATCACAAGGAATTGGCTTTGAAGCCAATCCAGGCTTCCATGAGTAATTATTGCTGTCAGCAAGACAATGACATTTCTCCTTGCATGCTGGTTACAGAGCTGGAACTGCGCTGATGAAAGTACCACCAGTGGCTTGGGCTCTCATGCCAAAACTGGATGGTGAAGAACATACCCTCATTCTTCCTGGCACTTTGGACCATTCGTGTAAACTGCCCAGGGGCCTTTGAGAGTTTGAGAAAATTTACTGAGCCCCGTTCAAAGACATTCATCATTTTCTTTCCAAATAGAGACACAAGTCAACTTAAGTAGAGACGCAAGTCAACTGTCTTCATTTGAGAGCCCGTAGTAACAGGAAAGGACATAGGCTGCTCAGGGGGGAATCCCAGCCCACTGCTTCTCAGCCAAATGATCTCAGGCAAACTGTTTAACTTTTCTGAGCCTCAGTTTTCTCACCTGTCAAATGGGGGCATAATGGCGTACTTCATAGGGTGCTGATTGCAAGAAGGAAGTGAGGTGATGGGATGTAAAGTGTCTGGCACACCTTGGGGGCATGGTGCATGGTTAAATGTACCATTCCATTGTCACTCTCCTCTGAACCAAATAACCACAGTAAATTCAAAACCATGGTTGCACACAGGGCAGCCCACAGCCACATCTGGCCCTGAAGTTTGTCTTTGTTTGGTTTACACTATGTTTTAAGTAAAAGTGAATTTGTAAAAATTGGGAGCATTCACATAAAAATCTGGAGTTCTGGTTTATCTTAAAAGACTGAAGGCTGGCTGGGAGCGGTGGCTCACACCTGTAATCCCAGCACTTTGGGAGGCCAAGGCAGGCGGATCACGAGGTCAGGAGTTCAAGACCAGCCTAACCAACATGGTGAAACCTCGTCTCTATTAAAAATGCAAAAATTAGACAGGCGTGGTGGCACACACCTGTAATCCCAGCTACTTGGGAAGCTGAGGCAGGAGAATTGCTTGAACCTGAGAGGTGGAGTTTGCAGTGAGCCGAGATCGTACCATTGCACTCCAGCCTGGGCGACAGACGTGAGACTCCGTCTCAAAAAAAAAAAAAAAAAACGCTGAAAGCTTTAGCAACCCTGGGCCCCCACATTCCCCGCTGGCTGCCACCAGTAGGAGCTGAGAGGCTGCTGTCCTGTAGATGAATCCCCGCCTCTCCCTTTTGTCCTTAATTGTTATGAGCACATACTTTCTGCCAGGCACTATTCAAAGCAACATAAATCTAGATTCATTCTCCTCCTCCCTCCCTGTCACCATCAGAACAAACACTCGGCACTTGTCGTGTCCCAGCATTGCTCTATTAACTCATTTAATCTTCACAACTCTAAAAAGTGGGTACTGTTATTATCCCCATTTTACAGACGAGGAAACCAAAATGCAGAGAGGTTAAGCAGCTTGATTGAGATGGCACAGGTGATAGCCCAGATTTGAACCTAGATAGTCTGACTTCAGAGTTTATTCTCCTGATCAGTACTCTGTACTATTTCTCATTTAATTATTATACAACTGGTAGGCTATGAGCCCATTTTACAGACATGGAAGTTGGGGCATGGAGGAGTTACGTAACCAGGTTAAAGTCACACCAGAATCAAACCCAGGCACTCTGGTTCCAGAGTTCCCACTTGTAAACCACTTCTAACTCACTTTCTGCCAAGCTGTAAGAGTCTCCAGACCCTGGATCTTCAATTCTCCCACAGTGGTGAAATCCACAGACACACTCCTTTTTGTGACTTGGAGCTGTCAGTGCCCTTTCTACTGCCCTGGAACAATCTGGCTGCCATGGTGAAGGCTTTGAGGGTGGAAGCGATGAGGCAGAGAGAGGTTGCTCCCAAATTCAGAACAGGTAGCGCCAGTGAGGTCAGGTTACACACACACACTTTCTTTCTCATGGGGCAGGTGGTGAGCTCCAGAGACTCTGCAGGGGACATTCCACCCTGGAGCATGACCCCCAAGTGCTGGATTATGCCTCTCCCCCTGCCTGGCCTACTGTTCTCCCTCCTCCTGGGCCATTCCTTCTATTACAGAGTCTTTACTAGGTGGCTTCAAAGGTCCTACTCAAAGGAGGACCCCCAAGAGTCATGAGTCACAGGACCTGCACTCAGGGGGATTCTGGAGGGAGCATGGAGCCAAGAAGCCCCCCAGTGGCTTCCATTGCATTCCCACCTCTGCTTCTTACCAGCTGTGGGACCCTGGCTAGTGGCCTAACCTCCTTGAGACCCATTTGCCCCATCTGTTTAATGGGAGTAATTATTCCACCGACCTCACAGACTCAATGTGAGGATGAAATGAGTTGAAACAGGGAGTGGACTTAGTGTGCTTAAAAAGTATAGAACAAGATCTGAATTCCTTATCCTTGGCCACCAGGCCCCACTTGTCTATCCCTGGAAGCCTCCCAAACTCATCTCCGTCCCTATTGCCTTTGCTCCTTGGGCCCAGCCCCTGGCCCCTTTTCCTTTGCTTTAACTGAGAAGCATGATTCTGCCCTCCGAGCCTTTGCATCTGCTGTTTCCTCTGTCTGGACCAGTCTTCACCCAGGCTCTGCAGGACCAGCCCTCCCTCAGTTCTCATCAGAGAGGTCTTTCCTAATGAAAGGAACTGCCCCTTCCTTCATTCATTTGTTCATTCATTTATTGAACAAATGTTTAATCAGCCATGTGCTTGGCATGGTTTTAAGTACTAGGGAGACAGCATAGAAAACCCTATCCTCATGGAGCCCACGCTAGGGTGCTGACAAAGCAAAAAGCTGACAATGACGATAAAGAAGCAAAGTATTTAGCACGTTGCATAGTGATGCTTGCTGTGAAGGAAAAAGGCAGGGGAGGAGCATGAGGAATGCAAGAGTGGAGGGTTGCAGTTTTTGTTAGGGTGGCTAGAAAAGAGGTCCCTGAGAAGATAACACTTAAGACCTGTAGGAGGTAAGGGAGGGTGCCACATGGCTACACAGAACAAGAGCCGTATGCACAGAGAAGACAGCAAGTGCAAAGGCCCTGAGGCAGCAGTGTGCTCAAAAAACTTTACATATATTAATACAAACATATGTACATATGCATATTTAAATTTCTGTTCCTGTTTAGCATGCAACTTAGTGCCTGGCTCATGGTAGATCCTTAAAAAATTATTTCTGGGTGAGTGAAGGGGTAGGTGGATGAAGACAGAATGGTGCTGAGGAACCCAGATAACTTTAGGGAGATATTGGTTCTGAATCCTTAGTAAAGTTTCCTTCACTTCCCCCTGCCTCATTTTCTACATTTGCATCGTACTGATGACAATAATTTCCTTACTGCGTTGTTGTGGAGAATAAAGAGATCATGCTCATGCAGTCCTTGCCACAGTAACCCTGGTTTGTTTGTAGGAACCACTTGAGAAATATTACCTATTATTCCTTATGATTCAAGGGAAAAATGGATTTGAATTGATTGTATCCTGTCTCTGGGAAGGGGTGGTGGGGAGTTCCCCTGAATAGAGGAAAATTTTTCTTTTAAAATGCACATGCATTTTTCAGAAACTGATGCTCTAATCTCATTGTTTCCAAGGAGAGGTGAAACCACCACCCTACGCTACAAGCTGGGCTGTCAGCTGCTCTCACTTCCTGCACCTCCTCTGCCCTGGGCATGACAAGACCTCATTTTCAGTTTCAGTCTCACCGGTTCCAACCCGGGGCTGACGGGTTTTGATTCATTTCATCCAAACCAGGCTGAGCTGCCCAGAGCTTTGCCCAGGTGCTGGCCTGGGGAACCACATGTCAGCTTCATCCTTCTCACCTTTAAGGCTTTTGTAGCCGTTCACACCCAGAACAACCTCTACCTGTGCAGAACAGAAATCCCGCTTTGTGGGAGGAAATGGTGCTATTAATCCCATCGTGGCCTCCACAGGTAAAGAGCTTCCACTGATGGCAGTAGCTCACAAATGTCATAGTCTCGAGCCACTTTCTGGCGTATATTCAGACCACCTCTACTGCCACTTGGTACTAATTTGTTCTTTTTTTTTTTTGAGACCGAGTTTCGCTCTTGCGAACCAGGCTGGAGCGCAGTGGCACGATCTCGGCTCACTGCAACCTCTGCCTCCCAGGTTCAAGCAATTCTCCTGCCTCAGCCTCCGGAGTAGCTGGGATTACAAGTGCCCACCACCACACCCAGCTAATTTTTGTATTTTTAGTAGAGGCAGGGTTTCACCATGTTGGCCAGGCTGGTCTTGAACTCCCGACCTCAGGTGATGCACTCGCCTAAGCCTCCCAAAGTGCTGGGATTAGAGGCATGAGCCACCGTGCCTGGCCTGTTGTTTCTTTAAAACAACTCCTTTGAAATAAATTCATTTTAAAAGGATGACTTAAGCCAGTTCCAGAAATGAAACGTTATGACTTTGATGGTCTTGTTGTGATTCTAATGTACATAAAATTAATTTGCAACGATTTCAATCAAAGAGGGAGTATTTATAGACTCCCTAAAATCATCGCAGTCTGGGACTTGCAGCCTCATTCCTTTCTGTCCTCAGTGGCACCTCCCGCAAGAGACAAAGGGCTTGCTCATGGTCACAGAGCCTCTCAGTGACAGTCAGAATTGGGGCACCCACTTCTGGATGCCTAGTGTGGTGTCTTTCCAGCTGTCCCTGTCCCTAGTATGGGAGTGATTTAAATCACCCACACAAGGAAGATGAACTGATACAGTTTACAGACATTTACCTTTATAGCAGAGACCTGCCTGGAGACATCTCGCTGGCACTACAAATTGTCTCATCTCACTGGGGGATCCCTTAGAAGCCGGCCCCTGGGGTCCAATTAGGCAACATAACAGCCGTTGCTGCTTTCAGAATCATTAGCTTCTTAATCCTCCCAGTGAGAGGTGAAAAAAGTGTGAACATTCAAATTGTGCTCATGGATTTAAGTGGCTTAACCAAGGGCCCCCAGGAGAGTGGAAGCTAATAATAGCTCCTCTGTGCTGAGCACTTAACCATTTGCCAGGTACCTGCCCCATCTGCATATGTGCAAGATATTGCCCCAATTTGCAGATGAGAAAACTGAGACTCAGAGGGAAGAGGTGAAGGACACAAGGTCTCATGGCTGTATTGCAGCACAGCCAAGATTTAAATTTGGATCTGACCCCTTAAGCCTATCTGTTTTCTTTGGAAAGAACATCAACAAATTATGAGAATGGGTTGTAGATTTGGCCTACGGTAGGTGCATGATAAACACTTGTTGACTGCGTGAATGAATGAAACATGGTGTGTATCCTCGGGTAAGTTGCTTCACACAGTCACTCACATACACAATTGCACATAAGTATGCACTCAGTATGCACAGACTGAAGCTTTAATTTCCTCTCTTAAAACTGGATCTTTTGCTTTGCACATTTATATTGTCTTTGTGGCCCCAATATGCACTTGAGTTTGTGTCTTCTGGAATGGAGATTTCTTTTTATGAACCCCAAATTGTGATAATGCTTAGTGATGTGTAGTTTTGTATTAGCCAGTGGTCTAAACTCTTACTCCTCAAAGTGTGGTTTGTGAACCTGCAGCGTCAGCATCACCTGGAGGCTTCCTTGACCAACAATCAGAACCTGTGTTTTAACAAGATCCCCAGGTGAATCCTGGTTCCAGGTGCACTGGTCTCAAATGTCCATTGCTTCCTTTGCACCTCGTTATAATTGCAGTTAAGTACTCATTTGTGTGATTGTTTGTCATCCATCTCACTCACTAGACAGGAGGCTTCGGGTCCATAAAGACAGGGACCCTGACTGCCTTGGCTCACTGTATTAGTCCGTTCTCGCACTGCCATAAAAAAATACCTGAAACTGGGTAATTTTAAAGAAAAGAGATTTAATTGGCTTACAGTTCTGCAGGCTGTACAGGAAGCCTGGCTCAGGAGGCCTCAGGAAACTTACAGTCATGGTGGAAGGCGAAGGGGAAGCAGGCACATTTTCCATGGCTGGAGCAGGAGGAAGAGAGGGGGGTGGCAAGTGCGAAACTCGGTCTCAAAAAAAAAAAAGAACAAATTAGTACCAAGTGGCAGTAGAGGTGGTCTGAATATACGCCAGAAAGTGGCTCGAGACTATGACATTTGTGAGCTACTGCCATCAGTGGAAGCTCTTTACCTGTGGAGGCCACGATGGGATTAATAGCACCCTTTCCCCCCACAAAGCGGGATTTCTGTTCCGCACAGGTAGAGGTTGTTCTGGGTGTGAACGGCTACAAAAGCCTTAAAGGTGAGAAGGATGAAGCTGACATGTGGTTCCCCAGGCCAGCACCTGGGCAAAGGTCTGGGCAGCTCAGCCCAGAGAACTCACTAACGTGAGAACATGATAAAACTTACTCACTATCATGAGAACAGGATAGAACTTACTATCATGAGAACATGAAGCCAGGGGAAAATACACCCCCATGCTTCAGTCACCTCCCACCAGGCCCCTCCTCCAACACTGGGGATTACACTCACTGTTGTAACCCAGTTCTGAACTCATGCCTGGCAATGAATGAATGAGCTCAGCTGATCCCTCTCTCCTCACCCATAGGAAGCTTGGGAAGTAGAGGAGGCTCAGAGTTTACAATTCAGAAGGAAATAGAGGAGGCACTCTACCCTCCCTACTTGGCAGCCAGCTGGCCCGTTATGCATCAGCCACAGCCCCTTCATCCTGTGGGTTCATTCTCAAGCCCTGGGGGAGGATGAAGAAGGGGCAAAGCTCAGAGTAAACAGATTTGGTTCTGTTGGGCGCCAGGTCATTAGAGCTGCTTTCACTACCAGCAAAGTGGACCTAAGTTGCCATCAATGACTCCTCCATTGACCTTGACCTCATAGCCTACATGGTCCAATATGAATCCATCACGGCAAGTTCAAGGGCAGCAACAAGGTTGAGAACAGAAAGCTATGATCAGTGGGAAGTCCACCTCCATCTGCCAGACACCAGATCCCAAAGAGGGCATTGCTGCCTTCATCACCCTAGAGATGCTTGGAGCTCATCTGAAGAATGGCATCAAAGGGGCATCATTCTGTCCCTTGTGCTGATGGTCTGTGTTTGAGATGAGGGTGACCTACTCCCTTTAGATTTCCAGCATGCCATCTGCTTGTTCCCCCAGAAGGGTCTATGACAACCATGGCATCATAAAAGTACTCATGACCACTGCCTGTGCCCTCTCTGCCCATCTGGCAAGCTGTGGTGCGATGGCCATGGGACTGTTCAGAGTGTATTCAGTGGCACTGCCAAGGCTGTGGCAAGGTCATTCCTGAGCTGAACAGGAAGCTTGCTGACACAGCCTCCTATGTCCCCACCCTCAGTGTGTCTGTCCAGGATCTGACCTGCCATCTAGAAAAAGCTGTTGAGCACAGTGACATCAAGAAAATGTGATGCGGGCACCTGGGGGGTCATTGAAAGAAATTCCGGGCTACACTGAAGACCACGTTGTCGCTTGCAACTGTAACAGTGATGCCCACTTCTCCACCTGTCACACTGGGGCTGGCATTGCCCACAACCACCAGTTGGTCAAGCCTACTTCCTGGTACTGTGATGATGTTTGGCTACAACAACTGCAGGGTGGACTTCCTGGTCCACATGACCTCTGAGGACTAAGGGCTCTGGACCACCAGCAAGTGCATAAGAAGAAGAAAGGCGTTCTCTGCTCTTGGGCAGTCCCTGCCCACCTCTGTGCCAAAGCAGAGAATCTCCACCCTTGACAGTGTCCCATCCAAGGCTCCCAGAGGAGGGAAGGAGCTTAGAGAGCCCTGCCTTATCATGTGTGTTTATGATAAGGATTATCAATGAAGTCCACACCACCCTAACCATGGAGAAAGGAAGCAGAAAGGGAGGCAGAAGATCACTCTACATAGAGTTTAATACACTCACTCTCCAGTTTCTCAATTCCTCCAGGTGTCCTGGGATGAAAAGGTTAAATGCGATTGATACCAGCAGAAAACAGAAAAAAGCCTGTGTTTTTTCAAAAATCACACAATTGCCAAAGGAAAATCTCTTTGCACTTACAAATGCCTGTTTCTCGCTTGCACAGTCTTCCTGAGGTTGCTGGGGTGGGAAAGGGAGAGTATTTACAGGTCTGCGTAGTGGGGGAGGGGAACCTGTCTGCTGGGGAAGGCAGGTTGCTCAATTCAGAGGAACTGGGTGGAAGCTTGAAAAGGAGCTGGGTGAGGCAAACATGCAAATCATGCCATGGAGATTGGCAGAAAAGACGCTTGCCTCCAATTTATGGAATGCCAAGTTAATTCGAGCCCATAGGAATGTTGTTCCCATAGATTTAGATTTTTATGAATATATACATATTTATGAAAGAAAACATTTAAAGTGTTTAATTCAGTAACTTATGCAGTACTAAATGCACTCAAGTCATGGGCTTTTACGAGGAATGAGATTGTGGCTGCTTCAGAATGAGACAGTTCATTCTTGAGCCCTGTGGGAGGATGAAGAAGGAGTGATGGGGTACAGGACACCCCGCCTAGGAGCAAACCCAGGGTAGGGAAATCAGCATTGAGTGAGCACCTACTGTGTGCCAGGGGCTTTCCTTGACATTCGGCTACTGTTGTTCCATCCTTTTCTTTGAATGTGATACATGATGCGAAATATATTTCTGCATTGTTGAATGCACGTGCATGCACACACAACACATTCTCACACCTGGACCTGCAACAAAAGGGTTACACAATTCCTTCTTACTATGGGCAATACCTGCTGCCATCGTATATCATAAAATAGGCAATTCTCCTTTTCTTAATTCCAGTTATGACTCTCTAAATGAACTTCAAGACCACCACCCCCGCCCCAACCCCAGTGGTTTGGGACTTGAACAGAATTTGGCTCAGCCAGGGGGAGGGCATTAAGAGTGTTGACCTTGGACTCACACAGCTTTTGGGTTCAAGTCCCAGTTCCCTTGCCCACGGTTGTGTGACTTGAACAAGGCACTTGACCTTCGGAGCCCCGGTTTCTTCATCTGTACAACGGGGTTAATGGCATCGCGTGCTCAGAGCGCTGTTGTGAGGACTCAATGAGAGCCTGTCTATAAGCAGTTAACAAGGGCCTGGCACATAGTCAACCTCTAAGTGAATGCCAGCTGCTCTTATGACAATGACTGTCATCGTCAGCTGTAGTGTCATGGTTGAGAAGACAGACTCTGGAGCCAGACCACCTGGGTTCAGATCACAGATCCACACCGTACTTCCTGTGTGGCCCTGGGTGAGTTACTTAAGCTCTCTGTGCCTACAGCTGTTCATCTGAGGATGAGAATAGAACCTTTCTCACAGGGTACTTATGAGGATTAAAATAATTAATCCAGGTAAAGAATTTAGAAGAGAGCTTGGCACGTAATAAGCACTGGGTAAATGATGGCTATCAGCATCATCTCATTTAATCCTTTCCTGTCCTTGCAAGATAAGTATTTTCATCCTCATTGCACAGGGGGGAGCCCTGAGGCCCAGAGATCTAGGAACTTGCCTGAAGTCTCATAACTAGGAAGTGGCAGAGTTGCAAGTGCACGTTGGTCTCCTGAGCCTCCAGCGCAGAGGCTGAGGCAGGCTCAGAGCTCCACAGCCTTAGGTTGTGATGATGACGCAGCCACTGCCCTACAGAACAGGGAGTGGGCATTGGCAGGTTGACGCTGTTCCCATCAGTAGACACATTATCTAGAATTTGTCCAGGACTCTGCAGTGAGGACATTGAGTTGCATTGTTCAAGATGACGGAGCACAAAAGTACTTCCCAGTGAACTGTCCCTATGTAAAATTATCCCCGGGCAAACGTCTCTCCCAGCTTAACTCTGTCACCTTTTCGTCACCCCCTGCATATCGCCTCCCATCAATGATTGGACATTGTGTGCTGAGTGATTGGGTGTTAGGTACTTGCATCAGGAGCCCAGGTGTCATCCATCTCTCTGCTCCACCACCCTAGATGGAGCTTAGGAGATGATCGAAGTGGTTCCTTCCCCTAAAGTGTTGGGGCCAGCTGCACCTGCACTCCATGGACTGGAAGTGAGGAGGCAGGGGAGGAACATCAAAGCCATGTCATTAGAAGAAGGGAAATGGAGGTTGGATGAGCAAAGCCAGCCTGTGTCTGCCATTCTGGGGTTCTTGGGGATTGCTTTTGAGGCAGGGAAGGGAGCGGTTTTCCATCCAGGAGTGGAAATGGCACCAGCTTGATTCACTTCCTAGTTGTGCTGCTGCCTGGTCATGTGACTTGGCTCAAGCACATTCTTTCTGTCTCTTTGGCCTCAGTTTCTCCATCTGTACAATGGATGGAGAAATGGACTCTACTCTGATGTTTCAAGGTGCTATGGATTCTTTAGATGTCATTTTTCCTTAACTGCACAGAGACGAAGTGCACCCAGAAAGGGCTCCGAACTCCTCAAGAAGAAGAGTGCTGAGATGTGGCGCCTCAGATAAGCATCTGTGGTGGAGAAAGCCGCGGGCAGCACCCCTCCAAGTCTGCTCCTGCTTAAGTGGTGTCTGAAGTCACCACCTCTGCAGAACATCACCCTAATCGCTAAAACTCTTCCAATTTTTCTTTTTCTCCTGCAGGCATCACCAAATCGGCCCCCCTGAGAGTGTCCCAGCTCTTCTCCAGGTGAGTGCCATTCACTTGTCTCCTGCTCACATGCCCACCTTTTCTTCTTTCTTGGAAGGTAGAGGTTAAGAGAGAGGGCCCTGGAGCCAGATTCCCTGGATAGGAATCCCAGCCGTAGCACTTCCTAGCTGAGTGAGCTTGAGCAAGTCACTCCACCTCCCTGGGCCTGAGCCCTCCCATCTGGGAGCGGGGGACAGTCATGCTGCCTGCCCCCACGAAACCAGCAAAAGCAGGTAAAACACACTTAGAATGGGGCCTGGAGCAGAGTGTCCTCAGAGTCTTAGCTATTATTTTCTTCTTTCTTCTCTTCATTCTTTTTTTTTTTTTTATTCTTTTCTTTCTCCCCTTCCTCTGCTTTCCCATGCATAGGGAATTTCTTAATTTTTCCCTCCCTTTTTGCCACTGTCTTTCTTTCTCCTTTCCTCATTCCTTTCCTTTCCCTTCTTTTCAATCTCCCTTCTATTTTTTTTTTCTCCGAGACAGAGTCTTGCTCTGTCACCCAGGCTGGAGTGCAGTGGCGTGATCTCAGCTCACTGCAACCTCTGCCTCCCAGGTTCAAGTAATTCTGCCTCAGCCTCCCAAGTAGCTGGGATTACAGGCTCCCTTCTTTCTATCCTTATTTTTCTCTCCCTTTTTCTCTTTCCCTTCCTCTCTTCCCTCCCCTTTCGTCCCCCATCCTTTTCTCTCCACCTCTCTCTCCCTTTTCCCCTCCCTCCTTTCATCATTTCTTTACTTTATTTTAAGTTCCAGTATACACATGCAGAACATGCAGGTTTGTTACATAGGTAAACATGTGCCATGGTGGTTTGCTGCACCTGTCAACCCATCACCTAGGTATTAAATTCGACATGCATTAGCTATTCTTCCTGATGCTCTCCCTCTCCCCTACCCTTCCCTAACAGGCCACAGTGTGTGTTGTACCCCTCCCTGTGTCCATGTGTTCTCATTGTTCAGCTCTCACTTGTAAGTGAGAACATGCAGTGTTTGGTTTTCTGTTCCTGCATTAGTTTGCTGAGGATAAGGGTTTCCAGCTTCATCTGTATCCCTGCAAAGGACATGATCTTGTTCCTTTTTATGGCTGCATAGTATTCTATGGTGTATCTGTACCACAATTTCTTTACCCAGTCTATCATTGATGGGCATTTGGGATGATTCCATGTCTTGGCTGTTGTAAATTGTGCTGCAATGAACATATGCGTGCATGCATCCTTTCTTCCTCCTCTACCATTCACACATCACTCCTCAGTACCTAACCCCACACTGAGCCCTAGAAACTCAGAGATGGATGAGATGCAGTCTCTGCCCCCGGAGAGCTAGTCCATATTGATGGATGAGACACCTTCCAGGACTGGGGCTGACATCTCCAGCTCAAATGAGTTTCTTATGCATTTTGCAGCAGGTTCCCCCAAATAACCCTTTATCGTGGCAGTAGTCTAAAAGAAAGAAGGGCATAGGGACATCTGTTTATAATTCCATAAACTTTTGCATTCACCTGCTGTGAGGCCTCAGGTGGAAGAGGAACTCTGGAAGCAAACAGGCTTTAGCAAAAGTGATGTAACCAAAATGGAATCAGATACAGATTGGGGAATCTCATCAACATTTACCTGTACGCTTAACCCAGTTGTGACAGTTAGAAACATGATAGTTGTGGTGTCTGGGGGAGGGTGGCATAGTGGAGGGGTTGAGGGTGTGGCCTCTGGAGCCAGGGTTCAAATTCTCTATCTGCTGTATGCTTGTGGCGTGTTATTAAGTCTCTCTCTGCCTCTGTTTTCTTACCTGTAAAATGGGGATAGAAACAAAAATTACCTCCAAGGCTTATCACAGTTGTGGTGGAGTTTAAATGAGCCAATTCACATGAAGTAAATAGGACAGTGCCTGGCACGTAGGCATGAGAATTGACTACCTTTACCACTAAGGGAAGTGGCCCTTGTAGGCATTGTTGCAGACAGGATGTGATTCGGTCTCAAGAGGTGGCTGCTGCTCAAATCCAGCTGATAGCACCACACAGGCGTGCAGACCCAGGTACGCTGAAGCACCTGCTTTTCAGGAGAAGGAAGACAAAGCGAGTGTGTTTATGTGCATGCCTGCATGTGTGTGTGTATCTGTGCACGTAACCTCCTGGTTTTCAAATTTTAACAACAATTTCAAATTAGGAAAAAAAATAACTTCACTGGTCAAAGAAATTATATCCATGGATCTGTGGATTGGATGTGGCCCCTGGGCCACCATTTTGCTCCCTTTGTGTTAGAACAACTGACCTTGACTTTATTTATTGCTATCTGCAGGGCTGGATGAATCCTAGTCCTGTGAGGAATAGCAGATTCATGGTTCCAAGCATGGGCTCTGGAGTCAGACTCCTTCATTTAAGCTCTATATTTACCACTTTGTAGCTGTGTTTTCAGCTCTCTGAGTTTTGGTTTCCTCATCTCTAAACCAGGAGAGATAAGAGCCTCCACCCCAGAGATTTGATAAGAGCATCCATGAGATATAATGTACATACCAGGTGCATGTGACACAATTCCCAACCCTTAGTAAAAAACACAATGCTTGGCAGCACCCATAGTATAAATATCTTAAGTAAGGAGCCCTGTACATCCTAGCCCATTATAGAACCTGTTGTTCTCCATGGAGTAGAGAAGTCATTTGTGGTCTTTGGTTGCAAGCAACAGAAATCAACTCTGGCTGATATAAGTCTAAAAGCATTTTTGGGGGAATATCTGGAATAGCTCACAACATAAATGAAATAATCAGGCCTCGAGAGAGATTAAGAATGGGACAGATTCAGGATTCAAGCAATATGGAGGATTTAAATTCCCAGGGCAGAGTCTGATTGGATGATCTTGCATCATGTCCCCACCCCTTAGCTAAGAGCAGGACATCTTGATTGACAGCCCTGTTAAAGCTGCAGTCAATTGAGAAGGTATCTAAATTAGGACAATCGGGGTAGGATAGGCTATGCTACAGTAATCAGTAAACCTCGACATCTCAGTGGCTTCACACAACAAAGGTTTGTTTCTTACATAAAGTCCAGTGTGGATGGGGTGAAACCCTGCAAGGCAGCTCTCTCTCCTCCACAAGCTGACTCAGGGATCCAGGGTGTTTCCGTATCATGGCTCTGTCATCTCAACCTGTGCCCTCCACAGTTGCTATCAAAAGAGGAGAAAGGACAGGAGGGTTGCGGGGGATGTGTTCATTGGCCAGGCCTGCGAGTGGCTTACAGCATATCTGCTTACATTCTACGGGGCTGAACCCAGTCACACGGCTGAATCTGACTGCACAGGAGACAGAAAATGTAATCTTCCTGCTTCCCAGGCAGAGGAAAATAAAATGGGATTTGGTGAACATGTATGTTGTCTCTGCTCTGGAAAGAGTAGAACCCCAAAGAAAAATGGGGGTGTTGATATCAAGATAAGGAAGAAGGGGTGCCAGACTGGGCCTGGAGATTTAATCTTCCCTCTTTCCACACAGATCTTGCCCACGTGTCCTCCCCCGCCAGCCTTCCACAGCCATGGCAGCCTACGGCCAGACGCAGTACAGTGCGGGGATCCAGCAGGCTACCCCCTATACAGCTTACCCACCTCCAGCACAAGCCTATGGAATCCCTTCCTACAGTGAGTAGTAAACAAGTCCTTACTCTCCTCCTCAGGTCCCCAAATCATGGTCTTTGTTCTGCACTATTGTCTCAGCTAAATGTGGATTAATAGACACAACCAAGCTGATTTTGGATTAGAGATAAAGGGAAAAGAGTAACACTTTAAATATGGTTCAAATTCTATAGCCTATAATATCAAGATCCCTTTTGATGGCAAGAATTGGAAATTGAACCCAAGCTGGTTTAGGGAAAATTGGGACTGAATGATTTGCATACCGAGAGATCTGTGGATACAGCTGTCATCAGGTATGACTGGATCTAGGTGCTAAAGCGTCATCGTGAGGTGTAAGTCTCTTTCCATCTTCAGATGCTCCCAGCAAGTTCTCCCTGCATGGCAGCAAAGATGGTGCCTGTCCACTCAAGGTTTGCATCCTTTTATCTCTGCATGCCCAGTGGAAAGAGAGCTCATCTTTCCCAGAAGTTCCAACAGAATCCCATATTGGCCCTCATTGGCCCAAGTTGGGCCATGTGGCAATGCTTATAGCAAGGCAAGGAGAACAGGGTGATGGAGATAAGGAAGCTGAAGCCTATGGATTATCTTTGAAGGAGGGGTGGTTTTCTTAAAGGAAAACAGAGTGGTAGTATCAGAAGAAGGAGAAATGGATGTGGTGGAGGACGGGGCAGAAACAACAGACCTCCAGCCCTTGACTGTTCACATCTTACAGCTAAGAACTGAAGACTTGCGAACCTGGCTCACCATCCATGCCCACCTGCCCTTGCCTCTGGCCTTGAGTCATGCTATTCCCTCGCCTCCTAGCTGATATCTTAACCAAAGCCCTTTTAGTAGCAAGTGACAAAAACCCAAGCTAATCAGCTGGAGGAAACAGGGGAATTTATTGCCTATGTAGCTGGAAAAACCTAGGGCACTGGCTTCAGGCAGGCCTGGGTCCAGGTCCTCAAGGTATAATATCAGGACTCAGCCTCTGCTTCCCTTTCTGTGGGCCTCAGGCTCAGGCAGGCTCTCCCACTGTGGTGGCAAAGACAGCCCTGGCAGTTTCAGGCTGCAGTGTCCCCCAAAAAGAGAGCCCCTCCTGTCTAGGACTTCCTGCAGAGTCCCAGGAATTTCTCTACTGGACTCCCACATCCATCCAAGAAGATAGGTGCTGTGGGTGGCCATATTTGGCCACATGTCCACCCGCAGGACCAGGGGTCAGGTCAGCCTCACCCAAAACAACTGATCTGAAGGTGAGGCAGGGGTGGTTCACAAAGGAGAAGGAGGCAGGAAGAAACTACAGATAGCCACTCCACGTGACTTTACAGCCCACCCAAATCCGGGCTATCCAGTGGAAAGGACGTAGCGTTGGTGGCAGGGACCTGCCTGCCTGACTTCGCTGCCCCTGACCTCTCCAGGCCTCAGTTTCCTCAATTGTAAAATTAATATGCTCGTTTCATCTTCCCACCTAGAGGGGTCCTGCTTGAGTTGAGTGCAGAGGCTGACTCTTACATTTCTTTCCTCCCTCCTCTTCCTCCATACCTCTGCCCTGTTTGTTTGTTCATTCATTCATTCATTTATTCATTCATTCAACATTGAGTCATGTGTGGGGCAGACAGTGGTCAACAAAGCAGAGCGGGCCCTGTCTTCATGGAGATTACTGCCTAAAACCGATGATCAGGCAGCACTAGACTCACAGTTTTGGTATCAGGGGTCAGTGGCTCTATGTGGACAAAAGCCCTGCAGACATTTCCTTTTAGCTTTAGTTTGCCACAGTCCTCACCCAGCCCACGTTACTCCCTTGAATTATCTGCCTTTTCCATGAAGACACTTGAGTTTGCAAACTCTGGCCTAGAGATAGAAAAAAAAGTTTTTTTAATTTTCTTTTTTTGAGACAGCATCTCACTCTGTTGTCCAGCCAGAGTGCAGTGGCACCATCGCAGCTCACCGCAAGCTCAACATCACAGGCTCAAGTGATCCTCCCACCTCAGCCTCCCAAATAGCTCAGACTACAGGCATACGCTACTGCGCCCTGCTAATTTTTTGTATTTTTTTGTAGAGATGAGGTTTTGCCATGTTGGCCAAGCAGGTCTCAAATTCCTGGCCTCAAGTGATCTACTGCCTTGGCCTCCCAAGGAGCTGAGACTACAAGCGGGAGCCACTGTACCTGGCCCCAGATTTTTAAATCTGTATGTGTAATTTCAAATTAGGATGCACGGCATAAAGGAAGCAAAGACTTGTTTTAGGTTCTAGGGATGGGAAAGGCCTTTTAAATAAGGAGCGAAATTCAGCTGAGAACTGAGAGATAGCCATGTGCAGGCACAGACAGGAGAGCATCCAGGCAGAGGGGCAGGCCCTGGGAATGGGGAGGAACTTGGCAATTCTGAGAAGACTAATGGCTGGAGCACAATGGGAGATGAGGTGAATGAGGTGGGCGGGGCCTCCGAGGCCCAGGAAAGATTTGGGGTTCTGTTCCACGTGAGACTGGAAGCCACTAGAGGGTTTATAAGCAGTGGGTAATAGGATGCAACTTAGGTGGGTTTTTTTTAATTTTATTCTTATTTTTATTATTTTTAGAGACAGGGTCTGGCTCTGTCTTCCAGGCTGGAGTGCCATGGTGCAATCATAGCTCACTGCACCCTCCACCTCCCAGGCTCAAGCAATCCTCCTCCCTCACCCTCATGAGTAGCTGGGACTACAGGCACGCACTACCTCCCCTGGCTAATTTTTTTTTATTTTTTTGTAGAGACGGGGGGTGGGGGGTCTCACTTTGTTGCCCAGGCTGGTCTTGAACTTCTTACCTCAAGCAATCCTCCTATCTCTGCTTCCCAAAGTGCTACAATGACAGGCATGAGCTACCATGCCCAGCCTAGGTTTTAAAGATCACACTGGCTGCTGTGGTGAGGCTGGCTCAGAGGGGATCAGGAGGAGAAGCAGGAAGGCCCGTTGGGAGACGGATGAAGCCTGGAGCAGGAAATGTTGGAGGCCTGGGGCGAGGCCATGGCAGCGGACAGACACATGTAGACAGAATCAAGAGCAACTCTAGAGGCAGAATTGACAGGTCCTGTCGAGGCATCAGTCCAGGCTTAGTAATAGTCACCATCGTTGACTTCCTGTCACTCACATTGGTTTATTTCCACTAATTCCTTTAATCCCCACCTCAACCCTACGAGGAAGGTCATCTCATTATCCTCCCTTGAGCGATAAAGAAACAGAGACTCAGAGAGGTTAAATAACTTACCCAAGGTCACCCAGCTGGTTGGTGGCAGAGGTGGAATTAAGCCCAGGCAGCCTGGCTCTGGACCCCGAGCCCTCACCCACGGGGCTCCGACGCCTGGCTGTGCATTCTGTAAATCCCGGGGGATTACCTATGACAGACCTTGGCCAACAGGTGTGGGCATCTTTTCTAACTTTTTTCCCCTGCTGTGCTAGAAGGCTTAGAATACAATCACACATAAGTTACCCCGCTTGGCTGACAGCCAAGAAAAATGAAGCCATATTCTTTTTCACATAAAAGAGAAAACTAGCCCTGTTCCCAGACAAAACATGGCATCAGATGGAAATCAATTTGGTGCAAAGTTATTTTACTGTCTCAGTTACTTTTGGAGCGTCTGCTCCTGGATGATACAGAGTAGATGATAAGAGCACATGTCCTGGAATTCTGCTGCCCAGATTCACATCCCACCCTTGCCTGTTGCAGGCTGCAAGACCCTGAGGGAGCAGCCTCCCCTCCCTAAACCTCTGTTTTCACATTCATACAATGGGAGTAATACTAAGTCTACCCCTCTCATGATTGCTGGGAGGATTAAATGAGATCATCTACACCAGGGGTTGGCTATCTTCTTCTGTAAAGGCCCAGGTGGTAAATACTTTCTACTTTGTGATCCATATGGTCTTTATTACAACTACTCAGCTCTGCCATTGTGGCGTGAAAGTAGCCAGACTGAATGTAAACGAATGGGTATGTCTGTGTTCCAATAAAACTTTATTTACACAAACAGGCAGTGGACCAGATTTGGTCCATGACCCTGATCTAGATGAAGGGCTTCCTCACCAGGGCCCACCCCAAGAGAAATGCTCAACAAATGTCACCTGTCCCAGTAGAAGCCAGGCTGCCACACACACACGCGTGCACGCACACACACATACACACACACAGAATGTCCATGTCACTGAACAATAACAGGTGGATGAAAAGCCGTTTCCCTTTACATCTGCCTGTGCCTGAGCAAGCTGTGTTTGCTCATCGTCTGGACAAACCTTGTTGAATCTTGTCAGGAAACTTTTTACATTGCTCCTTGGCAAATAGTGCTATTTACTTTGTTTAAATACCTGCAGGAAATAACACAATTGAGCAAACTAGAGACAAGGACAGTTAGTGTATTGAGTATTTTTTTCTCAATTTATTATGCAATATTAAAGACATACATAATAGAGTAATACTATGACACCTATGAACTGACCATTCAATTTAAAAAATAAAGGGAGGTGGCTTTCCTTTCCTCTCAAAGATTCCTGTGCCCCCAAGTTTCATGTTTATCATTCCCCTGCATTTTTTTATGTAGAAGAGATCAACAAACTTTTTCTATAAAGAGCCACATAGTAAATATTTTTGTCTTAGCAGACCACACAGTCTCTATCTCAATCACTCAACTCTGCCATTGTAGCATGAAAGCAGCCATAGACAAAGCATAAACGAATGGGCTGTCTATGTCTCAAAAAACTTTATTTACAAAAATGAACAACAGATGACATTTGGCCTATGGGCTGGAGTTTGCTGACCTTTAATGTAGAGTATTTTAAGCATGTTTTAAAACTTTACCTACATTGCATCTTTTAGTACACATTCTTTTGCAACTTGCTTTTTCCACCCAACATTGTGTCTGTAAAATGTATCCCTGTTCATACAAGTAGCTGTAGTTCATTCATTTTCACTGCTGTATAATATTCCACTACTTGATGGCACCATAACTTACTTACCCATTCTTTAGACAGTCTTTTAGGGCTTTGTTTGTTTCTCATTACATAGGATGCTGCAATCAGCATCTTTGTGCATTTCTCAGGGGTGGAAACCTATGAGAGGAATTTCTGGGTCATGGGGTATATGCATTCTTCACTATCCTGGATAATGGCAAAGAATTTTCATTGTCTCTGGCTTTGTAAAAAGCCACTCCAGAACTTAGTGGCTTAAAATAACACTGACGTATTATTTCTGTGGGCTGGCCAGTTGGGCCTGCTGCTGGTCTCCCACAGTCCCTCTCATGCTGCTGTGCTCGCAGCAGGTGGGCTGGGGCTGCCTAGATGGCACCAGTGGGGCCTCTCTCTCATGTGGCCCTTCCTCTGGGTTTCTTCAGGCATGGTGGGCTCAGGTTCCAGGAGGCTGAAGATAAAAGCTTCAAAGCCTCCGGGTGCTGAGTCTCAAGAACTACTGGGCGTGGTGGCACACACGTGCTCCCAGCTACTAGAGAGGCTGAGGTGGGAGGATCACTTGAGCCTGGGAGGTCGAGGCTGCAGTGAACTGTGAGCATGCCACTGCACTCCAGCCTGGGTGACAGAGTGAAATCCTGTCTCAAAAAAAAAAGTAGTTACATATTTATTTTAATATGCATTTATATCTACATATATATATGTGTATGTGTACAAATATAAATATAATATATATAAAATATGGAACCTGTGATTTCTTGGTCATTATTGCTTAAGGCAAGCAAATAGTTTTAAAATTGAGTTGATTTTTTTTTTTTTTTTGAGATGTAGTCTTGCTGTGTCTCCCAGGTTGGAGTGCAGTGGCATGATCTCGGCTCACTGCAACCTCTGCCTCCCACGTTCAAGTGATTCTCCTGCTTCAGCCTCCTGAATAGCTGGGATTACATATGTGCACCACCACACCCAGCTAATTTTTTGTATTTTTAGTAGAGACAGGGTTTCACCATGTTTCCCAGGCTGATCTTGAACTCCTGGCCTCAAATGATCTGCCTGCCTCAGCATCCCAAAGTGCTGGGATTGCAGACATGAGCCACCATGCCTGGCCTGATGTTTAAAAATAACATGAAATGAATCATTATATGGATGGTGCTGGGGTATGGGAAAACCAAGCAAGTGGTGCACAACATTGAAGATGGGGAAGCACTAATTTGGTCCAAAACCCTCATTGTAGTCACGAGGAAACTGAGGCTTGGAAAGCAGAGGGCACCTGCCTCAGTGATACCACAGAGCCAGGACAGGAAACGAGTACTCTGGGCTGTGCCATGTGCCATGGGCTGATCCAAATTCACATCACGGAGCACCTGCTCAGGGGGCTGTTGATATTTTAAACTTGAACCATCTCCTGTCTCTCCTCTGCTCAGATCCCTCCAGGGCCCCTCTCAGGATCAAAGCCAAAGGTTTTCCACTGCAGTATCTTTGCCCTGTCCCCACCTTGATGATCTTTCTGACCTCATCACTCACCCTCTCCCCAACCCTTACCCCACTCCAGCCTCACTGGCCTCCTTGCTGTTAGTTCATCCAACATACCAAGTACACTCCTGCCTGATGACCTTTGCACATGCCTTCCCTCTGCCTGGACAGGTATTCCTTCGGGTGTCCACAAGTCTTGCTCCTTTGCTTCCTTCAGGTCTTTGTTCAAATGTCTCTTCCTCCCTGGGACCTCTTCCTCCTCCTCCAAGGGACCTTTCAGGATCACTCTGTTTGAAATTTCAAATCCCAACTCCCCTTAACCAACTTTGCTACCTCCTTCCCTGCTTCATTCTTCTTTTTAGCACCTTAAGACTCTAAATGGAGTCCAAAAAATTTAATCATGTTTGGAGAATTGTGTTAGTGTGAGGTTCATAAGATAGCAGGGAAAAGTGTGTGCCGCTGAGTGTGCCAGGGAGTCAGGGAGCCAATCATGTTGTCTCTTGTGTTACCCAAAAAGTATTTTGTATGCTTCTCCTCTGCTGTGTGTTTTTACTTGTTTTTCTGCTGTCATTCTCCTCCCACTAGCATATAAGCTCCAACCGCTACAGTATCTGTAGCATCAAGATCTGTATCTCCTGACCTGTTGCAGGTGCTGAGCTAATAGTTGTGAATGAGTGAATGAATGCTTATTGGCTGTCTGTTGTTGACACCCTCTCTGAAATCCACATGCTCACTTTGGTGCTTCCATGAGTGGAAGCCAGTGGAACTTGCAGATAGTTCACGAGCACCTTTTCGGAGGCCTCTTTCTCTTTGCTGTGAAGATACTTATCAGAGATGCCTGCGGAGTAGCAGGTCTGATGAGATCAGTCTGTCCCCAGGCCAAACCGTGACCAGATTTCCTTTGAACATAATCTCTTAGAGCAGTGTTTCTCTATCTGGTTTAAAAGACCAGTTTTTGGGTTTTTGCTTTTTAATTGCCATTCCACTGTGGACTAATATTTTAGTAAAAATGAATTACCAGAAAAATCAAATTAAAATTTTTATTTACTTATTTATTTGAGATGAAGTCTCACTCTTTAGCCCAGGCTGGAGTGCATTGGCATGATCTTGGCTCACTGCAACCTCCACCTTCTAGTTTCAAGCAATTCTCATGCCTCAGCTTCCTGAGTAGCTGGGATTAGAGGTGTGCACCACCACACCCAGTTAATTTTTGTATTTTTTGTAGAGACAGGGTTTCGCCATGTTAGCCAGGCTGATCTCGAACTCCTGACCTCAAGTGATCCACCCACCTCAGCCTCCCAAAGTGCTGGGATTACAGGCGTGAGCCACCGTACTGGGCCAAATTAAAATGTTTTAAAAACATACTAAATACAAGTCTGGAGAAATGGCCTTAGATGTCAGAACAATGCCAAGTTGCTGCAAAAGTTTCAGGATGTTTACTTCTCAGTGTCTGACTTTCTCATTCTGAACTTGTAACTGATGCATGGACCACAGTCTGGACAACAGACTTAGGGGACGAAGGCCCTCGTGCGCCTTTGCCATTTTCATATTCTCTTCTCTTTCTCATGGATTAGAATTTTATGATCCAACCCCTTCAGCAAACAAAAGAAGAGATGAAAAACTTTATTTTCTTTTCTTTCATAGTCATTCATTTACCAGACAATTTTTGAGCACCTACTATGTGCAAGACAGGGAGCCACATATGGGGAGACTGCAGGGTACAAGAGGGAACCAGCCCCGCCCTCCTGGAGCCTCCAGCCTAAACAGAGAGCAGAGGTTCAACAGTGAATGGGGTTGAGTGCCAGGCAGGAGAACTGCATGCTACTCGGGGCTGACTTAGGTCATAGAAGACCTTTCTAGGGAAACAACATTTGCCTGATAGAGAAGAGGGAGGTGTGGATTCCAGGCAGAGGAAGCAACATATGCAAAGGCTTTGAGTCCAAAGACATGGTTGCAGTTTGTCTGTATCATCTATTTAAAATGGACAATGTAGGTACCCTTAGAGGCAGCAACTTTTGTCTTGTATCCAACCAAGACAAACACTCTGACATTGCTTGAGGAAGTATGTACATTTCATCTTGGATTGTGATAGTAAAAACTGGAATCAACCTGGAGTTCATCATCAGGGAACTGGCTGAACAAGCAGTGATATTTCCGATTCTGGCTTTCCATCCCGTCACTAAAACAGAGTGTCTGAGCATATGGCTTGGGCAGAGGGAGCGAAGGAGCCCAGGAAAGGCAGTGAGGTCGGAGGGGTGGGCAGAGCCCATGCAGGGCCTTGGGGGTCACTGCAGAGTTTAGATTTTACTTTAGGTGCACAGTGAGGCAGACTGTACCCAATGCAACGTTAACGACTCCTAGTGGACTGAGCAAAAAGAAGGTGCTGTATAAATATTGCTTGTTGCTGCCATCATTGTTGTTACTAAAGTCTGGCACCATCGATGGCATAAAACCCCTTCACACCTGTTATTGAGAAGCATCAAGGTAAGGAACCTTGACTTCAGAGTTATCCGCCAATTGCTAGACCCCAGTCCAATGGATTGGCAATCTCAATTCCCACATCTTTAAAATGAAGGAAGTAATATATAGCCTGTTTTGTGGGATTGATGTGAGGATAAAAGAGATGTGTTCTTTAATTACTTCATTCAGAGCCTTTATATGTTCATTCTTTCCTCTTACTTTAATTTCCTAACAACCCATCATTTCACAAGAAAGGAGGCCTCCAACCTGGGGTTGCAGGAGAAACTTTCCAGGTCACCAGTCAATGAAGCAAACCATCTAGGACTCCAGCCCAGATTTCCTGACTCACAATCTATCTGTTTTTACCTTACTAAGCATTCTCTTATTTTACGGGGTTGACAGGATAAGAAGGAGGAAATTTCAATACAAAAACCATCAGCAGAACTAGAAATGTTCTTGAAAGAAATGAAATTTTAAACAGCAATGAGATACTGTTCTATACCCATAAGATAGACAGAGATAAGCAATGTTTGATAACAGTTGATGTGGTTGTGGAGAAGCAGGACTCACTCAGTGACTGGAGAGAATGTCACCTACAATCTAGGGAGCACCATTCAGCAACATCCAAGAAGATTTAAGATGTTCTTGCCCTGGACTCAGTGATTCCAGCTACTGGGAATTTACCTAAAAGATAGACTTGCACATGTGCACAAAATGTGTGTGTGTGTGTGTGTGTGTGTGTGTGTGTGTGTGTGTGGTGTGATGACTATAAGCTGCAGCAAATACATATGTATATGCATATAGGTACATCTATATGTTAAATATATTTTCTGCATGTATATATGTGTGTATATATACACATTTGTTGCATGTGTGTGTGTTATGTGTGTATTTGCTGCAGCTTAAATTACAGTCATAAAATCTCAAAACCACCCAAAAGTTAATGAATAGGAAACTGGTTAAATGATGAGGAAACCACACATTAGAATGTCACACAGCCATCAATACAGAATAAGGAAGAACTTTATAAGCTCATGAAGAATAATCATTACCACATATTGTGAAGCAGTAAAAGAAAAAGAAGAAAATGAAGAACAGAATTTATAGAATACTCCTGTTTATATTTTAAAAGATGGAATAGATATATACGTTACATATATATATTATATACATAAGTTTGCATATGCACAGAACCTGTCTGGAAGTGAATTGTGTTCCATAAAGCTGGTAATCGTGGTTGCCTATAGGCAGAAGAGCTGGGGTTTGAGGTCAGGGATAGGAAGAGACTCTTTGCTTTATGCCTTTTGTACTATTGGAATTTTCTACAATGCATTCATTACATTTTCAGTAAAAATTAAGTGAATGAGCTGATGATGGTTAGCCTCTCCTCCTCAACACAGTCCCTTTCTCAGCCAGTTGTTCATGGAATTAGTACCTATGCTTTAGGTAAGCATGCCGAGTTTTGCTGAAGCAGAAGGCAGATTTGTAACTGTGGCCTTGGGATTAGCAGGTCCCCCCGTGAGATTGGAGAGTGTCTTACAGTTAAGTGATATCATCTTTGCAGAGGAAGGGTGGTTCATTTCACACCTTTGCCCAAAATCCTAATGGACATTTAAGCCATACACAGCACTACTCAGTGGAGTAGTGGGCTGCAGGCTTGCATACCTACCAAGCTGGCAGGTAGCATGAAGCTCACGGTGGCATGTACAAAATATGAGACCTTCATACCTACCAAGCTGGCAGGTAGCATGAAGCTGGTGGCATGTACAAAATATGAGACCTTCTTGGCCTGCCTTTCCCTTCCCCACTTTTGATAGGGTCCTAGGATGTACCAAAACAAATCACAACTGCAATGAGAAAATAGCACGTTAAAACCAGCCTCAAAGTCCTGCAGATGGAATGGAATCTATCATGACCTGGGAAACACCTGAATTGGGAGCCCACAGGGGCAGCTTGTGGTCACATGGGTTGCAGACATGGTGTTACTAGACCATCTTGTCATTCAAAAAGAAGCCGTAAGTCCAGCTTTTTGTATGAAATATCCTGACTTTTAACAAAATCAACTAATTCAGTTTTTCTTAAAAATATGCTGGCCAAGTCAAATGTCTATAGGCTCACTTTGGCTGACAAGCCACCAGTTTGCAACTCCTCATTTGGAAGCTGATAAAATTGCATGCTGTCTTGACCCAGTAGCTCTTTTGTGGGTGACAAGGACGCATCCTAATCATGTGTCCTTGGTCCTTTTTTTTCCCCCTCTTCCTTCAAAGGCATCAAGACAGAAGACAGCTTGAACCATTCCCCTGGCCAGAGTGGATTCCTCAGCTATGGCTCCAGCTTCAGCACCTCACCCACTGGACAGAGCCCATACACCTACCAGATGCACGGTCAGTGTGGCGCTGTGGCCCCTTCCTGCCCATCTCTAAGGACCACCTAAGTTGGGTGTCCATTCATTCATTCATTCAGCAGATTTTTTGAGCACCTACTATGTGCCAGGCTCTATCTCGAGGAGTGGAGAAAATAGATACGAGATCTGCCTTTCATGGTCGTTACCTGGCAGTGGGGAGAGACTAACGATAAAGTCGGCAAATAAGCCAGATGATTTGGGAAGGGGTTGAATGTAATAAGGCAAATAAACCTGGTCTTTGCATAAAGAGTGATGAGCACTTGGGAGGTCAGGAAAGGTGAGATTTGTGACTTTAGATCAAATCACCAGGGAAGGCTCTTTGAAGAGATGACATTGGGCAGAATCCCAAAGGGTGAGGCAGAGCAGCCACATAGACATCTTAGGGAAGAGCATTCCAGGCAGAGGGAACAGCCTGTACAAACTGTGCATGCAGGGAAATGTCTGGATGTATTGGAGGCACAGAGCTGAGACCAGTGAGACTGGAGCAAAGTCAGAAGGCATGTAGGAGGAGAGAATCTTGGAGAAAGAGCAAGGCGCAATCACACATGGCCTTGAGGGATATGGGAAGGAGTTTGCTTGTATTTTAAGTGTGATGGGACAGGCAAGTCTATTGTAGAGACTCAGAAATGTCGGGTGGTGGAAATATTGGACAGTCGGGTGAAGAAGCTGTTATTCCAGGCAGGAGGATCAAGGCTCTGCAGCCCTAGAGGGTGGCCTTAAGGAAGAAAGAACTCCATTGTGTAACCCTCCACCCACCTGCCATAAGGAACTGGCTTACTGGGTTCTCCCATGCTCATCTCCACTCTTTTACCATCCAAGAACCCTTCTCTGTTCTGGTGCCCCCTTGGGAGCATGCTGGAGTTGATGCATGGAGCAGGGGGCTGGTGGCTGTAATTATGGGGATCCCCATTCTGCTGTTTCCCTTTATATAAGCTGCTAAAAATTACCATCAAGGGTCTGAAAGGGTAAAATGATAAGATGGTGGGCTGATGTGTGATTGTACTTTTTTTTGAGATGGAGTCTTGCTATGTTGCCCAGACTGGGCTCAAGTGATTCTGCCACCTCAGCCTCCTGAGTATCTAGGACCACAGCTGTGCGCTGCTGTACCCAGCTTTGATAGTATTTTTCTTTTAAAAGCAACTACTTGGAAGTACTATCACTTCATCTTTATTATTTTAATTTTTTATTAAGGAAGTAATAAAAATGATTGTCAAGGGCAGCATTTCAGGAAAAAAAAATTGTGAAAGGAGAATAAATAATCTTAGGTATGTGTGTAGGGAAAGCAGGTGATAAGCATTCATGCCCAGCCCTGAGAATAGCTTCCTGGTAAGGTCTGTGTCCAAGTTTGTCAGTGATGCCATGAGCCAGCCTTGACCAAACATGCTAGGTGCCAGGTGATGCTCTGTGGGTTCTCTCATACAACCTTCATGACGCTCTCAAGCAACGGTACTGTATTATTCCCATTTCACAGAAGAGGAAACTGAGGCATAGAAGGAATGACTGATTTGTCCAACACCAGGGCAAGGATTTTAGATTTTATTGTAAGCATAATGGCAAAGGGACTGTGTCAGATGTCTTGGGGGCCTGGTGGAATCCCAACCCCCAGCCTCACTGCAAAGCCCATCGCTGTAACCCCGGCACTTTCCTGCCTCCTCTGCTTCTGCTCTCACGTCTGTGTCCCCAGTCGGGCCTTTCTGAGGCCCACTGAAGGGAGTAAACTCCTGAGACCCATCTCTCCAAGTGGGGAGTGAATGATGGCACCGGCCCTGATAACAGGAGGTGTGTGAAGGTACTGAACTTCAACTTGTATTTGAGTCCATCTCAAGCCAGTTTTTTTCCAGCTCTTTAAATAGAAACTGGACTTACTGCCTCAGGGCTTCTGAGGCCACAGAGGTTGAAATGGAGACCCGGTCCCCGTATCCCATTTTGACACCCCCTCAGCCACACAATAAGTGATCTAAGTTATGTAGGAGAGGCCCCCATTCATTCATTCATTCATTCATTCCGTATGTTGAGCACCAGCTTGACACCTGGCACCCTTCTAGGCACTGAGGGCACAGCAGCACACAAAGACAATCTCCTCATGGAGAAAGATGGACAGTAATCAATTGACAAGTAGATAGATAATTATAGATTTTGATAAAGCCTGTGACAGACAAAAACATGGTGGCATGCTGGACCGTGAGCAGTGGTATGGACCAGGAGTGGTGATCGGCATTCAGCAGGTGGTCAGGGGCCTCCCGATGGAAAGGAGGCTGCCACAGGAGGGGCCAGAGCTGGGCCGGGCCGTACAGGCAGCGGGAACGCAAGAGCAAAGGCCCCGCGGCAGGAAAAGGCTCACAGTGTTCAAGGACTCCAGAGGAGCCTCATCCTATCCTCCCCAGAGCAGGATATGCAGAATAATATTCTTTCTTCTTACAGCAACCGCGTGAGGTGGGCACCATAAGCCCTGCTTTCATAGATGGTGAAAGTGAGGCTCAGAGAGGGCAAGTGACTTGCCTGAAACCGCAGAGCCAATAAGTGTTCAGAGCTGGGATTCAGACTCCAGTTTCTCTGGTGCCACTTCCTCTAAATGATGAGATTTCCTGGACTCCTTCAGGACTCCAGGAACTGTCCTAATGTCTGCACATAAACATGCGGCTTAATCTCCCCAGTAGCCCCGTGACATGAGCACTGCCACTGCCCTCATCTTACAGGTGGAGAAACTGAGGCATAAAATGTTTCAGTCACTTACCCAAGGTCACACGGCCATGGCAGTGGGAAATGAGCCAGGCAGTCGCCCAGGCACATAACCCTCACGCCATCCTGCCCTTCACACTCTCTTAGATCCATCTAGAAGGTGATTCTCAGGGGTGAGCCTAGGGCCCCACCCCCCACCTCAATCCCCACCAGCCAACGTCTCCAGCTCTCTTCTCGCCCTACCATGGGAATCGTCCAGGTTATTTTCTTATCCTCCTCACAGCCCAGATGACAGAAGGGCAGCGGCAGCAGCTGGGCTTCGTCCCAATTAACTGCCTTCAGTCTGATGCTAATGGCTATAAACTGCTCTTGAGACAGCCCAGGCATTTTGCAAGCCTGACATATTCCTCCTTAAGTATTTTTTTCAAACACAAACACACAGAACGCTCACACACCATGCCCATGTGCTTCCTATTAACTTTTTTTTTTTCTGAGTTGTTCCAGAGGAGAAATAAACTCTCGAACTACTGAGAGCATTTCAGAATGGAAGACATTGGTTGAGCTTAGTTTCTCAGAGGAAGAAGAAAATAAAGAAGATTGAGGCTTATGAACTTTTAGGCCTGAAAATGCTGATTTTGTGAAATTGGCCCATGGTGAGAAGCTAGCATGAGTCTTTTTCCTTTCTAAGAATTTAAACCATAATTTTGGCCCATAATCCCAGCACTTTGGGAGACCAAGGCAGGTATATTTATTGCTTGAGTCCAGGAGTTCAAGACCAGCCTGGGAAACCTGGTGAAACCCATCTCTACAAAAAAAAAAAAAATTATCTGGGCATGGTGATGCATGCCTGTAGTCCCAGCTACTCAATATGTTGAGGTAGGAGGATCACTTTTCAGCCTGGGAGGTCAATGCTGCAGTAAGCCGTGATCATGCCACTGCACTCCAGCCTGAGCAATAGAGCAAGACCCTATCTTTAAAAAAAAAAAAAAAATGCTGGGCATGGTGGTGTGCACCTGTAGTTCCAGCTACTCAGGAAGCTGAGGTGGAAGGATTGCTTGAGCCCAGGAGTTCAAGGTTGCAGTGAGCTATGATCACCCCACTGCACTCCAGCCTGGGCAATACAGCATGACCCTGTCTCAAAAAAAGAAAAAATATATAATTTTTAGAAGCAAAAAAGGATGCTCTTGGGGCTCACCTCATCATTTTACAGATGAGTAAACTGAGGCACTGCAACAGAGT
Organism: Homo sapiens; assembly: GCF_000001405.40. Lineage (NCBI taxonomy): Eukaryota > Metazoa > Chordata > Mammalia > Primates > Hominidae > Homo > Homo sapiens. The sequence continues at coordinate 47,020,236 of NC_000020.11, forward strand.
GTCTTACGGAAGATCACAGAGCAAGCTTTAGACAAGCCAGGATGCCTCCCACTAGGTCTTCTAGCTAATCTCATAAACTTCCAAAAACTTTAGCACAGCCATCACCCCGTAAGGCCCTGGTTTGAGATCTGTATCTGTTTGGATAACACTGCCCCTCCATGGAATATACAATAAATGTAAAAGAAAAAAGTTCACAGCTCTTGTTCAGCCTTTGCAGAGTTGTTTATTTTCTTTATTTTAAGTTCACCCTGGGGTTTTTATAGCTGAAGTGTGTTTCTTATGGGTTTGATTTTTTTTCTTTTTGGCTTCTTCTGGTAAAACACTGCTATTCACAGAAATAACCACAAAGATTAAAAAGAGGGGGAAAAAAATCTCCAGAGTGTGTTATAAGAAGTTTCTGGTGCCACAGAGTTGTTAAGAGTTCTGGACCTGGCCTGTGGTCAGTCCTGGCAGTACCCCACACACAATGGCATGAGTTGGGGAAGCACATGGACTTCTCTGTGCCTCAGTTTCCTCACCTGTGAAACTGGTATCATAGTGAGAGAGGTGACAACATGAGGCTTTGGGAGACTAAATAACATGATTCATGGGCACCACAGATGAGATCCATAAAGGCTAGATTTTCTTTTTATTATCTCTGTTATTCCTTCCTTAGCATGGTAGTTAAAAACAACTAAAAGCAGGGACTCTGAAGTCAGGTTGAGTTAACCTCCAAATACGGCTGCAAACCAGCCCTGTGACCTTGAGCTCAGTTACTTCTCAGTCCTCCAGTTTCCTTCCCTATGAAATGGGGACACTAAGAGTACTTTACTCGTGGGGTGCTATGATGACTAAATGAGTTAATGTATGTGAAGTGTTTAGAGCGCACCTGGCACAAACTAACGCTCTCTAAACGTTAATTATCGTTATTATGATTGACATTGTTAGCCTCACTTCAGGTTTGATGGGCCATGTTCTTTCCAAGTTCGCTTCTATTTCCTGAACTCTCAATTTTAGTAAGTGGTCAGGGTAAGAGAAAAGAGGAATACTAATCTGAGACTGTGGGACTGTCTGCATCCACATAAACTCCCCTTCCAGTGAACTCTGTGTTGTAGGGAGACTTAAAAACAGGCCAAGTGCAGTGGCTCATACCTATAATCCCAGCCCTTTGGGAGGCTGAGGCGGGCGGATCATCTGAGCTCAGGAGTTCAAGACCAGCCTGGCCAACATGGCAAAACCCCATCTCTACTTAAAATACAAAAATTAGCCGGGTGTGGTGGCACACACCTGCAATTCCAGCTACTTGGGAGGCTGAGGCAGGAGAATCGCTTGAACCCGGGTAGTGGAGGTTGCAGTGAGCCGAGATCACGCCACTGCACTCCAGTCTAGGCGACAAAGCGAGACTCCATCTCAAAAAAAAAAAAAAAAAAGGCAAGAAAACAGTGGGATCCCTATCCAGTGGAAACTCTTTTTGCATTTATGAAGGGCCAGGGAACATAAAGACTGAAGCTTAGAACCCCTCCAGCAGCCACTCAGGAGCAACATAGAATCGTGCAATTCAGGGATGTGTAGGAAATTAAAAGTTCAGTAAAAGCACTTGTTACTCAGTGATCTCAGCTCGAGACCTCCGAGACTGGATTGTGTTGGATTTAGAAAGTCTCTGTGTCAGATTCATGAAATCTACCACCAGTAAACTGTGTGACCTTGGACAAGTCACAAAGCCTTCATGATCTGTGTTCCACAGTTCTAGTGCTAACAAGAGTTCCAGGAAAAAATAAAGGGGTTGGGGCGGGTCATGGTCATACATACCAAATACGTTTAGTCAATAGTGCATGCCACAAAGTTAAAATAGACATCTTTGCTACAGGACTTTTCAGAGCCTTTGCAGGCTGTTGTGCCTTGTACTTCTCCAGGAATAGAATTCAGGAGGCAATTTTCCCAGGCAGATGGGATGAGGGCCCCTCCGTCCAAACTCGTTCTGTGGTCACTGAGAAGCCCTGGATGTCATGATCTTTTAGGACCCTTCCTTTATGAACGTTCTTTGAATTTCTATTGTTTTAAACAATGAACATGTATGTTTTTCTTTTTCCTGTGTTTTAATTAAATTGTTTCTTGTTGAGATGGAGTCTCACTTTGTCGTCCAGGCTGGAGTACAATGGCATGATCTCGGCTTACTGCAACCTCCGCCTCCTGGATTCAAGCAATTCTCTAGCCTCAGTCTCCCAAGTAGCTGGGATTACAGGCGCCTGCCACCACACCTGGCTAATTTTTGTATTTTTAGTAGAGATGGGGTTTCACCACGTTGGTCAGGCTGGTCTCGAACTCCTTACCTCAAGTGATCCGCCCACCTCAGCCCCCCAGAGTGCTGGGATTACAGGCATGAGCCACTGTGCTCAGCCTTAATTTTTAACTGAGATATAACTCACATCCTAAACTTCACCTTTTTTTTTTTTTTTTTTTTGAGGCAGGGTCTCTGTCACCCGGGCTGGAGTGCAGTGGTGCGATGACAGCTCACTGCAACCTCTGCCTCCTGGGCTCAAGTGATTCTCCCGCCTCAGCCTTCCGAGTAGCTGGGACTAGCAGGTGCCTGCCACCATGCCCAGCTAATTTTGTTTATTTTTTGTAGAGACGGGGTTTCATTGTGTTGCATAGGCTGGTAAACTTCACCTTTTTAAAGTGTTCAGTTTAGTGTTTTTAGTATATTCACTAAAATTGTGCAACCATCACCACTATCTAATGCCACAGCATTTTTGTCACCCCGCAAAGAAACCCCATGTCCATTAGCGTCACTCCTTAGTTCCCCTCCCTCCGATATATTCCTTTTGTAATAAAAAAAAAAGACACATGAATTTTTTAAACAGGTTACACATTTACCTAGTTCGGGCATCTGTGGAAATCTTTCTTCTACCCTCATGCTACATCCACCCCGTTTCCAAACCCCTAACAATTAACCACTGTAATAATTTCGTGGGAACCCACCCAGAACATCTTTTTGCAAACATAAGTAAAATATAAGCAGTCTATTATATTGTATGTTACTATTACAAGAATTAGTTCAGACGTGATTCATAAATAAGAAAACTATGTTAGTATAACTCGGAAGTTGCATTGTTTCATTTGCTTCTAAGGGTTTCTCTATCACTGTTGTTGTTGTTACGTGCCTTGATGTAGTTTTCTTTATGATTCTCGTGCTCTGTGTTCATTGAGACTCTTAGATCTGTGGATTTATCATTTCCATCAAATTTGGAAATTTTTCAGCCAATATTTCTTCAAATTTTTGTCTGATGTTCCACACCACTACCTCCCACTCCAAGTTCATAAATCTTTTCTTCTGTAGTATCTGATCTGCTGCTAATTACATCCATGTCATTTTTCATCCCATACATCATTTTCATCTCCAGAAGTTTGATTTTGGGTGTTTTTTTTTTTTTTTTTTTTTTGAAGACAGAGCCTTGCTCTGTCACCCAGGCTGGAGTGCAGTGGCGTAATCTCGGCTCATTGCAACCTCTGCCTCCAGGGTTCAAGCGATTCTTATGCCTCAGCCACCTGAGTAGCTGGGCTTACAGGTGCTCACCACCACTCCTGGCTAATTTTTGTATATTAAGTGGAGATGGGGTTTTGCCATGTTGGCCAGGCTGGTCTCAAGCTCCTGAGCTCAGGCAGTCTGCCCACCTCAGCCTCCCAAAGTGCTAGTACAGGCATGAGCCACCATGCCCAGCCTGGGTCTTTTTCTGATAACTTCCATGTCTCTACTTAACATGTCCAATCTTTCTTCTGGCTTCTTGAACAGATAGAATCCAGTTGTAGTAAACGTTTTAATGTCCGTGTCTAATTCTATCATTCCTGTCATTTCTGGGTTCATTTTCATTGATTTTTCTCCATGTCGAAAATCATATTTTTCTGCTTCCCTGCATGCCTGATAAGTTTCAATTGGATGCCAAACATAAATTTTACCTTGTCAGATGCTGGATATTTTTATATTCCTATAAATACTTTTGAGCTTTGTTCTGGGATGCAGTTAGGTTACTTAGAAACTGTTGAATGCTTTTGAGTCTTGCTTTCAGCCTTGCCAGTTGGGATCAGAGCAGTGTTTGGTCCAGGAGAAATTTTTCCCACTACTGAGGCAAACCCTTCTGAGTATTCTACCCAATGCCCCATGAATTGTGAGGTTCTGCAATTCTGGCAGGTGGGAACAGGAACTATTCCCAGCTCCATTATGAGCTCTGAAGCTTGTTGCTTCTGATCTTTTCCAGTGGTTCTCTCTCAGCCCTGGGTAGTTTCCTTACACCCATGTGCTCATCAGTTCTCAGGTGGCCACTCAAGGGGAACTGTGAGCAAACCTCCAGAGCGCTCCCAGCACAACTTTCTTTTTCTGGGAGTTCTGCTCTGCCAATTCCAGCCACATTAGCCTCCGCTGACTTGCAGCTCCATCTCCCCAGCTCAGAGAGACCACGGGCCTCCACCTGGGTTTTCCCTTCTTGGAAACTCTATCCTGGGGCAATCATACAGCTCACCATCTGTTTCTCCTCTTGCAAGGATCACTGTCCATGCCTAAGGCCCAATGTCTTGGAAACCTAGTTTTCAAACTGTTTCAGCTGGGAGGGTAAATCCAGACCTTGTTACTCAGTCTTGGCCAGAAGTGAAAATTCCACTGCATTGGTTCATTTGTAATTTTTCCAGAGCATGGGCTAACAGCAGCTGAATGTAAAATACCAAACACAAGCAAATGCAGCAAGCCTGGTATGAGTACAGTTCTGCTCAGAATGCCCTATCTTCTTCCTCTTCCTCAGTTTGGTTACATGTTCTATTTTGGGAGAACTAATTTTGCAATTCCTGCCAATTTTTATGCATTTTGCCCTTGTTTCCATAATTCAGCACCTCCATCATCTCTTCATCACCTCCATCAAGATACTTTCACTTCCTTTTAAAAGCAAAGATCTCTATTTAATGTAATGCTTCTCAGTTTATTATTTACATTTTTATTTTTTCACCATGCTATCATTTTTACTGGGATTGTCACTGCTTTGGTTAATGCTCTGGTTACAAAGTGGCATTGCTGTGGGGCAGTCAGCTGTAACCCTACTTCTTCCCATAAGCTCTCTGATTTTAGTGCACAGGTTTGCATAACTCATGGCCTTTCAAGAAAGCATTATCACATGATGGCAGAAACACTTGTCTATATTCTTTTCACAGATAACATCCTATGCACACTCTTCTGCACTTCGTTTTCCTCATTTAGCTATATACCTTGGAAAGAACTTGCTAAGTCAATATATAGAAAGAGCTTCTTCATTCTTTTTCATAGATGCCTATTATTGCATTGAATGATGTGCTATAAATGATTGAGCCAGTTCCTTACTGGGGGCCATTTGGCCTGTTTCTACTCTTTTGCAACTGCCTCCGAAATGGTCATGAAAACCCCTATATGTATATTATTTTTTATAAGTATATCTGAAGGGCAAATTTCCAAAAAGTAGGAGTTGGGGTCAAGGGGCAAGTCTATATTTAAATTTGGTAGATATCTTCAAGTTACCCTCCATAGGGATTCTACCCATTTACACTCCCCCCAGCAGTGTCTGGGAGTAGTACCTGTTTTCACAAAAACTCATCGACCCAGTGTCATCTTACGGTTGAAGTTTTTGCCAATCTGATGCGTGAAGAAATGGTGTCTCAGGGCAGTAGTAATTTCTAAGTCTTGTCCCACAAGTGAGGTTGAGCATCTTTTCAGACCCTTGACTGATTTGTATTTCCTTTCCTGTGAACCAGGAGATTTGACTTTTAAAAGTTTGCAAAAGAAAAGCAATTAAGTACTAGGCATACCAATATTTAAGCATATCATAAAGCTTCAATAATCAAAGCAACATGCTTCTAGTGTGAATACACTCACCGATCAATAGAGGAGAACAAATGGTCTCAGAGAGAGACCCACACATTTAGTACGTGGAGAAGGTGATGTCTTGAGTCAGTGGGAAAATATGAACTATTGAATGAATGGCATTGGAACAGCTAGTTAGCCATCTGGAGAAAAGTATCCATTCCTACTACCAGAAAACAAATCCAAATGGATTGACGGTTTAAATGTTAAAAATAAAACCATAAAAATACTAGAACGAGAATAAGCACAATTTTTTATAACCTTGGAGTGGAAAAGGCTTTTCTAACCAGGACTCAGAAATCCAAAATCCATAAATGAAAAGATTGACAGGTTCAACTACAGAATTTTTTTTTTCTTTTTTGGCACGGCAAAGAACACCAGAAGTCAAAACAACAAAACAAATGACAAAAAACAAGCAAACAAACAAAAAAAAAGAAAACAAAATGACAAACTGAAAAGAAATATTTACATCTGAAATCACAAAGAAATGTTACTTTTTCAAAAATGATTCTACTAGTCTATGGATTGAACCTGCTCCAGGATGTGGTTCTTCTCAATCAGGATTTCAGACTCAAATAGTACAGGGCCGAGCAGTAATGTAAAAGAGAGACATGAGCTAGATATAGGGTTATAGGGAGTGGTGGGAACTGTAGCAAATTAGAGACTAAACCCCCCACCAACGCTGGGGATAGTGGGGTGTTACTTGGCTTCAGCCCATTGCTGCCCCTCTAGAATGGATCCCAAGGAGACCACATCTTTCCATTTTTCAAAGTGATCCCTAAAACTCTATTTAATGTGAAATCTCCTTATTCTTTTTCAATATGGACAATTGATATACACTCTCTTTGAAACACCTTGTGAAGCATACAAACACGTATAAGGCTGGCTTCATGCCCACATCTTGCAGTCTTGCTCCATATTTTAACTGAACCACAGGTCCCGAGATGTCTAGATGGGGCAAATCACAAGCTAAGTGGTGACTTGGGGAACCACACAGATCACCTCCTTTGGGTTCCCCCACCTCTGGCTTATTTCATCAGTGAGGTATGTTTCAGAGAACTTGAGTGATAGGTGTGGCCATAGTTGAGAGTGGAGCCCAGTGGCCTCCTCATGGTGAAATGGAGTCATTTCCCTATTTCTCTCCGGTGATGGCATCTTTCAGGCTGTCCCAGCCCAGCCAGTTTTGAGCAGTCTAAATCTTCCTGATCTCACTGCATCGGTCAAGACAGGAGCCAGTCTTGGCATCCTATGGGTTGTTGGACTGAGGCCGAGTTCCCTAATGTGAATCAGCAACTCTTCTGCACACAATGAAGTGGGTGAAGTTTCCCCATGCATGTCAGCATTCTCGCCCCTGTGCAACACCTCCAGCCTGGGGGGTCACTCTCCCCTCCCCTTCATGTGTGCTGGCAGGCTTGCTGCCTTTTGCTTGAGCTAAAGTCTTCTGAATTTAGAACGTATAGAGTTTAAATGGAGGGTCTTTCCTCTAGTTACATAACAAGTTAGATTTGGTCACCCCTATCTCCAAAAGCCACTGGAGGTAACAGGCGGAAACAGCTGGAGAGATTGAGAATGAGTTTGGGATCAGGAGGGAGTTTAGTTCAACAGCAATTTGCTAAGGCAGTGCTGTCCAACAGACCCTTCTGTGATGATGGAAATCCTCTGAGTGGCTGTGCAACGTGATAGCCCCTAGCCACAGGTGGCTACTGAGCACTGAAATGTGGTTAGTGCAACTGAGGAATTGAATTTTTAATTTTGTTTAATTTTAATTAATTGTAAATGCACCTACTCTATTGGGCAGCACAGGTCTAAGCAATGTTTCAAAGCTAACTCTTAAGTTGTGTTATGGACTGAATTGTTTCCCGCCCCTAAAATTCATATGTTGAAGCTGTTACCTCCAATGTGATGGGTTTTGGTGATGAGGCCTTTGGGAGGTGTTAGGGTTAAATGAGGTCATGAGGGTGGGGTCTTCAGAATGGGATTGCTGTTCTTATAAAAAGAAAGAGAGAGAGAGATCTCGACCTCCTTGTCTCTCCCTGAATGCACATACTGAGGACAGGCCATGCAAGGACACAGTGAGAAGGTGACCATATGCAAGCCAGGAAGAAGACCTTCACCAGGAATCCAACCAGCTGGCACGTTGACCTTGGACTTCTTGGACTCCAGAACTATGAGAAATAAATGTCTGCTGTTTAAGCCACCTAGGTGACAGCATTCTGTGACAGCAGCCTGCACTAAGACAGTAGGTTTTTCCTAGACATGCAAAAGCAGAAATGGAAAAGCTAATATCCTGAGCATTTTGTTTGTTTCTCTTTTGAAGATGCTTCACCTTCTTCTCTTCTTGCCCCCACTATCAGACGGATTTTCAAAGCAAAGCAGGTCTACGTGTGGCATCAGGAGCTGGTGAGTGACAGAAGCTGGTGCCTTCATATAGCCGTCATCCCAGTAGATATTAAGGGAGCATCTCCTCTGTGCCAGGCACTGTGCCAGGTGCTGAGAAAGCAGAGGTGAGCAAGACAAATACAGTCCCTGCCCCCCTGGAGTTCACACCAGGGATGAGAGATGGACAATAATCCAATGATGGCACAACACATGTAAAATTGTACCTGTAAAGCTCTAGGACACAGGGCCAAGACAGAGTCTGCAACTGTCTGGCTCCAAGCCTGTGCTCTTCACTCTGCCACTGGTCACAGATCCAGATGCCTCATGAGCCAGCCCACAAGGTCAGTGTGTGAAGATGGCTGGGTGGCCCTGTGGCAAACTAAGGAGCCCCAGCCCTATATACCGGGGTAGCCCCACCCCATTAAAGCTGGTTATTGCGATGCCATAGATTATTCAAAATTTAAATTAAAAAAAAACAAATGCCAGAAATCTTTTATAAGAAATTTCCCAATTAAAAAGACTTAAATTGGTAGCAACAAATTTTTAAAATAAAATAAAACTTACTGTGCAAGCCAAAGCACATGTACAGATTGGATTCAGCCCACAGGCTGCCATTTTGCTAACTGTGTTCTCTATCATGACCATGGAGAGAACTGATGTGAAGGCAGGGGACTCTGAGCTCAGAAGGGGAAGAAATGGGGGTTAGCATATTCAGGACAGGGTGTAAGAAGGCAGAAGGGCCACAGGTTATGGATGTGTCCTGTCTCAGCCACATCAGCTGGAAGAATAATGATGGCGTGGTTTCTAGAATTAAGAGTTGAAGTTGAACAAGGGCTCAGCCCATAGAAGGAGCTTATCGAAGACATGCTGTGGCAACTTTGCCTGGCCACCCTGTAGCTCGCCAGTTACTTTGATGGGCAGCCATGGCTTTTATCCATATTTTCAGGGCAGAAGACAGGTGGAACCAGAATGATGCCATAATGGTTGTAACCAGTGGGTGGCCAATTTGGGGTTGACATAACTGTATCTGCAGGGGAAGCATGATCAGGTCCTTCTTCATATTTAAGGCTTACCTACTCCTTTTACCCCTTCCTCTATAAGTAGCACTGCTGTCTCTTACATCCTTTTCCTCATACCTCCCATTCATTCTGTCTACAAGGTTACTAACTTCCTTATTCTCTATACTTAACACATCTTTACATTTTGCCCATATCACCCAAGCTCCTTGCCTACTCACTAAGTTTTTATAACACTTCTTCCAAGTTTCATTCACCCCATCTCTTTTTCTTTTTTCTACAACACATAATTGAACATCGTTAAATATTCAATTAAGAATTATTGAACACAGTACAGTTACAATTGAACATATTACAATAGCATTCTTACAAAGTTCTATGTATGTTAAAGCCCTGAAAAAAAATTCTGCTTGTAAAATGGACTGATGTGTTGGAACAGAGGTGAGCAAACTTTCTGTAAAAGAGCCAGAGAGTAAATATTTTAGATTTTGAGGGTCATAGGTCTCTGTCCCAATTACTCGTAACTCTGTCATTGTAGATTGAAAACAGCCATAGTCAATACGACAACGAATGGGCAAGGCTGTCTTCCAAGACAGTGTTATTTACAAAAGCAGGTGGTGGGTTGGATTTGGCTGAGCTCTGTGTTCTAGGGTCATATTATTAAAACCAGATCTTATCTGCCTGAATGTTTGGTTGGATATTTGAAAGTCAGGTGGGACCTGGGAATGGTCTTCCTTTTGCTGGACTCTCCACACATTGCAGAATGTCTGCACCTCTGTCACCTGCCCACTAAATGCCACTAGTTCCTCCAATAAAAGTGTCCCCATGAATTTCCAGGCACCCCCTAGGGGTACTGCAGCCACCCAACCACTGGTTTACACAGTGGCAGGTTCAGGCATGGGGAGAGGTGGCTGTGGTGTAGGAATGAACATCTGTCATTCACTCAGCAAACATTCACCAGCGTAGGCTCTGTTGCAGGCAGCATGCTAAGCATGGGCCACACAGCCCCAGGCTGACAGTCAAGCCACACCTTCATGGAATTTATATCCCAGGGAGGATACAGGCGGTGCATGAGTCTAGTTAACCTGCCATAACAAAATACCATGGTCTTGGTGGCCTAGACAACAGAACTTTATTTTCTCACAGCTCTGGGAGCTAGAAGTCCCAGATGGAGGTGCCAGCAGATTCTCTTCCTTGTGAGGGCTTGCTTGTATATGCTCGCTCTGTGAACACATGGCCTCTCCTCTTTGGGTTCACAGAGAGAGAAATCTCCGGTGTCTCCTTTTTTTGAAAGACAGGGTCTTGCTCTATAGCCCAGACTGTAGTGCAGTGGTGCAATCGTAGTCACTATAACCTCGAATGCCTGGACTCAAGCGATCCTCTCGTCTCAGCCTCCTGAGTAGCTGAGACTACAGGTGCACACCAGGCTGCTGCTGCTTATAAAGACACCAGTTATTACCTTGTAACTCTTATGACCTCATTTAATCTTCATTACTACTCTGGAGGCCCTGTTTCCAAATACAGTCACAATTGGGGGTTACAGCTTCAACATAACGAATCTGGGGGCCACAATTCAGTTGCAACACGCAGTGGGTAAGGAAATGAGCAAATGACAAGATGATGTCAACTGTGATGAGTGCTCCAAGGAGAATAAACAGGGAGATGTAACAAAGAGAAACCAGGAAGGACGCCAGGCTCTCTGAGGAAGTGACAGTGGAGCTGGCACTTGCAAATTCGGAAGAGCCAGCCATGGGTCACAAGTGTCGCCAGCAGATAGGAGGCCAAGTGGCTGAGGAGCCAAGGGGAGAGGGGTGGGGAATGAGTTGGCCGGTGCTCAGGCACCGGGAAGCCATGGGGTTCTAAAACAGGGCAGGTGATCTGGTTTGCATCTCAGAAAGACCAGTTGACTGCTGGGATGAGTGGACTATGGGGGGATGGCAAGGGCTGCAAGGAGGCCAGGAGGGAGTTCTGTCCTGAGACAGTGCCTGACCTGTCCCTAGCTCTCCCTTCCCCTCCGCTTCTCTAGGTCAGACACAGTGAAGCCAGTATTCACAAGTGTACCTGTGACAATGCCTGCCAGATCTCAGTGACCCCATTCAGAAAATTCTAGAATTATTACAACTTATCCTTTTACTCCCAGAGGAATGAAGGCCCAGAGCACGGCTTTGATGACGTTGCTTTTGTGTCACTTGTTTCTTATTTCATTTGTTTATCATTTTTATTTCTGACGTTTCGATGAAATGAGAACTGGGCCCACAACCAGGGTCTGCACCTGCACAATTTGTTGAAAAGTCATAGATGAAATCTCTCTGCCATCTGATCATTGGCAGGGGCAGGGGTGGGGGAAGGGGAGTGGAATGAGAAAAAGGAAAAAAAATGCACCAAATTTTAAAAACCAGTACAAACACACAAAAAATGCAGAGTCCTATCCAAGGAACAAGTCCCTGCCCTGCTAATTCCTTAGAGATAAAAGGAGAGCAGCCTGCTCCCAGCCCAGGCAGCCCAGCCTTCTGTTCAGGAATTGAAAGGGGTAATTAAGGGGTAGGGGAAATACAGCCTCAGGCAGGGAGCCATTTATTAGAGAGGCACAGACAGACACACAGACCCTGCAACTCCTCAGTTCAGAGAGGAGGCACAGCCAGGACAGAAGCCAGGCTGTGGGATGCTCAGTATGTACCCTTAAAGCAAACCAGATTTTTGCTGCTCCTAAAAGTTCAGGTGGTAAAGCGGGGACCAGAGTCCAGATTCCACCCACCTTTGAGTTATGTGCTTCTTTCCCTGGGCCCGGGGAACATGCAGGGAATTCCTGATTTTTGTATTATTTCCCATTCAGTAGCTTTACACATGTCCCAGGAAGGCAGCTTAGCCCCCTAGTCCTGAATCCACCTGCCTTCTTACACTGCTTTTTATTTTTCATACATTTATTTTAAACCACATCAGTGCTATTAGTGTGTATCTTTCCAGAACATTCTCTATGTATGCATTTACGAGCTTATTTTTCTTCTCACCAGTAGAAAATCCTGTTTTTTTAAACACAAGTAATATCTTGGTGTGCATCTTGTTTTATAAGTTGTCTTTTATATTTTTCGCCAATTAACATGTCTCGGAGATCTCTCAAAGTCGGTTCAAACAAACCCACTTTAGTCTCTTGTTTGGCCTCTGCAGACGCTGCAGTACTGCATCGAGAAAGCCAGATGCTGGGGTTGAATCTCCGCCTCTGCACTCACTGGCTGTGAGACTTGATTTTCTCATCTGTGAAATGGGGTTTATAGGAGTAGCTTTTGTGAAGCCTGGGACAAAGTCAAGTGCTTCCTTGCTTTGGCTATCATGGTTAGTGTTATGGATATACCACGGCATTTAGCCATTCCCCTTGAAATGGACAAAACTTCCCACATTTCACTGTTTTCACAGAGAAGCCTGCAATCTTGAATTTTGGTTGCTGCAGCCATTTGCTGTCCCCGTATGTGTCTCCCTTTGTGGCAACCAGGGCCCCCTTCCAATTCCCGCAGCAGGCCTCGCCAGGTCTCGCCACACTTTGCATCTCTGCTACTCCAGCCCTAAACTGCAGCCTGTAAGAACTGGCAGCTCAAAAAGATTGTGCAACCCCCAAGACCATAGCTCAGGGCCATCCCAGCTGCTGCTGCAGGTGAGCCCTAGCCGGCTGCCTGACCTTTAGGTCAGTGGAGTATTTTTGATCGCTTAGGAGCAAGAGAAGAGAGCCAAGAGGAGGCAAATACCGAAGCCTACTAGAGACAACCCAGGATCCCAGAAGTGTATTTCTAGAAGGGGTGATAGAGATCATCTAGGTCAGGGGTCAGTCCAAATAGGAAAAACTTCAGGCTTTGCAGGCTATACAGTCTCTGTTGCAACTGCTCAACTCTGCCAATGCACTGTGAACATTGTTATAGATGACACATAAACAAATGGCATGGCTGTGTTCCAATAAAACTTTATTTACAAAAACAGGTGACCAGCCCACAGACCATAGTTTGCCAACTCCTGATATGAGTTGGTCTAAGTCAATCCATCCCGGGGCCTGGGTGAGTTGCTATGGCTGCCTTTAGTGCTGTTCCTGACACTGAATCATACACAATGACCCAGAGTGGCAGGACTGTATTTCTTGCCCTTCTTGCAGGCAAGGTGTCGGGGAGAGGCAGTCAGCTAATTCTAGCCACTGAACTGAGAGTGGAAATGATCATGTCATGCCTAGGCCAGAGCATTCAATGGCCAATACAAGACTCTGCCAGTGTTCAAATTGAAGGCTGCTCCTTTAACTGGTGCCCTTGAGTGACTCCAGTGAACATAGTCCCTGATGATTCTCAATGGACATATAGCATGAAAGATAGATCAACTTTGATTGCATTCAAGCCAGTGGGATATTGGGGATGTTTGTTACCACATCATACCATAACCTCTCCTGACTAATTTATTGGCACAAGAGATTATTTTACATGGAACATGAAAGTGGCACTCAAAGTCATTGGGTCACATAGTGAGGAAGTCATTCCCCTTTCTGTCATCTTTCAGCCCTTCTGATTCAGTGATAAAGGGAGGAAGGAAGTCTCTATTTGATGCTGATATATCTTCAATGTGTCTCTAATCCCTGCAAATACTTCTTTTTAACAAGATGAGAGCAAACCCTAGGTTTAAGGTCTTTGGCAGACAACAGTATTTGGCTAGAATTAAAAACATTTGTTCCCTATGTATTTTTTGTGTTTTGTATTTATCATTAATGGCAAGTGGTATTGATTTTCTATTTACAGTAATAATATAAAGTCTTCTCAGACAAATTTATTTAAGTAAAAACAGTGAATGATTATACGGATAGGGCTTAGGACACAGGTAAGTTTCGCAAAAATGTGAGTCAACATTAAGCTGATATAAGGGAAATATTAAATAAAAGAATAGGCCAGGTAGTTTGAGGATATTTAAAAACTGTGTGGGGGCAGGGAGATGAGTAGAGTCTGGATGCAGGAATCTTGTTCAATATCTTCCTTGCATAAGTGTGCAAGTGGAGGCTTAGAGAGGGGATGTGCTTTGCTGTGGGTGAACCAGCTTCCCAGGACCAAGGCGAGGAGGGATCCCCAACTTTGCAATTCAGAGGCCAGGCTATCCTTGTGCCCGAGGCCCTGTCCCCACCAAAGTTAAAAGGAAAACTGAGGAATGCCAGTAAGTCAACAGAATTGCCTGGATGTGTTTCCTAAGACTGTCATAACAAAGCACCACAATCTGGGTCACTTTGAAGAATATAAGTTTATTGTCTCACAGTTCTGGAGGATAGAAGTCTGAAATCAAGGCATTGGCAAGGTTGGTACCTTCTGGAAGCTCAGAGGGAGACTGTCCCATGCCTCTCTCCTGGCTTCTGGTGGTGGCAGGCATTCCTTGGCAATCCTTGGCCTATAGATGCTTCACACCAATCTCTGCCCCCATCACCACATGGCATTCTCTCTGTGTGTCTGGGTCCAAATTTCCTTCTTCTTATGAAGACACCCTAATCCATTATGACCTCATCTTAATTTGATTACATCTGCAAAAGACACTGTTTCCAAATAAGATCACATTTACAGCTACTGGGCCTTAGGAGATGAACATAGCCTTTCAAGGGACGCAACTCTACCCACGACATCACCCAACCAGGGTCCCTGGCTGAGCTGCAAGAGGCTTGGAGCCAAGAACTGCGTCCTGTCCCTGAGCTGGCTGGGCTTAGCAAAAATTGAAACCACCCTAGTGAAAGAGGTCGGTCAAGGATCCTGCTGCTCAGCTGGCTTGTATTAGTCTCAGTCTGAGACGGTGGCGGCAAAGATGGTCTAGGCCCCAGCAAGTGAGGCAGCAAGAGGCCAATGCCAGCAAAGGTCAGGGCTCCCTCTTTAAGTATAAATAGAACCTTCTTCCCAGCCACCCCCTCCCATAGCCACACAATATCTCTTTCAAAGATCTCAAAACACTGAAGCAGACCGTACCAAATTGACTTTATTGTTTTAAAACCAGCCCCTTCTGTCTGCCACCACCCGCCACCCCTTCCCGAAGGGGAAGAAAAAAATCATAATAGATGTCTCTCCAGCGTGCACCTCTGTTCTCCTCTCTCTAATGGCAGCTTGGGACCCTGAGGCAGTGACGCTTAGTAATGTATCCTAATAGTCAGTGTTTGTCTGACAAATACCTAGTGACCACAAGCCTAATCAGGGCCGCCATGAATTAATGGTCAGTGTAGTGATGGGTGCTGAATGATCATAAAAATAGCTAATACTGGGCCGGGCTTGGTGGCTGATACCTGTAACTTTGGGAAACGGAGGCAGGAGGACTCCTTGAGACTAGAAGTTCGAGACCAGCCTGAGCAACATGGCAAAACCCCGTCTCTGAAAAAAAAAAAGAAAAAGGGGGCCATGTGTGGTGGCGTGCACCTGTGGTCTTAGCTACTTGGGAGGCTGAGGTGGGAGAATCACTTGAGCCTGGGCAGTCGAGGCTGCAGTGAGCTGTGATTGTGCCACTGCACTCCAGCCTGGGTGACAGAGTAAGACCCTATTTCAAAAGAAAGAAAAAACAATGCTCACGCTGAATGAGGGCTTCTGGGGACCACGGACCAGGCTGAGCACTTGGCCAGTATTCACTCCCTTGGTCACCACTTCAGTGTTTGCAGCAAGTTGTTGCCATTTGACAGATGAGAAAACTGAGACTCCAAGGGAGGAAGCGAGAAAGCTGGGAGGTGGCGTAACCGGGATCAGGGCCGGGACTAGCATGAAGTAAGAGAGGCACTGGCTCCATGTGCAAAATGTAACAGAGTGCCAGGAAATTCAATCATGGATAACTATTTTAAGGCACTATTTAAAATAGCCAAAGTTCGCGCAAAAACTCCCTGATGAACAAAGTATCAAATTTTGAAATAAAGACAGACTCCTGCTGTTTGTTTAGTGACCCAGCAATATTGTGGAACAGGAATGGTCGTTTCCAATCAGCCCAGGGTTCTGGTGCACACGGGCATTATGGTCCTGCCGTGGCAGGGCTAGGAGGGTAAGCAGACAGATTTGGCAATACAGGGACTGTTATAAAGTCATGCTTCTTGATAATAGTGTTTTTAACTTCTTCCACTTGCTTCGTAATATTGGAGGATATTTTGGGAAATGCATATAAGAGCATGTATTTTTCCTTTTGCCTCAGGCTTCAGTACAGCTTGGTTCAGTGCCAATCAGGACACTTCTCCAGGCAGCCGGAATCCAAAGTTCTTGCTTTATTTATTTCCTTCCTTCCAGTAGGTTCTACAGTTTTGCACACACCACCTATGTCACCTGCATAACCAAGTACAGGGGTTCAGAATGTGGCCACTGAACTCAGATCGCCTAAATTCAAATCCCAGTTCTGCCAGTTATCAACTATGTGACAGGCAAGGGGCTTTGTTTTTCTGGACCTCTGTTTCCACATTGGTAAGATACAAATGATGGGTGTATTAGTTTGTTTTCACACTGCTATAAATAACTGACCGAGACTGGGTAATGTATAAAGGAAAGAGTTTTTATTGACTCATAGTTTAACATGGCTGGGGAGGCTTCAGGAAACTTACAATGATGGTGGAAGGTAAAGGGGAAGCAAAGCACCTTCTTCATAAGGTGGCAGGAAGGAGAAGTGCCAAGAGAAGCAAGGAGGAGCCCTTTATAAAACCATCAGATCTCATGAGAACTCGCTCACTATCATGAGAACAGTATGGGGGAAACCACCCCCATGGCTCAATTACCTCCTCCAAGTCTCTCCCTTGACACCTGGGGATTATGGGGATTGAGGATTATAATTCAAGATGAGATTTGGGTGGGGACACAAAGCCTAACCATATCAGTGGGAATTCCCCTACTCATCAGCAGGTTGTTGTAGTGATTAAATGAGTCAAAACTCATGCAACACTGAGAATAGACATGGCGCAAAAGAAGCACTCCGTGTTCATTGGCATTATTACGTGTTGCATTGTTATGTGTTGCATTGTATTATTAGTTTTCCATGACTTCTATAACAAATTACCACAAACTTCGTGGCTTAAAACAACATGAATTTGTTATCTTACCATTTTGGATGTCAGAAGTCTTACTGGGCTAAAATCAAGGCATCAGCAGAGCTTCTGGAGCCTCTAGGGGAGCATCTGTTCCCTTGCCTTTTCCAACCTCCCAAGGCTGCCACTAGTCCTTGGCTTGTAGACCCTTCCTCAAGCCAGCTACAGTGGGTTGATCTTCTGTAGTCCCATCTCTCTGACTCTTTCTGCTGCCTTTCTCTGCCACTTTTGAGGACCCTGGTGATTAAATTAGGCCCTCTCAGGTAATCCAGGATCACCTCCCGATCTTAAGCTCAGCTGCTTAGCAACCTTAATTCCATCTGAAACCCTAATTTCCCTTTGCCACACATGTAACCTAAATATCCACAAGTCCTGGGATTCGTATTGGATATCTTGGTGGGTAGGGGCATTTGTTCTCTCTACCACACGTGTTCATCATTCAACAAGTATTTATTCACAGCATCTGCTGTGCAGCAGAATTAGGATTTACAGCAGTGACAAAACAGATAAAAACTGCCCTTGCAGGGTTTACATTCTAACAGGGAGAGGTAGATGTATATATATTTTTAATTTTAAGTAAAATTCATAGTGTTTCTGATGGTGATGGATTCATGTAGAAAAAATAATAGAGCAAGGGAGAGAATTAGGAAGCTGATGATTTTAGGTAGGGGTGGGGCGGTCAGGGAAAAAAGTCAACTACTGGCTGGGCTCAGTGGCTCATACCTGTAATCCCAGCACTTTGGGAGACCAAGCTGGGAGGATCACTTGAACCCAGGAGTTCGAGACCAGCCTGGGCAACATGGCAAGACCCCGTCTCTACAAAAATTAGCCAGGCATGGTGGCATGTACCTATAGTCCCAGCTACTCAGGAGGCTAAGGTGGGAGGATTGCTTGAGCCCAGGAGATTGAGGCTGCAATGAACTGTAATCGCACCATGGCACTCCAGCCTGGGTGATAGAGTGAGACCTTGTCTCAAATAAATAAAAATATAAATATAAACTACTGCTTCTGCCCACAAGGGTGCTCTGGGGACAGGTCCACATAGGGCAGAGGAAACCCTGAGGGGTCTGTGTGTGTGTGTGCACGCACACATACACAATGTTCATTGTGATATAAAATTTACCATCTTAACCATTTTTAATTATACAGTAAGGAGTGTGAACTGTATGCACCACTTTGTGCAACAGATTTCTGGAACTTTTCCATCTTGCCAAACTGAAACTATATCCATTGAACAACTAGTCCCCGTTCCCCGCACGTAGCCCCTGGCAGCCACCGAGGACTTCCTGTTTCTAAGAGTGTGAGTACTTTAGATACCTCACGTAAGTGGAATCGTACAGTATTTGTCTCCTGAGGGGCTTTTGTGAAGAGAGTAGGGGCTTCTCGAACAGGAGAAAAACAAACAAAAAAACATTGATCTTTTTCACAGCTACTGGGCCTTAGGAGATGAACTTAGCCTTTTAGGGGATGCAACTCTACCCACGACATCACCCAGCCTGGGTCCCTGGCTGAGCCGCAAGAGGCTTGGGGCCAAGAACTGTGTCCTGTCCCTGAAATGGCTGGGCTTAGCAAAAAACCAGAGCAGATGTCGAAATCACACACACACACACACACACGCGCGCACAATTCTATAATGTGAGTTTCTAACTATTTTGACCTAGACCAGGTGTAGGCTAACTAAAACCCTCAGGCCAAATCTGCCTGCTGTCTGTTTTTGTACCACCCATGAGCTTAAAATGGGTTTTACATTTTCAGATGGTTGAGGAAAAGAATCAAAAGAAGAATAATATTTCATGGCACATGAAAATGATATGAAATTCAAATTTCAGTGTCTACTAATAAAGTTTTATTGGCACACGGCCACATCCATTCATTATGTCTATTGTCTGTGGCTACTTTCCTATCACAAAGGCAGAACTGGGTCATTGCAACCAGAGACCATGTGGCCAAAGTAGAAAATATTTACCGTCTGTCCCTTTACAGAAAATGTTTTCCCGTCCCCTGATCTAGACCCACAGAAAGAAATGCGTTTTATATTTTAACCCTGAGCTGGCACTTGGGCATGCATATACCTACAATGGAAACAAAGTATCAACAAAATCACACCCTCACTGCCTGAGATCAGTGCAGTATTCTCAATTCTCTTTTTTCTATTCCTGAGGCGGGGCATCTTGTAGTGATAAAAGACACAGATTGTGGAGCCAGCCTGCCTGGGTTCAAATCCTGGTTTTGCTGTTAACTGTGTGACTGTGGGATATTTTTTCGTTTCTCTGTTTCCCAGCTTCTTCATCTCATAGGGTCATTGTGAAGATCAAATACTTTTTTTTTTTTTTTTTTTTTTTGAGATGGAGTCTTGCTCCGTCACCCAGGCTGGAGTGCAATGGTGCGATCTCAGCTCACTGCAACCTCCGCCTCCCAGGTTCAAGCGGTTCTCCTGCCTCAGCCTCCCGAGTAGCTGGGATTACAGGCGCCCGCCACCACACCCAGCTAATTTTTGTGTTTTTAGTAGAGACGGGGTTTCACCATGTTGGCCAGGCTGGTCTCGAACTCCTGACCTCAGGTGACCCACCCACCTCGGCCACCCAAAGTGCTGGGATTACAGGCATGAGCCACCGCACCTGGCAAAGATCAAATACTTAATAGAGGCAATGTTTAGCCATGCTTGGTGAGACTGCACCCAGTAAGTGTTTGCCATTTTAAGCACAGAAGGCCATCTTTTCTACAGTATTGGTTCTATCTGCTAAATTCATTTCATACACACTAGCAGGTCTTACCCAGTTTGCAAATACTGTTCCATAAAGAAGTGGGAACGGTCTTGGCAGTCTTTGAAGAATGGTATGTTCCACTTAGAGCCTGTCTCCGTATCTCCCTCAATGGGGGATCTTGGGCAAGCTCCTTCCACAGTCTGAGCCTCAGTTTTCTGGTCTGTCGAAGGGGAATTGCTGTACCTCTCCTGTAAAGCCAAACTGAGGACTAGTGAGAAAACGCCGAGTTGGGGCTCAGCACGGGGCCAGCCCTCAGGGACATTCAGCACTGTTTTCATTATTTCCTGTTCTGTTACACGCTCTGCTGTTACACAAGGAAAATAACAACCATACAGCAGCAACTGTTCTAATCACATCACACGCATAGCTCCTTTAATCACAGCCACACAACAGGTAGGGACTGAAACACAGAGACATCAAGCAAGTTGCTTGAGGTCACACAGGTAAGAAGCTTGGGTCTCAGCTCAGCCTTTCTGGCTGAAAGTCAATGCTGTTATCACTGTAACTACACTAGAACTTGTCTTGAACTGTCCCTAGAAATGGGAGTGTCTGGGGGTTAGGGGGGAGGTTAAAAAACCAAAACCTGTAAACCACTGTGACTTAGGGCTTATGTAGCCAGCATCTTATCACTGGACAGCACATGTTCTGAGGGCATGCCAAGGGTTTCACAGAACACGTGAGGCTCCACTGTGTGCTCACAGCTGCAGGGGGCCAGAAGCACCCTGTGGGGTCCCAGCAGGTAAGGAGCTTAGGCCTGGCTGGAGGATAAACCACCCTCCACAGGGAAGTTAGATAACCAGCAGGTGGGTGCAGCCCCCAGGTCCCTGCTCCTCCTGCCAGCCCGCTGAAGCAGTCCCGCCCCTGCGAGTTAGAATTCTACAGAAAAATCTGATTTCTGTTCTCTAGTGTTTAAAGAACCCTCTGATCCTAAGGAAATCTAAAAACTTTGGCAACTGGCAACTCCAACCTGCCAGAAAAGCCTCCCTCCCCATGCTCTTTCCTTTAATTTATCTTATGTTATTTTGAATAGTGAATACCTGCACATAGTACAGAGGTAGCAGTTAAGTCTGCCTCCCACTTTTAACCCATAGCCATCCAGATCTCTTCCCCAGAAGCAGCCCCCATCACCAGTTTCTTCTGTGTCCTTCAAGAGATAGTCTGTGCACGACTAAGCATACATGTATATTGAACACTTTTATACAGATGGTAAAAACCTAACCCTAAACCTACCAGGACTCATAAGCTTGTAGCAACTGCCAACGGTCTGTTCTGGTCTGCTCTTTTTATCACTGAGTTGCAGTGCCAGGTTCTGAATTCTGTCTGAGAGAACTGGACCAATCAAGGAAGCCACTGGCAAATTTCATTCAATGAACATCTTGTTGGACTCGGTAGGAAGGTGTGCAGGGATCAATTAGTGATGCCTGCCATGACCACGGGAGGGGAGTTTTAGGATAGGTGCTCAGATTGTTCTCCCTCAGTCTAGTAAATGTTTCCTGTACTTTGAATATATTATACATGGCTTTGTCACATCAAAATTCCACCTCCACTATTATTTGATTTTTTTTTTAATTTACAGACTTCTTTTGGTTCAAAAGTAAATTCATTTTAAAAGCCAAATTTATAGCACTACCTTAAATGGAAAGCCAGTTTTGTTTGCCATAAATGGAAGGTTTGGTAAGAATAAATTCACTAAAAATAAAATTATAAAATAAATATAAAATAAAATTGGTAAGAATATATTCACTAAAAGTTAAATTATAGCCAAGTATCCAAATCTGAAGACACAAAGAGATTAGCGAGTGTGAAAGATGTTCTCCTTAACCCAGGAATAATTAATACTAATGTAATACTCAGTTCCAGGTGCTCCCTCATTAATTGCTTACAACTACCATATAAAGTAGAAATTATTATCACGTCTATTTTATAGAGGAGGAAACTGAGGCATGGCAAGGGTCAGTGATAGGTGCAATGTCACTCAGCTAATGAGTGGTAAAGCCAGGAGTTGGACCCAAGCCGTCTAACTCCAGACTCCAAGCTCTTCACTTCTGAGCTAGGCTGCCTATTAGATCGATTAAAAGAAATTAAAAGGGAAGTCATCTAAAATTATCTTTTGTATCATCACTGGTGGTTTCTGTCACACTTTGGCAGCCCTAGATTGGTAGAAAGAGCCAAACTGGACTTAAGGCTTAAGTCTGGGTTCTAACCCTGTCTTTGTTACAAATTCATATATGACCCTGGTCATTCAGCCTCTGACCCTCCACTTCCCCATCTGTGAAGTACAGGAGTTAGGCTGTATTTGAGCTTCCAGATGGCGGGAACCATCCCTTATCTCAAAGAACCCACAGCACCTGGCACGCATTATCAGTTAGAGTTCATTCAGCCACCAGCAACAGAGAACCGAGTGTCCCAGCTTCCCTCTGTCGGTCTACCCTGCTATACTTGGACTTAGCTTTTTCATCCTTATGCCTCTTATCACCTCATGGTCACAAGACAGCTGCTTCACCTCCAGCCGTCACCTCCACATTACAGGAAGGCAGAAGAGAAAAGCAAGAAGGAGCAATGCCACAATCAGGAAAGCCGAAGTTTTCAGGTTTTGCTTTAATGGCTGGATTTGTGTTATATGGCCACTCTTGGCTGCAAGGGAGATAGAGAAGTGATCATTTTTACCTGGGTACATTGCCGCTCCAGTTGGATTTTCTTAACAAGAAAGGAGAGGAAGCAGATATTGAGTAGGCACCCATTAGGCGACTGTAAATACTTAAAGAAGGAAAGGCGAGAGGGAGGAAGGGGAGGATTAATCCTTCAGACCCCTTCCAGCTCTATAGAGCTGTGATAAAAGAATGTTCATCCTGCTGTCTTACAGAGCTCTGGGCCCAAAAGTATGAATGTTATATTTTTCCTTAAAAGGGTTTTTCTGTGAACTTCTGCATGTTGAGGCCACTTTTGTTTTTATTGGCAAACTTATTCCAGGGGAATGAGAGTTCATCACAGTACAGATGTATATTTAAGTAGGACAGGAGGCACAGGCAGGGGACCCACGGAAAGGGAATGTTTTAAAAGGGAGAGGCCAACATTCAGGCTGGGAAGAGTACACAGGAGTCTCAGGAAGGAGGTGTCAGGTGCCTTCCAACACAGCCAAGGACTGGAAGTAGCCCTGAAGCCAGTCCTGCTTCTCCCTGGCTGCCCGTGGTCATGGGTGCAGGCCGCATTCTTTTGTGAGGCCTCTCAGCATCCTTTCTGCAGTGCTGTCTTCAGAAGGTGGTGTTTATCCTTTCATTTATGACCTGGCCTAACTTTGCACTTTTTCCTGTCACTTTCTAGCTGGGTAGCCTTGGACAAGTTTCTTAACCTCTCTGTTCCACAGTATCTTTGTCTATAAAATGGGCTGATGATAATACGCATTTCATAGAACTGTTGTGAGGATTAAATAAGTTAATACGTATAAAGCTCACAGAAACTTTCCTGACACATAATAAGTTCTCAATCTTACCACACCATCATCATTATTGCCATTATCATCATTGTCCTGTCTGAGTGGGTCAATAGAAGCTGACACCTTCCCAATCAATGTTGAGCAGTTTTTGAGTAGTTCTTTCACTTTTTTAGTGATCAAGAGGATATTGATAGGATATAGATATTGATAGTTCAACATTACGAGGTGTTTGGATCCAAACAAAGTTGTCCAGGTTGTCCAGTAATAGACTATCCTTTTAACCACAGACTTAAATCTGTGTTTTTGGAGACAGGGCACTAGGAAAGTGTTCATAGGGCATGCTGGTATGGACAAAGTTGGATACTGTTAATCAGCACAGCCCTTCCCACTGGAGCTCTGCTTTTGATTTTACACAACTCCAGGGGGCACCATTCACATCAAAGTCATCATAGACTCAGTCATCAGACCATTTTCAACATATGGCGTTAAGGTGTCTTGAGAAAGTGAGAGGCCTTTTTCTAGCGGGGCTGCTTTCCATATGCTCTGGTCCACCCTTCCAAGAACCACAGATAGCCCATGAACCCTTCTTAGACTTACTCATTCATTCAGCATATGTTGGGTGACACCCACTGTGTGCCAGGCATTGTTCCAGGCACTAGAGATGCATCTGTGGACAAAGTAGACAACAGTCAATACTCACAGTGAGAAAGACAGACAAAAATCAATATTTGTAATAGAATAAATAAGTACATTGTATTGTAGGGTGAGAAACGCTATGAATGAGGAACAAAGTAGAGTCTTTCGGGGGGGTGGGGGCAATAGCAAGTTGCACTGTTCAACCAGGTGGTCAGGCTGGGTCTCACTAAGAAGTTGGCGTTGAGCACATGGTTCATTCAGCGATCACATTTTTGTAGAACGCTGTTCATTTTTTAATTCCTTCACTCAGCAAACATTTATTGAGGGCATGCCAAGTGCTTAACTAACATTCTCTCATTTCATCTCACAAAAATCCTATCTATAATTACTGATATTTCTCCCATTTTGTAAATGAGAAATTTGAGTCACAGGGAGGCAGAGTGACTTGCTCAAGGTCATACAATCGGAGAACAGCAGAACCTAGTTCTAAATCCAGGACTGAGACACTGCCAAGGAAGCATAAATACACTGCTTCTCACTGTACTCATCTAGAGAGAGAAAACAATACTAAACAGATCATCATGTACCTAATTACATCATTGCAATTGTGGTAATTGCTATGAAGGAAGAGTACAAGGGGCTTTGAGGAACTGTAACTGGGCCTGGGGAAATACTAAGCCCAGTGTATGGACTGGTGATTGCTGTGTAACAAAACACCCCAAAATGCAGTGGCTTAAAACAGCAATAATGGATCATTTCTCGTAATGTCTTGGATTGGCTGGGCTCAGCTAGGTGGTTTTCCACTCTTCCTGGTGATACTTGGGGCCACACATAACAGCTGCATTCAGCTGAGATGCCCAAGAAAGCTATCCCCATTCATCTGGCAGCTGGTGCTACTATAGGCTGGGGCACCTTGGTTCTCTTCCACATGGACTCTCTTCCTCCAGATATCCAACCAGCTTCCTCATAGCATAGTACTGGGTTCTAAGGAAAAGAAGGTGGAAACTGCCAGCTATTTTAAGGCCCGGACTCAGAAGTCCCAGAACATCATTTCTGCCACATGCTGTTGGTCAGAGCAAGTCACAAGGCCAGCCCATATTCAAGGAGAGGGGAAGATGTGGGAACAGTATACACATACAGGGATCAGAAGAGTTCTTGACAGCCATATTTGAAGGTCAGCCTACCACATCCTGTCCTTAAAATGTCTCACAAGTTTCTAGAGTAACTGGAGCACAGTGCTTCCATGGATTTGTTACCTTGAAGACGTTCTGCCTGAAGCTGCCCCTGTCTTCTTCCTCAACTCTTTTCATATCCGTCTACATGAGCAATGGAATTGCTATGGAACCAAGAGAACTTTTGTCAGGAATTTGCAGGGGCCTGTTTTTGAGAATTTTTTTCAGCATCAATGGTATATGCGGGTTTGGGAGTAGTGTTAGGGTATATTTCCAGCTTCTATAACAAAGATCAAAACTAACAATGGTTTGATGAAGTAGCGGTTTATTTCTCTCTTATGTAACAGTTGGGTGTTACAGAGGAGGAGACCCAGACTCTTCTCATCTTGCTGTTCCACAAGTCTGTGTTGCTGTCCTCTTCTATACGACAGCTAACATCTTAAGGCTAACGTCTAAGTCCATTTGGGCTGCTATAACAAACAGAATATCATAGACTGGGTAGCTTATAAACAACAGACATTTACTTCTAACAGTTCTAGGGACTGGGAAGTCCAAGATCAGGGTGCCAGCATGGTCAGGTTCAGGTGGGGACTCTCTTCCTGGTTCATAGACCACTAACTATCTTTTTGTTGTGTCCTTACATGGCAGAAAGAAGAGAGCTTTCTGGGGCTTCTTTTATAAGGGGCTTCTTTTATAATCACCTTCATGAGGGCTCGACTTTCATGACCAAATCACCTCCCAAAGGTCTCACCTCCAAATACTTTCATGTTAGGAATTAGCTTTCAACATGTGAATTTTGGAGGGACACAGCTAAAACTTGTGAGCTTGATCACTGTGAGACAGAAGGAAAGAATGGACATTGTGGGCAGTTACCAGCCTCTACCACTCATGGCTAGTGGGGGAACCAGCATGTAGATACACCGAAGGATGAAGGTGTCTGCATCTCTCATCATCTCTGCACAGAGCAGTGTCAGCTGTGGGCTGCCCACCAGAATTCCCAGCCCTCATCCTAAAACAACAGCCCTCCCTTGGTACAAACATCCAGTGAGTGAGCTTTGATGGGAGGCTTGTGTAGGGGGGTGGGCTGGGTCCAAGCCCTCCTAGCCAAGCGTGTATGGATTTCATGCTAATCTGCCTTTCTGGACTAGTCCATTCATCTATTCAAAATGTGTCGCCAGGTGGCTGCGACCACGAAGGGTCCAAACTAGGGCCAGTTCTGGACCAGGTTTGACACTGTAAAATATGACTGTTAAGGTGAGTTCAAGAGTTCAGCAGCTTGGTGAACTCTTGTGTATCTATCTGGGAAGGGTTCTGACAGATCTCAGCTGCCTCATGGAACAAGCACAACTCTTACTGCAGACAGCTTACCACTTAGCTGGGCAACCTTAGACATGTTACTTAACTTCTTTAAGCTTCAATGTCCTTATTTTTAAGATTGTCAGGCTGGGGTATGATATCTGTCTCCCCTGGGTTATTGTGAAGACAAAAATAAGATCAGATTAGGGCAACTTGCTCATTTTCTAAAATGTATCGTGTACATTTCTCAAAGAATGATTTTTTTTCTCTTTTCAAAGTTTAAATGTTGTAGTGCATCCCCATGAATATCCACTTACGCTGTAGGATCCTGAAGGTCGGGGGCTGTGTCTTATTCCCCTCTGCATCCCTCAGTGAGTAATTCTGGGCCTGGGAGTGAGCAGTTCCCCATTAAACGTGGGCATGCATGAATGAGTGCGTGGATGATCTGAGACTCCTAGGCGAGGGGCAGCAAACACAAATGCCCACAGGAGTAGGGCAGGTCACGCAGAGGAGTAAAGTGGGCTAAGCCTAAGAAAAAAGATGAGCAGGCACTGCTTTATTTTTTGTCTCTCTCTCTCTTTTTTTTGAGACAAAGTCTCACTCCGTCACCCGGGTTGGAGTGCAGTGGCGCGATCTCAGCTCACTGCAACCTCCGCCTCCCGGGTTCAAGCGATTCTCCCACCTCAGCCTCCCAAGTAGCCAGAATTACAGGCATGTGCCACCACGCCTGGCTAATTTTTGTATTTTTAGTAGAGACGGGGTTTCACCATGTTGGCCAGGCTGGTCTTGAACACCTGACCTCAGATAATCCACCTGCCTCAGCCTCCCAAAGTGCTGGGATTTCAGGTGTGAGCCACCGCGCCCAGCCTGTCTCTCATTTTTGTTAGGGACAAGGATATTGTCTTGTGTCCCACTGGTGCTGTAACAAAGTGCCACACAGTTAATAGCTTAAAACAAAACAAATTTATGACCTTATCGTTCTGGAAATTAGAATTCCGAAATCAAGGTGTTGGCAGGGCTGCTTCCTTCTGCAGGCTCCATGGGAGGATTCATTTTCCCTGCTGCCCGCATTCCTTGGCTTGTAGCCTCTTTCTCCATCCATCTCGCTCCCAGCCTCCCAAAGTGCTAGGATTACAGGCATGAGCCACCGCGCCCCTGCCTCCCTCTTAGTAAGACAATTGTGATTATATTGGGCTCACTGATAATCCAGGATCATCTGCCCATCTCAAGGCCATTAACATAATCACATCTGAAAAGTCCCTTTTGCTGTATAAACTAACTCGACTTATTCACAAATTCCGAGGATTAGGACATGAACACGTTTGAAGAACCATTATTCCGCCTACCACAGATACACAGAAACATTTTTAACTGTAAGAAAGCTATCAGGCCAAGGATGATGGCATTTTTCCCCAGTATTAAGGAGACCTCAGGGAGGGGAGGAGAGTGTGGCCACGTGGAGAACACATGCTCCATCTAAAAGGGGCTGCTACTCACTTTTAGAGTATGGTTATTACATATGAGAAACTGGGCCTGATTTGCCAGAACTTCCCCCACTTTTTTGTTCAAAGGGAAGCCCAAAATCTGGGTTTTCATGGGAAATTATTACATTTTGTCAGTTTCAAAAATATTATGCAGGCCGGGTGCAGTGGCCCATACCTGTAATTCTAGCAGTTTGGGAGACCAAGGCAGGTGGATCACAAGGTCAGGAGTTTGAGACCAGCGTGGCTAACATGGTGAAACCCTGTCTCTACTAAAAATACAAAAATTAGCTGGGCGTGGTGGCATGCACCTTTTAATCACAGCTACTCGGGAGGCTGAGGCAGGAGAATTGCTTGAACCTGGGAGGCAGAGGTTGCAGTGAGCCAAGATCACGCCATTGCATGCCAGTCTGGGCGACAAGAGTGAAACTCTGTCTCAAGAAAATAAATAATAAAATACTGTGCAGCAGTTCCCTGGCAGATATTATGAAATGTGCCAGGCTGGGAGGCTCAAGACTCTATAAATTGCTGAATCTGTGTCCCCTGCTTCACTCCCAGCAAGAGAGAAGTAACAGAGGTGAGAGTAAGAAGAAGAATGATACTAGTAGTGGGTGACATTTGTTCCAGCATTTCTGAGTTCCAACACGTTATGGTACTCAACACATTAAATGTATTAATTCATGTGGTTCTCACAATGGCCCTGGAAGATGGGTGCTATTTGAAGACCCATTTTGCAGATGGAGAAACTGAGGCACAGAGGCACTAAGTCACTTGCACAGGGTCACATAGCCAGTAAATAGCAGATTCAAACTCAGTCAGTCCCTATTCTGTTTCTTTTTAACTTTCTATTTTAAATTAAGTTTAGACTTACAGAAAAGTTGCAAAGATAGTACAGAGTTCCCTGAAGCCCTTCTCCCGCTTTCCCTAATGTGAACCTCTTACATAACCATCGGGCAGTGATCAGAACTAGAAAAATGACATAGGTGCAGTGCTTTTAACTAAACTACAGACTTTATTTGGATTTTACCAGTTTTTCCAGAAACATCCATTTTCTGTTGCAGGATCCAGTCAAGGGTCCCTGATATGGTTTGGGTGTGTGTCCTCTCCACATTGTTGGAGGTGGGGCCTGGTGGGAGGTGTTTGGATCATGGGGGCGAATCCCTTGTGAATGGCTTGGGGCTCTCCTCGTGATAATGAATGAGTTCTCTCTGTTAATTCACCTGCAGATCTGGTTGTTTCAAAGAGTCTGGGACCTCCCCCTTTCCCTCTCTCTTGCTCTGTCTCGTCGTGTGACACCCCCTGCTCCATGTTGTCATGTGACACACCTGTTCCAGCTTCGCCTTCCGCCATGAGTAAAAGCTCCCTGAGGCCCCCCCAGAAGCTGAGCAGATGCTGGCACCATGCTTGTACAGCCTGCAGGACCATGAGCCAATTCAACCTCTTTGCTTTAAAAATTACCCAGCTTCAGGTGTTTCTTTATAGCATGCAAAATCTGATGACAAACACAGTCCCACTTTGCATGTAGCTGTGCCTCTCTCTCTAGGCTCCCATCTGTGACAGACCCCCCCCCCACCGCCACCAGTCTGTCTTTCTCTCATGATTTTGACACTTTTGATGAATACTAGCTGGACATTTTGGCAGTTGTCCCTCAATATGGGCGTGTCTCCTGTTTCCTGGTGATTAGCTTGAGGTTGTGCACTTTTGTCAAGGAGATCACATAAGTGACGTTGCACCCTCAGTGCATCTTTCCAGGGGCTGCACGATGCTGATGTCTTATTATTGGTGATGTTAACCTTGATCATCATGCTCGAGTGCCTCGTAAGATCACAAATCCTGTATCTGTCTGTCCCAATGGGGCAAGGAGTCTCGTAGAAATCTGCATGGTTCTCAGGTATGCCTGCCGGAGAGCTTGGCTTTCTCTCTTGTTAACTTTGATCATCAGAGTCTGGGTCCTAACCCCTTGGTTTAAATGCTTTCTGTATGTAGCGAGAGGGAAAAATATAAAACAAACACAAAATATTCAGCAGGACACATCAGCAGACCTCACCCATCCCTTGGGCTGACCTAGTAAATACGTATGAAGTGCTCAGTAACAGTGAATAACCTCCAAATTTTAAGAAGGCTTAAAAACACCCACTAGTGATGGCAGGAGTGGGAAAGAAAAGCACCCACATTCGGGGACTTTGGAAATAATTCAAGCAATGAAGATTGGAAGAGATGATCAGGGAAGGGGAAATAAATCCAGCAGAGATGAAAGCCAAGGTCCGCAGCTGCTCGGACCATCAAACCTTTATAAGCAATGTGAGGTTTTTAAGGAAAGGAGTGAATTATAGCTGTTAGGACCAAGGACAAAAAGGCTTTGATCTAAAAGTGGGAGACATCTTAAAGGAAGCTGTGGCTTTTGCATAAGGTATTTCCACATCCTCCTGGGGTGCATTAGATGAACCCATTTGGAATTTACAGGTCTGCAGAAGGGCCCTTATTCCTAAGGGTATACACTTGAAACAAGCGGCTTTGCAGGAGTGGAGTTGATATTTGGAGAGAGAAAGCGTAGCGCTCCAGCAGGCATACCTGAGAACCTTGCAGCGTTTTACGAGGCTCCTTGCCCCGCTGGGACAGACAGATACAGGATGTGTGATCTTACGAGGCATTCGAGCATTGCCATGGGAGGTCATTTTGGTGAGCCCTTGACCTCTCCATTTGAAAAGTATCAGTTTGGAAAAGGTTGTCTTTACTGCCAGGAAACTTTAGAACAGAGGCTATAACATGGCTTTTTGGACAGTCACTCTGTCGCTAACCAGATGTTGGCCTCTGTTTGCCCTGGGGCGAGACCCTAGCCTATGCCGGACTTTCCCTCTCGTTGAGCACTGGCTGCCAAGGACTCATCACAGCACGTTCTGCATCGCTTCGCCATTGCAGTGTATGCACGGTGCACGTGGCTGGCATCGCAGAACGCCATCAAAACAGCCCCATAGGCGGCCATCTGCTGTGAAGAAATCAGAAGTATGTGCACCACATACATCTAGGTGCATTGGGAGGAAGAAGTAGGGGGGCGGATTTTTAGCTGGGTTAAGTCAAATACCCACCGAAACTATGAATGAACCTTCCAGTAGGACCAAAAATTACAGCAGATTGGAAATGGGAGAAAACTGAGATGAAGAACAAGCCCCCGAGGCAGACACTCCTGGGTTCTAATCCCAGTTTTGCTCATAATCTGTGAGTTTTAATTTGCAAGTTGCTTAACCTCAAGGATGAAAGCTTCAGTTTCTCACCTCCTGCAAGTCTGTCCTCAGATGTGGAGCCTTCTCTGATGACCCAACCCGGACCCCAGTGTTCCTGGGTCCCCTTCCAGCTTAGCTGGCTCCAGCACCTATGACCATGGGACACATTATTTTATATATTTATGCACCCTCAGCCCCTCCTGACTCATGTCAGCTCCACAGAGGCAGGGATTTCATCAGTATCCTGCTTAGGACAGACTGGCACACAGTAGGTGCTCAGGAAACATCAGTGAAACGATTGAAAGGAGTCACCGACCTTGCTCTGTTGTTTTCCTTTTTGGCAGAGGATAAGCTAGGATAACCACAGCTCGGGGCTCAGCATAGTGCCCGGCACAGAGCAGATGCCCAGCAATCAGTAACTATTGCTAATGTCAACTCATTCACTTTTTTCATTCAATGAATAGTTATCAAACGTTTGTTGTGTGCCAGGTTCCAGCTGGAAATAGTGCCGAGAACAAAACAGATACTCCTTTTTTTCCCCCCAGAAATTATTTCTTGAGAGCCTACCACGTGCCTCCCACTCTCCCATGAACAAAAGACAGCCTCTGCTCCCATGGGGCTCATATTCCAGTGGGAATGTGATAAACAATAAAAGCAACCCTGAAGAAATGAGATGATTTCAGAGGCGTGCTACTAAAAGAAAAAGCTTTAGAACCAGGGTCATGTGCAAGGTGTGGCTGGAGTTGGGGGGAGCATGGGGGCTGCTTTAGCTGGAGTGGTCAGGGGAGGTCACATGTGAGCTGAGACCCAAATGAGGAGGAGGAGGAGAAGCCAGCATGGGAGGGGCTGGGGCCCCCACCTGTGGTCCTGGCAGCATCAGCATCACGAGGGGCGTGTTAGAAATCTCAGGCCTCATCCAGAACCTTCAGAGTCTGTGAACGGATTGCTCAGCTACTGCTGGGCATTTACCCCAAGCCGACCTTTGTTACTAAGGAATGTTTGGGGCTTGAGAGTGCCAGTCCTCTGCTGAGATTTGCAGTGCCCTTTTGTAAACCGCTACAAGGCAAAATAGGTCGTTTTAGGAGTCCTGCTTCTTTCTTTTTATCTTTTTTCTTTTTTTGAGACAGGGTCTCATTCTGTTGCCCAAACTGGAGTGCAGTGGTGTGATCACAGCTCACTGCAGCCTTGACCTCTGGGTTCAAGCAATCCTCCTGCCTCAGCCCCCAAGTAGCTGGGACTGTCACCATACACGTGTCACCATACCCGGTTATTATTCTGTATTTTGTAGAGATGGGATCTCACTATGTTGCCCAGGCTGATCTCAAACTCCTGGCCTCAAGCAATCCTCCTGTCTCAGCCTCCCAAACGGGCTTCTATTTCTTTTATCCACATTCACAGTATAAGACTGAGACATGAAATATTTCCAGCCACCATCTGGGTAGGACCTGGTGTCATTGAGTGTGTCCCCTATGTGGTCCTGGAAGTCAAGGACTGTGTCTGGGTCATCTTCGTCTCCCCAGCCCTTAACCTATTGCCTGTGGAGGGCATAGAATTGGCCACCCTCCATGGTGGGCCTTACGTAGTTTCTCGACCTTTTTTTCATTATTGTCCCCCACCCCCACTCCCACCTCAAGGATCCTTTTTAGACATTTTTTCTTCTAGATGAAATTACAAAGAATAAGGGAGAATGGAAATTGGAGGCCACCCAGATCTCTCTCTCTCCACCCTTAGAGCCCTTATTGGTTTTGCAAGTTTCTCAGCAAGAAAGACTTCTTTATGAAAAGCGAATGCCACGGACATGCTGTACATCTGTTTATGTGCTGAAGGTGTATCTCTACTTCATTCATAAAAAGAGTAACATTCGGCCGGGTGCAGCGGCTCATGCCTGTAATCCCAGCACTTTGGGAAACCAAGATGAGCAGATTGCTTGAACCCAGGAGTTCTCGACCAGCCTGGGCAACATGACAAAACTCCGTCTCTACTAGAAATACAAAAAATTAGCCGGGTGTGGTGGCGCATGCCTGTAGTCTCGGCTACTCAGGAGGCTGAGGTGGGAGAAACAACCGAGCCCAGGAAGTCAAGACTGCAGTGAGCTGAGATCATGCCACTGCACTCCAGCCTGGGGGACAGGAGTGAGACCTTGTCTCAAAAAAAAAAAAAAAAAAAGAGTAAGATTCTTCTATCTCCCAAGAACCAATCATCACCCAAGGAGGTGAATATTGGTTCTTGGGAGATAGAAGAATCTTACTTGCTTACAGGCAGTCTCAAGGGTGGGGGTGATATTGCCCCCTTGAGAATACGTGGGCTAAAATTTCCACAAAGGAGGGGCTCAGGGTTGTCAAGGAGAGGCAGTCAGGTTAGGATCCGAGTAGAGTCGTTAGGGTCATAGACTCAAGGCGGACTGCTGCAGTCAGCATCCCAGCTCGGAACCTTACTGAGTGACCTTGGGCCTCAGTTTCCCCATTTGTAAAATGGGGATGGTATTGATGATGACACTCACCTTATAATGTGGTCATGAGGATTAAATTAATTAATACAATTAACTTTCTTAGAGAAGTACCTGTCACACAGTAAGAATTTGATAAGTATAAGTGATTATTGTAATTATGTTTGAGAAAACCTAAGTTGTCTGTAAGACAGAATGGACGGGGTTTGTTCATGGAGATTGTGAGGCACTGAGCATTGCACCCCCCACTTCTCCAACTTGACCCTGATGCCACCCCTGGCTGAGGTGTTCAGTGAATATTTGTGGAATAAATGGCATCTCATTCACATCTCTGTCTCCACTTTGAATGAATGAATGACGCTAAGGAAATAGATCACGTCTCATTCATCGCAGTTTCCCCTGAAATTCATATACTGTCAGCGTAGGGCTGGTGATGAAAAAATATTTGTCGAATTCATGAATCCGTCAGTTTCACTGATTCCGTTCAGCAGATCAGCACTGAATGTCTACCCTGCACCAGGTGTTTCTGAGCATGTGTGGGGGGCTGCTTGAGATAAGCAAGGTGTACTGAGTAAAAGCCTCCTCCCCTCTCAGATCCTCTTCACTAATGCGGATAGACAGAAAATGAGCACATTCACCCCTCTTTGCCCAGCACCCAACACTTGACACCTGGGCAGCCCAGGACTTGACCCCAGGACATCCCATACAGAGTTCTTTCTGCTGCTCTGCCCCACGTCCCTCAGATGTGTGACTCCGGGACTCACTTGGGGGACATGCAGCCAGTCTCCTAGCTATGCCAGGCCCTGCTTCTGTCTCTCTCTTGCTGTTACCTATGAACTTTTGATTCAGTTTGGACTCTCGCACACAAGTAAAATAAAACCCAGCCTAAACTGACTTAATATTTTTACAGGAATTTATTGTAAACTGCAGCTATTACGGGCTCCAGAAATAGATGGATCCGGAGCTCAAACATGTCAGCCAGATTTGGTTCCTCTTTCTGTCTCTCTTTTTCTGTGTTCTGCAGCTGTGCTTTGACAGACTGTGCCCTCGTGGTGGCGAAGAGGCTGCAGCAGCTCCAGCCTCTTTACCATATGTCATCTTGAGATTCCCTCTCATTGGACCTGCCTGTTAGTTCAGGTGCACACCCCTAAAGCAGTCATTGTGGTCAGGGGACTGTGATGCACTGATTGGTCCAGGCTCAGTCACGTGATGCATCCCTGCCAAATTCTCACCAGGGAAGTGTAAGCCATCTCGAACCTCATTGCCCTGCATGGGACTGTATCAGTGAAAATCTCTCTCTGACGTGTATAACTTGTTTCAGAAACTCTGGTCTTTATGGGTTACCATTCCCGAGGAGATCCTCTGCAGGAAGAATAGGTATTTGGTCTTGGGATCCGCTGTGATCCCCTGATCTGTTTCCACCACACTGGGTGAAGGCAGATGGTCTGTCCCTCCCTATATTGTATCAGATCATGTCACTCCCCTGTTTAAAAGCCTTTGTCTCTGGAGATTCCCACTGAAATCAGAAATAAACCCCAATGCCTTGCTGCGACCGCCTTACCTGGGCCCAGCACCGTGCAGTTCCTGATGACCTCTCTGACCTCCTCTCGCACACTTGCCCCCTTATCCTCTCCTGAATTTCACTCGCTCTTGCTTCTTTCAGATCCTTACCCCTCAGGGTCTTTGCACTTTGCTCTTTCCCGTAACCTAGAATGTTCTGTCCCCACGTCTTCATGATGTAACTGGCTCCTTCCTATGCATTTAGCAAATGCCACCTCCTCTAAGAGGTCTTCCAAATGTATTGATCCCCTGTTTAACTGAAATCAACAAACATAAATATTCAGTCCAGCATGTGCTCAGAGTAGCCCCACTGTCCTGCAACTCACCTTTTTTTTCACCCCGCACTGCATTTTGGACATCTCTCCACACCAGCACATGTGGACCGACATGTGACAGCTTTCTCCTCTGCAGCAGGATGGCTCTTCCCGCCCCTGCTGCCCCCGCCACCCCTGCTCCTTCCATGGCATTATCCCGACTTGTGTGGCAGAGACACAGTGACAGGGCAGCCTATCTGAAATGGCGTTCTCAGGCATGCGGATTGTTTTATTACCAGTTAAATATGCTTTATGCTACCTGTGAATGAGGCCATTGTGACATTTAGCAACTGATTTGATTAAACACAGATGTGGGCTAGACTCCACGTGGAGCAAAGATGCAGGAAGACAGGCTCCGGGTGTGGGTTTGGAGTTTTTAAGACGGTGAGAAGGACTTGACGACTCACAGCAGCAAGGCAGATGTGGACCAGGCGTCCTGTTGGTCTCAGAGCTGAGAACGCAACATGGGTACCCCAGGAGGCTTTGTCTGCTTTGGGTTCTGCTGTTTGGTCCTATCCAAATTGTTTTTTTTTTTTTAACCTTCCCTGGATGTTTTTATTCCTGTGAATTTTTTTAAATGACAAATTGGTGAAATGCTAGCACTTTTGACATCTTCAGTGGTGATTATGAAGACACAAAAAATTATCACCGTAGCTCCCGTTTGTTGAACATGTACTCGATGCTGGGCTCTGGCCCTTGTATCCCACGTCTCACAGAACCACCACATAAGCCAGATAAACAAACTATGCTTAGCTCCACTTTACAGATGAGGAAACTGAGGCTTAGAAAGTTCAACCATGTGTCCATAGTTATCAGGGAAAATCATGAGTTATATCTGAATTCTCTGTTGTCTTCCAGCCCGTTCCAGGCTCTGAAATCCAAGGAGACAGGACCCTGCTCTTTCTCAAAATAGAAATCTCAGGACTGGGCATGGTGGCTCACACCTATAATCCCAGAAATTTGGGAGGCCGAGGCGGGCAGATTGCTTGAGCCCAGAAGTTCGAGACCAGCCTAGGCAAGAGAGCAAAACCCTGTCTCTATAAAAAGTAAAAAACTTAGCTGGGTGTGGTGGTGCACACCTGTAGTCCCAGCTGCTTGGGAGGCTGAGGTGGGAGGATCGCCTGAGCCCGGGGAGGTTGAGGCTGCAGTGAGCTAAGATCACACGTCTACACTCCAGCCTGGGTGACAGAGTGAGGCACTGTTGAAAGAAAGAAAGGGAGAAAGAAGGGAGGGAGGGAGGGAGGAAGGAAGAAAGGAAGGAGGGAGGGAGGGAGGGAAGGAAGAAGACAGGAAGGAGGGAGGAAGGAAGGAAGGAAGGAAGGAAGGAAGGAAGGAAGGAAGGAATCTCAGCACGTACTAGGCACTCAACAAAGATGTGATGGCTGAAGGAAAATGAATGAGCAGCTGAGTGAATGAAAGGTTTGCCCAGGAGGTGAGGGGATGGGGCAGGGCTTGCCAGCTGCAGCCAGGTCTTTGCCTTCACCACTTTGTATTCTGGGTAAAGAAAAGAAACAGAGAAATAGACTATGAAGCCTGGGATTTGTCCCTTTCTGGAACTTGGGCTGTGGTCAGGGTGCTTGAGTGGGTGAATTTTGTAACAGGCTCACGCCTCTCTACCCACTTGTGGCTTTTCCATTCTATACATTATCTGCTGACTACTTTTTATATCACCCCCCCCCCCCATCTCATACCTCCAGACCTTTTCCACTTGCAGTCCTGGTAGGTTTTCAGCAATTTTATTTTCACATCAACATCAGTAAGACTTTATTAAGATGGAGAACACATGCTTTGAGGTGTCACTGTGGAACCAGTACAGAGGTCCCTTTGCTATGGGGAAAGAAATTGTAAGGTGGAAGGGGGGATGTCTGTTCACTGGGATTACCCATGAGGCCTCCTTTGCACTGCCGGGGCTGGCATGTCAGATCCATGGGTGACCATGAGTTCACTGTAGGTTGGCCCAAAAGAACTAAGGCAGGCAGTGGCCTGTGCAACTTCCCACAGGTGTGTGGAGGCAGGACGGCCTGCTGGCTGGGAGTCAGGCTGACCTGGGCTTGAACCCTGCTCCACCCCTTCCCAGGAGGGCCTGCTTCCTAGGGCTGTGGTGGAGATTAAACAAGATAATGCATGCAAACTGATAAGCGATGAGGAAGATAGTAAGTGCTCAATAAATGGAGGCTATTATTACTAGTTCATTAGTATTTATCCAGCTGCTAATGCCAACAACTGAAAGTCTTCCAAGGGCTTGGATTAAGTTAATACCGGGTTTGGCCCAGGAAAAGGAGGAAGGTTTGCATGGTAACTGTCACCTCTCCTTAAAAAGAGGAGGAAATCCAGAAGACAACAAGCCCAAGGAGGGATGTTTAGAATCATCGGTCATCAGAGAAATGTAGACTAAAGACAACGAATGAGATGTTAGTCCCATAGGCTGGCAAAAATAGCAAGTGGGATTATGCCAAGTGCCTGTAGGGGTGTAGGATGTGGGAACCACCTATGGACGGGGCACCCAGCCATTCAGGAAATTAGGTCTGTGCAACCTTGGGACCCAGTGGTCCCACTCTATCCCAGGTCCCACTATATCCTGAGGAAACTCACACACAGGCCCACAAGGGGATGGGTGCGAGGGCGTTTATGGCAGCCTTGCTGGTGATGGCAGGAGAGAGAGGCCATACTGGTGCTGACCCTGGGGGAGTCAGTAGGAGAGATGTGAAGGACACACATGGAAGGCCAGGTGTGGTAGCTCATGTTTGTAATCCCAG
The DNA here is from genome assembly GCF_000001405.40 of Homo sapiens. Classification (NCBI taxonomy): domain Eukaryota; kingdom Metazoa; phylum Chordata; class Mammalia; order Primates; family Hominidae; genus Homo; species Homo sapiens. The sequence goes on from NC_000020.11 coordinate 47,058,597, forward strand.
TGCTTTGAGAGGTCAAGGTGGGAGGATCACTTGAGGCCAGGAGTTTGAGACCAACCTGGGCAATATAGCAAGATCCCAATCTCTAGAAAAATAAATATCCAGGTATGGTGGTGCACACCTGTAGTCCCTGCTACTTGGGAGGCTGTGGGAGGAGAATCAATTGAGCCCAGGAATTCAGAGCTGTGGTGAGCTATGATCGTGCCACTGCACCCCAGCCTGGGCAACAGAGCAAGACCTAGTCTCTTAAAAAAGAATGCAAATGGTGGAGGAGGAGACATGCCCACGGCAACATGGGTGGGTCTTAACAACTTAATGCTGGGAGAAAACAGAAACCCCACAAAACAATACACACAGAATTTACAGAAACAAATGCCTGCTCCCGAAACACTAGTGCATGTTTTGCACTAATGCACAAACAAGAGAATATGCAACAGGCACACCAGAATTAGTGCCTGTGGAGTGATGGGGAATGACAGGAAACAAATAAATAACAGGAGGGGTCTTGGGTGGGCTCATAAGGAAAATGTGCATGAACCAAATTAACTCTGCCTTAACACCCGAGGTGCAGGATGGTGAGCGGGGAGGGACCGGCTTCTGAGGCTGTCCACATAGTTTCCCACGCTGGGAGTGCCACAGTTCCTGGGACATAAAGAATCCCTCTGTCCTTTGTATAGTAGGTATAAATCTCAGACTACAGGCTCGAGGGGCCAGAAATAAAACTTTATTTTCAGCATGTCAATGTAATTTCTGTTTATTTTGTTGTTTGTTTGTGTGTTGACATGGAGTCTCACTCTGTCTCCCAGGCTGGAGTGCAGTGGCATGATCTTGGCTCACTGCAACTTCTGCCTCCTGGGTTCAATTCTCCTGCCTCAGCCTCCCAAGTAGCTAGGATTACAGGTGCCCGCCACCACACCCAGCTGATTTTTGTATTTTTAGTAGAGACGGGGTTTTGCCCTGTTGGCCAGGCTGGTCTCGAACTCCTGACCTCGTGATCCACCTGCCTTGGCCTCCCAAAGTGCTGGGATTATAGGCATGAGCCACTGTACCTGGCCCATAATTTCTATTTCAAGCCACCATTCTTCTGGGAAAGTGAGAAAGTTTCATCTTAGTCATTTGGGGCTTTCCCCAAACTCTCCAGAATTTTGGCCATGGTTGTGGAATCTTACTCAGTGCTAGTCTATTTGTAGTGCTGAAGGCTCATCCGATTCTCCATCATCAGGACCCAGGCCACTGTCTTGGTCTAGGAGGCCCCTTTGGGTCTGGACTCTTCACATCTGTGTCTTTGCCACACTGAGGACCCAGGAACCTTTCACTATTCTGTCTTCCTAGAGCAGAGATCACAACCTGGAAGCCCACAGCCCCCTCTACACTACAAACACAGTTTTGTTTATTTTGTTTTGTTTTTGGTTTTATTTTTTGGTCCAACTAACTCATATTTGTTACCTGCATTTAAAACTCAGGAGATTTTACATACAAATCCAGAAGCCCTGGCTACATTAGACTCACATTCTTATGGGGCAGAGGTTGGCTGGAGCTGAATAGTGTTCTATCAGTGAGGAATGCTTTTAGCTGCAAGTAATAACAAGCCCAACTAATATTGGCTAAACTATAATCACGTTCATTGTGTATTTAACAAGAACTCTCTACCCCAAGGTTCGTTTGGCATCTCAATTATATAATCAAAAATCAGATTCATTTTATCCTTCTCCCATTTTGGCCTCAGCATATGAGCCTTTTGCTTCTACTCTCATGGCTTCATGGCCCAACATGGCTGCAGTCACTCCAGGAACATCCTCACATGACTCGGGAGGAGGTGTGGGGAGTGAAACAAAAGAATAGTCTTTCCCAGAAGCCCCCTTGGCCAAAACTAGATAATATGGGCCATTCTGAAGAAGGATCCAGCATCACATCCTGCAAGGGAGGCCAGGAATGCAAGACTTAGTCTTCATCAGCCTGGGCAGAGGGAAGCTATCAGGGGAGCGAGGAATCAGGCATGCCTGTTGGGAGGCCAAGTGGTATCTGCCACAAACCGCTGCTCCCTAAATACAGCTTGGCATTCCAGTTTGCCACAGTCCCCACCATCCCCTGTTGCTCCCCAGCACTGAAGCCATCTATCACTGTGCCTGCAGCACCTCCTTCCCTCACTGGTGTTGCTTGCTACACCTGTAAGGTTTGGATGCTGCCGGCCTCGGACTCTTCATGCACAGAAGTGAAGGGTCCACAGCTGCTCATCTTCATCAATCGCTCTCTCTCTCTTTTTTTTTTTTTTTTTTTTGGAAATGGGGTTTTGCTCTTGTTGCCCAGGCTGGAGTGCAATGGTGTGATCTTGGCTCACTGCAACCTCTGCCTCCCAGGTTCAAGTGATTCTCCTGCCTCAGCCTCCTGAGTAGCTGGGATTACAGCGCCTGCCACCATGCCCAGCTAATTTTGTATTTTTAGTAGAGATGGGGTTTTACCATGTTGGTCAGGCTGGTCTCAAACTCCTGACCTCAAGTGATCCACCCACCTTGGCCTCCCAAACTGCTGGGATTACAGACATGAGCCACCGCACCCAGCCCAACTTCATCTCTTTACTCTCCTTCTTCCCTTGTCTCTTGTCCTACCCCATTTCCCTAGCCTTGAAGAATTGCCCTCCTTTAAGAAAATCAGGCCTGGCATGCTGGCTTACGCCTATAATCTCAGCACTTTGGGAGGCCTAGGCAGGAGGATCCCTTGAGTCCAGGAGTTTGACACCAGCCTCGGCAATATAGCAAGACCCCACCTCTACAGAAAATACAAGAAAACATTAGCTGGGCATGGTGTCATGTGCCCGTAGTCCCAGCTACTCGGGCGGCCAAGGTGGGAGGATCGCTTGAGCCCAGGAAGTCAAGGCTGCATTGAACTATGATGGCACCACTGCACTCAGCCTTGGCGACAGAGGGAGACCCTGTCTCAACTGAAAAAAAAAAATCCCTCTTAATTCATGTTTCCTGCTAAGCCATTTTGCCTACCTCAATCTAATTCACAGTTGGTTCACCAACGGCAGCCAGTCCACAAACAGCTGCTGGTCTACAGTAACAAATATGGAACTGAGAGAAAAAGTGAGACATGTTTACAGCAATTAGATACGGCCACAGCATCCAAGCACATGATCCTACGCTCATCTCATTGCAGAGGGTGTAGGCGAGTTTGGGACTGTTGCATCACAGGGCCAATTGCCTGTGGTGTGAGTTGCATGCTAATCACACATCGTGAACCACGTCTTAGTCCCCAAAGGGTTAGACATTTGGAAACGGATTCTTCCCCACAGAGCTGAGAAACACAGGCGTACACCTCAGGTCCTCCCAGACTCTCAGGAGGACTTGGAACCTCAAGAGCCAGGATAACTCATTTCTGCTGTTCCTTCTTTCCACCTTGCTATGCCCCAGCTTGGGCTCCATGATCCACGATGGGACTGTCTGGGAGGAAGAATCCCAAGGCAGCGTCTCAAAACATCACCCTGACACATTTGCCTTCCTGCCTGAATCCTGGGCTCACTTACCACTTCTCACACGTGATGACGTGATGAGGAATACCTGGTGCATCCTGGACGTCCAATTGTCCACCTCGGACCACCACCCCAGGAGCACTTCCTCAGCAGAGAAGTTGAGGAGAAATTTCCAGAAAATGTACACATCCTCAGCATTTTCTTGAGTATCTGTCCATTAAACATATCCATCTAGATATGATTTTTAAATGGTCTAATCCACCATGTAAAATGGGATCTGGAGTTGAACAGGCCCCTCTGGAGTGCCCCCTTGGACTGCACAGCTGGGGCTGAGTTCGCAGGGAGGTCACCCCGGTATCGCAGGCAGGCGCTGGCTCTTTTATGCAGTTATCTCCAGTTATTGGGGAAACAGGAAGGCATGGCATCAGGCTCCAGGATCGGTGCAGAAAACATGTTCGCTTCCCAAGGTACATGTAGCGGCTCTCCTGGCAGCTGTAATAAGGGAGGATGGCTCTTTCGAACTGAAAATATTTTGAAGATCCCAAATCTCACCCAGATTCTGAGCAGCTCTGGCACATGAGCTGTTTTGTGATCTCAGATCTCGGGTTCGTGTTACATGGGAGGGCCGGGCCCAGCTTGTCCTCCCTCTGTCCAGAAGAGCCTTCTGCGGTGAATCTCAGCAGCCTGGTTAACGTTGAGTCATAATATTGCCAATAAAAGGAAAGAAAAATATGGAAAGGGGGTATGCAGTTGGTGCCAAAGGGAGAGGGATTTGTTCCCTCAACTCCGGAGTGGGGCTGAAGGCATCTTTGAACCTCAGATATAGTCTCTTCTCTCGGGCCTCAAGGTGTAGGGTGCCCAGGAGTGTGGCAGAAGGCGGGGGTTCTGATCTTTCTGGGCCTTTCTGTGCCCTTTCTTTTGCTGCCAAAGCCTGGGAGACAGGCCATGGGGGCAGTGTGGGGAGGTAGTGGGAGCAGTTTTGTTTTTTAAATTAAGGTAAAATTCCCATAACATAGAATTAACCATTAACCATTTTAAAGTGTACAACTCTGTGGCGTTTAGTGCGTTCACAGTGTTATGCAGTCACCACCTCCAATTCCAACACATTTTCATCGCCCCAAAAGGAAACCCCATAACCTTTAAGCGGTCATGTCTAATACTCCATCCCCCAGCCCTGGCAATCACAAGCCTACTTTTTTTTGTCTCTGTAGACTATCTTATTCTGGATACTTTATATGAATACAAATCCCTCAGTATGTGGCCTTGTATGTCTGACTTATTTTATTTGGCATAATGTTTTTTGGGTTTATTTGTGTGTGTGTGCGTGTGCGTGTGTGTGTGTGTGTGTGTGTGTGTGTGTGTGTGTGTTTTGAGACAGTGAGGCAGGAGAATAGGGTCTGGAGGCAGAGAACCTAAGGCCAATTCATGCTGACTTCCTAGAACTGAATCAAAAGGAAAACCCCACCTCTGCACACCCAAGTAACAAAAGAATCAGAGGCTACTCCCTTTGCAACTCCCTGCCCCTTTTCCACTTTGTTGCAGATGAAAAGGAGAAAGTACCTCTGATTGTGGGCCAAGTCTTCATTTGCATAGGTTATAACTTTGTAACTTTACTTCAGCCTCTGGTCCTTCCTTGCAACCAGACTGGCCGTGGGCCAAGTCTTCATTTACTTAAGGTGTAACCAGATAACCAATGGGAAACCTCTAGAGGATATTTAAACCCCGGAAAACTCTGTAACCAGGACTCCTGAGCTGCTCCCACCACTCTGTGGGGTGTAATTTGGTTTCAATACATCTGTGCTTTTGTTGCTTCATTCTTTCATTGCTTTGCTTTTTTGTGCATTTTGTCCAATCCTTTGTTCAAAATGTCAAGAACCTGGGCGACTAATAGTCAAGGCCCTCCACCAGTAACAACAGGGTCTCACTCCCATTGCCCAGGCTGGAGTGCAGTGGCGCCATCTGGGCTTGCTGCAGCTTCAACTTCCCAGGCTCAGATGATATTCCTACCACAGCCTCCAGAAGAGCTGGGACTACAAGCATGCATCACCATGCCCGGTTAATTTTTTGTATTTTTAGTAAAGATGGGATTTCAACATGTTGCCCAGGCTGATCTCAAACTCCTGGGCTCAAGTGATCCACCCTCCTCAGCCTCCCAAAGTGCTGGGATTATAGGTATGAGCCACCATGCCCAGCCTCATTTGGCATAATGTTTTCAAAGGTCATCCATGCTGTATGTAGCATGTATCAGAATTTCATTCCTCTTTATGGCGGAATAATATTCCATTGTATGGCTGAACCACATTTTGTTTATCCGTTCAGCCGTCAGTGGACACTTGGATCATTTCCACCTTTCAGCCACTGTGAGTAGTGCTCCTGTGAACTTTTGCATACAAGTTTTTGCTTAAATACTTGTTTTCAATTATTTTGGGTATAAACCCAGAAGTACAATTGCTGAGTCATATGGTAGTTTTGTATGTACCTTTTTGAGGAATCATCCAGTGTTTTCCACAGCTTTTTATGCACCGTTTTACATTCCACCAGCGTGTGTGAGTGTTCCATTCCTCCACATCCTCACCAACACATTTTTTCTTTTTCTTTTTCTATCTTTATTATGGCCAACCTAGCGAGTGTGAAGGAGCAGCAGTTTTCAGCCCAGACACTCGTGTTGGGTCATGGGACCTTTCCCACTCTGAGTTTCTGTAAACTGAAGGACAATGCCCACCTTAGAGAGTAGACAGCAGCGTCACATAAGTCACTGTACATAGCATCCCCAGCACAGTGTCCAACATGAGAGATGCTGTTCACTGGGGCACTGTATTAGTCTGTTCTCATGCTGCTAGTAAAACATACCTGAGGCTGGGTCATTTATAAAGGAAGGAGGTTTAATTGACTCACAGTTCCACATGGCTGCGGAGGCCTCACAATCATGGTGGAAGGCAAAGGAGGAGCAAAGTCACGTCTTACATGGTGGCAGGCAAGAGAACATGTGCAGGGGAACTCCCCTTTATAAAACCATCAGATCTCATGAGACTTATTCACTATCACCAGAACAGCATGGGAAAGATCTGCCCCCATGATTCAATTACCTCCCACCAGGTCCCTCCCATGACACGTGGGAATTATGGGAGCTACAATTCAAGATGAGATTTGGGTGGGGACACAGCCAAACTATATCAGGTACCAAGGCCACCTCCAGGCACCATATTACCCAGTGCTTCTCATTCTCACTGTCATGAAGGACAAGGGCTTCTTCCCCCATTTAGCGTAAAATAAAAATGAATCACCAGAATATGTATTCTCAGTAGGGGAAATATCATCCCAAGAGGGGAAAAAGTGGTCCCTGGGAGTGGAGCAAAAACACATACACATACAGTCCCAAAACAGATATACAGTCTAACTATAATAGTAAAATTTCATGGGAGGTGGGGCAATTAGGGGAGAAAAAAAAATTATAAAAGAACCCTGGCGAAGGGTGGCAATAATGAAAAAAAGGTTGAGAAACAATGAAGTTTAAAGCAATTTAAATTTGTTTAATTTTTATTTTATAATTTTTAATAAATTAAAAGCGTGATTTTTTTATTAGATTTAACAGGCATAAAGTACTGTATTAAATTGCTCTGGAGGTTTAAATTTCTCTATTTATCTCAGACTGGTAATAAACACAGTGGCTTTCAATTTCTCTATTTATCTCATCATAGACTGGTAATAAACGGTTTGTGAGCAGGCACCAATCTGCAGTTCACACCTCAGTAGTGCTGTGCAGAAGCATCACTGCGTCTTTGTCTGTCTGGAATTATCTCACTTCCTTATGTATCTGTTCATTTGATTGTTGTCTGTCTCTCTTACCTGAATGTCAGTGTCAACACCATATCTAAAACAGTGTCTGCCACACGGTGATATTTGGTACATCACTAGGAAATGAATTGTTGAATGCCTGAGGGAATGAATGAACAAATTAATGATTGAATGAATATCCACTTAAAAATTGTTTTGCTGGCTGGGCATGGTGACTTACACCTGTAATCTGAGCATTTAGGGAGGCCAAGGTGGGCAGATTGCTTGAGCCCAGGAGTTCAACACCAGCTTTGGCAACATGGCAAAACTCCATCTCTACAAAAAATTAGCCAGATGTGGTGGCATGCTCCTGTAGTCTCAGCTACTCAGGAGGCTAAGGTAGGAGGGTCACCAGAGTCTGGGAGGTCAAGACTGCAGTGAGCTGTGATCATGCCACTGCACTCCAGCCTGGGCAACAGAGTGAGACCTTGTCTCAAAAAAAAAAAATTATTTTACTGAGTCAGGCACTGGAGGCTACTTTTACTTAAAACCCAAGAAAACCAATCAACCAAAAATGGTAGCAGTTCTCTGCCTTTGACAGAGACTCAAAATAGCAATGTCTTCAACAAGAAAGAAGGGTATTTCTCTCTCACCTAAAAGTCCTAACTAATGTGGCCATTCTAGTCTGCAAACGTGATGGGGGTCCAAGCTCCTCATGTCCTGTTGCTCAGCTGCATATCCAAGATGGCCCCATTCCATGGAGAAAGAGAAGCTGCCACTGCCCTTCAAAATTTACTCCTATCCCTTTGCCTAGAACTCATCATGTGGCCACATTTAGCCATAGGGAATCTGGGAATTGTAGTTTTTATTCTAATCAGCCATGTGCTCAGCTTAGAAACAGATTCTATTAATATGAGAGAGAAGGGGTGAATCAATATTAGGGGACCCTCCAGGAGACCTGCCACCATCACCTTAAGAGGATGTTTTTTTCATCTCATCTTTGCCTTCCCTCACTGGGCATTGTATCAGCCAGAAGGAAGAAAGAGGTCAGTGTTTCACATTCCAGCACCAAGCTGGGTCTGTTTGTCAAAACCCTCCAGAGACCACAACTTGTGGCACAAGACTTCAGGGGCCACGTGCCCCCTTCTTCCTGGGTCCTCTCTGGCACAGGATGGATTTCTCACTGCAGGCACTCTGTGGCTGCCCTCACGCTGTAGTTTGTTCAGCTGTCCATTCTTCAGCTGACCCTGGGTCACAAAATGAAAATAAACAAGAGACTATTTTGGAGAAAGCATACCAAGGGACAAGACGATAGCCTGTTTATTTCCAAACCTGCCCTGAGTCATCATTCAGAAGGTTCATGCAAAAGAAAAGAGAAATCAGAAGAGAAAACACTGCAGTCAGGAGTCTTCTGAGACAGGTGGCTTCCTAAGCTTTTGCAAGTAGGGTCACCATGGTAACCAGAACCAAACAGATGACCTCGAATGGAATAGACTGACCTAGACCTTCTGCTAAATGTGTCTGGGCAGGACATTGAGGATAGAGTGGGATTTTGTTGACTATAGTCAACAAAAATTTAAATGTACATTCTCAAATAACTGGAAGAGTATAATTGGATTGTTTATAACACAAAGGATAAATGCTTGAGGTGATGGATACCCCATTTACCCTGATTTGATCATTACACATTGCATGTCTCTATCAAAATAGCTCATGTCACCCATAAATATATACACCTAATATGTACCCACAAAAATTAAAAATTTTTAAATTAAAAAAAAATTTAATGTAACGAACCAAATTGTATATTGAGCTGTTGGCACAACCACATAGAGAGGAACTATCTTAAATGACTTTATTTACACATATTTTTATTCTTTTCCTTTTTCTTTCTTCCTTCCTGATGTTTCCAGCTTTTTTATCCTTTTCTTTCTATGAGAAGAATTTCCTGTACCCATTCTTTCTGGGTAGAGCTGCTGTAACAAATTCTTTTGGTTTTCCTTCATTCGAGGATGTCTTAGTTTTCCCTTCATTCCTGAAGGATATTGTCTCTGGATATAGCATTCTGAGTTGATGTTTCTTTTCCTTAAGCCCTTGAAAAATGTTGTGCCATTTCCTTCCGGCCTCCATGGTTCCTGATGAGAAATCTGCTGTCATTCCTATTCTTTTTCCCTTATTCTGGCACATTTTGTTTGATTAATAAATGAATGAATAAAAGAATTAATCTTAGCTTCACAGCCTACTAGCTTTATGACTTGGGAAAAACTCCATTCCTAAGCCTCAGTTTCTCTGTATGGAACATGGGAATGGCAATTATATACCTTCCTCTCAGGATCGATGTGAGGATTAAGTGCAGTTATATACAAAGTGCCTAATACAGTGCTTGGTGCATAAAGCACTCAATAATCTCAGTGGAATGAATAAATGAATGCATGCATGAATTAATGAACTAATTAATGGCCTCAGTATCTTTGTGTAGAGAAGCCATGTGCTGCCATGGAAAGGCCCTGAGCTGGGAAGCATGAGACAGGCTTAAGGCCTTCTCTGCTGCCAAGACCAAAGCACAGGATCAGCACTGTTTGCCTTCCCTCTTTGTGCCTCAGTCTCCCCATTTGGACCATAAAGAATTTGGCATGGACTATTGGTTCTCAATTCTCAGTGTGTACTAGGATCTCCCAGAAAGGTTTGTTGTTGTTGTTGTTGTTTTCATATACTGATGCCTGGCCCAACTCTAGACTAACTCAAATCAGACTCTCTGTGGGAAGGGCCCTCAGACTGCTTTTTTGTTCTGTTTTGTTTTTTGTTTCAAGTTCTTTGGGAGATTCTGATGCAGAACAAGGGTTGAGATCCTATGGTTCTGATGGATCCATCATCTTGGATAATTTTAGAGGTGTTGTGGTTCCTTTATTATCCTCTTATCTTCTCCTACCTCACCCCAGGAAGTAAGTTTCCTGGAGTCCATTGTGTTCATTTTAGCCACTTTATAAAAAGTAGTGTGGGCTCTAGAAGCTTCTTGTTTGATGTAAGTCACCGCTCATTTGAGTAGCCATTTGTTTTCTAACCAGCAACTAGTGTGAATGTTTAGAGATGTGCCTGCAGTTGTGCGGTTGCTGCTTTAAAACCTCTGACAGCAGTCCATGCCCCTTCAGCAGATGCAAACCATGCTCCAGGCTTCCGGGTCCTGAAGCATCCAGCCCTAACTTTCTTAATCTGGCCTCATCTTATAAAAGAAGTCTGTTGATTCAGTCCAATTCCTACCAAAATCCCAGATGGTGTTTAGTAGAAACTGACATGCAAAGTAACTAAAAGCCAAAACAAACTTGAAAAAGAACAAAGTTGGAGAACTTATACTACCTGGTTTCAAAACTCACCATAGGCCGGGCTCAGTGGCTCACGTCTGTAATCCCAACACTTTGGGAAGCTGAGGCAGGTGGATCACCTGAGGTCAGGAGTTCAAGACCAGCCTGGCCAACATAGTAAAACCCCATCTCTACTAAAAATACAAAAAATTAACTGGGCATAGTGGTGGGCACCTGTAATCCCTTGGGAGGCTGAGGCAGGAGAATCACTTGAACCTGAGAGGCGGAGATTGCAGTGAGCCTAGATTGCGCCTCTGCACTCCAGCCTGGGTGAGAAGAGCGAGATTCTGTTTTTTAAAAAAAATCACCATAAAGCTTCAGTAATAAGGATAGGATGGAATTGGTATAGGATAGATAAATCAGTGAAACAGAATAAAGTCCAGAAATAAACCTTCTCATTTATGGTCAGTTTATCTTTGGCAAATGTACCAAGTAATTCAGTGGGGGAAGAAATGGATACCCCTTCTCCATGATGTGTTTATATCATATTTCATACTTATATCAAAACATCTCATGTACCCCATAAATATATACACCTACTGTGTACCCACAAAAATTTTAAAAAATAATAAAATCAGTGGGAGAAAGGATAGACTTTTTATAGTGGTCCTGGAACAACTGTGTGTGTGTATATGTATATATACACACATATACATACATATATATGCACATATATATATATGAAAAGATGAATTTAAGTCCTTAATCCACACTGTATACAAAGATTAACTTAAATTGGATCATAGACCTAAATACAAGAATACTGTGAAATTTCTAGAAGAAAACACAAGAGCAGTTCTTTGTGACCTTGAATTAGGCAACAAAAGCAAAATGCATCAAAGAAAAAAATCAACAACCTACAATCTTTTGCTCTTCAAAAGACACCATTAAGAAAAAGACAAGCCACAAACTGGGAGATAATATTCACAAATCATGTATCTGATCAAGGACTTGTGTCCAAGATATATAAAGAACTCTTATAACAGTAATAAGAGGCCAAACCTAATTTTTTAAAAAGATTTGACTAGGGTTTGATGGGAAAAAGATTTGAGTAGATATTTCATCAAAGAAGATATGTGAATGGCTAAAAAGCACATGAAAAATGCCCAACACCATTAGTCATTGGAGAAATGCTACTTAAAACCACAGTGAGATACAACCACATACTTCGTAGAGTGGCTGTAATCAAGAAGACTGAAATGACCAAGTGCTGGAGAATCGAGAACTCTCGTGCATTACCAGTCAGAATGTAAAATGGCACAGCCACTTAGGAAAACAGTTTGGCCATTTCTTTTAAAAGGTAAACATATGCTTACCACACAACTCTGTAATTCTACTCTTAGGGATTTACCCAAGAGAAATGAAAATATATATCCATACAAAGACTTGTATGTGAATGCTTATATTGCATTATCCATAATAGCCCAATATTGGATGTTGTACATCTATGCCATTGTGCATTGTTGTTTAATGGGTACATAGTTCCAATTTTACAAGAAGAAAAATGTTCTAAAGATGAATGATGGTGATGAGTACCCAATAATGTGGATGTAGTTAATGCCACTGAACTGTACACTTTAAAATGGTTAAGAGGGTAAATTTTATGTTGTATATATACCACAATTTTTTAAATAAATAATTTTTATTTTTTATTTTATTTACTGTTTTCTAGAGACAGGGTCTTGCCGTGTTGCGCAGGCTGGAGTGCAGTGGTGAGATTGTAGTTTACTGCAGCCTCAAACTCCTAGGTTCAAGCAATCCCCCCGCCTCAGCCTCCCAAGTAGCTGGAACTATAGGCATGCGCCACCACACCTGGAATTTTTTTTTTTCCAAGATGGAGTCTTGCTCTGTCACCCAGAGCTGGAGTGCAGTGGCACAGTCTTGGCTCGCTGCTACCTCCGCCTCCCGAGTTCAAGCAGTTCTCCTGCCTCAGCCTCCCTAGTAGCTGGGATTACAGGCACACACCACCACGCCTGGCTAATTTTTGTATTTTTAGTAGAGACAGAATTTCACCATGTTGGCCAGGTTGGTCTCGAGCTCCTGACCTCCTGATCCTCCCGTCTCAGCCTCCCAAAGTGCTGGGATTACAGGTGTGAGCCACTGTGCCCAGCCAATGTTTTAATTTTTTTGTAGAGACAACATCTCACTATGTTGACCAGACTACTAGAGTGGCCATAATCAAGAAGACTGAAACTACCAAGTGCTGGAGAATCTAGAACTCTCGTGAATTCCTAGTAAGAATGCAAATGGCACAGCCACTTTGGAAAACAGTTTGGCCATTTCTTTAAAAAGTGAAACACTTAAATGACCAAACTCCGGGGCTCAAGTGATCCTCCCACCTCAGCCTCCCAAAGCATTGGAATTACAGAAAAATCTGAGGCCACCACACCTGGCCTCAAATTTTTTAAAAACATAATTATTAAGGACCAGGATCTGGGTAGTGGGCACTATCTCACTTATTTCTCACCATAGCCCTTTGAAAAGGACACCGTTTATTTTCTTCATCTATCCAGGAAATTGAGGTTCAGAGAAATTTGGTAACCAAAGTCACAGGTTCCATCCCAGCCTGTCAGACCTCAAAGACCCCACCTGGCCATGGTACCCTCCTCCTGCATGTTCCTCTCCGACTGTAAGAAACCTAACCTGGCTCTTGGGTCTGGGCCGCCAACATGCCATCCGGACAGAGGAAGATCCAGAGACTTAGGGGTCACGTGAGCCATAGCCACGGCCGCATCAGCAAGCACTTGGAAGCACCCAGGAGGCCGTGGTGATGCTGGTGGTAGGCGTCACCAGAGGATTAGTGTCAACAAGTCTCACCTGGGTTGCTTTGGGAACGCTGGTGTGAGGCATTACCACTAGGAACCAGAGCTTCTGCCCAGCTGTCACCCTTGAAGCCACATGGAGGGAGGTTCATGAAATGCTAACAACTGCTTTAAAGAGAAAAAAAGACAAGAACCCTAACCTGTACCCCTGTTCCTCCTTCCCACAGGCACAACAGGGTTCTATCAAGGAGGAAATGGACTGGGCAACGCAGCCGGTTTCGGGAGTGTGCACCAGGTAGACATGGCTCCCTCCCGATTCTTTCCTCAGTTCTTTCTGGAAATATTCCCCTTACATCAGGGCACCCAGAGAGCCCACGACACACACAATCCCCATTGGGAACCTGCCTCTTAGTCCCTGGGTTTGGAGACTACAGGGGCTAGATTGTGCAAAAGGCTGCTGGAAGGACACAGTATACAGGCGGAGACGTAGGAATTGTTAGAAGATTCCTGAGATGTCATGGAGATCTACAAGTATGTTCCATCTTGACCTGGACTCAGGACACCCATTGACTGTTGAATCTGATATATATCAATACAAATGGGTGGGTTCTTTCACCAGACCATGGGCTTCTCAAGGGGGACCGTATATCTTGCTCACCTCTGCATCCCCAGTGGTGAGAGCCCAGCACACAGTGGGGGCTTTATAAATACTTGTTAAATAGAGCAAAGTCAACTCTATATAGGTAAATGTTGGCTAGTACTTTGATTCTCTTGGTGTCACTTACAAAGTGAATTAAGAGTTCGCATCTGCTCAAAGTGTGCAGTAACTCTGCTGTGTGTACACCTTCCCTGTACACCTAAAATTATTTCAAAACAAAAGGTTCACCTGCTTTCAGGCTACCATTTAAAACAGAACCACCCTGGGGTAGATGGGCTTTAGGAATATTTAACATATTTAGATCTGAGGAATACGCAATTTCTTTTCCAGTGAGAATCTAAATAATTTAAAACTTAGCAAATGTAAAAATTGTTTCATGTATTTTTGCATTATTTCTAATGTACTATGTACATAGATAAAATACTTATAAATAAAACAGTACTTTTTAAGATGTGGTTCTTAACCCTCCATTTCACCATTAAATCTGTGTTTTTCAAAAACACTGACCACCCCCGCAACCCCCACCCCCAGGAACTCTGACTCCCAGCTCTGGGGTGGGGCCCAGGAAGCAGAACGTTCCATGAGTTCCGTGCAGGGTTGAGAAGCACTGGTTTGGTGATAGTGCGGCAGGATATTTGAAACAATGACTGTTGGAGAATTGGGATCGCTGGTCTGCTTAAACAAAGCTTGATCAAAGGTGATTGGCAGCTATTGAATTGATCTCCATGACTCCCTCATAGAATATTCTGGACCCCTAATGCTGTGTAGGTGCTGCTGTATTTGCACCTCCTCCCCATGAACATAAAATGTCACCTAGTCTCCTGGGTTTGTGTGTCGTGTGGGTGTGTGTGCGGTCTTCTAGGTTTGTGTGTGTGTCGTGGGGGGGGGGTGCAGTGTGGTCTTAATTGTTAATGCATTTGTTTATTAATTTAACCAGTATTTGTTGAGTTACTGCATATACCAGGCACTGTTTCAGGTGCAGAGGATACAATAGTGACCAGGACAGGTGCCATCAGGGCCACGTCTATATCCCTTAGGGTGGCCTGTGGACCTCCAGGTGCCAGCATCTGCATGCCTGGGCCCAAGGGGCTTTTCTAGAACCAGTGCACGGGGCAGGCAGGAAGTGCCTGGGAATTAAAGCCCCCTGGGTGCAGCTCTCAAAGACCAACAAGTTGATGTATAAACCCCTCCACTCCCTTGACCCGTGGGAGAGGCAGTTCTGAGATGTGGATTTTAGACCATCTCAGCTTTTCCTCATAGGGCTCATCTCTGGTCACTACCACAGAAGCACCTATGCAGGCTGCTCTCCCGCATCTCTCTCACTTCCCCGATCCCCTGCTGGTGTCTCCTTCACCTTCCAAACAGCCTCCTTGCACTTGAATCCTTGCCCCGGGGTCTGCTTCTGGGAAACCAAAATGAAGACAGTTTCTGCCCACAGAGAGCTTTTATTCTAATGGTGAGACAGAGTGGCCAGGCTGACCAACGGCCCGAGCCCAGAAAGGCTTCCTCACATATGTCCTTGGTTTGTTTTTCTCTTCCCAGGACTATCCTTCCTACCCCGGCTTCCCCCAGAGCCAGTACCCCCAGTATTACGGCTCATCCTACAACCCTCCCTACGTCCCGGCCAGCAGCATCTGCCCTTCGCCCCTCTCCACGTCCACCTACGTCCTCCAGGAGGCATCTCACAACGTCCCCAACCAGAGTTCCGAGTCACTTGCTGGTAGGTGCAGTCACTGGTGGGGCCATTCATGGCTGTGGTCTGAGAGCTTCTATGAAGGAGGGACCCGCACATGGGTCCCAATTGTAACAAACAGGTTACCCAAGGGTCATTCATGGATGTGGCCTGAGAGCTTCTCTGAAGGAGGGACCTGGATATGGGTCCCAGTTGTCACAAACAGGCTCCCAAGGGCTAAATCCATCTCTCAGACATGTTTTGTTGGCCTGTTTGTGCATGTGTTTAATTGCATTTACGTTTAAAAGTCAGAAAATTTTATAAATACCTAAAAATTCTATTTTCTGGCTTCTTTTGAAAGAAGATCTGGCCATAGTAGCCACATTCCCAAGGAACACCACTTGGTTAAAACTAAGTGTGTCTGCTCTTTTTAGAAAGGACACACCCAATTCCACATCTAGCTAGCTTACCCCATGTTCATTACTGCCTGGCCCATGTAGGCCTTGGAGTTGATGAACCCTGGTAGTATTTATAATATTACCAGCTGGGCACGGTGGCTCACACCTGTAATCCCAGCACTTTTGGAGGCTGAGGCGGGTGGATCACCTGAGGTCAGGAGTTCGAGACCAGCCTGGCCAACATGATGAAACCCCATCTCTACTAAAAATACAGAAATTAGCCTGAGTCATGGCAGGCACCTGTAATCCCAGCTACTAGGGCGGCTGAGGTAGGAGAATCGCTTGAACCTGGGAGGCGGAGGTTGCAGTGAGCCGAGATCGCGCCATTGCGCTCCAGCCTGGGCAACAAGAGTGAAACTCCATCTCAAAAAATTAAATAAATAAATAAAATACCCATCTGTTTCGTGCTGAGCACATACCTGTGTGGTCTTCTCTAATCATTTACTTATATATTTATTCAACAAATATTTGGTAAGCTCCCACTGCATTCCAGGCCCTCCCTTTAGTTTGGGAAATAAAGTGCAGTGTAGAGTTAAGCTTTGCAGACAGGAATCAAATAATCATACAAATATCTCATTACAAACTGTGATAAGGAGAGGCATAATCCTCACAAAAACAGGTTTATATTATCCCCACCCTTTTTCTAGATAAGAACAATGAAGATGAGAGTGATAAGGAGCTTGCTAGTGATTGGTGGGGCTAGGATCCCAATCCCAGTTTGTTGGCCCCCATAACCAGCACTCCTGCTATGCACTGGCCATACACAGCCAGGAACTGTGTACACAGCCTGGCTGTGTACGGCCAGGAATATGTTATCTAAAATCCGTTTGAGAACAGAAGGGCAGAGGCTTTCAAATGTTGATTCTTTGTCTAAGAGGGGTTCAAGTATAGCGACTCAGGGTCCTCAAGAATTATACAATCCTTCAAAACATCCTTAAGCATGTTCATTTTTTTTTTCTTTCAACTTGTATTTTAGGTTTGGGGTACACATGCAGGTTTGTTACATGGGTAAATTGCATGTCGTGGAGGTTTAGTGTACAGATAATTTTGTCACCCAGATAATCAGCACAATACCCACTAGGTAGTTTTCCAGTCCTCACCTTCCTTCCATCCTCTACCCTCAAGTAGGTCCTTGGGTCTATTGTTCCCTTCTTTGTATCCATGTGTACTCAATGTTTAGCTCCCACTTATAAGTAAGAACATGTGGTATTTGGTTTTCTGTTCCTGTGTTAATTCACTTAGGATAATGGCCTCTAGCCCTATCCATGTTGGTTCAAAGGACATGATCTTATTTTTTATGGCTGCGTAGTATTCCATGGTGTATATATACCACATTTTCTTTATCCAGTTTGCCATTGATGGGCATCTAGGTTGATTCTTTGTCTTTGCTATTGTGAATAGTGCTGCAATGAACATACACATGCATGTGTCTTTATGGTAGAAAAATTTATATTCCTTTGGATATATACCCAGTAATGGGATTGCTGGTATATATCCAAATGGTAGTTTCATTTTAAGTTCCTTGAGAAATCTTCAGGCCGCTTTCCACAGTGGCTGAACTAATTTACATTCCCATGAACAATGTATAAGCATTCCCTTTTCTCTGTAACCTTGCCAGCATCTGTTATTTTTTGACTTTTTAATAATGGCCATTCTGATTGGTGTGAGATGGTATATCATTGTGGTTTTGATTTGCATTTCCCTAATGACCAGTGATATTATTTTTTCATATGCTTGTTGGCTGCATGTATGTCTTCTTTTGAGAAGTGTCTGTTCATGTCCTTTGCCCATTTTTTAATCGGGTTATCTTTAAGGATGTTTGTTTCTGATGGCACAATAGTTTTAGGAAACCCTTTTGATTAGCCAAGATTTTTTGGCTTCAAAAGACATAGAAAATCCAATTCAAACTAGTTTAAGAAAAAGCAAATGAACTTTTAGGCATATCTAACCTAGATGTACAGGGGTTTAGAGCTAGGTCCAGGTGTTCCAATGACAATGTTGAGACTTAGTTTCTCTCTTCCTTCTGGCTCTGAATTTTCCTGGGTTCGTTCCGTTCTCAGGCAAGCTCCTCCCCTATGGTGGCAAAGATGGCCACCAGCTACCCAGAGCTCAATCCTGTCTGCTAATCCATCCCAGCAAACATAGTTCCTCCTTCTTAGCCATTCCTGCAAAAGTCCCAAGTAAAGCTCCCATTGGCCCAGCTTAGGTCACATGCTCATCCCCAAACCAATCTCTGTGGTCAGTGGAATGGAATGCTGGGATGAAGCAGCAGACTTTGGGCTCATGCCTACGGCTGGAGCTAGAGTTGGGGTCAGCCTCACCTCAACCACCAGGGACTGAGAGTGAGGAAGAGGTGATCACCTCAAAAAACCTAGAGCATTGTAACTACAAGAAGACAGAAGAGACAATGGGTGAGCAAAAACAATAAATGTCCACAACCTTGATATGGATGCCACCTACACTATGAGCAACATGTGGCAGAGTCCATGTCCTGACCCCTCTGTGGTCACAGAACTTAGTATGTAACATCCCTATGCAACTAATGCACCAGCCTGTGGATTCATTCATTCATTCCCCAGACCTGCTATGCACATCTTCTCTTTTACAAGGTGGTTTTGGCTTATCAACATTAAATAACATGGCAGCAATACGTTAGAATGTCAGTAGATATCACTGAGTTTCGTTCCTTTGTCTTCTTTTCTGAAACCTACTGATGCTGTAGGGCTTTGCAGAAGCTAAGCTAGCACGATGGTGTGGAGACAGTCATCAACAAATATTAATTGGTTGATTGTTAGAAAAGGAACAATAGGGAAGACCCACCTGTTTTGTTCCTGGGGTTCTTGGTGTGGCTATTGATTTTAGCCCTTAAATTTTCCATCACTGGGAATGAGTGAGTTATCCTTGGTTTGATGACAAATGGAGACAATATGGCAAAGCATGTTAAATAAAGTCAACTTTTTAAAAGGTTTAGAGCTTGAGCATTGATTTTGGTCATTGTGATCTCATCCCAGAATATTTAATGATGCATAGTACCTATTTAATAACTTTCTTTGAAGAGTTTGAAGTTTAACAAAGTTTTTCTCTGTCATCATCTTGAATTATCTTTAGCCATCCTGATTTTCAGAATGTGGTTCTTCCGATCTCATTTCAACAAAGGAGATAAAAACAAAACATTGATGAGAAATTAGGGCAGAGAGGAACTATAAGCAGGAAACCATCGAGTAGATGCCACTATCCGTCTATAATTCAATGGTGAACTGAATGGCAAACGAAAAACTTACCTCCCCAGAATTTGAGTTTTGTGGGAAGGTTCTCTTCATTCCCATCAGGAGTGAATATAAAGGCTCATTGTGTCTTTGAAATTTTTCTGTCTTGTTTCCCTCTGTTCTTCCTTTATCCCTTGATCAAAGGTTCAACAGTAAGTGGTTGAGATGGTTTTTACTGTGTGTCTAACAAGCTGACATAAAATCTAATGACGTAAATAATGGTCAGCTGTAGCTGAGGTCTCCTGCCTCTTTTTCCTAGTGTTCACTGTAAAGGAATTTAAGCATATGTGTGTGCACATGTGCACGTGCGCGCGCGCGCGCACACACACACACACACACACACACACACACATTCATGCACTCTTTTTAAATTTCCCATAAAAACTCTACTTTTGAAATTATCCAGGATATCCTTGAGTGGTTGGTTCCAAACTCCAGAGGCTCTAGAGGTTTACTGACAGACAGATCACACTCACTGTGTGCACTGCCTGGATATAGTATTTTGGTGCTCTCACCACTCACATCCCCCATGCACCCCATCCTCGCCACAGGACACTCTGCATTGACATGCATTAATGTGTGTGTGAAGTGCCAACAATTTGCAGATGATTACAGGGCAATTTGCTGATATAGAGGGCAGAATCTGAACATCTCATGTTACTTAAGAGAAAAACCAAATCATTGGTTACTTAAGGATTTTTTTCTTTTTACATTTTTAAATATGATACAAATTATCTAAAAAGAAGTTGAAGGATTTTTTAACTTCTAAGATCAACTTCCTTTGCCAAGAGAAGAAGAATTTTTTTAATCTCTCAAGAAGAAATTGGGAAGGCTCTTCCGTGTAATTTGGCAACATCTAACAAAATTTAAAATGCATAGACCTTTTAACTCAACTATTCGACATCTAAGAATTTATCCGAAAGATAAACTTTGACCTAGGTACAAACACTTAAGTAAAAAGAATACTTATTTTTTTCACTGATTAAAAATTTATTAATACTATTATGCAAATAATTTTAGTGATAACCACAAGGGTTTTGTACTGTTAGTACATAAATACATACAAAAATGCATTTTGAAACTTCTTGTATCCCCTTTATCCTTTTCAATTTCTGTTTATGTTTGCTCTACAATATATATGATGGATCTGTGCAGTAGAAAATTTTTTGCTGATGAGTATGGTACAATCAGAAATGTTTGGAGACTGTATCAGTTTCTTCTTGCTGCTGTAACAAATTATTATGACCTTTGTGTCTTAAAACAACACAGTGATATTTTACAGTTCTGGAGGTAAGAAATGCAACATGGCTCTCACTGAACTAAAATTGAGGGGTCAGCAGGGTTATAGTATTGGAGGCTCCAGAGGAGAATCACTTCCTTGCCCTTCTACCTGCAGAGGCCACCTGCCTTCCTTGGCTCATGACCCTGCATCATTCCAGTTTCTACTTACATTGTCTCATCTCCTTCTCTAACTCCTGCCCCCGACCCCTTATAAGGACTGTTGTGATTCCACTGGGCCCACTCAGAGAATCCAGGATCATCTCCCCATCTCGAAGTCCTTAAGTCAGTCACATCAAGAATATTTATTTTTTTAAAAAAGAATATTTATTGCAGCAGCATCATAGCAAAAGGCTGGAAACAACCTGGATACCATGCCATTAACAGGAAACAGGTTAAATCAATCATGGTGCATCCACCAGTAGCATACTATACAGCTGTTAAAAAGAATAAGTTAGATATATTTGTGCTACTATGGGTTTCTCTTTGAGCTATTGTGATAGGTTAAAAAAAAAAAGCAGGAGGCAGAATTACATGGGTAATGTGAGCCTGAGTTTTTTAAAAGTTTAAGTGTAGCTTAATACCCATATTTACTCATATTCCATAAGGAATTTCTAGAAGGATGCAATAAGAACTGTTAATAGTCATTTTCTCTGGAGAGGAAAACAAGATCTGGAGTGAAAGGAAAAGACTGTATGTAACAGGCAATCTGTAGAACACTCCACCCAACAGCAGCAAATACACATTCTTTTCAAGTGCACATGGGACATTTACCAAGATAAATATTAATATCTTCTGGGCCATAAAACAAGTTTCAGTACCTTTAAAAGAATCAAGGCATACAAAGCATGTTCTCTGACAGCAGTGGAATTAAATTAGAAATAAATTTCAGAAAGATTTTTGGGAAGTTCCCAAATCTTCAGAATCTCAATAATATACATTTCAGTGACCCATGGGTCAAAGAAGAAATCAATGGGAAATTAAAAAGCACTTGGAACTGAATGAAAATGAAAACAAATATATCAAAATTTATGGAATGTCATTAAAGCAGTACTTAAAGGGAAACTTACAGCACGAAATACCTGAATTAGAAAAGAAGACACAATTACCACAGGTATCAGGTGAAGGAAGGGAGGGAGGGAAATGAGGGAGGGGGGAGGGAGGGAAATGAGGGAGGGAGGGAGGGAAATGAGGGAGGGAGGGAGTAAAGGGGAGTGGAGGGGAGGGAAGATTGGTCAAAGGATACAAAATTTCAGTTAATAGGAATAAGTTCAGAAGAACTATTGTACAATATGGTGACTATAGTTAATAAATAAGGTATTTGTATTAGTCTATCTTCATGCTACTGATAAAGACACACCTGAAACTGAGCAGTTTACAAAGGAAAGAGGTTTAATGGAGAACTCAGTTCCATGTGGCTGGGGAAGCCTCACAATCATGGCTGAAAAAAAGGAGAAGCAAGTCACATCTTACGTGGATGGCAGCAGGCAAAGAGAGAACTCGTGCAGGCGAACTGCCACTTTCTTAAAACCATCAGATCTTGCGAGACTCGTTCACTATCACAAGAACAGTGCAGGAAAGACCCTCCTTCTTAAAGAGACAAGGTCTTACTCTGTCACCCAGGCTGAAGTGCAGTGGTACGATCATAGTTCTCCGTAACCTCGAACTCCTGGGCTCAAGCAATCCTCCCTCAGCCTCTCAAGTAGTTGGGACTACAGGTGTGTGCCACCATGCGCAGCTAATTTTTAAATTTTTTGTAGAGATGGGGACTTGCTCCTCCTTGTCTTCGGCCATGATTGTGAGGCTTCCCCAGCCACATGGAACTGAGTTCTCCATTAATGCTCTTTCCTTTGTAAATTGTTCAGTCTCAGGTATGTCTTTATCATAATTCAGTCACCTCCCACTGGGTTCCTCTCATGACATGTGGGAATTGTGGGAGTTACAATTCAAGATGAGATTTGATGGGGACACAGAGCCAAACCCTATCAGTGTTATATACTTGAAACTTGCTGAGAGAGTAGATTTTAAGTGTTTTTAGTAAAAAAAAAATAAAAAATATGTGAATGTTAATTAGCTTGATTTAGCCATCCCCAATATATACATATATCAAAATATGTTGTACATCATAAATATACACAATTTTTATTTGTCCAGTTAACAAATCATCATCATCATCTACAGGGTTGCTGTGAAAATTGAAATAAAAAGGCCGGGCATGGTGGCTCATGCCTGTAATCCCAGCATTTTGGGAGGCACAGGCACGTGGAGCACCTGAGGTCAGGAGTTCAAGACCAGCCTGGCCAACATGGCGAAACCCCGTCTCTACTAAAAATACAAAAATTAGCCAGGCGTGGTGCCACACGCCTGTGATCCCAGCTACTCAGGAGGCTGAGGCAGGAGAATCACTTGAACCTGGGAGGCAGAGGTTGCAGCGAGCCAAGATTTTACCACTGCACTCCAGCCTGGGTGACAAAGCGAGACCTTGTCTCAAAAAAAAAAAAAAAGAAGAAAGAAAAAAAGAGAGAGAGAGAGAAAGAAAAAATGTGCATTGCCTATTATTATTATTTTGAGACAGAGTCTCGATCTGTCGCCCAGGCTGGAGTGCGATGGTGTGACCTTGGCTCACTGCAACCTCTGCCTCCCAGGTTCAAGTGATTCTCCTCCCTCAGCTTCCTGAGTAGTTGGGATTACAGGCGCCCACTACCATGCCCGGCTAATTTTTGTGTTTTTAGTAGAGACGGGGTTTTACCACGTTGGTCAGGCTGGTCTCAAACTCCTGACCTCAGGTGATCCACCTGCCTCAGCCTCGCAAAGTGCTGGGATTACAAGCGTGAGCCACTGTGCCCAGCCAACCCTGCCAATTATTAAGTAACATGCAAATATAAATAATGATTAATGAAAATATATTTAAGAACTCACTTTAACCCAGACAGTTAAATATAATAATTTTCATCCAAAGATATGATTATTTAACTTAATTTAAAATTTTTTAAAAATAAGAAAAGAAGAAGTAAAACTTCATGAAGTAAAGAGATAAAATGACCTGGTCACCTATGTAGAAAATCTGATGGAATCTATGAAAAAGCTACTAGATCTAAAAAGTAACTTTAGCAGTGTTGCAGGGTACTAGGTGAATATCTAAAAATCAACAAACAACAGGAAATAGAATATTTTAAATGCCATTTGAAATAGTATCAAAGATGTGAAATACTCAAGGTTAAATTTGGCAAAAGATATGCATGACTTTACACTAAAACCTATAAAACTGCTGAGAGAAGTTAAAGAAGGCATTAATAAATGGAGATATATACCTGGTTCGTGAATCAGAAGACTTAATATTGTTAAAATGCCAGCTCTTCCCAAATTGAGCTATAAGATTAATACAATCTCTATCAACATCTCAGGCTTTTTTTAAGAAACTGTCAAGCTGTTTCTGAACTTTAAATGGAAATGCAGAGGACCAAGAAGGGCCACAATGACTTTTGTAGAGAAGAACAAAGTTAGAGGGCTAAGACTACCTGATTTTAAAATCCATTTTAAAGCCACAGTACTTAAGACAATGCAGCACTGGCATAAAAATAGACAAATAAATCAATGGAACAGAATTGAGAGTTCAGAAATAGGTTGGGTGCCGTGGCTCGTGCTTGTAATCCCAGCACTTTGGGAGGCCGAAGAGGGAGGATCACTTGAGGCCAGAAGTCTGAGACCAGCCTGAGCAACATAGCAAGACCCTGTCTCTGCAAAAAAATAAAAATAACCCAGGCAGTGGGTTGTGCCTGCAGTCCCATCTGCTCAGGAAGGTGAGGTGGGAGAATTGCTTCAGCCAGGGGTTTGAGGATACAGTGAGCTATGATCATACCACTGTACTCCAGCCTGGATGACAGAGTAAGACCCTGTCTCCACAGTAAATAAATGAATTAACCCACATGTATATGGTCACCTGATTTTTGACAAAAGACAATTCAATGGAGAAAGGACAGTCTTTTCAACAAAAGATGCTGGAACAGCCGAGCACAGTGGCTCACGCCTGTAATCCCAGCATTTTGGGAGTCCAAGGCAGGTGGATCACCTGAGGTCAGGAGTTCAAGATCAGCCTGGCCAACATGATGAAACCCCGTCTCTACTAAATATACAAAAAAATAGCCAGGCTTGGTGGCGCACACCTGTAATCCCAGCTACTTGGGAGGCTGAGGCAGGAGAATCCCTTGAACCAGGGAGGTGGAGGTTGCAGTGAGCCAAGATCATGCCACCACACTGCAGCCTGGGTGACAGAGCAAGAGTCCATCTCAAAAAAAAAAAAAAAAATCGTGGAACAACTGATTATCTATACTTCATACCTCACATGACACACAAAAAAAATGCAAAATAGATCATAGACTTAAATATAAAACTGTAATCTTCTACAAGAAAACATAGGAGACAGTTTTGTGACTTTGATTTAGGCAAAGATTTCTCATATGTAACACCAAAAATATGATCCAAAAAGAAAAAAAGAATATAAACTGGACTTCATACAAATTTAAAACTGTTCAGAGAATGAAAAGAAATCCATGGTCCAGGAGAAAAATAATTGCAAGGCATATCTCGAATAAAGCATGTGTTTATATAGAATATAGAAGGAGTGTTCAAAATCCAATAATAAGAAAGCAAACAATCTGATAAAGAAATGGGCAGGGCCAGGTGCAGTGGCTCATGCCTGTAATCCCAGCACTTTGGGAGGCCAAGGCAGGCAGGTCACCTGAGGTCAGGAGTTTGAGATCAGCCTGGCTAACATGGTGAAACCCTGTGTCTACTAAAAAATACAAAATTAGCTGGGTGTGGTGGCATGTGCCTGTAATCCCAGCTACTCGGGAGGCTGAGTCAGGAGAATCGCTTGAACCCAGGAGGCGGAGGTTGCAGGGAGCCAGAATTGCGCCACTGCACTCCAGCCTGGGCGACAGAGTGAGACTTTGTCTCAAAAAAAAAGGCTGGCTCTGTGCAGTAGCTCACGCCTCTAATCCCAGCACTTTGGGAGGCCAAGGACGGCAGATTGCTTGAGCCCAAGACTTCAAGACCAGCGTGGGCAACATGGGGAAACCCTGTCTCTACAAAAAATACAAACATTAGACAGGTGTTGTGGTGCAGGCTCGTAGTCCCAGCTACTCAGGAGGCTGAGGCAGGAGGATCGTGTGAGCCCGGGACATCAACATTGCAGGGAGCTGTAATTGTGCCACTGCACTTCAGCCTGACAGAGTGAGACCCTGTCTCAAAAAATAAAGAAATAAAAATAAAGAAATGGGCAAAATATTTGAACAGATGATAGATGCCTCACCAAAGAAGATATAGGGATGGCCAAAAGCACATGATTAAGATGCCAAATGTCATTAATCATTAGAGAAATGCAAATTAAGTTCACAATGAGACACCACTACATACCCACTGGAATGGCTTTAATCACAAAGACGGACCATACCAAGGGCTGGCAAGGATGTGGAGCAGCCAGAACTCTCATCCACTGCTGGAAAATGGTACAACCACTATGGAAAATAATTCATCTGTTTCTTTCTTTTTTTTTTTTTTTTTTTGAGACAGGTTCTCACTCTGTTACCCAGGCTGGAGTGCAGTGGTGTGATCATAGCTCACTGCAGCCTCAACCTCCTGGGCTCAAGTGATCCTCTGGCCTCAGCCTCCTGAGTAGCTGGGACTATGGGTGTGTGCCATGAAACCCAGTTAATTTTTGTATTTTTTGTAGAGACGGGGGTCTCATTATGTTGCCCAGGCTGGTCTCAAACTCCCAGGGTCAAGCAATTCTCTCACCTTGACCTCCCAAAGTGCTAGGATTACAGGCATGAGCCACCATGCCCAGCCTCATCCATTTTTTCAAAAGTTAAACACTACTTATTATATGACCTAGCAAACAAGCTCAGTAAAAATAAAAAGCTTACATCTAGACCAATGTGTGAATTAATGTTCATAGCAGCCTTATTAGAACTGAAAACTAGAATCAACCCAAACGTCTACCTACAGGCGAATGGATAAACAAATTCTGATGTATCCATACAATTGAATAGTACTCAGCAATAGAAATGAAATATTAGGCTGGGCATGGTGGCTCATGCCTATAATCCCAGCACTTTGGGAGGCTGAGGTGGGCGGATCATGAGGTCAAGAGATCGAGACCACCCTGGCCAACATGGTAAAATCCTGTCTCTACTAAAAATACAAAAATTAGCTGGGCGTGGTGGTGCATGCCTGTAATCCCAGCTACTCAGGAGGCCAAGGCAGGAGAATCGCTTGAACCGGGGAGGCGGAGGTTGCAGTGAGCCAAGATCTCACCACTGCACTCCAGGCTGGCAACAGAGGGAGACTCTGTCTCAAAAAAAAAAAAGAAAGAAAGAAATGAAGTATCGATAAACACCGCATGTACTGAATCTCAAAGCAATTATGCTGACCAAAACAAGCCAGAAAAAAGAATACATACTATATGATTCCAATTGTTTAAACCTCTAGAAAATTCAAACCAAAGTCTATAGTGAAAGAAAGCAGTTTAGTGGTTTTCTGGGGAGGGTAACTGGAGGAAGAGCTTATCCAAAGGGATAACAAGGAAATTCTTGGGGTGCTGGATTTGTTTATTATGTTGATTGTGGCAATGGCTTCACAGATGTGTACATACGTCAAAACTTAAGAAATTGTGTACTCTAAATATGTCTAGTTTATTGTATGTCAGTTGTGCCTCAGTAATGCGTTAAATAAGTAAACACATTAAAAGAGAGAAAGAAAAAGAATGAAATTACTCCAAGAAAGGTTTACATAAATTGTGCTATCCTGTGGATCTCTGACTGTGACCTTGAACTTTTACTCTGTATTAGTCTGTTCTCTCATTGCTATAAAGAAATACCTGAGACTGGGTAATTTATAAAGAAAAGAGGTTTAATGGCTGGGCACAGTGGCTCATTCCTGTAATCCCAGCACTTTGGGAGGCCAAGGCAGGCAGATCACTTAAGGTCAGGAGTTCGAGACCAGCCTGGCCAACATGGTGAAACCCCATCTCTACTAAAAATATAAAAATTAGCCAGGTATGGTGGCGTGTGCCTGTAATCCCAGCTAAAGAAAAGAGGTTTAATTGTCTCATCATTCCTCAGGCTGTACAGGAAGTATGGTGCTGGCATCTGCTCAGCTTCTGGGAAGGCCTCAGGAAATTTGCAATCATGGCGGAAGGTAAAAGGGAAGCAGGCACGTCTTACATAGCCAGAGCAGGAAAAGGAGGGGGTCAGGGGAGGTGCCACACATTTTTAAACAGCCAGATCTCATGAGAACTCACTCACTGTGCGGTACCCGGGGAGGGGAGATGGTGCTAAACCATTCATGAGAACTCCATGCCCATGATCCAGTCACCTCCTACCAGGCCCCGCCTCTAACACTAAGGATTACAATTTGACAGGAGATTTGGGCGGGGACACAGATCCAAACCATATCACTCCTCATTCTCAAGAATGTGTACGTTTGGGTAAAGGCCTGGGTTTTTCTGTTTGTTTTTTTGTTGTTTTTTTTTTTGGCACCCCTGCGAAATTGGTTTCACACAGACCTTATTTTAGACATTTCTTAGATAACTAGCATTTACCCCTCTTTTTAATATTTGCCTGTTTTAATGGGGGGGGCAAACAAATGTTTTCTAAGCCCAGTAGCCTTAAACTACCAAGTGAACCAGGAAAGACCTTATTTACATTGCTCTTCAGCATCTGTGAATTGAGAAGAAATTCTTTTTCCAGAGGAAAGTCTTTGCTCACTCAATGTTTGGGAATCTCTCATGCTGCATCCTGAAGACTCTGGGGAGGTGGAAAACACCCAGCCATCCTGACAGCGCAAAATCATGTCTTGTCTTATTATGTCCTTAGTCTGTTAAGAAGCTTTTATAAATATTAAATAAACAAAGTTCAGTCCCTTGGGTCTTAAAGGGAAATAGTTCTTTCAGTGTAGAAAAAAACTCTCCCTAGCCAAGTCTTTTTAGACAAAGGATTTTCCCCTGATGATCCAAGAACTGGCAATTAGGGCAGGAAGGATGGGGTCTGTGTGACACATTTGGGAGCTAAACCAAGCAACTGTAAAGTGAGAAAATGGGATGGGATGTCCTCGAAGGTTCACGCTGTTTTACAGTTCTGTCACTCACGAGTGACAAGGACAGGTCCAAATTTTAGTTCTGGCTTTGCCACTCATTTGCAGACTCACATGGTCCAGTAAGTCACCTCACTAAACCTGAGTTACCTCGTTAGCTAAATAAGGATAGTAAAGTACAATCAAAAGCCATGCATTTAAAACATCTGTGCGTAAGCAGCAACACAGCTCTGATGCTGGCTTTAGGACCTGGGTCGGGGACAGTGCTGCTTCACTTGTTGGGGACCACTAGACAATCGCCGGTGGGCACAAGTGTGACAGCCTCTCAGTGGGGCCACACCCAGGAGCACCCCAAAGTGAGAAGCAGCAAGGACCCACATTCTGTGCTGCGTCTCTCACTAATCCACACATATCCATGGGTTGACTCCAGCCAGAACTCCATTCAAGTCACCTCCTAACTGCCAGGCCTGTGCTAGATGCTCTCGCCTATATAATCTCATTTACTTCTCAGATTGACAGCTCTCAGCAGGTAAAGCTTAAAAGGCTTGCATTTAATAGAGAAGTGGCGGGGCACAGTGGCTCACGCCTGTAATCCCAGCACTTTGGGAGGCCGAGGCAGGTAGATCACCTGAGGTCAGGAGTTCGAGACCAGCCTGACCAACAGGGTGAAACCTCGTCTCCCTGTCTCTACTAAAAATACAAAAATTAGCCGGGCATGGTGGTGGGTGCCTATAATCCCAGCTACTTGGGAGGCCAAGGTAGGAGAATTGCTGAATCCAGGAGGCAGAGTTTGCAGTGAGCCGGGATCACGCCATTGCACTCCAGCCTGAGCAACAGAGCGAGACTCCGTCTCAAAAAATAAAAATTAAAATAAAAAAATAGAGAATAGAGGGAGCCCAGCAGGGAGAGGAAAGTAGAGAATCCTTCCCATGCAGCCCCCGTTTACCTCTGGGGCAGAGAGAGGGGAATCTTCTAAAGGTGGAAGAGTGTAATGCTCAGCTACAGATAAATACGTGTTGCCCTCCTTCTGTTCATCTAGGCATGCTCAGGATTTCAGATTGAGAGAGTTGTAAATGCATAACTCCTCCATCATTACAGCATCCAGTGGCCCCTCCCTCACTCCCTGACCGAGGCCTTCCCTGACTAGCCCCATATAAATGAGTCACCTTTCAGCCCTCCCCGCTGCCCCACCCTGATTGATTGAATACTTGATTGGTTGATTTTAGAGAAGAGGCCTCGCTCTGTTATCCAGGTTGGAGTGCAGTGGCGCTATCATAGCTCACTGCAACCTCTAACTCCTGGGCTCAAGCGACCCTCCTACTCTGCCTCCCGAGTAGCTGGGACTATAGGCATGCACCACCACACGAGGTCAACTTTTCTATACTTCATAGAGACAGGGTCTTGCTATGTTGCCTAGGCTGGTCTCAAAGCAATCAAGCGATCCTCTCACCTTGGAGGTGCTGGGATTACAGGCGTAAGCCCCCACGCCGGGCCCCCTGACTTGTTAATTCTCTGTGGCACATTTCCCTCCCGGGCTTGGTGTATGCTTACTTGTCGATGTGTCTGATGACTGTCTCCTCTCACTAGCGTTGAAGTGCTGTGAGAACCAGGACATAATCCCACTGCCTGGAGCAGTGCCCGCTGACCAAGTGTCTGCTGGATGGATGAAAGATAATGAAGGTCACCAATGGGCAATTTAAGGGACTTCCAAGGGCAGTTTTCATCCTACGAGATCTTTGCCTCTGGTGCTGCCTTGGAACCCACTGCTTTGGAGCTAGACGGTGCTGTTGGGATATTTCCCAGGAGGAGACACCCAGCAAAGCTTCTGATTTGTCCACCATTCCCTTTCTTACGCCAGGTGAATACAACACACACAATGGACCTTCCACACCAGCGAAAGAGGGAGACACAGACAGGCCGCACCGGGCCTCCGACGGGAAGCTCCGAGGCCGGTCTAAGAGGAGCAGTGACCCGTCCCCGGCAGGGGACAATGAGATTGAGGTAATCCAAAGGGGCTCTGTGTGACCTGGTGAATGTAATCTCCATCTGAGGCCCAAACAAGAGTGGGGACAGAGTTTTCTCCAAGTACGAGGCGGAGAATCGCCCTTCGTGTTTTACAAAGCATGAGCAGGGAAGCATGAGGTTGTCCAAGCAGGTAGTCCTGGGGCCAGGACAGAAGAGAGGTTCTCAAACTGAAGCAGCATCAGAATCACCTGGGGGGTGGGGGATGGTGCTTTTGAAATCAGGGATTGCTGGGCCTCAGCCCAAGAGTTTCCAATTCAGCAGATCTGGGGCAGGGCATGAGAATTTACGTTTCTGACAAGCCCCCAGATGATTATGATGCTCTGGATTGAGGACCACACTCTGAGAGTCCCTGATAAAGAAAAGAATGGGCCTCCGACCTTCCAGCTGGGTTAAAGTGGTTCTCTACCCTGGTTACACAGCAGAATCATCTGGGATGCTCTTTAAAAAACAGATACCCTGGCCCCATCCCAGATCAATTGAAAAGACTCACTGGAGGAACTAGGGGGGAGGAGGGGAGTTTTAAACATTCTCGGTGGGGACTCTAATAAGGCTTAGATATTGATCTGTGTGGAGGCTGGCTCTAATGAGTGTGCCTCTATTTCTGGGATTCTGGGATTCTGACTTCTCAGAAAGGGGCTCTCAACCTGGACTGCACACGACAATCACATGAGGACTTTGAGAAACCTTCATTATCAAGTTGCACCTCAGACCAATTAAATCCTATTCCCTGAGGGTAGAAGCTAGGCATCAGTGTTTTTAAAGCTCCGTGGGTGATTCCTGTGTGCAGCTCAGGCTGAGAACTAGTGGTCAGGGATGCTCCAATCTTTTTTTTTTTTTTTTTTTGAATTGGAGCCTCTCTCTGGCTCCCCCATCACCCAGGCTGGAGTGCAGTGGCACAATCTCGGCTCACCGCAACCTCCACCTCCCAGGTTCAAGCGATTCTCTTGCCTCGGCCTCCTGAATAGCTGAGATTACAGGTGCACGCCACCATGCTCAGCTAATTTTTGTATTTTTAGTAGAGACGAGGTTTTACCATGTTGGCCAGGCTGGTCTTGAACTCCTGCCCTCAACTGACCTACCCGCCTTGGCCTCCCAAAGTGCTGAGATTACAGGCGTGAGCCGCCATGCCCGGACTTTTTTTTTTTTAATCAGGTATACATGAGGTTTTCAACAGGTTGCTATGGGATACATACAGATAGTAAGATGATAATCATCATGAAACAGATTACCAAGTCTACCATCTCACAAAGTTACTTTTTCTGTCTGACAAAAGCAGCTAAAATCTACTTATTTAACAAAAATCCCTAATACAATATAACTTTGTTAACTCTAATTCTTGTGTTGCACATTAGATCTCTATACTTGTCATTTGTTATGCAAGTGTAGTAGTATTGGCCAGGTACTGACATTTTCCCAAAAACAAAACATTATGCCTAGGGGAGGGTACCAGTAGAAATAGGCAAAATGGATGCCCCAAAACCGGAAGTAAGCTACTGTTGTCTTATCAAGGGAGGAAAATGAGCAAACTCACCGGTTTATACTTCTTTGAAAAAGGCAGTCAGTTGCTGGCCTGAGTGTGCTAGGTGTCTCGGTAGGATTGTCAGTGCCAGGCAGTTCAAGTACACCAGCGTCACATCCCTATTTATAATCTGTATACTTTATGCGGCAGCTGCAATGCTCAGCCACAAACTCAAACACACTGAGAAAGATCACCTTTGTCATTTCCTTAAAAAGCAATGTAATTTTAACCCTGAGTCCCCATGCCACCAGATGGTAAGAAATTTCATTTCATTATTAGGGACCCTCCACTCCCAGGATTAAATGAGAATCCAGGGGTCAAGTGGTCTCAGAAACCAGACCAGCCTCTGACGTCCAGTGTGGCTGGGTGGCCCCTGCCACCTTCATTGTCAAAGCCTGCAGTCGTCACTAAAAGTCCAGCCACTCTCTGGTGTTTCCATGCTATACAATGGGTATGGAAATCTTTGTTGAGCCTGAGAACCTTGAAATATTTGCTACAATTCTTTGGTTGCAAGCAACAGAAACCAGTACCGGGCCCAGCACAGTGGCTCACGCCTATAACCTTACCACTTTCAGAGGCCGAGGTGGGCAGATTGCTTAAGTCCAGTAATTTGAAACCAGCCTGGGCAACATGGCAAAACACCATCTCTACCAAAAAAAAAAAAAAAAAAAAAAGCCAGCCATGGTGGCACACACCTGTAGTCCCAGCTACTCAGGGGGCTGAAGTGGAAGGATCAATTGAGCCCAGGAGGTAGAGGCTGCGTTGAGCCATGACCACACCACTGCACTCCAGCCTGGGCGACAAATTGAGAACCTATCTCAAAAAAAAGAAACCAGTTCTGGTTACTTAAGCAAAAATGAATTTACTAGGAAAGGACAATGAGAGGAGGCCGTAAAACCAAGTTTAGAAAGAAAGTAACAAAGACATTGTTGAGAAATCTAGGAATGCCAGAAAGCAAACATTTTAGAGTGCAGTGTCCTGTCCTTCGGTGTCCGATTCCAAGAAGACAGTATCCCAGTGGCCTAGCTTGGGTCTTACCCCTTAATTGACAGCCCCACCAAAATAGCACACAATGGGGAAGGAAAACTAGGATGCTCTTTTCAGAAGCCCTGAAGTTGGAAGCTAGGGGTGGGGACCGGGACCTCCAAGCAACACATGCTGACTTCAGCATGTTCAGGGCATTTGATATTTAGCCAGTGGTCCCTAGTTCACCTGTAGCAGTTGTTTATAGCTGGGGTCGGTTCTGATCACCCTGGAAGATATTAAATATCCTGAACATCATGCTTGGTGCCCTACACTTGGTCAGCCTCCCGAGATCTACCAGTAGCCTTGATCCATGCTAGAGACCTGGTGCAGAGCAAGTGTTCCCACTGTTCCTGGGGCCATTCTTAGTCCAGGGAATTCTGTCCTTGCTTTTTGCCTTGTTCTTAAAGCTCCATCCTTTCCCCAAATAGAGGAGATTTTGCACAATCCCTTCAGTGGGTTTAGGCCTTTGCAAAAGACTGAAAGAAAACGTATTGGCGTCAGGTTGTACTTGCTGTCTGCCTTCCCATATTCCTAGAATCTCCTACCAGCTTGAAGTTGCAGAGCTTCGAAAACACAGAGAGCCACACATACATAATATTCCCTCCCCACAAGAAAATTATTCAGTCACCTAACATGTTTTCTGCTCTCTGTAGGGGAACGGCGGGGGTAGAGAGAGATTTTTCCATTAAACTGAGAAAGAGGTGGGGAGGGTTATGGCATAGAAGTCAGGGATTATAGGGTGATATTATTCTGGAAACATCTGCTTCTTGATTTCAGCATAAGTACCACTGGCAAGAACCATTGAAAAGGTGTGAGCTGTGTTTCACTTCTATGCTTAATGTCATCATAGAAGGTTTGCTTGGGTCACACCTCTTAAGTCTTTGGCTGTTTTGCTAATGACTGAAGCCCACGGGAGAGAAATTATGTGGAAGTGG
This sequence comes from Homo sapiens, assembly GCF_000001405.40. Taxonomy (NCBI): domain Eukaryota; kingdom Metazoa; phylum Chordata; class Mammalia; order Primates; family Hominidae; genus Homo; species Homo sapiens. The sequence goes on from NC_000020.11 coordinate 47,092,886, forward strand.
AAAGGAGGAAAATTCTGAGCATGTATTAGTTAAAATCCTTCAGCTGCACGTGCCAGGGACCAACTTGAGCTACTTAGGTGAAAAAGCAGAATTTATTTTAAGGATACAGGGCCTCTCTTAGAACTTAAGGACAGAAGTAGAGTAGAGTATCAGCGAGGCACTGGAACCAGCAAGGGAGACAGGGACAAGAAACTGCATGTATGCCTTCTCTTCCCATTTGCCACAGTGAAGATGACAGAACTCCCAAACTATAGTGTCCTGGCCGTGCCTTCATGTGCTAGTTACTGGGCACAGCTCTCCTCTGGGCCTCCTCACTCCTCCTTTCCCTCTACTCCCAATGAAACCAGGTCCTGGTAAAGTGTTAGTTTGTTTGTATCTTTCACCTTCTGTTCTTGTCTCTGGAGACTACCTGTCAGATCCCGGGGTCTGGGTCCAGCCCATGCTGAAGTCCGAGGGGAGTGGGTGGATGGGCAGAAAGAACACTCAGGGGGCCATAGGAGGTGAAATGTAGTTTTATTTAGCAGCTTTCTCATCAGCAGCTTTCTCACATTAGCTGTCTCACATTGTCCACCTTTATCTCGGCTGTCTGCTTCAGCTCTGCGGCTCCTGCTGCCCTGACAGCTGCAGCCGCGCAGCCGGCTCTCCCTTGCCTTCAGGGTCAGCAGCTTAACTCTTCCCCTCTCTGGGCACCAGCGCAAGCTGTGCTGTGGCTCCCCTCTGTCTATCTGCAAAACAGTCATTCTCCCTTACAGGGGCCTGTAGCTTCATTCCCTCTCTGGGCACCAGCGCCTGCACAAGAGCCACATTGAGCCAAACTGAGCCAAGAGCCATGCCCTGTGCACAGCGTCAGCAGGGCAATTATATCTTCTAAAGACAGTAGTGACTGCAAGCCAAGTATGAACTACACAAACAGGTTATATAACAAGTGGAGGTATGCACCTGCACGCCAAACTCGCTGAGTCACGCAGGCCTGGGTATCCATCTCAGCCTAGTCCTTGACCAAAGCACATCCATGTGCCTTACGCTGCCCTTGTCTCCCCTTCAGATCACATGGCTAAACTTGGCCACCAATAGCCCTCCCCAAAAGACAATTACTTTCTTCCTAGCCCCAATTTTAAATTGCAAAATAAAAGGTCTCTGACCCACCCATGGTTAAGGACGCACCCTGGTCTGCACCATGATGGCCTAGGGAATAGGGTCACCTGCAGAATGGCCACCAGGAACTTACCCACTAAGAATCGAGGATGGTGAGGTAGTAGGAGAAAGGGATGGATTTTTTTCAGAGGGGATTTAATGGATAAAGTAAGGGAGCCTGCACTAAATTTGAAAATATTTGCTGATTTTTAAAAGTTCTATTACTGAAATTTCTAAATTTAATTTCCTAAGTTCAACCCCAGTGAATTCAGATAAGTTAGGACTTGGCATATTTGAATCTCAGAAGGTCCTTCTCAAACACTGATTTTCAAACATTTTTACCATGACCCGTAATAAGAAATATACTTACTATGATGGCCCAGCATATATATGCACATAAATATAACTGGTCCAAAAGATTTATGAAATAATACTTAGCCTTACTAATTGCTTCAGAAATCCCTGTACTAGAGAATCTGGGATGCTAATACCTTTTTCATTCTAGATATTTCTCTTAACTTTCAAAGGCATGGCAAATGCCATTGTGTTAATACAGCCATTGACCTCCAGAGAGTTTTAAAAGGTGGCCCACTCAAGATTGCATACTGGGGAGGGACATTTGCCTCCCCTTCTCAACACTAGCTACAGAGTTAGTCAGGTCCTTTGTCCTTGAAAATAATGATCACCAGAAAAATAAAGAAAATCAACAGTATGAAAAATAAAGAACAAGATTAGCCAGGCGTAGTGGCTCACCATGCCAGCACTGTGGGAGGCCAAGTGGGGAGGATTGCTTGCATTCAGGAGTTCAAGAACAGCCTGGGCAACATAGCGAGACCCTGTCTCTACAAAAAGAAAGATCAAAAATTAGCCAGGCATGGTGCCACATGCCTGTAGTCCCACTACTCAGGAGGCTGAGGTGGGAGGATCGCTTGAGCCTGGAGAGGTCTAGGCTGCAGTGAGTGATGATTACGCCACTGCACACAGGCCCTGTCTCAAAAAAAATTTTTTTAATTAAAAACAATAAAGGCCAAGGTAAATAAATGGGATAAGTTAGAAGTGAAGTAATTTAAGAAACATAAAATAACTTAGGAAAATTCTAATTGGTTTTCATATAAAAACTCAAGATCTTGCATCCATAAAATAAAAAGTGGAGGCTACTGGGAAAGGAATACTCAGAGGGAAAAAAAGTTATTGGAAATCTTTTAATTACTGCAAAAATCAAAAATTTAATAAGGGTTATAAGAGAAAGTTTAAGAAATCTCCCAGAACACAGATCAAAAAGACAGATTTATTAAAAAATATTATTTACAAGGAAAGGCAGTATCAACCCAAAAGGTTTGATTTGACTATTGGGAATTTCACAAAAAGAAAACAGTAGAAAAGATGGGAGAAAATTATTAAAAGAAATAAGAAAATAAAAATTTTCAGATCTGTAGAAAGATGCAAGTCATTGGGTTGAAAATGCTGAAGTGCCAAACAGAATTCATTAAAAAGAAGACCATACCCAGATATATCTTCATGGAATTTGAGGATACCAAGTGTAAAGAAAAGATCCTTTAAAATTCTAGAAAGAAAAAAAAGGTAAAACCTACAAGGACTGAGGAACAGTGAAATACCAGATTTCTCATCAGTGACCCTGGACACTTAAAAAAAATGATGAAAGAATTCTTTCAAAGATCTAGAGGATATTGTTTTCAAATTGGAATTCTGTACCCAGAGAAACTATAGAGAAAAATAAAGATAACTTCAGATATTCGAGAATTCAGGAAGATTACTTTCCATGTACCATTTCAGGAAAAGCAACTTAAGGATGTATTCAAGCAAAACAAGGAAGAAAACCAAGGAAGAGAGACTTGGGATCCAGAAAACAGTGGATCCAACCCAGAAATACAATGAAGGGAAGTCTGCAGCAAGCCTAAAAATGATCCAGTCCACATTGGAGGTTTCTATCACTGAGGATAGATATCTCCAATACAGAGTGTGTGGCTGAATTTGACATTTTAATGAAGGTACATTGTTGCAAACAAGAAAAAATTAATAAATTCTGACAAAACCAAAAAAGTTACATCAGACAGGTATGATACATATATGAACAAACTGAGATATGACATTATTTTAATTATGATGGAGTACAAGTAAAGAGAATACATACAATGGTAGGGGCATTCTCCTTAAAATCAATCTGGGGATATGACATTGGACACATAGAGAAGACAATGCAATCTTAGCATATTACTTGGCTCTGTAGTGAACAATAATCACAAAATGTAAATGTATATTACTAGTTACCAACTTTTAAAATTGACATAGGCAGAGTGCAGAAAATTTAACCTTAGTTATAAAACCAATGTACAAACAAGTTTATCCTCATTGACAATATGAAGGTAAAGCTACAGCTGATAGACATTAGAGCGGGGAGGATGTATGGGAAAAGGTAGGGACTCCCATATCGATAGCTCCATGTTTGTTTACCTTTTTAGCCAAGGGAGAATGTCCAAGGAGAATTGGAATAGAGGGACTCACATATGAGAAAAATGTAAGTTTCCAGAGAAACAACAGAGATTTCCATGAGTTAAACCCTCATCTTTTAAGACTGCCCAGTCAAAAGATATTGTCTCAAGTTGAAAAATCAGTAAGGGTATAAATATGTTACTTAGAATTATAGAGGTGATCACCAGACTTGCTAAAAACAGAAATAGTTGAGCGTATGGTGAACAGTGAATTTAAAATGGTGGTATTTCATTTTGTAAAACGAGTTATATGATTTTCGTTGTTGATTTTGGCCTGAATCCTCCTTTTTGAGCTTTTATATGGAAGGCAAGGACAGACTTCTTGATTCTGACATCTTTTGAGTTGATAAGAGCCCAAAAACTGGGCATCCGAATACACATGACACAGATAAGGTTGGATGGGGATTCATGACACATCAGTGAGTTACATGTTTTGTAACTAAAGATAATGTTTTTCGAGACTTCTTTTCCTCCAAGGGAATGAATTTCTGCAGACATTAAGTCAGATGCACGTGAGTCCATTTTTCTCCATTCTCTTCCTCTCTTTCATCACAGCGTGTGTTCGTGTGGGACTTGGATGAGACAATAATTATTTTTCACTCCTTACTCACGGGGACATTTGCATCCAGATACGGGAAGGTAAGAATCCATTTTGTCTCTCTCTCTCTTTTTTTGTTTTCAACGTTATTGTCCAGCCAGTTTGTCCTGGAAATTGTGCGGACAGTTTATGAGGCAGCTTCTCCAACAAAAGCTGCCCTTTGGGGTCAGCCCAGGTTTAAAAATTCCTATGACATTTTCCTTTGCCATGTGAAAATTTAATTAGCTTCCCCTTCTATTGTCTTCCATGCCTTTTCTTCCAACGTTTGAAGCAATCAACATTTACTTGATAGGAAATACACTTGTTGTCTTCAGCCGTCTCCCTTCCTAAGACAGTGGGCTATGGTGCAGCCAAAGCCAGTAATTCTAGCTAGAAAACGAGGTAAAGTACTTTTCTTCTTCCCTGTTGTTTATCCTAGTGTCTCCGGCAGATGAATTTAATTTTCCTTCTGTTTTTTTGAGACAAGGGGGAGGCATTGTCAGCTCCAGTGTGGATCTTAGCAATCGTTTTGCAAATGTATCATCAACAAATTATGTCGGGGAACCATCTAGTTAGAATTCTAGGCAAATGCTATTGGCTGAATCGTGGTGGATGGAAGAGACCTTGAAACCACTTTAATAATGCAAAAATGAACTCAACTGCTAAAACTCAAACCTTGTCAATTATTTGGGTTCATCCCATGGGCTACTGAACAGACGACGAGTGGATGCCCTAGACATCTGTCATCTCTTCAGGGGCACGCATGGGGTGGAAGGGCAGTACTTAAGACGACAGCCTAGTTTTCATCTCCTCAGAGGTGAGTGACCCACTGGCAGCTGCTTCCACGCATGGGTAGGAACCTTGAGACTTGCCAGCGCCTGGAAAATATTTCTGTTTCTGTTTAGAGACCAGGAATATGATTTGACATCACTTCATGGCTTTTCCAGCTGCTCATGTTTTTTATGGGGGTTATAACAAGCTGGATGTGTAATTAGCAAGATAGATTTATCGTCTGCCATTATGTTGTAAAGAATATAAAAATGGTGTTGGTGGTGCAGAAATCTCTTGCCGTGTAGGAATGCCGTTAATATGTCTAGCAGTGCCTGTGGGAAATCCAGCATGCATTTTTGGACTGTGCACAGCTTAGGTAAAAGATGGCAGAGTCAAGAGCTGCTGAAAACACTGAAGAATGGGCTCCACAGCCATTGCAAAAATTTGGGCTATCCCAAAGGGGCCACAGTAGTAAGTTGCCTGCTAAGTCGTGGTGTTTTATGGTTTTCCTAACCACTCCTGTAAAGTCACCTCCCCTGAGACACAGGCACTCACTCATCTTGCCCTTAGAGGCAGCCTGCTGTGAAGTTCCATAGCTCCGTGCAACAACTCACTTAGTATGGATTGTGTAGGGATGTGTGATCTTGGGTATGATTTTTGTATCTGTGTCTCACCAACATTCCTCAAACCAAACTGTGGGCTCCTTCAAGTCAGAGACAAAGCCCCGAGTTCCTTTCTGGGCCCCATGTCCCCTGGCCCATGCCATTCCTCACTGCCAGCCACCTCTCTCCCACCTCACCACCCAATTCCAGCCACCTTCACCTCCAACTCGGCTTCCTATCTGGTCTCCCAGCTTCTACTCTTGCCCACTGCAGCCCCCTACATTGGAGTCATCCTGAAATGCAAGCTTGGCCATATCACTCTCCAGCCGAAAAATCTTCAGTGGCTTCCCCATTGACAAGCCTACCCCCAGCCTCCAAGGCTCTTCATGAGTAGCCTCCTGCCCCATTCTCCAGCCTCCTTTCCTGCTCTTACCCTGAGTTGTTTTTGGTCCTTGAACCTGCCACATTCTCTCCCATCGCTGCTGGGTTTCTCCCAGAAGATCCTGAGACAAAGAGTGAGTGCGAGTAATCTATCTGGGAGGTAATCCCAGGAAGTAGTGGGGAATTCAGGCAAGGAGGGAAAGGAAGCCAATACAAATTACACAAATATAATAGTTACTGCCGTGGGCAGTTGGGGCTAAGTCCCACCAGGGACAGTGTTAACCCACCCAAGGAGTGAGGGAGCTGGGATATTTACCTGCAAATTCCCTTCCATTAAGCGTTGAAGGCTTTTCCTGGAAATTGTCTCCTTGCACTTCTGGCCTGTCCCCAAGAAGCCGCAGAGGGCAGCCTTGGTGGCTGACACCTATAATCCTAGCACTTCGGGAGGCCGAAGTGAGAGGATTGCTTGAGGCCAGCCTGGGCAACATAGTGAGACCCCATCTCTTTAAAAAACTTAAAAATTAGCCTGGTGTGATAGTGTGTACCTTTGGTCCCAGCTACTCAGGAAGCTGAGAAGGGAGGATCGCTTGAGCCTGTGGTGAGCTATGATCGCACCACTGCACTCTAGCCTGGGCAACAGAGCAAGACCCTGTCTCAATCAATCACTCAATCAATAAAAAGAGAGCCCCAGGGTAGAGCATCACAAATGCTAACTGTGGAAGGTTTCTTCATATATGTACAGGAATGGTGACAGTTGAGGGGACGTGGAGCTGGGGCACACTGGAAGCCTCTGCTATAATCTAAGATGTTCTAGAATGTTCTTTTATTAAGTTAAATCCTACTTATCTTTCAGTTCTCATTTAAAACGTAGCTTCCTCCAAAAGGACTTTCCTCAGTACTCCTCTCCATCTAAATTGCGTCTGTCCTCATAACTGTGTTTTCCATTCATGTCATAATTATGTTTATTTTTATTTTATGTCTTCCTTCTAGGCTATAAGCACCATAAGGGCAGAGACCATGAACATTTTTTTTTATTTCCCCAACCACGCGCAGTACACAGGGCAGAATTGCTCAATAAATATTTGTTGAATGAATGAATCAGGGTGATCCCCTAGAATGTTAAGCTGCACGAGGACAGGGACCTTTGGTTTGGTTTGGTTTGGTTTGGTTTGGTTTGGTTTTGTTCATAGCTTTATCACCAGTGCATGGAACAGTGTCTCCCACTTAGTAGGTGTCAAGTAAATATTTGTTAAATGAAGGAAGGAAGGAAGGAAAATAGTATCAAAACAGAAATTTTTAACTGGTGGCCGCTGGCCAAATTCATACTGCAGATATTTCTCTTTGGCCCCCAGAGTGTTTGAAAAAATGTGAATGTGTCGCCAACATTTAAAAATCAGGAGATTGCACAGACCAAAACAATCTAGATTTCCAGCTCTTCTTGAAAAATTAGAAATCTGGCAATCCTGCATTCCCCTGGGGCCACAATCAACAGGAGCAGAGGAGGACTGCCCTCTTAGGGGGGGTGGACATTCTCCAGCCCATCGCAGCCCCCACCTGGCCTGGTTAACCCATTCTTGGGACTCTCTGGCCCCATTGGTATCTGAGTTTCAACATCCATCCTAGAATTACAGAATCATAGAAGATTAGAGCTGGAAGGACTTGAGAGATCATCATGTCCAGTTAGTCTCCATCGTCCATAAGGAGAAACTGAGGCTCAGAGGGAGTAAGATCATCCAAGAAAGCATGAGAATCAGACTCAAGCTCACCTGCCTTCCTGTGTGATCTCTGGATGTCCAGGGAAAACTGAGGTGAAAAGCTGTTAGAGCACCCAGATCGCCTGTGCCATCTTCATGACTCTCCTAGAATTTTCCATTCCCTCCTCCAGCTCTCGCTAAGGTGAGGAATGAATGAGTATTATCATTTGCTAAATCTAGCAACCTTCAGAGAGACCCAAAATAATTGTGACTTAAACAAGATGCAAGTTTATTTCACTCCCCTGCAGTCCAGATGGAAGCAGTTCAAGCTGGGGAAACTGCTGTGCAGCACCAGAGACCACAGCCTCTACAGTCTTATTCCCTGCCATTTTTTGGAGTGTCACCAGCATTGGCAAGATAAATCATAGCTTACCCCCATGTCTGCATTCCAGCCAGTAAGCAAGAATAGGAAAAGGGGGACTTGCCCCTCTCTTTTGATATTTTTATTTTCTTGTCCCTCTTTTTTTATTATTTTTATTAATTTTTTTAGAGACAGGGTCTTGCTCTGCTGCCCAGGCTGGAGTGCAGTAGCACAATCATAGCTCACTGTAACCTCAAACTCCTCACTCAAGCAAGCCTCCCACCTGAGCTTCCTGAGTAGCTGGGACAACAGGCAAGTGCCACCATGCCCAGCTAATTTTTAAAAGTTTTTTGTAGAGATGGGATCTCACTGTGTTGCCCAGGCTGGTCTCGAACTCTTGGGCTCAAGTGATTCTCCCACCTCGGCCTCCCAAAGTTCTGGGATTACAGGCCTGAGCCACCACACCCAGCAAGCCCCACTTTTTTAAAGGCCAGACTCAGAAGTTGCAGGCATCACTTCTGCTCTTATCCTATTGGGCAGAACTTGGTCAGATGGCCTCATCTACCTGCAAGGGAGTCTGTGAAATGTACTCTTTATTTGAGGCTGTCATGGCCAGTTAAAATTTAGATATTCTATTACTCTGAGAGGGAGAAAAGAAGAATGGGTATTAGAGGACAACTAGCAATTTCTAGCCCAAAGTACTGTATAGTAAAAGGAAAAACAATTAAATAGAAAACTGATGAGGAAACATAAAATTAGTTATGTTTGAGAGGCCTGAGGGACAACAGGATTTGTAGGTCTGAAGCTCCAGAGAGAGGTCTGCACTATAGCTCTAAGCTTGGATGTCAGAGAAGTAATAAGGATGTAGAGGAGAAGTGTGAGCCCCATTTTGCAGACAGAGTGACTGAGATGAGACCTACAGAAGTTGTGTAGTTGGTGGGATATTCATGACAGAACCAAAACTCATGGCCTCAGCTTCTGGCTCACAGTTCTTTCTCTCTGTACTTCCCCAGCACTGCAGCCATGTGAAACTTGTTATTAATAGCTGTCATCAAGTATGACATTCAGTTTGAAGTACAGCATATTTAAGCTGCAAAGAAAATTTATTGAAGCACAATAATTGAAAAACCCAGGGATACCTGGGATTCAGGTCTGGCTGGATCCAGATGTTTAAGCAATGTTCTTAGGTCATTCTGTATCTCTTAGCCAATTTTCTCCATGTGGTAACTCCCTCTCAGCAATCCCAACTAAAAACTGGAAATTTCTAGTACCCACATTCCAGCACAACTTCTAGGCGTTAATGCCAATGTCCCAAACTGGGTCACATGCCCATCCATATGCCAACCTCTGTAGCTCTGATTGGCCAGCCAAATCAAGAGCCCACTCCTGGCATGGGAAAGGAGGGGCAGATCAGCTCCACCTCAACCAAATAGAGTGAGAGAGGGAGGATGGTCCCCCAAAGGAAACTGGAGTAATCCTTCCAGAAGAGTATGAAGGCCCATGGATGTCCAGTGAATGGGCACTGGATGCCAAGATCCCCTGAACATCCATGACAAGAACCAGCAGCACTTTGCTTGTGGCCATCATGCTGCATACCATGCAGGAAGCCAAAATCATTAATAGTACCAGCCAGAGTGGGGACTTGCTGTTTTTTGGGGGAACTAAGCCCAACAAAGCTAAAATGATTGGGGAATGATTCAAAATAGGTTGTTTGAATTTTAAGACAGAAACTGGGCTCCCGTTCTGTTCCCAATCAAGGGATGTGCTGCTTGAGGCTGTCATCTCTTCACTTCCTTTCCATTTCTTCCTCCCCAGTGCTCAGAGCCAGAACATCCCTTTGGTAGCTGTATCTCCCAGCATCTTGTGGATCCATTAGAAATTCCCTAGAGAGCTGGAGCAGCCAGTGACTGCTGCCTCTTTCCTAACCCCTCCCTTCCCCTACCACCCTCCTCCGCAGTCTCTGAACTCTGTTTTTTTCCAGCTGGTATTAGGCAAATGCAAGGTGGTCAAGAGCCTTTGCCTGTGGCCAGGAAGGGATTCTAAAAGAAATTAGTCAGCTTTCCTCCAGGGATTCATGGGGAGTTGCCCTGACTCCTCCTTTTGTGCCTTGCCTTCTAGGCAGCCCACTACCAATATGAAGCTCAACTCCAGGACCTGTTGTTGTTGTTGTTGTTAATAACAATTTTATTGAGATACAATCTACATATCATAATTTACCCTTTCGATGTGTACAATTCAGTAATTTTTAGTATATTCACAGAGTTGTACAACCATCACCACTCTAATTTTAGAATATTTTCATCACCCCAAAAAGAAACCCTATACTCACTAGCAGTCACCCCTGCCATTTCCTTCTCCCCCTGGCCCCTGACAACCACTAATCTACTTTCTTTCTCTACAGATTTGCCTCTTCTGGATATTTCATATAAAGGGAATCACACAGTACGTGTGATCATCCGTGTTGTAGCATGTATCAGTACTCCATTCCTTTTTATGGCCACATAATTTTCCATTGTGTATTAGTCCATTTTCACATGGCTATAAACAAATATTCAAGACTGGGTAATTTATAAAGGAAATAGGTTAAATCATCTCACAGTTCTGCGTGGCTGGAGAGGCCTCAGGAAAGTTAACGAACATGGCAGAAGAGGAAGCAAACACTTCCTTCTTCACAAGGCAGTAGGAGAGAGAAAGTTCAGAGTGTAGGGGGAAGAGCCCCTTGTAAAACGATCAGACATAGTGACAACCCACCCACCCACCACAAGAACAGCATGGGGGAAACCACCCCTATGATCCAATCACCTCCCACGAGGTTCCTCCACCAACACAAGGGGATTACAATTTGGATTATGATTCAAGATGAGATTTGGGTGGGGACACAGAGCCAGACCATATCACAGTTCATGGATAAACTATATTTTGTCTATCCATTTATCAGTTGGATAGTTGAAGTTTGGGCCATTATGAATAATGCTGCTATGAACATTGGCATACAAGTATTTGCATGTGCATATGTTTTTAATTCTCTTAGGTATATGCCTAGGAGTAGAATTGCTGGGCCACATGGTAACTCTAGGTTTAATGCTTTTGAGGAACAGCCAGATTATTTTCCAAAGTGACTGTATCATTTTACCTTCCCATCAGCCATGTAAAATGGCTCCAATTTCTCCACATCCTCATCAATATGTTATTGTCTGCCTTTTTGGCTATAGTCCTAGTAAGTATGAAGTGGTATCTCATTGTGGGTTTGATTGGCATTTCCCTAATAATGTTGACAAGTGACTAGTGATGTTTTTATGTGCTTATTGGCCATTTGTATATCTTCTTTGGAAAAATATTTATTCAAATCTTTTGCTCATTTTTAATTGGTTTGTCTTTATATCATTATAAGAGTTTTTATATATCTGGATACCAGTCTATTATCAGATATGTGATTTGCAAATATTTTCTCTCTCATTCTGTGAGTTGTCTTTCCATTTTCTTTGTGGTATCCTTTGAAATACCAAGCTTTTTATTTTTATGAAGTGCAATTTATGTATATTTTCTTTGGTTACTTTTGCTTTTGGTGTCATATCTGAGACCCTATTGCCTAACCTAGGTCACAGAGATTTACTCCTGCACTTTTTTCTAAGAATTTTCTCATTTTAGCTCTTACATTTAGGTCTGTGATCCATTTTGAGTTAATTTGTGTGTATGATGTGAGGCAGGGGTGCAACCTCATTGTTTTACCTATGACTATCAAGTCGTCCCAGTAGCATTTGTTGAAAAGACTCTTCTTTCCCCTACTGAATTGTCTCAACATCCTGTCAGAAAATCAATTGGCAGCCAGGTGCAGTGGCTCACACCTGTAATCTCAGCACTCTGGGAGGTCCAGGCAGGTGGATTACATGAGGCCAGGAGTTCAAGACCAGCCTGGCCAACATGGTGAAACTCCATCTCTACTAAAAATACAAAAATTAGCCAGATGAGATGGTGCACGTCTGTAATCCCAGCTACTTGGGAGGCTTAGGCATGAGAATTCCTTGAACCCGGGAGGTGGAGGCTGCAGTGAACCAAGATCATGCCATTGCACTCCAGCCTGGGCGACAGAGCCAGACTCTATCTCAAAAATTTTTTTAAAAAATCAATTGGCCGTAAATATGTTTATTTCTTGACTCTTCATTTTATCCCATAGATCTGTATGTATGCCCTTATGCCAGTACCACACTGTCTTGATTACTGTAGCTTTGTAGTAAGTTTCAAAAATGGAAAGTAGGAGTCCTCCACCTTTGTTCTTATGACCAGTCTTGACCTTTATAATTGGCATCTCCATTGGTTTTATTTTTTGTGGTTTTAACATAGCCTTTGCACTTGCTGTTGTTCCCTGTGCCAGGAATGCCCATCTCCCCATTTTCTACATGGCTCCTTTATTCACGAATCTGCCCAGTGGCTGGGCGTGGTGGCCCATGCCTGTAATCCCAGCACTTTGGGAAGCTGAGGCAGGCAGATCACTTGAGGCCAGGAGTTCGAAACCAGCCTGTCCAACATGATGAAACCCTGTCTCTACTAAAAACACAAAAATTAGCTGGGCATGATGGCAGGCACCTGTAATCCCAGCTACTCAGGAGGCTGAGACAGGAGAATCACTTGAACCTGGGAGGCGGAGGTTGCAATGAGCTGAGATCACGCCACTGAACTCCAGCCTGGGCGACAGAGCAAGACTCTGTCCCAAAAAAAAAAAAAAAAGGAACCTGCCCAAATGTTTCCTCATCAAACCACCTGATGCGTTAAATATGTATTATTTATTACCTGCCCTCTCCAACACACACACATTTGAATGTAAACTCTATGAAAACAAGCACCAGGGCCAGGATTAGCCTTTTGTAGGCACAAAATTTAAGTGGGTACTGAGAAACAGAGTAATCAAGCTCAATCATATTTTAATGCAATATTTTACAAATCAAAATTGATGCCAAAAAATCGATCATGAAAGAAAATCAAAATGTAAACAAAGACAGATGGTTGTGTGTGTTACTGCCCTGCGTTATTGTGCAATGGGAACAGTTTCCAATCAGCCCCTGACTCCCTGGCCTGAGTGACTGTTACCTCTCCACAGGGCAGGTTTATGAGCCTTGGCAATGGCAGGAACAGATTGGCCAACGAGAGGCTTTAATATATAGTCATCTTTTGTGTTTTGTTTTTTGTTTTTGTTTTTGTTTTTTACTGTAGAGCTTTTATTAACTTTTTCCACTTGAGTCAAAATACAGAAAAATGTTTTGATAAGTGTATGTAGGGGCCACATTTTTCCTCTTGCCTCAGGCCCTGTGGCTTGGCCTGGAATGGCAAGCACCAGGGTGGTCTGCCTCCCAGCTGTAGCCCCCGGACCTAGCACAGGGCCTGGCACATGGTAGGAGCTCAGTAAACGTTTGTTGATTACATGACTGTAATCAAGGGAGTATTTTAAGTGTTAGTAGCAGGGAGAGATCTCAACCCACACAGCATGCATGAAATAGAATTTTGGTTTTCTGTAACGCAATGGAATTCCTACTTGCAGCCTTTGTTCTGCTGGGTTCTTTTTCCTTCCTCACCAGGTTATATCAGACTTCCAGGGAGCTCACAAAGCACCCAGGGATTGGGTGAGAGTCCATGGACCCACGAGTCCTCTGTCCACTTACGACACTGCTGACATGTATCTGGTTCCTGTCCCTAGGGGTGCTTCAGGTCTGGTGGGATCTGGAATCTCAGTGAGGCTGGCTATGGTCCTATCTGCCTGACCCCCTAGCCCAGACTGTCACTCTCTTAGGTTTTGCTTCCTGGCACACGTGGCAGGGTAGGGAGGCCTCTGAAAACCCCCTTCCATCCTTCAGTTGTTGGAAGTCAGGACAAGAAACCAGTGCCACTCGCTCAGCATCCCAAGGCCAAAAAGCTCAAAATCTGCTACCTTATGAATGGGAGGCTGGAAAACAGGGAACTGAGGGAGCAGAGAGTAACAACTCACATCTCGCCCATGTTCTTGTTGGCGGATACATCAGATCCTTGAGGGAGCGAACTGGAGTAGAAGGGAGTGTTTGGAAAAGGGAGGAATTTGCAGTTGTCACGGTGATGGGAGGCACAACAAACCCGTGAATCAACCCACCAAGATACCATTAGTGGTCTCCATAGAAATGTGTGCATTTTCTCATTTTATTCAACAAATATTTATCAAGTGCCTCCTGCATGCCAGGTGTACTGTTCTAGGCCCTGGGGATGCGGCAGGGAACAAAGTCCATTAAAAACTCTGCCCTCATGGAGCTGATATCCTTGGGGAGAGGAAGGAAGATGATAAGCAAGACACATAGAAATGCAAGTGGCCAGGCACAGTGACACACGCCTGTAATCCCAGCACTTTGGGAGGCTGAGGCAAGTGGATGACTTGAGGCCAGGAGTTCGAGACCAGCCTGCCCGTTATGGTGAAACCCCATCTCTACTAAAAATACAAAAATTAGCCAGGCGTGGTGGTGGGCACCTGTAGTCCCAGCTATCTGGGAGGCTTGAGGCATGAGAGTTACTTAAACCCAGGTGGCAGAGGTTGCAGTGAGCCTAGATCATGCCACTGTACTCCAGCCTAGACAACAGAGTGAGACTCTGTATCAAAAAAAAAAAAAAAAGAAAGAAAGAAATGCAAGGCCAGGCATGGTGGTGTACCCCTGTAATCCCAGCACTTTGGGAGGTTGAGGCAGGAGGATTGCTTGAGGCCAGAAGTTCAAGACCAGCCTGGACAACATGAGACCCTGTCTCTAAAACAAGAAAGAGAGAAAGAAAAAACAAAAGAGAAGAAGGAAGAAGAAGAAGAAGAAAAGAAAAAGAAGAAGAGAGAAGGAAAAAGGAGAAGAAAGAAGAAGTAGGAAGAGGAAGAGGAAGAAGGAAGGGAAGGGAAGGGGAAAGAAGAAGAAATAAGAAGAAATAATAATCCAGAGAAAAAGAGAAGTTGAAATTAAATTTGAGAAAAATGTGGCCAGGGAAGGAGGCCACACAGAGAAGCTAAATTTTGAATAAGGCCTGAAGGAAGTGGAGGAACAGAAATCTGGTGGAAGGGCAGAGGGAATGGCACATGCAAAGGCCCTGCAGCAGAAGTGTGCCTGGGGAGTTTGAGGGACAGCAAGGAGGCCAGTGTGGCTGGAGCACAGCAGACTGACTCTTAAGTTGGAGCTGGTAGAGATTTGGAGTAGAAGGACAGAGTCTGCCCTGGTTTCAGTATGGTTTGTTGAGCCCCACAAAGTCTCATGTTGAAATTTCATCCCCATTGTTGAAGGTGGGGCCTAAAGGGAGGTGTTTGGATCCTGGAGGTGGATCCCTCATTAATGGCTTGGTGCCATTCTTGCAGGAGTGAGTGAGTTCTCTTAGTTCCCGTGAGAACTCGTTGTTGAAAAGAGCCTGGCAGCTCCCTCCACTCTCTCTCTTCCTCTCTCTCCACATGTGATCTGCACATGCTGGCTCCCCTTTGCTTTCCACCATGAGTGGAAGCAGCCTGAGGCCTCACCAGATGCAGATGCTGTTGCCATGCTTCTTGTACAGCCTGCCGAACTGTGAGCCAAATAAACCTCTTTTCTTTATCAATTCCCTAGCCTCAGATATTCCTTTATAGCAACACAAATGGATGAAGATGGAATCTGAGTTCCATTCTTATTTATCTTTATTTTTTATTTATTTATTTTAGAGACAGGGTCTTGCTCTGTCACCCAGGCTGGAGTGCAGTGGCATGATCATAGTTCACTGCAACCTCAACCTCCTGGGCTCAAGCAGTCCTCTCACCTCAGCCTCCCAAGTAGCTGAGACTACAGGTGCACACCACTGTGCCCAGCTAATTTTTTTTGAGAGACGAGGGTCTCAGTGGCTGGTCTCTACTCCTGGGCTCAAGCGATCCTCCCCCCTCAGCTTTCCAAGGTGCTGGGATTACAGGCGTGAGCTACTGCATCCAGCCTGAGCTCCATTCTTAAGGAGCCCCTCTGGCTCTCCCCGGGGAGAGGAGAGTAGAAAGTGGCCAGGTTGGAATCCTGGCGATGGGTGAGGAGGCTACTGCACCAGTTTATCTGAAAGACTGAACTGGTCTTTCTCAGTTTACCGTTCTCTCCACCCAGGGAGTGGAGATGCAGGCGGGGAGGAGCACAGTAGGCTGGGTATATTTTGAAGGCAGACCAGCCACAGATAAAGAAGGTAAAGGGAGTCCTAATTCTCACCACCAAGCTGCAAAGATGCCCTGTTTTCCATCCAGGGTCTCCCCCTGAAGAGACCTGATTGCTTCTACCCCTGTTGGCAACCAGCCAATTCCTCCTGAACAAATTCCTCAAGCTTTACTGCACATTTCCTATACACCAAGCACTCACTATCAATTTTATTATTTTCTTAAGTTAAGCCTCAAAGGCACAGCTTGAGTTATTCATATTCTTTGTCCACACAAGGCCCCTTTCTTGTTTCACGTAGGTACTACCAATGTGTTTCCTTTTAAACCTATTTGTGCTCCTTTCCCTCCCCTCCCTATATAGCTCAGTGTATAGCCTTTTGTTTGTTTCCTGTAACATATACATTCTCTTTTTGTGTGCATTTATTTCTTATGTGTATAGGTGACATTGTTTAAATACCCTGTGTTTCTTACCTTTCTCCCTCTGTGCTATGGTTTCACTTATTTATTTCTGAGACAGGGGTCTCGTCATGTTGCCCACGCTAGTCTCGAACTCCAGGGCTCTAGTAATCCTCCTGCCTCAGCCTCCCAAAGTGCTGGGATTACAAGCATGAGGCACCACACCCTGCCTGCACTATGGTTTTAGATCCTCCCACATTGCCATACATACAACTCTATCACTCTAACACAATAGTTTTTAACCAGAGGAAGTTTTGGCCCCCAGGGGACATTTGACATTCCCCATTTTTGGGGAATGGGATACTACTGGCATCTAGTGGGTAGAAGCCAGGGATGCTGCTACACATCCCACAATGCACAGGATGGCCCCACAATAAAGGATGATTGGGCCCTCCGGGTCCATAGTGCTGTGGCTGGGGGCCTGCATCTGACCGCTGCATAGTCCCAGGTCCTCCAGGTCTTCCTTATGGCACTCTCTTCAGGGAGGACACTCAGGCTTCCTCAGCTCCGCATCAGCACAGACAGAGCTGTGACGAGCAACCTTTATGGACTGCTCTGAGCTTTACACCCTCTCTCTCATTTAATCCCCACCATGAATCTATAAGGCCCAGCTGCTCCCTTTATACTCATTTCCAGAGAAACTGAGGCCCAGAGAGGTGATGTGACTTAGTCAAGGTCACCCAGCTTAGGAGGGATGAAAGCCAGGAAGTGGCCCACTGCTCTTTAATTTATTTTTTATTTTATTTTTCTGCGACAGGGTCTCACTCTGTCACTCGCTGAAGCACAGTGGTGCAAACACGGCTCACTGCAGCCTCAACTTCCTGGGATCAAGCAATCCTCTCAGCTCAGCCTCTTGTGTAGCTGGGACCACAGACATGCACTACCATGCCCAGCTAATTTTTTATGTTTTTTTGTGAGACAGGGATCTCACTTTCCCCAGGCTGGTCTCGAACTCCTGGGCTTAAATCCCAAAGTGCTGTGATTACAGGCGTGAGCCACCATGTCCGGCCGCTCCACTGCTCTTAACCACGTAACATGTCCCTAGTGATCCATGTGACTGTCTCGAGGGTAAAAATTAAAAGCCTCTGGAATGAACTCTTCTGCTGCCTCTTAGCTCGTGGAGCACAGGGACTGGGTCTGATGTGTTCACAGCTTTATCCCAATACCCAGCACAGTACCTGGCACCTCCACTGGACAAATATTTGTTGAATAAACAAATAAACAAAGGGCTGCCAGGTAGGGAGTTTTCACTTGTGTGATGGCAAATACAGCAGAAATAAGATTCCAGGGCATTCACCCACAAGGGAGCAGACAGCCACGTGTGTGACAAGCAGGGGCCTGGCAGCCTCTGTCTCAGACTGAGATGCTCCATGCCCCCTAGCCTGGCCTCACCTAGAGCCTGGCCCACAGCAGGGTCTCAGCAAAGGCTTCACAATTTTGTTTTCAGACATTGCATCCATCCCCTCCTTCCTGAAAATGTCTTTGTTCTACTGTCCTTCATGGCAGTTTGGCTGGGTATAGAATTTTTGTTTGGAAATAATAATTTTCCTTCATAGTTTTAAGGCATTTTCCCATTGACTCTGGCTTCCAGAGAATAAATGACAGGTGCAGTTGGTCCTAATTGAAGTAGGTCAGAAGGTGCTGAGAAAGACATCTTGAAGAAGTGAAATTGGTAAAATACCTGGTACATCTGAATGCATTGAGAGGATTTTTAAAAGATCATTATTTACTCCAACGGAAAACAAAAGGCATGAGAAGTGATCATAGTTTACTACCTGGCTTAGCTGTGTTATCAGTTAGCTACAAAACAATCACCCCAGGACTTAGTGGCATAAAACAATAAGCATTTATTATTCAGCCCATGAGATTTTGAGTTGGCAGAGAGGTTCTACTGAGCTAGACTGGGCTCTTGCATGTGTCTGCAGGGTCAGCTGGCAGATCAGCTGGTAGAGAATGGCCTGAGCTGGGACAACCTGTCTCTGCTCCATGGGGTCTCTCATCCTCCAGCAGGCAAGTCCAGGCTTTTCCTCGTGGCCTAAGAAGTGTTCCTTTCAAGGAGAGAGACCCGTCTTTAGTCCTCCATTTGGAACTGGCGTGCCATTTGGAACTGGCACACTGTGAAAAGTGGGCAGCACTGTACCCTGGGGCTTAGAAACGAGCCCAGATCATTTCTGCTGCATTCTGTCAGCAAAAGTAAACATAAGCCAGCCCAGATTTAAACAGAGCAGTAACCCCACCTCTTGAAGGGAGAAGCTTTACTATCACACTTCAGAGGGTGAAGATGTAAGGACATTGAGTCATCAAGGCAGTCAGCCTATGCAGTAATCACAGCAGCGTGAACTCTGACTAGTAGCCCAATAAAAACCATTCACTTTTGAGAAGCCGAGGTGGGCAGATCACTTGAGCCCAGGAGTTTGAGACTAGCCTGGGCAAAACAGCAAAATCCCATCTGTACAAAAAAAAATTTTTTTTTCAAAAAATTAGCCAGGCGTGGTGGTGTGCACCTGTAGTCCTAGCTACTCCGGAGGCTGAGGTTGAAGGATCCCTTGAGCCCAGGAGTTAGAGGCTGCAGTGAGCCGAGGTGGCACCACTGCACTCCAGTTTGGCCAACAGAGCAAGACCGCTGTCTCAAGCAAACAAACAAAGCCATGACTATTTAGGAGGAAAAGAGAATGAGAAGGATACATATGTGCGGTAAAGGTAGCAAGAAGAAAATCCACATTGCCCATAGTGGGATCAAATAATGCCTCAAAGTGAAAAATCAAAAAGCCATGTAATTATAACCATGCAATTTAGAGACAGGGCAGTGAGTATCAAGATAATGAATGAAGGAAAGAGTTGAAGGTGGTGACAAAGGGGGCATGAGAGGGTGTGTCAGGGAAACTGCAGTCTTATAACAAGCCTTGTGGAACTTTTTGAGCATTTGACAAAAATTAAAACTATTAAAAATTAAATGATTTAACTTGATTATATTATGCATATAAAAGAATGAGTTATGCAAGACTATATCTGATCAGCTCCTTGCTGAGAGGAGAGATTAGGCATAGATTGGAGAAAGAAGGTATCTGCATGGCTCAGATAGTCAAGGAAGACTTCCTGTAAAAGGAAGTATCAGCTGAGACTTCAAAACTAGGCCAAAAAAAAAGCACTTAGGCACGTTTGGGAGTTTACAGTTCATTCTTACATTATTTGTCTTAATTCCACAACCACCTTCTTGAGGTGAATAAATCAGGAATTATTGTTACTCTTCTTATTTTGCAAAAGAGAAAACAGTTCCAGGGAAGTTGAGGGACTTGCCTGAGGCTCCAGAAGCAGGGAATGGCTCCAAAAGTTAGATTTCATGTTCACTCCTTTTTTTTTTTTTTTTTTTTTTTTTTTGAGACGGAGTCTTATTCTGTCACCCGGGCTGGAGTGCAGTGGTGATGTCTTGGCTCACTGCAACCACTGCCTCCCAGGTTCAAGCGATCCTCCTGCCTCAGCCTCCCTAGTAGCTGGGATTATAAGCATGCACCACCACGCCCGGCTAATTTTTGTATTTTTAGTAGAGGTGGGGGTTTCACCATGTTGACCGGGCTGGTCTTGAACCCCCGACCTCAAGTGATACGCCCACCTCAGCCTCCCCAAGTGCTGGGATTACAGGTGTGAGCCACCGCAACTGGCAGATTTTACGTCCAAATGCAACAAAGGCTAGCTGTGGCTAACTTAACCACAAGGAAATTGATTGGGAGGGTATGAGGGAGTTTTCAGGATCCAGGAGAAGAATGGAGGAAAAGTTGGGGCTCCCAAGGAGCAGGAGTGATGAGGTGGCACCTTTAGGCCTTACAGCTGCTGTTTCATCCTTGAATTGCTTCAGTCCCAGGAGAGAGGGGCTGATCGGCTGTGCCTGGGACCTGTGCCCACCTCTCAGCTAAGCAGGGTTAGACACCTTGATGGACAGCCCACCAAGCCACCTGCAGTGGGGGCAGGCAGTTCCCCATGAGGAACCTAAGGAGCTTTTAGCAGAAAGAATGAGAATGGATGAGAGGCAGAAACCATGGGTGCTCATGCCAGGAGCAGAGCCAGCCTCCACATCCACACTCGGGGCTGTCTGCTCTGAAAGGTGGGTAGCGCTGTAGCCTGGAGCTTAGAAACGAACCTCAGATCACACACTTTGTATTCACCCACTGCAAAGGTCATTCCCAGGCTGAGATTTCTCCAGAGAGAGAAATGCCCAGCATCTGCCACCAGCACACCCCTCCTTAAGGGAAACCCACTCTCCTGAGACACACAGACCATAATGTTTCTGCTTTTCAGAGTGAATCACTGCCTCAGACACAGCTGAGCCCACATCAAATTCCTAGATGGGTTTTTTTTTTTTGTGGATATGCTGTGGTTTCAAGGGGGAGATCTCCACTGTGCTTCTGGGGTTTCTTATTTAAATGGAACTAGGTGTCATTCAAAGTAGCAGTGGCTGGGATCACCACATGTTCCCTGACTTGCCTTTTTAGTGACCATCCACACAGATATCTGTTTGTTCCATGACTCTTGGACTCATGAGTCAGCTCTTCTGTCGGGGGAGAATGGGCAGAACTCACAGGCAGCCTCAAAGGCTCTGTATAAGACACCTGTTGGTGTGATGGCTACAGAAACACACCATCCTCTCATCCCTGGGGGCAGGGCAGGTGAATGCCCATGTCACAGATGAGAACCCTGAGGCTCACCTCGCTGAAGTGCCTGCACTAAAAGCCTCTGGAAAAGGTCTTTCACACAGGGTTTTCTGTCCCCCTTTAAGGGTGACGTTTTTAGCCTTTCCTCTTCAGAAGGCATGAAAAGCTTCAGCCTTGGCCGGCCACGGTGGCTCATGCCTGTAATCCCAGCACTTGGGAAGCTGAGGCTGGTGGATCACCTGAGGTCAGGAGTTCGAGACCAGCCTGGCCGACATGGTGAAACCCCGTCTCTACTAAAAATACAAAAATTAGCCGAGAGTGGTGGTGTGCGCCTGTAATCCCAGCTACTCAGGAGGCTGAGGCAAAAGAATCACTTGAACCCAGGAGATGGATATTGTAGTGAGCCGAAATCGTGCCATTGCACTCCAGCCTGGGCCACAAGAGCAAGACTCCTTCAAATAATAATAATAATAATAAAGCTTTGGCCTCTATCAAAGACACTGAGAGAGTTTGGATATTTGATCCCTGCCCCAGTCTCATGTTAAATTATAATCCCCAGTGCTAGAAGTGGGGCCTGGTGGGAGGTGTTGGGATCATGGGTGCGGATCCCTCATGGCTTGTGAGGATCCCACATGGCTTCACAATAGTGAGTTCTTGTGAGATCTGGTCATTTAAAAGTGTGTGGCACTTCTCCGCCACTCTCCCCCTCTTGCTCCTGCTTTTGCCAGGTGAAGTACCTGCTCCCACTTGGCCTTCTGCCATGAATAAAAGCTCCCTGAGGCCTCCCCAGAAGCTCAGCAGTTGCCTGTGCTGTGCTTATACAGCCTGCAGAACTGTGAGCCAATTAAACCTCTTTTCTTTATAGATTACCCTGGCTCAGATATTTCTTTATAGCAATGCAAGAATGGACTCACAAAGATACTTTCGGGCATGCCGAGGCAAGCAGCTGAAGGGTCTTCATAGCCAAATTTGCTCACAGGTGGGGCCTCCTGCCCACCTCCCAACTGCCCACCACCTTACCCTTCTCCCACCTGCCAGAGGGATTGCTTGAAAATGCAAATCAGGCCCTGCAATGACCCCCTCTTGCTGCCAGGGAAGCAGACTGCTCCCAAGGACCCCCTGCCCAGCTCATCGCTGCCGTCTTCAGCCGTCTTCCCTGGCCATACAGGTGCCTTTGCTCACCCAGGGCATCAAATTCCCAACTGTCTGGGCCTCTGCGTATGCTATTCTGAATTCTTAGAATATTCTTCATCCTTCTTTTTTACTCCTGTTATTCACTGGGAGGCTCAGCTTTTCTTTCATAACACAGTTCAGAAGTTACTTCCTCGAGGGTCCCCCAGAGTAAGTCAGGTCACCCGTCTTATGCTCACGTAACTCTCTTAACTGACCCATACGCCAACCATCATCATTGCTGTGTCTGTCTCTTGAATCCCATCCCCTTCTCTCCAGCTCCCCCACCACCTCCTTCATTTCAGCCTCCTCCGCCCTCTCCACGGGTCTGGACAGCTGCCTCCCTGCTTCCCCTCTGCCTCCACCACCCTCAGCCTATTGGGCAGCCAAACAACTGCTTCAAGAGGCAAATGGGATTGTGCCACCTTCTCCATCCTCACCCGGTGGAGAACCCTGCAGTGATGCTCACTGCCCTTAAGGCAAACTCTTTGCCATGACTTTCCAGGCCCCGGGCGGTCCAGCCCCTGCCAACCTTGCCAACTTTCACCTTGATCTCTTTCACCCACCCCCAGCACTGCTGCAGCCTCCTGCTCACATGCACTTCCCACCACAGGGCCTTTGCACACACTGTTGCTCTGCCCAGAACACTCTTCCTACCCTCCCTTAGTCTAACCAGTGTTGCCTGTCCAGTGTGGTATCCTTAGGGACGCTTCCCAATCTTTCCAAGTTGGTTAAAAACCTCCTACTGATGGTTCATAGCACCACAGTGCTCATAGTAGCACAGTTGCAATTATTTATTTCTGGGTGTGATTATTTGATTATAGAATAACATCATCATCCTTCTTTTTTTTTTTTTTTTTTTTTTTTGAGATGGAGTTTCGCTCTTATTGCCCAGGCTGGAGTGCAGTGGTGCAATCTTGGCTCACTGCAACCTCCGCCTGGCTAGTTCAAGCGATTCTCCTGCCTCAGCCTCTCGAGTAGCTGGGATGACAGGCGCCTGCCAATACGCCTAGCTAATTTTTGTATTTTTAGTAGAGACTGGGTTTCACCATGTTGGCCAGGCTGGTCTCGAACTCCTGACCTCAGGTGATCCACCCACCTCAGCCTCCCAAAGTGCTGGGATCATAGGCATGAGCCACTGCGCCCGGCCCACCATCCTTCTTAAAAGGCTGGAATTGAAACCTCATTATAACAGATTCTGTCAATCTCCCCTCCCCCATTATTCCCGTAGCACTCTGCTCCTTTGGGTGTGACGATGTCCCTCTGCAGGCACCTGTGACCCTCTGCAGTGCGTTGGGCAGTGTCCCAGAGGGACAGAGCCCCAGTGGCCCAGGCATTGACCTGCTCATTGACCCACCCTTCCTTCCCCTCCACTCTCACGCTCCCACTGTGTCAACAGCCCTTCCTGAGATCACCTCCCAGAAAAACCACCTGCATGTGAATCTTTGGCTCTGGGTCAGCATCCTGGGAGACCCAAACTAAGACATCGAGGATGTATGAATGCTGGGACTCCATGATTGCTGCTGCAGGGATGGAAACTCCTCTTAGTAGAGCCCTGCTGTGACATAAGTCTCCTGGCTACTGAAGGGCGGTCTGGCATCACCAGGTAGCTGGCAGAAATGCAGAGTCTCAGACCCCGCTGTAGACTCACTGAACATGCATCTGCATTTTTTTTTTTTTTTTTTTTGAGGCAGAGTCTTGCTCTGTCACCCAGACTTCAGTGCGGTAGTGCAGTGGTGTAGTGGTGCGATCTCGGCTCACTGCAACCTCTGCCCCCTGGGTTCAAGCCATTCTCCTGCCTCAGCCTCCCCAGTAGCTGGGACCACAGGCGCACGCCACCACACCCAGCTAATTTTTGTATTTTTAGTAAAGACGGGGTTTCACGATGGCCAGGCTGGTCTCGAACTCCTGGCCTCAAATGATCCGCCCGCCTGGGCCTTCCAAAGTGCTGGGGTTACAGGCATGAGCCACCGCACCCAGCCAAGCATCTGCATTTAACTCCATCCCCAGGCCATCCTTTCACACATTCATCTGTGAGGTGAGATGGAGCCCCGAATTCACCTGGTGTTGGCTTTTCTTGCAGATCCAGAGGCCAGGTCGAGAGAGCATGACCTGATCTCCACAGCTCCTCGACCGGCTCCTCTGCCCTCTCCGTTCCACCACAGTCCTCCCCGATTCCTCCGCGGGTGTTATTACGTGATTCCGGCTTGGATTCCGGAATCCAGAACCCAGCACAGGACTGTAGGGATTCAATCAGATCCAGTTGGCGATAGGCGGCTTGGCCTGTCTGTTACTGCTTTACAAACTGAGAAGAAATAAAAAGAAAAAGAAAAAGAAAACCCGGTTTTATGACGCAGCAGTTAAAAACTATTTGTAGAAGTTGCTAAGGTTCAAATCAAAAGTGCCCTCTCTCGAGGACTATTAGTTAATTCAGAGGACCACAGATTCTTTCCTTTTCTTCCTTTTCCCCCTTCTACCTTGAAATGTAGCTGTAATTCATTTCTGCCGTTCATACAGCTAGAGCTTTCCATCCTGTGACAAACACAAGCCAAAGTGCTTAAGGACATCTGTTTATTTTATTTCTTTAACGAGAAAACCTTCCAATTTCTCCTGAGCTCAGCTGTGTTTATTTACATTTTCTTGGTCATGTGAGGCGAGCACCTTGGAAGTTTAAAGGCCTGGCCAGACCCTTGCAGGAGCCTGTAGCTCTGAAACGGAGAGGAAGCCCTGCCCAAGGAAAACAGAGTCCTTGGAACTCTATAAAATAGATTCTCAAAATAAATACTGCCTCATTCACTTGGTAGATGTGGATTAAGTCAAGATGAATACAATTTGAAAAGGATTTTCTGAGGAAGTCGGAGATTTCTTTCCCCCACTGGGGGTTAAACCTTGTATTTAAATCTCTCTTCCCCCTTCCCTCTCTCTTTTCAGCTGAGTAAAAGGTGTTTAGTCTTTGTGGCTAATAAAGAAAGGATGACTTTGATTGGGCTTCTCCAGCAGTGATTATTTTCTTTGCAGCACGGCTGGGAGAAGGAGAGTGACCTCACTAGTCACTCTGTCCCATCCTGTAAGGAGTGAGGGCAAGAAGCAAACATCTGCAGTTGTCATTTTGGCGGGGGTGGGTGAGGAAGAAGTTGGAACAGCCTTGAGAGATGTCCCGGAGGTGAATGACATTGTTTGAGGTGTTGGATGGGGGTGGTACCCTTTGTTGGCTTAATCCCTTATAATGATGCTTCCCTAAGCCAGGGACCTTCATGCCAAGTACCCCCGCTTATGTATTTTACAGCATTAAAGGATTATTTCCAACATAAAATATATTTTAAAGATGGTTTGGGGTTGTCAGAAAAGTGCTCATTAGCAGAGACTTTCTTTGAAGCCCTGTGCTCTCGGCCGCTTTGAGAGAGACCATTTCCTTATAGAATCACTCAACTTGGGTTGAGAGTTCTGAGCGAGTTAAGTCTCCTGACTATGCCTAATTTTCCGCCCACAGATTTAACAAACACAGACTGCTTCCCCAGACTTCCTTCGCCAACTTCCCCCGCTTTCTTGCCCCACCTCTCAGTGAATGCTGAAGGGCATCTGAAAGGAAAGAAAAAGGAGAGGGATTTAAATCCTCCATGCAAAACCTACAACAAATTGTCAGCTGGGTTGGAGTAAGAAGCTCCTTTGTCTTCTGTAAATATAGAGCTTGCTGCTCACGATGATAAGTGCTGAAAAAAATCCCAGGCACTCTGGGAACCTACATAATGGGAACAATTTTCCTTTACACTTAACTAGCAGGTTGAGAAGCCGTCTCCCCTCCAACTACTCACCTGCACTTTTTACACTACTTATTTCCCAACAATAGTGTTCTTCCAGCGTCCAAAGATTGCTGGTGATGAGGTGTCACCTGCTAAACGGCAGGAAGGTGTCAACGCCATTGTATTTGGGGTTGACTTTGACAGGGAAATAGGAGGTGTCCCCTCACCATGCCTGCTTCCCACACTTCCTCTGTGAATTCGTGAACTTTCAGGCCCCTCCGATGGCAGATGGGGAAAAGCTCCAATGGATGTCTCCCAGTGGGGCCTAATTCAAAGCAGAAATATGCAGTCTCGGAGTGGAAATGACCATCAATGGATGAATGGATAAATCATAGGATAGTCATACTCGTGGAATATGATTCAGCTATGAAAAGGAATGGGGTACTGATACATGCTACAACACACTTATGTCAAGTGAAAGAAGCCAGATACAGAAGGTCATATTTGTATGACTGTTTATATGAAATACCCAGAAGAGGTCAATCCTTAGAGCCAGAATGAAGACTGTTGGTTACTAGGGACTGGGGGTAGTGGGGAATGGGGAGTAAGTGCTTCTTGGGTACAGAGTTTCCTTTTAGGGTGATGAAAATGTTTTGGACCTAGGTGGAGGTGGTGGGTGCACAACATTGTACCCTAGATTCCACTGAAGTGTTCACTTTAAAGTGGTTCATTTTCACACCTGTAATCCCAGCATTTCAGGAGGCTGAGGTGAGAGGATAGCTTGAGCTTAGGAGTTTGAGACCAGCCTGGGCAACATAGTAAGAGCTTGTCGCTACAGAAAGAAAAATAAGTAAAATAGGCCGGGCACAGTGGCTCATGCCTGTAATCCCAGCACTTTGGGAGGCCAAGGCGGGCGGATCACCTGAGGTCAGGAGTTGAGACCAGCCTGGCCAACATGGTGAAACCCCGTCTATACTAAAAGTACAAAAATTAGCCGGGGCATGGTGGCACACACCTGTAGACCCAGCTACTCAGGAGACTGAGGCAGAAGAATTGTTTGAATCCAGGAGGCAGAGGTTGCAGTGAGCCAAGATTGTGCCATTGCACTCCAGCCTGGATGACAGAGCAAGACTCCGCCTCAAAAAAAAAATTAAATAAAATAGCCAGGCATGGTGGCGTGTGCCTGTGGTCCCAGCTACTCAGGAGGCTGAGGTGGGAGGATCGCTTGAGCCCAGGAGTTCAAGGCTGTGGTGAGCTATGATCGCACCACTGCACTCCAGCCTGGGCAACAGAGTGAGACCCCATCTCAAAAAAAAGGGTTTATTTTCAGTGCTATGGATTTTACCTAAATTTTTTAAAAAGAAAGAAAGAAAGAATCTCCTTGGGTAGTCACGTTTTGTTAGACCGCTGAGCCCAGGCTTGGTCTTGGTATGTGCTGCCATAGCCCGTGTGCCCAATGCGGTGGGGAAGTCGCTTCTTGCCATGGTGTCTGTTGTGACATTTCTGACTGGAATCCTGCCGGGTGATGTGACACTGTGGAGTCTAAAGGTCCCAGATCAAATCCCATCCCCACCACTTCCTGGAACAAGTCAGTTTTTTCCTAAGGTCTCAGTCTGTAAAATTGGAACAGCAGTTCTTGCCCTACTGACCTCATAAGACAAGCCCGAGAATGATTCTGTTTCCCAAAGGGCACTGAGAGTGCTCTGGAAGGAACGCACACGGTCTGGAGATAGCTAAAGATGAATATTTTTTACTTGGAAATTCAGATAGGACTTTTTGTTAGTTCTTGAGTTTGAATTTTATACTGTCATCATCTGGTTTTGGTGTCCAGATAATACTGGCCTCATCGAATGGGTTGGAAGTGTTCCCTCCTCATTAGTTTCTTGAAGAGATTGTGGAGAATTGGTGCTAATTCTTTTGGAATATTTGATAGCATTCTCCCCTGGAACCATCTAGCCCTTGCAGTTCTTTTTTGTTTTCTGGGAGGCTTTTAATTAGGAATTCAAGTTTGTTGTTGTTGTTGTTGTTGTTGTTGGGTTTTCTTTGAGACAGAGTCTTTCTCTGTTGCCCAGGTTGGAGTGCAGTGGCACAACCTCAGCTCACTGCAACCTCCACCTCCTGGGTTCAAGCTATTCTGCCTCAGCCTGCGGAGTAGCTGGGTCTACAGGCACCCGCCGCCACACTCAGCTAATTTTTGTATTTTTAGTTGAGACAGAGTTTCACCATGTTTGGCCAGGCTTGTCTCGAACTCCTGACCTCAAGTGATCCACCCACCTTGGCCTCCCAAAGTGCTGGAATTACACGCATGAGCCACCGTGCCCCGCCAGAATTCAATGTTTTCGTAGGGGTAGTTATTTCATCTTGGGTGAGTTTGGGTAGTTTATGGTCTTCAAGGAATTGATTCATTTCATTCGTTGTCAAATTTGTATGTGTACAGCTAAAAAACAAAATTGAAGTATCTACTTTTATGATGACTTTCAGTTTGTAGCATATAATCCATAATCAGAAACCTACAGTAGGCAGGAGGATCACTCGAGTCCAGGAGTTTGAGACCACCCTGGACAACATAGATCCTGTCTCTACAATTAAAAATAAAATAAATCTCTCTCCCCATGCATAGCACTGGGTCAGATCCTTTGCATGGGTCATCTCCTTGGTCTTCAACACGAACCTGCAAGCTAAACATAGTAATCCCCATTCAACCCAGAAGGACACAAGCTCTGCCCAAGACTACCACGCTGGGAAGTGGCAGAGAAGGGATCAGACCCAGAACTCCAAAGGCCATTCTAAACCCAACTGAGCTGACCAAGGCCCCAAGTTCCCTGGCCCAGCCCTCAAACTTGCCCTCCAACCCCAGCTCCTTCCTCGGCCAGACATCACACTGAGGGCATCTGCAGGCCACACCTGGCCCTTAAACATATCCTTTTTATTACTTTTAAAATTTGTTGCCAGCATTTAAAATCAGGATATTTCACATACAAATCCAGCTTTCTGGTTTCTTTTGAAAAATCAGAAGATCTGGGCATGCTGCACCCACAATCCCAAATGGCATCACTTGGCTGCAGCTGCCCAGAAACCACCCCCTATAAATGGCTCAGGTGTTCAGTTTGCCACAGTCCCCTCATTCCCTATCATCTCCCTAACATTAATGTCATCATGTTTCATTTTCTTCATAACATTTGTCACTCTCTGAAATGAAATGTTTCTTAGTTATTTTCTTGGTTTTTTTTTTTTTTTTTTTTTTGAGATGGAGTCTTATTCTGTCGCCTAGGCTGGAGTGCAGTGGCACGATCTCAGCTCACTGCAAGCTCTGCCTGCTGGGTTCATGCCATTCTCCTGCCTCAGCCTCCCAAGTAGCTGGGTCTACAGGCACCCGCCACCGCACCCGGCTAATTTTTTTTTTGTATTTTTTAGTAGAGATGGGGTTTCACCGTGTTAGCCAGGGTGGTCTCGATCTCCTGACCTCGTGATCCACCTATCTCGGCCTCCCAAAGTGCTGGGATTACAGGCGTGTTTCTTAGTTTTTTATGCCCTTCTCTGCCATTAGAATATAAGCTCCTTGAGGCAAGGGACTTTCAATATCTGAGAGCAAGGAGACAGCATTGCAAAGTGGTCAAGAGCAGAGGTCAGCAAACTACATCCATCCTATGGGCCAAATCTGCTCCCTCCCCACTCCCCCAGCTTGTTTTTTTAAATAAAGTTTTATTGTAACAGTCACACCCATTCGTTTACATCTTGTCTATGTCTGCTTTTGTGCTACCGCAGCAGAGTTGAATAGTTATGATGGAAACCATATGGGCCACAGAGCCTAAAATATATGCTTTCCAAACCTTTATAGAAAAAGTTCACCACCCCTGGTCTCAAGAGCCAGACTACTCAGATCCAAAGACAGCTCCACTTCCTAGCCATGTGACCTCAGACAAGTCACTTTGCCTTCCTGTGCCTCAGTTTTCACCTCTGTAGCATGGATGTAATAACAATAATACTCACCTTATAGGGTCACTGGGGGAGGATTACATGAGTTAATACATGTCGAGTGTTTGGAGCTGTACCTCCTATGTAGTAAAGAGTTTTTGTAGATAAGCAAATGACACTTTTTTTTTTAATTGACAGATAATAATTGTACACATTCATGGGGTACATGGTGATGTTTCGATGCATATAAAGTATAATGATCAGATCAGGGTAATTAACATATCCACCATCGCAAACATTTCTCATTTCTTTGTGTTGGGAATGTTTAATATCCTCCTTCTAGCTATTTGAAACTATATATTATTATTAAAATATTGTCATGAGTGGGGCAAGGTCAGATATAACCAGGTCCACGCACGTTTATGTCTTTCCACAAGGTCAGGCTTTCACTGATGCTATTTCAGTTATGAAAGCCACTAGCTAGAGGAAGACAAGAGAATGACCTGTCTGGAGTTCCCAAGGAGGCAATTCTCCTTAATATTACCCTTTCACTTGGTAGTCAGGGCCATGAGCACAAAAGGCTGAAACCACTCCACAAGTCAGTCAATATTGCAAACCATACATAATAGTATACTTAATTGATATATAAATGTTATAGATTAGAATTTCATGCCAAACAGCAACATTAGGCATCAAGAATAAAGGGGATATGAAAAGGGACTAACGGGCTGGGTACGGTGGCTCACGCCTGTAATCCCAGCACTTTGGGAGGCCGAGGCAGGCAGATCACTTGAGGTCAAGAGTTCAAGACCAGCCTGGCCAACATGGTGAAACCCCCGTCTCTACTAAAAATACAAAAATTAGACAGACCTGGTGGCACACACCTGTAATCCCAGCTACTTGGGAGACTGAGGCAGGAGAATCACTTGAACCCAAGAGGCAGAGGTTGCAGTGTGCCAAGTGCACTCCAGCCTGGGTGACAGAGTGAGATTCCATCTCAAAAAAAAAAAAAGGTGGGGGAGTGGGGGGCCTAATGAACCAGTCCAAGGAGAGTGACATGTAGAAGGAGAGAGTCCTGATCCGGGCACTTGCCAGTATCTTCCAAGAGTCCTTTATTTGGGCAGAGCCTTCAGCTTCAAATTCTGGGTGCTGATGACAAGTGACAGTGAGACAGAATGTGTTAAGATGTCAAGCTGGTGAGGTCCTGCTCATTTTATGACCCTTGAGTCCTCTGGTGAGGACTGGTGGTAAAGGGTTACACCCTTATCTGGTTGGGTGTTGTCTCTATTGATTAGGTAGACATCTGGACTCTTGTTGACTTGATGACTTTTAAAATGTAAGATGGAGTCTTTTTCTAAGATGGAGTCACTTATGTCAAGGGTGTGCTATACATATAGTATCTTTTAAAGAGCTGCATCTTTAGAAGCACATTGCTGGTTATGTAAGATGTTCTATCTGAGGAAGTGTGCTGAAGTGTGACGACTACTAATAATAAGCAGAAAGCACGTGGTGTTGATGGGGATGTTGTCAATGCTGATGGCAGCAGCGGGCACTTGCTGGGCATCAAACCCTGTTCTGAGTCCTTGGAATGACTTTCCATAAACAAACCCATCTCCCATGTCACCACATGCCCCTCAGCCCTGGGCAGTGACTCCTGTTAGGGTGATCATCTCATCCAGGTTTGTCTGTGACTTTCCCACTTGTAGCACTGGAAGTCCCAAGACCCAGGAAACCCCTCAATCCCAGGCAAATCAGGAGAGTTGGTCACTCTACTCCATATCCACAATCCATTTTATCTATTTATTTGTTATTTTTGCCTTTAAATTTATATCCTAGAAAAATACTTTAAAAGCTGCTAGACATGTCCAGCTGAAAGAACATTCTTCAAAGATTAAAAAAAAAAAAATTCTAAGAGGCTGAATAGTTGCACAAAACCCCAAAAGAGGAACCGGTTTCAACATCTTTCTTTGTTCTCTTAAATTTGACCATGATTTCATCATTTGTCATGAGTTTGACTCTTGTGATTCAGCGATGATGGAATGTATCCTACAGTCTTTTGGTTAAGTTTTTTTTTTTTTTTTTTTTTTTTGAGACAGAGTCTTGCTCTGTTGCCCAGGCTGGAGTGCAGTGGCACTATCTCGGCTCACTGCAAGCTCCACCTCCTGGGTTCACGCCATTCTCCTGCCTTAGCCTCCCGAGTAGCTGGGACTACAGGCACCTGCCACTATGCCCGGCTAATTTTTTTTGTATTTTTAGTAGAGATGGGGTTTCACTGTATTAGCCAGGATGGTCTTGATCTCCTGACCTCGTGATCCGCCCGCCTCGGCCTCCCAAAGTGCTGGGATTACAGGTGTGAGCCACCTGCCTGGCCAGTTAAGTTCTTGTTAGTACAGATAGACCCATTATCTTTTCTATTTTTGGTGTTCTCCCACAAAACTGTCGAAGAAGCCAAGTTTTTTTTTAACTTTACTGTTTAAACATGTGAATCAACTTATTTTTTCTTTATCAGCATCATTTTCTTGTCTTCCTCTAAAAAAAATTTTTTTAAACAAGCTGATCTGCCTTCCAAAAGTTTCCAAGTAATTAAACCCAATTAAAACCATTAAATTCTTTCTTTTAATGACAACTTTATTATTAAAAGCTAACCACAAGGAGGAGATTTAACTGGCAAAGCTCTCTGTTGTGTGTTAATCCATTCCTGACCTCTGGCTGACACTTCCAAGAGATAAACCCCACAGAATAGGGAGCTGGTTTAATGAACAGCTTTAATTAATACTTTTCTTCCTTGTGGCAGAGTAATTATTTGTTCAACTTGTAAACAGCTCCTTGGCGGTGATTTTTTAAAGACCCAGTTGGCTTGGATAGTGTGATGGTTTTGATGTGTTTTGTGTGTTTGTGTGTGTTTTTTTTTCTTTAAAAGAGAGAGGGGAGGAGATCTCCATTCCAGGATTGGTGCTGAAGCACATGTGTCCTGAAGTTCAGGACGTCAGGGTAATTGACACAGAAGAAAAGTGAGGCGAAGGCAGGCAGCAAGCTGCCTGTATTTTTGAGACATCTCCAGAGAGGGCAGGTCTGCAGACGGGCAGGTCTGCACTTTGCAGCAACAGTCTGCAAGCCCAGACAAGGCCCCCAAGGAGACACAAGCCCAGCCCAAATGCAGTCTGAGTGTTAAGAAAGGAAAGGGCCTGGGATTGCAAAGCGCGAGGCCAAACGCCTCCCCCGACCTTCCCTTCGCGTGGCACCTGAGAAAGGGGCAGCCCAGTGCAAATGCTAGGTGTGACCAACCAGGCCCCGGAGAAGCGATTCTGTGAACAAGGATGACTAGCCCGCTAGTAGTGCTTGCCGCAAGCCGCCCATGCATCCCAAGTGCTTTCCACCCATCACCTCCCTAACCTGTCTCAGGGAGGTAGATGCCGTGGGTTTTCGTGAGGTTAAGTGGCCTGTCCCAAGTCACGTACCTTCTAGCAATAAGGGCAGAGCGCAGATTGCAGCCAGCTGTCTGGCTGCAGGAGTCAGTCCTAACTACTGGGCAGAGCTGCCCCTTGAGACAAGAAAGTGGCACCTCCCACTCAGCTGGCGGGGAGAGACTTAGGTTTGTTTTTTTTCATTTAGTTCATCTCTTAGTTAGAAAGCTGGTTTCATTAACAAGTTAGAAAGTTAGTTTCATTGCCCACTCTGTAATTCCAAAGTTAATTTACTAACACTAAGGACCAAGCTTTTTCATTATTTTAAAAATCATTTAGAGGAGTGATTCTCAACTAGGGGTGATCTTGTCCCTCAGAGGACATTTGGTGACGTCTGGAGACATTTTTGACTGTCACAACTGGGTAGGCGTGCTACTGAATTTAGTGGGTAGAGGCCACGGATGCTGCTCAAATTCCTACAACCCACAGGATGGAACTACAACGTGGAATTATCTGGCTCAAAATGCCAACAGTGCCAAAGCGGAAAAACCCTGATTTGTAGAATCCTCAAATGTTTCATTCTTATATAATTACTCAGACTTTTCATTCTTGTAGAATGCTCAAATGCTCACTCTAGAAGCAATTTGTAAACACACAAAAGCAATATTAATGCACCCATCAGTCCCCACCCCACCCCCTCAAAATTAGGCTGAATCTCTTATAAAAAAAAAAAGTTAATTAATTAACTTAGTGAATTTGTTAACCAGGCCACCAGAAATTCTTCAGAAACACATCTAAAGTGCCACTAACTGTTCTCAACTGAACAGTTAGTTACGGATGAAATTGTTAGTACAAGAATATTTGAAGACAGTCCCCAAATTCCCAAACATCTACCTCTACTTATTATGCAAGTTTCCTTAAGAAAATGCTTATGTGGCCAAGCTCGGTGGCTCATGCTTGTAATCCCAGCACTTTGGAAGGCCGAGGCGAGAGGATCACCTGAGGTCAGGAGTTCGAGACCAGCCTGGCCAACATGGTGAAATCCCATCTCTACTAAAAATACCAAAATTAGCCAGCTGTAGTGGCACACACCTGTAATCCCAGCTACTCAGGAGGCTGAGGCAGGAGAATCACTTGAACCCGGGAAGCAGAGGTTACAGTGAGCCAAGATAACAAAAAAGAAAAGAAAATATGTATGAAGAGCACAAAGCAGATTAACTAATTTCACCCTCTGAGCCTCCTTGGGCTGAGGGATGTGTTCAGAGATCTCTGATGCCTCTTTGGGGCTCCCAAGACTCTCCTCCCCAAGGGCTCAGAGCTGTGTCTGAAGCTGGAAAGATAAGCAGACAGTCCTGGAGGGCTTAATCCTGGGACTGGGTTGAGTCCAATGCTTAAGATGTCAGAATTCAAGCTTCTTAGAGCAAGGGCCGTAGGCTTCGTGTTTCTATCTGGAAGGACTGACCGTGGCATCCCACCTGCAAGACCCTTGACAAGAGCGAAACAGACAGCTAGCGTTGCTGACAGACCAAGACATTATTCAGAGAGTGTTGCTGTTTTCTGAAAATTATCTTTGGATATGTTGCATTTGATAAGATTAATGGATCTAAAGAGGCCCTAAAGTTAATCTTTTCACAAACACACCTGTTTTTGACTCCTAGGGTGACATCCTAGAAAGACATGGGCTACAAGTAAGTGAGGGGAAAGGCTGGGAGCAGAGAGAGATGGTTCTGAGCCCTTCGGGGGCAGCTAAAATGAGCTGATTTCCAATCGCGGCCAAGGTGTCTGGTTCCCGCAGAGCCATTCCCGGCCTTTGGCAGGCAGCAAATGGCAGCTGACAAGGAAGGGATTTTCCAGTTAGCTTTGCCTTTTCATATCAAGTCCAGGAAATTAAAGACACACATACTCCACAGCAATAAGGGGAGACGGTTTCCCACCCTGTGGGCTCTCCTTTTGTCCCCTCCAAAGACCAGCATTGCAGTTATCAGAGAGGAAAGCCAGCCTGAGACCTGAGAAAAGAATCAGGGCTGATTTTTAGGTGGCAGCTGCCTGCCGTTTCTCCTCACTTTGGAAGTGTAATTGTCATTAAACATGTTGTTTGTTTCATTAAAAGTAGACATCAACAGTTACAAATCAGGCATTTACGAAAAAAAAAAAAATCTGGTGGTTATCTGCCCTAAGCTTTTTTTTCCTAATAAATCATTTCATTTTATGTTACTAGTTCCCATGAAGATATATTTATGAGTAAAATGGTTAAGATTTTGGATTCTTGAGTTAGACAGTCCTAGATTTGAATCCCAGCTCTGCCACTTATTGGCAGCGTGACCTTGGACAAGTCACTTCATCAGTCTGAGTTTTGATTTATCTGTAAAACAGGGAAAAGATATTTTGAGGAGGAAATGGGATAATGTACACAAAGTTCACACATATTCATATATTCATTTAAAATAAAAAAATGGCCAGGCACGGTGGCTCATGCCCATAATCCCAGCATTTTGGGAGGCCGAGGTGGGTGGATCACTTGAGGCCAGAAGTTTGAGACAAGCCTGGCCAACATGGTGAAACCCTGTCTTCATTAAAAAATACAAAAATTAGCCGAGCATGGTGGCATGTGCCCATAGTCCCAGCTACTCAGGAGGCTGAGGCAGGAGAATCACCTGAACCCAGGAGGCGGAGGTTGCAGTGAGCCAAGATCATGCCACTGCACTCCAGCCTGGGTAACACAGCAAGACTCTTGTCTCAAAAAAAGAAAATAAATTAACCAAGCATCTGCCATTCAAGCTCTGATCTAGGTATGAGGGACACAGTAATAGCTCCCATGGAGTTTGCCTCCTACTTAGAGGAGAAGCACAAAAAATTATAAATAAATAAATAAGAGCATTTCAGTCAATGATAAATGCTGTTTAAAACTGCAACAGAGTAATGGGATGTGGAGTGAGTGGGGAGGAGTATGTTAGTTTATTTCATAGGGAATGGTCAGAGAAGACCTTTCTGGCATTGAAAGTGGGAATGGAATGTTACAAAGGATCCAGCCCTGAAAGAGCCTGGGAAGAGGGGATTTCAGGCTGAGGAACAGCATGTGCAAAGGCCCTGAGGCAGGAGCAAGTTTGGCAGATTCAAGGCAGAGTGGAAGAGTAGGTGGTTACTAGAGCACATGAGGCCACTAGAAGACGGTGGCTTTACTCAGAGGGCCAGGGGAAGCCAGTGGGTTTTAAGTGAAAAGCACAGCTCTGATAGTTGTTTTAAAAAGAGCACTCTGGCTGCTGTGTGGACAACAGACATGGGGGACAAGGGAGGCTAGCTGCCTTTATAGTGGCCCAGCACACAGAGGGGCTCCTTGTCTTCCTCCCTCACCGCCCCCCTCTCTTGGTGATGGACTGAAGGTGCCTTGGAAATAAGATAAATGACAACATGCAAATAAAGTGCTGAGCGCAGGAGCAGGTGCATAGTAGACCATCCAACCAGCAAAGCTCTGATAAGAATTATTATTTTGGGGAACTATCTCTTAATCCCTTGCTCCTTGGAAAACCTGGAAGAAATCAGGCAATTGGGGTATAAGGACCAGGTGAAGTGCTAGAGCCCTCAGGTCAGGGGAGCAGTTGTGCCCCCCACCCCAGTCACATGCATGTCCCCCTCCAACCCCCACCACGGATCAGATCAAATGAGGATGGCTAGCATCAGGGTCTGAGTCACTGCCTTAGCTGCCAGTTTTTCCTAAAGCAGATTTCAACCTTGAAATAAATCTCTTAAAATGCCTTTTTTATGATCCCAAAATGAAAACCCCAAATAATATAGCTGACCACTCACTACTTTAAAAAAAATGAATGTAGTATCCTAACTGTAACTTAACGGAAAGAAATAAAAGAAGGTTTATTTTCTTTTTTTTTTTTTTTTTTTTTGAGACAGAGTCTTGCTCTGTAGCCCAGGTGGGAGTGCAGTGGCACAATCTCGGCTCACTGCAAGCTCCGCCTCCCAGGTTCACGCCATTCTCCTGCCTCAGCCTCCCGAGTAGCTGGGACTACAGGCGCCCGCCATCACGCCCCGCTAATTTTTTTGTATTTTTAGTAGAGGCAGGGTTTCACCATGTCAGCCAGGATGGTCTCGATCTCCTGACCTCGTGATCCACCCGCCTCGGCCTCCCAAAGTGCTGGGATTACAAGCGTGAGCCACCGCGCCCGGCCGAGAAGGTTTATTTTCTAAAAATATGTATTTCAGTATGTAAATGCTCAAACATGACCGCAATAGAAGACATGACAAAGGAGTCTGATACTACCACCCACTTCTCATTTAAAAGGTTGCATTTCAGAGAACTAGGAAGATCTGGGGCTCTTCTCTACTAGAAGTAAAGGAAAATGGAAGAACAGAGATGGGATGGACCATGGGATACAAACAAGTATATTCAGTATTTATCAAAACCATGCAAAGCCCGGGCGAGGTGGCTCATGCCTATAATCCCAACACTTTGGGAGGCCAAGGTAGGCAGATCACCTGAGGTCAGGAGTTCAAGACCAGCCTGGCCAACATGGTGAAACCCCATCTCTACTAAAAATACAAGAATTAGCCAGTGTAGTGGCGGGTGCCTGTAATCCCAGCTACTCAGGGGGCTGAGGCAGGAGAATCACTTGAGCCCAGGAGGTGGAGGTTGCAGTGAGCTGAGACTGCGCCATTGCACTCCAGCCTGGGCTACAAGAGCGAAACTCCATCTCAAGAAAAAAAAAATCAAAAATACTCTATGTTTACTTCTATAAAGGAGTTAGATTCTAGGCTCAGATCATTAGAAACAGGTTTTTCACAACGTGAGTGTTCATCAGGAGATATGAAAGTCACATGGGTTGTGGGACAATTTTTCTTTCTGTACAACTTCCTACAGTGCATTAGAAGACATTAATATCCTTGGCACCCCCAAATACCACTATCCCTCTCAACTATTACAACGAACAAAATGCTTCCCCCACAAATTTCCAAACCACTGTCTAGGCGGAGGTGCCACACCTGCCGAGAACCACTGCCCTAAAACAGATTCATGGATGATATACTCAAAATAACCGCATTTGGCAATTTTATAATTGCATGCTGTGGTGGGCAGACAAATGGCACCCCAAAGACGTCCACATCCTAGTCCCCAGAATCTGTGGCTGTTAACCTTCTATGGCCAAAGGGACTTTGCAGCTGTGATTATGTGTCCCTAATGTAATCAGAAGGGTTTTTATAAAAGGGAGGGTGGTCAAAGTGGGCGGTAGGAGATGTGAGGCCAGAAGCAAGATATTGGAGTGACATGAGGAAGGGGCCATGAGCCCAGGAATGCAGGTGGCCTCTAGCAGCTAACACAAGCAAGGAAACAGTCTTCTCCTCTGAAGCCTTCAAAGGAACGCAGCCCTGCAGACACCTCTCATCTCTAGAACTATTAGAGAATAAGTGTACATTGTTTAAAGCCACTAAGTTTGTGCTAATGTGTTATGGCAGCCACGGGAAACTATATTACATGTGTTTATATTCATGGTGACTTCCCATTTATGGTGACTACACCAGGTTTTCTATTTATGATCATGATAACAAGTTTCTTTCTAAACTAAAATGCACTTAGATTTTGTTTTTGTCTTTGAAACAGGGTCTCACTCTGTTGCCCAGGCTGGAGTGCAGTAGCGCAATCATAGTTCACTGTCACCTCAACCTCCCAGGCTTGAGCAATCCTCCTGCTAGGACTGTAGGCACACACCACCACGCCCAGCTAATTTTTTAATTTTTTGTAGAGATGAAGTCTTACTATGTTGTCCAAGCTGGTCTTCAGTTCCTGGGCTCAAGCGATCCTCCTGCCTCAGCCTCCCAAAGCACTAGATTATGAGCGTGAGCCACCATGCCCCCAGCGAGGTGTTTTAGAAGGAGGGAGTAGCCAAATTAAAGGAAAATATTAAGTTAATAATAACACAGCTACTCTGTAGCTTGGCAGAACTTGCAAAGGTGTTCCAAGAATGGCCCTAGTTTGGAAAATAACAGGTTAAACTATCGCATGGGAATTTCTCAGCGGGAGAAGTCTTCTGTTGGAAGCTTCTGAATGCTGCTGCTTTTTGTTAGTAATACCTAGGCACCAGGTGTTTTGCAAGACACACCACACACAAATCCTCAGGAGCCCTGGAAAGGACTCACTGCTTATGTTCAGCTGAAGAAACTGAGGCCCAGGGAGAGTGAACATCTCCTTCAAGGTGATGTACCTGGGGAATGGCAGTCCCAGGATTTGAACCTGGGTCCTGCCAACTCCATGGGTGATGCTCTCAACCACTTTGCTTCATGGAGATTCTTGTCTATGGCCACATTCATGGATACCTTGTGAATGATGGAGGCAATTTGTGGTGGCCATTTGGGTGAGTCCCTTGCCCCATTAGGCAATGCTTGTATAAGGGAGAGGTTACTCTTTTCAGACTACATAATAACCCAGGCCCTTCCATGGACTTGGCTTAAATCACCTTGGGGTGGGGGTAGCAAGAGGTGCCATCAGAAGAGAAGACAGTCTTTCCAAAGTGCTTCCTGGCAAAGCTCGACCATTGCTAAGATGTAAAGAAACACTTGGGCTTGCTCAGCAGGCCTTGTCTATGCCGCAAACACCCGTTTTTGCTTGGAATTGGCACGTTGCATGCTGAGTTAAGAATCTTTTGATTATAAGCGACAGAAATTCAATGCACATCAGCTTAGGCCAAAAAGGAGAATTTGTTCATGTCACCAAGATGTCCAAACGTAGACCTAAAGCAAGGTGGGATCCAGCTCCCTAAATATTTTCATATGAATCTGTGTGCACTGTCAGGAAGGCTCTGCCTGTAGGGTGACAGAGATGGCTGCCGGCATCCTTGAGCCTAGATCTACCAGCTCAGCCACCCCAGGAAAAAAAGGTGCCTCTCCCAGGAGTCATAGCTAAAGTCCTCAGGCCAATGCCCATTGGCTCATAATCATCCTTGAATCAATCACTATGATTCTAGCCAGGGATGGGTTATGAGATCACCCTGAAAGACCCATAATGGGTGTTATTTTTACTAAAAATTATTAACTGCTAATTTACGGATGTGACTGCTCATTCTCAGAGAGATTGGGTATCTCCACAATAGCATGCTGCCTCCTTTGCTAACCGGTTGTTTTTTGAAGGTGTCTAATAAAGACACTGTGTTGGGAATCCCCAAGACCACCTTCGGCCTCAATGATTGACTAGAACTCACAAGGCTCAGAGAAGCTGTTAGACTCACAGTTACAGTTATTACAGTAAAAGGACACAGATTAAAATCTGCAAGGGGAAGAGGCACATGGGGTGAAATCCAGGAAAGACCAGGCACAATCTTCCGGGAGTCCTCTCCCAGGGGAGCACGGACACTCCACCTAATTCTCCCAGCAACAATGTGTGCGAACACATGCCAAGTGTTGCCAACCAGGGAAGCCCACTTGAGCCTTGATGTCCAGGGTCTTATTGGGGGTCAGTGACATAGGCATGCGACACCTAAGTAACTGACCTCAGCCACTCAGACACCAGCACCCCAGAGCAAAAATAGACATTCACCATAAACTACATTCTTAGCCTAAACTATCTCAAGTGGAAGTGCATGGTGTGGCCCAAGGGCTTGGAGCTCATGCACCAGGAACTGGCCAAGGGCCAGCCCTGAAGACAGACATTTCTTAAGGAATGTGCAGGGTTTGAGCAACCCAGGCCTGCTGAGTTAACCCTTTCCTGCACAGCCAGCCTCTAAATCTTTATAGCAGACCCCAAATGAAATCAGCTAAATGGCTCTTCCCAAGTAAAGACCACCAGATAGCGTAGATGTCTGGTGCACTTGGAGATTCCACAGAGGGGACAGCACATCCCTTCTGCCCAGTCATGCAGCTGAGCCATGGAAGGCAGACGCTCCCTCAGAGCAAAAAAGCCATGACAGGGGTGGTGGCCTAACCAGAGGATTATGGAGTCTGGAGTCAGATTAGACCTGAGTTCAGTGCCAACACTTTCTCTTACAAGCTAAGCAACATTGAACAAGCTACACAGTAATAATAGTAACAGTAATAGCAATATAAACAGTAGCTATTATTAAGCTAACATTTATTCAGACCTTGCTATGTTCCAGGCATGGTTTTAAGCACTTAAACAGTCATTAATTTATTGTTTTTAATTTTTTTTACATGGTCACAGTAAGAAATACATTTTACACTATAACCCACCACATACACACACACACACAAACACACACACACCCCAACTGGAATAGGTGTTCACCATTGCTGTGTATGATAGATTCTGATAGTTCGTTGTCTATTGTAGGAATTAACAAACTTTTCCTATAAAGGGATAATAAATATTTTAGGATTTCAGCTAGGTCCTGTGGTGACTACTCAACTATGCCATTGTACCATGAAAACAGCCATAAATAAACATTAAGTGATCAAATGGGCACTGCTAGGTTCCAACAAAACTTTATTTACAAAAACAGACAACGGGCCGGGTGCAGTGGCTCACGCCTGTAATCCCAGCACTTTGGGAGGCTGAGGCGGGCGGATCATGAGGTCAGGAGATCAAGACCATCCTGGCTAACGTGGTGAAACCCCGTCTCTACTAAAAATACAAAAAATTAGCCGGGCGTGGTGGCGGGCACCTGTAGTCCCAGCTACTTGGGAGGCTGAGGCACAAGAATGGCGTGAACCCAGGAGGCGGAGCTTGCAGTGAGCCGAGATCACGCCACTGTACTCCAGCCTGGGCGACAGAGCGAGACTCCATATCAAAAAAAAAAAAAAAAAAAAAAACAGACAACAGGCCATAGTTCCATAGTTTGCTGACTCCTGGGTTCTATTATATTTCTTCCAGTCTTTTTTTTAATGCTGTTCATTAAACTTTCACTAAAAGGATTATAACCTGCACTTTTACAAAAACGTATTTAATCTTTACAACAATCCTATCAGGTATATAAGCCCATTTTACAGATGAGAAACTGAGACACACTGAAGTTAAGTAACTTGTAAGAAGTGGAACTGGCCTTGATCAGAGGTAGTCTGGCTTAGAGCCCACCTTCTTCACCTGTACAACAAAGCACTCACTAGAGATTGGCCATTATCATTATCAACATTATTATTAATTATTATTATTATTATTATTCAGCCAGGAGTTAAGTTATGAAGGAACTCATATTTGAATTATGAAGGAACTCAAAATCCCACAGTCACATAAACCAGTTTCAGGATGAAATCGGCATGCCTTCCTTTTGTTCAAAGGGTTGTACAGCTAATTAGTATGTAAATCTCACTTCTTTGAATTGAACACATTTTAGAGTCATCTATTACAAAAGTGCTGCATGCTTGAAACAGAAAGCTTGCAAAATCTGTAATCTCAGCACTTTGTGAGGCTGAGGCAGGAGGATCACTTGAGGCCAAGAATTCAATACCAGCCTGGGCAACATAAGGAGACCCTGTCTCTACAAAAAAAAAAAAAAAAAAAAAAACAAACAAACAAACAAAAAACTAATTAATTAATTAATTAGCTAGGTATGGTGGTGCAAGCCTATAATCCTAGCTACTCAGGAGGCTGAGGTGTGAGGATCAAGAAGATCAAGGCTGCAGTGAGCTATGGTCATGCCACTGCACTCCAGCCTGGGTGACATAGGTAGTAGACCTGTCTCAAAAAAGAAAAGAAAGAAACAGAAAACTTGGAAAATCCAGGAAAAAAAGTCTTTAATGGATAGAGTTCTGATTCATTAAAACAATTTTTTGGTAAAAATCTATATGTGTTATTTTGAAATGAGAACAGTTACCTCCTAATCTATGTGGACTGGGAAGTAGACTTACAATACGGCATAAATTGGAGAGCTGATAAATTTGAGGATGGTAGAGACACTTGATAGAAAACAACTGTTTAGTCTTAATTAACTATGAATAACTTTGGCATTCACGTTTTGAAACTCATTCATGTTTGCTTTACATCAGATTAATTTTATTTTAAGAAAGATTTTTGTATACTCTTATCCTCTCCCTTTCATCCAAGAAATACAACCATACATCCCAAGATAGTGATCCACGAGGCAGATCTTTGGGCCGCCTACGTGGTGAAAGG
Organism: Homo sapiens; assembly: GCF_000001405.40. Lineage (NCBI taxonomy): Eukaryota > Metazoa > Chordata > Mammalia > Primates > Hominidae > Homo > Homo sapiens. The sequence continues at coordinate 47,136,450 of NC_000020.11, forward strand.
CCCCACCAACCTCCTATAATTCAGAGAACTTTGCCTGTAATTCCAGCACTTTGGGAGGCTGAGGCAAGAGGATCACTTGAACCAAGGAGTTTGAGATTACCCTGGGCCACATAGCAAGACCCTGTCTCTACACAAAATAAAATATAAGCCAGGTGTGCTAGCACACGTCTCTAGTCCTAGCTACTTGGGAGGCTGAGGCAGGAGGACTGTTTGAGTCCAGGAGTTCAAGGCTGCATTGAGCTATGGTCACACCACTGCACCCCAGCCTGGGTGACAGGGGAGACCCTGTCTCAAAAAAAAAAAAAAAAGAACTTCATCAAGAATGCATAATAGTTATATTACTGAGCTGCCATCCAGGTCCATAGCCTCTCTCCTGAAGGGCAGTTCCAACTCGAAACCTCTTCACCAGCCTCCCACACAAGTATGCAGAGCCCACCACACCATCATAAAAACTGAACCCGGAGAAATCTGTAGAACATTAGGGCACGCTAAGAAAATCTACAGCGTCTTTGTCTGATCCGTACCTTCGCCTCAAGAGAACCACCCACAAGTTCTCTAGTCAAACAAAGATGACATTCCATCCACCCCCACCCCTTAGCCCCCAGCATGGTCCTTCCCAGGATGAGTTACACATTGAAGCCTGTTTTGGAAAAACTACCTCCTCTCAGTTCATTCTGGTTTAAATTGATTTTTTTTAAAGTAATCCACTTATGCTGTTGCTTGTTTAGGAAATTAACCACTGTTGTTTTTTGTTTTTTAATCCAAAGAATATGTAATGCTTCAGAAAATGGGTTTCATGTAAGTGGCATGTTAAAAGCTTTTGTACCAACTGATGTGGGGTCTTCCTGCTGGGTTCGCAGAAACGATTCTTTGCTTAAAGGCTCAAGGAAGGGGACTGGGGGATTTTGACAATAACCAATGCTTGTGGAGTGCCTGCTGCAGTCCAGGCCTGGGCTAGGTGCTTCCACACGTGCTGTCTGATTTAATCCTCACTGCAATGTTAGGTCTTAGAGGGATCAGGCTGGACTTGAAGGGGTCAGTGGCCCGAAAGAGCATGGTGTGAAAGCTGTCTATTTTAGGCTTTATTTGACTGGGAGAAGTTCTGGGTCAGACAGAGGGTTGCCTCCAAGCTGTCCTCTGTGACTAAAGTCAAGACACCAGGATGGAATATTTATGGTTTATAGTAGGGCTGCATTCAGCAGGCAGCCCAGGATGAAACTGATGGCTTTTGTCTTGTCCTCACTCCAGATGTATTTCACATAAATTAATACTGAGTCACCACCAAATTTTTTTTTCTTTTAGTTTCTTGCTCTCTGCAACCCTGGAAAAACATTTCCTACTTGGATAAACTATGCAGCCATAAAAAATGATGGGTTCATGTCCTTTGTAGGGACATGGATGAAATTGGAAATCATCATTCTCAGTAAACTATCGCAAGAACAAAAAACTAAACAGCGCGTATTCTCACTCATAGGTGGGAATTGAACAATGAGAACACATGGACACAGGAAGGGGAACATCACACTCTGGGGACTGTTGTGGGGTGTGGGGAGGGGGGAGGGATAGCTTTAGGAGATATACCTAATGCTAAATGACGAGTTAATGGGTGCAGCACACCAGCATGGCACATGTATACATATGTAACTAACCTGCACATTGTGCACATGTACCCTAAAACTTAAAGTATAATAATAATAAACTAAAAATTAAAAAAAAAAAAGTGTTCTGACCCAGGGCAACACTGTGTTACTTGACTCCTGAGTTAGCCTTGCTTTTCTGAGGCTATTCCAGACTTTTCTGCCTCTGTGCAACTAGTTTTTATCGTGTTTTTTGAACAGAGGTACCACCTACATAGCTTAAAACAATCTTAGGAAAATCTGAAATAATAAGAATGCTCCAAGAGTAGGTGGGTATTCTAAAGGCTCATCATATAAACATTTGGGTGTCTTCAATCTTTAGAAAAATGTTTAATTACATGATAAGTATTTGAATCCCTTCTCTTTTAAAAAATTCTAGAAGGCTGGGCATGGTGGCTCACGCCTGTAATCCTAGCACTTTGGGAGGCCGAGGTGGGTGGATCGCTTGAGCTCAGGAGTTTGAGACCAGCCTGGGCAACATGGTGAAACCCCTGTCTCTACAAAAAAAAATACAAAAAAATTAGCCAGGCGTGGTGGTGCACACCTGTAGTCCCAATTACTTGGGGGCTGAGGCAGGAGGATCACTTGAACCTGGGAGGTCGAGGCTGCAGTGAGCCAAGATTGTGCCACTCTACTCTGGGTGACAAAGTGAGACCCTGTCTCAAAAAAAAAAAAAATCTAGAATATTCTAGATAATACTGAAGTTCACTTTGACCATCACTTTTAATTCCTGTTCCTTCCTCTCTGCCTTCTAGAAGTAACTGCCTTTCTTTTTGTGTACAGCCTTTCAGATATGTATAAATATGTAAGTGCACATGGAAAATATAGTAACATTTTATGTGTCTCTAATAAACGGTAATAACATACAGTACATAGTACATAATGCAATCAGAAAACTTTTTTTCACTCCAGTGTATTTTTTGATGTGTCCCTGTTAATACATGGAGATCTGGTGCATTTCCTTCCATTGAAATTTCATTTCCCATTGTATGAATAGACCACATTTCATTTTTCAAGTCTGCTTTGAAGTGATAGCTAAATTATTCCCAATCTTTTGCTATTTACTAACAATTCTGTAATGAACATCTTCGATATGTCCCCTTGCTCATGTGTATGAGATTTTCTGTAGGATAGATAATGAAAAGTGGAATTACTGAGTATGTTGCCTGTTATTTTTAAATTGTTAATCCAAGAAATATATGCCTATAGTTTAATATTCATAGTTCTACAAAGGAATATATATGGAAAACAGCAGTCCTCAGTGACTGCCCACCACCCTTTTTTCCTGCCCAGGGGCAACAACTCTTGCTGCTGCCTTTAAAAATGTAACCTCCAAATTATTTTTATTTTATTTTATTTTTTTGGTACGGAGTTTCACTCTTGTTGCCCAGGCTGGAGTGCAGTGGCACAATCTCGGCTCACCACAACCTCCTCCTCCTGGGTTCAAGCAATTCTGCCTCAGCCTCCCGAATAGCTGGGATTACAGGCATGCGCCACCACACCCGGCTAATTTTTGTACTTTTAGTGGAGACGGGGTTTCTCCATGTTGGTCAGGCTGGTCTCGAACTCCTGACCTCAAATGATCTACCCGCCTCGGCCTCCCAAAGCACTGGATTACAGGTGTGAGCCACTGCACCCAGCCTCACTCCCAAATTTCTAAGTAACATCCTTAGGTGCTACTTCTTGATTCTTTTTTTCCCCCCATTGTAGGCATGATCTCTGGCTTCCCAAAATATACTAATTGAGCTCTCTTTTCTCACCCTTGACCCCAACACACACATGCAAACTTTCTCTTCATGTCTTCCCAGTATCAGTCAATCATAACTTGAGCTTTACCAATATGCGGTATTTGCCTTCTTACAACTATATAAATACTCTTCACAGAGAAGTCATTTGGTATGCAATAATTACTTTTCCTTCTCTGTGTGCTGGCCTGGGAGGTGACAACTTTCAGAATAAATCCTTTCAGCAAACAAGTCTGGGTGGCAGCTCCTTCTTGCTTCTTGTCCAGTACATGGAGGGTTGGTAATCAGTGATTAGGTGCACGAATTGCTCCGTCAAAGAGGAGTGTGTGATTGTGCAGAGGTGAAATGCTTTGGATATGAGTAATGCAAAACCTTTTCCCAGGTCACACACGATTCCCTCCTAGGCCCTGAGAAGTTTGTTTTCCTCATTTGCTCTTCATTTTTCACTGAGTACCCTGCCCCATCGACTTCCAGCCAGGACCAAGAGTGCTAAGCTTTGGCTCTCGGGGCCTTGATGAAGTGTTTTGCCTAATGGCTGTGTTCCTGGGCCTGATTCTTCACAGTTGTGTGTGTGAAGCTGAGATCACCAGCTGCATTTTTTTCTTTCTTTTTTTTTAAGGGTCAAAAAGGGTTTATGTCCTTAATTATTTATTTTTATAATAGAAATAATATAGCCTCCAGTGAAAAATTTAAACAGGAAAAGGACTGTATGGAGCAAGGGGACAAGGCCCCTGTCGCTCCTCTCCCAACTCAGCCCCTTTGAGTCCTCAGAAGCAGTGTTGTTCCAGAACCAGATTACCTATGTTCTAATCTCAGCATTTGTTAGCTTGTATGGCCTTGAACAAGTTGCCTAACCTTTGTATGCCTCCATTTTCTCATCTATAAAATGGGTGTTTTAGTCCATTTAGTGTTGCTATAATAGAGTACCTGAGGCTGGATAATTTATAAAGAAAAGGGGTTTATTTGACTTATGATTCTGGGGATCGGCAAGTTCAAGATTGGGTAGCTGTACCTGGTGAGGGCCTCAAGCTGCTTCCATTCATGGTGGAAAGTGGAAGGGGAGTCAACGTGTGCAAAGATCACATGGGGAGAGAGGAAGTCAACTCTTTTAACAACTCACACTCTTGGAAACTAATCTATTCCTGAGAGACTGAGAATTCACTGACTCTCATGGGAAGGCATTAATCTATTCATGACCCAAACACCTCCTACTAGGCCTTACCTCCCAACACTGCCACATTGGAGATCAAATTTCAACACGAGTTGTGACAGGAACAAACCAAATCCAAACCATAGCAATGGAAAAATAATAGTGTTCACCTCACAGAGTTTGGTGGGGATTAAATGAGTTAATACTTATAAAGTGGCACAGAGAAAGCACTTCATAGATATTAGCCAGGAATATTAGCCAGGAATATTATTAACAGTGTGTTTTATATCCTCCTAGACTAGTGGTTCTTAACCTTGACTGCATATTGAAATCTAGACTAGTGGTTCTTAACCTTGACTGCATATTGAAATCACCTGGGGAGCTTTAAACTTCTTGGTGCCTGGACCCTGCTGTCAGCAATTCTGATTTTATTGGTCTGGAGAGCAGCCTGGGCATCAGGATTTTTAAAGGCTTCTCAGAGCATCACAATATGTATCCAGGGGTGGAAACCATTGTGCTGCATATTTTCCATGTGTATCGGTTAGGATAGGTAAGGGCATGCTGCAGTAACAAACATCCCCAAAATCTCATCTACTTCTCATTTATGATACATGTCCATTGTGGTCAGCTGTATCTCTGATCCACATCATCTTTATTCTGGAACCCAAGCCAACAGAATATGTGTGGGCATTGGTGAACATAGCTGCCTTCCAGGCTAACAGAATAAATATCCAGAATACTTGCAGCCTTGTGAAGTGAGAAAAGAGAGTGCATGGGGAAGTGTGCACTGGCTCCTAAAAACTTCTGATCAAAAGTGAAACATAACTTTTGCCCACATATCACTGGCCAAAGCAAGTTGCATGGTCCAATTTCTAAGTAACATGCGTATGTGCTCCTTCTTGTAGCACATACAAGAAGTATGTTTTTTCAGTTGTAGGTATGATCTCTTGCTTCCCAAAATAGAAGAATTGAGCTCTCTTTTCTCACCCTTGACCCCATCACACATATGCAAACGTTCTCTTCATGTCCTCCCAATATTAATCAATCATAACCTGAATTGAACAGGGAGGGTATGTGTCAGCGGCTGGATGGTAAATATTTTAGGCTTTGTGGGACACACAGTCTACTCACCTCTGACTTTGTAGTACAGTGTAGACAATACACTGATTTTCTAAAAAAATGTAAAAACCATTCTTAACTCATTAGTCATACAAAAACAAGCAGCAGGCCAGGTATGGCGTGGGGGCTGCAGCTTGCCAACCCCTGCTACATGTCCTCCTTTTGCAGGGAGAAGCACCTCAGGGAGGGACCCCAAATATGGGTGAACAGCAGTACAGTCTACCACACTGTGTATACAGAAAGGAGGCACTTTCATTGCACAAGTGTGCAAATTCATACGTTATGCTGTGTTGCAGCTTGCTTTTGTTACTTAGTACTGTATCTCTTGATGACAGTTTCATATCAGTAACTCCAGAATGACTTCGTTTGTATAATGGCTGCCTAGTTTTCCCTCCTATGAATGTACCATAGTGCCTTTGTGTTTGTGTGTTTTTATCATTAACCCTCTATTGTTGGATAACAGGGATTTTTTTAAATATCAAGAGGAGGGAGTAAGGCAGTGTGCCTAGAGAGATTGTTGGAGAGAGAGACTCAACATCCCAACTCTCCCAGTAGTTTATACTGAAATCTTCCAGACCTCCCTGAAAACAAAAATGTGTTGGGGGCAACCCCTGAAAACATGCATTTGCCAGGAGGCCCTGTTTTATTACAGCCATATCATATCTGTGATAAGTGTCCTTGCAACGCTGAACACTGTTGCAATCCCAGGGTCATTTTCCAGGAGATTTAAATACTGGAAAGGGTAAAAAGAAATGGTGAAAACTGGAAGTGAGATCCCGGAAGCTGTACAACATGATTATCACACCGGCCTCACACAGAGACTCATTTTAGGCCACGCGTGAGCCGAGCAGATGAGGAAAAACCAAAACTGCTTTTCGGCAGTGGAATGGGACCAAAAGGGTAGCTAAGATTCCTCAGGCTCCGCGTGCATGTGATTTTCCCCTTCTCTGCCTCGCAGGACACCACGACGTCCGTGCGCATTGGCCTTATGATGGAAGAGATGATCTTCAACCTTGCAGATACACATCTGTTCTTCAATGACCTGGAGGTTTGTGGTTGCTGATTTCATTTAATATTTGCCATGTTTAATCACCTGCATCTAGTTTATGGGAAGAAGGATGCTGCCTTTCCTTTCTTTTTCTTTTTCTTTTTTTCTCCTTTTTCTTTTAGAAGCTTGAAACTTTTGCTAACAACCCCCAAAAAGGCCCAAAACTGTGGCCGGTGATGGTTTATTGGAAACACACTTAGCTCAATTATCTCCCTAGCTTTCCTGTGCAGTTAACGGGCTCTTCTCTGTTCCAGTGGTAGTGTCCACTGGCAGTTTTACTAATCCAATAATGGCTATGTAGTTTCTTCCTCCTGAAATTTGCTATTTAATAAGTTTATTAAGGCAAATTAGTACAGATCCTCCTGGGTCAGTAATAATTAGCAGTGGCCCAGGGTGGAAGCTTTTAAAAACAATTTACATTCCCCTGAAAGCATGTTTTATAAAGAGAAAGAGTGAGAGTGAGCAGAGGGAATATGCTTATTTAAAGTATCTGCTCCTGAGCCCGTAAGCAAGATCCAAGGGAGATAGGGAAAAAAGCGGGAGAGCAGCTTCAAAAATAAATTGAATTCATTTGTTTATACCCAGCCTATGTCAGAAAGGATTTCGAATGGGAAACATATTTAGAATAGAACTAGTAACACAAAGGCAAGCGGAAGCAAAGCTATGTCATGAATAAGGGTAAGACATTGCACAAAAAAAATCCAGGCTCAGGCTAACTATTGCAATCAAGTTCAGAGTGTATCACTTCCTGGTAGCCAAAGTAAAGAGGGAAATACAATGAGTTACTTCTCTCTAATGAAAGAGCAAGCAACTTTCTCCAACGTGAAGAAGGGGTTTTGGCTGATAAAAGGATCAGTAAGGAAATCTTCTGGCTTTGTAAATTATGTTCACCTTATTGGTTCAACAGATTGAAAAGTAAAGGCAACCGGCCGGGCGCGGTGGCTCACGCCTGTAATCCCAGCACTTTGGGAGGCCGAGGCGGGTGGATCACAAGGTCAGGAGATCGAGACCATCCTGGCTAACATGGCGAAACCCCGTCTCTACTAAAAATACAAAAATTAGCCGGGCATGGTGGCGGGCACCTTTAGTCCCAGCTACGCAGGAGGCTGAGGCAGGAGAGTAGCGTGAACCCGGAAGGCGGACCTTGCGGTGAGCAGAGATCGTGCCACTGCACTCCAGCCTGGCAACAGAGCAAGACACCATCAAAAAAAAAAAAAAAGAAAGAAAAAGAAAGGCAATCTAAAATAAAACTGTATACAAAAAAACAATTCTATTTCTCTTAGTAGGAATATTTTTTCCCGGAATCTGGAATATCCCTGGGGACTAAACTGAAGTAGAAATATAAAGGTTATGGATTTCAAATCCATCCTGGCTAGCCCAAGGCACTACTAATATTTATCATTAGGAAAGCATACAGATTTTTCTTTCTAGTCTGCAGGCTGGAGTTCCAGAGAGAGGAATCCTTGCTGAAATAATCAGTCTTGTGTTTTGTCTAATCTATGTAAGCCTCTTGGGCCTCAGTCTTCACATCTATAAAATGGAATTGGTATTCTTTGCCCAACATCTGTTTCAAAGAGCAGAACTAGGTAGAAACTTGAGGAAGAAAGAGAGCTTTGGAGCAATGGAGAATAAATACCATTGGCTTCAAGGCTTGGGACTGTCTCTATTCAAAAGCAAAGTTCAGGCTCGCTTCACGATGACGTCTATGGCTCGAAGGACACAAGAGAGAAAACAAACAAACAAAAACTGTGGCCGTTGAATTCAGTGAGTATTTATGGAGCCTAATGCGGTAAAGACTCAGCCGATTGCAAAGATCAAAACCCAACTCGTTTTAACCAAAAGTGGAAATTATTGGCCCTTGTAGTTGAAAAGTCCAGGGTTGTTTTCATTCTTGCTTATTGCCCCCACTTCTGTGAGAACAGGGACCACTCTGTGTGATTGACCCTGAATCTCTAGGGCCCAGGCAGTAAACAACCAAACAAATCCATAAACAAGACCATTTATGATAATAAAAAGGATATGAAGAAAATAAAATAATCAGATGTGAGAACAAGTGATGGGGATGGAGGAGGGTTGGGGGGCAGCATTCTTGAGGGGGCCGGTCCAGGGAAGGCCTCTTAAGGCAGTAGCACTTGAACCAAAGGATGACAAGCACCCATTCAGATGGAGATCGGGGGCAGTGGGGCGGGGACAGCAAGTGCAAAGGTCCTGAGTGAGAACAAGCATGAAGGCCCCTGGGATCAGAGAGAAGGCATGGAGGCCGAAGTGCAGGAGTAAAAGTATGGAGGTGGCCAGGATAGATGAGCCTGGGGCAGGAGATATTACAGCAATCGAAGCTCATTCTAAGTGCCTTGGACATCTCTGGGGCAAGCTGATATTAAGAAGGAAAAGCCACATGGTCTGGGTTGTGTGTTAAAAAGACCTCTCTGGCTGCTGTGTGGAGAATGGGCAGTCAGAGGAGAAATGTGGTCTGGGCATGGTGGCTCACACCTGTAATCCCAGCACTTTGGGAGGCCAAGGCGGGTGGATCACTTGAGATCAGGAGTTCAAGACCAGCCTGGCCAACATGATGAAACCCTGTCTCTACTAAAAATACAAAAATATTAGCCAGGTGTGGTGGCGGGTGCCTGTAATCCCAGCTACTCAGGAAGCTGAGGCAGGAGAATCACTTGAACCCAGGAGGCAGAGGTTGCAGTGAGCTGAGATCAAGCCACTGTATTCCAGCCTGGGCGACAGATTGAAACTCCATCTTAAAAAAAAAAAAAGTAAAAAAGAAAAGAAATGTGGAGGCAGAGAGACCAGCCAAGAGGCTACTGCAATAGTCCAAGCAAGAGAAGAAAATGGACTGGATCCAGGTGGTAGGAAGACGTGGACTTGAGGGTGAGGTGAAGCCAAGAGGACTTGCTGATAGACTAGATGTGGAGGTTGGGGGAGAGAGAGGTGGCAAGGACTCCTGGGCTTGATCTGACCAGGATGTGTTGTCCTTCACTGAGATGGGCAAAACAGAAGAGGTGTTTGGTATGCAGTGGAGGATCCCATCCCCCTGTCTGGGGTACGTGGGGTTTGAGATGTCTGAGACACCCTGGTGAAGATGCCAGATCAGGCAGCAGATAGATGAGTTTGAACCTCCACTGCAGTAACAACACCAGGCATGGAATAGGCGCCTTGTGGATCTTGGTTGAACCTGCGACTCAAAGCCAGGTATTTTGTGGGATTTCTGTGTATTTCAAGCTGATGTCTTCAGAGTCTTGCCCCACTCTGCTGTTTCTGTCTGGCCCCTGAAGTCGAAGTTGCACCTCTGGAAGGAGGATCTTAATTACCAGCTGGAGCTACTTAGGGAAGCCAGTTTGTTTTTATTTTCTAAATTTATTTCGAAAATGTCCCAGTGCCAGAAGCCCCCCAGGGCACCTCAGCAGAATTGAAACCACGTTATACGATGATGAAGTTAAAATCCACACAAGTGAAAACATATTGTTTGTTGGTGCAAGGCAGTCCCTGTCAAAATCTAAAGCACAGCCTTCTGCAGCTGCCCAGGGAAGCTGTGTGGACCAGAGAGAGGCGTGCTCAAGGCCCGGCAAAGCCAGAAGCCTTTGTTCTCCGAGCCTGTAGTAGTACCACCTGTAAGGGAGTTCCTTCCCGCGTCCAGCAGCGCTTTATGAAGGGCTTACCATTTGCCAGGCCCTAATGGAATGCTGTGGATTCAGCAGCAAACCAAACACAGCAAGACCCGTGCCCACAAGGCATTGACCTTCCAGTTCAGGAGGCTGACCATAAACAATGGAATGCAAAGTATAATGTCAGAGCAAAGTGCTCTGAAGAGAGACCAAGAGAGTCAGGGAGGAGGCTCTCACCAGGGCTTTTGTTTTGTGGTTTTTACTTGTTATATCCAGGAGAGGCTCCTCTGACTTTTTTTTTTTTTTTTTTTTTGAGACAGTCTCACTCTGTTGTCCAGGCTGGAGGTACGATCTTGTCGCACTGCAACCTCTGCCTCCTGGGTTCAAGCGATTCTCCTGCCTCAGCCTCCCAAGTAGTTGAGATTACAGGCACACGCCACCATGTCCAGCTAATTTTTGTATTTTTAGTAGAAACAGGGCTTCACCTTGTTGGGCACGGTGGTCTCGAACTCCTGACCTCAAGTGATCCACCCTCCTCAACCCCCAAAATACCAAAGTACTGGGATTACAGGTGTGAGCCACCGCACCCAGGCTCTTCTGACTTTTGAGCAAAGACCTGAAGGAGGTGGAGGAGGAGGCCATGCCGATATCTGGGTGAAGAGTGTTCCAGATAGAAGCACTGTGCAAAGGCCAAGGTATGATTAGAGTTGATGGGCTCCAGAAACTGGGAGGAAACCAGCAAGACTGAAGCAGAGGGAACAGGAAGAATTGTGGTGGGCAATGAGGGTGACGCCTTTGGGCCATTGTAAGGCTTTGGGTAACAGCCAAGGGTGACAAAAGCCACTGGAGGGTTTGGAACAACATGATGTGACTTTGGTTCAGAAGCTGCCTCTGGCTGCCTGGTGGAGAACAGACTCCAGAGGACAAGGATTGAAGCAGGCATCCGCATTAAATCAGCAACTTCCAGACTCCCAGGGGAAAGAATCTGTGGGGTTTAAAGAATGGTCCAGGATTGGCCTGGTGCGGTGGCTCACGCCTGTAGTCCTAACACTTTGGGAGGCCGAGGCGGGTGGATCACTTGAGGTCAGGAGTTCAAGACCAGCCTGGCCAACATGGTGAAACCCCGTCTTTACTAAAAATACAAAAATTAGCCAGGTGTGGTAGCAGGCGCCTGTAATCCCAGCTACCCAGGAGGCTGGGGCAGGAGAATCACTGGAACCCAGGAGGCGGAAGCTGCAGTGAGCAGAGATCGCCCCACTGTACTCCAGCCTGGGCGACAGAGCAAGACTCTGTCTCAAAAAAAAAAAAAAAGAATAAAAAAAAATGGTCCGGGACACAGAAGGTGCCACATGCAGCTGTATCTTAGGATATTCTGCACGCATGTCCCAAGTTGAGGACAAAAGCCTTCTAATCAGTTCCATCTGCTGTTGAGTCCTGGATCCACCATCTCCTAACCTGGGCAAGTCTCTCCATCCCTCTGAGCCTCAGTTTGCTCATCTGTTAAATGGGTGGAAGAAAAGCCCCCACCATCTAGGGCTGTAAGGATGGAGCTATGTGAAAGCAGTCAGCACAGAGCCTGGCATACCTGCCCAATGTGGGGGCCTTTCCACCAGGGGGCTACAGGGGCTACATGTGTCCCTGGGGATAGGCAAGTGGGGGTTCTATGGTACCAGGGCAAATTGTTTAATTGCTACATATTTATTTTACTGTGAATTAGAAAACTATAACTAGCTTGCCGACCCCTGATTTTACAATCATTTTATAAAAGTATAGGCAACAGAAATATGACAAAGATGATGACAGTCATGAGCAGACCAGGCCTGGGTCCCAGCCAACTGCTGCAGCTTGGGCATAAATATCGACACTCCCTCCCCTGCTCCCTGCCACTTTGCCTTTGTGCAAGAGCTGCTGATTTTGCAGCTCTTACTTTGCAGGGCAGGTGAACCCTCCTCTGAAATGTCACCTGGGTCATGGGTAAGGGTGGATGTTGGGTTAAAATTCAAGCACCTGCTCAAGATCTGTCAAAACTGTCCTCCAGCCCCACTCTACTGCACTCACTCTGAAAGCTGTTCATGGGAAGCCCCCAAGCCCTACTTCACAGGGATGTGCCACTGTCGAGTCAGAGCTGGACCTAGGTCTGCGGCCTCTGTCCCAGCCAAGCAGGGACCCCTTAGGTTTTGACTTCTGGGCTCGGATGCAGCCAGGAGGAGATACTGTTCAGCCCTGCCCTGTGAGAAGAAGAGATTGGGGAGGCCTGGCAGCCGAGACTGTGCTACTGCACTCCAGCCTGGGCGATAGAGGGAGACTCCATCTCCAAAAAACAAAAAAAAAAAACAAGTATTATTTATGTTTTGAGATGTCACAACTTTAATTTAAAATACATTTAAAACCTAGATTTATGTTGAATGGCTGAAATTTTATAGGCAGTGTGATTAAAGATGATTCCAAATTTCAGCAAGGGGACATTTAGTTCGGGCATGAAAAAGAAGTTAACAAGCAAAGGTACCTATAAACAAAGGCATCATAAATAGATATAAAGCCAGAAGAAAAGGGATCTAAAGTAGACAGAGAAGATAGGCTGACTCTCCAGTTGCAGATTTTCATTATCAGCTCATCACACCACCGAAACTCTCTGGTGATTTGCTATCCACATCCATGGCGTTTGGTGGCCCTAAAGATTGTAACGGCCCCCATCCTCTTGGTTAAAATGGCAGGTGTGTTGACAAGAACTGTCTTAGGTACCCCCTGCCTGCTGGGCATCACATTCTTCTTGGTATATATTAAAAGAACACAAGTTTGGGCCAGGCACGATGGCTCATGCCTGTAATCCCAGCACTTTGGGAGGCTGAGACAGTGGATCATTTGCGGTCAGGAGTTCAAGACCAGCCTCGCCAACATGGCAAAACCCCATCTCTACTAAAAATACAAAAAAAAAAAAAAAAAAAAAAATTAGCCAAGCAGGGTGGCGTGCACCTGTAATCTCAGTTACTTGGGAGGCTGAGGCAGCAGAAACCAGGAGGCGGAGGTTGCAGTGAGCCGAGATCACACCACTGCAGTCCAGACTGGGCAACAGAGCAAGACTTCATCTCAAAATAAGTAAATAAATACATACATACACACATACACACACGCAAGATTTGCAGGCAAGATGCAGCAGGACTGAGGAGGGGGCCTTCCTTGCTCTCCCTTGCCTTAGCAGGCAATCTGTCAATGTCAGGGTGTCCTCTGGAAGCCAGGAGGTGTGCCTGAGTGAGGTGCTGTCCCTGAAGAAGATGTCCAGGGGCTGGCATGGTGAGGGCAGTAGTAAGAGGGAGGCAAAGAGTTTGGCCCCAGGAGGGTGGAATTAATGCATCTGGCCAGGGAGTCAATGGTCGCACAGCAGTGGCTGAGGTTGGAGGCACCTGGCGTCATCCTGCCTCACCTGAGTTTCTGCTGCATTCTCTGGTCCTGGCCCCTGTCCGCTTCTCTTCACTCCCCTTGCCATTACCTCTGTGGTCTAAGTCACCATCATCTTTCTCTTGGACGTCATCACGGCCTTCTCACTGTCCCCCTGCTGTCTATGAATTAGGATACAAGCTCATCAAAATAAAGAGGCTTAAGTACAACACAGATCTGTTTCTCTCTCATGAGGAAATCTGAAATGTGAACAGTCTAGGGCCAGAAAGGCAGCTCTTCCATGCCAGAAGCCCAGGCACAGCGGCTTCCTTTTCCCCCACCCCCCGAAAGACAGGGTCTTACTCTGTCACCCAAGCTGGAGTGCAGTGGCATGGTCATGGCTCACTGCAGCCTCGACCTCCTGGGCTCAAGCCATCCTCCCACCTCAGCCTCCTGAGTAGCTGGGACTATAGGCAGGCGTCACCATGCTCCGCTAATATTTTTATTTTCTGTAGAGATGGAGTCTCCTATGCTACCCAGGCTGGTCTCAAATTCGTAGTCTCAAGGAATCCTCCTGCCTTGGGCTCTCAAACTGCTGGGATTACAGGCATGAGCCACCTATTCCAGGCACATTCCAGGCAGCAGGGAAAAGGAGGCAGAGACAGAGAAGGGCACCACCCAGCGGTTGCAGTTCTCTCTTCTGCTCACACCCCATTGGCCTTAACATAGTCACTTGGCCACACCTTCCAAGGCAAGGGAGCCTGGGAAATGTAGTCTTTATTCTGGACAGTCACGTGCCAATAAAAACTGCTACTAATAAAGGGGGAAGTGAATTGGGTATTGAGGGTCAGCTGGCAGTCTCATCCTGACACCTTTCCTCGGTTTTCATCACAGTAGCCAGAGAGGTGAAAAGGAAAGCTGAACATGTCACCTGCTTAAAACTCTTCAGTAGGCTGGGCACAGTTGTTTGCGCCTGTAATCCCAGCACTTTGGAAGGTCGAAGCAGGTGTATCACTTGAGGTCAGGAGTTCATGACCAGCCTGGCCAACATGGCAAAAGCCTGTCTCTACTAAAAATACAAAAACTAGCAGGTCATCGTGGTGGGCACCTGTAATCCCAGCTACTCGGTAGGCTGAGGCAGGAGAATCGCTTGAAACCAGGAGGCAGAGGTTGCAGTGAGGCAAGATCACACCTCTGCACTCCAGCCTGGGCAACAGAGCGAGACTCCATCTCAAAAAAAAAAAGCTCTTCAGTGAGCTATTATGGACTGACCCCACCTGCCTCTCCAGACTCTTTTTCTCCTACTCTTTTCATCATTTGCTCCACTCCAGATCCAATGGTCTTTTTTTAATTCCTTGAACATCCATGCTCCCCACTACCTTAAGATTCTGCCCACGCCATGCCCTCTGTATGGAACACGCTTCCCCACCATTCTCCCCTCCTCTTGTTCTCAAGGTCCAAGGCCTCGCCAGTTCCTATGCACCTCTTAAATCTCTGAACCAGTTCCATGTCCTTAGGGAAGTCTTACCCGATTCCCCTCAAAAGGTTAGATTCTGCCATCATATGCTCCCAGGACGCCTCATACTTATGCGGTACATTTTGTACTCTTTGTAACCATTTCATAATTATTTAAAGTAATTGATGTGAATTCTGTGTTCCCCACCAGCTGTGTATTCCAGGAGGGCAGAGAACATGTCCACTGTGTTCACTGCTATAACTGGCACATAGTAGGTGATCAGTAAATCGTTGTTTCTTGACGGTTGATGATCTTGCCCTACGACCCCATCCATGGTAACAACTGCCTTCTGGAATTTCTAACTTTCAGGAAACTGACTTTGTTTATGTGCCTTTGACTTTATTAGAAATTAAGTAGGTTAACGTCGTCCATACAAAACAGGATGTATTTCTCTTATCTGCAGAACTCTAGAGGTTAGCAATCCAGGGACCTCTTCTCGACGAAGAGCTCAGATTCCTGCCAGCACTTAATTCTCACCTCCTATTTTACAGACCTCAATTTCCATTTACTGCATTTTCTTCTCCTCAAATCCTGGTTTCTGGTTCTGCAACCTCAGCCGGGTGCCTGGACTCTGACCCATTCTCCTCATTTGCTAGATCCTCTAGTCTGGCATGTTTGCCCTGGATTATTCCTCCACGCTGTACACATACCTCCTACCACCTGTATTGTGAATTACCAGCCCTGCTCCTTAGCAGTGTCATTTGTGTGTTGGGAGGACAGGGGAGTGTACCTTTTTTTTTTTTTTTCTCAAAGAGTGGGCATTCTGAATGTTCTCATTCACATTAGTGTCAGTGTGTTTAACTAGACCAGCATTCCCACCTGAGGGCAGCCCCATCCCTTGGATGGATAGGGGGGCGCATTAGAAACTAGGGGTGGGGCCAGGCATGGTGGCTCACGCCAGTAATCCCAGCACTTTGGGAGGCTGAGGTGGCAGATCACTTGAGGTCAGGGCTTCGAGACCAGCCTGGCCAACATGGTGAAACCCCGTCTCTACTAATAATACAAAAATTAGATGGGTGTGGCAGCGGGTGCCTGTAATCCCAGCTACTCAGGAGGCTGAGGCACGAGAATCACTCGAACCCAGGAGGCAATGGTCGCGGTGAGCCGAGATCGCGCCACTGCACTTCAGCCTGGGTGATGGAGCAAGACTCAGTCTCAAAAAAAAAAAAAGAAAGAAAAGAAAAAAAGAAACTGGGGGTGGGTGGGAGGCAGAGATTGCATTGAGCCAAAATCACACCACTTCACTCCAGCCTGGGTGACACAGTTGAGACTCTGTCTCAAAAGAAAAAAAAAAGAAAGAAACTGGGGGTTGGGGTAGTTGGTTGTCACATGAAGGGAAAGCACTGTTTGCTTTTAGAGGCCGGGCCAGCAATACCACTCAACCCAATATGTTGGACAGTCTTGTACAAAGTGGAATTGTCCCACCCAAATGCCCACCACACTGAGTCCCTGAGAGATGTCAGTCAGCTGAGCAGTATTTATGGATGCCTTGTGCACAGCATGATCCAGGTTTCATGTGGTTTGCTCTTAATTAAAATACAAAACAAAACAAAACAAAAAACCACTTTGTTAAATGTATGGCTTTTTCTTACTCGTGTTTTAGGGGAAAAATGACCAGTACATCAAACCAGTGATGTCATAGGTAATGATGCCCAGGATGAAGCGTAGGTTTGTGAAAGAGCATCAGTGTAAAGATAAATGAGGAGGCCAAGCGCAGTGGCTCATGCCTGTAATCCTAGCACTTTTGGAGGCTGAGGCGGGAGGATCACTTGAGCACAGGAGTTTGAGACCAGCCTGGGCAACATGACAAAACCCCATATCTTCAAAAAATACAAAAAAAAACAAAACAAAATTAGCCGGGCATGGTGATGAGTGCCTATAGTCCCAGCTACTTGGGAGGCTGAGGTAGAGGATCAATTGAGCCTGGGAGGTTGAAGCTGCAGTGAGCTAGCTGTGATCACACCATTGCACTTCAGCCTGGGTGACAGAGCAAGAATATCTCAGAAAAAAAAAAGACTGAGAAGTTAGTGAAAGTGGGGACTCCTCTATGGCTAAATCCGTGAAGGTGCGACATGAAGGAGCATGGCTGTATCCGGGTGAGTGCCATCCACTAAGAGGCCTGGCACCGTGGAAGGAATGGGATACTATTTGGGATCAGAGGACCTAAGTTCCAATTCTGACCTTGATTCTTCTGAGCTCTAAGACCTTGAAGGAGGTATTTAACTTGGCTGACTTTCCACTTCTTCGTCTGAACCAGATCTCAATAATAACTGACATTTACTGAGCACTCACTACATACCAGGCACTGTTCTAGCTGGCTTGTATGTTTCACTTTATTTAATCCTATTATGATCCCCATTATACTAGTCTGCTCAGTCTGTCCTAATAAAATACCATGGAGCGGGTGGCTTACACGACAGAAATTTTCTTTCTCCCAGTTCTGCAGGCTGGAAGTCCATGATCCAGGTGCTGGCAAAGTTGGTTTCTGGTGAGGGCCCTCTTCTTGGCTTGCAGATGGCTGCATTTTTGCTGTGTCTTCACCCGGCCTTTCCTCAATGCATGTACATGGAGAGAGAGCCAGAGAGAGAAAACAGCTGTCTGGTGTCTCCTCTAACAAGGACACCAATCCCATTGGGTTAGGGCCCCACCCTGTGACCTCACTTAAACTTAATTACTTCCTTAGAGGCCCTACCTCTAAATACAGCCACATAGGGAGGTTAGATTTTCAACATATGAATTTTGGGAGGAGACACAAACGTTCAGTTCATAACATCCATTTTACAAATGAGGAAACTGAGGCAGAGAGTGGCTAAGTGAACAGCCCAAGTCACATAGTTGGCAGTGGCAATATTCAGACCCAGGTGGCCTGGCTCCAGAGACCCTGCCCTTACCCATGGTGCTGTGTTGCCCCTGCCAGGGACAGTGATGTCCGTCTGGTTTGAGAAAAAGGATTCCCAGTAAGAATTTAGGAGCTCGTGCAGTGCCGCAGACAGTGGACTCAAAGGAAGAAAAGAAAGTGCAAGGGAGGCTGGAGTCACTGAGAAGTGTGGTGGCGGAAAGCCAAGATCTGACACCAGGAGGAGGAGGAAGTCCCAATGTTCATGGAGAAAACAAATATTTTTCATCTCTTTGGGTTTTTCTGATTTTGTTTTTGTTTATTTTGTTTTGTGTGTGTGTGTGTGTGTGTGTGTGTGTGTGTGTGTGTGTTTTGAGATGGAGCCTCGCTCTGTCTCTCAGGCTGGAGTGCAGTGCTGCGATCTCAGCTCACTGCAACCTTCACCTCCCTGGTTCAAGCAATTCTCATGCCTCAGCCTCCCGAGTAGTTGGGACCACCAGCTGATAGCTCCTAAAGCCACCACACCTGGCTAATTCTTGTATTTTTAGTAGAGACAGGGTTTCACCATGTTGGTCAGGCTGGTCTCAAACTCCCGACCTCAAGTGATCCACCCACTTCAGCCTCCCAAAGTGCTGGGATTACAGGCGTGAGCCGCCGCACCTGGCCAAGATTTTTCATGTCTTTGTAAGATGAAAAATCGAATTATTAGATTCCTCTGCTGTGAGTTTGCATAGCACCTTATGCAAAGTAAAACTCACACAAATAGCAACAAGCAACCACATGAACACGACAGCATCCTTCACTCCCCGCTGAGGGGATGAATCGCCTGGAGGTGATCAAAGCAATGTGCAAGGGATCTGAATGCACCTTCTAGAAAAGACATGTTACTCCCACATGCTGAGTGCACATGTGGGAGTAACAAGCACAATCCCGATGGGAGCTAGTGTGTCCTGCATGCGACTGTGTGCCTGGCAGTGACTGAAGGGCTTGTCTGTACCCATTCATTAACCCTTACAACAACCACAGAGGGCAGGTACTGTTATGTATCCCCATGTTAGAGATGGGGAAACTGAGGCACAGAGCGGTTCACTTGTGCGACAGCTGACGCATATCAAGCTCTTCTTTTGCACCAGGCATTGCGCATGAACCATCTCACCGCATCCTCACAGCAGCCCTGCAAAGGAGATGGTTTTTTCAATCTCCATTTTACAGATGAGGAAACTGAGGCCCAGAAAGATCCCTTTCCCAGGGTCACACAGCTAGTAAGAAGAATGTGGAGATTTGATCCCAGGCCAAATGACTTCTCTGCTAATGTCTATCTTTCATGGAGAATAGAGTTTGAGATGAACTAGGAAGTGGAGAACATGCATCAACTGAATGGATGGAAGAAAAGAGTCTTTCAGGGGGCCAGCCATGGTGGCTCATGCCTGTAATCCCAGCACTTTGGGAGACCAAGGTGGGCAGGTCACTTGAGGTCAGGAGTTCAAGACCAGCCCAGCCAATGTGGCGAAATCCCGTCTCTACTTAAATATATATATATATACATACACACACACACACACATATATATACATACACACACACACACATATATATACATACACACACACACACACACACACACACACACACACACACATATATATATATATATATATATATATATATATATATATATATATATATATATATATATTAGCCGGGCATGGTGGTGCATGCCTGTAGTCCCAGCTACTCGGGAGGCTAAGGCAGGAGAATTGCCTGAGCCCGGGAGACAGAGGTTGCAGTGAGCCAAGATAGCACCACTGCACTCCAGCCTGGGCAACAGAGCAAGACTCCATCTCAAAAAATAAAAAAATAAGGAAAGAGCCTTTCAGGAGAAACAAGGTAACGCTAAAGATCTTTGGCAAAAGGTATCCCTAGCCTGACGCAGGAATGGCCAGGCATTCGGGCAGGCTGGAAGGGGAGCATTTCAAGATGCAGCCAGGGCTTTAGGAAAGACCATGCCGGAGAGACTCAGAAGTTGCTGAAATCAGGGCAGCCATGGCTGCTTGCCTGACACATGAGCCTGGTTGCTAAACGTGTGATTTATCCTGATAGCTTTAGGAGCCATCAGGAAAATAATATGTCACTGTGTTAACACTGAACTCTCTCCAAAGCATCCTGCCCAATGGTCATTAATACAATTCAGGCCACAGCCTCTTTAGCGCTCTTAAGATAAGTTAAACACTTAGCACAAGAGATGTGGCCCAGGTTTCCCTCCCAGGGAGTAGACTCCTCTCTGGCTAGTCTGGAGGCAGCATTAAGCAATCTCACTTGAAAAATATACCTGCCTCAGAGGAGAAGGAGCAGCCAGGAAGTTCATCGGGGCCCTGATGAGCATCATTTTTCTAACGCAAATTTGTCAACAATTTCTGCATTCATGTCTCCAAGCAGCCAAAGACAAAAAGTAATGGAATCAAACCACAGCAGGAGAGTTTGAGAAACCCCAGCTGTCACCAGCTCAATCAGAACAGGTTTTGATAAGTATTTGTCACTGAGTTTACTGATCAGCAACGTGCAACAACAGTAATACTAAGTATCGGCTGGGGATGGTGGCTCATGCCTGTAATTCCAGCATTTTGGGAAGCTGAGGAGGGCAGATCACTTGAGGTCAGGAGTTCGAGACCAGACTGGCCAAGATGGTGAAACCTCATCTCTACTAAAAATACAAAAATTAGCCAGGCATAGTGGTGCACGCTGTAGTCCCAGCTACTCAGGAGGCTGAGGCAGAACAATCACTTGAACCCAGGAGGCGGAGGTTGCAGTGAGCCGAGATTGCACAACTGCACTCCAGCCTTGGTGACAGAGCAAGACTCCGTCTCAAAAAAAAAAAAAAAAAAAAAAAAAAAGAGTACTAAGTATCATACCTGTGGGATGCAGAAGGGCAGTCCAGATTGGCATTTACAGTCCTAAATGACATTTGTTAGAAAAACAGGAAAATTCATAAGAATAATTGGAAAGACCGTTAAAATAGATAAGGCTTTAGCAAGCTTAATCAAAGGGGAAAAGAGAGAGATCAATAAACAACATCCAGAATGAAAGGGTGGACATTACTAAAATCCAGGGGAGGTTGTTTCTTTTAATTACAAGAATGCCAGGCACACTGTTTTACCAATGAATTTGAAAATCTAGGTGAGATTGACACTTTTCAGGAAGACACAAATTACTGAAATTAGCCCAAGTGGAAATAAAAATAAATACAACAAACCAAAGATCATGAAAATTTGTTAAATCATTAAAGAGAAAGTGCGTTTTTGGTGCCCCCACCAAAAAAGGCACCAGGTCCCACTGGTTTTAAACAAGAGTTCCAACAAAACTTCAAGGAAAGGATAAATCTCATCCAGCATAAACTACAGAGCAAAGAAAAAGATGGAATGCTCTCCCACACATTTTATAAGACTAACATCACCCTAAAGCTGACACTGGAGTTACAGCGCATATGACAAATGGACAAATTGCGGTCGTCGCTGCTGAAGTTGGAAGGCCCCTGCGATCCCAGCACCTACCTTCATCCATGCCCTGTGACTCTTTACAGAAGTTTTCTGCAGATCCTGTCTGAGCTTTAGTTTCCACACTGGTGAAAAGAGGGGTCTGGACTATAATTGGTATCATTTATTTGACACCTGCCCCTTGCCTCGTAACACACCTGCAAGCAGATAGAATAACCATATTTTGTAATTTTTTAAAAAACACTGAAGACTGTCTGGGTGCAGTGGCTCACGCCTGTAATTTCAGCACTTTGGAAGGCCCAGGTGGGTGGGATTACCTGAGGTCAGGAGTTTGAGACCAGCCTGGTCAACATGATGAAACCCCATCTCTACTAAAAATACAAAAAATTAGCCAGATGTGGTGGCAGGCATTTGTAATGCCGGCTACTTGGGAGACTGAGGCAGGAGAATCGCTTGAACCCAGGAGATGGAGGTTGCAGTGAGCCGAGATCACCCCACTGCACTCCAGCCTGGGTGACAAGAGTGAAACTCTGTCTCAAAAAAAAAAAAAGGAAACTGAAGACCTTGCTGTGTTACCTGAGCCCAGGAACGATGACACCCTTGTAGCAATGAGGATACTCAGATAACAGTTTCTAATACCACGCTGCAAGAAAAAGGAACCAGAGCTCCATGGAGAAATGGCTGATTCTAGGGCTGGGCCAAGAACTATATGATTATCCCAGAGCATCTTTTAGCACCGTAAAGTAAGGAATTGCTCAGGAAAACCCAAAGTGATACGTTATGCCAGAGGAACACAGGATCCAACTGAAAAGAGTTCCCAATGGCCAAATCCAGAAAGATAAAAAGAACAACAAAATAAAACAAAAGCTGGAGTAATAAAATAAATAATATAATATCAGATCCCAATGGCCAAATCTGGAACAATAAATAAAAAGGAGAGCAAAATAAAATAAAAGCTGGAATAATAAAATAAATAATGTAATATCAGATTCTAACCCAAAGTATAAAATAAGTATGTATGAGTCTATGCTGATGTAGATAAATGATTGCATAAATAAATAAGTGGGGAGACTAAACAAATCTCCCACACAGAAAAATTCCAGGTAACTTATGTAGATACTACACCCATAGTGTGAGCCACGCATAGTGACTTCTTTCCAAAGAGTACAATATAGATGAGGGGAATAGTAACTTCGGAGTGGAGAACCCTGATGAAGACCACCTGAGCCAGGTGATCAAGGTCAACATCAACAGTGATTAGTCATGTTGATAATATTTACCCTTGATGTGATATGAAGAGAATGGCACTCCCCATCTGTGACCTTCCCAAAACCCAGGAACCCGGTGTCATCATGAGAAAAACATCGGAAAAATCCCAGTTGACAAACATTTTACAAAATACCTGACCAGTTCTCCTTCACACCGTCCTCAAAAGCAAGGAAAGCCTGAGAAACTGTCACAAACCAGAGAAGCCTAAGGAGACAGGACAACTACGTGTCATGTGATATCCACCTTGGATCCTGAAACAGTCCAAGAACAGTACAGGGAAAGCCTTAAAAATCTGAATAAGTAATTGACAGTAGTTAACACAGCACTATCTGCTTATTAGTTTTGACAAATGCAGCATACTAATGTAAGAAGTTAACAAAAGGAGAAAGTGGGTGTGGGGTGTATGGGAACTCTCTGTACTATCTTTGCAACTTTTCTGTAAATCTAAAACTATTCCAGGCCAGCCACGGTGGCTCATGCCTGGAATCCCAGCACTTTGGGAGGCCAAGGTGGGCGGATCACTTGTGGTCAGGAGTTCGAGACCAGTCTGGCCAACATGGTGAAACCCTGTCTCTACTAAAAATACAAAAATTAGCCAGGCATGGTGGCGCATGCCTGTAATCCCAGCTACTTGGGAGGCTGAGGCAGGAGAATCACTGACCTGAGAGGCGGAGGCTGCAGTGAGCTGCAGGAAGCCACTGTGTGGGCAGTGTAGTGAGG
The DNA here is from genome assembly GCF_000001405.40 of Homo sapiens. Lineage (NCBI taxonomy): Eukaryota > Metazoa > Chordata > Mammalia > Primates > Hominidae > Homo > Homo sapiens. The sequence continues at coordinate 47,159,970 of NC_000020.11, forward strand.
AGAGGGTAGGAGATGAGGTCAGGGAGGTGATGAACCTGAGGGTGGGCAGACCACATGGAGCCAGGTTCCACTGTGAGGACTGTGCTTTTATTTGGAGGGAGGTGATATCCATTGTGGGGATTTGAGCAGGAGCGGGACGTGATCTGACTTAGGGTTGAACAGGATCCCTCTGGCTGCTGGCTGGAGACTAGGCTGGGAGGATAGGGGCTAGATAAGGATAGGAGCAGGAAGAGTGAGGAGGTGACTGTAGTAGCCTACACCAGGGGTCAACAAACTTCTGTAAAGGACCAGATAGTAAATATTTTTGGCTTTGCACATCATAGTGGACCTGTCTCAGCTACTCAGTTCTCCTGCAGTAGCACAAAAGCTGCAGCAGACAGGATGTAATTGCATGAACATAGATGTGTTCTAATAAAACTTTATTTACACAAACAGGCGACAGGCCAGATTTGGCCCCTGGGTTATAGCTTACTAACCTCTGATCTAGGTGGGAGATGATGGTGGTTTGGACCACGGTGGGGCGGGGGGCGGTGCGGGCAGTGGAGGAGGTGAGAATGGTCAGATTGTGGGTATATGTCGAAGGGAAAGCCAACAGGATTTGGTGATGGATGGGTGGCAGGATGTCAGAGAGAGGAGACGGGGATAACTCCAAGACACATGCAGTGCCTAGGCCAGTGTTGGGAACATAGAAGGTGATCAGTGTGTACGCATCTTGAATCAGCAATTTGGTATTTCATGCCTCTTTGCCTTGTCTTTTCCAGTGACATGATAGGCACTGTGAGGGCAAGAGCCAGATTTCATCCTTGAAGCCTCCCCTCTCTTTTTTTTTTTCAAGCTTAATTCACTTTATTTTTCTTGTATAAAAACCCTATGTTGTAGCCACAGCTGGAGCCTGAGTCCTCTGCACAGAGACTCTGATGGGGTCTTGACAAGGTAGTCAGTGAATTCCTGACCTGAATTCCTGAATTCTAGGGAGACTTGGTGAATACAGTCTCCTTCCAGAGGTTGGGGGTCGGGTAGCTGTAGGTCTTAGAGATAGCATCAAAGGTGGCCTTGGCGAAGTTTCCCAGGGTGGCAGTGCAGCTGCGGCGTAGCAGTCATAGATACCCGCCATCAGCAGCAGCTTTTGGGCATGGGGACCGAGATGATGCCAGTGCCCCTGGGTGCAGGGATGAAGTGCACCAGCACAGAGCCACAGTGGCCTGTCACCTTACAAGGGACGGTGTGGGGCTTGCCGATCTTGCTCCCCCAGTAGCCTCTGCACATGGGGACAATGGAGAGCTAGCCCAGGATGATGGCCCCGCGGATGGCGTGGCCACCTCCTTGGAGCACTTAACACCCAGATCGACATACCATTATAGTCACCGATGACAATAAATCCCTTGAGCCTGGTGCGCTGGCTGGCGTGGGTCTGCTTTTGTACTGGCATGATCTTCAAAACCTCATCCTTGAGAGAAGCCCCCAGGAAAAAGTCAATGATCTCAAACTCTTTGATGGCCAGGAAGAAGAGATAGATCTCCTCCAGGAACTTGATCTTCATGTCCTTGACCAGGTGGCCCAGCTTGGGGATAGACGTCCACTCCTTGTCCTTGGTCTTGCCTCTGTGAGCTCCTCGGCCTTGGCCCGGGCCCTGTCCGCGGCTATGACCCCAGCCCCCGATGCCCCTGCTGAAGCCTCCACAGAAGCCACCGTGGTTCCCCATCCCAGGGTCCCCAGGGCCTCCAGCCCCCCATCCCCCAAAACCGGATGTTTTCTTGGAGAAGAAAGAAGCTTCCCCTCTCTTGACCCATCATTGTCTGATGCGGTGCCGGGCCCATAGTAGGTGTTTTTATAGTCTTGGGATAGACAGATCTTCTCGAGCACAGGCTCTGAAAGGAGATGGGTCCGGGTGCTGGCTCCTCTTCCCCTCGCCTTGGGCACATCTGAGTTTGCTTGGGCTGCCATTACAAAGTCCCACAGACTGGGTGCCTTAAACAAGAGAAACTTACTGTCCCACAGTTCATGAGACGAGAAGTCCAAGATCAAGGTTGGTTCCTTCTGAGGGCTGCAAGGGAGAATCTTTTCCTTGCCTTTCTCCTAGCTCCTGGTGGTCTCGGATGTCCTCTGACTCGTAGAGAACATGTCACCCGGTCTCTGTCCTCGTCATCACCTGGCATTCTTCGTCTTCTGTCTCTGTGTCCAAATACCCCCTTTATAAGGACACAGACATATTGGATGAAGGCCCACGCTAAGGTCCTCATCTTAATGTGATCATCTGCAAAGACCCTATTTCCAAATAAGGTCACATTCAACATCTTGTAGGGGACACAGTTCAACCCATAACAGGCATGTTCCTACACTCCTCTCTGCCTCGTTTTCTCCTAGTTTCCCACTACATATATAGAAAGTGCTGGCCATAGTCCCTGGCACATTGAAAGCTTTTAATAAATACTAGTTTCTATCCCTAGTCCAATACTAGTTTCTGTCCAGTGATAGAGATTTTTGTCTCTATCTCACTGAGATATTTGTAATTAATTTTTTTCAAAAGCAGTACATACACACATTATCCTTTTTTTTTTTTTTTTTTGAGACACAGTCTCGCCCTGTCACCCAGGCTGAAGTACAGTGGTGCGATCATAACTCACTCCAGCCTCGACCTCCCCAGGCTTAGGTGATCCTCCCACCTCAGCCTCCCAAGTAGCTACAACTGTAGGTACATGTCGCTACACCTGGCTAATTTTTGTATTTTTGGTAGAAACAGAGTCTCACCATGTTGTCCAGGCTGGTCTCAAACTCTTGGGCTCAGGAGATGCACCCTCTTTGGCCTCCCAAAGTGTTAGGATTATAGGTGTGAGCCACCACACCTGGCCCTCATTTTTTTTAATGAAAGTATTTCAATAAGCTAAAACCTTCTTTGATCACCAGCCCAATCCCAGTGACTCCCCATATGAAACTGCTGCTTCCAGCCAGATGTATGGGCTTCCAGATCTTTCTTTTTCCAGTTATGTACAATATATCCATATAAAAATCTCATATTTTAATGGGATTTTATAAATATATACATGGCATCATACTGGGTGTATCACTCTTTTTTTTTTTTAAACAGAGTCTTGCTCTGTCACCCAGGCTGGAGTGCAGTGGCGCCATCTCAGCTCACTGTAACCTCCACCTCCTGGGCTCAAGCGATCCTCCTTTCTCAGCCTCCCAAGTAGCTGGGATTACAGGTGTATGCCACCATGCCTGGCTAACTTTTTGTATTTTTAATAGAGACAGGGTTTCACTATGTTGGCCAGGCTGGTCTCCAACTCCTGACCTCAAGCTATCTGCCCACCTTGGCCTCCCAAAGTGCTGGGATTACAGATGTAAGCCACCGCGCCCAGCCGGATGTATGATTCTTTAACCTGCGTTTTTCACACTCCAGGATGTCTTGGAACCATTTCCATGTGCTAGCATAAAAATTCACCTCCTTGGCTTGGGACGTGGCTCACGCCTGTAATCCCCGCACTTTGGGAGTCCGAGGCAGGGGGGTCATCTGAGGTCGGGAGTTCAAGACCGGCCTGACCAAGATGGAGAAACCCCGTCTCTACTAAAAATACAAAATTAGCTGGGCGTGGTGGTGCATGCCTGTAATCCCAGCTACTCAGAAGGCTGAGGCAGGAGAATTGCTTGAACCTGGGAGGAAGAGGTTGCAGTGAGCCGAGACTGCACCATTACACTCCAGCCTGGGCAACAAGAGCAAAACACTGTCTCAAAAAAAAAAAAAAAAAAAAAAAAATCCACCTCCTTTTTCTGCACTGCTGGGTAGGATTCCACTGAATGGATATACCACATTTTATTTAGCTACGACCTCATCAAGGGAACTTTAGGTGTTTTCCAGTTTCTCACCAGGATGATGGACATTTTTACACAAGGCTCTTTGCAGGTGTTACTCTGGGTCAGAAAGTAAAAATCCCTCGAGACGGGGATTGCACCAGGTCCCGGTCCTCAGCCCCACTGCACTTCACCTGTGTCAAGGCCACGGGAACCCTTCCACCGTCTCTGCCAGCAGATGCCATTCAGCACCCACCCCAAGATACTCATACTTTGACCCGGAAGAGACCAGAAGCACCCTGCAGTTCGTGTGGACAAGTCTCCCCTCTGACTTACAGTCCCCTCACCCTCGTACCTAGGAGAGGGATGGCAGCGCTGAGGGTCGTGGGATTCTCTTCCCTGGAGGCTCCCCCATCCTCGTGGCCTCTGCGCGGTCCAGCTCCCCTCCGAGCTGGCTCAAGGGGTAACTTGATCCAGGTCAGCTGGTGGAGTATGAGGTAGCGTCTAGCTGAGCGTCACGGTATTTTATTAAGTCCGAAATGTGATTGCTACTGTTGTCACACTTTAGCGCCCCCAACAATCCCCTTACAAATGAGAAAAACAGAGCCTCCCCAAATGCCTTTCCTCTGACATCAAGGAAAGCGCATGGAACCCTGCCCAGAGGCCTGAGCCCGGGTGACCCCAGGAGTGGCTCCAGAGCTTGAGGAAAGGCCTGGGGGGCGGAGGGGGTGTTTTTCCAGTTTCAGGCAAAGCAGTGAGCTGGGGGCTATCTGCTGTTTCCTCTGCGCCTGGGTCTGTAAAGTCAGCGGTTGCCGTTTAAATCCCATTTTCCTTAACATGTCAGGATTGCTCATTCTAGGCCATCCATTTATATGGCCATGGCTCAGAGGTCTCAGACTCACATGCCTAGGGGGGTCAAGGATCCAGGTAACGTAAACTGAAGCAAGCCCCGTAGAGATGGTGGGAAACTGTAAATGGATGCCCTGGCTGAAGGAGGTAGCTGAAAATCTGGAGAGAGAACAAGAACAAGAAGAGAAAGGGAAGAGGAGGCAGAGAGAAAAGAGAGAGGACATCCCCCAAGTTTACATATTGCCCATTGCTTCAAAAAAATTTAAACATGCAATGAGCTAAGTAGATATGTCTCCAGGCCAGTTTGCAGGCTCTTCCCTAACTGAACTTATCAACACAGTAGACAAGCTGCCGGCCTGGCTCCCTCACCCCTCTAGAGCAGCGCTGTCCAGTAGAGATTTCTGCAATGATAAAATATCTGCAGCGTTCACTGCAATAACCACTGGCTACATGTAGCTCTTGAGCACTTGAAGTAGGACTAAAGAACTGAACCTTTAATGTTATTTAACTTTACTGAATTTCAATATAACTATAACTAGCCACAGGCAACTAATTGCTACCATATTAGACAACATGGCTCTAGATTCTTTCAATGTGGAGGGTATCATCGTGCTTGACTACTGCAAAAAAGATCACTCCTTCTTGGGGAGAGGGGGTAGATTATACCTGAGACCACCAAGCATTAATCAGAGTCCTGGGTAAATGGAAAGAAAGGAAATTCGAAATACTGAGCAGTAAAAGCTTAGGTGTAACCAGATGTCTGCTGGCTCAAGAGTGGTCACTCAGTGTCCTTCCACTCCCCCACTTCCCAGTGAGTTTCTCATTCAGGGTCACCCTTTAGCATCCACTGTGTTCTTGGCCATCTGCTTACTCCCATTTGCCCAGAGCTGACCCCTAGGAAGCCACCTGGGGGTACTTCCCTGCTGCCGTTGGTCTCCAGGCCTTAAGAGCACACCACTGTCCAAACCCAGGGTGCTGCCCGTGGGTCACAGAGGTGCAAGGTCCTATGCAGAGGCGAGAACGGCAGTTGCACTTTGTCACCTGCCACAAAGTTGCTGTGCCTGGGCCCATGTGTGTCAAGGACTCTGGAAACAAGCCTCACCTTTCATCAAAACCCTTTCTAATCTGAGGCCCTTTCAAGGGGCTGGAGAGGGACCAGCAGCCACACTACCCCCTTGCCAACCCCTCTCTCAGATTCCAGCCCAGCTCCCCACAGGGCAACCCAGGCTGCCCCAGATGCCACTGACCCCTCTCTTGCCTCCCTAAACATCACCATAACAACAAGACTACCTTACGTATCTTTTAAAAATTAATGAGGAGGCCTGTAATTCTACCACTTTGGGAGGCCACAGCGGGAGGATCACTTGAGCCCAGAAATTCAAGACCAGCCTGGGCAACATATTGAGACCCTATCTCTATTTTTCAAAAAAAGAAAAAAAATGAATGAGGCAGGGGCTTCCCACCATCCCCCTGCAAAGCTTATATTCTCAAAGATAAATTCAAGCCTTTTGGCCAGGCACGGTGGCTCATGCCTGCAATCTTAGCACTTCGGGAGGCCAAGACTAGAGGATCTCTTGAGGCCAGGAGTTTGAGACCAGCCTGGCCAACATAGCAAAACCTCATCTCTACTCAAAATACAAAAATTAGCTAGGCATGGTGGCACACACCTGTAGTCCCAACTACTCGAGAGGCTGAGGCTTGAGAATCACCTAAACCTGGGAGGTGGTGGCAGTGAACTGAGATTGTGCCACTGCACTCCAGCTTGGGTGACAGAGCAAGACTGTCTAAAAAAAAAAAAAAAAAAAAAAAAAAAAAAAAAAAAAAGCTTTTTGCTTGTCCAATTGTCTAAAAAGAGATCTGTTCAAAATGTTGCAAATACCCTTTCTTCCAATTTCTCTACTCCCATCAAGGTTCCAGAGATGTTACAACCAATTTTTTCTCAGTAGTCAAGCTCAGAGTCCCACGTGCTTCTCCTCCTCCAGCAGCCTTTGTAAGGAGGCAGCTGCCTCGAGAAATCACCTTGCAACTAAACTGTGGGAAAATGTGTAAGATCTTAACACAGTGGTAGAAACTAACATGTATGCAGTAGCCACTGTGCACCCGACACTGTTCTCGGTGCTCTCATGCAGCATCTCGCTTCTCCTCACCTCATCTGGAGGTGGGTTCAGTTATCAGGTCCATTTATCAGTCAGGCCTCTGGGGTTCATGAGGGTCATGCCCCTCACTCAAGGTCACACACTGGGAAGCGGTTGGATCCAGGATCCAGGCCCAGGCAGTCAGATTCCAGAGCCTGCACCCTGAACCAGTACCGCAGGGGCTGGCACCCCCGCACATTTTTTGCCCCATCAACATATTATCATGTCACTCCGCCAGCATCATGAAGTGCACTCATGATATGTTTGCCCCATCAGCGTGTCACGAGGGCATTTCATGATGCAGGCGGGGTTGGCAGGTGTGCATCGTGTAGGCTCCACATGGGACATGGCATCCCTTACGACTCTTGGCTGCAAAGTGCCAGAAACCCAGCTCCACTCACTTAATCTGAAAAGTGGGTGTATTTGTTCGCCAGGGCTGCTGTAACAAATTTCCCCCAGTTACTGGCTTCGAACAACACACACGTGTCCTCTTACAGTTCTGGAGGTCAGGCTCTGAGAGGAGAATCGGTTTTTTTACTTTTTTTTTTTTTTTTTTTGAGACAGAGTCTCGCTCTGTCGCCCAGGCTGGCGTGCAGTGGTGTGATCTCAGCTCACTGCAGCCTCCTGCCTCCCAGGTTCAAGCTATTCTCGTGCCTCAGCCTCCCAAGTAGCTGGGACCACAGATGTGCACCACCATGCCCAGCTAATTTTTTGTATTTTTAGTAGAGGTGGGGTTTCTCCATGTTGGCCAGGCTGGTCTCAAACTCCTGGCCTCAAGTGATCCACCCGCCTCAGCCTCCCAAAATGCTGAGATTACAGGTGTAAGCCACCACACCTGGCCCTTTGGTTTTTTGTTTGTTTTAGTTTTTCTTTCAGTGGCCACTTGTGTATGTTGACTGTGGTCTCTTCTTCCATCTTCAAAGCACATGACTCCAGTCACCCTCTCCTTTCTGTCATCAGATCACTGTCTCTCTTACAGGGACCCATGTGATTCCATTTAGGGCCCACCCCGACAGCCAAGGAAAAACTTCCCACCTCAAGATCTCTAACTGAACTAAAGTCCTGATTGCCATTTAAAGTAATAGATTTGCAGGTTCCGAGATAAGAATGTGCGCATCTTTGGGGGTTCGTTATTCGGCCCAGCACAGTCAGGGATGGCTCAGCTTCAGTCCTGACTGGATCCAGGGGATCAGATCGCATGCTCATGGCATCCCCCTCTCCAGCTCGCAGCCCTGCTTTCCTCAGCAGCTCCCGGCTTAATCCACCATTCAGCAGCCCCAGGGAAGAGACAGCACCTCTTCCAAAAGTGCCAGCCAACGTCCCCGGGCTGGTTCCCATTGGCCCACCTTAGACCACATGTTCATCCTTGAAGCAATCACTGTGGCCAGGGGGACCTTGGGTCCCTCTGATTGGTTTTCATTGTCCCCACCCCGTAGTCTTTTGTTTTTTTGTTTTTTTGTTTTTTTTGAGACAGAGTCTTGCTCTGTCATGCAGGCTGGAGCACAGTGGCGCGATCTCGGCTCACTACAACCTCCACTTGCTGGGTTCAAGCAGTTCTCCTGCCTCAGCCTCCCGAGTAGCTGGGATTACAGGCAGCTGCCACCACGCCCAGCTAATTTGTGTATTTTAGTAGAGACAGGGTTTCATCATGTTGGCCAGGCTGGTCTCAAACTCCTGACCTCAAACAATCCACCCGCCTGTCTCCCACAGTGCTAGGATTACAGGCATGAGCCACCATGCCCAGCCTCCACCCCATGGTCTTGTCCCACAGAGAGAGGTGTTTCCCCAAGGAAACTGAGTGGGAAACAGCATGGCATTGGAGTTTGTTCAATGGCAAGCCCTGGGGATAGTGCCTGGCACATAGTAAGTGCTCAGTAAATGATGATCACAGATCATGAGGCACAGCAGGTGTCCCTCCAGGAGCCAATACTTGAAGAGCACAGGGTTTACTAAGCAGATGTAGGCAGGAGAGCATTTCAAGCAGGGGGAACACCTTTAGCGAGGCAGAGGTGTCCACCATATGGCCAGGGTGACCAAATGTCTGGCCATACTTGGGAAGCTGGGGACCTAGGGGAGTCCTGGTTTGAACCTATCCCCCTAGTATAATACCATCCCCCTTTAATGCAAAACTCTCTCTGTTTGGAGAGTATCTGTATGGTCACTTTCCTTGCAGTCAACCTGCTCATTTATAAGGAAACCAAACAGACAAAGAGGATGAGATTGAACCCAAGGACCTCTAACCTTGAGTATCCAAATCCAGACTAGAACCCGAGCCTGATGACTCCCAGTGCAGTGCTCATCCCAGCCCTCAGCTTATGAGGCCAACCCTTGAAGGCTACATCAGATTAACCAGGCATGTTCTCTCTCTCTCTCTCTCTCTGTCAAATTTTCCATAGGATTGTGACCAGATCCACGTTGATGACGTCTCATCAGATGACAATGGCCAAGATTTAAGGTGGGAATTTGGGGAGTCAAAAATGCCCATTGATTGATTGATTGATTATCAAGTTATCCTTCTACTAGGAAGTGGGGTGGGAGAGGAGGGCTGCTTATAAGGACAAGGAGTGCCTGCCTCCAGCCAGAACTGGGACTTTTGCATCTCAGACTCAAAAATCACAACTAGGCGGGTGTGGTGGCTCATACTTGTAATCCCAGCACTTTGGGAGGTCTTAGCAGGAGGATCACTTGAGCTCAGGAGTTCAAAACCAGCCTGAGCAACATAGTGAGACCCCCATCTCTACTATAATAAATAAATGAGTAAAAATTTGTTTAAAAAATCACAACCTCACCCCTCAACCCTACAGTCTCTTGCTCATCACCTCAAATCACTAAACTCTGCTCATTTATTGCTATTTTTTTCCTGCTTACTGAAGTAATGCATGCATAACAGAAAAAATTCAAACACTTAACCTGACCTCACCTCCCAAACTCACCACCATTAAGAGTTTAGTATATATTCTTCAAAGATCTGCTCAAAATGTTGAAAATACCCTTTCTTTCAGCTTCTCTCCTCCAATCAAGGGTCCGGAGATGTTATAACCAATTTTTTCTCAGTAGTCAAGCTCAGAGTTTCACGTGCTTCTCCTCCTCCAGCAGTCTTCGTAAGGAGGCAGCTGCCTCCAAATATTTGGTTGTATTCATTAGCATACATATATATATTTTTTTCTTTTTCTTTTTTTTGAGGCTGACTTTCACTCTTGTCACCCAGGCTGGAGTGCAATGGTGTGATCTCAGCTCACTGCAACCTCCACCTCCCAGGCTCAAGCAATTCTCCTGCCTCAGCCTCCTGAGTAGCTGGGATTACAGTCATGCACCACCACACCCAGCTAATTTTTTTGTTTTTTTAGTAGAGGCGGGGTTTCACCATATTGGCCAGGCTGGTCTCAAACTCCTAACCTCAAGTGATCTACCCACCTCAGCCTCCCAGAGTGCTGGGGTTACAGGCGTGAGCCACCGCACCCGACCAGCATGCATATATTTTTAATATAACAATTGATACAGCCAATACTTAAGAAACACTTCTCAAATGAATAAGTGGTGTGTCTGGTTTCTAGGGGAAAACACTCCCAGGACATGGCTTCCAGGAATCAGGTAACCCATTGCTTAATATGAGACACCTTCAGGCCGGGTGTGGTGGCTCACGCCTGTAATCCCAGCACTTTGGGAGGCCAAGGCGCAAGGATCACCTGAGGTCAGGAGTTCGAGACCAGCCTGGCCAACACAGTGAAACCCCATCTCTACTAAAAATACAAAAATTAGCCGGGCGTGGTGGCGGGCGCCTGTAATCCCAGCTACTTGGGAGGCTGAGGCAGGAGAATTGCTTGAACCCAGGAGGCGGAGGTTGCAGCGAGCCGAGATCGTGCCACTGCACTCCAGCCTGGGGTACAGAGCGAGACTCCGTCTCAAAAAAAAAAAAAAAAGAGAGACAGCTTCCAGAGGAATGTGGGCTGGAATGTTCCAAGCCTGCCCCTGGGAAAACTTTGTAAAAATGGAACCATAGTTAATCTGTGCTCATCCAAAATTACCACAATTCAACGGCTTTAGGCTCATCAGATATATTATTAGACCAACTAATGTTTTGGTTACGGGATCAGTCATTGTAACTTTATTTAGTAGCTGCTTCCAAGGTGTCTCTCCCAACTTACTGCAAAAACAAAAATCAAAATTTCTGTTCCTGAGCCCTGCAAGTCTTTTCAAAGCCCGGCACAATCGGAAGTGATCAGCCGGCAGATGCCTGCTTCATTTTAATCAGCCATTCGGAAAATCCCTTCTGCAATCAGGACTGGCAAGGAGCAAAGCTCCAGCCCCACCAGGACTTCTCACCTGATGGAGTAAATAAACCCCAGATCAAGGTTAATTGGTCCTTTCCATGAAGTCATCGTTGGGAAGCACTCTTCCTTTCAAGGCAGTGAGCAGCACCGTTCTGTTTCTATAGTTTCCCCTGTAGCTAGCTGGCTTGGAATTGAGAGCAACAGTCCTCTGAACCCTGTCTCATGCTGAGCTGTTTGGTACCTCACTTTGAGAATTCTCAGCCCAAGGGTGTTTTCTTCCTTAGAGACCAAATTCTCCACTTATTCATTCAAGAAATATTTATGGAGTACCTACTATATGCTAGGTCCCAAACATGAAATGCCTCTTGTTTGTTTTTTTGTTTTGTTTTGTTTTGTTTTGTTTTTTTCAGTTAGCAGTAAGAACCAACCTTCAGAGATGCCTCGTTTTGTGCCATGTTCTATTCTAAATGCATTACATGGGATAACTCATTGCATATCCACAGTAACCCTAGGAGAGAGAGATGCTTTTATCCTCATCCTCATTTTTCAGCTGGGGAATGTGAGGCATAGAGAGATTGAGCAATTGGCCCAAACTCACATGGCTGGTCAGCAGGGAAGGCAGGATTCAAATCCAGGCAGCCTGGCTCTGGGACCCAAGCTCTTAACAGATCCTCTGTCCATCCTGGACACTGGTTCCTGCCCTCCCCAAGGGCCTCCATCTCCTAACATCTAGACATCTCCCCATGGTAGCATCTGAGTTAATGGTGAGCGTTCACTTTTTCAAGAATAAATCTATGGCCGGGCACAGTGGCTCACGCCTGTAATCCCAGCACTTTGGGAGCCCAAGGCGGGTGGATCACTTGAGGTCCGGAGTGCAAGACCAGCCTGGCCAACATGGTGAAACCCTGTCTCTACTAAAAATACAAAAAATTACCTGGGTGTGGTGGAGGGCACCTGTAATCCCAGCTACTTGGGAGGGGGAGGCTGAGGCAGGAGAATCACTTGAACCTGGGAGGCAGAGGTTGCAGTGAGCCGAGATCATGCCTTTGCACTCCAGCCTGGGCAACAGAGCAAGACTCCATCTCAAAATAAATAAAAAAAAATAAAAAAAATAAAAAAATAAAAAGTCAAAATAAGGGACGAGGCACGGTGGTGCATGCCTATAATCCCAGCACTTTGGGAAGCCAAGGTAGGAGGATCCCTTGAGCCCAGGAGTTCAAGAACAGCCCAGGCAACATAGAGAGACTCCATCTCTCCAAAAAATAAAAATAAGTTAGCCAAGTGTGGTGGCGCACACACGAGGAGCCTGTGGGCCCAGCTCCTCGGAAGGCTGAGGTAAAAGGATCCCTTGAGCTGGGAGGTTGAGGCTGCCATGAGCTGTGATGACACCACTGCACTCCAACCTGGGCAACAGCGCAAGACCCTGTCTCAAAAAAATAAAAATTAAAAAATAAATGAAAGGCAAATGGATGTGGATCAGGTAAGAGCAAAAGACACCACTTTTCTTGGGGAAGCTAATGAAAGCTGTGGTCCTGCTGCCCCCCAAATGCACACTCGCAGCACCCTGTGCATTTCGAGGGGCTCATGGACACCCAAAAGCCCACCCGTGGGTCCCACAGAGCCTGTGGTCTCCCAGGGAAGATGCCCTGCACCCCCCTGCACTAACACTGTCCCTCCCCTCCTCTCTCCGCAGCACATACAACTTCTCCGCTGACGGCTTCCACAGTTCGGCCCCAGGAGCCAACCTGTGCCTGGGCTCTGGCGTGCACGGCGGCGTGGACTGGATGAGGAAGCTGGCCTTCCGCTACCGGCGGGTGAAGGAGATGTACAATACCTACAAGAACAACGTTGGTGGTGAGTACTGTGAGCCTTGGGCCTCCGAGGAAGGGAAACTCATTGGGATGGATGCTGTCAGTGTCCCTGCTGTGCCAGGCGCCAGGCAGAGAGGTTCACAAGTTCAGTACCAGCCCACTTAATGCAACCCTGACGACACCCTTCGGAATAGAGCACTGGGATTTTGTCACCTTCACTTTGGGGGTGGGAAAGCTGAGGGACGGAGGCTGCATCTGGTCCAAGATCCTTCAGGCCACAAATGGCGCGGGGTGGACGTGGGGGCGGAATTCTCTTACCCACAGCCAGAGGCTCTCACAGTGTGGTCCTCCAAGTAGCAGCGACAGCATCACCTGGGGATGTGTTGAAAATGCAGATTCTCTGGCCCTACCTCAGGCCTAGCAAATCTGAAACTCTGCGCTGGGGCCCAGAATCTGTGTTTTCACAGCCCTGGAATCCCCCCTTGGATTCTGGAATTCCAGAATCCCCCTGGAATCGGGAGGACCTGTGCCTTGAGTCTTTGCATCTCAGATTGTTGTCCGCAGACCAACCACATCAGCATCCCCCGGAGCTGGTTAGAAGTGCAGGGTCACCAGCAGGCAGAGTCTGCAGTGACCCAAGATTACACCACTGCACCCCAGCCTGGGCAACAAAGTGAGACCCCGTAAAAAAAAAAAAAAAAAAAAAAACGTGCAGGGTCTCAGGCCTCATCCTGGGCAACTGACTCAGAATCTGCTTTAAAAAATTTTTTTTTATTTTTGAGACAAGGTCTTGCTATGCTGCCCAGGCTGGTCTCAAACTACTTCTGGCCTCAAGTGATCTTCCCACCTCAGCCTCCCAAGTAGCTGGGATTAGAGGCATGCACCACCTGCCTGGCCCAGAATCTGCATTTTTGACAAGCCCGCCAGGTGACTGTGGAGGCATTAAAGTTGAAGAAGCCCTAGAAGTCACTGGTTCTCACACGTGGCTCTCATTGGAACCACCCAGGGAGTTTCAGTTGCTGGTGGTCTTGGTATCACTGCAGCCTGGACATCAGGAGTCATAAAGATCCCTGGGGAATTCTAAGTGCAGCCAAGGAGAGACCCGCCCCCTGGCTTCAGGTACTAGGAACATTTGCTCATTGCCCCAAACAAGAAGTCTGAAGGCACTGAAGGCGAGGCTGGCTCAGCCGTAGTCTAGAGAATTCTGGAGTTCTCTAGAACAGAGGTTTTTAACTAGGGGTGGTACTGCGCCCTCCTCAGGAGACATCTGGGAGTCTTCCTGGTTGCCACAGTGCCTGGAACCAACCACTGGCCCATAAGGGCAGGGTTTGAGTAGGTGGCTAATAGTGTCTGCAATATACACATTGGCCCCAAAAACTTCTAGGGCCCCCTCCCTCCATTCCTAGAAAGAATAGAGTCCCGGTTCTCAAACTGGACAGAACACACTTCCAGTCGCAGCTCTACAACTTTCTAGCTATGTGGCCTTAGGCAACATACATACGGTCATCTTAATGAGCCTTAGTCTTTAAATCTATGAAATGGAGAATACAAATACTTCTGCTTCCCTGGATTATTGAGAGATTTATTGTTAGTGCATACAAAAGGCATGACTCCATGCCTGATACACAGCGGGAACTCAATAAATGGTGGCATTTGTCACGAGTTGCTCTCAGTTTTGCTTGGGAGCCTCGGGTTCCCCTGCGTCTTCTACTGTCCCTGGAGCTTTCCCATCCGTTCTTTGGGACAGACTTCCCGTCGTGTTCATGGCTGCGGTGCTAATGCAGCCCACGTGCTAAGCGCGGTCCTGGCAGTAGCTAATGTTTAAGGAGCACTCGCTCTGCCAGTTTTGCCACCGTTTTCATGGACTAGCTCCTTCACTCTTCACAGCATGCCTGTAAGGTAAATGTTTTTATCAACGGTGTTGCTTGAAAGCAGAAACTGAGATGACGGAGGTTAAGTAACCTGCCCAGCGTCACACAGCCCAGGCAGAAGGGCCACAGTGGAGTCCCAGGCTGGGTGACTGCACCACCTCTGCCCTTCAGGGCCACACTTGGTGGCCTCTCAGATGTGAGTGTGTTGATTGCAGGAGTGAAGCAGCAAGCTCTGGTCAGGTCCCAGCCTTTGTACCCAGCCCTGCACGGAGGGAGGAGGGGAGCAGGAGGGCTGACTCAGGTGAGACAGGGATGGGGTTGGCCGCCAGAGAGCATCTGTTCCCCATCCAGGTTAAGGCCCAGGAAATGCCAGGGCTTTGTCAGGCTGCTCTGCTCACCCATAGCTGAGGGGAGAGCACCCAAGGCGTCAGCCAGTGAGGAGCCCACAGCCAGCGGCATGCCGGTCTCCTTCCCCAACCCAGCTGTTCCTGCATCACAGAACTAGCCAGGTGCATGGCCGTGGCTTCCAGCCCAGGGATCACCACAGATCCCCACGATTCCAAGTGTTTTAGAAGGTACACTCGGAAGAAAGGCATCTGCAAAATACAGAATAGAGAAAATGCTTAGTAAATCACCATCTAGGAGGCAGGGGTTGAAATCAGGGGCCTTAGCCTGATGTCATCCTTCCATCTACCACTTCCCATGTAGCTCTGAGCAGGTTATTTGACCTCCCTGTGCCTCAGTTTCCTCCTCGTGTGCAAAATGGGGCCAGTGATGCTGCCCAGCATCATTGGTAGATGGCTAATAGTGTCTGCAATATACACAATATACACAAGGATTCATGCCAGGATGTTGTGAATTCACACAGGAAAGGTGCTCAGAACGGCATCTGACACACATAAGCTCTCATTAAGTGGCACTTTTGTTATCTGGGGAAGGTGGGAAGGAGGCCAAGCCTGGAGGAAAACGCCGAGGAAACAGCTTGAAGCACACTTCCCAGCGTGGAGCAAAGTAGGGGTGGTTGGGCAGCCAGCTACACAAGACAGCACGTTGGGAAGCCCTTTGTCAACTGAAAAGTGCTGAGCCTTGTGAGTTTGTATTGTTACTGAGGGTTCCAGCTAAGGGTCTGTGGGGAAGGTGCAGAGACAGAGGAAAACCAGAGGCCGTGTGTTCTCCTAGAGTTGATAGACTAATGAGAAGATGGGACATGTAGCAGTAAGAAGATTCATTCATTCATTCATTCTTCCACGTGTCCATCGTCAAAGGCCTAGGTTGTGGATTCAGCAGTGAACAAAAGAAACAAGGTCCCTGTTTTCAAAGAGTTTATATTCAGTGAGTGGAGGAAACAGACCATCAACAAGTGAGCAAATCACTTAAATTCTTTTTTTTTTTTTTTTTTTTTGAGATGGAGTCTTGCTCTGTCACCCAGGCTGGAATACAGTGGCATGATCTCGGCTCACTGCAACCTCTACCTCCCAGGTTCAAGTGACTCTCCTGCCTCAGCCTCCCGAGTAGCTGGGATTACAGGCACATGCCACCATGCCCGGCTAATTTTTGTATTTTTAATAGAGATGAGGTTTCACCATGTTGGCCAGGCTGGTCTTGAACTCCTGAGCTCAGGTGATCCACCCGTCTCAGCCTCCCAAAGTACTGGGATTACAGGTATGAGCCACCATGCCCGGCTTTAAATTCTTAATTCAGTCATTTCGAGGATGATCACACCTATTGAAGAAACAGATATGGCAGAGAGCCCAGCGTGGGCAGTGGTGGCCAGGGGATACTTGGAATAGTAGACCCAGAGTCCATCTCTCAGGAAGGGCTATTTGAACTCAGTATTCTAAATATTCTAGATGAGATTCTAATAATGATAACCAGATGCCCAGAGCTGGGGAATGACCAATACAAGCAAAGAGTCAATCAGTTCAGCTACATTCAACTGCATAAGTAAAAGAACAACCAACCAAAAAATAACACAAAAAACAACAATGGCTTAAACCAGATAGAAATGTATTTTTTTTCTTATATACAAAAGCTGTAGGCATTCCAAGCTGGCCAAGTACTCTACAGTGTTATGAGCCCAGGATCCCAGGATCCTTCTTTCTTTTTTTTTTTTTGAGACAGAGTCTCACTCTGCCACCTAGGCTGGAGTATAGTGGCACAATCTCGGCTCACTGCAACCTCCGCCTCCCGAGTTCAAGCAATTCTCCTGCCTCAGCCTCCCAAGTAGCTGGGAATACAGGCGCCTGCCACCACACCCGGCTAATTTTTGTATTTTTAGTAGAGATAGAGACGGGATTTCACCACGTTGGCCAGGCTGATCTCGAACTCCTGACCTCAGATGATCTGCCCGCCTCGGCCTCCAAAAGTGCTGGGATTACAGGCATGAGCCACCCTGCCTGGCCCCTTCTATCTTTGTATTTATTTATTTATTTATTGAGACTGGGTCTCACTCTGTTTCTCAGGCTGGAGTGCAGTGGCATGATCTCGGCTCACTGCACCCTCGACCTCCTAGGCTCAAGTGATCCTCCCACCTCAGCCTTCAGAATAGCTGGGACCACAGGCACATGCCACCATGCCTGGCTAATTTTTAAATTTTTTGTAAAGATGGGGCCTTCCTGTCTTGCCCAGGCTGGTCTCAAACCCCTGGCTCAAGCGATCCTCCCACCTCAGCCTCCCAAAGTGCTGGGGTTACAGGCGTGGGCCACCTCACCCAGCCAAAATCAGGATTCTTATTACTAATGAGAAGATCCTTTTGTATTTATATTTTTACTAATTACAAGTGAAAAAAATGGATAGTGGATGGCAACTAAGTGTCTACCACAAACAGCAAATGAAAAGTCTCTGAGACAAAAAGAGTTTGACACTTTTCAGAAAGATAAAGAAGGCCAGCATAGCTGAATAGCTGGAGTGAGGGGGCACGTGGTCCAGGACAGGATGAGAGAGCTGGCGGTGTCCAGATGACATAAGGCCCAGTTTGGACACTGGGCTCTTCTATGTAGAGAAGACGATGTCTCCATAGCACAGGCAGCATTTTGTCCTAATTAATTCATTCTTCCTTCAACAAATACTGATTGAGCATCAAGCACAGGCCAGCCCCTGCTACAGAAACTGCTGCTATGATGGCGAACAAGACTGACTTGGTCCCTGCCCTCTGCCCTAGAGTGAATAGCCTAATGGCCAAGGCAGATGCCAAACACATCGTCACACAGATACACTTAAAATTAGAGTTGTGAGAAGTGCTGTGAAGAAGAGCTACAGTGTGTTGGGAGAATATAAACTAAAGGGACCTGACCCAGCCTGGAGAGATCAGGTTAGACCTTCCAGAACAAATGACATTTAAGATGAGGCCGTAAGGCAGGATGCAGAGGTTCACACCTGTAATTCCAGCACTTTGGGAGGCCAAGGCAGGATTGCTTGAGGCCAGGAGTTCAAGACCAGTTTGGGCAACATAGCAAGACCCCACCTCTATGAAAAATACAAAATTTAGCCGGACATGGTGGCAGGCATCTGTAGTTCCAGCTACTCAGGAGGCTAAGGTGGAAGGATTGCAGGATTGCTTGAACCTGGGAGACTGAGGCTGCAGTGAGCCTTGATCACACCACTGCACTCCAGCCTGGGTGACAGAGCAAGATCTTGTCTCAAAAAAAAAAAAAAAAGACAAGGCCCAAATGCAGAGTGTGAAGGATTTAGCCAGGCAAAAGCAGAAGATGAGATAAAAGAGTGGTCCATGTTCTGAAATGAGGTGTGCAAAGGTCCTGGGGCAGGAGTCCACTTGGTGTTTCAGGGAACAAACGAGGCCTCCAGGCTGGAATGGAAAGACAGCGGCAGGAGATGAAACTCAGTAGGGACAGGATCATGCTGCTGGGGGTTTTGAACTTTATCTTAAAGCTACTGAAGGCTGAGAGAATGGCAGGTTGAGAAATACCCAGGGTAGCTCTGGAAGCCAGCTGCCTGGGTGCCGGACCTGTGTCCATTTTTGTTCATATCTGTGCATTCAGTGCCTATTACAATATCAAGCACCTAGAAGGCACTCCTGAATTTTTTGTTGGATGCATGGATGGATGAATGTGGGGGTAGATAGGTGGATGGGTGGATGGGTGGGTGGGTAGATGGGTGGATGGGTGGGTGGGTGGATGGATGGATATTGGGTGGATGGATGGGTAGATACGTGGGTAGGTGGATGGATGGGTGGATAGGTGTCTATTATTTTCTCCCTATGGTGAGCAAGTCAGTCAACATCACAAAGCCTGTTTCTTTACCTAAAAATATAGAAATAAAAATGGTGTCCACCTCTATGGTCATTGTGAGAATGAAATAAATCATGTTAAAAGCAGAGCCCTGCACATAAGCACTCAAAAATGTTCATCATTTTTTATGTTATTATTAATTCCCTGTCTCCACCATAACAATATAAGCTCTATAATCTGCATATTTTTGTTCATATCTGTACATTCAGTGCCTATTACAATATCAAGTACTTAGAAGGTACTCCTGAATTTTTTGTTGGATGCATGGATGGATGGATATGGGGTAGATGGGTGGTTGGGTGGATAGGTGGGTGGGTAGATGGGTGGATGGGTGTGTGGGTGGATGGGTGGATGGGTGGGTGGGTAGACTGATGGGTGGGTGGGTGTGTGGGTAGATTGATGGGTGGGTGGGTGGATAGATGGATGGTTGGATATTGGGTGGATGGATGGATGGGTGGATGGATGGATATTGGGTGGATGGATGGGTGGATAGGTGGGTGGGTGGATGGATGGATGGATATTGGGCAGATGGATGGATGGGTGGATGGATGGATATTGGGTGGATGGATGGGTGGATAGGTGGGTAGGTAGATAGATGGGTGGATAGGTGGGTGGATGGATGGATGGATGAATGGAAGGGTGGATGGGTGGATGGGTGAATCAGTCAGTGGATGGATTAATCTATCAATCTGTTGATCTCAGGATAAGATTGAGAGAAGCCACTGGATTGAAGTTTACTTTGGGTTGTCATCTGATTTTAACCCTCAGGGTACAGTAGCTAGATTCCTGTTCCCTACCTTCATCCCCCAGATCTTTCTAATACGATGACTACATCTTTATTTCCTTTGTCCACAGGGTTGATAGGCACTCCCAAAAGGGAGACCTGGCTACAGCTCCGAGCTGAGCTGGAAGCTCTCACAGACCTCTGGCTGACCCACTCCCTGAAGGCACTAAACCTCATCAACTCCCGGCAAGTGGCAGCCCTCATTTTCCTCTGTGCCACTGAACTTTCTCGCAGTAGACAGTGGTGGCTCCTGCATGTCCACACTTGGGAGAATTGGACTCCTCAAACTCTCACTTGTACACTTTCCAAATATTTTTTTTTTTTGATATGGAGTCTCACTCTGTCGCCCAGGCTGGAGTGCAGTAGCGTGATCTCGGCTCATCACAACCTCTCCCTCCCAGGTTCAAGCAATTCTCCGGCCTCAGCCTCCTGAGTAGCTGGGATTGCAGGTGTGCACCACCACACCTAGCTAATTTTTGTATTTAGTAGAGATGGGGTTTCACCATGTTGGCCAGGCTTGTCTCGAACTCCTGACCTCAGGTGATCCACCCGCCTCGGCCTCCCAAAGTACTGGGATTGCAGGTGTGAGCCACCACTCCCAGCCCAAATATTTAATAAAGCTTAAGTGCACAAGGCTCAGTGGATACCTTGGAGCATAGCTGAGCTAATAGCGGCAGAGACTTTTCAGGGCCCAACAGGTTTCCAGGTTTCTGGATTCTCCCAAAAGATGAGAACTGGCATGCAGGCTCCAGCTTACTCTATTCCCCACCTCTCCCTCTTGTCCTACACTTGTTCCATATCACTCATTTACATTACCCGCAACTATTTAAGTGTATGGCCCTTGCAATAAACATTTGCTTTTTATATAAGAAAAGTATTCCCCCCATACTACATTTCACTATGTCAGGCAGCTTCAGGCTTAAAAGAGAGGAACAGCCTGAGAATCCTTGGGCCCTAACATACCTGAAGATGACAGCCATAGCCTCCAAGCCTACCAGATTTCCCGCCAACTGCAGGCTCATGCAGCAAGAGGAGGCCTGGCCTTGTGGTCCCTCTGAGTTCTGATCCACAGTCTCCTTTGTCCTTAGGCCCAACTGTGTCAATGTGCTGGTCACCACCACTCAACTAATTCCTGCCCTGGCCAAAGTCCTGCTATATGGCCTGGGGTCTGTGTTTCCTATTGAGAACATCTACAGTGCAACCAAGACAGGTAGGGAGAAGCCACACCTCGGCGGGGATACAGGGTTGGAGGGTGGGGTTAGCTTTCCATCCTGGGAATGGGGTGTTTAAGGAACATGACACCACAGAAATGGATGGAGTGTGCCTATGGCCATGACTCAGATTCCCAAAACAGCCCCCATAGACCACATGCCTTAACCTCTGCTTCTAAAGAAATTGGTTAGGACCACAGTTTTCCAAAGTGTCTGTATGAGTTCAGATACAGGCAAAGCTGCTGTAACAAACACACCCCAAATGCAAGGGCTTGCAAAAGAGTCAAAGCTGATTTCTCCCTAGTAGAACAGACAGAGGTGAGTGATCCAGGCTGGTGGGGTGACCCTGTCCTCAGAGACATCCAGAAACCCAGGTCTCTCCCGTTTTATTTTTCCACCATTTCTTATGGTTTTATTCTCATGTATGGGGTCAAATCAGAGTCCTAGCCCATCCTCATTCTAGCAGGTCTGGTATTTGAAGGCCAAGCTCAGAAGGCTATGTACATTACATTCTACTCACTTCCTGTTAGCCCCAGCTTAGTCACGTGGCCACAAGTAGCTGCCAGGGAAGCTGGGAAATGTAGTCCATAGCTGAGTGATTCATACTGTCACTCAATCTGGAATGCAGTGGCGAGATCATAGCTCACTACAGCCTCAAACTCCCAGCCTCAAGCAATCCTTCCACCTCAGCCCCCAAAGTACTGGGACTACAGGCATGAGCCACCGTGCCAAAATATTTTTAATTAGAAACCTTTTCCATTGTTTTTTCTCTAGAGCAAAAAATAAAAAAAATAAATAATTTATAGTACTTTGGCAGCATTTTCTTGGAGCAATTTTGGTTTTACTGAAGTTCTACGTCCAAACATTATATGAAAGTGCCTTTTGATTTTAAAATTATAGTAGTAGGGGCCAAAATGGTTGTTGAAGATTTTTCAACAAGATCCTGTCTTTTCATTTTTCCCATTTTTCCTGCATACCTCAAGTACCTTTGCAGGTTTATTTCGAATCTCTTTTTTAAATAATATTTTTATTTTTAATTGTGGTAAAATTAAATAATGTAAAATTTTCACCATCTTAACCTTTTTTCTTTTTTTTAAGATGGAGTTTCTCTCTTGTTGCCCAGGCTGGAGGGCAGTGGTGCAATCTCGGCTCACTACAACCTCCGCCTCCTGGGTTCAAGCAGTTCTCCTGCCTCAGCCTCCTGAGTAGCAAAGACTACAGGCGTGCACCACTACACCGAGCTAATTTTGTATTTTTAGTAGAGACGGGGTTTCACCTTGTTGGCCAGGCTAGTCTTGAACTCCTGACCTCAGGTGATCCATCTGCCTCGGCCTCCCAAAATGCTGGGATTACAGGCATGAACCACCGCACCTGGCCATGCACTATACGCTTAAAAATGGTTAAGATGGGTCAGGCGCGGTGGCTCACGCCTGTAATCCCAGCACTTTGGGAGGACGAGGCAGGTGGACTGCCTGAAGTCAGGCAGTTCAAGACCAGCCTGACCGACATAGTGAAAACTCATCTGTACTAAAAATAAAAAAATTAGCAGGGCATGGTGGCGGGTACCTGTAATCCCAGGTACTTGGAAGGCTGAGGTAGGAGAGTCGCTTGAACCCAGGAGGCAGAGGTTGCAGTGAGCCGAGACCAGGCCATTGCACTCCAGCCTGGGCAACAAGAACGAGACTCCGTCTAAAAAAAAAAAAAAAAGGTTAAGATGGCTGGGTGCAGTGGCTCACGCCTGTAATCCCAGTACTTTGAGACACTGAGGTGAGCAGATCACTTGAGGCCAGGAGTTCGAGACCAGCCTGGCCAACATGGTGAAGCCCCATCTCTACTAAAAAATACAAAAATTAGCCAGGTGTGGTGATGCGTGCCTACAGTCCCAGTTACTCAGGAGGCCGAGGCAGGAGAATGGCTTGAACCCAGAAAGTGGAGGTTTCAGTGAGCCGAGATGGCACCACTGCACTCCAGCCTGGGTGACAGAGCAAGACTGTGTCTCGAAACAAAAGTGTCCAGCGCAGTGGCATCAAGTGCATTCAAATGGTTGTGCATCCATTGCCACTTCTACATCGGACAGCTGCAGAGACTTGGGAGCCTGCTCTAACCCCTGCGCTGCCTCCTCCTGCTGTGTTGCCCTGGGCAAGCTACTGACCCTCGCTGTGTTTCCGGCTGTCATCATCCTTCATGTGGGGATGATAACAGGGCTCACCTCAGAAGTTTGCTCAAGAACGAAATGATGAATACCGGGCCTTTGGGAGCACAGCTGCAGGCACCAAGCTCTTAATGAGCGGGTATTGGCTGCAATCCGGGGTCCTCACAGAGCGTTTTTTCTTTCCTTCCTGTGTGCGTGCAGGGAAGGAGAGCTGCTTCGAGAGGATAATGCAGAGATTCGGCAGAAAAGCTGTCTACGTGGTGATCGGTGATGGTGTGGAAGAGGAGCAAGGAGCGAAAAAGGTACTTCTTCCACCTCTCAGACTGCGTTTTCCTGCTCTTTCGAGCACCCCTCGTGGTCTTCAAGGGCTCCTTCCATGATTTCCTCCACTCCCCGTGGCTGGCTGGGTCCTCCTTCCCAGGCTCCTTGCTTGCCAGTCCATTCCATTTGCAAATTGCAGAAGCATCCTGAGTAATTTCCTTCTACAAATCCCCCTCTCTGCCTCTGGCTGCTGCCCCTGGTAGCCCTGGATTGTTTCTGGGACAACTGTTCGGGAGCCTAGAGACGCTCCGGCAGGGCAGGCTGGTGGGGGGCCAGTGCACGTGCATGTGTTTTATTTAATACTTACTGATCATATGTTCCAGCAACCCTTCCCAGTTAATAAAGACAGCATTAAGCTAATGAAAAAGAAAATCCTGCATTTGTGATCTCGGGCCCGTGAGGAGAGGGCAGGGGGTTCTGGTGGCCACATCTCTGTTCTTGGAAAAGAAACAGCTGCCAAAGTCCTGGGTCTGGATCTGTCAACAGCGCCCCAGAGAGGCTGCCACCCCCAACCCGGAGGCCTGGGAAGTGGATTGTTAATGTCACAGACCTTAATTAGGGGGACCTGGTTTCCCCCATCTCTGCCTGGCAGCAAATCCCAAGGAAATGCAAAAATGTTCAGGGTCTCAGCAGATGAAACCCAGAAGAAGAGGGAAGCCCTAGGGTCCTGGGAGAGGGCCCCGGGAGAGAGGAGCTTGGAAGGCTTTGCAGGCACTGTTCCCTCCACCTGGAAGGCTCCTCCCCTTTCCTGGGAGATGTAGTCTCTATTATCCGCCGCCATGAGCCCCGCTAAGAAATGGGAGCTGCTTCTGAGAGAGAAGGGGAGAAGTGATATTGAGGGGCAGCTGCCAGGGTCAGTCGCACTGGTGTGTGGCCAGGCTGTGGCTGGCATCTTGAGTTGCTGACCTAACCCCATGCCCTTCACCACCGTAACTTTATTGCTAACATCATCATTGTACTCAATCCTCCAAAAACTCCTACAAAGTGGGTATCATTGCATCCCTTTTTTTTTTTTTTTTTTTTTAGAGATAGGGTCTCACTCTGGCACCTAGGCTGGAGTGCAGTGGCACAATCTCAGCTTACTGCAGCCTCTACCTACTGGACTCAAGCGATCTTCCCACTTCCACCTCTAAGTAGCTGGAGCTATGGACAGGCACCACCATACCTGGTTAATTTTTTGTATTTTTTTTTTTATAGAGATGGGGTTTTGCCATGTTGCCTGGGCTGGCCTCAAACTCGTAAACTCAAACAATCTGCCCACCTTGGCCTCCCAGAAAGCTGGGATTAGAGGCATGTGCCCGGCCACACCCCATTTTATAGATGACAGAATTTGAGACTCAGAAAGGTTAATTAATTTGCCTAGGGTCACACATCTAGCACATGCAAACCTACCTGTGTCATGCTCCAAACGCCTGGCAGGGAGGAGACGGACTTACGAGTTTCAAACACGGTTGGTTTTCACCCCTGAGCTAGTCAGGCAAGAGTAGAGTCAGCCAAAGAAGACTAGGTACACACCCACCACACACAGAACTCCCATAAAAGTCCCAGTGTCTGAGGCAGAAGCCTCAGAACGTTAGTGAGAAACAGTGTCCACCAGCAGCTCTCTCAGCCTGACAAATGGAAGTCATTAGCCCAGGCCACCGGAAATCTGAGCGGTGTAAAATATGGCCGCAGGACCAGGGGCCTTGACTGTTTCCGCTGACAGTGTTGTTAATATCTCCATTTTAGTGGGTGATTTGTCTCCACCTCTTCACGAGTGATGAATCCACTGGCACTCTGGAACCTTTAAGCCTGGGGTAAAGGCGGCTAGAACATTCTCTTTCTTCCACCTTTGCTCATTCTCTCCCAGAAAAATGAATCACACTCTTTTTTTTTTTTTTTTTTTTTTTTTTTTTTTTTTTTTTTTTTGAGACAGAATCTCACTGTGTCGCCCAGGCTGGAGTGCAGTAGCATGATCTCGGCTCACTGCAACCTCCACCTCCCAGGTTCAAGCGATTCTTGTGCCTCAGCCTCCTGAGTAGCTGGGATTACAGGCATGAGCCACCACATGTGGCTAATTTTTTGTAATTTTAATAGAGACGGGGTTTTGCCATGTTGGCCAGGCTGGTCTCGAACTCCTGACCTCAGGTGATCCGACCACCTCAGCCTCCCAAAGTACTGGGATTAGAGGTGTGAGCCACCACACTCAGCCAAATTACACTCTTTAAAGAGGGCAGGATTGGCCAGGTGGCAACCAGAATCTATCTTTGCAAAGAAAGGAGGGCTTGGCCGGGATGAGGGCAGGGTGGGAATGCTAGGGCAGTGAGAAGGCGTTGAAGAGATGAGAGCTGTTCCCATAGGAGATGGTTTTCTGCTTCCCTTGAGCTGAGAATTGTTTAGAAACTACAGAACAAAGAGAAAAGGATACATTCAGAGGACTTTGCTTGAGAAACTTACCTTCTTTTTTTCCCTCTCTCTCTTCCTCTTTTCATTCCTTCTACGAATATTTCTTGAGCACCTACTATGTGTCAAGAGCCATGCGGTGCAGCAATGAGCATTGCATTCCAAGCTCAACCTTCCTGGGGCCTTTGCACTTGCTGTGTCTTCTACCTGCCCCCACGTTCCCCCACATCTTTGCCAGGGCCTGCTTAAATGACACTCCCTGGAGAGGCCTTTCCTGACCCAGCTCTCAAAAGTAGACACACAAAGCTGCTTTCTACCCTATCTCATTCTGTTTCCTTCCTAGCACTTACCAGGAGATGAACTTATCTTGTTTATTTCTTATCTGTGGGTTTATCTGAGCCTCCAATGAAAGCCCCATAAGTGTTTGTGACCTGTACAGAAGGCCCCACTGGGGTCTGCCCCTGGCATCTTTATAGATCTTCCTTTGCTCACTGAGGGATTCTCAATCTGGGATGCCCTTCCCTTCAGTGACCTGCTAACTATGAAGCACTTATTCTTTTTTTTTTTTTTTTTTTTTTTTTTTTGAGATGAAGTTTCACTCTTGTTGCCCAGGTTGGAGTGCAGTGGCATGATCTCAACTCACTGCATCCTCTGCCTCCTGTGTTCAAGTGATTCTCCTGCCCCAGCCTCCCAAGTAGCTGGGATTACAGGTGGCCACCACCACGCCCAGCTGATTCTTGTATTTTAGTAGAGATGGGGTTTCACCATGTTGGCCAGGCTGGTCTCAAATTCCTGATTTCAGGTAGTCCACCCGCCTTGGCCTCCCAAAGTCCTAGGATTACAGGCGTGAGCCACCACGCCCGGCCTCCTCATTCGTTCTTCAAGGTCTGGGTCTCATGCGCTTCTTGTCCCCTGAGACACCCCCATCCCATTCACTTCTACCAAAAAAGAGGCTGCTTCCTCTGGCTGGCTCCCATGACATTTTATTTACACCTGCCTTAATGATTTCTTTACATTCTTCCTAAGGTAGTCTTATTTATTATCTTTTAAACTACTGAGAAACGCCAGCATTCTTTCTTCCATATACATGCACATATATATACAATTTGTCCTGCATCCTTCCTTTTTCCTATTTACCTAGATATGTCCCTAGCTACTCAGGAGGCTGAGTCAGGAAAATCAGTTGAGCCCAAGAGATCAAGGCTGCAGTGAGCCATGATCTGCATTCCAGCATGGACAACAAACTGAGACTCCATCTCTAAAATTAAAAAAAAAAATTAATGAAACGAAATTCAGCTGGGCACAATGGCTCATGCCTGTAATCCCAACACTTTGGGAGGCTGAGGTGGGTGGATCGCTTGAGCCCAGTAGTTTGAGACCAGCCTGGTCACCATGGTGAAACCCTATCTCTACAAAAAATACAAAAATTAGCCAGATGTGGTGGCATGCATCTGTTGTCCCAGCTACCCGGGAGGCTAAGGTAGGAGGATCGCTTGAGCCTGGGAGGTTGAGGCTGCAGTGAGCAGAGATCATGTCACTGCACTCTAGCCTGTCTCAAAAGAAAGAAAGAAAGAAAAAAAAAACTCCACATCATGACAATAACTTGAAGCAGGTACCACCTGCTGCAAAGAAAAGGAAAAGATAAAAACGAAAGCTATAAAGAAAACAGATTAGTGTCATCTGACCTGGCTAGCTACAGTGGCCTGCTGAAGACTCTCCAAGACCAGCTCTGTTTGTTCACAGTGGAGACTGTCAATGCTGGGGAGGGGTTCCAGCACCGAGCTGTGACTTTCTTCTTGAAGTAACAGGATTCAGAGCACTGCAGCCTCCAATTCCCGGCCTCAAGCAATCCTCCCGCCTCAGCCTCCCAAAGTGCTGGGATTACAAACGTGGGCCACAGTGCCCAGGCAAGAACAAATTTTTAAAAAGGAATCGCTTTCCCATTGTGCAATTTAACACCATGTCAGTGCACCGCCTAAGACCACGCTGGTACCAACAGAGGCGAGAGGGTCAAACAGCGAACACGCTGGGCAGTGCTGGATAAGCCCGTCAGAGCAGGCTCTGAATAGAAATGGTTGGCCATACTGGTGGGTACTGGCCAGATGTGGGTCTGCCAGCAACATCAAGTGCCCCATAGTTTGGGAAGTCCCCACGTGCTAGACTTAACTGGGTTGACTTCTCACATGCCCTCTAACCACAGGCGTGGAACCCGGGGGCAGGGGCGGGGCCATAACCTTGTGGCTGGTGTTCTGTGTTTCAGCACAACATGCCTTTCTGGCGGATATCCTGCCACGCAGACCTGGAGGCACTGAGGCACGCCCTGGAGCTGGAGTATTTATAGCAGGATCAGCAGCATCTCCACCTGCCATCTCACCCTCAGACCCCCTCGCCTTCCCCACCTCCCCACCGAGAACTCCAGAGACCCAGATGTTGGACACCAGGAAGGGGCCCCACAGCCGAGACGACGTGTCCAGTGACCATCTCAGAAGCCGTCCATCAGTCCAAATGGGGGTTCTGAGAAGGAAAGTACCCAACATTGGCTTCGGAGTATTTGACTTTGGGGAAAAGGGCTGGCTCGGAGTCTAGACTCTTCTGTAAGACTCACAGAACAAAAGCAAGGAATTGCTGATTTGGGGGGTGCCTGGTGATGAGGAGGGGATGGGTTTGTCTTGTCTTCTTTTTAATTTATGGACTAGTCTCATTACTCCGGAATTATGCTCTTGTACCTGTGTGGCTGGGTTTCTTAGTCGTTGGTTTGGTTTGGTTTTTTGAACTGGTATGTGGGGTGGTTCACAGTTCTAATGTAAGCACTCTATTCTCCAAGTTGTGCTTTGTGGGGACAATCATTCTTTGAACATTAGAGAGGAAGGCAGTTCAAGCTGTTGAAAAGACTATTGCTTATTTTTGTTTTTAAAGACCTACTTGACGTCATGTGGACAGTGCACGTGCCTTACGCTACATCTTGTTTTCTAGGAAGAGGGGGATGCTGGGAAGGAATGGGTGCTTTGTGATGGATAAAAGGCATTAAATAAAACCACGTTTACATTTTGAAGTGGGGTAGGATGTGGTTACTTTATTACCACTCTTGAGGCTTCCAAATGTGTTGTCCTTTTTAAAGACTTTATCAGTTGCAGAAGAATAGAATCCAACTCACACTGGCTTAAGCCAAGAAAAATGGGGTGGGGGGAGGGAGGAAGGAGAAGAGGGAGAAAAGGAGGGAGGCAGAAAGGGAGGGGAAGAAGGACAAAGGGACAAGTGTCTCCAGGAACTTTAGGTGGTATCTGTCTGGATCCGGGTGGTCAAATGAATTTCTCTCATGTGGCCGTAATTCTCAGGCAGGCTGTTCCCTGTGTGGCAAAGACGGCTCTACGAGTCCTTCAGCAAAACCACACAGACAGAAAGAGACCACATTCTTCACCGTGGTGCAGCGAAAGCCTCAGGACTGTAACTCGTTGGCCAAATCTGAGGCTTAGGCAACTCACGGAGCTGGATTTAGGGTTGGATCCTGTCACGAACAGCAAGTTGAACAAGCTGATCCTCCAAGGGAAAGAAAATCAGTGAGCTGTTATTCAAAGAATTGGGGGAATTGAGGGTCGGGCTGGAAAATGCAACTGACTTCCGTTCTAATGGTAGGACTTCATTTCCCAGTGGATGGGACATGAGTGAAGGATCCAGTTTAAGGGGCAAGGAGGGAAATCTGGAGAAGTTCTGAAGACATCTGGAGCACTGCCACTACCCATAGTGGACCAGGCAGGACCTGGGTCTATCTGATTGGATGCTAAGCAGGAATATAGGCTCCTTCCTTATTAATGCTGGTAAAATCGTGGATTATCAGTCAGCTGACCCATGTCATGGGAGATGGAGATCTCTGCCACTGGAGTCTCAGAGCTAGAATCTCTGATGATTAGAAAACTGTCACCGGCCAGGCATGGTGGTGTATGCCTGTAATCCCAACACTTTAGGAGGCCAAGGCATGTGGGTCGCTTGAGCCCAGGAGTTTGAGACCAACCTGGGCAACATGGTGAAACCCCGTCTTTACAAAAAATACAAAAATTAGCTAGGCATATAGCATGCGCCTGTAGTCACAACTACTCAGGAGGCAGAGGTGGGAAGAGCTCTTGAGCCCAGGAGGTTGAGGCTGCAGTGAGCCAGGTTCACACTGCTGCACTCCAGCCTGGGTGACAGAGCAAGACCCTGTCTCAAAAAAAAAAAAAAAAAAAAGGCATCACTAAGGGTCAGATAGACTCCCTTACTAGACCCTGAGCTTCTCAGGGGGTAGGTACTGTTGGTTTCATCTCTATATCCACAGAATCAAGCACAGAGCCTGACACAAAATAGAATCCCATTATAGATGGCATAGAATGAAGGATGGAAATATGAATGGAACCACAGCCAGATGGATGATAATATGGGTGAATGGCCATTTGGACAAATGGATAAAATGGAGTGTTAAACAGTTGAGTACGTGGGTAGATGAATGGTTGGTTAGGTGATTAGATGATTAATTGGAAGGTGGGTGGGTAATTGGGTGACTGGAAGATGGATAGATGAATAAATGGATACCTACTTGGGATGACTAGATGGATAGTTGGATAAATCATGGGTATATGGACGAACAGATAGATTATTGGATAGATGACCAGATCGATAACCAAGTAGTTGTGTGGTGACATGAATGAATAGATGGTGGTTTGGATGAGTGAATGGCTGGGTGGTTTTACGGAAATATGGATAGATGGTTAGGTGGGTGAGTTAGTGGATAAATGAGTGGGTTGTTTGGACAGGTAGATGGATGGAATGATTGATGGTTGTTGGTGGTTGATAATAATATTATGATGGATATGTGGACAGTTTAATGGGCAGGTGGATGGAAAGTTAAATGGAAATGAAGTGTGATGGTTAGATGGATAGAGAGTGGAATGGAAGTGAAGAATCTTTAGCATTGCCTAAAATACCTGAGTCAGCCTCACTAATATCTGTCAGCTTAGGTTTCTTCTAGAATGAGTGGAGGAGCTTTACTGGATAAGCTGACTTCTAGCTGGAGTGGATAATGAGACTAGAGTAGAGCCACCCAGTCACCAACCATCCACTGGTAGTCAGTGATGTGAATACTCCTGAATCCCCCTGACTCCCCATTCTTTAGCACCCTTGCCACACAGGAACCCACTTATAATCATGATCTACCCATCTCTCCCTTCCTGCTACCATCAAAACCTGCTGTCAGGGAAAATTCTGTTTAGGGTCCAACAAAGGGTAAATTACTTATTAAGAAAATTTTTTCTTTTAGTAGGATTTCATTAGAAACACAAGTAGAATTTCAGCCATGCACACAGGAGGTTTTGGGTGAAACAGATCTTCCCCTTGACCCTGAAATTAAACTACGTAGGTGATCAACTACTTTTTTGTTGTGATGAGTCAATGTCAAAGACTAGTTCTGACAAAAGTTAGCAGTCCACAGTCTTTAAGGTAAGTGTTTTAACTTGAATTCCTTCTGGATGACTCAGAGCTTCTGCTGAGTAAGGATAGTATTTTTCTCATCTCTGTATGCTCATTGCCCATCACAGAGCCTGGCACAGATATGCCACTTAATGAATGTTGGATGGGTGAATGAGTAGATAAGTGGTGGATGGATGGATGGATGGATGGATGGATGGATGGATGGATGGAGAGATGGGTGAATAGTAGATGGATGGATGGATGGATTAGTGGATGGTGGATGGATGGAGGGATGGGTGAATGAGTGGATGCATGGATGGATGTAGATGGATGGATGGATAGATGGATAGGTGAATGAGTGGATGGATGGATGATAGGTGGACAGATGGGTGGTTAGGTGGATAGATGGATAGATGGATGACTGGGATTTCATGGTCCCAGGCTTCTAGACTTCACTGTTTCCCCAGCGGTGTCTTGCTGCTCTCCAGAACATTCTTAGAAGTAGAGTAACAGGACTATTCAAGACACACATACAAAAGCTTTTGGACTCTCAGAAGTCCAACCTTGACTCCAGAACTTCCTGAGCAGCCCAGCAGAAGGATAGAGACCCACAAAAGTGCCCAGGTTGACCTCAAGGATGAAAGAATTTGCATATCCAAGGGATTTAGAAGTCAGAGAGCTACCATTTGGATTTTTTCCATTGCAAATGACAGAAACACTATCAAAATGGCTTAAACAAAACAGAATTCATCTGCTCACTTGACTAAAAGATTCAAGAATGAGTGACCTCAGACCCCTTCAAATGCAAAACTCAAGACCCATCTTTAAAATTCAATTTATTTCTCTGAATCCCTGGACTCTGTTTCCTCTCCTTTGGCTTCGTTTGTAGGCAACATCCACATTCTTAGAGTGGAAGCTGTGGAAGACGTAATCCAACAAAGATTTTCATGAGTAAAGCATTGCTTAATTTTTAAAAGATAACTGCCTAGGACAGATAATCAGGTTAAATGTATTATGTGAGTTAATGTCCTTTAAATATTTTGAGTTGTTTCTTCCTGAGTTACTTGCAGCCAAAAGCGCTCCAACTGATATAGCACATAATAAATAGCATTACTAGTTTTTTTTTTTTCTTTTTTTTCTTTTTTTTTTTTGAGACAGAGTCTTGCTCTGTCACCCATGCTGGAGTGCAGTGGTGTGATCTCGGCTCACTGCAAGCTCTGCCTCCCGGGTTCGTGCCATTCTCCTGCCTCAGCCTCCTGAGTAGCTGGGACTACAGGTGCCTGCCACCACGCCCGGCTAATTTTTTTGTATTTTTTAGTAGAGACAGGGTTTCACCGTGTTAGCCAGGATGGTCTTGATCTCCTGACCTCGTGATCCACCCGCCTCAGCCTCCCAAAGTGCTGGGATTACAGATGTGAGCCACCGTGCCCAGCCTTTTTTTTTTTTTTTTTTTTTTTTTTGAGACAGTCTTGCTCTGTCACCCAGGCTGGAGTGCGATGGCATGATCTCGGCTCACTACAATGTCCACCTCCCAGGTTCAAGCGATTCTCCTGCCTCAGCCTCCTGAGTAGCTGGGATTACAGGCGCATGCCACCATGCCCAGCTAATTTTGTATTTTTAGTAGCGACAGAGTTTCACCATGTTAGCCAGGCTGGTCTCGAACTCCCAACCTCAGGTGATCTGCCCACCTCAGCCTTCCAAAGTGCTGGAATTACAGGCATGAGCCACAGCACCTGGCCAACACTTTATATTTTTTAAAATGCAACTGGTTCTTGTTTTTTGGTTGGTGGTGGTTTTTGGTGTTTGGTTTTGTTTTGGTTTGGTTTTGGGGGATTTTTGTGTGTGTGCGTTTTCTGGTTTTGATTGTTTTTTAGACAGGGTCTCACTCTTGTTACCCAGGCTGGAGTGCAGTGGCACAGTCATAGCTCACTGTAACCTCAAACTCCTGGGCTTAAGCGATCTCCCCACCTTAACTTCTGGAGTAGCTGGGATTACAGGCATGAGCCACCACACCCAGCTAATTTGGTTTTAAAACTTATAAAAAAATACTCAGGCCAGACATGATGGCTCACACCTGTAATCCCAGACCTTTGTGGGGGCCAAGGTGGGAGGATGGCTTGAGGCCAGGCGTTCCATACCAGACTGCAACATAGTGAGACCCCATCTCTACAAAAAACAAAAATAAAAAAATTAGCCAGGCCTGGTGGTACACGCCTGTAGTGCACGCTACTCAGGAGGCTGACGCAGGAGGCTCACTTAAGCCCAGCAGTTCAGGCTGCAGTGATTTATGATTATGCCACTGCACTCCAGCCTGGATGACAGAGTGAGACCCTGTCTCTAAAAATAAAAATAAAATATAAAAAAATGTCAGTGCAGTGGCTTACACCTATAATCCCAACACATTGGGAGCCGGAGGCAGAAGGATCACTTGAGCTCGGGAGTTCAAGATCAGCCTGGGCAACATAGTGAGACCCTGTCTCCACAAATAATTTAAAAAATTAGCCAGGTGTGACAGCATGCACTTATAGCCCAAGCTACCAGGGAGGCTGAGGTGGGAGAATCACTTGAGCCCAGGAGGTCAAGGCTGCAGTGAGCTGTGATCATGCCACTGCACACCAGCCTGGGTGACAAAGCGAGACCCTGTCTCAAAAAAAGAAAAGAAAAAAGTTCAACCTCACCTATAACAAGAGAAATGCAAATACGTTCATTGTCCACATTAGTTGGACAAAAATCTGAGAGTTTCATGACTCACGGTACTGATGAAGCTCATATATTGAAAACGATGAATGGATTACCTATAAGAGCACCTTTTTTTAAATTTTTTTAATTTTTTATTTTTGTAGAAACAGGGTCTCACTATGTTGCCCAGGCTGGTCTCAAACCCCTGGCCTCAAGTGATCTTCCCGCCTCAGCCTCCCAAAGTGCCGGGATTACAGGCATGTGCCATCTTGCCTGGCCCTATAGGAGCATCGTAAAGGTCAGATGTCAGTTTTGGAGACTTCTCTGTCAATAACCTGTGGCCCTCAGGAGCTTGTTTCCAGCCTTGGTTTCCCCCAAACAGCATCACTAGCCCTTTCTCTGTGTGCCCCACAGCATTGGGTAAAGGCTGTGGCCATGTGGGATGTAGCAAGAAAGACCCTTCTCTGAGGCCCCATTGTCCAACACAAGGTGGTCTCAGTGGTCTGAGAGCCAGGGACCCCTGGGAAAATCCTGTTAACAAGTTTCAAAGAGGCTGGAATATATCCACTCATCCATGCTCCTACAGCTCACCCATTCACAATTTTCAGTGTGATGAAGGCACTCTCCCACCTGTCACTCATATGTCTGATTTCATCAGCCTCCTGTAAGCAGCTGCATTCCTTAATTTCTTTTGAGACCAAGTCTCACTCTGTTGCCCAGGCTGGAGTGCAGTGGCATGATCTCAGCTCACTGCAACTTCTGCCTCCCGGGTTCAAGTGATTCTCATGCCTCAAGCCTCCCAAGTAGCTGGGACTACAGGTGTGAGCTACCACGCTCAGCTAATTTTCATATTTTTAGTAGAGATGGGGTTTCACTAT
Source organism: Homo sapiens (assembly GCF_000001405.40). Lineage (NCBI taxonomy): Eukaryota > Metazoa > Chordata > Mammalia > Primates > Hominidae > Homo > Homo sapiens. Next base: position 47,194,786 of record NC_000020.11, read on the forward strand.
GTTGGCCAGGGTAGTCTCGAACTCCTGACCTCAGGTGATCCACCCGCCTCAGCCTCCCAAAGTGCTGGGATTACAGGTGTGAGCCACCGCACCCGGCCCCTTCATTTCTTTTGTATCCTTTTAAAGTTTCTTTATGGAAATATGACAATATATTTCTTATTTCTTCTTCATTGTTACACAAAGGGTGGCATGTGCCATTGGCTTTTTTTCACTTAGCGATGTGTTTTGGAAATAGATCCGGGTTATGCACAGGTCTGTTATTTACCAGGTGCTCGTTTCAACTTCTGGATGCAGAGGTGAAAATGAGCAGATGAGGTCCCGACCGTCACAAAGTGCAGGGAACCGGACTGAAAGCGGCCCTATTGACACTGGGAGGTAGCCTTTGCCGCCAGTCAGCTGGGTCCCACAAGAAAAAAGGTTTTCGCCAGCCAGGAGCAGGGAACCAGCACACACCCCAGGTACAGGCTTCATTCAGGCTTGAGCCACAATCTGTGTCCCCTTCCAAGATCTGCCTTGAGGTCAGCAGGAGAGGAGGGGTCGTATGAGCCTCCGCAGGGAGGGGAAGGTGGCTCTTGGAGGCCTACTTTAGCCAACTTCAAGAAGACCTGTTGAAAGGGGTCCCAAGAAGAACTTCTTGACAGAGATGGCAGTATCTCTCCAGGGAACATTCAGGGGCCATAAAGGGGTCTTGGTGCTTGCCCAGGAGGTAAAATATTGAGGATCTTTTTGCTGGCTGAGATTTTAACTTTTAGGGCACACAGCATGGTACTGTTAGCTCAAAGAAGGAGGCTGCTTTCTTCCCCAGTACAGAGTCACTTCAGACAGTGCCTGGAGTCCGGAAGCAAGCATTGGGCTGATGCAGTGCAGACTCCCCCGAAAAGCATTTGCTGTGGACTCGCTGGTCACCTCTAAGGAGGTGACACTTGAACTCAGACCAGTACAACAAGAAAGGCCAGGGACAGCATTCCAGGGAGAGGTGCAGGAAATACACGGTTCCAGGCAGGACAAAGGAAGGAAAGGAAGCCGGTGTGGCTGGAGGCCAAGGCCAAGGTCAGAGGGTGCGAGCATGATAGGGCGCAAGGGCAAGGCCCGGCCAGATGTCGTGGGACCCTATTCATTTTGGATTTTAAATTGTATTCTAAATCCAGTGACAAGATATCAGAAGGTTTTAAGCAGGGTGCTTAAAACCAATCAGGTTTTAAACAGGAGGGTGCTGTGATATGATTGATATTCTCAAAATCACCCTGGCTGCCATGGAAAGAATGGCTAGAAGGGGCAGGATGAAGCGTCTGGGCAAGGGATTCCTTCATACATTTTAAATTTTTTTTATTTTATAATTAATATAAAGTCTATTGCACAAATCTCAAATCTCAAGTATTTTTACGTATGATTATGCTGGGATAATTACAGCACCCAGATCAAGATGGAAAACGTTTCCAGGCAAAAGGCTGGCTCCCTCGCACCCCTGCCCAGTCTATATCCGCATTCCATGACTGTTCCGGTTCCTGTCGCTAAGGTAGTTTGGCCAGATCTAGAACTTCATATAAATGGACTCAGAGCGTAATCTTTGGTGCCTGGCTTCTTTGACTCAGAATGTTTTTGAGGTGTACCCATGTTGTGGCACGGACCTGTGGTTCATTCTGGCAAGAGGAGAATTCGCGTTAAAAACGATGGACCATTTTTCCCTAATATTTTGAGCCCCATGATGCAAGCTCAGCGCCCGAGAAGCTGTGCTCATCTGCAACCACCAGGGGGCAGTGCGGCCCCACAGCTGACCCAGCCGCCCGCAGGTGCCACTTGAAGTGGGACCCGGAAAGAGCAATAACGCAAGCCTTCCGAGAAAGGATTCTCAAGGCGTCTGCTTTGGGCTGCGCCGGGCTACAGGGATTGCTCTGATGATACTGCAGCACCGTCGACGATATGTTAGGCCCAAGAGGTCATGGTAAGGTGACCTTCTACAGTGACCATAGTGGTGGCCTCGGTTGACACAATGTCTATGCAGGAGGCAGATGGACGCTGTGGTGGCCTCGAGAGTGGCCCAGCCACCTACAGGGCTGGGAAACGCTGTTCCTGCACTCTGCCCAGCTTTAGACATGGGCCGCGCCAGTGTTTAATAATGTAATTGTAACAATGGCTTCAATTGTCTGGGAGAAATGTTAGGTTGGTAGGTTGGTTGGTTGGTTGGTTTGAGATAGGGTCTCACTTTGTTGCCCAGGCTGGAGTCAAGTGGTGCGACCGCAGCTTCCTCGACCTCCCAGGCTCAAGTGATCCTCCTACCTCAGCCTCCTGAGTAGCTGGGACTACAGCCGTGCACCACCACACCTGGCTGAATTTTTTGTATTTTTTGTGGAGATTTTGCCATGTTGACCAGGCTGGTCTCAAACTCCTGGGCTCAAGCAATTCACCCACCTCAGCCTCCCAAAGTGCTGGGATTACAGGCATGAGCCACCGAGCCCAGCCGGATTTATTTTTATATCCTGAAGTTCATCTGAGAGTGATGATAATCCGGCTCTAGCCAAATGCTGATTTTATAATTCAACCATTTGGCCGTGTGCAGTGGCTTACACCTATAATTCCCAGCATTTTGGGAGGCTGAATCGGGAGGATCGCTTGAGCCCCAGAAGTTTGAGGCTGCAGTCACAATCACATCACTGCCCTCCAGCCTAGGTGACAGAGAAAGGCAAGACCATGTATCAAAAATCTCAAAAAAAGGCTGAAGCAGGTGGATCACTTGAGGTCATCAGTTCGAGACCAGCCTGGCCAACATGGTGAAACCCCGTCTCTACTAAAAATACAAAAAAAATTAGCTGGGCATGGTGGTGCATGCCTGTAATCCCGGCTACTCGGGAGGCTGAGGCAAGAGAATTGCCTGAACCCAAGAGGCGGAGATTGCAGTGAGTCGAGATCACGCCACTTCACTCCAGCCTGGGCGACAGAGCGAGACTCCATCTCAAAAAAGAAAAAAAAATAAATTCAACCATTAAGTATTTGGTATTTGTTTGGGGTTTTGGTTTTATTTTGAGACAGAGTCTCGCTCTGTCGCCCAGGCTGGAGTGCAGTGACATGATCTCGTCTCACTGTAATCTCCGCCTCCCGGGTTCAAGCGATTCTTGTGCCTCAGCCTCCCGAGTAGCTGGGACTACAGACGCATGCCACCACACCTGGCTAATTTTTGTATTTTTAGTAGAGATGGGGCTTCGCCATGTTGGCCAGGCTGGTCTTGAACTCCTGGCCTCAAGTGATCCTCCCGCCTCAGCCTCCCAAAGTTCTGGGATTACAGGTGTGAGCCACAGCACCCAGCCAAGTATTTGGTGTTTGGTAAACTCCAGCTCTAGGTGACGGGGGAGCCTCTTTGCCCTTGCATCCCCTACCCAACTCCATGGGGATCTGGGCCCACAGAGACCTACCCACCTCTCCCTCAGCCCCTGAAGTCTACTGGCCCCCTTGTGGGGTAATAAGAAATGCATATTACATATTACATCAAGACCCAGTACAGCACATACATATGTGTGTGTATAAATAGGAGTGTATGTATATCATGTATGTGTGTATAACTCAGTTTCACAAAGCAATGCTTACCAAACAACTGTGACACATTCTATAATTTTTCCATCCTGCTGTTTTTCAGTGATGCAGGTTCCAATCTGCAAAATCAATTTCACAACCCATGGATTGGAAACCACTGGTTTAGAACAAGGATTGGCACATAAGCTCATCCAAGTGATTGTTTTTATAAGCCCCATTTAACAGAGGGTGAAACTGAGACTCAGGAGGTGTCGTGGCTTGCCTGTGATTCACAGCTGGAGGCGGGCAGAGCTGAGACTCCGATCCTGCACTCTCTGACTCAGGTTGCAAACTCTGGTCCACAGATACATTTTATTACTCTTCACATGATTTTTTTCATACTTTGACCCGATTATATAAAACTTGGGTGATTTCACTCAAAATGTAAATTTTCAACTTCTCTAAAATTCAAGTGGATCCCTTGGCCTGCATTTGCACATGAGCAGCTAAAGCCATCCCATGGCCACCCCTGTGAGCTGACTCGGGGGCTCTCCAGGTTGACCCGTTCGCCACAGTCCTCACCATGCTGTGTTTTTTGTTTTTTTAATTTTTTTTTCTTTTTTTTGAGACAGAGTCTCGCTCTGTTGCCAAGACTGGAGTGCGGTGGCACGAGCTTGGCTCACTACAACCTCCAACTCCTAGGTTCAAGCAATTCTCCTGTTTCAGCCTCCCGAGTAGCTGGGATTACAGACAGGCACCACCACACCTGGCTGATTTTTTGTATTTTTATTAGAGATGGAGTTTCACCATGTTGGTCAAGCTGGTCTCGAACTCCTAACCTCAGGTGATCCACATGCCTCAGCCTCCCAAAGTGCTGGGATTACAGGCGCGAGCCACCGCGCCCGGCCACCATGCTGTGTTTTCTCCCTGACACCCCGAAGTCAAGCATCGGTTGCCATTGATCCACACACCAGCCAGCTGTTATTCTCATAGTGGAGAAATATTTTTTCTGTCAAAAGTGGAAAAATAAAAACTAAACCAAAGGGCTTACATATTTCAAGAAAAGCAATGGTGGAACACGGTGGCTCACACCTGCAATCACAGTGCTTCGGGAGACTGAGGTGGGAGAATCATTTGAGCCCAGGAGTTTGAGACCAGGCCGGGCAATATAGTGAGACCCCCATCTCTACAAAAATAAATAAGTAACTGGGCGTAGTGGTGTGCACTTGTGGTCCCAGCCACTCGGGAGGCTGAGGCAGGAGGATGGCTTGAGCCCAGGAGGTCGAGGTTGTAGTGAGCTATGATTGTGCCACTTTGCAGTGAGCTATGATTGTGTCACTGCACTCCAGCCTGGGCAACAGAGGGAGACCCTGTCTCAAAAAAAAAAAAAAAGATTAAAAAAATGCACAGATTATTCAAACACGTGTTTTTGTTGTTATTGTTGTTGTTTGGTTTTTGGTTTTTTGAGACGAAGCTTCGTTCTTTCTCCCAGGCTGTAGTGAAGTGGCGCGATCTCGGCTCACTGCAACCTCCGCCTCCCAGGTTCAAACAATTTTCCTGCCTCAGCCTCTCAAGTAGCTGGAATTACAGGCACTCGCCACCACGCCCGGCTAATTTTTGTATTTTTAGTAGAGACTGTAATGCCTAAGCTTGTTTTTACTAACCTTGTTTTTAGACTCTCCCTCTTTCCTTTAATCACCTAGCCTTAGTTCCACCTTAATTGACTCTCCCTTAGCTAAGAGAGCCAGACAGACTCCATCTTGGCTCTTTCACTGGCAGCGCCTTCCTCAAGGACTTAACTTGTGCAAACTGACTCCCAGCACATCCAAGAATGCAATTCACTGATAAGATAATGTGGCGAGCAATATCCGCAGTTCCCAGGAATTCGCCTGATTGATAACGCCCAAAAAAAGCCCCGCGTCTATCACCTTGTAATAATCTTAAAGCCTCTGCACCTAGAACTGTTTACTTTCCTGTAACCATTTATCCTTTTAACTTTTTTGCCTACTTTATTTCTGTAAAATTGTTTTAACTAGACCCCCCCCCTTTCTAAACCAAAGTATAAAAGAAAATCTAGCCCCTTCTTCAAGGCCGAAAGAACTTTAAGCGTAAGCCATCTCTTAGCCGCCGGCTAAATAAACAGACTTAATTCGTCTCAAAAGTGTGGTGTTTTCTCTAACTCGCTCCCGTGCAACAAGACGGGGGTTTCACCATGTTGGCCAGGCTGGTCTCGAACTTCTGACCTCAGGTGATCCATCCACCTCGGCCTCCTAAAGTGCTAGGATTACAGGCGTGAGTCACCGCGCCTGGCCTCTAACATGTTTACTATACAAAGAAAGCATATCTATGTCAGTGTTACCCCAGCCTGTTTCCCTAGCTTATATCCCCTGCCTGGGTCCTGGGAGCAAACCCCAGCTGAACTCACTACCCTATGTCTACGTCTTGTCTCTTTTGTCCACAGTTGTGTCCCCAGCACCTGAAACACAGCCCAGTGAAGAGTAAGTCCCTAGTTAATAATTAACTTGTGGCTTTTATACAAAAGTTTCTCCAATGATGACAAAGATATAGTCATGGTTAAGAGCAGGCATTTTTTGGGCGGGGCGCGGTGGCTCACGCCTGTAATCCCAGCACTTTGGGAGGCCGAGGCGGGTGGATCACAAGGTCAGGAGTTGGAGACCAGCCTGGCTAACATGGTGAAACCCCGTCTCTACTAAAAATGCAAAAATTAGCCAGGCATGGTGGCTCATGCCTATAATCCCAGCTACTTGGGAGGCTGAGGCAGGAGAATCGCTTCAACCCGGAAGGCAGAGGTTGTGGTGAGCCAAAGTTGCGCCACTGCACTCCAGCCTGGACAACAAGAGCGAAACTCTGTCTCAAAAAAAAAAAAAAAAAAAAGAGCAGGCATTATTTGTGTCATTAGACTGGGTTCAAGTCCAGCTTCGGCTACGCACAAGCTGTGTAGCCTCAATCCCTCTGGACCTGATGTCCTTTGCTGCAAAATGCAGGTCATTAGGATGCAATGTGCAGAAATTGCCTGGAGCACAGGAGGTGCTGTGTATGTAAATGAAGTTTCCCTCTCGGGTTCATCAAAGTGAACCAAGGTCAGTACTCAGCTGTCTTAATAAAGCTTGTAGTACCCAACTGGCCCAGGCTTAGGCTATCTGTGGGACCAGGAAGGCCACAGTTTTCCATTAACACCACAATCTGAAAAGAGTGCCCTGGGCAGATTAGAGCCCTAGACCAGGTGGCAAAGCCACGGGTTTGATCCCTGGTCACATGTATGAGAACTGGCTTGTTCAACATCTGATCATTCTTCTGGGGTGGTTTTCTGAACTAAACTAAAAACCGGCTGGGCCCAGTGGCTCACACCTGTAACCACATTACTTTAGGAGGCCAAGATGGGAGGATCACTTAAGGCCAGGAGTTCTAGATCAGCCTGGCCTATAAGGTGAAAACCTGTCTTTACTGCAATTACCAAAATCAGCTGAGCATGATGGCACACGCCTATAATCCCAGCTACTCAGGAGGCTGAGGCACGGGAATCGCTTGAACCCGGGAGGCGGAGGTTGCAGTGAGCCGAGATCACGCCACTGCACTCCAGCCTGGGTAACAGAATGAGACTCTTGTCTCAAAAAAAAGAAAAACAACTTATTCCTCAGGCTCTATTCAGCCAGGCGTCTGATATATTCAAGGTTCCACCCATCAGCTGCATTTGGTACGGATTAAGTGGGGAGAAAAGTGACTGCACGTGGCGGTGTGGACCAGCCTAGGGCCAGCGTGGTTGTGGCCTCGGTGCATCTGTTTCTTTGCAGCCCAGTCCTGCACGGTGGCTTCGGTGGCTTCCTGGAAGCTCAGACCTCATGGCTTTCTTCAGCCCTCCATGTGAGTCCGGAAATACTGTTTTGGGGGTTTGTTTGTTTTTGTTGTTTTGTTTGTTTTTGTTCTTTTGTTTTGTGTTTGTTTGTTTTTTGAGACGGAGTCTAGCTCTGTCGCCCAGGCTGGAGTGCCATGGCATGATCTCGGTTCACTGAAACCTCTGTCTCCTGGGTTCAAGCGATTCTCCTGCCTCAGCCTCCCAAGTAGCTGGGATTACAGGTGCCTGCCACCACGCCCAGCTAATTTTTGTATTTTAGTAGAGATGGGCTTTCACCATGTTGGCCAGGTTGGTCTTGAACTTCTGACCTCAAGTGATCCGCCTGCCTCAGCTTCCCAACGTGCTGGGATTATAGGCAGGAGCCACCGTGCCTGGCTTGTAAATACTGTTAATGCATCAGTGAGATTGAGCCCATGAGTTTGGGAGCAGTCATGCACAGATGATGGGTATTAGATCTTACATAATTGTGGGAGGAGCTGGGGAAGCAGGGGTCTGAGGAGAGATCTGGAGTCACCAAGAAGGTGATCTGAGAAGCTGTGGGGCAAGTTCAGAGGACTCAATGGGGATCTGTGGCCTCTGCAGTCCAGCGGCTGGTGACAGGCCAGGTGCTGACATGCAGGAGTCAGGAAGATGACCTGGACGCAGAGTGGAGGAGAGCAAGGGCAAGCTGGAGCCTGCTGGCGCCACTGCAGTTGTCTGTCCCACATCTAACTACAGCGACCTTGCAACAGTAGAGGCTGTGGCTTCCTTACAGCCTTGGAAATCTCACACAGCTCCTCTTTTGGTCAACTCTAACTGGGAACCACTCGAGAGCCAGGATTCTGGGAAATGTGGTTCCAGCCTAGCCAGGTTGGCACGGAACTGACCAGTACACTTACTAATGCCTTGTGCTTAAACTGGTTGGGTGAATTCTGCTCTCTACAACTGACCAGGCTGACAGAGACCTTGGACAGTTCTGCAGTGGGTACTGTCATCGTTTTGTCCACACAAGACCTTTTGTTTGAACACTTTCCCAACTTATGAGTCTGCACCAGAAGAGGCTTGAATCTCACTTTCCCAGCCTCCTTTGCAGTTAGAAGGTTAGCTATGTGGCCTAGGCTCAGCCAATCACATACACCCAGGTGGCACCCAGGCTCAGCAATCAAATACCCCTGATATGGTTTGGCTCTGTGTCCCCACCCAAATCTCATCTCGAATTGTAAGCCCCATGTGTCAGAGGAGGTGCCTGGTGGGAGGTGATTGAACTGTGAGGGTGGATCTCCCCCTTGCCGTTCTCGTGATAGTGAGTTCTCACAAGATCTGATGCTTAAAAGTAAGGCACTTCCCCCTTTGAACTCCCTCTCCTGCCACCATGTAAGACATGCTTTGCTTCCCCTTTGCCTTCTGCCATGATTCTAAGTTTCCTGAGGCTTCCCCAGCCCTGCAGAAGTGTGAGTCAGTTAAACCTCTTTTCTTTATAAATTACCCAGTCTCAGGTAGTTCTTTATAGCAGTGTGAAAATGGACTAATACAACACCTAAATGGTGCTTAGGTTCAGTCAATCAGATGCACCCACATGGGACCTGGGCTCAACCAATCCAGATACATCCACATGTGAAAGCAATGGAAGTGGATTCTGATGCATGGAATCCAATCTGGCAAGGAGGCAGAAGGGTCGTGCCCAGCGTCACTAGAGAAAGTCGCAGTGTTTGAACCCAATGGGGCAGTGATGTGGGAAGTCTTTTTTTTTTTTTTTTCAGACGGAGTCTTGCTCTGTCACCCAGGATGGAGTGCAGTGGTGCAGTCAAAGCTCACTGCAGCTTCCACTTCCTGGGTTCAAGTGATTCTCCTACCTCAGCCTCCCGAGTAGCTGGGACTACAGGCGTACACCACCATGCCCCTGCTAATTTTTGTATTTGTAATAGAGACAGGGTTTCGCCATGTTGGCCAGGCTGGTCTCAAACTCCTGACTTCAGGTGATCTGCCCGCCTCAGCTTCCCAAAGTGCTGGGATTACATGCGTTAGCCACCATGCCTGGCCAATGTGGGAAGTCTTAACACAAAGGTCCTGCAATGTAATCTGGACATTGTTGGTTGCTGTGCAATCTCCTAATCCATCTCTCTGGCCTTCCCAGGGATTTGTGAGCCACTCAATATCCTTTAACAAATGCCTTTTCTGCTCAAATTAGCTGGAGTGCATTCTGTTATTTGCAACTAAAAACCTGACCCCTCCCAATTCATGTATCCCCCAAGTGTCCGTTTCCCGAGCTGCACAGAGTGGAATAACCACCCCAGGGCAGCTAAGAGAAGCCTGGGGAGTCATTTTGTAAACTCACCACGGTGTCACACACACACACAGGGCTAGTTGTGACTGGGGCAGTGTTGCCTGATGATTCACTGAACTGGCTTGGGAAGTAAGCAGACTGGTTTGAGTCCCGGCTCTGCAGTGACCTTTTGTGTGATCTTGAGCAAGTCACTTTTTTCTCTCTGAACCTCAGCTGCCTCACTGGGAGAATGGGCCTGTTACGAGGGCCTGCTCCATGTAGGGAGTTATTACAAAACCCGAAGGATTACAGCATGGAAAGCCTCAGCACAGAGCCCCACGTGGGGCAGGCCCACATCAGCGACACTTGGAGGAATATAGGTGACCTTTGCTTCTCTAGACTAAAGAAAATAAATAAGAATATAGATGGGGTCCTGATGTACCCTGATATGAAGGTGGCAGCTAAATGCTGACCTTTGGAAAACTCAACTCTGATTATCGCCACTCGACTGTATAGTTTAAAATGGACGGTCGGCCGGGCGCGGTGACTCATGCCTGTAATACTAACACTTTGGGAGGCCAAGGCAGGTGGATCGTTGAGGTCAGGAGTTTGAGACCAGCCAGGCCAACATGGTGAAACCCCGTCTCTACAAAAAATACAAAAATTAGCCAGAAATTGCTTGAACCCGGGAGGCGGAAGTTGCAGTGAGCCAAAATCGTGCCACTGCACTCCAGCCTGGGCAACAGAGTGAGACTCTGTCTCAAAATAAAATAAAATAATAAAATAGACAGGCACACTGGCTCACACTTATAATCCCAGCACTTTAGGAGGCCAAGGCGGGTGAGTCGCTTGAGCTCACGAGTTCAAGACCAGCCTGGGCAACATTGTGAAACCCCGTCTCTGCAAAAAAATTTAAAAATTAGTTGGGCATGGTGGCGTGTGCCTGTAGTCCCAGCTGCTCAGGAGGCTGAGGCGGGAGGATGGGGTGAGCCTGGGAGGCGGAAGTTGCTGTGAGCAGAGACGTCCCTATAGCACTCAAGCCTGGGCGACAGAGCAAGACCTTGTCTCAAAAAATAAATAAATAAAATAATTGGGCTCAGTCCCCTCGGAAAGAAACCCCCTTCAGGTTCTACTGAACGGTGAGCCCCTCAGAGAGGGCTCCCAATCACATCATCTCCCTACCCGCCTAGCTTTATTTACCTTCAGCGCATCTAGCCCGCCTGGGATTATATTACATGCATACAGGTATCAAATTGCTTCCCAGTGAGAGTGTCAGATCAATAAGGACAGAGACCGAACCTGTTTTGTTCACTACTGTGTCACTACTGAGGACTTGACTCATACAGAGAGCTCAGTGAACAGCTGTCTCCGGAATGAAGGGTTTTGGCCCACGTGCTCGCTGTCCCCAGTGGGCCAGATCTCTCCACAGGCTGCAGTTTTGCCTATGGCCACCAGATAGCGAGCTTGCTGGACTGCATGAAAAGGTCTGAGCCAGTTCCTGCCCCGGTCATTGCCAAAGGAAACCAGCAAGGAACTGGCAGCTTCTGCCAGGTTCACCAGACCTCACTGCATCTCCCTCTTCTTCTCCTCATTCTGAAAACACTCAACCCAGACTGGAACCTTCAAGCCCCTCCCCTCCTACCTGGCCTCTCACTGACCCACTGGTGTGGCCTGAGAAGTAAGCAGATTAGAGAGTGTTCTAATTAGGTGGAGTGGATTCTGTTATTTGCAACTAAAAACCTGACCCCTCCAAATGCATGTAACCCCTGAGTCTCAGTTTTCCAAGCTGCACAAAGAGTGGAATAACCACCCCACTGGGCAGCTAAGAGGAGCCTGGGGAGTCATTTTATAATGGTGCTCACTGCAGGGCCGTTTGCCGTGGCCAGAGTTTGGGGACAATCTCAATGTCCACCAGCTGGGGGCTGGCCACATGCATTATCCCGTGTCCACATAGCAGATATCACACCCCCTAAAAATGGATGGAGGTGCTCTTGAACTGCACTGATATGGATCAATACTCAAGGCTTCAGATTAAGTTTAAAAAAAAAAAACGGGGCAAGGGGACAGGGCAGAAGAGTGTGTATCAAATGCTATCATTTATGTAGAAAAAGGGGGCCGGGAGCAGTGGCTCATGCCTGTAATCCCAGCACTTTAGGACACCGAGGCGGGCAGATCACCTGAGGTCAGGAGTTCAAGACCAGCCTGGTCAACATGGTGAAACCCTGTCTCTACTAAAAATACAAAACTCAGCTGGGCATTGTGGCGGGTGCCCTTAATCCCAGCTACTCGGTAGGCTGAAGCAGAAAAATTGCTTGAATCCAGGAGGTGGATGTTGTAGTGAGCTGAGATTGCGCCACTGCACTCCAGCTTGGGCGACAGAGCGAGACTCCGTCTTAAAAAAGAAGAAAAGGAGCAGAGAAAAATGTCTCTGCATTTGTTTGTAAATGCAGACTCTCCCTGAGGACTATGTGGGAAGGGGGATTGGAGGGGACCGAGGTAGCAGGGAGGGAGAGGCTTTATACTATGGGCCCTTTCGTATCTTCAGATTTGAGTCATGTGGGCTGTTTTACCTGGTCAGATGAATGGTAAAACTAAAAGCAACCATTTCTCTATCCTCGAGTAAGCAAGCCACTTCCCTAGATGTCTTTGCTTCTAAGGGAGGTTGCGGCAGAGGCTGGATGGGGGTGCAGTGGGACACCTCAAGGTGGCCTCTGCATTTGAATGCTGCGCTGCTGGCTACTCGCTACTTAGGAGCCCAGCTGCTGGCTGCTCGCTACTTAGGAGTGGCATGACCTTCATTGTGTCCAAGCCCTGGGGACACAGCAGGGAACAGAGAAAGCACCTCCCTCACCCAGCTCACATTCAACTGGGACACACAGGAGAAGTAATAAAACCCCACACCCTTTGCTCAGAGATATGAAGAAAATATTGAGGGCATGATGGGCCCGTGGGCAGGTGGCTATTTCAGGAGTGACATCTGAAGAATCAGGTACCAGCCACAGAAGAGGGTATCAGGTCAAAGGAGCAGAGAGTGCAGTTGAGACTAGAAAGGCAGGAGCTGAAAGAAGACAATGGATGACCCCTCGTAGCCATGGCCCCTCCTTTCTCTGGTCTTCAGGATGAAATGAGACAACAGAGGAAAGGTGCACACACATGCCCAGGAACGGGAAGCTAACATTCTTCTCACTTAAAAAAATGACTTGGAGGCTAGGCACGGTGGCTCACACCTGTAATCCCAGCACTTTGGGAGGCTGAGGCAGGCGGATCACCTGGGGTTGGGAGTTCGAGACCAGCCTGACCAACATGGAGAAACCTCATCTCTACTAAAAATACAAAATTAGCTGGGTGTGGTGGTGGATGCCCGTAACCCCAACTACTCGGGAGGCTGAAGCAGAATTGCTTGAACCCGGGAGGCGGAGGTTGCAGTGAGCCAAGATCGCGCCATTGCACTCCAGCCTGGGCAACAAGAGCAAAACTCTGTCTCAAAAAAAAAAAAGACTTGGGAGGCCAAGGTGGGTGGATCACCTGAGACAAGGAGTTCGAGACCAGCCTGGCCAACATGGCGAAAACCCCATCTCTACTAAAAATACAAAAATTAGCTGGGCATGGGTGGTAGGCACCTGTAATCCCAGCTACTCGGGAGGCTGAGGCAGGAGAATTGCTTCAACCCGGGAGGCTGAGTTTGCAGTGAGCTATCACACCACTGCACTCCAGCCTGGGTGATGGAGACTCTCCCTCCAAAAAAAGAGGAGAGTCCAGGTGCCATGGCTTACACCTGTAATCCCAGCACTTTGGGAGTCTGAGACAGGCAGATCACTTCAAGTCAGGAGTTCAAGCCCAGCCTGGGGAATATGTGAAACCCTCGTCTCTAAAAATACCAAAAAATGAGCCAGGCATGGTGGTGCACATCTGAATCCCCAGCTACTTGGGAGGCTGAGGCACCAGAATTGCTTGAACCCAGGAGGCGGAGGTTGCAGTGAGCTGAGATTGCGCCACTGCACTGCAGCCTGGGTGACGGGGCGAGAATCCGTCTCAAAAAAAACAAAAAATGAGAATAACTTGTAGACAGTCTGTCTTCCTGTGAAGAATGAGAGGCCCACCCTGACAGGGCTCCTGTGCCCTGCTCACCATCTGTCCCCAGTAACTGAAACTGTGCATGGCTAATGACAGGTCCCCTGTAATACTTGAGTAACTGAACGATTGTTGTCCCCATTAGGATGCAAGTTTGATGAAGGCAGGGACCCGACTCCTTGATGGCACCATGGGATCCTCAGTGCCTGGACAGTGCCTGACGCGATGTGTGTTTGCTGATTGGCAGGAATGAACTTATGCCCACGCGGGCCAACCTCCCCTGCCGGCCATGTCATGTCTTGGCCCTTGGCACAGGAAGGGGTTTGTGGAGATCTTTTCTGGGGAGTTACTGGATTGCAGAGAAGGAACACTGCTGCCCAGGAAACCAAACCTCAGCCTTTCAAGCCGGCTTCATTCTACTCATACCCTGTGCACCTCCAGCCAGGCCCAGAGCCATGGACCAGGGCACCTGCGAGGGGCTGGGATCCTTGCTGCCCACGCGAGGCCTGTTAGCTCGGCCTCCCTACGGGCTTCAAGAAGACAACTCCGTCCTCTCCCAACTGTTTGACGAGGACTGGCGTGGGGGGCACCCACTAGGGCCCATTCTCTCCAGTGTGCCCACCACCTGGCTGTGGGGGGTGTTCATGACCTCTCACGGCCCCTTCTGTGTTTGGTCGTGCAAACCTGACACAGCCATCCCGACCAAATGGAAAACTGCAAATTCGAGGACGACCACGGCATTTTTCCAAAACAGTTTAATTAAAAAAAGGTAAAGAAATCTGAAAAAACTGGGGGGGTGGGGGAAGGAACGGGCAAACCCAAAAAAGCATATAGTGTGAGTCTACTGGCTCAGTCACAAAGAAACACCACCATCAAAAAGATATTTAAGTTTAATACAAATTTTATACAAAGAAAATGTGAAAAAATACTTCCATATGCTAAAAGCAATTATGCTTCACAAATAAGGCCAGCTAGGCTATTTTTTTTTTTTGACAACTGCAATTCACAAATGTTCTTTCTCTCCTGTTTTCTTCTAATACTCTCTTATTTCTTCTCTAATATGGGTAACTAGCTGGAAACTGTACAGTTCGCATCCTCTTAACAATGAAGAGAAAGTAAACAAGACTAAAATGTACAACAAAACGTACTGGAATGATATCGTACAATTAATTTTCTCATATACATACATCACCTTTTGCTTTTTCATCAATGCTTTTTGTTTTACACAACATACAAAATGGCTCTACAGCATACGTAGTGTACGGACAGCATGACGGGCCTTGCTTTCTCTCATACTGCCTGTGTTTCATGCTTACATAAAAACGTGAAATTCCATCATATAAATAATACGTACATGCTTCATCCCAGACTCAAACGTCCTCTGCGTGCACCTTGCCTTTGAGTCCTTGCTTCCAAGAAGCACAGCATCTCTGACCAAGTGTGTGTGAGTGTGTTTAAAGGAACCACAAAGCAAAGATAAGGTTTCTCTTTTTTTCAGAGTTCATGATCCTAAGACTTTCTGTGTTCTCTCCTGTGACTGAGCTGAGTGGGGCTTGTTTGTTTCTCTTCTGTAAACAAGGATATTGTTTTTTCCCTTTTAGGAGTAGAGTCATCATTTCAATCACATGAAAGAAACTAGCTTCTCCCTGTGTCCGTCTGGTCCGGAGAGCTTGCGTTTTAGGAACGTGGTAACGTAGTAGCTGAAAGGAGCCAACGGCTTGATGGGATAGTCTGTGCCGAAACTCCCGATCCCAACATGCTGCGTACAGACACACGAGCGAAAACGGTTCGCCCTCCCCTGGGTATCCAAGGATGAGGACGTGAGTATGAAAGTGGTCCCCGGGCCCAGTATCCATTCCGTCGTGTGACAGACAGGCTAACTGACCATCCCTTCTCCAATACCAAAACATTCTTTTTTGTTGTTGGGGTTGGTTGCTTTTTTTTTTTTTTTTAAATCGTTTTTCTTTTTCTTTTTTTTTTTTTAATAAGTTAAAGTTAATACAAATATAAAAAGGGGAAAGTCCTCTAGATTCAATGACATCCACAAATTGTACATTATTTACACCAAAAGCACAGGGCTCGTGTGGGTGAACAGTCTGCAGTCAAAGCCGATGCTGGGTGTCCTGTAGTGTAGCAGCCCCCGCGCCGGGGGCTCAGGCTCAACTGAGGGTTTTGTCATTTTCAAGTCTGAAAGTGGCTGTTCTCCTGCCTTTGTTGTTTCTTCTTTTCCTGGCGTCTGGGTTTTTCTCCCAATGGGGTGGGTGGTTTGTGTCCCGATTCACTGCTAGTCCCAGAAGGTGTCCAGCCGAGACTCTTTCGGGAGGAGGCTCTTCGTGCTGGTACTGGTGTTGTGATCGGAACGTGTCGATCCCCTCTTCTCATCACTGCTGCTCCAACTGGATTTATTACTCCGGGAATGGTCTGAGGGGGAAAACCAATGTGTTTAGCGTGCCTGCCCACCTGCGCCTGAGCACAACTATCCTGCAATCTGACCTGCCCCTCCTGCACAGGAAACCACCTTCCCCTCCCAATTGATGGTTCAAACACTGCCACCGCTGACTGCCCTGCATCTGTGGGTCTGTAGAACAGAAAGGTAGAACAACTTATTTTTTAGGATTTAACGACAACCGGTTGAAAAAACGGTAGGGTGTCATGCTCACAGAGAATAAAGATTTGTAGAAAAGGTGCTGAACTGCCAAGGAAGGCATTTCTTGTGCCGTGTCTGGAACCGTGTATCCTTACTACATCACTGAACGACACCAAGCACCCCATGCACTTCTGGGTCCAACCTTGGCCCCTGGAGAAAGACACTGAAATTTGGCATGCAGTCTACTTCCGTTAGTGGGATTTCTTTTATCAATGTATAGGCAACTTGAAAAATGGCCTTACAACCAAATCACACTTGTCCACCCAAGGGAAAGGATCATAAAGGAGAAGAATGGTTAAGTCCACCTGGGAACACACACCCACTGACTCCCGGTAAGGACAAGCTTATGGGTGACTGAAGAATTCAGAATCAGAATAAGACCTAGGATGGCTTCAAGGACACATGGACAAGGAGCTGAGTAGTGACTGAGTAAGAAATAAGTGAAGAAGCTGAAGGAAGAGCCGAATGAGGTGTCTGTGAAGAGCACTTTAGCCAACAGCCCAGCCCAGATCTGCAGCTCTGCTAGATGGCTGACTGGAGAAACCTTCCAGCCAAGCCCTAAGATCCCATCACATCCTGGATCATGTACTAAGTTCAGACAGACTGGGACAGAATTATTTTTTAATTTCTTAAGGTGGGTGATAATGTTTGGTTGAAAGAGGTTGAGGGCAAGAGTGGAGTGGGCCAAGGAGGGGACCATGCTACTACCTAGGGGGGCTGCATTTCTTACTGCCTGGTAAAAAGGCATGTGTGGGTAATCATGAGTTCTGGAAGATAAGCAGTGAAGAGAATGACAAAGATCTCCAAAGTCATGTAGTTACTCAGGAGAGAACTCTTCTTAGTCATGTGCATCAGTGACCAAAAGGGAGCAATACTATGGTAGGCAGAGCTGGGGGCAAGGGCGGAGTCTTCTTAACAATCCTCAATCTGCCTTCTTATGCCTTCTTCCCTTAGCCGCCATGCCTATGCTTTTATTTCTCCGGAAGGACTCTGGGGAGTGATGCAGCTGGTCATCCCCATCTGGGAGAAAATCCTACAGTGATGTGGTCAAACCACATCAAGTCCTTCCAGCTCTGGTGAGGGCAGAGACCACCAGCGGGTACTGGAAGAAATGGGACCAGGGCCAAGCTGAGTTCAGTATCTCTCTCCCAGAACCAGGCTGGCTAATGGAGGGATCTGCAGGCCCTCACTCCTCATATGGAGAGGACACGGGACACTGGCTGCCATAGCCAATCACCACAGGAGGGAATCGGTGTTCATCTAGGACCCTTTATGAAAAGAGCGAGGACGATCTCCATCAAGAAGCCAGGCCACATGCTCGCTCTCATTTCCTAATGCAGTTTGTGATGGCGACCAGAGGCACAGCGAAGAAGAAACGTTGCAAAGGAAGACCCACAACTCAAAAGAACAGGAGAAGACACACCCACAAAGGAACACATACACGGACACACACAGAACAAGCCTTCTGCATACCAGGAAGAAGCCCCGGCAGCTTTCGTAAGACAGGTTCATACTTACACTTCTGGGCGGGGTAGTTGGGGTGCGGCTGGTGGTCTGTGGTGGTTGGGGCATAGGCAGGTTGCTTGTCACACCTTTTGCTAACTGAAGAGATAGCACAGGTAGCCTCAGAGTCTGTCAGAGAGCTGGAATTCCGCACAACCCCAAGTGCTTACTATTTTTGTTCATCAACAGGCTACTGTTATTAGAACCAGTTGGCACCTTCATTCATGTCACCATTGTCCAACTTTAATGCAAGCACAGGAGACTAAGTCTCTTTAAAAATGCATATCAAACCACAAACAGCATCACTGGACACAGCACAGCATTACAGGTAGGAAATAAGGTATACAATGACATAAAAGCAACTCAGCATTTTGTAAGCCACAAATTTTCAACCACTAGCTCTGCCAATAGCCTAATTCAACCATGGGAAACGGAGGCAGGCACTAGAAACGTGCTAAGGTTGAAGGCAGCACCCGAGAAAGCCAGACAATTTAAGGCAATAACTCATCAACTGCCCACAGTGATAACAGAATAGGGAGGAGAGGATGGAGAAGGCACACGTGATGAGGAGGACTAAGGAAGGGGCTCCAGATGAGGTGGCAAGTAAGCTAAATTCTCAGCTACGATGGTAGCACACCAACAAATCACCTCTGAAATCAGAGTCAAAAAACAGTGATATGAAAGGAGTCTCCGTAAACAGCTGATACCGTGAGAAGCTTCATAGGAAAACAATTGAAAGTAAGATCAAGAGAAAAAATAGAAACTCCAGGAAAAAGGCTATAAAAGAATGGAATATAATCACAGTACACTATGTGACTCTGCCATGAATGATATGGTCATAATCATACAAGAAAGAATTGTCACACTGCAACTTTTTAGACTAAGCCAACAGACAAGAGTGAGGCTTAACTGCAGTTATAGGACAGAATGCACATGTTCTCAACCTTGACAACGGGGAAAGTCACAGGACAGGTGGGAAGCCTGGCTATGACAGGGGTGGGAGAGGTAAGGAGAAGATGGACTGCCAAAAGAGGGGTCAAGAGATACTGTCTGTAGCAGACAGAACAAAAGAGCTAAGGAGGCAAGTGTTTCACTGGAGCAAGGTAGCACATAAAATAGCAACCTCAGTAGTGTGGGAAGAGGAAGAGAAGAGTAACTCTCATCTTTTAAAGCTCGAAGTCAACAAATAATATCTAATGATGAAGTCAAGAAATAGAGGTATAGCCAAGTACATTATTTATTAGTAAGGAGGTAACAGAAGGACCAGAATGAGCCGTGTAAACTGGAACTAGGAAGAGTTTTCCCCTGCACTATTTTATTCTCTGCAACTCTATGCATATAGCTCTAACTAAAAGCTTAAAACGAAAAGATGAACAGGAGAGGCCCACACACTAAGGGAGCTCATACCCCTAACTAAAATTCTCTCTCTTCCAACTAAACTTAGATGTACTGTCCTAGTACCTGATGCACATAAATAGCTCAGAAGCCTTGACGTTTTTAAAACCCATGTTCCTTCTAGATATGTCACGTGCGCTGTCACCAGAAAGCAAGTGCTGGCAGAAGTAAAGTGACATGGATGAGGAATTAATTAGAAGGGGATCAAAACTGAGGAAGTCTTTTTGCTTTGACGTGACCTGTCAACACAAACTGCTTTGGTGAGAAAATCGGGAAGACTGAGAAGACTGACGGCTGCATTCCCGCACAGACCTCTGCGGCCTCCCTGCAGCTTCTCACTCACACTCTCAGAATCACTGCGGCACTGACTGCAAAACGCACTTTTTCTGCCACTTTCTGACCATGGGCTCCATGGCGCTCTCACTGTGCTGATGTGACTCTGCCCAGCCTCTTTCCAAGTCCTAAATGTCGGACTAAATCTCTTGTTTTTGAGACACAGTCTCACTCTGTCGCCCAGACTGGAATGCAGTGGCACGGTCTCAACTCACTGTAACCTCCGCCTCCTGGGTTCAAGTAATTCTCATGCCTCAGGCCCCTGAGTAGCTGGGATTACAGGGGTGTGTCACCACGCCTAGCTAATTTTTTGTACTTTTAGTAGAGACGGGGTTTCACCATGTTGGTCAGGCTGGTCTTGAACTCCTGACCTCAAATGATCCACCCACCTTGGCCTCTCAAGGTGTTGGGATTATAGGCATGAGCCACCACGCCTGACCTAAATGCGGGGCTAAATCTCTTTTAGTGTAGCCCCGGGTGCACCTCAATCTTTATCCAAACCCTGGAGAGGAGGCCCTTTCTGACATGAAGATACCATGATTCTAGCCAATCTGGTCGTCTTTTAAGAAAAAAGTCTCTGCTGCTGACCACGGTGGCACATGCCTATGATCCCAGCTACTCAAGAGGCTGAAGTGGGAGAATGGCTTGAGCTCAGGCCAAGTTCAAGGCCAGCCTCGGCAACAAGGCAAGATCCTGTCTCTTAGGTTTCAAAACAACATTTAGAATTAAAAATGTCGGCCAGGCATGGTGGCTCACGCCTGTAATCCAAGCAGTCTGGGAGGCCGAGGCAGGTGGATTGCCTGAGCTCAGGAGTTCGAGACCAACCTGGGCAACACGGTGAAACCCCATCTCTAATAAAATACAAAAAATTAGCTGGGCGTGGTGGTGTATTCCTGTAATCTCAGCTGCTCAGGAGGCTGAGGCAGGAGAATCACTTGAACCTGGGAAGCAGAGGTTGCAGTGAGCCAAGATTGCACCACTGCACTCCAGCCTGGGCAACAGTGCAAGACTCCATCTCAAATACTAATAATAATAATAATAAATGTCCATGACTGTTAATGGCTTAGGGGGATGGTGGAGTATCAGAATAGAAACTGTATCATAGCAGCAGCGGAGTGTGTAAAGAAAGGGAAATGGAGACAAATGAAACAACTTTTTTTTTTTTTTTTAAATATGAGGTCTCACTCTGTTGCCCAGCTGGAGTGCAGTGGCTATTCACAGGCACTCACTGCAGTCTCAAAACTCCTAGGCTCAAGTAACCCCCCTGACTCAGCCTCTCCAAGTAGCTGGGACTACAGGTGGGCCCTAGCTCTAGAATAACAACCCTTGAAGAGACATCTAACTAACTGGGTTGAGGAAGGAGACAGGACAGGTCTTAAGCTATGCCATTCAATATGGTAACCACTACAATAAGATACAATGTTAAATTCCATTCCTCAGTCGCACTAGCCACAGTTCAAGGCTTCAGCAGCGACACGTGGCTAGTGGCTACCATAGTGGACAGTGCAAATATAAGAACATGGCCATTGTCACAGAACGTTCTATTGGAGATGCAAGGTGTCAAGGAAGGCACTTGGAGATAGATGAGGATATTTAAGTGCCTAGGAAGAAAAGCAATACAGAGTGAGAAATCTGGCTACAACAAAGGATGCAGATGCCTTTGAACGGCAGGAGGGAAGGACAGAGCACACCACGGAGGCCCTGCAGAGGGCAGAGGAGCAGCCCTGAGCGCCCAGGGATGGTGACGCAGGGAGAGATGCAGGGAGGTCCAAAACAGAGCAGAGAACTTGAGAAATAGCCATCATGGACGATGGAATCCTGATAAAAACAAAAAACTTGGGTCACAACACAGGCCTCTGGCCAGGCACGGTGGCTCATGCCTGTAATCCAGCACTTTGGGAAGCCAAGGTGGGTGAATCACTTGAGGTCAGGAGTTCAAGACCAGCCTGGCCAACACAGTGAAACCTTGTCTCTATTAAAAATACAAAAAATTAGTTGGGCATGGTGATGCACACCTGTAATCCCAGCTACTCAGGAGGCTGAGGCAGGAGAATCACCTGAATTGAGGAGGCAAAGGTTGTAGTGAGCCAAGATCACGCAACTGCACTCCAGTCTGGACAACAGAGCGAAGACTCTGTCTCAAAAAAAAAAAAAAAAAAAAAAAGGGCCGGGCTGGGCGTAGTGGCTCAAGCTTGTAATCCCAGCACTTTGGGAGGCCAAGGCACGTGAAATCACCTGAGGTCAGGGGTTCAAGACCAGCCTGGCCAACATGGTGAAACCCCATCTCTACTAAAAATACAAAATTAGCTGGGTGTGGTGGTGCACACCTATAATCCCAGCTACTCGGGAGGCTGAGGCAGGAGAATCACTTGAACCCAGGAGGCAGAGGTTGCAGTGAGCCGAGATCATGCCACTGCACTCCAGCCTGGGCGACAGAGCAAAGACTCTGTCTCAAAAAAGTAGAATAAAAAAAGAACACAGGTCTCTGGGGACAAAAAGTATTAATAAAAGAAAAACATATTGGGAAGACGATCCGGCAGAAGAGAATATCTGCTTCTGAGGTTAGTGACCCAGATTTGCGTGTGTGATGAGAGGAGTTTGTGTTCTTGTGTAACATTCTCCAGTTAAGCACTGAGGCTCAGGTGCAGGTAAATCAAAAGCGGAAAGCTGGGGTTCATCCAAGGTGAGGTTTTGCCAAATGGACATGCTAGGAAAACAGGAAGGGCCTGGGAGACTGGGTTGTATTAGCAACAGTACTCCATGGAAATTAAGCTGGGTAAGGAGGTAGGAAGGAGGGAGGTATAGAAACAAGACAGTTAGTAGAATTGGGTGAGGAAAAAAAGGCCACATCTGCACGCTGACGTTTCCTAGAGATCAGTGCCTTATTAGCAGAGCCACGCACAAGTGCCATTACTCAGCCATTTTTGAGTTACAACAATTTTATAGGTGTCCACCTAAGTATACCTGACATATGGTTGCAAGCATGAGTCTGGATTGCAAAGCTCAATTGGTTGCATATGGTTGCAAAGCTCAGTCCTTGTTAAAAAGAGAATCAAGAAATATGAGAGATGCTAAAGACATCTCAGTATCAAACTAAGCCTGTTCGAAGGGGAAGTGAAGAGGGAGTTGCTTTCTCAGTAGGTGCTTCCGTCATATTTAATGCCAAGTTCGTATCCTTCCTAAAGTGAGCTCACGTTACTCCCTCTGACTGTGCCCCCAAATCCCACCCACCCACCTTTCAAAGCATGAGTCTGGAGAGATCTGAACTGAAGTCTTGGCTCTCATAATTACTCATTGAGTTACCTGGGCATCTGAGTTAATGTCTCTGGACCTCAACTTGCTCATCTGTATAATGGAAATACTAACTATGCTCTTACAGACATTGGGGAAAAACATGATAAGGTGTTCATGCTCTTCAGTATCACCAATAGCTGCTCTTCTGACTTCCTTTGAAACTCCACGAAGATAGGCATTTATCTGCCTTATTCAGAAAAACTGCCCCTTCCTCCCCCTGCTCGCCCCCCTCTTCCCCCCACCATTTACTGGGGCTTCTTGCCTCCTCTCCCTTCCACTCCCTGGGCCAGTGTGCCTCAGGTCAGGAGTCAGCAAACTATGGCCAGCTCAATGCCTGTTTTTGCAATTCAAGTTTCATTGGCACAAGGCACACGTTTGTTTACATATTATCTATGTCTACTTTCACACTACAACGGCAGGGTGAGCAGCTATGACAGGAACCATGCGGCCTGCAAAACCTAAAATACTTACTAAATGGCCCTCTATGGAAAAAGTTTCTTGACCCTGGTCTAGGTAATACTCCTCCAGCTCAGAATGGAATACGATGCCTCTCCCAACTACCTTCCTGTATGCCACCCTCCTGATGCCAACAGACTCCTGCCAGATTCATCCTACCACGGCATCATTCATCTTCTCAGATGCCATTTCAATCAAGCCACTTTGAGGCTCCAAAACCCTAACAGCACCCCTCTGTCTGAAACGGTGTTTCCCTAACTTGGACCTTCCTCACACCACTTGTGCCATTTCGACACATCCATAGTCCTCTTACATATTGCTTAGTTCATGTTTTTATTTTAAACTTATGTAACTTAGGTAAATAACTAAACTTTTATTGTTAACCAACAAAAAACACAAAACCAATAAAATCTGCTGTTAAATCAAGGGCAACTCCAAAAATGAATGTAATGAAAACCTTAAATTAAAAGTTCTAGGGTGGGGAGCATGCGGCTAAAATCTAGAGTCTGCTCAGTCTTTGTTAAAAAGAGAATCAGGAAATATGAGAGATGCTAAAGACATCTTAGCACTAAACTGAGCCTGTTACAAGGGGAAGTGAAGAGGGAGTTGCTTTTTCAATAGGTGGTTCAGTCATATTTAATGCCAAGTTCATATCCTCCCTCCTAAAGCAAGCTCATATTACTCCCTCTGACTGTGCCCCCAAATCCCATCCAACTTTCAAGGCCTAGCCCCTTAGGGAAACCGTTCCCAGCCCCTAACAATGGACATCACTTCTTCCTCCATGCACTCAATATGCAGAAGTGAAATGAAATGTTTGCTTTTCAGCTCAAGAGAATCGTCAGTGGCTCACGCCTGTAATCCCAGCACTTCCGGAGGCAGAGGCGGGAGGATCACTTGAGGTCAAGAGATCAAGACCAACCTGGCCAACATGGCAAAACCCCGTTTCTACAATTTTTTTTTTTTTTTTTTTTGAGAGAGAGTCTCGCTCTGTCTTCCAGGCTGGAGCGCAGTGGCACGATCTCGACTCACTGCAACCTCCACCTCCTGGGTTCAAGCGATTCTCCTGCCTCAGCCTCCCAAGTAGCTGGGATTACAGGCGCATGTCACCACGCCCAGCTAATTTTTGTACTTTTAGTAGAGACAGGGTTTCACCATGTTGGTCAGGCTGGTCTCAAACTCCTGACCTTGTGATCCGCCCACCTCAGCCTCCCAAAGTGCTGGGATTACAGGCATGAGCCACTGCGCCCGGCCTACCAAAATTTTTTTAAAAAATTAGCCAGGCATGGTGGTGCGTCCCTGTAGTCCCAGCTACTTGGGAGGCTGAGGCAGGAGAATCACTTGAGCCTGGGAGGCGGAGGTTGCAGTGAGCTGAGATCACACTACTGCACTCCAGCCTGGGCGACAGGGCAAGACTGTCTCAAAAAAAAAAAAAAATCATCATCAGGCAGAAAGGTCCTGGAGCTGTGGTGCCAGGCAAAAACCTTGAATGAAGTAAAACTGTCTTCCACCAGGAAGACACCTTCTCTGAACCCTTCTGGAATGACCCAAAACTGCTTTAAGAAAGTGCAGGAAAAAGATTCTTTGGGCTAAGGAAGGAAGACAGCTCAAACCCCACAGAAGAAAAAACCTAGATGTCAAGTCTCAGAAATTTCCCCAAACCTGCCTGCCAGGTTATTCTCCAAAAGGAAAGGATTTAACAGAAAGATCATCCACTTAAGCACTGCCTTCAATTCTCAAAGGCTTGAGCGCCTTCATCCACCATATGCAGGTGTCAGAACCTCAGAATAAAATCTTACACAGTGTCATTTACCGTTCTCATTTCCCTGAGAGAGAGAGAAAAAAAAAACTTCCCAATCCAAATGCACTTCTTCTACCCTACCCCAGGTCAGCAACAGAACCCTCTGTCCAAATGGAGTTTTATGTGGATCCCCAGTAAATACAATAGGTAATACCGATCAGCTTGAAGAGGTACCTGAAAGTTAACATGCTCAGCTACCCCCTCACCCCCACTGACCCACCCCAGGCACCCCTAAGGATCCATAATCGTTTGGAAACCATTGGAATAAACCCTTCAAATTCTCCCTGACAAAATGGCTCCCCATCTGCCCATCTGAAATGTGAAAGCACCGTTCGCCCACCAGGGGGCAACATACCAGAGCCTTGGTTGGAGCCTAAGAGAATGGAGGAGGGCGTCTCTCTGGAGCCAGAAAGGTCAAGGGTCTAGAAATACAAAAAGAAAAAGATGGACTCAAGGCACTGAGGCTACTGTCGCCCCCACAGGGAAATCCAGGGAGTCATGGGGGTGCTCATCGCTGCCCCCAAAGCATCTCAGTGTCCTCTGCCTGGCACGGTCAGGTGGGAGTGATGGGCACAGGGCGGCCAGGTGGCCAAACCCCAGGTACCATCTCCCACACTGAACAGACTGGAACGCAGCACCAGAGTGGCCCCTCACTGTACCCTAGAACATTCACTGTTTCCTAAACTCCACTCACTAACAGAACCCCCTCCAGATTTTTGCCATATCCAAGGAGAAAGTACATTACTTCAAAATTCTGTCAGTCCGCTTTTAATTCATGCTAGCCTCTGACTAGGTAATACTATCAGTTAAACCAACATGTTTTAACTGACAGTCTAACGATTTATCTTTTTCCTAATATGCAATGAAATAGATATACAGTGACTAAAAATGTAAAAAACTATATACTCATGAAAATAGTCTTTGCATACCATCAATGTCACATACATCACACCCTGGCAAACAAACAAGGAGGTGAAACCTTCGTGGCCCAATAGGGCAGCCACTAGCCACATGTGGCTACTGAAATCTCAATTAATTAAAATTAAATAAAACTGTAAAATCAGGTCCTCGGTCACACTAGCTGCATTTCAAGTGCTCAAAAGCTGCATGTAGCTAGCAGCTACCATTCTGGACGGGAAGTACAGAACATTTCCATCATCGCAGAAAGTTCTCCTGGGCAACACTATTCTACACTTTGAGGGTCCCCAGCAGAGAGTACTGGGGAGCAGCTGCCAGGTCCCACACACGCCGGCCCAGGCTCCATGTTCCCACACATCCACTGGAAATGCCGGCACACTGTTAGGACAAGCCTCCCACAACACGGAACTTTCAGGGCGGCAGACAGGGGGTCCTAAGTCCACTTGGCACAAAGGGTAGATGTCACTAGCCAAAGGCATGGGGGGATCCTCACCGAGCCACTCTCCTTGCTTTTCTCAGCTGACGTCTCCTTCTCTTTGGAGGCGCTGGCCGTTTCTGAAGGTGCTGATTGTGTGCTCGAGGAGCTCCCCTGGGAGGACTTATTTAGTGTTTCTGTGTTCACCTCAGCATCCGCTTCCTGCTGAGGAGCAGTAGCTGGGGACAAAGGAGAGAGAGAGACGCCACATATACACAGAGTACGATGATTTTGAAACATGCATGGAGCCCCGCCCTGCACCCAGTGGCACCCAAGGCTCAGCCCTACCCAGGGCATAAAAGTGGAGGCTCAAGGGGGCCAGATTGCCAGAGTTTTCCAGAAGCTGGAATTCCAAACTTTAGAATTCCAAATTTTAACATAAACATGCTGAGATGGAGTCTCGCTCTGTCAGCCAGGCTGGAGTGCAATGGCACGATCTCAGCTCACTGCAACCTCTGTCTCCTGGGTTCAAGTGATTCTCTTGTCTCAGCCCACCAAGTAGCTGGGACTCAGGTGCACACCACCATGTCCGACTAATTTTTTGTATTTTTAGTAGAGACAGGGTTTCACCATGTTGGTCAAGCTGGTATTGAACTCCTGACCTTAGGTGATCCACCCACCTCGGCCTCCCAAAGTGCTAGGATTACAGGCTTGAGCCACCGTGCCTAGCCAACATGTTGATTTTTAATGGTTAGCAATTCAAGTTTTATTAAATCATTCTGGAGATGAAAGTATATTCCTGGAACAAATAAAGCCCATCAACAAGAGCCAACCTGTAACTGCTGATTTAGTTACTCTATTTAGTCATTTCTAGGTGGAGACCTATATTTTTAGCCCCAGAGACTTTCTTCCTTCTAAGGTGGGACAGGAAAACCACGTGAAAGGCGACATGCTATCAGAGGCCCAGAGAATCTGGAGATGGCAGAAACTTGGACACATAGAAAAACAGGGCGTTTGGGGCCGGGTGCGGCGGCTCATGCCTGTAATCCCAGCACTTTGGGAGGCTGAGGCGGGCAGATCACGAGGTCAGGAGATCAAGACCATACTGGCTAACACAGTAAAACCCTGTCTCTACTAAAAAACACAAAAAATTAGCCAGGCGTGGTGGCGGGCACCTGTAGTCCCAGCTACTAGGGAGGCTGAGGAAGGAGAATGGCATGAGCCCGGGAGGCGGAGCTTGCAGTGAGCTGAGATCGCGCCGTTGCACTCCAGCCTGGGAGAAAGAGCGAGACTCCGTCTCAACGAAAAAAAAAAGGAAAAGAAAAACGCGTCTGGGAGGAATTTAGGAAGAACAGATGTAATTATGTCACAAAAAAAGGAAAGCCGAAGGACATTTTGGCCATCTTGGCAAAACAGCAAAAGGCTCATCAGACACATTCCAGAACGGAGGGAAAACACAAAGAGACTTTACTCCAGTAAGAGACCAAAAGTCTCTACAAAGAAGACATCTCCCTAAAGACTAAAGAACAGGGCAAGGTATTCTCCAATATTGCCTTTTAAAAAATAATAAAATAACAGATTTGTCTAGAGCAAGAGCTGGCAAGCTAGTGCTGCCTGTTTTATTGGCAGACAGCCACATCCATCCATTTATATATCATCTATGTCCATCCATTTACATATCATCTAAGACTGCTTCTGCACTGCAACAGCAGAGTTAAGTAGTAGCAACAGAAACCACATGGTGTACAAAGCCTAAAATATTCACTCTCGCCCTTCACAGAAAAAGTTTACCAACCCCTGGTCAAGCTTCTCACACTTGAGTCATTTACATACCACCTTTGCAAATTTTGCCAATCCGCAGACATACTACTTTATTGTATTATTTATGGGACACTTGAAATTCTTTAAAATGGAAGTGTTTAATTCCAACCATACAAAGCTAGTATCATTTGCCACAAATAAAAGCTAATGGTAAAAAATAACTTATAGGCTGGGCGTGGTGGCTCACACCTGTAATCCCAGTACTTTGGGAGGCTGAGGCCGGCAGATCACTTGAGGTCAGGAGTTCAAGACCAGCCTGGCCAACATGGTGAAACCCTGTCTCTACTAATAATACAAAAATTAGCTGCGCATGGTGATGTGTGCCTGTAATACCAGCCACTTGGGAGGCTGAGGCAGGAGAATCAGTGGAAGCCAGGAGGCAGGGTTGCAGTGAGCCGAGATCGTGTCACTGCACTCCAGCCTGGGGGACAAGAGCAAAACTCTGTCTCAAAATAATAATAATAATAATTCATAAAATATTATTGATGCCAGGCGCTGTGGCTCACGCCTGTAATCCCAGCACTTTGGGAGGCCAAGGTAGGTGGATCACCTGAGGTCAGGAGTTAAAGACCAGCCTGACCAACATGGAGAAACCCCATCTCTACTAAAAATACTAAAAATTAGCCGGGCATAGTGGCATATTTCTGTAATCCCAGCTACTCGGGAGGCTGAGGCAGGAGAATCGCTTGAACCCGGAAGGCAGAGGTTGCACTAAGCCGAGATCACGCCACTGCACTCCAGCCTGGGCAACAAGAGCGAAACTCTGTCTCAAAAAAAAAAAAAAAAGGATAAATTCTAACTAGATAGTGCTTCCTGCTGGAAGCTCTAGGCCTGGGGACTGCTTGTTCTATGTTGGAAAGGGTGATTACAAATATTACAGCAGTGTCAAAGATAGGTTAGTACCAAACTAACACTTTTTACTTAACAAAGAAATTGGGAATCCATATTATCTAAAGCCACAAGTCCATTACTGCCAAAAAAAACACAGTGTCTCAACTTCAGTACTACTGACACTTTAGGCCTGAGAAGAGATCAAGGGTTCTGCAAAGATCAAAGGTTCAAAATGCCCATGGCTCAAGTTTTAGCTATGTGCCTGCACACTGCTCACCTGTGTGTAAGACACAATTGTTTTTGAGTGAAAGTGTCCAGAAGCCAGGCAAGCTCCCTTGACAATTAGCCCTGAGACCCCTGAAGTCCACAGGGGAGACCAATGCCAAGCCACTGCAGCCCAGGACGGGAGGCAGCCCCACAGGGCATTACCTGACTGGGTGCAGGACTTCATGTGCTCAGGCCAGTGGGCTTGCTGGCAGGGGTAGTCACAGTAGCTGGTGTTCCAACAGCAGTAAAAGATGGCCTCCTTCTTGCAGTTGGCGCACCACTGCTTCTTCTTGGTCTCATCCACCGCCTGCTGCTTCTCCAACTCCAGCTGCTTCTTCACCTCGGCGATGAGCCGGTCCCGCTCCTGCTCCAGGCTCTGCCGCATCTCCGCCATGGTCAGCTCTGGTGGAGGAGGGGAAGAACACCGCTCATCACCTGACCCCAGCCTGGGGTGTGGGGTTATTCCTGCCCCCAGATTCAGGCAGACGTGGATGCAAGACCTGGCTGGGAGAAGCCCTGGCTGTGTGCCCATGGGCAATAACCTAGCCCGAGTCTTCATCTGTAAATAGGGCATTCATCATGGTGACCAGATGGTGCTGCCTGTTGAGAGTGGACATGAGGTGCCCAGCATGGACATAACTGCAGCCCCAGAGGATTTTCCACACCAGACTACATTCTGGGAATTCCTCAAAGTAACCCTTGAAACAACTGCCACCAAAACTCACTTTCTATCCTATTATTCATTAACATAAGCCTTTTCCCCCCTATCAATCAAATACCTATACAGCACCCACTACATGAAGGCACTGTTCTAAGAACTTTATAAATATTAACTCATATAACCCTCATCCTAATAATCCTACGGGGTAAGTACTACTATTCTACCCCTTTCGCAGATGAGGAAACCGAGGCAAACAGCTAGCTGGGCCTAGACCTCAGGCGTGCTTTCTTGTAGGTGTCTCCTGTGGCACTGGATCCAGATGGGACTGTGGTTGATGATTATACTAACAGGACAACTATGAACCTACTCAGTCTACCAAGATTTCTCTAATTTTACTTCAGACAGTTAAGTCCACTGGTAATTCATTTAGGAGTGACCTGCTGGCTGTAATAAAAGAAAAATAGGCCAAGTGCAGTGGCTCATGCCTGTAATCCCAGCACTTTGGGAGGCTGAGGCAGATGGATCACCTGAGGTCAGGAGTTTGAGACCAGCCTGGCCAACATGGTGAAACCCTGTCTCTGCTAAAAATACAAAAATTAGCTAGGCGCGATGGTGTAATCCCAGCTACTTGGGAGGCCGAGGCAGGAGAATTGCTTGAACCCAGGAGGCAGAAGTTTCAGTGAACCGAGATCATGCCATTGCACTCCAGCCTGGACAACAAGAGTGAAACTCCATTGACAAGGGAGGGGAAGGGAGGGGAAGGGAGGGGAAGGAAGGGGAAGGAGGGGATGGGAGGGGAATGGTCCCTCAATTCCTTCAAATACTCTTCCTGAACTTTATAAAGTAAAATTAACCCCTCATAAAGAAGTTAACTACCTGTGGCCAGACAGAACCTTTGAGTCAATCTAACTACCTTTAACTAGGGGTCTGTAAACCATAGCTAAGTTTTGGCCAGCCCACAGGTAATTTTTTCAAATGTGCAGTCAACACATAAAAAGAAAAGGATTTTATGAAAGTAAGATTCCCTGATTTTATTAGAAAAACAAGAAGTGGTGGCAGGGGCAGTGGATCACATCTGTAATCCCAGCACTTTGGGAGGCTAAGGTGGGTGGATCGCTTGAGGCCAGGAGTTTGAGACTAGCCTGGCCAACATGCTGAAACCCCGTCTCTACTAAAAGTACAAAACTTAGCCAGGCATGGTGGTGCATGCCTGTAATCCCAGCTACTCGGGAGGCTGAGGCATGAAAATCACTTGAACCTGGGAGGCAGAGGCTGCAGTCAGCTGAGATTACATCACTGTACTCCAACATGGGAAACAAGAGTGAGACTCTGTCTTAAAAAAAAAAAAAAAAAGGAAAACGAGAAGCAACAACACCCAAATCAGCGTCCAGAAAGAATGAACCAAGGGCTCCTCTCCAGGGGGCTCTGAAAGGATTCATGTCTGCAAGGTGTGACTTAGATGCTGACCACAAGTGAGCAGGTAGGCACACCTGGGCATGGGTCCTCAACCTAAGAGTTCTCCTGGCTGCCAGCAGCCCATCTGATCTGATACTACGTGAGGGGCTGAAGCAATCACTTCTACCTTTGGGGAAAAGCTTAACTATACAGAACGACAGGCCAAAACATCTGTCAATCTAATCCAGGGACCAATAAAGTATCTTTCTCCGCACTGAGCAGTGCACAGGAAGCATCCAGATATTGTTAAAGTGCCTAGCATTCCATGATGAACAGGGTGAAGAGTGCCCAGACTTGAACTGTGGCCGTGTGACTTTGAATAATTTCCTCAACACGTCGGTTTCTTCCCTTGAAAACTGGGGATATGTCCACGCATGCGGAGTGTGAAAAAAAGGAAAGGAAAACCAGGGATATAACAGATCCCTTTATCACAACAGTTTGTGTAATGAAATTAGTTAAGTGCACTGCAGCCTTAACTTCTCAGGCTCAAGTGATCCTCCTTCCTCAGCCTCCCGAGAAGCTGGGACCACAGGAGCGCACCACCAGGCCCAGGTAATGGTTTAAAATTTTGTGTAGAGATAGGGTTTCGCCAGATTACCCAGGCTGGTCTTGAACTCCTGGAATCAGGTGATCCTCCCATCTGGGCCTCCCAAAGCGCTGGAATTACAGGTGTGAGCTGCCGTGCCTGACCAATCCTCATTATTTTATTGTTGAGGCTGGTGTTCTGAACAGAGGAAAGGGGGGCTCCCGCCAACACCCACTCTTACACCTGGTTTCTCCAGGCCCAGACTCTCAGGATTCTGTGGTCTCCCTACGAGTCATACAATCCTAGCCTAGCTTTAATTGCACTCACATCTCGGCTTGACTCCAGAGGTGCAAAGAAGTTCACACCCAAAACCCTCCTCAGTCCAGACCAGTGTGTCAGGCCTTACCTAAGTTGTGTTTCATTTCGGAGAGCTCTTGCTGGTGCAGCCACTGGAGCTTCTCTATCTCGATCCTCAGCCTGCGAATCTGGAAGAGGGAGAGTGAGCGTCTTCAAAAGCTGTCTCATGCAGTTCACCAGGAGGGCTCAGAAGCTCAACCACGGCTGGCTGTGAGGGGTATGGGAATCATGCTAACCTTCCCACAGCTATAGTCCAGAGAGGTGATCACTGGTGGGTGAACCCAAATTCACCAGAAACACTGGTTCAGAAAACCAAGTATAAACAGGCCATCAATTCCAAGAAATACTGGCACGAGGGAAAGCCACTTAAAGTGACAAGGACCAGACTTTCATATAAATAATATATTAAGGGTTATTTAGGATTTTGGTCTATAAATACGTAACAAATACAAAGATAGCTGGATTTTCACTCTTACATAACATTTAGGTGGTGGGATCCACACTTATTCACCTGAAATTCCAAAGCCTGACATCTCTGAAAACCAAAGGGTATTTCTGGGCAGAGGAAGTGTAACTTTGGATCCAAACTCATTTGAAAGGGCAAATAAACAAACAAACTCGACCTGATCTGATAGGAAACTAATTAAACAGTGTTTTGGCCAGGTGCGGTGGCTCGCGCCTGTAATGCTAGCACTTTGGGAGGCCAAGGTGGGTAGATCACCTGAGGTCAGGAGTTTAAGGCAAGCCTAGCCAACATGGAGAAACCCTATCTCTACTAAAAATACAAAAATTAACCGGGCATGGCGGCGCACGCCTGTAATCCCAGCTACTTGGGATGCTGAGGCATGAGAATCATTTGAACCCGGGAGGCGGAGGTTGCAGTGAGCCAAGATCATGCCACTGCGCTGCAACCTGGGTGACAGAGCGAGACTCTTCTCAAAAAAAAAAAAAAAAATTTAATTTAAAAAATAATAATAAACAGTGTTTAATTATCGCAGTAGTTCTTAACTGGGGCAATTTCGAGTACTCTCCCCTGTCATGAGAATGTCTGGAGTCATTTGCGGTTGTCACAATTGAGCAGTGTTGCTGACAGGGATGCTGCTCAACATCCTAGAATGCACAGGGCAGCCCCACAACAGAAATTATCTGGTTCAAACGTCAGTATAGCTAAGGCCGAGAAAACCTGATTAATTCACGTAGTGTGAACAATCACATTTCATTGCAGAAATGGTGTCTCTAATTGTGGGGGACTGCATATTATAACCTCTCTAAAATCCAAAAAAAATTCTGGCATACATCCAGACCCCAGGTTTCAGGTGAGATATTATGAACCTGTATTTTCAACCACACACCAATTCTTACAACGTATACAAACAAGAATGAAGCTGTTTCTAAAGCCTTATTCTTTCCCTTCTTATTTGATGTCCAAAGCATAATCATAAAGGTCATACTTGCAAAACTATTCAAGGGGATTCATTGATTTTTCTTGGGTCTCTTAAATCTTTGTATTCACATTGTCTTCTGTTGAAGGGACCACCAGGTTGCCTTCCTGAAGATCTTCTCCTCTTCGTCTGAGCACCAGCCTAATGCTGCCAAGTCCTAAAAGGTCAATAGCTCTGCAAAGGATTCCCACAGCTCCCCAACGTCACCTTAAATGACCTCTGTAAGTCCTGCCATTTGTCATTTCACCTGATAACCCGTTTGCATCTGGCCTACATTGTACCATCCACAGACAGCCGGCAAGTGGCCCACTCTCCAAGCCCTGATAGGGAATTAGCCTAAAGGGGAAGTTCAGGGAGGTGTATTTTTAAAAGCGGATGCTTTATAAGTAGATAGCTTAATTTTTTTTTTTTTCCTTAAGAGACAGGGTCTCATTCTGTCTCCCAGGCTAGAGTACAGTGGCACAATCACAACTTACTGCAGCCTCAAACTCCTGGGCTCAGGCAATCCTCCTGCCTTAGCTTCCTACAGGAACACACCACCATCTCCTGCTTGTTTTTTTAAAATTTTTGTAGAAATGGGGTTTCACTATGTTGTGCAGGCTGGTCTCAAACTCCTGGCCTCAAGCAATCCTCAGGATTCCCAAAGCGCTGGGATTACCACAACTTCCCAAAGCGCTGCGATTACAGCCAACATGCACAGCCAATGAAATGTCTTAACCACTTTCTTGTCTACACAATCACATAATTATGGAGACTCCAGTACACAAATTATTGAACAAGAAGAAGCACTTGTATTAAAAAGTCCAAACTTCCAGAGAAGATTCAGGAGCCAGTTTTACATGAAGCAAAAAGAACTGGTGTCCAGTTTCACCAGTAGGTTAACTGAAGCTCTGATTTTGGCTGTTTTATTAGAAATGAATTGATCACACAAAGCAGGGCATGTCTCCACAGCCCCAGCCGTCTGGCTAAAGGAAAAAATACCCCCATCGATAATGACAATCAGTAGAGCCAGCTTAGTGACCAAGCCAGGACCCCAGAGGGGTTTCCAGAGAAGCTTCTTCATGGTACCACCTTTAAAGCAGCCCACAAAACACTCTTAGCAAATAAGAAATTCATGTGTCATCTCTGACCTCAGCTATTGTGCTTCCAGTAGTGTTTTTAGAAAGATCGTTGTATATTTCTGTCATTGTTCCTTTTATTGCATCCATCATCTGAAAGATAAAAACAGAAACAATTCAGCTGATCACTTCTTGGAGGCTTTTCCTGGTGACAAATACTTAAAATCTATCTGTATAAAGCAGAGGTTCTCAACTTAGGGCAATTTTGTCCCGCATGAGACACTGGGCATTTCTGGTTGCCATGACAGGTGCAGGAGCAAGGAGAAGGAGCTGCTACTGGCATCTAGAGGGTCGAGGCAGGGACACTGCTAAACTTCCTACCTGAACCATGCTAAAGGCACGGAAGGACCCCACACAAAAAACAATGACCTACGAGCCCAAAATGTCACTAGCACTGAGGTTAAGAAACCCCAGCATTAATGGGGTAAAAATTTCCAACAAATTTCATGGATCGCATTGTGGTGCCACTTCATAACCATAAAGCTAGTTTCCATACCCACATAAAGCTAGTTTCCATACTACAGTTTGGCTGAAACCGGAGAGGCCAAATTTGGCCCCCAGATGTGTGGTGTTTTTTTTGTTGTTTTTTTTTTTTTAAGATGGAGCCTCACTCTGTTGCCCAGACTGGAGTGCAGGGGCGTGATCTTGGCTCACTGCTACCTCCGCCTCCAGGTTCAGGCGATTCTCCTGCCTCAGCCTCCCAAGTAGTTGGGATTACAAGCGCACACCACCACACCCAGCTAATTTTTTTTCTATTTTTAGTAGAGACGGGGTTTCACCATGTTGGTCAGGCTGGTCTTGAACTCCCGACCTCAAGTAATCCACCCACCTCGGCCTCCCAAAGTGCTGAAGCCACTGTGCCTGACCCCCAGATGTCTTTTATTTGCCCAGCACAGTAGGTTCGAGAGAAGGATTACTTTGTTTTGGTTTTCATTATTTCCCGTCAAAAAACCAGCACCGCTTTATTGAGGTATATGCATATACTATACCATTCATTCATTTAAAGTATACAATTCAATGGCTTTTAGTACCTCAGAGTTGTGTATCTGTCACCACAATCATTTCACAACATTTTCATTACCCCAAAAAGAAAATCCCACTCCCCCGGCCTTAGTCTTCACCTCCTGGTATCCCATCCCCCGCTCCCCCAGCGCCTGACAACCACTGATCTGCCTTCTGTCTCTCCACATTTGCTCAGTCTGGACATGTCATATAAATGGAATCACACAACTCAAGGTCCTCTGTGACTCGCGCATCCGTGCTGCAGCAGGCAGCGGAACTTCATTCCTTTTTATAGTCCATTTTACAGATATGGCTGGTTTGTCATTTTAATGCCTTCAGTCAGGACACTGTCTTTGCGGTTCATTTCCCATCTTTAACTATCTGACCCCTGAAGGCATCAGCCAGTTGGTGACATCAGCTAAGGTCCCTGCAGCAGGCACCCAGGGATTTGCTGACTATGTTAATAGGATGAATTTCTCTTCTACCTCCCACCTGCCAGCTGACTCTTCCCCCATTACAGCAGAAAGAGGAGGGGACAAGAGATCAGGCTCTGTCTCAGGCCTGGCTTGACTGGTGCTGAGTCTCTCCAGTGCTTTCTAGATGCCCCAATTCAGGGAGAAGGCGGGACAAAGAGCAGCCTCCTATCTGATGCCTCACTATGCACTGCCTCTAAGCCTCGGTTTCCCCACAAAAAAACAAGAACTGCATGCCGCCCCGGTAGGGTGTGCACGAGGATTAAATGAAAAAAACCACGCAAACACTGCAGCTCGTTACCTGCCACGGAGTAGGTGTTCATAAAGAAATACCCATTCATCTTATTTTTAAAGAAAAAGAAATTCATGTAAGTATGCAATTGCGTAATTGCTGCCAAACCCCAAAATAGTAGGCCCAAATTCACCCCAAAATGGAGTAAAATGAATAAAATCTCTGTTGAGATTTCCGCTCCCGGCTTGCTGCGGAGCCCACACCAGGCCGTTGCCAGCAAAAACACTCTGCGCTTTCCACGGCTTTGCAGCCCTCCTGCACTTGCCTCCTTGCTCTGTTGCACCCACTGTGTCCATTTTAAAAATTACAACTAAATGGCTTTACAAGAAAACTTTAAAAAGTGGGTGAAATTCAATACATTGCTAATGTAATGGTCACATTCCACTTCAAAGATATCATGCATTCATGGACTGCCTTTTACTCTTAACTTCCAAATATAGCAAAGACTTCAACATCGGTAAAGAACACCACTTTGCCAAAACACACAGAACTGCGTCTTCCACTCCAGGTCAACTCAGAGACAGGAAAAGTTCATCAGCTCCCAAAAAATGTCACTGTGTTCATTTTTTTTAACTTCAAAGAAAACACTTATCAAAAAAGTCATTCCTGGACAGGCACAGTGGCTCACGCCTATAATCCCAGCACTTTTGGGAGGCAGAGGCAGGCGAATCACCTGAGGTCAGGAGTTCGAGACCAGCCTGGCCAATGTGGTGAAACCCCGTCTCTACCAAAAATACAAAAATTAGCCAGGTGTGGTGGTCAGGGCACCTGTAATCCCACCTACTTGGGAAGGTGAGGCGAGAGAATCGCTTGAATCTGGGAGGAAGAGTTTGCAGGGAGCTGAGATTACACTGCTGCACTCCAGCTAAGAGTGAGACCTTGTCTCAAAAATAAATAAATAAATAAATAAATAAATAAAGTTTTGCCAAAAGTGTCAAGGGGAGCTGGGGTCCTGAAGACCCAGCTACCTGGGGAAGCCAAGGTGGGAGGGTCGCTTGAACCCAGGAGTGGCCAGCCTGGGCACCAGGGTTAGACCCCAACTCTAAAAAAAAAAAATTTCTTTTAGTAATTTTTTAAAGAACAAAGGGGATGCAGAAGGTAACAAAATTAAAATGGCTGCAGGAGCTGAGAAAACAGCCTTCCTGCAAACCACTAATCAGACCCACTCAGTAGGCCTCAGCTTTCCCATTCATAAGCAAACAGCTGGGACTAAATCAAGGGAAGGTGATGTAAGGACAACCGAAGGTAGAACAAGAGATCATTCAGGCAAAACCAGACACCTACTTATATCACTAACGAAAAAATTACCCGCTTTCAATTCTCTAATAATCCTACAGATTGCTTCAGCAAGAAGTCTCAGTTTGGTGCTGTTATGCCTTTAACACTTTCATGACAACCT
This sequence comes from Homo sapiens, assembly GCF_000001405.40. Lineage (NCBI taxonomy): Eukaryota > Metazoa > Chordata > Mammalia > Primates > Hominidae > Homo > Homo sapiens. The sequence goes on from NC_000020.11 coordinate 47,232,880, forward strand.
CCCCCATGTTTTTTTTTGTTTTTTTTGTTTTTTTTTTTTTTTGAGACAGAGGAGTTTCGCTCTGTCCCCCAGGCTGGAGTGAAGTGGCGCAATCTCAGCTCACTGCAACGTCCATCCCCTGGGTTCAAGCAATTCTCCTGCTTCAGCCTCCTGAGTAGCTGGGATTATAGGTGCCTGCTACCACACCGGGCCAATTTTTGTATTTTTAGTAGAGACGGGGTTCTGCCATGTTGGCCAGGCTAGTCTCGAACTCCTGACCTCAGGCAATCCACCCGCCTGGGCCTCCCGAAGTGCTAGGATTCCAGGTGTGAGACACCGCACCAGGCTTTTTTTTTTTTTTTTTTTTTGAGACAGGGTCCTGCTCTGTCCACCCAGGCTGGAGTGCAATGGTGCAATCACAGCTCACTGCAGCTTCAAACTTCTGGGCTCAAGTAATCCTCCCATCTCAGCCTCCCGAATAGCTGAGACTACCGGCATGTGCCACCAGGCCCAGCTAATTTTTTTTTATTTGTAAAGACAAGATCTCAGTGTGTTGCTCAGGCTGGTCTTAAACTCCTGGCCTCAAGGGATCCTCCCACTTGAGCCTCCCAAAGTGCTGCGGTTACAGCCACTGGCTCAAACAGCCACACTGAATCCTAAGAGGAGTTGCTTATAAAAGTCATGTGGCAACAGTTTGTGGACCATGAACATTTGTGGTCAGCAGGCTTGTTTGAAATGCACAAAGCAGTTCAAAGCCAGGTTAAGTGCACACTCTCTAGGGCCTGGCTGCTATCATTCAAAGTCCAGCTTTGCCATTCACTAGCTTGTGACCCTAGACACACTGTGTAACCTCACCGGGCTTCAGTTTTCTCATCTATAAAATTGGGGTGATAACAGTACCTACACTTCATCAATTTGTCAAGAAGACTGAGTAAGTAACATACAAAAAGTGCTTAGGACAGCATCTAGCCTAGAGTAAATGCTATGCAGACATATTGCTACCTTATGTGGTAGGCAAACTCTAAGTGGGCTCCCGATGATCCCAACCTACTAATATTTTGTGCCCATCTGTAATCCCCTCCCTCTGACCTAGCAACTTGCTTCTACCCAATGGAATACAGCAAACGTAATGAGGTGTCACTTCTGTGACTGGCCTAAGTAAGCCTGTCACTTCCATCTTGCCAGCAGGCTCTCTCCATTGCTGGCTTTTGAGACAGTTTCGCTTTGTAGCCCAGGCTGGAGTGCAGTGGCAAGATCTCGGCTCACTGCAACCTCCACCTCCCAGGTTCAAGCAAGTCTCGTGTACCAGCCTCCTAAGTAGCTGGGACTACAGGCGCATGCCATCATGCCAGGCTGATTTTTTGTATTTTGGTAGAGATGGGGTTTCACGATGTTGCCCAGGCTGGTCCTGAACTCCTGAGCTCATGCAATCCACCCACCTCAGCCTCCCAAAGTGCTGGGATTACAGGTGTGAGCCACCATGCCCAGCCTCCATTGCTGATTTTGATGAAGCAAGCTGCCATGCTGGGGAGGCCCACATGGCAGGGAACTGAGGGTGGCCCAGGCCACTTGCCCTCAAGAAGTGAATCTTGCCTGCCACCACCTAAATGACCTTGAGAGTGGATCCTTTCCCAGTTGAGCCTTTGTGTGAGTCCCAAACCCTTGCAGACACCATGACTGCAACTGCAAGAGATCCTGAAGCGGAGAGCCCCGTGGAGCCATGCCCAGATTCCTGACCCACACACACTGTAGGATAATAAAGGTGTGTGCTGTTTAAAGCTGCTAAGTTTTGTGGTAATTTGTTCTGCAGCAATAGATAACAATTACACCTACACAGAAGAAATAAAAAGAAACATGACCAATGAAAACTCATTTGTGTAAAAAAAAAAATTCATATATATTTCTCTCACCACTCAGAATTTTAAAAGATTCCTCTTCCCTTAACTCAATATAATAAAGCTAACTCTTTATTATTAAGACTATAAGAATTTTAGAAACAGGCTGGGTGTGGTGGCTCACACCTGTAATCCCAACACTTTGGGAGGACTAGGCAGGAAGATCACTTGAGGCCAGGAGTTTGAGACCAGCCTGGGCAACAAAATGAGACCCTGTTTGCATTTTTTAAAAAGAAAGAATTCTAGAAACAACCATCCTCAATTATTTTCATCCATTCTAAAAACTAGAACTGTTTACTCATCAGTATTAGTAATCTACTCATCAGTAAAGAATAAATTATTAACTACTTAGTAATTTACTAACTAATCTCAGTAGATTATAAATCAATAGCTATTATTAAGTTATTGATAATAATTGAAGCCAATAAAAACAAAGCCCAACTATGGGTCAAGCACTTACTACATGCCAGGCATTGTTCTAGGCCTTGGCAGTGAGCAAAACAGACAAAAATTCCTGCCTTTGTGGACCTGACATTCTGGTGGTTATTATTACCACCGTGGTCTAATGACAAGATACACAGCACATCAGTCCAGCGCACTCTCACATGACGCTGAGAACTGCAGATGGTATCTACCTGAATTCAACAGTGACCATAAAAGCACTTGGCAGGCCGGGCCTGGTGGCTCACACCTGTAATCCCAGCACTTTGAGAGGCCGAGGTGGGTGGATCACCCGAGGTCAGGAGTTTGAGACCAGCCTGGTCGACATGGCGAAACCCCATCTCTACTAAAAAAATACAAAGATTAGCCAGGCATGGTGGCGCGTGCCTGTAGTCCCAGCTACTTGGGAGGCTGAGGCAGGAGAATTGCTTGAACCCAGGAGGCGGAGGTTGCAGTGAGACGAGATTGTGTCACTGCACTCCAGCCTGGGGAACAGAGTGAGACTCCATCTCAAAAAAAAAAAAAAGCACTTGGCAACTTAAGAGAAAAAAAGAAGGGGCCTGTGCTGAGACAGTTCCCATGAGTTCACCAACAACAGGCAATCCTGCCCACCATGCCACTTAATGGGGACTGTGCCCCAGAGGGCAGGAGACAGGGGAGAGGGAGTCCCCTTGGTCCCCCTCCCCATCCATCTTGATTCCTGGAAAAATCAAAGTGTGGGCATCTCACCTTGCCAGTCTCATGTTTAAGTCTCTGTCACTTCTGCTCCACATGCAAAGCTCTAAATGCAAACCAAACCCCTGGTCAGCTGTTCACTGAAGGATCAGTCATGTGTTCCAGTGCCTTAATGAGTGACTTGAATTCTCGAAGGTAATTCTGATTATGTCATTTGCACTTTATGAACTGACTTTAGAATCTAAGCCCACTTGGAGTAAGATTCAGTCCATTCTACATTTCTCTGTTAGACCCAAATTAAAGAACGTGGTCTTGGAGATTCTGTTTTTAAAAAAAAGGGTCTTCACTCCCTAAAGACTGCAAGGTTAAGACGCTCACGCTTCCCCTCGGGAGACCAAGATTCTGGCATCCTGCCAGGTGTCTGCCATCTCCACGGTAGCTCTCCCATCCACTCACTTTGCTAGTGTACTTGGCAATATCAGCGGCGACATCAGCTGAGGCAGTGGCGATGGGCAGGTCAGCGTTGACTGAGGACACAAGGGTGCTCATGGACCCCGAGCTGGTGACCAGGGGCGATGACTGTGTGCTGGTCACCAGGGTGATGGTGGACGTGGATGGGCTCTGTGTGATCTCCTTCTGCTGGACAGCTAGGAAGGCAAAGCATCCTGATTACCCCACGTGGGAAGGACCCATCCCAGCACAAAGCTGTGGTGTAGAAGCAAAGCCCCTAATAGACATCCTGAGAGCTTTTCTACTTTTAAATGACAAAGATGCTCCCCTTGACCAAACTCTATCCAGGTTTCTCAACTAGGCCCTAACCTTGGCCTGGAAAGACTTGAGCAAACATTGACAGTTTCTAAGAGCTCAAGAGTGCATGCTAGGATGACCCCAACCCCCTCTTAAAGCGACTGCCTGGGAAAACTCAATGCTGGCAAAAGAACTGACAGTTTTGTTCCAGCCAACACCTGAAGACAGGACCTCAGCATCCCAGTGTCTATGGGAGAGTAGGGGCCCAACTTCATGAAGTGCCCGTTAGCAAATCAAGATGTTTAACTTCCCTGACTCTACTGAGGCCCAACTCGCTCCCATCCCTACTCCCTCATTCTCCCTTTAAAATGTCCAGTCACCCCTGTACAAATCAAAGTTAATTTCAGCTTATGCTAGACTCTTGCCCCTATTACAGTAGCATATTACCAATTTAAATTGGTCTTTACCCCTTTAACTAGGCTTTACTTTGGCGTAAGACAATCTGAAGCAATGAGCCACTTTTTGGCAGCGCTCTTTTTTTTTTTTTTGACAGTCTCACTCTGTCGCCCAGGCTGGAGTGCAGTGGTGCAATCTTAGCTCACTGCAACCTCTACCTCTGAGGTTCAAGGGATTCTCATGCCTCCCTCCTGAGTAGCCAGGGTTACGGGCATGTGCCATCATGCCCGGCTAGTTTTTTGCTTTTTTTTTTTTTTTCCATTTTAGTAGAGATGGGGTTTCACCATGTTGACTGGGCTGGTCTTGAACTCCTGGCCTCAAGTGATCTGCCTGCCTTGGCCTCCCAAAGTGCTGGGATTACAGGTGTGAGCCACCACGCCCGACCCTCTTCTTGGTAGCAATTAAACTCCCCTGGGGAAGTCTCCTGCTTATGAGATATGAAGACAGAAGACAGGAAGCCGCAATCCCAATCTCAAATATCCTAGACTCGGCTTTGCCCCACCAACTTTTTAAATAGCAAGATTAATCCAACTGTACTCTCAATTTTGCCTGGCCAATTCTTCAGGACCCACTCCCTCGCCATCTGTGAAGGGTTTCACTGGGGGCCAATTCAAGACCTGGCCACCTTTCAACCTCACATTCTGCTGCTCATGAGCCCCCCTCACAGGGGCGCATTCACTATGAGTTTCAGTTGAAGAACCCAGCCTTTGAGGATCTAGATGCAGGTTTCCTGGTAGAAAGATCTACATCAATGCTCACAAAAGCCAGGCAAACTGGTACCAACCAGTCAGATCAGCACTGTGTTTGGCCTAATTTCAGCTCCAGATGGAGCCTCCTGCAGGACTGGTGGGAGTTCTGATTCTGCAACTTCAGCAAGTGGTTCTTGAGGCTGGCTCATCTTGTGTGTGTGACGAATCTCCAGTTACTAAGGTAACCTTCGCTATCAACTTCTCGCACTGTACTTTTTCCAAAATAACTCCAAGAGGTTCCCTCATGTGCACAAGGAAATTTATACAAAGATATTCATTGCAGCACTGCTCACAGTAGAAAAAAAACTGAAAGCAACCTAAATGCCCATTAGTAGAGGAATGCTTTAAATAAACTATGAAATACTATGCAGCAGTCCAAAAGAACAAGGCAGGGCTGTATGTGCTGATGTGGATGGACCTCCAAAACATGCTGATGGGTGGGGGAAAAAAGCAAGTATGGTACCATTTTTATGTTTTAAAAAAGAAAAAAAGGGGGGAAAAAGGACTAATTTTATGGCATCATATACATGATGCGCACATATATACATACAGATATGTATATATACATATACATGCATACATGCATAGAAAAGCTTTTACAACGGTTGATACTGGCCACTGTGGAAGGGAAGAGAATGAAATGGAAGGTAAACGGGATAACAGACTTTTATGTAAAACTTTCTGCCCCCTTTTTAAGGAGAATATATGCATGTATCATTTATAAAATGAACAAAAAAAACTTTTTGAAAGTAAAAAAGCAAGTAGCAAAACAATTTTTAAAAATAATGCCAAATGGAATGTGCAAGGCCTTCAAGATACAATGGCCCGGAAACAAACGAGAACTAAAAAAAAAAAATAAAAGAGCAATGACTTTCTCCTGTCGATGTGGCAAAATGGGAGCGGGCGCCACGGAGAACAGAAGGGGAGGCTCGGTACCTTTCACAGCCTGTCTGGTCTGATATCTCGTCCCCTGGGAAGACTGAGGCTGCTGCTGCTGGTTTTGCTGCTGCTGCTGCTGCTGCTGACGCTGCATCTTCTGCATGTGCCACTTTTGGGAGGACGTTTGAAACTTACTTGATGAGTTCCACACGACCCGCTGCACGGCCGGGGCAGTCTCCTTCGGTAAAAGCGGCCTCTGCTTTTTCACTGGGCTTCCTGTGGCGGCGGGGGCCGGGGCCGTGACGGTGACCGTGGAGGACGTGCTGGTGGTGGCTGTGGCGCCAGCCGCGGAAGTTTGGGCGGAAGAGCGGGTGAGCACCGGTGTTTCCGGGGGAGAATGGCTGCCCACCGTCGTGGATGGTGGAGTTTTACCTACAACTAGCCAATGCATGAAGAAAAAACAAACAAAAACCGGATTTCACTCAGGTTCACCTGCACGGTCTTGACGCCACCAAGTTCTGGGTAAAACCTATGAAAGCCAGGAATGCCGAACCAATTCGACGTGCCAAGCACACCGCGCTGGAGGAGTACATTCTCACCTAACGCTGAGGCCACTTCTGCGGCGTCTTCCATCTCCGCGAGCAGCGGCCTCCTTTACTGAGCGCCGGCCCACATCTGAGATACAAGTCAAGACCTCTAGGGGAGAATGAGGCAAACAAGACCCGGCTCCTGCGCTCAAGCTCCCCTACACCTAGTGGACAATGCGGTGGGCGAACAGATTCAATGTTCACGCCCTTTTCGCAAAGTTAAAATCTAGTCGGCACCTTGAGAAGGGCCCAGCGGAAGTCAATCCAGACAGGAAGAGCAATTCTTTGGCTAGGGAACGTAGAAAGCAATACCTCCAAAGAGCCAGATGGCCTCCCAATGGCCAAAGCAGTAACACTCAGTCACCCAGAAAGAAAAGTATTCTTTTCATCTCTTCTGATTCCCTCCAGGACAAAGTTTGAAGGCGGTACTGATAGCCAGGACAATACCAGGAAAACAAATTCTGCCCCAAGGCCAGAACCTTCCCCCAACGCAATGGTACTGATCTAGGATTGAGTAGCATTGCTTTGGTTTTGATTGGATTTATTCCTATCACCAGCTTTTATGTATACTGTGTGCTACTGTTCTTATTGGGTGGTGTTCAAGTCTAAAATGAGTTTATACTTGCAGATGCTTTTTTCAGGGGAAATTTTTTTACTAAAAAAATGAGGCCAAGCACGGTGGCTCACGCCTGTAATCCCAGCACTTCGGGAGGCTGAGGCAGGCGGATCACTTGAGGTCAGGATTTTGAGACCAGCCTGACCAACATGGGGAAACCCCGTCTCTATTAAAAATACAAAAAAATTAGCCAGACGTGGTGGGAAACTGAGGCAGGAGAATTCCTTGAACCCAGGAGGCGGAAGTTGCAGTGAGCCGAGATCGCGCCACTGCACTCCGGTCTGTGAGAAAGAGTGAGTGAGACTCCGTCTCAAAAAATATTACTAATAGGCCGGGCGCAGTGGCTCACGCCTGTAATCCCAACACTTTAGGAGGCTGAGGTGGGCGGATCACTTGTGGTCAGGAGTTCAAGAGCAGCCTGGCCAACATAGTGAAACCCCGTCTCTACCGAAAATACAAAAATAGCCGGGTGCGGTGGCAGGCGCCTGTAGTCCCAGCTACTCAAGAGGCTGAGGCAGAAGAATCGCTTGAACCCGGGACGTGGAGGTTGCAGGGAGCCGAGACCATGCCATTGCACTCCAGCCTGGGTGACAGGGTGAGACTCCGTCTCAAAATAATAATAATAATAAATGAAAAGTAAATAAAATGAGTTTATTTTATTTATTTATTGAGATGGATTCTCACTCTGTCACCCAGGGTGGAGTGCAGTGGCACAAACTTGGCTCACTGCAACCTCCGCCCTCTGAGTTCAAGCGATTCTCCTGCCTCAGCCTCCCGACTACGTGGGATTACAGGCGCCTGCCACCGCACCCAGCTAATTTTTTTTATTTTCAGCAGAGACGGGGTTTCGCCATCTTGCCCAGGCTGGTCTTGAACTCCTGACCTCATGATCCATCCGCCTTGGCCTCCTAAAGTGCTGGAATTACAGGCGTGAGCCAACGTGCCCGGCCTATTTTATTTTATGTTTTAAAGAGATAGAGTTTTGCTATATCACCCCGGCTGGGCTCAAGCAAGCCACTTCAGCCTCCCGAATAGCTGGGACTACACGGGACGTGCTACTGTGTCCCGCTTTAAATGAGCTTAATTTTATTTTTAAAGAATGAGATTCTTGGCCGGGTGCAGTGGCTCACGCCTGTAATCCCAGCACTTTGGGAGGCCGAGGCGGGCAGATCACGAAGTCAGGAGTTCGAAACCAGTCTGGCCAACATGGTGAAACCCCATCTCTACTAAAGATACAAAAAATTAGCCGGGCATGGTGGTGTGTGCCTATAATCCCAGCTACTTGGGAGGCTGAGGCAGGAGAATCGCTTGAACCCATGAGGCAGAGGTTGCAGTGAGCCGAAATCGCCCCATTGCACTCCAGCCTGGGTGACAGGGCGAGACTCCGTCTCAAAAAAAAAAAAAAAAAAAAGATTCTTTAAATAAAAAAAGTCAAAAATTATACAAGCAGGACTTGAGAACGGGAAAGACAATGAATGTGAATGACTCAAGTTTGAAAAACGCTGCCATATGGAGTATGTCATCTTGGAGGAGCTGGGCTGGTGGGGAATAAAGGGTAGGATTTCAACAGGCGGAAAGTGAGAATCTGGAGGGAACAGCATCAGCCAAGATATGTCTAGGAATACAGAGCATTTGAGTAAGTGAGGGCAGGCAGGGAGGAGGGGCTGGAAGGGAGGTTAGAGCCAGAAGCACTGAGCAGCACGTAGAGGCGATGACCACACGGGAGCTCATTTGTAAAGGTGGCTCAGTTATGGATGCACAGGCCTCAGCCCCCGGTAAGGTGAGCCTATGCCCCAGAGAGGATATCTGGGGAACACACACCACACCCAGGTACAAGCCAGCACCCCGATCTTGGACTATGCTCCCTGACATCAAACTCCTTTAAATAAGGATTATGTCTGCCTCTTTTTCTTTTCTTTTTTTTTTTTTTTTGAGATGGAGTCTTGCTCTGTCACCCAGGCTGGAGTGCAGTGGCGCGATCTCGGCTCACTGCAAGCTCCGCCTCCTGGGTTCACACCATTCTCCTGCCTTAGCCTCCCGAGTAGCTGGGACTACAGGTGCCCGCCACCATGCCCAGCTCATTTTTTGTATTCTCAGTAGAGGCGGGGTTTCACTGTGTTAGCCAGGATGGTCTCAATCTCCTGACCTTGTGATCCACCCGCCTCGGCCTCCCAAAGTGCTGGGATTACAGGCGTGAGCCGCTGCGCCCGGCCTATGTCTGTCTTTTTAAGATCAGTATTACCCAGAAAAAGACATGAGCCTGATTACTCCAGCAAGGATTTTCATTCAGTAAGCTGTGGGTTTTAAGAAGCCAAGGAGGGAAAGAGACAAGCTGACTATCCCGACTTCAGAGGGCGTTCTCGATGGTTATCGAGATGTTGCTGGCCCTTGTACTTCCCCAGAGAGGAGAATCCAGCCAAGCTGGTCAGCAAGAGCCTGGGGTGGGTCTGGAAGGAGAGCTTCCTGCAGTGAAGAACTCCGATGCTTCCAGGGCCACCTGCCAGATATGGGGCACAGTCCCCGCCTCTTCCAGGTGGAGATGAGGTGTTGAACTGGGCCCTTCTAAGAGGAGGGCAGGGGGCAGTGCCTTAGCAGAGCTTCTAACCCACGTAAGTGCCTTCAATGCCTTCCTTTCCTGCCACATTACCAAAAAATATACTGTTATTGTTGATGAGCTAGCCTGTCTCCCCACCGTAAGGGCAACCGCAAAATGGTCGTTTTCTCTCTCCTGATTTGCAAAAGCAAACAGCCAGCAGGGCGGAGGGGTTACTGCTCTGCAGTGATCACAGCTGGCTCTCTGCCAAATAAAGAACTAGAGTATACAATCCGATAAGATTCCAGGCTCAAAATTGTTTGAAGTTATTTAGATATCAAAATATTTAAATTTCCAGGAATCCTGATGGTTTATGGAGACAAAATGAGGCTACAGGAAATTTCATTTGTCCCAGAAATCTGGAGTACATAATCAATCACCTGTAGCGGGAAAAAAAGGGTGAATTTTTTTTTAAAGGGTCAGCACCTGAGAAGCTGCCCTATCAAATTAACCTACTTAATTCCTGAATTTGTCACTGGTCACTGTTTTTCATTTATAAAGCAAGGACTTTTTAAGAGAAAAATTAGCATCCCCTTTGTAGAAGGATGGAAATTACTGATGTGCCAGTGAAAGCACAGCGAAGAGTCTAAGTGTGCTCTCTTTGCTTCTGTTCTGAGGTTATTAGCTATAAAAGCTGTTTTGCCATCTGAAGATTCATATTCTACCCATAAGCTGCATCCCTAGTGGAAGGTAAGCTGGAGGTCACAACAGCGCAATCCAAAATGCCCTTCACTTACTAAACTCTTAAGTGAAAACACATCATTGAAAAGATGCTCTCTAGCGGAGTCTGACACGAGAATTTTTCAAGACCCAAACCACCATCAGCTCTGAATTTAAGATCAATTGGTTTTGCCCCAAGCCTTAGGAAGCTGCTCTAACTGAACTGTGTTTTAGAATCATCTTCAGCTTAATTGTCCACCATCTACTAAAGCTTCCTGGAGAAATTCCCTTCAGACATCAATGTGAGGAAAAGTTCTACTTCTTTTAATCAACTAGAATGGTTTTTTGTTTTTTTGGAAAGTATGAGATCTTCTAAGGTACTGTGTTTCCCATTCTGCTTTCAGAGCCAACTTCCCTAACTCTGAAGATTGAAATAGTACAGATTTCTGTATAAAACCTTTCCCCAGACCACTTGCTATTCTACCTTCATTTTCCTTTTACATGGATGTCTTTATTTTCATCTTGTTTCATATGGTTATGTATCCTTGTCAATCTGTTGCAAATTCTTTCTGGAAGAGGTAGGGGCACAAAACCAATCAATCAAAAGATCTGTTCCAGAAAGAAAGAACAGTATAAATATGTCACTCATAGGAGCACTGCCATCTGCACCCAAATATTCCTACGATCCTCATGAAATAAATGCTACTCCTATTGTTCTCTGCAACAACAGAGACAGTCTCTCAAAACCCAATCCATAACATACTCATATTTTTCAGAGGCCATCTATAAATCTAACAGATGGGTCGGGATGGTTTGATGGCCTATCCTCCCTCCCTTATGTAACTGTATCTCTCTCTTCCTCCACTGTACCTCTCACAGACATTCTCTTTAGCTGAACTGCAGGAATCCTCTCTCACTCTGACAGCTGAGGTTCCAGAGCAGCCCAGGTTGACCATAACCACAGCAGAAAGATTCTCAAGGCCCATCCCTGACTTGCTTTAAGCCACCAGACAATGGAAACCCCAAAGGACATGGAGTTACATCTTATTCAAGGGTTTCATTGACAAGTTAGCTCCTGATAGAAGTTAGGCACAGTCAAGATTTAAACCTGGCTATCCCTTAAGTCACTCGCCACATACATAAGGTTTTATGGCTACAACCTGTAATTTGTCCTGGGGCAATGTTTCTTCTGGGCCCTTAGTTAATTCTTCAGTATCTTTATTGAGCATGTTGAATCCTCTAACCTAATTGCCAAGCCAACTCAAAAATGTGCTGAATACTTTGTCAGTGGGAAGGACATCCTTCCAATCATTCCCACACCCCTTTTGTTGGGCTTGTTAACATGCCCAGGCTGCACTAGGCTGTGGGGTAGTCACTGCTGGTTCAGAATATAACCGTAGCCTCTGAGACTCAGGGGATATTTGGCAATATTTGATTGCCACATTTGTGACTGCCACAACTGAGCAAGTAAGGTTGCCATCTGGCTGGTAGAGGCCAGGGATGCTGGAAAACATCCTCCAATACACAGGACTAAGAATTAGCCAGGGCAAACTGTCAGAAGTGCAAGGTTGTGAAACTCTGAGCTAAGTTAAATGCAAATAAGATTAAAAGCCAGTAAGGCCAGACGCAGTAGCTCATGCCTGTAATCCCAGCACTTTAGGAGGCCGAGCTGGGTGGCTCACCTGAGGTCAGGAGTTTGAGACCAGCCTGGCCAACATGGTGAAACCCTGTTTCTACTAAAAATACAAAAATTAGCCAGGCGTGGTGGCAGGTGCCTGTAATCCCAGTTACTTGGGAGGCTGAGGGAGGAGAATCACTTGAACCCGGGAGGCGGAGGTTGCAGTCAGCCGAGATTGTACCATTGTACTCCAGCCTGGGCGACAAGAGCCAAATTCTGTCCGCCCCCCCTCCCCAAAAAAGCCAATACACATATCCACCATACTCCATTTTCTAGTGCCCTAAGAAGCACTCAGTATTCTGGCACCAATCACCCAAATACTGTCCTACTACTGTAAGAAAATACACTTGGAGATGCCTAGGTGGCATGAGGGGAGGAAAGCAAAGCTGAAATCATCAAAACCTTTGAAATGAACACTGCTTTTTTTTTAGAGAGGGAGTCTTGCTCTGCCACCCACACTGGAGTGCAGTGGCGCAATCTCAGCTCACTGCAACCTCCGCCTCCTGGGTTCAAGCGATTATCCTGCCTCCGCCTCACGAGTAGCTGGGATTACAGGCGCCTGCTACCACGCCCCGCTAATTTTTGTATTTTAGTAGAGACAGGGTTTCACTATGTAGGTCAAGCTGGTTTTGAACTCCTGACCTCAAATGATCCACCCGCCTCGGCCTCCCCAAGTGCTGGGATTACAGGCGTGAGCCACCATGCCCAGCTTGAAATGAACACTCCTAACCGTTTGAGACTTGTCAAAAGAGAATGAGATGTCTGTGGAATGCAGCACTGAAGGACCATTTGACAAGATCCAAATGTTAACAAACACTTTGGGGAAATAAATGAGCATATTGGAAAAGAAGCTGCTCAGACTAAAAATGACTTGGTCACTAAAAGTAACCATCATTTTCTAACAGACTTCTCTTTCTGTACTCAAAATCAATCATACTGGATACCGAGCAGGTTAAAGGTAGGCAGGCCCATGTTTGAGTCCAGGTCCTGTTCTATGACTAGCTAGGCAACCTTAAACCAAACACAGCTTCACTGTGCCTCTCTCTCAGTGTGTTAGAGGGTCACATAACTTCTGATTTGTTTCTTTAAGGGTCACATAACTTTTGATAGTAAGTGTACGAGGTAGGATTCTAAACCAAATTAAGAAAACTGGAAACAGATACAATCACTTACCATCCTGTTTGGGAGATGGTTCTTTGGGTTCCTTCTTATTTTTTCGACCCTCCCGCCCAGAATGGTCTTCTCCTAAATCTATGACAAGTTCGCTCTCTGAATCAGAGTCCAGGCCCAAATGGACTGTTGGGGAATCCGTCTCATCTTTTCCCTTCAGTTTATCCTTTATGGGGTGAGGTGAAGGTTTTGCCTTTTCGGAAAAGTCCTTCTCAGGCTCAGGGCTGGCCTTGTCCTTGACTGCTCCAGGGTCTGCCTTCTCGCTGGCTGGTGACGTGCTTTTCAGCTCCTCTTTAATCTCCACTGGGTTTGTAGGCTTGGGCTTTTTTTTAACAGCAGATGGCTCTTTGTCCATCTGACAACCTTCTTTGTCCTCTGTGTCTTCTGGCTCGTTCTTAGACTTCTGCTCATCATCACTGATATACTCACTATCGCTACTATCTGACTTCTCAGAATCCTCCGAATCGCTGTGCTCTACGGCCGTATAGACATCTTCCGAGATTTCATTTATGCCTAAATTCAAAAAGAAAACCCAGCATGTGGCGTAGTCACAAAATAAAGAGCAGGATGAAAAATGCAAACATTTTTCCACACCAAATGCTGGAATAAGAAAAGCACGTTTCAAATCGCATCACATTGGCCTAAATGGGGCCAGTAATAATCTCAAGTGGCAACTGGCTACGGCTGCCAAGTGGTACTTGCCTTGGGAGAGGGTTTTGGTTGTTAGGAGACACAGGACCTACCAACGGAGATTTTAAATTTATATGGCACTAAACATGTGGTGCCAAATTTTTGCAACGTTGATAACTAATTGGGATTATTGAGAATGAAGAGGGCTGGAAGGGAACAGCAGGGACAAGCTGTTCAAACTGATCCAATTTACAGATTAGAAAACAGAGGCCCAGGGATATCACCTGCCCTAGGACACAAGACAGAGGCCAGGCCAGAACCCCGGGTTCCTGGCTCCCCACCAACACTCTTCCCTTGGGTTTCCAAAGGGTTAAAGTTCTTGATCCTTTGTGTCTAGGCCAAAGAAAATAAGCCAAAGCCTTAAAGCAGAGGTTGCAAACAGCCCACAAGCCACATCTAGCTTGCAGACATGTTTCATGCGAGAGGCACTGGTTTGGCCCACAGGGTATCTTGTCTGCTTTTAATTTATAAATGTGTTGTCCAACTCACAAATCAGGAAATTTCATATAGAAATCAAAGCAGGGGCTTCTGATGAAAGAGCGGAAAATCTAGCCGCTCTGGGTCACCAGCCTGCCAGGCATTGGCTGGAACAGGAAAGCCACTGGCTCCTCTAGGCGGGGGACACACTTGTCTCCAGGTGACCCGGGTGCCCAGCCCTCCCTCTTGTTCCCTGCACTCGTGGAAAGTCAACTGCCACTCGGTGTGCATTGCTCTTCCACTGGTAAAGGAGTCAAGAGAGAAGTCACATACTTCTGTCTCTTTCAAAAGGAAGAAGCACAAACTAGCAGGTGTTTCATACACACAAACAAAAATGGGCAGAAGCACATTTCTAACAATAGTTCCATTTAACCCATTTACGGCTCCTGCCCCCAACCATATGTTATGCCATCATACTGTAGATAATAATACCATATCCTAAACTTTTAGAAAGAGGAAAGAAAACCCAATCAAGTCTGTGCAATCTCTTCATTCTAGAGCAATGGCCACTGTGAATGGTGCCACTGTCCGACTTGTATACACCAAAAAGAAACCTGCAAAAATACCAGAGCCATGAACAGCCCGGGGCATGGGGGATCAGCTGGATCATTGGGGAATGTATCTGCCTCCACCAGGGCTCAATCAAAAACACAAGTCGAGCCAGGCATGGTGGTGCACACCTGTGGTCCCAGCTACTCAGGAGGCTGAGGCAGAAGAACTGCTTGAACCCAGGAGTTCAAGGCTAGCCAGGGCAACACAGGAAGAACACAAGCCAAAATACAAACACCCAGATCTGGTATAATTCTGGGATCCTAGGCTTGTGCTACTGGTAGGTAATGATTGGAAACAAGAAGGAAAAGTGTAAGCACATATGTGATAGGAAAAGCTTGGGTACTGCAGTCCAAAGGACATGAATTCAAATCCTGCTTTTCTGTTTTTATTACTGGTGTGACCCTGAACAAGTTATTTATCTCTCTGAGCCTCAGTTTCTCTATCCGCAAAATGGGACTGATAAAAGTATCAACCTCCCAAGACAATCTATATGCAGTGCTTAGCATAGTGTCCAAGGAAACACTCAGTAAATGGAAATAATAAAATTCTTATTAGCAATAAAAACAAATCAAGAGTTGGGCCAGCTGCATGGAAGGACCCAAGAGGATTATTTAAATGGCATGCCAAATTTCACCCATGCCACCCAATGTCCTCACCAAACAGGCAACCCAACGGGAGCTGTTGTCCTCTGGATAGCCCCAGATGGGTCCCTAACTCTAGCTGCTTTCTCACCTGAAGATGCAGAGCACCCACTGACACTCAGAGGAGCTTGCTCTCCAGAGGCCCAGCCATCCCCCACTTCTTTACAAATGCCCTCCTAGCTTTACTTACTTATTCAACAAACATTCCAGAGCATCTACCATGTGCACAGACCAAGTACCATAGAGAAGGCAAATCCTCATAAAACGGCCTCCCTGCCCTCAAGGAGCTTCCAGTCTAGATTGGGAGGGACACCCCCACACAAAGGGACCATTGCTACTTCCGAGCAATGAAGTACCAAAGGAGGAGGGCAGATGGGGAGGGCAGTCAGGGGAGACTTCCTGGAGGAGGTGAGATCTGAGCTCAGCCTCACAGAAGGCAGGATTCAGGTAGGCAGTGTGAAGGCAGGCAGCACAGGGAAGAGGAAGAAAGGCAACAGCTACAGAAGCAGGGTTTGCCCGGTGGGGAGGAGACCAGTCTGGAGGGAAAGGGTTTCGTGTCGGACACCTACAGAACACACTCACTACTCGTGTGGAGACACTGATGCGTACTGAGGAGAGCAGAGGCAAAACTCAGAGGATCCTCATTCTGCTTGCAAACCTTGATGATTCAAACCTGTATCTCGAGTTTCCAGACTGCTTTCACCAAAGAATAAACTGATGAGTTCAAAAAGCCCTGAATTAACTAGCAAGTCTGAAGTCTTTTGCCATGAGTGGAAATATATTTTAGCTGAGCAAATAGTTGAAAGTTAAAGCAGCTGCTAAAAGCAGCCAGGATTCAACCTTGATTTCATCCAGGTGGTATCCCTACCAGTAATGATAACAATGATACTGCTGGAAAAAAAAAACAAAACCAAAGGTATACCTAATTGTGCTTTGCAACTCTCTATGGTCTTGTCAAGATTCAGCTGGAACCTGCTACGAATCTGGCGCTTGGGAGAGATGAGAGGAACAGGGGTGGACTGTTGCTGGACCGACTCGCTCAGCTCCTTCAAATCCATCTCAGCTTTGCTTCGATCTGAAAGAAACCATCACACCCTCGTAAGATCAGGCACACACCATCCTCATCACGGAGCTTCGTCCTTGCAAAGTCAGAGCAAAACACACATTTTAGAACATGGGGGAGGGGGAGATACTTTTTTTGTCATTCATCCCAACAATATCATCTGCTCAACCAAATGGGGTGACATGAAGATAATGGCCCACGTGAACACGTTTGGCAGGTTTAAACAGTCCACTGAACAATCGTCTGGGTGACTTTCAATATTTAAAATGGACAATCCCAGCCAGATGGCTCAGTGTGTGGAAGTCAACATCATTAGGGACCCTCCAAAGACAAAGGTTATGGGCAGATATTCAATCTCAATTTCAGTGAACAAAGCAACACTGAGCCTGGTCAAGGTGTACTTGTAACTTCAGGTCCAGATTGAAGAGGACTTGTATCCAAGAAAGATGGCGACCCCCTCGAAAACACCCTGATAATTGGGGGCCCTAAATGCCTATTTGCCACAGAGGCTTCATTTTTCATTCTCAGTGGACCTAGTCTGGGGTGGAAACTAGAAAGGGCAGGGAATATAAGATAGGCAGACCTTCCAGCCAGTGTGTTGTGGCTCACAGCATCTATGTGAGGCAAGGGGAACAGATTAGCCCTGGATACTCAACCTCTGTCTAACAGGTCTCGCTCAAGTAAGAGTCCAAGGTCCTCAGCCTAGTTCCCAGGCAGAGGCCTCTGGGGGGTGACTCAGGCCGGAGGTCCTGTCCCCTCACTTCTTCGAGGGCTCTTTGTAGGACCAGCAGGACAGATTCCAAAGTCAGTGAGCTTACATTTCTTGGATTCCTCTCCCACCGACTCCAGTGCCCCCAAAATATTAAGAGTTTCAGTGGCTGCAAAGGTCCAGAAAGCAACAAGCAACTCTGCAGGTGGGGCCTACTGTCCTCCACTGTGCCTGCCACCCTCTGGCATCCCCTCCAACCCACCCAAAGCGAGTGTGAGGCATCTGTCCTACTCCGGCCGATCCCAAAAAATAAGTCAGAAAGCAGGTGGAATCCAATCAACCCACAAAGAGGAGAAGCCACCTCTGAGCCTGTTCCCAACAGCTATCAGGTTGCTCCCTGGACTTCGTGCTTCATCTCCCTGCTCCCTCCATACCTCAGGCCACCTCCATTCATTGGGCTGTGAAAGAGGCCCCAGAATCTAGTCTGAGAGCTGGGCTGGAAGCACTGTTTAAAGCCATCACTCTCTCCTACCTTTTTCCTTTGGCCTGACCCAACCACTTTCCTGTTCATGCAGTAAGGGAGAGTTCTCAAACACTGCATACCCAGAAATCAGCTCCTTCAAAGTAACTAGAAGCAGCCTCCCAAAAGCCCCACCCAATCCACTCACAGGTGACCAGAAGCAATAAATTGCTCCAACTTAATTTTATCAGCCCCCAGGATAAGATTAGAAAGAGGTCTTTTCCCAGCCAGGTGTGGTGGAATGCACCTGTAGTCCCAGCTACTCAGGAGGCTGAGGCAGGAGAATGGCTTGAGCCAGGAGTTAGTGGCTGTACTGAGCTATGATCACGCCACTGCACTCTAGACTGGGAGACAGAGCAAGACTTTTTTTTTTTGAAGGAAAAAAAAGGAGGGAAGAGATGGGTCTTTTCCTAAATCACACTTACAGACTGCCCCTCCCAGACCCAGGGAGATTCCAGAAGTGAGTGCTCAAAGCAAGCAGAGACACTATCCCTGTAATTCAAGAAAAATAGCAAAAACAGTATCTGTGTGCATGCATGTGTGTGTGCACACTTATCAGGGCTTTAAAGACAGGCTACTAGAGACAGGACTGCAGACATTCACACAGCCACCTCTGAGAGGGTGAAGAATGTGCAAATTTACTGCAGTGGGGCCAGGCACAGTGATTCACACCTCTCCCAGCACTTTCGGAGGCAGAGGCAGGAGGATTGCTTGAGGCCAGGAGTTCGAGACCAGGCTGGGCAACATAGCAAGACCCCCATCTCTACAAAAAATACAAAAAGTAGCTGGGCTTGGTGGTGCACGCCTGTAAACCTAGCTACTTGGGAGGCCGAAGTAGGAGGACTGCTTGAGCCCAGGAGTTTGAGGCTGCAGTGAGCCATGATTGCGTCACTGCACTCCAGCCTGGGTGAGCAAGATCCTGTCTCCAAAAAAAAAAAAAATTTACTGGACAAAGAACTAGAAAACTCTTTATACCCGTCTCTGTCCGGCAAGAAATCTGAAGTAGCTTAACAAAGAGAAATTATAGGGTAAAATAATTTTAAAAATAAGGAATGGGGAACACTAAAAGAAAAGGGAGGAGCGCCTCTGCCCAGTCGCCCCACCATCTGGGAAGCAAGGAGTGCATCTCTGCCCGGCCGCCGCACCGTCTGGGAAGTGAGGAGCGCCTCTGCCCCGCCCCGCACCATCTGGGAAGTGAGGAGCACCTCTGTCTGGCCGCCATGCAAGCCTCCAGGTGTAAAGTGGCAGCCTTGTGTGTGATCTTTCTGCCCTCCCCGAGTTTGCATTTTTGACACTAAAGTTTACTTTTAAATTAAAAGTTTATTTAAAAAAAAAAAGAAAGAAAGAAAAGAGAAATGCCGGGCGCAGCAGTTCACGCCTGTAATCCAGCACTGTGGAAGGCCAAGGCGGGAGGATCACTTGAGGTCGGGGGTTCAAGATCCGCCTGGCTAACATGGTGAAATCCCGTCTCTACTAAAAATAAAAAAATTAGCCAGGCATGGTGGTGGGTGCCTGTAATCCCCGGTACTCAGGAGGCTGAGGCAGGAGAACACTTGAACCCAGGAGGCGAAGGTTGCAGTGAGCGAGATCGCACCACTACACTCCAGCCTGGGCGACAGAGCAAGACTCTGTCTCAAAAAAAAAAAAAAAAAAAAAAAGCCCAGATTAAAGAGTTCCAGTAGGCAGGACTCAAGGACTTAACAGCTGAGTTGCATGCAAATGTGACAGCAAAGGGGGAGGGATTTGAGGCCTCCCTCGGAATTTCCACTTTCAGAAATGAAGAAGCATGCTAGATTCCAGAGGGAAAAGCCAGCCTTTTCAAGAATAAAGATGGAAACGTATACTCACAAAAATACTCTCCATGGCTACCCAAGTGACACATTCATCAGTGTCCTCAATATTCCTATATACTACTAGAATACACAGTTAACGAAAAAATTTACAAAAGAGACCAACAAACTTTCTTTGTAAAAGCCTGGAGAGGACCGGGAACAGTGGCTCACACTTGTAATCCCTGCAATTGGGAGGCTGAGGTGGGCAGTTCCCTTGAGCTCACATTTGAGACCAGCCTGGGCAACATGGTGAAACCCTGTCTCTACTAAAAATATGAAAATTAGCCAGGCATGGTGGCACACGCCTGTAATCCCAGCTACTCAGGAGGCTAAGGTGGGAGGATCGCTTGAGCCCAGGAGGCAGAGGTTGCAGTGAGCCGAGATCAGGCCACTGCACTCCAGACTGGGCAAAAGAGCCAGACCTTATCTCAAAAAATAAAATAAAAGCCCAGAGAGTAAATATTTCAGGCTTTGCAGGCCATACAGGCTCTGTTGCAAAAGCAGCCATGAACACTACATAAACAGATGGGTGTGGATGTGTTCCAGTAAACTTTATTTGCAAACACAGGTGGGGGCCAGATTTGGCCTGAAAGCCGTAAAATCTGCCATCTTCTATACTAGTCCAGTGACTGCCAACCCTGGCTGCACACCAAAATTGCCTGTAAAGTTTTAGAAAATCCTGAGGCCTGAGCCCCATCCTCAGAGACTCTGACTCAATTGGCTGAGGGGAAGGCCTGGGCATCAGCCTTTTACAAACTTGCCAGGAGGTCGAGCGCAGTGGCTCATGCCTGTAACCCCAGCACTTTAGGAGGCCAAAGCAGGTGGAGCACCTGAGGTCAGGAGTTCAAGACCAACCTGACCAACATGGTGAAATGCCATCTCTACTAAATATACAAAAATTAGCCAGGCATGATGGCACCTGCCTGTAATCCCAGCTGCTTCGGAAGCTGAGGCAAGAGAATCACTTGAACCCAGGAGGAGGAGCCTGCAGTGAGCCGAGATCACACCACTGCACTCCAGCCTGGGCAACAGAATGAGACTCCATCTCAAAAAAAAAAAAAAAAAACCACACCAACAATAAACTTGCCAGGTGATCCTAATTGGCAGCTAAGGCTGAGAACCCCTGTATCAGACCAATCTTCTATGTGAGTAAAGAAAACTCACTATTTGCCTTAACTCCTGTGTGTGTGTTAACAGGACAACCTTTCTAAACCTTAGGGTCCATAAAAAGAGACCTAGACCTCACCTGAATAACTGAGCTCTGTGTGTGCACCTGCGTGTCTACACGTATGGCTACAGTAAATGCGACCCATTAACTTTAGCCTAAAAAGACTGAGCACTGGAATGTTCATAATCAAGAAAAATGCAAAGAAGGTAAATTCCCTCATTTTACAAACTGAGGTTTCTCTGGTCAGTAAGCTGCTGTTATGTTTATTCTTGTTAGAATAAACCACCAAATGGCTAGGGGCTGGGCCCAGGCCCTGGAAGCTGACCTTCAGGAGTTTAGCCGAATGTAATGATCTTTATCCAAACCTGCAGCTGCATTTGACTCCCCCCTCCTCCGCAGAGAGAAAACAGCTTCACTTTCTCATTTAGCTCATGTAGCTTATCGGGACTTCTTCCACCCCTGCCCTTCTATATCGGGAATATCTTCAGAATCCACCCTTGCTGCCAACATTTTGAACTTTTCAGCTGATATGAAGACAGCTTAGGCTATAAATGGAAACCAGGGATGAAAAATACTCACGCTAGAGAAAAAGGCACGATCTTACATTTCTGGAGGGAGCATAAATCAGAACCACCTCTTTAGAGGGCAGTTGGGCGATACCTCTCAAAATGTCGCCGCATGTGGCCTCTGATGCTCAATTCCACTTCTAGGAATTTATCCTATGGATTACCCTCCCACGTGGGCAAAAGGGTTCTTCATTGCAGTTGTCTTCAATAGCAAAAATGGAAAGAAGCGTAGCGTCAGTAAGTAAGGCGCCTGAATAAATGTTACAGTTTACCTTTAAATGGAATTAAATACAGCTGCTAAAATGAAATGAAGGCCGATTTCTGTGTGTTGATATGAAAAGCCAACCTGTTTCATGAAAAAGCAAAGACTGGTGGAGCACCTTAGCACTGCTGTAGGGGAGCCAAGAAGGAAATGGAAAATCGCTGGGAAGGCTATATATTCTCAGGGTTTCTCAACAGTGGCACTATTGATATTTGGGTCCTGGATAAGTCTTTGTGGTGGGGGTGGGGTGGGGTGGAGGGGCTGTCCCGTGTGTTGTAGGATGTTCAGCAGCACCCTGGCCTCTACCCCCTAGATGCTATTAGCACCTACACACCAGTTGTGACAATAAAAATATCTCCAGGCCAGGCGCAGTGCCTCATGCCTGCAATCCCAGCATTTTGGGAGGCTGAGGTGGGCAGATCACTCGAGGTCAGGAGTTTGAGACAAGCCTGGCCAACACGGTGAAACCCCGTCTCTACTAAAACCCCATCTCTACTAAAAATACAAAAATTAGCCGGACGTAGTGGCGCGCGCCTGTAATCCCAGCTACTCAGGAGGCGGAGTCAGGCAAAGGTTGCGGAGAGCCAGATCATGCCACTGCACACCAGCCTGGGCAAACAGAGCGACGCTCCATCTCAAAAAAATAAATAAAACATAAAAATATCTCCAGACACTGCCAAATGTCACCTGGGAGACAAAAACCATTCAGAACTCATGCTATATATCTAGAAGGGCTCTAGAAACTAAAAACTTGCAACAGTGGTGACGTGCAGGAACAGGGGTATAGAGACAGGTGGTTGGAGGTTACAGACACGCTGGCCTTTCATGAAATGTCCTGTGCTTTGAAATTTTTGTTACCATATGTACTCATTACTTATAAAAACAAACTCTATAAAAGAAAAATTTAAGAACTTCTTTTTCCATTTAAAAAAAGAGAGACAGGGCCGGGCGTGGTAGCTCACACCTGTAATCCCACCACTTTGGGAAGCCGAGGTGGAGATATAAATATATATATCCACCATATACATATACATATGCATATGGTGGATATATATACACACCATATACATATACTCAGTGTGTGTGTGTGTGTGTGTGTGTGTGTGTGTGTATATATATATATATACACACCATATACATATACTCAGTATATATATACCATATACATATACTCAGTATATGTATATGGTGTATGTGTGTGTGTGTATATATATATATATATATACCGTGTATGTGTGTATATATATATATATATATATATATATATATATATATATATACGGTATATATATATATTTGTATGTGTATATATATATACCGTATATATATATATTTGTATGTATATATATATACACACACACACACCATATACTGAGGTCAGGAGTTCGAGACCAGCCTGGCCAACATGGTGAAACCCTATCTCTACTAAATACAAAAAATTAGCCGGGCATGGTGGCGTATGCCTGTTATCTCAGCTGCTTGGGAGGCTGAGGCAGGAGAATCACCCGAACCCAGGAGGTGGAGGTTGCAGAGAGCCGAGATTGTACCATTGCACTCCAGCCTGGGCAACAAGAGCAAAGCTCTGTCTCAAAAAAAAAAAAGACAGATTTTTGTTCTAAAGCTGAACGCAAACTACAATGGATGGACTTCCAGGAACTACAAAATGTCAGTTCCTTCAAGGGAGCAATATCACTTAGACAAAAGACCCTAGCTGGCCAGGCATGGTGGCTCATGCCTGTAATCCCAGCACTTTGGGAGGCTGAGGCAGGAGGACTGCTTGAGGCCAGAAGTTTGAGACCAGCCTGGGAAACATAGCGAGACCCTGTCTCTATATTATTTTTTAAAAAAAGAGAGGCCGGGCACAGTGGCTCACGCCTGTAATCCCAGCACTTTGGGAGGCCGAGGCGAGTGGATCACGAGGTCAGGAGATTGAGACCATCCTGGCTAACACAGTGAAACCCTGTCTCTACTAAAAAATACAAAAAATTAGCCAGGCATGGTGGCGGGCACCTGTAGTCCCAGCTACTTGGGAGGCTGAGGCAGGAGAATGGTGTGAACCCAGGAGGCGGAGCTTACAGTGAGCCGAGATCGCGCCACTGCACTCCAGCGTGGGCGACAGAGCAAGACTCCATCTCAAAAAAGAGAGAGACCCTGGCAGACACTATCTTTCAGTCAAAGCCAAACAGAGATCTTCCCCACCTCATTCACTCTAAAGAAAATCAAGACAACATCTGAAAAATCTGGGCCCAGGCACTCCATGTATGCTCTCAAAGAAAGCCCGACTTCCAAGATACCGCTTTATGCACAAAAAGAAAGGATGCCTCCTGTCATTAACAGTGGAGAAATAAACAGAAAGTCTCGGGGTGTGACGACGTTCCCTGGCCCTGCCTGCATTTTCAACAGAGCATCAAGGCGCATTTCTGTCACTAACAGGACTACTGACTGCTGAGTTTCTTCAGCTCAAAGTAAACACCCTCTGTGAAATAAGAGGAGATGGGATCATCAGAGAAAGCAAACAGGAGTCTGGAAGAAGAAAAGGACCGGGCCCACCTCTTCTCTTCTAGTCTCAGAAACTCATTCCTATTTATGACTTATTTATAATCACTGCTGAGTCATACAGGGGGCTCGTAATAATCCACTGGGCTCAGCTCCTTGTTTTTTAGTGAGGAGAGGAAAGGCCCCAGACAGCAAATGAGGGGAAACAGTGAATTAGCAACCTGGGCAAGAACCAGGTCTCTGTACAAACCTTCCCATCTTATACCATATAGTCATATACCATACACACACACAAATACCATATACTCATATACCACATATACATATACTCATATGCCATATACACAAATACACATACACTCACCATATACACACATACATACACACAAATACCATATACTCACATACCATATACACATTTACCATATACTCATATGCCATACACACACAAATATATACCCATATACTATATGCTCACCATATACACACACGCAAATACAACACACACATACATACTTATATACCATACACACACATACATATACTCACATATACCCAATATACAAACATACCCATATACCATATACTCATCATATACCATACACACATACATATACTCAAATATACCCATATACCATATACTGTCATACCATATACACACATACATATACTCATACCATATACCCAATATACATACATATACCATATACACACATACATATACTAAAATGCCATATACTTATATACCATATATTCTTAATTATAGTGTAACAGTATAATATAATTACAGTATAGTATAAATAAAAACTGACAACCTATGGACTATTTTTGTATTGTTGGTTGTATGTGTTTGTCTGGCCCAAATAGAGTTTTGGGGTTTTGTTTTTGTTTTTGTACCACAGGGTCTCACTCTCTCACCCAGGCTGGAGTGCAGTGATGCAATCATAGCTCACTGCAACCTTGAACTCCTGGGCTCAAGCAATCCTCCTGCCTCAGCCTCCCAACGTGCGGGAATTACAGACATAAGCCACCAAGCCTAGCCAGTTTTTGTTTTTAATGAAATTGATTGTCAGCTTTTAAAAACTAGGAGAGTTCCTGTAATAATCTAGAGTTCTGTTTTTCCTGACAATTCAGTCCGACAATGTGGGTTAAGCTGGCAAGAGCCACATCCTTTACAAATTTCAAAACTTCACCTTACCCCCTGACCCCCAAAAAAGCTGACGTATCCAATAGGCACAGGAGACATTCAGGTATCTCAGCTAAGAGCTCAAGCTTTGCAGCAGACAGGCCTGGGCCTGAAGGCCAAACTCTACCACAAACCATGGTTGATCCTTGGGTAGGTAACTTGCTTCTCTGTGCCCCAGTTTACACTTCTGTGAAACATAGATATTACCTACTTTAAAGGTTGTTGTAATTTTTAAAAAGTTTTAATTTACAGACAGCAAAATTCACTTTTGGGAGAATACAGTCCTATGAGTCGTAACACCTGCATAGATTCCTGTAACCACCACCACAACCAAAACACAGAGCAGGTCCATCTCCCGAAGAGTTCCCTCCCAATGTGTAGGCAAACCCTCCTGCACTCCAACCCCCAGCTATCACTCATCTGTTCCCCATCTCTGTAATTCTGCCTTTTCTGATATATTTTTTAAGGAAATCCTGTTTTGTTAGCTACAATAACTTCATCATTATCCAGGGTGCTCCCTTTCATTGTCCCTGTCTGGGGAAAGTCGTTCCACGGCTGACAGACAGAATCAAGCCCTATAAAGCATTTGTTCAGTCCCTGGGCAGTCACTGGAGAATTCCTTAACATTGCCCTGCTTGTTCTGATCTCCTCCCCACCCACGGCACTTCCATCGGTCCCTAGCTGATCCTCTTCCCGTTAGGTCATTGCAATCCCAGCCCACAAAACGCCCACATTCCCAATGCTCTTGTTCCTGCTGACGAAGATAAGAAATGTGTCCTGAACCGGAAGAGCTGCCAGGGGAGACACAAGAGGGCCTCGGTTCCCCTGGTGCTCACCCACCACCATGCCCACCCACCAAGACACACAACAGGAAGAAACCTTTCACTCCCACAACAGATCAAGCCAAACTGAAAGACCCACAGTGTCACGAGGAAGCCCAATGACCACCCAGTTTCAGCAAAGAGCTATTCTTGACAAGCATGACTGGCAGAGAGGAAATGTCACCGTGAGAACGCCTCCAAACAGCATTTCTTTTCAGGGTGTGGAGGTGGAAGGAGGGTGTGAGAAAGCAAACCACAGATTTGGGAACAATGAATGTTCCCAAGGAAGCACGTGTGTCCCTTTTCACTCAAGTGAGGAACCAACTGGTTGGTCTGAATGGGAGCCCCGAAAGCAACTGCCCTGACCATCCTATTACATCAGGGCTGTACTCACAGGTGAGCCAGGATTGGAGCCAGGCTGTGCTCCAGCCCTGCTGCCTCTGGGATCCTGGGCACCCCATGCCTCCTCTCCAGACCTCCCTCAGTTTCTCCATCTGAAAATGGCACTGTAGGACAAGATGGACCTGGAGGGCGCCAACCACCAAAGGCGTGGAATTCACACTTAAGCGTCACTGGGCACAGGTGGCCGCCCTCTCTTTCTGAAACCCCCATACTGGAGGCTCCAGGGCAACACACTCCCCTGGTGTGGCTACTCCACCCCTTGCTTCTCCTCCTCAACCAGAACTCCACATCCTCAATGTCCCAGGGGCCTCACTCCTGCTCAATGCTCTACCCCTGACTCGCAACCTCAGTAAGCCAATGGGGCTGGAGTCTTTGTTGAGTGAGGCTGTCCTATGCACTGGGGGATGTTTAGCGCAACTCTGGCCACCAATCATTAGATGCCAGCAGTGTCCCCATCACCCCCTCAAAGTCATTTCAAGAACTACCACTCTAACCCAATCCCACGTACACGTCAAGATTCCCAGAATTACACCTCCTGCCTGAACCTGGCCACAGGGAACCCTAATTCCTGCCTCCAGCTGCCCTATTGACCTCTCCACCTAGGGGTGTAACAGCTGCTCAAATTTACATAATCTAAACTAGACCCTTGGCTTCTCCTGCCATACCCAGATCTGTCAGCACAATTACTGACACAATCTAGAAATTCTCTGTTGGGGGCCCTGTTCTACATTTTGTAGGATGTTGGGTGGTATCTCCCTGGCCTCCCTCCATTAGGTGCCAGGAGCACCCCAACCCCAGGTGTGACAACCAAAAATGTCTCCAAACATTGCCAGTGGGTGGGGAAGTGTTACAAAATTGCCCCCAGATGAGAATGGTTGACTGATATGGACTATTTGAAACACAGCACCGAGGGCTTCTTCTGAGATGTGAAGTCCATTCACATCCCTCCTGCGCTGAACCCTCCATCCACACCAGGGTCTACGAGGCCCCCGTACTGTCTCCGACTCCACGGACTGGCCTCACCCTCACTCACTGGGATGCAGCCACCCTGGCCTCCTTGCTAATCCTACAACACACCCAGTTACTCCTATAGCACACCAACTTAATCCTAACCCTAGAGCCTTTAAAATCTCTTATTCCTTCTAGAATCTTTTTCCTCCTGACACTGGCATGGCTGATTTTTCTTGTCACGTAAACTTCAGCTCAAATATCGCCTCTCAAAGAGGCCCCGTTTAACCCCTCCACCTAAGTGAACTGTGACATCTGCTTCGCAACTTGCCCATCTCTTGCCTCATCACATTACCTTCCAGACATCCATCATGGTGTGAACTATCTTGGTGTGAACTGCCTCTCATGGTGTGAACTGCCTTGTTATTTGCCTTTATTATTTTCTCTATCTTTCTAAAAACCCAGCCTCTACAAGAGCAGGTCCTTAGCTGACTTGCTTTGTACTCTATTTCCATGCCTAGAATAGTGCACAGCACATAATAGATGTTCAAGAAAAATCAATGGTGAGGATGCAATGAATCAATCAATAATGAATCAACAGCAGCCGGGCACAGTGGCTCATGCCTGTAATCCCAGCATTTTGGGAGGCTGAGGCAGGCAGATCACCTTAGGTTGGGAGTTCGAGACCAGCCTGACCAACATGGAGAAACCTCATCTCTACTAAAAATACAAAATTAGCCAGGCGTGGTGGTGCATGCCTGTAATCCCAGCTACTCGGAGGCTCAGGCAGGAGAATCACTTGAACCTGGGAAGCAGAAGTTTGCAGTGAGCCAAGATCACGCCATTGCATTGCAGCCTGGGCAACAAGAGCGAAACTCCATCTCAAAAAAAATAATAATAATAAGGAATCAATAATGGGCCAGGTGCAGTGACTTATGCCTGTAATCTCAGCACTTTGGGAGGCTAAAGTGGGAGGACTGCTTGAGGCCAAGAGTTCAAGACCAGCCTGGGCAACACAGCAAGACCCAATCACTACAAAAAATTAGCTGAGTATGTAGCTAAAAACTAGCTAGGCCTGTAGTCCTAGCTACTCAGGGAGGGTGAGGCAGGAAATAGCTTGAGCCCAGGAGTTCAAGGTTGCAGTGAACTATGATTACACCACTGCACTCCAGCCTGGGTGACAGAGTGAGACCCCATCTCTAAAAAAACAGTTATCATCATCATCATCATCATCATCATCATCATCATCATCATCATCCAGGGAATAAAGACCAGAGTGTAAGAATTAGAAGAAGAGAATTAAGGAATATCAGAGTATGCTGCACATAGGAAAGGTAAGTACTGATTCCTCCTACTTGCTTCTGTGCCATGGGTATAATTTGCAAATAGAACTGGGTTAATGTGGTCAAGGACAACTGAGGTGGAAACACTGGCCTGGATAAAAGCACTTTGGGCCAGGCATGGTGGTTTATGCCCGTCATCCCATTACTTTTGGAGGCAGAGGTGGGTGGATCACCTGAGGTCGGGGTTTGAGACCAGCCTGGCCAACATGGTGAAACTCTGTCTCTACTAAAAATAGAAAACTTAGCCAGGTGTGGTGGCATACTCCTGTAATCTTAGCTACTCGGGAGGCTGAGGCAGGAGAATCACTTCAACCCAGGAGGCGGAGGTTGCAGGGAGCCGAGACCGCACCCTTGCACTCCAGCCTGGGCAACAAGAGCGAAACTCCATCTCAAAAAAAAAAAAGTAATTTGTATGTCAATAAGCCCCAAGAAATCCCTTACTTATTCTTTTCACAGATCTTTTCTCACCTTCATCCTCTGAAACTTTTGCATTTTTTGCATAGAGAAAAGAGTTGAAGGTTCAAGAACCACATACACAAGAGGATACGTCATTTGCAAAAATATCCACAGTTGCCACAGAAAGATACTGGCAAAAATTCTGACTGACCCAGGTTAAGATTCAGGATGCTGCCGGTGGTGGAGGTTTTGTCCGTTTTCGTCGTGATAGGAGCTGACAGTTGAGGAGAGAAGGGCTTTGGGCTGCCGGATAAACTCCCTGCTTGTCCCGTCTTGGTGGAGGCTGGTGAAGCTGAAAAAGTATGGCATTGTTAAAAGACAGGTTTACAAATAAACAAGTAGAACGTGTAGGTGTGGTGTAGGGAGAGAATGGAGAGATTATGAAATTGTGTTTGATTTCAGCAAGGCCGCTACAGTATCACGAATGGGGTGGGGTGGAGCATAGCAGGTTGGCCATTTATTTTCAGCAAAGGGCTTTAACCGGATGTGAAACCGTTAAAGCCACAAATGAAGAAGGTCTCCCCAGTTACTCTATTAAGCACAAAGCTCTAAGACAAATCGGCTAAGCTGCCACTGAAATTGGTTTGGCCCATTCACGGATATAAATCTCAACATAAATAGCGATTAAACCAACCCCCACATGGTCCAGATGTGGAGAACGGGAGCCAGGCTTACAAATGCGTATCATCTGTTTGTGGAAAGACACCACGGCCAGCTCACACGCAGCCACTGCACCTGCCAGGGACCAACTTGGCCCCTTGGGAAATCTCCAGCTCCCATTTCAAAGGTTCTTGAGGCTATGTAAAGCCAAACCCAGTACCAGATGGAGTGAGGGAGACGTTGGTAAATTATGTCCTTCTTTACTGTATTTCAAACTTTCACAGGAGGAGAGAGAACTGTACCTATGCCTAAGGCTTTTAAAAATACCTTAAAATGACCTACGACCTGCTTCTCCCCTGCCTCATTTCACAGGGTTAGGACAATAAACCACTTACGTTTAAAAAAGCAAGCATTCATAGGGGCCAACAAGCGTCCTAAAGATCCTTCAAATCCTGCCCCTTTGTCCTTGCCCCTCCATGGTACTGGGACTGTCCTGTTAATGCCTCTTGGGCCCATTTAAAAACAGCTGGGACTAAAGGCATCACTAACAACAATGACAGCCAACTCTTCCAAGATGAGCAAGAAACATTCTGAGTTGATCTGGTGCTGGAAAGAAATTTGTGGATGGCAAATTGGAGTTAGGAACTGAGACTCCCCAGGGGCTTCGAAAGTGCTGGGACACTTGTGTGGGCAGCACTTGCCTCAGTTTCCTCACCTGACAAATTAGAAAACTCAGAACAAGGCTTCAGTGTGTTGAAACTCACATACCACTCGGCTGGTGAATCCAAGTAAGCTAGGCAGCTCTGGTGCCAGGACCTGCCTGCATTACTGTTAATGTAATATAGTGGGAAAGACTCCAGAAGTAAAGAGGCCTGGATTCAAGCACAGATTAGAAGCCAGACACTGTGGATTCAAGCCCCGGCTCAGCTGTTGCCCTGCTGTGTAACCCTGGGCCAGTTACTGGCACCTCTGCCTCCCTCTTCCTGGCAGCAGCAAAGAGAGACACTAATAATATGATACAAAGGGACAATAACAGTAGCTACATCTCATCAGGCTGCCGTGAGGATTAAATCAATCATCTGAACAGTGCCTGGCATGCAGTAAGTACTCTGTTACTGTTTGCTATTAGAGTGGTTTTATTTTCTATTTCCCCATTAACCTCTAGGGCTTTGGGGTTATCCTCTGAACCACTGATTCTCAGCTATGAGCAATTCTTCTCTCCAGGGCACACTGGGCATTGCATCCAGACATTTTAGGAGAGTGGGGGGTTGCTACTGGCATCTAGGAGCTAGAGACCAAAACGCTGCTAAATCTGCTGCCATGCACAGAGCGGCCCCCCACAAGAAAGAGTTATCTGGCCCCAAACGTCAAAAGTGCTGAAACTGACACGCCGCATAGGGATGGAGTAGGCATGCAGCTGGGAATCCTTTTCCTCATCCGGGAATGATAAGGGAGTGAGGATCAATGTCGTCGATCTATGTCAATTGGCGCCGAGCAAGTGCTCAATAAATATTAGAAATTGTTTTAAGAAATAAGTTTTCTTTGCTTTTGTTTTTTTGAGATGGAGTCTCGCTCTGTCACCCAGGCTGGAGTGCAGTTGTGCAATCTCGGCTCACTGCAACCTCTGCCTCCTGGATTCAAGCGATTCTCCTGCCTCAGCCTCCCAAATAGCTAGAACTTCAGGCTCCTGCTATCACACCCGGCTATTTTTTATATTTTTACTAGAGACAGGGTTTTACCATGTTGGCCAGGCTGGTCTGGAACTCCTGGCCTCAAGGGATCCACCCGCCTCAGCCTCCCGAAGTGCTGGGATTACAGCCATGAGTCACTGTGCCCAGCCTATAATTAAGTTTTTAACACAATAAATCTGTTTTACTGCAAGAATTAATAGAATTGGCCTAGCACGTGGCATGCCACATTCCTTCACTGGGGGGGGCTGCTATATTATTACTAGTCCTATCACTGGTACTGTAAGACATAGAACTGAAGTGTTTGTTACACGAAGAAACAAGAATATGCCAGGTGCGGTGGTTCACCCCTGTAATCCCAGCACCTTGGGAGGCTGAGGTGGGAGGATCACTTGAGCTCGGAAGTTCGAGACCAGCCTGGGTAACATGGCGAAGCCTCATCTCTACTAAAAATACAAAAAATTTAGCCGGGCATGGTGGCACACGCCTGTAGTCTCAGCTACTTGGGAGGCTGAGATGGGAGGATCCATTGAGCCTGGGAGGTCAAGACTGCAGTGAACCGTGATCATGCCACTGCACTCCAGCCTGGGACACAGAGAGAGACCCTGTCCCCAAAAAAATATATATACATATATATATATATAGGCATTTTAACGGAAGTATTACCAATAAAATCTTTAGCATTAGAATTTTTAACCTTATTAATTCATTTATGTTCTACCTCATTCCAAAAGCAATTTGCAGCTGCTCAAATATCTGTGTAATAGATTCCCCTTGAGGATTAAAGACCGGGGCTTCTCTAATTGTATTCCCATAAGCAAACTGGCAAGGTCTAACAGGGAGGGCCTTACTATACTATCAAATACCCTGCTTGGGACTGCAGAGAACATTGACAAGGACGTCCAACCCTAAAGGGTAGCAGGAACAAACAAACAAAAACACGCAAAGATGCTGTTGCACGTAGAACACAGCCAAGTGAATCCATTTTCCTGCTCGACAGGTCAAGTTTGTTTGTTTGTTTGTTTGTTTGTTTTGAGACAAAGTCTTGCTCTGTTGCCCAAGCTGGAATGCAGTGGGGTGATCTCAGCTCACTGCAACCTCTGCCTGCCAGGTTCAAGCAATTCTCCTGCCTCAGTCTCCGGAGTAGCTGGGGCTACAGGTATGTGCCACCATGCCCAACTAATCTTTTTGTATTTTTAGTAGAGACGGGGTTTTGCCATGTTGGCCAGGCTGATCTCGAACTCCTGACCTCAGGTGACCCACCCACCTCGGCCTCCCAAAGTGCTGGGATTACAGGTGTGAGCCATCACGCCCAGCCTATTTTTATAATTCTGTATATACATTCATGTGTGCTAAAAAATTAATAACTAGAACAGGCCTTTAATTTGATAGATCTATTTCCTTTGTTAATAAATAAACAAGTGTTGAGATTTAAGAGGTATGTTCTAAATATTAAAAAATGGTTTTAAGCATAGCACTTGGATATGGCAAGAATAAGGGTGTCAGGAAAACATTGGTTTCCCATGGAGATGGGTCTGGTTCACACTCTACCCAGCCAGTGAAGGGCAGGGCCCATCCTCCTAAGGCATCTGGGACTGCAAAGCTTCATGGAGTCAGGAAAAGGACATACATGAGAGTCACTAGCAACCCACAAGCCTCACGCTGCAAAACCCTCCTCTGCATCTCCCTGAGAAACAGGTCTCCTATGTCCACCTCCTAGTGCCACCAATCCTACCTCCCCAGTGTGTGAAACACCCTGCACCTGCCTTGTCCTCCCAATATCATGAATGCCACGGCCACCCACCTGGTGGCTCAAGGCCAAACACACCTGGATCATTCTTTTTGTTTTTGGGGGGGAGGGGGGCGGGGAGAGAGATGGAGTTTCACTCTTGTTGCCCAGGCTGCAGTGCAATGGTGCAATCTCAGCTCACAGCAACCTCCACCTCCCGGGTTCAAGCGGATTCTCCTGCCTCAGCCTCACAAGCAGCTGGGATTACAGGCGCCCACCACCACGCCCGGCTAATTTTTGTATTTTTAGTAGAGATGGGGGTTTCACCATGTTGGCCAGGCTAATCTGGAACTGCAGACCTCAGGTGATCTACCCACCTAGGCCTCCCAAAGTGCTGGGATTACAGATGTTTGAGCCACTACACTCAGCCCATTCTTAATTCCTCCTTTGCTCTCATGCCTGAATTTACCCAAATCTTCAGGAAGAACTCTGCACTCCTCTTCCTAAACATATCCCAAATCTCTGCACTCATCTCCACCTCCCCTACTATCACCCTAGTCCATGCATCTCAACAGGGACCATATGGCCCCCAACGGGGCAAAAATAATTTTTAGGGGGTGAAAAAATCTTATCTTACTATTCCTTTTATGTACAAAGCACTCTGTGTGTGTGTGTGTGGTGTGTGGTGTGTATAGACAGTACATAAACAGATCTACAATATTTTCAAATTTCATGAAAGTTCACTCTTAGGTAAGTACCTATCCAAAATTGAAAATAGGTACACAAACAAATCCTTGGATACGAATGTGCACAAGCAGCACTGTTCACAATAGGCAAGAGGTAGAAACAACTGACTGTCCATCAATGGACAAACTGAAGTATCCCCACAATAGAACGTTACCGAGCCATAAAAGGAATGAAGTTCTGATACGTGCTGCAGTGTGGCTGACTTGAAAACATGATGCTAAGTTAAAGAAGCCAGACACAAAAGGCCCCATATTCTTTCATTTCACTGAAACAAAATACCCAGAATAGGAAAGTCAGTTCAAACAGAACACAAATTGGTGGTTGTTAGGGGCAGGCTGTGGGGTGAGAGGTAGGGGTGGAAGTTTGTGGGGGATGGGGAGTGGCTGTTTGGTGGGTACAGGGTTTTATTTTGGAGCGATGGAAATGTTTTAGAACTAGACAGAGGTGGTGGCTGCACAGCACTGTGAATGCACTAAATGCCACTGATCTGTTCAAAATGGTAAATTTTATGTTATGTGAATTTGACCTCATTTTTTTAAAAGATCTCAGGGGGAGTAAATAGGAAGAAAATGTCTAAAATGGTTCAGGGCCGGGGCGGGGGGGGGGCAATTAAAAGACTGGGCAACACTGCCCTGCCTATCATTTCCCATGGAGACCCCGTAAGCACTTCCCACAGGTCTCCCCACCATGTGCACAGCACCCTTCTTCCAGGGCACTCTCCACACAGCAGCCAGGGCAGAACCCCTGAAATGAGGGCATATTGCTCCATCACCTAAAAACATCCAGAGGCACCTCATTCCCCAGAATAAAATCCAACGTCCTCTCCAACCTCAAACCCAACCTTTCCTTTCTACCTCCTGGAATGTCCGGCCACAGTGACCTGAGGGCCACCCTGGAAGATCAAGTCTGTTCACACCTCAAGCCTTTGTGCCTGAGGTTCCCAAGGGAAGGCTTTCACGCCCACCCTAGATCACACTGGCTCGAATTCCTCCATGGTCAGGTCCCAGCTCAAACATCACCTCCTCGAAGGCCTCCCTTGTTGGCCACCTAAAGTGGCCCAGTGCCTCTGGCCTACTGTCTTTCCTTTTGACATGAAAATATTGGCCCTGAAAGAGCAGGATCTGCGCTGGCCAGCAGGCATCCAGGATACCTCTGGATGCTTATCAGGTGCATAATACATTCACTGAATGAGCAGTGCATAAAATAATTGAAGAAGGAGGTTTCCATTTCTCTTCTCACTGCTGTAGTCATGATAAGCAATAAACAAACAATGACGAGGCCGGTCGCAGTGAGTCTCGACTGGTCCAACACTTCGGGAGGCGGAGGCAGATGCATCACTTGAGGTCAGGAGTTTGAGACCAGCCTGGCCAACATGGTGAAACCCCGTCTCTTTTTTTTTTTTTTTTTTTTCAGAAGGGAGTCTCGCTCTGTCACCCAGGCTGGAGTGCAGTGGCACAATCTCGGCTCACTGCAGGCTCCGCCTCCCGGGTTCACGCCATTCTCCTGCCTCAGCCTCCCGAGTAGCTGGGATTACAGGCGCCCGCCACCATGCCGGGCTAATTTTTTGTATTTTTAATAGAGACGGTGTTTCACCATGTTAGCCAGGATGGTCTCGATCTCCTGACCTCGTGATCCGCCCGCCTCGGCCTCCCAAAGTGCTGGGATTACAGGTGTGAGCCACTGTGCCCGGCCCTGGTGAAACCCCGTCTCTACTAAAAATACAACAAGCAGTCAGGCGTGGTGGTACACGCCTGTAACCCCAGCTGTTCAAGAGGCTGAGGCAGGAGAATCGCCTGAACCTGGGATGCGGAGGTGGCGAGTGAGCCGAGATTACACCACTACACTCCAGCCTGGGTGACAGAGACTCCATCTCAAAAAAAAAGAAAAAGAAACAATGACAACCAGATAAAACCTTTTTCATACAAAAATATCAAACAATCTCCCCAATGTTATACACCTACTAAACACAAGGTGCTTGCTAAAAGAGTGATTAACAATCCAAAGAAGAGATATGACAAGGCCGGACGCAGTGGCTCACACCTGTAATCCCAGCACTTCGGGAGGCCAAGGCAGGCAGATCATCTGAGGTCAGGAGTTCGAGACCGGCCTGGCCAACATGGCAAAACCGCTCTCTACTAAAAATAAAAAACCAGCCAGGTGTGTTGGCACATGCCTGTAATCCCAGCTACTTGGGGGGCTGAGGCAAGAGAACTGCTTAAACCTGGGAGGCGGAGGTTGCAGTGAGCCGAGATCATGCCACTGCACTCCAGCCTGGGCAACAGAGTGGGACTCCATCTCAAAAAAAATAAATAAATAAAAATAAAGAAACAGATATGACTAAGCAGATCACAAAAAAATCCAAGTCAATATACATGAGGGTGTGGGTGGTACTGGCATGGAGGCCAGAGATGGTGCTCAGCATCCTAGGTGCACAGAACAGCCTCACAATACAGAATTATCTGGCCTTAAATGTCAGTGGTCCTGAGGTTGAGAAAAACCTGCTTCGAATCACTCCAGACATTTCAAAAGCAAAAAGACTTGGAAATGCTTGTTTCAATTAAAACTCTGAAACAGATGCCAATCCTTTTATAAAGCCATACATTTTGCCCAAAGGAAGAACTAATTGCCTCTGAAGTCACAAATAATTTTACCAGATTTCATATTTTGATGTACAATTCACAAGTGTGGGCTGAAACACATCATTTATTATCTACATTTACAAAATCCTGGCCTGCGTGAAGGGTTGTTCTGACTACAGTAGGAAACATGAGCCTTGGAATTAAATTAGGAAAAAAATGCCCTTTCCCTCCCATGCACCCCAGCACTCTGGGTGGGGTGGAAAGGCAGAGTGAATGATTCACGCTAAATGTCCTCCAGTTATAAAACCTCAGAAACAACCTGTATGTTCAAAGTGCCGCACCTTGCACAACTCCTATGGTGCCATGCACAGATGAGCAGAGCATGGCCAGATGGTCTAGGATGGGTCAGGATGTGTTGGTAAAAATGCTGTTTTGAAGGGTTATTCACTAACACAGAAACATATTCAGAATACAAGGCTATGGACCAGGCATGGTGCCTCATGCCTATTATCCCAGCATTTTGGGAGGC
Source organism: Homo sapiens (assembly GCF_000001405.40). Taxonomy (NCBI): domain Eukaryota; kingdom Metazoa; phylum Chordata; class Mammalia; order Primates; family Hominidae; genus Homo; species Homo sapiens. The sequence goes on from NC_000020.11 coordinate 47,270,009, forward strand.
TGAGGCAGGCAGATCGTTTGAGCCCAAGAGTTTGAGACTAGCCTGGGTAACACAGCAAGACATCATCTATACTAGGTGTATAGCTAGGTGTGGTGGCGCACACTTGTACTCCTAGCTACTCAGGAGGCTGAGGCAGCGGGGACTGCTTGAGCCCAAGAGTTGAAGGCTACGGTGAGCCATGATCACACCACTGAACTCCAGCCTGAGTGATAGAGTGTGACCCTGTCTCTTAAAAAAAAAAAAAATCCCAGCTACTCGGGAGGCTGAGGCAGGAGAATCGCTTGAACCCAGGTGGTAGAGTTTACAGTGAGCCAAGATCGCACCATTGCACCCCAGCCTGGAAGACAAGAGTGAAACTCCATCTCAAAAAAAAAAAAAAAAAAAGTTTTTTTAATGTATAAAAATAAAAAATTAAAAAAGAATACAAGGTTAAGCTTTAAAAAAATAAATTCTACAGTCTACACCAGACATTGCAAACAGGTGATCCATGAACCAAGGAGTCCACAGGTGCATTTAATGTGATGTAGCTTTTATTTAGTTAAAAATGTGAGCCAGTACATAAAAGTTGATAGCTGGGTGTGGTGGTATGTGCCTGTAGCCCCAGCTACTCAGGAGGCTAAGGCGGGAGGATCGCTTAAGCCCAAGAGTCTGAGACCAGCCTGGGCAACATAGTGAGGACCCTGTCTCTGAAAAAAAAAAAAAAAAAAAAAAGAAAGAAAGAAAAAGAAAAAGCTGGAGTAGTTCCCATTTTTTTTAATTTGAGGGTTCTCTTGAAAAAACAGAAATCGGCCGGGTGCAGTGTCTCACGCCTGTAATCCCAGCACTTTGGGAGGCAGAGGCGGGCAGATCACGAGGTCAGGAGATCGAGACCATCCTGGCTAACATGGTAAAACCCTGTCTCTACTAAAAATACAAAAAATTAGCCGGGCGTGGCGGCAGGCACCTGTAGTCCCAGCTACTCGGGAGGCTGAGGCAGGAGAATGGCGTGAACCCAGGAGGCGGAGCTTGCAGTGAGCCGAGATCGCACCACTGTACTCCAGCCTGGACGACAGAGTGAGACTCCGTCTAAAAAGAAAAAAAAAAGAAAGAAAAACCAGAAATCTCTCAATACAGAGCCCATACTCCTATGTGGCAAGAACCAGCAGGAGGAAAAGGTCCCTGGTCTCTTTCAGAAAGGCACAACTCTCTAGCTCAGCGTCTTGGGAGCTCATGACCTATTAGCCGTGTGTAACACTTATGGGTAACATGGGTGTGTAAAACTTACCCAAGAGCTACTGACTCTTCTGACACATGGTGCATGCTAGCATTTGCCCTATTGTATTTCCTTATGAAAGAGCTGCTTATCATTGTAGCACTAAAGTAGCCCCAAGCTGCTGTAGTACCTCTAGCATGCACTATGTATCAGAAAAGTCCGCACCCCTTGGGTTAAGTGTTATACACCCATATGCACACAAAAGCACACGATGTGTAACAGGTATGGAAAGAAACGTATGTCTGCTTTCATTCATCCCAGTCTCTACCTACCACTCCCCAACCTCACTCACTGCCATATCTGCCTGATCCCTGTATTTGAGCTTTCAGCTTAACAGTAGGACTTATAACCACATATAAAAAGCGCTGGAAACACAATCTAAGGACTGGCTGTGAGAGGTGAGATTCTCAGTGACTTTATTTCATTGACTGATCGATTGAGATGGAGTCTCGCTCTGTCTCCCAGGCTGGAGTACAGTGGCGTGATCTCAAGCTCACTGCAACCTCCACCTCCCGGGTTCAAGTGATTCTCCTGCCTCAGCCTCCTGTGTAGTTGGGACTGCAGGCGTGTGCCACCACGCCTGGCTAAGTTTTTGTATTTTTAGTAGAGACGGGGTTTCGCCATGTTGGCCAGGCTGGTCTCAAACTCCTGACCTCAAGTGATCCGCCCACCTCGGCCTCCCAAAGTGCTGGAATTACAGGCATGAGCCACTGCACCCAGCCATCAGTGACTTTAAATTCTGTAATAAAGAACTAATTTATGACAAAAACATATTGATTTCACAATTATAAAAAAAGGGGGGGGGGAGTAATATGAAACCTCTTTTTTTTTCTTTGAGACAGAGTCTCACTCTGTTGCCCAGGCTGGAGTGCAGTGGTGCGATCTCGGCTCACTGCAAGCTCTGCCTCCCGGATTCAAGCAATTCTCTTGCCTCAGCCTCCCAAGTAGCTGGGATTACAGGCACATGCCACCACGCCCAGCTAATTTTTTGTATTTTTAGTAGAGACGGGGTTTCACCGTGTTAGCCAGGATGGTCTCAATCTCCTGACCTCGTGATCCGCTTGTCTCGACCTCCCAAAGTGCTGGGATTACAGACGTGAACCACCGCACCCGGACCCTCTTTCCTTTCTTAAATGGTAACTCACAGTGTAGCTACCAGACCAAAGGACCATTAGCCCAGAGGGTGGTGAATGTCAGGCCCCCCGACTCTGACCCTAATACATATTAATAACTTACATCGAGATCGCGCAAACAAATACCGGTGAAGGTAACCATTCTGGCCAGGAGGTCTATATAAAGGGGAAACTACAAAAATCACTCAGAATATTAACCACTTAGGCCACCTAGCTAGCAAGATTATAGGACACTGTGAGTTAAAGACTTCTGGCTGAGCAAAGTGCTTCTTAGAAAGCTAAATATCCAGTTCTAAGGATTATAGGCACACAGCTCTGAGTTCTCCAATCTTCTAAACAAAAACAAGATTTCTACACTGTTGTACAAGTTTTATGCAATAACATTTCAATCTGTAGTTTTATGTTACTGGTTACAAAACTTTCACTGGTGAGGCTACTATATTATTTTCTATTCTATGACATGGCAATTATTTTACACGATTTTGGGTGAACTACTGTCTTATCTCAATTATATTATCCTGACTGTGGAAGCATTTTAATACAAATTTCCCATCTCCCTCCACTAAATGCTATTATCACTGCTAACAGCAGATGGCAGTAGGGTGCAGAGAAAGGAAACAGGTATGGATGCAGAATCTGGCTGTGGGGACTTTCACACCTCCCTTACACTCTGCATGGCTCTCAATTTGCCTTCTGTAAAATGACTCAGTTTCTTCTAATCCTCTTAGTCTGTAATAGTGGTTGGCAAACTATAGCTCAAGGGTCAAATTGGGCATATCACCTGTTCCTGAGGGGCCTGCAAGCGAAGAAAGGTATTTTAACATTTTTTTAATGGTTGGGGGGAAAAGAATTAATAGCTCATGAAACATGCAACTTATATGAAATTTAAATTCCAGTGTCTGGACACCTCGGGAGACTGAGGCGGGTGGATTACCTGAGGTCAGGAGTTTCAGACCAGCCTGGCCAACATGGTGAAACCCTGTCTCTACTAAAAATACAAAGAACATCTGGGCATGGTAGCGCATGCCTGTAATTCCAGCTACTCAGGAGGCTGAGGTGGGAGGATTACTTGAACCCAGGAGGTGGAGGTTGCAGTGAGCCGAGATCGTGGCACTGCGCTCTAGCCTGGGCAACAGAGCAAGACTTCATCTCAAAAAATATAAAAATTTAAATAAGTAAATAAATTCCGGTGTCCATTAAAAAAGTCTTAACTGTCTACGGCTGCTCTATTTTCTTCTATCTAGCTAGCTGTTTATTGAGCTAGGGTCTCACTCTATTGTCCAGGCTGGAGTGCAGTGGCACAATCACAGGTCATTGTGGCCTCAAACTCCTAGGCTTAATTGATCCTCCCAGCTCAGCCTCCTCAGTAGCTGGGACTACAGCAGCTTGTGGCTACGTTACTGCAACAATGACTAAATAGTTGCAGAGTTGGAAAAAAGACCCAAAAAGCCTAAAATACATACTATCTAGCCCCTGACAGAAAAGGGGGCAATTTGTAAGAGTAAAATAATTTTCAATATCACTCTCTCTTCCTACACTACACATTGGCTAATTCATGATTAGTAAAATGACCTAAGCACATACCAGCAAGGAGATTATATTTTAGGAAAGGGACTTTAAAGTCTACTCAAATGGGGGATTCAACTAACTTCTCACCTAAAAAGCACTCAAAGAATGAGGTATATTTTTCCAGGAAGTCTGATGTCATTTATCTTTCTCCTTTTGTACCTCCCAAGGGAAGACAGAAGCTAAATTAAACACATTATCCCTGTTCTTATATTCCTATAAAACTGAATTTTTTGAAATGTGGTGCAGGAGAACCAATGGTCATATATATGCCATGTTTCATTTTACTAGTTATGTATTAATTTCACATATATTAGGAAAAGCCACAACAAGCAATTTAAACACACGAGCCTATACATTGTGTTTAGCTTAGGACAAAGCTGCATTACAATTTTCATATTTAAGTATGTAATAAAATACGGCAGAAAACCATGGCAATGAAAGTTCAGGCAACACTAATTCACAAAGTCGCTGCCAAGGTTAAAATTTTAAACATTTCCTGAAAAGCATGCTCTTTATGGGAATTAATGTGCCGAAGGATTGTGTAATTAAGTACCATGTTTTGTGAACTTGGCTTAAATGGAACCGTGTCATGAAACAAAGTAAGCTTTTAAGGACTCTGGTCAGAAACAAGGGGGTAAAAAGGAAGACTTTTCTGAAACTGTGTCAACACAAATTATGTCAATTCCAAAACAAAGCTCTATGACTCAACCATGAGTGTCTAGGACCACACAGCTATGAATCAGAACTAGAGAAAGATATAGACTGCAGCCTTTATTTTACAGAACCAAAAGCCACAGGCTCTCTCTACCCCTCCTACCACCATCTGGGGAGCAGCTAGAAGCAGTTCTTGAAAATAACCCAAGGAAAAGAAAAAAGAAAAAAAATTTCCCAAGAAACAACACAAGCAAAGTCAGTAGAATTATTTGAGTTCACAACTAAATCCTCATTATTTTAACTCTTGGGGACATTCATGGTATCCTGAAGAACTGATGCTTGCTCCTTAAAGAATTCCTGTGTGAAGGGAGTGAGGGAGAGAGGGAGGGAGAGAGAGAGAGACCAAGGAAGGAAGCGAGTGTGAAAGGCTGTCCAAGGCTTTAGGCCAGAAGCCTAAAGCTGGTACTCCAACCTGCTTTATTCATTCTAGAAAATCTTCCAAGACATCTTAAACTGACATTTAATAATTGGAGATTTTACTTAAAAACCTGACATTTAAGAATTGGAGGTTTTACTTAAAAACTCAGACTTTGGGCCAGGCCCAGTGGCTCACACCTGTAATCCCAGCACTTTGGGAGCCCAAGGCGGGTGGATCACTTGAAGTCAGGAGTTCGAGACCAGCCAGGCCAACATGGTGAAACCCTGTCTCTACTAAAAATACAAAAATTAGCTGGACATAGTAGTGCGCGCACCTGTAATCCCAGCTACTCGGGAGGCTGAGGAACGACAATCACTTGAACCCAGGAGGTGGAGGTTGCAGTGAGCTGAGATGGTGCCACTGCACTCCAGTCTGGGTGACAGAGCGAGACTATGTCTCCAAAAAAAAAAAAAAACACAACACAACTATTAAAGGATATGACCTTTAAGGGAATGGGATCACACTGGGAAGACAGAGTACTATTATTGTTTTTTACCTTTTTTTGTTTTTGTTTTTTGAGACAGGGTCTCACAAGGGGTCACACTTTGCCCAGGCTGGAATACAACAGCGCAATCATAGCTCACTGCAGCCTCAACCTCCCAGGCTCCGGCAATCCTCCCACCTCAACTATAGTCCCAGAGTAGCTAGGACTATAGACACACGCCACCACGACCAGCTAATTTTTGTATTTTTGGTAGAGACAAGGTTTTTGCCATGTTGCCCAGGTTGGTCTGGAACTCCCAAGCTAAAGCAATCTGACTGCCTTGCCCTCCCAAAGTGCTGGGACTACAGGCATGAGCCACGGCGCCTGGTCAAGTATTATTTTTTATCATATGTGTTTCTCTAAGATTTGCACTGTTTAATATGAATGTAGGGTTTTGACAGAAAAATACAATTTCAACTAAAACAAAATTATTTGTGTTATGGAAAGTCAATAATCCAAAATGCAGCGACATCTGAACAGAACTCCACAAGATTTCTGGCCATCTCCATCTACTTCTAGGTATAACCTCCAGGTGGCCTTTTGGGGACACTTTTCTCATTTCTGGGTTACTAGCAGCAAGAACTCCACTGGTGACTTCTTGAAAATCTGCTCTGTGGCCCCCTACAGTTCCCCACGATTGCTTGATGCTCACCTGCTTGGGCCCACCAAGTGTGCACCCATGGGAAACCCCCGTGTCCAAGGGGCCTCCTCCCCGCTCCCCCGCACGGAGCTGACCTGTGCTCTTATCCAGGAAGTCCATGGACTCCTCGCTCGCACTGAAGTGGCTCGACGTGGCCTTCTTCTCAGCATCCTGCTCCACGTCGGAGCCCGTGTGCACAGAAGAGTTTGTGCTCATGGGGGAGCGCGGCATATCCGACAAGGAAATCCGGCGGCCTGTGCCCCCACTCAGCACAGGCTTGCTCATCAGGATCTTGGGGGATGCCGTCATGTCAAAGTTGAGCTTGACCTTCTCCTGCTTGTCTATCTTGGCAGTGCCGGCGCTGGGGTTGGTGGGATCGAGCAGCATTTGATACTGGCTGTTGGGTGTGTAGGGTGTCCTAAATGGAGAGTAATTAAAAACCCCAAACTTCCTGCGGATGTTCTCCACGTAAACCTCCATCTCTTGCATGGCACTGTTGAAGATGCTCTTAGTCTTTTTCACAGAAAAAGGAATTTCTTTAGACATGAGGTAGCAATTATTTATTGGAACCCAGGCCCTAGAAGGGCAAAAGATAAAGAGAGTTTAAGTCAACTTCAGTAATTTCCAAGATTGCTTTTTTCTTGATGTGAACCAAATTAGCCAAGCATGTTTGCCAAGATTCTTATTCTATTAAAAAAAAAAAAAAAAAAACTTGGTTTGAAGGATTAATTAATGATCCATTTAACAAGCATGTTCTACCATAACAGAACATGAACAACAAAACTTCGGCGAAAACATTTAAAAGTGCAACAGACTTAGTCATTGTGAGCCACTAAAGAAACAATCCTCTTTGGTTTTCTCTTAGTAGAGAAAAATAAATCAGCCACTGCATCTGACAACACCTCTGAAAAGAGACTTATTCCTCAGGTTACACTCAGACATAAAAAGCTTCCTTTTCCCATTGCCATTTGAAATAGGAACAGAAGGAAACTTTGGAATACTGCATCCCTAAAAGGAGGTACATGTTTTTGAATGTAAGATAATTCACACAGAAAATCACTGAAAAAGGAGCCCATTCGCCTCCAGGCGTGCACTTTCCACCTCCCATCCCAGGCCAGTTCCATCTTCCTAACATCCATATCCCACATTCCAATTTTGCTCTGCAAAGACCCATGACAGCATGTTTTTGCAGAACAAACAATGCCAGCAGCAGCTTTTCTGGAACCAGAGCCAGTGGCCCCCGGGGGAGGTGCAAACACCACAACCGCTGCTGCGGGTGACCACGCAGCTGATACAGGGACATCCCAGAAATAACTTGGCTACCATGTATGATCTGCTGGCCTCAACCCAGTTTCTGGCTGGAAAAACTGGCGAGAATAAGCTTTCCAAGGAAGGCTTTTGTGGGGGATTTTTTGTTTGTTTAATTAATTCATTTTATTTATTTATTTATTTATTTATTTATTTATTTATTTGAGACAGTCTCGCTCTATTGCCCAGGCTAGAGCACAGTGGCATGATCTCAGCTCACTGCAACCTCCGTCTCCTGGGTTCAAGCAATTCTCCTGCCTCAGCTTCCCAAGTAGCCAGAACTGCAGGTGTGTGCCACCACGCCCAGCTAATTTTTGTATTTTTAGTAGAGACGGTGTTTCACTATATGTTAGCCAGGCTGGTCTTGAACTCTTGACCTCGTGATCCACCCACCTCAGCCTCCCAAAGTGCTGGGATTATAGGTGTTAGCCACCGTGCCCAGTCTTTTTTGCTTGTTTTTTTAAGAGACAAGGTTTCCCTCTGTCACCCAAGCCAGAGAGCAGAAGTATGATCAAGGCTCACTACAGCCTCAAACTCCTGGACTCAAGGAATCCTCCCAGATCAGCCTCCCAAGTAGTGGAAGTACAGGCACGCGCCACAACACACCCAGATAATTTTTTAACTTTTGTATACTTTTGTAGAGATGGGGTCTCGCTACATTACCCAGGATGGTCTTGAACTCCTGAACTCAAGCAATCCTTCCACCTTGGCCTCCCCAAGAGCTGGGATTATAGGTGTGAGCCGCTGCACCCAACCTCCAAGGTGGCCTTTTAGATTTCACAGACCACAAACTGAAGCCCGGTAGAAAGCAGTGGGGAGCAAAGGGGACTTTGCAGAAGCAGAAAACTCACGTCTGGTGGAAAGGGAGAAAGCAGTATCTACTCAGTTGCTATCCAAAGCAACCATGTAGGAATCTGGACCCAACACTGCCACGTTTTCCAATATTTTAAAGAGAAGAAGACAAAATAGACTTCTTATGTTACATTTTACCCCCATTTCAACAGTTGGCATCTAAGAGAAAACAACCCAGGAGAAATAAAGCACATCCCTGGGACCGAATTCACAATACAGGCGGATTGTTTGCAAGTCTCGGTGACACCAGATCGTAACACAAACTAAAACTAAACACCCCAAAAATATCGATCTGCTCTATCAGAGGGCTGGAAATCACCAGCTTCTCATCCATTCTGACTGCTGTCTTTCTCCTGAGACCTGAAGAACCATATCTCCACCAAGAGGGGCAGAGCAGAACAGAAGCCAGATGCTCTCAAGGTAAGAGTTTGCCTCACGGTGAGATTCTGCGTTCAAAGTGAGCGGGCACAGATCAGGACTACTAGACAGGACAGATCTGAGAAGGCATCAGGGTCTCCAGTGCTGTCCTAGGGCAAATGACTCCCCCTTCCTGAGCTAGCCTCAGCTCTGTCACCGAGAAAAAGGAGAGTGAGTCCTTCTCTGGAGAATCAAGAGGCAGGGCCACCAGGAGCTTATCACCAGTTGGTCCTGGTATCATAACCTCGCCCCCCTGACCTGCTCCACACCCACCTCACCCACACACTTCTGTCCGGTATCTAAGGCGCTCACTGTTCCCTTCCCCCAACTATTTTCCATGAAATTGCTTGGCAGGGAAGGAAAAGAGTCTCTTTTCTTTCAAACAAGTCCAAGGCTGGGCATGGTGACTCACACCTATAATCCCAGCACTTGGGGAGGCAGAGGCAGGAGGATCACGTGAGGTCAGGAGCTTGAGACCAGTCTGGCCAACACGGTGAAACCCCATCTCTACTAAAAATGGAAAAATTAGCCGGATGTGGTGGCACGCCCCTGTAATACCAGCTACTCAGGAGGCAGAGGTGGGAGAATTGCTTGAATGAGCCACTGCACTCCAGCCTGGGCAACAAAGCGAGACCCCGCCTCAAATAAATAAATAAATAAAACAAGCCTGGGTGACAGAGCAAGACCCCCCTCTTAAATAAATAAATAAATAATAAAACAAGCCCAGGAAGTATTTCAAGCGAAATTAGATTTGCTTGACAAAATAGAGTCTCTGCGGGGGACAATATCTAGTTTCACATTATCTCACATCTAACCCCACGGTGGCTTCTCCCTAGCTATGTGACCCTAGGCACTCTCTGACCTTAAGTTTTCTTATTGATAAAATAGACATAAAAGCAGCTTCTACAAAAAAGCACTTAAAACACTGCCCAGTACATAAAAGGCAATTGGTTGGTGTCCGCTTTTTTTTTTTTTTAACTCTGCAGGCATTTAATAAAATATTTCCTATATTTTTACATAACTGTGCATCTATAAAACAAAACCAGGCCAGGCACAGTGGCTTACGCCTGTAATCCCAGCACTCTGGGAGGCCAAGGCAGATGGATCGGTTGAATCCAGGAGTTCAAGACCAGCCTGGGCAACATGGCAAAACCCCATCTCTACTGAAAATACAAAAAATTAGTTGGGCGTAGTGGCACATGCCTGTAGACCCAGCTACTTGGGAGGCTGAGGCAGGAGAATGGCTGAATCCGGGAAGAGAAGGCTGCAATGAGCCGAGAGCTCGCCACTGCACACACCAGCCTAGGTGACAAACCAAGACTCTGCTCCAAAAAAAAAAAAAAAAAAAGAATGGTGGTCAGAGACTCCCTGCCCAAAGCCTACTAAAACATCCCAAGACCTCCAAAGTTGTTTCTCTACCACTGTGGAAGGTCCTGAACAACTCCCTCCAGGGGATCCCCTCTCCCAAAACAAGCCCAACAACACGGTGCACTCCCTTAAAGCAGGTGCTGAGAGGGGCTTCGAAACTGGTGACCATCAGACCCATGCTGCTTTCTTTTTCACAAACAGAAGGGGGCCAGCTTCCACGACAGCTCTCATCCAGAACCAAGACCTAAACACACAAATGGTTTTGGGAAACAGCTTCTGCACACAGAGCTGGCCAACTCACACGCCGTCCTTCATGCTCTGTAAGCCACCTTCAGTCGCTGTCTGACGGGTGAGAGATGGAGGTCCCTGCAGAGCAGTCACAGCTGAGAGACTACAGCCATCAACCATAAGGGTCTGGGAATATTGGGTGCAAGGGGGTAGGTATTATTTTTTCCCATCCTGCCTGTGTCCTAAGTATATCTACTCATACTGTATTACTGTATCAACCTATAGAGTAAGAATCTCAAATCATCAAGATGGTTCACATTTGTCATGCTCTGATGAAGAGGAGGGATGTACAGCCTGTCACCAATTCCTCCTGCTCTTCAAATAAAAAACAAACTCCTGCCTACCCCTCTGACTCCAGCTGTGAGCATCCTCTCCTCCCCGACCCTGTTTAAACCCCACTATTCTCCCAGCATTTCCTGAACCCTCTCAGCCTCAGCCCTTCCCCTCCCGACCTCTGCTCTTCCTGGTCCCTCATCCCAGATCTTCACACCAGGCCCCCACCACTACCTCCTGACCTGAGATTATCTTGCCTATTAGTTCACTTGTGTATCATCCTTCTTCCCCGCTAGGATGTCAGCCTTCACATGGGCAGAAACATTTGAATCACCAGCTTCCACTACACAGGCTGGCACGCAGCAGTCATCAAATATGTATTTCTTTGAATGAAGGAATACAGGAATTAAAGTCAAGGTGCAATACTTCCTACCAAATCCAGCACCATCTCAATAATTTCCATTTTGTCTTCTGACAGTGGACCATTGGGATTCCTAGTAAATGAGTTTGCAAATGACTTGGGAATTCACTCTTTTGGTCTGCAAGACGACTAGCAAAATTTAACAGGGGAAACCAATTTTCAGCTTCTGGACACTCTGTGTGTGTACATAATTTGTAGTATATATATTTTAAGTAGTCTCGCTACATACTAACACGCTTTCTCAAACTGATTGGTAGGGCTTCAAAAGGGTCTTTGCCTTACTTAATCATAACTTGATAAAAGAGAACTAAGATATTAACCGCTGCTCATCTCTGCCTACCTGTTGTTCTCAAGCACACAGCAGGCTCTGCTCTACAGGGAACTGCTATTAGCTGGAATAATTCACTCTGCCGTGTACGGAGGGAAAGGGGAGGGCAGGAAGGCTGGGAGGGAGGGCTCACACCTGTCAAAACAGCAACCCCTTATAACTTCCCACTGTAGCTTCAGAGAAAAGGGAACAGGAGAGAACTACTCAGCATGATGATAAGAGATTCATTTACTGGCAATCTAGGAAACTACTTCTATTCTTTGAAAGAATGATTTGGAAAGCAGTTTCCATGGAGGTTTAATTTACTTCAGAAACCCCCTCCCAAAAAATCAAACCAAAACAAAAAAGAACAGCAGCACTTCAAACAGCCACAGAACCCATTCCAATGTTGGTTTCATCAACAGACCCAGTAAAGTAAGATGATTTTCTAACACACCTGAGAAAACTGTAGCCCACGCCATTACCAAGCTTAACATACCACAGGAAATTTATTTCAACAACAAGATCAATGGTTGGTATCATGACAATAATGAGAATAATAGCTGCAGCCTCCACTTCTTTTCTTATCTCATAACAGTATCAAAGTTCAGTGAAAGCTACATGTTCCAAGCCTGTTATTAACTCCCACCTGTCATGTTGTCCAAAGAATCGGGCATCGACCTGCCCGTCTTTATCCCTTAGAGCTTTTGCAGGCCAGAATGGAAACCCCTTCAGTTTGGCCCAGACCAAAGGATGTGGATTGCTCTAGGAAAAGAAAAACAAGATCCAGAGTTTGTACATATTTGACAGCAAGATACTCACTAAAGTTTGGTATGTGAGGATGAAGCAGGACTGTGGGACACAGGCCATGAGTGGAAAAAGAGTTTCAAGCAGGGTCGGCCTGTGTGGTATTCCCTAAAAGGTATGTGGCCAAGACACCTGGACAAAACTGCAAATGGAGTTAAATGGTGAAATCAAAAGCTGAATGAAGTCCAGGCATGGTGGCTCACGCCTGTAATCCCAGCACTTTGGAAAGCCAATGCGGGTGGATCACCTGAGGTCAGGAGTTCGAGACCAGCCTGGCCAACATGGTGAAATCCCATCTCTACTAAAAACAGAAACATTAACCAGGCGTGGTGGCACACGCCTGTAGTCCCAGTTACTCAAGAGGCTGAGGCAGGAGAATCACTTGAACGCAGGAGGTGGAGGTTGCAGTGAGTCAAATCACGCCACTGCACTCCAGCCAGGGCGACAGATCGAAACTCCATCTCAAAAAAAAAAAAACAAAAAAAAGAAAGATGAGAAAACCAGGGTTGGATTCTAGCTGTACCATTATTATCTGGGCAGGCACGAGCAAGACATTTCACCTTTCTGTGCAACATACACAGAGACAATGACACCAATACCTTCTGTTTTTGGATTAAATGTGCATCATACCTAGCATCTAATAAGGGGCAGTATTTTGCTACCTTTATTCTTTATTGAAGGCTTAGCTATTCCGGTGTTAATCTCCAAAAGCACGAAGAGATGCAAAGTATATTTTCTCAACTTTCCTTGCCTAATCTTGCCTCCAAACCCACTCCAACCCACCAACCCCACCCCCAACACACACACCAGTGCAGCCCAACAATGTACTTCTCTCTGCAGAACCCCAGCTTGGAGAAGGCAGATCCACAGGGAAACTAGGGTGACTTTATTTCCCCCAAGAATCATGTTTTGGAGGGACTATGGAGTTAATCCAGGGAAGTATTTTCAAACCTCTTAAAATAGAACCAACATGATTTGTAAATCCACACTGATTTAAGCTCATCTTATTATCTGAAAAGCTTTGCTGCATCCCACATCTCTGATGAGCTCTCTTTTATGCTGCACCTTGCAGTCTGCCCAGGCTAATCAACCCAGGAAGCCATGATGCTATCTCTGGCACATGAACTTTCAGCCTAAGAGGTTTATCCTACCTGGATTACTTTCCTTCTGCCATAATTTTATCAGCAAAAAATTATCTTAAAACTCCATCCAAAGTTTCATCTAATAAGCCACCTGGAAAAAGCTGTCTCAGGGTAGTCATCCAAGGCACAGGGTTCAGTAAATGAAATAAGCAAAGTAAATCCAACTTACACAAGGCTCACAAAACCAGTTATCTCGTTTTTGGCAAGCAGCTAGATAACATTCTGGACATACTTCGATTTCATTCATCTGTAAAGCAAAAATACATTAGAATGTGTCACCCCAGGGGTGGATATCTTGTGGACCTCAATCAATGCTTGATGATTTTGAAGGTTAAGATGTTTTAAAGTCCCATAGAGGGAACACCTTGGAGATGAATCCAACCACTATGTATCGCTCCCAATGCTTCCACCCAGTCCAAGCCACCGTCCTTTCTCTCTGGACCAATGCAACAGCTAACTCCCCACGTCACCCACTTCCACTTTTACCCCCATTATAGACATTCCCTGCAGAGCAGCCACAGCCACCATTTTTTTTTTTTCCTCCAGAGTCTCACTCTGCTGCCCAGGCTGGAGTGCAGTGGCCCGATCTGGGCTCATTGCAACTTTCGCTTCCTGCGTTCAAGCAATTCTCGTGCCTCAGCCTCCCAAGTAGCAGAGATTACAGGCGTGCATCACCACGCCCAGCTAATTTTTGTATTTTTAGTAGAGACAGGGTTTTGCCATGTTAGCCAGGCTGGTCTCAAACTCCTGGCCTCAAGCGATCCACCCGTCTCAGCCTCCCAAACTGCTAGGATTACAGGTGTGAGCCACCATGCCCAACCCAGAGCCACCTTTTATAGACATAAATCTGTTCTTGTCCTTCCCCTGCTTAAAAGCCCCCAGTGACTTCCCATTATACCCAGTAGTTCTCTGTCAGAGCACTTTAACCATTCCCCCCACCCACAGGGATCACATAGCAATGTCTAGAGGCATTTTTGATTGTCACAAGTAGCCCAAAGGAGGGATGCGGGACTACTGAAATCTAAGATGTACACAATAGTCCCTGCAACAAAGAATTCTCCAGCCCTAAGTGTCAGCAGTACCAAGCTGAGAAACTAACAATGAAGTCTAATGACCTGACAGGTTCCCTCAAAGCCACATGTGATCTGGCCCCAGCCCACCTGTCTCGGCTCACCTTGCAGCAGTTCCGCTCCCCAACCCCTTCCAGCCACTCTGGCCTGCTCTGCTTGCCAAGCTCAATTCTATGTCCAGAGTAGCTAATTAATACCATGTTGCCCTATTTCAGCTCCACTGACGACAATCCGAAAATTCAATTAACTTATTTATTGTCCTTTTCTCTCATAAGAAAGTACATTCCCCTAGAATAACATTGTAGCTTAGAGCCAAAGATCCCAGAAGCTCCCTTCTTGGATCTCAAGTCAGACTCCACCATTTACTAGCTCTGTGACTTTAGGGTAAGCTGCTTCTCTTCTCAGAGCCCCCATATGTTGATCTATTGAAGAGAAAAAAAAGCAGCACCCACCACAAAGGGCTGTTATAAGAAATTAAATGAGATAAATGTAAAGTGCTTCAAGTGACAGAGTAATCAATATTGCCCATTAACATTTACTGAAGACTTAGAGTGTGCTGGTATCATTCTAAGAATTCTGTAAGTATTAACTCATTGTATTCCTTACACCTCATGAGATTAAAAAAAAAATGAGGCCCCAAAAAGTTTAGTAACCTGCCCAAGGTCTTACAGCAACAAAGTGGCATGGTCAGGATTTGAACCCAGGTAGTCGGGCTCCAAAGCCCATGCAGGTCACCACTGCACTGATATTTGTTATTCCTTTCTACCACTATCTGCCTTATTCTTCTCTTTAACTCTTATCATGCAAGGTGCCACATATTTAACAGGTGCTCAATAATTATAAGACTAACAGATTTCACAGGTCAGCGAGTAAGTAAGCGAATGAATGTGCAAACAAATGCATGGATGGCAGAGTGCACCTCCTGCTTCTAAGCCCACTCTACTTCTGAGCTATTCCAAAGGAACATATCCAAAACAGCCTGTATGACTTTCTTCAAGGAAATGCAAACTAAAATCACAGTAAGATGCCTACCGTTTTTACAGATCACATCGTTGGGGCAGGGGGGCACATATTTACATATAGTTTTGTAATTACAACTCCCAATATTGGAAAGGACATAGCCTCATTGTAACTGGAACATCTGACATGTTCACAGCCTCATAGTAGTTTTATTCCTAAAAATTAAACTAAGGAAATCATCAAATGCGCAATGATATTCATCACCTTGTTACTTAAGATGCTGATAAAACTGGGTACTATTTAATGACAAGAGGAGTAATTAAATGAATGTCCATGTGTTGTATGTAATACTATACAGCCATGAAAAATTCTGTTCTTCCTACGAGTTTAATTACCTAGGAAACAGAGAAAATACATAAAATAAACTAAGTGAGAAAGCAGTTTATAAAACTCTCTCTACATAAATATACAGACATAAGCCGGGCTTGGTGGCTGAGGCCTATATTCCCAGCGTCTTTGGAGGCTGAGGCAGAAGGATCGCCTGAGCCCAGGAGTTTGAGACCAGCCTGGGCAACATGGCAAAACCCCATTTCTACAAAAAAAATAATAATAATTAATTTAAAAAGAAATAGCCAGGCTAATTAATTAGCTGGGTGTGATGGTGCACCCAGTCCATGTTGAGACCCTGCCTCAAAAAATACATAGATAACTATATCTATATATAGATATAAATTTATAAGGATAGATTTTTTTTTTTTTTCTCGGAGACAGAGTCTCACTCTATCACCCAGTCTGGAGTGTAGTGGTGCTATCTTGGCTCACTGCAACCTCTGCCTCCCAGGTTCAAGCAATTCTTCTGCCTCAGCCTCTCAGTTTAGCTAGGATTACAGGCATGTTCCACCATACCCAGCTAATTTTTGTATTTTTAGTGGAGACGGGGTTTTGCCATGTTGGCCAGGCTGGTCTTGAACTCCTGGACTCAAGTGATCTCCCTGCCTCAGCCTCCCAAAGTGCTGGGATTACAGGTGTGAGCCACTGCACCTGGCCAGGTATCTATCTATCTATCATCTATCTATCTATCTGGATATATCTAGATCTAGATCTATATATCCATATATAAAAAGACATGGATGGGTCCCAGTGCTATCTGAACAGTTTTTCTTTATGAATGAATGGGAGCACACTGACAGGTTGAAGGTCATTCCATCTCATTTTTTTATTCTCACAATGAGATCTAATAAAGAAAAGCTCCCTCATACCATTTTGGCTGCCAGCCTGTCCCACAACCACCAGAGCCTCACAGCTCACACGCCTAAGAGGTCTGTTCCATCCACGCCATCACAATTATGGGCATTTGCAAGAAAACAGGTTCTCCTGGACACCTGGGCCACTCTCCCAGAAGCAGTCAAGGCCATGCCCCCAGATATCAAATCCTCTTCTGCAAGAGGACCAAAAGGGACCTGAAACAATACCAGGCTGTGGGGCCAAGGTCAGAAATTACGAATTCTATCTAGGCAATCAGGAAAAGACAGGAGGCCCGGTGCTTACTGGTGACTCAAGGGTAAAAAACAAAAAATCCTTTCCATCTCCCTTAGATCATTGCTACAGTAAGGGTGTTTTATAATATACTCGGGCCCCTCTTTGTTCTTTTTACTTTCCTTGAAGAGTAGGGGTGTGGCCTCAACAAATTCCAAAATCACCTCGGCTACCTAATAGGAGATTCTGCAAATGGAAACTTCAGCTGCCCCATCCCCTCCTTCTGGGTGCATCTAAAACAGGACAGTGGGAAACACATACCTCATGTTCACAGATTTTGATGACTACTTTCGCTATTTGCGTCAATTTGTGATTTCCTAAGGGAATAAGAAAACAGGATTAATTCTAATGGAAATACCGCAACACCGGGCCTGGGGACTTTACTTCCGCTAACAATGTGTTTACTTGCTTTTCCCCCAGGATTAAGCTTTTAAAGGCTAAAACCAGAGGTTCCTGGCTTCTAATAGTAATTCACATTATGTGATTCCTCCCATCAATGTCGACGACTCTTTGGCGCCTCGATGTCATCTTCTCTGCAACTGAGCAATTTATGTGGGTTTCCCTAGAGATCATGGATTAATATTCTTAAAATGCTTTGACATTCTAAAGGCTCAAATTAATGAAAAAAGGCCTTATTCTACCCATTGTCCCAGACGCCAACCCAAGAAGAATACAAGAGAAAGAAGACATTTTCTTGAATAGCTCTGGTGTGGCTAGTGCTTCAAAACACATTTTCTTCTTGGGCCAAGTGTGGTGGCTCATGCCTGTAATCCCAACACCTTGGGAGGCTGAGGCAGAGGGATCACTTGAGCCCAGGAGTTGAAGACCAGCCTGGGCAACATAGCGAGACCCCACCTCTAGAAAAAAACAACACACACACACACGCACACACGCACACACATACACATTTTCTTCTCAGCTCCTCAAGAAGTCATACTAGGAAGCAGGGACAAAATGTGCCCATTTAATGAATGAGTATGCCAAGGTTCAGGAGTCACCACTTACATTACTTAGCTAATAAAGTAACCATCTAGCCCCAGGTCTAACTCTACACTAAACCAGACGACAAGATGGTCCAAAGTCATGTTTTCTTTGAACTTTATGGTATTTTTAGAAATTGTAAATTTGTTGACACGAAGATTTCACACACACAAACACACAATATACCTACATTTCTGGTTTGCCTTGAAAACTCAGAAGATCCAGTAACTATAATCAATGGAGCACTGGAGCTGCCAACAGCGACCTTTCCAGGCCAGGTAGGAGTTTTCTGTTCTCCATGATCCACAGCACATCACTTGACCTGCAGCCTTCTTGGCTTGTGCTAATGTTTTTGTTCTTCTACCTGACCTCATCCACTTGTTTATATAATTTGATAGGCGGGGCCTTTCTATATATTTGAGTTTATAATCTTTACACCAATTCTTTTTTTTTTTTTTTTTTGAGATGGAGTCTCGTTCTGTCACCCAGGTTGGAGTGCAGGGGCGCAGATCTCAGCTCACTGCAACCTCTGCCTCCTGGGTTGAAGCGATTCTTGCGCCTCAGCCTCCAGAGTAGCTGGGATTACAGGCATGCGCCACCACACCCAACTAATTTTTGTATTTTTAGTAGAGACAGGGTTTCACCATGTTGGCCAAGCTGATCTCGAACCCCTGACTGAAGTGATCCGCCCGCCTCAGCTTCCCAAAGTGCTGTGATTATAGGCATGAGCCACTGCACCTGACCCACACATTCTTAATGCCTAGTGCCTCTCCTTTTTCCCCTCCTTGCACTCTCAGCCCTGCTATAGTTAGTAATGCAATATGGTGCGTAAAGCAGATATGCATATATCTTTCCTTAAACACTAGCAAACAGGCTGGCGTGGTCTCTAATGCCTGTAATCCCAACACTTTGGGAGGCCAAGGTGGGCAAATCACTTGAGGTCAGGAGTTCGAGACCAGCCTGGCCAATATGGCGAAACCCCATCTCTACTAGAAATACAAAAATTAGCCAGGTGTGGTGGCACACGCCTGTAATCCCAGCTACTCGGGAGGCTGAGGAACGAGAATCGCTTCAACCCAGGAGGCAGAGGTTTCAGTGAGCTGAGATCACACCACTGCAGTCCAGCCTGTGCGATTCAGTGAGACTCTGTCTCTAAATAAATAAATAAATAAATAATCCTATTTTTGCAATGAACAAAATATCTGAATAGATGTTTACAAAAAATGACATACAAGTCACTAATAAGCACAGGAAAAGATACGCAATACCACTGATCATTAGGAAAAGGCAAATTAAAACATCGTGACATAATACTTTACACCTTCAAGAACAGGTAAAATTTAAAAGGCAGACAATATCAACCCTTATAGTGTGTGGAGCAAAAGAGAACTCTAATATACCCTGCTGGTAGAATGTAAAATGATAGAACCACTTTGCAAAAACTGTTTGGTGAAACGTAGTAAGTTAAATAAAATCCTACTCACTGAGCTGGCAACACCACTCCTAGGTATTTACCCAAGAGAAAGAAAAACCTATGTCCATGCAAAGACTTGCACAAGCAGGTTCACAGCAGCTTATTCCTAACAGCCCAAAGCTAAGAACAACCCAAATATCCATGAGCATCAACAAGGTAAATGGATGAATGGCGGCATATTGATCGAATGAAAAAAAAAAATCAGCAACAAAAAAAAAGGAACCACTAATAACACATAACACAGATGACTCCTCAAAATATTACACTGCATGAGAGCAGCCAGACACACAAGAGCACTAACTCTGACTCCATTTATATGAAATTCTACAAGAAGCAAAATTAATCTATCCTAACACAAAGCAGAAAGTGGTTCCTGTTGAGAGTGGGTTTCCTAGAAAATGGCATGTATGAGAATCCAACAGGCTGATAGGAATGTTCTGGATCTTGTGGTTACACATTTGTCAAATTCAGTGAATATAAACATAAAATCTGTATGTTTTATTTTATGCAATTATACTTCCATTAAAATAAGGTTTGTAGAAATAACACTAAAAGGCAGCAGCACCATGCAGCTGCAAGCCACTTTAGATGTCAGCTCATACCTTAAAATGAACTTGGTCACTGCCTCCTATTCACATATATTAGCACAATCTATACGCAAGTATTCTCAATATGAATTAAGAGCCTGATTTTTCATGAAGGACAGGAATTTGTGCAACACATACACAGCATACTCTTTCTTAGGAGTCATCTAAGCCACTCACCCCCATTATAAATGATGCAGTTGTGCAAAATCCACTTTGCATCAGCCAGGAAGGCTTCTGTGCAGCCATACATTTTCTTTTTCGCATTCTGGGAAGAAAAGCGATGGAGCATAATCACAGTGAGTCTAGACAAGCCACAGTCAGTGACTCTTGTGTCCCCACATAATTTTTGTAGCAGTCATTTGCCAAATCAATTAGTGTTCTTCTATTCATTTCCCAAGATGCTTCTTTTTAACCTACAACACCCCGACTAAAGAATGCTTTTATTTTTGAGATCTATAACCCTATAAAAATGCACTCTTTGAATTTAACACAATAACTGGAATTTTCTCATCTTATAGTAGCTGTCATTTATCATGTAGCTTCTTCCAATAAACAGGATAGTTTATTTATTTAGTTTTTTTTTTTTTTTTTTTTTTTTGGAGGTGGAGTTTTGCTCTTATTGCCCAGGTTGGAGTGCAATGGCGTGATCTCGGCTCACTGCAACCTCCACCTCCCGGGTTCAAGCAATTCCCCTGCCTCAGCCTCCTGAATAGCTGGAATTACAGGCGTGTGCTACCATGCCCAGCTCATTTTGTATTTTTAGTAGAGACGGGGTTTCTCCATGTTGGTCAGGCTGGTCTCGAACTCCTGACCTCAGATGATCCGCCCGCCTCAGCCTCCCAAACTGCTGGGATTACAGGCTTGAGCCACCGCGCCCGGCCAAACAGGGTATTTCATATATTTATACATTATTTATTATTAGTCATATGGTCTCACACAAACCTCACAATAATTTAATGAAGTACTTATTATCATACCCATTTTACAGAAAGGCAAACTGAGATACAGTAATGTTAAGGAATGTATCTAAAGTTCCACAGCTCTTAACTTAATTAATATAAAGTCAGGTTTCCAACTCCATCTCTTTTGAATGCCTCCTTTTTTCCACCACACCATGAAGGTATGTGCAATTTCCTAAAAACAGACTGGATTTATGGTTTGGGAGTTATTGGGGAAGACAATATGAAGTAATGTTTCTTCCTCGTGGATGCATTTCACTGCCCATATTTTGCTGCAAATAGTTGGAAAATCAGCATCAGAATAATGTGCACAATCTACAGTGTTCCAAGTGTAATTTTCAGCGTGGAATTTTAGCATGAACTTTTAAAACCTTCAGGCATTCAAGAAAAAACCTAATCAGTAGAGTAAGTCAAATTCTAAGAAGCCACATCTTTATTGCTAATCTGGAGGCTTCCCAGACACTTAATTTTCTCTTCTTCCTTCCTGCTGCTCTCATTAGCACCTCCGAAAGAAAGAGGAGGTAACGCTCAAGTCAATCAAATCACTAACTCTTAGAAGCTATGGCTTTTGCAGGTAAAAAGCTAGAATCATCGCAAAAGTATTACCAAAGAATTTCAACATTCCACTGCAATCTTGGAAGAATGTTACAAAGGAAAGACGTTAGAGAATCAAGAGTTCTTCTATCCAAATAAAGGAGCAATGAAAATATAGAGAAACAATTTAAGATTGTTATGTCCAACTTGTGATAGAGCATAGGCAGTGAGGGAAGAGCCTTAGGCATCTCAACTGTGGGCTAGAATGGTGAGGTTCTTTGACGGAGGCCAACCTTTTCCAATGTACAAAGGTCCATTGGATGGAAGATGTATTCCGCATAGTCAGGGTGCTGTTCCAATGGAACGGGCTTCTGGAATGCATCTGTCTATAAAAGAGAAGATATGCAGAGGAACGAACCCATCATTACTATGGAAAACCAAGCATTAATGCTAACAAAAGGCTTGAAAAATTGAGACAACTTTTCAGACAATATAGTTCTAAAGTTTTCCATAAAGGATGACCGTGGGGAGCTCCAAATTGGTCTACCTTCTAATTCTGCCTGGTTATTGATAATTATAAGCCCAATTGTGATCCAATTTTATTCTTGGTTTTCAATACACACTCAAGAAACAGATCCTGTCCTCTTACATTAAGATTGACAATTACAATACGCACTGTAAGTTAAAAAGATGCTTTAACAAAATCAGCACTTTCTCCCCTGACTGATTTGACGTTCAACGATTTACTTGAGAAATTAACGCCCTCTTCAATTTTTCTTCTTGGTTTTTAATTCTATGGGGCTGACAAATCTACATGACTCATTCTTTTTGTTAATAGTCATTAGCACATATAATTTAGCCTATGAAAATCGAAGGTAATTCCTTGCCACACTCAACATAAAAATTATACCATAGCAAAAAAAAAACAAAAAAATTGTGCAAACCAAACTAAGGCTACACCTTTTGCTTCCACTGATTGAGATTTTGTTTAAAAGAGTCCAATTTGTTAAAGGTTCTCAATTGAAGGATATCCAATCAGCATGCTCTAAATTTTTTTTATCATCTCTTCAAAATTTCAGAATATAATCTCAAAGCAAAAGCTTCTTTTTTTTTTAAAGATATAAAACCACAGTGATTAGCCCCAAGAATCTACATTTCTGTACAGTACTCTCAGGAGTTGTACAAAGGGTCACCACTAGCCCCTATGGTGCCTTTGTGCAAATCAGGTAGGGGGCATCATGTCCGCAAGTTTCTCTTCATCTGTAGGGGCCAGGCGCCGTGACTCATGCCTGTGATCCCAGCACTTTGGAAGGCTGAGGCAGGAGGATCATTTAAGGCCAGAAGTTCAAGACCAGCCTGGGCAACATAGCGAGACCCTGTCATTACAAAAAATAATAATAATAAAAAAGTTAGCTGGGTGTGGCGGTGTGTGCATCTATAGTTCCAGCTACTTGAGAGGCTGAGGTGGGAGGATCGCCTGAGCCCAGGAGGTTGATGCTGCAGTAAGCTATGACTGCGCTCCAGCCTGGGCAACAAAGCAACAGTCTGCCTCCAAAAAAAGAAAGGAAGGAAGGGAGGGAGGTAGGGAGGGAGGGAGGGACGAGGAAAGAAGGAAGGAAGGAAGGAAGGAAGGAAGGAAGGAAGGAAGGGAGGGAGGGAGGGAGGGAGGGAGGGAGGGAGGGAGGCAGGCAGGCAGGCAGGCAGGCAGGCAGGCAGGGAGGGAGGGAGGGAGGGAAGGACAGAGGGAGGGAGGAAAGGAAAATATTCATCTATAGAAAAAATGTCATAATATGCTTATTATATTGTCAAAATAATACTATCTTCAAAAACAAGTTATTTTTCTGCCATTTTCCTGAAAAGTATTGTGATAAATATACAAACCACAGTGGCCATGGTTTGACCTGGGACTCACAGGTGAGGCACCACTGTGAGGTACACAACTGGCCAACCCTTCCCCCACATGCAGATTTTCCTCAAGGGGCAAAGGCTGTATATCAAATCTCATCTCAAAACTGAAGGAACTAACCAAATTCTCACCCTCTACAGAAAAGTCACTGGTTGAGTTTTCCTTGAAGGTTCCATCATCAGATCTGGGACATAAATAAACTGTGTTGTGCTCAGCTTCCTCATTGAAATGGATTTTCCTAACTCCCATGGGAAGGAGCACAAAGCTCCCCTTGCTGGGTGTTATAGGAGGTTTCACTTTGCAACCAGTCAGAATTTTCAATCCCCCTCAACGTTTTACTATGTCATTGCCCAATTGATATGGTTTGGCTCTGTGTCCCCACCCAACCTCATCTCAAATTTTAATCCCTACATGTCAAGGGAGGAACCTGGTGGGAGGTGACTGGATTATGGGGGTGGTTTCCCCCATCCTGTTCTCGTGATAGTGAGTGAGTTCTCACAAGATCTTGTGGTTTAAAAGTGTTTGGCACTTCCCACCCCCCTTCTCCTGCTGCCATGTAAAACGTGCCTTGCTTCCCCTTCGCCTTCCACCATCATTTTAAGTTTCCTGAGGGCTCCCTAGCCATGCAGAACTGTGAGTCAATTAAACCTCTTTTCTGGCGAGCCACAGTGGCTCATGCCTGTAATCCCACCATATTGGGAGGCCGAGGCTGGAGGATCACTTGAGGTCAGGAGTTTGAGACCAGCCTGGCCAACATGGTGAAACCCCATCTCTACTAAAAATACAAAAAAAAAAATAGCCAGTGCGGTGGCGGGAGCCTGTAATCCCAGCTACTGGGGAGGCAGAGGCACGAGAATCACTTGAACCTGGGAGGCAGAGGTTGCAGTGAGCCAACATCACACCACTGCACTCCAGCCTGGGTGACAGAGCAAGTCTCCATCTCAGAAAAACAAACAAACAAACAAAAAAAAAAACCTCTTTTCTTCATAAATTACTCAGTCTCAGGTAATATCTTTACAATAGTGTGAAAACAGACTAATGTACCAATTAAACTCCTCTGGGACATACAGTGCTTACTACGACAGAGAATTAACTGAATGGCATCATACCTCATGTGTGATTTACACATACTTGAATTTGGGGATGCAAGGAGGCCCAAAGAATACATCAGGTACCTAAAAAGCTAAGCTATTAACAGAACAAAACATATGTCATTACGTTCATTTACGCGTATACCAAGAGGAACTTTCTTCTTACCCCTGGCTGTTTCATTTTCTGAATGGCAAACTTGAGCAGGTAGGATAACTGTTCAATGGTGAGCATTGTCATGGCTTTACTCTGGGTCTCGATGCATTCTGCTACTGTAATTTTCTACAAAGTCAAAGTCATACATAAACGTCCGGTTAGAAAAAAGAAATTACCATCCATGTACTGATTTCTATTTTTTCAGTCAACTGACAGACAAAAAGCAATTCTCATCCCAATGAGACTTGTTGTTTCACTTAGCAAAGACTCCTGGAACAAAATGTACCAGATCAGTGGGTAACTATTAAAAAGCGTATCAATCTATTTCCTTATCAGGAAGCATTTTTAGCTCAGGAAGACGACATGATCTGAGAAAAGATGTGGCTAAACAGGGGCCTGAAAAATCATCATTATTATAACCTTTAGGTTTCAAGAATGGGATATGAAAGCAAAGGCCAGGTGGGCGTGGTGGCTCACGCCTGTAATCCCAGCACTTGGGGAGGCTGAGGTGGGTAGATTGCTTGAGCCCCAGTGTTGGAGACCAGCCTGGCAACATGATGAAACTCCATCTCTACAAAAAAATACAAAAACTAGCCAGGCATGGTGGCACGCATCCGTAGTCCCAGCTACTTGGTAGGCTGAGGTGGGAGGATGGGTTGAGCCTGGGAGGCGGAGGCTGCAGTGAACCATGATTGTGCCACTGCACTCTAGCCTGGGTGACAGAGCGAGACCCTGTCTCAAAAATATGTATGTATAAAAAAAGAAAGTAAAGGCCACGGATGATTTCAGGGTGATTACTTCACAGGATGGGTACTTATCAACCATTTATCCTGATCCTCTTAAGGTTCTGGGCTGTCATTCAGGAAACTGACAAGGCATTAATTCAATGACATCACTGATGGAAAGGGACAGACTTCCCTGCAGAAAGATTACAAGGGAAAGCAGTGGACTAATAATACGTATGACTTCATTGTCCATCTCCCTTACTTTGAACCCACCTAAGGCACTGTGTCAAAGTACACAAGGAGCACAACCTAACCTAACTGTCTATCTCCATGGGTAATAGATATCAGCTCCTAAGGGAAATTCCCATCAAAGAAGAGACCCAAAGGAACGTCTGAAACCAGATTCTGCTATGTAAATCTGGTACTACATCTTAAGGCTTCAGAATCCTTATGTAGCAGCAACAACAAAAATAGCAAATTCTGATCATGTCAGGAAACACTCTTTAACCATCTGTGTAGGGAGAGCTGAGAAAAGTTTTCTCCAATTAATTTGGATTCTGTTTCCATTTTTCACATCTCTGGGGCCTCCAAAAGGAACTCTCAGATGTGTCTCGTTGGTTGTCGAGGAAAAGGCCAACACAAGAGTCACTCAGAAGCTGAAAACAGTGCATGACGCATGCATCTATTTGCTTAGCTACCACAGCCTTGCAACGTTCAGTCTTCCCAGTTGACTGCCGTAACAACTCATCCCTGGAAGAAATTCAGAGCCCCGAATCTTAGACACAGAGCACCTGTTTGTTTGATTCTGGTTTGTTTCCAGGTAACTTATCCATGGCAAACACTTGGGCTGCCTGCCCAACTATCATTCATTCCCTCTCACCCCCCACTCCTTCTTCCTGGCTGGCAGTGCCTGGTTCCCACAACACAAAAAGCACCACATATGCAATTTTCAAGGCTTTTTTGTACAAGGACTGGTGATGCAATACTGACCAATGAGCCCAGGGGCAAATCAGCTGGGGGATGATGGACAAAATCTTTCTGCTTGATAAAAAGAGATGCAAGGAGAGACATCCTCCTTTTGGGAGAATTTTTGTCTATCCACACATAATACCTGAACCCTAGCAGTCAACTTATGGCCATGGAGAACATGTCACCTCAACAATGAGATGGAAAGAGTCTGGCTCTGAATAAACTCTGGCCTGGCCCTGCCTCTAGGTTCTGATGATAATAAATCCACATTGTTTCAGCCCCCTTCTATCAGGAACTAGTGCTTGCATTAACAACTATATTTTGTTGGCCGGGCACAGTGGCTCACACCTATAATCCCAACAATTTGGGAGGTCAAGGTGGGAGGATCGCTTGAGCCTAGGAGTTCAAGACCAGCCTAGGTAACATAGCAAGACCCTGTCTCTACAAAAAACTTAGTAAGTAGCTAGGTGTGGTGGTGTGTACCTGTGGTCCCAGGTACTCAGGAGGCTCAGGTGGGAGGATCGCTTGAGCCCAGGTGGTCAGGGCTGCAGTGAGCAAGATCTCGTTACTGCACTCCAGCCTGGGCAACAGAACAAGACCATGTCTCAAATAAAAATAAAAGAACTATTATTTGCAGCAAAAGCATCCTATCAGAGCTGCTGTCATCTTTGTAATATCATTAAACAATTGGGAAAAGTTGGCCAAGACTAAAGAAAATTGGTGAAGGTTCCAGATCCCATGACAAATGTAGTAGAATGAGGTCAGCCTCTGCGTGCAGAGGAGGGCGCCGCTGTACAATGCAAACCCTACATATTTCTCCATCTAGAGTAACCCAAAGAGAACGGCAGCCGCCTTTTGCCATTTTAGAGAGGACACCATTACAATATCATCGTCATCATATTGATTTCATGTCTACTTTCTTTTTATGTATTTCTTATTTTTCTCCTCTCCCTACACAAAAGTATGACAGACACTGTCCTATAGCTGGCTTTTTTCCCTACTAAAGACATCTGGATGATCTTTCCATTTCACACATAGAAAGCTTCCACATTTGAGATCAAACTCCAATGTACCTTTTTTTTTTCTTTTTTTGAGACATGATCTTGCTTTATTTCCCAGGATAGAATACAGTGGCATGATTACAGCTCACTGCAGCCTCAACCATCTCGGCTCAAGTGATCCTCCAAGCTCACCCTCCCAAGTAGCTGGGACTACAGGCACATACCACCATGCCCAGCTAATTTCTTTAAACTTTCTGTGGAGATGGGGGTCTCCCTATGTTGCCCAGACAGGTCTTGAACTCCTGGGATCAAGCAATTCTCCTGCCTCGGCCTCCCAAAGTGCTGGGATTACAATCATGAGCCACCACGCTCAGCCTCCAATGTATCTTTGAATCCAAGAGACATTCCACATTAAATAATTGTGGAGATGACATTTTTATTTTCAGCAATTCCAAAAAAACATCAGAGTTGGGGGTCTCCAAGAACAGGAGCCACCTCCAAACAGTGGAAACCCTAATAGTTGGCTTAATAAAGGGTGCCTGGGGTTTGCTACACAGGAGGCATACACACTGCCCCGACTACGCCCATGCACTGCTGCCTCCGGCCGTCTGCCTGGAAGTTGTCCCCCAAATGGCTGCATGGCTCACTCCTCTCTTTCATCAAGTCTTTCTCAAATTTTAGTGAGGCTTTCCCAGACCACCACATTCAAAATGAAAACACCTTGCACTCCCTTGGACCTCCTATTCCCATCCTGAATTTGTTTTCTTCACAGCACTTTTCTTTTAATTCATTATATGGAACTTTATTTATTTTGGTTTTTGTCCTTTTCTGCTGGAAAAAAAAAAATGATCCATGCCTGTTTTTGTGCACTGTCGAATTCCCAGCACCTAATAGGCACTCAAGAAATACTTGTTGCACAAAAGAAAGCACCAGACGGCCACTACAGGGAACATGCAACCAAACGTGGTCTTCTCAGCTTGGCTACTGCTGATGATTCAATGATGCGGCAGGCAACAACATCCAAGACGGAGAAAACAGAATGAGATCTTTTCAAAATGTGTGAGCCGTTCATGATTTGGGAGTTAACTTTCAAAAAGTTCATCATAGAAGATGCAGAGATGACGACTACAGATCTCCAAGGAATCCAAGGACTCATGAGAAATCAGAAATAATATTCCGTGCAATTGTCTTTCCAAGAGCTGCAGTACTGCAGCCACTGCCGGTGTTGGTCAAGAAGGGGGTGACCAGGATAGAACAGGTGGAAAGCAAGAAATTTCTCTTTTCCATCTATCTGGATTATTTGTAAATTTAAAAATAAAAGGAAGAAAGAGAAAGGAGAGGAAACGAGGCAGGTAATGCATTCATTCATCAGGAACTAACCTCACATTCAGGACAAAACCAGTCCCCCTCTGGTTCCGATGTCAGTCTCAGACACTTAGCGTGATAAACCCGGGGACAGAGCTCACAGCAAAGGACTTGGCCTTCCCGGTGACAAACCCAGCAGTAGAAATCATTCCGTCCATCCTGCGGTACAACATCAACAGGGTCTGTGGTGAGTGGCTGCTTCATATAGTAAAACGGACCATGTCTTAGTTCTGACTGAAATGTAGGCAAAAAGACAGGTTTGGTTTCAAAACAAATGTGCATTCTCAAAAGGAATTTGAACAAGTACATCAATAACAACAAAAGAAAATAACAGCATTTCACAAATTCATTAAAAAGCCAAACTATCTTAGGTTACTCTACTAAATATATAATTAGCAAGTTGTTAAAATTATGAGGATTTTTCTTTTTTCTATTTTAAGAGGCCACGATTAAAAGCTGGTATCTAAGAGTTACAAGGCAGCCCTAGCAGAATGGCACATTGCCTATAACCCACATCTACCTAGGTTCAGATTTTAACTCTACCATTAACCAGGTGCATGACCTTGGACAAGTCTCTTAACCTCTCAGCTTCAATTTTCTCATCTGTAAAATGGAGATGATAATGCCTAACACTTCATGGTACTGTGTTGCTATTAAATGGGGTGATATAATGTATGCCTGTTTATCAAAATGCCACCATACTAACAATGCTAATGTGGTTGGAAGCCCAACTTATGGAAGTCCCAATTTACAAAGCCAATAAAAGCATAGTAGTTTGCCCTGGGATTCTTCAAATGGCAGACATTTAGAGAATAGATCAATAGGGTTTCAGTCACCAAAAAATGGTTACCTAATTTTTTTTTTCTTTTTCTTTTTCTTTTTTTTCAGAGACGGAGTCTCGCTCTGTTGCCCAGGCTAGAGTGCAGTGGCACAATCTTGGCTCCACTGCAACCTCTGCCTCCCGGGTTCAAGCCATTCTCCTGCCTCAGCCTCCTGAGTAGCTGGGACTACAGGCGTGTGCCACCATGCCCGGCTAATTTTCGTATTTTTAGTAGAGATGGGGTTTCACCATGTTAGCCAGGCTGGTCTCAATCTCCTGACCTCGTGATCTGCCCACCTCGGCCTCCCAAAGTGCTGGGATTACAGGCGTGAGCCACTGCACCCGGCCAGTTATCTAATTTTTAAGTTTACCCCCAATACATAAAGCATTTATGAGCCAACAAGAGGCTTCCTAAAGCCATAATTCTTGAGCATGGTAGGTCCTTGTTTTTGCTAGGGAGACATATCTCTTATTTGACATCAGCAATGGCAGAAAGATGAGATGGGTGGCCAACTCATGGGAGGTCGACCTCTTCCTGGTATATTATGGAATATTATGGTATATTATGGAATCCAGCAAAGCCACACTTGAACACAAAAACTCACTCAGGAGAAACTCATAATGAAAATGTCTATCAGAAACAAATACGAAATCCTATTTAGGAAGTACACATGTAAGTCCTGTGGGAAGATTCAAAAAGACCTGGTAACTAGCTATGTGACCTTAAGAAAGTGACTCAACCCACTTTGAGCCTCAATTCCCTGGCAATAAAACCACAGAGAATAGTTTAGCCACAACCATATTCCCTACCCTCGAATAAATCTCACTGTATAACATGTTTCTTTTCTGTCCTTCAGTAAAACATGATGGTTTCCTCCACAAATATCTTCTACGTTGGTGAGATCCTGCATACTTTTTGATGATACTACGAATGGGGATTTACTAAACGGTTATCATTGATAGACAGAAATGCTGTCAGATTTCTAATACAGACCTCATATATAGACAGTTCCAATAGTTTATTGACTGAAAATCATATTACTCTAAGTAACATCAGTTTTGTCTTTTCCTATCATATACTTTAACACGACTTTTCTTTTTAATGGCTAGGACCTCCAAAATAATGTGCAAGAGTTGCCAAGAAGGCAGGCACCCATATCTTGTTCCCAGCTTTTATTATGAGGTTTTGTTTAGTATTTGAGACAGGGTCTTGCTCTGTCGCCCAGGCTGGAGTACAGTGGCAAGATCTCACCTCACTGCAACCTCCACCTCTGAGGCTCCAGCAATCCTCCAGCCTCAGCCTCCCAAGTAGCTGGGACTACAGGTGAGCGCCACCATGCACAACTAATTTTGTGTGTGTGTGTGTGTGTGTGTGTGTGTGTGTGTGTGTGTGTGTGTGTGTTTTGTTTTGTTTTTTTTGTAGAGACAGGGTTTCACCATGTTACCCAGGCTGGTATTAAGAGGTTTTACTGTTCCCAAATGCCTGGTATTTCCACAATCCTTGATGAAGAGCCTTGTAGATGCTTGCTTAGTAGACCTTTGTAAACCAATGTTTCTAAGCCTCTCTATTCTCATTTCTGCAAAGTAAGTAGCTAATACTTATAAATGTGATTGCATAATTCTTTTTTTTTTTTTTTTGAGATGGTGTTCCGCTCTTGTTGCCCAGGATAGAGTGCAATGGCGTGATCTCGGCTCACTGCAACCTCTGCCTCCCAGGTTCAAGCGATTCTCCTGCCTCAGCCTCCTGAGTAACTGGGATAACAGGCACCCACCACCACGCCCAGGTAATTTTTTGTATTTTTAGTAGAGACAGGATTTCACCATGTTGGCCAGGATGGTCTCGAACTCCTGACCTCAGGTGATCTGTCCGTCTCTGCCTCCCAAAGTGCTGGGATTACAGGTGTTGGCCACTGCTCCCAGCTGCATAATTCTTTAGCCCAGTTATTTCCCTGTGTCAGACCAACTTTTAAGATAGAGCTCTACTTGGTTTCCAGGGAATATCACTGCTACAATATTTTTTTCATGTTACATTTTCAGCATGCCATTGCACACACCATCTTCATTTTATCCTGACAACCACCCAGAAAGGTACTAAGAGCACTCCCTAATGAGAAAATCAGAAATCAAAAATGCTCCAAAATCCTTAAGTTTTTGAGCACTAACATGAAGCCACAAGTGATCTCTTGTGATGAGTCACATATATTATTTAAAATATTGTATAAAATTACCTTCAGGCTATGTGTATAAGGTATGTGATATGGTTTGGCTGTGTCCCCACCCAAATCTCATCTTGAATTGTAATTCCCATAATCCCCATGTGTCATGGGAGGGACCCAGTGGGAGGTAATTGAATCATGGAAGTAGTTACCTCCATGATGTTCTGGTGATAGTAAGTTCTCACAAGATCTGATGGTTTTATAAGGAGCTTTTCCTCCTCTTTGCTCTGCACTTCTCCTCGAAGCAGCCATGTGAAGGACGTGTTTGCTTCCCCTCCCCACCTTGATTGTAAGTTTCCTGAGGCCTCCCCAGCCATGCTGAACTGTGAGTCAATTAAACTGCTTTCCTTTATACATTACCCAGTCTCGGGTATGTCTTCATTAGCAGCATGAGAACAAACAAACTAATACAGTATGTATGAAACATAAATGAATTTTATGTTTAGGCCAGGCGTGGTGGCACGCCTGTAATGTCAGCACTTTGGGAGGCCGAGGTGGGTGGATCACCTGAGATCAGGAGTTCCAGACCAGCCTAGGCAACATGGTGAAACTCCATCTCTACAAAAAATATAAAAATTAGCTGGGCATGGTGGCACATGCCTGCTACTCAGGAGGCTGAGGCAGGAGAATCGCTTCAACTCAGGTTGCAGTGAGCCAAGATTACACCACTGCACTCCAGCCTGAGCGAAAGAGCGAGACATCATCTCAAAAAAATATATATCTATGTGTTTAGGCTTGGGTCCCATCCCCGAGATATCTCACTATGTATATGCAAATATTCCAAATTAAAAAATAAAAAAAAACACTTCTGGTCCCAAGATGAATAAGGAATACTCAACCCATACTAGTCTTACTTGATGTGTAGAAAAACTTGGTTACTTGGTTAAAGATATTTATCTGACCTTGGAGCCCAGAGCAAAGACTCAAACCTGGGTCTCCCAGCACACTCTCTCTTCCCTATAGCCCTCATAAGACAACGTTGAATCCAGGAGAGTGTGTGTTGACTTAGAGACCCCCTCAGAGAACATTATCTGCAATGCAAACTAAGTTCAGATTAGTGCACAAAGCTAGAGGGGAAAAAACATCTGAAAAATAAGATGACTACTAAAAACCTGACAGAAGGGGACAGCATCCAGGGCACAGGCTCTCAATCTTGGTACTGGTGACACTGGGGGCCAGAAAAGTATTTGTTGTGGGAGACGTCCTGTGCATTGCAGGGCAGGTAGAAGCATACCTGGCTAGATTCCAGTAATACTCTAACACCCTCACACACGTAATTAGGACAACCAAAAACGTCTCCAGACTTTGCCCAACGTCCCTTGGAGGTCAAAACTGTCCCTAGCTGAGAACCACTAATGTAGAGGGTCTGCTCTCTGCCTAGGAAAATGGTTGCTTCGAATTTATTGTAGGGGTATGGGGGTGCTAAAGAGGAGATGGGTGAGGAGCAGCAGGAAGGGGAAGAGAGGGCGGGGAACTCCTGTTGAAAGATAAGCTATACATACCAAGCAAGCAGAACTATTTCCCTTCTTTTTCTTTTTTTTCAGAACTATTTCTACCCCGAGTGAGGTCTTCTAGGATGCTACTGTGGTTTTTGAAAGATAACAGTCAGCCGTATTTTCAGTATCTGACTTCTTTTCAGTAAGTTAATAATACAATAGGAAGAGTTGTTAAGAAGCTAGAAGAATCAGCTGGGCACAGTGGCTCACGCCTGTAATCCCAGCACTTTGGGAGGCCAAGGCAGGTGGATCACCTCAGGTCAGGAGTTCAAGACCAGCCTGGCCAACATGGCGAAACCCCGTCTCTACTAAAACTATAGGTGGGCGCCTGTCCAGCTACTCAGGAGGTTGAGGCAGGAAGAAGTGCTTGAACCCGGGAGGTGGAGGTTGCGGTGAGCCAAGATCACACCACTGCACTCCAGCCTGTGTAACAGAGCAAGACTCTGTCTCAAAAAAAAAAAAGAAGCTGGAAGAATCAAATATGACTGTACATCTCCCTAACCAGCAACTCAAATCCTCTCTGTCTGATAGTAGCCGAGGTACTGATCCTCCAAAATTAAGTTTCTCCTGGTGCTCCCCTCCCAACCCCACCACCTCCTGGCTGGGGCTGGCTGCCCCTAGGAGGATCCCGAGGACTGCCTGGCTGCTCTGTACTCTTTTCAGAAGATTTTCTCCTTTCCTGAAACAGCAGCAGTTGCTGAGAGCTAGATGCCTGGTTAATCTCCTTATCAATCAGATATTTTCCTTATCTGCTGCTTGTAAGTGTTTCCTGTTCCATAAAAATAATCTGATAACAAATATGGAACATTTTAAAAAGGGAAAGCAAATCATTTCTGAGATATGATTTTTCTCCCCTACATGTATAATGTGTGTTACCAGTTTGATAACTAGGGAAACAGGTTGCAACCTGTGTTATCATGGAATATTTGCAGGTTATTAAGGGATACTGCAGAAGAGAAAATGTTCTTATTTCCCTGCTTCCATAGGCTGGCTAACAAGAAAGTAGAAAAGGCCCTGTCTATTTGCTTCTGGAATACCTTCAATGATACCAGGAACCGGCAAACTTTTCCTATAAAGGCTTCTATAAGGATAGTAAATACTTGAGGCTTTGCAGGCCATAAGGCCTCTATCGCAAATACTCAATTTGGCCACTGTAGGGCAAAAGCACACACAGACAGTACATAAATGAATGACTGTAGCTGTGTGCCAATAAAACTCTATAAACACAGGCTTCAGGCAGCATCTAGCCCACAGGCTGTAGTTGCAGACACCTGGTCTACATAAACCAGAGTATGGGTGCTCTGGCTGTGTGTAAACACAAGGTCCATGTGTGGACGATGAGGACCATAGACTCCAGTTCCTACAGAGGCCACACAGGGACCATACCTGAGTGAAAAAAACCATAGCTTCAGCTATCATTCTCCTACATCTGGTAAAAGCATGAATACTGTGAAGTATGTAAGAAAGAACCACCTAGCCCTGGAGTGTGAGGATGCACTGGCATTCAACCTCGCAGTGGGGGAGACAGCAGGGCTGGGCAGAGCTCAGACCCATCTTACAGAGGCAGCCCCCACTCAGCTCCAGTGATCCAAGGAGTTGGGCAGACACAAACTCCTAGTGTTGCCTGACCTTGGGGAGAAACTGGCAATCCCTGCACTCCCCTGAACTATCTCAACTGTTAATACACTGTCTCAGCCCAACAAAAGACTTCTGTGGGCCTAGTGCAGTGGTTCACACCTCTAATCCCACCAATTTGGGAGAATGAGGTGGGAGAACAGCTTGAG
Source organism: Homo sapiens (assembly GCF_000001405.40). Lineage (NCBI taxonomy): Eukaryota > Metazoa > Chordata > Mammalia > Primates > Hominidae > Homo > Homo sapiens. The sequence continues at coordinate 47,305,030 of NC_000020.11, forward strand.
CCCAGGAGTCCGCGACCAGCCTGGGCAGCAAGACCCTATCTCTACAAAAAGTTAAAAAAAAAAAATTAGCCAGGCATGTTGGGGAACAGCTGTAGACCCAGCTACTTGGGAGGCTGAGGTGGGAGGATCACTTGAGCCCAGGAGGTCAAGGCTGTAGTAAGCCACAATGACACCACTGTACTCCAGCCTGGACAACAGAGCAAAGCCCTGCCTCTTTTTTTTTTTTCTTTTTTCTGAGACAGAGTCTCGCTCTGTCACCCAGGCTGGAGTGCAGTGGTGCGATATTGGTTCACTACAACCTCCGAGGTTGAAGCGATTCTCATGTCTCAGCCTCCCGAGCAGCTGGGATTACAGGTGCGCACCACCATGCCTGGCTAATTTTTCTATTTTTAGTAGAGATGAGGTTTCACCATGTTGCCCAGGTTGGTCTCGAACTCCTGGCCTCAGGTGATCTGCCCACCTTAGCCTCCCAAAGTGCTAGGATTACAGGCATGAGCCACCAGGCCTGGGCCTGCAAAGCCTTGTTTCTTTCAAAAAAAAAAAAAAGCAAGCAAAAAAAGACTTCAAGTGTCCCAGTTTTTAGGGCAACATGTGGGCCCAAGAAAATAAGTACTAGCCACTCATTCATGATATGCAGACACCCTGTCCTCAGAGAAGGTGAAGAGGGGCCCCATCATTTCTTTGCTATATTTGATCAAAGATGCACCTAAGGCCATTCTGTACAAATCTGCTGGCACGTTATTTCTCAATCCTTTAATGCAAGGGAAAAAAACCAAAACACCTCCCAACAGGATGTTTGAACTCAAATGTGTCAGAACTAAAGAGCAGAGTGGTATTTATCTGTAAAGACCCTGACGTCATTTGGGGCAAGGCATTTCTTGCCCCATATACTACAGGACATCCATTTAGCAACCTGACCCTCCTCCACAAAACGCCGAGAGCATCTTCCCAGGCATTCTCAAACCTTCCTAAGGGGTGAAAACACTGGACCAAAGGTCTTTTAAAAATGCATGGTAAACCTTAGGATGCTTTTAAACCCTGAAAATAAAATGTGTTTTAAAGCTCTTTAAACTTTTGGCTCGGCGCAGTGGTTCATGCCTGTAATCCCAACACTTTGGGAGGTTGAAGCAGGAGAATCACTTCAGCCCAGGAGTTCGAGACCAACCAGGGCAAGAAAGAAAGTGAGACCCCCATCTCTATAACAAAATAAAAAAAACTAGCCGGGTGTGCTGACATGTGCCGATAGTCCCAGCTACTTGGGAGGCTGAGGGAAGAGAATTGCTTGAGCCGGGGAGGTCGAGCCTGCAGAGCCGGGGAGGTTGAGGTTGCAGTAAGCTGTGATCATGTCACTGCACTCCAGCCTGGGCAGCAGAGTGAGACCCTGTCTCAAAAAATAAAAATACAAATAAAAATAAACTTCCCTAAAATGAATTCCTAATATATGATAAATGGGTGGAATAGGGACCAAACTTAAAACTCATCCCATATTTTCACATGGTAATAAAACATCTCTACCAAAAATGGAAATATATGGATTATTTGCCTTTTTTTTTTTTTTTGAGACAGAGTCTCACTCTGTCGCTCAGGCTGCAGTGTGGTGACACGATCTCAGCTCACTGCAACCGCTGCCTCCCGGGTTCAAGAGAGTCTCTTGCCTCAACCTCCCAAGTAGCTGGGATTACAGTCCTGAGCCCAGCCTATTTGCTCTTTATGAGGTGAGAATAGCTTTCTTTCTGGAACAATGGAACAAAGAAGAGAAACTAAAGTGAAGAAAAAGAAGACGACAGTGGAGAATCTTCACATATGCCAAAGTCAAAAGAACATGGACATGGAAAGAAATTCAGAGGTGGATGAAATGAGCAGAGCAGGCTGAGTATGAGACAACAGGGAATGGTGGGCAGTGTGGCAAACAAGCAAGCACAGGCCTGTGTCTAAAGGGGCAGGCTTGACTCAGCTCCAGCTGGTTGCTAGATTTTGCTGAGTGCTATGGTCTGAATGCTTGTGTACCTCCCAAATTTCTATGTTGATGTTCTAACCCCAAGGTGATGGCATTAGAGAAGTGGGGCCCTGAGAGGTGATCAGGGCCCTGCCCTCATGAATGGGATTAGTGCCCTTATAAAAAAAGGGACCCCGGAACTTGGCCAGGCACGGTGGCTCATGCCTGTAATACCAGCACTTTGGGAGGCCGAGGTGGGTGGATTACCTGAGGTGAGGAGTTTGAGACCAGCCTGGCCAACATGGCGAAACTCCGTCTCTACCAAAACTACAAAAAAAAAAAATTAGCCGGGTGTGGTGGTGCATGCCTGTAATCCCAGCTACTCAGGAGGCTGAAGCAGGAGAATCGCTTGAACCCAGGAGGCAGAGGTTGCAGTGAGCTGAGACTACACCACTGCACTCCAGCCTGGGCAATGAGAGAGAAACTCCGTCTCAAAAAATAAATAAATAAATAAATAAAGGGACACCGGAAAGCCCAGGTACTCAGGAGGCTGAGGCAGAAGGATAACTTGAGTGTCCAGCTTGAGCAATATAGCAAGACCCCATCTCTTAAAAAGAGGGTAGGCTGGGCACAGTGGCTCACGCCAGAGGTCAGGAGTTCAAGACCAGCCTGGCCAGCATGGTGAAACCCCATCTGTACTAAAAATACAAAACTTAGCAGGGCGTGGTGGCAGGCGCCTGTAATTCCAGCTACGTGGAGGCTGAGACACAAGAATCTCTTGAACCTGGGAGGCAAAGGTTGCAGAGAGCCAAGATTGCGCCATTGCACTCCAACCTCAGCAACAAGAGTGAAACTCCATCTCAAATAAATAAGGCCAGGCGCGGTGGCTCACGCCTGTAATCCCATCACTTTGGGAGGCTGAGACAGGTGGATCACAAGGTCAGGAGTTCGAGACCAGCCTGGCCAAAATGGAGAAATCCCATCTCTACTAAAAATAAAAAAATTAACTGGGCACAGCGGCGGGCGCCTGTAATCCCAGCTACTCGGGAGGCTGAGGCAGAAGAATCCCTTGAACCTGAGAGGTGGAGGTTGCAATGAGCCGAGATCACACCAATGCACCCCAGCCTGGGTGACAGAGTCAGACTCTGTCTCAAAAAAAAAAAAAAAATTGAAAAACTCAGTTCCTCAGTCACTTGCCATTTTCAAGTACTGAAGAACCACATGTGACCTGTGGCTACCATCTTGGACGTGAGGTTTTTTTTTTTTTTTTGGAGACAGAGTCTTGCTCTGTCGCCCAGGCTGGAGTGCAATTATATGATCTCAGCTCACTGCAACCTCCGCCTCCCAGGTTCAAGCAATTCTCGTGCCTCAGCCTCCCGAGTAGCTGGGATTACAGGCATGTGCCACCACGCCCGGCTAATTTTTTGTATTTTTAGTAGGGCCAGGGTTTTTGCCACATTGGCCAGGCTGGTCTCGAACTCCTGACCTCAGGCGATCCGTTTGCCTCGGCCTCCCAAAACGCTGGGATTACAGGCATGAGCCACCGCGCCTGGCCAGACATGAGCATTTTTACAGGAATTGTTTATTTCATATAAAGATTGTATGATTATTCTACTTAGCAGAGAAACTGACTTTATGTTTCATTTTTAATATCACTATTTATGGCATTTAGCTCAATGTTCACAACCCTGTGAAATTTGTGGTAGTATCATTATCCCCATTTCAGTAGATGAGAAAACTAGGCACAAAAGAGGTTAACTTGCCCACAGCCACGGAGCAAAAGCAGGGCTGGCATTTCACTATGTAATTTTGAGAGTGAAAATAGATTCATGCTCAGAAACACACACCTCTCACAGGCCTGGGTATTTAACCGTTGCTAGGTCTCCTTCCATGAAAGCAACAATCTCGTTTAATTCAACTTTCCATCCCCAGGGCCCACTCCTCTACTCAATAATGCACAAAGTGGATGAATGCATCCCTAGGAATCACTGCTGAAGAACAAGTGGCATCAGAACCAACGGGACACTGTTTCCTTCAGTGCTATGAGATCCGACCTCATAGTCCAGGGGGATAGATACAATCCACCAGTAAGTCCACTAAAGTGCCTCTCCATTTTTGTAATCTGAAGAGTATCTAGCCTGCCCCAGAGAATTCTAAAGCTAGAATGTCCCTTAGAAAAGATCCAAACGGTGAACGGATTTTTCCTATCTAGCTGACTGGTGCTAGCTGCCAAGGGAGGGTGGGCTCTGGAAAGAATCCTCTGTGCTTCCACGAAAAGGAACTGTGACCAATTACCTAAGCCTGCCCCTGGCAATGCCTCTTACCAAAGAACCTAAACCCTTCATTTTTTTTTTTTTCTGAGATAGAGTCTCGCTCTGTCACCAGGCTGGAGTGCAGTGGCGCGATCTCGGCTCACTGCAACCTCCGCCTCCCGGGTTCAAGCGATTCTCCTGCCTCGGCCTCCCGAGTAGCTGGGACTACAGGCGCATGCCACCATGCTCAGCTAACTTTTTTTGTATTTTTAGTAAAGGCGGGGTTTCACCAGGTTGGCCAGGATGGTCTCAATCTCTTGACCTCGTGATCGACCTGCCTCGGCCTCCCAAAGTGCTGGGGTTACAGGCATGAGTCACCAGGCCCAGCCTCTAAACCCTTCATTTTACAGATGAGAAAACTGAGGCCAGAAGGGAACTTGCCTCAAGCCAAGCAACCGCTTCCAGACAGAGCTGAGAACTAGTCCTGTGGGCATGGCCCAGGAGGGGAAAACTCCTCAGGCCACATGGGGAAAACAGTCCTAAAAGCATGAAAAAAAAAAAAATACAAATACAAGGAAACGCCCCAAACCCTAAAGAATTATATACCCTCATCTCATCTGGGTCCCTGCTCTGTCCCCGAAACAGATCTGAAAACCCACTGGAAATTTCTACACAGGCCCATTTTTAGCCATCTTTTTTTGTCCAAGGCAAATGACAGCCAGCGCAAGGCAGCTAACTAAATCCAAGAAAGCCGGCGCTTACAAGGATCCAGAGGTTCAGCGCTACTAGCTGGCCTCTGTCCCACCAGTGAGGACACCGTTCCCAGCGGCTGCTTTACCTGCTCCTTATTGTTACTGTTCAGTAAGCCAGGTTTCTTTTTCTTTTTAATGGGGCTTGTTGATGTGTCCTGCGGCGAGTGGCCATTGGAAGAATGTGGAGGGCTGGGGAACTTTCTTTTCTGGGCTGTTCTCTCTGCAGAGCCAGGATCTGAAAGAGATACAGGACCACAGGTTTTAAAGCAGTCAGGGAGGCCTGGGCCCCACAGGGAGGAGGTGTGGAGGAACCAAGTGTGGGAACAGAGTGCATTCTGTCCCCCAACTCCCGAAGCCACTTCAGTGTTCCTCCTCCCAGAATATACGTGCCCCCTTCTTCACTGTCTGCTTCAACAGTCAGACAAGTATTTCTTTGACCTATGTAACATTTTTGTAAAATCTTAACTTGTTGCCAAGATACAAAAATCAGGAAATTTCATGTAATAACCTAGATTTTTCACTTTTCTTAAAAAAACAGATTAGGAGGGCCAGGCACGGTGGCTCATGCCTGTAATCCCAGCACTTTGGGAGGCCAAAGTGGGCAGATCACAAGGTCAAGAGTTCAAGACCAGCCTGGCCAATACCGTCTCTACTAAGAGTACAAAAATTAGCCTGGTGTGGTGGCACATGCCTTTAATCCCAGCTACTCGGGAGGCTGAGGCAGGAGAACTGCTTGAACCCAGGAGGCGGAGATTTCAGTGAGCCGAGATTGTGTCACTGCACTCCAGCCTGGGGGACAGGGCAAGCCTCCGACGTGAAAAAAAAAAAAAAAAAAAAACAGATTAGGACCTGCAGGCCCCTATAGCACCAGATACAGCTGAGTAACAGCTACCCCACTTTTAGATGGAAACATGTGCAATCGCCACTCTTCCCCACTACGTCCCTGCTGATGAGACCGAGGCCAACCTGCCAACAGTCATCACACAGGGACCAGTATTGTTCTTACCCCAAAGAAATACGACTTGTCCATGCCCATGCCTGATTGCAAAAGCAGGAAACCAAAGAAGATAGACCAGGAAGGCCATACTTCAAGGAAATGAAGGCATACATTCTCCTTTGTGGAAAACAACATCATTTATTCGTGTTTAATAGGCTATGAACTGTAATTGTGTGGAAAGAACACACCCCACCCACCGGGAAGTTCCCGTGCTCCCACCGCCTCTGGGCCTCGTGTTTGAGACCCTCCTCCAAAAAGATCAATACAAATTACATCCTTGTGGATTCTCACCAGCCCCACTCTTGTTCATGCACCCCTTCTTTTCATCTTTCAGCATCTCATTTAAACACATGTACACTTCAGCCAGGCACGGTGGCTCACACCTATAAACCCCAGCACCTTGGGAGGCCGAGGCAGGCGGATCACCTGAGGTCACAAGATCAAGACCAGCCTGGCCAACATGGTAAAACCATGTTAACGAGATCAAGACCAGCTGGGCCAACATGGTAAAACCAGTCCTCTGTTTGCAGACGTCTGTTTCAAGTGCTTTGGGTACAGCCCACAGTGCTGCAATGCAGTCATCTTGCCTTTGCTCCTTTTCCACTGTATTTGTAGAATGTGTTTCTAGAGGAGATTGTTGGGTCAAAGGCCAAGTGGAGAAAAAGTTTTCACGAACAATGGCGGGAGGTCATGAGATCAAGACCAGCCTGGCCAATAAGGTAAAACCCCGTCTCTACTAAAAATACAAAAACAATTAGCTGGGTGTGGTGGCACACACCTGTAATCCCAGCTACTTGGGAGACTGAGGCAGGAGAATCGCTTGAACCCAGGAGGCAGAGGTTGTAGTGAGCCGAGATCACACCACTGCACTCAAGCCTGGGTGACAAAAGTGAGACTCTGTCTCAAAAATAATAATAAAAATACATAAACACAGGTACACTTCCACTACCATCCATTCAATCTTCACCTCCAAGGACTTGAATCCACTCCATGCCCAATGGTGGTCTTCTTAACTTAGGGACGATGTAATGACACAGCCTGGTGTACCTGACATCCTGAGGAACGAAAGCTACAAATACCACAAGAGGGGTGAGCTGTGCCAAGACCATAGGGGGGATGGGGTGGGATGGGATGTGAAATCTGCGAAGATGTCAATTACCAAAGATGCTCCTGCCCCAGTTTTACCACTCAGCATGTAGGCTGCATGGTGCATCTGTCTCCCTGTCTGTAGGAGGGTCACTGACAGCAGATTAACAGCATCCAACGTGGTCCACGCAAGGCCTCCTAGTGGTTGACTTTCATGAAAAGGCAAAGTATCTTCCAGCAGATTCACAAAGGAAGACAATGAACACTTTCCCAAAACCCAATCTACAGGATGGAACTCTCCAGCCTCACCATGCAAGCTTCTGGACAATCCTGAACAAATATTCAGGGGGCTGCGTGGAGACCCAGTCATGAGTGGAAATTAAATGCTAACAACAGGTACCTTGAGGGTGAACAGACCTGAGAGTCCAGAGATCAAACCACAGACATCAAAAGGGCGGCCCAGAGAGCCCAAAGCGCTGGACCAAAGGCACACAGCAGCTAGTTAGTGGGAAAACTCACGAAAGAGACAAAGAGGTCAGCCTAGCCAACATGGTGAAACCCCGTACTTTTGTACTAAAAACACAAAAATTAGCTAGGCATGGTAGCGCACACCCATAATCCCAGCTACTTGGGAGGCTGGGGCAGGATAATCACTTGAACCCTGGAGTCAGAGGTTGCTGTGAGCCGAGATCACACCGCTGCACTCCAGTCTGGGCGACAGAGCGAGACTCCGTCTCAAAAAAAAAAAAAAAAAAGAGAGAGAGGTGCAGCCCGGGGTGAGCACATTCCCCCAGAGAAACCTCCCCTCCCTCCCACATGGGTCCTCACCCGACTCTCGCCACTGTTCCTGAAAACTTTTTCTCCACTTGGCCTTTGACCCAACAATCTCCTCTAGAAACACATTCTACAAACATAGTGGAAAAGGAGCAAAGGCAAGATGACTGCACTGCAGCACTGTGGGCTGTACCCAAAGCACTTGAAACAAACGTCTGCAAACAGAGGACTGCTCTAAGAATACATTACAGTCACATGGCCGGACACAGTGTTCACACCTGTAATCCCAGCACTTTGAGAGGCCGAGGGGGAAGGATTGCTTGAGCCCAGGAGTTTGAGGGTATTGTGAACTATGATCACGTCGGAGCCTGGGTGAAAAGGAGAGACACTGTCTCTGAAAAAAAAAAAAAAAAATTTAATTATAAAAATTTTTAAGTTCTTTAAAAAGATCTAAAAACACCTGGGCAACATGGTGAAACCCCGCATCTACAAAAAATATAAAAATTAGGCTGGAGGCCGGGCGCAGTGGCTCACGCCTGTAATCCCAGCACTTTGGGAGGCCAAGGCGGGCGGATTACAAAGTCAGGAGATCGAGACCATCCTGGCTAACATGGTGAAACCCCGTCTCTACCAAAAATACAAAAAATTAGCCGGGCGTGGTGGCGGGCGCCTGTAGTCCCAGCTACTCGGGAGGCTGAGGCAGGAGAATGGCGTGAACCTGGGAGGCGGAGCTTGCAGTGAGCCAAGATCGCACCACTGCACTCCAACCTGGGCAACAGAGGGGTGAGACTCCATCTCAAAAAAATAATAATAATAATAATTAGGCTGGGGACGGTGGCTCACACCTGTAATCTCAGCACTTTGGGAGGCCGAGGCAAGCGAATCATCTGAGGTCAGGAGTTCGAGACCAGACTGGCCAACATGGTGAAACCTCATCTCTACTAAAAATACAAAAAACTAGCTGGGTGTGGTGGCACGTGCCTATAGTCCCAGCTACTTGGGAGGCTGAGGCAGGAGAATCGATTGAGCCCAGGAGGCAGGGGTTGCAGTGAGCTGAGATCGCACGACTGCACTCCAGCCTGGGCAACAGAGCAAGACTCCGTCTCAAAAAAATTAATAATAAATAAAGTGTATCTAGCACCATTAATGGACCAATATTCCTCCCAAAAAAAGATTTAATATACACATCAATGTTTGCATAAACCTAGAATATTCCTGGATGAACACAAAAGTACAACAAAGCTCGACTTGGGGACTACTGGTTGCCTTGGGAGGGGTGCCTGCAGGGAGTCCAGGGAAGGGGAGTCCAGGGAAGGATTATTTTCCACTCTATACCCTTGTGTACTTATTTATCATGTGACTGGATGACGTTACGAAAATAAAGAAAATTGGCCAGGTGCGGTGGCTCACGCCTGTAATCCCAGCACCTTGGGAGGCTGAGGTTAGCAGATCGCTTGAGGTCAGGAGTTCGAGACCAGACTGGCCAAGATGGTAAAATCCTGTCTCTACTAAAAATACAAAAATCAGCCAGGTGTGGTGGTACGCTCCAGTAGTCCCAACTACTAGGGAGGCTGAAGCGGGAGAATCACTTGGCGCCAGGAGGCAGAGGTTGCAGTGAGCCAAGATTGCACCACTGCACTCCAGCCTGGGCGAAAGAGAGAGACTCCATCTTTAAAAACAAAACAAAACAAAAAGAATGCAAATTATCAGGCCCCACCCCAGATCTACAGAATCAGAAACTCTGGGGTAGGGCCCAGCAATCTGTTTTAATAAGTCCTCCCGAAGACTGGGAGGTACACTAGTTTGAGGAACGCTAGGGTATGTGTATGTGTTTAGGAGATGGGGTCTGAGTTCTCAACTCTACACAATCCTGTTCCACACTGGCGAGCCAGAGCCAATGGCCTCTACTTCCAGACATTATTTGAGGGGTTGGTTCAGGACTCAGGATAGAAGCTAAGCAAGGGAGTCAGGCTGGAGAATGAGGCTAAACAGGAAACAACCCCAGGCAAGTCTCCACCTCTCAGGGCCTCAGGGCCTCACCTGCAAAATGGGAAGAGCCGGGAGAAAGGGACTAGACTAGAAGTTCTTGTTTAAAGACCAGACAGTGCTCCAGGGACCCTTGAACAGGCCATCACTGTATACAGGAGTGCAATTTCTAGGGACATGGAGTCATAGCTTCCTTCACCTTTGCAAAGGTGTCCTCAGCTCCAATGATTAAAAACTTCAGGGCCCCCAGAGGATGTTAAAAGTCCCTCTTCAACATTACTTAATTTAATGAGAAAGTGGGAAAAAAAATCACTAGACAGTAATATACTTGTAAGCGATTTAGAGTTGGCAAGGGACTATCACCCAAGCCCACCAGGAAACAAAGGGGGAAACTGAGGTTCTGCTCAGCAAGAGGTAGGGGGAGGTGGGTCCTAGCCCAAGCATGCCCACACCTGAGAGTATTCCAAACCTTCTAGTTTCAGCAAAACATAAAAACCCCAATTCTGTTTGCTGTTACAAACACCAATTCCCCCTGGAGTTGATGAGAGTTCAGTGACTGTATCCAAGGGGTCGAAATTTGATAGGTTCCAAACAACAGACACATCAGTCAACAGCAGGAGATTTCAATGAAGGGTTGTAGGGAGAAGAATTAGGAAATGCCTGCTGGATTCGGTATCCTTCGGAGGGATGAGACAGCAGGGGGGCATTATTACTTAAATGCCCCCCACTCCAGTGGGGGCTGGGCCTCTGGTGATGATGGACTGGTGGGTGTACACCTGACTGTAGCCGTGGTACCCAGGCTCCATAAGGACCCTTTCCAGAAAGCTGAGTCAATTTTTTCTTCTTTAATGATTTAATTCTGACAAGGATGTATTGCCCAGTGCATTTCATCTATAAACTTTGAACAATGACAAACAGCCACTGTCGACTGAACCACTGGTTCACCCTGGATCTGAAAGACTTTTCTGCTGCCTTTTCTGAGGGAGTAGGACCTGTGACCCCGCCCGGCTGGCTCACTCACAACCCTCTGCCTCTCACCCATCCCCCAAAAATGAGTGGTTCTGAATGAGTTAACGTGGGTGAGGGAGGAATGCAGCCTTATGGAGAGGACAGAGCAGTGACTCAGGAAAACAGCTTGGCATGGAGCGGAAAGCAGCAGAATTTTCCTCTCCTTGTGACATTTTGCTGAAATTGTAACAATATGGGAAGGTCTACTGGGTATTAAGAACCAGGCATGAGGCCGGGCACGGTGGCTCACGCCTGTAATCCCAGCACTTTGGGAGGCCAAGGTGGGCAGATCACAAGGTCAGGAGTTCGAGACCAGCCTGACCAACATGGTGAAACCCCGTCTCTACTAAAAATACAAAAATTAGCTGAATGTGATGGTGAGCACCTATAATCCCAGCTACTCAGGAGGCTGAGGCAGGAAAATTGCTTGAACCCAGGAGGCGGAGGTTGCAGTAAGCCGAGATCATGCCATTGTACTCCAGCCTGGGCAACAGAACGAGACTTTGTCTCAAAAAAAAAAAAAAAAGGAACCAAGCATATGAGGAGATCCTTCCCAAGCCTGTGATCCACCAGAAATCATCCTGGAGCTCAGCACTTCCTGGATGTCTTTTGATTTAAGGGGCATCTTAATTCAAGATAACACAGGCTCATAGCTTTCCTGAGCCAAGAGTATGAAGAGCTAAGAGTTTCGGCCAGGTGTGGTGGCTCACACCCATAATCCCAGCACTTTGGGAGGCCGAGGCAGGCAGATTGCCTGAGGTCAGGAGTTCAAAACCAGTCTGGCCAACATGGTGAAACCCCATCTCTACTAAAAATACAAAAAAATTAGCCAGGAGTGGTGGTGTGCGCCTGTAATCCCAGCTACTTGGGAGGCTGAGGCAGGAAAATTGCTTGAACCAGGGAGGTGGAGGTTGTGGTGAGCCAAGATCGCACCACTGCACTCCAGCCTGGGTGACAGAGCAAGACTCGCTCTCAAAAAAAAAAAAAAAGAAAGAAAGCTAAGAGTTTCTTTTATTATATGTGATATTCTAGGCAATGTTCAAAATGCATTTCCTGTAGTCCCCACTAAGTCACCTGCCTGAGATCACAAAGCTACCAAGGAGCAGTGCTGGGATTTGAACCCAGGCAGTGAGGCTCCGAGGGCCAGAGCAGTACTGGGATTTCAACCCAGGCAGTGGGACTCCGAGGGCCAGCTTCTAATCTCTGTACCACATGGCCTTGTACCAGGAGGGCCTCATCCTCAGCCCTGTAGCAAGAGGACTCCCTAATTTAGGGTCTATGATTTAAGAGCACACTCTCATTTTGCCTTTTTTCCCCTAAACTGCAGATGGAAGTATAGGGACAGAGAAGGTCCAACAAACAGTTTCAGGAACTGGGAAAAGGTGGAAAGTCGTGTCATTCACTGATGACACCGTTCTCTCAAAGGCAGTCCCCAGAAAGCACATTCACCTCCCAATTTCCAAACAGTGGCATCAGTCCCTGAAATAGGCTGGGGGCTCCAGGGCCAACTCACCTCCCCTTTTCCAGCCTCCATCAAGGCTAGGCCTCCCCAGCAGGCCACATCAGGTACCCGCCCTCCACCCCACTCCTGCCCCCACATCCGGTGCCTGAGTCACAGCACATGCCGTTCTCCAGGGGCTAGGAAATGACACACCATTACAGGGAATTGTCTCCTCCCTCAAGGGAAAGGGCCGCAGCTGAAAGGCCGGGAGCTTCTTGTGTTTTTGTGGGTGTTTAATTTCCTTAATGATGTCGACAGCAAGCCTGCTGGGGCCTGAACGAAAAGAGAAGCTTGGTCCACAGGCTGAGACAGGCATGACAGGCCACAGGAGTAGGGCAACCAACCATGTGCTTAGCTGGGTCCCGGGCAAACCAGGACACATAGGTCAAGGCATATGCTCTCATGGGCCAGGTTGCAAACGACAGAGAGGCAGGATGCCACAGTGGTGGGGAATCAGCTTTCTGGCGTCAAAATGCATGCAGAACCTGGCTGTGCTCTCCCCTGCAGTGTGACCGTAAAAAGGCAACTTAACCTCTCTGTGCCTCAGAGAGTTTACCACTTTACAAGTGGTACCTTGTAAAGTTATCGAAGAAGTCAATGAGTTAATTCACGTAAAGCTCTTAGTATAATACCTGGCAAATAGTAAGCACCTATTCAATGGTAACTAATGGGTAACTGTATTTTTTTTAACCAATCACTCTTCCTCCTTTTCTTGCTTCTCTTCCACCTCCTCCCCGACTACCGCCCCCCACTCCAAAAACACAGCTTGCTTTCTGGAAGGAGCATGTTAAATCAATTCCACAAGTTCAAAGCTATGGAAAACACCGGCCTGTGTAGACTGGAGACCAGAATCAGCCCAGGACAGGATTTCTGCATTTCAATCAGACTGAAAATGCCAGGTTTCCCCCAGTAACTGTGAAGGCAGGGTCAGAAGCAGAGGCCTGCTCTACAGCCCTTTTCGTAATCACCAGTCCTCCCCTTGGCCTACTTCAAACATGACCACACACTGCTGCTCCCCCAGAAGCAGCAAAGCAGAGCATGGTTAATCACTTCAAAGCGTTTCCCAAAGACACAGAGCAGGTACCCAAACAGGCCTCCCTTCCCCAGGAATATTTGGGGCCCTCCCCAACCAGTAATTACATCATAAAGAGACAAAAGTCCGGAATTTCCTCCTGGCAGAGCATAGAAGTAAGAAATCAGGAGCAAAGGTTGGGGGTGGGGAGGAAGCAAAATTGTCCTCGCAGCAGAGAATGCCTAAGCCAGGAGGAACTTGTAAATGAAAACCGCTCGCATTAGCAAATGATTATTTCCTCCAACGCTGACCGTCTCTTAGACCCACAGAAACTCGAGGACCGGTCTGCACCCTGGCTGACTTGGGCCTGCCAGAGCTGCCGGGCTGAGCCCTCTCCTCCAGAGGACTGCACTGGCCTGAACTGTGCTTATAAAGAATCTCTGCAAATCAACAGGAACTTCTCATCCAGAGCCGGGATAGGGAGGGCTGGAATGGAAATGAGGCTGTGGAATGAAAGGTCACTCTCAACTTGGGGAAAATGGCATTTCACCAGGAACATCAAGTACCTCGGAGGCAGAACATGCGAGGGGCAGGGAACGCCAAGAGGAGGCACTTACCTGCCATTGAGAAAGTGCGGCTGCTCAGAGGGCCTAGCCTCTCTTGTTCAAAAGAGAACAGAGGCTCACCCACAGCAGACATTCCTGCTTCCGGATCCTCAGCGGCCTCTCCCAGGGGGAGGAGGAAGAAGCAAAGAGAACAGGCTAAGAGTCACCACTTACCAGGCCAGCCCCGGTCTTGTACGCATTAGGTCGCCCGGCGGGGCAAGGACACTGTCACCTCTTTGCAATCAGGCAGTCTGAAACCCAGCGACTTGCCTTCATGTCCCCGGGCTTTCGCCTATAATTTATCACCCTCAACAGCAGCTCGGCTGAGCTGAAAGTCTCCGGTGCAGTGCACCGAAGAGCCATTGATTTCGTGGGATTGTGAATAAATACGAGGAACTGCAGTTGTTCTGCTGGCCGAGGTGACAATATCAGAAGGGAGCCTGGGGGGAGGGAAACAGCTGTGGTTTGCATTTTGAAGTTGTTTTTAACATTTTTAGTAATTGTTTCAGATTCTCCAGTTCTGATGCCCCTCTCCTAGAAATGAGAAAACCCATCTTTTATACTTGAGGTATAATCCTTTCCCACTAGACACAGCCTCCTCCACCCTTCTCTCAATAATGCAGAAGTGGTGATTAAAGGGCACATTCATATGTAAAAGGCGAACTTCCAAACTCGCCTGGCAGGACAGAAATTGCTTCAATCTACAGAAAAGAGGCTGATTTACAATTGAATTCAGTGTTTAGCCCTCAACAACTAGAGGCAATAGCAACCGCGGCCCTTTCTCCTCCCCAGCTGGGATGAGGCCCTCTGGAAAAACGACAACATCGCAACAGGAATTTCCTGGATCAAGAATGCCAAGTTCTTTCCAATTTTACTGAGGCAGGATCCGACTCCCTGTGAGAACGCACTGCCCACCACCCACCCACCCCCTCAGCAGGCCCAGGCCCCAAAGGCTCCCTCCAACATGTGTACATGAGGCCCTTCAAACTCGACCGGAACACCACAAAGAATGTGGAGAAACCGGTTGCCTCTGGCCTTTACATTGTGGCTGGCTGAGGAGCTGGTTCTGGTGGCTGACACCCGTTGGCACTATTTATCCAGCCCCTGCCTGGCTTGGGTTCTGGAAATCTCCGGTGGTAGTGGCTTCCAAACTGCAATGGGGAATCGCGGCGTCAGAGGGCAATTCAGAAACAAAAAGACAGTTCTGTGCTGGCAGCATTTGAAGCACAGAAGTGGGTTGGGAGAAGCAAAGGGAAATTAGCTTCAGAAAGGGGGCAGATGAAGGAAGAGGCGCCACTGCTAACCAACCAAGGTCCCCATCTGCCCTGGATGGTATCTCTAAAAGCCACCTAAAGAAGGCAAAATTCTCTACTGAAACGCCAGGTACGAAGGGACAGGCCCTCCACAGTCACCTTGTCACATTCCTTTGGGGAGCGAAGAGTTCAGACCCAACATGTCACCCAAATTACCCTGGCCAGCCACCACGTAAAGATGCTGCGGCTGTGCATGGTGGCTCACGCCTGTAATCCCAACACGTTGGGAGGCCAAGGCGGGCGGATCACCTGAGGTCAGGAGTTCGAGACCAGCCTGGCCAACATGGCGAAATCCTGTCTCTATTAAAAATACAAAAATTAGCCGGGTGTGGTGGCACACACCTGTGGTACCAGCTACTCCTACTGGGGAAGCTGAGGCAGGAGAATCGCTTGACCCCAGGAGGCTGGAGTGCAGTGAGTCGAGATCACGCCATTGCACTCCAGCCGGGGTGACAGAGCAAGATGCCATCTCAAAAATAAATAAATAAAGATGCTTAACATCACTCAGATAGTAGTGGGGTGATTCTAAGAACATGTCCTATTGTCTACAGGGCTCATGGGTGCACAGAAGGATAGACGGGGTAGCCACTGCAACAGGGCTTTGTAGAAAAGTCAGACAGGAACCAACATTGATGCCCATATGTGAAACATCATGATGCAGCCATAAAATGGAATAAAGATGGAATCCCGTCTGCATAGACGGGCATGGTCCAAAATCCAAGTGAAAGGAGACCAGAAATAGAACCAGGGTAAAAGTTTGTTCTCTGAGGCTTCTGGGTTTGCAGAGACATGGAGGAACACCCAGGAAACCCAGTAAACGCTGGACTCCTCTGAATTATTTCTGATCATGTTTACATATTTAACGAAGGTATTTATTAATGGCTTTGGGGAAACTGGGTGATAATGACAATATTTATGGAACACTCACTGCATCCTGGGCACTGCCCAGCCAGGGATCACGTCTGTATCCCTTGTACCCGGCATACAGCAGGAGCTCAGTACACGCCCCCATCATCAAACAAACACTTTTACGGGGCTCAGGTGTTTAGAAGAGTGGAAAGCAGTATCAGCACACCCAGGGGACATCTGGCAATGTCTGGGGACATTTTTGGTTGTCACAACTGGGCAGGAAAAGGAGTTGCGACAGGCATCTACTGGGTAGAGGTGAGGGATGTTGCTAAACATTCTACAATGCACAGGACAGCCCTAAGACAAAGAATGATCAGGCCCAAAGTCCACAGTGCCAAGGCTGAGAAATCCTGGTAGAAAGAAACTTCAGTGAGCTACCAGGCAGGTCTCACCATGTGTAAACACACCACCCACAGAGGTGCATGTATTCATTAAGAAGGAAAATGATTCCTGATGTTTCACCTGGTGGCCCTGACTTCAGACTTCAAAGAAAATAATGGGACCAGTCAGTCAACAAATAGTCACTAGGCAACAACTAGATATCTGGGCTATCAGGAAAACTGTCCCAGGAAGGCCTCTGCCCTGATGGAAGGACAGCTAGAAACACAGTTGTAACAGCTACCTTTTATTGAGCAGTTACTATCTGGGAGGCATTGTTAGAAATACAAATATCGATTTATTTAAAACTCGCCGCCCTTTTTTTTTTTTTTTTTTTTTTGAAACAGAGTCTCACTCTGTCACCTAGGCTGGAGTGCAGTGGCACAATCTGGGCTCATTGCAACCTCAGCCTCCCAGGCTCAGGAGATCCTCCTGTCTCAGCCTCCCAAGTAGCTAGGACTACAGGCACAGGCCACCATGCCTGGCTAATTTTTGTATTTTTTGTAGAGAAGGGGTCTCGCCATGTTGCCCAGACTGGTCTCAAACTCCAGGGCTCAAGCAATCCCTCTGCCTCAGCCGCCCAAAGTGCTGGGATTACAGATGTGACCCACCTCACCCAGCCTCCCTGTTTCATTGATAAGGTAATGAAAGCCCAGAGAAAACCAGGCCCATGGTAAAGCGGCTATTAAGTACAGAATGATTGAGAAACTGATTACAGATGGACAAACCACTGAACAGGAAAAATATCAGGAGTTTGTGAACACACCTAGCAGGTGTGAGGATAGACAGGGAAATATTCCTCTATTTCCTTTGCAGAAGGGTTTCATGTGGTTCACAGCTATTGTTTACTGAGAAGCTACAAACTGTCCCAAGAATCCCAAGAGGTTGGGATGGCATTTCTTTTTTTTTTTTTTTTTTTTCAGCACAGAATCTCACTCTGTCTCCAGGCTGGAGTGCAGTGGCGCGATCTTGGCTCACTGCGACCTCCGCCTCCTGGGTTCAAGTGATTCCCCTGCCTCAGTCTCCCAAGTAGCTGGGACTACAGGCACGTACCACCACACCCATTTTCACTATGTTGGCCAGGATGGTCTCGATCTCCTGACCTCGTGATCCACCTGCCTCGGCCTCCCAAAGTGCTGGGATTACAGGCGTGAGCCACCACACCCAGCCAGGATGGTATTTCTGTACCCATTTTATAGGTGAGGCTCAGAGAGGCAAAGTCATTTATATGCTTCAAGACAAGCAGATCGACACAGCACGCCCCACCTCCATCACGGTTGAGTTCCACTCTAAAGCCCTTCACTGTACAGGTCAACTGTCTCTCCTAGGCTTGTGAGTGCCACCTGGTAATTCTCCATCACAAAGGGCATGCTTGGCATTGGCCAACGTCAACACAGCATTGTCGTTCAGTGTGTGGGCTCTGGAGCCAGACTACTAGGTCTGAATCCAGGTGCTGGCACCTGCCAGCTGTGTGACCTTGGGCAAGTTTCTTAGCCTCTCTGTGACTCAGTCATTCAGTTGGAACTATTAGGCTCTTCCCAAAAGGGTTGTGAGGATTAAATAAGATAATGCATACAAAGTGAATGAAAGGCATCTGGCACATCAAAGCACCATACTTTATTACCATTATTCTCCTGGGGGGAAGAGGGGGCCAGGGCACAGAAAAAGGCAATAACCGAGAAATTTCAAACTCATTTCCCCCAACTTTTCTCTTTTTTGGGGGAGACAGGGACTCACTCTGTCAGCCAGGCTGCAGGACAGTGGCACAGTCATGGCTCACTGCAGCCTCAACCTCCCAGGTTCAAGCGATCCTCCCACCTCAGGCTCCCAAGTAGCTAACACCACGGTGTGCAATACCATGACCACTTAATTTTTTATTTTTCGTAGCGATGGGATCTCCTAGTCTCAAACTTCTGGGGTCAAGTGATCCTCCCACCTCAGCCTCTCAAAGTACTAGGACTACAGGCATGAGCTGTTGCACCTGGCCCCCAAATCTTTCTGTACCTTCACCAGACTACCTCTTCCAAGCCTGTTTTTAAAAAGGGTTCACTGATGAGAAACACAAATATTCACAATAAACCCCCTCAGGCTGTCAGGAGCTCAAGGAAGCCAGGCTCAAAATCCCTCCAGGGCTCAGAACTTCCTTGAAAATCAAAGCAGAATTCTCCAGATGGCCCACAATCCCAGCCCCACCCCACCTCCACTGACCTTCCCCCAGGACTCCTCCAACTGCACTCCCCTCTCCACTCAAATGAGGCTCATCAAGCTAGGGAGAGAGCTGGTCCTGGCTCACATGGCTGTGTGTCCCAACAGGTTACTTCACCTCTCTGAGCCTCAGAGTCCTAGTCATCTGCCAAGTGTTATTAAGAATGCCAAACCTGGCCGGGCGTGGTGGCTCACGCCTGTAATCCCAGCACTTTGGGAGGCCGAGGCTGATGGATCACAAAGTCAAGAGATCGAGACCATCCTGGCCAACATGGTGAAAACCTGTCTCCACTACAAATACAAAAATTAGCTGGGTGTGGTGGTGGAGGACGCCTGTAATCCCAGCTGCTCGGGGGGCTAAGGCAGGAGAATCACTTGAACCCGGGAGGCGGAGGTTGCCATAAGCCGAGATCATGCCATTGCACTCCAACCTGGGCGCCAGAGCGAGACTCTGTCTCAAAAAAAAAAAAAAAAAAAGAATGCCAAACCTTTACCGGTCGTGGTGTCTCACGTCTGTAATCCCAGCACTTTGGGAGGCCAAGGCAGGTGGATCACCTGAAGTCAGGAGTTCGAGACCAGCCAGGCCAACATGGTAAAACCCCATCTCTACTAAAAAATACAAAAAATTAGCCAGGCATGGTGGCGGGTGCCTGTAATCCCACCTACTCGGGAGGCTGAGGCAGGAGAATCGCTTGAACCTGGGAGGCGGAGGCTGTAGTGAGCCGAGATCGAGCCACTGCACTCCAGCCTGGGCAACAAGAAGCTCTGTCTCAAAAAATAAAAAAGTAAATAAAAACCTCAATAAGATAGTGCACTCCCTGCTTAAAACCCTCAAAGAGCTTACTGTAGACACCTAAGGTCTTATGAAGACCTGCAGTGCCCCTGGTGACCTGATCCTGCCCACCTTCTCTCCTTCATTCACTCAGCTCCAACCCCAATGGCCTCCTTTCAGCTCCTTAGACAAGCTCCTTCGCATGCGGCTGGCCCCTTCATCTATAATGTTCTGTGCCCAGTCCTCTCCATAGCTGCCACTTCATCTTTTGGCTCACTGCCCTAGAGAGGCCTTCTCTGACCACCCCAGCCTCCAGCCTCCAGACTCCTTATTATATAATCCTGAAGTTATTTTTTTCCCTTCATTACAGTCATATATAGGTGAAAATTATTTTTTATTTTTTATTTTTTGAGGAGTCTCGCTCTGTTGCCCAAGCTGGAGTACAATGGTGTGACCTTGGCTCACTGCAACTTCCACCTCCTGGGTTCAAGCCATTCTCCTGCCTCAGCCTCTCGAGTAGCTGGGACTACAGGCGTGCGCCACCACGCCCAGCTAATTTTTGTATTTTTGGTAGAGACGGGGTTTCACCATGTTTGCCAGGCTGCTCTCAAACTCCTGACCTCAGGTGATTCACCCACCTCGGCCTCCCAAAGTACTGCAATTACAAGCGTGAGCCACCACACCTGGCCCATAGTTGAAAATTATCAAAAATTATTTTCCTCTTCTGCTGGTTCACTGGTTTATTGTGTCTCTCCCTCCAGAGTGTGAGCTCAATCTCAGCTTGTCCATCCTTCTTTGCTGTAGCCCAGTGCCAGGTACATGGCCTGGCTCGGAAGTACCCCAAAGTACATATCAGACCGACTAACTGAGCGACTGTACAGGGTTAACAAAGCCCTGTACAGGTGGGCCAGCCAACCTGACTCAGCAAACTCCAGTTTTTCTTCCCCAGTCTAAGAATTTCTTCCAGCAAATCAGGAAGGCAGCAGGGTAGCGAAGTCAACAGGGAAGATTACACAAATGGGAGCCTGGTCACGTCGGCCTCTGAAAGGGACCCCAGAACAGGACATTCTCCTTTCAACAGGTACTCAGCCATTCTCTTGCCTAAAGAACCCATTTCCCCCAAAAGCAGGGGAGTAAGTAAAGATTTATAACTTGAATGGGATGGGGCCATTCAGCTAAATGCAATTACTGAAAAATCAAAGGGGGATATCTCAGGAGGTTTTTCTAAGACAACCAATTTACTCATTCTCTCAATTATTCTTTTTCCATTTTGTTTTGTTTTTTTTTTCTGAGACAGAGTTTCGTTCTTGTTGCCCAGGCTGGAGTGCAATGGCACAATCTCCACCTCCTGATTCAAGCAATTCTCCTGCCTCAGCCTCCTGAGTAACTGGGATTACAGGCACATGCCACCACACCCAGCTAATTTTATTTTATTTTATTTATTTATCTATTTATTTTTTTGAGATGGAGTATTGCATGTGGCTCAGGCTGGAGTGCAATGGTGCAGTCTCAGCTCACTGAAACCTCTGCCTCCCAAGTTCAAGCAATTCTCCTGCCTCAGCCTCTTGAGTAGCTGGGATTACAGGTGCCCGCTACCACGCCCGGCTAATTCTTTGTATTTCTTAGTAGAGACAGGGTTTCACCATGTTGGCCAGGCTGGTCTTGAACTCCTGACCTCGTGATCCGCCTGCCTCGGCCTCCCAAAGTGATGGGATTACAGGCATGAGCCACCACATCCAGCCCACCAGCTAGTTTTTGTATTTTTTAGTAGAGATGGGGTTTCACCACGTTGCCCAGGCTGGTCTCGAACTCCTGACCTCAGGTGATCCACCCGCCTCGGCCTCCCAAAGAGCTGGGATTCCAGGCGTGAGCCACCATGCCCGGCCTCCCAGTTATTCTTGAGGAGAGCTATTGTTTCAGAATTATTTAGCAGTTCAAAAAATAAAAATAAAAGAGGCATGACTTTCTCCAGGGAAAACATATTCCCTTCTAGGAGACCCGCCACTGAGATGGCCATTTAACCAAATCTTCAGTCTTGGTTCTGGGCCCTTTTTCTTATACGTCTGAGTCTGAGGATCTCTTTTTCCAAAACCTCCGTAGATCCTCAGTCTCCCTCTGGGTTCTCCAAGTCTGCCCCTGCTATGAGAAGCAGGGATCAGATACAGGTACTGATCTATGTGCAGACAGGCTCAGCTTCGACTGGGAAAAGCAAAAAATTATTTTTCAAGTTCATCTTCCCTGCATCCCATGGAAATGAGTCAAGAGATATTCAGTCTGCTCCTTCCTGTCTCCATCTAGTTCCCTCGAGCTTCTCAGAGTGTCAGCATCACACCAGGCATAAGACGGGTCTAGATTTTCAAGATAAATATTTGTCTTACAACACAGTCCCTCGGCTCTTATCAACTGCTACTGTATCTGGTCCCAAGTCAAGAAATAGCAACCTGGTTTGAAGTGACTGTACCCAAACTTGAAGTCTGGGGATGGGGAGTTACGGGAGGGTCATTAAGGAGGTGGTGCGCAAAACCAGGTCAGCCTTATTAGGAAGAGAGCACTACTTACAGCTGATGCGGTGAACCAGTGATCTGGAAAAGGAGCAATCAGTGGCCAGGAAACCAGTCAGCCTCCCTAGTAGCTGGAATTACAGGCATGCACCACCACGCCTGGCTAATTTTGTATTTTTAGTAGAGATGGGGTTTCACCATGTTGGCCAGGCTGGTCTCCAACTCCCGACCGCCCACCTCAGCCTCCCAAAGTGCTGGGATTACAGACGTGAGCCACCGCCTTTAAAGAGAAGCTCTAGCTTCTCTTTTAAAATAAGGTCATTCACAGATGAAACAAGGGGTTAAAGAAAAAATAGGCCAGGTGCGGTGGCTCACACCTGTAATCCCAGCACTTTGGGAGGCCAAGGCAGGCAGATCGTTTGAAGTCAGGGGTTTCAGAGCAGCCTGGCCAACATGATGAAACCCTGCCTCTACTAAAAATACAAAAATATTAGCCAGGCGTGGTGGCACACACCTGTAGTTCCAGCTACTTGGGAGGCTGAGGCAGGAGAATTGCTTGAACCCAGGAGGCAAAGATTGCACTGAGCAGAGTTTGTGCCACTGCACTTCAGCCTGCGCGGCAGAGTAAGACTCAAAAAGGAAAGAAAAGAAAATCACAAGATCCCTCCACATAGGGCCCCCTATTCCCACATGGAACAATCCTCCCGCCTGCCCACTTTGGGTAGAACTCCAGAATCCCTGTTTGCCGAGGTCTCCATTATTCTTAACTTTCAGATAATTAAATCTATAACTTATTGTTTTTTTGTTTGTTTTTCCAGAAACAGGTCTTGCTCCGTCGCCCAGCCTGGAGTGCAGTGGTGCAATCACAGCTCACTGCAGCCTTGACCTCCTGGGCTCAAGTGATCCTCCGGCCTCAGCCTCCCACGTAGCTGAGGCTACAGGTGCATGCCACCAAGCTCAGCAATTTTTTTTTATTTCAGAGATGAGGTCTCACTATGTTGCCCAGGCTGGTCTTGAACTCCCGGGCTCCAGTAAGTCTCCTGCCTTGGCCTCCCAAAATGCTGGGACTACAGGCATGAGCTACCATGACTACCCTAGATCATTAAATCTAAACTTGAAAGGCCCTTAAAGGGTGTAACAGGACAGGGGAAGCAGAGAAGGATAATAAGGTAAAGAGAGGGATCAGAGACAAGGGATGTTTTGCTAGGATGGCCAGGTCCTAGAAAGTTCAACCCCATTATAGGTATTGCATAAGTTTTTTGACATTTTTATAAGCATGGAGAGGGTGGTATAGACAAAAACATACCAAACTGTTATCACTGGTTACCTGGCAGGAGAAGATTTTTAGCTTTTTCTTTGTATACTTTGGCTTGTTGTCAAGGAGATACACTGATTTTTATCATTTGAAAGGAAAATCCAATAAACCTTAACCCCTCTGCCACCCCACAAAAAGTTAATTCTTTTTTTTTTCGAGACAGAGTCTGTTGTCCAAGCTGGAGTGCAGTGGCATGATCTCAGCTCACTACAACCTCTGCCTCCCAGGTTCAAGCGATTCTCCTGCCTCAGCCTCCCGAGTAGCTGGGATTACAGGCGCGTGCCACCACACCCAGCTAATTTTTGTATTTTTAGTAGAGACAGGGTTTCACCATCTTGGCCAGGCTGGTCTTGAACTCCTGACCTCAGGTAATGCACTGGCCTCCCAAAGTGCTGGGATTCCAGGCATGAGCCACCGTGCCTGGCCAAGTTAGTTTCCAGTTCTTGGAAGAGATCCTTCATTCACAAAACATTTAATGGGCAACTACCATGAAATGCCAGTCCCTTGTTAGTCTAAAGAGGTGAGAGTTATTTGGTCTATCAGTCTAGAAGAGACACACAGGTAAATGCATAATTACGGTAAAGCATGTTGAAGGCTGGAGGGAGGACCGCCCAGCTCCCTGGCATATCCTGTGGAACTTTACCCCAGTCAGGCCTAGGTGCCAAGGGGCCTGGCAAAAAGGGAATTCAGCAGGGCCTGAACAAAACACACCAACTTGCAAAGATAGAAAGAGGACTGTGTTCTCTGCACAACTTTTCAAAGAATAGGCAAGCTCAGGAGGCAATGACCAAGCAAAACTTAAAACTCAATAATCATGCATGGAACATGTTCAGTGCTGTGTCCCCTGGCGACATAGCTTCACCTACAGCATTCAGCACAGCATGCACAACAAATCCATTAATCTACTAAGGCTACGGAACAGTGTGATCCAATCAAGCTTGCTCGAATGATGGCAATGTTCTCGATCTGTTCTCTATCAGTGCTGTCTAATAACAGCAGCCTCTAATCACCTGTGGCTGTCAGACACTTGACACGTGGCCAGGGCAGCTGAGGAATGAATTTTATTTTGTAAATCTAATTTTTTTTTTTGGAGATGGAGTTTTGCTCTTATTGCCCAGGCTGGAGTGCAATGGCGTGATCTCAGCTCACCGCAACCTCCTCCTCCCGAGTTCAAGCGATTCTCCAGCCTCATCCTCCTGAGTAGCTGGGATTACAGGCATGCACCACCATGCCTGGCTAATTCTGTATTTTTAGTAGAGGCGGGGTTTCTCCATGTTGGTCAGGCTGGTCTCAAACTCCCAACCTCAGGTGATCCACCCACCTTGCCCTCCCAAAGTGCTGGGATTACAGGCGTGAGCCACCACGCCTGGCTTGTTAATGTAAATTTAAAGAGCCACGTACAGCTAGTGGCGACTGTGTTGGACAGCACAGCTGCAGAAGCTTAATATTAAGACAAAGAAGCATGCCTGGCAAGCAAGCAGGACACTGCACAATCATCCACCCATCCCAATTTGCCTCTAGGGACTGAGTAGTTGAATTCAAGGCACCGGATGCAGGGAAATGTGAATATGGATTCACCTTTCACTCCTTTAGTCTAGCCTGGCAATTGTTAACTCTTTAGTATGCATACGAATTTCTGATCAAAGCTGAATACTTTCGTGGGCAATTTAAGGTACTTTGAAGAGTGATTTTTGACTTTGGAACCTAAAAGAACTTCTCTGTGGGAGACTGTAAATAAAGGGTTCAGGCCAAGAGAGGGCTTGGGTCTCCATGGACACAGTGAGGATGGTCCTCACGAAGGTCAGTCTGGAAGGCAATGCCAAGTGTGTCTCAGCAAGGTGCACATCACAGGACTCTCACAAGGCCGTGCAGTCTGTCCAGGAAAGACAGATGCTGCAGGACCCCTGCAGTGCAGTGGCAAGATCATAGCTCACTGCAGGCTCCACCTTCTGGGCTCAAGATATCCTCCCACCTCAGCCTCCCAAGTAGCTGGGTCTGCAGAGACAAGCCACCATGCCTGGGTTTTTTGCTTTTTTTTTTTTTTTTTTTTGTAGGAACGGGTGGGTCTTGCCACTTTGCCCAGGCTGGTCTTGAACTCCTGGGCTTAAGCTATCCTCCTGCCTCAGCCTCCCAAAATGCTGGGATTACAGGCGTGAGACACCATGCCCTTAAGGCTGTGTTCTTAAGGAGCCACTGCAAATTTAAAGGAGAGTGGGACAATCTGACTTGTGTTTTAGAAGGCGCCCATTAGAAGTTATACTAATATGTCAGAAAGCAAAGAAACCAGGGGGAAAGGGCCATTTCAAAGAGTACTATGTCCCTAGAGGGAAAAGGAAGACAGGCCACCAGTCGCTTTGCAGAGAACAGACACTTGAGCTGGGTAATAATCTCCAGGCACTGGATTAATGCTGAAAACAAAGCCATCCTCTCTCGCCGAAAGGCTGCTTTTACTTCAGTCTCTAGGATAGAAGTTCTACCCATCTGATAGAGCTAAATCATTTGTTCATTCAAAAAAATATTTATTATACGCTCACCAGCAGCAGGCAAGGTGGTAGTAAAACAGGATGAGCAAAAACAAAAGGCAGAACTCATCCTCATTTTGAGCCTTAAAATTGATGGGGAGTAAGGAGAGGAAGGCAAGGAGGGGACCTTCAAGGTATGGGCAAAGGCCCTGAGGCTTTGATGGATCTGCACAGTCAGTGTGGCTGGAGAAGAGAGAAGTGGAACACGGAGAGAAGTGGAACACAGAGAGAACGGAACACGGAGAGAATGGAACACAGAGAGAACAGAGACTAGCAAGATGGGCAGAGGCCAGCACAGGAGGGTTTTGCAATTATGAATCTAAAAGCCAAGGAGGAAACACTTAAGAGTTTAAAGTAGGAAGGGATAGCCAGGAAGATGTTCCTTTCAAAAGACTGGGAGGGTGCGGCAGATAGAGATAGTGAGAACAACTACGAGGCCACTGTAGTTCAATGGTGATAGGCTGGTTGAAGTGGAGTGACATTTAGGATACGATATTGTAAGAAAATGACACAAAAGGGCAAAGAACAGAAGAATGGGGAATGAGTCCATATCTCTGGGGGTGAAGATGTAAAATCTCTCATGGACATCTTGAGTTTGAGACGCCCATGAACAGGCAGGGAGGTCAGGTAGGCAGCTGACCCTCTGCACCATGACTCAGAAGCAATCTAGGTTGGAAACATAAATGTCTGAGTCATAAAGCTCCAGATGTGGGTAAGATCACCCAGAGAAGGAACGTGCTAGGCGAGACAAGGACAGGGCCAAGCTTTCAGCAACTCCAGCATTTAATGGCCAGAGAGAGGAGGAGAAGGTGCCAGGGAAACAGAAGGAAAATCAGCACTGCGGTGGCAAAGAAGGCAAAGGAAGAGAGAGTGTCCACAAGAATAATCAGCATCTCCAGTACTGCAGAGACAGCGCAGCAGATGAGGATGGAAAACCTCCCCTGGAAAAGGCAACACAGAGTCTCCAGGAAGCTCAGTGGGGATGTGAATGTGGAAGGTCAGGGTGGAAGCCACATTGGAGCTTGCAGGACAAAGACAGGAATACAGACGCTTCTAAGAAGTTTGGCTTGCTGGACGCGGTGGCTCACGCCTGTAATCCCAGCACTTTGGAAGGCTGAGGCAGGCAGATCATGAGGTCAGGAGTTCAAGACCAGCCTGACCAACATGGTGAAACCCCGTCTCTACTAAAAATACAAAAAGTGTAAAAAATACACTTTGGAAGGCTGAGGCAGGCGGATCACGAGGTCAGGAGTTCAAGACCAGCCTGACCAACATGGTGAAACCCCGTCTCTACTAAAAATACAAAAATTAGCCGAGCATGGTGACGTGCGCCTATAATCCCAGCTACTCAGGAGGCTGAGACATGAGAATCATTTGAACCCGGGAGGCAGAGGTTGTAGTGAGCCAAAATTGTGCCACTGCACTCCAGCCTGGGCAATATAGTGAGACTCAATCTCAAAAAAAAAATAAGTTTGGCTTTGAAGAAGAGGACAGAAATACAGCAGTTGCTAGTAGGAAAGATGTGGGGGTCAAGACAGCAGAGAGGGGAGACAAGTGCCTTTAAAAGTCTGTGACTCCAAGCATGGTGGATCACACCTATAATCCCAGTACGTTGGCAGGCCAAGGCAGGAGGATCACTTGAGCCCATGAGTTGGAGACCAGCCTGGGCAACATAGCAAGACTCTGTCGCTACAAAAAATTAAAGAATTAGTCAGGCATGGTGGCATGTACAGGTAGTCCCAGCTACTCAAGAGGCTGAGATGGGAGGATTGCTTGAGCCCAGAAGTTCATGGCTGCAGTGAGCGAGGATCATGCCACTGCACTCCCGTCTGGGGAACAGAGCAAGCCCCTATCTCAAAAAAATAAATAAAGACAACACAAAAAATTTAAATGTGTATATTCTTCAAAAGGTTAATAGTTACCCTATGACCCCACAATTTCACTCCTAAATCTATACCCAAGAGAAATGATGTGTCGTGTCTGCACAAAAACTCAGACATGAACACTCACCGCAGCATTATCCCTACTAGCCAGAAAGTGGACACAACTCAAACGTCCATCAACACATACATAGATAAACAAAGTGTAGCATATCCATCCAATGCAGCATTATTCAGTCATAAAAGGAAATGAACTACAGACCCTCCTCAACTCACGATGGAGTTACAGATGATAAACCCATAAAATGTAAGTACCAGAAGTCAAAAATGAGGTCACACACAGTGGCTCATGCCTGTAATCCCAACACTTCAGGAGACTAAGGCCAGAGGATCACTTGAGCCCAAGAGTTCCAGACCAGCCTAGGCAACACAGTGAGACCCCTGGGTCTACAAAACATATATATATGAGAGAGAGAGAGATAAAAAAACACAAATGCATTTAAGCCAGACATAGTGGTACACTCCTGTAGTCCCAGCTACACCAGAGGATCCCTTGAGGACACCATTGCACTCCAGCCTGGGCAACATCGTGAGACCCCATCAGAAAGTAAGGCAGGCAGCACTTTGAGAGACTGAGGGAGGCAGATCACTTGAGGTCAGGAGTTCAAGACCAGCCTGGCCAACAGGTGAAACCCCGTCTCTACTAAAAATACATGGCAGGGCACAGTGGCTCTCATCTGTAATCCCAACACTTTGGGAGGCCGAGGCAGGTGGATCACATCAAGAGATTGAGACCATCCTGGCCAACATGGTGAAACCTCGTCTCTACTAAACATACAAAAATTAGCTGGGCGTGGTGGCACATGCCTGTAGTCCCAGCTCCTCGGGAGACTAAGGCAGGAGAATCGCTTGAACCTGGGAGGCAAAGGTTGCAGTGACACGAGATAGTGCCACTGCACTCTAGCCTGGTGACAGAGCGAGACTCCGTCTCAAAAAAAAAAAAAAAAAAAAAAAAAAAAAAAACATTAGCTGGGCGTGATGGTGCTCACCTCTAGTCCCAGCTACTCAGGAGGCTGAGGCAGGAGAATCGCTTGAACCAGGAAGCAGAGGGGTGCAGTGAGCTGAGATAGTGCCACTGCACTCCAGCCTGGGTGACAAAGTGAGACTCCATCTCAAAAAAAAAAGAAAAAAAAGGAAATTAAGAAAGGGAAGGAGGGAGGAATGAATAAATGAATAAATAAATAAATAAGCATCGAATATACATAACCTAGGGAACATCATAGCTTAGCCTAGCCTACCTTAAATGTGCTCAGAACACTTAGAGTTAGGCAAAATCATCTAATGCGAAGCCTATTGTATAATAGTGTTGACTCTCTCATGTAATTTATGGAATACCATAATGAAAGTGAAAACAGAATGGTCGTATAGATTGTTTGTTTACCCTCGTGATCATGTGGCTGACTGGGAGGTGCCTGGCACCCCAAGAGAGTCTCATACTGATGCTAGCCAGAGAAAAGATCAAAAATCCAAAATGCCAAGTACTGTTTGTACTGAACTGTCACTTCCGCACCACTATAAGTCAGGAACTGTCTGTACTGATGATCTATGCTACAAGAATGTGGATGAGCCTTGAAAACATTATTCTAAGTGAACGAACTCAGACCAAAAGGTCACATACTGTATGATTCCATTTATATGAAATGTCTAGCATAAGCAAATCCACAGGCACAGAAAGTAGACTGGTACTTGCCAGGCACAGGGGTAACGGGGGAATGGGAAGTGACTGCTAATGAGTATGAAGTTTCTTATTGGGGGTGATGAAAATCTACAACTGATTGTGCTGTTGGCTGCACAACTCTGTGAAAAAAAAAAATATATATATATATATATATATTTTAGGCAGTCTTGCTCTGTCACCCGGGCTGGAGTACAGTGGCACGATCTTGGCTCACTGCAACCTCCACGTCCCACGTTCAAGCAATTCTCCCGCCTCAGCCTGCTGAGTAGCTGGGATTACAGGCACACGCCACCACACTCAGCTAATTTTTTGTATTTTTAGTGGAGACAGGGTTTCACCATGTTGGCCAGGCTGGTCGGAACTCCTGACCTCAGGTGATCCACCCGCCTCGGCCTCCCAAAGTGCTGGGATTACAGGCGTCAGCCACCACACCCGGTCTCCGTGAAAATATATTAAAAACCATCAAACTATTCACTTTAAATGGAGAACTGGGCCCAGGAGTGGTGGCTCACACCAGCAATCCCAGCACTTTGGGAGGCCAAGACAGGAGGATCGCTTGAGCCCAGGAGTTCAAGACCAGCCTGGGCAACATAGTGAAACCTCATCTCTACAAAAAAATATAAACATTAGCCAGGGGTGGTAGTGCACACCTGTAGTCCCAGCTACTCGGGAGGCTGCAGTGGGAGGACTGCTTGAGCCAGGAAATCAAAGCTGCAGTGAGCCGAGATCGTCCCACTGCACTCCAGCTTGGGCGACAGAGAGAGACCCTGTCTCAAACAAACAAACAAAAAAAAAGGAGAATTGTATGGTATGTGAATTATATGTCAATAAAGGTATTTTTTTTTTAAGTCTATAAAGCGCTGGATCTCTAGGTTCCCAGGAAAGCCCAGGATAGGTGAGGGGAGTCACAGGAAGTTGAAGGGGGCTTATTATCATTCCACTCACCCTCACCCCCCCACAGCCATGACACCTGGTCTTTCCAAACTGATCACCTCAAGTCATCGGTAAAGGATCCACTATCAATAGAGAACAATGAAGGAATGACGACTTTAATAAGGCAATAAAAAGTACCCAGATCTCTAAAAGGCCTCAGCCCTGATATGCTTATTCTACAGGCATTTAGAGAGGAAAAAGAAGAGATGGTTCTTTTTAAACTAAGCTTGAAACGGTCGATTTTAGATCACAGTCTTCTAGAATAATAATAGTCACACAAACATATAACGTGGGTCATGCTTCAAAAATGGGGCAAACACAAGGTTTGCATGAGTGAACCACAAAGCTAAATTGCACAGACACTGCCGACAGGATTCCATGAACAGATGCACAGTAGAGACGATGCTGGCCAAGAGAAGGTAGAAGATTTCTCATTTGCAAAACCATAATCAGACATCTTCAGAGTTCTGGGATATTTTAGACCTTGTTAGGAGAGGAACAATCTGGTAGTCATCTAACTCACAAATAAATTCTTTCCACTGCACAGTACACGGATGGCACTTCTTGGGCTGTCAGAGATAGAGAGGAGCCAAAATACGGTTAAAAATACTGATGCTCATTTTTTGAAAGAAAAATTCTCAGCACTTCTGCATCGCGCTGTGATTTAAAAGTGTTTGTGGTTATATTTTCTGAAAGAGTTTCCTTGAAAAATGACAGAAGGTCTCTATCTCACAGCCGTCCTCATAAACAATCCCTTTGTGAAAGTCTTAATTTACATACAACAGTGAGAACAAGGATCCTGTGCTAATTAAGGTCTGGGGCTGGTTAGCAAATTGCTATAATTGTACATTCTCTAGCATCCTGTCTCTGAAAACACATCCATACCCCCAGCAAATCTCAGCAAGAATGATACTGTTCAAGATTTTAATATCCTGGGCTTCCGCTGCATCTGTGCGTGTTTCCAAGTCGTTCATTCCCTTGTGCCGGTGACATTACACAGACATTTTTAAAAATGGTTTCAGCTTTGGCAGGCTGGCATCCACACACCACAAGCACTACCACAAAACGCACACATGGCAGGATCAAGACGCAAGCAGCCCAAACAGGGGAGCCTTTGTATGGAGACGTGAATTCAACCCGCGGAGTACATCATTTCTCAGGCTGCAAATCCCTGGCCTTCAAGGCGCTTGTTCTGACTCACGCATGGTGAGGCCAAATTCTGCAATGAATTGTGCCTTGGCCAGTCTCGCACAGGGAATGCAAAATGACAGCCCTCGGCTTCTTCTGACCCGGAAATGCGTTTTGTTGGGTTCACGCATGATCTTTAGAGAAGCCAGTCTACACAGACCACATTTCTAAATGAGGCAGTTTTACAGGGGAAAAGAAAATCCCAGCTGGCCACAGCGGATGAGCCATATTCCTGCTGGTCAGCAATCAGATGGAGGCA
The DNA here is from genome assembly GCF_000001405.40 of Homo sapiens. Lineage (NCBI taxonomy): Eukaryota > Metazoa > Chordata > Mammalia > Primates > Hominidae > Homo > Homo sapiens. The sequence continues at coordinate 47,336,852 of NC_000020.11, forward strand.
CCCTCCCCACTTTGGCACACTCTCCCATTCACCAAAGCTCCCCTTCCCCCTGCATCCCCAGATGCCAGCCACAATCACTGATCTACCTGCTGGGCCCTTCAGGCATTTGACTTGCAACCCTTGGAATACAGGTCATGGTTAAGTACAAAGGTTTAAAATCTAGGGACATTAAACACTCTTATCAAAAAAAAAAAAAAAGGTTTAAAAATCAAAGGGCCAGCCAGGCACGGTGGCTCACGCCTGTAATCCCAGCACTTTGGGAGGCCAAGGCGGGTGGATCACCTGAGGTCAGGAATTCGAGACCAGCCTGGCCAACACAGTGAAACCCTGTCTCTACTAAAAATACAAAAATTAGCCGGGCGTGGTGGCAGGCGCCTGTAACCCCAGCTACACCGGAGGCTGAGACACGAGAATCAATTGAATCCAGGAGGCGGAGGCTGCAGTAAGCCGAGATAGGCACTCCAGCCTGGGTGATGGAGGGAGACTCTGTCTCAAAAAAATAAATAAATAAAATAAAATAAAATAAATCAAAGGGCCGGGAGTGGTGGCTCACGCCTGTAAACCTAGCACTTTGGAAAGCCGAGGTAGGTGGATCCCTTGAGCCCACGAGTTCAAGAGCAGCCTGGGCAACACGGCAATAACCCTCTATATAATTAATAAATAAATAAAGATAAAACCTGACCCTAGTTCCATCCCTACTTTGACACTTCCTTAATTCATCTGAGCCTCAGTTTCCTTAACTGTAAAATGGGAATGACACACCCACATCATGGAATTAGTATGAAAATTAAATGAAGTAATTTGCATATCATGCCATGAAGTACTCAGAAAATATTAGCCACGCAAACACACCTGGCATCGAGATGGCACTTCCCATTGATGTAGGAGCATCTTTCAGCAGGATCATTACCCTCGGACACAAATGTCAACCTGACATCTTGAAAGCTCGAAAGCTTTGTCTCCTGAGAGCTAAAACGCTCTACTAAATGCCAAGGCTGGCATAATGGCAATGACTGGCTTGGGAATTACTCAGTTAATAAGTGAGTATGTGTCAAGGGGAGAGGGGCGTAAAAATTGAAATTCAGTTAGAGAAACTGAAAGGTCACATGGACTAGATGTAGGAATAGGACTGAGGAATTCTGCACCAATTATTGTCAGAGTTTCTAAGTTTCCCAAGAAGAGGACGGCTCAGCACCTGTTTTCTAAGTGCAAGTAGAGAAAAACACGTTGCCAGGTTCATAAGATGGTAGAGTGGTCACCTTATCTCCTTTTGAGGACCCATCTCTTTCCCAGTGGGGACAGCGTTGGTGGGTCCAGGTGTCCAGGATATTAGCCCTTCCCTGGCCAGAGACGTGCACATGGACTTTGCGCTATTGTCCCTGAGGAGGCTCCGGGCTGGCTCTACTCCCGAGAGTGGCCTGGACCTCCAGCCTTCCCACCAATGCAGTGGGAGCAGCTTCACACCAACAGACCACCTGCAGTCCATCCCTTTCCTGCTCAGAACCGAAGGACCCTGACCCGGGTCATGTCACAGGGGAACAGAGTCCCTAAACTTCCCAAGAAAAGCAGGCTGGAGGAAAAAAAAAAACATGTTCACTGAGCCTGGAGATCATCCCACTGCGGACGCTGAGATCACTGGGACTGAACAAGAGATAAGGCTTCATCCCGGTCAGCTTCACAGACATCATATTTTCACCATGCAGACTTCAGCTCTGGGAACCTCAGCAACCCCAATCTTAACCCCAGGACTTTGAATATTAAGCCAAGTGGCTCCGGCAGAAAGGTGCTCTGGAAACAGAAGCTACCACCACCGCCACTCACTATGGGGCACGAGAGCTCAGTTTCACATAACGACAACCACCCCAGAGAATCCTTGGGGAAAGTTCTCCCTCAAAACAAGGTGATCCCTTCCCCTCAATGATTCCCTACCAAAGCAAGAATTCCCAAGCACCCGAGAAAATCCTTCCAAACACCTGCAGAATGGCTTCTTCAAATGTCACAGAGGCCAACAGGACAGGAAGCTTGCAGGGCAGTGCAAAGCACTGGACTCCTAGATGGAGAGAAGCAAATTCCTATCTGGTCCCGAGCCTGCCTGCTGGGCAACCCTACACAATTATTTCTTTTTTTTTTTTTTTTTGTGAGACAGAGTCTCGCTCTGTCACCCAGGCTGGAGTGCAGTGGCGTGATCTTGGCTCACTGCAAGCTCTGCCTCCCAGGTTCATGCCATTTTCCTGCCTCAACCTCCCAAGTAGCTAGGACTACAGGCGCCCACCTCCACGCCCGGCTAATTTTTTGTATTTTTAGTAGAGACGGGGTTTCACTGTGTTGGCCAAAATGGTCTCGATCTCCTGACCTTGTGATCCGCCCGCCTCGGCCTCCCAAAGTGCTGGGATTACAGGCATGAGCCACAGTGCCCGGCCCACAATTCTTCACTGTGCCCCCTCTAAGCAGGGGGTCTTCCGGGCATGGTTTCCTCATCTGCCTCCAGACCTTCTTCCTAGAGGCTGCAAGTGGGGGAAATGGCAGAACAGTCATTCTCACCACCTGACAGACCTAGCAATAAAAATTCACTGTCTCTAAGTTGATGCAAATCATAGCTAACATTTTTGAGCAGCCACCCTGTCCCAAGAACCATTCTTTTTTGAGACGGAGTCTCACTCTGTCGCCCAGGCTGGAGTGCAGTGGCGCAATCTCTGCTCACTGCAAGCTCCGCCTCCCGGGTTCACGCCATTCTCCTGCCTCAGCCTCCTGAGTAGCTGGGACTACAGGCACCCGCGACCACGCCTGGCTAATTTTTTGTATTTTTAGTAGAGACGGGGTTTCACCATGTTAGCCAGGATGGTCTCGATCTCCTTACCTCATGATCCGCCCACCTCGGCTTCCCAAAATGCTGGGATCACAGGCGTGAGTGAGGCACCACACCCGGCCCCAAGAACCATTCTGAGCATTCTATCTGTGTGAGCAAAGTTCATCTTAGCCATAACCTTCTATCTTTATCATCCCCATTTACAAAAGGAAACCTAGCCACAAGGAATAACTCAGCTAGAAAGGGGGCAAGACAGAACCAGGAAATCTGGCTCTAGAAGCCAGGTGGTTTTTGTTTTTTTTTGAGACGGAGTCTCACTCTGTCACCCAGGCTGGAGTGCAGGGGCACGATCTCAGCTCCCTGCAACCTCTGCCTCCTGGTTTCCAGCGATTCCCCTGCCTCAGCCTCCTGAGTAGCTGAGATTACAGGTGCCTGCCACCACACCCAGCTAATTTTCTATTTTTAGTGGACACTGGGTTTCACCATATTGGCCAGGCTGGTCTCAAACTCCTGACCTCATGATCCGCCTCTCAAAGTGCTTGGCCTCCCAAAGTGCTGGGATTACAGGCATAAGCCACCCAGCCAGAAGCCAGGTGTTTTAAATCTCAATGACACCTTGCCTCTCAAATCATTGGGGTAAGTAAGAATGGTGGTCCAGGGGTGCTTAAAGAGGGAACTTGAAACCATGGTGCGCACTTACAGTCCCAGCTACTCGGGAGGCTGAAGCAAGAGAATCACCTGAGCCCAGGAGTTAGAGGCTATAGTGTACTATGATGGCAACTGTGAATAACCACTGCACTACACTGCAGCCTGCGCAACACAGTGAGATTCCATGTCTTAAAAAAAAAAAAAGGCCGGAGGCGTGGTGGCTCACGCCTACAATCCCACCACTTTGGGAGGCTGAGGCGAGCAGATCACTTGAGATCAGGAGTTCGAGACCAGCCTGGCCAACATGGTGAAAACCCATCTCTACTAAAAATTAAAAAATTAGCTGGGTGTGGCGGCGTATGCCCCAGCTACTCAGGAGGCTGAGGCAGGAGAATCACTTGAACCCGGGAAATGAAGGTTGCAGCGAGCCAAGGTCAAGCCACTGCACTCCAGCCTGGGCAACAGAGCAAGACTCTGTCTCAAAAAGTATTTTTTTTAATGTAAAAAAAAAAAAAATACAGCAGCCAGCATTCTAGCAGAGTAACAAATAAGAAAATACAAAGTGAGGACAAAGGCTATAAACAAAATCAGAGGGATAGAGGACGCTCTGGATGCTGGAAATGTTTAATTATCTTGATCTGGGTCAGGGCCCCATGAGTGCGAACGTGTGTTAAAGTTCATCAGACTGAACACTGTAGATCAGGTTAAAATGTACCAGAAAATAGTAAACAAACGGTGGACAGTAGAAGCCAGCCTTCTCACTGTTGGAGGAGGAGGTTACAGAGAAACCAGGGAATAAGGCTAGAATGATCCATGTGGTAATGCGAAAAGGTCAAACGAGAGAATGAACTCATGTTTAGCTGATATAGACACAGATGGATACATGTAAAAATGTTTACACAGTATGTCTATATATCCTTCCTTGTCTACTGAGAAAATCTAGAAGCAAGGTGGCTCACACCTATAATCCCAGCACTTTGGAAGGCCGAGGTGGGCAGATCACTTGAGGTCAGGAGTTCGAGACTAGCCTGGCTAACATGGCAAAACCCCATCTCTACTAAAAATTTAAAAATTAGCCAGGCATGGTGGTGCATACCTATAGTCCCAGCTACTTAGAAGGCTGGGGCAGAAGAATTGCTTGAACCTGGGAGGCAGGGGTTGCAGTTAGCTGAGAGTGCACCACTGCATTCCAGCCTAGGTGACAGAGCGAGACTCCATCTCAAAAAAAAAAAAAAAAAAAGAATCTAGAACAAAGACATTCCAGTAGCAATGAGCACACACTTGGCCAGGTGCGGTGGTTCATGCCTACAATCCCAGCACTTTGGGAGGCCGAGGTGGGAGGATCACAAGGTCAGAAGTTCCAGACCAGCCTGGCCAACATAGTGAAACCCCATCTCTACTAAAAATACAAAACTTGGCCGGGCGCGGTGGCTCGTGCCTGTAATCCCAGCACTTTGGGAGGCTGAGGCGGGTGGATCACGAGGTCAGGAGATCGAGACCATCCTGCCTAACATGGGGAAACCCTGTCTCTACTAAAAATACAAAAAATTAGCCGGGCGTGGTGGCGGGCGCCTGTAATCCCAGCTACTTGGGAGGCTGAGGCAGGAGAATGGCGTGAACCCGGGAGGCGGAGCTTGCAGTGAGCGGAGATCGCGCCACTGCACTCCAGCCTGGGTGACAGGGCGTGACTCCGTCTCAAAAAAAAAAAATACAAAACTTAGCCAGGCGTGGTGGTGTGTGCCTGTAGTCCCAGCTGCTCAGGAGGCTGAGGCAGGAGAATCATTTGAAACCAGGAGGCAGAGGTTGCAATGAGCCGAGATTGTGCCACTGCACTCCAGCCTGGGCAACAGAGGGAAACTCCATCTCAAAAACGAACAAACAAACAAACAAAAACGAGCACACTTAGTGCCCACATCTTGGTTTCTAATACTATTCTCCAATAAAAGAAACCAGGATCCTCTGGGTGCGGTGGCTCACACCTGTAATCCCAGCACTTTGGGAGGCCGAGGCGGGCGGATTACCTGAGGTCAAGAGTTCGAGACTAGCCTGGCCAACATGGTGAAACCCTGCCTCTACTAAAAATACAAAAAAATTAGCCAGGCGTGGTGGTGCGCTCCTGCAATCCCAGTTACTCGGGAGGCTGAGGCAGGGGAATTGCTTGAACCAGGGAAGTGGAGGTTGCAGTGAGCCAAGATCGCGCCAACTGCACTCCAGCCTGGGAGACAGAGCGAGATTCTGTCTCAAAGAAAAAAAAAAAAAGCTGGGCACGGAGGCTCATGCCTGTAATCCCAGCACTTTGGGAGGCTGAGGCAGGCGGATTGCCTGAGGTCAGGAGTTCGAGACTAGCCTGGCCAACATGGTGAAACCCCGCCTCTACTACAAATACAAAAAAATTAGCCGGGCATGGTGACATGTGCCTGTAATCCCAGCTACTATGGAGGCTGGAGCAGAGGAATTGCTTGAACTAGGAGGTGGAAGTCACAGTAAGCTGAGATCACACCACCGCACTCCAGCCTCGGCAACAGAGCAAGACTACATCTCAAAAAAAAAAAAAAAAGAAAAGAAAGAAAGAAACCAGGATCCATAGAGAAATGGATGATTTTAGGGCTGAGGCAAAGACATACAAAATGAGCCTGGAACATCTTATAGTGCCAGAAGACAAGAAAGTGCTCAATAAATAAATAAATAGGCCAGCCGGGCATGGTGGTTCACACCTGTAACCCCAGCACTTTGGGAGGCCAAAGTGGTAGGATCACTTGAGCCTGGGAAATTCAAAACCAGCCTGGGCAACACAGCGAGACTCCATCTCTACAAATAAAAAGAACAAAAATTAGCCAACTGTGGTGATGCATGCCTGTGGTCCCAGCTACTTGGGAGGCTGAGGCAAGAGGACTGCTTGAGTCCAGCAGGTCAAGGCTGCAATGAGCTGTGATTATACCACTGCACTCCAGCCTGGGCAGCAGAACGAGGCTGTCTCAAACGAACAAATAAATAAACCCCACAACGATGGAGTCTGTCAAGGGGACACAAGAGCCAACACAAAGAGCTCCCAACTGCCAAAGCTGGAATGATTTGAGCAATAAAATAAATAAGTAGTATTGGATTACAACCCACAGTATAAAGTAACCATCCCAGAGTCCACACTGCTAGAGATAAATGACTGAATAAATACATGAGGGAGAAAAGACTAATACCCCATACAGAAGAATTCTAAATTTTTTTTTTTGAGACACAGTGTCACTGTCACCCAGGCTGGAGTGCAGTGGTGGAATCTTGGCTCACTGCAACCTCCGCCTCTCGGGTTCAAGTGATTTTTCTGCTTCAGTCTCCCAAGTAGCTGGGATTATAGGCATACAATGTTTGTTATTTTTAGTAGAGATGGGATTTTGCCACGTTGGCCAGGCTGGTCTCGAACTCCTGGCCTCAAGTGATCTGCCCGCCTTGGCCTCCCAAAGTGCTGGGATTACAGGCATGAGCCACCACATCCAGCCCCCAAATAATTTATGTCAAGCCTCTGCTTTCGAGGAGGTGGAGCATAGCTCTTCACTCCTTAAGTGTGGGTGATGCCTTGTGACTTCCTTCCAAAGAGCAGAGGATGGAAAGAGAAGAAAGACAGCCAGATGGTCATGGTCAACATCAACAGTGATAAATCTTTTTTTTTTTTTTTTTTTTTCTTTTTGAGATAGTCTCATTCTATCTCCCAGACTGGAGTGCAGTGGCATGGTCTCAGCTAACTACAACCTCCGTCTCCACCCCCTCCACCCCGGGTTCAAGTGATTCTCCTGCCTCAGCCTCCCGAGTAGTTGCGACTAGAGGTGCCTGCCACCACACCCAGCTAATTTTTGTATTTTTAATAGAGGCAGGGTTTCACCATGTTGGCCAGGATGGTCTCGAACTCTTGACCTCAGATGATCCCCCCACCTTGGCCTCCCAAAGTGCTGAGATTACAGGTGTGAGCCACTGCACAAGGCCAACAGTGATAGATCTTATTAATAATACATACCCTTGATGTGATATGATGAAAATGGCATTTTACCCTCTGTAGTCTTCTTCCTCCCCAAAACCCATAACCACAGTTTACCAGAGTCTAATCATGAGAAACACATTATACAAATCCCAATTGACAGGACAATCTACAAAATACCCGACCAGTATTCCTGAAAACCGGTAAGTTCCACAAAAACAAGAAAAGTCTAAGAAACTGTCACAGCCAACAGGAGCCCAGGCAGACAACTAAATGTAATGAGGAATCCTGAGTGGGATTCTAAAACGGAAAAGGGACTTTTGTGGGAAACCGAAGGAAATCTGAATAAGGGATGGCCTTTAGTTGGTAATAACATATCAAAATTGATGCATTATTTGTAACAATTACACCACACTAGTGTATGATGTTAATAATAGAAGAAATTGTGTGTGTGGAGCCAGGGGCTAACATGGGAACTCTTGGCACTATCCTCAAAACTTTTCTGGAAATCTAATACTACTGTTAAATTAAAAGTTCATTTTAAAAATGTAATAGAAAATTGGCCAGGCATGGTGGCACATGCCTATAATCCCAGCACTTTGGGAGGTCAAAGAGGGAGGATCACTTGAGGCCAAGGGTTTCAGACCAGCCTGGGCAACCCACTGCGACCTCATCCCTACAAAAAAAAAATTTTTTTAATTAGCCAGGTGAGGTGGTGTGCACCTGTAGTCCCAGCTACTCAGGAGGCTGAGGTGGGAAGATAGCTTGAGCCCAGGAGATTGAGGCTACAGTGAGCTTTGAGCCCAGGAGATCAAGGATACAGTGAGCTATGATCATACCAGTGCACTCTAGCCAGGACAGTGCAGTGAGACGTTGTCTTTTATATATATATTTAAAACAGAAAATAATGAAATGACTCCTTCAGACTCCGTGGCCACCAAAAGCCTCTTTGAGGAGCCACCATCTGAGATAAGTCTGAGATCACAATGAGAAATGGGCAGCCTGCTCCTGGCAAAAGACACACAGGGGCCCCAAGGAAGGAACCAAGAGGAAGGAGGCCAAGGAGCTCAAGTGAAGTTGGGGGAGAAATGGCACAAGGTGAACAGAACATCACAAAGGAAACAAAGGTAAACAGGGCCGGCCCAGGTAGGCAGGTCACGGTGACTTCAGACCTGAGTGGAAGGGTACTGGAAAATCATCAGAAGGAGTTAGCAAAATGAGACAGAACCTGACCCACTTTTTTTTTTTTTTTTTTTAAGACGGAGTCTCGCTCTGTCCCCTAGGCCGGAGTGCAAAGGCGTGGTCTTGGCTCACTGCAACCTCCGCCTCCTGGGTTCAAGCAATTCTCCTGCTTCAGCCTCCCAAGTAACTGGGATTATAGGCACATGCTGCCACGCCCAGATAATTTTTTTGTATTTTAGTAGAGATGGGGTTTCACCGTGTTGCCCAGGCTGGTCTCGAACTCCTGAGCTCAGACAATCCACCCGCCTCGCCCTCCCAAAGTGCTAAGATTACAGGCGTGAGCCAACGCACTCTGTCCACTTTTTTTTTTTTAATAGAGATGGGGGCGGGAGGGGGGGGTCTCGTTAAGTTGCCCAGGCTGGTTTCAAACTCCTGGCCTCAACTGATCCTCCCACTTCAGTCTCTCAAGTAGCTGGGATGATTGGCATGCGCCACTGTGCCTGACCCCAATCCACGTTTTTGAAGCGCATTCTGGCTGCTGAAGGGTGAGGATGGGAGTAGGAGAAAAGAGAGAAAGAGACAATGGTCACTCAGCTTGGTCATGCTTGGATAGAATCTAATCCAACACCCCACTTCACAAATACAAAAATGAAGGGACAGAGCCAGTGTCCAAGCCCCCTGGGGAAGGTAAGCAGCAGAACAGGGACAAGACCCCCACCCTCCTGGCCCCCTCTCTTCAGTCCCTCTCCACTTTGCCCCGTCTCCTGCTGGACCACATTTGATTCTGACCACAACAAGGGGGCTGAGAAGTGGCTGAGAGGCACGTGCTCCTGCAACATCAAAAACACCTCTGTGAGAAGGTACCTTCCTTGCTCTGAAGTCCCTGGTGGCTCAGCTCTCTTCACCATCAATGGCACTGAAACTTCCTGCCACCCAGCACAGGCTGGGTCATGCTGTGATGAGGGGGCAGCAGCCCTCTGCCTCCGCCCAGCCTCCTCCTGCTGCTCCCCAGCACACAGCACCCACCCAGTAAGCCAGGCCTTCCCACCCAGGGTGCCTCCCCTTCTGTGACCCCTGCCAGAGATCAGCAGCCAGCTTCTGCTTCCCAGGTCCCAGCCTTGACTACTGGACCCTCAACTTTGCCCCAAAATGACATACTGTCTTTTTTTTTTTGAGATGGAGTCTTGCTCTGTCGCCCAGGCTGGAGTGCAGTGGTGCGATCTCAGCTCACTGCAACCTCCGCCTCCCAGGTTCAAGTGATTCTCCTGCCTCAACCTCCTAAGTAGCTAGGATTACAGGCGCGTGCCACCATGCCCGACTAATTTTTGTATTTTTAGTAGAGACGGGGGTTTCACCATGTTGGCCAGGCTGGTCTCGAACGCCTGACCTCGTGATGGTCCGCCTTGGCCTCCCAAAGTGCTGGGATTACAGGCATGAGCCACCACGCCTGGCGACACGCTGTCTTGTAACAATCCTCAAAATGCTTTTGGTTTCAGACGCCTTTAGGGAGTCACTTTGTGCGACACTCTGCAGCCAAATGAGAATCTCCTTCCGGCAGTATGCAGTAACCCTGTCCAGCCTCTTCCTCCCTCCCCATAACCCCCAGTGCAAGGCTGTGTGTTCCAAGAAAGCACTCAGTGACTTGTTGAAGGAATGAAAACACCTTGGTACAACCATTAAGTTTGGAGATGAGCCTTTTCATCAACCAAAGATACGAAAAATACTCCAGTAGCTCATTTGTGAAAGCACCCTGAAGGTAAAAGTGAATAACTGCTTCATTTTGGGAAGCCTCATAAAATCTCTTTCACAAAGACCAAATGAAAAGTACCAATCCCTCAATTAGAAGATATTCAGGAGTCTACTCCAGGCTTGTGAATAAACGCATAAATTGTGTTTGTCCTAATTTGCTAAATTTTGAACTAAATGCAAACACTGGCCCCGGCATCCCAGCAAGCTCTACATTTCCTTTTTATCTCTAACCCAAGACCACCACTTTCCAGTGAAGCGGGCTGACTTCATCCCACTTCTGGGATTCCAAAGAGGTCTGTTGTTAAAATCAGAAAACGAGCAGCAGCTAGAGGCTCTGGTGGCTTCCAGAACATGCTTTATTTAAACTGTGGCTCCTGAAAGTCACCCTGCGGAGAGGTAGCCAGCCACCCTCAGTCATGACACACAGGTAAAATTCACTGTCAGGACCCCTACACAGGCACCAGGGAAAGAAAACCAAAAGGAGGAGAGTTCTCCATCAATTAGGTTCATCCATCAAAAAATCTTATATCTGAAAATCCAAGAAGAGTTACAACGTCGGCTCAGAGAGCCACACACTTCACTGCACTACAACAACAAAAAGAAATTCCAATTTCCTCCTTAGCTCTAGAATAGATAATACAAGATTTTTACTCACCTTTGGAGCGAGTAGAGATATCCATGCCCTCTACCACCTCCTGTTCTGTTTTTATTTCCTCTTCAGCCAAGCTGAAACAGAGCAAATTATGTTCATGTTTAGGAAGGCTGAGAACTTGCCCCATGGGGGCAGCTATTTGGAAGTTCTAGCAACAAACACACCTTAAAGACATTCCCTCATCCTTATCCAGGGCTGGGGGAGGAAACCCACACCTGATTTCAACAAAGTGTGAAGAGTCCTAAAGGAGTTTTTTAAAACACTAGGTTGTTCTTTTTTTTTTTAAGTCAAATTACTATTCCAGTTGTCATGCTATTGGGGAATGCAAAAGGCAATTTTTTAGACACACAATTACAACCTACCCCTGTGGGCCAATGAGAACCCAGCCTTCAAATAAACAAGCTTCTCATTGTTAACACAGGGTTCAAAGGCAGGGAGGTTGGAGGTGTTTTGCAGGGTATCCAGAATTCTGATCGCTGAATACTTTAGGGCAAAGAGTAAGATTTCCCACACCTCCCCCTAAATCTTACAATTCCCTGATGAGGCAGGAACATGGGAAAAAAAAGATACAGGTTAAATTACAAAGCAGAAAAATATGCCCAGCTAGAAGCTAAAGACCTGGTCTCAAAACACTGAACCGAGGAGCACTGATTCCAGCAATCAGACTGGGGTCTCCACACTTCCAACCCCCTGAATGCTTCCTCTCTACAGCAGGCACGGCTTACTACTGAGTTGTGACTAATTATCCCCCACCACAAAAGTGGAATGAGGAAGGATTATTCAAAAGACAAAGGCTAAGAGTGGAGGGTTGGGGAGAGAAGCAAATAAAGCAAGCCCCTTTGCTGGGAGGGTCCGTCACCCAGAACATTCTCTCTCTCTCTCTGCTGGAACTAGGGTTGAAAGAGAGCCGGCCATATCAGATCTTCCTCCCACAGAGAACTCACAAGCTAAACCAAAGGGAAAAAATAGAGTTCTGCTTTCATAGATGCAAATGGTTTGAGGTGCTAGAACTTTCCAAACATTCAGGCTGACACTGAAGTGGTAAGAAGCTGGGCATTTACTCCAGAAGCAATTCCATCAGACTGTCGTTCCACAGGAAGAAATGGGTGCATCACCAATTGATATGGCTGGAATTTTCCATTTGGAAGACTCAACGCCAGGACAGGAAGGAGGCTGGGGAAGAGAGAATGTCCTGTCCTGGGGAAGAGAGAATGTTCCGTGGTCTGGGACTGTGACAACGCAAAAGGCCCAAAAAGACAGCCTCATGTCTCGAACCCTAGTATAAGGAGAAGATTTTAGGAGAGTTCCACGTTAGGAGGAGAGGACTTAGGATGGGAGCTAGATAGAATGGAAAAGATTATAGTTCAGAGTTAAATTATAGGGGCTTGGAGACGAAGAAAGGTAGTTGGGTTTAAATGAGAATATTAACACATTTAGCCATCTGATTTTGAACCCCGTTAACAATTTCATTTACACCGCATCTGTAAAGAAAGCCTGTGACACAAATCACCAAAGAAACAACTGACATGTTGTCACAAATGGTTTTCATCAGGAGAAAGCAGCCTGCTAAATTTAAACACATCGCTTATATGCAATAATACAACGGTGATTTATTGAAGGTTATTTCAGCACTAATGCTTTCTATTCCAACTTAAGGAGAAAACATTCTCAACTCAGAAACACTCTGCCTGAAACATACACAGGTTGTCCAACTGGATGCTGTTGATGGGTTCTGGCTTGGGGTGACTGGAAATACATCTTAACAAAAAGCCCCATGCAGCCCTCGGAGATGGGTAGACAGTTAACTTCAAAGGAACAAATAGCAACCTTGATCTTTTCTAGCAACTAGAATTCTGTTTCCCTCTCTAGCATGAAGTATGTGAAATTCTAAACTTCTTGAAACCGATCCCATATTTTGAGTAATAGAGAAAACGCTAATCTGTGATCCAACTGAAATCTACAGTGGTGAGGGAAACAATTATGCAGAACTGAGCCAAAAAAAACCCACTTGAAGGATTTCTGCAGCGATGAAAACATTCAAAGGTGTATTGATCATGGAGGAAGGCTGCATTCAAGGGAACCATTATTTGGCTTGTAACAGCCTAGAGGAGCTGAATACTTCAGGCAGGAATGCTGCTGAGAGACGAGGAAAATGCAAACTAGTTATGTGGTGGCTATTTGCTTCTGAGTTTTAAGATAATCAATGCTGGAGCAGAAGAGAGAGGGAAAAAAAAGTTAAGCTGTTTTATCTTTCCAAGTATTACAAGTGGGCACCATAATCACCCAACTTTAGCAATAGCACCACCAGCTTTAGCACAGCATTTCAAGCACAACAATTTAAGAAAACCATCTTTTTCACAGATCAGCAAACCATCCTTTCAAAAGGAACCCGTGCACACACATGCACGCACACTCACACACACAATTAACTTGTATTTGACTAAAGGAAACTGCAGTGTCTATGCATTAAAAGGAGAAAAAAAAAAAAAAAAAAAAAAAACTTCATTTACAAAAGCAAAGACCAGAATGCAAAATTAGTCATTTTGAATAGCCACATCTAAAGGGACTTCCTTTTTCCTACACCACTGATTTCGGTTTTTTTGTGTGTGTGTGTGTGTTTTTTTTTGATTTAGTGTTAAGAACTAGTATGTTATTAGGAAAAAAAAATGAATATTACATCAAAAGTAGGCGCAAGAAAAGATCTGTACCTGTCTGAATTGCCCCACTGATGTTGGTCAATTTAGGTTAAGAACTGTTCAGTCATTTGGGGGAAAAAAAACAGTCAAATAATTCTTAAAAAGAAAAGGCAGCTGCATCTGGAGAAAATACTCTGAACTTCTGTCATTAACACATTAAAGTCTTAGAACATAGACAGCTTATTTCCTTCCATATCTGCTAGCTTCCAGCAACCCTGATGATTTAAATCAAAAACAATGGGACAACAAGCTCTTGTTTCAAACTGACATTACTTTTTTCCCTTTAAAGGTCTGTTGAGGAAACTGGGGGCCCGCTACAGAAAAGGGTAAAATTAGCTGAAAAGCAAACAATTTCTCACTCCAATAGGAAAATACACCATCAACTAGTTAGATACATTGTATACACCACCACCTCTTACACTCACATTTACCCAAGTCATTTGCCTGCAGATTTCACAAACTGATACATTTGAGGCAATTCAAAGAAATAACAGTACCTGCAAAGATAACCAAGACCACCCCATCCCATCCCAAAAAGAATAAAAGATTTCTCCCCCAGTGCCTGAGCAAGAAAACCTATGCTTACTTCTTAACCTGCATGCACTGAAAAAAGAGCAATTAAAAGTTGCAGATGAACTACTGCACCTCCAGGATGCTTTAAGCCTTCTGATTGTTAATTCTGAGGACTCAGGGATGGTCCGTAATTCCCAGGAATCTCATCTCCTCAACACTTCCAAGAGAGAGAAAAAAGAAAGCATCTAGTTTTGACAGAAAAATGCCTGAATACACAATGCCCACATATTTCTTTTCCCCAAGTGCCCCTACTATTTGACTTTTAAAGAAGAGTATCTAAGCCATCTAGAATATATAACCAACATGCACAAGACTCTGGTTCTACAGATGAGGATCATCGCACAGCAATTCAAGAATCATGCATCATTCGAAAGGACTTTTCCTGGTTTTTACTTTTCATTCAAAATACCAAAATGGTCCAGGCTGTAAGAAATATTTAATCCCCAAGGCATAACATCTTCCTCTTCTAGATTACAAAATAGTGAACATCAAAATTAAAAACCATGCTTCCCTAAATCTACAATTAATTTTTTAAGAAATTGGGGTGGGGGGGAATGGTTAGCAGAGCAGCTTTATATAAGCACTCACCTAAAACAGGCAGAGTCATCGGTAGCTAAGCTATTTATGCAGGATTCTTAAAATGGCGTCTGGCAACACTGCCTCATTCCTGTGTTGAAGCTAAAATGGTAGCAGTTTGTTCAATAGCTGTAGCTCTTGTTTAAGCAGCCCTGCGAGTTTCAAAGCCACCTTCCTAAATACCAGAACTAGGAAAAGCTGAACCAAAGGACACCAACAACCCAACGTTTAGAAGCTTAAAAAAAACTCTGCAATGACAGGGAGAGTTTGTGAAGTCACAGGTTCCTAAGGAAAAGCCTTCTCTTGTAGATCCTGAGCCTTCAACATGAGGCTCTGTGATGAGGCCCCCTTGCCCTCAAATTAGGTGGGTAGAAGGTTAGGAATCGTGCAGCCCCGTGGCACAAACTGCAGACGGACAGGTGTCTGTGCAAACACAAAAATGTTCCCAGGGAGCAGCCTGGGGGAAGGCAAGGAGGAAGCCCGGTCCCCCTTCTCTTCTCAGTCTATTAGAAACCAGCTTTGCATCCATACCAAAAAGGCGCTAGGTAAAATGAAAGTGCTTCAAGGACAGCAGGCATCTGAAAAGCCAAGCTAAAGGGCTGCACCTCAGTCTACGGCAAAGGTAAAATAAAAAGGCTGTTTATAAGCCTGCAAACAGCCACCAAATACCCAGCCCTCTGAAGCAGCCAGTCCTAAGACAGTTAACATCAAGGAAAGACAATCCGAGTCTGCAGAGGAGAAACACAAGGAAAACATTCCCTTATCCAATGCACAGGATACTCACAAATTAGATTTCTGACCACCCCCAACAGAGCCTGAGAATTAACAATGGGTTTTGCAAAACCCGCTTTCAGAGGCCGAACTAACAGCCTGAGTGGATAACGTCATTTACTGTTACAGGTCTGAGCATTGGCCTCAGAACTCCTCTGGTGCTGGGAGTGAGGAGTTTCAAGGTGACTGCTTTTTAGCTCCAGGGGAGAAAGGAGGGCACAGTGCCCAAGGCCATGCCAGGGCAAGGACGGGCCACTGGCCCCCGCCGGCCGGTAGGTAAGGTAATCGGGATGGGGGGGACAGGCTGGCAGCACACTGGCTGCAGAGCTGGCATGGCCACTGCCTGTTTGTTTGTCTGCAAGGAGAGTGGGAAGTAGCGGGGAGGGTGACCATAACCTTAGCAACCTGAAGCCAAGGGTGAACCCTTGCTCAGATCTTGCATTTTAAGAGTAACCAAAGGGTTCTGAAACATATTCCCTTTTTAAATCTCTGCTGTGCAGTAGCGAAGGCCCCTTTGAATGTATCTTTCTTTCCAGAGTCAACCAGAGGCAAAGCCAGATTGAGGGTTCCCAGGCTGACAAATGTCTGCTGCCTCTGCCACAGGAGAGAGAAGGGGAAAGAGGGCAAAAGAAACAAAGACATCACGCGTTGCAAGTGGCTGGACTTTTAAAAACCTACCTTTGCCTCCAGGGTTTTCTAGGTTACTGTCACCCCACTTCCTAAAAAGTGTCTCCCCCCTCATCCTATTTAAGACCTGATGCAGTCTCCCCACTGGTTCTCCCAGGGAAAGAAAAGGGGAAATGTTTTGTTGAAAATAAAAGGGATGACAAGAAAGAAAGGAAAAAAAGCTATTGTTTTCATCCCTAATTTATAATCCAAGAGGCCCCCAATTGTTTCTTTCTGACTCAAATCTTTGAGCTGTTAATTATAAAAGTAACTGGACTTGGCGCCAACGGGCTAACTATGATCAGGCTCAGCAATTAGAAAAACTCTGTAGAAAGTTTACTGAGTGATTATATATAATTAATTCCTAGTTACAGACTGAACACTGACCATTTTCTGGAGCTAATAAAAGCAGTTACTCCCCCTCCCCCACGTGAATGCCACTTAATTTCCCAAAGCAGAAAGTGAATCCATCCTGGAGGGTCTTGAAGGAAAAAAAAGGAGAGGAATCAAAAGCTTCAGTGTGTCTGTGTTTGCTCCTTGCAGCTGTGTATCCTCTTTGGGGACTGAGGAGGCAGAAGGAAAAAGGAAAACAGCCCAACATTCTGTTCCTCCTTCTGCAATTTACAAACGTGGCAGAGAGAACATTCTACCTTGATGAGAAAAAGAAGGGGGGTTGGGGGGAAGCAGGGAAGGGAGATGACCTAGGAATGGAAGGTAGGAGACGCTTCTGCTTGGCAGATCTGCTTTTCCTAAAAGGAACAAAGATGGTAGAAATTTCCAGAAGGCCCGTTCTTAGTTCGGCCACTGCAATTGTCAATCTTTAACCTTTCCTCCAAGTCTATTGGTTTAAAAGCTAGAGTAGAAGAACCCCATTGGGCTGCTCTGGGAGCCAGTACTGCCGTCCCTACCTAGTCCTGCTGCAATGCAGACATTTATTTTTTTCCCCCTTTCCTGAAACTGGAAAATAATGCTACTTTGAAAGCAATTAACTTTTTACAGACTCATGCTTGGTAGGGGTCACAGTACCAGAGGAAAAGTGGCTAGCTTGGTCCAGGGTTGGGAACTTGCTGGGGGCTGTACATTTGAAAACAGATCTTGGCTCTCCAAACCTGTGGGAGCCATTTTAATGCAAGCTTTTAGAGGACAAATGCCTTGCCCTTAAGTTCCCTTCCAGCCCAACAAACACAGTATTATGCAAACGTTGAAGGCACCAAACCAGGAGTCTTATGATTAGATATTGCTTCTAGGGAGGCCACAAGAACCTCGATATGTAATTTCCATTTACAGCAAGGAGATAAGAACAAAGAAAATAGCTGAGTGTCTGAACTTACTTGTTTGGGGCAGTGGCACTGTTCAGTTTTAAGTATATAACATCATTAACTGCCTGCAGTTTTACTCTAAGAAGCTAAGCTGGCCTGCCTTGCACAGACTTTTCTCAACTTAGAATGTGGTACGTTTCTGCTGATTAAATGAGCCTTTTTCCAATTCGGTGTCAGAAAGTGGGCTACTGGACACTCATTTGAAAGAAAAAAGATTACTGACTCCATAAAGTTGACATAACACAGCAATTGAATATATTTCCTGCATTTACGGTCATGTCGGATTGGTCTCCAAGCTGAAAATTTATGTACTGAACTTCTAGGGAAATTCTGAAGGTACTGCTAAACAAGACTCTACTTTTCCCACTTAACTTCTAGCTGCAGCCTTAAGTGGTCAAGGGAAATGTAAAAAGTGAGAAATCTTATGTGGGGCCAGCATGCATACAGATGTGTGGAGGAGACCTGAAAAAAGGCCAAAATGTGTTGGTCAGTGAGTCCTGAATCAAACCCAGTCTGGTGGTAGATGAGATTTTGCACTATACATAAGTCCTAAAACATGAGCACACTGACACCACCCCCCCAACACACACATACCACCACCACCACCAGCTTCTACACCACCAATGTTTTTAGGGCTCTGCACCTCTAAGAACAAGCAGTTTCATGACATTTCACAAGCACATCACCTACTCACAGTTTGAATATCCAAACAAACCCCATTAAAGGTCTAGAGTCAAGTCACAATGAACTGAACATTTCTCCCCTGACTCAGGGTAAACAGGAAGTATAATCTTCAATCCTAGCTGCAGGTTATCAGGAAAAACAGTGGATTCAAACAGTCACCTAAAATCAAGACACTCTTTAAAAAGCCCTTATTTTGTTCCTGCTAATGAAGCCCCCAACTCCTGTAGCCAAGACCCACTATTACAAACAGACCCCAAATGTTCGCAAAACTCTTCAAACATGGTCACAGAGGAAATGGATTGCTTTACTTACCCAACAAATGTTCAAGCAACCGTCTCATTTTTCCACAGTTAGGAAGAGAGAACAGGCTGGCAGATTTGGGACTTGATCAAAAAGGAAATTTTTTTAAACAGTTACATGGTATTATTAAAAACACACACAACAACAACAACACAACCCAACAACTGAATATGGAATGCTGTCATGAGCCACAGACATGATTTTATTTCCTCTACACTCCATGACACAGGAGAAGAGAGGAGGATACAATGTATAAAAGGGACAGGAAAATGAAAACAAGGATAAAAGGTAACATTAGTTCCTTGAAAATCATGCAAGAGTAGAAAGCTAAGGGATTCAGAATCCTTGCAGATTTTTTTTTTTTTTTTTTTTTGCAGGATGTTGTCCAAGATCTCTCCCCCCACCCCCCAGTCCCCATCCCTACTCCAAAAAACTTCCTCCAAAGCCTAGAAAACACTTTCAGAAACATTTGCTGGCTGTAGGCTGGCTTGCAGAACACTCTGTAGCAACCTAAGTCAGGAAAACAGGCTGAACAATGTAGTTTCAAGTGCAGAAGCTCTGTAGAATAAGAGAAGACCGTGTACAGACACCACCACCCACCTAGGCCCCAGGAGCTAGACTCTCCTTAGCACTGCTCTGCTGAGGGCACAATTCTTTTGCAAACACGCTCCTCTCTTGTCAAAACTTATCCAGCCTTCCCAGAACCTCTTTGGAGAGGCAAACTTGCCTGCTCTGCTGTCTGCCATGAGCTCTCCTTGGAGAGGAGCCTGTTTGCTTACCTTCCATTTTCTTCCCCCAGCAGGGCATGTGGCAAAAGAGAAGACAATAGTGCAGGGGTGGGAGGGGGGGAACTGCTCAGAGAGAGAGAGAGGGGAAGAGAGAGGGAAGAGGGAAAGAAAAAAAAAAAAAGAAGGAAAAAAAAAAGCTTCTTTTTTGGCATACCAGGATCTAGCTTCAAACTCTTCCAGAAACACCATGCCCTGGTGGAAGGAAAGGTGTGCCAGGCCCTTGCCAGTTTGCAAAATCAAGCTATGGCTAATGGCTACTGAGCCATGTGACCCAAGAAAGCAAAAAAATTCTCTCTAAACAGTTCCAAGTTAACATAAGTGCTCTGGGGGTGAGTGTGGCACGGCCAGCCACAGAGAAATCACACTGCTCGCCCACAATTCGGATGTCTCAGAGGGAGGGGGAAAAAAGATGGTTAAAAAGTCGAGCTTACCTCTGTGGATGCATTGTTAACACTGTGTAATGTCAATACTTATAAAACATGGAGGACAGGCTCCTAGTTCTCACAGAAAAAGGGTTTGGCACTTCGGCTGATGATCTGGCCGCCTAATAAAAGCTCATCCCCGATTGGCTGCCCCGGCAAATCGGAGTGTAAAGCCGCCCCGGATTGGCTGAAACACTTCCTGAGCGATTATCTTTGTGAGGCTCGGGTGAGCAAGAGCCATCCTGTGCATAGAAAAAGACAGGCTAAGCTAGGCCTTTTGCAGCAAGAAAAACTTGGGAAAGGGGCCCCCACACGCACTTCTCCTGCACCCTGGCTAGATTTCCCGGCACGGGCCAGCCAGGGCAGCCAGCCTGACCTGCTCCAGGAAAGCCTGAGGCCCGGAGGTCCCTGGGAAGGGAGTTTCTTGGAGTGGGCTGGAACGGCTCACCCTCACCTGCCCCCAGAGAAACGGCCCTTGTCCAGGGAGGAAGGCCAGCCTTTTTCTAGAACAGTCCAGCAGGGTGGCTCTCCAAGGGGAAGGGGAAGCTGGGGAGTGGGGAGTCCCGGGGAAACAGCCAAGGGGCCAGAAAAAGGGGCTTGAGGCAGGCCTCTGAGAAGCTGGGGGAAGCAGGCAGCCCGGGGGAGCCCCGAAAAATCAGCAGAGAGCAGCCCTGGCTTCTCAGAGGAGCGAGGAGTAGCTGCTGAGGGGAGGAGGGGAGCAGAGTGGTCAAGTTTGCATAGTCATTGTCCCCATGCCTCCTTGCAAGGCAGGCCAGGGAGCCGTGGGCCTCTCGCGCCCTGCTTAGCCAGTCCTGCAGGCAAAATCAACGTGGGTTCCTGTCGCCCTGCCACGATGCCAAGGGGGACCCCTCTCGGTCCTTACCCTAAGAAAAACCCAAAGCCCTCCTCGCAGGCCACATGCCTGGATCTACAAACTTCCCTTCCCTCCCGGCCCCTCCCCCGCGGCCGAGACCTGCTAAACCTGTCAGTTAAACACAAATCTGACTTCCGTATTAGCCTGCGATGCCTTCGGCTTCCTGCCTGTTAACCCTCTCTCGGACTCGGGGCCTGGCTGGGAAAAACTAGGCCTTGAGATCGCAGCGAAGGCCTGTGGAAAAATACCAGCTGCAGCTCTCCCGGCAGATGCAGAAAGAGAGAGAGAGAGCCGCTGTCTCTCAGCCTTTGCTTCCCAGGGAGGCGTGTACCTTGTGAATCCAGGGCACAGGCAGTGCCTCTCGGGCTGAGAAGCCATTTCAATCCAGAGGGAGACAGAAAGATGGCACGCTCAGCCCGGAAACAAGAGCCCCCATTATGCGTCAGGCCTACCCCCGTAGGTCAGCCCTTCCTGCCACAATCATCCCTGTATGTGTGTGCCTGGGGGAGTTGGGCCCTCCTCGGTGGGCAGACAAATCCCCTGGGCTTCCTAAGGATTCTTGCTTCCATTTATTTGCACAGAGAACGGCTTCTTTTCGTCCCCCAAGGCAGATGGAGCAGCGATTTCACACACAGCCCTCCATTTGGCAGCCCCCCCACCCCCCCATCTCTGGCACCGCTCCCCAGTAAAATATTAACTGGTTGTTCAGAGCTGCTTACAATTCTACCCACTTCAATTGCGTTAGGAGGTCTTTGCTGGTCTCCTCCCTAAAGCTGCCTTCGCAGTTGGTCTGTACCCAGAGATAGAAAAGGACCGTAAAATGTCCCCAGCTTTCTCGCTCTCTTTCCTTCTTCGGCATTTTAAATGACAAGGTGCTTAATTAACAGGATTTTTTAAAACAGCAACCTGGAACCACAGAAGCTAAATAAACACCATTCTTTAGAGGCTGGAGAAAGCGTCCAGAGTTAACGCAGCCATATGCCAGGAGGCATAACTCCGGAGCAATAAAGTCTCCCCTCTCCTCCTAAAATTAGGACTTGTGGGCTTTCTTGTCCCACACGGTTCCCACAAAGAAAACGAAGAGCTGATGGCTTGCTTTCCCTGCCCCCCCCCAACCCCCACATGGACAACAGATGCCCACTGCTTGTACATAAATTCTTCCTGGCCGGGAATCTCATATCAAACAGGCTCAGGAACGAGCTGGGAATCGAAACTCACTGTACGGCAGGGCAGGACCCAGGCTTTATAAAAACGGACAGGATGTTGCTGTTGTTACTGTTTTAGGCTGCTGAGGCCAAGCTGCAGGGAGGGACAGCTCCATGGCCACCCAACCTGACAAAGCTCCAGGGCTCAGGACAGCAGGCCTGGGCCTCACCAAAAGGGAGGGGCCTGCTCTTCCTGGAGGTAGAAAGCTGCATGGGGAGACTAAATGGGAGGAGGCGAGAGGTGGAGGCCACAGTGAAGCAGTGCGTGCTCACCCTCCTAGCTGTGTGGGCAGCGGCCCTCCACCGCCATCCCATATGGAATGCTGTTTGTTTCTGCGGGTGCTGCTTTGAGGGGAACAAACAGGACTGTGGGGTTGGTGGCAGATCTCCCATGCAGCTAAGTCCACGAACCAATGAGGAAATAAAATATGCCGCTGGTGTGCGTGGTGGATTTTAACCTGGGATTAAAGCTTGTTGCATAAGCAGCTACAGCATCCTCCCCGCCTCCCTCCCTCTCTCTGATCACTTGATCACTTGAAATGTTTTCTGGGGCAAAGAGCAGGAAGCTGCTGGCTTATTCTGGCAGCTCTGCTCTGTTTGAGGAATGCTGTTGGCATTCGGGTAGGTCTGAGGTTATCTGGAAAACAGCAATTCGGCTGGGGACAGACACAAAAGTATGGTGGCAGATGGAATCCTGGGAGGAACACAGATTGAAAAGAAAGCCTGGGGCAGGCCTACGAAGGGCTGGTCCTGGGCTTCATGGAATGTGGCTGATAAGCAGGAAATAAAACCAAATGTTGCAGGTCTCAATCTAGAAATCCATTCAGCAGCTCCTCTTAAAGCCCCACTGCAGTGAGTATCCCAGCAGTTACTTCTAAATTAGTGCTTTACATAGACTGATTCCTGAAGTAGGTGGCATTGTTAGAAACCTGGAACTAAGCCCAGAGAGGTGAAGTGAGCTGCCCAAGGTCACACAGCTGGGAAGTGCCAGAGATCAGATGTCCACCCCGTTAGCACTTCACATCCCTAAACTCTGTACCTTCTCCTGGCTCTAAAGAAAGAAGCAAAAGCAAAGCCGAACCAAGCACAGCAGAAACAATGAGGCTGAAACCTACGAACAGCAACTGCATAATCTGTGTTTTCTTTTAGGAGGTAGACCAGTTTTTTGCTTTTTTGTTTTTTGATACAGTGTCTCGCTCTGTCGCCCAGGCTTGAGTGCAGTGGCATCATCACAACTCAATGCTGCAACCTGAAGACCCACCCTTTTGAGGTGGGTTTTCAGTATTGAATGATGGCGCTGAAGGAAACTTTTAGATTAGACTCATTCAAATGCCCCTCATTACAGATTGAGGCCCAGAGGAAGCGACCCTCTCCCTCCCAACCTCCAGCAAGATGCAAGATGTCAAGGGGGAACACTTTGCCATCTCTAAAATTAGGCTTTTATATTCCCTGAAACCAGTGGTTCAACCATGGGGGGATTTGCCCTTCAGGGGGCATTTGGCAATGCTTGGAGACGTGTGGGTTGTCACAGTTAGGGAGGTTGTATTACCGGTATCCAGTGGGTAGAGGCCAAGGATGATGCAAAACATCCTATAAGTACACAAGACCAGCCCCGCCACAACAAGGAAGTATCTGATCCAAAATGTCCAAGGTTGGGAAACCCTGGCTTTAAGCCCTTTAAGGAAAGGGAAGAAAACAGTCCAATCATTCTGCCTCTGGCTAGAAAAGCCAGCACAGGCCTAAACAAGCAGGTTCTTTGGTGATATTAATAAGCAATGAGCTAATAAAAATAGATTAAAACGTGTCTCTCTTAATATTCCCAGGGTACAGAGAGGATTGGGGTACAGAATCAGGCTGTGGGGAGCCAGGCAGAGTGTCACAGTAACAACACTGGTCTCGAGGGAGAGGAAAGGCTGGCCCCAGCTCCCTTCCCCCAGCACCTTACGAGCTGAGGCCTGGCCTCCCTGAAATGGCTCGCCCGTTCCGCTGGCCTCCAGCCAGGCGAGCAGCAGCAGGAGCGGCCCCACAAGCTGCATCCCGAGATAGCCTGTTCGGCTGCCTACAAAAATAAGCACACTTGCAGTTATCGGCCTCCAGCTACAGCAGGCCTCTCTGACCGTTACGCGAAATGGACAGGATTGAGTCAGGGAAGTGTTTTAAATATCTTGTTTTGTTTTGTTCCTTTCTGGCCAATTAGAACCGAGGCCAACTTCGGGCACGGTGACAGAAGGGCTCACCTTCAGAGCCCGGAGCTGACTGTGTCATGTTACAGCCACAAAGAGGCAGATAGGAGCCTCCCTCCCTTGGAGAAGATGCCTACTAGGAGAGGGGTGTGGGGTTTTTTGGTTTTGTTTTGTTTTTTTACCTCTTTCTAGGAGGGACTGGCAGGATTAGGCAAACGGCGGGAGGGAAAACAAAAAGGGCTAGTGGAAAGGGCAGGGGGTGGATGGTCGCCCCTCATCAGGCAGATGGCCACAGCGCGGGTGGGGCGCCGAGCAAGGGATGCAGGAGCAGAAGGAAAATGAAAAGCAGGAAAACTCAGGCCCTACTCTTTTTTCTTCCTAGCAATTACTTTTATGGGCAGAAGACTATAGATTCGTTCGCTCTGTTTCTCCCTCCCACTGGACCGGTGGTTTTGCCCCCGCAAGGGGACATTTAGCAATGCCTAGGGACATTTTGGGTTGTCTCCATTTTGGGTTGTAAGATCTTTCAGGGAAGTGGGGAGTGCTACTGGCATCTAGTGCTGCTAAACATCCTACAACACATAGGACAAGACCCCCCAGCGGAGAATTAGCCAGCCTCAAATGTCAATAGTGCAGAGGCTGAGAAACTGTGCACCAGGCTGAGCACTTCACGAGGCAAGGAAGGACCTTGTCTGAATTCTTCACCATCATGCCCTCAAGAGTTGAACACAGCACTTGACATATATTAGAGCTCAGTAGAACACCATCTCCCATCCGGATGGTTGCAAGAATCTTACCTGAGCTCTCTGCTTCCGCCCTTGCAAACGCTTGTACACATGCACTCACACACACATACACACACTGTACCACCCAGGCTGCCAGTGATCCTTTTATTTTTTTTTCTCTCCCTTTTTTTTTTTTTTTTTTTGAGACAAAGTCTCACTCTGTCGCCCAGGCTAGAGTGCAGTGGCACAATCTCAGCTCACTGCAACCTCCGTATCCCAGGATCGTGCAATTCTCCTGCCTCAGCCTCCTGAGGAGCTGGGATTACAGGCACATGCCACCACACCCAGCTAATATTTTGTGTCTTTAGTAGAGACGGGGGTTTCACCATGTTGTCCAGGATGGTCTCGATCTCCTGACCTCGTGATCCGCCTGCCTTGGCCTCCCAAAGTGCTGGGATTACAGGCGTGAGCCACCATGCCCAGCCACTTATTTATTTTATTTTATTTTTTCTGAGACACAGTCTCACTCTGTCGCCCAGGCTGGAGTGCAGTGGCGCCATCTCAGCTCACTGCAACATCCGCCTCCTGGATTCAAGTGATTCTGCTGCCTCAGCCTCCCGAGTAGCTGGGATTACAGGTGCAAACCACCACGCCCGGCTAATTTTTTTTTTTTTTTTTGTATTTTTAGTAGAGACGGGGTTTCAAATTTCACCATGTTGGCCAGGCTGGTCAGGAACTCCTAAGCTCAAGCGATCCGCCTGCGTTGGCCTCCCAAAGTGTTGGGATTACAAGCGTGAACCACCGTTCCCGGCCAGCCAGTGATCCTTTCAAAACACAAGTCAGCTCCTGTCCTTCCTCTGCTCAAAATCCATCAATGACTCCTATTTCTCAGTAACAGCCCAAGTCCAGATAACGGCCCACCAGCCTCCCGGCTGGCACTGTGCCCTTCTGACCTCCGACCATCTCCC
The DNA here is from genome assembly GCF_000001405.40 of Homo sapiens. Classification (NCBI taxonomy): domain Eukaryota; kingdom Metazoa; phylum Chordata; class Mammalia; order Primates; family Hominidae; genus Homo; species Homo sapiens. The sequence goes on from NC_000020.11 coordinate 47,362,603, forward strand.
TCCACCCTCCTGTGGCTCACTCTGCTCCGGCCACTCCGATCATCCACCTGTTCTTTCCATTCTCTAACTTGTTCTCTCCTCCTTGGAGCCGTGGTACTTGATCTTCTACTCTGACCCTTCCTACAATCAATGGATCTGCCCACTTCCCCAAACCACCCAGCAGCTAGCCATTTCCTCCGCGGGGCCTCAACATGTCTGTATCTTCCCTGCTGCTTCTGAAAGGATTCCCCACAGCCGACAAGGCCTCTCTTCTGCTGCACCCTACATCAGATATCTTTCCATCTGAGCCCTGGCTTAAAAACTAGCCCCATTTCTCTTGCACCTGTAACCTTTTTCCTCTCTCTTCCCCACATCAAGAAGCACAACTGTGCAGTGATTGAGTGTGTGGCTGCTGGTGCCACACTCTCTGGGTGTGGATCCCAGCCACCCCACTTGCCAGCTGTGCGGCCTTGCTTGAAGTACTAAGTTCTCTGTGCCTTGATTTTCTCATCAGTACAATGGGAACAAAAATAAAAAGTGCCTGGAATCATTGAATAAATCATCTCTACCAAAAGCTTGCAGCAACGCTGCACAGAGTCAGCACTCATTTAGTTGCTGTTACTATTTCCCTCTTGGCTTACTCTTATTTTTTTTTATTATTATTATTTTTTTTTTTTGGAGATAGAGTCTCACTGTGTCTCCCAGGCTGGAGTGCAGCGGCGCAACTTCAGCTCACTGCAACCTCCACCTCCTGCGTTCAAGAGATTCTCCTGCCTCAGTCTCCAGAGTAGCTGGGATTACAGGCGCGTGCCACCACGCCGGGCTAATTTTTGTATTTATAGTAGAGACGGGGTTTCACCATGTTGGCCAGGCTGGTCTCGAACTCCTGACTCAAGTGATCCACCTGCCTCAGCCTCCCAAAGTGCTGGGATTACAGGCGTCAGCCACTGTGCCCGGCCATCAGATACGATTTTAAACGCTTTACATGAACCAACCCATTTATCCTCAAAACTATAAAGCAGGCACCATTATACTTATCAACCCACTCCTATATGAGTAAACTGAGGTCAGGACTAACCATCCCATTCTTTTTTTTTTTTTTGAGACGGAGTCTCACCCTGTCTCCCAGGTTGGAGTGCAGTGGCATGATCTCGGCTCACTACAACCTCTGCCTCCCGGGTTCAAGCGATTCTCCTGCCTCAGCCTCCCGAGTAGCTGAGATTACAGGCATGAGCCACCATGCTTGGCTAATTTTGTATTTTTAGTAGAGATGGGGTTTCTCCATGTTGGTCAGGCTGGTCGCGAACTCCTGACCTCAGGTGATCCGCCCGCCTCGGCCTCCCAAAGTGCTGGGATTACAGGCATGAGCCATCGCAGCCGGATTTTTTTTTTTTTTTTTTGAGACGGAGTCTCGCTCTATTGCCCAGGCTGGAGTGCAGTGGCGCGATCTCGGCTCACTGCAAACTCCACCTCCTGGGTTCACGCCATTCTCCTGCCTCAGCCTCCCGAGTAGGTGGGACTACAGGCGCCCGCCACCACGCCCGGCTAATTTTTTGTATTTTTAGTAGAGACAGGGTTTCACTGTGTTAGTCAGAATGGTCTCGATCTCCTGAACTTGTGTTCCACCCGCCTCGGCCTCCGTAAGTGCTGGGATTACAGGCGTGAGCCACCGTGCCCCGTCCTGTTTCCCAGACTGCAGCGTGATGGCAAGATGACAGCTCACAGCAGCCTCAACCACCTTGGCTCAAGCAATCCTGCCACCTCAGCCTCCTGAGTGTCTGGGGTCACAAGTGTGTCCACCACACACAGCTAATTTTTTTTTTTTAATTTTTTACTAGTTTTTTTGTTTGTTTTTGAGACAGAGTCTTGCTCTGTCACCAGGCTGGAGTGTGGTGGCGAGATCTCAGCTCACTACAACCTCTGCTTCCCGGGTTCAAAAGATTCTCCTGCCTCAGCCTCCTGAGCTGGGATTACAGGCGCATGCCAACACGCCCAGCTAATTTTTGTATTTTTAGTAGAGACGGGATTTCACCATGTTGGCCAGGATGGTCTCGATTTCTTGACCTTGTGATCCTCCCGCCTCGGCCTCCCAAAGTGCTGGGATTATAGGCATGAGCCACCGCACCCAGACTTAATTTTTTATTTGTAAGAGACAGGGGTCAGGCTGGGCACGGTGGCTCATGCCTGTAATCCCAGCACTTTGGGAGGCCAAGACGGGCAGATCACCTGAGGTCGGGAGTTCGAGACCAGCCTGACCAACATGGAGAAACCCCGTCTCTACTAAAAATACAAAATTAGCCAGGCGTGGTGGCTCATGCCTGTAATCTCAGCTACTCAGGAGGCTGAGGCAGGAGAATCGCTTGAACCCGGGAGGCGGAGGTTGCTGTGAGCCAAGATCGTGTCATTGCACTCCAGCCTGGGCAACAAGAGTGAAACAACGTCTCAAAAAAAAAAAAAAAAAAAAGAGACAGGGGTCTTGCTCTGTGGTCTGGGCAGATCTCAAACTCCTGGGCTCAAATGCTCCTCCCACCTCAGCCTCCCAAAGTGCTGGAATTACAGATATGAGCCACAGTGCCTGCCGGTTTATCTGCTTTAGATAGTGTGGGCAGGAAGTGGGGAGACCCTTTAAGGAGGCTGTGACATTGGAGCGAAGAACATAGAACCTTCCTGGTGGAGGGAACAGGAAGTATGAAGGCTCTAAGTTGGTCTGAGCTTGGCAGTTTGATGTTTCAGCGGAACAAAAAAAGGCCAGGTATGGCTACACCAAATAAGGTGCAAAGAGGCTGGGTCCCATGGCTCAATCCTGTAATCCCAGTGCTTTGGGAGGCTGAGGTGAGCAGATTGCTTGAGCCCAGGAGTTCGAGACCAGCCTGGGCAACAAAGCAAGACCATGTCTCTACAAAAAATAGAAGAAATTAGCCAGGCGTGCTAGTGCACACTTGTAGTCCTAGCTACTCGACAGGATGAGGTAGGAAGATCACTTGAGTCAAGGAACTCAAGGCTACAGTGAGTGGTGATCATATCACTGCACTCCAGCCTGGGCAGCAGGGTGAGATTCTGTCTCAAAAAATAAAATAAAGTGGCCGGGCGCAGTGGCTCACGCCTGTAATCCTAGCACTTTGGGAGGCCGAGGCGGGTGGGTCACGAGGTCAGGAGTTCAAGACCCGCCTGACCAATGTGGAGAAACCCCATCTCTACTAAAAATACAAAATTAGCCGGGCGTGGTGGTGCATGCCTGTAATCCCAGCTACTCAGGAAGGCTGAGGCAGGAGAATCGCTTGAATCCAGGAGGCAGAGGTTGTGGTAAGTCGAGATCATGCCACTGTACTCCAGCCTGGGCAACAAGAGTGAAACTCAGTCGAAAAAATAAAAAATAAAAATAATAAATAAATAAAAATACAAATACAAAAAATTAGCACACGCCTGTAGTCCCAGCTACTCGGGAGGCTGAGGCAGGAGAATCTCTTGAACCCGGGAGGCAGGGGTTGCAGTGAGCCAAGATCGCGCCAATGCACTCCAGCCTGGGCGACAGAGCGAGATTCTGTCTCAAAATAAATAAATAATAAAATAAAATAATAATAATAATAATAATAAGATGCAGAGGACCAGGCCAGGCATGGTGGCTCACATCTGTAATCCCAGCACTTTAGGAGGCGAGGCTGAGGCAGGCAGATCACGTGAGGTCAGGAGTTAGAGAACAGCCTGGTGAACATGTTGAAACCCCGTCCCTACTAAAAATACAAAAATTGGCCAGGTGCGGTGGCTCACACCTGTAATCTCAGCACTTTGGGAGGCCGAGGTGGGTGGATCACGAGGTCAGGAGTTCGAGACCAGCCTGGCCAATATGGTGACTCCTCGTCTTTATTAAAAAATACACAAAATTAGCCAGGCATGCTGGCGCATGCCTGTAATCCCAACTACTCTGGAGGCTGAGGCAGGAGACTCACTTGAACCTGGGAGGAGGAGGTTGCAGTGAGCCGAGGTCACGCCATTGCAGTCCAGCCCAGGCAACAGTGCGAGTCTCCTTCTCAAAAAAAAAAAAAAATCAAAAATTAGCTGGGCGTGGTGGTGGGCACTTGTAATCTCAGCTACTCAGGAGGCTGAGGCAGGAGAATTGCTTGAGCCCAGGAGGCAGAGGTTGCAGTGAGCCGAGATCCCGCCATTGCACTCCTGCCTGGGCAACAGAGACTCCGTCTCAAAACAAAACAAAAAAAAGATCCAGAGGACCTAAGCATGGAGATAAGCTCAGAGACAAGGTCACCATTCCCTCCACCATCTTTCCATTACTAAGACTCAAAATATTCCACAATGTTCTTTACCTTCCCATCCCCACTCTCCTCTACATCTAATCCACACCATCCCTGAACCCACCCCAAAAGAGAGCCCTATAAAAGGGTAGCTAGACATGTACACTCAAGCTTAAGACAGACTGACTCTGCACTGTGTAGCTCCAGAACCCCAAATAATTTCTGTAACTCTCTACACCTGATCCTCCACATGTAAAATAGGAATACTACTCTCTATCTCATCGGGTTATACAGTAAATAGAGAAAATGAATTAATAGATATGAAAATACCTCCCACAGGTGGATCACCTGAAGTCAGGAGTTCGAGACCAGCCTGGCCAACATGGCGAAACCCTGTCTTTACTGAAAATACAAAAATTAGCCAGGCGTGGTGGTGGACGCCTGTAATCCCAGCTACTTGGGAGGCTGAGGCAGGAGAATCGCTTGAATCCAGGAGGCAAAGGTTGCAGTGAGCTGAGATCATGTGCTGCACTCCAGCCTGGGCGACAGAGCGAGACTCTGTCTCGAAACAAACAAACAAACAAAAATTAGCCGGGCGTGGTGGTGGACGCTTGTAATCCCAGCTACTTGGGAGGCTGAGGCAGGAGAATCGCTTGAACCTGGTAGGGGATGGAGGTTGCAGTGAGCCAAGATTGCACCACTTCACTCCAGATTGGGTGAAAGAGCGAGATTCTGTCTCAGAAAGAAAGGAAAAGAAAAGCCAGGCGTGGTGGCTCACGCCTATAATCCCAGCACCTTGAGAGGCCAAGGGGGACGGATCACTTGAGGTCAGGAGTTCGAGACCAGCCTGGCCAACATGGTGAAAACCCCATCATTACTAAAAATACAAAAATTAGCCAGGTGTGGTGGCACGCGCCTGTAGTCCCAGCTACTCTAGAGGCTGAGGCAGGAAGGCAGGAAAATCACTTGAACCCGGGAGGCAGAGGTTGCAGTGAGCCAAGATCATGCCACTTCACTCCAGCCTGCGTGACAGAGGGAGACTCCGTCTCAAAAAAAAAAAAAAGAAGAAATAAAATACAATAAGATAAAATAAAATAATGTATTTTGGCTGGGCACAGTGGCTCACACCTGTAATCACAGCATTTTGGGAGGCTGAGGCAGGTGGATCACCTGAGGTCAGGAGTTCGAGACCAGCCTGGCCAACACAGTGAAACCCCATCTCTACTAAAAATGCAAAAAATTAGCTGGACGTGGTGGCAGGTGCCTGTAACCCCAGCTACTCGGGAGGCTGAGGCAGGAAGGCAGGAGAAACCCTTGAATCCGGGAGGCGGAGGTTGCAGTGAGCCGAGATGGCACCACTGCACTCCAGCCTGGGTGACAGAGCGAGACTCCGTCTCAAAAAATAAAAACAAAAAAATTATGTGTTGTATTTGCTTTTCAGGGCAGCAATCTTGTCCTTTACAAGCACTTGATTCGACGGTTCATCTCCAGAGCCTAGAGTAGGTCCCACACAGGGGAGTCTGTTGATTTGAGTGAACGTCAATTCCTGGGGCTCAGTACAAATGCTTTAAAACAATTTGCTCAATACTGGGCACAATAGGCTTAATGTGGCCTTGCTAAGTTCCTGGAGTGACTTCTATGGGCTTTAGCCTCCTCCTGCTGCCACCACTGCCTCCATCGCCCTCCTCGTTGTCATGACGACATCTCCTCCTCCTCATCTTTACCTTGGAAGAGTGGCTTGCACTTATTGAGGTGCCATGTGCCAGGCACTGTTCCAAACACACTTTACGTATTAATTAATTTAACCCCTCCAACAACCCTATGAGGCAGGTACAAGGATAACCCCCATTTTACAGGTGAGAAACCTGAGGTGCAGAGAGATCAAGTAATTTACACATCTGAAAAAAGGAAAACATTCATAAGAAAAATGAAACCTCAGCCTACTTGGCCTCTAAAATTTCAAGAAGCTAAAACTATGGAGAAACCAACACTTACAGGTGATCAGGAACCAATTTACCAACAACAGCAGCAAAAAATAGACCAAACACAAACAGAAATTCCAGAGAGGGCAATTCAATCACAATTCATCTCGTGTTCTGAGGCCCCCCAAACCTCCCTGTGTTTTCCATCCACCTGGTCCCTCAAGTCCCAGATCTGGACATCACCCTTGACCACCGCTTCCCCATCTCCCATCCCAAGCCCTGTGGCTTCACCTTCTGAGCGCCTTCCACTGCCGACTGCGGCGGCGTAGCTCCATTCTGCACAGGTGCTTGGCTCCAGAGCCACCATTATCTGCTATCTGGGCTGGAAGGGAACAGCCTCCTCACCCCGACTCTGCTCCCATCCTCCACCCTCAGCTGCTGGAAGGATCTTTTGAAATTTCAATTTGGGCCAGATCACATCCCCATCCCCCAACCCCCACCTCTAAAACCCTTCACAGGTTTCCCATTGTTCTCAGGCCACAGTCTGAAATTCTTCAACGAGCCCTAGGGGGCCTGTAGGATTCCCTTCTCCAGCTTTTGCTCAGGGTCTGAGCTCCAGCCAGCTTCAAAGACTGAGTGAGTTTGCCTGGATTCAAATCTTGGCTCTGCCTTTCACTCACTGTGCCACCGCATGTAAGTAACTTAACCTCTCTGGGCCTCTAAAGTGGGGATAATAGCACCTCCTAGAGTGTTGTCAGGATTAAATTAATTCATGTAGTAAAAAGTGCTCACTTAGCACAGCATCTGGCACCCAGTTAGCTATTGCTATTGTTATTGCTGTCAGGTAACTCCTACTCATCCTTCAAAACCCAACACAAAATTCATTTCTTCAGGACAGCCTTCCCAGACTCATTTCCCAAAAAAAATCAGATCCTAGGCTGGGCATGGTGGCTCACGCCAGTAATCCCAGCACTTTAGGAGGCCGAGGTGTGTGATCACCTGAGGTCAGGAGTTCAGGACCAGCCTGGCCAACATGGTGAAACCCCGTCTCTACTAAAAAATACAAAAATTAGCCGGGTGTGGTGGCGGGCGCTTGTAATCCCAGCTACTCTGGAGGCTGAGACAGGAGAATTGCTTAAACCTGGGAGGCGGAGGTTGCAGTGAGCGAGATCATGCCACTGCACTCCAGCCTGGGCGACAAGAGCAAAACTCTGTCTCAAAAAAAAAAAATCAGATCCTCCAGTTATATGGTGTCCTCATAGTGCCCATGACAATCATAATTTAATACTTTATACATGTTTAATCACCAGGTACAAATTTTATTTTATTTTTTTTGAGACAGAGTCTTGCTCTGTCACCCAAGCTGGAGTTCAGTGGCCCGATCTTGGCTCACTGCAACCTCCATCCCAGGTTCAAGCGATTCTCCCACCTCAGCCTCCTGAGTAGCTGGGACTACTGGCACGAAACACCATACCCAACTAATTTTTGTATTTTTTGTAGAGACGGGGTTTCGCCACTTGCCCAGGCTGGTCTTGAAGTCCTGGGCTCAAGCAATCCGCCTGCCTTGAACTCTCAAAGTACTGGGATTACAGATGTGAGCCACCGTGCCGGGCAGGTATAAATTCCTATGATCGAGTTCTTACCTACTGTCTGTTTTGTTCAATTCTGTATCACTCTGGCACATAGTAGGTGCTCAAAAATAATTTGGTGAATATTGGACAAGAGAGTAGCTGAATGAATCAGCTGCAGAGGAGCCCAAATCCCCACTTTTCAAGTTAAATAATTAGAAAAATCGGCTTTTGGCCAGGCGTGGTGGCTCACACCTGTAATCCCAGCACTGTGGGAGGCCGAGGCAGGCGGATCACGAGGTCAGGAGATCGAGACCGTCTTGGCTAACACGGTGAAACCTCGTCTCTATTAAAAATACAAAAAAAATTAGCCGGGCGTGGTGGCGGGCACCTATAGTCCCAGCTACTCGGGAGGCTGAGGCAGGAGAATGGCATGAACCCGGGAGGCGGAGCTTGCAGTGAGCCAAGATTGCGCCACTGCACTCCAGCCTGGGTGACAGAGCGAGACTCTGTCTCAAAAAAAAAAAAAAAAGAAAAATCGGCTTTTAATGAGGATGCAGGAAAACTGAAGCCCACTGAGGGTAACTGGGTTACAAAAGGAAGCCGCAGTGATTCCAATGTAAAGCAAAACTGGGAGCGTGGCCCAGAGAGCTGCAGTGCAGGGGCTGGGTTAGCCTAAGAGCTGACTACTTGGTATTCACAGCAAGCAGCTCAAACAAAGAGAGAGGAGAGGGACGAATTCCATGGGGAGCTGAAGGCCAAAGGCCCGAAGCTGAAGGCAGAAGTGGTGGATTACCCTGGGGGCGGGAGGCTTCCAGCTGCAGAAATCGCCCAGATTCTAGGAATCCATCCCACCCGTGCCCCTGCTCACTGCTGTCTTACCTGAATTGCCTGCCCGCAACCCTTCGGCTCACCAGCCTCGGGAACAGTGACTCACTCCAATGCCTCTGGTCCCAGCTACAGCCCAGGCCTCCACCAGCCTGATGTCAGAACCTCTGTAGGGTGGCCAGGTCTAGCAAATACAAATACAGGATGCCCAGTTCAGTTTGAATTTCAGATAAACAAGGAATCTTTTTTTTAGTATAAGTACATCCTGTATCAGTCTGGCACCTCTACCTCTCTGGTCCCATCAAACTCTCCCCAGCAATGTCCTTTCACAGTTACCTTTCTGCTGCTCAGAGTCTTGAGCCTCCTTGGAAGATAAACTGGCCCCCTGTGACCTCTGGGTAAGGGAGAAACCAACGCCAGCCGAATAGGGTGGGGTAAGGACCTCCCCGCCACCACCAAAAAAAAAAAAAAAAATGCAGGCACAGTGGCTGAAGCCTGTAATCCCAGTGCTTTGGGAGGCTGACTTGGGAGGATCCTTGAGGCTAGGAGTTTGAGACCAGCCTGAGCAACACAGCACGATCTCTTCTCTACAAAAAATTTTAAAAATTAACTGGGCTTGGTGGTGCACACCTGTAGTCCCACCTACTCAGGAGGCAGAGGCAAGAGGATTACTTGAGCCCAGGAGTTCAAGGCTGCAGTAAGCTATGATCATGGCACTGCACTCCAGCCTGGGTGACAGAGCAAAACCGCATCTGAGAAAAAAAGGAAAAATAAATGACCTACCCAGTTCTTAGCACAGAATACATTCTCCATAAAAAGCAACTTCATACAGCCATCCTTTACTCTACGGTCACCTAGGGGCCTCTCACAAGTCCTTGTGAGATACATGGCATGGATGGTTGAACCCTTTTCACAGAGGAGAAAACTGGGGGCCTGCTAATTGGTGGAAGGGCCAAGAAGAAAAGTCCTGCTCTTTAGGATTCTGCTGCTAAAGCTCTGCTGGAGTCTGTCAGATGTGAATATGCAGGAAACTATAAGCCACATGAGAGCAGGTTAACTGTGGCTTCACCGATGGACTCCTGGATCCCAGCACAGTGCTCCAGCCCTTAGCAGCTGCTCCGGAAATAACTGCAGAGCAGCTGAGCGTGATGCCTCACGCCTGTAATCCCAGCACTTTGGGAGGCCGAGAGGGGCGGATCACTTGAGGTCAGGAGTTCGAGACCAGCCTGGCCTTCATGGCAAAACCTCATCGCCACTAAAAACACAAAAGTTAGTTAAGTGTGGTGGTGGGTGCCTGTAATCCCAGCTACTCAGGAGGCTGAGGCAGAAGAATCGCTTGAACCCGGGAGGTGGAGGTTGCAGTGAGCCGAGATCACACCACTGCACCCTAACCTGGGTGACAGAGTGAAACTCTGCCTCAAAAAAAGAAAGAAATAATTGCAGAGCGAATACAAATCCACCAGAGTCTCCACGACGACCTGATAATAGAGCACACACTTGTGGTCAGGCCCCTTCTCTCAATCTCTCTCTCTCTCTCTCTCTCTCTCTCTCTCTCTCTCTCTCTGTCTCTCCCCTGCACCCCTCTGCCCTGCCCCATGTTCTGGGTCTTGAGCCCAGGTCTGTCTTTCTGTGCTGTCTCCGTAGCCCCAACTACATGGCTACGTGGTGGGGAGAAGGAGAGGATGAAGCTTAAGGCAGATTTCTGGCTTTTCTCCCCAAATGAAGCAAAATAACAAATGTAGCTTCAAAAGGAAAGCAGCATGATCATGGAAATGTCAAAACAGCCACGTTCTTTTCTAGCCAGGCAGAAGAGACTTTATAGAACCTGACTCAACACAGTTGCATTCAGCATTCCTTAAACACCTAACATAAGCTCCCCTTTACTGGCAAATTGCCCTGAAACAATTAGGAGGTAAAGGAATTCCCAGAAGAAAAGGATTTTCTAGGGCCTTTGAAGAGATGTGTTGACTCTAACCCAAACAACCCTCTGAGAACATGGAGCCACTTGGTTAGCTCTCTTTGAGAGTTGTCCAACAGGTAAAGCAGGGGCATCCACCAGTATCTGTTTTTAATTGCTTCTGTCTTTACCCAAGGTCAGAAATGAACATTGGGATTTGACTGAGGAGTTACTTTCCATTTCTTACTTATGTTTTCTTTATTCAGTTATAGGGACAGGGTGGCCATGGGGATGGTGAGGGAAGTTTGGACTTTGAGACCATTTTGATCAGGGCCTTTACTCTTTATAAATGGGAAGTGACTTGCAGGCATTAATAGGCTCATCAGGTTCTCACCTTTGGTGCATCTCCCCCATGGTCAGTGCCAGCCTAGTCATGGATCTCGACCTGATCAGTGGACTTTTCTCCATAAACTTTCCCTAACACCTGGAGAGATACTTCAGCTGCAATGTCACCTCCTCAGAGAGGCCTTCCTTGATTGCATTATCTAGAGGAGATTCCCACCCAGCCCTGCCCAGCAGTCACCCTCTATGAGGTCACCTGTTGTATTGTCCTATGAGGACTCCTATCAACTATCACACGCTGTTGCTTTTTTATTATTATTATTATTATTATTATTATTATTATTATTATTATTATTTGAGGCAGAGTTTCACTCTTGTTTCCCAGGCTGCAGTGCGATGGCACAATCTCAGCTCACTGCAACCTCTGCCTCCTGGGTTCAAGCGATTCTCCTGCCTCAGCCACCCGAGTAGCTGGGATTACAGGCATGCACCACCACACCTGGCTAATTTTGTATTTTTAATAGAGACAGGGTTTCTCCGTGTTGGTCAGGCTGGTCTCAAACTCCCAGCCTCAGGTGATCCACCCGCCTCGGCTTCCCAAAGTGCTAGGATTACAGGCTTAAGCCACCACACCTGGCCTATTATTATTATTATTATTTTAAATTTATTTATTTTGAGACTGAGTTTCACTCTATCACCCAGGCTGGAGTGCAGTGGTGCAATCTCGGCTCCCTGCAACCTCCATCTCCCAGGTTCAACTAATTCTCCTGCCTCAGCCTCTGAGTAGCTGGGACTACAGGCACGTGCCACCATGTCTGGCTAATTTTTGTATTTTTTGTAGAGACGGGGTTTTGCCATGTTGGCCAGTCTGGTCTTGAACTCCTGACTTCAGGTGTTCCACCGGCCTCGGACTCCCAAAGTGCTGGGACTACAGGCATGAGCCACCGTGCCCAGTCTTATTTTTTTGAGACGGAATATCACTTTGTCACCCACACTGGTGTGCAGTGGCACGATGTCAGCTCGCTGCAACCTCCACCTCCCTGGATTCAAGAGGTTCTCCTGCCTGAGCCTCCTGAATAGCTGGGATTACAGACCTGTGGCACTGCACCTGGCTAATTTTTGTATTTTTAGTAGAGACAGGGTTTCCCCACGATAGCCCAGGCTGGTCTCGAACTCCTGGCCTCTAGTGATCTGCCCGCCTCAGCCTCTCAGAGTGCTGGGATTACAGGCACAAGCCACCACACCTGGCCTGTTGCTTTATTTTTGACTTGTTGGTCTCTTGGTCTCTGCAACCAAGATGACAGATGTCATCCGACTGTCAGCAGCATGACGACAGGGCCTTGTCTGGCTTCTTCACTGTGGATTCCCAGCCTCAAGAAGGCAACCAGGCCCATGTGTAGCCACTGAGTCAGAGCCTTTAACAAAAAGGATAAAGAAGAAGAAGAAGGCTGGGCGCGGTGGCTCACGCCTGTAATCCCAGCACTTTGGGAGGCCGAGGTGGGTGGATCACGAGATCAGGAGATCAAGACCATCCTGGCCAACATGGTGAAACCCTGTCTCTACTAAAAATACAAAAATTAGCCAGGTGTGGTGGCGCACGCCTGTAGTCCCAGCTACTCGGGAGGCTGAGGCAGGAGAATTGCTTGAACCCGGGAGAAGGAGGCTGCAGTGAACCAAGATCACTCCACTGCACTCCAGCCTGGCGACAGAGCGAGACTCTGTCTCAAAAAAAAAAAAAGAAAAAGAAGAAGAAGAAGAAGAAGAACAATAATAATAATGACTTACATTAAGTGTTTGCTAATTGAATCCTTACAGCACTGTGACATAGTAGGTACATTGATTTTGCCACTTTGCACTTGCTGTTCCCTTTGCCCGGAACACTCTTCCCAGGTGTTTGCAGGACTTTTCTCTCCATGCAGGTCTCTGCTCAAATATCACCAACTCAGAGAGGACTTTCCTAACCCCCTCCCTAAAGGAGTGCCAAGCATCACTCCCTAATCCCATATCCTGTGGTTAAGGATTTCACTGTGTCCCTTCTAAAAAGATATGTTAAAGTCTTAACCCCCAGTACCCAAGGATGTGACTTGATGTAGAAATGGGATTTTTTTTTTTTTTTTGAGACAGAGTCTCGCTCTGTTGCCCAGGCTGGAGTGCAGTGATACAATCTCGGCTCACTGCAACCTCCACCTCCCTGGTTCAAGCGATTCTCCTGCCTCAGCCTCCCAAGTAGCTGGGACTACAAGCATGTGCCACCACGCCCAGCTAATTTTTTGTATTTTTAATAGAGATGGGGTTTCACCGTGTTAGCCAGGATGGTCTTGATCTCCTGACCTCGTGATCCACCCACCTCAGCCTCCCAAAGTGCTGGGATTACAGGCGTGAGCCACCACGTCTGGCCTGAAATAGGATCTTTACAGAAGTAATCAAGTTAAAATGGGGTCATTAAGGTGGGCCCTAATCCAATATGACTGATGTCCTTATAAAATGAAGAAATCTGAGGCCAGGTACGGTGGTTCACACCTGTAATCCCACCACTTTGGGAGGCCAAAGCAGGTGGATCACCTGAGGATGACCTCTGGCCAACATGGCAAAACCCCATCTCTACTAAAAATACAAAAATTAGCCAGGTGTGGTGGTACACGCCTGTAATCCCAGCTATTTGGGAGGCTGAGGCACAAGAATCACTTGTACCTGGGAGGCAGAAGTTATAGTGAGCCGAGATCACACCACTGCACTCCAGCCTGGGCAACAGAGTGAGACTTCACCTCAAAAAAAAAAAAAAAAAAGAAATAGGATCTTTACAGAGGTAATCAAGTTAAAATGGGGCCATTAGGGTGGGCCCTAATCCAATATGACTGAAGTTCCTATAAAAAGAAGAAATCTGAGGCTGGGTGTGGTGGCTTACGCCTGTAATCGCAGCACTTGGGAGACTGAGGCGGGCGGATCACTTGAGCCCTGGAGTCTGAGATCAGCCTGGCCAACATGGTGAAACCCTGTCTCTACAAAAAATACAAAAATTAGCTGGGTGTGGTGGCGCACAGCTCTCAGGAGCTGAAGCAGGAGGATCACTTAAGCACAGGAGTCGAGGCTGCAATGAGCTGTGATGGTGTCATTGCATTCCAGCCTGGGTGACAGAGTAAGACCCTGCTGCCAAAAAAAAAAAAAAAGAAGAAGAAGAAATCTAGGCTAGGCACAGTGGCTCATGCCTGTAATCCCAGCACTTTGAGAGGCTGAGGTAGGAGGATCTCTCAAGCCCAGAAGTTCAAGACTAGCCTGGGCAACATAGCAGGACCCTGCCTGTTTGAAAAAATTTTTTTAAATTATCAGGGGTTGGTGGTGTGTGCCTCTAGTCCCAGTTACCTGGGAGGCTGAGGCAGGTGGACCACTTGAGCCAAGTTGAGGTTGCAGTCCAGCCTTGGTGACAGAGTGAGACCTTGTCTCAAAACAAAAAAGAAGAAATCTGGACCCGTGGCCGGGCATTGGTGGCTCATGCCTGTAATCCCAGCACTTTGGGAGACCAAGGCGGGCAGATCACCTGAGGCTGAGAGTTTGAGACCAGCCTGACCAATATGGCAAAACTCCATCTCTACTAAAAATACAAAAATTAGCCAGGTTGTGGTGGCACGTGCCTGTAATCCCAGCTACTTGGGAGGCTGAAGTAGGAGAATCGCTTGAACCCAGGAGACGGAGGTTGCACTGAGCCGAGATTGCACCACTGCACTCCAGCCTAGGTAAAAGAGCAAGACCCTATCTAAAATAAACAAACAAACAAACAAACAAATAAAAAAGAAAGGAAGGAAGGAAGGAAAGAAAAAAAAAGAAAAGAAATCCGGACACAGAGACAGACACAGACGGAAGATGATGTGAAGACAGAGGATTGGAGCAATGCATCTACAAGCCAAGACATGCCAGAAATTGCCAGCAACCACCTGAAGCTAATAGGAAGAGGTAAGGAGGACTGTCCCCTACAGGTTTCAGAGGAAGCATGTCCCTGCCCACACCTCGATTTGAGACTTGTAGCCTCCAGAACTGTGAGACAATATATTTCTGTAGTTTTAAGCCACCCAGTTGTGCTGCTTTGTTTTGGCAGTCCTAGCAAACGGACACACTTGCTTTATTTTTCTTTATTTAAAGCTCTGATAGCCACCTGCCACTGCACACATTTATTTGCCTGCTGACTCCCTGCACCCAGGATGGACTGCAGGTCTCTTGAGGCTGAGGTCTCATGTTCATATGTTCATGCATCTGTTACAAGGGCTGGCATTTACTCCTTCCTTCAGGAACTATTCATTTGAGTGCCTACTATGCCAGGCCCTGCCTTCTTTTTTTTTTTTTTTTTTTTTTGAGACAAAGTCTCACTTTGTCACCCAAGCTGGAGTGCAGTGGTGCAATTCTCATGCCTCAGCCTCCTGAGTAGCTGGGACTACAGGCATGTGCCACCACACCTGGCTAATTTTTTGTATTTTAGTGGAGACGGGATTTCACCATGTTGCCCAGGCTGATCTCAAACTCCTGACCTCAGGCAATCCACCCGCCTCGGCCTCCCAAAGTGCTGGGATTACAGACAGAGTGAGCCACCGCGCCCTGCCAAGCCTTGGCTTTTTGAAGTTTACATTCTAGTAAGAAGAAACAGGTAATAAACAATAAACAGATAATAAAAAACAACAATAAGTAAATAATAAACAATAAATAGGAACAATAAAATAGGTAGTGTGTTAAATGGTGATGAGTGCTATGGAAAAAAATATAGCAGCAAGGGAGATGGTGGGGGGTTGGGGTGGGCAACGGTGGTCATCAGTGTAGACAGAGGCCTCACCAAGGAGCTGACAGCTGAGCCTGAATAAGATCAAGGAGGAGGCGTGGGGGATTTTGGGGGACAGCAGTACAGGTTGAACAGGGGTTCCCAGCAAGAGCGATTTTGCCCTCCAGGGGACATTTGTCTGGAAATATTAGGGAGTTGCTCCTGGCACCTAGTGGGTAGAGGCCAGGGATTCTGCTAACCATCCTGCAATGCATGGAACAGCCCCATAACAAAGAATGGCCCAGCTGGCTGGGCACGGTGGCTCACGCCTGTAATCCCAGCACTTTGGGAGGCTGAGGCTGGTGGATCACGAGGTCAGGAGTTCGAGACCAGCCTGGCCAACATGGTGAAACCCTGTCTCTACTAAAAATACACAAATTAGCCAGGAATGGTGGCATGTGCCTGTAATCTCAGCTACTCAGGAGGCTGAGGCAGGAGAATTGCTTGAACCCAGGAGGTGGAGGTTGCAGTGAGCCAAGATTGTGCCACTGGACTCCAGCCTGGGCAACAGAGCAAGACTCTGTCTCAAAAAAAAAAAAAAAAAGAAGAAAAAGAAGAACGGCCCAGCCACAAATGTCCGCAGCAGTGAGGTTGAGAATCCTTAAGGGAGAGGGAAGAGGAAGCCCTCAGCCTCGGAGTGCCCTGCAGGGACCAGGTGTTGGAGGAATAGCCAAGGCGATCACTGCTCAGATGTTTTACTCTCTGGGAGGACACCGTGGTGGGGAAGGTTAGAGGGTACTGAGGAAACAGAAATATGTCGCAGGCCATTTTAAGAAGTTCAGTTTTTACTCTAAATAAGACCAGAAATCACTGGAGACTTTCTGCAGATAAGAGACACAGGCTGACAAGTTCCACAAACATCACTCTGGTCATGGGGTTGCAAATCGACTGAAGGGGGCCATGGCAGATGTAGGGAGACTAGTGGGGATGGTTGGAATGTTCCAGGCCTGCGATGCTGGTGGCTCAGAGCAGGGTGAAGGAGGACAGCAAGTCAGGATTCTGGACCTACTTGGGAAATCTAGTTGTCAGGGTTTGTGGAGTATGGGAGGGAGGAAGAGGAGGCATGGATGACTTCAAGATCTTTGTTGTTGTTGTGTTTGTTTGTTTGTTTGTTTTTGAGACAGGGTCTCGCTCTGTTGCCCAGGCTGGAGTGCAGTGGCGCGATCACAGCTCACTGCAACCTCCGCCTCCCGGTTTCCAGCAATTCCACTGCCTCAGCCTCCGGAGTAGCTGAGATTACAGGTGCACGCCACCACGCCTGGCTAATTTTTGTATTTTTAATGGAGATGGGATTTCACCATGTTGACCAGGCTGGTCTCAAACTCCTGACCTCAAGTGATCCACCTGCCTCCCAAAGTGTTGGGATTACAGACATGAGCCACCGCAACCGTGATTTGTTTTGTTTCCAGGCTGGAGTGCAGTTGGCGCCATCATGGTTCACTGCAGCCTCTACCTGAGCTCACGTGATCCTCCCATCTCAGTCTCCTGAGTAGCTAGGACCACAAGCCCACACCGCTATGCCCAGCTAATATTTTGAATTTTTTGTAGAGACAGGGTCTTGCTCTGTTTCCTAGGCTGGTCTCAAGCTCCTGGGCTCAAGTGATCCGCCCCCACCTTAGCCTTCCAAAGTGCTTAGACTTCAATATCTTCTGACCTGAGCTGCTGGGGGGCTGGAGTTGGTGCGGGCTGAGATGGGGACAGTAGTGGGAGGAACAGGCTGGGGGAGGATGAATGTGGGGGTGAGCTATTAGTCATCCAAGTGGAGATGTCACGGAGGCAGTCGGATGATGGAGTGCAGGGGAAGTTTGGGCTGGAAGTATAAATGTGGGAGGCATCAGCATCTAGACGGAATTTAAAGCCATGACGCATATGGGCTGAGATCACCTAGGACTGTGCGTGATGGGAAAGAATCGGGTCCAAGGGCCAGTCCCTGACACTCTCCACAGCTTGGACATTTGGCTGTGAGAATGAACCAACAAAGATGACAGCCGGGTGCGGTGGCTCATGCCTGTAATCCCAGTACTTTGGGAGGCCGAGGTGGGCAGATCACCTGAGGTCAGGAGTTCAAGACCAGCCTGGCCAACATGGCAAAACCCCATCTCTACTAAAAAATACAAAAATTAGCTGGGTGTGGTTGCAGGCACCTGTAATCCCAGCTACTCGGGAGGCTGAGGCAGGGAGAATTGCTTGAATCCGGGAGGTGGAGTTTGCAGTCAGCTGAGATCTCACCACTGCACTCCAGCGTGGGTGAAAGAGCCAGACTTTATTTCAAAAAATAAATAAAAGAAAAAGAAAATTGCTCCTTCAAGCCACGTAACAGGAGCAGAGAAGGAAAGGTGGGTCGAAGCCCAGCTTGGGCATTTTCCAGGTGTGACCTTGGACAAGTTCCGGCCTTCCCCAGTTACCCCATGACACTGCTGTCAAGGATAGAGGAGATCATGAAAAGTGAAGAGCCTCTCAGCTTTGTAAACTGTGAAGTGCCTTCTAAGGATCAGGGTGATTGCCAACTGAGCATTTCTATAACACCACCACTGAAATAAAAACTCAAGGTCGCACAGCTTCTGCTGACATCATTCAGCAGAGAACAGATGCAGAATTTCCAACCTTTCAAGAGCTGTGCACCCTGTTAGCTTGAGGGCCAAGACCTTACCACTTCCTGACCAAAACATAATGCATACAGCATATTAACCTGAAAAAAATTCTAGGAAATAGAAAAACATGCATGTAGTAAATAATTAAAATGGCATAGAAACGTATCCATGGGGCTGGGCGTGGTGGCTCACGCCTGTAATCCCAGCACTTTGGGAGGCTGAGGCGGGCGGATCATGAGGTCAGGAGTTCGAGACCTGCCTGGCTAACATGGTGAAACCCTGTCTCTACTAAAAATACAAAAAATTAGCCGGGCATGATGGCAGGCACCTGTAATCCCAGCTAATTGGGAGGCTGAGGCAGGAGGATCTTTTGAAGCTGGGAGGTGGAAGTTGCAGTGAGCTGAGATCAAGCCATTGCACTCCAGCCTGGGCTACAGAGCAAGACTCCGTCTTGAGGAAAAAAAAAAAAATTAGCCGGGCGTGGTGGTGGGCGCCTGTAATCCCAGCTACTTGTGAGGCTGAGGCAGGAGAATCACTTGAACCTGAGAGGCAGAGGTTGCTGTGAGCCGAGATCGCACCACTGCACTCCAGCCTGGGCGACAGAGCGAGACTCCGTCTCAAAAAAAAAAAAAAAGACTTTGCTCTGGTCAGGAGTGGTAGCTCATGCTGTAATCCCAGCACTTTGGGAGGCCAAGGTGGGAGGACCAATTGAGTCCAGGAGTTCAAGGCTACTAGTGAGCTATGATCATGCCACTCCACTGCACTCCAGCCCAGGCAACAGAATGAGACCCTCTCTCTAAAAGAAAAAAAAAAAAAAGCCAGGTGAGGTGGCTCACGCCTGTAATCCCAGCACTTTGGGAGGCTGAGGCGGGTGGATCACTTGAGGTCAGGAGTTCAAGACCAGCCTGGCCAACATGGTGAAATCCCGTCTCTACTAAAAATATAAAAATTAGCCGGGTGTGGTTGCCTGCGCCTGTAATCCCAGCTACTCAGGAGGCTGAGGCAGAATTGCTTGAACCTGGGAGGCGGAGGTTGCAGTGAGCTGAGATCATGTCACTGCACTCCAGCCTGGGCGACAGAGCAAGACTCCATCTCAAAAAAAAAAAAAAAAAATTTATAAAAGCACAGGGTCTTCCAGAAATTGTGGATTAATTGGTCTGGGGAGACGACCAAGCATTTGATTTTTGTTGTTTTTTTTTTTTGTTTCTTTGAGTTGTAGTCTCGCTCTGTCACCCAGGCTGGAATGCAATGGTGCGATCTGCGCTCACTGCAACCTCCGCCTCAAAGGTTCAAGCAATTCTCCTCCCTCAGCTTCCCAAGTAGCTAGGATTATAAGCACCTGCCACCATGTCCGGCTAATTTTATTGCATTTTTAGTAGAGACGGGGTTTCACCATGTTGGCCAGGCTGGTCACAAACTCCCAACCTCAAGTGATCCACCCGCCTCGGCCTCCCAAAATGCTGGGATTATAGGTGTGAGCCACCGCACCCAGGTTGATATAGTTTTTAAAGAGCCCCAGCTGATTCTAATGTGTAGCCACGGTTGAGCGCCACTGTTCTAGAAAACTACAAGTTTAAACTAGAACAAAAAGAGGCATTTTGGCCCGGCACAGTGGCAAACGCCTGTAATCCCAGCTACCTGGGAGGTTGAGGCAGAATCGCTTGAACCCGGGAGGAGGAGGTTGCAGTGAGCTGAGATGGCACAACTGCACTACAGCCTGGGCAACAGAGTGAGACTCCGTCTCAAAAAAAAAAAAAAAAGCAGGGGGAGGGGAGGCATTTTGGCATGTCCATCACTAATGGGATATACACGCACACCATATCCTGGGTTGTAGCTTTGCAGGCAGTAAATCTAATTTTTTAATTTTTTTCAATTTCAGCTCCACTCCTAACTAACTATGATTTAGGGCTGTAGGGAAGAAAAAGTACCTTTTCCTCACCCATCACAAGGTTCATGGCTAACACCCCTAAAGACAGATTAACAAGAGATAAGCATGACAAATTTATTTAACCCAAGTTTTGAGTGACTCAGGAGTCTTCCAAAGTGAAGAACCGTGACCCAGGGCACCTGTGTTTTTATGGACAGTCAAGCAGCAGTGTCACAGGAGGACAAAAGGGTTTGATCCAATGATGTACACAGTGGGAACTTAGCAAGGCCTGTGAGTTTAGTCTTCATGGTCTCCACGGACAGGACCGGACCCCCTCTGGAATGAGGGGCTTGGGGCCTACTTTCAGGAGAGGCAGGTCAGAGAAACCTTGAGTGGCCCACTGCAGAAGAGGAAGGCAGGAGAAGGTCAGAGAGTGACCTTCCTGCTTCTATGGTTTCCTCAAATTCCTTCAGCTTCAAATGCTCAGTTTGCCAAAGTGCTGTAATTTGGGGTATTGTGTTCCAAACCCCTACAGGAGAAGTCCCTACTGCTCTAAGCAGACTTGAGCAGGCATCAGAAGCACGTGGGCAGCTTGCTAAACACTGATTGAGGGACTCACCCCCACCAAGTTTCTCAGTTGAAAGATTTGAGAATCTGCATTTCTTGAAATTCTCAGGCCTTTTGATTAAGAAACTCTTTTTTTTTTTTTTTTTTTTTTTTGACAGAGTTTCACTCTTATTGCCTAGGCTGGAGTGCAATGGCATGATCTCGGCTCACTGCAACTTTAGCCTCCCTGGTTCAAGCGATTCTCCTGCCTCAGCCTCCTAAGTAGCTGAGATTACAGGGGCCCGCCACCACGCCCAGCTAATTTTTGTATTACAGGTGCCACCACGCCCAGCTAATTTTTGTATTTTTAGTAGAGACGGGGGTTTCACCACATTAGCCAGGTTAGTCTTGAACTCCTAACCTCAGGTGATCCATCCGCCTCGGCCTCCCAAAGTGCTGGGATTACAGGCGTGAGCCATCACACCCGGCAGATTAATAAATTCAATCAAGGACTTTGGGGGAAGTGGGGCTGAGAATTTGCATTTCTATCAAACGCCATCAGAATTTAGCAGGTGCTGCTGCTGATCCAGGGAACAGGCTTTGAGAACCAGGGCTCAGTTGATTACTAGTATAATTAACAACCTCTGATCCCATCACTGGCTCCCATTTCAGAGCAATGGTTGGTGCCTGCAAGCTTTCATCTCACTGTGTCCACACACAATCCCATGGGGTCCCAGTGTTCTTATGGATGAGGTTACCACGGCTGCAACATTCACAGTGAATTGTCCAGGGTCACGCAGCTGCAGCCAAAGTCTGGGGTGGAACACAGGTCTAATTACAAGCAGGAGAGAACCTGGGCAACACTTTCTTTGGGAGCATCAAAGCAAGCTCTCCCACCACCTGCTTGAGCACTTCCAAATCCTGCCGACATACCCAACCCTGCAACAGGCAAAGAGCCTCGCCTCCTGCTGGGAGAGCAGCTTCTTGCGGCGCGGCCTTCGCGAAACTCCGTGGAGAAATGGCGCCCCCTGGTGGCTCCAGAGAGAGCAGCGTTCCATTCTCCGGGCTGGGAGCTCTGGTCTCATGCGTCATGGACATTCTTGGACCCCATCACTAACATGGAAAATATTATTCAGTCCATTCCATCCTAGGAAAGAACTCAGGGTGCTGAAAGGAGGTGGGGACTTCAGAGCTCAGGAATGTAAAGGAAGGGCGGCGGACCGAGCCCTGGGGCTCTCAGGGGGCTGGAATGGTTAAAGCACAGCTGAGAACAATTCGGAGTTTCACCTTTGACCTTCCCAAAGACTTCTGCTGAGGAATTTTCTTTCTTTTTTTTTTTTTTTCTTTCAGACGGTGTTTCACTTTTGTCGCCAAGGCTGGAGTGCAATGTCGTGATCTCGGCTCACTGTAACCTCTGCCTCCCGGGTTCAAGTGATTCTCCTGCCTCAGCCTCCTGAGTTGCTGGGATTACAGGCGTGCACCAGCTAATTTTTGTATTTTTAGTGGAGACGGGGTTTCGCCACGTTTGGCCAGGCTGGTCTCAAACTCCTGACCTCAGGTGATCCACCCACCTTGGTCTCCTAAAGTGCTGGGATCACAGGTATGAGCCAGCGCGCCCGGCGGAGGAATTTTCAGTACTAAAGCTATAGTGTTGTGATGAGAGTCCGGCGTGCTCCCTGAATGCCGGTGCCCGATTCATAACCTAGTGCATTCGTTCACACATTATTCATTCAACAGATAAGCTTTTGCGTGCAGTACTATTCTGGGTGCTGGGACCACCGAAATCAGCAGAACAGACAGAATCTTTGCCTTCACGGATGCCTCCTGCCCTAGAACAGTGAATGAATGAATACATCAATAGGTAGAACACATGGAAAATAGATGACACTTAATAAAGAGATGTCATTGAGATGACACTTAAGCAAAACCCGGAGTGAGGAGAAAGAGCAGGTATCTGGTGAAGAAGTGTTCCAGGCAGAGAGAATGGTAAGAGCAAAGCCCCCGGGGCGTGGGTGTGTTTCTCTAACATGTTTGAGTTCTTTTTTTTTTTTTTTTGAGACGGAGTCTCCCGCTCTGTTGCCCTGGCTGGAGTGCAGTGGCGCCATCTTGGCTCACTGCAAGCTCCGCCTCCTGGGTTCACGCCATTCTCCTGCCTCAGCCTCCCGAGTAGCTGGTATTACAGGTGCCCGCCACCACGCCCGGCTAGTTTTTTGTATTTTTAGTAGAGACGGGGTTTCACCATGTTAGCCAGGATGGTTTCGATCTCCTGACCTTGTGATCCGCCTGCCTTGGCCCCCCAAAGTGCTGGGATTACAGGCGTGAGCCACTGCGCCCGGCCTTTTTTTTTTTTTAAATTAAAAAAATAAGGGCCAGGCACAGTGACTCACGCCTGTAATCCCAGCACTTTGGGAAGCCTAGTGGGGTGTATTACCTGAGGTCAGGAGTTTGAGACCAGCCTGGCCAACGTGGTGAAACCCCATCTCTACTAATTTGCTGGGCATGGTGGCACGCGCCTGTAGTCCCAGCTCCTTGGGGGGCTGAGGCAGGAGAATTGCTTGAACCTGAGAGGCTGAGGTTCCAGCAAGCCGAGATTGTGCCATTGCACTCCAGCCTGGGCGACAAGAATGAAACTGTCTCAAAGAAAGAAAAAAAATAAAAATAAATATGGTGCTGGGCGTGGTGGCTCATGCTGTAATCCCACCACTTTGGGAGGTAGAGGTCAGGAGTTGGAGACCAGCCTGGCCAACATGGTGAAACCCCCTCTCTACTAAAAATACAAAAATTAGCTGGGCATGGTGGCCTGTAATCCCAGCTACTTGGGAGGCTGAGGCATGAGAATCACTTGAACCCAGGAAGCGAAGGTCGCAGTGAGCCAAGATCATACCACTGCACCCCAGCCTGGGTGACAGAGCAAGACTCCGTCCCCCTCACCCCCAAAAAAGAGAGAGATGGGGTCTCTCTATGTTGCCCAGGCTGGTGTCGACCTCCTGGGCTCAAGGGATCCTCCTATCTTGGCCTCCCAAAGTGCTAAGATTACAGGCATGAACCACTGCGCCCAGCTTGAGTTGTTAAAAAAATTTTTTTTGTAGAGATGGGGTCTTGCTATGTTGCCTGGGCTGGTCTTGTACTCCAGACCTCAGCCAGTCCTCCCACCTCAGTCTCCCAAAGTGCTAGGATTACAAGTGTGAGCCACCACGCCTGGCCTAGACTAGACTGTTGATGATGGAGTGGGATGTATCTCTTCATATCCAAGAACCACTTACCCTGTTATTAATTCGACAGTTTTTATTAAATCAACTTATTTTGTTTTATTTTTTGTTTATAGAGACAGGGTCTTGCTATGTTGCCCAGGCTGGTCTTGAACTCCCCAGCTCAAGCAATCCTCCTGTCTGGGCCTCCCAAAGTGCTAGGATTACAGGTGTGAGCCCCCATGTCTGGCCTGAAATAAACGCAGTGTTTTTTTTTTTTTGAGACAGTCTTGCTCTGTCGCCCAGGCTGGAGTGCAGAAGTGTGGTCTTGGCTGACTGAAACCAGGCAAAATCTGGGCCGGGTGTGCTGGCTCATGCCTGTAATCCCAGCACTTTGGGAGGCCAAGGCAGGGGGATCTCCTGAGGTCAGAAGTTCAAGACCAGCTTGGCCAACATGGTGAAACCCTGTCTCTACTAAAAATACAAAAATTAGTCAGGTGTGGTGGTGCACGCCTGCAATCCCAGAGCTACTGAGGAGGCTGAGACAGGAAAATCGGTTGAACCTGGGAGGCAGAGGTTGCAGTGAACCGAGACCGCACCATTGCACTCCAGCCTGGGCAACAAGAGCGAAACTCAGTCTCAAAAAAAAAAATCTAAATAGGCCAGGCACGGTGGCTCATGCCTGAAATCCCAGCACTTTGGGATGCCGAGACAGGAAGGTCACTTGAGCCCAGGAATTCAAGACCAGCCTAGGAAACAGAGTGAGACCCTCCATCTCTACTAAAAATTAAAAAAATTAGCCCAGTGTGGTAACACATGCCTGTAGTCCCAGCTACTAGGGAGGCTGAGGCGGGAGGATCGCTTGAGTCTGGAAGGTGGAGGCTGCAGAGAGCCGTGATAGCACCACTGCATTCTGGCCTAAGAGAAAGAGCCAGACCCTCACACCTAATCCCAGAACTTTGGGAGGCCGAGGTGAGCAAATCACGAGGTCAGGAGATCAAGACCATCCTGGCTAACACAGTGAAGCCCCGTCTCTACTAAAAATACAAAAAATTAGCCGGGTGTGGTGGCAGGTGCCTGTAGTCTCAGCTACTCGGGAGGCTGAGGCAAGAGAATGGCGTGAACCTGGGAGGCGGAGCTTGCAGTGAACCGAGATCATGCCACTGCACTCCAGCCTGGGTGACAGAGCGAGACTCAAAAAAAAAAAAAAAAAAAAAAAAAAAAAGCCAGACACTGTCTCAAAAAAAAAGAAAAGAAAAGAAAAGAAAAACCTGAAATACTTATTTCAGCCTGATAGAGTCCATTGAGGAGAGAACAGGAACAGGAGAGAAAGGGGAGATGGTAGCGATAAACATGCCTTCGAGAAATTTTACTAAACAAAGGAGCAGAGAAATGGGACCCTCTGTGGAATGACATCCCCAGAGGTGTCTAGCTAGATAAGACAGTAAGATTTGCCGGGCACGGTGGCTCACGCCTGTAATCCCAGCACTTTGGGAGGCTGAGGCGGGCGGATAACTTGAGGTCAGGAGTTCGAGACCAGCCTGGCCAACATGGTGAAACCCCATCTCTATTGAAAATACAAAAATTAGTGGGGCATGGTGGGCAGGCCCCTGTAATCCCAGGCAGGAGAATTGCTTGAACCTGAGAGGTGGAGGTTGTAGTGAGCCAAGATCGCACCACTGCACTCTAGCCTGGGTGACAGGGCAAGACTCCGTCTCGAAAAAAAAAAAAAAAAGATTTAAGTGCATGTTGACACCTTGTATCGTCCCAGGATTTGGGGCCTGGGTCTTGCCTTGTTTCTAGATAATCTGGTTCAGTGCCAAGATTTTAAATAGCATCTCCATGCTGATGACTTCCCTATTCATATCTCCTGTCTCCTGCACACATCCAAATCTACAGACTGGCTGGCGTTCTCAGCCATCAATTGTCCAGAACAGAACTCTTGACTGGCTCTTGTCCCACCCTCTGCCCCTTCCATACGGCTTCATAAGGATGAGAGTAAGGAGTGGTCCTTGTTCTCTTTTTCCTCTCACTTGGCTTCCAGGCCATTAGCAAGCATTGAGGGCTCCCACCCTCACCCCCATCTCTACTGCTCCCATCTTTTAGTCTCTCTGTCTCCACCCGTGGCCCATGAATCACTTTTCCACTCAGCAGTCAGGCAGATCTGAAAAAGTAAATCAAGTCACGCCAGTCTTCTACTTAAAATTCAACATTTTTATCCAGGACAACCAGAATAAAAACCAAATTGGCCAGGTGCAGTGGCTCACGCCTGTGGTCCCAGCACTTTGGGAGGCCGAGATGGGCGGATCACGAGGTCAGGAGATCGAGACCATCCTGGTTAACACGGTGAAACCCCATCTCTACTAAAAATACAAAAAAATTAACCGGGCATGGTGGCGGGTGCCTGTAGTCACAGCTACTCGGGAGGCTGAGGCAGGAGAATGACGTGAACCCGGGAGGCAGAGCTTGCAGTGAGCTGAGATCACGCCACTGCACTCCAGCCTGGGCGACAGAGCAAGACTCTGTCTCAAAAAAAAAAAAAAAAAAAGAATAAAAACCAAATTTTTTTTTTGAAATAGGGTCTTGCTCTGTCACTCAGGCTGAAGTGCAGTGGTGTGATCACAGCTCACTGCAGCCTGGATCCTCCTGCATCAGCCTCCCAAGTAGCTGGGACCACAGGTGTCCCCCACCACGCCTGAGTTTCTTTTTTTTTTTTTTTGAGATGGAGTGTCTTGCTTGTCACCCAGGCTGGAGTGCAATGCCAACATCTCAGCTCACTGCAACCTCCACCTCCCGGGTTTAAGCAATTCTCCTGCCTCAGCCTCCCAAGTAGCTGGGATTACAGGTGCATGCTACCATGTCTGGCTAATTTTTATATTTTTAGTAGGGACAGGGTTTCACCATGTTGGCCAGGCTAGTCTCGAACTTCTGACCCCAGGTGATCCACCCACCTCGGCCTCCCAAAGTGCTGGGATTACAGGCATGAGCCACTGCACCTGGCCTAATTTTTTAATTTAAAAAAAATTATTATTATTATTATTATTTTTTGAGACGGAGTCTCGCTCTGTCACCCAGCTGGAGTGCAGTGGCATGATCTCAGCTCACTGCAACCTCTGCTTCCTGGGTTCAAGCAATTCTCTGCCTCAGCCTCCAGAGTAGTCAGGATTACAGGTGTCTGCCACCATGCCTGGCTAATTTTTGTATTTTTAGTAGAGACGGGGTTTCACCATGTTGACCAGGCTGGTCTTGAACTCCCAACCTCATGATCTATCTGCCTTGGCCTCCCAAAGTGCTGGGATTACAGGTGTGAGCCACTGCGCCTGGCCAATTTTTTAATTTTTATATTTGTTTGTAGAGATGGGGGTCTCCCTGTGTTGCCCAGGCTGGTCCTGAACTCCTGAGCTCAAGCAATCCTCTGGCCTCAGCCTCCCAAAGAGTTGGGATTACAGGTATGAGTCACTGTGCCTGGCCCCAGACTCTCTTCAGTGGCCTCCAAGTTCCTCCATGATCTTTTCCTGGCCTCTGATTTCATCTCATACATTCTCTGCCTTCTTCATCATTTTGTTCTCCAAGAGTCTATCCCCTGCCACGCCCACACCACCCCCACCACTGGCACCTCTTGAATTTCTCAAACTAAGATTCCTTTCCAATGGCATATTGCGTGGGATTCTCTCTTCCAGTATCTGCACATGGCCAGTTTCTTTTCATCCATCTCAACTTAAACATCACAGGTAGATGCTTTTGTGCAAACACAACCTCCCTGTCCACTCTGCCCCACATCCACATGTGGCCTTGTCATGTGGCCACGCCTAGCTGCAAAGAAAGCTGGGAAATGTAATACTTAATTGGGCAGCTCTGTGCTTCCTTTTAGTCACATCCCCCAAGGGCAGCACTATCTTGATTACTCACCGTGACATGCGATTTACATTTACACAAATAGCCTCCGGTTTTTTTTTTTTTTTTTTTTTTTTTTTTTGAGACGGAGTCTCGCTCTGTCGCCCAGGCCGGACTGCGGACTGCAGTGGCGCAATCTCGGCTCACTGCAAGCTCCGCTTCCCGGGTTCACGCCATTCTCCTGCCTCAGCCTCCCGAGTAGCTGGGACTACAGGCACCCGCCACCGCGCCCGGCTAATTTTTTGTATTTTTAGTAGAGACGGGGTTTCACCTTGTTAGCCAGGATGGTCTCGATCTCCTGACCTCATGATCCACCCGCCTCGGCCTCCCAAAGTGCTGGGATTACAGGCGTGAGCCACCGCGCCCGGCCGCCTCCTGTTTTTTTTTTGAGACGAGTCTCGCTCTGTTGCCCAGGCTGGAGTGCAGTGGCGCGATCTTGGCTCACTGCAAGCTCCGCCTCTCAGGTTCAAGCCATTCTCCTGCCTCAGCCTCCCGAGTAGATGGGACTACAGGCGCCCACCACCACGCCCGGCTAATTTCTTTTTTTCATTTTTAGTAGAGATGGGGTTTCTCCATGTTAGCCAGGATGGTCTCGATCTCCAGACCTCATGATCCACCCGCCTCGGCCTCCCAAAGTGCTGGGATTACAGGCGTGAGCCACCACGCCCAGCCAGCCTCCTGTTATTTATACTTACTCTTCACTCTGTTTTGAATATCTCTTTTACTCCAATGCTGATGAGTTCCTGTCACCTGGATTCCAGGACTTGCCTCAGATCCTAGCCTTCCAGAAGCCTAGTTTCAGCCTTTTTTTTTTTTGAGACGGAGTCTCACTCTGTCGCCCAGGCTGGAATGCAATGGTGTGATCTCGGCTCATTGCAACCTCTGCCTCCCAGGTTTAAGCAATCCTCCTGCCTCAGCCTCCCTAGTAGCTGGGATTACAGGCGTGCACCACCACGCCCAGCTAATTTTTGTATTTTTAGTAGAGACAGCGTTTCGCCATATTGGCCAGGCTGGTCTCAAACTCCTGACCTCAGGTGATCCGCCCATCTTGGCTTCCCAAAGTGCTGGGATTACAGGGATGAGCCACCACACAAGGCCTCCAGCCTTTCTTTTGAGTCAATAAGCTACACCATATTCTACCAATATTTTTACTTGAGTCAGCAGTGGTTTCCTACACCTGCAACTCAAGAACTCTAAGGGTTACTGCCTCCATTGTTTGTTAAGGCACCACAAGACTTTGCTGAACTGTACATAATGCTTTAGGTCAATAAAATAATCATCATCATAATGACAACTGAGGAGAAAGTCATGATAATATCAACCTATTGAGCACTATGGTTTTTTTGTTTTATTTTGTTGAGACAGGGTCTCTGTCACCTAGATTGGAATACAGTGGTGTGATATTAGCTCACTACAACCTCTGGCTCTTGAGCTCAAGCCATCCTCCTGCCTCAGCCTCCCGAGTAGCTGGGACTATAGGCACGTGCCACCATGCCCCGCTAATTTTTTTTTTTTTTTAAGTAGAGACGAGGTCTTGCTATGTTGCCCAGGCTGGTGTCGAACTCCTGGGCTCAAGCTGGGCTCAAGCTATCCTCCTGTCTCAGCCTCCCAGTGAGCACTATATTAGTTAGCACATAGATTCTGTACAAAGATCAAGAGAGAACAGTCTACTTTATTTCCCATTTAGTAGTCCATCTATAAGGGGTTGAGAGCTATTTGGGTGGCTTCCTGTTCTCTGGCTGGGCCCCAGGCTCCTCCTATCTTGTTGCTCAGTGTCCTCAACACATGGCTTCCACCTTAGGGACCAAGAGAGTCACTCCAGCTCCTGCAGGAAAGAAAGGAAGAGAGAGGGAGGGCACTCTCTTTTCCATTTATGGTCTTGGTCCAGGAAGTTGCCTGCATTACTTCTGTTCCCATCCCATTGGCCAGAACCTTGTCATGTGGCCACGCCTAGTTGCAAAGAAAGCTGGGAAATGTATTATTTAATTGGGCAGCTCTGTGCTTCCTTTTAGTCACATCCCCCAAGGGCAACGCTATCTTGATTACTCACCATGACATGCGTTTTACATTTACACAAATAGCCTCCTGTTACAGAGTTCTTTGGTTTTTGTTTTCACTCTGTTTTGAAGATCTCAACACGGGTCTCTGTAAATATCTAGTCCATTTCTTCGGCTTCCCCATCTTCTGTGCATTCACCACATTTTACCAAAGTACTCTCCTAGCAATGGCCCCCATATGGCCGCCTCCACACACATCACTGCCTCTTCTCCCCAGGAAGGAGATGCCGGGGCATAGGCTATGTGGGTGCAAAACACTGCCAGGTTGCTCTCCCACATAGCAGCTGCCAGCCCACACTCCTGCCAGGTGCATGTGGGGGTTCTATAGTCCCATAAAAGGTATTTTATTCATTTTTGTCATGTCTATAGTTGGACATCTGTTGTTTTTTGCATGGCCAGCATCCATTCTTCTTTTTTTGGTCACTGTGCCCTAGCATTCTTTTGGGAAACTACCTTTTCCGTCATTCT
Organism: Homo sapiens; assembly: GCF_000001405.40. Lineage (NCBI taxonomy): Eukaryota > Metazoa > Chordata > Mammalia > Primates > Hominidae > Homo > Homo sapiens. The sequence continues at coordinate 47,392,798 of NC_000020.11, forward strand.
CAATCCACGTGATTCAGATGGGACTGAATCTCTTACTTACTGGTGTGACCAGGTGATGACACACTGGCCAACAACCATCTAGCACCTCCCAATCAATCCAGTGAAGGCATGTGACTCAAACTGAATCAAATTAGAGCCAGGTCAGGACTCTCACTGGAACTGTTGGGAAAAGGGCTTTCCCTTTCTCTGTGGGTGGTTAAGCTAGAGTGGGTAGAGGCCAAGACTGCTATGATCTCAGGGTAGAAGCTACCTGAGGGTGAAGCAGGCCTCCACAGAAGAAAGTATAGCTGAGAGATGAAGAGTGAGGGTAATTCTCATACTGTGAGAACCAACCATGCCTGAAGGCGACTTGCACTAGAGCTTTTATAAGTTACATAAGTTTCATAGAGTTACATAAGCCAATAAATTCCTTATTTATTTATTGAGACAGAGTCTCATTCTGTCGTTTACACTGGAGTGCAGTGGTACAATCTCAGCTCACTGCAACTTCTGCCTCCCAGGTTCAAGTGATTCTCCTACCTCAGCCTCCCAAGTAGCTGGGATTACAGGTGTGTACCACCATGTCCAGATAATTTTTTTATTTTCAGTAGAGACGGGGTTTCGCCACGTTGGCCAGGCTGGTCTCACACTCCTGGCCTCAAGTGATCCACCTGCCTCGGCCTCCCAAAGTGCTGGATCACAGGCGTGAGCCACCATACCCAGCCAAATTCTTTTTTACACAAGCCAATTTGAGTTGGGCTTAGGTCACTCAAAAGAAGTCAGACTAACCCCACCCATCCTGGTGCTAGGCATACAGTAGGTCATAGGACAAATGTTTGTTTTTTCTTTTTTTGGTAAAGAAAGGCAGACTTATTAGAGAAAGTATGAAGATACACTGCATGAAAGCAAAGGGCAGCACAGCAGAGAAGGGGCTGTCTGCAAATGTTTGTTGAATGAATGAATGAGCCCATGTGTGGGAATAAATGAGACATGACAGACAGCTACCCAGTGATGTGTAAATATCCACAGTGAGTTATCCAGGAGTTCAGGTGAGGAGCACAGGCTTACTTATTTTGCTAAATATGAATTCTAAGGCTAAACAAGACACATGTGAGCTCATTCACTCATTGCACTCCAGTTTTGTTCCTTTTGCTTTCAGATAATCAGATCACGACAGGCGCCGGCCATCACACCTGGCTTATTCTTGTATTTTTAGTAGAGATAAGGTTTCATCATGTTGGCCAGGCTGGTCTCGAACTCCTGACCTTAGGTGATCTGCCTGCCTCGGCCTCCCTAAAGTGTTAGGATTACAGGTGTGAGCCACCACGCCTGGCTCTAAAAGGGTATCTTTTTTTTTTGAGGTGGAGTTTTGCTGTTGTCACCCAGGCTGGAGTGCAATGGCATGATTTCAGCTCACTGCAACTTCCACCTGCCAGGTTCAAGTGATTCTCCTGCCTCAGCCTCTCGAGTAGCTGGAACTACAGGCACACGCCACCACGCCTGGCTAATTTTTGTGTTTTTAGTAGAGACAAGGTTTCAATGTGTTGGCCAGGCTGATCTTGAACTCCTGACTTCAAGTAACCTGGCTGTCTCGGCCTCCCAAAGTGCTGGGATTACAGACGTGAACCACTGCACCCAGCCAAGAGGGTATCTTAAGACCCCACTACATTCCCCCTAGAGGAATAGAGACTAGATAGGCACCACAGGACCCTCTATTCTGCAATTTTCTAGGTATGTTTTATTTTGAGCTGATTTTTATGAAAAGTGAGTACTGAGAAATCCTGAGTGTGGATATTAATCCCATACATCTTACAATGATTTAAATTAAAATTAAATTTGAATTTTTTTGGTCTTTTACTTGAGTATTTGTAAAAAGTAATAAATGTATTTCATTTTAAAATTACCAGTGTTCAGTCCAGGTGCAGTGGCTCACACCTGTAATCCCAGCACTTTGGGTGGCCGAGGCAGGAGGATCACTTGAGGTCAGGAGTTCGAGACCAGCCTGACCAACATGGCAAAACCCCATCTCTACTAAAAATACAAAAATTAGCCGGGTGTGGTGGCACACACCTAGTTCCTGCTCCTCGGGAGGCTAAGTCATGAGAATTGCTTGAACCCAGGAGGTGGAGATTGCAGTGAGCCGAGATCATACCACTGCACTCCAGCCTAGGCAACACAGTAAGACTCTATCTCAAAATAAATAAATAAATAAATAAATGTAAATAAAATTACCAGAGTTCAAGCACAACACAGGACATGTGTGACAGGCCTGTGTCCTTTGCATCTCTTACCTGTGATTTGCTTTTTTTTTGAGATGGAGTTTTGCTCTTGTCACTTAGGCTGGAGTGCAATGGCGAGATCTTGGCTCACTGCAACCTCTGCCTCCTGGGTTCAAGTGATTCTCCTGCCTCAGCGTCCTGAGTAGCTGGGATTACAGGCACCTGCCATCACGCCCAGCTAATTTTTTTATTTTTAGTAGAGGCGGGGTTTCACCATGTTGGCCAGGCTGGTCTTGAACTCCTGACCTCAGGTGATCCGCCTGCCTCGGCCTCCCAAAGTTCTGGGATTACAGGTGTGAGCCACTGTGCCTGGCCTCTGTGATTTGCTTTTGTATTGAGATACAGTCTCATTTTGTCACCCAGGCTGGAGTTTGTGGCATGATCATGGCTCACTGCAGCCTCAACCTCCCAGGCTCAAGCAATCCTTCAACCTCAGCCTCCCAAGTAGGTGGGACTACAGGTGCCTGCCACTACACCTGGCTAATTCTTGTATTTTTTGTAGAGGCAAGGTTTCACCATGTTGCCCAGGCTGCTGTGATTAGTTTTTGTTTTTGAGATGGAGTTTTCCTCTTGTTGCCCAGGCTGGAGTGCAATGGCACGATCTCGGCTTACCGCAATCTCTGTCTCCCGGGTTCAAGTGATTCTCCTGCCTAAGCCTCCCGAGTAGCTGGGATTACAGGCATGTGCCACCACACCTGGCTAATTTTGTATTTTTAGTAGAGACGGGGTTTCTCCATGTTGGTCAGGCTGGTCTCAAACTCCCGACCTCAGGTGATCCGCCCGCCTCAGCCTCCCAAAGTGCTGGGATTACAGGTGTGAGCCACCACACCCGGACTGATTTGTTTGGTTGGTTGGTTTTTTTGGAGATGGAGTCTCACTCTGTCGCCCAGGCTGGGGTGAAATGGCGCAATCTCGGCTCACTGCAACCTCCACCTGCCGGGTTCAAGCAATTCTCCTGTCTCAGCCTCCCTGTAGCTGGGATTACAGGCGTGCACCACCACACCCGGCTAATTTTTTGTCTTTTTAGTAGAGACGAGGCTTCACCATGTTGGTCAGGCTGGTCTTGAACTCCTGATCTCAGATGATCTACCCGCCTTGGCCTCCCAAAGTGCTGGGATTACAGGTGTGAGCCACCGCGCCTGTAGATTTGTTTTTTATCTATTTTTCAACTTTGAATTTCCAATTCATTAAAAAAGAAATCCTGGGGGTGCCAACTCTCTAGGAGCTTAATAATATTTCACTTCGGGCCTGGCGAGGTGGCTCACACATGGAATCGCAGCACTTGGGAGGCTGAGGCAAGAGGATCCCTTGAGCCCAGGAGCTCGAGACTAGCCTGGGCAACATAGCAAAACGCTGTCTCTACAAAATATGAAAAATTAGCAGGGTGTGATGGCACGCACCTGTACTCCCAGTTACTCGGGAGGCTGAGGTGGGAGGATCACTTGAGCCTGGGAAGTGGAGGCTTCGGTGAGCTGTGATCTCACCACTGCCCTCAGCCTGAGTGGCAGAGGGAGATCCTGTTTCAAAAAAAAAAACAAGATTTCACTTGAGGAACGGACTTTTGAATTCCCAAGCTAAAAGAAATCATAAGTATAATTATAATTATGGCATATTAGTGTTGCACCTAAGTAGCATAAGAAATGAATCAGGAACTTTTTGGGCTTTGGGCTTTAAATAGCAGAAACCATGATTTAGAATGGCTTACATGGCCAGGCACAGTGGCTCATGCCTGTAATCCCAGCACTTTGGGAAGCCGAGGCAGGAGAACTGCTTGAGCCCAGGAGTTTGAGAAGAGCCTGGGCAACATGGCAAGACCACACTCTACAAAAAATAAATTAGCTGGGTGTGGTGGTGCATGCCTGTGGTCTCAGCTAATCGAGAGGCTGAGTGGGAAGGATCACTGGAGCCCAGGAGGTCAAGGCTACAGTGAGCCACGTTCACACCACTGCATTCCAGCCCAACACAGGGCATGTATGACAGGCCAGCAACCTTTGCATCTCTGACCTGTGATTCACTTTTGTCTCATAAAAACAAAAACAAAACAAAACAAACAAACAAACAAAACAGAAGAAAGGAAAAAAAGAGTGGCTTACATTTTTTTTCCCCAAAAATCTGGAGGTAAGTATCTGCTGTCGCTGGCGGAACAATACCAGTGCTGGCTATTCTGTGATCATCTTGGCTTTTCTTCTTGGTAAACAAGATGGCTGCTGCAGCTCCAGGTATCATGTGAGTATTCAAAGCAGGAAGAGGCAGGAAAAGGGCTGGAGCCAGTTGTGTCTCTCCCTTTTATCTGGAAAGCAAACATTTCTTGGAAATCCAACAGCAGAGTTGGCAACTGCAGTTGCAAAGGAACCTGGGAGAACAAATGTGAAGCTTTCCAGCTTCTAAAATAGGAAGAAGAATGGCTGGGCATGGTGGCTCACGCCTGTAATCCCAGCACTTTGGGAGACCAAGACGGGTGGATCACCTGAGATCAGGAGTTTGAGACCAGCCTGGCCAACATGGTGAAACCCCGTCTCTACTGAAAATACAAAATTAGCCAGGCGCGGTGGCCTGTATCCCAGGTGCATGCCTGTAATCCCTGCTACTCGGGAAGCTGAGACAGGAGAATCGCTTGAATCTGGGAGGTGGAGGTTGCAGTGAGCCGAGATCATGCCATTGCACTCCAGCCTGGGCAACAACAACGAAAGTTCGTCTCAAAAAATAAATAAAAAAAAATAGGAAGAAGAAAAGAGTCACAGGTTAGGGATGGTAGTTGGCGTAGCTAGTAGGCTGTATCTGTCACAAGAAAGATCACAGAAGCCACAGTGTTCTAGAATATTGAAATCTCTTGTCCTCCTTTCAGTTCTTGTCCCTGAATGACAGACACCGCCAGAACTCACTTCAGGTCTATATGCATCCAGGGGCGACTTAATAGTAATTCACTATGTGAGTTATTAACGGTTATTAAAATGCAGCATTTGTGAACTAAAATTAGCCAATTTATCCATGCCTGTATTCTGCCAAGTCCTTCTGGCTGCCACTCAATGCTTAATGACCTTGCCTTTGCACAAACAGCTGAAGTGGGTATGGGGTTTCCTTTTGAGGTGATAGAAATGTTTTAGAACTAGATAGAGGCGGTGGTTACACAGCATTGTGAATGTGGTAAATACCACTTTGGTTAATTTTCCCTTATGTGAACTTCACCTTAATTTAAATGAAGGAGAAGGGAAAGGAAGAGGGAGAGGGGGAGGAGACACAGAAGGCAGAGGAAGGGAAGGAGAGAAAGAAAAACAAAGAACCTTAACAGTTATTTCTGGTGGCCATAAGGAAAAAAACTCTAATACTTTTTTTTTTTTCAGACCTGAGTTTTGCTCTTGTTGCCCAAGCTGGAATGCAATGGCGCCATCTCGGCTCATTGCAACCTCTGCCTGCTGGGTTCAAGCAATTCTCCTGCCTCAGTCTCCCGAGTAGCTGGGATTACAGGTGCCCACCACCATGCCCAGCTAATTTTTTGTATTTTTAGTAGAGATGAGGTTTCACTACATTGGCCAGGCTGGTCTCAAACTCCTGAGCTCAGGTGATCCACCCACCTTAGCCTCCCAAAGTGCTGGGATTACAGGCGTGAGCCACCTCGCCTGGCTCTACGTCATTGTGCTTTTTTTTTTTTTTTTTGAGACATTGTTTCTCTCTTGTTGCCTAGGCTGGAGTGCAATGGTGCCATCTCTGCTCACTGCAACCTCTGCCTTCCAGGTTCAAGTGATTCTCCTGCCTCAGCCTCCCGAGTAGCTGGGATTACAGGCATGCGCCACCGCACGTGGCTAATTTTTTGTATTTTTAGTAGGGACCAGGCTTCAGCATGTTGGCCAGGCTGGTGTCAAACTCCTGACCTTATGTGATCCACCCGCCTCGGCCTCCCAAAGTGCTGGGGTTACAGGCGTGAGCCACCGCGCCCGGCAACCCTAATACATTATTGTTACAGCCTTTGGGCAAGGCCTTTTAACATTTCCATGGGATAAGTTCCACTCTTGGGAACTAATATGTAAGAATATATGTGCAAGAAGATGTGTGCAATATTGTTCATCTTGGCAAAAATGGCAAACAAAGTAAATATCCATCCTTACAGAGTTTCTGAATAGATCACGGTATAGCCACACCACAGAATATTGTACAGCCACTAAAATGCTCTTTGCCAGGTGGCCTGGAGGGATGTCAATGTGATGTGTTAAATGAGAAAAGGAGGATACAGAAAAATGAGTATAACATGATGCTATTTATATAAACTCCTGTGTATTCAATGTGTATGTAGTATGTTTGCATGTCTATACTTACATATACATGTACGTGTATCCAAATATGTATGTATATGTGTATTTGTTTTTTTTGTTGTTGTTCGTTTGTTTTTCCAGATATAGTCTTGCTTTGTTGCCCAGGCTGGAGTGCAGTGGCGCAATCTCAGCTCACTGCAACTTCACCTCCTGGTTCAAGCAATTCTCATGCCTCAGCCTCCTGAGTAGCTGGGATTACAGGAGCCCACCACACCTGGCTAATTTTTGTATTTTTAGTAGAGACGGGGTTTCACCATGTTGGCCAGACTGTTCTCAAACTCCTGACCTCAAGTGATCCGCCTGCCTCGGCTTCCCAAAGTGCTGGGGTTAAAGGTATGAGCCCCCGAGCCTGGCTGTATATGTGTATTTGTATAAAATTACCTAGGCATGGAGAAAAAGATGGGAGCATACAAACCCGAGGTGAGAACGGGAGAGAAAAAGGAGAAATAGGGAAGGAGAAGCCAAGAGAAAAAAGAAAGAGAAAAACCAAAAAGATTTCTCTAGAAGAAACTTCCTGGCCGGGCATGTTGGCTCACGCCTGTAATCCCAGCACTTTGGGAGGCCAAGGGCAGGGGTGGATTACCAGAGGTCAGGAGTTCGAGACTAGCCTGGCTAACATGGTGAAACCCCGTCTCTACTAAAAATGTAAAAATTAGCTGGGCGTGGTGGTGAGGCCCTGTAATCCCAGCTACTCGGGAGGTTGAAGCAGGAGAATCACTTGAAACTGGGAGGTGGAGGTTGCGGTGAGCTGAGATTGTGCCATTGCACTCCAGACTGGGCGACAAGAGCAAAACTCCATCTCACAAAACAAAAAACAAAAAACAAAAACTTTCTTTCCCCCAACATATATGATATGATCACATTTATGATTTTTTGTAAAATTATATGCGTGTGCATGTACATGTATAAAACCGTTAAATCATAGATTTAATGCATTATAATCAAACAGAATTTAACACAGAATTAGACTTACTGTTATTATGGCACCATCATTATTAATTATGCCTGCAATGCCTCCTTTATGCAGAGAGTAACAATGCATATTTGCATGAACAGTATTTCTGGTGTATAATTTTCCAATTATCTGGTATTAGAATATGCACGTATTATGAATCAAATATGAATTATTTAGACTCTTCCCCCGAAATATATCCAGAGTCCTGGAAGTTAATTTATGTGGTTGAATAATTAATATAAGTGATTATAGCACCCCGCCCCCTTAAAGAAAAGACCATTTGGTCTTTGCCTGCCCAGCAACTGAGGCCCTTGGAGGAGACTCTGCCTTTGCCCAATAGTTTCCCTGGATTTTTGTAATGGGAAGAATGAAACAGGAGCCAGACAGAGAGGGAGCTATGGAGTAGATCAGTAGAGCTTTTCCTGCTGAGCAGACTCTTGCCAATCACTTTCGTTCTTCTACTCCAGATCTGGATCTCTCAACGCTTGATGTGAACATGTGACCCAGACCTAGCCAATCGGAGGGCTTCATCCATCTGGCCAATGTGATTGGTCAGATCTGGGCACATGACCCAAACTGGGCCAATCAGAGGATTCATTTCCTACCACTTCCTGCTGAAACTGTCAGAGACACGCCTTTCTTGAGACTGCTGGCCCCTCTCACCACACTGAGAGTGAAGCCTCACAGAAGACGCTGACAGCATGAAGGACTAGAAGATTCTGAAGACATCTTTGAGCACCTGGCTCCAACTGTGCTAGGATCTTAGGATCTGGGTATATTTAAAGTGCACAATGTCTTTTATTTTATTTTTTTTTTGAGACGGAGTCTCAATCTGTCGCCCAGGCTGGAGTGTAGTGGCGCAATCTCGGCTCACTGCAAGCTCCACCTCCCAGGTTCACGCCATTCCCATGCCTCAGCCTCCCCAGTAGCTGGGACTACAGGCGCTTGCCACCACGCCCAGCTAATTTTTTTGTATTTTTTTAGTAGAGACGGGGTTTCACCATGTTAACAAGGATGGTCTCCATCTCCTGACCTCGTGATCCGCCCGCCTTGGCTTCCCAAAGTGCTGGGATTACAGGGCGTGAGCCACTGCACCCGGCCTTTTTTTTTTTTTTGAGACAGTCTCTCTCGCCCAGGCTGGAGTGCAATGGTGCGATCTTGGCTCACTGAAACCTCCACCACCTGGGTTCAAGAGATTCTCCTGCCTCAGCCTCCCGAGTAGCTGAGATTAAAGGTGCGCACCACCATGTCCGGCTAATTTTAGTATTTTTTGTAGAGAAGAGTTTTCGCCATTTTGCCCAGGCTGGTCTTGAACTACTGGGGTCAAGTGGTCTTCCTGCCTCTGCCTCCCAAAGCGCTAGGACTGCAGGCATGAGCCAACACGACTGGCTGTGTTCATGAGCTAATATTGTCTCTTCTGGTTTCTGTTTGATTTCCAGATTAATGGTATATCCATCAAGAGTAGTATTCTTGGCCGGGGGCTGTGGCTCACACCTGTAATCCCAACATTTTGGGAGGCCTAATTGGGAGAATCACTTGAGCCCAGGAGTTTGAGACCATCCTGGGCAACGTAGAGAGACCGCATCTCCACCAAAAAAAAAAAAAAAAAAAAAAATGCTGGGCGTGGTGGCTCACGCCTGTAATCCCAGCACTTTGGGAGGCTGAGGTGGGAGGATCACTTGAGGTCAGGAGTTCGATTCGAGAACGGCCTGGCCACTATGGTGAAACCCCGTCTCTACTAAAAATACAAAAATTCGCCGGGTGTGGTGGCAGGTGCCTGTAATCCCAGCTGCTCGGGAAGCTGAGGCAGGAGAATCGCTTGAACCCGAGAGGTGGAGTTTGCAGTGAGCCGAGATCGCGGCATTGCACTTCAGCTTGGGCGACAGAGCCAGACTCCGTCTAAAAAAAAAAAGAAGCCAGGCGTGGTGGTGCGTGCTTGTGGTTCCAGCTACTCAGAACACTGAGGTGGGAGGATTGCTTGGGCCCAGGAGGTCGAGGCTGCAGTGAGCTGTGATTGCACCACTGCACTCCAGGCTGGGTGACAGAATAAGACCTTGTCTCAAAAAGAAAAAAAAAAGCAAGATTCTTGGGTTCTGTTCTTTCTCATTTGTTCTTTCTTTCTTTTTTTTTTTTTTTTTTGAGGTGGAGTCTTGCTCTGTCTCCCAGGCTGGAGTGCAGTGGTGCAATCTCGGCTCACTGCAAGCTCCGCCCGCCGGGTTCACGCCATTCCCCTGCCTCAGCCTCCCGAGTAGCTGGGACTACAGCGCCCGCCACCACGCCTGGCTGATTTTTTGTATTTTTAGTAGAGACGGGGTTTCACTGTGTTAGCCAGGATGGTCTCGATCCCCTGACCTCGCGATCCACCCGCCTCGGCCTCCCAAAGTGCTGGGATTACAGGTGTGAGCCACTGCGCCTGGCCTTGTTCTTTCATTAAATTTTTCCTCAACACTATGTGCCAAGCCTTTCTGAGGCTCTGAGGGTACAAGGATGAATCAAACTGAGTATTATGGCAGAGACAGCTGTTTCAGCACTAATATCTCTTTTTTCCCCTTCTTTCTTTAATAACAGAAGTTATGAGTTTTAGGTGGGTGCATGTTTATCCAGTTGATGACTACATTTCTCTTTTTTTGTTTTGAGACGGCGTCTCACTCTGTTGTCCAGGCTGGAGTGCAGTGGCACAATCTTGGCTCACTGCAACTTCCACCTCCCGGGTCAGTGATTCTCCTGCCTCAGGCTCCCGAGTAGCTGGGACTACAGGTGCCGGCCACTGCGCCCGGCTAATTTTTGTATTTTTAGTAGAGATGGGGTTTCACCACGTGGGCCAGGTTGGTCTCCAGCTCCTGACCTCAGGTGATCTGCCCACCTTGACCTCCCAAAGTGCCAGGATTACAGGGGTGAGCCACCATGGCCGGCCCCCGATGACTACATTTCCTTTTTTTTTTCTTTTCTTTTTTTTTTTTTTTGAGACAGAGTCTAGGTCTGCCACCCAGGCTGGAGTGCAGTGGCGTGATCTTGGCTCACTGCAACTCCTGGGTTCAAGCAATTCTCTTGCCTCAGCCTCCTGAGTAGCTGGGATTACAGGCACCCAACAACACCATGCCTGGATATTTTTGTATTTTTAGTAGAGACAGGTTTTCACCATGTTGGCCAGGCTGGTCTTGAACTCCTGACCTCAGGTGATCTGCCTGCCTCGGCCTCCCAAAGTGCTGAGGTTACAGGTGTGAGCTGCTGTGCCTGGCCTGATGACTACATTTCTCAGCCTGCTTTGGATCTAAGTGTTGATGTGACTGAGTTCTGGTCAGTGAGATATAAGCAACAATGATAAATGTTCCTTCTAGGTCATGCTATTTTTTTTTGCTCTGACACACTTTATCATCACTTAATGGGTCATGCTATTAAAAGGAATGGATATGTTCTCCCTTTGCCCCTTTTTCTGCCATTTTCCACTGGCCAGGATGCAGGTGTGATGGCAGGACCTAGAGCAGGTACCTCGACCCAGAGATTGAAGCTGTGTGTTGAAGCTGGCCATTGCCTCCCTGCTACCCTAGGACCTCCTAACTTGGGTTGTTAGTGAGAGAGATATATACTTGATTTTGTTTAAGCCACTAAACTTAATGTCTCTTTGTTATAGCAGCCTAGATTTTACCCAAACTAATAAGCCTTTGACCTCCACTTCTAGTGAAATAGACCAAAGAGACAGCCACCCCCTGCCCCCCGCAAAAAAGTGACAAGTTCTGAAATAGATATAACCCCATGGTGTTGTGAGGTTATAAATTAGGGCATGCGTGGCTGGGCGCAGTGGCTCACGCCTGTAACCCCAGCACTTTGGGAGGCTGAGGCAGGCGGATCACCTGAGGTTGAGAGTTCGAGACCAGCCTGACCAACATGGAGAAACCCTGTCTCTACTGAAAATACAAAATTAGCTGGGCATGGTGATGCATGCCTGTAATGCCAGCTACTCGGAAGGCTGAGGCAGGAGAATCACTTGAACCTGGGAGGCAGGGGTTGCGGTGAGCCGAGATCACGCCACTGTACTCCAGCCTGGGCAACAAAAGCGAAACTCCGTCTCAAAAAAAAAGTTAGGGCATGCTCAACTTGGGCTGAGACACTGTTTGATGAAAGGCTTACTGAGGAGGATGGCTGAAAAGAATTCCCATAAGCAGAAATTGGAGTAGGGCTGGACGTTTGAATCAATTAAAAATGTTTTGAGCTGTGAGCAGTGGCTCACACCTGTAATCCCAGCACTTTGGGAGGCTGAGTCAGGAGGATCACTTGAGTCCAGCAGGTCAAGGCTGCAGTGAGCCATGATCAGGCCACTGCACTGCAGCCTTAGTGACACAGCAAGATACACACACACACACACACACACACACACACACACACACACACACACACACGGTGTTTTGGCTATAAGTAACAAGAATAACAAAATACAACAAGGAATATCTTTAAGGAGTCATTCATTTATTCTACAAACATTTTCCTGTCACTTACTATATTCCAGGTCCTGTTCTAGGTGCTGGGGATATGGCAATGAATAAAACAGATCAACCCCCTCACCACTCCTGAAAATCCAAGAAAAACTCTGGCTTTATAGATTTTATGATCTGTGGGGAGAGATTTATTATCTTACAGAACAAGAAATCCAGAGATAGGTGGTCCTGGGCTGGTGGATAGAGGCTCAACACTATCTTAAAGGACCTTATTCTTTCCATCTCTTCACTCTGCCATCCTCAGTGTGTCGGCTTTTTTCTCAACCTTGTAACCTCATAGTTGTAATATGGCTGCCACTGCTCCAGGAGGCACATCACATACACATTAATCCAGTGGAGTAGAAGAAGAGAACCTGTTTCCTCCCATGCTGCTCTTCTTTTTTATTTTTCTAGCAGGAAAACTTCCTCGGAAGTCTTCAGCTAACTTTAAATCTTATTTACTAGAATTGCATCACATTCCTAATAAAATCACTGGCAAGTCGAAGGAAACAAGCATGAGTGGCTTAGGTCAGTGTTCTCAAATGGTTGTCTCAGGACCAGGCACGGTGGCTCATGCCTGTAATCCCAGCACTTTGGGAGGCCAAGGTGGGTGGATCACCTGAGGTCGGGAGTTTGAGACCAGCCTGGCTAACATGGTGAAACCCTATCTCTGCTAAAAATACAATTAGCTGGGCGTGTTGGCACGCACCTGTAATCCCAGCTACTCGGGCAGCTAAGGCGGGAGAATCGCTTGAACCTGGGAGGCGGAGGTTGCAGTGAGCCGAGATCATGCCACTGCACTCCAGCCTGGGTGACAAAGTGAGACTCCGTCTCAAAACAAAACAAAACAAAACAAAATGAGACAAAAAAGCTGTTGTCAGGTTATTAATGACTCCAAAGAGCTTTGGTTTATGTGGTTATGTCTATTGATATTTGCTATATTAGAAGTTAAAAGTGAAAAAAATTAAACATGTATTTATTCATTCAAAATTATCCTTTACATAGTAACATAAATAATTTTTTATGAAAAATAGCTATACTTTGCAAGACAAAAAATAGTGCAAAGCATGGCATTTTTTGTTTGTTTCTTTGTTTGTTTGTTTTAGACAGGTTCTTGCTCTGTTTCCCAGGCTAGAGTGCAGTGATGCAATCATAGCTCCCTGCAGCCTCGACCTCCTGGGCTGAAGCGACCCTCCTTCCTCAGCATCCTGAGTACCAGGAAGCACAGGCTTGCAGCACCACATCCAGCTAATTACTTCATAATTTTTATAGAGACAAGGTCCTTCTGTGTTCCCCAGGCTGGTCTTGAACTCCGGGACTCAAGCGATCCTCTGGCCTTGGCCTCCAAGTGGCAAAGTGGCCCTGTTTTGCATTTTGCTATTATCTCTTTGATGTCTGCTTAACAGAAGAAGCTGGATTTTCATGCCTGCTTCTGCATTCAACCCATTGTGATATTCTGTTTTGCTTTAAATACACAGAAATTCTGGTCTCATACATGTATGTTGTTGCAAAAAAGAAGGCTTTGTGGACCTCTTGGAAAGGTCTTGAGGATTCAGCATTCACAACTGGAGAACCACTGACTTATATTGATTAAAACTCACTCTCTGAGGATCCCTTGAGCCCAGAAGTTTGAGACCTGAGCAACATATTGAGACTCCGTCTCTAAAATATAAAAATAGGCCAAGTGTAGTGGTTCATGCCTGTAATCCCAGCACTTTGGGAGGCCGAGGCAGGTGGATCACTTGAGGGCAGGAATTCGAGACCAGCCTGGCCAACATGGTGAAATCCTGTCTCTACTAAAAATAGCAAAATTAGTTGGGCATGGTGGCGCACACCTGTAATTCCAACTACTTGGGTGGCTGAGACAGGAGAATTGCTTGAACCTGGAGGTGGAGGTTCAGTGAGCCAAGATTGTACCACTGCACTCCAGCCTGGGCGACAGTGCGAGACTCCATCTCAAAAAAATAAAATAAATAAAAATTTAAAAAATTACCTGGATGTGGTGGTGGTGTGCACTTGTAGTCCTAGCTGCTTGGGAGGCTGAGGTGGGAGGATCATTTGAGCCCAGGAGGTGGAGGCTGTGGTGAGCTATGATCGTGCCACTGCACTCCATCCTGGGAGACACAGCAAGACCCTGTCTCAAAACAACAACAACAACAACAGCACTCACTCCCTGGGCTATAAAGAGGCTTAGCCCCCACCCATAATTCCACACAGCTCAACCTCCCTATAAACACATGGCTGCTTCCATTCCTTAACAAAATCATAATTCTCTCAGCAAGGAGAAAGGCAGGGAGGGGTATTGGACAAAATCATAATTCTCTCAGCAAGGAGAAAGGCAGGGAGGGTTATTGGGTGGGCAGCCCACAGAGTCTGCCACGGATTGCTCTACAGCGGAGGTTTTCCAGCCTATTCGACCGTGTCCCACAGTAACAAATACATTTTACATGGTGACTCAGTACACACATGCACACAACAGAAACATTTTTATTAACAATACTTAGGCTTGCAACATGGAATGCCCTCTGATATTTTCTATTCTTTGTATTCTTTTCTATTTCTTTTTTTAAAAAGTGCTGGCTGTAACCCAATAAATTCACTTCATGATTCACTAGTGGGTCATAATCTTCAGTGTGAAAAATACTGTTCTCTAGGGACTTGTTATTTGATTGGATAGAGGGGCTAGACAGAGGCCTTCAAAGGAGGGAATTCATAACCATTGCCTCAAAAGTTGGCCAAGGAATTGCCCCAAGATGCCTGTGTTGACCCAGCCTTTGTCCTTTTTGCCTGCATTAACTCTTTTATATTGAGCAGAGGGCAAGTAGGCTCAACTCAAATGGTGTTAAGTAAAAAGGTAAGGCTGGGCGCAGTGGCTCACACCGCGGCACTTTGGGAGGCCGAGGCAGGCGGATCACCTGAGGTTAGTCTGGCCAACATGGTGAAACCCCATCTCTACTAAAAATACAAAAATTAGCCAGGCATGGTGGTACGCGCCTGTAGTTCCAGCTACTCGGGAGGCTGAGGCAGGGAGAAACCCTTGAACCCGGGAGGCGGAGGTTGCAGTGAACGGAGATTGCACCACTCACTTCAGCCTGGGTGACAAAAAAAAGTCTCAAAAAAAAAAAAAAAGTAAAAAGATAAACAGAATTATAATTATAACAAAATTTATTGACTCATAGAATTGGAAATCCCAGGAGCCTCGTGAGCTTCAGGCACAGCCAGAATGATGGCCACAGGGTAAGTACTTGTTGATCTCCCCCTGGAGACCCTCATGTCCTCCATGTTGGCTTCTCAGGAGGAGAATCTCAGGCAATAGTGCCCCCTGTAGCTCCCCAACTTCAAAAACCAGAGTATAGAAAACTACATCTTACTGGCAGGTCTAGAAAAATGTCGCCAAACCTGGATCATGCATCCACCTTTTTTTGTTTGTTGGTTTTTGAGACAGTCTCGCTCTGTTGCCCAGGCTGGAGTGCAATGGCACGATCTCAGCTCACTGCAACCTCCACCTCCTGGGTTCAAGCGATTCTCCTGCCTCACCCTCCTGAATAGCTGGGATTACAGGTGTGCACCACCATGCCTGGCTAATTTTTGTATTTTTAGTAGAGACAGGGTTTCACTATGTTGGCCAGGCTGGTCTTGAACCCCTGACCTGGTGATTCACCTGCCTCGGCCTCCCAAAGTGCTGGGATCACAGGCATGAGCCACCGCACCTGGCCTATGCATCCACCTTTTGAAGGGAATGTTGAGGTCAGCCTTCTCTGAACACGTGGGGTGAGAGTGGATGGGCAGTGGCTTTCCAGTGGAGAGGAGGAAGTTGTTGCTTGAAGCAGGGAGGATTTTGAGCAGGCAAAACCAGCAGATGTTTACTACCTCAAGCTCCATGAGGCCAGGGAAGGTGCTGGGTCCTGAGCACCACTGTATGCCCAATGACTGGCACAAATTAGACTCAGAAAATACTTGTATGAACAAGGGCAATTGTGTTGTATGATTGGGTATCCATGGACAATTTACATATTTGAAAAGGTAACAGAAAGATTTGTAGGGCATGATGGCTCATGCCTGTAATCCCAGGACTTTGTGAGGCTGAGGTGGGAGGATTGCTTGAGCCCAGGAGTTCAAGACCGGCTTGGGTAGCACAACAAGATGCCATCTCTACAAAAAATTAGCTGGGTGTGGTGGCATGTACCTGTGGTCCCAGCTACGTGAGGGGCTGAGGCAGGAGGATTGCTTGAGCACAAGAGGTCAAGGCTGCAGTGTGCTATAATCCTACCACTGCACTCCAGCCTGGGCAACAGAGAAAGACCACATCTCAAAATAAAAAAACAAAATAAAGAAGGATAGACAAATAGGTTAGTGGAAGAGAATAGAAAGTCCAGCTAGCTGGGTGCGGTGGCTCACGCCTGTAATCCTAGCACTTTGGGAGGCCGAGGCGGGCGGATCACAAGGTCAGGAGATCGAGACCATCCTGGCTAACACCGTGAAACCCTGTCTCTACTAAAAAAATACAAAAAATTAGCCGGGCGTGGTGACGGGCGCCTGTAGTCCCATCTACTTGGGAGGCTGAGGCAGAAGAATGGTGTGAACCTGGGAGGTGGAGCTTGCAGTGAGTGGAGATGCGCCACTGCACTCCAGCCTGGGAGACAGATCAAGACTCCGTCTCAAAAAAAAAAAAAAAAGAAAGAAAAAGAAAGCCCAGCTGAGACTGACACATATATGGCCAAATTATCTTCAACAAAGTCACCAGGGTAATTCATTGAAGAAAATCAATTTTGTATTTCAACAAATATTACTGGGACAGGCCAGGTGCAGTGGCTCATGCCTATAATCCCAGCACTTTGGGAGGCTGAGGCAGAAGGATCACTTGAGGCCAGGAGTTTGAGCAGCCTGGGCAACAAAGGGAAACCTCGCCTCTGTCTAAATAAATAAATAAATAAAATTCACTGTTGAGAAAAAGAAAAGGCCACTGAATTGTATACTTTATTTCATTTTATTTATTTATTTTTGAGACTGAGTCTCGCTCTGTCACCCAGGCTAGAGTGCAGTCTCATGATCTCAGCTCACTGCAACCTCCGCCTCCCTTCAAGCGATTCTCCTGCCTCAGCCTACTGAGTAGCTGGAATTACAGACATGCACCACCATGCCCAGCTAATTTTTGTTATTTTTAGTAGAGATGGGGTTTCACCATGTTGGTCAGGCTGGTCTCCTGACCTCGTGATCTGCCCACCTTGGCCTCCCAAAGTGCTGGGATTACAGGTGTGAGCCACTGTGCCCGGCCTGAATTGTATACTTTCAAATGGTTTGGCCGGGTGCTGTGGCTCAACGCCTGTAATCCCAGCACTTTGGGAGGCTGAGGCAGGTGGATCATTTGAGGTCAGGAGTTTGAGACCAGCCTGACTAACATGGTGAAACCCCATCTCTACTAAAAATACAAAAAAAAAAAAGAAGATAAAGAAAGAAAGAAAAAGAAAGTAGCTGGGTGTGGTGGCATAGTCCCAGCTACTTGGTGGCTGAGATGGGATAATCACTTGAACCCGGGAGGTGGAAGCTGCAGTGAGCCGGGATTGTGCCACTGCACTCCAGCCTGGGCAACAAGAGTGAAACTCCGTCTCCCCACCAAAAAAACCCCAAAAAACATTATATCTTCCTGGCTAAGTGATTGGCTTATGGTAACTCAGACTGAGCCAACGAAGCCCTCCTCAGTTTGTTCTTGGAACTATTGTCAGGGGTATTTTCCCTTTCCATTGGTGTTGCTGTGCTGGTGAGAAATAACCCCAGAACCAGCAGGTAGGCAAAGCTACAGGAGAGGAAAGCCAACTTGGAGAAGAACCGAGAGATGATAGAGAAATGGAAACCAGCCATGTTGAGCCCCTGGGTTCAGGTTCACCTGATGTCCTCCAAACTTTTTGTTCAGGCTAGTTTAGGATGTGCCTATATTTCTTGCAAATGAGTCTCCAAATACAAACCCCAAATCATTGTAGCAAAATGCACTGACCAACTGTGCTTCCACGATCAGATCAGTAAGCTGGGTGCAGTGGCTCATGCCTGTAATCCCAGCACTTTGGGAGGCCAAGGTGGGCGGATCACTTGAGGTCAGGAGTTGGAGAACAGCCTGGCCAACATGGTGAAACCCCATCTCTACTAAAAATACAAAAATTGGCCAGGTGTAGTGGCAGGCACCTGTAATCCCAGCTACTTGAGAGGCTGAGGCAGAAGAATCACTTGAACCTCGGAGGCAGAGGTTGCAGTGAGCTGATATCATGCCACTGCACTTCAGCCTGGGCGACAGAGCAAGACTCCGTCCCAAAACAAACAAACAAACAAACAAACAAACAAACAAAAACCAATGTGTAAGTGAACAGAGAGAACAAGAAGTTTAAGGAAAATTAAAAACATAAAGGACAAAGTGAGAGAAGAGAATATCTGTAAAATACATGAATACACACACACAGTAGATGTTTCATGGTTGTTTATCCCCCACCTCTCGCTGGAACACAGACTGGTGCCCCACTTCGTGCTTGGGATGTCCTTCCTCTGTTTCTTGGCTGAGTCGAACTTGTGCTGCTTCCTTTCTCCTTAAATATCCTTTCCTCTGGACAGGATGTTCCTGAAGGAGGCCACAAGGCAGAACATCTCGGCTAACTTTAGTTTGCTATTTTCAGCCTGAATTTGTGCCTGGGCAAATCAGTCCACGGACAGAGTATCCTCCCCAGTTGGATATTTCTTGCATGAGCATCAGAATTTTGTGGGACACAAGGCTTAGTTTCACTAAGCTCTGAGCCTCAAAACCTGGTATGCATCTGGGTTAGAGAGCCTCATCCAGTCTTTTTTTTTTTTTTTTTTTTTTGAGATGGAGTCTCACTCTGTCGCCCAGGCTGGAGTGCAGTGGCGTGATCTCAGCTCACTGCAAGCTCTGCCTCCCGGGTTCATGCCATTCTCTTGCCTCAACCTCCCGAGTAGCTAGGACTACAGGCACCCACCACCACACCCGGCTAATTTTTTGTATTTTTTTTTAGTAGAGACGGGGTTTCACCGTGTTAGCCAGGATGGTCTTGATCTCCTGACCTTGTGATCCGCCCGCCTCGGCCTCCCAAAGTGCTGGGATTACAGGCGTGAGCCACCGCGCCTGGCCCTCATCCAGTCTTAAAAAAAAATTCCCTGAGCTGTAGAATATATGGTGGACATATTTTCTGCATTCCTTTTTTGATGTAGGTAGGAAAAAAACCCAAAAAACCCCAAATCACAATTGTCCCTCCAGGGAACTGAGAAGCTGGGGTACTTACCCATTGACTCCTGTATTCCATTGGTTAAGAAAAGCTTCTGGTGGCTTTAAGTCCCTAACACTTTTTTGGGGCTGTCTTGCATCCTGTGCTGGAGACAGCTCTTAGGTTAAGAGACACAGGTGTTCAGCCTGGGCAACATAAGGCGACACTGTCTCTGCCAAAAAATAAAAAAAATAAAAAAATAAAAGCCAGGGGGTGGTGCGTGCACCTGTGGTCCCAGCAACTCAGGAGGCTGAAGTGAGAAAATTGCTCGAGTCTAGGAGGTTGAGGCTGCAGTGAGCTGTGATCATGCCACTGCCAGCAGCCTGGGCAACAGAGCAAGACTTTGCCTCAAGAGAAAAGAAAAACAGTCAGATGCGGTGGCTCATGCCTGTAAACCCAGCACTTTGGGAGGCTGAGGCAAGTGGATTACTTGAGGTCAGGAGTTCAAGACCAGGCTGGCCAACATGGCAAAACCCCATCTCTACTAAAAATACAAAAATTAGCTGGGCGTGGTGGCTTGCACCTGTAATCTCAGCTACTTGGGAGGCTGAGTTAGGAGAATCACTTGAACCTGGGAGGTGGAGGTGTCAGTGAGCCGAGATCACCCCACTGCCCTCCAGCCTATGCAACAGAATGAGACTCCATCTCAAAATAATAAAAAAGAGACTAGTGTGGGAGGATCACCTGAGCCCAGGAGGCGGAAGTTGCAGTGAGCTGAGATCACGCCACTACAGTTTAGCTTGGGTGACAGAGTGAGACTCTCTCAAAAAAGAAGAAGAAGAAGAAGAGAAACAGATGTGTGTGTGAGGTGGGAGCTGCCAGCCTGTCCATCATAGTTGTAGCTAATCTCAGAAGCAGGCCAAGGGGATTTGCTATAGGGCACCAGCAGTATATGCTAGAAAGAGAATGTAGTACATGTACTGGCTTGTAGCACAGGGGACATTCTAGTTTTAGGCAATGCTGAATCAAGGGCCTCAAATAATGTCAACAGGACTTGAACTTTCACCATCTTTTAGTTCCTTACACCTTATATCCTCTATTAGTGGCTTCTCACAACTGTGGGCTTAATCCTACCAGTCCAGGAGCCCCAGTAGAACAGAGCATCCTTTCTAACACCTGAGCTGACTTTCATGGTCTTGCTTGAGTTCTGTGCCCAGTCCTGCTCTACGGCCAGGAAGCTGTGGCCCTCTGATTGACCAGATCTGAGCTAAACGCAGTGGTGTGTTGATAAATGTCTAACAATAGTCTTTTTGAGAAAATAAAAGTTTTGATTTGTAGTGTTTCCTGATTTCTATGATGTAAGTACCCCCATTAGCTTGAAACCATAGCCGATTTCAATTACCAATGTAGTGTCAACCGGTTTACAGAACTCTTGTCATGTCCCATCAGCTCTAGTGAGCTAGTTCGAGCCAGCTCAAACACAATGCTGGCTCATGTGTCTCCTGTTGAACAGAGGCAGTTGAGGCACCCCATGCATTCCACAGGGACTGAAGGTGGGGAAGGGAAATCGGGTGCTGTTGTCACGATTTGGGGGGCGAATAGTTGCTGAATGGGAAAAACCAGGTCTCCATCAATCATACAGACAGACAGAGATCCTGTCTCCAAAAAAAAAAAAACAAACCCAAAAAACTGCAACAAACATCTTGGTAAATATATCCTTATAATATAAAATTATATATCCTTTGTTTGTTTGTTTGCTTGTTTGTTTTGAGACAGGGTTCTCGCTCTGTCACTCAGGCTGGAGTGCAGTGGTGTAAACTCAGCTCACTGCAACCTCTACCTTCCCGGCCTCTACCTCCCTCACTATAACCTCAACCTCACACCTCAGCCTCCTGAGTAGTTGGTAACATAGGCATACACCACCATGCCTGGCTAATTTTTTGTATTTTTGGTAGAGAGAGGGTTTCACCATGTTGCCCAAGCTGGTCTCGAACTCCTGAGTTCAAGCGATCCACCACCTTGGACTCCCAAAGTGCTGGGATTATAGGTGTGAGCCACCATGCCCGGCCACCTTATATATCCTTATATGTTGTCTTTTCTATAACACTGGTCAGCAAACCAAGGCCCACAGAAAACCAAACCCAGTCTGGCACCTGTTTTTGTTTTTGTTTGTTTGTTTGTTTGTTTGTTTGTTTATTTATTTATTTATTTATTTATTTTAGATGGAGTCTCCCTCTGTTGCCCAGGCTTGAGTGCAGTGGTGTGATCTTGGCTCACTGCAACCTCTGCCTCCCAGGTTCAAGTGATTCTCCTGTCTCGGCCTCTCGAGTAGCTGGGACTACAGGCACGCCCCACCATGCCCGGCTAATTTTTATATTTTTAGTAGAGACGGGGTTTTACCATGTTGCCTAGGCTGGTCTTGAACTCCTGACCTCAGATGATCCACCCGCCTCGGCCTCCCAAAGTGCTGGGATTACGGGCATGAACCACCTTGCCTGGCCTGGCACCTGTTTTGTAAACAAAGTTTTGCAGGAACACAGCAAACTCATTCATTTACATAATGTCTGTAGCTGCTTTTGCAGTACCCCAGCTGAATGGAGTCATTCAGAGACTGCATGGCCCAGAAAGCCTAAAATATTTACTCTCTGGCACCCTTTACAGAGAAAGTTTGTTAACCTCTGCTCTATAATATAGGACCTACATTATGGAAAGGGAAAAAGATATATGTTTTAAAAAATTTAACAGACAGCCGGATACAGTGGCTCACATCTGTAATCCCAGCACTTTGGGAGGCCAAGGCGGGTGGATCACCTGAGGTCAGGAGTTCAAGACCAGCCTGACCAACATGGCGAAACCCCGTCTCTAATAAAAATACAAAAATTAGCAACGCATGGTGGCACACACTTACAATCTCAGCTTCTCAGGAGGCTGAGGCAGGAGAATAGCTTGAACCTGGGAGGTGGAGCTTGCAGCGAGCCAAGATCACACCACTGCACTTCAGCCTGGGTGACAGAGCAAAACTTTGTCTCAAAAAAAAAAAAAAAAGAAGTGTACAAAGAAGAAAGCCCACTCTTCTATCGCAATTACCAGTTTGGTGTAATAGTCCAATCAACACAATAATCAATACACACACACACAGTTTTGTCCTTTCTTAAAACAAAAACAAAAACAAAAACAAAAAAACAGGAATGGATCAGTAATTTCCTGTAGCTATTATCCCCGAAATACTTTTGTATTATTCTGCCCGTTTTCTGATAGCTCATAATCAAAGAAAGATCACTGCAGGTGTTTGGACACAAAAATCCTAGCAGCTGGTGCCCCTCGCAGCAGAATTTCAACCTGACACACTGGGAGCCAGAATGTTTGTTGGCTCTGATAAGCTAATAACCACATGTTTCAATGTCCCGTGTCCCTGAAGAAGCCATTTTCATGTGACTTTCCTGCTTCAGACCAGGCCCAGTTCACTGAGTTAAAAACCAAAATGCTCATCGTGGCCTACAAGTTCCTCCGTGACCTGGCCTGTAGCCAGTTTTCTGGTACCGCTCTTCCCCTTGGTCTCTGTGCCTTCTTTCACTTCCTCCAAGTTGCACCAAGCCCTTTCCGGCCTCGGACTGGGTTAGTCAGAACTCTTTCAGTTTCAAGTGACAGAAACCCAACTCGAACTGGACTAAGCCTTTAGAGTGTATTAGGCTCATACAACCGAAAAGTCCCAAGAAGGCCGGGCGTGGTGGCTCACGCCTGTAATCCCAGCACTTTGGGAGGCTGAGGTGGGCGGATCACCTGAGGTCAGGTTCGAGACCAGCCTGGCTAACATGGTGAAACCCCCGTCTCTACTAAAAATACAAAAATTAGCCAGGCATGGTGGTGTGCGTCTGTAATCCCAGCTACTCGGGAGACTGAGGCAGGAGAATTGCTTGAACCTGGGAGGCGGAGGTTGCGGTGAGCCGAGATCGCGCCATTGCACTCCAGCCTGGGCAACAAGAGTGAAACTCTGTGAAAGGAAGGAAGGAAGGGAGGAAGGAAGGGAGGGAGGAAGGAAGGAATGAAGGAGGAAGGAGGAAGGAGGAAGGAGGAAGGAGGAAGGAAGGAAGGAAAGAAAGAAAGAAAGAAAGAAAGAAAGAAAGAAAGAAAGAAAGAAAAGAAAAGGAAAGAAAAGAAAAGAAAAGAAAGAAAGAAAGGACGGACCCAAGAAGGTGGATTCAGACATAGATGGCTCTAGTCTCCCTTGGCTGCCCCTAGTCTCCACTGCATTATCTTCATTCTCAGTCTCTCCCAAAGGGATGGAAGGATGGTCCTAAGGTTGCAGCCTAATTAGCCATCCAGGTGGAAAGAGGACTCTCATTTCCTCTTTATTGCTCTAGAAAAAGGTCCTGTGGGCCAGGTGCAATGGCTCATGCCTGTAATCCCAACACTTTGGGAGGCCAAGTTGGGCGGATCACGAGGTCAAGAGATTGAGACCATCTGGCCAACATGGTGAAACCCTGTCTCTACTAAAAACACAAAAATTAGCTGGGTGTGGTGGTGCAAACTTGTAGTCCCAGCTACTTGGGAGGCTGAGGCAGGAGAATCGCTTGAACCCAGGAGGCAGAGGTTGCAGTGAGCTGAGACTGCGCCACTGCACTCCAGCCTGGGCTGCAGGGCGAGACTATTCTGTCTCAAAAAAAAAAAAAAGAAGAAGGCCCTGTGGATAAGGCTCATTGAATCAGCTGGCGTGACACAACCATCCCTGAACCAATCGCTGTGATCAGTAGGGTAGGCTTCACTGATCAGTCAGCCTTGGGTCTTGTGCCTCACACCCTCCCACCAGCACTGGTGGGGGAATCTGCCCCATCTGAAACATGAACACTGGCAATCAAGAAGGGAAATAGCCGCAGGCAGGCAAAAACAACAGGTGTCCACGGCAAGCCTCTGTTCATATCCTCCCCTCTGCCTGGAGCACCCTTCACCCACTTTTCACTGTGACAGCAAGGTTATTTTTCACAGCTTTGGTAGAGCAGGCAAAAGATTAGAAGTGGCACAGCTGCCTATTAATAAGAAATTGCACTTTGGGAGGCTGAGGTGGGAGGATCCCTCGAGCCCAGGAGTTTGAGGCCAGCTTGAGCAACACAGTGAGACCCCATCTCTACAAAAAATAAATAAACTAGCCAGGTGTAGTGGTCCTGTAGTCCCAGCTACTTGGAAGCCTGAGGTGGGAGGATTGCTTGAATCCAGGAGTTTGAGGCTGCAGTGAAACCCTGTCTCTAAAAAAAAAAAGAAAGAATGTAGAGAATAACCTTGCTTGTGCTTCAGACATAGGCAGTAGAATGCCGAAATAGGCTTGTCCCTGCTCCGGAGAGCCACTTCCTAAAAAGTCAGGAATCTTAAGTCAGTTGTACACTGTAGGTAGCTTGAAATTAGCCATGGTGGAAGTATTTACACCACAGAAATGGGCAAATGCTGCAAACCAGGGCTGTTTTGTTTGTTTGTTTTTCCCTTGGAGAGCCTCTTTATCAGCACAACACTGCCAGAGAGGGGTTTGAAAAGTTCCTCTGGTCAGAGGTCAAAGAGCACTGACAATTAGCCCCAAGAAATCAGAACAGCCAGGTATGGTGGCTCATGCCTGTAATCCCAGCAGTTTGGGAGGCTGAGGCAGGAGGATCTTGAGCTCAGGATTTCGAGACCAGCCTGAGCAACATGGTGAAACTCCATCTCTACAAAAAATACAAAAAATTAGCTGCGTGGTGGTGTGTGCCCGTGGTTCCAACTACTTGGGTGGCTGAGGTGGGAGGATTGCTTGAACCCGGGAGGTTGAGGCTTCAGTGAGCTTAGATTGCGCCACTGCATTCTAAGCCTGGGTGACAGAGCAAGACCCTGTTAAAAAGAAAAGAAAGAGAAGGAAGGAAGGAGGGAGGGAGGGAAGAAAGGAAGGAGGGAAGGAAGGAAGGAAGGAAGGAGAGAAAGAAAGGAAGGCAAGACAAGGCTTGGCTTTGGGCAGAAGGGAGAAACTTATTGGGTCAAAGGAGGAACAGAAGTCTAGGTAGTTGACTTTTCTTCCAAAGTACAGATCCCTTTGAAGTAAAGCCAAGGCACTATGAGGGTCGTGACCCTGAATCATATAAGGTGCCGGCTGGTCTTTGTTTAATGCTCGCTGATCTTTGTTAAATGCACTGGTTGGTAGGATAGTGCTTTTGTCTAGAGCTAAGGTCAAAGAATATTACACTAAGGCAAAGATTTCTCCCTACTTGCAGTAGGGATCAAATAGGAAAATGAATGCAAACATTTGGAAAAGTACGAAATAGCCTCCCAAAATATTAGGCAAAAGTTAGAGAAAATGATGATTCATGCTACAATAATTACTACCTTTCCAAGGAAAAATCAAATCCTTTATGCTTCTGGCACAGTAACATTGCAATGTACATTACCACTCACTGCATTGCCTCAACAGTCATCATTTCGTGCCCCCAGGAAAGGAAAGTTACAGTGATTCGGAAAAGCAAAAAAAATCTCCACAGTTATTGACAACAGTATTCATGGAGGTTAAAGAGGCAGTTTGGCCTCATTTTATTGTGAACTCCGGTTCTTATAACAGCAAGAATAATCATCCACTTTTTTTTTTTTGTAATGCACCCTTGATGTGAAAATCCAGGAAATAAAATGTTTCCAATTCAAGATGTTCTTTCCATATAATTCCCAGCATCCTCCCTCCCTTAGCCCTGAGACCATCAGACAGGACCAAGAATCTCTCCCTCCCTTCTTTCTTCACAGATAACTTTCTCATTGGCCAGCCTGCCCTCAGCCCCTGCACTGTTAAATGCTAGCGGCTTCCTTCCTCCCTCCCTCCCTCCCTCCTTTCCTTCCTTCCTTTTTTATTTATTTATTTATTTTTTATTTATTTATTTTTTTGAGCTAGGATCTCGCTCTGTCACCCAGGCTGGAGTGCAGTTGTGTGATCATGGCTCACTGCAGCCTCGACCTCCTGGGCTCAAACAATCCTCCCCTCAGCCTCCCGAGTAGCTGGGACCACAGGCATGTGCCAGCCACCACAACTGGCTAATTTTTTTTTTTTTTTTTTTTTTTTTGAGACTGGGTCTCGCTCTGTCACCCGGGCTGGAGTGCAATGGCACGATCTCGGGTCACTGCAACCTCTGCCTCCCGGGTTCAAGTGATTCTCCTGCCTCAGCCTCCCAAGTAGCTGGGATTACAGATGCCTGCCACCACGCCTGGCTAATTTTTTTTTTTTTTTTTTGAGATGGAGTTTCTCTCTGTCACCCAGGCTGAAATGCAGTGGTACGATCTTGGCTCACTACAACCTCCCCCTCCTGGGTTCAAGCGATTCTTCTGCCTCAGCCTCCCAAGTAGCTGGGACTACAGGCGCGAGCCACCATGCCCAGCTAATTCTTGTGTTTTTAGCAGAGAGGGGGTTTCACCATATTGGCCAGGCTGGTCTCGAACTCCTGACCTCGTGATCCATCCACCTCAGCCTCCCAAAGTGTTGAGATTACAGGCGTTGAGCCACAGCGCCTGGCATTTTTTAAAAAAATATTTTAAGTAGAGACGGGGTTTCATCATGTTGACCAGGCTGGTGTCGAACTCCTGACCTCAGGTGATCCGCCTGCCTCGGCCTCCCAAAGTGCTGGGATTGCAGGCGTGAGCCACCGCGCCTGACCACAACTGGCTAATTTTCAAATTTTTAATAGAGACAGGGGTCTCACTATGTTGTCCAGGCTGGTCTTGAACTCCTGGCCTCAATCAATCCTCCTGCCTCTGCCTCCCAAAGTGGTAGGATTACAGGCGTAAGCTGCTGTGCCCGGACTACCTCTTTCTTAATATGCAAATTGTCCCCACGTAGTAGGGGCTCAAAAGGAAGGCGGTGCTGGGGTGAAAGCAGGCATCAATTTAAGCAGTTCTTAGACTAGAGCCATAAAACCAAACTACACTGTCTGTCATCACCTGAAGAGAGGGGCTGTTCCAGGCGCAGCTGGGAACACAGCAGCAAACTGGGTTTCCCAAACGTGAGTTAACCAGCATCTTACACGCGGGTTAAAATGTCCCCTTACGTTATGAGATGTAGGGAAGGGGTGGTTCCTGATCAAGAAGGCCACTTCAAACCAGATGACTTTGCTTGTCTGCATAGAGCCTGCACTGTGCATGGCTGCCCTGTGTCACAGATGGGCTCTTGCTTCCTTCTGTCAATTTCAGGAAAGATGTGTGCTGGGAGACCTGGGGCAGGAAGAGAGGGATGCCCCTAACTACATTACTCTGTAGAATCAGATTAAGATGCTCAAGTAGAGGGGCCTAGGAGAGGGAAGGAGTTCACGGAAGGGCAAGCAGAGAGGAGGAGGAATGATTTCCAGCATCCCCATCTTCCCTGTCCCTCCTGCTCCACTGCTCTGAGCACTCCCTCCCTGCACAGAGGGACTAGAAATAGGATCTCAGGGCTGGGAGAGCAATGGCTCATGCCTGTAATCCCAGCATTTTGGGAGGCTGATGTGGGAAAATCACTTGAGCCCAGGAGTTCGAGACCAGCCTGGGCAACACGGCAAAACCCCCATTTCATTATTGTTATTATTTTTAAAGACAGAGTCTCACTCTGTTGCCCAGGCTAGAATGCAGTGGAGTGAGCTCAGCTCACTGCAACCTCAGCCTCCTGGGTTCAAGAGATTCTCCTGCCTCAGCCTCCTGAGTAGCTGAGATTACAGGCACCCACCACCACACCCAGCTAATTTTTCTATTATTGGTAGAGATGGGGGTTTCACCGTGTTGGCCAGGCTGGTTTTGAACTCCTGACCTCAGGTGATCCACCCACCTCGGCCTCCCAAAATGCTCGGATTATAGGCGTGAACCACCGTGCCCGGCCCCAAACCCCCATTTCTACAAAAAAAAAAAAAAAAAAAAAATTAGCCAGGTGTCATGGTGCATACCTGTGGTCTCAGCTACTCAGGAGGCTGAGGCAGGAGGTTTGGTTGAGCCTGAGAAATTGAGGCTGCAGTGAGCTGTGATTATACCATTGTCCTCCAGCCTGGGTAACAAAGCAAGACCCTGTCTCAAAAAAAAAAAAAAAAAAAAGGATCTTGGGACTTTTCACAGGGCCCAGGGCCCAGGCCTCCCATCCAGAGAGGGCCTCCCACCAAGATGTGCACATCCCCTCTGACAGGACCGAGTTTTAAAAATCAACAACAGTGTTGGTAACCCTATTTGGTTTTTCTGCTTTTTTCTTTTTCATTAAGTGAGACCTTTAAAAAACAGAAGTGCCTTGGTCTTCTCTCAACCTCTGAGAGGCCCTGTGTGCTGCGGGCATCTGCTTTTCAGCTGGGAAAGTTCAGCCTCCTCCCACTCCACAGCCTCTCTCTGGCTCCAACCATCAGCCCCCAGCTGGGGTGTCAGGTGGGACCTTCAGAAAGGTGGTGTCTTGAGTTGAGTTCCTGCAGAAGCTGACTAGGGACAGACTCCGTGCAATAGTGGCATGAGCCACTGTGCCTGGCCACAAATGGCTTTATTTTATGTATTAAATTAATAATTAGGGCTGGGTGCGGTGGCTCAAGTCTGTAATCCCAACACTTTGGGAGGCTGAGGTGGGCGGATCAGTTGAGGTCAGGAGTTCGAGACCAGACTGGGCAACATGGTGAAACCCCGTCTCTACTAAAAATACAAAAATTTGGCAGGCGTGGTCGCGGGTGCTTATAATCCCAGCTACTCAGGAGGCCAAGGCAGAGAATCACTTGAACCTGGGAGGCAGAGGCTGCAGTGAGCTGAGATTGTGCCACTGCACGCCAGCCTAGGCAACAGAGTGAGACTCTGTCTCAAAAAAAATTAATTAATAATTATTAATTAATTTGCCCAGGCTGGAGTGCAGTGGTGTGAATACAGCTCACTGCAGCCTTGAACTCCTGGGCGCAGGTAATCTTCCTGCCTCTGTCTCCCGAGTAGCTGAGATAACAGTTGTAAGCCACCATACCTGGCTAATTATTTTATTTTTTGTAGAGATGAGGTCTCACTTTGTTGCCCAGGCTGGGCTTGAACTCCTGGGCTCAAGCGATCTGCCTGCCTCAGCTTCCCAAAGTATTGGGATCACAGGTGTGAGCCACTGTGCCTGGCCACAAATGACTTTCTGAGACCCATCTCCTCCCCATTTCTAATCTTAAGAAAATCAGAGGATCAGGCCACATTGGGCCCACGTCCCTGTCTTGCAACTCTTGGTTGAACTGAGAAGTGACTGCCTCTTTTATTTATTTATTTATTTATTTGTTTGTTTGTTTGTTTGTTTGTTTTGAGACAGAGTCTCGCTCTGTCTCCCAGGCTGGAGTGCAGTGGCACAATCTCGGCTCACTGCAACCTCCACCTCCCGGGTTCAAGCAATTCTCCTGCCTCAGCCTCCTGAGCAGCTGGGACTACAGGTGCGTGCCACCACGCCCAGCTAATTTTTGTATTTTCAGTAGAGACAGGGTTTCACCATATCGGCCAGGCTGGCCTTGAACTCCTAGCCTCGTGATCCACCCACCTCGCCTCCCAAAGTGCTGGGATTACAGGCGTGAGCCACCGTGCCCGGCTGTGACTGCCTCTTTTAAATAGAGCCACGCTTTCCTCTGGGTCCCCATTTGGTGCATTTCACACCTTTTGTTAGTTCAGTGTCAATATCTTGCCTCTAGAGAAGTCAGGGACCATTTCTGTCTTATCCTTCTAAAACCCTCCTCCCACCCTCCTAGTCACTTGCTACCCCACCCACACTGTCTCCCTGTGGCTTGCACACGTTCCCTTTGCACCTGTACTTCCCTCTGTCTGCCCAGAACACTCTCTTTCCAGAGTTCCTGCTGGCTCACACACTTTCTGCTTTGGTACAGATGAGCATTCTTGGAAACCAAGTGTTAAGGACAGTGGAGCCACAAGATAGGGGTTCAGGAACATGGATCCCCGAATCTGTACCTGGTGGAGGAGGAACTCCATTGATCAGGAACTCCTATTGTGAAATTTATAGGAGAAGAACTAAATGATTGCATCAAACCATCAAGATTTGGAGCTTATCTGTCCATGACCCTGGCAGTACCCTAAATGATGAACAAGGTGAGTCACATTTGGGGTGGAATGCTTGCAAGCTCGCTTGTCCACACACCAAAAGCCATATTCGCCAGCCAGCATTGTTGGGGATAATGGTGATCATTTGTTCTCACTCTGAGACAAGCATTTGTCTTTCAAACTATTCTGAATTCAGGTGATAGAAAAGGATGTTGCTTATTACGACACTTAAAATTCCAACAAGAATTAAGGCCTGAATAATACCATGGGTGGTATTGATGGTATTGATGGGGAGAAGGGAGGAACAGGTTCTGAAACACATATAAAAAATTCGATCGGATGGCACAATTGTTTTCCAGGCAAAAGAGCAAACCAAACTATTTTTAAATGTCAAGAGCTAAATAGCCTGGAGAAAATGTAATATATTACAAGCAGTAAGCAACAGACCTACACATAAGTTGATACCTTTCAACATAACAGAATGGCGAGTCCTGGCTTAACCTTCTGCACTTCCAAACCGGTTCCCTCCTAGAATTAACATTTTCTTGTCATCTTAGAGTAAAGGCTGTGCATTCTCAGCCATTAAGTCTTCCAGGCTGAAAGCTTTCCTTAAACTTGTTTCAATCCGTCTTTGATTCTGAAATGCTCCAATTACATTTCCATAGTGGCCATGTTAATTAATGGTGATGATCAGACTTAATGAAAGAGGGAATTAGTAAGCCATTCCCTGGCCACTTTCATAAAAAGGGAGAGTGCTAACAAGTGCTAATGGCCTGACATGGAAACCTCACCTTCCCCGGAGCTTTTAACCTGCAGTCACATCCTGAAACATAACCCGAAGGCTGCTCTAAGCAACTGGGTGTTTGATCTTCTTCTTGTAAGCAGAGCTACTTATACTCAGATTTCTCAACTGAATTCATCCTAGAAAATAGGGCCTTCAGGCCTGGCATGGTGGCTCACACCTGTAATCCCAGCACTTTGGGACGCTGAGGTCGGGGGATCACCTGAGGTCAGGAGTTCAAGACCAGCCTGGTCAACATGGTAAAACCCTGTCTCTACCAAAAGTACAAAAATTAGCCAGGTGTGGTGTCACATGCCTGTAGTCCCAGTTACTTGGGAGTCTGAGGCAGGAGAATCGCTTGGACCCGGGAGGTAGAGGTTGGAGTGAGCCGAGATCGCACCACTGCACTCCAGCCTGGTAACAGAGTGAGACTCTGTCTCAAAAAAAAAAAAAAAAAAGGGGGCCTTCAAGCAGCAAGAGATTTGGGTCCAGAAAACCATGACTGGCAAAAGCCAATAATTTTGCCCACAGACTTAATAGTTGCATTATCATGTAGTATACATTGTTATGTTAGTATGTTATATGACATTATATTATTTTATAAAATTATGGGCTTTTTTTTGTTGTTTGGTTTTTTTTGAGACGGAGTCTTGCTGTGTCACCCAGGCTGGAGTGCAGTGGGGTGATCTCAGCTCACTGCAACCTCTGCCTCCCAGGTTCAAGCGATTCTCCTGCCTCAGCCTCCCAAGTAGCTGGGACTATAGGCGCATGCCACCACGCTTGGCTAATTTTTGTATTTTTAGTAGAGACAGAGTTTCACCATATTGGCCAAGCTGGTCTCAAACTCCTGACCTCGTGATCTGCCCGCCTCGGTCTCCCAAAGTGCTGGGATTACAGGCGTGAGCCACCGCGCCCGGCCAAAATTATGTTTTATAATTTTCTTTTTTATTTTATTTATGTTATCTACTGCACAAGAATTAAAGCTCTCTGTGTATGGCCAGGCCTGGTGGCTCACACCTGTAATCCCAGCATTTTGGGAGGCTGAGGCAGGTGGATCACTTCAGATCAGGAGTTCAAGACCAGCCTGGTTAACATGGTGAAACCCTGTCTCTACTAAAACTACAAAAATTAGCTGGGCGTGGTAGTGCGTGCCTGTAATCCCAGCTACTTCAGAGGCCGAGGCAGGAGAATCACTTTAATCCGGGAGGCGGAGGTTGCAGTGAGCCAAGATCCCACCACTGCACTCCAGCCTGGGCTACAGAGTGACTCCGTCTCAAAAAAAAAAAAACACCTCCTTGTGTAGAAGTTTGGTATTGTTCACTTCTGCATCCTCAGTGTCTATAAGAGTGAACAAGCTGGGTGTGGTGGCATGCACCTGTAGTCCCAACGACTTGGAAGGATTGCTTGAACCCAGGAGTTTGAGGCTGCAGTGAGCTATAATCACGCCACCGCACTCCAGCCTGGATGACACAGGGAGACCCAGTCTCAAAAAAAAAAAAAAAAAAAAAAAAAAAAAAAGCAGGTGCGGTGGCTCACGTCTGTAATCCCAGCACTTTGGGAGGCCAAGACGGTTGGGTCACATGAGGTCAGGAGTTTGAGACCAGCTTGGCCAACATGGCAAAACCCAGTATCTACTAAAAATACAAAAACTAGCCAGGCATAGTGGCACGCGCCTGCAGTCCCAGCTACTCGGGAGGCTGAGGCAGGAGAATCGCTTGAACCCAGGAGGCAGAGGTTTAGGTGAGCCAAGATAGCGCCACTGTACTCCAGCCTGGGTGACAGAGCAAGATTCCATCTCAAAAAAAAGAAAGACAATCACAAGTTTTTTGTTGTTGTTGTTTTTGAGATGGAGTCTCGCTCTGTCGTCCAGGCTGGAGTGCAGTGGCACGATCTTGGCTCACTGCAAGCTCTGCCTCTTGGGTTCACGCCATTCTCCTGCCTCAGCCTCCCAAGTAGCTGGGATTACAGGCGCCCACCACCATGCCCAGCTAATTTTTTTGTATTTTTAGTAGAGATGGGTTTTCACTGTGTTAGCCATGATGGTCTTGATCTCCTGACCTCGTGATCCACCCTCCTCGGCCTCCCAAAGTACTGGAATTCCAGGAGTGAGCCACCGCGCCCGGCTTGTTTTTTTTTTTTTTTTTTGAAATTTTTGTGTTTTTAGTAGAGACAGGGTTTTACCATGTTGGCCAGGCTGGTCTTGAATGCCTGACCTCAGCTGATCTGCCTGCCTCAGCCTCCCAAAGTGCTGGGATTACAGGTGTGAGCCACTGTGCCCTGACCCCATCTTGTTTTTTTTTGTTTTTTTTTTTTTTGAGAGGGAGTCTCACTCTGCCACCCAGGCTGGAGTGCAGTGGCGCAATCTCTGCTCACTGCACCCTCTGCCTCCCGGGTTCAGGCAATTCTCCTGCCTCAGCCTTCTGAGTAACTGGGATTACAGGTGTGCACCACCACATCCGGCTAATTTTTGTATTTTTAGTAGACATGAGGTTTCACCATGTTGGTCAGGCTGGTATCAAACTCCTGACCTTGTGATCCACCTGCCTCGGCCTCCCAAAGTGCTGGGATTACAGGTGTGAGCCACACGCCTGGCCCCCATCTTGTTTTTAAACTCCAAACTGCCCTTGGTCACTCTTGAGTGTGGAGTGAGCTAACATTGGGA
Source organism: Homo sapiens (assembly GCF_000001405.40). Taxonomy (NCBI): domain Eukaryota; kingdom Metazoa; phylum Chordata; class Mammalia; order Primates; family Hominidae; genus Homo; species Homo sapiens. The sequence continues at coordinate 47,426,424 of NC_000020.11, forward strand.
GAAATTTAGTTCATAGTTTAAAGGATAATGGCTCTTCCCTAAACTAAGCTGCTTTATAAAACTAATAAAAGGCCACAAGTTTAAGATTATAAGAGGGGTCTGAATTCTGCTAAAATGTAGGCATAGTTAAATAATTACCAGCCATTGTTCTGGAAGTCACAACTTCCCCAGTTAGTCCTGTAAATAACATCACTATTATAAAACTTAAGATTGGGGCCAGGCACGGTGGCTCATACCAGTACTCCCAGCACTTTGTGTGCCAAGGCAGAATTGCTTGAGTCCAGGAGTTCAAGACAGCCTGGGCAACATAGGGAGACCCCGTTTCTACAGAAAACAAAACAAAACAAAAATAGCAGTCATGGTGGTGCATGCCTGTGGTCCCAGCTACCTGGGAGGCTGAGGCAGGAGGACTGCTTGTGCCTGGGTGGTAGAGGCTGCAGTGAGCCATGATCAACCACTGCACTCCAGCCTGGGTGACAGAGTGAGACCCTGTCTCAAAACAAACAAACAAACAAACAAAAAACAAAACCAAAGAAACCAAAAAAACAAACAAAAAAAACCAAAAACCTAAGATTGGCCTTCCAAGATATCTTTTCAGATTTTTGCATTTCTGACTACTAGGTAACTCCACTTGGATCAGCAACTCCTCTGTGGCCCTTACCCAGAAGCAGACTCAGTGCACAAGGACTGTTTTCCACAGCCCTGTGATTGCATCCCCAACCAGTCGGCAGCACCCATTCCCTAGCCTCCTGCCTCCTATCCTTGAATAACCCTAGCCTTCAAATTTCGGGGGTGGTTGATTTGAGTAATAATAAAACTCCAGTCTCTTGCTTAGCCAACTCTAGGCATATTAAGCTCTTTCTCTATTGCAATTCTCCTGTTTTAATAAATTGGCTCTATCTGGGCAGTGGGGAAGGAGAACCCACTGGGCAGTTATGTACCTATGTAAATGCATACTAAGAATTTTGGAGGCTGGGCACAGTGGTTCACACCTGTAATCCCAGTGCTTTGGGAGGCCCAGGCAGAAGGATGGCTTGAGCCCATGAGTTCAACACCAGCCTGGGCAACATAGTGAGATCTCATCTCTCCAAAAAAATTTTTTTTTAAATTACCTGGGTGTAGTGACAAGCACCTGTAGCCCCAGCTACTTGGGAGACTGAGGTGGGAGGATCGCTAAAACCTGGGACGTGGAGGTTGCAGTGAGCAGAGATCACATCACTGCTCTCCAGCCTGGGTGACCGAGCAAGATCCTGTCTCGGAAAAAAAAAATTTTTTTTTGGAAGAATCTACCTAAAACCTATGACAGTGGTTACTTCAGGGGAAGGGCCTGAGATTGGGAACTGTAGTTGAAGGCTACTTCAGATTTACCTGGAATGATTCTCAGCCAGGGGTGATTCTGCCCTTTTTTTTTTTTTCTTCCTTCTGCTTTTTGCAGAGCAGGGCTACCCCACAGGCAATGCGCCCGAAGTAGTTGATTCTGCTCTCTAGGGATATTGGGCAATGTCTGGAGATATTTTGGGTTATCACAAATGGTTGAGATGGGGGAGGGTGCTACTAGCATCCAGTGGGTCAAGGCCGGGGATACTGCAAAATAGTCCACAATGCTTAGCACAGCCCCCGCAACAAAGAATTATCCAGCCTAAAATGGCAATGGTGCTGAAATTGAGAACCCTGATCTGGATCATTTTAACTTTTATAAGGAGATAGGATTCAAGTATTATTTGCATAATTTAAAAAGGGCTGAAAAAACAATGATGTGGCGGGGAGGAGTCTCTCTGAAACTATTTTGGTCTGGGAGGCTGCCTGATTAAAAAAAAAAAAAGACAGGGATGCTGTGATCCACCGTCCACCTTCCCTTCCCTCTGCAGGACACAGCAGGTATTCCCCTAGCTGCCAGGAGTGTTAGCTGCTACTCCCTCACATTCTGATGAGTCCCTCTTCAGAAATTGCCCTGAGCTGAAGGAAGCTGCCTTGTTCAACAGCCTTTCTCCTTGAGAAGCCTCTGCACTGTTGACATCATGCTTTGTAGCAGGGGTTGGGGGAAGTGTCCTGTGCCCTGTAGGACACGTGGCAGCATTCCTGGCCTCTATCCACTAGATGCTAGCAGCCCCCTCTTTTTTTTTTTTTTTTTTTGAGAGAGTCTTGCTCTGTGCCCCAGGCCGGAGGGCAGTGGCATGATCTCGGCTCACTGCAACCTCTGCCTCCAGAGTTCAAGCAATTCAATTCTCCTGCCACAGCCTCCGAAGTAGCTGGGATTACAGGCGCGCACCACCATGCCCAGCTAATTTTTGTATTTTTAGTAGAGGTGGGTTTCACCATGTTGGCCAGGCTGGACCCCTTCTCCTATTAAAATAACCAAAAATATCTCTGAACATCACCAAATATCCTCTGGGAGGCAAAATTCTCCCCCTCCCTGCATTAAGAACCACTGATGTACCCAGTGCCTGGTTAATACAGCAGCACAAAGGCCCAGCCCCCTGACCTCAGTTTGGAGTATCTCTGAGGGCCATCTCAGGCTTTGTTGAGATTGCATCATAAATTCCTCTCTTTACCCAATCCTCCTTCCCTCTCCCCATCATAGGTGTTGTTTTCCAGAGCATTCTCCAATAAATATTCTGGTGCAAATCTCCCTCCCAGAGACTGTTCCTTGGGGCCACTGACCCAAGACCAAGACGAAGGCTTAGGGGGGTTAAGTGGCTTTTCAAAGGTCCCACAGCAGGCTGGATGTGGAGCTAAGACTGTGACCTTTCTCCTCACTCCACAATTGGTGCTCACAAGCATTGCGCTTCAAGGCCTTATTCTTGGGCTCTGCTGACCACAGCTATCTTTTTCTTTTTTTTTGAGACAGAGTCTCGCTCTGTTACCCAGGCTGGAGTGCAGTGGCATGATCTCGGCTCACTGCAATCTCTGCCTCCTGTGTTCAAGTGATTCTCCTGACTCAACCTCCTGAGTAGCTGGGACTACAGGTGCCCGCCACCATTTCCTACTAATTTTTGTATTTTTAATAGAGATGTTGCCCGCCTTGGCCTCCCAAAGTGCTGGCATTGCAGGAGGAGCCACTGCACCCGGTGCGCAACTATCCTTGATCTCTAGAGGACTTTTCAACCCCCTTGCCTACCCCATGTGTATTTCTATAATAGAAGAAACAGAAGAAAAATTCATAGAATGTGCAACCCAGTGGCATGAACTTCAGCCCTCTTCCTTTGTTGTTCTTAAGCAATATATCTTGTAGTTGTGCTTGTCTGCACCCTCTCAACTGGTTGACAGCCAGCAAGTTCAAACACATAGACTTTTCAACTACAAGTATCTAATATGATTGCATAAAGTCCTTTGTGCTCAAAAAACTTAAAAAATTTTTTTTGTTTTTTATAGAGACAAGGTCTTGCTATGTTGTCCAGGCTGGTCTCAAACTCTTGGGCTCAAGCGAACCTCCCATCTTGGTCTCCCAAAATGCCGGAATTACAGGTGTGAACCACTGTGCCTGGCCAGAAAACTTTTTTGTGTATTTGTTTTTTGTAGAGATGGCAGTCTCACTATAGCCCAGGCTAGTCTGGAACTCCTGGGCTCAAGAAATCCTCCCACCTCTGCATTTTTTGTTTTTGTTTTTTGATAAAAGTATGGATGTGAGATAATGGGCCCATACAAGTATGTGGCTGGGACAAGGTCATTTCTCGGTATGATGGTCCATTTCTAACATCATGGGACAGTTATGGAGGTTAGAATGCTGTGGTCTGGTGTGAGAACTCTTGCTATGCCAATAATAATAATAAACATTAGGCTGGGTGAGGTGGCTCACGCCTGTAATCCCAGGACTTTAGAAGGCCGAGACCAGAGGATTGCTTGAGCCCAGGAGTTCAAGACCATCCCGGGCAACATAGCGAGACGCTGTCCTGTTAATAAATAAAAATAAAGGCTGGGCGCGGTGGCTCACGCCTGTAATCCCAGCACTTTGGGAGGCCAAGGTGAGCAAATCACGAGGTCAAGAGATCGAGACCATTCTGGCCAACATGGTGAAACCCTGTCTCTACTAAAAATACAAAAATTAGCCGGGCGTGATGGCAGGTGCCTGTAGTCCCAGCTGCTCAGGAGGCTGAGGCAGGAGAATCGCTTGAACCCGGGAGGCGGAGGTTGCAGTGAGCTGAGATCGCGCCACTGCACTCCAGCTTGGCGACAGAGCGAGAGTCCGTCTCAAAAAAAAAAATCAATAAAAATATAAAAGAATAATAAACATTAATCGAGCTATTGCTATATACCAAACACTACATACTTATATATATATTTATGTATTATTAAATATATACTATATTAATATATAATACATATAATGTATTTTATAATTAATAGTTAATAGTAACATAATATTAATATTATATTACTGTATGTATATATACTGTATAGGTGTATGTATACTGCATTGTACTTTACTATATTTACTGTTATATATATACATACATATTTATAACATATAAAATAACATTATATATCAAGTTATCAATAGGCAGATATTGTTATTTCACCCACTTACTGGTGAGAAATCTGAGTCACAGAGAAGCTAAGTAACTTACTCAAAGTCACACAGCTAGTAAATGGCAGAGCCACTCCAGCCTGCATGACCGCTCTTCATTTTCAGAAGGTGCGGCTCTAACTCAGAGCACATTTATTCAACTGAATGCATTTATGAGGAAGATCTTGAAAGCCTGTCTCCCTCTCTCCCTCCCAACACATCAAAAAATAATGGAATGTAAAACAATTGGCTGGTCTTCATCTTAAACTGGTCGGCTTAAGCTGGTCAGTGTCAACCAGGTTCAAGTTATGGAACTGTGTGTAAATGTTGAAAATGTATCATTGTATCTTTTTTTTTTTTTTTTAAGAGACAGGGTCTCCATATGCTACTATGACTAGCAGCATAGTCATAGCTCACTGTAACCTTGAACTCCTGGGCTCAGGTGATACTCCTTTCACCTCAGCCTGCTGAGTAACTGGGACTATAGACAGGCACCACCACGCTTGGCTAATTTTTTAATTTTTTGTACATATTGGAGTCTCACTATGTTGCCCAGGCTGGTTTCTTTCTTTTTTTTTTTTTTCTCCTGAGATGGAGTCTTGCTCTGTCACCCAGGCTGGAGTGCAGTGGCGCTATCTCAGCTCATTGCAAGCTCCACCTCCTGGGTTCACACCATTCTCCTGCCTCAGCCTCCCAAGTAGCTGGGACTACAGGCACCTGCCACCACGCCTGGCTAATTTTTTGTTTATTTTTAGTAGAGACGGAGTTTCACCGTGTTAGCTAGGCTGGTCTCAATCTCCTGACCTCGTGATCCACCTGCCTTGGCCTCCCAAAGTGCTGGGATTCCAGGCATGAGCCATGGTGCCCAGCTTGCCCAGGCTGGTTTCAAACTCCTGCCCTCAGGTGATCCTCCCACTTCAGCCTCCCAAAGCATTGAGATTAGAGGGGTGAGCCACCATACCTAGCCCTGTGTATTGTATCTTAAAAGGAAAATGTAATTATGGATTTATGGTATATTTTCTTTTTTTTTTGAGACGGAGTCTCACTCTGTCACCCAGGCTGGAGTGCAGTGGCGCAATCTTGGCTCACTGCAAGCTCCGCCTCCTGGGTTCACACCATTCTCCTGCCTCAGCCGCCTGAGCAGCTGGGACTACAGGTGCCCACCACCACGCCCAGCTAAGTTTTCTGTATTTTTAGTAGAGATGGGGTTTCACCATGTTAGACAGGATGGTCTCGATCTCCTGACCTCGTGATCTGCCCGCCTCAGCCTCCTAAAGTGCTGGGATTACAGGCGTGAGCCACCGCGTCCGGCCAATTTATGGTATATTTTCTTGCATTGAAACTGGAAACTCTTGCAACACATAAGTACATTATTCAACTTCCAGTTATTCAAGAAACACTCTAATTTTTTTAGCCATCATGTATTGCATAAAAACAGTGGGAGAGTTGATCAATTACTCACTGTTTATTTAAAGCTGTGGTTTAAACACTTTCTGTATAGTATCTCTTTATTGAAGGATTGTTGAGAGAGCTGGAATTACCTCTGTCACTCATCTTTGTGCTAAGAAACCCTGATGTGTGTTTTGTATTGGTTAGTTTTTGCTTCTCTACTGATGAACAGGATCTGATCAAGTTGAGCTTGCAGTAGAATAATTCACAGAAAAGTGCAGGGTGCGGTGAGTCACGCCTGTAATTCCAGCACTTTGGGAAGCCAAGGTGGGTGGATCACGTGAGGTCAGGAGCTCAAGACCAGCCTGGCCAATGTGGCGAAACCCCGTCTCTACTAATAGTACAAAAGTTAGCCGGGCATGGTGACGCGTGCCTGTTGTTCCAGCTACTCAGGAGATTGAGTCAGGAGAATTGTTGGAACCTAGAGACGGAGGCCGCAGTGAGCCGAAATCGCTCCACTGCACTCCAGCCTGCGCGACAGAGCAAGACTCTGTCTCAAAAAAGAAAAAAGAAAAAACAAAAAAGAATAATTCACAGAAAAGTTAAGAAAGGTTATCTATGGCCTCTTAATCTTCCTGATCTGAAACGGCAACTTGGGGTAAGGGAAGAATGTTGAGGAAGTGGAGCATAAAAAAAAAAAAAAAAGAGGAAGAAGAGAAAGAGAAGAGGGAGTGAGGGGGAGAGAGAGTGAGGAAGGAAGGGAAGAAGGGAGGGAGGGAGGAAAGAGAAAAGGAAAGAAAGAAGGAAGAAAAAAGGAAGGAAGAGAGAAAAAGAGAAAAGGTTGGTGTCATAAATAGTGTAAATATACTTAATAAGCAAGTGAAATCAAAGGCTGAGTAGTACGTCATACTGATGTCTAGTATTTTAAAATTTAGGCTGGGCACGGTGGCTCACACCTGTAATCCCAGCACTTCAGGAGGCAGCGGCGGATGGATCACCTGAGGTCAGGAGTTCGAAACCAGCCTGGCCAACACGGTGAAACCCTGTCTCTGCTAAAAATACAAAAATTAGCCAGGTGTGGTGGCGTGCACCTGTAATCCCAGCTACTCCGGAGGTTGAGGTAGGAGAATCGCTTGAACCCGGGAGGCGGAGGTTGCAGTGAGCCAACATTGTGCCATTGCACTCCAGCCTGGGAGACAAGAGTGAGACTCAGTCTCAAAACAGAAAAAAAATAAAAAACATTTTTAAAAAAAAGGAAAAAGGAGAAAAATTTGGACACAGAGACATGGACATACAAGGGGAGAAGGCAGGTGAAGATGTAGGCAGAGCATGGAGTAATGCATCTACAAGCCAGGGAAAAACAAAAATTGCTGGCAACCTCTAGAAGGTACAGGTGGCAAGGAAGGAATCTTCCCTAGAGGTTTAGAAGGGAGTCCAGCCCCGCTGACACCTTGATTTTGAGCTTCTAGTCTCTGGAACTGTGAAAGAACATGTTTTGGTTGTTTAAAGCTACTAAGTTTTTGGTAATTTGTCATTGCAGCCCTACGATACAAATATATTCACAATAAAATAAATGAAAATTAAAATTATACTGACATGCCATTTTTAACCCGCCACTTAGACAAAGATCAAAAAGCCTGATAACAGACTAAGTTAGAAAATGTGTTGGGAAATTGATTGCTTTTATTTGCTGCTGGTGGGAGTGAATGTAAACTGATATAATCTCTAGAAATTACTTGACAATTTCTATCAAAATTACAAATGCACATATCTTTTGACCCAGCAATTCTGCTTCTAGGATTTTCTGACATTGGAGAAAGTTGCATACGTGGACAATTGCACATGGACACGTTATGTATCACAGCACTCTCTGTAACCACAGACATTTGGAATGAACACTAACTGTTCATTGTCAAGCGATGTTTGAGTACACTGAAGAACATCTATACTTGGAGTCAGCAAACTTTTTACATAATGGGCCAGAGAGTAAGTACTCTAGGTTTGCAGACCCAGAGGGCTCTGGTGCAATGACTCAACTCTGCAGTTGTAGCTCAAAAGTAGTCATACAGGCTGGGCACTGTGGATCACGTCTGTAATCTCAGCACTTTGGGAGGCTGAGGCGGGTGAATCACCTGAGGTCAGGAGTCCGAGACCAGCCTGGCCAACATAGTGAAACCTCGTCTCTACCAAAAATACAAAAATTAGCCGGTGTGGTACTGGACACCTGTAATCCCAGCTACTCGGAAGGCTGAGGCAGAAGAGTTGCTTCAACCTGGGAGGCAGAGGTTGCAGTGAGCTGAGATCGCACCATTGCACTCTAGCCTGGGCGACAGAGCGAGACTCCGTCTTAAAAAAAAAATGTAGTCATATATCATACATCATATATAAGTGAATGGGCATGGTTGTGTTCCAATAAAACTTTATTTACAAAAAACAGGCAATGGCCAGATTTGGCCCATGAGCCTGTTTGCTGATCCCTGATCTATTCAATGGAATATTATGAGCTGAAAAATTAGTGAGGTGGCTATGTTCTGCTCCACAGTGACTTCCAAGATTAAGTGAAGAAAGCAAGATTCAGAACAGTATGGATTTGTCAGAAAAAAATATATAAATTTATATAAAGAATTATTTGTATATTCACAGGCAATGTCTGGAAGTATCCATAAGAAAGTGGACCCATTACTTATTTCTGGGATAGGAAACTGGGTGGCTCAGTGTCTCAGTGGGGAAGATATTTTCCTTTGTGCTTTTTGAATTCTGAACCAAGCTGAAATTATTACCCATTCAGAAAACAAAATAAAAATGTGAAAAGGTAAGCAAATTTATTTCCCTACCACATACTTTTTCTTTGCAGGGCCAGTGAGCACAAATGGTTTTTAGTTCCGTTTTTGTTTGTTTGTTTGCTTTTAATAGAGATGACATCTCACTTTGTTGCTTGGGTTGGTTTCAAAAAGGCAAATTTTTCTTCTTTCTTTTCTTTTTTTTGGGATGGAGTCTCGATCTGTTACCCAGGCTGGAGTGCAGTGGCACCATCTTGGCTTACTGCAACCTCTGCCTCCCAGGTTCAAGCAATTCTCCTGCCTCAGCCTCCCGAGTAGCTGGGACTACAGGCATGCACCACCAAGCCCAGCTAATTTTTGTATTTTTAATAGAGACGGGGTTTCACCATGTTGGCCAGGCTGGTCTCGAACTCATGGCCCCAGGTGATCCTTCGGCCTCAGCCTCCCCAAATCCTGGGATTATAGGCATCAGCTATCACACCTGGCCGGGTTTTCACATTTTTGGATGGTTGAAAACAACCCCAAAAAGAATAATATTTTGAGAAGGGGGTGGGGGAAAAAAGAATATTTTGTGACAAAAGAAAATTATGTGAAATTCAAATTTCAGTGTCCACAAATAAAGTGTAATGGAACACAGCCCTGCCTATTCATTTGCATTCTGTCTATGATTGCTTTGCCTTACACTGGCAGACTTGAGTCATTGTGACGGAGAGCCCATAAAGCCTAAAATATTTATCTGGTCCTTTACATAAACAGTTTACAGATTGTTGTTCTAGATTAAAGAACAAAACAATCTTTCACATGCTTCTACAAATAGAAAGTTCATATTTAATATTGAATGACCATTCCATGAGGACTTTAAAAAATGAAATGGCTTATGAAGAACTCAAAATTAAATTGTGAATTTTCTTGCTTCTTCTTAGAGAATATTTTAAAAAGCTGTGGCCTCTAAACAAAAATAAAGCACTTATCCCATCTGTCTGGGTCTCACTGTGCACCGTGTTGGTGAGGCCATCAGAATGAAAATGTATCACAACCCACCTTCCCCTTTATTTTTATTTCTTATTTTATTTTATTTATTTATTTTTTTGAGACGGAGTCTTGCTCTGCCACCCAGGGGCGCGATCTCGGCTCACTGCAAGCTAGGCCTCCTGGGTTCACGCCATTCTCCTGCCTCAGCCTCCTGAGTAGCTGGGACTACAGGTGCCCGCCACCACGCCTGGCTAATTTTTTTGTATTTTTAGTAAAGACGGGGTTTCACCGTGTTAGCCAGGATGGTCTCGATCTCCTGACCTTGTGATCCACCTGCCTTGGCCTCCCAAAGTGCTGGGATTACAGGCGTGAGCCACTACGCCTGGCCTTATTTTTATTTTTAATTTATATATATATATATATTTTTGGGGGGGGGGGCAGGGACAGGGTCTCACTCTGTTGCCCACACTGGAGTGCAGTGGCGTGACCTGGGCTCACCACAACCTCCGCCTCCCGGGTTCAAACGATTCTCCTGCCTCAGCCTCCCGAATAGCTGGGATTACAGGTGCGTGCCACTGCTGCCGGCTAATTTTTGTATTTTTAGTAGAGACAGGGTTTCACCATGTTGGCCAGGCTGGTCTTGAACTCCTGGGCTCAAGTGATCCTCCTGCCTCAGCCTCCCAAAGTGCTGGGATTACAGGTGTGAGTCACTGCATCCGCCCCTCCCTGTCCCTTATTTGACAGAAAATTCAAAGTACTTGATGTTAACAAAAAGCTGAGATGACCTGGAATTGCTTTTAATTTTTACTAAGAATGAATCAAAGCTTTCTGTTGTTGTTTTGATGGTGGGAAGAACACACTTGTGCCTTTTTTTTTTTAAATCACCGATAAAACAAGGATACAAGGAAACTCTGCCTTCTGAAAGTTTTGTTCTTGGTTTATAAGAGACAATAAACCCACATAAAAAGTTATGTAATAAGAGGACAGTCAATAACTATGTTTTCAACCTTTTCGGCAATGATCCACAGTAAAATATATGTTTTATACTATGACTCAGTAGATACATATATACACACACAAAAAAATAAAAATATGGGGCTGGGTAAGGTGGCTCACACCTGTAATCCCAGCACTTAGGGAGATCAAGGTGGGTGGATTGCTCGAGCCCAAGAGTTTGTGACCAGTCTGGACAACATAGCAAGACCCCGTCTTTACAAAAAAATAAAAAAAACTAGCCAGGTGCAGTAGCATGCCAGTGGTTCCAACAGCTGGGGAGACTGAGGAGGGAGGATCACCTGAGCTCAGGAAATCGAGGCTGCAATGAGCCATGATCATGTCATTGCATTCCAGCCTGGGCAACAGCAAGAACCTGTTTCAAAAAAAGAGAAAAGGCAAAAATTTTTTTTTCTTGAGACAGAGTCTCACTCTGTTGCTCAGGGTGGAGTACAGTGGTGCGATCTTGGCTCACTGTAACCTCCACCTTCCAGGTTTGAGTGATTCTCCTGCCTCAGCCTCCCAAGTAGCTGAGAATACAGGTGTGTGCCACCAGGCTTGGCTAATATTTGTATTTTTAGTAGAGATGGAGTTTCACCATGTTGACCAGGCTGGTCTTGAACTCCTGACTTCAGGTGATCTGCCCACCTCGGCCTCCCATAGTGTTGGGGTTACAGGCATGAGCCACTGTGCCCAGCCAGAAAAGACAAATCTATTTTTTTGTTTGTTTGTTCTTTTTTTGAGTTGGAGTCTTGCTCTGTCGCCCAGGCCGGAGTGCCGTGGCGCCATCTCGGCTCACTGCAACCTCCACCTCTCGGGTTCATGCCATTCTCCTGCCTCAGCCTCCCGAGTAGCTGGGATTACAGGCACGTGCCACCACACCCGGCTAATTTTTGTATTTTTAGTAGAGAAGGGGTTTCGCCTTATTGGCCAGGCTGGTCTCGAACTCCTGACTTCGTGATCCACCCGCCTCAGCCTCCCAAAGTGCTGGGATTACAGGCATGAGCCATCGCGCCCAGCCAGAAGAGACAAATCTATTAAGGCAAAAAGTACATTAGTGGTTGCCTGGAGCTGGGAGTGGGATCAGAGATTAAGGATAAGCAGGCCTGAGAGTTCCTGCTGGGGTGATGAAAAAGCTGCATTATATTAAAAATTTACTAAAAATAATCGAATTACACAAACAAAAGCAGTAGATTTCATGGCATGTAAATTACATAGCAATAAAACTGTCTTTTAAAAAAGAGAGGAAGAAAAGAAGAAGCAAAAGAAAAGAGGCCGGGCACAGTGGCTCATGCCTGTGATCCCAACACTTTGGGAGGCCAAGGCGGGTGGATCACCTGAGGTCAGGAGTTCGAGACCAGCCTGGCTAACACGGCAAAACCTTGTCTCTACTAAAAATACGAAAGTTAGCTGGGTGCTGTGGCGTGCGAGTGTAGTCCCAGCTACTTGGGAGGTTGAGGCAGGAGAACCGTTTGAACCCAGGAGGCAGAGGTTGCAGTGAGCCGAGATCACACCACTGCACTCCAGCCTGGGCAACAGAGCAAGACTCCGTCTCAAAAAAAAAAGAGAGAGAGAGAAAAAAAAAAAAAAAAGAGGAAGAGGAAGCGGAAGAATAACCACCCAAACCAATCGGTCTGCAGGGCTTGGGATTCAGCTTTTAAAAATTACATACATTTGCCCAACTCCAATCTTCCAGTTGTTCCCACTCTCCACAATTTCTTGAAGATTACTGCCTGCATTTCCTCGGTCACATGTGCCAATTATTTCAGTCCTCTGGAATGTCATTCATCAGGTTTAGAAACTTTTCGACAAGGTGAATATGGTAACGAAGTCCAAGAGTTGGATGTTTTCCCGCCCTTCTGAACCTCTTCCCTTCGCATACTCTTCTCCTCTGATGACTTCTCCTTTAGTCCGTGTTTACATTTTGTGATTTCTTAGACGTGAGCTCCTAGGCAACAGAAAGAGCTGGGGTAGTTGCGTGCACAGTGAGATGCACCTTAGGAAACTGTGGGCTTCTGGGGTGGCCTTCCCCTAAGTTCCCTGTGTGACTGTTGTAGATGTTTGTAGCTCAGTCTACCTAGCAACCCCTCCTCCTTCTGGAAACAGCTCTAGGTTTCCTGGGTGGGGTTTCCTTCTCCCCCTTGGTGTCTGTGGTCCTGGTGAGGCAGACCGCCACCCATGGGCTCCAGGAATAAGCAGGCGACTCAGGTCAATCCGGACACCAACATAGCTCAGCTCTGGCTGTGGTGATTGGCTGAAAGATGGACATGTGACCTAAGAGAGTCCAGTGAAAGTCAGTTCTGAGATGTTTTCTAGAAATACTGGAAAAGAGATGTTCTTTTTCTACCATGATTGCTTTGTGGTGGGATGTAAGGTTGACTGCTGTGAGCCTCGCTGGGCCACCATATGGGAAATTACCAAGAATGAAGCATTTACCTTTCCTATAGTCCCTGAAAAAAAAAAATAAAAATAAAAATGAAAATAAAAATAAAAATGAAGCTAACACAGGCCGGGCACTGTGGCTCATGCCTGTAATCCCAGCACTTTGGGAGGCCGAGGTGGGCACATCACCCGAGGTCAGGAGTTCGAGACCAGCCTGGCCAACATGGTGAAACCCCGTCTCTACTAAAAAAATTACAAAAATTAGCCAGGCGTGCTGGCATGTGCCTGTAATCCCAGCTACTCAGGAAGCTGAGGTAGGAGAATTGCTTGAACCCTGGAGGTGGAGGTTGCAGTGAGCTGAGATGGTGCCACTGCCCTCCAGCCTGGGCGACAGAGTGAGATCCGTCTCAAAAAAAAAAAAAAAAAAGTTAAATAAAGGAAATGGATCAGGAAATAGAGACAGCCAGACGCAGTGGCTCACGCCTGTAATCTCAGCACTTTGGGAGGCCGAGGCGGGTGGATTGATTGAGACCAGGAGTTTGAGACCAGCCTGGCCAACATGGTGAAACCATACAAAATTAACTGGGCGTGGTGGTGCATGCCTTTAATCCCAGCTACTAAAGAGGCTGAAGCAGAAGAATTGCTTGAACCCGAGAGATGGAGGTTGCAGTGAGCTGAGATCGCATCACTGCACTCCAGCCTGGGCTACAGAGCGAGACTCTGTCTCAAAAAAAAAAAAAAAAAAAAAGAAGCTAACACAAAGGAAATGAATCAAGAAATAGGGAAACAGTACTGATCTCACTGTGTGAGCCTCTGGGTCCATCCATACCTAAAGCTGGTACAAGCTGTACCCTTGCTATCAGGTGAGCCTGTGAATTCTCTTTTCATAACCAATTTGATCGTGATTTTTGTCACTTGTTGGCAAGAATAACACAGTGTCTGGCCAGGTGCGATGGCTCACATCTGTAATTCTAGCACTTTGGGAGGCCAAGGGCGAGGGATCACTGGAGGTCAGGAGTTTGAGACCAGCCTGGCCAACATGGTGAAACCCCATTGCTACAAAAATACCAAAATTAGCTGGGTGTGGTGGCAGGCACCTGTAGTTCCAGCTACTCGGGAGGCTGAGGCAGGAGAATCGCTTGAACCCGGGAAGTGGAGGTTGCAGTGAGCCGAGATCATGCCACTGTGCTCTAGCCTGGATGACAGAGTGAGACTCTGTCTCAAAAATAAATAAATAAATACATAAATAAAATAAAATAAAAATAAAATAATGAATAAAATTTTTAAAAATGTAAAAAAACCCATCCAGGAATGGCCAGTTATTTCCCAACATCCATTTTTTGCCCTTCTTCACATTAAGAGAGTCCAATTTTTTCTCTTTTTTTTTGTGAGGGGACAGGGTCTCAGTGTGTTACCGAGGCTGGAGTGCAGTGGAACAATCACAGTTCACTGCAGTCTCGACCTCCTGGACTCAAGCCATCCTCCCACCTCAGCCTCTCAAGTAGCTGGGACCAGAGACACGTGCCACCACACCTGGCTAAATTTTTTTTCTTTTCTTTTTTTTTTTTGTAGAAACGGTCTCACTATGCTGCCCAGGCTGTTCTTGAACTCCTGGACTCAAGTGGTCCTCTTGTCTCAGCCTCCCAAAGGGCTGGAATGATAGGCATGAGCCACTGTGCTTGGCCAGATTCCAATTTTTATTCTAGCACGTTGCCACCTAGAACTTAGAATAAAGGTTAAATTTCCCGGTTTCCTTTGCAGTTAGGTATAGATGAAAAAGTAGTGTCACTTTATAGCTTAGTCATATGTCTAAGTTCTGGCCAATGAGATGTAAGTTGACATGAGTGGAGGCTCCCAGAAAGGAAAGGGTGCACCCTTTTCTCCCTTCCCGCTTCCTGCTGCCAGGAATGCAGATTTGATGGATGGCATTCCAGCCACTATCTTGAGTCATGTGGATTTAAGAATGGAAGCAGACAGACAGAAACAAGGTTTCTGGGGAAAGAGGACCCACCATGCCAGCCTTGGAGAACTAATCTATAGACTTCTTTTACATGAGAAGAGAAATAAACTTTTATCTCATTGAAGCCACCAATCTGTCCTGTCTCTGTTACTATATCCAAAGTTGAGTCTGATTGACAGTGCCATGTTCCTCACACCCTGGCCACATGTTGTATTATCAGTTATTTTTTCATTTAGCCTATCTGACAGGTGAAAAAGTAGTGTCACTTCATAGTTGTAAATTCATTTCTGATAAGAGCTGATCTTATTTTTGTAGATTTTGAGCCATTTGTGGGATTTTGGGTCTGTGAACCATCTTCCCTCCCTTCCCCTCCTCTTCTCTCCCCTCCCCTCTCCTCTCGTCTTTCTTTTCTCTCCCTGTCTCTCTCTCTCCCTTTCTTTCTTCCTTTTTTTTTTTTTTTTCCAGACAGGGTCTGGCTCTTTCACCCAGGCTGCAGTGCAGTGCTGCAATTATGAATCACTGCAGCCTCCACCTCTCTAGGCTTAAGCAATCCTCCCATTTCAGCCTCCCAAGTAGCTGAGACTATAGGTGTGCGCCACCATGCCCAGCTAACTTTTTTAGGGATGGTGTCTTGCCGTGTTGCCCAGGCTGGTCTCAAACGGCTGGGCTTAAGCAAGCCTCCAGCCATGGCCTCCCCAAGTGCTGGGATTACAGGCCCCATTTCTTTCTTTCTCTCTTTTTTTTTTTTTTTTTTTTTTTTGAGATGGAGTCTTGCTCTGTCGCCCAGGCTGGAGTGCAGTGGTGCGATCTCGGCTCACTGCAAGCTCCGCCTCTGGGGTTCACGCCATTCTCCTGCCTCAGCCTTCCAAGTAGCTGGGACTACAGGCGCCCACCACCTCGCCCGGCTAATTTTTTGTATTTTTAGTAGAGACGGGGTTTCACCGTGTTAGCCAGGTTGGTCTCCTGACGTTGTGATCCACCTGCCTCGGCCTCCCAAAGTGCTGGGATTACAGGCCCCATTTCTTTCTTGACTCCATTCTCAGTCAGCCCCATTCCTGTGATTCCAAGATGGCTGCCAGCAGCTCTGGACTTTCATCCCACCTCTCAGCACCCTCAGCAGGGAGAATGCCGCTTTCCTGGATGGTGCAACAAAAGTTTAGGGATTGTCACGAGAAAGAGAGGACAAGCCACAGACTGAGAGAAACATCTGCAAAAACATATCTTGATAAAGGTCTTTTATCCAAATAACACAACAATCCGGCTGGGCACAGTGGCTCTTGCCTGTAATTCCAGCACTTTGGAGGCTGAGGCAGGTGGATCGCCTGAGGTCAGGAGTTCGAGACCAGCCTGGCCAATACGGCGAAACCCAGTCTCTACCAACAATATAAAAATTAGCCAGGCGTGGTGGTGCATGCCATAATTCCAGCTACTCAGGAGGCTGAGGTAGGAGAACGGTTTGAACCCAGGAGGCAGAGGTTGCAGTGAGCCGAGATGGCGCCATTGCACTCCAACCTGGGCAACAGAGCGAGACTCCGTCTCAAAAAAAAAAAAAATTAATTAATTAAATAAAAATAAAAATAAAAAAACACGTAACTCAACAATCTGAAAATAGAGCTGGGCATGGTGGCATATGCCTGTAGTCTATTCAGGAGGCTAAGCTAAAAGAATCACTTGAGCCCAGGAGTTCAAGATTGTAATGTGCTATGATCCTGACTGTGAATAGCCACTGCACTCCAGTTTGGGCAATATAGCACGATGCTGACTCGTTTAAAAAAACACGAACGTGAACGACCTGATTAAAAAATGAGCAAGGCCAGGCGTGGTGGCTCATGCCTATAATCCCAGCACTTTGGGAGGCTGAGGCAGGTGGATCATGAGGTCAGGAGTTCAAGACCAGCCTGGCCAAGATGGTGAAGCCCCATCTCTACTAAAACTACAATAATTAGGCGGGCATGGTGGCAGGTGCCTGTAATCCCAGCTACTCAGGAGGCTAAGGCCGGAGAATCGCTTGAACCTGGGCAGCAGAGGTTGCAGTGAGCCAAGAACACACCACTGCACTCCAGCCTGGGCAACAGAGTGAGACCTCGCCTCAAAAAAAAAAAGCCAGAGGTGGTGACTCATGCCTGTAAATCCAGCACTTTGGGAGGCTGAGATGGGTGGATTGCTTGAGCCCAGGAGTTCGAGACCAGCCTAGGCAACATGGCAAAACCCTATTTCTACAAAAAATACAAAAAATTAGCTGAGTGTGAAGGCACGGCCCTGTAGTCCCAGCTACTTGGCGGGGCTAAGGTAGGAGGATTGCTTGAGCCAGGAAGGTAGAGGTTGTAGTGTACCGAAATCACACTACACTCCACCCTGGGTGATAGAGTGAGACCCTGTCTCAAAAATAAATTAAAAAAAAATTAAAGGCCTGGCACAGTGGCTCACGCCTGTAATCCCAGAACTTTGGGAGGCCGAGGCAGGTGGATCACCTGAGGTAGGGAGTTCGAGACCAGCCTGACCAACATGGACAAACGCTGTCTCTACTAAAAATACAAAATTAGCTGGGCATGATGGCACACATTTGTAATCCCGGCTACTCGGGAGGCTGAGGCAGGAGAACCGCTTGAACCCGAGAGGCAGAGGTTGCAGTGAGCCGCGATCCTGCTATTGTACTCCAGCCTGGGCAACAAGAGTGAAACTACGTCTCAAATAAAAAAAAAAAAAAAAAGAAAAAGAAAATTAAAATTAAAAAATAAATGGGCAAAAAACTCTGAACAGATACCTTACCAAAGAAGATATACACGGCCGGGCATGGTGGCTCATGCCTGTAATCCTAGCACTTTGGGAGGCCGAGGTGGGTGGATCATGAGGTCAGGAGTTCAAGACCAGCCTGGCCAAGATGGTGAAACCCCGTCTCTACTAAAACTACAAAAATTAGCTGGGTGCGGTGGCAGGTGCCTGTAATCCCAGCTACTCGGGAGGCTGAGGGAGGAGAATCACTTGAACCCGGGAGGCAGAGGTTGCAGTGAGCCAAGATTGTGCCACTGTACTCCAGCCTGGACGACAGAGCAAGACTCTGTCTCAAAAAAAAAAAAAAAAATATATATATATATATATATATACACACACATAGCAAGACTCTCTCAAAAAATATATGTATATACAGATGGCAAATAAGCACATAAAAAAGTGCTTAATGTCATATGTCATTAGGGAATTGCAAATTAAAAAAATGAGGTACCACTACTCACCTATTAGATAACAGCTAAATTTTTTTTTCTTTGTTTTGAGACAAGGTCTCATTCTGCCACCCGGGCTGGAGGACAGTGACGTGATCACTGATCACTGCAGCCTTGACTTGCTGGGTTCAAGGGATCTTCCCACCTCAGCCTTCTGAATAGCTGGGACTACAGGTGCACGCCACCCTGCCTGGCTAATTTTTAAATTTTTTGTAGAGATGGGAGTCTCCCTATGTTGCCCAGGCTGGTCTCAAACTCCTGGGCTCAAGTAATCCGCTGGCCTCAGCCTCCCAAAGTGCTGAGATTACAGGCATGAGCCACTGTGCCTGGCCTAGGATGGCTAAAATTTTTTCTTTTCTTTTCTTTTCTTTCTTTTTTTTTTTTTTTTGAGGCGGAGTCTCGCTCTGTCGCTCTGTCGCCCAGGCTGGAGTGCAATGGTGATATCTCGGCTCACTGCCACCTCTGTCTCGCGGGTTCAAACGATTCTCCTGCCTCAGCCTCCCAAGTAGCTGGGATTACAGGCAAGTGCCACCATGCCTGGCTAATTTTTGTATTTTTAGTAGAAACGGGTTTTCACCATGTTGGCCAGGATAGTCTCGATCTCCTGAACTCATGATCCTCCCACCTCAGCCTCCCAAAGTGCTGAGGTTACAGGTGTGAGCCACCATGCCTGGCCGAATGGCTAATGACTAAAATTTTTAAAAATGACAACACCAAATGCTGGTCAAGATGTTGAGCAACAGGAGCTCTCATTCATTGCTGTGGAAATGCAAAATGGCACAGCTACCTCGGAAGACAGTCTGATAGTTTCTTCTAAAACTGAAATGCTCTTCCTACATGATCCAGCAATTGCACTCCTTGGCATTTAACCCAAGTGAATCGGAAACTTACATCCACACAAACACTCGCACACAAATGTTTATAACAGATGTATTCGTAATTGCCAAACTTGGAAGCAACCAAGCTGTCCTTCAGTAAGTGAATGGATAAACTGTGGTACGTCCAGACAGTAGAATATTATTCAGTGCTGGCCGGGCGCAGTGGCTCATGCCTATAATCCCAGCACTTTGGGAGGCCGAGGCTGGCGGATCACTTGAAGCCAGTAGTTCATGACCAGCCTGGCCAACATGGCGAAAACCCATCTCTATTAGAAAAAAAAAAAAAAAAAAATAGCCGGGCATGGTAGCACACACCCGTAATCCCAGCTACTCAGGAGGCTGAGGTGGGAGAATTGCTTGAACCCAGGAGGCAGAGGTTGCCGTGAACCAAGATTGCACCACTAAACTCCAGCCTGGATGACAGAGCAAGACTCTGTCTCAAAAAAAAAAAAAAGAATATTATTTAGTGCTAAAATGAAATAAGTCGCCAAAACATAAAGAGGTGTGGAGAAACCTTGCCTTAGTCTGTTTTCTGTTACTATAACAGAATACTAGAGACTAGGTAATTTATAAAGGAGAGAGGTTTATTTAGCTCAAGATTCTGGAGGTGGGGTTGTCTAAGATCTGCAGGATATGGGATTCAGCTTTTAAAAACTGAGCTTCTGGTCGGGCTTGTAGCTTACACCTATAATCCCACTACTTCAGGAGGCTGAGACAGGAGGATCACTGAAGGCCAGGAATTTGAGACCAGCCTGGACAAGATAGGGAGACCTCTTCTCTACAAAAATAAAAATAAAATGGGCCAGGTGCAGTGGCTCACACCTGTAATCCCAGCACTTTGGGAGGCTGAGGTGAGCGGATCACAAGGTCAGGAGATGGAGAACATCTTGGCCAATATGGTGAAACCCCGTCTCCACTAAAAATACAAAAATTAGGCCGGGCATGGTGGCTCATGCCTATAATTCCAGCACTTTGGGAGCACTTTGGGAGGCTCGTTCAATTCGAGCACTTGAACGCCTGAGATCAGGAGTTCAAGACCAACACGGTAAAACCCTGTCTCTACTAAAAATACAAAAATTAGCTGGATGTGGTGGCACGCACCTGTAATCCCAGCTACTAGGGAGGCTGAAGCAGGAGAATCGCTTGAACCCGGGAGGCGGAGGTTGCAGTGAGCTCCAATCATGCCATTGCACTCCATCCAGCCTGGGCAACAGAGTGAAACTGGGTCTGAAAAAAAAAAAAAGAATTAGCCAGGCATGGTGGTACGCACCTATAGTCCCAGCTACTCTGGAGGCTGAGGCAGGAGAATTGCTTGTAACTGGGAGGCAGAGGTTGCAGTGAGCTGAGATTTCACCACTGCACTCCAGCCTGGGTGACAAGAGTGAAACTCCATCTCAAAATAAATAAAATGGCTGAGCATGGTGGCTCATGCCTGTAATCCCAGCAATTTGGGAGGCCGAGGCAGGTGGATCATTTGAGGTCAGGAGTTTGAGACCAGCCTGGCTAACATGGTGAAACCCCACCTCTACTAAAAATACAAATAAATTAGCTGGGTGTTGTGGCACACGCCTGTAATCCCAGCTACTGGGGAGGCTGAGGCAGGAGAATCGCTTGAACCTGGGAGACACAGGTTGCAGTGAGCTGAGATCACACCACTGTACTCCAGCCTGGGCAACAGAGTGAGACTCCATCTCAAAAATAAATAAATAAATAAATAAAATAAATACAAATAAAAATAAAAATTAGGTGGACATGGTGGCCTGCAGTCTCAGCTACTGGGGAGGCTGAGGAGGGAGGATGGCTTGAGCCCAGGAGTTTGAGGCTGCAGTGAGCTGTGACAGTGCCACTGCATTCCAGCCTGGGTAACAGAGGAAGATCCTGTCTGTAAAAAACAAGCAGGCTGACCATGGTGGCTCATGCCTTTAATTCTAACACTTTGGGAGGCCAAGGTGGGAGGATTGCTTGAGCCCACGAGTTCAAGACCAGCCTGGGCAACATAGTGAGACCCCATCTCTACCAAAAAATTTAAAAATTAGCTGGACATTGTAGTGCATGCCTGTAGTCCCAGCTACTCAGGAAGCTGAGGTGGGAGGATTGCTTGAGCCCAGGAGGTCAAGGCTACAGTGAGCTGTGATCATGGCACTGCATTCCAGCCCAGGTGAAAGAGTGAGACCCTGTCTCAAAAACGAATGAATGGGCTGGGCGCGGTGGCTCATGCCTGTAATCCCAGGACTTTGGAAGGCCAAGGCGGGCAGATCACGTGAGGTCAGGAGTTCAAGACCATCCTGGCCAACATGGCAAAACACCATCTCTACTAAAAATACAAAAAGTAGCCAGGTGTGGTGGTGCGTGCCTGTAATCCAAGCTACTTGGGAGGCTGAGGCAGGAGAATTGCTTGAACCTGGGAGGCAGAGGTTGCAGTGAGCCGAGATCATGCCACTGCACTCCAGCCTGTGCAACAGAGCGAGACTCCGACTCAAAAAAACAAAACCAAACAAAAAAAAAGAATGAACAAAGAAAAATTGAGCTTCTAGTGAGGGTCTTGTGCTATGTCATAACATGATACAGAAGAGGAAGCAGACATGTGCAAAGTGACCAACACAAGAAGCAGTCTCGCTTTTTTTTTTTTGAGATGGAGTTTCACTCTTGTTGCCCAGGGTAGAGTGCAATGGCACAACCTCGGCTCACTACAACCTCTACCTCCCAGGTTCAAGCAATTCTCCTGCTTCCTGAGTAGCTGGGATTACAGGCGTGCGCCACCACACCCGGCTAATTTTGTATTTTTAGTAGAGACGGGGTTTCACCATGTTGGTCAGGCTGGTCTCGAACTCTCAACCTCAGGTGATCCACCCGCCTCGGTCTCCCAAAGTTCTGGGATTACAGGCGTGAGCCACCATGCCCAGCCTGCAGTCTTGCTTTATAACAACCTGCTTTGGAGCTGATGAATCCAATCCCATGGGATCGAGAACTCAAGGGAATGAGAAAGACCTTAATACATCTTAATGACCTAATCACCCCTTAAAGGCACCACCTACCAACACTACCTCATTGGGACAAAGTCACGACATAAATTTGAGTGGGGACAAACTGTATTTAAGCCATAGCAAACCTAAAATACTTATTATCAAATGAAAATAAGCCAATGTGGAAAGACTACAAACTGTATGATTCCAATTATATGACATTCCGGAAAAGGCAAAACTATGGAGACAGTCAAAATATCAGCAGTTTCCAGGGGTTAGGAAGGAGGAGATGTAGGTGGTACACCGAGGATTTTTAGGGCAATGAAATCATTCTGTCTGATACCATAATGTGCTTACATTTTACTATACATTGGTCAAAACCCATAGAACTGCATAATACCAAGAGTGAACCCTAATGTAAACTATGGACGTTGATTCATAATGAGGGGTCATGAGGGTTCATCAATTTTAACAAATATACCACTCTGGTGCAGGATGTTGATAATCAGGGAGGCTGTGCATGTGAAGAGACTGGGTATATGGGAACTCTCCATATTTTTTATTTTATTTATTTATTTATTTATTTATTTATTTATTTATTTATTTTGTGATGGAGTCTCACTTTGTTGTCCAGGCTCGAGTGCAGTGGCATGATCTCTGCTCACTGTAACCTCTGCCTCCCAGGTTCAAGCGATTCTTCTGCCTCAGCCTCCCGAGTGGCTGGGATTACAGGTGCCCACCACCATGCCCAGCTAATTTTTGTATTTTTAGTAGAGACGGGGTTTCACCATGTTGGCCAGGCTGGTCTCGAACTCCCAACCTCAGGTGATCCACCTGCTTCACCCTCCCAAGGGCTGGGATTACAGGCGTGAGCCATGGCACCCAGTCTATTTATTTATTTATTTGAGACAGGATCTCACTCTGTCACCCAGACTGGAGGACAATGGCACAATCTCTGTTCACTGCAACCTCCGCCTCCCAGGCTCAAGCGATTCTCCTGCCTCAGCCTCTCCAGTAACTGGGACTATAGGCATGCATCACCACACCTGGCTAATTTTTGTATTTTTAGTAAAGACGGGGTTTCACCATGTTGGCCAGGCTGGTCTTGAACTCCTGACCTCAAATGATCCACCTGCCTCTGCCTCCCAAAGTGCTGAGATTACAGATGTGAGCCATGGCGCCCAGCCCATATTGTTTTTTTTAGAGACAGGTCTTGCTCTGTGGCCCAGGCTGGAATACAGTGGTGTGATCATAGCTTGCTGCAGCCTCAAACTCCCAAGTTCAAGGGATTCTCCCACCTCAGTCACCTCCCAAATAGCTGGGACTGCAGACATGAGCCACCACGCTCATCTAATTTTTCTATTTTTTAGAGGCAGGGCATCCCCATGTTGCCCAGGCTGGTCTTGAACTCCTGGCTCCCAAAGATCCTTTTACCTGGTCTCCAAAAGTGTTGCAATTATAGGCATGAGCCACCATGCACAACCAGCTCTGTGTTTTGCCTTCAATTTTGCTGTCACTCTAAAACTGCTGTATATTATAGTCTATTTTTAAATTTAATTATTTTTATTTTTATTTTATTTTTTTTGAGACGGAGTCTCACTCTGTTGCCCAGGCTGGAGGGCAGTGGTGCGATCTCAGCTCACTGCAAGCTCCGCCTCCCGGGTTCACACCATTCTCCTGCCTCAGCCTCCCGAGTAGCCGGGACCACAGGTGCCAGCCACTATGCCCGGCTAATTTTTTGTATTTTTAGTAGAGACGGGGTTTCACCATGTTAGCCAGGATGGTCTTGATCTCCTGACCTTGTGATCTGCCTGCCTCGGCCTCCCAAAGCGCTGGGATTACAGACGTGAGCCACCGCGCCCAGCTTAAATTTTAATTTTAATTAATTAATTTATTTTTTGAGACAGAGTTTTGCTCTTGTTGCCCAGGCTGGAGTACAGTGGCACAAGCTCGGCTCATTGCAACCTCTACCTCCTGGGTTCAAGTGATTCTCCTGCCTCAGCCTCCTGAGTAGCTGGGATTACAGGCACCCACCCCCACGCCCGGCTAATTTATTTGTACTTTTAGTAGAGATGGGGTTTTGCCACGTTGGCCAGGCTGGTCTCGAACTCCTGACCTCAGGTGATCCACCCACCTCAGCCTCCCGAAATGCTGGGATTATAGGCGTGAGCCCCTGTGCCTTGCCTATAGTCTACTTTTTAAAAGGAGAGGGGGATTGGCCCTGAATGGATCAACTTAGGTCATATGACTCTCTCTGTTCTAATGAATGTGGCCAGAGGAATTGAGCACACTGGTTAGTCATGTTCAGGTGCATGCTCATCTCTGGAGCCAGGAGTGGAATCAGCCCTCCAAAACACATGGAGGCCAGGTTTGGTGGCTCATGCCGGTAATCTCAACACTTTGGGAGGCTGAGCCAAGCAGACTGTTTGAGCCCAGGAGTTTGAGACCAGCTTGGGCAACATAGTAAGACCCTGTTTCTAAAAAAGAAAAAATAAAAATAAATTAATTAACCAGGTGTGGTGGCATGTGCCTGTAGTCCCAGCTACTCAGGAAGCTGAGGGGGGAGGATTGCTTGAACTGGGTAGTTCAAGGCTGCAGTGAACTATGATTGTGCCACTGCACTCCTGCCTGGGCGGAAGAGCTAGACCCTGTCTTCAAAACCAAACCGAAACAAAAAAAACACACGGATTAGGGATGGGAGGGATAGAATCCTAGAAAGAAATTAAGGACTTGTTTCCAGAGAAGAGGGGAACAGATATTCAGAGGTTAAATCAATAGATATTGACTCTCCTAGGCAAAGAGGAGAATGAAATCCTTGTGATCAGACAGCACAGAGTCCAGAGGCCTTGTTGATAAAAGAGATGGAATTTGTGGAAATACTGAGTGATCCATTCTCATTTAGATGTCCAATTAACTCCCATTCACGTCAGCTTTATTAATTTATTGACCACCTAATATGTCCCAGACTTTGTGCTTGGAGTTGAAGAGACTTTTGTGAATAACAACTCAGCCAACAAGTCCATGAATTTTCAAAGGCTCCATGTTTATTCCGTGCACATTTAGAAGACCTTGCAAATTTCACCACTATGAAATTAAATTTCACATGGCCTAATTAGAATATCCGCACCCCTAAATTATTGCAATTGCAGAGAATCGGAGGGTTCAAAGGAAAGCAGGGCACTCACGTAATTCACCACAACCCCCAGGCTGCTGGAACACTTGGTTAACTTTTGACCTTGGCCAACTCCAGTGACCACTTGAAGGGAAGAAAGTGCCATCCCAGGATTGCCCATGATTACTCTTGGGTGGTTAGACCCCTAACTGTGTGCGTCAATCTGGAGATGTTGTTACTGTTCAAAAGAGGGGGACATGAACCACAAATTAATTGGTTTTACATAGGCTTTTAAAACCAACAAAATTAACTTTTTAATATTGTTCATGAAACGAAATACAAACCCTTTATTATTTTAAATTTTAGTGTCTGGACACTTTTGAAGTGGTTTTGTCCGTTTTTTTTCATAAAATACTGCCACTGCTCCATTACTGTTTGTGAGGAAGAAAGTATAATAACACATTGTTTTCTCTGCCCCCGCCACCACCCCACCATGGTTCCTGTTTTTATATATATATATGTATATATGTGTATATATATGTGTGTATATTTTTTTTTTATTATTTTTTTTTCTGAGACGGAGTCTTGCTTTGTCACCCAGGCTGGAGTGCAGTGGTGCGATCTTGGCTCACTGCAACCTCCACCTCCTGGGTTCAAGCAATTCTCCTGCCTCAGCCTCCCAAGCAGCTGGGACTACAGATGCGTGCCATTATGCTTGGCTAATTTTTTTTATTTTTAGTAGAGACAGGGTTTTGCCATGTTGGCCAGGCTGGTCTCCAACTCCTGGCCTCAAGTGATCCGCCCGCCTTGGCCTCCCAAGGTGCTGGGATTACAGGCTTGAGCCACCATGCCCGGCCTCTTGTTTCTATATTAAAGAGACATTTACCTAACTAGATAAAGACCTGCTATGCCATTAACTTAACTTTTTTTTTTTTTTTTTTTTTTAGAGACAGGGTCTCACTCTGTTACTCAGGCTAGAGGTGAGTGGCACGATCACAGCTAACCTCAGCCTTGACCTACCTGGCTTAAGTGATCCTCCCACCTCAGCCTCCCAAGTAGCTGGGACCATAGGTGCAGCGTAAGCCACCACATCATTTAGCAGAAACGGGGTCTTAGTATGTTGCCCAGGCTGTTCTTGAACTCCTAGGCTCAAGCCATCCAACCACCCAATCTCTCAAAGTGCTGGGATTACAGGTGTGAGCCACCACACCCATCTCACACCATTAACTCTTTCAGTCAATCTGCATTAAGCATTTAGTATGTACTTGGTACTATGGAAAGCATCAAAGAAATTGACACTACAGGTTCTAAAAACTTTCCATTGAGGAATTAAGACTTAGTCGGTCTCTAGCTGTGTGATCTTAAGCTAGTTACTTAATGTCTCTGAGTTTCCATTTCCTGATCTATAAAATAAGGATGAAATATTGCTCTTGCAAGGCTCTTGTATATCCATGTATTCAGCAAATATAGCTTGAGTTCCTACTCAGTGTTCCACACACCTTTAGGAAGCAGAGATTCAGTAGTGCTGGGCATTGGAAGGAGTTTTCAGTGGGGATGGAATCCAGGCTGCAAAGAGAAAGCATTTGTATGTGAACGCTTCTGGAAAATTACTTAAAGCTGGGCTCAGTGGCACACGCCTGTAGTCCCAGCTGCCCAGGAAACTGGGGTGGGAGGATCTCCTGAGCCCGGGAGGCTCAGGAGGCTGCAGTGAGCCATGATTGAGTCACTGCATTCCAGCCTGGGAGACAGAGCAAGACCCCGTCTAGAAAAATAAGTAAGTAAGTAAATAAATAATGACCTAAAACCATCCCAGAAGACAGGAACATGAGTCTCTGAAGGCCTCTGTATTAGCTATCTATTGCTGTGTAACAAATTGCTTCAAAATTTAGCAGCTTAAACCAATAAAACATTTATCTCACAGTTTCTGTGGGTCAGGAATCCAGGAGTGGCTTTGCTGGGTGGTTCTGCCTCAGGGTATCTGCCCTGTTTACAGTCATGCTGTTGGCTGGGCTGCAGAGGCTGGAAGCCTCTTTGGGGCCAGATGATTTGTTTCTGAGCTTGTTCATGTGGTTGTGGTCAGAAGGTTTCAGTCCCTCATGACATGGAAGCTGGCTCCCTCACTAAGTGAGAGAGAGAGAGAAACCAAGAGAGAAGTTTTAAGAAAGAGAGAGGGGCTGGGTGTGGTGGCTCACAACTGTAATCCCAGCACTTTGGGAGGCTGAAGCGAGCAGATCACTGGAGGTCAAGAGTTTGAGACCACCCTGGCCAACATGGTGAACCCCATCTCTACTAAAAATACAAAAATTAGCCAGGTGTGGTGGTGCACGCTGTAATCACAGCTACCCAGGAGGCTGAGGCACGAGAAGCACTTGAACCTAGAAGGTAGAGGTTGCAGTGAGCCAAGATGGTGCCACTGCACTTCAGTCTGGGCAACAGAGTGAGACTCCATCTCAAAAAAAAAAAAAAAAAAAAAGAGAGAGAGAGAGAAAGAACCAAGACAGAAGCAGTATTGTCATGATGCACCATCACTTCTGCCTAATTTTACGGGTCACACAGACCACCCTGGTGCAATAGAGGAGGGCACTGCACAAGGTGGGCACACCAGGAGGCAAAGGATCATTGGATCACTGGAGGGCATTTTGGAGTCTGGCTAACACAGCCCCATGACTTTTTTGTGATTTCTCATTTTATTTTATTTATTTTTTTGAGACAGGATCTCACTTTGTCACTCAGGCTGGAGTCCAGTAGCATGATCTTGGCTCACTGCAGCCTCAACCTACCGGGCTCAAGTGATCCTCCCACCGCAGCCCCCCATAAGTAGCTGGGACTACAGGTGCACACCGCCACACTTGGCTAAATTTTTTGTGTGTGTATATTTTTAGTAGAGACAGGGTTTTACCATGTTGGCCAGGCTGGTCTCGAACTCCTGAGCTCAAGCTATCTGCCTGCTTCGGCCTCCCCAAGTGCTGGGATGACAGGTGTGAGCCACTGCATCTGGCCCTGTTCTCACTTTAAATATTCACCTTTTTCCTTCTCCTCCTCCTCTTCCTCTCCTCCTCCTCCTTCTTCTTCCTTCTTCTTCTTCTACTTTTCTTTCTTCTTCTTCTTTTTTATTTATGTTTTTGAAACAGGAAACAGGGACTCGCTCTGTCTCCCAAGCTGGAATGCAGTGGTGCAATCACGGCTCCCTGCAGTGTCAACCTTCTGGGCTCAAGCAATCCTCCTGCCTCAGCTCCCGAGTAGCTAGGACTATAGGCACATGCCACCACACCTGGCTAATTTTAAAAAATCTTTTGTAGAGACAGGGTCTCACATGTTGCCCAGGCTAATCTCGAACCCCTGGCCTCAAGCAGTCTTTCCACCTCGGCCTCCCAAAGTTCTGGGATTATAGGCATGAGCCACTACACCTGGCCTAAACATTCACTTTTATACCTAATTTTGTACTTAAATTTTGTATTTGTTTTAAAGAAGGCTCCCCCAAATTGTCTAAGCTTCAGGTACCACAAAACCTGGATCCATCCCTGGTCCTAAGACAGGTCTTCAGTTTTTTGTGACAGTGGGTGTTAGAGATTTTGTACAAAAGTTCAGAAGCTGGACTCAGCCCAGCGAAAAGGTTTGTTGATCTGCCTGGGGGAAGGTGTGGATTTCAGCCCATCCCTGTATGCCTTCACTCAATACTCCTTTGAAAGCATAAGCTGCTGGAATTAAACCAGTGGTTTTGATGTGCTTGGAGCTGAAGATAAAGTCCTGTTTGCACACTGTAATGGTGTATTTAAACATTTTGACAATTATCAGGTGAAATCTTTGGCTGTTATTGACTCCGCTCCTCTGTAAGTGATTGTGTGCGGCAGGAGAGTCTCTCCACCACATGACTGGGCCCTCACTTACAGGTTAATTGACTTGTTTGGTCGCTTTCTTCTTAAGCCACAGGAGTGGTGAAATGCAATTTTTTTCTTGTGTTCTTTCGTAACACACCAAGACAAACAAAGCTGAGTTTTAAATCCTGTTGCATTTATTAACTTTTGAGGGTCTAGCTATGAGTTTTCAGAAACAACAACCAACCACCAGCTCTTCTGATCTTGGTTTGAATCTCTATGATCTGAGATAAATTAGGTTCCCCCCAAAAAAACACACCCCCACCCCAAGTTGGACACTGAATGATGTATTGGGAATTTGTTTGATACAATAAATGTCCACTATTTATTTATTTATTTTTTGAGATGGGGTGTCTGTCACCCAGGCTGGAGGGCAGTGGTGTGATCTCAACTCACTGCAACCTCCACTTCCCAGTCTCAAGTGATCCTCCCACCTTAGCCTCCCGAGTAGCTGGGGCTACAGGCCTGTACCACCATGCCTGACTAATTTTTTGTAGAGGCGGGGTTTCACCATGTTGCTCAGGCTGTCTTCAACTCCTGGATTCAAGGGATCTCCCCCCAACCCCTGAGATGGCATCTTGTTCTGTCACCCAGGCTGGAGTGCAGTGGCACCATCTCAGCTCCCTGCAACCTCCGCCTCCCAGGTTCAAGTGACTTTCCTGCCTCAGCCTCCCAAGGAGCCGAGATAACAGGCATGCAGCATCATGCCTGGCTAATTTTTGTATTTTTATTAGAGACGAGCTTTCACCTTGTTAGCCAGGCTGGTCTTAAACTCCTGACCTCAAGTGATCTGCCTGCCTCGACCTGCCAAAGTGCTGGGATTACAGGCCTGGACTCAAGGGATCTGCCCATCTCAGCCTCCAAAAGTGCTGGGATTCCTGGCGTCAGCCGCTGGGCCTGGCCTATTATTTCTTATGAGTCTTTGGGTGGTTGCATGGCCCTTCTGTTGGTCTCACCTGGGTTTGCTCATGAAGCTGCACGTGGCTGAAGGCTCAGCCGGGACAGCCAGGTGGCTAAGTCTCTCTCATTCTGTGGGTTTTCTTTCAGAGTTTCTTCTGGTGTGGTGGTCTTGGGGCAGAGTTCCAAAAGAGTGAAAATGGAAGCTGCAAAGTTTTTCAAGGTATAAGCTCTAGACGTGTGCAGCGTCTCTTCTGCCCCACTATGTGGTTAATGTAGGTCCCAAGAAGCTCCACGTGGGTTTAAATCATGTTGGTCTTTTCAGGGCTGTATCCTCAGTATCTAGAATAGAGCCTGGTACATAGAATATTTATTGATGCAACTGAGATTATCATAGTGTATTTTTCTGTGAGCACAGCAGCTTATTCACAGCAGCAGTTTCCTAAATGGTGGCTATTTTATTATAGCTTTCCTAGGGGAGACACATAATGTAAATTTTCTGTTATTTCTTTTCTTTTTTTTTTTTTTGAGACAGAGTCTCGCTTAGTCCCCCAGGCTGGAGTGCAGTGGTGCGATCTCAGCTCACTGCAACCTCCGCCTCCCAGGTTCCAGTGATTCTCCTGCCTCAGCCTCCCGAGTAGCTGGGACTGCAGGCACCGGCCACCACACCCAGCTAATTTTTGTATTTTTAGTAAAGATGAGGGTTTCACTATGTTGACCAGGCTGGTCTCCAACTCCTGACCTCAAGTAATCCACCCGCCTCAGCCTCCGAAAATGCTGGGGTTACAGGTGTGAGCCACTGCGCCCGGCCTCAGTTATCTGCTATTTCTAGGAATACTTTAGGTTGGCACAGAATGAACACTGATCTTAACTGCTTTCCCCAACCTTCCCCCAATTCGCTGTTATCTGATACTCAGTAAACTGCCAGAGATGCATTACCAAAATAATATGGAGGTGGTCAAAATCATCATGAAGAATGTAGACATGGAATCTGTTTGCCTGCGTTCAAATCCCGGCCCCACCTCTTACTCGCTGTGAGACCTTGGATGAGTCATTTAAACGCTCTATGCTTTTGTTTCCTCATCTGTAAAATAGGCTTAATAATTGTACGTATTTCCTGAGATTGATAAAAATTAAATGGGTTAATATTTGTCAAGTGCTAACAAGAGAGGTTGGCATGCAGTCACTGTTATGTAAGAGTTAACTATCATTATAAGTAACGCACAGGCCCTGACTTTGAGTTTCCAATGAGTCACTTTCTTCAGATACCACAAAAACTTTTGGGAGATATTGTTCTCTGCCTCATCTGACAGTCTTCTGGGAATTAGGAAGCCATCAAGATGAACTCTGAGCAAGAGTGAAAGCAGTTCATGACTGGATAGCTTTAATTCACCTGCTTCTAATTTCATCCATGGTGTATAGATTGTTAACTGTGGTTTTCTATCAATAGATATGAATTAGAATGCCTTTTATGGAGAAGTCAGCTTTACAGACTTAAATAGAAAAATAAGGCTGGATGTGGCGGCTCAGGCCTGTAATCCCAGCATTTTGGGAGGCCGAGGTGGGTGGATCATTTGAGGTCAGGAGTTCCAGACCAGTCTGACCAACATAGTGAAACACATCTCTACTAAAAACACAAAAATTAGCCAGGTGTGGTGGCACGTGCCTGTAATCCCAGCTACTTGGGAGGCTGAGGCAGGAGAATTGTTTGAACCTGGGAGACAGAGGTGGCAGTGAGCCAAGATCATGCCACTGCACTCCAGCCTGGGTGACAGAGCAAGACTCTGTCTCAAAAAAAAAAAAAAAAAAAAAAAAAGAAAGAAAGAAAGAAAAAGGAAAAATTATAGCAGGAGCTTTCCTTTATTGATTATTATTATTTCATTATGAAAAAATCTAACATACAAAAGGAGAGAAAATAGTATCATCATCTCCCTTGTCCATTATCTGGTTTCTACAATTATCAGCTCAAGTGGGCACAGTGGCTCATATCTGCAATCCCACTGCTTTGGTAGGTTGAGGCAGGAGGATAATTTGAGCCCAGGGGTTAAAGACCAGCCTGGGCAACATGGCAAGACCCTGTCTCTACAAAAAATTTAAAAATTATCTGGGTGGGCCAGGCACGGTGGCTCACGCCTGTAATCACAGCACTTTAGGAGGTCGAGACAGCTGGATTACTTGAGCTCAGGAGTTTGAGACCAGCCTGGGCAACATAGTAAAACCCCATCTCTACCAAAGATACAAAAATTAGCCAGGTGTGGTCGCACACGTCTGTGGTCCTAGCTACTTGGGAGGCTGAGGCAGGAGGATCACTTGAGCCTGGGAGGCAGAGGTTGCAGTGAGCCAAGATTGCGCCACTGCACTCCAACCTGGGTGCACACCATCCAAAAAAAAAAAAAAATCAGCTGGGCATGGTGGCACACACCTGTAGTCTCAGCTACTCAGGAGGCTGAAGCAGGATGGGGATCACTTGAGCCCAGAAGTTGGAAGCTGCAATGAGCTATGATCCCACCACTGCATTCCAGCCTGGGCAACAAAGCAAGATCCCGTCTCTAAAAGAAAAATAAAAACATAAAAAAGATATTGACAATTAGCAATTTAGGGGCAATCCTGCTTCATCTTTCCCTCCACTCTTGTTCCTGCTGCTTGGATTACTTTGATGCAAATCTCAGCTATCACACCACTCTGTGGATACTTCCGTGTGTATCTCTAAAAAATAAAGACTCGACTTTGGTCATAATCACAATTCTAATATCATACATTTTAAAAGTTAACAATGGCCGGGCGCGGTGGCTCAAGCCTGTAATCCCAGTGCTTTGGGAGCCCAAGGTCGGCGTCAGGAGCTGGATGTGGTGGTGTGTGCCTGTAATCCCAGCTACTCAGGAGGCGGAGGCAGGAGAATTGCTTGACCCGGGAGGCAGAGGTTGCAGTGAGCTGAGATTGTGCCACTGCACTCCAGCCTGGGCTACAGAGCAAGACTCTGTCTCAAAAAAAAAAAAAAAAAATTAACAATAATTCCTAATGTCATCAAATATGCAGGTACTTGATATATTCAAATTTCCCAGCTGAGAGCATTTCTTTGCTGAACTCTTTGTACCCTGTAACATTGGGACTCACTCCCTGACGTCCAGCGATTGGATGCTGTGTCAGAGAACACAAGGAACAGTAGAGCCTGTGTTTACCTTTATTTATCAATGCAATTTTTCAACAATTTATGAGAACAGTTGCCAGAAAATTATGCGGCACATAGACAGTGTTATAGTTAATCTACTGGCTAAGGGATGCCCAGGTAGCTGGTAAAACATTTCCAGGAGGGTGTTTCCAGAAGGGATTAGCATTTGAAACAATAGACTGAGTAAAGAAGAACCTTGCTCGCCAGCATGCATGGACATCACCCAATCCTTGAGGGTCTGAATTGAAGAAAAAGGCAGAGGGAGGATGAATTCTCTCTCTGTTTCAGCTGAGACATCCACCTTCTCCTGCCATTGGACATCTCGGGCCTTCTGACTTGGACCAGGACAGATGCTGTTGGCTCCCTTGGTCCTCAGGCTTTCAGATTCGTACTGGAACCGCATCACCAGCTTTCTCGGGCCTCCAGCTTGCAGATGGCAGATAGTGGGACTTCTCCGCCTCCATAATCCTATGAATCAATCCCTGTAATAAATCTCTTCCTGTTCATAACTATCTATCTATTTATCTGTCTATCTATCTATCTATCTACCTACCTACCTACCTATTATCTGTCTACCTATCGCTGATTTTTTTTTTTGAGATGGAGTCTCACTCTATTGCTCAGGCTGGAGTGCAGTGGTGTGATCTTGCCTCACTGCAACCTCTGCCTTCTGGGTTCAAGCGATTCTCCTGCCTCAGCCTCCCAAGTAGCTGGGACTACAGGCATGTGCCACCACGCCCAGCTAATTTTTGTATTTTTAGTAGACATGAGGTTTCACCATGTTGCCCAGGCTGTTTTCGAATTCCTGACCTCAGGTGATCCGCCCATCTCAGCCTCCCAAAGTGGTGGGATTACGGGCATTACCTATCATCTATTTATCTCTTTATTATCTATCTATCTATCTATCTATCTATCTATCTATCATCTGGTATCTATCACCTATCTCATCTATGATCTATCAATCTATTATCTATCATCTATCTATTAATCTATTATCTATCAATCTATCACCTATCAATCTATTTCTATTATTTATCTATTATAAATCAATCTATTGCTCTATCTGCCTATCATCTATTTATCATCTATCTACCTATCATCTATTTATGTACCTATCTACCTATCATCTATTTATCATCTATTATCTATCACTTATCTATCATCTATCAATCTACACTTGATTTTAGCCAAAAGGCCAAGAGGCGATCTATCTATCATCTATCAATCTATTATCTATCATCTATTAATATAATTATCTATCTATCTATCTATCTATCTATCTATCTATCTATCTATCCTACTGGTTCTATTTCCCTGGAGAACCCTGACTAACACAGGCGGTAAGTAAGTTGTAGTGGTAACTGGGTTTGAGTCTGCCTCCTCCACTCCTCAACCACTTGAATCTCTCTATGCCCTGCCTTAGCCACCTATGAAATGGGAATAATTACAGCAAGGCCAACTCTTCTTCTTTTTTGGAGACGGAGTCTCACTCTTTCACCCAGCCTGGAGTGCAGTGGTGCGATTTCAGCTCACTGCAACCTCCGCCTCCTGGGTTCAAGTAATTCTCCTGCCTCAGCCTCCGGAGTAGCCGGCTAATTTTTTTGTATTTTTAGTAGAGACGGGGTTTCACCTTGTTGCCCAGGCTGATTTCAAACTCCTGAGCTCAGGCTAACCGCCTGTCTTGGCCAAGTCTTCTTAATGTCTGTTCAGCATCTCTTCTCCCTGTCTTCCTTTTGTCACTGGAACCCCCCCATAGGATGCCCTAACACACAGATTTTGGTATGAGTGTGTTCGGCCCCATCTAACTGAGGATGCATCGGAGAGGTCAGATGTGCACATTCACTGTGAAGGGACAGCCTTGAACGTGGACCCACACAGGGGTGATTACTGGTGATGAAAACTCCCTTGAGTTTTACTGAGTTGCATTGCCAGAAGTGACATGATTGTCTAAAGTAGTGAACAAGTTTTGGTAATGTTCCAAACAAAAGAAAGTACAGGCTTCCTTTAATTTATACAGAAGTGACCTTTGTGGAAAATTCAATAATATTGTCTTAAGTCTGTTTTTTGTTGCTTATAACAGAAATAACATAATACATAAAACTTGGTAATTTATAAATAAAAGGAATTATTACTTTTTTAATTTTTAATTTATGTGGGTACATAGTAGGTACATATATGAGGAATTATTTCTTACAATTATGGAGGCTAAGTCCCAGGCTCGAGGGGCTGCATCTGATGAGTGCCTTCTTGCTGTTGGGGACTCTTTGCAGAGACCCAAAGAAGCACAGGGCATCCCATGAAGAGGGGCCTGAGCAGCTACCTGAGGTCTCTCTTCTTCTTCTTCTAAAGCCACAAGTCCCACTCTATGACAACTCATTAATCCATTTACCCATTAACTCATTAATCTATTAATTCATGAATGGATGAATCCATTCATGAGAGCTTTCATGACCCAATCACTTCTGTTTTTTGTTTTTCTGTTTTTTTTTTTTTTCTTTTTGAGACAGAGTCTTACTCTGTCACCCAGGCTGGAGTGTAGTGGCACGATCTCGGTTCACTGCAACCTCCGGCCTCCTTGGTTCAAGCAATTCTTCTGACTCAGCCTCCCCAGTAGCTGGGATTACAGGCATGCATCATCATACCTGGCTAATTTTTGTATTTTTAGTAGAGATGAGGGTTTCACCATGTTGGCCAGGCTGGTCTTGAACTGACCTCAGGTGATCTGCCCGCCTCGGCCTCCTAAAGTGCTGGGATTACAGGTATGAGCCACTGGGCCAAGCCCAATCACTTCTTAAAGGCTGAACCTCTCAGTACTGCCACATTGGGTATTAAGTTTCAACATGAATTTTCAAGGGGACAGTCAAACCATAGCAGATAGAAGTGTGCAAAAAAACGCAATCAGACCAGGTGCGATGGCTCACGTCTATAATCCCAGCACTTTGGGAGGCTGGTGGGTGGATAACCTGAGGTCATGAGTTCAAGACCAACCTGGACAACACGGCAAAACCCCGTCTCTACTAAAAATACAAAAACTAGCCAGGTGTGGTGGCGCCTGCCTGTAGTCCCAGCTACTCAGGAGGCAGAGGCGGGAGAATCACTTGAACCAGGAGGCGGAGTTTGCAGTTAGCTGAAATCATGCCACTGCCTGGGCGACACAGCGAGACTGTCACAAAAAACAAAGAAACAAACAAACAAATGCCTTTTTTAGGAATGAGGAAGACACAGAGAGTTCATACATGTGCCCAAGGCCACATTAAGCTCCTAACTGCTATAAACTAGCTGCCTAAATAGAAAGAATGTTCTAGAAGGACAGAGCAGAAAGGCTCAGAGTGGTTACCTCTGAAGAAGGGTGAAGGAAAGGGTACAAGGAGAAGGCTGGGTGTGGTGGATCATGCTCATAATCCTAGCACCTTGGGAGGCTGAGGCAGGCAGATCGCTTGAGGCCAGGAGTTTGAGACCATCCTGGGCAACACAGCAAGACTCTCTAAAAAATAAATAAATGCTAGCCAGGCGTGGTGGCGCATGCCTGTAATCCCAGCTACTCAGGAGGCTGAGTCAGGAGAATTGCTTGAACCCAGGAGGCGGAGGTTGCAGTGAGCCGAGATTGCACCATTGCACTCCCGCCTAGGCAACAAGAGCGAAACTCCGTCTCAAAAAATAAAAAATAAAAATAAATAAATAAATAAATACAACTTAAAAATAATATAGGTTAACTATAATACCTAATAAAGTTTGACATTTACCTACTGCTGACCCAGTAATTCCACTCTTGGATTAAGAGAAATGTGTGCCCATGTCCATAAAAATACTTGTTCCAGGCCAGGTGTGGTGGCTCATGCCTGTAATCCTAGCACTTTGGGAGGCTGAGGAGGGCGGATCACCTGAGGAAAAAAATTAGCTGGGCGTGGTGGTGCGCGCCTGTAGTCCCAGCTACTCAGGAGGCTGAGGTAAGAGAATCGCTTGAACCCAGGAGGTGGAGGTTGCAGTGAGCTGAGATCTTGCCATTGCACTCCAGCCTGGGCAACAGGGCAAGATTCCATCTCAAAAAAAAAGAAAAAAAAATTTGTTCCAGAATGTTCATAGAAGCTTGTTTCATAATAGTCCAAACTGGAAACAACCAAGTGCCCGACAACAAGAGGGTAAACAAATGATGGTATGGTCCCAAAATGGAATTCTACTCAACAACAGCCAGGAAAGAATTACTGGGGCATCCAGCGTGACTCAATCTGAAAAGCATTATTTGAGTGAAAGAAGCCAGATACATGAGTTCATGCCGGATGCAGTGGCTCACGCCTGTCATCCCAGCACTTTGGGAAGCTGAGGCAGGTGGATCATTTGAGGTCAGGGGTTTGAGACCAGCCTGGCCAACATGGTGAGACCATGTTCCTACAAAAAATAAAAAAATTAGCCAGGCGTGGTGGCGGACACCTGTAATCCCAGCTACTTGGGAGGCTGAGGCAGGAGAATCCCTTGAACAAGGGAGGCGGAGGTTGCAGTGAGCCAAGATCATGCCTCTGCACTCCAGCCTGGGTGACAGAGCGAGACTCTGTTTCAAAAAAGAAAAAAAAGAGTTCATTCTGTATGATTCCATTTATGTGGAGTCTAAGAATAGAGAAAACTAAGGGTGATAAAGGTCAGGATAGTGGTTATCTTGTTTTGGGAAGGGGCAAGAGGGAACTTTCTGGGGGATGGAAATGTTCTGTGTCCTAGGGGATGTTTGGCACTGTCTGGAGAGGTTTTTGATTGTCACAACTGGTGGTGGGGGTGCTACTGGCATTTAGTGGGTAGAGGCCAGAGATGCTGCTAAACTGAATCTTACAATGCACAGGATTACCCCAAAACAATTATCTGGCCGGAAATGTCAATCGGGCTGAGAGTGAGAAATTTTGGTATATGATTTAAATTGCTTAAACACGATCAAGGCATTTCTGCATCCTTGTGGGCATTTGCCATTACTACAGGCAATATTTGAGTGACGGAGACGGCTAGTTATCCTTAGGATATAGAGTTGTCATTGGAAAGCAGCCAGGGACAATATTTCCCAATCCCCTTTGCATCTGGGTACAGCCTGTGATTCATTCTGCAAATAGAATGTGAGCAAAAGCAATGTGTATTAGCTCTGCACAAAGCAGTTGAGAAACATGTGCGCCTTTTCCATTCTCCTTCCCCTGCCACCACTGGATGCAGACATCAACGATGAGGCCCCAGGGATGGAGGAAAGCTGTCAGTCAACTGGCAATGCAGCGCTAGAGGAGATAAACTTCTATTATGCAAGCCTCTGAAATGTGAGCGTTATTTGTTACAGTGGCTAGCGTTACTCTAATAGAGTATTCAACAAAAAAAATATAGTCTTTGAAGGGCAGGTCTCCCAAACTGATATATTAAGGGGCAGTTAATCTCACTTGTAAATTCTCTGAGAGCAGGGATCATGTGCTACACATTTTCTTAATCTTCGATAATGCTAAGTACCATGTTGAGCAAATGACATGTTTCTTTCTCTCTCCTTCCACCCCCGCCCCCAAAGTCCT
This sequence comes from Homo sapiens, assembly GCF_000001405.40. Classification (NCBI taxonomy): domain Eukaryota; kingdom Metazoa; phylum Chordata; class Mammalia; order Primates; family Hominidae; genus Homo; species Homo sapiens. Next base: position 47,465,047 of record NC_000020.11, read on the forward strand.
ATGACTTCCTGGGTTGGAAGAGAATGTAAGTGTTCTTTTGTAATCTTTCCAGGACACCATTAATGGAACCACAGAACACCAACTTTCACACTCTAATTCCATGTGTTTTGGAATAAGATTTACTTTGCCCCATGCTCCAGAGTTGGGTCCTGATTGGCTTACATCAATCAAAGTCTTTTCTTTACCCTGGCCTTCCCACTCTGTCACCCAGGTTGGAGTGGCACAATCTCGGCTCACTGCAACCTCTGCCTCCTAGGTTCAAGTGATTCTCCTGCTTCAGCCTCCTGAGTAGCTGGGATTACAGGCACATGCCACCACGCCAGGCTAATTTTTTGTATTTTTTTAGTAGAGACAGGCTTTCACCATGTTGGTCAGGCTGGTCTCAAACTCCTGACCTCAGTTGATCCGCCCGCCTTGGCCTCCCAAAGTGCTGGGACTATAGGCGTGAGCCACCACGCCCGGCCTCCCTGGTCTTCTTGTTAGGGTTCGCAGATGAACACATCACTGAGTGAGAGGCAATGAGATCCAAGGTTTTATCTGGGACTCCGGAAGGGAAGCAGTTTCTTCCCTTTCAAGAGAAAGCCCTGAGCATATGCTTTTCTCCTGTGTGGTGGTGTCGGTTTGGGAGGCTTCAGTTACTACAGTAACTTTGCCACCAAGAGAGCAACTCTTTCAAGTTGTCAAGGATCCATAGGTATAGATAGTTCTCAGGGGCTCAAATATTGTCAGAACCTAAATTCTTTCTCTGCCTCTCTTAGTGTGTTAGATATTCTCACTCGTGATGCCACGATAATGCCCACAATTTCAGACATTCAAGTCATAACAACACGTTTCTGTTAATGAGAAAAACCTTTCCCAGCGTGCAGCGGAGTTTTTTTCTTGTCTTATTGGCTAGAGGGCATCACGTGATAAGCCTAAACCAACCACTGACAAGTGGTCTGGATCACCGTGATTGGTTCATATGTATTCCTCAGGCTGGGGTTGGGACTGGGATCCATCTCCCTGGAAGCACATGGCCAGCAGGAGAGGGGTGGACATCTGGTCCCAACCAGAATTCTCATTTAAAAAGGAAGAAAAGTTTTTGAGTAGGCCAACAATAATGTCTGCTATGTATCCTGCCATTTGTGGTGGTATATTTATCAGTCAATTGCAAGTAACAAAAAACCAAAAAGAAAAAAGATGTTAGGGAGAAATGTATTGGCTGGCACAACTCAAAAGTTCAGAGTTTCCCAGCTTCAGGCATGGCTGGATCTGAGCAACAAGGTCATAATTATTTGGTCTCTGTTTTTATTGCTCATCTCCGCTTTATTCTCAGGCAGAATCTTACCGAGTGGTGGCTCCAGCAACTACAGACTTACTTCCTACCAAGTTAGCAATTCCAGAGGAATCTTTTAGGCAACTGTTGCAACAAAAGTTTAAGAACTGAGCCTCAAAGACTTGGCTTGGATCACAACCCCATTCTTGAACCAATCACTGTACCCAGAAGGAATGAAAAATTCTAACTGGTCAAACCATTTCTTTTTTTTTTTTTTTTTTTTTTTTTTGAGATAGGTCTTTTGCTCTGTTGCCCAGGCTGGAATACATAGCTCACTGTGGCCTCAAACTCTGGGTTCAAGTGATCCTCCCACCTCAGCTTCCCAAGTAGCTGAGATTAGTGGTGTGCACCACCACGTCTAACTAATTTTTTAAATTTTTTGTAGAAACAGGGCCTTTCTATGTTGGAAGAGGGTCAGGCGGGCGACTTGAGAAATCAAGCGCTCTGTTTTACCTGTGATTTGTGTTTCATATGCTGACATACTTCCGGGGTCTTGAGTTCCTTCTCCCGTGATTTTTCACTGGGGATGGGCTGTCTGCACGTGCAATGTGTTTATTGGAGTTGTGTACGTGCTCACTTGAGGCATTCTTCCCTTACCAGTTGAATGTCCCTAGACGGTCATCAGTTAAACTTTGCCATTTTGCCTCTTAATTCCCATGCTTGAGCCCATTTACCCAGTCCTGAGATCTTACTGGGAAGCTGCTGATCACCAGTTTCAGGTTGTTGTTTTTTTTCTGCTTATTGGGAGACTGCCTTTCCCTGGAGTCGGCTGAGACCAATCATTATTTTAGAGAGATAGTTAACAACCGCCTGAGCATCACCTGATGGTCACCTCTGGTCACCTGACATTCCTGGTGTGTGTGTGTTGTGGGGGAACTCTCTCTTGCTCTGTTCATGTCTGACTAGCTACCTACTGTAACAGCTGCACCACTGCATTCCAGCCTGGGTGACAGAGCGAGACGCTGTCTCAAAAAAAAAAAAAGGTGATTTGTGGCGATGGCAAAAATCTCAAAGGCGTTACATGAGTCACTGAAATTTGGGGAACTCTGATAGACCCAGGTTCTATCCTGGACTTTATTTGGCTGAACCAAACTGAACAAAAATTCCCTTGCATGAAAACTGGTGCTGGAGGAATATTTTCTTTGATTGATTGATTGAGGCAGGGTCTCACTGTCACCCAGGCTGGCATTGAGTGATGGAATCACGGCTCACTGCAGCCTCAACTTCCCGGCCTCAGGTGATCCTCCTGCCTCAGCCTCTCAAGTAGCTGGGACCATGGGCGCACACCCAGCTACCCAGCTAATTGATTTTTGTGGGGTTTTTTTTTTTTTTTTGAGATGGAGTCTCACTCTGTCACCCAGGCTAGAGTGCAATGGCTCGGTCTCGGCTCACTGCAACCTCCGCCTCCCAAGTTCAAGCAATTCTCCTGCCTCAGCCTCCCAAATAGCTGGGACTACAGGCACGTGCCACCACACCCAGCTAATGTTTGTATTTTTAGTAGAGATGGGGTTTCACTATGTTGGCCAGGCTGGTCTCAAACTCCTGACCTTGTGATCTGCCCACCTCAGCCTCCCAAAGTGCTGGGATTACAGGTGTGAGCCACTGCGTCTGGCCTATTTTTGTGCATTTTTTGTAGAGCCAGGATTTTGCCATGTTGCCCAGGCTGGTCTTGAACTTCTGGGCTCAAATGATCCTCCCGCCTTGGCCTCCCAAAGTGCTGGGGTTACAGGTATGAGCCACCATGTCCAGCTTGAGGAAATCTTTCCAAGGACTGCTGCCTTCAGGTGGAGCTTCAAGGTTCAAACGGTCTTTATTCATAGCCTTTTTAAATTTGGTGGGGGCTACATTTTTCAAATATATTTTCAAAGGCCTTCATTTGGGGAGAGGCCTTAAATGTGCCAACTGCCAGCTGCAAGAACCAAGTGGCCAGAACATCGAGGTTTTGAAGTCTCGCAAAACAGATGTGTAAAAGTCAACTGCACAGGCAGGACCTTAGAGTGGCACCCGGAACCCAAGGCCTTGAAAGATCCCAGCTTGTTTCTTTACAGAAAGCTTGGCTTTGTTGACCAGGCTGATAGAAACCGCGCCCAGCTGTAGAAAGGTTGCGTGTGTATATATGTGCGTGTTTCTGCTTCCTCTTTTTTTATCTCATACGATTACAAACACATAATCTCAAGGGTCTGCAGCACATGTCACCTTGGAGTTATTTTAGATTTACCCCCGGAACATCAAACGTTCATTCCAGAAGGGTTTGACAGGGCATAGAGAGTGCCGACTAAACCCAGAGGGGGCAAGTTCAAGCATGTTTTTCGCTACCCCAATTTGCATCAGTGCCTCCCCACCCCCCCAAAACACATGCCTCTTTTGCATTACTCAGTGAAAAGTGAAAACTGATAAAGAAAAGGCATGTTTTGTTAATTAAAAACATCTTTATTTAATAGCATGGCTGCTAAATCTGGTAAATAGCAGCATGCTGCTAGATCTGAATAATGGGGTCGTTTTTTTCTTTGACACAGGGTCTCACTCTGTCACTCAAACTGGAGTGCAGTGGTGCAGTCATGGCTCACTGCAGCCTGGAACTCCTGGGCTCAAGTGATCCTCCTGCCTCAGCCTCCTGAGTAGCTGAGACTACAGGCACGTGCAAGCATGCCCAGGTAATGGGGTCATTTTTGTTTCTTTTTCTTTCTTCTTATTTCAACCCTATTATCTGACCTTTTTTTTTCCCTTGCAAATATTCTTGTTCTGTCTCCTATGTCTGGAGATGGAAGATAAGGAAACCCATACTAGTCCTTTTGGGTTGCTCTGATCAAATAACAGAGCAACAGACAGAGAAAACAACAGAGGGAGGGAGGGCTTTCCCTCTTTCCCCCTCCCTCCCTCCCTCCCTCCCTCCCTTCCTTCCTTCCTTCCTTCCTTCCTTCCTTTTTTTCCTTCTTTTCTTTCTTTTCTTTCTTTTTTTAAGACGGAGTCTCGCTCTGTCGCCAGGCTGGAGTGCAGTGGCGTGATCTCAGCTCACTGCAACCTCCGCCCCTGCCCCAGGGTTCAAGTGATTCTCCTGCCTCAGCCTCCCAAGCAGCTGGGACTACAGGCGTGCGCCACCATGCCCAGCTAATTTTTGTATTTTTGTATTTTTTGTATATTTTGTATTTTGTAGAGACGGGGTTTCACCACGTTGGCCAGGATGGTCTTGATCTCTACCTCGTGATCTGCCCGCCTCGGCCTCCCAAAGTGCTGGGATTATAGGCATGAGCCACCATGCCCGGTCTTCTTTTCTTTCTTTCTCAATTTTATTAAGTGCATCCTATGGTACTATGCTGGGCATAATGGAAACCAAAACAGAAATAATGTCTACTCAGATGGAGTTTAATTTCTGGACAGGAGTAACAAACTGAAATGCATAACAGGAACCTAAGATGCACTGAATAGAGCTGGCTTGAGAAAGATAACCTGTAATCTTCACTGGCCTCAGTGTCTGGAAGGCATCAGGGAATAGTGGGTACCGTGGTAAACTGGAGAGCCCATGCTCCTTTCCAGATCCTCAGATCAGCCATCAGGAAAGTAGACCCTCTTTTCCCATACTTTTATATACATATTTCAAAAGAAGCCAGAAATTGACAGAAATTCAGATCTTTATGTGAAATCTACCAGTATTCAAATACTGACAACTCATTCAGATTATTTAAAATGCTTGTATGGGCCGGGCGCAGTGGCTAACGCTTATAATCCCAGCACTTTGGGAGGCCGAGGTGGGCGGATCACAAGGTCAGGAGATCAAGACCATCCTGGCTAACACGGTGAAACCCCGTCTCCACTAAAAATACAAAAAATTAGCCGGGTATGGTAGCAGGTGCCTGTAGTCCCAGCTACCCGGGGAGGCTGAGGCAGGAGAATCGCTTGAACCCGGGAGGTGGAGCTTGTAGTGCAGTGAGCTGAGATCGCGCCACTGCACTCCAGCCTGGACAACAGAGCGAGACTCCATTTCAGACAGACAAACAAACAAAACGCATGTATGGGCCAGGTGTGGTGGCTCACGCCTGTAATCCCAGCACTTTGGGAGGCCAAGGCAGGTAGATCATGAGGTCAGGAGATCGAGACCATCCTGGCTAACATGGTGAAACCCCATCTCTACTAAAAATACAAAAAATTAGCCTGGCATGGTGGCAGGCACCTGTAGTCCCAGCTACTAGGGACGCTGAGGCAGGAGAATGGTGTGAACCCAGGAGGCAGAGCTTGCAGTGAGCCAAGATCATGTCACTGCATTCCAGCCTGGGCGACAGAGCGAGACTCCGTCTCAAAAAAGAAAAAACAACAACCACCTTAGGTTCTATAGGTGATGTTATCTATAGAAGCAATTGGGAAAGTTACAAATCTTGTGACCTCTGGCCACATGACTCCCGAGCAGTAAAGGATTATAGAAACTGTGCCTATTTTATCAGAATTCAGTCCCCTCTCATCCTGCTAACCTTGTGGCCTTTCATTAGTTTTACAAAGCTGGTTTGGTTTTGGGGAGGGCTATTATTATCTTTGCTTTAAGATAAAACCATAAACTAAATTCCTCCCAAAGTTAGCTTGGCCTATGCCCAGGAATGACCAAGGAGTTTGGAGGTCAGAAGCAAGATGGAGTCAACTATGTAAAATTTATCTTACTGTCATAATTTGGCAGAGGCAGTTTCAAGGTCAGCAGTGAATGGTAGCCGCAGTGTGCTATCATTGCACCTGTGAAAAGCCACTGTAATCCAGCCTGGACAACATAGCAAGGCCCTGTCTTTTAAAAAATCTATTTTAAAAAAGGCTGGGCAAGGTGGCTCATGCCTGTAATCCCAACACTTTGGGAGCCTGAGGTGGGCAGATCACCTGAGGTCAGGAGTTCCAGACCAGCCTGGCCAACATGGCGAAACCCTGTCTTTGCCAAAAATACAAAAATTAGCTGGACATGATGGCGCATGCCTGTAATCCCATCTACTCAGGAGGCTGAGGCAGGAGAACTGCTTGAACCCAGGAGGCAGAGGTTGCAGTGAGCTGAGATTGCACCACTGCATTCCAGCCTGGGCGACAAAGGGGGACTCCATCTCAAAAAAAAAAAAAGTGTATAATCAGGCATCCAACTCAACCCGATTGACTAGGACTTTCCTGATTTTAACACTGCAAACCTGGAAAGTCCTGGACAAACCAGAAGGAGCCGGTCATCCTACTTATATGGTACTCAGCATTTGCCAGGCATGAAGTCCGTGATCAGGGACTGCTAACAGGCGGCGGGCCAACTCACAGGCCAAATCCAGCCCCACCACTAGTTTTCTTTTTTTTTTGAATTGAAAAAATTTTGGACCAAGCATGGTGGCTTACACCTGTAATCCCCACACTTGGGAGGCTGAGATGGGAGGATTGCTTGAGGCTGGGAGTTTGAGACCAGCCTGGGCAACTCAGGGAGATCCTATCTCTACAAATTAAAATGAGAAGTAAATAATTTTGATAATTGCAGATTCACACGCACTTGTAAAAAATAATACAGAGATCTCTTTTACATTTTGTCCATTTTCCTCCAACTATGCAAAAGCATAGTATAATATCACATTCGGGATGTTGATATTCATATGACCCACCAATCTTATTCAGATTTCTCTTATTTGTAGAGATGGGGTTTTGCCATGTTGGCTAGGCTGGTCTTGAACTCCTGGCCTCAGGTGATCTGCCCATCTCAGCCTCCCAAAGTGCTGGGATTACAGGCATGAGCCACCTCACCGGACCAGATTTCCCTTTTTAGCTGTACTCATTTGTGTGTGTATTAAGTTCTATAAAATTTTATCACGTCTTGTGTGTCCACCACCGCAGTCCAGATACTGAACAGTTTCAAGACCACAGGGACCCTCATTGTGCCTTTGTATAACCTCACCCACACCTCTGTCCCACAGACTGCACTCCCAGCCCTCATCCTTAACCCCCTGGCAACTGCTAATCTGTCCTCCAGTTCTAAAATGTCATTTCAAAAATGTTACAAGCTGGATGTGGTGGCTTACGCCTGTAATCCCAGCACTTTGGGAGGCCGAGGTGGGCGGATCACCTGAGGTCAGGAGTTTGAGACCAGCCTGGTCAACATGGTGAAACCCCGTCTCTACTGAAATTAGCCGGGTGTGGTGGCAGGTACCTGCAATCCCAGCTACTCGGGAGGCTGATGCAGGAGAATCACTTGAACCTGGGAGGCAGAAGTTGCAGTGGGCTGAGATCACACCACTGCACTCCAGCCTGGGCAACAGAGCAAGACTCTGTGCCCCTGCCCCCCTGCTCCCCACACAAAAAGTTACACAACTGGAACCATACCCAATCCCCATACAGTATGTAATTTTAGGGGATTTTATTTCCCCCTCAGCATAATTTTCTGGAGATTCTTTCTAACCGTCGCACGAACCAACAATTCATTTCTCTTTATTGCTGAGTAGTATTCCATGATACAGATGTACCAGTTTAACTATTTACTTGTTGAAGCATATCTGGGCTGATACCAGTCTTTGGTTCTGCCTCCTGTTTTTATATAAAGTTGTATTGGAACACAGCCATGCCCATTTATTTACATTTTGTCTATGACTGCTCCTTAGAGTTGAATAGTTTCATCACAGACCATAGAGCCCACAGCCTAAAATATTTACTCTCCAGCCCTTTGTAGAAAAAGTTTGCCAACCCTTATTCCAAGCACCTAACATTTATTAATCTTAATTTTCACAATATCCCTATATAATTGTTATCTTCGTTTCGCAAAGGGAGAAACTGAAGCATAAAGAAAGTAAGTAATTTGCTCATAGTCACACAGCCGAGCTAGGTTTTGAACTCAGCAATATGGCTCTAGGGGCTGCCTCTTAACCAGTCCTCCTCAAAAGATAATCTTACTTCTCAGTTCAAGACAGAGGAACTCGGCTGGGCGCAGTGGCTCACACCTGTAATCCCAACACTTTGGGAGGCCAAGGTGGGCAGATCACCTAAAGTCAAGAGTTCCAGACCAGCCTGGCCAACATAGTGAAACTCTGTCTCTACTAAAAATACGAAAATTAGCTGGGCTTGGTGGCAGGCTCCTGTAATCCCAGCTACTCGGGAGGCTGAGGCAGGAGAATCGCTTGAACCTGGGAGGCAGAGGTTGCAGTGAGCTGAGATCACACCATTGCACTCCAGCCTGGGCGACAAGAGTGAGACTCTGTCTCAAAAAAAAAAAAAACAAAAAACCACACACACACACACACAAACAGAGGAACTGAAAACTGAGATAAGCACACAAGAGAGCTAGCAGCTGAACAACAGGGCTTCTCTTTGAGGGCTAGAAGGAACGGTAGGATTTAACTTGTGATCATTTGCTTTGTTACCTGAATAATGCTTGGAACAGAGCTAAAATTTCTCATTCATTTGAATTAATTTGATATAGGGCTTTTTAAATTTTACCAGGATTTTACAAAGGTTCAGGACCCAAGTGTCTCTGGTCCCCTGACTTTCTTCCTTTCTTTCTTTTTCAGACAGAGTTTCGCTCTTGTCACCCAGGCTGGAGTTCAGTGACACGATCTCGGCTCACTGCAACCTCCGCCCCCCGGGTTCAAGCCATTCTCCTGCCTCAGCCTTCCGAGTAGCTGGGATTACAGGCGCCCACCACCGTGCCCGGCTAATTTTTGTATTTTTAGTAGAGATGGGGTTTCACCATCTTGGCCAGGCTGGTCTTGAACTCCTGACCTCATGATCCACCCACTTCAGCCTCCCAAAGTGCTGGGATTACAGGCTTGAGCCACCACATCTGGTCAGTCCCCTGACTTTCACAGCCACATTTGTAACTGGAAAATTAGCACAGTCATTGTTATCTTTTGCTTGTATCCCAGGGGTTTTTCAGGTAAGTACAGACCTGAACCTAGAGAAACTTCCCTAGGCCAGCATGAGGCTAAATGGTGGCTTTTAATGGAAATACTTTTCTTTCTTCTTCTTTTTTTTTTTTTTGAGAGGGAGTCTTGCACTGTCGCCCAGGCTGGAGTGCAGTGGCATGATCTTGGCTCACTGCAAGCTCTGCCTCCCAGGTTCACGCCATTCTCCTGCCTCAGCCTCCCGAGTAGCTGGGACTACAGGTGCCCGCCACCATGCCCGACTAATTTTTTGTATTTTTAGTAGAGACGGGGTTTCACCGTGTTAGCCAGGATGGTCTTGATCTCCTGACCTTGTGATCCGCCCACCTCGCCCTCCCAAAGTGCTGAGATTACAGGCGTGAGCCACCGCATCTGGCCGCCTTTCTTCATTTTTGTGGGGAGACTTATGCCCAGCTGAGAGAATTTGGGTCTCCCTTTAGGGTGACCAACTATCATGATTTTCCTGGGATTGAGGGGGTTTCTGGATTGTAGGACTTGCAGTGCTAAAACCTCTGCCTCCTGGGCCCAAGTGATTCTCCTGCCTCAGCCTCCCAAGTAGCTGGGATTACAGGCACATGCCACCACGCCCGGCTAATTTTGTATTTTTAGTAAAGACGGGGTTTCACCATGTTGGTCAGGCTGGTCTCAAACTCCTGACCTCAGGTGATCCACCCACCTTGGCCTCCCAAAGTGCTGGGATTACAGGTGTGAGCCACCACATCCAGCTTGTAACATTTTTGAAATGACAACATTTTAGAACTGAAGGACAGATTAGCGGTTGCCAGGGGGTTAAGGATGAGGGCTGGGAGTGCAGTCTGTGGGAGAGAGGTATGGTGGCTCATGGCTGTAATCCCAGAACTTTGGGATTACAGGTGGGTGGATCACCTGAGGTCAGGAGTTCGAGACCAGCCTGGCCAAAATGGTGAAACCCCGTCTCTACTAAAAATACAAAAATTAGCCAGGCGGGTGTGGTGGTGCACACTTGTAATCCCAGTACTTTGGGAGGCTGAGGTGGGTAGATCACTTGAGGTCAGGAGTTCGAGACCAGCCTGGCCATCATGGTGAAACCCCATGTCTATTAAAAATACAAAAATTAGCCAGGCTTGATGGCGCATTTCAGTAATCCCAGCTATTTGAGAGGCTGAAGCAGGAGAATCGCTTGAACCCAGGAGGCAGAGGTTGCAGCGAACTGAGATCACTCCACTGCACCCCAGCCTGGGTGACAGAGTGATACTCTGTCTCAAAAAAAATAAATAAAATTAGCTGGGTGTCATGGCACATGCCTGTAATCCCAGCTACTCACTAGGCTGAGGCAAGAGAATCAGCTGAACTCAGGAGGCAGAGGTTGCAGTGAGCTGAGATCACACCACTGCACTCTAGCCTGGGCAACAGAGTGAGACTCTGTTGGGCAAACGGAGAGAAATCAGTCACCCTAGTCCAACTAGTCCCTGACCCAGACTTGGAAGGAGAGGGTAGATTTCAAAAGACAAAGATATATTCATTCATTTTTTGAGATAAGGTCTCACTCTGTTACCCAGACAAGAGTGCAGTGGTGCAATCATAGCTCACCGCAGCCTTGAACTTCTCAAGGGATACTCTTGCCTCAGTCTCCCAAGTAGTCAGGATTCAGGTGTGCACCACCCCACCCAGCCACAAAACAAAGACCAAAAAAAGCAACATTTCAGCCCTGGGTAGTGGCTCATGCCTGTAATCCAGTGCTTTGGAAGGCCAAGGTGGGTGGGTCGCCTGAGGTCAGGAGTTCAAGACCAGCCTGGCCAACATGGCGAAACCTTGTCTCTACCAAAAAATAGATAAAAATTAGCCAGGTGTGGTGGTACTTGCCTGTAATCCCAGCTACTCGGGAGATTGCGGCAGGAGAATTGCTTGAACCAGAGAGGCAGAGGCTGCAGTGAGCCAAGATTGCGCCGCTGTACTCCAGCCTGAGAGAGAGCATGAGACTCCATCTCAAAAAAAAAAAAAAAAAAAAAAGAAAGTAAAGGAATGAAAGAATGGCTACTTCATAGGCACAGCAGTAGCATGGGCTGCTGATTGGCTATTTTTATGGTTATTTCTTTCTCCAGCCTGGGCGACAGATCAACACTCTGTCTCAAAAAGGAAAAAAAGAAAAAAAAAGTTACCTTGCCACATATTGAAATGGCCCCAGGAGCCTCCTCCTTTCTCCCCCTCCCCTCAACCCATTACGAAAAAAAAAAAAAACGGCCCTACAAAGGCTTCTTTTGTGGGGGAAAATTTGCATTGTAAAGAATTTCTATGAATATAACTAGATTTTTCATCTTCCAGGCTCTCCAAATCCTGGTGAGATTAACTGAGAATCTAGCATCCTGTAAAGGTCTAAATAGAAAACATTAAAAAAAAATTATAGAGATGGGGTCTCACTCTGTTGCCCTGGCTGGTCTTGAAGTCCTGGGCTCAAGTGATCCTCTTGCCTTGGCCTCCCGAAGTGCTAGGACTACAGGCATGAGTTACCATGCCCGCCCAACAAATAGGAAACATTTGTCCTCTATTGTCTCAAAGGGCAGCCACCTATGAGACTTCATCTACTTCATACAAACCTTGGTCTCCATAGCCCCTTATTGTAACCCAGACACTCCTTTCTTTTGATTCTAGATCTCTAGATAGTAACTTAACTTTCAGCCAATTGCCAATCAGAAAATCTTTGAAACCACTTGTTACCTGTAAATACCCTCGCTTACTTTGAGTTGGTCCACCTTTCTGGACTGAACCGATACACCTCACATGTATTCATTGATATCTTATGTCCTCCTAAAATGTATAAAACCAACCTCAAAGGGCGGGTGCGGTGGTTTATGCCTGTAATCCCAGTACTCTGGGAGGCGGAGGTAGACAGATCACCTGAGGTCAGGAGTTTGAGACCAGCCTGGCCAACATGGTGAAACCCTGTCTCTACAAAAAATAAAAAATTAGGCCAGGCGCAGTGGCTCACACCTGTAATACCAGCACTTTGGGAGGCCAAGGTGGGTGGATTGCCTGAGGTCAGGAGTTTGAGACCAGCCTGACCAATATTGTGAAATCCTGTCTCTACTAAAAATACAAAACTTAGCCGGGCATGGTGGCGTGCACGTGTAGTCCCAGCTACTCGGGAGGCTAAGGCAGAAGAATTGCTTGAACCCAGGAGGCAGAGGTTACAATGAGCCGAGATCGCACCACTGCACTCCAGCCTGGATGACAGAGGGACACTCTGTCTCAAAATAAAAAAATAAAATAATAATAAAATTAATTAATTAAAAAATTAGCTGGGTGTGGTAGTGCACACCTGCAGTCTCAGCTACTCCAGAGGCTGAGACGGGAGGATTGCTTGAGCCCGGGAGGTGGAGGTTGCAGTGAGCTGAGATTATGCTACTGCTCTCCAGCCTGGATGACAGAGCAAGACCCTGCCCCCCACCCATCCCCCCAAAAAAAGTCTTCTGCTAGCCATCATCACTCATATTTGGCTCAGAATAAACCTCTTTAAATATTTTGCAGTTCAGCTTTTTCAACACCTCCAATTTGAACTTGTCTGATTGTATCCACAGGTTTAGATTCAGGTTGAATATTTTTGGCAAAAATACTATAAAAGTGATATTGTGTGTGTCCTTCTTGGGGAATGATTTTTATTATACTACGTTTTAATAAATTTACTTTTAGCCGGGCATGGTGGCTCACGCCTGTATCCCAGCACTTTGGGAGGCCGAGGCAGGTGGATCACCTGAGGTCAGTTGTTCCAGACCAGCCTGGGCAACATGGTGAAACCCCATCTCTACTAAAAATACAAAAAATTAGCCAGGTGCGGTGGTCGGTGCCTGTAATACCAGCTACTTGGGAGGCTGAGGCAGGAGAATCGCTTGAACTGGGGAGGCAGAGGTTGCGGTGAGCTGAGATCACGCCATTGCACTGCAGCCTGGGCAGCAAGAGTGAAACTCCATCTCCAAAAAATATATATTTTTTATTTATTTACTTTTCATTTATTTAAGAGGGGTATAACATCACATGGAATCTTTGTCCAGTGGCCTTAGCAGGAAGATTGTTTCAGAATTTGGCATGAACTATGCCCATAATTCCATGGGTCTGAGTTACCTTTCCTCACATCACTCTGGTTTTGTTCAGTTTGCTGCCGGGAGTCACTGTCCTGTTCTTTGCTTTGTATGCATAAGCGCATCTCTTGCCCAAATAGGATTCAGTTTCATCTCAGGCATAAATGCCTTCAATGTTAAGAAGAGCTGTGTACTCCCTTTGGTTCAAGAGACCCTGCTTATAGCCAGCAAAAGTGGCCTTGGGTCCAGGCCCAGTGGTTCATGCTTGTAATCTCAGCACTTTGGGAGGCCTAGGCAGGAGGATCACCCGAGGCCAGTAATTCAAGACCAGGCTGGTCAACATAGTGAGACCGTGTCTCTACAATAAAAAGAAAATAAAGCCAAGTGCAGTGGCTCACGCCTGTAATCCCAGCACTTTGGGAGGCCGAGGCGGGTGTATCACCTGAGGTCAGGAGTTTGAGACCAGCCTGACCAACATAGTGAAACCCCGTCTCTACTAAAAATACAAAATTAGCTGGGTGTGGTGTCACATGTCTGTAATCCCAGCTACTCGGGAGGCTGAGGCAGGAGACTCACTTGAACACAGGAGGCGGAGGTTGCAGTAAGCCGAGATTGTGCCATTGCACTCCAGCCTGGGTGACAGAGTGAAAGTCCGTGTCAAAAAAAAAAAAAAAGAAAAAAAAGTAAAAGGAAAAAAGGAAAAATGGCCTTAGACCACAGCCTTCCAGACATATCTGCCTTTTAGAAGTCCTGTCCTGGTTGGGCAGGGTGTCTCATGTCAGTGATCCCAGCACTTTGATAGGCCAAGGCGAGAAGATCCCTTGAGCCTAGGATTTAGAGACCAGCCTGGGTCTCTAAATATAACATAAGGAGATCCCATCTCTACAAAACACTAAAAAAAGTTAGCTAGGTGTGGTGGCATGCACCTGTGTTCTCAGCTACTGAGGAGGCTGAGGTTAGAGGATCACTTGATCCTGGGATGCTCTAGGTTACAGTGAGCTATGATCGCACCACTGCACTCCAGCCCGTGCGATGGAGTGAGACCTTGTTTCAAAAGAAAAAAAAAAAAGGCCCTGTCAAGCAGACAGGCTCCAAGATGGTAGAAAGAGAAAGGCCTTAGGGAATGATTTTTAAATTTACGGCAGCTGAGAGTCTAACTTCTTAGAGGGGGAAAATTGTGAAATACTAAAATGTGAAGGTGAAATCCCTTGCCCAAGGTCATATGTGCCTTTTAGTTGGTGACCCCAGACTCTAATCCTGGTCTCCTTGTCTGTCTGTACCTATGTGTTCTTCTGTCTTCTCTGTTCTTAGAAACAAACTTTTTCCTCCCCCCACCTACAGCATGCCTTCTGTGGTCAGAATTCTGCTTTAAAAAGCCTTTTTCCCTTATTACTTTTGCACACAACTCAGTTCTCTCCAACAAGGCCTGAACTGCCATTGTTTGCTTCAAACTTCCTTGCATCCAATCCTTCCTCTTTTCAAGATAAGGCCTGTTTTTCCCAGGGCTCTGGGGAACCACACCTAGAAGAGGCTGTTCCAGACAAGTCTAGCATTGCTTCCCTTTTTCTGATAAGGTTCCATTGTTGAGAACACTCCCTTTGTTTCTTACCTGTCTCCAAAACATTCTGGAATTTACTTCTATTTTAGTTTGCTGATGTGGCCATTACTGTTAAGTGGTGGTTAATTATCTTTGTATTCTACATTCTTTTTTTTTTTTTTTTTGAGACGAGTCTCACTCTGTTGTCCAGGCTGGAGTGCAGTGGTGCGATCTCGGCTCACTGCAACCTCTGGCTCCTGGGTTCAAGTAATGCTCCTGCCTCAGCCTCCCAAGTAGCTGGGACTACAGACGTGTGCCACCATGCCCAGCTAATGTTTTGTATTTTTAGTAGAGACGGGGTTTCACCATGTTAGCCAGGATGGTCTTGATCTCCTGACCTTGTGATCCACCCGCCTCCCAAAATGCTGGGATTACAGCCGTGACCCGCAGTGCCAGCGAGAATTCGTATTTCTAACCTAACCTAATCTAATCTAATCAAGTGATTCTGGCCCACAGATAACACTTAGAGAATCACTGGGAGCTGGGTGTTGTGATTTGTGTCTGTAATCCCAGCACTTTGGGAGGCCAAGGCAGGAGGATCCCTTGAGGCCAGAAGTTGGAGACCAGCCTGGACAACACAGCAAGACCTCATCTCTACTAAAAATTTAAAAAGTAGCCAGGCATGGTAGCATGCACCTGTAGTCTTAACTACTTGAGAGGCTGAGGCAGGACGATGGCTTGAGCCCAGGAATTTGGCTGCAGTGAGCTATAATCACACCACTGCGCTTCAGCCTGGGCAACAACAGAGGGAGACCCTGTATGTTAAAAGAAAACAAAACAAAAAAATCATTGGCTTAAACTGACATTTATATAATGTCAAACTGATTAGGCTGGGTGCAGTGGCTCACACCTTGAGCTTTGGAAGGCTGAAGCTGGCAGATTGCTTGAGCTCAGGAGTTCAGGACCAGCCTGGGCAACATGGTGAAACCCCATCATAAAAAGAAAGAAAGAAAGAAAGAAAGAAATACAAATTCTCAGCTCTTCTTCCTTCCTTTCCTTCCTTCCCTCCTTTCTTCCTTCCTTCCTCCTTCTTTCCTTTCTTCCTCCTTCCTTTCTTCCTTCCCTCCTTCCTTCTTTCTCTCTTTCCTTCCTTCCCTCCCTCCCCTCCTCTCTCTCTCTTTCTCTTTCTTCCTTCCTTCCTTCCTTCCTTCCTTCCTTCCTTCCTTTCTTTCTTTCTTTTTCTTTCTTTCTTTCTTTCCTTCTTTGCCTTCCTTCCTTCCTTCTTTCCTTCCTTCCTTCCTTCCTTTCTTCTTTTCCTTTCTTTCCTTTATTTCCTTTATTTTTCTATTGACAGGATCTTGCGCTGTCACTCAGGCTGGAGTGCAGTGGTGCAATCTCACTGCAGGTTGCTCACTGCAACCTTCTCCCCCAGGCTCAAGCAATCCTCCCACCTCAGCCTCCCGAGTAGCTGGGACTACAGGTGTGCACCACCATGCTGGCTATTTTTTGGTATTTTTAGTAGAGATGGAGTCTCATTATGTTGCCCAGGCTGGTCTTGAATTTCTGAGCTCAAGCGATCCGCCTGCCTTGTCCTCCAAAAGTGCTAGGATTACAGGTATGAGCCACCATGCCTGGCCAAAACCCCGTCTCTACAAAAAATACAAAAGTAGCCAGGTTTGGTGGTGTGCGCCAGTAGTCCCGGCTACTTAGGAGGCTGAGGTGGGAGGATAGATTGAGCCAGAGAGATCGAGGCTGCAGTGAGCCATTATCCCACCACTGTACTCCAGCCTGGGTGACACAGTGAGACGAGACTGTCTCAAAAAACAAAAACAAACAAACTGATTATATTGAAGTATCATAAAGCAAGTTATAGACATGAAGTCACCCACAAAACCTAAAAATGTCCACTTCCCAGGGGTTCAATTCTCTACTTTCTCTTGCTGTCCACATCTAATCTGTTTTGAAGTTTTTCTTGTCTAGCTTCAACATATACCCTGAACCCCCATCCTTTCTCCTACATCGTCTTAGCCCAAGCTCATATCCCCTCTCGCCTAGAATACCGCAGCCACTTCTCATCTGGTATCCTCTCCCAGTCTTGACCCAACTCCCCACACAGTCACAGGGGTTATCGTTGGAAAATGCAAGTCAGATCATATCACTCTGTTAAAAACACATCCAGTGGCTACTGCAATTAGAATAAACGGCAAACTTCTTTTATGACTGACAAGAACCTGCATGCCCAGACCCTGCCTGTCTGTCTGGCATTCTCGTTGCTTCTTGAGCCTTGTTTATCACGCTCAGGTTTACTGGCGTCTTCCTCTTTCTGCACATATCAAACTCTTGGTACTTGTAATTGTCTGGATTGTACCCCACTCCCAGCCTGAATTCTGTGCTTGACAAAAGGCTACCTTTTCTATCTACTTACCTAAAGAAAGTGAAGAAATGTCTAAGATGTGCTGGTAGGTGAAAAAGTAAGGTGGGAAGTACGTATTGCATACATGTTACCTTTTTATTTATTTATTTATTTGAGATGGAGTCTTACTCTGTTGCCCAGGCTGGAGAGCAGTGGCGTGATCTCAGCTCACCGCAACCTCTGCCTCCTGGGTTCTAGCGATTCTCCTGCCTCAGCTTCCCAAGTAGCTGGGATTACAGGCATGCACTATCATGCCTGGCTAATTTTTCTATTTTTATTTTTCATTTTTATTTCTATTTTTTTGAAACAGAGTCTCTCTCTGTCGCCCAGGCTGGAGTGCAGTGGTGCAATCTTGGCTCACTGCAACCTCTGCCTCCCGGGTTCAAGCGATTCTCATGCCTCAGCCTCCCAAGTAGCTGGGATTACAGGCACGTGCCACCACACCAGCTAATTTTTGTATTTTTAGTAGAGATGGGGTCTCGCCATATTGGCCAGACTGGTCTTGAACTCCTGACTTCAGGTAATCCACCTGCCTCAGCATCCCAAATTGCTGGGTTTACAGGCGTGAGCCACTGCACCTGGCCTAAAAATTTTGTAGAGACAAGGTCTTGCTATGTTGTCCAGGCCAGTCTCAAACTTCTAGCTTCCAATGACTCCCACCTCAGCCTCCCAAATACTGGGATTACAAGCATAAGCCACTGCACCTGGCCTCTATGTTACCATTCAGGAGATATATAGCCCTTTGCTTGTACATGATTCAACTACTTCTGAAAGCATACACAAGAAACAGTTAACTCTTGTTGTCTCTAGGGAAAGATGCTGGGTGTCTAGGGAAGAGTGGAAGAAAGATTTTTACCAGAAATCTTTTGTACCTTTTGGATTTTGAACCACATTATACCTGGTCAAAGTAAATTAACAAATAAATACCATCAAGACTAACTAGTTAAATAAGTAGTTCTGTGGTTATTCTGTGCCTGTCACAAGCTGTTTTTTTTTTTTTTTTTTTTGTAGCACTGATTACAATCTGTAATTATCTTGCTTTTGTGTATGTGTTAACTGATGTTTTGTCCCCGTCCCCGCTGGATTACAAAGTCCTGAGAAGAGAGACTGTTGCTGTTTGTGTCTCACCATTACATGCCTAAGAATTAGCACAGTGCCTGGTAAACGGCAGGATGTCAACAAATATTTCTCTGGGATTTTTTGGTTTTTGTTTTTTCTGAGACAGAGTCTCGCTCTGTCGCTCAACCTGGAGTGCAGTGGCGCAATCTCGGCTCACTGCAACCTCCGTCCCCTGGTTCAAGTGATTCTCCTGCCTCAGCCTCCCCAGTAGCTGGGATTATAGGCACCCGCCACCAAGTCTGGCTAATTTTTGTATACATACATATATATATATATATATATATATATATATATATATATATATGTATTTTTTTTTTTTAAGATAGGATCTTGTTCTGTCTCCCAGGCTGGAGTGCAGTGGTGCTATCATGGCTCACTGCAGCCTGGAACTCCTGGGCTGAAGTGCTCCTCCGGCCTCAGCCTCCCAAGTAGCCAGGACTACAGGCATGTGCCACCATACCCAGCTAATTTTTTTTTTTGAGACCGAGTCTGTTGCTCTGTCTCTCAGGCTGGAGTGCAGTGGCGCGATCTCAGCTCACTGCAACCTCTACCTCTTGGGTTCAAGCGATTCTCGTGCCTCAGCCTCAAGAGTAACTGGGACTACAGGCACGCACCACCATGACCAGCTAATTTTTGTACTTTTAGTAGAGATGGGGTTTCACCATGTTGGCCAGGCTGGTCTCGAACTCCTGACCTCAGGTGATCTGCCTGCCGCAGCCTCCCAAAGTGCTGGGATTACAGGCATGAGCCACTGCACCCGGCCTCCCAGCTAATTTTTGCATTTTTTGTAGAAATGCGGTTTCACCATGTTGCCCAGGCTGGTCTCGAACTTCTGGGCTCAAATGATCCTTCTGCCTTGGCCTCCCAAATTGCTGGGATTATAGGGATGAGCCACTGTGCCTGGACTGTTTTTTTTGTTTTGTTTTTTTTTTTAATATGAAACACTTCATGAATTTGCATGTCATCCTTGCACAGGGGCCATGCTAATCTTTGTGTTATTCCAATTTTAGTATATGTACTGCAGCAGGGAGCATAAATATTTGTTGAATGAATGAATCTTGTCCAGCAGGGACGAAGTGGAAAGGAAGGTGCAATACAATCACTTGTGGATTCAGGATCTGCATACCTGACCGGCAGACCTGCTTGCTGGCTTGGAACCTCCTGAAGTTCATGACTGTCTAATGAATTCTGAATCAGCCATCCTCTGCAATTTCCTTGCTATGTCGGAGTCAGCGAGATTCTATTACCTGCTCTGGGCCTTAGGTTTCATGCCTGCAAAATGGGCCGAGTGAAATAGATCTGTGTTTGCCTAACTGGAGTTGTTCCTGTTCTATCTTTATGATTTTTGCCATATCGTCTATATTATTTAGCATTTTTATATCTGTACCATCTATATTATTTACTTAACATTTTTCTTGCATCGGTTCACTTATTTTTAGCTATATAAATATTATTTCAAAAGGAAACCTTATGTCAATACATAAGCAGAAAACCTATACCTCTTGCCATAAATGGGAGCTAGAAGTAAAAATAAAGACAGTGAAACAACACAATGTGATTACATGCTGGCTAGAGACTGTTGCCTGTACAGGCTTTAGGGTCCAGATCTGCTTGTCCTTTGTCATAAAGGAGATTGGGCTGGGGGTGGTGGCTCATGCCTGTAATCCCAGCACTTTGGGAGGCTGAGGTGGGAGAATATTTTGAGGTCAGGAGTTTGAGATGAGCCTGGGCAACATAGGGAGACCCTTGTCTCTACAAAAAAAAAAAAAAAATTAGCAGGGCATAATGGCACCTGCCTGGGGTCTCAGCTACTTGGGAGGCTGAGGTGGGAAGATCACTTGAACCTAGGAGGTCGAGGCTGCAGTGAGCCACGATTGTGCCACTGCACTCCAGCCTGGGCAAGAGAGTAAGACCCTGACTCAAAAAAATCAAAAACAGAAAAGGAGATTGTACCACACTGAGACTTCCTACTAGAGGTAGAATTAGAAGAGGATTGAAAAAGGGGTGACTGAGGCCGGGCGTGGTGGCTCAAGCCTGTAATCCCAGCACTTTGGGAGGCTGAGATGGGTGGATCACCTGAGGTCAGGAGTTCGAGACCAGCCTGGCCAACATGGTGAAACCCCATCTCTACTAAAAATACAAAAAAATTAGCCAGGGGTGGTGGTGGTGCCTGTAATCCCAGCTACTCGGGAGGCTGAGGCAGGAGTGTCGCTTGAACCCAGGAGGCAGAGGTTGCAGTGAGCCAAGATTGCACCATTGCACTCCAGCCTGGGCAATGGGAGCCAAACTCCATCTCGAAAAAAAAAGAAAGAAGAAAGAAAGAAAGAGAGAGAGAGAGAGAGAGAAAGACAGAAAGAAAAAGAAAGAAAGAAAGAAGAGAAAAGAAAGAAAGGAAAAGGGGTGACTGGCTGGGTGTGGTAGCTCACGGCTCTAATCCCAGCACTTTGGGAGGCTGGGATGGGAGGATCACTTGAGGCCAGGAGTTTGAGACCAGCCTGGGCAACATCGTGAGACCCCCCCATCTCTACTTAAAAAAAAAATGAAAGAGAGATTCCTTTCCACAGTGCTTTTTAATGGTGCCCGAATATTTTACCAAAAATAATCTCATCTACACTAGGGGAAACATTGAGTTTAAATTGCTCATTTCACAAACGTAGAAACTGAGGCCCAGTATGGGGGTTGAAATTTTCCAGGGTAGTCATTTGGGAATTTGTCAAGTCTGGACTGTAAGCTTTCATAATAGGAACTGCATTGGCATGTGCTTGGGACAGGTCTGGTATACAGTGTCATTCAATAAATGAGTCCTGAGCCAGGCATGGTGACACATGCCTATAGTCCCAGCTACTCAAGAGGCTGAGGCTGGAGGGTCCCTTGAACCCAAGAATTTGAGGTTGCAGTGAACTATGATTGCACCACTGCACTCCAGACTAGGCTACAGAGTAAGACCATGTCTCTAGAAAAAAAAAAGTAATAATAAATAAGAAAAAAAGAGAAAGAAATTAGTTTTTTTTTTTTAGAGACGGAGTCTCACTCTGTTGCCCAGGCTGGAGTGCAGTGGTGTGATCTCGGCTCACTGTAACCTCTGCTTCCCGGGTTCAAGCAATTCTCCTGCCTCAGCCTCCTGAGTAGCTGGGACTACAGGCGCATGCTGCCACGCCTGGCTAATTTTTTGTATTTTAGTAGAGACGGGGTTTCACCGTTGTTGCCCAGGCTGGTCTCGAACTCCTGAGCTCAGGCAATCCACCTGCCTCGGCCTCCCAAAGTGCTAGGATTACAGGCGTGAGCCACCGTGCCCGGCCAGAAATTAGTTTTTATTTTATTTATGTATTTATTCATTTATTTTGAGATGGAGTCTCGCTCTGTCCCTTGGCTGGAGTGCCGTGGCGCGATCTCGGCTCACTGCAAGCTCCGCTTCTGGGGTTCACGCCATTCTCCTGCCTCAGCCTCCCGAGTAGCTGGAACTACAGGTGCCTGCTACCATGCCCAGCTAATTTTTTTGTATTTTTAGTGGAGACGGGGGTTTCACCGTGTTAACCAGGATGGTCTTGATCTCCTGACCTCGTGATCTGCCCACCTCGGCCTCCCAAAGTGCTGGGATTACAGGCCTGAGCCAGGTTCTTTATCAAACCTGCTTGTTTTTTGTTTTTTTTTGTTTTTTATGATATTATTCTGTTTGCATATTTTGGTACCTTCTTTTGTGTCTTTAATAATTATTAGCTCATCTTTCGATGGTTTTTGTGCAAACATGCTATTATCTGAAAGTACGCCTTTGCTTGCTGGGTTGACTCCTAGCTCCAGGAGGATGATTTCTATATTGTAATTTTGGATTACATGAGCCCCAAGGCCTGATTTCCTGCCCTTGTATTTGCATTGCATTAGGAGGTCTTTGCTTTCTGAGACCCGTGACACCTCCTCCTCTGGCATAGTATCTATCAGTTCACACTACCGGTTGGGTTTCAGTTCCATTTTTGTTTTTTGACATGGGGGATTTCCCTTTCTTTCCTGTGAACCCTGTGATTCATTTAAAAGAGTACTTGTTATCTTTTACTCAGAATTTCCAGATGTTTTTGCGGGTGGGGTTGAGTGTTTCAGGCTATCTAATCTGCTGTATTGCTGGAAACTGACCACCTTTGCGCTTTTTTTAGTTTCTTTTCTCTACCCCCTAGCTCTGAATATTCAGTTTCTGTTCTTTCATTTCCCACCCTACTCCCTCCTGTCTCATATATCTTTTATACCTTCAGCTTCAAATCCTTTTCTTAACAAGTTGATTTACTCTGGAGTTTCTAATTTAAATGCATCCCAGGTGGCAATCTCACAGGTCAACCTGGTTCCTGTTGGGCCAGATATTCTGGGTCCAGCTATCTCATAAATCACTTGCCCTGCCCATGCATTGGCTGCCCCTGGGGCTGATGCCCATGTCTGACACAATCAGCTGTGGTGTGAGCAGAAGTTGCCAGTCACATGGTACCAAAGAAGGTGACTTCTGCTCTGTCTTTAGAAGGGTCTGTGGGTAAGTGGGGCAGACATCATGACTGACATGTACAGTAACATCCTTAACAGGTTTGCAATGTAGTTGATTGATAATAGCCAGAAGGTTTAAAATATTTTTTTTTTTGAGATGGAGTTTTGCTCTTTTTGCCCAGGCTGGTGTGCAATGGCGCGATCTCGGCTCACTGCAACCTCTGCCTCCCAGGTTCAAGTGATTCTCCTGCCTCAGCCTCCCGAGTAGCTGGGATTACAGGCATGCACCACCACCCTGGCTAATTTTGTATTTTTAGTAGAGACGGGTTTTCTCCATGTTGGTCAGGCTGGTCTTGAACTCCTGACCTCAGGTGATCCGCCCACCTCGGCCTCACAAAGTGCTGGGATTACAGGCGTAAGCCACCACGCCTGGCAAATTTTTATTTTTTTTAAAGCTAGAATCTTAACTTGCCTTATACATTCACCTCTGGCATAGATACTGTTTGCATGCCCCAACATGGCTACTCCTTCCATGTTCCTACTCTGTAAGTACTAAATCATTGATAGAGGGTTTGTCCTCTCAAATAAGCTTACTGTCATCACTTTAAAACACTATTTCTTTTCTTTACTTTTTTTTTTTTTTTTTTGAGACGGAGTTTCACTGTTCTTGTTGCCCAGGCTGGAGTGCAATGGCACGGTCTTGGCTCACTGCAACCTCTGCCTCCTGGGTTCAAGCAATTCTCCTGCCTCAGCCTCCTAAGCAGCTGGAATTACAGGCACCCGCCACCACGCCTGGCTAATTTTTATATTTTTAGTAGATACGGGGTTCCACCATGTTGGCCAGGCTGGTCTCGAACTCTTGACCTCAGGTGATCCGCCCGCCTCGGCCTCCCTAAGTTCTGGGATTACAGGTGTGAGCCACCGCACCTGGTCCCCGAATTCATTTTTTAAAAAAGGAAGTGTTTTATTCCAGGGCTGGAGTCAGCCAACCTTTAAATGCCCCCGAAACTCTATATGATGGGATACCATGTAGCCAGTGAAACATTATGAAGCTGCTTAACATTCAACAGTTAAAAAAGATCTCCCAGATACTTTACTTTTAAAAGAAGTTGTGGATACATTGTAGGTGTATATATCAATGGGGTATACAGGATGTCTTGTTACAGGCATGCAATGTGAAATAAGCACATCATGGAGAATGGGGTCCAGATACTTTAAGTTAAAAAAAAAAAAAGAGATAAAGCAGTGTGTATAATAGGCCTTATTTTGTGTTACAAAAATGTATATATATATAGACCAGATGCGGTGGCTCACGCCTGTAATCCCAACACTTTGGGAGGCCAAGGCAGGCGGATCACTTGAGGTTAGGAGTTCAAGACCAGCCTGGCCAACATGGTGAAACCCCGGCTCTACTGAAAATTAAAAAAATTAGCTGGGCGTGGTGGTGCACGCCTGTAATCCCAGCTACTTGGGAGGTTGAGTCAGGAGAATTGCTTGAACCCGGGAGGTGGAGGTTACAGTGAGCAGAGATCACGCCACTGCACTCCAGCCTGCGTGACAGAGGGAGACTCCATCTCAGAAAAAAAAAAAAAAGAATATATATAAATACGTGTGTGTGTGTGTGTGTGTTTATTTGTAAATGCATCTCTTAAATAATACCTAAGAAATTGGCAATGGTGGCTCCTCTGGAAGAGGAAGTGGGTGGCTGAGGGACTTACATCGCATTTCCTTTGTAGAAGTTAAAAATAAATGAAGAGGCTGGGCGCAGTGGCTGACGCCTGTAATCAAAGTGCAAGCAGCAGTTTGGGAGGCCAAGGCGGAAGGATCACTTGAGGCCAAGAGTTCAAGACCAGCCTGAGCAACATAGTGAGACCTTGTCTCTACAAAAAAATTTTAAAAATTAGCTGGGTGTGGTGGTATGCGCCTGTAGTCTCAGCTACTCAGGAGCCTGAGAAGCAGTGGAATAGTTTGAGCTGCGGTGAGCTATGACTGTACCACTGTACTCCAGCGTGGGTGACAGAGCGAGACCTTGTCTCTAATAAAATAAAAAATAAGGGCAGGGTGCGGTGGCTCACGCCTGTAATCCCAGTACTTTGGGAGGCCGAGGCGGGTGGATCACCTGAGGTCAGGAGTTCAAGACCAGCCTGGGCAACATGGTGAAACCCCGTCTCTACTAAAAATACAAAAATTAGCTGGGTGTGGTGGCATGTGCCTGTAATCCCAGTTACTCGGGAGGCTGAGGCAGGAGAATCGCTTGAGCCCAGGAGGTGGAGGTTGTAGTGAGCCAAGATTGCACCATTGTACTCCAGCCTGGGTGACAGAGCGAGACTCTGTCTCAAAAAAAAAAAAAATAAAATAAAATAAAAGGAAGGAGGAAAAAAGAAAGGAAAGAGGAAGAGAGGAGGAAAGGAAAGAAAATATTGTCTGGGTACAGTGGCTCATGCTTGTAATCCCAGCATTTTGGGAGGCTGAGGCAGGCAGATCACCTGAGGTCAGGAGTTCCATACCAGCCTGGCAAACATGGTGAAACAAAAATTAGCCATGTATGCTGGCACACGCCTTTAATCCCAGCTACTCGGGAGGCTGAGGCATGAGAATCACTTAACCTGGGAGATGGAGGTTACGGTGAGCTGAGATCTCGTAACACTGCACTCCAACCTAGGTGACAGAGCAAGACTCTGTCTCAAAAAAAAAAAAAGAAAAAGAAAAAGAAAATGGGCCCGGAGTGGTGGTTCACTCCTGTAATCCCAGCACTTTGGGAGGCTGAGGCGGGTGGATCACCTGAGATCGGGAGTTCGAGCCCAGCCTGACCAACATGGAGAAACCCTGTCTCTACTAAAAATACAAAATTAGCCAGGCGTGGTGGTGGACGCCTGTAATCCCAGTTACTCGGGAGGCTGAGGCGGGAGAATCGCTTGAACCCGGGAGGCAGAGGTTGTGGTGAGCCGAGATCATGTCATTGCACTCCAGCCTGGACAACAAGAGCAAAACTCCGTCTCAAAAAAAAAAAAAAAAAAAAGAGAAAATGTAAGAATAGCTCCTAAGCCAAGCTGGGAAAATATTTGCTGAAGAATGGCAACACCTCACATTTATCTGTCTCTAGAAAAAGGCAAGGGTTAAGTCAGTTCCTCAAAAAGGCCACCTCAGAAGCCATGGCCTTTCCACTGGCAGTACTTCTCTCTTGACTTTACCCTTAAGAGGAATTGGGATCTCAGATCTATATACCAAGCCTGGCCCATATGTTTGAGGTCATGAAAAAGAATGTGGGGGCCAAAAATTCATCCTCCTAGCTCAGTGTCTTCAAGCCTTTGGCTGAATCGCAGAACAGCAACAAACATATTTCACATTGTGATTCAGTATTGACACTTGTATTTCTTTCTCTTTTTTTGAGATGGAGTTTCACTCTTGTTGCCCAGGCTGGAGTGCAATGGTGCGATCTCAGCTCACTGCAACATCTGCCTCCTGGGTTTAAGCAATTTTCCTGCCTTAGCCTCCAGAGTGGCTGGGATTACAGGTGCACGCCGCCATGCCCGGCTAATTTTTGTAGGTTTTTTTTTTTTTTTTAAGATGGCCGGCTAATTTTTGTATTTTTTTAGTAAAGATGGGGTTTCATCATATTGGTCAGGCTGGTCTCGAACTCCTGGCCTCAGGTGATCCGCCCACCTTGGCCTCCCAAAGTGCTGGGATTACAGGCGTGAGCCACCACGTCTGGCCTATATATATACATATTTGTAACACAAAAAAAGGCCTATTATACATACTGCTTTACCTTTTTTTTTTAACTTAAAAGTGTCTGAACCCCATTCTCTGTGATGTGCTTATTTCACATTGCAAAACTGTAACAAAACATCCTATGTACTCCATTGATATATACACCTACAATGTATCCACAACTTTTTTTAAAAGTGAAGTATCTGGGAGATCTTTTTTAACTGCTGAGTGTTAAACAGCTTCATAATGTTTCATTGACTACATGATATTCCAACATATATAGTTTGGCTGACTCTTGGTATCCCATCATATAAAGGTTGGCTGACTCCAGCCCTGGAGTAAAACACTTCCTTTTTTAAAAAATGAATTTGGGGACCAGGTGTGGTGGCTCATGCCTGTGATCTCAGCACCTAGGGAGGCTGAGGCGGGCAGATCACCTGAGATCAGGAGTTCAAGACCAGCCTAGATAACATGGTGGAACCCCGTCTCTACTAAAAATACAAAAATTAGCCGGACATGGTGGTGGGTGCCTGTAATTCCAGCTGCTTAGGAGGCTGAGGCAGGAGAATTGCTTGAACCTGGGAGACAGAGGTTGCAGTGAGCCAAGACCATGCCATGGCACGCCACCCTGCGCGACAAGAGCAAAACTGTCAAAAAAAAAAAAAAAAAGAAAATGAGTTTTAAAGTGATGGCAGTAAGCTTATTTGAGAGGATAAACCCTCTTCCAGTGATTTAGTACTTACAGAGTAGGAACATGGAAGGAGTAGAGATGTTGGGGCATGCAAACAGTTCTATGCCAGGGGTGAATGTATAAGGTAAGTTAAGATTCTAGCTTTAAAAACATAAAAGTTAAAACCCTGTGGCTATTATCAATCAATTACATGGCAAACCTGTTAAGGATGTTACTGTACAAGATTTTGCATGGACATATGTTTTCAATTCACTTGGGTATATACTTAGGGGTATAATTGATGGGTCATATGGCAATTCTTTGTTTAACACTTTGGAGAACTGCCCACCAATTTTGCGAAATGGAGTACCATTTTACAGTCCCACCAACAGTGTACAAATGGTTCAATTTCTCTACATTGTGGTTAACACTTAAAAAACAAAACAAAACAAAACAAAAAACTGGGGTCAGGCACGGTGGCTCACGCCTGTAATCCCAGCACTTTGGGAGGCTGAGGCAGGCGGATAACCTGAGGTCAGGATTTCAAGACCAGCCTGGCCAACACGGCGAAATCCCATCTCCATTAAAAATACAAAAAATTAGCTGGGCCTGGTGGTGGGCACCTGTAATCCCAGCTACTTGGGAGGCTGAGGCAGGAGAATGGCTCGAACCCGGGAGGCAGAGGTTGCAGTGAGCCGAGATTGTGCCATTGCACTCCAGCCTGGGCAACAAGAGCGAAACTCTGTCTCAAAAACAAACAAACAAACAAACAAAAACCAAAAAAAACCCCAAAACTGGAATGCTTCACAGAATTTGCATGTCATCCTTGTGCAGGGACCACACTAATCTTCTCTGTATTGTTTCAGTTTTAGTGTATGTGCTGCCAACATGAGCATAGTCCTTATTTTTATTTTAGCCCTCTTACAGTGGGTACTTTTAAAGCATTTGATAGCAAATGATTTTTTCTTCCAAGGCAAATATGTTTAATATGTAAGTCTAGAAAGGAAAAGCAAAACAAAAATGAGCTGGGCTTCAAATTCTTCCAGCTGTGGAGTCATTTGCAGGTTGTGGAGCAGGACAAGTCTGTTGCAGCCAGGCCAGGTGCCAATTCCAACAGGCGCATGTGTCATCTCTGGCACAAAA
The DNA here is from genome assembly GCF_000001405.40 of Homo sapiens. NCBI lineage: Eukaryota > Metazoa > Chordata > Mammalia > Primates > Hominidae > Homo > Homo sapiens. The sequence goes on from NC_000020.11 coordinate 47,493,333, forward strand.
ATCACAGGTCACCAAACCCTGATTTGAGTTTAAAGGAAGAGGCATGAATAAGGCAACTCTGGGTTGTAAAGCTCAGGCTGCTCTTTATCTCCAAAAATTTGTCTTAAATATGATTCTTCTCAGGGGTGTTTTTCCCCTCTTTTAAGCAAAACAAGAAGTCAAGTACTTGTTTACCCTAAATTGCATTTTTTGATCTCTCTCTTCTGCTCTCTCTTTCCCCCTCAGTTGTGTGTCCTTCCCAGGGAGAAAAGTGGTTCAGAGTACAGCCTGGGGGTGGAGCTTGGGGCTGTGCCAGCTCATTTTCAGATTAGGTATTTCGTAACAGAGTTTTAGGCATGTGCAGGGTTTAGGCTTCTACCCAAGGAATCTATTTTCACTTGCAGGGAAATTTCACACTGTAATTACTATCATGAAGCAAAATATGGTGTGGGGTGAGGGAGGAGAACATTGTTACTAACCCTTGGATATTAACCCCTACGAAGCAAGTTTGGAACTGCCATACATTATCATTATTAACATTTGAGTGCTCTGTGCTTGACACTGTGTTTAGAGCTTTCACTATGCTGTTCTATTTAATCCTGATAATACCCTATGACATAAGCATTATTGTTGTTGCTATTATTATCATTATCAGTGTTCTCACTTTAGGAAATGGAGGCACAGAAAGTTCAAATAACCAGCCACTATCACACAGCTTTGTAAGTAGCAGAACCAGCTTAGCAGGTTAGGCAGTGAGTGTCAAAGCCCACATTTTCTTTTTTCTCTTTTTGGACTCCAGGGTGGAGTGTAATCACCTTGACTTCCCTGGCTCTAGTGAGCCTCCTGCCTCAGCCTCCCAGTAGCTGGGACTAAAGGTGCATGCCATCATACTTGGCTAATTTATGTATGTTTGTATGTATTTGTTTATTTTTGAGACCGTGAGCCCCACGATCTTGGCTCACTGCAGCCTTAACCTCCTTGGCTCAGGTGATCCTCCCACCTCAGCTTCTTGAGTAGCTGGGAGGCTACAGGCGCATGCCACCACACTTGGCTAATTTTTTTTTTTTTTTGGTATAGGCAGGGTTTTGCCATGTTGCCCAGGCTGGTCTCAAACTCCTGAGATCAAGTCATCTGCCCACCTGGCCCTCCCAAAGTGCTGGGATTACAGGCAGAGCCACTGCGCCTGGCCATAATTTTTCTAATTTTGTAGAGACAGGGGTCTCACCTTGTTGCCCAGGCTGGTCTTGAACTCCTGGAAAGTCCACACTCTTAACCATTAGGGTATCTGGCTATATCTCACACAATGAAAGAGGGAAGAATGTGGGAGATAGCAGTAGGGACAGAAACTGAGGCACGAAAATGACTTGAGCCCAAAAGGTCCAGGCTGCAGTGAGCCGTGAGCATGCCACTGCACTACAGCCTGGGTAGCAGAGTGAAACCCTGTCTCAAAAAAAAAAAAAAAAAAAAAAAATCAGTCGGGCACGGTGTCTCACTTTTGTAATCCCGGCACTTTCAGAGGCTGAGGCGGGCGGATTTTAAGACCAGCCTGGCCAACATGGTGAAACCCCATTTCTACTAAAAACAAAATTTGCCTGGCGTGGTGGTGCACGCCTGTAATCCCAACTACTCAGGAGGCTGAGGCAAGAGAATCGCTTGAACCCAGGAGGCAGAGGTTGCAGTGAGCCGAGATTGTGCCATTACACTCCAGCCTGGGTGACAGAGTGAGATTCCATCTCAAAAAATAAAAACAAAGGCCGGGCAAGGTGGCTCATGTCTGTAATCCCAGCACTTTGGGAGGCCGAGGCGGGTGGATCACAAGGTCAGGAGTTCAAGACCAGCATGGCCAACATAGTGAAACCCTGTCTCTACTAAAAATACAAAAAATTAGCTGGGCCTGGTGGCAGGTGCCTGTAATCCCAACTACTCGGGAGGCTGAGGCAGGAGAATCGCTTAAATCTGGGGGGCAGAGGTTGCAGTGAGCAGAGATCGCGCCACTGCACCCCAGCCTAGATGACAGTGTGAGACTTCACCTGAAAACAAACAAACAAAAAAACCCCAAACAAACCTGTGTACCCTAAACCTAAACGTACTAATTGATCACATTTTGCCATATTTGCTCATCTGTACTCTCTCTCCCTGTGTGTGTGCATTTTTTCTCCCTAAATCATTTGAGAGCAAGTTGCAAGCAGGCTAGTTACCATTGTTACCGGTCTGGAGTTCCTTTCATATAAAACATGTGACCCAAGCTAGATCAATTGAACAGATTACTCTTCGGAATTTGAATCTTGGAATAGGGTAATGAGAGGACAGGATAAAATGAGTGGTCTTTTCTAGATCTACTGCTGGTCTCAGATAAGATGTTCAAGTATGGCCAGGCGCAGTGGCTTACACCTGTAATCCCAGCACTTTGGGAGGCCAAGGCAGGTGGATCACCTGAGGTCAGGAGTTCAAGACCAGCCTGGCCAAAGTGGTAAAATCCTGTCTCTATTAACAAAAATTAGCCAGGTGTGGTGGCACATGCCTGTAATCCCAGCTACTTGGGAGGTGAGGCAGGAGAATTGCTTGAACCTGGGAGGCGGAGGTTGCTGTGAGCCATGATTGTGCAATTGCACTCCAGCCTGGACCACAAGAACAAAACTCCATCTCCAAAAAAAAAAAAAAAGGAAAAAGAAAAAGATGTTCAAGTATCTTCAAGTATCTTCTCTTCCCTTGCTTTCTTTTTCTTTATTTAAATCTTTTTTTCTTTTTTTATTTATTCACTTTTACTTTTCTTCTTTTCTTCCCTTTGTTTCTGACATTTCCGACCTGGCCCTCCAGACTTCCCATTGATTCTTTGAGTTCCTGGATATCATTTTGCTACATTTCAAAGTCTATTGCTGTTGCTTGCAACCCAAGAATCCTAACTGGCACAGCTGCCCTTGAGGAAGTTCACAGGGCAGCATGTAAGTAGAGGCTTCATGCACTCAGAAATATTTGTAGGCAGGATCTCTTCATTTTTGGAGGGCTTGTTCTAGTTGACCTTCTAATCGTATCCTCAGAGAATTTGTGCCTTTGGGTCCCCTAGGTCAAGCCAATTTTATTGAGGAATAATTTCAGAATTTGAAATTATTCTTCCTACCTATTAAAAGTTCTCAGCCACAGTTCAACAAAACTTCACACTTACATAGTATTTCAATAATCCATTGCTGCATAGTAAATCACTGTAAAGATTAGTGGCTGAAAGAACAACATCTTTATTATCTCCCATGATTCTCTTGGTTGATTAGGTTTGGTGGGATGGTTCTTCTGTTCCAGTTCTTTTTTTTAAAAAATTATTTAATTATGATTTAGTTTTTTTTCTTTTTTTTTTTTTTTTGAGACTGAGTCTCGCTCTGTTGCCCAGGCTGGAATGCAATGGCGCGATCTTGGCTCACTGCAAGCTCTGCCTCCTGGGTTCAAGCGATTCTCCTGCCTCAGCCTCCCGAGTAGCTGGGATTACAGGTGTGTGCTACCATACCCAGCTAATTTTGTATTTTTAGTAGAGACAGGGTTTCACCATGTTGGTCAGGCTGGTCGCGAACTCCTGACCTCAAATGATCCACCTGCCTTGGCCTCCCAAAGTGCTGGGATTACAGGCATGAGCCACTGCGCCTGGCCATTTATTTTTATTTTTAAAAACTACCTATTTTCCTTTTTTATAACTTTTTTTTCACAATGTTCTGGTCAACACTATAGTCACCTGGGGCCTCTAAGGACTGAAATGTATGAGAAGGCTCATTTGCATGGCTGACAGTTACTGCAGGCTCTTGCCTGGAATCTCAGCTGGGGCTGCCAAGTGGAGTGCTTCAGTTTTTACTTCATGTAGCCTCTCCATGTGGCTTAGGCTTCCCATAATCTGGCAGCTGGGTTCCATGAGGAAGAAAGTGTAAGCTGCCAATCATCTTTATTTTATTTTATTTTATTTTATTTTATTTTATTGAGACAGAATCTCACTCTGTCGCCTGGGCTGGAGTGCAGTGGCACAATCTTGGCTCACTGCAACCTCCGCCTCCCAGGTTCAAGCGATTCTCCTTCCTCAGCCTCCAGAGTAGCTGGGTTTACAGGCATGTGCCACGGCGCCTGGCTAATTTTTGTACTTTTAGTAGAGACGCGGTTTCACCATGTTGGCCAGGCTGGTCTCGAACTCCTGACCTCAGGTGATCCACCTGCCTCAGCCTCCCAAAGTGCTGGGATTACAGGCATGAGCCACCCCAATCATCTTAAAGCCTAGACTTGAAAGTCCCATGACATCACTTCCACTATTTCCATTGGTCAAACAGTTACAGAGTCAACTCCAGTTCAAGGAAGAGGAAATAAAGCCTACCTTTCGATGTAGGAGTGGCCTGTGCAAACAGCAGGAAAGAATGATAGTGGGCACCTACACAGACTATCTTGTAGAGTGTGTCACTCATTTGGCTTAGATTTTGAGTCTAGAGCAGTGTTTCCACATGTCACTCACTACAAGATCACCTACAGGTTCCATCAAACTCTGCCAATGTTTGCCAGGCGCAGTGGCACACGCCTGTAAATCCCAGCATGTTGAGAGGCCAAGGAGGTTGGATTACTTGAGGTCAGGAATACAAGACCAGCTTGGCCAACATGGTAACACCCCATCTCTACTAAAAATACAAAAATTAGCCAAGTGTGGTGGCACGTGCCTGTAATCCCAGCTACTCGGGAGGCTGAGGCAGAGGAAGCCCTTGAACTCAGGAGGCGGAGATTGCAGTGAGCTGAGATCACACCACTACACCCCAGCCGGGGCAACAGAGCAAGGCTCTGTCTCAAAAAAATTCAGCTGAGCCAGAAGTTTGAGGTTACAGTGAGCCATGATTGTGCCACTGCATTTCAACATGGAGAAACCCCGTCCCTACTAAAAATGCAAAAAATTAGCTGGGCATGGTGGCATGTGCCTGTAATCCCAGCTACTCAGGAGGCTGAGGCAGGAGAATCACTTGAACCCGGGAGTCGGAGGTTGTGGTGAGCCGAGATCACGCCATTGCACTCCAGTCTGGGCAACAAGAGTGAAACTCCATCTAAAAAAAAAAAATTTCTAAAAAAATTCAGATGGTGTATGGTATGAATCATTGTGAAGACAAAGCAGGGTGATATGACTGTGTTTGTGCCTGTGTGTGTGTTTAGTGCTTTAGAAGTTCTATCCGAGAAGGAGACATTGCAGCAGAGACTTGAATGGCAATAGAGAGCAAGCCAGGAGGAAAGAAAATTCTAGGCAAAAGGAACAACAGGTGCACAGGTCCTGAGGCAGGAATATGCTTGGTGTGTTCAGGAATGTTAGTGTGACATGGGGTGAGATATAGGGAGAGATATATCACCTGAGATCAGGGAGGGGAGCAGAGACCAAATCAATTAGGGTCAGAGTAGTTTGTTTTCTTAAATGGAGTCAGGGTCTCCCTCTGTCACCCAGGTTGGAGTGCACTGGCACAATTACGGCTCACTGCAGCCTCGAACTTCCGGGCTCAAGCAATCCTCTCACCTCAGCTTTCTGAGTAGCTAGGACTAGAAGCGTGGGCCACCACACCCAACTAGGGTCTGAGTTTTATCCCAAATGCAATGGGATGCCATTCGAAGCTGTTTAGGTTGGAAGTTTTTTGTTTTGTTTTGTTTTGTTTTGTTTTTGAGATGGAGTTACGCTCTTGTTGCCCTGGCTGGAGTGCAGTGGCATGATCTTGGCTTACTGCAACCTCTGCCTCCTGGGTTCAAGAGATTCTCCTGCTTCAGCCTCCCAAGTTGCTAGGACTACAGGTGTGTGCCACCATGCCCAGCTAATTTTGTATTTTTAGTAGAGACAGGGTTTCACTATATTGGTCAGGCTGGCCTCAAAACCCTGACCTCAAGTGATCTGCCTGCTTTGCCCTCCCAAAGTGCTGGAATTACAGGCGTGAGCCACCGTACCCGGCCTAGGTTGGAAGTAACATGATTTAATACATGATTTTTCAAGGATCCCTCTGGCTACTGTATTGGGAGTGCCCTGTAGAGGATGAAAGGGAGAGAAGCAAGGAGAGTAGCTAGGAGACAGGTGCAGTTGCTGAGGTGAAAGGCCATACACGTGTGAGCATTTCATCTCTGGGTTCTCAGCATCTAACGCAGTATTTTATTTTATTATTTTTATTTTATATATATATATATTTGAAATGGAGTCTCACTCTGTCGCCCAGGCTGGAGTGCAGTGGTGCAAGCATGGCTCACTGCAGCCTTGACCTCCCCTACTCAGGCAATCCTCCCACCTCAGCCTCCTGAGTACTTGGGAATACAAGCAGGCGCCACCACACCAAGCTAATTTTAAAATTTTTTGTAGAGACTGGGTATCTGCTTTGTTGCCAAGGCTGGTCTTGAACTCCTGGGCTCAAGCAATCTCTCGGCCTTCCAAAGTGTTGGGATTACAGGCCTGAGCCACTGTGCCCTGGTGGAAATATATATATATATATTTTTTTGAGACAGAGTTTCGCTCTTGTGGCCCAGGCTGGAGTGCAGTGGCGCGATCTCGGCTCACTGCAACCTCTGCCTCCCGGGTTCAAGTGATTCTCCTGCCTCAGCCTCCCGAGTAGCCAGGATTATAGGCGCCTGCCACCATGCCCAGCTAATCTTTTGTATTTTTAGTAGAGACGGGGTTTCGCCATGTTGGGCAGGCTGGTCTGGAACTTCTGACCTCAGGTGATCTGCCCACCTTGGCCTCCCAAAGTGTTGGGATTACAGGTGTGAGCCACCGTGCCCGGCCCAGAAATGAGATATTTAATTTTTTAATTTTTACTTTTTTTTTTTTTGAGACGGAGTTTCACTCTTGTTGCCCAGGTTGGAGTGCAATGGTGCCATCTCGGCTCACCGCAACCTCTGCCCCCAGGTTCAAGTGATTCTCCTGCCTCAGCCTCCTGAGTAGCTCGGATTACAGGCATGTGCTACCATGCCCAGCTAATTATGTATTTTTAGTAGTGACGGGGTTTCTCCATATTGGTCAGGCTGGTCTTGAACTCCCGACCTCAGGTGATCTGCCTGCCTTGGCCTCCCAAAGTGCTGGGATTACATTCGTGAGTCACCGCGCCCAGCCAAAATGAGATATTTTAAATAACATAAGTAAACAGAAATATATCATGATTTTAATGATAATTCATGCTCTGAAAATAAATGAAGAAAGGAATAGGAGTAGGGAAAGCTGGGATCAGAGTGGGCAGGAAGTTAAAATAGAGCAGTTAGGGAAAGCCTCACTGAATAAGTGACATTTGGACAATGACCATGGGGAGATTAGGGAATGGGTTATTTGAATTTTCTGGGAAAATACTGTTCTAGGCAGAGGAAATAGCAAGTGCACGATCTTTAAGGCCAGAGTGTGCTAAGCACGTTGGAGAGGCCGAGTCCATTGTAGCTGAGTTACAGAAGTGAGTGGAAGAGAAGAAGGTGATGAGTTTAGAGAGGGAAGGGCAGGGCAAGAGACGGGCTGTATGGGGCTTTGCAGGTTACTGCAAGAATTTTGCAGGAGGGACAGAGACTGACTTGGTTCTTACCAGGATTCCTCTGGCTGCTGTGTTGAGTATAGACTCTAAGAGGAAAGAGTGGAAGCAGGCAGAACACTGAGGAGGCTGTTGCAGTGGTCCAGGTGGGAAATGATGGTGCTGACCGTGGAGGTGGTAAGTGGTCAGATTATTCTATTTTATTTACACTCAACACATCTAATACTGACTCAATATTATCTAACATACAGTCCACATTGAAATTGCCCCCCAAATTCTTTTTACATAAAAAAATCATCCTGAATCCAATCAAGTCTCACCTATTGCTTTTGGTTTTCACCTCTTTCATGCTGTCATATTTTAAAAGACTCCAGGCTAGATGTTGTGTAGAATGTCCCACATTCTGAATTCGTTTATTTTTTCAAGTAAGCTTTTTGTGTGTATGTGGCAAGAATACGACAGAGGTAGCAATATGCTTTCCCCACTGCATCATATTAGGAGACACATAACAACAGTCCTGACCCATTATTGGTGGTGCTAAGTTCGATCACTTGGTAAGGGGGTGCCTGCCAGATCTTTCCATTGTAAAGCAAGCTGTTCTTTATTGTAAGTCATAAATACGCTGTGGGATGATACTTCGGGACTAAATATACCCTGAATATACTGCTGCCCAACAACATTTCACCCAGTGACTTTAGCAGCTAAGGAACAGCCTCGTGGCTTCCGACCTTGTGCCTCAGTTCGCTCATCTGAAAAATGAGGATGATCATGGTCCCTACCGGATGCTTGTTTTGAGGATCCGTGCTTGGCATACCAGAAACGCTCCACAAATGTTAGGTATTACTGGACGAAGGCAAATATGAAAAAAATTAAGGGCAGGGCTAGGACTGCATTCCGGTTCTCCGGATCCCGAGGGAGCTCCCAGTCGATGCTGGGCGAAAGCGGCCGCACGAGCCCACGTCGCCACGCCCTCCGCCGCGGAAGCCAGGGTGGGGGTCGCTGGAACCCTAGGCCGGCCGCGCAAGGCCCCCTGGGACCGGTAGTGCTGGGCGTGGCCTCGGGACTACATATCCCAGTGGCCCCCGTGCGGCGACTTTAGCTGCTGCTGTCTCAGCCGCTCCACAGCGACGGCAGCGGCTGCGGCTTAGTCGGTGGCGGCCGGCGGCGGCTGCGGGCTGAGCGGCGAGTTTCCGATTTAAAGCTGAGCTGCGAGGAAAATGGCGGCGGGAGGTGAGTGGAGATAAAGGAGGAGGCGGTGGCGGGCGAGGGGGTGGAGTGCGAGGCGGAGGGAAGAGGGGCGAGTTCCCCAGGCTGCGAGAGCCAGCGGCTTCAGATCTGCCAAGGCACTGAGGGGCGCGCCGGCCGGGGGACGCGCTGAGGTAGTTTCGGGGTGTCGGGGCCGCGCCGCTTCCCCTCAGCCCGGGGGGCGGCCCGCGGCGGTAGGAGCTGAGACGAAGCTGGGTGGCAGTCCGCTTGGGGATCCGAGGGGGTCCCCGCGCGGAGGGGTCACCCGAGGAGTTTGCGGGGGGACTGCAGGGGCCCACTTTCCCCTTCTGTCCCTAAAGTTTTTTCTTCCTCTTGCCTCCCCCAGCCCTTTTGAAAGCTCCCCGCGTCGTCCTCCTGCTGCCCCGGCTCCTTAGCAGCTTCTGGGACGCACGGGAGGGAAAAGCCGCGGGGACCCCCCCCACCCCAGCCTCCCAGCCGGGTGAGATTTGGTTGCTGTGTTTCCTCCTCACTTGGGCATTTAAAAAATATTTTAACACGAATTGTCCGCGGAATTTTCATGTTGGGCTCGGGTAGCTTCTTAGTTTTCTCGGTAAAAAGGCGTTTTACTACCTCTGGTGTGAAGGCTGGGAAATGGCAAGTGGGAAGTTGGTTGATAAAATTAGGAGTTTGGCTGTCTTTATTACTACTTTTTTTTTTTTTTTGCTCTCCCCATCTCTCATTTTATGAACATCGACCCAGTTCGTCATGGTTTAAATAAACTGCTTGTCTTGTACCTGCCTTAACAAAACTAGCCATGGGTCGTTGGGAGACTTAGTTGCTTCCTAGGCAGTTTGAGGGCATCTAGGGTGGAAAAGTTAACCGAGAGAGCGAGCATCTACCTCACTGGCAGGATCTGGGATTCCCAAATGGAATGACACGGAAGCTATGAGATTCTCTCGAAGTCGAAACTTTTTTCCCCCTCCCGAATGCGAAGACTTCCTTTTTGCAATATTTGAGCAGGGCTTCAAAACCAACCTGTTTTTGTTATTAAGCCTGTACGGTAAAGAAACAGGAAGGAGAGTACCAGCTGTCTTGCTGCAGTGGTTTTAAATGGAGTTGAATGAGATGCGTGAGAGTGGTAGTAGTATTGAGTAAGATTGCTGCATCTCTTTGATTTAAATGCCTGGCCTCGGATCCACCTAACTGATCCCTGGCTGCAAAAAAGCTTCAGTATTTGTTGCAGCAGGTTGTTGAGAAGGTGATTGGAGGAATAAAAATCTTAGGTCTTCAGCGAATGCTGCACAAACGAAAATGTTAATGGAAACCTGTAAGTTTGTGAATTGTTTGTTCTTGAAAATATTTTAAATGTATGCTCATTTAGAATATGGTTCTACCGAATGATATCCAATTGGAAAGGTACAAACACATTGAAAAGTGAATCTCTCTTTCACGCCAAACCCTACAGTTTCCCCTTCTCAGAGGCAAAGACTGTTACTGGTTTTTAGAATATCCTTGGTCTTTGGAATAATTATTTTAAGATTTTCATTTGAAACCACTTCTGTTGGATACCAAAAGCAGGGAAATAAAATGAACAGAAGAAACAGAAAATGTGGGAATACTGTTTTTGCTCTCTTAAAAAAAATGTTGATAGCTATTGGAAAAAGCTCTTCAGAACTTACTGCTTATGTCACCTTATCTATTAATACCGTTAAATAACAATCTGTGGGGCTTTAGGATAAAGAACTCTGCCAGGGTTCATTGTTTGTATGTACAATGAATCCTCTGCTTGTAACATGTAAAATGATATTGAACACTATAGCTCCTGTCACTAGAGGTTGCTTCAGGTTCTGCATTTCAATGAGCAGAAATCTAAATTGCCTGTGATCCTAAATTATAGGGGCATTTTATGTATAGATGGAAATGACTTAATTGTCCAATCAGCATTTGAAATAAGAGGCATATACCAGCTTTTGGCATATAGAAGATGGGGATTGTGGACTAAGCGGGAGGCTGTAATATTTCTAGAGCAGTTATAGGAAATATTTCTGCCATAAGATATTTAATTACAAAGGCTTTGAAAATGTACAACTTAAGCATCAATAGCGAGATTTATATTTTTATATTTTAGAATGGTTGTTTTAACAGCTTGCCAACACTAACAATTTGCTAAGGAAATTCAGTGATATTAGAGCTAGGTTATTAAAGATTATATTAAATAATTTAACTGTATTTTGAAAATGATTATGCTGTGCATTTCCTTCTCTGTATAAAAATTATTTCTAAAAAGTGCCACGCACCTCCCGAGCAAATAAAATAGAATTCAGTAAGGAGTGAAGTACTGTTGTACGTGAGACCCTTTTTCTAGGCGATATGCAAATAAAAAGTAGTTTAAAAATGGTTGCTTACTAATGTCTTCTTGACTGGTCTTTTGAAATAAGCTTTCTTGCAGGGACATTACATTAAAGATAAAAGCTAAGTGTGTCTTTTTTTTTTTTTTTTTTTTTTTTTAACGAATTCAGTTCTTTCTGCCGGGCTGCAGTGGCTCAGGCCTGTAATCCCAGCACTTTGGGAAGCCAAGGCTGGTGGATCACGAGGTCAGGAGTTTGAGAACAGCCTGGCAAAGATGGTGAAACCCCTTCACTACTAAAAATACAAAAAATTAGCCGGGCGTGGTGGCGAGCACCTGTAGTTCCAGCTACTCAGGAGGTTGAGGCAGAAGAATGGCTTGAACCCGGGAGGCGGAGGTTGCAGTGAGCCGAGATTGCACCACTGCACTCCAGCCTGGGCAACAGAATGAGACTCTGTTTCAAAAAAAAAAAAAATTCTGTCTTGTGCATTAGCAGTATGATTCTGGAATAATTCATTTTAACTTGGAGTACTGTAATTGAAAAGTCTTTAAAAGAAAATTAAAAAATAAATTTTAGTTTGGACAATAGGGTAAGATTTAAAAACTCTGCTATTGTCCTATCCCAAATTGATGGTTAAAATAAATGGCTTTGGGTTTTTGGTTTTTTTTTTTTTTTTTTTTTTTTTTGCGGGCAGGGGCGTTTTTTTTTTTTCTTTTCTTTCTTTTTTTTTTTTTTTGAGAAGGAAATTTGCTCTGTTGCCCAGGCTGGAGTGCAGCGGCGCGATCTTGGCTCACTGCAACCTCTGCCTCCTGGGTTCAAGCAATTCTCCTGTGTCAGCCTCCCAAGTAGCTGGGATTACAGGTGCGCACCACCACGCCCGGCTATTTTTGTATTTTTAGTAGAGACAAAGTTTACCATGTTGGCCAGGCTGGTCTCGAACTCCCAACCTCAGGTAATCCACCTGCCTTGGCCTCCCAAAGTGCTGGGATTACAGGTGTGAGCCATCACGCCAGCCTGCATTTTTTAAAAACTATATAATTTCACACTTTGGCCAGAGGAGGTAGAGTACTTTTGAAAACTTTTAATTTGTTGCAAGTTTAGAATGCATATTAGCCGCCAGTGACTTTTGGTCTACAACAGCAAATTTGTCACAATTTAATACAGTTGTTACCCTGTAAAGCTATCTAGGATTAGAAAAAAAACAAGACTTGTTGATCATGATTGAAGAGATTACCTGTAGCAGTTTGGTTCATATCCTTGGTATAAATATTTGTTTTTTGCATTACTGAGCGGTTAAAGCTCTGAGAGCAGAAAATTAGTATTGGAAATGTATGTTAACTTTTTCTTATTTTTTTCTCATACTTCAAAAAATTGAAAAACAAGGGGACTATATTGGTTTGGATTCTCAGGAATAGCTTTGAGATTGAGTGCTGCAGTAAAATGTAGGCATTTTCTCCTTTTTTTTTTTTTTTTTTTGAGACAGAGTCTCACTCTGTTGCTCAGGCTGGAGTGCAGTGGCATGATCTCGGCTCACTGCAACCTCTGCCTCCCAGGTTCAAGCGATTCTCGTGCTTCAGCCCCTGCCCGAGTAGCTGGGACTACCGGCGCTCGCCACCATGCCCGGCTAATTTTTGTATTTTTAGTAGAGATGGGGTTTCATCGTGTTGGCCAGGCTGGTCTCGAACTCCTGACCTCAAGTGATCCTCCTGCTTTGGCCTTCCAAAGTGCTGGGGTTACAGGCGTGAGCCACCGCTCCCGGCCCATTTTCTCCCATTTTATGAGTGCTTCTTGGGGTTGGGGAGGGGTTACAAAATAAACACTTCAGAATTAAGGTGGAGGAGGGGCTTTGTGGTAATGAGGCATATTCCATGAGTTTGGTCATGTTTTTACTAGGTAAATTCATTTTGTCTATCATTTTTCTGAGAGGGTTTCTGGGAGAAGATTATTTTAGGTTAAAGATGCAATTTATCCAGAGCCTAACTTTATTTTCAGCCCCCTAACAAATTATGGAATTGAATTTAATTGCCTTTCCCTTTCCTACCTTCTGGTGGAGAGTTTTTAAATGAACAGGAAAATGGCCAGAAAATACACAGCAGGAGTAGGATGGGAGACCTGCAGTGTGTAGAAGGCCGATTTATCCACAAACTGGATAATCTTCTTAGGCTGCATACTGCCAGTACCAAACTTTGTTAGCATTAACTCAGTTTGGTAGGTACTGCCAGCCTAGGTCAGTTTACAGTGGGGGGCAGTAATAGGGTTTATTTAACTAACTGTGTAGTAAACTTTGTGGCCTAAAGGCAAAGGAAAGGAGTCGGACCTGACTGGCAAACAGGTTTTACCCATTTAAAGTAATATTCCAAGAGCAAATGGACTAGTGTCTATTTTGTTTGGCTTTTAAAATATTTTTGTTAGGAACATCTGTGTCTTTTTTTTTAAATTTTCTGTTAATTTTTTTATTGATATGTTCTAGGAAAGGGTGTGACATTTTTCATCTGTTATTCCTATGAAAAGGTATTCTGTTGAAATGTTTAATTTCCTTGGTTAGAGGCTATGAATGAGGGTTATGCAGCTTCACTTTTTGGAAACCAGGGTGACTAGATTACTGAATTTAACTATTGATTAGCCACATAATGATGAAAAGGGAATCTTGGCCTGGGTATCACACAGTAATGGATAATCTGCTTCCTGGGGCTTTGCTTTGGTGGCTATGGCAGCTGAGTTGGCGTGGTAGATGGATAGATGGGAAAGGACTGCAGAAGTCAGCATAATCCTCAATTAGGATAAGCCTTATGGTTAATTGAATGTTGAGTGTACAGGTTAAATCCCATTATAACGAACTCCAGGGGACTGGCCAAATTATTTTGTTGTACTGGGATTAGACTTTATTAAATATTGTTTAAAACAGTCTTTTTGTTAGAGGTGTTAGAGATTTTGGAAAAATTTCCATTTATTGTAACAATTTGACAAGTTGTTCATGAACCTTCCATCTTTAATGCTTTTACCTTTAAAAAGAAAAGAAAGCATGTTGAGCTGGGCAGTGGCAGAGCATGTATATCACCCCTCCACACCATGTTTTGAGTAGCTCTTGGTTTATGTCGACAACCTAATTAGTTTGTTAGTAAGTACTACCACCATCTAAGTGTGGTCAGAAGAATGGGAAATTCCCCAGGTTTGCAGGTGACTGGTGCTGTTAATTTTTTCTGTCCCCAACAACATGTATATATATTTTTAAATTTAACCCTGATCCTTAGAGCACCCAACAACTTTTTGTTGTTGTTGTTGTTGTTGTTTTGAGATGGAGTTTCACTCTTGTTGCCCAGGCTGGAGTGCAATGGCACGATCTTGGCTCACTGTAACCTTTGCCTCCCAGGTTCAAGTGATTCTCCTGCCTCAGCCTCGTGAGTAGCTAGGATTACAGGCATGTGCCACTACACCTGGCTAATTTTGTATTTTTAGTAGAGATGGCGGTTTCTCCATGTGGGTCAGGCTGGTCTCGAATTCCCAGCCTCAGGTGATCTGCCCGCGTCGGCCTCCCAAAGTGCTGGAATTACAGGTGTGAGCCACCACGCCTGGCCAACAACTTTTAAAAAATAAATGAATATACATCATTTTAGTGTGAAATTTAAGTCAGTAATAATTGACTTAGCCCCTTTCTCCTCAGCTATCAATGTAGGTTGAGATTTTTAGGTCTATAAATTGTATTGTTTAAAAAAAAGGGATAGTAATGATGTAGTTTTTAACTTCGTGATACTATCCATATAAATATGAAAATTTTCAGAAACAAGCTTAATTTATATACATATAAGAAAAAGACTGTTCTTATGCTTGGCCAGAAATATACTTCTTTCTGTCCTGTACTTTTATTAGGTTGGTGTTTGCCAAGCTTCAGGCATTTACATCCCACCTTCATATCTAAGGCTAGCATTTTTAGTTTGTTTAGAGAATTTGGATTGGGTGCAGCAAGACATTTTTGAAGTCATTCTTTTAAATAGATGTTCCATGAAGGAGGGAAAATCTGAAAGAAGGAATTTCAAAGCAACCCAAGCAGTGTTTTGAAAATTCTCAAGACTGAAGAATAATGACTGACTAGTAGGCAGGAAGCCTGCAGTTGTATTGTGGTATTGTTCCTCCATCTCATGCATTTGAGAACTTTAGTACAAAAGAAGAGAAAGCATGGGGAGGGGAAGAAAGGGTTTTAACAAAAAAGGGGGCACTTTTGGAGTAAATATTCTTTGCCCTTCTGTTTAAATGAAATCTAAAGCCATATTATTTTACTTTGAAAGAAAATGTGTATCATAATAGAAATGTCCTAAACTGACATTTTTATAAATGAAAGTTAATTGCTGTTGGTGGAAAGAGCAGCATGATCATATGTTCAGTTTCAAAACAGAACTTTGATTAAAAAGAAATCTACATGTGAAAACCTTTTTTTCCTTTTTGGTACCTGATCAATATATTTTGTTAGCTTGTTACTTTGAAAAGAAGACTTACCTAGGGCAGAGTTCAGAATAATTTGTAAGCATGTGCTATAAGCTTTGGACAAATCAATCTCTCTTGGCCAGTTTTTAAAATTTTAAAACAAAGGGTGCTCTGTATGGTTTTCCAAGGTTCCTTATTTTATACAATTCTATAAACTTAAGGCATTATGTAGATATGTACAATGCTCTTTTACTTAAATTTTGTTGATTGAACATAAATGAATTAAGCTCTTTATACCAGATAACCGTGTGAAGTTAGATGCAGCTTTCAGTGCTGACTTATAAAGAATTTAGAGGCTGGGTCCCATGGCTCACACCTGTAATCCCAGCACTTTGAGAGGAGGATCACTTGAGCCCAGGAATTTGAGACCAGCCTGGGCAACAAAGTAAGATCCTGTCTCTATAAAAAATAGGAAAAAAAAATTAGCCGGGCATGGTGATGTGCGCCTGTGGTCCCAGCCGCATGTGAGACTGAGCTGGGAGGATGACTTGAGCCCAGGAGGTTGAGGGTGCAATGAGCTGTGATTGTGCCATTGCACACCAGCCTGAGTGACAGAGTGAGACCCTGTCTCAAAAGGGACTTTAATCGCCTGACTTCATCACAGTATATGCTATAACTGGGTAAAAGTGTGTGTGTGTGAGAGAGAGGGATTTTCAGTCCCCTCCTTCTCGTGTAAGAAAAGCAAGTGTTACTTTCTTTACTCTCAGTGAAATTGCTGTCGTTGAAATGGATTATTTAAGTCATCTTGTGGAGTAGCTATATCAGCTTGAGTTTGTTTCCAGATTGAAATTTGGCAATTTTGGGGCTGAGTGCAGTGGCTCCTGCCTGTAATCCCAGCAATTTGGGAGGCTGAGACCAGAGACTTGCTTGAGCCTAGGAGTTCAAGACCAGCCTGGGCAACATAGCAAGACCCCCCCATCTCTATTAAAAAAATTTGGCAATTTTATTTGAAAATGTTATAAGAGTTACTCAGTACTGTTTATCAAATTGTCCCTTTAGTCTACTACACACTCTGTGTTCCATCCCAGCTCATCTATTTCCTTTTACTTGCTTGGTGGTAATTGTGTTTTATGACAATGTGTTAATCTCAATTGAGGTAGTTGTCTTCACCGCAGTTGGAACAGTAGTTGACTACATATAGGAAAATCTACCAGTGAAGAAACTCCACCAGTGAGAAAAATAACTCTACACATCTTGCATCATTGGAGGGTCAGTGATATCTTTGTCATATAATAAGACAGGACTGTTACCATATTAAGTTTAAAACTACTTTCATCAGGAATCAATAAAATGGAATCCAGAAAGCGACTTTAAACGTACACAGTCATGGCCAGGAGTGGTGGTTCACGCCTGTAATCCCAGCACTTTGGGAGGCCAAGATGAGTGGATCACGAAGTCAGGAATTGGAGACCATCCTGGCCAAGATGGTGAAACTCCGTCTCTACTAAAAATATAAAAAAATTAGCTGGGCATGGTGGCGGGTGCCTGTAATCCCAGCTACTCAGGAGGCTGAGGCAGGAGAATCGTTTGAACCCTGGAGGTAGAGGTTGCCGTGAGCTGAGATCGCGCCACTGCACTCCAGCCTGGGTGACAGAGCAAGACTCCATCTCAAAAAAAAAAAAAAAGTACACGATCATATCTAGAATGGTAGAAGCCTTGAGTGTATGGGTTCTAAGATTTGGCAAACCTGTAAGCATGAACTTGCCCAGTAACCTTCAGTTTCCCTTTTCTTTCCCCCAAATCACAATATAGTCATCCACATGGGACTTTTAAAAATTAATTCAATTTTTGGAGAGGGTCTTGCTCTGTCATCTAGGATGGAGTGTAGTGTCACCATCACAGTTCACTGCAGCCTTGACCTACTGGGCTCAAGCGGTCCTCCCAGCGCAGCCTCCCAGTAGCTGTGACTACAGGCACATGTCACCACTCCTGGCTGATGTTTTTAAGTTTTGTATAGAAGGTGTGTCTTTGGCTGGTCTTGAACTCTTGGGATCAAGCGATCCTTCTGCCTTGGTCTCCCAAAGTGCTGGGATTACAGATGTGAGCCATCGTGCCCAGTATAGTGAGTTTTCTTAAACTTAGTTTTCATACCACTCTTCTAAGTCTTGAGGCCTTAAACTTCAATCATCTTTAATTTGCTGCTGCTTGGTTGTTGTTGCCTACTCTTCCATGCACAGACATACTTAATCAGTGATTATTATGCCTTTACTATTTAAGGAACTGTGAGAGTTAACAAAGTTTGTGACCTCCAAGTGTGCACAATCAATCAGGTACTCATATCACTTCAGTACAAGGCAATCAGTGATAAGTCGGTTTTGCCTATAGAGATTGTAGAGAAGTTCAGAGGAGGCAAGGGACTACTACTGATCCAGGCCATCAGGGTACAGCATGTTGAAGAATAAGATTTAAACATTTTCTTTCTTTCTTTCTTTTTTTTTTTTTGAGATGGGGGTCTCACTGTGTTGCCCAGGCCAGAGTGCAGTGGCATGATCATGGTTCACTGCAGCCTTGACCACCAGGGCTCAAGCGGTTTTCCTGCCTCTGCCTCCCAAGTAGCTGGGACTACACGTGTCCACCACCATGCCTAATTTTTTTTTTTTTTTTTTTTTTGAGACAGAGTCTCTCTTTGTCACCCAGGCTGGAGTGCAGTGGCGTGTTCTTGGCTATATAGATATATAGCTGAGATATGTATCTCTCTCGAGATATATATATATATATATATATATATATATATTTCTTTTTTTTTTTGAGACGGTCTTGCTCTGTCACCCAGGCTAGAATGCACTGGTGCTATCTCAGATCACCGCAACCTCCACCTCCCCGGTTCAAGTGAATCTCCTGCCTCAGCCACCCGAGTAGCTGGGGTTACAGGCAGCACTACCACGTGGACCCAGCTAATTTTTGTATTTTTAGTAGAGACGGGGTTTCACCTTGTTGGCCAGGCTGATCTTGAACTCCTGGCATCATGATCTGCCCGTCTCCAAAATAAAATAAGTGGGAACTATGCTACACATGGACATATTGTGTGGAATAATAGACAAGAGACTAGGAAGGGTGAGGAGGGGGATGATGAGAGATTACTTAATGGGTACAATGTATGTGATTTGAGTAAATGATGCCCTAAAAGTCCTGGCTTCACCACTAGGCAATCTATGCATGTAACAAAATTACACTTGTACCCCATAAATTTATACAAATTAAAAAAAATCAGGCTGGGTGCAGGGGCTCATGCCCATAATATCAATACTTTGAGAGGCTGAGGCAGGAGGACTGCTTAAAGCCGGAAGTTAAAGACTAGGCTGGGCAATATAGTGAGACCCCATCCTATGAAAAAAAAATAGGAAATAATAAAATAATTTTTACAAAAAACAAAATATAAACACAAAAAAAGTTTTTCTTCTAGAAAAAATAACTAATTTACATCTCAATAAGATAAAAACAATCCAACTTAAAAATAGGCAAAAGAGACTGGACCCCGTAGCTCACACCTATAATCCCAGCACTTTGGGAGGCTGAGGCGGGCGGATCGTGAGGTCAAGAGATCGAGACCATCCTGGCCAACATGGTGAGACACCGTCTCTACTGAAAATAAAAAATTAGCCGGGCATGGTGGCACATGCCTGTAGTCCCAGCTACTCGGGAGGTTGAGGCAGGAGAATTGCTTGAACCCGGCAGGCGAAGGTTGCAGTGTGCCGACATAGCGCCACTGCACTCGAACGTGGCAACAGAGTGAGACTCTGTCTCACTAAAAAAAAAAAAAAAAAAAACACAAAAGATATATACAGAGACTTCACAGAAAAAAGGTACACCAGTGGCAAGTAAGTACGAAAAAAGATGCTCAACATCAGCCATTAGGGAAACTGAAAACTACAATGAGATACCACTATACACTCACTATGAGGGGTAACATTAAAAAGACTGACCATACCGTTTGTTGGTAAGGATGTGGAACAACTAGAACTGTATCATACGTGGATACATGGCTAGGAGAAATGTGAAATGGTACAATCACTTTGAGAAACAGTGGGCAGTTTCTTTAAATTTGTAAATATTGGCTGGGTGCAGTGGCTCAAGCCTGTAATCCCAGCACTTTGGAAGGCTGAGGTGGGGGATCACTTGAGATCAGGAGTTTGAGACCAGCCTGGCCAACATGGCAAAACCTGGTCTCTACTAAAAATACAAAAAATTAGCCAGATGTGATGGTGTGTGCCTGTAACCCCAGCTTCTCAGGAGGCTGAGGCATGAGAATAGCTGAGGCATGAGAAGAGCCCAGAAGGCAGAGGTTGCAGTGAGCCGAGATCCCACCACTGCACTCCAGCTGGGGAAACAGAGCAAGACTCTGTCTCAAAAAAATTAAAAAAAATAAAATAAACTTGTAAATATTATACACTTAGCATATAACCCAGCCATTCTACTTCTGGGTTCCCCCCAAGAGAAACACAAGCTTAGGTCCACACACTACCCTATACACAAATACGCAGAGAAGCTGCTTACTTACCATCAAATACATATGAGGATATTTACTTCCAGTTTTGTTTGAAATAATATGAAACTGAATAAATCATGATATAACCATACAATGGAATGCAGTGTAATTATTAGAAATTTCTAAGCAACTATTAGCCGGGCGAGGCGGCTCAAGCCTGTAACCTCAGCACTTTGGGAGGCTGAGGCAAGCAGATCATTCAAGGCCAGGAGTTTGAGACCAGCCTGGCCAACATGGCAAAATGCGGTTTCTACTAAAAATACAAAAATTAGCTGGGCGTGGTGACACACACCTATAATCCCAGCTACTCAGGAGGCTGAAACATGAGACTCACTTGAATCCAGGAGGCAAAGGTTGCAGTGAGCCAAGATCGCGCCACTACACTCCAGCCCGATGGAGCAAGACTCTGTCTCAAAAAAAAAAAAAAAAAAAAAAAAAATTATAAGCAACTGTAAATCAAACTGATATGAATCCTTCCCCAAGATCATTTTTAAAGTATGTACAGTGCAAAGCAGGGCTCTTGAGTGCCAGTTACTTAGGTGTGTTCATTTTATAACAATTTAGCAAGCTGTACTTGTGCCCTTCCATAAATATATTATACATCAATTTAAAGTTTGCCAAAAATATAGGCGAAATGCTTAAACTTAAAAACTTTAAACTATATGCATGTATATGTACCTAGACTAGGGTAACAATGGTTCCAGGGCAGGGAAGGAGGCAGCTAAGAAAGGACGGCCACTGTATACCCTCTGATAACTTTTAAATTGATCTGATGTGTACCTGTAATTTATTTCAAAAAGTATTTTCTTAACTGAGACCATTTGCAACTCTCTTTAAGTCAACATTTTCTTTTTTTTTTCTAGTATCAGAAGATTTTATTTTTTTACTTTTATTTTTTTGAATTTTTTTTTTAATTTATCAACATTTTCTTAATATAGAAATAA
The DNA here is from genome assembly GCF_000001405.40 of Homo sapiens. Classification (NCBI taxonomy): domain Eukaryota; kingdom Metazoa; phylum Chordata; class Mammalia; order Primates; family Hominidae; genus Homo; species Homo sapiens. Next base: position 47,514,253 of record NC_000020.11, read on the forward strand.
AGTAGAGGCAGAGATGGATTTAGGTCCATAACAGTTCTTCATAACCCAATTTCAAATTTTCTACATATCACAACAGTCTCATTCTCACTACTTTTATAACTGAAAAAACAGTATAAATTTCAAAAATAAACTTGTAACAAATCTTTTTTTATTTTTTTTGAGACGGTCTCTGTTGCCCAGGCTGCAGTGCAGTGGTACAATCTTGACTCACTGAAATCTCCACCTCCCAGGTTCAAGCGATTCTCATGTCTCAGCCTCTGGAGTAGCTGGGTGTATAGGCATGTGCCATCATTCCCACCTAATTTTTTTTTTGTATTTTTGGTAGAGATTGGGTTTCACCATGTTGGCCTGGCTGGTCTCAAATTCCTGCCCTCAAGTGATCTGGCCCACCTCGGCCTCCCAAAGTGCTGGGATCACAGGTGTGCTGTTTTTTTGTTTGTTTGTTTTGTTTTGTTTTTTGCTTTTTTTTTTTTTTTTTTTTTGAGACAGAGTCTTGCTCTGTCACCCAGGCTAAAGAGCAGTGGTGCAATCTCAGCTCACTGCAACCTCCGCCTCCAGAGTAGCTGGGATTACAGGTGCCTGCCACTATGCCTGGCTAATTTTTGTATTTTTAGCAGAGACAGAGTTTTGCCATGTTGGCCAGGCTGGTCTTGAACTCGTGACTTTAGGTGATGCACTTGCCTCAGCCTCCCAAAGTGCTGGGATTACAGGCATGAGCCACCACACCCAGCCTCTTGTATTTTAAATAGTGTTTTGTATAAGATTTCATTTGTGTTAAAAAAAAAAAATTCTACAGCAAAAGAGGTTTGAAAAACCGGGACTATGAATGATATAATGTATATTAAGCATTTAACACTGCCCAGGGACAGACACACAAATAGTAACTTTTAATAGCTATATATATATATTTAAAAAAAATTTTTTTTTTTGAGATGGAGTCTCGCTCTGTTGCCCACCTGGAGTGCAGTGGCACGATCTCCGCTCACCACAACCTCCGCCTCCTGAGTTCAAACAATTCTCCTGCCTCAGCCTCCCCAGTAGCTGGGACTACAGGCGCGCACCACCATGCCTGGTTAATTTTGGTATTTTTAGTAGAGATGGGGTTTCACTGTCTTAGTCTTGAACTCCTGATGTCGTGATCCACCCCCCTCGGCCTCCCAAAGTCCAAAGTGCTGGAAATACAGGCATGAGCCACCACACCCGAGCTTTTTCTTTCTTTCTTTTTTTTTTTTTTTTTTCTTTTTTTTAAGACAGGTCACTGGGTCACTCTGTTACCCAGGCTGGGGTACAGTGGCATGATCTCGGCTCACTGCAGTCTGCCTTCTGGGTTTAAGCGATTCTTATGCCTCAGCGTACTGAGTAGCTGGGACTAGAGGCATGCACCACCACTCCCAGCTAATTTTTTATTTTTTAGTAGAGACGGGATTTCACTATGTTGGCTGGTCTTGAACTTCTGGCCTCAAGTGGTCCGCCCACCTCAGCTTCCCAATGTGTTAGGATTACAGGCGTGAGCCACTGCCCTCAGCCTTAATACCAATATTATCATCAATCAATAAGTGGTAGCTTTTCTGTGGTATATCCAGACAATGGCATATTATTCAGTACTAAAAAGAAATGTGCTATCAATTCATGAAGAGATGTGAAGAAAACTTTAAGTTTTCACTTAGTGAAAGAAGCCAATTTGGAAAGGCCACATACTGTGTGATTCTAACTATGTGACATCTTAGAAAAGGCAAAATTTTGGAAACACTAGAAAGATCAGTGGTTGCCAGGAGTTAGTGGGGAGGAAAGAATGAGTAGACAGAGCACAGTACTCAGGGTAGTGAAACTACTCTGTATGATAGATACTATAATGGTAGATACATGTTGTTATAAATTGTTCCAAACTCATAAAATGCACGATACCAGGAGTAAACTCTAATGTGAACTACACACTCTGGATGATAATGATGCCTCAGTGTAGGTACAAATGTATCAAGATGGTGGGGGGATGGTGATAGGGGAGGCTACACATGGGTTTGGGCAGGAGGTATATGGCAAATCTCTGTATCTTCTGTTCAATATTGCTGTGAACCTAAAACGCCTCTAACAAAATAAAGTGTTAAAAAATAAATGGCAGCTTTTATCTTTTCTACCCAGGAATAGGAACTGAAATATAGATCAGGACACAGGGAAGAGAATTTTATTGGAATAAGAGGGTAGAAGACAGAGCAAGGGTCTAGACTATCAAGCAACTGACATATAAATAAGATACACACATAGAATTAGAAAGATGGTGGTTGAAATGAAAATTAATAGTCAGATTATGAAAATCTTTGGGAGCTCCATGTGAAGTTTAGTTTCGAATTTTAGACAATAAAAAACAAAGGTTCCAAGCAGTCAAGCAGGCTGGGTGCAGTGGCTCAAGCCTGTAATCCCAGCACTTTGGGAGGCCGAGGCAGGCATATCATTTGAGGTCAGGAGTTCAAGACTAGCCTGGCCAACATGGTAAAACCCTGTCTCTACAAAAAAGTACAAAAATAAAATTAGCCAGGCATAGTGGCACACACCTGTAGTCCAAGCTGCTCGGGAGGCTGAGGTGGGAAAATTGCTTGAACTGAGGAGGCAGAGATTGAGCCAAGATCACGCCACTGCCCTCTAGCCTGGGCAAGAGTGAGACCCTGTCTTAAAAAAAAAAAAAAAAAAATTTGCTGGGTGCAGTGACTCACATCTATAATCCCAGCACTTTGAGAGGCCTAGACGGATGAATCACTTGAAGTTAGGAGTTTGAGACCAGCCAGCATGGTGAAACCTCATCTCTACTAAAAATACAAAAATTAGCCAGTCGTGGTGGCACATGCCAGTAATCCCAGCTACTCGGGAGGCTGAGGCAGGAGAATTGCTTGAACCTTGGAGGTGGAGGTTGCCATGAGCTGAGATAGCACCACTGCACTCCAGCCTGGGTGACAGCGAGACTCCGTCTCCTCCCCAAAAAAATTACCTTATAATATTTTTTACTATAACGAAACAGTACAGAGTAAAAAGAGATGAGAAAGAGAAGAAACTGAAGCAGCAGTTAATTCCCTTTAGATCTATTCCATCTTCTTCAAGTATTCGCTAATAATCCCAGTTGAAAAGGACTTTTCTTCCTCTGAACTTGTGAACCACCTGCTTATGTTGATGCAATTACATTTTCTTCTTTTTTTCTTTTTTCTTTTTCTTTTTTTTTTTTTTTTTGAGAAGGAGTCTTGCTCTGTCGCCCAGGCTGGAGTGCAGTGGTACGATCTTGGCTCACTACAACCTCTGCCTTCCGGGTTCAAGTGATTCTCCTGCCTCAGCCTCCCTAGTAGCTGGGATTACAGGTGCTCGCTACTACACCTGGCTAATTTTTGTATTTTTAGTAGAGACGGGTTTTTGCCATGTTGGCCAGGCTGTTCTCGAACTCCTAACCTCAGGTGATCTGCCTGCCTCGGCCTCCCAAAGTGCTGAGATTACAGGCGTGAGCCACCACGCCTGGCCAATTACATTTATTTTTCAACTAGATTATAAACTCCTAGATCACAAAGGGATTCTAACAGTCACATTACTTAGCACAATTCTTTGAAAAACAGTGGTACTGAATAAAAACATTTAAATGATGTAAAGAAGGATCGTCCAGTCCTAGGGCAATTTAGAAAACATGGAATGTACTCTAAGGCTGATATGATTTTCCTGGGACAACTCTGTGAGGGAGACACAGGTCCCAAGCAAATCCCTAGGAATATTTAATTTTAACTCCATTTCCAGGTAGAAAAACTGACTCGAGGGTTGAATTCTAAAAACTTTCACATCCAGGCCAGCCATGATGGCTCACACCTGTAATCCTAATACTCTGGGAGGTCGAGGTGGGAGAATTGCTTGAGTCCAGGAGTTCATTACAAGTCTGGGCAACATAGGGAGACCCCGTCTCTGCCAAAAAAAAAAAATTAGCTGGGCATGGTGGTGCGCACCTGTAATCCCAGCCACTCAGGAGACTGAGGTGGGAGGATCGCTTAAGTCCAGGAGTTCCAGGCTGCAATGAGCCATGATTTCACCACTGTACTCCAGCCTGAGAAACAGAGGGAGACCCTGCCTCAAAATAAATAAATTAAATTGGGGGAAAAAAAAAGAAACATAATTGAAAAAAATAATAGAGGATTTTCTTTTTCTGTTTTTTTTTTTTTTTTGAGACAGAGTTTCGCTCTTGTTGCCTGCCCAGGCTGCAGTGCAATGGCATGATCTCGGCTCACTGCAACCTCCACCTCCCGGGTTTTCAAGAGATTCTCCTGCCTCAGCCTCCCGAGTAGCTGGGATTACAGGCATGCACCACTAAGCCTGGCTACTTTTGTATTTTTAGTAGAGATGGGGTTTCACCATGTTGGTCAGGCTCGTCTCGAACTCCTGACCTCAGGTGATCTACCTGCCTCGGCCTCCCAAAATGCTGGGATTACAGGGGTGAGCCACCATGCCTGGCCAATAGAGGATTTTTAAAGCTTATAAAAGGATTACTCCTTACCTTCAAGAAATAGACAATTTGAATCCACGCTACCAATCAAGAAGTACTGACTCACATGCACACGAACAATTAAGATTCATCTAAGAAATGACTGGTGCGGTGGCTCACGCCTGTAACTCCAGCACTTTGTGAGGCCGAGGTGGGTGGATCACTTGAGGTCAGGAGTTTGCAACCAACCTGGCCAACATGGTGAAACCTCATCTCTACTAAAAATACAAAAATTAGGTGGGCGTGGTGACGGGCACCTGTAATCCCAGCTACTCAGGAGGCCGAGGCAGGAGAATCGCTTGAACCTGGGAAGTGGAGGTTGCAGTGAGCCGAGATTGTGCCACTGCACTCCACACTGGGTGACAGAGCGAGACTCCATCTCAAAAAAAAAAAAGAAAAAGCCAGGCACGGTGGGTCACGCCTGTAATCTCAGCACTTTGGGAGGCCGAGGCGGGTGGATCACTTGAGGTCAGAAGATCAAGACCACCCTGGCTAACATGGTGAAATGCTGTCTCTACTAAAAATATGAAAAGCCAGGCGTGGTGGCGTGTGCCTGTAGTCCCAGTTACTCAGGAGGCTGAGGCCGGAGAATTGCTTGAACCTGGGAGGCCGAGACTACAGTGAGTCAAGACTGCACCATTGTACTCCAGCCTGGGTGACAGAGCGAGACTCCATCTCAAAAAAAAAAAATGATATTTTTAGTTTTGGTGTTCTGGTAATTTACCTACATTAGATGGTACCTGAGATGGGCCCAACAACTAGACTAGAAAGCAGTGGAGAAACAAGGGAGAAGATGGAGAAAAAACAGTATGTCTGAAACCAAGGGAAATTAGTCTGAAAGACTGATAAAAAGACGGTGATTAAGAACTGAATATCAGGTTAAGAAATTTGGAGCCAGGCATGGTGGCACACACCTGTAATTCTAGCACTTTGTGAGGCCCACTTGGGAGGATTGCCTGAGACCAGGAGTTCAAGACCAGCTTGGGCAATGTGGCAAAACTCTTGTCTCCACAGAAAATTTTTTTTTTTGAGAGAGTCTCGCTGTGTTGCTCAAGCTGGAGTGCAATGGCACAATCTCGCTCACTGCAACCTCTGCCTCCCAGGTTCAAGAGATTCTCCTGCCTCAGCCTCCCAAGTAGCTGGGACTATATAGATGCCCACCACCACGCCTGGCTAATATTTGTATTTTTAGTAGAACCGGGGTTTCACCATGTTGGTCAGGCTGGTCTCGAACTCCTGACCTTGTGATCCGCCGGCTTCAGCCTCCCAATGTGCTGGGATTACAGGTGTGAGCAACTGTGCCTGGCCAAAAAAAAAAAAAAAAAAAAAAAAAAAAAGGAAGGCTACAGGTTGTCAGTGGCCTCAGTGCTTTCGGGCTACACCCTTGTTTACAGTGACAACAAGGTGGTATTGGAGTGTTACAGGGTCACAGAGAAGACCTTCAATTATCAATTAGAGGTTTTAAATTTAAATTTACCCTGGCTTTTAAAGGAACAGGGTACACTGTTTTCTCTTTACTGCTTCTCTCTCTGACTCTGTCTCTCTCTTTCTCTCTTTGACTCCCTCTTTGTCTCTCTGCCTCTCTCTCTTTCCTCTGCTGGTCTTTCCCTGCCTCTGCCAGCCACTTATGCCGCTGTTCTCCCCTCTCCTTGCCCTTCCCCTAGGGGAGGAACCGGCAGGAGTGGAGCTACTCTTTCTTCCCCTGAGAAGAAAGGAAAGGGGAGTTCTGAATATTTTCCTTACTACCGGAGGTTTGTGTGAGGTTCAACCCCCTGAAATTTGCGGAAGGCTCAACCCCTCAAACCAGTGGTGTCTTGTCTTGGCTTTCCTGGAAGACTCAACCTCTCAAACCAGGGATGTCTTGCCTTGCCTGCCCTGGAAGGCTCAAACCCTCAAATTAGGGATGTCTTGTCTTGCCTTGCCTGCCCTGGAAGGCTCAAACCCTCAAACTAGGGAGTGTCTTGCCTTGCTGCCCTGGAAGGCTGACCTGTTTCCTCCCTTTCCCCCTCTGAAGGTCCTTTGCGCTCACTGAACTTGTGTTGTCCTCTCTGGCTGCTCCCCTGAGGGAGAATTAGGCCCCTCTTAGCGTTGGTGTGCTGGTATAAATCCCACGGCAGGATCTGCCCTAAGCCATATGAGGTAGCTATGGAACGCAGAGGGCACCCACTCACTCTGTCCAGCAGTAGGACTTGTCATCATCTACACGAACAACACCGCAAGTACGGTTGTTTGTGATCATTCACGCACATACACATTTAGCCCTTCAGAATTTGACCACCAAGGAAGTACTCTACCGGCTCCCACGGCTTCTCCTTCCTTGGTGTGTGCACAGAGTCGTCGCCGCAGTATGTGAAGATCTTTTACCTAGGTTGCTGGCCAGTTTCTTTCCGCCTTGCTGAGAGCTCAGCTTATTCGTCGCACTGCGTGGGTCCTGATTTGTCACCCCTGAGGCCGCCACAAGGGGGCGGGGTGCACCTCCTCACAAGAGAGAACCAGAGACCGCCCCCGGAGGGGAATGTAATCACAGGCAAGCCCCCAAATTTGTATAAAGTTTCGGTGCCACAAAAGAAATAGCACTCGAATATAAGATTTTCTTTTTTTTTTTCTCAGCAAGGCAATTTACTCTTATAGAAGGATGCACCTTCACAGATGGAGCAATGGTGAGCGCACACCTGGACAAGGGAGGAGAAGGGGTTCTTATTCCTGACGCACGTGGCCTCTGCTGCTGTGTCGTTCCCCTATTGGCTAGGGTTAGACTGCACAGGCTAAGCTAATTCCGATTGGCTAATTTAAAGAAAGTGTTGGGGTGAGTGGTTTGGCGGGAAAAATGGCTGTGGCAGAGCAGGAAACAGGAATGAGTCAAGATGAACAATGAGTCAGGGTGGAGCAGGTAATCAGAATAAGTCAGAGTGGAACAGGTAATCAAAAAAGGTTGCTCTACAGGGAAGTTAAGTTTAAAAGTAGAAGGCAAAGAATTGAACATACTGACATATTCTTTGAAGAGAAATTTAGAACTCATATCCAACACTCAGGCACCATACCATATAGATTATGGAGGTCTTGAAATCAGATAGAGTAATTCTTCTAACTTTATTCCTTTTCAAGTTGTTTTGGCTATTCTAGGCCCTTTGCATTTCCATATAATTGCTAGAATCAGCTTATTTCTGTGAAATTTCTGTTGAGATTTTGATTGTGATTGCATTGAATCGGTTGATCAATTTGGAGAGAATCAACATCTTAACAGTATTGTGCCTTTGCTTCCATGAACACATTGTATATCTTTTCATTTATTTAGGTCTTATTTAGTTTCCGTTAGCAGTGTTTTGTAGTTACCATTGTACAGATCTTTTTTTTTTTTTTTTTTTTTTTGAGACGGAGTCTTGCTGTCTCCTAGGCTGGAGTGCAGTGGAGCGATCTCGGTTCACTGCAAGCTCCGCCTCACTGGTTCACGCCATTCTCCTGCCTCAGCCTCCGGAGTAGCCGGGACTACAGGTGCCCGCCACCACGCCCGGCTAATTTTTTGTATTTTTAGTAGAGACGGGGTTTCACCATGTTAGCCAGGATGGTCTCGATCTCCTGACCTCGTGATCTGCCCGCGTCGGCAAAGTGCTGGGAGTGCTGGGATTACAGGCGTGAGCCACAGCGCCCGGCCCTTTTTTTTTTTTTTTTTTGTGGTTTTAAGGAGAGAGTTTAATAGGCAGAAAGAAAGGGAGAAGACGGAAGAAGCTCCCCCATACAGAGACAGAAGGAGGGGGGCTCCAAAACCAAAAGAGGAAGTCCCCACCTGCCACAGATACCAGCCAGGTATATATGCAGCGGCTGGAGGAGGCAGTGTTTGATTTGCATAGGGCTCGGGATTGGTTTGACTCAACAAATCATTCGCGTAGCCCGTGAAAAAGCTGACCCTCCCACCCTGGCCTTTTAATATGCAAATGCAGGGGCGCTATGATGTTCTACACACGTGGGGATATGTGGGGGAGGCCATGTTGCCAGGAACTTGTGGGGAAAGGGCAAGAAGGCTGAGGCAATCTCCATGTTTGGGTGGACCCATTTTCTAATGGCCTGCATTTGCATATCAAAGGTTGTTGGCCTGGCTCTAAGAGCTGAGGCTTTACGAGAAACTTTTCCAGAGATGCTTTAAAAAAAAAAAAAACGAGCCCGGCGCGGTGGCTCACCCCTGTAATGCCAGCACTTTGGGAGGCCGAGGTGGGCGGATCACGAGGTCAGGAGATCGAGACCATCCTGGCTAACACAGTGAAACCCCGTCTCTACTAAAAATACAAAAAGCCAGGCGTGGTGGCCTACACCTGTAGTCCCAGCTACTCCGGAGGCTGAGGCAGGAGAATGGCATAAACCCGGGAGGCGGAGCTTGCAGTGAGCCGAGATCGCGCCACTGCACTCCAGGCTGGGCGATAGAGCGAGCCTCCGTCTCAAAACAAAACAAAAAACCACGAAAACTTCCCAAGGACCCCTTTTCCTATAACATTATCCCCTGTGGAGATGCCACACTAACTGTTAGGGGGTTTTGGGCGATGACTCTTTCTGGCTACTTCCTGCTGAAAAGGGGCGTGGAATGGGAAACAGCAGCTAGGGCTCCTTCTGGGGTTGATCCAAGGGTCTTCGGAGGAATGGCTGGCCTGTCCATGTGTGGTTCAGTTTATGGCACCATTTGGAGTTTGATTGCTTCTAGGCGAGAAGAAATATTTCGAGTGATAGTATTAACTATACGGGGTCCAAATATTAGTACAAGACGTATAAGCAAGAGAGTGCTTAGTAAAGGGGTTAACCAATTCCATAAAGAAGACTGGAATTTATTAAAGAGGGGTTGTAGCCACTTGGAGCTGAATCTGGCATTTTCCCTGAGCCTGTCAATAATTTTGATTTTTAAGTACCTGTAGATTTTCCTCTACTTTACTAGAGGTGTTAATCCCAAAGCAGCATGTTTCGTTTAAAACTGCTTTACTAAACCCAATAAAAAGTCCTAGCGGACTCAGCGATAGTGAAACTTTCATGCTTCCTTTTTGTCAACTATTATCCCTGCTATAAGGATAATAATTAAGCAAAATATTACAGCAGTGGAAACTCTCTAATATTTCAGTTAGAAGGTGCTACCATGTATAACCCTATTGCAAATAGTAGAGTGAGGACAGCAATTCCCACAAGTGTGGTATTTTCATAGCCCATGCTAAAGCATTTACCCATAGAAGAACGGTTCCGGTTAACTTCTGAACTTAAAATCGCCTTACTAATTAAGTACCATCTTAATAGGAGCCAGAATAGATGGCTTAAAGGAATGTAGGAACCGAATGGTCATTTTCCTGTCAGTGGGACAATATTGAGACAAAAATTTGTCTACGGAAGACATTTTACTCCTGTTAAAAGCAGAAACTTCCTGTTCCCAGAAGAGGCCTACAGCCTGATTTCTACTAGGTGGCTTAGGAATACCATGTGTTTGCCAGAATGTAGAGAGAGAGAGACATTTATTGAATTACTGCCTGCCGTGATTCACAATCTTTTCTAACATACCTGTTTCCCTGAACTGTAAAGACTCCTGCATGTTAGACACACGGAGAGAGGGTAAGAGACCGAGGATAGAAAGAGAAAGAAAGTTTGGCGACAGGGTAGCTGGAAGAGAGCCTTGAAATTAAAGGACAGATTTAAAGTTGAAATCCATTCCATACCCACCACTCTGATGGTTGAATTTCCTTTCCTGGCCCATGCACCAAAATGATACGGCTCTAATGAGTGGGGGAACACCAGGGTTCTTGGTCCTCATGCCAGTTTAGATAAAATGACTTGGGCACACGTGGAGTGGTTTTAAGGAGCAGAAGGTTTAATAGATAAGAAGTGAAGGGACAAGTGAAGGGAGAAGACAGAAAGAGGAAGCTCCCTGGTACAGAGACAGAGGGAGGGGGCTCCAAAGCCAAAAGAGGAGGTCCCCCCAGTATACAGATCTTATAAAGCTTCTGTCAGATTTATCAGTAAGTTCCATATATATATATTTTTTGAGATGGAGTCTTGCTCTGTTGCCCAGGCTGGAGTGCAGTGGCACAATCTCGGCTCCCTGCAACCTCTGCCTCATTCTCCTGCTGCAGCCTCCCCAGTAGCTGGGATTACAGGCATGTACTACCATGTCCAGCTAATTTTTGTATTTCTATTTTATTTTATTTATTTATTTATTTTTTTCTTTTTTCTTTTTATTGATCATTCTTGGGTGTTTCTCGCAGAGGGGGATTTGGCAGGGTCACAGGACAATAGTGGAGGGAAGGTCAGCAGATAAACAAGTGAACAAAGGTCTCTGGTTTTCCTAGGCAGAGGACCCTGCGGCCTTCCGCAGTGTTTGTGTCCCTGGGTACTTGAGATTAGGGAGTGGTGATGACTCTTAAGGAGCATGCTGCCTTCAAGCATCTGTTTAACAAAGCACATCTTGCACCGCCCTTAATCCATTCAACCCTGAGTGGACACAGCACATGTTTCAGAGAGCACAGGGTTGGGGGTAAGGTCACCGATCAACAGGATCCCAAGGCAGAAGAATTTTTCTTAGTACAGAACAAAATGAAAAGTCTCCCATGTCTACCTCTTTCTACACAGACACGGCAACCATCCGATTTCTCAATCTTTTCCCCACCTTTCCCCCCTTTCTATTCCACAAAACCGCCATTGTCATCATGGCCCGTTCTCAATGAGCTGTTGGGTACACCTCCCAGACGGGGTGGTGGCCGGGCAGAGGGGCTCCTCACTTCCCAATAGGGGCGGCCGGGCAGAGGCGCCCCTCACCTCCTGGACGGGGCGGCTGGCCGGACGGGGGGCTGACCCCCCCCACCTCCCTCCTGGACGGGGCGGCTGGCCGGGCGGGGGGCTGACCCCCCCACCTCCCTCCCGGACGGGGCGGCTGGCCGGACGGGGGGGCTGACCCCCCCCACCTCCCTCCCGGACGGGGCGGCTGGCCGGGCGGGGGGCTGACCCCCCCACCTCCATCCCGGAGGGGGCGGCTGGCCGGGCGGGGGGCTGACCCCCCCCACCTCCCTCCCAGACGGGGCGGCTGGCCGGGCAGAGGGGCTCCTCACTTCCCAGTAGGGGCGGCCGGGCAGAGGTGCCCCTCACTTCCCGGATGGGGCGGCTGGCCGGGCGGGGGGCTGACCCCCCCACCTCCCTCCCGGATGGGGCGGCTGGCCGGGCGGGGGGCTGACCCCCCCACCTCCCTCCCGGACAAGGTGGCTGCTGGGCGGAGACGCTCCTCACTTCCCAGACGGGGTGGCTGCTGGGCGGAGGGGCTCCTCACTTCTCAGACGGGGCGGTTGCCAGGCAGAGGGTCTCCTCACTTCTCAGACGGGGTGGCCGGGCAGAGACGCTCCTCACATCCCGGACGGGGCGGCAGGGCAGAGGTGCTCCCCACATCTCAGACGATGGGCGGCCGGGCAGAGACGCTCCTCACTTCCCAGATGTGATGGCGGCCGGGAAGAGGCGCTCCTCACTTCCTAGATGGCATGGTGGCCGGGCAGAGACGCTCCTCACTTTCCAGACTGGGCAGCCAGGCAGAGGGGCTCCTCACATCCCAGACGATGGGCGGCCAGGCGGAGATGCTCCTCACTTCCCAGACGGGGTGGCGGCCGGGCAGAGGCTGCAATCTCGGCACTTTGGGAGGCCAAGGCAGGCTGCTGGGAGGTGGAGGTTGTAGCGAGCCGAGATCACGCCACTGCACTCCAGCCTGGGCACCATTGAGCACTGAGTGAACGAGACTCCGTCTGCAATCCCTGCACCTCGGGAGGCCGAGGCTGGCGGATCACTTGTGGTTAGGAGCTGGAGACTAGCCCGGCCAACACAGCGAAACCCCGTCTCCACCAAAAAAATACGAAAACCAGTCAGGCGTGGTGGCACACGCCTGCAATCGCAGGCACTTGGCAAGCTGAGGCAGGAGAATCAGGCAGGGAGGTTGCAGTAAGCCGAGATGGCAGCAGTACCGTCCAGCTTCGGCTCGGCATCAGAGGGAGACCGTGGAAAGAGAGGGAGAGGGAGACCATGGGGAGAGAGGGGAGAGGGGAGGGGAGAGGGAGAATTTTTGTATTTTTAGTAGAGATAGGGCTTTACCATGTTGGCTAGGCTGGTCTTGAACTCCTGACCTCAGGTGATCCACCTGCCTCGGCCTCCCAAAGTGCTGGGATTACAGGCATGAACCACCACATCCAGCCAGTTCCATATTTTTTAATGAGATTATAAATAGTATTGGATTTTAGATTTCAATTTGAATAATTTATTCTTAGTATATAGCAATACAGTTGATTTTTGTATTTTTGCCTAATATATTATAACTTTGCTAAATTAATTTTAGTAGCTTTTATGTAGTTTGCTTAGGATTGTATATATAGGTGATCATGTCTGTGAATAAAGACAGTTTAATTCCTTCCCTTCCAGTCAGCATACCTTTTTTTTCTTGCTCTATTGTTATGGCGAGTACTTCTAGTACATTGTTGAGTAGACATCTTTGTTTTGTTCTCAGTGTTCGGGGTGAATATTAAGATGTTATGGGTCTGCTGATCTGCTTTGTATTAGTATAGTATTGTTTCTAGAATTTCATATAAATCCCATGTAATCATAAAGTATGTTGTGTCAGCTTCTTTTTTTTCTTTACGTATATTTTGTTGCTGTTGTTGTGTCATACTTCTTTTGCTTAGTCTAATTCCCTGAGATTCATTCATGTTGTTGCATATATGAGTTCTTATTTTGTTTCTGAGTATGTATATAGTATATAGACAATACATATGGGCAGTTTGTTTATTTACCAGTTGAGCAACATTTCTTAGCTATTATGAATAGAGCCGCTGTGAACATTTGAATACAAACCTTAGCGTGGGCAGAAGGTTTCATTTTCTTGGACAAATATCTAGGAGGTGGAATTGCTGGATCATATGGTAAATGTATGTTTAACTTTATAAGGAACTGTAAAACTGTTTACCTGTCTGTTCCATTTTGTGTTCTCACCAGCAGTATAGCCAAATTTCAGTTTTGTAACCTCACCAACACTTGGTATTAATATTCTCCTATGTTTTAGCCATTCTGGTAGATATGTAGTGGTATCCCATTGTGATTTTAATTTGAAATGTCATTCAGCTTCTTTGGTGAAGTGTCTGTTCAAATCTTTTGCCTCCTTTTCCTTTCCTTTTTCTTTTCTCCTCCCCCTTCTGTTTTGAAAATCAGGTTGCTTTTCTGTTACTGAATTCTTAGAAAAAACTGAGTTCTTAGGAAAAAAACTCATTTTTTTAAATGTTCTCGATATCCATCTTTTATTAGATATGGTTTGCAGATATTTTCTCCCAGGCTTTGTTGGTACAATTCTAATTGATCAGCTGAGTCTCTGTAGTAATGCTCCATTTCTTGGTCATATGTATATTTTGAGGAATAACAAGTGTTTTAAAGCTCAAAATAACAGTTATGCTAACATATACTATAAGCTGCATTCTTTAATCCATATATAGGGAAAGAAAAACCTAGATTGTTAATCCGGAACATTTACATTCTTAAACATAGTAAATTGTCTACTGTACTTAACTATGTTAAATACTTTTAAATGGCCTAGAGCTTCATCTTTTTATCTAATAAAAATGAATAAATAATTCCTTGTCTGTTTCATTATTTATTATTACTAACTAAAATGAAAAACTATGAATATATTGGTCTGGTATAAACCTAATGAAAAGTTGCCAAAATAAAAAAACACTTAATCTTGCCTATAAGCTTTTGCCATTGTTCCCTCTCTAACCCTCACTGAAAAACCCAATCTTTATGGCTTACCTCTATTAGTATACAATATATTACTTTTGCATCAAGTATATACACATACTGTCTTGTCTTTTTGTTCTTTCTATGCGTAACTGTTCTACTGACTTGAATTAGGTTTTGAATGCTTGCTGTGTAAGCTGATGAGAAAAAAAAATCAGCTTTACAATGTGATATTTGTCACATTTAGCAATTATATTAAATTATTGTAACACTATATTACCTAAGTATCTACCTGGACACTTTTTTTTCTTTTTCTTTTTGAAACGGAGTTTCGCTTTTGTTGCCCAGGCTGAAGTGCAATGGTGTGATCTTAGCTCACTGCAACCTCCGCTTCCTGGGTTCAAGCAATTCTTGTGCCTCAGCCTCCCAAGTAGCTGGAATTACAGCCACCACGTCCAGCTAATTTTGTATTTTTAGTAGAGAAGGGGGTTTCTCCACGTTGGTCAGGCTGGTCTCGAACTCCCGACCTCGGGTGATCCACCCGCCTTGGCCTCCCAGAGTGCTGGGATTACAGGCGTGAGCCACTGTGCCTGGCTGGACACTTTTTTTTCTTACTCAGGGTGATACTCAACTCAATTTATTTATTTATTTAAAAAAATTTTTTTTCTTTTTTTTTTTTTGAGATGGAGTTTCACTCTAGTCCCCCAGGCTGGAGTGCATCTCAGCACTGCAACCTCTACCTTTTGGGTTCAAGCGATTCTCCTGCTTCAGCCTCCCAAGTAGCTGGGATTGCAGGCACCACCATGCCCAGCTAATTTTTGTATTTTTAGTAGAGATGAGGTTTCACCATGTTGGCCAGGCTGGTCTCTAACTCCTGATCTCAGGTGATCCACCCACCTTGGCCTCCCAACGTGCTAGGATTACAGGCATGAGCCGCCGTGCCCAGCATCTAAAAAACTTTTTTGAGACAGAGTCTTTGTCGCCCAGGCTGGAGTGCAGTGGTGTGATCTTGGCTCACTGCAGCCTCCATCTCCTGGGTTCAAGTGATTCTTGCGCCTCAGCCTCCCGAGTAGCTGGGACCACAAGCGCATGCCACCACACCTGGCTAATTTTTGTATTTTTAGTAGAGGTGGAGTTTTGCCATGTTGGCTGGGCTGGTCTCGAACTCTGACCTCAAGTGATCCACCGGCTCAACCTCTCAAAGTGTTGTGATTACAGGCGTGAGCCACTGCTCCTGGCCTTACCTCAATTTATTTAACAGTCCCCTCACCCAAATGTGAAGATGATAAACAATTCTTTCCTGTCTGAATTATTCTTTCTCTCATGCTGGAATTTTGGAACATTTTACAACTTACATTTAAGAAGGCTAGTTTAAAAAGAAACAGTGGAAATTTCCACCTTTTAAAAAAACTTAATTTCTGGTCTATTAACTGCTTTGCAGGAAGAAAGAAATATGAAGAAGAACCGCAGACATTCTGGATGTCAGCCTGTGAAATTTTCCACTATTTCCCATAATAACATGCAGGCACGCTTATACTGCTGGATTCATTGCAACTGCAGTTGCACTCTGAGTGGAATTTGAAGCTACTCTTATCAGTGATAAAATGGCATGTAGCTTTTAATGAGCAGTGCATATATTTTCACATCTAAGGTATTGTATGTTTGTTTCATCTCTGCCTGAATAGTGTGGCCATAAACACTGAAATTGTAAAATTATTTTTAAAACTTCTGATTCCAAAATTCCTGATTGTTTCAAATGGTTTTGATTGTTTTATTTCAGTAGATTATGTATCTGAGAAGATATATAATCATCCTTTTAGTTACAGTGCTGCATACATAAAATTTTACAGGGTTTTATACATACAGAAGAATGATGAGAAAATTAAAGTTTTAAAAGGATTTGTATAGAGGAGAAAATTGAGACAAAGTTTTAAAAAGATTTGCATAGCTCAGTATTTTGGTTTGATTCAATAAATTTTTAATGATTTAACTTTTTTTTTTTTTTTTTTTGAGACAGAGTCTTACTCTGTCACCCAGGCTGTAGGGCCGTGGCACGATCTTGGCTCATTGCAACCTCCGCCTCCTGGGTTCAAGCATTTCTTCTGCCTCAGCCTCCCAAGTAGCTGGGATTACAGGCTCCCGCCACCATGCCTGGCGAATTTTTGTATTTTTTTAGTAGAGACAAGGTTTCACCATGTTGGTCAGGCTGGTCTCAAACTCTTGCCCTCAAGTGATCCACCTGCCTTGGTCTCTCAAAGTGCTGGGATTACAGGCGTGGGCCACTGCGCCTGGCCAACAATTTTAACTATTTTAGGTTCCTGTTAATCTTTTAAAATGTCAGTAGACTTTATATTAAAATTGATGCTGTGTTTTTGTTTGGCTCCTTGAAATTTAAAGGCAAACAAGGTGTTATTATCCAACTTTTCTAATGATGTAAGTCCAGGTTTCCTAGATCTGTAAACTGGCGTAGCAGTAGGGTGAAGAGTAGATTACAAATACATTGTAATTATCTACCCTGTTTCATCTTTCATCTCTTCCATGGCTAATGCCTAACATTGGTATTAAGGAATAAAATTGAGGAATTTGGCTGGGTGCGGTGGCTCACACCTGTAATCCCAGTACTTTGGGAGACTGAGGGCAGGCAGATCACTTGAGGTAAGGAGTTCAAGATCAGCCTGGCCAACGTGGTGAAGCCCTGTCTCTACTAAAAATACAAAAATTAACCGGGTTTGGTGGTGGTCACTTGTAATCCCAGCTACTCGGGAGGCTGAGGCAGAAGAATCGCTTGAACTCAGGAGGCAGAGGCTGCATGCAGTGAGCCGAGATTGTGCCACTGTACTCCAGCCTGGGCGACGGAGCGAGACTATCTCAAACAAACAAACAAACAAACAAACAAAAAGAAATTGGGGAATTCAAGATATATAAATGAACCTTTAAACTGCACTTTTGCAGAGAGGAATTTAAGGGTTCAAAGTGATGAAACAGATGTATTACAGATATCTTTCTGTGTTTTTACACTTGCACATCACTGACATTTTGGAAGTAAAGCCATATTAATGCAGAAGTATATCTCTTCTGGACTGTTGGGCTAGATTTGAGCAAGAATAATGTTGTGACATAACAGTGTTCTCCATCCCTTCCCTGTGATCTGCTCCTCCCTTGTACAGTCTCATCCTTCCTCTTGACCTTTCCTGTATCTATAACTTTTCTCTTGACCTCTTCATGCACTTCCCCTTCTCAGCTTTCCTCCAGTCTGCAACTGTCTTATCCCTTCCCTCAGCCTAAATTTCCGTCTGGCTTGTAACCTTTTTACCTCTGTCAACTTTCCATCCTTCAGGTCCCTCACTTTTTCTGGTTTCTCACTGTTAACCAAGGTCTTTTCTTTACCTTTGGAAGCTTCTTTACTGCGTGTGTTCTCTGCTCCTGTCAGATTGATTTTTGTTTAGTCCTTGACCCCTCAAACGTGTACATCCTCACACCCTCCAAAATCCTTTAACTTTCATTTCTTCTTCCATGCTTTAATTTATTCTGCAAAAATTTATTGAGTGCTAGCCATGTGTTGCCTATTCCTTAGATGTTAGGAATATACCAGTGACTAGAAAGGTTACGGAAAAAAAATAAAACTTTGTAGGGGGGGACTTGTGTGTGTGTGTGTGTGTGTGTGTGTGTTGCAGGGTTTACGTTTTAGATATCATGGTAAGTTTTGCTAAGTAAGTGATACTTAAACAAGGACACCAGGAAGTAAGTAAGCCCTGAGAATATTGGGTTGGGGTAAGGTTGGGATGGGGAGCTTTCTGTTTAGAGGGAACTACCAGTGGAAAGGCCCTTTGTTAGGAGCATTCTTAGTGAATTTGAAGAACAGCAAGGTGACCAGTGTTTTGGAGCACAGTGTTTGGAGGACAGTGAACAAAGACGTAAGTAGCAAGAGAAATCTGAGAGGTAACAGTGAGGCCTTGCAGACAGTTGTAAGGACTTCAACTTTAAAAAAAATTCATTTTTTAAAAAATAGCATAATAGCATATAAATGCATGGTTTCCATTATTTTCTTTTTGAGATGGGATCTCATTATATTGCCCAGGCCCAGGCTGGTCTAGAACTGCTGGGCTCCCACCTCAGCCTCATGGGTAGCTTGGCCTACAGGTGAGTGTTAAGACGTGCAGCTAATTAAAAAAATTTTTTTTTCTTGTAGAGACAGGTCTTTTTTGCTGCCTAGTCTAGTCTTGAACTCCTGACATGAAGCAATAGTCCCACCTCAGCTTCCCAAAGTATTGGCATTATAGGTGTGAGCTATCATACCTGGCTTCCTGCAGATTTTTTAATTGTATTTTTGGTTATTCCAAAAAGATCATTTGGCTGGGCACGGTGGCTCACACCTGTAATCCCAGCACTTTGGGAGGCTGAGGCGGGCGGATCACTTGAGGTCAGAAGTTTGAGACCAGCCTGGCCAACATGGTGAAACCCCGTCTGTACTACAAATACAAAAAAATTAGCCACACGTGGTGGCGGGCGCCTGTAATCCCAGCTACTCGGGAGGCTGAGGCAGAGAATTGCTTGAATCTGGGAGACGGAGGTTGCAGTGAGCCAGGATTGTGCCATTGCACTCCAGCTTGGGCAACAGAGCAAGACTCTGTCTCAAAAAAAAAAAAAAAAAAAAAAAAAAAAATTAACCGGGCGTGGTGGCAGGCACCTCTGTAATCCCAGCTACTCAGGAGGCTGAGGCAGGAGAATCATTTGAATTTGGGAGGCGGAGGTTGCAGTGAGCTGAGAACACACCACTGCATTCCAGTCTAGGTGACAGAGCCAGGTTCCGTCTCAAAAAAAAAAAAAAAAAAAAGATCATTGATTTTTTTTTTTCTTTTTCCCCTTCAAATTAAAGCATTTCTTTTTTCTTTGGTTGTAAAGGTGATTAATTCATGTTCATGTGGAAAACATGGAAAATCCAGAAAAGTACAAAAAAATAAGGATTACTAGCAACCGCATCATCCATTATTAATAGATTTTGTATGTATATCTTTCCAGTCTTTTTTTCTTTGTTCTTTTACACATACACAGTGCCTTATACAGTATATGGGTTTAGCAGAGATTAAATGAACTCTATCAGGGTCTTCATAAGACCCTCCAGCAGTCATGTGAAGAGTAGCCTGTAAGAGTGCAAGGGTAGAAGCAGGGAGAGCTAGGCCAGGTGCACTGGCTCACACTTGTAACCCTAGCACTTTGAGAGGTCGAGGAGGGTGGATTTCTTGAGCCCAGGAGTTTGAGACCAGCCTGAGCAACATAGATCCTATCTCTACAAAAAATGCAGAAATTAGCCCAGCATGGTGGCAGGTGCCTGTGGTCCTAGCTTACTGGGGAGGCTGAGCTGGGAGGATTGCTTGAACCCAGGAGGTTGAGGCTGCCGTGAGCTGTGGCTATGCCACTGTACTCCAGCCTGGGCAACAGAGCAAGACCCTGTCTCCAAAAACAAAAACAAACGAAAAAACAAAACACAAAAAACCCAGGATGACCTATTAGAAGGCTGTTAGAGTAATCCATGTTGGTTTAGACTATGATTATGGCAAGAGAGGTGATAAGAAGTGGTCAGATTGTATATATCTTCTTTTGAAGGTAGAGCCAACAGGATTTTGTGATGGTTTCAGTGGGGGGGGCGGGGGGTGAAGAGGGAAGAGAAGAATCAAGCATAATTCAAAAGTTTTTGGCTTGAACAACTAGAATTGTTTGGCTTCATTTTCTTGTCAAACTACCCATCCAAGGCTCTTTTATTGTGTCCTTCCTGTCCATTTGAACTTGGGATTCTTTAAAAAAAAAAAAAAAAAGATTTATTTGCTCTATAGAGAAACCAAAGCATGAACTTGTGATTATTTCTTTCACCAGGCTTCTAGTTTGTGCTGTCCAACTTGGTACTTGGTACCCACCACAAGATGCTATATATAACAAGTGTTTCACTAGCATTAGTCTCCCTAACTGGGTTGTGAGCATCCTTTTACTGGATCATGCTGAATTTGAGTCTTTTCAGGGACCTGTAACTTTCTGAGTACGTTGTGGACGTTCAGAAAATGTCTATTTATTGTATGTTTTTCAGGCTTAAGAATAAGATATGAAAAAACCTCAAAGTAACTGTCTGCTTTTACTTTAGATTACTGACATCTTTTGAGAATGTGTTTGGGCCAGATGAGCTGGTTCACACCTGTAACCCCAGCACTTTGGGAGGCTGAGGCAGGCAGATCACTTGAGCTTAGGAGTTCAAGAGCAGTCTGGGCAACGTGGCGAAACCCCATCTCTACCAAAAATCCAAAAAATTGTCTGGGTGTGGTGGCGTGCACCTGTAGTCCCAGCTGTTGGGTGGCTGAGGTGGGAGGATCGGTTGAGCCTGGGAAATGGAAGTTGCAGTGAGTAGAGATCATGCCATTGCACTATAGCGTGGGTGACAGAGTGAGACTCCATCTCTCTCTTTTTTTTTTCTTAATTTATAAAAAAAGGTGTTTGGATAGTTATTTTCCTTATATCCAGTGTAAGAATCATTACAAGGTCTGGCTGTGTTGCCCAGGCTTGTTTTTTTTTTTTTCTTTTTAAATAATTAGCGTTATTATTATTCTTAGTTTTTGAGTCAGGGTCTTGCTTTCTTGCCAGACTTGAGTGCAGTAGTGCAGTGGCACAATCATGGCTCACTGCAGCCTCAAACTCCTGGGCTCAAGGAATTTTCCCACCTCAGCCTCCTAAGTAGCTAGGCTCACTTCTTCCGTGCCTCGCTGCCCAAACCCCTAGGGGGAGCATGCAGACGGACAGGTCGTGAGGAGTGTTTTTGGGCTTTGACTCCATAGCAGCATCTAGGGTTGAGTGTTTCCAGCTCCTGAAGCCCCAGTGGCCGTGTGTTACAGTGTGCTCTTTCAGTTTTGTGGTCTACAGGTGGCTTGTGCCAATCAGCTGAGTTACACTCTCTGCCTTATCGCAAGGATAGAGGGCTCTCTGTATCCCAGGTTCTTGCCCTAGTGTGCTGGAAAGATCGGATCACACACGGACTTGGAGAATGAGTGCAAGGTTTTTTTGCTTTTTTTTTTTGAGACCGAGTCTCACTCTGTTGCCAGGCTGGGGTGCAGTGGCGCAATCTCGGCTCACTGCAGCCTCCTCCTCCCAGGTTCAAGTGACTCTCCTGCCTCAGCCTCCCGAGTAGCTGGGATTACAGGCATGCACCACCACATCTGGCTAATTTTTGTATTTTTAATAGAGATGAGGTTTCACCATGTTGGCCAAGATGGTCTTGATCTCCTGACCTTGTGATCCGCCCATCTCAGCCTCCCAAAGTGCTGGGATTACAGGTATGAGCCACTGCGCCCGGCCGAGTGCAAGGTTTTATTGAATGGTGGAAGTAGCTCTCAGCAGATGGATGGGGAGCCATAAGAGGGATGGAGAGGGAAGGTGATCTTCCCCTGGAGCTGGGCTGCCCAGCAGCTGGACTCTACTCCGACCACCCCCTATCAAATTCTGCATCAACTTAAATGTAGATGGCTGGCTGGCGCTGCTGGTGTCTGTCAGTGTGCTGTTCTGCTCCTCTGTTCCTCTCGATGTCCAGCCGCTTGTGTGTGTGTCTGCTTAAGGTCCTGGGCTTATATGAGCACAAGATAGGGGGGCATGGCAGGCCAAAAGGCAACTTTTTGGGTGCGTAAACAGAAATGCTTGTTCTCACTTAGGTCCGTGAGCACAGGCCCGAGGGTGGAGCACTCACCATGTACCCTACTCATCTCTACCCAGCACTTACTTCCCTGCCCTTCTCCCATATCAAGACTACAGGTGTGCACCTACATGCCCAGCTAATATGATAAAATTTTTTTGTAGAGAGTGTCTTGCCACATTGTCCACACCTCAAGTGATCCTCCTTCCTTGGCCTCCCAAAGTGTTGGAATTACTGGCATGAGCCCCCTATCCGGCCAGTGAATGTTAATGCTTACCTGGTATATGCAAAGCATCCTAGGAGATAGAAAGTTTTGCAAGAAAAGGTCCCTGCCCAAAAAGGAGCTTATTTTTTGGTGCAGACAATATATCCTATACACATTTTGTCTCCTTTACAGGAAAATAATGTATTATCATTTACTGCAAAACAAATTGTTGTCATGCCTTTGTCATTCTAAAGCTTGTAGGGGCTCTTTGCCTCTTTATTAAGTGATGATTGATATCTGTGCTTTGAGTTCTTATTTATTTGTTTTTAAAATAGAGATGAGTCTCACTTTGTTGCCCAGGCTGATCCCAAACTCCTGGTTTCAAGCCATCCTCCTGCATGGGCCTCCTAAAATGCTGGGATTACAGGTATGAAGCCATTGTGCCCAGCCTCACTGTTTTTTTCTTTTTTTTTTTTTTTTTTGAGACAGTCTTGCTTTTTCACTCAGGCTGGAGTGCAGTAGTGCAATCTCGGCTCACTGCAACCTCCGCCTCCTGGATTCAAGCAATTCTCCTGCCTCAGCCTCCTGAGTAGCTGGGATTACAGGTGTGCGCCACCATGCCCGGCTAATTTTTTTTTTTTGTATTTTTAGTAGAGACGGGGTTTCACCATGTTGGTCAGGCTGGTCTCAAACTCCTGACCTTGTGATCCATCCACCTCGGCCTCCTAAAGTGCTGGGATTACAGGCGTGAGCCACCGCGCCCGGCCTGTTTTGTTTTAAGCAAAGAAGTTCTTCATATTTATAGATGCTGTCTGGTTTAGAGGATATGCTATCTATCCATATACAACTGAGTTCTCTACATTTCCTTGGTCTGGAAGGGACTAAATCTTTTAGACAAGGAGAAGGAAAGTTGGTAAAAGTAGTGCTTTTCAGTTACGTTCTTTACTTGTAGCGTTGTAAAGAACTTATCAGAGAAGTAAATTGAGTGTAATTTACTTTTGCCTGTGGTCATCACTTCTACCTCTTAATGGAGTGTTTTTCTATAGAAAGGTTATAGAATGTAACTCAAACTTTTATTTTTGTGATAATCGGCGGGGGTGGGGGGGGGAAGTGTTGGGAAAACAGGTGTGAGCCATTGCACCTGTTCTATTTTATATTCTGCTAGGAAAGAAAATGTAAAACTGCCAAATTAGCTAGTTCAACAAATGACCACCTATAAAAACCAAGGGGTTTACATAGGGTTTTTTTTTTTTTTGAGATGGAGTCTTGCTCTGTCGCCCAAGCTGGAGTGCAGGTGGCACGATCTCAGCTCACTGGAACCTCTGCCTCCCAGGTTCAAGTGATTCTCCTGCCTCAGCCTCCTGAGTATCTGGGACTACAGGTCCTTGTCACCACACCCGGCTAATTTTTTCTACTTTTAGTAGAGATTGGGTTTCACTGTGTTAGCCAGGATGGTCTTGATCTCCTGACCTGGTTGTGATCTGCCCGCCTCGGCCTCCCAAAGTGCTAGGATTACAGGCATGAGCCACTGTGCCTGGCTGTTTGTTTGTTTGTTTGAGACAGAGCTTTGCTCTTTCTCCTAGGCTGGAGTGAAGTGGCTCAATCTTGGCTTACTGCAACCTCCACCTCCTGGGTTCAAGTGATTCTCCTGTCTCAGCTTCCTGAGTATCTGGGATTACAGGTGCCTGCCACCATGCCTGGCTAATTTTTGTATTTTTAGTAGAGACAGGGTTTCACTATGTTGGCCAGGCTGGTCTTGAACTCCTGACTTCAGGTGATCCACCCACCTTGGCCTCCCAAAGTGCTAGGATTACAGGCATGAACCACCGCGCCTGGACTAATAGGTTTTTAAGCTCTAACTTTGGGGGAAAAAAACCCAAGATGATTAAAAATGTCCCATTTAGATGATCTTTAGTTGACTTGACACAAGTCTTTTGGTCTGGACTGCTATAGTAATTCACGATGTGGTTTTTTTAGGCACTGCGTTAGAAGCGAAGAATAATATTAATTTATTTGGGGTAGAGAGTAGTGGTGAACCTGACTTGTAACATTCTGTTTAAGAGAGTCTGATGTTCCAGTCTGTAACTGCAATTGGAAGAGCTTTGGAAAAATGATTTGTGGACACATAAGATACTTTTTAAAAACATAATTTTCTCTGCCTCCTTAAAGAAGTTTGTGTTTCTTAAATAACCAGCATTATTACTATTCTTTTTTTTTTTTCTTGAGACACCTGTCACCCAGGCTAGAGTGCAGTGGTGTGACCTCAGCTCACTGCAACCTCTGCCTCCCGGGTTCAAGTAATTCTCCTGCCTCAGCCTCCTGAGTAGCTGGGATTACAAGATTACAGGCGTGTGCCACCATGCCAGTCTAATTTTTGTAATTTTAGTAGAGACAGGGTTTCCCCATGTTGGCCAGGCTGGTCTCGAACTCCTGACCTCATGATCCTCCCACCTTGGCCTCCCAAAGTGTTGGGATTTCAGGCGTAAGCCACTGTGCCCAGCCACTATTCTTCTCTTTCAGATGAATCTAAAAGATGTTTAGTTTTCAGAAACTGGAGAAGATGTTATATTCTCACTTTTCCCTGTTAAGTTTCAGCATCTGTTCTGGCTGTTTTACTTTTTCTCAAACCTTTTATTTAGAACAAAAACTTGGATGAATTGATTTCAAGACTTCACTTTGCCTTTGGGTAAGGTTTTCCTTAGTGGTTTGCCTGAGTTGTGTTTTAGTATCTTTCTTGGGTTGCTTAGCTTTTTCAGCCTTTGGGACAATCTGTTGACTTAGTTGTGAATTTTAGCTTTTCATTTCTTGTGCCATAGAATTTGTATGTGCTGCCAGGCATGGTGGCATGTTCCTGTAGTCCCAGCTACTTGATAAGGTGGCTTGATAAGCTACTTGATAAGGTGGTAGGAGGTAGCTTGATCCCAAGAGTTTGAGGCTGCAGTGAGCTCTGGTCATACCATCGTACTATATGTAGCCTGGGTGACAACGATACCCTGTCTCCAGGAAAAAATAAAATAAAAGTTATGCTAATAGAACATAAACTATTTGAGGACTGGGAGGTATCTGTTTTGTTTACTGCTATATCCTTAGTGCTCAGAATGGTGGCAGACACATAGTAGGTACTCAAATATTTGCTGAATAAATTTAGAGTAGCAGTAGCAGGTTTTTATTTATTGAGCACACACTGAATGGCAAAGTGCTAAGCTCTTTGAATGGATTTGGTGGTTTTTCCATTTTATAGCTTGTTTTCTGTTCATATGATAGTTTATGAATGGGTGTGAGGGAGGAAGGAGGAGATGAAGCCAGCGTTGTTGAGGATGCTGCTAGCTATTACCAAATTTCATCAAGTTTAAGATACCATCAATTATAGAACACAACATTATTTTACGTATTACTAGGTCTCAAACTCCTGGCCTCAAGTGATCCGCCTGCCTTGGCCCCCCAAAGTGTTGGGATTACAGGTGTGAGCCACCGCACCCGGCCTATTTTATGTACTACTGGGAAAGAAAATGTAAAACTTTCAAATAAATAATTGGATACTGCCAATAACATGACATATTCTGATTTTAAAGATGTAAAAATATGAACAAACCCCAAAATATTTAAGGGATACTAGTTTTACATAAACTCTCATTTAACAATCATGAAACCTTCTAGAGTTGGATATTACTATCTTCATTTGAGAGAGGAGGAAATTGAAGCTCATGGGTTAATTACATAAGCTCTCCAGTAGAGGATCCAGATTGAGGTCTCTCAGATTTCGGAGGCCATGCCCTTTTTACCACCCTACATTGCCTTAGGAGTCAAGGAAATAAAATAGTACATTGGCCTGTATGTCAACTTTGGCTTGAAGATAGTCAACTTTGGCTTGGAGATACTTAGTTGGCATGGCTTTAAACATTTTCTTTGAAATGGATTTTTCCTATTTTTCCTTAAAATCAAATATCTTGGCTGGGGCGCGGTGGCTTACACTTGTAATCCCAGCACTTTGGGAGGCCGATGAGGGTGGATCATCTGAGGTCAGGAGTTCGAGACCAGCCTGGCTAACATAGTGAAACCCCCCTCTACTAAAAATACAAAAATTAGCTGGGCATGGTGGTGGGTGCCTGTAATCCGGCTACTTGAGAGGCTGAGGAAGGAGAATCGGTTGAACCTAGGAGGTGGAGTTTGCAGTGAGCTGAGACCGCAGGATTGTACTGCAGCCTGGGCAACAAGAGTGAAACTCTTGTCTCAAAAAAAAAAAAAAAATTCAAATATCTTTGTATTTACTCTGTGCTAGCTACTCTGTGGGTCTGTGTGTATACAAAACAATATAAGGTCTTATCTCTTCTTCTCAAGGAATTTATAGTCTGTTTGGGGAGATGAGAACTAAACATGAAAGATAACTAGAGAAGATTTAAATAACATTTCAGAGAATAATGCAAGAGGTTTAACAAGGCAGTGAAGGATTAATTGCCAAATAAATTGTACAAATAATTGCTTTTGGAGTTCAGAGGAAGAAATGATTGTTTGGGGCTGGGGTAATCTAGGGAAGGATGTAAATGAATTCCTGGGAGATATTTTCAGTTAGTGAGATTATTTACTTTACCTTTAAAATCATATTAATGTTTGTTACAAATGGAACTGCAAACTGTTTGAACATGAACTATTGTATCTTAATTTTTTTAAATCTCCATATGAGAGTGCAGGAGCTACTACCCCAGAGAAAAGTAGATCATGCTTTCTACATGTATTTGCTTCTATTGTATCAAGTAGATGGAGAAAGTACTCAGTTTTAGAAGAAAAATCTTTGGGTGAAAAAAAAGAGGAACTCCCTGTCCCTAAATTCCTTCAATGTCACTCTTGCCACGTTTTCAATCAGTTGTACTTTGTGAGTCATTGCCGAGGTCACTTTTTGTGACTTGTAGCATTCATGATTAACTTCTAAAGGGTGGAAACAAGCATTAATCCCCTTTACATCACTAATGTTCTCTCTGTCCCCCCTCCCCCTCCTTTCCCCACTCTCCCCTCCCCCCTCCCCTCCCCTCCCCTCCCCTCCCCTCCCCTCCCCTCCCCTCCCCTCCCCTCCCCTCCCCCCTCCCCTCCCCTCTCCCCTCCCCTCCTTTCTCCTCCCTTCCCCTCTCTCTCCTCAGGCTCAAAGGATCCTCCCACCTCAGTCTCCTGAGTAGTTGGGACCACAGGTGTGTGTCACTGTGCCCGTTTAATTTTTAAATTTTTTTGTAGAGATGGGGCCTTTCTATGTTGTTGCTCAGGCTGGTCTCGAACTCCTGGCCTCAAGTTACCCTCCTGCCCTCAAGTTACCCTCCTGCCTTGCAAGGCCTCCCAAAGTACTGGGATTCCAGGCAATACTCCTTCATACCGTTTTGAAGCAAATACTAGACATTATATAATTTCCTTAAGTATCTATAAAAGATACAACTGTCTTTCATAAAAAGCAAACTCTACATTATTACATCTAGAAAACCTGCATTAATTTCTTAGTAGCATCAAATACACAGTCACTTCAGTTTTCTAGTTCTCCTCATTTTTTAATTTGTTGGAATCAGATTCAAACAAGATGCAGACATTGCAATTTGGTTTTTATGCGACCTAAGTTTCTGTTAATATAGGTTTTCTCTTCATCTCTTTTTTCCTTCCAATTTATCAAATTATTTTTTGCCCTGTAGAGTTTTTTTTTTTTTTTTTTTTTGTTGTTGTTGTTGTTGGAGGGACAGAGACTTATTCTGTCACCCAGGCTGGAGTGCAATGCTGTGATCATAGCTTATTGTAGTCTCAAACTCGTTGGCTCAAGCGATCCTCCCACCTCAGCCTCCCAAGTAGCTGGGATTAAAGGTGCACACCACCATGCCAGCTACATTAAAATTTTTTTTTTTTTTTGGTGGAAAAGGGGCTCTTGCTATGTTACTCAGGCTGGTCTGGAACTCCTGGCCTCAAGTGATTGTCCTGTCTTGGCCTCCTAAAGTGCTGGGATTACAGGCACAAGTAACCGTGCCCGGCTTCCTGTAGAGTTTCTTATTGTCTGGATTTTGCAAAGTATGTCTTTGTGGTGGTTTTTCAGTGTGTCCTCTGTCCTCTCTCTCTCTATTTTTAAAATGGTAGTTAGCTTTCAAGTCTTGATCAGTTTCTGGTTCAGTTATTTTTTACAAGCATATTCATTATCTGTTGCTGTGTAACAAATTATCTCCAAACTTGACATCTTAAACCAGCATTTATTGGTCCCAGCACCTCAGGAAACTGAGGTGGGAGGACTGCTTAAGCCTGGAAGTTTGAGGCTGCAGTGAGCTGTGATTGCACCTGTGAATAGGCAATTCCTAGGCAAGACCCTCTCTCTAAAAATTGGCCAGGCATGGTGGCTCATGCCTATAGTCCCAGCGCTTTGGGAAGCCCAGGCGGGTGGATCATTTGAGCCCCGGAGTTTGAGACCAGCCTGGGCAACATGGCGAAACCCCATCTATACAAACAATACAAAAATTATCCGGGCATGGTGGCACATACCTGTTGTCCCAGCTACTTGGGAGGCTGAGGCAGGAGGGAGGATGTCTTGAGCTGGGACGTGGAGGTTGCAGTTGGCTGAGAACACACCACTGTACTCCAGTCTGGGTGACAGCAAGACTCTGTTTCAAAACAAAGCAAAATAAACCTCCCAAACTCCTTAGTATTTATTATCTTCCACAGTTTCTGAAGGTTAGGACTCTGGGAGTAGCCTAGCTGGGGAGTTGTGGTTTTAGTACTCTTAATGGGTTGCAGTCATCTGAAGGTTTAACAAAGGCTGGAGGATTTGCTTCCGAGGTGGCTTACTCAGTGACCATTGGTGGGAGGTCTCAGTTTCTGCCTGAGTGTCCTAAAGCTACTGCCAGAGCTAGTGATCAGAGAGAAGGAGAAAAGGAGGAGGGAATTTGAAATGCCTTTGTGACCTCAGAAGTGACAGCTTGTCACTTTTCTTTTGGTCACATAGACCAACTTTGATACAGTATGGGAGGGGACTGCTTAAGTTCATGAATACCTAGAGATGGGTGTCACTGGGGATGTCATCTTGGTGCTGGCTACTACAGTGAGACTACTTCCCAGGGAGTGTGGTTTATCAGAAGACACATGACGTCTGTTTTTCTTTGAGTTGTTAATATTAGCAGATACTATAAAGAAAAACTTTTTCTTTCTTTCTTCTTCTTCTTTTTTTTTTTTCCTTTGGAGAGAGTCTTGCTCTGTTGCCCAGGCTGGAGTGCAATGGTGGGATCTCGGCTCACCGCAACCTCCACCTCCTGGGTTCAAGTGATTCTCCTGCCTCAGCCTCCCGAGTAGCTGGGACTACTGGTGCGCACCACCACGCCTGGCTCAGTTTTGTGCTTTTAGTGTAGACGGGGTTTCACCATGTTGGCCAGGCTGGTCTCGAATTCCTGACCTCAGGTGATCCACCTGCCTTGTCCTCCCAGGGAGCTGGGATTACAGGCGTGAGCCACTGTGCCCAGCCAAGAAAAGCTTTTTCTAATCAAGTATTTGGTCACCTGGTGTGGGTACAGTTTACATAGGAAAGATGTGATATATGTTAGACTCTATTTACTAGTATTTAAAATAACAAGTTGGTTTACTAGTATTCTCCTGTGGTAAAAAACATTTTTTTTCTCAAAGTTTAAAAAAAAACTATTTTGAAATAATTTTAGACTTTTGGGAATGTTGCAAAAATAGTAGAGTTTTCCTGTGTACTCCACCCCGATTCCCCCAATTTAATAACTTGCATAGCCATGTTATAGTGATCAAAACTAAGGCTAACACTGGTATAATACTGTTAACTAAGTAGCAGATATTGTCAAATTTCCACTCTTGTGTTTTTTTCTGTTCCAGGATCCAATCCTATTCTTTATTAATCTCTCCCTTTTGTTTTTTTGGGGTTTATTTTGTTCAAGTTTTTTTTTTTCAGTTAGGTGTAGGATGGATGTTCATGATAATGTATCTTTATTTGTCTTTTATTTAATACTACTTTTTTTTTTTTTTTTTTTTTCCCTTAAACGCAGGGTCTCACTGTCACCCAGGCTGGAATGCAGTTGTGCTGACATGGTTCACTGCAGCCTCAACCTCCTGGGTTTAAGCGGTCCTTCTGTGTAGCTGGGACCACAGGCATGTGTCAGCATGCCTGACTAATTGTTGTGGGTATTTAAAAAAATTTATGAAGTTTGTATTTTGTTTTAGATGTTGCCTTTATATTAAAATCCTTATGTAATAGACTTAGTGCCCCCCCAATTTTTTGGTTATTTTCTGTTGGTTTCTTACTTTGAATACTATTGAAATTACCTAGTAACTTCTTTTTCTTCCCAAGCATTTGATTTAAAGTAATATCTTTTTCTTTCAGTTGATATCAGGTAATCAGCCAGTTTTTTTTCCAGTTTTTATCTCTTCATACTTCAGTTTATGGATAGTTGTGCTCTAGCTACAATGTTGGAACATATAGTCATTATGTAGTATAAAGTGTCACTTAGAACCCTCATTCAGGTTTTTACAGATAAATATATATTTAATGCCCACTACCATTTTTATGTTGATATGGACTTTCCAGTTATTTGGGTCATCTGGAATTCATTTTCTCTAATAAATTCCTCAGGAAGAGCTTATGGGAACAGTATTCCTTGTGTTCCCCTATGTTTGAGAAGTTTGTCTGCAGCTTTAATAGTTAAAAGCTGGCTTGGTGATGATAAAATTCTGTTCCACAGTATCTGAAATATGTCATTCCACTGTCTTCTGGCACAGAGCATAGCTGTTACAGTATGATGATGTCGACCTGTTTTTCTTTGAGCAATGTAGCTTTTTTTTTTTTTTTGTAATTGTTTAGATATCCATAGGATTTTTTTTTTTTTTTTTTTTGAGAAAGAGTCTCACTTTGTTGCCCAGGCTAGAGTGCAGTGACAGGATCTCGGCTCACTGCAACCTCTGTCTTCCGGGTTCAAGGGATTCTCCTGCCTCAGCCTCCCTAGTAGCTGGAACTACAGGCATGTACTACCACGCCCAGCTAATTTTTGTATTTTTAGTAGAGATAGGGTTTTGCCATGTTGTCTAGGCTGATCTCGAATTCCTGACCTCAGGTGATCCACCTGCTTTGGCCTCCCAAAGTGCTGGGATTACTGGCGTGAGCCACTGCGCCTGGCCTTTGTAATCTTATTGGTGTTGGTTGGTCTGACACATTTTTCCTTGGGCATTCAGTGAGTCTTTTCAATATGTATTAATAGTTTCAAGCTTCCTTCCCCTCTTCTTTTTTTGTCTCTGTTTTTCTCAATATCATGAAGGTTTTCTTAGTGCTGTTTTTTTTTTATTTGCTTTTTGTTTTTTTTGTCTTACTGCCTTGGTTTTCTTCTTTGGGATTCCTACTATACATATATTGGATCATCTTTGTGATATATATATGGAGACACGGTCTCGGTCTGTCGCCTAGGCTGAAGTGCAGTGGTGTGATCATGGCTCATTGCAACCTCCACCTCCTGGGCTCAAGCGATCCTCCTGCCTCAGCATCCTGAATAGCTAGGACTATAGGGGCATGCCATCATGCCTGGTTAATTTTTGTATTTTTTATAGTGATGGGGTTTTGCCATGTTGCCCAGGCTGGTCTAGAACTCCTGAGCTCAAGTGATCCTCCCACCTCAACCTTCCAAAGTGTTGGGATTACAGGCATGAGCCACTGTGCCAGGCCTGTATATTGTTTATGTGAGATAAACCTCTCTTTTGTTTCCTCACTTGTATATCCAACTGTCCTCTGAACCTTTTCATTTAGATTTCTAATGGACAACTGAAACTCAACATGTCCCAAACCAATCTCATCATTTTCCCTGTAAGATCTTCACTAAAGCCTTTTCTTTCTCATTGTTGGTAATTCATTCTTGCTGTTGCTTAGGCTTAAAAACCTTGACTACTCTTTTATCTCCTTGCTATTTTTAAGATATATGTAGTGTCTGGCCACATCTCAGTAATTCCATTGAACCAACATTTTCTGTGAGTTATTGTAATAACATCCTAATAAGTCTTCCTGCATTTTACTCTTGTTTCCTTGTATCCTGTTAGTAACGTAACAGCTGGAGGGATCTTTTACAATCCTAAACCGGTTTGTCATTCCTCTCTTCTAGACTATGTAGAGGTTTCTTATTTCACCCGGAGTAGAAATGAAAGTTCTTACTTTGTTTCAATGAGACTCTGTGACTTGCCTCTGTTTTTTTTTTTTTTTTTTTTTAAGACCGAATTTCCCTCTTGTTGCCTAGGCTGAAGTGCAGTGGCGCAGTCTTGGCTCACTGCAACCTCCGCCTCCCGCATTCAAGTGATTCTTCTGCCTCAGCCTCTCGAGTTGCTGGGATTACAGGCATGTGCTACCACGCCCAGCTAATTTTGTATTTTTAGTAGAGATGGGGTTTCTCCATGTTGGTCAGGCTGGTCTTGAACTCCCTAACTCAGGTGATCTTCCCGCCCTGGCCTCCCAAAGTGCTGAGGTTACAGGCATGAGCCACCGCTACCGGCCTGCCTCTGTTACATCTCTGATCTCACCTATCATTCCTGTCTTCCTTGTTCATTCTTGATCCAGTACCGTTCTTCATCCAGTGCAGGCACATTCTTGCCTTTGGGTATGCCCTTTCTTGGAATGTTTCTGTCATATGTCTGATTAAGTTCCTCATCTCTTTAAAGTCTCAATTCTTACACTCTTAATGAGGCCCACCCTTACCACCCTATTTAATACCGGAACCTCTGACCTTATAGCACTAATGCTCTAATATATTAATACTTTACTTATTTATTGTGTTTAATTATAAAGCATATGCTCCACAAGAACAAGAATCCTAGTCCCCATTGCTCACTGACATATCTCAAACACTTAGGTAGGTGTCTGGCATATGGTAGATGTTCATCATTCATTTGTCGAGTGAATAAACACACTCTGTATTTCCTTGAAAGGGTGACGTCCTAAAGCCCTTCTCTTACCCCATCTGTGGCGTTAAGATGTTTTTCTGGGTCACAGCATATCGTTTCTCTTTAAACCCTGTGGTGGGAGTACTTTAGGAAAGTTCCTAGTTTTTGTTGATTTTATTTTATTTTTATATTATTATTATTATTATTATTATTTTAGACGGAGTCTCGCTCTGCCACCCAGGCTAGAGTGCAGTGGTGCGATCTCGGCTTACTGCAAGCTCCACCTCCCGGGTTCACACCATTCTCCTGCCTCAGCCTCCTGAGTAGCTGGGACTACAGGCGCCCATCACCATGCCCGACTAATTTTTTGTGTGTGTGTTTTTAGTAGAGACAGGGTTTCACCACATTAGCCAGGATAGTCTCGATCTCCTGACCTCGTGATCCACCCGCCTCGGCCTCCCAAAGTGCTGGGATTACAGGCATGAGCCACCGCGCCCGGCCCGTTTTGTTATTTTTTGAGATGGAGTGTCGCTCTGTCACCCAGACTGAAGTGCAGTGGCATGATCTCAGCTCACTGCAACCTCCACCTCCTGGGTTCAAGCGATTGTCGTGCCTTAGCCTCCCGAGTAGCTAGGATTACAGGCGCCTGCCACCACCCCCTGCTAATTATTTTATTTTATTTTATTTTTATTTTTAATAAAGATGGGGTTTACCAAGTTGGCCAGGCTGGTCTTGAACTCCTGACCTCAGGTTATCCACCTGCCTCGACCTCCCAAAGTGCTGGGATTATAGGTGTGAGCCACCATGCTCAGCCTTTGTTGGTTTTATTTTAGCTTCCCGTCTCTTTAGGCTGGAACTGTTTCTAGAAATCCATTTAAGATGGAAGTTGACTCTGAAATTGGTTAAATAAAGTTAGGGTGATTTGTTAATATAGAGGAATTGTGAGTTACCACCTGTCATATATATAAGAGAATTTCTTATTTGTTTTCTTACTCTCTAAGCCTAATAAAAAAAGGTTCCTTTAAAAAAAAAAAATTCATTCTAGGCCAGGTGCGGTGGCCCACACCTGTAATCCCAGCACTTTGGGAGGTTGAGGCAGGCAGATCACCTGAGGTCAGGAGTTCCAGACCAGCCAGCCCAACATGGCGAAACCCCGTCTCTACTAAAAATACAAAAAATTAGCTGGGCATGGTGGCAGGCGCCTGTAATCTCAGCTACTCGGGAGGCTGAGGCAGGAGAATCACTTGAACCTGGGAGGCAGAGGTTGGAGTGAGCTGAGATCATGCCACTGCACTCCAGCCTGGGTGGCAAGAGTGAAACTCCATCTCAAAAAATAAAATAAAATAAAAATAAAAATTAAAAAAAAATCTTTTTTACTGCATTTTCAGTGGCAGTTTGAGAAGAAGGGGTGGTACATGTCGATAGACATTAACATGCAATTGAGAAATGCTTTTAAAAAAGTGTGCATGTATATTATGCCTTCTCAATGTTTTTATTCTGTTTCAGCAAATCAGTAGAGTTGCAGTAATCTAGAAAGGATTAATTATGTCATGATGGTTTACTGTGTAGTCTCCCCAAGAAGGGCCACTCTGTTCTGCGTACTGCTGTTAGGCACAAGATGTGAAATAATATCTGTGAGGTCTTCATTTGGTGAATATGATAAAATCAATAGCATTTTAAAGGGTCTCCTAAAAATACCATTTAATGAATTTTAAAAATTAATAGTGAATTATTATTATTGAGAACATTTGTTAAATTAGTGTTTTCTTGGTTTGGATTGGATGTAATGCATAAACTTCAAAGATGTAAAAACTGTATTTAAAACATTTTTTAAATTTTTTGTAGAGATGGGGGTCTCACCACGTTGCCTAGGGTGGTCTCGAGCTCTTGGGCTCAAGTGATCCTCCCACCTCAGCCTCCAAAAGTGTTAGATTACAGTCCTGAGCCATCATGGACTTAACTATCCTTAATTTTGTATCACCTATGGAGAACATGTATTAACTTTGTAATAAAAAAGTTTTTAGGCCTGGTGCAGCAGCTCTTGCCTGTAATGCCAGCACATTGGGAGGCTGAGGTGAGAGGATCACTTAAGCCCAGGAGTTTGAGGCCAGCCTGGGCAACATGGCAAGACCCCAGATTGACAAAAAATTAAAAAAAAAAATTAGCTGGGCATGATGTGGTTAAAAAAAAATTTATCTGGGCACAGGATGACAGGTACCTGCGGTCCCAGCTACCCGGAAGGCTGAGACATGGCAATCACTTGAGACCAGGAGGTTGAGGCTACAGCAAACTATGATCTGTCTGCTGCACTCCATCCTGGGCAACAGAGCGAAGACTCTGTCTCAAAAAAAAAAAAAAAAAAAAAGTCTTCTGTATTTTGTATAAATTGGTGGTGGTTGGATCTAGAGGCTTGAGCACAGATGATTTAATGAGATCAGTTTCCAGGTTTGCAGATTCACAAACCTTTGTTCTCTTAAATTCTTCTTCTTTCTTCTCTTTTTTGGGGACAGAGTCTTCCTCTGTCACCAGGCTGGAGTGTAGTGGCACAATCAAGGCTTATTGCAGCCTCTACCTCCCAGGCTCAAGAAATCCTCCCACCTTAGCTTCTTAAATAGCTGGGACTACAGGCGCACGCCACCACCATGCCTGGCTAATTTTTGTAATTTTTTGTAGAGACATGATTTCACCATGTTGCTTAGGCTGGTCTCAAACTCCTGAGCTCAAGCAGTCTGCCTACCTGGGCCTCCCAGAGTGCTGGGATTACAGGCGTGAGCCACTGTGCTGGCTGTTCTTTTAACTTTTTAAGTTGGCCTGAGAAAGCTTGCAGAGCCTTATTCTCCAGATGTCTCTTTTTACAATTATTCTTCTAACTGCCAAAAGAAGTAAGAAGTCTCCCGTTTTACTGTGTTGTATTTCAATTTTTTTTTTTTTTTAAAAGGGTTTGAAGTCCAGGCGCGGTGGCTCACACCTGTAATCCCGGCACTTTGGGAGGCCGAGGTGGGCAAATGACCTGAGGTTGGGAGTTTGAGACCAACCTGACCAACATGGAGAAACCCCATCTCTACTAAAAATACAAAATTAGTCGGGCATGGAGGCACATGCCTGTAATCTCAGCTACTCGGGAGGCTGAGGCAGGAGAATTGCTTGAATCCGGGAGGCAGAGGTTGCTGTGAGCTGAGATCGTGCCATTGCACTCCAGCCTGGGCAACAAGAGCAAAACTCCGTCTCAGAAAAAAAAAAAAAAAAAAGGTGGGGGGGTTTGAAACACATGGGCAATTAGAAATACTGGTGTCAGAGTTTAACAAGTGAATGACTCTCAATGACTGATTAACAAACGACCTATTAGTTGGTTTCTAAGTGTGTTTTCATCAGAATTGAGGTGGAAGTTAATCAAATTGCTCTCTGAGAGATCATGAAAACATAATTTTTGATGGTAGTTCACTGAGACTCTTATCATGTAATTAAGATTATACTGAAAGAATTGAATGACATCGCTTTCACATAACTCCTTCCATGTATTTAATCTACTTATGTCAGCACATTTTAATCTTACAAAAAATGAGTGCATGTCAGTGGTGGGAGAAGGACAAAACATCTTGCTCATTGTAGCGAACAGATTCACTGACAGTGAAAAGTGTATTTTTATGTATATATTACCCAAATTTGTAATATGTTTATGTTTTGAACAATTACATCCTAATAATGATCATAGTAACTCAGAATAAGATGTTTTTCAATACTTAGACCTTATGATCAGATGGAATTTAATTATTTCAGTTTATATATCTTTTTTCAGATATAGGATAATAAAATACATTCAAGCATAAAATGGCATTTCCTCATGATTAAATTCTGGGGAAGAAGAACGGAAATTTTATATTTCAGGAGAAAGGAAGAGTTGTAGAATTTCTGACTTGGAGATGATCTAGGTTCTTTTCAATATGTAAGAGTGATATAACACCTTATTAAAATGCTAATGCTCATAATATCTTGGAAGTGACTACTTCGTAACTAAATTGATGAAAAATTTAAATGTCAACTTGCAAATGTTCTGGGGCCCATAGTTTTTCAAGAATCTTCTGGTAGGTACTTGAGCAAAAACATTCAAGTCCTTTGGTACCTGTTTGTTGTCAGGCTCCGTGCTGGCTGTGTTGGTGATGTAATGACACGTTCCCTGAATTGACACATTCCCATCTTTCAAGCAGTAGACTTTCTACAACAACCAACTTAATTTATGTCTGAAGCAAAGACGTATAACTGTACACACTAAAGATCTTTACATTTCGTGTTTTTATAAACAGAATTACAAATGCATATTTTGTATTTGAAATTTTAAGACCCCTCACCTCCAGGATGTGTGTGTGTTTCTTTATGAAAGTGCAGGCTGGAAGATAAATTTTCTTACTAAGATGAATGTTTCTTTTTGACAGTGATTAAAAGATGATTAAAATAGTGGTGATTCTGTTGAAAAATTTTAAACATGTATTTTTTAAAAATGGAAAAACATTATTTGTGTATGCCATAGCAATTTATTTTGCCCACGTAGGAAACAGAAAGGGAAAAGAAGAATTTTTATATGGTTCAATATTTTACTGTTAAGATAACTTAATACGTATGTATCCTTCCATGAGGAATAAATAGGAAGGCTAAAATAGAAAGGTTAATGTAAACATTTTTTAAAAGTAAATTGTTAGGTTTTAAAAAAACTTTAATTTTACTGTTGTTTTTTGGGCTTTAAGGAAGCTCTGTATCTCTAGGTTTTTAAATCCTAATGTACCAGGTTGGCCCTTTTGCTGAGGATGAGGCACTTCTGTGGCAGTGTTGCCATGGTGACTGCTTGCCAAGTGCTGTCTCAAGGTCACTCATCACTCATAGCCCTGAATACTTGGATTTTGTTAAGGGAAAATATCAACACTCAGTTGATAAAATGAAGTTAATTATCATATCACATTACTGAAGCATATCTAGCAAAGTTATACTTATAAACAGCATTTTGTGTTAGTATTGATGAACTGTATGTTTTTGAATATTGAGTTTTAACCTGCCAGATTAGAAGGCCAATGGAAAATCTATAAATTAGCCATAGCCCATATTGTAATACTTTAATTTTATTCCATTTCTGACTTTAAAAAATGCAGCAGCGTAATTTTACTGTGGTTATGTTTGAAGATATCTAAACATATTTCCCTCAATATTTGCTTTTTGATATGAGGCAAGAGCAAAGATTTCTTAGCATTTATTTTATATTTTGGTAAACTTAGCTTGAAGTTGCCAGTTGCTGAAGCCCTTGTCCATATAAGAACAGGATGATCATTATATTTTCCCCAAACCAGATTGCAGGTAGATAGTAGATCTATCTACCTAGGTTCTATTTCATATATTCTTTGTCTCATACTGCTGTTAATTTTCCTTGTCCTTACTTTGTAGGTTTTAATTTTTTTTGTTATATACGAACATTATACAAGAAAAGCTGTTCATTAAAGGTTTTTGTTGTTTTTATCAAACCAGTTTTCAATAAAGGAATATATGAAAAGAAATTCCCCTTTGCATTAGCCTATATTTCATCTGGGTCTTGTTCTAGAGAGAAAATCAGAGCTATGTGTCTTCATTAGGATGAAAGGTGACTTTGAAATCAGAGATGAGAAGCATTACTGTAAAAGGGAAAAATGTGATTGAAACAAACAAAAACATGCTTTTCAAAATACATGGTTAGATTTTTTTTTTTTTTTTTAAGACAGGGTTTTGCTCTGTCACCCAGGCTGGATGGAGTACAGTGGTACGATCTTGGTTCACTGTAAAGTCTGCCTCCAGGGCTCAAGGGATCCTCCCACCTCAGCCTCCCGGGTAGCTGGGACTACAAGCACACACCACCATGTCCAGCTAATTTTCGTATTTTTATGTAGAGACGGGGTTTCGCCATGTTGCTCAGTCTGGTCTTGAATTCCTGGGCTTAAGGGATTTGCTCGCTTTGGCCTCCTGAAGTGTTAGGATTACAGGCGTGAGCCACCGTGCCTGGCCTGAAAATCTGGTCTTTTGGCTAATTAGAATCTAACTAGTTCCTCTGCTTTCAAGGGAATTGGATGAATTGGTTCTCCTAAAGCATTTTCATCTCTGCTTCTGTAGAGCAGACACCTTTGCAGTGTCCGATCAAGATACTTTTACACTCTTGAAAATTTTTTTTTTAAATTATTATTATTATACTTTAAGTTTTAGGGTACATGTGCACAATGTGCAGGTTTGTTACATATGTATACATGTGCCATGCTGGTGTGCTGCACCCATTAACTTGTCATTTAGCATTAGGTATATCACCTAATGCTATCCCTCCCCCCCTCCCCCCACCCACAACAGTCCCCGGTGTGTGATGTTCCCCTTCCTGTGTCCATGTGTTCTCATTGTTCAATTCCCACCTATGAGTGAGAACATGCGGTGTTTGGTTTTTTGTCCTTGCGATAGTTTGTTGAGAATGATGGTTTCCAGCTTCATTCATGTCCCTACAAAGGACATGAACTCATCATTTTTTATGGCTGCATAGTATTCCATGGTGTATATGTGCCATGTTTTCTTAATCCAGTCTGTCACTGTTGGACATTTGGGTTGGTTCCAAGTCTTTGCTATTGTGAATAGTGCCGCAATAAACATATGTGTGCATGTGTCTTTATAGCAGCATGATTTATAATCCTTTGGGTATATGCCCAGTAATGGGATGGCTGGGTCAAATGGTATTTCTAGTTCTAGATCCCTGAGGAATCGCCACACCGACTTCCACAATGGTTGAACTAGTTTACAGTCCCACCAACAGTGTAAAAGTGTTCCTATTTCTCCACATCCTCTCCAGCACCTGTTGTTTCGTGACTTTTTAATGACTGCCATTCTAACTGGTGTGAGATGGTATCTCATTGTGGTTTTGATTTGCATTTCTCTGATGGCCAGTGATGACGAGCATTTTTTCATGTGTTTTTTGGCTGCATAAATGTCTTCTTTTGAGAAGTGTCTGTTTATATCCTTCGCCCACTTTTTGATGGGGTTGTTTGTTTTTTTCTTGTAAATTTGTTTGAGTTCATTGTAGATTCTGGATATTAGCCCTTTGTCAGATGAGTAGGTTGCAAAAATTTTCTCCCATTCTGTAGGTTGCCTGTTCACTCTGATGGTGGTTTCTTTTGCTGTGCAGAAGCTCTTTAGTTTAATTAGATCTCATTTGTCAATTTTGGCTTTTGTTGCCATTGCTTTTGGTGTTTAGACATGAAGTCCTTGCCCAAAATCTCCTTAAGCTGATAAGCACTTCAGCAAAGTCTCAGGATACAAAATCAATGTGCAAAAATCACAAGCATTCTTATACACCAATAACAGACAAACAAAGAGCCAAATCATGAGTGAACTCCCATTCATAATTGCTTCAAAGAGAATAAAATACCTAGGAATCCAACTTACAAGGGATGTGAAAGACCTCTTCAAGGAGAGCTACAAACCACTGCTCAATGAAATAAAAGAGGATACAAACAAATGGAAGAACGTTCCATGCTCGTGGGTAGGAAGAATCAATATCGTGAAAAAGGCCATACTGCCCAAGGTAATTTATAGATTCAATGCCATCCCCATCGAGCTACCAATGACTTTCTTCACAGAATTGGAAAAAACTACTTTAAAGTTCATATGGAACCAAAAAGGAGCCCACATTGCCAAGTCAATCCTAAGCCAAAAGAACAAAGCTGGAGGCATCACGCTACCTGACTTCAAACTATACTACAAGGCTACAGTAACCAAAACAGCATGGTACTGGTACCAAAACAGAGATATAGACCAATGGAACAGAACAGAGCCCTCAGAAATAATGCTGCATATCTACAAGTATCTGATCTTTGACAAAGCTGACAAAAACAAGCAATGGGGAAAGGATTCCCTATTTACACTCTTGAAATTTCAATGAATGCAAAGCTCTATAGATATTGTTGCAAATATGCCAGGTAGTATATATATGCCAGCTAACGTTTGTTTCATTTTTGCATATTTATGAAGCCAAGTATATTATCTGATGCTATATTTGCTAATTTATTTGGAAAAAGGTGTTAATATAAAACTCTGTAAGCTATGATGTTAGGCAACATGATCTAGAAAAAAGAATATTGGAGTGGGAGGCCAGGGCCCTGCACTGATCTTCCATCTTTCTTTTACTGTGTGAACTTGGTTAAGTCACTTGTTGTGGTTCGTGTTTCTCATTTGTAAATCAAGGTATTTCCATTTCTGTTGTGACCATCCATAATTCCATTGTCAGTATTCTGTGTAGTAAAATTTGGATTATCTTCAATAATGGGGAGAATTGTAGTTCATACCAATCTAAAGTGCTGAAGCTTTCAAACTGATTCCTTTGATTTTGGATGCAGATTTATTTTGTTTTTCCTTAGATACTATTAAAGTGTTTTTTTTTTTTTTTTTTTTTTTTGGGACAGAGTCTCGCCCTGTCGCCCAGGCTGGAGTGCAGTTGCACTATCTCGGTTCACTGCAAGCTCCGCCTCCCAGGTTCATGCCATTCTCCTGCCTCAGCCTCCCGAGTAGCTGGGACTATAGGCGCCTGCCACCATGCCCGGCTGATTTTTTTTTTGTATTTTTAGTAGAGATGGGGTTTCACCATGTTAGCCAGGATGGTCTCGATCTCCTGACCTCATGATCCGCCAGCCTCGGCCTCCCAAAGTGCTGGGATTACAGGCGTGAGCCACTGCACCCAGCCTTTTTTTTTTTTTTTTTCTGAGGCAGAGTCTTCCTCTGTTGTCCAGGCAATGGTGTGATCTTGGCTCACTGCAATCTCTGCCTCCCGGATTCAAGCAATTCTCCTGCCTCAGCCCCCTGGGTAGCTGGGACTACAGGCATGTGCCACCATGCCTGGCTAATTTTCGTATTTTTATTGGAGACAGGGTTTCACCATGTTGGCCAGGCTGGTCTCGAACTCTTGAGCTCAAGCATTCCACCCGCCTTGGCCTCCCAAAGTGCTGGGATTAGAGGCATGAGCCACTGTGCCAAGCCTATTAAAGTTATTTTGTATTCCACATGTATATTTAACCAGGTTGTTTTGGAACAAGAAGGGGAAGAGTTTTTATGATGGAACTGTTTATGTGGCAAGTAATTAGCAGTTTTTAAAATGTTTTGTGACTAACTCCACAAGGTTAGAATTGACTGTAGAAATAGCTGCTGAAAGAATATAGAGTAGAAATTGATTTTGCAATATTTTGAACCTGGGCTTCAAGTAGACTCTGGACTTTTTCAGTGAGAAGGAAGGGTTAATGTGCAAAATATTTTGCTTTGAAGTTTTCTTTTCCCCTTTTTTTGTTTGAGATGGGGTCTCACTCTGTCACCCAGGCTGTAGTACAGTGGTGTGATCTCAGCTCACTGCAACCTCCGCCTCCTGGGTGCAAGTGATTCTCCTGTCTCAGCCTGCTGAGAAACTGGGATCACAGGCGCCTGCCACCATGCCTGACTAATTTTTTGTATTTTTAATAGAGATGGGGTTTCATCATGTTGGCCAGGCTGGTGAAGCTTTCTTTAACATGTCCCATTCTATAGCCCAGGAAAGCATTACAGTCTCAAAAGATGGTGGACATCAATGTTTATTAAAACATTGTTTTTAAAAGTTTACAAAGTAGAATATATGTGAAAAGTGAAAGCTTTAGAATTAAATCCTTTCATACCCATTTCCGTGCATATATAAACACACAGTTTTTACTTTGTTGGCTCACCTTGTACTTACTCTGCCATTGCCATCTTTTTGTCAGTATATAGAGATCTTTTTCATTTAAAAAATAATGGCAAATATGAATCTGTGGATAGTCTAATAATAAACCAGCTATTTGCTGTTAAAACAGTGCCACAAAGAACATCCTTTTTCTCCCATCTTTACCCACTCCTGCAGAAATTTCCATAGAACGGATTCCTGAAAGTCAAATTTTTTGGGTCTGTGGATGTCCAAGGGATATCTTTCATATTTGGCTGGATTTCAAAATTGCTTTTCAGAAAGCTTTAATAGCTTACAGTCCTGTCAACAGTAACACCTACTTTTTTCATGCCTATTTTCTTGGGATGATGATCTTATAGCAGCCATTTATTGAGTGCCCACCATGTGTTAGGAATTGTGTCAGGTGCTTAACTTGGCTTTCTCTAATCCTGATAATCCTGTAAGATATTATTTTCATCCCCATTTACAGTTGAGGAATTTGAGGGTCAGAGAGGTGAAATAACTTGCTTAAGGCCGCATAACTAGTAAATGGTAACACACTGGGGTTTAAACCGCCACCTGTCTGATTCCAAAGTCTGTGTTCCTCTTAATCACAAACTGTTTCTAATATTGAGAGGACCATCTGTAAATAGGTGCATATATACAAATTGAGAATGTACATATTTTCCTTCAAATTAAGTAATATAGTCAGATAATACATAGAAAGTTAATAGTCCTTCAAATCAGCCATAGCCCAAACAATATAGATAATTCAGTTTATTGACAAAGATATATATGAGATATAATTTCTGACTCTGGCTTTAGATGTTTAGGTTTTGGACTTTTCAAATGAGTATAATCCTTAGTGGTTTCAAATTTAACTTGAGGAACCAATGATTACAACTAACAATATACTGCTAGTCTACAAACCCAGTCTAGTTAAGGATGCCATAACAAAGTGCCACAGACCGAGTGGCTAAACAAATTTATTTTCTTAGAGTTCTGGAGGCTAGCATTCCAAAATCAGAAGTCAGCAGGGTTGCTTCCTTCTGAAGCCTCTTTCTTTGACTTGTAGATGGCTGACATCTCCCTGTGTCTTCACATGGTTTTCTCTCTGTTCTCTTTGTCTAAATTTCTTTCTTTTTTTTTTTTTTTGAGATGGAGTCTGTCTCTTGTTGCCCAGGCTCGAGTGCAACGGCGCAATCTCGGCTCACTGCAACCTCCCCCTGCTAGGTTCAAACGATTTCTCCTGCCTCAGCCTCCCGAGTAGCTAGGATTATAGGCATGCACCTCCACGCCCAGCTAATTTTGTATTTTTTTTTTTTTTTTTTTTTTTTTTTTTAGTAGAGATGGGGTTTCTCCATGTTGGTCAGGCTGGTCTCAAACTCTTGACCTCAGGTGATCTGCCTGCCTCGGCGTCCCAAAGTGCTGGGATTACAGACGTGAGCCACCGCGCCGGCCTAAATTTCCTCTTACAAGGGCGCCAGTCATATTGGATTAGGGCCACCCTAGTGACCTCATTTTGAATAGGATCACCT
This sequence comes from Homo sapiens, assembly GCF_000001405.40. NCBI lineage: Eukaryota > Metazoa > Chordata > Mammalia > Primates > Hominidae > Homo > Homo sapiens. The sequence continues at coordinate 47,558,458 of NC_000020.11, forward strand.
CTTTAAAGTTCTGTCTCTAAATATAGTCACATTGTGAGAGGTGAGGATTAAAACATGAAATTTGGCAGGGTGCAAAGAACTCTACCAGTTCTTCCACTGTTTGCATCAGTTTCAGTGTCCCTATCAGTAAAAGAAGTCACAAGCCGTCTTGAATAATTGGAACCCTTCTGCCAGATTGTCTAATGTCAGTCTCTTTTTTTTGGATGCTGCTTCTTCTAAGTCATCTTCCTCATTGTTTGGCATTGGTTCAGAATCCCTCATCTCCATCAAGTTCTCTTAATTCCTCTGGTGTGTGTTGTCTTTTAGCTCTTACATTTCTCTAAGATCCATATCTTAAAACCCTTCACTCCCTACTTTTTTCACTTTTTTTTTTTTTTTTTTTTGGCCATATCCACAACCTCCATGATTTCCTTGATAGGCTCTGTTTTAAATCCTCTGAAGTTATGCACGACATCTGGACACAGTTTTCTCCAGCAGGAATTTATTGTTTTGGACTTGATGCCTTTCACAGCTTTTTCCGTAACAGTGATGGCATCTTCAATGGTGTAATCTTTCCAGATTTTCATGATGTTTTCTCTATTAGGGTTCTTTTCCATAGCATCCATAATCCTTCCCATAGAGCACTATGTGTAATGAGCCTTAAAGGTCCTTATGACCTCCTGATCTTCAGACTGAATTAGAGTTATCATGTTTGGGGGCAGGTAAACCAACTCAATGCCTTCATTGTTGAACTTATAGGCTTCTGGGTGGTCAGGGCATTGTCCAATAGTAAAAGAACTTTAAAAGGCAGTCCCTTACTGGCAAGGCACTTCCTGACTTCAGGGACAAAGCATTGATGGATTCAATCCAGAAAAAGGCTTCTTGTTCTCCAGGCCTTCTTATACAACCAAAAGACTGGCAGCTGGTGTTTATCTTTTCCCTTCAAGATTTGGAGCAGGGGAGGGAGGTGGTGGCTAGCAGCTTCTTAGATGAGGGCAGTCCTGATCATAAACCCTACTGCATTTGTACAAAACAGTAGAGTTAGCCTGTCCCTTCCTGCCTTATATCCTGATGCTTGCTTCTCTTTCTTACTAAATGTCCTTTGCAGTCTTTTTTTCTTCCCCAGAATAGGGCACTTTCATCTGCATTAAAAATCTTTTCAGGCTCTGCGTGGTGGCTCACCTCTGTAATCCCAGCACTTTGGGAGGCCGAGGTGGGCGGATCACTTGAGGTCAGGAGTTCGAGACCAGTCTGGCCAACATGGTGAAACCCCGTCTCTACTAAAAATACAAAAAAATTAGCCTCCCAGGTTCCAGTGATTCTCCTGCCTCAGCCTCCCAGGTAGCTGGGACTACAGGCACACCCTACCACACCTGGCTAATTTTTTGTATTTTTAGCAGAGACAGGGTCTCACTGTGTTGCCCAGGCTGGTCTCAAACTCTTCAACTAAGGCAGTCTTCTCACCTTGGCCTCCCAAAGTGCTAGGATTACAGGCGTGAGCCACTGCACTGGCCAATTTTTGTATTTTTAATAGAGATGGGCTTTCATCACATTGGCCAAACTGGTCTCGAACTGCTGGCCTCAATCAGTCCACCCACCTTGGCCTCCCAAAGTGTTGGAATTACAGGAGTGAGCCACCACACCTGGCCTTAATTTTTTTTTGGAGACAGTTTCGCTCTGTTGCCCAGGCTAGAGTGCTGTGGCACAATCTTGGCTCACTGCAACCTTTGTCTCCTGGTTTCAAGCAATTCTCCTGCCTCAGCCACCCGAGTAGCTGGGATTATAGGTGTGCGCTATCATGGCCGGCTTTTTGTATTTTTAGTAGAGAGAGGGTTTCACCATGTTGGCCAGACTGGTCTCAAACTCCTGACCTGAAGTGATTTGCCCGCCTTGTCTTCCCAAATTGCTGGGATTACAGATGTGAGCCATCGTGCCCGGCCATGAGGACGTGCTTTCAAGTCAATTGGATAAATACCTGGAAGTGTGATTGCTGGATCATATGGTTAAGTTAGGTTTTAGCTTTGTGAAAAACTGCCAAACTGTCTTCTGAAGTGGCTGTATCATTTGTATGCTCACCAGCAATGAATTAGAGTTCCTGTTACTCTGCATGCTCACAACATTTGGTATTGTCAGTTTTTTTAGATTTTAGCCATTCCAATAGGTATGTCGTAGTATCTCATTGTTTTAATTAGCAGTCCTGTAATAACAGATGATGTTCAGCATCTTCATATGCTTATTTGCTATATGTGTATCTTCAGTGAGGTGTCTTTAGTCCATCTTTTAACTAGTTTCTTGTGTTACTATTTTGTCATTGAAGAGCTCTTTATATATTTTGGAATGTAAATTCTCGATGTGTTAAACATTTTTCTCACGATCTGGCTTGCTTTGATTTAAAAATTTTTTTTATTTCAATAATTTTGAGTTATAGGTGGTTTTGGTTACATTAATGAGTTCTTTTGTGGTGATTTCTGAGTTTTTAGGTGTACCTGAGCAGTGTACACTGTGCCCAATATGTAGTCTTATCCCTCATTCTTTTTTTTTTTTTTTTTTTTTGAGATAGGGTCTCTGTCACCCGGGCTGGAGTATAGTGGTATGATTTTGGCTCACTGCAGCTTGACTTCTGGGGCTCAGGCGATCCTCCTACCGCAGCCTCCAGCCTCCTGAGTAGCTGATATCACAGATGCATGCCACCATACTCAGCTACTTTTTTGTATTTTTTGTAGAGACAGGGTTTCGCCATGTTGCCCAAGCTGGTCTCGAACTCCTGAGGTCAAAGGATCTGCTTGCTTCAGCCTCCTAAAGTGCTGGGATTATGGGCATGAGCTACTGGGACTGGCCAATTTTTTTTTTTTTTCAAGTTGACTTTTTTTTTTTTTTTTAAAGCTACACGGTCTCGATCTGTTGCCCAGACTGCAGTGCAGTGGCATGTTCATAGCTCACTGCAGCTTCAAATTCCTGGGCTCAAGTGATCCTCTTGCTTCAGCTTCCCCAAGAAGCTAGGACTATAGGCCTGTGCCAGCACACCCAGCTAATTTTTTTTCTTTTTCTTTTTTTTTTTATTTCATAGAGACAGGATCTTGCTATGTTGCCTGGGCTTTTCTCCAACTCTAAGCCTCAAGTGATCCTCTTGCCTCAGCTTCCCAAAGTGCTGGGATTACAGGCATGAGCCACTGCACCTCGCTTAGGCTATTTTTTTAAAGAGCAGTTTAAGGTTATAGGAAAATGGAGAGGAGGGTACAGAGATTTCCCATATGTGCATGTCTTCCTCCATTATCAGCAACTCCCTGCCAGAGTGGTGGATTTGTTATAGTTGATGAATTTATGCTGACACATCATCACCTAGAGTTCATAGCTTACATTAGGGTTAATTCATAGAATGTTGTATATTCTGTGAGTTTAGGCAAATTTACAATGATCTACCATTAAAATATCATACAGAGTAGTTTCACTACCCTAAAAAATCTATGCCCCACCTATTCATCCCCTCCTTCCCCGTAATCTCAGGCAACCATTGATCATTTTATTGTCCCCATAGTTTTGCTTTTTTTTTTGACATGTCATATAGTTGGAACCATAAAGTATGTAGCCTTTTCAGACTAGCTTCTTTTGCTTAGTAATATGCATTTAAGTTTCCTCCCTGTCTTTTTATGACTTGATAGCGTATTTCTTTACAGTGCTGAATGAGATTCCATGTGCCACAATTTATCCACTCACCTATTGAAGGACATCTTGGTTGCTTCCATGCTTTAGCAATTATGAATAAAGCTGCCATAAGCACCTGTGTATAGGTTTTTGTGTGTAGGATGTAAGTTTTCAACTTTGGGTAAAACACCAAGGAGCATGATTGCTGGTTAGAATATGTTTAGTTTTTTAAGAAATTGCCCAACTGTCTTCCAAAATGGCTTTTGCATTCCTACCAGCAATGAATGAGAATTCCTGTTGCTTCACATACTTTCCAGTGTTTGGTGTTGTCAGTGTTCTAGATTTTGGCCATTCCAACAGGTGTGTATTAGTATCATCATTTCAGTTTGCATTTCCCTGATGACGTGTGATGTGGATCATCTTTTCATATACTTGTTTGTCATCTGTCCATCTGTCTTGATTTTTTTTTTTTTAATTTGTGTTGGCAAATGAGGGTCAGGAATTGGATTTGGGATCTAGCTTTAAGGAATTAGTTAGGGTTTGGTATTTTGAATGTAAAACGGCCTAGGAATGTATATAAATCACAACTGTACCATATACCTTTTATTATTTTGTGATTATAAAAGCATAGCAATCACTTTGGAAAATTTGGGATACTTTCAAAGCAGGAAAAAGTACTACTAGTAATTGTGGGGATTAACATTTTGTTATATTTTCTAAATTCTTCTTTTTCTTCTCCTATATATTCTCCATATATCTCTGTATCCTTCTTTTACATGTAATTATGCAGAACTTTTAATAATATTTTAGAGGCTACTTTTATGATTATTAAAAGTAATTTTTTAAAAATAATGATGAGGTCTTGCTATGTTGGCCGGATTGGTCTTGAACTCTTGGCCTCAAGCAGTCCTCTCCACTGGGCCTCCCAAAGTGCTAGGATTACAGGCGTGAGCCAACACGCCTGGCTAAAAGTAATGTTTATGTGAGCATCAGGTGCCACAAGCTTTGTCTACATTTCTCATACTTCTTTGTTTAGAGTACTGGAAGTAGATTCTGGATCGAAGACTACTGCTGGATGTTACGAATTATTTTCCTAATCTATCCTTTTTATATTACATTAAGGAGTTTAACATTTTGTAGAGCTTAAAAAGTTTTTTGGTGGCATCATTTTTGTTTTATTTAAAAATTACAACAAAATTATTTGTCATTTTACCACTTAAAAGTCAGTGATTTTGGGTGATGATAATGTGTCAGTGTAGTTTCACCAGTTGTAACAAACTCACCACTCTGATAGGGGATGTTTATGATGGGGGGAGGAGATGCATATGTAGAAGGAATAGATAGGCTATCTCTGTACTTGGTCTCAATTTTGGTGTGAACCTAAAACTGCTCTAAGAAATCAAAAAGGGAAAAAAATGGTACAGTAATTAAACCATGCCCTCAATTCAGTTGCATATTAAATTTGAGTGCAGGCTGGGCATGATGGCTTATGCCTGTAATCCCAGCAGTTTAAGTGGCTGAGGCATGGCTGGGCACAGTAGCTCATGCCTGTAATCCTAGCACTTTGGGAGGCTGAGGCAGGCAGATCACCTGAGGTCAGGAATTCGAGACCAGCCTGACCAACGTGGTGAAATGCCATCTCTACTAAAAATATAAAAAAATTAGCTGGGCGTGGTGGCAGGCGCCTGTAGACCCAGCTACTCAGGAAGCTGAGGCACGAGAATCTCTTGAACCTGGGAGGCGGAGCTTGCAGTGAGCCAAGATGGTGCCACTGCACTGTAGCCTGGGCTACAGAGCGAGATTCTGTCTCAAAAAAAAAAAAAAAAGAAAGAAAAAAGAAAAAGGCTGAGGTGGGAGGATCACTTGAACTCAGGAGTTTGAGACCAGCCTGAGCAGCATGAGGAAATCTTGTCTCTACAAAAACTACACAAATTAGCCAGGTGTGGTGGCATGCGCATGTGGTCCTAGCTACTTGGGAGGTTGAGGCAAGAGGATTGCTTGAGTCTGCCTGAGGGTGAGGCTGCAGTGAGCCATGTACTCCATCCTGGGGAAAGAGCGAGACCCTGTCTCAAAAAACGAAAAAAAAAAAATTTATGCACCTTTCTCCGTTTTTTTCCCCAAGTATGAGCAGATACATCTATATAAACATTGTTCTCACACATTAAAACAATCATGTTATTTTGCTTGCATTTTTTTTTTCAATTATTGTAGCATGGGCATCCTTTTAGGTAATTGTATATGGACATCTACTGCATTATTTTCAATGGCTATGTAATATACTGTTGTTGGATGTCCTTTATTTAGTCATTCATCTGTTAATTCAGCAAAGAACTATTGAGTACCTGTCATGTGCAAGTTACTGGGGATATATTCAACAAACAGAACAAACTGAAATCTCTCACCTCAAGGAGCTTGCATCAAGTTGGAGTTTATATTCCCCTATTGATGGTCATTATTTATTTCTCCTCTTTTTTTTTTTTTTAGGTAGAATATTGTAGTGAATATCCTTGTTATATTTTTCATCTTTGTTAAAACCCCAATTGGTATCTACATCTTTTGTATCTTGATGTACTTGTGCTGTATTTCTAGCCATGGACTTGTTGAGTCTAAAGGATATATGCATTTAAAGTTTTTAATTTTTGCCACAATACCATTTTCTTTATTTTACATTTCCTGAATGCTTGGAAGGGTTGTGCACGTTTTCATGTGTTTGCTGGTCATTTGTACTACTGTGAATTGCCTACTCTGGTTCTTAGTCCATTTTTCTTAGTAGATTGTCTTTTCTTGTCTGTTTTTCTTAGTAGATTGTCTTTTCTAATTTGTAAAGCTCCTATGTATCCTAAACTTTAATTCCTTGTTTGTTTATACACCAGAGATGTTTTCTTTCTGTTACTTAACTATAGGGTGGTGGTTTTTTTTTTAGAAGGAGTTTTACACTTGTTGCCCAGGCTGAAGTGCAGTGGCACGATCTCGACTCACTGCAACCTCTGCCTCGTGGGTTCAAGCAATTCTCCTGCCTCAGCCTCCAGAGTAGCTGGGATTACAGGCATGTGCCACCATGCCTGGCTAATTTTGTATTTTTAGTAGAGACGAGGTTTCTCCACGTTGGCCAGGCTGGTCTTGAACTCCTGACCTCAAGTCACACGCCTGCCTCGGCCTCCCAATGTGCTAGGATTACAGGCATGAGCCACGGTGCCTGGCCCCAGATGTCTCTCTTAATGAGTGGCTGAGCTGTATGTTTTTTTTACTCTCAGAGACATGGCTTTCCCTTATCCAGAGGCAGTGTCACTGGTAGGGAGGATCTCGATTATTTAGTCTTTGTAACTGCCCTGCTGTTTTAGATAGGTAGGGCAGGGCTGGGCACAGTGACTCACATCTGTAATCCCAGCACTTTGGGAAACTGAGGTGGGCAGATCGCGTGAGCCCAGGAAGTTGGAGATCAGCCTGGGTGACATGGTGAAACTCTGTCTCTACTAAAACCACAAAAATTAGCTGGGCATAGTGTCATGCACCTGTAGTCCCAGCTACTTGGAAAGCTGAGGCAGGAGGATCACTTCACCCTGGGAGGCAGAGGTTGCCTTGAGCTCTGGTCATGCCACTGCACTCCAGCCTCAGCCTGGGTGACAGACTGAAACCCTGTTCCAAAAAAGGAAGAAACTGAGGAGGGAGGTGGGGTAACATAGCTAGTAATTAGGACAGCTGGGATTTGAATCTTTTTTTCCTCCTTCCAGATCCATTGGAACAAGCATTATTTTTGATAATACTCCCATGACCATCCACTAACTTCTTATACTTCCTAAAAGTGATGTTGTATACTAGCTTTGTATGGTTCTTTCATTGACACCATTAAACCTAAGTTTAAAAATGAAGCATGTCATTCCCTCTCCCACCATTTAAAAATTTTTTTTTATTTGATGCTGAGTTTCTCTCTGTTGCCCAGGCTGGAGTGCAGTCGCACGATCTTGGCTCACTGCAACCTCTGCCTCCCGGGTTCAAGCGATTTCTGGCTAATTTTTGTATTTTCAGTAGAGATGGGCTTTCATCATGTTGGCCAGGCTGGTCTCGAACTCCAGACCTCAAGTGATCCACCTGCCTCGGCCTCCCAAAGTGCTAGGATTACAGGCGTGAGCCACTGTGGCTGACTTCTCCCACCCCTCCCTTTTTGTTCCCAGTTCTCATTGGTCTACAGTGTGAGTCCCAAGCTGGAATTTGGAAGAAGCTTGGGGCTATTGGACATAATGATAATAAAATAGTTAATTGATTAACTATAATTAACATGAATAATGAAATCCACCATTATATAGCGCTATCTGTCTGGAACAGTCGTGTGGTTGGTTCCTTTTAGCTCTTGGATTAAATGTTGTATCTTAGGAGAGCCCTTCCCAGACCTGAAATTACTTTCTTCTCCCTCTTCTTCCCCCTTATCTATATCACCTTATTTATTTATTTTTGAGATAGGGTCTTGCTCTGTCTCCCAGGCTGGAGTGCAGTGGTGCCATTTCAGCTCACCGCACCCTCAACCTCCTGGGCTCAAGCGATCCTTTCACCTCAGCCTCCAGAATAGCTGGGACCACAGGCACGTGCTACCATGCCCAGCTAATTTTTGTATTTTTTGCAGAGACAGGTTTTGCCGTGTGCCCAGGCTGGTCTTGAAATCCTGAGCTCATGCAGTTAACCCACCTTGGCCACCCACAGTGTTGAGATTACAGGCATGAGCCACTGCGCCTAGCCCTAATGTGCTTTTTAAAGAGTAAGCATAGCTGGGTAGAGTGGCGTGTACCTGTAGTCCTGAGTACTTGGGAGACTGAGGCAGGAAGATTGCTTGAGCCCAGGAGTTGGAAGCCAGCCTGGGCAACATAGCAAGACTGTCAAAAAAGAAAAAGAAGAAATTTAAAAAAGTACTATTAGTACTAACAGTTTACATGGTATAGTACTATGTATGTATGTATGTATGTATGTATGTATGTATGTATGTATGTATGTATTTTGAGACGGAGTCTTGCTCTGTCACCAGGCTGGAGTGCAGTGATGTGATCTTAGCTCACTGCAACCTCTGCCTCCTGGGTTCAAGCGATTCTCCTGCCTCAGCCTCCCGAGTAGCTGGGACTACAGGTGTGCACCACCACACCCAGCTAATTTTTGTATTTTTAGTAGAGATGGAGTTTCGCCATGTTGGTCAGGATGGTCTTGATCTCTTGACCTTGTGATCCCCCCGCCTCGGCCTCCCAAAGTGCTAGGATTACAGGTGTGAGCCACTGCACTCGGTTGTACTTTGTTTTGTTTGATGTAACATAAAATATTTGAGTACTTTTCTTTCTTTCTTTTTTTTTTTTAAAGAGCTAGGATGTTATACTATTGGCCCAGGCTAGAGTGCAGTGCAGTGGTGCAATCACAGCTCACTCAACCTCGAACTCCTGGGCTCAAGTGATCCTCTCACCTCAACCTCCCAAGTAGTTGGGAGTAAAGGTTCATGTCATCACACCTGGCTAATTCTTTTCTTTCTTTTTTGAGACTGAGTTTCATTGTTGTTGCCCAGACTGGAGTGCAGTGGCATGATCTTGGCTCACTGCAACCTCTGCCTCCTGGGTTCAAGTGATTCTCTTGCCTCAGCCTCACAAGTAGCTGGGATTACAGGTACATGCTACCGTGCCCGGCCAATATTTTGTATTTTTAGTAGAGACGGGGTTTCACCATGTTGGCCAGGCTGGTCTCCAACTCCTGACCTCAGGTGATCCACCCACCTTGGCCTCCCAAAGTGCTGGGATTACAGGTGTGAGCCACCGTGCCAGGCCAATTATTTTACTTTCTTTTTGTAGAGATGGGGTCTTTCTGTGTTGCCCAGGCTGGTCTTGAACTCCTGTCCTCAAGTGTTCCTCCAGCCTCACAAAGGATTGGGATTACAGTCATGAGCCACCATACCTGGTGGCTTTTAAGTCTTTTGTTAAAAACAACTCTGGCAGAGCAAGAAGACATACAGGCCACTATTTTGTTTGCTTTTGTTTTATAGTCAGTATTTCCTTTCAAGTTCTATTTTTGGCACAGAAGCTGCATTGGTCCTGGAAGAAGACCAGGCAACAAGCTGCTGTGGCTCCAGTTGAGTTTACTTTCCTTGACAAGTGAGGAATGCATTGGGTACTTGAATAAAACCAGGGAGGAATGATGGCACTTCCGTTGTGCCAGACCGTGGCAAGAAGCTAGGCAGCTACTGTAAGTCTGTACTTTTTTTCTGTTATCTTTGGAATAGTTCACATGGTAGAAGAAAAAAAAATACAGGCATACCTCAGACCATTGTGATAAAATGAATATTGTGATAAAATGAGTCACTAATTTTTTGGTTTCCCAGTAGATAAAAAGTTATGTTTACACTCCATTCTGTTAAGTGTGCAGTAGCATTATGTCTAAAGAAACAATGTATATACCTTAATTAAAAAAATACTTTATTGTGGCCTGGTGGGTAGCTCCATCCCAGCACTTGGGGAAGCTAAGGCAGGTGGATCCCTTTAGCTCCATGAGACCAGCGTGGGCAACATGGCAAGATTCCATCTCTACCAAAACGATGTAAGAATTAACCAGGCGTGGTGGTGGTGTGTGCCGGTAATCCCAGCCATTTGGGAGGCTGAGGTGGGAGGATCACTTGAACCTGGGAGGCAGAAGCTGCAGTGAGCCAATATTGTGCCACCACACTCCAGCTTCGGTGACAGAGCCAGACTCTGTCTCAAAAAAAAAAAAATTATTGCTAAAAAATGCTGATTGATCATCTTAACATTTAGTAAGCTGTAAATCTTGCTGGGTGAAGGTCTTGCCTCAGTATTGATGGATGCTGACTGATCAGGGTGGTGGTTAATGAAGGCTGGGGTGGCTGGGACAAATTAAAACAGTTTTTTTTTTTTTTGAGGCAGAGTTTTGCTCTGTTGCCCAGGCTGGAGTGCAGGGTGTGATCACAGCTAACTATAACCTCTGCCTTCCGGGTTCAAGCAGTTCTTCTGCCACAGCCTCTCATGCTGAGGCAGGAGGATCACTTGAGCCCAGGAGTTCAAGACCAGGATCACTTGAGCCCACGAGTTTGAGACCAAGCTGGGCAACATAGCAAGACCCCATCTCTATAAAATATTACAAAAATTAGCTGGGCATGGTGGCATGCGCCTGTAGTCCCAGCTACTCGGGAGGCTGAGGTGGGAGGACTGCTTGGGCCTGGGAGGCAGATGTTGCAGTGAGCCAAGATTGTGCCTCTGCACTCCAGCCTGGGCAACAGAGCCAGACCCTATCTCCCCACCCCATACCGTCCCCCAATAAAAAATAAATAATTTTGTTTTTTTAAAGGCTGGATGCGGTGGCTCATGCCTGTAATCCCAGCACTTGGGGAGGCTGAGGTGGGTGAATCACCTGAGGTCAGGAATTTGAGACCAGCCTGGCTAACATGGTGAAACCCTGCCTGTCTCTATTAAAAATACAAAAATGAGCCAGACATGGTGGAGGCGCCTGTAATCCCAGCTACTTGGGAGGCTGAGGCACAAGAATTGCTTGAACTCGGGAGGCGGAGGTTGTAGCGAGCTGAGATTGTGCCACTGCACTCCAGCCTGGGTGACGGAGAGACCCTGTCTCAACAACAGCAACAACAAAAGTCAATCCTCTCAAAACCCTGCTGCTCATGGCTGGGCGCAGTGGCTCACGCCTGTAATCTCAGCACTTTGGGAGGCCGAGGAGGGCGGATCACAAGGTCAGGAGATCAAGACCATCCTGGCTAACACGGTGAAACCCCGTCTCTACTAAAAATACAAAAAATTAGCTGGACGTGGCGGCGGGTGCCTGTAGTCCCAGCTACTCGGGAGGCTGAGGCAGGAGAATGGCACGAACCCGGGAGGCAGAGGTTGCAGTGAGCTGAGATCACGCCACTGCGCTCCAGCCTGGTTGACAGAGTGAGACTCCGTCTCAAAAAAAACAACAAAAAAAAAACCCTGCGGCTCCTTTAAGAACTATGTTTATGTGATATTCTAAGTCTTTTTTTATGATTTCGACAATGTTCACAGAATCTTCACTGGGGTAGATGCCATCTCATGAAACCACTTTATTTGGTCATCTATAAGAAGCAACTCCTTAAGGCTGGGTGTGGTGGCTCACACCTGTAATCCCAGCAGGCGGATTGCTTGAGCCCAGGACTTTGAGACTAGCCTGGGCAACATGGTGAAACCCCATCTCTACAAAAAATACAAAAATTAGCCAGGTGTGGTGGCACATGCCTGTAGTCCCAGCTCCTCAGGAAGCTGAGGCAGGAGGATTGCTTGAGCGTGGGTGGTTGAGGCCTCAGTGAGCTGTGGTACGCCACTGCATTTCAGCCTAGGTAACAGAGTAAGACCCTGTCTCCAAAAAAGCAGGGAGCAACTCCTCAAACTCCTCATCTGTTGAAGTTTCATCGTGAGGTTACAGTAATTCAGTCACATCTTCAGATTCCATGTCTTTTCCTATTTCCACCACACTTCCAGTTACTTCCTCCACTGAAATCCTGAACCCTTCAAAGTCATCCATTAGAGTTGGAATCAACGTCTTTCAGACTCCTATTTGTGTTGATATTTTGACCTCCTCCCGTGAATCAGAAATGTTCTTAATGGCATCTAGAATGGTAAATCTTTACCAGAAAGATTCACTTTGCCCATATCCATCACAGAAATCATTATCTATGGCAGCTGTAACTTTATGAAATATGTCTTAAATAGTAATACTTGAAAGTTAAAATTGCTCCATAATCCATGGGATGCAGAACAGATGTTGTGTTAATGGGCGTGAAAACAACATTAATCTCTTTGTACCTTGCTATCAGAGCTCTTGGGTGACCACGTGCACCGTTAATGAGCAGTAATATATATACACACACACACACACACACACACACACACAAGTATATACATATATGTGTGTGTGTGTGTGTGTATATACATTTTTTTTTTCCCATACAGAGTCTTGCTCTGTCATCCAGGTTGGAGTGCGGTGGCATGATCTCAGCTCACTGCAACCTCTGCCTCCCAGGTTCAAGCAATTCTCCTACCTCAGTCTCCCAAGTAGCTGGGATTACAGGTGTGTGCCACCACGCCTGGCTAATTTTTGTATTTTTAGTAGAGACAGGGTTTCACCATGTTGGCTAGGCAGGTCTAGAACTCCTGACCTCAGGTGATCCACTCACTTCAGCCTCCCAAAGTACGGGGATTACAGGTATGAGCCACCGTGCCCGGCTAATTTTCTTTTCTTTCTTTTTTTTTTTTTTTGAGACAGATTCTCGCTCTGTTGCCCAGGCTGGAGTGCAGTTGCGTGATCTTGGCTCACTGCAACCTTCACCTCCTGTGTTCAAGCGATTCTTGTGCTTCAGCCTCCAGAGTAGCTGGGACTACTGGCACACACCACCACACCCGGCTAATTTTTGTGTTTTTATTAGAGATGAGGTTTCACTATGTTGCCCAGGCTGGTCTCGAACTCCTGGCCTCAAGCAATCCACCTGCCAGCAGTAATATTTTGAATTTTTTTTTGGTGAGCAGTAGGTCTCAACAGTGGACCTAAAATATTCAGTAAATCATGCTGTAAACAGATGTCATTCAGGCTTTATTGTTCCATTTATAATGCACAGGCAGAATAGATTCAGTGTAATTCTTTTTTTCTTTTTTTTTGAGACAGGGTCTGCCTCTGTCACCCAGGCTGCAGTCTGCAGGCTGCAGTGCTGTGGTGCAATCTCAGCTTAATGCAACCTCTGCCTCCAGGCTCAAGCAATCCCTTCCACCTCAGCCTCCTGAGTAGCTGGGACTACAGGCACATGCCACCATGCTCGACTAATTTTTTTGTTCTTTATGGAGACAGGGTTTCACCATGTTGCCCAGGCTGGTCTCTAATTCCTGGACTCAAGTGATCTGCCTGCCTTGGCCTCCCAAAGTGTTGGGATTGCAGGTGTGAGCCACTACACCTGGCCCTTTCATTTTTATGTTATGTAGATGGGTTCTTTCCTTAAACCTCATGAAGCAACCTCTTCTAACTTTTCTTCAGCTTCCTCAACTGTCTCAGCCCTCATAGAATTGAAGAGAGTTATGGTCTTGCTTTGGCTTATGGAATATTGTGGTTGGTTTGATCTTTCCAGTCCATGAAAACATTCTTCTTACCAGCAATAAGGCTGTTTCACTTTCTTGTTATTCCTGTGTTTATTGGAGTAGCACTTTTAATTTCCTTTTAATAACTTTCTCTGAGGCTGAGGTAGGGGGATCGCTTGAACAGCCAGCAGTTCAAGGCTGCAGTGAGATGTGATTGCACCACTGCACCCCAGTCTGGGCCATATGAACGAGACCCAGTATCTAGTAAAAGAAAAAAAAACAGTACTTGTCTCTTCGCATTCACAACTTGGCTGTTTGGTGCAAGAGTCCTAGCTTTCAGCCTCAGCTTTTTGACATGCCTTCCTCACTAAGCTTAATCATTTCTAGCCCCCCCCACCTGCCTTTTTTTTTTATGAGACAGTCTCACTCTGTTGCCCAGGCTGGAGTGCAGTGGAACAATCTCAGCTCACTGCGACTTCCACCTCCCGGGTTCAAGTGATTCTCCTGCCTTAGCCCACCAAGTAGCTGGGATTGTAGGTGTGCGCCACCAGACCCAGCAAATTTTTATATTTTTGGTAGAGATGGGGTTTCACCATGTTTGTCAGGCTGCTCTTGGGCTCCTGACTTCAAGTCATCTGCCCGGCTCAGCCTCCCAAAGTGCTGGAATTACAGGGGTGCGCCACCATGCCTGGCCCATTTCTAGCTTTTGACTTAAAGTGAGAGATGTGCATTTCTTCCTTTTACTTACTTGAACACTTAGAGACCACTATAGGGTTATTATTTGGACTTATTTCAATATTGCTGTGTCTCAGGGAATAAGGAGGCCTGAAGAGAAGGGAGAGAGATGGGGAATAGCTATTGGAGCAGTGAGAATATACACAGCATTTACTGATTAAGTTTACCATCTTATATGAGCACAGTGCATGGTGCCCCAAAACAATTAACAATAGTAACATTGAAGAACACTGATCGCAGGCTGGGCATGGTGGTTCACACCTGTAATCCTAGCACTTTAGGAGGCTGAGGTGGGTAGATCACCTGAGATCAGGAATTCAAGACCAGCCTGACCAACATGGTGAAACCCTGTCTCTACTACAAAAATTAGCCAGGTCTGCTGGCAGGCGCCTATAACCCCAGCTACTCAGTAGGCTGAGGCAGGAGAATTGCTTGAACCCGGGAGGCGGAGGTTGCAGTGAGCCGAGAGCTGAGATCCTGCCACTGCATTCCAGCCTGGGTGACAGGGCAAGACTATTGTCTCCAAAAAACAAACAAACAAACAAAAAAACACTGATTACACATCACCATAAGAGATAAAATAATAATGAAAAAGCTTCTTGAGATAATAGGAGCATCACCAAAATGTAAGGGAGGCATACAAAGTGAGCAAATGCTGTTGGAAAATTGGCACCAGTAGACTTACCTGAAGCAGGGCTGCCACAAACCTCAATTTGTAAAAAGCGCAATATCTGTAAAGCACAATAAAATGAGGTATGCCTGTAGGGCCAGGAAAAATTGAGGAAAAATTCATTCCTCTTCACTGCCCCACAGGTGTCTTGGGGAGAGGGAGTATGAAAAACTAATTTAATTTTACCCTTTGTCTTTCAGGTTTGTCCTATTTCAAAGGCACGTGATGGGATCTTTTTGAAGTGCCTTTCTTAGCCACACCTAGGGATTAGGTTCTCTGAATTCAGGGACTTCTCACAGTATGTTTTTACTTGGTTGCCTTCCTTTTCCTAAAATGATTTAAGAAGTCCTTTGCACATACAGAATGCTCCGTGGCCATTAAATAACAACCCTTTTCCTGCCAGTCATTGACCTCCAAAAATTCAAGGGGTCAGTTTGTTTGAACTTGAGATCTAACACCATTTGTTCAGTTTTTTTGTTGAAATTACTGAATCAAACTTCAGAAAAAGGGTGGGGAGCACAACAGAGTGACAAAATTATGCTATTAAGTTGTGTAGAAAATAGAAAACACTTTTGAACATATAGACAAGATAAAAAGGCCACGTTTTGCGTTCGTCATACAACCGCTAAAAATACAGCAGTGCCTTGCTGCTGCTCTGTCTCTGTGGAATATCATGGTTAAAGTATAACCCCCATTTGGTGCATAGGAAAAAGGCACACAAAATTAATTTAATTTTTCTAAGATTACATATATAAAATTACAAGGAACGTGTAGATTTCCTGACTATACCTGGTATTTTATCAATGAATTGAAATGTGTAAAGAACCTCAGAGTACAACAGAGTAATTACTATGGTTTCCTAGCATGCATTGTAACTACTTAATACATTATTAATTATTCAGGGAGGTGGTTTTTTCTAGTTGCTACTATGTATATTTTGATTTTTTTTTTTTTTAGCACAGAGGCATAGTAATATTTGTATTAATGTTGGTGAAATGAAAATTTAAAATTTTATGTAAAATGAAAATTTAAATTGAATTTCAGAACAAAACTTTATCAAA
Organism: Homo sapiens; assembly: GCF_000001405.40. NCBI lineage: Eukaryota > Metazoa > Chordata > Mammalia > Primates > Hominidae > Homo > Homo sapiens. The sequence goes on from NC_000020.11 coordinate 47,574,609, forward strand.
TATTTTCCAAAATAGGCTTTTGTGTTTTAAGTTTCTACCTTAATTAACTTTTAGGCCACCCTTGGTTTTTGAAATTTGAATCTGATTCTGTTTTCTTCAAGGGCCTGTATCTTCCTTTGTATACGCTTTGCATAGCAAGTACAGGTCATGCTTAGCATTGTGTTGAATGTTGAGTTTATTTCAGTGTAAACTGAATGCTTTAGCGTAAACTCAGCATTCAACACAATGTCTGGCATTAAATGATTTGCATAGTATTATGTAAAATGTTCTTGTACATTGTAGCAGTGAGGATATCTGATATAATTTTGACATCAGCATTATATATGTAATTACATTTCTATTTTTAAGTATTAAGGAATGGAAATATTTTAATCTTAATATACTTAGGAACTCTGGGATCTTCCCCAACCTCCCCACTTCCCCCAATAGCTGCTGCTGGAGATGGAATCCTATCTGAGGGTTAATAATAATGCCATCACCCATTCCCTTCCCCCAGCCTTATGCTAGAGCCTAGTTTGCCTGCAGCTGCAGTGCTAGGCATCTTTCAGGAAGTGACCTTGGCTTGTATTAATCAAATTCAGAACACACAAAAAAGCTTCTTGCTAACATGCTGACTTGATGTAAAATTTTATCGCATCCATTTTGTTTCAAAATGAGGCCATTTTGTAAAAAGAAGATATACAGAAGACCCCTAATTTATTATATATCTATATATACGTATATGTAAAGCTTTTGCAAACCATGTTGAAAAAACAACTAGGTCTATTTTAAAGTAGACTTTTTATTGCCAAATATGCATAAACTTAAATCATGAAGGCTTGGGAATTGTTACTAGAAAATTACTTCTTTTAATGTCGAATTAAGAAAAAACTATCAGCATCGAGTTTATTTACTATCTTAACTGACATTATATTGCTATATAAACTTTAAACACTGAAGTTATTTTGGAACCCTTCAGCAGTTATATTAAGTCACACACTTCTGTATATTTGCTTACTTTCACGTTTTCAGAAATAACTGGTATCTTACTTTGCTGGTTTGGATAAGAGCTAATATCCTACATGAAATCGTTTTCTTAGGCAATGGTGGTGCCTACAGGGTATTCTAAACGTAAAGGTAAATTTAAGTCAATGAGTCTGTTAAAATTCAACTACCTATTGTGTCAAAGAGAGAAATATTGCTAACTACAAATTTACAGTGTGTTCATTTAGGATTTGACTAATCATTTTAATAGTAGAGCAGTTAATACAGCGATTTCACTTTTATCCTGTGGTGCTTCAAAGGCATCTAGTTTTTAAATGTAGTCCAGTTAAGGTGTATGTAGTAGAGGTTTTCATTTTAGACTTGCTCAATGTTAAATATAGAATGTTGAAAATATTATTTAATGGATTAGTTTATTGGTTTCTGCATTTGAAGAAATTTACATAAATTAGTTAGGGAGCAGTTGTACCTACTGCCAAATGGTTCACTCCTGAGTTTATTGTACAGTTACTCCCAGGTACTGAAATATAAGAAAAGAAAAATTTAAACCTTAGCTAAGAGCTCTGCCTGCATTTCTGTGGATCCACATTATGAAAAGGATAGAGGAACATTACCTGTGTATAGTAATGGTTTGAGGAGAGGGTAGGGAAACTATGCAAATAAAAAAATTGGGGTATAGGCAAATCCTTCAGTTAGATGTCTTTATTATCTGAGTTACTTTTAAAGCATTTACTGGATACACAACCAGTATTATCTTTTTACCATCCTATAAATTGTTCATAGAATTGCAACCTCATGGAGGAAAATCCATCTCCTTTACCTGCCTAAATTTATTCTTTGTCTTGATACTAGCATTAATAATTGGTTTGTTAGATACTACAGGCTAAAGAAACTCAGATTTCAAGAAGAAAGAAGATAATTACTCGATCATTTCTCCCCTCAAACACCTGTTTAAAATATATTGTCTTGAATAAAATTGTCACCTTGAACTTATTGTGTTCTTTGCCTTCTCCACTCCCCTGTCCTTAAAAAAAATAAAAAGAAGGGAAAGCCTTATAAGAAAAGGAAAATGTGCAATCCTGGTAGCCAATGAGTTAATGTTCATTTGCAGCCCGAGGGGTCAGCATGCAGCCTGTGTTTCCTGATTGGCTGCTAAAAGGTGAAATTGAAACCACTGTAAACTTTTGACCCTGTAGCAATTCTTGTGGAACGCCTTCCACTGGTGGAGCCCAGAGCTTTGCTCACTTCCCCACCCAACTCTCCCACCCTCTTTCCTGTATTTATTTTGTGTGATCCTGCAGCACTGCATGCAGTTTTTCCAAAGTGGCAGGGAGAGAGAGGCAGAACAAGCGCAAGCAAGCGGCTTGCTTGAATGCCTGTTTTGGTAACCATTGGATAAGAGCTAATATTCAACTCAGCCAAAGATATCAGGCCTTTTATACTAATCTGCCAACCAGATTTTTAAGTTTTCTCCTTAATCTAAAGCTAATTTAAAAAAATTTAGGCTAGTTTAGTTCCATTGTTCATCAGTGGATAGTATCGTTGTATAAGCAAAAATGTATGGCATAATTTCCTGGATGTCTTGAATTAAAAATAAGTTTTAAGTTTTAGCTACCTTTACCCCATTTATGTTTCCTGTATCCCTATGTAATTTTTACACAAATGGCCATTTCATAGAAGGTTTTTTGTCTTTTGCCTTTATTATGAAGAAACTCAAATGGCATTTTGGTTATGACAACTCTGGACATAATTGCAGAAATTGTACAATTAATGCCTCCCCCTTTGGCTGAGATAAATGGTTTTGGATTTGTCTTGCTTTCACATGTAAATAGTGTTGAACAGTTAACAACCCCATGAAAAAGGCAGGGTAGTTTTTCTCTATTCTTTCCTTATACTCTCATGGGACTCTGGTCTTTTTAATTCTTCCTTTTATCCATGGTGTCTAGCACAATGTGGCACATGGATGCTTAGCAGATGCTTACTGAATGAACATAGCTTTCATTTTAGGAACTTTAGGTCTGTTTATACCTGCTTCCCTTTTCCTAATTAATTGATGGCAGCAACTGTGATTTGCTTATTTCCAAGTGCCAGTGCAGTGCCTGATTCTAATAGATACACAGCAAGCATTTAATTGAAATCGAATTAAAATCTAACACAAGATCATTTCAAGAAGCAGGACTTTACAAAATCTAGGTTTTCAGAAGCCAAGGCGTCTGTTTTCACTGCGTTATTATGAATTTTCAGGCTGATTCCGTATAGAACTAAATGTTTAATTTATTAAATATGTAGAATACATTATAAGTCAGCTTGATTCTTTCTAGTATATATCACAAGATATGTGGTAATACCTGTCTTTATTTTACTAGACATGCATATGCTGTAATTTGAAATAATTCCTTGTCCCCCACTCCCTTATCAAGAAGATTATAGCATTTAAAAAAGATTGTTATAAATGTCTTACCAATGTTCTCCTGGGAAGCAAATACATTTTTACTTAATTGAACATACAATAATGGACTAAGTAATGGGAAAAAAAAATTCTTAAACTGAGTTAAGTTTATATAGCTCAAAAAAAGTGGTACCATTTTATATAACTTTATTATTATTATTTTTTAAGACAGAGTCTTGCTCTGTTGCCCAGGCTGGAGTGCAGTGGCGCGATCTCAGCTCACTGCAACCTCTGCCTACGGGGTTCAAGCGATTCTCCTGCCTCGGCCTCCCGAGTAGCTGGAACTACAGGCGCCCACCACCACACCCAGCTACTTTTTGTATTTTTAGTAGAGATGGGGTTTAGCCATGTTGGCCAGGCTGGTCTCGAACTCCTGACCTCAGGTGATCTGCCCACCTCGGCCTCCCAAAATGCTAGGATTACAGGCATGAGCCACTGCACCCAGCCCCATTTTATATAACTTGAAATGTTCATATGATTTTCAACTTGCATTTGGTCTTCTCCTTTCATTATAGCTACAGATTAGCTGTAGTTGATTGTTGCAAGTGAAACCTGTGGTTAGAGTTTTGATCAAAGATACTTATCACTTGATAAATAATCCCAACTGCAAAAGTGTTGGATTTTGACGTTAAATTTAACACTAATATTTTGCAGCCTTTAACCTGAAATTCATTTGGTGACCCAGTCTACTCTGTAGTACTTTGAAGATTATTGAGCAACAGCTAGCTTTTCCCAGTGACAGTGGCTCCCCTTTTCTGTGATTTTAGGGAAGTGAGGAAGGAGATCCTGGGAGCAGTGCCAGTGGGAGCTTGGAAAGAACAATGGGTTTAATATGATTAATTGTAGAATCCTTGCCCCTTTTCATGTTCAACAGTAAAAGAAAAACATGTTTATAATATTCAGTGGCTGCTTTTTGCCCTGTTGGTGTTTCCAAGCATTATATATTATATAGTTTGGATTTTCCTGTGTATCAACTCCTCTCCCCAATTTTATTCTTTGTTCTGGCTTTGAGGCATATCTTCTCAGACTAGCTATTAACAAGGCTTAATTTGATGTTTGATTTCCCCTCACGTCCTTTTAGGTCTCTGGTGATGAAGGCTTAAAATAAAAACCTAAAACTAAAACAGGGGCCATGTTGTCCAAGATGGACTCAGATTCCTGAGCTCAAGCAATCTTCCTGCCTCAGCCTCCTGAGTAGCTGGCGTTACAGGTGTGCGCTGCCATGCCTGGCCTGGTGATGCAGGTTTTGGTAATGTAGATGTCATCAGTAAACCATTAATTCTACTAGAAAATTTAATGTCCCTGTTACCTTCTCAGATGTCTAATGTTTCTGGAACTTCTCACATTTAGTTTTATGTCAGTATGATTTGGTTTTTGTATGTGTGATTGATGAAAATCTGAATTGTGAAAAGGGATAATCTTGTTTTTGATAAAGAAAAAAAATACTGTCCTAAGAAATCTGCTAGGATTGTTGCCTTTGCAGAATCTTTTTTCCAGACAAGTTTAACTCACCAGCAAATTTACTAACAGTTCTATACTTACAGGATCCTGGTATATAGTAGTACTCCTTTCCAGGTTCCTGGTAGGCAAGCCAATCATTGTTCTGTGACTATTTGCGAATCTCTCTGGTTTAATTATACACTTCCTTGGAGGGGAGAATTTTGTACCTGGCTTGTCTTTGTGTTACTGAACTGAACTGGGTCTATTTTTCTGTGTATGCAATGGAAAGCTGAACACTAAGCACCAAGTTTTTGTAGGAAGAAAAGTTTATTGCAAGGCTGCTGTGTAAGGAGACAGGAGTTGGGCTCAAATCTGCCTCTCTGAACTAGAGTTTGGGTGCAGGTTTTATATTTGGAGAGTAATGAGGTGTGATCTGAGTGGATCCTGCCATGGGATGATGTCAAGGCTTGATTTGGTTGCATCTTCTGTCCTGCCATGTGGTGTCTGCTCTTATTCATTCGCTGTTCCTCAGTTTGATCATTTAGATTCCACCCATGGTTGCATTCTTTGTTCATCTGGGCATGCTGACTTTACATGATCTTCCACCTGGGGGTCCAGCAGTTAACATTTGGGTCCAAGGGTGCAGATTGGCAGGGTCAGCATTCCTTTGAGAAGTACGAAGACCAGCACTATAACACTGGAGTATTAATCTAGGCCCTCTCACCACCTTCTACACGAGGCAGCAGTAATTGTTTCCTAGGTCCATTATGCTACTAGATACTTTCTGACTCAAATTCCTTTCCTGGCCGGGCACGGTGGCTCATGCCTGTAATCCCAGCACTTTGGGAGGCCGAGGTGGGCAGATTTCTTGAGGTCAAGAGTTCGATACCAGCCTGGCCAATGTAGTGAAACCCTGTCTCTACAAAAATTAGCTGGGCATGGTGGCATGCACCTGTAATCCCAGCTACTCGGGAGGCTGAGGCAGGAGAATCGCTTTAACCCGGGAGGCAGAGGTTGCAATGAGCCGAGATCATGCCCCACTGCACTCTAGCCTGTGCAACAGAGTGAAACTCCATCCCCCACCCCCATCCCCCCAAAAAATCCTTTCCTTATCCCACCTCTTTTGTTCCTTAGGTGCTAACCCCACCCCATGACCCTCCTTCGTCTTTCCTAATAAAGGAAAAAACATAAGAGAACCATTTTAGAAGTCAAACCTGATTTAAAACAGGGCCAGAAGATCTTAGAGGTTCTTTACAGAAGTTCTGCCTACCTTTTCTCCGTTCATCTTACACGAATTAAATTGGATAGCATAAAAATTCAAGTTAAAAAACATAACATTCGGTCCGGTATGGTGGCTCACACCTGTAATCCCAACACTTTGGGAGGCCGAGGCAGACAGATCACTTGAGCTCAGGAGTTCAAGGCCAGCCTGGGCAACATGGTGAAACCCTGTCTCTACAAAAAATATAAAAATTAGCTGGGTATGATGGTGTGTGCCTGTAGTCCCAGCTCCTTGGGTAGTTGATGTGGGAGTATTGTTTGAGCCTCGGAGGTCGAGGCTGAGGTGAGCCATGACCATACCACCACACTCCAGCCAGTCTGGGCACAGAGTGAGATCCTGTCTCAAAAAGAAAAAGAAAAAAGCTACAACTTTGGTGCACAAAATTATTAAAAATATTATATAAAATTACCTTCAGGCTGTGTGTATAAGTAACATAAATGAATTTTATGTTTGGACTTGGGTTTCTTCCCCTAGATATCTCAGTATGCATATGCAAATATTTAAGAAATCTGAAAAAAATTCGAGACACTTATGCTTCTAAGCATTTTGCATAAGGGATAGTCACCCGGCACTACCTAGAGTTTTCTTTTTCCTTTGTTGTGAGCCACATGTAATGTGCCTCCCATTCCCTGCTCACTGATTTTCTCCCCTCTAATTTTAGTTTCAGAAACACAACAGACCTTTCCATAATGCAGCTAGATTGTGGTTGGCTCTCCCTATATACTGTCTGCAGACTACACTACGTGGAATGTCCATGGCTATAATATGTTTGTTACTTGTAACTTGTGAATATATCATTTTTCCTTTCCCCCATACCAACAGATCTACCAATTCCAGCATGAAAGCTATTAACTTTAGGGCGTAATTATGGTTGTTATCTTGGTTCGATACCATTGGAATTAGTGGCAATCATATTGTTGCTTTATTGTTAAATTTGGAAATTCATAAGGTAAAGTGAATGTTCTTACTGGTTCACTTATTTATTGCAGCAGAACCTGCACGCCATTTCTTCAAGTGCAAAAGCCTGCTGTTTATATGTTCATGTGTTTTATTGTAGATTATTTTGAAGAACGGTCTCTCATTTCCTTGCTAATATTTTGTTTTGGTGGTCAAAATGCATCCTTTTATAGAAGGCAAGAAAACATCTGAGCCTTTCCTCTGGCCTTTGCTTGTTGGCTTTATCCATCCCTCCCTCATCTGATAATTTTTGGACTAGGGCATTTAAGCATTTGATTCTGCCAGGGTATTAATGTTGTCTTTATTCTCTGTTGAGCACTGATTTTGGACAAATGAATACCCCCACAAGTTCAGAGTACCCATCTGTTTTGATCACTTTTCAAGATTCAGAACTGGTCTCCACCACCTCCACTTTGCATTATCCATTTTTACAAACTGTGACAGAGTACATATTATATATGCTATGCCTGACTTTTATTTTAATTAATTAATTAATTAATTTACTTATTTTTGAGATGGAGTTTTGCTTTTGTTGCCCAGGCTAGAGCGCAATGGCATGGTCTTGGGTCACTGTAACCTCTGCTTCCCTAATTCAGGTGATTCTCCTGCCTCAGCCTCCTGAGTAGCTGGACTACAGGCGCATGCCATCACACCAAACTAATTTTTTGTATTTTTAGTAGATATGGGGTTTCACCATGTTGACCAGGCTGGTCTCAAACTCCTGACCTCATGTGATCCACCCACCTCGGCCTCCCAAAGTGCTGGGATTCGAGGCATGAGCCACTGCGCCTGGCCCTGACTTTTGTTTTTTAATTTTTATTTTTTTGTGTGTGGAGATGGTGTCTTGCTATGTTGCTCAGGCTGATCTTGAACTCCTGGCCTCAAGCGGTCCTCCTACCTCAGCCTTTCAAAGTTCTGGGATTATAGGCATGAGCCACTGCGCCTGGCCCTATGCTTGACTTTTCAAACAGAAGTAGTGATTATATGGTACAATAAGACATCTACTCAAATTCCTAGGAAGAGGTGGTGTACTTGATAGCTTTTGTTTGTTTCATATATCCAGGGAAGGGAAAAATGGGAAGACTTAATTTTTTTGAGAGAGAATCTCGCTCTGTCACCCTGGCTGGAGTGCAGTGGCATAGTCTCGGGTCACTGCAACCTCTGCCTCCCAGGTTCAAGTGATTCTCCTGCTTCAACCTCCTGAGTAGTTGGGATTACAGGCGGATGCCATGTCGCCCGGCTAATTTCTGTATTTTTAGTAGAGTTGGGGTTTTGCCATGTTGGCCAGGCCAGCCTTGAACTCCTGACCTCAAGTGATTTGCCCGCCTTGCCTCCCAAAGTGCTGGGATTACAGGCGTGAGCCACCACGCCCGGCTGGAAGACTTAATTTGTGGGTGACTAATCATAATGCTTAAATGAAGAAAAGACAATAAAATTCAATCCCTCCTCTTCTTTTTGTCCTCAGGATCAAAATACTTGCTGGATGGTGGACTCAGAGACCAATAAAAATAAACTGCTTGAACATCCTTTGACTGGTTAGCCAGGTAATTCAGCTTTAGTTTGATTTGATCCTTTGTAATTTTTTGTCTTCAACCTTCTGAAGATATTACCCTCCTCTTTAATTTATGATTTAATTAAAACTATTTATGCTTCATGTTTTTCTCTTTAATGATTATTAAATGAATGTGCTTAGAGTACTTGAGTGAATACGTATGTGTATGTACAGTTGGCCCTTGAACAACTGAGGACTGGGGACACTGACCCCTTGTTCAGTAAAAAATGTGCAGAACTTTCGACTCCCCCCAAACTTAACTACTAATAACCTCCTCTTGCCTAGAAGCCTCACTGTTAATATAAACAGCTGATTAACACATATTTTGTATGTTACATATATTATATCCTGTATTCTTACAATAAAGTAAGCTAGAGAAAATAAAATGTTATTAAGAAAATTATGGCCAAGTGCAGTGACTCATGTTTATAATCCTAGCACTTTGAGAGGCTGAGGTGGTTAGATCACCTGAGTCCAGGAGTTTGAGAACAGTCTGGGCAACAGAGCGAAACCCCATCTCTACAGAGAATGCAAAAACTAGCCAGACATAGTGGCCTGTGCCTTAGTCCCTAGCACTAGAGACACTGAGGTGGGAGGATTGCCTGTGCCCATGAGGTTGAGGCTGCGCCTCAGCTGTGATTGTGCCACTGCACTCTAGCCTGGGCAACAGAATGAAACCCTGTCTCCAAAAAGAAAAAAAAGAAATAGAAAAAAGGAGAAAATTTTAAGGAGGCTGGACATGGTGGCTCACTCATATGCTCACAACTATGATCCTAGCACTTTGGGGATTGGAGGTGGGAGGATCACTTGAGGCCAGGAGTTGGAGACCAGCCTAAACAACACAGTAACACCCCCAGTTCTACAAAACACACAAAAAATTAGCTAGCAAGGTGGTGTGCGCTTGTAGTCCTAGCTGCTTGGGAGGCTGAGGTGGGAGATTGCTTGATCTCAGGAGTTTGAAGCTGCAGTGAGCTATGACTGCACCACTACACTTCAGCATGGGCAACAGTATGAAACCTTGTCTCTAGAAAATAAGTAAATAAATAAATAATTAAAAAGGAAAGACATGGCCGGATGCGGTGGCGCATGCCTGTAATCCCAGCACTTTGGGAGGCCAAGGTGGGTGGATCACCTGAGGTTAGGAGTTTGAGACCAGCCTGGCCAATGTGGTGAAGCTCCGTCTCTACTAAAAATACAAAAATTAGCCGGGCATAGTGGCGTGTGCCTGTAATCCCAGCTACTCGAAAAGCTGAGGCAGGAAAATCACTTGAACCTTGGAGGTGGAGGTTGTAGTGAGCTGAGATCATGCTACAGCACTCCAGCCTGGGCAACAGAGTGAGACTTCATCTCAAAAAAAAAAAAAAAAGTCATAAGGAAGAGAAAATATACATATTATTCATTAAGTGGATCATCATAAAGGTCTTCATTCTTTTCGTGAGGTTGAGTAGGCTTGAGGAGGAGAAAGAAGAGGAAATGTTGGTCCTACTGTCTTAGGCATGGCAGAAATAGAGAAAAATCTGCGTATAACAGAACAAATGCAGTTCAAATGTGTTGTACAAGGGGTTATGGTATTCGTATATATGTATATACATACAAATACAAACATAATTTTGGGGGAAGAGAAGAAATTCCCCCTCCTTATGTGTGAATATTTTAATGGCATTTAGTCAAACATCTGAATTAGCCTAACTTACATTTGCTGTTTCACCTTGTGAAGACAAATTTCCCCAGATTGCTTGTGCTGGCAAATAACATTTCATCTAACCCCTTTCTTAACTTTTTTTTTTTTTTTTTTTTTTTTTGAGACAGACTCCCTCTGTCACCCAGGCTGGAGTGCAGTGGTGTGATCTCGGCTTACTGCAGCTTCTGCCTCCTGGATTCAAGCAATTCTCATGCCTCAGCCTCCCAAGTAGCTGGGATTACAGGCGTGCACGGCCACATCCGGCTAAGTTTTGTATTTTTGGTAGAGATGGGATTTCACCATGTTGGCCAGGCTGAAACTCCTGGCCTCAAGTGACGTGCCTGCCTTGGCCTAAAGTGCTGGGATTATAGGCGTGAGCCACTACGCCTGGCCCCTTTTCTTAACTTTTAATATTACATCAGAATAGGAAAAATGAGAATAGAAAAAGCTGTCTAGTTGCCGAGAAAACAATCATGCTTTGCTTAGCTAAATTTCTTTTGGTAATCCCATCATTCTCTTGGTTAGCTAGGTTTGAAATCTGAGTTGTCTTTGAATCCCACCGTACTCTGATTCATTTGGTAAGCAGGCTTTATCTGGCTTTCTATTTTCATGTGTCCTGTATTTGTTCCACTTTCTGTTCCTAATTTTAGCTTCCGAGGCCAAGACCCCATAATTTCATGAGGGTGTTTTTCCTTGTCTCTACTGCTTCCTTGTCCACTCACTTAAAATTTAGCTAGATTTTCCTAAATGTATACTTTTAGCCAAGCTTATGTTGTGCTCTAAGTTTTGTGCTACCTTTCCTTGGCTTACAGAAAGAAAAAGTACAAACTCCCTTCTCTGACATTTCAAATGGTACTTTATCTGAGAATCTATCCAAGTTACCAGCCTTAGGTCTTGCAATTTCCCTGTAAAATCCCTCAGTTAATTGTGATATATACCCATTCTTCTGAACATGGCAGAGAACTATCTCCACAGGTTTTTTTTTTTTTTTTTTGAGACAGAGTTTGTTACCCAGCTTGGAGTGCAATGGCGCGATCTTGTTTCACTGCAACCTCCACTTCCAGGGTCAAGTGATTCTCCTGCCTCAGCCTCCTGAGTAGCTGGGATTACAGGCACGCGCCACCCTGCCCGGCTAATTTTGTATTTTTAGTAGAGACGGGGTTTCACCATGTTGGCCAGGCTGGTCTTGAACTCCTGACCTTAGGTGATCTACCTGCCTCGGCCTCCCAAAGTGCTGGGGTTACAGGTGTGAACCACTGTGCTCGGCCAATTTTTTCTTTTTTAAATACCTTTTATTTGGAAGTATACATTTACAAAAGTTACAAAAATATAGTATAAAGAACATCTGGATATCCGTTATCCAGACTTACCCACTTGCTTATTTGTATTTGTGCTGTCCTACTCTCTTTTCTCTTTTTCTACCCACGTAAACACACACACAATTTTTTTTTTTAACCATTTGAGGGTGAGTTACATATGTTATGCTTCTTTCCCCTAATACTTCTGTTGTATTCCTACAGATAGGGTCATTCTCTTATATAACCATGGTACAGTTAATAACTTCATAAATGGACATCGATGAAATCTATCGCCCATATTCCAGTTTTGTCAGTTGACCTAAGAAAGTCTCTTGTAGCATTTTCTATGCTTCCTGTATAGACTACAGTCTGGGGTCAGGTTCTGCATTCAGTTATTATTTCTCTTTGGCCTCCTTTTTCCTGGGATATTTTCACAGCCTGTCTTTATCTCTTATGACATTGGCATTTTTGAGAACACAACCCTTCCCTAACCCCTTTACTCTGTTCAGTGGAGATGTTCTTCATTTTATGTTGGTCTGAAATTTCCTTGTGATTAGATTAAGATGTTATGGATTCTTGGCAGGAATACTGCATCCGCAATGTGATACTCTGAGATGGAGTCATATGACGTCCGTCTGTCCCTTATTGTGATGCAAATTTTGATCCCTTGGCCAAGGTGTTGCCAGATTTCTCCACCATTTGGTTTTTTTGCCCTCTCTTTTGCCAAGCAATAAGCAGCTTGTGGGGAAACAATGCAGATATTCTGATTCTTTTCACGGTTTCTTCTAGATTTAGCATCCATTGACTCTTGTCTGATCCAGCTTTTTATTGTGATGATTGCAAAATGGTCATTTTTTTCTTTCCAGCATTCCTTTCCCATTACCCGTCGGATCTTGGCTGTATTCCATAATCAATAGCCCTATGTATTGGTGATGGATTCATGAATTCCTATTTTTTGAATGGTTTACAATTCACTTACCCTGCTTAATTATTTTAGTGCTCAAATTGTCCTAGAAGTTTGGCTAGTGAAACTCCTGTAAGTGGGCCGCTGTGTCCTTGTGGGGAATAAAAGTTTTAGAGACCAAGATCTCTCTGAGTGCTAGGTGTCCTCACTACTTCTGGGCTGTTTTCTCATCTTGGCCTTTTTAGTGGATAGAGCTAGGAAATAATATGCATGCTTATACACATACATGTACATATACATACTCATACAGTCATCCCTTCGTACCTGAGGGTGATTGGGTCTAAGACCCTTTGTGTGCACCAAAATCTGCTGATGCTTAAGTTCTTTAAACTATAAAGTAGCAATTGTATTTGCATATAACCCATGTTCAATTTCTTGTATGCTTTAAGTCATCTCTAGATTACTTATAAGAATCTAACACAGTGTAAATACTGTGTAGGTTGTTGTTAAACTGTATTTTTTAATTTGTATTTTATTGCTGTATTGTTTTTTTAAATTTATTTTTTGAGTATTTTTGATCCATGGATGCAGAATCCACGATACAGAGGGCCGACTTCGCATGTGTTCATTGAAACATACATATACATATTTTAGAAATCATGAGCTTATATCAGTATGTACGTCTTTATTCCATGTCTACAGGGTTCTTTGTACTTCATTTTTTATTTTTATGTCCCTTATTATTATGTGGGAATCCTGACTCTCAACCTTAGTACATTTACTCATTTGCCTAATCCTCTAATACATCTAAAATAATTTCAGAATTGGTTTTTTCATTTCACTGCAATAAACAAACTGAAAATGAGTGGAGCATTTGTCTATAATTCTTCTCCACCTCCCAATTTTACCCAAGACCGAGAGTAAACAGTTAAAATTTAAATTGCTTGGATTAGCCCTCCATACCCTTTCTCCACCCCACTTTTTTTTTTTTTTTTTTTTTTTTTTTGAGGCAGTCTTGGTTGCTCAGGCTGGAGTGCAGTGGTGCGACCTTGGCTCACTGCAACCTCTGCCTTCTGGGTTCATGGGATTCTTCTGCCTCAGCCTCCTGAGTAGCTGCAACTACAGGTGCGTGCCACCATGCCCAGCTAATTTTTGTATCTTTAATAGAGACAGGGTCTCACCACGTTGCCCAAGCTGGTCTCCAACTCCTGAGGTCAGGCGATCCGCCCGCCTCTGCCTCCCAAGGTGCTGGGATTACAGGAGTGAGCCACCACGCCCGACCTCCACCCCACTTTTACTTCCCACCTTACTTTCTGTATAAACTAGTTAGGGTATTCATTTGAAACAAAATTAAGTTTATTTACTTGTTTGCTTATGCTGCCTCCCATTCTGATTTTTATTTTTGTAATATGTAGAATAATAACATGCTTTCAAAAGTCAAAATTATACAAAAGGCATACATTGCTTTTGTATCCCTTCCATGCCATTTTTCTTCAGTTTTCTTAGGTAACCAACTTAAATGTTTTCTGTCTTATCCTTCCCATTTCTTTTTTTTGATGGTATCTGTATGTTTTATTTATTTATTTATACAAAAGATAGCGTACTATATATACTCTTGCACTTTGCTTTTTTTCCTACTTAACTGATATCTCCTGGAAATAATGCCCTATCATGCCAAAGAGATCTTTCCCATTCATTTATTTTAATTGTAGTAAAATTTACAGAATATAAAATACAACTTTTTTTTCTTTTAAAGACTGAATTTGGCTCTTGTCTCTCAGGCTGGAGTACAGTGGTGCAATCTCAGCTCACTGCAACCTCTGCCTCCCAGGTTCAAGAGATTCTCCTGCCTCAGCCTCCCAAGTATCTGGGACTACAAATGCCCAACAGCATGCCCGTCTAATTTTTGTATTTTTTTTTAGTAGAGACAGGTTTTCACCATGTTGACCAGGCTGGTTTCAAACTCCTGACCTCAGGTGATCCACCCGCCTCAGCTTCCCAAAGTGCTTGGGAGTAAGCTACAGGTGTAAGCCATTGTGCCCGGCCAGAGGACCAACTTTTGATTAAATTATAGATATCCAGTTCCAGGGCTATTTGTAGAAAAGATGTTCCTTTTTTCTTGGTTTGCTTTGGTAACTTGATTAATTGATTATATTTGCCAAAGTCTCTTTCTGGCCTCTATTCAGTGCCATCCTCATGCCCATATACATTGTCTGATTATAGGACTTTATTTATTTTTTTGAGATAGAGTCTCGCTCTGTCACTCAGGCTGACGTGCAGTGGCGCACCCTCAGCTCACTGCAACCTCTGCCTCCCTGGTTCAAGTGATTCTCCTGCCCCAGCCTCCTGAGTAGCTGGGATTACAGGTGCCCACTACTAAGCCCAGCTAATTTTTTTTTTTTAAGTAGTGACGGGGTTTTGCCATGTTGTCCAGGTTGATCTCGAGCTCCTGACTCAGGTGATACACCCTCCTTGACCTCCCAAAGTTCTGGGATTATAGGCATGAGCCACTGCACCTGGCTGACTTGAACTTTTAAAGTCTCTTTTATTTGTTCTTTTATCCTGAAACTAGGAAACAAATACAATACCCTCTCCACCAGATTTCACTTGGAATACTTATAAATTTGGATGAAGTCATCTCTTGTTCAGGTTCCCTAAATTTACTGAGTCATTGGCTGCCACTAAGTGACCTTCCATCTGTGAAGCTAGTCCCTGTAAACCAAGAACAGGTACCAGGCCCATAAACATTGACTTCTTGTATAATGTAAAATCTTTGTTTTCTTTTTAAAAAAATTTTTTAATTTATAAGATGTTTATTTAAAATGTTTTGTGGAAGTGAGGTATCACTATATTGCCTAGGCTAGTCTTGAACTCCTGGGCTCAAATAATCCCCCTGCATTGGTTTCCCCAAGTGTTGGTGCTGGGATTACAGGTGTGAGCCACTGTGTCCTGCCCTACTATCTTTGTTATAGTGGTGGACTTGTCATACGATTATATTATAATTATATGACATTATATCATTATATTGTTCTTAATTATAAGAAATAGTATATGACCTAGATTGTACAATGATTTGTCCAGTTATCCTGGTAAATTTTATTTACCTTTGTCTTGACGGAATTTGATTAAGCCTATGCAAATAACGTTATTAACATGAAAAAATAGACTTAGTTTTTACTTTATTTTGAGGTGGGGTCTCACTCTCTTGACCTACCTGGAGTGCAGTGGTATGATTGTGGCTCATTGCAATCTTGAATTCCTGGACTCAAGCAGTCCTGCCTCAGCCTCCTGAGTAGCTGGGACTACAGGCATGCGCCACCGCTCTCAAATGCCATTTAAAAATTTTCCTACAAAAGCATAATATATTAAATTGTGAGCTAGAGGTAGATGAAGAAGAAAGGAAAAGGGCTTCCTCATATAGCCATCAGAAAACAGAATATTAAAAAATAACACCAGCCTGGGCAATATGGTAAGACCCCGTCTCTACAAAAATAAAAAATAAAAACATTAACTGGGCATTGTGTGTCACATGCCTGTGGTCCCAGCTGCTGGGGAGGCTGAGGTAGGAGGATCGCTTGACGCTGGGAGGCTGATGCCTCAGTGAGCCGTGATCGCACCATCGCACCCCATCCTGGGCAAGAGACCAAGACCCTGCCTCAAAACAAAACAAAAAACGGCTGGGCATGGTGGCTCATACCTGTAGTCCCAGCACTTTGGGAGGCTGAGGCAGGTTGATCACCTGAGGTCAGGAGTTCAAGACCAGCCTGACCAACGTGGTGAAACCTCTCTCTACTAAAAACGTAAAAATTAGCTGGGGGTGGTGATGGGTGCCTGTAATCCCAGCTACTCGGGAGGCTGAGGCATAAGAATCACTTGAACCCCAGGGGGCAGAGGCTGCAGTGAGCCGAGATCGCACCATTGCATTCCAGCCTGGGAAACAGAGTAAGATTGTGTCTCAAGACAAAAAACAAAAGACAAAAGAAAAAACAAAAGAAAAAACCATAGTCTGAAACAACTGGTTAAATTTCTGCCACTAGTTCATTTAGTCCTATGCAGTTAATTCTGTTTCTCTTAGGCTTATTCTGTAGTCACTTTTAAGTTGTCTGCTTAGATGTTTAAGATACCTAGACATTTTGGCCTTTAGTATAGTTTTAAAATTTAAAAATGTTAGCTCAGTAGTTCATTGCCCAGAGTATTTCATAAATTATCAAGATTTAAAGGTACTTTGTACAGTCTTTTGCATGAGAATCTTCAACTGTCCTTTGAAGACAAATTATAGCATATGAGTCCTCAAGGGAAGCATCGGAGAGTAGCAGAAGCCATCACCCATTTGACAGTAAGACATTTCTGGTACTCTTCATTCATCTTTATAGATGTGCATTTTCATCTGATGCCCCTTTCTCTTTGGCCTGAAGGATATAATTTCATTTCCAGAATTGTTTATCACTGATTGTCTCAACTTTTATTTATCTGAAAATGTCTTTATTTCACCCTATTTTTGAAGGTTTGGTTCACTGGATAGAAAATTCTGGGTTGTTGATTTTTTTATTTCAGCACTTTAAAGTTGTTCTGTGGTGTTGTAACCTCCTCCCCTTTTTTTTTTTGAAGAGTTGATTTTTAATCTTGTTCTCAGTATGTGTGGTCTTTTTTTCTTGTGGATACTTTTAAGATTTTCTTTTTACGTTTGGTTTAAAATAGTTTGACTATGTATTTAGGTCTAGTTTTCTTTGTATTTATCCTGCATGGTATTCTTTGAGCTTCTTGGATTTGTAAATTTGTGTTTTCATCAAATATGGAAAGTTTTGGCCATTCTTCAAGTACTTTTTCTGCATCTCTGCTTCAATTTAATTCTCCTTCCTCTGGGACTCCAATCATACTTGCTAGGCCATTTGATTTTCTTTTGTTTTGAGGTGGAGTTTCGTTCTTGTACCCCAGGCTGGAGTGCAGTGGTGCTCTTTTGGCTCACTGCAACCTCCGCCTCCTGGGTTCAAGCAATTCTCCTGCCTCAGCTCCTGAGTAGCTGGGATTACAGGTGCTTGCCACCACACCTGGCTAATTTTTTTTGTATTTTTAGTAGAGATGGGGTTTTGCCATGTTGGCCAGGCTGGTCTTGAACTCCTGACCTCAGGTGATCCATCTGCCCCAGCCTCCCAAAGTGCTGGGATTACAGGTGTGAGCCACCAGGCCCAGCCGACCATTTGATATGTTTATAAGTCATTAAGGTTCTAACCATTTTTCTTCAGTCTTCTTCCTTTCTCTTCTTCAAATTGGATAATTCTTTTGATATCCCTTCAAGTTCAGTGACTTTTTCTGCCAACTCAATTTCTAAGCACTATTCAACAATGAAATACTTTTACCTCTTATTTCATTCCTACAGCCCTGTGTTGGGGTTGATAGAGGCTTCAGAAAAGGTAACAGGTTTATCAAAGTTATATACCTAGTTTGTGGCAGAACTGAAATTAGAACCTAACTTGATTGTTTACAAACTACAGACCATTTTCTTTCCATAATGCCATGATCTTTATCTTCTAATAAGTTGCTGTCAGTTAAAATGTTCATACTGTAACTGGTGTGAGTGGTGGTCCTGGTAGCGGATGCTACTTAATTAACAACATTGTCAAATTGCAGAAAATTGAAGTTCTTCTCATTTAAAAAACGGTTTTCAGTTGAAGAATTTAAGTATCCTGAAGTCAGTAATACCTTGAACTAATCTTTTTAGATGACATTCCTCCAGCAGTGAAAGTATGTCTGTGGTTACTCAACAGAAAAATTTAATTCTAATGACAGACTGTTTTTTTGAGACAGAGTTTTGCTCTTGTTGCCCAGGCTGGAGTGCAGTAGTGTGATCTCCTCTCACTACAATCTCTGCCTCCCAGGTTCAAGCGATTTTCCTGCCTCAGCCTCTCAAGTAGCTCGGGTTACAGGCATCCGCCACCACACCCTGCTAATGTTTTGTATTTTGTAGAGATGGAGTTTCACCATGTTGGCCAGGCTGGTCTTGACCTCCTGACCTCAGGTGATCCACCTGCCTCGGCCTCCCAAAGTGCTGGGACTACAGGCCTGAGCCACTGCACCCGGCCACCACATACGTTTTAAAATCAAGACTTTGGAATCCCAGACTGCGGTATCATTCATTGTCTCGGAAATTAACTCTTTGGAGTACCTCCTCTTGAGTTGATGGATTTTTTTTTTTTTTTTTTTTTTTTTTTTGAGACAGTCTCGCTCTGTTGCCCAGGCTGGAGTGCAGTGGTGCGTCGCGGCTCACTGCAAGCTCCACCTCCCGGGTTCACTCCATTCTCCTGCCTCAGCCTCCGGAGTAGCTGCGACTACAGGCGCCCGCCACCACGCCCGGCTAATTTTTTTTGTATTTTTAGTAGAGATGGGGTTTCACCATGTTAGCCAGGATGGTCTCGATCTCCTGACCTCGTGATCCGCCTGCCTCGGCCTCCCAAAGCGCTAGGATTACAGACGTGAGCCACTGCGCCTGGCCAAGTTGATGGATTTAACTTCATGAAAATTTTTAAACCAGTTTTTGTGTCATCTTAGTTAAAATAAGAACATTATAAAGTTTGGTAAAGGAATGAAAGCATTACTAAGCCAGGATAATTATCAAGTGCCTTTATATAAACATTTTCCTAAAATTCTAGTTTCTAAAGTTCTGTTAGAACCTTATAAGATAATTAGTAGTATGGGAAAAGAATTACTGGCATAAGAATGACATTCTTAGTTGTAGTAACCGTATATTTATATTTCTCCTTCAGTTTATTTTGAAATTAAATTTCTAAAGTTTAAAGGTAAACATTTTAATTATAAATTCTGCATTCATGCCTTCTAATTAAAATATGAACCAAATTCATAGAAATCCTATAAGGCAACGATTACTTAAAAACCAAACAACTTAAGTGAATTGTTTTTAGGTTTGTATTGCCTTATGTATAAAAATCAACATTTGTTGATTTTGCCTTGGATATAACACCTCTCATATTTAAAGCCAGAAAACACATGTTGCCAGATGGGAACTAGGAAGAGTAGTAGTCTCATCTTGGCATCATTTTCTTCATAATGACCAGTTCACTTGTTTTACACATAATCTCAGGTTCTTTCCAGCTTTAATTTTCTATGATTGACGGATCAGATTCTACATTACGGAACCTTTTAGTTACCTGCTAACTGCTGTTACACCACTCAAGATGCGTGATAACCAGTCAGATTAGAAGATGAAAGTCTTGGCCAGGTGCAGTGGCTCATGCCTGTAATCCTAGCACTTTGGGAGGCCTAGGTGGGCAGATCACTTGAGGTCAGGAGTTCGAAACCAGCCTGGCCAACATGATGAGATCTCGTCTCTACTAAAAATACAAAACAATTAGCCTGGCGTGTTGGCAGGCACCTGTAATCCCAGCTACTCAGGAGGCTGAGGCAGGAGAATCCCTTGAACCTGGGAGGTGGAGGTTGCAGTGAGTGGAGATTGTGCCACTGCACTCCAGGCTGGGCGACAGAGCGAGACTCTGTCTCAAAAAAAAAAAAAAAAAAAAAAAAAAAAAAAGAGAAGATGAAAGTCTTCATGATATTGCTGGGCACGGTGGCTCACGCCTGTAATCCCAGCACTTTGGAAGGCTGAGGTGGGCAGAATACCTGATTTTTTTTTTTTTTTTTTTTTGGAGACAGTTTTGCTGTTGCCGCCCAGTCTGGAGCGCAGTACCGCGATCTCAGCTCACTGCAACCTCTGCCTTCCGAGTTCAAGTAATTCTCCTGCCTCAGCCTCCTGAGTAGCTGGGATTACAGGCACCCGCCACCACGACTGGCTAATTTTTGTATTTTTAGTAGAGATGGAATTTTGCCACGCTGGCCAGGCTGGTCTCGATCCCCTGACCTCAGGCAATCCGCCTGCCTTTGCCTCCCAAAGTGATGGGATTACAGGTGTGAGCCACCACGCCCAGCCTTTAAAATGACCTTTTTTTTTTTTTTAAAGACACTCTCACTCTGTCACCCTAGTTGGAGTGCAGCGGCGCCATCTCGGCTCACTGCAACCTCTGCCTGTTGGGTTCAAGCGATTCTGCTGCCTCAGCTCCCTGAGTAGCTGGGACTACAGGCACGTACCACCATGCCCAGCTAATTTTTTATTTTTAGTAGAGATGGGGTTTCACCATGTTGGCCAGGCTGGTCTCAAACTTCTGACCTCAGGTGATCCGCCCGCCTTGGCCTACCAAAGTGTGCTGGGATTACAGGAGTGAGCCACCACGCCTGGCCTTAAAATAATTTTTTACAGGAGATATCTATAGGGATAGGTCAAGAATCTACAGTCCTTGGCTGGCGCTTAACTTGCAAAGGACCGTGATTTATAACTGGTTTTAAATTTTTTAGACTGGTGGGATCTTCCACTTGGTGTGGCTGGAAAAGAGTGATTTATTATTGGAAGTCCAGTAAGGCCAGTTCTATCTAAACTGTTAGAATAGCTGTAAGTGATGTGGCTTTACTGAGATTCCATGAAAAAAATAAAATATTTGATGCCATGACATAAGGCTTTTTTTTTTTTTAATTTTTTGGTGGGATTGGTTAAAAGCTTGGCTCTGAAGTTAGAATGACTTGGATTTAATTTCTAGCTCCACCACTTACTGGATGTATGACTTTGGGTTGAGTTTACCTTTCGATGTCTCAGTGTTTTCAAGTGAAGTAGGGATAATATTGAACTGTACTTTCATCTAGCTCACTATTCTGTGTTTCATAGGGCTGTCAGGAGGATTAAATGGGAGTAATAAGTGGAATGCATTTATCACAATACCTCACTCAGATGTTAGAGCAAGTATTTGTTCACATAGTGATTTTTTACTTTAAACACTAAAATTACACATTATTTTTATATAAATAAAGAGTATATATTATTTGAATTATGAAGTATACTTTGAAGGCTATTCTTGAACCCACTCCTTGAACTGAAGAACGGGACGGTCAGTTCGTATAGTGTACCTGCTCCCTGAATCTTTCTTCCCGAAGTCATCCTGCTTCTATCCTTGAAGTCACAGCTATCTTTGAGTTAATAATTAACTTCATTTAAAAAACTTTGAAAAAGTCTCATTTGGATGTGTCCTTGAACAATGTTTAGTTTTCTTGTTTTTTTTAGCTTTCCAAAAATATAATGGATGTAATGTGGTGGCTTTCTAAATTGTAAGATCCAACCATGTTGTGTATAATTCATTTTTACCATCCCTGTATTGTATTCTTTTGCATGGCTTCATTAGAATTCATTTTTCAAATCTGCAATTGATAAACATTAGAGTTTCTTCTAGCTTTTGAAGTGTGAACAACGTTGCAATGATCATTTTTTGTATCTCGTTTAAAATATTTTTATTGCTCTAAAGTTTTAAACAAACTTGATTTTAACTGCTAATATATTTGCTTTCAATGTGGTGGTACTACTTTAGAAAAAGTAAATTTTCTTTCTTTTTTTAAATTTTAGACAGGGTCTCACACTGTTGCCCAGGCTGAACTGCAGTGCCATGATCTTGGCTTACTGCAGCCTCTGCCGCCCAGTCTCAAGCGATACTCCCACCTCAGCCTCTTGAGTAGCTGGGACTACAGGCGCTTGCCACCACACTTGACTAATTAATATTTTTACATTTTTGGTAGAGATGGGGATTTCAACATGTTGCCCAGGGTGGTCTCGAACTGAGCTCAAGCGATCCACCTGCCTCGGCCTCCTGAAGTGCTGGGATTACAGGTGTGAGGCACCATACTAAGCCAAAAGTAAATTTTCTTACTGAAATGTTTTATACATTGTTTCTTGTTTTATTAGCTAAGTTATTTCATATCACTTTTTATTTATCATAGGATTAGCAATAAGCACTGTAATTTTCCTTAAGTACTTGATTTCAAAAAACCAACTTTATTAAAGCATAATATACATACAAAATATTTACCAACCTTACATTTACAATTTAATGAGTTTTGACAAATGTGACCATCACCACAGTCATGATATAAAACATTTCTACCATTCCCTAAAGTTCTTTGTGCCTCTGTGCAATCAGTCATCTCCACTGGTCCCTAGCAACCAGAAGAAACCTCCAACTGGTCTGCTTTATGTCACTACTGTTTTACCTTTTCTAAAATTTCATGTGAATAGTATTCCCATTTTGTGTGTGTTACACCTTTTATAATTGTCCCACCATTCTTGGATATTCTTTTCTTTTTCATTTTCTCTTTCTTTTTCAGTTTTGGGGAGTTTGTATTGATCTTAAGGCTCTCTGGTCTCCCACTCCTATGTTTGGTCTACTGATGAGCCCATCAAAGGCATTTTGCATTTCTGTTAGTCTTTTTTGATTCTAACCTGTGCTTTTTTTTTTTTTTTTGGGAGGGGGAGATGGAGTTTCGCTCTGTCGCCTAGGCTGGAGTGCAGTGGTGCGATCTCGGCTAACTGTAACCTCTGCCTCCCGGGTTCATGCCATTCTCCTGCCTCAGCCTCCCGAGTAGCTGGGATTACAGGTACTCGCCACCAAGCCCAGCTACTTTTTGTGTTTTTAGTAGAGATAGGGTCTCTCCATATTGTCCAGGCTGGTCTTGAACTCCTGACCTCAGGTGATCCACCGGCCTCGGCCTCCCAAAGTGCTGGGATTACAGGTGTGAGCCACCGCACCTGGCCTAACCTTTCCTTTTGATTCCTCCTTAGAGTTTTTATCTCTCTGCTTACATTACCCATCTCTTCTTGCATGTTGTCTGCTTTCCCCATTAGAGCCCGTTAACATATTAATCATAGTTAAGATTCCATGATTGGTTTTTAGATTTTTAGAATAAATGTTTTTAAAGAACCAGGCTTCTGCCGGGCGTGGTGGCTCACGCCTGTAATCCCAGCACTTTAGGAGGCCGAGGTGGGCGGATCATGAGGTCAGGAGATTGAGACCATCCTGGCTAACGCAATGAAACCCCATCTCCACTAAAAAATACAAAAAAATTAGCCAGGCGTGGTGGCGGGCGCCTGTAGTCCCAGCTACTCTGGAGGCTGAGGCAGGAGAATGGCGTGAATGTGGGAGGCGGAGCTTGCAGTGAGCCAAGATCACGCCACTGCACTCCAGCCTGGGCGATAGGGCGAGACTCTGTCTCAAAAAAAAAAAAAAAAAAAAGAACCTGGCTTCTTTACTGTTTACTAGCGAACTTTGGAAGCATCATTTACATGTATTATCAAACCTGTTTTTATTTTATTTTATTTTGAGATGGAGTTTCGCTCTGTCGCTCAGGTTGGAGTGCCGTGGCACAATCTCTGCTCACTGCAACCTCCACCTCCTGGGTTCACGCGGTTCTCCTGCCTCAGCCTCCTGAGTAGCTGGGATTACAGGTGCGTGCCACCATGCCTGGCTAATTTTTGTTATTTTTAGTAGAGACAGGGTTTCACCATGTTGGCCAAGCTGGTCTCGAACTCCTGACCTCAAGTGATCCTCCTGCCTTGGCCTCCCAAAGTGCTGGGATTACAGGCATGAGCCACCACACCTGGCTGAAACCTATTTTTATTATTAGTGCTCATGATTTCTCATTTAAGAATATACATAATCACACAGCTTACACACAAATATTCATAGCAACAGTATTCATAGTAGCAGAACAACAACTTAAATTTCCATCAGCTGATAGGTGCATAAATAAAATGTGGTGTATCCATACAGTGAAGTATTAGCCAGAAATAAAAAGCAATGAAGTACAGTCATGTAGCATATAACAATGTTTCAGTCAATGAAGGAATAGGACCACATATATGACAGTGGTTCCATAAGATTATACTGTATTTTTACTGTACCTTTTCTATGTTTAGATATGCTTAGATACACAAATACCATTGTATTACACTTGCCTGCGCTATTCAATATATTAACATGCAGTATAGGTATAGGTTTGTTGCGTAGGAGCTGTAGGCTATACCATATAGCCTAGATTTAGGCTGTATTATCTAGGTTTGTTAAGGGACACTCTGTGATGTTTGCACAATGATGAAATGGAATGAAGGCACATTTCTCGTAATGTATCCCTGTCATTAAGCTAGGCATGACTGAACCGATATGTGCTACAATGTTGATGTATTTGAAAACACTATGCTAAGTAAAAGAAGCCAGTCACAAAGAACTAGATATTGTGTGATGCCATTTATATTAAATGTCCTGAATAGGTAAATCCATAAAGACGCAAATACGTAAGTGGTTGTCAAGGGCAGGGGTGAATAGGTGGAAGGTTGGGTTATATGAGGTTGAGGGGGTGGGAATGGGAGCAGGGGGGAATAACAGCTAAGGGATTTTGAGTTCTTTTTGGGATAATGAAAATGTTCTAAAATTGATTACAGTGAGAGTTACACAACTCTGAAATATACTAAAAGCCAGTCGTGCACTTTAAGCATATAATATGTGAATTAATATCTCAGTAAAGCTGTTAAAGAATCTAGCTGATGTATGCAAAACTGCTAAGAACACTATGATGTCATACAGAAATTTTATGGAAAAATATTACTTTCCTCATGACACTGATCTCAAAAGGTTTCCTATCTCAAACATTGTTAGATTTCAAAAATAAGATGTTAATTGCACTCACTTCAAATTTTAAAAAACCTTATTCAGTCTTTTTATAGAGGTCATCCTGTAATTATATGGTCAATATGAATTCCAGCAGCATATCTTTTTCATGTGTCAAGAAAGTTTACATTGAAAAGATTGCATTCTTAAAAAGACCATACCCAGATCCATCTCCACTTCCTGTTTGTCCACTAAACATTTGTGAGATATTTATGGCTATCTTGCGCAATGCCTCCAGAAATCAATGTTTGCTCTCAAGTTTATAACTACAGTTTAAAAAAAATTCACCAAAAAATTCATAATCCTGGTGGATCTGCTGTTTAGGACTAGTTAGTTAAGTGCAGTATATACAAGTAGAAAAGCTCCAATTATTTTACTTGAGATGATCTGATGGCTAATTCTCTCACTTCCTTTGTGTGTGTGTGTGTGTGTGTGTGTGTGTGTGTGTATTTTATATATTTTATATATATATATTTTTTTATTTTTATTTTTTTTGAGATGGAGTCTTGCTGTGTTGCCCAGGCTGGAGTGCAGTGGCACGATCTTGGCTCACTGCAAGCTCCACCTCCCGGGTTCACGCCATTCTCCTGCCTTAGCCTCCCAAGTAGCTGGGACTACAGGCGCCCACCACCACGCCCAGCTAATTTTTTGTATTTTTAGTAGAGACAGGATTTCATCATGTTGGCCAGACTGGTCTCGAACTCGTGACCTCAGACAATCTGCCCGCCTCGGCCTCCCAAAGTGGTGGGATTTCAGGCGTGAGCCACCGCGCATGGCCGCATTTATAATTTTAAAAGCTTAAATGTGTTTTTTTTTTTTGGCGGGCGTGTGGGTTGGGGGAGATGGAGTCTCAGTCTGTCACCCAGGCTCTAGTGCAGTGGTGTGATCTCGGCTCACTTCAGCCTCCGCCTTCCAAGCTCAGTCCTGCCACCTAAGCCACCCAAGTAGCTGGGACTACAGGCGTACACTAGCACACCCAGCTAACGTTTTGTATTTTTGGTAGAGATGGGGTTTTGCCATGTTGCCCAGTCTGGTTTCGAACTCCTGGGCTCAAGCTATCTGCCCTCCTTGGCCTCCCAAAGTGTTGGGATTACGGGCATGAGCCACTGTCCCTGGCAAAAAAAAAAAAAAAAAAAGATAGAATTCAAAAATTGTATCTTGAATTTAGTGTTGCTCATATGACAACTTACTGTAAAAGGTAATTTATTTTAAGTATAGGTCACATACTATACAGGGGATGCTTTCAAAAGACAATTCCTATTGATAATTGTATTTTATTATTAAAGTCAAAGAATGTCTTAGTCTGCTTTCTGGTGTTCTGTTCTAGTGTTCTGGTCTTCTAGGGTTAGAAACTAGGTAGTTTATAAAAGAAAGGTTTATTTAGCACATGATTCTGGAAGCTGGGAAGTCTGAGATCTGGTCAGCTTCTGGTGAGGGCCTTGTGCCATGTCGTAACACCACGGTGGAGAAGAGGAAGGGGAAGCAGGCATGTGCAAAGTTACCAACACAAGAGGTGGTCTCACTTTGTAACAACCCACTCTTTAGTCCAAACCTGTGGGAGCAAGAACTCAAGGGAGTGAGAAAGGCATTAATCCATCTTAACGACTTACTTGCCTCTTAAAGGCACCACTTCCGAATACCACATCGCGGACCAAGCCTCAACATGAGTTTTGTGGAGATAAACTATATTCAAACCATAGCAAAGACCAAAGGTTATGGCGGTTTACTTTCTGCTAAGCTTTCAGATATAGACATGAAAATCGTTAGATCGGTAATAATATAGCTTTATAGTACTTAATTTTGTAACTTAATTAAGAAATAGAATTAGCCTAAATATCAGCTCAATAATCTAATAAAAGGTGAACTGCTGTACAAATAGTCCAGTTTGTATCACTGTTATAAATGAGCCTATCTCATGTGCCAAACTTTTAGAGTAATTGCCTTCTTACGATTTTGTCTGTTTCCAAAAACTTCTAATTGGAGTATGCTTTTGAATCTGTGTAATATTTAACATATAAAGCCTGCATTATTTAGAAGTTGATATTGAAAACCTTTAAACTTCTGACCTCAAATAGAATTTGCTTATGTATAACCATTACATGCAGCTGGTGGGTTCAAAATTGCGTTTTCTGGGTCTCTGCTCTGTGAAAAATAGTATGTATTGGACATGAGTACATGACAGCTGACATTTATCAAGGATAACAGGGGGAGCCATATTCATTTTCACATTTTAAAGCAACTTTGAAAGCTTTGCATGTGCACACATGCTCAACATATGTTCCTAAGCTTTAAATATATTTTCCATCATGTATTGCTTATCATTAATATAAGAAACTAAGTGTAAATCTTTAATGAGCTCAATATATTAAACTTATATGAGTACACAAGCATTTGGAAGATCAGCAATGCAGGCTACTTCATTCATTTACATGGAATTTATCTTTTATAGTTTCTGTGCTATTACAAATAATGTAACACATTCCAGATAGCCCTTTTGTTATATAGTGTTTGATTTGGCCCTTCTTTAATTTCATTACCATAAAATTTTGTCCTGTTGTAGAAGACTAAATGGTAGAAATTAACTTTTTTCTAAACCAACTATTGTTATATTGCTGTTCTCTTTGCCAAGCTATTTATAGGGCTATTTTACTGGAGGGTGACATAAATAGAATTGGAATGGCATAATTGTTAGTCTGAGTTCTTAGCCTTTAAAAATTTTCTTTAAATTGTGATAATTCAAAAAGAATTCTAGAATAAAACTGTAAAGCTCATAATGTTGCCAACTTGTTAATTAAAATAACACCTTTTGTGGTTGGTATAGGTTTCAGATACTGTGACCATTTAATATATTTATATGCAGATCACATTGACTTGCTGCAAGGTAACAGGAGAAATGCTTTGACTTCAGAAGATAAATTGGCCATGCACAGCTGTAATCCTACTGTCTTTTCATTTCCAGACATGATTCAGTAGTTTAAGGCTTTGATTCCTAGGCGCTGAGAAGAAAGTTGAAATTTATTTTTGTGTATGAGAATTTTTACTTAGGTTTTTGATAAGTCTAGTTTGTGGTGTGAAGGTACCATCTAAACTGTTGGTGTTTCCATACTTAAATAGCTCTCTCTTAATTTTATTTGAAATATGAGAAGCCTGAGTTTCTTTCCATTTTCCTTTTGGCAGTTGGAAAGGAAGCCATCTTATTAAGAGTGATGAATAGTGAAGGGTTTTTTTTAGGCTAAATTGCCAGTGTCTTTAGATTAAAAAAAATTGCAGAGCGATAAGTTATGAACGTTAACATGATTTTTCAAGGAAGAAGTAATCCTTAGTCACTTGTAACCCAAATGCCTTTCCTAATAAGAGTTCCGTTTCTACAAATTCTTTTGACAGAGAAGTGTATGATATCAGAGAGGTTTTTAGAAAACATTTTAAGTGCCATAAGAACAATTCAAGACCACTACCAAAACTTCATTTGAAGATCTTAGCATCTTTGAGAATTTAGTATTTCTCAAGAGACATCTCTTAAATTCTCCTGTAGGCACCAAGATTTAGACAATTTGCTTAATTTATTCAGCTAATTAAATGGGAGAGTTCCCTGACCCCCCTCACAGGACGTGCGACAGGGCTGTGGCTCATCTGTTCCGTGCTCTCAAACCCCTTTTGGGAGGAGGAGCATGCGTGCAGGCAGGTGCAGGATCTGGGGCGAGTGCCCCTGGGCTCTGTTCTCATGGGAGTGTCCAGGGGTGGGAGTCTGCAACTCCCCAAGCCCAAGTAGGCATGTGTTACAGTATGCTCTTTTTGCTTTGCCGACCATGGACGGCTTAAGTGTTAAACAGCTCAGGGCCTTCTTGGTATTCAGGTCCTTGTCCAGCATCGAGGAAGAATCAGGTCACACACGGACTTGAGGATGGTGAATGTGGGGATTTTATTGAGTGATGGAGTTGGCTGTCAGTTGGATGGATGAGGAGCTGGAAAGGGGATGGAGTGGGAAAATGATCTTCCCCTGGAATTTGGCCATCCAGTGGCCCATCTCCTCTCTGACCGTCCTCAGCCGAACTCCTCTTGGTGTTCAGATGTTCCTTCTCTTCTTTCTCTGCCGTGCCATTCTGCCATTCTTCTGCTCTTCTGTTTGTCTCCTTGTGGAGCCGGGGGCTTGGGGTTTATATGGGTACAGGATATGGGGGCGTGGTGGGTCAAAAGGCAACTTTTAGGCATGAAAACAGGAATGTTTGTTCTCATTTAGGGTCATGGGTTTTCAGGCTTGAGTGGGGCCTTTGCCAGGGAACTGCCTTCTTCTACCCAGTATTTCCCTGTCTCCTGTCTGTATCAGTAATATAGGAATTAGAAAACACAAATATCTTTTTTTGTAAACTAGGTTGTAGATCTGTTTGTAGTTAAGAGGCCAAATTCCATTTTTCTTAATTACCTTGATTCTGTCTGTAAATGGTACAGTTCTTGAGGGAGCCATTTTTCGAGAGCCTACCATTTGCCAGACATCACTGAGGTTTTGTTTTACCTGTGGTTTTTAATCCTCTCAACAACTTTGTAAAGGTGATGGATGTGCATTTTAGAGAAGATGAAATTGAGCTTCAGAGATGTAAATTTGGTAAGGTCATGCTGAGCTCAAATCAGCTGTTAAGTCTGTGTTCTTTTCCCCTCTTCACTATGCTTCATTTAAGTTGGATTCGTTGTTTTCTTGTTCACTAATGATGTGTGCTTGTGTGTCCAGTTTAGGAATTAACCTTGTCTATTGATTCTTGGTTTCAGACAAGTATCCCATGTCTGTCTAGAGTTTGGCTGTGGATAATTGATGATACTATCTTTTCAAATTATTTATAATTCGTGAAAGCTTATAGTTCTTTTAACATCCATTTATTCTTCTGTTTCTTTTTATCATTCGTAATGGCTTTCAATTATTATTTTAAAAATCGAGATGGGAGCTTGCTATGTTGCCCAGGCTGGTCTCAAACTCCTGGGCTCAAGTGAGCCTCCCACCTCAGCTTTCCAAAGTGCTGGCAATGTAGGCTTGAGCCACTGTGCCTGGCCAATTCTTTATCTCATTAAGGATCATAAACATTTATTTTAAACCAATTTCAAGATTTTTATTAAGCATTGAATTCATCTTTTGATATTGATGAATTTCTTGACTATCTTCCTTAGTTCAGTTATTTTTTATTTTTATTTATTTTTTTTGAGGTGGGGTCTTGCTCTGTCACTCAGGCTGGAGTGCAGTGGCGAGATCTCGGCTCACTGCAACCTTCACCTCCAAGGTTCAAGTGATTCTCCTGCCCTCAGCCTCCTGAGTAGCTGGGACTACAGGCGCATGCCACTACCCCCGGCCAATCTTTGTATTTTTAGTAGAGACAGTGTTTCACCATGTTGGCCAGGATGGTCTCGATCTCTTGACCTCGTGATCCGCCCGCCTTGGCCTCCCAAAGTGCTGGGATAATAGGCGTGAGCCACCACGCCTGGCCCATTAGTTCACTTTTTAAATACACTTTAGGATTTTAGTTTATGGTTTATATGCTGAGTGGGAAATAATTTTTTTCCCTTTATTTTGGTGTTCTTTTCTGTATGTCTCCCTGCCACCTATACCTCTGTTTTTGTTGCCTTCATACATTTACACCATGCTTTCAGTCTAGATCTAGGATTCTAATTCTGAGATATTATTGCAATGTTGGTGATATGCATTACTTAGGTTTTGTTTGTGTGTGTGTGTGTATGAGACATATATATATTATTATTATGTATATATTACCTTTTATTTATTTAGAGTACCTTTTATTTCCTCTACAACTGCCTGTGGCAGTTTGAAATAATAACTTTAGCTATTGATAATACCTTTTTTCACCTTCCTTTCATGAGTTTTTTGTTTGGTTTCTACCTATGAGATTTTTTCGTTTTACCTGTGAGCCTTGCTTTTGGTTTTCTTATCTTGTGCATGATTTCATTTCCTGACTGCCTTTGCTTGTTTCTTGTCCTGGAGCTCAGTTGGGTTCATGGAGTTATTAATTTATTGCTTTATATTTCCCCTCTGTCATGGTCCACAAATATATTTGTCATGTTTGAGCGTAACTGTGTCTTTTGAAGTTAATACAAAATTCGTATTTTATCTGTCATTATTATATTTGGAGCAATGGGATAAGGTGGTGTTGATTGATAGCAGCATTTCTCTGTTATCCTTTCAGGAAGTCTCCATGTTCTTTTGATCTCACAACATGGCTTGTTTATATAGGCCTGCAGATAGTAGATACTAAAGCATCTGTTTATTTACTTACTTATCTGCTTACTTGCTTTATTTACTTACCACCACCCCTGACTAATTTTTTTGTATTTTGTAGAGACAGTGTCCTGCCACATTGCCCAGGCTGGTCTTGAACTTCTGGCAAGTGACCCTCTACTGTAGCCTCCCAAAGTATTGGGATTATAGGCATGAGCCACTGCTCCTGGCCCTAAAACATTTATTACATGAACGTGGGGTATCTTGGAGAAGCCAGACCCAGTTTCAGGCTCTCAGCCCCAACCTTAATCTAATATAGTGGCTCTCAACGTGTGGTGCGTGGACTCCCGGTAGTCTCTGAGAACCTTTTAAGGGTTCTACATGGTTAAGACTATTCTCATAATAATGCTAATGTGTTATTTGCTATTTTCATCCCGTTGGTGTTTGCACCGATGGTGGAAATGCGGTGATGCATAAAATTGCTGACACCTTACCATGAATTAAGGCAGTGGCGCCAGACTCCGCTCCTAGGTAGACATTGCATTCTTCACTGCCAGGAGCTCATAAAGAAAAAAAAAAATCAGTTTTCCACTGAGGATTGTCCATGATGAAGCAGCAACACTACACCTGGCCCTCATTCCCTTTTTTCCTTAAGTACCTTTCACTGTACCCTTAAGTACTGTCGTTTTAATGTTCTGTGTGATGAGAATGGAAAATGTGCACAAAGACTTCTGCCTGCCAAAGTATGATGGCTGTCTCCGGGAAAAGCACTTGCGCAGTTTGCGTTGTGAACTGAAGTACCCACTTTTTTCATGGAACACCATTTTTACTTGGATGAGTGACAAACCATGGCTATTGAGTCTTGGTTATTTGGAGACTGTCTTCAAATTGAGTGAGGTGAACCTGTCACTACAGGGAAAACATCTGACTGTATTGGTTGACAGTGATAAAATTTGAGCTTCAAGTGAAATTATAAGTAAGTAAACTTGAATCGGCCACCATGAGCATAACAGCCTTTTATTACTTTCCTGATGAGATGGGTGGTGACATTAATGAATGTGGGTTAAAAAAATTGTGTAATGAAATGTACCAGCATTTGAAAGATCTACTTTAACTCAGTGAACCAGTATTATCTAAATGACCCGGTGTTTGATTATACAGTGATGCATGGGTTAAAGATCTGTTCAGAGTGCAAGTTAGATCCAATGCATTTTAATGAGACAGCATGAAAATTCATTTATATGGTTTCAGATTCCACTTTGCAACTGTAGGAGACTAGAATATACCACCCTAAAATATGCCTGTTTGGTGTAAGGATTATTTTGAGAAGCAGACACAGGAGAAGTTCTGAAAACAGAGTAGAAGTTACCCTTTTGTAAGGGAAAATTTATATCTATAAAGGAAATCTCCCTTGTAAGGGTGTCTTCCTCATTACCAGGAAAAGGATGACTCAATCACTAGAAACTTACTAATGGAGAAGGCATAGACTTAAATCTGTATAACAAGCCTTACTGTTGTTTACCATGCTTTTCTTGGTCACCTCTCCATAACTATTGCTCCCTAGCCCCTGTGCCCTTCTTTATTTGTTTCAGCTGAAGATGATATTTAAGTCTGAATTCTAAGCCACCTCTTAGAAATGAAAAGATTTACTCATTTCTCTGGGTATCTCTCATGGATACATGAGATATATTTATTATATTTCTGATTTTCTCTTGTTAATTTGTCTTTTGTTAAGGGGTCTGACCCAACTTAGAACTCAGATAGGGTAGAGGAAAAATTATTTTTTTCTCTCCTATAAAACTCACCTTTAAGAAATTACCAGTTGTTTTAGTGTAATATCAAGAAATATCCATAATTATTTATAAAAGTTTATTAAAATAGTCCTTCCTTTTACAAGTACATGTCTTTGTGAGGCCAGATTTTCTTTATATCCTTAAATCAAGATAACATTGCACCGGATTGAATGCAGAAGTAAATAACTGTTTTCTATTAAGTCAGGTAATTATATGCAAATATATGTTTTTAATTATTTTATAATTCTCATTGTTTCAGAAGTTTTGTTTTTTGCAAAAATTGTTATTTATGTTAATATATGATGGGCTTTAAAAAGTGAATGAGGGCCAGGTATAGTGGCTCATGCCTGTAATCCCAGCACTTTAGGAGGCCAGGCAGGTATATCACCTGAGGTCAGGAGTTTGAGACTAGCCTGGCCAACATGGTGAAACCCTGTCTCTACTAAAAATACAAAAATTAGCCGGGCATGGTGGCGGGCACCTGTAATCCCAACTACTTGGGAGGCTGGGGCAGGAGAATCGCTCGAACTGGGGAGGTGGAGGTTGCAGTGAGTCAAGATTGCGGCATTGCACTCCAGCCCAGCCTGGGTGACAAGAGCAAAACTCCATCTCAAAAAACAAAACAAAACAAATAAACCAAAAAAGTGAATGAGTCCGGCTTGGTGGCTCATGCCTGTAATTCCAACACTTTGTGAGGCCGAGGTGGGAGAATTGCTTGAGCCTAGGAGTTGGAGACCAGCCTGGGAAACATAGCAAGACCTGGTCTGTACTAAAAATTAAAAAAATCAGCTGGGCATGGTGGCACATGCGTGTGGTTCCAGCTACTCGGGAGGCTGAGGTGGGAGGATCACTTCAGACCAGCAGATCGAGGCTACAGTGAGCCGTGATCACACCATTGCACTCCAGCCTGGGTGACAGAGCTGAGACCCTGTCTCCAAAAAAAAAAAAAAAAAAAAGGTGAATGTTTCTTAAGTTTTAATTTCTAATATGGTGAATACTGACATAACCCACATAGCAGAAGTTATTACAGGTTTCCAGTTTTTAAGAGGTAAAGGAATCCTGAGATCAAAAGGCTTGAAATCTAGTGAATTTGGTTGGAACTCTAGAAGCATTTGACTTAAACCTTTCACCTTGTTGTATTTGGTATCTTGTAGCACACCCAGTTCCTGCTACAGCTGCCTCTATTCTGTGCTGCTTAAATACGGAGGAGGTCTGAGCTAACCAATCTGAAGTTTGGCCAATTTCAGGGGCATTTAGTTGTTAACCTGAATCTACTTCTTTTATTAGTAAGAAACATATCTACTATAGAGATTTAGGACTTTGAACAGCTGTATAACATTATAGGATATGTCTGGTACTCAGTTGTTTCTGTTTCTGAATCACAAATCGGCCATTAATTTTAAATAAAGACGTTTTGTAGCATATAATACAATTTCTGATGATCTACTTACTAGTTTGTTAATTCCTCACACCGAGTCATCAGCTCCTTGAAGGCAAAAAAATTCCTGTTTTGATCAACAATTCATCTACCCCAAGCACTTAGCATAGGGGATACTATTTCCTTTTTCTATGTGGATGACACCCGATATGTTGAACAGTGACCACTCTTAAGATACTTGGTGAAGTAGGTTTTGGTTTTAACCAGTTTAGGTGTATGGATGATTTTACAGAAGTTCGTAATAAAATTTTCTTGCCTCAGATATTCTCTAATAATAATGAGGTGCCCCCAGCTTCATTTACTAGACATGGATAGGCAGGTTTTGTGAAGTACAGAAAAAAAGTTCTTTAAAGTTATGGATCATGTCACGAGGTCAGGAGTTTGAGACCATCCTGGCCAACATGGTGAAACCCCATCTCTACTAAAATACAAAAAAATTAGCTGGTTGTGGTGGTGCACACCTGTAGTCCCAGCTACTCAGGAGGCCGAGGCAGGGGAATTCCTTGAACTCGGGAGGCAGAGATTGTGGTGAGCCGAGATTGCACCACTGCACTCCAGCCCGGGTGACAGGGCGAGACTCCGTCTCAAAAAAAAAAAAAAAGTTATGGATCATGAAACTAACATTTGAATAGCAACAAAGAAAAAACCAAGCTATGTTGTATTTTATTTTTTATTTTTATTTTTTAATGTTGTATTTTAAATTGAATGATGTACTTCTCCTCCTCTTTGCAGTATTTTATATTTTTGCTTACTGCACATTTCTTCCCTGAAGCAATCTTGACCTAATGGTATAAATGTTTAGCTCCACATAAGACGGTAGCTATTTTTTGGAGAGGAATGGAGAGGGTCAAGGGTTTTATTGAGTTTTCAGTTCTGATACCTTTTAACCTTTTTACCAGTGCTACCCCACCCTCCAGAAAGCAAATAATGTTGAAAGCTTTTTTTATTTTTTAACTTTTTGATATATATTTTCTTATTCATTATTTGTATTGTTGTCATCAGATGAATAATGGCTTTAGAGATTTATTTGAAAAGACAAATTCTATTATCAGACACATAACTTCTAGGGATATGGAAACTATTATTATTGTTACTGTTTTGAGACGGGATCTTGCTCTGTCCCCCAGGCCAGAGTGCGGTGATCATGGTTCACTGCAGACTTGACCTCCTGGGCTCAAGTGATCCTCTTACCTGAGCTTCCTAAATAGCTGGGACCACAGGCACATGCTGCCATGCCCAGCTAATTTTTGTGTTTTTTGCAGAGACAGAATCTCACTATGTTGCCCAGGCTGGTCTCAAACTGCTGGGCTCAAGCAATCCTCTTGCCCCAGCCTCCCAAAGCGTTGGGATTACAGGTGTGAGCTACTGAAACTGGCCCGGAAACATTTTTAAAAAAGGATTCTTTTGAATTTAAAGTTATTTAATGATTACTGAAGAGTAATAAGCTGTGAGGTCAGGAAAAAAAGGACTGAGCCACAGACTAAGCAGCAGTACAGATGATGACCTATTCAGGAAGTCTTGTGAGTCAGACTTGCCGTGTCGTGTTGCTAGAGTTACAGATCTGCTCCAACCTCTTTGCTTTATAAGAAGGACATCTCTCTGTTCTACCTTCAATATCTTTTCTTTGAAAAATCAACCCAAAAGTCTTTTATTAGCTTTACATTTATTTCTACAGTCTTAATTTTTGTAACATCAGTGTTGCAGGTGAACAAACTCATTGTAGCCTCTATTTTTGATATTGCTGGACAGGGCTAACTTTAGTACTATAGTGGGAAGTTTGTTATTTTGTTTTTTACTCTACAGGCACTCTGGTTTAGGAATATTTATCTGTCTTGCATTTGACCATGGTTACCATTCCCCCTCTTCATTGTTTACTTAGTGTACCATGGTACACTTTATGTACCATCCTTGCTGCTCTCAGCTGTTTGGTTACCAGGTGGCTAATGTTGTCATCTCTTAAGCTTTAACATTTACTTCTCAATACTGTCTTTTCCTCTGTGAGGTAGATGGAAAGAATAGATTAGAAGAGAATGGGGCATATGCTGTGATCATCTCTCCTTTACATCTTTATTGCTTATTAATTTAATTTATATCAGATTTCATTTCTGCTCTGTGCACATACCCACTGTCCCTCCTCACCACTCTTCTTTATCCAGTTCTTTCTCACTTACCTTAGCATGGCTAAAACCCTTGGTTTTTATTTATCTCTTTCTTCCTCTGCTGTTTTTATTTTCATTATATGCCACAGGGACAAACTTAGGTATAAGTACTACTTTTGATGTAGAGATACTTATGTCTGTCAAAGGAAAATTAAACTACAAACCCCAGAGGTAAAAAATGGTACACAATACTGGGGTTTAAAAAATCTCCTCCTCGGCCGGGCTCATGCCTGTAATCCCAGGACTTTGGGAGGCTGGGGTAGGTTGGTCACCTGAGGTCAGGAGTTCGAGACCAGCCTGGCCAACATGGCGAAACCCCGACTCTACTAATAATACAGAAATGAGGTGGGTATGGTGGCAGCTGCCTGTAATCCCGGCTACTTGGGAGGCTGAGGCAGGAGAATCGCTTGAATCTGGGAGGCGGAAGTTTTAGTAAGCCGAGATTGCGCCACTGCACTCCAGCCTGGGTGACAGAGCGAGACTCCATCTCAAAAACAAAACAAAACAAAATAAAAAAGCCCCACTCCTTCTGCCCCTCCAGACCAGGGTCTCACTCCCTTCACCCAGGCTGGAGTGCAGTGGCGCGAACCTTAGCTCACTGTAACCTCTGCCTCCTGGGCTCAGGTGATACCCCCACCTCAGCCTCCCGAGTAGCTGCGACTACAGGTGTGCGTCACCACGCTTGGCTAAGTGTTTTGTATTTTTTGTAGAGACGGCGTTTTGCCACTTTGCCCAGGCTGGTCTTGAAGTCCCGGGTTCAAGCTGTCCTCTCATCTTGGCCTCCCAAAGTGTTGAGATTACAAGTGTGAGCCACCACACCCAGCCAAATTATTTCTTTTTACCTCTGTAAAAGGAGAACCTTCTCTGTATTTTAAGAAGATGTGGAGTTGGTCAAAAGTACAGCTGATGGGAAAGCAAAGGAGAACTGGAGTTTGAAAAGAGAAGAGGAATGGTGGTAGTTAAAAAAAAAATTTGTAAAAAATAGAGTTACATACAAGTTTACACAATGGTTTAGAGCTTACAAGGTAGGAAGCAGAGACAGAAATAGTGTAATATGTAAAATGTTATAGTAAAAATATGGAAAATGCTTAGGATAAAGAAGGGAAAACTTTTGTCTAATTGGGAGAGTCGGGGATGGTTTTACCAGAGGTGACAAATTAATCTTGAAGGGCAGGAATATTCTAGATGGAAAAGCGATGTGGGAAAGATTAAAAAAAAATTAGTGACTTAAGGTTAAAAATAAAGGAAATGTTTCAGTTACCTTTATTAAAAACTTTTAGTATAAAGATCATTTTGGGGTTGCTGGTGGTGATTGATGAGGAAGAAGTATGACTGGTAACAGGTTGTTTAAACTGAAGCCAAATTCAGGTTTATGAAGCTCAGACTTAAGTCTGTTCTTATATATGAGATAGATTCAGTGTATTAAATTGTAGAAGTCAATGTAACCTTTAAAACAAAAGAGTTACCCGGCTAGTTAGTATGCTGTCAGGAGAGGGTAACTTGATTTGGATATGGATGGAATTGGCTCCCTTAACTCCCTCTGTACAGTGTATTATCTGTGAACTTCAACTCTGTTGCTCATGTAGAGGTTGAGAAGTCTCTTGGCAGCAAGTTTCCAGTTGCAACTAACACCTGAGTTGGCTAATTGGTATGCCCAGTTCTAGCACTCTAGTCTCTGGGGAGTTTATGTTTAAATTCAACTTCATCAGGTTTAAACTGGAACATAAATGTGCAAGAAGGAAGAGAGAATGGAACCTTGCGCATAAAATAATTTACATTCAGATGCTTTTCTGTTCAATTTATATATTAAAAATAGGATGTTTTACTTTATTGTTTCTTGCTAGCCCTTCACTCAATATGCTGGCATTATAAAGCAAAGATAGTGGAGAAGAAATTACCAAGAACTGAAGTTGTACTGTTTTCTTGTATACATCTCCACCAAGGTAGTTTCTTGTAGATACCATGTGTATGTTTTGTTTCTAAAAACTGTAGGCTCCTAGCTTTGCTATTCATTGTGTTCAAACGATTCCTTCTTTTTTTTTTTTTTTAACACTTACCAAATTTAATTGTTTTTCTGTTTTCCTGTTCTGCTAGCCTGAGAGTTCTAGTAATTGGTAGTGACATTTATCCCTGTTTTCTGGGGCTAAAATGATTCTGGGCATGCAAAACGTTTGAGCTGAAATGGAATTAAATTGAAAAAAAAAAAAAGGATTGTGTTATACTTTATCCTACAAAACATAATAGCAAATTATCAGCCACAAAACAAAAGGATATAAAAAATTTCCCTCTCTGACAGAGGATGAGGAAGCAAAAGAAAAATAAATAAGTAGGCCAGGCGCGGCGGCTCACGCCTGTAATCCCAGCACTTTGGGAGGCTGAGGCCGGTGGATCATGAGGTCAGGAGTTCAAGACCAGCCTTTCCAAGATGGTGAAACCCCGTCTCTACTAAAAATATAAAAATTAGCTGGGCGTGGTGGTGGGTGCCTGTAATCCCAGCTACTCGGGAGGCTGAGGCAGGAGAATCGCTTGAACCTGGGAGGCGGAGGTTGCACTGAGATTGCGCTACTGCACTCTAGCCTGGGCGACAGAGCAAGACTCTGTCTTAAAAAAAAAAAAAAATTAAAAAAAATTTTCTTTTCTTTCCCCTCCTACTTATCTCCTCACAGCTCTTAACTTCCTTACCAGCATTGAAAGAAACAAAGGTAGGAGGAGATACTAACTGGAAGAGTCATCCACTTGAGGAGGAAGCTTTTATAACAGTTCCACGTTATAAAAGCTCTTCCCTGCCTTCCCCTGTCCTTTACACACGTTATATTTGTCTTCAGTCCTTTCTCCGTGGTACCAGTTCTCTTGGAGCTCCTCTTATTTTATTAGTAAGGGTATGAATGACGGATTGAAAGAAAGAAGATTAAGAAACTTTTTGATATTTTTAGGGTAGAGAAAAAAACCTTGTAAGATTAAGCCCTTGTGTTAACTAGTAGTGGTTATTTTCTAAGTTGTCTGATTAGGAATTTGAGAATTTGGAATTTCAGTTTTGGGTAGAACTTTTATGTATGACTGTCTCATTCTTCCCAAGAACTTGTTTTTTCTGATTGACTTGAGCAGTCTCTGCTTTTGCATAGTGCTTGAAGCAGTTTTTAATAAACCAGTTCAGATCCATAGCTCTTTGAAAAAATTTCCATAAGTTACTGTGATTCTCAAGAAATACACCAAACCTCTCTCTAATTAGTGTATTTAATCATACCTTGTATAAGTTAGGGAAACAAGCCTGACAGATAAACTAAATTGCTGCTGGGATAGTCAAGTGGCTCCACCATTTAATGATAGCAAACCAAAGAATAACAATACTTGACTGACCATTTTAAGGTATAGTTTGTATATGTCGATCTCAAATTTTCCTTTTGCTGTGTGAGCCATTGACCATCTCAAGTGGAAGTAAGGGTTATGGGTAATATTAGACCACCACGAAGGGCAGTTTAGTGACATCGGTGGGTAATGGTTAGGTAAGGTACTTGAGGGGAGCATTAGTATCTGCTGAGCTTGAGCAACTCCTTGCCTCTGTCCCTAATACTGCATGCCCCTAAACTATGGCTGTCATAACCTCTCAGTGTTCTTACTGATAAGCTGAGAAATTTTCTGGCTAACTGGTTGGCTATAGTGTGATTCAGTAGTACAAATGGCTTGTTTTGGTGGTGGTGGGGAATAAAATGCCCAAGAAACATTTGATACATATTTTGTTGGTTATGAAGTCTGAAAAAATATTGTAGTTCCAGCTCTGCCATCCAGAATCTGTGTGTGCTCTAGTGGAAAGTTAGCCATTTCCTTATCTGTAAAATGGGACTATTATAGTAATACATACTCTGGAGGGTCATGGTAAATAAATTACAGTATATATGAGATGTCTAGTATTGTACTACCACAAAATTATCTCCTTATTTCTCCCTTATTAATTTAGGAAAAGTAAAATATTTTAGTTGGTTTCTATGTCAATTTAGATTTACTGGATAACCCATCTGCTATTTTGGCACACTATAGCTTTTTTTAGGTCCCTCAAAATAACTTCTTGCTTGCCTAATGAACACTGGTAGTGTTGATTGATATCTTTTCCTTTTGGACAGGGCGTAGTTCCTGTATCCTTGTCCATTTAGCTAATTTGCTGTGTATAATCAAACTTTTTCCCTCCTGTCTTAATCCCAAATAACCAAAAGGAAAGCTGATTAGTGCTGCTAAGCCATATACCAAAATTTTCATGGTTTTTGAGCTAGCAGGTATAATTCTTTGCTGCTTTTCAGCTTTAATTAGTTAGTTATTCCATGAAAGTTCATTTTCTAACAATTTATTATATATTCTGTTGATGTCTAAGCTTCAACATGTTCCATAGCTTGAATGTTACGTATAGAAAGGCCTATAGTATTTATAGGAAACATTCTATCCAGTTGTTGTAAGATACTTGTTCATTTTAAATCTTATCATGGATATACTTTGGACTTTTCCATATAATATAGAAATAGCGTTAGATTTTGATAGCATTGAAAGGTATTCTCATTGTTACTATTCTACATTAAAGTAATTGTGACGAGACGTGGTGGCTCACGCCTGTAATTCCAGCTCTTTGGGAGGCTGAGGCGGGTGGATCACTTGAGGTCAGGTGTTTGAGACCAGCCTGACCAATATGGTGAAACCCCATCTCTACTAAAAATAGAAAAACTAGGCCAGGGTGGTGGCAGGCGCCTGTAGTCCCAGCTACTCAGGAGGCTGAGGCAGGAGAATTGCTTGAATCTGGGAGGTGGAGGTTGCAGTGAGCCGAGATTGCACCACTGCACTCCACCCGCCCCCCGCCCCCACCCCCCGCCCCGCCAAAAAAAAGTAATTGCATGGAATATATTGCTTAAATGCAGGTTTTTTTTTTTGGACGGAGTTTCATTCTTGTTGCCCAGGCTGGAGTACAATGGCACAATCCCGGCTCACTGCAACCTCCACCTCCTGGGTTCAAGCAATCCTCCTGCCTCAGTCCCCCAAGTAGCTGGGATTACAGGCATGTGTCACCACGCCCGGCTAATTTTGTACTTTTAGTAGAGATGGGGTTTCACCATGTTGGTCAGGCTGGTCTCGAACTCCTGACCTCAGGTGATCCGCCCACCTCGGCCTCCCAAAGTGCTAGGATTACAGGCGTGAGCCACCCCGCCCAGCCTTTTAAAAATGCAGTCTTAAAGTGTGCATTGCCATATTTAATACATTTAAGTAGTGTAGCATACAACTTTTTTTAGTGGAAACATTTTAGATAAGGAAAATAATTGTAAAAATGGCTCATGGATCTGG
Organism: Homo sapiens; assembly: GCF_000001405.40. NCBI lineage: Eukaryota > Metazoa > Chordata > Mammalia > Primates > Hominidae > Homo > Homo sapiens. Next base: position 47,616,621 of record NC_000020.11, read on the forward strand.
ATGATAGAGTTTATATTGAAAGATTGACTTGGTTTTAGCCTTTGAATTCTGATAAAATGAGAAGTTCTTCCTTCCAGTTCTTTTCTGTACTTTGGTGCCAGGGGCTTGAAAAGGCTTCTGAGACTGGATTGTGTATCTTCTTGGAAGTGCATTAGAGGTGCAGTGGAAACTTCAAAATATGGATGCATCTCACAATTGGATGTATGATGTAACTTCAGGAGGACAGATTACTTGGTAGCAAGTATAGGTCCTAATTTCTTTTCTATTCAACTATAAGTGATAATATCTAATTGTAGGGAGTCAGAATTAAGAAGGGACTCTATGTTAATAGACTGTTCTTTTTTTTCTTTTTTAGACGGAGTCTCACTCTGTCATCCAGGCTGGAGTGCAGTGGCGCGGTCTTGGCTCACTGGCAACTTCTGCCTCTCGGGTTTAAGCTTTTCTCCTGCCTCAGCTTCCTGAGTAGCTGGGACTACATGTGCATGCCACCATGCCCAGCTAATTTTTGTATTTTTAGTAGAGATAGGGTTTCACCATGTTGGCCAGGCTGGTCTTGAACTCCTGACCTCAGGTGATCCACCCGCCTCGGCCTCCCAAAGTGCTGGGATTACAGGCGTGAGCCACCGCGCCTGGCCTAGACTGTTCTTACAATCAAACTTAGTGTGAGACTGTTGTGCTATATTATTTGCCCTTTGAAGATGGCTTTTATCAACTACATATATTCTCCAAACTAGATGGGTTGTAATTTAAGATGTAAAAATGTAAGCTAGTCTCAGGTAGTTACTGTTCCATGTTTCTTACCGGTTAAGAACTTCATGGTCTTGGTACCTGCCTTATTCCCCTCTCTCATCTTCATTCTTGACTGTTGACTGAAAGTGATCTAGATCTATTGTGTCTGTGCTAGGCATTTACCTTTTATATCTTAATCTACCAAAATAGCATATCCTCCCAGTGAGAAGGAGATAACAGGCGTGGCAACTAAAACAAATGCCATTTTTGATTTTTTGTTTATAGCTAAGATTAATACCAAATAGAAAACTGTACCTGAAGGGTTAGTCATAGTCATTTGTGCTCAGGAATTATTGTATATATTGAAATTATTATTTTGGGGACCAGAAATGCTTTTTTATTTCTCATGTTGAACATTTTCTTTAGTTTAATGAAATTCAGGAGATGTTTGCTCTACTTTGCTTTTTGTTATAAAACAATTTGTCATTTACTCTTAGACATTGTGGTATCTTATACAGTTGTACAGTAAATGTACCTAAGTTTTGTCCATGTCTAATTAAGAACTACAAATCTGTCCAACCTGTTCCTAAAAAACCCAAGATAGAGACTGGACATGGTGGCTCATGCCTGTGATTGCAGCGCTTTGGGAGGCTGACGTGGGCAGATCAGTTGAGGTCAGGAGTTCGAGACCAGCCTGGCCATCATGGTGAAACCCTGTCTCTATTGAAAATACAAAAATTAGCCAGGCGTGGTGGCACACACCTATAATCTCAGCTACTCGGGAGGCTGAGACGAGAATCATTTGAACCCGGGAGGCGGAGGTTGCAGTGAACTGAGATCATGCCACTGCACTCCAGCCTGGGTGACAGAGTGAGACTCTTGTCTCAAAAGCAAAACAAAACAAAAAATAAGATAGAAATATTTTATATCTTAAACAATTATACCTTTATGTTCGGGTAAACACCTTTTTCATGATTTTAAGTTATTATTTTCCCTTAGTTTTTTTTTTTTTTTTTTTTTTATAGACAGAATTCACTCTTGCTGCCTAGGCTGGAGTGCCAATGGCCCAATCTTGGCTTACTGCAACCTCCATCTCCCAGGTTCAAGCAATTCTCCTGTCTCAGCCTCCTGAGTAGCTGGAATTACAGACATGCACCACCACGTTTGGCTAATTTTGTATTTTTAGTAGAGATGGAGTTTCTCCATGTTGGTCAGGCTGGTCTCGAACTCCCGACCTCAGGTGATTCGCCCATCTTGGCCTCCCAAAGTGCTGGGATTACATGCATGAGGCACCACACCCGGCCTTCCCTTAGTACCTTTTTGGATAATTAGGTTGGACTCTGAAGGAGTAAGTTTGGTAGCAGGAAGATTGCACAGGCTTATGTGTACAGTGTAGCTTGTTTTGTGAGATCAAGAGAAAAAGCTGCATGTGTCTATGGACATAGCTCGACATATTTAGGTTTCATTATATGCACATAAACATTGGCTTAACACAAATGATCTGCATTTCTGGTTTAAACTGATATTTGTGCTTATTAATTTTTTTGCATATTAAGAGATTGTCATGACTTAGTTTTTCTATTGATTTAATTTATGCTGTCAGAATTTATTGTAACACTATATCAACTGTAGAAGTAAACATTTAAAAAGTTTAATGCAGTAGGATTGCATTGAATGATTGTTATAGATCAGAATAAAGGAAATTTCTAAACTATGATTTAGTAGGTTGAATGTTGCTTTTATATTTATTCAATATTTATTCAAGACATATATTGACCACCTATTACATGGTAGGCCCCTTACTCCTTACTGAGTATTCAACTTATATTTAATAACAAAGGAAATAATATTGAGAATATAGGCAAAATTTTATCTTTCAAATTAAAGAAGTGCTGTTATCCATGGAATAGTTTCTCCATTTGTTTCAGGGATTCAGCTTATAAACAAAAGCCAAAGTAAGGAAATAATATCTAGAATGTGGAATAAATTACATATTTAAAATAAAGAAATGTAGGCTGGGTGTGGTGGGTCATGCCTGTAATCCCAGCACTTTGGGAGGCTGAGGCAGGCGGATAACTTGAACCCAGGAGTTCAAGACCAGCCTGGGCAACATAGTGAGACCCTGTCTCTCCAAAAAATACAAAAATTAGCTGGGTGTGGTGGTGCTCACCTGTTGTCCCAGCTACTTGGGATACTGAGGCAGGAGGATTGCTTGAGCCTGGGAAGCCGAGGTTACAGTGAGCTGAGATTGTGCCACTGCACTTCAGCCTGGGTGACACAGTAAGACCCTGTCTTTAAAAAAAAAAAAAAAAAAAAGTTATTACTCAATGGATAGTTTGCCATTCAATTTAAAAATCACCTTTGAATGAAACAAATATAAAACCAATTATAGAGACATAACAAGAATTATTCTATTTTTGTACTTAAGGAATGGAATCACTATTCTTTTTATTTTTATTTTTTGAGATGGAGTCACACTCTGTTACCCAGGCCTGGAGTGCAGTGGCGGGATCTCAGCTCACTGCAACCTCCGCCTTCCGGGTTCATGCGATTCTCCTGCCTCAGCCTCCCAAGTAGCTGGGACTACAGGCGCCTGCCACCACGCCCAGCTAATTTTTGTATTTTTAGTAGAGACAGGGTTTCACCATATTGGCCAGGCTGGTCTCGATCTCCTGACCTTGTGATTCACCCGCCTCGGCCTCCCAAAGTGGTGGGATTACAGGCGTGAGCCACTGCACCTGGCTCTTTAATTATTCAATTTATTATTATTATTGTTTTTAAGAGACAGAGTCTCACTCGGTCACCCAGTCTGGAGTGCATTGGCGTGATCATAACTCACTGCAGCCTCAAACTCCTCAAACAAGCAGTCTTCCTGTTTTATTCCTAAGTAGTTAATGCTATAGGTGTGCACCATGATGCCTGGCTTATTTTTAAAAAAATTTTGTAGAGACAGGGTGTTACTGTGTTGCACAGATTGGTCTCAAACTCAAGTGCCTCAAACTCAAACTGCCTGAGCCTCCCAAAGCACTGGGATTACTTGAGCTACTCTTTTTAAATATGAAAATTGGAAAATCAAAACCGAACATACCTTTAAGTTTAAAACTCTTTTATTTGAGGATAATTTTAAACTTAAAGCAAGGTTGCAAGAAAATAGTACAAAGAGTTTTTACGTTTATCTCCCCCCCGGGTCAGGATTCACCTAGTGTCAACTCCCTTCCTCATCCTTGCTCTGCCTGTCCCCATTCCCAGGTTTATTCACTCACTCATTATATATGCAATTTTTCTTAACCATCTGAGGATAATTTGCATATGTAATAGCCTGTTACCCCAAATATTATACTAAGAATATTGGTCTCTTAAATAACCGTCGTTCATTTATCAACTTAAGTGTATTAATATTGACAACATACTTTTATGTCTATTGTCCATATTCTAATTTTGTCAGTTGATCCAATAATATTCTTTATAGCATTTTCTTACCCTCTAGCACAGGATTCAGTCTAGGATCAAATATTGCATTTAGTTGTCATTTTCTTATAGCTTCCTTTAAAATCTGGACTGTTTACAGACTTTCTTTGTCTTTTGTGACATTGACACGTTTGAAAATACAATACCCCTGAGATTGTGTGATCTGACTGTGCCACTACTAATAATAGTGAGCCACTACTAATAAAGGTTATTTTAAGTCTTTTTCTGTCCTTCATTTAAACTTGTCATGGGGAAAAAACAAATACTTAAATCATCTCAGCTTTTTAGCCTTTCCATTTTACAACCAAAGTTATAGAATGAATTTTCTTGGTAATTTAATACATATTTAGTGCATCTGTAAAGACAATGTTGCAATCTAGATTTTCTGATTTATATTATGATCATGTGATTTTTTAAATTTTTATTTTTTTTGTTTTTTTGCTTTTGATTTTTTTTTTAAAGCTACACATTTGAAGTTTGATCAGCATCTTGAGTGAATTTTTTCATTTTTATAAATCTGTCTTCCTTCCTGGTAGCATTCTGCCACCTAGTGGAAATTTATGTCCTCCAGCATACGTCTCAGAGTTTAGTTGGAATGCAAGATGCATTTTAATATATAAAAATTAGTTTAGAATCGTTGAACTTCTTTGGTTGACATGTAATTCTTTACAACAGTGATCGTCTTGTTTTAAACAAGAGTTTAGTACAGATAAAATTCTTAGCAAATGAGGGCTTAGTAGATGTCTTAAATCATCTTTCTCAACAAGAAGTACTCTACATTTATCTTCTTCATCAATGAAATTTTAACCAAAGCATACTATTTTTCCATCAGTCAAATTTTTTTTTTTTTTTTTGAGACGGAGTCTAGCTCTTGTCACCCAGGCTGGAGTGCAGTGGTGCCATCTCGGCTCACTGCAACGTCTACCCCTCGGTTCAAGTGATTCTCCTGCCTCAGCCTCCCAAATAACTAGGATTACAGGCACCTGCCACCATGGCTGGCTAATTTTTTATTTTTAGTAGAGACGGGGTTTCACCATGTTGGCCAGACGGGATTTCACCATGTTGGTCAGGCTGGTCTCAAACTCCTGACCTCAGGTGATCCACCTGCCTCGACCTCCCAAAGTGCTGGGACTACAGGCATGAGCTACCGCACCCTGCAAGATACACATTTTTAGTAGGACTTGAGGAACATTTCTGTCTTGGAGTACATACGTTCTGCATAATTCATATTAGAATATGAAATCTGAGGTTGTCTTCAGTATAGTCATTTATGAAAAAGAATATTGAGAATTATCTGTTTAGAGAAAGTAGTTCTGAATTAAAAGTTGCAGTCATTCAGTCATATAACACCTTCATAGAGTCATGTATATTTTTTAATGTACTTATCTTATTTCTCATTATTCTCTCTTAGTTGCTGATGTATATTCAAGATGAGTGGATTAGGAGAAAACTTGGATCCACTGGCCAGTGATTCACGAAAACGCAAATTGCCATGTGATACTCCAGGACAAGGGTAGGTGACTTATTTCCTGGTGCTTTACCACACTTGTTGTGCCTTTGTTTAAGGATAACATTTTAACTTCTTGCCATTTACATTCTCTGGTTAGATTTTTTGGTGGTTTCACTTCGTGGTAAGTAGAGTGTTACTGATGAGATGGACATCTTTTTGATGTAATAGAAGTTTTTTTTTTATTGCTGATTCATATAGAAGGTAGAATATTAACAATTCGCGGTACTATAAGAATTTCTGAATGGAAGGAGGGGTAGGAGTTACGAATAGATGACCAAGGTTATGTCACGTGCGTCCGTGTGAAGAGACCACCAGACTTTGTGTGAGCAACAAGGCTGTTTATTTCACCTGGGTACAGGCAGGCTGAGTCCAAAAAGAGAGTCAGCAAAGGGTGGTGGGATTATCATTAGTTCTTATAGGTTTTGGGATAGGCAGTGAGTTAGGAGCAATGTTTTGCGGGCGGGGTTAGATCTCACAAAGTACATTCTCAAGGGTAGGGAGAATTACAAAGAACCTTCTTAAGGGTGGGGGAGATTACAAAGTACATTGATCAAGTTAGGGTGGGGCAGAAACATCACAATGGTGGAATGTCATCAGTTAAGGCTATTTTCACTTCTTTTGTGGATCTTCAGTTGCTTCAGACCATCTGGATGTATATGTGCAGGCTTGGTCTCAGAGGCCTGACAGTTATAAGTAAGAATCTTTGCTATCTTTTAAGAATGGGTTATAAGTTGATATTTTGTCATTTGTGAGGTTGCATCCTTTTTTTTACCAAGTGAAATGAGAAGCTTAAAAATTAGAAACAAAATAATGTAATCTATATAACACTACTCTATAGCTTTTAAAGTATTTGCCAAAGTCAGTGTCAATTGAAGTTTAATGTGCTAGTTGAAAAATATCAATCTACAATGAATAAAACTTCATCATTAATAAGTAGCTACCACTGTTTTTGTTCTTATTTGTTAGTTGTTTTATTATCTCTAAGAAGTAAAGATGATTTATTCGTATTTTCTAGATGAAGTAACTGAGGCTAACTCTGCCCAAGGCCACCTAGCTAACAAAGATGGAACTGAATTTAGGTTTACATGAATCTCTATTATGTTGTACTACTTCTCCAAGACAGCATTTTTGATAGTTTATATTGGCTGAGTTTAGTTTGTTTACATATGAAAATAATAGGCCGGGTGTGGTGGCTCATGCCTGTAATCCCAGCACTCTGGGAGGCCAGGGTGGGTGGATTACCTGAGGTCAGGAGTTCAAGACCAGCCTGACCAACATGGTGAAACATCGTCTCAACTAAAAATGCAAAAATAAGCCAGGCGTGGTGGCGCATGCCTGTAATCCCAGCTACTGGGGAGGCTGAGTCAGGAGAATTGCCTGAATCCTGGAGGTGGAGGTTGCATTGAGCCAAAGTCGCACCGTTGTACTCCAGCCTGGGCAACAAGAGCGAAAACTCTGTCTCGAGGAAAAAAAAAAAAAAGTAATCATGTAATAGTGTTGTATAGGGGCTGATTCTGCTAACAGCTCTTTTGTGATATATATATTATGTCTCCTTTCCCCCCTTTCTACGCCTTTTCCCTTAGTCTTACCTGCAGTGGTGAAAAACGGAGACGGGAGCAGGAAAGTAAATATATTGAAGAATTGGCTGAGCTGATATCTGCCAATCTTAGTGATATTGACAATTTCAATGTCAAACCAGATAAATGTGCGATTTTAAAGGAAACAGTAAGACAGATACGTCAAATAAAAGAGCAAGGTAATAAAAACACTCATGTCTTTTTGAACAGTGGTGGTTCCCAACCTTTTTGGCACCAGGGACTGGTTTTGTGGAAGCCAGTTTTTCCATGGACCTGGTAGAGGGGATGGTTTCAGGATGATTCAAGCACATTACGTTTGTGGTGCATTTTATTTCTATTATGGTTACATTGTAACATATAATGAAATAATTATACAACTCACCATAATATAGAAATCAGTAGGAGCCCTGAGCTTGTTTTCCTGCAGCTAGATGGATCCATCTGGGGGTAATGGGAGAAACTGTGACAGATCATTAGGCATTAGAGAATCATAAGGAGCACACAACCTAGATTCCTCGCATGTGGAGTTCACATTAAGATTTGCACACCTGTGAGAATCTAATGCTACTTCTGAGCTGACAGGATGTAGAACTCAGGTGGTAATGTGAGTGATGGGGAGGGGCTGTTGTTAATACAGATGAAACTTTGCTCACTTGCCCACTGCTGACCTCCTGCTGTGCAGCCCCATTCCTAACAGGCCACAGACTGATACTTGTCTGTGGTCTGGGGGTTGGGGACCCCTGTTTTAGAAGGAACTTGTTGCTATATTTGCCTTTTTGCTCCTTTGTTTGGGTAGAGACTACAACTGATGGAGGCTAGCAAGTATGGGAATAGACAAATGTGTTGACCAGCTGTGCTTTTTGTTATTTATGTATTTATTTATTTTGAGATGGTGTCTCGCTTTGTCTCTCGGGCTGGAGTGCAGTGGTGTGATCTCAGCTCACCACAACCTCCACCTCTTGGGTTCAAGAGATTCTCCTGCCTCAGCCTCCCGAGTAGCTAGGATTACAGGCACCTGCCACCACGCCCAGCTAAGTTTTGTATTTTTAGTAGAGATGGGGTTTTGCCATGTTGGCCAGGCTGGTCTCAAACTCCTGACCTCAGGTGATCCACCCGCCTCAGCCTCCCAGAGTGCTGGGATTACAGGTGTGAGCCACCGCGCTGGGCCTCCAGCTTATGCTCTTTAGAGACGGTTAACAGACAATTGCCTGTTATTTGGTAGTTCCTTTTCAGGAAGCTGTGGGATAGTACATTTAGTAGTGAAATGATTTAGGTATCTTCTGGCTTCCTGGGCAACTATGAAGTTTAGTTTTGATGTTATAATATTGTAGCATCATTCTCTTATGAGGAAATGTTTTGTATGTATGTATGGGCATGTGCATGTGTATCTTTATGTCTCTTCTGGGGACTATTCGAAGGTGATTTAATCTATAACTGATAGTGTGTTATTCGTTATACCACCTTCTGTCTTTTCAGGAAAAACTATTTCCAATGATGATGATGTTCAAAAAGCCGATGTATCTTCTACAGGGCAGGGAGTTATTGATAAAGACTCCTTAGGACCGCTTTTACTTCAGGCAAGTATAAAGATTTTAACTGTCCAGTAGGCTGTATTGCCCTTTGGTTTATTATAAAGTTATAAAAAATCGATGAAATTTTGGTTAGGAAATGAGAACAAAAAGAAAACATTTTTTTCTTTGAGACAGTTCAGTATTCTGAATATGATGGTAAAATGCTCTTATAATTACAATATACATAATTCAGGAAGCCTTGCCCCCCTAGTAAAAATATAGTTGCAAACTGAGGAACCACACATATACAAACATAAAAATATAAGCAAGCAGGAAAGGAAAGGTAGCCTGTAATTTCACAGAGATATTTGGGTACAAATGGCCCTTCATATCCATGGGTTTTGCACCACAGATTTGGAGGCTGAGGAAGAAATAAAAAATAATGTTAAAACAATAAAAAACACCTCAGTGTGATGACTATATAGCACTTACATTGTATTAGGTATTATAACTAATCTAGAGATGATTTAAAGTATATTGGAATATATGCATAGGCTATAGGCAAATACACCATTTTATATTGGAGACTTGAGCATCCTCAGATTTTGCTATCTTTGGGAGGTCTTGGAACCAACCTTACACAGATACTGGGGTATGATGACTGTACGTTTCGGCTCAGACATTTTTGGTGAATTTTTGCGTGATTGATCACATGGCACGCTATGGTTTTATATTCTTGAGGAATTGTTAAGACTTAAACATGTGCTTTGTATTTGTTTAGGGGCTGAAGCCCTTCATAAAGTTAACTTGTCAACTTCTTTTTGTTTCAGGTAGTTTGTTCCAACTACTTTTAGTTGATCAGTTTTGAAATTCCTCTTTGTAAATTCTCATTAAGGAATAGTAGAGCAGTTTCTGTAGCTTGACTTGGCATCAAATGGAAAAATGGGAAGAGCTAAGGATGCTTTTCTCATTTTTAAAAGCTCCTTTAAAGATATAATTCTTTAAAAATTAGGTTAGACATTAATTCAGATTTCATGCTGAACATATTTATGTACACACTCCCCCACCCCCAATTATTCTTCTTTTTTTTTCCCCCCAGTAAGGCCTGTAGTAATGGTGCTAATGTTAGTAGTAATGGTGGCTTATAGTTGTTTGCAGTAATTAAGTCAGCAGTAGTTTTTACACATTCTACTTACTACTGTGGTTGCTGTTTGCTGATACTACCATAACAAAATACCACAGACTTGGTAGGTGAAACCAAATAAATTTATTTCTTACAGTGTTGGTGGCTGGAAGTCCAGGATCAAGGTGTCAGCAGGATTGGCTTCTCCTTGGCTTGTCACTGTGTTCTCCCATGGCCTTTTTCTCTGCGTGCACATTCCTGGTGTCTTTCTCTCCCCTTATAGGATACCAGTCATATTGGATTAGGGTCCCCACCGTTATGACCTCATTTATCTTTAATTACCTCCTTGAAGGTCTTGTTTCCAAATACAGTTACACTGATGGTTAGAGTTTCAATTTAAGAATTAGAGGGAGGAGGATACAATTCAGTCCATAACAGCCTGTATTAACATATCCTATTTTAGGCATTGGATGGTTTCCTATTTGTGGTGAATCGAGACGGAAACATTGTATTTGTATCAGAAAATGTCACACAATACCTGCAATATAAGCAAGAGGACCTGGTTAACACAAGTGTTTACAATATCTTACATGAAGAAGACAGAAAGGATTTTCTTAAGAATTTACCAAAATCTACAGGTAGGCTTTTAATGTGTATTTTCTAAATAGGTTAAATTTTTTTCCTTGACCATTTCTTAGAAAATTGAATGTATCTTTTAGGAAGTCAAGCGATCAAATGAGGGTAGAAAGGCATGTGATTTAATAGCAGAATTTTCACATATGGAGTCAGTGAATTAAAAATTTGGTATACATTTTAAGAGGCATATAGTTACAAAATATGCAGTGAGATTTCTGTTAAAGTTGAAATTATTCACATGTTTTGTATATTGCCAGCCTGAAATGTTAGTATAGATATAACTATGGAAAACATGCATAATGAGAAAATGCAGCTTGAATTCTTGATGATGGTCATAGAATGAGTTACCAGCTTTTTAAAATGTCATTTCAATTTGTTTTCCAAAGTTAATGGAGTTTCCTGGACAAATGAGACCCAAAGACAAAAAAGCCATACATTTAATTGCCGTATGTTGATGAAAACACCACATGATATTCTGGAAGACATAAACGCCAGTCCTGAAATGCGCCAGAGATATGAAACAATGCAGTGCTTTGCCCTGTCTCAGCCACGAGCTATGATGGAGGAAGGGGAAGGTAAGAGCTATTATATGTTTGTGATGTTCATGAAACAAATAGTGGCCATACTTGGAGTTTTGAAACTTGTGTTGTAACCCTTCTTACTGAATTCCATGTCTTTGCTTGCCTATTGAACATATATATCCAAAAGTTAAGTATAATCCTTACCAGGGTGAATTTTTTATTGTAGATTTGCAATCTTGTATGATCTGTGTGGCACGCCGCATTACTACAGGAGAAAGAACATTTCCATCAAACCCTGAGAGCTTTATTACCAGACATGATCTTTCAGGTAAAAACTCTTTTTTTGTCTCTCTCTCTCTCTGTGTATACGTACATTTTTATTTTGGAAATTTTTGTAAATGTTACTATTTTTAATCTGTACTATCATAGAAATGTATACCTACTGTAATGAGTGCTTTATGTGTATCTTTTTTCATGTTGCTTATGCAACCTTAAAAGAATTTCACTAAAATTCTTGGCATTTGAATTGGGTATGTTTGGCATTTTAAATCCCCCAGATAAATTAAAAAAAAAATTTAGGGGCACCTGGTTTTCTCTCCAAATTGCATTTTGCGTCAGAATTTAGTATTTCTTTAACTTCAAGCCCATTTGTCATAAAGAAACATGTTTTAAAAAATTATAAGTAATTTAATGAGAATTATTGGGAGTAATTCCTTTTTTTTTTTTTTTTTGTTGAGACGGAGTCTTGCTCTGTTGCCCAGGCTGGAGTGCAATGGTGCGATCTCGGCTCACTGCAACCTCCACTTCTTGGGTTCAAGTGATTTTCCTGCCATGGCCTCCCAAACAGTTTGGACTACAGGCACGTGCCACCATGCCCGGCTAATTTTTGTATTTTTAGTAGAGATGGGGTTTCACCATGTTGTCCAGGCTGGTCTCGAACTCTTGACCTCAAGTGAGTCGCCTGCCTCAGCCTCCCAAAATGCTGGGATTACAGTTGTGAGCCACTGTGCTTGGCCGGGAGTAATTCTTGACGTCAACCTGAGTTTCAATCTTGGTCTGCCATTTTTTAATCATAGAAATAAAAAATTAAAGACATCGTGGTTGATAAGATGCATTAATGAAATTAAACACTGTGGCAATATTATTTTTATTTACCTTCAGGGTTACTCTTATGGTCACCTAAGTGTAAATGGGGATGCCAAGGGTTTGTCATATATGCCCCATCTCAGAGATAAAGAAACAGAAGCTTGGTGACAGAGATTGGGTTATTGTCCAAGATCATGGCTAATAAGAAAATTTATAGCTGAGTCTGCCTGACTTAGCCTGTATTCTTTGCTTTGTGTAACACTAATTTTACAATGTGGACTTTTAACAAGTGATATAAAAATGGAGTAGGTATACATAAAACATAGCTATCACTATTACATATGTATGTGTGTGTTTGTAATATGTATATATAATATACATAATGCAGAATATTTTTAAAGAAATATTGCTATTTTTGCAGTCATTCAATCATTTTATGCCATCAGTAACCTATCTTCAGGATTTTTGAGATTAATTTTCACAATTAAAAGTAGCAAAGGATTATTTTGACAATTCACAGTATAATCTTGTTTACGCTGATGGATGTTACTTTTTTTTTTTTTTGAGACGGAGTTTTGCTCTGTCGTGCCCAGGCTGGAGTGCAATGGCATGATCTCAGCTCACTGCAACCTCTGCCTCCTGGGTTCAAGTGATTCTCCTGCCTCAGCCTCCCGAGTAGCTGAAATTACAGGCGCCCATCACCACGCCTGGCTAATTTTTTACATTTTTAGTAGAGACAGGGTTTCACAATGTTGGTCAGGCTGGTCTCAAAGTCCTGACCTCAGGTAATCCGCCTGCCTCGGCCTCCCAAAGTGTTGGGATTACAGGCATGAGCCACCATGCCCGGCTGTATGTTACTTTATATTTGAACATTTTCTCTGTATTAACTCCCCTCAGATAAACATAGTGACAGCAATTGTTATATATTATTTTATCCTTTTAGAGTGAGTCTTTCTCTGCACCTCTTATGATTTGGCAGTGTTAATTTTCTACTTGAATAGCCATGTTTTACATTTGCTACTGAAGATACTAAATAAAATATCTTTAAGCAATTTAGCAAGTAGCATCTTTGAAAATTATCTCATCAGTATATAAAAGTGATACATGTTTATTATAAAAGTTAGAAATTACCAAGCATGAAAGAAAACAGGACATGATGGAGAAAAAAATTGCCAAGCAAGAAAGATCAAATGCTTTGTGTGATTAACATCATTTAAAACTGAGATCCTACTTACTTTTGACCTCTGGGGATATTTTATCTTCTGTCCCTGATGTGTTTCATTTAATAAACTTTTTATGGACATCTGTTTTGTATTTGTCATGTGGCCCAGGGCTAAACTCAGGAGAGGTGGTTGAGGACAAATCATGTCTATTTTGGGCACGAGTGCACAGGTATTTACTCTTTCCCAGAATGCGTTTATCCCTTTTCCCTAGTCTCCCCCTGCTACTAATAAGATTTTTGGTCACCATTAAAATTCTGAATTTTAAACAGATTATTGGACTGGTGGTTTATTTCTGTCAGCTTATTCAATATTAGTGCCTTTTAAATCTCCAGTAGCTTTTGCAGAATTACCTTTCACTATGAAGCCCCATGAGTTTTCCCAAACCAAACTTGGTTTTCTTCAGTATGTTTTCTAATGAATATGTCATAGAAAGGATAAATATATGGGCAAGACTTTTTTTTTTTTTTTTTTTTTTTGAGACGGAGTCTCGCTCTGTTGCCCAGGCTGGAGTGCAGTGGCGAGATCTCGGCTCACTGCAACCTCTGCCTCCCGGGTTCAAACCATTCTCCTGCCTCAGCCTCCCGAGTTGCTGGGACTACAGGTATGTGCCACCACACTCAGCTAATTTTTTGTATTTTTAGTAGAGATGGGGTTTCACCATGTTAGCCAGGATGGTCTCGAACTCCTGACCTCATGATCCACCCACCTCGGCCTCCCAAAGTGTTGGGATTACAGGCACGAGCCACCGCGCCTGGCCTGGGCAAGCCTTTTCAATGTCTTTCCTAATTTGTCTGGAGTCAGTTTATTGCCCACTTCTTTCAAGTTATTTGTCTGTACCTTTTGGGTCACAACTTCCATCATCATTGGGATTTGGCATATCTGTTGGTGCTGAGCATAAGAGATTGCCCAAGTCTGATTATTGCATTTCTTAGTAAAACCTATACAAAACAGATAACTATTGGCAATCTTGACATCAGCAGGAGCTTCCTATGAAGTCTGCCATGTTTAACCATGGAGCATATTTTGTCACAGAAAAGATTACTGAGGATGTCCAGGTCAAAAACTGTGTGACCAGTTATTATGGCTTGGATCATTCTGTCTGCATTCAAAGACATAGAAAAGGCCTGAAAGCTGATCCAAGACCAGCCATGGAAGCTGGTCACATAGTTTTTGACCTGGATGTCCTCAGTAATTAGTCTGAATTTTCTAAGGGCAGTTTCATCATTATGCAGATCAGCAAGGTTCATTTCAAAAACACAGTTCTTGAGGCCATCAGATGCAGTTTTGGTTCCTTGAGCCCTTTTGACTAGTTTGTTACCAATTAAACACAGCTGGTGCTTTCACATCATATCAGTCTTTTTTAGGAAATGGATTAACCACTTTCTTCTTTGCTCCCATTCTGCCACTTTTTGTAAGGCACTTGCTTTTGCCAACCACCCTAGTGCTGCTTAGAGTGAAAAGGCCTAGACAGTTTTTAAGGACCATCTATTGTCATGAAACCTTCTTTAATTTCATAGTATTTTTGAGTATGTATATTTGGTGTCTCCATTGTATTTGATATTAAGCAAAAGTTGTCAGAAGCTTCCAGCATTGTAGAAATGAGTATTTGGTTAACCCTCCAAGTTTAGGTATTAAGTGTACAAAAATGTGATCATCTCTCAGATGCAAATAATTGTCCCTGCTGGCTTACTTTAAGTAGGTATTTTCTCTTGCTTATAGTTGTAGGGACAGAATCTCTTCGGACAAACAACTTTCCTCATAGGCGTTATTTTTTCCCTTTACACGAAAATGAACTTAAGGTTATCTGGACATGTATATTCAGTACATTCAGACAGTAAAAGGAGTTTGTGTGATATATATTCTGTACAGCATTTGGGAAAACACTGTTTTTCTACACTGCCACACCACTTCTGACCCCAGATGTATTTTTTTCTACACTAACCAGCGCTCTGTCTGACATAAGCTGGGTGCCCTACAATTTTAGTTTGGACAGTTTCTACCTGGGTTTAGCATTAGATCTTACAAGGTTAAGGGTTCAGTCCCACAAGACTGCCTGTACTTTACTTCAGATGCCAGTTGCAAGTCCTGGCCTTCTGTACTTCTGACTGACTGGCTATAAATTGGGCTTCTGATCCTCTCCTTAGGTTTGATGATTTGCTAGAATGGCTCAAGAAATCCGGAAATGCTTTACTCAGGTTTACTGGTTTCTTATGAAGGGTACAACTCAGGAATATCTCAATGGGAGAAATGTATAGGAGAAGGTATTAGGGGGTGGGGATGAGGTTTGGAGGTTCCATGCCCTCTCTGGGCTTATAGCCTTCCCAGCACCTTAATGTACTCATCCTTTGGAAGCTCATCAAATCTCTTGTTCAAGAGGTTTTTTTTTTTTTTTTTTTAATTGGAGATGGAGTCTTGCTCTGTTGCCTAGGCTGGAGTGCAGTGGCACGATCTCAGCTCACTGTAACCTCTGCCTCCCGGGTTCAAGCAATTCTCCTGCCTCAGCCTCCCAAGTAGCTGGGATTACAGGTACGCACCACCACGCCCAGCTAAGTTTTGTATTCTTAATAGAGATGGGGTTTCACCATGTTGACCAGGCTGGTCTCGAACTCTTGACCTTGTGATCTGCTTGCCTTGGCCTCCCAAAGTGCTGGGATTACAGATGTGAGCCACTGTTGCTGGCCCGAGTTTTTTTTTTTTGAGATGGAGTCTCATTCTATTGCCAGGCCGGAGTGCGGTGGCATGATCTCGGCTCACTGCAACCTCCGCCTGCCAGGTTCCAGCGATTCTCCTGCCTCACCCTCCCGAGTAGCTGGGACTACAGGCGCACACTCCCATGCCCAGCTAATTTTTGTATTTTTACTAGAGATGGGGTTTCACCATGTTGGCCAGGATGGTCTTGATATCTTGACCTCGTGATCTGCCTGCCTTGGCCTCCCAAAGTGTTGGGATTACAGGCGTGAGGCACCGTGCTAGGCCAAGAGTTTTTTATAGAATTTAATCACCAGGCTCTCCTTCCTCCCTCATGCCCCATTCCTGGAGGTTAGTAGATGGAACTACTAACAGAAAGTTCCAATCCTTTAATTACTTGGTCTTTCTGATTATCAGCTCCATCCTGAGGTGATCTAGAGACCCCACCCTAAGTCTCCTCATCAGCATAAATTGAGGTGTGTTCCAAAGGGGCTCTTTATGAATAACTTGAAAATACTTTTATTACTCAGGAAATTCTGAGGATTTTGGATAGGGGCTCTGTGCTAGAAATCTGACAAAGACCAAATGTATTATTATACTCCTTAGCAGAACATGTAGGGAGAATCCTGTGGTGCTATGTCTTAAGGAGAAAAGCTGTGGATATAGTAGAAATTTGGATCAGAGAAGGTGGAGCAAAGATTTAATATCTTTTATTTTATTCTCCAGTGCTAAGCCATGTGTAGGCAGCCAGTAAATACTTGTGGGCTGGATATAAGTCTTTTTTTCCTTTTTTTGTTTAATAGGAAAGGTTGTCAATATAGATACAAATTCACTGAGATCCTCCATGAGGCCTGGCTTTGAAGATATAATCCGAAGGTGTATTCAGAGATTTTTTAGTCTAAATGATGGGCAGTCATGGTCCCAGAAACGTCACTATCAAGAAGGTAAAGAATTTTGGGGTTGATTGTTCTTATCATTTTATTCTTTAGAGACAGGGCCTTGCTATCTTGCCCAGGCTGGACTCGAACTCCTGGATTTAATTGACCCTTCTGCCTCAGCTTCTGAGTAGCCAAGACTGCAGGTGCACACCACCATACCTGGTTTTGTGGTTGATTCTTGATCTTGTTTGTCATTATGTTTGGTATACACATGACTGTAGTTGCTCTCTTGTTGGTGAGGGGTAGGAAAATGATGCCTGAGTGTTCTTATTTTACCCTGTTGATGATTTTGGTGCAGATCCAGTCTTTCCTTGGATTTTTAGAAATGTACTTGAAGTATATTTCCTCCCTGTCCCCTCCTATATATATTTGTTTTGCTGACTGTAGTTACCAGTGATGGGATATTTTCCCCAACAGCTTATCTTAATGGCCATGCAGAAACCCCAGTATATCGATTCTCGTTGGCTGATGGAACTATAGTGACTGCACAGACAAAAAGCAAACTCTTCCGAAATCCTGTAACAAATGATCGACATGGCTTTGTCTCAACCCACTTCCTTCAGAGGTAATGATAGATTACTGTGTATTCTAATACAAAATGCAGCAGTGTTCTCAAAATGCTTTATTATTAAAGTAAAAAGGGAAGGGATAAAATGAGACAAAATTTAGGAAGGTTATTGGGTTTGATGAAATGAGTTTAGATTCCTGGATTATGATATGTTTAAGGTTGTATTTTTATGTGAAAGTGATTATTTATTAAATACTTTACAGGAAAGCTAGGTGATGGGAAGGCTAATGGGTGGATAAAAGAGCACATAAAATCTGATTACATGTCTTACCACTCATTTCTGATAATGTGTGTTGCTTTGGGGACTGCATTTAAAATTTGAGGGTAAACTTCAAGAATAAAGGTAGTTACTGTCTGGGTTGGTAGTGGCAAATAAGAAATGCATGAAGGGGAGGATATTCACCCATTAATTATCTTGAGTAATTTGCAGGTACCCCCAGGTGAAGCCCTAGATAATGTGGCAACTCTAATAAAGCCCACCTGAAACTCCAGTTAACATAGCTGTTGGTCTTTCATAATACTACAGTGGTCTCACTCATAGATTCTGTGGCTTACTGAAAAATATGTTACTAGGTAAATAATTGATCAATATGTAGATTGGAACTGTCACTAGGTATTGGAATGCTGCCTAAAAAGTTAAGTTCCTGGGTAGTTAATTCATCCCATTTTTTTATTCCCTCTCCTTCTCTCTCCCTTCTTCCTTTCTTCTTCTTCTCTTCTTCTTTTTTTTTTTTTTTTTTTTTAAACAGAGACAGAGTCTTGATCTGTCACCCAGGCAGGTGTGCAGTAGTGCCATCACAGCTCACTGCAACCTCGAACTCCTGGGCTCAGGCGATCCTCCCACCGCAGCCTCCTGAATAGCTAGGACTAGAGATGTGTGTCACTATGCCTGGCCAATTTTTAAATTTTTTGTAGAGACATGATCTTGCTGTGTTGCCCAGGTTGGTTTCAAACTCCTGAGCTCAAGTGATCCTCCTGCCTCAGCTTCCCAAAGTGCTGGGAATATAGGTGTTAGCCACTGTAGCTGGCTGGTTTTTTAAAATTTTATTTTATTTTAAATCTGATTAAAAGCTTTCATGCATGCTTAGAATTTTTTAGTAAAAGTTTGATGTTTGTTTTGCAGAGAACAGAATGGATATAGACCAAACCCAAATCCTGTTGGACAAGGGATTAGACCACCTATGGCTGGATGCAACAGTTCGGTAGGCGGCATGAGTATGTCGCCAAACCAAGGCTTACAGATGCCGAGCAGCAGGGCCTATGGCTTGGCAGACCCTAGCACCACAGGGCAGATGAGTGGAGCTAGGTATGGGGGTTCCAGTAACATAGCTTCATTGACCCCTGGGCCAGGCATGCAATCACCATCTTCCTACCAGAACAACAACTATGGGCTCAACATGAGTAGCCCCCCACATGGGAGTCCTGGTCTTGCCCCAAACCAGCAGAATATCATGATTTCTCCTCGTAATCGTGGGAGTCCAAAGATAGCCTCACATCAGTTTTCTCCTGTTGCAGGTATTTGTGTTGACATTTCCTTTTATTTTTTTTCTTTTTAAGTAATTATTCTTTCCATACTACTATAATTCTTGTAAAGTTAATCTATTTTATAATAGAAACTTTGAAGAATTAAGTTGTATTTTGTTACAGTGTCTGGTAGTCTAATTCTTTTCCTAAATTTTTTTTCAAATTCAGGTGTGCACTCTCCCATGGCATCTTCTGGCAATACTGGGAACCACAGCTTTTCCAGCAGCTCTCTCAGTGCCCTGCAAGCCATCAGTGAAGGTGTGGGGACTTCCCTTTTATCTACTCTGTCATCACCAGGCCCCAAATTGGATAACTCTCCCAATATGAATATTACCCAACCAAGTAAAGTAAGCAATCAGGATTCCAAGAGTCCTCTGGGCTTTTATTGCGACCAAAATCCAGTGGAGAGTTCAATGTGTCAGTCAAATAGCAGAGATCACCTCAGTGACAAAGAAAGTAAGGAGAGCAGTGTTGAGGGGGCAGAGAATCAAAGGGGTCCTTTGGAAAGCAAAGGTCATAAAAAATTACTGCAGTTACTTACCTGTTCTTCTGATGACCGGGGTCATTCCTCCTTGACCAACTCCCCCCTAGATTCAAGTTGTAAAGAATCTTCTGTTAGTGTCACCAGCCCCTCTGGAGTCTCCTCCTCTACATCTGGAGGAGTATCCTCTACATCCAATATGCATGGGTCACTGTTACAAGAGAAGCACCGGATTTTGCACAAGTTGCTGCAGAATGGGAATTCACCAGCTGAGGTAGCCAAGATTACTGCAGAAGCCACTGGGAAAGACACCAGCAGTATAACTTCTTGTGGGGACGGAAATGTTGTCAAGCAGGAGCAGCTAAGTCCTAAGAAGAAGGAGAATAATGCACTTCTTAGATACCTGCTGGACAGGGATGATCCTAGTGATGCACTCTCTAAAGAACTACAGCCCCAAGTGGAAGGAGTGGATAATAAAATGAGTCAGTGCACCAGCTCCACCATTCCTAGCTCAAGTCAAGAGAAAGACCCTAAAATTAAGACAGAGACAAGTGAAGAGGTAATTTGTTTTCTGTATATTTCAGCTCATATTTCATCATTTTTCGGTGTTAGATAATGTGATATAAAAATTCTTCCATTTTAGGTTTATTTAAAGAAAGTTAAATCTTTAGCTCTCATTTCTTTATAATTATTTTGGATGTCAGTAAAATTATGATGTAATTTAGAAATAACAGATGTGTATGTTTTAAGATGTGACTATAACTCTTTAGTAGCCAATATGAAATTTTTTCATGGAGGTGTTTATTGCTGGAATGGGCAGATTGGGTCATTAAGAGAATGGTAGAAGTAATCAGGAAAAAAAAAACTTGTATTAAGCAGCATAATTTTTATTTTAAGGTAAAATCAAGTTTCATGCACAAGATGACATTCTGTATAAGCATTTCCCAAACTTATAGGATATATTAATATGCACTTGAGAAAATGAAAGGCTTAAAGTTAGGATGTGGGCTTAACCTACTGTTCACCAAATTTATTGACCGAAGCCCTTTTTAGAGCATGCCTATGAACATCCCAGCTTGCTCCTTTTATTATTAATCACACTTATTTTCAGAAGGTTTGTGTAGATGCAGATATCTGTTAGCTAATTATCAATGCACTGCTAGTGACTGTTACCTGCAAAATATTCTACAGTTTGAGAATTAAATGTCTTGTGTAAATTTAAAAAATGCCCCTTTGAAAGGACCAAATGTAGTGATTTAATCTCAGAGGAGGAAGATTAGAGATGGGGGTCATAATAAACTGGCCTTTCAGGTGGGTATTATCATTGTAGGTAGTTTTTGTATTTTACTTGCTTCTATTTCATGTATCATTTTTTCTGATGGGTATGTTTATACCTGTGTGTCTGGTAATGTATACAGGTTAATTTTTAAAACTTTATTTTCAGGGATCTGGAGACTTGGATAATCTAGATGCTATTCTTGGTGATCTGACTAGTTCTGACTTTTACAATAATTCCATATCCTCAAATGGTAGTCATCTGGGGACTAAGCAACAGGTGTTTCAAGGAACTAATTCTCTGGGTAAGAATGAACTAGGTTTTTTTTTTTTTTGCTGCCTTTGAAACTTTTCTGCATACCTGTAAACACTCTTACACTAAGACCAGGATATAAATAGCATTTATAACTTCAGAACATATATTCTGCCTCTGTTTTCTATACTAATTTATATGTGCTTTAGAAAGCTTTTTGAACATTTTCCTGTTTTTTAAAAATTAAATAAATTTCCCACTTCTAACTAATATGCCAGTAATCATGGCACTTATAGAAAAATATTCATGTTTGATTATTCCAGGTGAGTACTGTAGGTACTAGGGCATATATTTTTCTTAGCCACAGAGAACTGGATTAAAAAGCAACTCAGACTCTAGATTAAAACCTGTCCATTGGTGTTTTAACAGAATCTTGTCATTTAATTAAGATAGTTTTCTTTGGTGTTTGCTGGTTCTTATCTAGCCCCTCTCCTGTTGCTGTGTGTTGACTTCATCAATTTAACAAAGGTAGGCCGGGCATGGTGGCTCACACCTGTGGTCCCAGCTACTCGGGAGGCTAAGGCATGAGAATCGCTTGAACCTGGGAGGCGAAGGTTGCAGTGAGCCAAGATTGCGCCACTGCACTCCAGCCTGGGTGACAGAGTGAGACTCCGTCTCAAACAAACAGACAGAAAAACAAAGATATATTGTGTGTGTCAATTGAAAAGGCAGCATGCACAATTATTCAGAATGGTCATTATTCAGTAGCATTATTTCCTAAACTAGAATGGATAGATCAATTAAGAGTGGGGGGGAAAAAAAGAAGGTTAGAAGGGGATTTTACATTTTATTTCTTTTCGATCAGAAGGCAACTTATCTGGTTAAGTTGATTGTTAAAATTATAAACAGTATACTTAAGTACAAATATGCAAGAACCTTCAGGAGCTTGGAACATTTGTGAATTTTTCAATATTAAGTGAAGCGCAGAGTATCAGTGACCATATCAGGCTACAGAAAAGTTCTCAGTACTTCAGCCGACATGGAGATTGTTGTTTCTACTTTATTTGGAATATGAGACCCTTTTTTGGCTGGCAGGGGGGCGGGGGGTGGCGGTGGTGGGTGAGGGCCACTTCCCTCACTTATTTTGTAAAGGAAGACAGTGTTTGTTTTTGTAAGAAAGACATTCTTGGGTGGGGAGTGGTGGTATTTGTGTTTTGTACTTGATTATTTATATATTAAATCACGAAGAAATGTTTTTGTATTGTGTTTTCAACAGGTTTGAAAAGTTCACAGTCTGTGCAGTCTATTCGTCCTCCATATAACCGAGCAGTGTCTCTGGATAGCCCTGTTTCTGTTGGCTCAAGTCCTCCAGTAAAAAATATCAGTGCTTTCCCCATGTTACCAAAGCAACCCATGTTGGGTGGGAATCCAAGAATGATGGATAGTCAGGAAAATTATGGCTCAAGTATGGGTACGTTATTTCTAATTAGTATGTATGATTATTTTGGGAAAAGCATATTTAAAATACTTAAAGCCATCTAAATAATTGGGAGTAAATAATAACTTTTTGAATAACGTTAGTATGTTTCTTCCATGAATATCCTTCATTTATTCTATGTTTTGGTTATGTAAACTCTTCAAGAGTCTTTTGGTCTATGACATTTTCCAGCCTGTTGAATATATGAGAATAGTGGCCTATGTCTCCACAGTTGGCCAGCCCTTTTCTTACCATGACAAAGTGCTGTTTTGTCAAGGTTGATGTTGTGTATAATGGCTGTACTTACATGGTATAAGAAGGATTTCATTATAATATGGAAAAGACCTAAGTATGGCTACCTGTTTTAGGTGGGCCAAACCGAAATGTGACTGTGACTCAGACTCCTTCCTCAGGAGACTGGGGCTTACCAAACTCAAAGGCCGGCAGAATGGAACCTATGAATTCAAACTCCATGGGAAGACCAGGAGGAGATTATAATACTTCTTTACCCAGACCTGCACTGGGTGGCTCTATTCCCACATTGCCTCTTCGGTCTAATAGCATACCAGGTGCGAGACCAGTATTGCAACAGCAGCAGCAGATGCTTCAAATGAGTAAGTGTCCACCCTCCCCTCTTCATGAAAAAAGAAAGTTAGATGTTTCAGGATAATTTTTGCTCTTATTTGAGAATTTGTGCTTTCTTTTTGCTCCCCCAGGGCCTGGTGAAATCCCCATGGGAATGGGGGCTAATCCCTATGGCCAAGCAGCAGCATCTAACCAACTGGGTTCCTGGCCCGATGGCATGTTGTCCATGGAACAAGTTTCTCATGGCACTCAAAATAGGTGGGGTGTTATTTTGTGACTCTGTAGAAAATCTCAGCATTGGGTAGTTTAGAAAAGAGTTGGAGCACAGAAGCAAACGTGAAAGAGAATGAGAATTCCCTATAATTGAGGTACTGGGTTGCCAGCTGGGCATTTCTCGTGTAACTCTGTGTAAAAATGAGGCTGAAGCAGTAAGCAGTGCGTGTGGCATTCACAGGAGAGGGAGGAGATACAACCATGTTGTCCAGCCATTAGGGCCATTCAGTGGCCAAACCTCTGAGAGCCTCTCTGTGAGATGATTGTCTCTCTAGTCCCATGAGGAGGGGAAAAAAGATAAGTACATGTTTCTAGTGGTTTTATAAATGTTCTTCAGAGGGTTAGCCTCAGTTTTCCAGAAAATTAAACTTTTTTAAAAAAACTTTTCTTTTCCCCCAACCACCTGCTGCCTATTGAGAAAATTCTTTTAAGGATTGGCTAATTGTTTTCTAAAATTATTTTAAACATTTCAGTGATGATAGTGAAATAACTATATAGCATCTTTAAAATTTTTCATAAAATAAAGATTGTAGGCCCGGTGTGGTGGCTCACGCCTGTAATCCCAGCACTTTGGGAGGCCGAGGCGGGCAGATCACAAGGTCAGGAGATCGAGACTATCCTGGCTAACAAGGTGAAACCCCTGTCTCTACTAAAAAAAAAAAAAAAAAAAAATTAGCCGGGTGTGGTGGTGTGTGCCTGTAGTCCCAGCTACTCAGGAGGCTGAGGAAGGAGAATGGCGTGAACCCGGGTGGCGGAGCTTGCAGTGAGCTGAGATTATGCCACTGCACCCCAGCCTGGGCAACAGAGTGAGACTCCGTCTCTAAAAAAAAAAAAAATTGTAGATTGTATTTAATTTTTATTTAGCTTAGTAATTTACTTGCATGCAAGAGGCCATGGTCAATGTCAGCTCTAACAGGAATTCTACAGTAAGTTAAGCAAGGAAAATAAAAATGAACTGATCTATTGAGCAGACAGTGATGTAACTATATGAATTTATTTGAGTGCTTCTCTACTCTATATGAATTTATTTGAATGCTTCTCTACTCAATAGAGAGCAAATAGTTTCAAGTTAACAGAACTTTTCTGAGGCAGGATAAATGTTTAACTTCATGCCCTTGTATGTGTTGGAGAACTGAGGCAACTTGCTGTGGGTGTATGGGGTTTGTGTTACACTTGCCAATATGAGCTCTGTGGGCCAAGTGTGACAAAGTCATTTTGGTATTTCTCCAGACTCACGTCAGTGATAGCTCAACATTTCTTTTTTTTTTTTTTTTTTTTTGAGACGGAATCTGGCTCTGTCGCCCAGGCTGGAGTGCAGTGGTGCAATCTCGGCTCAAGGATCTCCTGGGCTCAAGCAATCTGCCCACCTCTACCTCCCAAAGTTCTGGGATTACAGGTGTCAGCCACCACGCCTGGCTCCCTTCTTTTTTTTTTTTTTTTTTTTTTTTTTTTGAGACAAAGTCTTGCTCTCTCTCCCAGCCTGGAGTGCAGTGGCGCAATCTCGGATCACTGCAAGCTCCGCCTCCTGGGTTCATGCCATTCCCGCCTCAGCCTCCCGACTAGCTGGGGCTACAGGCGCTCACCACCACGCCTGGCTGATTTTTTGTATTTTTAGTAGAGACGGGGTTTCACCATTCACAGGATGGTCTCGATCTCCTGACCTCGTGATCCGCCCGCCTCGGCCTCCCAAAGTGCTGGGATTACAGGCTTGAGCCACTGCGCCTGGCCATAGCTCAACATTTGTATCCTTCCTTTTATTCTTTTGATTTCTCTAATTTTCAAGTATTATAATTATTACCTCCTTCACTGTTTTTGTGAGGAGTATCTTCTCCCATCCTTCCCTACCCTCCCCCTGGCCCCCATTTCTGCTATACCCCAAATGCCTAGGGTTTGGCAATTACAATTTGGTGTTGGGATTGGGGGTTTAAGCTGTATATGGTGGTCTAAAGTGGCCTGGTGAAATTTCTAAATTGTGGGCCTTAAACTTAAATTGATGCCATTCACTCTTTTTTACCACTTGGTTTATTATTTGTGTTTGTAGCATTTGAGTTACTGTTCATTAAAAATACTATGCATGGTTGCTGTGATCTATTACTCTTAGAAAAAAAAAAAGCACCATTGACATTGATTGCAAGTCTTTTTCTAGGCCTCTTCTTAGGAATTCCCTGGATGATCTTGTTGGGCCACCTTCCAACCTGGAAGGCCAGAGTGACGAAAGAGCATTATTGGACCAGCTGCACACTCTTCTCAGCAACACAGATGCCACAGGCCTGGAAGAAATTGACAGAGCTTTGGGCATTCCTGAACTTGTCAATCAGGTAGGTTGCATTAACATGGAAGTAGGAGAGTGTATATTTGTGTGTGTGCGCGCGTACACATTCATGAAGCCACATACAAGAATGCCTGTGTGTGTCTCTCCTAGTACTTGTGTTATATCACTACATTCATGGATACCAGCATTAAATTTGGAAAATATCCTTTTTTGGTCTCAATTCGTATGTTAAAATAGAAAATATACTTACGATTGCGATATTACTTTCAACAACCCACTATTTTTGGCAATTGTAGAAATGATTTAGTTAAGCTACTGTACTGTTCTTAAAAATGTGACCTTTTATTCATGTTAACAGTTCTCATTTTTATAACTATCTTTCTCTACTACTTAGCCAAGCCGTGTGTATTCTGAGGCAAGCTTTTTTTTTGCTTGTTTGTTTAAACAAAACTTGTTTACAATGGCCAAGCTGAACATCCTAACATCATGGTGTCCTGTTCCTGTTTACATACCCCGCCTTATGAAAACATGCCATTCACAAATCTGTATTTCTGAAAGACACATTCTGTAGTGACTGTTTTTTCTTTTTTGAATCGGAGTCTCGCTCTGTCAACCAGGCTGGAGTGCAGTGGCACAATTTCATCTCACTGCAACCTCCACCTCCAGGGTTCAAGTGATTCTCCTGCCTTAGCCTCGCGAGTAGCTGTGATTACAGGCACCCGCCACCACGCCCGGGTAATTTCTTTTGTATTTTTAGTAGAGATGAGATTTTGCCATGTTGGCCAGGCTGGTCTCAAACTTCTGACCTCAAGTGATCCACTCGCCTTGGCCTCCCAAAGTGCTGGGATTACAGGCGTGAGCCACCGTGCCCAGCCATGACTGTTTTTATTTAAAGGCTATGGAGGGGCCACTGTATAGGTTTGTGCGTTCAACAGTAAGCAGGAAAGATCATCAGGGGCTGTCAGTTGTTGTTGGGGAAATAGATGTGTACATATGGAAGTACACTGCCATGTGGCAAATGCTGTCACAGTGCAGATGGGAAACGCTGAGCAGTCCTTGTGTACACCTTCAGGGATACCAGTGACATAGAACCTTGGCACTGAGGAGCCATATTTTATACTCCAACAGAAGTATAGAAGTTCTTTTTTATTTCTTTACTTGTTCAGGCACACTAAATAACCCATCAATTCCTTCCTTCCCTCCTGTAGTTCTCTCTGTTTTACTGTGTCCTTGTGAGGCAAGTCTAGAAATTAATAATTGTCACTATTCCCCTGTGTTGGACTCCTAGTATCCTGAATCTCAAATCGCTTTCTGTCTTGATTTACTCCTTTGTTTTGCTGCAACACAACTTCTATTAACTTCTTCATCCCTACTGCATGAAATAAAATGTTTTGGGTTCTATGTGTCTGAAAATATCTTTATTCCACCCTCCTACATGTCTGGCTATGTATTACATTCTAGGTTTAAAATAATTATATACTTTTGAAAGATTTCTGCCATAGTTTTCTGGCATCTAGTGTGGCCACTGAGTTGTATTTCTTTCTGATTTTGATTCATTTGCATGTGACCCGTTTATTCTCTTTGGAATGATTTAGGAACTTTTTCTCTCCGAAATTTTATGATGCTGTATCTTGGTATGGGTCTTTTTTCATTCATTCTGCTGTGTACTAGATACACTGATATTCCCTTTGGTTTAGGGGTGTTTTCTTGTATAATTTCTTTATTAACCTTATCTCTCCTGTGTTTTTTTTTCTGACCTACTTTTCTGGGATTTCTGTTGACATGTTGGGCATTAAATTCGTTCTATTTTTTTTTTTTTGAGACGGAGTCTCGCTCTGTCGCCCAGGCTGGAGTGCAGTGGCGTGATCTTGGCTCACTGCAAGCTCCACCTCCTGGGTTCAAGCCATTCTCCTGCCTCAGCCTCCCGAGTAGCTGGGACTACAGGTGCCCGCCACCACACCTGGCTAATTTTTTGTATTTTTAGTAGAGACGGGGTTTCACCGTGTTAGCGAGGATGGTCTCGATCCCCTGACCTCATGATCCACCCACCTCAGCCTCCCAAAGTGGGATTACAGGCTGGGATTACAGGCGTGAGCCACCGCGCCTGGCCCTTCATTCTATATTTTGAAGTCTTCTCTATTTTTCTTGTCTTTGATTTGCTTGAGTCACGTTCAAGCTTGGAAAGTGTTGGACGCTTTTATCAAGTATCTGGTGATCCCTGACTGTTCTTATATGTTAAGAGTGAGACATTAAGAAGCTGATTTGACACTTTGCAAGTGTGAGCAGCATCAGTTGTCTTTACTGAGGGTAATTAAGTGGGGAACTAGCCCTAGCCCTTTTATTTCAGGACTCCCCAAATTTTTATTTATTTATTTTTGAGACGGAGTCTCTCCCTATCGCCCAGGCTGGAGTGCAGAAGCGTGATCTCGGCTCACTGCAACCTCCACCTCCTGTGTTCAAGCGATTCTCCTGCCTCAACCTCCTGAGTAGCTGGGACTACAGGCGCACGCCACCACGCCCGGCTTTTTTTTGTATTTTTAGTAAAGACGGGGTTTCACCATATTGGCCAGGCTGGTCTCGAACTCCTGACCTCGTGATCCACCTGCCTCGGCCTCCCAAAGTGCTGAGATTACAGGTGTGAGCCACCGCGCCTGGCCAGGACTCCCCAAATTTCCACATGTAGAGTTGTTTTCAACCACCACTACCACTCCTGCCATCTGGTAATCTTTTATTACCTGGTTGCATTTTGGGAGCTGGGCTAGGGAGGCAAGTGTGGGATATTAAATTATAAAATATAAAATTTTATTTAAATTATAAATATGCTAAATATAAAATTTCCTGTTTTCAGCCTCTGCCTCACTCCTTTCTTAGGCTCTGCTTGGTGCCCCTGAACCCCTGTACCTTTGTCGGGTAGGTAGAAGGTACAGGCCTTTCGGGAGTCAGGGAGCAGGCAGGGAGGTAGTTGACCTCCTGCTCTATACTCAGACTCCTAACCAACCTCCTCATTTCAGCACCATGCTCTGATCCCCTACCACCCTCACTGGAGTCTCAATAGATCTGTGGAATACATTTGCTTGTTTTTCATATGTATTTTTCCTCTGTGGGCACATAAGTCTAAGTTTTTCTGTTCTGTTGAGCTGGTTCCTACTTCTCTATTCACTTTGTATCTTCTATTATAAATATGGAAATACTTGATCTTGTTGCGTTATTAGTGTTTTATGGATAAATACTACCTTTTAAGTATTTTTTTTTTAAATAAACTGGATACCTCTTAGTTCCCTTTATTGTCATTTTAGTAGGGTTAGCAAGTGAATGCAGGTAAGCATGCATGATCAGTCTGCCATGTTTAACTTAAAGTATAGTTTGCTTTATTAAGACATCTTCAGCCAGGCATGATGGTGTGTGCCTGTAGTCCCAGCTACTGGGGAGGCTGAGGTGGGAGGATCACATGAACCCAAGTTGATGGGACAAAATAGAAACATAGTTTCCAGTTACTATGGTAACAGTCCAAGAGGTGTCCTGGGAAGGGTCATAAGGGTGAAATGGAAAGAAGGGAGGGATACATGATATGCCCTGGAGGAAAAATTGACAGGACTTGGTGGTCACACGTGTTTACTCTTGGAAAGGGAGAATGTGAAGAATCAAATTGCTGGGTTTTGGTTCCTGGGCAGTGAATGGTGATGCTGTGTACCGTCACCATTTGACATCTGTGAGGGGTTGGTTTCAGGACCCCTGTGGATACCAAAATCCATGGATGCTCAAGTCCCTTATATAAAACAGTCTAGTATTTGCATATAGCCTATGCACATCCTCCCACATAGTTTAAATCAGCTCTACATTACTTATAATACCTAATACAATGTAAATGTTATGTATATTATATAGTTGTTACACTGTATTGTTTAGGGAATTATTATAAGAAGAATGATGACTGTGTGTATTCAGTCAGGTACAGCTACCGTTTCCTTCCCCTGGAATGTTTTCAGTCCCCTGTTGGTTGAATCCATGAGTGTGGAACCATGGATATGGAGGGCCAACTGTATTGTGATATAGTAGGGTAGGTTGGAGGAGAACAAGCCTGCTTGGGGGGAAGGGCTGTTGGGAATCATGGTGTCTGTTTTCTGCCTGTTAAGTTTGAGATACCTGAGACATCAGGGTGCGGATGTTAAGTAGGCATTTCCATAAACAAAACCAAAAGTTCAGAGATGTTTTGGCTGGAGACAAAAATGTGATCATTATCACCAGCGGATGAGAGCACCTAAGTAGAAAATATATCAAGAGAAAATAAGAGAGCCTAGGACTGAACCCTGATGAACAGTTAGCATTCATTCAAGGAAAGGCCAGAGAGATGGGAGAAAAATGAGAAGTGTTGCGAAGTACAGTGGGGTGAAGTATGCTTCAAGAGAGACATGTCAAGCATGCTGGCTGCATGCTTGGCATTCAGTGCCTGTGGATGAGAAAATAAAGGTGAATGCACAGTACACCTGGTTCTTGTCTTAGCACAGCAGGTTGTTCTCTTCTTCAGAATATCAACTTTTACTTCTTTTTCTGTCACCTGTGGGATGTTATTTTGAATGTATCCTTAGCATGTAGAGAAGTGATGCCTGGCACATAACAAGCATTTACTTAAATACTTGTTGAATGACTGGATGTTTTTTGCACTTTCTTTAGAGCATTTGACTTCTGTTGCTTTCATAGATGTTCTTCACTGTTCTTTTATGTGTTGTGTTTAAGGGACAGGCATTAGAGCCCAAACAGGATGCTTTCCAAGGCCAAGAAGCAGCAGTAATGATGGATCAGAAGGCAGGATTATATGGACAGACATACCCAGCACAGGGGCCTCCAATGCAAGGAGGCTTTCATCTTCAGGGACAATCACCATCTTTTAACTCTATGATGAATCAGATGAACCAGCAAGGCAATTTTCCTCTCCAAGGAATGCACCCACGAGCCAACATCATGAGACCCCGGACAAACACCCCCAAGCAACTTAGAATGCAGCTTCAGCAGAGGCTGCAGGGCCAGCAGGTAACCAGTCATGTGTTCTTCCCTCTGGCTTCTCCTTCTGTTGTTTTCAGACTATGTTTCTCAGTGTTCTTACCACTGGTGCAATCTATCCCTGTCAACTAAAGAAATTCTTTTTGTTTTACTTCTGTGTAAGGTTTTATTTGTACAAATGGCTCCTTGTTAAGGAGTAGTTTTATGAGAATATTCTATTTTACAGGTAAAAAGTAAAAAAATGTCAGGAAGGATTGCTCTTGGGGAAGAAAAATGTTACTTGATGACTTTGTAGTCTTAAAGGTAGATAAGGTTTTTTTTGAAAAAAATCCTTACTGCTAATAACCAAATACTTAAACCTTCTTGATTTCAGCATTTTTAATGGAACTCTTCTTTCTAGATGTTTTATAAAACTAGAGTTGTCTTTTAATATTCTAAAATATGACTTCTGTTTACCCTATTGTTTTCTTAGTCCCCAAGAAATGTTTTAAAATTCAATTGTTTTTATTGTTTATGTCTTCAAACCATATAAGTAGATGAATGCCTGAGGTTTTTTTTTTGTTTGTTTGTTTGTTTTGTTTTGTTTTTTTTTTTTTGAGGTGGAGTCTTGCTCTGTCGCCCAGGCTGGAGTGCAGTGGCATGATCTTGGCTTACTGCAACCTCCACCTTCTGGGTTCAGGTGATTCTCATGCCTCAGCCTCCCGAGTAGCTGGGGAGCCACGCAAGCCCGGCTAGTTTTTGTATTTTTAGTAGAGACAGGGTTTCACCATGTTGGCCAGGCCCGTCTTGAACTCCTGACCTCAGGTGATCCTCCTGCCTTGACCTTCCAAAGTGCTGGGATTACAGGTGTGAGCCACCGTGTGCGGCCAAATGCCTGAGTTTGGAATCCAAAGAGCCAGAGACTCCATTGCATAAATATTGTTAAAAGTCAGTTTAGGTACTCAGAAAAGCTGTGTTACTGTATTCATTTTACTTTCTGCCGTTTCTTCACTAAAAGTCATTTAGGGAAAGCTAATGGAGTTTATTCAGAATTCCTCTGATCAACTTAAAGGTATTTCCCCATGTGCCCGAATAATCCCAGAGAAAGCCTGACTATAAATCTTTTGAGTTTCTATTGTGTGTGTGTATATATATATAAAATTTATTTATTTATTATTATTTTTTCTGATACAGGGTTTCAGGATGGAATGCAGTGGTGCAGTCACAGCCCACTGCAGCCTCGACCTCCCAGGCTCAGGTGATCATTCCACCTCAGCCTCCCAGGTAGCTGGGACTACAGGAGTGTGCCACCACTCTTGGCTAATTTTTTGTAGAGATGGGGTTTCTTCATGTTGCCCAGACTGATCTCAGACTCTTGGGCTCAAGTGATCTGCCCACCTCAGCCTCTCAAAGTGCTGGGATTACAGGTGTGAAGATATTCTTTAAGCTGCAAAATTGCACTTTACTTTTTTTTCCCCAGTGCCAAACAGTAGCCCATCATATGCTAGCCAAAGACTTTTCAACATTGACCTTTTTGCAGTGTGAAAGTACTGGTTCAGTTTAGACGTGACTTAGCCAGGTTATTGTGTTTGGAGATATTACCTCATTGGCTGGTGCTGAGGGTCTGGAAAGCTGTTTTGGCAGACTGACGTGCTCTGCTTGCATTCTAACCAACTTGTCTCACCTCAGTTTTTGAATCAGAGCCGACAGGCACTTGAATTGAAAATGGAAAACCCTACTGCTGGTGGTGCTGCGGTGATGAGGCCTATGATGCAGCCCCAGGTGAGCTCCCAGGTGAGGATGATAAGCCTCTCCACATGCATTGCTCTGTGCTCAGGACAGGGCTTGGCCTGTGGTTGGCTCTCAGTAAATGTTTGTTAAACAAATGAAGGTAATTCTGAATTTCTTGTGTAAGAAAGCAGTCGCATTAAAGACTTTCGACTCTTCCATTCTTCTCTCTGGCTGGTGACTGGGAGGAATCAGAGGAGGGAGAGCTTTCTTCATTAAAACCATCGATTAGTGTTTTTTTAATTGGTTCCCTTTGTGATCAGTTGCTGTACTGTGAGAACAGCTATCACTTGGCTGTTTAGGAATTTAATAAATCTGTAAATGTTCCTCTGTTCCTGGATTATGAAACAACATGCACACTGGGTAAAATTCTGAAATTATAAAGAAGAAAATAAAGAATACATAATCCTGTTCTCAGTGATAGCCTCTGAGATGACCTGTTTCTTGTAGTAGGAGGGGATATTAAAATTCCCTTCTACTTCCAGCCAGTGGTGGAGACAGTATTGAGGGGTTTTTTTAATGTGCATGAGGCAGATGACCACACAGCAATCCTCTATTGTGATTTGAAATATCGTTTATAATTGTTTTTTAAAAAGCAACTGTGAAATGCTCGATTTTTATTGTCTTATGCCTACTTGGAAGTACTGATATTTACATTTTCTTGATAATAAAACATCTTGTGGAAGCTGAGCTAGAATGTCCTACAGAAAGATGATAAAAGCTTGCTTTTTGGAGATGACCCGTAGCTAGTAGAGCTGAAATCAGCTTCCTTGTTGTACTTCAGTTATGTCACCTTCTGAACCTCCAGATAGCTTCTGCTTGCCCCTTACCTCTTTCTGAAAGTTTAAAGAAAGTTCAAGATTTTCTGAGGTGGACCCCTGCTTATCTGAGTATAACCCCATCTTATTTTTTTTGGCTTCATGTTTCAGCCCTCCACCACCCCAACACACTGAATCCTCATTTTCCTGTAATTGTCTTTCATAGTTCCTGAAAAATTTGTCCTCAGATTCCACCCCTAAATGTTTTCTTACTTTGTGGAATGTTTCTAGTCATGTTAAAGCTTGACAGTGTGTTGTCTTTTGTCTTTTAACCCCAAATAATTTTCAGGTCCCTCTTCTTCAGTTCTCCCTCCCTCCCCTTGCAATAGCCAGAAAGCTTTTTTTTTTTTTTTTTGAGAGTCACTGTTGCCCAGGCTGGAGTACAGTGGCACGATCTCGGCTCACTGCAGCGTCAATTCCCTGGGTTTAAGGGATTTTCCTGCCTCAGCCTCCTGAGTAGCTGGGATTACAGGTGCTCATCACCAAGGCTGGCTAGTTTTGGTATTTTTAGTAGAGACAGGGTTTCACCATTTTGGCCAGGCTGGTCTCGAACTCCTGACCTCAAGTGATCCGCCCACCTTGGCCTCCCAAAGTGCTGGGATTACAGGCGTAAGCCACTGCACCAGGTCAGAAAGCTTTTATGTGAAGAATTGTATGTTTTGGCCGGCACAGTGGCTCACACCTGTAATTTAAGCACTTCGGGAGGCCGAGGTGGGCGGATCACCTGAGGTTAGGAGTTTGAGACCAGCCTGGCTAACATGGTGAAGCACTATCTCTACTAAAAATACAAAAATTAGCCAGAGTGGTGGTGCACGCCTGTAATCCCAGCTACTTGGGAGGCTGAGGCAGAAGACTCACTTGAACCTGGGAGACGAAGGTTGCTGTGAGGCGAGATTGTGCCACTGCGCTCCAGCCTGGGCGACAGAGTGAGACCCTGTTAAAAAAAAGAAGGCCCTGGGTGTTTTCTGTCTTATACCTGGTGTATTGTGGGGGTACTATATGTATGCAACTGGCAGGTTCTTGCTATATATATGTAATTGCACTCTTTCTTGGGTATTAGCAGGGTTTTCTTAATGCTCAAATGGTCGCCCAACGCAGCAGAGAGCTGCTAAGTCATCACTTCCGACAACAGAGGGTGGCTATGATGATGCAGCAGCAGCAGCAGCAGCAACAGCAGCAGCAGCAGCAGCAGCAGCAGCAACAGCAACAGCAACAGCAACAGCAGCAACAGCAGCAAACCCAGGCCTTCAGCCCACCTCCTAATGTGACTGCTTCCCCCAGCATGGATGGGCTTTTGGCAGGACCCACAATGCCACAAGCTCCTCCGCAACAGTTTCCATATCAACCAAATTATGGTAAATCTGACAATGAAAATGTGCCTTCCCCAAGTTAACATTACTAAGGACATAAGCTTCATTACATTTATTGCACATGAAAGACAAAAACACGATTCACTCCCTCTTTACTTCACAAGGAAAACCAAATTAATTTAAATGATTGGAAAACAAAAATGCTGCAGCACACAGGTAATTGAGACAGGTGTATCCTGTCATAGTTGAATATTTTTTTCAGTCCCACTCATTAAGAGTCCCCAAACTCTGGAAGAAACACTGCAAAGTTGTCCCCTTGCCCCTTCTTGTATGTTCCAGTATAGTAGAACTCTCTAATCTCTGAATGCTTGGTCAAGTCAGTGAGAGGAATGCACTTTGTGGGCTTTTAAGTTGATTTTCTTGGTGACTTGGATTTATTATTTTTTTTTTGAGATGGGGGTCTTGCTCTGTCACCCAGGTTGGAGTGCAGTGGTGCGATCTTGGCTCACTGCAACCTCTGCCTCCCGGGTTCAAGTGATTCTCCTGCCTCAGCCCTGAGTAGCTGGGACTACAGGTGCATTCCACCACCCCCGGCTGTTTTTTTTTTTAAATTTTTAATAGAGACGGGGTTTCACTGTGTTAGCCAGGATGGTCTCGATCTCCTGACCTCGTGATCTGCCTGCATCGGCCTCCCAAAGTGCTGGGATTACAGGCGTGAGTCACCGTGCCCGGCCCTGGATTTATTATTACAGTGATGCAGATACCTCTTCATTTCAGCCTTTGAGAGGTTCCAGGAACATGGTGGGAATAAAGGTGTCTATTGGGGAGCCCTGTCATCTGAGGATTATAACTCCCCTGCCCTTTAAAGAAGGATGGAGTGATGTGAGTTGAGTGATACGGAGTCCCTTTTCTACAGGAAACCCATTAAAGCAACTGATCTTTCAGTGATCCAGATGGTGCTCCTTTCTGTAGTAAGCCTGTTACTCTAGTCGTCATCTTGGTGAGAATCTAGAATACCTGGGGGGGCAGCATCTTATAGCACTCTGTATCTTACACTTATCACTTCCCTCCACCCCCACCTCCTTTAAAAAAAAAACAAAATTACTACAGAAATCTGATATTCTAAGGAGAAGGCATTTGGGCATTTTTATTTCTTCTGTTTTATTTTTGTAAGGAATGGGACAACAACCAGATCCAGCCTTTGGTCGAGTGTCTAGTCCTCCCAATGCAATGATGTCGTCAAGAATGGGTCCCTCCCAGAATCCCATGATGCAACACCCGCAGGCTGCATCCATCTATCAGTCCTCAGAAATGAAGGGCTGGCCATCAGGAAATTTGGCCAGGAACAGGTAAAGAACAGTGACTTATAAAGTTAGTCACATCCTAGTCCCAGAAGTCCAAGAACTTAATGTATTTTTCAGTCAAGCCTTTTTGGATGGAGAGGTTGAAAGGACTGGGTTCATATTAGAAGGTGTGATTTGGCTTGTCCATTTTGAGAGTCCTTCAAGCACGCACATATCTATTAGGGTGTCTAGTACAGAAAGCTGTGAAAAATGGATCACAGGCTGTCAGGGAGTTTTCTCTAACATTCCCAGCTTAAGTATAGCAATGTTTGACACAATTGTAGTAATTTCTGTGGGCATGCCCTTTGTCGCTAAAGTGACTTCCAGAGGTAATATTACCATTTGTTTACTTACAGCTCCTTTTCCCAGCAGCAGTTTGCCCACCAGGGGAATCCTGCAGTGTATAGTATGGTGCACATGAATGGCAGCAGTGGTCACATGGGACAGATGAACATGAACCCCATGCCCATGTCTGGCATGCCTATGGGTCCTGATCAGGTATGGGATCGATTCCTTACCTTTTTCAAAAAGTTTTTCTTGTTCTCTGGATAGAACTAAAGCCTAGGCTATAATCAGAATGTCCTAGGTATATTTTAACTTGAATGTATAACTTAAAATATAGTAATTGAAAAAACTTGGTTTGAAGGCATTGGGCCATTAGATACTTTTGGTAAGCCAGAGCTGCATTGTAAGATGGGATCTCAGGAACCTGAATCACTCAGCCAGAGCTGCACTGTAAGCCATGAATGTGGACATGGGTATTTTTTTGTTGTGCAAAGCATGTGTTTTACTCATTTTTTTTTTTTTTTTTTTTTTCCTGGTTGCTGACAGAAATACTGCTGACATCTCTGCACCAGGACCTCTTAAGGAAACCACTGTACAAATGACACTGCACTAGGATTATTGGGAAGGAATCATTGTTCCAGGCATCCATCTTGGAAGAAAGGACCAGCTTTGAGCTCCATCAAGGGTATTTTAAGTGATGTCATTTGAGCAGGACTGGATTTTAAGCCGAAGGGCAATATCTACGTGTTTTTCCCCCCTCCTTCTGCTGTGTATCATGGTGTTCAAAACAGAAATGTTTTTTGGCATTCCACCTCCTAGGGATATAATTCTGGAGACATGGAGTGTTACTGATCATAAAACTTTTGTGTCACTTTTTTCTGCCTTGCTAGCCAAAATCTCTTAAATACACGTAGGTGGGCCAGAGAACATTGGAAGAATCAAGAGAGATTAGAATATCTGGTTTCTCTAGTTGCAGTATTGGACAAAGAGCATAGTCCCAGCCTTCAGGTGTAGTAGTTCTGTGTTGACCCTTTGTCCAGTGGAATTGGTGATTCTGAATTGTCCTTTACTAATGGTGTTGAGTTGCTCTGTCCCTATTATTTGCCCTAGGCTTTCTCCTAATGAAGGTTTTCATTTGCCATTCATGTCCTGTAATACTTCACCTCCAGGAACTGTCATGGATGTCCAAATGGCTTTGCAGAAAGGAAATGAGATGACAGTATTTAATCGCAGCAGTAGCAAACTTTTCACATGCTAATGTGCAGCTGAGTGCACTTTATTTAAAAAGAATGGATAAATG
Organism: Homo sapiens; assembly: GCF_000001405.40. Lineage (NCBI taxonomy): Eukaryota > Metazoa > Chordata > Mammalia > Primates > Hominidae > Homo > Homo sapiens. Next base: position 47,654,160 of record NC_000020.11, read on the forward strand.
CAATATTCTTGAGGTCTTGAGGGAATAGTGAAACACATTCCTGGTTTTTGCCTACACTTACGTGTTAGACAAGAACTATGATTTTTTTTTTTAAAGTACTGGTGTCACCCTTTGCCTATATGGTAGAGCAATAATGCTTTTTAAAAATAAACTTCTGAAAACCCAAGGCCAGGTACTGCATTCTGAATCAGAATCTCGCAGTGTTTCTGTGAATAGATTTTTTTGTAAATATGACCTTTAAGATATTGTATTATGTAAAATATGTATATACCTTTTTTTGTAGGTCACAACAACTCATTTTTACAGAGTTTGTGAAGCTAAATATTTAACATTGTTGATTTCAGTAAGCTGTGTGGTGAGGCTACCAGTGGAAGAGACATCCCTTGACTTTTGTGGCCTGGGGGAGGGGTAGTGCTCCACAGCTTTTCCTTCCCCACCCCCCAGCCTTAGATGCCTCGCTCTTTTCAATCTCTTAATCTAAATGCTTTTTAAAGAGATTATTTGTTTAGATGTAGGCATTTTAATTTTTTAAAAATTCCTCTACCAGAACTAAGCACTTTGTTAATTTGGGGGGAAAGAATAGATATGGGGAAATAAACTTAAAAAAAAATCAGGAATTTAAAAAAACGAGCAATTTGAAGAGAATCTTTTGGATTTTAAGCAGTCCGAAATAATAGCAATTCATGGGCTGTGTGTGTGTGTGTATGTGTGTGTGTGTGTGTGTATGTTTAATTATGTTACCTTTTCATCCCCTTTAGGAGCGTTTTCAGATTTTGGTTGCTAAGACCTGAATCCCATATTGAGATCTCGAGTAGAATCCTTGGTGTGGTTTCTGGTGTCTGCTCAGCTGTCCCCTCATTCTACTAATGTGATGCTTTCATTATGTCCCTGTGGATTAGAATAGTGTCAGTTATTTCTTAAGTAACTCAGTACCCAGAACAGCCAGTTTTACTGTGATTCAGAGCCACAGTCTAACTGAGCACCTTTTAAACCCCTCCCTCTTCTGCCCCCTACCACTTTTCTGCTGTTGCCTCTCTTTGACACCTGTTTTAGTCAGTTGGGAGGAAGGGAAAAATCAAGTTTAATTCCCTTTATCTGGGTTAATTCATTTGGTTCAAATAGTTGACGGAATTGGGTTTCTGAATGTCTGTGAATTTCAGAGGTCTCTGCTAGCCTTGGTATCATTTTCTAGCAATAACTGAGAGCCAGTTAATTTTAAGAATTTCACACATTTAGCCAATCTTTCTAGATGTCTCTGAAGGTAAGATCATTTAATATCTTTGATATGCTTACGAGTAAGTGAATCCTGATTATTTCCAGACCCACCACCAGAGTGGATCTTATTTTCAAAGCAGTATAGACAATTATGAGTTTGCCCTCTTTCCCCTACCAAGTTCAAAATATATCTAAGAAAGATTGTAAATCCGAAAACTTCCATTGTAGTGGCCTGTGCTTTTCAGATAGTATACTCTCCTGTTTGGAGACAGAGGAAGAACCAGGTCAGTCTGTCTCTTTTTCAGCTCAATTGTATCTGACCCTTCTTTAAGTTATGTGTGTGGGGAGAAATAGAATGGTGCTCTTATCTTTCTTGACTTTAAAAAAATTATTAAAAACAAAAAAAAAATAAATTTTTTTGCAATCCTTTCCTCAGACCTGGCTCCAGGCTAACTGGAAGGCAGCACTCCCTTTTTTATATAGTAGAAAAATGAAGTTTATTATAAGTTTTTATATTTTCTACTTGTTCATTTGGTGCAAACTCAAGATTTCTTTTAATAGGTGCAGTCTTTGAGATAATTTGTTTTTACCTGTATTGCCCTTTATCTTTTTTAGGTAATTCTTTGTACTCCTGCTGTCTACCTCTCCTCACACCCCAGCACCCCCCATTTTTTCAAACCTTGGTATCTGTTGGGTGAACAGTATAATCTTTTCATCTGCTTTTAGAATGTGGGATATTTCCAGTACCTACTTTTTTTTTTTTTTTTTGCTGAATCCAAAGATATATAAATAAAATATATATATTTTATAAAGATCAGAATGATATAAAGGAGATACATGTTTCTTCCTTTAAAAAATAAACGGAAGTTACATTGTTAATGTTCATATTATGATGCCACTTTTCTAAACTGCATCTGGATTGAAAGGTGTAAATATCAATAACAGTGCTACTTAGTTATCAGTATTTAATATCTGAGGTGAGTTGGGGGTATCTATATTAGGGGTAGGGTATTACAGAAGATAATTGGCTTGATGTCCTAGAAGTTCTTTGATCCAGAGGTGGGTGCAGCTGAAAGTAAACAGAATGGATTGCCAGTTACATGTATGCCTGCCCAGTTCCCTTTTTATTTGCAGAAGCTGTGAGTTTTGTTCACAATTAGGTTCCTAGGAGCAAAACCTCAAGGATTGATTTATTGTTTTCAACTCCAAGGCACACTGTTAATAAACGAGCAGGGTGTTTTCTCTCTTCCTTTCTAATATATGGAGTTTCGAAGAATAAAATATGAGAGCAATATTTAAATTCTCAGGAATTGACTTATACTCTTGAGAATGAATTCAGTTTCAATCAAGTTTACATTATGTTGCTTAAAAAAATAGAAATTATTCTTTATCTTGCAAAGAATTGAAACCACATGAAATGACTTATGGGGGATGGTGAGCTGTGACTGCTTTGCTGACCATTTTGGATGTCATTGTAAATAAAGGTTTCTATTTAAAATTGGAGCCTAAAGAGTTTTTTTTTTTTTTTTTTTTTTTTAAATCCCTGTTGGGTTAAGGGTAAAGGAGGTTAAGGAAGCCTATTTCAAATAATGGTAACAGTTTCTGAGAAGTTAAAAAACGCCACTAGGGAGTTGCTAGGGAGCCTTGGCCTGTTTGGGGCATTGAAACAAATGTGGGTGCTTTTAGGGATTATCTCCGTCATCTGTTAAATGAGAAATGGGTTGGACTGGTGATTGATAGTTGAAATCTGTCAACTACTTGTATCAGGTTAGACTACCTGATACACAAAGAAGGGTTGGCCAAGGCGAATTTCTTTGCAATTGATTAATACTTTTTTAAAAAATGAAGTACCAAAGCTGGTATACTATGAGACTTACCTGTAGTCCCTTGAAGTATGGTAGACTTTTTAGTCAATCTACAACCATCTACTCCCCTTTTAAGAAAATCTTCTAAACCCAAGGCATTTTCTTCCAAAAAGATGTTGACTGGTAGTATCTTGAATACTTTAAAAAAACAGACACACCAAAAAACTCCCAAGAAATGGCCTTTTACAAAATGTCAAAGGTTCTTCATACCAACTGCTGGTCATTGGCTGGGGTTTTGAACACTGTATGACAATACTTAAACTACAAAATTTTTTTTACAAATACAGTTTCATCAAAACTTGGGACATACATCAACTTCATTTCTTTTCAGTACCTTAAAAAAAAAACATCAGTTCTGGGACATAACAAAGAAATACTAGGAGAAATGGTATCTGGACAGGAACAGAAATGTCCACAACTGCGAGGGATTTTCTTTTACACTGGCCACAGAGCGTTTATTGACACCACCACTCCTGAAAATTGGGATTTCTTATTAGGTTCCCCTAAAAGTTCCCATGTTGATTACATGTAAATAGTCACATATATACAATGAAGGCAGTTTCTTCAGAGGCAACCAGGGTTTATAGTGCTAGGTAAATGTCATCTCTTTTGTGCTACTGACTCATTGTCAAACGTCTCTGCACTGTTTTCAGCCTCTCCACGTTGCCTCTGTCCTGCTTCTTAGTTCCTTCTTTGTGACAAACCAAAAGAATAAGAGGATTTAGAACAGGACTGCTTTTCCCCTATGATTTAAAAATTCCAATGACTTTCGCCCTTGGGAGAAATTTCCAAGGAAATCTCTCTCGCTCGCTCTCTCCGTTTTCCTTTGTGAGCTTCTGGGGGAGGGTTAGTGGTGACTTTTTGATACGAAAAAATGCATTTTGTGCAGCTGGTGAGGTATAATCCAAAGCAAAAGCAGGGGCAAAAATGGACTTCCTGAAGTTATCTCTGCTCCTGCTGGTTATCCTCCAGAATCTGTCATGTTGACTGAGAGTGCGTGCTTGCTTTCTCAGGCCTCCTGGCCAATACCACAGGTCTGCTGGAAATCACCCACATGGTTTTTCATTGCCTGTGCAGTCAGGTGATGCCTCTATGTTTTTGGAGGTCCACCTCTGTTGTTTCTTAACCTTCCCAGCCTTCCCACAGTTGTCCCCTAAAGAACAAAACAAACTCATCTTAGCACTTAGCTATCATGGTCTTTATCATGACTTCCTAATCGGTCCTATAGCTGAGGAAGCTTTGCTTCAAGGCTGCTGAGAATGAATATTTCTAGGTTACTTAGAACGGGATTGCCACCACCTAGTCACCTCAATTTTTTGTTTACTTATACACCCAATGCCTGGCAAGGATGGCATTTAAGGATCTGGACAGAATAGTGGCTAAGGAGATTGTGATATGTAAAGATTCTGTACCTTAATTCTAGAAGCACCGAAGAAAGGCTTAGGTGACCTGTTACTAATGTCCTATTAAAGCCACACAGGTTTATATGCATATAAAGGAAGAAATGAGTAGACCAGAGGTTGCAAGTGGCAGTTCACCAAGGGCGATAATTTGCCCACATGGTTAACTTAATGTCAAATTAGATGATAATGATAAAGAATTCTCACACATACTTGCATTTTTGGATTTGGTAGACGAATGAGAAAATCTGGCGAACCTCAGCCCATTCCTGCAGGGAGCAAACTGGCCTGCTCCCTTTAGAATAGAGGTGAACTTTACAGGTTGCCAGTCTCTTAGTCCCTGTCAGCCTCCAATGGCACTGGAGTGAGAGTTTGTAGCATGGGCTTTTTGGAAACCATTTAATGAGGCCATCCTACTACTGATGTTGTATATCAGTTAGCACTTTTGTAGCCACAGCCTTCAAGATGCCTAGCAATTTGTAATATTTAAATGCTTCTCAACCTCTAAGTAATAGCTCAAGTTTACCAAGCACAGATTATAGCGAGAACAGCAGTGTACTGGACAAGGCATTAATCTAAAACATGAAATGGATTCAAGTGTTTTCTTAGGGAAAGATGTGCATTAGTACTTCCCCCCCACCCTCATCATGAGAACAAACAAAGGGTGGTATGTAAGAAATGGCATGCAAATAGAATAGCATTGGCAAAATGAAGCGGTCAGAACCAGATTTCTATTTGTAAGCTGGTTCCTCAACTCACAGTGATTTGGAAGAAGGTCTCTTCATTTCTGGCCACTTTCGACGCTGAAACTGCCTAAGTTTTCAAGTGTCAAAGGAGAATGAATGTTAACCATCACCAAGAAAGAAAAAGTCCCCAAAGAACTATACAAAGAAGGTCTCCTAGGTGACACCTATCTTTGGTGGGTGATCCTGGTCTCGGGCAGACCAGAGGGAAGGGCAGTTTCTCAAGATAACAGGTGCAGACTCACAGAGATGAGACTGAAGGATGGGCCAAGATAGGAGAACTTTGTTTAGGCTTTAATAATAAAACGAAATACCTGTATTGCTCATAGCTTCCTCCATCTTTAAGTCCTAAATGAAGGAGAAATGAAAAACAAAACAGGAGCAGATAGTTTAGGCAAAACAACCCCAACACACCAGAAAACCATCTTATGCTTTTTTGTCACAATCCCATGATGCTGATAGTGTTCCCTACTCAGAGTAGACTGAATTATGAGGGGTAGACTGAATTATGAGGGGAACCTGCCCTAAGTCTCCTAGATAGCCTTGTAGATTGCCTAAAATCCAGTGTCACCATGATCAGTTTCAGGACCCTGATGGCTTCATTCAGCGCTGACCTTAGTTATGGTGAGGGAGGTAGATGCAGGCATGAACATCTGTGCTCCAGAGGACAGAAAGCCAAGAGCCCTGACCAAGTGCAGGAGGGAGTTCCCCTTTGGGCTCTGGGGAAGTTTTCCCGAGGATGTGGCAGGATCAAGTGCGTGGGCTCCGGGGTCAGCCCACCTTGTTCACCTTACTCCTCCATAAAATGAGGATAAGATTCACCTCAAAGCTTATCAGCTAACACATGTAAAATGCTCAGCACAGAGCCTGGCACACAGTGACTAATATGTCATTGCACTTTGATCACAAGAGTAGCAGCACTTGAGTGGCAGAGATTAGGAAGCTACTAGTGAAAATTCTGATCATATCAGGCTCCTGACCAGAAGTATTAGTGCAACATCTTGTGTAAACACATTAGCTCTTCCCTCTTCATAACTAGAGCCGACGGTAGCGTCTGAATTCCTCCTAAGCTGTGTAGCCATTTTCCTGACATGAACTCTAGGCATCCTCCTAGACACAGTCCCTTCCCCAAGGGACCTTAAATACCAAAGGTTTTTTTTAGGCCACTCTCTCTCACTAGTAAGTGAACTTCATTTTTCTTTTAGCTTTGTTTTCTTTTTTTAATATATTTTTTTTATTTTTAGAGATGGGGCGACAGCTCTGTCTCCCAGGCTGGAGTGCAGTGGTGCTATCATAGCTCACTGTAACCTTGAACTCCTGGGCTCAAGTCTCCTCCCACCTCAGCCTTCCAAAGCCCTGGAATCATAGGCATGAGCAACCATGCCTGTTTAGCTTTTTTCATCTTAAAATATCTATCTGGTTGGCATTCTAAACTTAAAACTGCAGATTTTGTCCTGTCCCAAACAAAACTCAGGATTTACCTGGGACTCCTAATCCCGCACCTCCCATCACCATGTTGTCTGGGGGCTTCACCACCTGAATCTGAAATCCATCATCTTTACTGCTCCCACCTCTAGTCCAAGCCACCACCATTTCTCCCTGGATAACTGGGCCATCTTCGCTGTTTTCTCCCATAAAGTCCCATTCTCCACCTAGCAAATGTCGGTGCCCAGGTTAAAACCCTCCATTGGCTTCCTGATACACCACAAATGAAATCTAAACTCTACCGTGGCCTAGGAAGCCCCACACAGGGTGGCCCGATGCCCTCCCGCCACTCTCCACTGGCCTCAGTTGTGTTGGCTGCACCCCCTGAGCTGCTTTCTGCTCCTCACACTTTAAGCTTCCTGGAGCGCCAGCCCTCCACGTTTTCTCAGTGGTCGATTGCATCCTACTTTTCAGGACTCAGTTCAGAGGTCTGACCCTGGTTTTATTTAGCAGTGCCCTTCCCCAGTCACACTGGATTCTACCATCCAGTTTTACCCTTTCCATACAAGCAAGAGGCCTCCTGCTGTGGACTGCTCTTCTTAGGACAACACTGGCTCCACACAAGTCAGCGAGGATGGGGTCATCTTTAGTCAACATGGTTTCAGGTGTAAGTTCTCAGGAAGTGTTTGTTGAATGCATGAGTGGACAAAAGGGAGGACAATGAAATGAGACGGAATTCCGTGTGTTTCCTGGGCAGTTGGTGCAGGTGTTCCTCTCTCAGGAATCACAGCTTGTTAAAGGTCATCTGCCTGCTATGGACAGGGGCTCCCATGACTCGTCTGGAACTGTATCACCTCCCAAAGCCTGGTGATTTCAGGCTCATTCTTGGGGTAGACACCACCTCCTGAGTCCCTTCCTTTGGTTACCCTGCTGTCCAAGGGCCCCACGTTGGGGTGCCTACTCACCCAGGTCCATGTTTCGAGTCCGGGGGTTACACTGCTTGTAACCCTTGCAGCTCCTCAGCTCCATGAGCTGTACGTGTAGCTGGTTGAGGACATCCCTGTCCAGTGTGTTCACTGCATTCATCAGCTGGTTGCAAAAAAGGTAGTCTGTCAACAAGGTAAGTACAGGGACTCTCGCCCTGCCCTTCTACCAACCAGGGGACATATTTCAGGCAGGTGGCGGGTGGAAGGTGCTAGGGGCTGGTGACCTGTTTACTCCAACTTCTGCAAGAGCCAGCGTTTGGAAGAGTTAGGTGACTTTTTGGCTTCAAGTCCCACCAGGTTCACTCTTCATGAGAGTGAAAACTCAGGAGAATAAAAACCACGTCTGTGTATTTAACGTTGGAGTTCTGCAGCCACTGGTCAGGAAACTTCCCAAGCTTGGAAAGAAAGCCTTCCAAGTCTTGGTTTTATCAGCAGCCTTCATTCAGGGGCCCTCAGCTCCTCCTGATTGCAAAGCAGCCATTTGATGAAAGGACGGGTAAGTGGCCTGGGTTCTTGTGTAGTCTGGGAGCTACCGGTGAGGGACTTAACCTACCCCTTTGGTAAAGTATGAGGGTGAACCTATCTAAGGAGAAAGACTGCACACCTATATAGTAATTAAAGCATTTGTGCTGCTGACATTTAAACATCAGATTTCATTTAAATTATTTCAGGCTTTTCTTGAAAGGTCAAAGCCTGGGCAATACCAAGGCCACAGTACAGGAAAGCTCTAGTGCTGGAGCTCAGTAGTGACTGTCCCTGTACAAGGGCCCACATGTTCCGATGACCAGACATGCCACTGCTCCTTTTGGTCTTGTGTGGTCCTGGGCCACTTCAGTCGCATGTGTGTTTAGATGGCTTACTGTACGGAAGCACTTAGCAGAGTGCTTGGTGCAGTGTGTTACTGTTATATTAGCTGCGCGGTCCGTGTAGGCCCTGCAGTGGGTGATATTTGGCTTGATCCTACAGCCTGACAGTGTTAGGAGTCTTCACAAGTTCCGGCAAAACCTGGTTGCATGCTGCATGTTAAGTTAGAGGGAAGAAGCCATATATATTACACACGCAGGGTGATGGAGGCAAAAAGCAGGGTGATGGAGGCAAAAAAGGCTGATTGAACACAGAACCCCCAATCTCAGCAGCTTCACAACTTACTCCCACCGGCTCAGGGACTCAGTGGGACTTGGACAATTTGTCATCACTTCCCTGAGGTTGGGGGGGGCCTACCTGGCAGCACTGGTGTACCCCACACCCCCATCCCTCTAGCTCGGGTTGCCTGTACCTGGTAGGGGTCTGTGTTGAGATCAAAGTACTCTAGGAAGCCAGTTGCAAATTCACAGAAGAGGAAATTGTGAGTCTCATTGATGGTCCTCATGCACCAGTACGTGTTATTGTTGGCGCTGGTGCAGGCACAGAAAGGCCCCACTGCCAAGGAAGAGAGAGCATGTCCTGAGTGCCTGCGGGAGGAGGCCCCATCTGCCAACAGTGATTCCTGTCAGGGACAGCCCCTAAAACCAGTTCGTCAAATGCCAAGAGGCTGTCCCGAGCACCGTGGACCCCTGGTGTTGGGGACCCCCTTTCTGAGAGAGGTCTGGGTCACTAAGTGGAGAAGTTTCTTGAACCCCTGGGCCTCAGCCTGTCCACCCCTGCCCTGGGCTTGCTCACGTGTCCAGAAAGGCGCCGTCTGCCAGTGCTGGTTGTCGTGGGTGAAGCACGTGAGGCCTGGCATGCTGCACGTGTCGTTGTTCTGCAGGCGCTTGAGCAGCTTGCGGAGTTTCTTCTTGCGCTTCTGCTCCCGCAACAGCCACACCTTGTCCTTCTCTTGCAGGCCCTTCCTATGGGCGCAGAGGGCCACACACACCTTGGGCCTCTGAGGGATCAGTGACCCCATGTCTCTGCTCTTCCTGTCCACCTAAGGGCTTCGCTGAGGCTTCTCCAACAGAGAGCCATGGGCATAGCAATTCAGGGTCCCAAGTCCCAGTGCTGCTCCAAGGCAGAGCCGGGACCAGAACCTGGGTCTTGTCATTCTACTTTAACTCCCAAGGGGGCACAAGCTGGGGACAGAACCAGGCAGCTACTGGGACTCCTGTTGACACCCCTTTCCCCTCCTTCCTGTGTCCTGCCCTGCTTGGTGGAGTTGCGGTAACCCCATTTAGCCACAAGGGGGCGTCGGAGGCCCGCTCAGTGTTGATTGGGAAGTAAGGCCTCTTCGAGGGCTACCGTGGACTTCCCAGGGAAGGGCCTGGACTTCTTTCCTTTTCTTCTGAGTTTTAGCTTAAGGGAGGGCCACCTCCTCATGCAGGCCTCTGCATCTCTTCCCCAGGACCTCAAGCTGCTCTTACCTGAAAGGATGCAGACTGGAGCCTCTGTGCTTGAGGCGGCCTTTGTGCTGGGTGTGGTAGCTGTAACAGACCCCCCCAGCCCCAGGCTTCAGGAGTGGCTCAGAGGGCTCCGCTGGCAGGTGCAAGCTGTGATTTCTGGGACTCCCATGTGTTGCTGCTGCCCCACCCCTGTCCCTCCTTCTGGGGTGGTGGTGGGTAGGGCATGACCCTATCCTCAGGGCAGCAGGTGCCTGCCTGAGTGGCTTCTTTCTCCAAGCATGAGCCAGGACTCTGCCTGGACTTTTGCTAGACTTTAGCAGGTTGGGTTAATTGTAATTTAGCCACGACTAGAAGCTGGGCCTGGCTTTAGGTGCATCAGCCTCAGCATCCTTTTTCCTTTCTTTTTTGATGGTTAATTTTACATGTCAAAGCCTCAGCATCTTGAGGTTGGTTCCCTCACCACCCTGCCTACTCACACTTGGTCGGGGTCAACACAGGGAAGCCTGTGTTTTGCAACACTTTCTGGAAAGACAGCAGGGCTTCTACAGCTGTGCTGTCCAGTATGGTAGCCACTGGCCACAGGTGGCTACTTCAATTTGAATTAAGCAAAATAAAAAATTTGGCTCCTTAGTGACACTAGCCAAAATTTTAAGTATGCACCAGCCACGTGTGGTGTAGTGCAGATATAGCCCATTTCCGTCAGCACAGAATGTTCTATTAGAGCTGTTCTAGAGTTCAGTCCTTTGGGCCAGGGGACCCCTAAGCCGGGAACATGGACCTCAAACCACATGGGGGATTTCTGAAAGGGCAATCGGCAGAGGCACTTTTCCGGCCTGGAGCCGGCTCTGCGCAGCCAGCACGGGTCTCTTGCTAGCAGTACTGGAATCTGGGCGCCAGCCTGGCTGAGGAGCAGGTCCGTGTGCCACACTGGCTGACAACAGGGAGGTAAATTACGGATTTTTTTAATGCCATGAGGGGAGAAGATAAAGATAAAAATAAAAAATGAAAGGGGTCAATCACGAGAGGGGATGAACTGAACTGTCCTGTAGGAGAGTGGGGTCTTAGGGAGGTCCCTTTGCTACTGCCTCACCTGATTTTGTGACAGTCACATTCTTCTGGCCGCTTTTTCTTCAGGTGACCTCGGACTTCCCTCAGGTTCTTAATTTTGTTCTGCAGGGTTTCAATCTGAGGGAGGGGCAGAAGAGGAGGCCTTGAAACCTTCAAGGCTGGACAACAAAGACTTGGCCTGGTGACTGCCCCCACGCTGCCGTGTCTGTGCTCAGCAGCGGCAGCCTGCACTCCCCGGGCCCCAGGGCAAGCACCGGCATGTCTGGGTGGGGAGGAGGTACTTGTTCTGCCTGAAGGAAGCCCGCCTTCTCCTCCAGCCAGCCCTTGCAAGGGAACCGAGTCATTTTTCCGGCCTGGCCTGCGCAGGAACCCGCTGAGCCCACTGAGGCCTCCAGTGTCTCCCCTGGGTTTGATGAAAGGCCTCCTGTAGCGTAGACTTCTTGTAAGTCAAAAGGGGGACAACGTGGCTAAGCCATCGTCCCTCAGACGGCCTGGGCAGGAAGCTATCTGTCTCATGCTGGGACTGACACCTATCCCCGCGTTGAGGAATCTGTGGGGACCTCACTTCACCTCTCCAGCCTCTTCCCTGGGTCTGGCCTCACTGCCCTCCCACTGTGAACCGGGGGTCCTGCCAGGCCCGTGGTGGCCGAGAGCATGCTCCTCTCCCGCTCTCCACTCACCTCGTGGTCGATGTGCAGCTTGTGGTCTTTCCAGGCCTGCAGGGACTTGTACAGGTCCAGGTCACACTGGACTGTGTCGTTCTCTAGGATGTAGCACCTGCTTGAGAGAAGGGATCACGTGTGGCTCGGAGGTGGTGGAGGGGGAGCAGCCCAGGTGCCCAAGAGGTGTGGGAAGCCCTTGCCGAGGTCTGTCCTGTCCCCTTCACCCTCGACTTCCACCTGGACACTCACCGATGTGTCACTTTAATGGGGTTGGCGGCTGAATAGTCGGGAAGGCCTCCAGTGCCACTGAAGTCCCCACCATCCTTGTCATCTTGGTCCTCAGGGGCCCAAGAGGTGTGGGAAGCCCTTTGCCGAGGTCTGTCCTGTCCCCTTCACCCTCGACTTCCACCTGGACACTCACCGATGTGTCACTTTAATGGGGTTGGCGGCTGAGTAGTCGGGAAGGCCTCCAGTGCCACTGAAGTCCCCACCATCCTTGTCATCTTGGTCCTCAGGGGCCCCTGGCCAGTGCCGCTTGGTGAGGTTTCGGGGCTGGGCGGCATCACCCAGGCCTACGTGGTACACCCTGCCGTCCACCTCGATGGCCACTGAGCGGATGGAGCGACTGCGGACATAGCTGGCCTTGTACTCTGTGGGCATTAGAGGAGTGGCAGAGTTAGGGAGGCAGGAAAGGCTGGCCAGGCTCCCAGGGCAGTGGGTCCTTCATCAAGATAGGGCCGGGCTTCCAAGCATGAGGCTCAGCTTTGCCTGCGACTCGAGGGGTCGTGGAATCTACCCGCCTGCTCGCAGATCCTGGACCGCAGGGGAGGGCCTCGAGGTGATCACACCGGCAAGACGGAAGTCCTGGAGCCAAGAAGCCACTGACTCAAGAGGATTTCAAGCGAGAGCTGCTTGCGGGTAAACAAATGGCGGTACATCATCTGTACAACGGAATATGCGACCAGAACCAGGAGCGAGGTTCTGATTCACGCTAGAGCGTGGATGAATGTCAAAAGCAGGCGGAGTGAAACCAGCCAGACACAAAGCGGGCTCGTATTGTTACATTCTATTTATAGGAACTACCCAGAATAGGTAAATCTATAGCGGCAGAAAGAAGATTGGTGATTGCCAGGGGCTGGGGGAGAGGGTAGTGAGGAGTGACTGCTTTGTGGGTACGGGGTTCCCTTTTGGGGTGATGAAATGTTTTGGAACTAGGTAGAGGTGTGCAACACTGTGAACCTATTAAATGCCTCTGCATTGTATATAATTGTAAAAATGGTGAGTTTGATGTTATCTGAACTTCACCTCAATTAAAAAGGAAAAAAAGTATCATGGATGTAAAAATGTTGATTTAAACTGGGAAAAAGGGGCCCTGCAGTGCCTGTCTCTGGGTAGAAATGGACGGGGACTGGGGAAGCCACTTAGCTTCTTTGAGTCCCAGAGAGCTGGAGGCTGCCCACCAGGTGGTAGGCAGGTGCTACACCCAGGTGGGCCGGCAACAAGGCTGAGGGGGGCTTTTGCATACGCCCTGACGCTGAAAACTCAGGGGTGCAGGCTGAAGTGACACCCCAGGTAGCCTGTATCTTCTATGTCTCAAAAACAAATCTGAGTTGGTAACATTAAAGAAAAAGGGGAGGTGGTGGCGGTGATGTAGGGATCCAGATTTCCAGCTTCCAGAAAGGAAACAGATGTCTCACGGGCCCACAGTTCCATATGGTCAGGACGGGCCGGGGATGGGCGGCCCCTTTGGCTGCCCACTGTCTTCCCTGTTGGCCACAGCCCCCGCCACTCCTTCCTGTTTTAAAACCTCTGCCCACCTGACACATGTCTGGCCCCAGCAGGCACGCACTGCAGTTGTCATCCTTCTCCAGATGTGCCTCATTTAAAGAGAAGGGCCTGGAGCCAGTTAGTGACCCAGGTTTTGTTGGATCCCAAGTGACCCCGAGATGGTGACCAAAGAGGACCAGCTGGAGGCAGGTGGTGGCGGAAGGCAGTGGAAGGAGGGAGGAAAGGGCTCCCTTCTCACGTGGCCCGGGTGCCACCCCCACTCTTGGGGGATGTTTTGTATCTTTCAGTTCTCAGACACCTTGCATCAGAGTCACAAGGGCCGAAGGATCCTGAGGGGCCGGGAAAGGCCTCCCCTCTCCAGCAGAGCCTTGGGCCTTTTCTGACACAGGGCAGCCTTCTCCTGGGCACTTCTCTCCCTCGGTTTAGTCTCCCGATGCAAGTACACAAATTGCCGAGGATGGTCCCTGTGCCAAGCAGGTCCTGCCCCGAGAGGCTCAGGAAATAGACCCAGCGTGTCCTCTCCACTCCTTTTGTCTCAGTCGGCTCATAAGTGAGCTGCTTTGCCTCTTTCCACCCTCCATCTCCCAGCTCTAGATTCAGGGGTCCCTAAACCATGGCCTAAGGGCCCAGGCCAGCCTCCATCTGTCTTTGTGAATACAGTTTCACTGGGTACAGCTGCTCGCATTCCCTTATACCTCTGCAGTCGCAGGGCTGAGTTGCAAAGCCCAAGACCTTTACTCTCTGGCTCTTCACAGAAGCGGTATGCCAGCCCTGTGTGAATCCTTTCCTGGACTGAAGCCACACTACCTGCTCTCCCCATCACTCTGTGTTCATGTCCAGAGTCCTGGAGGTACCCTTCCTGCCACACCAACAGGGAATGGGACAGGACTTCATAACCCGGCGGCCAAGAGCTTTGACTCTGCAATCAGATGGCTCAGGTGCAAACCCCTGAGCACATGTGTGGCCCCGGCGATTTGGGTAACTTCTCAGGATGGTGCCTACCCTACAAAGGCTCCTTGGAGGATGGCACGAAACGGAACTAGTGAAGCATTCATGCCTGATGAGCTGGTGTGGACCAGCTACTGCAGGGGGTGGGGACTCTGCCTGCAGCTGACGTCCTCACCTAAGGTGACAACCCTGGGCCCACTCCCTGCCTCTCCACGCCGGTGACCGCCTGTGTGATGTGGCTGCCCATGCCCATGGTGCTTCTCACCACCCTCGGCCACACCGGTCACCTCTCTGTGACTGGGACTCACCGCCCTGATTCTGAGCACAGGGTCTTTGTACTCCATCTTCCTCCTCCTCAGAACACTTGCTCTCTGGCTGGTCACAAGACCTGCTCCTTTCTGTACTTTGTTCTCATTAAATGTCCATTGAGCGCCATTCTGGAGCCGCCACCCCTCTCTGCTAGTCCCGCCACCGCTGCGTCTCCTTCATGCGTTTTTCACCAGCGGAAGTGGCCCTTTGTTCACTTGTTCACATCTTGTTTCATCCATGAGGTCCAAGTCCGTGTCTCTCCAGGTCAACTCTAATCTCAGTGTCTTGCACAAAGTTCAAGAAATGAATGAACCCCAGTCAGCTGGGCCCATCCCCCGAGTCCTCGTCCCCTTCTCCTGTTCCTGGGTCCCCCTTCTGCTGTGAGCTGGCTGGCTCTGCCTAACCTCCCCACGCCACAGCCAGGATCCCCGTGGATCAAGGTGGGCCAGGGCTTCCCAACCTTACCACTGCGGACACTTTGGGGTCAGATCAAACTCTGTGGTGGGGGCCGTCCTGTGCGTTGCAAGATGTTTTGCCGCATCCATAGCCTCTGCTCACTAGACGCCAGCAGCACCCCTCCATCACACACAATTGTGACAGCCAAAACTGTCTCCAAACATTGCCAAGTGTCCCCTGGGGGACAGAAAGCCCCCAGTTCAGCCTGCTCTAGGCTGACTGCTCAGAAAAGAGGGACAGAGTGTCTTGTCGGAGACTCTAGCAGGGGGAAGAATGCCAGGCAGGAGATGGGGCTGGAGTCCCCAAATCAGCCACGTGACCCAGTCTTTCCTGTCCATCATCCCCTGATGATCACCCCTGCCCTGCTCACAGGGCTGTTGAGAGGTGCAGGTCCCGGCTCTGACATTACACTCACATGAGGATTCTGACCAGGGCTGAGCTGACTCTCAGCTACTTTTAGGTATTTTTCTTTCCTCTAAGCATTAATAAGGGGAAAAGAGCTGAATTTCTCCCTGCCAGATCTTGTATTATTTAAAGATTATCGACTGTGCCACATATTGAAGCAAGGAGATGCTGGCTGTGTAATCCAATCTGGAAACCAATCATTCTGTTCAGCTAGAAAAGTTAATGTAGTAGTTCCTAATCAGCTGGTGAGGAAATGTAACGGAGGGTCATCAGCTGGGAAACGGTGTTTCAGGCAGTGGCTGGGCTGTTATGGAGAGAGACTTATCTGCTCCACGATGAAGACATTTGCTGCCTGGCTGGCTGGACCAGAGGAGATCACTGCGCCTGCCGTCAGAGACCTCAATCTCTAACTAGTCTGTGGTACAATATCATCCGTCTTATAAAGAATGGAGACTTTTTGTTTTTTTTGAGACAGTCTTGCTCTGTCACCCAGGCTGGAGTGAAGTGGCATGATCTCAGTTCACTGCAACCTCCCGCTCCCAGGTTCAAGCCATTCTAGTGCCTCAGCCTCCTGAGTAGCAGGGACTACAGGCGCCCACCACCATGCCTGGCTAATTTTTGTATTTTTAGTAGACACGGGTTTCACCTTGTTGGCCAGACTGGTCTCGAACTTCTGAGCTCAGGCAATCCGCCTGCCTTGGCCTCCCGAAATGCTGGGATTACAGGCGTGAGCCACTGTGCCCGATCAGGAAGGAGATTCCAACACAGGCTACCATGTGGATGAACCCGGAGAACATTATGCGAAGAGAAATAAGCCAGCCACAGAAGGACAAATACTGTACAATTCCACTTACATGAGGCCCCTAAAGCAGTCAAGCTCATAGAGAAGAAGAGTGGTTGCTGAGAACGGGTGGGAGAATGGGGTGACAGCAGGGTGGGAGAGCGGGGTGGGAGAACGGGGTGGGGGTGGGAGCGGGGTGGGAGAATGGGGAGATAACGTTGAATGGGGACAGTTGTAGTTTTGCAAGATGAAGAGTTCATTTAGCAGATAGGTTGCGTACTAGTGGGAATATAGTTGACACTACTGGATACTTAAAAATGGTTAAGATGATAAATTTTATGGGAATTTCACCATAATTTTTTTTAAAAACAACACCTAAAATCTCTCATTAGGCTTTGGCTGTCCTTAGGCCAGAGAAATGGGCTACGTGGGAAGCTGCCCAGCCTTGGAGGGCACACTTCTAGCCGGCGGACCCCGACGCCTCCACACATTTTCAGGGCACAGGCTCATTCTTGTTTTAAAGTCATGCAGGGACCATTCTTCCTGTTTGATGGTGGGAGCTGAGCCTCAGAATGGTGAAGCGATGGCCCAGGGTGGCGGCTGAGCCTTCTGGCTGGGTCTAGAAGAGTCCCTCTCTCCACTTCGCCTGCTCCCTGGCTTCTGTCTGACTGTCCTCTCCTCGGCCCTTGCCGAGAATGAGGTGTGAAGGTGTAGACACTTCTTCAGCTGAGTGAGGCTTTTCCCCACTCAACTATAGTCTATTTTTGTTCTTCAGGGTAGTTTATTTTTTATTTTTTTTGAGACCGAGTCTCACTCTGTCGCCCAGGCTGGAGCACAATGGCGTGATCTCAGCTATCTGCAACCTCTGCTCCCGGGTTCAAGCGACTCTGCTGCCACACCACACGCCCAACTAATTTTTTGTATTTTTAGTAGAGATGGGGTTTCACCATGTTGGCCAGGCTGGTCTTGAACTCCTGACCTCAAGTGATCTGTCCACCTCGGCCTCTCAAAGTGCTGGGATTACAGGTGTGAGCCACCGCGCCCAGCCCAGGGTAGTTCTATAAACTCACCACAAACACTGACTAATTGAACGCTGAAACATGGCTCCTAGGGGAAGCACAGAGCTGGGTTCCTGTGAACCTCTGGTCCTAGCATTTTCACCAGCCAATCAATACAGAACCTTGTATGTGTGTTTCTTCCTTTTTTTTGAGATGGATCTCGCTCTGTTGCCCAGGCTGGAGTGCAGTGGCACAATCTCGGGTCACTGCAGCCTCTGCCTCCTGGGTTCAAGCGATTCTCATGCCTCAGCCTCCCAAGTAGCTGGGATTACAAGCGTGAGCCACCACATCTGGCTAATTGTTGTATTTTTAGACGGGGTTTTACCATGTTGGCCAGGCTGGTCTGGAGCTCCTGACCTCAGGTGATCTGCCTGCCTCGGACTCCCAAAGTACTGGGATTACAGGCGTGAGCCATTGCGCCTGGCCTTATCTGTTTATTACTACTGCTCCCCACTAGAATGGGTGGCTCGTGAGGAGATGTGGCTGTGTCCCCAGCCCCTAGATCACCACCTGGCAAAGTGACAGTCTCTGTGGAACTGTCGGAGTGAATGAATGGGGCCCCCCAGGCATGGTCTCTCTCCTCCTGTCCCACTCAGCCAGGTTGTGACACTTACTCTTCTTGAAGAGTTTTTTCCGGCGTCCGGCCAGGCTGAGCTTGTAGTCCCCGCTGTCACAGGTGCAGGCCTCGCTGCCCTGCCCGTAGTACTTGGGCACGAGGTTGGAGAGGGCTCTGCTGCCGCCCAGCCGCATGGGGCCCTTGCACTTATGCAGCTTCAGCTTCCCCGTGGCGTCCTCCACACACTGCCACTTCTGAAAGACATGCCAGGGCCTCGGCCAGCTGCTCATCTGCTCCCCTAAACCCGCCTCTCCCCTGCCACCCCCATCCACCCTGGAGACATCCCTCTCCCTGCTTGCATCCAGCTGTTACCGAGCCCCACCTCTGCTATCTCCAATGCCGCTTCTCTCCACTGCCACTGCTTGAACCTTGGGCAGAGCTACCATCATCCCCCAGCGAGATGCCTCCGACAGCCACCACTCTCACGGTTACCTGCTTCTGTCTGCTCCTAAAATCCACCCACATGGCAGCTAGAGGAATCTTTTTAAAGGGCAAGTTGGATCATATTACTCTCCTACTTAAAACCCTTCAATGGCTCCCACTGTCTTTAAGACAAGACCCAAGCTCCTGATACTAGTCTTTGAACATCCTCTGCAATCTGGCCCTGGCCTACCCATCGGTCCTCCTCTCCCTCAGCCCTCTCTCCAGTATCCCCTGTGGGCTGCTGCCCCAGGGACTTGGCGCTCACTGTTCCTTCTGCCTAGAATGCCTTTTCTCCAGCCCTTCCTGCTGCTGGAGGCTTCTCTTCCTTCCCGTCTGCTCCAGCGCAAGGAGGTCTCCCCTGACCACCTTCCCAGACTCAATCAGTGCAGTGTGTGCAGAGGCTCCACGTGTGCACTCAACTCCAGGCCTGTGGTCAGACGCTGAATGTAGATAGAATCACTGTCCAAATCTCTCGTGTTGATCCTTCTGCTCTTCCCCAGTTCCAGCCTCCTGGATCCCCTCACGGGATTCTGCAACCACCTGTAAACTGGATTCTCTTCCCTTCTGTCCACAGCTGCTCCAGCCCATTGACCCAGTGACTCTTTAGGGCCTATTCTGTGCCAAAGTGACCTTTCCAGGCCATGGGTCAGATCTGTTCCCTGTGTCTCTCCAGCACTTAGCATGTGCCAAGCACTGTGTGTTAATATATTAACTTGCTTACTACACCTCACGCTACCCTACGAGGCAGGTGCTGTCATTACTGTGCCGATTCAAGATGAGGCACACGGAGGTAGAGAGATGTGTCCTGGGTCACACAACTGGGAGGTGCAAGAGCTGTAAGGAAAAGTGTGGAGTCTGGTGCCACCATCCCCCCCAACCCTCTGCTGCACCGTCTGCCCCCGCCCGCTGCCGTTGAAGGCCCTGGTGCCTTTCACCTGCTCATCTTGCCCCTGTCCCGCCCATCTGTTCTCACCTGGAGGCTGAATCTAATTGCATTCACAGCGCCCTGCCACCCTCCCATCCCCTTCAATGCATGCAGGCCCTTCCAGCAACCTGGATTCCTTAGTGCAGAAGTAGACTGATGGGCCAGCAGGCATGGCCCTGAATGAGGCCAGCCCAGAAGCGCCTGGGGGACCTGGGGAGGCTAAAGTGGGCACTGTGACCGGCTATACCCATCTGACTGTCGCCAGAGGGGAGCACAGGCCCAGAAGCCCAGGTCTGATTTTTCAAGAAAAGCCAGGGCTCTGAGTTCTGCGTGAAGCCCTGAGCTGTGTGCGCTGGCGAGCAGCCTCCTGTCCACTTAGCTCTCTCTGCCTGGAATTCTCCTTCCCCACTGCCTGCTCCCCGCTCCAACCCAACAAACTCAGCTGGGGCACGACTTGAGGGGTCGGCAAACAGCAGCCCTCTTGCTAGTCAACTCCAGCCCACAGCCTGTTTTTGTATGGCCTGCAAACCAAGGACGGTTTTTACATTGTACGTTTTCAGAGTTGTAAAAAGCAAGAACAAAAACAAATATGTGGCCTGCAAAGCCCAAACTATTTACTGTCTGATCTTGTGCGGAAAGGGTTTGCTGCCCCTGCAACTACTCATGTAGAAGCCGTGTCCACATGGCCCGTCCCGAGGCTGTCCTGGCGGGGGCGGCGCCTGAGCCCCACAGGGCTGGGCCAGTGTCGGCTTGACTTGGGGTCCCTACAGCTGCTGAGAACGAAGGTCCCGCAGCCCAACTACCTGGGTTCAAATCCTGCCTCCACCACTTGAAGCTGTGAGGCTGTGGGCAGTTTGCCTGAGCCCTGGGCCTCAGTTTCCCCGTGTACAGAACATACCTGCCAGATAGGGTGGCTGGAGGTAGAGCTTACACTCACGTGTTGCCCGTGATGATCATCATTACGAGGTGCCCAGGGCACATTTACTCCTGCCCGGCCTGGGCCCTGGTCTGGGCTTTGGCAATGATGACATGAATTCTAGCCGGGCCCTGCCCTTAGGATGTCCCCGTGTCACCGGGAGACAGACAGATGCACATGAGCTCGGTTCCTGGGCACGTTTGTTCAGCAAATGACAAAAAAACATCTACCACGTGGGGTAGCACGGACAAGGTACCCAAGACAATGCTATGGCTGGGTGTGAGGCCCCTAAGAGACGTCCTCGGGCCACAGGGTACAGCTTCTACACTGGGCAGGGCATTCCAGAAGGCACGGCACAAGCAGGGACATGGCAACGGCACTCGGGGAGTACCGGCTTGTGAGCAGGGCCGTTGCCTGGGATGGGGGGCAGACGTCTGAGCCTGAGGTCCCCAAAGCTCCGGGGCTGGGTCGGGGGCCGTGGGTTGCTGCCTCCCAGCTGGCCTAGGCTAAGTGCCCCAAACTCCGCCCTCAGCACTCTCTTCCTTTGGCTTCAGTGGTGTGCTCTGATTGTTTGGAAAATGCTGATACCTCCTCTTTCTTGGCCCCAGCAAAGAGGTCATTCTGGCTGCCCAAGCCCTGATCTGGGTCAGGGGAGACATCAGAAAGAACCAGTGGGGGACTTGACAACGTTCCCTCGTCGAGGGGCAAAGACTTCCTGGCCTCCTCATTTCACTCCTTTTAGCCCAGAACTAAAATCAGAACCACTTCTGGGATCTCGGTACAAAGTCAAGGCTGAACTCTCTCCAGAACATCAGCTCTGGGAGGGCAGGAGCTTCTGTTGAGCATGTTCGAGGCTGTGGCCCTGCGCCTAGGACAGTGCCTGGCAAGCGGGGGGACGCATTCATGCTGTACAACGGAGGGATGAAATCCACAGCTCCTGCCCGGTGGCAGATACGGGTTAATTGTGTGACTAAGAGGGGTCTGTGGGTTTACAAACACACACTGGGTGGGGAGGCACAGTCAGGCCTGTATGGGCCTGTACTAATTCTGTGTGCAGTGTTAAGATGGAGTCATTCAAATGCAGTCCATCAGAAACGCATCCACTTCAGGCCTTGGCCTTCAATACCAGGGCCCTGGTTTTGCTTTTTCTCATAGGTGAAACAGGCACACAGCTCCAGCCCCAGCTCAAAGTCCCAGCCTTTGACAGGCAGGGCAGGGACACACCTCCGGCACCCCTTGGGCCAGCCAAGGCAGAGTTTCCATCCCACTCCCCTCCCTGCCCTGCCCCGCCCCCGACCCTCCTCTCCAAGCCTGCCCTGGCTTTCCAGCCTCAGAAAAGCCTCCTTCAGGCTTTCCCAAACATGTCAGTTTCTGGCTATCTCTGATACTTCCCAGATAATTTTCTTTTTTCTTATGTTTTTAGAGACAGGGTCTTATTCTGTCACCCAAGCTGGAGTGCAGTGGCGCAATCATAGCTCACTGCAGCCTCCAACACGTGGGCTCAAGCCATCCTCCCGCCTCAGCTCTGGAGTAGCTGGGACCTCAGGCATGAGCCACGGACTGTTCCTGGCCATAATTTCCTTAATATTTCTCTTGCAATCAATTCACTTTTTAAAACCTTACCTATATTTATTTTAAAAAGCCATGTCTTATTACTCCTATAAAAGGAAAACCAGTCACAAAGAGGATACTGTCAAAGTGAATATGGTGAAAATAAAATAATTTAACTCCTGCTGGGGCCTTCGTGCAAGAGAGATCGGCAAGGGCTAGAGAGGCGCTAAGGGCATACACACACCCACGGGACACTTGGCCTCTGACACGGTCAGGGTCCAAAGGCTGCTGAGAAATGAATCACTTATTGTGAGCATCATCCTGCACCACCAAACAGCATCTTGGGCACCACACGGCAGCAAAGGACTACCCGTTGGGAGGCCCTGGCCCTGCTGGCTCAGCGGCTCTCAGAGCCTCGCAGGTCAGGGCCGGCTGCAGTCAGGAGGGGGAGCCGTTGGGAGGGAAGGGAGCCTTCTTACCTGTCCCAGCTGCTCACACGCCGTCTGGTACTCAGCACGCTGACACAGGTCCTTCACACGCTGGTACTTGGGCAGAAAGTTCTCCTCCTGGGCGTCCACCTTGTCATTGTCTCTCTTGTGTAGCAGCTTGCTATGGGGCAGAGAGCAGGAGCCGCGGGGCCGGCCTCTCAGCTCTGGAGGAGCCCCGGAGGCATGTGTGCCCACCTAGAGGGGTGCCCCCTCGGCTCCGGCTTTTCCTCACAGTGGAGGGCGCAGGGCCACCTGCCCGGGTCTTCTGATGTTTAGGAAACTTAAGACATTGGAATTTTATAAGAAACTTCCCAAATTGCATGAGTTGGCAATAAATTAAATAAATTGAAGACATTGTAGAGGCTGGACAAAGCATGCCAAAAGCGTACACGTGACCTCAGACCCCAATTCTGTGTCTATAGGAGCAGTGAATGGGCTTTGTGTTTAGGGGCCTTTGGACCAACTTCAGAGCCATGGGCAGCTCCTGAATAGCATGATGCGGTGGGGCTACAGAAGCTTCCTGGGCAGAGGGAGGGAGGTGGGCAGGGGTGTCCCTCCCAGGACCCGGCACTCACCCTCTCTCCACCAAGAAGGAGTCCCGCCAGACCCTCATCTTCTTTTTCAAGTGAAACCTGGAAAAAAGCACGGCTCCTGCTTCTCAGCAACATGAGGGCTTCCCACGACCCCCCGTTCCCCCAGGAGCAGGGACGGCACCAGGAGTCAGCCTTGGTTTACGGTCAGCCTGGACAGCAATTGTGGTGAGTGTGCCCAGCTGGGCACTAGAGCATTGCCCACCCTCCTCTGAGTTGAGCCACCCCTTCCCCAGAGACTTGGGTCTGGAGACACACACAGTAGAAATGACCCAGGTCAAAATCACTGTAAGTCCCACCCAAGTAACTGTGTGTGTGTGTGTGTGTGTGTGTGTGTGCGCGCACACACATCTCAAGCCCCTCCCAGGAAGCCCAGCAACTCCCCCGGCACTAGACGAGCTCTATCTCGAGTTCAGCGTCAGGCGCAGTGGTTCAGCATCAGGCGCAGTGGTTTGGCGTCTTGAGCTCTGTCTTGAGCTCAGTGTCAGGCGCAGTGGTTGCCTTGATGTCAGGTTAATTGCATTGGGTTTTGGGAGTATTTTCTTCTTTGGTGCTTTGCAGTTGCATGTATGTAATTTGTATGTTTCATCCAGTGCCACCTGGTCATTTCCATTTCCTAGATGGGGACTCTGAAGCTGAGAGGGGAAGCTTCCACCCTGTCCCCTGACCCCCAGGTGTCCTGGCTCCCAGGCCAGTGTCCCCAAACATGTCCATTTTATACCATTACAGCTTGCCTGGCCTCACAGTCAGGGGAGGAGCCTCAATGGACACGGTCCCCCTACAGGGCAGCCAGATGTGGGCACACAGTGCTCGCCTGGCTGGAGCCTCTGGGAGGCCACAGGGGAAGGGCTCCGCTGCCAGAGGTGCAAGCCAGGAGTTGAAGTAGCACCTGGAGGCCAGGAACCTGGTGGCTGTTAAGAGCGCTGGCCACCAGATGTCGCTGCGGCCACACCAGCCTCCCCGCCCTGACTCAGCCCACCTCCCACCTGTCTGACTTGCTCACCCTCACGGTTCCTATTCTGCCTCTCTGGACACCTAGGAATATGTTCCCATCACACCCTCCAGCATTAAAGTTATGGGGCGTGGTGAGTCAGCATCTGAATTCCCAGAGCTACATCCAGACTTGCTGGGATACCTCCGACACGTCACTCAATCGCTTTGGGATTCAGATTCCAAACTGGTAAAATGGGGATGATGATAATGTCCACCTCGCTGGGTTACTGTGAGGATCAAATTCCTAGATTTCCCTGCACAGTACTTAGAATAGGGCCTCACACACAAGCGCCGTGCAGTTAGCACCATCTCCTACCATCACTGCTGCTATCATTTCAAGCTTTGGGTAATTTTAGCTCAGAGAAGGTCCCCAACTGGTCACCTTGGCCACATTCCAGATGGGAAGACAGAATCTCGGAGAGGGGACCATGCTTCTCTCCCACAGCAGGTAAGTGGTTGGCATGGCGGGACCTGAGAACCCCAGCTCCCGACCCTTGGAGACCCCACGTTCTAGACCCACAGGGTTTTGCTCTGAGTTCCCGCAGGTCAATGTCCCGGCCCCCTCAACACCTGCCCTGCTCCGTCCTCACCGATTCACCGGCCGCTCCGTGTCCAGCAGCTTGAGGATGGATTTCCCGTCCATATCCGCAGGTATGTCCAGGCCTGCAATGTCCAGGATGGTGGGGGCCAGGTCAATGTTGAGGACGATGTGGGGATTCCTGGGGGAGGCAGGAGATCGGGGACTCAGTCACTCAGGTGGTGGTGCCTCAGCCTCGCGTGGGGGGTGGGGAGCGGTAGGTGGGCAGCAGTTTGTGGGAGGCTGACATCTGCAGGTATGGAAGCTGCAGTCTGGCACCTCAACCTCAGCAGCTCCCCTCTGCGGCCCAGATTCAGCTGAACCCCCACTCTGTGCTCGCCCCCCCTTAGTTTCTGTGTCTCAGCTCATGCCGTGAGCTGACAGCCTCACCCTGTCCCCCTCCTGCCCTTCCTGTCCCCACTTCCTGAGTGAAGGCGACCCCCCCTTTACAGCCAGCCCAAATCCTGGCCCTTCCTGAACCCTTCCCCTGAACCTCTGGGGCAGACACTGGCTCCTCGCTGTTCCTTGACAGCCCAGGCACAGTGCAGCCTCAGGGCCTTCTTCTTTACCATCCTCTCTGCCTGGAATGTCCTTTCCCTGGAGATCAGGGGCCACCGTCCCTCACCCCTTTAGTTCTTTGCTCTATGACCAAGGAGGCCCGTGACAGGCCTCAGTGGTCCCCAGAATCCCTGTCCCTGGTGATCACACCTTAATGTGACCCCCTCACCTTGGGTGTGGACCAACCTGCACCTGCTGCCAACCAGTGGGTTGTGAAGGTGATGGGCTGTCACTCCCGTGGTTGTGTTATGAGATAGTCAACTACTATCCTGCTAGCAGTCTGGCTCTGGTTTCTTTCTCCCCTTGCTGGCTTTGAAGAAGCAAGCCACTCTAAATCAGCAGCTAGACTGTGAGCAGTCTGGGAGGCAGACTGCATGGGTTCAAGTCCTCTGCTTGCACTTGACCTGCCCCATGAGCAGGGACGCAGATGCTCCCCAGTCAAGCCTCTGGATGAGACCACAGCCCTGGCCGGCACCTTGATTTCAGCCTAAGCAGACGACCCTGCAGGGCTAGGCCCAGGCTTCTGACCCTCAGACACTGTGAGTTTGTACATGTGTGTTGTCTTAAGCTGCTGAGTTTGTGGCAGTTTGTTCTGCAGCACAGATACCCAACACAAGGCCCCTCCTGAGGACCCTATTCGGAACTGCGCCCCCTCCCCACCCTCCCTGCTTTATCTTTCTCCTGAAGACTTATCACCATCTCATATGCTATATAATTTACTTATTTCTCTGGCTTATTGTCTATTGCCCAGTTAGACTCTAAGCTGCAGGAAGGCTGGCTCAGGTGGTCACTTCTGTATCTCCAGGACTTATACCCTTAGAACACAGAGGAGCTACTCAGTAAATATTGGCTAAGTGAATTCCCATACATCTGCCACCTTTCCTGGCTCCTGTTTCTTTTTTTGAGAGGTGTCTTGCTCTGTCACCCAGGATGCAGTGTGGTGGCATGATCCTGGCTCACTGCAACCTCCACCTCCTGGGTTCAAGCGATTCTCATGCCTCAGCCTCCCGAGTAGCTGGGATTACAGGCATGCGCCATCACACCCATAATTTTTGTACTTTTAGTAGAGGTGGGGTTTCACCATGTTGGCCAGGCTACTCTTGAACTCCTGACCTCAGGTGATACATCCGCCTCAGCCTCCCAAAGTGCTGGGATTACAGGCATGAGCCACCTCTCCTGGCTCTTGTTTCTGGCTGATGGCATTCCCAATGTAGGGTAAGGGACTTAAGGGGTGTGCCCAGCACAGGACCCAGGACCTGTTGAATGGTGGACAGTCCCGTCAGAGCATCTGAGTGCCTTCCCCGCTAGTTCCCTGGGGACCAGGGCAGGGCCTGGGTCCTAGGGTTTCCGTCATCTTTAACCCCTCATCTCTCCCCAGTCCAGTGCCCTGTGAACGTCGGGCAGGCTGCCAAGCATGTGTGCAGCTGCTGAAGATGGGGCTGTGTCATGGGGGGCTCGAAGGCCAGCGTGAGGCGCTACAACTGAATCCAGAGGCGAGGGAGCTGGGAAGACTGCTGAGCGACGGGCGCTCTGCAGAACCCAGCAACCGGCAGCTAATGGGGCTGAGCTTGTCCAGTGGTCCCGCTCCCCCAGGCTCAGGGGAAGGAGGACAGTGGTTGCTTTTCCTGGCCAGCACCAATGCCTTGCTCTGTGTCACAGCTTCTAATTCTGTAGGAACTACCTGGCCCCATTCAGAGTCCCCTGCCCAATGTACTCAGCCTGGTTACTCAAGGGTTTCTGTCACCTCTGGCTACAGTGAATGGTTCAGGGAAGGACACGTGACCTAAGTCAGGCCAGTGGGAGTCAGCCTCAGGTCTTCTGTTCAAAGCAGTTTGGCTTCCTAAACAGGATGGCTGAAAATCTGGAGCTGCTGACCCTGCCACAAGGAGAAAAACCCACCTGAGAATGAAGCCAATTCGGCGGAAGTGGGACTGAGAGATAAGAAATGAGAGCTTTCCAATGGCATTGTAAGACTGCTGGATCCAGCCATGCCTGAGGCTGGAGCTGTGCATGGACTTTTCAGTAACTATAGTTACTGTGTTCCTTTTATCTTACATGCCTTATCTGGTTCAAAGGTCATTTCTGCTTGCAACCAAAGGAGTCCTGGCTGACAGATACCGTGTGTCTTTGGTCCCAAACCTGACATGAGCACTCTCTTTTTCTTGACCATGTGGGATGTGGTTTTGGGCCCTATGAGTCAGATCACAGATTCCGAGGCTGACCAAACCCCCAATGTCAGTGTTTGTAGAGCCCTCAGTGGGTCAGATTCTTTCTGTTCACAGGGATGGTTTGAAGTTTCTGAGAGGCGTGGCAGATGGGAATAGAGACTGCCTGGTTTCAAGCCCCAGCCCCTTCCCTTACTTGCTGTAAACTCAGGCAACTTAACCTCTCCGTGCCTCAGTGGCCTTGGGTGTAAAATGGGGCTACTATGAGCATCCACGTCACAGGGCAGTTGTGATGCTGAAACGAATTATTAATTGTTTTTGAGATGGAGTCTCACTGTGTCGCCCAGACGAGTGCAGTGGCATGATCTCGGCTCACTGCAACCTCCACCTCCCAGGTTCAAGCGATTCTCCTGCCTCAGCCTCCTGAGTGCTGGGATTACAGGTGTACGCCACCATGTCCAGCTAATCTTTGTATTTTTAGTAGAGGCAGGGTTTCACCATGTTGGCCAGGCTGGTCTTGAACTCCTGACCTCAAATGATCTGCCCACCTGGGCCTCCCAAAGTGCTGGGATTACAGGCATGAGCCACAGGGCCCGGCTTGCAATGAATTATTATGTAGTTCTTAGACCAGGCCCTGAAGAGTAGACACTCCATACGTGTGGACTGTCGTTATTACAGCTCTTAGTCCAATGGGGACGCTAAGAGCCAAAGACGGGCGTGATCTGATAAGGTCAACAGTCAGTCATCACTTTCTCTGGCCTTGAACTCATGCAGCCTGCCTCCTGGAATTCTCGCAAAATGTCCAAGGCAGTGGGAACATGTCAGTCTGGAATTCCACACTGCACTGTCAACGCCTTTTCAGGAGGAATTCCGCAGCCAGCCCTGTGTGAGTGCTGGGTGTGTGTTCCCACATCTGGGCATGAGCAGAAGGCAGACCAAATGACAGTCTTAATAGCAACACATCTGCTTTTCAAAAACCTCATTTGAGCCAGCCTCCATAATATCCCAGCCGATCCAAGGAAGCTGCTGCCGGGAACAGTGGCCTGTCCGCTCCCCTGCCCCAGACGCAGCATGTTCGCTGCCAGAACATGTCAACTCAAAGGTTAGCCCGAGGAGAATGGCTGGCTGAGGGCTGCGGCCCACGTGGTCCTCCAGGAAGGATGGGAGGGAAGAGCATTTCCCTTTGTGCTGCTGCCCAGAGTTGGCTCAGCTGATCCCAGCTGACAACCAGCTGCCTGTGCTGTGGTCCGGGGTTCCTCCCTGACAACCTCCAGGCTCAAAGACTGCCCAGCCCAGAACAGAAATCCAAGCACCATTCCCACCCGCTGGTGACATGCATGTGCGCGCACACACGTATACAGCCCAGCTCCCTGGATTTCCTGGCATACGGCCCCACCACACCTGTTTCCACAGGTGCTAACAGCTCCCGGCCTCTCCTTCCCCAGCAGAGGGATATAACATGCATGACATAATTGCTTTCCGCTGGCCCTGGGGTACATCTGCGAAAACTGTGTGCCACCCAGGGTGGGCTTGGGTTTGGGCTGCATGGTTGAAGCCCTGAGCTGGGCCCAGGGGCCTCCCTGGGTCCCTGGGGGATGACACACTTACAGACAGCCGGCTTCCACGTTGGGGCCCCTCACGTAGAACGGGACCCTGATGTCAAACTCATATGGCATGGATTTCCCTTTCACCAGGCCAAACTGGCCGATGTGGTAACCGTGGTCGGCGGTGTATACGATGTACGTGTTGTCCAGCTCGCCCGTCTCAACCAGCATGTTGTAAATCTGCAACACGGGCGAGGAGGCAAGGGACAGTGGGGACTGGGTGCCTGGCCCGTCTCCGACCCGGGGTGACAGGCGCTTGAGATCTCAGGCCCCGTCCCTCCCCTGCTTCAGGTCTTTGCTCAACTTTCCCAGGGGCTGTCCCCTTTGTCACTGCACCTTCCTGCCTCTTGTCACCCCTGGCCCGCCCTCCCCTCCACGGTTCTTCATGGCCCTTCTTGGCATCCATCTCTTTTACTTATCTGTGGATCATCTGTGTCCCTGCCTTGGCATGCTGCCTCCATTAGGGCAGACACTTTTGTCATTTTGTTCCCTGCCTGCTGTATCCCACGTACACTGGCACTCAATAATGCTGTCAGGTGAATGAATGAATGAGTGAAACTTGGGCTGCAGCCTATGGCAGGATCTTGCGATCTGGAAGGGCGCCGTGTGGCAGAACTTTCTGCATTGGTGGCCGTGTTAATGTCTGCACTGTCCGATATGGACACATATTGGCTCCAGCCACACGAACCTACTGAGCATGTGAAATGAGGCTTGTGTGACAGAAGAACTGACTTTATAATGTTACTGCATTCAGTTTAAATAGCCATGGCTAAATAAAATGTGACAATACCCATACAATGCGATATTATTCAGCAATAACAGGGAATGAGGGGGACTGATTCATGCGACACCAGGGGTGAAGCTTGAACACGTGGCGCTAAGTGAAAGAAAGGCGCTGGGCACAGAAGGCCACAGCGTGTACGATTCCATTTATAGGAAGTGTGCAGAACACCAAATCTATAGAGACAGAAAGAGATCACCAGTTGTCTGGGGCTGGGGGTGAGGGAGATTTAGTGGGCCATCTAAGGGCTGTGAGGTTTCTCTTTGGGGTAAGAAAAATGTCCTAACATGGATGTGGTGATGGTTATACAACTCTGGGCATATTAAAACCACAGAATTGCACACTTTAATTGGGGGAATTGTATGGTATGTGAATTACATCCCAATAAATGTGTTCAAAAATGTAAATAGCAGGAAAAAATATAACTAGCATATATGGTTACCGTATTGGGCAACACAGATCTAGAAAATGTTTCATGAAGGAAGAGGCTTTTGTCTGGATTGCTCCAAGCTGTTCCCCAGGTCTAGCACATGGGGCCTCTTCATTCTGCCTTTGATTTCTATTCCTCCAGGAAAACCCTGAAGGGCCAGGAGGTCTCGGCCCTGGCCTGGCTGGGGGTTCGGAGCCACGCCCACCAAGAGGCATGCAGCGGGCGCCTACCGTCTCCATGGAGTCGTCCACCGACATGAGGGTCTGCAAGCGCTTCCGCTGGAGCATGTTGGTGAATTCCATGTGGATGGGCTTCATGGGCCCCGTGTAGCGCATGATCCAGTGTTTGTCCGGGTTGGGCGCGTAGTTGTAGCTCGGCGTGCTGGTGGGCAAGGACATACACATCGGTCAAACCCAGGGACAGCCTGGACCCTGCCTGGCCCCCGCCAGACCCGCCCGGATGAGCAGCCACCCTGTGCTGTGTCTGCAGCCCAGGGCCAGGTGTGATCTCCTGGTGGGAAAGGGGACATTGGCATGTCAGGGGCTTATCCAAACCCTGTTTCAGCGTTTCTCCACGTGTGAAGTGTGCACTTGGGAAGCTCCTAAGAGGCACAGCATTCAGTGACCTTGAGTGACAAAGTGAGACAGCCAGTCCCTTGTCGGCTCTCTCAGGGCAAAGTCTGTTTGGTGCTAGTGTTTCTTTAACACCTCTCTAGACTTTGCTCGTCTTCCTTTTGAAAAAAGGGAAGAAAGTCAAGTTCAGAGCCTTCATCGGGAACCAGTACCCAACTCAAATTCCATAGCATTGCTTTGTGTGCCTTGTACCTATTATTGGTAGATGGCAGTTACCTTTGGTGAATGGCAGGTGGCAGTTATTGTGGTTAAGGTAGGACCACGGAATATCCTTTTGCAATAGATTTTAGTTTGAAATAATAGAAATGGATTTAAAAATGAAATAAGTCATAGTTTTATGTGTAAGGCCAGAATTGTGAGGAAGGCACCTGAATGTGCACATTTGGGACATGCCACATTCTTTTTTATTTTTTGAGACAGTCTCGCTCTGTCGCTCAGGCTGGAGTGCAGGGGCGCAATCTCAGCTCACTGCAACCTCCACCTCCCAGTATGAGTGATTCTCCCGCCTCAGCCTCCCAAGTAGCTGGGACTACAGGCGCGTGCCACCACACCTGGCTAATTTTTTTGTATTTTTAGTAGAAATGGGGTTTCACCATGTTAGCCAGGATGGTCTCGATCTCCTGACCTCGTCATCTGCCCACCTTGGCCTCCCAAAGTGTTGGGATTACAGGCATGAGCCACTGCACCTGGCCTCTTTGTTTTGAGATGGAGTCTTGCTGTGGTCCAGGCTGGAGTGCAGTGGTGGGATCTCAGCTCACTGCAGCCTTTGCCTCCTGGGTTCAAGTGATTCTCCTGCCTCAGCCTCTTTAGTAGCTGGGACTACGGGCTTGTGTCAACACACCTGGCTAATTCTTGTAGTTTTAGTAGAGATGGGGTTTTGCCATGTTGGCCAGGCTGGTCTTGAACTCCTGACCTCAGGTGATCCACCCACCTTGGCCTCCCAAAGTTTTGGCATTACAAGCATGAGCCACTGCACCTGGCATGCTGCTTAATCGTGCAGCAGGAGTGTGTTGGGCAAAGTTCTGTCTGAGCACCTGTGATGTGAGGGATGGAGGGACCCCAAGCAGGTATCTATGATGATATCATGGCAGTGGTTGACTATACCAGCTGCTGGGGTTCGAGCCCCAGTTCTGTCTTTGGCCAGTTAGTCCCCTCCCAAGGCATCAGTTCCCTCATTTCCTACCCAAGGAGAATACAGACAGTGCCAGTTCCCAGGAAGGTTGTGAGCACTGAGGGAGAGGCTGTAAGGGGAACCCTTCTAACCATGGCCAGTGCGTGATGACTGCTTGGGAGAGGTTATCATTGGTGTGTCCCTTTGTCATTAGTAATCACGGGTGACTCCACGGCAGAAGTCAGGTACACTGGGTCTGTCACTCACTCCGTGAGACAGCGGGCAGGTCCCCAAACTTCTCTGATCCTCTCTATTTCCTGGTTAGTCAATGGGAGATTAAACCAAAACCAGAGGAAACATTGTGAGCAAACCAAGAGCACCTCCTTGTCACCTCAGTTTATGCCGGGCCCCTGGCTCCGAGCTACTGAAAACCGCAGCATGGGGGAGTCTCCTGGGTGGGGTGCACCATTGACAGGAGGCACTGTTTAAGGCCTCACAAAACGTGGGCTTCCTCGCCCTGGGCCTGATGGTTCTTGAAGGCCAGGTTCCCTGCAAATCTGGCCTCTCTTCCCAGTCAAGGCTGAAGTAAAGGGTGAGTTTCCACTGCTTTTCACAGTGGGTGTTCTGGGGGCAAGGAGCTCCCGCGAAGAAGAGGAGGAAAAACAAGCCTGGTCAGAGGGGCACAGACATGTCTCCCTCTGGCCTGGTACGTCGGGACTTCAGCAGCGTCTCAGATATCACAATCGTCCGGGGCAGAAATTGTGACGCTGCCGCTGGGGTAGCTTGGCAGCTGTGGACACCGTTGCTATGTAAGGCGGGAGGTGAGTCACTGTCTCCAAGGCTCCCCTGGACTCGGCTTTCTCAGCCCCTGGCTGATCTGCAGCCTCATGCCACTGAATCCATCAGGGCCCATGCTTCCTTTCATTACAGAACGGCCAGGCTCTCCTGTGGGCTGGCTCTGCTGTCTCAGGGCCTGACCCGCCATGTAGAACATTCCCAGGAACAAGCTCAGCTCCCCTCTCAGATCTCTCCCACCGAGGAACTGAAAGGGGGCTGCTGGGGGCAGCAGTCGGACAGAGACGCTCTCAGAGCAGCGAGCGTGTGGGAAAATTGGTCCCGCAGGCCCAAGGGCCCGGATTCCAGGATGCAATTTTCAGCAATCATCCCTGAATCCATGAGAAGTTAGGCTGACATCGGCCCTCGAGAACAGTGAGGGGTGACTGTTCAGAGGATGATGATTTCTGCAGCCCCGGCTCGGAGAGAGCGCTTTTGGAGAAGGACACTGAGGCCAGAAGGCAGCAGAGCCGGGTGGTGCTTGGGGTCGACGCCAGCTTGCTGGTTGCCTGTGTCAAGCCAGGCTCCCCCAGGGAGGATGTCGGCATCTTCCCATGGGCCCAGCTGCCTGTTCAACAAACATCTGAAAACTTCACCTCCTCCAGCATCCGAGGAATATCTGGTGCGTTCACAAAAGGGCGTGAAGAAGACCATCCCCCTTCCCTTCTGCTGGGGAAATGGCGGGAAGATGGTGGTGTCCTCACAGCCCCTCCACTGTGTGTCTGGGGCCATCAGCAGCAGCCCCAACATCCCTCGCCCCAAAGCCCTTGAAGCCACAATCAGCGCCCTTTGAAGGGAAGCTCTGAGGGCTGGTGGGCTGTGTCTGTGGGCACGCCTGTGTGTATCTTTGTATCTCTGCCTATGTCTTTGTTTGCGTGTGTGTATGTCTTTGTGTGTGTCTGTAACTGTGTATTTTTGTGTGTCTGCATGTGTGTGTTTTTTTTTTTCGAGACAGGGTCTCACTCTGTCACTCAGGCTGGAGTGTAGTGGCGCAATCATAGCTCACTGCAGCCTCGACCTCTTGGGCCCAAGTGATCCTTCTGCTTCAGCCTTTCCAGTAACTGGGACTACAGGTGTGCACCACCACCCCTGGCTGATTTTAAATTTTCTGTAGAGACAGAGTCTCACTAAGTTGCCCAGGCTTGTGTGTGTTTCATTGTGTGTATCTGCTTGTGTGGTATGTCTTTGTGTGCCTGTGTGTATTTGCATGTCTTTGTGTGTGTCTGTATGTATGTGACTGTGTGTGTGGGGGGGTGCATGGGGAGGGTGCAGGGCCCTGGGGTCTGCGGGGTGGATGGTACCACCATCTACCAACTTTTGCCAGAGTACACAAGGCCTGCCCCAGGAAAGGGCATGTGCCGGCTTTCTAGGGGAGAGATGGGATAGGAGACCCCTAACAGAAAGATCCAGTGCTCTAACCGTGCGCCCCGGCTCTGTCCCCTCTCCACCCCTTCTTGACTGTCATCATTTAACATCCTAGCTGCAGGACTTTCTCTTTTTTGGTTTCTTTCGGAAATGATTATACTCCAGAGATGAGACAGCCTTCCAAACATGCCCCTAAGAAGGCAAAGGGGGCTTCTCCACATAAGAGCAGACACTGCTCATTTTCAATTTCTGTAATTTTCATTTCAAAGGGAAAATAAACCAGCAGGCAATGCCAAACAATTTCATCATGAAATTCCGGCACCGCTCGCTGCTGTTTGGGGTGAAGCCGGCACCTCTTTTAGAGATGCTGCCGAAGCAAAGCGTCCCTTCCCTCACCCACGGCTTCTCCCTTAGACAGGGCTGAGTGGCCTCCACCCGCTGCAGGGATGAGTTCTAAGTGGCGGTAGGGCGGGGTGCCGGCTGCTGGGGGAGGCTGGCCTTCTTGGGTGGAGAGGAGTGGGCTTGGGTTTGGAGGGGGAGCCAGACAGATGTGCACAGCAGCAATGCTGCAGCCCCTGGGACGCAGCTCATCGTCTTCTGTCAAAGCCTCCTCCCCAGAGATCAGGGGATGGGAAGGTGAACAGTGCCTTCGGTACCCTCTCTGAGCTGCTTCGAGGTCTGTCAAAAAGTAATTACAGGAGGGGCTTGAGGAGGGCAATGTATTCAGATTGTAATGAAGCCAAACACCCTGAATATTCAGGCAGATTCCAAACCACCCCATCCTTGCAGCCCCAGAATGTCACAGTAAGGGCTGCTGAGTCACTGCTAAGCAGGGGGTGGTCTGAGGCAGAGAGAAGCAGGAGAACTTTCCAGGAAGTTTCCCAGCCAGCTGGATAGAGTACTACAGGGGTGGGCAGAGGCATGGGAAGCAGAAGTGGGGGGCTGGACTTGAATCCTGGCTCTGCCACTTAGAGCTGGGTGACCTCAGGTAAGTTACCTTACCTCTCTGTGCCTCAGTTTCTTCATCTGTAAAATGGGAATACCAAGTGTGACAGGCAGCCTCCAAGATGGCCCTTGATAATCTCTACTTCCTGGCCTTCACACCCCTGCGTAGACCCTCCACATTGTAGAAGGACCGGTCTGTGTGACCAATAGAATGTGGCACAGTGATGGTGCCACTTCCGAGATTAGGTTGTAAAAGACACTGTGGCTTCCTTCTTGGCCTTACTCTCTCTCTGATCATTTGCTCTGGGTGAGGCCAGCTATCATGCTGTGAGGACACTCAAACACCCTATGGACAGAGGCTCCTGTGGCAAGACCCAGCCATGGGACTGAGCCCCAGTCAAGCCTCAGGTGACTGCAGCCCCAGCTGACACCTTGATTGCAACCTCAGGAGACCCTGGGCCAGAAGCTCAGAACAGCCACTCCCAGATTCCTGACTCACAGACACCGTGAGATAATTTGTGTTTGTTGTTTTAAGTTGCTAGATTCTGGGATGATTTGTTACATGGCAATAGATAACTGGTACACCAAGGGTCACTGTGAATATTCAGGGACTGGACAATAATGCCAAGGGCTTAGCACAGCACCTGCTACATAGCCCACAGCTCAATAAATGGTGGCAAATAATTAGTCTGGTAAAACTATAGACCCCCTCCTCAAAAGAATGTTTTTAGATGTCTTAAATAAAATACACATGGCATTAAAAGGAAACCTATTCTATGCAGTTCCATCCACACACCTCTTGGTGGGAGGCCGTGTATCCCAAGTTAAAAATTCTCCTGCCTTGGTCTGTTGCCCAGGCTGTCTGGAGTTGCATCCCAGTTTCACCATGGACAAGCAGTATGTTCTTGGGGTCTTTAAACCAGGAGGATTAGAGAGGAGGCACAGTGAAGTCATGGTGGTGACAGTACTGTTGCTAAAGCCTGACCCTCCCCCTTCATGCTAAGCAGTGCCTCTGGCAGGCAGAGTGCTGAGGCTTACATGTGCTGAGATGCGTTTGGGAAGAGGCGTGAATATTGTGGGGCTGAATCCTCAGGGCCGTGGGGGGCTGCATGGCTGATGACCATGAGGACTGGCCTGTGCGGGTACATCTTCTTGGACGTGCGGAAGAAGCTCACGCTGTCATTGGTGATGAGGTCTGTGAGGTAATCCTGGGGGGTGGGGAGAGACAGGAGAACAGGTGAGGAGCCAGGTATTCATACTGGTGTCCACTACGTGCCAGGCACCCTGCTAGGCACTGGGGACACAATAGTGAACAAAACAATTTCTGCCCTTCTGGAGCTGACAGTCTAGGGAGCAGACAGACAAGAAATAAGCAAGTAAAATAAATGAAATGCCAGACAAATGATGCAAATGGTGCTAAGCTAATTGGACATAAAGCAGAGAAGTGGATAGGGAGAACAGGGCAGGAATTGCAATAGATCACTTTAGATAGATATTAAAATAGGCTGGGTGGGATGGCTCACACCTGTGATCCCAGCACTTTGGGAGGCTGAGGTGAGCAGATCACCTGAGGTCAGTTTGAGACCAGCCTGGCCAACACGGTGAAACACCATCTCTACTAAAAATACAAAAATTAGCCAGGCGTGGTGGTAAACACCTGTAGCCCAGCTACTCAGAAGGCTGAGGCAGGAGAATCGCTTGAACACAGGAGGTGGAGGCTGCAGTGAGCCACGACTGCATGATTGCACTCCAGCCTGGGTGACAAAGCAAGACTCTGACTCAAAAAAAAAAAAAAAGATATTAAAAGAATAATAGCTAACACTATTGAGTGCTTACGATGTGCCAAGGACTGTTCTGTGTTTACCTGTATTTGCTCGCTTAATTCTGACATAACTATAGAAAGTACGTATGATGATAATCCTTATTTTCCAGAACAGGAAATTAAGGCACAGAGAAGCTAAGTAAATTGCCCAATGGCACACAGCTAGTAAATGTTGGACCCAGCACTACATAGTCTTGGCTCCTAAGTCTGAAGTTTTTTCAAGGCTCTGGGGACACTGTCATGCAGGGTGGGTATATCCCTAAGTCCCTGGGGTGCCTACACTGGGGCAGGAGCAGACACATGTATAAATAAAGAACCAAGGTAGTTAAAAGTTATGACAGATGAAGGAAATATCATAAAACAGAGAGATGTAACAAAGAGTAACTGGGAGCTGAGGTGAGGGGCATATTTTAGCTGGGGCAGTCAGGGAGGTCCTCTCTGAGGAGGTGACATTTGAGTTGAGACCTGAATGATGAGAAGGAGCTGGGCATAGGAAGATATGTATCACTGGATTTTGCCAGAATCCCCTGGAGAGCTTACTGATACCTGGGCCCACCCCCAGAGATTCTGGTTGGATTGGCCTGCGGTTTGGCCCAGGTATCAGACTTTTAAAAAACTCCCCAGGGGATTCTAATGGGTACTCAGGATTGAGAATCACTGATCCAGGAAAGAGTTCCAGGCAGAGATAACGGGGTCTGAGGCAGGAATGTGCTTGCCATGTGCTCTAAAAATAGAAGAGAGGGCAGATGGCAACTGGCTCCTTGGAAAGAGGATAAAATGTCAGAGGGTAAAATGCAGAAATGATATAAGGAGCAGCACACACACAAAAAAGGGATGGGGATGCAGTAATGTCTCCAGGAAAATAAGGAACTGACTTACATATTGGGCAAGAGGAGAGAAGAGTTGGAGGAAAAGTAAATGGCCAGAACTGGAGGCTTTAAAAGCTCAGCTAAGAAGTTGAGGTTTGCCTATACTCTTTAATTTTTTTTTGGTCATGGAGCAAAAAATGGAGCAATGGTCTTGCTCCATTGCCTAGACTGGAGTGCAGTGGTGAAATCATGGCTCACTGCAGCCTCCATCTCCCAGGCTCAAGTGATCCTCCCACCTTGGCCTCCCAAAGTGCTGGGATTACAGGCGTGAGCCACAGCACCCATACAACTCTTCCTGAATTTAGTAAATATTTAGCTGCTAATCTTTCTTCAAGGTAATGACTTCTTGAAATATACCCTCTGCTAGAAAGCAGCTCTGCCCAAAACAATTACTTTCAAAAAGTGATTATTTTCAAGAAAAAAAGGTGAAGAGGTGTCTACAGCTTCCACCCTGAAGTATACAACATATATACATACCATGATGTATTCATATATCTACAGACACTCTTTCAGGTACACTCATCCACTATATCCATATGCACAAGAATGGCCACTGCAATATTGTTTATAAAACAAAAACATTGCAGTGACCAGCAGGAGGATATATGTTTAACAGTATGCATGTATATATATTATACACACACATACATATTAGAGACAAGGTCTTGCTCTGTCAGGCTGGGGTGCAGTGGCACAATCATAGCTCAGTGTAACCCTGAGGTCCTCAGCTCAAGTGATCCTCCTGCCTCAGCCTTCTAAGTAGCTAGGACTATAGGCATGTGCCACCACACCCAGCTAATTTTTCATTTTTATTCTTATTTTGTAGAGACAGGGTCTCTACAGACAGAGTCTTGAGTATCTAACAGTGGTTAGCCCAAGTAGATACAGCTAGCAAGTGGCCGCCCAGGCTGATCTTCAACTCCTGGTCTCAAGCAATCCTCCTGCCTCAGCCTCCCAAAGTGTAGGTATTAAGGCATGAGCCAACACACCTGGTGGCATTGCTTCCATACTATGCAATGCTGTGCAGACATTAAAAAGGCATGTGTAAAGTTGTCCAAGATACATGGTTAAGGGTAAGAGCAAGCAACAGAGTCAAACTCAGAAACATTCTATTTTTTGTGGGGGCAGAGGGAAGGGAAGGTGAAGAGGAGAAACCAAACTCTAACCTCATATATTTTTGAGCATCAAGGAAAAATCTGGAAGGATATCAAAATGCTGATTGAAGACTGGGAAGAGGAGAGAAGCGGAGAAAGTTACTTGCTTCTTTATATATTGCTCCTTGAATATTATTTATGGATTAATTTTGGGGAGTAAAAACAATTTTATAAGGGGGCTCTACAGAATTTATTACATAAAAATAATATATGTTATATAAATCAAAGAGCTGCTGCTATAGTTTTGGAACGTGATATAAAGGTATTAGAAAAGTTCTTAAAATGACAAAGGTAATTTACAATGGATCTAAAAATGGTGCAAAGCTCTGTACCCTGACATCAACAGTCAGGGCCTGAAGGGGTCAAGTCAGGAAATGGCATGAGAATGAGATGGAACCGCCAGTGGTGGACACTTGCTGCCACCCGCCAGTGGGGTGGGGTGGGAAGCCACCGTTGCTCTTCATAACAGACTCATCTTCACTACTTCATCTTAGAACTATATGCCTGTTTGGCCGTGGTTAAACTTTTTTAAAAATAAAGCTACCATTAACCTCCATTCCTAGGAGAAGATATACAATGGGATTCTAAAGCAGTGAAAAAGAACAGAGCTACGTGGATGAACACGGATCAAACGTGGATAAATCTTACAATGTTATATCGGGTGAGAAAAGCAGGTTGTGGAAGGATGTGTATGATATGATATCATTTATAAAAAGTCTAAGGACACAAACACAGCATCGTACATTGTTTGAGATATCCACCTATGGGATGAAAGAATAAAGGTATGTGTGGGTAGAAGCTCCAGGATACTGGCTACCTC
This sequence comes from Homo sapiens, assembly GCF_000001405.40. Lineage (NCBI taxonomy): Eukaryota > Metazoa > Chordata > Mammalia > Primates > Hominidae > Homo > Homo sapiens. The sequence goes on from NC_000020.11 coordinate 47,693,753, forward strand.
CAGGGGAGGGCTCAGGCCGGGGCAGGAATGAGACCCAGGAGGGTGGGTCAGGGGCTCCCACAGTCTAATGTTTCAAAGTGTGTGGGGGGTGATTACAGTACCTGCCTCTTGAGGCTGACAGGCAGGTTAAAGCACCAATAGATGTGAAGCTCTTGCCATAGTGTCCTGTGCACAGCCAGCTCTCTGCCACCATTCAGCTAAGAATCAGGACTGTCTTGGTGGCTGGGCAGATTTCTCCATGTCTGAGAGCTCCCCTCCTTATCCATCCTCCTCAGTGGCCACTCCTCGGCTAAGTCTTCCCCGATCTCTGCTAGCTCCGCAATGCCACATGACACACCTGCCTCCAAAGCTGCCACCCTGCTCCACCAGTGGGCAGTTAGTGCCAGGCCAGCCAACAAGAGCCACCCATCCCTCCGGCCACAGGGCTTCAGCCATGCCCTGTTCTCTCTGAGGGAGAGAACAGGAGGCCTGGGCCAGGGTGGCGGGGGCAGCATCCAGCGATGCTCAGGGGCAGCCAGGACAGCCACTGGGTGGATGTGGGGTGCGGGAGGGGCGGGTGACCCCCACCCCTGTTGGTCTCTGGTTTGGGCAGTTGAGGGAAGGGTAGAGAAGGCCTGGGCCGGGGGAAAGGCTGAGTTCAGAGATGGGCAAACTGTGTTTGGGGTGCCCGGGTCAAGCCATGAGGAAGAACTCTGAAATTCAGACCTGTGAGCAGGAGGGTGAGATGGGTGGAGGTCCACAGGCCCAGGTGCATTTTCCAGAACCCGGCGCCCAGGAGTCAGGCTCTACCCAGGTGCTGCTGGCCTGCACAGCTCCACAGGGCTGAGAAGCCACAGCTGGGACCCCGAGGTGCAACCGGCCCCCTCTGGCAAGCACCCTCTGAGCCTCAGGTGATTCCTGCAGGCATCCACAAGCTTCACCGACTGAGTAGCTAGTGTCTGCGGAGACTGCCAGCCTCAGCCCTAGGCAAAAGCGTGTTTCCCTCGAGTGGGCACTCCGCACCGGGCTTCCCTCCAAGGCCAAGGCAGTGCGTGTGGGTGGCAGCAGCTCCACAGGCTCCAGACAACTCGTAATGAATGATCATAGGCTCTTCATGTTATCAAATACCTTAGCTCAGCTGATCGTCACAGCAACTTTGACAAGTGGACATTATACCCATTTTACAGATAAGGAAGTGAGGTCCCCAAACAAATAAGCCATGCATCCAGAGCTGGAGCCAAGGCCTTTGTATTTTTGGGTCAGGTCCATCTTTTTCTCCCCGCCACAGATAACATTATTAATGAGAAGCATACATAGTGGTTTAGAGCAAGTATGCACAAACCGTTCCTGTAAAGGGCCAGACAGTAAATATTTTAGACTCTGCAGGCCCCCTGTCTCTGTTGCAACTACTCATTACTGCCATTGCAGCTTGAAAGCAGCTATCAGGAAAATGAATGGGCATGTCCGTGCTCCAGTAAAGCTTTATGTATGGATGCAGTTTTAATTTCATGTATTTTTCACATGTCATGAAAATTACTCTTAAAAGCTTTATTGTGGTAAAAAAAAAATGAGCTGTATGCTTTTTAACAAAGTTTTATCTGTGAAGTAGAGTACTGTTAACTCTAAGCACCATGTTGTACAGCAGATCTCTGGAACTGTTTCATCTTGCATAACTGAAACCTCATACATCTTGAACAGGAACTCCCCAGTTCCCCCTCCCCTCAGCCCTGCCAACCACCATTCTCCTTTTTGCTGCTATTGTCTGACTAATTTAGATGCCTCATGTAAGGGAATCATGCAGTATTTGTCCTTCTGTGTCTGGTTTATTTCACTTAGCATAATGTTCTCAAGGTTCATCCATGTTGCTGCATATGATAGGATTTCCTTATTTTATTATTTTGAGACAGAGTCTCGCTCTGTCGGCCAGGCTGGAGTGCAGTGGTGCTACCTGGGCTCACTGCAGCCTCTGCCTCCTGGGTTCAAGCGATTCTCCTGCCTCAGCCTCCCAAGTAGCTGGACTACAGGCATGTGCCACCATGTCCAGCTAATTTTTGTATTTTTAGTAGAGATGGGGTTTCCCCATGTTGGCCAGGCTGGTCTCGAACTCCTGGCCTCAAGTGATCCGCCTGGTTTGGCCTCCCAAAGTGCTGGGATTACAGGCATGAACCACTGCGCCTGGCCGGATTTCCTTTTTAAAGGCTGAATGACATTCATTTTTGTATATACCATGTGAAAAATGCTCTTCTTTTGATTGTTTCTTCAATTAGTTGAAAATGTAAAAACCATTCTTAGCTCAGGGGCCATACAAAAACCACCAGTCTGGGCCCACGGGCTGTGGTTTAGTGCATGGACTTTGAAGCCAGATGGCCTGGGTTCGAATTCTGCTTTATCACTTACTAGGCTATGTGGCCCGGTTACATTACTTAGCCTCTCTGGGCCTCAGTTTTCTCATCTGACAGTTGGGAATAGACACAGTATATACCTCACAGACTATGATGAGAAATGCATGGGTTAATTTGTGTAAAATGATTCAAACAGTATCTGGTACATGGTATGTCTAAATGAGTGTTAGTCATTATTCCTCAAGAACCATATGCCTACATTTTCTTTGTGAAAATTAAAATAGTACAAAGGACAGTGAAGTCTCATTTGATTAGATTACTCCTTACCACCCCCCCACCCCCATAACCTTGGCTCTTCTGTCCCCTACTGGGAATAACCTTTCCAGTGTTTTGTTAGGTACATTATAGTATCACTTTATGCATCTTTTTATATTATTAATCACATCATACTGTACATATTCATTTATCTATCTGACAAATACAGCAGTGAACAAAACAAATGAGCATTCCTGCCTTCATGGGGCTTATATTCTTATGAGAAGAGACAGATACTTAACAAATGAATCAGTAATATACACAGGGTGTAATGCACCAGATGGTGATTTGTTGCAGTAAGGAGTGTGGTGGGGGTGCCCTTATACAAGGTGGTCCAGGAAGGCTAAAGTGAGGTGACATTTGAATAAGGACCTCAGGAGTTCTGGAACTTGCTTTTCCCACTCTGCCTGATGGGCTCAGGACATAAGGCAGACCGGCCTCATCCTTTGCCGAGGATCTTCCAGAGGAGGGATGCTTCACGGTCATTTAGTTATTTCGTGTATTGGTGGACTTTGCTAATTTCTTTCAGTAATAAACAGAGCTACAACCAGCTGCTCCATCACGCCGTCTCCTGCCTATGACTGAGGCTTCTCCAGATAGACAGAGAAGTGTACACGCTGCGGCAAGGGGCGGGGCACATGAAGTTCATAGAATCTGCCAGGTCGCCCCCACACTGGCCGTGCACTGCCATCACCTCCCTGCAGAGCCACCCAACACCCAGGCCCACTTTTGCCAGCTACCTGGAAGCCTCTTTTCGGGTGGACTCAACTCTAGGTCATTCTCACTTCCCTTCCCACTAACAACTGTCTTCCCCTCTCCAACCCTCTTCTGCCATTAGCGCTTGTCCTGTATCACTCTTTTCTCATCACCACTGCCTCTCTTTCTGCCCTTGACATCTGGACCCCTTTGGTGGCATGTGCCCATCTGTGGATTAGTGACTTGGGACAGAGTCCTCAGAGGCCTTCTGAGGGGGGCTTACGAAGGGTTGCCGCTTCCTCCCTGCCTGGGCCTCCCAACAAGGCCCGCCCGAGGCCAGCAGTGACATTCTGCCTTGCCAGAGGCATCTTACTGCCTGATCTAGGGCCCAGGGCACAGGGCTCCTGAGCTCTGCCTTGGCTGGAAACCCCGGGCTCACCCCTGTTCCCTTGACGCTTGGGCTCCTGCTGCCCACTGCTACCCTCAGGATTTGAACCCTGGACCTGAGCCAGTTCTGACTTCACCGCCCCGCCCTCTGCCCACGTCCCTGTTAGAGCATCTCTGTTCCCAGGCCCCTGGTAACTGGGGGGCCAGGAATCCTCTCACGCCTCCCTCACAGGGCTGTTCTCATTCACAGGGGGAGATGTGTGTGGGCAGGAAACAGGGCAAAAGGACGGACGTTCTATGTCCCCATGCTTAGCCCCAAAAGAATCCTGAGCACCCCGGGATAACTTGATTATCGGGCTGCTCTGAGATGAGGCGTGGATGTGGTGAAGAATTTTAAAAAGGAGGGAATGTATTTTTCAGGATATTTAGAGAATCCGCCTGCACTGAGGCTGGGAGGAGGGAAACAGCGTGCTTAGCCCTGGGACTGGAATTTATATTCCAAGGAGTCCATGCCGGACTGCCTCATCAGAACTTTGGAATTAATTCACTTGGGAGGCTGGAGGCCTACTATGTGCAGAATGAGACTTGAGGGCAGGCCGGGGGCGGCTTCTGCCACTTGGGCCTGGACCCATCAGACTTACAGGGAGCCCAGGATGACCTGTCGGAGGCAGAGGGATCTCCATGTGTGCCGGGGTTTCCAGAACAGAAGTGGGACAGAGTGTTTTTTGGCCGTTGAGCACCTAGTCAGCCTTCTCCTGGTGGAAACTCCATTCTTATTTGGGGCTCTATTCCCAGCCAACGTTCCAGCGTAGAGCTCCTGCTACCCCCATGTCTGGCTCAGGAGTGGAGCATGTGACTTATAGTCCAGGGAACCAGGCATCCTCCTGGCCACTCTGATTGGCTCAGGGACAGACATGGGACTGATCCAGAGCCAATGAGATGCACTGAGACTCTCTGGGACTCCTGGGAAAGAGACTCCCATGCTTGCAGCTGGCCAGGAAGCTGGGAGGATATAAGGAAGGCCGCACTGCTACCAGGAGGAGAGAGAGCTTCTGTGAATACAGTCGAGCAGACAAAAACAGAGCTGACAGTAGAGAGAAATCAACTCCTTGGGGGTTCATTTGAACTCCTGGATCCACCCATGCCTGATACCCCTATAGCTGGTTTTCAGTTAAATAGGTGAATATATTTCCTCTTTGATTAAGCCACTGGGAGTTAAATTTCTGTTCACAAACAACTTCAAGAGCCTAGTCTGATTAAAAAAAATTACCCTATAGTGGCTGGGTGCCATGGCTCACACCTGTAATCCCAGCACTTTGGGAGGCTGAGGTGGGTGGATCACCTGAGATTGGGAGTTCGAGACCAGCCTGACCAACACGGAGAAACCCCATCTCTACTAAAAATACAAAATTAGCTGGGCGTGGTGGTGCATGCCTGTAATCCCAGCTACTCAGGAGGCTGAGGCAGGAGAATCACATGAACCCAGGAGACAGAGGTTGTGGTAAGCCAAGATCATACCATTGCACTCCAGTCTGGGCAACAAGCACAAAACTCTGTCTCAAAAAACAAAACAAAACTGAGATGACTGTAATAACTAGCAAGCTTGGAGGTTGAAATGGCTCATACTGGGGATGACAAAATAGACGGGTGTGATGTGACTGTGTGTGTGTGCATTAATGATGTGTGCACATCACTTAACAGTTTATATCATATCTTCATGTGCCAGACTGTGAGCTCCAGGAGGACCATGATTGGGTCATCTGTTTTCATTCACCTTGGAATAGCCAGCACTTGGCATGGTACCTGGTACACAGCAGGCTCTCAATGAATACTTGTTGGGGGTGGTGAATGAATAATGGAACCAAATGTGACTAGTCCACTCCCCTCATATGATTGTTGTGAATATCAGAAGTACTACATGTTATCAGAAGTACTACTGTGTACCCCTGAGCACTACATAGTAGGTGCTCAGGGGTACACAGTAGGTGCTCAGTAAATGGAAGTACACATGATTAAGTATGCAAGGGTATGCTTGTTTTTCAGATTTGGGAGTTGAGGCTCTTAGGAGTACGTAGCATGTCCAAGGTCACGTAATATGTGTCAAGGTTGGGGCTCTCAACTTGATCCCACTGACTCCAAATGTGAAACTCACCGTACAGTCCCCGGAGGGTGCTGGCAGAAGAACGACATGGTGGGCTGAAGGGCTGCAGGCCCATGGGTCAGGCATGCTCAATTGATGCAAGATTTTAGAAAAGTCTGAATTAGTTGCCAATATTTACCAATCAGGAGATTTCATAGGTAAAAAATACAAATTTGTGGCTTCTGTTGAAAAATCAGGAAAAGTGGCCATCTGGGCCCACAGTTCTACCTGGGCCTGATCTGCCCCTTTTGGACAGACACCTTCTCCACCGTCTCCACCACTCCCTATTGTCCACACACTCCTGGCTTGCTACCCTCTTTCAGTGACTGCCTGTTCTCTAGTGACTTTAACCTGGGAAGTCACAGTAGGCAGGGCCCAGGACTGGTGGCAGTGGGGATGGGAAAAGAGAAAGAGGGATGGATTTGGCAGCTGGTCTGGGGAAAGAATGTACCAGCTGTGGGGGGATGTCAGAGCTGACTCTGAGGATTCAGATGGGGCAGGAAGATTTGTTCATTTCCATATTTCTTTTAAAATGGGACATCTGGATGAAACATCACTGTCAGCCTCTCCTCCTTCTCCTCCTCATCATCTAAGCCAGGGGTCAGCAAACTACAGCCAAGCAGGTCGACTGCCTGTTTTTGTAAACAAAGCTTCCTTAGAGCATGGCCATGCTTGTTTGTATATTATCTATGGCTGCTTTCACACTATAACGGCAGACTTCTGCAGTGGTAACAGGACTGTAAGCCTTGTAAAGCCTAAAATATTTAGTATCTGGCCCTTTACAGAAAATATTTGTTGCCCTGATCTAAGCTACTACATACTGAGTATTTACTACGTGCAAGGGGCGCTTCTAATGTTCTACATGTACTAACTCACGTGATCCTCAAAAACCTTTGTGGTAAAACCATAATGAAACACCGCTACATGCCCAACAAAGCAGCCCTGACAAAAAAGACAACACCAAGTGCTGATAAGGGATGCAGGGCAACTCCCATTTCCGGCTGGAGTGTAAACTGGTGCAACATCTTTTTTTTTTTTTTTTTTTCTTTTTTGAGATGGAGTCTCGCTCTGTCTCCCAGGCTGGAGAGCAGTGATGTGATCTCGGCTCACTGCAACCTCTGCCTCCCGGGTTCACACCATTCTCCTGCCTCAGCCTCCCGAGTAACTGGGATTACAGGCGCCCGCCACCACGCAGGGCTAATTTTTGTATTCTTAGTGGAGACGGGGTTTCACCATGTTGGCCAGGCTGGCCTCGAACTCCTGACCTAAAGTGATCCACCCGCCTCAGTCTCCCAAAGTACTGGGATTACAGGTGTGAGCCACTGCGCCTGGCCGGGCGCAACATCTTAACACATCCTATGTCCCAGCAATCCTTCTTTGGGTGTATAACCAAAAGAAATGGGTGCATATGTCCACTAAAAGCCATGGACAAAGATGTTCACGGCAGCTTAGTTTATAATAGACCCAAACTGGAGACAACCAAAATGTCCATGAGTTGTTGAATGAATAAATAATACAGATCTCACAGACATTGCGCTGGGTGAAAAAAGGCAGATGCAGAAGAGAACAGACTATACGATTCCATTTAGGTGAAGTTCTAGAATAGGCAAAAATAATCCACGCTGTCAGAAGTCAGAGTAGACGTCATCCCCAGGGTGGGGGGTCATGACTGGAGAGGGGTCTCAGGGAGTCTTCTGGAAGTGCTCTATGTCTTGATCGGAGCCGCGGTGAAATGGATGCACGCATATGTGGAAGAGATGCGCGGTGAAACAGATGCACACGTATGTGAAAATTCATCCAGCGGTCCACTTAAGATCTGTGCATGTTACCTCATGTCAATTCATCTTATGTTAAAAACAGAAAAAACTACGACTGAGGATCAACCACTGCTGCAGGTGCTCAGGCAGCACCCACTCACTCCGAACATGCACACGCCCTGTGCTCAGCAACGCTGCTGTGAGGAACGGGTATAACAGAAATGAGCCTCTATGCTCACCAGGAGCTAGGTTCTAGACAGTGCTCAGCAGCGCTATTTGTAATAACCCCAAACTGGAAATACCTAAATGCCCAATAAAAGTAGAAGAAATAAACAAATTGTGGTATAAGCGCATGATGGAATGCTGGGCAGCAAGAATGAACTCAACATAATACTAAGCAGGAGAAGCCAGATGCAGAGTGAATCTGTAACGCTAAGAGTCTGAATCATCGTTATCCTCGCGGGAGGGGTGTCGAGTCGGGGGAATTCCGTGAGGGGACTGCTGCGGGCGGTGGTGACATTCTCTTCTTGGCCTACCCGGGTGCTCATTACACATGTCCGTTCAGTGTGCGGCAAGCCTTTGAATGGTACACTCTGTGTATGTACTTTCTGTAAGAATATTCTGTCTCGGCAAAATGTTAAAAAACCAAACTCTTGGAAACAGACACTATTTTTTGAGAAATGAATACATTTTTCTTTTCTTTTTTAAAGACAGAGTCTTGCTCCGTCACCTAGGCCGAAGAGCAGTGGGAAGATCCTGGCTCACTGCAGCCTCAAACTCCCGGGCTTAAGCAATCCTCCCATTTCAGCCTCTCTAGTAGCTGGGTCCACAGGCATGTGCCACCACACCCGGCTAAGTTTTGTATTTTTTTCGTACAGACAGGGTCTCGTCATGTTGCCCAGGCTGGTCTTGAACTCCTGGACTCAAGTGATTCACCTGCCTTAGCCTCCCAAAGTGCTGGGATTACAGGCGTGAGCCACTGTCCCTGGCTGAGAGATGAAAAACTGAGGAGGAGGTGTATGTAAAATGCTCAAGGTCACACTTTTAAGTGCCTGAGTCACAATCTGAACCCAAGTAGTCTGGCTCCTGAGTTGGGCCTCTAACTGCTGGGCCACACAGCCACTCCCAGGCTGGAAAGGTTGCAGCTTACCTTGGAGTAGTCGGAGCCGTGCTTCTCTTTCACCCCGTTCCGACACAGCGTGTAGTTATAAAAGCGGGAGTTTTTAAGGAGTCCGACCCACTCCTTCCAGCCGGGTGGCACGTAGGAGCCGTTGTATTCATTAAGATACTTCCCGAAGAAAGCTGCGGAGGGAGATGGATCAGGAGGCCACGTGAGAAAGTGCCTGACGATGTTTATTAAACTATTGTGTGTCCGAGGCCTGAGCATGCACACCTGCTCTGCCATGGAGCCCTCTGGCACACAGAGCAATGGATCCCTTCTCCAATGTTATTACGTGCATTGAATACAAGATATAGGATTACAGAGAAAATCAATTGTTTGGAAATACGGTTATCAAAATACTAAACACATTTGCGATACAGTGTGTCTTTTATTTTTTATTTTTGAGATGGAGTCTTGCTCTGTTACCCAGGCTGGAGTGCAATGGTACGATCTTGGCTCATTGCAACCTCTGCCTCCCAGGTTTCAAGCAATTCTCCTGCCTCAGCCTCCCGAGTAATCCTCAGCTGGGATTACAGGCGTCTGCCACCATGCCTGGCTAATTTTTTGTATTTTTAGTAGAGACAGGGTTTCACCATGTTGGCCGGGCTGGTCTTGAACTCCTGACCAAAGTGTTGGGATTACAGGCGTGAGCCACCATACCTGGCCTACTGTGTCTTTTAAAACCTTGTAGAGAGCGATCATTTCAGAATAGTTATGAGTGAAAATATTATATTTTGCAGTATCTGCAAAAACTGCAATGGGATATTAAATACTGGTGATTTCTACAGATGACAAAGCTACAGATTCTGCCAACATACTGTGGTTTATGGCTTATGCTCATATTGGAAGCAAATGCTAAGTCTCAGCTGTAGGTTAGTGAAAACCAGAGTGTCACTTTTTTTCCCATTGAAGTTTGTGGATCCCTTGGATTCTGTCTGCTATACAGCAACCAGAATGGCTAACATTAAAGAAATGGGCAACACCTAGTATGGGTGGGGATGTGGGACAACTTGAGCCCTCACACACTGAGTGGCTGCCCCAACCGGTCCAACCACGGTGGGGAACTCTTTGGCTGTGTCTGCTAAATTTGAATGCATTGGTAACTTCTACCCAACAATTTAAATCTTGGGTATTTACCCAACAGAAAAGTATTCATACACTCACCTAAACTCAGGTACAAGACATGACAGCACATTTGTAATAGTAAATAGGTAGAAACAAATGAAATGTTTATCAACAAAAGGATGGGTAAAGAAATTGTTGCATATTTACAGAACGGAAGGCTACATTGAAACTTGAACGAAAGACCTAGTGCTACATTCAAGAACAGGGATGCATCTCAACAACCTAAGAATGTTAAGAGAGATAAACCAGATACAAAAGAATACATGCCATATGACGTCATCTATGTGAAATTTGAGAACAGGCCAAACTAATCTATGATGTTAGAATAAAAACAGTGGGTATCCTGGAGACTGGGGGAGGGTGGCTGGGAGCAGCAAGGGGAGTTTCTCGGGTGATGATCTTGTTCTATTTCTTGCTGGAGCAGGTGGTTCAGTTGGTGACACCTCATTGGCCTGGAGATTTGGGAGCCATGCACTTTTCCACATGCACGCTTTACATCAACAACAAAGCTTAAAGAAAATCACCCTAATTCATCAGGAAGGGGATGTGCCTAAAAGCTCTGTGATAAGGAGACAGACAAGACCTCTTCATGATCCTCTTCTGTTTTTATTTTGCATGTACATTTTTTTTTTCTTTGAGACACGTCACACTCTGCCACCCAGGCTGGAGTGTAGTGGCACCATCACGGCTCACTGCAGCCTCAACCTCCCAGGCTCAAGTGATCCTCCCACCTCATCCTCCCGAGTAGCTGGGACTACAGGCGCATGCCACCATGCCTGGCTTATTTTTGTAGTTTTTGTAGAGAAGGGGTCTCGCCATGCTGCACAGGCTGTTCTTGAACTCCTGAGCTCAAGCGATCTGCCTGCCTCAGCCTCCCAAGGTGCTGAGATGACAGGCGAGAGCCACCGTGTCTGGCTTGCATGTATAATTTTTAATAATTATAATCTATAAAGCCATATTTAAGAAATGGGAAAATTTGAGTCTAGAGACAGCAATCCTATTCTAGTCGTCTCTTTCTAGATGAGGACACTGCGGTTCTGAAATTTCTGACGAGTATTGCTGAGAGCACAGAATATGAGCGTTCCAGGAGGTTGTAGGGATGTAAGGAGATCTTGCTAACAGACAGCTCAGCGCTGGGCCTTGTGCACGTGAGTGCTTGGCCGAGAAGCCAGGATGAAGAGAGAAAGGCCAGGGAGGTGAACCCCCAGAGGAAGGAGGAGAGTGGGTGGGATGGGGCTCTGGTGCCCCTAGAGGAGAGGACAACCTATCCACCAGTGTCCTTGGAGAAAGCACAGAGCCACCTGGCCCTGGGGGAGCTGTGATGGAGCTGGCTCCCTCTGCAGCGGTTTTCCTGGTGACCTGGCAGATGGCTGACACTTTCCAGGAGTGGGAAAACCCCTTAGGAACCCAAGCGGCTGGATTCTGAAACCCCCAAAATACAAGGCAAAGGGGAGCACTTCATTAAATGACTTGCCCATCATGCAGGGCCGGGAGGTGACCGCTCCAGAGGGAGGAGCTGATGAAACACCTCCTGTAAGGGTCTGGGTACACAGGGGAGGTGAAAATAGGAAGGGAGGATCCCCCAGCAGCCTCAGGGGTAAGGTCCGGGATGGAACCTCCCTTTGTGTGGGAGGATGGAGCAAAAATAAACGGGAAGAACCTGGCGTTCTGCAGAGGAGGAGGCGGGGAACCGGCTGCAGTCTCTGAGTCTGAGTCATATCCAGTTTTCACAGAGTGAAATGTAATTAGGTGGTGGGTGCCTAATTAAACAGCGACTGGGCGTCCCTGGCTAGGTGTCAGGGAGTAACTGATGGAGTGGAGGCAGCATGAGATTCCCGGGCAAGCTAAAGGCCTGCACTTCTCTTTCTCTGGGACCTGGAATGTTGGAGATGCCTCAATGCATCCAGCTCCTCAAAGCAGTGGCTCTTGGCCAGAAAGGGGGTAATTTCTGTCCCCAGGAGACACTTGGCAATGTCTGGAGACATTTTTGGTTTCATCACAACTTGGTGTGCTGTTGATATCTGGTGGGTGGAGGCCAAGGATGCTGCTCAATATTCGCCGACGCACGTGACAGCCCCCACGCTACAAAGACTGAGCCAGGACAAAATGTCAGCAGCGCCTAATCCAAGAAACCTTTTCTTTTCTTTTCTTTTTTTTTTTTTTGAGAGAGGGTCTCGCTGTTTTCCAGGCTGGAGTGCAATGGCGTGATGTCGCCTCACAGCAACCTTTGCCTCCTGGGTCCAAGGGATTCTCCTGCCTCAGCATCCCGAGTAGCTGGGACTACAAGCGTGCACCATGATGCCCGGCTAATTTTTGTATTTTTAGTAGAGATGAGGTTTCATCATGTTGGCCAGGCTGGTCTCGAACTCCTGACCTCAAGTGATCCACCTGCCTCGGCCTCCCAAAGTTCTGGGACTACAGATGTGAGCCACCATACGTCGCTGAGAAACCCTATCTTATTTAAATAAACCTGCCTATGGTCCAACCCTCCAGCATCTCACCCCTCAGGTCTTTGGAGCCATATTGTGAGAGCCAGGAAGGCCCCTGGAGACCAAGTGTAGTTCAGGAAACAAGATTTCCTAAACCTTGTGACCTTGACCCCCACCTCTAACGCTGCCCTCCATGCGGGGGGGCTCCACTTCTGTAACACTCCTGGCCTCTCTCCATGCTCTCCCGTACCTCCTCCGAGGGGGACAATATACAGCAGAGGTCACCAAACCTTTCCTGTAAAAGCCAGATAGTCAGTATTTTAGGCTTTGTGGGCCAGAGGGTCAAAGGGTCTCTGTGACAACTGCTAAACCCTATTGTTAGAAAGAAAAAAAAGAAGTCACAGACAAGACATAAACAAGTGGGCGGGTATGTTCCAATAAAACTTTATTTACTAAAACAAATGGAGGGCCTGGTTAGGTCCATTGGCTGTGGTTTGCTGACCCCTAGCATGTGCCTAGTGGATTTGAAGGGCCGAAGTGGGCATGCATAGCCCAATCCCTTCCCTTGCTTTTCCTCTGGGGACTGAGCTGCCCCCGGGGAGGGCTAGTTTTCAGGAGGCTTGTCCTGTCTGCGCGGGGAGGAGAGGTGTGGACCTGCATCAGTGGGAAGTCTGTCACACTCTGGAGTTTAGTCAGGAAGCCCAAATGCTCTCAGAAGGAAGCCATGCCCTCAAACCCAGCCTTCACCAGATTCATCAGAGTGCAGTGTTGACTTTCATCAGCTGACTCTTGGGTCTGATTTCTTAATCGGCTCAGGACCTCAACAAGGAAGAGGGTAAAATTTAATAAGCCCCCACATAAATCGGTATTCCCATTTTTTCTAAGAAAAAGATGAGTTTTATTATTATTATTATTATTTTTTGAGATGGAGTCTTGCTCTTGTCACCCAGTCTGGAGGGCAGTGGTGTAATCTCAGCTCACTGCAACCTCTGCCTCCCAGGTTCAAGTAATTCTTGTGCCTCAGCCTCCTGAGTAGCTGGGATTACAGGCATGGCCACCACACCTGGCTAATTTTTGTATTTTTAGTAGAGATAGGGTTTCACCATGTTGGCCAAGGTGGTCTTTAACTCCTGACCTCAGGTGATCCACCCATCTCAGCCTCCCAAAGTGCTGGGATTACAGGTGTGAGCCACCCTGTCCGGCAGTTTTATTATTTTTTATTCTTCTTTTTTCTCCATTTTCCCCGTGCCCCACTTCGCCCTTTAGAAATGCAATTATAACCTTTTATCTCCCCTACACCAGACACTCTCTTCAGGGCAAGTTCATCTAATCACGTGCTTAGAGGCTCTGGAGCGGAACTCTCACTCACTGGGAGGTTGCCTCGAGAGACAATGGTCCACTACAACCCAAAGTATGCCTGCTGCGAAACTCCCTCCCAGGTGGAGAGCTTCTGGCCACCCTTACAACCTAGTTCCACCCACAAAGGCACCAGTGGCTGCCAGCTGACTTCCCGGTAGATGAAGTACTCGAGTGAGATATGCGGACCCCCCCAGCACTCAATTCCTCCCCTGTGTGCCATTCATGCCAGGCCCCCTTTTAAAAAGCAACTCCTTTCTGCTCCTAAAAGCAAAGCAGTACCCTTAAGGCAGGAAGACTGTACTTCTTCCCCTAAGCTAGCTTTGGAATAAAAAATCACTTTCTTTATACCAGATCTCGCTCTTATTACCTGCGTTTTTGTTACACCCCTACAGAGCCCCGACACTTTCTACTCGTGGCAAACAATACTGTCAGTGATGTAAAAGATTCCTTTTGAAACAACTGAAGTCCAGAGTGAAACAATCTAGGGTAAAATGTTAACAGAATCAGTGTACCTGGGCATGGTACACCTCATGATGGTGGCACTCGAAATTGCTGAATTTGGGGTCCCACTGCCCTAGGGAAGGTATGCATGCCTGTATCCATTCGGCAAGTGTTGATTAAACACCTACGGTATGCAGGGAGCTTCCCAGGCACTGGAATCACAGGAGTGAACAAGACCACCAGGATCCCTTCTGCCCTCGTGCAGTTGATGTTCTAGTGGGGAATGATGACAAATGCGATGAAGAAAATAAAGGAGAATGATAGGACAGAGTGGCCCCACGCAGTGCTGTGAGAGGCCTCGCTGGGCTGAAGAGCAAGAGTCAGAGGGGATAGGAGGAAAACTGTTCCAGGCAGAGGGAATTGGCAGGTACAAAGTCCCTGAAGCCAGTACAAACGTGGGGGCATCGCAGAACCCAAGGGGGACAGTGAGGGAGGGAGGAAATGACATCACGGGGAAGAGGGGACAGATCCCATAGGGTCCTGGAGACTGTCATGAGGAGTGGCAGGGTTCGTACCGCTCCTGGAACATTGCATGCCAGATTTTGCCTTTTGTGCATTTTCCTGGAAACAAGTCCACAGCTTTTGACACATTCTGAAAGGAGCCCAGATCACAAGTCATTTAAGAAGCACAGATTTTCACCCCCTCAGTTTGCAGAAAAGTGAACTGAAAGTCAGAGAAAAAGGCTTCACTGAACTCCCCACTGGGGAACTGGGTTTCCCGCTACACTCCCACATCTTCCAAATCTCCAGCCAGTGAACCTACTGGTTCTTGAAGACTTGGGCCAAGGTCTTTCTGATGAATGCTGGAGTTTAGCTTCTTGGCTTGGCTGCTGGGATATGAATTTCTTCATAGGGAGTGGGTGGGGGTCCTCCTCCTGCCCATTCTTTTCAGTGCCACGGATGTCAGCTTAATGCAAGCTGTTTCCTCTGCTAGCATCTCCCCTTTCACGTCTCTTTCCTTTCTCCAACCCCCAACCCTTAAAAACCCAAAAAGGGTGTATTATTCAGTCTCCACCAGGCCCTAGAAAACAGGGCTTCAGTCAGAGGCTTTTAGTGCCAAATTAGATTTTGCTCTCATTTGATTATATTTCCCCAAGGCACTTTTAAAAATGGTTATTCCGGCACCAGTGGAGGTGGGAGAAGCAAATTAGCATGGGCCCCGGGGCTCCTGGGCTGGGAGATACAGCCAAGAGAATGAGCTGGAATTAAAACCAAGATTAAAAGCCCAGCCCAAATTGTGGCAGGTGGCTGGTGCCTGGGAAGCTTGGATTCGCTGAGCTTTCGAGGCAAGGACAGCACAAGAGGAGGGGCAAGCTGGGGGCTGGCGTGGGGGTGGGAAAATTTGGCAGGCAGATTAAGAGGAATTAATGGCAGGCCAGGAAAGGCCATTGACAATGAGCTGGCTGGCGACTGCCCCTGGGCAGCAGGGCTGGCATCTGCTGAAAGGCCAGAGCACTTACTGCCTCCTGTGTGCCCAGCACTAGGTGGAAGCTTCACCTGCCTGGCTCTGTCATCCTTTGGGCACCAACACTTCCTTATTTAAGTTGCACGGGCTGACCTTGACTGTTGACTCCAGGAATGTGTGCAAATCCTTGACTCCCATGAGGACCGCATTCCCCTGGTGATCATGCACAAACTGGTTAGTTGAGGCAAAGGCATGTGACCCAAGCTGGGCCAACTGCAGCGAGTCAGCCCTGGGATTTTTAGGGAGCTACTAGAAAAGAGAAGGTCTTCTTCCTCAAGGCTTGGAACTGGTGGGATACATAACTGAAGCTGCTGGCAGCCATCTTGCCACCAAGAGGGAAGAGTCTGTGTGTGTGTGTGTAAAGCAATATGGAAAAATGCGGAGGTGGGAAAGATAGAGACAGAGAGACAGAAGAGATAGAGAGATACAAGAGATAGAGAGATAGAGAGATGCTGGTTTGAGGCCCTGGGGATCCACTCTTACCTGAAACCACTTTTTTTTTTTTTTTTTGAGATGGAGTCTCACTCTGTCTCCCAGGCTGGAGTGCAGTGGCATGATCTCAGCTCACTGCAACCTCTGCCTCCTGAGTTCAAGCGATTCTCCCGCCTCAGCCTCTCGAGTAGCTGGGACTACAGGTGTCCAACACCACGCCCAGCTAATTTTTTAATTTTTAGTAGAGACCAGGTTTCACCATGTTGGCCAGGCTGGCCTTGAACTCCTGACCTGAGGTGATCTGCCCGCCTCAGCCTCCCAAAGTGCCAGAATTACAGGCGTGAGCCACCGTGCCCAGCCTAATGTTTTAATTTTTAGTAGAGATGGGGTGTCACTATGTTGCTCACGCTGGTCTGGAACTCCTGGGCTCAAGTGATCCTCCCGCCTTGGCCTCCCAAGGTGCTGGGAATACACGCATGAGCCACCATGCCCACCATATTTTTACTGTACTCTATTAACATGTTCACGTATGTTTAGATACACAAATACTTCCCATTGTGTTACCACCGCCTACAGGATTCAGTATGGTCACATGCTGTAGGGGGGTTTGTAGCCTAGGAGTAATAGGTCACGCCACAGAGCCTAGGTGTGTAGTAGGCTATGCCATCCAGGCGTGTAATGCACTCCATGATGTTCGCACAATGACAGAATCACCTAACGACACGTTTCTCAGCATGTATCCCCATTGTTACGTGACACACGACTGTACATTGCTTGGAACTGGCACATAGCAAGTGCCTACTAAGGGTTATATTTTCATTATCCACCAATGGGCCCGTCCCCTGTTATAGCCAACTTCTTGCTGTTAACATCTGGTTTAATGGAGTCCCCCTGCCCCCTTGGAGAGGATCACTAGCTCCCCATATCCTTCCTGCACCCTGCTTCGTGGCCCAGCAGGTCGGCCACTTCCCCTGCAGGCAGCTCTACGGTGGAGGCTCCACGCGGCTGCTTCCCCATTTGTCTGAGTTAAGTGCTCCTGGGGAACGATTCGGAGCCTGATGGGAGGAGGAGACCCTTCTGTTTTCTCTCCCAGCCCCAAATCTAACTGAAATTGCCTTGTAATAATTGCATTTGTGGTCTGTGAAAGCTGTGTCTCGTGGCGACCAGGGACTGAGATTAGCTGGTGAAAAACCTGGCACAGGGGCACACACGGCATCACTGGGGATACTAAGCAAGCCACGGACAATGGGGGAGACAGAGGGCTCCTGCAACCAGAAACCACTGGGAACCTCGGCCACCTCTCCCTGCTGCAGACATGTCCCCGCCATGCCGGGCCGGCGTAGGAACACGCTGTTCCTCCCAGCATCAGTTCTCCCTTTTCCCAGTAACACAGGTGGTAATGTGGCAGAGTGCCCAAAGCGTCTCTGCAGTCAGACTGTCTGGGTTTGAATCCTGGATCTGCCACCTCCTAGCTGTGGGACCACAAAGGACTTTGTCCCCTGTGGTTGTTGGCAATGAAACGACAGTGCACCCCCACCCACTGCTATGCACGTGGATGAACTGACAGGCATGCGAAGGGTGAAACAGGACCTGATCTGTCCTAGGGGCCTCCCAAGAGGCAGCCAGCAGGACAGAAAGCACCCGCTGCTTTCGGAGGACTTTCTCTCCCCCACGACGGGCCATCTGGCTGGAAATACCAACAGGGCTTCTTTAAGGACATCAGCAACTTTCGGTACATGTTCATCCCACACCATTTCCACCCACACACTACATTAAAGGTAATCGACAAACAGCTCTCTAAGAGTCCAAATGTTCCAGAGCTGACTCGCTGAATCATGCAACACCATTTCATTAAATATTTATTCACTTTGATTTGGCAATTTGTCCTCATATTTTGGAACCAGCACACAAACACATCTACGCACCTGCATAAATATACAACACATACATATACACACATGCATGAATACATATACACAAGCACAAATACACTACATATACATACATGAATATACAACACACATATACACACGAGTGAATACATGACATATAAAAATACACATATGCATTAATATATGGCACACATACGCACATGCATAGATATACAACATTCACATATACACAATGCATGAATATACAGGTACATATGTACATATACACGATGCAGGAAAATACAGTAAAAGCACATATACACACATACACGAATACACAACATACACATATACACAGGATATAAAATCCCAAAAAAGACAGAAATGCATCTTGCTTCTTCACCTGTTTCCTTCTCACAGCCAACTTCCAACTGGACTTCTGCCTCCGCAGCCTTCCCAGAGCCCAGACTTCCCCAAATGGCCAGAGGGCCCTTCTGAGTCCAAGAGCCATCAGGCCGTCTCCCTTCAGGGACGCACTGCTGAGCTCACTCTGTTTCAACTTCTCTAGGTCTCACGCTCCCTAGGAGCCAAGCTCTCTACCCCACCGAGCATTGGCACCTGCTCTTCCTTCTGCCTGGGACGCCTGCCTCCTCCTCACCGTGGCACCTCAGGTCAGATGAGAAGTTGTCCCTGGTCACCCATCCCTCTATAGTCACCGGGCTGTTTATTTCCTCTACAGCACTCTGCACTCTCTGAAATTATCCTATAGATGCATTTGTTTTCTTGTTTATCCTCATTTCCCCAACTAGGGTGTGGGGTCCGTAAGGCAGGAGCCGTGCTGCACTGTAGCCCCAGCGCAGTACCTGGCCCAGAGTGTGCACACGGTGAGCAGTGGCCGACAGGAGGGCTGGGTAGGTGCACCTGATTGAGGTACACAGCTGTGCAAGGTGGGGCAGCGCCCTCTAATGTTAAGCGTCACACCCCTCGCCCAGGAGTGCAGGAGAGGTGGCAACTGCATGTCTTACTGAAAGGGATTCTAGGCCTGGTGTGGTGGCTCACGCCTGTAATCCCAGCACTTTGGGAGGCCAAGATGGGCAGATTGCTTGAGCTCAGGAGTTTGAGGCCAGCCTGGGCAACACGGAGAAGCCCTGTCTCTACCAAAAAACCAAAAAATTAGCCAGGTGTGGTGCTGCACGCCTGTCGTTCCAGCTACTTGGGAGGCTGGGGTGGGAGAATCGCTTGAGCCCAGGAAGTGGAGGCGGAGGCTGCAGTGGACCAAGATCCTGCCACTGCACTCCAGCCTGGGTAACAGAGCCAGACCCTGTCTGGGGGGCAGGGGTGGGGGGAGAAAAAGAAAGGAAGGGATTTCTATTATAGTGTCTGCAGCACAGTGCTACATGCTGAAAAAAATGGGTCAACGGAGCAGGCAGGGCTGCCAACCTGAAGCACATCTGTGTGCAGAATACACTGAACCAGGGGTGATTTTGCCCTGCAGGGGACACTGGGCAGTGT
Source organism: Homo sapiens (assembly GCF_000001405.40). Lineage (NCBI taxonomy): Eukaryota > Metazoa > Chordata > Mammalia > Primates > Hominidae > Homo > Homo sapiens. The sequence continues at coordinate 47,713,225 of NC_000020.11, forward strand.
GTGGAGACATTTTTCACTGCTATGACCTGGCGGGGTGGGGGAATGTGCTACAGGCATCTATCGGGCAGAGGCCAGGGATGCTGCTGACCATCTTCCAGTGCATGGGATGGCCCTCCTCCCCCCGTAAAGAATGATCCAGCCCCAAAGTGTCACCAGTGCCGAGGTTGTGAAACTCTGTGTAAAGTGCACAGTTTAAAAAGTTGTCCAAATGTACCATTAACGACAGGGTTGCAGTGTGGCTTTAAAGAGCTTGGTTTGCAGAGTCAGAGGACTCTGACTCCTTGGGCAAGCGAGTGCTCCTGTCTGAGCCTCAGTGAATTCTTCTATAAAAATGGGGGCAGCAACAAATGAGATTGTGCATAAAGAACTCTGAAAAAGGGCCAGGCGTGGTGGCTCATGCCTGTAATCCAAGCACTTTGGGAGGCCAAAGTAGGAGGATCACTTGAGCCCAGGAGTTTAGGTCTGCAGTGAGCCATGATTGTGCCACTGCACTCCAGCCTGGGCAACGGAGTGAGATTCTGTCTCTGAAAAAAAAAAAATAATAAAAAACAAAAAAACAGAAACAAAAAAGAACTGTGAGTTCCCAAAATACAGTCTGCTTTCCGTTTTCAGGGAGGGGGATGAAAACTTGGACCTCTGGAGAAATAAAAATGGTTGTTAGAAACCAGATGTGACACCGTTTTGGAAAATGGCAAGGCCCCTCCGAGACTCCAGTAATGAGCTTGGGGAGGAGTGTTCATGCCGCACAGTGAAGTCGGCTGAGCATGACACACATCTATCAGCAGAGATGGGCTGGAGCGCGGAGCCGAGCCAATGACAATAAACAGTGTTTGCCAAAGCAATTCAGAGAGGTCGGCGAAAGATGAAGCAGAAGCCTGTGGAAAGTCCGTCCTTCCCAAAACAGACCCGCGCCATTTCGCAGGCACGGAGTCTGCGAAAACAAAACGGGGTCTTTGCCCTTCGTGGCATCATCTCAATTCCAGTTGTCCGCGTGCCTCTCACACACGTTTGGCCGTTTTTATGTATCATTTGGACCGCTGCATACTTAGTAATTTCCTTCAAATCACTTCATTTGGTGTCAAATCAGCACTTCACACCGGCCTCTTGATTTTCGCCCTGTGATCCATACATCCGTCAATGCCAGTGGGTCAAGGCTACGCACCATGGAGGGGACTTCAGCTCCTCTGTCCTCCCTCACATATGTCCCAGCAGCTTCACCCTCAGGACACATCCAGGTCTGACCACTTCCCATCATCCGCCTGTCACCATCTTGGTCCAAGCCACCACTGCCTCTGCCTGGACCTTGCTGGAACCTCGTCCCTGGTCCTCCTGCCTCCACCTTCAGCCCATCTTCCACAGCAGCCAGAAGGATCCCATTAAATCACAAATTTGATCAAGCCCCCCACTCTGTGCAAAGCCCTTCAGTGGCTCCACATCCACCTCAACTAAAATCCAAAGTCCTTGCCATGCCCTACAAAGTCCTATAACTGTCTCCTGTCCTGCTCCGTGACTGCATCTGCCCCCACTTTCCCCCCAGCCTCCTGTCCTGGGGTCTCCCTCTATCCTACCAGCACCCCAACCCCAAAGCTCATACCTGCCCCAGGGCCTTTGCCCTTGCTGTTACCTGAAAGAAATCACCTTCCTCAGATACCTGCATGGGCTGCTTCCTCACCTTTCCCAGCTATTTGCTCAAAGCTTTTAATTTTTTTCCAATACAGGGTCGCACTCTGTCACCCAGGCTGGAGTGCAGTGGTGCGGTCGTGGCTCACTGTACCCTCAACCTCCCCAGGCTCAAGCTATCCTCCCACCTCAGCCTTCCAAGTAGCTGGGACCACAGGCACAAGCCACCATGCCCAGATAACTTTTGTATTTTTTTTTTTTTTTTTTTGTAGAGACAGGGTTTCATTATGTTGCCCAGGCTGGTCTCAATGCCTGGGCTCAAGCGATCTGCCCACCTTGGCCTCTCTCAGTTCTGGGATTACAGGTGTGAGTCACCATGTCCAGCCTCAAATGTTAACTTACTGGGGCTCAATCCTAACCCTCCTATTCAAATGGCATCTCCCCACACCGCCCAGGCTCTCCCCTTTCCCCCGACATTGCTTCTCCACATATTTATTCACTGGTCATATTTATCTGTCTTCTAGTTTTTATCACGTGCTTCTCCCACCAGAGTACCAGCCCCATGAGGGCAGCGGCTTTCTGAGTCCCTTGTCCCCTGTGTCCTCACATCTAGAACAGAGCTTGGTCAGTGACGAGACCTCGATGAACGTTTGTGGAATAAATGGGTAAACAACTGAACCAACGAACACCTCGTAATGGGAGGCCTGTGGGAGACACAGCTGAGTGAGGGAATGTCGATTTTTTTTTTTTTTTTTGAGATGGAGTCCCACACTGTCACCCAGGCTGGGGCGCAATGGCACGATCTCGGCTCACTGCAACCTCTGCCTCCCGGGTTCCAGTGATTCTCTTGCCTCAGCCTCCCGACTGGCTGGGATTACAGGTGTTCGCCACCATGCCTGGCTAATTTTTGTATTGTTAGTAGAGACAGGGTTTCACCATGTTGGCCAGGCTGGTCTTGAGCTGACCTCAAGTGATCCACCCGCCTTGGCCTCCCAAAGTGCTGGGATTACAGGCGTGAGCCACTGCGCCTGGCTGAGAACGTAGATTTGTTTTTTTATCATCCGGTGCACACCCTCTGTGAGTGGAGGAGTGGGTAGAATTGTTAAATTCTTGTCTTCCTATTTGCTTGTATGGTGTTTGGCTGGCTGAACTTGGATCTATTTGGCCCACACGGGACATGACTTCCATTTGTGGATGTGCTTTATAAAACCAAAAAAGCACTCAAGGTCAGTGTAAGGCAACAGCAGTGCTTTTCAATATGGTCAAAATTTATTAAGGAACCCAGAGTCCTGTGTATGTTGGTTATATCTAGTGATAGTTATTATATTAGAGATGAAAACTGAGAAATTTAAAACATATTTGTTCACTCATTTAAATAATAAACTCACTACTTGTTAGCATACATTTAAAAAATGATAAATAGAGGCTGGGCGTGATGACTTATGTGGTCAGGAGTTCAGGACCAGCCTGGCCAATGTGGTGAAACCCTGTCTCTACTAAAAATACAAAAATTAGCCGGGTGTGGTGGCGGGCGCCTGTAATCCCAGCTACTTGGGAGGCTGAGGCAGGAGAACTGCTTGAACCCAGGAGGTGGAGGTTGCAGTAAGCTGAGATTGCACCACTGCACTCCAGCCTGAGTGACAGAGCAAGACTCTGTCTTGGGGAGAAAAAAAGATAAATAACTATATTTTTCCCAAACAAAATACAATTAATGAGAAGAGTTGCATTGTTTTACATTTTTGCCAATCTCTTCAATGTCTTGTTTACTGGAAGGCAGCAGGATTCTTAAATCTGTTTTGGCATTCAATCTGCTGAGATATATTGTTTTGGTTGTTTAACATGAAAAATCCAGCCTCACACAGACATGCAGGCCAGGGACAGTGGCTCACGTCTGTAATCCCAGCACTTCGGGAGGCCAAGGCAGGAGGATTGCTTGAAGCAAAAAGTTTGAGACCAGCCTGCGTGACAAAGTGAGACCTCATCTCTACAAAAACTAAAAAATAAATATATATAAATATAGCCAGTCGTGGTGGTGTGTGCCTGTATTCCCAGCTACTCGAGAGGCTGAGGTGGCAGGATCACTTGGACCCAGGAGTTCGAGGCTGCAATGAGCTGTGATTGTGCCACTGCACTTCAGCCTGGGTGACAAGCGAGACCCTATTTCTAAAAAATAAAATAAAATGGGTATGCAGATGGAAAAGGGAAGAGTATTTTAATCCTTTTTAGATAACTAGATATGCTATGTACCTGCTAGAAAACTCCACTGTCTACCAGAAGGAAAATGACGGTAAAAAGGTAAACAGTGTCCTGGTATTATCATGAAAATAGTTTTGAGTCTAGAGATCCTGGGACCACGCTTTGAGAGCCACTGGTTTAGACGATGACCTACAACATCCCAGTGAGGTAGATCCTTTTTTTGGTCCCTATTTTACAGATGGAGAAACTGAGGCACAGAGAGGCAAAGTCCCCTTTTCACCGAACATCCCACAACTGCCAAGTGTCAGAGCTGAAATGAGGCTCAATCCCAGGTTGTCTGTCTCCACCTGCCTTTTGGTGACTACCCTGTTCAGCCTCTCAGCAGGACTCCAGCGACCACAGACTGGAGCTCTTCCCATCCACGGGGACGCAGAGAGGCAGGGAAGAGGGAACAGCAGAGGGACTGCCCCATGGCTAAAGGTGGGGACACACACAAATGGGACTCAGCCTCCGAGAGCTCCTCCTCTCCGATGTGGCTCAGACTATCTCCGAAGTGCTTTCTGCCAGAATTCCAGGCAAAGGGAATTTCCACACTGAGGTTATCTTCCCATGCTGCATCCTCCCAGAATTCATCCGGCCGTGGGCTTTTGAAGGAAGGTCATTCCCAGGACCCGGGCACTTTGCCTTTCTTGAAGCATAGGTGGGGGACACAGGTAGGAGCCATAGTCGTTATCCAGATCAGTCTTTCCAGAAGTGTAGGGTTTCAGAGATAATTTTTTTTTTTTTTTTTTGAGATGGAGTCTCGCTCTGTCACCCAGGCTGGAGTTCAGTGCTGCGATCTCGGCTCACTGCAAACCTCCGCCTGCCAGGTTCAAGCGATTCTCCTGCCTCAGCCTCCCGAGTAGCTGGGATTACAGGCATGCGCCACCACCATGCCCAGCTAATTTTTTGTATTTTTAGTAGAGATGGGATTTCACCTTGTTGGTTAGGATGGTCTTGATCTCCTGACCTCGTGATCCACCTGCCTCGGCCTCCCAAAGTGCTAGGATTACAGGCGTGAGCCACCTGGCCTGGCCTCAGAAATGATTTTTATCCTCCGAGGCAGGCAGGTCTGAGGGCTGGGCATGGGCTCTGGAGCCAACAGCTTGCATTTAAGTTCAGCTACCTCTGCCTTCCAGCTCAGTTTTCTCAACTGCAAAATAGGAATAATAATAATATCCCTACATGACAAAGTTGCTGGGAAAGATTCAATGAGAAAATATGTTAACTGCCTCTAAATGGTTACTGTTTTTATCATAATATTATTGATCATGATGTTATATATTCATTCATTCAATCAGTAAACATTAAAGGAGGACTCCTGTGTGGCTGGGATGGCTCTAGGCACTGGGGATACCAGTGAACAAAACAGAAAAAATTAAAGCAGCAAAAAACCTGCATCTTCCTGGAGCTTCTGTCCTAGAATTAAGGCCAGTCCGAGGCAGGGAACTGGAATGTTTGGAGACTCTCACAGTCATTCAGGAGACAGACTGTGATGACCACAATCGTGGCAGGCGAAGGGCTTGGGTGGTTGGTTCCAGGCTATTTTTAAAGGTGGAACCAATGGGATTTGCTGATGTGGCATGCGAAAGAAGTAAAGAGAGTCAAGGATAACTCAAGGTTTTTGGTCCAAGCAATGAGGAGGACAGATTTGCCCTTATTTAGGAAAGGGACACTGGGAGGGGCAGAGTTGGGGATGGGGGTTGATAAAGAAATCAGACACATTAACCTCGAGACTCAGGTTAGACATTCAGGTGGAAACAGACCAGGTTCACAGAAAAGCTACGGAATTACAAACTGAGGAGCTGTAAGCATTTAGATGGCACTTAATGCCATGGAATCGAATCAGATCACCTGAGGAAGAGGTTCTTAATCTGTTGTCCCAAGATATAATTTCCTGAAATTGAATGGCAAAAGTATGTATTTGTTTATTTTCATTAACCTATAACTAGCATCCCCTTCAATTATGAATGATGGTCCCTGGGACTTTGTCACCAATGGGAATTACGGATATTTTCATATCACATTGTAGTCAACATGGACTTCTTAAAATATCATTTGAGCCAGCGCTACTTCGAAATCATGGAAGTTATCAGACCTATCCATTGTCCATTAAATAACTGCTTCATCGTGCCATTTTATGTGTAAAGAAGCATACATATCACAGTTTATAAAATATTTTGATAAATATGTTTTCATATAACTGGCTTCCTTTGTAATTCTCTGTATTTTCTATGAACTGGAGGGGTACACCAGGTGGTGTGTGACTTCTGGAAACTCCCCTCCAGGAAGGGAAGTGAGCTTCCCTTATAGTTTCTGTGTCCTGCTGGTTGGATGCAGACAGGATGGGATGCTGCTTTAGATAAGGACGATCGCCCAGGATGATGGAACGCCATCTGACCATCACCCATCAGGAGCCTGGGAGCCAACACCATGCCTGCCACATCATCTCTAGGCTGTTTATGCCCAAACTGTCAAATGGGAGAGAAATAAGCACCTATCATCTCTAATCCGCTGTTAATTAGGGACTGAAGTACCCTCAACTCCACCTATATTCTAATAAATCCTGGGGGTATCTGTGGCACAAATCCAGTGGGCTGGCGCCACTTAGGAGGGCTCAGCAAACTATTTCTGCAAAGGGCCAGACTATGTGTTTTCAGCTATGCAGCCATAAGGTCTCTATTGCAATGATTCAATTCTGCCACCGTAGAGCCAAAGCAGCTACAGACAGTACATACACTAATGGGTGTGGCTGTGTTCCAGAAAACTTTGTAAAACCTGGCAGCAGACTCCTGTAGGCCACAGTTTACTAATCTCCACCATGCAGGAATGTTACCAGTAATGGCAATACCATCATTATCATTATTATCTTTTTCAAATTTTTGTTTTATTTTTTGAGACAGAGTCTTGCTCTGTTGCCCAGGATGGAGTGCCACTGCACTCACTGCAAGCTCCACCTCCCAGGTTCACGCCATTCTCCCACCTCAGCCTCCCGAGTAGCTCGGACTGCAGGCACCTGCCACCACGACCGGCTAATTTTGTTCTTGTATTTTTTATTAGAGACGGGGTTTCACGGTGTTAGCCAGGATGGTCTCGATCTCCTGACCTCATGATTCACCTGCTTTGGCCTCTGAAAGTGCTGGAATTACAGGCTTGAGCCACTGCACCTGGCCTTTATTTTATTTTATTTTTTTTGAGACAGGGTCTCACTTTGCCACCCAGGCTGGAGTGCAGTGACATGATCTTGGCTCACTGCAACCACTGCCTCCTGGTTCAAGTGATTCTCCCACCTTAGCCTCCTGAGTAGTTGGGAGTACAGGTGCACACCACCACGCCCGGCTAATTCTTTTGTATTTTTAGTAGAGACAGGGTTTCACCATGTTGGCCAGGCTGGTCTTGAACTCCTGGCCTCAAGTGATCCACCCACCTTGGCCTCCCAAAGTGCTGGGATTACAGGCCTATCATAATCTTTTTTTTTTTTTTTTTAAAGAGAAGTTTGTAATCTGGGTATTTTTGGTTAAATTTCCAGATTTTAAAAAGCATCTTGTAACTCTGACAGAAATTTGGGGTTGAAGTGTAGACTCAGGCTGCCAGCTGCCATTTTGCAAGATCCATATTTGGCCCCCAGGGTCACAAAATAGAAACTGAGCTGGTTCAGGCTGAGTTTTGATCCTACCCCTGACACCAGTAGAAGAGTCCTCCACTGGGCCACTTTCATGATCTGTCATTTGGCTTCCTGGGGCTCCCGGTCTGGGCAGCAGAGAACAATCCCATTAACCTAGCAGGGGAGCTGGAGGTTCCTGAGGAACAGTGATAAATGAAAAGGAAGCCCTTTTGCAAACTCTAGAACAGCATAAATATTAGATGTGAAATGCCACAGGACTGAAGTCTTTGTTTTTTTGGCAGACAAATTGGCTGAGGAGGCAGGGCTGGCAAGAAATGCATTAAATAAACCCAGAGCTCCACAGCTCTCAGGGCTGGGGTATTTCTGATATTCTGTAACTGGATCCTTTTAACTTTGTGCTGCTTTGCAAGGTTACAGCCTGAGTCGAGTTCTTCTGCTTTTGAAAAAAAAAATACCAAATGCAAATCACTGCACGAAGTGATAAATCAATGCTATAAAAGTTCTGGATGCCAGAGATGGGATCTTGCTGAACTGAAAGCTGTGTGAAAACAAATGAGGAAGGTGGGGTCATGATTCCGCACGAAAGAGGCATCTTATGTTGGAAGCAGAGCGAGCTGGGGGCTGGGAGAAATGCTCTCCTCCCACTTGCCCTTTAAGAAGAAGCTATTTTTTTTTTTTTTTATGAGACAGAATTTCACTCGTTACCCAGACTGCAGTGCAGTGGCATTATCTTGGCTCACTGCAACCTCTGCCTCCCGGGTTCAAGAGATTCTCCTACCTCAACCTCCCCAGTACCTGGGACTACAGGCATGCGCTACCACGCCTGGCTAATTTTGTATTTTTTTAGTAGAGACGGGGTTTCACCACGTTGGTCAGGCTGGTCTCGAACTCCTGACCTCAACTGATCCACCCGCCTCAGCCTCCCAAAGTGCTGGGATTACAGGCGTGAGCTACTGCGCCCGGCCTGCATGTGGGTTTCTATAGTGGATATCTGTTTTATTTTTCTGCCCAGAATCCATTCTCCTGTCTTTTCATAATTGTGCCTTCAGTCACCAAAGAGGGAGGGAACCAATCTTTCCCCTTTCTCAGCCTTACATGTTCTGATGAGGCTCTTTCTAGCTCTGAATCCTGGACCAGGCCCATGAGGTTGGCCTGGACAATCAGGGTATCTCCTTTTGCCTGGCTGCTGTGATTGGGTGAAAGAGACATAAGACCCTAGATGAGCCAATGAGAGCTTTCCCTGGAACTTTTGCTGGAGCCCTTGGAAAGAGGCCTCTCTTTCAGCTGGGGTCACCACACTGGGGAGATGGACCTGTGGGGGCCATCTTGCCATCACAAAGAGGGAACCTTCCTAATAAAGCCAACCCAATGACAGAAAACGCAAGAAGCAGAAAGACAGGGTTCTGACAGCGTTTGAGCACTGGGACCTGGCAAAGTTTGCCTGAACTAATTTCGATTATGTTTCTTCATGCTGGATAAATGAGATAGTAATCTAAATTCCATTTTGTTTTTATTTTTTTGCTGACTTCAAGCCTAAGGCCCAAGAGTTCTCCATCTGTTCATTTTTTTTATTCGTTTGAGTTGAGGTTTCACTTGCCCAGGTTGTAATGCAGTGGCACGATCATGGCTCCCTGCGGCCTTAAAGGCCTGGGCTTAAGTGATCCTCCCATCTTAGCCTCTCAAAGAGCTGGGACCACAGGTGTGTGCCACTATGCCTGGCCAGTTTTTAAAATTATTTGTAGAGACAGGGTCTCTCTATGTTGCCCAGGCTGGTTTTGAACTCCTGGGCTCAAGTGATCCTCCCACCACAGCCTCCCGAAGTGCTGGGATTACACGTGTGAGCCACCGTGCCTGGCCTTGTTCAAATCTTTACTGAGTACCCAATACCTGCCTGGTGCTATTTTTGGATGGGCAGCAAACAAAACATGTAAAAAACAAGTTCACTCGCCAGGTGCAGTGGCTCACGCCTGTAATCCCAGCACTTTGGGAGGCCGAGGCAGGCAGATCACTTGAGGTCAGGAGTTCGAGACCAGCCTGGCCAATATGGTGAAACCCTGTCTCTACTAAAGTACAAAAATTGGCTGGGTGCGGTGGCTCATGCCTGTAATCCCAGCACTTTGGGAGGCTGAGGCAGGTGGATCACTTGAGGTCAGGAGTTCAAGACCAGCCTGGCCAACATGGTGAAACCCCATCTCTACCAAAAATGTAAAAAATTAGCCGGTTGTGGTGGCATGCAACTGTAATGCCAGCTACTTGGGAGGCTGAGGCAGGAGAATCGCTTGAACCTGGGAGGTGGAGGCTGCAGTGAACCAAGATCGTGGCACAGCACTCCAGGCTGGGCGACAGAGCAAGACTCCGTCTCAAAAAAAAACCAAAACAAAAAACGAAAATTAGCTGAGTGTAGTGGTGGGTGCCTGTAGTTCCAGCTACTTGGGAAGCAGAGGCAGGGGAATTGCTTGAACCTGGGAGTTGGAGGTTGCAGTGAGTCAAGATCATGCCACTGTACTCCAGCCTGGGTGGCAGAGTGACAGTCCATCTCAAAAAAAAGAAAAAAAAAAAAGTTCACAAACATGCAAGATAATTTCAAGGGGGCGAGAAGTCCTAAGAAGAACATAAAGCCGGGTGTCATGGTCGAGAATGAGAGGGTTGAGGAGTACTAACCGACACAGGAAGGGCAGGAAGGAAGAGAGAATGGATGGAGGAAGTTCTCCGCAGTGTGTGAACAACGCTCTAGACCAGGGATCCCCAACCCCTGGGCTGCAGACAGGTAGACAGGTAGCGGTCTGTGGCCTGTTAGGAACTGGGCTGCATAGCAGGAGGTGAGTGGCAGGCGAGTGAGCAAACTTCATCTGTATTTACAGCCGCTTCCCATCACTTGCATCACTGCCTGAGCTCTGCCTCCTATCAGATCAGCAGCAGATTATCATAGGAGCGTGAACCCCGTTGTGAACTGTGCATGCGGGGGATCTAGGTTGTGCACTCCTTATGACAATCTAATGCCTGATGATCTGTCACTGTCTCCCATTGCCCCCGGGTGAGACCATCTGGTTGCAGGAAAACAAGCTCGGGCTCCCACTGATTCTACATTATAGTGAGATGTATAATTATTTCATTACATATTATAATGTGATAATATTAGAAATAAAGTGCACACTAAATGAAATGCGCTTGAATCATCCCAAAACATCCCTCACCCCCAGTCCGTGGAAAAACTGTCTTCCACGAAACCGGTTGCTTGTACCAGAATGGTTGTGGGCCAGTGCTCCAGACAGAGGTAACTGCACATACAAAGGGCCTGGGGCAGGAATGGACCTTGGAAGTTCTGAGGAACAAAGAGGCTAGGCAGCCTGAGTGCTGTCACCAAGGAAGGGACAGATAGGAGATGTGGACAGAGAGGTGAGCACACCCAGGCCAAACAAGGTCTTGGCAGCCCTGGCGAGGAGATGCCAGTTTATCCAAAAAGCAGTGGGCAGCCGTAGGAGGTTTTCAGCCGGAAGTGATGTGGTCAGGTTTACAATTTTTAAAAGTGTCCTCCGGCTGTGGGTGGGGAGAAGGAATGGCCAGTTGCTGGGGACAAACAGGGACAAGCAGATCGCCAGGGCGAGAGGCGAGAGCTGCTTCTGTCTTGCCACTCCATGCATTCCTGTCTTCCGCCTGCCTGTTTTTAGTGAGGCTGTGGCTATTGAGGAAGACTGGGCTGCGGGGGACACCAAGGCCCTGCTGACTGGTTGTAGCAGGGCCAGGCGGAGCTCTGGGTGTTGGTGGCATGGAGGGCGGGCTGCCTGTGCCTAATTAAATGCTGGCTCCAGCCATCCGCTCCCTAGAAGGGTCTTGCAGCTCCTGCAAATGAGGATGAGGCCCATTCATTCCCTGGAAACTCAATTAGCTGGGTATGGAGGGCTCCATCTCTAGTGACAGGTTTTATTGCCTGCTGAGTCACCACGAGGACAAGCTGTGTCTTAAATATCTGTCTTGTGCCTTTTAAAGTGTGGTTTTGTTCAGAGGGATGGACTAGAGGAGGGGGAGAAAATCCACAACAGACCCTCAGAACAAGGCCTGTCACTCAATGGATATTTAATTATCGCCTTGGAGGAATCTGACACTACTTGCACCTTTCAAAGAGCTGTTCTCAGCGCCATCAGACTGACCTCCCATTTCTATGACAAATATTTTGTAGAGCGCCCTTGTTTTCTTGAAAGGAAATTTATAGGTAACAAAAGCTACCTATGCATGTCATTTCCACAAAATCAATATAATGCTCTAACTGCAATCTACAGGGAAAATAAAAGGAAAGCAATTTATAATGAAGATAAATTTCAATATGAAATTCCCCCAGCACATCCATCAAGAAGGCACAACACAGTAGTCAGGCAGACGCCTGCACCTAGACACAGATTCACTGGGAATGTGACAATTACAAGGGCAGCTGGGTGGGCGGGCGACATTTGCCATTCAAATCCTTTGGCGTAGCACTGTCATCGGGGATGGGACTTTCAGAAATAAGGAATGACTCTTGGGAAAGTTTTGCACTCAAGTATAATATTGCCTCCATTTTCTTATTCCGTACATTCCTGGGAATATGCAAAAACCCTCCAGTATTTACATATAAAATAGACGTAGGTTCAAGACTCAGATGACAATAAACATAAAATAATCTACCCATATGAGTGATGTGGTAGGAAACTCAGAAGCTATGTGGAATACAATGCAATGTGGGGGCCACGTGGACTCTGCTGTGCAGAGCAGGACATCAAAGTCCTTCTTAGTCTCCGCCCCCAGGAAGCCAGCAAAGTCAAATCCTTCACCATCACCGGCAATGCAGTCACAGAGTTTAACCCCTAGGGGGCGGTGTGCTCCCTTGAGAACCACCAGCTTAGAAAGAAGTTTGCAAGCCGGTGGCCTGCAGACCAATCCATCCCTCAGGTGTGTTTGCTGTGGGCCTGCCCGGTGTTTTCAGTTGCTCATTCTTAAAAAGTAGAGTGAACAGTCCACAGTTGAAATCTGGGCACCCCCTCCCCACCCAGCCTGCCTCTCTGCTTTGGGCTACCTGCCAGCCCTCTATGCATTTGGAGCCCCCAGGCTAGAACGGGTTCACACAGGGATGACAGAGGAAGCCCCGCTCCCGGCCTCGGTGTAGGAACTCGGTTTCCCTTCATTTGCTCAAATCCCCTGCGACACGGATGGATTCCCAAAGGACTCGCTGTGTGGGCTGGCACAACCTGCTGGCCCCGGGATGGATGGTGTCTGCTGCTCGGAGAACAGGAACCTGTCCTGAGACCCTGACCCGAGACCCAGGAAGGTTTGGGAAGACAGATCAAGGTACTGGGAGCATAAGGGGAAGTGAGTGCAGGGATGAGGAGGAGGAGATTGGATTACAGATGAGGAATCACGGAAAGCACTCACCTAAAGTTCGACAGCCACCACCCCCTGCGTTTTTATTGCCCCTTCTCAGTGCTGTGTGTCACTCCCCACTCCCAAAAGATTTTGTTTGATTAGGCTTTATTCTTCTTTCTTTTTTAGAGACAAGGTCTCACTCTGTTGCCCAGGCCGAAGTACAGTGGTGTGATCATGGCTTACTGCAGCCTCAAACTCCTAGGCTCAAGTGATCCTCCTGCCTCAGCCTCCCAAGTAGCTGGGACTACAAGCATGGACTACCATGTCCAGCTAATTTTTTTTTTTTCAAATTTTTTGTAAAGATACAGGTCTTACTATGTTGCCCAGGCTGGTCTCAAACTCCTGGCCTCAAGAGATCCTCCTGCCTCGACCTTTCCAAGTGCCGGGATTACAGGCCCAGCCATAGGCTCTATTCTCCTGCTGTCCAAGAGTCCTTTCTGTGCCAATGGAAACATTCTCTATGTGCATTATCCAGTACAGAACCCATGTGCGCCTACTGAATACCTGAACCATGGCTAGTGCACCTGAGAAACTGAAATGCTAATTGTAATTAACGTAAAGTTAAATAGCTCCCTGTGGCTAGTGGCAACGGTACTGGGCCATTTGGCTCCAGCCTAACTCATTCCAGAATGTTCAGGGAGTCACAGCTAGCACCTAGGAGAGGACTACAAAAGGTCTCATGCACTCTGAAACCCCCGGAAGCCTCTTGAGGCCCAGGAGACAGGGTGTGCCTGTCTGTCACCACAGTCACCCTTCCCTCACTTTTGACCCTGCAGCTGTTTCAACGCCCACTGCAGGTGGAGATTCCTTGAGAGAAACCATGGTTGGGAAGGGAAGGCTACGCATGGAGCTGATCTTCAGGGCGGCCACACTGCTCCCCACCCAGGACCACAGCTGGGGCAGTGAAGAGGGGAAGAGCGGCAGGTTTGCTCAGTTTGACATCGGCTCTGCAGCCTTTATGGGGGGGGGCGGGGTTTAATGTGTGAAAGAAACCAGCCGTCACGAGATGAATGTGTTCCCCAAAATATATGCTCAAGTCCTTGCCCAGGTACCTGTGAGGGTGACCGTGTTTGTAACATGGTGTTGTAAGATGAAGTTACGCTGGATCAGAGCGGGCTCTAGTCCAATCACTGGTGTCCTGACAGAAGAGGGAAATTTGGACACTGATTCAGAGAGGAGCAGGCCACGGGAAGAGAGGGACCCACAGGGAGGAGGCCGCATGAAGATGAAGGCAGAGGCTGGAGTGATGTGGCCACAAGCCAAGGGGTGCCAAGATTCCCAGCAACCCCCAGGAACTCAAGGGCAAAGGACCCTCCCCTGAAGCCTGCAGGGAAAGCGTGGCCCTGATGATGCTTGATTTTGGGGTTCTGGCTCCCGGAACTGTGAAAATCGCCTTTTGTTCTAAGCCACCCAGTCTGTGGTCCACTAGGGAAGTGGATACACCTGCTAAGGGGGTGGGACAGAGAGGGTGTCGCCTGGAAACAATCGGAAACCCTGCCCCATCGGCCTCACATCAGCTTCCTCTTTCCCCGTGGCCACTTCCTCTTACGGCGCAGGGAACCTCTCCTCCTGGGTTTGTGGGCACAGGTCACGTATCACTCAGGGTGGCGTCTTATCACAGGCACTGGGTGACTAGTGCTTAGATGTCACAACACTGCTGCACAGATGGAGAGACTGACGCCCAGAGGGGATGAGGTCTCAGCTCAAGGTCACAAGGGCGCTTAAGGCGGAGTCTAATTCTTTAGACTCTTGCTCAAAACAAGTGCTTCACTTATTTTGAAATCTGAGGTCTTAGAGAAAGGAAGTGACTATCAAATTAGAGGAAGAAATTTCGCTTGAAGATGTGCACGGAGGCGGCAAATCCGTGCCTCTCGAGGACACGCTGGGTCAGCCTGGGTCCCAGGAGGGGCTGTGCAATTCCCGTGGATACTCGGATCCCCACAGTGGGGAAGGCTGGGTGTTCGCTGCAGAGAGACAGGAAGGCTACCTGCTGTGAGCAGTGGATACACTCCACGGGGTGAATGGAGAGGCTCTGCTGTCCCCCCACAGGCCGGAGAGGGGGAGGGAAGATGGGCAGATGAGAGGCAGCTGGACCGAGGGAAGAAGGGAGCTGTGTGTGTGCGTGCGTGCGTGCACACTTGTGTGCACTCAAGGAGAGAGGAAGAGAGCAGGGAGCAAACCCAGGAGAAGAGCCAAGCAAAGAGAAGGCTGCCATTGTGAAGGCAGGGACAGCTGCACCAGGGGCCCAGGGACGGCATCCCGGGAATAATTTCAGTCTTCTCTTCCCTGTGTGTGCAGAGAGGCTGAGAAGAAAGAGGAGGAAAGGCTGAGATGGTGGGAGTGGGGGTGGAGAGGAGAGAAACGGGAGAGGAGAAAGGAGTGTGGAAGAGATGGGGGTGGGCTGCTGGCGGGGACAGAATGTGGAGACTTAGTCACCAGTCATCCTGGGAAGGTCTCCTGAGCACCTACGATGGGGTGGGCACTCTCTAGGCCTGGCAACCCGCGAGGGCACAGAACAGAGGCCGCTGCTTCCAGGGAGCTGGCATTTTATTTATTTATTTTTGAGATAGAGTCTCATTCTGTCACCCAAGCGACAGAGTGTAGTGGTGTGATCTCGGCTCACTGCAACCTCCACCTCCCTGGTTCCAGTGGTTCTCCTGCCTCAGCCTCCCGAGTAGCTGAGATTACAGGCTTGCGCCACCACATCCAGCTAATTTTTGTATTTTTAGTAGAGATGGGGTTTCACCATGTTGGCTAGGCTAGTCTCAAACTCCTGACCTCAAGTGATCCACCCGCCTCAGCCTCCCAAAGTGTTAGAATTACTGGCGTGAGCCACCACGCCCAGCCTGAGAGCTGGCATTTTAGAAACGAGACAATCAATGAGACAAATGGGCAGAATACACAGTCAGTGGTGTTCAGTGGTGATGGGGGCACTGGTGGGAAAAAACTGGGATGAACAGGAGGCATGGGGTAGTCAAGGAAGGCTTCTTTGAGGAGGCAGCATTGGAACACAGACACGAGGAAAGTGCAGACGTGTAGAAGTTTTGAGAAAAGGAAAGAAGTGCAAAGCACTGTGAGTGGGTGCATGTCAGGTGTGGCTGACTGCTTGAGAAGCTGTGGCTGGAGGACAGTGACTGAGGGGAGACCAGGAGGCTGAGAGGGTTCAGAGAGAAGGGAAGGATCACTGGGACCCTGAGGTGGCTGTCGGGGCCTCTACCCTGAGTAGGTGGGAGCCAAGGAGGGCTCTGCCCAGAGGAGAAAGAGCATCTGAACTAGGTTCTGACCAGACCCCTCTGGCTGCTGCATTGAAAACAGACCAAGGGGTCATAAACGCAGAAGCTGGGGGATCCCAGGAGAAACCTGGAACAGGGCAGGCGGGGAAGACAGTGGCGCGGATGGGCTGGTGGCAGCAGAGGGGACTCTGGGCATATTTTGAAGGCAGAGCTGACAGGGTTTGCTGATGAACTGAATGTGGAGTGTGAAAGGAATAGGAAAAAAAAAATCAAGAATGGTGCTAAGGTTTTGGCCTGAGCAACTGGAAAACTGGAGGTGCCGAGGAGAAGCCTGTGAGAGGCGCCGGGGAGGCGGGGGACCAGGAAGTGATGCTGGACTCATGCTTGATGTGCTGGGGAGAGCTCTGGGGCGATGGCCAGGAGGCAGAGGGGCCAGGGTGGATGGGGTTCAGGGCAAGGGGCTAAGGGTAGATCCAGAGAGTGGCAGGGAAAGAGGGGCATTGGGCCACTTTATAGCATTGCAGAGGAGGACGGCCCACGCAGCAGCCCTCCTGCCCCTGCGGTCCTGAATGAAACCGCTTTAGGGAAAAAACAAGTCTCATTTGTTGGGGATGCCAAAATGCCTAGCGGGCGCCTTTCCATCCTCCTGTGTGAGAGGGCGATGGGGTGCCCCAAGTGTAGTGTAGTGTAGATGGGGTGGGGTCATCAGGACACAGAGGCCCCCCAGACCCTGGTGAGGGTAGCTGCCCAAGGCTGATGGCCAGGTTCTGGTCCTCAGCTGACCTCTCTACCCAGCTTTGTGCGAGAAGAGTGAAAATAACTGGGGCGCTCAGGGCCAAACCCCAAAACAGGCTCCAACTGAGAGCCCTGGCAAGGCCTGGTCTTGTAAGGAGCATGTACCCCCTGCTCCCCTGACGCATTTTAGAACATGATGCAGAAGGGCAGAGGGCCCGCCACCATCTCTGCGAAAGTCTGGACCGGATGGCAGAAGCTGGGGCTGGGAAACAACTTCAGAACTGCCAGATTCAGGTGTGGAAGGAGAAAGGCATTATCCCAATGGGGAGAAAATGGCACTCCAATCTAGTTCACCAGAAAGAGCTGGAAAAGGTTGCCTTTTTGTTGTTGTTACTTTTTTTTTGAGATGGAGTCTCATTCTGTCACCAGGCTGGAGTGCAGTGGTGCAATCTCGGCTCACTGCAACCTCCGCCTCCTGGGTTCAAGTGATTCTCATACCTCAGCCTCCCTAGTAGCTGGGATTACAGGCGCCCACCACCACACTCAGCTAATTTTTGTATTTTTAGTAGAGACGGGTTTCACTATGTTGGCCAGGCTAGTCTCAAACTCCTGACCTTGTGATCCACCCTCCTCGGCTTCCCAGAGTGCTGGGATTACAGGCGTGAGCCACTGTGCCCGGCCAGCTGATGTTACTTTTTTTTTGTTTTTTGTTTGCCAAAGGCAGTGTAGTAAAATTGTGATCGGCACTCCAGTATGCTTTTCCTTATTCTTTCCAGCAGCCCTTGATTTCTACCTGGCAGTCCAAGTGCTGGGGAAAAAGGGACTCAGCCAGCTGCTGCAGAGCAGGTGATCCACGCTGGGCAAGTTGGCACAAACCATGTGCTTTATATGATGATTGGCTCAGGGGCTGGCATGTGACTCAGGGTGGTCCAATCAGAAGGGATCTCATGCCTTGAGCATTCTGGAAAAGGATGCTCTCTTGCTCCTGCCAGATGTGGACAAGGAGGCACACAGCTGCTGGAGTGCCAGCCACCATGTCCAGACCTCCAGCCTCGTGATATGATCATGATACTCGTAAACCACAAGATCCGACTCTGCCTGCTACTCACCTGTATCTTCTCTTTTTTTTTTTTTTTTTTTTTTTGAGACAGAGTCTTACTCTGTCACCCAGGCTAGAGTGCAGTGGTGCGATCTCGGCTCACTGCAACCTCCGCCTCCCAGGTTCAAGCAATTCTCCTGTCTCAGCCTCCCCTGTAGCTGGGATTACAGGTGTACATCACCATGCCTGGCTAATTTTTGTATTTTTAGTAGAGACGGGGTTTCACCATGTTGGTCAGGCTGGTCTTGAACTCCTGACCTCAGGTGATCCGCCCATCCCTGCCTCCCAAAGTGCTGGGATCACAGGCTTCAGTCACCGTGCCTGGCCTGTTTAGGGAGCAAAAAATTCAATGTTTTTGAAGCCAGCTGCAGTCGGGGTTCCTGTCCGTTGGATCTAAAGGGAATCTATTGCCATGAGCATCACACATCTTCAAGAGCAAACAGGGCAGCCAGGAAGTGTGTTCCCTTGCTCAAGCAGAACTCACACATCAACATCACCTCCTCAGAACCGAGGGGGACACAGCCAGAGTAAAATTGCTGAGTAGAAGGAGATGTCCATTTTCAGCTTTGCCAGAAATTGGCAAACTGTTCTTCAAAGTGGAGGGAACAATTTACCATCATGCTGCTGGCGCATATGATTTCCTGTTTTCCTACATTCTCACCAACATTTGGTGCGATGGGACCTCTTCATATTTGCTGTGGTCATGGCTGGGATGTGATAATGCACTGTTGGCTGCGTTTGCATTTTGCTGATTACCAGAGGCTGAGCACATGCTGCCACATTTTGATCCATGAGTGCAACTTACCATGACATTCATCAGAACACTGGCCTGAGGTGGGCTGTGTGATGTTGTGCTATTGTGCAAATCGTCATCGTCATTGCTAACTTTTTTTTATTACTGTTTTTTAAAAATTGAGAAGGGATCTCACTATTTTGCCCAAGCTGGTCTCGAACCCCTGGCCTCAGGTGATCCTTCCACTTTGGCCCCCCAAAATGTTGGAATTACAGGTGTGAGCCACTGCACCCAGCCATCATTGCTAAATTTCCCAAGTGCCTACCACGACCATGTACCAGACACTGTTCTAATGTATTTAATCTTCACAAAACTCTATGAGTTAAGTGACATTATTAACTGTGGTTGAGGAGGCCAAGACACAGAAGCTAAATAACTTGTCCAAGTTCATGCAGGCAGAAAGCAGCAGAGACTGGATTCAAACCCAGGCAAAGCTAATGCCCTCAACCACTCTGCAGAGAGCTGGGAGGTGTCTCATTCTGGGAACACTGTACAACTTTGACTTGTGGATATATAAGTGATCACAGGCAGGGCAACAGCACTTCAACTGCTGAACTGTGTTAAAGGATGACTATAAAACCTTTGTAAAAACTGAGGATGTGGCGAGGTGCAGTGGCTCACACCTGTAATCCTAGCCCTTTGGGAGGCCGAGGAGGGTGGATCGCTTGAGGTCAGGAGTTCGAGGTCAGCCTGGCCAACATGGTGAAACCCCGTCTCTATTAAAAATACAAAAAATTAGCTGGGCGTGGTGGCACGCACCTGTAATCCTAGTTAGTGGGGAGGCTGAGGCAGGAGAATCGCTTGAACCCGGGAGGTGGAGGTTGCAGTGAGCTGAGATTACGCCACTGCACTCCAGCGTGGGCAACAGAGTGAGACCCTGTCTCAAAAACAAACAAAAAAACAAAGAAAACAAAAAACCTGAGGATGCAATTGATCCTTCCAAGGGTATTCATATCTGAGATCCAAGTCCCTCAAGTTGTAAGAAGCCATACAGAGAAATATTCATGAACAAATTGATATTTATCCTGCTTAAACTTAGCTTCTCTCATTTTGTCTTTTGTCAATCTCCACTGCAAACATGGGGCCATGCAAAGCAAGATCACTGCAAAATGAAATTGCAAATATTTTAAAAGATGCAGGGTTTGTAAAATTAATTAAAATGACGCTGGAAGATAGCTCAAAAAACACATGCAAATCCACTGACGAATAATTACCTGGTCTATAAAGATACTACATGAAGGAGAAGAGACTATTGAGAAGGATGATGAAGTATGAGATGCACTTCACAGGGGAAGATTCAGATGTCAGAGAATTAGGAGAGGCCCTTGAAAAAATTGATCAAATCCTCAAATACTTTTGCAAAAATGTCCCTAGTGAAGTAAAGGATATCATCTTGTGCCATCCATTTCAATTTGTGAAACACATTATATTCCTCCCTACACTTCGTCAATTCACTTGCTTGAAGAATCAACTCATTAGTTGCAACTAGAGCCCAATATTTGTTAAATATCATTAGATGCAACCTAACAGAGGGCCGGGTGCGTTGGCTCATGCATGTAATCCCAGCACTTTGGAAGGCCAAGGCAGGTGGATCACTTGAGGCCAGGAGTTTGAGACCAGCTTGGCCAACATGGCAAAACCCCATCTCTACAAAAAATACAAAAATTAGTCAGGCGTAGTGGCAGGCGTCTGTAATCTCAGCTATTCAGGAGGCTGAGACAGGAGAATCGCTTGAACCCAGGAGGCAGAGGTTGTAGTGAGCTGAGACTGTGCCACTGCACTCCAGTCTGGGTGACAGAGCAAGACTCTGTCTCAGAAAAAGAAAAAAAGAGATGTAACATAACAGAGTTATTCTCGAAACATTGTAGTTTCATTTCAAGATCAAATACCTTACTAAATACATTAAAAGCACTATTTATTATGAAATGTTGGTCCACTTAAGTAGCATTTTTCTGGGGTCAGTCTTCCTCAGTTTGGGCTGATCTCCTCTATTCAAACGAGTATCACAAACACAAATGGCTAATAACTGTTAGGGTGGCCTAGACTTCACTTGTCCTTCAGTATCCGTTTTCTTCTTCTCCCACAGTAAAATAACTTTCATCTGGGCAAATGTCCACCTAGAATAAGACTACATTTCCCAGGCCCCTTTGCTGCCATGCATGGCCATATGACTTGTTTCTCACCAATGGGAAATAAGGAGAAATGGAGTCGGAGTCTCTGACCACTTCATAGAGCAGGGCCACCAGAACAACTTGGAATTTTATTTGACATCCCCGGTCTCTCTCACACACACAGCCAAACTTAAATCCAACTGAACCAACTTTGCTAGGTGGCCACGTGAACACAGGGTTTAACATGGCTGAAGACTCAGCAGGAACAATTTACTTTTGGTCCTTGGGGGATTAAAAATTTACAGTATATTCTAATATGTATGTACAAATCAATCTAAAAGGAAAAAATAATCTAAAAGGTTTTGAATTCATTATAGATTTTTGTCATTTTTCTTAGTCAACACTGATCAGTATAACATATCACGCAGTTGGATCTTTAAAAACATTTCCACTTTAAACAACAACTCAATATAAAACTCAAACCTGAGCTTCCTAGCTGCCAGGGCAAAGAGGGAAACTATACAGGGTATGTGGCTCTTATTATGTAATAACAAGGAGTACACCAGTTCATCAGACTAAACAGGTGTTTTCAGGGTCCTGAGTTCTGAAAGTAAGGCTGGAATGGGATTCTTTGTACAGAGTGGCATTCTAAATATAATGAATAAAATTCTCAGTGGCAGTTTTACAAAAACGTAAATGTTCTCGGTATCTGGCTCTTTACACTTGACATTACGCTCCCAGTCTTCATGAGGGTATAATAATGAATCATAGTTGAATAAAAGCACTTATTTAGGGAGACAGCTTTTTGGTGATTTGCATACATTCAAGGACAAGTTTGGGAAATCCACTTTAGAGAATGTTTATTCTTGAAATGATTGATTTTCTCATGTCGCCTGTAAGATTTTGAAACACTAGCCTTTAGCTCCCACCCTGAGCCCTCAAAATGGCACAGAATATATGAGTTTCCTTTCAGTCTGATGAATACTATTTCCATGCCCCCTCTGAATTCCCATGATCTTGCATTCCATTTTGATTATGCCACAAACACCTCACTTTGACTCTGGGCAGGTCTCTTTTTTGGGCTGCAGTGGCCCTGGCTGTGAAATGAGGGGGATTGATGAGAACAGGTCTAGGGTCTTTACTGATCTTCCAGCATCCAAAACGAAAGGTTTCTGTACAGACCTTTCACCCAGAGGTTGTGAAAAGAGAGTCTGTGAGCCACACACTCACTCCTCAGACATATTTTCTTTGGCCCCCAGTATACATTAAAGAAAAAATAAGCTGTGCCGGCATATTTTAAAATAAGATTTTCAGTGAAATATTCAGACTTTAAAACATTTCAAGGCTGGTCACTCTTGAGTGCATGGCTGTACTTTCTAGAGCCAAGTTGCAGGTGCATCTTCAATAAGGGCCCACTGCTGTGCTGCGGGCCTGCCTGTCCTGCTTCTGCTAGCAACATCCAGGCCCCCGCCAATCATCTAGGGTGGTGGCCATGGTAACTTCTGACACATGTGGCTTTCTGCAGAGGCTCAGGGGAACCAACAGGTGGTTGATTCTGCATAATGGCACGCACAATACACAGGAACAAGGTATAGGAACGAGGCCTTCCTAGTTCTCAGCAGAACATACTTTCTAGGTGATTCTGGCTATGGGATGAGGCTGTAAGAAGACACACCTTACTGGCTTGCTCCCCACACCAAAGCATCCCTGCCAGCCCACACTGTGTATCTGAGAGGAAGCTGCCCAGCCTCGAGGGCTGCAGGTCCAGCACTGCGGACAGGGCTGGAGGAGGAGTCCATCCTTCCCTTGCGGCACTCCCACCCAAACAAACCCCTTGTCACTTGGATGCAACTTCCTGGGGTTGCAACATCTGAGCCACAATATCTTGATTTCACAACCGCCGCGGCTTCTTACCCAAGGCGGGGAGTATTTATTTATTTTTAATTAAAGCAAGTTAAATGAATTGAGTCTGGAGGGTTTTGCAATGGCGCTACAGGTAAGTGACTATACTGTAATTGCATCTCTACCTCAGACAACCAGCCTGGCAGGTGAGCCTTCAGAGCCCACCAAAGACCTCCTGAAGGATAAGCAAACAGGAACTGGGTCGCCCTCCACCCAGGATGACACGGGTGAGTGTGGACAGTCAACCACCATGTCAGTTTCTGCACCACCTTGGTTACTGCCACGTAGAAAGCGACCACACAGCCCCATTATCTGTTCCCCTCCATGAATTCCCATCCCCCACCCCTATGTTTTGGAACCTTCTTCCAAGCTAATGGTTTGAAGTCAACGAAACAGTCCCTGATGGGCTTAATAACTATTAACAGAGGATGCAAACTCATGCATGGGCACCTTATGGCCTCTCCACACTATGATTCATAGTTTGAAAAGACTCACTTTTTTGGGGGACTCAAATTCCTTTGACAAGGTCACTTTACATCACTACTGTAGGCAAATAAATCTGTATTTCTTTAATACACACAGAAATAAATGCACAACTCTGAAATTATAAGAGAGTTGCTCTAGGGGCTATCCAGAATCAACTTGGGTACCGCAGTGGTGTGCAGACCACACCTAGGGACGCCCGCCCTGGCTGTCACTCCCTTCCTGCACCTGCCCCCGTCCCTGCTCACCTGTCCGGTAGCCAGTGCTATTGAGGTACACGGCAAAGGTGCGGCTCTCGTGCTGTGCCTGCCAGGAGGGCGAGGAGCAGTTCTCATTGTTGGTGTAGGTGTTGTGGTTGTGGACGTACTTGCCAGTGAGGATGGAGGAGCGTGAGGGGCAGCACATGGGTGTGGTCACGAAGGCGTTGATGAAGTGCGCCCCGCCCTGCTCCATGATGCGCCGGGTCTTGTTCATCACCTGCATGGAACCTGCAAGTCAAGGGTGGAAGTAAGGCGCAGGGCAGGAGACCCGGGCGGCACCGGCACCAGGGGGCTCTCAGCACGTGGCATCCCTAGGTCTGGAGTGGGCACATTCTGCAGACCTACGGGGCAGACGGGGCAGGGGCCACTGCTGCACGGTGGGACTGTCCTGCATAATCAGGAAGGACCCTGGGTCCCGAGTCCACCTGGACACTCCTGAGGTCCAGGTCTGGAGTCTGGAGGATTTTGCAATGGTGCTGGAGGTGAGTGACTGTAAGTGACTGTACTGTCACTGTCCGGTACTGTAATTGCATCTCTACCTGCAAGGCAGGTAAAAACCTGTTTATAAATGACCTGAGACTGGAATCAAACTGTTTTACAAATTTTAAACACAACATTGTTTTTGCAGGGTATTAATATACATTGTTTTGTTTTTTCTTTTGGAAACCAACCACCATGTAAATTGAGGGAAGATTATACTTTCTTTTCTTTGGAACTTTCCCAATAATTGTTTGCTCTTACTGAAATCTGGTCATGCCAACCTGGTGGCAAACCTTCTCCCTGAGTATTCCCTGGCTGAGGTGCTCTGCCATCAGCCACAAACCCTGCTGGCCTCTTGTCCACACTTTTCTTCGAGCCTGGAACCCACCACCCCTCACCCCAAATCCAACCCATCGGCCTAGTACCCTCTCGTAGGGAGCCTCTGGCACCACCCTGGGCTTGAGAGCTCTGAGCAGTCTTGCAGCATGTGTCCTGAGTACTGATCATACCCCAGGCTTCGAGGTTTCGGTCATGCCTGCTCTTGTTTCTTTCTTTTCTTTGTTTTTTTTTTTTTTTTTTTTTTTTTGAGACAGAGTCTTGCTCTGTTGCCCAGGCTGGAGTGCAGTGGTGTGATCTTGACTCACTGCAATCTCTGCTTCCCGGGTTCAAGCGATTCCCCTGCCTCAGCCTCCCAAGTAGCCCCTATACGCAGCTAGTTTCTGTATTTTTAGTAGAGATGACGTTTCGCCATGTTGGCCAGGCTGGTCTGGAATTTCTGACCTCAAGTGATCCGCCTGCCTCTGCCTCCCAAAGTGCTGTCATTACAGTCATGAACCACCTTGCCTGGCCATGCCTGCTCTTGTTTCTCAACCAAGCTGTAAGCAGAGCAAGACACTTAGGAAGAAAGGCAAGAAGGAAGGAAGGAAGCAAATGAACGTGTGTGGGAGCCCTACTGCGTGCAGGCCAAGGTCCCAGGAGGGCAAAGGCTGTGTGCTCCGCTCAGCGCTGAATCCTCAGCACTGCTGCCGTGTGTGACACACAGTGGGTACTCAACATAGGTGTGACGAGTGCATGCTCAATTGTATGCTGTGGTTGGTACCCAGACCCTTAGTGATTTGATGGAAATATTCCATGGAAACCCTCTCTCCTTCTTCTATGGCCATCCTTGGTTTTTCCCCTTTTCCTTGCAGTTCTTAAGGTGTGCAGTGGGTTGAACGGTGCCCCCGTCCCCTAAAGATAAGACCATGTCCTAATTTCTGGAAGCTGTGAATGTGACCATATTTGGAAAGAGGGTGATATGGTTTGGCTGTGTCCCCACCCAAATCTCATCTTGAATTGTGGCTCCCATATTTCCCACGTGTTGTGAGAGGGATCTGATGGGAGACAGTTGAATCATGGGGGTTGTTTCCCCCATACTGTTCTCTTGGTAGTGAATAAGTCTCACGAGATTTGATGGTTTTATAAAGGTTTTCCCTCTTGCTTGGTTCTCATTCTCTCTTGCCTACCGCCATGTAAGATGTGCCTTTCACCTTCTGCCATGATCCTGAGGCCTCCCCAGCCACATGGAACTAAGTCCATTAAACCTCTTTTTCTTTCTAAATTACCCAGTCTCGGGTATATCTTTATCAGCAGCATGAAGACAGACCAATACAGGGTGTCTTTGCAGATGTAATTAAATTGAGGCTACTGAAATGAGATTTGTTCTGGATTCCCCAGGTGGGCCCTAAATCCAGTGACAAGTGTCCACATAGGACACAAAGTGGAGAAGACGCACAGGCACAGAGGGGAAGGCCACATTCAAAGGGAAGCAGAGACTGGAGGGATGCACATACAAGCCAAGGAACAAGGAACTCCTAGGGTCCCCAGGGCTGGAAGAGGCAAGGAAGGGCTCTCCCCTAGAGCCTTCTGAGGAAGCACAGCCATGCTAACACCTTGATTTTGGACTTCCGGCCTCCAGAACTGTTGAGAGAGTAAATTTCTGTTGTTTTAAGCCACCCAGTTTGTGATCTGTTAGGACAGCAGTGGGAAACCAAAACAGGGTCTACCAGGCATGTGAAGGCTGTGATCCCAATCACCTAGCAACCCCCTAGAAACCTGAAAACAAGCATCAGACCCACTGCAGCCTCCTGGGATCTGGGGAAGGCCCTCTGCTCAGCAATCAGCTGCTTCTACTTTAAATTTTTACCACCAATCAAGGCACCAAGGTCGTGCCCCTGAGGTCCCAGTATTGCACATTGGCCGCCCTCCCACCTCCTGGCCCCTGCCTCAGCCGTACCCCCAGCCTGGGATGCTCTCACTCCTCCAATCACAGGGCTACCTCTGTCTCCTTCAAGTTATTGATCAGACACCACCTTCTTGGAGAGGCCTTCCCTGGCCTGTATTGAAACCACCTCCCGCAACCCATAGCACTCTCCACTCTGCTTCCCCGCTCCGTGTCTCTCCACAGCAGTTACTGTCCTCAAACATAAGTCATTTTGATTTCACTTATTTGTATGTTGCTGCCTTCACCACAAGGGCAGAGACTCAGCCTACTTTGTTCACTGCCTAGCACAGTGCCTGGCACATAATGTGCTCAACAGAGACCAGCTAAATTAACATATAAAATACTATCTTACACTCGGGTTTTCATATCTCAGGAATCCAAACCAGTTGGTGTCCACAGACCTGTGTGTTGGTGTCTTGTAGAGTGGGTTTTAAAAATGTGACATTAAATAGCATCACACAGGATATGTGCTCTCCAGTTTGCCACACTCCCCCGTGCTCCCTACAGTCTTACACCACCTGCACCCACTCTCATTACCTGCCCGACCCCTGAAGGCTTGGGTGTTGCAACCTTCTGATATAGCTAAGGAACTGAGAGCACTCCAACTTATTCCTGGGGAAGAGGGCAGTCTTCTATGCCAGTAATAATCATTATAATTAATAGTGGCGACTATCACTGGCTGAATGCTTATGGCTGGGCTGAAGACATTCATCACTTAATTCTCCCAATGGCCCATTTGACAGAAGAGGGAACTGAACCTGGGGAGCTGAATGACTGGCTAAGGCTGCACAGCTGGGAAGGCAGTGAAGACTCAAGCCTAGCAGAGGCGGGGTGCTGAGTTTCACGTTCACAAAATGTCACAGTCACACGGGAGGTGGTAACAGTGTCCTGAGGAAGTGCATAGAGGTCCCCATGCTCTTGGTCCACTCTTGGCTTCAGTTAAGCTCAGAATGGTCCCTTGGTGACCCAGAAGGGGGTCCTCTAGTGGTGACTTCATCAGGCACACCAGGGGTGGGGGTGGCCCAGGGTCACATCACCAAACACCAGGGATGCTGGTGGTGTGAAAGGCCACTGGGAGCTCCAGGCAGGGGGTGGCATTGCCTTAGATTAATTGCGTGGCTTGGTTTCCTTCTACTTAGGGCAAGTAACCTTAGCTTTTCCTTTAGGGTGGTGGAAATCCTCTTAAAACAACAACAACAACAAACAATTGCAGCCGATTTTTAAAAAGTAAATAATCGTACAAGTGGCACACAGATATATGATGAAAATTGTGAGGGAATGATTAGAATTTGGCAATCATTGGCTTGGTAAAACCCGGACCTGACATCCCTTGATGTGTGGCTTGGTACAACCCTGACATCCATTGATGTCATTCGGCTGTCGATTAGACCTCAGGTGCCACACCCACAGCCAAGCCCTGATGTCACCGTCCCTCCTGCTCCTCCCGAAGCCACTCCCCTTTCCTCCGGGTACTTGGGCAATCATCTTGGCTACGGTTCCTCCCATCTTTCAGTTCCCACATCCAATCCATCAGCAAAGCCTGTTGCCCTCTCTTCAACGTAAACACCCACGATCGTACCCTTGCCACCTCCCCCGTGGGTCAGGCGATCATCCTCTCTCCCTGAAATCAGGCCAGTTGCTTCCTGATTGGACTCCAGTCACTTATTCCCCACGGTGTAGCCAGAGTCTCCTCTCCTGACACTCTCCGGGGCTCCTGCTCACTCAGAGGAGCCCAAATCTTTCTGGCCATCCACAGAGTGTGGTGGGACCCAATCCCCTCCCCTCCCTAACCCCATCCCCCTCTCCGCCCACTCTCTGCAGCCACAGGGTCCCCTGCTCTGTCCACAGACTGACCAGGCGTGCTCCCATCCCAGAACCTGTGCCCTGCTGTTCCTTCTGCCTGGAAGACCTCTCCCCCGGAGCCCCGCAGCGGTGCCCTCACCCCCTTCTTGTCTTTACTCAAAAGTTCCCTTCTCCGTGGAGTCTTCCCTGGCCCCCAATATTTTCTACTCCCTTCCTTGCCTGACATTTTCAACCCTGCACTCATCATCTAACACATGATATACTTTTATGTTTTTATCTACTGATCCCGTTTGCTGTTCCCTGTGACTTTTGATGGCTCCACAGCTCAGCCTAGAACAGTGCCTGGCACGCAGTGGGTGCTCATAAATATTTCTTAAATGCACGAGTCCAGGGCACCCCAAGTGGAATCGATCCTTTGCTCCCTAGTCCCAAACACGAAGGAGAAAGGACGAAGCAGCTGGTAGTGAGAGCTCAGCCTCTCTCGGTCTCCAGACCCTGCAGAAAGGACAAAAGCTGGCCACCCACCTAACTGGTCAGACCCTTCTCCTGGAAGGGAACGCAGGGCAGGCCGTCACCTGATGAAATCACCTGCACTCCGCAGCCCCCAGTGCTGCCTTGGCAAACAGTGAACAGCCTCCAGAACCATTTCTTGTTTTTAATGGGCTCAGATCCAGGGTCTCGAAATGCTTAGATCTCCTTCCTCCTCATTCCAGAGGAAGCGAGCTGTGAGGTGCTCTTGGCCAGCACTCACCCTTCCCAAATCAGCTGGCGGAGGAGCGCTGTGTCAATCCACGAGTAAAGGACAACAGTGCCCCGGAATGACAGCAGCATCTGTGCATGGGCAGTGCTATGTGCTAAGCCTCCCCTTGGGGACAGTAACCTGCTTTATTAAAACTGCCATAGCGACGAGGCTGTGTAAACCTACCTCTGTAACACAAAAACATATGATCTCATCCCCTTGC
The DNA here is from genome assembly GCF_000001405.40 of Homo sapiens. Taxonomy (NCBI): domain Eukaryota; kingdom Metazoa; phylum Chordata; class Mammalia; order Primates; family Hominidae; genus Homo; species Homo sapiens. Next base: position 47,742,223 of record NC_000020.11, read on the forward strand.
CCAGCCCCAGCCCTAATGCAGAAGGACAGCTCCGACGGGAGGGAAGGACCTGAACGACACGGCCACACAGAAATGAAAAGGCCAGTTTTCAAGCTTTTCAATGCAGCTGGGCCAGCCAACCTCAACTTCTTTCGTCCAACATAAACCTGGGGACATGCAGACAAAAACAGACCCGGTTTCTTTCCATGACCAAACCTTCCCACCATACTGGGTTGAGGGTGAGGTCACTCTGACACCTCTGTGACTCTGATGGGCTGGAGAGGCCTCACCCCCAGGCCCATCTGTTGGGATTTAAACTTGGGGGCCCAAACCACCCAACTGCTAGAATGCAGTTTCTCCCATGACACTCCTGAACTGCCTCCCCATTCACGGTGGCTTTTTGGGGGCCTGTGTACCACTGTGCTATGATTTGTTTGATATTTGTATTTAACGTGATTTAAGAAAAAACCCTTTAATCTCAATCCAAGTTAACTACGTCGAGTTAGAGAATTAAGGTGTGAGTTATATATATATATTTTTGGATGCACCATCCAGTAAGTCCATCGTTGATAAAATCAATATTTTGCTGACCTGCCACAGATGACGACGTTGCCAGTGTCATAGGAAATGCTGAATGAATTTGCTCTTCTAAAGGTCTAAGTCAGAGCAAACACTATCTATGGGGACTTAGCAAGGTGCCAGGGAGTTTCAGGATTCAAAACATGATTTTTTTTTTTTTTTTTTTTTTTTTTTTTTGCCATTCCTGAGGCTTAGGTGGCTCCTATCTGTTGGAGGCCTGCTTCAGCTGGGAGCAGGGGAACCCTGTACCCCTCCCAGACAAATCCCTGCGGCCCTCAACTTGGGTGATTTTGATGTATAACTAGTGAGATGCCTTCCTATGGCTAGTTTCTTAAAATTATAGATATTATTAGAGTCTGTGATGGCAGGGCCTCCTAGGGAAAGCAGCAGAAGGAAGAATGGGGCAGGGAGAAAAATAAAGGCGGAGTCAGTAAACACAGGACCTTGACTTAAATTCACTCTAATCACTGTTTTCTCTGCCTGGACTATTGCAGTAGGCTCCCAAGCTGTTCTATTCTCCGTTTGGTGGCCAGAGGCTTTTTCTTTTGAGACAGGGTCTCACTCTGTACCCAGGCTGGAGTGCAGTAGTGTGATCACGGCTCACTGCAGCCTCGACCTCCCCAGGTTCAGGTGATCCTCCCACCTCCACCTCCTGAGTAGCTGGAATTACAGGTGTACACTACCACACTCAGCTAATTTTTGTATTTTTTGTACAGGTGGGGCTTCACCACGTTGCCCGGGCTGGTCTTGAACTGCTGGGCTCAAGTGATCCTCCTTCCTTGGCCTCCCAAAGTGTTGGGATAACAGGCATGAGCCACCATGCCTGCCTGGCCAGGACTTCTTTTAAAACAGTCAGTGAAATCATCATATTCGTTGCTCTTTGTCTTCCAGTGACTGCCCGCCTCACTCAGAGTAAAAATCAAAGTCCTCCCTCTGTCCTACAAGGTCCTCAGTGATCCGGATGCTCACTCGCCCCAACTACAACTCCTACTGTGCGCTCTCTCTCTAAGCTTCCTCTGCTCCAGTCACATTGACCTCCTCCTTGTTGTTCCTCGAACACACCAAGCACGCTTCTGCCTCAGGACCTTTGCACCTGCCACTCCTCAGCCCAGACTCAGTCCCTCATTGCCTTCAGGTTTCTGCAAATATCACTTTCTCAGCAAGGCTTTCTCTGGACTGTGCTGATTAGAATCATGCCCTCCCCTTCCTTCTTGCCTTTTGCTGCTCTTCCTGGTGCTTCCGTGTGAGTAAATGAAGAGTAAACATTCTTAGGGGACATGCAGGCTACAGATTCTTAGGGGACATGCAGGTGCCTTTGGGGTGAGTGGGGTACACGGTGGGTGGGGAGTCAAGGGCTATCTCTGCTTTGCATTACTTGGATATTTTAAAGTTTTGCTTGTGTAATTTTATTGATTGTTTTGAGATGGAGTCTCCCTCTGTCTTTCAGGCTGGAGTGCAGCGGCGCGATCTCGGCTCACTGCAACCTCTACCTCCTGGGTTCAAGCGATTCTCCTGCCTCAGCCTCCCGAGCAGCTGGGATTACAGGCAAGTACCACCATGCCCAGCTATTTTTTTTGGTGTGTATTTTTAGTAGAGACAGGGTTACACCATGTTGACCAGGCTGGTCTTGAACTCCTGAATAAATAAAAAATAAATAAATGCAGCAAGAGGGCCACAGGTTTCTAGAACAATGGGAGAGGGCAGGATTTGGCACTTGGCATTCCTGCACGGGTCTGCAGGCCTGTCTGTGTGCTACCCCTATGTGAAGCAGGCCCTGGGATTTAGGGGAAGAGGGCACACAGTGGGCTTTCTATAGATGACCGAAAAATCTATAGATGGTCTTGAACTCCAGGGCTCAAGTGATCCTCCTGCCTTGGCCTCCCAGTGTTGGGATAACACTGTTATCCACTGTGGCCACTGTTGTGGCCACATATCACCTGCTACACTCTACCTGGGGCCAGTCTGCTCCCAGGGGCCCCCAAGCTGTGCTTTCTTTCCTTGAGGAGAGGGGCATTAAAGTCCACCTGGCATGGGGCAGGCTGAGGATGAAGGGGGCACCACACACCCCTCTCCAGGCCGCGTCCTTCTCCTGATTCCTCTCTTACCTGTTTTGTTTTGTATGTTAAAAGGGTTCAGCTGCTACAAATGAATATGTGTGTGTGTGTATAACACACACACAAACAGATGCACATATACACTTCAGTCCTAGACTGAATCACCAGGTCCTTTTTCATCTGTAGACTTTGGGTGCCAAAGAGCACTGAATTGAGAGGCCAAGAATGAGGTGTGAACTGCCGTAAATCACTGACTTTGAGCTTCAGCTTCCCTGTCTGTAAAAACACAGCCCATAAATAACTTTAGGTATAAGGTTTGACTATGAAATTCTAGGATAGATTCTAGAACCTATCGCTATGTCACCATACTCAATAGGATGAAAAAGGTTTTCAGTCAGAAGGCCTGATTCCAAATCTTGATTTCTGCCACTTCCTATTAACCAGGTACCTTGTGCAAATGATTTAGCCACCCTGCACCTCAGTTTCCCCATCTGCAAAGCGGGAGAATAACAGTGCCTCCTTCTCAGGGTTGTTCTGAGTTTTGAGGGAAAAAAAAAAAAAAAAAAAAAAAAAAAAATATATATATATATATATATATATATATATATATATATATATATATACACATACACACACACTTTTTTAGTTCAATGCTTGACATACAGAAAGCACTTAATGCATGCCAGCTTTTATTTATTTATTTACTTATTTGAGACAGAGTTTCTCTCTTGTCACCCAGGCTGGAGTGCAATGGCACCATCTCGGTTCATTGCAACCTCTGCCTCCTGGGTTCAAGTGATTCTCCTGCCTCAGCCTCCTGAGTAGCTGGGATTACAGGCTCCCACTATCATTCCCGGCTAATTTTTTTTATTTTTAGTAGAGATGGGGTTTCACCATGTTAGCCAGGCTGTTCTTGAACTCCTGGCCTTAAGTGATCCACCTGCCTTGACCTCCCAAAGTGCTGGGATTACAGGAGTGAGCCACTGTGCCCGGCCACATGTCAGCTTTTCAACAAGTATCGTCTCACGCGGAGTTAAAAAACGGAGTCCCTCTAGACTAAATCTTGTCTGCATGTGTGTTTGATTTAGGTCTGCCCAAAAGGAAAGGATTTTAAAAATTGAATGGCCTTTTTCTTTAATTGCGAGATTTCACATCAATTCAGCTTTCTGGCTTTGCTTGAAAAATGCAAAGACCTGGCTTTGATGGGCCCACAGTGGGCTGGACCTGAGTAGCGAAGGCCCACTTGACAAGGTCCTCCTCTGGTCTTCCACCACCCCTACCATGCCGACTTCCTCCTTGCCAGCACGTGCCTAGCCCTGTGGGCATGGAGTTTGCAACCCTTAGCTGATTCAATTCCAAGTGAAGGGAGCAGCTAAATAAATCTGCAAAGGTAACGCTCTACTGGGGCCCAGAGACCTGCAGAGAACAGGCATTCAGTGGGGAAGAGAGGCTGTGGGGTCAGGTACAGGTTGGAACAGAGTCTTGACCTGGACAGGTGGGGGATGAAGAGGGCTATGAGGTCGAGCCACAGGCGGGAAAGAACCTGTGTCCTGCACTGACCTCTGGCTACTGGTGTCCACCTAACAGGCTGGAACTCATTCAGCAGCCCTCTCCTGGCCCTCAAATGTCCCTGGAATGTCCGCAGTGCTGTAGGATCAGCTTGTGAGCTCCCTGCCATGACCAAGGCAACACCTGCTAATGGGCTGCAGCAGGCTGGGCTCCATCAGACCTGACCAACTGCCCCAGAATAGCTCTGTCTCCAGCAGAGGGGAGAGAAAGGCCTGGGGCACAAACAGCAGAAATCGGGAGCCACACTTGGGCAAAAGAAGGATGAGTTCATGTCCTTTGTAGGGACATGGATGAAGCTCGAAACCATCATTCTCAGCAAATTATCACAAGGACAAAAGACCAAACACTGCACGTTCTCACTCATAGGTGGGAATTGAACAATGAGAACACTTGGACACAGGAAGGGGAACATCACACACTGGGGCCTGTTGTGGGGTGGGGGGAGAGGGGAGGGATAGCATTAGGAGATATACCTAATGTAAATGACGAGTTAACGGGTGCAGCACACCAACATGGCACACATATACATATGTAACAAAACTGCACGTTGTGCACATGTACCCTAGAACTTAAATAAATAAAAAAAAAAAAATATATATATATATATATATATATACACACACACACACATAAAAAGGGAATCTCTTATTTTTCACCTAGTATAGATGTGCTCACTGCTGCTGGTGGCAACTCTTGCTGTGCCTGTAACTCAATCCAGAATAATTACACTGGATTCTGGAGACCTGTTGCTCAGAGGTTGTTGTTTTTCTTTTGTTGGTGCAAAGGTGAACCATTCCTGACTCTTGGACATTACAAAATAAAGACAAATGTTATTGCTGGTTTCAGCTACGAAAAGCCAAGGCTCCAAATCGGTTCCTAAACCCAAAATCAATTAGGCAGATGTCGAGGAGGCAGGACTGAGATTCTATTAATAAGCATCGGGTTGTCAGAGAGACCATGCAGTTAATTTTTTCTCCGTTGCTTTCTGCTGCCTCTGGTTGCAGAAGTTCCTGGGAGAAAATTCTGCTATGGTCATCGTCAACCATAGCAGAGAGGTGGCAGAGCACACGTGGGAAAGGGCAGGGCTTGGGTGTAATTGACGAGGCTCTGCAATGATTGGTCATTTCCTCTCTGAGAAACTCCACCCAGAAATATTCCTCTAACTCAAAATGCTACAATCACCATCCCTGGGAGGGGATATTTATTCAATGGGGCAGGGCTTCCAGGGTGTTTTCCCCACTTTTCAGAAGGGGCTACGCAGAGCTGCTGCCCAGCCACAGGCCTGGTGGGTGATGTTTGCAAAGCAACCTAATGTCCCCCCCTTCCCCACCTCTCCCAATCTGTTCCTCCTGCCCCCGCCTTCCCATCTCTGTAAATGGCACTGCCATCTGCCCAACGGCTCAGCCAAAAACCTAGGAGTCATCCCCGATTCCTCTTCCCTCACCCACCCACTCACGATCCATAAAGCAAACCCTGCCGACCTTCCAAGCAGCACCGGAATCCACCCACCTCTCTCGCTCTGCAGTGCCCCGTCCTGCTCCGTACCACCAGCATCTCCCACCTGGACTGCTGCAAACACCACCTGATCTCCCTGCTTCCGCTCTTGTCCCTGGGCCACCCTCTTCACCTACAGCCGGGGTGTGCCTCTGAGAACATGCACGCATAGCTGACCAGCTCAGAACATTCTGGGGACCTTCCATCGGGCATGCAATCAAATCCAGACCCTGCTGCATGGCCTGCTGGGGACCACCAGGTCTCCCCTGTCTGCTCTCTGCCGCCCTCTTCCCCATCCTCCTCCCCTTCATTCCCATGTCCTGCTGCCCTCCTCCAACGTCCTGGGAAACCTGTTCCTGCCACAGGGCTCTTGCACGTGCCGTGCTTCTGCCTGCAGTGCTCCTGCCTCGGGTTTCCACATGAATGTCTCCTCATGACACAGGTCTCCCCAGTGTTAGGCCACACAACCCCACTTCCCACTGCTAGGGGAGCTGCCCTCACTGGGACCCTTGCTCCTGATCTCTGGTGTTGCTGAGACCCTCAGTTGCCCACAAATATCTCTTTCTCCTTCTTCCTCTGATCAGGCTGTGACTTTATTTTCAATGCACCCAGCTAGGAAACATTTCCCAGATTCCCTTATGGCCAAAGATGTGCCAGGAGCCTGCCTGCCGCCTTCCAGCCCTGCTCTCTGTCCAGTTCTCCACCCCAGGGCACTGGCCTGGAGGTGCTGGTTCAACAAGCCCCTTCGCTCTCTGGGCTTTGGGTTGGATTTGACTGACAAGGGCCCCTGGCAGGAGATCGGAGAAAGAAGAGAGTGAGGTTGGTGGACAGATTCCTCCACCTTCCTCTCTGTGGTGCCAACAGAGGGTGACAGCTCTTGTGGGGTGACCCTCTGTGTCCCTGGGTTCCAGTAACCTCTTGTCCCACTGTTGCTAATTAGCCTGGGGCACTGCCCTATCCCTAGTGGTTTCCTCGCACTTGCTCACACCTTAGCAAAAAACACTTAAACCGTCTTCCAATGATTCAAATTTGCATGTGCTTTATAATTCTCGCTGAGATCATGTGGCTAAGTAAATAAGATCTATTCGTGTTGCATGTGACTTCTGAAGTGGTTTTTTTTTTTTTCTTTTTCCTGCCCTTCTGCCTCTGCTTCCTTCTTCTTGCTGCCTAGAGTGTGGCTATGAGAGCTGGAGCTCCAGCAGCTGTTCTAACCACAAGGTGACTTTGCAGATGGAAGCTACGCAGTAAGTATGATGGAACAGAAAGGCAGAGAAGGAGCTTGGGTCCCTGATAACCTTGAAGCCACCAAGCCAGCCCTAGACTGCCTACCTCCAGACATTTGTATAATTCTGTCTTGTTTAAGCCACTGTTATTTTATGTTTTCTTTTACATGCAGCCAAACCTAATCCTGATACACTTAACTTCCAGAACTCAAGTGATCTCCCAAATGTTGCTGAATTGAAAAAAAATCATCTTACAGGAATGTGCTTGGCAAGCTGAACACCAGTGTGGGTCCGAATGAGCCTCTCTTCTTCCTGAGATAACCTGCATCCACATGTTTTTTCTCCTCTAGTGATCAGCGGCTAGAAGGCCAGGAGGTGGGATCTCAGAGAGGCTGAGCTGGAAGTTACCACTGATCTGGTGTCTGGAATCTGGGTATGTTGTCCTGGGCTTCCAGCCATCTGGCCCCTACAGAGAGTACTTGAGCCTGCGATTTGGAATTGATCTCCTGGATATCAGGCTGTGGCACAGGGTGTGGTTTCCTTGTGTTCACAGATGGAAAGTGGAAAACAGGAGGCCGGCCAGACCTCTGCTACATCTTTCTTTCAAAAGCCTGCCTCTCCCACTGGACAGTTCTCCAGGCTGTATTCCTGCAACTTTCAGGATCTGGGGAGGGTCTCAGATTCAGTAAAGCACAAACAAGCACACAGTTTGTATACGATCCCCACCGTGCCCTACTCTAAGTCCACCCAGGCCTGGGCCTCTCTCTTCAACGTCTGACTGATGTGGCTGCCTATTGGACAGTTCCTGTTGGCTTTTCACAGGCACCTGCAACTTCCCAGGTCCAGAACTGAGCTTTATTTATTGATTTATTGATGTATTGAGACAGAGTCTCGCTCTGTCGCCAGGCTGGAGTGCAGTGGCGCGATCTCAGCTCACTGCAACCTCCGCCTCCTGGGTTCAACCAAATCTCCTGCCTCAGCCTCCCGAGTAGCTGGGACTATAGGCGTGTGCCACCATGCCCCGCTAATTTTTGTATTTTTAGTAGAGATGGGGTTTCACTATGTTGGCCAGGATGGTCTCGATCTCCTGACCTCTTGATCCGCGTGCCTTGGCCTCCCAAAGCGCTGGGATCACAGGTGTGAGCCACCGCACCCGGCCCACAGCTTCTAACCATGGTTTTCCCCATCTCTGTACACAGAAAATCCATTCTCATAGTTTTTCAGGCCACAACCTTGGAGTCATTCTCAACTCTTCTTTACCATCCCTCATCAGTTCCATCAGCACTTGTATCAGCTCTACCTTTGAAATATGACCAGCACTTACTACTTTCCTCACTCTGGTCTGAACCGCTATCATCTCATGCCTGGACCATTGCAATAGACTCCTCATTGGGCTCATCTCATGCGTGGACTGTTGCAGTAGACTCCTTACTGGACACCCTGCTCTCATTACACCTATTCAGTCTATTCTTCTAGAGGGGTCCTATGAAGACACAAATCAGATGCTCAATGTCCTCCTCTGCTCAATGTCCTCTATTGGTGTCCATCTCACTCAGAAAGCCAAAATCTTCCTCCCATTCAAAGGCTCATGCCTTGCACGGTCCATCCAACCACCACCTCCCTATTACCGTTCATTCTTCCTGCTGCTCTTGTGCACGCTGCTCTGGCCTCTTTGCGGCTCTGAGCCTGCTGAGACCGCATCTGCCTCAGGGCCTTAGCACACACCGTTCCCTCTGCCTGGAGTGCTCTTCCCCAGGGATCCCCCTTGACTGGTTTCCTTACCTTCTTTGCTCAGATTTCCCCTTCCCAATGAGACCACCCTATAGAAAATCCCAGCGATTCTTTTCTCCACCTTTCTCCTGGTTGATCGCCCCTCCTGGCTTCCCCTCCTGGCTTTATTCTCCTCCTCACTTTCTGCTCTTTTATGTACTATAGATTCGATGTGTCTTGTTAACTCTTGCATTAGAATGTAAGCTCTGTTTAGTTTGTTTGCTGTTGGATCTCCTTTGGCATACAGTAGGTGCTCAGGAAACACCTGCCGAATGAATAAGTCTGGTCCACAGTTTGAGCAGCTGCTTCAGAGAGCGCCATGTGAGGGTGTCACGAGCATCTCTCTAACTGGACTGCACACCAGCTACCTGCCTTCTTCTGGCACTAGCTTCTGAATTTTCCTTTGGGGAATCTGCTCTATCCCAATCCCAGTCCTCATGGTTCAAGTGGGGTTGGCTCCAGTCCTGGCTCCAGGAATGTGCACCTGACTCCATCTGGCCAACCACTGTGTTCCATTCCCCTGAATCTGGTTGACCAGAAGTCCCAGACAGTGTCAGACCAAAAAGACTCAATTTGGGTACTCTCTTCTAGGTGAGAGAAGCTCTCTTTCCACAGGGATGGCTTGCACCTGTATGGTGTTCATGTGGGTCTAGTGATGCCAGGAATGCTGCCTGGAGAGCTGGCCTGAGAGTAAAGCCAACTTGGAGGAAAGCTGAGGTCAGGGAGATGGAGGGACAGAGGCCACCCAGAGACAAAGCTCCTAGATCCAGCCGCACCTGAAGCTCAATGTATACTTGGACTTATTCATATGAGTCCAATAAAGTCCCCTTTTTGATTCCTCAATCCTGCTCGAGTTGGGTTTACATCACTCGTAACTGAGAGAATCCAGGCTGACAGAGAGTGGTTGTGACACACGCGTTTTTAACACCCAGTGGAAGGCTGGTTCCCATGGCACTTTTGCAGGCCCCAAAACCACCACTCAGTTGCTTTTCAACAGCCATGATGGTGCAACTCTGTTCATCAGCAGAGGCAGTAATGGCAGAAGAACCCATGCCAAACTTGATTGACAAGTGTCACTCAAATTATGGGGTATGTAACCATGCCAGGCTCACATACCTGGCAGAGTGGGTGCCAGCTCACCTGCATGAGCGTGGACAGCACTCACCCCACTGTGTCAGCTGGGAGGAGACTCTAATGTTGCTGTTCAGTGCCATGAGACATTTAGATTTTAATGTCGTTTTGATATGCAAAGCTTGCTGTAGACAAACAACACTGTGGCATTGGCCCAGGGTGCTCTAACAGAGGATGGCTTTAACAACCCAAGTGAGAGCAAACTGTCACACATATGACAGGTGCCAGGTATTCCTCACAAGAATGCCAGGGAAACAGATCATCATCTCCACTTTATAGATGAGTAAACTGAGGCACAGAGAGGGCAAATCTTTCCCAAGGACACATGGTCAATGGTAGAGTGAGGATTTGAACCTGGTGGCTAATGAGACAGCTCTTACCCTTGCAACTTTACTCGGAGTATTTTCATTTAAAGATGTTCTGATAGGCTGGGTGCAGCGGCTCGCACCTGCAATTCCAGCACTTTGGGAGGCCAATGGGGGGCGGATTGTTTGAGCTCAGGAGTTTGCAACCAGCCTGAGCAACATGGCAAAAGCCCATCTCTAAAAAAAAAAAAAAAAAACCCCAAAAACTCCCAAAATTAGCTGAGTGTGATGGTGCGCACCTGTAGTCCCAGCTACTTCGGGGGCTGGGGTAAGAGGATTGCTTAAGCTCAGGAGGTCGAGGCTGCAGTGAGTAGTGATCACACCACTGCATTCCATCCTGGGTGACAGAGCGAGACCCCGTCTCAAAAAATATAAACAAATAAAAATAAAGATGTTCTGAGAGGCAAAGAATTCTTTTGAAATGCAAACATCAGGCCAGGTGTGGTGGCTCACGCCTGCGATCCCAGCATTTTGGGAGGCCGAGGCGGCGGACTGCTTGAGGTCAGGAGTTCGAGGCCAACCTGGCCAACATGGCGAAACCCTGAATCTACTAAAAATACAAAAATTAGCTGGGTGTGGTAGCGGGCACCTGTAATTCCAGCTACTTGGGAGGCTGAGGCAGGAGAATCACGTGAACCCAGGAGGCAGAGGTTGCAGTGAGCCGAGATTGCGCCACTGTACTCCAGCCTGGGTGACAGAGTGAGACTCTCTCAAAAAAAAAAAAAAAAAAAAAGAAAGAAAAGAAAAGAAATGCAAACACTGGATGCAGTCTCGTGGGGCACACTTCAAATCCGACAATCTGAGGGGCCTCGAAAAGGCACCCATCTCTGCCTGGTGTGAACACTCAGGAAAATGAGCACTGGGGAATCCGCTCTGATATTCTGGGGTTTGGAGTCTGGCTGTGTCCTTAACCCTCTGATACAAGAGCCACCACCAAGTGGTCCCCATGTAAGTGGGACCCCCACATCAAAAGCTTGAGAAAGTTCTTCTCTTTTCTAGTCTCTATCCTGCTGATGAGGCCAAGAAGAAAGTCTTGGCAGGTGCTACTTCACCTTTAATGCCGCTTCTGAAACTGCCCGTCACCCTCATTACAGTAGAGACACACTGGCTTTCTGGGAGGCAGCATCTTGCTGAAATTTAAAAACACGACTTGGTTTTCACTGTGTTTGGTTTTACAGTGATCCTTTGCCGAAGGCAATGGGTATTGGTTTTTTCCTTTACAGTCAGAATTTGGAGGTTCCTTTTAAAATAATATTTAAGCTTCAAAAATAAGTCCAGTTAAAGAAATTCTCAAGTCATAGATCAGAACTGGGATGCTGCAAAAATTCTCTTGCTCCAGGCCAGAACCATGTCTTAATCCTCTTGCTGTCTCAGAGCCTGCTGGAGCCCCAGAGGCTCCCCAGAGGTTTAGATCAAATTAAATCAGTAAACCCTGGCAGAGCCCAAAGATTCTACTGCCTCCCTGAACAAAGGACGTCTGCAAACGAGACCTTTACCTCCATGTGCTTCCCTCTTATTCTTTTGGAGCGGAAGTCCAGCAAAAGTCCGTTGGTCTCAGAGGGCCATTGAGACACAGGGATGTCCCCAACTACTTTAAACATGTAATGATAATTTAGGCCACTTACGAACTAGTATGGCCCTGGAAGCAGTTCCCCTGGGCATTTGATAATTCCAAATGACAGCTTAGGGAGTCAAATGCGTGCAGGGAAAGGAAAATTGAATATACGTGGTACAGCCCCGAACCCCCCAACCTTGCAATTAGGAAACAGAACAAGCCCCTCGTCTTGTGTATCTGGCACCAGTCCTCCCAACCGGACCCTAATGAGGATGGACGTCTGTTCTCTGTCCTGGGACTGGAAAGAATCCTGGGATTATCTCAGTCAAGAAGTCTCCAGCCCAGAGGGCTGTCAGAACTGCTGCACGGATGGGCAGAAAATAGCAAATGATAAATTTTTTAGGACCACCCGCTGCATGCCAGTTGTAGCAGAGACTGTGAGATAATGTATTGGGCTTTTTTGGGACATGCATTATTGATCTGGGTCTGTCTAGTGGTTTATAAAAAGCCTATCATGCCCCTCCCACAACCACCTTCCCATCCCTTGCCTCCTTCAAAACCCAGTGCTGCTGGTGGAAGAGGTCTGGCTTGTTTATAGAGGGCAAGACTTGTAGGCCCTAATCTATGCTGTGTAGTGCTATTGGGCAAGAGCTGACACAGGCCACTGAACACCAGGGGCTCTAAACCCACCGCATCCACCTCCTAGAATTTATCCTTCAGAAGCACTCCCTTGTCTGTGCAACGATGCCTGTTTAAATTTCCAGCAACAATATCCGTAACAGTGAAAAACTAACAAACGCACACGCTACCAATCTGAAAACAACTCAATATCCATCCCAGGAATCTGGCTAAATAGAGCAGTGGCTAAGATCACGCGTTCTGGGTTCAAATCTTGTTTTTCTCTTTTTTTCTAAGATGGGGTTTTGTTCTATTGCCCAGGCTAGAGAACAGTGGTGTGACCTAGGCTCACTGCAGCCTTGACCTCTTGGGCTCAAGTGATCCTCCACCTCAGCCTCCCATTAGCTGCTACTACAGGTGTGTGCCACCATCCTTGGCTGATTTTTACATTTTTTGTTAAGACGGGGGGGGTCTCACTATGTTGCCCAGGCTGGTCTCGAACTCCTGGCCTCAAGTGATCCTCAGGCTCCCAAAATGCTGGGATTACAGGCGTGAGCCACTGCACCCAGCTCAAATCATGTTTAATCACATTCTAGCTGTGCAAACTTGGACAAGTGACTTCTCTCTGCCTCAGTTTTTCCATCTGTCAAATGGAGAGAAGAAATCTCTGTATTTTAAGTCAGCCACGGCTTTCTTTGTTCCCCTCTCTCCTGTGTCTACTTCATACCTGCTATTGGTTTCCTTGTATCTGCATACGCTGTTGGTTTCCTTATATCTGCATATGCCTTTGCTTTCTTTTTATCTGCATACACTGTTGGTTTTATTCACAAGTCACAGATGCAAAATTCAGTCAGATTCAGACATGAGACTTAGCTGGATCATGTTGCAAAAATGTGTTGTTCCTAAGAGTGGGTATTCAGCCACTCACCTGTTGATTCGGGCCCCAAATCTAGCGGCTGCCCTTGAAACGTATCTTTTCCATAACCCACATACCTAACCCATTGATCAGTTTATTTCCCAAATATACATCAGGTGGGACCGCATCTCAGCACCCGGGTCTGAGCTTCCATCATCACTGCCCTATCACCCCATCGGCCTCTGAATGAGTGTCCTGTTTCTGCCCTTACCCCTGCGATTTAATTTCATCAAAAGAGCTGGGGGATCCTGTTAGAACCTAAGTGAGGTCACGGCCTTCCTCTTCTTAAGGCCCCCTCATCCATGTCTATTTTACTAAGAATCAAACTCAAAGCCCCCACCATGGCCACAAGGCCTGGTGCAACCCGGGCCAAGTCAGCTCCTCAGCTTCATCTCTCTCCATCACGGCCCCAGCTCCCTCCACTCCGGCTCCCTGGCACTTTTTTTTTTTGCTCCAAACCACCGAGCCCATTTCTATCTCAGTATCTTTGAATTTCCTGTTCTCCTCACCTGGAATGAGCCTCCCTTAGTTCTCTGGCTCCTGACACAGTGCACTGAATGCAACAAATGCGTAATAAACATCTGCTGGATGAATGAACAAACGTGCAGGGCATCGGAAATTCTAAGCATGACTATAGCCGAAACAGCGTCGGGGCTACACAATGTGAGACCAAGAAGCTCTGAGGTCCAGGTGCTGCCTGCAAGACCCCTCTGCAAAATTCTTCAAGAAACGAAACACACCTCTCTGGCCACAGTCTGCAGACTCCCCATAGTTATCAAATGCGCCTCATTCTAAATGCTGCCAGGAGATAGGTATCCTATGTGTCAAATTGTCAATAAAAGCTCTGGGCTCTGATTGCTTCCTGGCTACAAATTCTTTCTGCACTGAGAAGCTCCCGGAGGAAAAAAACTATACTTGTGATCATTAATACAAAGCATTGCAAGGAACAACTTGGTTTTATGTAAATTGCCTTTTCCTGGTAGCTAAAAGACAAATTCAGGTTGTCAAGGCTAACCTAGTCAACCTTCACATTTGTTGCCACCAACAACACGCTGTTATCCTTTAAGAGTGGACAGAGGCTGAGGGATCACCCTTCACGGGATCAATGATTGACAGTCTTTGCCACAACCCACAAGAGCCTCCAAAATTTGGCTCCAGGCTCATGTCTCATCTTTTTTTTTTTTTTTTGAGACAGAGTCTCACTCTGTCACCCAGGCTGGAGTGTAGTGGCATGACCTCCACTCACTGCAACCTCCTTCTCCTGGATTCAAGTGATTCTTGTGCCCCAGTCTCCTCAGTAGCTGGGGTTACAGGTGTGCGCCATCATGCCTGGCTCATTTCTGTAGTTTTAGTAAAGACGGGGTTTCACCACGTTGGCCAGGCTGGTCTCGAACCCCTGACTTCAGGTGATCCACCTGCCTCGGCCTCCCAACGTGCTGGGATTACAAGCATGAGCCATAGCGCCCAGCCTGTTCTCTTTAACTCTTTGGAGAAATCCAGGAACGGTTGTGCAACTGGAGAAGGGTAGAGACCCCTAACCTTGAGGACCCAGTTGTGACCCCAAACACGTGTGGGTGGCCCGTGTCTTGGTTTCAATGTACTCAAAAGTGAGCACGACGCATCAACACCACCGCCTTGCCTCAGGAGCCTCAGCCTAACCCAGGGACCCTGCTCCGAGGGGCCGAGGTGCCACCCTGGGGCCCCGAGGCTTACCCAGCTCCACATCCTGGTCGTCCGTCAGCACCAGGATGATGTTGGGGCGGATGTTCCTGCGGTCCCTCTGAAACCTGCCTTTCAGGCGGTGGTGCGACAGGAAGGCCGAGCTTCCACCCAGCAGGGAGAACACAGTTGCGGACAGCAAGCACAGCACGAGGCTCGGGGGGCCCATCTTCTTTTTTTGCTGATCTGGTGCTTCTTTTGGGATGCGGGAGTCTCAAGTTGCGTCTGTGGCTTTGTTTCTTTTCCCTCGTCCCTCTTCACTCGCAGATCTAGAGGAGGAGGAAGAATCAGGTCAATATTTATGTCAAGGCTGCCGGCTGCTCATTCTTGCATAATGATTTGTATGGCGGCTGGCATGAACAATGGGAGTTTCTTTGAACAGGGGTGGCTATGGCAGAGTGAAAACCGAACTCCGCTGAAGTTAGCAAAGTCTTTACAGTTTGCTTGGTCAACAGACTGGCAGAAAAGCCTTCTGTGGCCACTTCTGCAGAAACAATTTCTTCCCTGGATCCAGTGAGCCTCTGATGTGTCGGTGGCAGCCCAAGACCCGAGTCAGATAACAGCCGTCTCTGAATAATCCACCCAACTCCACAGACAAATCGTCCCCAGGGAGAGGAACAGCAGCGGGCTGGTCTCAAGGGGTGAATATTTGCCGTCCTCTTGCATCTGCCCGCACCGTGGGGTACAGAGGTGAGGGAGATGAAGTTCCAGCTCCCCAGCAGCGGGGGATTCAATCAGGGGTTTAAACGAGAGCCTGGAGCTGGATGTTTTGGGCTGGACAACTGGCATGTGTGAGTGGCAGATCTTCCACTCACTGGCTCAGTTTTCCCGTGAGCAAGCCCGTTTGGAACCTCGGTTTCCCCATGAACAAAATGAGTAGACAGGGCTGTTGTAAGATTTCAGTCTGCTGGGGATGCGTGTGAAAGCCCCTTGTTAAGGGATCTTGTAGTTGGGCAAAAAAGTATTCCTTTTTTTTTTTTTTTTTTTTTCCCAGACAGAGTTTTGCTCTTGTTGCTCAGGCTGGAGTGCAATGACGCCATCTGGGCTCACTGCGACCTCTGCCTCCTGGTGTTCAAGCGATTCTCCTGCCTCAGCCTCTAGAGAAGCTGGGATTACAGGCGCCTGCCACCACGCCCGGCTAATTTTTTGTATTTTTGGTAGAGATGGGGTTTCACCATGTTGGCCAGGCTGGTCTTGAACTCCTGAACTCAGGTGATCCACCTGCCCTGGCCTCCCAAAGTGCTGGGGTTATAGGTGTGAGCCACTGTGCCCAGCCTATTAGTTTTAAGTTGCAGAATAAATGAAATGACAATAGAGAAAATTGAGCGCTAAAAGGTGGAGGGGGAAGACCTGCCACAGGCCACTGTGCCCTCAGTCACCCCCCTGGCCCCAGGTCAGACTAGGTCACCAGCGAAGGTGGGTGCGGGGAGGTGGGGACGCGACTCTGGCTCAAGCAGGTCTCTAATCTCGCCCTGCTCTTTGCTCTCCGTGGTCATTTTTTCACTTCTTGAGGAAATGAGCCTTCAAGTCCTGTCCAGATATAGACTTTTGGTATCATTTATTTAAAACAAGAGAGCATGAGCGAGAGAGCCACAGCCTGCAGATGTGCCGGGAGGAAGCCAAGTGCTGTGGGGGTGGCTGTGTTGCTGTGACCTTGAAAGGGTCTGTTTGTCCTTGCCCTTCATGGGGAACCCCAGCCATCAGCTCAAAGTCATGACTCAGAGGCTCAGCAAGGTCTCCGGGTTCAGCAGGGGGATGTGCTGCCTGCTTCATCTCTCCTGGGGACTGCAAGGTGGCCTGAGGGGTCTCCCGCCTCCCTCTTCCCTGCCCCCATCCTCCATTTTCCCAGGGCAGCCGGAGGAATCTTCCTAAAATACAGATCAGATCACAGCACTGGGCAGGGGAGGGCACAGTGCCTCGTGCAGGTACAGACTGAAGGGGGTGCTCGCTCCCAGGCTGCACAAGTGCCAGGCACTCGCCTCACCTTAGTGCCAGTCCTGTGCTCACCTGCCGCACCTTCCCTGGCTGCTCATGGCTCACAGGATAAGATGCAAACTTCTTGCCAGGGCTGCCCTGGCCCGTGAGATCTGGCCCCTGCCCACTTCTCCTCGACCTCTCCTTTCCAGCCCTACTGGCTTCTTTCTGTCGAATGGACAAGTCAAGCTTCTCTTTGCCCCAGGGTCTTTGCACCTGCTCTTTTAAAAATAACTCCCGCAGCTGTGCGCAGTGGCTCACATCTGTAATTCCAGCACTTTGGCAGGCTGAGGCAGGTGGATCACCTGAGGTCAGGAGTTCGAGACCAGCCTGATCAACATGGTGAAACCCCATCTCTACTAAAAATACGCAAATTAGCTGGGCATGGTGGCACATGCCTGTAATCCCAGCTACTCGGGAGGCTGAGGCAGGAGAATCGCTTGAACCTGGGAAATGGAGGTTGCAGTGAGCCGAGATCATGTCATTGCACTCCAGCCTGGGTGACAGAGTGAGACTCCGTCTCAAAAACAACAACAACAACAACAAACTCCTGCTTTGTACTCCTGGCTCTTTCTGTCAAAAGAACAAACGTCATCACCTCAGAGAGGCCTGCCCTGGCCACCCTATTTAAAGCGGGGGCCCCCAACCCAGGCACTCTGCATTTTATAACCGGTTTTATTTCTCTTGTAATCACTACTGCAGCCTGCAATTTCTTATTTATTGTCCAATTCTTCCCCACTAGGGGGTCAGCTCCCTGAGGACAGAGACAGGCTTATGTTATTCATGGCTGTCTCCAGGCCTTGGCACAAAGAAATAGATAAATAAAGGAACGGAGGTTCTGCTAAGGTCCTTTGAGTTCTGCAGAGTGAGGGAAGCTGGACTTGGCAGGGCCGTGCCATAGCTTGGGTCTACATGGCTCAGAGGCGTCCATCACTGATGCCTTGCCCCAGCCACCCTCCATGGACACCAACGAGGAGCTGGCCACTGTGTTCTCTGGGCAGCGCTATGGTTGAAAAACCCCAGGAAGGGTCACTCCTGCTCCATTTCTCCCCCAGCTCTGCTTGGCACCCTGGGAGGCTGAGCTCTACAGATGGCACGGTCGGCACGTCCCTGCTCTCTGGCTTCCGGCTGGGAGGCTGCAGCATGGGAGGTGGTGGGAA
This sequence comes from Homo sapiens, assembly GCF_000001405.40. NCBI lineage: Eukaryota > Metazoa > Chordata > Mammalia > Primates > Hominidae > Homo > Homo sapiens. Next base: position 47,760,329 of record NC_000020.11, read on the forward strand.
GTCCGTGCATTTATTCTCCTCCCGCACGCAGTAGCTCCCCAGGCAGTAGCCTTCGTGTCTGTGTGTGTGGATGCAGCTCCTGCCTGGGGCCCCTCCTGGCTCTAGCGTCTCCCCAGTTCTGAGTTCACCTCTCCCTCCTCTTGCCCCATCAAGTCTCGGGAAAGTAAGGGCTCCTGTTGCTACCGGTTCCTCGGTGCAGCATCATTTCTTTGCTCCCTTTGCCCACCTGCCTCTGAAAACAGTGCTTTCAATCAACTCTCCCAGCTGCCCTGATGCGCACCCTAATTTACTTCATTCAGGGACCTGTATCCTATGTCAGGCTGGCCAGGACAGCAAGTCTCCCTTCTAGCACCTCCCCTGGGAGCAGGAAGCAGGCTCCGCTCAATGCCTCCTTCCCAGGTGGCTCTGAGAGTCACAATTTCAGGGGAGCTGGGGACACACTCGATGCAGTCGTCTGACATGAGAACTGTGAGTTTCATGGGACCAGAGGGTGAACAACACCTTCCTTCTCAATCTCTCGTCTGCAGAAACATACACCTCATGACAGCCAGAGCCACTGCGGCAACTGCCTGCTGGGCACCTGCTTTATGCCACGTGGTGTGATGGTTAAGGATGTGGACTTTGGAGTTACTTGCTGAAAGACCCTGAGCTAGTAACTTAACACCTTTGTGCCTCAGTTTCCTCATCTGTGAAATGGGTGTGCAGGATTAAATGTGTTGATACAGTGTGCTGGGACTAGAGCCTGGCCATAGTACTAACTGGGATACATATTCCACAATGTAAACCATTATTAGAGTGATCCTACCGCTGCAGCTGTCCTGCGTCAGGCACTCTGAAATCTCCTTCAACCTCCACCAAGGCTCCCTCCTGCAAGTACTATTATTAGCCCCAGAGAAAACTGAGGTTTCATTACTGTCCTAAGGCCACCCAGACAGAAGATGGCAGGGATGGGATGTGAATTCTGCCCTCCCTCACCGTTCAATGTGGGCTTCTCATCACGAAACTCGGATTTCCCAACTCTTTCCGTTCAAGGACCACGGCCCTGATTTCTGCTGAATCTGCAGAGCCCTTCAGTGATTATTTGCTTAACGTGCTTCTTTAAATGGCCTCATTTTAAAATAAAAACACAAACACATGTTTTGGGAAAAGAAAACTTCCTACCCAAAGATAAATGGAAAGTGGACATCGCTTCCCTGTAGAGCTAATTGTACAAATAAAAGTCAAAGAAAGCTGAATCAGTGGAACTTGATGCAAATAGCTTCCCAGGCTTCGCGTGCCCTCGCGCTCGCACTCTCTTTTGAAGTGAGATTAGCAGGTGTTGAAAGGAGTCAAAGCACATTAGCACCATCTGAGACTTTCTGCTGGAGGTAACTGGAGGCTGCCAGACAGCTGAAAAGGAGACAAACTCTAGCCATCGAATCAGTCCCTGAACCACCCCAAATCAGAGTAATCCTCAAACTATGTTGTGTATCTGATATGGTTTGGCTGTGTCCTCACCCAAATCTCATCTTGACTTGTAGCGCCCATAATTCCCACGTGTTGTGGGAGGGACCTGGTGGGAGATAATTGAATCATGGGGGTGGTTCCCCCATACTGTTCTCATGGTAGTGAATAAGTCTCATGAGATCTGACGGTTTTATAAAGGGTTTCCCCTTTTGCTTGGTTCTCATCTTCTTTTGTCTGCCATCACATAAGACGTGCCTTTCACCTTCCACCATGATTGTAAGGCCTCCCCAGCCACATGGAACAATGAGTCCATTAAATCTTTTTCTTTTAAATTACCCAGTCTCGGGTATGTCTTTATCAGCAGCGTGAAAACAGACTAATACATTATCAGTGGCCCATGTCCCTCCATCGGGAAACACTACGGGATGCTTTGCACTTGAAACTACGATTGCAGCAGCCAGCGTTCTAAGATGCACATTCACGTTCCTTCAGAGAGACAGACGTGGAGTGCTAATATTGGGAGAATTCCGATGGGGTGCCCTACAAATAGCAACTCTCTGAAACCAGAAACCAATCACAGGAAAACCTTTCTGAAAGCTTGCAGCACACTCCAGTCTCTGCTCTGAGCTGTTTGCAGGTGTCAACCCAATTAATATGCACACCCACCCATCAATATTTCACCCATTTTATGGATGAAGAAGCTGAGGCACAGAGAGTTAAAATCACTTTCCCCCGATCATATGGGTAAGTGGCAGAGAAGGGGTTCAAACCTAGTCTGGCCCGATTTGGGCAGCTCAACCAGGACCCCCTAGAAGCAGATCTTTGAACAAGTTCCTAAGAGTCTCCCAGCCTCAGTTTCCTCATTTGCCAGGTGGCCAGGTGCCCTCTGAGGGCCTTTTTGGCCCTGGGCCTGTGATGCCAGGGTACAGGGGGGCTGGGAAGGGCAGTCTTCATTGGGAGCCCTGGGCTGGGTAAAGATGGAGCCCGGGGCACAGTCAGCTGGACTTCGTTCCTGGCTCCCATGTTGGTTTCAGAGCACCCCCCACTCCTGGGCGGCTATCACCCGCTCTCCTCTGGATGGAAGTCAAAGCTCCGGCACCAGAAGCCAGAGAATAACAGGAGCTAATTATTTCATCAGATCAAGTCATCAGTGGGTCGATTTCTGATGAATTCCCCTGGCTCAGACTTCTCGTGGCCTCATGCCAGTTTCTCTCCGGATGCTGAAGAAATCAATTAAAGATGACACAAGGGATTCTGCCTTGTTTTTTTTCCTTTTTCTTGGTAAAATATTCAAAGTGGCTGAACCGAGAGAGCACCCAGTGAACTCACGCAGCACCAGCCGCCTGCCACTCCATCCCTGCTGTGGACAACACCTCTCCTTCCCACCAGTTCCTTTCCAGGTCTCTCTGGCTCCTCCTCTCCATCCTGAGTCTTCTCCAGGACCTTGGCAAAGGCTCGCCAGCCCAGGAGACATCTCTGGAAACAGCTAACGTCCTGAGCATTTAGAAACATCATTTTTAGTTCTCAATTTCTCTGCCGATCTGCCAAGAGGAACGGGTCTGAGTGACTGATGCCCTCACCTTCCCAATGCCACAAACCACAGCGGTGAACAAACACCTGGGACCTCATCCAGACCTGTTTAGAAAGACCCAGATGGGCTGTTTTCCTCTGAGGATCTCCAAATCCAACAAGAGGAGGAGAGAGAAGTTTGGGAACAATCAGGCAGCTGAGGTGGTGGGAGAGGAAGAAGGGGCCAGAGGCAGAAGGAGGCACTGGTCAGATGGTAAATGTCCATGAAAGGCGGGAAGAAAGCAAACTGTGGGTGTGCAGATACGTCCCACGGGCTGGGGCCAGAGCCCCGCAACAGACCTAGCGGCCTCCCCAGGTGGTCCAGAGAACCTGATCATTTCTCTCTCTTCCTTCTTTCACTTTACAAATACGTATGAAGGACCTCCTATGAGGCACAGTGTTCAGTGATAGGAGAATCCTGCCTGGATTCCAACAGCCTCCTAACTGGTTTCCCTGCTTCTACCTCGTCCCTTCCATCAAGCAGCCAGACAGATCCTGTTAAAACAAAAGCAAGGGCCTGCCTTCCTCCACTGAACGGCCTTCAATAACTTCCATCCCACGCAGAGTAAAACGCAAAAACCCTCCAAAGGGGCTACAAGAACCCACCCAACCTGCTCCATCACCTCTCCGACCTTATTGCCTTCCCCTCTCTCCCTTGCACACCTGGTTCCAGCCACACGGTCTCTGTACTGTTCCTTGCACATGCTAGCACAGCCCACCCCAGGGCCCTTGAACTTGCTGCTCCCTCTGCCTGGAGCCTTCATTCAGGTTATCTTCACCATCCCTTCTTCCCCCTCCTCAGGTCTTTGCTCAAATTTCACCTTGGCAGGTTAAAACCGAAATCTCTGCCCTCCCCAGTAGCACTTACCACCTCTCACAGCTAGCTCCTTTATTTCTTTGCGGATGTCCTCCAGCAGAATATCAGCCCCCTGAAGGTACAGGTTTTTGTCATTTTTGTTCAGATCTATATCCTCAACAATTAAAACAATGCTTGCGGCATAGCAGGCATTCAAAATATTTACTGGCTTAACAAAGAATTATCTCCTGTCTCCTGGTAACAGCCCCTGTTAGTGCTTTGAGGCCACAAGTGCTCTTATTTCCCACCCCCCCTTATATATGGTTTGACTGCAGGGCAGCGCATGTGAGCCAGGTGGAGCCAATCAGCAATTCCAGCTCTAGCTTCAGCGATTGGTCCTGGGGCAGACATGTGACCCAAGTCTGGCCAATAAGCGAGAGGGAGTCCTGGAGGCTGGAGGAGACTGTGCTGGGTGCCAGGAGGCATGAATATGGTGCTGATGGTGGCCGCCCATTGGATGGAGCCCGAGAGAGAGGATGCTGGTGACAATGGGGTGGACCAAGTTGCATCTTGTAGCCAGGTACAGACTCAAAAAAGTGCCCTTTGCTGCTTAAGAGAGTCCGAATTAGGGCTGTCATTTGCAACAGGGAGCACCCAGACCAACACAGGAAACACCCTAGAAGAACAATAATGAATGATAGCTAACATCAGGGGCCCTGCACAATTCTAAGCACTTTTAGTGTGTGACCTCACGCCACCCTTACAACCACCTTGTGAGTTGGGATGCTCCATTTACAGACAAGGAAGATAAGGCACGGACAGGTTCCAGAACCTGCCCAGTGTCGTGCAGCATGGGTGCTGAATACTGTCCCTTTGGTCCTCCCTTCCCATCTTCTCTCCACCTCCAAATCCAACAAGAGGAGGAGAGAGGGCTGGGCGCGGCAGCTCACGTCTGTAATCCCAGCACTTTGGGAGGCCAAGGCGGGCGGATCACGAGGTCAGGAGATCGAGACCATCCTGGGTAACACGGTGAAACCCCGTCTCTACTAAAAAAAATACAAAAAAATTAGCTGGGCGTGGTGGCGGGCGCCTGTAGTCCCAGCTACTTGGGAGGCTGAGGCAGGAGAATAGCGTGAACTCAGAGGTGGAGCCTGCAGTGAGCCGAGATCGAGCCACTGTACTCCAGCCTGGGTGACAGAGCGACACTGCCTTAAAAAAAAACAAAACAAAACAAAAAAAAAAAAACAGGAGAGAGAAGTTTGGTAATAATTAGGCAGTTGAGGTGGTGGGAGAGGAAGAAGGGGCCAGAGGCAGAAGGCGGCATTGGTCAGACGGGAAACACTCATGAGAGGAGGGAAGAAAGGAAATTGTGGGTGTGCAGATATGTCCCACGGGCTGGGGCCAGAGCCCAGCAACAGACCTGAGGGCCTCCTCAGGTGGTCCAGGGAGCCTGATCATTTCTCTCTTCCTTCATTTACTTTACAAATATTTATTAAGGGCCTGCTATATGTGAGGCAGTGTTCAGTGATAGGAGAATCCTGCCCGATTACAACAGTAATCCACTCTTCCCTGTCCCCTGGGAGGTTCACTTGGATGTGCCACCTCCAAGTGACAGACAAAACAAGCAAGCCAGCATGGCTATTTGCACACAGACATTCTGACCCCAGAGCCTACTCTTTTGACACTTATGCTGACTTGGAAAGCAACAAGTGATACAAGGGACTGAGGTTAAGTGTGTTGTATAAACAGCAAGAGGAAAGGGGAAACTGCTGGCCTGGGAGCAGTCAGGGAGGGCTTCCTGGAGGAGTACTTAGCATAAACTGAGCAGCCTAACAGGAGCAAAGTTCTGAAGAATCCAAAGGATTTGGATGGCCAGTGAAGAGGAGGGTGGAGGACAGGATGCTTCAGGCAGGAGAAACAGTTTGGGCAAAGAGCAGGCAGAGGAAACAGAGAGAGGCCCCTGGAGGGATGGGAAAGTGTGGTCCCAAACCTCACAAGCCCAGAAGCTGTCTAGACAGGGGATGACACACGCACATCTGTTAAACTTTACACTCCCCTGTGTCTCCCTTTCTTCCTGGCTACAGGCTTTCTCCAGCCTTCTCTCCTCCTCTTTGGGGCCGTCAAAGAAAGGACAGAAGCTCCTGTAACCTATGGGCCACAGCTTCTCCCTGTCTCCCCTACCTAGCCCAGGCCATCTTGTGGCTCTCCTTGCCTGTTCTTGGAATTCCAAATGGAGGCAGAGAACCAAGCCGGCTCTCAAGAACAGGGCAGGAGACAATAGAAGGGTCATTCAGAGGGAGGAGGGAAAGATCAGGTTTCAAGACAAAGGCTCAGGATCTGGAAAGGAAATTAGGGCATAAAGATTGTAGGGCAAAAATGCAGGGCTTAGGAACCCAGTTACCTGCCTAACTATTGATGTAACAAGACATTCCTGAAGGCTCGTGTGTGCCAGGCACAGTTCTTGGCACTGTGGATAAAGCAGTGAAAAGAAAGCTCCCTGCCCTCCTGGAAGTGATACTCTAAGTCAACATAGGAAAAGCTGGAGTTGAAAGATTCCAGCTACATGTGAGAATGATCAGAAAAGAGGACTGGAAATAATGGCAAACCACCGGCAAGCTGTGAGAACAGAGTGGCCATGGATTAAAGTTAGAGCACAAAGGAAATTTAGAAACAATGTATTCAAGTCTTAGGAAGCTGAGCACCAAAATGTTTTGTATGTCAAGTGGGTAGATGTTTGACAGGCCATATAATTCACACCCTCAAATACCTGAGCATCTGCCACTTGCTTTGTACTGTTTCATGATCAGTAGAAAAAAAAAAAAAGAACAGACAAAACTCTCGATTCTCAGAGAGCTGACAAACAGCGGACAGAGGTAAGCAAACAGCCTGATACTTACTTGGGGGAAAATGCCACAGGGAACACGCTGAGTAGGAGGAGGGTAGGATCTAGAGCTAGCCTGCCTGGGTTTGGATCTCAGCTCCGTCACTTACTAGAGGTTGGGCAAGTGTCTGAACCTCTTGTCTTCTCAGTGACTTCATCTGGAAAGTGAGGACACCTACAAGCACTTGCCTACAGAGTGGATGGTTTAACATGCACGGAGACTTTCAACAGATCTGTATGCAGCAAGTGCCCAATAAATGCTGGCTTGTGTTCTCTGCTAGGTTTGGGCCACCCAGGATTATCTCCTTTCTATAACAGCTCCCAATTTTCTTGGGAGTCTGAGGCCGGGTGTGGCGGCTTACACCTGTAATCCCAGCACTTTGGGAGGCCAAGGCAGGTGGATCATTTGAGGTCCAGAGTTTGAGATCAGCTTAGCCAACATGGTGAAACCCCATCTCTACTAAAACTACAAAAATTAGGCTGGGCACAGTGGCTCACGCCTGTTATCCCAGCACTTTGGGAGGCTGCGGCAGGTGGATCATGAGGTCAGATCGAGACCATCCTGGTTAATGCGGTGAAACCCCATCTCTACTAAAAATAAAAAATTAGCTGGGTGTGGTGGCACATGCCTGTAGTCCTAGCTACTTGGAAGGCTGAGGCAGGAGAATGGCGTGAACCCAGGAGGCAGAGCTTGCAGTGAGCCGAGATTGCGCTACTGCACTCCAGCCTGGGTGACAGAGCAAGACCGTGTCTCAAAAACAACAAAAATTAGCCAGGTGTGGTGACATGTGCCTGTAATCTCAGTTACTCGGGAGGCCAAGGCAGGAGAATTGAGCTGAGATCACGCCACTGCACTCCAGCCTAGGCGACAGAGCAAGACTCTGTCTCAAAAAAAAAAAAAAAATATTGGGGGATCCTTTTCTCCCCACCCTTGGTCCACAAAGTTCAAATTAGGCTCCAGTTCTGGAGCTACAATGCTAGATCGTGGGATCCTAGACCTGGGCCAATCAGAGCCTCCCCACCCCTTGCCTCAGTGACGGGCCAGAGTAATCCAGGCCCTTTGGCCTGACTGGTCAGGAAGAGGCATCCAGTCTTTACAACTGGCTAACTCACTCCATGTGGTTCCAATGTGAGGACCAGGGAAGACAGCGACGCCACTTTGTCTTGAGTGGGGTCGGGAATGAAGCCAACACACCGAACACAGCAGTGCTGTGAAATGCACCATACTTGGGACTTAACAGCACTGGACACCTGGGATCCAGCCCAGCCTGAAAGAGGAAGATTTGGGTTGGGTTCTTTGTTTCAGGCCCAATAAATTCCTCTTTAACTAGTTTCTGTTTTCTTTGTAGGTCAGTTTCCCCATACTTTTGACTCTTCAAGATCAGAAGTGAAATTCCCTTTTTTCAATTAGGTCATTCCTAGTTGCTCTCTCACTTGCAACCAAATGAACCCAAATTGGGGGGCGGGCTGGAGGCAGAGGGCTGACTCCCGTGGCTTCCTGGCCACCTCGTGCCTGTGTGAACAGAGGCCTCAGGGCACGGCCTACCAGCCCACGCTAGGCCTCCTTGGCCTGTGCCCAACTCTCCGCCTTACTGAGGGCCAACTCGCCCATCCTTCTTTGACAACTGATAAGAGAAGGTAGTGTGGAAAAGCGGAAGGAACGTGGGTGTGGGAATCACAAATTCTGGACCTGACTCGGCCACCCTGGCTGTGACTTGGGCCTTCCCTGGCCCTCTGTCCCTGAAGCAGGCCCTGCTCGGTCACCCCCACCCCCAGTCCCAGCACTGCTCTCTTCAGAGCACTTATCATAACTTGTGATTCCTCTATTTACTCTCTGGCCTGAGTTTGTGTTTGTGTGCGTGTTTTTTTTTTTTTTTTTGAGATGGAGTCTCCTCTGACATCCAGGCTGGAGTACAGTGGCATGACCTTGGCTCACTGCAACCTCCACCTCCCAGGTTCAAGTGATTCTCCTGCCTCAGCCTCCTGAGTAGCTGGGATTACAGGCACCCGCCACCATGCCTGCCTCATTTTTTTTTTGAGACGGAGTTTCACTCTGTCGCCCAGGCTGGAGTGCAGTAGCGTGATCTCAGCTCACTGCATACCTCCACCTCCTGGGTTCAAGTGATTCTCCTGCCTCCGCCTCCTGAGTAGCTGGAACTACAGGTGCCCACCACCACGCCCGCTAATTTTTTTGTATTTTTAGTAGAGACGGGCTTTCACTGTGTTAGCCAGAATGGTCTCAATTTCCTGACCTTGTGATCCACCCGCCTCGGCTTCCCAAAGTGCTGGGACTACAGGCGTGAGCCACCGCGCCCGGCCACACCTGCCTAATTTTTGTATTTTTTTTTTTTTTTTTTAGTAGAGACAGGGTTTCACCATGTTGGCCAGGCTGGTCTCAAACTCCTGACCTCAAGTGATCTGCCCACCTTGGCCTCCCAATGTGCTGGGATTACAGGCGTGAACCGCTGCACCTGGCCTGGGTTTTTATTTTGTAGAGGGGCATCCCTCCACCAGAAGCTCGCATGGGCAGGGGCTGTCTCTTGGTTGCCTGACGCCACGGCCCCAGCTCCTGGCAGAGCCGAGGTGCTAATTCTTCCAGATAGGCAGCCGAGATTTCCTGAGCACCTACTATGTTCCCGGCCCTATTCTTCAGTGCTGGGAATCAGGAAAAACAATCCTTCATGGATCAGACACCAAAATAAATTACACAACATATGAGGCAACGTGTCCCAAGGAGATCAAGTCCTAAGGAGGGAGGTTGGAGTGCTAGGGAGTGAGGGGGTGTAACTTTAAATAGGTTGGGTAGCGAAGGCCTGAGAGATGACAGTTGGGTGGATCCCTGCAGGAGGGGAGGGAACATGCCTTGTGGATATTTAGGGGAAGAGCATCCTAGGCACAGGGAACAGAAAGCGCAACTGTCCTGAGGTAGGAAGATGCCTGAGGGAGGGCCGGAAAGGGGGCACGCATGGCGGCACGGAGCTGAGTGAAGGGGGCTGGGGGGTTCTAGCTTGCGGGTGATGTGATCTGGTGTAGTTTTTTTTTTTTTTTTTTTTTTTTTGAGACAGAGTCCTGCTCTGTCGCCCAGGCTGGAGTGCAGCGGCACGAACATAGCTCACTGCAACCTCCATTTCCCAGGCTCAGGCAATCCTCCCACCTCAGCCTCCCAAGCAGCTGGGACTGCAGGTGAGGACAACCATGCCCGATTACTTTTTAAATTTTTGGTAGAGATGAGGTCTTGCTATGTTGCCCAGGCTGGTGTTGAACTCCTGGACTCAAACAATCCTCTCACCTCAGCCTCCCAAAGAGCTGGGATTACAAGCATGAGCCACCATGCCCAGCCCTGATGTAAGTTTTAACAGAATCCTTCTGACTATGTGAGGGGAACAGACTGCAGGGCATGAGGGTAGGCACAGGGAGGCCACTGAGATGACTAGGTGGGAGCAAAGAAGGGGCAAGAGGTGGACGGTTTCTGAATATTGTTCAGTGAATGAATGAATAACTGCACGGTGGGAAGACTGGAATTGGCTGAATGCTCCAGTTACTAATACTGTGTAACAATTTACCGCAAAACTTAGTGGTGAATTAAAATCTTTCTTTTATTCTCAGAGGCTCCTGATCAGGAACTTGCGCAGGACATGGCAGGAAGGGCTGGTCTCTGCTTTGTAACGTCTGAGGCCACTGCTGAGAAGGCTCAGCAGGGCCTTGGCTTGTCTGGCAGTTGTTGCTGGCAGTCGGTTGGGAGCTTGGGAGGGGCTGCGGAGTGGGCACCTCCATGTGGCCTCAGTGTGGCTTGGGCTTCCTCACAGCATGGCGGCCTTGCAGTGGGGTCTGATTTCTTACACAACAGCGAGGGTCCCAGTGATCCAGGGGGAGCTGGCTCATCTTTTCTGCTGTCCCATGGTGTTCCTTCCACCAGGGCTACGCACGTCTGGCCAGATTCAAGGGGAGGGGACACAGACCCACATCTCAACAAAGGAGCATCAAGGTCCCACCATGGATGAGCCTGCAGGGTACCGTGTGGCCATCCCGTAAAACAGTCAGTCCTGCTGGGTCACAGAGGCTGGCCAGGCCTGGGGCAGCCACGTGGGCCTCCCCTGCAGTACATCCTCCCTCCTAGGAAGTGAAACCCGATCTGATCCCTGGCTGTCGGGGCTGGGCGTTTGTGCTCACGTCCATTTCAAAGAATCTGTGAGCCTCGGAAAGTCCTGGGTGGGCACTCTTCCTTCTCACATGACCCAAGGGTGTTAAAGCCACGATGTCAGGTCCAGGGGGTTCTGAGCAGGGCAGGAGGGTGAACTGAAGGGCTCGTACCAGGAGCTAGAGTCACAACAACCTCTCCTCCTTATTCTAGATAACACATCTGCTCAGTTCTATGTACGCCAGAAACATTGATTTCTTCCCATTTTTTAACCACTCCCAGCTTATTTTTAAGTAGAAAGGAAGCCACCTAACAAACCCAGAAAACCCCACAGAAGAATAAGACCTCGTTTGGGGAAAAAGGCCCCAACCTCCCCCAGCTCTTCCCTTCTGCAGAGGCAAGAAATTTTCCAACTCAGCCTCTGCCCTTGAGCCCTGTGCTCAAAGCCGCCCAACAACATGGAGGTTGCCCTGGAGTCCAGGAGGGAAGGCTGCTGTCCCTGGGAGCCCCTCTCATCAGGCAGGTATTGGCTTGTCAGTGGCAGGATGGGGCGGGGGCGGGGGCAGTGATGATGAGGCTCTGCAGGCTTCAAATGGGGGTGCTGGGCCAGGGCTCCGGGGCCAAGCTTGGAAGGATGCTCATCATGCCTGGCTGGGCAGGAGACCTGGAAACATCTCCCAACCTGCCGGAACTCCGCCTGGGATAACACAGCTTTTCCACCTGGGCCAGAATCAACTGCTGCTAGAGTTTTTTACAGGCAGCTCCCCAGGAAGTTTCTGGCAAGATGGCAGCTTCCAGGGCAGGGGCTCCTGATTTGAGGCAAATGGTACAGCCTGATCTGCTCCGAAAGGGATGACAGGGCTGATCGTTAACCTCTGTGCTCCATCCCATATGCCAGCGTCTCAGAATAAATAAATGAATTTTTAAAAGTCTGGTATAAGTAGAATACCCAAATCTGGGCCTAAATTCATTCATTCATTCCCTTTCTTATTTCAATAAATTTATTTAGAAAGAAAAGTCTATCTTGGAGGAACCAGCACCCATTGCCATAAACCTGGGTCTCTCAACCTTGGCATTACTGCCGCGTGGGCAGGATCATTCTTCGATGGGGGACTGTGCTGTGTATCACAGGGTGTTCACAGGCCTCTGTCCATGAGATGCAAGTAGCACCTACCCCAGTTGTGACAATCAAAAATATCTCCAGACACTGCCAAATGTCCCCCTAGGGGGCAAAACTGCCCCTAGGTGAGAACCCCTGCCATACTTAGATGGCAACAGTATAAAGGCAATGACATTGTGGTTACATTCTTGCTTGCCAAGGCCTCTGCGCTTCCCCTTACATTGGGAGTAGGTCTCCTTGAAGACCATAAAGGAGGAGTTCACGCGATTCCCTCCTTGATGACCCAGAGGCTTGGAGGAGAGCAGAAAAGGAAAAGGGGAAAAAGGAAAAGTTAAAGGTTTTTACGTTGGAAATGGCATTTCCAATGTAGTCCAGGCCCTACCCCGTCTCTTATCCTGAATCTAGGCCACTTCACTCACTCAGGTCTCCTGCCCGACCCTCCTCCTGCCATGACCTGCTTATGATGAGATCAACGCCACTTACGCCCTGTGCGTGGACGGCTAAGATGAAGACTACACCTTGATCCAGTCAATGGGACCTGGTTGGTGGAGGCCACCGGTCTGGCACAAGACTTGGCAATGCAAGAAGTCTGGATGTTGTCTGGTGACCTTTGGAGAGAGATATGTTTGCAGTGGCCTTTGTCTAAAGCAGGGACAAATATGCAAATGCATCCAAGGGTCGGGCAGGAGACCTGAGTGAGTAAAGTGGCCTAGATTTAGGATAGAGATGGGGTGGCGCCTGGACTACACCGGAAACACCATTTCCAAAGTAAAAACTTTCAACCTATTTTAAGCACTGAGCGGGCTCCATAAAGCCCCGCTGGAGCTTGGCCTGGGAGCTATGTGCGACTCTTCCAAGCTATCCAATCTTTCCTGAGCACCTACTATGTGCCACATGCTAAGAAACAGCAGTGGCCACAAGGCAGGCCAGGCCTCTGTCCTCATGGAGCTGTGATACCTTGGTGGAGGAGAAAATGAATGAATGAAGATTGTCTTAAGAGCTTTGGAGGAAGCTGTCAGGTGATAGGATGGACAGTAAATTGGGAAAGGCCTCTCTGGCATGAGGAGGTGGCATAAGGAAATGGCATCTGAGCTGAGAGCAGAGGCGGGCGAGAAGCCAGTTGTGGGCAAAATGCTTTCTATGAACGGAGGAAGTAAGTGCAAAGGCCCTGGGGTGGGAATGTGCACAATGAAACCAACATGGTGCAGCCGAGCACGGCAGTGTGGCCCACAGGAGGCTGGACACCCCTTTGCCCCAGCCCATGCCTTCTGGGCAGGCCACACCCGCTGTCCTTTCTGGCTGTTTAGAGGAAGTAGAAATCAGATACAGAAATTCCCACCTCTGTTCTTTGTTCCTTTGTCTCAGCTGTGGACAAAAGCTTCCCTGGCAGGGAGTTACAAAGTTATTTCTGCAAAAGGCCTTTGGCCAAAAGCAATAAAGTCCGACTTGAACAGAGTCATTATTCACGCCTAACTGTGGGCTGGTTCTCAGTGTAGACTGCCACAGTGGGGACTGACAATTCCACCTTTTTAACCCCCTCCTCCTTTTCAGCCCCACATTTTCTTAGCCCTGCTTACCCCCACAGAACATGTATTTATGTTTCCAGAGATTGTCGTTTCCTTCCAGAAGAATATAAAAGGAATAAAAGGTATTTTGACGGCTTGGTATTAATAATCCAATTACTTCTTTCCTTTTCACCCAATCCACAGGCGAGCGTGCCGTCCTCAGCCAGCTTGCCCCTGCTATTAGCAGATGAGCTGTTCATTAGTTCACCTTGGAAACAGCCCGACACTTACAATTATTTTAGAAGCTGGGGGAAGGAGTCAGAATCAACTTTTACCAAATCACCTGCTACATTTGGAGATGCGAGTGGAGTGCCTTTGGAACGACAGGTCGGCTTCCCAATGTGGCTTGCTGTGCAATCTAATTAGCAGCCGGAAATAGACCGGCAAGTGGGAGGAAAGCCCGGGTCAGAGGCTCTGCGAGCTGAGATTAGTCTGGATCAGTTTTTCCTACTAGCAGCCTCCCCTGCTGCGGGGACTCACTGGGTGTCACCAGGTGTTGGGGTGGAAGGCAGTGTCACTGGTGAGGCGGGGTCTGGGAGGAGGGAGTGCAGGCATTGAGCCCAGGTCCCTCATTACCGCGCATGCTCTCCTTTCAGGAGCCAGAAGCAAACTGCCCCTATCTTCTGGAGGGGGATATTGAGGCATGGCAGGGGTTCTAGGAGTTGACTTTGCCCCGTAAAGTGGAGAGAAGCTTCCAGACCCCCAGCAGCACCTGAGCTATGGGGCCCTGGAGCTGGAGAAGCTGCCACACAGGTTTGGGCATTCTACTTATACTGGACTTTCAAAGTCCATTCACTCGTTTTAAAATGTTCATTGCTCTGCCAGGGGTGGAGTCACCTATGCAGGGGCGGTGCAGAGATTTCTAACAATTTTTGTCCATCTGGTCCCCTTCTTTTGACAGCACCCCAGCTTCCTTTTGAGGACTCCCTCCCCTCTGCCAAGATGCCCCCATCCTCTCTGCCAAGGGGTGATCATGTGACCAAGGTCAATCAGACTTTCTTACCATGTCCCCAACTGTCAAATAAAGTGTCAAGGGCAGAAAGAAAAAGCAGGGGTGCATTTGTCGCATTGGGATGGAAACTCTCCTTCAGGAGGCTGCTAGTAACTCCTGCGCCAAGGTCCCCAGAATTTCCTCAGTTCCTGACCTGTCCTTTCCTGAGCCCCCCAGTAAATCCTGTTCCAGCTTGAGGTAGTAAGTGTTGGGCTCTGCTACTTGCAGTCTGTGATGAATGGGTACTTTGGTGGACTCCAAAAAGCCACACTGCCTGGTATTCAAACCCTTGTGTGGGCCCCACCTCATGAAACCGGGCTGGCTTTGGGACCTGTTTTGACCAAGAGAAGGTGGCAGAAGTGATGCTGTGCCGGTTTTGCGGTTAAGCCTTAAGAGACCGTGGCAGCTTTCATTTTTGCACTCTTAGAAGTCAGGCTACCCTGAACCTGCCATACTGCGAGGAAGCCCAAGTAGCCATAGGGCAGAGCCCACATGGAGAATAACTGAGCTCCCATCTGGTGACCAGCAAGAGCTGCCAGCCATTTGAATGGGGTTGTTTTAGACCTGCCAGCTGATATCACATGAAGCTGAAGAACCACCTGGTCAAACCACAGAATCGTCCAAAATAAAATGTTGTTACCTTAAACCACTGAGTTTGGAGTGGTTTGTTATACAGCAGAAACACAACCCAAGAATCCTCAGTGACACTGATCAGAGCCCATTCCCCCAACAGAAATGTCACAAATGACTATGAGGTTAAGACTTTCAGCCTCTTCGGCTAATGAACACTTGGAGGAGAACATCATTCATTCATTCCTTTAGTCATTCATTCAAACAGCCAGTAAGCCTAGCACAGATGGTACAAAGATGAACAAGCTTCAGGACCTCCTGTTCTAGTGAGGGCATCACACACAGTGCCTCAGTTTCCTTACTGATAAAGTGAAGATGATATTAGTCCCTGCTTCAAAGGCTTGCTGTGATGATGAAATGCTGGGCAAAAAGTAATCAATAGATATTAGACATTATTATTACTACACACTTGCAATGCACAATGTAAGTGTCCAGGGACACTTGCAATGTCCCTGGAAGTGTAGCCATTGGGTACAAAGTGTCACAACGGGAGACAAACTCAAATGCCTACGTGGGCCAGGCAGATAATGTAAACGGGTGAAGTGGACGCATAAGAAAACTCCACACCCCACTTCCTCTCCAGCTCTCATCTGGCCACTTTTGGTAGAGATGGAACAGAGAAATATTGCTCCACAATGAGAAAAACAGAAGGGAAAGTGCAATGAAAAGCCAAATGAATTGGTTCACAATGTCAGGCTATAGGGGATGGTGGGGACCACATCTCCCCATTTTTCAGGAGAAGCTGAAAATCCAGATTTTTAAAATGTGAAATCTCGTAGTTGTTACAAATCTGACAGCTTTTTAGAAGGTTCAAACAAAACATTTCTGCGAGCTGAACAGAGCCCCTGGTTAGGTGGCCTGTGATGTCCTATTCTACCAGCATGGCAGAGCAAGGAGAGACTTCGTTGTGTCTCTTTCCTCCTTTGTAAAACGGGGTTGGAAGATCCCCACATCGCTGAGTTATTCCACATTCACAGGAGCGCGCACTTAAACCACCACTAGCCTGTACAAAGTGCTCGGTAAATGTGAGCTTTCAGGAGGGTAGGTTGGGGAGTGGAGGTTAAAGAGGCTGCTCTCCTGGGCTGTGACCGCTGTTCTTTCAGGAAGGGACAATTTAGGGAAGGGAGTTGTCTTTTCAAGGGCACATGCAGAAATATTTAACCCAAGAGCCCTCATTAGAATGTCACACCACTGACCTGGAAGACTAGCTTGGCCCCAGAGTCATCAGAAGTGGAGGGTTCCACCAGCCCTTCTGCAAGGCCGTGAGGTCCCTGCCGTGGCATAAAGGGGACGATCCTTCCTCTGCAAGCAATGCTAGCACAAAACCCCAGCTCTGGCACTGGGGAGCAAGTGAGTGTGTATGAAACCAATCCTCCCAGCCACCTGCTTAGCTTTTTGCAAATGACTAACAGGTTTTGACATCCTTGCCCTGAGCAGTCACCTTCGAGCAAACATGCTAGCCAGATGTGCCTGTAGCTCTCCAAGCCTCTTTCTTTTCTTGCTTCCTTCATTCAAAAAAAAATTTACTGAGTATCCAAAGAGTGCCACCCTGGTTCTCAGTGCTGGGGATACAGCGATGAACAAGACAGACAATGTCCCTACAAGCACAGAGCTTGCTTTTTAGTGAGGAGAGAGAAGACAAAGGACAAATAAGCAAACCAGGCTAATTCCAGAGAGTGATAAGTGTTATAAAACATAAAACAGGTTGTCCTTCCAGCATTCTAGGGAGGTGACATTTCAGCTGAGATCCGAAGCATAGGAAGGAGCCAGGTCCTTTCCCAGTGTTTGATTTAGAGGTGAGTGCAAAACCCAACTCCGGACCAATGAAACAGAAAGCAAAGTCTGCTAGGGTGGGAGTGTTCTGGCAAGGATTTTACTCTCTGATTAAAAGAGAGACAGCAAGGAGTCCTGTCCTATAGTCCCACTTTGTAGGGTGATGCGACGTCTGGAGCTGTGGCAGCCATATTGAGACTATGAGGCAACAAGGCCAAAGACATGATGAGGACAGAAGAAGAGGCTTGAAAGATCCTGGGACCTTGGATGACACTGTTGTACTGAAAAACCAGCGCCTGGACTCCCCTGCTTTGGACTTGGTGTTATGTGAGAATTAAATGTTTCTATTGCATAAGCCACTGTCAGTCAGAAATGTGATTCCTCATAATGAAACCATTTCAATTCACATTAAAATGATCAGGACTCTAAGCTACTAAGAATTATAGTAGGCTTTCCTGGTCTCTGAAATATCCAGATAAGTGGCCTGCAATCAGAAGTCTATGGATAGTATCTGTCTCGAGAGCAGACCAGAAATGTGGCTTTCAGATGGTCTGATTTTCACCAAGCAGGAACATCTCCAAGGCTTCTGTGAGCTAACAGTTTTTTCAATCTCTTTTCAAAAAGTTCCAGGCCAGGCAGGGTGGCTCACGCCTGTAATCCCAGCACTTTTGGAGGGTCACTTGAGCCCAGGAGTTTGAGACCAGCTTGGGCAACATAGCAAGATCTCATCTCTACCAAAAAAAAAAAAAAAAAATTAGCTGGGTATGGTGGCCTGTGCCTATAGTCCCACCTACTTGGGAGGCTGAGGTGGGAGAATCACTTGAGCTTGGGAGGTTGAGGTGGTAGTGAACTGAGACTGTGCCACTGCACTCCAGCCTGGATGACAGTGCAAGACCCTGTCTCAAAAACAAAAAAGCTCCTCTTCTCTGGCTACTGGGGTGGGTCAAGTCACCCGCTGGGGTCCTGACCATGAGCCAATAAGAAAAGCTATTGGCCACATTCTTCCCCTAACACATCTGGCTTCCACATGGCCAAACACATCTTTGGTACTATTTGTGGTCCCTGGGGATGGCCCTGTCCACCAACTTACACACACAAGACCTGGCCATAACAACTCTGAGTTTGGGATAGAATTTATCTAAGATTCAAGCTGGGCCCAGGTGTGCAGAGCAGTGGGCCAGGCCTTCTGTAAGATGACGCTCCATGGCAGAGGCCAGGGCCACTGGGCAACGTGTGCTTTGGAATCACATTAAGAGAACGTGGGGAATTCAAAACATTCTGGTTACAGAGAATTCCAAGAAGCCCTGGCCTGGGCTGGAGGAGAAGCTCTGAAGGCCATGCCAACAGCTGTTCCACCCAGAAGGCATCGTGCTGCCTACAAGGCCCGAGATCCCACATGACCTTAAGCAATTTCCCAAGGGCATCTGTGGCAGAGCAATGAATATTTAGCTCTGTCTGTTAATCACTGAGAAACCAGGCGATGAAGAAGGGGAGGCTCAGCCCGAGCCTTCAGGAACTTCTTGGAAATGTCAGAGAGGTGAGCATGTGGGATATGCTAAAAATATTCATCAAATAGATTCATGACAGGCACTAGGGGGAGGCTGGGGGGAGAAAACCACACTAGAAAACAAAACACATTCTCTCTGGATAATTGTGTCCAGTCCCACAGCTTAAAATAACATCAATATGCCGATAACTCCCAAACTTAGGTTGCCAGCCCCGACCGGCTGCAGACATCCACGTTCACCACCCACTGAGCTTTCAGACATCCAGGTGGGGTTCATCTCAAACCCAACATTTCCACGTCGGAATTCCAGATCACTCCTCCTCCCCAAAACCTTCTCTCCTATCTTCCCTATTTAGCAATCACCACGCACCAGGCTGCCTAGTCACCTTTGACTCCTTGGCAGGATACATCATGAATATTTGGGCTGAATCATTTTTCACTGTGGGGTCATCCCGTACATTGCAGGTTAAGCAGCATCCCTGGCCTCTACCCTCTAGATGCCAGTAGCAACCCTTCCCCAGTTGGGACAACCTATACTGTCTCCGGATAGTGTTAAAATGTTTTCTGGGTGTCAAAATCACCCTCGGTTGAGAATCAAAGCCCTTTCCCTCACTCTGTAATCCAATCCACTAGGAAGTCCTGTGGGCCCTACCTCCAAAATACATCTCCAATCCCCATTTCACTCCATCTCCATTGATACCACCACGGTCCAAGCCACTCTCGGGCCCTCTCTGTTGCCTAACAGTCCCGGTGATACCACTTCCATCTGCACAGCACGCCTCTCACAGGAGCCAGCAGGATCTTCTTGAAACACAAATCATATCATTCTCTGACTTAAAACCCTCCAATGGTTCTCCATTTTATTTTTTAATTTATTTTTGAGATGGAGTCTTGCTCTGTCACTCAGGCTAGAGTGCAATGGCACAATCTCAGCTCACTGCAACCTCCACCTCCTGGGTTCAAACGATTCTCCTGCTGCAGCCTCCCGAGTAACTGGGATTACAGGTGTGCGCCACCGTGCCTGGCTAATTTTTGTATTTTTAGTAGAGATGGGGTTTCACCATGTTGGCCAGGCTAGTCTTGAACTCCTGACCTCAGGTGATCCACCCGCCTTGGCCTCCCAAAGTGTTGCGATTACAGGCATAAGCCACCGCGTCCAGACAGTTATCCATTTTATTTAAAATAAAGTCTAAAATTTCTTAGCATGGCCTGTATTTCTCATCTCTGACGTGCCCTCCCCCACTTACTCCTGACCCTCTACCCTAGTTGACTTTTTTTTTTTTTTTTTTTGAGACAGAGTCTGACTCTGTTGCCCAGGCTGGAATGCAGAAGTGTGATCCCGGCTCACAGCAACCCCTGCCTCCCGGGTTCAAGTGATTCTCCTGTCTCAGCCTCCCAAATAGCTGGGACTACAGGCACGTGCCACCACACCTGGCTAATGTTTGTATTTTTAGCAGAGATGAGGTTTCACCGTGTTGGTCAGGCTGGTCTTGAACTCCTGACCTCCAGTGATCTAACTGCCTCAGCCTCCCAAAGTGCTGAGATTTCAGGCGTGAGCCACCACGCCTGGCCTACCCCACTTGACTTCTATTTGTGTTTGGGGCAGGTGTCTTGGACAGGCCCCTCCCACCGCCTCTGGGCCTTTGCACTAGCTGTTCCTTCTACCTGGCATGCTCTTCCCCCAGATCTTTCCAAGGCGGACTCCTTCCTAAAATCTAGGTCACAGTTCAAAGGTCACATCCTCACAGAGGCCTCCCTGACAGCCTGCCTAAAGTTGCCTCCCACCCCATCACATCATGCAGTCATTTTTCTTTTAAATTTTTTTTTGAGACTGAGTCTCACTTTGTTGCCCAGGCTGGAGTGCAGTAGTGCGATCTCAGCTCACTGCAACCTCCGACTCCTGGGTTCAAGCGATTCTGGTGCCTCAGCCTCCTGTGTAGCTGGAATTACAGGCAAGCACCATCACACCTGGCTAATTTTTGTATTTTTAGTAGAGAGAGGGTTTTGCCATGTTGGCCAGGCTGGTCTCAAACTCCTGACCTCAAGGGATCCTCCCACCTCGGCCTCTCAAAGTGCTGGGATTATAGGCATGAGCCAGCACGCCAGGCCTAGAGCATTTTCCCCGCCTTCTGACAGCCCCTGCATTAGGCAGGAAGACAAAGAGGCCCACGCTCCAGAGCTCTCTTCGCCAAACCCTCCTGCTGATATAGAATATACACATGACATATTGGTCATGCCCCCCAGCATCCAGGACCCTCCCTAGAAGTTTGATTCAACAGGATCTGGTCTTTGCCTTTTTAAACAAATACAGCCAGATGATTCTCATGGTGGGAGGTTAGACAAACACTGCCCCTGGCCCCCCGAAAGCACAGGATCAAGGCCAGGCCCCATCCTTCAGACAGTAAGGCAGAAAAGTCAGGCCTTTGATGCCTCCTGGCCCTGGTGGAAGGGAGAGGCATTGCCCAGGCAGCGTGTTTCCCCAGTCTCCACCTTGGCCAAAATGAAGATGGGTCCATCTGGCCAGCATTGCTCACATTAGTGGCCCATCATCGCAGGCACTGGCCATCTGCCTCTCCAGCAACCGGGCTTCCCTTTCACTGGGGACTCCCCGTGCTGTTTTATTCCAGGCTTTGGGGTCTCAGCAGTCAGCCTCCATCCAGCTCCAGGGAGAGGCCTGTGAGCCTGGCTTAAGCCAATTGTTGGCAACTCATTTCCTTAGCCAGTGACTGGTTTGGACAAAAAACAGTCCAATCAGAGGGAACCATGGGGCTCAGGTGTGCATTGCCAGATCAGAGGCTTGTTCTTTCCTTTTGGGCTTAAACCAGAGGGGATGAGACCCCTCTGCTCCATGACATCTGTCCTGACACCTAAGTTATGGTAACAGTCAATGCCTACTGAAGGCTCACCTGGGTCAGACGCCCTGCTAAGCACTTGACATTGATCATCTCATTTCATGCTTACCACAAGCAGGAGACAGGTGCTATGATCATCATCATTTGTTGGATGTGAACATCAAGGCACAGAAAGGTTAAGTAGCATGCCCCAGATCCCACTGCTGGGCAGGGAGCCAGGCAGTCTGGCTCTCCTAGCCACGGTGCCCACAGCTGCCAGGGACTGCCCGCCCCAGAGCTGGAGAGACATCAGCCTCATGGAAGGCAGAGGAGCGGTGGATAGGAATGGATTCTCATTACAAAATCTGAGCTGTGGGTCCAGCTGTGTCTGAAGCTAGAGTTAGTCACCTTAAGACTTTTGGTTATGAAAACCAGTAAGTCCACTTCTTTTCTCCTTAAGCTGGCTTGAGTTTTTTTCTTCTCTTTTTCCGTTGCTTGCAAGAGAAAGGAACCTGATTACTTTACAGTTCTTCTAGGCAAGTACCCCTAACTGATACTCCATTTGCAACTTGCACACAGCAGCTGCTCAGTAAACACCAGCAGATACGGATGGACTGCTCTCCCTTCCGGTCCATTCACTGCTGGATCTGTACCCTGACACCCAACTGTGGCCAGCCCAGCGCTTCTTCCCCTTTAGGCTCCAAGTGAGGCCTCGTTCCCTAGCAACCACCCCAATTAGGCAACCATGCCATTTATCGGGATGCCAATTAATTATAACGATCTTAATGCCCTCCCAATTAGACAGTGCCTTCAATCCGGCTGGGCCAGGGCTGTCTGTAGATCTCCACCAAGGCCCATTCCAAGGAGGCCCAGAGAAAGCAGGTTTCAGGGAGGGCCCCCTCACCTGCAGATCAGCATTGAGAGAGGCCCCCATCTTCCACATCCGCCCAGGCCTGACACAGAGCACCCTGGCACCACCCCCAGGGCCAGGCCATCGAGACTCCATCACCAACCACAGGAAGGTCTCACCTCTAGGAGAGCTTTTGCTCTCTGGCCACTGTGCTCTGAGTGGGCTGAAATCTTCACCATGGTTCACCTGGCTTTTCCATCAGCTGCATTTGATGTTTCCCTTTGCATTTTGACTGGGGGAGGGGACAGTGTGTCTGCTCATAAGCAGAAGAAAAAGCACCAGGCAGACACATGTTTTCCTTGGGGCAAAAAACCTCAAATACAAACCCGGACTCTCTGTCGGAACAGTGGGGGTTTATGGAAAGTTAAGGGCCTTTTACTTTGCAAAGTTTGACTGTCTGAAGGTGTTTTCTTCCCCTGCATATGTGTTTCTTCTACATCTGGGACAAAGGCCAAGGTCATGGAGGAGAGTCCAGTGGTTCCAAGTGGACCCCGGAGCTTGAGGGCCTCTTGAATCCCAGCTCTACCTGTGACCAGCTGTAGGCAAGTCACAATCCTCTCTGTGCCTGTTTCCTCATCTTTAATATGGCAACAATGGCAGTACTTACTTAACAGGGTATTTGTGTGGATTTAATGAGTAAGGTATAAGGGCTTAGATCAATGCCTCAGATCAGGCCCATACAAAACTACTTAAGTGTTACCAATTATCTTAAGTCTGGACTAAACCTTTTCTTTTAACTACAAGCTGGTCAGAAATGCTGATATTTTTCTGTAGGACAGGGCTTCTGGACTCCTTCTGCAGGACTAAAGTCTAAGGTCAGATAATGGCCAAAGCTTGACAGAGTTGGGTGATATTCTGCCTGGTTAACCCAGCTGCCCTCTTGAGGCAGGTCCAAGCAGATAAACTAACCAGTGCCAGAAAAAGTGAGAAGGAAATGTTATCTCCCAAATCAGGTCCAAATCAGGTGTGAAACTGCATATCAACTGGGTTCTTTGGACAGCAGCTGAACTGGGGGACATGCACGTGCATGCACACACACTGCTATGCTGTCCTCCTCCAAGACCAGACTTTTACAGTCAACTCATCACTCTACTCTCAAGTTTGAAAATTTAACATGTTATTAGGGTTTCAGAAAAAGCCATAAATTCAAATAAAAAACCCAAGAAGTACACACAAAGCCCAAACCCCAAACCCACATTGACCCTCAGCTGCAGCAGTGATGCCAACATCACGGCCTTTATGTATATAAATTTAGCTGGGGAAGGAAGAGGCCTTCATGTACAAAGGTCCAACATGCCATCTGCCAAGCCCACCACCTTCGCCTTTCAAGCTGCTTATTAGAACGCTAAATTACACATCCGACAGGCTGTCTGGATGAGTTTTCTCTTCTCTATGATGTGGGAGAGACGAAGCTGGGGAGAACATCTCTTACAGGGAAGGGGCCCCCTTCGTTCTGTCCTCCCTACCCCGTTCCTATACTTAACGATTGGCTCTAATTTAATTAGAACCCTCTGGTGGTTCTGTAATGGGAGGCAGAGGCTGTCAAGAAATCACCTTCACTATTCACTACAAGCTGAAATTTGGAGAGCGCGCAGATCCGGGGGTGTCCTCCAGAGAAAGCCCGTCTCTCCTGCTCCCTGTCTCCCCCTGAGAACCTGCTCCAGCGCAGCCTCCCCTTCTCTGCCCCAAAAGTGGGGGTGGACCCGGTGGGAAACAGGCAGGGGACAGATGGAGGGGCGAGAGGGCGGGTGTCCCAACACGCACAGATGAGCAAATACCCAGATTGAAACGTAAGCTGAATGTAATTACTTGGTTAATTAAATATTGACTTTTAACTCAAAAAGTGATTAAAACAAGCTGCAGGAAGACTTTCCAGAAAGGGGGGCAGGGAATGAATCAAAGCTTTCAAGGGGGAGGAGGAGGAGGAGAGGGTCGTCACAGGCAGGTCTGGCTTGCTCTTCCTACTGTGTGCTGGGCCTACTGCGTGCAGGTGGGGGAGTTGCGGACCGAGGCCAGTGTGCAAACTAGGATTGCAGGCTTCCCTTTCCATCTTCCACCCCGAGACGGCATCTCTCTACCCTGCTGCCCTCCCAGTGAACCGGCAGCTTCTGGCGCGCAGGAGCCAGATCCTGTTCAGCCGCGTTTCCCTGGAACAGAACGCGGTGCCCGGCACGAGGGGGTGCTCCAGAAATGCTTGTAGAACGAATGAACGAACTACTATAAGGAATGTTTGGAAAAGTGCACTCCTAGAATTCACCGCTAGACTTCTGAAACCCCGAGGAGCCGGGGAGGGGAGCATCCCTCCGCCAGGCGATGGAAACTCGTTCTGCCCTGGCCTGGGAGGAAGTCTGCCTTTTCGATCCTGTTTGTCCTTTCGGTGTCTGCGAGTTTCCAACCACTCTGAAGATCCGGCCCACTGCTTCCCCGAGTCCTGCCCGGACAAGCCCCACGTGGGCTGGCATCTACCGGTCCCTTGGGTCTAAACCCTAAGGGTCAACAAGGCCATGCCCCTGCGGATGGCCGGCCCAGGCGCGCTCCCCTACCCGGGGCCGCCTGTGCTCGGTGTGCCGTGTCCGCGGGTCAGGGGCGCGGCGGGAAGTCCTCGCCCGCCCGCCAGCCAGCGGGGTCAAACAGGTCATCCCTCTGCGGACGGCCGGCGCCGGAGCCTCCCTCCCGCCCGCCCGGACCCACCTCCGCAAGCAGCGCTGGGGCTGGAGCCGGGCGGTCCGGACCAGCCCCGGCTCACCTGGGCGGCGCTCGCGGCCGGGCTCACGCCGGGGAAGGCTCCGGCCGCCGCGAGCCCCCGCCCGAGCCCCGCGTCCCCCAGCCACCCACCTGCCCCCCACGCCCCACTCACCAGCGCGCACGGCCCCGGCAACCTCACCCGGAGCGGGGCGCCGCCGCCGCCTCTGCCGCAGCCCGGCCGGGCCGCTGGGCGCAGGGGACTCCGCGCCGCCGCTGCCGCTGCCGCCGCCGCCGCCGCCGCTGCCGCTGCTGCATCCCCCGGCGAGCGCTGCTGCTCCTCCTCCTGCCTCCTCCCCGCCCCCCAACGCCGCCGCCACCGCCCCCGGCCCCCTCCCCGCGCGCCGCCCCAGCCAAAGTCCGGCTCCGCACCCCGCCCGGACCGCTCTTAAATCGCCCCAGCCCGGCCGGCCACGCTGCCCCAGCCAGCCCCTTGGCACGGCGCTACCGCCCCCCGCTCGCCTGCCCGCCGGCCTCCACGCAGGGGAGGCGGGCGCGCTCCGGGGCGGGGAGCGTCGGGCCGGGAGCCGCGGACGGCTGGGGCCCGGGGCGCGGGGGGCCCAGCCGCGGTGCCCTCCTCGAGCCCTCCGCGCGCTAGCGCTTTTACCTCCGGCCTGGGGGACGCGCGGCCCGCGACCCGGCCCTGCCTGTCCCCGGCGCACGGCCCCGGCCCCGGCCCCGAAGTCCAGCTCCGGACGGGGCAGTGAACGCAGAGCTGGGGTCCCGGCGGCTCTCGACCTCCCGATGCCTCCGGACTCGGCTGGCCGCGCTCCCGGCGCCGAGCGCGCACCCTCGCCGGGACACACAGACGCACACTCACTCGACACACTCTCGCTCCTGCTCGCCCTCGGCGGAGAGTTGAAACAGATGTGGGATTCGCCCAGGAGCTGGAAACGAGGGAGGGAAGCGAGCCAGAGCCTTGTGTGCACGTGTGTGTGCGTAACACACAAACCAGGGGGCATCGCTAATAAATCAAATATCGTGATAAATTCAGGAGGGCCATCGATCAGGTCCACTTGGCTGGAAACGACGTGAATCTGCCTCTTTTCCGCTTTCTTCTTCTCCTCTCTCGGAGCTGGAGGGAGCCAAATGTTCCGCGGGGAGTGCGACAGCCCCGGCCGGGCGCTCCCCTCGTAATGACACGTTAATAAATGTTTTCTTTTATCTGCTTTCACAGGACTCGCCCCGGTCTGCAAACACTCGACTGCCTTTGCCGAAAGCCTCGCGCTCGCCTCCAGCCACACACATTTGCCATTGGAGAGGCCGGCGCCGGCCGCGACCCGCAGCTCAATCGCAGGGCAAACCGAGCTGCCTGTGCGCGCCCGAGAACTCCCCGAGAAATTAACTTCGGCTCAAGTGAAAATAGCAGCTGTTGTCCAGAAATGGCCCGGGAGTAGCATAGAAAGGAGAAACCGGCTTCCTCCGAAAGGGGAGGAATTGGACTCAAGGGGGTGCTGTCTACCGTGGTTTCCGCTGTCCCTCGCGCCACAGAAGAGGCCGGAGGGGGACCGGCCTGACGCGGGTGGGCAAAGAGCGGGCAGAGAACTCACCAGCAGCTGCAGAAAACACAGCCGAGTTGCTAGCTAAGGGGAAACAGACGCCGCTGTGGGAAAGCACTTGTAAACAGCAGTAACTTATTAAATCTTGTGACAATCTCACACAGTAAGTTACTATGCCCGTTTTACCATGGAAACCAAGAGAGGTTTAGTAACTGTCCGAAGATCACACAGTTATAAGTGGTGGATCCTGTGAAGCCAAGAAGCCTTAGCTCCCGGCTCATGCTCTTAAATCCTAGGATGTTTTTACTTTTCAACCTAGCATCTCCTTTCTCTGATATGATCCTCCATGGTAGAGTTGTCAGACTTAACAAATAAATATAGACATCCACGGGGAGGAAGTTAGTACTAAAAAATCATTCATTTTTAAATCTGAAATTCAAATCGGATCTCCTGACTGGGTTTGGAGCTCTAGGCTCCTCCCCATAACCTCTGTTAGCCACGCCAATCAAGTTAGAGCCTAAATAAATCAGAAAAACCTTGCACTTGCTTTTCCAAGTCAGGTGCTGGCCCTACCTTTGGCATCACTGATAAGGCTGAACAGCTCCCACCTTCTTTGCCCTGGGACAGAATGTCAGGCTTCACCATCATAGACCGAAAAATAATGGAGACCCCTCTCCTTCCGCCTCATCTCTGCAGAAGGACATATATATCATTTAGAATTTTCTAGTAGTGGCATTAGAAAGTAAAAAGAAACAGGTGAGGGCCGGGCACAGTGGCTCACGCCTGTAATCCCAGCAGTATGGAAGGCCGAGGTGGGCGGATCACTTGAGTTCAGGAGTTCCAGACCAGCATGGGCAACATGGTGAAACTCCATCTTTACAAGAAATACAAAAATTAGGCTGGGCATAGTGGCATGTGCCTGTGGTCCCAGCTACTCGGGAGGCTCATGTGGGAGGATCACTTTGAGCCTGGGAGGTGAAGGCTGCAGTGAGCCATGATTGTTCCACTGTACTCCAGCCTGGGTGACAGTCAGACCCTGTCTGAAAAAAGCAGGTGAAATTAATTTTAATATTAATAATATAGTTTACTTAACCTAGTATATCCAAAATCGATCTCTTCAACATGTAATCAATATAAAATTAATGAGATATTTTTACATTATTTTTTCTTACTAAGTTTTGTAATCTGGTGTACATTCTAAACTTACAGCACATCTCAATTGGGACCAGCCACATGTGGCTCAGGGGTCCCATGCTGGACAGTGCAACTCTGGCAGGTTCTGCGGTCAATGGCTGTTTCCACCGGGTCATTTCATGTAATCCTCCTGACAATCTTTCAAGCAAACTGATGCTCAGAGAGATAAAGGGTCTTGCCTATAGTCAAAAACTTGGCCAGTGGGATTTCAACCCTTTTGATGCTGTCCCTGGTTTGGGGACATGTACCCCACTGCAGAAGCAATTTTCTTACTGAATCCTCAGGGCCCCTTGGTGGTGCTTCTGGGGCCTGGGGTGGTGGAGGGAGGCCCAGGAATGGGATCTGCCTCCCTCCTACTTTTTATGTTGGGTTCTGGAGAATATTTCAGGGGTGGGGAAATTTCCACGGCAAAAAAAGTCTAAAAAAA
The DNA here is from genome assembly GCF_000001405.40 of Homo sapiens. Classification (NCBI taxonomy): domain Eukaryota; kingdom Metazoa; phylum Chordata; class Mammalia; order Primates; family Hominidae; genus Homo; species Homo sapiens. The sequence continues at coordinate 47,788,348 of NC_000020.11, forward strand.
ACCCCACTGCATTACCACACTGTGCCCTTAGGTCCTCGAGTTCCTGAACATGGCTCTCCCATACCCATAAGGATCCTGCCCACAATGTTTCACTCCATCCTTCTCTGCTCGTCAGGTAACCCCAGTCAGAGAGGGGATGCTTACAATCCCTTCTTCTGGGGCTGTGGGCCTGGCGGACACGTGGCATTTGCTTATCTTTTTGGATATGTTGTTTCCATTGTTGCTGGACATTACCAAACATGGTAACGTCTATGTTGGCCCCTTATCCTTCCTTAAGTAGACGGGGACAGATCTTGTGTGTGCATGCATGTGTACCTGTGTGTCCGAGCATGTATGTGTGTGTTCATTGTAGGCAGGTGCTATGGGTCATGCGTTTTAGTCTGGACTTACTGGCTCAGACACCCATGAGGTCAGAGGGTCTGCAAAGCTCCTCTGGCCGTGTTTCTTCCCCATAATTCCCAGCAAACTCCCTGGTCCTCTGGGTTCAAGGCCTCAGCCTGTTTTCCAGGTCCTTCCAGGCCGGTGGGGACCGCAGGCCCCGTTACGGAGCTTGGAGCTCAGTGTCTGCCTGGGATACATGAGGGGCCCCGAGGGCTCACATGTCCCCCAGCCTGGGAAGTCACTCAGCCGGGCCTCGGTGGGGCTCAGCAGAATCCTGGGCACCCCCACGGCCTCCTGATACTCCAGCCCCTGCCGCCTCCACCCACACGGAGACAGCTTTTCTCCTCCCACATCCCTCATCCCCCATGACATCTCTTGGTATGATCCTGACCATCCTAGCTGGACAATCAAGCTTTTCAAGCTCCTCATGCCGCCCCATTCTCCCCAGCATTGTTGATTTAACCTCAGGGGGACCTTTCTCTTGACGCCTCCATGCCTCGTTTCTTCCCTCTGCAGATTCTTTGGCAGCCCTTTTGTGCAGAACAGCCATCCGGTTCTATCTCCCTTGCAAGGCCGGAGTTGCTGTTTTATTCCCTTGACTCATATATAACAATAAAAAAAATCATTCTTGCTATGTGTTTCTTTATCTCCATCAAGTGGTTGAAACTCAATCTGATTGTCCGAGCACTTCTGGCTGGATTTGGGTTGGAGTCGATGGGATTTTATGAGGGTTGTAAAAGTCAAGCTTTTAACATGTCTCAAACAAATTGGCGTGTAAAGGAGAAACGTTAGAAGAAGGAACATGGCTGCAGACGGGAGGCTTGGGAATGCTAGCCGTAGTACTGGGGCACAGGTGGCTTTAATAATGCACACAAGTTTGGCTGTAAGTTGCTTCTACAAGAGCAGAAGAGGCTGCAGAACCACTCTCAGGAGGTTGAGATCAAACTTCTCGGCTCCTGAGTGCACACAGTTTTGCATGGCTTTTAAAATACAGATTCCAGGATCATCCATAACAATATAAACCTGTGGTTAATTCTGCTGAATTTTCATTTAGACCCAAGCTGTGTTGTCAGTAGAAATGCAATTGCGTTAGAGAAAAACTGTTTATATTTCTTGAGATACTGTGATAATGAAAAACAGTACCATAAACCCCCATTAAGTAAGAAGAACATTAATTGTATTTCATGCTGCCTCCCTGGGCCAGCACGCTGACACAGACATGCTTTACTTCAGCAAAACACGGCTAATCTTTGCAGCACGGTACCCATTTTCCCCTTTAATTATACATAATTGTATAGTCTAATTTATTCTAACGCCTGACGCCGAAAAGTGCACATTTATGAATCAAGGGTTAGTTTGGGAGGGAGGAGAATTATAAACGGGTATAATTGCAGTCTCCTGGGGGCTGCTTATGAGTGATTTCAAAGAATGATGATGTTTATTCTGAATTCTTACCAGTGAAAGACAGTAGGGCTGCCTCCAGTTAAGATACTGTTCTAAGAACGCAGATAACAGGACAATTTGTCTAGTTGCTTACCACACTAGTGGTTTTCCTTTGGATAAGCAGGCAAGAAAGATTAAAGATGTGGGTTCCACATATTTTGTGATGTGATGAAATCCAGGCACACAGACAGCATCAGCAAATGTGCAATTGAATATTAAAATGAGTAATGTGGCCCCAGGCAGCACAGCTGCAGATCTCTGTGGACAAGGGAGAGTGCTTGGAACTCTGTTGGATGATAGTTTTCTCAGGGGGAAAAGCAGGATCCATTTGACCATTAGTGCAATTCACTTTAGGGCTCTCTCTGGAACAGTGCATCTAGTTTTGCAATCGTATTTCAGAAAAATCACCTTTAAGCTTTGATCATAATTAATTAATCAATTATGATGAATGTTGATGGTGATTTAGTAAAAGTGGAATGATGACTTAGGGCCCCCCCAGGGCTGAGGTTTCTAACGAACCTAGGCTCTGCCTCCACTGTCTGGCCCCTCCTTGGCTGATCTTCCCGGGCCTCAGTTTCATCTTAAGAATGAGGATAATATCGAGGACATTGCTGGCTGTCATGTGGATTAAGTGAGATTGATAAAGGTAAAACGCACACACAACGCCTGGCTGGAAGGTACACAATGAGTGTTCACTAAATCAGAATTGGAAACATGCTGTCTTGTGCTCCTGAGAGAGATACTCCTTCATGGTCTGCAAAGCCAGACTTTGAAATCCAGGGCAGTTGAGGCAATGATGCCAAAGGAAACCAGATCACGCCACTCTTCAGCCTAAAATCTCCTCCTCTTAGATGGAGACGCGATCCTGCTCCTGCCTGGCACTCCAACATCTTTCGCTGCTGTCTTGCTTCCATTTTTATTATGACAATTTCACATGGAAAAGTTGAAAGAATAGTACAGTGGACACACTTATACTCTCCACCTAGAATCAACAGTTGCTAATATTTTGCCATGTGTGCTTTATAAGTTGCAGAAACATTTGAGAGGTGGTTGCAGACATGATGACACATTACCCCTCAGGACTTGGGCAGGCATCTCCTAAGAATCAGTTGTTTTCCCAGGTGACCTCCCTATTATTATCACACCAAAGGAAAGGAACAGTAATTCCGTAATCACTCCCTTGCTCACAGAGACACAAAGGTATCTTTCACTTTGTTCCTCAAGCCTTTTCCTGCCTCAGGGCCTTTGCACTTTCTGTGGCCTCTCCCTGGCATCTCTCTCCCCAGATTGTGCTCCAAAAACTCTTTCTCATTACTTGGGTTTCAGCATAATGTCACCCCTTGGGAGAGTTTGTCCCTGTCTGTTTCACCTAAAAATGCTTCCCAATCACTCTATCCTCCCTCCCCATTTTAGCGTCTTCCTATGACATACCACTATCTGAAATTCTGGTTTTATTTTCTGTCTGTGACTGCGGTCTATGTCCCCCTCCCCACTCCCCACCCACACTACCTGCAGGAGAGCAGGGGCCGTGGCCATTTGTTCACTGTTGTAGCTGCAGTGCCCAGAACACTGTCTTGCATGGAGTAGACACTCGACAGATATTTGTTAAATGAAGGAATGAATATCCCATATGTGATGTTTTCAAACAGAAGAGGTGGTAAAATGGAGGGACTGGACCCTAGTTTTTAGAGATAAATCCACACAGCTTCAATCCCAGTGCTACCACGCACCAACTGTGTGTTACTGTGGGCCTGTGTTCCTTAAACTCACCTGCCAAATAGGGACAATGACAATCATCTCTCCACCTTCTAGGACTGTTGCGAGTTATTAATGAGCTTATATACCAAGAGCGTAGAACAGAATCTGGCATCTAACGCCAACCTTTCATAAGCACTTACGATTAATGTTGAATAGGCTGGCCAGAGGCCCATGATTTTAAGCACCACTGGCTGTTCACAGGCTCACACAGAAACTGTCTCCAAGCACAATGCCCCTGGGAGAACTTCTTGGAAGTGCTGATGCTGCCCTGTGTGAGACCAGCTAGGTCAACATTTGCCTGGAAAAAGCTCTGGTTGTTTACAGCAGGCATCTGGGCTGATGAGTCAGGGCCTGTGGTTAGACATTTTGATTCTCACCCCTGAGACCAGCCCTTGGAAGCTCACACAGGAGCCGAGGCAGGGAACCTGGAGAGAAGAGGACAAACAGAGACTTCCCTCTGCTAAATGAGAGTGAATCCGCTGGCAAAGGTCTGACTCTGCGGATTCCCTCCCACTCCACTCTGGTAGGTAGACTCTGTTGTGAATTTTACCTTATTACTGGCCTGTACTTTTTTTTTCTTTTTGGCAAGGTCTTGCTCTGTTGCCCGGGCTGGAGTGTAGTGGTGCAATCATGGCTCACTGCAGCCTCGACCTTCTGGGCTCAGATGATCCTCTCACGTCAGCCTCCTGAGTTTCTGGGACCACAGGTGCATGCCACCACGCCTGGCTATTTTTTTGATTTTTTTGTAGAGATGAGGTCTCACTACGTTGCCCAGGCTGGTCTCGAACTCCTGGGCTCAAGCAGTCCTTCTGCCTTGGCCTCCCAAAGTACTGGGATTATAGGCATGAGCCACCATACCCAGCAGCCTGTACATTTTTAAAAAGAGAATATTTGGTACTGGATGTCCATATGCAGGGGCATGTAGGTAAAGATGCTTTTCAGCTAAAGCTGCAATAAAAAAAAAATGAGTTAGGACTGGGCGTGGTGGCTCACGCCTATAATCCCAGCACTTTGGGAGGCCGAGGTGGGCAGATTGTCTGGGGTCAGGAGTTCAAGACCAGCTTGGCCAACATGGCCAACATGATGAAACCCCATCTCTACTAAAAATACAAAATTAGCTGGGTGTGGTGGCACATGCCTGTGGTCCCAGGTACTCGGGAAGCTGAGGCACGAGAATTGCTTGAACCCGGGAGTCAGAGGTTGCAGTGAGCTGAGATCGCACCACTACACTCCAGTTAGGAAACTAACAGAAGTCTTGGAAATTTTGACGATAAAAATTGCATTTAACTGGAAATAAATAAGGTAGTCTACCCAGGAAAGTGTGTATGTAATATAGGTAATGGGATGACCGGCTTTAATGCAGTTGACTCAGCTAGCATTTCTACTGTACTGGGTGGAACGGTGTCCCCCCGCCCCAATTCATGCCAATCCAGAAACTCAGAATGTGACCTTATGTGGAATTGGGGACCTTGCAGCTGCAGATAGTTAAGATGAGGGTGTAATACTTAGATTAGGGTGGACCCTAATCCAATGATTGGTATCCTTCTAAGAAGAGAAAGTGGGGGCCAGGCATGGTCGCTCATGCCTGTAAACCCAACACTTGGGAGACCAAGATGGGTGGATCACTTGAGGTCAGGAGTTTGAGACCAGCCTGGCCAACATGGTGAAATCCCACCTCTATTAAAAATATAAAAAGTAGCTGGGCTTGGTGGTGTGCACCTGTAATCCCAGCTACTAGGGAGGCTGAGGCAGGAGAATCACTTGAATCCAGGAGGCAGAGATTGCAGTGAGCCAAGATTGCGCCATTGCACTCCAGCTTGGGTGACAGAACGGGACTCTCTCACAAAAAAAAAAAAAAAAAAAAAAGAGACAGAGAGAGTGGGGACGTAGAGATACAGGGAAGAAGTTCATGTGAAGGAGGAGACAGAGATCAGAGTGATGCTTCTGGCAGCCACCAGCAGCTGGAAAGACCCTCCCTGGAGCCTTTGGAGGAGTGTGGCCCTGCTGGCACCTTGATTTTGGACTTCTGGCCTCCGGAACTATGAGAGAGTCAATTACTGCTGTTCTGAGTCACCCAGTTCATGGTTATTGTTATAACTGCTCTAGGAAATGGATATGCCCATCAATGAGTTGGGGCGGCGGGGGGGGCGGGGGGTCACTCCTCTTCTCCCAGGGTGAATGAGTGATGGTGACAGTGGAAAGAGATGTCCCCACGGTGACACCAGAGCAGGAATCTCAGCCCAGGCCCCAAATCAGAGATTCTGATTTAATGGTTCAGTGATAGATCCAGGCCTGGGTATTTTTTTTTTTAAAAACAAGTTTATTGAGGTATAATTTGCATACCATAAAATTCACCCATCTTAAGTGTACCATTGAATGATTTTTAAATGTCCCAAGTTGTGCAACCATTACTGTCATCTGGTTTTGGAACATTTTCAGCATCCCAGTTCCATCCCTTACGGGCATGGGTGGTTTTCAAAGCTGCCTAGGTGGCTCCAGCCTGCGCCAGGGCTGAGAACTCCCGCTCCCTGGGGAGTCCTGGGGGAAAAGGAGAGTGGTATAAGGTTTCCCCAGAGGTGCTCAGGACTAGTTGACCCTGAAATAAATGTGTAGGTAACTTCAAAACATGCCAGTAGGCATCCACAGAAGCAGTTTTGGTTGCGGTGGTGGGGAGAGGGTGGGAGGCCGGCTGCCGAGGTGCATGAAAGCCCATCTGGGCTGTGGACAGTGTCTGGGGAGGGGGTGACGAGGGAGGTGCTGGTCCCATTTCCACCTGGCTGGAGAGAGCACTGTGTCCACTCCCCAGTGCATACATCCTATCTGCCCTGGAAGTTAGGGTGGGGGGATGGGAGATGGGAACTGGGGTTGCTAGCAGGGAGTCAGTGGGTGTGAGGAGGCCCAGCCTGGCCCCTGCATGGCCCAGAGTCAGGTATGTGAGGCTCACTGTTCCAGAGGAGTGAAGCACCACCCCCAAGAACACATAGTAAGGCTAACACAGGGGAGAAGAGGACCCAGGGCTTTGACTCTTTTATTTATTTATTTATTTTTGAGATGGAGTCTTGCTCTGTCGCCCAGGGTGGAGTGCAGGGGTGTGATCTCGGCTCCCTGCAACCTCCGACTTCCTGGTTCAAGCAATTCTGCCTCAGCCTCCCAAGTAGCTGGGATTACAGGCACACGCCACCACGCCCAGCTAATTTTTGTATTTTTAGTAGAGATGGGGTTTCGCCATGTTGGCCAGGCTGGTCTCAAACTCCTGACCTCAAGTGATCTGCCCACCTCGGCCTCCCAAAGTACTGGGGTTACAGGCGTGAGCCACCGCCCCCGGCCTCTACTCTTGTTCCACCTTGGCGCAGCTCCCTGAGCCCTGTACAACCCTGGACAGAGGCTGGGGCCAGCTTGGTCCTGATCAGCACCCAGGGCCGGTCTCTGCTGGGCTCCTGCTGGAGCATTTCCTTGCCTGCCTTCCAGCAAGACCTTGCCTTGCCACGTGAGTCTGACCTGAGCAGTGTCTTCTGTCCGTCACAGCCTGGTCCTCTGCCAGGACTTGATGGAATCGCTGCCCACTTGGCACCCAGGTCTGTCCTCACCCTGCGATGGCTCTTGGGTGACTCATCAATTTGTGCTTATATCCGGTCGTCTGTGGCTCTGGCAGGTCCTGGTACCCACAAGGGCTGGGCTGCCAACCAGGCTTGCAGCAGAGGCCTCTGGGGTGAGCCTGGCTTATCCTAGTCGGTTCCCCTTCACCTCAGAGCGAGTGATTTATGAGTATCACAGCTACTGCTGATTGAATATTCACTGCACATATATGGGACGTCAGCTCTGAGTAGCAGATCCTTGTCGGTAAACGGACTCCCAGATCTCCCCCAGCCTTGGATCCTTTCAGGACCACTGCGTGGATCACATGTGAGTGTGAATGTAGAACAGAAGGATAAGGCATTTTCTTCTTCATTAATCATATTCCATGCTAGCAACCTTCCAGAAGTTTCCCCTGTGGCTAAGGAATATGTAACAGGTACTGGCTGTTTGCAGCTGCATTCACTCAGGGTCATAAGGCATCACACGCCTGGCTATTGGAGTTCTCAGCCGGTGGTGTCTGTTTAGGCGATTAGTGAATTAAGGGCTTGTTTCTTTGACTTCAACAAGGGACCACATCCCAGTGGGCAACTAACAGACACTATTTGGGATGGATGGCCACAGGCTCTCTGTGTCAGCGGTGAAGACCCCCAAACAGGCATTGTTCTTGGGTTATCCACAGGCTGAGTTCTGACCCTGCAGTGTCACTGCAGAGCAGGGAGCCAGCCTCCCCGGGAGGACAGGCTGACAGGGAAGACACCTGAGCTGCTTTGTAGGGGAGCTGCTGTCCTGGTAGAGAAGGGGCTGCTTTGTGTTTTGTGTTTTTTTTTTTTTTGTTGTTGTTGTTTTTTTTTTTTTTTTTTTTTTTTTTTGAGTCTTGCTTTGTCGCCCGGGCTGGAGTGCAGTGGTGCGATCTCGGCTGACTGCAACCTCCGCCTCCTGGGTTCAAGTGATTCTCCTGCCTCAGCCTCCTGAGTAGCTGGGATTACAGGCGCCTGCCACCACGCCCAGCTAATTTTTTGTATTTTTAGTAGAGATGGGGTTTCACCCCGTTGGCCAGGCTGGTCTCAAACTCCTGACCTCGTGATTTGCCCACCTCGGCCTCCCAAAGTGCTGGGATTACAGGTATGAGCCACTGTGCCCAGCCTGCTTTGTGTTTTGGAGGCTGCCTGCATGGGTTCCAGGAGGGTGTTTTGATCAAGGTGACTTGAGGGTGCAGCAGCCTTGGACATCTTTGGTGACATGTTCATTTATCCACTCATTTGAAAAATCTGTTTAAAGTTGCCACCAAGTCACAGTAACTGTATCAAGACCCCAAGGCCCAAAAAGGTGACTTTCGTGACCCCTTGCTCCCAGGGGGCCTAGAGTCTAGTGAGCAAAAAAGATACAAGTGAGCTCCACAGAGTTTGTGACAGAAAGTCTTGTATTTTCCACCACCTACCTCCTTTTTCCCTTTGATTGGTTTGGGTGGTCACGTACCCAGCTCAAGATCACTGAAGCCAGTGGTCCTCGAAGTGTTGTCCCTGGACTGGCAGCATCTGCATCACCGGGGAACTTGTTAGAAATGCCAAATCTTGGGCCCCATCCCAGTCCCACTGAATCGGAAACTCTGTGGGTGGGGCCCAGCCATCCCTGCTTTAACTAGCACCGCTTACCCTGCGCCAGTCATATGCGTGGGCACTTGACTGCTTCTTGCCAATGAGATGTCAGGAAGTATTTGCTGGGTTTTGGGGAAGTCACTTTCTTCCTGTTAAAAAGGCCAGAATCTTGGAAGGAGGGGGCCTGCCTCATGCCCCCTTCCTGCTGCTCTATGTGTGGTCCTGAGCGCACATATGCATGGCATTGAAGAGTCAACGTATGGCCAGGAAGGGCAATGTCACTGTCACCAATCGGCTGAGCCTGACTGAGCAGAAAAGACCAGCCCAGGGAGTTCTTATTAACAAGACAGCAAATGCTTTCATAACATTGCTACTTGTAGCCAAGAGCACCCCCAACTGATCCAAGTTCATGAGGTTGATAATGATGTAGGTATGACCAGAACATCTCCCTGGCTTATTATGATGTTGCATAAGTCCTTTTCTTGCTCTGTATCTTTGTGACATCTGTAGTTCAAAAACCTTGGCCAGACCAACTTACACCCTTTACGATGGCTACTGTCAAAAACCAGAAAATCACAAGTGTTGGTGAGGCTATGGGGAAATTAGAACTCTTGTACACTGTTGGTGGGAACGTAAAACCTTTGGGTGCAGCCACTGTGGAAAACAATATGGCAGTTCCTCAAAAAATTGAACATAGAATCACCATATGATCCAGCCATCCCGCTTCTAGGTATGTACCCCGAAGAACTGAAAAACAGGGACTTGAAGAGAGATTTGTCTCCCATGCTCATAGCAGCGTTATTCACAATAGCCAAAAGGTGAAAGCAACTCAAGTGTCTATAAATGAATGTTTAAGATGGTAAATTTTATGTTTGTATATTGTATCATAACTCAACATTTTTTTCCATGTCCATAGAAATGAAATAATAAACTTCTTTAAAATTAAACTTTTTTTTTTTTTTAAGAAACATGGCTGGGCCTGGTGGCTCACACCTGTAATCCCAGCACTTTGGGAGGAGGCCAAGGCCGGTGGATCACTTGAGCTCAGGAGTTTGAGCATGGGCAACATGGCAAAACCCTGTCTCTGCCAAAAGCAAAACAAAACCATAGGTTAACTGGGTATGGGTGCACGTGCCTGTAGTTCCAGCCACTTGGGAGGCTGAGCTGGGAGGATCGCTTGAGCCCAGGAGGTCAAGGCTGCAGTGAGCCATGATTGTGCCACTGTGCTCCAGCCTGGGCGACAGAGTGAGACCCTGTCTCAAAAGATAAACAAGTAAATAAAAATAAAAAAAGAAAAAAGAAACATACATACACGACTCTTAAAATCCACACCCTTTCCCTCATTTATGTCTGCAGGGCGATGGTCACTGTTGTTCTTGCCTCTCCTCTGAGTTCCGGTCTCATTTATCCAACAGACATCTTGACATCTCCACCTGGATGTTTTGAAGGCAACTCAAGCCAGTGTGCCTGGGTCTGAACTCCTGACCTTCCTTCCCAAACCTGCTCCTCCTGCTGTGTTTGCCTTTGGAGTGACTGCCACTTCTATCCATTATAAGTCAGAAATCACCTCCTCCTCAATCTCCTTCCCTGGCTTAATCCATTTCAAATTCCTTGTGATTGTCCTTCCTAAATACCTGCCAAGGGCGGCCACCCCTCCAGTCACCTCTGACAACTGCAGTGGTACCCGACCCAGCTCCCTGTGCAGACCAGGGCACCGCCCACATCCACGTTTCACGACAGGAGCCAGAGTGAGCTTTTCCAACTGCAGATCTGATTGATTTCATTCTAGTTTCACTGTCAGCAATCAATGCCATATGAAAATATTTCACAGAAAAATCCAACCCCTCCCATTATAAATTGCCATGCAGGCTTCTTCTGGGTTGATTTCTCATCTAGTTATAAGGGCCAAGCTGTCTTCTGGGTCTCTTTGGACTGAGTCTCTCAGGTTTGGGGTCTGACCTTGAGGGTGGGTGGGACAGATGTCACTGATGGTTGATGCCTTAGTTTGGGTTGTCCCAGGTGCAGATTCCGAGACAAGAATTTGAGAGCAAGTAGTTTATTTGAGAGGTGACCTCAGGAAGCTCTGGCAGGGCTTTAGGAAGCGCAACAGGAAAGGGAGGAGGCCAATTCAGGGCGTAGTATTCAGCCAGCTGGTGCAGAGGACAGCTGGAGTTCAGTCCCATGGAGAAATCACACACAATAGAGGAATCCCAGGAGCGAGGGACAGGCGGTATTTATACACCAACTCCTATGAGTTATTACTTGGGGGTTGTTGGAGGTGAGTGTTAATCCCCTGGCACCTCCCACCTGCCACAGGTGTGGGTAGAGTGGACTGCTGAGGTCATGGACAAAAGCCTGCAGGCAAAAAGAAGAAGATATTGGCAGTTAGAAGTGGCTCTGAGCCTGCTGGAGGGTTCCAGGGCTATGTGGAGGGCACGAACAGCATCTGCTCCCCTGGGGATGATGACAGGTGACACTGGGTGACTCAGATCTTCTTGCCATAACATGGAGACACATGGTTAGAAAGCCAGTCCATTGTCTCAAGGAGAAGAGTCCCAGTTTGGTGCTAATAATCTTAACACCTTTCCAACACTGTTCATCTCCATCTGGAACCAAGAAAGAGCCAGCCTTGGGCCTAGTGTCTTTGGTAGGCCGTCGTATGTACCTACCTGCAATTGATGATGTTGCTTTGGTTTCTACTTAATGTTTTCCAATAAACTTAAGCATATAAAGTTTGCTGTTGAAATAAATTTATATAGTTAAAAAATAAATTGATCTTTAAAGTGTTCAATGCCATCCCAGGCTGCCCTCCATGAGACAGGTGGCAGGCAATGCCTAAATCAAGGGGACATAGTGCACGCTCTGCCATGGGCATCTCAGGCCTCTGCCCTCTGGGTTCCAGCCCCTCTCTAACCTGGTTCTCACTTCTCCCTGTCCACTCTATCCACCAAAGCCGCCTTCTCGCTCCCACTAAGTACGTTCTTGGCTCTGGCTTTGTTCCCACCCCACCCCTCTTCCCTCCTTTCTTTTCAATGTCCTGCTCATGCTCGGAGGCCTGACTCCAACACCACCCCCCCCACCCCACCTGAGTCCCCGACCACCCCCTGCAACACACTCCCAGTGGGAGCTGAGGGCTTCCTGCTGGGGCCACCCCCACTCCAGGATTATTTCATGCTGGTGCTCTGCTATTGACTGTTGACAGGTGGGTCCCCCACCAGCCCCGGTGCTTTGTGGGAACAGAGTCCTGGCCCTCTCTGAGCCTGGCCTGGTGCTGTCTCAGAAGAGCCCATGGTCTGTGCTGAGCCAGTGCAAGAGCAGAGTGGACCGCAGCTTCCTCCTCCACGGCACTCCCGAAGCCCCTCGGGTGACTCCGGCCAACCAGGTGTTCCAGCAGAGAGAAGGAGGATTATGGGTGTGACTGTGGCCCTTGTCCTTCCACGGCTCAGGCCGCACTGTGGGAGCTGGTCGCCTTTTAGCCTTTTAGCACTGGTCCATCCGTTTCTTTCCATTGCCCCGTGGAGTCTGTGGCCTTTTCTCCGGGTTCTGACTGAGACCAGAGTCCAGCCTGCCTGGGGGCAGTTGTACACTGCCTTGAGTGCCTGGTGACAGGGTGACAGCACTGCCAGCGTCTCTGGGTTGGGTTTGGGGAGGCACCAGAGGCCTGAGCAGACGGCTGGGGTTGGTTATGGCTGCTGGGAAGGGCACAAAGCCAGGAGTGGGTGGGGCAGGGAGACCATGAGGAGCCTGTGCAGCCCGTTTTGTCTCAGCAGAGGGGCGAGTCCCAGTAGCTTCCCCGGGCCAGGGCGTCAGCTGAGTCCTGGCAGTGCAGGCAGCCCCCAAGCTGGGCATCTGGGCAGCAGGGAGGGGGGGGAGCTTCAGGGAGGACGCGGTGGGTAGCACGTGTCTCAGGGGACACGTGTGCGTGTGAGAGGGTGACAGTGTGTGTATATGTGCGCCTATGAATGTGTATGTGACTGTGTGCGTGAGAGTGAGGGTGTATGTGAGTCTGTACATGTGTGAATGTGTGTATGTGTGTATGTGAGTGTATGAGCCTGTGTGTATGTATGCATGTGTGTGTGAATGTATGTGTGAGTGTAGGTGTGTTGGGGCCTGTGTGCGTGTATGTGTGCGTGAATGTGTGTAAGTGTAGGTGTATGTGAACCTGTGTATGTGTGTGAGCCTGTATATGTGAGCATGAGCCTGTGTGTATGTGTGTGTGTGTATGAGTCTGTGTGTGTATGTGTGAGACTGTATGAGTGTGTGAGCCTGTGTGTAAGAATGTATGTATGTGTGTGTGAGAGTGTGTATGTTGGGCGTGAGAGTGTGCGCATGTGTGGGAGACAGAGTGTCTGGAGGAGGCAGACAGTGGGATATGGGAGCAGAGAGAGCAAGGCGACCTCCAAGGAGAAACGGTGTCTGGGCGACCCTGAGAGCCTGAGATGTGGCCTGGGGGTTACCATGGACGGAAGGGAAGTAGGGGGGTCAGGACGACTCACGCTCTGGTCCTTGTCACTAAAAGTCAGAGCAGCTGAAACTCACCAAGCATCACTCACATCAGACACTGGTCTAAGCACCTTACATGCATTCTCTATATTTTTATTTAACAAATACTTACATCGAGCTTGCCGTGTGGAGGCACTGCTCTAGTTGATTTACAAAACGAAACAAGAAGCGTCGAAAACACATCGAATCAACAAAACACCATCGTGAATTCTCGCAACTGCCCTGTGTGGGAGGCACTGCCGCTACCTCCATCTGCAGAGGGGTAGGGGAGCCTGGGAGCTGGTGGGCGGAGGGCCGGGTGGGGTGGAACTGGCATCTGCCTCCAGGGCTGGGCTCCTCCCATTGCTGATGCCTGGGTTTCACTGTGCTCGTAAAAGCCACGGGTCAATTATGCTTATTACCTGTTCTGCAGGTGAGAAAACGAGGCACACAGGGGTGAGCAATTCGCTCAGCTTGAAAGTGGTAGAACCAGGACCCAGCCCAGGCCATGGCTCGGGACCCACTCTGTAATCACTCACTGGGGGCCCCGCAGTAATGAGCTCTTTGAAGAAAGGTGAGTCACTGACCTTGGCTGTGCCTCAGTTTCTTCATTTGCCAAGTGGGGCTCTGCTGCCCCTGCCTCTGCCCTGCTGACTTGCAAGAAGAGTGAACGAATGGAATTGGATGAAGGCTTCCGGAAACTTCCATCAGGAAAGCGCCCTGGCCTGGGAGAAAGCCGGTCCTGGCCGGCTTTGCCTGCAATGCCCTCAGTGGCCAGTCACGTCCCCTCCTTGGCCTGCAGGTTCCTCACTGGAGCGGGGGTGGCCCGAGATGAACCCTCAGATGCACCAAGCCCCACACCTTGATTGTCCAGCTCTGTCCTGATGGACAGGGGAGCTGCCTGCGGTGACTGTCCAGGAACTGGGTGTCTGGAGACGGGCAGACCCAACCATTTGAGGCTCGTTCTAGGAAGTGTGTTCAGTGTGGCCAAGCTTGGTGACTCTGGGGCTTCTGGAATGGTTCCCATGCCAGAGAATTACAAAAAGATCCTTTGTACTGAGAAGAGAAAGTACAACTTATTCTCTTAGGGACACCTTCCTGGAGGGACACCAGACAAGAAGTCCAGGCCCTGGAATCAGATGCCCTGGGCCAGGCAGCTTCTGTCTCCCCGAGTTCTCTGCGGAGGCAGCACTCTCAGAAGATTCCACGGTTTAATCACACTCCAGCTCTTTTCAGAGCACCTTCTACGTGCCAGGCATGCTCTAGGCACCAGCGATGCAACTGTGGATGAAAAAGACCAAGGCCCTGTTCTCGGGGAGCTGGCGGGGTGGGAGGGGCAGTGAAAAACAAGTACAGCCTGCCCCCGCAAGTACAGTCACATAGACATATGTGTGTATGTGTGCACATATACTTGAAATATCAAGTGGCTGGAGGGTTTACTTTAGACTGGGGGATGTGGAAGTCCTCTCTGAGATGCGCCCCCTTTGATCAGAGGCCTGAAGGAATTAAATGAGTCTTCCATGTGCACATCCAGGGGAGGAAGTTTCCAGGCAGATGGACCCGCATGTGCAAAGGCCCTGTGGTGGAGTGTGCTGGGGGTGTTCTAGGAGGGTCAGCATGGAGGGAACAAGGAGAAGAGCTCGAGCTGAGGTTATGGAGGGCCTCATGGGTCATGGCAAAGACATCTGGGTCATATTCTGAGATAGATGGGGTGGGGTTTGGCACAGAGGACTTTATGTATTTTGCCTTAATATTTTAAAAGGATCCCTCTGGCTGCCTGTGAGCATGGATTGTGCAGGATCAATGCAGGGAGTCGATGTAGGGAGACCAGCAAGGAGGTGATTGCCACAGTCAAGAAGGGATGATGGACGCCCAGGCCTCCGTATTCGGAGCGGTGTGGCCAGGCGATAGCATGGTAGCCATCATCACAAGCTAAAGCCAGCAGGTTTGGTAGATGGTTGGGATATGGAGGAATAAGAGAAAGAGAAGGGTTATGCTGACTCTAAGATTTGGCCTAATCGCCAGAAGGTTGTAGGTGCCTTTTTTTTTTTTTTTTTAAATGGGAGTGACCGGCTTGGAGGGAAGATAAGGGGCATCAGAAACCTGCACAAACCTGCAGGAGTGTGCACTGTGTGACCCTGATGCCCAAAGGTGACCCTGGGGCCAAGCAGTGTCTCCACCCTTAGTCTCTGGGGCCCCTGCCCACCTGCAGAAGGGACCCTAAACACTAACCTTTGATTTAAATCCAAAACATTCTTCCCTAACGTAAAGTTGCCCAGGGCAGTATTGGTTTCTCTTTTAAAGACGCCACCTGGATTCTATTCTAATGGTGGGGGTGCATATCTAGAAAGGATGGGCAGCCCCTGCGGGGAAAGAATGAATGGGGCCAGGTGCAGTGGCTCACACCTGTAATCCCAGCACTTTGGGAGGCCGAGGTGGGTGGATCACTTGAGGTCAAGAGTTCGAGACCAGCCTGGCCAACATGGTGAAACCCTGTCTCTACTAAAAAAATACAAAAATTAGCTGGGTGTGGTGGCACGCGCCCATAGTCCCAGATACTTGGGAGGCTGAGGCATGAGATTTGCTTGAACCTGGGAGTCAGAGGTTGCCGTTGTGGTAGGAGTTATTAAGAAATTATTTTAGGCAGATAGAAAGGAAAAGGGGTCCTTGGGAAGTTTTCGTTTGTTAAAGCATCTCCGGAAGTTTCTGTAAAGCCCGGGCTCTTAGAGCCAGGCGGGCAACCTTTGATATGCAAATGCCAGCCATTAGAAACTGGGTCGCGAGCCTTCTTGCCCTTTCCCGACCTGTTCCTGGCAACATGGCCGCCCCCACATATCCCCACGTGTGTAGAACATTGTGGCGCCCTGTATTTGCATATTAAAAGACTAGGGTGGGAGGGCCAGCTTTTTCATGGGCTACCATGAATGACATGCCTGGTCAAACCAATCCCCTGAGCCCTATGCAAATCAGACACCGCCCCCTCCAGCCTCTGTATATATACCTGGCTGGTATCCATGGCAGGTGGGGACCTCCTCTTTCGGCTTTGGAGCCCCCATTCCTCTGCCTCTGTACAAGGGAGCTTCTTCCTTCTCCCTTCCTTCTTGCCTATTAAACACTCCGCTCCTTAAAACCGCTCCATGTGTGTCCGTGTCATCTTACCTAATTTGACATGAGACAAGAACCCTCCTCCCCTCATCAGAACTGTATCACAGTGAGCCAAGAGGGAGCCACTGCACTCCAGTCTGGGTGACAGAGTGAACGTTCATCTCAAAAAAAAAAAAAAAAAAAAGAATTAATGGAAGAAGCCCGGCCTGGTGGCTCACACCTGTAATCCCAGCACTTTGGGAGGCTGAGGTGGTGGATCACTTGAGGTAAGGAGTTCAAGACAAGGCTGGCCAACATAGTGAAACTCTGTCTTTACTAAAAATACAAAAATTAGCCGGGCTACTCGGGAGGAAGGCTGAGGGAGGAGAATGGCTTGAACCAGGGAGGCAGAGGTTGCAGTGAGCCGAGATCGCACCACTGCACTCCATCCTGGGTGACATAGTGAGACTCTGTCTCAACAACAACAACAACAACAACAACAACAACAACAACAACAACAAGAATGAATGGAAGAAGATTCCATGAGTACCCAGAGTGCTGCAGTCCCATGCACGAGATTTAACGTGGCTGCCACCTGTCCAGATGGGTTTGTGGGAAAGCACTACATCTGTTTAAGGGAGTTTGAATGTTAAAGAGGGATGTTCATCGCAGAAAGGAAATTACTGAGTCTGCAAATATCATCAAGTGGGAGAAAGACGGATGGGACATTTATGGACATGTAGTTTGTCCCAGTGAAATAAAGCATCTTCAAACCTGTCTTTACTGGCATAGAAGTACTGCAGTGTCACCTAACAGAGCAGTTTACATCACAGTGGTGAGTTTCTGAAAAACAAAAAACAAAAGAGTGCTTTCCACCCATCTATCCAGCTTTCTAAAGCAACCGCAATAAAATATGTTTTTGTGCGATGGAATTTACAAAGCACCTACTAATCGCAGAACCCTGGGCTAAGGAGAAGAGTGAAGAAACAGAGCTCATCCTCAGTGGGCCCATGGCTGGTGGGAGAAACACACGGACATAAATGGCACGCAGGATGCAGTGGGTTGGTGCGGTGAGAAAGGTCGCAGGGTCCAGAGAACGGAGAGGGTCAGAGAAGTCTTTTTAGGAGGGATTGTATGTGAGTCAGCTTGCTATTGGCTGCAAGTGACTGAAACCCCTAATGAATCTGGCTTACGCAGTGAGGGAGTATGTTATCTCCCATAACAGAGGTGGACTTCAGGGTGGGTTGATTCAGTGGCTCTGCAACACCACCAGTCTCCCTCGCCTGTTGTGGGATGTCACAATGTGGCTGCCACCAGCAACTGGCACATGTCTTCTTGTCCAGGTGAAGCAGGAAATTTTACCCGACCCCTTCACAGGTGGGACCTGGAGTATCGGAAGCTGGAGCTACCCGGCCACTTCGGTGCCAGCAGGGCAAACTCCACTCACTGTTGTGCTCAACCCCTTGTGGGAGGGAGCATGTAGATGAGCGGGTTCAGGAGCTGCGGCGAGTGCCTTTGGGCGCTGGCAGGAGCAAACTCTGTGCTGGCCCCACAGCAGCGTCTAAGGGAGGGGGGTACCTGCAAACCCGGAAACCCCAGAGGACGGGCGTCACAGTGCTCTTTTAGCTTTGCTGTCCGCGGATGGCTTAAGTGTTAAACAGCTCAGTGGGCCCTCTGCCTTTTTGCATGAGGTTGTTTCTCTCCACCAGCGAGAGCAGACGGTCAGTGTGACAGCCTTTAGTGTCCACACCTGTGGCACCTGAGCTCTTATTTTGCATCCAGGAAAAATCAGGTCGCATGAACGAATTGGACGGTGGTGAATATGGAGGATTTTATTGCCGATGAAAGGGGAGATGGAAAAGGGATAGAGCGGGAAGATAATCTTTCCCCGCTGGGGAACATTCTCTTCATCCTCTTCGAAGCAACACTGTCAAGCCGTCCCTCTGAAGTCAAGCTGCTTCTCTCCAACGTCCAGCTACTTCTCCTCTTCTCTGCTGGAGAAGCCTGGGGTTTTTATGGCACAGGATGGGGGGTGGGGCGTGTCATGTGTGGTTTTGGAAAGGCAACATTCAAGTCAGAAAACAGGAATCCGTGTTCTCACTTCGGGCCATGGTTCCAGGTTTGAGGGTAGGACCCTTGCTGGGGACCGCCCTCTTCTGCCCAGAGTTTCTCTGCCTCCTGTCCCTATCACAGGTCCCCTGGCATTGAGAGAGAAATCACTCCTTCAAGTGTGGGATGTACTCCTTGTCTTCAGTACAATTGGCCATCTTGGCCCATGTGTCCCTTCCGGGACCACTGACAATCACCAGGAGATTGCTGAATGTAGTAACTGTAGACTAATTGGGATGACCCTGAAGCTGAGGACCACGTCAGCATCCCCTGAACCAAGGGGCTGCATGGGGAACAGGTAGACACCAGGACAAAGTCAGGCTTCTGTCAGGAGGAGGAACGTGAAGAAGGATATTGGTTAGGCAGCCGTCTGAGCAGGGCTTTGGTGGAGTGGTGTGCTTTTAGACTAGCAGAGATGACAACAATTACTTTTTGCGTGCTACTCACTGAAATTAGAGCTTTCAATGCAGAGTAGAATCTTCTCTGTGCAACTCCCTTAACTCACTCCCCTGATGCTTCCAAGCCCTCCGTTCCTCTGTAAGTAGAGGGACAAGCCCACAGCTTGGGGCTATCTGCCACTCTCTGAAATGCCCATCGTGTTCTCTGCCTGCTGAAATTCAGGGGTTTGTTTCCAAACCTGTTTACTCTGGATATACCTGGCATTGCAATTGCAAAACTTAGTAAACATAGCAAACGGATAATTAGGAGGGGAAAAAGAAAGGGAGTTGCTGTTTTTATGAACACCAAGTTGAATTGTCTGGAAAGATCTCTTAAGGGCAAAAAGCTGAAAAAGAGATCAGAAAAATATTGAGAACTGCCCAGTAATTGCCCAATATAATAGTCATTGCTGCAGGCAGGGCACCATGGCTCATGCCTGTAATCCCAGAACTTTGGGAGGCTGAGGCCAGAGGATCACTTGAGCCCAGGAATTCAAGACCAGCTTGGGCAATGTAGGGAGATTCTGTCTCTACTTAAAAAAAAAAAAAAAATTAGCTGGGTGTGGTATGCACAACCGTAGTCCCAACTACTTGGGAGGCTGAGATGGGAAGATTTCTTGAGCCTGGGGATTCGAGGCTGCAGTGAGCTATGAATGTGCCACTATACTCCAGCCTGGGTGGGAGAGCCTGTAATCTCAGCACTTTGGGAGGCTGAGGGGAGCAGATCACTTGAGAGGTCAGGAGTTTGAGACCAGCCTTGCCAACATGGTGAAACCCCAACTCTACTAATAATCCAAAAAAAATTAGCCAGATATGGTGGCACCCACCTGTAGCTCCAGCTACTTAGGAGGCTGAGGCATGAGAATCGCATGAACCTAGGAGGCAGAGGTTGCAGTGAGCCGAGATCGTGCCACTGCACTCCAGCCTGGGCAACAAAGAGACTCTGTCTCAAAAAAAAAAAAAAGGGTTGAAAGAAATAGTCATTGCTGCATGTGACTACTGAGCACATTAAATGTGGCTGATGTGACTGGACGTGGTGGCTCACACCTGCAATCTCAGTACTTTGGGAGGCCGAGATGAGAGAATAGCTTGAGGCCAAGAGTTTGAGACCAGCCTGGTCAACATAGCAGGACCCCCATCTCTAATTTTATTTAATTTTATTTATTTATTTATTTTGAGACTGAGTTTCTCTCTTGTTGCCCAGGCTGGAGAGCAATGGCATGATAGCGGCTCACCACAACCTCCGCCTCCGGGTTCAAGTGATTCTCCTGCCTCAGCCTCCCAAGTAGCTGGGATTACAGGCATGTGCCACCACACCCAGCTAATTTTTTGTATTTTTATTTTTTTTTTAGTAGAGACAGGGTTTCTCCATGTTGGTCAGGCTGCTCTCGAATTCACAACCTCAGGTGATCAGCCTGCCTCAGCCTCCCAAAGTGCTGGGATTACAGGCTTGAGCCACCGCGCCCGGCCTCCATCTCTAACTTAAAAAATATTTTTTAAAAATGTGGCTGATGTGACTGAGAAGTTGAATTTTTAATTTTGTTCAATTTTAATTAATTTAAATGATTAAAAACTGATATGTGATTCAGTTATTGGAAAGCTTTTAAATATGTTTGGGGATAGTTGTTTATGTGAATCTACTTTTTCAGCTGTCAAATTTCTAAAATCGAAATAGAAGTCAAGTATATCTGATAAACATGGAGGTGCACTGGAAGGGTAAAACTCACACCAGAGTTTGAAGACTTAGAATGAAAAATGTAAATGACCTTCATTTTTACATTTATTGTATGTTGAAATAATATTTTAGGTATGTTGGGTTAAATAAAATATATCATTGAAATTAATTTATTCTGTTTCTTTTTAGTTTTTTTTTCCTAATGCGGTTACTGAAACATTTTAAATTATGTTTGTGATTCACATTCTATTTCTACTGGACAATGCTGGTGTGGAAGGATCCTGCACCCGGATTGCGTGGCAAGTGTTTTCATACCCTCATTCCACTTCAAAGAAGCCAAAACTGAACATTGTAGAATTATATAAAGAACAAAGACAATGGGAGAATCCAACAGCAGGCCCACATTATGAAGAAAGTCATTAGCCCTGGCATGAAAATATTCGTCAATTATAGGAGAGTTGCATGTTTTCTTTTAACTGTATAAAGCTGTGAGTGTAAACGGGTTTTTTTTTTTTTTGGATTCCCCACCCACTTTAGCATATTTAGCTTTCTTAATGAGCCCGCTGCTGGTCCCAGCTGTGCTGGGTTTTCTGGACAGTTTCTCCTGGTTTTATGGCAGCCCTTGGAGGTCAGGGCAGTTATGACGATTCTCACTCTGGAGCTGGGGAAACAGGCTCAGGGAGGGCGCGCGACAGGCTGAGGGTCCCACAGGCAGTGAGCAGAGAAATAAGGAGCGGCCAGCGGGGGTGCCAGCCTCTGTGCCCTGGGATTCTCTTCTGCATTTTGTGTTCATCGCCTGGCCCTGGTGGCTGTACCTTCCTTCCCCTCCATGGGCCACAGCTCTGGCTCTCATAAGAGGATGGCCCTGGGGCTCCTGGATCTGCCTTGCCTCAACAGAGAGCTGGTTGTGTCTGGAGTGCAGGTGTCCGGAAGCCCAGCTCCCTGCCCTGAGGCAGGACAAGGAGTGGCTGTGACTCACACCCTGGGCTGGATTCCCCTGCAGGGTGGGCTGAAGCCTGCCTCCCTCCCTAAGGGGCTTGGCTTAAGGCCGCACCCTGGCCCGGCTTCCTGCTCTTCCTGATCCCCTCTCCCTACCCCTTTCTCGTCTTCTCTGGTGCAGATCCTAGATCCAGTCCTTGCATGAAGGTCCTCCTCTCAGGATCTGCTTCAACGGTACCTGACATAAAATAGGTGCATGGGACGGTGGGAGAGGAGCATTCAGAAACACGCTGGGGCTCCATACTGCATGCTTTTCAGACACTGGGGCGCTGGGAATGCACCCCTTGTTGCAAACCTCACCTTCAATTCCTGCCCCATGTAAAGCCTTAGGGAACCCCCACTCAGCGGACCCCTTCCCAGATGGGTCCAGTCCAGCATCCCCTCTGCCCTCGGAGGTTCCCAGCACTCTTGGGGGAAGAATAGTCTGAGAGATGCTGTCCTGCTTGGAGAGTAGCCCAGCCTCTGCCGGTGGTTTCTCGAAGCCCTGCTCTTTGTCTTGGGCCAAAGTGTCTCCTCCTGCTAATTCCCTCCTAGAAATCTCCTTTCGAATGTCCCTCTTTCATGTTAGGGTGGTGACTGGTGGCTTTCATAGAGATTTCCACACTCTCTTTAGAACAAATTGGTTCCAACACTTCTAACTGTGGGAATGCAGCCAAAATTCTGAGAGCCCTGGAAAAGTCTGGTTCACTGGATTCACTGTCTCAGAAGAGGACTTTTTCCTGGAAAGAGGCATCTGGAGCAATATTGGTATCAGGGCTGTCACTGAGGCCCCTTTTCTGTCAAGAGCACCATCAGTGGGCAGTGGTCAGTGGTGTGGGCCTGGTGCTGGCCAGGGGTCCTGGAAGTGGCTCCGCTGTCCTGCAGCCATGGGCCCAGGGAGCATTGATTCTGCCCAGCCCGGCTCTGTTCATCTGTGAGCTGAATCCCAATAGCATCGTTGAGCTCAGTGAGGATTAAGCAAGTTCATGCACCCGGAGAGCTCAGAACTGCAGTCCCCGGCCCGCAGTAAGTGCTGTGTGTGTCAGCCCATCGTCGTCCGCTGGTGCCGGTCAGGGTCACAGATGAGCCTTGTCAAAATGCAGCCCGGGATCAGGGCTTTGGGCTTAGGAAGTGAGATTTCTGTAGGAGCGCTTTGAGATTTAGCCTGTAATGAGCAGCTTTGCTTCTAATCGCTCTTGAGAGACAAGCCATCAAACATTGGTTATCCCTAAACTGAGAGCAGAAAGGGCTGAGGGGAGGAACAATGGCCCTGGCTCCCCCTGCCATGCACCCACTCTGCCAGCTGATGACAGACGCAGACGGATGGAGGACGTTCCAAAGTCGAGGCTCAGGGCTGCTGCCTTTTCTCCTTCTGCTTCTTAATTTAAAAAAATTTATCCTAGAGTCTCCGTTACTATAGATTCCCTGACAGTCTGCTGTGGGCTAATCTTCAGGATAAAGCATCACCTTTTTTGAGTGTTTTTCTCCTTCAGGTTTTTCTCTTTTATCTTGAAACCAGGAAGAAACCTATGCTCTCATTCAATGCTGGAAAATGCATCCCTTGCTCATTTTTAAACCTTTTCATCTTCCCTTCATTTTCTGCCTAAATGTCTCAATTGTGTTTATCTTTCTCTTTCAGGGATGGCAGATGCTTAAGTACATGCAGGCTGTGAAGTGAGTTGTAAATAAGATATTGTTATTAGGACTATCCCTGATAAGAAAGGCATGTCCTCTGCACCTCTAATCCTGGGCCACTGCTATGCATCCCCACTTAGATGACCGACTGCAGTCGCTCAGAGCAATTGTAGAGGATGGCAAGGAATCAACCTATTTGGATGAAGACGTTTTGTGGGCGGGCAGAGAAGAAAACTCTTGAGAGAAGGAAGCATTGCCAGGGGCATGGGAGCCTACAACTGCTGGTGCCTCAGTCCCATCTTTGACCAATTCATTCAACAAACATTTATCAAGGAATGTCTTTGTGCCAGACCCCATCCTAGGCATGGGGCATGCAAGAAGGACAGGTCCCTGTACCCATGGAACCCCCGTGCAGGAAGCAAAACAGGAAATGAACAATTAAACAAATACACAGTGTAATTTCAGATCATACTAAATGGTGGAAAATAAAGTGTGTTGATGTGATAGCAAGGGACTGGGGACTAGGGAGCGTCCGGGATTGCTGTCTGTTAGGAGATCATATTTGAGTTGAGACTCGAATGCAGAGAAGGAATCTACTGAGCGAAAACTAGTGGAAGAAGCACTTCTGTTCAACATAGCAGTGGAACTCCTAGTCAGAGCAATTAGGCAAGAACAATAAATAAAAGGCATCCAAATTGGAAAGGAAGAAGTAAAATTATCTCTGTACTCAAGTGACATGATCTTATATGCAGAAAACCCTAAAGATTCTACAAATCCCCCTGTTAGAACTAATAAGTGGATTTGACAAGTTGCAGGATATAAAATCAATGTGCAAAAATCAGTGAATATGAACAATTCAGAAAGAAAATTAAGAAAACAATTCAATTTACTATAGCATCAAAAAGAATAAAAGACAGGAATAAATTTGAAGAGGCAGAAGATTTGTACCAAAAACTATAAAAAACTATAAAAATTGCTGAAAAATTAAAGCAGACACAAATAAATGCAGACACCAGATGATGCTCATGAATCAGAGGACTTAATACTGGTAAAATGCCCTTACCTTCCAAAGCGATCTATAGATTCAATGCAACCCCTATCAAAATTCTAATTTTTTTGTGGAAATAGAAAAATTTATACTAAAATTCATATGGAACCTCAAGGCACCTCAAATAGCCAAAACAATCTTGAAAAAGAAGAATGGTTAGAGACATCACACTTCCTGATTTCAAAACTTACTGCAAAGCTACAGTAATCAAAACAGTATCATACTGACATAAAGATAGGTGTGTAGACCAAGGGAACAGTACAGACAGCCCAGAATTAAACCCTCACATGTAGGGCAGATGATCTTCGACAAAGATGCTAAGACCGCTCAATGGAGAAAGAACAGTCCCTTCAACAAATGGTGTTGCAAAAACTGTATATCTACATACAAAAGAACCTTTTATCATATATAAAAATTAACTCAAAATGGATAAAAAACCTAAACACAAACCTAAAACTGTAAAACTCCTAGAATAAAACATAAGAGAGAAGCTTCATGACATTGGATTTGGCAACGATTTATTGAATGTGAAACTAAAAGTGTAGACAGCAAAAGAAAAAATAGATACATTGGACTACAGCAATATTAAACACTTTGCATCTAAAGACACAGCAGAGTGAAAGGTAACCTATGAAATGGGAGAAAATGTTTGAAATATATATAAGGGGCTAATATCCAGGATATTAAAAACAAACTCCTACAACTCAACAACAAAAAAAGAAATAACCCTATTATAAAATGAGCAAAGGACTTGAATAAAGATTTCTCCAAAGAAGATATACAGATGGCCCATAAACACAAGAAAAGATGCTCAGCACCACTAATCATTAGAAAAATGCAAACCCAAACCACAATGAGATACCATCTCATGCTCATTAGGATGTCTACTATCAAGAAAACAGAAACTAACAAGTGTTGGTGTCGGTGTGGAAAAACTGGAACCCTTGTGCACTATTGATGGAAATGTCAATTGTATACCCCTATGGCTATACCCTATGGAATTATACCATAGGGGTATACCATGGGGGTATAATTGTATACCATAGGGGTTACCATGGGGGTATAATTGTATACTATAGGGGTATACCATGGGGGTATAATTGTATACCCATATGGAAAACAGTATGGCTGTTCCTCGGAACATTAAACATATAATTACCATGTGGTCCAGCGATTCCTTTCTGGGTATATACCCCAAAAAATTGAAAGCAAGGACTTGAAGAGGTATCTGTACACACAGGCTCATAGCAGTATTATTTACAATGTCCAAAAGACGGAAGCAATCCACGTGTCCATTGACAGATGAATAGATAAAGAAAATGTGGTATATCCCTACGATGGAATATTACTCAGCCTTAGAAAGGAAGGAGATTCTGACACATGCTGCAACACGGATGAAGCTTGAGGACTTTATGCTGAACGAAATAAGCCAGTCACAAAAGGACAAATACGGTATGATTCCACTTATAGGAGGTACCTAGAGTAGTCAGATTATAAAGACAAGGTGGAATGGTGACCGCCAAGGGCTGAGGGGAAGGAGAATGGAGTCGTATTTAACGGATACAGAGTTTCAGTTTTGCCAGATGAAAAGTTCTGTTGAGGGATGGTGGTGATCGTAGCACAATGGTGTGAATGTAGTTAATGCCACTGAGCTGTACACTTAGAAATGGTTAAGGTGGTTAATTTATGTGTGTAATTTACCACAGTTAGGAAAAATGATCAGAAGAGAGTTCCATGCTTAGGGAACAGCAAATGCGGAGGCCCTGTGGGTAGGAATGAGCTTGGCAGATTTGAGACAAAGGAGTCCTGTGCTCTGGGAGCAAAGTGAATCAGGTGGGGGAGTGGAAAGAGGTGTGACCACAAGGACAGACAGGGGACAGAACAGGCTGGATCTTCTGAGTTTGCATTTGATATCAGAGATGTGAAATCTGAGATTCACAACAAAGATCCCCAGTAACTTGCCCAAGGTGAAATAGTCAGTAGGTGGCAGTGGCAGGGAGTCCAAGTGGTTCCCTAACAGATTAGCTGTTTCCCCTTCTTCCTTAGTAATAGAACTACTGCTGACTATCAGTTGTGCCTATGGTCACCCAGAGTCATGACTACCTTTCCCAGCCCCTTTGCAGCTAAGCATGGCAAGGGAACTTAGTCCTAGACAGTGGGAAAGTAGGCAAAATCATCATGTGCAACTTTAAGGGTGTGTCCTTAAAGACAGAGGTATTCTCTTCTTTATCTTTTGTGCTTTCCTGCTATCTGGAATGTCAGTGTGATGGTTGGAGTTTGGCAGCCATCTTAGACCCATGAAGCAAGGGAGAGTGACATGACAGATGGGAGAGTGTGGCCGACATTGGACTTGGGAGTTGGGAGGGCTCCTGAGGTGGTGTCACTTGACCTGCCTTGTCTGATGAGGAGGAGCCAGTGGAGGGTGGGCATATTTAAGTAAGGTCACTCCTGGTAGAAGGATCTGAGGTGGGACAAGCTGGGAGTAAGAGGGGGTGGTGGTTGGACACAGCAGGGAGGCTGGAGGGACTGAGGGCAGGTGTGAGGGGAGCTTGGGCAGAGACAGGAGCTGAGAGGGGGCAGGGCCTGGCCCATCAGTCCCGTGATGGGGACACTGGAAGGTTGTGGTCAGAGAGCTGCCCAGGGCTGATTCAGCATGAGAAGGATCCTTCTAACTGCTGTGTGGGGAAGGGGCTGCTCATGACCAGGACGGGAGGCCAGGGCAAGGCTGGGGAGCCATTCAGGGTCAGCAGATGCTGGAAGATGGAATGGGAAGCACATGTTCTGTAGAGTATAGAGTGGAACCACCTGCGGGATGATGGGCCAGCACCTGCCCTGGACTCAGGGACATCTGTGGCTGATGATTGTGATAAAGATGGGGGATGACCTCAGAGCTCCCTTCCCAGCCTGCGTTTCTGCAGGGAAATGTCAAATCCAGGGAATGGAATTGATCCCAGCATAAAAAACACATGACACTGTGGAGCCAGGAAGGAAGGTCATGAGAATGTTATCAGATGCCATATAATACTCAATATAAAACCAATCAATAATAATCAGAAGTAATCAATATAAAGCCAATAATCAATATAAAATTCAACGCAACCGTAATGAGGGTGATGATGCCTAACATTTTAAACCCTTGCATCCCATGGGCAGATGGTGTACTGAGCACTTTACTGGTATTTTCTGCCTTAACTTGTCTGATAATCCTATGTAACAGGAACTATCATTATCCTCAGTTTATAGAGGAGGAGACTCAGGCACAGAGAGGTTTAAATAACCTGCCCAAGGTCACACAGCTAGTAAGTGGTAGGCAGTGGGCTGGGATTTGAACCCAGAGAACCTGCCTCCCATGCAGGTGTTGTGTGCAAATTTGGCTCAGCCAATTGGATTCTCTTGTCTAGATCCAGGAGGTCTTCACCTTTCTGGATATCTGGCTCACTTGCATCCTGTGATTGTGCCCCCCCAGAGTGAGGGGGTGCATCAGGGCTGAGGATGCTGGTTTGAGTCTTTGAGCAGCATGTGAGACAAACCGAGCAGCAGATGTGGCCAGGTGGGAAAGCCGACACCTCCTGGACTCTCGAAGGCTGAACTGGAGACCCAGGGACAGGGACGGGAGGGTCCCATGGGAGTCCCCAACTCTTATCATCATTTCCGTGTTCATTTGTTCTTGGGAGAGGGGACATCAGAGCCTCCTTCCCCCATTAGAATTTTTGCTCCAAGAAGGGGTTTTTGTTTGATGTGTGTCTCTAGTGCCTTGGGCAGTTCCTGGCTCAATATGTATAGAAATATTATTGTAATAAAGATGAGGGCAGCGACCTTATCTGTCCCTTTCAACCCAGCACCTAGCAGAGTACCTGGCATGTGGTAGGACTCAATAAATATTTGTAGAATGAATGAATGGATGAATGAATGAGTGACATCTCTCAATCCTTCCCCATACCTGCCTCCTCTGTCTTCAGGACCCTTTCCTCCTCATCTCATTCCAACATCCCTGTTTTGGGGCTTTCTTGGGTGGATTTGGGGCCCCATTGTGCTCCCCCAGTGCCTGTTTTAACAGCCTCCCTCCTGCCAAGATGACAAATGTCTCTCAGCCCTGGAAGCTGAGGCTGCCTCCACTGTGAAGCTGATACCACTGTTGGAAGATGCTTCCTCCCACATTGGCACTGCTCTGCTGTGCCCCGGGGTTGCGGCACCTCCTCTGACTGGCCCTTCACTTCAGTCACACTCCTGGAAACAAGTTCCCAGGCAGACCCCGTCCCCAAAGTCTAGGATTCAATTGTCTGCTTATACCAGTGCTAAAAACAGCATGATTTCCCCCAACTCAGCTGCACCTGTGCAGACAAGAATAAGACAGCATATTTTTAGCAGGTAACAGACTGCACACATGCAGGCTATAATTAGCATTTCATTCAAAGGGAGGAGTTTCCCATCCAATGCAAGAGTGACTGACCACGGGGTCTTCTCACTGCAGCCTCTGTCTCAGGTGCCTGGTGCAGGAAGGAGCCAGCAGCACTGAGGGAGACCCTGGGGTTCCCTGGGCACCCAGGAAAGGGGTGGGGCCTTTTTGGATATTGCTCCCGTCACTGCTCATACCTTTCTCTCTGGCCTGTCCAGAGCCTTGGTCCTGCCCAGACCCTAGTGCTGTCCTCCTGTGAGGATGACCTGGCCAGGCCATGTGATGAAGGTGCCCTGTCAGGTTGGTGTGGGGCTTGCAGGTCCTCTGTCCTGCACTCAAGCTGCCCCATGGGGGACAGGGACAGGGCTGGGGTTACCCAGCTGTGGCAGAGACTGCTGGATGACCTCAGCATCCCTCCTGGTAGCAGTGAGCCTAGCTGCCTGGAATAAAGACTGCATTTCCCAGGCCTCCTTGTGACCAAAACATGGCCAGTGGGGTGTGAACATTGTCTTTTTTTCCTTCTCTTTGGATGGGAGAAAACAGGGTACAGATGTCTGGGATGAAGCAGAAGGCAACGGTCTCAAAAATCCGAGGATAAAGATAGAAGGAGGTGGGGCCTCAGTTTCCTCTGCTGTAAAATGGAAGAGTAATTATGTCTATGTTCTGTGGTTTCTGTAAGTTAAGATTCTTTCAGCTGCTAAGTGAAGAAAAATTAAACCCCAATGGTCTAAGGCAAAGGTGGATTTATTGGCTCAGGTAACTGGAAAAAAAATATTCAAGAAAGAGGCTGACTCAGGCATGACTGTTTATCCATAGCCTGGGGGACCTGACTTGCCTGAGTTACCCGTGGCTGTTATTTTCCCCGTAAATTTGTTCATGTGACCAGCAATTCCGGCTTGAAAGGACCATAGAATCTTATTGTAACCCCAGTGTTTAAATCCTGAGCGCACGGGATGTCCAAAATCATCATCGTCACGATTTCTGCCATTCACAGAGCTGACATTTTTCCTGCTCCTCCCAGCTCTTTTTTCTGGCCTCTGCTAAGGTCGAATTCTCCACTCTGCATCTCACAGCTGCCCTTCTTGCTTCTGCAAGGGTCCCTCCATCCAACCACATCGTGGGCTTCTTCTTCTGCTTTTCACATCTCCAAGTTCCACATCCCCAAGTAGCTAATAGAGACACATTTTACTGAACATTTTGGAGCAACCCAGGAGTGTGATTTCATCCATGCCCCGGTCCTTTGGCCATTTCTGCCAACTCTAACA
Source organism: Homo sapiens (assembly GCF_000001405.40). Taxonomy (NCBI): domain Eukaryota; kingdom Metazoa; phylum Chordata; class Mammalia; order Primates; family Hominidae; genus Homo; species Homo sapiens. The sequence continues at coordinate 47,818,210 of NC_000020.11, forward strand.
TCAGTGTATGTTGCTTAGCAACTCCATTTTTGTTTTTATTAAGAAACTTTAATTCAAAAGGAAAACTCTATCACCAGAGTAAATAGAAAACCAGCATCTTTTCCATGCAAAAGGATGATGACTGTAGAACTAAAAGCAATAAACCTAAACAGAAGGGCTTCATTCTGCAGGAAGCCCGGGGCCTGTCCTTTCTTTGTTCAAAAGGATGAAATGCAAGGTCTGGAAAGGAGCTAAAGGCGCATCAGCACCAAATCAAGGTGTTTTCTTTGAGGTGACTGAAGAATTGGAGAAGAACCACTACAGGATTCAGCGATCTTAGTGCTAGCCCCGTTTGCTTTGTCAAATCATCTCATGTTTATCCTCTGGGAGTTCCTGAGCTAGGAGGGCTGTTGCGGGGCTGGGAGAAGGGAGTTCCAGGCAGCGGGGCTAGCGTCACACAGGCCTGACAGGAGGTGGGGGCCCTGGTTCAAAGAAGTAGCAGAAGCCCGGGTGTGGTGGCTCACGCCTATCATCTCAGCACTTTGGGAGGCTGAGGCAGGAGGATCACTTGAGGCCAGGAGTTCCAGACCAGCCTGGCCCACATGGTGAAACCCTAACTATTTTTAGTCTCTATGAAAAATACAAAAATTAGCCTGGTGTGGTGGCACACACCTATAATCCCAGCTACTCATGAGGCTGAGGCGAAAGAATCGCTTTAACCCGGGAGACAGAGGTTGCACTGAGCCGAGATTGAGCCACTGCACTCCAGCTTGAGCAACAAAATGAGACTCTGTCTCAAAAAAAAAAAAAAAAGTAGCAGAGAGAAGCCAGTGAAACAGGAGGAAAGCAGAGGAGGTGGAAGAGGAGAGCAGGCAGGGGCCAGATGGCACAGAGCCTGGCAGCCACAGTCAAGGGTGCTGCCGGGCTGGAAATCTGGGGCATGAGGGCGTCAGGTGAGTGCTCTTAAAATCCAGGTGGCCTGGGAAAGAGATAAAGCATGGGGGACATTCAGCCAGGCAGGACCGGGTCCCACCCATGTGCCACCCCCAGTGTGGCCTCTGCCCCTCCCTCCCAGCAGGTGACCCCGCATCCCTCGGAGGCTGAGGTGTGGGGTAAGTGGAGGCTTTGAGTCTTTATTTCCTGAGCCCACGTGTCCCTGTCTCTCGGCAGGGACCCTCGGCCAGCTCAGGGGTAAGAATGCAGTGACAGTCAGCGGTGATGTCCCCTGTGAAGAGCCCTGATTGGATTTCCGAGGCATCTCCAGCCATGAGGGCCGCAGACAGGCCCTGGCCAGGGACCTTTATCCGCATGCCTCTCACTCCCCTGATTGAATCTATCGATTCCCTGTCTATCACCACCTTCCCCGAGACACAAGGATGGGATGGTTTAAATGATTTACTTATTTCAAGCCACTGGGGCTTGGCAGAAAAACCAATAGGTGAATGTTAGAATGTTTTCCCTTAATTATTCAGGCTCTCTGAAGAAGAATCTGAAATATCTCGCTGTGAATGGAGCCAAGGTAGAGATGAGGCTGCAGCTGCAGGAAGTGTTCTCTGAACCACCTGCCCTCCTGCCTGGGTCCCCCCACGGCACAGGTGTATTTAATTCACCTGTAGTCAGTGAATGTTGGTGGAGCACCTCTGCCACATTGAGCACTGGTCTAGCTGCAGAGACACAGAGATGGAAACCATGCAGCCTCGGACCCTTCAGCTACTCACAATCTATTGAAAGAGGGGGTGTGTTTGGGGCATGATTAGAGCTATAGTTTAAGGATGGATAGACCAGGTTAGGAGCGCAGTGAAGAGGAAATTCATGGAAGGGATACGGAAACAGAGCTGGAAATGTACACAAGGGTGAGGATATTTGATGCTTAAGAATTTTTAATAAATTATTTCCTTCTTTTGTTTCTTTGAATACAAAAGAAACCTTTACAAAATTTAAAAAATAAAGATTATAGGCCATGCTCTGATCATTACAAATGACATTAAAATAAATGGTAAAGAGATAGCCCTGGCCAGATGTGGTGGCTCATGCCTGTAATCCCAGCACTTTGGGAGGCTGAGGCAGGTGGATCACTTGAGCTCAGGAGTTCCAGACGAGCCTGGCCAACGTGGAGAAACCCCATTTCTACCAAAAATACAAAAAAATGGCCAGATGTGGGGGTGCACACCTGTGGTCCCAGCTACTCAGGAGGCTGAGGTGGGAGCTCTCATTTGAGCCCGGGAAACAAAGGTAGTAAGCTGAGATCGCATGCCACTGCACTCCAGCCTGGGTGACAGAGTGAGACTCTGTCTCAATAAATACATAAATAAATAGAAAAAAAGATAGCCCTGCTAGGAATGCTCTGTGTCTTGATTGGGATGATGTTTACTTGAGTAGACACATTTGTCAAAACGCATTGAATGGGACAGAGAACAGTGCCTTTTACTGGGGAAGGAACTCTCTCCCAGATAACTCCCAGATCAAAGCAGAAACCAAAACTAGAATGATGGTTTCTAGAAAACAACAAGAATAGTTTACACCAGCATCTGAGGGACTCGGCTAGTGCTGTACTCAGAAGAAAATTTATAGTCTTAAATGCTTGTATTGCTCCAGGGTTTCAAAAGGGCGATGGTAAAAGTACTGAGTTCTCAAAAAATAGGAAAAAACAAAAAACAAAACAAAACACAACCAAAAAAAAAACCCTAAATAAGCCAAGATAAAATGGGGAGAGGAAATTAAAGATAAGAGCCAACATCGAATATGCACAGGGTGTGGACGGTGAGTTTTTGGGGGAGTTAGTGATGGGAGCACGCCGCTTCGGAAGTGTATTTTTCCATTTCAGGAGCTGGAGGGTTTTTACGCAGTGGAGTGACCATGCGTGGAGCTGGATGGAGAAAGACCGTGGAGGCTGCAGGGTGGAAAGCTGACTGGGGAAGACTGATAGTCACTGTCTGCCTTGCCTGTTCTTGTTCTCTTCCTGGGCTCTAAGATTTCTTTCTTTCTTTCTTTTTTGACAGAGCCTCTCTCTGTCACCCAGGCTGGAGTGCAATGGCATGATCTCGGCTCACTGCAACCTCCGCCTCCTGGGTTCAAGCAATTCTCCCGTCTCAGCCTCCCATGTAGCTTGGACTACAGGCATGTGCCACCGCTTTCGGCTAATTTTTGTATCTTTAGTAGAGACAGGGTTTTGCCATATTGGCCAGGCTGGTCTTGAACCCCTGACCTCATGTGATCCACTTGCCTCAGCCTCCCGAAGTGCTAGGATTACAGGTGTGAGCCACCACGCCCGTCCAAGATTTCTTTTCCTTCTCTAAATCATTACAGGGGGTCTGGATGCTAGCTGTGCCCTGCCGCTGGGTTATGCAGCCCAGAAATGAAATTTCAAGAGAGTGGGTTCATCTGTGCCAAGTCACATCTTCACCAAAGAAATCTGGGCTCTGATGGGGTCTGCGATGGACTTGTACGTGTGCCATCTGGGGGATGGAGGGTGGGGTGGTGGCCAGGACGGGCCTGTCTGGGAAAGAGGCTTCCCTGAGCCAAGACAGTGGGGGCCACAGGGGACTCTGGGATGGGAAAGCCAGCCCAGCCAGGGTCCTTGGGGGATCTGGAGGGGACGTGACAAAGCAGGAGGGTAGGAGGGGAGCCAGGAGTGGGAAGCTGGGGAAGCCAGAGCAGCAGAGGCTGGAGCAAATCCCGTGGGAAAGAACCAGGAATGGGTGGTTCCTGAGGGAGTGGCTCAAACACCCTCGCAGGGGGGTGGCTCACCTTTAAAGAATGTCTTGCTCAGGCCGGGCACGATGTCTCATGCCTGTAATGCCAGAACTTTGGGAGGACAAGTGAGACGAGGTTGGTTGCAGTGAGCCGAGATCGTGCCATTGCATTCCAGCCTGGGCAACAGAGCGAGACTCCATCTCAAAAACAAAACAAAACAAAAAATGCCTTGCTCTTCCTCAATCAAAATCCCCCTGGGAGTAAAAGATACTGAATGATAGCATACATAAGAAAAGTGCCCAGGCCAGGAGTGGTGGCTCACACCTGTAATCCCAGCACTTTGCGGGGCTGAGGTGGGTTGATTACTTGAGGTCAGGAGTTTGAGACCAGCCTGGGCAACATAGTCAGACCTCATCTCTTAAAAAAAAAAAAAAAAGAAGAGGAAGAAGGGGTAGGAGGAGGAGGAGGAGGAGGAGAAGAGAAAGAGGAAGAAAAGAAACGTGCCCAGATCATAAGAGTACATTTCAATTAATCCTCACCAGGTACACGCTCCTGTGCCCAGACCCTAGATAAAGAAACAGCAATCTCACTACACAGAGTCCAACTGAATGCCTCTCAGAGGGCCACATTCTCCTCTTCAGTGTTGAGGAAATTGGATCCAAAAGAGCCTTGGGTCTCTTTTGGTTGTTTCATTTGAGTATTCTATGGGCAGATTTTTATGTATTGGACTTCTTGAAATGGGACTTACCTGTGCTTAATTTATCTTGATTTCAGCCCACTGGGTAATAAATACAATGGACCCTTGAACAGCACAGGTTAGAACTGCCAGAGACCACATATACGCAGATTTTCTTCTGCCTCTGCCACCCCGAGACAGTAAGACCAAACCCTCCTCTTCCTCCTCCTACTCCTCAGCCTACTCAATGTGAAGAGACAAGGATGAAGACCTTCATGGTGACCCACTTCCACTTAATGAAGAGTAAATGTATACTCCCTTCCGTATGATTTTCTTAATAACATTTTCTTTGCTCTAGCCGACTTTATTGTAGGAATACAGTATATGATACATTTAACATACGAAAACTGTTTATGTTATCAGTAAGGCTTCTGGTCAACAGTAGGCTATCAGTAGTTAAGTTTTTGCAGAGTCAAAAGTTATATGTGGATTTTTGACTGCGTGGGATTTGGTGCCCCCAACTCCCACATTGTTCAAGAATCAACTGTATTCCAAATGACAGAATGTAATGCCAGACATCTGGAAAAGACTGATACAGTTTTCCGACCACCAGAAGAAAATCCACCCAGGGAATTGGTCAGCGGAGGCAGGCACTCAGGTTTCACGGAGCCATGAGTTGGAGGGATTCTGCCAGCTTGGGTGATGAGGGGCTCACAGGTCCCAGGAAGGTGGCAGTAGCCTGGGAGCTGCTTCCTTGAAAACTCTGAACGGGCTGGGACCTGTGGAGAGGGACAAGCGAGGGCTCAAGGGATGGGTCTGAGCTGGTTTTTAAAGTTTATCTGTGTTAGAGAAACTGCCGCTCCAACACCAAGAATAAATCAGCTCCATTTCCCATCACCTCGGTTGCTTCTTTTTCCCATCTCTTCCTCTCTGTAAGTTTTGCCTAAGAAAAATGTATCATGTTTTCTGAAGACAACCGCTTCCCCCTCCTCCCTTGTGAACAGTCAGGCAAAGAATGAATTTAGATTTTTTTGTAGTGTCAAGGCCTCTCTCATTAAATTACTCCCACCATCTCTTGTCTCTCCTGGTGAGTGAGTTTAATGATCTCTTGCTCCTTACTCTCTTGAAAACTGCCTCGTGTGCTTCTGGCTTGGGCAATCTTAATGCTTTGGGCAGCTTTCAGTTTCCTGACTGTAGCTTGCACTCCAGACTTCATCCCCAGCCCGTCCCCATCCTCTTCTCCGCCCAGCGCTTCCCATCTTCCCACATTCCTCTTCTCATCCCCTGTTCTCTCTGCACTTATTTGCTCACTGACATTCCCATATTTTCTACTTCTACTGAAATCCTGATTGTATCCAGTCATGCTTTTTTGATTTTTTAAAAACACTGAAATGTCTGTAATTCCAACACTTTGGGAGGCCGAGGTGGGCGGATCGCTTGAGCCCAGGAGTTTGAGACCAGCCCAGGCAACAGGGCAAGGCCGTATCTCTATAAAAAATACAAAAATTAGCCGGGCATGGTGGCATGCGCCTGTATTCACAGCTACTCAGGAGAGCGAGGCAAGAGGATCGCTTGAGCCCAGGAGGTTCAGGCTGCAGTGGGCCATGATCACACCACGGCATTCAGCCTGGGCAACAGAGAGAGCGCCTGTCTTAAAGACAAACAAACAAACAACCCTGAAATTTTGGCTCACACCTGTAATCCCAGCACTTTGAGAGGCCGAAGTGGGCAGATCACTTGAGGCCATGAGTTGAAGACCAGCCTGGCCAACATAGCGAAATCCCGTCGCTACTAAAATTACATAAATTAGCTGGGTGTGGTGGCGGGCACCTGTAATCCCAGCTACTCGGGGAGACTGAGGCACAATAATTGCTTGAACCTGGGAGGCTAAGGTTGCAGTGAGCTGAGATTTTGCTACTGCACTCCAGCCTGGGCAACAGAGTGAGACTTCGTCTCAAAACAAACAAATACACACACACACACACACACACACACACACACACACACACAAACACAAACAAAAACCCCTGAAATGTGATGATGACCGTTGTGTCCTTATCAACAGCCATTGCTTGCCTGCTTACGTTAGTTGCAGTGGGAGGGTAGGCAGCCAGAAGTATTGGGCATTCCCCTGGCCTGTGCATTTTGAATGATGAATACAAAACTGCTCAATTCACCAAAAACAATCATGTAAGAAAGGAACGTTTCACTTCTTCTTATGGGCCCCTGATTGCATGTGATGCAGGTGACAATTACATATGTCCCCTTAACAGTTTGGAAAATTCTAGTGAAGAGAGGAGTTTAAGTCCCTTCACACTGAACTGAAACAATTAATTCTCTATAAAAATCTCCGCATGATGGATCATGTTGCATTTCAAACCTCTACAGACTGTCTCATATAAATATCTGTTTCTCTTTTTTGAGACAGAGTCTCGCTTTGTCACCCAGGCTGGAGTGCAATGGTGCAATCTTGGTTCACTGCAACTTCTGCCTCCCAGGACCTGCAGAGGTCCTGGTCTCAGAGTTCATGCCCTGCAGTTGCTGTGTGTCCAGCAGCTGGCAGGGCAAGAGGGTTGGGGGGTGGGCGTCACCCCCACAGACACACAGCACCCGGCAGAACCCTGGCCTAAAGGCGCGCAGCTCTGGGGTCTCCCAAGCCCACCTGGGAGTAGGCCCATGGGGACAGCTGTGGGGGACAGGGACTCCCAATGTACAAAACAGGCCATGAGCTGGGCAAGCTACTCCTTCTCATAACCTCAGACCTTTCTTCTGACCCAGTCAGGACCAGCTCCTGGGAGCCTGCAGACAATCCTGGGCCCAGAGAAGCAGGCAGATGTGGCTGTTGGTAGCACTAATATGGGTTGTGAATATCATCCTGTGGTTATTACTTTACTTACGTTACCTGCCAGTACACTCGATCCTGCATATGTCCCCTCACTTCACGCTCACGGGGTTTGAATGATGGGACGAGCACTCCCAGCAGGTGATGAGGGTGATAAATGGCACCTGACATTCCTGGAGCACCTGTTGGTGCGCAGGGCGGGGCTTAGTGCTCTGTTTGAGTCTGGAGACTTTACTCTGCAACAGCAGCTGTGTGACCCCCGGTAAGTGGTTTAACCTTTCTATGCCTCTTCTTTCTCAACTCTAAAGGTGGATAATAAAGTCCCTGCCCTCAAGCAATCAAAGATGTGTAAGAAGGGCCTGGCACATGGCAGGCAGGCAGTATACATGGTTGGGATTAACCCCACTATACAGATGAGGAAACTGAGGCTCAGAGGCACTGGCCTGGCAGGAAGTAGGACCTTCGCCCAGGCTTGTCTGATGCTGAGCGCTTTGGCCTCCATCCCTTATGGCTGCTCCCCACTCCACACTGGGACAGATCCTGGAGAGGCAAACCCCAAATACCCTCCCTAACCAGAAACCGAAATACCAAAATCCACTAGATCCCAGCCCTTACAGCTGCCTTCAGAAGGGACAGAGCAGAGGGCCACCCCCTCACACGCACACAGGGGCTGACCATCCAAGGTTGCCAATCACCTGGCTGCGAGCAGCCCTGTTCCCACGGGGACACTGACCGCTCCGAGTGCCCGGCATTCAGGCCTCGAGCCACCCACTCTGCACTGCACGGGGCCTCCTTGGAACGCGTCCCTCCCCAGAGGCCGTTTCTCTGTGGGATGGCGCTGCTCTGTGGGGAGGACCCCACCTCCCTCCTTCACGACGACCTGCCCTCACCTGGCTCGTCTCTTGGTAGACACTGTCCCACGCATCTCTGTCATTTGCATGCCACCGTGGTGACAGTCTTCCTGGCCACGGGTGTGACAGGGCCTTTTAGTTTCTGACTGACACAGTCACAGCCCGATTTCACCTGATTCCACTTACAAAGGCAGGTTTCCCTTCCCAGCCTCACATGGAGGTGGTCTCCGTGGAGTTCAAGAGGATGTGGGCTGGGAGGAGGGGCAGCAAAGAACCCCAGCACACCCCAAGCAGGAGGTGGCAGGGTCCGTCCGGCCATCTGGAGACAGCCAAGACCCTTGGCCACTGCAGATCCCCCCACTGAGCCTGCCCCCATCCCCACTCCACACTGGAACACATGCTGGAGGGGCAAACCCCAAATACCCTCCCTAACCAGAAACCAAAATACCAAAATCCACCAGATCCCAGCCCAGCATGGCCAGATAGTCTGACTTTCCAACGAAGTCGAAAATACAGATTTTTAGAATTAAAATGTAAATGCTGGCAACTAATTCAAATTCAATTTTGTGGTGGTGTTTTTTTGTTGTTGTTGTTTTTGCATGGAGGGCTTTCTGGTGAAAACCAGACCCCACCTGGGAGCAGGCCCCGGGGGGATGGCTGTGGGAGAAGGGGACCCCTTCCCCGCAAGTACAAAGAACAGGCCACGAGCTGGGCACAGATGCCTCTTCCCGAGCCCACCTGGGAGTGACAACCGGAAAACGTGCTAGACAAATTCTGAAAGAGCTGGAACACCTTACATTATTTTAAAAGTCCCCAGGTTGAGTTAATCCCAGACCCTTTACAGCTTTTTCCTTCTGATTGGTGAGGCCTCAGCTCAAATGTCACCTCCTCAGAGAGGCCCTCCCCCATGGCCCTATTTAAGTAGCCCCCACCAGAGTCTCAGTCAGCGACACGCACCCTTCATTTCCTTCTTGGCGCTGACCCCTACCTGCAAGTGCCTCGTCATTTGCGGTTGGCATCTGCACTGTCCGTCTCCACCAGCACTTAGGCTCCGTGAGGACAGACGCACGTCGCCTTGTGCCCTGGTGAATCCCAAATCCCTGCCCTGAGCGCAGTGCCTGGCACAGAACAGACACAGGCAATGAGTGCTGCTGAAAGTTCCCCATGGAGCCAGTGGTGATCTGTCCAGGCTCTACAGCCCTCCCGCTAAACGTGTTCAGAGACGGGGACGCTGGGGCCATCCTCCTTGCTCCACTCCTGGTGAAGAGCCCTCAGACCCATAAGATGGGCTTGTCCATATCACCTTCTCAGGTGAGCCTCATACATAAGCAGGTTCAGTGGGTTAACCAAGCCTACATCTTTAACCCACGTGATAACCACAGTACCAGGTTTCTGCCATCAAATCTTTTCTATCCTCAGTCCTGCCTTGGGAATTCAAACTCACCCAGAATTCAGAGTTTCACAGACTCAGAAGAGAATGTGATGCCAGATTGTTCTGAAATGTTTGGTTTTAAAGCAAGATCAAATGATTACATTTGTGATCTGAAATCATTTGATTGTATCAAGCCATATCCCCTTCCAAATTATTTTCTTTAAATTCTCCCCAGAACGGGGAGCAGTATTAATTGTTTCCAATGAAAAGACTGCCCCTTTCATCAAAGCCATGAGCTTTATCTGCTGTTTTTGAATATAACACTGGCTTAGTGAAAGTGATTGTAAATAGCAGGTCTTCTTTGTGCATTTTGTGCTTCCAAATGTGCTACTTGGAATAAAGAAGTGAAAAGTTTAAAAATCCTCTCTTGTAAATGTTTGGAAATTGCACTAGAGTTATTTCTTGCTCTTTGAGGGGAGAGGTCACCCTGCAAACATACAGTCACACCTGTTCGGCTCCCCCGGGTTTTGAATGTCACTAAACCCCCACTTCCCCCCTACCTTGGCAGGTCAGACTCTGTGAAGGACGCTCACTGTCTGTACGACCTCACACCAGGCACAGGGACTGGGGGAAAGAGACACATCTGGCTTGTGGGACATTCCTGCAAGGCCAGTTTTCTGGTAGGGAGGTGACACCTGCAAAGGAATCTCTCATTTCTCCCAGCTCCAGCCAGTTTCAACAACAGGTGGGGTTTTCTTTCCTCTCAATTGTTATAGATTTCTTTTCTAATAATCAAAGTCATGACTCATTTTGAAAGTTTTTAAAAATAGAAGAAAACAAGATTTTAAATCACACGTGATACCAACACCAAAGATAAGCAGCATTCGCATTTTGCTATGTAGTGCTCCTGTTAGACATACACACACATATGATCACACTTACACACTTATGCATTTTTGCTTCATTAAAATAGAATACAGCTTTATGGGCCAGGTGCAGTGGTTCATGCCTGTAAACACAGGCAGATCACTGAAGGTCAGGAGTTTGAGACCAGCTTGGACAACATGGTGAAACCCTAGCTCTACTAAAAATACAAAAAAATAGCTGGATGTGGTGCATGTGCCTGTAATCTCAGCTACTCAGAAGGCTGAGGCAGGAGAATTGTTTGAACCCAGGAGGCGGAAGTTGCAGTGAGCCGAGATCTCACCATTGCACTCCAGCCTGCACAACAGAGTGAGACTCTGTCTCAAAAAAAAAAAAAAAAGAAGAGCTTTGTTTACACTAAACAATATTTTGTGTCCATATTTACACATAGATAACAACAGATCACTATCATTTTTGGTATGGGCATATGTAGATATAAGTATTACATGAATTTCCTACTTTTTATCCAGTTATGGTCATATCACCTATCAGTGATTTAACTTCAGCCAAGACAGAAGTTTATCTCATGAAAACCAAGACTGGGCCGGGCACAGAGGCTCACGCCTGTAATCCCAGCACTTTGGGAGGCTGAGGTGTTTCACTTGAGGTCATGAGTTCGAGACTAGCCTGCTCAACATGGTGAAACCCTGTCTCTACTAAAAATAAAAAAAATTAGCTGAATATGGTGGCACGGACCGGTAATCCCAGCTATTCGGGAGGCTGAGGCATGAGAATCACTTGAACCCAGGAAGCGGAAGTTGCAGTGAGCTGAGATCACGCCATTGCATTCCAGCCTGGGCAACAGAGCAAGAGTCTGTCTCAAAAAATAAAAAAGTAAAAACAAAACTGGAGGTTCTCAGTCTAGGGTGGCGTTAGGGACTTTCATTTCCTTCCAGAGGACATTCTGCTATCCGCAGGGTAGAAGCCTAATCCTCAAGGTTCAAGGTGACAAGAATAGCTCCAACCATCATACGCTTATTCCAGGAAGCAGGTCAAAGGATGGAACAACTAAGAAATGACATTAAAGATATGTGTCAGTCCATCTGCGTTGCTATAAAGGAATACCTGAGGCTGGTTATTTATAGAAGAGAGGTTTAATTGGCTCACAGTTCTGCAGGCTGTACAAGCATGGCACCAGCATCTGCTCCTGGGGAGGCCTCAGGAAGCTTCCAATCATGGCAGAAGGTGAAAGGGAAGCAGGTACATCACATGGCGAGAGAAAGAGCAAGAGAGGGAGGAGGATGTGCCAACCCCTTTAAACAACCAGATCTCCCATAAACTCAGAGCAAGAATTCAGTCATTGCCATCAGGATGGCACCAAGCCATTGTGAGAGGGATCTGCCCACATCACCAAAACACCTCCCACCAGGCCCCACCTCCAACATCAGGGATCACATTTCAACATGAGATTTGGAGGGGACCAACATCCAAACCATATCAAGACAGAAGTTACAGAAGGGGGTCTCCAAAAATACCACCCAACACTTTTATTGCCTCCCATTGGCCAGAACCTGGTCACATGGCCACAACTCACTGCAAGGAAGCCTGGGAAAATGTAGCCTGTGCCCGCCCACTAGGAGAGGGGAGCACTGGTGCCAGGGTGTGGGACCACCAGTGGGCATTTATGCTTCCTACTTCTTTCTTCTTATAAAAATCCTTGAGATTCATCTTTGCATATTTTTCTGACTATTTCCTAGGGATCAATGCCTATAAATGAAATTTGGGACCAAAAGTTACGCACCTTCATTGGCCAGTTGCAAAATTGCCCTCTAGAAAAGTTGTACCAACGAACTCACCCAAGAGGTGGGGTTCTATTTCATGAAATGTTTCTCCACCCCACATTTCCTTTTAATCCACACCCTTTGGCCTTTATTAGGCTTAGACATCTCTTCAGAATCCGTGCTTCCTACATCATAATCTTGGGATTCAATACATGTTTTTCATTCGGGTTATTATTAATATCAGATTTATCTAACTATGCGTGAACCCAGCCACAGCCTTAGGGAAAGAGATGTATCTTTCAGTGCTGAAGAGAATAAAAATGAATAATCCTCAGAGACTTTGAAACTGAAGTGGGCAGGCAAGGGTGGAAAGAACAGATCTCATTCTACGAAGTGCATGGAGGGATATTCACAGAGCATGTAGTGCTGAGTAGAGCGGAACAGGCACCCGGGGACACCCAGAGAGCAGCCTTTCCTCAACAGAAAAGGAGTGAGCACCACACAGAGCTGCAGAAAGGGAATCCCAGACAGGGGTAACAGTAGATGCAAAGGCCCCATGGCAGGCACCAACTTGTCCAGGTTTGCCCAGAACTTTCTCAGTTTTAACACTAGAAATCCCATATCCCAGGAAAATTCTGAGTCTCAGCCAAGCTGGGATGATTTGCCTGAAACTGCCCTGTTATAAAACTGAGAGGTCTGTGCCCCATGACCCTCCTCAGTCCTGAGCAAGCTGAGGCAGTGGGTCGCCCTAGACTGGAACGACATGCATGATGGTGGGAAGAGCCAGTGACTCTCTTTCATGTCCTCTCTCCCCTCAACCTCAGGAGTCACCCAGGTGGGCACTGGCATCCAGGATGAAAACTTCCCAGCACCCCTAGCAGCAAGCAGAGGCCACGTGACCAGGCAGTGACCAATGCACATGAGGCCAGTGCACAGCAACTGCCATTAGAGGAAGGAAGATTTGTGTCCTCTTGTTCTCTTCTCCCCTCCCTGCTGGCTGGCAGTAGATAGGATGGACACTGTGGGGGAAGCTATACCCTAAGGAAGTCAGAGCAGCAAGATGGAAGTAGCCTAAGACCCTGAAAAATGCACAGAGAAGAATGACCCGACTGGCTTGGACTTTCATGTGAAAGGAATGAACCTCTGTCTTAGTAAAGCCACCGTCATTCAGGGTCCTTGTCACATTCACTGAGGCTGTAACATAATTGTTAGAAAGAACAGGAGCGGGAGGGGGGATGGAGTCGGAGAGGCAGGCAGAGGTCAGATCACATCGGGCCCGTAGGCCAAGGCGGAGGAAGAAACAGGCAACATAGGACTCAAGGACCACACCTGCTCCCAGGCAAAGGGAGTTTGCTGTGGGTGCCCCTCTCTGTCTGTGTGTCCAGTGTGTGGATATTCTTTATACCTTGCCCATATTGTACAAATACTTTTTTCTATTCAATATTTAGAAGACATTGCATTAAATAGCAAGATGGCAGATGAACATCAGGAAGGAACATTAGGGACATCCACAGTGTTCCATCCAGGAACCTTCACCGTGGAAACCCTTGTGCTCATGGGCGTGGTCTCAACACACAGTCAGCTGTTGGGGATCAGAGGCCGCACTCACCGGAGCAGTGAGGCAGAACTAACTGGGAGAGGGTCCTTCTGTGACACCTACTGCATCACCGGGCTGTGTGAAGTGACTCAGCTGCCAGAACTCACACAATATCATTCTACACCAAAACCTCATGGGAAAAATGGTAAGTTCTCAGTTTCTCCATTAATAGCAACTCTCAGATTAATCGCTGTCCTCCATCGCTTCTCCATGAAACAACTTTTTATAGCTTTGCTTGCGTCTATTTTTCCATTTTTTTTAATTTTGCTAACTGATTGAAAGATATATATTGTGTGTGTGTGATTTTGTCTCTGTCAGCCAGGATAATCATGGTTTAATTCTTATTATTTTTATTACCAACATCCTTTAGTTTTTTAAGCTTTTCAATTCCTAAGGGTATTAATCAAGATCTTTCTGTCTCATGAGACACAGAAAACAAATCCAAACTGTGTAAGAGGAAAAAGAATGCATTCATCACTAGCATTGAGGAGTTCCCAAGCTTAGCTTGCTTGGGGTACAGCTACGTCTACCATTTCCAGGGTCATCCTGTAACTCTCTCTCTCTGCTTCCCCAACTTTGGCTCCATGTTTAGCTCCACGACCCTCAGGCTTAAACAGCTGTACTGGCCGCTCCCCAGATCTCCAGCTCCCTGACCCTCAAACTCCAACTGCAGCACCAGCTCCGCCCCGGGTCTCCAGCTCCACAATCCTCAAACTACAACAGCAGCACCAGCTCCCCTGTGGATCTCCAGCTCAATGACTCTCAGACTTGGGAGGCAGCACCGGCTCCCCACCAAGCCTCCAGCTCCACAACCCTCAAACTAGAAAGCAGCACCGGCTACTCCCTGGGTCTCCAGTTCCCTCAAACTTCAGCTATAGCACTGGCTCTTCCCCGTGGCCACCAGCTCTGCAAACCTCAACTTACACAGTGGTAGCACCAGCTCCTCCCTAGGTCTCCAGCTACACGACCGTCAAAATTGAACTGCAACACCAGCTCCTCTTTGGCCTCCAGCTCCACAATCCTCCAACAACAACAGCAACACCGGCTCCTCCCTGAATCTCCAGCTCAACAACCCTCAGACTTGAGAGGCAGCACCGGCACCTCCCCAAGACTCCAGCTCCATGACCCTCAGATTTGAACAGCGGTAGCACCAGCTCCTGTCCAGGTCTCCAGCTTCACGATCCTTAAACTAGAACAGCAGTACCGCCGCCTCCGTAGGTTTCCAGTTCCATGATCCTAAGACATGAATGAAAGAACTGGGTCACCCCAGGGCTCCAACTCCAAGACCCACAGATTTGAACGGCAGCACCGGCTCTTCCTGGGATCTGCAGCTCCACAGCCTTCAAACTAGATCAGCAGCTCCGACTCCTCCCTGGGTCTCCAGCTACACAATCCTCAGACATGAACAATAGCACCGGCTCCTCCTTGGGTCTCCAGCTTCACTACTGTCAGGCTAGAACAGCAACACCGGTTCCTCCCTGGGTCTCCAGCTCAATGACTCTCAGATTTGAAAGGCAGCACCGGCTCCTCACAAAGTTTCTGGCTCCAAGGCCCTCAAACTAGAATAGCAGCAGCTGCTGCATCTTGGGTCTCCAGCTCCACAACCCTCAAAGTAGAAAAGCAGCCCTGGCTCCTCCCCGAGTCTCCAGCTCCTCAAGTCTGAGGGTTGTAGAGCTGGAGACCCGGGGAGGAGTCAGTGCTGCTGTTCTACTTTGAGGGTCGTGGATCTGGAGACCCAGGGTGGAGCCGGTGCTGCTGTTCTAGTGTGAGGGTCATGGAGCTGGAAGACCCCGGGAGGAGCTGCTGCTGCTGTTCTAGTGTGAGGGTCATGGAGCTGGAAGACCGCGGGAGGAGCTGCTGCTGCTCTCCTAGTTTGAAGGTCATGGAGCTGGAGACCCGGAAAGGAGCCATTTGAACAGCAGCACTGGCCCCTCCCCAGGTCTCAGGCTCCACGACCCTCAGACTTAAAAAGCTGTAGTACGGGCTTCTCCCTGGGTCTCCAGCTCTACAACCCTCAGACATGAACAGCACCACCGGCTCCTCCCCCTGTCTCCAGTTCCACGAACCTCAAACTACAACAGCAGTACCAGCCTCTCCCCAGGTCCCCAGATCCACGACCCTCAAAATAGAATGGCATCATCAGCTCCTCCCTGGGTCTCCAGCTCCCAAACCCTCAAACTTCAACGGACACAGCAGATCCTCCCCACAGTTAAACAGCAGCATGGGCTGTTCCCCAAAGCTCCAAATCCATGACCCTCTGACTTAAATGGTGGTAGCACCAGCTCCTCCCTAGGTCTCCAGTTCCATGACCCTCAAACTACACAGTAGCACCGGCCCCACCCCAGGTCCACAGCTCCACCAACCTCACATTAGACACTAAGACTACCTCCTCCCCACTCTCCAGCTACACAACCCTCAGCCTTAAACAACAGCAGCACCAGCTCTTACCTGGGTCTCCAGCACCACAACCCTCAGCCTTAAACAACAGCAGCACCAGCTCCTCCCTGTGTCTCAAGCTCCACAACCCTCAGACTAGAACCGCACCCCTCCTCCCTGAGTCTGCAGCTCCATGACCCTCAAACTAAAACAGCAACACAGGCTCCTCCCTGAATCTCCAGCTCAACAACTCTCAGACTTGAGAGGCAGAACCGGCAACTCCCCAGAACTCTAGATCTGTTCAGACTAGAACAGCAACACCGGTTCCTCTCTGGATCTCCAGCTAAGTGACTCTCAGACTTCAAAGGCAGCACCAGCTCCTCCGTGGATCTCCAGATCCACAACATTCAAACCAACATGGCTCCTCCCTGGGTCTTCTGTTTCACGATCCTTAAATTAGAACAGCAGCACCATCTTCTCCCTGGGTCTCCAGCTCCACGAAACTCAAGCTAGAATAGCAGCACCGGCTCCTCTGGGATCTTCAGCTCCACGACCCTAAGACATCAGTGGCAGCACCGGCTCCTCCCCTGGACTCCAGCTCCAGGACCCTCAAACTTGAACAGAAACACCAGCTCCTCCCCAGGCCTCCAGCTCCTTGACCCTCATAAACAATCCCTTCTCATGAAATGTAGCAGTCAGGAAAACTGTAGAGGAAGTAAATAAATAAATGTTTTCCTTTCAAATTGATGTTTCTTTTCTGTTCACGCAAGTCAGAAAACTTTTCTACTTTCCATCAACCTTGCAACCTGCTTGCATTCATTTGTAAGATGGAAATCCATCATTTGAAATAACCTTTAAAAACTTAGTAGTTCTTTTTTACTATGATCTTATCTCACAGCTCTAGAAACGATCTTTCACTTTGCCTGTGCAGAAGTCTTGTGAACATTCAAACTATGAATTTACTTGGTTGAGATTCCTAGAATACACATTATCCCCAGATGTTCCTGCCCTTCTTAAAATCTTCTAACACGTTCCCCTCACCCGAGCATACGTGCCAGGTCCTATCCACAGCCCACAGTGCCCAGCACGGCCCTGCCCTCTGCCCTGACCTTATGGTCTCCCCTCTGCTGTTACTTTCCTCCCAGACAGGCCTCTGTCACTTCCTCAAACCACACAGGTTCAGGCCTGACTCCGGGCCTTTGCCCCTGCTGTGCCCCCTGCGTGGAGCGCCTTTCCCCGGCTCCCCATCCTCCTCTCCACCGGCTCAGCTCCAGCCTGCTGGCTGCCCCTCAGTCCATGAACACACGAAGTCCTCCCCCCAGGCCTTTGCACATGCTGTTCTCTGTGCCTGAAACCCTTCCCCCCTCACCATCTGCGTTCACTTTTCTAATTTCCGTTCATCCTTGGAGTCTCCCCTGAAATATCGCCCCCCGCCTGCCCCCACCACTTGGACTTAACCTTGCTCAGGTTGAAAACCCCCATCTCCTGACTCCAGGAAGCTAGATGCTATCCTGGCACTTGGAACTTTCCCATCACAGCGTTTTGCGCACTCGTAATTTATTCTATTAGGTTGGTGCAAAAGTCATCACAGTTTTGTCATTGCTTTTAATGAATGGCAGCTCCGGCTCCTCCCGCTTTTGATTGCCATTACCTTTACTGGCAAAAGCCGGAATTACTGCTGCATCAACCTAATAGAATAATTTATATTTATTCACCTATCATCTGTCTTCCCCTCTAGAAAGTAAGCTCCATGAGAATAGGGACCAAATCTACTCCAATCACTCCACCTTCCTAGCACATTGTCAATAATTATTCACCGACTGACTGATGGAGAAATATCTTCATTGTTGCTGGGATGAGCCACATAACATGACATGCCCCTTTGAAAGTCAATGTCATGGACAGTTAGCATTTGCTTTTCACTCCTGCACCTGTGGCTTGGCTGGGCTTAGGCTGATCTAGTCTGGGCTTGACTCCAGGCTGAGGGTTGGAACCCTGCGTGCTCCACACGCCTCTCATCCTGCAGCTGGAGCCGAAGTTCCCTGGGGCACGCTCGTCTCGTGGGAAAAATCAAGAGCATTAGAGGGCAGGCCTGGCAGTGCCAACACATTCCAGGCTTCTGCCTGTGCCGTGTCTATGAAAAAATCTTGTTGGCATAAGCAAGTTACCCAGCCACGAGCAATACCTATGGGATGGATAAGTCTATCCACCCTCCCTCGGGCCCTGGTAAGGACGTGGATGTGTCATACTCTTACAGGGGTAGTGAAATAGTGAGGCCCAACATTAAATCACCTACAGCAAGATACATCAGCCTCTGTGTCCCCACGCTGGAATCATGTTTCACCAGCGGGTTTACCTGAGCTGACTCCCCTTTGCAATGGTGCCTGCAGGTTTAGGCCAATGCTGTTCCTTGTGGAAGACAGAGAAGCCTCAGTTGGCCTCTGACTGTTGGCAAGAACAACATATTAAGTTGGCACAAAACAACCAGAAGCCCCAGGTGGCCCGTGCCCAGTGAGATAGGAGAGGAGCAGGAAGAACTGTGGAAGCTCAGGGAGGCTCTCATCCCCAGCCCCCTCCCCACTAGTCCCCATCTCTGCTTTCTTTTTCCTGTTTTTTTTTTTTTTTTTTCTTTGAGACAGGGTCTGACTCTGTCACCCAGGCTGGAGTGCAATGTTGTGATCTTGGCTTACTCCAACCTCTGCATCCCAGGCTCAAGCAGTCCTCCCACTTCAGCCTCCTCAGTAGCTGGGATGACAGGCACATGCCACCACACCCAGCTAAATGTTTTGTTTTTGTTTTGTAGAGACGGGGTTTTGTTGTGTTGCCCAGGCTGGTCTCGAACTCCTGAGCTCAAGCAATCTGCCCACCTCTGCCTCCCAAAATGCTGGGATTGCAGACATGAGTCACTGAGTCCAGCCTGCTTTATTTTTTTTAACAGTACTTGGAACCTTCTAATGTACTAAGTACACATGTATTTTCTTTTTTTTCCTCTCTTCCCTAGAATAGGAGCTTAACGTGGGCGAGTATTTTTGTTTATCTCATTTATCACCCTATCCCCAGTGGCTGGAATAGCGTCTGGCACATGAATGGTGTGTTCTAAATAAATATTTTTAACAAATAAATGAAATATCCTACAAGAGAAAGCTAGTATTTGGAACTCACCCATCAACAGAACCAAAAAGCTGAAGACCTTCAGCCTGTCCCTACCTCTGAATGCACCCAGCCCCAGCAGATTAAAAACAGGAACAAAGTTGGGGAAGGGAGCAGGTGGTGCCACCCCGACCAAGGACCCCTGAGGCTTAGGCTGAATTTGAGCTGGAGAAGGGACTAACCTAGGAACTGGGCGTGAGATTAAAGTTGAGACTTGTCTGGCCTGGATTTTGTAACACCGAAACATGAGCTATTCCATTCATTTTTGTTTTTGTTTTTTTTGAGACAGAGTCTTGCTCTGTCTCCCAGGCTGGAGTGCAGTGGCATGATCTCAGCTCACTGCAGCCTCCGCCTCCCAGGTTCAAGTGATTCTCCTGCCTCAGCCTCCTGAGTAGCTGGGATTACGGGCACCCATCACTAGGCCCAGCTAATCTTTGTATTTTCAGTAGAGACAGGGTTTCACCATGTTGACCATGCTGGTCTCGAACTCCTGACCTCAAGTGATCTGCCCACCTTGGCCTCCCAAAGTGCTGGGATTACAGACATGAGCCGGCGCCTGGCCATATTCCACTCATTATTAGCAAGTCTGCTATTATAAATCAAGGTGACCAAAATCCTAGGAAAACTTCCCCAGATGTCATCAAGGAGCAGAGACCAGAGACCTATCAGCAGGATGGGGACTAGGGCGAGGCAGGGGAGGGAGGCGCTCATCTCTGGATTATCAGGATGCAGCAAATGAGGCATAAAATTTAAGGGGGCACCAAAAAATTCACGGATCAAAATAAATAATATTTTAGTGCAGAATTTTTTTCAAAAGTTAAATTCAATGCAAAAAAAAAAAAAAAAAACCCTAATGGGAAAGTTATCAACATTTCAACTAAGACACAATTTGACCCTGTATTTGCATGACTTGGCCTCACTCACTCACCCTAATCTGGCCCCTGCCTCACAGAAGCTGCTGGAATGCAGCGGCTAGAGAACAATGAAGCTGTTTTCTGCTCCTATCCAATTCAGACCTTCCATAAAGCAGCTACAGGTGAAATCGTGATGAGCCGCCTATGCCAACAGGACCACAATCTACCATTAGGACCACAGTGACCGGGTCCATGTTGCCTGTCCCCAGCTGTGCCCGGACGCTTTGGCTTAGAGGCTCAGGCCAGTGCTGCTTCTCCCGTTGACACCGGGCACTCATGAAGAGAAAACAGACAAGGCCGGGCACGGTGGCTCATGCCTGTAATCCCAGCAGTTTGGGAGGCTGAGGTGGGCAGATGACCTGAGGTCAGGAGTTCTAGACCAGCCTGGCCAACATGGTGAAACCCCCGTCTCTACTAAAAATACAAAAATGAGCAGGCATGGTGGTGCCCAGCTGAGGCACAAGAATCACTTGAACCCAGGAGGTAGAGGTCACAATATCGGGCAGCTGCACTCCAGCCTGGGTGAGAAAGTGAGACTCTGTCTCAAAAAAAAAAAAAAAAAAAAAAGAGAAAACAGCCTCGGTTATAGGAACTCAGGCCTCCACACAGACACAATCAAGGAGCTTAGTTATTTAAAACGCAGCTCCGTGTGGGGGTAGGTTGGGGAATGATTCTTATTTTCTACTTTATTCTCTTTCTCTGTTACTTGGCGTCTCTGGCCATGAGCCCGTCATTTCTGTAATTAGAGCACAGATTGTGGGGAGGGGAAGGACAGGCCGCCTGGCAATGTGGTCCTGTTTTTCCTGGACCAGCCTTTGTGTGAGGACCTGTGCCCAGCGGGCAGATTCGGGTCCCTGAGGAAAGAGGAGGAGCCAGGTAGTGGGACATTTGAGGTGACAGCCCTTCCCCAGCTGTCCAAGGCCCGCTTGGCACCGATGGTCATTCCCAGCATGTTGGGTTGGCCTTCGGGGGTCTGGTCAGGACTCTCAGGGCCATCAGGGTCTGGCAAACCCTGGTCTGGGTGTGAAGACACCTGGGGCATCTAGACCCCCTCTCTGGCCACTCACACACCCAGTACTGAGAGGCCACAGCACGTCTGCCCACGCCTCTGTCCTTGTTCACTTGGTGGCTGGCCAGTCATCGTGGACACTGACCGTAGCTCGAGTGTGGGGTCCTCAGGTTTCTGCTGGGCCAGCAATTGTGCCCCTTGTGCTGCTGTATCTTGGGGTGCCAGTACGGGGTCTCCATAGGGATAGAGACAGCATCTCTGCACCAACCAGTGGGCACACAGCTGTGTTTCAGTACAAACACCTGGGCCAGCTGGACAACGCAGCCTGGGCTGAGCAGCTCTGATTTGCCTGAATCCCAGAGTTGGCATGGTGGGGTCATTCTTTCCAGCCAAACCAGAGAGCACGTCCTTGGGCAGGATGAGGAGTGCTCAGAGCAGGTGAATGGAGCTCTGCAGGGAATGACATCTCCTCCAAGAAGTGAGGGCCCTGAAATCAATCCAGGGACACTCTCTGAGCATCCCCAGGGTACACACCAGGCCTCAGGGAGCAGGGAAATGTCAGCCAGCAAGGACAGGTCTGTGCTCTGTGGATGGGCCAGAAAGAGGGGGTGCAGCAAAGGAATCATAGTCGCAGAGGAGAAAACGGCCAGAGTCACAGCCTGATTTGTCCCTTTCTCACTGGGTGCTGCCAGGAGTCCAGTCCAAGCCAACAACCCCCGAGCACAGGTATCAAAATGGACTGAGACCCTCTAATCGCCTCCTGGTGTCTTGAGATAGCCTCCTACCCACTGGCCCCCAACGCGGAGCCCTGCACTGGCTTCTCCAAGAAGAAACTGGGGGGCTGAGGGGCTGACTTGCGGGGACACCTTTCATTCAGTGCCCGAGAACCTGTTGAATGTTTAACTTATCCTTAAAAAACATGCCTGCCTCTTTGCATGTCTAACTCTCTGTAAGGAGCATGTGTTACTTTGCTAAAGAAGGAAAACATCACTCCAGACCACCTGTGCATTTAGCAAACACCAATTCCTAGCCCAGAGCAGATTTGCTGCTTCAAAAAAGCAAAAGCTCAAAACCCATGTGGAGACTTCAGAGGCCGCCTGGCCCCCAGCTCACCCTTTGGAATTCACTGACAGGTGTGTTTGTGGCTCTTTCTTCTTGGCGTCTGGTGTCAGGAAAGAGAAGACACAGGGACACCAGTTGGGGGTTTAATCCCATCAGACCCAATCTTTGGTTCTCTGTGCCCCTTACCTTATCCCCATCGAGACGTCGCTGGAGCTGAATGAACCACGAGCTGCTGCCCTGAGCAGGGAGTTGAATCCACCCTTGATCAGATGGTTGAAGCTGCGCACACCCTCTAGGGCCCTGCATGGAGATGGGGAGTCACACCTCGGTTTTATCTCACAGCAAGGATGACCCCTCACTGGGCACCCCAGCTCAGACCTCAAGGGAAACAGGCCCGAGGAAAGATGGGTGGAAGGATGGGGCCCCTGGTGGGAGGACTCACAGGGTAAGAGACCCCACCCACTCAAGCGATTCACACTCAGGGTCTTTGGGGCTCTCAGAGGAAACATTGGTTCACAGTGAACACAGTTCCAGCTATTCAGGGTCACAATTATCTGCAGCAGGCACAACCACCCACTCTCAAAAGTTGAATTCAGTAAGGCAGAAACTTAAGCTCAAGATGGATTTTTATTGAAAATGATTTCTGTAATCATGTTTTATTTACCTGTATTTACAGATTAAAGTTTGAATATGGCACCTTAATTCCTTATCAAAGAGAAAGAATGCATATCTTGTGGTAATGGGGACCAGCAGCTCCATGAATCGAAGTTTTCTGTGGCTTGATCTAGTTCAGAGTCTGAGTGATACATGTGCCAGCAAAAGCCTCTGGTAAACAGGGAGCAGCGTTACAGCCAGCAGAGCCCAAGTGCTTGCGGAGCTGATGGAGATTTAAGGGAGCAGGTTCGAGCTCCTCCTGAGGCGGAGTGAGAGGAAGGCTCTCCCCATCTCCTGAGTGTCAGGCTGGACTCAAAGGGGAGAGAAAATATTTTAAATAAACAAAACACTGTCGTCGCAATAAAATGTGACAATTCTCTTCCCTTTCCTTTTTTTCTTTTCTTTTCTTTTTTTTTTTTTGACACAGGTTCTTGTTCTGTCACCCACCCAGGCTGGATTACAGGGGCATGATCTTGACTCACTGCAGCCTCAACCTTCCAGGCTCAGATGATCCTCCTGCCTCCTCAGTAGCTGGGACCTCAGGCATGTGCCACGTCTGTTTTTTTTTTTTTTTTTTTTTTTTTTTTTTTAGACATGAGGTCTGGCCACGTTGTCCAGGCTGATCTCAAACTCCTGGGCTCAAGCAACCTGCCCACCTCTGCCTCCCAAAGTGCTGGGATTATAGGTGTCAGCCACCACACCTGGCTCCCTTCTCTTTCTTTTTCACCTGACAGTGTCTCTGCATCCCCATCTCTTAGCACTCTCCTGACTTCTTAGATACCCTGGCCTCATCTCTGATCTGCCTGATCTCTGGCCTTAGCACTTGCTGTTCCTCCCACCTAGCACACTGTTCCCTCAAATCACCCATGGCAGCCCCTTCTTATCCTTCAGGACTCAGCCCACATGTCACCTCCTCAGAGAGGCCTTCCCAGACCACCCAAAATGAGACAGTAGCTCCACCCCCATGACTCTTTATCCCATCTCCCAATCTGTGTCCTTTGTTGTATTTTTCACAGTCTGAATGATGTTTATGTGTTGACCTGCATGCTGTCCATCCTCATAGACTGGAACTTCCTGAGAGTGTCATGAGATCAGATGGCTCTTACTCACCGCTGTGTCCCAGACACCAGCACAGCAGCCTGTGTTTAAAGGTGGTCCGTCAATGTTTGTTAAGTGACTGGACAGATACGGAAGTGGACGGTTACACTGACAGTTTTTACAGGGGGACGTGTTGCTTTGCCTTTGACTTGTTCCATTGTCCTCGTATGTAACGTGGGCCTGACCGGGAAGAGGTGGTGCCTGGACATGACGAAAAACTTTCACACGATCTGTCGGACAACAAACCACATAAGTATCCCTTCTCTATCCGTTATTCTATACCTTCATGGATAAATCACTAGACCTCACGTGGGCACAGGAATTTTGAAATATATTTTTAAACAAATTGCTAATGTAGACAGCGATCCTAAAATATAGAGAGACATATAGACATTCACCCGAGCCCTGCACACTCTACACATGACTTTGCAATCCATCCTTCGAGGAAGTCTGCAGTGAAGACGGCCCTTCAGAACTGCGAAGAATTGAGTCAAGGGGCTGGACCTTTAGACCCCTGTGTTTACTACTAGTCTTTGGAGATGGAGGGACCCCAGGAAGGGTGACTGGGCAAAGCAGCTCCTGTCAGCCAGGGGCATTTTCTGGGGAGGGTCTCAGCTGTGAGCTCTCAGCAGGCAACCCCCTGGGCAGTGGGGCATGCGTGCCTGCTCCTGAAAGGGGATGTGGGGGACACATCCCAGCATCTGCTCCAAGCCATGAGTCTTTCTCACCCGGGCCATTGTGCAAAAGCTTCCCGACAGGCCTCCCTTCTTCCACTCTTGCCCTATTTACCTATTTTCCACACAGCAGCCAGAGGAAGCCTGTGAAACCCAGGTCAGGTCCTGTGCTTCCTCTGCTCAGAACTCTCCATGGCTCCCGCGTACTCAGAGTAAAACCCGGAGCTTCATGATAACCATGAGGCCCGCAGCTTCTGCCTCCAAGGCTTCTCTGGCCTCACCTCCCGCTGCTCCTCTCCTCACTCGGCCGCAGCTGTGGCTCCCTCCCCGGTTTTCCGGGAACATGCCAGCACACCTGTTGCTGGCTTTGTACTCACTGTTTTTTTGCCTGGAAGGCTCCACCCTCGATGTCATCCTGGCCCGCAGCCTCAGCTCCTCCAGTCTTGGCTCAAATGGTGGCTTCTCAGCAGGGTCTTCCCTGACCATCCTACTGAAAATCAACAACCACCTTCCATAGGGGGCTGAACAAGGGCCCCCCATATGTGTCCACATTAAAACCCCTGGGCCCTGTGTGTATGTCCATTGCAAAGGCGCTTTGCTGGTGTAAAGTGAAGGATCTTGAGATGGAAAGATGACTCTGGATGACCTGGGTGGGCCCAGTGTAATCACAGGGTCTTTATAAGAGGAGGGCAGGAGGGTCTGAGTCAGAGGAGCTGTAGTGACAGGGCAGAGACTGGAATCATGTGCTTGAGGATGGAGGAAGGAGCCACGCTCCCAGGAGTATGAGGGGCTCAAAAGAAAATACAGGCCAGACCAGCACTTTGGGAGGCCGAGGCGGGTAGATCACTTGAGGTCAGGATTTCAAGACCAGCCTGGCCAACATGGTGAAACCCTGTGTCTACTAATAATACAAAAAACATTAGCTGGACCTGGTGGTGCGCATCTGTAGTCTCAGCTACTTGGGAAGCCGAGGCAGGAGAATCACTTGAACCCAGGAGGCAGAGGCTGCAGTGAGCCAAGATTGCACCACTGCACTCTAGCCTGGGTGACAGAGCGAGACTCTGTCTCTAAAAAAAAGAAAGAGACAAAGACAGAGAGGAAAAAAAAGGAAGGAAGGAAGGAAGGGGAAGGGAAGGGAAGGGAAGGGGGAAGTGGAAGGGGAAGGGGAAGGAAGGGAAGGGAAGGAGGGAGGGAGGGAGGGAGGGAAGGAGAGGGAAGGGGAGGGAGAAAGAGAAAGAGAGGGAGAGAAGAAAGAAGGAAAGAAAGAGAAAGAAAGAAAGAGGAGGGGAGGGGAGGAGAAGGAAGGGAAGGGAAGGAGGGAAGGGGAATGAAAGGGAGGAGAAAGAGAAGGGAGAAAGGAAGGGAGGAAGGAAAGAAAGGAAAGGAAGAGAAGGGAAGGGAGAAAGAAAGAAAAAGAAAGAAAGAAAGGAAGAAAGGAAGAAACAAAGAAAGGAAGGAAAGAAGGAAGGAAATACAGACACTGAAAATGCAAAGAGTCCTGCCCTCAGGGCATCCAGCAGGAGCCAGCCCTGTTGACACCTTGACTTAGCCCAGTGAAACTGACGGCAGACTCCTGACCTCCAGAGCTAGGAGAGAGTCCATATGTGTTGTGTGAAGCTATCAGGTTGGTGGTGATTCGTCATAGCAACCACAGGAAGCTAACACACCCTCCCACATACCTGGAGCTTCCTATCCCCAAGCCTGCTGAATGTCTCCCTGTAGCATGGATTAGCAGCTGACATGCATACCTTTCACTGATTTGTTTATCCCTCTCCACTTACTGAATGTGTGCTCCATAAAAGCAGGAATTTTGTTTGTTGCAAGATCCCCTGCACCTAGCACAGTGCCTGGCAGATAGCAGGTGCTCAGCAAACATCCTCTGCAATGCTGCACTTGAGTCCTGAGGAGGGAGACGGAGCAGATCCTGGGATGAGCCAGGGGACAGAGCTCCAGGCAGAGGCAGCACCAAGGGTAGAGTCTGAGTCACAGCCAATCCCATCCTTCTAGATGGCTGCTGTAGGACCCATGGATAAAATTCCTCCTAGCCCTGCCTCCACAGAGAAGTCCCTTCAACTGAAGCCATGGAAGCTGGAAACTCACTTAAGAGCCCCTACAGTGAGAGATTAAGAGCATAGACCCTGAAGCCAGGCTGCCTAGGTTCAAATCTCAGCTCTGCCACTCACTAGCTGAGTGACTCTGGGCTAATTAATTAACCTCTCTGTGCGAATTTCCTCGTCTACAGAATAAGGATAATGATAGTGCCCATCTCATAGGGCTATTGTGAGGATTGAAATAGCTAATGCATTTAGCACAGTGCCTGGCACACAGTACACATGATCTACTGTTCCTATTTGGGTGGAAAAGTCCAGCAAGTTGCAAAGATTGCTAAAAAGCAATGAGAATATACCAGGGTGTCTAAACTGACAAGCAAAGGGTATGATTAAAAGACAAGCCAGGTTGGCAGCAGAACATTTGCTTTCCTTGGCCTGGGCCACAGACAAGGAATTGAAAGGTAGCCTGGCAACGCTTTGAGAAAAATTAATCACCCCTGTTGCCTGCCTGCCCCTGCCCATCCCATTTAACCTGCATTCCCCCGCCCCCTACCCTACCCCTAAAGGGATCCTGGAGCCTCCTGTTGCACAGGCCGGGCTGTGACATCCACAACACACCCCAGCTGGGCCCAGCAAGTTGTTTTCCAGCCCCATCTGCCCAGACACAGCCCTGTGAAGAGAGGGCCGAATGCAGAGCCAGGGCTGTGTTGACTGCAGAAGGGACGGAAGAAAATAGATGGGGTGCGGTCTGCACAGTGGGAGGTTGGTGTGTCATGTGGGTCTCACATGTGGCTTCCCTCCAACAAGCCCCCTGCAATCCCCGCCAGACGTAAGGAGGGAGGGGTGAAAGTGGGGTTTCCGCCAGAGGCAGCAGAGCTGAGGAGGGGCCCAGGCTGCAGGGACCTGTGTACAGGGCATGAGATGTCACCGGGGGCTTCCTACATGAGATGCAGTGAGTCATCAGGGTGCAGGGTGGAGGCTCTGAAGGAAGAGCCCAGGGGAATACAGGAAAAAGGTGACCTGAGAATCCATCAGCCACCACCCCAGTCCTTCCCTCCTCTGTCCAGGAGCAGGGCCAGGGCCCAGGAGACAGGGTGAGCTTTCTGCAGGAGGGACACCCGCCCTGAGAGGAACCTGGGCTGTCATAGCCGCACAGACACTGCAAGCCAGGAGCAGTGGCCACACCCGTAGAGCAGGGGTATCAGAAGGGGGCAGAAACACAAGCTTGTCACCTGAGGGCTGGGAGCATCTGTCTTTGTGGTGACCAAGGGGAGACAAAGCAAGTGACGGAGACGCCTTCTCTTCAGCAGTGGTTCCCTCTGCAGGTCTCCAGGGACAGTGGGTCTGAGGGGCAGGAATGGTGGGGGGCTGTCATGGGTGCCGCATTAGGATGTCCCCTTCTACCCTGAGCAGCAGGCAGTCCCCTCGAGGATTCCACGTCATCAGCCTCTGGCCCGAGGGCTTCCCAGCGCCTCCCTTTCTCCGTTTTGGGTGACTTGGGCAGGCACTGGCGTCTACATCTGTGCACTCTTGGCACCTGGTGGGTGCGACCTGGGCCCTCCCATCAGACACACTTCAATCTCATCCCACACAGCCCAGGGCCAGACCTTGGCACCTCATGCAGACTCAGACTACGCACCTGGGATCCGGGCACTGAGACTGCACGTGGCCTCTTCCCAGTGTCTCAGAGGGAAATGAGGCTGGAATTTCTCCTGGGACACTGGACACCCCGCATCTCATGGTGCTGCATAAGAGGATGCTTGGCCCTGCATCCTCCCTGCAATAACCATCATTTAATCAGGCCAGAAGAAGTGGAGAAGGCGCGGCCCATGGGACAGCCATGTGTTCAAAAGCAGCCCCCACCCATGCACAAGCAGCCCTCAGAGGTGTCCAGGCAGCTCCAACCAGCAGATAACGGGCACCCAGAATGTGCAGAGCCAGCCCAGATTGCAGCCTGGATCTCAATTTGCAAGAAAGAACTTGCCAGCTTGAGCAGCTGCCACGAGTCCCAGCGGCTTGGCAGTTTCTCCTGGAGGCTGTTCGCAGAGCCAGACCAGGGACGGGGTCTTGGCCACTATGGGTCCCCGCAGTCTGCACCGAGCTTGGAGTCACCAGGCTGATTTCACGGATGTTTATGGAGCCTGCAGGAGACCATAGCTTAGTGTGTCCCCTGCTAATTAAAGGACAACAGCCAGTTGTTCCCCGTCAGAGATTACAAAGGATGAATGCTTTGGACCCAGGGAGCGGATGGGAGCATATCAGATGCCAAAACCTGGTGCCTGCCACCTGGCATTCTTTGGAAGTGACCCTTTGTGGAGCATTGGCCATTATCGGGGAGATGGGTATTGGGGAGCCTCCCTCTCAGCTCTGGGGTCTCAACTCTGCCCACATAGGGCAGGAGGACGATGTCCTGAAGCTGTGCCTGTCCTTGCCCAAGGAGGGTTGGGGGCTTTGCAGGGGGGTATGTGAATGCCTGCAGGCCTAGGGGTCAGGGGACCCGTGCAGGGCTGGAAGAGGGGTTCTCGGCCACAGGACAGCCCTGCTTCTGCCAGTGAAGCCATGTGTGGAAATACGGCTCAGCATTGCTCAACCTTCCAGCAGCCAGGACACCCTGGGTTTGAGTCCCTGCTACAGATAAAAGAACCGAATCTGACCATTTGTCTCCAGCCATTCTCAGCCTCTGCCTCTCTCCCCAGCCCCTCTACCAGGTGTTCAAGGAAAGCAGAGCCCAGAACCTGTCGTGTAGGGCCTTGGGCTTTCCACGGCCTGATCAGTGCTAGTCTCTGGGGAGCACTTTGGGGGACACATTCAGATTCTCTCGAATGCCTCATACCCGGACTGCAATCCCCCATTCCACCAGCGATTTCAGGACCATGTGGGAAATTTCATCAAATTTGCAAGTGTGTTGTTTCTTCTTTTACCCCCATTCTATCTGTGAGATGCTCTAGAATTCACCAGATGTAATATATCTTTGGGATGAATATTCTATGTTAAGTCCTTTGAAAGCAATCAACAACTGTAATCCAATTACTATTGGCTGTATCTTTCTCTTTTGCCCCAAACCTCATCCTGTGTGCCAAGCTCACCACACACACACACACACATACACCTCTCACAACAGATGCTAATTTTGTGCCTCGCTGCCTCACATAACGTGAGAGCGTTGAGTAGTGAACAGCTGATCTGCATGAATTAACGTGGGAGGTCATGTGGGCCCTGAAGCTTTCACACTCACAAACCAGTAGCAGGATGGGTTGTCATGGAGATCACATGGAGGGACACCAGAGTTCCCCCAGGACTCTGGGCCTCCTCTGATGAGCAGGTCACATGGGGATCTGGGGGGAGGCACAGGCACGAACTGCATATTAAATACACCTGACTCACTGTGTCTGTGAGTGCGTGGGCGTGTGTGGGTGTGGGAGAGTGCATATAGGAGTGAGCATGTGTGTGAGTGTACATATAAGTGTGTCTATGTGTGTTAGTGTGTGCATATGAGTGTGTCTGTGTGAGTGTGTATGTATCAGTGTGCATATATGCGTGGGCATTGTAGGCACACATGTGCATATATGTATATGTATGAGGGTATCTGTGTGTGAGCAAATGGATGCATGAGTGTGTGTGGGCATGTGTATCTGTGTGTGCATATGTGTAAGCGTGTTAGTTTGCACGCATACGTGTCCAGAGCCCACATGGGATGAAAACTGAATGGCTCTAAAGATCTACTGGACACATTTCAGATCCTAACAGAGCTCTTAAAGCTCCAAGGGGTCACTGAATGGACAATGAGTGTTTCTGAGTCCAGGTGGCACTGACTCAGCAATGCAGGAAGGCAGCTCCTTGAGTTCCAGGAATGACCTGCACCCCTTTTCTCTCCCTCCCGGTCACCCACCCCTCCCCACGTCCCTTCCTCTTCCTCTGTTTGCCTTCCGTGCCTCTCCCTTTCCCAGTCTCATTTCTTGCATGTTCATCACTTCTACTTCCTGCAGTTCAATTCCCCTCCACCCCTCAGCATGGACTGTGGGATGAGAGAGCCACAGCCTTATCCCTGACGTAACCAAAACTCTTGGCACCAGCTTAGACCTGTTTTTCAGTCTTATAAACAGGTCTCAAATCAGGGAAATGTAAGGTTCTGAGGAAAATGATCACCACCAGGTGATTCCCCTCTGTGTTACCGTAAGGCGGTGAGACAGAGATTCTCTAACGTTTTTAGTGCAACCCACCGTAAGAAACCCACTGCAAACTGCCACCCAGCACACACACAAGCACATCCATTTATACAGAAACGCAGCACGTTTCCCCAAACGGCACTCACCCCCGCTGCACACAATGCGCTCTGATGTCTCCTGACCTAGTCTATCCTGGTCTATTGCAGATTTTCAATGCGGGGCTCGACACTCTAAATTGATTTCAAGACCCACTAATGCATCACAGCCTGCGATTTGATAAACTCCACGCTAAGACACATCCTGTAGTGAGGTGTTCGACCCAGAGGCCATTTATCCTGCAGCGAGTGGGGTGAGGAGGAGGTGGGGAGGCAGGATTAACCCTGAGGCACCCCTCCTCCTGCTCCTCCCATGTATTTTTGGTAGAGATGGGTTTTCTCCATATCGGTCAGGCTGGTCTTGAACTCCCAACCTCAGGTGATCCACCCACCTCGGCCTCCCAAAGTGCTGGGATTACAGGTGTAAGCCACTGCGCCCGGCCCCTCAATAGGTAGTTTTTCAGCCTTTCCCCCCTCCCTTCTTTTCCCCTTTAGTAATCCCCAGTGTCCATCATTGCCATGTTTATGTTTATGTGTAGCCAATGTTTAGCTCCCACTTATAAGTGAGAACATGTTGTATTTGGTTTTCTGTTGCTATGTTAAATCACTTAGGATAATGGCCTCCAGCTGCATCCATGTTGCTGCAAAGGACGTGATTTCCTTCTGTTTCATGGCTGCATACTATTCCATGGTGTATATGTACCATAACAAATGTCTGTTTCTTTTCCCTGAGTCTTTTTGGGCCCCATGTAGAAGGATCTGCAGGAAAGTTAACCAGCAACAGTGTCAGGATTGGGGAAGGGCAAAGCTCACAGGGATCTTGGCTGGGGGGATGCTCGGGAAGCCCCCACCTTCAGCTGGGCCCAGGGCTCAGGCTGAAAGAGAAAAATGGAGTTGTTCCTGGAAGGCTTGGCAGTGGAGAGGACGAGACATTGCTAGATCACTATAAGAAGGTGATAAATGCTTGACCCGGCTCAAAGTGTTTTGTGCCAGGGTTATGTTCTGAGATATAGGAGGGTTAACTAAGCTGGGGCTGTGGATTAGTTATCTATTGCTTTGTAAATAATTACTTCCAAAACTTAGTAACTTAAAACAACAAACTTTTATTATTTCATATGTTTCTGAGGGTCAGGATTCTGGGAGCAGCTGAGCTCCCAGAATCCGTCACGAGGTTGCAGGCAAGCTGTTGGCTGGGGCTGCAGTCTTCTAAGACTTGTAAGAGCTCGAGGCAGATGGGCCTCCAGGATAATTTACGTGGCTACTGGGAGGAGTTTTTGGTCCCTAACCACATGGGCCTCTCTACCACATGGCTTCTGAGAGAGAAAGAGAGAGAGAGAGGATGAAGATGGAAACGGCTGCCTTTATAACCTAATATTGGAAGTGGCACATCATCACTTCTCCCAAATGCTCTTGGTCACCCCCACCAAATATGGTACCACATGGTGGGGGACAGCTGAGTTCCAGAAAGGAGGGCTCACTGGAGGCCAGTTACCAGAGGCTGGGTGTCTCTCACTGATTCAATCTTTTATTCAAATACTGGCCTGGCGCAGTGGCTCATGCCTATAATCCCAGTACTTTGGGAGGTTGAGGCACAGGGTGGCAGGGGTTGGGGGGTATAACTAATCCACAGCCCCAGCTTAGTTAACCCTCCTATATCTCAGAACATAACCCTGGCACAAAACATGCTGAGCTGGGTCAAGCATTTATCACCTTCTTACAGCGATCTAGCGACGTCTTGAGGTCAGGAGTTTGAGACCAGCCTGGCCAACATGGCGAACCCCCGTCTCTACTAAAAACATAAAACTGAGCCAGGCGTGGTGGTGCGCACATGTAATCCCAGCTACTCGGGAGGCTGAGGCAGGAGAATGGCTTGAACCCAGGAGGCAGAGGTTGCAGTGAGCTGAGATCGCGCCACTGAACTCCAGCCTGGGTGACAGAGCAACACTGTGTCAAAAACAAAAACAAAAACAAAACAAAAAAAACCCAACAACAGAAAAACAAAAAGTATGTAGTGAGCTCCTGCCACAAGCAGAGCATCGCTCTGGTCTCTCAGAAGTCAACAGGAAAATAGACAATGTCCCTGCCTCATGGAGTTCCCACTGGAGGAGTGAAAGAGACAGACAAGATACACGTAAATGTCTAATACCTTTCGTTGGCTCTAAGATGTGCGTTTTCCTGCATCTTTAACATCTCTAAAATTGCCATCTATCTTATGAGTTGATGCTGTGTCATGGCACATTTGACGGTGTTTTAAATCTTCTTCTCTTCAGGGTGGGACAGGAAAACCTCATGAAAAAGAAGAACTGGGGAGAGTTAAGGAAGAGACTGTTCAGCGACCATGAGCAGTGGAGCTGGGTTGCAGGGACCAAGGTGGGGGTGCTGCCCCTGGGACAAGCCCCAGCCTCCCAAGGCCTGAAGGGGCAAGAGGAGGAGGTAGTGTATCAGAACCTGGTTGAACGTGAGCCAGGGGAAGGGGCTGCAGAAGCTGCGGGTGTTGAGAATTGCAGCTACTGCCAACGCCACAGCTGTTGCCTGGCACCCTGGGGCAACTCTCTTTACTCCCGTCCTGTATCCCCTGCCAGAGTGCCTGTGGGCTGAAGCCAGGGAGGCTGGGGGAAGGTACCTAGAAACCAGGCTCCTGGGGCATCAAGTAAGGTGAATAAGGGGTATGGAGAGAAGGTAACCAGCTTTTGGGATAAAGGCATAAGGAGAGAGGGATATCCCAAGAGGACTGCTGGGAAAGGCCTCTCTATGAAGTCTCAGCTAAGACGCGGGCCATGGAAATGTCTGGGGAGAATGTCCCAGAGAGGGCAGGACCTGAGTGGGCCGAGCGTGGGCTGCAGGAAGCTGAGGAGCTGGTGGGCCTGGGTGGAGTGGGCAGTAGGAAGAGAAGTCAGGGATGAGGTCAAAAATTAGGTAGATTCTGGACCACGTGCAGGACCTTGTGCCATGGTGAGGAGTGTGGATTTGACTCAAGCATGACAGAGCCGCTGGGGGGTTTTGAGCAGAGAGAGGACGTGATCCAATGGGTTTAACAGGAGCCCTGTGGCTGTCATGGAAGAAATGGCCCCATAAAGGGTGAGAAGGAGGCGGGGGCAGTGAGGAGGCTCTGGAATATTCCAGGCGAAAGATGAGGGTGGCCTGGTGGTCCAGGGTGGGATGGTGGAGGTGGGGAGAAGCGGTGGGAGTCAGGACTGATTTTGAAAGTAGAGCTGGCAGGATTTTCTGATCAGTTGGAAGTGATGTGAGGGAGAAAGGAGTCAAGAGCAAATCCAAGGTCACTTCGCACTGTTCCTATGGAGATGCTCCAAACATGGGACTTATGAGCTGTGATGAATTTATAATTAAGAGTATGTCGGCAGATGCCTCAAGCTTCCAGGCCTTCTCTAGAATGTTCTCATGATCAAAAAACTTGAGCAAGACCCACACTCATGATGTTCACCCCTCAACCCATGAAGTGCGTGCTGCAATAGCCCACATGTATCACTGGAGTCCTCCTGTGGCCATGTATGTGCTGGGAGGTGATCAAGCTGCTTGCTACAAACCCAAAGATGTCGGCGTTGGGGGAAATAGG
This sequence comes from Homo sapiens, assembly GCF_000001405.40. Classification (NCBI taxonomy): domain Eukaryota; kingdom Metazoa; phylum Chordata; class Mammalia; order Primates; family Hominidae; genus Homo; species Homo sapiens. The sequence goes on from NC_000020.11 coordinate 47,852,688, forward strand.
GTTGAGACAGGAAGATGGAGCCTATAAGGATGAATGAGCCCAAGAAAGGTGTCTAGCACCCTGTCTACAGAGGGAGGAGGGCCTTGTGGTTCCTCCAGCCCCTGGCTGGGTGAAGTAACATCACCCAGACCCTGCTGTGGTCGGTCAGTTCAGGAGGAGGCAGGGCCACAGGTGAGCCTGTCCAGAGGAGCAGGTGCCATGAGGCCCAGAGAAGGGAGGTCAGGAAGGTCTACCAGGAGGAGCTAACATGTGAGCTGGGCTGGGCTGGGCAGGGTAGGTGGGAGAGAGAGGAAGGAGGTCCCAGGAGGAGACAGCAGGACAAGGACATGCAAAGGTACAGCCGGCAAGGCCAGAGGGAAGTGATCTGGGACCTGATCCAGGATGATGGGACTGTCTAGAGCAGCGGTGCCCAAATTTTGGCAGCAGGGACCACTTTCATGGAGGACAATTTTTCCATGGACTGAGGTGGGGGTGGGGATGGTTTCAGGATGATTCAAGTGCATTACATTCATTGTGCTCTTTGTTTCTATTATTATTACATTGTAAAATATAATGAAATAATTATGAAACTCACCATAATGCAGAATCAGCGGGAACTCTACACTTGTTTTCCTGCAACTAAACGGTCTCATCTGGGGGTGATGGGAGACAGTGACAGATCATCAGGCATTAGATTGTCATAAGGAGCACGCAACCTAGATCCCCCTCATGCACAGTTCACAATAGGGTTCGCCCTCCTATGAGAATCCAGTGCTGCTTCTGATATGACAGGAGGCAGAGCTCAGGCGTTCACCTCCTGCTGTGCAGCCTGGCTCCTAACAGTCCACAAATTGGTAGTGGTTTGTGGCCTGGTGGCTGGGGACCCCTGGTCTAGAGCCATTTAGATCCATTAGGGCCCTTTGGCTGCAAGTGGCAGACACCTAACTCAATCCAAACAGGGCCTTCGTGGCTGGCTCTGTGTGGAGTTCTCAGACACAGGAGGGGCTGGGGACCAGGAGTAGAGAGGACAAGTCCGGGGCCACACCAGGAAGTCTCAGAAGCAGGAACTGGGGGGCAGCCTGTGCAGGCCCCACCCTCGCATCCACGACAAGGCTGGTCTTTGCATTTGAGGGAGAAGAACCCACAGGGCCATGGCGGCCTCATGGGGCGCTGAATTCCAAGGTCATGCAGCGTGTCCACTGTCACATGACCAGCAGGTGCAGAGGGAGGGTGCCTATCCCAACCTACAGGCTCCCAGGCTCAGATTTTCCTACTGCAACAGAGCTCTCAAATCTCAGACATTCCCGAACTGCTGTCATAATTTTTATCATTTGCATTATAAATCTCTTCTAATATTAATTTTTAAAATTCATATGTTTCATATGCTAGTTTTATTTTTGTCTAATGTCCGAGTACTCTTATACTATTAAAATAAGCAGCACAGGCTGGGTATGGTGGCTCATGCCTGTAATTCCAGCACTTTGGAAGGCCAAGGCAGGAGGATCGCTTGAGGCCAGGAGTTTGAGACCAGCCTGGGCAGTGAGGCCCTATCTCCATTTAAAAAAAAAAAAAAAAAAGCAGCATTCATTTGTGAAAGAACCAAATCATCTTTGGAGGTATGTGTACCTTGTTTTGGGAAACCCTGTATCATAACTAATGCTCCTTTCTATCTGGAGGATGATGTAGACTGATTATTTGCAGTCGCTTTTAGCAAAGAACACTTGCTGTTCACTGGAATCATTTGCAGAAGAATAGGGGTGGCTCTGCCGGGAGAGAAGCATGGGGACCACCCGTCCTCACTGGCTCAGAACTGAGGGGTTTCCTGGGATATGGGACTATTCGTGCTAAAACTGGAGAGTTTGAGGCGATCCTGGATAGTTGGTGACCATGGAGAGGAAGTTGGAGGATCAGAGTCCAGCCCACCTGGTTTTCCAGCCCTCACTATGTGGCAGATATGAGGATGCTTCCTTGGACCCTGATACATGAATGAAGGGGGCCTGCATCAGGAAAGCGAGGTCAGTGTATGATGAGTGCTGTGGGTGGGCACCTCCACCTGGTCAGCTTCTGGGGCTGCAAAGGCTGGAAAGCTGAAACCTGCATTTCCCAGGCTCTTGGACGTGGAGGAGTTGAGGCCCCCGCTTCAGTGAGTGCCTCCAGCCGGGGGCACAGTGGGAAGGGTTGGGTCTTCTGCATCAGGGTTCCAGGGCATGGCCATTCAGTTTGTGGGTTTGTTCCAGGGATTTAGGAGCTGAGCCGGGGAAAATCTGACCATGAGGTGGCAGTAGCACACACTCGCTTCACTGGGCAGTACTTTGACAGGTTTGCAAGCAGAGAAGGTCCCTCGCAGCAGAAGCCAGGGAGGGCAAGGGAAGTCTGGGGGCAGGAGCTTGTGTGACGAAGTGATGTCGTTCAGCAGCGTAGCCCAAGGAGTCTCTGGCTCAGGGTGCTCCCAAGGGCAGAGATCATTTGGGGGCCCTATAATGGCAAGGCTTTCTATCTTTAATGCATGAGTAAGAGCTGTCACGTGAGGTTTTGCAGGGTAGGCAAAGCAGGCAGGCTCTAAATGGCTAAAAATCTCTTTGGGTTATTTAAAAAATAATCAGGTGTGTAAAAATTTGAGTTTGGCACCAGTGGGCTTTCGAGGTAATGGGGCTCAGTTTGCTGTGAAGAAAGAAATGGGCCAGGTGCAGTGGCTCAAGCCTGTAATCCCAGTACTTTGGGAGGCTGACGGGGGCACATCACCAGAGGTCAGGAGTTCGAGACCAGCCTGGCCAACATGGTGAAACCCTGACTCTACTAAAAATACAAAAACTAGCTGGGTGTGGTGGCATGCGCCTGTAGTCCCAGCTACTTGGGAGGCTGAGGCAGGAAAATTGCTTGAACCTGGGAGGCAGAGGTTGCAGTGAGCCGAGATTACACCACTGCACTCCGGCCTGGGCAACAGAGTGAGACTCTGTCCAAAAAAAAGAAAGAAAGAAAAGAGAAAGAGAAAGAGAAAGAAAGAAAGAAAGAAAGAAAGAAAGAAAGAAAGAAAGAAAGAAAGAAAAAAGAAAGAAAGAAAGAAAAAAGAAAGAAAGAAGGAAAGAAAGAAAGAAAGAAAGAAAGAAAGAAAGAAAGAAAGAAAGAAAAAAAGAAAGAAAGAGACAGCCCAGGGGCCAATCCTCAGAGGTTATATTTGGCTCCTCTGTGTAACAGTGGGGTGGGGGTGCATTTTGGAGGCAGCTGCTTCTTGACCCCTGGTGTGTTCTTCAACTCAGCAGTTCCTCCTCATGCTCCCCAACCCCACAGCCCATTTCTCTGGAGTGCCTGGCTATGTGGTTTGTTTACGTCCCTGGCGGATCAGTTCCGGGGTCCTATTCTGGGTGTCTCTTCTGAGGACCCAGACTGCAGCCTGTGCCCCTGCCCTTCTCATGATTTTGGGGGGATCCTAGTCCCCTGTATTCAATCCCTTTCTGCCTAACATGGCTAATGTTGTTCCTGGTATCTGGAACTAAACCCTCCTGAGACAAATAATGGCTGACATCCGGTCTTGGTGCCAGGGAGACAGCGGCCAGCACCGGGGGCTCTGGAGGGCTTGGGAGGGGGTGGCCTCCACTCAGCTCCTGCCATGTAGGGTTGGCCAGTGTCTAGAGTTTCAATGAAAGAGATTCTTATGTAAAATAATTTGAGTCTTGAATGTTGGCTCATTTAACAAAAACAAACACAAAAGAGAGAGGGCCAAATGAAACATGTCTGTTGGTGAGGGTGCTCATCTGCAAGGGCCGTTGTAACCCAGTACCCTGGACTGGGCGCTTTGACAGCAGAAACGTATTGTCCTGCAGTTCTGGAGGCCAGGAGTCTGAGATCAAGGTGGCAGTGGGGTTGGTTCCTTCTGAGAACTGTGAGGGAATGCTGTGTTCCAGGCCTGTCTTCTTGGCTTGTAGATGGGCCATCTTCTCCTTCCATCTTTCCTCTATGTGTGTTTCTGTGCCCAAATTTCTTTCTTCTTCTTCTTATTTTTTTTAATGAGGACACTGGTCATGTTCTATGAGGGCCTACCCTAATCACCTCATTTTACTTTTTTTTTTGTTGGATTTTTTTTTTTTTGACAAAGTCTCACTCTGTTGCCCAGGCTAGAGTGCAATGGCATGATCTCGGCTCACTGCAACCTCTGCCTCCCAGGTTCAAGCGGTTCTCCAGGCTCGGCCTCCCGAGTAGCTGGGATTGCAGGTGTGCACCACCACGCCCAGCTAATTTTTTGTATTTTTAGTAGAGATGGGGTTTCACCATGTTGGCCAGGCCAGTCTCGAACTCCTGACCTCACATGATCTGTCTGCCTCGGCCTCCCAAAGTGCTGGCATTTCAGGTGCGAGCCATCATGCCCGGCCCTTATTTTACTTTGATTACCTCTGCAAAGAAGGTCACATTCTGAGGTACTGGAGGTTAGGATTCCAAGAAAGGAATTTTGAAAGGGACACAGTTCAACCCAGGGCAGTGAGACGTGTGGAAAGGGCCCCAGGTCACAGCTGCTGGAGGATCCAGGGCTAATGAGCAGCTAAAGGAAAGAAGGACTGGAGAAGAGCAGATTTCCACAGGCCTGGGCGCCCTCCCGTTTAGGAAGCCTGCCCCAGAAGTCCCTTTGTGGCAGCTTTGAAATGCACCTTTCTGGCCCAGGCCAAGGGCTGTGCTATTGTGATGATGCGTGAACCAGAAAACACCCATTGGTGTGCCTGTAACACAGCTCACAGACCCGAGACCGTCCTCTCCTCCCAGAAGTGAGTCAGCGAGTTTCAGGATCAGAGCAACTGGGCAGGTGACAGGTCAGCGATGTCCCCTCTGCACAGTTCCCAGGGTGTCTGGGGCAGATTAGCTGGGCAGCGAGATCACAGAGCAACCAGGCCATAAATTGCTCCAATGAGGAGGCAGGACTTTTCCTCCCTGCCCTTTTCAAACTTGCTGTGGTGGATTCCTTTTTTTTAGTTCAGGGAAGATTGATGATTTCATTACTTGTGGCACTCAGCAACAAATCTCAGAGTTGCAGCTAAAGTGAGCTCTTTCACCACGCTGCATCTTCCGCTCTGCTATTCATCATGTTTAATCATTCGCTTACCTCGGACCGCTGCCGGCCTCGGGAGGGCAGGGTATTACGGACTTGGGACAGTTTTACACTTTAGAGGCTGAGGGGAGGGGACTGTGTTAGGAAGGAACAGGGCTGGGGTGGGAGGTTCATGGCTCAAGGTGGGCGGGAGCCAGTGAAGCTTCAACAGAGGCAACAGAATGACCAATAAAGGGAAGTGACAGCAAAACCCTCCTGGGACCTCAAAGGCTGGCCCTGTTTGCCAAGAAAATCTCTCATAAAAGGGGTGAGACTTAACGCCAAAAAGAAAAGGAGAGAAACGGCCGGAGGGTTCTCTGCCAAGGGAATGTTGAAGAATTTAATTCGAGATGAAATGTGCTCTTGTTTGTGTACAATTAATTTTCTCCCCAAATGAAAGGTTTTGTCTGTCACTTGAGTGTTTCAATAGCAACCGCGTAATTAAGGTAGCATGTGCCTCTTCAGTTTGGGAAGCGGCTGTTTGTGTTAACATGTTGGGGAAGCACACATTGCTTGGACTGGTTCCTGGGTCTAAGAAGGTAAAAAACAAAACAAAACACACAAAGAATGGAAGAAAACACCTCCAACTAGAGCCTTGGCTCCTGCGGGGATGATGTCATCTGGAAACTGTGAGCAGGACCTTCCCTGAGAACCAAGAGGCCTGGGCTTCCTGGGATGGGAGGCTGTGAGGAGGAGAACTTAGACAGTTTCCAGAAACTCTAAAAACGGAGTCATGAATTCAAACGCCCACGGGGGCCAGGTAGGAGGTGTATGTCCTGGAAGGGGTTGGCTGTAGTTTTTCAACACAAGTGTGTTTTGTTTGCGTAGCAACACACAGGTGTGAATACTTTAGTGCCACAAAGGAGTATGCACTCTCATTTGTGTTGAAATACATGGGTCTCCTAATTTAAGTTTCATGGGTTTTTTTTTTCCTGTTAATAAAGAGATGGTGTATTACTTCTCTACTGCTGTGTAACAAATTGCCACAAATTTAGGGGTTTGACACAGCAGCCATGTCTTATCTCACAGGTTTTCCAACATGATGTGGCTGGATTCTCCTCTGAGGATCTGACCAGGCTAACATCAGGGTATCTGCCAGGCTGTGGTTCTTATCTGGGACTCAGGTCCTCTTTCAAGTTTCCTGGTTGTTGGTAGAATTCATTTCCTTCTCATGTTTTCCATGTGGTCCTCCCTATGTTCAAGCTAGCTATGGTGGGTGGAGTCCTACTCATGCTTTGAATCTCTCTGCCTTCCTTTTTAGCTTTTAAGGGTTCCTGTAATTATCTTGAGCCCACCTGGATAATTGAGGATCATCTTCCTATTTGAAGGTCAGCTGACTATTTAATCTTAATTACATCTACAGAGTCACTTTTGTTCTGCAGTATAACATGATAATGAAAGTCACATCTGGTGGTGGAGGTTATGGAGACCAACTCAATGTTGAGAAGTGAAAAATCTGGTTAAAAAGAGATGAGAGATCTGAACAGACATTTTACCAAAGAAGATATATGAGTGGCAGCTGAGCATATGAAAAGATGCTCAATGTCTTTGTTGATGCAAAGTAAAATCACCATGTGATGCCACGACACACCCAGTAGAATTGCTAAATTGAGAGAGACTGACAAGACCAAGTGTTGGCAAACATTTGGAGCAGACGGAACACTCCTACATGATTGGTGGTTGTTCCAATGGTATCACCACTGTGTCAAAACAGTTCCCAGTTTCTTACAAAGTGAAACTCACACTGTTTGACCCAGTGATCTCACTCCTCGGTATTTATCCAAAAGAAATGAAAACATATGTCCACACATAGCAGCTTTATTCATCATGAAACAACACAAATGCGCATCACCCGGTGAATGGGTAAACACACCAGTGTATGCAGTTACAATGGAATATGATACTACTCAACAGCAACGCAAAAGAAATGATTTACCGATAAAAGCAGCAGGAATGGAGTTCAAAAGTATAATGCAGCCGGTCCCAGTGTGCTGTGGCTCCACGTGGCCTGTAGTCCCAAGTCCGTGCCCCACATTGCCTGCCTGCCATGGAGCCTGACCCTAAGGGCCCTGCTGCCTCCAGCCTCACTGCCATCCCCGAAGTCTCGTTCCACCAGACGTGTAGCCTGTGGTCCGGGCAGGCCTTGTCTCTGCTCCACGACCAGCACTCGCACTACCAGAACATCCTTGTCTTCTGCAGTAAAACCTACAGCAATATGCTGGTGTTGGATGGCATCGTCCTGGGCATAGGGAGGGATGAGTTCTCCTGCCAGGAGATGGTAGCCATCCTGCCTCTCTGCAGCCACCCCAAGCCACGAAAGGTGCTGATCATCGTGGGCAGAGATGGGTGTCTTGCACAAGGTGGGGAAGCACCTCTCCATGGAGTCTGTGGTCCAGTGTGACATTGACAAGGATGTCATCCAAGTCTCTAAGAAGTTCCTGCTAGGCATGGCCAGTTGCTACTCTAGTTCAAAGCTGATCCTTCATGTGGGTGACAGTTTTGAGTTCATGAAGCAGAACCAGGATGCCTTTGATGTATCACTGACTTCTCAGACCACATGGGCCCGGCTGAAAGCCTCTTCAAGGAAGCCTATTGTCAGCAGATGAAGGTGAAGGTGGCCCTCGCGGAGGACAGCATTCTCTGCTGCCAGGGAGAGCACCAGTGGCTGCACCTTCACCTCATAAGGAGATGTGGCAGTTCTGCCAGTAGCCGTGGTGGGCTACACCTACTGCATGGTCCCCATCTACCCCTGCAGCCAGACTGGCTTCATGCTGTGCGGCAGAACATGATCACCCGTGACCGGGAGCTGGTGCAGCACCTGACACAGCAGCAGGTGGGGCAGATGCAGCTGAAATGCCACAGCCCAGACACACACCGCACAGCCTTTGTGCTGCCCAGGTTTGCCTGCAAGGCCCTGAATGGTGTGAGCTGAGCCCCACTGCCACCACCAACACCACCTGGGACCTCGGACAAGGGAGTCTCCAGGGTGCCTGGGTGCCTCCAGCCCTGGGCCAGACCTCCTGCCGGCTCTCACTGATCAACCGAGTGTTACAGGCCCCAGAATGCTGCCCGGCCTGCCCTGCTGGGTGGACTGTCTGTCTGTGTGTCTGTGTTGCTCTGTGTGGCATTCAGCCTCCAAGCCTATACCAGCTGTGCACACCGCTGTCTCTCTCACTTCTGTTACCCTCCTCACTCACCAAACACATGTATTAACAACAACAAAATAGTATGTTTAGGAAGAAGCCAGGCACAATGCGGTTCCATTTGCATGCAATTCTAGAAAATTCAAAACAAAAGTGACAAAGAGTAGTGGTTGCCAGGGGCTGATAGTGGAGAGAAGAGATTGACTGCCAAGGGGTGGGAGAAAACTTTTTTGGGATGAGGGAACATTCTGGATTACGATTGTTATGGTGGTTATTTATATGACTGCATACAATTGTCAAAACTCAACAAAATGTTCACTTAAAATTGGTGGCTTTTATTATATGCAAATTATACCCTCATAGAGCTGACATTATATCATTACTATAATGGAAAAATCAGTGCTCCCTGCCAAAATTTCAGGCAGCTGTAAAAAGAAATACACATATGTGGCTGGGTGCGGTGGCTCACTCCTGCAATCCCAGCACTTTGGGAGGCCGAGGTGGGTGGATCGCTTTGAGCTCAGGAGTTAGAAGCTAGCCTGGGCAACATGTCAAAACCCCATCTCTACAAAAAATACAAAAATCAGCCAGGCATAGTGGCTTGCGCCTGTCATTGCAGCTGCTTGGGAGGCTAAGGCTGGAGGATCGCTTGAGCCTGGGAAGCAGAGGTTGAAGTGAGCTGAGATTGTGCCACTGCACTCCAGCCTGGTGACAGAGTGAGACCCTGTCACACACACACACACGAAATACATATACGTAAAAAGTATATGAAAAGTATATAAAAAGAAAACAGACATCCCGGGTGTTGTGTGTGCCTCCTTGCACCCCCCAAACCCATACTATGGCTTACTAGGCACTAGATTCCAGCTATGGGTTACATCTGGAGAGCCCCCTATTGCCCCCAATAGATGACCACAGCTGTATAGATTGTGACTATGAAGATATTTGTATGCATTGTAGAATCAGCTTAATATGTGAAATGGTAGATGTTATTCAAGGGTGCTAGTCTAAACCCACAACTGGAGGTTTGTTCAGTGAGAAGTGATTGTACACACGGTCTGTCAAATAGGACCACACTTTGCGCCTCCAGGACTTTGCACATACTGTTCCCTCTGCTGGGATTGCTCTTCCTGCAGCTCTTTGACCAGCCGGTTTCTTCTCTTTCTTGGGATTTTGGCATCAAAATAGTCTCAGAAAAGCCCTCACTGACCACCAGCCGTGCTAATGCAGCCCCCACCCCAATTACTCTCTGACTCAAAGCCATGCTCATTTTTTTCAAAGTCTTTTCCTAACTAGCTTGTTTATTGATTTAACTGTTTTTTTTTTTTTCAGAGACAGGGTCTCACTCTGTTTCCCAGGCTGGAGTACAGTGGTGTGATCATAGCTCATTGCAACCCTGAACTCCTGGCCTTAATAAAGGGATCCTCTCACCTCAGCCTCCTGAGTAGTTAGAACTACACACATGGTTTTTTTTTAATCTAAAATTTTTTGAAATTTATTTTTTGTAGAGATGGGGGTCTTGCTATGTTGCCCAGACTGGCCTGGAACTGCTGGCCTCAAACAACCTTCCTGCCTTGATTTCTCAAAGCACTGGGATTACAGGTGTGAGCCACCATGTCTAGCCACTGATTTAAATTCTTGAGTGTAGATTTTCTTTCCAACCAGACCATGAGCCCCATGAGGTTAAAGCCAGGTCTGGACCATCCCATGCAGTTTCTCCACAGCCTTGAGTGGGGGCAGTCACAAAGCAGACTGGATTAGTTTTCCATTGCAATGTAATAAATTGCCATAAACTTGGCAGCTTAAAACAATGTGCTTTTATGATCTCACAGTTTCTGCAGATGAGAAGTCTGGGCATGGCTTAGTCAGGCCCTCTGATCAAGGTCTCCAAGGCGGCAATCAGAGTGCTGGCTGGGGCTGGGGTCTCATTTGAGGCTTGGCTCCTCTCCCATGCTCCTGTGGTGTTGGAAGAATTCATTTCCTTATAGCTATAGAACTCACAGCAGCTTGCTTCTTCAAGGACAGTGGGAGAGCATGTCTCTGGCTTCAAATCTCTTCCTTCAAAAAGCCTGATATTCTCTTTTAAAGAGCTCACTTGATTAGGTCAGGCTCAACTGAGATAATCTCTCTTTGGATGAATTCAGGGTCAACTGATTAGGGACCTTAATCACATCTGCAACATAACATAATCTAATCACAGGAGTGAAATCCCATCCTATCAGCAAGTCCCACCTACATGCAAAGAGAGGGTGTTATACCGGGTGTGTTCGCTGCGGGGTGGAAATCTTGCAGGCCATCTAGAAAATTCTGCCTACAACACTGGCTCTCAATACATTTGTTGAATGGATAAAACACCTGCCCTTCCAAATGCCTTCCTTTGTTTAAGATTATTTCCTTTGCCAGGAGTTCTTTCCATCTTGCTGCCGACTTTGCTTGTCAAAATCTTGTTTATCCTCTGGCTCAGATTCCCTTCTCATTCCTGACTTCCTCACTGTTTCAGGCAGACAAAGGTTAGGATTTACCTTCCTCACTACACATGTGAGGCCAGATGGTTTCTTAGTTGTAACGTTCTTATGTAGAGACACACATGTACATTTACGTAAAAGGGATCACATGACTCCTGTTGGAGTGTGGACACTTTTTTCTTCTCTACCTTTCCCCTCACATCTGTCCCTCCATCTCCAAATATAACTTGTATTTTAAAAAAAACAGGATATCCTTCCATGTTTTCCTTTGTATTCCTATAACCCCATAACCCTGCAAAGCTCATTTCTTTCTCTAGAACTCCTTTCTCTTTCTCTTTCTTTCTCACACACACACATACAAAGGTATAAAAGGAACTTTTTTTAAGGGAGGATGAGTCATTGTTTTGAAAAAATGGTATTGTATGACATACATTTTTCTGCATCTTGATTTTCTCACTCAATATCTTGTAGGAATATCTTCAAGTCATCTTGTATAGTTCCAAATTAAAGTTAGTTCCTTACAACAGATGTGCATTATGTCACGAAGTGAATATACTCACAAAGTGCTCAGCCATTCCCCTGGAAATGGGAATTTGTTTGCTTCTGGTTCTGCACCACTATGAACAACGTTGCAGTAAGTATCTTTGTACATTTTGGTACAAATAGGATGGATTTTCAACGGTTCAAGAGCTGGGTGCATACACAGGGTATATGCACTTTTAACAATTTTACTAAATGCTGCCAGATTGCCTTCAGAAGAGATTGTATATTCCATGTTTCTACTAGACTGTAGGAAAGTATATCTTCCCCACAGCCCAGCTGCAATAGGATTTATGGCACTTTTAAATTTTTGCCAGTACGCTAGGCATAAAGCCATAACTCAGGGTTGAATATGAAATTTCTTGAATACTGAGGAATTCAAACATCTTTTATTTTCCTTTACTTTCTTTCTTTTTTCTTTTTTTTTTTCCTTTTTCTTCCTTCCTCTCTCCTTCCCTCCCATCTTTCCTTAATTTTCTTTTTTAAATATTGAGATTTGCTCTTCTGGGAATGGTCTCTTTATAACCTTTGCCTCTTTCTGGTTAGTTTGTAAGAGCTCTCTGTATATAATAGAAATTAACCCTTTATCATTTGCCTTACAATAATTTTGCAGATTTATAGTGTATATGTATATTTTATTTACATAATCTTGCAATGTACAAAATTTTAATATTCAAATATGCTTTTTTTTCTTTTATTGCTTCAGGATTTCCATTCTTGGTTTGTAAGATATCCCTAACCTTTAGATTATATCTGTAGTATCTTAGATTTTCTTGCAAAATTTTAATTTAACTTCGTACAATGAAGTCTTCGTCTTGTTAGAATTTAACTTTGTAGAAGACATGAGACAGGGATGCATTTTAGTTTTAGCCTTAATTTTCTGGCAAATAGGAAACCAGTTGTTCTGGCATCATTTGCTAAACAAGTCATCCTTTTCCTGTTCGAATGAATTGCTGTCTTAAGTTACCTGGTGGTTTCTTGGGAGCTCAGCCAGCATCGTGAATGTTGGGTATAAGTTTTGTTTTCTCTCTAACCAGCTTGAGTGAACAGAGCATCCTGGGGTGCCTCTGTTTAATTTGTTTACTCATTCATTTAACATTAGTTGTCATCTATTATGTTCCAGGCTGAAAAACATGCCCATTCTATGTCCTCAAGGCCTTTTTGGTTGAATACGAGATATAAGAAAAGTACAGGAGGTCTTTGTCAACCAAGAAAAATAGTCCCTTAAAGTCAATTTACTTAAGACAGGGACACCATATTTCAAAATAAAGAGTGGAAAGAGTGATTGAGTCTTTATCTTGAGTAGTGAAATGAAAAGTTTTAGAGAAAGTGTATTTTCTTATCTCAACAAAATTGATGCCATAATTGCAATGAAGGAGGCATTGATTTGGGGGTATCATTTTCCTATAAATCCCCTGCACTTCACGTTTAACGTTCACAGTTCTATAAAAGAAATTCAGTTTTGCAAAATATTTCATAGCTCATTCATTTCCACAAAGGACTCAATTCTTTTGTATGCAAATAATTCTCTTTTTAAGTACCCATCAGGTAGTGTGTCGTTAACTGGTCTAATTACCATGTCTTCATGTGCCCATGGCTTCATGAGCTGTTCTCACTAATTTCACTTTCATGAAGTTCACGAAATCCCATAGTCTTTGCAAGATTTGCATTTCCATTCGGCACTGGTTTTCATCTACTTGCATGATGTGCACAGATGTTTTCACGTCACCCTCAGGAAACCTGGCCTCTGAGGACCTGTTGGGGTTGGCACAGGGGAGAAAAGTGCAAAGTGCAGCTGAGACTGAAGAGGTGGATTTTGGAGATGAATGTTGTAATCGGCCAGTTCATTAGTGAACTCTTGGACTGTGATGGCTTTATCTCTCTATGCAACTTTGTAATAACTATGGGGACTCCATTCATAAAGATTTGGACCATGTGAACGCCTTTATACAAAAAACTGTGATCTACAAAATAGGAGAGAAATATTGCTGGAACACTCTGGGAGTTCTGAGAGGGAAGTGGCTACGGCTGGGTGAGAGGCTCATGGGGAACAGGTGACGGGGTTTGCAGGAGTGGCAGGAGCCCGCTAAGTGGTTCCTGAAGGATGAGTTGGGTTGGCAGAGGGCATTCTAGCTAAAGGGAACAGCATGACCAGATGCAGAGAGGAAGACACGAAGAGCAACATACGGGTCTCCCTTCAAGGAAGGATTTGCTGCTGGGCTGTGGCAACATGTGGTCAGCAGACGGTCTCCAGCTGGCAGCTGGAACCACCTCTACCATAATCAATGTCTCCCCGTGCCTGGCCTGTCTCCCACTTCCTTTCACAAATGTTGATCCCTAAAAACAACTTCCACTGAAAACTCCGTCTCAGTTTCTGCTTCTGGAGACCCCAGCCCGAGGCAAGAGCAATGGGTTGGTGTGGGGGCTGCAGTGGGATCCACGTGGTTCAGCTCCAACAGCAGGAGTTCCCCACCTGGTTCCAGGTTTTCACCATCAAGTCCATGCATTCCTCAGATCGAGGGGTTCCACGGTTGACGAAAAGTATCATGTGTCATGTTTTGGGGATTTTGATGAGATTTGCCTGTGACATCAGGAGTAGCCTTTTATTTTTATTTTTAAATGCTTATTTCTGTGCCCAGCCCAGACCTTTACTTGATGTCCAGGTTCATGCAATCAGCTGTGGTTGGGCTGTCTCCAACTCAAATAGTCGTGGGTTTCCCTGGCCGCCTTCTCCCTGCATCCCCCACCTCCATGATGGCCCTTCTTCCTGCCCAGGTGCTCAGGCCGGCATGGCCAGCTCCTCTCCTCCCCTGGCACCCACCCTCTGACCGCTCAGCACCTCTGTCCATCTGCTGTCCACATGGACCAATTCCCGAACTCCGGCCTCCTGTCTTCTCCCGCTGCAGTCCCTGCCTGGCTGCTCTCGGAGGATGATCACACCGCGGCCCTCCCTGGTCTCCCTGCTCAGCCTCCACCTCAGTCTATTCTTTTTTTTTTTTTTTTTAACTTCTTAAATGCACAAATTTATTTTTTCTCAACAAACACACATCTTAATGCCTTTACAACTTTTATCTCCCCAAATATATCTTGCTTTTCTTTATACATGCTGTATACAGAGTTGTTTTCCTTATATTTAGTAGTTATTGCTTTTTTGTGCCCTTTTGGGTCCTGAATTTACACATCAGGCATAGAGCTTGGGACAGGAAAGAGCTGTGAAGCAATTCCTGGAAGATCAAACCCCTTCCAGCATGGCCAGGTAGCACAGCTGAGCCAGGGATGATGGGGCCATATTGGGTTTGGCTCTGCCTTGCAGCTGGCAGTCCAAACACACCTCAGTCTATTCTATTCAACGATTCAGATCAGCCAGGCCAGCACCGAGCCCGGGTCTCCAGCCTCGCTCTGTGCAGCCACAGCCTTTCCCCGGTCGACAGGGCCCTGAGCCTCTGGCACCTTCCACCTGCCGGTCTCTTTCCTGCTTCTCTCCCATGTGGCCTTGCTCTGTTCAAGCCAGGAGCTCCCCACCTCGGGGTCTTACCCTCTGCCCCATCCGTCCTGGGATGCTCCTTTCTGGGATGTCCACCCACTGTGCCCTCACTGCCTGGGCACCTGCTGCTGAGACTGCAGAGGTGGATTTTGGCCCCCTTCTCCGGGGGCTCCTCTGATGTCCATGAGCAATCACAGCCCCCACCGCCACCCCCTCCCTTCCCAGGGCTGTCTTTCTCCAGCGCACTTCCCACCATCTGACATAGTTTGCGTGTCGCACACCTTAGGTTGGATTCTGTGCAGCAGAACCTGAGCACCCATGTGTGGGAGCCCGTGCAACCCTCGACACAGCAGCAGGTGGGGCAGATGCAGCCTCAGATGCGCACCGCGGGGCCTTGGTGCCTTTGAGACTGGGCGTGACTCAGTTCATCTGGAGAAGTCCCCGGGAAGAGAGGGCAGGACCGCGGGGAGGGAGACGGGAAGGAAAAAACGCCCATCCTGATGGGATAAGGAGCAGGTGCCCACGGTGGGCCACTGGTGCTCAGCTGTGCTGGGGACCTCAGGGAGACGCTGAGGAGCGGCCTCAGAGGGGTGCACTGGAGAGGCGGGGAGGCCAGATCTGCTCCCCTGCAGCTTCCATTCGCCCAGGGCAGCTTTCCAGGACTCCACTCCCAGGTCACACAGGCTCCTGCAGCCCGAGGAGGCCCCGCAGGAGAGCAGGGGCAGCAAGAAGCCATGGTAGGGCAAAGACGGTGAGGCTTGCGGGACCCACGCGGCACCACCAGCTTCTGCTTTGTGCACTGTCTTGGGCTGTCACCTGCTTATCCTCTGGGTCATGAGCTCCCTGAAGACAGGGGTCTGTTTTGTTCTTTGCTGTGGCCAGAGACTACAACTGTGCCTGGAGCACAGTCGGCCTTGCTTAAATATGCGCTGAGTGAGTGACGCCTCCTGGGTCCGCCTCTGCAGGCTTCTGAGATGGATATTTGGCATCTTTAAAGAACCCAGATCCCAGGCAAAGTCGCCCCTGATTTGGCTGATGCAGACTCCATCTCCTGCTGCTTCTGGGCTGACTCCGAAGCCTGTTGCTACTGTTTGCAGCCAAGTTAGTGTTCCCAACAGCGGCAGCTCCAGAGAGGGACTCAGACCGCTGATAAAAGCTCCCATTACACCGGGTGTTTTTCTGATGCTTTTGTACAGCTACCCTTTGATGCTGCAGTCATGAATCCTGACGGCAGAGTGACGATAATGGTCCCTATTACCCCTGGCATCTCACTTGATAGGATGACCAAGAGCCCACAAATCGCTCCTGAGTGTACCTCTAGCGACACATTTTTTTTTTTTTTTGAAACGGTTCCACCTGGTTTGTTCAGGAGAAGAAACAACAGATACGTGTATTTTCATTTCTTCCTTTAGTGGAGGTGTCACAATTGTTTTGGAAGTTGTCCAAGTGCCCAAGACCCCGGTCACAGACTCGACCATCTTCCCCATCCTTGAAAGCAAAGCATCCATCTCCACATCTCCAGCACCAGCACAGGGCCTGGCAGGAGATAGGGCTCAAAGCAAAGCGTGTCTATGGGCCACCCGAGTGAGGTTAGATGGGAGCCCGGACCGCTGGCCTGCAGGAGGGCCCGAAGTCTGCGTGAGTCTCCTTCTTTCCCTGGGGGAGGTTCAGCCCCAACACCGTGGCCAGGATTGCTGCAGAAGGAGCCTCCGCCTGGCTCATCGCAGCCAGGCGATGATGTCTCGTGCTGAGTTTGAGTTGGGTGCTTGGTTAAGGTGCTGGCCATCAGAGTTCTCTGTTGTAAAGGATCCCTTTCCCTTTGAAATTGCCAAATAACATGTGTGGTGATATTTTGGGACCTTGTGGACACCCTGTTTGTCAAAATCTTCCCCCAGTGGTTTTGCATCCACTGATGGTCTACGTACAATGATTACATTGAAGGTTGCAAATGGTCTTGTACATTTACCAGCAGGCCTTCCTCCAGGAAGAACTGTCCGTTCTCTCAGTCACTATTTTCAGTATGGTTATGGACTCAGGGATTCTTTTTTACTCCATGCATTCACAGCCACCACCGAAATTGTTTTATGTTCTTACGTTCCTACATCTGGCCAGTGGGAGCCCTATTCTTCCAGCTTCTATTTTGTGGTTTGTTCTGATTGCCCCCTTTGAGGACTTTCTGATTTTCTGGTACAAGATGAAATCTTAACAACACGTCAATATCATGAGAAACAAACGAGGAGGGTGCACTGTTCTAGGAGATGGGTCATGACAACCAAAGACCATGCATGACCATCCATGGGATCCCAGAATGAGGAAAAAAAGCTCGAAATTTGGACTTATAAGCCAGGGATATTCAATCTTTTGGCTTCCCTGGGCCACACTGGAAGAAGAAGAATCGTCTTGGGCCACACATAAAATACACTAACACTAACAATAGCTGATGAGTTTTAAAAAATTGCCAGAAAAAAAATCTCATAATGTTTTAAGAAAAAAAATTGTGTTGGGCTACATTCAAAGCCATTCTGGGCCACATGTGGCCTGCGGGCCATGGGCTGGACAAGCTTGGTATAAGCTATATTTCTGCATCAATATTACATTATTGGAGGTGAAAATGGTTTGGACACTTTGTAGATCTATTTTTTTTTTTTTTTTTGAGACAGAGTCTTGCTCTGTCGCCCAGGCTGGAGTGCAGTGGCACGATCTCGGCTCATTGCAAGTCCTGCCTCCCAGGTTCACGCCATTCTCCTGCCTCAGCCTCCAAAGTAGCTGGGACTACAGGTGCTTGCAACCACGTCCTGCTAATTTTTTGTATTTTTAGTAGAGACAGGGTTTCACCATGTTAGCCAGGATGGTCTCAATCTCCTGACCTCGTGATCTGCCCGCCTCTGCTTCCCCCAGGTTCAAGCGATTCTCCTGCCTCAGGCTCCTGAGTAGCTGGGATTACAGGGGTGCGCCACCACGCCCCGGCTAATTTTATGTATTTTTAGTAGAGACGCGGTTTCGCCATGTTGGCCAGGCTGGTCCCGAACTCCTGACCTCAGGTGATCCACCGTCCTCGGCCTCCCAAAGTGCTAGTATTACAGGCAGGAGCCACCACGCCCGGCCAAAATTTTTCTATAGCTTTAACATTTTTCCAAATAGTAAGTTGGAGAAAATAAAAATAAAATCAAATAAATCAGACAAGAAACACGTATTGAGGTTGGAGGCAAACCTTTGGCCCTTTGACTGCTCTGTAAATATATCTCCTATCACTGCTGCCTGTGTGTGCCATTGAAAGCAGACACTTTTTTTTTTTCTGACTAAAGGATAAATGTGGACAGACTGAAAAGCAATTGTCTCTCTGTCATTCAGGAGAAGGATAATAAGGCAAAGAGGAGGGAGGAAGGAAAGG
Source organism: Homo sapiens (assembly GCF_000001405.40). Taxonomy (NCBI): domain Eukaryota; kingdom Metazoa; phylum Chordata; class Mammalia; order Primates; family Hominidae; genus Homo; species Homo sapiens. The sequence continues at coordinate 47,870,764 of NC_000020.11, forward strand.
AGGGAAAGAAAAAAAGAAGCAAATGTGGAAGGCAGAATGGAAGGAAGGGATTTATTGATTAGCATGTCTGAACCAGGCACTGTGTTAGGTACTTGCTTTTACGTTATTCATCTCCTTCCAATGGCAACCTTTAAGAGGCAAGAAAATCAGGGCTTAGAGAAGCCGCAAACCTGTCCCTTGGCCACAAAATAAACACTGGGCATCTCAGATAATGATGTTCAGCAAAGAAATATGATTAAGCTAATTAGCCATAAGGTGATATTGGTGGAAAGCTTCCTGGACATAGAGATTTAAAAAATCCTTGGCTGGGCATGGCGGCTCATGCCTATAATCCCAGCACTTTGGGAGGCCTAGGCTTGAGCCCAGGAGTTCGAGACCAGCCTGGGCAACATAGTGAGACCCTGTCTCTACAGAAAATAAGAAAATTAGCTGGGTGTGGTGGTGTGCACCTGTAGTCCCAGCTACTTGGGAGGCTGAGGTGTTAGGATCACTTGAGCCCAGAAGGTAGAGGCTGCAATGAGCTATGATTGTGCCACAGTACTCCAGCCTGGGTGACTTAGTGAGACCCTATCTCAAAATAAAAATAAAAGCAAAAAATAAAAAACCCTGACCAAGGTTTATCTGTTTGTAAAAGGAAGCTTTGTAGCAGGAAGGGTTGTGTCCCTTGAGCTGAAACATGAGTAGGGACAGCCTGGCCCTCTCACCTAAGTTGAACCTTGGCCCATTGGACAGGCCTTGGAAAGCAGGTGCTGTCTCCTTTGCTTCTTACACAGTCTGTGGGACATGACCCTGGCAGGACCCTACCCCATCAGGGTGCTCCACTCCTTGCTTCACAGTGAGGAGTGGAGGCCCTTGGGGGACTTGGTGGCTGGGGTGAGCCCTGAGTGGAGGGTGGGGCTGATCTGGGCACAGCCTCCCCACCCCTGGCCAGCCCTTTACAGGGTTCAGAGCACCATGGGCATAAACTCAGGGGCTTCCTCTGCAATTTGAAGATGCTCCCGAGAAATAATCTTAGGCACAGGAAGGCTTTGCCCTGTGCTCTTACAATGGAGTCAGCGGCTGGGTGTGGAAATTAGGGTGAGAGGGTGGGAATATATTGCCCCTTCCCCAGCCCCAGCCACCCATGACACCGGCAGCTCTGGGAGGGAAGGACACTTTTGCAAACTTAAACAGCACTGACAAGGACTCTTTCTGATTGCTCTCCAGTGAGACATGAGTAAATTAGCTAATTAAGGCAGCTCCACTGAATACATTCTACATGCAGGCAATTTGCTGTTTATTTCCCACATGGACAAAGAAACGAAAATAGGAACTAAATCAACATCTCAGAAAGAAAAAATACCTTTGATGAATGAATTATAATGAAAGATTTCTTGATTATTGAAAGTGTGTGAAATGGTTCTCACCCCAAGGTCAAAAATTTAATAGCCCCCGTCCAAACCAAAGTGTCCATCATTCGTTCAGGAAAGTATTTGTTTAGTGCCTGCAACGTGCCAAGCCTGTGGCTGGGCCTGATGATGAAATGGTGGGGAAGGCAGAGCAAAGGAGGATATTAATCAAATAGTCAAACAGATGAGACAGATCAGAGCCCTTCTGTCCACATTTCCTGGGGTCTGGCATCTCTTGAGATTCTGGTAACAACAGGCCAGGAAGGAGGCAGACGCTGTTTGTGCAAAGAAGACAGAGTCGGTAGATGGGACTTGCTGGCAGTTGAAGCCTCACAAGGCTCTGATATGTTTCAGACGCTCTTTTTTGAGGCCACGTCATCCTGCGGGGTCCTGTCCTCCCCCAGCTCTCACCCTCCTGGGCAGTTCTGGACCAGACAGGAATGACTGACTGTCACGCCACAGTGGGGGCAGAAGAGATAAGGTCTGGGGCGGAGTGGACAGTCCAGGGAGTTGAGGAGTGTCAGTGGAGGAGAGGAGAAAGTGAGGGGGTGAATGGAGAAAAGGGTGGGGCCAGCTTCCTGCCGGCCGAGGGGGGGTCTTGTGGTTCTCCCTGACAGCTTGGGATGGAGGTGCATTCCCATGGATAAGCTTGGGAGGCAAGTGGCCAGAGAACTCCTATCCCACCCCGTTCCTGTGTCACAGGGAGGATGCCACATGGGTTGCGATGTGCCTGAATCCGGGTGAAGTACTGGCTGTTCACTGTTTCTTCTTTGTGTGTCCCTGGATGGCAAAGGAGAGGCCTATTTTATTGCAAACTGTTGCACTCCTCTCCTCTCTGATGAGTGCATTCAGCCAGAGTGTGCGTTCTCACATGTCTGAGATCCCTGAACTACTTGGTGACCAACCACTCCCAAGAAAATTGCTCTAGTTCTTAGGACAGTCCTTGGACACATTGAGCATTCAGTAAACATCTGTGGACCCACTGAATGCGTGTCTTAGGACTCAGGCAGGGGCCCTGTCAGGGGATGGTGCTGTTGGCTTCCTGCTCAGAAGCTAAGCAGTGTTGGGCCTCGCTGGTACTTGGATGGGAGACCGCCTGGGATGGTGCTGAGGAGCAGGAGTGGTGTCAGCATAGGGGCTTTGGGATTCAGTGTCCCCTTTGAGGGAAGCAGGTGAAGAGGAGACAGCTGGGGCCTGGATATTGGAGTCCCTGGGTAAGGTGCCCCCAAATTTGGTAAATTTGATAACAAGTGCCTCATCTCAAAGTGAGGGCCATGGGTGGGTGTGACTGCAGTGGGTGCTGGTTAAAAAAAATGTAAAAAGCTCTTCTGGAAAAAAGACCCCAACAACCCTGATTTGTAGCAATTGCCAGTTTCCCTGGTGTAAATATTCCCACCATGGCTGATTTCAAGCTACCAAAGATGTAACCACAAATTAGCAAAGTTTCTGAACATTTCACAGTTGGCTCTCAGAGCCAGCTGCCTGCACTCCACTGGGTGTGAGGGACTGTCTGGTCCCTACTAGGGGTCTCACAGTGGATGTGGGGTGGGTGCACCATGGGGCTGTGGGTGAGCCTGTATATCCTGCCATGCAACGGGAAGCATTACTTGAATCACCCACAAAGTCCAGCAGTGAGGACCTGGCAGATGTAGACCAATAAACACTGAAGAAGTGGAACCAGCAGGGATGAGGATGAAGCAGGATCTCCCAAAGGGAACACAGACCATGTCAGGAGGAGGAGAGACCCCTGTGGAGGCTCTGAAGCCCCTAACGGTTTTTGAAAATGTCTCCTTTGATCAGGCTGCAAAACTCAAACCTGGGGGGAAAGAGGTTGACTGTCGCTACAATTTTATTAGAAGAATTATGTTGAAAAATGAGAACTTGATTCATTCTTTGATTAAGAATTAGGGCACAGGCTGGGCGTGGTGGCTCAGGCCTGTAATCTCAGCACTTTGGGAGGCCAAGGTGGGCGGAACATGAGGTCAAGAAATGGAGACCATCCTGGCCAACATGGTGAAACCCCGTCTCTACTAAAAATACAAAAATTAGCTGGGCGTGGTGGTGTGCACCTGTAGTCCCAGCTACTTGGGAAGCTGAGGCAGAAGAATCACTTGAACCCAGGAGGTGGAGGTTGCAGTGAGCCAAGATCGCGCCACTGCACTCCAGCCTGGCGACAGAGTGAGACTTTGTCTTAAAACAAAACATAACAAAAAAACAAAACAAGAATTAGGGCACGTTTGCCACTATAACCTAAATGTTGTTGAATAGGAGAGAAAAACTCATTTTCGCCAATTTAATTTCATATTTTTTGATAAAGCTGTAGTTAAGCTTTTCTCTTTTCTTTTTTTCTTTTTTTTTTTTTTCAGAAGAGGTGGTGAGTGTGTGGCTGACAGCAGGGGCTCTGGTGCAGGGTGACCTGATCCAGTCCTGATGATGCCAATTTCTACACAAGCAACCACCTTTCTGTGCCTCTGTGTTTTCATCTGCAAAATGGGGACGGTGAGGTAGTAGTGCCTGTGTTTTGGAGAGTATATGATTTAATACACATGGAGTACGGGGAACAGCGCCTGGCCTAAAGTGAGTCCAAGGTAAATGTTTGTTAACTAAATCACAAAGCATTTGTTGTGAAACTTTGGTACTCAATTTAATTGAATTTACCTTGAATGGGCTTTTTAGTTGTACGGGTTGTCCTCAGATAACAACGGCCTTGTTTCATTACACGTGGTCCTGGCTGGGAAGAAAAGACACCACAGTTTGATAAGAGGGGCCTTGGGGGACCTGACCTGGGCCCTGGGCCTGGGCGAGGAGGTGATGAGGACACAGGAGAATCCCCCCAAGGAGGTGACATTCATCTGAGATGTGACAGGTGACGAGGCTCCTGGAGGTAACTGGGTGAGGATGGGGTTGGGGGTGGGGGCACATTCTAGGAGGAGGGGCCAGCACGTGCCAAGACCTTGAGGTTCCGGGAAGCCTGGTCTGTCCAAGACCAGCGGAGAGGCCAGTGTGGCCATGACCGAGTGGACACAGGGGTGAGTGGTGGGAGGTGGGACTGGACGGGGGCAGGGACCTGTGGGGGTTTGGTCCAAGGGCAGCCTCTGAGGTTTGATGGGTCCGATCTTTCTCTTTGGACGTCCCCATGGGAGGGCCTCCTTGTCTAAGGCTGATCTTTTCCTCCCCATTCCCACCATGGCCTGTTTCACAGGTAAGAACCCGGGTGGGAGGGGAGACCTCTGTTTCAGGGCCTTGGCCACATCTCAGGAGAAAATCTGTGAAGACTGATTTTCAGGAAATGCTTGGCTGGGAACTCTGCCATGGGAAGCAGGGGTCTGAGAGCCAGGTCAGCGATGCTGTCTTGTACTCGTGACTGAACTGGAGGCCGGGCAGCCAGGAGAAGCCCCAGGACCCTCCTGATTCATGCGGGCCTATGCAGGAACTGCCAGGGGTCAGAATGAAGGCATCTGGCTTCGGGAGCATCCAGTGGGAAGCAGCCCAGGCTGGGAAGTGCAGATTTTACCGGAGCTGTAGGTTTTCATGAGGAACCTGGGGGTCACTCAGGCATCTCCCTGCAAACAGCTGCCTGCCCACGGTGAACATCCAGGGGTCAGGTCCCAGGGCTTCTCCTGGCTTCCCTGCCTCCAGTTCAGTCCCAAGAACAAGATGGTGTCACTGACCTTGCTCTCAGACACCCGCTTCCCACAGCAGAGTTCCCGGCCTGCCTGCAAAGTGCTAACCACACTGTTGGAATTCCTCAGGGGTGAGCACGAGCCTCTCCGTTTCATCTGTGCCTATCGTGGACACATTAACTATTTCATGAAGTAACACAAGTAGCATCTGGAGTAAAAAAATTAACTAAAAATAGGTGAAACAGTGAAATTCAGTGACAAGGATGCTCATGAATAATTAAGAGGCCGACACAGGACCACGTTTTAAGGAGATTCTCATTCCTAAGCCTGTTGCTTTTCCCTGCACAGCACAAGCAAGACCTGATTTCCCAGCAGGAAGGTTGTCTTAATTAAATCTTATTTGTCAAGAAGGCAAGATGTATTTGTGTTTCCTCAGGCTCCCATTATTATAAACTTCGCAATGTTTTCTCTGAGAAATGCTCCTTTTCTGCTCAAAAGAGCTGATTGTTGCTGTTTTTCTCTCTTCCATTGTGAGAAGGAAATGCTACAAGTTCTTTGTCAGGTAATCAATTATCCTCCTTAAAGGATCCCTGAAGTGTCATTTGAAAATTATGGCTCCTGAAAAATAATAAAATGGCCACTTTAACATATTGTTGCCTGTCAGAGTGAGTTTCTCTCCCCTGCAGAGTCACAGAGCCTGTAAATTGCCCGTGGTAATGACCTCTGGCTCCAAATGCAGTCACTGGTCTCTGCACAGATAGACACTGTCTGTCACTTCTGGGGTTTCACTGTTGACGCTGTGTCTCTTTTAGCTTCTAGGAAGCCCTGTAATGATGCTGTAATTAGCAATGCATCCTTCCCTCTCTCCCAACTCCAATTGCTGTAATTTATGTCTCTCAACAATACTTACACCAAGCACGCCATCTGTACCACTGTGTGGGGAAGGAAGTTCTCAGGTTCAAGGTCTCAGGGAGATAAACACAATTTTAAGTTCACAGACATCCTCAGCAATCAACATCAACTACCACACCAAGAAAGCAAGACCTTGGTATTGTTGGCGAGTAGCAGGTAATTGATGATCTTGTCAGCATGATCTACTGTCCCTGATCTGTATCAATATGAAATAAGAAACCATTTAAGAGGTGTCAGGAAAACATGTCAGGCCCCCCTCCTCCTCCTCCTACCATTTGACATTGACTCATTCACATATAAAATTGAGTCTTTGTGATGGTGAAGTGTTAAAGACCCCGTGTAGTCAAATTACTATCATGAAACCAGTGAGTGGAAACAAGTTATTAAATGTCCCTGGTTCCTCCTCATTCAAACAGGTGGAAGAAAACAAACAGAAAGCTTAGATGCAAATGTGACTTCATGCCCAAGTGTTCGTGAGAACCAATATACGCCAAGAAAGAGAAAGCCGGGTGGTGCCCCAGATAATTCGGGTGAAAAAGACTTCTACCAGAAAATCAAAGACATCCAGGCACAGCTTGAGGATGCAGCCGTAGTCCATCCATCGTGTCTTCTTGTGAATGAGCCTCAAGTTTCTTAGCAACACAGGACACGCTAAGTGTCCCTGTGACATTCAGTGGAAATGTTGAAGCATCACTGAAATTCCTTGAGCCAAGGTGCACCTGTTCAGGTCTCAAGACCTTTTCTGAGAGCTGGGCAGACCACCTTCCCTCACTGGGCTTCAGCTTCCTTATTTAAAACTACACATTCCTTTGGACATTCCTTGTTTCTGCCCAATGCAAGATAAAGGAGAGGTGGCAGAAAAGTTGAACTTGTTTCTGCTGGTGTTCCCGGAAGAAAAATCTTGATCTCAGGGCATCCTGAGGTGTGTCCTTGGGAGAATGGATCCTTGATGTTATGAATGAATTGTGTAGGAATCGCACCCTCTAATGGAAAGTCGAACTTTCAGACTCGCCAAAAATCCAAAAAGAGGGTTCTGAAGTGTATGTGGAATCTTCATGTGTCTTTTTGCAAGGACATTACTCATTCATTCCCAAGGCATTGGGCCGTTCCACTGTAATTCACAGTTAGTTGGTTAATTGCTGGTGTAGACCCCAACATTTAGATATCCTACTTCCTTGCAAGCAGAGCCCTGGTTTTGCTCAGATGCTGGGAAGCAATGTGCTCTCTGACACCAGGGAGTGGATTACCATTGGTCTGAGCCCAGCATGGCAGTCTCACTTACTTTTAGTAATTGGCTTGGAGGGGACATTGAGTCAGGGCTAGTCAATGAGATGTAATTTGGGAGTCTATTGGTGGGGGCTTCTGGGGTCTCTAAGGGGATCTGTGAGGAGCAACTCTCTCTTTTCTCTCTTCTTTATTCTGGTCATGGTTCTGAGTGGATGTCTTGGCAGGTGAGATGGCAGCCATCTTGTCTCTATGAGGGCACAAGGCAGAGGAGAAGGCTGGCACACAGAGGAAGGGAGAGCAGAGCCAGGGGGCATCAGCAGCAAGTGGCTGAGGTGACCAGCAGGGGACTTGCCTACGTGTGGCTCTCAGACCTTTCCTTATTGCTGCAAGCATTTCCCTCTGAGAAGGACCAGCTCTACCCACACTCTACCACTCCATCTGCAAGCCCAGAGGTGCCCAGGAGTCCCTTGGCCTCCATATGAAGCTACCCCTTCCCTGGCCCACACCTCAGCTGACAGGGGCTGATAGGAAGCTCCACAATGCTGCGTGAGCCTGGAAAGATCCCCACCTTCCTGCTCCTAAAGACACACCTTCCCCACCACATTCCACCCTGAGAGCATGGAATTAATCACCGGATACCTTCTATTCCTGTTGAAGTCCATCTCCTCGTGAAGCCCGCCTCCTGGGTCATCCTTTGTCCCCTGGACTCTCAGCCCTACATGACCCAGTGGGAAATGAGGCCTGAGCCCTATTTCTCTGGCCCTTCCTGCCCTGTTTCTGTGTCAGTTTCCTTTGTAGCATTGTCATTGTCTGACTCAGTCTTTCCTGGGGATCCTGGAGACAATCATCTTAGCCCAGGTCTCCTCACCCAGAGCCAAGGCCAACTGAAAGAGTCAGTGCCTTTGGGGCGCAGTGCCTTCGGGGCAGATGCAGCCCCAGGGGTCCAGGGTGGGGAAACGGGAAGCGAGGTGGGGAGGCTGGGAAGTGATGACTGAGCTGATGACAGCCTCCCAAAGACCCAGCTGGTCACCAGGTCACGTGGAGCATTTCCAGACAAGCTGTGCAGAAACGCTCCCCACAGGATGGCCCATATGGGGATGGTTGGGAGGGGCCATTTATAGCTAATCTCTCTTTTTTCCTCTCCCTTGAGGGTGCAGGTTTGCTCTTCAGGGAGTCGTCTCTTTCTTTTCTTTTCTTTTCTTTTTTTTCTTGTTGAGACTGAGTCTTGCTCTGTCATCCAGGCTGGAGTGCAGTGGCATGATCTCAGCTCACTGCAACCTCCACCTCCAGGGTTCAAATGATTCTCCTGCCTCAGACTCCCGAGTAGCTGGGATTACAGGTGCCTACCACCATGCCTGACTAATTTTTGTATTTTTAGTAGAGACGGGGTTTCACCATGTTGGGCCAGGCTGGTCTTGAACTCCTGACTTCAAGTGATCCACTTGCCTCGGCCTCCCAGAGTGCTGGGATTACAGGCATGAGCCACCACACCTGGCCGAGTCTTCTCTTTCTTAACACCAGGGTGCATCACCCAGTCCCTTGGCAGCTGCTGGGGAATCCAGATCCCACGCTCATTTTTGTGGCAACTTAGCTGAATCCAGAATTGGTGGAGGATCCAGAATCTTGGGGCGTCGGTCTCAGGCCGTGTGTGGTGTAAGGCCTGAAACTGAAGTGTAATATTAAGTACGGCCTTGATGTCTTTGAGCTTCACAGGGCTGCAGAGGCCAAACTACTAGTTCCCTTCCCTCACCAATATGCTCCCAGCTCAGTGGGAAAGACTCCCACCTGGTAGGTTTACCTGTCAACTGGAGCAGCCACGCTCCACCTGGTCCTCAGCTTAACTGGCTTCACCTCTCTGCCCACAGGAACCAGGGGTACCTCACCCCGTTGTTACTTCAAGGTCTGCCTCCCACAGCCCCTCCTGTTCTCTCTGTTCCCAGGTGCACACCCTGTGGCTCTGCAGGGCGCGTGTTATCCTCCCCTGCGGGCTGTATTTGTGGCCGACCCACTGCCCGTCTCATGTGTGCAGCGCTGGGTGTTGTGTGCTCGGCCATCTCATACTATTTAGGGCGAGGATGCATCCCTCACCGATGGGGTGAACGGGAGGTAGTCGGAACACAGTGGTGTCCTGTGGACCTGCGCTGAGTCAGTTCCTGCAGTGGAAGCTGGGGAAACCAGAGGTGACACGCTGCATGGGTCTGATACACAGCCCGGAGAGTTTGCATCTCATTTGCTTGACAGTTTTTCTCTAGTGGAAAATATACTTATTTTTTTTTCTTTTTCTTTTCTTTTCTTTTTTTTTTTTTTTGAGATGGAGTCTCACTCTGTTGCCCAGGCTGGAGTGCAGTGTCACGATCTTCGCTCACTGCAAGCTCCGCCTCCTGGGTTCACACCATTCTCCTGCCTCAGCCTCCCGAGTAGCTGGGACTACAGGTGCCCACCACCACGCCTGGCTAATTTTTTGTATTTTTAGTAGAGACGGGGTTTCACTGTGTTAGCCAGAGTGGTCTCAATCTCCTGACCTTGTGATCCACCTGCCTTGGCCTCCCAAAGTGCTGGGATTACAGGCATGAGCCACCGCGCCTGGCCCAAACTACTTTTTAATGAATGGCCTCTTCGGAAACTGCTCAAGGGGGAAAGATGACTCTGGTTCTTGCAGCCAAAGTCTGTTTCCCTTTGCACTAAGACTGATTTGTAATACTCATCATAGCCGTTCATTTTACTTTTGTGGAATGAATTCCAGGAGAATTTCTCTTTTACAAGCCTATCAAATATTAGGTGGTTTTGAGCAAGAGCTTTCATAAGCAGTGTGTCAGGCTAACCCGCAATAATGTGAGAAATTTAAAAAATAATTTGATTATTTTCCTTACCTCTGCCTCCCCAGTGAATGGGATGACGTGAAAAGTGTGATGGGGATGACTTCAGAGGCAAGGCTCCGTCTTCACAGAGAGAGGCCATGCAGCCTGGCTTCACCCAGTCAGACCACATCTGTGATTTTCTTGCTCTCCTTTTAGCCTGACACACTTTGTTTCTTCATTTCACTTTGATTTTTGAGATATAAATCGAAATCCACATACAATTCACACTTTAACAGTATAAAATTCAGTGTTTTTTAGTATTTGCAAGGTTGTGCAACCTTCAATATCAAATCCCAGAACATTATTATTGCCAAAAAGAAACCTTGTACCCATTAGCAGTCATTCTCCAACTGTCCTAGGGAATTACTAATTTATTTTCTGTCTCTATGGACTTGGCTGTTATGGACATTTCATAAATGGGACCATATACGATGTGATCTTTTGTGTCTGGCTTTTTTCACTTGCTATAATGTTCTCAAGGTTCATTCACATTGTAGCATGAATCAGCATTTCATTCCTTTTTATGCCTGAATAATATTCCATTGCATGGATAACTGTCATTTTTGTTTGTTTGTTTTATTATGTGTTTTTGAGACAGGGTCTTGCTCTGTCACCCAGTCTGGAGTACAGTAGCATAATCTCAGCTTGCTCCAACCTCCACCTCCTGGGTTCAAGCGATTCTCATGCCTCAGCCTCCTGAGTAGCTGGGATCACAGGCATATGCCACTACACCGTGCTAATTTTTGCACTTTTAGTAGAGATGGGGTTTCACCATGTTGTCCAGGTTGGTCTTGAACTCCTGGTATCAAGTGATCTGCCTACCTCGGCCTCCCAAAGTACTGGGATTACAGGCATGAACCACCACACCCAGCCTACTCTTTTGGTTTGAAGTGAGGAACAATTCAAGTTACCTTAAACAAACAAACAAAAGAATGTTAGGCCTCACGTCACTGAAGAGTCCAGAGGTGTGGTGGGCAGATTCCAGAATGATTCCCAATGACCCTTGTCCTTGAAAAGCCTCTTCCCCTTGAGTGTGGGTGGAGCTTGTGAATAGGCTACTACTCCTGTGACATCATATGACAACGGGGATTGTGCAGATCTAATTAAGGCTATTAGTCAATTGACTTTGAGGTAATCAGAAGGCAGATTAGCAGGTGGACCTGACCTAATCACACTAGCTGTTTGAATCTGGGCCTAGAGATCAGAGACAGAAGTTAGGAATTCATATCACAAGAGTGATTCAAAATGCCATTGACTTAAAAATGGAGGGGCCCAAATGCCAAAGACTCGGGAGGCCTCTAGGAGCCGAGAGTGGTTCCTGGCCAGAAGATGGGAATCTTGGAACCTTAGTCTTTTCATGTTTTGTTTTGTTTTGTTTTGTTTCTCTGCACCCCCATGTTTATTGCAGCACAACACACAATAGCCAAAATATGGAATCAACCTAAGCGCCTGTCAGTGGGTGAATGGATTTAAAAAAGTGTTCTATACACAATGGGTTATTATTCAGCCATAAACAAGAATGACATCCTGTCATTTGCAGCAACATGGATGGAGCTAGAGGCCATCACTTTAAGTGAAATAAGCCAAGCACAGAAAGACAAATATCACATATTCTCACTCCCATGTGGGAGCCACAAAGGTGAATCTCGTGAAGATAGAAAGTAGATTGGTGTCTACCAGAAGCTGGGAAGGGTAGGGGGTGGGGGCATGAAAAGAAGTTGATTAATGAGTATGAATCCAAAGTCAGATGGAAGAAATATTTAGTATTGTGTAGATCAGTAGGGTGACTACACTTTACAATAAACTATTGTACATTTCAGAATACCTAGAAGGGGGAGCCTTAGTCTTGTAACCAAATGGAATTAAATTGTGCCAACAACATGAACTAGCTTGGAAGCAGATTTTACCCCCAGAGCCAATAAGAACTCAATACCTTGTTCTCAGCCTTGTGAGACTTTGAGCAGAGCCCAGTACTGCTGGGCCGAACTTCTCACCTGCAGAATTATGGACTAATAAATGGGTGTTGTTTTGAGCCATTAAGTGCATGGCAATTTGACACAGGAATAGAAAACTAACACAAAAGGCCAGCTGCCTTCAGGTACTGCTGCATCCGGGTGCTCAGATGACATCAGGAGGCCTTCCTGTCTCTGCGTCTCTCCAGGCTCATTTGCTTAGACTTGTTGGTGCATTTGGAGGATGGCTCTCTCCTTGTGGTGATGACGCCTCCAGGAGCCCCTCTTCCTTCTCCCAGCTTACCTATCCCAGGGGAAAGGAAGCCTCCTTTGCCATTCATACAACAGCCCTTGGATAAAGTTTCATTTGAAGGGTGATTTTCACAAGCTCCTCCCTAAACCAATTGCCACAGCAAGGCTTAAGCCCTGGACTGAGCGAGCAGGGCTGGGTCCACCCCACCCATGGATGGAGAGCTGGGGAGGGGTCGCTTTTCCAAAGGGGACTCAGGACCCAGAAGGAGCAGCAGGTGCTGGGTGGGAAAACCAAGGGTGTCCCCCACACTCATGCATCTGTCTCTCCTGCAGCTCATGGGGCACAGCCTGCGCTACCTCCTCTGTCCTGGAGGACCCAGTGCCCATCCTCCATGGCTCCAGGATGGAGCTGGCCCTCCCACAGCCCTCACCATGGGCTGTGGAGGACAGGGTGTTGAAGGGACAACGATTCAGGTCCTGATCAGACATCCGGCTGGAGCCCTGACACTGGGCATCTCCTCATCCTCCTCGGCCATGACTGACTCTTCCTTGTCATTTCTGAGATGGTGGAAGGGAGACTTTGGAGCATCTGGGCAGGCCCTGGTGAAATGGCTCTACTCTAGACTTTTTGAAAAACTAAAAAATCACTTTAGGGTCTTAGAGAGCCATGCAAGGGAGAGACTTCAGTGTAGCTGGATGAAGACAAACTTGGGCACTTGGTTGTCCCTTCAGAGCTGGGTCTCGGAGCTTTCATGGAGTGCCCCGGGGAATACACAGGCTCAGGAGTCAGACCCCATGGGCTCAGGTCCCAGCTCTGCCTCTTACAGCGCTGCAACCTTGTATAAGTTACTTTAGCTGTGCCTCAGTTTCTTCATATGTAAAATGGATCTGATAATAATGCCCACCTGAAAGTGTGGGTGTGAGGATGAAATGAGCGAACATGTGCTTAGTGTGGTACATAGTGAGTGCCTGCTGAATGCACCTGCCATGATGCTGAGTGTGAGTGCCTGCTGAATGTGACCTGCCATGATGCTGAGTGTGAGTGCCTGCTGAATGCACCTGCCATGATGCTATCTGAGTGTGAGTGCCTGCTGAATGTGACCTGCCATGATGCTATCTGAGTGTGAGTGCCTGCTGAATGTGACCTGCCATGATGCTATCTGAGTGTGAGTGGCTGCTGAATGCACCTGCCATGATGCTGAGTGTGAGTGCCTGCTGAATGCACCTGCCATGATGCTATCTGAGTGTGAGTGCCTGCTGAATGTGACCTGCCATGATGCTATCTGAGGTGTGTGAGGATGAAATGAGCTAACATGTGCTTAGTGTGGCACATAGTGAGTGCCTGCTGAATGCGCCTGCCATGATGCTGAGTGTGAGTGCCTGCTGAATGCACCTGCCATGATGCTGAGTGTGAGTGCCTGCTGAATGTGACCTGCCACGATGCTGAGTGCACATTTCTGCTGAGATAGTTAATTCTTAGGTCCATTTCAAAGATCAGGAGCCTGTGACCAAATGTTCAGTACTTCTGGAAAACACTTCCATTTATGCTGTCTCTGAATTGGCAGCATTAGGAATGAAAGAGAGATAAATTAGATCATCCAAGATGATTGCTCTGAATGCCCTCCTCAGGAGCTCTTTACAGTGTTACCTCCTAATGTACACTGAAACCGTGCTTGGTGCTGTCCTAGCCAAGGCTAGGGAAAGAAGGGAACTAACCTCCTCAGTTATTGGCCTAAGCATCTCATAACCTACCAGGTAGGGCACAAGATGTTATATCTGTGCCGTTTCCTTTACTGTTACATCAACTTTTGCGGCATCACATGCATTTTGTGGATGAGTAAACTGAAGTCCAGGGAAGTTAAGTAACTTGCCCAAGGTCACCCAGAAAGTATCGGAGCTAGATTTGAATCTATGATGGTCTGCTTCCAAGGGCCAGAGGATTTCAGCTCTACATCAGTTTTATTTTTTCCCAGAGAAACAAGAGAGAAGCTGAGGGCACCATCTGCGGTGGATTCGGGCTGTGGGATTGCTGAATAGTGTCTACATTTGTATTAAGGAGTCATTTTGAGAGAACATTTCGAAGGCTCTCCAATCCATAGCACAGTGTTTTACCATCATTTGTCTCCAGGTGCATTGGGAACCATGTATTCACTCCAGGTGGTTTGAGAGGGAATGTGGCATTGCCCTTTCCTTGTTTCTCAGAATCCTTATTTCCTCTCCTCATTTTGCCCCTTTCTCCACAACGTTCTTTTCAAGACTTTGAGTTTGGGCAAGAATCGGGCAATAGGTTGCATTGTCAGGGGCTTAATGCCTCAGATTTTCTAAGGCAGTCCTGCTTGCCAACCTTCTGTTCCCGGCTCATTTCTGATCTGAGACCCAGGTTGTGTTGGTGGCTTTGGTGACTGCAGAACCACTGCTCTGGAGCCATTCACTCCACAGTGAGGTTGACACCCTGAGTCCCACAGGCCCCCTCTATTGCACCCACACTCTGTTGTGTTGGTGTGGCCAAAGAAGAGGAGGACAGAGAAGCTTCCCCAGAGATCTCTCCATGCTCCTCACAAGTGGTTTTTTTTTTGAGATGGAGTCTGTCACCCAGGCTGGAGTGGAGTGGCATGATCTTGGCTCACTGCAACCTCTGCCTTCTGGATTTAAGCAATTCTCCTGCCTCAGCCTCCCAAGTAGCTGGGATTGCAGGCGCCCGCCACCACGCCGGTTAATTTTTGTATTTTTAGTAGAGATGGGGTTTTGCCATGTTGACTAGGCTGGTCTTGAACTCTGACCTCAGGTGATCTGCCCGCCTCAGCCTCCCCAAGTGCTGGGATTACAGGTGTGAGCCACTGCTCCCGGCCACAAGTGTTCTTGGCTTTGTTTGTCTCTGCATTTGTCTCTGGGGAGGTATCACATTAACTTTCCATGTTTGTGGACTTGTACCTGTAATATGATTACAGTCTATACTTTCTAGAATTTTCTCAGATCCTCCATAGAACGACGTTTTTCGTGGCAGAGATTGTGTCTTCAGTGTGTCCCAACAGAGCTTGATCTGGAACCTCACCCAGAGTAAGCGTGGATTTGAAGCACCAGGGTCTTGGAGATCCTGGAGGGGCTTGGCCCTCTTAGCCAGGCCTGTGTGGTGGGGATGCCGAGGGGAGGAATGATGGATGGGAGAGATCACGTGACAGCACAGGACACTCTCCTGGGGCTAAAACAACTTCAGCGTCTGCTGTTGCAGTTTGGCCAGCCTGGTGGGGATGGAGGTTTGGTGGGAATTTTTTTGTAAGATTCATTAACCTTTTTCTCTTCTTGTTTCCCCCTTTTCTTTTCCTCCATTTTAAGCAGGCAGGCAGTCTTGCTAATGTCAGAAGTTAGGGTTTGGGGTGATGTGAAAGTTAAGGTTAATGTTTAGCAGATAGTCAATCCCCTCGCTCTCTGACTGTGGTTAAAGAACTCATCCCTGCCCCACTGACTTTGGGCTTGGCCATGTGACTTGCTTTGGCCAACAGAATATGAGCGCACATACTGTGAGCAGAGGCCGTGAGTGCACTGCCACGAGAAGCGTGTGTCCTGGGGAGCTGCTGCCTCTTGTGCCCGGGTCTAGAAGAAGTCATGTGTCGTCAATCCAAGCCCAACCCGTAGCCTGGAGCAGAGCTGCCCTTAGACCGCCCCAGATCATCCAAACCTTAGTCACCCTGCAGACTCCAAGTGTGAGGACAGAAGCTCGTGTTATAAGCCATTGAGTTTGGGCGATGGTTTGTTATGCAGCACCACTGTGACAACAGAAGACTGATATGGGTGGTGTCTGCTGGGAGGAACTGGGTGGCAACGGCAAGTGAATCGAAGAAGGCCGAAGTTATTGGCTTTTGCAAAATACTGAACCAGTGAAGAGATTTGCCCAAGTGTCCAGGAGGGTGGGAGCCTTTGGCCAGCAGCCAGGTGGGCCGAGCCTTCTGCAGAGCTGCGCAGGCTTGCTGACGCCTGTGTTTGGACAGTGGTGGAGACCTGGCTGATGCCTGTGTTTGGACAGTGGCGGAGACCTGGCTGAAGCCTGTGTTTGGACAGTGGCGGAGACCTGCATTGCGTTCCCTAGAGTGTCAGGGGTATTGCCAGTCTTGGGCCTCAGACAGAACAGCCTCTACTGCCTGAGGAACCCCTGTTTGCCAGGGATTGGTTTAAGCATCTCCTATGACCTTACTGTACCTCCTCAGCAGGTGGGTGCTGTCACTGGACAGATGAGGAAACTGAGGCATAGAGTGGTTAATCACTGCTCAGGGTTGCACAAGGGATAGGTGGCAACACGTGGCGTGGAGTCTAGGCAGTCCGCTTCTGGATGCTATGCTCATCGTCGCTACACTGCCCGCCCCAGTGCACCTGAGGGACTGCAAGGGCCGAGTGGCATCTCATGATAACCAGGGACTGAGAGCAGAAAGCTTGGCTTCCCTCATTCCCAACGTTAGACCCTGGCAAGGCCTGTGATGTGGACCTCTTCTCAAGTTGGGAGAGGAAGAATGGCTGAGATGGCATTTCCTAGCAGCCCAGGGGGACGGAGGCTGCAGTCACAATGCAGTGGACTTAAAGAAAAGAAAGAGACACAGCCTCTCTTACACCCCGGACTCAGCACAGATGTTCACCCTTGCAGCCCATGGCGTTGGATGGCAGGCTTGATGCCACCTGTCTGGCACAGGCAGCATTTCTGTTGGACTCAGGGACCACAGGCTCTAGGTCCCTGCAGGATCCTTGGACATCACTGGCCACAAAGAAGGGGTCTCCCAGATGTCACATGCAGGTGGCCTTGGGCTGGAGCCAGGGCCAGGGTCTGACCTGGAACTGCAGAAAGCAGTATGTCCTGAGCTTGCTGCTGACTCTGGGGAGGAGGCGCAGCTGGCCACGGAGCTGCCCTGAAGCCGTCGGAGGTGGGGGGACCACGTGGCTGGAGCACAAGATGCACATTTCCTGAGAATACTTTTTCCCCAACACTCCCATTGCTTCATTTTTAAACACCCCACTTAATTCATGTATAGATCTGAAATCACACTGAACGGGAATGTGAGTTTTCTGGGTTTGCCAAAAGGGGACCTGGGTTAGCAGCAGTGGCGAGGGGGCCTGGCCTTGCAGGGGTGAAGGTGAAGGTGTTGGTGAACTCAGCTTCCCTCCTGCATGTCTCGGGAAGATCATTTCCCGGCCCCCATGGTTGAGGAAGAGCAATAAAGAACCAAATCTCCTTTGAAAGGCATTTGACAACATTTAAACTCCGTCAGGCAGCCTAAGGATCATTTTCAATAAATTCATCTTGAGCTAAAGTTTCTGCCTTACTGAATTCATCTTTTGGGAGTGGGTGTTTGTCCCTGCTGCAGATAATTGTGACCCTGGATGGCAGGACCTATGTTCACTGTGAACCAACTTTTCTTGCGAGGGCCCCAAAGACCCCGAGTGTGAATCGCCCGAGTGGGTGGGGTCTCTTGCCCTGTGAGTCCTACTACCAGGGGCCCCATCCTTCCACCCACCTTCCCCCGGGTCTGTTTCCCTTGAGGTCTGAGCTGGGGTGCCCAGTGAGGGGTCATCCCTGCTGTGAGATAAAACCGAGGTGTGACTCCCCATCCCCATGCAGGGCCCTAGAGGTCATGCACGGCTTCAACCATCTGACCGAGGACGGATCTGACTCCCTGCTCAGGGCAGCAGCTCGTGGTTCATTCAGCCCCAGCGGCGTCTCGATGGGGGTAATGTAAGGGGCACAGAGAACCGAGGATTGGGTCTGATGGGATTAAACCCCCAACTGGTGTCCCTGTGTCTTCTCTTTCCTGACACCAGACACCAAGAAGAAACAGCCCCAAGCACATCCGTCAGTGCATTCCGAAGGGTGAGCTGGGGGCCAGGCGGCCTCTGAAGTCTCCACATGGGTTTTGAGCTTTTGCTTTTTTGCAGCAGCAAATCTGCTCTGGGCTGGGAATTGGTGTTTGCTAAATGCACAGGTGGTCTGGAGTGATGTTTTCCTTCTTTAGCAAAGTAACACATGCTCCTTACAGAGAGTTAGACATGCAAAGAGGCAGGCATGTTTTTTAAGGATAAGTTAAACATTCAGCAGGTTCTCGGGCACTGAGTGAAAGGTGTCCCCACAGGTCAGCCCCTCAGCCCCCCAGTTTCTTCTTGGAGAAGCCAGTGCAGGGCCCCGTGTTGGGGGCCGGTGGGTAGGAGGCTATCTCAAGACACCAGGAGGCGATTAGAGGGTCTCAGTCCATTTTGATACCTGTGCTCGGGAGTCGCTGGCTTGGACTGGACTCCTGGCAGCACCCAGTGAGAAAGGGACAAATCAGGCTGTGACTCTGGCCGTTTTCTCCTCTGCGACTATGATTCCTTTGCTGCACCCCCTCTTTCTGGCCCATCCGCAGAGCACAGACCTATCCTTGCCGGCTGACATTTCTCTGCTCCCTGAGGCTGAGTGTGCCCCCTGGGGATGCTCAGAGAGTGTCCCTGGATTTATTTCAGGGCCCTCACTTCTTGGAGGAGATGTCATTCCCTGCAGAGCTCCATTCACCTGCTCTGAACCCTCCTCATCCTGCCCAAGGACGTGCTCTCTGGTTTGGCTGGAAAGAATGACCCCACCATGCCAACTCTGGGATTCAGGCAAATCAGAGCTGCTGGGCCCAGGCTGCGTTGTCCAGCTGGCCCAGGTGTTTGTACTGAAACACAGCTGTGTGCCCACTGGTTGGTGCAGAGATGCTGTCTCTATCCCTATGGAGACCCTGTACTGGCACCCCAAGATACAGCAGCACAAGGGGCACAATTGCTGGCCCAGCAGAAACCTGGGGACCCTACACTCGAGCTACGGTCAGTGTCCACGATGACTGGCCAGCTGCCAAGTGAACAAGGACAGAGGCGTGGGCAGACGTGCTGTGGCCTCTCAGTGCTGGGTGTGTGAGTGGCCGGAGAGGGCGTCTAGATGCCCCAGGTGTCTTCACACCCAGAACTGGGTCTGCCAGACCCTGATGGCCCCGAGAGTCCTGACCAGACCCCCGAAGGCCAACCCAACATGCTGGGAATGACCATTGGTGCCAAGCGGGCCCTGGGCAGCTGGGGAAGGGCTGTCACCTCAAATGTCCCACTACCTGGCTCCTCCTCTTTCCTCAGGGACCCGAATCTGCCCGCTGGGCACAGGTCCTCACACAAAGCCTGGTCCAGGAAAAACAGGACCACATTGCCAGGCGGCCTGTCCTTCCCCTCCCCACAATCTGTGCTCTAATTACAGAAATGACAGGCTCATGGCCAGAGACGCCAAGTAACAGAGAAAGAGAATAAAGTAGAAAATAAGAATCATTCCCCAACCTACCCCCACACGGAGCTAGCTGCATTTTAAATAACTAAGCTTCTTGATTGTGTCTGTGTGGAGGCCTGAGTTCCTATAACCGAGGCTGTTTTCTCTTTTTTTTTTTTTTTGAGACAGAGTCTCACTTTCTCACCCAGGCTGGAGTGCAGCTGCCCGATATTGCGACCTCTACCTCCTGGGTTCAAGTGATTCTTGTGCCTCAGCTGGGCACCACCATGCCTGCTCATTTTTGTATTTTTAGTAGAGACGGGGGTTTCACCATGTTGGCCAGGCTGGTCTGGAACTCCTGACCTCAGGTCATCTGCCCACCTCAGCCTCCCAAAGTGCTGGGATTACAGGCATGAGCCACCGTGCCCGGCCTTGTCTGTTTTCTCTTCATGAGTGCCCGGTGTCAACGGGAGAAGCAGCACTGGCCTGAGCCTCTAAGCCAAAGCGTCCGGGCACAGCTGGGGACAGGCAACATGGACCCGGTCACTGTGGTCCTAATGGTAGATTGTGGTCCTGGTTGGCATAGGCAGCTCATCACGGTCTCACCTGTAGCTGCTTTATGGAAGGTCTGAATTGGATAGGAGCAGAAAACAGCTTCATTGTTCTCTAGCCGCTGCATTCCAGCAGCTTCTGTGAGGCAGGGGCCAGATTAGGGTGAGTGAGTGAGGCCAAGTCATGCAAATACAGGGTCATATTGTGTCTTAGTTGAAATGTTGTTAACTTTCCCATTAGGGTTTTTTTTTTTTTTGCATTGAATTTAACTTTTTAAAAAAATTCTGCACTAAAATATTATTTATTTTGATCCTGAATTTTTTGGTGCCCCCTTAAATTTTATGCCTCACTTGCTGCACCCTGATAATCCAGAGATGAGCGCCTCCCTCCCCTGCCTCGCCCTAGTCCCCATCCTGCTGATAGGTCTCTGGTCTCTGCTCCTTGATGACATCTGGGGAAGTTTTCCTAGGATTTTGGTCACCTTGATTTATAATAGCAGACTTGCTAATAATGAGTGGAATATGGCCAGGCGCCGGCTCATGTCTGTAATCCCAGCACTTTGGGAGGCCAAGGTGGGCAGATCACTTGAGGTCAGGAGTTCGAGACCAGCATGGTCAACATGGTGAAACCCTGTCTCTACTGAAAATACAAAGATTAGCTGGGTCTAGTGATGGGCGCCCGTAATCCCAGCTACTCAGGAGGCTGAGGCAGGAGAATCACTTGAACCTGGGAGGCGGAGGCTGCAGTGAGCTGAGATCATGCCACTGCACTCCAGCCTGGGAGACAGAGCAAGACTCTGTCTCAAAAAAAACAAAAACAAAAATGAATGGAATAGCTCATGTTTCGGTGTTACAAAATCCAGGCCAGACAAGTCTCAACTTTAATCTCACGCCCAGTTCCTAGGTTAGTCCCTTCTCCAGCTCAAATTCAGCCTAAGCCTCAGGGGTCCTTGGTCGGGGTGGCACCACCTGCTCCCTTCCCCAACTTTGTTCCTGTTTTTAATCTGCTGGGGCTGGGTGCATTCAGAGGTAGGGACAGGCTGAAGGTCTTCGGCTTTTTGGTTCTGTTGATGGGTGAGTTCCAAATACTAGCTTTCTCTTGTAGGATATTTCATTTATTTGTTAAAAATATTTATTTAGAACACACCATTCATGTGCCAGACGCTATTCCAGCCACTGGGGATAGGGTGATAAATGAGATAAACAAAAATACTCGCCCACGTTAAGCTCCTATTCTAGGGAAGAGAGGAAAAAAAAGAAAATACATGTGTACTTAGTACATTAGAAGGTTCCAAGTACTGTTAAAAAAAATAAAGCAGGCTGGACTCAGTGACTCATGTCTGCAATCCCAGAATTTTGGGAGGTGTAGGTGGGCAGATTGCCTGAGCTCAGGAGTTCGAGACCAGCCTGGGCAACACAAAAAAACCCTGTCTCTACAAAACAAAAACAAAACATTTAGCTGGGTGGACAGATTGCTTGAGCTCAGGAGTTCGAGACCAGCCTGGGCAACACAACAAAACCCTGTCTCTACAAAACAAAAACAAAACATTTAGCTGGGTGTGGTGGCATGTGCCTCTGGTCCCAGCCACTGGGGAGGCTGAAGTGGGAGGACTACTTGAGCCTGGGATGCAGAGGTTGGAGTAAGCCAAGATCACAACATTGCACTCCAGCCTGGGTGACAGAGTCAGACCCTGTCTCAAAAAAACAAAACAAAACAAAAAAAAAAACAGGAAAAAGAAAGCAGAGATGGGGACTAGTGGGGAGGGGGCTGGGGATGAGAGCCTCCCTGAGCTTCCACAGTTCTTCCTGCCCCTCTCCTATCTCACTGGGCACGGGCCACCTGGGGCTTCTGGTTGTTTTGTGCCAACTTAATATGTTGTTCTTGCCAACAGTCGGAGGCCAACTGAGGCTTCTCTGTCTTCCACAAGGAACAGCATTGGCCTAAACCTGCAGGCACCATTGCAAAGGGGAGTCAGCTCAGGTAAACCTGCTGGTGAAGCATGATTCCAGCGTGGGGACACAGAGGCTGATGTATCTTGCTGTAGGTGATTTAATGTTGGGCCTCACTATTTCACTACCCCTGTAAGAGTATGACACATCCACGTCCTTACCAGGGCCCGAGGGAGGGTGGATAGACTTATCCATCCCATAGGTATTGCTCGTGGCTGGGTAACTTGCTTATGCCAACAAGATTTTCATAGACACGGCACAGGCAGAAGCCTGGAATGTGTTGGCACTGCCAGGCCTGCCCTCTAATGCTCTTGATTTTTCCCACGAGACGAGCGTGCCCCAGGGAACTTCGGCTCCAGCTGCAGGATGAGAGGCGTGTGGAGCACGCAGGGTTCCAACCCTCAGCCTGGAGTCAAGCCCAGACTAGATCAGCCTAAGCCCAGCCAAGCCACGGGTGCAGGAGTGAAAAGCAAACGCTAACTGTCCATGACATTGACTTTCAAAGGGGCATGTCATGTTATGTGGCTCATCCCAGCAACAATGAAGATATTTCTCCATCAGTCAGTCGGTGAATAATTATTGACAATGTGCTAGGAAGGTGGAGTGATTGGAGTAGATTTGGTCCCTATTCTCATGGAGCTTACTTTCTAGAGGGGAAGACAGATGATAGGTGAATAAATATAAATTATTCTATTAGGTTGATGCAGCAGTAATTCCGGCTTTTGCCAGTAAAGGTAATGGCAATCAAAAGCGGGAGGAGCCGGAGCTGCCATTCATTAAAAGCAATGACAAAACTGTGATGACTTTTGCACCAACCTAATAGAATAAATTACGAGTGCGCAAAACGCTGTGATGGGAAAGTTCCAAGTGCCAGGATAGCATCTAGCTTCCTGGAGTCAGGAGATGGGGGTTTTCAACCTAAGCAAGGTTAAGTCCAAGTGGTGGGGGCAGGCGGGGGGCGATATTTCAGGGGAGACTCCAAGGATGAATGGAAATTAGAAAAGTGAACGCAGATGGTGAGGGGGGACGGGTTTCAGGCACAGAGAACAGCATGTGCAAAGGCCTGGGGGGAGGACATCGTGTGTTCATGGACTGAGGGGCGGCCAGCAGGCTGGAGCTGAGCCGGTGGAGAGGAGGATGGGGAGCCGGGGAAAGGCGCTCCATGCAGGGGGCACAGCAGGGGCAAAGGCCCGGAGTCAGGCCTGAACCTGTGTGGTTTGAGGAAGTGACAGAGGCCTGTCTGGGAGGAAAGTAACAGCAGAGGGGAGACCATAAGGTCAGGGCAGAGGGCAGGGCCGTGCTGGGCACTGTGGGCTGTGGATAGGACCTGGCACGTATGCTCGGGTGAGGGGAACGTGTTAGAAGATTTTAAGAAGGGCAGGAACATCTGGGGATAATGTGTATTCTAGGAATCTCAACCAAGTAAATTCATAGTTTGAATGTTCACAAGACTTCTGCACAGGCAAAGTGAAAGATCGTTTCTAGAGCTGTGAGATAAGATCATAGTAAAAAAGAACTACTAAGTTTTTAAAGGTTATTTCAAATGATGGATTTCCATCTTACAAATGAATGCAAGCAGGTTGCAAGGTTGATGGAAAGTAGAAAAGTTTTCTGACTTGCGTGAACAGAAAAGAAACATCAATTTGAAAGGAAAACATTTATTTATTTACTTCCTCTACAGTTTTCCTGACTGCTACATTTCATGAGAAGGGATTGTTTATGAGGGTCAAGGAGCTGGAGGCCTGGGGAGGAGCTGGTGTTTCTGTTCAAGTTTGAGGGTCCTGGAGCTGGAGTCCAGGGGAGGAGCCGGTGCTGCCACTGATGTCTTAGGGTCGTGGAGCTGAAGATCCCAGAGGAGCCGGTGCTGCTATTCTAGCTTGAGTTTCGTGGAGCTGGAGACCCAGGGAGAAGATGGTGCTGCTGTTCTAATTTAAGGATCGTGAAACAGAAGACCCAGAAAGGAGCTGGTGCTGCCGCTGCTCAGATCTGAGGGTGTTGGAGCTGGAGACTTAGGGAGGAGACGTCTTGTTCTAGTTTCAGGGTCGTGGAGCTGCAGACTGAGGCAGGAGCATTGTTGTTATAGTTCGAGGGTCAGAAAGCTGGCGACCCAGGGAGGAGAGGTCTTGTTCTGGTCTGAGGGTCGTGGAGCTGCAGACCCAGGGAGGAGCAATTTTGTTGTAGTTCGAGGGTCAGGAAGCTGGCGACCCAGGGAGGAGAGGTCTTCTTCTGGTGTGAGGGTCGTGGAGCTGCAGACGCAGGGAGGAGCAATTTTGTTGTAGTTCGACGGTCAGGAAGCTGGCGACCCAGGGAGAGGTCTTGTACTAGTCTGAGGGTCGTGGAGCTGCAGACCCAGGGAGGGGCAATGTTGTTGTAATTCGAGGGTCTGGCAGCTGGCAACTCGGGGAGGAGAAGTCTTGTTGGAGTTTGAGGGTCGTGGAGCTGCCAACCCAGGGAGGAGCAATTTTGTTGTAGTTCAAGGGTCCGGAAGCTGGCGACCCAGGGAGGAGAGGTCTTGTTCTATTGTGAGGGTCGTGGAGCTGCCGACCCAGGGAGGAGCAATTTTGTTGTAATTTGAGGGTCCGGAAGCTGGCGACCCAGGGAGGAGAGGTCTTGATCCGGTCTGAGGGTCGTGGAGCTACAGACCCAGGGTGGAGCAATGTTGTTGTAGTTCGAGGGTCTGGTAGCTGGCAACTTGGGGAAGACAAGTCTTGTTCGAGTTCGAGGGTCGTGGAGCTGCAGACCCAGGGAGGAGCCATTTTGTTGTAGTTCAAGGGTCCGGAAACTGGCGACCCAGGGAGGAGAGGTCTTGTTCTAGTTTCAGGGTCGTGGAGCTTCTGACCCAGGGAGGAGCATTGTTGTTTTAGTTCGAGGGTCAGGAAGCTGGCGACCCAGGGAGGAGAGGTCTTGTTCTGGTTTGAGGGTCGTGGAGCCGCAGACCCAGGGAGGAGCAATGTTGATGTAAGTTGAAGGTCCGGTAGCTGGCACCCTGGGGAGGAGAAGTCTTGTTCGAGTTTGAGGGTCGTGGAGCTGCCGACCCAGGGAGGAGCAATTTTGTTGTCGTTCGAGTGTCAGGAAGCTGGCGACTCAGGTAGGAGAAATTTTGTTCTAGTTTCAGGGTTGTGGAGCTGCAGACCCAGGGAGGAGCAAGGTTGTTGTAATTCGAGGGTCAGGAAGCTGGCGACCCAGGGAGGAGAGGTCTTGTTCTGGTCTGAGGGTCATGGACCTGCAGACCCAGGGAGGAGCAGTGTTGTTGTAGTTTGAAGGTCAGGAAGCTGGCGGCCCAGGGAGGAGAGGTCTTGTTCTAGTTTGAGGGTCGTGGAGCTGCAGACCCAGGGAGGAGCCATGTTGGTTTGAATGTTGTGGATCTGGAGATCCACGGAGGAGCTGGTGCTGCCTTTGAAGTCTGAGAGTCACTGAGCTGGAGATCCAGAGAGGAACCGGTGTTGCTGTTCTAGTCTGAACAGATCTAGAGTTCTGGGGAGTTGCCGGTTCTGCCTCTCAAGTCTGAGAGTTGTTGAGCTGGAGATTCAGGGAGGAGCCTGTGTTGCTGTTGTAGTTTGAGGGTCATGGAGCTGCAGACTCAGGGAGGAGGGGTGCGGTTCTAGTCTGAGGGTTGTGGAGCTTGAGACACAGGGAGGAGCTGGTGCTGCTGTTGTTTAAGGCTGAGGGTTGTGGTGCTGGAGACCCAGGTAAGAGCTGGTGCTGCTGTTGTTTAAGGCTGAGGGTTGTGTAGCTGGACAGTGGGGAGGAGGTAGTCTTAGTGTCTAATGTGAGGTTGGTGGAGCTGTGGACCTGGGGTGGGGCCGGTGCTACTGTGTAGTTTGAGGGTCATGGAACTGGAGACCTAGGGAGGAGCTGGTGCTACCACCATTTAAGTCAGAGGGTCATGGATCTGGAGCTTTGGGGAACAGCCCATGCTGCTGTTTAACTGTGGGGAGGATGTGCTGTGTCCATTGAAGTTTGAGGGTTTGGGAGCTGGAGACCCAGGGAGGAGCTGATGATGCCATTCTATTTTGAGGGTCGTGGATCTGGGGACCTGGGGAGAGGCTGGTACTGCTGTTGTAGTTTGAGGTTCGTGGAACTGGAGACAGGGGGAGGAGCCGGTGGTGCTGTTCATGTCTGAGGGTTGTAGAGCTGGAGACCCAGGGAGAAGCCCGTACTACAGCTTTTTAAGTCTGAGGGTCGTGGAGCCTGAGACCTGGGGAGAGGCCAGTGCTGCTGTTCAAATGGCTCCTTTCCGGGTCTCCAGCTCCATGACCTTTAAACTAGGAGAGCAGCAGCAGCTCCTCCCGGGGTCTTCCAGCTCCATGACCCTCACACTAGAACAGCAGCAGCAGCTCCTCCCGGGGTCTTCCAGCTCCATGACCCTCACACTAGAACAGCAGCACCGGCTCCACCCTGGGTCTCCAGATCCACGACCCTCAAAGTAGAACAGCAGCACTGACTCCTCCCCGGGTCTCCAGCTCTACAACCCTCAGACTTGAGGAGCTGGAGACTCGGGGAGGAGCCAGGGCTGCTTTTCTACTTTGAGGATTGTGGAGCTGGAGACCCAAGATGCAGCAGCTGCTGCTATTCTAGTTTGAGGGCCTTGGAGCCAGAAACTTTGTGAGGAGCCGGTGCTGCCTTTCAAATCTGAGAGTCATTGAGCTGGAGACCCAGGGAGGAACCGGTGTTGCTGTTCTAGCCTGACGGTAGTGAAGCTGGAGACCAAAGGAGGAGCTGGTGCTGCTATTCTAGTTTGAGGTTAGTGGAGCTGGAGATCACAGGAAGAGCCGGTGCTGCTGTTTAAATCTGTGGGTCCCCGAGCTGGAGCCCTGGGGGGAGATGGTGTTGTTCTTGTTCAAGTCTGAGGGTCATGGGGCTTGAGGCACAGGGAGGAGCTGCTGCTGTTCAAGACTGAGGGTCGTGTAGCTGGAGAGCGGGGAGGAGGTAGTCTTGGTGTCTCGTATGAGGGTGGTGGAGTTGTGGACCTGGGGAGGAGCCGGTGCTGCTGTGTAGTTTGAGGGTTGTGGAACTGGAGACCTAGGGAGGAGCCGGTGCTACTGCCATTTAAGTCAGAGGGTCGTGGATCTGGAGCTTTTGGGAACGGCCCGTGCTGCTGTTTAACTGTGGGGAGCATCCGGTGTGTCAATTGAAGTTTGAGGGTTTGGGAGCTGGAGACCCAGGAGGGATCCGATGATGCCATTCTATTTTGAGGGTCATGGATCTGGAGACCTGGGGAGAGGCCGGTACTGCTGTTGTAGTTTGAGGGTCGTGGAAGTGGAGACAAGGGTAGGAGCTGGTGCTTCTGCTGTTTATGTCTGAGGATTGTAGAGCTGGAGACCCAGGGAGGAACTGGTGTTGCTGTTCTAGTCTGAGGGTAGTGAAGCTGGAGACCCAAGGAGGAGCCGGTGCTATTATTGTTCATGTCTGAGGATTGTGTAGCTGGAGACCCAGGGAGGAGTCGGAGCTGCTGATCTAGTTTGAAGGCTGTGGAGCTGCAGATCCCAGGAAGAGCCGGTGCTGCCGTTCAAATCTGTGGGTCTTGGAGTTGGAGCCCTGGGGTGACCCAGTTCTTTCATTCATGTCTTAGGATCATGGAACTGGAAACCTACGGAGGCGGCGGTACTGCTGTTCTAGTTTAAGGATCGTGAAGCTGGAGACCTGGACAGGAGCTGGTGCTACCGCTGTTCAAATCTGAGGGTCATGGAGCTGGAGTCTTGGGGAGGTGCCGGTGCTGCCTCTCAAGTCTGAGGGTTGTTGAGCTGGAGATTCAGGGAGGAGCCGGTGTTGCTGTTGTTGTTGGAGGATTGTGGAGCTGGAGGCCAAAGAGGAGCTGGTGTTGCAGTTCAATTTTGACGGTCGTGTAGCTGGAGACCTAGGGAGGAGCTGGTGCTACCACTGTGTAAGTTGAGGTTTGCAGAGCTGGTGGCCACGGGGAAGAGCCAGTGCTATAGCTGAAGTTTGAGGGAACTGGAGACCCAGGGAGTAGCCGGTGCTGCTTTCTAGTTTGAGGGTTGTGGAGCTGGAGGCTTGGTGGGGAGCCGGTGCCGCCTCCCAAGTCTGAGAGTCATTGAGCTGGAGATCCACAGGGGAGCTGGTGCTGCTGTTGTAGTTTGAGGATTGTGGAGCTGGAGACCCGGGGCGGAGCTGGTGCTGCAGTTGGAGTTTGAGGGTCAGGGAGCTGGAGATCTGGGGAGCGGCCAGTACAGCTGTTTAAGCCTGAGGGTCGTGGAGCTAAACATGGAGCCAAAGTTGGGGAAGCAGAGAGAGAGAGTTACAGGATGACCCTGGAAATGGTAGACGTAGCTGTACCCCAAGCAAGCTAAGCTTGGGAACTCCTCAATGCTAGTGATGAATGCATTCTTTTTCCTCTTACACAGTTTGGATTTGTTTTCTGTGTCTCATGAGACAGAAAGATCTTGATTAATACCCTTAGGAATTGAAAAGCTTAAAAAACTAAAGGATGTTGGTAATAAAAATAATAAGAATTAAACCATGATTATCCTGGCTGACAGAGACAAAATCACACACACACAATATATATCTTTCAATCAGTTAGCAAAATTAAAAAAAATGGAAAAATAGACGCAAGCAAAGCTATAAAAAGTTGTTTCATGGAGAAGCGATGGAGGACAGCGATTAATCTGAGAGTTGCTATTAATGGAGAAACTGAGAACTTACCATTTTTCCCATGAGGTTTTGGTGTAGAATGATATTGTGTGAGTTCTGGCAGCTGAGTCACTTCACACAGCCCGGTGATGCAGTAGGTGTCACAGAAGGACCCTCTCCCAGTTAGTTCTGCCTCACTGCTCCGGTGAGTGCGGCCTCTGATCCCCAACAGCTGACTGTGTGTTGAGACCACGCCCATGAGCACAAGGGTTTCCACGGTGAAGGTTCCTGGATGGAACACTGTGGATGTCCCTAATGTTCCTTCCTGATGTTCATCTGCCATCTTGCTATTTAATGCAATGTCTTCTAAATATTGAATAGAAAAAAGTATTTGTACAATATGGGCAAGGTATAAAGAATATCCACACACTGGACACACAGACAGAGAGGGGCACCCACAGCAAACTCCCTTTGCCTGGGAGCAGGTGTGGTCCTTGAGTCCTATGTTGCCTGTTTCTTCCTCCGCCTTGGCCTACGGGCCCGATGTGATCTGACCTCTGCCTGCCTCTCCGACTCCATCCCCCCTCCCGCTCCTGTTCTTTCTAACAATTATGTTACAGCCTCAGTGAATGTGACAAGGACCCTGAATGACGGTGGCTTTACTAAGACAGAGGTTCATTCCTTTCACATGAAAGTCCAAGCCAGTCGGGTCATTCTTCTCTGTGCATTTTTCAGGGTCTTAGGCTACTTCCATCTTGCTGCTCTGACTTCCTTAGGGTATAGCTTCCCCCACAGTGTCCATCCTATCTACTGCCAGCCAGCAGGGAGGGGAGAAGAGAACAAGAGGACACAAATCTTCCTTCCTCTAATGGCAGTTGCTGTGCACTGGCCTCATGTGCATTGGTCACTGCCTGGTCACGTGGCCACTGCTTGCTGCTAGGGGTGCTGGGAAGTTTTCATCCTGGATGCCAGTGCCCACCTGGGTGACTCCTGAGGTTGAGGGGAGAGAGGACATGAAAGAGAGTCACTGGCTCTTCCCACCATCATGCATGTCGTTCCAGTCTAGGGCGACCCACTGCCTCAGCTTGCTCAGGACTGAGGAGGGTCATGGGGCACAGACCTCTCAGTTTTATAACAGGGCAGTTTCAGGCAAATCATCCCAGCTTGGCTGAGACTCAGAATTTTCCTGGGATATGGGATTTCTAGTGTTAAAACTGAGAAAGTTCTGGGCAAACCTGGACAAGTTGGTGCCTGCCATGGGGCCTTTGCATCTACTGTTACCCCTGTCTGGGATTCCCTTTCTGCAGCTCTGTGTGGTGCTCACTCCTTTTCTGTTGAGGAAAGGCTGCTCTCTGGGTGTCCCCGGGTGCCTGTTCCGCTCTACTCAGCACTACATGCTCTGTGAATATCCCTCCATGCACTTCGTAGAATGAGATCTGTTCTTTCCACCCTTGCCTGCCCACTTCAGTTTCAAAGTCTCTGAGGATTATTCATTTTTATTCTCTTCAGCACTGAAAGATACATCTCTTTCCCTAAGGCTGTGGCTGGGTTCACGCATAGTTAGATAAATCTGATATTAATAATAACCCGAATGAAAAACATGTATTGAATCCCAAGATTATGATGTAGGAAGCACGGATTCTGAAGAGATGTCTAAGCCTAATAAAGGCCAAAGGGTGTGGATTAAAAGGAAATGTGGGGTGGAGAAACATTTCATGAAATAGAACCCCACCTCTTGGGTGAGTTCGTTGGTACAACTTTTCTAGAGGGCAATTTTGCAACTGGCCAATGAAGGTGAGTAACTTTTGGTCCCAAATTTCATTTATAGGCATTGATCCCTAGGAAATAGTCAGAAAAATATGCAAAGATGAATCTCAAGGATTTTTATAAGAAGAAAGAAGTAGGAAGCATAAATGCCCACTGGTGGTCCCACACCCTGGCACCAGTGCTCCCCTCTCCTAGTGGGCGGGCACAGGCTACATTTTCCCAGGCTTCCTTGCAGTGAGTTGTGGCCATGTGACCAGGTTCTGGCCAATGGGAGGCAATAAAAGTGTTGGGTGGTATTTTTGGAGACCCCCTTCTGTAACTTCTGTCTTGATATGGTTTGGATGTTGGTCCCCTCCAAATCTCATGTTGAAATGTGATCCCTGATGTTGGAGGTGGGGCCTGGTGGGAGGTGTTTTGGTGATGTGGGCAGATCCCTCTCACAATGGCTTGGTGCCATCCTGATGGCAATGACTGAATTCTTGCTCTGAGTTTATGGGAGATCTGGTTGTTTAAAGGGGTTGGCACATCCTCCTCCCTCTCTTGCTCTTTCTCTCGCCATGTGATGTACCTGCTTCCCTTTCACCTTCTGCCATGATTGGAAGCTTCCTGAGGCCTCCCCAGGAGCAGATGCTGGTGCCATGCTTGTACAGCCTGCAGAACTGTGAGCCAATTAAACCTCTCTTCTATAAATAACCAGCCTCAGGTATTCCTTTATAGCAACGCAGATGGACTGACACATATCTTTAATGTCATTTCTTAGTTGTTCCATCCTTTGACCTGCTTCCTGGAATAAGCGTATGATGGTTGGAGCTATTCTTGTCACCTTGAACCTTGAGGATTAGGCTTCTACCCTGCGGATAGCAGAATGTCCTCTGGAAGGAAATGAAAGTCCCTAACGCCACCCTAGACTGAGAACCTCCAGTTTTGTTTTTACTTTTTTATTTTTTGAGACAGACTCTTGCTCTGTTGCCCAGGCTGGAATGCAATGGCGTGATCTCAGCTCACTGCAACTTCCGCTTCCTGGGTTCAAGTGATTCTCATGCCTCAGCCTCCCGAATAGCTGGGATTACGGGTGCGTGCCACCATATTTAGCTAATTTTTTTTATTTTTAGTAGAGACAGGGTTTCACCATGTTGAGCAGGCTAGTCTCGAACTCATGACCTCAAGTGAAACACCTCAGCCTCCCAAAGTGCTGGGATTACAGGCGTGAGCCTCTGTGCCCGGCCCAGTCTTGGTTTTCATGAGATAAACTTCTGTCTTGGCTGAAGTTAAATCACTGATAGGTGATATGACCATAACTGGATAAAAAGTAGGAAATTCATGTAATACTTATATCTACATATGCCCATACCAAAAATGATAGTGATCTGTTGTTATCTATGTGTAAATATGGACACAAAATATTGTTTAGTGTAAACAAAGCTCTTCTTTTTTTTTTTTTTTTTTGAGACAGAGTCTCACTCTGTTGTGCAGGCTGGAGTGCAATGGTGAGATCTCGGCTCACTGCAACTTCCGCCTCCTGGGTTCAAACAATTCTCCTGCCTCAGCCTTCTGAGTAGCTGAGATTACAGGCACATGCACCACATCCAGCTATTTTTTTGTATTTTTAGTAGAGCTAGGGTTTCACCATGTTGTCCAAGCTGGTCTCAAACTCCTGACCTTCAGTGATCCGCCTGTGTTTACAGGCATGAACCACTGCACCTGGCCCATAAAGCTTTATTCTATTTTAATGAAGCAAAAATGCATAAGTGTGTAAGTGTGATCATATGTGTGTGTATGTCTAACAGGAGCACTACATAGCAAAATGCGAATGCTGCTTATCTTTGGTGTTGGTATCACGTGTGATTTAAAATCTTTTCTTCTATTTTTAAAAACTTTCAAAATGAGTCATGACTTTGATTATTAGAAAAGAAATCTATAACAATTGAGAGGAAAGAAAACCCCACCTGTTGTTGAAACTGGCTGGAGCTGGGAGAAATGAGAGATTCCTTTGCAGGTGTCACCTCCCTACCAGAAAATTGGCCTTGCAGGAATGTCCCACAAGCCAGATGTGTCTCTTTCCCCCAGTCCCTGTGCCTGGTGTGAGGTCGTACAGACAGTGAGCATCCTTCACAGAGTCTGACCTGCCAAGGTAGGGGGGAAGTGGGGGTTTAGTGACATTCAAAACCCGGGGGAGCCGAACAGGTGTGACTGTATGTTTGCAGGGTGACCTCTCCCCTCAAAGAGCAAGAAATAACTCTAGTGCAATTTCCAAACATTTACAAGAGAGGATTTTTAAACTTTTCACTTCTTTATTGCAACTAGCACATTTGGAAGGATAAAATACAGAAAGAAGTCCTGCTATTTACAATCAACTTTCACTAAGCCAGTGTTATATTCAAAAACAGCAGATAAAGCTCATGGCTTTGATGAAAGGGGCAGTCTTTTCATTGGAAACAATTAATACTGCTCCCCGTTCTGGGGAGAATTTAAAGAAAATAATTTGGAAGGGGATATGGCTTGATACAATCAAATGATTTCAGATCACAAATGTAATCATTTGATCTTGCTTTAAAACCAAACATTTCAGAACAATCTAGCATCACATTCTCTTCTGAGTCTGTGAAACTCTGAATTCTGGGTGAGTCTGAATTCCCAAGGCAGGACTGAGGATAGAAAAGATTTGATGGCAGAAACCTGGTACTGTGGTTATCACGTGGGTTAAAGATGTAGGCTTGGTTAACCCACTGAACCTGCTTATGTATGAGGCTCACCTGAGAAGGTGATATGGACAAGCCCATCTTATGGGTCTGAGGGCTCTTCACCAGGAGTGGAGCAAGGAGGATGGCCCCAGCGTCCCCGTCTCTGAACACGTTTAGCGGGAGGGCTGTAGAGCCTGGACAGATCACCACTGGCTCCATGGGGAACTTTCAGCAGCACTCATTGCCTGTGTCTATTCTGTGCCAGGCACTGCGCTCAGGGCAGGGATTTGGGATTCACCAGGGCACAAGGCGACGTGCGTCTGTCCTCACGGAGCCTAAGTGCTGGTGGAGACGGACAGTGCAGATGCCAACCGCAAATGACGAGGCACTTGCAGGTAGGGGTCAGCGCCAAGAAGGAAATGAAGGGTGCGTGTCGCTGACTGAGACTCTGGTGGGAGCTACTTAAATAGGGCCATGGGGGAGGGCCTCTCTGAGGAGGTGACATTTGAGCTGAGGCCTCACCAATCAGAAGGAAAAAGCTGTAAAGGGTCTGGGATTAACTCAACCTGGGGACTTTTAAAATAATGTAAGGTGTTACAGCTCTTTTAGAATTTGTCTAGCACGTTTTCCGGTTGTCACTCCCAGGTGGGCTCGGGAAGAGGCATCTGTGCCAGCTCGTGGCCTGTTCTTTGCACTTGTGGGGAAGGGGTCCCCTTTTCCCACAGCCGTCCCCCCGGGGCCTGCTCCCAGGTGGGGTCTGGTTTTCACCAGAAAGCCCTCCATGCAAAAACAAAAAACAAAAAACAAAAAAAACCCACCACACAATTGAATTTGAATTAGTTGCCAGCATTTACATTTTAATTCTAAAAATCTGTATTTTCGACTTCGTTGGAAAGTCAGACTATCTGGCCAGGCTGGGCTGGGATCTGGTGGAGTTCAGTATTTTGGTTTCTGGTTAGGGAGGGTATTTGGGGTTTGCCCCTCCAGCATCTGTTCCAGTGTGAAGTGGGGGTGGAGGCCCAGGCTCAGTGGGGGGATCTGCAGTGGCCAAGGGTCTTGGCTGTCTCCAGATGGCCGGATGGACGCTGCCCCCTCCTGCTTGGGGTGTGCTGGGGTTCTTTGCTGCCCCTCCTCCCAGCCCACAGCCTCTTGAACTCCACGGAGACCACCCCCATGTGAGGCTGGGAAGGGAAACCTGCCTTTGTAAGTGGAATCAGGTGAAATCGGGCTGTGACTGTGTCAGTCAGAAACTAAAAGGCCCTGTCACACCCGTGGCCAGGAAGACTGTCACCATGGTGGCATGGAAATGACAGAGACGTGTGGGACAGCGTCTGCCAAGAGACGAGCCAGGTGAGGGCAGGTCGTCATGAAGGAGGGAGGTGGGGTCCTCCCCACAGAGCAGCGCCATCCCACAGAGAAACAGCCTCTGGGGAGGGACGCGTTCCAAGGAGGCCCCGTGCAGTGCAGAGTGGGTGGCTCGAGGCCTGAATGCCGGGCACTCGGAGCGGTCAGTGTCCCCGTGGGAGCAGGGCTGCTCGCAGCCAGGTGATTGGCGACCTTGGATGGTCAGCCCCTGTGTGCGTGTGAGGGGGTGGCCCTCTCCTCTGTCTCTTCTGAAGGCAGCAGTAAAGGAGGGAGGCCAAAGAGCTCAGTGTCAGACGAGCCTGGGTGCAGGTCCCACTGCCTGCCAGGCCAGTGCCTCTGAGCCTCAGTTTCCTCATCTGTATAGTGGGGTTAATCCCAACCATGTATACTGTCTGCCTGCCATGTGCCAAGCCCTTCTAACACATCTTTGATTGCCTGAGGGCAGGGACTTTATTATCCACCTTTAGAGTTGAGAAAGAAGAGGCACAGAAAGGTTAAACCACTTACCGGGGGTCACACAGCTGCTATGGCAGAGTAAAGACTCCAGACTCAAATGGAGCACTAAGCCCCGCCCTGGGCGCCAACAGGTGCTCCAGGAATGTCAGGTGCCATTTATCACCCTCATCACCTACTGGGAGCGCTCGTCCCATCATGCAAACCCCGTGAGCGTGAAGTGAGGGGACACGTGCAGGATCGAGTGTACTGGCGGGTAATGAAAGTAAAGTAATAACCACAGGATGATATTCACAACCCACAGTAGTGCTATCAACAGCCGCATCTGCCTGCTTCTCTGGGCCCAGGATTGCCTGCAAACTCCCAGGAACTGGTCCTAGGTGGGTCAGAAGAAGGGTCTGACGTTATGGGAAGGAGCAGCTTGCCCAGCTCATGGCCTGTACTGTGCATTGGGAGTCCCTGCCCCCAACAGCTGTCCTCCAGGGCCTGCTCCCAGGTGGGCTCAAGAGGCCACAGAGCTAAGCAGCTTTAGGCCAGGGTTCTGCGGGTTACTGTGTGCCTGTGGGAGTGACACCCCCACCCCCAACCTTCCTGCCCTGCCAGCTGCTGGACACACAGCAGCTACAGGGCATGAACCCTGAGACCAGGACCTCTGTGGGTCCCATGGCACAGAGCCCCCTCCTCCCTGCCCGACTGAGAAGGAGGAGGCGCGCCTCAGGGTGAATCCTGCCCCCCCTCCCCCGCTCACTGCAGGATAAACGGCCTCTAGATCGAACACCTCACAACAGGATGTGTCTTAGCGTGGTTTATCAAATCACAGGCTGTGATGCATTAGTGGGTCTTGAAATCAATTTAGAGTGTCAAGCCCGGCATTGAAAATCTGCAATAGAACCAGAATAGACTAGGTCAGGAGGCATCAGAGCGCGTTGTGTGCAGCGAGGGTGAGTGTCGTTTGGGTAAACGTGCTGCGTATCTGTATAAATGGATGTGCTTGTGTGTGGTGGGTGGCAGTTTGCAATGTGTTTTTAGGTGGGTTGCACTAAAAACGTTAGAGAATCTCTGTCTCACCGCCTTACGGTAACACAAAGGGGAATCACCTAGTAGTGATCATTTTCCTCAGAACCTTACATTTCCCTGATTTGAGACCGTTTATAAGACTGAGAAACAGGTCTAAGCTGGTGCCAAGAGTTTTGGTTACGTCAGGGATAAGGCTGTGGCTCTCTCATCCCACAGTCCATGCTGAGGGCTGGAGGGGAATTGAACTGCAGGATGAAGTGATGAACATGCAAGAAATGAGACCGGGAATGGGAGAGGCTTGCAAGGCAAACAGAGATGGGGAGAGGAAGGGACGTGGGTAGGGGTGGGTGACTGTGAGGGAGAGAAAGGGGGTGAGGGGTTATTTATGAAGCTCTAGGAGCTGCCTTCCTAGAGTCCGTGCCACCTGGACTCAAACACTCATTGTCCATTCAATGACCCCTTGGAGCTTAAGAGCTCTGTTAGGATCTGAAATGTGTCCAGCAGATCTTCGGAGCCATTGAATTTTCATCCCATGTGGGATCTGGACACATATGCATGCAAACTAACATCCTTACACATATGCACACACAGATACACATGCCCCCACATACTCATGCATCCACGTGCTCACACACAGATACACTCACACATATACATTCATGCACATGCATGCATACAATGCCCACACATATATGCACACTGATACACACTCACAGACACACTCATATGCACACACACACATAGACACACTTATATGTACGCTCACACACATGCTCACTCCTACATGCACTCTCCCACACCCACACATGCCCACGCACTCACAGACACAGTGAGTCAGGTGTATTTAATACGCAGTTCGTGCCTATGCCTCCCCCAGATCCCCATGTGACCTGCTCGTTAGAGGAGGCCCGGAGTCCTTGGGGGAGCCCTGGTGTCCCGCCACCTGATCTCCATGACAACCCATCCCGACACCGGTTTGTGAGTGTGAAAGCTTCAGGGCCCACAGGACCTCCCACGTTAATTCATGGAGATCAGCTGTTCACTACTCAATGCTCCCAAGTTATGTGAGGCAGCGAGGCACAAAATTGGCATCTGCTGTGGTGTGTGTGTGTGTGTGTGTGTGTGTGTGTGTGTGTGTGTGTATGTGGTGAGCTTGGTGCACAGGTAGGATGAGGTTTGGGGCAAAAGGGCATGAACGATACAGCCAATAGTAATTGGGTTACAGTTGTTGATTGCTTTCAAAGGACTTAACATAGAATATTCATCCCAAAGATATATTACATCTGGTGAATTCTAGAGCATCTCACAGATAGAATGGGGGTAAAAGGAGAAACAACACACTTGCAAATTTGATGAAATTTCCCACATGGTCCTGAAATCGCTGGTGGAATGGGGGATTGCAGTCCGGGTATGAGGCATTCGAGAGAATCTGAATGTGTCTCCCAAAGTGCTCCCCAGGGACTAGCACTGATCAGGCCGTGGAAAGCCCAAGGTCCCACATGACAGGTTCTGGGCTCTGCCTTCCTTGAACACAGGGGTGGAGGGGCTGGGGAGAGAGGCAGAGTCTGAGAATGGCTGGAGAAAATGGTCGGATTCGGTTCTTTTATCTGTAGCAGGGACTCAAACCCAGGGTGTCCTGGCTGCTGGAAGGTTGAACAATGCTGAGCCGTATTTCCACACATGGCTTCACTGGCTGAAGCAGGGCTGTCCTGTGGCTGAGAACCCCTCTTCCAGCCCTGCATGGGTCCCCTGACCCCCAGGCCTGCAGGCATTCACATACCCCCCTGCAAAGCCCCCAACCCTCCTTGGGCAAGGACAGGCACAGCTTCAGGACATTGTCCTCCTGCCCTATGTGGGCAGAGTTGAGCCCCCAGAGCAGAGAGGGAGGCTCCCCAATACCCATCTCCCCGATAATGGCCAATGCGCCTCAAAGGGTCACTTCCAAAGAATGCCAGGTGGCAGGCACCAGGTTTTGGCATCTGATACGCTCCCATCCACTCCCTGGGGACCTAAGCAATCATCCTTTATAATCTCTGACGGGGAACAACTGGCCGTTGTCCTTTAATTAGCAGGGGACACACTAAGCTATGGTCTCCTGCAGGCTCCATAAACATCCGTGAAATCAGCCTGGTGACTCCAAGCTCGGTGCAGACTGCGGGGGCCCACAGAGGCCAAGGGGAGCCCCCGCCCCCGGTCTGGCTCTGAGAACAGCCTCCAGGAGAAACTGCCAAGCCACCCGGACTCATGGCAGCTGCTTAAACTGGCAAGTTCTTTCTTGCAAATTGAGATCCAGGCTGCGATCTGGGCTGGCTCTGCACATTCCAGCCACCTGTTTTACCTGCTGGTTGGAGCTGCCTTGGTACCTCTGAGGGCTGCTTGTGTGTGGGTGGGGGCTGCTTTTGAACACATGGCTGCCCCGTGGGCCGCGCCTTCTCCACTTCTTCTGGCCTTATAAAATGATGGTTATTGCAGGGAGGATGCAGGGCCAAGCATCCTCTTATGTAGCGCCGTGAGATGTGGGGTGTCCAGTGTCCCAGGAGAAATTCAAGCCTCATTTCCCTCTGAGACACTGGGATGGGGCCACGTGCAGCGTCTTAGTGCCTGGATCCCAAGTGTGTCGTCTGAGTCTGTGCATGAGGGGCCAGGGCCAGGCCTTAGGCTGTGTAGGACGGAATTGAAGCATGTTTGATGGGAGGGCCCAGGTCACACCCACCAGGGGCCAGGAGTGCACAGATGTAGATGCCAATGCCAGCCCAAGTCACCCAAAATGGCGAAAGTGAGCTGCTGGGAAACCTTCGGGCCAGAGGCTGATGACGTGGAATCCTGGAGGGGACTGCCTGCTGCTCAGGGTAGAAGGGGACATTCTGATGCGGCACCCGTGACAGCCCTCCAGTGTTCCCGCCACCCAGACCCACTGTCCCTGGAGACCTGCAGAGGGAACCACTGCTGACGAGAAAGTGTCTCCGTCACTTGCTTTGTTTCCCCTTGGTCACTGCAAACACATGCTCACAGCCCTCGGGTGACAAGCCTCTTTCCGCCCCCTTCTGATGCCCCTGCTCTATGGGTGTTGTCACTGCTCCTGGCTTGCAGTGTCCTGTGTGGCTATGACAACCTGGGTTCCTCTCAGGGCCGGTGTCCCTCCTGCAGAAAGCTCACCCTGTCTCCTGGGCCCTGGCCCTGCTCCTGGACAGAGGAGGGAAGGACTGGGGTGGTGGCTGATGGATTCTCATGTCACCTCTTTCCCATATTCCCCTGGGCTCTTCCTTCAGAGCCTCCACCCTGCACCCTGATGACTCACTGTGTCTCATGTAGGAAGCCCCCGGTGACATCTCATGCCCTGTACACAGGTCCCTACAGCCCGGGCCCCTCCTTAGCTCTGCTGCCTCTGGGGGAAACCCCACTTTCAGCCCTCCCCCTACTCCTTACATCTGGCAGGGATTGCAGGGGGCTTGTTGGAGGGAAGCCACATATGAGACTCACACGATGCACCAACGCCCACTGTGCAGACCGCACCCCATCTATTTTCTTCCGTCCCTTCTGCAGTCAACACAGCCCTGGCTCTGCATTCGGCCCTCTCTTCACGGGGCTGTGTCTGGGCAGATGGGGCTGGAAAACAACTCGCTGGGCCCAGCTGGGGTGTGTTGTGAATGTCACAGCCCGGCCTGTGCAACAGGAGGCTCCAGGATCCCTTTAGGGGTAGGGTAGGGGGCGGGAGAGTGCAGATTAAATGGGATGGGCAGGGGCAGGAAGGCAGCAGGGGTGATTAATTTTTCTAGAATCGTTGCCAGGCTACCTTTCAATTCCTTGTCTGTGGCCCAGGCCAAGGAAAGCGAATGTTCTGCTGCCAACCTGGCTTGTCTTTTAATCATACCCTTTGCTTGTCAGTTTAGACACCCGGTATACTCTCATTGCTTTTTAGCAATCTTTGCAACTTGCTGGACTTTTCCACCCAAATAAGAATCATGTGTACTGTGTGCCAGGCACTGTACTAAATGCATTAGCTATTTCAATCCTCACAATAGCCCTATGAGATGGGCACTATCATTATCCTTATTCTGTAGACGAAGAAATTGGCACAGAGAGGTTAATTAACTAGCCCAGAGTCACTCAGCCAGTGAGTGGCAGAACTGAGATTTGAACCTAGGCTGCTTGGCTTCAGGGTCTATGCTCTTAATCTCTCACTGTAGGGGCTCTTAAGTGAGTCCTCAGCTTCCATGGCTTCAGTTGAAGGGACTTCTCTGTGGAGGCAGGGCCAGGAGGAAGTTTATCCATGGGTCCTACAGCAGCCATCTAGAAGGATGGGATTGGTTGTGACTCAGACTCTACCCTTGCTGCTGCCTCTGTCAGGAGCTCTGTCCCCTGGCTCATCCCAGGATCTGCTCCTTCCCCCTCCTCAGGACTCAAATGCAGCATTGCAGAGGATGTTTGCTGAGCACCTGCTATCTGCCAGGCACTGTGTTAGATGTAGGGGATCTTGCAACAAACAGAATTCCTGCTTTTATGGAGCACACATTCAGTAAGTGGAGAGGGATAAACAAATCAGTGAAAGGTATGCATGTCAGCTGCTAATCCATGCTACAGGGAGACATTCAGCAGGCTGGGGGATAGGAAGCTCCAGGTATGTGGGAGAGTGTGTTAGCTTCCTGTGGTTGCTGTGACAAATCACCACCAACTTGATAGCTTCAAACAACACAGATGGACTCTGTCCTAGCTCTGGAGGTCAGGAGTCTGCCGTCTGTTTTACCGGGCTAAGTCAAGGTGTCAGCAGGGCTGGCTCCTGCTGGAAGCACTGAGGGCAGGATTCTTTGTGTTTTCAAGTGTTTGTATTTTTCTTTTTTCTTTTCTTTTCTTTCTCTTTCCTTTCTTTCTTTCTTTCTTTCTTTCTTTCTTTCTTTCTTTCTTTCTTTCTTTCTTTCTTTCTTTCTTCTTTCTCTTCCTTCCTTCCTTCTCTCTCTTTCTCACTTTCTCTTTCTTTCTTTTCTTTCCTCTCTCTCTTTTTCTTTTCTCTCTCTCTCTTTCTCTCTTTCTTTTTAGGCAGACTCTTGCTGTGTCGCCCAGGCTGGAGTGCAGGGGTGTGATCTCGGCTCACTGCAGCCTCTGCCTTCTGGGTTCAAGCGATTCTCCTGCCTCAGCTTCTCAAGTAGCTGGGACTATTGGCATGCACCACTATGCCCAGCTAATTTTTGTATTTTTTAGTAGAGATGGGGTTTCAGTATAAGTTGGCCAGGCTGGTCTCAAACTCCTGACTTCGGGTGATCTGCCTGCCTCGGCCTCCCTAAGTGCTGGGATTATAGGCATGAGCCACCGCACCCGGCCTGTATTTTCTTTTAAGCTCCTCATATTCCTGGGCTTGTAGCCCCTTCCTCCATCCTCAAGCACATGATTCCAGTCTCTGCCCTGTCATACAGCTCCTCTGACTCAGACCTTCCTGCCCTCCTCTTATAAGGACCCCTGTGATTACACTGGGCCCACCCAGGTCATCTAGAGTCATCTTTCTATCTCAAGATCCTTCACTTAACTACATCAGCAAAGCCCCTTTGCAATGGACATACACACAGGGCCCAGGGGTTTTAATGTGGACACATATGGGGGGCCCTTGTTCCACCCCCTACAGAAGGTGGTTGTTGATTTTCAGTAGGATGGTCAGGGAAGACCCTGCTGAGAAGCCACCATTTGAGCCAAGACTGGAGGAGCTGAGGCTGTGGGTCAGGATGACATCGAGGGTGGAGCCTTCCAGGCAAAAGAACAGTGAGTACAAAGCCGGCAACAGGTGTGCTGGCATGTTCCAGGAAAACCAGGGAGGGAGCCACAGCTGCGGCCGAGTGAGGAGAGGAGCAGCAGGAGGTGAGGCCAGAGAAGCCTTGGGGGCAGAAGCTGCGGGCCTCATGGTTATCATGAAGCTCCGGGTTTTACTCTGAGTACGCGGGAGCCATGGAGAGTTCTGAGCAGAGGAAGCACAGGACCTGACCTGGGTTTCACAGGCTTTCTCTGGCTGCTGTGTGGAAAATAGGTAAATAGGGCAAGCGTGGAAGAAGGGAGGCCTGTCGGGAAGCTTTTGCACAATGGCCCGGGTGAGAAAGAATCATGGCTTGGACCAGATGCTGGGATGTGTCCCCCACATCCCTTTCAGGAGCAGGCATGCATGCCCCACTGCCCAGGGGGTTGCCTGCTGAGAGCTCACAGCTGAGACCCTCTCCAGAAAATGCCCCTGGCTGACAGGAGCTGCTTTGCCCAGTCACCCTTCCTACGGTCCCTGCATCTCCAAAGACTGGTAGTAAACACAGGGGTCTAAAGGTCCAGCCCCTTGACTCGATTCATCACAGCTCTGAAGGGCCGTCTTCGCTGCAGACTTCCTCGAAGGATGGATTGCAAAGTCATGCGTAGAGTGTGCAGGGCTCAGGTGACTATCTATATGTCTGTCTATATTTTAGGATCCCTGTCTACATTAGCAATTTGTTTAAAAATATATTTCAAAATTCCTGTGCCCACGTGAGGTCTAGTGATTTATCCATGAAGGTATAGAATAACAGATAGAGAAGGGGTACTTATGTGGTTTGTTGTCCGACAGATCGTGTGAAAGTTTTTCGTCATGTCCAGGCACCACCTCTTCCTGGTCAGGCCCACGTTACATATGAGAACAATGGAACAAGTCAAAGGTAAAGCAACAAGTCCCCCTGTAAAAAACTATCAGTGTAACCGTCCACTTCCATATCTGTCCAGTCAGTTAACAAATATTGACAGACCACCTTTAAACACAGGCTGCTGTGCTGGTGTCTGGGACACAGCAGTGAGTAAGAGCCATCTGATCTCATGACACTCTCAGGAAGTTCCAGTCTATGAGGATGGACAGCATGCAGGTCAACACATAAACATCATTCAGACTGTGAAAAATGCAATAAAGGACACAGATTGGGAGATGGGATAAAGAGTCATGGGGGTGGAGCTACTGTCTCATTTTGGGTGGTCTGGGAGGGCCTCTCTGAGGAAGTGACATGTGGACAGAGTTCTGAAGAATAAGAAGGGGCTGCCATGGGTGATTTGAGGGAACAGCATGCTAGGTGGAGGGAATAGCAAGTGTAAAGGCCAGAGATCAGGAGGATCAAATATGAGGCCAGGGTATCCAAGAAGTCAGGACAGTGCTAAGAGATGGGGATGCAGAGACACTGTGAGGTGAGATAGAAAGAGAAGGGAGTCGGCCTGGCACGGTGGCTCACGTCTGTAATCCCAGCACTTTGGGAGGCTGAGGCAGGTGGATCACGAGGTCAGGAGATCAAGACCATCCTGGCTAACACGGTGAAATCCCATCTCTACTAAAAATACAAAAAATTAGCCGGGTGTGGTGGTGGGCACCTGTCGTCCCAGCTACTCGGGAGGCTGAGGCAGGAGAATGGCGTGAACCCAGGAGGTGGAGCTTGCAGTGATCCAAGATCGCGCCACTGCACTCCAGACTGGGAGAGAGAGCGAGACTCTGTCTTAAAAAAAAAAAAAAAAAAGAGAGAGACGGGAGCCAGGCATGGTGGCTGACACCTGTAATCCCAGCACTTTGGGAGGCAGAGGTGGGCAGATTGCTTGAGCCCAGGAGTTTGAGATCAGCCTGGGCAAAGTGATGAGACCTCGTCTCTACACACACACACACACACACACACACACACACACACACACACACACACACACACACACACAAAGCCAGATGTGGTGGTGCATGCCTGTGATCCCAGCTACTTGGGAGACAGGAGGATCACTTGGGCCTGGAAGGTTGAGGCTGCAGTGAATCAAGATCATGCCCCTGTAATCCAGCCTGGGTGGGTGACAGAGCAAGAACCTGTGTCCAAGAAAAAAAAAAAAAAGGAAAAAAGAAAAGGGAAGAGAATTGTCA
The DNA here is from genome assembly GCF_000001405.40 of Homo sapiens. Taxonomy (NCBI): domain Eukaryota; kingdom Metazoa; phylum Chordata; class Mammalia; order Primates; family Hominidae; genus Homo; species Homo sapiens. The sequence goes on from NC_000020.11 coordinate 47,914,470, forward strand.
CATTTTATTGCAATGACTGTGTTTTATTTCAGTTAAAAAATTTTCTCTCCCCTTTGAGTCCAGCCTGACACTCAGGAGATGGGGAGAGCCTTCCTCTCACTCTGCCTCAGGAGGAGCTCGAACCTGCTCCCTTAAATCTCCATCAGCTCCGGCAAGCCCTTGGGCTCTGCTGGCTGTAACGCTGCTCCCTGTTTACCAGAGGCTTTTGCTGGCACATTAAATGTATCACTCATACCCTGAACTAGATCGAGCCACAGAAAGCTTTGATTCATGGAGCTGCTGGTCCCCGTTACCACAAGATATGCATTCTTTCTCTTTGTTAAGGAATTAAGGTGCCATATTGAAACTTTAATCTTTAAATACAGGTAAATAAAACATGATTACTCTACAGAAACAGGACCCCAAGGGAAATATGTGTTTAATAGCTCTAGCATTTGGGGCAATAATTTCCACATTCCATTCTGTTTGTATAATGTATTATACTTTCCAAAAATATTTTCTCATGCACCAGTTCATTTGTGCTCATTTAATATGTGGAAGGTATTTACATGTTGCACATATTTATAGCAGTTTTCCCAACCAAGTAAAAAGAGAAAAAGGGAAAAGAAAAATAAAACGCCTGCAGGTCCTCAGTTGCATGTACTTTCTGGTCAGTACAATGAACTCACATTTGCATTCTTTCCTTGTCTCTTATTTCATCCTTTTCTTTCTCCATGGTGTGTGTTTAACATTAACCATAAACCAGTTCTTCTCCTCTCTCTTTCACTCATAAACATGTAGGGGTGGGCAGCTTTTGCTCTTGTCCATCCAACATTCATTCCTCCTTCTAATTGCACTGCCCTAATTTTATTCTCAGCAATGACCCCTCCCCTCTTCAATCCACGTGTGTGTGTTGACTTTACTAAGACCCCAGCCCTAGATTTGGTCTCATGCCCCAGACCTGGACAATCAGTGTATTCTCTCTCTCCACCTCCACTTTCATTCTCTTAGGTCAGAGTGATTCCTGGGTGGCCAATGAAACTTTGGTTTGATTTACTAGACTTTGGTTTGATTTACTAGAAAGAACACCTCTCTTTTTATTGGATTGGTTTCTGTAAGAGTGTAAGCAGGGCCACAGAGCAGAAACTTCTTGTTTGTGAAGGCACTGCACAGGAAAATAGAGCCTTGTAGACATCAGTCATTTGAGCGGCTGGATGCAGCCATGCCTGAAGCCATCACCCTTAGGGCAGGTTTTCTCAACCTTGAGACTATTGACAGTTTAAGCTGGGCATTTCTTTGTTGTAGAGACTGTCCTGAGCATTGCCAGATGTTTAACAACATCCCTGACCTCTACTCACCAGATGCCAGTAGCATGCCACCCTCCCACCCGCCACTCCCATCGTGACAACCAAAGATGTCTTCAGGTGTTGCCAAATGTCCCTGGGGAGAAATTTCCTCCACTAAGAACCACCATCCTAGACTGCCCATAAGTTATGCAGGTCAATAATTATCCGTTTTGCTTATTTCTGCTTGAGTTTCTGTTCTTGTCTTCAAGGGGCTTTCTGCCCGAAGGAGAGCTGTACCTTTAGGATGGACCTTCCAAAGGAACTTTCTCTGAATTGCCCAGTGTGGATGGTGAGAGGGACAGTCTGCATTTGGTCAGGTCCATGAGGGAGAAATGTACCAGAGAGAAAGTGTTGAGTGAGCACTTGTTTATGAGGTCCTGAAGGATCAGGAGAGGAATTGATCCCCGTAGCCTCTCATGCTTAGGGAAGGCTTCCTGGAGGAGGTGAATCTTACAGGGTTCATAGGGGTAGTAAAGAGGGAGGACAGGTTTGTGTATGTGTATGTGTTGGGGGGAACCTGTGAGCATGAAACAGGATGGAATGGGGTGGGTGGGTTGGCAGGAGGTGCTGAGGAGATCATCTGGCCAAAGCCAAAGAGGGGTGTGTCAGGCAATCATTTGCATTGGGCTGACAGATGGGTCCAGAGTCAATGCCAAGCTAAATAAGTTAGAATTTAAACGTCCAAAACATATTTACCACCATCACCATGTGTGGTAGAAAAAATGATGGTCCCTTAAAGATATTCATGTCCTCACGCCCAGAATCTGTGACTATGTTACACAGTGTGATAAACGGGACTTTGCAGAGGTGGCTAAGTGAGGGACCTTGGGATGGGGAGATGGTCCTGGATTATCTGGGGGAGATGAATGTAATCACAAGGGTCCTTGTAAGAAGGAGGCAGGAGGACCCGGGTCAGAGGTAATGAGATGATGCGAGCAGGGCGAAAGAGGAGGAGGTATGAGGACGAAAGTGGAAGGGGGAGTGATGTCGTTGCTTCCTTAGGAGTGGGAAGAAGGGCCATGAGCAGTGTAATGTGGCAGCCTGCAGAAGCCAAAGCAGGAAAGTCAGCAGCTTCTCCCCCAGAGCCTCTGGAGGGATGCAGCCCTGTGGACCCCCAGATAATAAATTTGTGTGTGATTTTTCAAGCCACTAACTTTGTGGAAATTTGTTACAGTGGCAATAGGTAACTCATATACTGTGCTTGCCCAATTAGCATGCAATTTGTATGTTATTACTTGATTTTTTTTTGTTTGAATTGACTCTATTTACTTTACTCCAAATGAAGATTTCACCCTCGGTGTTCATATCTGTGAAAACATGGGGTTGATGGCTGAGTATACATTTTTCCCCAAAATGAATGGAAATAAATACATGACTTAAACATGACTTTAAAAAACTTGTTTGTCCATGTTACGTGTGAAATCATCTAGTGTCTTGCTGGTGGTCTGGTCACATATACTTTGGACTCATTAGTGGGATAAGGAGAGTTGTGGAAGTCTTCTGAACAGGGGAGGGAGGTGATGGAAAGTGCCACAGTCTTAGTAGACTCCATGTAGATGGAGTGCTTTGGATGTGTTGGCAAAGGGAACTACAGCCAGGGTCAGCGGGGAGGGGTTCCAATAGTTAGCAAGAAGACATGAGGTCCAAACTGTGGTGGAGGATGGGAATGAAAAAAGAGCAAAAGAGCCAATGGGAAACAAAGGAAGAATGATCAGGATCATTACTGATCATGAAACTGACCCAATAGTCCCACAGAGAGTTTTTTTTTTATAAACATGGAAATTGGCCTTTCTGGTCTTAAAGCTTGAAACTTATATTTGTTTTATCTGAGTTCCTTCCTCAAGAAAGGATCCCTAGGCCTTCAAAAGTATCAGAGAACTGAAACTCACAGATTGCCACATGCAGACAATGAAATACATTCAAGATGATTGTTTCTTTGCCCCTCCCTAACTCCTGTTTGCTTACTCATTGTTACATTTCTTCTCTGCTGTATAAAAACCCCTAGTTTTAGTTGATCAGGGAGATGGATTTGAGACTGAGCTCCCATCTCCTTGGCTGCAGCACCCGATTAAAGCCTTCTTCCTTGGCAATACTCATCATCTGAGTCATTGGCTTTCAGTGTGGCGAGCAGAAGGACCTAGACCAAACCCCTGGTGTTTTGGTAACAGTCAGGTTGCTGAAAGGTCCAAAACTAAGTCAGAAGGAATTGCCAAGGAACAATGGGGCTGAAAGTGTCAGGAAGGATTGTCTGATGGCAAGCAACAGAACTCAACTTGGGCTGTACTCACAGAGGAGAATTGATCGGTAGGCTATTTGGCAGCTCAGAGAATCAAAAGAAAGGCAAGAAACCAGGTTTAGAAAAAGAATAAGAACCGAAACCATGTCAGGGCATGGAGAGTAGGAAGTTATGGGCAGGCCCGGAAGGGCATCACTGGTCATATGAATAGTTCTTGGTTGTTTCTGTAGCCCGTGCTGCTTCTGTTAAGATCCAAGGTCCAGAGAGGGCTGGGACCTCCCAGCTGAGGTCTCATGCCTATTGTTTGGTGAGGGGAGGGCAGGGCACTTCAATTTACCATCTGCCTCAGACTTCACAACAGGGAAAGTTAATTCTCCAAAACAAAGTCTGAATGTCAAGCACAAGGTGAGGTAAGGCTGAGTCCTGAAAGATTTGGCCGATGAAGGAACAATGAGCCCTGTTTAGATTCAGCTGGCTTTTGACTTACCTAGAGTAGCCAAGGGTGGTAGTTCTAATATGGTCTGGATATTTGTCCCTGCCCAAATATCGTGTTGAAATGTAATCCTCAATGCTGGAGGTGGGGCCTGGTGGGAGGTGTTTGGATCATGGGGTCGGACCCCTCATGGCTTGGTGCTATCTTCATGATAGTGAGTTCTCATGGTATCTGGCATTTAAAAGTGTGCGTCACCCACTCCCCCTACTCTCTCTCCCTCTTGTTCCTGCTTTTGCCATGTGGCATGTAGGCTCCTGCCTGGCCTTCCGCCATGACTGTAAGCTTCCAGAGGCCTCCCAAGAAGCAGATGCTGGTGCTATTGCTTCCTATACAGCCTGTAGAGCCACGCACCAATTAAACCTTTTTGCTTTATAAATTACCTAGTCTCAAGTATTCGTTTATAACAATGCAAGAGCAGCCTAATGCAAGCTCCTAGGGCCCTTATGCAGATGACACCTAAATAGGGCCTGAATGACTGCCATGATTAACGGGACACCCTATGCAGAGGAGCCAGTCCTAGAGTGCAGCCAAGTAGTTTTATGGTCTGCAATGATGTTCTGAGGGGCAAGATGGAAAACATACTGGAACCTGCCTGGTAGTGAGAAACTGTCCCGTGAGCCTCTCAGGGAGAGAGGGAGGTGAGTGGAAGATGCCTGGGGTACCTCATGTTCCTGGAGGATACTAAGACATTCTGCCAAGAATCCAATGAGCCATGGTTCAAGCCTTGCCTGCATGGCTTATGTTGATATGTGCAAGACCATAAGGGTGCCATGGCAGATTTGTTCCCCTGCATTATTTTGAAAAGAAGGGTAATATGTGTTGGGAGGTTAAAATAAAATTTTGCCACTATAATAACCAGTCCAAAACAACTCCAGGGCTTCAGTCATCTGGGAAAATGGTCGGTAGCTGGCCAGTGGGATCCCTTACCCAAGTAGACATTTCTAGACATTCCCACATGTCTGAAGGGTTGGCATTTTGGAGGGCACATATCCAAGATTTGTGGCTGGTATTTTGTGTAGATGTGGCAGACACTTAAGGGCACTGAGAGTGACAAAGCTGACTTTTACATCAATCTCAGAGCAGGGGAGGGTAGGGCTGAGCAGGATCACAGCTGAATCTGAAATACTTTCCTGGGAAACCCCCACCCTCTCCTCAGGTGTGTGTCTTGTGTTCACAAGGATGATACTGGGATCCTGGTATTTGGGGGTTTCATCTGAGAGACCCTCACACAAAGAACTTTCTGGCACTCTGCTGTTCTGATGTGGAATAATCCTGAAAGTGCGATGCCAGCCACGCCACATGTCACAATGAGAACACAGAGAGAGAGGGGAAAAGAGAGGGTAAGACAGGTGGTGGGAAGTGGATGGCATGTATCAGTGGCTCACTTGGGATTTAATTCCTGACGTCAGTAAGCTTCAGGAGAGCTGAGACCTGCGGCCAGCTACAAACTCTTAAATCTTCCCTCTTTCCAAGACAGAGCTGTATTAGTCCATTTTCACACTGCTATAAAGAACTGCCTGAGACTAGGTAATTTATAAGGAAAAGAGGTTTAATTGACTCACAGTTGTGCATGGCTGGGGAGGCCTCAGGAAATTTACAGTCATGGTGGAAGGGAAGGGGAAGCAAGGCACGTCTTACATGGAGGCAGGTGTGTGTGTGTGTGTGAGAGAGAGAGAGATAGAGAACTTTAAAAACCATCAGATCTCATGAGAACTCATTCACTATCAGGAGAACAGCATGGGGGAATCTGCCCCCATGATCAAATCACCTCCCACCAGGTCCCTCCGTTGACACATGAGGATTACAATTCAAGATGAGATTTGAGTGGGGACACAGAGCAAAACCATATCAAGATCCAAACTCACCATCTCAATAAGGGAAAGGCTGGGGGCCCCTAAACTTCTGTCCTCAGAAGGGGACCCCTAAACTCACTTCACCCTTGGGCTTGAAGTAAATTCTGGAATGGGACTAAGATGAATCAATTAACGTTCTTCCCCTGGGCTTTCTTGAGGGGGGATGCCAAAACTCTGAAAAATCAAGATAAATATTATTGTAATGGAATAGTTTACATGTCAAAACCAAAGCAAGAAAATCCACAAATAACAAAATGTTAAATCTTTAAGGACAGGATCTGTCGTTGAGATTGATGCCTCTAATTTCCTGATTGCTAAACCAATCCTATTCTTAAAAGTACTATGATGAGAACCATGGCTTATTAAAAAAACAAAAAACACCCATCGTGGTGGCTCATGCCTGTAATCCCAGCACTTTGGGAGGCTGAGGCGGGTGGATCATGAGGTCAGGAGTTCGAGACCAGCCTGGCCAAGATGGTGAAACCCCATCTGTACTAAAAATACAAAAAAATTAGCCGGGCGTGGTAGTGGGCACCTGTAATTCCAGCTACTCGGGAGGCTGAGGCAGAGAATTGCTTGAACCTGGGAGGCAGAATTTGCTGTGAGCCGAGATCGTGTCACTGCACTCCAGCCTGGGTGACAGAGCGAGACTCCGTCTAAAAACCACAACAACAACAACAACAACAAAAACACAAAAAACAACCCTAACGAACTAATTTATATCAGAAACAAACCTGTGATATATTTTCTAAAGCAACTGAACAAGATTTTCACAATATTCAATCATCTGAATAGATACTATGTCTGAGTCATTGAGGGGAATGCCCAACTGAGTTAACAGGAATGATCAAACCCGAATTCCCAAGGCAAACCCTTTTGGGGTTCATAAATCCAGCCCCCAGAAATCTTGCAAATTGCCCTCTTTGGGTCGACGCCTGCCCATCTGTCAACTCGGGATCCTCACTCTTTCCTCTGTCCCAAAGGACCCTCCTCTGTGTCTTGCAACACGTTCCAGAAGAGAAGGGTATTTCTCAGGTCTGCAGAAACCCAAAGAAGAAAATTCGTGTTATGATCTGAAGGGAGATGAAAAGCATATTTTAGCAGGGCATTGCAAATGCATTCCGTGCTCATGACAGAAGCATCCAAAATACCTACATTATTTAGAAAGCTGCAGGAGAGGGAAAAATGAATGCAGAATATGTGAACGATTCATTTTGTTTTTTAAAAAATGCAGCCGAGCCAGAAAAAGCTTCACAAATGATCCAAAGACAATATAAAATCTCTTCTGTTTGCAAAGTCAACACGGTAAAGAGATGATTAAACGAAAGCAAACCTGAGACTTAACCTTAAAGGAATTGAGCATTTTAATTTTTTAAAAGGTGGAAAAAATGCCATAAAAGCATGTCTGAAGGTTAAGGAAACTGTTATTAAAATGAGAATTATGAGCTCGGAGCTGTTCGCAGCTCTGTCCCTGGAGTGTGAAATTAGTGACTGAAGGCAGATTTCACAGGCACTTCGTTGGAGCGTGTTGGTGTGGCAGTGGATTTGTGATGGGGCCTCGCCGCCAAGTCCTGCCCACTTGCAAGCTGCTGTCGTTATTCATGCACAGCACAGATAATCATGAATGTCTGGAGCATTTTGCATTTATGTTGAATGCAGCCTCTCTCCTTCCCAGCCGGAGTGAGTTTCGGGCTGTGTGCACGGGTGAAGTGCAGGGGAGGAAGCAGCTGCAAGACCAGCATTCCCACCAAGGCCATATTTTCTCTTTGAAGAAAAAAATCCTTCCATATGGATTACATTCAGCAGAAATGTTGGAAAATATATAGAAAATAGGAATATGGTTTAAATTTTAAACCTTAAAATAGCTCCAAGGGCAACAAGGAATTCTCTGGGTCTGGGTTTCAGGTCTGAAACAATTGATGCTAATGATGTCCACATTCCCCATCACACCGTGATTTTGGAAAGTTGGTTTGGGGAAGTTTAACAGAAGAGAGAAAACTCAGGAAACAGTGAATTGGGAGAAGTTGTTGCATTTCCTCATTCTCTCTCCGTCTGTCTCGTTCTCATCCACTTAGTCACACACGGCAACCAAGCAAAAGTGTAAATATTACTTTTCATGCATTTATCTAGGCATAGTTAGGCAAGCAGAATTGAGCAAGGCCCCAGGTAAAGGGACCCTTTGAAGTAATAGCACTTTTTTGGCTGTTTTGTTGGTCAATTTTTGGGTGCATTATGCTTTTAAGATAGAACTTAATACCAACCATTAAAAAACCACCTCCTTTTCAAAATGAATATTCTCCCTTGTATGGCTTCTTTGGTGATGGTAAGATATTTGGCACCTCCCAAGTGTGGTTTGAACTTTGAACACTCTTGTTGAAAATGTGAGAGGAAATAAAAATCAGCTCACAGCTCTCCAAAGCATACTGCAAATTAACTGTGTATCGGGATGTTTTTCGGAACAAATAACAGAAACTCATATGGCAATTGGCTTAAACAATTACAAAATATGTTGGTTCATATAATCTAGAGGTGATCCAGCAATCCCAAGATGTCTTCACGGATCAGACCCTTTCCATCTCTGCCCTGCTGTTCTGTGTTGACTTTATCCCAAGGCTGGACTTCCTCCTGGGTGAAGAAGAAATCAGGTAACCTTTGCAAGCATTCTCAGAAGAGCAAGCAGGGAGTTTCCTAGAAACCACAAGCGAACCCATTTTTGAATCTTCTTGACCTCAGTTGCATGATATGTGTGCTCTTGACCAAAACCCTATCAATGGAATGACTGGGATCACCCTTAGAACAGTGTTGTAGCTAGGATGGGAGCAGGATGAACTTTCTTGAATCCCTGGGATGCAGGGAAAACAGGATTCCTGAAAAGTGAAGAACTGGGTGTGTGTGTGTGTGTGTGTGTGTGTGTGTGTGTGTGTGTGTGTGTATGGCATTGAAATTTTGGGTAGGCAGTCAACAGTATTCACTACACCTATCAGATTCCAAAGGTATCTTGGTCACCTTGATTAGAACTCTAAATGTGTTTAATGTGTGTATGTACGCATGTTCACATTGTGCTGAATTGGTTAGAATTTCAAATGGATTTGGCATTGTTCTGTATGGACATGGCTTCCTCTTAAAGTTCCTCAATTGATCCACAGGGATTAAAACCATTCAAACCATGGGTAACTTTGGGCTGGAGGGAATCAAATCTCTGTTCTTCTTGGGAGCTTCTTGGAGCTTCTCTGTAGACTGGCTTCCCTTGCTTTCTGGAAGCCTCTGCCCTCACTTCACTCTGTCTTGCCTATGATTTGGGCTGAGAATGGCACAGGGAAGCCTCCTCTTCACATGAATTTAAGCTCCAGAATCTACCACTTACTGGCCATGGAAGTATTGCCCGATGGCTGGACTACTCACCTACATGGAGTTGGGGGTAAGGGGTCAGCTGAATGCACACATCTTGATTCCACCCCCTCAGCTGGGCATGTGACGTAAGCATTATACACACCTCCAAATTGCTCCACCTTAGCTGAGAGCATGTCTTTCTTAACTTTGGAAACCCTAGAGCTGATAGTTGCATACTGGTCATTTAGTAATAACTCACTTAGTGAATAAATGAATGAATTTATTGACCCATGTGGTCTAGGACTAGAATGTAAACTTAATGAGAGCAGCAGTCATGTTTGTTTTTCCTCATTACAACCCCAGTGCCTAGCACAGTGTGTGGCACCCAGTAGACAGCTAATGAAAGTTATGGAATAAACAACCTGCAGGGCAGTCAGAGGATGGAGGTTGAGCACCTGGAATCAAGTCAGAGAGCAGGGTTGAATCCAGACCTCACCACTTTCTGGCTTTGTGACCCTGGGCAAGTTTCCTAAGGTCTCTATGCCTACTTTTTTCCCACCTGTAAACTGGGGATAATAAGAACACCAGATTAGAGAATAATTCCGGAAGATTTCACCAGAGAACACTTGTAAGGTACATAACCTATCGCATGGCACGTGGTAAGTGCCATAGAATTATTCACTATTATCACTTTCTTCTCCATAACCCAGCTTCCATGGCTGTAAACTTTTCTCTGTCTTGTTCACTGCTGTGTCTTCAGTATGCAGCACAGCACCTGGCATATAGTACATGCTCAGAAAATATTTGTTCAATGAGTGAATGGAATTCTGGAGACATACAAAATGAGGATGTTAAGGATTAGACCAAATAAAATCCACCATTCTAGAATTCTGTGGATTGAAATTCTAAGAGCTACTCAATGAATGTGTTGAGTTGAAAGTATTTCTTTGGTTAAATGGTAACTCTCCCCCTCCCCCATTTGTCTGAATGCCCAGATGTTGACGCACTGGGAGAATTTTGGGAGGGCACAAAACCTGTACAGGAGCCACTTCTTTCACTTTCGGGCAACTCTCCTGAGAGACCAAAATCTACCCTACAAAATCCTATATCAACCCTTTGCTTTGTCATTCCAGTTGCGATAGGCGGGAGAGAAATGTTCCGTTTTAATTCTGTGGAAGGTAAAGCAAAGCAATACCCTGGGATACTTGTAACAGTCCAAAACATTCCTGAAATAAAACATTGGTTCTCAAGAGTGCAGGAAATCTTCCATTTTCTTAACATGTGGGAAATCATTTAAAGGCAGCCATCTTGCCGCTTAATTTTGAACTTCCATTAGCCTTTAATAAGAAGATAATCAGTCACTGCAGATCTTGTCTTCCCTACCTCCATAGGAAATAGTCCTCCTGCCATTCAGAGAGAAAAACTATTTATTACATCTCAACTATGTACTTGTCAGACACCTTTCTATGCACTGGGGATGGGAATGTGAAAGTAAAGCTAATTCTTTTTTCGAAGACCCTCAGAATCACACAAAAGCCAAGGTCATGTGTAATGTGTGGCAGATGCTGTTGGTACCCTGCCCGCCTCTCCTAGGTACTCACTGTTCCTATAAATAAATGCCAGTGACATCTACTGTGAGCACCTGCGGCTCTCCGCCTAAGAACTTTCTTTGGTTGTTGGAGTGTGCTCAGCCTGTGTGTGGGGCAGGCTGGAGGTGCCAGAGAGTTAATGCCCCAGGGACAGCCCCTAATCAGTGATGGAAGTGAGCTGGTGGCTCAAAATCCCAGTTTCTTTGCCCTTTGAGTGGGATAATTCACCATGTTCTTCACAGCCTTCAACCTGAACTGCCTATTCTAGAACGTCGTGCCTATTAAGTCACCTTGGATGGTTTCCTTTCTTTTTCACATCTCAATTTCCTATTCCCCTACTGTTCCTTTTATGGCTCCCAAATAAATGACTTTCACTCAAATTTGTCTTCATGCCTGCCTCTGAGAGAACCCTACATAAGACAATCAGTATGGCTCTTCCTACTCAAGGGACGAAAATCTCAGCTCAAGGTTGCTTGAATAAAAGGATTGCTTGAATCATGCTGTGATTCACAGGAAAGCCCGGGGGACATATTGGCTTCAGGTATGGCTAGATTGAAGCACTTAATCGTGTGAACACTGAGTTTCTCTCTAATTCTGAGGTTTTCTTTCTGTTGTATTTGTTTCTTTCTCAAGTTCTATTCTGTGGTCCTAGGAAGTTTCAGTCTCTTCCTTTGGTTCAAAGGAATTGCCTGAGAATTAGCTTCACATTTTGTCAAAGTCTTTTCCAATAGCTCACATAGCAATTCTGAGTTTTGCTCTAATTTTGATTTCCTATCTATTCATTCCTTATGAATGGATTTTCCTTTATGTCCTTTAGCATACCTATAACAGCTACTATAAAATCTTTGCTAATTTGAACATATGAGTTATCTTCAGATAAGTCTCTATTCTTATTTTTTTATGTTGAGTCTTTGTCATATTTTCCTGCAATTTTGCATTATATCCAGAATATTGTGACCAATACAGTAATTCTTGATTCCGTTGTTTTCCTGTGAAGACTGTTGATTTTTTGAGCAAGTGACTAAAGTGGCTGAACTCAAATTGAAAAGATCTTGCGTTCAGTTACTAAAGGTAAAAGAAAAAAAAATGAAAAGGTTTGTGTTTCCTGGAGTGGGAAATAGCTCAAATTTCAGTTCAATTCTGTGGCAACCCTAGCTGGGCTACTTGTAGTCTGCCTACACATATGTGGTTTAGGGACCAGCTAGACATTTGAAAAGTTTATACATAAAATTTGGGGCTCCCTGTCTCTGATGTCTCTCTGCATTTGTAATTTCCCTGCTCCATTCCAGTGGCTATGGTTTCCCAGAGCCTGGTCCTCTGGTTCTTCAAGTGGGTGAGATGACTGATTTTTAGTTGGAGTTTTAGTTGTCCCTCTTTTGCAGACTGAAACCTCCTCTCAGGTGAAAATCTGTCCAAGCATCAACTCCCCTCCCATATCTGTCTGCCTTTCTTCATTGTCCTGTGCTTTCAGGTCGTTGTTTTTAAAATTTTGTCCAGAGTTTATAGCTGTTGTATGTGAGAGGACTCGCCTCCCAGAGGCTTACTTGGCCATAAAAGAAGCATAAGGCCTAGTCTCAAGATTCATTCTGATTGGACCAGCTTAGGTCACATGACTATACCTGGACCAATCACTGTAATCAGAGTAATGATATATACCAATTGGTGAGGGCTTCATTCTTGAGGCCAAGGGACGGGCCACACCAGGTCATGTGAACTGGAAATTGGGAAGGTAAACATCCACAAAAGCTAATAACGTTGAAAGAAAAGAGAATGGATACTGGTCAAGAGACTACAAAGTGCTCTGGATGTGTTTGCAGATGTTCAGCATATATTAGCATTTGTCCAGTGATGGACGTCTGACCACTGCTCTCGTAGGGTCTGAGAGAAGACATCTCAGAAGAGGGATCACTCAAGTAGGGCCTGGAAGCTCAGATCAGGAGCTGTCAGTCAAGGATCGAGGACAAAGCATGCAGTCTAGGAAAAAGCATGATATTTTCTACCTCAACCTGTCAGATTCCTTTTAAACATGGCTTTACAGCTCACACTCATGAATCTTCTTTCCACGTTTTTGCTTCACCTAAGACCATGATATTTGAAAAAAATAGAAAAGAAAGGAATAAATAAACCTCTGAGGCAGGATGAGTCAGAATGACTTCATTGTCTCTCCTCTCAGTTCCATATATTGAAAAGAGGATGAACAACACCCTTTGCATTTCCAGATGTGGAATATTTTGCTGTATCAATTTGTGTTCTCTCCTCTGTGATGACAACTCTTATGATTTATGATAAACAAATTACAACTTAATGTACCAGGTAGGATTATCTGATCCCGATTACTGCTGTGAGTAATAGTGCTCCCAGTCACAGACATCTGAACAGACGTGCATGTACTTTTCTCCCACGTGGTAGTCTGGGCGATAGCTCAAGGCTGGCATGTGGGCACTAGTTGACCAAGCACCCAGGGACCTGATTTCTTCATTCGGGTTTCCCTGCCAGGTGTGGCTTCTATTCTCAGGAACAGTACATGGTCCAAGATGGCAGCTCCAGCTCTAGCCTCAGCCCCAGACGTGTTGCCCCCCAAGCAACCAGAATGAAAGAAGGTATGAAGTCAAAAAGGCTCAAAGCATCAGGTTTCTTTTCAAGGAACATTCCAAGAAGCTGTCACACCTCACTTCCACTTACACCCTATTAACTCTGTTAAATTAAATAAGTAGGAGGTCATTAGCCTGAGGCTTTCTCTGTACTTTGAGTTCTTCCATAAAGCTCTGCAACCTAACTTAGTATATAAACAAACTGAAACCTAATTTAGGAGTGTAGATTTTTTGTAACAGATACCCAGATCTCAGCCAATCACCAGCTGCCAAGTTTCAGCCAATCAGAAACTGCTGAGCTTCAGCCAATCAGAAGTAGCCAACAGGTCAGACCATGTCCAAATAAGGCAAATGCCTAGGTGTAATCAATCAAGTTAATTTTCTACTTTATTTATATCTTCTGTCTATAAACACTTGCTCTCCACCTTGCTGAGTTGAGCCCTCAGAATGTCTTCAGGTTCTGAGTGCTGCCTGATTCTTGAATTGTTCTTTGTCCAAATAACCTCTGTTAAATTAACTTTGTCTACAGGTTTTTTTTTTTAATGCCTTCAAAGCCAGGGAGAGCTGCAGCATGTTTTTTGGATGACTTCAATATTAAAAAAGATTCCTGAATACTGCGTAGTACTGTTGGCGCTATTGCTTCCACCACTATGACTACTACTGGGATAATGATTGTTGTGCTAGATACACCTCTAAGCACTTAACACGTTGAATCCTCTTAACAGCTCCAGCATGTAGATACTATTATTGTTATTCCAAGTTACAGAGGAGGAAATGGGAGCAGGGAGAGGATAGGTAACTTGCCCACAGCCATGCAGCTGGTAAGTGTCAAAGAAAGGATTCAAACCCAAATAGTCTTGTTTTAGAGAGTACACTCTAAAACACTACTTGCTATAATTACTGCAAACACTATCTGATTGGAAATTCCTTTGATTTATTTAGGAGTTTTGATCCAGTAGTTTTTTTCCCCCACAGGTCTTTTAATTTAATTAATATAAAGTATATTATGAGTATTTTCAAATACACACGAAGTATAGGAGAAAGTGTAAGAAACTTCCATTTATTTACCCATTACCCAGCTTTAACATGCGTGGTAAATCTCATTTCATCTCTATGTCACCTTATACTAGTTTATTTTCTTTTGGATTATTTTGAGGCCTAGACCTTGTATCATTTTTATCATAATACTTTAGTATGTGTCTCTAAAAGCGAAAGACTCCATATTAAAACACAAATATAATACCAGTATCTTGCCTACAAATAATAAGCAATAATTCTTTTAATATTATCAAATATCTAGTCAACGTTCAAATTTTCCTGATTATCTCATAAACTTTTCTTGAGCTACTTTTTAAAATAAAGATTCAATGAAGGCCCATACTTTGTTTCTTCCATCTGTTGTTAGTCTGTAACTTTCCTAACATCCTGTGTGTGTGTGTGTGTGTGTGTGTGTGTGTGTGTGTGTGTGTACATTTATTTCATGTTCTGATGAAAACTTCGTGTCTTATAATGGATCCTTCTTCAAAAGTTTGGGGGAAAAAAACCTGCTCTAGAGAATTTGAACACTGCTTTTTTTTTTTTTTCCATAGCCAATTGGATTACTTCCCCCTTGCAAACTTCTCTGACTCAGATGTCATGAAAATCCTGGCCCAGGAGTCCTGTCTGACTCACAGGGACCAGGAAATTCTACCCCTCTCTAGGGGACAAGGAGGGATTTGTGTGATTTTAGGGAGCAGATGATGCTGTGGAAAATACTACAGGCCTCAACTCTTCCCCTAGTTATAAAGTCTGCTGACTCCAAAGTGTGCCCCATCTGCTCTTCCTTTGATTCTAGGGGCAGACATAATTACATAAAGTAGGACATTGATCTTTTTGCATTTTTAAAGCCAGAGTCATGTCTGGGAAAGCCAAGTCTGCCGTATCTGTAATAACCACCTTAAAAATGCAGGAAGGAGAAGGGACGTGCATGGAGTTGAAAAGTGTCGAATGCAAAGCAAGTCAGTAATTATGGCACAGAGTGAGGGCAGTAAATGTGCCTGATTATGCAAATCCAGGTGGAATGTGGATGCCAGTGGTGTTCTCATCTCCAGTTAAGAGGGTGGCTGTCAGCACGAGAGTCCTGGACTGAGGGAGTAGGAGAGAGGGGCCAGGCCAGAAGGGGCAGGAGCCCCGGAAGCTGGATGTGGTCCTGGGTGGGCACAGCCTCAAGCAGTGAGGGCCCTGCATCCAGGGACAGCTAGGTATGGAGGGTGTGCAGGGGCCCCCAGATGGAAATAAAGCCCCACCAGCATCTGGCAGGCCACCCAGGTGAGTAGACTGGGGCCCCAGGTAGGAGGCACCTGAGGCTGGGAAGATGCTTCCCAAATTGTGATCTGCCTGTCCGTGGTGGCTCATGAAATGAGTTAGACAGCAAGAAAAATCTTGCTATCTGATGGTTATGGGTGTATTTGAATGTTATTTCACTGAAACACAGGGGACTGGTGATGGGTGTGAGCTCTGCAGCTTGAATGCCTGGGCTTGAATCCTGACTCTGCCATGGACTTTTCAGCTGCGTGACTCAGCCCTGCTGTGCCTCAGTTTCCTCACCTATTATTATATGCATATGCATATAATAATAGACCTACCTCCAAGAGCTGTGGGGAGAAATCAATAATGAGCTAGGAAAGTGTCTGAAATGTAGCAAGAAGTCGATAGATACCAGTGGTTATTGTTGTTGTTCAGAGAGGTAGTTGAGAATTTAGACTCTGGAGTTGGACAATAGCGAGTCAGGTCTCACCTCCCTGGTTTTCTAGCTGTGAGGCCTTGGATAACCTCTTTGTGCCTCATTGTCATCATCTGTAAAATGGTGACAATAATAATATCTTCCTCATAGGGCTGTGGTAAAGATTAGACAAGCGACCGTATGGAAAGCCCTTAGAGCTATGGATGGCCCATGGTAAGTGCTCAGTCAATATGCACAGCCATCATTAGTATTACTAGTTCTTAGTAGCAGGCTACATTATACAAATGATCCAACTTTTATAGTCCATTTGAAAAAAAAACATGTTAAGTAATCGTAGAGGTATTATCCAGGAGTGGCAGAGAAACTGTTCTTATGGTAGGCTAGCCCTGAAGTTTGGGACATAGAAAAGCAGGCACATTTGAAGACCTAGCTGGTAGTTCATATCAAGGATGTAGGTAAAACATTTGTCTATGAAAGCACCATGTCTCAGTTATCTAGAGCCACATAATAAACAACCACAAACTAGTGGTTCAAAACAACAAACATTTCATTATCTTTCATGGTTCTGTGGGGTAACTGGGCTCCGCTGGGCAGTTCTTCTGGCTGCTTATTTTCAGCTGGTGCTGCAACCAGAGAAAGGGAGGAGCTAAGAAGACACCCAGGGTTGTAGCCAGAGTAACTGGAATGGTGACATTTCCGTTTGCTGAAATGGGGTAGACTGTGAGAAGAATAATTTTGGGGCCTGAGGTTGAACAAGAGTTCAGCTTTGTTAAGATCATGTTTGAGGAGTCCAGTGGGCAGTTGGATATACAAGTAGAGATCTCAGGAAGAAGTTGGGGTAGGACTGAAATATTTTAGAACGCTCAGCATAGAATGAGTATGTAAAGGCTTCAGTCAGGATGCGATCGCCTGGGGAGTAGGAGGCCTAGGAAGACACAGATGTGGAAACTGAAGCAAAGGGGTTCAAGGAATTGCCTTGTCCACAGACTGTTGTGGAGGAAGCTGCACTTTGAGTTCAGGACGTCTGGGCTCTCTCCCAAATGATGACCGAAAGGCAGTTGGGCCAGGATGCCTGAGGATGTCGGAAACTCATGCGCTTCTGAAGGCTCTTCTCAACTAGCAGCAAACCCACAGATGAGCTGGTGTCTCTGTGTTCCAGGCCAGGGAGAATGTCTTCAAATACCTCTTATTCCTTCCTGGGTGGATATCTAATCTGATATGAAAATAGAGTCCAGGCGTGGTGGCTCACACCTGTAATCCCAGCACTTTGGGAGGCCGAGGTGGGCAGATCACCTGAGGTCAGGAGTTCGAGACCAGCCTGGCCAACAAGGTGAAACCCCGTCTCTACTAAAAATACAAAAATTAGCCAGGCGTAGTGGCAGGCGCCTGTAATCCCAGCTATTCGGGAGGCTGAGGCAGGAGAATCGCTTGAACCCGGGAGGCGGAGGTGCAGTGAGCCAAGATCACACCACTGATTCCAGCCTGCGTGACAGAGCGAGACTCTGTCTCAAAAAAAAAAAAAAAAAAAAGAAAAATAGAATTCCACTTTTCCTTAAACTTTTATGATGTACACCTTATTTATAGAGACAAATATGCCTGGCAGAGGCTGGGAGGTGGGTAAGGGCAAGGAGGGCCTGGACAAAGAGGAGGCCCAAGAGCAGTGGGGAAGTGTGGGGGCCCTGGCTTCCACCTGCCTGGGTCCCAGTCCTGGCCCTGCCACCTCTGGGCTGTGGACTTTGGGTGGGCCATCTCACTTCTCTGCTCCTACATTTCCCCATCTCCATCCTGAGCATAATTAATAATACCTGAATCAGATGTTTGATGTGAAGACTGTATTACTTTATGAATGATGTTTCCCAAACAGTGGCACATAGAAGGCATCTTTATGTGTATTTTAGGAGCATTAGCTTACAAAGCGGGGAGCCAAGAGACATTGTCCACAGTTGGACAACGAAATAAAGATGTTCAAATCCTTAAAATGACCAGGATACCCCAAAATAGAATAATAGTAACTAATAGTAACTAGAATAACAGAATAGTAGTAACTAACATTTATTGTTTACTACATATCATACAGTCTTCAAATTGGTACTTTTGACATTATGGAGTAGGAACTATTATTGTCCCATTTAATGGATGTGGAAACAGAGACACAATGAAATGCAACAGCTCCTCCAAGTTTCTACAGTAGTAAGTGACAGAGCTGACCTTCAAATCTGTGCAGTTTACCTTCACAGAGCCATCTTTGCTACTTCCAAAGTAGGCGGTAAAAATTATGCTACTGGGAAGAGCCCTCTGCTAAATCCTTCGTATGTTACAGCAGCAAGCCAGCAACCGATTTCTACAGCTGGCCAAATGAGAGTGTGGAGCAACTGGAAGTCCCATACATTGATGGTGGGAATGTGAAATGGGATAAGCCACTTTGAAAAGTGTTTTGGCAATTAAAAAAAATTAAACATGCATCTCTCCTATCACCCAGCAATTCCACTCTGAGGTATATCTACAAGAGAAACAAAAACATGTCAACAAGAATGTTCATAAGCAGCTTTATCCATAACAGCCCCACACTGGAAATTACCCAAATGTCTACCGACAGGGGAATGAGTGACTAAGCTGTAGTCGATTCACGCCGTGAAATACTACTCGGCAATAAGAAGGAACACACTACTGATCCACGCAACACCATGGATAAGGGCTGTTACTCTTGAGATGTCTTGCTTTCAGAAATACGGACATGGTTCAGAAACTATCAAAAGTGGTTGGCCCTGGATGTGACGGAAGGTGAGGGGGCAGGGGCCAGGAACGGTTGTTTTACTCTTCCAGCCTTTCTGCACTTCTGGTAATTTGAAAAACTGCATGCTATTTAATTTCATCATGCTTCCAAGGTCTGTTTCTGCTTTTTAGCCAATTGACTGCCAGCTGAAGTCTAGTTAAATAACTGGCAGCCCCACTTCTTAGGTTCAGTTTGGACACTTAGCGTCCAACTTGGAGGAGATGAATATCAAATGCATGTAATTACATAACTTGGCCCAAAGTGAAGGAAATGAATTATCTAGGTGACCAGGACTGGGTGGCTGTGGTCCAAGAGTGGCGGGGCAGAAGAACTCATTCCCGAGGAGGGACGAGTTGGGGGCATCTCACATGAAAGTGACCTTGAGAATAAAGCCCCACATCTGCAGGTCACCTGTGTCCTCTGAGAATGTGGCCATTAGTTTTGACAGCGCCTCAGCCAGGAGCCTATAAATGAACGAAAAAGACTACTAGAGAAGGGTGCTGTTTTACATAAATTGAGGATTGTATGAGAAAATAGTTTCTCATGCTGATTGGCACCGCAGTCTCTGGTGTATTCAAAATGCAAATGAAAACAACCTTTGCTGAACAGGACTCTTTGCATCTGGAATGCTTCAGACAGTAAATCCAGAACTTCAAAGACAAGAGAAATTAGGGGTTGGCTGCCCATATTACATAAGATTTATCATTTTTACAAAGTAGCAGATCTTGGCATGTGATTTGTTTCACAAAAACTCTATTTAGACACCTCCTTCCGTCCTCTTATAAGGCCCGCCTGCAGTAGTCAACCTGGCCATTTCCTGTGTCCTGTCCCCCCATTGCCATCCCATACACTCCATGGGGACAGGGCTCTTCTCTGGGTCTGTCATCATTTTATTCCCACTGCTCAGCACAGGGCTTGCCCCGCTTTAGAAGCCCAGGATATATTTCTTGTGTGAACAGTGTTAAAGAAAAAATTATTCCCATGCTTGTTAAAATAATAAGGAAGACTTTACTCAGGACAACTACAATAGCTGTCAAGATGATTGTAATAGGGAAAAGATTGAGCTCAATTCTGAATACAAGAACACATTTGGGTTTATAGCCAAGGAGCAGGTTGCAAGGTTGTGGATGGAAATTTACCAAAGAGACATCAAGATTGGAGGGATTCTTGCTGGACTTGACCAAGTGAGGTTCTGGCTGACGGCAGGCCAGGGTGACCAGATATCTAGGGTGGGCGTTGAGGGGATGCTTTCTAAACTGACTTATCAGGATTCTTGCTGAAATTGGGCTAGGCAAGCCTGGCAAGGATGGGGCCGAGGTAAAGGTCTGGTTGAGAAGAAGGCTTAGAGGACCTGATTAACGTTTGGTTAAGGAGAGAGTCTTTGTCAAAGGCTGAATGCAAGGTTTCTTTGTCTCGAACTAGTTCTTTAGGTTTTCAAGTGCATCATTATTAATATTTTAGGTCGACATTCCAGTAAGACTTGTCTTTTATTGGGTTTCTGCTTGTGGTTTATTTTCTTTGTTATGTGTTGGGTTGGGGCTCTTCGTAAGCAACAGGAACTGACTCAGGCTGCAGAGTAAAGCAGTTTCAACTGCATTTGATGTTTTGGTCACCCTACCTAAGATGCAGCTTCTAAGAGGAGAGCACAGATTGGCCAGTACGGGACTTGTCACCTTGATTGGCAGGTCCTCCAGACTGTATCCAAGGCGGCAAGCTTTGTTCCCCCAAAGAGAATTGGGATGCTGTTACTGGAGAAACAGAAACAACTGAGGAAACAGTGGTTCTCAACCCTACCAGACTAACTCAACAGCCACCTTTATGACAAATATTGTATAAAGCCTCCTTACACTTCTGAAATGAAATTCATAAACAATATGACCTACCTATATACAAAATTGAAGAAATCAGACTATTGTCCTCGCTATAATGTCAAGGAGAAATAAAAAGGAATCTAACTTGTAGAATATTGCTTATAATAACAATAACAAAACAATAGAATTGCACAAAATTAATGCATATATGTGCTTGGGGACAGATGTGCTACAAGGCATAAAATACGAGTGAAATATTTGCTTCTACCATTGATGAATATGTCTGGACTTAAAAATGCAAGATAACCAAAAGTCATCCTGTCTAAGAAGTACAGAAAATTAAAAGGCAGAGGAGGAGTGAAGAAAACACATTTAATGTGCATTAAAAGATGCATCAAATGCTTTGTGTTCCTATGGAGTTAGATTTGAGGCTCATTTATTATAAATAGAGTTTTTGTCTGCGGGAATATCCAGAAAGACATTTAAAAGTCATGGAGGATGCAAGATAATTATTTGTTGTGTGGGATTGTTTTGCATGCGATGGTAGTGATAGCGTCCTGTGCTCCTGTCTACTAAATGCCAGGAGCCCTCGTAAGGAAAATATGGGGAAAATTTTGAAGTTTAGTGTGTGTCTTGACTAGCTCATCAACCCAGGTGATCTTTGTCTTCATTGTCTCTAACTAGACTATTTTCTAGTTCTTTATAGATACAAGTCTATTTGTAGCAAATTCAGAGCAATGCAATTCCTGTCCATAGAGATGTACATTATGTCTAGTCGGGTTCAATGCACTCCCTTCCTCCATTATGAAATAAGCCCGTTTTGCATCTACTAATCAAATGCATTTCAGCATTCCTAATAGCCTATAAATGTGTCTGCTCTTTGAATTTCCTTTTGAATTGGTTTTAAAACCTTTCTACTTCCCTCATCCATTACTGAGTTAAATAAAACTGTTGACACATATTCTTTTAATATTTGTTTGAGAGTCATGATTTTATCTTTAAAAATTAGGCTTTGATAATTTCAATCATTGTGGAACCAAAAATTCACCCCTCATAATTTCAAAACTCCCTAGAAAACAATACTATGCCCACTGTGAGTCACTGCATCTCACACACACACACACACACACACACACACACACACACACACACACACACACACAGAGAAATGATAAACCTACAGATACTGAATTTATTTTCTCTTCTGTGTATCGTGTGACCTGGTAGTTGACTGAATGCTATATCGCCCCTGTTTTACAAATGTTCTACTTTGGAATTTTAGGGTTTGAAACTGGAAGCTCAAGATGGGCACCTGCAGATCACACTTTATTCATAGCCATTTTTCTTTAACCAAAATCCTCGGCTTTTTGGCTTTCGTACGAGGAGAGGAAAATCACAGTTCCAGAGATGACCGGACACTCTTCAACACTTTTATGAAAGGGAATTACATTTTGTATAATTCTAATCTTCTCAGCCATGGTTGTTTCTTTGTTGTGGGGTATTTTTAAGCATCAAAAGGAAGAAGAAGGAAAAAATCCAGAGACCACCCCCAAGCCTGAAATCCTGTTAAACCTCACACAAAACCAAAGCCAACAGACCTTGACAGAATAAGCTCATAAACGAACAGAGCACAGTCTTAGGGGTGAGATCCTGTGCGGTCCTTCATAAGCTCAATTCCTCCCATCTGGACAACGGGGGACAGAGCAGGTTTCCTATTTTCCAGGTATTCTGGTTGGCTACTTGCCACGGAAAGAACCATTCTTTGATCTTTGGGTTTAGTGCTCGTTTTCATAGCTCCGGTCCTTTTACAAGGAAGGGGCAGAAATCATCACTCAAGGTAGGCAGCAGAACACGAAAGAGGCGTGGATGTTTTTTGTGCCCTGTTGGATGAAATTAGCATCCTGACAAAGAAAGTTCTTGCTAATAGATCAGGGGGTCACGGTAGGGAGGATGAGATCTCTTTCCTAAAATACTTATACCCTGATCAATGTAGGACATATTTCCAATACTGAGAACAGCTTCTAAAGCATTTTTTTCTGAAGGGTTTTATGATATTAGAATACTAATAATTGCTAGCAAATACTCAAAAATACTAAAAAATCCCCCAAAGTGTGGTGCGAATGCACGATGGTGTGTGACCCGTGCATCAGCTCCCATGTGTTGTGGGTGTGCACCTCCCGTGCTCCCCGGTATGCCTCTGGGACCACCTGCTTCCCCTCCTGGCCTCCTTCCCTCCAGCCAACAACCCCGGCCCCTTATTCTTCCTCTAAGAGGCCAAACTCATGCCCATCTTGGCTTGTTTCTACTCTCTGTTTACACCTCTGCAATGCTCTGTCCCTGGGAGCCAAATGACATACTTTCCCTCCCTGTGATGAATTCAGGTTTCTTCTCCAATGTCCTCTCTCTCAGGAGGCCTTCCTGACCACCTGTCTAAAGTAACTCCTTGGCCAGGTGCAGTGGCTCATGCCTGGAATCCCAGCAATTTCGGAGGCTGAGGTGGGTGGATCACTAGAGGTCAGGAGTTCAAGACCAGCCTGGCCAACATGGTGAAACCCCGTCTCTACTAAAAATACAAGAATTAGCCAGGCGTGGTGGCGGGCACCTGTAATCTCAGCAACCCAGGAGGCTGAGGCAGGAGAATCGCTTGAGCCTGGGAGGCGGGGAGGTTACAGTGAGCTGAGATCACGCCACTGCTCTCCAGCCTGGGCAACATAGTGAGAATCCATCTCAAAATAAATAGGCAAGTAAGTAAGTAGATAAATAAATAACTCCTCCATCCCTCTTGATCCTATTATCCCACCTTATTTTTTTCATAGCACTTTTCATTTGACGTTGCAGGTGCTTCTCACGATACAATGAGGCCACGTCCTGACAAAACCACTGTAAGCTGAAAATGTATTAAATCAAACAGTTGTTAACTCCAGCTGCTCCTTGGGTTATGATGGGGTTATGTCCTGATAAACCCATCATAAGTAGAAAATATTGTTAATTTGAAAATGCATTTAATACACCTAGTCTACCAAATATCGTAGCTTACTTATCCTAGCCTACCTTAAACATGCTCAGAACACTTTCACACCATTGTAAAGTTGAAAAATCATTAAGTCAAGCCATCCTAAGTTGGGGATCATCTGTATTGCATATCTATTTTTTAAAGTTGGTTATTGTCTTTCTTCCCATTAGAAGGTCAAGTCCAAGAGGGTAGGGATTGTGTTTTGTTCACAACGCTGTTTTGCTCCAGTGCTTGGGACAGAAGATGGTACATAGTAGGACCTCAACCAATATTTACTGACTGAATGTGAGTCTGCTTTTCTTTGAAGCACCAGCCTAGACCTGCCTCCTTCTTGATCCTCTTAGGATGCCCATCAGACTCAGTTCCTCTTCCCTCAGTGGCCTCATCGTATGTTTGTGGCCAACACATGCTTTTTGAGGCCTATGGCTGGGAGGCTAGATCTAGGAAGACAACAGAATTCCTGCCTCCCGGAGCCGACATTCTCACAGGGGAAAATGGATATTAAACATGTGGTTTGTATCTCCATCTAGTTCTTAAATTTCCTTCTACCTCATTTTATATTTACTTTGATCATTTGTTCAAAAAGCAATTTCTCTGTGTGTGTTTCTCTTACCATTTGAAAAAACTGGGTGAAGCACTAGGGAAACTGAACTATAATAGAGACGGAGGGATCAATGTTTGGGCTAAGGATGGGAGTGGGACAACAAGGGAGAAATCAGAGAAGGCTTCACGGAAGAAGTGACAGAAATAGAAGGATGAGTAAGAGTTCACCAGAAGTGGGACTGAGAGGGAGAGGCACCTGGGCGGAGGGAGTGGTCTGTGTAAAGGTGTACAGGCCAAAGAGCTGCTATTGATGGAAGAGAGCATCATTTGAAATACCCTAAAACTGATCAAACTTTCTAGATGATAACTCAGCTTCTCATGTCCCAATGCAACGCAATCCAACCTGATCCAACCCAAACTGACCCAATCTGATTCAATCCAATCTGATTTGATCCATCCAATCCAATCCTGGGGTATCTTTTGAGAGCTGGCCAAGTGCAAAGCATTGTGGAGGATGCAGAGAGGCACAGAGCACACCCCTTGCCCTCAAGGCATTCTGGGTCTTTCCAGGAAGGCTGGTATTTACAGGCAAATAAGAGGAAAGAATCTGATTTGTGTTTAAGGCATCACAGGACGATGGGCAAACACACACGGCTTGGAGATTTGTGCCCAATTCACTTGGTAAGTGAAAAGTAGCAAACCTTATTAGATAGTGGCCAGGTCATCCATCCATTCATTCATTCATTCACTCACTCACCTGACAAGGATGTATTGAGCACCTACACCACGTACTTGGCGCATTCTAGGTGTCTGGGAGAGGGAGGTAAACAGGAACGATGAGACCCTTGCTCTCATGGGGCTTACCCTGAAAATTCACCAAAATATAGGTGAACAGCTGAGTAAATAAGACCTTTTCAGAGCGTGACTGTGCTGTGAAGAAAGTACAGCGGGGCAGTGGACTAGTGGGGTGTGGGAGCAGCAGGATGGGTCCCCCCCTTCAATGCAGTATCTGGGGAGAAGCCCCTCTGACCTCTATTAGGGCTGAGACTTGCATGTGGAGGACAAGGTGGGCATGTAAAGGTCTGCCAGAGGGCACAGCGAGTTCAAGGCTGGGAGGTGGGGACAGCCACCTGGGTGTATTTTGGGGAACAGAAGGGCCAGAGAAACTGTGGGGAAAGTGACATGGCTTTATTCTAACTGGAGATGCAATGAAATAAATTTCTCATTTTCAACTCACTGCTTGCAGGGATCCATTCTTCCCCTAACTGGAAGACTGTGATATGTAGAAAGCACTGACAAGGTTTAATTTAATTTAGATTGTTGAAGCCCATCAAATTATTCCATTCCCACCCCCTGGGCCCTTTTCTTTCCTGCCCTTGAATCTCATCTTCCACTTGGTCCTTTGACAGGGATGACTCGCCTTGTGACGCAGAGTCCCTAAGCCATC
This sequence comes from Homo sapiens, assembly GCF_000001405.40. Taxonomy (NCBI): domain Eukaryota; kingdom Metazoa; phylum Chordata; class Mammalia; order Primates; family Hominidae; genus Homo; species Homo sapiens. Next base: position 47,940,196 of record NC_000020.11, read on the forward strand.
CAATTTCCTGCGCATTATTAAAATTGTTAAAACACAAAATCCAGGTACAGTTGTTATCTCTCTTATTGATCCATACAGAAAAGAAACAGCCAAGAAAAGGAAAAAAAAAATCACGTGACCTTGGATCCATATCAGCTCAGCACAGCTGAACAAAGGCTGGGGAAATTTTCTGGTTGATATGTGAGATTTCATTCTTGGAACAATGATGCTTCCAAACAATGATACCACCCATGGCTTTTGTATATGGAGGGCTCATAGAGGCTGTCTGGTGCTGAGGGGTCAGGGAAGGAACTGCTTCTGCACAGGACATTCTTTGTTTCAGCGGCACTTAGTGAGCACTTGGTGTGTACCGAGCATGGCTCTAAGCACTTCACAGGTGTGATCTCATTGAATCTGCCTGACAGCCCTTGGAGAAGTGATGTTATTAGCTCCATTTCACAGATAGGAAAACTGAGGCCTGGAATGGTGAAGTGTTTCCTGTTCATCATAGAGTGAGTAAGAGATGGCACCTGGATTAACAGCAGTCTGTTTCACAGCCCGTGCTGGTCAGCCCACCTGGTTGACTGATGCAGCTGGGCGACCTTGGTCCAGGTGTTTCACCTCCCTGTGTCTCAGGTTTCTTCTCTGGAAAGTGAGGACGATAGTCACACTTTCCCGATGAGGCTGTTGAGAGGATCAGATGGGCGCCAGGAGCCTGGCAAGGGCTGCACAGCTACGAGCTGTCATTGCATCTGAAAACCTGCCATTGGAAAAAAAAAGGCAGATGATCTTCTGTGGGAGCCACAAAAATCAGGATTCCAAGATGCCCCCACCTCTGCCTATACACGGGGCTGTAGCTCCAACAGTCACAGTTAGTTCACTGAGATCAGCCTCCCAGATATCACATAGGCCGTTCTCCGTGGGGGGTTAACAGTCTCCTAGTAAGTGCTTCACTTGCGGCTTCTCTGGAGTTGCTGGTGTGTGTGTGTATTTGTGTGCTTGTATGTGTACATGTGTGCGTGTGTATGTGTGTATATATGGGTGTGTACGTGTGTGTGATTGTGTTTGTGCATGTGTGTGTGTACCCGGGTTACAGAAGGGGCTCTGGGGTCAGATGGCCTGAGATTTAACCCCACTCTTCAGCTACTCATTAGCCCACAACCTCAGGCAAATGACTTAACCCCGTGGTGCTTCTGTGTCCTCCTTCATGCTGTCGTGACTATCATAGCCCCGACCTATAGGGTTGATGTGAAGATTAGATGAATTAGTCTGTATGAAGCTCTTAGAAGGGGCCCTGGCACAGGACTGGTGCTGGACACATGTCATTACCACCCATGATCCCCAGGCGTCTACCGCACACCAGCTCTATGCAGGACCCTGGGGTGAATGCCACATAGACCCCTTCCCCTCAGGCAGCGCCAGCCTGGGTGGAGGGGGAGTGTTCCAGCCCCACTGGTAACTAGCTGGGTGGCCTGGGCCAGCTTCTTCACCTCTCTGTGCCTTCACTCGCCTCCGGAAAGTGGGGACGATAGTCACACTTACCCGAGGATGACATTGAGAGGATTCAACAAGCGCCAGGAGCCCAGCTAGGGCTGGTTAGCTATGAGCTGCCATTCCTATCATTGTCATGTCTCTGTTTGTTCTCTGTCCTTGGCCGCTTCACTGTTCCTCCAGCAATCTAGATGCGTTCCTGCCTGGTGGTCCTGCCGCTCCCTCTGCATGGCCCTCACCTCCCCTGGATCTTCATTTAGTGACTTCTGGTCACACATTGCTCCCTTGGGAGGCCTCCCAGCCAGGCCATCCAATGGAGCTCTTCATCCACCACTGGCCACTCTCCAGCCAACAGCAGCAAACTACAGCTGGGGGACAAATCCAGTCTGCTGCCTGTTTTTGTCAATAAAGTTTTATTGGGATACAACCACTTGGATCTGCCTGCATATCATCTATGGCTGCCTTCTTGCTTCAGGGGCTTGGTTGACTACTTGCGACAGAGACTATATAGACCAGAAAGCCCAAAGCATTTTCTATCTGATCCCTCTGGCTGCATGGAGGAGATGGGGTGGATGTTGGATGTTGGGTGAGGTTGTGGGGAGACCTTCTGTCCTTGCACAGCATAGAGAATGCTGAGGGTTCCCAGACACTGGGCCTGCAGGCAGAGAGATTATGTAGAGCAAAGCTGAGTCTTAGAGGCCAGGTAGGCCCTGACCGTTCCAAGGGTGGGTCACATTTCTGGCCCCCAGCATTGTTCTCTGAGAAATGGAAGATTTAATACTCTGGGACTCAGATAAGGGCCCTTCTGCCTCTAAAGTCTTGCGTGTCTGCCCAAGGTCATGCTGCCCATGACTTCACAGAAAGTTCGTTGGCTCCTGTTCTGTTCTGCTATCCCATTTGATTTCCATCAACCCTGAGTTGGGTTCCCAGAAACAGACTCTGGGATGAGGATTTGAGAGTAAGAAGTTTATTTGGGAGGTGATTCCAGAAAACCCTACAGGGGAGTGGGGCAGTGAGATGGGACAGGGGGTGTGCTATCACACAAGTCCCCTGCTTCACATCCATCATTGGCAGAGGGCCGCATCTGGGGCGTCAGCTCCCAGCACTTCCCAGGGGCCAAGAGAAGCCCTCAGCTAGAGCCTGGGGCTTGTGGTCAGATACCTGCCCAGCAAGGACTCGCTGTGTGTCGAGGGCATGTGGGCTACGCCAGCAGCTCTCACACCATCACAGCAACGATTATTTTCCAAAGGCATTTAGTTAAGTGAATTGCATGTCTATGCCTGTTTCCCTGTCTGATTGGGGCCTCATCACCTGGGCCTTCATGGAGGGTGGGCATCGACGAACACTGGCTGAGGGCAGCAGGGGTGTTTCTCTCCTTCGGTCTCTCTGCCTTCACAGGATTCCATGCTGCCCCTGCCCCTGCTTATATCTGATCTTATAAGCAGGACCGGATGTCATGATTCTACCACTCCTTCTGTTCATTTCTAGTTCTTTTTGGTTCAGTAGTTGTGACAGAGACAACCTTTTCTTCACTGATTTCCCCTTTTATACGTGCAAATTGGGAGTGACCCCATGGTCTCCAAGGCTGTGTCTGTCCCAGATTTGTAGCACACAAAACTCTTCCAGGCATAGCCACATTCAGCCTGGAAAGCTGAATGCATTGAATGATTCCTCTGGGATCCTTCTTCTTCTTCTTTTTTTTTTTTTTTTTTTTTTTTTTTGAGATAGAGTCGTGCTCTGTCACCCAGGCTGGAGTGCAGTGGTGCAATCTCACCTCACTACAATCTCTGCTTCCTGGGCTCAAGCGATCCTCCTACCTCAGCCTCTTGAGTAGCTGGGACTACAGGTACATGCCACCACACCCAGCTAATTTTTTGTATTTTTTTTTTTTAGAGCCATGTTACCTAGGCTAGTCTTGAACTCCTGAACTCAAGCAATTCATCTGCCTCAGCCTTCCAAAGTGCTGGGATTACAGGTGTGGGCCATCCTGCCCAACCTCCTTCTGTTCATTTCTGACCAGGCATGGTGACCTTGCCTGGGATAGTGAATGAGCCAAGACACTGAGCAAGAAACTCAGACAGCAACATCTGGTTCAAGATTTACCCCTCATGGGTTGTGGGAGCTTGGGCAGACACATAAGACTTTAGAGGCAGAAGGGCCCTTATCTGAGTCCCAGAGTCTCAAATCTTCAAATTTTCAGACAGGGACGTTGGGGTTTGGAAATGTGACTCACCCATGGAACAGTCAGGGTCTACCTGGCCTCTAAGACTCAGCTTCACTCGACATAATCTCTGCCTGCAGGCTCAGTGTCTGGGAAGCCTCAGCATCCTCTATGCTGTGTGAGGACAGAGCATCTCCCCCCAAACCCACCCAACATCCAACACCCACCCCACATCCAACACCCCCCTCCCATCTCCTCCATGCAGCAGAGCGATCATTCATTGCATCAAAACTACACATCACTCCTGCTGTCTAAATGCTTCTATGGCATCACCTGGCCCTAAAAATAAAGACAGAAGCTCCTGAATGTGCTGTGTCAGTGGAATTGGGTTTGATTGTGAGCAGCAGAGACCTAGAATGATAGAGGCCCAAATAAAGTATAAGAAACAGAGAAAAGGCCCCCGTGCCTGGGCCCAGTCATCAGGGCTGAGTGTCAAGAGGACAATCAGAGAGGTAGGCAGGAGCTGCATCTCAGGGGGCTGGTAGGAGGCTGGATTGCACTCTGTGTGTGTGGGATGAAGTCATAGGAGGATTTTGAGCAGGGGAGCCACATGATTTTATTGTCTTTAAAAAGGTGTACTTGTCTTAGTCTCCATATTACATCTGTTTCAATGACTATTAGGTTAATATCTCCCCTCCCCAACCTCTACCCCAAATGAACTGTCCATGGCTGTAGGAAGCACAGCTATGTTTTTCTCAGCTTCTGTATGTATCTGTGTATGTCCTGCTTCTAGCACATTGCTTGGCCTGTGGCTGATACTCAGTGAATATTTATAAAGGAGAGAAGGGAGGAGAGGAAAGGTGAGTCTCGAGCCAGGGCAACCCTTTCTTCACTGATTTCCCCTTTTGTACATGTAAATTGGGAGCGACCCCATGCTCTCCAGGGCTGTGTCTGTCCCAGATTTGTAGCACATAAAACTCTTCCACATCGCTGCTGAGGTTGACTGTATGTTGAGCAAGAATAAGTAACGACGGGAGTCACGTTGACTGCAATTCAACCATCTAAAAAGACAGGGGCCTTCAGTCATGTGGGTTTGGCAACATTTGTCATCACTGAGGAGAGAGGTAACTAGAGGATGATTTATTGCAACCTTTTCTGGTGTGATAAGAGCCAGTTGCTTAAAGGGGGAAAACAGATCATCCATGGCTGCTTGCTTAAAGAGTTCTGTGAGTATTTGTTCTTCTTTTCAGCCATATAGAAACTTGGAACTACTTTCTTGTGTTCAGCAAACTTTACATCTTCTGCAGACTTCAATTACTCAGTTATCCGACCCACTGGCTTACTCTGGAAGGGCTAGGTCCAATGGCTCTGGTTGTTCTAATCCTGTGTACCCATAGACATTCATTTTGAACTGGAATCTTGTAACTTTAAGAAACAGCAGCCTCATTCAATCATTTCTCAGGATGGCCCATTAGTGGGAGGAGCTGCATCCAGGTCCACAGGATATACTGACAGGGGATATGTATCAGACGTGAGAGTCCCATATTGGTATTTTGGGTAGTAGATGCTATAGTGTTGGTACCCAGAGGTATTTTCATGTGAACAGCTCTGTGGTAAGATTTGGACCAAGTTCCTGGCTATGTAACTTTAAGTCTAATTATCTAGCCCTTCTGGGTAGATCTCCTAGTTACCTGCTATGTTTTAGCAAGTTTCTGCTTAAATTTACTGGACAGAGTTCTGTTGTTTGCAACTAAAGCCCTGACTCATACATGGTACAGGTGTGTGAAGCTGCCTACGGAGTACCAGAGAGGAAGATGGGAATAAAAGGGGGCACATGTACTTGGACTTAACTGGGACCCTGGAACCAGGAAGCTGGCACACGAGGTGGGCTATCTGCAATTGATCATACACATTTCCTTTTATTTAGTCATTGAGCAAATATCTATTGTGCACAAACTATCCCAGGCGCTGTGCTAGGCACTGGGGGTAAAGTACTGAGCAAGACAAAGGTCCTGTTCTCACTGAGCTTCCATTCTGGTTGGAGAGATAGCAAGAGATGGAAAATGAATAAATAAGGTATTTTCAGATTGTGATAAGTGCTTTGAAGAATGGTTTGATAAAAAGCGATGACTGTGGAAGGCTGCTTTAGCCAGGGTGGTCAGGGGAGGGTTCTGAGGAAGCCAACCTTGGGGATGTGGAGGAGCCAGCCATGCCAGGTGCTGGGGAGCACGTGTCCCGGTGGGAGAAGCAACAGCCCGGAGCAAGAAAGGTCTGCATGTTAAAGGAACACTAAGGGCCAGATTGTGCAGGGCCTCTCGGGCGCAGTAAGGAGTTTGGGTTTTATTTCACTACAGTAGGGGGTCATTGGTGAAATTTAAGCAATGGAGTGACATCACGATGTGAATTTGTGAAAGCAGAGTTTGAGCCTGTGGGGGTGGCAGGGAGCAGGGGCACCTAACACGAGTGGAGAGCTGCTATGGAGTGGATGTTTGTCCCCTCCAAACCTCGTGCTGCAATTTGATTCCCACTGTTGGAAGTGGGGCCTAATGGGGGGTGTTTGAGTCATGGTGGCAGATCCCTCATGAATAGATTAATGTGCTCCCTTGTGGGTGAGGGAGTTCTCACTCTGTTAGTTCCCATGAGAGCTGGTTGTTAAAAAGAGCCTGGAACCTCCCCATCTTGTTCTTGGTTCCTCTCTCGCTGTGTGATCTCTGCACACACCAGCTCCCCTTCACCTTCCACCATGAGTGGAAGCAGCTCGAGGCCCTGATCAGATGCAGATGTCCAATCTTGAACCTTCCAGCCATCAGAATCATGAGCCAAATATTTTTTCTTTATAAATTATGCAGATTCAGGTATGCTTTTATAGCAACACAAAACAGACTAAAACAGGAGCTGTTTAGAGACCTAGCACCCAGGGTTTTTACTGGGGCAGGTCCCATGGGCACCCTCTGCTTAGCACGCACCAGGATTCCACACACATGGAATGAAAGTAGATGCCCAGCCTAAACCACATTGTTTGCAGCAAGGAGGCTATTGTAATTTTCCGACTAAGAGATAATGAGGGCTTGGATAAACGTGGGGGTGATAGAGAACAGAAAAGTGAGTGGATTAAGAATCTACTTTGGAGGTAGCGCTGTCAGAAAATGCTGATGGATTGGGTGTGGGGTGTGAGAGAAAGTGAGTGCCAGACTTAGCCAAATGGGCACAGATTATCATGGGAGAATCCAGCACCATCATTAAGCACTTTAGAGTTCAAGAAATGCTGCTTCATACATACCCTCTCTCACTTAACCATGGGCAATTCACAGTAGAAAGGATCTCAGGGGACATCTAGTGTAACTGTGTACTTTGACAGGTGAGGAAACTGAGACTCAGGGAGGGGAAGTATTTTTTTCAAGATTAAACAGAGAGTTCATTGCAGACACCAGCTTGGAATCTGTGTTCTTTGATTTCCAAGTAAGTGATCTTTCAATATGCCATTTTTATGGGAGGATTGGAAATATTATAAACAATAGAATGTTAAAGCTGGAAAGGATCTTGTGCTGGTTCTTAAGCTACTGTTTCTCATCCCCAAACTCAACCTTTTAAATTTCATTCTATAATGCTGAACCTGAGACTTTACATTTATTCTTCATCAAGTTTGTTTCTTGCTGGGTTCCATCCACTTGGGATAGCAGCCTGGGCCCAATCAGGGGATAAAAACCACACAGTGATTTAAACAGAGAAAATGTTACGTAAGTAAATATTAAACTATGATAAAAGAATAACTGTAGAATATTTTAAAAAGTATATATGGCTCCCTAAGGCTAAGAGAATGAACCCTAGGAAGGACAAGCTTGGAAAAGGGCCCCTTCCTATGGATGGGGTTTAGAGCTTCTTGTAGAAGGTCATTTGCTGACCCCTGGCTTAGCTTATTGGTATACAGGAAGAGCACCTAACACAGTCACTAATATTCTAAAGTCATCAATCCCTTCTCTCCATCTCCACTGTTGCCATTTTGGTCCAAGCCATCATCATCTCTCAACTGACTATTGCAGTAGTCTCCTGACTAGGCTCTTGGTTTCTGTCTTGACCCTGTATTAGGTCAGGTTTCCTAGAAGCAGAGCCTATGACAGATGGCTTATGCATGTGACTTATTGAGAAGCTACTCCTGAGAGAAGGGAGTGAGGGTGCAGAATAGGTCAGGAAAAAAAAGCTAAGCAAGGAAGGAGAGTAACTTCAGCCTGGTCCCATGGAAAGCCCGGGAGCATGAACTGTACCCCAGAGGTCCCAGTCTGAGGCAGGGGGCTGGCATTTGCATCTCCATGCTAGTCATTGGCTATGGGCTGCCCTAGGATGAGCATGGGGGTTGCAGCTTATTGGACAAGGAAGTTCTCATGTGGCCTAGGGCAGTACTCTGGGGAGGGGGACACCTGTGAGCCATTTTCAGACACCACTCAAAACGGCTGGGGCAGGCCGGGCGCGGTGGCTCATGCCTGTAATCCCAGCACTTTGGGAGGCCGAGGCAGGAGGATCACCTGAAGTCAGGAGTTCAAGACCAGCCTGGCCAACAAGGTGAAACCCCGTCTCTATTAAAAATTCAAAAAATTAGCTGGGCATGGTGGCGGGTACTTGTAATCCCAGATACTTGGGAGTCGGAGGCAGGAGAATCACTTGAACCTGGGAGGGGCGGAGGTTGCAGTGAGCTGAGATTGTGCCATTGCACTCCAGCCTGGGCAACAAGAGCAAGACTCTGTCTCAAAACAAAAAACCAACATAGTTGCACATGCTCAGTAAGGGGGATCCACGCAAGGGTCTGATAGCATCCACACCCGCTCCAACCGTCTATTAATAGACAGTGGTCAAGGTGGTCCTCCTCTTCAAGTTCAGGTTCAGGTTCCAAGACAGAATGGGTCAGTCTTGTAATGGGGACTGTGAGATTTGCTGGGCTGCTGTAGGATCTGCCAAGGGACATTAGAAGAAAGGCAGGAAACCACACTGGGGTTAGAGTCCCACAGAATTTTATTTCAGCTCTGGCCCTTTCTGGCTGTGAGGTCTTGGGTGAGTGTCTTCTCTCTCTGGATGCATTTCATCACCTAAACATGGGACACCCACACCTGCCCAAGGGATTAGCTCTGGGATCATCCTCTGAAGCCCACCACTGCTGCTGCTGCTTCATGCATTGGCACTAATTTTGAATGCCTTGTTGGATGTTCACATAGGTTAAAAAGCTGCTTGAAATGATCTGAGCCCAGAACTGAAATCCATTTTACATAGAAATAATTTTTATTTTATTTTATTTTTTTTACTGTTTTAAACTGAGTTTTACCACACTGTTCCCATGGTGTAAACTACGGGAAGATTGTACTCTGTTCTTTTCAGGATTTATTCAATGTTGCTCACCTGTTTGAAAAAAATCACCTTACCAATGGCAGAGCCTCTTGTGGTGTCTGAGTTGCCCAGAACAGTACAGCTGTAGTCAGTCCGCATCTGTGACTTCGTTCACTGTGATTCTGCATCCAAGTTCAAGCATCTGATGACATAATTACACGGTCTACCTTAGTAATGCCAGGTGTATTAGTCTTCTCAGGCTGCTATGAAGAAACACCCGAGACTGGGTAATTTATAAAGGAAAGAGGCTTAACTGACTCACAGCTCTGCAGGGCTGGGGATGCCTCAGGAAACTTACAATCAAGGCGGAAGGGGAAGCAGGCTTGTCCTCCTTCACATGGTGGCAGCAAGGAGAAGTGCAGAGTGAAGTGGGGGAAAAGCCCCTTATAAAACCATCAGATTATCCTGAGAACTCATTTACTGTCACGAGAAAAGTATGGAGGTAACCACCCCCGTGATTCAGTGACCTCCCCCCAGTTCCCTTCCATGACACGTGGATATTATGGGAGCTACAGTTCAACGTGAGATTTAGGTGGGGACACAGCCAAACCATATCACTAGGGCACTTACATGTTGAACTATGTTTTGTTTTATTATAAATTCCTTTCTTTTTCTCTTTATATCCCTCTGGGGAAATTACATTGTTTAAGAAAATGCCTGTAGCTAGGTTATATTTTCTATGAATTTCATTTCAGTTGAGTAAAGGGAAAGTGATAAAGTATTTGTGTTAAAAGCCTGGCATTGACTCTGACAGAGTCGAGAATCACACATCTACAAAGAATTAGCAACATCTTCTCTTTCCATAGGAAACCCATAGCCTCACTGAGAGACACCTTGGAGCTCTTTGTTAGTTTGAGCCACATTTTACAAGGAAGGACTCTTTTCTGTCCTCTCCCAACTGCTATCCTTTGCTAGGACTCCTTAAGAGGGAGTATTTTCCCTCTTAAGGAGTCTGCTGGGGACCTGTGTAATCATTTAGCCCACATCCTGGGCCATGTCAGCTCTCCTGGAATTGTCCCTACTAGCGTTGAGTGTGGCTGTCTTACTCCCCTTTGCTGGAGGAACAGACCTGGACTTCTGCCAAACTGAGGTCCCTGCCTGGTGAGTAAGTAATTTGTTTCCTCCATAGGAGATGGAGCGACAATCAAGAAACAAACAAACACATTTTTTTTTTAAAAGGCATAAAAGCTTAGTCATGCAAATCAAGGCAGAGGAGAGAGGGTAAAGAAAATGGCCTTATTCATATTCTGCAACTTCAGCACGCCCTGGCCCATGGGCCGATTTCTATTAAAACACTCAGCCTAGAGCAGCCAACACTCCGGCTCATTAATAAAGGTTTGTCCCAAGTGGAGTAAACACCACCCGTTCCCAGGACACCCAGAAGCAGAAAATTAACCAGAGGTGAACTGGGTCATTAGCTGCTGCACAATATGGGTCATCCTAGATTAATTTAGTTCCCTTCAACTGGAGGCTCAAAGAGAGTGACCGGTTCTCATAGCGGGGAACAGTGACTTAGCAGCGTGTTGAGGTCTCTTGGATACCAGGCCAGGAGCTGCCATTATGATTCATGGCGCCTCTGACATCACTCAGTGGTTTTGTGATGCAAAGTTCACATGTCTGAGCACACATAAGGGACTCTGTGAATATGTGTGTATTTGTTGTGTGCATGCCCGCAGAATGGGATACAGAGACTCACTCTATTCATCAGGGATTTGTTTTAATCAGGTATGGTAAGACCCCCAGACACAGAAAGTACTGTCATCCGGGAAGACATTCATTACATTCTAGGTCCCGAGAAACGGGAGACATGGCATGCTCTGCGGGGCCGCACGGGGAACCCTGGGAACCCGGGAACCGTGCTCTGCGGTCCGCACGGGGAACCCGGGAACCGTGCTCTGCAGGGCCACATGGGGAACACTGGGAACCCGGGAACTGTGCTCTGCGGGGCCACACGGGGAACCTAGGAACCCGGGAACACGGGAACCGTGCTCTGCAGGGCCACATGGGGAACCTGGGGAACCGTGCTCTGCAGGGCCACACGGGGAACCCGGGGAACCGTGCTCTGCAGGGCCACACGGGGAACCCGGGGAACCGTGCTCTGCAGGGCCACACGGGGAACCTGGGAACCCGGGAACCGTGCTCTGCAGGGCCACATGGGGAACCCTGGGAACCCGGGAACCGTGCTTTGCAGGACCACATGGGGAACCCGGGAACCCGGGAACCGTGCTCTGCAGGGCCACATGGGGAACCCTGGGAACCCGGGAACCGTGCTCTGCAGGGCCACATGGGGAACGCTTCCTTTCAAGAGGAAGAGGGAGGAAGTGAGACATGAGCAAGAGACTTTATTGAGGAATGAATGGATAGGCAGTCACCAGGCTCAGGGTTGTGAGTGTGAGTCACTTCAGCAGGCTCTGGGACATAGGGGCTGTTCCTAGTTGTCTGGTACCTGGCCCTGGAGAGGGAGAGCCCAATAAAAGAGGTGGTTGGGGCGTGTGGGCTCTTGATTTGTTTTTCATTTGCAAGACATGCTCCAGATGAGTTGTTTCCTGTCTCTTAGGAATTGGCAGGCATGGGAAGAGCACGCTGTCCAGGGTCGGCAAGGCCTGGAAATGTCAGAGCATCAGAATACTGAAAATAAAAGACATGGTCAGTACTCATACATAGACATGACACACACATATACACACATACGCAGACTCACACATGTCAACAGCTGAATGAAAAATGTCTTTCATTCCTGGAAGCAGGAGTCATATCACTTTCTCCAAAGCATGTCTTTTTCTATGCAATGGTGTGCTTTAGGTGCAAGAACACTCGAGAAGCGGCAAAGATAAAGTTAAACAAATCCAAGTGTTATAATTCTGCATTATGCATATGTTTTGACTTTTCATCTTTTATTCAGAGAGTAAGATAACCAAATAGAGTAAAGGAAGCCCAGCCAACCAGCTCAGTTTCATGTGGGCAGAACCAGCAGGAAATTGAAAGGGGAGAGAAGCCCCTTGCCAAAGCCGCCTCCACTTGCACTGGGAAGCCCACCACAGGCCACCACCTGGGCTGGGAGATTTGTCAGCAGGCGTTGGCCTGTGACAGTCACACTTCCTGCTCCTCAGTCTGAGATGCCCCAACCAGATGGCGGAGGCCCGATGGGGAAGGAGCAGCCTCCACGGAGGCCCGCCTGGTTTTCCAGCCTTGGACTTGCAGCCGGGACATGAGGGCTCCCTCCTACTCTCCCACCCCTCCTGCTGGTGAAGCAAGCCCCTCCTACTCAGAAGGGAGCTTTCTCTGCCCTGGAAGATGCTTGGAAACTTGGCTTCCAGACGTGCAGGCGCCAGGGGCCTGTCCACTCCTCCTCCCCCTTCTCCTGGACTCACTGACCTTCCTTCTGTGCCACAAACAGCCAGGTTCATTCCCAACCCAGGGACCCTGTGTGACTGACCATTCTCCTCCTGGATGCTGTCCCCAGCCCTGTGCATGGCTGCCCCTTCTCACCTTTCAGGGCTCTGCCAGGTGCCACCTCCTGGGTGAGCACTTCCCTGGCCACCCTGTCCCCAGGAGCCCTCTCCACCAAGGCACTTCCTAGCATCTCACCCCATTTCCTCTTCTCAAGATCCCTCATCACCATCTGAAATGAATTTGAGCATGTGTTGACTTGGGGAACATATCTCCCCCTCCTTACCTGTGTGTGAGCTCCAAGGAAAATCAGTGTCCGACCTGACTTACGAACCTGTGTCCCCAGAGCCTACAGCGATACCCAGCCCAGAGGTGCTGGCTGCACATGATGCTGATGACTCCTAGGGTGAGCCTGGCATCTGAGTCCTGGGTTCAAGTCCTGATTCAGCTGTTCCCAGGCACCTGACTTTGGGAGAGATGCCTCCTCTCTGGGTCAAGTTTTTTTCCTTTGTGGCATGAACCTATATTCCAATATCCATCAGTCACGACTGCTGGGGCTCAAAGACCAAGGTGACATATGTCAAGGTGCTTGGCCAACTCAGAGAGTTGTGCAAAGAGAAATGACCACGTTAAGTTGCTGGCCCACGCCTGGGTAGAAGTCAGGGAATGGGCTAAGGAAGAGCATGGTGATGGCCCGCCTGGCGGAAGTCTGCAGTGTGTGGGTGTGTGTGTGCGGATGTGTTTGTGCATGCGTGTTATTAATGTTGTTTAATTGCCATTCAGGCTCCATAAATAGTAGCTAATTCTTCCTATGTGCCGAGTATATACACTCACTTAATTCTTGCAACAGCCCTGAGTGGTAGGCACTGCTGTTACCACATCATCCCCATTCTGCAAATAAGGGAACTGAGGCAAGGGAGAAGAAATGACACAATCTCCTGGACCCTCTTGATGCCATTGTGGACAACAGGCCGCCTGAACTCACGTTTCCAGGCTCTACTTGGCCATTTCTGTGACTCTAATTTCCCCAGTCAAAGCTTAAATTCATCACGCTGGTGTCCCTTGAGGATAAAAAAGTGATTAATTTTCTGCAGCTCACTTCTCTTTCTAGGTTAAATCTATTTTGGTGGCGAGGCTGGGGACACTGGGAATATGATACTGATCAATCTAGAATGTGTGGAGGAGTGGACAGCAGTTTTTAATCAGACAAGACCTTCAACCCCGGCACAGACCATCAATTGGCAGGTTCTCCTGGGACATGGACGTGGTGCATGGGGCTGCGTTCACCTGTGGTGGGGACATGTCAACTCGTTCTGGGGTTTCAGGGCTCCACTTGAACAGAACCAGTTCTCGTGACACTGTAGGCAGAAGAGAGCAGCACATGTCACATGGGGCTGGGGCTGAGGTCTTCTGAACACCCTGAAGGGGCATCTCTGGGTTTCACCTACCTGGATAGTTTCTCTCTGTTTTCCTAGTTCTTAGCGGGCTTCCCTTGTGGGAAACAACCTTCCTCCACTATGGTTTTTTTTTGTTTTTTGTTTTTTGTTTTTGAGACAGGGTCTTACTCTGTCACCCAGGCTGGAGTGCAGTGGCTAGATCAGGGCTCACTGTAGCCTCGACCTCCCAGGATCAAGCGATCCTCCCACCCCAGCCTCCCTAGTAACTGGGATTACAAGTGTGCACCACCATGCCCAGCTAATTTGGGTTTCGCCATGTTACCCAGGCTGGTCTCAAACTCCTGGGCTCAAACAACTCACCCACCTCTGCCTCCCAAAGTGCTGGGATTACAGGCATGAGTCACTGTGCCTGGTGCCCCCTTCCCCAACTCTTAATCCCCCAACTCCCCAGCTCCAAGATTGGCAAGTGACCCAGACCCAGCCAATCAAACATACTCTGTGATGGCATCAGGAGGTGGGTTCGTGAGCCCAGCTTGTCTGATCTGAGTCAGTCCCTGGACCTCTGCTGGGGAATTGGGGAAGAGGCTTCTCTTTTCTACTGACCTTGCTGGGCTGATGGGAGGATCAGGATCTGCTGGGGCATCTTTGCCACCTCATGAGAACTGTGTGACCCAGAAGGGAGCCCACCCAGGAGGACGCCAGCCTGAGAAATGGAAGAGAACCCTTCCTGATGATGTCATTTTGCACCAAGATCCAGCTGTGCCTGTAGTCAAATACTGCCGGGACATTAAGTTTCTGGAGTGAAGATATTCATGTTTTCACTCATTTAAGTTTGAGTGGGTATTCTGTCCTTTGTGATCAAGAGTGCTGCCTGATAGAGGTTGCAGTGAGCCGAGATCGTGCCACTGCACTCCACTCCAGCCTGGCGACAGAGAGAGTCTCTGTCTCAAAAAAAAAAAAAAAGTGCTGCCCGATAGATGACAGTTCCCCCTTTTTGTCTCAGTGACTTTTAGAGCTTTTGGAGGTCTCCTGTTGGGGGCCCTAGGCTGTAGGGAGGAGATTCATATTTGTCCTGTATTCTTGGGAAACCTTTGAGCTAAGATTGGACTGAAATGGCCTCAGGTGCTCTAATCAAATTGAGACCTGGTCCAATCCCTGTGGGCCCCTAAACCAAAGGTGAATAAGGTGCCTGCCTAGCAGGAGGTTGTGACCTCCAGGCTGATGGTGGGGTGAGAGCTGGGAGTCTGGATGGAGCAGATGTAGGCAGACAACAGGATGAGATTTGAAGGCCACAGCTAAGAATGACATTGAAGATCAAGACCTGTGCTGTCCTCCATGGCAGTCACTGGGCACCTGGGGTTATTTCAGTTTATATCAATGAAAACTAAATAGCTTTAAAAATTCAGTTCCTCAGTCACGCTAGCCACATTTTGAGTGCTCCATAGTCACATGTGGCTAGCGGCTGCTATATTGGACAGTGCAGACACAGAATATTTTCACCATGTGCAGAAAGTTGTACTCAACAACACGAGACAGACATATAAGGTTTTGAGTCCAGAAAACATCAAGTTGGAGAGAGGCAGTAGCAAGAAAAAAAGAGCAACAATAAGGGGGACTGTGACCAAGAGGTCCCCACTCATTCATTCCATCCTTCCTTCATTCATCTCTTCACCTCACATTGATTGAGCTCCTATCAGGCACCCTCTATGACTGCAGGCTCCAGGGAAACACAAGAGAATTACACAGATGTAGCCTCAGACCACACAGAGCTCACATTTAGTCTGAGGAGTCAGACCCTAAGGGAGGTAAATAAGTCACTAAACAAGACAATTCCAGAAAATAATAAATGCCAACATGAAAAGAGAGCAGGTAATAGGACACAGCGTCTTTGGTGGGAGGATCAGGCCTCAAGTTTGGGGAGACGTGTCATCTTTGGGCAGCTAAAAACTACAGGGCTCAGAAAACCTCAGACATACAGAAAGGAGAGGAATGCACTGCTCTATAGCCCACTCCCTGGAAGGCTGGGAAGCCCTGGTCCAGGGAAAGCACAGGGTTCTAGGAATTGGGAACGGGACCCAACCACAAGGACAGGAAGTGGACAGGGGCCTCCAGGAAGCAGAGAAGAAACGAAGCACAGAAGTGGCCATGGGGCCATCATGGAGTCTGTTTCACGGACAGAAACACAAAGGGGCTGTTAGGAACAGCCACCTCTGGCCAGCCCCGCCTGTGATTGTGACCTGACAACTCGTGGTTTGTGAAGGTTGTTTGTTTCAGAGGCATTTCGCCTCTCTGCTTTTGGAACCTCCACGAGTGGACTTTTGTCTTGGGGCTCACAGTATTTTACCCCCTTCAGGGAGGTGGCTGGTTGTAGTTTAGCAAAACAGCCACTGACATCGCTGCTCCTTCAGCCTCTGCAGACAGAGCTGCAAGATCCTCGAGGCCTTTTTAATCCCCAGAAACAAGGTTCGCAGGAGGCCAGAGCCTTTGGTGGTGGGGAGCGGAGTCAGCAGGGGGAGGGGAGAGGCCCTTCGGAGAGACTGAGCCGCCAGGCCATCGAGGGAACCTGGGCCAGGGATGAGGCACTTCAGCCCTCGGAGCAGCTGCGACAGCAGAGTCTGACCTCCCAGCAAGGGGCTCTGGCTGCGGGTTTGTTTTCTTTGAGCAAAATCTCAGAAACAAAGATGCCTGTGATGACCTCTGCACGTAGGAACTTTCCATTTCTGCATTACGCAGGGCATATGTGTGTCATTTAGGTGTTAAAACAGACCAAAATGTGTTCTCCCGCCCAGAAGCAAGCAAAGCCAACCCCAGCTGCAGTTCCCTGACAGTCCAGTGAATTCAGCCAAAGGAAATGGCCCCACATGGAGGTGGGTGAGGCCCAGGGAGGACGACTGTGGTGGGAAACTCAGCAGGCGGAAATGTTCTCTTGGTTTCTGGGCGGGCTGGAGGTTTCCCAAGGGCCGGTGAAGTTTCAGCCCTAATAGCTGCAGGATTCTCTCAGGGCAAGTGACAGAAGACCTGATGACTCCGGTGGCTCAGCGGAGAGTGCATTAATAGGCTTGACCACTTCTGCTCGATCTTCAGGCAAGCTGGGTCTGACCCCTGGACACTGTCCCCTGGAGCCCCTGGCCTCCACGTGTCCACCCA
This sequence comes from Homo sapiens, assembly GCF_000001405.40. Classification (NCBI taxonomy): domain Eukaryota; kingdom Metazoa; phylum Chordata; class Mammalia; order Primates; family Hominidae; genus Homo; species Homo sapiens. The sequence continues at coordinate 47,957,134 of NC_000020.11, forward strand.
CTGCCATGGTCATGGCTCCTCAGCAGGAGGAGGCCCAGCAGCCTCCAGGTGCCCCTGCCTGGTGCTAGCTGCCCACCGAAGCTCTAGCCTCACACTCTCAGGTTCAAATCCAGCGACAAGAGCGGATCCCACAAAGGCCACGAGAGTCACCCTAAACGGTCAGCTTAGGTCCTTCGTTCACTGAGCCCATCGCTGTCCAGGGCAAGTGGTGCTGGCTGGGCTAGGTCCAGCTCCCGTGTCCACCCTGGGACCTGAGGTTCAGGGTCAGCTCACCCTAGACACATGGATCGAGTGGGGAGGGTGAATCCTCAAATGCTAATCAGGTTCTGTTGTACAGAAGGGGAAGCGGAGGCAGGAGGATGCAGCAAGACCTGTTCCCTCCTCTAACGGCACTCATAGGACAGCCCAGCCACACATTCAAAGAATCTTGAAGGAATAGGATGGTTGGTATGGTTGGTGTGGAAGAAGGTTCATAAATTCTGGATTTAGCTTTGTGGGATTCAGCTGACCTGAAATTTATACCTGTGCAGGTAGGTGGTTGCTGGGTAGGGTGACCACTACTGTCTCTCTCCATCACCCAGGGCTGTTTTCAGCTCAAAGCCACAGAAGCCCAGGCATGGTGGCATCTCCGGGGGAAGTTGCCTTATTCCAGATTCACAGGTCCGGGGCGAAGGGGCCAGGCAGGGCAGGTGTGGGGCGGCAGGATATCGCCCTGGGCCTGGCTCCTTCTGCCTTTCTGCCACCATCTTCAGCGGTGCCATTACCTCGAGGCCTTCTGTGGTTGCTGGAGCTGCCACGCTCGGCCTCCTGTCTGCCTCCAGATGGGAGAGGAGGAAGGAGGAGGTGAGAGCAGGAAAGAGCTTACATAAAAGACCACATTTTCCCAGAATCCCCAGCAGCTGCCTGTTCTCCCCCTCCACTGGGCTAGAGCTGTGTCACACAGGCTGAGCGGCCAGGAAGCTGGGCACCATCCAGGGAGTGTGTGATCGTCGGGGTCCTGTTGGTAAGAAAAGGGCATGTGGGTAGACATCTGGAGTGCCTGTCATGGTCCAATTAACTGGCTAAAGGGATTGTGGGTGTGCAGCTGTTTTCAATCAAAAGTACGTAATTCACATCTTCCCAAACACAGATTCCTGCTTTTGAGTAATGAAGGTGACCAAACCACATGACCCTGTCTGCAAAGATTCCACCTGGACTCCCAGTTCCTCCAAGGAACCGTCATGTGGTTCAAATCCAATGAAATTCTCTAAATCTCCACCCTCCTCAGGGTGCAGAGTTGGCTGCTTCTCTGTGCCCCCTGCTGATCACGGCAACCCCTGGGTGCCTCGGCCTGCGAAGCCCCAGCTGTCCTCCGTCTGCAGACAAGCCGAGGTATGAAAGCCTCCTCGCTGGCCCAGGAGCCTGTCATTGTCCTCCAGCAGCTCTAGCCTGGATGCGGTCCCAGAGATAAATCATATCTCTTTAAAAAGCCACAGTGGCCCATTATTTCTGCTTGAAAATACCCCTGGCTCTCTGCTGGTGAGCTGGTTGACAGGCCCCGGCTGTTGTGCTCAGTGCTGCAAAGAGTCACGTCAGTCTGTCGACTTGTGTAGTGAGCAAGCTGGTAGCTTCAGATGGTATGCACATGAAATCCCGTCCTGGCATCCAGGACTTGGCTGGGGGTTGCAGAGAGAACCACATCTGCAAAAGAGTTGGTATTTTACAGTCCCAGCCTCACGTCCTTGTGAAATGCCCTGTTCATACTGGGCTACAGGGGCGGGAGCAAAAATGATACAATGACAATTCCTGGGCTGTGTTCTGCAATATTCTACAACACTTCCACAAGAAAACTCCAATCTTTAAAAATAGACTGAGCACAATTAAACAATCACTATAGATATTTCTTTTCTTTTTTTTTTTTTTGAGATGGAGTCTCACTCTGTCGCCCAGGCTGGAGTGCAGTGGCGCGATCTCTGCTCACTGCAAGCTCCGCCTCCCGGGTTCACGCCATTCTCCTGCCTCAGCCACCCGAGTAGCTGGGACTACAGGCGCCCACCACCACGCCCGGCTAATTTTTTTGTATTTTTAGTAGAGACGGGGTTTCACTGTGTTAGCCAGGATGGTCTCGATCTCCTGACCTCATGATCCACCCGCCTCGGCCTCCCAAAGTGCTGGGATTACAGGCGTGAGCCGCCGCGCCCGGCCCACTATAGATATTTCAACCAGAGGAATATAGTGAATCATGATCTACCCATCACCCAGGTTCAACAGCTCTCAGGGTTTGCCCCCTTCCTTCCAGCTCTTTCCCCTCTTTCTGCCAAATTATTTTAAAGCAAATCCCAGACCTCAAGTGGACATTTTCTAACAAAGTTGCAATATCCTAAACATCTCCGATGTTCAAATTCCCCCAGGTGTTGCTCAGATATTTTTTTCTGGTTGCTTTTCCAGAAATTCAACAAGGACCACACGGCATTTGGTTGTTAAGTTTCTAACTTCTCTTTGGTTGACAGTGATCCCCTCTCCTTCATTTTACTTTTAATGCCACTGCTTGTTGAATTCCTGGGAGCAGTTGCTCTGTGGGATGCCCCACATCCAGGATTTGTCAGTCTGCTGCCTCATGGTGTCATTTCAATTCCTTCTGCAGATGGATGCCGCTGGACATCCTTGCCAAGGTGTGTCAGTTTCAATTAAACCCAGAATGGGGTGTTGGAGCTCAAAGGAGCCATTGTCAAGCCATTGCCTGAGCAAAGGAAGGTGTTTTTTTTTTTTTTTCTTCCTGTCGCCCAGGCTGGAGTGCAGTGGTATGATCTCGGCTCACTGCAACCTCTGCCTCCTGGGTTCAAGCAATTCTCCTGCCTCAGCCTTTTGAGTAGCTGGGATTACAGGCATGTGCCACCATGCTCAGCTAATTTTTGTATTTTTTTAGTAGAGATGGGGTTTCACCATGTTGGTCAGGCTGGTCTCAAACTCCTGACCTCGTGATTTGCCTGCCGTGGCCTCCCAAAGTGCTGGGATTGCAGGTGTGAGCCACCGTGCCTGGCCTGTGTTTTAAGATGATTTCCTGGATTCTTGTTGAACTACCAAGGCAGGTGTTTGCTCCCAGGCTTCACCATCAAATTCCCTAACGGCTGTGTTCTGGGTTGAGTCACTTTAATGAGCTGCCCTGCCGTTCCCAGGTGAGATGTCAATTAGAATTTGCAATCCCAATACCAGGGCCACGTTCTCACCACCTGAAGAAACCCTAACAGTCGAGACAGAATGAATGAAGGACAGATCAATGGGCTGGGTCTGTACAAGCACACCCATAGGGCAACCCAAGGGCACGTTATTTTGGTCTGAGTTATCTCCTGAGTCATGGACATGAGTCTGGGAAGGTCAAGGTTCGCCTGTTATCGTTATGGAAAGACACTGACCTTATGTGCTGGGCTGTGCCGTGGGCGCCTTCTTATTACATCCTCAGAACAGCCTCAGGATGGCTCATGATTCCCTCAATCACAGATGAGGACCTGAGGCTCAGGAAAGATACATTTGCATCTTGTAGGTCTGGGTTCAGCCTGGACCCACGGTTTCCATGCTTGCCCTGACCCTTCATTCCCTCCATTCCCTCCCAGCAGCCAGTCAGTGGCTGTCCAGACATGTGCACCAGCTGTGCTGCACCTCCACCATAAAAACTCCTCCAATCACTTCCCACTGCTCCCCATGTGAACCCCAAGGGGGCTCACCCTGTCCCAGGAGGTTCTGCCTGATCCACACCCCCCACCCCTTCCTGCATCCCTGCAACCTGCTCTCCCTACGTCCTCAGTCCTGGCGTCCTCTCTGTTCCCTGGACTTGTCCAGCCCAGTCCTACCTCCAGGCCTTGGCACCTGCTGTGCCCTTGACCTGGCGTGATCTCCTGATGGCCGTTACTGGGCTGGAAACTTCTCAGTGCTCAGCTTGAGCTCAAAGCCCACCTCTTCAGAGAGGCTGTCCCCATCCACTGTGGCCTTTCTTCCCTTTGCTCTTTCAATTCCCAGTTTATTTCCTGTAGAGCAGTTTCACCCTCTTCACCAATCTTGTTTATTTCCTTGTTTATTGTGCCTCCTTTACCAGAACGTTCACCCTCTGAGGGCCTGGGCCAGGTCTGTCTGTTCACAGCTCTAGTGCTCAGAGAAGTCACTGCATAAATAAACAAATACTTTGCTCAGAAAATTGTGGATATGTAAATGAAATAGGTCTGAATAAATGAATTAAATACAAAGCATATGTGAGTCATCTTTCCCAAGTAGTCATATCATAATGTTAACAACAACAACAAAACAAGGAATGGGGGGAGAATAGAATGCCTGCCTGGGGGAAGCTGGGCTGTGTCCCTGGACTTCCATTCCAGCAGGAAGAAGTGAAAACAGACTCCAAGGATTTCCACCGGACAGTGGCATGGCCGGACACTGTTTCTATGTCTGGTCAATGGAGCAGTGCCCCATGTTATGGCTGGCACGGTGCTGCCTGCCCTCCTGGGGGCATGACGACCACGTACTGGCCCTCAGGACACGGGAAACTTTGGCTGTTTATTCTATTTATTTATTTATTTGTTTATTTATTTATTTTTGAGATAGAGTTTCACTCACTCTTTTGCCCAGGCTGGAATGCAGTGGCGTGATCTCAGCTCACCACAACCTCCAGTTCCTGGGTTCAAGTGATTCTCATGGTGCAGACTTCCAAGTAGCTGGGATTACAGGCCTGCACCACCACACCTGGCTAATTTTTGTGTTTTTAGTAGAGATGGGGTTTCACCATGTTGCTTAGACTGGTCTCAAACTCCTGGCCTCAAGTGATCCTCCTGCCTCGGCCTCCCAAAGTGCTGGGATTACAGGCATGAGCCACCGCGCCTGCCCCCCTTGCCTGTTTATCTCCTTTATTATTAAATTCCAAAGAGCTTTGGATGAATCTCTGTTTTTTAATTCTCTGTCTATCCCAGAGGATGTTTTCAGGCCTGATGGAGTCACTGAGGGACCCTGATGAGGGCTCTGAGTATCCCTGGATGGGAAGGAGACCTCTTCATCCCCAGGCACAGGGAGGCCAGCCTGTGCAGTATTTTCCTCTCCTGCATTTCAATCCAGCTAAAGGCATCCTTCACTTCCTGCTTCACTTCAGGGGTCCCCATCTCTGAAGCCAGATTCACCTGAGGCAGCTTCTTCCTTGTGACCTGACATCGCTTTTATGATGTTTTTATTCCAGAACCACCTGAGAGAGGAAAGAGAACTGGTTATAAAAAGGAACTGCTTCTCTTAATGACTCTTAAACTCCAGAGCGACCTGCCCAAGGGCAGGGAGCAGTGGGGCCCGGGGGGGTTTCTGAAAGCAGGGGCCATCCATCACCTGGCCCCGCCTCTGGCTATGTGCTGCCTTCTGCAGACCTCATCACTGCTGTGCTCTGTGGCATTTAATCAATGGCCTTTCTAGGGGTTCTGAGTGATGCTGTCTCTTGTCAGATGAGAATCCACCTGCAGCTGCCTCTGGAAGGAGTGTTCCAAAAGAGGGGGGTCCCAGCTTCTCCCTCTGCTGGGAGGGGGGAGGTCACAGGAGATGCTTTGGCCCCTGGGCAGCCCTTGGGGTTCCTGAAACTCCACAGGGGCAGTGACAACATGGAACATGCTGCGGACCAGGCTCCTCCAGGCTCAGCCCCAGAGGTGGGACAGAAGAGATGCCCAGAGCTCTGGGCCCCTGTGAGACCCAGCTCCCTTGTCCGCTTACAGCCGTGGCTCTGCCATCACCTACCTGGAACCTGGCAGCCTGTTCTCATCTCCCCTCTATCCCTGGTCATGTCAGCAGCCAAGAGGCCCAGGACCCAAGTCCTCCCTCATCCCCACTCCAATCTCCCCCAGCTCTGAGGCATGAGGAACCCCCCAACTCTTCCTGATCCCCTTGCCCCCCTCCTACTCCCTGAGCCTGGGGTCCCCTTACTATCCTCCCTCCCTTCTTTTCCCCACAGCATGGCTACCCTTGCACACGCTCGGTTTCTTGCTCATTTATTTATCTGAGTTCTAGAACGCATGCTCTGGGCAGCAAGAGCTTTTGTCTGCAGATTTTTATCTCATGTAAAACAGGCCATGGCTCTGGAGAGGGAGAAGTGCCATGGCTGGCCACTGGAGAAGTGGCTCAGGGCCAGAGGCACCTGCGTTGGGGGAACAGTGAAGGCTGTGGGGACGGGAGACCAGAGCTCAAGTGCTGCCTGCCTTTAACTTTCTGGACAGGCCATGGGAGAGGCTAGGCGGGGCTCCGTTTCCAAGTGTGGCGAGGAAGTCACTTGTCACCAGGGTTCCCTGCAATTGAGCTGCCCATTAATGCATAAGGATGTCAGCTCCTGCAAGCCTGTGAAATAAGTGCCAGGCCAGGGCTTTGAACTCCTGAGCAGCAAGGTGATTTGTATGTGCAGAGACCACTCACGAGGAGGCCCTTCAATACAAGTGTCCCCCTATAATCCGGGTTTCTCTCCAGTTTCAGTTCCTGAGCAGGTAAGCCAATTTCAAAATAATTTTTCCATAAGGTGATTATGAGGCATCGGTGCCATGGAGGTGTGGCTGACACCTCTGCCCTGGTTGCATCCTGCATCCCTGAAGCTCTGTGCTGTGACTCAGTGAGGTAATTGTCTCTGTACCCCCATCACTACCCAGTGGATGCAGCCAGGGGCATGGTTTTCTCCCTTAGTTTACAATGAGATTAAAGGGGACGTTCAACACTCCTGACTTTAAAGAGACAGATATATGCTTTTCTTTTTCTTTTTTTCCTTTTTTCTCTTTTCCTGTTCCTCCTTCTTCCCTGTCTCTGGAAATCTCTACATAAAAGGGTGCTCACTAAGGTGCTATTTTCTTTTTCTTTTTCTTTTTTCTTTTCTTCTTCTTTTTTTTTTTTTTTGAAACAGAGTTTCACTCTTGTTGCCCAGGCTAGAGTGTAATGGTGCAAACTTGGCTCACTGCAACTTCCGCCTCCCGGATTCAAGAGAGTCTCCTGCCTCAGTAAGGTGCTATTTTCTAACAGCAAAATGCTGGGAACGATCAAGATGGGGAAATGGGAGAAGAAAGCACGATATAATGATTCAGTAGACTATTACACAGACATTCAGAATAGCTCCATGTAGACCAGGAAGTAGTATGAACTCAAGTGAAAACTGTAAAACAGCATGAAATGCATTTTGTTAAGTAAGAAATAGTATAATGTGATAAGAGGTACACCAATCAGGAGGCTAAGTTGAGGCCCTGCTGTGCACCTAACGGCAAGGACGTGCTTGAAGACAATGCTTCTCACACGTTAATGTGCTCACAAACCACCTGGGGGGTTTGTTAAAATTGAGATTTCTATTCAGTAGGACCTGGATGGGCCCTGAAATTCCGTAATTTTTAGCAATCATCTAGGTGATGGCTGCTGGTTTGCAGACCACACTTCAAGAAGCAAGACCTTAATAATATATTTTGACTTTGAACCTTCATAATAATCCTTAAAACTGAGTAAAACTGGTTCAGAGAAGGTCAATGACCTCCCCAGATAGTGGCCTCTCAGGTAAGTGACACTGTCATGTGAGTGACGTCCTCAGGTGAGTGATGTCCCCGGACTCACACGGCAGGGACATGGTGGAGTCAGGATTTGAACACAGATACCCAATTCCAAAGCTCCTAGTCTCAAACACATTGGCTGTAGCTGCAACTACATGAGTGATTTTTCTTTTTCTGTAAAGTCTGTTTTTCATCGTCTCATTAATTAAAAATTGATTATAAGATTGTAAAAAATTAATGAGATGTTGTCCCCTCCAATAATCTCTGAGGGGGATGATGAAAATCACTTTTTTTTTGAGACAGAGTCTTGCTCCGTCGCCCAGGCTGGAGTGCAGTGGCGTGATCTCAGCTCACTGCAACCTCCGCCTCCTAGGTTCAAGCGATTCTCCTGCCTCAGCCTCCTGAGTAGCTGGGATTACAGGTGTTTGCCACCACGCCCAGCTAATTTTTGTGTTTTTAGTAGAGACGGGGTTTCCCCACGTTGGTCAGTCTGGTCTGGAACTCCTGACCTTGTGATACGCCCACCTCGGCCTCCCAAAGTGGGATTACAGGCGTGAGCCACTGTGCCTGGCATTCATTTTTTTTTTTTTTAGACGGAGTCTCGCTCTGTCACCTAGGCTGGAGTGCAAGGTGCGGTGGCATGATCTCGGCTCACTGCAACCTCCGCCTCCTGGGTTAAAGCAATTCTCCCACCTCAGCCTCCCAAGTAACTGGGATTACAGGCACCCACTACCACACCGGGCTAATTTTTTTATTTTTGTAGAGATGGGATTTCACCATGTTGGGCAAACTGGTCTTGAACTCCTGACTTCAAGTGATCCACCCGCCTTGGCCTCCCAAAGTGCTGGGATTACATGTGTGAACCACCGTGCCCAGCCTGAAAATCACTTTTGTATGACACTGTTCTGAATGGATTGACGGAAGTAAGTCAATGTGAAAGAGGCTTTGGAAGGACGGCAGATGCCGAGTGTTTATTGCTTAAGTTCTCACTCTCCATGGCTCAGCACAAAACAAAAGATGTTTTACAGTGGCCTAAAATTGCAGTTGCTTTTGCCATGAAAATTCAACACAGCATCTTTGCTGTAAGAGTGACACAGACTTGAAGGGTCTGCTGTTACCGTGATGAACATTTTCAACCAGGTGAGACGCTGAGAGTGAGAAATCTCACCTGGACAGTGACACAAAGCCCTCCCAAGCTACACTCTCTGAGTGGCTCCTGCCTTTTGCACCCTTGAACGTGGCCATGCACAGAAAAATCCCAATTTGGGATGCATCTCCCACAGCCGTGCTTCAAGTAACCTGGAGATTGCATGTCAGTCCATGTGTCCTTGTCTTAATAGAAATTAGAAGAGAAGAAAAACAAAAGCCCCAGCCTCGTGAGAGAGTCTATAGGGAGTAGGGATAGAATAAAAGGTAAGTTAATCCATTCTCCATTTCTGCTCCTTTTTAAGATTTTTTGTTGGTATGGAAATTTGTGCTTAGAAAAACACTGCAGATCTGTACCCAAGTGATATGATCGAATAAAAATAATCTTCAAAAAAGTCATCGAATTTAGCAGAGAAAAGCAAAAATACCAGATAGTCAAAATAGTAAAGTCACTCTCCAATTTACAATCAGGACTGTATCCAGATATTTGGAACAGAGGAGGTTTTCTCGCTGAGTGGTCTGCAATGGCTAATGTTTGCCACCTCATTTTGGGCGTGCAGATACAGACTTTGCTTCATTTTGGGCGTGCAGATACAGAATTTGCTTCATTTTGGGTTTGCAGATACAGACTTTGCTTCATTTTGGGTGTGCAGATACAGACTTTGCATTGACAGATGAAGCTCAGGTTGTCTTGTCACAGGTGGTCTCTTAGATCATGTTAACCTAAAAACAGGAGCAATCAGGGATAGAAAGTCCAGCCCTGTGATCCAGGCTCACGACTTCTTCCCAGGCCTCACTTTGCTCAGGGGTTACACTAAGGGGCTGCACTAGATGACCTCTAGGGTCTCTCGTCTGACTCTGAAGTTTAGATGTAAAGAACCAGGTTGGCTGTAAGAAGATGCGTATTGCACACAAAGAGCCAGCCAGGGAAGGTCTTGGCTTAATAATCTACCCCTTACTATCATGCGACACGAGAGCCAGAATCAGATAGAGAGCTATGGTTGCAGGGAATGGAAAACTCAGTGCAAACAGGTGTGAGCAGGAGGGAGCTTCATGGGCTCCAGCCTTCAAAAATCCCAGAGATAAACAGCATCAGGAATGATTGGATCAGGCTGTGGCTCAGTTTCCCTGAAGTTCTCTTGGTTCTTTCCTCTCTCACGGGTCATGATTTCAGACTGTCCTCTCTCATGGGTCATGATTTCAGACTGTCCTCTCTCATGGGTCATGATTTCAGACTGGCTTTTCTTGTGGTAGCAGAGAAGGCTGCAGTGGTTCTAAGAGCTGCATCCCATCCACCTTGTCCAGAGCAAACCATGGAAAAGCCAGGGCTCCCAGGCAACATCTTACCTTTCACTGGCCCACCTGGGCCAGGTGCCCATTCTTGAATCAGTCAAGGTCAGAGAGTGGGAAGAGCTGACTGCATCAGGCCAATCACAGCCCACTGCTGGGGCTGGGGGCAGGGACAGGGCCATGGGCTACTGTGCTGGGAGATTTGGGGTCAGGTGAAGAAGGGCCTGGTGAATTGTTGCTGTAATCCTTCAGTAGGAACCCATTGCAGGGAGAAAGTCACTCCATCTTCTTTGGCAAAAGAGAAACAATCATACTCCTCTTCTTCCAACCTTGCTGCATTGTCATAAGGATGGAAACAGGTCATGAGAGGCAAAGCTTTGGTATGAGCAAAGCCCTGAATAACTGTTAGCAGGAGGGGCAGGCATTGTAGCTATTTCTGATCTCGTTATTAAGGGACTAAAATTTGTTTACTGTAAAGTTGGTTCTTTCAGGATGATGCAGTGCCTACTGTCAAATATCTCAATCAAAAAAATTAAAAATTATGTTACTTTATGGTGAAATCTGTATTGCATGAAATTGATTTTTAAATTAAAATTAATTTTCACGACACAAGTAATATATCATGTATTTCCCTGTAAGAAAACCAAGACATTAAAGATAAGCTCAAGTCCCCATTTACCTTCCCCAGTCTACCACCCCCCTAAATTCTCAGAAAGGGACATTTGACCTGAGATCGCCTCCTCTGGAGTGCTCATCAGTGAAGACCCAGCAGATCCCCAGTCAGTGCTTGAATTCCTTTAGGTATGAATGGAGTTGAGTTCATCCTGAGAAAGACCCCTGAAGGCCAGGCTGAAGTCAGGTGCATGGAGGTCCCCAGAGAATAGCAGATTCATTCTATCCATGTCCATGCAGCAGCTGTTGGGTGTGAGTTGGCCGTGGGGAGGCAGGATGTGTCCTCTTTGCAGAGTGGTGGGAGCTGGCACACACCGGGCACTATTCCCCGTGCCCTGTATCTATGATCTCACTCAGTCCTCACACCAACCCCATGAGATACGGCACTATTACTAAGCTCCCCATGCTGCAGATGGGGAAGCTGAGGCAGAGTGGTCAAGGCACTTGCTCAGGGGGCAGTGCTGGGACTTGAGCCTGGGCAGTTTAGCTCCAGGGACTATGTTCTTAACCACTAGGCCATGTGGGCTCAATCTGTGTTAAATCTGGTTGGGAGGCAAGAGTCCCAAGTGAGAGAACTATACACCATCAACACCAGTACCAACACATACATACACTCATACCTCCCCTGCCCCCCTCCCCCCCCCCCCCCACACACACACAGACCCACACAGGCATGGGTGGCTGGAATACTGGGGCAAATCCATGAATGTTTCACAATTCCATCTTCAGATTCCCTGTGCATCCAGAATTAACCTTCCCGTCACTCCGCTTAACCCCACCTGTGAGTCTCAAGTCCCCTTCACAGCTGACAATGGAAACCCACAGACAGGACTGGCCAGACCTAGTGGAAGGGGCAGGGCCATCCCTCTGGGCTCAGGGTTCCACTTGGTGGAGGCTGGACCGTCTCTTCTCAGCGTGTGCTCACAGCGGGACCTGCTGTCTCTTTCTGAGGGGACACAACCCCCATCATATGTCCCCCGGGCCGCGATGGTGGGGTCAGGACTGAGCATGCCCCGTGCCCACCCCCACGCTCAGCCCGAGTCAAAGCCTTCGAGGCTCTCCAGTGTCATCTGCACAGGACCCAGGTGCCATCGCCCCCAGGACTCTCAGAAACTCAGGGCGGTCCCCGAGCAGCTCACATCTCCTGGGGCTGAGCATCCGCAGATGCTGTAGGAAGGAGGCGACTGGGTGAGGGGAAGGATCGGGAAGCAGAGTTTGGCCAAGGCTTTGTCGGAGCCACTGGTCCCACGCGCACGGAGCTCTAAGCAGTTCCTGCCTCTCTGAGACGGGGACGGGACAGGCCCCCCATCAACCTCTCGCTCTCTGGGCTTCGGTTATAAATCACCCCACAGGGGTAGAAACCACCCAGAAAGCCGGGAGCTGCTCCAGGAGCTTACGACTGGGGTGGGCTAATCTGCAGAGTGGTCAACCATGTGCTCATGGCCCTGGAGTCCCTGTGACCAGCCCTGGAGACGTCACCTCAGAGGGAGGGCGCTTTGCCCGCTTCCTTCACCGTTGGGGCCGGGACCTGAAACTTGGGCACAGAGTAAATCTCAGTAGGTATCTGTTGAGTGATTCGGAGCCCACCTGTCCCACATACACCACGAGGAGGCCTCCAGGGTGTCCACAAAGGAGGCGGCTGGGCTGGGGAAGAAATGCAAGAATTCCTGCCTGGACAGGTTTCATCTACATAGAAAGAGGAGATTCACTCCCGAAAGCTATTTGTCAGGGTCTACCCTAGCCACAATGATGCCTGACAGCCTGGAGGTGTGACCAGATTTGCTGGGGGGAGACGGACATGGTTTTGACAGGGGCAGGGCCAAAGTGGGGCAGGGCCAAACAAGGCAGGGGCCAGGGTCATGCAGGGGCGTAGCCAGGATGGGGGTGTGGCCAGAATGAAGGCGGGGCCACTGTGGAGAGGGGCCATGGTGGGGGCTGAACCTTGCTGCAGGTTGTAGAAGCGCTGAGCCCATATAAAGGATCTGCTAGCCCTTGACCTTCCCCAGGTGTCTCATATTCCCATCACTGATGGTTCATTCTCCCATCTCCCATTGCGCTGGCTGCTTTTCATTGAAGTTGTGACAACTGTCATACTAACTCATTCCTTTGGAAAAGGCTACTGAAAAGGTGCCACCCTGGAGATGCTACTCAGGAGAATAACCCTGCTGGTGACTGCTTTCACCTTCTGCCCCTGAAAGGGCTTGACTGTGGGGGGTCTGAGCTACCCTACAAACATCGTCATATCCGAGGGAACGCAACATTGAGTAGCAAATAATAAACACCATGACAGGTCAAGAGACAGACTGCAGAAAGAAAGCAAAAGCTTTCTTATTTTAGTACCTATAATGACATTTTGTTCTTGCTTTTGAGCATGTGGCCTACATTTTCATTTTGCACAGGCTGTGAAAATTATGTACTTGGATCTGCTGGGAGAATGTAATAAATCTACTAAGAGTCACCCTCATCCTCTCTGTCCCGCTCTCCTGTGTCTCTCAGAGTCAGCAGAGGGCCTTGTCAGAGCACAGTCCTCCCGCAGTCTTCCTCATCTCTGTAAATCGCAGCCCCACCCTCCCAGCTCTCAGGCCAACACCTGGGAGTCATCCTCCACTCTTCCCTGCCTTCCACACTCCGCTTCTCATCCATCAGCAAGTCCTGGCAGCTCTACCTGCAAGGGATCTGCAGTATTGGACTCCCTCACCTCCTCCACTTTGACCACATGGCTCCGGTCACCATCACCTCCACCTGGCCTCCCTGTTGGTCTTGCTGCTCCAGCTGTTGCCCCACACCCCCAACCTGTCCTCAGACACAGAATCCCATTAAAAAGTAAACCAGACCACATCCTGTCTCTGCTCAAACCCTCCAATGGCTCCCACTTCCCTCAGAGTAAAAGCTGAAGTCTTCACAGGGTCGCCTAAGGCCTGAGATGACCCATCTCTCTCTCTGCCCCACTGTGACTCATCACCCCTCTGGCCTCATCTTCTAACACCCCTTGGCCCCAGCCACACGGGGCTCCTGGCTGCTCCTCAGCCTCATCCCTCCCCTCGTGTCTCTGGACTCTGTCCTCGCTATCCCCTCTCCTGCATCGCTCTGCCCCCAGGCCCCAGGCAGCTCCCACACCTCCTTCCAGGGCCCAGAATTTACACCAGATACACAGTTTTCTGCACATTTGAACGAATGAACAAAAGAAGGAATGAGCACATGCTTCCTCAGCGGGGAATACTGCTCCCAAGAGGGCCAGAGCTGGTTCCTGGAGGTGAAAAGATTTTTCTCTCATTATGTAAAAATACAGATGTAGGCACAGTGCATAAACCATTTTGCGGTATTTCTGTAGTATTAAATTCATGGTGGGGGTGAGTAAGAAAAAAACCTCTATGAAGGTTCCTTAGGGGTTGATCATGAATTAAAGGTGAGAAAGGCTGAATTAGAGGACAGTCCGCTGAAATCACAGGCTTCTCTCCCACACATTGCCAGGGCATTGGGGAGGCTGTGGAAGACAAATCAAGATCCGTGCAAGTGCCTGAAAGAGTCACAGCCATTCTTCCTGGCGTTTAATAGAAGGAATGCCTCGGTGCTTTGGGGAAACCTTTTTTTATTTCCTGCCAAGGGACAGAATTACAAAGGATGATATTTGCATTTTCCTGAAGCCTCTAATTTTCCCATTCATCACTTGTCAGAACCTGAGGCCCTTCCTCAGCTTATGGAATGTTTGCAAACACGTAATGATCCCTTTTACCAAAGAACGTCACAGGCTCCACATGGAAATGTGTTTGTGTTGCAGAGGCTGCTAATTTAATGCATTAATGTCACTCTGCACCATGGCGGGGTCTCAGGGCATCTCATGTCACCGTGAGCGAGCTGGTCTAAGACACAGGAACCATGGAAACCATCCCATGCCTGGTTAGTGAGTAGATGCGCAGTGGGGCGCCGTTCACTGCCTTGAGGGTGAATGTGGACTCCAGGAGCGAGGGCCAGGCCTTCTAGAGCTCCACCCACCCTGAGATCACAGGCCTGGCTCAGGCTTGCTGGACTTGCCCAATGGGGAACTTTCAGGGGACAGTTTAACCATCCTGAGGGGCAGACAGACCAGGGAGAGGCCAAAGGCACCCGTGGGGTTCCCCCAGGACCGCCATGAATCCCCTTCTCCTCCCTCTCTCCATCAGTGCCTCTGTCCTTCCCACCTGCCCAGCCCAGGTGCCAAACACCGGCCTCATCCGAAAAGTCCAACTGGGCCCAGGACAGTGATTCCCAGACCCAGCTGATCCCGCAGGGAGCTTTGGGTCCTGCTGGTCCCTGGGTTCTGGTGACAAAAGGACATGCAGGAAGGCAAAGTCCCCTCTGGATTTTTCATCATGAGCCACCCTAGGTGCTGCGCACCGCCAGGCTGCCTGATTCCACCAAGAGAATCTCAGGAAATGAAAAATAAGATTTTAGTTGTTAAATTTCAGGCGTCGGGGCTCTTTGAGAGATTGAAAACACCTGGAGGTTGGGTGCACAATGGAGATGGGGCTGTGGGGACGTTTCCTATTCCCAGTGGAATCCGTGATTATTTACCGAGCAGCCTGGAGAAGCCCAGTCTTCACGGAATGGAAAAGCTGAGCCGGGTTTTCATGCACAAACCGGAAGCCGGGTGGCGCCCTCACAGCAGAGCTCCTGACCTTCCTGCCTCGCACGTCCTGGCAGCGGGAGGGCGGCTGCCTTGGACACAGTTTATTGTGTGGCGAGGAGGGAGACAGGAGAGTACGGGGCAAAAAAACCCCAACAAATGGCTACGCCTTAAAAACTTACTTTCAAATGCCCAGTTCACGCAGTTTTCTGGCATTTTACCAAATCAGGCAGGTTTTTTTTTTGGCTTTTCCCACCGTGTGACTCGGTCTGCCTTGCCCTGCCCCACCCCTGCTTGGGCAATCGTGCCCCCCGCTGAGCTCAGCAGCCTGGCGTGAGGTGAGGTGTCTGTGTGGCTGCTGTTAGCAAATCCACCATTCCGGGGGCTTCCCTGGATGGTGATGTGGCTGTTCCCCAACTTGCTCCTGGCCCAGTGACCCGTGGTGGCTGTAGGAGCCGCTGCAGGGTTCGGGCAGCAGTAGTGAAGGGCTTTGCTGCTCTCTGCAGTTTCGATGTCGCCCTCATTGTCCATTTCCTCAGCCTAAGGAGACCCGGTGGCCTGATGGACTTGGCTTCGTTCCTTCTTTCAGCTCAGGGGGACGTGCATTTTTCCTCCTTTGAGTCGAATTAGCAATGAACTTCCCCTCCCCAGATGGACAGCGTGGCATCGTCAGGGCCCAGCTGCAGCTTTCCGGGCCAACGGGTCTTCGTGCATTGTCTGATTTGGTTCTGACAAGCATGCGAGGCCGTGCGGTGGTCATTATACCCACTTTACAGATGAGAAAACACAAGGTAAGGAACTCGCCCGAGGTCACAGGGATGGCTGGATGTAAAACAGACTCCTGCGTGTACAGATATAGAGATTGATAAGAAGAGAATTTCAAATCTCAGCCAAAGCGAAGGTCAAGTCAATGCTCTTGGGGACGTTCCCTTCACTCCCCAGAACGTTCCAACATGGCCAGTGAAGACACTGTGTCCCCGTAACCCTGGGGGAGAAGAGGACGGGGTTAATGAAAAGTAGAAAGTTTCCTCTTTCCCACTGTTGGAGATGCCGGCGTCCCCACATCACCGTCGGCGCTGCATCTGGTCCACTTCTGGGACCCATTTGGGTCCCTGGGCCGGGGCTTCCTGTGGATGAGCCGGGATCACACAGCGATGTGGGGTTGCTCAGGGCGCCCCGTTCACTCCAGAGTGACCCCTGACCCAAAGCCAGTGCTGGGTGTTTGCGGAAACTGAAACCAGGGCAGGTCTGAGTCAGACCCTGCAGAACAATGAGGCCTTTTGTGCAAATGAGGCGGGGGAGGGGCCGGGGGAGACCAGGAGCTTCCTGACGGGGTCCGCAGCACAGGTCACAGCGAGTGAATTCAGGAGGTGACCCTCGAAGGTCAGGTCACAGCCGAGCAGCACAGGCGCTGAGCTAAGTGTCCACAAAGGAGACGAACAAAGCGGCTGCTGTGGGAACAGAGTCAGTGTCGGTCAATGCTGAGTCCAGGAGCTCGGGCCTGCCGGTCGGCGACGGGGGCTTCATGCTGGCTCCCCCAACAGTCAGGAGGGCCATGTGCTGAGGAGGGAGGGTCCTCAGCGTCCCCAGGATTGCTGGTGGGTTCACCTAGTGGAATCGCAGGGGTGAATCCACTAGTTGAGATATTTTTCTCCAATGGATATTGAAGTGAATAAATAACTATTGATATAAAAATATACTTCCCATATTTACTTGTAAGTAAATTCATCAGACCCCAAAATACCCATGACTTCACGAGCCAGAGGTTTGCTTCTATCCCATGTGACAGCCCCGGCGTGGGGGCCCCCTGGCTGGTTGGGCAGCTCCCGGGGCTGAGCCTCGACACTCCAGTCCTGTGATCTGTCATTGACAAAGGCTGTTTTTGTCTACCTGGTCCGAGGAGGTGCAAGTCACATCAGACAGGAGGGAAGAGGAGAAGGGCAAGTGGAGCGTACCCATTCATTTAAGGGTACACTGGGAAGGTACACACCAGCTGCAAGGCAGAATGGGAAATTCAGCTTTGGTCCGGGCAGCTAAACTTTGGGATTTCCAATGTGAAATGTAGGGGATGAGGGGTATCAAGGGTCAGCCCGCAGCCTCTGCCCCCTCTATGTGCTCCTGGAAGTCATCTACTCTCCTACCAGGGGATCCCACCAGGGCATCCCACATTTTGTGAAAATTAGCTGATTAGGAGAGCATCCTTTCTGCACTACTGTGGAGGGGGTGGGGGCTTAGGCATGAGCAGTTCCCTAAGTCATGGTACAGGGCCTCCCCCATCTTGGGAGAGCAAAGGCTGTCTACTGTGTCCACCAACCCTGAGGCACACCCACACAGCTTTCCTGCTGCCTGTGCTGAGCCAGGCACTGTGCTTGAGATGTGCACGGTATTTGACATAGAGTCGGGGTGGGTGGTGCCCAGACTCCCAAGTCACTCCACGGTGAGACAGATTCACAGGGCTCCAAGGACAAGTCAAAATAATTTGGCCGAGCCTCTTTGTTTTAGAGGTTGGTCAACTGGTGTCAAAAGCTGGAGAAGGACTTGTTCAAAGTCACAGAGCCAAGAGCCACCTGGGTCCCTGGTGTCTTTCCAGTGAACACCACCGTGACCTCACTGGTCCTGAATGGTCCCTTTTTAAATAAAGAGATACATGGTCATCAAATGCAACACCACTGAATCTGTCTGTTCCCTGCCCACCTCTTCTCAGAGACATCCACAAGTAATCCTCTAGCTGTTTCCGCACATTATTTCCGAATCCTGAAAGAGGAAGCTTGGCCAGGTGCTGAGGCTCATGCCTGTAATCCCAGCACTCTGGCAGGCTGAGGCGGGTGGATTGTTTGATTCCAGGAGTTCAAGACCAGCCTGGGCAACATAGCAAAACCCTGTCTCTACTAAAAAGACAAAACATTAGTCAGACGTGGTGGTGTGTGCCTGCAGTCCCAGCTACTTGGGAGGCTGAGGTGGGAGAATCACCTGAGCCCAGGAGGTCAAGGCTACAGTGAGCCAAGATCGCACCACTGCACTCCAGCCTGGGAAACCAGAGTGAGACCTGTCTCAAAGAAAAAAAGAAAAGAAACGAAAGAGGAAGCCAGGGAAGCTATTCATAGAGCTTTCAAGGTCTAGTGTTATCTAATGTCTGCTAAGCTAGATGAGAAGTTAGCTCTTACACCACCCACCAGCTCCCTTCCTGCCACGCTGTATGATACATCACTATTTTTAATTGCATCATAATCAGCCTTTATGTCATGTGACCAGGTAAATGCTATTCTCTGCAGAGCGAAGTACTATAATATTTTCTTTCTTACACACCTTTCATTTTTCCTAGAGTTCGTAATTTTCTTGTTTTTTTTTTTTTTTTTTTTTTTTTGAGATGGAGTCTCGCTGTCGCCAGGCTGGAGTGCAGTGGCATGATCTTGGCTCACTGCAACTTCTGCCTCCCAGGTTCAAGCAATTCTCCTGCCTCAGCCTCCCGAGTAGCTGGGATTACAGACGTGATGCTGGCTAATTTTTGTATTTTTAGTACAGACGGGGTTTCATCATGTTGGCCACGATGGTCTCGATCTCCTGACCTCGTGATCCGCCCACCTCAGCCTCCCAAAGTGTTGGTATTACAGGCATGAGCCACCGTGCCTGGCCTTCTTGTTCTTTTTATTTGCAAAGTTTACTTACAGATACTTAATTATTTCTCAATCCTCCGTCAGTGAAGCCACTCCAGTGTTTTTCAAGCTGTTTTGATCACAACCCATCATAAGAAATTATTTTACAATGGAACCTGGTACATACACACACACACACACACACACACACACACACAGAGACACACACCCCCCATATATATGAATATAAAGTTTCACAAAATAATACTGATACCTTTTGATATTTTCTACTCAACTCTGTGATTAATGTTTTAAAATGCTAGTTGCACCCGCTGAACTGACGTTAGTTTGAGGAGCTCTAGGCCAGTCCCACGAGGTCCTGCTCTGTGCACTCTCCTGAAACTGACCAGCTCCCATCTGGACTCTTCTCTCTGCTGCTCTCCTGAGGTGATCAGTTTTTTTTGTTTGTTTTGTTTTTGAGACGAAGTCTCACTCCGTCACCTAAGCTGGAGTGCACTGGCGCGATCTCAGCTCACTGCAACCTCCGCCTCCCAGGTTCAAGCAATTCTCCTGTCTCAGCCTCTGGAGTAGCTGGGACTACAGGAAACTGCCACCATGCCCGGCTAACTTTTTTTTCATGTGTTTAGTAGAGACAGGATTTCACCTTGTTGGTCAGGCTGGTCTCGAACTGCTGACCTCAGGTGATCTACCTGCCTCGGCCTCCCAAAGTGCTGGGATTACAGGCGTGAGCCACCCTGATCAGCTTTTTGATAGATCTCATGTCTTCTCTAATTAATTTTCTGCTTTTTATGAGTCACTGGCAAATTACTTTTTTATTGACAGAAACAAAATCGTAACTCTCCAGCATTTTATGTTTTCTTACCATTCCTCCAATAACAGAAAATACTAATGAGAAGGAGAATATTACAATGAAAGGAAGCAGGAGAGCAAATAAGAGATTCGACCTACACATGGTTTTGATTCTGCGTGAGGCCGGTCATACCCAGATGAAAAGCTAGACATCCAGCTACGTACATCCCTGGAGATACCCAGACGATGGAATGGAATGTTCACTGTGGCTCTAAGTCAGAGCATCTCATTTAAGCTTTATGGACAGTCTGCGCAGGATGTGTCTGTGTGGGGACTTCTCCTGTGCATCATGGGAGGTTTAGCAGCATCCTTGGCCTCACTCGCCAGATGCCAATAGCATCCCCCTCTCCTAGTTGTGACAATTGCAAACATATCCAGACATTGCCAAATGTCCTCTGGGGGGCAAAGTTGCCACAGCTGGGAGCCACTGCTCTGCAGGTTTGGACGCTGTGCCTGCAATTCCATGCAGCATCACGGGCTATTGATCATGTGTCAGACGGAGCTTAAATTGGTCGATCGCATCCTCAAGTAGCCACTCCAGAGCGTGATTATCTGACACCTGTAATTTACCATCCTGGTTACATGGGGGGCAAACGTGGAATTATGCACATCAGCGGGCCCAGGGCCTGTTTTCCATGGACTTAGTGTTCCTGCTGAGCATGGCCTCGGTCTCCCCGAGTTGTTAAAGACATTGACGCCTCAGAACTGACTCTGCCTCCACTTAATCAGCTCACCAGAAAATTACAATAAAAATCATCTGCCACTTATGAAATTGCCGTTAAAATGGACTATTTCCTGCCACCTGGGGACAGGCTGCTGTTTCTCTTTCAGCATCGGTATCTGAGATGCTGTCTCTGGGAAACAGCGATCATAGATGCTGTTGAGACACTCCATTGGCCACGGTGTGTCCCTGGATTGAAACCAAAGTCACAACAATGAGTCTGAAACGTACCGAGGAATCGGTTCCAAACATGGCAAGAGCAATTTCAAACAGTGCTGCGAGGGCCCTTTGGGGTCAGGACAGGCACTGATCAGCTGAGGGCACAGGCCCTGTGCCGCCACGGCTCCTCCAAGCCAGCACTGCTCACTCCGTCCGTGAAATCCCAGCCAGGAAGGCCAATGTATCTGTGCCAGTGCCTGAAATGTCAATATCACAAAGCCAGCAGGAGGGGTGACCCGGTGGAGCTCAGCAAAGATGACATAAAACAGGCCACAAAGCTGGTTTGCCAGGGTGCAGGAGGATTTGTCTGTTTTCTCCTGAGAATGGCTGCTCAGCTCACTCCACACAGCATTTCCATGCTTCATCTGTTAGCCCTGGAACGGGTGCCCTGGGAGCCACGGACCTTGGCAAGCTCCACTGTAGGGGAACCTCATGCTGACAGCTCACTCTTGTGGATTAATCCTGACTGTTTGCTGTATCTGGAGCCACCCCCAAGAACCTGATCATACAGCACACAGGAGGGGCTGTGAGCGGAGATGAAATCTGGGCATTGTCTTGGTTGTTATTAATTTAATTGTCATTCTGTCTGAGCAGTTTCATTTTCGGAGAGTGATTTGATCGCCCTTTTAGAACCTTGATCATCTCAGTGTCATGTTCTTAGAGGGAGGCATCCCTGGAAGAGGTGCCCACTGTGGTGTTCTTTTAATTAAATTCATCTGTTCCTGCAATAATGTGGATGAAACACCTGCCCTGCAAGCAAAATACATACTTGCTCCTATTCCCGGGACCCATAGTGGGGTGGAGCTGACCACAGTGTGTGCGTTAGACGCCACTCTTCAGGCAGGTTCACTCCTGAGTCTGCACTCCGGGGACTTCCGCTGTTTCCCATCGTTGTGCTCACACCCACGCGGTTAGCAAGTGTGCATCGGGAGACGGATTTCGCAGGTGCTGAGCTGCTGGGTGGGTGAGCCGGGAGCTGGTGGAGAGAACGCAAAGGCCGGATGTCGTTTGGTTCTTATCTGGAAGATTTGAGGTTGCAAGAAGAGAACTTTCCTTCTCTGCAGTCAGGCAGAGCTCAAGGCAGGTCCTCAGCCTTGTAAGGTCAGCTTTTCAGCCCTGTCTGCCCACTTCTGCTCATGGAAGTCATGTTAGGATGCCTGTTTGTGTCCACGGATGAAGGGCTTCCCCTGCCCCCCAGCCTCATGAGTGGCAGCTGACGCTTTCCCGTCCCTGGGTGAACCTCACTTCCATTTCTCACAGTGCTGAACCAGGAGCAGGGGGAACCTGTGATCCATGATCTCCCACAAATCCCAACAGACATGTTCTATAGTTTAAAGTGGTTATACGAGTTCTTATTTTTGGATATTATTTGTATGTGATCAATTTACATGGTGCTTATTGGGTGTTTGTGTTTTTTATAATGTCGGTTTGTGGGATCTGGGAGAAGAAGGGTTTTTATGAGGAAGATCCTTGGGGAGACAGAAACCTTGATGCGGGGAGCTGTGAGCGCTCCACTCAGGGCAGGGAGCACATTCAGGACGGGCTGGGCAGAGCCTCGGAGGCTCCTGGCTGCCCCTCTCCGAGTGTGGGGCCTGTGGGGCGACTCCATTCAGGAAGGATCTGTCTACTTGATGCAGGAACAAGCCCAGTAAAGCCTGCACTGCAGCTGAAGGAACGATCTGTTTGTTCTCTAAGAGGCCCCTGCAGGCAGGAGATGTCTTAAATAACCACCCGCAGGCAGAGAGTAAAGGACTCAGTGAAGAAAGAAACTGGAGCTCAGTCCTTTGAGGGCAGAAACGCATCCCCCACACCCGTCGTGAGCTGAGCACGGCCACGCCTGGGCTTTGTGGGAGCCTGGCCAGGCCCAGCTCCTGCCCTTTGCTGAACAGGGAGTAAGGAGAAGTTAGATAGCTGCAGGGACGTCCTTGGCCTGACTGGTCTAGCCACCTCACTAGCACGTGGGGCAGATGAAGCTCAGGGAAGCCAAGGGACTTTTCCCGGATCCCCAGGGAATAGGACCTGAGGTCCCAGCTCCTGACTCCCAAGTCAGTGCTCTCTCTATGGCCCAAGGTTGCTCAGTACCTGCCAGGCCTGCGCAGAGCACTTTAGAATCATTAGCCCAATTAACCCTGACTGCCACAAACACATGAGGTTGGGATTGTACCCATTCTACAGATGAGAAACTGAGGCTCAGAGAGGCAGGTAGGAGGAGGAATGAGACCCAAACCTAGCACTGTGATTTCAAGGAGCCCTTAACTTCTATATGCTCATCAGATAAATATTCTACCCTGTGACAATTAGTATTTTCTCAGATTCAAAAAAAAGCAAAAGAAATGTTAATTCTTGGGGACATGGTTCTCTAATTAGACATTCAAAGAAATTCCCAGAACTTTGTGGGTTAGCAGTGATGTTAAGTTACTATTGGCTTCTGCCCCTCCTACCCGGCCCTGCCCTAAGCATTTTTCTGGTGTTTAGTTGTTGAAACATCATCACAAATTTGTATGATATGTTTTGATGTGACATCATTGCCCCTGTGTTAAGGGTGTGGAAACTAGGCAGGGAGAGCAGAAATTGCTTGCTCTAAAACCTGAACCCATGATTCCATTTCCTTGGATATATGCCTGGGTTGGGGATTTGGAAACCTGTGGGAGGCTGTGTTATTGAGGGTCATTGTTCTCATTCTCCATCTTCCTTCCCTGGATCCGTGTCCTCTGTCCGTGACTCTGTAGTTTGTGCATCTAGAGGCAGAGTCTGTTTCCTTGTCCTGTTGATGTTGGCTTTGGTTGTGTGACTTGCATTGGCCAATGGGACGTCAGCAGGTGTGACGTGGGCAAAGAGGTGGCATGTGCTAGCACAGCTGGTCTTGCCTGCTTGTTCTCCTGCCTTCCATCATGAGATAAATAGGCCTCTGGTTGTCCCTGTCCAAGGAAGATAGGAGACCCTCAGTACAGCAGACCTGGACCCAACTTTCAGCTTGCAGCCAAGAAAAGCCAGTCCTGGCTCAGATGTGATGAACCCCATCAGACCTGTGGACATGAGAATGAGAAATAAGTACTATCGTTTGTAACTGAGTTTGGGGGTGGTTTGTTACACAGTGTGACTGTGAGAGTAGCTGACTGATACAAAACTAGAGACCCAACATGCTGCAGCACTCACTAGCACCCGAATGCACCTGCCGTCAGGGCCATCTTCTCCGGACACACCATGCTTTCCATTGCCCCCAGGGCATCTTCATGTCAGATGATGGGTCCTTGCCCACCGCATCATGTTGGCCCCTGTTTCCAAGGGGCAGGACAAGCTCTTCTGGTCTAGTTCAGTGGAGCACTAACTCTGTGCATCAGGGGAGCTTTTGCTTGTTTGTTTTGTTTTGCTCTAATCAGACGTGCAAGGACCTATTGAGTTCTTCTAATGCAGAGAAAGCCTGTTTGGCTATCATTATGTCAGTTTCTTTTTGACTTTTGCAAACTTTCTTTCACTAAACATTCGTCAAACCTACAGCTGGCCTTTCTATGGTGACAACAAAATAACAGGAGTGTTTGTGTCCTCTTTGGATCACGCTGACATTTCTATCCACCCTGACATCTTTGCTGGAGAGAATCCAACTGTGCCCCCTCCTGACAACTGTTCCTGTTGGGAAGTTTCTTACTAAATAACCATCAGCATCATTATCATTGTGCGTCTTTTGGACAGGAAGAAGGGAGGGCAAAGTTCTGTCCCAGCCTATTAGGAGTCAAGAGGGAAGCAGACGGGAGCGGCTGACCTCTGACGGCTTCCCCAGGGGGCTCTGGCTGGGCTGCTCAGCTGTGTTGTCTCACAGCATATGCTTCACAGCTCCCTAGGACCTCAGTATCATTCTTACCATAGGACAGAAGAGGACAGCAAAGCTCAGAGAGGCTGTGTCACTAGCTTTAAGATTTAGTTTCAACCTTAGAGTTAGGCTTTCCCTCTTCCTGATTATAAACTGAAATTATAATAACAGCGAGTCAAGGCTTTCTAAACTAAGCATATTCACAGGAATATTGATTATAATAACCAAAAGCAAAACAAGAAAAAAAATAAAAATTGTATTGTCCAGAAATAGAAGATTGGTGAAGGCAGTTATCGTATATCTATATGAAATACATTGTAACTAATGAAATTTATGTTTTTGAAGGCTGCTTGATGGCCTGAAGAAATGAACATGGTATAATGTGAAGAAAACTCAAGGCAGAATCTGATGAGTAAATTAACAAAACTTCCAAACTAACTAAATTAAACATTTAGAATAAATCCTAATTTTATAAACCAAGTAGATTTTATATGTGCATTAAAAACACTGGAGTTAGATTTTATTTTTTCTCTATTTCTAGGAATATTTTATAAACTTTTCAATTACTTTTTAAAATCAGAAAATAAGTGAACATTCTTAAGAGTAAAAATATAATAAAAGCATAGAGCAGCCTTGAGGTGTGACGGGTAACTGTCTTATCATCTGGGACATTTTTTCATTTCACAAATGCTCCCTTCTTCTTTGGGATGCCTCAGGGCAGGGACCCTGTCTCCTCTCTGTCTTGGTGGCACCAGGAACAAACATGGCCCAATAAATAATTGATAACAACAATTGATAGCGCCTTGAAAGGAGTCCGTTCACTTCAGGTGGCTCACTAACTCCTCAAGGCTTTCTCTTAAGTGCATTTCATTTGTTTGATTTTTTTTTTCAACTTAAATGGATGAAAATTAAAGCCAGGAGAGAGCTGTTGGCTCGCGGACAGCCAGAAAGAGAAAAATAAATGAGTGCAGTCCCTGAAGGGCCACAGGGTGGGGGCTGGACCTGAGCACCTGCCGTGTCTGAAAGTCCATTTTTTGCCCAGTTGTTCTCTAAGGCACTATGATCTAAAAGTCAAAAAAGAAAATGGATGATGTATGGAACAACATTCAACATTGTTACTACAACATAAGAAAGTTGGATTTAGAGATCAGAGAGAACGGTCCCTGCATCAGAGTCACTTGCTAACAGGTGTGTACTGAGTACCCACCCCTGCCAGGCACTGCTCTGGGTGCTGGGACAGGGCAGGGAACAAAACAACGCCCCCTGCCCACCACCCACTGCGAGGTTACTTTCGAGTCTGGAGGACAAGCAGTAGCCATTGAACCGGCAACTGCATGATGTGCGGGAGGTGGGGGCTGTTCTAAAGGACGATAGAGGTGAAGGGCAAGGCCGTGTCAGGGGTCAGGAGGCCTCTCTGAGGAGGTGGGCGAGCCCTGGGAAGAGCATCCCAAGCAGAGGCACAGCAGGTGCACAGGCCCCGGGGCAGGAGAGACCTTGGTGATCCTGGGTGAGGAACAGCAGGGGGGCGGGTGTGGCTGGAGCCATGTGACCCAGGGGGAGGTGAGAGGAGATGAGGTCACAAGAGAGGGCGTGGAGTGAAGCGGTGAGGGGTGACCTGTGGCCTGTGGTCACTGTCTCCAGGTGAGCAGGTCCCAGTGGAGAGCCAGGGCTCTCAGGGGTCGTTCTAGGGGGAGGAGCATCAGCACCCCGGGGCCCTGCTGGGAAAGCCAGCTTTCAGGCTCTGCTGAGACCTCCTGAATTGGAACCTTAGGGTGGGCCTCGCCATCGGAGTTTTAACAAGGCCTCCAGAAGATTCTGACACTCACCAGAGTCTGAGAGACACAGCAGAGCTAGAACCCGGGCTCCAGTTTTCACCCAGGAGACAGGAGGATTCTGGCTGGAAGGGCAGGAGGGACTGGGGTCCCCCCCAGAAGGAGCGCCCCAGGACGATGCCACACAAGGTGGACATTCGCTCCTCCTGGGAATGTTCTCTAAGGGTTGCTTGGACAGGAAAGTGGCTCTCTGAGCTGCCTGGCATTGGAGATGCTGGGGTGAGTGCCCCAGGAGCAGGCCTGCACTGGTGACTGACAGGCAGGAAATAAACACCCCAGCTTCCCCTGTGTCTGGGTGACTCTGAGGGGCGTCCCGTACACAGATCCCAGGCTGCTCAGCAGGATCGAGTTGGGAAGGGGGTTCCAGGACAGGAAGCAGCATGACTAGAGGTGGAAGAACCTTGGCATATGCAGGGCACTGTGTGTAATTCCATCGGGCTGCAGTGTAAGCTTGCAGAGAGGAGGAGGGAGAGTGGAGTGAGATGGAAAGTGACTGATGAAATGTATGTCTCCCCAGGAACGTCGGTCACGGATAAGCCCCCAGTGAAGGGACTTAGGAAGCCTCTCCCCCTTCGTGTTCTTTCCCCAGAGAGTCTTCAGAGACTGGAAATGCTTGCCAGGGAGGAAGAACCACTTTCTGTCCTCCATCCTCAGGAGCACAGAAGGGTGAAGCTGAGCCCACATAGAGAAGCATCTCATGCTGTCTGCAGCGGCTGCAGCGCTCTCCTGGGGCAGGAGATGCTCAAAGGTCAACATGACTTTGAAAAGGGGCTGGGAGAAAAGCCCCCAGTGCTGGCTCTGGACTCACTATCCCAGGGCTCTTAAAGGGCTAAACATGACTAGATTGTAGTGAGCCTTTCCTAACATGCAAAGAAGCATCCAGGGATAATGTCTAAATACAGATGTGCTATTTCTCTCCTCCTTCTTTTTCAACTTTTCCGTCACCCTCAGTGTCCTCACAGCAGCTTCCCCTTGTCCTGTGACAAACCTGGAGCAAGGTGCTTTGGGTGGGAGGCAGAGTAACATGGGAGACCCTGAGTTCTGCATGTCTCTGCCTGTATTTCCCTCCTTCCTTCTAGTTCATGGAGGTAAACAGGTGTGGCGACTCCTCCTGGCAGGGACTTTCACAGGACAGAGGCAGAAGCTACTTGAGAAAGATTTAGCTCATCAGAGCGAGGGGCGGGGTGGAGAGGGAAAGAGATGGAGGAGAAGATTACTGAAGAATGGAAAGGTGCAATGTCCCCCAGGTCCTAGGGATGTGCTGGAATGCAGAGGGTGGCTGTGAGGTCCCACACCTGTAAGCGGGAGTCACTGGATTCCACAGGTGGCTGACCTGCTGACCAGAGATGTGAGCCCAGTTTCCTCTTCTGTAAAATCAGGCGTAGCCCGGTGGCTTTCAACCCTGGCTGTATGTTAGTGACACCTGGGAAGTTTTAAAGATTTCTGACGCCCACATCGGACTCCAGATCTATCAGATCAGAACATCTGGGTTTAGTATCTTTAGTGTCCCTCAGGTGACTCAAATATGCAGCCAAGATGGAGAGCACTAACCTAAGCTAAGTCCTGTTTATGAGAATTTAGAGACCAAGAAACACTTAGAGCAGGTAGGATCCTAAGAAATCACCTGATGCAACTCCTACCATTCGCAGGGGAAGAAACTGGTTTTCAGAGAGGCCAAATCATTCACCCAAGGACACAGAGCATGCTAGTGGCAGAGCCATTTCCAATATTCCCTCTGCCTCTTGACCTCCCTAGAAGACCCACTTGAAGCTCTCAACTTCACAGTAGAGCTGGGTCTGAGAGGCCCACATGGGATCCCTGATTCCAGGAAGGAAGCCCAGGCCTCCTGGCAGCTCAGTGAGTCACACTGCAGCAGTGGCCCTGAGGCCCCTCCTTGAAGAAAAATTCCAGGAGGCTTGAAATGCTCTCCAAGATATAGAAAAGGAAGATGTGCCTGGAAACTGGAGAAGATTGCACAGTGGATATAAATATTTGGGTTTTGTGGCTTCTTTTCCCCGCAAAAAATAAACATGGCAGAATTGCTTCTCACTGAAAGGGCGTCTGGGTTTCATAAACAGACCATAAAGAGGCACCTGGAGACCCAGAACATCCCCAAATCAGCATCTGTCCCTGCCTTCTGGCTGTACCTCCATCCTCCTCGGTCTCTCTCTCTCACCCAGGCTCACAATACAAGGAAGCACTCTTGCCTTTTGGAAAAAGGACGGCCTTCTCCCCACCACTTGTCTCTTGGCTCCTCCCACAGGTGGAGGGTGAATCTGATTGGTGGGAAGATAAGACTCTGGGCTCCTCCAGTGGGCGGGGCTAATATGCAAATGGTCAAAAGAGTTAGGATGCTTTTGGCGGCAACTAACAGAAAATGCAGCTAAAAGTGGCTTATTTTCTTGCTACGTAAAATGGGTTCCATGAACCAGCAATATCAGTTCATTAGAAATGCAGAATCTCAGGTAATACCCAACACTTACTGAATCAGAATCTGCTTTTCTCTTTTTAACAAGATGACCCAGGTGATTCATATGCATATTAAATTTTTTAATTACTTAGAGTCAAGTTTATTTTGCTTAAGCTTTCTACCTGGCTGAATATCTAATTACATATTAATTCCAAATCTTCCCCAACGCCCCTGCTACGTTTTCCTGTTTGAAAAAAAAATCACAATACCAGAAGGAATTGATTTCTGATATGTAATATACATTATTTAACCGCCTTCGTGCAGTTCAGGAAATGGGTTCCCCACATTAATTCATGGAGCCACAAAAAATTTAGTGAAATTTGGCTAAATAATTTTAGATTCACACGTGATTGTAAGAAATAGGAAAAATCTCACATGCACTTCACTCATTTCCCCCCAATAATACCATCTTCCTAATTATAGTAAAGTTTCACAACCAAAATATTGACTCTGATACAATCCATCTATCTGACCCGGGTTTCACCAGTTTTATATGCACTAATTAGTGTGTATTTAGTTCTTTGAAAGTTTATTACATGTTTAGATTCATGTGACCACCACCATTAAGATTGAAAACAGTTCCTTCCTAAGCATTCCTCACGCTGTCCTTTTATAGCTTGTTCCATGAAGAGCAGGTCTATGTAAACCTTTCCCCAAAGGCCCAGCAAGCTGAGAGGCTGAAGAAAGAAGCTGACAAATCCAGCTTCTATGAAAGAAACATTTAGTAGGGACCTACTAAAGCGATATTTCAGGTGGCTGCCAGACTGTGGATCCCTACACCCACTCTCCAGAAAATATCCTTTAGATAGGAAGCTTCTGTTTTTGTAAAATACGTGCAACTACTCACACCTCAGATTGTGACACTTGTGACCGCTAAGGAGGTTAGATAAACATATTTATGAGGGGTTATCTATGCTATAGGCATTGTTTCTTTTTCTTTTTATTATACTTTAAGTTCTAGGTTCATGTGCACAACGTGCAGGTTTGTTACATATGTATACATGTGCCATGTTGGTGGGCTGCACCTGTTAACTCATCATTTACATTAGGTATATCTCCCAATGCTATCCCTCCCCCCTCCCCCCACCCCATGACAGGCCCCGGTGTGTGATGTTCCCCACCCTGTGTCCAAGTGTTCTCATTGTTCAATTCCCTTTATGAGAGGTTATCTACACTATGAGAGCACCTTAGTATGCAAGAGTCAAACACTGGTCATCATGGCGGTTTTGCTTCAAGATGGTGTCACTCTTGCCACACAAAAGGTTGTTTTCCTACATAGCTATACTCTTCTCCTTCCTTCCTCTACTCCTAATGCTTGGAAACCACTATTCCGCTCTCCATTTTGATAATTTTGTCATTTAAAGAATGCTGTAGTGGCTGGGTGCGGTGGCTCACGCCTGTAATCCCAGCACTTTGGGAGGCCGAGGTGGGCGGATCGCTTGAGGTCAGGAGTTCAAGACCAGCCTGGCCAACATGGCGAAACCCCGTCTCTACTAAAAATACAAATATTAGCCAGGTGTGATGGCGGGTGCCTGTGATCCCAGCTACTTGGGAGGCTGAGGCAGGAGAATCGCCTTAACCCGGGAGGTGGAGGTTGCAGTGAGCCGAGATTGCACCACTGTACTCCAACCTGGGCTATAGAGCAAGTCTCGGCCTCAAAAAAAAAAAAAAAAAATCTAAGTGAGGTCATATAGTGCATAACCTTTTGAGATTGGTTTTTTTCACTGAGCTTAATTCCCAGGCGATTCATCCATGCCATCACAGGTATTAATAGCTTGGTCCCTTTCATGGCTGAATAGTATTTCATAGTAGAGATGCACCAGTTTGTTTAACTCATTCATCGAAGGACATTTGGGTTGTTTTCCAGTTTTTCACTATTATCAGCAAAGTTGCTATGATTATTCGTATATAAATTTTTATCTGAATACAAGTTTTCATTTCTCTGGGACAAATGCCCAAGAGTGCAAATGCCGGGTTATGTGGTAAGCGCATGTCTAATTTTTGGAAGAAACTGCTGAACTGTTTTCCAGAGCATCTGTGTATCAGCAATGTATTGTATGAGCAATCCAATTTTTCTATACCCTTGTCATCATTTACTGTTACCACTATTTTTTATTTTAGCCACTTTCATGTGGGTATTTAGTGATTTTAATTTGCATTTTCCTTATGGATAATGATGTTGAACATCTTTTTGTGTACTTACTTGCCATTCATATATCACCACTGGTGAAATAGCTGTTCATGTCTTTTGCTCATTTCCTAAATGGATTTTTTTTTTTACTGTTGAGTTTTAATAATTCTTTATATTATTCTAGGTATTAAATCCTTTGTAGCATAAGTGGTTTGAAAATATTTTCTCCTAGTACATAGCTTGTCTTTTCATCCTCTTCACAAGGCCTTTCGCAGAGCAAAAGTTTCAAATTTTATTGAGGTCCAGTTGATCAATTTTTCCTTTTGCGCATTGTGTTTTCTGTGTCAAGTCTAAGAACTCTTCTTCTAGCCCTGGGTCCTGAAGATTTTCTCCTAAGTATTTTTTTAAAAAGTTTTATAGTTTTACGTGTTACATTATGAGTCCAAAATCCATTTTTGAGTTAATTTTTGTATCATGTGTGACAGGGTGTGATTAATTTTTTGTCTATGTATGCCCAATTTTTTTTCTGACACTATTTGTTGAAAAGGCTATTGAATATTAAAGTTCTAGAAGCACAGGCTTAAATTACAAAGGCATTTTTTTTTTTACTCACTTAACAAGACGTCCAGAAAAGGCAACTCCAATTTGGCTTACTCTGTAGCTCTAGGAAGTCTCTGTCTGCATCTCTGGGATTCTCTGGTCTTCGCCTTGGGGTTTCCGGTGGTTGTTGTGGCTCCAGCATCACCAGCCTGTGTCCAGAACAGAGGAAGGGAAGGAGAGCTGGGAGATTTTTCTCCTGTGTGGCTTGGGAAGGCTTTCCCGGAAGCCTCTAGTAGATGTCTCTTAGGTCCCATTAGCTATTAATAGAACTGGATGACAGGCCTACTCGCAAACCAATCACAAGCAAAGGGGAGAGGATTACTGTGATTGGCTTTGAACCACTGACCAATCACTTTGCTCTGCTTAGGGCTGAGGCAGGGCCACCTTCCTTCAGCACATTGTTTTCTACTGGAGGGGTGAACAAAAGTGTGGCTCTGTTACCAAGGAAGAAAGGAAAGTGGTTGCTCAGTGTCTGCTGTGAACCTGGCTGTCCCTATGTGTCCTCTCTCCTCTGTGTATGTGTGTGTGTGTGTGTGTGTGTGTGTGTCTTGCAAACATCAGTGCACAACACACCACAGTCCCATAATTCAGTGGAGTGTGTATCTGCTCGGCAGACTCCACTGTCCCCACAGTCAGGGTCCAGGCACTAGAAGGTATGTGGCAGGAAGGTAGAGGAAGACCCAAGCCACAGACCCCCATCCAACTTCGAGTGCAAGCAATGGAAACCGACTCTGGATTCCTTGATTTAATTTTTTGAAGACATTTATAGGAAGAAATGGGTTAAGTCTGTAGGAAAATTAAATATGAAGAGCCAGATTCACGGGGCTTGGGGACATCAGGGCAGCTCCTGGGTCCTCTGTGTGGCCATCATGGTGAATCCACTCATGTGTCACTGTTCACCATTCAGGTCCCCACAGGAGGACAGGATGGTCCTGTCTTGGCCACATGTTACCCCCTGGACTCAGGGACAGTGTTGTCATTTGACTGAAAGTCCCTCCTCACCACAAGGACAGGGATGGGGAGTTTCTCAGCGGAAGCCCAAGGATTTGCTTAGGCCTGGAGAGCAAACCCCACACGCCCTCCACACATCACCTGCACAGACGCCCCTCCAGCTGAGCCAGCCTGCTCACTACCCCTCAGACAGTCTTCCCTCCCATCCTTGCTTGTGCTGGGACCCCTCCTGGAAGGCTCCCCTCTCCTGCCTGCTCTTCTAACTTTCATGATCCTTCAAGACTCTAGTTAAGCCACCCTCCTCCTCCAACAAGCACCAGCCATTGCTGCTGCTGTGTCGAGGTTTCTGAACCTCAGCATTATTGACATTTTGGGCTGGGCAGTCTCTGTTGTGGGACTGTCCTGCACATTGTACAGGATGCTTACAGCATCTCTGGCCTCTACCCAGTAAATGCCAGTTACACCTTTACCTAGTCGTGACAACCAAAACTGTGTCCAGACATTAGCAAGTGTTCCCCGGAGGGGACAACTGCCCCTGGTTGAGAGCCACTCCTTTTCTGAACCTGAGTCACTAAGATTTACTGCCATAGCAACTTAATTACATTGTGATGTTTACTTAACTTCTCACTGCTGCTTATTACTTTGGCAGACTGCAGCCAGCCAGAGAACAGCCAGGTTAACCCATACGGTGGCCCCACACTAAGTTGTCTCCCACACCGTGTAGGGATGGCTCAGTGCACAGGGAGCATGGTGGGGTTTGGGCTTGATGGCTTTGAAGCCTCTGCTAGACTGGGAGGCACACAGTTTGGTACCATGTCTGGATGCAACGTCATGTTCCTGAGGCAGGATGGTGCTTGTGTACCGAAGACAGTCTTGCTGGCTGCGGTGAAGGACAGAGCTCTCGGTGGATCCAGTGGGAACCAAAGCCTGCTGTAACCCTCCAATAGTAACAGCCATCCGCTCAACCTCTGGGCCCAGGCACGCCTCACAGGAGCTCTCTACGGGCACTGTCTCATCCATAATGAATTAGGTATCAGTGTCTGGTTTTTAGAGATTCGGAAACTGAGGCCAGAGCATTCTAATGTCCTAAGCACATTCATGGTGAGTAGGAGCAGAGCTGGCTTCCACCTGCAGGGTCTGAGTCTAGGGTCAGTGCTCATAGCCACGATTCTCGTAGGCTACCCAGGCCCACTGTCTCCTTGAGCACCCATGTGCCCCATGCAGCATGTAACTTGTAGGAAATGAAGGCGTTTGCCAGCCTTTGCCTGTGTCCAGTGTGAACTCATCTCCTATTTAGCACAAAGTTATTACATTAGAGTTACTGATTTAGTGGATACATCACTTTACTCTGTCATCTTGACAGCGATAAGATCTGCATTTTGCTCACTTCTGGATCACGCAATCTAGCAGAATTCTTCATGCATGGCAGGAACTCATCATTATTTGCCTCATTTAATTGAATTGTATTATGGTTCTGTGGACACTTCATCACACCTAACAGTGTTTTGCACAAAGCAATTGTTAAAAAATACTTTTCAAAGGGCTAAATGTTTGATCAATCAATAGGTTTTTAATTGAGCATCCTTACAAGTTAATATCATAAAGTGATGATAAAAGTGTTTTTATTACTGTGTGTTGGTTACCCGGATTAAATGTTTCTTGAAGCCTCAGAGTGCATGATGATTCAGTTCTTCTGATTTTAAGCTCGGATCTATTCAGTGACGAGATATGCAGGTCTGGAAGCCTCTGAAATTTATAATGTGGATGCTGAGAACCCATGATGCTGGTGGCCAATTTTGAAAATTGTTACAGAAATTTATATTCATTAGACATGATGGCAAGTTCTGGAATGGTATTCTGCAGAGTCAATTTAAAGAAATTTGTTTCAAGGAGATAACTGAGGAAGCAGCAAGCAGAGACACTAACTTGGATGTGACACCGCTGAGAGACAAAACTCAGCTTGATGAATGCAGCCAAGCCAGGAAAGGGCTGTGGACCTGTCCCAGAGGGGCCACCTATTTTCTGACAATTGGCAATGTTATCTATTAACTAGAAATCTGTTATGGGACAAGGAGAAGATTGCCTGCAGCTCTCGGAGAATAAGACAGTTGTCCTCTTGGCTTCTATATAATATGTCTCTAAGCAATGTTTTAGGATTTATCAGCGGTGAGATCCTTGGATATTTAACCAAGTCCCCCTGAGGGCTATAACATGGTAGTGATGGGAAATAGAGCTGGGGGCAGGGGAAGAAAAGCTGGGATGTAGCTGTTACCCCTAAGCACATTCTCCTGAAGTGATATCTTTGCAATAATCTGTTTCAATAATATGTTGACATGGGCAGTATTAAGACAATAATCAGAAGAATTTAGAGGAAGCATTCTGAAATATGCGAGTGCAGTGTAAGTGGCCAGAATGTGAGACTCCCAGGTGAAGTCGAGGGTGAAGAGTCTACATGGAAGTGTGCTCTCTCACCGCCCCCCTACAAATGGCAGAAGACTCCATGCAGACTCACCCCCAGTCCACCGCCAGAGTTAGGACCAGCCTCTGACTCTGCGACTTATAAGATGGGAGAGTGGGAGTGCGGGAACTATCCCCCTCTCTGGAGGAGGAGGAAGCCTCAGGGCTGCAAAAGCTGCAGGCACATTCTTCTCTGGTGCTCTGCCATGGGATTCATGCTACAGCCTGCATGACTTTCAGAGCCAGAGCTTGGAACTGCTTATCCTATGCTGGGAGTTTCTTTTGCCAAGGGTTGTGTCTCCTGCTGGGAGTGCAAATACATCTACATCACCTTCCAGGCAGGGAGGGAGAGGACTAAAAGACGGCACCAGCAAATCACTTTAAGCAGGCAGCAAAACCACAAAAATAAACCCTTGAAAATGGGACTGAATGACACGCCCACATCACTGATAAATGCCATTTTCAGCAGACTCATCTCTTCGCCAGAGAGATCAGTCAACTTGGACTCTTGTTACCATCACATTTGGCACCAGGTATCTGCTACACTCTACAACCATTCTCAAGTTCGTGTGCAGTTGGCCCTGTAATGGGGAGCTGAGTTGGTTTGAAAAGCCCTAATTACAAGGCTTAGTGTTTTTCTTTGTAAAAGGGATTTTTGAGTTTAGAAACAAAGTGACTGTAGGTACAAACAGATGCAAAGCTTCAAAAAGTAGTTTATTTTTCATTCTGTGCCTCTATTCACCCAAAGCACAACCCTCCACCTCACTCCATCCCTGGCCAAAAACTGTGGCAGCGGAGGTTGGAGAAGTAAGCACAATATTTTCTTTAGGCTTGGAGAGTAAAGACCTCCCTAGGTAGCATGTCATTTCCAAATGTTACTATCTTTCCAATTGATCTCATCCAGAGTTCTTTGTCTCAGGACCAAGAGAATTAAGGAGCATGGACACAAAGGGTGAGGTTGGAGTGAAAGTTTAATAAGTAAAAGAAGAAAGCTCTCTGCCACAGAGACGGAGCCTGAAAGAGGGTTGCCGTTTTTACAGTTGAATGCAAAGGCTTTTATAAGAAACTGATGAGGGCTGGGCATCTCATTTGTGTAAGGCTCGAATTTCTGGTAGCTCCACCCCATCCTCCTAATGCACCTGTGGCCCCTTAGCTTGAGTTACTTCATATTGTTTGTTCTTCTTACTGTTTATGTGTTAGCGGATGGAATTTTCCATTATGGGCATGTCCGGGCAAGTCACCTGTGTAGCCTTTATTACCTGTGCAGACGTAAGCATGTCTCAGGCAAGCTCCCCTGTGCAAGTTCCCTTATCTGTGCCTGTAGCTCGAGTTATCAGGCTGTTCCTTTGTTTGAAAGAATTCAACTGAGGACCCACCCTAACTGCCTGCCTGACTGGTTTCTTGTTTTCTCTTTTCTCACTAATTGCCCTTGGAAACTCAACATTGGAGATCCTCATGGAATATTGAGGTGCAAGGGGCCCTTGGAGTTGCCCTGTTGTTGGGGTGGGTACCTCAGTGAGTGAGGTCCTGCAGGGAGGCTGGGCTATGAGCCCCTGCACTCGGCATCAGGACTCAACTCCTCTGGTCTGTCTGGAGTCCTTCCTGGGCATTACCCTGACTTCTGAGCCCCTGCACTCGGCGTCAGGACTTGACTCCTCTGGTCTGTCTGGGGTCCTTCCTGGGCATTACCCTGACTTCTGGGCCCCACTCATGACAGAGATCTTTTTATACAGATGACTTTCTTGCTGGACGTCATCTTAGCCTCCTTTTTTTGTGCAACAGTTTAGAAGCTCCATTAAGAAAAAAAAAAACTTTATTTTTTAGAAGTGGACTAATACATACCTCAAACTGTCAACCCACATTGTGATGGTGGAGCCATGGGGGTCTCCAGGAAGTGGATTATTCCCTAGACCCCTCTCTTCCAGAGAAGTGCATGGTGTATGTGTGTGCATATGTCTATGTGCACTGGGGTGTGTGCCTGTGAGCACGTGTGCAGGGTGTGTGTGTGTGTGTGTGTGCGTGCACATGTGTACATATGTGGAGGCCAGAGAAGTTCCATTTCGGAAGTGAATCCACCATGTTGGCTTCTGATTACTCCCAGTTTCAGGAAGACTTCTAAGATTTTCAGTTTATCTATTGTTCCTTGTGTAAGAGCAGGTACTTACTGTAAATCCTGCCCTTAGTTCAAACAACCTTGATGTTATCTTACTTCAATAGTTCTACACATCCCTTCTGAATCACCCCTTCCCTGTGGGTCTGGGGAGTAATGGTGTGGGGATGCATCACCTTGTCTCACCTCCAACCAGGAGACAGACATGGCTTTTGTTTGCACATCCCTATTACATGTTTCTTCCTAAGAAACTGGATTTGTCAGCCTCTCTGTTCATCCTTTCAGCTTCCTCGGAATTTTGAGGGTAGGCTTGCATAGGCCTGGCTGCTGTGGAACAGTGTGCTTGTGTGAGCACGTGTGTTTTGCCTCTTCTGTTAGCATGATGGCCCTGGAGGCCAGCTCTCTGCATCCATTTTCTCTGTGAGTCCTGCAGCCCCCATCCTTAGGAGTTAACAGTGTCTGGTTTAACTCAGGTGTATGGGAAGAGAGCTGGAAGACGAGTCAATTACTTTTTCAAGTCTAGACCATCCAGACTGACTAAGAAAGGTGAAATATTTCATCATGAAAACATTTGGAGATCTGAAGATGGGTCCACGGCAGGATCACGTTCCCCTCGCCACTGAGATTGGTTCACAGGTGATCACATAACCCAGGGCTAAGCCAATGAATGCACAGTATTCCCCTTAGCCACTGGAATTGGTTCAGAATTGATCCAATCAGAGTGAAGACAGAACTTTTTCAATTGTAATAGACTATTTTTTGGAGCAGTTTTAGATTAACAGCAAAATCAGCAGAAGGTTTCGGAGGATTTTCACATATCCCTGGCCCCCTCACCTGTACATCTTCCCCATCAACATCTCACACCAGAGTGACACATTTGCTAAAATCGATGAACCTACATTGACACATCATTATCATCCAAAGACTATAGTTCACATTAGGCTCCATTCTTCGTTTTATACATTCTATGGGTTTGGATACATGTACAGTGACATATGTTCATCCTTATAATATTACACAGAGTATTTTCACTGCCCTAAAAATCCTTTGTGCTACACCTGTTCATTGCTCCCTTTCCCCAATCCCTCGCAACCACTAATTTTCTGATCTTCTGTCATAGTTTTGCCGTTTCTATAATGTTGTATGGTTGGAATCATATAGTACATGGCCTTTCAGGCTGGTTTCTTTCATTTAGCCATAGGCTTTGAGGGTTCCTTCTTGTCTTTTCATGTCTTGATTGCTCATTTCTTTTTGGTGCTGAATAATATTCCATTATCTGGATTTATCACAGTTTATTTATCCATTTGCCTACTGTAGGACATCTTGGTTGCTTTTAAGTTTTGACAACTATGAATGAAGCTGCTGTAAATATCCATAAGCAGGGCTTTTTTTGTGAACATGAGCTTTTAACTCATTTGGGTAAATAGCAAGGGGCATGACTGCTGCTGGATCGTATGGTAAGAGCAGGTTTAGTTTTGCAAGAAACTGACAAATTGTCTTCCACAGTAGCTGTACCATTTTGCATTCCTGCCAGCAGTAAATTAGAGCTCTTATTGCTCCACATCCTCATCAGCATTTGTTGTCAGAGTTTTGGATTTTCTCTATTTTAATAGGTGGTTACTGGTATCTAATTTTTTTTTTTTTTAATAGAGACGAGGCCTCCCTACATTGCCCAATCTGGTCTCAAACTCCTGGGCTCAAGGGATCTTCCCATCTCGGCCTCCCAAAGTGTTGGAATTACAGGTATGAGGCACCGGGGCCAGTCTCATTGTTTTAATTTGCATTTCCCTAATTGCGTACTACAGCGGGCATCTTTTTATATGCTTATTTGCCATCTGTACGTCTTCTTTGGTGAGGTGTAGTTTAAGATCTTTGACCCATTTTTAGTTGGATTGTTTTCTTATTGTTTAGTTTTAAGAGTTCTTTTTATATTTTGGGTAACAGTCCTTTATCAGATGTGTCTTTTGCAAATATTTTCTCCCAGTCTGGGGCTTGCCTTTTCATTCTCTTGACAGTATCTTTTGCAGAGCATTACATTTCAATTGTAATGGAGTTCAGCTCATCAATTCTTTCTTTCATGAATTATACCTTTGGTGCATCTATAAAGTCATCACCAAACCCAAGGTCATCTTGATTTTCTCCTATGTTATCTTCTAGGAATTTTATAGTCTGCATTTTATGTTTAGGTCTGTGTTCCATTTTGAGTTACTTTTGTAAAGGATGTAAACTGTGCGACTAGGTTCATTGTTTTGTTTTGTTTTTTTTCAGGTAAATGTCCAGTTGTTGGAGCACCATTTGTTGAGAGGTCTTTGCCTCATTTGTACTGGTTTTGCTCCTTTGTCAAAGATTAGTTGACTCTATTTATGTGGGTCTATTTCTGGGCTCTCTATTCTGTTTCATTGATCTATCAATGTGACCAGTACCATAGTGTCTTGATTACTGTAGCTTTACAGTAAGTCTTGAGGTCAGGTAGTGTGAGTCCTCCAATTTTGTTCTCTTTTACTATGTGTTGGCTATTCTGTGTCTCTTTTTTTTTTTTTTTTTTTTTTTTTGAGACAGAGTCTCACTTTGTTGCCCAGGCTGAAGTACAGTGGTGTGATCTCGGCTCACTGCAACCTCCGCCTCCCACGTTCAAGCAAATTCTCCTGCCTCAGCCTCCCAAGTAGCTGGGACTACAGGTGCACACCACCATGCCTGGCTATTTTTTTTTTTTTTTTTTGTATTTTTAGTAGAGATGGGGTTTCACCATGTTGGTCAGGATGGTCTCGATCTCCTGACCTTGTGATCCACCCACCTTGGCCTCCCAAAATGCTGGGATTACAGGCGTGAGCCACCGTGCCTGGCTATTCTGGGTCTTTTACTTCTCCATAAAAACTTTAGAATCGGTTTGTCAATATCCTCAATATAACTTGCAGGAATTTTGATTGGGATTGCATTGAATCTGTTGATCAAGTTGGGAAGAGCTGACATCTTGACAATACTGAGTCTTCCTATTTATGAACCTGGACTATCTCTCCATTTATTTAGCTTAAAAAGTTCTTTTCCTCAGAGTTTTGAAGTTTTCCTCATATGGAACCTGTACATATTTTGTGAGTTTTATAACTATTTCATTTTGAAGAGTGCTAATGTGAACGGTATTGCATCTTAAATTTCAAATTCCACTTGTTCATTGCTGCTAAATAGGAAAGTGATTGACTTTTGTATATCAACCTTGTATCTTGCAACCTCACTATAATAATTTATTAGTTCTAGGAGTTATTTTGTTGATTATTTCAGTGTGTCTGCATAGACAATCCAGACCATCTATAGGCAAAGATAGCTTTATTTCTTTCTTCCCAATCTATATGCCTTTTATTTCCTTTTCTTATCTTAGCTAGGACTTGCATTATCTAGGACATCCAGTGCAATGTTGAAAAGCAGTGGGGAGAAGGAACATCTTTTTCTTGTTCCTGATCTTAGTGGGAAAGCTAAGTGGAGTTTCTTGGTATTAAGTGTGATGTTAGCTGTGGGATTTTGTAGCTATTTATTAAATTGAGGAAGTTCCTCTCTATTCCTAGTTCACTGAGTTTTTATCAGGAATGAGTGTTGAATTTTGTCAAGTGCTTTTTCTGCAGCTATTGATATAATCATGTGATTTTTCTTCTTTAGCCTGTTGATGTGATGGATTACATTAATTGATTTGGAAGATAAGACTTTTGATTCACAGCTGGGAAACAGAAGCTTTTTCCCTCCTGGAAAGTGAGGATGCAAACAGTAGTCTGTGACCACGAGGAAATTCAGAGGGAATGAAGTCTCTGGCATTGGAGTCAGAGCAGGAGATGTACAAAGAAACAGAGCCAAGACTCATCAAACCCATTTGAGGCCCTCTACCTCAACTGGAGAAACCTAATGCTTCCTTTAAGGTTTAGTTCAGTTTGATTTTTGTTGTTGTTGTTTGCAACACCAAACATGCTAACTGATATATGCCATACCCCTCAGGTATTTAAGAAGACGGGGGTCAGGGCACGGTGGCTCATGCCTGTAATCCCAGCACTTTGGGAGGCCAAGGCGGGCAGATCACGAGGTCAGGAGATCGAGACCATCCTGGCTTACACAGTGAAACCCCATCTCTACTAAAAATACAAAAAATTAGCCAGGCGTGGTGGCGGATGCCTGTAGTCCCAGCTACTCGGGAGGCTGAGGCAGGCGAATGGCGTGAACTGGGGAGGCGGAGCTTGCAGTGAGCTGAGATCGTGCCATTGCACTCCAGCCTGGGCCACAGAGCAAGACTCCATCTCAAAAAGGGAGGCTGAGAAGGTGTCAGGGATGTTCAGAAAGGGATTTTTTTCTGTGAGTTGAAGACAGGTCTGTGAAAAGCTGTGTGAACTTCCTTCTAGCTGAATGACATAACAGATAACACTTGTTCTCTGGAAAATAGATGTGCACACATGCATGCCTGTGTGTGTGTGTGTGTGTGTGTGTGTGAAAGGTGGGAAAATAATATGTCTTACAGGAATAAAAAAAGAACACTAATATGGCTCTTTCAAACCTCAGCGAAGCTGGTGGGAAGAGCAGCTCAGGCGCATTTTGTGAACTGAAGGTTCTGTGCACCCGAGTAGGGCCTGAGTACTTCCAGGGAGGATGCTCGGCTTCTCTCTGCAGAACAGGGTGTGCATGGTCTACAGGGAAGCTCCTGGCCTCCTGCTGAACCGAGAAATAACTTGACCAAGGGACGGAGCAGGGAGAGCAAACGCTTCAATATCTCTGCCTAACTGTGTTTAGGCTTGCCCTTGAAGAGGCCAGGGTGGAATTGATTACCACAAGCACTTCCCTAAGACCAGAGATGTTGCCACATTTTCCCTGATGAATCCATTGTGTTGTCACCATGGCAACCACCACAGTTGGGGTCTGGCCTGGCTGGCGCATGCTTGCAACAGTTCCCTTTTAGGATCCAGGAGCATCCTAGGTCTATGAAATCTTGCCCTCAGCTACCACAAAGTCTTACTCCTCTCAGCAGCAGGTCCAAATTATCCATGCTGTAGGCCTCAATGTTGGCATGAATTGGCAGCATGGAATTCACTAGGAAGCATTCTTTATTTAAAAAAAAAAACACCCAACATTATTATTTAGTTCAGTTCCTCTGTTCTGGCTTCATGAAACTTAAAAATGCCCTTTGTTGGAAAAAAGAGATGATTTGGTCAGCTCTTGCTGAAGCCCAAATAAAGAGGGCTGGATTTCCCCACCTTGGGTCACATGATCTTTGCTAATTTTCTCTCACCCCCATCTAAGGGCACCCTGTAGCTGGACTTCAGCCATAGAATGTGAGTAAGATGTATAGTCAGCTGTTTCTATCCATGGGTTTTGTATCTGTGGATTCAACTGACTGTGAATAAAAAACATTTGAAAAAAAAAACCCAACAATTTAAAAATACAGATTAAAAAATCAATATGTTATGCAGAATGTGGATTTAAATAAACTAAAACAAAAAAACCAAAGTTAAAAAGGAAAACAAATTTGAAAAGTCAGTATAGTATAAAAACTATTTACCTAGTATTTACATTGTGTTAGGTATCATAACCTAGAAATGATTTAAAGTACATGGGAAGATACGCATAGGTTACATGCAAACACTATGTCTTTTTATACAAAGTACTTTAGCATCTGTGGATATCCGTGGGGGGCGGGGGTGGGTGGGTCCTAGAATCAATCTCCCAGGGATACTGAGGGACATCTATAATTGTCTTTTTATGAGGAACTCATCAATATGGTGCCCTAAGGCCAATTCTACCGACACTATACATGGTAATAGTCACAGGATTCACAGTACCTGTAACTGTGAACAAATATAGATCCACCGAATGGCTAAACTTGAAAGACCACAGATTCAGTAGAAGAATCTCAGTGGGAGCATCTAAGGTTAGGTTCGATCACTTCTTAAGTATAAACACAGTACACTTTTCCATGGACACACACATGTGACAACTCTCAGGGGCAGATACAGATCATTTCCAACAGCCAGAAGGCTTCCTCACACCCCTTGTGATTCAACACATACCGATATGGTTTGGGCCTGTGTCCCCACCAAATCTCATGTAGAATTGTAATCCCCAGTGTTGGAGGTGGGGCCTGGTGGGAGATGAGTGAGAGATGCGTGGAGTTTTTATGAATGGTTTAGCCCCATCCCCCCCGGTC
This sequence comes from Homo sapiens, assembly GCF_000001405.40. Lineage (NCBI taxonomy): Eukaryota > Metazoa > Chordata > Mammalia > Primates > Hominidae > Homo > Homo sapiens. The sequence goes on from NC_000020.11 coordinate 48,000,284, forward strand.
CTGAGTGAGTTCTCATAAGATTTGGTTGTTTAAAAGTGTGTGGCAGCTCCCCTCACTCTCTCTTGCTGCTCCGGCCGTTTGACATGCCAGCTGTCCCTTTGCCTTCTGCCATATTTGTGAGAGTCTTGAGGCCTCCCCAAAAGCAGAAGCTATTATGCTTCCAGGATAGCCTGTAGAACCATGAGCCAATTAAACCTCTTTTCTTCATAAATTACCCAGCTTCAGGTCTTTCCTTCTTTCTTTTCTTTCTTTCCTTCCTTCCTTCCTTCCTTCCTTCCTTCCTTCCTTCCTTCCTTCCTTCCCTTCCTCCCTCCCTCTTTCTATTTTCTTTTCTTTCTTTCTTTCTTTCTTTCTTTCTTTCTTTCTTTCTTTCTTTCTTTCTTCCTTCCTTCCTTCCTTCCTTTCTTTCTTTCTCTCTCTTTCTCTCTTTCTCCCTCTCTCTCTCTTTCTCTCTCTCTCTCTCTCTTTCTGTCTCTGTCTCCCTTTCTCTGTCTCTCTCTCTTTCTCTCTCTCTCTCTCTCTCTCTCTCTCTCTCTCTCTTTCTCTCTTTCTTTCTTGACGGAGTTTCGCTCTTGTTGCCCAGGCTGGAGTGTGACGGCACAATCTCTGGCTCACCGCAACCTCTGCCTCCTGGGTTCAAGCGATTCTCCTGCCTCAGCCTCCTGAGTAGCTGGGATTACAGGCATGTGCTACCACACCTGGCTAATTTTGTATTTTTAATAGAGACAGAATTTCTCCATATTGGTCAGAGTGGCCTCGAACTCCCGACCTCAGGTGATCTGCCTACCTCAGCCTCCCAAAGTGATGGGATTACAGGTGTGAGCCCCGCGCCTCACCCAGCCTCAGGTATTTCTTTATAGCCATGTGAGAATGGACTAATACACACACCCACAATAAACCACTACTCTGATTTCTACTTCCATAGGTTAGTCTTGAGATTAGCCCTGCTTGTCCTTGGACTTCTTATAAAAAAGATCATAGCATATTTAGTCCTCTGTGTCTGGCTTTCCTGGCTCCTTGCTGGATCAGTAAATGTCTCCATGCTGTTTATTGTAGCAGTGGTCCATTTTTTTTCATTGTTACATAGCTTTCCACTGCATGCATAGACCTCAATTTACTTTTCCATTCTATTCCTAATGGATATTTAATATTATTTATTTATTTATTTTTTGAGGTGAAGTCTTGCTCTGTCGCCCAGGCTGGAGTGCAGTGGTGCGATCTCAGCTCACTGCAAGCTCCGCCTCCCAGGCTCACGCCATCCTCCTGCCTCAGCCTCCTGAGTAGCTGGGGCTACCGGCGTCCGCCACAATGCCTGGCTAATTTTTTTGTATTTTTAGTAGAGACGGGGTTTCACCGTGTTAGCCAGGATGGTCTCGATCTCCTGACCTCATGATCCGCCTGCCTCGGCCCCACAAAGTGCTGAGATTACAGGCGTGAGCCACCACGGCCAGCCTAATATATTTTTCTATTAGGCATACAATTGCCATGGACATGCATACACGTCTTCTGGTGAATGTACATACTCATTACTCTCGGGTAAGTTCCCAGGGTGGAAGGACTGGGTAATAGGGGAGGTGGATATTTATTTAACTTTAGTAGATGTTTCCAGACATTTTTCACTGTGGCTGTAGTGACTTGCATTCCCATCAACAGCATGGGAGTTAACAGTTGTCCTACGCCGTTGCTAACACTTGGTATTGTCTGTCTTTTGACATTGTAGCTATTTGGTGGATGTGTGGACGTATCTCATTATGGCTTTAATTTGCATTTTTCTTAGGAGTCATGACATGAAAAATATTTTTACATGTTTATTGGATGTTCAGATCTCCTCCTTTGTTAAGGTTTGTTGAAATCCTTTGTTCCTTATCTAATTGGGTTGCCTTTTTCTTACTGATTTTTAGGAATTCTTTGTATCTTCTAGATACAAGTCACTGTCAAGTATACGGTATTACAAATGTCTTCTTCCCATCTGAGATTTGCCTTTTTACTCCCTTCCACTTTCTTAATGATGCTTTTGATGAATAGAACTTCTGAATTTTAGTGAGTTTGAATTATCATTCTTTTCTTTCATGGTTCGATTAAGAAATTGCCTATCTCTGCATGCAGTTTGATGGTTTCTGTGAATCAAGTGGTTAAAGTGTTGCTGAAACACCAGGGGTTCAGTCTAGGTCCTGCTGCTTGCTACACAGAAAGCCGATCATTGATACAACAAGTATTGTCAGGGAAGAAAGCTTTAATCAGATGCTGCAGGAGTATTGTCAGGGAAGAAGACTTTAATCAGCTGCTTCAGCCAAGGAGATGAGAGATCAGCCTCAAATCCGTCTCCTTGACTAACGAAAATTAGGAGTTTACATAGCAGGTACAAAATGTAACCATGTATGGGAAGACAGGAAATAGGGAGGGGTAAGGAAGAGGAGTTGCTCAATAGGGAGCAAGTGATGGCTTAGGCAGACATGGGTGAGGGGTCTGGTGTTTCATTGTCTAAATGTAGTCATCTGGTGAGTTTCAGTTCCTTGTTACTATCTGGGAGGCCTGATGGTTGGTTTCCTGAGAAAGAACTCAGATAAGACAAATGTAACTTTCTCAAGCTTTGAGACCAAACAGGGAGGATCAGGTTTTATGTTCATTCAGAAAAACCCTAAGCATCAGCTCTATGGGACATTTGGGCTAGTTTCAAAAGATAGGCAGGTGGTGCAAACCAGGCCACTGAGAACCTGTTTCCAAAGCTAAACAGCTTGAACAGGAAGCACCAGGATTCAAACCTGGGCTTTCTGGTTCCAAAGAGCACACTCTTACCTGTTGCATTGTGCTGCTTCTTTACTAATCAGGACTCCTTTGGTTGTGAATGGTTGAAATATAGCTCTTAGGTTAAAAAGATAAATTATTGGTTCATGTACAAGATCCAGGATGTCTCGCTTCAGGCATGGATGGATCCAGGTGCTCACATGACATTATTAGCATTGGGTCCCTCCCTTCTTATGCCTCTACTTTCCTCTGTGTTGGCTTCATCAGTAGAAAGCCTCTTTCCTTTTGCAAGCACCAGCTATGGCAATAGCTTCTATTTTTCAAAGATGGCTACAACAATATCCCCTGTTTCAGGCACTCATTTACAACGTGGCCTTGATATTCCTCCTACTGAGAAGTCAGTCTATGTCCTCTCTCTTTCATGCTGGACAGGCTTGTGACTCATTGGAAACCAGTATATAGAGGTGAGAATGATGCTGCACAACTTGTGAGACTAGGTCAGAAAAAGCAGTGCAGCTTTTGCTTTGTGTTTGGGGACACTTGCCTTTGGAAGCCTGAGCTGACATGTAAGTCCTACTGTCCTGAGGCCGCCATGCTAGGAGGAAGCCCAGACTGTATGAAGAGGCCACATGGAGGTGCTGAGGTTGACAGCCTCAACTGAGGGCCCAGCTGATTGCCAGCAGCAACTACCAGATTGAGTGAAGAGGCTTCTAGATGGTTCCCTGTGTTTGATTTTTCCTAGCTGAGGCATTGGACATTGTGGTGTAGCGACAAACCACTCTGCTTTGCTCTGTCTGAATTCTGGACCCACGGGACCCATGGAATAATGAAATAGTTATTTTGAGCTCTTTGATTTTGGAACAATTTGTTATGCAGTAAATGGAACACCAGGTGTATCTTCTTTCAGCCCTTTCAGCCCTACCAGAAAGAGGGTCTTCTTGCCAACTGTTCTCAGGCAGGGTAATCCTTGGGCCAGGCTGGGTCACATTCCATCCTAAGTCAATTGCTGTGGCTAGGAAGATGTGGTACACGGATGGGCCAGACCTGGGTCACAGGCCCACCGGGAGTGGACCAGCCCTGGGAACTGCCACATGGATTTGGGGAAAGGAAGAGAGGCTTTCTCAAGGAAAAACGGAATTATATGGAAAAAAATTGTAGATGGAAGATGGGAAGATGGGCAGGGAGAACCAACAGCTGCTCCTTCAGTAGTTTACTATGAGGTCACTGTCCTTTGCTTGTGGAAATGAGAAGTGCCCAGCAGTGAGTGACTTGTCTGTGTGTTTGGGCAGCTCAGCTGTTATGGGAGCAGGTAGGAGGGGCAAACCCAGGACAGGCTTCCAGGAGAGCATGTGGCTGTGCTGACTTCATGATGATGAGGACTCAGACAGGCAAAAAGAGCAGGAAAAGGAGTTCCAGGCAGGGGAATGGCATGTGCAAAGGCCTGGAGGCAAAGATGGTGCAGCAAGTTGGAGAACCTGAGTGAAGTTCAGTGGGGTTTAAGCCGAGTGTTAGGGTGAGGATGACAAGGGAAGAAGGCAGGGGTTGGGGCTGTAGGGGCAGACAGTGGCAGGGCCTTCTCAGCCACATGTGGCACTGGGGGTGTCTTTAAATGCAGTGGGAGACCTCAGTGAGGTTAGCAGGGATGTGACGTGACCATAGAAGGTCCCTCTGTCCATGGTATGGGGGATGAGGAGGAGGGGCTGCCCAGGGCCAGGGTGGTCTGTGAGGTGGGTGAGGCCATCATGTAGGTGAGAAAGGATGGTCACCTGAGCTAGCAGGGTGATGGCAGAGGAGGAAGGAATAGAACAGAGCCAAGAGCCATTTAGCAATCAACTCAGTAGGACTTGGGTTTGAGACAAGAGGGAGAGGGAGGAGATAGGGGATAAGAGAGCTGCCCAGGGTTCTGGATGGGCCTGGAGGGACGGGGTCACCAGTCACTGAGGCGGTGACCCCCAAAGAGCCTACATTTGGGGGTGAATTTATCGGGCTGAGTTGAAGGTGCCATGGGACACCCATGTGGACCTGCAGGTCTGAAGCCAGGAGAGTGGTTGGCTGGTGTGGCTAAGGAGTCCCCTGTGTGTCTGTGACCCCATGTGTCTGTGGTCTAAGGGGGGCTGAGACCCCCAGGAGGGGAAGCAGAGTGAGCGAGAGGCAGACTCAATGGAGGGACCCCCTGGATTTAGGAGCAGGAGAAGAAGAGGACAAGGGTGGCAGAGAAAGCCTGGCTGAGCATGGGAACAAGAAGGGGGCCTTCATCAATTCCTGCTACTATGACAATATGCCTGAGACTGGGTAGCTTATAAATAATAGAACTTTATTCCTCACAGTTCTGGAGGCTGGGAAGTCCAAGACAAAGGCGCTGACAGGTTCAGTGTTTGGTGAGGGCTGCTGTCTGTGTCCAAATGGGTAGAAGGGTGCCAGTCACATCCAGGAGCTTGGCCTCATGCTGGAATCACCTCCTGAAGGCCCCGGCTCTTAACACTATCACGTTGGCAATTGGGTTTTAACATGAGAATTTCAGGAGACACCTTCAGACAGTAGCAGAGGGGTAGACCAGGAGGAACGACGGCCCAGGACCACCCTCTGTGGACACCCAGGAGGGACTGGGCGGGTCCTTAGGGGGAGCACAGGGAGCTCCATAGGAGAGGCTTTGGGGAGCAGGGCTGGGAAGCCCAGTGGGAGTGCCGGGGTGAGTGGTGGTGAGGCAGGGGTGTAGACACTGACCGCAGGACATAGAATTTCCTTAAAGGGAGGAATGTGGGCTGGAGCGGGGGTTGAGGAGAATATGTATGCGTGGAAGAAATCTATGCAGTGTCCACAGTCTACAGAGAGGCCTGGGCTGCAGAAGGCAAGCCAGGCAGGTCGTCCCAGGCACAGGGAAATCCCCAGAGCTTGGGTTTACTGAGCCCGTCCTGTGCAGGTCTGGATCTGAACACTGTGTATGCAGTATCTCACTGAAGCCCCTCCCACCCGATGAGGCAGGGCCATCATGCCACCCATTTTAAAGGGTAGGAGACTGAGACCAGAGAGGGCAAATAACCTCCCCACAGTCACACAGCTTGGAAGGGGCCGAGTCAGGGTTCCAAGGAGAGCCTGTACCCCTCCCTGCTGCTCTTAGCCTGGCTCAGCTGCAGAAGCCGAGCCCCAGGGAAGGTTGTGGTTTGGGGCACCCCGTGGCATTGTGTGCACAGGGCCAATGAGGCGCAGGACTGGGGATGGGGGGTGGCCATGTGTGGCATCGTTGGTTTCTGTGGCAGGAACCAGAGTTGTGGCACCCAGGGCTGCAGACTCCGGTTCCTCTCTGCTGAGCCCCCTTTGGGTCAGGGACTCAGTTCCTGATTGTTTCCTGGGCTCTGGTTTGTGCAGTGGCTTGATCTCAGCTCGGTGCAAACTCTGCCTCTCAGGTTCAAGTGATTCCGTGCCTCAGCCTCCCAAGTAGCTGGGATTACACTCGTGCACCACCAGCCCTGGCTAATTTTGTATTTTTAGTAGAGACAGGGTTTCGCCATGTTGGCCAGGCTGTTGTCAAACTCCTGACCTCAAGTGATTCGCCCTCCTCGGCCTCCCAAAGTGCTGAGATTATAGGCATGAGTCACGTGCCTGGCCTTGGTCTAGCAGTTTTTTTCAGACCCAGCCCCAATGGGAAACAGAGGCATGCGCTGCAGGGGTTTGTGGCAGAATTAAGGGAACTGCTAAATGATGAAAGCACCTGGGGACCAGCAAGAGATGGAGCTGCCCAGAGCCCAGGGCTGGAGGGGTGGGTGGAGGAGAGTGCATGAGTAGCCCAGGGAGAGCCCTGCAGGGAAGGTCACACCACAGGGAGAGTAGGGAAGAGGCACTCTGACCTTTCCCCTCCTGCCTTTGACCTCCAGGGAAGAGTCCCCTTGGCTGAACATAACTGGACGCCAGAGGGCAGGGAGCCCCGGAGATGCGATTCTCAGGGGCCAGTTCTGGAACAGGGAGCCCCAGGCAGAGAAGGGATCCAAGTACTGGGGAAGGAGTTGGGGAACAACAAGCTGAGGCATCTGTACCTTCTCCCGACACTTTTGCCCCAGGCTGCAGGGGGAAAGTGGAGGAGAACAGAGGAGAAGGTCCCTTCCAGGCCCAGTCCAGGCTTTGGGAGCACAGGGTGCCAGCCAGGGGAGGAGAGGGAGCTTTGGAGATCTGGAAAAGCCGGCAGAGAGGAAGAGCTTTAAGGAGAGCTGAAGGTTTGTGACCATTGAAGTGGAGGGAGGGAAGCAATGACTGAGGGGCAATGAGTGGGCTCCGTGCTCAGCATGAACTCAGTATGGGTTATTCTATGTTTTCTCATTTTAATGCATTATTTTTTTTCGAAGTTCCATACTCTTATTACAAAGTTTAGGTAATATGAGAGAAGCAGGTGGCAAGCACTTGTCTCTCCAGATCTGCTTCCTAATAGAGAGGCTGGCCGGTTCAGGGCTTGACATTTCTGCTCAGATTAGTTTTTGAGATATGATCTAACTGCCTGTTACTTTTTTGGTGGGAGTTGGAAAGTATTTCAAATACTAATGTAAGAAGGCCACTTCCTTTTTTCACGTTGGGATTATAAATCATTTGAAACTGTTTGGGGACAATGCATTTTACAGACACTCTATCTGGCCAGGTACAAATTGAACATTTAAGCTCAAGTTCAAATGTCTCTCATCCTTGACTTTGATGTAAAAACATGTCATATTTCACTCGCGGATTGCATGTGAATAAGCAATATCAGTTCTCAGAGAATGGAACCACAGCGAAAGGGAAGATAGTGGTTGTGTTCATTTTCAAGGGTTGCCGTAACAAATTACCAAAGACTGGGTGGTTTAAACACAAGAAATGTATTTCCTCGGCATTCTGGAGGGTAGAAGGGTTGATTTCTTCCGAAGCCTTTCTCCTTGGCTTGGAGATGGTCATCTGCTCCCTACATCCTCTGCACGTGTCTGTGTCCTCTCTTCTTTGAGATGCTGGTTGTATTAGTCTGTTCTCACATTGCTGTAAAGAAATACCCAAGACTGGGTAATTTATAAAGAAAAGAGGTTTAATTGGCTCACGGTTCTGCAGGCTGTACAGGAAGCATGATGCTGGCATCTGCTGGGCTTCTGGGGAGGCCTCAGGAAGCTTCCAGTCATGGTGGGAGGCAGAGGGAGAACAGGCACCTCACGTGGGAGCAGGAGCAAGAGAGAAGAGGCAGGCGCTACACACTTTTAAATGACAAGATCTCACAAGAACTCGCTCACTATCACAACAACAGCACCTCAGGGATGGCGCTAAACCATTCATGAGAAACACCTCCATAATCCAATCACCTCCCACCAAGTCCCACCTCCAACACTGGGGACTACAATTCAACATGAAATTTGGGCAAGATCCAAACCATATTACTAGTCCTGTTGGATTTGGGGCTGGCACAAATGACCTCACTTAACCTTAATTACCTCTTTGAAGACCCTGTCTCCAAATACATCATTCTGAGGTCCTGGGGGTTAGGACTTCACATATGAATTTGGAGGGGAATCCAATCTGGTCCATAACAGCTACTTTGTTTTTAATGAAAGCAAGGCTTTTCCTTCTTTTTCAATGATCCCAGTTCACACCCAAATCTGTCATCTCCTGATTCTCAGAGGTATTAATCAAGCTGTCAGTAAGAATTTACCAAGGACTTGTTCTCAGATTCAAAGGATAGTGAATGGCACTAGGACAGTTAAAAATCAGATGCTAAATTCATAGCACATATGGTCTAGCTGGGAAGATAAAAATACTTAGCTTTTGTATTAAGTATTTAATTTAAAAAAACCCTCCCTTTTTATTGCCAGGAAAAACCTACAAGAGAAAAACCATGCTTGGAGAACATCAGAGATTCTTTTGGCTAGCAGAGTTTGTAGTTTTCAGTCTCTTAAGGGATATTTCATGTTGCCCATATACAAGCCTCAGACGCCCCATTTTGCTCACATGCAATAGAAAATTAGGCCATTTCTGTTCCAGTGACTCAGCACCAAAGAAGTCATCCATCTCAGATTTAAAATTAACTGCGAAATGCAAAAGAGACAACTCAGTATAGGGGGAGTGAAAGAAGTAAGATATTTTGCAAGCTTAAAAACATTTTGGAATGAAAATCATCCTTGTAAAGCTGGAAACTAGAAGAAAATTCTGCCAATTTCTTTTTGTAAAAAAAATGTATCTTGAAACTTTTAAGGAGTATTTTATCAAAGGATCCATTCCCAGCAATGTTATTTTGAGGATCTATTTGATACCAGCTGACATGCTTCTATTTAGCATTTCACTGACTTCAAAAATCACAGCACCCAAATTACAGGCTCTAACTGAAGAAGGGAGTAGGTCTGTGAGCTGAGTTTGATTAATGTATTCACTTCTATCCCTGTCTCTTTCTTGCCTTTGATAATGAGTGAAACTGCTGCATGAGTTACTCATTTATTTTGGAAGAAAAGAAAAGGAAAATGGGGTTTGGTGGCTCCCAGGTGAGCTGACTCTTCATGTACGTCTTCCTTGTGGTCATCCGCATTGAAGCAGGTCACTGTACACTGGCCAGGCTTGTGCAGATGACTTATGAACCTGGCTGGTCTGCTTTAGATGAAAGCATGATGGTGCAGGAGGTCCTGTGGTCCTTCTCACAAATGGCGAGGAAAATTCTTCACCAGATGAGTGTAGCCTGAGATGCTTTTGTGAAGGTTGACATCTGCTTGTGATGTGATGTGATGTGATGTGATGTGATGTGATGTGATGTGTTCCTTAGTCAGTTTCCACTGAGGGCAGATAAAGAAAGGCTGTATTAGTCTGCTCTTGCATTGCTATAAAAAGCAAATTACCTGAGACTGGGTAATTTATAAAGAAAAGAGGTTCAATGTGCTCACTGTTCTGTAGGCTGTACAGGAAGCATGATGCTGGTATCTGCTCGGCTGCTGGGGAGGCCTCAGGAAACTTTCAATCATGGTGGAAGGCAAAGGGGAAGCAGGCACGTCTTACATGTCCAGAGAAGGAGGAAGGTGGGGAGGAGGTGCTACACACTTTTAAACAATCAGATCTCACAAGAGCTCTATCACAAAAACACCAAAAGGGGAAGTCTGCCCCCAGGTTCCAATCACCTCCTACCAGGCCCCACCTCCAACAATGGGGATTACAATTTGACTTGAAATTTGGGTGGGGACATAAACCCAAACCATATCAAAGTCTCATTTTTTCAAGAGAGAGATTCGTTTATATGGTGTCTTCAAACAGGGACTTCTTTTCCTAAGTTACTCCACAGTTGACCCAACTGAGGAATCCCTAATGCTTCCTCTTGAGCTGAAGCAATGCATTCTCCTAGAGATCTGCATGGTAACCACCTCTTCAATCCCATCCAAGGAAACCCTGACCCAGTGACGTGACCTGCACTGTTGTCTGGAAGGACTCATCTGGGTTCAGGTGTTTCTGTGGTTAAGGTTCTCAAATTGGGATCTTTCGTGATTACCTGTGAATACTTCAATGAGGTTAAAAGTGTAACCAGATGCACCAGGAATGTGAAAGGAATATTTTGTATTTTTCAATGAACTATCCACAGCTAATACTTTTTATCTTCAATCAGTGTTTCCCACGTGAGAAGCCAGCACCACCACCTTCATCAATATCACCATGACTTTCATCGTCATCACCATTACAACCACCATCATTAATATCACCATCACCTTCACGTAACTACCTCCACAACCACCATTCTCAATATCACCATCACCTTCATTACCACCACTACAACCACCATCAATATCACCATCACCTTCATCATCACCACCACCACAACCACCATCAATATCACCATCACCTTCATCACCACCACCATCATCATCAATATCACTATCACTTTCATCATCACCACCAGCACCACAACCACCATCAATATCACCATTACCTTCATCATCACCATCACCTTCATCACCACAACCACCATCTCACAATCACTTTCATCATCACCACCACCATAACCATCGTCAATATCACCATCACCTTCATCATCACCACAACCACCATCAACCATATCACCATCACTTTCATCATCACCACCACCACAACCACCATCAATACCACCTTCATCATCACCACCACCACAAATCACCATCATATCACCCTCACTTTCATCATTACCACAATCACCATCAATATCACCATCCCCTTCACCATCACTACCAACACAGCCACCATCATCAATATCACCCTCAACTTTATTATCACCTCCACCATCAGCAGCAGCATCAACTTCATCATCACCATCACCACCTCTGCCATCAGCAGCATCATTATTATCTTCATCATCATGGTTTCAGCCACAATCGGAATCAACAGCCGTCACCCAGAGTTGAAGGAGGTAGGAAAATGCTTTTGTAAAGCACACCTCAAATGAAAAAAAAAAAAAGCTTATTGCCTATAAATCGACCATGGATTTCTTGGAAATAATTTCTAATTCATTCAAGATTTTAAGCATGCTAACTGCTTTTTATTATGAAAATGCTGCAGGCTACTTTTAGGGAAGGGCAAGAACACAGGGTCTAAAAATGGTCCTAGTTAATGGTGAATTTTGAAATAAATCGATGCTATGCTTGATATATTCTGAATTTTATATGTTCAAAGTGGATGGGAGAAAAATGAATCACCTGTAGAGAAAATATATGTGAATTCTCAGAGGACTTTTAAAAAGTGAGACCACTTAGATTTGATACAATTTGAGTTGATCCAAATCCTGCCATGTCACAGGGTTTATGAAGCCAAATCAAAAGAGAGGGGAAACATTCACCTGTGTTAATATTCATGCATTTATTATTGTTCTTTCTCTTCATAAAGTAGAGAATTTAAAGGTTATTATAAAGCTCTCCCATGAATTATTCTGTCCAGTAAAAGTAAGCAGCTGCTAAGGGGGAGAGAAATAAAACTGGAAAACCCAAGTAGTCCTATGAAAGAAAGAGTGTGTGACTATGTCAGATTTTGGGGTGTTTTCCTTTGCTCCAATGACCATTAGAAATTCCAATCGAAGTGAACTCAACTTAGAACTCATTTATGCCTAAACCAAACCACATCTTGCAAACCTGGAAGGTCCCCAAATTGTTTCAGGTTGAAGCTATGGGGAGTGTCTTTGCTTGGGTTCTCCCACAAGCAGAGCCTGAGTCAAGGGCTTGGGTTCAGATAGATTATGGAAGCAATCCCAGGAACTGGAATGGAAGGACTGGGAATAGTGAAATAGAGAAAGAGAAGAAGCTAATACAAGGATGCATTTTGAGTTAGTTACTGTGTGGCAGTTTTAAAATATGGCTGCAGATGTTTGATGCTCCTCCAATCTAGAGGTGGGCTCTATGCCCCCTCTCCTTTCCTGTGACTCTTCCGGCTAGCAAAAGTTATGCTATGTGATTTTCCAAGGCTTGGTCATAAAAGATCATTTAGCTTCCATCTTATTTGCTAAAACACTTGCTCTTGGAATCCTGAGCTACCATGCCTGAAGTCTGCCATGCTGGGAGGAAGCCCAAGCCACGTGAGGAGGCTACATTTAGGCCCTCTGCTGGGGAGTCCTAGCCAAGGCTAATCTGTGAGCCATTGCAGGCAGACATTACACAAGTGATTGAAGAATTCTGTCATGATTCAAGCCTCTAGTGATTTGAGTTGCTGGCAGTATTTCAACTCTTTCCAGCAGAGGCCTCACACACATTAGGGCTATGTCTTATCTGATTTTCTGACTCACAGAGTCAACGAGCAGAATAAACTGGTTCTTGTTTTATGTCACAAAGTTTTGAGGTGGTTGGCTATGCACCAATAGACAACTGGGTACACAGGTGGACAACTAGGCTCAATCCACTGGAGACCCTCTCAGAAACCATGTAGAATGTGTCCCTCATTGTCTGCTGAGACATCAAGAGGGGAATATTTGAATATTTGCCACTGACTCCAGACTCCCTCCCTTTCCAACCTGGCACTGTTTTTATTTATTTTATACTTTGCATGGACTTTTTCTCCAGATATTTGCATGACTGTATCATTTACTCCCTAAGATCCATGTGCAAAGTTTGCCTCCTCAAGGAGCCCTTTTCTCCCTATTCCTGTTAAATTGCATCCTCTCAGCCTTCTTCTCCTTCCTGCTATATTGATCTCCATGGCACTCATCACCCTCTAATAAACTATAACGTTTCCTTATTATTTGGGTTACTTCTTTCTTCTCTTTATTAGAATATAAACTCTGTGAGAGCAGTAATGTTTGTCTGTTTGCTCAGTGATGTAGTCTTGGCCCCTAGAAAGTGCCTGGCATAGAGTAGGTACTCCATAGACACATATGGAATGAAACAAACATGAAGTGAGGTGGAGAATCCTGGGGGTGAGGGAGAGGAAAGCCTGGTGGACAGGTGTCAGGGGAAGTTTGCTGGAGGAGGTAACAGTTAAGTTTGGCCCAGAAGGATAAGAATAGGCTCATTGGCTGAAGGTGTGGCAGAAAGGGTATCCCAGATGGAGGGGACATCTGTGTACAGAACTTGCCACACACGAGAAACTTAAAGGAGACCAATGTGGAGTGGTAGGAATGGGGGTGGGGTAGTGACACAAGATGAGACTGGAGAGATGGCAGGAGTGACATTGTACAAAGAAAGATGTGGCTCTTTGTAAGAGCTATGTCATAGGAAGGAGGAAAGCATTTGCCAGTTTCCTAATAGAGCAAAACATCAAGCTTTCTTCTATGCCCAAGTGTACCCAAGACCCCTAAAAGGTTTGCCTGGAGAGGAGGCACAGTGACTCTACGTCATCCAAGATCCCCTAGAAATGCATACTCAACTTGATCACTTAAATATTCAAATAACATTTCCCAATTATCTTCTCTTTTGAGACAGAGTCTTGCTCTGTCGCCTAGGCTGGAGTGCAGTGGTGTGATCTCGGCTCATTGCAACTGCTGCTTCCTGGGTCCAAATGATTCTCCTGCTTCAGCCTCCCGAGTAGCTGGGATTACAGGCGCCCACCATCATGCCCAGCTAATTTTTGTATTTTTAGTAGAGATGGGGTTTCACCATGTTGGCCAGGCTAGTCTCGAACTCCTAACCTCAAGTGATCCACCCACCTCGACCTCCCAAAGTGCTGGGATTACAGGCGTGAGCCACCACGCCCAGCCAAATAAACAGAATTTCAAGCCACGTATTTTACAAGTTAAAAATCCCAACTGGCAAAGAAACTCTCAGTTCTTTTTATCCCCTAGCCGAACACCGTGACCTCTTTACAGATCCTAAATGTTTTACTGAAAAAATATAGTGACCTCTTCCAAATGCATGTGGTCAGGATCCTCTCAAAAGCCTCTACGAAGACGTGGATCCACAATGAAGAGGTCTGCTCGCCCCTCTGCCGCTCAGCCTGTTCCTCACCAGAGTCACCGTCTCTCCTCTCCAGGCAAAGGTTGGAGGGGCCTTGGGTATAGAAGAAAGCTTGAAAGGATGTTTATATGAGGTCTTAGAGGTGAAGTCCTCAAACAGTAGACTCCAGCATCCAGATCTTTCCTAGGTTTGGTCTCTGCATTAATCAGGACCCTAGATTACAAGTGACGTTTTGCTCTATTAGGAAACTGGTGAGTGCTTTCCCCCTTCCTATGACACAGCTCTTACAAAGAGTCACATCTTTCTTCGAAATCTGAGACTGGGGGCTTTTCTACAGTGGCATGAGTTAACTTGGGACTGAACTGTCAGAGTGTTCCAGCCCTTTTGGCCACAGAGACTGGCTCAATGAGATAGCCAAGGGGTCCAGTCAGAGCCAATGAGACTTAGCTCTCCCATGGAAACTGAGGGATATGAAACTCACATCTCTATGGGAGTTGCTGGATCTGCCAGAAGCCACGCCACGCCACAAAGAGAGGCTGCCCAAGAATGGAGCCCACAGAGGGGAAGGCAGACCTAAAGATGGGGAAGAAGGCTGCCTAGACCTAGAACCTGAAGTTAACCATACCTGAAAGTCTATATTTGGAGTTTTAAAAAGATATGATGAACTAGCAATTGTCCATTTTATTTGAGCCATTTGATTTGATTTCTGCCACCTGTAATCTAAAGTCCTGATGAATGCAGGGACCAAACCTAGAAAAGGTCTGAGATGTGCTGATGGGTGCCAGAGTCGGCTGTGCAAGGACTTCAGCTCTAAGGCCTCATAGAGAACATCCTTGTGATTTAAATGACATATCATCTTTTAATTGGGGCTGATTTAAGCTTTCATTTTAACATTGTTCCAACTTCTGCGGGCCTCAGTTTAGATCACGGTGTGGTGGTTGATCCCCTGATGCTGTGTAAGCCGAGGACTGGCTTCCTGTGAATAAGGAGGCTTCCCAGGCTGAACCACACCCGAAACTCATCAGCCTCTTTTTATCATTTCCTGAAAGAAAAAAAAAAAGGAAATGCAAAAGACACAATAGTTAATATTTGGCAGAAACAGATACATTAAATTAAAATTTAAAACTTTGATTTTTTGGAAACTTCCTATGAATACTGTTTGGTTTGGACTTTCCTTTTGTGTCTACACTTTTCCTTCTCATTACAAGTTCAAAATGTTAGTTCTGGTTCATTTTTTATTTCTTCTTAAATACTGGCTTTAATTCCCGGAGGGTCCCATTGTCTACTAAAGATGTTTAAACATGATATGTTTGAGGTTACAAAGACACTTTGAGTATTTTCTTAAAAATTCTTTTGGTTTTGGCAAGGTTTAGAATCCATAAACACACTCTGTTCTGCGTTCTTTTACTCACTATTTACCTATTTCTTTATAAAGTGGTGATTTTCCTTCTGTTTGAGTTACGTTCATGCTCCTCATTCGTCTCATAGTTTGCTGTCATAGGGACAAAAAATTTATTTCCAAGGAAAGAATAATTTATATGTGTTTCCCCAATGGCCCCTAAATAAGTAAATTCCATCAATGTATATATCTGGTATTGGTGTATGAAATCTTTTATTCAGAGACATACAAATGAATCTTGGCAATAGAACGTGTATAATACAATCTTGGCATTACAAAGTGTATATCATAAGGGAAAAGAAGATGTCAAGCATTCGTATCTTTCCCACCAGTGGTTTCCATAAGCCGAAGCCACAAGGATCAGGATCGTCATGAGAGAAAGATGAGGCAGGATTTTGGCACCAAATTTCCTGTGGTTGGAATGTTGCTTAAAGTGAGTAACAACTCGCTGCTTTGTGTAACTGTATATGTGGAGTAATAAAGGCAGCCTTCTGTTATCAGTAATAGAGATATTTGTTTAAATTCTTTTTAGCCTGGGAAAACATACAATGATCCCACATGAGCCTGAGACTCTTCCTGGAGGCCAACTTTCTAGATTTTGCCGGGAAGCATCTTGAGGACCTCTTGCCTTGTGGTTGCAACACAGGAGGCAGCATTGATTCTCTGCCTCTGTCTTTGGGTCCTGCAGGGCAGGCAGCTGCCAGGGGCTGGTGGGCGCAGCCCCAGCAGGGTGAGCGCATCATCTCCAGGCCTCCCCTAAGAGACAACCTGAGCTTCACTTTGCCAGGTTTCCACTACTCTGGTTCCATCCAGAACTGACCAGGAATTCGCCAAGGACAGCCAGCTCCTCCCACTTGGCAAATCCACTATTTACGTCCAGGGCAAGTCCTCCAAAGGCCAGGGTTAACCAGGAATCATCTATCTGGCCAGAAAATAAATCCACCAGGTTCTTCGGTCCACCTCTTTGGAGAAGGACCCATGGAAGGGGGTCCTGGGAGCACAACCTGCCCTGCGGGCTCACGTGTGACCCAGGAAAGTTCTCCACCTCCTGTGCCTTTTTTCCCCCCAACAGGAAGTGGGCTGAGAGAAGCTCTGCCTTCATAGTTCCTGGGAGGCATGAACTGGTTGCTGCATGCTGAGCATTTCAAACTGGCACACGGTAGGGCTACCCATGTCTGAGTTATTGTTACATTGGTGATTCTTATAGCCAAAGGGGAGTTTCTAGTGCTGACTTGAGAAAGTTACCAGTGCCCCTGATATGGTTTAGATATTTGTCCCCTCCAAATTGCATGTTGAAATGTGATCCCCATTATTGGAGGTGAGACCTGGTGGGAGGTGTCTGGGTCATGGGGGTAGATCTCTCATGAAAGGCTTGGTGCTCTCTCCCTGGTAATGAGTGAGTTCTTGGTCTGTTAGGTCACTCACGATCTGGTTGTTTAATAGAGCCTGGCACCTCCTCCCCTCCCTCTTGCTCTCTCTCTTGCCATGTGACATGCCTACTTTCCCCCATGATCGGAAGCTTCCTGAGGTCTCACCAGAAGCTGAACAGATGCTTGCATCATGTATCCTGTGCAACCTGCAGAAACGTGGGCCAGTTAAATCTCTCTTCTTTATCAATTACTCAGTGTCAGGTATTCCTTTATAGCAACATGACATGGACTAACACACCCCCAAAGGGGGAATGTAGACAAAGTCTTGGTTCTTAGAAGGCTATTTTTGTGGCTAACATCCAGCATCAAATAATGTCTCAAAAATTTAAATAAACAAAAAAATATTTAAAGTCATCCTGTCCAGAGAACATTTGAAGAAATCAATGAAAATTTGGGGTCTCATCTGGATGTTGAAAGCCCTCTTTCTCCTTTCTCATTTTTTTCTGTCATCCTCTCTCTCATTCATTCTTCCTTTCTCCAGCTTTCATTCTCTCTCTTTCTTCCTGTCTCTTTCTGTCTTCCTAATTGCACTTACAAGATGACTCAGTCTCTAATGAGGGCCCTGAAGTCTACTGAGAAGTAAGTATAACAGCCGGAGTAATGAAGAATGTGTCCTTGATTATATCGGGTATCTGGAATCTTGACATTTGTATGCAGTTAAATTTATTTCCAGTTTACAGCCTGGGCTTATGGAGGGGACTGGGGCTAAGAAAGCACAGCCTTGTTCAAATGCAAATGGCAGTCTTGAAGGACCCTGTAAGAATGCCATCCTCTAACCATTCTCCCTCCTGCGGTTGAGGGTGCCACTGAGGATGGTGAGGAGCAAGGTGCTGTTTGAAGGAATTGCTCTGTTCCTGCCAGTTTCCTTCATAAATCCTGGGCTCAGCTCTGCCCAGGCAGCACCAGATCTGGGTCTTATGCTGTTCCACGGTCTGCCTGGGGCTCAGTCCCTGGGTCGGGACTGGCATATGGGAACCAGGATGCTGGTCCCTCTGTACCCATGGCCTCCTGTCCAGAAGGCCCTTGGGAGGGCAGCCTGGAGGGTCAGTCATTGGCGCCTCTCAGGCTTTCAGATCTGGCAATTTTTCAACAAAGCCACCAAAGACCCAGTGTCCCCTTCCCAGTTGGTGGTGCCACCAAATGCCCGGTTCCTCAAGCCAGTGAGCAGACAGCATCCTCAGGCCCTCCCTCATCTTCTAGCTGCCATGGAATCTATTAAATTGAAAATGCACCCCTGTCTGTCCACTCCTCTCCACACCCTGCTGCTGTCCCCAAGTCTGCACCTCTGTCCTCACCTGGGTCACTACAACAGCCCCCATGGGCCCTCCTGCTCCCACTCCTCTTCCCATGCCTGAAATCTACTCTCTGCGTGTATCCAGAGTGAGCTCCTGAAAATGACCATGTGGCCCTGAGCGGATGTTTCAGCGGCTCACACTGCACTGGGAACAGCAGACTCCACCTCCTCATCACCTCCCACAAGGCCCAGCAGAGTCCTGCTGGTTCCCCAGATCACTTCCCACCACCTCCCCTCACTCCCCCATCCCAGCCGCACTGGCCTCTGGCTCCTCCTCCCACGCCCCAGTCCTCCTGCCCCAGGGCCTGTGCACCTGCTGCTCCTGCGTTCTGGAATGCTCTTCCCACAGCCGCCCTCTGACCTGCACCCTCTTGCCCTTTGTTCTTCACCCAGGTGTCACCCACTCAGAGAACACCCCTGACCTTCCCAAGGAAGCCCTCTGCACTCCGACGCCATATACCCGTGATCTGCACAGGACTGTCACCATCTGGAATTGATTGCCTCTCTTCCCGTTTTGCTATTGTCATTTGCACCCACAGGAATGTCACCCACATGAGTGTGGAATTTCATCTGTCTGTTCGCTGCTGGATCCCTGCTCTAAGTAAGAAAAGGACCTGTGGCAGAGTGAGCTCTGGATGAGGATTTGCTGAGGAATTGAATGAGGGAAAGACTCAGAGAATGGAATGCTGAGAATTCTACAATAAATATTTGAATCCTAGAGTGTTGGAGTCAGGAGAAGCCCTCGGAAGCCATCTAGACAAACCCATTCATTTGCAAAGGGGTAAACTGAGGCTGAGGAGAAAAAAGTGACTTGCTCCACATCCCAAGGCCTGAGGGTCTTCTCCCTGCTCTGATGGGAGAGGGACCCCCTTTGTGCTGTTGTGGGTAAAATGGTGATGTGTGGCTGGAGGGTGAAGGGGCTTCTTCTGCCCTTTGACTCATTGCCTAGGAAAATAGGGACAAAAGGCGCAAATTTTTTCAAAATGCAAACAACTAAAGACAACGTCATTCAGTAGAGACAAAGTGGGTGTTTGGGTTGACAGAGAAACAGAAAAGCTTCCCTGAGGTTGAGGAGGGAAGAGGGGGCTTGAAGGTGGGTGAGCCCCAAATGTGACCTTCAACTCCTGGGAAGCTGTAGGCAAGGACATAGCCAAGGCAAAACCATCAAGAATGTAATTCACCAACAGAAACATTCACTGACCACCCTCGGGGCCTGAAGGTCTTTCCAAAGGTGAGTCAGAGTGGGTGCTTGGATGCTGATCTGGGGAAAAGGGGAAGCTGCCCTGAGCTGAAGAGTGTCCCTGCCAAATTCATGTCCACTGGAACCTCAGCGTGTGACTTAGCTGAAAACAGGGCCCTGCCATCTCATACTGTCCTCCTCGGTCACACTGGCTGGAGGCAAAGCCCTCTCCCCTGTTTCCGGAAATCTCCAACCCTGTGCACCTTTTATCAGTCTTCACTTGGGTGGATTTTTCTGTTCTCTAGAGCTCAACTCCAACCGCCCCTTTGCCAAAGGGCTTCCTTGAGAGCTGTTCTGGCAGCCGAGGCTCCTCCCTCTCCTGCTGGAGGTCCAGGGTCTGTGGGTGTACAGAGGGGCAGCCTGGCGAGGGCAGGGACTCTGGATCTTTTGTCCTCTGGTGTGTCCCCAGGACCTAGACCCGGCCTGACAGTAGGTGCTGCACTACTCCTGGTGAATTTATTGTTAGAAATTGACAGGTCCTTGCTATTCATGTCTGTTTCCTCCAGCCTTGCTGCTGAGCACATGATGAACTTCAAACAATAGCGAAGTCAGGAGCCAGGCGCTGATGACCCCCAGGAGGAAGCTTGCAGAGGATGATGGGACAGAGGGGGATGGGCAGGAGTCTAAGCAGGCGCTCAGGGAGGCCGCTTTCGTCAAGGATGCTGAAAGAATGGGGGTCTCATGGATTCTGGGAGAGATGGTCCAAGGCAGAGGGACAGCCAGTGTGGGCCTGGAAAGATGTGTGCCGCATGTCTGAGGGGCAGGGGCCAATGTGGCTGGAGGTAGATGGGAGAGGAGGACACTAGGGGCTGAGGTCAGAGGGGACACAACTGGATCTGTGCGAGACCTTGCATGCCACTGAAAGGGCGCTGGCTGTCACTGTCGTGACCAGAGCCTCTGGGCAGGTCTTCACAGAGGTCAGGCTGACTGCACTTGCGGATGGATTGAATAGCAGTAGTTAGAGGACAGCATGCATGGCTCAGGGAGGATTCCCAGGATTTGGGATGCACAGCTGGAAGAAGGGAGGAGCTCCTGAATGAGGAGTGGGAGGTCCGGGAAGGGCAGCCTTGGTGGGGAGAGACGCCGGGACCTGCAGAGAAACTCCCTGAAAAGAACAGGGCTGAGCCATCTTTACCCCAGGCTCAGGACCTTCCTTCGCTGTAACTGCCAGGACAATCCACTGTGCTGTCACTCAGAGAGCGAAACCAGCCTGACTTTGCACCTGTGTCTCCAAGGGATAAAGGTCAATGTCACAGCAGACTCCACTCTGATGCTGTCTTCAAGCCAAAACCTTAATATTCAATGAGAAATCTGCATTGATGAAATTTTCATTAAACAAACTTTATCCCTCTCACTCCTCTTGTTATTCGTGGCTTTAAGTATCAGGCTAATTTAGGCTTGATGCCCCAGTGATCTGCAGATTGGAGCATTATTAAACATTTAGATGAGCAATGATGAGCCTGAGCCTCCCTCTCCTCTCTCAGCTGGAGCACAGGGGGCTCTGCTAATGATCACAATGGATTTGGGGCAGACACAGCAATTAGAGAATTATCTATAGTTTGAGCAAGATTTGACCCCTCTGTCTTCAAGGGAAATTAGCTGCTTGACTTACAGAGCACACAATTTAATTGATAAAATGTATGAAAAGAAAATTCCAGCCTTAGAGCCAGTTTTACAACTAACAAGCTGTGCAAATGCCTGAGCAGACCCCTCTTTCTTTCTGTACCTCCTCTTGCCCCATCCGTAGAGTAAGGAGGGCTAGACCAGGGCAGAGGCTTCCACATGTGGGCTGTGGGCTGAAATCAGCCTGGAGAGGGGCTCTGTCTGGCAAACTGTTTCATTTGTTTGTTTAGTGAACACTTTCCTAGCACTCATGATTTTGGGTTCTGTGTGTTTCATGTATGTTAACTTGTCTCATTCTCCCAATACCCCTTGAGATAGGCACTCTTATTATTCCCATTTTAGAGATGGGAAAACTCTGACCAAGAGGGGTTCAATGCCTTACTGTGGGTCATCTGCTGGGCAGGAGTAAGGCAGGGTTTGGACCCAGATGGTCTGGTTCCACAGCCTATGCTATAAACTTCTGTGCCAAACTGTTTTTATTATTATTATTATTATTATTATTATTGGAGGCATAATGTTTAAAATGAAATTGTCAGAAATTTAAGTGTGTGTGTTCTTGACATCAAACAGCTTATATGTTACAATAACGGAGCTCTCCCAATACTCAGTCCGCCTTCCTATCTTGCCACAGGCAGCTATTACCAACGTGCCCTTAGGGTGGAACATTCTCCTCCTGGTCTACCTCAGTCCCTCCAGTCCTAGAGTCTCCCCATCACCACGGCCAAATATAGCTCATCTTTGATAACTGAATTTACCCTCTTGATCATGCTTGGATTGCTTCATTGTTTGACTTACCTGCTTGGTGCTGGTAGGCATTTAGGAGTTGTTTGAAGGCATCAGAAAGCAACCCAGGCTGCCAGGACTTGAGGGTCCACGATCCCATGGAAAAGCGAACTGCAACGAGGTAAGCCCTACATTCTCCTTGAAGCTAGTAGCCTTGAATCTCCTTGAGCTAGTAGCCAATTTGTAAGTGCAGAGGGGTTGAGAAAGCAGAAAGCAGTGGCTCAGAGTTGTATGCCAAGTTCACAGATCTGGGGAGACGAAAGTTGACATTCAAGCTGACAAGAAAGCCAGGGTTTGAGGGACAGAGATGTCAGAGAAAATGGGACCCCTGACAGTGAGTCTGAATTTCTGTATCAGTGTTTGCTGATCCAGAATGAGATGCTCAGAAGCCGAGCTGAAAGTGGGCCCCCAAAAGCTAAGAAACCAAGCAGTTTTCATCAATATCATGATGCCGTAACAACAAAAATTAGGGTTTAAGACTCAACAAACAGGAGTTCTGGAAAATATGCAAGTCTTTCAGTTGAGGTCCTCCAAGGAATTGCCCTAGAAGAAAGATCAAACCAAAATAAAGTAGGCCTTATAAAGACAGAAAATCAGCCTTAAATTACCTTAATCCCAGATTGATTAAGGTAATCTGTGCCTACCATCGTGGTTGACAGAAGAATTTATTCTCTGGGAAAAGATATCAAGAGACACTCAGTTTTTCAAATAAAATAGCCAGAAGTCATAAAAAAAAGTCATCAGAAGTATTAATAACAGGAGCAGGTGCAAATGACCAAAAACCAAGCAATAAAAAAAATAGACAACAAGAAAAGACCCACAGATGATTAGTTACTGAAATGATCAGATACAAACTTTGAAATAGCAATTAGTGATATATTAATTTAAAAAATGAAAAGCTGGAAAATTTCATCAGAAAAATGGAATTTATAAAGCAGAATCAGATGAATAGTCTCAAACTGAAAAATAAAATAACTAAAATTGAAAATACAAGTGATAGGTACATCAACAATTTAGACAAAGCAGGAGATAGGTGTGTTGAAAATCTACAGGCTGAGGTATGGCATAAAAACTTTGAAAATATAAAAAAGAGCATCAGAAAATATAGAATATGATGAAAGATCTAAATACACGTAATTGAAATTCTAAGGCTGGGTGCGGGGACTCATGTCTATAATCTCAGCACTTTGGGAGGCCAAGGTAGGTGAATTGCTTGAGCCTAGGAGTTTGAGGCCAGCCCGGGCAACGTGGTGAAATCCCGTCTCTATGAAAAATACAAAAATTAGCATAGCTTGGTGGCAGGCATCTGTAATCCCAGCTACTCGGGAGGCTGAGGCAAAAGAATCACTTGAACCTGGGAGGCACGGGGTGCAGTGAGCTGAGATCGTGCCACTGCACTCCAACCTGGGCGACAGAGTGAGATCCTGTCTCAAAAAACAAAACAGGAAACAAATTCTACAGAAGCACTATATGAAAATATATTAGCTGAGGATTTTCCAAAGCTAGTGAAATACGTGAAATCAAAGATTCAAGCACTCCTAGCATAATAAAAACAAGGAAAGATACACTTCACCACATCATAGTAAAACTGCCATGAGTGAAAGACAAAGGGAACATCTTAAACACAACCAGAGAAAAACTATACATTTCCTTCAAAGAAGAAACCATAAGTAAACGGCGAATTTCTCAATAAGATCGATGGAAGTGGAAGATAACAGAATGACATAGATTCAACTGCTGAAAAAACATAATTGCCTGTCTACAATCTTATACCCATCAAAAATATGCTTTGAAAGCGAAGATGAAATAAAGGCATTTTTAGAGAAGTGAAAATCGACAGACTTTATTGCCAGCAGATCTGCACTACAATGAACACCAAAGAGAGTTCTTCGGGCAGAAGAAAAATGATTCTAAATGGAAGTGTAGACGCGCAAGAAGGAACGGAGAGCCACAGAAAGGGTTAATACATTGGTAAATTTAATGAGTACACAAAACAATAACAAGAATGTCCCGTGGGGCTTACCGTATCTGTAGAATTAGATGATGTGACAGGGATGATGCGTCTATCCAGGAAAAATGTTTAATGGTGTTACAGTGCTCTATGGTTCCTCATTGTCCAGGAAGTGGCAAGACTCTAATTTAGGGCAGACCAGAATGACTGGAGGAGATATGTTATAATCCCTAGTATTACAGTGAAAGAATAATGAAGAGATTAAGATGAACGAGTTAATTGGAATTGACAAAATGGAATAATAAAAATACTCGATAAGAAGAAATAAGGCAGAAGAAGAGAAAGGTGATGCAAATCGAAAACAAATAGTAAGAAACCAGACCTAAATTGTATGAATAACTGCATTAAATATAAACAGAAAGACCAGTCTTATTTTTAATCCGTAGAGATAAATGGGTCTGTTTCTCATCTACTCCAAAATATTTCCAAGGTAGATGTGTGTATGAATCCCCTGAGGAGCTTTTAAAAATGTTTAATTCTCTGAGCCCAATTTCAGTAGTTTAGGGGTGGGATTTGAGAATCTGCATTTTTAATAAGACTCAGACCATTCCTGGAGAAACAGTGACCTCGCCTGTGGAATGGGAGGGATAGGGATGAGGGGTAAACTGTTCACAGACCGCTTTAGTTGTTGTGGAGCTTGGAGCTTAGCAAGGGGCTGGTACAAAAACACAAATCAACGCAATGCAATAAATTGTGAAAGAATTGTCTTCTAGGAGGGACCTCTGTTCTCCTGCAAATGGCAGATGAGAGGAGTCACAGGTTTTCTCTCCTCTTAATTATTCAGATCTTGGCACCTGAGGAGCAGACCAGCTGGGGTTAGGAATCCAAAGCAGGGCAGGATCCGTCCACACACTCGTGTGTTTATTTATTTATGCAGCTCCAGCAAAGAAAATTAAAAACAGGGCTGGCCCCTGGCTGGGAGATGGAGCCTGACACTGCATATGCGTCTGTGAGACTCAGTCTGGTCCCGGATGCCCGACTCCTCGAGGTCTGTCTGTGCACTGGGCCAAGGCCCTGCTGGCCACAGAACATAGGCGGTGAGGGCTGCATAGGGAGGGGCTGTGGTTTCAGAGGCTGACGCAGCTGGCTGGCCTTCTGCTCCTTGTCTCCCGGAGGCTCCCTGCCCTCAGCAATAGAAGGTAAGACAAGGATCACATCCCAAGGTGGGAGGGGGCTCGTGCCAGCCCTGAAGGTGGTTGGAAGGTCTTTTTGTAGCAGCCAGGAAGGGCTGGCTCTGCTTCTAGATCCACAAAGCTGCTTGGATGGGGGCCGTCTCAGGCGGAGGGCCACGAGGGCTGAGGAGTGCAGGTCTACTCTGCCTCGGGCTGCCCAGGCGACATGCCCAGGGGTCTGTGTTTCTCCTGGAGCCTGTCAGGTTTGGGAGCACCCAGTGTGGTGGCCCAAGGTCCGAGGTCCAATCTAGGGAGGCAGTGGTGTTGGTGAACCTGGCCATGCTAACTTTGCTTAACTCTACCAAAAAAAAAAAAAAAAGAAAAAAAAAAAAAGGAAAGAAAGAAAGGTGTGGTAGGATATGGGTGACTTCTCTCTTTTGTCTTTTTCTGTTTTTAAGTTGATAGAATGTTTTTGTGTTTTGAACAGTTTAAATTAAGCAAAAAGTACAGAACGTTCCTATAAATCCCTTCAATACCCTGGTCCTTGCCACTTTCCTCTATATTACCATCTTACTAAACATTTGTTAGAATTGATGAGTCAGGGCAGGGAATTTAGGGGTGGATTAGTAACTGCTATGGAGAAAACTAGGGAAGTGGGAAAAGTTCAAAGTCATTATTCATTTTCGAGAAAACAAAAACGAAACAGAACAAGAAATGTGTAAAAGAAAGATGATTAAATTTTATACCTCATGGCTCAGTTGTGGATGCTTTTACCCACGGTGGTGTAAACACTGAGCATTTCTCTTTCTCCAGCTTTCTGGAGGTATAATTGACAAATAAAAATTATATATATTTAAAGTGTGCAAAGTAATGTTTTGATGCATGCATATGTTGTGAGATGAATACTACGATCAAAGTAATGAACATATCTGTCACCTGATGTAGTTGCCTTTTTTTGTGTGGTAAGAATACTTAAGATCTATTCTCTTAGAAAATTTCACGTGTACAATATTGAGTATAAATATACAGTACATTATTCTTAATGAGAGTCACCATGCTGTACATTAGGTCTCTGAAAATGTGTACCCTTTGGACTGTCTCCCCATTTTTAACGTCTTTCTCCCTCCCCTCCCCTCCCCTTTCCTTCCCTTCCCTTTGACAGGGTCTTGCTCTGTTGCCCAGGCTGGAGTGCAGTGGTGTGATCTCGGCTCACTGCAGCCTCTACCTCCCAGGCACAAGCGATCCTCCCAACTCAGAATCCCGAGTAGCTGGGACTACAGGCATGTGCCACCACACCCAGCTAATTTTTATTTTTTGTAGAGATGGGGTCTGGCCATGCTGCCCAGGCTCCTCTATATTTCTTACATATGTGAAGGCTCGATATGGCTCTCCCAGGAAGATGGGCAAAGGGGAATGTGTGAGGGGCTCTGGTCTGAGAACGAAATCCTCATGATTTTTGCTTCACAGCCAGTAGACAGTAGGTAATAACTAGAAAAAAGAGCAAATAGCAACCTAAACATATTACTCAGAAATGAGGTGATACTCGTAGACATGCTAAAATTGCTGAAAATGGTTGTTCCTGGAGAGTAGTAGTGGGGGTTGGTGTGGGAAACTGCAGCTTTTCATTATCAGCCATGTAATCCTATTACCCTGTATGACTTTGATAAAAATTTGAAAGAATATGTATTTTTGGTGTCGATTTCATATGTAAATAGATGCCTCTGAGCCAGAGTCAGCCCTCACACCTCTCTCTGTCCTTCCCACCCCCAACCTGGTAGCAAATCCTGTCGGTTTCACTGAGTTCACCTCTTAGCATGCCACCTCTCCCGCTGTGGCCCTAACTGCCATCATCTCCCGTTGGATTCTTGCGGGTGCCTCTTCCTGGGTCTCCTTGCTCCTCCTTGGCTGCAGACTGCCTTGCAGATGGTCTATTCCCCACAGAGCCCGGAGGGTCTGCCAACAGTGGAGTCATCTCTGCCACTCCTCAACTCACAGCAGCCTGTGGCTTGTCTCCTCCCATGGAGTAAAAGCCAATGATGTTACAAGAATCCACAAGGCCCTGGAGGGCCTCACCATTCCCCTCACATCTATCTGTCCTGCAGCACAATGCTGGTCCATGCCCAAGAGAGACTGTGTTGCCTGGAACACAACAGGAGCTCAGCACAGCCGAGGCTCAGGGCAGAACACGCTTCTCCTCCGACAGAGCAGGTGTTAAGGAAGTGCCTGCTATTGCGGTCACTGTGAACATTATTATTCTAGAATATGAGCACATTGTGAGACTCTTGCTGACTTGTTTGGTGTTTTGTACTGTTTTTTTTTTCTTTTTTTAAAAATTTTCATTTATTATTTTTGCTTTTTTATTAAAAAAATTTTTTTTTTTTTTTGTAGAGATGGGTGGGTGTGGTGGCATGTGCCTGTAGCCCCAGCTACTTGGGAGGCTGAGTTGGGAGGATCACTTGTGCCCAGTAAGTTGAGGCTGAAGTGAGCTAAGATCATGCCACTGTATACTCCAGCCTGGGCAACAGAACAAGACCCTGTCTCAAAAAAAAAAAAAAAAAAAAAAAAAAAAAAAAGGCTGGGCGCGGTGGCTCACACCTATAATCCCAGCACTTTGGGAGGCCGAGGTGGGCAGATCACCTGAGTTCGGGAGTTTGAGACCAGCCTGACCAACATGGAGAAACCTTGTCTCTACTAAAAATACAAAATTAGCCGGGTGTGGTGGCACATGCCTGTAATCCCAGCTACTCAGGAGGCTGAGACAGGAGAATAGCTCGAACCTGGGAGGCAGAGGTTGCGGTGAGCCGAGATTGCACCACGACACTCCAGCCTGGGCAACAAGAGCGAAACTCCATCTCAAAAAATAAAATTTAAAAAAAAAATAGAAGTACATTAAAAATGGGGAGACAGTCAAAGGGTACACATTTCCAGAGACCTAATGTACAGCATGGCCACTCTCATTAAGAATAATAGATCTCCCTATATTGCCCAGGCTGGTCTCAAACTTCTGGGCTTGGATGATCCTCCCCCCTCAACCTCCCAAAGTGCTGGGATTAAAGGTGCTAGCTGCTGTGCCCGGCCTATACTCTTTCGAGTGGCAGCTTTATACACACGAAGCAGGCTACAACTGCTGGTTTCTCATGTATGAGGGAAACACGAAATGATGGAGATTCACTCCTCTTCGTCACCCTAGAGGGTGGAACTGATACCTTTAAAGGCTGTCTCCAAGGAACTGGGCTGGATGGAACTGCCACGAGGGTCACAGGGGCTCAACAAAAAAGCCCTTCTGCAGCCATGCTCAGCTTGGGGCCTGGAGAGCTGCTCTAAGGTGCCAGAGCTTGGTTGGCAGGGGGCAGAGACTGGGTCCCACTTGTGTTAGAGGGCTGGCCCCCTGGGGTCAAAGGGGTGCTCCCAATATGCTGGCTGGGAGCGCATTCTTAGCTGGTTCTCAGGCTTCAGTCATGGAGACTGAAGGACCAAGGTGGAAAGTCAAGGAGAACGTTCCAGCTTCCAGGCTGCATGTCCACCTGTCCACGCTGCTTATCGTCTCTCTTCTTCTTTCTTTATTAGGAAATGTTTTGTATTAAGTAGAGCCCACTTAGAGCATCACAATTATTTTATATATTTTTCAAATCTTAATTTTATTTTTAAACTCACAATGAATACAAAAAATAGACTTCTATCAAAATTGAAACAATTTGCAAGTGTATGGGATAAAAGCATCCTCCTTTCCCACAATTTCACTTCCCTGCTCAGTATTATTTCATATAAATAGCCTATGTTCTTTTAGATTACTTTCTATGCATGTACCTCTATAAATGTGGGCATGCAAAGTGCATATATGTCAGTTATTCATACAGATAAATATATCTTTTCTTTCTTTTTTTTTTGAGATAGTCTCGCTTTGTCACTCAGGCTGGAGTGCAATGGCGCAATCTCAGCTCACTGCAACCTCTGCCTTCTGGGCTCAAGCAATTCTTCTGCCTCAGCTTCCCGAGTAGCTGGGATTACAGGTGCACGCCACCACACCCGGCTAATTTTTGTATTTTTAGTAGATACTAGGTTTCACTGTGTTGGCCAGGTTGCTCTCGAACTCCTGACCTCAAGTGATTGCCTGCCTCGGCCTCTGAAAGTGCTGGGACTACAGGCATGAGCCACCGTGCTTGGCCTATAAATATTATTCGTCACCTCCCTTTTTCATGTAATAGATGTCTGGGACATAGCCCTCTGCCAGTGCACAGTGACCCACCTTATTTCTTTAAATGCCTGCATAGTCACACACTGTATGGGTGCACCATATATTATTTAACCATTGTGTTATAGACAACTAAGTATTTTTCATTTGCTTATATATTCATTCATTCATTTACTTTTGCTGTTATAAATATTACTGTAGAGAACATCTTTAAATTTTTAACGACATCCTTTGTTATGCAAAAGTTTTAAAGTTTAATGTAGTCAACTGCAAGAGAAAGACACCCTTAACTGATTTAAGCAAAAGTAAAATGTATTGATTTATACAACTGAAAAACTCAGGAGTGAGACTTAGGTAGATTTAAGGGATTAAATAAGCCACCAGGATTGTTTATTTCAGCTCCATTCTCCTCCATGACAGAGTCATTCTTGGGCTCTGCAGGAGGTAAGATGGCTTCTAGTAGCTCCAGAACCATTTATGTTTTAAGTCCACTTAAAATGATTTGAGCAGAATAATAGAACCTCAGTCTAAAAAGTGGCTTAGTTCCCCCTTTCCCCATCCCACCCCACACATAACGAGAAGCCTGAAGGTAAGTAGCTCAGAGAATGACTCAGTAACTCAAAACCTAAGGCTCTAGGGAGATTTCTTTGTAATTCCGTGATTTATTTTGGTATAGCCCCAAAATGGCTGCCACTTGCTGTGTTCACACAACAGTGTCCAATGAAGGTAGGAAAGCAAGCCTTTTGTCAGGCACATCTCTCTTTTATCAGACACGTCAAATCCCCCCCAGAACCCTCCACCTCCCCACCCTACACCCCAACAGACACTCCCTCAGAGTCCACTGGCTGGACTGATTCATGTGATTCTGCCTTCCCTGCAAAGGAGGATGGGAAAGCAAGGAACGGGCACTCTCAGCCTCTGGATTGGGGAACTAAGGGGTGGGGAGCTGTTGGGTGGACATCCAGCAGAGCCTGACCCAGGGAGCATCTCTCCCAGTCACTCCTGCTCCAGAGCCAGGGCTCACTCTGCTTGGATTAATTCCTGCCACATGCTCATCCTGAATCACTTCCAGGTCAGAGGGATTTACCAGCTAATTGGCCAGACCTGGTCACGTTTTCTATCCTTAGATCCAAACCTGGAGCTCATCTTGAACCTGGTGATGGGCAACAGGAGAGTGACTGCTTGGTTACCAGGGTCTGGTTACCAGAAGATGGGGCAATGAATGCCAGAAACTCAAATTATGAAATTTGCACTAGCAAAGCCACATGCACTTGGAATAATCATTATTGGTGTTCTTGTCAATTTCAGAGCATGAGTTTCTGGCTAATGCTGACTTTTAGTAACTTCCTCTCCATCACTATTATCCTCTCAGCAGTGAATGGTGAAAAGGACTTTTTAATGAGCTCTTTTCCTTTTCCTCTGCACTTCCCTTGTTCTCACCTTCCCCTACCCAGGCAATCTGCCTCTCTGGAAATCAGTGTCTTTTAGGTGAGAATTCAGGGACCCTCAGTTTAGACCAGTGTCACTGTGGGCCAAGTTCAGTGCCCAGTAAAGCCACAGGTATCTTTCAAAGTCTCACTTCTAGCCTTTACCTCTTTAGATACTCTGTAGAGGTAGATGTCATTGTGAAGCATAATGACATCTCTCCATCTTCTACGGGCATTCTACTTCACCATCCTAAATGCAAGCCTTCCAATCTGACTTTTCTCTCCCCACGTACCCATTAGCAGCTTATAAAGAATCAGAACCACACCAAGCCTTGAAATCAGTGTGTTCCAGCATGGGCTCAGCTATAAAAACAATTTGAGTGCTCACAGCTTTAAAATGACTTGGCAGCCTGTCTATAAAATGTCCTGTAGCCTGAAAGCGGGTGAGAACATGCCTGCATACATTAGTGATCCATTGATTGTTTCTGGAGCTAGGTAACCTTTGTATACGAAAATGAGAGAACAGCTGAGGCCTGATCAATCAAACCAGCCATTAAGAATCTTGCCTAGTCCATAGGCCTGCTCCATCTCAGGGTTCCCAGGGAGAAAAATAAAAAGAAAACAAGTTTTAGCCATAAATGCGGGGAATAGGAGACAGGTCTGGACAAAGGTTGGGAAGGTTGAAGATTTCATTCCACTGGCAGTTTGTGACTTTCCCTAACCCACTCCTGGGCTAAATACAGGGGAGCAAAATGCAAAATGACATTGGGGTTCTGAGACCACGGCATACCCTGTAAGATGATTGTCCTGCCATTTCCTGCAGCTGCCTATCTACAGGCAATAGAGGGTGCACATGTATGATCAGGGCAAATAAATACAGGGAAGGGGGCAGGGGAAGAGGACTCCAAATTTGTCTCTTCTCAGCAAGAGGTTCTCTGTGAGTTCTTTTGGGCCAAGAAACAAAATTCACCATCCCCAGCCTAACCACAAACTATGACTGTGCCTAATTCAATAAAAATATCAGATGGGGAGAATGGATGTCAATTACCTGGAGCTTCATATTAAACAGGGAGTGATGGATTATTAAGTAGTATTCTGTATTTAACCTCAGATATTTCAGAAATTTTGAATACAATTTTCTTTAGCAGGAAGTTCATTTTAATTCTTAAAAAAGAACATACACTTTTAGAGGATATATCCTTCGTTTAAAAGTCTAATTTGGGAAACACTCATATATAGCCAAGAGATTTGGAGGGATGTTCATTGAACATAGTTTGTTTTACAAAAATTTGGAAGATGTATTAGTTTCTTATTCTTTCTGTAACAAATCATTATAAACTTCATGTCTTAAAACAACACCCGTTTATTCTCTTACAGTTCTGGAGTCTGAAATGGGTTGACAAGGCTGCTCTTGGGGAGAATCCATTTCCTTGCCTTTTCTAGCTTCCAAGGACCACCTGCATTCCTTAGCTCATGGCCCTATCCTCCATCTTCAAAGGCAGCAATGGAGCATCTTCCAATCTCTCTCTCTCTCTCTATTTCTGTTGCCACATCACTAGTTTCTGACTCTGTCCCCTCTTCCTCCTTTTTTTTTTTTTTTTTTTTTTTTTTTTTGAGGCAGAGTCTCACTCTGTTGCTCAGGCTGGAGTGCAGTGACGCTAGCTTGGCTCACTGCAGCCTCCATCTCCCCAGTTCAAGAGATTCTTATGCCTCAGCCTCCTGAGTAGCTGGGATTACAGGTGCATGCCACCATGCCCAGCTAATTTTTGTATTTTTAGTAGAGATGGGATTTTGCCATGTTGGCCAAGTTGGTCTTGAACTCCTGGCCTGAACTGATTTGCCTGCCTCGGCCTCCCCAAAGTGCTGATGTTACAGGAGTGAGACACTGTGCTCGTTCTTCCTCTAAAAAACAACAACAACGACAACAAACAAACAAAAAAATTTTATTTTAGGTTCAGGGGTACATGTGTAGGTTTTATAATATAGATAAACTTGTGTCATGGGGGTTTGTTGTACAGATTATTTCATCGTCCAGGTATTAAGCCTAGTACCCATTAGTTATTTTTTCCTGATCCTCCACCTCCTCCAACCCTCCACCCTCTGATAGATCCCAGTGTCTGCTGTTTCTATGTGTCCATGTGTTCTTATCATTTAGCTTCCACTTATAAGTGAAAACATGTTATTTGGTTTTCTGTTCCTGCATTAGTTTGCTGAGGATGATGGCCTCCAACTCCATCCATGTTCCTGCAAAGGACATGATTTTGTTCTTTTTTATGGCTGCATAGTATTCCGTGGTGTATATGTACCACATTTTCATTATCCAGTCTACCATTTATGGTTTCATGTCTTTGCTGTCGTGAATAGTGCTGCAGTGAACATACAAGTGCATGTGTCTTTATGATAGAATGATGTGTATTCCTCTGGGTACATACCCAGAACAGACGCATGCCACCACAGAATACATGTGGCCGGCCGGGCGCAGGGGCTCACACCTGGATTCCCAGCACTTTGGGAGGCCAAGTCGGGCAGATCACGAGGTCAGGAGATCGAGACCATCCTGGCTAACATGGTAAAAACCTCTATCTACTAAAAATCCAAAAAAAAAATTAGCCGGGCATGGTGGCAGGCACCTGTAGTCCCAGCTGCTTGGGAAGCTGAGGCAGGAGAATGGCGTGAACCCGGAGGCGGAGCTTGCAGTGAGCTGAGATTGCACCACTGCACTCCAGCCTGGGGGACAGAGCGACACTCCATCTCAAAAAAAAACAAAAAAACAAAAAAAGAATACATGCGGCCAAGAAGCATATGAGAAGAAGCTCAATATCACTAATCATTTGAGAGATGCAAATCAAAACCACAGTGAGATATCATCTCACACCAGTCAGATGGGCTACTATTAAAAAGTCAAAAACGACAAGTGGTTGGTGGGGTTTCAGAGAAAAAGGAACCCTTATACACTGTTAGTGAGAGTGTAAATTAGTTCGACCATTGTGAAAAGCAGTGTGGTGATTCCTCAGAGACCTTCCCCCGTCTTATAAGGATCCCTGAGATTACATTAGGCCCTTGTGGACAATCCAGGTTAATCTTTCCATCTTAATATTCTTAATTGTATCTGCAAAGTCCCTTTGGTCATGTAAGATAACATTCACAGATTCTGTGGATTAGGATGTGAACAGCTTTGGGGGCACAATTATTCAGTCCACCCCAAAATAATTTACAGCAGTCAGAACAGCCTAGCTTATGCCACAGTAATAAGCACCATGACTGGGCACGCTGGCTCACGCCTGTAATCCCAGCACTTTAGGAGGCCAAGGCAGGAGGATCACGAGGTCAAGAGATCGAGACCATCCTGGCCAACGTGATGAAACCTCGTCTCTACTAAAAATACAAAAATTAGCTGGGCGTGGTGGTGGTGCGTGCCTGTAGTCCCAGCTACTTGGGAGGCTGAGACAGGAGAATCACTTGAACCCGAGAGGTGGAGGTTGAAGTCAGCTGAGATCACACCACTGCACTCCAGCCTGGCCACAGAGCGAGACTCCATCTCATAAAAACAAACAAACAAAGAAAGAAAAAAAACAAGCACCACAAAAATACCAGGGGCTTGAACAGCTAAGGTTTTTAATTTTTTTATTTTTTTTTATTTTTTGAGACAGAGTCTCACTCTGTCACCCAGGCTGGAGTGCAGTGGCACGATCTCGGCTCACTGCAAGCTCTGCCTCCTGGGTTCACGCCATTCTCCTGCCTCAGCCTCCCGAGTAGCTGGGACTACAGGCACCCGCCACCACGCTCGACTAATTTTTTGTATTTTTAGTAGAGACGGGGTTTCACAGTGTTAGCCAGGATGGTCTCGATCCCCTGACCTCGTGATCCGCCCGCCTCGGCCTCCCAAAGTGCTGGGATTACAGGCGTGAGCCAGCGCGCCTGGCCCTGATGTTGTTTTTCACTCATGCTGCATGTGCCTCAGGTAGGTGGGGCTTCTGCTCTACGTCATGCCCACTCAGGGATCCTGTAGAGGGTGACTTTCTCTTCATGCTCCTGTGACAGCCCAGGCAGGACAAAGGGCACCTGGAAGATCAGGGACTGCCTCTTAAGCTTCTGCCTGGAAGTGACACATAGGACTTGTGCTTTCACTTCATTGCTCAATATTAAGTCCCAAGATCATGACTACCTTCAGTGCAGGGCAGAGAAGGGCAGTTGCACTGCCACCTGCCCAGAGGGCAGAGAATCGGAACTAGTTCACAAACGTCCTCATGACCACTCACAGCCTAAGTGTCCATCCTTAGGGGAAAGGTGATATGAACTAGGGTAATATGATTTGGCTCTGTGTTCCCATCCAAATCTCATGTCAAATTGTAATCCTCAATGTTGGAGGAGGGGCCTGGTGGCAGGTGACTGAATCATGGGGACAGACTTACCCCTTGCTGTTCTTGTGATTAGAGCTCTCCTGAGATCTGCTTGTTTAAAAGTGTGTAGCACCTCCTTACTCTCTGTCTTCTGCTGGCCATGTGAAGATATGCCTGCTTCCCTTCCGCCTTCTGCCATGATTGTGAGTTTCCTGAGGCCTCCCCAGAAGCAGAAGGCTGTGCAGCCCACAGAACCTTGAGCTGATCAAACCTGTTTTCTTTATAAATTACCCTGTATCAGGTATGCCTTTATAGCCGTGTGAGAACGAACTAATACATGGGGGTTAGCTCCAGACATAGACACATACAGACCACAGCAGGTATAAGGGAGGAGGTATCTGTATGCAGCAAGGCCGACAGGTCTCTAGTGCATCTGGTTGAGGGGGGAAAAGCAAGATGCTAGACCATATGTGATGTGAGAAGCCATCTATAGAAACATGTGCATACAAAAATATGGTCTTGTCTTTATAGGCACACAAATAGGTAGAACTGGGGAATCAGGTCTGGACACCAGCACACTGATATCAACACCATGGGCAGTTATGGAGTGGGGTCAGGCCCAGGAAGGAGATGATGAGGGGGGACTTTGCTCCTGTTTATAGCGTTTTGATCTTTTAAAATATTTAAATAATTAAAAAGTTCCTCTGTCTATTATATGGGGAGAATGCATTAGTTATTGTCTGCAATTGTCTTACCAAAGGTAGAATAAAATTACTGATAAGGATTCCTTAGGTGTGGGAGTGGGGAGAATGGAGGGTGAGCTGGAGAAATCACCAAAGAGAGCTGGAGGCTGAGCTGTTGGTGTCTCAGAATAACAGAGATAAAAAGATCCTGGGGCATTATGTTGCTCCATGATTCATTTGCTTGCATGTCAACAGTGGTACAACTCAGGCCTGAGAAGGAGTGACCTACTCAAGGCCCCAGGGCTAGTTGGGGAGGAAGCCGGGGAGAATGTAGAGCGCCTAACTCCCATTCCAGTGCTCCTCTTCCCACCAGTAGCCAGCCTGGACATAGGAGAGGAGCCAGGCCCAGGCTTCAGCTCAGTCCCTTACTTGCTGTGTGTCCTCAGGCAAGTCACTTCCCCTCTCTGTGCCCAGTTTTATTTTTTCATCTACAATAAGGTAGAGTTGTAAGAATTCCCTGACATCCTCCTACAAACTACATCAAACTAAATGTAGCTTGTGAGAGCTATTTTGCACGATTTTGTAAAGAATTAAAGTAATGATGTTATTATTAATGTATTAATATCTAGGTATTAATTATAATGAAATGATTATCATCCTTAATAATTCTGTTTTATTATTAATATTAGTGATAATTATTAATAACCTACATAAAAGGATAGCATAAGCTTTAAACTAGGATAAAAGTTCTAGGACAAGCTGGGAGTGGTGGCTTATGCCTGCAATCCCAGCACTTTGGGAGGTCAAGGCGAGTGCATCACCTGAGGTCAGGAGTTCAAGGCCAGCCTGGCCAACACGGCAAAACCCTGTCTCTACTAAAAATACAAAAATTAGCAGGGCATGCTGGCAGACACCTGTAACCCCAGCTACTTGGGAGGCTGAGGCAGGAGAATCGCTTGAACCTGGGAGGGGGAGGCTGCAGTGAGCCAAAATTGTGCCACTGCACTCTAGCCTGGGCAACAGAGTAAGAATCTCTCTCAAAAAAAAAAAAAAAAGTTCTAGGACAAGAACACTGACTTCTCTTGTTCAAACCATCTTGTTCATAAACCTACCTGTGGCATGACCAGACTCGGAAAGTGAGGGCATTTCCTGAAGGAGCCAACTCCTCATGCCAGGGATCTTCTGAGGTGCCTATGTCTGCAGCATTGGGAGCAGCTGAGACTCAGGGGTTCAGCAAAGGGCTAAGGTGAATTCTCCTGAACCCTGCAGGTCTCACTGAGGACAGGCTGGTGCCAGATCCTGTAACTGGGAGAGCCTTCTGCCAGCCTCTGACCATGGAGTTAAACCTGGGAGGGGCGCAGTTGTCCAAGATCCATTTTGGGGATTTAAAAATTTCTGTAATTTCATGAACTCTTCCAGGAACAAGTGACATAAATATTTTTCTCTTTCTTCCTCTCTTTTAAAAAGTGCTGCTTGTGCTTTGTCCCCACCTTCTTCCTCTCTACGCATTTGGGTTTTCAGGAAAAGCTGACCTCTCATGACCTGCAGAAAATTTCTTTTCCATTATCCCATGAATTTTGCATCATGTGACATTGTCACTGAGCAATGACCCCTAGTATAGCCTTCACGGTGCCTTTGCTTTGGCTGACACTGGCTCCTTAGACGGCCGTTCACCCCGCCCTGGGTCTGGGGTGGGATGTCAGGAAACTAGGTCTTCTTGGCACCCCCAAGCTGCCTGGGCATCAACCTTTCAGACTCCTCAGATTTAGGGCTCAAGGAATGGCCCAGACATCAGTGTCTGATGATCAAACAAGCCAACAGCGGGAGGGAAAATGATCCTTTCATAGAAGCAAACCTGTCAGTGGGATGGGGCCGGCCCCTGAGCTCAGGACGCTGGGGCTTTTGCTGTGTGCCGTGGGCAAGAGGCTCCCTCTGCATGCCTGGTTCCCTCCTCCGGAAAGTAGGAGAGCGGCAGTACCCACCCCATGGGGTGGACGAGTGGCTTCCCTGGAGCACGCGAGTATCCAGCCAGCAGAGCCCTGTGTGAGAAAGTGCCCTGTGTGTGTGTGGCCTGGAAACCCCCAAGTGGTCTAGTCTCCTGTGGATTATGGACCCTCCTGCAGCCCCTAAGGCAGTCACGCTTCTTATGAATGTTGTTCCACTTTACAGACTGGGGAAAGGTCAGGGGGCGGGCCTTGTCAAGGTCACACAGCTGGAGAGCTGGCAGCTGGATTTCAACCCAAGTCCCTGACCCAATTCCACAGCCCTTGATTTTAAGCAAACACACATCCTCTCTGTGGCACCATCACTATCCAAGAAATAGCAGAGTCAGGCGGGGCTAGTTGGACGCCCTCTGATCTATTTATTTTTCAGCGTCTGCTTCATAAACCCTTGGACATCCACCTGAATTTTCCTTATTGCTGTTAACCTCATCTTCCAATTACGCAAAATGTTTCAACCAATTAGCCCCTTGTTGCAGGAGTCTCATCTTTGGCTGACATTTGGTGCTGTGTGTCTTGGTCCTGACTGACAAAGGCAGCACAGCAACTGCTCATGTCAGCCTCGTTTTCTCCAAAGGGAAAAGGGCTCCATGACTAGTCGGGCATCTGGGGGACCCAGGAGCTCCAGTAGCTGCTGAGCAGGCAAAGAAAGGCTGATTAAAACCCACACACCAAGGCCGGGCTCAGTGGCTCACGCCTGTAATTCTAGCACTTTGGGAGGCTGAAGTGTGGATTTCCTGAGCTCAGGAGTTCAAGAACAACCTGGGCAACATGGTGAAACCCCATCTCTACTAAATACAAAAAATTAGCTGGGCGTGGTGGGACCCACTTGTAGTTCCAGCTACTCGGGAAGCTGAGGCACGAGAATTGCTTGAACCCGGGAGGTGGAGGTTGCAGTGAGCCGAGATCATGCCACTGCACTCCAGTCTGGGTAACAGAGTGAAACTCCATCTCGAAACAAAACAACAACAAAAAGCACATGCCAAGGTGGAAACTATGTTTCATGGTTTCTTTAAAAAGCACAAAGATTGGGAGGTGCTAACGACACAGTCTGATAAAACTCTGTGGTTTTGGTGTTTTCTGTATATAGACACCCTGAGGTTCACATGTCGCCTTTCCCTTGGCATTTAAGGCTCCAAGGAACCCTCTGTTTTGCTTGGTTTCCCAATTAACCCCTCATTCATTCATTCATTCATTCAAGAGGTTACTGAGTGTCTGCAATGTGCCAGGCACTGTTCTTCACTCAAAGTCTAAAGCAGGGGATCCAAAACCAAGGTTCTGATGCTATGGAGCTCATGCTCCGGTCAAGGACAATCAATAAAAAGACAAAATGTGGCCGGGCACGGTGGCTCATGCCTGTAATCCCAGCACTTTGGGAGGCCGAGATGGGTGGATCATGAGGTCAGGAGATCAAGACCATCCTGCTAACATAGTGAAACCCCGTCTCTACTAAAAATACAAAAAAATTAACTGGGCATGGTGGCGGGCGCCTGTAGTCCCAGCTACTCGGGAGGCTGAGGCAGGAGAATGGCCTGAATCCGGGAGGCGGAGCTTGCAGTGAGCCGAGATCACGCCACTGCACTCCAGCCTGGGCGACTGAGCGAGACTCCGTCTCAAAAAAAAAAAAAAAAAAAAAAGACAGAATGTGTCTTGTGTGTACCAGGAGGAGGCTGATGCTGAGTGGGAAAATGAAGCCAGGAAGGGGGGTTGGGTGGAAGTGGGGATCCTCAGAGAAAGCTGTCATGGAGCAGAGACCTGAAGGCCACAAAGGTGGGAGACAGGCTAATATCTTGGGGAAAGGCAGAGGGAACAGCAAGTGCAAAGGCCCTGGGGCAGGAGCATGTTCCAGCAGCAGTGAGGGACCAGTATGGCCACAGCAGAGTGGAGGGAGATGCATGGACAGAGAAGCCAGAGAGGCAGGGAGGCCAGACACCCACAAAGCCTCATGGGCCGCTGTGAGGATCTGGGTTTTATCTTAGTGACTCCGGAGGACTTTGAGGGATTTTGAACAGAGGGAAGAAATATTATTTTCTTTGATATTCATTTTCTATTGCTGTGTAATACATGACCACAATCTTAGTAGCTGAACATGACACAGGTTTATTACTGTGTGGTTTCTGGGGGTAAAGGAGTCAAGCATGTTAGAGCTGGCTCTCTGCTCAGGTCCCCACAAGCCTGAAATCCACATGTTAGTTGGTTGCGTCCTCATCTAGGGGCTCCACTTGGGAAAGATCCACTTCCAAACTCCCCCGGGTTGTTGGACAGAATCAGTTTCCCTTGGCGCTGAAGGGCCAAAGACCCTGTGTCTTTCTAGCTGTCAGCTCATCACCACACTCAGCCTCTGGCTGTTGCTCCCAGGCCCTCGACACATGGTCCCCTCCATCGTTCCTTCCCAAAGAACTCAGCTTCTTTCAATAATTTGCTTGATTAGGTCAGGTCCATCCAGACTCTTTCACCTTTGATCAACTCAAAGTCAGTCGGTTAGCAACCTAATCCATGGCACGATATCCCATCAGATTTTGTTTCTGCCCAGACTCTAAAGGAGGGAAGGAGCAATCATGGGGCCATCTTGGAATCTTGCCTGTGACTTGTAGTTAGAAAGATTTTTCTGACCATTGTGCTCAGAATAGGATAGGGGAGCAGCTGGGGCAAGTGCAGACTCTGGGAAATCAGAGAGGAGACGGTTTCCTTTTCAATAGTGATGGACCATGGCAGTAGCAGTTGTGACGACAGAAGTGTTTGAAGCGTGGTTGAAGTGGTTGTAAAATGGATGGGATGTTTTTGTAAAATGGTTTGAAGGAGAACAATAAAACCCATACAGGTTGACTCCAAGCTTTCTGGTCTGATCACCCTGAATGCTGAGCTGTGGGAGTGTATTGTGTTTATCGAGAAGTGTGCAGATTGCCAAAGGATTCGCTTTGTGTTTACAGAGTTAAAGGTAGACAGGTGCTCCGGGTTTGTGATTTTTAAAAAATAAAAATAATAATACAGTATCTATACAGATGAGACTTGTCGTCCCGTTAGGATCCCAATTTGTGACTTTCCTCTTTTAAGAGAATAATACAGAAAAGCAAATGAGATCTGCAATTTGATCAGCATTTGTTTTTTCAGCTGCTGGTTCCTGAAAAAAAATTGTAGCACGCGAGAATCAGCGACAATAATTTGTGGAAGAATTACAAATAGGCCAGGAGTTGGCTGGCTTTACTGGTTTTGACTTGAATTAGATGTAAGACAGATGAGTCGAATGAGGTCTGTTTTGCAGCAGAAAGTATTGCAATGTCACAAGGGGCCATAAAGGTGCCTAAACTGAGCAGAAACATATGTTCTTCAGAAATTAGCTGTTAGGTACGAGCCTTTCTCTTGTTGATGCTATCGGTATGAAATCCAATATTATCCCAGGGAAAGGAAATAAGGCCACTTAGCTGTTGGATGACAAGCTGTCTTACACTCCATCAAACCCACCCGTTTACTTGTCACACGGCTTGTACCGCTCAGGAAGATAAGAGACGTCGTATCTCTGCTTTTCCTCATGGTGTGTTTTGGAATAGATGCCAGCTTGATGTGTTGACCACGGTATGCGGGGCCATTCAATAAAGACAGATCCTTGGCCAAATGTTCTGTATTTTTCCAAATACAAAAGACAAACTAATAAAATCAATGCAGCCATGCTGAACACCAGCACAGAGGGCTCCCTCCTGCGCTGCCACGTGCTTCCCACCAGGGAAATGGATCAGACGCAGCCACGTGGCCCGTGCTACCTGATGTCTTTGGAAAATTATGCTTTTGTTTTAATTTTAGAATAAAAGTTGTTGAGAAGTCACTCTGGCAATCCCCTGCCCACCAAGAACAGGCGCTATCAAGAGTGGATATTGCAGAAACGCTTCCTCTCCCTACAAACCTTCCAGGGTAAGCATGGAGGGAGAGGCTAAGCCTTCTCTTCATTCCCTTGCCACTGTCTTCTTGACCCAAAGATGAGGGGCTTCCATCTCTAAATCTCCCAGGCAAAAATTCTAATAGCTGAGAGACAGAAAGCAGCTCAAATATTAAACCACAGATGGCCTGCCATTTTTGTTTGAAGGGCTGGAATTTTCAGTTAATGCTGGGGGAAGTAAGAAAGTCAACTCAGTTGCTCTGTCCAGTAATTCACCATTGCTGGGCTTTACTGAACAAAGGCAAACTCTGACGACATGATCATGATTGAAAGAGGCAGCTGAGCAGGTGAGCTCCTCCTGTGGCTCCCTCTCAGCATCTTGTGCTGCCATTGTGTGTTTAGGTATTCATGTCTCTGACTAAGACAGTGAGCTCCTCGAGGAAGGTACTTGTGCCTCGATCATCCTAGAACCCTCCACGCCCAG
This sequence comes from Homo sapiens, assembly GCF_000001405.40. Taxonomy (NCBI): domain Eukaryota; kingdom Metazoa; phylum Chordata; class Mammalia; order Primates; family Hominidae; genus Homo; species Homo sapiens. The sequence continues at coordinate 48,042,236 of NC_000020.11, forward strand.
TACGCACAGGGCCAGCACCTAGCAGACATTCAGTGTGTATGTAAGCCTCTGTCCTGGTCTGAACAGGGGAGTGCCCGTGTGAGCCTGTTTGCTGCCTTAATTATTAATAGCATTCCCGTATGACCCAACCTATCACTAAACCTCAGTGTTGCTCCCTACCTAAGCAGAGGAACTTCATTGCAAGAATATTGAGTGGCTTAATGACGAGGTAATTTCTTGCCTCGTATGATGAAAAAAAGTCAACCAGGAACTGGCTGAGCACACCTGGTTTGCACAAGGTGGTCCTCGTCAGTGCTGGTTGTTTTGCTGTAATTGTGAATGGTGCTGCCTTTCGCACTTAACACATGTCCTGAGTTGGCGAGTAAGTTATCTGGTCATCTTTGGCATCATCATCAGGCATAGCAAATCCAGCGGTCATCAGGGCATCTTAGAGTTGGCTTAGCTCTTGGGGACCAAAGGGATGTAAAAATTGCCCCAGGATGTATTTTACTAAGGTTGTCAAACGATGAGTTAGGGTCGGCTGGTTTTCTAGTAGCTTTCAAAAAGCCCGAGATTAACTCAGATGGAATCAGCTTAGGTCACGTGCCCACCTGTGATAAGTTCTTGTTGCCGGGGCAACGCTGGTGCTGATAGGTTTAACCTGGATCATAGGTCCCAGCCCCTGACTCTGGGATGTTTTTCTCTCCACACTACATTGGCTGGGTAGGGGTGGGGAGAGTTTTCTAAATGAAAATCAAGTTGCTGCCATAAACTCCCCTCACTAAAAGGCATGTCCTTTTGACATGGAGATTTTTGTCCATTTTGTTCAATGCTGTATTTTGAGCATCTAGAATGATAACACTCAACAGTGGAAGCTCCTTAAATATCTGTTGAATGAATAAATACTGAGAAGACAAATAGAAAGTTTTCCTGAGGCAGCCTTCTGTATAAAATAGGATACACTTTATTGCTCCAGATGCTCCGTGAAGCAGTAACAAACTGCAGGTAGGCAAGACAACCTCCCTCAAGAGAATCATCCTTTGGTGTTGAAAAACATATTGGAAATCACTGACGGTGGCCTATACAGGTCTCTCGTATGCTGACGGTACAAACTCTCCACACATTTCAAGCACTGGGCTTGGTCTGCCATGTTGACAGAATCACGATGCCTGCCTCACAGCAAGGGCAGCTCCCTCCCACAGTGAAACTGAGCTCCAGAGGAAGTAGGGTTTCCACAAGTCAGTTCAGTTCTCTCCTTTCAATGTTGTATTCATCTGCTTTATATTTCTGTAAAGGAATACCCGAGACTGAGTAATTTATGCAGAGAAGAGGTTTATTTGGCTCGCAGTTTTGCAGACTGTACAAGAAACACAAGAAGCGTGGCACCAGCATCTGCTTCTGATGAGGCCTCAGGAAGCTTTTACTCATGGCAGAAGGTGAAGGGGAGTCTGGGTGTCACATGGTGAGAGAGGGAGCAAGAGAGCAGGGGTTGGGGAGGTTCCAGACTCTTTTTAACAACCAGATCACAAGAGAACTCATTACCATGGTAGGACACCAAGCCATTTCATGAGCGATTCACCTCTGTGATCCAAACAGCTCCCACCAGGCCCCACTTCCAACACTGGGGATCACATTTTACCATGAGATTTGGAGGGAACAAACATCCAAATCCTATCAGGTGTGAAATGCACATGATAGGAGCATTTTCTCATTGAGTTCATGTGGATAAACTCGGGTCCATCCTGCAAGTGTTTTGAAATCATTTACAGAAGTTCCTCAAGGGCAGGAATTACATCCTCTGTTCCTGGCATGATGCCTGGTAGCCAAAAGGGGCTGTAAACTGTGACTTTGGGGCTGAGAAGGTGAATTCCCCTACCTGGGATTTGTCAGTCTCTCAAAAGAGTCATGCTGTGGTCCCATCCCATGGTAAAGACTGAACATATTGGATGGGAGAGAGGGGTAGACAGGGTGGGAGTTGCTGGTATTGGATCTTCTGCCATGCCAACCACCTCCCTTCCTTGGCACATTTCTCCAGCTGCTGCATTCACCAGCCAGGATCCTTTGGCTGCAAGCAATGGAAGCTGGCTTTGGTCAGCCTTACCAAAACATGGATCTGTGGACAGATGTGGGGTAGCTCGGAGAACACAGAAGGGCTAAGGGACCAGGTGACAGAAGGACTAGACCTGGGTCAAGTCTGAGAAATCTCTTTGAGGCATACATTTTGGGGTGAGGGCCTACTCACTCTTGTTTCTTGTCTCAGTCCCCTCAAGGTAAAATTTCCCAGGAGGGAAGTGTGGGCTTGGGCCCCACGCTCACTCTCTGGCAGAGCACCTTGGTCATCCATTCCTGAGATGGTGACCAAGTGGGCATGGGATCCTCGAGGGGAACTTGAAGTCCAGGGCAGAAGAGTGGGGAATGGGCACTGGCCGGTCTACAGCACCAGAGGCCTGCCCCAGCCCATGTGCACAAGCAACACATCCTGGGATTCTTACAGCCTGGGATATGTATGGCACTTACTAGGCATTATTATTATCATTATTATTGTTATTATTTGAGATGAAGTCTCACTCTGTCACCCAGGCTATAGTGCAGTGGCTCGATCTCGGCTCCCTACAACCTCTGCCTCCTGGGTTCAAGCAATTCTCGTGCTTCAGCCTCCTAAGTAGCTGGGATTACAGGCATGTGCCACCATGTCTGGCTAATTTTTGTATTTTTAGTGGAGATTGGGTTTCATCATGTTGCCCAGGCTGGTCTCAAACTCCTGGCCTCAAGTGATCCACCCGCCTCAGTGTCCCAAAGTGCCGGCATTACAGGCGTGAGCCACCACGCCTGGCCCACCTAGTAGGTTTTTAAGAAACGTTGAGGCTGCCTAACTTACTTGTACCTCTGACCTCCAAACTTAAGGCAGAACTGCTTCCTCCTCCCTTCCATCCCACAGCACTTTGTTATTATTTTTAACAACTCCATTATTGAACTTTGTAAGAATTAACTTCAGGTTTTTGTTTCTTTGGGTTAGAATTATGTCTAATTTACTTTTGTCTACATGAGTTCTTGACACAGAATGGAAGCCCAATCAACATTTGCTGGATAAATGAGTGATTGAACAGGTGTTAAGTGGGAAAAAGCCCAAGTCAAACCAATATATTTATCTTTGAGGTATGGGGGAAAAGCTCATATATGTTTAAAAAATATTCAAAACTTGAAAATAAGGTATAAAGATGATTGAGACACATAGTGTCAGGGTGTAGGGCAGTCTAACAAGTCCATGTGGGGGGACCTGAGTCCCTCATGAGATGTGACTTTGTTTGACTTCCTAGTTACCATTGTTAGGGCCCAGACATTTTATAATTCTGGAAAGTTAGAGGTTAAGATATAGGAAACTTATAAAGTAGAATGTGTTTCTTTTCTGATGGCACTAAAGATAATCCCCAAATTATAACATTATTGACCATTAAGATATTGAAGTGATTGTAGCCAACTCAGCAATTGAATGGCAGAATTTCTTCTTTTTGATTGACTGCATGGAATCCTTGTTCTTATACCCTATTTTGAATCAACTTTGCCATCCTATTAGTTCCATTATTAATGAAACAGATTTGACAAATGCTTACCATCCAGCTCATGAGAATTATGCTTTTAACATTTGAGAATCATACTTTGATACACACACACATATTTGGAAAACTAGACACTGTTTCTTCTAAAATGGAATGGTTTTTATTACTTTAGAATTACAAGTTCATGCCAAAAACACCTTTTTCTGGAATAACATCTGGAATTTGTATCGTGACTTTTCTCTACCGATCATTAGCTCCCTTCTTTGTGTTTCTTAACCAGGCAGTTGGAAATTTGAATCTGCTTTTTCTTCTTCTTCTTCTTATGCTCCTTTGCCAATTTTTAGCCTGGAAATGGGAAGTGATGTTACTGTGGTCAAGAGCTGAGCTACAATACCTGTGCCAATACCTGTGCTGGGAGAATGACTGATAATGGCATTGGTCATGATTTGTGGGTTTCCAGAACCTTTTGAAAACTCTTACATGTCAGGGAAATTTTTTCCTGATGTGTCTGCACATCCCCAAAAGAAAAGCCAGAAGTCTACGTTCCCATCTGCCTTACAGCTAGAGAGCAGACATGTGACATGGAGTGCACTGATCAGAGGGGTACGAACTAGACTCTCGTTAAGAAGAGAAGGTTGTGTAAAAGACGGCAGCGTGCAGAGACCATTCTGCAGAGGGTACTGAAGAGACATATGGGGCTTGCAGAAGGTACAGAGCAGTGGGGAGGCAGAGGTGGGTGGCTGTCACACTGTCCCCTATTGTCTGTGTCAGTGATATGCCCAGCACCACCAGTAGCTGTGGGTCTGCCTTGTTTCTGTTATATAGCCTCCAAGCCTGATTCTCTGGCCTTGCAGAGCTTCTGGGAGTCACTGAATACATTCCTTTTTGGCTTAAACTAGTTAGAGTAGATTCTGCTATTTGCAACTCATAGCCAAGTCTGATCCACATCATTAATAATGGAGGCATGGGGACCTCAGAGATGCTTGAATCAGAGACAGCTGGGTAGAGGCACAGGAAGGTCACCCTCCTGAATGTGTCCTAGAATATCTATAGTTTTTCATGAGACTGAGAAAAGCTTTGGATTGCCACCAGATTACTTTGCGGACAACTCTTGCAAATGTTCACCCTACTACATAAACAATATCTCAGCTGGAATTTTTCTTGAAGTTCTATCAAGCTCTTTGATGTCCTGATTCTATGGTGTCTCTTAATAATGTACACAATTGAAAGTTATCTGAAGATTGATTTACATCCTTTTGGAAAAATAACAGTGAAATCTCCAGGGTGTAACATACCCACCAACTGCCTTGCCAGCAGGGATAACAAATTAAACTATACATTCAAAAATTTGATGATCAGGAAATTACTCCTGGGATGAGCTTTATGATTATTGACTTCAAAGAAGTATTTGATGGTACAGTGAAATGAAAATGATATATTATAATTTAGTGTTTTCCATGCAAATGGAAAAGTAGCAGAAATATCTATCATTTCAGTTCAAGGAAGGGCCCCCCTGGAAAGAGAAGAGATATAGGCACTGTCACATCAGGAGGTGGTTTGTTATGGGTGGTTGAAAAATAGGCATGAAGTTTCTTGAGACTTGTTTTGGCTACAAGTTCTACAAGTTACAGAGACCCCTAGCCCCTCTCCAATAGGGGTTTATTTTTCCTCATGTTAAATAAGTCTAGAGGCAGGTAGTCCAGGGATGGAATGGTAGCTCCATGATAACATCTGGGACCCATGCCCTTTCTGGATTTCCATGACCCTATCTTTGTTGTGAGCCCTGTCTTCATGCTCTCAAAACGGCTGCCACAGTTCCAGCCAACATGACAGACAATAGTAACAGACACCTGCCTGCTGAGTCAGCTCCTTTTAAAGCGTTTTCCCGGAAGTCCTGCCCAGTAGCTTATGTTGAGTAATCATTTGCTGGGTCTGTGTCATGTGAACATTTGATTCAAGAGAGCCTGGGAAATTTTGTTTAGCTGGGAATACAATCTCTTCAATTAACATCAGGGTTCAGTTAATAAGGAAGAAGGAAGGGAAATCTGGAGCCTCTGATGCACCCGAGTGTCTCTTTTCATAGAGTTTGCTCTAAGACCTGGCAGTGCTTTTGACTTCTCCCTTTCCTCTTTGCCAGTGCTTCCTCTGTCTTCTTTGTTAAAAAAAAAATTATCGTTCAACCTCCATCAAAGACAAAAAGCAGCATGATATTGTTTGGCTCTGTCTCCACCCATATGTCATCTGCATTTGTAAACTCCCTGTGTCAATGGAGGGAGGTGATTGGATCATGGGGATGGTTCCCCATGCCGTTCTCTTGATAGTGAGGGAGTTCTCTTGAGATCTGATGGGTTTATAAGACAGTTTTCCATGCTCTTGCTTGCTGTCTCTCGCCTGCCGCCTTGTGAAGAAGGTGCCTGCTTCGCTTTCTGCCATGATTGTAAGTTTCCTGAGGCCTCCCCAGCCATGCAGAACTGTGAGTCAATTAAATCTCCTTTGTGTATAAATTACCCAGTCTTGTGTAGTATCTTTATAGCAGTGTGAAAACAGACTAATACATGGCACAATCTATTTCTTTCTTACTGCACTTCTTCTTCCTCCTATTCCTTAAATGATTAGATCAAATAGGATCTGTGGCTGGGCACACTAGCTCATGCCTGTAGTCCCAGTGCTTTAGGAGGCTGAAGTGGGAGGATCACTGGAGCCCAGGAGTTTGAGACCAGACTGGACAACATAGCAAGACCCCATCTTGAAAAAAGTAAAATGAAATAAGAATTACTAAAAAAAATTAGCCAGGCCTCGTGGTGCATGCCTATAGTCCCAGCTATTCAGGAGGCTAATGTAGGAGGATCCCTTGAACCTGGGAGGTCAAGGTTGCAGTGAGCCATAATCATCCACTACACTCCAGTCTGGGTGACAGGGCAAGACCTGTATCTAATAATAATAATAATAATTAATATTATTATTATATTTAAATAAAAAATAAGTAAATAGGATCTGGGTTATGGAGACCCCATAGTCTCCTCTCTAAGAGAGAGCCGAACAATAATAAATATTGCAGAAGGATTTGAAACTTCAGAGCTCCCGAAAAAAGATGAGCCTCATAAATCAAGCACCTTCCTTTTTCAAAAATTGCATTTACATATTTTCTGAAATGTGACTTTTTTACATATGTATTTAATTATATAAATAAACATTTTTAGTCACCTGGATTGAACCAAACATTCTAATGAACTATGCTAATTGGCTGGAATGCCAACAAAATCAAAATTAATGTTAAATTTTACTTTTAAAAAAAACCTCAGGGAATCAGCTTGCTCAAGGATGGAATATGTATATTTTCTTTAAAGCTTCAACTTTAATAAAGTAGGATCATCCAAAGAGCTTCTGATCCAGGAGATCAATTTTAGAGCCCAAAGCCAAATTTAATCCACATAAGATTTTTAAAAATAATTTTATTTGTAAAATGATCCTATGGTAAAATGGACCTCTTGTGGGCATATAGGCCTATAGATTATAACACATGTGTTGATTGGCCTCTCCGCCACCAAAATCACGATGCAAAACAGCTGCATTACCCTCACAATTTCTTCATGTGGCCCCTTGGTAGGCAATCTTCTCTCCCCAGCTGTTGGCAACCACTAATCTGATCCCTAATCCCTATAGTTTTCATTTCGAAAATGTCATTATAAATGGAGTCATAAGTCTGTGACTTGTTAAACTTGATTTTCTTTCTTTTTTACAAACATTATTTATTATTTATTAGTTTTATTTTCTAGCTTTTCTTGCTTAGCATAATGTCTGTGAGATTCATTCAGGTCATGGTGTGTATCTTAGTGTGTTTATTTTTGTTGTTGAATAATAGCTCATAATATAGATACACCACAGTTCTGTTTGTTTTTTTATTCATTCACTAATTGATGGAGGTTTGGGCTGTTTCCACTTCTTGGCTATTATGAATAATGCTGCTGTAACATTCATAGACACATATTTATTTGGACATATGTTTTTATTTCTCTTGGCTTGAAATGGCAGGATAGGGGGTGGTCTCCTGGAAAATATATGGGGAATATTTTGTTACTAAAAATAATGTTTGTGTGTGTGTGTGTGTGTATGTGGGCCAAAATCAACACTTGTCTACTACACTGAGCCAAGTTTTTTTTTTAAATAAAATGAAATTGATTTTGGTGTTTTATACTTGCAGTTTGCCAACCTTTTTACATATCTTCACAGCTCATTACTTTTTTTGAGACAGGGTCTTGCTCTGTCGCCCAGGCTGTAGTGCAGTGGTGCAATCAGGGCTCACTGCAGATTCAACCTCTTGGGCTCAGGTAATTCTCCTGCCTCAGCCTCCTGAGTAGTTGGAACTACAGGCAGGCACTACCACGCCCAGCTAATTTTTGTATTATTTTGTAGAGATGAGGTTTTGCCATGTTATCCAGGCTGGACTTGAACTCCTGGGCTCAAGTGGTCAATCCACCTTGACCTCTCCAAAATGCTGGGATTACAGGTGTGAGCCACCACACCCAGCCCACATCTCATCCTTTATAGGAATAAAAGCAGCTGGAGCCTTTTGATTTCGGTAGCTGTGGGTGCAACATGTTGTCCAGCCTCTTGTTACAACATACTTTTCTCCTCTCACTTCTTAATAGATTTAAGATACTCACAATGGAGGTGACAATAATTATTGAGCTCAGGTAATCCCAAATAGCATCACCACCCAAGTCCCACAGGTTCACTCCCACCTGTCACCAGACTACAGTTGACCCTTGAACAATGTGGGCATTAGGGGCATGGATGACCCCCACACAGTCAATCTGTGTAGAACTCTGACTTCCCCCAGACTAAACTATTAATAGCCTCCTGCTGACCAGAAGCTTGACTGATGACATGTACAATTGATTAACACATATTTTGTATGTTATATGTATTATATACTATATTCTTACAATAAAGTAAGCTGGAGAAAAAATGTTATGAAGAAAATCATAAGAAAGAGAAAATATATTTACTATTCATTAAGTGGAGGTGGATCATTATGAAGGTCTCCATCCTTGTCATCTTCATGTTGAGTAGGCTGAGGAACAGGAGGAAGAGGTGGAGCTGTTTCAGGGGTGGCAGAAGTGGAAGAACTGTGTATAATTGGAGCCATGCAGTTAAAATCTGTGTTGTTTAAGGATCAACTTTATTTCTGTTTCTGAGTTGAATCTCCTTTGACATAACCATTAAAGCGTTTTTCTCCAATGTCTGCACTTTTAAATTCTCCTTTCTTTTTCATCAGATTCAGTATTGGAGCAGCAATTCCTGATGTGCTGAAGTCAACAGCTATCTCATCTAACAATTCTGTTTCTTTTGCCTGGAGGAAGTTGAGAACTGATAATCTTTGGGATGTAGGTTTAGAAGAAGTCATGAGCCTCTAATGTGTCCAGATATGGGATATTGTGGTGGAAGATGTTGAGCATATCAATCAGGATGGACAAGGTTAGGTTGCAGTAACAAATAAGACCCAAATCTCTAGGGCCAAACACAACAAATGTTTTAAAACCCACTTACACTTTATATCCAATGTGGGTTCTTTGTGGAGGGCTCCCTTCATCATAGTCATTCCGTGATCCAGTCTGCTGGAGGCTGTACCGTCTCAATGCATGCTCCCAAGACTACCACAGCATAAAAACAGCATAGCCAATCACACTGCAGTTCTTAAATGCTTCTCCTTAGAACTAGCACCTGTTAGCAGCTCAGTGGAACTTCCTGGTTGGATGTGCCAGGCAGGTGAGTGCCCTGGTTCCATGGAGAGGGCACAGAAGCTTCATGTTGTAGACCCTCTGAGACCTTGTGCTGTAAGTCTCTTCATTTGGCTGGTCCTGATCTGTATCCTGAATGATAAAATTGTAATCATAAGGAAATAGCACCTGTTGCTTTCTCTCAGATTTCAATGGCTGAGAGAGGTCACATGCCTATTCATGACTTTAAGGGGTTAGAGGAGGGTATGTGTCCTGTGGGCCTGGAAGAAGTAGGAGGCTAGGGTTATTTGTGAGTTCTAGCAATGTCTACCAAGAAGGAGAATGGGATGTGGACAGGCAAGAATTGACTTCAAAAACAACTTGACTCATGTCATGGTTCTCTCTCTGACTCTTTGAATCTCAGCACATTATTAGTTTCCATGTTAATGGATTGAGGTTGGGCTTTTTTTGTTTTCTGCAATGTCTCTTTATAATCTTATTTTTGCCTTACAAAGGCATTAGCATACATTTTCTGGGCTCCCAGCCAGATGAATCATTTTCTTTTCTGTTTCCCCATCTCCATAGTGCCCTGGTCTTTGCCAGAACCAAACAGTGGTCACAGCTAGGACCTGCACCGGGGGTCCTGAATCCACCTTGCCCGGTGCCCAGATGCCCCTCCTGCTCTCTGGATGGAGCCCACCCTCAACAAGCACTCCGGCAGGACCAGGTTCCATGAAGACAATGCCACTTGGAATCTGATAAGTAATATTTGGTACCAAGCCCAGATCAGCTTTTCATCACCCTAGACAAGAGATGTGTTTGGGACTCTTCAGTCTCCCCTGAAGCCCTCAGGCAGGTCTCTGTCATGCTGGGTGGGATTATGGTAACACTCTACCAGCAGCTCCCCACCTGCACCTCAGGCCAGGTTGGAGAGGGTGAAAAAGCAACATAAAAATGTCAGGTTCCTATTGGGGATTAGGAGACAGTCAACTCTAGCCAAGTTTTATTTTTCCATTCTAAAGGAAGAAGAAGAAAAAAACACAACCTAAATTATCCCATTTTCCTTAACACACCATAGATGCGTGAATTAGAAGAAAAAATTTGTTAAACACCCAAACAAAAAGAAACAATCTGGCCACCAGCCAGGATTACTTTGCCTGGAGCGTTTTCCATGACTCTAAGGCCAGCACACAAAAGGGTTTCTAAGATCCATTTCTGGTGAGAATAAAAGCTGAATCTGAAAAACAGATGCCCCCTGAAAGTAAGAAACAGAAGAAAATGCAATCTGTCAACTAGCCACAATTTATTCTATCAACTATCAAAAATTTAGTCTGACATATTTGCTGGGTAAAATAACCATGTTGACTGATTGTTCTCCTGAAAAAGACAGTTTGAATTCACCCAACTCCAGCTGAGACTCAAATAGTCATTTTCAACTATTTCCAAATATTAATATTTTCTGCAAAGAGAACCTTTTATAAAATCTCAATTTGTAAAACTGGCTAGAAACCCAGTTGCTCTGGTTGAAACTGGGGGTGGGTGCTCCATGTGATACATTAAATATATTACACCCCCTGAAACCCTCCCCTCAATCCAGGAGCCTCTCTCTCTCTCTCTCTCCTGCTCTCTCTCTGTCACTCAGGCCGGAGTGCAGTGGAGCGATCACAGCTCACTGCACCCTCAACCTCCAGGGCTCAGGTGATCCTCCCACCTCAGTCTCCTGAGTAGCTGGGACCACAGGTACACGCCACCATGTCTGGCTAATTTTTTGATTTCTTGTAAAGACAGTCTCACTATGTTGCCCAGGCTGGTCTCCAACTCCTGGAGTTAAGCAATCCTCCCACCTCAGCTTCCCAAAGTGCTAAGATTGCAGGTGTGAGCCACCACACCGGCCTGAACAAAATTCACATATTTTAAGAATCTTTGATGTAGACGGGGGACAGTTCTGCTAATTTAAAAACATCTAGAGTTTTGCATTGTCACAATAACTCATGGTGGGTGTCATTTCTAGAATTTAGTGTAAGGGTTCAGGGATGGTAATGTATGACACACAATCCTGTCCAAATGGCCAAGTAGCCCCCAGGAGAAAAAAACAAAATAAAACTGGACAGAAGGCTTTAGCTGTCTTTACGAGGCGGGAGCTAAGGGTCACCCCCAATGTGGCCCGCTACAGCCCCAGCCCCCTATCTCTGTCTTGCATGGTGCTTGCTTCTCTTCCTCTAGAGCCCAAATATACCAAATGCTTCTTGCTCAGCCTCCTTTGCATCCAGAAGCAGCCATGGGACCCAAACCTGACCAATGCAACGAGAGAGTCAATATTCTGAGGTGGGAAGAGTTCAAGGAAAAATTTTGTTTCGTAATGCAACGGAGGCACAAGAAGAAACTCTCCTTCCTGCCTTTGAAAATAATTGGTTGAGAACAACATGCTGGAACCGAAGCAGCCTTTCTGTGAGCATGAGGAGCCATGCTTAAGAACAAGTCAATCTGCTAAGGAAGGCAGAGCAGAGAGACAGATATGGTTGAGCTGCATTCTTCATCCCCTCTGTTATAGGGGACAATCTATATGATTCTTCAAGTCTGTTAATCAAGTCTTTGGTTGCTGACAGCCACACGCATTTTAATAGATATACTTTTCTCACTTCCATTCATCTGGAAGCAGAAAGAACAGCTCTGAGGGAATCTTCTTTGCAGACGCTGACACTTCGATTCTCACTGTGGTTTTTCTTGTTGACTTAGGGCCACATAAATCTTTCCCTCCTTCTTGGTACTTGATCTTCTGCCTCTGCCGCAGGCTTGTTATCTGTTTTCTGTAAGTAACGCAGGAGCTTCTGGTTATAAACGACTTGCTAAACTTGAATTCTTAAGAGTCGTTTATCTGTTAGACCCACCCTAACCCAATCAATACTCAGTGATAGGAGGTGTCATCAATGATTGACTTTAAGATAAAGCAGTTCTTCCCCTGCCCCTGCTAATTTTTGTATTTTTTTGGTAGAGACGGGGTTTTGCCATGTTGGCCAGGCTGGTCTCAAACTCCTGAGCTCAGGTGATCTGCCCGCCTCTGCCTCCCAACGTGCTGGGATTACAGGTGTGAGCCACTGCGCCCGGCTTCGAATCCATTTTCCAAACACATGTAGGTGAGTATGGAAATAGATGAAAGGATATGGGTCACTTTACAAGATAACAGCCTGGAAGAGGTCATTGTGGGTTACATGCATTTGAATTCGCTGCAATATAAGCTAAGAAAACAATAAACTTTTCTCACATAGGAGACTGGGTATTACGAAGAGCTGTTCTTTAGTCCTTGCACCTTTATCACTTTATTTTAGAAACAAAACTCCCATCTTCACCATTTTCATTTGAAAAATCTCCCCTCTATATTTCAATCTATATGAGCTGCAGTCAGAACTCTAGCCCAAGACCCAGAGCTAAACCAGTCAGCATGTAGTTTTTCCAGAGCTAAACCAATCAGCATGTAGCTTTTCCAGAGGTAAGCCCAATCAGCATGTAGCTTTTCCAGAGCTAAGCTAATCAGCATGCAGCTTTTCCAGAGCTAAGCCAATCAGTATGTAGCTTTTCTAGAGCTAAGCTAATCACCACGTGGTGTGCTCTGGCAACAGCAATTTATCAGGGGTGAGTGAGCACATGACCTAATGGTGACCCAATCAGAATGAGTCTCCGGACTTCCCTGGAAACTTGTGGCCCTTTTCTGCAGGATTGAAACTTGGATGATGAGGCTGTGCCATAACTTGCTACTAGAGCTGCAGAATGAAGCTAACACAGCTGAGGGTAGAGTCAAGGCATCAGGGAAACTGAGTCAAGTTGAATTGAGTCCAGAATCTACTGTCCCTGAAACCAGTACAATACTTAGATATTTTGTTATTTTGTTTTGGGAGAAAACAAATTCCCTTCTTACTGAAACAAGTCTGGTCTGCATTTTCTGTTGCTGGCTACCGAAGGAAGGGGTCCTAACTAATATCCTGGGGTAGAACAGTGCCCAGTTATAGAGGCCCCAGTTTCCCCATTACTCATGAAGAGACAGTTGCTCTAAGGAGCTTCAGCATCTACTGCCAGCATCACCGTTCTGGTGCTCTGGTTCTGGGCGATTCTTCCATAACTTGTCTGAGCATGTGAACTTTGGAACAGACTGCCTGAGTTCAAGTCTCAGCATCACCACCACTAACTTTATCAAGCCCTCCATGTCTCAGTTGTCTTACTGTAAAATGGAAATGACTTTCATAAACATTAAAATTGCTGTGAAATGTGAATGTGTTAATATGCAGACAGTGATTAGCATAGTGCCTGGCACATAGCAAGCCCATCATCCATGGCTGCCCTCATTGTTGTTATGTTCTTCTTTATATTGAGGATCCATCCAGAACCTCCCTTCATTCTGCTGGTTGCCTCCATTCTCTTGTGCCTCACTTGGCCAGTTCTCCATCTTAGGAGCTTTGAATTCCTTTCCTCAGTTCAAACGTTCCTGGTTTGTGTCCCAACCCTAATAGGACTTCTCTTTCCAAGGTCACAGGTACCTAATCTGAGATGTCAACCCAGGTAGTAAGTTAGTGGTTTCATCTTTAGACAGGGATAGTGAAACTTTGCTTCTGTGCATCTCATTCTTGTTTATAAATCTCTTTAAAGAATACGAACTTTGTAGTATATTTATTTTTGGCTACCCAGAATCTATTGTACCATCTTTGGGTAACTGAATTCCAGTTTCCCCTGGGTAACCACCCTCCAATGGCTGGACCAACCCTCTGTGTCAGGTGGACTAAAACCATCAGGCTCTTTTTTTCCACAGCTCTGACTGGTCCAGGGATGAGTATGTGACACTTAAGTCCAACGAGATGCAATGAGACTTTTGTTGTGGCTTCTGGGAGTGCCAGAGGCTCTTTTCTACCAGGCTTAGTCAGCCTTGCAGCCACAGCAGGAGATGCTAAGAACCGCCCTGAGAGGGAAAAAGAGGAGCAGAGGGATCAAGAGACACTCATCAGGAACTGCTGACATTTGAGCCTCTGGATCTGGCTGTGCCTGAAACTAACAAGCTACTCCTTCCACATTCTAGTTATCTGATATTATAAATTTATTTCATTTAAAGCTATTTAACTTAGGTTTTGTTGTTGTTGCATGCAACCAAGAGTGCTGACTGATACAATCTTCCAATTATATGCTGTTTTTACTTTAAAAGGGGTGTTTGGTGTCTCAGCCTGAAAGGAGCAGTAATGGTAGGATTGAGGGCACATAGCAATCCAGGAAGAAGGCAATGGTACATAGACCCCTGAAATCATACCAGATGGCCAGTTACTACTCAGTCTCTAGATTCAGCTGGTTCTGCAAGAAGAGTTATCAAGCTATCAGCTTTCTCTTGCAGGCATCCTTCTGTACCTTTAAGACAGAGCATCTAATTAGCTTTGGGTGGTTTCAGTTAGGCGTATAGTGGAGAAATTAAGAAAACATTAAAACCAGGACCATTGGAACATGAGGATGTGCGGCTTAAGATTTACCCAAGAGGGGCTGACCTCAATTAGGACGTTGATGCTGGATTGGGTGCTCTGGTTTTCCTCTACTTTAAAAACTGTTGGATCCCTGATATGCCAAGACCCCAGAGAGATGGAGAAACGTTTACGTGCATGGAGGAAAAAATATCTTTTTAGAGTTACAAAGTGAGAATCACAGTTATTCTACCACTATTAAGCCAGAAAATCATTGTCTAAAATGGATATTTTTTTCTTTTTTAATGTGTAAATGAGCTTCTTGGTTGGTTTAAAGGGGCAAAGATTCCCATCAGCCTTCAGAGCTGGTCACTCATCAGTGGATTGGTAAATGCAGAATGGGGTTCGAGTCTGTATCTTCTTTAGTGGAACAGTGGGTAATGTCGTTTTGACTCACGAATCAGTTTCCTTCACTCTTCTGGGCTAATGACCCACTTCCTCCGGCTTCCCTTAGCTGCACCTGGTGTTTCTGTGGGAAAGGCCTTCACACTGACATTCTTATTTGATAGTGAATGTTGATGGACACCAGGCCTGCTTATGCACAAGAGCTTCTGACCTGGGATCAGAGAAGGAAACGGAATTTTAAAGAAATGTCTCAAGAGTCAGAGAAGGCAGGAGCCGAGAAGTGATCACTACTGACCTCAAGCTCAAAGACCTATGGGAAGTAGCAAAATTCAACAGGATGAGTGGTGAATCCCTGGGTCCTTGGTCAAAGGTCCTGAGGTCCTGAGGTCAAATCAGAAGAGAAAATGCAAATTTGTCCATGTAAGAAATTTATTCCAAAAAGTCAGATACAAAAATTTGACTTGACAAAGCATGGTGGGTTTTGTAAAAAAAAATAAATGGTTATAAAGAGGAGCTGAATGTGGAATAACTTTGCATTTCACAGAGTTAACATTTGAAGTTTCAGCTGTTTGCAAATGACTCATGGTGCTACTCAGCGTGGGTGAGGTTGTGCTGCAGTAACAAATAAGACCAAATATATCAGTGGTTTAAATAAGAAGGCTGCATTGCCACCACAGGGTCAGCTGAGACTTCTGTACATTGGGGCCCACCTCACAGCACCTCCCTCTTGGCACATCCTTCTACAATCACTGTGGCAGGAGGAAGATAACATGGCTTCATAAAGATTGGCTTTTAAAATATTTGCCCAAGAGCAACACTACCATTTTATCCCACATGTCCTAGGCAAAGTCAGTCATATGGCTGCACCTGCCTTCCAAGATTGTGGGAAAGTGCTTGGAGGGACGGGGGAATATTTAGTGAGCAGTAGTCATGACCACCATACTCCATGGTATGCAGAAATGTGGAGCAGGGCTGGTGGGTGGACCCACTCCACTTGGCTGCTGAGCAGGGCTGGCCCACTACTCAGAATGTGGGTGCCAGGGAAGCCTGGGCTTCTCTCTCATCTGCTTTGTATATTTCTCATGATTTGATTCAAATGCAGATTCTTTGTGAAAAATTAGCCCTGATGAGAAAGCCAGTTCCTGATCATGGAAGTAAAGGGCAAAGGAAAAAAATTAGAGGGTAAAATACAAAGGACAAAAATGACAAGGTTGTGTAAATGACAAGAGTACTGTAAATATTGATACTTTGCAATAAAACTGTGCATCGTCCTTTTGAGAGATGACAACATGCTAGCAGCCCTCACTCGCTCTCCATGCCTACTTGGCCTCAGCGTCCAGTCTGGCCACACTTAAGGAGGCCTTCAGCCCACCGCTGCACTGTGGGAGCCCCGCTCTGGGCTGGCCAAGGCCGGAGTTGGCTCCCTCTGCTTGCGGGGAGGTGTGGAGGGAGAGGCGCAGGTGGGAACCAGGGCTGTGTGGGGCGCTTGTGGGCAAGCGTGAGTTCCGGGTGGGAGCGGGCTCGGCAAACCCATTCCAGGGTGCCCTGCCCTTCACAAAGAAAACTCTCCCTGGGGCTCCCATGGGCTTCTCTGGGATCAGTCACGGGCTCCGTGGGCCCTACACTAGGAGTGGCCAGCCAGAGCCGCAGGCCCTGGGCAGTGAAGGGATTAGCACCCAGGCCAGCAGCTGTGGAGGGTGCACCGGGTCCCCCAGCACTGCTGCCTGGCCCACGCTGCTCTTGAATTCTTGCTGGGCCTCAGCCACCTCCCCGTGGGGCAGGGCTCGGGACTTGCAGCCCGCTGTGCTCAAGAGCCAGCCCCCCGGCATGGGCTTCTGAAGGAGGCCACCCCCGGCTCCACGGCGCTGGGTCCCATCAACCTAGGGCTGAGGAGTGCGGGCATGCCGCTGCGGGACTGGTGGGCAGCTCTGCCCTCGTCCCTGGCTTGGGATCCACTAGGCGAAGCCAGCTGGGCTCCTGAGTCAGGTGGGGAGTTGGAGAACGTTTATGTCTAGCTGGAGTATTGTAAATGCACCAATCAGCACTTTGTGTCTAGCTCAAGGTTTGTAAATGCACCAATCAGCACTCTGTGTCTAGCTCAAGGTTTGTAAATACACCAATCAGCACCCTATGTCTACCTCAAGGTTTATACATGCACCAATCAGTGCTCTGTGTCTAGCTAATCTAGTGGGGACTTGGAGAACTTTTGTGTCTAGCTAAAGGATTGTAAACGGACCAATAAGCTCTCTGTAAAATGGACCAATCAGCTCTCTGTAAAATGGACCAATCAGCTCTCTGTAAAATGAACCAATCAGCAGGATGTGGGTGGGGTCAGATAAGGGAATAAAAGCAGGCTGCCAGCGCCAGCAGTGGCAACCAGCTGGCGTTCCCTTTGGAGCTGTGGAAGCTTTGTTCTTTCGCTCTTTGCAATAAAGCTTGCTGCTGCTCACTCTTTGGGTGGGTGTGCCTTAATGAGCTGTAACACTCATGGCGAAGGTCTGCAGCTTTACTCCTGAGGCCAGCGAGACCACAAACCCACCGGGAGGGACGAACAACTCTGGACGCACCACCTTTATGAGCTGTGACACTCACTGCGAAGGTCTGCAGCTTCACTCATGAGGACAGTGAGACCACGAACCCACCAGAAGGAATGAACAGCTCCAGACGCACCACCATTAGAACTGTAACACTCATCTTAAGGGTCCACGGCTATTCTTGAAGTCAGCAAGACCAAGAACACACCCATTCTGGACACACTTTCAAATGCATCCAATGGAAGCTAAATATCATAGTTGATTAATATGCATGATCTTTAAAATATATTAACAAGCTTTTCTTAATAGTTAGAAATGCGTATCATTTCCTTTCCTCCTTCTACTTCCTCCGGATAATTTTATCTTATTTCAATTTATTTTGATGCTATCAATTGCTTTACTTTTAAATATACTATGTTTACAATTTAATCAGAACTGAGTTATCATTGGTGTTATTTGTAACACCCAAGTGATCAAAACAACACAAACACACAGTAAATTTTGATAAATAATTATTAAGCATCGAAGCAATATTTTATTAAAAGTAAAGTCTTTAGGAGATGGATGGAGGGGGTTGTGGAGTCTTAATTAAAGGACACTTGTCCCAGACCCCACTCTTAACAAGCTTTCCCCTTGTAGAATGTGGGGTGGGGGGATTTGCATGCCTAAAGCAAAGCATTCTGGAAAGGCTCTAGATAAGTGAAGATGGTACTTTTTTTTCTAAAAGGGAAAAGGGTGATTATGAAAGGGTAGATGGGAAAGAACAGCAAGAGTGTTCTCAGGGTGAGTACTGCAGGGCATGAGAACACACTGAGTTTGCGGTCCATACCCAGATACCCTTGCATGGTGTTTGTGTGCCCCTCGGGAATGAGGTGATCTGAATTCAAAAACCTTTTCTCTGCTCTCTGACTTACTGGCCTGGCATTCCATCCCCTACTGGCACTGGAATCACTAGTATTTTGTAATGAGCACTGGGTCCTCTCCATAGCATTGCTCACACACCATCGTGTCTGTCCCTGAGAATGCGTCAAGCTGCTCAGGGCAACTAGTCTCGACCACCACCCCACCATGTTGTAGAGGCAGAGGTGTGTTTTCATTTGCTCATGGACACCCATGCACTATTCCTTCCCTAGGCCTCCCTTCTCTCCATGACTCCACCTCCTCACCACCGCCCCCTTCTTTCCCTCCTCCTTTTTCCTTCTACTCCCCTCCTTCCATTCCCCTCCTCCTTAGCCAGTCTTACTTCTCCTTGAAATCATTATCACAGAATGAAGGCTTGGATGTTGTTTGCATACAACTATTACAAAGAGACCCAAAGTGACATTTCTTTATGGGCCTGGGTTCCAGCCTGTGACAAACAGAGCTGATATCAGAGAAAACAAATTGTTAATGTTATATTGGAATTTCACTGTGGGCACTAGATATTTGCAAGAGGTAACCAAATGTACAAGGGGTCGAAGCAGATGAATTCCATTCCAAAACCACTAAGACTAAAAAGCAGCTGCAAATGAGGTTTGAAATGGACATCCTTCTCCTTAGAGACTTCACAGTGACAAATGGATTAGTCCCAAAGTGGAACACAAACCTGCTTTGCTTTCATAGAAGCGAAGAAGACTAATAAAGGCCGTGTCTCTATCCAGCCCTGAATCCACCAGGGCTCCGTCAACCTCTATTTAATAGCCCGATGCTTCTCAGCTGAGCTTCTTAATTAAGTCACCGTGAGAGCTGGCCCTTAAGAAACTCTTAAACACGCCGGGCGCAGTGGTTCATGCCTGTAATCCTAGCACTTTGGAAGGCGGAGGCGGGTGGATCACTTGAGGTCCGGAGTTTGAAACCAGCCTGACCAACATGCTGAAGCCCTGTCTCTACTAAAAATACAAAAAAATTAGCCAAGTGTGTTGGCGGGCACCTGTAATCCTAGCTACTCAGGAGGCGGAGGTGCGAGAATTGCTTGAACCCGGGAGGTGGAGGTTGCAGTGAGCCGAGATTGTGCCACTGCACTCCATCCTGGGCGACAGAGTGAGATTCTGCCTCAAAAAAAAAAAAAAAAAAAAGTAATCCCAGCACTTTGCAAGGCCGAGGTGGGTGGATCACGAGGTCAGAAGTTCAAGACCAGCCTGGGCAAGATGGTGAAACCCCGTCTCTAATAAAAATACAAAAAAATTAGCTGGGCATGGTGGCGGGTGCCTGTAATTCCAGCTACTTGGGAGGCTGAGGCAGAGAATTGCTTGAACCTGGGAGGTGGAAGTTGCAGTGAGCCGAGATCATGCCACTGCACTCCAGCCTGGGCAACAGAGCAAGACTTCGTCTCAAAAAAAAAAAAAAAAAAGAAAAGAAAAAGAAAAAAGAAACCCTTAAACATTGAGTCCTATTTATTAATTAATGTTTAGCCTTCCTTAGTGTAAAAATGTGTTTACTGAGTCTATTATTATTTATTATATTTTAATTAATAGTGTTTCCAAGGCATGACTTGGAAAGAGAAGCTTTAGTCCACTCATAACCCCAGGCAGTGCTCTCTCTATATGCTGCCATGCAGGGTACTAAGAAAAATATACAAGCAAAGTTATGTAATAAAATCTCTAGGAAACTGTTTTGCTGCTGCTTATAGGGGACCTACATTCCAATTAGAAAGTGTGACACTCTGCAAATTCAGCTTCAAGACCAGTATCCTAACCTTTCTCCCGATCCCATATCAGTCAGGAAAGACTGGGCAATGCTCTAATAACAAATAACCCCCAAATTGCAGCCAAATTGCAGAAATCACGGCAACATTTCTTTCTCTTTTTCACAAAAAAGCAATTGCGGGTCCAGATGACTCTCGTGGGCAGCATCCTCCATGTGGACTCAGCCATCCAGGTGGCCTCTATCCTGCAGTGTCCACCTCACAGCTCTGGCACCATCATGGTGCAGGTAAGGGAGCCCCAGAAACGCTTCACTCTGAAGTGAAACCTTCATCTTCTTCCATCCACAACAGTTGCCTAGAACATGCCCCATGACCCCACCTAACTTCAAGGGGAGGGGAGGTGATATGGTTTGGATGTGTCCCCACCCAAATCTCACCTTGAATTGTAATAATCCCCAAGTGTCAAGGGCGGGCCAGGTGGAGAGAATTAAGTCATCGGGGCAGTTTCCCTCACACTGTTCTCATGGTAGTGAATATGTCTCATGAGATCTGATGGTTTTATAAAGGGGAGTTCCCCTGCACAAGCTTTCTTGCCTGCCGCCATGTAAGATGTGACTTTGCCCCTCATTCACCTTCCGCCACAATTGTGAGGCCTCCCCAGTCATGTGGAACTGTGAGTCCATTAAACCTCTTTCCTTTATAAATTACCCAGTCTCAGGTATGTCTTTATTAGCAGCGTGAGAACAGACTAATACAGGAGGTGTTCTGTTCCCAGAAGGAGGGGAGGAGCAGATATGCATGAGTACTCTATGTTCCCATCATTCCTCCTTCCAGAACATTGCCACATCTGAGACCCTCCTGTAAAAAATTCTGGAGCCACTAATGCTTTCGCAGTATGGAACAAACATATTTTCCAGAAGAAATCAGCCAGTTTTTTTTCCTTTCCTTTTACATAATGCAGTGCCAATGTCCTCTTACCTGGAACAGTGCCTGGCACACAGCAAGCATCGTAACTATTTGTTGAATAATTAGTGAATACATGACTGGCCGAATGAGTGAGGGCCATGCAGTGCCTCTCCCATTATGTCAGGACTCTTCTTGGAATGCTGACTGTGTTTTGTAGAGTGCAGCCCTAGGAAGATGGGAGACCCAGGAACTGGCCCTGTCTCTGCTGATAGCTCCGTCAGCTTGAATGAGGTCTAAGCCCCACGGACACTCTGCATAAAGAAGCATGCATGTTGTGTAGGTAACGGGGTTGGAACTGTTGTGGTCATTGCTTCATGAGGGAAACTAGATAGGGATAGCACCAGGGATGGCAGGCTGGAGCCTGGGGAGGGCGGATCACAGAGAAGCTCTGTGACGTCGTCTGGGGTTAGGAACCCATGAAAAGACTGAACTTCCTATTAGGCAGGGAGAAAATGGGGAGGGTCTGGCTTGATGTCTCTTGGAGAAATCTGGATTACACAAATATGTGAGGCCAGGAAACCAACAAGGAAAACATGACCTGTCTTTGCTGATAATGATTGTCCTATCTGCATAAACTCACAAGGATGGAATAAGAATAAAACCAACAACACACTTCCGCCAAGACTTGACAGTTTGCAAAGCATTTTAAAATACAAAGCCAACTCTGTTAATGGTAACTTGGATAGATGTTCCAGCTTCAGTCCAAATATCTTACAGATATTTACTTTAGTCCTCATAGCATGACTATCTTTATTTCACAATGAGGAAACTGAGCTAAGTATTTTACCCGAGGTTTTACAGTTAGTAGCCAAGACAGGATTCGAACCCAGGTATCTGGCTCTAGAAGCCACACACTGAACTCTGCATCCAGCAGCCTCTGCAGAAAACACAATAAAACTCTTCTGATGATGCCAGTGGCTGGAATTCCACCACTTATACAGAACAATAGGGCTGGAGTTGCTCTGAGAGAATCATGTCTATTTCGAGGAAGTTGAGGAAAAATATACCTAAATTTTGTTTTGGTGTAGTCTAATCCTACAGTATAAAGAACTTTTGTATTGCATTTGAATTCTTTTATTTATTCTTTCATGAGCAAAAACTTTTTGCACACTTACTGTGTTCCAGGTTCTGTTCTAAGCTTGTGCAGTGCATGCTACCTCATGCAACCTTTGCAACAACTCTCCCTGCTAGGGGGCCACTCTTTCCTAAAGCAGGCAGGGGCCCAGAACAGGCTGTTCCAGGCCTCCTCTATGCCTTATTATCACAGAGAGAGCATAGAATATTCCTCAAGCAACAAGAAAGAGCAAGGAAATACATGTTCAATGCAGACATCCACGTTTGTGTCATCTCAGAGGAAGGAACAGGATCACCCGTTCCCTCCAAGGGAAAATATACCCTTTTCTTTGCTTTTATTGGTTTTAAGGCCTGGGACAGTAGTTCTCCACCTTCTTGGGTCACATTGCCTTTCACTCTGCCAGATTCTGTTTCCTTTCTGTGACACGAGGATAGAAATAACACGCATGGCAATGGATTGGGGTGGTATTCCAACGAAATAATGTAACGATGGCCCTTTGTGAAGTGGAATTCATACATTCATTCACTCATGCATTCAACACATTTACTGAGGGCCTATTATGTGCCAAGCTCCTCTTGAAGTCTCTGAGGCCTGAAGAGTGAAGACAGAATAGATGCTAAAGGCAGATTTCTGGAACAAACTGCCTGGGGTCAAATACTAGCCTCATTACTCACTAACTATGGGAAAGTTAAGTATAAAACCTGACTCAAAGGGTTAGTGTCAAGTTTAAAGAAGTTAATATCTGTAAAACATTTAAAATAGTTCCTGGCATAGAGTAAGTTCCAGAAATCCTTTGATAATAAAAAAATATTTTTGAAAAGAACAACTAAGAAAAATTACATTCAGTATTTCTACCTAAGGAGATATGGCTGTATATTTTACCTTAAAAATATCAGAGATGTTAAAATAATAGAACAATAAATAGAATAATAAACATCTGTATAACTTTTTAAAAAGATTTAAAGCCCACATTTTGTGTTTTTTTTTTTTTTTTTTTTTTTTTTTATGGAAACAGAGTCTTGCTCTGTCACCCAGGCTGGAGTGCAGTGGCGCCATCTCGCTCCACCTCCCAGGTTCATGCCATTCTCCTGCCTCAGCCTCCAGAGTAGCTGGGACTACAGGTGCACGCCACCAAGCCCAGTAAAGCCCACATTTTCTAAATGTGAAATAAAATTTTAATTCTTAATCATTAGCCATCAAGAACACACAGATATCTAGAATGCCCTAACTTATTAATGTCTTAATGTATTAGTTCAAGTCTCAAAAGCTTAAAGCAATAAAATGTATTACCTGCTGAAGTAAACCCTCATATACCTGTGATAGCAGTTCCTCCACCATCAAGAATCTGGAAAAAGGAGGAAAGCCTAGAAAACAACAACAACAACAAAACACTGCTTCTTAAAGATATCAACCCCAAAGTGACACCTATCACTTCCTCTTTCATGTCACTGGCCACCCCCACCTTCACTGAGAAGAAAAAGGTTAATTCGACTACACACCTGACTTCACTGTTTGATCATCTGATTGTGGACAAGTCACTTAATTTGACTGTATTTCAGTTTCCTTGTTTGTTAAATGAAAACAGAAACAGTGCTTTGCTCATGGCATTGTCATGAGACTTAAATCATACACAAAAATGTTAGCTATAATGACAATGTGATCTACCCACAGAAAATATAAAGTATTATTTGTGTGTGCATGTCTGTTTAATGTGAGTAGTATCAGACTACATTTCCAATGCCGATAAAAATGTGTGATCTGACTGAAACAATAACCTCGCATTTTATTTCAAACTTACACACTTACACAATACATCCATACATGCGAGTCACCATTGCGTTTCGTTCCCATGAAAACTTGGATTGCGTCAGAGTTTTATTGCTTTTGACCCAATGCCACTTAATGATTGAAAAAAAATGGTGGGTTCATGTTTGGTATTTCCTGATGCGGGCAAGGGAGCAGGGCTGCTCTCAGCAGGCGGTTCTTACCCACGTGCTCACTGGCCCTCCGCAAGCTGATGTCCAAGACGACAGACACATGGTTTAGGGAGCTCAGATGCTTGAACTGTGACGCAGCTGGAAACCCAATCAGGACATCGGAGAAGAAAGCAGAGTGAGGTGGGGTCAGAAGGGGGCACGTGGGACATTCCCAGGAGTTGGAACTGAAGAGGGGTGAAAGGGAGGGATGTGGGCAAAGTCAAGCTCTGGAAGCAGAGGCTCAGGGGGTACCCTGTGTTTGTGGTTGGGGACAGAGATGGGGCAATGAGGCCCAGCACCCAAAGGCCAACAGGGCTAAGGTGTGCAATGACTTCAGGTTGACTCTGGAGGCTGATGAGTTGTTTGTCTGGATGGACGTGTGGTTGGCAGATGTCTTGTGCCTGCCCAGCCTTCACCCCACACTTCTGGGGCCATGCTCTGAGCTTGCTCAGGGAACCATGGCTTTGCTGGTCTCAGCACAGCTCCAGAAATGATCATGTGGCTCCGGTTTGACCAATGAGGCGCCACATCCCTCTGGCCACAATGATTGGCTCAGGAATGGCATGTGACCCAGTCAGACCCAATCAAAGCTCACCCTGGGCCTTGCTAGGGGAGGAAGGATGGAAGGTGTAAGACTCCACCTTCAGAGCCCCCTGGGTGGGGGTCACATGTGCCTCAGGGTGATGTCAAGAAGGTTGTGCTGAGATGGAGAGAAAAAGAGTCATAGTCCCTGGATTTGGATATGCTCAAAGCCAGCTTGTCATTGGCCTTTTCTTGGCATGAGGCAATACATTCCTTTCCTTCGTTTAAACTAGTCGGACATGGGTTTTCTGTCACTTACAACCTAATGTCTTCTAAAACAGCCTTCCCCAACCTTTTTCACACCAGGGACTGGTTTCATGGAAGACAATTTTTCAACGCATGGTGGGTGGTGGGGAGGGATTGTTTCAGAATGAAACTGTTCCCCCTCCTATCATCAGGCACTAGTTAGATTCTCATAAGGAACCCACAACCTAGACCGCTCGAACACGCAGTTCACAACAGGGTGAATGCTCCTGTGGTAATCTAATGCAGGGATGGCCAGCCTTTGGCTTCCCTGGGCCATGTTGGAAGAATTGTCTTGGGCCACACATAGAATACACTAACACGAATGATAGCCGATGAGCTAAAAAAAAAAAAAAAAAAAAAATTGCAAACAAAAATCTCATAACGTTTTAAGAAAGTTTACAAATTTGTGTTGGCTGCATTTTATTGCGGCATTATTCACAATAGCAAAGACTTGGAACCAACCCAAATGTCCAACAACAATAGACTGGATTAAGAAAATGTGGCACATATACACCATGGAATACTATGCAGCCATAAAAAATGATGAGTTCATGTCCTCTGTAGGGACATGGATGAAATTGGAAATCATCATTCTCAGTAAACTATCGCAAGAACAAAAAACCAAACACCGCATATTCTCACTCATAGGTGGGAATTGAACAATGAGATCACAGGAAGGGGAATATCACACTCTGGGGACTGTGGTGGGGTGGGGGGACGGGGGAGGGATAGCATTGGGAGATATACCTAATGCTAGATGACTAGTTAGTGGGTGCAGCGCACCAGCATGGCACATGTATACATATGTAACTAACCTGCACAATGTGCACATGTACCCTAAAACTTAAAGTATAATAAACAACAACAAAAAAATTTATGTTGGGCGCATTCAAAGCCGTCCTGGGCTGCATGCTAGCTCCGGGCCGTGGGTTGGGCAAGCTTGAATGCCTCTGCTGATCTGACAGGAGGTGGAGCTCAGGCAGTAATGCTCCCTCACCCGCCGTTCACCTCCTGCTGTGTGGCCTGGCCTCTAACAGACCATGGACTGGTCTCTGTCTGTGCCCAGGGATTGGGGACCCTTGTCCTCAAAGACAGAGTGTGCCTCTTTAAAGATTGCTGTTCTTTCCCTCGCAGTGAACCGGTAATACGCTCATTCTGCAAAGACATTCGAAAGATGTTTTTGGCCTAACTAGAATCAATTCTGTTGAATTCCCCCAAATCACATCCCAATTCACTTTTTTCCTAAGAAATCCAATGTTAATTTACCCTCGAAGAGCACACAACTCTGGGTGAGTCTCTCTGGCGTCTCATACCAATTTTTTTCCCTTTGGCAATTGGTCTCCAGATCATTAATGTCACATATAACTTAGGGCCCAAACAGCCCACACAGCGATCTCCACAGTGCCTGTCATGATGTGGTCGATTTTGATGGCAAAAATAACTAATTGAAACCCTACGATTTGTTTACTTTGAATACATTAAGGTGGTGGTTATCAAATGGAGCTGAATTATCCCTTAAATTACCATGAAAACAAAATCAATAGTTTATTTACCACACAAAACAAAAGAAAAAAGAAGGAATAAAATGCTCTGAGGAATCTTTATTAGAAGTTTTCCTTGGAAGAATACAATGTAGATAAACTCAGAGTAAATAAGGTATATGGTAACTTGGAGGAATAAACTGACCCCTAGTTCATAATTGTTTATTTCTTGGTTCCTAGCTTATAAATAGTCCGGTGGGGCCTTTCTAAAGTCTAAATTTCTTTCTAACCAAGTGATTAGAATAAATGTCCCGTGGTCCAACAATTGAGTGCAGTGTGGGTGTTTATACTATTACTTCAACTAAATACTGTTGTTTTTTTTTTAGATGGAGTCTCACTCTGATGCCCAGGCTGGAGGGCAGCGGCATCATCTTGGCTCACTGCAACCTCTACCTCCCGAGTTCAAGCAATTCTCCTGACTCAGCCTCCTAAGTAGCTGGGATTACAGGCACACACCACCACACTTGGCTAATTTTGTATTTTTAGTAAAGACAGGGTTTCACCATGTTGGCCAGGCTGGTCTCAAACTCCCCACCTCAGATGATCTCCCTGCCTCGGCCTCCCAAAGCGCTGGGATTACAGGCGTGAGCCACCGCGTCTGGCCGGTACTTCAACTAAATATTTAAGATTATTAGTACATTGAGCTCATCAATGCTTCCACTTTGGGGTCCAAGAGCAAAACTGGAGCTAATTCAGATTATCACCACCTAAGTTGCTTACTTTTAAAAATTATTATTATTTTTAAATTTGGAATGTCTCAGGGTTTCTGCTCCAATTCATAATTCCTGTGTCTTTAGTGGAAATGTCAGTACTTTATAGGATGACACACACAGCATTATTCCTGGCTGTTGAGACACCAAAAAGCCTGATTTACTGTTCCTTCCAGAGGATCCCCAACACCGACATTGACTAAATTCCTTTTCTGCAAGCATCCTGGCAGATGTTCTGGTTAAGACCTTGCACCGTCACGAGCTCATCCTTTTCATGCTCCAACAGCTGTTGAGTGCTGTGTAGCCACCACCCAAGCATCTGACATGTAAGGGCCCTTCCTGCCCACCTCCTGGTGACAGCTGACAAACTAAATGAGAAGAAAACCTTTATTTTTGCTTCAAAAGATGGAAATTGGATTATAAATTAATGGAAAAGCCCATCTGTGAACATGTTCTTACAATTTCTAAATGTTACAAGTCAGAGAAGCACAAGGGCCTGGGAAATACTCAGTATTGGTATTAGTAACTCCTAAGCTAGGATTTTCCTGGGGGATGGGGAGGAGGGCTGCAAACAGACAGGGAGGCTCTGTGCCCTGATCTCCAAGCCTCGGGGGGGAAATAGAACCAGAGGATGGGGCTGGGCTGGAGAGATGGGTCAAGTCAAGGTGGAGAGGATGTGTTGAGATGCTATGGCAGACTGCGGTGGCTCCTCGTCGCCATCTGTTTTCCTTCTTTTTTATTAGATATTTTATTTGCCATATGGCCATATAGAATCAAAACTCCATTTTCCATCCAGGCTTGCTGGTAGATGTGGCTAAGAAGTTCTAGTTGGGGGAATATAAACCTATTTGTTGTGTCCAGATTCTGAGAGGTATCTTAAGGAGTGAGAACATTCCCTCTGTCCGTCTGCCAGCTGGAATGCAGACTCAGGCGTCTGATCTGGAGCCGTCACCTTGAGCTATGAGTGAGAAACCCTTTGCTGATCATGGCAGAGTAACAAGCTAGAAGGAGCCTTGCTCCTCGATGGCATGGGGGCCGCTGTATTAGCCTTAGGCTGTCCTCCTTTACATAAGACAGAAGGACACTTTATCTTGTTTAAGGTACTGTCCATTTCGGGGGGAACTCATAACTGAACAAAATCTCAGATCTCATCTCAGAAGGCGTCTCTGAGCTAGAAATCTTGGGGAGATTCAGAAGTGTAATAGGTAGTTCCTGTGTCCAATATGATTAGGTGTCCTGGGGAAAACTTCATAAACTTTGAGCAGGAGGGTGTGGTGCAGACTGGAAGAGGTTTCAGGGTTTTGAGAAAGGTGGTGAAGGGTGAGAACTCTCTCACCCACCCCAAATACGCTGCTTCAACTTGAGGATTACTGTGAACTAAAGGTGCTTGAAAAACAGCAGATGCAAGAAGAGCATTCTGATCTCACATTTTCTTCCTGAAGATGGGAGATAAAAATTCCCATGGGAAAGATGCCCTCTTTGTGCCAGGAGAAAAGAAACATTCTTTGATGGGGAGTCCTAGCCGAGATAATTCTGTACAGACCTTGTTAAAACAACTCTTATCTTTTCAGCCTCCCCACATGAGTGAGCTGCTTTTTCACAACTTACTGTTCTCTGTCCAATTTCACTATCTGAGGGACTGACTCTGCTTCTTTGGGTCTTCATTTCCTTAAGATGGCTCCCATGCCACATAAAACTTGTACTAAATAAATTTGTATGCTTTTCTCCTCTTAATCTATTTTAGGTCGATTTCATTCTAGAGCCCAGCTGGAACCCTAAGAGGTTGAAAGTGGAGTTTTGTCTCCTCTGCAGTGGACACTCAAAGAACTAGCCAGGATGGGTTGGACCTGGGAGCAGAGAGACCATGGCTCCCTTCCAAGGCTGGGAGAAGGGAGTTGCCACTCCTTCCCAATCAAACCATGCCAAGAACGAGGCTTTTGCAGGGAAATCAGTGCAGATGAGAACTTACCAACAGTTAAGATGAATAAATATATCCAACTGCCTGGCCCATGTCAACACGCAACAATTATTTGCTAAAAGAAATAAAAAAGGGGCCGGGCAGGGTGGCTCATGCCTAGAATCACAGCACTTTGAGAGGCTGAGGCAGGCAGATCACTTGAGGCCAGGAGTTTGAGACCAGCCTGGCCAACATGGTGAAACCCTGTCTCTACTAAAAATACAAAAATTAGCCGGGTGTGGTGGTGCGCACCTGTAATCCCAGCTACTCTGGAGGCTGAGACAGGAGAACTGCTTGAACTCGGGAGGCAGAGGTTGCAGTGAGCCAAGATGCACCAGTGCACTCCAGCCTGGGTGATAGAGTGAGACTCCATCAAGAAAGAGAGAGAGAGAGAGAAGAAAGAAAAAGAAAGAGAGAGAGAGAAAGAAAGAAAGAGAGAGAGAGAGAGAGAAAGAAAAGAAAGAAAGAAAAGAAAGAAAGAACGAAAGAAGAAAGAAAGAAAGAAAGAAAGAAAGAAAGAAAGAAAGAAAGAAAGAAAGAAAGAAAGAAAGAAAAGAAAGACTGACTGCATGAACAACAGCCCAGGAAACACAAGAGAAGTAGCGTGGAGTAGTGGCCAAGGATGGGTGCTAGAATCTCAGAGCCTATATCTGTATATCAAGATGTCTCAGGCCAATGCCTAAAAACAGTGTTCAATAAATATCGAATAGTAATATTACTACTGTTATCACAATTGAGAATAACTGAGTGTCAACCAGCTGATCTGCTTGCCAATGAAGGGACTCCAGGATCCTTAAGTCACTTCTATTTTTCTCCACTTCCCTGGCAACTTTTTCTCCAAGACTAGATCGATTCAACACTCCTCCAAGTCCTGGGTTAACCTCAGTGGCCCTCTGCCTCCCATTGTGATCACCTTCGTCCACAGCAATCTTTTCCTTCTCCGACAGCACATTATTACCTTGTCATTGGGCACTTGAAGTAGACATCCTTTGACATCCTCTGTGAATGTTACCTTATTTCATTCCTTGTTTTCCCAGCATGTAATGGGCAAACAAGGCCCTTCAAAAAACAGATCTGACCCTGTTGACTTCTGCAGACACATCTAGCATCTCTTTCAACTTGAAAAATCATGTCTATATTCCTGCATTCCTAAGCTACCAGCTAAATTTTTTATAAGTTTAAATTTATATTTGGATGTAATTATATATTTATAAATTACATATATATTTTATATTTTTAAGATATTTACTTGTGTAAAATAAATAAATAAATGGGTAAAATTTTCAGCATATTGTAAATACTGGATATTTTAAGAGAAAACCGTAATATAACTTAAAGTATGTCCAACTGAGGCTCAATACGATTGTGATTTGATACCTGTCATAATTGATTTTTAAAAAAATACATACAGGAGCTTCTCATGGTTAGGAACTTTTCATTGTTCTTTATTCCCCTTGAACTTGTACACCCCTAGAAGAATTTGATCATAATGTATCATAGTTTTATTCTTGGAAGTTTTTTTTATTGATTACTCTATCACATATCACTGACTGCAACAAAAATATGCTCATACATTTACATTTAAATTTAAAAAATGTCTCTGACTATAAGTCTTTACATTTTAAAATAAGTTTTTTTTTAAACTTATCATTATGGATGATCATTCTGGTTGTTCGCAGAACACAATTGATCAAAGCAGCATAAGTATGGCAGAGCTCAGGATAAAGAATTATTAATCTGAAAAAAGTAAAATTATTTGGCTATTCTTCTCTTAGTATGATAGGTGGGATTTTTTTTTCCATTAATGTATTCATGAATATTACTTGTTATTTTAAGGAGGCAGTTTCATCATCAATTTTATTCACACCGTTTTGTTTTTATTGGTGTAAGCACTGAGCATTCGTTCACATAAACAAGCAGATGGGAAAGGGGGGCCTTCTGTTGGAAGCCACGCACTTGTTTGGACTCCTTCCAGGTTATGTGCCAAAAATCACACAATGATTTATCATAAAAATATTTTTGATAATCTATGAGCTGACATCCCTATTAGGTTCCTCTTCAATTTCAGTGAAAGTGAAGAATTGAAAACAATTTGACTGTAAAGGGATGTGGTTCCAGTTATACACCCAGATGGGGTACCCAGTTGTCAGAGATGTTTGTGTTCTCAATGCTCAGGCTAATATTTCAAAATGTGTCTTTGCCTGATGCCCTGAAGGACTTTTCCCAGGAGGGGAAAACGCCTTTGTAAGACGCAAGCTGGGTGATGGCTTTTGTGTGAGGACGTCTTCCACCATCCACCCTTCCCCATCCTCCTTCTGTCCTGGGAGGCTGGTTGCATGGACCACAGCAATGGGCTCCCTTCTCTGCTGCTTCCAAGTTATGTTCCCTGCCAGTGGTTGGAGGTCAGGGCAGGGAAGAATAAAGTTGGGCTCCATCTGTGGGATGACCCAGGGTGGCTGCATCTCTCTCAGGAAGGTCACAGCTCCTTCACATTCTACACAGCCTCTCCTGTCTCCAGATTCTGGAAACCTCTTTCTTCTCTAACTCTGCACAGGGCCCCACTAACCCTAGAGAGCTGCACTATCCTTTGTGGCTTTCTTTACTTCACCCACACCTTTATAAACATTTCCTGTATTAAACTTTCTTCGAATTACCCAATTTGAGTGTGCTTTCTGTTTTGTGTTAGTATCCTGACTGATAAACCCATTTTTTAAATTATACTTTAAGTTCTGGGGTACATGTGCAGAACGTGCTGGTTTGTTACATAGGTATACACGTGCCATGGTGGTTTACTGCACCCATCAAGCCATCATCTACATCTGGTATTTCTCTTAATGCTGTCCCTCCCCTATCCCCCACCCCCACAACAGGCCCCAGTGTGTGATGTTCCCTTCCCTGTCTCCATGTGTTCTCATTGTTCAACTCCCACTTTTAATATAATGAAAGAGGGCATTTGTGAAGGAGGAATTGAAAAATAGGATACATGTAGGTAGGGGGTCTGGAAATTGATGATCTTAAAACTGTCTATGCCTGTGAACCCTTAAAAAATTGTCATGTATCCCCAGAGGTGTGAGTACTCCAATCTGATGATGGCCGATCTGTGAGTAAGTTCTTTGGTGGGGATTTGTGAGATTTTGGTGCACCCATCTCGCTAGCAGTATACACTGAACCCAATTTATAGTCTTTGATCCCTTACTCCCTTCGCACTCTTTCTCCCTGAGTCCCCAAAGTCCATTGTGTCATTCTTATGCTTTTGCATTCTCGTAGCTTAGCTCCCACTTACGAGTGAGAACATACAATGTTTGGTTTTCCATTCCTGAGTTACTTCACTTAGAATAATAGTCTGCAGTCCCATCCAGGTTGCTGCAAATGCCATTAATTCATTCCTTTTTATGGCTGAGTGGTATATATACATACATACACATAAATATATGTATACACACACGCTATATATATATATGTGTGCGTATATATATATCACAGTATATCACAGTTTCTTTATCCACTTATTGATTGATGGGCATTTGGGTTGCTTCCACATTTTTGCAATTGTGAATAGTGCTGCTGTAAACATGCGTGAGCAAGTATCTTTTTCGTATAATGACATCTTTTCCCCTGGGTAGATACCGGGTAGTGGGATTGCTGGATCAAATGGTAGTTCTACTTTTAGTTCTTTAGGGAATCTGCGCCCCGCCCTCCCTGCCACCATTTTCCATGGTGGTTGCACTAGTTTACATTCCCACTAGCAGTGTAGAATTGTTCCCTTTTCACCACATCCATGCCATCTATCATTTTTTGATTTTTTGATTATGAGATGATGGCTGATCTAATGCCTGACCAACCACCCTGTTCCCTTCACTCTATAGTGGTAAGGACATGGTTGGGAACCAAACAAGCATTAAAGAAAGCTGGCAAATGCCTTTTCACAAATGCCAGATGATACAGGTGAAAGCTATACAGCATGGTGTTTGTCCAGCACCTTCCATCCCTGCTACTACCCGGCCACACCACCACTGCCCTCATCTGCAGGGGAAGCAAATTCCTCCCTTGAGCTCATGGGTGCAGTGGGGGCTGCCTCCAAGAAGCCAAGACCCCATGATTGCCTGCTTGAGTCTAGCACCAATCACCATTGAACAAAAGCCCATCTGGTTTATCCACCAGGTTTTTTTTGAGCACTGAGTTAGAAATTCCAGGCAACCCATTGAGAGTTCTTTATTGCAGCAGCGGGCAACTGATCTACGATAACATGTAAAAAGATAAGGGTCCCCAGGCGATGACAGCAGCTGCAGTTTAAAGTTGAATTTGGAGTTATTAAAGCGTGTGCTGCATCCACCTGCAGGAGGCAAGTGACGATCTCAAATCTCCCATCCCTGAGTTGGCCAGAACCCCCAAGGTCAATTGCCCAACATACTTGGTGCCTCTGAGACTTGAAGTTCCTGGCAGATGGCTGTGGGGTGCGCCTGCACTAGCTGTCACTGTGACTCATCCCTCAGGGCATGTCAGATTCTGGCATTTATTTTCATTTATTAATTAATTTTAAACAATAGCAATCTCAGAGCCTCTTAGATTGTGACCCATCACAACATTAAAGCTGGTCGAGCCACTCTCTAGGGCCAGGGTTTTTGTGACAGTTTAGATTATCATTAAGCAAATATTCACTCTCTCCCCTTCACACTGCAGGTGGAGAACACTTCCCACCCTGCTGATGTTTGGCTGTGTGACTTGCTTTGACCATTTGGAAGTCAGCAGAAGTGATGAGAGCAAAGGGATTAAATGTGCAGCTTGGCTCACTCTTGCTCCTGGGGATCTGCTGTGATGAGCGTGTGCTCTCTTTATAACAGGAGCTACTGTCCCTTGATACTCGGTCCAGTGCGCACACGTGTGGAGCAGATCTGAGCCCAATCCACAGCCTGCACCCTATCCAGCAGAGCCCATGTCGCAGAGCCCGGGTCGCAGAGCCATGAGTCACCTGTGAATCTGCGCGTGTGAGAATTAGTGCTTATTTTGAACCACGGAGATGGGTTGGCAACAACTGACAAATCACTGAGTTTTCAAATTCTGCTCTGTGGAACTCAACGGAAGTCATTTTCAAAAAAATGGTTTCATTCATTCACATATTTATTAATTCACTTGCTTATTCTACAAACACTTTATTGATCACCCTAGGTATCGTGCACTGTTCTAGAGAGACTCATCCATCTCAGCTTATCTGGGCTGCTTTTTGATCTTCCTGAGAGAATGGAGGGCCTGTGTGTGCACATTGGTAAAGTGCTTTGAAAGGAATGAATCCAGCAGATTTCACAGCCCCTTCTCCTCTGCAAGGCTGTGTAGCCTTCTCTGAGGCTAGCTGGGGTTGGTGTGGGCGGGAAGGAGTCTTGCTGCTACCCGAACAGACTCAGATGCTCCCCTGCCTCCATCTCTGCATTAAATCAGGGGCTGTCAAGGAGGAGGCAGGCACAAGGCGATGTTCGTCAGCTCCCGGAGGGGCAGGTCTCTTCACATCTTGCCTGGGTTCATTGGCTCAGCCACATGCTGGTCGACCTTGTTTCTGTTTTCAGATAAAGAAAATGAGGCTCTTTTTCTTTCATCACTTTGTCCAGTGAACTTAGGAGCAACCAACCAACTTCATTATATTCCTTGGTTCTCCACGTAGGGTCAAAGATATCAGGTATAGAGTCATTAAGCTCCTGCCTCTCATGAGCAGTGAATCAGGAGTATCAAATGCATTTATTTTGCAAGAACTATCGGTGTTCTCCATGCTATTAGAAGTAGAGCCCTTAGCATTTTTGAGTCTAATCATATTAAGCAGCCAACTCCAGAAACCCCCAAATCAACAAAAGAACTCCATCCTTAATACTCTGTTCCTCTAGAATTACTCCTGCTACCAAAATCTGTATGAGTCAGGGTTCTCTAGAGGGACAGAACTAATAGGATAGATGTATATATAAAGGGGAGTTTATTAAGGAGTGTTGATTCACACGATAACAAGGTGAGATCCCACAGTAGGCCATCTGCAAGCTGAGGAGCCAGGAAGCCAGTCCGAGTCCCAAAACCTCAAAAGTTGGGAAGCCAACAGTGCAGCCTTCAGTCTGTGGTCGAAGATGCAAGAGTCCCAAAGCTGAAGAATTTGGAGTCTGATGTTCAAGGGCAGGAAGCATACAGCCCAGGAGAAAAATGGGGCCAGAAGGCTCAGCCAGTCTAGTCCTTCCACGTTCCTCTGCCTGGTTTTATTCTAGCCGAGCTGGCAGCTGATTCAATGGTGCCCACCCAGACTGAGGGTGGATCTGCCTCTCCTAGTTTACTAACTCAAATGTTAATCTCCTTTGGCAACACCTTCACAGACGCACTCAGGAACAATACTTTGCATCCTTCAATCCAATCAAGTTGACACTTAACCTTAACCATCATAGAGGATAACAACAATTCACCCAATTCTTGGCCCAGGGAAAGAGCAGGAGCCGCACTCACATCTCTCAAATCTCAGTCCCATGTCCTTCTCTTTGCTCCAAATGCCACTTCCCTGGAGGATTGTTTTTAAGCCCCCATTCCTAGTCTCTGAAAACAGGGGGCTTTGGCTCAGACACCGTGGCCTCATCCTTTCTTCAGACTATGTTTGCTGAGCTTCCGTTATGTAGCAAGTGCTGGGAATACAGCAGTGAAAAAATGAATTTCCTGTTCTTGAGGATGTGTGGAAGAACAGAGATCAGGAATGACACACAATCTATCTGGTGACCATGAGCTCTGTGGGGGAAAGCTAAGTAGAGTAGCTGGGGGGTTCCTTTGTTAAAGGTGTTTGGGGAAGGCCACTCTGAGGATGTGACAGCCAAACACAGACCCGAAGGAAAGGAGGGAGCAAGCCAAGCTTATAAGAGAGTAAAAGGTGCTCCAGGCAAAAGGCATAGCTGCACAAAGACCCCGAGGCAAGACCATGCCTGGCCTGTTGAGGAACACAGTGTTTACTTACTGGAGTCACCCAGGAGAGCAGCATGCTCTGTGTTCATTCTGCGCCTTGTTGCCGTCTCAGGACTAAACTGCTTGCATGAAGTCCAAGGTCTGTTAATTAAAAATGTAACAAGGGACACCCCAGTGTCTTCAGAGTAAATCTTTACAACTGAGAGTTTGTAGCTGAAGGCAACTAAAGCGGTTCAAAGCGAAGGGCGATTTGACAACGACATGGCTAGATTCACCAGCAGGGCTGGGCAGGACCACCTGCTGGGGCTCCAGGACCACAGACATGACATTCCCAGGGTGGGACAAGAGAACAGCTGGGGAGGCTGTCACCCCATCAGGGCGCCTCCCTCCCCCCAACAGTCAAACATAAAAAATAGATTTTTTATGACTCCTCCCACCACTCTGTGCTATGGACACGAAAGAACTTTGACCACTGCGACCCTCAACCCCTGGCCTTTGTCCTGAAATAAACAAATGAGTCCTCCCATCTATTACCCACCCCATGTGATGAAGTGGGCTCCTAGGAACATCCTGCATCCAAGTGGCAACCACAGTGCTTGTTTCAATTACCTCTTATTTATCCCACTGGTTAGGGAGGGATGTCCCATCCTAAAGCATATGAGATGGCTGAACACACGATGCCCAACACTGGACAGATGACCTTGGCAGCAGCTCATCAGTCACGTCTACTAACACCCTGGGGGAGGAGGGCATCACACGCCGTGCAGGGCCATGCAGGGTTGTGCTGGGGGGCAGAGAAAACCAGCCAAGGCTGTGGATGGCAGGCTTTGTGGCAACAAGAGGTTGAGGTGCCCCTGGTCCCTGCAGGAGGATGCAGTTGGCTTGTTTCAATAATCTGTGGGTTGGCAGAGAGGTGCATCCATGAGGTTGAGGACCAGATGTGGTACAGCTGGTGTAGCCGGTAGGGGAACTGGCCAGGTAGAGACTCTTTCCTTTTGGGTGGGTGACATATCTGGTGAGGGCAGGAGAACTCATGGTTAGGCTTTTGGGTTTCTGTGAGGCTCAAAGATGTCAAGGCAGCATGTGACATTTGAGACATCTCGCTGTGCCTAAACTGTTTACACAAAACAGCATGGTCCCTGGCGAACATGTTTTTCTTCTGGGAGTCTGGAATTTTGGTACATGCCAGGCCAAGGCTGCCCCATAACCAGCCCTGAATAAAAATCCCAGGCACCAAGTCTCTAATCATCTTCCCTGGTAGATGACACTTCCCAGGCATTGCCACACCTCACTGCTGGGGGAATTTAGCACATCTTGTGTGACTTCAATGGCAGAGACCCTTGGAAGCTTGGGCCTGACTTCTCCCAGACTTCACCCATGCACCATTTTTCTTTGTTGATTTTGCTTTTTTCTGCAATACATCATAGTCAAGAGGATGACAACATGCTGAGGGTTGTGAATCCTCACAGTCAGTCCTTAGTCCTGTGAGTGGTCTTGGGTACCATACACCTTGCCTTTTCTGGATTCTAAGCCTTTGCTTTGGACCTAACACCTCATCTCATCTAACACCTGACACCAGCCCTGACTTTTAGGATGATCTTACTGATCCTCAGTACTCTGTTCAAATCTCACCTTGACCAAGAATTCTGAAGAGTTTTTACCCTCCTTAGAATTCTATAGCCTTTGATATCAAAATCACCTATCGGGCATGGTGTTATAAATGATCGTCATCTTCCTTCCTAAGAACCATCCACGTTTTGAGTTCTGTGACAAGTGTCGATTTATGGCAGCCCCTAGCCTGGAAGCCAAGATAAGATGACATAAAATAAACGTTTTTACATTAGTTTGCTCTGTCCTCAATGCTCTGTATTCACTGAAAAAAGACTTTTGAAGATAGAATCTTAATAGATATCAAATTATTATCTAATTTCAAAATATTTTGACAATTCTTCATAGACACAGCTATAGCAAAGTATGTCTGTCAGTGATAGTGCCTACAACTGGAATTAGTCCTAGAACTGTGAATCCTATTTTTAAGTGTGATTAGAATTTTATTCTTTAGAGCCTGGTTGTTTTAAGTCATTAATTCAGTCATCAAAAATTGATGGAGTGCCTACTAAGTGCCACACACAGAACATTCTGGAATTTCAAAATTAACAAGATTTATTATCTGCTTTGGAAAGATTTGGTAGCTATATCTGGTAGTTTTGGCAGTTTTTCTGTGTTTATGTGCCTACCCAGTATCTAATCACCCATGTCCCTTCCTTGTAATACTCTCTGTGGATATCATCTGTCTTCCAGGTAGCCCATGACTCAGAGGGGAACTGACCTGACCCCCAACTACAGCAGTACACCCGGATTGGTCTAAGCTAACTAGAGTAATCCTACTTTAATGAACCAATGATTCATTCAGTGAAACCAGGCTTAATCCAATTAATATATAATACTCTCCCACAAGGTGGCCCAATCAGTGAAAAACTCATATTTTCTTTGGAAATCTCCTTCTGAATGTGAAAGGCACGGTTATCTGGATACCAGAACTGCTGGGTCATTTTGGAAGGCCAGGCTGAGGATGAGGAGAAGGGCCCAATACAGAGTATAAAAGATAAATTGGAGAGGGAACTTGATCAAGCCGCTCCTGATATCCAAATTTCTGAACTTATTGTTTATCTGAACCAATAGATTATTTAAAATAATTAAGCCAGGATGAGTTAATATTTTTGATGTTGACATTCAAAATTAATCTACATTATTTACTCCATAACATCCATCTATTCTTTCTCTCATTGTTTATTGTCTGATTTTCTTTTGGAAAATGTAACCTTCCTATATTCTCAGACATGTGTTTTGAGTGGGACTCCTACCACACTCAGCTCTATATGACAGTTTAGATTAGCTTAAACCAATTAGCATATTCTATTATTTTGGCTTTGATGATTGGTTTAGGGATAAACACAAAACCCAATTAAGGCTATAGAAATGGTAAAAATTTCAAGACTTATGCAGTAGATACAGTAAGAGACCCTTCTCCTTCCCCTAGTTTCTGTGGTGTGAGGATCTGCATTCTAGACATCCAGGAGCCATTTTATTGCCACAGATGAGAACTCAGAATTGTTCAAAGTTGAAGTCCACAGATGAAGCCAATGTTGCAGAAAACAGATGAAGGAGAGAAATTAAAACATGTACAATGCTGGATTCGACTTGTCATGAAGCCTGCTACCTCTGGACTTCTCTGTTATGAGTGCAAAGAAAAAAATGTTTAAACAAGTTTGAGTTAGATTTTCTGACTTTTGCTACATACTAATGTTAAGTACTATTATAAGGGTTTATTCTAAGTCTCATCCTAAGCTTAGTCCTGGGATAGACTCAGGATGAATGAAACCAGGGAGGTGAACTGGAGAAGCTCACATCCCAGAGGTAGAGGTGGCAAACATACGTGGGGTTGTGACGCAGGGATAATTGTAATAAACATATTAAATAAACGAATGAATCATTATTCTATAAAACTGGCTGGGTGCATTGGCTCATGCTTGTAATTTCAGCACTTTGGAAGGCCAAGGTGGGAAGACCACTTGAGGCCAGGAGTTTGAGATTAGCCTGGCCAATATAGTGAGACTCTGTCTCTACAAAATAATAGAAAAACTTACCTGAGCCTTGTGGTGCACGCTGGTAGTCCCAGCTACTTGGGAGGTTGAGGCAAGAGGATTGCATGAGCCCAGGAGTTTCAGATTGCAATGAGCTGTGATTGTGTCACTGCTTTCCAGCCTGTGCAACAGATGAGACCCCAACTCAAAAAAAATTTTTTTTAATCAAAAACTGATATTTACAGATTCTGGTTGAGGTAAGATGTTATATATACACTCTACCATGTTTCTCCCACTGAATGAAGATCTAGAACCTGGAAAGACAGCAGTAATCCGAGGGCTCTGAAAAGTAAATAGTTGTAGGTGGATCACAGAAGATCAGAATGTGAAGTGTCACTAAACTGGTTGTATTGGTCCATTGTCACACTGCTGTAAAGAAATACCTGAGACTGAGTAATTTATCAATGAAAGAATTGGCTCATGGTTCTGCAGGCTGTACAGGAAGCATGGTAGCATCTGCTTCTGGGGAGGCCTCAGGGAGCTTTTGCTCATGGAGGAAGGTGAGGGGGAAGTGGGCACATCTTACATGGCAGGAGCAGGAGGAAGAGAGAGAGGGGGAAGGTGCTGCACACTTTTAAACAACCAGATCTCATGAGAACTCACGAACTTATTATCACGAGAACAGCATCGAGATGATGGTGCTAAACCATTCATGAAGGACCACCAGCATGATCCAATCCTCCCATTGGGCCCCACCTCCAACACTGGGGATTACAATTCAACATGAGATGGTGGGGACACAGAACCAAACCATATGCACTGGTGGTGAATTTGCCATGTTTTGCCCTTTGGTATCACCGGACCTGATCCTGAAACTCAGAAGTGAGCAATGGGGCAAAGACAGAGCTCCAGGGGCATTTCAGGGATGCCCTCTAGTTCTGGTTCAGGGAACTTTTAACACTCAGGGTGTGGACATCTCCACTGTTTTTTTCTTTTCTCCATTCCCTCATGCCCAAGTGAGAGGTGAAGCCAGTTGGACTTCCTCTGTGGAGTGGGGACTTGGAGAACTTTTCTGTCTAGCTAGAGGATTGTAAACGCACCAATCAGCGCTCTGTGTCTAGCTAGAGGATTGTAAACGCACCAATCAGCACTCTGTAAAATGGATCAATCAGCAGGACATGGGCGGGGACAAATAAGGGAATAAAAGCTGGCCACCCCAGCCAGCAGCGGCAACCCGCTGGGGTCCCCTTCCACATTGTGGAAGCTTTGTTGTTTTGCTCTTCACAATAAATCTTGCTGCTGGTCACTCTTGGGTCCGGGCCACCTTTAAGAGCTGTAACACTCACCGCGAAGGTCCGCGGCTTCATTCTTGAAGTCAGTGAGACCATGAACCCACTGGAAGGAACCAACTCCAGACACAAGCTCTTAAGCAACCTTATGATATTGATGGGCAATATTTGAACAAGACTCAGAGTCTCATAACATAATATATAAAATGTCCAGGATAAAATCCAAAATTCCTTGCTTATTAAGAACCAGGAAAATCTCAGTATTCATGGGAAAAGACCACGAAGAGACCCCAATAATGAAATAACACAAATATAGAGATTTTCTGACAAGGACTTTAAAGCAGCTATTATAAAAATCCTCCAATAAGCAATTATGAACACTAATGGAGCAAATGGAAACATAGATCCTAAGCAAACAGGAAGAATCTTTGGGATCTGCAGTTAGGAAAATGGCTTTTAGATGTGATACCAAAAGCACAATCCATTAAAAAATTGATAGAATTAATATATTTGTCATAAAAATTAAGAACTTTTGTTCTGTGCAAGACTCTGTTAATAGAATAAAAGGTCAAGTTTGTTACTGGGAGAAAATCTTTGCAAATCATATATCTGACAGACAAAAAAATTGAATGCAGAATATGTAAAGAATTCCCAAAATTCAGCAATAGGAAAACAAACAGCCCAATTAAAGAAGAGGCAAAGATGTGAATAGACTCTTCATCAAAGAAGATATATAGATGGCAGACACACACATGATAAAATATTCTATCTCATTAATCACTAGGGAAATGCAAATTAGAGCCACAATGAGATACCACTCCATACCTATTAGAATTAGAATGGGTGCAATAAAAATCCTGACACCACCAGGTGTTAGAGAAGTTACGGAGCAACTGGAACTCGTGTGTTGCTTTGGAAAATACAAAATGGTACAGTCACTGTAAAAATCAGCTTTGTGTCTCCACATGAAGTTAAGCATACATTTACCAGTTGATCCAGTAACCCCACTGCTGGGTATTTACCCCAGAGAAAGGAAAACTTACGTCCACACAAAAACTTGTGCACATATGTTTATAGCCGCTCTCTGTGTAATTGCTGAAACATGGAGGGAACCCAAATGGCCTTTATCAGGTGCTGGGGTAAAAACAGCTGGTGCGAGACCACTGTGAAAGGAAAATCAATCTGGGGACCCCGAAATCACTAAGCCACGGTGAAAAGTCAAGCTGGGACCTGCATTGGGCAAACTTGCCTCCCATTTTGTTCCTAAATACTGTAGCAGGATGAGCTGCAGACGAAAATCCTCAGATACTGAGTTAAAGAAGGAAGGGGTTTATTTGGCTGGGAGCATCAGCAAGACTCCTGTCTCAAGAGCTGAGCTCCCTGAGTGAGCAATTCCTGTCCCTTTTAAGGGCTCACAACTCTAAGGGGCTCCACGTGAGAGGGTCGTGATCGATTGAGCAAGCAGGGGGTACGTGACTGGGGGCTGCATGCACTGGTAATCAGAACGAAACAGAACAGGATGGGAGGTTTTACAATGTCCTTCTATACAATGTCTGGAATCTATAGATAACATCGGTTGCTAGGTCAAGGGTGGAATTTACTACCAGGCTTAAGTCAGGCAGGCCCAGGCCTAGTTTCGGGTCTGGTTCTTTGGTTTTGGGTCTGGCTCTTAGGAGCTGGGCTACCTGCCTTTTGTTTCGCTTTTCTTTCCTTTTCTGAGTATAAAACAATATAAAACAATATGAGAGGGTCT
The DNA here is from genome assembly GCF_000001405.40 of Homo sapiens. NCBI lineage: Eukaryota > Metazoa > Chordata > Mammalia > Primates > Hominidae > Homo > Homo sapiens. Next base: position 48,085,074 of record NC_000020.11, read on the forward strand.
GTCTCTCTTCTCTCAATACGATTGCTACAAAGATTAAAAAAAAAAAAAAGTTGCCCACCTCCCTCACAATTTACCCACAAGGAAATTCCTTGTGGACAAAGGACAGACAGAACTCAGTCATCCCTCTGCTCACTAAGATAAATGCATATCTGATTGTTTCCTCTGCCCTGTTGTTTCACTAAGCCAGACTAAGGCATAAGTGACTATTCCTCTACCCTCCTCTCACGCGTGAACTGCATTTTCAGTAAAAGGCTAATCAGAGACTCAAGAGAATGCAACCGATTGTCTCTTATCTACCTATGACCTGGAAGCCCCCTCCCCGCTTCGAGTTGTCCCACCTTTCCGGACAGAACCAATGTATATCTTACATATATTAATTGATGTCTCATGTCTCCCTAAAATTTATAAAACCAAGCTATGCCCCGACAACCTTGGGCATGTGTCATCAGGACCTCCTGAGGCTATGTCATGGGCACGTCCTTAACCTTGACAAAATAAACTTTCTAAATTGATTGAGATCTGTTTCAGATACTTTTTGAGTCATGCCACTCAGCAATACAAAGCAATGAACTATTGATAAACACAGCAACTCCTTTGATTCTCAAAGGCATTATGTTGAATGAAAGAAAACAGTCTCAATATTACATACTGTACATTTCCATTTATATGACTTTCTCAAGGAGAAAGAAACCATACAATACAAGAAGGGTGTGAGATTATATGGGGAAGGGGATGGGGTGACTTGGAGAAGCTAGCATAAGGCGTTTTTTTTGTTTTGTTTTTCTCTGGGGAGGATAGAGCTGTTCTGTATCCTGATCATGGTGGTGGTTACACAAACCTATACACACATTAAAATTCATAGAACTGCACACCACACAAAGGTCAGTTTTATTGTATAATAATTTTTTAAATAACATTTAAGGTCACACTCACACAAAACTGATCTCTCTGAAAGTATTAGTTGGATTTCCCTTTATTTATTTATTTTTTTAAAGGACAACCCCGCTGGCCCCAATCTCACCTAGGCATGGCCTGGATTTCTGCAGAAGGACAGGCCAGCAGACCTCACTTCAAAGGTGGCATCAAACACTGTTCCTGCCTATAAAAATACAGTACAAGCAAGCCTGATTTTAAAGCCTCATTTTTCTTCCTCTTCCTCCTCCTAGTTCTGACAGGGCATATGGAAATAATGTTAGAATGTAAACTTTGAGCATGAATGAGAATTCTATTTCCAGAGATGTTTATATTTTTTTTCTCTTGGGTTGAAACCCTCAATCATATCCAAATAAATTATTTGGGGATGTTGGTAAGAGGATAAATCTTAGGGGGTTTTCACAAAGGTCTGAATTCTGAGAACCTCTTTTTCTTGGGACTGTGTGTTTTCTAGAGAGTGGGAGGCGCTGGTGGGTTACATGACATTTTGAATTACTATATTTTCTTTTCCCTTTATATATTCACAAAGCACTCTAGATATTGGGCAACTGCAAGTCCAAGGTGAGAAGGAAGATAGGCTTTTGCAAAGACAATCACTGTTCAAAGCACACGCAAAGATTCAATGTATTCATAGAGCCCTCCCAAAGGAAACAGCAACAGACCAGAGTCTTTATTCACATTTTCTCAACCAGCAATCGGGAAAGAAATACAGGTAATAAGATACGAAATACCTGTTGCCTATGTTTAACTTTGTTTTTAGGTAGCCAGGGACTCTGTTTAAATGGCTGGTGAGTGAGGGTGGAAATATTACATAATGAAGAGAGGGGTGTTTAAGGAACTGCAGTTTAAAGTTTTGTGCAAGAATAATGCCATGTTGTTTTATTTTGAGGTGGAGTCTGGCTCTATTGCCTAGGCTGGAGTGTAGTGGCGCGATCTCAGTTCACTGCAACCTCCACTTCCTGGGTTCAAGAGATTCTCCTGCCTCAGCCTCCCAAGTAGCTGAGACTACAGGTGCACGCCACTACACACAGCTAATTTTTGTATTTTTAGTAGAGACAGGATTTCACTGTGTTGGCCAGGCTGGTCTCGAACTCCTGACCTCAAGTTATCTGCCCGCCTTGGCTTCCCAAAGTGCTGAGATTACAGGCTTGAGCCACCATGCCTGGCCACAAGAATGATGTGTGTGTGTGTGTGTTTTTTTTCTATTCCAAGCACCTTTCCTGCCTGCCCAGTTTTGAGAGCATGTGTGTGTATTCATTAGTAAGCTTCGGCTGTAAGTAGCAGGAATCTAAATTAAACTGCATTCAAAGATAAGAGAAGATGGAAGTGGAGGATTGGTTTATTTAACTAAAAAGTCCGGAAGACGATTGCAGGCATGTTTGCATCTGGGGGTTTTATCCATTATGAGTCTTAGTTACAAGCAGGAAAAATCAATCTAACTCATTAAGTATAAAATGCCTTATTGAACACTAATTTTTCATGTAGAAAGGCATGAAATTATAAGATGGAAAATTTTCTAAACATGAGAGGAGATTTAAATGGGGGCAAACAATAATAAAGACAATATTAACAACAATGGCGAACACAATTCCGTAGTTATTAAATGCCTGGCAGTCTTCTAAGATCTTGTGTCCATTAATTTAATCCTCACCACATCCCTTTGGAGATTGGTCTTCTTTGGATGAAGAATATGTGATAAAGGGACCTAAAGTAACCTACCCAGGTCTAGGCTGACCATCCCTCCTGTCTTCCCTGGGACAATCCCAACATAATGCTGTCCAAAAATAATGAGGAACACCCCCATTTATTCTCAAAAGTGGTCTGATTTAGTCAATAGATTTGATCATCATTCTACTAGGGTCCTACAGCCAGGAAGAGAAGTTTGGATGGCAAGGACACACTTGTGAGGTCCGATGACATTACTAGATTGTCTCCCTCCTCCATCTCTCAGCCCTGCCTTCCTGTTTGGGCTCACCTTCAGGTGGTCCTACTCCACAGGGGGGACCTTGTGGCCCGAGGCTGCCCAGGCTGAGCTCCTTTCACTTCCAAAGTCAATTAAAAGAGACATCCCCTGGCTAAGAGTTTCAATAGAAATCAGAATTTCAGCTCACTGGCCCAGGGTGGGTCTACGACTCCCTTTTGGAACCTCGGCTGATGCCCCAGGAAACTCAAATGCTGAGAGTAGTGGGTATTGCTCAACAAAAAAGGGGTTGGAGGGTGTTCTGATCCAGAGAAGTAGAATGGATGCTGGGATTGGGGGTGCCGTGATCCAGAGGAATAGAAGGGACAAGTGGCAGATGTCCAACCTAAGTCTCAAGGCCAACCATTTATTATGGCTCCTTTGTACAAAAGACTTGTTGGCAAAACTGGATTCTTTCTGCACTCTCTGAAATACTATGTATTTACTGATGATCACAGAAGGCTGATCGTATCATGATACAATCAGATGTTGCCATTGGAACCAATTCTGTCGGTGACACAAAGATGGGCAGAAAAAAGGGTCCTCCCCAAATAGTTTGTAATCTAGGGCAGGGGTTGGCAAGCTTTTTCTATAAAGGGCCGGATAGTGAATATTTTAATTGTTTTTTTTTTTTTTTTTGACAGAATCTCACTCTGTCGCCCAGGCTGGAGTGCAATGGCATGATCCTGGCTCACTGCAAGCTCTGCCTCCCAGGTTCTCGCCATTCTTCTGCCTCAGCCTCCCGAGTAGCTGGGACTACAGGCACCTGCCACCACACCCGGCTAATTTTTTTGTATTTTTATTACAGACAGGGTTTCACTGTGTTAGCCAGGGTGGTCTCAATCTCCTGACCTCATGATCTGTCCACCTCGGCCTCCCAAAGTGCTGGGATTACAGGCGTGAGCCACTGCACCCGGACAATATTTTAGGTTTTGAGGGCCACGTGTTGTCTCTGCCATATATTCTTGTGTGTGTGTGTGTGTTGTAAAAACCATTGTTAGTTCAGGGGCAGGACAAAAACGGGCTGAGTGGGCTGGATTTAGCCTGAGGAGATGGTTGGCCAATTCCTGATCTAGCAGAGATGACAAGAAGACATAGTTGTGTGAACAGAGGCCATGGCTGCCTTATGTCGCCTGTGGTGGCCCCATCTGTGTGAACCTGCTGGGTCCACATGAAGGAAGAGAGGAGCCTCAAGAAGGGCCATGGAGGTGAGACCCCAGAGTGGACACCAGGGCTGCTGGAGCAGAGCCCTGCAATTTGCTGGCAGTAATGGATGTTTCTCCTGAGAACCCCTTCTGCCCACTGTTCAGCTCAGACCCACCAGGGTCTCACGTCCTGAGTGGAGCCAGAAATGACCATGTAGCTGGTAAGAGCCAGGGTACTCGCTGCTGCCAGAGGGCCCTTTAGGTGTAGAGGAGAGTTTCTCACTTGCTCTTCTCCTCCATTGGCTACTCACTCAACACCTAGAATAAACACCAGACTCCTACAGAGTCTGCGATGTAGGTCGACCTCCTGCCCAATTCTCCACCCTCCTGGCACCCTCCCCTTTGGCCTCCTACCCCAGCCACACCCACCTCCAGGCTTATGAGCCAAGCATGGTCTCTCCTCTATGGCTTCACAGGTGCTGGTCCCCTGCCTGAAATGTTCTTCTCGTCAGCATCCACAGGGCTCATCTCACGTAGGTCTCTTCTGAAAATCGACCTTGTTGAGAGGCCTTTCCAGATCACTCTAAAATAGCCACCTCTGCCTTCTTTATCTTTGCCTTGCATTAATTTTCTTTGCTGCACATCACATATGATATGCTTTGGCTCCGTGTCACCACTCAAATCTCATCTTGAATTGTAATCCCCATAATCCCCACGTGTCATGGAAAGAATCAGGCGGGAGGTGATTGGATCATGGGGGCGGTTTCCTTCATGCTGTTCTTGTGATAGTCAGTTCCCATGAGAGCTGATGGTTTTATAAGGGGCTTTTCCCCCTTCACTCCTCGTGCTCACACTGTCTCCTGCCGCCTTGTGAAGAAGGTGTCTGCTTCCCCTTCCCCCATAATTGTGAGTTTCCTGAGGCTTCCTCAGCCAGACTGAACTGTGAGTCAATTAAGCCTCTTTTCTTTATAAATTACCCAGCCTCGGGCAGTTCTTTATAGCAGTGTGAAAACAGACAAATATTAGATTGGTGCAAAAGTAATTGTGGTTTTTGCCATTAAAAGCAATGGCAAAACAGCAGTTACTTTTCACCAACCAAATACAACATCTTTGATATATTTGTTTGTCAATTCATTTATTGTTAGTCCCCCCAACTGAACCAAAAGCTCCAGGAGGGCAGGGATTTTTGTCTGTTTTGCCTCCTGTATGCCCAGCACCTAGAAAAATTCTGGAACAAAGCAGCACTCCCTAGATATCTGCTGAATCAACGAATCAATAAATGAATGCTGGCACAAAGATAATCACTCTTTTCCAGAGGCCTTGAACCTAAGAAGAGATGAAAAATGCTACAGCCACAAAAGGAAAGTCTGTCTGAGCTAAGACAGAGATGCCAGATTCTGATGGCATCAATTGAACAACTTGATCAAGCTACACCTGAAGCTAGCCCTACTGCTGCAGCTTTCAATGACAAAAGTCAGCAATTCTCTTCATAGGTTTCTAAATCATTTTGGGTTGGAGATTTTGCTTCTTGTAATAAAGGATATTTTTATTTGGGTAGTCAGGAGAGAAGAGGACAAGGCGGAAAGGCAAGGAGGGATGAAGATGGAGCATGTGAGTGGTCAAATGATACATCAGGAGATATGGCAATTCTGGCCTCTAAGAAAATATAGTTCTCTGTAAGCCTTAGAGAAAATCCCTTTACAAACACAGCAAAGCCTCGAGCTGGGCTTACTTGGAACACACATTCTCACTACACGGAGAGTCCAGCACAAAGCAGGAAGGAGCGTGGGCCACAGAGAGAACACAGACCCTGGGGTCATGTGAGTCCAGTGAGGCTCCAACCCGCCCAGGCCGCTTTCCTGCAGTGCAGCCTTTGGCAAGCCCTCGAACCTCAAGTTTCTCATCTGAAAAATGGGCTGATAAATCTGAATCCCAGCAGTGTTATAATGAGGGTCAGTGGGACATGTATATTAGAGCACCTCGTGCCTGACATAGGACCTGGCCCATGGCACATGTTCAATACACAGCAGCTGCAATTATTCTGGTGGGGTCTGGATTTCCCAGCTTCAAGTGGGTACCTGAATTTGGAGATTTGCTAAAACTCTGCCTCCTACCATCAGAATTTAGTGTCAGAAATACAATTGGGCCAGGTGTGGTGGCTCATGCCTGTAATCCAGGCATTTTGGGAAGCTGAGGCGGGAGGATTGCTTGAGTCCAGGAGTTCAGGACCAGCCTGGGTAACATGGAGAAACCCCATCTCTACAAAAAATACAAAAAAGTAGCTGGGTGTGGTGGTGCAAGCCTGTGGTTCCAGCTACTTGGTCTGGAGGTGGGAGGATGGCTTAAACCTGGGCGGTCTAAACTGCCCCATTGAAACTTCTCTGTTTTCTTACATCTGTTTTCTTCTCTGTTTTCTTACATGCAGTGAGACGAGATCATGCCTCTGTACTCCAGCCTGGGTGACAGAGCAAGACCCTGTCTCAAAAAGAAAAGAAAATAAACAGAATTGTTCCACTGACAAGCCAGAGAACATCACTTCCCCAGAGATTGTGTCCCACCAAATTACAAAATGCTTTTGCAACCACCAGCACAGAACATCCCATAGAAAGCATTAAATGACAGTGGGCCAGCCAGATGCGGTGGTACACACCTGTATTCCCAGCACTTTGGGAGCCTGAGGAGGGAGGATCACAAGGTCAGGAGTTTGAGACCAGCCTGGCCAGTGTGATGAAACCCTATCTCTATTAAAAATACAAAAATTAGCCAGGCATGGTGGCATGTGCCTGTAGTCCCAGCTACTCAGGAGGCTGAGGCAGAAGAATCGCTTGAACCTCGGAGGCGGAGGTTGTAGTGAGCCAAGATCGCACCATTTTACTCCAGCACTCTGTCTCAAAAAAAAAAAAAAAAAAAATGACAGTGGACCATATACTGATGAAGCTCCCATCTTTCTTGTTTCCTTCTCGGCTTCCTTTCCATCCTTTTGGTTAAGCCAATGAGAGATGCTCAGTAGGGTGCAAACAATGTCTTATCATCCTAGGAAACAATGGCTTCCTAATCTTCCATGCTAATTAGGGATGATGTCTGAACAGGAATTCCAGTTACTCAACTGCACAGCCATGCATCTTTCAATACTTGGTGCACCTTCGCTTACCAGTTTAGTTAAGCTCTAAGGAGATAGCATCTGTCTTTTTGACAAGATGTAAGAAAACAGAGAAGTTTCAATGGGGCAGAAGGCAGGAAACTTTCATACCAAGGATGGGCAGCCCAGGAGGAGGGACAAAGGCCGGGGCCCCTGGAAATTGGGAATTGGGGGTGGGGGGACAGGTGGGGAGCAAGGTTGTTAGAAGGAGGCTGGGAGGTGGCCATGGAGAGAAGTATGATGGGGACATGCTGAAGCCACAGTCCCTCACTGACATCCTCACAGAGGGATGCATTTTTCTGCTGTGCTCGGACCGTTGTGGATGCTTCTGTTCCAGTAGAAAGGTGCACTGTGAGGCTCATGCCTGCCCTGTCCCAGGCCCAGAGTCGTCTGTCATCTGAACACCTCCAAGTCATCTGCGGCTGGCAGAGTCCCAGCTCCCATCACCATCCATCAAAGCTGGTGATGAATCCAATATCCGGGGCCTGTGAGCCCGGAGAGAAGCGAACAGAACCCATCTGTGTGGGCTGCTTGGCGCTGGGACACAGGGGCCTGAGGAGCTCCTGATGGAGGAGGAGGCCAGGGCTGGCAGCCTCACATGTTTTCCCTCCCGTCTCGAATTTCTCTGTCCAGGAGTAGCAGACAGTGTGGAATGCACCCCTCCAGAGAAAGGGGAAACCTGGCAGCCTCTGAGGCCCGTCCACTCACTGGACACATGGAAATGAGCCCCAAAGGGAAGCTTGGAGAAGAAGGAGCCATTTATCAGGTCCCCATTCACCTCTTCCTAAGGACACAAGAAGACTTGTTTGGCCACTGCTGAGAGACCCACTCCACTGGAAGAAGTTTCCAGAAGTTGATGGATGGTCGCCTGTATTTCAGCCAGTTGTTCATGACTCAGGGTCAATGCTCCATTGCTCCCATTCACACGTTGCATCCATCTTCCTTGCAGATATTTGAGTTCTCTTCTGTTTCCAGCCTCAACATATCTCTTGCTTCCTATCCATATCAATGATTCCTAATACGTGTGTCAGACAAAGGCTGTTACTGTAAAATGGCAGCTTTCTTCATAGAGGTTCCATCTGGGCTTTGACATACAGTGGTTCCATGGAAGGGTTAACAATGAACATTTGGTGTTTTGAAAATGTGTTCTGATATTTCAGAAGAAAAGCTGAAGCAGGGGCGGAAATCCCCCACCAGGACCCTGGAGGCATGGTGGCCCTGGCTCTGAGATGCACCAGCTACTGAAATTCACATAATAAAGGAAAAATCCAGGAAAAGGTGGGGAGAGAAGGTGGCAGAGGGGATGGAGGAAGAGCAGAGGGAGAGTGTGGACATCCTGGAAGAGAGGGGAGGAGATGCAGGGAGGAGCTGACTGAGGCCCCATCCTCTGCTGGAGGTTTACAGACATCACTTTATTTCGTTCTCGTGACAAGCTCTCCAAGGCAAGAATTATGTTATAAATAGATTAAGGTTGGCAGCTCTTTTTTGTTTGGTTGTTTTTTGTTTGGTTGGTTGTTTTTTGTTTGTTTGTTTTGTCTTGTCATTGTTGTAGCGTAGCACATAGAGCAATACCTGACACATCATAGGCGCTCGAGAAATACTGATGGATGAATAAACTAAAGAATGAATAAAATGAATAAAGAAGGCTCTAAGATATGAATAGACATTTCTCCAGTGAAGATGTGCCAATGGCCATAAAATACAAGAAAAGATGCTCAACATCACTAACCATTAGAGAAAAGCAAATCAAAACTACAGTGAGATACCACCTCACAACCATTAGGATTCCTATAATAAATAAAAAAAAAAGGAAGAAACAAGAAAACAGAAAATAATAAGTGTTGGTGACAATGAGGAGAAGTTGGAACCCGGTGCCCTGTTGGTGAGGATGTAAAAAGGTGCAGCTGCAATGGACAACACTATAGCAGATCCTCTAAACATTAAAAATGGAATTACCATACGATCCAGGAATTCCACTTCTGGGTATGTACCCAAAATTACTGAAAGCAGGGACCTGAAGAGAGATTTGTACACCTATGTTCAAAACAGTATTATTTACAATATACAAAAGGTATAAGTAACACAAGAGTCTATTGAAAGATGAACCAGGTAGACAGCGCCCTTGACATAAGTGACTCCATGTTAGGAAAAGACTTCATCTTATACTTCAAATAGTGTCATGTCAACAGGGACCAGATATTTGCCTAATAAATAGAGACAGCCCCCAATCAGATAAGAACATAACCGGACATGCCCTTTTACTATCATCACCAGGGGACCCTGGAGCTATAAAAAGAGCAGGGCTTCGCCAGCTTAAGATAGCCATCTTAATAGGCACTGCCTTCCTGTCCCTTGTGATCAGCATCCAGGATCTGCCACTGAAGGACTGCCCAAATCAAAGACTATTCTTTGCAAGATGTTGATACCCATCCAGATCAGGCCAGGACACTCTTCTTGTCCACGTCACTCTCCTTGGACTGGTTTGTTAACCATTTTTCCTATCCCCTTTTCTCTTGATGTCAAATGTTATTTTGTTTGATGTGGAATATTTAACCTATAGCATTTATATATTAAGTATACTACTATGTATGGCTTGTAATATTCACTGATTTGCGGATCGTCTTGAATGTGTGTGCCCATGGCTTTGATGACCAAGTGAACGGAGGGTTGGGGTACTAAGAAGAATTGTCTCCTTGGAAACTCCATGTAATTTCTGGCTTTTATGGTTGAAATAGGATCAATAAAAGTCTGACCTTGTGGAAAGATACAAACGTGCATTGACCTGGTTATGTCTGACCTTGTGCCACTCATGACAAACGAATACAGAAAATGTGGTATATACGTACAATGAACCATTATTCAGTCTCAAAAAAAGAGGAAATTCTGACCCATGCTATGACATGGATGAGCCTTGATGACATAATGCTAAAGAAAAGAAATCAGTTATGAAGGAACAAATGTAGACGCTCCTCAACTTACAATGGATTTACGTCCTGGTAAACCCATCATACATTGAAAATGTCATAGGCCAAAAACGCATTTGATACACCTAAGTTGCAGAACATCATAGCTTAGCCCAGCCTACCTTATTCGGAACACTTACATTAGCCTAATTTTGGGTAAAATCATCTAACACAAAGTCTATTTTATAATAAAATGTTGACTATCTTATGTGATTTATTGAATATTGTACTGAAAGTGAAAAACAGAATGGTTGTATGGGAACTCGAAGTGGGGTTCTGCTGCATACGTGTCACTTTCACACCATTGTAAAGTTGAAAAATCCTGTGAGTTGGGACCAGCTGTGCTGATGATTCCACACATACGTAGTACCTGGATAGGAAAATTCATAGAGACAGGAAGGAGAGGGTGGTTGCCAGGGGTGGGGAGAAGGGAGAATGGGGAGTTAGTGTTTAATGAGTACGGAGTTGCAATTTTGCAAGATGAAAAGGATTCTGTGCATGAGTGGTGGTGGTTGCACAACAATGGGAATGTGCTTAATGCCACCAAACTGTCCACTTAAAAATTGTGGAAATGGGCTGGGTGCGGTGGCTCACACCTGTAATCCCAGCACTTTGAGAGGCCGAGGAGGGTGGATCACGAGGTCAAGAGTTCGAGACCAGCCTGACCAACGTGGTGAAACCCTGTCTCTACTAAAAATACAAAAATTAGCTGGGCGTGGTGGCGTGTGCCTGTAATCCCAGCTACTCAGGAGGCTGAGGCAGGAGAATCGCTTGAACCCGGGAGGGGGTGGTTGCAGTGAGCTGAGATCGCACCATTGCACTCCAGTCTGGGCTACAGAGCGAGACTCCACCTTAAAAAAAAAATTGTTAAAATGGTTAATTTTTAAGTGTATTGTTTTACCACAATATAAAATAATATTTTATTTTATTAACTATTATTAACACAATAGTGGTCTTTGGCAACTATGGGATTATTTCAGGGGTTGGCTAAAGGGGTCTCAGCTTCAAAAAGACAAAGCTGAGGAAAAGGGAGAAAAGAGAGTGAGAAACACAGCCAGAAGGGGCTGACCAGGGCTGAGGGAAAGGAAGCTGGGCCAGGGCTGCGGGCGAAGCCCTGTTGAAAGGGCAGGTGAGGCCTCACAGGCAGGGGCTCGAGACCCAGCCAGGTTGAACCTAGGGCTGGCAGGACACTTCCATAGTGATAGGAAGCCCAGCCTCCCTCCCAGTGCCTGGCGTGGGCCGAGGCCTTGTCCATCGAGGCCTGCTCTGTGGATTCAGGAAGAAGACCATAGGCAAGAAATCTTTTCGTTTCGGGAGACAGAAACCTACCTCAAATTGCTGCAAGCCAAAAAGGAATTCATTGGCTCATGTGACTGAGTCATCAAGGGATAACACAGGCTTTGGGCACAGCTGCATTCAGGAATCTGCCTCTCATTCCATCCCTCTGCTTTTCTTCCACTGTTTTCGCTTAATTTGTAGGCAGGTTTTCCCCTCATGATGGCAGAGACGGTCACAAGAAGCTCCAGGCTACATCTTACAGCCCAGCAATTTCAGAAGTATGAAAGAGAGCCCTGGGAGGCCGAGGCGGGCAGATGACCTGAGGTCAGGAGGTAGAGACCAGCCTGGCCAACATGGTGAAATCCCATCTCTACTAAAAACACACAAAAAAATGAGCCAGGTGCAGTGGTGGGTGCCTGTAACCCCAGCTACTTGGGAGGCTGTGGCAGGAGAATCACTTGAACCTGTGAGGTGGAGGTTGCAGTGAGCCAAGATCATGCCACTGCACTCCACCCTGGGCAACAAGTGAAACTGTCTCCAAAAAAAAAAAAGAAAAAGGAAAAAAAAAGGAAGCGAGACCAGATCCTCAGAGCGCTGAGTGCTGGCTAACCTCCCTCATTGGCCGGGCATGGTCATGTGACCATCTTCCATTCAAAACTTTGCCCAGCAGAATGGATAACTCTGATTGGCCAGGCTGAGGTCACATGTCCACTCCTGGAGCCAAGGGTGGGGTCAGCCCCACACTAACTACAGGGAGAAGAGGTGGTTCTCCAGAGGGAAGACAACTGCTGCTACCATAAGCTGCAGAATGCATGCGAGGCAGACAAAACCTGGAAGGCCATGCCAGTGCTCCTTCCCCATAAGACCCACTGGACAAGGCAGCACCAGGTTCCTGGGCTCAGACATAAGAATGAGGCAGAAGCCAACAGACAGTAGAAAACCTGTTCTCTGTAGCTTCCAAGGAATGACGGGCCACAGGGCACCTTTGGCCTGATCCTTCTGCAGACCTGGCATTGCCCGGAGAGGCTATCCTCGGACACCCTAGTGAGATGACCGCATGCCCACACCCTCACTGACAAGCAGCCCACTTGCTGCCCGAAGGAGACTGAGTGGTGGCACTGTCCTCTCTCTCTGGCCAGGAGGCTGGCATTTGGCAGAGCTGCCAGTACTGGCAGCTGAGAGCTTCTCAGGGTCCATGCCAAGTGGTGTGACCCAGTGGGACTGAGTGTGAAACACCTGGCCCAGTGCATTTCTGAGCCAGACAAAGCCAGCCTCTCTGTGCACTGGGCATGAAAAGCAAGACCAGGCAGCCACGACTGAGGGACACCAGGGCATCAGCAGCTTGATGGGGAGACCAATTGTACTTTGACCCCATCAGCAGGAGAAACTCAGATACAATCCTTAAGCACGACTAGAGTGGGTGAGAGCAAGAGGGGGCAGAGGAAAGATACAAGGAGGCAGCTCAAACCCTCCCACAACTTCAAAGTGGGAACGGATTCCTCAGGACCCTCTCCTGGGCTCATTCACTATCTCCTCTTTCTTCTCACAAGCACATCCATTTTACAGGGCCCAAGGAAGAAGGTGAGGGTAGATGGGTTGGAAACTAGGAATGTCTTCCATTATTCACTTTTCTCATAATAATAGCACTCCTGAATTCTAGCTGGGTGTACAGCTGCACAGAGTGAAGACTACATTTCCCAGCCTTCTCAGGGCTGGGTGTGGCCATGTGACCAGGCTCTGGCCAATGAGACTGAGCAGAAGTGGTGAATGTGACTCCCTTCTGGAGTCCTCAAAGGGCAAGGATGGCAGCTCTCCCTTTCATGTGGTTGGAACCCAGACATGTCAGGGAGCTGTCATGGGCCATGTGGAAGAGGGGCACACCCTAGGGACGGCAACCACAAGACAGAGGGAGCCCGGTGCCTGCCTGACCCCATTGTAGAGTGGAGCTGCCCTACCACCTATGTTGAGGTCACTGTTGCTTTGGGTCTTTGCAGCAGCAGCCTAACTTATAGACCAGCTCTTCCAGATTGGAGGAAGAATCCAGAGAATTCCCCTCAAATACACCAGTGCCCTTCAGAAGAATGAAGTCAAAACACGGAGACAGAATCCTGGGACCTAGGGTGGGAAAGAATGGAGTCTAAGCTCTGCCCACCCATTCAGCAGGTAGGCAAGGTGAGCCTGTCTGCCACTGTTCCTGCTCTGAGGATAAGGAGGTGAAACAACCTGGTCAACAGCATTACCTCCTGGTGCTGACAGTTCCTGTGTGGGAAAACAGACAATCAATAAGTTAAAAACAAACAAACAAAAAAAGATGATATTTTTCTGAGAGTGGTGAGTCCTCTGAAGAAAGCAAGCAGGCCCGCTGGTGGGAAAGGCTAGTTTATGTTGAGTGGTCAGAGGAGCTGGCATCAGAGCTAAAATCTGCAAGTGGAGAAGAAGCTGCATGGGAAGACTTTCACAGTGAGGGAACAGCAGGGGCAAAATCCCAGAGGCAGGAACAGCTTTGCACAATCTCCTAAGAAAAATCTTATGATCCTAAGAGCTACACAGCATGCTTACTGCGCATTAGGAGTGGTTCTTGGCATTCCTATGTGTCATATCCTTTAACCCTCACCCCTAAGGTAGGCGTGATGATTTTCTTCTTCATTTTACAAAGCATGAAACTGAGACGGAGGGATGTTTAATCAACTTGCCTAGGTCCCACTGCTGATAAACAATCGAGCCAGGCTTAGAACTCCCTCCCTTCCCTCCCAGGCTGGGAACTCTCTCCCCTTCTGCACTTCCGTTTTACCACCGAGCCTTAAATCCTGCAGTGGCTTGAAAAATATAAACCCTGTAGTTGTCAGAGCTAATGAGGACAGGCCTGTCCTGTGGCCTCTACCCCATCCAGATCCCTGGCTGGCTTATTGAGGTGTCATAAAACCTCACTGAGTGAATATATGGAGAACATCCTTGCCTAAAAGGACGGTCAGGGGCACAGAACAACATTTCTTTCCTTCTTATTTCTCTAATGGAGCAGACCGTCTTGAAGCTGTAACTCAAGCCAATGTGGCAATCCACAATCAGCCATCACTGAGTGCCAGGGGTGGGTCAGCACTTATGCCAGGATCCTGGGGTTAAAAGGTGAATAGACCACGGATCTCAGCCCCCTCAAAGATTTTGGTGCCCATCCCAGCCAAGCTCCTATGGCTTTTATTTCCTTGAAAAGCAGCATCTGAGCAGAACAGCTAAAGAAGGCCAAGTAAGAAGCAGTCTTGGCTGAGTGTGATGACTCACGCCTGTAATCCCAGCACTTTGGGAGGCTGAGGCGGGCAGATCACTTGAGCCTAGGAGTTCGTGACTGACCTGGGAAACATGGCAAAATCCTGACTCTACAAAAAATACAAAAAATTAGCCAGGCATAGTGGTGCATGCTGGTGGTCCCAGCTACCCAGAAGGCTGAGGCTGGAGGATTGCTTGAGCCCGGGGAGATGGAGGCTGCAGTGAGCTGAGATTGCACCACTGCACTCGGCCACTGCCTTCATTCAGTTCCCTGTTTCTTTTGCTGTCATCTGCTACTGATCTCTTTGTTTCCAGTCTTGTCCTAAAATCCCATTTCCAGAGATCCTGTCTAAAAAAAAAAGAAGCACACAGTCTTGTTGCAAAGGAATCAAAGATCAATAAAATTAATGTCCTGTGAATAAAACCATGAATGAAAGCCCCTCTTTGCCCCAGTTTCCCCTTCACTTCCACTTCCCTCCCTGAAAGCCAACCTTATCAATGGTTTGTATCCTTTCCTAGAGTTTGGTTTTGCGTAAATAGGGGTACAATGCTTTAGATATTGCTGATCCTTTTGATTCCGCTTGTGTCCCCTGATACTTTTGCCTCCCAAATATTTCCTAACGTCCACCCCCTTCTCTGCAGCCATTGCCCTCATTCAGGTTCCTATTTCTCTTGCTGTCATCTGCTGCAGATCTCCCTGTCTCCAGCCTTGTCCTAAAATCCCAATTTCAGGATCCTGCTGGAGAAATCTAATTAAAATGCAAATAAAACCACGTAAGGGACATTTGAGACATTCTGAAGCTACCCAGCATCTTCTGAATGTCCACCTGGTGTTGAGATAGTCTCCCATTGTGCAGTTTCTACCTCTCCAGGAAAGAAACCAGAAGACATTCATCCAGACTCCCTTGCTGCTGGGGGCAGTCATGTGACTTTGGCTTCTCCAATCATATCCTCTCATTTGAGGCTATGATTTGGGAGGGAATATGGAGGCAGCTTAGACAGACAGAACTGAGGTTTTCTTAAAGCGAGGGAGTGGAGGCATCTGGTTGTTCTGGGGTGGCAGGTGCACTTTCTGGTGTCTAGTGCCCCGTGGTTTGGTGCAACTCCTAGCTGTGTGTTTCCTGATCTATGCGCTGGCCCTTTGGAAGAGTCTCTGTGCCACCTACTACCCTTTAATGAATTTCTGTTTTGCGTAAGCCAGAGTGGATTCTGTTGTTTGCAATGAAGCAGACTGATTGTTACAGATCACATCACTCTCCTATACAAACTCTTCCTGTGTAAAAGTTTTCATTGGTTCCCCTGCCTGCCTGCTCGCCCCCCTAGCCTCTCCTTCTGGTGCCCTCATTTCACATTTGTACTCCAAATATACACCAACTGTATGCTCTGCACCGCTCCTCCTTTTATGCTATTCTGTGTACTGAAATTTTTATCTTACTACTGGCTGTGATGTGCCCACTTCTCAGAAGAGACAGCTGAGTCTCATGGACATGGTCACATGGTGCTGCAGAGCCAGGATCAGGACTCAGTCTCCTGCCCTTCCATCAAACACACGATCTTGCTTTGGAGAAAGCGTCAACACCACTCAACCACTTTCAGGCTGAGGCCCCTTCTCCTTTGTGCTGAATGAAAGATCCTGTTAAACCCCCTTTCCCTGATGCCCCTTTGCCCACAGCACATGCACCACACCATGCCTAGGCTATGCTCCCTCTCCAGGCTCAGGCACCACCCCACACACTCTCCTTTGCCCAGGGAGCTTCCTCTGCCCAAACTGTCTTCCCCATCTCTGTGGTCTGGCTTTGAAGCCAGACTCCGTGGGTTCAAATCCTGACTCTGTCTCTTCTGAGATTAGGCAAGTCACTAAATCTCTCTATGGCTCAGTTGCCTTGTCTATAAAATTAAGATGGTGATGGTAGCCCCCTTAAGTGTGTTGAGTGGAATAACAGAAAAACACGGATGAGTCACTTAGAAGAGTGGCTGGCACTTAGTGCACACACGGTCAACGTTAGCTACTATTATTATTATTAATTGTTTTTTTTGAGACAGAGTCTCGCTCTGTCGCCCAGGCTGGAGTGCAGTGGTGCGATCTCAGCTCACTGCAAGCTCTGCCTCCCAGGTTCACGCCATTTTCCTGCCTCAGAGTAGCTACTCCCAGAGTAGCTGGGACTACAGGCACCTGCCACCACGCCCGCCTAATTTTCTTTTGTATTTTTAGTAGAGACAGGGTTTCACCGTGTTAGCCAGGATGGTCTTGATCTCCTGACCTCGTGATCTGCCCGCCTCAGCCTCCCAAAGTGCTGGGATTATAGGCGTGAGCCACTGCGTCCGGCCGTCAGCTACCATTATTTTTTATCATTATCATCATCATCTGGCAAAGTCTACATCTGCCCACCTCTCATGGCCCCTGTTCCCTCCGGGCATCCTCTCTCCAGTGGGAGGAGGAATCATTGCTTTCCACTTGCGGCTCCCAGGGCACCTGCACCTAGTCCTTACTTAAAGCACATGCCATGCCTCTTCTGAGTGCTACAGGCAGGAAGCAGAGTGGATGCTTAAGAGGCTGGACTCTGGAACCAGAAGGACTGGTTTCATTCCCTGGCTGTAGCTGCTTATGAGCTGTGTGACCTTGGGCAAGTGACTTAACCTCTCTGTGTGTGCCTCCGTTTCCTGGGGAAAATGGAGATGATAATAGGAGCGATTTCATGGAGTAGGTGTGGAGACCCAACCAATCTGTTCATCCTTTGTCTGGCACACGGGAAGCGATCAATACATGTTGGCTCATCTTAGTTGTTTACTGCCTGTCTTGCGCTCAACACTGTGGGTGTCTTCAGGGCACAAACCAGGCTTTATTTACCTTTGTGCTCCTGGCACCCCATGCAGTGCCTGGCCCTGTGAGTTGCCACGTAGGTGCCCTGCACTTGTGGTCTGCTCTCATGTCAGTTGTTTCTTTCATGCCTCCCACCTGAAGGGCACTGTTTCAGGCTGAACAAGTAGAAGATTGCCGCCCACCACACTTAATTCTCTTTTGGGCTGCTGGCCCAGGAGCTGAAGAAGGCCTAGGGCCTGGGGGACTGTTAGCTGTGGGGAGCTGGCACTTCTCGACAGGGGCCTTGCGGACCACCCGCTTTGATCCTTGATCGGGAGCATTTAGGACCTCATTTGGACTCATTGCGAAGGATGCCTCACACAGAAGGCCATGGCATATGCGATCTCTCAGGCTGTGCCAGATGGTGGGGCTTTGGCGGAGCTCCCTCTGTATCTGCAAGCCCGCTGACCCATTCAGAGGCTCCAAACTGCAAGAGAGAAATGATAATGGTGCTTTGAAATGACTGGAGCTGGGAGATGGCAAGGAGCCTGGCAAAGAAGGAACACACCGTTGTCGCTGGTACTTAGCTGTATTCATGGACCAGCAAAGCAAGATGGATTCCAGCCAGCTTAATGAGCCCCCTCGGTTAGCTGCCTGATTCATTCAATTTGACCACCATGCAAAAGATCTAGAATAGAACAGTGGTTAAGAGATCGGGACCTGGGGCCCTACTGCCTGGGCTCAGATCCAAGCTTCTCTGCTTACCAGTTGTGTGAACTTTTGACAAAGAACTTTAATGCTCTATGCCTCATTTCCTTATCTGCAAGATGGGAATATTTTTGCTATAACAGTGGGAGGACATACTGGATCGACAATGCTGTTTGCCTGTGTATCAGTGTGACAGAAGCTAACTCTTACACAGTTCTTACCACATTCCAGGAACTGTTCGTCACGTGGGCTTGCTCATTTCATCCTTACAACCACCCCGCCCACCAGGGAGATGCTATTATTATCTCTATTTTTTAAAATAAGCAAAGTAAAGGGAGTTGAAACAATACATTCAAGGTCACAGTGCTTGAAATTCAAACTTAAGCAGTCTGGCTTACAATTCATGTTCTTACCGTCATGCTGTGCTGCCTGCCAATATGATATAGATCTAATCAAAGACAGATAGATTCTTGCCCTGAAGCAAGTGTTTGTGATTTACTCTGGGAGATTAAAAAGAAGCCGTGTATGCACAAACTTAAGACAAACACATGCTATCTGCTTAGTTAACTGATGATGATCAATCAAGCTTTTCTCCCTCAAATAAATGGAATTAGGATGATCTTGGCTGTAAGTAACAGTTAACCCAACTCAAAGTGTCTTCAACAACCATGACTTTGATGATTAGTATTACTCACCTAGGAGTTCAGGTAGCTGCTGGTTGGTTAATCCAGGGGCTCAAAGACATAAGTAAAGAACTTAGTTCTTTCTCATTTTGTGTTCTGCGATCTTTGGGGCATCAGCTCCATCCACAGGCCAACACTTCTGTTGACAAGATGGCTGATCACAGTTCCAGGCAGTTCCAGATGTGAGAAATGTATGAGAGAGGAGAGAGGAGGGGTTGGTCTTTCTTGGTTATCCTCTTAGAAGCCTGAAAATATTCTCTGGAATCTTCCAGAAGACTCTGCATTGGGTCTCCTTGGCCACTATGGGGTCACATGCACCTTCCTAGACCAGTCACTGGCAGGAAGGTCAGTGAGGGTGCCATGATTGGTCTCATCTGGTGCCAACTGGATACTGGGGAGCCAACAGCCCTGGCCACGGCACATGCTTTGTGCTTTTCTACTTTCCTCCACTTGCTTCAGCCATTCCTCCTGCAGAATGCCTGGTCTATTCCTACATATCATAATGGTTCACTGTCTAGAATCATTTTAGTTGCAAGTAACAGGAAATCCAACCAAAGGTGGTTTAAATAAAGAAACCCAGAGACAAGCAGTCCTGAGCCAGTGCTGTGTCAGTCATTGATGTATCAGGGGCCTGGGACTTTCTGTCTTAGTGCTCTTTATCCTCAGTGCACTGGTTTTCACCCACAGGTGCACTGCTGTCTAGTTCTAAAATGGCTGCTTCACCTCCAGGCAGGAAAGAGAGAGAAGGGAGTTGGGGTAGGAAGGCATTCTCAGGAACCCTCCTGCAGCTTTCTATTTACATCTTATTAGCTGGAACTGGGCCATGTGACCACTGTTAGCTGCAAGGGAGGCTGGGAAAGTGAATGCCTTAGCTGGGCACTTTGCCACCTCGAACAAAGCCAGAGTCCTTTGGTTAGAAGAAAGAAGAGGATACTGGGCAACTAGCAGTGTCTGCCACACCTTTCTTTAAGGATCAACTCACACTGCACACCACTGCATCCTTCCCTCTTTATCCCTAGGGCATAGGCTGCCTGTCCCCTTCTGAGAAACTAAAGTGAAAAAGGAAGAGAAGAAAAGAATCTAATGAAATGATTTACCTATTTCAGCTCGAAACCCTGCCATGGTGCTGCAGACAGAGTATCTTGGTAGGTCAGGGAAATTGAGGCTCAGAGGGCAGTACTGACTTGCCAAGGTCATGGTTAACTATGAGACTCAGCAGGAATGTGAATCTGGGTTTGTTCCACTTGCCTGCCCTCTCCTCTACACCGTGCTCCCATGGAAGCCCCAGGTAGCCTGAGTAAGTGGTCACTGAATGCTCATGGAAAGTTCTCCTGTTAACTGGGAGGGAGATAACTCATCTCTCCCAGTTATACCGTACAGTCCTCAAGGTCAGAACTGATGCCTGTGCTCCCACTACAAGGTCGAGAAGCCTGTCAAGGGCCCATCACAATTGCCTCCTAGCAGAGGACAGGCCAGGCCATTGTGGACTGTAGTTGACATGAGCACAATTTGCAGATTCTTTTTGACTCTAAAAACCCAAGAACATTGCTTCTGACTGTGGCGAGAACATTAAGCTTTCAAATAGGCACCGCGCTACGACAGAAGCTAATGCAAGCCTTGATCATTTTTCTCTTTCCTTTCCCTCCTCTGAGTTCTGCTGGGAGCCGGTTCGAGGGAAGTTGGCTAATTGGAACTGTCCACACTGCCCCCATGAGAAATGGGATGTTGTACACCATGTTCCCTGGAGAAAATCTCCCATCTGTTCACCGCATGAGAATAATTACATGTATAAATTACCGCCTTCTCATCCCTCTCCGGCTTGTGTTGGAGAGGGGGTGTGCTTATGATGGAGGTTCCTGAGTGACCTTTTTGATGAGGGAATGTGACGAAGTCAGCTCCTAAATCAGCCATCTGCCTGAGCACGACTGTGGTATTGATTTTCTATTCTAGGGCTGGAAAACGGACATTTATTTTGAAATATGTTTAGTAATGAATCTGTGATTTGCGAAGGGTGCTTCTGCAACGATTCCTGCTGAACTTGATGTGACTTCCAGCAACAGAGAAAGTCACTGGGTTTAATTTTACCCTTTATTACTAAAAGGAGAGACTCCAGGCCGAGCAGCTTGAGAAAACGCACCAGGTACTTTCCACAGCAGTCATGACACTGCCTCTCATGGAGAACCTCCCTCTAAATACCTCAACTGCAAAATATATTACACAACATTTTCTGGAACTGAAAAGCCCTGGCCTGGGAGACAGGGTTTGTTGGGGGGCAGGGATCTAATCACCATCAATGACCAGCGATAGCACCGCAGGCAATTCCTTGCCTCTTCCAGGGCCTCAGCGTTCACACTGCAGGATGGAAGAGGCTATTCAGTTTCAATGACCTCCATGGTAAACAGAATAATAACTGCCCCACAAGACGGTCTCATCTGTATCCTTGGAACCTGTGGATATTCCAGGTTACATGGCAAACAGGAGGTAACGTTGTAGATGGAATTCAGGTGGTGTATCAGCTAGCTTTAAAATAGGGAGATGATTGTGGATTATCTGGGTGGGACCGAGGTAATCACGAGAGTCCTTATAAATAGATAAGGGAGGTAGCACCAGAGAGCTGGCACCATGAGAAGAACTTGTCCTGACATGACTGACATATGGAGGGAGGGGGCCATGAGCCAAGGAATGTGGGTGGCTCCTAGAAGCTGAGCTAGGCAGGGAAACACATTCTTCCTTAGAGCCTCTGGAAGGAATGCAGCCCTGCTAACCCTTCCATTTTAGCCCAGTGAGGCCCATCTCAGACTTCTGAACCCCAGAATTATGAGGTAATACCTTGATGTTGTTTAAACCACAAAGTTAGTGGTGATTTGTGACAGCAGCAATAGAAGCTTTATGCAACCCGTGCTCCTCTAGTCCTGGAATTTGCTGATTGCTCTCCACCCATCTGCAGCGAACCCTTCTCACTCCCCTGCTCAATTCTCCCTGATTGAGAATTCCCGTCTTTTGTCTCTCCAGCCAGACTCAAATTTCCAGGAGGACATAGATGCTCCTCTTTGGTATCCGTGCAGTGCATCCTACAAAGTGCTTGTTCAGGCTCCACAGGGCAAGGTCCAGAATTGCTGGAAGTGGCGCGGCCATGTCATCCCTGGAAGTGACGATGAAAGCCAGTCCTTTTAAGGTGCTCACAACCTGCCAGGCGCAGATAGAGGAGCTCCCCAGCCATCATCTCACTGCATCTTTAGAGAAACCTGGAAGTAGAATTATTAGTGTCATCACCACTTGACAAATTAGGCCACTGAGGCACAAAGGAAGTGAATAAGCTGCCTGGGTCACAGAGCTGGGCAATGTGGTGGCCAGGTTTCTACTCTCTTGGGTCATCAGCCCATTGGTTTCATTCTCTGTCACAGACAATGGAAGTTGTCTCTGTCTTACGTAAGGTCCTGGGCAAATGTGGCATCCAGTTAAGGGGACCACAAGTTCCAGTTTACCTGAGACAGTCCCTGTGTTCTAGAATAATTATTAATAGTACCTCCCCATTCATACTCAAAGGGGGTCTAGTTTGGGAACTGTGAATCGTATAGTCAGCCTATGTCCAGCCCTCCTTCCAGTGGTGACAGGAGCCTCACGGAAGAGCGCACAGGGGCAGAGTATAGTTGCACCCCCTGGCCCCAACGGGCACGAAATAGAGCCCTGGAATTGGGCAACTCACATTCAAGTCTTGACTCTATGACCAATTTGTTCTGTGACCTTGGGGCAAACGTGATGCATTTCATAGCCCCTGGCAGGTTTCCCAGCCCGTACTCGGAACCAAGTCATGGGAATGTCTGAGAAATTCAATTGTTGTTTTCCTCTGATCTCCCCCAGCCAGAATTTCTTCATCTACAACACAGAGAGGAAATTACACAGCCTATTGGAAGAGAATGGTGAGTTGGGCGTGGTGGCACAGGCCTATAATTCTAGTGCTTTGGGAGGCTAAGGTGGGAGGATCGCTTGAGGCCAGGAGTTTGAGACTAGTCTGAGCAACACAGTGAGACCCCTTCTCAGCAAAAATACGAAAAAATTAGCCAAACGTGATGGTGCATGTCTCTAGTCCCAGCTACTCAAGAGGCTGAGGTGGGAGGATCACTTGAGCCCAGGAGTTCGAGCCTGCAATGAGCCATGATCGTGCCACTGCATTCCAGCCTGGGTGACAGAGCAAGACTGTTAAAAAAAAAAAAAAAAGAGAATGGTGATTGTGGACATGAAAATGCTTTGAATGTCAAGCAGGAAGGCACCTGCAAACATGAGCTGGGTGTTTTGGGGAGACGACATATTTGTGGCCAGGTACGTAGATGACCTTTGTTCCTTACACTTCATGGACTCTTATTTCCTAAATGAAGGTCAGGAAGAAACTTCATTTCCTCATCAACTTTGCCCAGGTCCTTGTATACGAATAGGCCACAAAGTCTATACACTCAAGTGTTTTCATGCCAGGGTTAGACCTGCCCCACCTTGTCCCAGATGTGCTTAGCCAACTGGCTGCAGAGCTTGCACATGGGGCTTAACAGTGACCTTGACTGGGAACAGGACCCCCGAGGCTGATGCTTGGACCCACGCTCTCCATGCAGGTGCTTTGTATTGACTAGGCTTTGTCCCTGGAAGGTGGCCTGTTGTACCACCGTCATCTTATACCTTAATAATTGCAACCTCTCCTGATGGACCACCCTGTTTCCTTTCCTTATAAAATCCATTGTCCACGCAGCAGAGAGAGTGACATCAGATCACGTCACATTCTAGAGTGGCCATTTCCCTCTTCCCTCCTTAATAATCATCCTGCATGCTCATGAGTGCCCTCAGAGTCTGTTTTCTGGGACTCTTACTTGTGACAACACCACATTCTCTATGACATTACTCACTCCATTTCTTTCATAACTTGGACCACCTCCTGACACTATATTGTTCATTTACTGCCTTGTACGTCCTCCATCTGCTCTGTGAGGGAGGGACCCTCTTGACCTTATTTGTTGGGTGCCTAGCACTGTACCTGGCATACGGCATGTGTTCAATAAATGTCAGTTGGAAGGAAAGAAGGAAGACAGGGAGGGAGAGAAGAAGGGAGGAAGAGAAGGAGGGAGGGAGGGAGGAAGGGAGGCACTCTGATATGGCGACTTTCTTCAGAAATGCTGATATCCAGTGAGTAGGACTAGAATTCACCACTGTCATCTCCAGTCTGCAGTTTCAAAGGAAGCCACATGGGGCTGGGTAAGAGGGGAGGGCCACAGCTGGATCAATCATTGTATAGATGTGGATACTGTGATCGGTATCTTTATCTGGGCATTTTTTTCTATTAAAATTTTTTTAAAGTAGTGTATTTATTCTAGGAAATTCAGGTGTAGTTTTCTGTCCTTTCTCTATGCATGCATTAGATAAATCTACCTATCCACAGGTTTTTATCACTGAATCACAGTGCAGTTTTAAAATTTTCACATCAATGCACACATTTCTGCAGCATCATGTTTACGGGCTGCACAGCCCCTCCATTGTGTGGTTGTGTCGTATTTTTTCACTGGTCCCATCATTTCATCATGGTGATTAAGAGAAGATCATAAATGCCTGAGTTCAAGCCCTGGCCCTTCCGCTTACTCACTGTGGAACCTTGAGCAAGTCATTTAATTTCTTTGTGTCACAGTTATACCACCTCTAAAAACGTGATAGCAATAGTATCTACCTCAGGGTTTTTTTTTTTTTTTTTTTTGAGAATGGGAAGACTTAAAATATGCAAAGAGTTTAGAAAAGGGCCGGCTCATGATCCCCTAAGCTCTGGCCCCAGATGCTCCTTTCTTCCCTCTCTGTCTTCCTTCTGTAGGTGCTGGTCTATGCCTGAGACCCCAGTGACCACTGCTGCCTCTCTGACTCCCAAAAAGTCACTTCCAGTTGTTCTCCCTTATCTGAGTTTCAGATCCATGTATTCAACTGCATATTTTGTTTTTCCCTCTGGTTGCCTCTACTTTATTAACTCTTCCTTTCACCCATCTACCCATCCACCCACCCATCCACCACCCACCATCCACCCACCCCTTCACCCTTCTACTCACTCACCCACCCATCCACTCATTCATGCACCTGCCTATCGCCCCATCTGCCCGTCCATCTGCCCATTCATCCATTCACCAGATTACCACCATGCTCTACAGCCTCTCATTGGAAGAAGTTGTACGCCAACATTCCTTGAATAGATTACAAGAGCCCAAATGATCAGCTCCCAATACTTCCTGACTTCATCTCTTGCTACTCTTCTCCCTCACTTGCTTAGTTTCAGCCACACCAGCTTCCTTGAGGATCCTCAACCACTGTCAGGCACACAACTGCCACAGGGGCTTTGTTCTTGCCTTTTCCTTGTTTCCTTGCCTGGAATATTTTGCCTAAATTATCCACATAATCACCTGCTCTCTTCCTATAATGCTTTGCTCAAATGTCAAGTTCTCATAGAAGCTTTCCTGACACCCTTCCCCACTTTTTTAGAAGCAGGGTCTGTCTCTGTTGTCTAGGCTGCAATGCAGTGGCATCATCACAGCTCACTGCAGCCTTGACCTCCTGGGCTCAGGAGATCCTCCCACCTCAGCCTCCAGAGTAGAGGTGTGCACCATCATGCCCAGCTAATGTTCCTATGTTTTGTGGAGATGAGGTCTCATTATATTGCCCAGGGTGGTGTTGAACTCCTGGCCTCAAGCAATCATCCCTCTTTGGCCACCTGATTAGCCGGTACTAGAGGTGTGCTACCATGTCTGGCTAATTTTACAAAAATATTTGTAGAGATGGGGTCTTACTATGTTGCCCAGGCTGATCTCAATCTCCTTGGCTCAAAAAATCCTCCTTCCTTTGCCTCCCAAAATGCCAGGAGTACAGGTTTGAGCCACCATGCCCAGCCTGACCTCTCTTTTTAAAATTGCAAAGTACTCCCCGCAAACTATATCTCCATCTCTTCCCTTATTGTTCTTCATAAACCCAAACACAATCTGACATGTTGTGTATGTTACTTATCTATCCTGTTCCTACTCTGTCTGCCCTGCTAGAAGGCAAGCCTCATAAGGGCCAGGAGTTTTGCTCTTTTTAAAAACTACTGTATTTCTGGCACCGGGAACAATATCTGTCATATAGTAGCCACTCAATGAAAGAAAGAATGAATGAATTCAGGCAAGAAATGGTACCTTAGAGTAAGTTTATGAAATTGAAAAATGAATAAATTTCAGAGATATCGAAAGAAAAGTTTCCCATTATTGTTTCTTATATCCAATAAACTTTTTCTTTGTGCCTTCCATATTTATGTTTACAAATCCCCCAATATTATGTAAAATTCATTTATTTCCTTCCAGGACTTACATGTTTTCTACACTTAATTTACCAACATATCCGGAGTGTATTTTGATGTACAAATGAGATACGGATCAGATTTAATATTTTTATCTAGATCATTAAGCACCTTCAAAATGATCTGAATACCATTTATTGAATAATCCATCTTCCTCCAAATAATGGAAATGCAACCTTTATCACATTGCAAAGTTTTATATCTGCAGGTCTTTTTCTGAATTTTCTATTGAGTTTTCTTGCTTTGTTTCCAATCAGCCTGACACTTCAGTTATTACAATTCCGTGTGTGAGAATACCTGGTATAGCTAAATCCATAATTTCTTTTCTTTTCTAAAAAGGATTTTTTTATGACTTAAGTTTTCAAATTCACTATAGACCATTTCCCTCATGATAATTTACTGGAATTTCACATTTTATAGATTGAGAGGAAGGAAATAGGTATCAAGTCAATATTAACTCCCATGCTATGCATGTTATTATTTGATTTTTTGTTTTTATGGTTTTATTCATATGGATCCCAAAGACTTGCTATAATAATATCAAAATGTTGTATGTTGCAGTTTAAAATTGGATTTGTTTCTGTTTGTGGTTTAACTACCATTCTTTTTGCTTTTGTTTTTTTTGAGACAGGTTCTGGCTCTGTTGCCCAGGCTGGAGCGCAGTGGCACAATCTCTGTTCACTGCAACCTCTGCTTCCTGTGTTCAGGCAGGCTTTCTGTCTCAGCTTCCCGAGTATCTGGGACTACAGGCACGTGCCACCATGTCCGGATAATTTTTGTGTTTTTTGTAGAGATGGGGTTTCACCATATAGCCCAGGCTGGTCTTGAACTCCAGGACTCAAGCGATCTGCCTGCCTCTGACTCCTAAATTGCTGGGATTACAGGCATGAGCCATGGCGCCCGGCCACATGCTAATTGTGTAGCCCATTGGAATTCTGGCCACAATTACAAGCTCCAAAACTTCTTGTAGATTCTCTTGGGTTTTCCTAGTAGGTCATCTGCTAATACTCTGTTCAAATTCCTGCACCTCTCACTCTCTGCCTGAGCATCTGGGTACTGACCATGTGCTGCCCTGTGACACTTTTCCCATCACTATCCTGAATGTCACTTGGTGCCACTCTTTCTGTTCAGCAAGTTACATGTTTGTGTCTTGGATCTACATCTTGATTTTAAGGTTCTGTACATCCGGCCCAGAGCTGCCCACACTGCAGCCACCTAATCAATAAGTGTTGATTTATCTGATTAAAGAGCAAGACTAGAGGTAAGAAATCCATGAGCTGAGTTCTTCCTCTCATGTACTGAGAGCGTTCTGAGTCCGGATGTGTCACAGGCGATTTTTCAAATAGTAGGCAAAATTTGGAATCTGGCTAAGGGTTCAGTCCTTAGGAACAGCAAGCCTTGTGTAATACTCATGGTGCTCCAGGTATTGGTCTATGGACTTTATGTATATTAACTCATTTAATCCTCAGAGCAATCTGATGGAATCGGTGCCATTATTGTACCCGTTTTTCATGTGAAGCTTTTAAACACAGAGAAGTTAAATCACTTGTCCTAGGTGACACAGGTACAAAAAGACAGCCAGGATTCCAACCGAGGCAGTGTGTCTCCAGAATTCGTGTTCCTAACCATCACACCTACTGTCTCTTGGAGGGATACATGTACAGGTTTTCATGTTGGTCTCATCAGTACAACCTGTTAGGCAACCTCCTGACTTTGACCTTTTGGGTGCCAGGCAGTTTTCAGTCCAACCCAACATACCTCTTCAGTCTATTCTAGTCCCCGTTTTATTCTCTCTCTCCACAAACAGCCTAGCCTGCCTGACCTGGAAACAAAGACTTTCTCCTATTTTTCAGGGCCCCATTTCTAAGGCACCAGCTGGAGCTATTGTGTAATTAGAGCAGAAGTTTACCCTACCCCCACAGAGCTTGGGTCGTTCTGTAAAATCATTATTAAATGACTGCCTTTATAGGGCCCTGGGCAGAAGTAAGAATTACAGGGCTCTTGATAATAGGGAACGGGATGCCAAGCAGCATGGCCTGGCTGCATGTGCAGCACTTGGTTTCACCACCAGCTGATCAACAGGTTGCCAGTGACCTTCCTGGTGATGTGATTGATCACAGAGGTGGTGGGTCTTGTGGGGAATGCCAGCTGAGATTCCCAGCTGGACTGGTTTGTCTAATGGTTCTGATTTCCTGTTGTAGAAAACAGGAGCTAATCAAAGGCTTGGCTGTTGATGCTTCCAGTTAAGCAGCTTGAAGCACCGGGGAGCATCCCATGTCTCACTCCACCTGCATCAGGGTCTGTCAACCTGGTGATAATCCATGTATATCCAGGTCTTCACCCTAATGCAGATAAACACTGATCTGTGGGCAGCATCCACTTTATCAACCTGGCTCAGTCAATCCTGAAGACCCTCTTCTATTCTAGAACAATGGAGCAGGACAGGATATTGGAGATCAAGTTCTTTAATCCATATTTTTACTGACAAGCAAAAGGTTGGACCAAATAGGCAGGGATGAAGGTAGATGGAGGGGTATAGAGCCAAACTGGCTTTCTGCAATAGGAAATTGGAATATGTAATGCCCAGAGCTGCCCTCCCCAGTCTTTTCCTAAAAACATTGGTATTTTCCTTTTTTTTTTTTTTTTTCCTGAGATGGCGTTTCGCTCTTGTTGCCCAGGCTGCTTCAACAAAAGGTTCAAGAGGTGGAGGGCTAGTCCCAAGACCACACAGGAAGCCCATCTGAGAAGATCTGATCCTCTCTTCCTGGGGGATCTTCTCCAAGATAAAGGCTTTAAACATCTCTATGCGCACAGCTCCCACATTTGTATCTCTGGCCTGAAATTCCCCTGGATTCAGAACTCATGCACTCAGCTGTCCAGACATATCAAGACTTAATCTGTTCAAAATGAAACTCTTTATTCCTGTGCTACAATCTGAATGATTATGCACTCCCCTCCCCCAAATTTATATGTTGCAATTTGAACTCCCAAGGTGACGGTATAGAAGGTGGGCCTTTGGGAGGTGAATAGGACTTAGGGGTAGAGCCTCGTGAATAGGACTAATGCCCTTATAAAAGAAACCTCAAGGGAGTTCATTCACCCCCTTCTACCAGGCGAGGATACAGGGATAAGGTGCTAACTGAACCAGGAAGCAGGCCCCCGTCATCCACTGAATCTGATGACACTTTGATCTTGGACTTCCCAGCCTCCAGGATTGTGAGGAAGAAATTTCTGTTGTTGACAAGCTTCCCAGCCTATGGAATTTTGTTATAGAAGCCTGATCAGACTGAGACATCCTCTGTCTAAACCTACTTCTTCTGCAGCCTTTCCCATCTCGGCCCAAGCAAGTCCATTCTTCCAGGTGCTCAGGACCAAACCCTGGGCACCATCTTTCTCTTCTTCCTTTCTCTTATATGCCACATCCAGTCCACCTGGAAATTGTGTAGGCTTTATCTTCAGAATATATCCTGAGTCCAGTCACTTCTCACCACCTCCACTGCTCCCACTTTGGTCCAAGCTACTATTAGCTCTCATCCAGTTTTTGCAACAACCCCCTCACTGGTCTCTCACCTCCTGTCCTCCACCTGCCACCCCCATCCTGACCTCTTCGCCTTGTCAGAACATTCTGTGTGATACATTGATACACAGAGCAGACTCATGATTCATCTGCTTATAATGTTCCGCTGATTTCACATCTCATTCTGAAGGAAAGGTGATGGGGGAGAGGAAGAGAGCAATGGGCAAGAGTTCAGAGAACTGGCTCCCATGCCACCCTCATCCCTGACTCTGGAAAAGTGGGCATCTATCTCCATGACCCAGTTTCCTCTTCATATGGTTTGACTCTGTGTCCCCATCCAAATCTTATCTTGCGTTGTAATCACCACATGTCAAGGGAGGGCCCTGGTGGGAGGTGATTGGATCATGGGGGCCATTTCCCCATGCTGTTTTCGTGATAGTGAGTGAGTGCTTACGAGATCTGATGGTTTAAAAGTGTGGCACCTCCCCTCTTGCTCTGTCTCTCCTGTGGCCATGTAGAGTGTGCCATGGCCTTCTGCCATGATTGTAAGTTTCCTGAGGCCTCTCAAGCCATGTGGAATTGTGAGTCAATTAAACCTCTTTTGTTTATAAATTACCCAGTCTCAGGTAGTATCTTTACAGCAGTGTGAAAACAGAGTAACACACCTCTCATCTAAGATCCCCTCTTGTTTTAAGTTGTTAGATGTGTATATTTTAAGAGGTGGAGGAGTCAGCAGTCTGTGTATCCCCAAAACTCTCCTGCACCCCTCTCTGACTCTGCTTGGACCTGTCCTTCCTGATCCACTCTCCAGGGCTCCTGGCCCCTTTGCCCTCATCCCCTCCTCCTCCGGCTTCACAAAGATCCATCATTCCTTGCAGGCCTCTGCTGATTCACAAGCTCCCAGAGACTGTGGCAACAGCTGCCTTTGAAATATTGAAAATGAAAAAAAAAAAAAAAGCTTTTCAAAAAGTAAACAAATGCACAGGAGAGTGGGAAGGAGTTCTCCAGCGGGAAGTGGTTGGTGACTATATTGATACAAGGGAGGTGAATTTATTTTCTTTTTTCTATTTTTTTTGAGACGGAGTCTCGGTCTGTCACCCAGGCTGGAGTGCAGTGGTGCCATCTCGGCTCACTGCAACCTCCACCTCCTGGGTTCACGCCATTCGCCTGCCTCAGCATCCTGAGTAGCTGAGACTACAGGTGCCCGCCACCACGCCCGACTAATCAGCTAATTTTTAAATATTTTTAGTAGAGACAGGGTTTCACCGTGTTAGCCAGGGTGGTCTCAATCTCCTGACCTCGTGATCTGCCAGCCTCAGCCTCCCAAAGTGCTGGGATTATAGGCGTGAGCCAGTGCGCCTGGCCTGTGAATTTATTTATTTATTTATTTATTTATTTATTTTTATTTTTTTCGAGACGGAGTCTCGCTCTGTCACCCAGGCTGGAGTACAGTGGCATGATCTCAGCTCACTGCAACCTCCACCTCCCAGGTTCACGCCATTCTCCTGCTTCAGCCTCCTGAGTATCTGGGACCACAGGCGCCTGCCACCACACCCAGCTAATTTTTCGTATTTTTAGTAGAGATGGGGTTTCACCGTGTCAGCCAGGATGGTCTCGATCTCCTGACCTCATGATCTGCCTGCCTCAGCCTCCCAAAGTGCTGGGATTACAGGCGTGAGCCATCGCACCCGGCCATGAATTTATTTTCTAACCAGGCTATGCAAGTGCAAAAACCAAGCCAGGCAATGAGTTCACAACATCCTAAAAGTAATATCTGACTATGTGGAAAAGGATTAAAGTCTACATTTACTCAGGATTCTCCAAAACAGATCTGAGGCAGATCTCCAAACCATTACCTCTGGATCCCTCCCACCTGCTATCTACTTAAGTTCTAGCCTCTCTCTCAAGCCCCAGACTTTATTTGCTGTCCATTTAAACCTGGAAGATTCAAACAAAATTACCTTTTCTTTCCCATCCCCGATACAGCGTCTCCCCAGACTTTCCTATTTCCATGCAGACCCCACTATCCTGTGAGTTGTCCAGGTTCAAAGACATTCCTGTCATCTGTGGCTCCCTGGGGGTTGATTAGGATGTTTTGGGCAACTGGGAACAGCACCTCCTACCATCAGCAGTCAGAAAATACCAATGCTGGCTGGGCGAGGTGGCTCACGCCTGTAATCCCAGCACTTTGGGAGGCCAAGGAGGGCGGATCATCTGAGGTCAGGAGTTAGAGACCAGCCTGACCAACATGGTGAAACCCTGTCTCTACTAAAAATACAAAAAAAAAAAAATAGCTGGGCGTGGTGGTGTGCGCCTGTAGTCCCAGCTACTCAGGAGGCTGAGGCATGAGAGTCGCTTGAACCTGGGAGGCGGAGGTTGCAGTGAGCCAAGATTGCACCACCGTACTCCAGCCTGGGCAACAGAGTGAGACTCTGTCTCAAAAAAAAAAAAAAGAGCTTTACTTACTCTAAATAATATTTTGTGTCCATATCTACACATAGATAACAACAAATCACTATCATTTTTGGTATGGGCATGTGTAGATATAAGTATTAAATCAATTTCCTACCTTTTATCCAGTTATGGTTATATCCCCTATCAGTGATGTAACTTCAGCCAAGATAGAAATTTATCTCACAAAAAGCAAGACTGGGATGGGTGCAATGGCTCACACCTGTAATCCCAGCACTTTGGGAGGCTGAAGCGAGTGGATCACTTGAGGTCATGATTTCGAAACTGGCCTGGTCAACATGGTGAAACCCCGTCTCTACTAAAAATAAAAAAAATTAGCTGAACATGGTGGCACACACTTGTAATCCCAGCTATTCGGGAGGCTGAGGCATGAGAATCACTTGAACCTGGGAGGCGGAGGTTGCAATGAGCTGAGATCACGCCATTGCACTCCACCCTGGGCAACAGAGCAAGACTCTGTCTCAAAAAACAAAAAAGTAAAAACAAAACTGGAAGTTGTCAGTCTAGGGTGGCGTTAGGGACTTTCATTTCCTTCCAGAGGACATTCTGCTATCCGCAGGGTAGAAGCCTAATCCTCAAGGTTCAAGGTGACAAGAATAGCTCCAACCATCATATGCTTATTCCAGGAAGCAGGTCAAAGGATGAACAACTAAGAAATGACACTAAAGATATATGTCAGCCCATCTGCATTGCCTAAAGGAATAACTGAGGCTGAGTAATTTATAGAAGAGAGGTTTAATTGGCTCACAGTTCTGCAGGCTGTACAAGCATGACACCACCATCAACTCCTGAGGAGGCCTCGGGAAGCTTCCAATCATGGCAGAAGGTGAAAGGAAGCAGGTACATCACATGGCGAGAGAAAGAGCAAGAGAGGGAGGAGGACATGCCAGGCCCTTTAAACAACCAGATCTCCCATAAACTCAGAGCAAGAACTCTGTCATTGCCACTGGGACAGCACCAACCCATTGTGAGAGGGATCTGCCCACATCACCAAAACACCTCCCACCAGGCCCCACCTCCAGCATCAGGGATCACATTTCAACATGAGATTTGGAGGGGACCAACATCCAAACCATATCAAGACAGAAGTTACAGAAAGGGGTTTCCAAAAATGCCACCCAATACTTTTATTACCTCCCATTGGCCAGAACCTGGTCACATGGCCACAACTCATGGCAAGGAAGCCTGGGAAAATGTAGCCTGTGCCCACTCACTAGGAGAGGGGAGCACTGGTGCCAGGGTGCAGGAACACCAGTGGGCATTCATACTTCCTACTTCGTCTTATAAAAATCCTTAGAGATTCATCTTTGTGTATTTTTCTGACTATTTCCTAGGGATAAATGCCTATAAATGAATTTGGGACCAAAAGTTATGCACTTTCATTGGCCAATTGCCAATTGCCCTCTAGAAAGCTTGTACTAATTAACTCACACAAGAGGTGGGGTTCTATTTCATGAAATGTTTCTCCACCCCATATTTCCTTTTAATCCACACCCTTTGGTCTTTATTAGGCTTACACATCTCTTCAGAATCCCTGCTTCCTACATTATAATCTTGGGATTTAATACATGTTTTTCATTCAGGTTATTATCAATATCAGATTTATCTGACTATGCATGAACACAGCCACAGATTCAGGGAAAAAGATGTATCTTTCAGCGCTGAAGAGAATAAAAATTAATAATCCTCAGAGACTTTCAAACTGAAGTGGGCAGGGAAGGGTGGAAAGAACCGATCTCATTCTATGAAGAGCATGCAGGGATTTTCACAGAGCATGTAGTGCTGAGTACAGCACACCAGGCACCCGGGGACACCCAGAGAGCAGCCTTTCCTCAACACAAGAGGAGTGAGCACCGCACAGAGCTGCAGAAAGGGAATCCCAGATGGGGTAACAGCAGATACAAAGACCCCACGGCAGGCCCTGGCCTGGCCTGCTGGAGGAGCAGAACGGAAGCCAGTGGGTCTGGAGTAAAGGGGACCAACTTGTCCCGGTTTGCCCAGAACTTTCCTGGTTTTAACACTAGAAATCCCATGTCCCAGGAAACTTCTGAGTCTCAGCCAAGCTGGGATGATTTGC
This sequence comes from Homo sapiens, assembly GCF_000001405.40. Classification (NCBI taxonomy): domain Eukaryota; kingdom Metazoa; phylum Chordata; class Mammalia; order Primates; family Hominidae; genus Homo; species Homo sapiens. The sequence continues at coordinate 48,119,355 of NC_000020.11, forward strand.
CTAGAACTTCCCCTATTATAAAACTGAGAGGTCTGTGCCCCATCATCCGCCTCAGTCCTAAGCAAGCTGAGGCAGTGGGTCGCCCTAGACTGGAGCAACGTGCATGATGGTGGGAAGAGCCAGTGACTCTCTTTCATGTCCTCTCTGCCCTCGATCTCAGGAGTCACCCAGGTGGGCACTGGCATCCAGGATGAAAACTTCCCAGCACCCCAGCAGTGGCCACGTGACCAGGCAGTGGCCAATGCACATGAGGCCAGTGCACAGCAACTGCCATTAGAGGAAGGAAGATTTGTGTCCTCTTGTTCTCTTCTCCCCTCCCTGCTGGCTGGTAGTAGATAGGATGGACACTGTGGGGGAAGCTACACCCTAAAGAAGTCAAAGCAGCAAGATGGAAGTACCCTAAGACCCTGAAAAATGCACAGAGAAGAATCACCCGACTGGCTTGAACTTTCATGTGAAAGGAATGAACCTCTGTCTTAGTAAAGCCACCGTGATTCAGGGTCCTTGTGATATTCACTGAGGCTGTAACATAATTGTTGAAAGAACAGGAGCGGGAGGGGAGATGGAGTCGGAGAGGCAGGCAGAGGTCAGATCACATGGGGCCTGTAGGCCAAGGCGGAGGAAGAAACAGGTGACATAGGACTCAAGGACCCCACCTGCTCCCAGGCGAAGGGAGTTTGCTGTGGGTGCCCCTCCCTGTCTGTGTGTCCAGTGTATTCATATTCTTCATACCTTGCCCATATTGGACAAATACTTTTTTCTATTCAATATTTAGAAGACATTGCATTAAATAGCAAGATGGCAGGTGAACATCAGGAAGGAACATTAGGAACATCCACGGCGTTCCATCCAGGAACCTTCACCGTGGAAACTCTTGTGCTCATGGGCGTGGTCTCAAGACACAGTCAGCTGTTGGGGATCAGAGGCGACACTCATTGTAGCAGAGAGGCAGGACCAACTGGGAGAGGGTCCTTCTGTGACAACTATTGCATCACCGGGCTGTGTGAAGTGACTCAGCTGCCAGAACTCACACAATATCATTCTACACCAAACCTCACGGGAAAAATGGTAAGTTTAAAGTTTTTTCATTAATAGCAACTCTCAGATTAATCTCTGTCCTCCATCGCTTCTCCATGAAACAACTTTTTATAGCTTTGGTTGGGTCTATTTTTCCATTTATTTTTTATTTTACTAACTGATTTAAAGATATATATTTTGTGTGTGTGATTTTGTCTCTGTCAGCCAGGATAATCATGTTTTAATTCCTATTATTATTATTACCAACATCCTTTAGTTTTTTTAGCTTTTCAATTCCTAAGGGTATTAATCAGGATCTTTCTGTCTCGTGAGATGGAAAACAAATCCAAACTGTGTAAGAGGAAAAAGAATGCACTGATCACTAGCATTGAGAAGTTCCCAAGCTTAGCTTGCTTGGGGTACAGCTACGTCTACCATTTCCAGGGTCATCCTGTAACTCTCTCTCTCTACTTCCCCAACTTTGGCTCCATGTTTAGCTCCACGACCCTCAGACTTAAACAGCAGCACTGGCTCCTCCCCAGATCTCCAGCTCCCTGACCCTCAAACTCCAACTCCAACACCAGCTCTGCCCCAGGTCTCCAGCTCCACAATCCTCAAACTACAACAGCAGCACCAGCTCCCCTGGGGATCTCCAGCTCAATGACTCTCAGACTTGGGAGGCAGCTCCAGCTCCCACCAAGCCTCCAGCTCCACAACCTTCAAACTAGAACAGCAGCACCAGCTACTCCCTGGGTCTCCAGCTCCCTCAAAATTCAACTATAGCACTGGCTGTTCCCCAGCGCCACCAGCTCCACAACCCTCAACTTACACGGTGGTAGCACCAGCTCCTCCCTAGGTCTCCAGCTACACGACCGTCAAACTTGAACTGCAACACCAGCTCCTCTTCGGCCTCCAGCTCCACAATCCTCCAACAACAACAGCAACACCGGCTCCTCCCTGAATCTCCAGCTCAACAACCCTCAGACTTGAGAGGCAGCACCGGCACCTCCCCAAGGCTCCAGCTCCATGACCCTCAGATTTGAACAGCGGTAGCACCAGCTCCTGTCCAGGTCTCCAGCTTCATGATCCTTAAACTAGAACAGCAGCACCACCACCTCCCTAGGTTTCCAGCTCCACGACCCTAAGACATGAATGGCAGGACCGGGTTCCCCGCTAGGGCTCCAGCTCCAAGACCCACAGATATAAACGGCAGCACCGGCTCTTCCTGGGATCTCCAGCTCCACAGCCTTCAAACACGATCAGCAGCACCAGCTCCCCTCTGGTTCTCCAGCTCCACAATCCTCAGACATGAACAGCAGCACAGGCTCCTCCTTGGGTCTCCAGCTTCTCTACCCTCAGACTAGAACAGCAACACTTGTTCCTCCCTGGGTCTCCAGCTCTTACAAGTCTCAGACTTGAAAGGCAGCACTGGCTCCTCAGAAAGTTTCTGGCTCCAAGCTGGTGCTGCTGTCCTAGTTTGAAGGTCATGGAGCTGGAGACCCGGGGAGGAACCATTTGAACAGCAGCACTGGCCCCTCCCCGGGTCTCAGGCTCCACGACCCTCAGACTTAAAAAGCCGTAGTACGGGCTTCTCCCTGGGTCTCCATCTCTACAACCCTCAGACATGAACAGCAGCAGCACCGCCCCCTCCCCCTGTCTCCAGTTCCACGAACCTCAAACTACAACAGCAGTACCGGCCTCTCCCCAGGTCTCCAGATCCACGACCCTCAAAATAGAATGGCATCACCGGCTCCTCCCTGGGTCTCCAGCTCCCAAACTCTCAAACTTCAATTGACACACCGGACCCTCCCCACAGTTAAACAGCAGCACGGGCTGTTCCCCAAAGCTCCAGATCCACGACCCTCTGACTTAAAGGGCGATAGCACCAACTCCTCCCTAAGTCTCCAGTTCCACGACCCTCAAACTACACAGCAGCACCGGCTCCTCCTTGGGTCTCCAGCTTCACTACACTCAGACTAGAATAGCAACACCGGTTCCTCCCTGGAACTCCAGCTCAATGACTCTCAGACTTGAAAGGCAGCACCAGCTCCTCAAAAAGGTTCTGGCTCCAAGACCCTCGAACTAGAATAGCAGCAGCTGCTGCATCTTGGGTCTCCAGCTCCACAACCCTCAAAGTAGAAAAGCAGCCCTGGCTCCTCCCCGAGTCTCCAACTCCTCAAGTCTGAGGGTTGTAGAGCTGGAGACCCGGGGAGGAGTCAGTGCTGCTGTTCTAGTTTGAGGGTCATGGATCTGGAGACCCAGGGTGGAGCCGGTGCTGCTGTTCTAGTGTGAGGGTCATGGAGCTGGAAGACCCCGGGAGGAGCTGCTGCTGCTGTTCTAGTGTGAGGGTCATGGAGCTGGAAGACCCCGGGAGGAGCTGCTGCTGCTGTCCTAGTTTGAAGGTCATGGAGCTGGAGACCCCGGAATGAGCCATTTGAACAGCAGCACTGGCCCCTCCCCAGGTCTCAGGCTCCACGACCCTCAGACTTAAAAAGCCGTAGTACGGGCTTCTCCCTGGGTCTCCAGCTCTACAACCCTCAGACATGAACAGCAGCACCGGCTCCTCCCCCTGTCTCCAGTTCCACGAACCTCAAACTACAACAGCAGTACCGGCCTCTCCCCAGGTCTCCAGATCCATGACCCTCAAAATAGAATGGCATCATCAGCTCCTCCCTGGGTCTCCAGCTCCCAAACCCTCAAACTTCAACTAACACAGCAGATCCTCCCCACAGTTAAACAGCAGCACGGGCTGTTCCCCAAAGCTCCAGATACACGACCCTCAGTAGCACTGGCTCCTCCCAAGGTCTCCAGTTCCATGACCCTCAAACTACACAGCAGCACCGGCTCCTCCCCAGGTCTATAGCTCCACCACCCTCACACTAGACATCAAGACTACCTCCTTCCCGCTCTCCAGCTACACGACCCTCAAACTTGAACAGCAGCAGCAGCTCCTCCCTAGATTTCCAGCTCCATGACCCTAAACCTGCAACAGCAGCACCAGCTCCTCCCTGTACCTCAAGCCCCATGACCCTCTGACTTGATCAACAGCAACAGCAGCTCCCTCCCTGGTCTCCAGCTCCACAACCTTCAGCCTTAAACAGCAGCAGCACCAGCTCCTCCCTGGGTCTCCAGCTCCACAACCCTCAGACTAGAACCGCACCCCTCCTCCCTGAGTCTCCAGCTCCATGACCGTCAAACTACAACAGCAACACAGGTTCCTGTCTGGATCTCCAGCTCAGCAACTCTCAGATGAGGCAGCACCGGCAACTCACCAAGGCTCCAGCTCCACAACCCTCAGATTTGAATAATGGTAGCACCAGCTCCTGTCCAGATCTCCAGCTTCATGATCCTTAAACTAGAACAGCAGCACCGCTGCCTCCCTGGGTTTCCAGCTCCACGACCCTAAGACATGAATGGCAGAACCGGCTTCCCACAAGGGTTCCAGCTCCAGGACCCACAGATTTAAATGGCAGCACTGGCTCTTCCCAGGATTTCCAGCTCCACTACCCTCAAACTAGAAGAGGAGCACCGGCTCCTCCCTGGGTCTCCAGCTCCCAAACCCTCAGACATCACCTGACACACTGGATCCTCCCCACAGTTACATAGCAGCACGGGCTGTCCCCGAAAACTCGAGATCCACAACCCTCTGACTTCAATGGCGGTAGTACTGGTTCCTCCCTAGGTCTCCAGTTCCATGACCCTCAAACTACACAGCAGCACCAGCTCCTCCCCAGGTCTACAGCTCCACCACCCTCACACTAGACACCAGGACTACCTCCTCCCCGCTCTCCAGCTACACGACCCGCAGATTTGAACAGCAGCAGCGTCTCCTCCCTGTACCTCAAGCCCCATAACCCTCATATATGAACAACAGCAATACCAGCTAATGCCTAGGGCTCCAGCTCCAGGATCCACAGATTTAAACTGCAGCACCAGCTCGTCCAAGGATCTCCAGCTCCACCACCCTCAGACTAGAACAAGACCTCTACTCCCTGGGTCGCGAGCTTCCGGACCCTCGAACTATGAAAACATTGCTCCTCCCTGGGTCCGCAGCTCCACGACCCTCAAACCAGATCAAGATCTCTCCTCCCTGTGTCGTCAGCTTCCTGACCCTTGAACTATGACAACATTGCTCCTCCCTGGGTCAGCAGCTCCACAACCCTCAAACCAGATCAAGATCTCTCCTCCCTGGGTCGCCAGCTTCCTGACCCTCGAACAACAGAAACATTACTCCTCCCTGGGTCAGCAGCTCCATGATCCTCAAACTAGAATGAGACCTCTCCTCCCTGCGTCGCCAGCTTCTGGACCCTTGAACTATGAAAATATTGCTCCTCCCTGGGTCGGGAGCTCCATGACCCTCAAACTAGAACAAGACCTCTCCTCCCTAGGTCTGCAGCTTCCAGTCCCTCAAATAACAACATTGCTCCTCCCTGGATCTGCAGCTCCACGACCCTCAGACTAGAACACGATCTGTCCTCCCTGGGTCACCAGCTTCCGAACCTTCGAACTAAAACAACATTGCTCCTCCCTGGGTCTGCAGCTCCACGACCCTCAAACTAGAAAAAGACCTCTCCTCACTGTGTCGCCAGCTTCTGGACCCTCGAACTACAAAAACATTGCTCCTGCCTGGGTCTGCAGCTCCACGACCCTCAATCCAGATCAAGATCTCTCCTCCCTGTGTCATCAGCTTCCTGACCCTCGAACTATGACAGCATTGCTCCTCCCTGGGCGCACCCTCAAACTAGAACAAGACCTCTCCACCCTGCGTCGCCAGTTTCCGGAGCCTCAAACTAAAACAACCTTGCTCCTCCCTGGGTCTGCAGCTCCACAACCCTCAAACTAGAACCAGACCTCTCCTCCCTGTGTTGCCAGCTTCCTGACCCTTGAACTATGGAAACATGGCTCCTCCCTAGGTCTGCAGCTCCACGACCCTCAAACTAAAACAAGATCTCTCCTCCCTGGGTCTGCAGCTCCACGACCCTCAAACTAAAACAAGATCTCTCCTCCCTGTGTCATCAGCTTCCAGTCCCTCAAATAACAACATTGCTCCTCCCTGGGTCTGCAGCTCCACGACCCTCAAACTAAAACAAGACCTCTCCTCTCTAGGTCTGCAGCTTCCAGTCCCTCAAATAACAACATTGCTCCTCCCTGGATCTGCAGCTCCATGACTCTCAGACTACAACAAGATCTCTCCTCCCTGGGTCACCAGCTTCCGGACCCTCGAACTACGAAAACATTGCTCCTCCCTGGGTCTCCAGCTCCATGACCCTCAAACTAAAACAAGATCTCTCCTCCCTGTGTCATCAGCTTCCAGTCCCTCAAATAACAACATTGCTCCTCCCTGGGTCTGCAGCTCCACGACCCTTAAACTAGAACAAGACCTCTCCTCACTGTGTCGCCAGCTTCCGGACCCTTGAACTATGAAAACATTGCTCCTCCCTGGGTCCGCAGCTCCACGACCCTCAAACTAAAACAAGATCTCTCCTCCCTAGGTCTGCAGCTTCCAGTCCCTCAAATAACAACATTGCTCCTCCCTGGATCTGCAGCTCCACGACCCTCAGACTAGAACAAGACCTCTCCTCCCTGAGTCACCAGCTTCCGAACCTTCGAACTAAAACAACATTGCTCCTCCCTGGGTCCGCAGCTCCATGACCCTCAAACTAGAACAAGACCTCTCCTCCCTAGGTCTGCAGCTTCCAGTCCCCAAATAACAACATTGCTCCTCCCTGGATCTGCAGCTCCACGACCCTCAGACTAGAACAAGATCTCTCCTCCCTGGGTCACCAGCTTCCGGACCCTGGAACTACAAAAACATTGCTCCTCCCTGGGTCTGCAGCTCCACAACCCTCAAACTAAAACAAGATCTCTCCTCCCTGTGTTGCCAGCTTCCGGACCCTCGAACTATGACAACATTGCTCCTCCCTGGGTCTGCAGCTCCACGACCCTCAAAGCAGATCAAGATCTCTCCTTCCTGTGTCATCAGCTTCCTGACCCTTGAACTATGACAACATTGCTCCTCCCTGGGTCTGCAGCTCCATGACTCTCAAACTAGAACAGCAGCACCAGCTCCTTCCTGGACCTCCAGGTCAATGACTCTCAGACTTCAAAGGCAGCAGCAGCTCCACCCCCAGGCTCCAGCTCTAAAACCCTCAGATGTGAGCAGTGGCAGCACCAGCTCCTTTCTGCGTCTCCGGCTTCATGATCCTTAAATTAGAACAGCAGCGCCATCTTCTCCCTGCGTCTCCAGCTCCAGGAACCTCAAACTGCAACAGGAGCACCTGTTCCTCTGGGATTTTCACCTCCACGACCCTGAGGTGTCAGTGGCAGCACTGGCTCCTCCCCTGGGCTGCAGCTCCAGAACCCTCAAGAATAATCCCTTCTCATGAAATGTAGCAGTCAGGAAAACTGCAGAGGAAGTAAATAAATAAATGTTTTCTTTCAAACTGATGTTTCTTTTATATTCACACAAGTCAGGAAACTTTTCTACTTTCCATCAACCTTACAATCTACTTATATTCAATTGTAAGGTGGAAATCCACCATTTGAAATAACCTTTAAAAACTTAGTAACTCTCTTTTACTATGATTTTATCTCACAGCTCTAGAAACGATCTTTCACTTTGCCTGTGCAGAAGTCTTGTGAACATTCAAACTAGAATTTACTTGGTTGAGATTCTAGAATACACGTTATCCCCAGATGTTCCTGCCCTCCTTAAAATCTTCTAACATGTTCCCCTCACCCGAGCATAAATGCCAGGTCCTATCCACAGCCCACAGTGCCCAGCACGGCCCTGCCCTCTGCCCTGACCTTATGGTCTCCCCTCTGCTGTTACTTTCCTCCCAGACAGGCCTCTGTCACTTCCTGAAACCACACAGGCTCAGGCCTGACTCCGGGCCTTTGCCCCTGCTGTGCCCCCTGCGTGGAGCGCCTTTGCCCGGCTCCCCATCCTCCTCTCCACCCGCTCAGCTCCAGCCTGCTGGCTGCCCCTCAGTCCCCGCCCCTCAGCGGGGAGGACATCCAGAACACACGATGTCCTCCCCGCTAGGCCTTTGCACATGCTGTTCTCTGTGCCTGAAACCCCTCCCCCCTCACCATCTGCGTTCACTTTTCTAATTTCCATTCATCCTTGGAGTCTCCACTGAAATATCGCCCCCCCGCCTGCCCCCACCACTTGGACTTAACCTTGCTTAGGTTGAAAACCCCCATCTCCTGAGTCCAGGAAGCTAGATGCTGTCCTGGCACTTGGAACTTTCCCATCACAGCGTTTTGCGCACTCGTAATTTATTCTATTAGGTTGGTGCAGAAGTCATCGCAGTTTTTGTCATTACTTTCAATGAACTGCAGCGCCGGCTCCTCCCCACTTTTGATTGCCATTACCTTTACTGGCAAAAAAGTGCTGGAATTACTGCTGCACCAACCTAATAGAATAATTTATATTTATTGATCCATCATATGTCTTCCCCTCTAGAAAATAAGCTCCATAAGAATAGTGACCAAATCTACTCCAATCACTCCAGCTTCCTTGCACATTGTCAATAATTATTTACCGACTGACTGATAGAGAAATATCTTCATTGTTGCTGGGATGAGCCACATAACATGACACGCCCCTTTGAAAGTCAATGTCATGGACAGTTAGCATTTGCTTTTCACTCCTGCACCCGTGGCTTGGCTGGGCTTAGGCTGATCTAGTCTGGGCTTGACTCCAGGCTGAGGGTTGGAACCCTGCGTGCTCCACATGCCTCTCATCCTGCAGCTGGAGCCAAAGTTCCCTGGGGCACGCTCGTCTCGTGGGAAAAATCAAGAGCATTAGAGGGCAGGCCTGGCAGTGCCGACACATTCCAGGCTTCTGCCTGTGCCGTGTCTACGAACATCTCATTGGCATAAGCAATTCACCCAGACACGAGCAATACCTCCATCTCAAAAGATAGGAAAAGAAAATACCAGTGTTTTTAGGAAAGAAAATACCAGTGTTTTTAGGAAAAGACTGGGGGGTGGGGTGCAGATCTGGGCATTACGTATTCCAATTTCCTATTGTAGAAAATGGGAGCTAATCAAAGGCTTGGCTTCAATGCTTCCAGTTTAGGATCAAAGCCAAAACAACGAAATAGGGGCAATTCAAAGGAACACCCTCTTTACACCTGTTATTTTTATAAGAAATGAAAACCTTTCTTAGGAGACCTGTCACAATCCTCTTCGGTCTTTTGGGCCAGAATGAGTCATAGGGAAGTCCTCACTGTAAAGGGAGCTGGGAAGTATCTGGCAAAGGTGACTGGCATAGCCAAGGCTGGTTTTGACCAATTGTGATCCATTTCCATTTTGCCTAGAAAAAAATCCTGTTAGCAAGTAGGGTGGGGACAGCTGTTGGGTGAGCAAACATCAGCACCTCCTACTTTATCTTCTTCCACCGCCAGCATCCAATCCAGGGGACAGCCTGTTGTTCCCTCCCTCAGATGCCTCCTCTATTGGTCAGCTTGTTTTCTTCCTATGCCTGGTACCTTCATTGGCATTGCACCTTCTCTAGCCTGGACCATAATTGCCCTTAATACCCTACCTCCTGTCCTTTCTCTTTCAAAAGACTGACAGATACCTGATCTCTCAAGTACAATTCTAACTTGATTACTCCAGCACCCAACTATCTTTGATAACTCTGTCTCATCTGCCAAGTTATATACAAACCTTCTCAGGGTGAAAACCAAGGCCTTCCATAATATGATCATTGGTAAGGGAGAAAAAAAAAAAAAACAGTCCTGTTTGCATCTAGACTATGGAGGGAACTGAGAAACACAACCCTCCAGGCCATGATGCTCCTGAGTCGACATGAACCACACTCAAAGAATATGAACTCGTTCAGACAAGGCCACAAGTTGACTGTGTTTAGAGGTAGGCAGGGATAAGACCACTCTGCAGCCACAGAAATGACTGAACATGCCCCTTTTCTAACATGAGTGACAGCTGCCTCTTTACCAGTGACAACTCTAGCCTGCTTCAAGCTTCCCACTCCTGAGATAAAGTATTTAAGATACGCAATCACCAAGTTGCCCTCACTTCTTGACCTTGCCTCCTTAATCCCTTTTTGGAACCATTCTGTAGAAGCCTAGGTCCTCTAAAAAGCACTGCCCCTTCCCCCTTACTGAGATGCCCCCAGGTGGCCATGGGCGTGGGAATCTCCCTGACTGCAGCAAGCTAAATAAACTGACTGTGACTGCAGGGAAGTTCCTGGCAGTCTTAGGTGGGTGGGCTTTAACATCATGATCTAACTTTACAACTTTACAACTGTTCCCCAATAGCTTCTTTATAGTTCAGACTTTTTTTTTTTTTTCACAATCACACTTAATTCTGAACAAGTTGCTGGATCCAGCTGCTATTTTGCAAGAAATACACAGGACAGAGACAGGAATGTGCTGACTGCACCATAAATTCGGATTCGCCAAAATCCAGACTGTGAAAATCTTTATAGGTCACAGGGTTCAGGCACTGTGACAAAGAAGTTTTAAGAAAAAGACAGGCATGGAAGGGAAATCTGGAAATTTAAGAGACTTACCAAGATTTACCAAATGGGTAACGTGAACTATGCTGTCTAGGGAGCCACATGGGGGTGATTAAGCCATGCAGATTGTAGGGAGGTTGTTGACTATGAGAATCAGCATGAGGGTTACTTTTGGAGGGAGGAAGGGACAGACTGTGATTGGGATGCAGCCGTGAAGGGGACTCTGGCCAGGTGCTCTTTCTTGACTTAGTCTTGGTGATAAGAATATTTGTGTATAATATCTCACTAAGCTATACATTTTTGTGTTTTTTTTGTACCTGTGTTTGATTTTAAAATAAAAAGGCTAAAAAGAATATCCTTGAACAGTTTCATTTCTGTACATAGGAGTCTATAGACAAGGGAAGCAAGAAGTCAAGTTAGGGAGCTGTCAGCAAACCAGGAGAAGGATGATGGGGCTTAACCCACGATGACAGCGGCAGAGACCAGGAGTTGCATTCAGATTCCAATGTTTTGGAAGAAAGAACCAACAGGAGCCTCTGACACATTGAATTGAACATGGGAGAAGAAGGAGAAGCAATGTTATACTGTCACCTCTTTCTGACTTTATTGTGAACCTGGTGAACATAATGGCCAATCAAAGACATTGGAGTGGATGAGATGAAGGTTTCACAAAAGTACTAAAGAAAAAGCTATTGTCTATGGGCAGATGACACTAGTCCAGGGAGGAAAAAAACGGTAGCGAGTAGATGTTCTTTTCCACCAAAAGGTATCGTGCCTATCGTGGAAGCTCCTGGTAGACATTTGCTGGAAACAGCATAGCCCAGAGACATTGGAATAAATTTGAGATGTCTTGAAACTATAATACCCAAATCTGACTATCTGTTCAGTGCTGAAATCTGACTATCTGTCATATTTGGGTATTATAGTGTCATAAGTGAGTGTCATAAAATGAGTTAGGAGTGTTTCTTCTGCCTGTATTTTCTGAAGGTGCTTACGATCGATGTTATTTCTTAAGGAGGGCTGAGATTGTCAGCCCAACACTTCAGATATGCATTGCCCTTGGGGCAATGCCCTTGATGGGGCATCAAGACCCCGTGTCTATTTCACTTCCGAAATTCAAGATAAACAAGGCAGCCTTTTGTTGGAGCTCATTGCCCATTTGTTGAATTGAATAATCCATCTCTCCTCCTTAAAAAAGTCAAGTTCATAAAATAAGGAAGCAAGACTTCTAAATATTTTATGGGAAAAGATTGTCAATAACCAACTCTTTTACATTATTTTTATAGGTCACACTTAAATTGGCAAAATAGCAACGTGCAGGTATGTGTCTTATGAACGTCTGCTTTTTAGCAATGAGAATCCTATTTTCCTACTGGCTTTTGTTATTATTTCTGACACGTCTAACTTAGTTTTTGCTCTCTTACTAGCTATAGGGTTTTCTCACTCTGTTGCTCAGGCTGGAGTTCAGTGCCACAATCACAGCTGCCTGTCACCTTGAACTCCTGGGCTCAAGCAGTCCTCCCACCTCAACCTACCAAGTGCCTGTAGTAGCTACAGGCATGCACCACCACTCCTGGTTAATTTTTTTGTTTTTAAAAATAGAATTGGGGGTTTAGCCATGTTGCCCAGGTTGGTCTCGAACTCCCATCCTCAAGTGATCCTCCTGCCTCGGCCTCCCAAAGTGCTAGGATAACAGATATGAATCACCACACCCAGCCTGTGGTAATACAATTTTTAAGCCGACATTTTCCTGGACTAAAGGAGCTGTTGAAGTCTAGACTCCTAGGAAAATCCTGATGTCCTGCTTATAAATAGACATCCTATTTGAGCTGAGTTATTTTGCAGAAAGGCTGCCTGCAGCTTTAAATGGGCTCCCCAACCTCAGATTCTGGGAAGTTGGCAGCCAGCTGCACTAGGAGTGAGTTATGATGTCAGCTTTCCAGAATTCCTAATGAACTCCAGAGCAAAAAATGCTGTTGCTCTGCCTCCCCCAAGTCACATTTCTAGTTGATTAACGAGCAAAGGAGTAGAAAAATCTATAGCTTTGGAGAAGGAGGAAGAGTGAAATAATTTCTCCTCTAAGAAACCACAGTGCCCCGATTATTTTATTTGTTAAGAAAAAGGAATTTCATTTTCTATTTATTTCCTCCTTTAAATCTAGATTCAGACCCCCGCTTCCCCCTTCCCAGTCATAAAAAGCAGGTTTGGCTCTATACCCCTCCCTTTACCTTCATCCCTGCTTATTTGGTCCAAGATAGAAAATCCAGCCCTGCCCTTTTGGGGGCAGTTGTCTTAGCTCTTTGAGGTCTGTTTAAAATCTCATCTAGCATACATAAAATAGATCTGCAACCCTCCATTAAAAGTCATGGCCTCCTGGCTGCAAAGAGATACATCCGGGTGAAAGTTGTGGTTGGTTATGTCCAGCTCAGCCCTTCTGTGGCCCTGCCCCAGCATGGGCTGAACATCTTCCCACCAGCTGGGACATCCAGGGCAGCTGATCTTTTAGGGGAAAATCACTCTGCACAATTACCCTGCTCCATATCCCACCTTCTGTAAGGCTGCTTAGGCTAATTAAAAGTCATGCTTCTTTGGAGAAATGTCTATTGAAATCCTTAGCCATTTTTTAATTGGGTTATTAGGGATTTTTTGCTATAAAGTTGTAGGAGTTCCTTATATATTTTGGAAATTATCCCTTATCAGATACATAGTTTGCAAATATTTTCTCTCATTCTGTAGGCTACCTTTTTACTCTACTGATTGTTTCCTTCGCTGTGCGGAAGCTGTTTAGTTTGGCATCGTACTTGTCTATTTTTGCTTTAGTTGCCCATGCTTTTGGTGTTGTATCCATGAAATCACTGCCAAGACCAATGTCATGAAATTTTCCCCTATGCTTTCCTCTAGGAGCTTTATAGTTTTAGATCTTACATTTAAGGCTTTAATCCATTTTTAGGTGATGTTTGTAAATGGTGTAAGACAAAGATAAGGATCTAATTTCATTCTTTTGCATATGTATATCCAATTTTCCCACCACTATTTATTGAAGAGGCTATCCTTTCCCTATTGTGTATTCTTGGCACCCATGTTGAAAATCATCCTACCATATATTTGGGTATTTATTTCTGGGCCCTCTATTATAATTCCATTCATCTATAGGTCTGTCTTTATGCCAGTACCATACTGTTTTAATGACTATAACTTTGTAATATATTTTGTGATCAGGAAATGTTATGCCTCTGGTTTTGTTCTTGTTTTTCAAGATTATTTTGGGTATTCTGGGTCTTTTGTGGTTCCATATAAATTTCTGAATTTTTTTGTATTTCTGTAAAAATAAAATTCCATGTGATTTTGATAGGGATTACTTTGAATCTGTAGAATGCTTAGGGTAGTAGGGACACTTTAACAGAATTAAGTCTTCCAATCCATGAACATGAGACATCTCTCCATTTGTTTGTGTCTTCTTTAATTTTTCTCATCAATATTTTGTAGTTTTCAGTGTACAGATCTTTCACTTCCTTAGTTAAGTTTGTTCCTAAGTATTTTTTTAATGCTATTGTAAACTGGATTGATTTTCTAATTTCCTTTTCAGATAGTTTGTTGTGAGTATATAGAAACACAATTGATTTTTGTATGTTGACTTTGTATCCTGCAACTTTACTGAATTTGTTTATTAATTCTAACAGGTTTTTTTTAAGAGTTTTTAGGGTTTTCCATATATAAGATCATGCCATCTGCAAAAGGGAAAGCTTAACTTCTTCTTTTCCAATTTAGATGCCTTTTATGTCTTTTTCTTGACTTGTTGTGTTGGCTAGGACTTCCAGTACTATGTTGAATAGAAGTGGTAAGAGTAAGCATCCTTGTCTTTTTCCTGTTCTTCCTGGAAAAGCTTTCAGTTTTTTACCATTGAGTGTAATGTTAACTGTGGGCTTTTCATATATGGCCTTTATTATGTTGAGTTAATAATTTTTCTCTATGCCTAGTTTTTGAGTGTTTTTATGATAAAAGAGTGTTGAGTTTCATGAAATGCTCTTTTTGTATCACTTGACATGATCACGAGATTTTTCTCCTTCATTCTGTTAATGTGGTGTCTCACATACAATAGCTATATGAAAAGATGCTCAGCATCCCTAATCATCAGGTGAATGCAAACTAAAACCAAAATGAGATATCACCACACATCATTTTTTAGGATGTCTATTATCAAAAAATCAAAAGACAACAAGTGAGAATGTGCAGAAATTGGAACCCTGCTACACTGTTGGTGGGAATGCAAAATGGTGCAGCTACTATGGAAAAATGCATAAAGGCTCCTCAAAAAAACTAAAAGTAGGACTATCATATGAACCAGCAATCTCATTTCTGGGTATTTATTCAAAAGAACTGCAATTAGGACCTTGAAGAGATCTCAGCACTGCCATCTTCATCGCAACATCGTTCACAGTAGCCAAGATGTGAAATCAATCTTGATTGATGGATGAATGGATTTTTAAAATGTGATGTAATATATACATATAATAAAATATTATTCAGCCTTAAAAAAAAAGAAATCTTGCAATCTATGACAACATGGATGACCCTTGAAAGCATTATGCTAAGTGAAAAAGGCCAGTCACAGAAGGACAAATACTACATGATTTCATTTATATGAGGTATCAAAAATAGGCAAACTCATTGAAGCAGAGAGTAGAATGGTGGTTGCCAGAGGCTTGGGGGGAGGGTGAAAGGGAAACTTTCTAATCAACAGGTGTAACATTACACTTAAGCAAGATGAATAAGTTCTAGAGATCTGCTGCCTGACATTGTGCCTATAGAGAGCAATACTGTATTGCACACGTAAAAGTCTCTACAAGGGTAGATCTCATATTAAATGTTCTTACCACAATTTAAAAAATAAGAAATTGAAATATGGTCCCTTCAATAGAGGCCTTGGGATATTTTCTAGACACAACCCACAGTCTTCTTCAGGAATTAACTTAGCACTTGTGGCCATCATATCCTCTTCCCCTTAGTTTTCCTAGTAATATGTGGTTTGTTTACATATTTTACCCAGATTTAATAAAGATATTCAATCATAACAGTGTTTTTTAAAGTCAATCTGTGTGCAATTTTAATTAGGATTTGCATCAGGCTGGGCAAAGCTTTGAGAGGGAGAGGAAACTGAGAGCTGGGCATTCATAGGGTGGGGGTAGCAGGGAGGGCGGGGGGCCAGTTACTGATAACTTCCCTGCCATACACAGACTGTGGAGGACAACAGACACGTGTCCGCATTCCGAAAAACAGAGGAGCTGGGAAGTTGGGAGTCCCATTTGGCTGGTTGGCTCAAGTCTCCATTAGCTGGGGTTTCTGGAATTTTCCCTCACTGCAGCTTTGATGGTGGGGGTCTGCACACCCCACCCCATTAACAACAAGAAAGACCCCGAGTCTCAGGCTCCCATCCACCCCTGGCCTGAGGAGTCACGCCCTCGGAATTTTGCTTTTAGACTTTTACTGGGCCCAGGGTGGGTTATGAACAGAAGCAGAATGGCTACTGCCCAGCAAGGCGTGTGCTGTTCCACTCAGCTTTGACCACCCAGGATCAAGTGAATTAGCACAGTGCCTGACAAATCCTGAGGGTAGCTATTATGAATATGACCATGTTGTGTTTCCTCTCCTGTTTTCAGTTTTTGGGAGATCAGAAACTCGGCTTACCTTTGTATTCTAAGGGCCTAGAAAATTTTTGTCCTATAATTGTGGCTCAGTAAACATGTTTGTTGATTTCCTCATGAGTGAGATACTCAACAGAGCCCTCTGTAAACAGGAAAATATTTACATCATTGGGAATGCACTTGGCTGCAGTTTCAGAACACCTGACTAGCTCCGTCTTGTGCTCTTTTTAGACAGCACCTTGTCTCATTTGAACAAGACATCTGGAGCCTGGAGATCCCAGGGCTGATATGGCAACAGTGCGATGCCCCCCATGGATATGGGGTCGTTCCATGTTTCTTCCCTGCCTTCCTCAGCATGTTAACCTTTCAGCTTCACATCCGCATCCTCATGGTCACAAGATGGCTGACAAGCTCCAGCTCTCCCATCCCTAGAAAGGTAAAAGAATCAGGGTTAAAAAGCTCTGTCATGAGATTTTGTCAATTTTTATTTCAAAGTGGGCAACCGCCCAACATACTTCTCTTTACACCTCATTAGCCAGAACAGATTCACATGGCAACTCCTGCACCAGTCACTGGCAAAAGGAAAGGGTGAACCATGGTGGTTTTAAGCCAGATTAATCCTCTGTGACTGAAGACAGGCTAGCTTCTCTGAGATTTTGAGATCCCCATCTCTTTTCTTGACACAAAATTGGGGATCTCTGTGCAGAGAAGAAGCAGGAGGTGATGGCTGTTTTGTAGACCACCAAGAATGTCAATGACTACTATGACTGCTGTAATTGTCGCTAGAAGATCTTACTAACCCTATGGAAATTTCACCCCCTTATGATCAGCTCTACTGTAATAAAGTGGATGATGGTAGGACCAGGAGCAGTAGAAGACCTGGGGTATAGTCCTGGCTCTCCCCAGGCTGCAACACAGACGATGGCATTTCTAGAATGTGCTCTTGATACAGAAAGGCTGGATTCCCAGCTAAACCTTACCCTTAAGCCTGGAATCATGGCCCTAAGTGAAAACAGCTGACCTCCTTTTTCCCCCCAAATGTTGCCTTTTTTACCTGCCCCGCCCCTATCCTGTGCCCATTAAAGACTTCAGCTGGCAAAGCAACGCAAATGGCTGAGCGTCGAGGATAGAAGTGGCTGAACAGCGAGCAGAGAAGCAACTGAGCATCGGAGGTTGGAGATAGATGCAGCTAACTTCAGATACTGTGGTTTTAGAGAGGGGCCTGGCCAGAGACGGCTGGGTTCCAGGGACAGACCACCTTCCCATCCCCTTTCCAGCCTCCCTTTCCACTGAGAGCTGCTCGCTGCTCAATAAAGTCTTCTACATTCATCACCCTTCAAACAGTTCATGTGACCTGGTTCTTCCTGGTTCGTCGGACAAGAACCCGGGTGCCAAGAGGGCAAGGGCTGTCACCCTGACCCTCCACTGAGTCGGTTGGTACTTGGCCATCCCTGGACAGCAGAGCTGAAAGAGCATGGGTTGTAACACGCTTGGACTCTACTGCGGGGTCTGCACAGAGTCTGCTCCCGCCAGAGAGGAGCAGCCGGACGGTTCCAGCATGAAGAGTGGCCAGCAATAAGCTGAGTAAAACAAGCTGCTCCAGTTCCCGCCTGCGAAGGGAAGAGGTAGGGACTATCCCATCTCACTATCCCATCTTGCTCTCACTTATAAAATAGGTAGATGGTGTGTAGGCCAGAAGAGGCCCACCTTCTCAGGGGCTTGTGGAAACATAAGGTGATGTTTTTGTTGTCACAATAGCTGAAAGGCACTGCTGGCATTCCAGGGGACGGGATCAAGGACATTAAGTCTCTTGCAATGCTTTCAAATGCCAGTAGCACCTGCTGATGCTCTCTGACATTTATTTCAGCTCAGAAAGCCTCCCCCATTCCTCCTTCCTCCCCATCCCTCCTTCCTCTGTGGTCCCAGCTTACGCCAGTCATCGCCAGCCACTTGCCCAGCTAGGCTCCTGCGGCAGTCAAAACCCCATCCTCATGCCTAGGAACCTGCTGAGACTTACCAGAGGCCACCAGGACCGAGAGGAGCTGTGGGTATTCTCAGGCAGATGAAGGCAATGTCGCGCCATATCCCAGCCTGTGCCCACCCTCTCTGCTGCTGGACTCAGCTCCTGGCGCAGCAGTCACTGGGGTGTTCCCAGCATCTGCCTGGACTGTTCAAGGGCTGCAGCACCCAGTTCCGAGCTAGGGCTCATAATTCAGGTCTACAGAGGTGGAAATTCAGTCCTCTGCCTCTCCTTGCTTCTTTCTGCTTCCAGGACACTGGGCACATTCTTACTTACGAACTTTCCTCCAAGGTGTGATCATGTAGAAGTTGATCATTTATTCATGAGAGCAGATTTTTAGACATGAAATTTCAAAATCACATTTAAGACATATTGCAGATAAGGTCTGCCATTTCCTAGTGTTTGCAGAGGCGGCAGGATGATCTTCAAGTACCTAGCTGGGTGTGGAGGGAGGGCGATGCCCCAGTGCAGACCAGAACTAGGGGATTCAGCATCCACCAGCATTGGAGCACCGTGAGCCTCAGTTCCTGACCAGTGTTCTGGCTGGTCATGACTGTGCTGTGTGGATATTTGAACATTGTCCCTGCAGACATCTCCGTGTATTTCAGGGTGTACAGGTGAAACTGTGTACTAGTCCCCACCCCCAGTGCTTTCACCTGGCATTACTCAACCCTGCCTGAGATGGTGAGTGTGATCTGGGGGAGGGGGTTGCTGGGCATTTTCACCTTGTCCCACCAGGTCCACCCACCCTTCCTCCCTCCCGCTCTCTGTCCTGGGAGGCTGATACATATGTACCACAGCATGGCCCTTGTGGCCTCTGGCTTCTGGGTGTGGCTGCTGGGGGCTTTGCAGGCGGCTGCGGGAGGGCAGGGAGTTGACATCACAGACTGTGCCTGTGGGGTAAACATGGCCTGGCTATGTCCCTTGACTAGAGACCCCAGCTGCCTCCCAGGCCACGTTCTCCACTTGACTCTCCTCTCCCAGCCTATATCACCTACCCCTTCCGGGGATCCTTTGGACCCAAGCGAGCAACAGCCCCTACCTCTCCAATTCCTGGTCCCAGGCGCTTGCACTCTCCCTCCTGCTGAGCCCCTTACCACTCGCTAAGCAATCCCCATGGGCACATGCCCTCCACTTCCAGCTGGAGTCCTGGCACAAAGGGGAGTTCGATACCGACTGAGACTGAGTGTCCACCACAGAGGCAAATGGGGACCTAAAATGAAAATTCAGTTGAGTTACAGAAAAACTGAGGAGCGGTGTTTCTAACCGGCCTGGGCTTTTGGGTTGGATTCACGCCCACTGCAGCAGTGTGGACATTGTAGACGCTCTGAAGACCAGCATCCATTCCTTTACTTGGAGCACATCTAGTGGGCAACCTGACAGCGCCTTGTCATCTCCTGGGAAGCTTTAAAAATGCTGATGCCTGGGCCCCACTGCAGAGAGTGTGGGGTGCAGCCTGGATGTGGGATCAGGGGCCCCCAAGTGGTGCTAAGGAGCATCCAGGGCTGAGCCCACCAAGCCAAACGCTGGGGCTCTAGAGGCAAACACAGCCTGTCCTGTGCTTAAGGACCCCACATTCTGAGAAGGGAGGCCAAGAAGTTACTCACTGAAACATAATGTTACCAGAAAGGGGTCCCAATGCCCCAGGAGAGGGTCCGTGGACCTCATGCAAGAAAGAATTTGGGGCCAGTCCATAGAATAAAGCAAAAGCAAGTTTATTAAGAAAGTAAAGAAATAAAAGAAGGGCTACTCCATAGGCAGAGCTGTGACATGGGCTGCTGGGCTGAGTATACTCATAGTTATTTCTTGATCATCTGTTAAACAAGGCGGTGGGTTATTCATGAGTTTTCTGGGAAAGGGGTGGAGATTTCCTGGAACTGAGGGTTCCTCCCCTTTTTAGACTATATAGGGTAACTTCTGGACATTGCCATGGCATTTGTAAGCTGTCATGGTGCTGGTAGGAGTGTCTTTTAGCATGCTAATGCATTATAATTAGCGTATAATGAGCAATGAGGACAACCAGAGGTCACTTCCATCCCCATCTTGGATTTGGCAGGTTTGGGCTGGCTTCTTTACCACATCCTGTTTTATCAGTGCAATCTCTGTGACCTATGTCTTGTGCCAACCTTCTATCTTATCCTGTAACTAAGAATGCATACACTCCTAGGAATGCAGCCCAGTAGGTCTCAGCCTTATTTTACCCAGCCCCTATTCAAGATGGAGTTGCTCTGGTTCAAGTGCCTCTGACAATCATGGGGCAGGTGTCCAAGTGGAAGGGCGCTCTGGGGGCTCTGAGAGCCCTGAGAGGCGCTGGCCCTGTGACATGGAGAATGGGTTGGGCAACACTTCTTGGAAGTAACAGCGTCAAGCCCTGTAAGCCAGGTGAAAGAGGGAATGGAGAAAGGCACTTCAGTTAAAGGGGGCAGGAAAGGCAGAGTTCCCCAGGGGTGGGTGAGAACTTTCTGGAGTGTCCGTAGACTCTGCTTAAAATCCTGCTGGGTCTTCCCAGAGTACTTAGAAGAAAAAAAAATTCCCAGCCACAGACAGCCATGGCGTGGCCATTGCCCACCTCCAGACCTCCTCCCCAGCCACAGAGCTCCACCATGCACAGCTTGTGTGTGTTAAACACATCCAAGCCTCAGGGCCTTTGCACCTGCTATTCTCTCTGCCTAGAGTGCAGTCCCTTCCTGCACCCCCACCTTACTCCAGTTAATTTTCAACATTCAGACTGATCTCGGTGTCTTCCCTCACTGAGGGACATCACCCCACCACCTCACCACTAAACTCCTCCCCAATCTGTTTTTTTTAAGTTTTGAGACAAAATCTCACTCTGTCACCCAGGCTGGAGAGCAGTGGTGCAATCTTGGCTCACTGTAACCTACGCCTCCCAGGTTTAAGCAATTCTAATGCCTCAGCCTCCTGAGTAGCTGGGACTACAGGTGCACCCCATCATGGCTGGCTAATTTTCCTCCCCAATCTGAAAGTGCCTGCCCACCACCCCCACCCTGTTACCGTTGGCCACATCTCCTTGGTTATGTCCTTCAGAGCATGAATGTCTCATAATGCAAATTTACGCTTCTCAAAACAAAAGAGCATCCAGGGAGCATCTCCCTAATCCAAAGGGATGCTTTGTGAAGGTGAGTTTTGAACTGTGTGGCCTTGTCAGGGGCATTCTGAGGGCCTGAGAGGTCTTCTGCAGCACCCCCTGAGGGTCTCTGGTCATTGTGAGGCTGCTCTTTACTGGACAGCAGATCGTATGATATGACAAAGAGGAATTTTGTTTTTTTAACAATGTGCAGTGACAGGTTTATCTAGTGAGTAAAATAAAGGCCATGTTTTGCACTTGACTTTGTCATTGTTCCAATTCATGGTTGTTTGGCTGCCAGTGAAAGAAATCTAAACAATGGCTAAGACAATGAGAGTTTCACTTGTCTTACAAAAGGGAAATCTGCAGTCAGCATCCAGAGGTGGTATGTAGGCTCCATGTTGCCAAGAGGAAGATGGGTGCCTGCTCTTGTTCTACTCAGCCTCGTTATGGGCATGTTCCTCATGAGCATAGGTGGCTGCTGGTGCACATGCAGCTGACTCTGGCCCCTTCACTTGGCAACACTCACT
The DNA here is from genome assembly GCF_000001405.40 of Homo sapiens. Lineage (NCBI taxonomy): Eukaryota > Metazoa > Chordata > Mammalia > Primates > Hominidae > Homo > Homo sapiens. Next base: position 48,141,139 of record NC_000020.11, read on the forward strand.
TACGTCTCCTTGGTCACCTGCTTTGACTTCAAAGATGGCAAGGCTTTTTACAAGCATGCTACTGAAACCACCTTTGCAAAAATTGAGACAGTGAGAAAATTTTGACAGTGAAGAGATCTGACCTAACCAACCTCATTGTGCCTTTAACCTCCAAACTGCCCTTGGTCATTCCTGGGTGTGGGACGAGCTAACTTTGGGAGAAATTCAGTTTGTAGTTTAACCTTAAAACCAGGATGATAATAGCCCTTTCTCAAAACTAAATCATCAGGTTAGGATTATGAGAGGGGCCTGAATCTGCTGAGATGTAAGCATAGTTAAAGGATACCCACCTTTGTTCCAGAGGTCACAAGATTCATAACTTCCCCAATTACTCCTGCAGATAACATGACTATTGTAGAATCTAAGATTGACCTTTTGAGACGTCTTTTCAGACTTTTGCATTTCTGAAGACCGGATGACTCTGCCTGGACCCGAGACTTGTGACCCACTGGGTCCTGTGGCCCCACCCACAAGCAAACTCAACACACCAGGACCATTTCCCACACCCCTATGATTGCATCCCCAACCAATCAGCAGCACCCATTCCCTAACCCTCTTCCCACAAACTATCCTTGAAAATCCCTAAGCCCTGAATTTGCAGGGAGGCTGATGTGGGTCATAATACAACTCCAGTCTCAGCTGGCTCTGCATGAATTAAACATTCGCTATTACCATTCTCCTGTCTTGATAAATCAGCTCTATCTGGGCAGCCAGCAAGATGAGCCTGTCGGGTGGTTACACTACTTAGATTTAAATATCAACATATTCAGCTAAAAGAGTTGAAAGCAATTGCCCGAGTGTGGAAAAAAGGGGGGGAGGGCAAAGAGAGTGAGAAAATGCTTTTTTAGTAAGAAACCTTATAGAAGTATTTGCTAATCTGTTTGTACATCCCTTGGATTAAATAAATAGAAAAAAAAAAAAGATTGAAGTCATCTGTGAAGTGGCTCTGCAGCCAGTCTTGTCCCTTCCTCCTAGGGGATGGGCAGCAGCTCAGATCCAGGGCCCTCTTCTCCATCTTCCTCCCCCTCCTCCCTCCTCATACACAGTCTGACTGCAGCTTCCCAGCTGGAGCAGAAAGCAAAAGAGAAGTGATTGTACCTAATCACCTAGGTCATTTTCTCAGAAATTGCTTTCTTTTTCACCTTTTTTCATGAGGAACAAAAAGGAACAGGAGAGGCAGCCCAATTGCTGTTCCTGTGAGCTCCGGCTCTCCGCAGGGGGCTGGCCTGAAAGGGCAAATGCCTTTGGAGCAGGCTTCAATCTTCTCTCCCTCTGGAGAGAAGCCTGCCTCAATGCTACTCTACAAAATGAAATGGCCACTTGTGGGGAGGCAGGCAAGTCCGGGCAAAATGCTTTTCACATAAGCATGAGAGAGAAAGAGAGAGCGAGCAAGAGCGCGCACAGCTGCTAACCCGGGTGAGAAGCCCAGATCAACTTCCATTAACTCCTGTGGCTCCAAGTCTTTGAAAGTGTGTCCAAGCTGGACTCACATGGTGATGCCAAAAGTTGACTCTGAGGACTGGAGTTTGAGCCCAGCTTGGGTCTAACTTGCTGTGCAGTCAGGGAAAAGTCATGTAACCTCTCTGGACGTCATTTCTGCATCTGTCGAAGGAGGTGGAAGGATTTCTACTCTGAACGCTGAAAGGGGCAATAGGAAAAGAAAATGAAACCATCGTAATCCCCCCATTTGTAAATTTTGTTAGGGGATATTTGCAACATTTTCTTGGGCTTTATGTCTCAGACAAATGTTCCTTATGTTAGCTCTTAAATAAGGCTGATGTGCTATAATCGTTTCCTTCTTGTCAGTGGTGTACATGGGAGTGATAACTGTGTAACTGAGCATGGTGGCTACTGCTTGGGGAAGGAGGGACATGCACTTGGAGGCAGGTACTCCAAGGGTTTGGCAGCACACACGCAGAGGGCTTCAACCCTCTCCTCATGTCTGGAAGCTAGAAACATGGATATTCATGGTAATATTTTTCATGCCTTTTGTATGTCTACACTGGAGTCATCTACACTGGAGTCTACCAACCTCAGCACTGTTGACATTTTGGGCTGGTTGATTCTCTGTGGTGGGGCTGTCCTGGGCATTGTAGGATGTTTGTCGGCATCCCTGGCCTCTACCCACTAGATGCCAGTAGCACCCTCCCCTTCTCAATTGTGACAAGCCAAAAAGATGTGTCCAGACATTGCCAAATGTCCTCTAAGAGTAAAATTACCCCCAGTTGAGAACCACTAGTCTAGAAAAAAGAGGACCTATGGCTCGGAAATATTAGATGACTTCTCCAAAGTCACAGAGTCAGTAAATGAAAGAGATGGCTCCAGCAGGCAGGCTTTTCATTGTCAGCTAGTGCTCTTTCAAACCTCTCAGAGTGCCCTCAAGAGCAGATAGCTTTATTGTTAGGATTACAGTGGAGTTGCATCAGACGTAAATACAACGGAATACACTTGACAGAAAATAAAACGTGGGAAGATTATCTTTAGTTTTATAACAAAAAGGATAGTAAATGTATGCTAATAATGAAACATAGAATATGTAAATGTATGTAAATAATCCAGCCAGGGCATGCCCCTCTTTGGGCACCTGCCGGTGGGAGGGGGTGGTGGCAGATGGAGCTGCGATTCTGTCATTGTGTCTCCGTTGCCAAGGGCCACTCAAATATGTTCATTTAGCCATATTGAGGATGATCCTGGGGTATGAACATCTTCAGCTGTTTCTACATCTGATGTTGGCCTTGATTAGTAATTTTAGATCCCGAGCCAACATCAGGTGCTACCCTACCGTTTTTCAAAGAGATGGAGGCTGCTGATGCCATGTCTCCAGAGCAGAGCAGGGTGGCAACTGGTTGGCTGGAACCTGCGGGCCCATCATGGGTAAGAGGAAATGAAAATTCTGGAAAGGTGAATAAATTGTAAGCAAGCACCTCACGGCTTACATAACGTAATTGAAATTTCCAGAAGCAGATGGATGATGCCCTAGATCCAAAGGCACAGTAACTAGATGGTTTTATGACAAGGGCAGCTCATCAAATGTCAGGGACGTTCTGATGCAGAATTGCAGATGTCAGGGCTAGCGGGGCAGTTGGACGATGGGGACTCTAACACCTCTTCCAACTCATTGCTTTTCATTAAGTTATTAGATATGAAAAAAAATACTTCTAGTCCAGACTGTCATTTGACCTTTCAGTGGGCCCCTGACTACGTCTCTGACTACGTTTTTAAACTGATGGTCAGCAAATGCATCCCAGGTATGCGTCCTGGGAGGAAACAGTGGGTAATCTGTGCCACACTGCATTTAACTCACCAACAAATTCCACCTCACATTGAGGGGGATGATGAGATGCAGAGATGGGCTTGACACAGGGCAGGAATTCAGCTAGTCTTTGGGCTCCTTAGAGGGAGGCCTTGGGCACTGAATGCCATGATGTCTAAAAGCCCAGAAAGCTTGGAAAACCTATAGAAAGAATGTGAGAATGATTCGAACGGCCTTCCCAGGCATAAAACAGGGGGGAGATACTGCTCATTCAAGTGGCCCCTGCAAGCTTCCTCAGTGTCCTTGAGGAATCATTGGCTAAAGAGCCTTGGCTACCCAGTGGTTAGGAGGATCTATGGTTATGGGCTGGAGCCAGGCTGCCTGGGAGTTAGATGCAGCAACCTCACATGGTGCTGTGCAACACTGAGCAGGTTAATTAATCTCTCTGGTTTTGTTTGTTTGTTTTGTTTGTGTGTGTGTGTGTGTGTGTGTGTATACAAAATGGAATTATCATGAAGATAAATATTAAGTTCAGCTATATGAAATTGCTATTCCCCACAGGAAATTGTCAACCATAGGCAATTTCATATGATTCAACCTAATATTCCATAGGGAATGAAGTTAACAGTTGAAAAGTTCTGACCAAAGTGCCTAGCACTGAATAAGCCCCAGGTAAATGTTAGTATCTTACTTACAAAAGTTTAGGGAAATGTACAGCATCTTCTCTATGTGTTTGTGTGGTGTGCTTCACACTAGTGATCTTCAAACTCTATCACAACCTATCTCTATTAGTCAGGGTTCCCTAAAGGGACAGAACTATTAGGATATATGTATGTATGAAGGGGAGTTTATCGGGAGAATTGATTCACAAGAGCGCAAGGTGAAGTCCCACAATAGGCCATCTGCAAGCTGAGGGACAAGGAAGCCAGTCTGAGTCCCAAAAGCTCAAAAGTAGGGGAGCCAACAGTGCAGCCTTCAGTCTGTGGCCCGAGAGTCCCTGGCAAACCACTGGTATAAGTTCAAGAGTCCAAAAGCTGAAGAACTTGGAGTCTGATGTTCGAGGGCAGGAAGCATCTAGCACAGCAGAAAGGTGGAGGCCAGAACACTCTGCCAGTCTACTCCTTCCATGCTCCTCTGCCTGCTTTTATTCTAGCCGTGCTGGCAGCTGATTAGATGGTGCCCACCCAGATTGAGGGTGGGTCTGCCTCTCCCAGTCCACTGCCTCAAATGTTAATCTCCTTTGGCAACATCCTCACAGACACACCCAGGAACAATATTTTGCATCCTTCAATCCAATCGAGTTAACACTTATTAACCATCACACCATCAGAGGGTTGTGAGCTGTTAATAGGTTAAGAAACAAAATCAGTGGGTCAGAATTTTTCCCAACAGGACGGAATAGGGGAGAAGACAATAGGATATTTTACACATCATAAAATAAATATTGCTTTAAGAGGCTTGTCAATTCCATCACGTGTGTGTGTCTGTCCACATGTGCGTGTGTCTATGCACGAGTGTGTACCGGATCACAGTGAAAGATACATTTCATGCTACGCATTAGAGTTGAATAAAGTTTTAAAGTCAGCTCACTCGACCATATATACTGGACCTTATGAGTACTTAAGGGAATTTTTAAGAGTAATTTTGACTGTGCCACTCACTAATCTGTGGTCTTGAGCAAGTTACTGGGCCTCTCTGTGTCTCAGTTTCTTCATCTAGAAAGCAGTGAAGACCCTTGCACCTGCCTCCCAGGACTGAGGTGAGAAAAGCAGGTAAGAGGCTTGGCGTATTTCCTGGCATGTAATGAAGAGCCCAGAAGGTGCTAGCTGCTGCTGTTTTGCTTGTTCTTTAATTTCCATGGCACGAATGACATTGCAGAAGGTGAGGCTCTACTGCTAAAGGAAGAAATTGATTTATCCCTGATTTGGGGGAAAGCTCACAAGGCAGAACATTCTTCGATAAAATAACCTAAGAATATCAAACAGCAAACAATTACCCACATGTAAACAATTACACTGCACTAAGTAACTCTGTTATAGAAAGATGGCATCACTGTAGGGAGAGATCAATCCAAGAGGACTTCCTGGAGGAGGAAGTTCTCAGCTGATCTCAAAAAAGATTCAGGGGTGGGATTGGAGGAAGGCTGGGTCAAGGACATCTGGGGAGAAAAAAGGATTGTGGAAAGTTCAAGATGTGATCGGTAAATCATGCACAAATGCCAGGATCAAGAGCTGGACCCACCTCCTGGAGAGGGACCACGGTCAGACAATGCTCTCTGGGGTTCACAGGCAAGGGACAAATCAGACATCACGAGAGCTCACTGTTGATGGCATATTATGATCATGTCAGGGCCGGGCATCTGCCTAAGTACTACAAATGTTTATGAATATTAATAAGCATTTTGTTCCCAAAGGACCACAAATCAGTTAATTAGGGCCCTGTCAACCTGTTTATATTATCTATAAATGAAAACCCGTCAGCAACCAAACATGAAATTAAGTGAGCCGTGTGTGGGCTGCCACCATCTCTGGATAAACAACACTGCCAGTTCCCGTGTGAGCCCCACCCTCGGTACAAAGGAGGATATTCTCCTCACCACTCTCATTTTAATCAAGGCAGTGGTTACAGGAGGCCCATGATAGAGGGTGCCTCAGGTTTCACCACTGCATGTGGGGGGATGATTTAAGACTGTCGGTAAATTAGCTGCAATCCAGAGTCTTGGAGGAGAAGAAGAATTACCTATAAATCAATGTTCCATGGACAGGTAATCAGGCCCCCATTCCAAGCCCTGATTACGCTGGACCCAGCAGTCCATCTGTCTCGTCTTCCTGGGGTGATGGGGCTGGGATGGGGGCACTGAGTCATTGGCCCCACCTGGATCATGTTTGCGTCTGGACAGGTCAGTGTCCCTGAGCCCAGGTGTCTTAAGTGTGTTTCCTGGAACAATCCTCAAGAAATCACAGGGCCCTAGAGGCAGAAGCAGAGAGAGAGAGAGAGATGGAGAGAGCGGCAGGGACTGAGAAAGAGATAGATTCATTCAAAAACAGTGTGTGCTGAGCACTGGGCTCGCAGCCCAAGATAGACACGTCAGTGAGCAACGGAACAGACAAGAGAGGTGGCAGGCGACAGAGGAGCCAAGGACCCCGCAGACCAGAGCATGCCCTGAACTGATCAAGGCGAGATGCCCTGTCCTCCACCTCATGACACGGGTGACTCCTTCCGAAAAATTTCCTTCCCAAAAACTCCTTCTGGGGCAAATCCTTGTTAATATTTTTTCCTCTATGCAAAAAACTATGGTTTATTGACCATTTTTATGCTAAAACAACACTAAATTCCAACAAGTTGCATTAAAATGGGCACAATGGCTTGAAGAATTAGAATTAATGATCAAAATTCAACCTAACAAGAGCCATCCCTGCGGTAGAGAACTGGGGTAGAAAACACAGATCCTGGAGCCATCTCCCTGGTTTGAATCCAGGCTCTGCCATTTGCTGGCTGTGTGACCTTGGGTAAGCTACTTACACGGTTTGTGCCTCAGTTTCCTCATCTGTAATATGAGGATAATAACAGGATTGACCATGTGGCAGGATTGAAGGAGTTAATATATGTGAAGTGAACATATCAGCTGTCTAATAATTGCCTGCTTGAGGGGAAGTAAGTAAAGATGTTTAGGGCCTGCAGCCTAGTTGTAGCACAAACCAGCTGTGCAACCTTGAGATATTACTTAACCTCTCTGTTGTCTCATACTCTCTATTTCCCCTTCCTGTGGGAGTAAAGTGGATCTACTTAGCCAGGTTTGCTCATGAGGATGGGAACCATGCATCTATGTTGTAGGTTTGCTTACTTGGTTCTTGTCGCCGTCCCACCAAAAGGTAAGCTCTGGGGTAGGGACGTGGTGTGACCAACTGTTCCCTGCTGCCTGCAGGGTCCCCAGGCCCAGCTTCACAGGCTTGTGACCTGTGCAGCCTCCCATGCTCAGAAGAGCCCCCGACTTGGCTTAGTGCTCTATTGTCACCATCTTAAAATTCTTAAATGTCTTTGAACATGAAACCCTGTATTTCCATTTTGCACTGGGCCTGCATAGCAGGGATCTGATCCAACCCACACACATGTACTAGGTGTGATTCTGGTGGCAGGAAGCCTCTTTCATCTCTTCCTAAACATGTGAGCATCATTTTCTCCCTTGAGCTCGCTGCTGCTCTGTGCCTTTCTGTGGGGAAAGGGGAACACCCCCCCAACCCTGGAACTCCAGGTCCCTGCCCTGCTTTCCCTAAAAAGGGTCCCTCTGTCCCTCACAGATGTGCTGGGAGGTGTAAGCACATTTTCCCAGTTGAGAAGTGATCCAGAGTCACCCCGACATCGTGCCCAGCACTGAGCTGGGTCAGGCTGGAGAGAAATGGTGTTGGCCACAGAATCTGCCATCCCATTGCTATTAGTGTCCTGTGGCTGCTGTGACAAATCACTGCAAACTTCGGGGCTTACAACAATAGGAATTTATTCTCTCACAGTTCTGAAGACAGGAGTCTGAAATCGCGGAGTCTGCAGGGCCTCGCTTCATCCAGTGTCTCTCAGGGAGATGCCTTCACAGCCTCTCTCAGCTTTGGGCAGCCCCAGGTGTTCTCGGCTTGTGGTGGCCTCAGTTGAGTCCCATCCTTCATTTTCACAGGTCTTCCCCTCTGTGTCTGTGTCTCCCTCTTCTGTCTCATAAAAGCACTTGTCATGGTTGTAGGACCTACCCGATTAATCCAGGATAGTCTCCCTCAAGAGTCTTCACTTCATTATGTCTGCAAAGACTCATTTTCTAAATAAGGTCCCATTCACAGGCACCAGAGGTGGAGGCCTTGGTCATATCTTCTTGGGGGCCACAGTTCCATGCACTCCATATCCAAGATGGGGCAGAGAATGCCATGAGGGCAAAGGAAGGCAGGAGCATGACAGTAGCAGCTTATCCGAGCACAGCTCTTCTGCGTGCCGGGAGAGGTTCCCGTTGCCTTGCATGTTCGTTAACTCATTTGCTTTGCATATCAACCGATGCTATGACTGTACCCATTTTACAGATAAGGAAACTGATGCACATGCAAAACCAAGTCATTGCTTCAAGACATCCAGCGAGGACAGGTCAGAGCTGGCAGTGGAAGCCAGTAAGTCTTCCGTCTATAGAGTCTGAGCTCCAACCCACCTGCACCACTGTGGGCTAGGGTCTCAGATGTAGGTGGCCTGGGGCCAGGCAGGTGACATAAAGAGTGAAGGGGCCTCCAGAAAGTGGCCAGGGCTCGGGTGAACTGGAGAGGGAGGTGGGATGTCGTTCCTCAGCACCACCCAAATGCAGCGGTTTCAACTCTCCCTATTTTCCAAAAAGGGAGTAAAATCCAGGCTTTTATGTGGAAATTCCCAACGATCAGATTTGGTGATTGATATATTTTTTAAAAGCAAAATGAAACTCATCAGTAGTCTGTAAATCAGCAGTCAGCTACCACCTCCACGGTAAAGGAGAGGGTCATTAATTCTGACTTTGGGAGTCAAGAACACAAGAATGGCCAGCGCTGATTTAGGGGACGCAAGGCCCTTCCGTGGGCACAGCCGTGCTTGGCAGAGCCGCGGGCGCTTGTGGCTCCCTGCGATCGCTGACTCTTAAGTCCTGCTCTCATCTGGCCCTAAAGAAGCCATCAGCAGGAGGTGACAGCGACCGTAATTCTGTTTTTATGATTACTGAGCAACGGTCATTTCAGGCTGAGTGGTGCTGAGTGATGGGTGGTGATTTAGGCGCCTTACAGAGGGATTAGGGAGGTAAAGCTAAATGCATTTTCCTCCGAGGCCCAGACTGGCTGCAAACAAGTTTCCATGGAGGATGCTGATAAAAAGCAAATTATTTTATTCTGTTCACAATCAATTCCAACTCCAGACTGCAGACTTCCCCAAGAAATAAAGCATTAACACTTATCGTATGGAGCTGAATTCTTTGAGGAATAGTAATTCTTAAACAGACAGAGGCAACATAGTTTTAAACCATTAAAATCCAGCGTGTGCACTTGCTCATCCTTCTTCTTAATGAGCCTTGCGCCGTCTCCATGTATTTGGTGTAAGAAATGAATTCAAATCACATTTCATTGACAGGGAAAGGGGTGCCCTTGGGGGCATTTGTACTAGAAATAGACATTTTTGCAATGGGGTTGTCGGCTTGTGTGGTGGACGCTGGGTCTTTCTGATTGTTCAGCAGCCATTCCCCCATTCTCTGGCCCCAGGTGTTCTTGGCTCACAAACTCAATCCCTGTGCTTTGGGTGGATCCAGGGTTGGCCACGTGACCCAGACCTGGCCCTTCCATTGTCCAGCCTCAGTCACTGGTAGGGGTGGGGATGGGGCTGAAGATGCAACCCTGGTTGGTCTAGTCAGAGCCGATCCCGGATCGCTGCTGGCACAACAGGGACTGAGGCCTCTCCTGATCTCACAGTCACTGTGAGGGCAGGATAGCGGCCTGAGGTTGCTGCTCATCATGTCTTTCATTCCTGCCAGCTGAGAATGGGGCCAACCTAGAGAACAGAGGAACTGAGAGACAGAGAGAAATGGATCAGTGTTTCCAGAGTCCAGAATCCAAGTCACTTAAACCCTGGATCCAGCTGCATCTGAGGCCATAAACCCTTCGAGCTTTCATTTACAGAAGTGATCATACTCCTTTTTACTTTAGTCCATCTGATTTGGGTTTCTGTCACTCACTTGCAACCAAAAAAGTCCTGGCACACACCTCCTTGTAAGACACCATCTTTTCCAGAGCACTGGTCTAGCCCATGATTTTCCCCAAAGGTGACAGCACAGAGACAATTCTTCTCTCTCTGCTCAGTCAGACATACACTGGCCTGGGGTCCTCTGGTCATTTTCCTTGCTTCTCTTAAGGCCCTGTTCCAAACATGCAAATCACGGATCCTTCCATGGTTAATCTCTCCTGGGCAGAGGTTGAGGGAAGGTAGAGGTCACCGGCACATAGTTCATTTGCAAATATATGCTGATGACATCTATCTTCCCTCAACCAATGCACCCTCAGGTTGGGCCCTGGCTATCTAACACTGCAAAAAGCCTTCACCTGCCTAGAGTGATTCCGGAAACACCAAGAAGCATGCCCTCCCTGTTTCCCCAAATCCTTCCCACACCATCGCTGCTGCCTGGAATGCCAGCATTAGGGAGTCTCGTTTTGAATTTCCAGATGAAGAAAATCATCCTGGAGAAAAGCAACACTTTAAACCTCACATTAAAGCTTCTTCAATGAGAATATGAGAATCCGTTTTCCACGAGCAATTGTTGATAAGAGAAAGGTAGAATTTGTGGCACGGTCCAATCTTAGTCTCAGCATTTACGATATTTTGGGAGCATGAAAATCTCTGGAGATGTGACCTAGTGGAGTAGAAAGATAACGGGAGGCCTGGTTTCTAATCCTGCTGGAGATTCATTTACCCAGCAAATACTTACTGAACATTATTACGTGACAAACTCTGTGCAAAGCACCAGAACGTTGTGAGTTGTATGACTTTGGGCGTTTTCTGAGTTGCAGGGGTGAGGCCAGAAACAGTGAAGATGAGGACATTTGGACACTTTCCCTTCCTGCACCATGGCATGCATTACTAAATGATCAGGACACTCCATCCTGCTGGGGGCTTGAGCATGTTCTTAGCGGGTACCAGGTGGCTGCATCAGTCAGAATGGGCTAGATTATGCTGTGTAAGAAACACATAAGCTGTTTCATGGCTCACAAGAGCAAAGGTGACTTTTTCACGGGGCTGCAGGTCCTCCACAGCCGGACTGCCACTCAGCTCCAAGCCACCTGCCATCCAGAACTCCAAGCTCTATCACAGGGTTTCCCAACCTCAGCACTACTGGCATTCTCTATCGTGGGGGCTGTTCTGTGCAGAGAAGGATGTTTAGCAGCATCTGTGGCCTCCACCGATGTCATGGGTTGAATTGTGCCCCCCAACCCTTTTCATATGTTAAAGTCCTAAGCCCAGATACTTCAGAATGTGGCCTTATTTGGAAATGGGGTTGCTGCAGATGTAATTAGCTAAGATGAAGTCACACTGGAGTAGGGTGGGGCTGTAATCCAAAGTGACTAGCGTCCCTAGAAAAGGGGGAAAATTGGATGCAGACATGCGCACAGAGAGAACGCCATGTGAAGACGAAGGCAGAGATGAGGGTGATGCTTCTATGAGCTAAGAAACACCAAAGGTGGCCAGTGACACACCAGAAACTAGAGGAGAGGCACAGAACAGATTCTCCTCACAGTCCTCAGAAGAACCGACCCCACCGACACCTTGATCTGGGACTCCAGAACTGTGAGCCTGTTGTTTCTGTTGTTGAAGCTGCCCAGTCTGTGGTACCATGTTACTGCAGCCCTAGCAAACAAATTCAACTGCAGGGTGCCCGTAGCACCCTTCCTCCAAGTCATGGCACCCAAAAATGTCTCCAGACATTGTGAACGGTCCCTTGGGTGTCAGAATCCTCCTGGGCTGAGGAGCACGCTCTACCAGGAGCATTTCCAGGGACTGGTGGAGCAGGCACAGGTGGAGCTTCAGCTCAGAAGTAGCTCATGTCACTTCCACTCATTCCATTGGCTGAAGCAAGTCACGAAGGCATGCCTGAGTCCACAGGGTGGGGTTTACGGCCTTCCCATGGAGCGGGGCATTGTACGGTGAACAGTCACCCATTTTCCCCAAAATCACCACCTAAGGGGAAGAAGTGGCAGGTGAGCCCGTGGTCTCAACCTCCCCTCCACTGGGCCTTTGCTCACTTGCCTCCTTCTCAAGGGGGCTTGCTGGGGCTGCGCCCTCTCCCACCCTCTTGTCTCCCTTCCCTGCTGTACATTCCCCTGGTTCTTGCCTCTGTCCAGCACATGGATTCCCTTCGGATGCATTCTGAGTGTCCTCTGGCTCCCCTCCCACGTGCCAGCCCCACGAGGACAGGCCCTCGGTGTTACAGCTCAGCCCCTAGCACGTCTCCTGCCCGGCGCAGATGCTCCATGGATGTTGGTTGAGAGAGTGAGTGAATCCATGAGCGAATAAAACTTTCAGGACTAGGTGATCTCCAAGAACACGCTGGAATTCTCCCATTCCAGCAGGAATTGGAGGCTGTTCTTTCCTGTCCCTAAGCCTACCCATCCCATGGTCTCACTTCCTGCCAGAATAACAGATCCTGTCCTTATGCCAAGGGAGTAAACCTCCGTCCCTTCCTCGTAGTTGGCCAGTTTAGCTCCTAGTCAGTAACCCGCAGGAGCAGGGTGTTTGGTAACCAGGAGCTACCAACTGTAATGAGGACACCTGCAGAAGCCAGGGCCTCTGCTGGTTGCTATGGAAACCCTGCAAAGGGAAAGTCAGCCTTTCCTCATCAGAGCTATGTGGAGGCAGATGCATGTTGGTGATCTCATTAGCCCTTCCAACCAGTGGCCCCTGGAAGTTTCCTGCTTGCACCCTCTCTTGCCCATCCACTCTCTCCCTGAGCTCTGGAGATGAGAGCAAGTGTTGTCCTGGGGTCCTTGGCCTTGTGGGGTTTTACAGTCTATGCAATATAATCTACAAGCATTTATTGAGCATCTTTTATGTGCTTGGGCCCAAGTGCAGCCTTTTTCCCCCAAAGAGAAGACATTGAAAAACCCACAGCAGTGTGGCCAAGCACACGTTCTGGAGCCCGACCGTCTGGTTCAAGTCTCAGCCCTGCCATTCTCTTGCTATGTGTGGTGCCTTTAAAATACTTCTACAAGTTCTTTGACAGTCCTTCCGCTAGAAATATTTTTGTTTCTCTGCTGTTGACTAGGAATGAGTCGTCCTCACGGACAGCATGTAGGGGAAGTGGAAACTGCAAATTCCCAAGGTTTGGTCACAAAAGGCAGTTCAGATCTCGCCCCTTTCTCTCCCTCTCTCTCTCTCGACTTGTTTCTTAGGAGCTCTGGCCCAAGGTGTCAGAACTTTGATGACCCTGAAGCTAGGCTGGAGATGTCATGACAACAGATTGCGCGGAGACAGACAGAGATGGTGGGGGAGCCCTAGCTCCTGGCCTCAGCATCGCTGTGGGTATGAGGCTCAGAGGGGTAGACACGCTCCAAGACCACCAGGCAATGCCTTATCTGCAGGCATCCCAGAATGTGAACTTGAGCCTCCTCCAGCTAACACAGACTCCCTGCTCCCATGGTGTGGGAGGGAGGAGGCAGAGCCCAGAGGGGAGACAATCTGGTTGTGCAGAGAGGAACACTGAGGGCTGTGTTCTGAGTGGCAAGGAGCAAGGGACTCGCAGGGGCAAGGCTGGGGGCAAGGCCAGCCACAGGCAGAAGTCGGGGCTGAGCACAATTTGCACAGCTCTAGCAAGTTCTAACTTCTCCTCCTATAGTTTCTTCTATAGCTCCCGAGACACTGCTCCTTGTGAGTGGTGGTACCAAGAAAGGGACAGAAGCAAGACACAGGCAGAGAAAGATAGAGACACAGAGAGACAGGGAAGTGCCCAAAGGAAGACAGACTGAAGCAGAAAGAAAAAGAAAGAGCAAGAGAAAGTGAGAGAGAGATCAAGGGGAAGACAGAGAGAGAAACGGAGGCTGGATGGATTCCAAGAGCTACAGAAAGTCGGGGTCGGGTGGCGGGGGCATTAGGCTCCAGGTATTGAGAACCCCAAGTCTGATCCCATGGAAGTCACTGCTTCTGCCTCCTGGGAAAAGGCTGGCAGCTGTTCTTGCTGGTCACCTACCCCTGCATTCCTGGTCCCACCACCCCCAGACACATAGGAGCTCCGTGTGCTACAACAGGCCTTTGTTTCCCTGAGGGTCCATTCTGCGCCCAGCCCCATCTCTGCCCTGACTCCCAAGCTGCCCACCTCCTGGCGTGAACAGATGCCCCCCTCTTCTTGTTTTCCCTGTGGACAGAGGGGACCCAGCCTGGGCTTCTCCAGGCCCGGGCATTGTGGATTCAGGGCAGACGCCCTCCCTGGGAAGTCAGAGGGAACAGATGTGCTTCTGTGGTCTCCATGGAGACCTGCCAGCCGGGCAACCTCAATGGGCAGCCGGGCCTCGAAGCTTTTGTCTTTGCAAAGCCTTTCGCTGAATGCAAACACTAAAAGCAAATCTGCCAGGCATCCAGAGAGACTGGGGCTTCCCTCCTGGCCTCTTGGGGCCTGGCCAACTAGGACACCCCAAAGCAGGAACAGATGCATGGCGGCCCTTGGTGAACTCTCAGAGGACCCCAGGCACAGGCTCTGGTTAAATAATGCTCGGCTCCACCTGCTGTTGTTAAAACATGCCAATGCCCACTCCAGTTATAGTACGATGGCCCCACAAGTCTGCCCTGGAAGAAAGAAAAGAACAACCCTGGCCTGTCTTGAATGGATATCAAAAAGCATGTTCAACAGGTGGAGGCAGATGACTAGAATATTTCACGGCCAATTGTTTATTCATTCGGCAATGGACTAGGGTATAGGCAGTGAGCACCCCAGACACAGACTGTCCTCTCATGGAGCTGATATGAAGTAGAGGAGATGGACACTCAACACGGTGACAACTAAATAAGAAGTTTCCAGCCAAGGAAACAAGAGCAGATCGAGGGCTAGAGAGTAATGAGAGTGGGTGGGGCCTATGTCATGGGGCACACAGGGAAAGTGGTTCCAAGCAGGTGACATGACAGCAGAGACCTGAATGTGATGAGGAAGAGTGGCCTAGGAGGAGGGCTCAGAGTCCAGTGTAAAGGCTCAGAGTCCACCTTATTCAGAAGCTAAGGCACTCACTAATCAGAATTATTCCCACCCACTCAGGATGCTTCCTGGCTTCATGAAGATGGAGGCACAGCCTCTGCCCCAGGAAGACCTTGTAAGATCTTCTTCCTCTTCCAGAGGGCAGGGTCAGGTAGGGGGTGCAGAGAGCTCCAGGGGGCTCCCCTTTCAGGTTAACCTGCATGTGAGGCTGATGTTCAGGTGCTGTGGGACCTTAAAACCACAGAGCTGGAAGGTTCCTCTGGGGTCACATAACTGCCCAGTGGGTTCTCCTTGCGTGCTGCCCAGACAGAGCCAATTTATCAAGAGAGGAGAATTACAACAGAGAAAGAGTTTAATTCACACAGTGCTGGCTGAAGGGGAGAGCAGAGTTTTATTACTCAAATCAGTCTCTCTGAAAATTCAGAGGCCAGGGTTTTTCAAGCACAGTTTGTTAAGCAGGAGGCTAGGGAATGGGTGCTGCTGATTGGTTGGGGATGCAATCATCGGGGTGTGGAAAACAGTCCTTGTACTCTGAATTCACCTCTGGGTGGGGCCACAAGGACCGAGTTAAAAGTCACAGGTCCAGGTAGAGTCATCCAGGTGGTTTTCAGGAATGCAGAAGTCTGAGAAGACACCTCAAAAGGCCACTCCTAGGTTCTACAATCATCCTGTTATCTGCAGGAGTCACTGGGGAAGTTGCAAATCTTGTGGCCTCCAGAATAATGATTGGTAAAATCCTTTTTGCCTGGTAGAATTTGGGCTCCTCTCATCCTTCTAACCCAGTGGTCTTTCATTAGGAGGTTTAGTTTGTGGGAAGGGATATTACCATTTAAACTATACACTAAATTTCTCCCAAGGTTAGCTTGCCAAGCACAAGAATGACCAAGGGCAGTTGGAGGCTGAAGGCAAGATAGGGGTTGGTTAGGTCAGATGTCTTTCACGGCCATAATTTTCTGTTATAATTTTTGCAAAGGAGGAATTGTCAGAGGTGAACCAGGAGATTCCATCTTGAATAGGGGCTGGAAAAAATGAGGCTGAGACCTGCTGGGCTGCATTCCCAGGAGGTTAGGCATTCTTAGTCACAGGATGAGGTAGGAGGTCAGCACAAGATACAGGTCACAAAGACCCCGCTGATAAAACAGGATGTGGTAAAGAAGCCCACCAAAACCCACCAAAACCAAGACAGTGACCAAAGTGATCTCTGGTCATCCTCAATGCTCATTATACACCAATTATAATGCATCAGCATGCTAAAAGACACTTCCACTAGTGCCAGGACAGTTTACAAATGCCATGACAACATCAAGAAGTTACCCTCTATGGTCTACAATGGGGAGGTACCCTCAGTTCCAGGAATTGCCTGCCCCTTTCCTGGAAAACTCATGAATAATCCACCCCATGTTTAGCATATGGTCAAGAAATAACTATAAGTATACTCGGTCAAGCAGCCCATGCTGCTGCTCTGCCTATGGAGTAGCCATTCTTTTATTCCTTTACTTTCTTAATAGACTTGCTTTCACTTTACTCTATGGACTTGCCCCAAATTCTTTCTTGCATGAGGTCCAAGAACCTTCTCTTGGGGTCTGGATCAGGACCCCTTTCTGGTAATGTTTCCAGTCACTCAGGCCAGCATTTCCCAAACACCAGCATTCATGTCCACCAGCACCGTCTTGTACCTGCATCTCACCTGGGCAAAATTACCTATGTCCTTTCAAACCTGCTTTCCATCAACTCTCTTGTAAGAATCAACCTCATACTTGGGAATAGCAATTATCACATTATTTCTTGTTCTTTCTATTTCTTGATAAATAGTTATTAAAATAGAAACATGCATGTCCAGGTACCACCTGAAATCTGCCCACTGATGCCACTTTGGCAGCACTGTTCTTGTCCAGCCTCTGAGTTTATGCACAGCTGAGGCCCAGAGACATGAGAGGATTTGTACAAAACCGCAGGATTAGCAAACTCTCTTCATTTCCAACTCCCTGTCTGTCCTCTGGGCTGGCTCATTCCCAGCCGACATTCAGAAAACAGGCCCAGTGACCCAGGTCACCCAGTTCTCAGAGGATGCCAGGTCTCAGTGCTCTTTGATTTCTTTCTGAATAAGCTGTCTCTTTCCTCCTCAATCTCTCCCTTCCATCTCTCCTTCCCTCCCTCCTTTCCTCCTTCCTTCTCCCTCCCTCTCCACTCTCCATAGTTCTGAAGTCACCAAGAAGATTGTGGAAACTTAACTCTTCCTAACTCACTGATTCCAAGCCACTCTTTCCAGAGAAAACACCATTTATTTCACCCTCTTCTCCATAAAGGGGCAAAAAGATCCTTATTCCTCATGAACATTTTGAAACAACCTATCACATCAAATATGGGTCAAATCACCCCCAACAGAATCCTTCAGGGAGGATTAATGGATACATTTATTGACTCAACAATTTTTATTGTTATTTATTTTGCTACTTTTAAAATATGACATTTATTGGTTAGGTGGTTTGATACAGAAGAGCTTTCTTTTCATTCTGCTTTTGAAAGTTCTATACAACTGAATACAAAGAGGAACAAGAAGTACCAAAATCAAACTTATTATTCCCTGTCCATGTGGCATTGACCAGTTTTGTATATAACAGATAGCGACAGTTTTTAAGTTTCCTTTAGAAAAATACGAATTCTACACATTTGCTATTGTTTCCTGTCTAATGCATGGGCTGACATCACTGGGATCAGCTTCCTTCTTGAAGAAAAAAAGGAGATGAAAGAGACCAACATAGGGTCAGAACGCATGGCGAATCTTTCTGAAGCTGGCATCTGACTGTCACGTAGCTTCCCCAGAGCTGCTGGAAAACAGCCCTCTGGGTTTTTGTTTTTGTGGGGTTTTTTTTTTCACAGCCAGGTATTTCATGTAGTGATTGAATCTCAGCATTTCAACAAATATTTATTAAGAACTCAAATGTGAGTCAGACCCTGTTCAAATCACTGGAAGCAAAGCAACGAGCAAAAGAAAAATCCTGCCCTGGTGGAGCTTATATTCTGCTTGGGGAAAACAGGTAATGAACCAACAAACAAAGGTACCATTGAAACAAAAATGAATGAATGAATCATTAGTCTTCATGCAAATTCCTTTCCATCCGTCAAAACCTGGCTTAACTCTGCTTTCTCCTGGCAGCCCTCCCAGCTCCAGAACATCTGGACGCTCTGTCCTCTGCCTCCCATGGCACATGACACACGACATGTGGCCCTGCAGAGAGCCACTAGCAGCTCAGGGGATGTTCAATGAATGAAAACAGATGAATGAGCATGTGCTTATGTGCAGAAAACAACTGCGGATGTGCTTGTGTTTACGTGCATTGGATGACAGGTGTGTGTGTGTTTGTGCACACGTGCTAATGGAGGAGGCTAGGTATGTGGGTGTGTGCTTGGGTGCAGTGAATTGTGTTTTGTGGGTTGGAATGAGGTTGTATTCAGCACGAGCAAAGATATACAGTACCTGAGCAGGAGGTTTTGTGGTTCACAAGAGTGTGTGCATTTAACATATATGTACAAGTAGGTGTGAGTGTGTGCTTTATAAGTGCATGTGTATGTGTGTAACAGAGGGTGTGGGAGTGTGTGTGTGTTTGCAAGTGCATGTATATGAGTGTGGGTAAGAGAGTAAGTATATTTGTGTGTGTGTTTGCTAGCGTGTGTATGTGTCTAAGACTGAGTGTATTTGTAGTGTGTGTTTGCAAGTTCGTGTGTGTGAGTGTGTGTGTTTGCATGTGTGTGGTAGGCACAGACACACGCCTAACAGTTCCTGCCTGACTGGCAGGTGTGGATTACAGACCACACTGACTTTGTGGCGATCCAGAAATGCAGAGCAGGGATGGATTTCTGCCCAGGATTCAGGAAGAGGGAAGAGGAGAATGGTAGCGGGGCCAGGCGCGGTGGCTCACGCCTGTAATCCCAGCACTTTGGGAGGCTGAGGGGGGTGGATCACCTGAGATCAGGAGTTCAAGACCAGCCTGGCCAGTGTGGTGAAACCCCGTCTCTACTAAAAATACAAAAATTAGCTGGGCATGGTGGCGCGCCTGTAATCCCAGCTACTCGGGATGCTGAGGCCAGAGAATTGCTTGAACTTTGGAGGCGGAGGTTCCAGTGAGCCGAGATTGCACCATTGCACTCCAGCCTGGGCAACAAAAGTGAAACTCCATCTCAAAAAACAAACAAACAAACAAACAAACAAACAAACAAACAAAACAAAAAACAAAAACGGAAGCAGATAGAGATGCCCAGGAGCTTGCATTCCGTCTTCTGGGTCCCCTGTACCATCAAGAAAGGAAGCCAAGGGTCAGGCCTACATGTGATCACCTGTCTATGCCAAGGGTGCACCCAAGGCTGCCAGGCTTGGTTGCTTCCATGTTCCCTCTAAACCCCCTTCTCTGTGAAGACAGAGACTGTGAAGCAACTGCCTTTGAAGAGGCCATGCCTGTCTGAGCTGAGCTCCTCCATAAGAGGTGGTCTCAGTGTAGGAAGAACCATCAGACCACTGGGCCCACCCTGACTCCACTGCTATGAGCTCCATGGTGCTGGATAAATGGCTCCGCTCCTCTGCTGCCTCATCCACATCACAGACATAAAAAACCCATCTGGCTCAGGGGGCGGAGGAATAAAGAAAGATTGGTTCCCACACAGCACATAACCAATGCCCTGAACAAACGCCATTCTCGGTGTCATTGCCTGTTCCTATCATGGGGCAAAGCTTCCACACAGGACCCAGGCCAGCAGACACCAGAACTGCTCCCCCTCGGTCACCCATCCTCATGGCTCCTGCCTGCCTGCTTAGGGGCTGTCCCTGGGGTTCCCCAGGGCTGTCCCATGCTCCTCCCAGGCCTCCTGACCATGTCCTTGGTCAGGTCTCTATTCCCCTACCCCTGCCCCCACTGAGGGCTGACTTTGGCCTCTTCTTGGAGATCCCAGAGGACTACCCAGGGACCACCTATTTCCCCCACCCAACCTGGACAGCCTGCCTGGCTGTGCTCCTGTGCCTTTCTCCTCTCCCTTTACCCTCCTGCTCATCCAGCAGGAGCAAAGCTCCACATGCTGTCTTCTGACTCCTCTTCCCCTATCACTGCACGCAGGAGACCTGGCCACACTGAAGTGGCCCCACTTTCCTGCCCCCTCACTCACTCCCAAACAAACCCCCACTCCCTCCAGAGAGAAGGCAGGTGGAGGAAGCAAGAGTCGAGAGCTGGGTCTGCACAGCTGAGTTCCCCTCGGGACCCTCCCAAGTGCCCCAGAGGGTCCTGGCTTGCTCAGCTCCACATGCCACCCACTAGCCACGCTGGGCAGCTTACCTTTCCAGCTACCCGGAACCCAGGGCTCCAAATCTCCGAGATGGCTTCTCAGCCAGAAAAGTCCTCCTGTTGACTTCTTCGTTCCCCTCGCTGTTCCAGGGAAGGTCAGGCTATGTGGATTTATTCTCCATTAAATGATACATGCTGATCTATGCACCCTCACTATAGCCAGAGCCGCTCCCACAGTGCAGAGCTGTCAGCGTGGCTGGGTGGTCAGGGCCACAGCCCCAGGCTGGGAAGACTCAGCCCATCTCTTGAGGTCCACCTGGGTCCCAGCCACAGCTGAATGGAGCTTCTGACTCCTGTGCCCTTGGAGGTGTGGAATGGGACTTAACCAGAGAGGCCTGATGCCGCCGACTCCCCACAGCAAGGACACCAGATGCCTTCCAGGAAGCCACAGGCCCTGCCACCTCCAACTCCATCCTCAGGTCCTCTGCAGATATCTGCCACAGAATTCAGCCCACGGAGACCAGGAACTCCAAGGGCAGTCGATCAGGCCTGACTGTGCCAGGGAGCCCAACCCCATCCACCCCCTGATGACAAAATCTTCAACTGCTCAAGATGCCTGCACCGAGGAGCAACATGGGGTCAGCATCCACTGGGAAACCATCACTCATGCTGGGGGCGGCCTGAGAGCAGAGCCCGGCCCATAGTAAATTCTCAGCAAATACTGCTTATTTTTAATATCCTCCCAAAAATGCAACCACCAACTGATGGTTTGCCAAACTTCAGTCATTTACACCTTAGCTTCCTGTTTTTTTGTTTTTTGTTTGTTTGTTTGTTTGTTTTTGAGACAGGGTCTCTCTGTCACCTAGGCTGGAGTACAGTGACTCGATCGTGGCTCACCGCAGCCTCAATCTCCCCAGGCTCAGACTCCTGAGTAGCTGGGACTACAGGCGTGAGCCACCATGGCTGGCTAATTTTTGTGTTTTTTTTGTAGAGACAGGGTATCATCATGTTGCCCAGGCTGGTCTCAAACTCTTGGGCTCAAGCGATCCGCCTGCCTCGGCCTCCCAAAGTCCTGGGATTACAGACATGAGCCACTGCACCCGGCCAGCTTCCTGGTTGTCATGATAGCAACACCTGTCTCTAGTTTTTCCTAGATTTTTCAAAATGGATACATATTCTACTTAAGCACAGCTATTTATTACAGAAATCACACGCTCTCTCTCTCTCTTCGTATTTTGACGTTTAAAACCAGTGCCATAAATAGAAGATAATAATAAAAGGAAATACAGTGTGAGTAGTATCACAGTGGCTTCCAGGCTCTGAGCCTGAGGCCTGCTCCATCCGCAGAAGGATGAGCAAGCGATAGCGAAGCATTCAAGGCAGGCTTTCGATGGGCGGAGACTCTGGCCAGGGGAAAACAGAGGGATCAAAAGAGATTTGCACCTGCGAGTCCATGTCATTGCGTGTGACACGTCAGCCTGCTACCAAAACACCTTGCGTTTGTCTGAAAGCCCCCCCACCTTTCTGTGTGGCTCACACGTCCTGCACTGTGGGAAATACGGAGTCCACCAAGCAGCCAGGCACCATGGCTGGAAGATCAGATCTGTGCCAGGTCAGCCCATGCGCTCCCATCTGGCTCAAGTCAGTTTCTTTACCTGTGAAATGGGAGGAGATATTAGACTGATTTCCCTAAGGTCCCTGCAGCTCTGATCTGCTGAGAAGTCTAACACAACACATCCCTGTGATTTTCCAGGATGTTTAAGAACATCAGGAGACCATCAGTTAAGACAATCTGGGGTCATCACCCAGTCAGCCCTGGTTGCTTTATTGAGCACCACCTGTGTCCGGAGCACGGCATAGCATAAATGAGGTAGGTTAGATGATGTGGTCACAGTCTCCCTTAAAGGAGACTTAAAGGAGACCTTAAAGTCTCCCTCGAAGGAGAGCGAACTTGCTAAATATATGGAGAGAACGCACTGCCCAATTGTGCACAAACTACATCCTGGGCTTGTGGTTAGAATATCCTGCAGCCAGGAGGTAGAGGAGCAGAAAGGAAAATCCCCAAATTCATGCAAGTGCAGAAACTTGTGATTAATGTCCTTGGGTTGACCTGTGCTTATTATAACAGTAAAAAACACCTCAGTGGAGATTTACAATGCTAATGAGACATGTATGTACAACCATGCACAGCCGCAGCCTATGCACTGCCAGAAAACCACCCAGAACATGCTCAGCAGCAGAGCCCCTTCCTGGCCCTTCATGAATTCTCATGGAAGACCCCCAAATCTGCAGCGTCCGTCGGTGCAGCCTCACCCTTGCTCAGCCTGCTCTGATCAGCTGGCAGAGCACACTTCCGTTTTGCAATCCACTCCCTTGCTTGCTTTTACTTTGGACTTGCTCTCAAATTCTTTTGTGTGGCGGAGTCAAGAACCTGAACCTGCCCACAGGCAACATAAAGAGACAAAAGGCAGGTCCTCCCTCCCGTGAAGGAGGCAGCTGGCAACAGGAGGCACTTTCTGGGATATCAACAAGGCCTCTGTGTCACAGGGATGCCCACTCCTGCCCACCCATGCCGGGAGGACCCTATGATGGCTGAACTCTCACTGAAGGCGGGGGCTTGATGGCCAACACCCCAGCAAACAAGCTTCATTTGTTTAACACGTTCAGTATCTGTCTTTCCACTTGCTGCCACCCCAGCTCCCCTACACAAGCACACACACGTGCACACACACACGCACACTCACACACTCACACCCACCCACTCTCTCACGCACACACACGCACTCACACCCATTCACTCACTCACAGGCACACACCCTCACACACCCTCACACGCACACTCACACTCTCACACCCACCTGCCCACTCTTTCACACACACTATCATACACACTCACACTCACACCCACTCATACACTCACAGACACACACACTCTCACACACACATGCTCTCACACACACACACACAAGCTCCACGAGGGCAGGGCTTTGCTCATTGTAGTAATTATGGCATCCCCATTGCTTGACCAATAACCACTGGACTCATTCATCCCACAAATAGTTATTGCACACCTGCCGTGTGCCAGGGGCCAGGCGTATAGAGTTGAAAGAGGCAAGTACAGCCCTTCTTCACGTGAAGTCTGCATTGTGGTTATGGGGTCAGTTAAGCCAAGAAGCCAATAAACACATAATTCCAGGCAATTATAGATGCTGTGGAAAAAAGAATGCAGGGCAGGAGATGGAGCGAGAGAGTGGGGCTGCTGTTGACAGTGGTCAGGGATGGTTTCTCGGAGGAGGTGCCTGTGAGTAGAGCCCTGCGTGTGATGACAGCCAGCTCGGAAGGGCAAATCATTCCAGCCCGGCCCGGCATTCCACAGCCTCCTCCCAGCCCTCATGTGTCTCCCCGGTCCTCATCACCACCTGGTATTCCCTGTACATTTCTTTCTTGTCAGTCTCCCTGAGTGTAATTTAAATTCCATAAGGGAAGGGATAATGCTCACCGTGCATACTTGGAGCCTAGAACAGTGCCTGACACGTAGTAGGGTCTCCACGCATGTTTGTTGAATGAAAGACTATCACATTGCCTTGTGATTGTTTACATTACAATACGATTAAAACATTAGTTTGTGACTCATCTCTTTTTCTTCTTTCTGATAGCCCCTGTGGACTTCTCAGCCGAAAAAGAATGGCAAGGTGACCTTCTGTCCTTTGGGAAGCAAACCAGGCCTGGGGGCTCTGAGTTCTGAGCCCCTTTCTGTCCAGGTTTCAAGGCTGACACCTCGTGACCATCAAGTAATGATGGTAGCCGGGTGCCATGGGAGGGAATGAAGGCTGGCTGGGGGTTACAGAGAGGAAGGAGTTACAGAGAGGAAGGAGTGGGTCCTGCAGGTTGGTTCCTGAAGATGGGCAGGAAGGGTGGGGTTTGGGGACTCGAGGCGCATGGGAGGAAGGGCCTTTGGGGGGATGGCTCTGGGTGGGTTTGCGGGAAGCCAGACTGAGTACACAGAGGGAGGAATGTTTCTGCCGCCCAGCGCCGCAGCAGAACTTGGCCTTGACAGTTGCCTGGAGGGTGGGAGGAAGAGTTGGAAGGGTTCTGATAGCAGCAACTGTTATCGTTCCCACCGTTATTAGGCTGGCTGGTGCGTATCGAGGGCTTACTATGCCAGCAGTGTTCTCAGCGGTTCCCACATATTGAGAGATTCAATCATCACAACAGTTCTATGAACAGGGACTATTATTCCCCTTTTACAGATGAAGAAACGGAGGCAAAGAATGAGGCAGTAACTTTCCCAAAGCCACACAGCTGCTAAGTGACAGAGCCAGGGTTCAGCTCAGGTGGTCTGGCTCCAGGGACACAGCTCAGCCAGCCTCACCTGAGGACGAGGGGCCCTTTTTCTCGGGCTGGGTGAGCCCCCTCCCCATCCACCCGAAATCATGAAATCCCCAAAATAATGAAGATTCAATTTTAAAATGAGGAGTTGACACATCTCAGGGGAACAAGTCCCCATTTGAGCATTTCTACCTCCCTTCCCACAAAGGTGTAGAGATTGTACCTGCTCCTACCATGACGATGACAATATGTAAGCAAACCTCTAACCGTGAAACACAAGTCCTGGGCATCCCGCTGGGCAGGGTCTTTGGTCCTCCACGGGGACAGGTCCTGTGAGAGGGTGGCATTCTCCTGGGTGGGAACATCCTCTGTAAATGCAACTCCCAGAGTATCCCCCCGGCCACTGACTGTGCCTTGACTCTGGGATGGGAAGATCATCTTTCCAGAGACAGGGAAAGAAGCAGTGGTTCGGAGGCAGTCAGGGTTCCAGTCCCAGCTCTGCCAGTAAGTAGCTGTGTGACCTTGGGCAAGTTGCTTGGCCTCTCTGTGCCTCGGTGTCTTCCTCTGTAAAATGGGCATGAAGGTAATGGCCCCTCCCACAGAGAGGGCTTGGGGATGAGCTTGGTCAGCACGCATAATGGAGCAGTACTGGGCACAGGGTAGGCGCCCTGCAAAGTCAGATGTTCTATTTGTTTGTTTCAGGCTTCTAATCCTATCCCAGCCAGAGCCTGGGAAGAAGGAGATGAAACCAAACCAAAAAGAATGTTTTGGTTGCCAACCATAAACAGAAATGCTCCTCTAAAGCAGCACTGACCACCCGTGGTTCTCTCTGCAGGGTCAGGGAGCTGAGTTCTTTTCCACAGGACAACCACCCAGGTCATAAACAAGCCACAAAGACCAAAACCTGGTCTTAACCTCAGACCGGGAAGAAGAAGAGCAAATCACTAAGCAAACGAAATTAAACGCCCAAACACTGCAAGTACAAACAAACCGCACTTCCCTCTGTGGAGTGAGATCAGGGCTCATCACTGGACATTGAAAATAAAACAATTCTGTTTTCTCATTTTAAGGGTGGATGGAGAGAGGCTGGGGGCTTGAGGGACGTCTTTGGGAGCAGATTTCAGTGGGCAGCTGCAGGAACATAGCTTTCCCTGGGAAAACTTTCCAGAGTAAGTTTTCCTTGCTTTGAACTTTCATTTACAAAGTGAACAAAAAAATCACGTTCAAGAACTGAGGCTAGACAGCTGGCTCTGGAGCACAGAACCCTTGGAAAACGGGAGAACCAACCTCCCTTCCTTCGCCTTCCCTCAGCAGCCGCTCTGCTGGGGTTGCTTGGCACAGGCCAGGGACAAGCTTGCCGTTATGGAGAAAGTTTTAGTCTCAAGCGTGAGCGTGTGGTCACACGGATAAGTCATTAGAGGGAAATCAGGGATGAAGGTTGAAGAGGAAGGCCACCACTCTCTGTTGGTGGAACGGTTATTTTGTGAAATGGAACCCGTGTTCAGAAAAGTGCATAATACGTATTTGTTATTATTAGCAGATTATTGTAAATTGAACATTCAGGTACCCCTTCCACTACATCATGATACAGATAGATACTCTGGAAGCCTTCTATGTCTCCCTGTCCAATCACAGTCTCCTTTGCTGCTTAAAAGTCATCATTCTTCTGACTTGAGGCACTAGCCTCCTTGTTCTCCTCTGTTTTTACACTGCCTAAGCCTGATCCCCTGAACACACAGAAGCTTAGTTCTGCCTGATTTTGGACTTTTGTGTCTGGTTTCTTTTGCTCAGTGGCATGTTGGATGCAGCCTCATTCTTCCTTGCACTGCTGATGTTTTGCTTTGGGGTGAGTCCACCATGAGGTGCTTATCCATTCTGCTGCTGATGGCTGCCGGAGTCATCAGCAGGGCACAGGGACTGTTCCCCATGCCGCTTCGGTGGACGACTTGGACATGTGTCCCACCGCACATGTAAAATGCATTTCTGCTGGGGATATACCAAGTGTGCAATTGCTAGGGCCAGAGGGTCTTCACATCTTCATCTCCAGTAGACAATGCCAAACTTTCCAAAGGGTTGGCGTCAGTGTCTATGGCCCCCAGCATCATGCGTGGTAGCTCCGTGTTCTTGCTGGCACTTGGTACTGTGGGAACGTCACACTCCTGCTTGGTTGCCTGCCCCTGGCCAGAGGCTGGCCCTTTATCGGAGGAGGCCAGTGCACAGCAAGAGCCTCCAAAGCAGAGTGGGGACCATTCACACCTGGACATGACTCCTATCTGTCCTGCAGGCAATGACTCCAGATGGCAAAGGGAAACAGACCCTGGAGCTCATGTCCCAGCTGCCCCTCTTGGCAGCTCTGTTATTTCAGGTGATGTCAGTAGCCTCCTGAGCCTCATATTATTGGATATTGAATGTGGGTAATAACGTGGATCTCACTGGGCTGTCGTGAGCATTAATGAGTTAATGCCTGCAAAGGATTTAGATGTGGCAGGCCCACAGTGAGTGCTCAATAGCTGACAGCCAGAACTGAAGCCATCCCACGGTTCCCTCCCCCAGGCCCCCAGCGCACAGTGAGGATTATGTTGGATCCTGAGGATGGAGTATGAGACAAAAATGGCACAAGAGCACCATTGCCCGTTGAGTTTGGTATATCTGGACGCATCATTTTTTTGGTGAGTCTGACATAGCATTTCCCTCCAGCGCTGAGACACGGCATCCATTTTTTCTAGTTGAGTCCTGGATGAACGAGTTGGCTGACTTTAGGGGCCAGTCATATGGTAGGAAAAATTGTCTGTCTTTAAAGAGCACAGTTGCATTTGCCTGGGTGAGATGTTCAGGCAGGAGCAGAGCAGGGAAGAGCACAGAGTCTGGGAGGCTGGGTGTGGGCTCCCATTCCATGCTTGTGTGGGGCCCAGCGCTTGGAGAGCAGCTGAGATGGCCGGTGCTGTGTACACACAGATGAAATTGCCTAGGATTAAAGTGCAGCTGAAGACTTCATTGTCTTGAAGACAAGGTCGGGGGTCCAGGAAACAGCATTGGATATATTGTAGCCCATCCAGAATTGGGCCTTTTAAAATTCATTTTCAACCTTCTGATTGTATCAAGGAGAAAGTTTCAAGTTCCTTATAGGGAGTCCTTAAGCACTAATGAGTGCTAATCTCTCTCTATTTTATTTTATCTTATTTTATTTTATTTTGAGACAAGGTCTCACTCTGTCACACAGGTTGAAGTGTGATGGCATGATCTCAGCTCACTGCAGCCTGGAACTCCTGGGCTCAAGCAAACCTCTTACCTCAGCCTCCCAAGAAGCTGGGACTACAGGCTAGTGCCAACACACTCCACTCATTTATTTTTTGTAGAGATGGGGTCTTGCTATGTTGCCCAGGCTGGTCTCAAACTCCTGGTCTCAAGCAATCCTCCTGCTTTGGCCTCCCAAGGTGCTGGGATTATAGACAGGAGGCTCTGTGCACAGTCAAAAATCTTTTTTTTTTTTTTAGATGGAGTCTCACTCTGTCACCCAGGCTGGAGTGCAGTGGTGCAATCTCAGCTCATTGCAACTTCCGCCTCCTGGGTTTAAGCAATTCTCCTGCCTCAGCCTCCCGAGTAGCTTGGATTACAGGCATCTGCCACCCTGCCTGGCTAATTTTTGTATTTTTAGTAGAGATAGGGTTTCACCATGTTGGCCAGGCTGGTCTTGAACTCCTGACCTCAAGTGATCTGCCGGCCTCAGCCTCCCAAAATGCTGGGATTACAGGTGTGAGCCACCGTGCTGAGCCAAAAATCTCTCTTTTGAAAAAAAGGAAATCCAGCCCCACAGACAGCCTCCAGGGCTCTGTATCTTCCCAGAATGTACACATCGTGTTTGTTTTTTACGTTTAGGATTCTTGGCTCTTTCTTCTGGCCAGCACTGGTGAGCTGGTGGCCGAGTATCCTACCTGGGGCACGAGCCTCTGCAGCTACTCTAAAGGTGAAATCTTACAGAGTCAAAATCGGCCTTGAAAACCCTGTAAATATCCTGTAGGACAGTGCCCATGACTCTGTGGATTTACCCTGTGCATCCGTTGCATGTGCATCCGCACCGCAGACGCAGGAGTGCTCAGCGTCTAACAGAGTGTACGTGCCAAGTCACATGACGGTGCTTCTTAATAACATCTTTATTGCCATATAACCCACACACCATAAAAATCCATCCTTTTGGAAACAATTCCCTCTTCTGCCTCAGGATGCACGCCTTGTGCACGGGCTTTAGAGGTTTTAGTAGAAGCACAAAGTTATGAAACCATCGCCACGATCTAATTCCAGAGCGTTTTCATCATTCCCCAAATAAGCCTCACACCTGCTAGCTGTCAGGGCTCTTCACTCTTCACCATCACTAATCTACTCCTGTCTCTAGGGATGTGCTTATCCTGGACATTTCATATAAATGGAATCACACAAACATACAAAATGTGGCCTGTTTTTTTGTTTGTTTGTTTGTTTGTTTTTCAGAAATGGGTCTTGTTCTGTTGTTCAGGCTGGAGTACAGTGGCACAATCATAGTTCACTGCAACTTCGAACTCCTGGGCTCAAGGCATCCTCCTGCCTCAGCCTCCCCAGTAGCTAAGACTACAGGTGTGCACCACTACATCTGGCTAATTTTAAAAAACGTTGTAGAGACAGATTCTTACTATGTCGGCCAGGCAGGTCTCAAACTCCTGGGGTCAAGCAATCCTCCCACCTTGGCCTCCCAAAGCGGTGAGATTACAGGTGCGAGCTACTGTGCCCTGCCTGGCTTTTTTGAATTGCGTATTTTTAAGATTTTTCCATGCTGTGGCATGTATCAATATTTCATTCATTTTTATGTCCAAATACTATTGCATTGTACAGGTATTCCACATTTTGTTCATCTATTCATTATGTGATGATGTATTTGAAGGAGAGAGAGAAGCAAAAAGAGACGGAGACAGAAAGAGTCAGAGGCAGAGAGACAGAGATAGGCAGAGAGAGAGAGAGAACCCAGGGAATCCTGACACTGGAATTGGTAGGGTCAAGAGCATGTCTGGGGTACCACAGTATCCAAATGGGAACCTGGGTCAGAGCACCAGGCTTCTTGCCCTCACTTGCTGTGTGACTCCAGGCCAACCCCTTACCCTCTCTGAGTATCAATTTGCTGATAGAGAAGAAGGCTGTGGATCCCCGGAAACATCTCTAAGCTCCCTCTCTTGGACTTTCTGCCTTCCTGGCAATGCTGTGCTGAGGGGTAACACAGGAAAGCTTATCAGCTGTTGCCACCTGGCTGGAAGAAGCTTACAGTATCATTTCCTAAAATCTGATTTTGATGTGGCGGGGGTAGGGTGCTGCCTAAAGAGTCCATAGGAGTCTTTTAGTTTGAAACTGTAGAAGCCCAGTTCGAAATGGCTTAAGGGAAAAAGACATAAAGAATTGATGGCTCGGTCACTGAAAAGATACAGGGAATGTCTAGCTGCCAGCCTGGGGTGGAGACAGCCACCACCACTCCCATCTCTGAGATGCATGAAGTGAGTGCATGTGCCCCACTGCAACTGCCCCTGCATTTGCCGCCAAGTTGCCATCTGATGGCAGTGACTGGGGTCAGGGAGAGGGAGGTCGCATGGGGCCGGGGGCCCTGGAGGACTCATCTGGTGGGGGGGAAGGGCAGGACCAAGCATGTGCCAGTGTCTCACCGGAGTTCACCAACACATCACAAGCTCAAAGATAAAACTTAAGAATTTCAAGACAGTGACGGCACGGTATGAAATGCCTTCTGATTCTGTGCCAGCCCTGACTGTTCTTTATAGGCAATGACAGGTTGTCAAGGGTAATCTTAAGCAGGCACCCTGTTTACTTTCGTGCACCACCTTTAGAACATAATCCTCTTTGCGCCCTCAGAGATCCAGAAGAAGGTTTGGTCCGTGTCTGGGTGCCAGCAGAGCCGGCATTCACATTTTCAGTTATGATTTCCTTTTTCTCTGTACATCGTTCTTTCTTTGTGTCTTCAGTTTTGCTGGGCACAGGCAGATGGGGTCTTGGAGGTTAACCTTGCCTGTTGTATAAGTCCGCAGAGTGGGCCCCAAAGCCCCCCTGCTGGTCCCAGTCCTAACTGCGGCTCAACAAATGCATAGCCTTGAACCATCCAGCCACCAGCTGTTTCTTCATCTGTGCAAGGCTGAAGTGGAGCTGGCTCCTCCACTTTTCAGAGTCTGAGAATTGCAGGATGCCCTCTGATTCATTCCCCCCACCTCCTACCCCACCCCTGCCCAGTCCTGACCCCCACACCCATCCCATTCTCCTCTCCTTCTCCCTCTACCTCCTGCTGCCCAGAATCTTCTCTCTTGTGCTAGCCCTGAGTTCCAACAGAACCCTGTGGCCAGGTCTCTGGGGAGGGCCACCCAAAGGCCCCATTCCAAACCCTGCAGATCCTCTGGACAGGGAGTGGGGAGCAGGCACTGACCACCCCAGAGACAGCAGAGAGGGATACATGCTGAGAGACACATGCTCCATCCGTGTGACTTTTGCTTCTCGGACCACGTGATGCTGAAATGTGATTCATCAATATTTTGTGCCCAGAAGCCATCTGCAGAATCTAACAGCGAGGAGCTTGGTGCAATGTCTGACTTCGGTGTCTGCTGAATGTGTGCTAATTCCCTTTGTACCCAACACCTCTCCAAAAAGAAGGTGTCAGGTGGGGGTGGGAGCTAAGGGCTGGGAGGCAGCTTCCTGGGAGACTGCAGCAGAGGCTGGCCACACCACGGGTGTGGAATGAGTGAAGCTGCAGTCTGGAATGAGTGAACCTGCCAGGACTCCCAGGGATCCCTGGAAATGGAGATTGGATAGGAGCTCCAGAGAGGGAGGGAGGAGCTGGGATCAAGGGGATCAGAGGAGACTGCAGACTGAAAAACACAAAACAGAATGAGCCAGGCAGAGAAGGAGAGACTTTGGTGTGAAAGGCCCAGCCCCACTCTTCACATGTCTTCAATAGATATGTACTGAGAACCTACTGTATACCAGGCACAGTGCCCAGGCCTGGGCATACAAGATTCCCAAGGCCCCTGCTCTACTGGGGCTGATGCTCTAGCTGGGGAGGGGTGATGGATAGTAAGCAAGAAAACAATGGTAAACAAGAAATCCATATTATGATTGAGTGTTGTCAAGATGATTAAACAAGGGCATTAAGTAGAGAGTGTGCCAGGAGTGGAGGGGCTGCTTTTCCTTGGGTGGTCAGGGAAAGCCTCATCATAAGAATGCATAACATCAAAACATGCTGGTCGCTGTCCTCAGCTCGTTTACTGTTGTAGCAGACACCAATATGTCCTTATTAAAGCAGCTTCCTCTCCCTCCTGGTCAAAGAAAACGACCACATTTCCCAGCCTCCTTTGCATTTAGGTCCTGCCATGTGACTTAAATTCAACCAAGCATATGTGGCTGGATGTAATGCAAGCTTCTTATAGGTCTGGCCCAAAGAACCTCCAAATCAACATCCTCTTGTTCCACCTGCCAGCCAGAATTACAGATGCCAGTGGAGAAGGTGGTGGAGCCAAAAGAAGATCGGAGCCTGGATCCCTGAGTCACTGCATGGAAGGCAGCTGCTCAACAACCATGTGAGCTGGAAAACAACTTCTATTATGTTAGCCATGGAGACTTAGCAG
This sequence comes from Homo sapiens, assembly GCF_000001405.40. Classification (NCBI taxonomy): domain Eukaryota; kingdom Metazoa; phylum Chordata; class Mammalia; order Primates; family Hominidae; genus Homo; species Homo sapiens. The sequence goes on from NC_000020.11 coordinate 48,173,377, forward strand.
CGTAACTGTCAGTTCCAGTTTGCCTGTAATTGTCCTGGTTTTAGCACTGAAAGTCCTGCTTCCTGGGGAACCCCTCAGTCTTAGGCAAACCTAAATCTAATCACCCTAGATTTGGAGGTCATTTGGTATAGCAATTGAGCTGCCCTGACTGGTGTGTGACTTATAAGATCACACACCAATCTTATAAGATGGGTATTACTATTATCCTCATTGTGTAGATGAATAAACTGAGGCTGGGAAGAAGTTATTTCTCAAGGTCATCTTCCAGAAGGCTACTTAGCTAGTAGGGGAGCCAGGAATTAACGAGGAAGTCTGTCCCTGAGTTTGCACTTCAAACCATAAGGTTGCACTTTCTTTTCGGGGTCCTAGTGAAAAATGAGAAAGGAAAAATCTGGTGGAAATGCATCTCAAAGGCAACCTGAAAACTCCTACTTCAGAATCCACCTATCACATCTGTGTCTATTCATGGTTCCCTGATTATCCAAGGCAGACAGAAGCATGTCCCTCTCTGGGGAATTCTCAAAACATCCTCTCCCTATAATATCTGCAAGCTGTATCTTAAATCAATTTTTCCACAGTGGAGGGTGGATTCCACAAAGATGGAGATGTTGTTGTTTCAGATTTATATTCCCTGGAATCCAACACTACCTCCAGCCTACAGTAGATGTTTAAGAAATGTTTATTGTGAGACCCAAACATTTACCAAGAGCTGAAGGACAGTGCAAAGGAGAGTAACAGAGAGATGCACAAACCAGAACAAAGTAGAAGAGATGCGTGGAGAGGCAGAGACAGACGTGGCAGAGAGCCATGGTCATCACAACCCCTCCGAGTCCTTATCCATAAAGTGAGGATCATGATCTGGCTCTCTGCGGTCTAACAGACCAGCCTGCGAGTTCTTCTCTGTCGAGTCTGCAGTGGTCAGAGACAGCTCTGAGCCAAGGGCTGGTGTTCTTGGTGGGAGAGTGATGAGAGACATCTCGAACGAGACCTGGTGAGCTCAGCGTTCTAATTTGGATTCTTCAGGAAACATCTGATTACTTGGCACAGGGAGAGGCACTGCCCAGCCCAAACCGATGATTTTCCTTTTGAACAAAGGGATAAGTCACTGTGATCCCCTGTTAACTGCCTGGCAGGATTCCTTGGGTGTACCAGGGAGTTCTCCATGCAACTTGGGTATCACCGGGAACTCCCTACCTTCCTGGTTGGAATATGTCCCTTTATTTCCCCAGGAAAGGATCCCAGAAAAGGAGAGACCCGAAAACCTGAGCTGACTGGACACAAGGAGGAGAAGGGACGGGCTTCATCATCAGACACACAGGACCCTTTCATTTCTGGAGATGCGATTCGATGTGTCAGGCTGTAGTATGGGATAGGGGTCTGGCTTAGCCCTGTCTTCCATTTCTCCCAGCCCACTGACTAGTTCATGGGTGAGCACTGGACCCAGGCTGATCCAATCTGTGCAAATCCTGAGACTTTTGTAGATTCTTGCTGGCAATGCTGATCTGGTAGGATTTCACCCTTGAGGTGTTGGATACATCTTTATCAGCACAAAGGCAGAGCCTGCCAGACAGTGAAGCCAATATAGAGGGAAGCCAAGAGCTGGAGGGCTTCCTGAACACATTAAGCCCCTGGATCTACCTATACCTGAAGCTGGAATTTCTTGAACTTTTTTGTTACTTGAGCCAATAAGTCCCCATTTGTAGTTTAAGTCAGTTTGAGTTGGAATTCTGTTATTTCTCGCATAATGAACTGGACTGTATATTTTTTCTGTTAGTCAACACTACCAAGAAGCCAGCATAACTGGGGAAAAAATAGTCTCTTCTAAGGCGGGTTACTGGGAGAATTATATCAGACAGCAGAATTCAGAAATGCACCTGAGAGACCTGCTTAGTCAAAGTCCAGCTTCTAGGAAGGCCCATTATTTAAACTGTCTTGAACTCTCTCTGTGCTGGTCACTGGTTAATGGTGCATTTGTCTTCAGGCCCACTGCCTGCCCTTCTGCTGGGCTCTGTCCCAGGGAGCCCGGCCCCAGCTTCCCCAGACTCCCTTGTCTTTGGGCCAGGTTTGGCCAGTCCAAGCCACTGCTGGGGCCATGGAGCATGGAAGAAGGGAGAAGCCAGGGTTTTTCTCACCCTCTTTTTCTGCCAGGGGGCAAGGCTATGCCTTTTCTGTGGCTCTGGCACCCTCTGTGGTCTCTTAGGCCAACCTTAGCCTTGCTGGCTCGCTCCACACCAGTCTTCAGCCTGGCCCGCCAGCCGGCCGCTACGGGGTGATGAATTACTTTCTTCCCTGGGAAAATGAATGTTAAAGTTACCTGTTCGTCCTTTGCTGCTAGCTTCAGTGTGGTTAGGAGAAAATAGTTAACCCATTTAAGAGTAAATATTTTGAGGTTGAACTTACCAGAGACAGAGCCAAGCAGGTTTCCACCCCATGAAAGCAAACATGGTTCAGTAGCATCCCCACAGACCTGCCATTTCGCTGCTAAATGGGAAAGTGTCTGCTAATGATATTGGCATTCTGGTGACTGGAAGAAGTCCTATTCAGGACAACACCAGGACAAAGTTCCCAGTATTTTGGTTCATATGCATGTAATAGATCAGCCCAGGACAAAGTTTCTAGTATTTTTGTTCATATGCACCTTATAGATAGCCCAGGACAAGATTTCTAGTATTTTGGTTCATATGCATGTTATAGGTCAGTTACATTGATCTATGTACTAGCTGGGGTACAAGAACATGTGTAAAATATGTTGATTTCTTATGCCTGTGTAAGGTTAATGGCCTAAGCCAGAATTACTCAAGGGCTTTTCAGGGAATCCGTGTCCTCATGTGCCCTGCTCGCCGTGCTTAGATTCCAAAAAGATACAGTGCAAGGAAAGGTGAGGTGAGCTGCACAATTTTTGTTCCGGAACAATCCTCTGGTCATGAATCCCAATACTTTTTACTGCCCTGATAAATTAGATGGGCATTTACTGCCTTCTCTTTGCAGTGTGGGAACACAGGCCTAAGAAGAAAACAAGAAAGGAGGGAGGAGGGATGAAGAGGTAAGCGGTAAATGTCAAAGTCGGCCTGGCCCAAGCCCTGAGACACGAGAGCAGCTTGTGAGCAGTTCCAGGTTTCAGGAGGAATCTGTCATTCATTTCCAGGCACGCCATGTACTTGAAATGTCATTGTCTCTCACCTGTCTGGGGGAGCTGAGCAAGACTGAGGCTCATGTAGGCTCCTTCCTCCCCGCATTCCCTGTCAGCCACTGTCTACCTCTGTCCCCAGCGGAGGAAGGTGATTGGTGGACATATTGATGTGTATGGAGGGGGATGCATCCTGATTCCACGAGGGAAGAATATGGGAACTCTACGTTTGAGATCATCCCAGACCTCACCCTTTGTGCCTCTTCATTTGCCTGGTCCTGATTTGTAACCTTTATAAGATCGTAACCATCCATATAGCACTTCCCTGAGTTCTGCGCATTGTTCTAGTAAATTAGGAAAACTGAGTGGCTCGTAGGAATCCCTTATTTGTAGCCAGTTGGTCAAAAGTGTGGGTGGCTGGACCCACAAGTGAGGGGTGCAGCACCCACTTGTCCCTCTCACCCTGCATCAGCCAAGTGGGATGAGAAACAGCCGGATGCCAATGGCCAAAGGGAGCTCTTGCATGGTCCACGTGCCGTTGAGGTTTGGCTCTGCCAGGGGAATGGACAGACCTGGGCTCAGTCCTGGCTGTGCCTGCTGCTAGCGTGTTCCTTTCTGTGGCAATAAGATTGAGAACAGACTTGTGCGATCTGCTGAGACTGGGACTCATTTCCAAGTCCTCACTTGAAGTGCCCTCAGAAAGAAGTGAGGAAGGCATGCTGCAATACTTCAACGCCATTCCCAGGCACGCCACCTGGGTTGGTGCAGACTCCACAAGTTCAGGACACGGTCCCCAACAAGACTGCCCTCCCTTCACACACCAGCTCCAAGTCCGGCCACCCACACTTTTGACCAACTGGCTACAAATCAAGGATTCCTACGAGCCACTCAGGTTTCATAATTTACTAGAACAATGCACAGAACTCAGGGAAGCGCTATATGGATGGTTACAATCTTATAAAGGTTACAAATCAGGACCAGGCAAATGAAGAGGCACAAAGGGTGAGGTCTGGGATGGTCTCAAACGTAGAGTTCCCATATTCTTGCCTCGTGGAATCAGGACTCATCCCCCTCCATACACATTGACGTGTTCACCAATCAGCAAGCTCCCCCTAGGAACCCAGAACAAAAGCCAGACACATTCCTTAATAGGAAAACAGGGTGTTGGACACAATCCTATTCCAGCCACACACCAACCCATCCTCCCCTCTGCTACCGCCCAGCGGTCTCCTCCCAGGTTAGAGACCAAAATGCATCAGCAGGAAAGCCGAGGTTAATAATTTGAGTGGACAGAAATTGTTTTGCCTATGCTTTATCCATTTCTCCTCCCTTTGAGGTCAGAATGTGTGTTTTTCTTGGGAAACCACCTGTCTCTCACTCTCACCTTACTCGGGTGTCCTGGACTGACCCTAGGTGTGAGTAGGTGACCCAGGCCTGGCCAATCAGAGCATCAGATTCACCAGCTGCCTAGGACCCCAGTCGGTTCATCAAAATGCAAGTCTTAAATTGTCACTGAGATTGTTAAACAGAGAGACATTCTTTTTATGCTGGATTTTATGTTGAGATTGTTAAACAAGAGAGATATTCTTTTTATGCTGGATTTTATGTTGTGATAATAGAAGCTGAGAAATGCTTGGAGACACCATATAGAGATAATTTGCCTACATAGGGAGCCACAAAATGCAAACAGAGATAAGTGATTAAAAAGCCAGAAAGGCCGAGTCCTGATGAAAAGATTTAAGCCCTTGGATCTAGCCAGGCCTGAAATCCATCAGATCCCCTCTGGACATTTCAATCATGGATCCAAAGAATTTGTGGGAGTTTTTTTTTGTTTTGTTTTGTTTTCATTTTCTTTAAAGTCCAGCAATTTTACTTGAACTTGGTGTTGGTCATGATGGGTCACTATTCACAGGATGCAGCCTGCTCTTTTAACAAATAATTTCCAAGGTTTTGTTTTTGGAAGTTTTTTTGAATTATTATTTTCGGTATTTGTATTGCTCCCTTGCTGCATTGTCTTTTTTTTCCTTGAGAGATTCCTTTTATCTGTAAGTTAGTTCTTGTCTCTATCAACACAATTTTTTACCCTCTCTCCTAATTTTTGCTTCATCTGACCCTTCCGTCCACTATTATCTTCTCTGCCTCCTAAAATCTTTAAGACAATTATTTTATCAACAATCCCCCCTTCTCCCTAACATCTCCAGATGACTCTCCCAGTCCCTCCACGGACCAGCCTTGCCTGTAATCTGACTCTCTTTGAGGACAAGCAGCCCCTCTCCAAGGAAGCTCTCTTTGTTTCCCTCACAATTCAGGCGCTCCAAGTCTAGAGGCAGGGTCAGCCCCCTCTCTGTTTTTCATGACAATCAATATATCACTTTCCTTCTTCCTATTTCAAAAGCACATCTTGCTTGAAGCTCTTGCCATGTGTCTTTAACTCCCGTCCAACATTCTCCGCCCCTCATCTGGAAACATCCCACTCAGTCCCCTTTATTCAGTAAAGACTGAAGCTCTTGGCTCACTCTTTTTTTTTTTTCAATCTCATCTAAGGCCCTAACATCCACTCAGGTTCCAATCCTGGCTCCATCCTTTATTAGATCCATTACTGTGGGCCAGGTGCTGAATTTGCTTGTGCCTCAGTTTCCTCACTGGCAAAATAGGACTAAGTGGTCCTTACATAGTTGTTGTAATGATTGAATTAAAGTGCAGAAATGCTCAGAACAGTGCGTGGCACTAAATGTAGTCTGTTATTATTATTATCATCATTTAAATTTTTATCTGGCTTGGCTGGAGGAGCACAAGTAGGCCCTTAGCTGAAGCTGAAATGTGAAGACTTTTTAAAGAACTCTGTGATTTGATTTTGGTGTCCCAGAAGGTAGCATCCTAGAGGTATTAATTTATAAACCATTCACAGGAAATAAAGAATAAAATGTAACTCCTTGCAAGAGGGCTTGTTTATATATTTTATAAGTAGACTTTACCGCTTCCAACTACTGATCAAACCAGCTCGCCATCAACTCATGATAAAAAGTCCTCATTGGTAACAATAGGGGAGGAAACAGGAGCATTTCCTACATCCACCTTGGTGATTACCAATGTGTGAGACCTTTGCAGACCCATGGATGTACCAATATCCTCCAAGGGTGTGTTGGCATGGCCACCTCCTCCCAAGACCTCCCCATACCACACATCCCCCACCACCGGCATCTCATGCCCACACCATCTGATATGGTTTGGCTGTTTCCCCACCCAAATCTCATCTTGAATTGTAGTTCCCATAAGTCCCATGTGTCATGGGAGGGACCCAGTGGGAGATAATTAAATCATGGGGCAGGTCTTTCCCGCGTTGTTCTCATGATAGTGAATAAGTCTCATGAGATTTGATGGTTTTATAAAGAAGAGTTCCCCTACACAAGCTGTCTTGCCTGCCACCATGTAAGAAGTGACTTCGCTCCTCATTTGCCTTCCTGCATGATTGTGAGGCCTCCCCAGCCATGTGGAACTGTGGGTCCATTAAACCTCTTTCCTTTATAAATTATGCAGTATTGGGTGTATCTTTATTAGCAGCATGAGAACAGACTAATACACACCCTCTCATCCTCCCTGAACTTTCCACCGGCATATTCTATCTCTGGATTTCACATCATCACACAAGGCATTTTCTGAAAACTCCTGTCACCCCCTCCTAAAGTGATTTGTCACCAGCAAATAGAGTGATGGGAGGAGCCTCTTTATTAACCAAGAGATGATTCATAGGGCTGCACACAAAGCCTGTGAAAAGCAATGTTTATTTTCTTGAAATGACATAAAACTATCATTAATCATCCTACCCAACCCATCCTGAGCGACCTCCTCGCTTGTTTTAACTTCTACAAATTAATGTAAATCACTAGATTCAGGGTGCATATTTGGAGTGGAGGGTCAGAAGAGCCGGCCAGAAGACCTTTGCTTCTGTTTCTATAAAACATCATACACTAAGAAAAAAACACATTTCCATTTCTTTCTTTCCTATAATTGGTCAGGGGTCTTCCAAACTCGAGTCTGTTCTTTGTGAACCAACATAGCAGAATTTAATTTTGTACCCCTTCTCCCCTCATAGCTAAACCTTGAACTTACCGACTGGAGTGAACAATGAGGCCACCATATGGAGGACAGCATCCTGGTCTAGAAAAACAATCTCCATAATGCACCAGCCCATCCAAAAACAGACTGAAATTATATGTTGAAGCACAGTGGAAATTTCCTCCTGCATGTTTTATGTAAACAAGTTCATTTGTTCATTCAATGAATCCACAGTTCTTCAAAGGCTCTGTTTATATTAAAAGAAAGAAGCAGAAAAATTTGGATTGGCGGGCAGCCAGCTCTACACCTACAGAGTTGTCAAGCTGTTAGAGCAACATTCGGGAGCTCCGATGTTTATGTTGAGATGGGCTTTTAAGCCAAAAGTAAAATATTTTTTTTTGGATGAAACAGCCAGATATGTGAGCAATGGACTCACATCATCAGAGACAAAAAGACCAGTGTTTTGCAAAAGGGCAGAAGCTGAGCTGGTGATGGGCCTCAGACCTTGCGCAGGGCCCGAGGACTCTGTCTTCTCATGTCTATGGAGCAGCATCTCAGGGGTTTCTACATTAGACAGCTTTAAAGTAACAAAGAAGAGCGAGTGTCTGAGGTTAAGACCTTGACACACGATGGTCTCTAGGCTGCTGACTTGAATCCTCAGGAAAAAATCTACCCACCAAAGGCCTAAAAGTTGGGTTCTTTCCAAGTGTGATATTTTATATTTACTATTTAGAAGACCATGCAGTAATCAAATAGCAGCTTCAAGAGAGGCTCTATGAGAAAGAGTGTCTTGTATCCATCAGGATTCTGTGGTTGCAAGTGACAGAAAATCCTACCCCAGTTGGTTTAATCCAACCAAGTGTTTCATTGAATCACAGACTTGAAGCAGGATGGGGATTTTTGCTTTGGGTGTGGCTGGATCCAGGAACTCAAAGGATGTCACCATGTGGCTCTTTTTCTCTATTTTTAAACTGTGCATTCCCCTGAGTTGGCTATATTTTAGGGTAGATGTTCACTCGTATGAAGGTGGCCAGCGGCTGCTCCAGCTCAGCATCGTAACTTCTCAGCAACTGCAGTGGAAAGAGAGCACTGCTCCTGCAGTTACTGAGGCCGATACCTGAGAATTGGCCTTTAGTAACTTTAACTGGGTCACATGTGCATATCTTAACCAATCACTGTGGTCATGGGATAGAGACTTCTGATTGGTCAGACCCAGGTCACATCATAGCCCTGGACTCAACAAAACTACCTGCACAGGGAGTGGAGGAGGGGTGGCTCGCCCAGGAAAATAGGGTTCATTACAAGAAAAAAGGGAAGCGTATTTGAAGCAAGGAAAATTTGGTCTGAAAAACATTTAAAATTGTAAAAAAAAAAAAAAAAAAAAAAAAAGAAAAAAAAAACAGAAGGAAATTGGGTATGTTTACTTTGAGAATGAGAATAATCATGATTATGACGAATCCTGGAATCTTAAAGTTAGCAGCATCTTCCCAGATTGAGACCAATAGTTTCCAGACACATTTTTTTTTTAGAGCCACAGACCTCTTTTGTCAAATAAAATCTAAAGTCTGTGGGAACGTCCATGATGAAAACGGATCGACACTAAGCTATTTAGTTAAAAGAGGAAAAGGGTAAAAGGAGGAAAAAGGCCCAATGTCCCACCCTCTTAGTTCTCCCAATTCTTCCAACATCAGCTCTTCCTTGGAAATTGAGGGAAGACAATAAAAAAAAACTGCTGGGGCTTCAAAGATGACTTTAGGGAGTTAGACCCTGACCAAGAATAACATTGACTCATACCAAGAAAAACTTCTTCCCAGATCAATTCTCTTTCAACCTCATCAAGGAGAAAGTCAAAGGTTAATGCTAATACATTTTAATAAATTTCATAGCCCTTGCTAATACTCATTTGAAAAATCAGAGGTCAGGTTATCAGGATCACAGTGCTCTGTGGGTATTCGGCTAGAATTTACTATCAATATTTTCTTCTTACTGCTTTTGTTCTTACTATTTCCTTCTATTTAGGGAAATGATTCTGGTTTTCCATTTTATGATGATGACATTTACATGTGTGTATTTTCTTATTTTTTCTTTTCAGTGAAATTTTTTTTTGTATTGTGGCAAAATATACGTATCACAAAATTTATCATTTTCACTATTTTAGGTGGAAAGATCAGTGGCATTAGATGCTTTCACACTGTTGTGCAACTATTACCACATCCACCTCCAGAATTTGTTTATCTTCTGAATGGAAACTGTATACCCTCTGCAACTCCTCACTCCCTCCCTGCCCCTAGCCCCTGGAAAGTATATATTTCTTTTAAATCCATGTATATAAGTAAAACACACAGATGTAGGCAAATAAAAATGTTTCATAGATTACAGTACAGATGGTGCAAAGGGAAATGGATAAAATTGTGAGAGATGTTTGGAAAACACTAGAGGAGCTTAGCCCTCCTAAAGATAAAACCCTGTCTACAGTATCCCTGCAAACTCACAGCCATGGTTCGAACCTTGGGAATAACAGAGTTTCCTCCTTTGCAAGATGGCCTGTTTCATTTTGCACATGGTTCTAGAAAGTTCTTCCTTCCATCGAGCTTTGGCCTGAGGACTGGCACTGCACCAACGGGTGGTGATCTTTTTCCTTTCCCACTCTAATGACTTGGATATTCGGGTTTCGTGGCCGTGTTAAAGGTCTCCCTTCTTAGCTAAGTATCCCATGTTTGCTTGCAGATTAACACCAATGGTGCCGTGACATCGAGGGACCTTTTCAGCCTGCCCAACCCTGACATTCCCATCTCTGGCCACACCTGCCTGGTCTTCTCTTGGGAACTGCCTTAACTCTGCTGTCATTCATGTTGATTAGCAAGGCTGACTCTACCCCATGACCCAGAGCTGACCAATCAGAGCAGTCCATTGCCCAAGCCACAGTGATTGGCTCAAAGGTGAGCATGCAATCATGCATGGTCATTAAATCCATGAAGGTGCTCTACCCCCAGCCTCACCAACCACCTAGCCGTAGGGGCTGCCATAGATGGCTCCTTACCCTCCCTTTAATCAGTGGCTTTGGGCCTTTTAAATTCTGAAAACATGGCTGTGTCCAAAGATAAGGGACACATGGTTTTTACCCATAATTTCTTTAGTCATGATTTCTAACAGCCCCTGCCACCAAGCCTGAGCCCCATTCTAAACGAGTTAACCCATTCTAATGAGCCAATACTTGTCACCTTAGAAGGAAGATGACAAATGTTAGCTCATTTAATCTTCAGAACCCTGTGAGGTACCTCCTAGGACTATTTTTATTTTCAGGTGAGGAAACTGAGTCACAAAGGGCTGTAATAACCCGCTGAGGGTTCCACCTTGGCAGGAATTTGAACCTGGGCAGCCCAGCCCTGAATCAGTCCTCACACCACCCATGATGCGGCCCTGAGAGCTGCTCTCAATGCCACTAGCAGAGCGATGTCACGAAGTGCCACTGTGGCTTTTACTGTACAGGATTTTCTCTCTTTCAAAGTTGACTCCATGCCAGTACTGGTTGCTCTGCAAGGTCTCTCAAATAGAGTGCCTTTGATCCTGAACCTTTTCTTGGAAGCCTCTGAAGGGCTTCACTAGTCTAGGGGCCACTGCAGATGACCATCTTTCTAGCATCTCAGCTGTCTGCTCTCATATTTCATTATCTGGTCCACAAGGCTGGTAACAAACACTCAAGATAAATTCTGTCCTCCCTCTCTGGAAAATAGAAAATACATTAAAAATCTCAGCCTGTGAAACTGAAAATTCCAGCCAAGGGGCCCATGAGGCCCCAGACTGGGAAGGCCCAGTTCCCAGGAGACAGCAGAGTCCTGCTCCGAGATAACATCACCCTTCTGCCCACACATGCAGAGGCTGTAATTATACCCCTTAACCTGGGGCTTTACTTTACTTAATGAGTAATTTGCCAAAACCATGCTACTGTTTGAGGCATGAACCTGGTGTGTGAAGGGTTCATGTGCTTCTATCCCACCTGTCATCTTCCTCTCCAACATCTGGGATCCTGGGAGAAAATGTCTGTCAACCACACAGCTGCCTCCTCACCCTCCTGCCCCCAGGTACTCTCCTGGTTTCCCCAGCATCAGAGTTAGCTAATGAAAGAGGCCTTCAAAACATTTCTCAAAAAGCATGGGCATTGTGGAAAGGGGAGAGAGAAGCTGGGTTTAGCAGTGAGCATTAGTAGGGGCCATGGTTGGTCAGAGGACATTCCACACCAAGGTGCCATCATGCAGGAGAGTTTGAGGACAGCCAGAAAGTCCTGTCTCTTCCTAAAGAGGAGACTACATTCATTGGGCCCACTCTCCTCAAGGAGGTTGCAGGAGTGAGATGGTTTATTAGGGCCAAAAATGGACCTCAGTGAGTTGCTGAATAGAAGGCCTTTGAATTGGCCAAAGCATCGTTGTTTGAGGAATAGATAAGCGTTCGTGCTCCTTTCCTTAAAGATCTTGGAAGAGACAAAACCCAGGGTCTAGCAGAAACTGCTTGCTGCCCACCCCCTATCTAGTCTTCTCTTCTTCTTTGGAAACAGAACCCCCAGTTTAACTGGATACAGGGCTCCCTAGAAGGAAGATGACTTTGCCCACCCTCCCTTTACTAGGTGAGGTCATGTGATAAAGTAAAGATCAATGTCATATCATAAGAAGTCTCTGGTGAGGCTTCAGGGTAGAGAACAGGTTCAGGAGGAATATACACCTTTTGTGCTCTGATTCCATTCCTCATTCTAGCTACCTGGAATGTGGATGTTATAGTGGTGCTCGCAGCCATCCTGGATTATGAAGTGGCCATGAGGACTAGGAAGTGAACCCGCATGGATACCGAAATCCACAAACGCTCAAGTCCCTTATACAAAATGAAGTAGTATTTGCATATAAGCTATGAATATCCATAGAGTAGCAGAAATAGGAAAGTTCTGTGGACCCTATTGACTTCATGGAACTTCCGTATCAGTCATGGACTGTTTATCTCTCAAACTTCCTTTAAGTAGAGTATAGGAGTGCATCCCTGTGTCGAAGGCTCTCTTGTATTGAACTTTCTGTTCTATGAGATTGGATCTACCCTTACTGATATAGGGGACTCATGAGGCTTCTCAGGGAGGGGCAGAGCTCTGAGGATCAAGCCAACACTCCACAGCTTGCACTTCAGGTCTCTCGTGGTCAGGGACCAACACTTCCACTGAACGCCATGCCCTCCTGCCCCAGGACCTACCAGGCTCTCCACCCAGCCTCTTCCTTTGCACCCTTCCTGTGCTTGTCATGCTTTCCCCACTTTCTGACCTTTGCCTTTGCAGAAAGTCTTGCTGGGGCCAACCTCACTACCTTCTCTCCACAAATCTCACCATGCCTCATGGTTCAACTTTTGACTTTTACCTCTGTAGTCTTTCCCAGATATTCTGGAAGATGCCTTGCTGGATTGACCTATGAGCATTGAAACCTGTCTTTCTTTTCTTGTTCCACACGGGCAAGGGTTTCTTACCCCAGGACTGTGGGATCTTTCAGGGAAGGGCTGGCCCACTTTACTTCTCTCTTTGCAGCACAGGCCTTGGTTGGGGAAGTTTCCTCCACGTATTTGCAGAACTGAACTGCTCGGGACGGTTCTGTCTCAGGTGGTCCTGGCTGGGTCTCTCCACCAGATTGAGTCAAGAGAATGTCTTTTCCAGCCACGTGCAGAAGAGAACTCAAGTTCACCTTAATGAATGCATATTTGTGACTCCCTGGGAAAGTTTAATGTGACACGAAACACACATTTTGCACACTCTGCTCCACAGCCCAGCATGCTTGTCCACTTCAGCAGCCAGACTCTGATCCTCATCACTTTTGACAAAGCTCTGTGAGACCAACCCTGCTGGCCTCTCTTCTCACTGAATCTAGCCCTCTGGTTTACTCTACCCCGGCCAAACTGGCCCCCTTGCTGCCCTCTGAACAGCCACCACATGCGTGTCCCTGTACTGGCTGTTCCCTCTGCCTGGAATGTTCTTCCCAAATCTCAGGCAAATGTTACCTCTTCAGTGAGGCCTTCATTAGCCAGCCCAGCTAAAACAGCTGCACTTCCTACACCCCCACACATTCCCCACTCCCACCACTCACTCACTCTCTATCATACTTTTCTTTCTCAGCACATACCAAAATCTGGAGTCATTACCTGTCTTTTTCTCTAGAATGTCAGTTCCATGGAATCAGGCCCACTTTTGTCTTTTCTCCACTGTATCCCCAGGACCCAGGACAACTTTTACATGAAAAATAAATACTGACTTACTGAGTGAACAAGTGAATGAATGAATGGGTGAGTGAACAAACAAGGTGAATTATTCTACCTCTTTCAAACTGTGACTCCAAGCAAGTCAGTGCACCTTGCCAGCCTCACTTTCATCTGCAAAGTGGTGCTAATTAAAGAGAGATTAGATTCTTTTCCTCCAAAGCTTGTACAAAGAGAAGCTGTTGCTAAACCACGCATTGTTATGCAGAGGTTATTTAAGCCAATTAAATTAAGCTGTCACACTAGCCCTGCCAGCACTCTCCAGCTCGTTCACACGTGAGTGGGTGGTGTCTTGCCCAACGTCCCGGAGCAGGTCTCTGCAGAGCTGGCTTCTGGGCTCCTTCCTGGGCTGCACTGCAGCCCGGGACATCATCTACTCAGAGGTGTTGACTGAGCCCCTATCCTGTGCCAGACATTGACATATGCACTGAGGCTACAGCCGTGGAGAAGCCAGACTCTCCTCTGCAAGAGCTTGATCTAGTGAAAAAACAGGTGCTGGACCAGCAGGAGAGACAACAGTGCACAGGAAACATTTCTGAGCTGGGGCGAGTTGGCTGGGGCAGCAACCCAGGCAGAGGGCTTCTGGAAGGCCTCTCCAAGGAGGGGGCTGGATCCTGAAGGGTGGACAGAGATTAGCCAGGGAGACAGGAAGGGAAGGCTCATCCAGTGAGGGAACAGTACAGGCCAAAGCCTGAATCATGAGAGAAGGGTGAACACAAGGAAATGAAGGATGGCGGACCGTAGACAGGGGAGAGACGCCATCATGCTTCTGGCTTCAACAAATCAGAAGGGTCCAGGGATTCAAAGGGGCAGAGTAGACCCAGAGACCCATGAGGCGGCCCCAGAGTGGTCCAAGCGTGAGATGGCGGTGCTTTGGACTGGGTGTTTGAATCTTTTTTTAGTAACAGCTTTATTGAGAGATAATTTGCATATCATGATGTTCACTCTTTTAATGTATACAGTTTTGTGCTTTTGATTAAACTCGGGAAGTTGTGTGGTCATCATCCCTATCTATTCCAGAGCATTGCATTATCCCCAAAGAAGCCCTATACCCATGAGCCGTCACTCCCCATCCACTACCCTCCCACCATAGGCAGCCACTGCTACTGTCGGCCTCTGTGGATTTGGCTGTTCTGGTCATTTCATGTAAGTGGAATCAGACGATATGGGATCTTTTGTGACTGGCTTCCTCTGCTTAGCATAATGTTTTCAGGGTTCATTCACGTGGTAGCATGTGTCAGCATTCCATTCCTTTTTGTGGTAGAATAATAGAAATAGAATAATACTCTGAATGCATATGCGGTAGTCCCTTGGTATTCGTAGAGGACTGGTTCCACGAATCCTGCCAGCCTCCCTTCTCACTGAATCTGCCCCCTGGTTTATTCCACCCCAGCCAAACTGGCCTCCTTGCTGCCCTCTGAACAGTTACCACATGCATGCCTCTGCACTGGCTGTCCCATCTTGGTATCCTCATGGATATCCCCATGGATACCAAAGTCCTTGGATGTTCAAGTGCCTGATATAAAATGGAGTAGTATTCACATTTAACCTACACAATACTCCCGTATACTTTAAATCATCTCTAGATTATTTATAATTCCTAATACAAGGTAAATGCTACATAAATAGTTGTTATACTATATTATTTAGAAACTAATGACAAGGAAAACTATCTATATATGTTCACTACAGACATGATCATCATAGGACTGACTATATTCTTGATGTATAATTGGTTGAGTCCTAGGATGTGGAACCGTGGATATGGAAGGCCGACTGCACAACTTTTCATTCTTTTTTGTTTGTTTGTTTTGTTTTGTTTTGTTTTGTGATGAAGTCTCACTCTGTCACCTAGGCTGGAGTGCAGTGGTGCGATCTTGGCTCACTGTAACCTCCACCTCCCAGGTTCAAGTAGTTCTCCTGCCTCAGCCTCTCAAGTAGCTGGGATTACAGGGGTGTGCCACCATGCCCGGCTAATTTTTTTTTTTTTTTTTTTTTGTATTTTTAGTAGAGACAGGGTTTCACCATGTTGGTCAGGCTGGTCTCAAACTCCTGACCTCAAGTGATCCACCTGCCTCAGCCTCCCAAAGGGAGCTTTTCATTCTTGATCCATTCATCAGTTGATAGACATTTGGGTCACTTCCACTCTGGGCTATTATGAATAATGCTGCTGTGAACATTTGCATGCAAATGTTTGTGTGGACGTGTGTTTTTGTTTCTGTTGGATATATACCTAGGAATGGAATTGCTGCATAGTGTGTGAACTCTGTTTAACTTTTTGAAGAAGCATCAGACTGTTTGCCTGAGTGGCTGCACACTTTGCATTGCCACTGGCAATGAATAAGGCTTCTGGTTTCTCACAACCTCACCAACACTTGTTATTGTCTGTCTTTTTGATTTAAGCCATCTTCGTGGGTGTGAAGCGGCATCTCATTGTGGTCATGATTTTCAGTTCCCTAAAGATTCCTGATGCTGGGCAACTGCATGTGTTTACTGGGCATCCTCATATCTTCTTTGGGGAAATTCCTGTCCCTCTGCTCCCCCAAGTGGCTGCTAGGTGGCTGCTTTCTATAGCTGCTTAGTTGAGGTGGTTGGTTTTCAAGGCTACCACGGAGCTGGGGAGATGGGGATGGGTTAGGGCAAGTTGAAACAAAGCTTGTTCTTTCTGAGATTCAGCATTTTCCTGAATAAACATCCTTGTACAGTTTAAGCCTTTGGTTAATATCCAGAGTTCTGAAAAGTCGATTTTGACAGTTGCTTTTTGGCCAGTGTTCTTATTGTTTTATGGAAGAGTAGATTTGGGAAGGTCTTTACTCTGCTATTCTGGAAGTGCCTTTAATTGAAGTATCCATAGGAGTTAATATCTATTAAGGGCTTACTCTGGTGTCAGACACTTATCTAAGCATTTTGCATATTTAATGCCCCCACAGCCCAAGGAGAAATGTATTATTATGTCCATTTTAGAGATGGGGAAACTAAGGCATTCAGTGACTAAAGGTTAAGTGACTTGCTAAATATTCCCCAGCTGGTAAGCAGGTGGGGCGGGAAGTGGGTGGGAAGAGGAGGAGACAGCAGGCCTCTCTCTGGCTCCAGGGCCTGTGCTTTGACCACCTCCCGTCCTGTCCTCTGGCTGCTCATAGAGTCAGGAGGGGCCTAGGAACCCAGGCCAGCTTTTCCCCAGGGTGGGGAAGGAAGGATTTTGCAGCTGGGGAAGAACAAGAGGCTTTCCTTGGTGCATGCCTCACTCTGCCTAGCTCAGCCATACATGCTGTAAAGCCAGCCATGACCTTTCCGGACCAGGGGTTGGAGTGGGAAAGGAGGTGTGCACTGGGTCAAATGGGCAGCAAAGAAGGCAGGTGCCCTGCCTGTGAGTTGGCAGTCAAGGGAGCCTCCATGCAGAGTCTCCATTCCCACCCCACCCTCGCCCTCAGTCAGCTGCCACAAGTCAGCCCACTCCTGTACCTGCTGCAGCCCAGCCCAAGAGCTCCAAAAGCTGGGGCTGTGGAGCACTCTCACTGCTTGGCATTTTCTCATTGGTTTGATTTGTT
This sequence comes from Homo sapiens, assembly GCF_000001405.40. Classification (NCBI taxonomy): domain Eukaryota; kingdom Metazoa; phylum Chordata; class Mammalia; order Primates; family Hominidae; genus Homo; species Homo sapiens. The sequence goes on from NC_000020.11 coordinate 48,190,384, forward strand.
GTTGGGGTCTGAGTGTTAGATCAGGGAGGGCAGGTCTTGTGTGTTTAGCTTTTTTTGTTTATTGTTGCTTAGCTTTTTTTCCATTGCACCTTGAACGATGCCTGGCACATAGCACGAGCTTGGTGACCATTTTGGGGTAAGTGAATTGATTCATTCACTAAGAATTAATTTGCTAAGAATGGGCTGTCAACCTAATATAATCAACAGGGTCAGAATCTAGTTTAAAGAGAATTTATTTAAGTGCAAAGTGTGAGGACAAGCTGCCTAGGAAGCAGAGATTCCAAAGAATAGAAGTCAATGTTCCAAACTGTAGAAGTTTGGGATTTTTATATAGACAAAGCTTAGGGAGGCTTAACAGAATTCCAATCTCTTTCTATGTAAGGCTTAATGCATAGTTAAAATGATCTGATTAGTTGAGATGGCTTTTGTTTTCCAGAAAGGTGAATTTAACATTCTCCATGGAAGATGTAACTGTCACGGGGTCTTGGGCACCATCTGGTCTGAGTTAGGTACAGGACAATAAAGGAGACAGTTAATCTATAACAAAGATCAGTGATTGGAAGGAGGAGAAGGTCTGTTCTTTGGTCTCTCTTAGTCATTTATAGCAACGAGAACAATGAGGAAGACAGTTAAGCTCTAATCTAAGAAGCAGAACTGCAAATATGCAGCCGTGGCTCAGTCGCCAGGGCTTAACTTCTCCCATGGCATAATACTTTTAGACAGTTCTAAAATTTTATTTTCTTTTACAGGGCTCACCTGAAACAATTATATTTTAACAAGGCAATAGTAAGAACAACAACACCAATTCCCACCGAGGGCTAACTCTGCCAGGCACAGTTCCAAGTGCATTTTGCATATTATCTCATTTAATCCTCTGCTGATGTGATCGTGTTATGTGTTATTATGTCCATTTCACACCTAAGCTCTGTGTTTGTGCTCCGAATTTCCATGGAAGGAGCCACTCAGTGCTCTAACACTTGGTGTGTGAGTCACCCCAGAAGTTCCCTCCCATGTCCCTGCTGGAGTAAGAGGTGCTATGAGGCAGTCTCTCCTGCAGGGTCTTGGGCCTAGCAAAGTCCACTAGGCCATTGGCTTCCAGGCTGTCTTGTCCCTGCATGAAGACTGAGGCCGCTTTGGGGAACTTTCTGCTGCTAAAAGTTAATAATTCTTTAAAAACACACATCACATACTATGGGCCTGGCATTGTGCTAAGTGCTTTAGATATGTTAACATTCCATCCCCAAAACTCTGGAGTGAAGTAGGTGCTATAATTATCCCTGTTTTTTTAAATGTGGAAACAGAGGTGCAGAGCAGCTAAATATCTTGTCCAAGGTCACACAGCAAAGTGGCGGAGACAGTCTGGCCTCTAGGTCTGTCCTCTTTACCACTGCTCCAGACTGTCTTTTGATGAAACTGCCCCTCACTGGATATGAAGGGAGACAGAGATGGTGACATGGCTGGAGAGGGTGACAGTTTCCCCATCGCAGCATCAATGTGTCAGTTAGGACTTGTTTGGTTGCAAGCGGCAGGAAGCCATCCCCAACAGGCTCAGCTTGAAGCTGTTTTACTTCAGGCATGGCTGGATCTAGAACCCCAGATACTGGAATTAGGACCAAGTCTCTTTCAGGGTTCAGCTAGGATTACCTCTGTGGTGGCTGCATTCTCAGGCTCCATGGGTTGGCAAGGTGAGTGTCAACAATTCTGCACCCTTGATTAATCTCACCTATAAACCCCGTGGGAAGAGACAGTCTTTCTCTAATCCCTCCGGTGAAAAGCTTGGAATTACCTGTCTTTGAATCTGATTGGATAGCCTTGAGTCAGGAGCCCCCCCCCCTCCCCCGCCCCCCGTTAACCAATCATCATGGATAAGGGAATGAAGCAGTTCTCTGATTGGTCAGTCCTAGGCATTATGTAAAGGCCGACAGCCAGGTGTGGGCCAGCTCCAACTGGGGCGACTTGTGGAGGGTGGTTCCTGGGACAACGCCCATGCCGTGATCAGGAACGGGGTCAGCAGGAGTCAGGTGGGGAAGTGCCAGGTGTCCACTGCCACGACCAACACGTTACTCACACTCACGGCACAAGAATGGCCTCTGTACCCTGTGTGTAGGTAGGTCAGAAGCTTTTTTGTTTGTATTTTATGACTTTTATAGAGTTATGATGACATGTATTTTTCTCAAATTTTCATAGCTGTCTCTCTAATGAACTACAAAGTAGGGCGTTCATGGTCCTTCTGGGAGGTGTGTGACTAATGCGGGAATTTCAAGCACCATGACAGGGCGAAGGGAGCAGAAATTCTGCAGGAAAACCGGGGGGCGGGGAGAACAGTGATGTGACATCATTAGGCTGAGAAAGAGGTAGATATGGGTCCTCGTAGCAAACAGGAATGACACTGGTTAACATTGAAGGTACTCTCTCTCAAGTGTGTCAGGCTCTGTCCTAAGCTTGACCTGCATCCTTCCATTGGAACTTCCAGACGACTCTCCGAGGTGGTGTCCCATTTCTCTGTACAGGCATATCCAGGCACAGTCGCTTGTATGTCTGAGACCTCAAGCTGGAGAGTGCTGATGGCCAACATGCTGGTCACCTCTCCACAGTCCTTCCTCCTCCTGGACAACACCCCTGCTCTCTCTGGATGGTCCTGAGCTAAGCCCGGAAGGTGAATCACAGGGGTCTAAGTCAATCGCGGGATCCCACCTCTCTGCCTGTGATTGGTGGACATTGAGCCACTTCTGACCAATGACGTGCAAGGGATGTGCTTGGGGGATTCTGGGAAAATCTTTTCTCTGTAAAGAGAGGGGGCTCATGAGGAGCATGTTTTCTCCCCTGGCCTCATCCCCTCCTGCCCTGGGCATTGTCACCTGACCCCTCCTCCCCACCTCCACTGCCACCACCTTAATCCAAAGCACAGCATCCTGTGTTCGTTTGCTTGGAATATTCTGGTCTTCTCCTCCCTGGTCTCATGCAGCCCGAGGATTCTGCTCAAATCCAAGTCAGGCCGTGTTGCTCCTCTGCTCGGAGCCCTCCAGGGATTTCCCATCTCACACTGAGTCAAAGCCCAAGACCCCATCACTCCCCACAGGACCCCACTGACCCCCGCCCCTCCCCGCACCCTCCCCTGCGTCTCTCCCTTCCACTCACTGTCCCAGCCACCCTGGTTTCCTCACAGGCCCTTGACCTCCCCGGCAGCTCCGTCTCAGGCCTCTGCACGAGCTGCTCCCTGTGCAGGGAATGATCTACCCTAGTAACCCCCATGGATCCCTCCGTCCCCCAGGTCTCTGTTCACAAGTCTCCATCTCCACTAGGCCTTCCCTGTCACAGTGTCTAAAATGCAACCCTCCCCATGCCCTGGGCCCCCACCTCTTCCCAGTTTAGTTTCTCTGATACACTACCTGGTACACCGAGCTATTTGGTTTGCTGTTCCGCTTGCCCAACCAGAACAGCAGCTCTACGGCGGCTTTGTCTCCCTCATGGGCCCCCTTTTGGGGCCTGGGGCAGTGCTGGGCACGTGGCTATCCCCAAATAAATAATGACTGAATAAGTGAATGAATGTACATGGGGGCTGTGACAATGTGTGACCATGAGGGATGCCTTGGGGGCCACATGAGGCCAGAGGAGACTGGGCAGTGGCTTGGTGACTCTGTGGAGCCCCTGCCTGGCCATGGCCCTCCCGCCTCCAGAGTTCTCCTAAGGGGTAAGAAAAGGCCTCCATTGCTGGCACCTTCACCCACCGCATCTCCCGTTGTTGCAGCCACAATTTTCTTACAAGGACAGTGGCTGGATTTGAGCCCAGGCTGTGTGGCTCCAGACCTAAGCCCAGGGCTTTGTCTGGGGTGTGGCCCAGGGGCAGGTCCTTGGGTGTGTGAGGGTGGCTTGGCTCAGCTCCTCTCCCTAGGTCACTGCAGCGGCCCTGTGCTGTTCTGTTTTCCCATCCAGAAGTCCTGAGGGTCTCAGCAGAGGGGCCCAGGATCCAAGTCCATCCACTCCCAGGGCGGGTCCCTAGCCAGCCTCTGCCCAGCATGTGGTGTGGATGCTGCCATATCCTTCTGCTTCCTGAAATGTTTCCCTTCCAGAACTTTCCAGGCCCAGGTTCCCCATGCGGGGCTGCCTGAGCACCCCCACCCTATGGCCAGCCCTGCTGCCCTGGCTTCCACCTCCAGATCCTTCCTGCCATGTCCCCCTCCAATCAGAGCCGACCCACACTGTGTCCCTCCCAGTGGCTCTACTGCCTACTGAACACGTGCACCATCACCGCCGTGGGGCCCACAGGTAATGGGAGATGCCCCCAGGTCCTGGTTTGTGCTTCGCCAGAGCCCTCCTAGAGCTGCAGGCGATGATGGGAGCTTTTCAAACACCAGCAGGGCCTAGATGAGCTGCTCCAGGGACAGGAGTGTTGCGGGCGAATGAGCTGGACGAGGGCCAGCCCTGCAGGGCGCGCAGACTTGCGGCTCTCTTCGCAGGCTTTTGGCCCAAACAGCTCTTTGGAAAAGAGCACAGGAATGGCCCCGGAAGGTGGGACCTGTTTCCATGGTGCACGCGCAACATTGGAGGACGATGGAGCTGGGACTGCTGGGGAGCAGCGAGTCAAGGGAGGGGAGGGGGCCTGGGTGTGGGACACAGGGCTGCCCTCCGTCCTTCATACCCACTGGTGCCAGCTCACCTGTCACTCCCACATGAAGGCCGAATCAGTCAACATTTTCCAGAGAAACAGAATCCATATGGAGAGAGAGAGAGAGAGAAACTTAAGGAATTCGCTCATAGGATTGTGGGGGCTCATAGGACTGTGATGCTGAGACTGGGGATGGGGGTGTGAGGGGCTGCCACAGCTGTGTCCTGGCAGCGCCGAGCCAGTCCCCTGTCCTGTTTGCAGAGTCAAGGCTATAAAGAGGGACTGAGAACACCGTGACGCCCTGGCCTGCGCACCCTCCTCTGCTCCATCTGGGTCTGTCCGGATGGCAGAGGCTCAGAGGGTCTGCCCCTACCAGATGGTGGAGGCTCAGAATGTCTGAGCCAGAAAAAGCATGAAAGAAAACTTAGCCTTCCTCCTCCCAGTTAACAGGTGAGTCAGATCCCAGTGCCCTGTAGGGACTGCAGAGGCAGCTCCCTTCTCTTGCCCTTGACTCCATGCCCTTCTTCTTCTTCCTGCCTAGCTGCACACATGGCACCATGCAATTCCCCTCCTCCTCCTCCTCCTCCTCCTCACTTCTGCTCATGTGGGGAAACCTGTGCCTTATGTATCCTGCACCCCAGGGTTCTTGGACCCTGGACCCCAGCCTGTGGGCAGCAGGCCCTCCAAGCTCCACCCACTGCTCAGCACCACGTCCATTACCCCCTGTCCAAGCCACTGTCCTCTCTTGTCCTGGTGATTAAGACAGGCTCCTGTGGAGTTTCCATGCTGCGCCTGCCCCCATGATCCATTCTCCTTTCAGCCACCAGAGTAAGCATGATAAAGTGCAATTAAGATGATGCCACTCTCTCATCTACAATCTTCAATGACTTCTCATTGCTCTTGGAATCAAATCCAAACCCCACTGTGGCTTGCATGACCCCCTGTGATCTGGTCCCTGCCCTCACGACACATCTCTCCCTGTTCACTTTGTACTAAGCACATTCCCACCTCAGGGCCTTTGCATTTGCTGGGCCTGCAGCCTGAATTGCTTTCTTCCCAGACCTTCTTGTATCTGACCCCTTTTCATCCTTCTGGTATTAGCTCACCTGTCACCCCCACGTGAAGGCTGTATCAATCAGCATTTTCCAGAGAAACAGAATCCATATGGAGAGAGGGGGGGTGGGGAGAGAGAGAGAGAGAGAGAGAGAGAGAGAAACTTAAGGGATTCGCTCATAGGATTGCGGGGGCTGGCAAGTGTGAAATCTGCAAGCAGACAGGCAGGCTGGAAATTCCAGCAAGAGTTAATGTTGCAGTCTGGAGTCGGAAGGGTGGAAACTCAGGCAGAATTTCTACGTTACAGTCTGGAGTCAGAATTCCTTCCTCTTTGAGGGACCACACTCTCTTAAGGCAGCAGTCCCCAGCACTTTTGGCACCAGGGACAAGTTTTGTGGATGACAATTTTTCCACGGACTGTGGGGGGTTGGGTGGATGGTTTCAGGGTGAAACTGTTCCACCTCAGATCATCAGGTGTTAGAGTCTCATAAGGAGCACGCAACCTAGGTCCCTTGCATGCGCAGTTCACAATAGGGTTCATGCTCCTTCGAGAATCTAACGCTGCTGCTGATCTGACAGGAGGTGGAGATCAGGTGGTAATGTTTGCTCACCCACAACTCACCCCCTGCTGTGCGGCCTGGTTCCTATCAGGCCACAGACCAGTATCCCGGTCCACGGGCCTGGGGGTTGGGAACCTGTGTCTTAAGGCCTTCAACTGATTGCATGACACCCACCCCCACTGTGGAGGGCACTCCACGCGACTCAGAGGCTACTGATTTAAATGTCAATCACATCTAAAAATTAACTTCCCGGCAACATCTAGATGGATTGTGATCAAACAACTGGGCAGCTTCACCTGGCCGATGGGACACCTACAGTTAAGCATCACGGACACCCTCACCCCCCCGCCCCCACAATCTAACGGGGATCCCTGTGGCAGATGCTGTTAGTTCCTTCCCATAAAGCCCGGAACTTGCAGCGCGCTGTGCAGATTTCCACCTTCATCTCTGTGCCTGAGGCTATTTCTCCAGAGTCCCGGAAGGCTGTTCTGGTGGGCTAGAAATGCCAAAGACGCATTACCCTGTGGGAGCGGCCCTCAACCAGTGACTCTTGGTAGCTGGTGGGAAAATATCCCAGGCCCCTCGCCCCGCAGCGGGATGACTCTGAGCTGTGTGCTCTACACTAACTTGCCCCAGGAGGATTGAGCCCCGGCTGCACGCTGCATTGCTTGCTCGGTAACACCCTGTGCTGGCTGCTTTCCCTCTCCTGTCTCATTTCCCCACCCCTTACCAGTACTGCCTGGATCCCCTTCCAGACAAACGACTTGCCCTTGGCTCCATGCTCAAAGTCGTCGTCTAGGGAGCTCAAGCTTGGATGCTCCTTCGTTTTCGCTAATCACTCTCTGTATGTCCCCTGGTCTTCTTACAATGGTAGCCCTTGTCAAAGCTCTAATCATCTTGTTTTTATGTCTGCTTTCTTTCTGCTCACTGGAAGGCTGGGTCCTGAGGGCACAGTGTCCAGCACGGAGGACACACAGTAAATATTCCCAGAAGGAGTGATGGGTGAACGAATAAATAGAATCTCACCCTGCCACCATGATTAAATTCAGCCCCAAACTTACCTGTCCCATTGTTTCCATATCCTGCCACCTCTGAGGCCTAATCTGAAGAACTGATTTGTGCCAGTGGACGAGCACTATTTCTCTAGGTGAGACATGCAGGTGTCAACAGGAAATGTCCTGAGATGTAATTCTTCAACCCAGGAAGCCACTCCAATCAAGAGAACATAAAGCAATGGTGATGGGATGTGGGGGTTCCATGGGGCTTGGATGCCCTGAGGAGGGCCTCAAATCACAGAATGATGAAGGTCTTCTGGATGCAGTGGCAGGGCAGGAGAGGTATTGCCCTGGGACTCGAGATGGGACCACAGCCAATTGCTCACTCAGCCATGGCCTGTGGGTCTGACACTGGGACCTCACTAACCCTCTTTTAACACTCCTATCTGTAAGTAGGGATCATGACCCACACTTTGCAGGGGTTCTGATGCTGCAAAATTCTGGCGCTTTCTACATGATAAGGTCTTTGCTCACCAAATGGAAGAGACTGCGTGCAGGTAGCATGGGCCTGCCTACTGCAGGTGGGGTGCTTTGGGCTGCAAGTAACAGAAAATCCAACTCAAAGTGAATTGTGTGATAAAGACAATGCACCACCTCGCTTATCATGGTCTGAGTTCCTCCATGAGGGTTGCCGCCTGGTGCGTCCTCTGTAAGCTCCCTGAAGCAGGGGCCTAGGCTGACCTTTTTTCTCCACTGCCCCCGAGAGCATAGACCAGGGCCTGGCACAGAGAAGGCGTCCAGTGAGGATTCCACCCAGGACACCATCAAACCCTCATCGCTACATGGTCTATTAAGTTGTGTTCCCCCAACAGCAGTTAAAGAAACCAAAGCTTGGCCAGGCACGGTGGCTCACGCCTGTAATCCCAGCACTTTGGGAGGCCGAGGTGGGTGGGTCACTTGAGGTCAGGAGTTCGAGACCAGCCTGACCAATATGGTGAAATCCCATCTCTACTAAAAATAAGAATACAAAAATTAGCTGGGCGTGGTGGCATGTGCCTGTAGTCTCAGCTACTCAGGAGGCTGAGACAGGAGAATTGCTTGAACCTGGGAGGCGGAGGTTGCAGTGAGCCAAGATTGCGCCATTGCACTCCAACCTGGGCAATGAGAGTGAAACTCCGTCTAAAAAAAAAAAAAAGAAGAAGAAGAAAGAAACTAGAAACTAAAGCTAAGGGAAGATAAATTACCTGCATGACATATTGAAGCACACAGAGGACAGTCCTGGCATTCCCTACTCTGGGCTCTGGCCATAACCCTGACAACCCTGCTACTCTACTGTCCTCCCTGGCCTCTCTCAGGCCAGTTTGTCCTCAGATCGGGCAGTGTGGGAGTTGACAAACCAGTCAACCCAGACTCAGATGACGCAGAAGTCTGCCCAACACAGAAGTCCACCAACCATTGCATTGTGATCATTGCACCGAGGACATAAATTCAGCAACATGTGCTGGGTCAGCTGCCTCGTTTTTCTCCAAAGTAGCAAATTTATGGGGCACACGTGCACATGGGTGATTATTTCCCAATAGTTTATAGTATCAAGCCTCCTTTCTTTCCTCCCAATAAATCTAATTTATATGGATTGGCAGATCAAACAGTGCATTTCCTGGCATCGAGAGGCTGTGAGTCACTCACAGTGCTTTAGGAAACTTGGGGAGATTAAGGTTTTGCATAATGCAAATGCGGATGGAAACATATTTGGACTGCCTCGCTGTGGATGCAATTAGAGCAATGAGCACCAGGAGAAATACTTTTTCCCAGGACACAGCAAGGTCTGCTTGGTATGCAAAGAGCACAGTTATTTGCGACACCAGAGCCTGGAACGTGGTGAGCAAAGCACCCAGTGACGGTTTGATTTGCAGCTTTAAGGAATTCAAAGATGAATAAAACATTAAATTAATTGCCAAAGAACTGTTGCCAAGCCTGCATGAGATCTAATGAAGGCACACATGCAAAAAACCAACACACACAGAACAACAAACCAAAACTGGGCCTGCGGGATGCTACCTGCCCCAAGCCCCCGAAACCACATTTGGTTTTGAGTATTTTGTCCTACTTGGAATTTTCTCTCATCAATACTCATCTCAAGTCCTCTCAGCCACGAAAGCTCTCTCCGCTTCCCCCAGCCCACAGGACGCTCCTTCGACTGTTTCCTTGTTCACTGGGGAAATGTTGACTGAGCACCTGCTATGTGTCAGGCACTGCTTTCCCAGACGCTGGGGAAACAGCACTGAACGAACCAGGCCACAATCCCTGCCCTGGTGGCTGCCTTCCTGCGGGGAGTATGATAATAAGCAAAATAGAGAAATTAATATATTGGAAAGTGCTCAGTGCTACGGAGAAAACAAAGATGAAGTGGGGATAGGAAATGCCGGGAGGTAGGGTCAATCGCAGATTGAGGCAAAGGGGTCAGGGAGGTCCCAAGATGGGGGACATTTGTACAGATCCCTGAAGGAGGTGAGGGTGGTGACTACGAGGAATGTCAGGCAGAGGGAATAGCAAGGGGAGAGGCCCGGAGTGGAGGTTCCCGAGTGTTTGAGAACCTGTGGAAGCTGGTGTGGCCGAGTAAGTTAGGGGGAGAGTGATGGTGATGCACCCAGACAAGGAGCAGGACCAAGGTCACATAAAGTCAATGCATTAATTCACCTTTCAATTCATTCATTCACTTACTCAACGAATCTTTTGAGGCTCTACTGTGAGCCAGGACCTGCTATTTTAGATCCTGAAAATCCAACATTAGACGTGACAGGCAAGGTCCCAGCTCTCACGGGGCTGTGTAATGGTGGCTGATCCGGGAGCAGGAGGGAAGTTACTTTGTTGAGGTGAGTGGGGAAGCCCAATCGCCACTCGCCTCTAGGTCCACAATCCCAGCAGAATTCCCTCTTTTGTTTGCTCTTAGGTGATTCTTGTCTTCCCCATAAGCCCATTTAGCAGATGAGAAAACTAAGGTTCCTTTGGAATGGAAGTCCTGGCTTCTCTCCATAAAGTCTGGAAATTAGAGGGAGTAGAATTAACTCCCTTTTCCTTTGCACAGGGCCAGCATGAGGCTTTGGGGAGGTTCTGAGGCAGGAGACATCCTACGTCATCTCCACAGGTCATGAACCCTATAGCATCTCCCACCAAGAGGGTCACGGACCCTACAGCATCTCCCACCAGGAGGGCCATGACCAGCCTCTGGGGCTGTGCTGCTGCATGCCAAGGAGTAGCTGAATCCTAGGAGTGGAGAATCCCCAGCCTGGAAGGGGACCCCCTCCACCGACTGCCATCACTCTGGGGCTCTCTGGCTTGAGGGCTCTCTGGGGCCACGAGGCCAGGCCTCCTCTCCACGTCCAAACAGGCTGGCTGGGTGCAAAATGCCATGGTGCTTGCTCTGGATGGGCTGGAGTTTTCCCTATTCAGGGGCCAGGGCAATGGGTGGAGGGCCTGGGTAGAGAGGCAGAGCACGGTTGCGTCCAGGCTGTGCCACCCTGACCCTGAACTCAGGCCCACAGGAGGCTCCAGGCAACAGCTGCTCTCTCCTCTGCTGGGGCCTCCTGCCTGGAAAGCCTGCTCCCACCCACAATGCCTAGATTCCTCCCTCCAAGCAGCCTTAGAGACCCCTTTGGGATCCAGATCTGCTCTGCTCCTCACCCTGGGGATCTGGGTGTCACTTTAAATAAAGGGACCGCTCGTGCTCACCAGGCTGCGGGATATTCAGAGGCTGGGCTGGCAGTTCCCATCCCGTGGTCGCAGAGTGCTATGGAGGGGAGATAATAGGTGTGATTTCTGTGCAGAGGATGGACAGGGCTCCAGGGACAGAGGATGCAGGAGTGACAGGCATCATCAGATACCATTTGTCCAGCAGCCGCTCCAGCCACCTGGTGTGGATGTGGCCTCGTGTCCATACTCTCCAGAGCACCCGGCTTAGTGGCTATCTGCCTGGCTGTCTCTCCCATTTTCATGTGAAAGGGGGCCAGGCAGGACATGGGGTCTGGGGACTGCCATCTCCTCCTGGGGGCTGCACTGTGCTGACAGTCTTGTGTCCCCCTGACAGGGGCTGCACAGACGGGCCAGGCAGAAGTGAAGGAGAAGAAGGAAGCCAACAGAAGGTGGCTTTCAGGGCTGGTCACGCAGAGGGTGGATTCTGACGGGCAGGGCTGCTGTGGGTGGTGGGCACCATCTATGCTCATCCCTGCCCAGGCAGCTCTGGGCTCCCCCAGCTCAGGTGGGCCCCCTCCTCACCCAGGGCGCAGCTGTGGCTGGCAGCAGGCATTCACCCCCTTCTCAGCTGCTCAGCCATGGAACCAGGAGCTAACTCAATTCCTCTGTCCCCAAAGTCTGTGCCCACCAGGCCATCCGCCTCAAACACTTGGTGGCCAAGGCCTGGGGATGGTCCCCAGGCTGCATCTGGTCAGTGGTCAAGAGGCTGCACCTCTAGGAGCCTCCTCTGTCACTCACCCGCCCAGGCCTGGACAGCCTGGACACTCCAGCCAGAGGCAGCCCAGAGGGTGTGGGAGGGGCTCTCTGGGGACAGAGCAGGAGGGGACACTGCTGTGACCCTGTAGCTGCAGACATGTGTCTCCACGAAGGGAAGAGGCTGCTGTCCACTGTCGCTTTCTGCAGTGACACTGTGCCCTGGCCCGGGCTCTCTGCTGGGTTGCAGAAGTGCCTGGGTCAGGACAGCTCGCATCTGCCTTCACCGCAGACCCCTCTCTGCAGCCCATCTGAGGCAATGTGGCCTCTGCTGTCCAAGACTCACTTCGAGGGGATCCTTTTCCTTTTTTAGTGGAAACCTGGTGTCCTCCCTTTGAGTGCTTTTAGGGGCTGGGGAGGAGGTGGCTATTGGCGGCAGTGCGGGGGCTTCATGCTCTGCCTGCGCGCAGCAGAGAACACGGCTTCATTGGTGGGATTTGTCTGGTGACTGGGCAGGTGGGTCGCCTGGACACGTGCTCCCAGCCTTCAGATGTGACAAGGAGGGGACCATTTGCGGGGTTGCTGTGTGCTGGGGACAGAGCAGAAAATGCCAGGCGGCACCATTTTTCCCACTCCCCACCCGCCCGTGCTCACTCAGAGGGAATGTACAGATATTCTGTTTGTAATTAAAAAGTAATTTAATTATCCGCTGAAAATGAGGTTTCAGAATTAATATTGAAATGAATTCTAGCTGTGCTGTATGATGTCTTTTCTCCCTGCTCATTAGAACATCGGGAGGGGTGAGGAGAGAAGGCCCAGGAGGAGGGGCGTCCTTCCCAGGCAGCTGTCACAGGCCCCTAGCTGAGCTCTCATGGCAGACACAGCCCAGGACACTCAGACCCAGAGTGACTACGAGCCCCGGCAAGACGTGGAGGAGCAGAGTTACAACCCGTCAAGAGCCTGATTTCAGGTTGAAACCAGGCTTCACCATGCAGCAGCTGTGTGGCCTCAGGGAAGTTACTGAACCCCTCTGAGCCTCCCATGGAAAATAAGGATGATGGTTCCCCTCACAGGGTTGTCGGGAGGATTCAGTGTCCTCCTTCAGGTCTTGACTCGGATGTTGCCTCTGAGTGAGGGCGTCTTTGGCCACCCCATTTAAAGTGCCAACCCTGACACTTCCTCCCTCCTTTCCCCTCTGTCCTCTTCCTGGCTCTTATCACCATCAGACAAACCAAGTTTTCACTTCTTGATCATTGTCCAGCCCCTGCTGTGAAATGTGAAGTCCTAAGACACAGGCTTTTTTTGTTTGTTACGTTCATTGCTTTAGAAGGAATTAAGGACAAGCTACCCCAAATGACGTCACTTTGGTATATGGATTATTTTGAGCTGCAGGCACTGGAGAAACAGCAGGTGCAGGCAGGGCCTTCGGACCTCCCCTTTTCTAACCAAGAACAGGCCATGACATTTCCCACGAGATACACACTCCCTTTGTACCAGGAAGAGAACATCCTTATCACCAAACACTGGGAGTGGATGCCGAGGTGCATCTGCACAAACACACTTAATAAAATAACCCTTTGCTTCCACCAGTTTTACTCGTTTCTCCCCCACGAATCTTCCAGTTCCTCCCCCACGATTTACTGCCCCCAGTCCAAACCTTTTTGTCTCATCATTTCTTCACAAATATATCATTTCTTCGAGAGAGATAAATGCTTTCTGCACTGGGCACTTCTTCAGGGCTTCCTTCTCTTGTGAAGGCCCCATGTACACGTCAAAATGTAGTCAAGCTTGTCCACTTTCTCCTATTCATCTGCCCTATGTCAGCTGAATTCAGAACTCAGCCAGAGACTAAGACGTGAAGGAGAATTTTTTTTTCCTTCCCAACACTTTATTCCTAGAACCCATAGTAGCTGCTGCCACATAGTAGGTGTACAGCAAAGGCCTGTTTGGGTGAAATAATAAATGAATGAATGGGTGGTGAATGAATGAAGACACAAGACGCGGAGCCCTGGGAGCGGTGACTTTGCCATAAGGTTCCCTGAGTGTCCCAAGGCCAGCGCTGCCCATCAGCCCATGCCTCCCTCTCCAGGCTGTTTCCTTCCATCCATTTCCCCAACACTCATCCATGAGCTCCTGTAAGTACCCGGTGCCATGTTCAGGCACCCTGAGAACATAGCGGTGCAAAAATGCCACATATTCCTGTCCTCCTGGAGTGGATATTTCGAGACAGGAGACAGATATTGAAGAAGTGAATGATTAAGTATAAACTATAATGTCAGATTGGGATAAGTCTTAGGAAGAAAAAACGTGCTGGAGGGAGGAACAGGGAGTCACGGGCAATGCGTGAGCAAAGGAGGTCTGAGAGGACCGCTGTGGAAGGAGGCCTGAGATCTGGAGGAGGTGGGGGAGCCCGGCAGACATAGGAGTGGGATTGGGGGGGAACAGGGGGCTTCAGCACAAGGAACAGCAAGGCCAAGCCTGGGTACGTGCAGCCTGGAGAGTCTGGGGGGCTGCAAGGGACCCCTGTGGGGTGGGAGGTGGACTGAGGAGGAGCTGGTGCCCCAAGCCCAGGCGAGGTTTTGGCTTTCGTGCTGAGCAAGCTGGGGGCCGGGATGTCCCAGCACAGGAGGGACAGGACCTGAGCAAGGTTTTAAGTCCCCCGGGGCCATGTGTGGAGACCCACTGTGGGAGTGAAGGGGAAGGCAGGGAACCCTGGGAGAAGGCCACTCAGTGGGCCGGGTATGGTGGAGCTGGACCAGGGTGGAGGCCAGGGAGATGGGACACGGGGCCAGAGCAGGAAGAAAGGGTGGCAGCAGGAAAAAAGCATGAGCACGCAGGGTCTATGCGTTGGTTGAATTTTTCCTTAGAAGACTCAACCTCAGCATACCCCTTATTTGTCAGATGTGGGTCACCACCTGCCAATCACAGTCTCACGGGCAGGTCCCGTGAGCCCCCTGGAGCTGCTGCCCTGGGCTGGGCATGTGGCCTCAGACCTGGGGGTCTGGCAGCAGGAGGGGGCACAGGCAGTGGGGAGTGACCCCACCCCATGTGGCCACAGCCTCAGCAGGTTACTGCATCTGGGTCTGTGGTCCTTAAAGTGGGGACAGTGCCCTGGCGAGTCGTTGGGAAGATGAAGTGGGCGCTGTGAGCAGACAGCTGGGTGTAGGGTGGGCACAGAGTCACCATCAGCAGAAGGCTGCTGGGGGACCAAGGTAGTGCTCTGCCCCGCCCTGGGAGGATGGGCTCCTGGAGCCAAGGATCACCGAGCCTTGCAGGAAGCCCAGACAGCTCAAGGCCCCCATCGACCAATGGCTGATCAATACTTTGTCAGCTGAGGCTTCCCGGCAAGGGAGTGGCTCCCAGCACTGGGCTTTTAGGACTAGGGCTATGATTGGCAGGGACACTGGGGACCTGGCTTCCTGGATGTCCTGGCTGGTGGGTGGACACAGGCCTCCTCAAGTGGCTCTGACAAGCGTCTCATCAATTCAAGCACAGCAGGTGGGTGCCAAAATCTGCAGGCAAATGAGGGCAGGACCACTGAGCACAGCCACAGGGGACATGCCCAGGGCAGGTATTTACACAGTGAGCACCCACTGGGCATTGCTGGTGTCTGTCCTGACTTACTGAGTGTTGGGTGTGTTGAACATGCCTGGCCCTTGCACACGCCTGTGGGCTGCATTTGAGTCTGGGACATCCAGTTGTGACCCCTGTGGTAGGCCCTCCATAAATACCTGTGGATTTGGTGGGGAGGCCAGTCTTGGTGCACCATGGGCCCTCACAGCTGCTGCAGGGGTGGATTTCCCAGGGCCACCAAGTATTTCCCTTCCCTTGTCTCCTCCTCTGTGTCACTCCGCCCCTCCTCCTCCCTCCTTCTCTGATCAGGCACAACTGACACTTGAGCCCCTGGAGGTCTGGGGATTACGGAGTCTCGGCAGACACATGTTGGGGGCTGAGGAATTACCCAGCAGCTGTTGGGCCTCAGGCTGCAGAGGGGATTTACTCCAGCTCCCAGCCCCAGGGAAGGATGAAGCCTTCTGACCCCCAACCTGGCAGAGGCTACGCAGAGACAGTACGTCCACTCCTGGGTGCAGGGGAAGCAGGGAGGTAACGGACCCCGTCTCCACCCTGAGGGACATCCCAGGCCCGCAACTGTGAGCATTAGTCAGACTGTGGACTGAGTCTGGTCCTCACACTCAGGTGAGCGGGAAACTCATCACCCCCGTACTTCTCTCCCAATTGAATGTCTCATTCCCTCATTCCCAGCCCCCATTCCGGGGGAGTGAGGAGGGGGCAACTTCAACCCACACCGGGGTACCTCTTCGGGGCCATGTGATAGTTCTGGGATTTGGCAGGTGACTAAATGTGAAGGGAGCCAGGACCTCCGGGGCCTGTCTCAGCAGGCCCTGAGCCTCACAGCACACCAGCGACTCCCCTCTTCCTCACACACGCCCCTTCCCTCCAGCAGTAAACCATGCCAGCCTGCTGCCATGGTCTGTTTAGGCTGCTATCACAAAATACCATAAATGGGTGCCTTTTAAACAACAGGAATTTCTTTTTCACGGTTCTGGAGAACATGGAGTCCGTGATCAAGGTGCCTGCAGATTCAGTACTGGAGAGGGCTTATTCTCTGGTTCAGAAAATGCTGCCTGCTTGCCATGTCCTCTCGGATGGTGGAAGGGCTGAGCCAGCTCTCTGGGGGCTATTTGATATGGGTACTCATTCCATTCATGAATCCTAATCACCTCCAAAGCTCCCACTTCCTAATACCTTGGGGGTTACGACTTCAATATTTGAATTTGGAAGAGACACAAAAGTTCAGACCATAGCATCTGTCTTCTAGTAGAACCAGAATTCGCATACTTCTCGCCTCCTTCATTGCTACCACACATCCAAGCCTCCTTACCTCCCTCCTGAATACTGCATTGGACCCGTCTCTGGTCTTCTGCAGTTCCTCCTCCATATTCAGCCAGAAGGGCCCTGTGAAAACCTGAGACAGCTCCTGTTCCTCCTCCTCACAGCACTTCTTCCCTCCAAAGACAGTCCGTGCAGTTGTCTACAAGGCCCTGCCTGATGCGACCCTGGTTATGTTTTGCCTCATTTCCCTTACTTCCCTCTTTCTCACCTTCTTCCAGCCACAGCAGCCTCATTGCTGTTCCTCAAACACACCTGGCATCATCTAACCTCAGGGTCTTTGCACATGCTGCTTCCTCTACCTGAAATGCCCTTTCTCCAGATGACTAGCCCACATGGCTTTCTCCCTCAACAAATCCAGATCTTTTCTCAAATGTCACCTTATCAGTGAGCCCTTCCCAATTACTCAATATATAATTTAGACCCACACAATCACACACATGCATGTGTGTCATGCACACACACACACACACACACACACACATCTTATTCCTCTCACCTGCATTCTTTTTCTCCTTTGTAGTTACCACCACTCAACATGTTATTTATTTACTTAATTACTCTGTTTACTGCTGGCTCCACTGATAGAATATCAGCCGCATGAGGTCAACAGCTGTTTGTTCACAGCTGGGTCTGTTGCACCTGGCATTCAATACTTTTCTGTTGACTGGATGGTGGATGGATGGATGGACGGATGGATGGATGAGTGGATGGATGGATGGATGGATGGATGGATGGGTGAATGGATGGATGGATGGATGGATAGATGGATGGATGATGAGTGGATGGATGGATGGGTGAATGGGTGGGAAGGTGGATGGATGAATGGATGGATGGATGGGTGAATGGGTGGGAAGGTGGGTGGATGGGTGGGTGTTGGATGGATAGATCAATGGTCGTGCATTGCTCCTGTCAAGCTGATCTGGAGGCCCCTGCTCCTTCTGGGGCCGGTATCAAACACAGAAACCTTAGGGAGACTGATCTGGGTCCCCTGTGTCTAATGCCCCAGGAAGGTGGCCAGAGTCCCTGATGGGTGTGGTGTGTGGCTTTGAGTACAGCAAGGGCCTGGGTGGAGTTCAAGGAGGCACCAAGGCCCAGGCAGGGAATAACTGCACCTCGAGTCTAGGTCAAGCTCAGTCTTGCAGGCATTTTATGTTTGGCCCACATGGTGCTTTTAAAACGGACTTTTAGCAATACTTAAAAATCAGGAGACTTCATAGAATAACCCCTGGTTTCTTGCAAAAGCAAAGAATTAAGTTTCAAAGGGCCTTGCTTCCTTCACATAACAATTAGCCAGACCTGGGGAGTGGCCGTCCCTTTACATGGTACCTTCCTGCCAGTTCACTGCCACCCCCAACGGGCCCGTTCACCCATTATGTCCTCGCCTCGCCCCTTCAGACATGTGCGTTCGCAGCCCCTGCCTGGTTGGCTGTTGGATCCAAGAGAATGGCAGAGAGTGCCCACCCCACAAGGTGCAGGAGCTGTGGGGTATTTTCATGTGCCCCCAAGTGGCCCAGAAGTAGCAGAGAGAACAGCTGGGCTAGGAGGGCTGTGGGACCAGCACAAGGAGCGTGTCCAGGATGCCCACGATCCAGGCTGCAAGACGAGTGTCTCAGCAAGTGCTGACTCAGAGGGATGTGACCCAATGACCATGTTAGTTCTCACTGTCACCTGGTACCAGGTAAACCCTCCAAAAAGGGAAAGGGCCACCCTAAATTGTCTGAGGTCAAACTTCCACTACCCATGCAACACAGGGACTCAAACAGAAATAATAGTGAACATGGCAGGCATAGCTATGTCTAAGTCCTTTTATGAGAAAATGTTTTTAAATGTCCCAGCCACATGAAGAAAACATTCTGTTACTGTCCCATTTCATAGATGAGGAAACACACGTTCAAGCCCAGCGTGTTCAAGTATACTTGGCTAAGGTCACAGGGCTGGGAGGAAGCAGGTGCAAACCAGGCATTCTGGATCCAGAATCTGTGCTTCAACCAGTTTGCACTAATGCCACCAAGATATTGTGAAGTTTTGCAACAAAAGGTGCATTTCTGCCACTTCACTGGTGGATTGAGGTGTGGCTTCACCTCCTCTCTAAACAGGACCCGTAAACACCAACTGCTTTCTGGACCTCTTCAGGCTGAGGCTGCCCTGTTGTACAGACAGTGAATTGGAGGGCATGTGCCCATGTAAACAGCTGGGCTGTTTGGTGTGGGGGTGGGCGGGGGCACTGCAGCCTGACCTTTGCTCCAGCCTCTTCCTTCCTTGGGGAAGTGGTTAATTGGTTCGCCAGGCCAGAGGGTCACTCCTAGAAGCCCCTGGGACACGATCGATTTCTACTCAGAAAGCCTCAGCCTGGACCAGCTGTCACTTGTCAGTGTCACTGGGGAGTCACGTGGGCTGGAGAAGAAAGTGCCCTGAGCTCCATCCTCAGCCACATGGGCTCAAACTCCCAGTACAGAGACTCCCAGCCCAGCCTGCCCTCAAATAGAAATGCTTGTTAACAGGTCCTGCACTGCTCAGAAAAGAGTCATAAAATACTGTAACCTAGCCAGACAAGTTATTTTATAAAGGTCAGTAAATGCCCAAACATGCTAAACAGTGAAATGACAGCAATTCGAATCAAATGTTATTTATTATATGATAAAATGTTTTCTATATGTACATCTGTGAGCATGACCACGCTGAAATGAAGCCGTGGGGTGTTCACACCTAAGCACAAGAGGACAGTGAACATGGGGGTGCAAAGGCAGACTGACACGCTTGGTGCCGTAACCTCACAACACAAGAACACGACGGTGGGTGTGCCGCAAGGTGGACAATCTTCCCTCAATGTCAAAGGTTGATGCCGTCCTTAAAAATTCAGCACATCTTGGCTGGGTGTGGTGGCTCACACCTGTAATCCTGGCACTTTGGGAGGCCGAGGTAGGTGGATCACCTGAGGTCAGGAGTTCGAGACAGCCTGACCAACATGGCAAAACCCCACCTCTGCTAAAAGTACGAAAATTAGCCAGGCGTGGTGGCGCATGCTTGTAATCCCAGTACTTGGGAGGCAGAGGTAGGAGAATCGAACCCAGGAGGTGGAGGTTGCAGTGAGTAGAGATCGCGCCATTGCACTCTAGCCTGGGTGACAAGAGTGAAACTCCATCTCAAAAAAAAAAAAAAAAAAAAAAAAATTCAGTGCATCTTAAAATCACACGGAGAGGATAAAAAGAAAACCCTTTGTGGTGACACAACAATGTCCACCATGTCCCTCCTCCTTTCGAGGACACGGGTTGATTCTGGGCATGTCCTCTCTCCCCTGCAGCTGTGGCTGGAAGTCCAGGGCACTGACGCCCCCAGAGTACGGCCCTCACTGCACGTGGAGGGAGGCGGGTGTGCAATGCGCCAGCAGCCTTGTGGCTCACGGGGACACTGCCGGGCGCAGGTCCTGGACTGTTTCCCCAGTCCCCAGCAGTCTGAGCTCCCAATGCCTGCAGAGGTGACGTGTTGACACACCCAGTATCTATGGGGATGCCTTCCCTTCCCACACCCACTCCAGGGTTCCTGGGTCATGTCCCAAATAGACGACTTGCCCTTGAATCTGACTCAGGGTCTGCTTCTGGGGAGGCCAAACTGAGACCCCAACTGAGCGAGAATCTAGGTGTAGAGCCTCAGGAACGGGTTTCACCTCCTCGAATGTCTGGCAGGACATGAAAGCCCGGCTGGACCCGACACTGGCCCTGGTTGCGAAGGACTTTCCCATGCACCAAGGGCACAATGTCAGCACCCCGGCCCCGCCCACTGCTTGTCAGTGATGACCAAGTATGTTCCCACAATTCTTAGAACTTGCCCGGGGTCAGGACCACCCATCCTGAGAATTCCCACAGCTGATCCCTCCAGACAAGGACTGTGGGATCCACAACCCGGACAGCCGCCTGGGAGCTCTGGTCTGTGTGGAACAGAGGCTGACTGCCCCTGTCCCTTCCCGTTTCCATCTGTGCGGCCACCTGTCCTCCCTATTTCAGGCAGGAGGGGAAACTCCTTTGTCTCCCACCTTTGCCCTCACTGTGATGCCTCGGGTGCCTTCCTTGGAGGGTGCAGTGCACCGTTCAGAGGTCATGAGCGCTGGCATGGGCGGAACCACTCCCAGATGGGTTTTATTTCATTCACGGAAATGGCCCCCAAGTGTACTGAAAAGTGGAATCTGTAGTCAAAATGTTTAAATAAGGAGACTTTACATTTAAAGAACTGCATTTCCAATTTCTCTTGAGTAATCACAAGTTGTGGGAACACAGGTGACATTTGCCCTTGGTAGGGAATCCCTGAGCTGAGCTGCAGCTGCCCCTCCACACAGGGCCTGTGCTCCCCACTTTGCCACAATCCCCACTCCTCCCTGTTGTCCCCACTCCTGGCCTGTTTCACTCACTCACACCCCCTGCCTTGCTCCTGTGAGTTTGTGTCCCTGCCAGACTGGGGACTCCACACTGAGGCTGAGGTCACCCCACTCTCTCCCAACGTTGCAGAGCTGTTACAAGGACAAATGAGATCATGAGTATAAAGTGCCTGGAACGTAGATGAGCAATACAGGTCAGACAATCTTAGGATTATGGTTACTGTTTATAAAGTTATAGAGACGGCACAGTGTAGGGTCAGGAGGGTAGGCTCTGCAGTATGGCTGCCTGGACTCAAATCCCCACTTTGCCATTTCATCTCTGAGTGACCTTGGGCAAGTTACTAACCTCTCTGCCACTCGGTTACCTCATCAGTAACCTGGATGATCAAAATTGCACCAACTTCCTGGGGCTGTGGGGGCTGAGTGAGCTCAGGCACCTCGAGCGCCCAGACCCCAGCTGCCCACAGTGAACGCATCGACAAGCAGCAGCTGCATGTGTGTTAGCACTATTGTTCTTCAGCACTCCCTACCTCACCTAAGCCCCCACGAACTTCGGATGCCACTTCAGGTCTTCCTCTTCCAAGAGGCCCTCCCTGACCATCACAGGCTATGAGCACCTCAGGTAAACATGCTTCTGATCAGCGCCCAGATCTCCCCAAGTCAGCATGTCAGGTGTGCGCCTCCACAACCCATAACAATCACAATGGTGATGATGGTGATGGTGGTGATGATGATGATGATGACGATGAATGGTTATTGAGTCCTGAAAACAGGCCAGGAGTTGCATTTCACTCTCTGAGCCACCTCATTTAACTGACCAAGGGTGATGAGGACTCAGGTGTCATTCCTGCACCCACCAGGCCTCCTGACAGGAGGGAAGGATTAGGACACACATTCCAAGCACCTGCTGTGTACCAGGCACATTTATACAGGTTGACTCCCTTAATTCTGTGGGATCTGCATTACCATTACCCCCATTCCACAGACCAGAAAACTGAGGCTGGGAGCGTGAGGTGACCGGCCTGGGGTCACACAGCCAGTGAGAGACAGAGGGTATCAGGCACTCAGGTGTGTTTGGTGCCAAATACCAGGCTCTGCCCGTATCTCCATGGGGCGTTTCCTCCAGGTGTGAGTGGGAAGAAGATTCCACAAGGCTGCTGCCCTGGGTGGGCTGTTGGCACAGAGAACAGGGCAACAGTTGGAGGCAGACGTCTGGGGTCCCTTCCCTGCACTCTCATAAGCTCCCCTGGACACACTCCACATCAGGATCCTGGGTCCCCTCGGAGGATGTCTGCTCACCTCCGGGAGGGGAAAGGAGCTGATGAGAATGGAGGGCCCCTCCCTGCAGTGCCCGGACCCCAGCCCCAGCTCCTCAAATCACAGATGGTGGCACTCCAGCACCTTGAGGATGCAAGTAGGAAGGGCATGGGGCTCTCGTTTCTCTCCTTTCCTCTCATCTCTCTCTCCTCTCCAGTCCTCTCCTCACCTCCACTGCTCAGCCCTAGGCCCCTGAGTGTTGGAATTAATGCTGACCTGTGCCATGCCAGGTGTTTCCTTGAATTATTCCTTGGCCTTTTGGTTGCAAGAACCCAAATCAAGGACTAGAACAAAACTAAGAACAAAGAAACAAAATGTCTGGTTTGCTGTTCCACATTCACAAGATGGCTTCAGGCACAGCTGCATCCAGGGGCTCTTACAGTGTCACAAGGGTGCCTCCTCTTGGTCTCTCAGCCCTGCTTCCCTCTGTGTCGGTGGAGTTCTCAGACTGGCCCTTCAGGTAGTGGCAAGGGGGTCCCCAGCAGCCAGGCTTCCATCCTCCAACTTAGCACCCTCAGCAGAAACTGGGCTCTTTCCCAGTGAGTCTGGCACAGCCCTGGGGTGACACTCATTGGCTCAGATAGAGTTATGGATCTTACTGGCCAGAGCCAGGTCACATGACATCCCTGTGCAGAGAAGGGGCTTGAACCACTTGGACTGAGAGTGGGAGGAGTTTGCACTGCGACCCTGTGGTGGGTGTCAGGGTGCAGGCTGCGGTATCTGTGGCCACAACATCAGTGTTGGGTCCCCAGGGATCAGTCCTGCCAGAGATGCTTTCTTGCTGCCTGCATAGCCTCCTCATCTGCTTCTTTGTCCTCCCAGAGGTTCAAGAGCCCCTGGTGACCCTGTAATCCATTCCTTTCTCTGCTCAAACCAGCCAGAGTGGAGCCTCTGGTTGCAAGAGGAGCGCTGATACTCTCATGGTAAAGCCTCATTTTACAGATGGGGAGGCTGCGCCCCAGGGAGGGGAAGTGACTCCCAGTGTCACAGGTCCCATGAGTGGTGGAGACAGGATTTGAACTGGGGACACCGGACAGCTGCGCCTGCTCCACTCCAGGCTGACGTGGTCTCCTTTCTGCAGGGCCAGGGCCAGGCCCTCAGCAAGGCTGCTGGGGAGTCTTGGGGACAGAGCTGCTGCCCTGGCTGGGGTGGCCTTGCAGGAGGGGCGGGGCCTGCTGTCCTTCCTGGGTAGGCTGAGTCTTGCTCTGTCCTGGCCAGTTTTAATAGCCTGAGGGCAGAGGGGAGGCAAAGGTGAACTCTAATGAGCCATTGATTTCTCAACAGGAAGCCGGCTGTGGCCCCAGCGCATTTCCTCCTAATGGATGGGAAAGAAAATGTGAGGACAGCGGTGCCCTGGCGCGGGGCCACCCTCGGGCACCTCGCTCATTCCCGCTGTCTGCACCTTCTGAGGCCCGAGGTGGACTTTTCGGGAGGCGGCCCAGGGTGAGAGAGTCTGTTTGTCCCATTCCAGCTCTCACCCCCAGCGTCCAGCAGGGTCTGGATCCCGCCATTTGCTCAGACGTTCAGGCTGCTTCTGTCCAGGGACGGGACCGTCACTCTGCTGTTCAAGGCAGACCTGAGAGCCACCTGGAGTCCCTCAGTGTGGCTTTTCCACTCTGACCCAAGGCAGGCCGCCTCTGCACACCTGCCCTGTCCACACTTAGGCAGAGCCCCCGTCACTTCTCCCTGGGTCACCGCAGATGCCTCTACCCGGGGCCTCTGCAGTTTACTGTCCCCATGGCATTGAGAACACTTTAAACCTGCAAGTCGGGCCATAATCTCTCTGCCTGCTGCCCCCACGGCTCCCCACCTGACTCAGAATGAGTGCCAGCGCCCCGGCCTTGGCCCTAGCCTGTGCCACATGACTGCCCTTTGTCCTCTGGGTCCTCCCCCAACCTCCCCCTGCTCTGTGACCTGCAGACTGACCAGGTGGCCCACACCACAGGGCTCCCTTGCCTCTGGCTCTGGATGTGTCCCCCCAGTGGGGAGTCCCATTGGGAGGTCAGCAGGGGTGGTGTTGGAGTTCACCTGGTTCCTTTTTTGGGGGGTTGCCTGGGGCTGGCTGTGCCCTGGCCTCCTTTCTATCCTCCACTACAGGACCGTCTTTCCTGCCCCAGGGCCTTTGCACTGGCTACTCCCATTGCCCGGACTGCTCCTTAACCCACTCCTCCGGCACTCAGTACACAGTGCAGCCAAGGGCTGCGTGAGGAAGTCTGGGGGAGGGAGGGGCAGGTTGTGCAAGAGAAACAGGAGCTTCCCTCAGGCCACATGGACCTGGGGCAGAATGGATCTCAGTGGAGATGTCAAGCTGGTGGCTGTCACTCAGAACCCAGAGCTTCGAGGAGGGGACTGAGCTGGAGGCAGATGTCAAGGGGGTGTCTTGGTTGATGTGTGTCCTGCAGTGTCACCTTGTCAGGGACACCTCTTCACCCCTCCCATCTACAGTGTGTGCTCCTGCTTCCCCCATGGATCCCTAAAGCAGCACATTATATTTTCATCACACAATCCTCATCATGCAATGATCATTCTTGGTGATTAGTGTTCAGCACTGCCTTTCGTCTTCCATTTTAACTACTGAATCTCAAGGGTCGAACACAATCCCAGCCTCATAATAAATGTTCAGTAGTGTTTGGCTAAATAAAATAATCAGTGAATACACAGTGTGCATTTAACACACACATACATTCATAGCCCTGTCCCACCTGTACACACTCACGCACCTGTGTGCATGAACACGCCCACCCTAGGATCCTTTCCTGATGGTGGGATTCTTGTGTCCAATGACGTGATACAGCTCCCTGGGAGGAGCTTCAAATGGTGCCCACCACAGAGCCAGTGCCCATCTTCACTGCCCCGTGGACACCTGTGAATTCGAACCAGACATTTACCTAGACTCTCTCTCCCAGCAGGAGCATCGCCAGACCTCTGTGGATTTGTGCTTTATCCTTGTTTCTCTGCTCCGGGTGTCTGGGGAGGATTTATGGAGGAAACAACATAATGAGACCTGAGTGACTTAGAGCTTGGGGAGGTCGACCACAGCATCTTCAGAGGGAAGGAAATTCAGATGGCAATCGTCCCAGTGGATGACTTCACGTGGTTTCCCTGGGGAAGCCCCGCCCCCAGCTGCTCCTTCCCGAGGCCCTACCTGCCCTTCCAGGCCCAGCCCAGTCCTGCCTCTCCCAGGAGTCTCCTCTGAGCTCCTGGGTCACAGGGAAGGGTCTCCTCACAGCTCCTGAGGCAGCTCTGCCCGCCCACCCACTGGGGTTCATTTCTGGCCAGAGCTCCTCCCTCCTCCCCAGGGCCTCCTGTGGGGTCCTCAGAGAGCTGCTTGTCCCCCAAAGCTGTCCTTGGTGTCTTCTTAGCTGAGGACGGAGTGTTAAACACATCACAGACAGGACCATAGTATCCCACACTACGCCATAAAAGGAGAGTTACAACTTTCAACCTCTGTAAATATTTAAAAGTAATGAAATTATACTCCAAGTCTTATAAGACATTAATTGTATCAAGGGTCTCTTGTATAAAAATATGCATGTATACATTAACACTATAAGTCTCTAGAACCACAGATATGACACAAAATTAACATAGGTGCTAGAATAAATATTACAAGGTTTATTCACACTGGCTTAGCTTCTCTTTCTAGAGCTTAGGAGGCTGTTTGGGGATAATTTATCTATTTCGACTGTGCCAAAAGCTGGTGCAAAGCCTGGGCTTTGGGGCTGTGGGTGTGCACACAGCTGGGGTCAAGGGGAGGTTTGATCTTCAGAGCTGAGCAACCTTGGGAGGAACACGAGCCCCTCTGCTGTCCGGGTTTCCTCATCTGTAAAATGGAATCATCCCAGGATTGTCTGGGGCTGCGGTGAAATCACACATGTGAATCATGTGAACAGTGGACTCAGGACCGAGTGACTTCTCATTAAATCAGAAGCTTTCATCGTCACTCGTTTACACAAATACCCCCTTCCCCCAAAAGCATCCCCAAAGCCCCAGGCTCTGCCAAACTCCCAGGCAAGGGTGGCTTGGTAGATCGTCATAAACAGCTAACATCATAAAAATATGCTCCTAGACACGTTTTTTAAAAGTGTGTATTGAGGCCGGGCACGGTGGCTCACGCCTATAATCCCAGCACTTTGGGAGGCCGAGGCGGGTGGATCACGAGGTCAGGAGATCGAGACCATCCTGGCTAACACGGTGAAACCCCGTCTCTACTAAAAATACAAAAAAATTAGCCGGGCGTGATGGTGGGCGCCTGTAGTCCCAGCTACTCGGGAGGCTGAGGCAAGAGAATGGCGTGAACCCGGGAGGCGGAGCTTGCAGTGAGCCGAGATAGCGCCACTGCACTCCAACCTGGGCGAAAGAGCGACTCCGTCTCAAAAAAAAAAAAAAAAAAAAAAAAAAAAAAGTGTGTATTGATTACACAATAGGCTCCAATATAATACAAAGTTACATAGAGCAGATTAAAAATACAACTCTCTCTGGGCCATAAATTTGACTTAAAACTTGCACATAAGCTGGAAAAGACACTAAACATTTCATTAATGCTTATCTGCTGGGCCTCAGAATTTAGCTCTGTGGATGTGTTGCTTTCTGCTGCGTGATCCGGTTCCCTGTAGACACGTCTGTGGCACCCCCGCCCCACTTTGATCTGTGTTTCGAAATTTATAATTTACCTCCCACCTCCTGATGTGGCGCTTTCCGTCTGCTCAGGACTCCAGTGAGGTCATCCATTCAGTACGTATTCATTGAGCTCCCACTCTGTGCCAAGCAAGATTCCAGGCATCGGGGCGTGAAACGCTAGAAAAAAGACACAGATGAAATATAGTCTAATCAGGTGAGATAAAGACAGGAGGCAGGAGGAAACGATGGGAGGAGGGAGTGAGGGAGGAAGGACAAGCGAATGCCAGTGAATTGCCGGTTTGCTCATGCACTGTCATTAGACCTCACAGCAACCCTACCGTCAGTGCAAGTGCCGTTATGTGCGCTATTTTACAGATATGGAGACTGAGGCCCAGAGAGGTTAAAGTAACTGCCCAGAGACACCCAAGTAGGAAGTGGTGGGGGCATGAATTGAACCCAGGTCCACCTGAATTCAAAGCCTCTCACGGGTCTGGAATGAAGGAAGGACGGAATGAATGAGTGAACGAATGAATGAATTCTGGAGTGAACGCATGAGCAAATACATATCACTGTCAAGTCCCTGCACATCAGGATTCCATGATAACTCTTCAAACCCAAGGAAGGGTCCAAGCCTCTCTCTACCTCTCCCTCTCCCCTACTTTCTCATTCCCAAGAATTATTTAGGATCCAGATCAAGAAACCTGGCCCTCTTCTGCTCCTCTCCCCGCTGCAGATGGCATTTTGCCTGGCCTGCTGGGGCAGCCCCCAAACCGCTCTGCCTGATTCCGCCTTCACTTTCCCCAGGCCATTCTTCACTTACTAACAGAGGACTCCTTGAAGACCTGAGGCCGACCGTGCCCTCCCCTGCTCAGAGCACTCCAGGACTCCCACCTCACTCAGAACAAAAGCCAAAGTCCTTACAGAGGACCCCAAGGCCCAGTGAGATTTGCCCACCACTTTCTACAACCCCAGCTCCTTCCCCTTGCCCCCTCGCCCTCTCAGCCACTGTGGCCTCCTCGCCCTTCCTCTGCCACACCAGACACTGGCTCGCCCACTGTGCAGTCCTGGCCTTGTTCTTTCCTCTGCCTGGAAGTTCCTTCCCCAGGCATCCTGCTGTCAGCTCCCCCAGTTCTTGGCTTAAGTGTCTCCTCCTCTGTGAAGCTCACCCTGACTACCTCATTTCTAATGGCAGCCTCACCCCCACATTTTGTACTTTATTTTTCTCTTAGCACTTGTGACCATCTGACATCTGCTTATGTATCTCAATGGCTGTCTGTCTCTTCCTCAAATACAATGTCAGCTCAAGAGGGCAGGGATTTTTATTTTCCAGTCCTCCCTGTATTCTCCCTTCCTAGAATCCCTTTCATATCAGTTAAAACAAAAATCAAACACCTGCCAGGTGTGGTGGCTCACGCCTGTAATTCCAGCACTTCGAGAGGCCGAGGCGGGCGGATCACCTGAGGTCAGGAGTTCGAGACCAGCCTGGCCAACATGGTGAAACCCCGTCTCTACTAAAAATACAAAAATTAGCTGGGAGTGGTGGCACGTGCCTGAATCCCAGCTACCTGGGAGGCTGAGGCAGGAGAATTGCTTGAACCCAGGAGGCGGAGGTTGCAGTGG
The DNA here is from genome assembly GCF_000001405.40 of Homo sapiens. Taxonomy (NCBI): domain Eukaryota; kingdom Metazoa; phylum Chordata; class Mammalia; order Primates; family Hominidae; genus Homo; species Homo sapiens. The sequence goes on from NC_000020.11 coordinate 48,218,881, forward strand.
GCTGAGATCGTGCCATTGTACTCCCGCCTGGGTGACAACAGTGAAACTCTGTCTCAAAAAAAAAAAAAAAAATCAAACACCAACAGCAAAAACCTTTCCTCAGCATGTTCTTGGTGCCCACCTAAGGGCCTGCCTCTGTCCAACATACACTCATGGGCATGGTGTGTCAACGAGGCCCAGGCTTGCTGAGGACCCAACGCTAATGGCATTTGCTAACGGCTCCAGGCCTCACGTCTCTATGTTTCACCTAATTTCTGTGAGCATCGTTTCTCTACATGATCGACCCACGCCTCATTCTGTAAGCCCCTCATTGGGATAAACTGGGTCCTCAGAACCTGGAAGTTCATTCAGGCAATGGAGGTCTTCTGCATCTCATCTGTCTGCAGAGTTCCCAGGACCGGGCTGGGAAGACAGGGGTTATTGTGTGTCCTGCTCACTCTGGACACTGAGCACACGGAGCTGGGGCTGGTCTACCGTGGGTGCTGGCTACATATTTAGGTTTGAAAGGGTCTAAAAGAGATAAACAGCAGCTGAGGACAGGTACCAGGATTGGGTGCAGGGGAGCTGTTGGAGCTGAGACATGAAGGATGAGACACAGCCACCAGAAGAAGATGTGGGAAACAGCGAGTGCCTAGGTCTCGGGGCAGGAGTGAGCAAGGGGAGCTGGAAGAACAGCAAGGAGGCCCCTGTGGTTGAGGGAGCCAGGGGAGAGTCTGAGAGGCTGCCAGGGGCCAGGTTATGCAAGATATTGGAAGCCATGAAAGGGAGCTTGGATTTTCTTCCAAGGGCAATAGGGAGCCATTGAGAATTTCCGAGCAGGAGGATCACATGATTTGATTTACATTTTTAAACGCTCATTTCAGCTGCCGGGATGAGCATGGATGGAGGGAAGCCTGATTGGACAGCAGAGACCACGGATGAAGCTGCTGTGACTATCCAGGAGGCCAAGATGGATGAGGGGCTCTGTCCAGTGAGGCATCTGGGGGGCTCAGGCACACTTTGGAGATAGGCTCGGCATTCCTGCTTGGCTGGATGGACTCTACGTTAAGGCTTAGGAACAGAGCCCCTGCTGACACTGAGGTATAGCCATGTCTGGTAATTCTCTTGTTCCTGGGACATATTCACTGAGCGACCTCACAGGAAGGAGAGGTGGTTGGACCTGTGCCCTCTCCAAAATGCCACCACGACACAGTCCTAATGGCCCCTAAACTCCAGACTTCCCAGATGCATCCAATGGGGTATTTGCCCCTGGGCCTTCCCGTGGGGTCTCCCTTCTCCTTCTCTGAGGAAGCTTCCACCTGGAGTTTGCAGAGGGCCATAAAGCTCATGTTTATTCTGCTGATTTATATAAATGACTTTCCTTTCACAAGCACGCCCATCAGCACTGAGCATGTCCACATTAATTGGGCTGGAGGAGGAAAATTAAGTGCTTCAATTTGCCATTTTTCAAGATGAAAAATGGGAAAGGAGAAAATCACTCAAGTGAGAGGGAAGGAGCTGTGAGTGTTGAAACCCACTTCGAGGAGAGGCAGAGGCTGCGCTGAGGGGAACAGACTCCTGTAGGGAGCAGCCCTGGACGAAGGAAGGAGGTGATGAGGTCAGAGCCCACAGCAGCCCCAGCAGCCCTTCATGGACCTCAAGTGTTTAAACATAGTAAAGCACATTTGCTCCTGGCTGTCCTGTAGGGTAGCATTTCCTGAACCCTGAGTCAGATGGGGTCCTAAAGTTGCAAGGACAGAAAATCCAACCCCAACAGACTTAAGCAAAAAGGGAATAGATAGCTTTGGGAGGCCGAGGAGGGTGGATCACTTGAGGTTAGGAGTTCAAGACCAGCTTGGTCAATGTGGCAAAACCCTGTCTCTACCAAAAATACAAAAATTAGCTTGGCATGGTGGTGTGCAGCTGTAATCCCAGCTACTCGGGAGGCCAAGGCAGGAGAATCGCTTGAACCTAGGGGTGGGGGCTGCAATGAGCCAAGATCATGTCATTGCACTCCAGCCTGGGTTACAGAGTGAGACTCCATCTCAAAAAAAAAAAAAAAAAAAAAAAAAGGAAAAGGAATAATGGACTCAAAGAACTGAAAAGCTTTGAGGGTTAGTCCAGTGTCAGGTAGAGCTTGATCTAGGGACCCAGACACTTTCTCCCACCCCTCCAGGGCTGCTGTCTCCTCTTCCTTTGCTTGTGGAGAGATTCCACCTACCAGCTCAGCAGCCCCAGGGAAAGACCTTCTCTTCCTGGCGGCCCCTGAGGACTTCGCAGGATTCACCTGATTGGACGCGACTTGCCATGTGTCCATCTCTGATCTAAACACTGGGGTCAAGGTGGCAGGATTTGCTCACAGCCAGGGCCACTCCCTCAGGTGACTTGGTACGAGTAAGAAAGGGATGCCCCTTCCTTTCAGGAGAAGCAGCCTGTGCCAGGACATAAGTCTGTACCTGGTGATTCTGAATATGCCAGTTCACAGACCTGGATCTTGTCCCTTGCATGGAGCTGGGTGTGGGGCCCACCCACCTACAGCACATGAACCAAGAGTGGAGGATGGAGGTTTCCCAAAGGACAATCAAGGTGCTGTGCCCAGGAGGCAGAGCTCATTCATTCATTGCCTGTTTAGAAAATGCTTACTATGTGCAGTGAAGAAAGAGCTTAGAGCCTCGTTTGGGGATTGTCTTCATCTGTTTTCTGCTGTTATTACAGAATACTACAGATTGGGTGATTTAATAGAAAAGAGGCCAGGCACAGTAGCTCATACCTGTAGTTCCAGCATGTTGTGGAGCGGACACAGGTGGATCACTTGAGCTCAGAACTTTGAGACCAACCTGGGCAACATGGAAAAACCCTTTCTCTACAAAAAAAAAAAAAAAAAAAAAAAAATTAGCTGGGTGTGGTGGCATGTGCCTGTAGTCCGAGCTACTCGGAAGGCTGAGATGGGAGGATTGCCTGAGCCTAGGAGGTTGAGGCTGCAGTGAGCCGAGATCATGCCACTGCACTCCAGCCTGGGCAACAGAGCAAGACCCTGTCTCAAGAAGAAAAAAAAGAAAAAAGAAAAGAGATGTATTTGGCTCACAGATCACCACTCTGGAGGCTGGGAAGTCCAAGACTGAGGGGCTGCCTCTGGTGAGGGGCCTACCTGCTGCATCAGAACATGGTGGAAGGCATCATACGGTGAGGAAGCACACGCATGAGACAGAGAGAAAAAGGGGCTGGACTCTGGCAGTAACTCAGCCTTTCTGTGATAACAGCATCAATCCATTTGTGAGGGCAAATCCCTCATGACCTAGTCACTTCTTAAGGGTCTCACCTCTTAATACTATCAGAATAACAATTAAATTTCTTTTTTTTTTTTTTTTTTGAGACAAGGTCTCACTCTGTTGCCCAGGCTGGAGTGCAGTGGCACAATCTCTACTCACTGTAACTTTGACCTCCTAGGCTCAAGCAATCCTCCCACCTCAGGGTCCCAAGTATCAGGGACCCACAGGTGTGTGCCATCATGCTCGGCCAATTTTTTAACTTTTTAAAAGAGACAGGGTCTCACTATATTGCCTAGGTTGGTCTGGAACTCCTGGGCTCCCACCTGGAGCTCCTCCCACCTTGGCCTCCCAAAGTGCTGGAATCACAGGCATGAGCCACTGCACCCAGCTGGCAATTAAATTTCAACATGAGTTTTGACAGGGATATCCAAAACACAGCAGGGGTATAGACAAAAATAATCAATGAACTTATTAGTTATATAATATTCACGACAGCAGTGTTGTGGAGAAACGTAAAGCAGGACGGGAGGACAGGGCATGCAGTGTCAGATGGGGTGGCCTGGGAGGCCTCACAGACAAGGTGACATTTGAGCAAAACTTGAAGGAGATAAGTCCTGTGGATGTTTCAGAAAATAGAAATCCCAGAAGAAAAGCAGGTGCAAAGGTCCTGGGGCCGAAGATGAGTTGGCCCAAGCCAGTGTGACGGGGCAGATCCTGCAGGCCCTTGTGGGCCATTAGAAGGAATTTGACTTCTGCTTTATCTGCCATGAAAAGCCCCTGGGGGTTCTGAGAAGAAAAGAGACATGATCCGTGTTCTAATCGAATTGCTCAGATTGCTGTATGAGATTAGTTTGTCATGGGGAGGGTGGAAGCAGGAGGTCAGTGAGGAGGGGACTGCAATTGTCCAGGAGACAGGGGACATGGCTCTGGACTTGGGTGGTGGCAATGGTAATGAGAAGCAGTTGGATCCTGGATTTAATCAGGAAGCAGACCATAAAGGGTTTGTATCCCGGGTAGGCAAAGGTAGCAAATGGCCCCTACAAGTGGTGAACTAACTAGATACTGATCAAAAGCAGGCAATCTCTCTGTTTAAAGGTGACCCATTTCCTGTATACTCGTCTCCTCCCTCATGTCCCTCAGGTGTCATCAGGGAGTTCCGTGCTCCTTGTCTAGAGCCACCTGACTGTGGATAGCTCAGCCAATTGGGTGGGACCTGTGTGATCCATGGAAAGAGATGGATGTTGTGAGCTGGGTGCTGAGGCTCCTCGTGGTACCCTGAACCCAGAGCCATGCTGGAGGCAGGGAAGTGGCACAGCTCCGCTCCTCCTGGACAAGATGCTTAGCAGTCCCTGGTCCCCAGATGCAGAGGACAGAGCCTTCATAAAGCAGCCTTCTCTTCTGTGGATCAGCCTGGTCCCACCTTTTAGGTGACCCAAGGGAAAACTCTGAGCTCTGTTAGGATTCTTGCAAAAACTCAATTCAAACAGACTTAAGTGAAACAAGAAAACCTCCCAGCCCATGTAATGAAGTCAGGCGTATTGGGCTTCTGACCCAGCTGGCTCCAGGGCTCCAACAATCTGGCCACGACGCAGTCTGTCTCCACTTCTGGGCTCCGCTGTCCTCTGTGTTGGCTTCACTCCCAAGTAGGTAGTCTCCACAGGGGACCATGACGACCGCCGGCAGCTCTTGGCTTCCATCCCCCAGCTCAGCAGTCCCGGAGCACAGAGAACGTCTCTTTCCCAGAGTCAGCAAAGCCCCAGGGCATGCTCCCATTGGCCCATTGTGGTCACATGTCTGTGACAGGCCACAGAACGGCCCCCACGAAAGGTGTCCACGTCAAATACCTGGAACCTGCGGTGCCCACGTAGGGCAAAGATGTGGCTAAGCTAAGGATCTTGAGACGAGGACATGATTCTGGATTATTTCGAGTGGACCCTAAATACTGTCATGGGTCCTTATTAGAGGGAAGAGGAGAAGACAGAGGAGGAGGCAATGTGGCCACAGTAGCAGAGACTGGAGCATTGTGGCCACAAGCCAAGGAATGCCCGCAGCCACCTGAAGCTGGAAAAGGCAAAGAACAGAGAGGCAAAGTGGGGCAAAGTCCCCACCCCCTGAGCCTCCAGAGAGAGCCGTGGCCACCCTGACTTCAGGTTTCCCACCTTAGGGCTGTGAGATGTGAATTTCTTTGTTGTGGGCTGCACCGTTTGTGGTAATTTGTCATAGTGGCCACAGGAAACAATGTCCCTCCCACTTCCAATCAGAGTCCAGTAGGATGGAGCGTTCTGTATGGTCTCCCTGGGGTCACACATCCCCCCAGCCCAGTGCTGGGTCAGCCCCACCCGGTCCACACCACGGCTCAGCATGAGGCTGACCAAGTCCATAAGGGAAGGTCAAAGGTGGGCGGGAAGGACACATCCAGACAGAAATCATGGATGCTGCCGTGGCTCCTTCTCCCAGAGCAGGAAACTGAATCTGAGAGGTGGGAGATACTTCACCAGGGTCATGGAGCTCAAACTGGCCAGGAAAAGCTTTCAGCCCAGGGCTTCACGCCCAGCTCCAGGGCAGGGCATATCCAATCTTCCATCTGTAACACCCTGAGAAGTTCCCAGGAGGCACTGAGTCATGGGTGAGGCCTGTCTCGGGGCCATACCCCTTGTCTCAATAAGATCAGCCTCATATGTATTCCCCAAAAGCAATCTGTGTAATAAGGAGCAGCCCAGGAGGCCCTTCTCTCCACACCCCTCATTCTCCAAGGGCGGCTGACACCCATTAGTGCTCCATCCCCCAGTTTGGAAAACACAAATGTGCAGCGTGGAATGCAACTCACTGAGCAGGCTGCCCTCCTCCTCCCCGACTAGACTGAGAGGACTGCAGTGGCATGGGGGGTGGTGCTGGGGGAGGAGGAAGTGGGGGAGAGTGGGAGGGACCCTGCCAGGAGGGCTCAGCTTCCCTCTGTTCTCTGCCAGGGCCCCGAGGTTCCCCTCTATCATGCTGGGGTGCAAATTCACACATCCCCACCAATGTGCCTGTGTGCATGCCCAAGCACACAGCCACAGGGACACTGGTAGACATACACATGTGAGCACAAACCCACATGTGTGTGCAAAGCCTGTCTACAACACATGCCTGTACCTGCACACACGTACACTCCACCACATACGTACACACGCAGAGCCTTTCCCGCCATCTCACCCACAGGCGCACACCCCCTGAAACAGCTGAATGCAAATGCCCCACTCTCTACACAGACCCCACAGACACAGGCCACATCACTCATTCCGAGACCAGACAGCCTGGGTCCAACCCCCAGCTTCACCACTTCTGAACCTGTGATTTGGGTCACGTGGTTTAACCCTTGTGAGCCTCAGTTTCCTCCAACCTAAGAAATAATCTCAGATAAAGCCGTCATGGGGGTTGCGTGAGTTAATGCACGGAAAGTGCTTAGAAGAATGGCTGGCAAGCAACAGGCATGAGACAAATATGAGCCCCAAGCACACAGCCCCAGTGCATGTCCACACGCTTCCACATATGCACACGTGGGCACCCACATGCATGCACCTGCGTGGATACCTGGCCCAGGCACCACACACGGAGATGAACATTCACATGTGTACGAATAGGTTAGGCCCCCAAACAGTGTACTGTGCCTGTGCATAGTACTCGTGCATCAGCATCCCCACCCACCCACCCACAGATCTGTGCCCGTACGTATATGTCCCCACCTGCACACACACCCCTCCTGTTCTCAGACATGGCCAACTCCTTCATCCCCTCCCTCTTGGCCCAATCACAGTGTCTTTCAGATCTGGGCCTTATCAGAAGCCCCAGTCAGAGGAAGGTGGCTACTCCTGGCTGAGCTCATGAAGGACAGGCTCCCCTCATCCAGTCCCAACACCATCACTCTGAGGAACTTTCTCGGATGCTCTTTGTGGACTCAGAGACTCATGGAACATTTGTGCTGGAAGGGCCCTTACCTGATCAGGTCTCGAGTTGTAAAGATGGGGAGACTGTGCCCCAGGGAGGGGCACCCCCTTGTCCATGGTCACCCAGGGTGCAAGTGCCCAGAACCCACCTGGCAGCCACTGGGCTGGGTCTCCAGAAGGTGTCAAGTGAAACTTAACGGGTTGATGATTGGAGTGACTGGGAGACGGTGCTGTCCCATCAATGCCCCCATGATGCGGGGAGGAAATTGAGGCTCTGAGAGGCTCTCACTCACCCACCCAGGACTCAAACCCAGCTGCACTACTTTCTATTTCAAGAAAGCATGGCAGGGCCTCCCCTGTCCCTGCAGGCTGTCTGGACATCGGCAAGAGATAGGTGGCTGAGGCAGTGTGGGTGGTGGGGTGAGAAGCCAGGGCCATCCCCAGGCCTGGGCATTATGCTGGGGACATCACCACACCTGCAGGGCCAGAAGTGAGAGCAGCAGTCGGCCTCAAATCCAGGTCTGAGAGCTGGAATGAGACCAAATTACGCCTGAGCAGGGCTTCCCCAGGGCAGGAAGGTGGTGGTGCTGGGGTCAACGGCAGGCCCTGGGGGCTCAGATATTTTAGCTGAGAGTATGTGTGTACTGGTGTGCAAATGTGTGCGTGTGGAGGGTATAATGGGCTGGTGGGGTCCTGGGTTGTGTTCGAAATGTCTGTATGTGAGTAGGGTACAGATATTGTATGACCAACCACAGTGTGTGCACAGGGATTGAATGAGGCTTCTAATGTTGACATGCTTTATTTTCCTGTCGCATACCATTCCCTGCGGCATTTACTTTTCCAGACCTGCACAATCTCCAAGGCTGGTGAAATGCCACCAACTAGATATTCACCAAGGCCTGCCTGATGCCAGGCTCTTGGGGAAAGAGAATTAATTCTCCTTCACTGTTCACTGTCTGGGTCAACTCCTCATGGCCAACTGCACAAGAAAGAACAAGGGTCTACAGTCTCCTGCCCTGTTTCCTGCCTCCATCTCCTGCTTAAGCACCTTCTCACCCCAAGAATAGATAGCCACAAGGCATGAAGCTCAACAGCTCCAAAGAGATTTGAGCAAGCAGGACTGAAGACTCCCTATTTCACATACATTTCAATAATAATGATAATTAAATAGCTACCATTTATTGAGGCCGGGCACAGTGGCTCATGCCTGTAATCCCAGCACTTTGGGAGGCCAAGGTGGGTGGATCACTGGAGGTCAGGAGTTCAAGACCAGCCTGGCCAACATGGTGAAACCCTGTCTCTACTAAAAATACAAAAATTAGCCTGGCATGGTGGCATGTGCCTGTAGTCCCAGCTACTTAGGAGGCTGAGTCAGGAGCATCGCTTGAACCCTGGAGGCAGAAGTTGCAGTGAGCTGAAATCGTGCCACTGCACTCCAGCCTGGGTGACAGAGTGAGATTCCATCTCAAAAAAGAAAAGAAAAGAAAAGAAAAGCTACCATTGATTGAGCGATTACCACACTCTGGGCACTGTTGCAACTGCCTTAGCATACCTGACATCACTCAACTTCTTTGAAGCTCCATTCACCTGTCATTGTTCCCACCCACCACTTACAGATGAGGAAACTGAGACACAAGGGGGTGAGTGACTGGCCCACGTTGTGAGAGGTAGAGGCAGGGTTTAAATTTACACAGACCGACTCCAGGTTAAAATTATCTTCAAATTCTTACGCAAGAGCCCATGTTTAAGAACAGCCAAGGAGACCAGGTGCGGTGGCTCACGCCTGTAATCCCAGCACTTTGGGAGGTGGAGGTGGGCAGATCACCTGAGGTCAGGAGTTCGAGACCAGCTTGGCCAACATGTCGAAACCCCGTCTCTACTAAAAATACAAAAATTAGTGAGGTGTGGTGGCATACGCCTGTAATCCCAGCTACTCAGGAGGCTGAGGCGGGAGAATCGCTTGAACCCAGGAGGCAGAGGTTACAGTGGGCCGAGTTGCCAAGCACTCCAGCACGGGCAACAAAAGCAGAAACTCCATCTCAAAAAAAAAAAAAGAACAGCCAAAAAAAAAACAAGATGGAATCAACTAGGGGCGGGACCACTGGTCTTAAGTGATTTCAGAGCCACTGTAAGCAAATCCATACGGTCCTGATGTTGGAACAATCAAACAGAACCAAGCATAGCAAAATATAACTCCAGAATAAAGTCCCAGGAAAGATGAAACATTAATATTCTTGCCAGACAGTGGGCTATACGGGGGTGATGAAGCAGGGTCCTCTCCCTTGAGGGGTGCCCGGTCCAGGCAGACAAGCCTGTCAACGGATCATCTCAATATGGGTGCTATGTGCTAATCGGGTGGTCTGTGGAGTGTTAAAGCCTGGATGTTAAAAACTGCATCCTCCCTGAGGTCAGGGACCATGGCTGTATCCTTCAAGTCTAGCCATGGGCCATGCCCACCTGGCACTGAGGACACATCGGTGGAAGCACAGCCTGGCGCAGAAGGAGTCAGTGTAGAAGACAGACTCCTGGATTAGTTTCTAACTGGAGGACATGGGGAAAGTTATTCCACTTCTCTGTGTCTGTTACTTCATTTTTAAGATAAAAAATGCTGGTAAATAGAATCTGCCTCAAATAGCTATTAGGGTGTTTAATGACATAATAAATTGATTATTCCTGCTAGAGTAGTAAGAACAACTCCATAAAAACCAGTCATTATTATAATTGTTGTTGTTTCTAACATTATCATAAATTAATGATCAGGATATGACTGCCCCAGAATAATAACATTGACTTCTTCTGGAGCACTGGGGACTGGGGGCCCCATCCTGAGACACCATGATGCTTTTCCCAGCCTGCTTGGCAGACTTCAACCTATTTTGCAGACAGGAGAATGGAAGTGAAGTGGCTCGCGACCCACAGAGGCAGAGGTGGAAATGCAGGAGGTGAGGAATGACTTTAACGCAACATCCTGGGAGAGACAGGAAGAAAAACACAGAAAAAGCTCACAGCGTGGCCTCCTGCAGGGGCCTCCAGCCCAGCCATATTGGTGGCACATAAGACTTCCAGGGGGGCCTGAATTTGCACCCTTCACCCTCGTTTTTCTAGAGAAGCAGGGAATGTTGTCTTGGGGATGAGGACCAGTCCTTTAAGCAGCTTAAATCCCCATCCCTCACCTGATGGGCCCACAGGGACACCACAGTGTCTACTATGATCTGTTACCTGCACAAGGTCGTAGTCTTTTCAGGAAGATGAATCAAATGACAGGATTTGCAGTGAGCAGCTCTGTGTCCACCAGTGGCCACCACTTCTGCACCCCAAGGCCAGGTCAGGTCTCTTCTTCCCAGACCTTTCTGGAAAATGGGCTGCCTGGTCTAGAGTGATGCTCCCCATCCCCACCCCACCATGTCTGAGATCCCAGCTGTATCGGTGTGTTCTCACGCTGCTAATAAAGACACACCCGAGACTGGGTAATTTATAAAGGAAAGAGGTTTAATGGACTCACAGTTTCACATGGCTGGGGAGGCCTGACAATCATGGCGGAAGGCAAATGAGGAACAAAGTCACATCTTACATGGCAGCAGGCAAGAGGGCATGTGCAGGGGAACTCCCCTTTACAAAACCATCAGATCTCGTGAGACGTATTCACTGTCACTAAAACAGCATGGAAAAGACACATCCCCATGATTCAGTTACCTCCCACTGGGTCCCTCCCATGACATGTGAGATTTGGGTGGGGACACAGAGCCAAACCATATCCCCAGCCCCTCCTCCACACTGTACTTCAGGCCTCCCCACCCACCTTGTTCTGGTTCTCTGAGTCCCTGCTTTGCCAGATTGTTTTAATCAGATCTTGCAGATAATGTTTTCCACTTATCACCATCTTAGCTCTCAACTTATCCTTACAGTCTTGGTTAAGACCCTTTTTGTCCAACATCTTGGACACTTGCCGTCAACTCAGATGGGGATGCTTGCAGGGGAGCAGGTTCAGAGTGGGGAATATCGGAGCTCAGTTGGGGACATGCTGTTTGCTGTGCCCATAAATCTTCCCAGTTGGAGGTTTAATTCTGGAGAAACAGAGAGAGAATGCCTGGCCTTTTGGGGAGGCAGGCGAGCACCAGCACCTCCCAAACTCACTGTGTCCCAGGCCACTGTGGGGTAGGAGAGGAGAGGCTTACTGTATAACCCTCACTCTACTGAAGCTTCCCTAGAGCTGAGCGGCAGTGCTTCCCTCCCCTGGCCCGCCTCCTTCTCATCTTTACTCTTCCACTGTGTGTCTGCAAACTGCACAGCTTGTTAGTGAGATACGCTAATAAACCACCATGTCATCACATTAGCAGTTTCCAGCTGAGAATCTCCCTTCCTGCTCGGGGTGGCAGACACCCAAACACAGCCCCATCATCAGGCTGTTTGCACAGCTAATTACTTTTTTCCAACATGGAGGCGAGAGACTTCCTGAGGCTTCCACTCACTCAGAATTGCTGTTGTGGATTTCAGAATGGTCCCCCTGCCAGGCTTGTCTGGATGTCCCAAAGACTTTAGGGAGTAGCCAGATTCTGCCCTCTCATTGGATAGAACGGGAGGCCGAGGTCCACAGAGGGGCTGACTGCTCCCATTTTGCAGATGAGGAAACTCAGGCACAGAGAGGTAGAGTGGTGATGCATCCAAAGCAGCTCATGGCTGGGGACAAGAGGCCAGGCCTCCTATTTCCCACAACAGGGCTCTTCCTGGGGTCCATCTTACCTCTTCCCAGCTAGGTGGAGAGGCCTTTCTCCCCAGTGTAGCGGGGTGGTCAAAGAGGAACAGGACTTTGTGTGTGGCCACTGGCACTTAGAGAGGAAGGGCTCACTTCTTGCCTCATCTACTGAGTCCTGACCACCCTTGCACCCTCCCCAGGTCTTCCTTTAGGAGGTTCTCTTTTTCCAGGGCTCTCCCAGGTTGCCTGTGGGCTGCACCTCCCAGGTCACCTCTTGCTTCCCCATAGCCCAGTCTTCTTGGCTAACACTCTCCCCACGTGCTTCTGTAGGGCTGCCCACACACACCTGGGGTTGACAGGTGTCCAGACCTGGCCACCTCCAGGCATGATGACTGCTCAGACACAGGCATGTGCCCAGGTTGGTCCAATGCAAACATGCTGGGTGCCTCCACTGGAATGAGGGGGAAAGAGAGGCACTCTTTCCCTAGATCCGCTGGCTCTGTGAGAGTGAAGCAAGCCTAGAGCTTGGATGGGCAGAGTGGCATCACTCAGGGAGCCTGCTTGGGAAGCCACCCCAGGTAAGAGCACTACCTGCCATGACACTTGGGTAGAAATGACAGAAAACTCACTGAAATGGCTTAACAGAAAAAGAGAACTCATATTACCTCACATAAAGCTCCACTCCATCCTGGTACTCTGAGAGTTTTGGCAGGACTCTCCCACCCCAACTCTGGGCTCACCTTGCCTCTCTGTGAGCTTCACTCCGGCCTGATGTTTTCCTGGAGGTGGCAGGGAAGGCCTCCCATTGCGGTCACCCAAGCAGAAGGAGGACACATCTTTCCCAACACTCACGCCAATGTCCTGGGGTTGACTCCATCTGCACCAGTTCGAGTCCCCTGTGCAACCCTGAGCCAATCACTGTAGTCAAGGGAAGAGGATGACCTGATTGGTCATATCTTGATCATGTGATGACTGGGGCCACCAATGACTTTGCACTGCCTTCTGCCCCCATGATTCACCAAGAGCAAGTAGGTTGCTAAGCAACCAGCTCCAGCTCTTTTGTGGCACTTGGGACTGGGAAAGCCACCCCAGGGTCCTGCATGTTGAATTACAGGGAAAGTCACACCAGTGTCCTGCATGTTGAATTACAGGGAAAGTCACACCAGGGTTCTGCATGTTGAATTACAGGGAAAGTCACACAGGGGTCCTGCATGTTGAATTATAGGGAAAGTCACTCCAGGGTCCTGCATGTTGAATTACAGGGAAAGTCACGCCAAGGTCCTGCATGTTGAATTATCAGGAAAGTCACACAGTGGTCCTGCATGTTGAATTACAGGGAAAGTCACGCCAAGGTCCTGAATGTTGAATTACTCAGTACTTGGATGTCAGCCGGCTGTGGTTCCTTGGAGGAGAAGACAGCAGGGTGATTTTGGTTAATCTTCCCAGTGACACTTACTCACTAAGAGACCTTGGGCAAATTACTCCCTTCTCTCTTATGTAAAATGAAGATAATAATAGGACCTGCTTCAGGGGGTTGATTGAGGATCAAACGGTGTAATTTGTGATGGTGACTTGGAAGAATGCCTCACCCACAGCGGGGCTCAGTTAAGAGAGCTAACTGTAGCTGGTATTGGGAGCTCCATGCCCACATCTGGTCAAAACCACCCCCATCCCCCTCTACCTCTCCCTCTCCCAGATAAAGAGAGGGGGCAGATTTCTAATTTGGACATCAGCCCATGTCACCTCCTCACTAAAAGCTCTTTAATGACACCTCATGGACTTCAAGGTCAAGTTCAGGGTCCTCACCCTGGTCTACAAGGTTCTGCAGGATCTAGCCCTCCCCAGCTCAGTCCAGCCACATGGCCCCTTTCTCATTTTCAAACACACCAAGCTCAATCCAGCAAACAGACTTTGCCTCTTGCCATTCCCTCCGCCTGGAGCAGTCTTCTCCCAGCTACCACTGTGAAATGGTTTGATTGTGTCCCCACCCAAATCTCATCTTGAATTATGGCTCCCATAATTCCCATGTGTCGTGGGAGGGACCTGGCAGAAGGTAACTGAATCATGGGGGTGGGTCTTTCCCATGCTATTCTTATGATGGTGAATAAGTCTCACGAGATCTGATCGTTTTATAAAGGGGAGGTCCCCTGCACACGCTTTCTTGCCTGCTGCTGTCTAAGACGTGACTTTGCTCTTCTTTTGCCTTCTTGCAGTGATTGTGGGGTCTCCCAGCCACGTGGAACTGTGAGTCCATTAAACCTCTTTCCTTTATAAATGACCCAGTCTCAGGTATGTATTAGCCATGAGAGAACAGACTAATACACACTATCAATAACACCCTCAATTCATACAGGTCTCTTTTCAAATGTCATCTCCTCAGAGAAGCCTTCCCTGAGCATTTACTCTAAGATAAACCACTTCCTCCCACTTCCTTTCTGTCCCCGTCAGCCTGATACACATTTCATTGTATCACTTATGATTATCTGAAAATATGTTAGCCTCCTGTTTGTGTTTTTATCACATGTAAAGGATATTTGGGGCTTGGAGGGTATAGTCTAGACAAGGTAAGTCAGAAAGGAAGAAAGCCAAGTCCTAGGGCACAGACTGAGACTGCTCTTACTGGATGATCAAAGGCTTCTGTTCAAAGGGAAGCTTTGCTGGATCCCAGTGAGCCAGTTAATGGTGTCCCTGGACACCAGAACAAGTTGCTGCTTGCTAGAGTTTGCCAGGTAGTCCTGGCTGCTGCATCCTCTCTCCTGCATCTTCTGGACAGTTCTAGGCGTTGGGGAGTGATTGGTGCTAGGTGAGAAGCAGCCTCTGAATAAACATTCGGGAGTCAGTGGGGGTCAGTGGTAGTTGAGCATGTGGGCTTTGAAGTCAGAACTGGGTTTGAATCCAGTATTAGTCCATTCTTACGCTGCTATAAAGACATACCTGAGACTGGATAATTTGTAAAGAAAAGAGGTTTAATCAACTCACATTTCCATAGGCTGTACATGAAGCATGGATGGGAGACCTCAGGAAACTTATAGTCATGGTGAGAAGTGAGGAGGAAGGGAGCACGTCCTGCATTGCTGGAGCATGAGGAAAAGAGAGAGATGGAAGGGGGAAGTGCTACACACTTTCAAGAAACCAGATCTCATGAGAACTCTATCACCAGACAGCACTAGGCGGGTGTTAAACCATTAGAAATCACCCCATTATTCAATCACCTCCCACCAGGTTCTCCTCCAACACTGGGATTTACAAGTTGACATGAGATTTGGGTAGGGACCCAGAACAAAACTGTATCAAATCCCAAACTCCACTTCCATAGCCAAGAACTTGGTGGTTATTGATTGAGGGCCTCCTAGGGGCCAGCCCCTTGCTACATACTTTGCATGAACTCTCTTGTCTCATGTGTAAGTACCACAGGCTAATGTCTGCACCTGTGCACCCTCTATAATGATATCTCTCATTTTCATGATTGAGCAGACTGTAATGGTTGTTGTGAGCAGAATAGCGGACTCTGAGTGAAGAACCTTGGCATTCATGCCTCTAACTGCAGGGAAATCCTTCCACTGCCTAAAGCCTGCCCTCAGGTCTCCTGTGAATTCGCTCAAGCTACCCTCGAGCCCCCCAGGCCCCATCCATCCACTCAACAACATTTACATAGGCCAGGCAAGGCACCCTGGGGGACAGAGACAAGCCAGTCATATCTGTGTCCTTGGGAAGCTCAGGTCAAGGGTGCTTTCCCCCCACTGTTAACAAGGTTCTTCCCTCTCCAGGCCTCCGAGCCTCCAACTCTCAAAAGGTGCAGCTGTTTATTGCCACTGCTCACATTTACACCCTGAGACGAATATACCATTTTACCCAAAGGACCTCAGAATTGGATGATTTTATTTGCCTAAGAAATGCTTTACTTGACTTGTAATCTAGAGATGGCAAAATGTATAGCTTTTGAATATGCATTTAGATCTGTTTTGACAAATGCACAAACCCCTATCATGCAAACTCTTATCACAATATAGGACATTGCCCTCATTTCAAAACCTCCCTTGCATCCCATCTTGTCAACCCCACACACCAATCCCCAGCAGCTGCCTGTTTTCTGATTGCCTTTACCGTAAATTAACATCGCTAGTTCTAGATGTTGTATCAAAAGAATGTATAGCATGCACTCTTGTGTCTAGCTTCTTTTGCCCAACATACTGTTGTAAAATTAATCCATACAATTGTATGTCAATAGTGCATTCCTTTTCATAACTACGTACTAAGTATCATTTATAAAAGTGAACCTCGGCTGGACATGGTGGCTCATGCCTATAATCCCAACACTTTCGGGGCTGAGGCAGGAGGATTGCTTGAGGCCAGGAAATCAGGACCAGCCTAGGCAATATATTAAGGGCTTATCTCTACAAAAATCTTGTTAAAAGATTACCTACACATGGTGGCATGTGCCTGTAGTCTCAGCTACTTCAGAGGCTGAGGTGGGAGGATCGCTTGAGCCCAAGAGCTTGTGGTAAGCTGGGCAACAGAGTGAGGCCTTGCCTCAAAAACAAAAACAAAAAAGTGCCTCGATTTGTTCATCCACGATCTCCCCAATACCTAGAGCTATGTCTAGCTGCCTTTTTTTTTTTTTTTTTTTTTTTTTTTTTTTTTTTTTTTTGAGACAGGGTCTCAATCTGTCACCCAGGCTGGAGTGCAGTAGTGCAATCATGGCTCACTGCAACCTCAACCCCTAGAGCTCAAGTAATCCTCCCCACTCAGCCTCCCGAGTAGCTTGGACTACAGGTATGAGTCACCACATCTGACTAGTTTTTAAATGCTTTGTAGAGACAGGGTCTCACCATTTTGCCCTGGCTGCTGCTATGGTTTGAACGGTGGCATCCCCTCCAAAATTCACATTGAGACTTAGTCCCCATTGCAACAATATAAGCAGTGTGGCTTTTGGGAGGAGATTAAGTCATGAGGGCTCCCCGCTCATGAATGGAATAAGCACCCTTATAAAAGGGCTCGCAATTGAAGGGGGCATTCTCGTGTCTTTCATTGAGGACACAGTGTTCCTACTCTCTGGGCCAGCCAGACGGCAACAAGGCACCATCTTGGAAGCAGAGAGATGCCTTGAGCAGACACCAGCGCTGCAGTGCCTTGACCTTGGACTTCTCAGCCTCCAGAACTGTGAGAAATACATTTCTATTGTTTATAAATTACCCAGTCTGTGGTATGCTGTCCTAGCTGCACAGGCGGACTAAGATACTAGCCTACGGTGAATGCTCAGAAATACTTGTTGCAGGCATGAATCCGGGACATAGCAAGGACACTGTTTACAATGAGGAAGAAAGACAAAGGAGAGGAAATGAGAACCCAGCCTCACTCCTTCTTCAAAAATTGTCTCAGTAGTAAAAAGGATGAAAGCTGGCTCTCCACTCAACCTGTCAGACCTCTCTTCAGAAATGCAGGGGAAGCTGCCACCTGGTGAATAATTCACCTGCAGTCAGCAGCCCCAAATGCTGCATTGGCAAAAAGCAAACAGCCTGCAGAACTGTTTCTTATTTTTAATCTGCTCAGAACCAGGGTCTTGAAGCATTTGCTTTTCCATCCTACTAATTTTGGAGGCAATTAGCTGTTGGGTGTTCTTGCCGTCGGCTCCCCTCTGTGTGTATGTCCTTGTTAGGTGTGCTCACCCTGCCCAAACACACCAGCTGTGAAGCGCTTTGTTAATTTACTCTTAAACTACCATTTTAACAAGCTTCTTAAGTGATAGAGGCATTTGTGCATAAATAGCAAGTGGTAAGCTTCCCCCTGGAACATTAACCTGATTTATTAAAAACACTGTGACTACCAAGCTTTATACATCAACATCTTTAACACAAAAAAATATATGATCTCATCTCCTCCCACAGCCCCAGCCCTAATGTAGACAGAGAGCTCTGATGGGAGGTGAGAACCTGGAAGATGTCACTGTGAAAGGCGAAAGAAGCCAGTTTTTTAATATTTCAAATGCAGCCGAGCCAGCCAACCAAAACGTGTTTTCTCCGACATTAGCCTGGGGACAAGTGGAAAAAAACAGACACAATTTCTTTCCATGACCAAACCTTCCCACCTAGCTGGGCCAAGGATGAGGTCACCCTAACACCTCTCTCTGTGACTCTGATGGGCTGGGGGGATGGGCTGAGAGTGGGGGAACACCCCAACGAACTTAAATTTCAATGCCCAAACCGCACCCCACCACCTGCCAGAAACTCAGCATTTCCTAAGCACCCTCCATGCACACACTCCTCATGAATGTTGTTTTGGGTCATCTCACTGCACCACCTGTACAATTATTTCACTAATGTTATTTTTAAATGGATCACTTTAAAAATTTTAGCCTCAAACCAAACAATATTGTCTGTGAAATTGTAGATTTCATGCATTAGTTATATATGGTGTTTCTTTAAAACTTTAAAGATGAAATAGTGAAATAGATAATGCACTCTGGTGTACCATGTACTATTGGTGTGACACATAACACACCAGGGAAATGCTGAATTAATTCCATATTCCAAAGTTCAGAGCAAACAATGTTTCCTGGGACTTAGACGGTGTCTAATACTTTGAAGATTCAAAGTTAAGCTTAGTTTTCCAGTCCAGAGGCTTCTGTGCAAGAGACTACATCCATCAGCCAGCAGCAGACGCACACTGCATCTGACCGAATACCTGCTTCCCTTCTCCTGAGAAGTACAGGAGCACCGTGTGGGGTGGATAATGAAGGAGATGATGTCCTGGTGTGTGTGTGTGTGTGTGTGTGTGTGTGTGTGTGTGTGTGTGGTTTAGTTATAGGTGAATAATTAGATTACGTGATTTCAGGAACTCTTTGGGAAATAGAAGAAGGGTGGCACAGTGAGAAGAATGAAGCTGGGGTCAGTAAATGCAGGGTCTTGACTTCAGTCTGTGTCTAACCATTGCCATCTCTTGCCTGGACTATTGTAGTCTCCTAACTGGTCTTCCAGCTTCACCCTCGGCCACCACCCTGTGTTCTCCATTCAGAGCCAGGGTGGGCCTTTCAGCCCAAGTCAGCTCATCACATTCCATCACTCAGAGTCCTCTAGGGACCCACCCTCTCATGCAAAATAAAAGCCAAAGTCTTCCCCATGGCCTGCAAGGCCCTCCATGGCCTGACCCCTCATCCTCTCTTCAACCTCCACCCCTGCCACTCCCCACCTCACTCCCCTGCTGCAGCCACATGGGCCTCTGTGCTGCTCCCCCAGCCCCTTGAGAACCCTCCTGCCTCAGGGTCTTTGCACTTGCGGGTCCCTCTGCCAAGGCTGCTCTTCCCCAGATATCTGCCTGGCTCATCCTCTCACTCCAGGCTCTGCAGATGTCACCTCCTCCAAGAGGCCCTCTCTGGTGCCACCTTCTAAAGAGCACCCTGTTGCTGCGTAATGACTCAGTTTACCCTATGCTTTTTCTCAATATGCATATATATGTCTAATATCTATGCGTCATTGAGTAAATGAGGGGAAAATGTTCTCAGAGGATGCAGAAGAACCTGAGCATGATACTGGCCTGTGTTAGCGGTGGGTGGGGAATGAAGCGCTTTGTGTTATTTAAATCTTTAAAGAACAACTGTATTACTCATGTAATGAAGAATATTGGGGGACGAGTCAGAGAGGGGAAAGAAAACAGCCTAGAAACAAGTAAATCTGGGTAAGAACCAAGATGAGCAAGGACTTCCTCCCTCCTCCATGCCTCACCCCCGAGGAGCAGCACATTCCATATGGCAGAGCCTGAGATGCTCACGTGGAGGCTCTGGGCAAGGACTCGCCTCTCTCTGCAGCAACCACAAGTGACTCTGAATATAAAACAAGGTCACAGGTGACTCACAGATCCAAAGAAGTGTTTTGCTGGGTCTCTATGGTGCTTTAAAAATTAGATGTCACCCAAACATCTGGATTTCTGCTTTCTCTTAGACAAATGAGTAGCCACAGCCACTGAGAAGTAGCAATGCTCTTCAAATGGGGCCTGGGCTCCCCGCTTCGCCATAGCCCCCACCTCTCCCCACTGCCTTCTCAGCCCCGAGACTGAGTCAAAGTCACCTTTGTTATTACACTCAGCTTGCTGCATTCCTTCTTGTAAAGTTCAGAGGGAGTCGGAGTATTTATTGTACTCATGTCTTTATAAAAAAATGGGAAACTAAGAGGACCACGTGGTTCTAGATTTTTTAGAATTCTGGAAGACCAGGAGTTTTCTGCTTGGGCTGCCTGAGTGACTCTGAGCCAAGCCTCTCCAGGCCTGTGAGTCTGCCACTGTTAGGTCAACCAGCCAGGATGCTAATGGGGATGAAGTCAGCACAAGCTAGTTTTCTACTGGTGGCCCAGAAACCCAGGAGACACTCTCAGCTTTGGCCCAGAATTCATCTGCCACATTTTTCCTTGATGTGCTCCAACTTTGCGGGGGGTTCCTTGGGCCTAGGATTCCTACACCGTGTTTTCTCCTCTCTCTTGGATTAAGGAGCAGGATCTCAGGGGCAACCTGGCATGGGGCAGGCAGAGAAAGAAGAAAGCACAGCTCGAGGCCTGCTTCTTTCCAAGCATTTCCTTTCTTACCCGTGTTCTTTAGTTTCCTCTTAAGGGTTGAACTGTTTGCTTACTCTGTCTGTCTCTTTCTTGCTTGTTTGCTATTGCTCCATCTTCATCTCTATCTCGGTCTCTCATATAGAGAGAGAAACAGGCTCGCAACTGAACCACCAGCCCCACCCTCATCTTTGTACTTGCAGCGTGCCAGAGCACTGGATTAAGAGTCTGAAAAATAAGGCAGGACACACACACCCCAGCCCCCAACCACTAGCCATTTCCACAGTCTTCAATAAGCCACGTACTTCTCATCTACAAATGTATATGTCATAGGTTACTTTAGGTCTAACATTTAACTATACATTTCTAGGATAATTCCAGAATATTCTAAGTCACCAAACCTAGGTCAGTGGAGAGGTCAGGGCATGGGCGCTCAAATTAGAAGTCCCGGGCTTGAATCCTGACTTGCTACTCTCTTTGGGACCTGTGCAAAGGACTCAACCACCCTGTGCCTCAGTTGCCTCATCTGTAATATGGGGAGAATAACAACATCACCCCTTCTGAGGTTGTTCTAAATATTGTGAAAGAGGCAGAATTTTACCTCCACCCGGTTTTTAGCTGGGCCTGAGAATGAAATTGACATAAGACTGATCAACAGAAGAAACACACACACATTTACTCTATTTAATTCAAGTTTTACATGGTACAGAAGACCCAAAGATACAATTAGTTAAATACTTATATTTCGTATTGGACAAAGAGCAGTAATTGGTAGAAGAGCAACTAAATTATGTGGGAGGCTAAAAAAAAATTATTATAACAAGGTCTGTAGGGAATTCTCTAATCTCAACTTGCAGCCCTTGTTGATAAGAATGTGACTTTCCAGCTGGGCGTGGTGGCTCACGCCTGTAATCCCAGCACTTTGGGAGGCTGAGGTGGGTGGATCACAAGGTCAGGAGATGGAGACCATCCTGGCTAACAGGGTGAAACCCCATCTCTACTAAAAATACAAAAAATTAGTGGGGTGTGGTGGCGGGCGCCTGTAGTCCCAGCTACTCGGGAGGCTGAGGCAGGGGAATGGCGCGAACCCGGGAGGCAGAGCTTGCAGTGAGCCGAGATCGCACCACTGCACTCCAGCCTGGGTGACAGAGTGAGACTCCGTCTCAAAAAAAAAAAAAAAAAAAAAAAAGAATGTTACTTTCCTTCTAGGGATATAGGGAGGGCATCGCTCACATAGGAATTTCACCTCCTACTTTTACAAAACAGAATGAAGGTCAGGATGATCTTCTTGTGCCTGCTGTGTTGGAAGCACCTGTAATTCAAAATAGCCAACATGCCAGAGCAGCATATTTCAAGGCAGCATATTCTTAACTGCTTCGATACCAATTCAGAAAATACACATAAAGCCTATGCATAGTGCAACGCTGTGCATAGCAAGCACTTAATATATGTTAGCCTTCTAGAAGTTTACATCTTGTAGTTCACACATATAGTGCAACAATATAACAGTCTGCCATCGGGATCCTTTCTACAGATGAGTTTGTTTTGGGTCCTTCCCCCAAGATGTTAACAAATTTTTTTCTTTAATTAGCTACCAACTTCTTTTTTATTTTATTTATATATTTTTGAGACAGAGTCTCACTCAGATGCCCAGGCTGGATTGCAGTGGCGTAATCTCAGCTCACTGCAATCTCTGCCTCCCCTGTTCAGGCGATTCTCGTACCTCAGCCTCCTGAGTAGCTGGAATTAAAGGCACGTGCCACCACACCAGGCTAATTTTTGTATTTTTAGTAGAGATGGGGTTTCGCCATGTTGGCCAGGCTGGTCTCGAACTCCTGCCTTCAGGTGATCCACAAGCTTCAGCCTGCAAAAATGTTGGCATGAGCCACCATGCCTGGCCCCAACTTCCTTTCTAATTGGGAGATTTTACTTTTGGCTATGCTCAAAGAGTTGGAAGACCTGCTCATACTGTTTCCCTTTCCACATGGGGAGTGTGTAGTGAGGGCTGCTTTCTAGACTGAGCACATCCTCACCTGTCCACCATAATCCCCTCCACACCCAATTCTCTAATTGACATTAACCCCACTCCCAGCCCCTGTAGATGCTGAGTTTGCAACCTCTGGCTCCAGCTCAAGAGATGAGATAAATAAACCTGCAAATAGAACTTTCGAGTGTGGCACAGAGAGAAGTTCCAAAACAAGCCTGCAGGTGTTCATAGGAGAAGAGGGGCTGCAGGTCTGGCGTGGTGAGAGGTGGTCTCAGGTAGAGGCTGGGGATAGACTATGAAGTGGAAAGGCAGGGGTGAGGGGCAGTGAGCACCTGTGGGGAAGCAGGAAAGCACCTGTGTCCTGCACCATCCTCCTGCCCTGTTGTCCTCCTGCCAAGCTAGAATTCACTCAGCAGCGCTTGCCCAGCCTCAGGTGTCCCTAGAACATCCACAGTCCATGGGATCGGCTTCTGAGCTGTCCACGGTGCCCATGGCCACACCTGCTTACCAGCCGCAGCAGACTGGGCCCCATCAGGCCTGACCACCCACCCCAGAATAGCACTGTCCCCAGCAGGGGTTTTGAGAAAGGGCTGGGGGACAAACAACAGCAATCAGAAACCACATCTGGGCAGAGCAAATCCATTGTTTTCCACACAGTAACGTGCTCACTGATGTGGTGGCAACTCTTGGTGTTCCTGTAACTCAATCCAGAATGAGGACACTGGATTCCCAGGACCCACTTATCAGATGAGGCTTCCTCCCAACAGTGCCAAGGCAAACCATTCCTGACTCTCAGTTATTACCAAATCAAGTCAAATGTCATTGCTAGTTTTAGCTCCAAAAAGCCAAGGCTCAAAATTGGTTCCTAAACTCAAAATCAATTAAGCAGATGTCGAAGAGGGGGAATTGAATTTCATTAATGAACATTGGACTGAAAAATCGTACTGTGAATTTTTTCTCCTCCACCTTCTGCTGGCTGTAGTTGTAGAAGCTTCTGGGAGAAAATTCTGATATGGTCATTGTCACTGGAAGGGAGATGGCAGCAGGCCCCAGGGAAAGGGCAGGACACAAAGGACACAGGTATAATCAATGGGACTCTGAAGCCATTGCTCATCTCCTCTCTGAGAAGCTCCACCCAGAAACTGTCCTTTCCTGACGATTTTACTTGTGATCCAATAACGCTTTGTCCTTGGCAGCAGGTTTTCTGTTCAACAAGGCATGGCCTATAAGGTGTGTTTCCAAGTTTGGGGAGTTGGCCAGATAGAGCCAGTAAACCAGCCACTGGCCTAGGGGGCAACGTCTGCAAAGCAGCTTAATATCCACCCTTCCCCACCTCTCCCAATCTGTTCTTCCTCCACCTGCCTTCCCATCTCTGTAAATGGCACCACCATCTGCCCAACAGCTCAGCCAACATCCAGGAGTCATCCCCGATTCCTCTTCCCTCACCTGCCCACCTGAGATCCATCAGCAAGCCCTGCCGATCTTCCAAGCAGCACCGCAATCCACTCACCTCTCTCCCTCTGCAGCGCCCCGTCTGCTCCGCGCCATCAGCCTCTCCCACCTGGCCCACTGCAAACACCACCTGATCTCCCTGCTTCCACTCTTGTCCCTGGGCCACCCTCTTCACCCAGGGGGTGGGCCTTTAAGAACATGAAGGGCATATCCTTCACTTACTTAGAATGCATCAATGGCCTTTCATCGTTCTTAGAATTAAATCCAAGCCCTCTTGCAAGGCCTCCTGGTCCTCCATGATCAGCCTTTGTTGCTCCTCTGTTCTCATCTCCCATCCCTTGCTACACACGCTCAGAGGCTCAGAGGCGTGTGTGCCTGGGGAGCAGTGATTGATCAGGCCCTGATCACGAAGTCAGTGTGTGGCCTTCAATATAATAGATGGAGATGTTCTCATTCAACAAAATTCTGAATGGCAAATAATTTTTTTTTTGCTTTTAATCTAGTTTGGTGGGGGCACACTTGAAATGCAACAGTCTGGGATATTCTCTAAAAAGCACCTGATTTCTACCTGGTGTGGACCCTCAGGGCAATGAGCAGTGGCGACTCCACCCCTGATGTTCCGGGGTTTGAGGATTGACTGTATCCTTAAGCCTCAGACACAAGAGCCACTGACTGCCACATAGCACTCCTTAAATGTCATAAGCATGGCCCCAACATTAAATGCCTGGGACTCACTCTTGGCAATGTTTTTCCCTTTTCCAGCCTCCATCCTTAACAGTCAGGGAGAAAGTCTCAGGGGCTCATTGCCTTGAACGCCTCTCTCCTACTCACGCTCGGAAATAGGCACTTACAAACCACCGTGAAGGCAGCAATGTGCTGAAGTTTAATAACTGCACTGTGCTTGGTTTTACAATGGCCTCTTACTTACGTCAGTGGATATTGCTTTCCTATTCACAGTCCAAAATTACTCAACCATAGAAATACAAACCTCAGGTAATTCTACAGATGGCATTGCGTTATTGAAAAATGGTGCAACTGTATGTGCATAGCTGATATTGGGAACCCCTGAGCTACAGCGGTTGCTCCTCAAGGCAAGAACCATGAATTGCCATCTGGGTGCCCCAGAGCCTGGCCAAATCCTGACCTCCAAAGAGGCTCACCAAAGGTTTGTTTGGGTTGAATTAAGCCAGTCACACCTGTTCACAGTGTATTTCTAAAAAATCCATTCCTGCCATAGACTTTCTAGCCAAAGGACACCGTTCAGACAAGGTCCCGTTTTCACTGCGTTTCTCTCCCCGTAGAGAAAGGGAGAATCTATACAAGGTACCACTCTCCACCTGTACCCCACAATTTGGAAACAGAATGGGCTTCTCACCTTGCTGTGTCCAGCCCGAGTCCTCCCAACCAGATGCAAGTTAGGGTTGTGAAAGTTGTCAGAATCAAAATGGAGTCACTGGTGTTTAAAAAACAAACCAACAAAAAACCTGGACAAATAGAGCTGGGGAAGGCCGTGAAGAGAGGGTTCTCAGGCTTGTATGCCTGATAACAAAACCATCACAAAAGACTGTGAAAACCACAACCTTGCAAAAAGGTCACCGCAGCCTTACACAAAAAATACTTCTGCAAGGACATCTGCCTAGAAACTGCCTGTCCAACCTTGGACTGAGGTCACCCTTGTTATTGGTCTTTGCAGTCAAGGATAATTATTTCAAAACAATTCTTTAATCTTTCTCATTTTTCCCTCTAAAAACCTCTGTCTGCCTTTACCTCCCTGAATTCGCACATCGTTTACAATGGCATCCATATTCTCATTGCAAGGCTTGATTCCTGAATATGTATCTTTTCCTTTTAGAGAACTTCTCTCTGTAATTTAGGTTGACAGGGTGGACACCTATACACCCTCTCTAGGACAGGGAGGAACCCTGGGATTATCTTGGTGGAGAAATCTCCAGCACAGAGAACTGTCAGAACAGTTGCATGGATGAGCAGAAAAGAGCAGATGCTAAGTTTTTCCCTGACCCCCACTGCTGCATGTCGGCTGTAATTGGATGCAAGAAAATGTGTTAACTTTTTTGTGGACAAGCATCATTGACCTGGGTTGAACCAGACATACAGAAGGCCCATCCCCCTTCTCATCCACCATCTCTTGGAAGGAGCTTGGTCACCTTCAAAGGCCAGTTTCTTAGTTGGAGAGGAAGGTCTAGTTCTTTGCAGAAAGAACACACACTGTGTGTGTGTGTGTGTGTGTGTGTGTGTGTGTGTGTGTGTGTGTGTGTGTGTGTGTGTCTGTCTGTCTGTCTGTCGGTCTGTCTTGCTTTCTGTAAAGAACTAAGGCTCCTTGGTGCTGATCTAGTAGGGAGAGTCACCAGGGGTGGAAGCTGACAGAGGCCACAGATGCCAGGGACTCTCAGACCACTGCATCCACTCCCTGGCATTCATCTCCAGAAACACTCACTCAGGGTGCAAGGTGCATGTAGAAAGACATCTAGCAACATTATTTATAACAGTGAAAAATGAACTTTCAAATGGGAACAATTCAATGTCTTCTCCCAGAGACTGGCTAAATAGCACAGTCATTAAGGACCTGGGCTCTGAGTTCAAATCTTGTTTCTTCCGCTTACAATATATGCATACCATATACACACATAAATTCACCTACACATCTACCTATCGTACGTCATAAACACACATTCGTAGAGTCTCCACTTTCTATGGCCTTCCTAGCTCTGCCCTCCCCTGTGTCTTCATCTCACCTGTAGCTTCCTTTCTGATGCCAGCATATTCTGTTGGTTTTCATCAAGATTCATCAATACAAAATTATAATCCAGGCCTAACATTTAGCTGACTTCAACCAAGGATTCTACAGTAAGCATTTATTGATCCCAAGTGAGAAGTTCTGGGGTTCAATTACCAACCTGGTGGTTCAGGTGAAAAGCCTGGAAACCTTCCCCTTCCCTTTCCCCTTGACCTCAGTCCCCATTCTCCCTGGAGTGGGGCAGTGGCCCCAGCTCTACACAAGCCCCTTCATCATCTCTCTCCTGATTATCACACTGGCTTTCTCTACAGTCTCTGGGCTTCTACCGTTGCCCCTGACTGCCTGTCATCCACATGAAGCCAGAGGGTCTTACTGGGACCTAAGTCACATCATGCCTCTCCTCTGCTTAAAGCCACCTGATCCACATCCCTAGGAAAAAACCCAAACCCTCACCACAGCCTATGAGGCCCCATATAACATAGCCCTTCCCGACTTCTCTAAGCTCAAGTCCACCTTGCAAAGTTCTGCCTAGAAACAAGACTCCCTTAACAGTATCCACAATCTGGAAATGCCCATCCGTGGCCCATGCGACCCATTCTAAATGCCACCATATTCCCATGTGTCAAATCGTCAACGCAAGCCCTGGGCTCTGTTTGCTGCCTGGATGAAAATTCTTTTTGAAAACTGCCTGAAAATCATCTATATGCCTGATGATTAATGCACACTGTTACACGAGGAGCAACTTGGTTTCATCCAAATTATCTATTCTTGGCAACGAAAAGACTGATTCATGTTTCTAATAATGAATTCCAAAAGGCTACAGATTTGCAATTGGATCATCACCAATTTAAGAGTCGATGGCAATTGGATCATCACCAATTTAAGAGTTGATTGCAAAGTCTTGCCTTGAAGATCTTTATATTTGCTTCTAGCAACAATGTTCCAAACTCTGTTGTCCTTTGACAGTGGACAGAGGCTTAGGCCCACCCCTAACCTGATCAATGGCTGGCACTTCTTAGCAGAACCCTTGAGAGCCTCCAGGATCCGTATCCCACCTTGCTCTCCAGTCTCAGGTCCTGCTGCCCTTCCCCAGGGTCACTATGCTCCAGCCACACCTGCCGCAGGCCCTTTGCACATGCAAAGCTGGTCCCTCTGGAATCTGCCTTTTAGGCAGTGGTGTGACAGGAGCATCTAAATTCCATTTAGCAGACAGAAAATAGTGTGGAGGAGATAAAGAAGCCAAGCAAAGAAGAAGGCTGGGAGAGAGGGAGTGTGTTTGGTGATCTGTTGCTTCTTTCAGGATGCAGGATTCGTGCTTCATGCTTTTATTTTTTTCCTCTTGCCTCTAAATTCACAGATCTGAAGGAAAAGAATTAAGTGGATATTTACACAAAGGCAGACCCGATGCCAGCTCACAGATACTGATCTGTATAATGTCTCCTGGCATGAACAATGAGAGCGTTTCTTTGAACAGCAGAAGCTATAGCAGAGCAAAAACTTAACTGTGTTGAAGTCAAAAGAAAAATATTTGCAATTTGCTCAGCCAATAGACCGGCAGGAAAGCCCTTTGAGACCGCTTCTGCAGATAGAATTTCTCCCATGGGCCCAGCTGAGTGTGTTGGTGGCAGCCCAGGACCCGAGTCAGATAATCAGCCTGTCTGTAAACAATCCTTCCAATTCAACAGACAACCTGTCCCCAGGGAAAGGGACAGCCGCAGCCCAATCTGAGGGAGTGAACATTTCTGGTCTTCTCCTATCTGCCAGCACACTGGGCTGCAGAGGTGGGTGAGAGGAAGTTCCAGCTCTCAAGCCATGGGGGACTCAATGAGGGCTTTGTTTTGTTGTTGTTGTTGTTGTTGTTGCTGCTGTTTTGAGACAGAGTCTCACTCTGTCGCCCAGGCTGGAGTGCAGTGGCACAATCTTGGCTCACTGCAACCTCCACCTCCCAGGTTCAAGCCATCCTCCCACCTCAGCCTCCCAAGTAGCTAGGATTACAAGTGTGTACCACCCATGCCCGGCTAATTTTTGTATTTTTTTTTTGTAGAGGTAGGATTTCACCATGTTTGCCAGGCTGGTCTCAAACTCCTGACCTCAAGTGATCTGCCCTCCTCGGCCTCTCAAAGCGCTGGGATTACAGGCGTGAGCCACTATGTCTGGCCTCAGTGAGGGGTTTAAACCAGCTGGGGGCTGGTGCTTTGAGCTGTTTCAGTCCCAGATCCTCCACTCACTAGCTCAGTTTCCCCATGAACCAGCCAGTGAGGAACCTCTGTTTCTTCCACTATGAAATGGGGAAATGGGACTGCTATAAGAACTCAGTCTAATAGGGATGTGTGTGAAAGCCTCTTGTCAAAGGATCCCATAACAAAAATTATTCATGTTAGTTTTAAATGGCAAAATAAACAAAATGATAAAAAAAAAAAAAGAGAGAGAGAGAGAGAGAGAACATTCCACTGTGATGCCTGAACCATAAGAAAGGGTGGGTGAGGGAGGCCGGGACAACCAACCTCCCTCTGCTCTTTGCTCTCTATGGTAATTTTTCTAGTTTTTGGGCGAAGTGAGCCTTCAGGTCCTGCGCAGATATAGACTTTTGGTGGCAATTTGTTTTAAATGAGAGAGAGAGGCGTTGTGAGCAAGCAGGGCCTTGGCTGCGTCACTGTCGCTGTGGCCTTGAAAGAGCCTGTTTGTTGCTGCCATCTGTGGGGGAACCCGGACACCACCCCAAAGTCATGATGCAAGGACTCAGAGAGGACTCCAGTTTCTTCAGGGGGGGATGGGCTGACTGTGGTATCTCTCCTGGGAACTGTAACAGCAGCCTGAGGGGTCTCCCCATGTCCCCTTGCCCCCATCTTCCATTCTCCTCCGATAGCTGGAGGCCTCTTCCTAAAGTGGCAAATCACATCACAGCACTTAGCAAGGCTGGCACTGGGGGAGAGCAGTGAAGAGCAGGGGGGACCAAAGTGAAGGAGACCTCGCTCCCAGATTGTGTAAGTGCCAGGCACTCACTTTGCCTTAGGTCCAGTCCGGTACTCACCTGCTCATACCTCCCCGGCTTCTCAAGGCTCTCAGAATAAAATGCAAACTCCCTGCCAGAGCCATCCGGGGAAGTGATACCTGGTCCCTGCCCACCCCTCTCCTGCTTCTCAATTCCCCTCCAGTCCCACCAGCTTCTTTCTGTTGCTGGGACGACTCAAACTTTATCCTGCCCAGAAGGAAAAAAGTGTTTTCCTGTATTTTTCCTGTATACGCACAATACTTCTGATACCAAATATATGGGTTTTCCGCTGGCATTCAGCAATTCTTCAGCTCCCTGGTCACCAACTGGGCATCCTACAATTTAATTCTGGCACTAACTACCTACAGTGAGTGCAGACCCACAGGGTAAGGGCTCAGTCCCACAAGACTGCCCCCTACTTCAGACACCAGCCACAAGTCCTGGATTGTGATCCACGCTTCTGACCAAAAGGCTGTAAATCAGGAGTTTCCACGACCCACTCCTTTCAATAATTTGCTAGGACAGCTCACAACACTGGTTTATTATGAAGGGAATCACGAAGGATACAGATGAACAAACAGATGGAGAGACAACCGGGGCAAGTGTAGATAGAGGCCCAGAACTTGCTTGTCTTCTCCCAGGTGCCACCCTTCTAGCACCTGGATGTCGTCACCAACCAGGAAGCTCTTGGAATCCCATTGATTAGGGTTTGTATGGAGGCTTCATTATGTAGCCATAATTGACTAATTCATCGACCTTCAGTGATTAGTCAATTTCCAGTCCCTTTCTTGGACCCTAGAGGTTGGGGGGGATGGAACTCTCCTGGTTGGATCCTCCGGCAACCAATCCCCATTCTCCAAGGGTAACCTCATTAGCATAAAGTCAGGTATGGTTGAAAGGAGCTTATTATGAAAAACAAAAGATACTCCTCTCACCTCTATCACTTAGGAAATTCCAAGGGTTTAAGACCTCTGTGACAGGAACCTGGAGAAAGACTAAATATACATTTCTTAATATAATATATGTCAGTATCATTGCACCAGGGTCTTTGCACTTTTTCTTCCTTATCCCTGGAATAGTTTTTCCCCAGATTTTGTATGATGAGCTCCTTCTTCTGTACTAAATCTTAGCACAAATGTCACCTCCTCAGAGAGTCCTGCCCTGGCTACCCTACCTAAGATGATGCCTCTAACCCAGGCACTCTCTGTATTTTATATCCTGTTTCATTTCTCTCTTAGTCCTTACTGCAGCCTACAATTATTTAGTACCTGTCACCCCCACTGGAAGGTCAGCTCCACCAGGGCAGAGACTGGGTCTGGGTTGTGCACAGCTCTCTCCCCAGCACCTTGTCCAGCACTTGGCACATAGTAGGCACCAACTAAATATTTAGATAATTAAAGGAATGGAGATTCTGTTAAGGTCCTTTCAGTTCTGCAGTGAGGGAGGCTCAGCTCGGCAGGGCTGGGCCATAACCCAGGTCTACACGGCTCAGAGGCCTCTATCACTGACACCCTTCCCCAGCCACCCTCCATGGGTCACCAAGGAGTAGCTGACCTCTCTGAGTTTTCTGTGCCAGAAGCTCTAGCAGCAGGGGTGCTATTTGGAAGACCATGACAATGGCCCTAGGGTATGATGCTCTGTTTCTCCCACCTCCATCTCTTTTCCATATTTTTGGCTCTGCCCTAGCATTAAGATAGCCAGTCACCCAGTCTCCCCAGGCCTGTGCTTTCTGCTGTGTTTGGCCAATAAGAGCAGAGAGGGGCAGTAGCCTCCCACCCTCCTTGCTGGGTCCTGATGCAGCTGTGGCTGTTGCTATGGTTTGAATATTTGCCCCATCCAAAACTCACATTAAAATTTTATCTCCAATGTGACAGACAGTATTGACAGGTGGGGCCTCTAAGAGGTGATTGGGTCATGAAGGCTCTGCCCTTGTGAATGGATTAATCCCTTCATTGATCATGTGAGTGTGACTGATGGTTTTATAAGAAGAGGTAAAGAGATCAGAGCTAGCACATTAGTTTGTTCAGTTCTCCATCCCCCATGTGATGCCCTGCATACCTCAGGACTATGCAGAGAGTCCCCACCAGCAAGAAGGCCCTCACCAGACACAGCACCTTGACCTTGGACTTCTCAGTTTCCATTATTATAAGAAAGAAATTCTTTTTCTTTATAAATTACCCAGTTTCAGGTATTCTGATATAAGTATAAAGCAAAAATAAAATCCAAAGCTTCTCCAACCAACTGAACAGACCCACTCTGGGCCAAGGGGACCCTAGAGAAACCTGAAAAACTGAATTCCTGGCCATTGGAAAAAGAGGTTGAACATACCCCATTATACTCGCTGCCTTTTGGAGTTTAGGCACAATTGACTAGCATTAACATTAAAATAGAGATCATAAAACTGACAAAACAGACTCTTTGTGAAAAAAAGACCAAATTCAAAGCCTGACTCTAGTATAGCATCACATGACAGATAGCAAACTCTGAAGGAAATCAAAATATTTTACCCCAAAATATATTTCATTGACATATTTTGAGATGGCCTTGCAAGGCTGTCTTTTGTGGGGGAGATTTGTATGTGTAGAGTATCTCCAGAAATGCAGCCAGGCTTTTCAAGGATCTAGGAGAGATTAACTAAGAGTCTGACACATTTTAAGGTCCAAAAAGTGATATTTACCATCTATTCTCTCTGAAGCCCATTACCTGGAGGCTTCATCTACATAACAAGAACCTTGGCTTCCACAAACCCCTCTCATCTTTTTTTTTTTTTTTTTTTTTGAGATGTCTCGCTCTGTCGCCTGGGCTGGAGTGCAGTGGCCTGATCTTGGCTCACTGCAACCTCCACTTTCCAGTTCAAGCAATTCTCCTGCCTCAGCCACTCAAGTATCTGGGATTACAGGTGCCCATTACCATGCCCAGATAATTTTTGTAATTTTAGTAGATACAGTGTTTCAACATGTTGGTCAGGCTGGTCTTGAACTCCTGACCTCAAGCAATCCTCCTGCCTCAGCCTCCTAAAGTGCTGGGATTACAGGCATAAGCCACCGCACCTGGCCCCTCCTCTTATCTTAACTCAAGCATTTCTTTCTACTGACTTTAAGTGTTTAGACAAAGCCTAACTTTTTCAACTAATTGCCAATCAGAAAATCTTTGAATCCACCTGTGACCTGTAAGTCCTCCCTCCCCTTCAAGATGTCCCCACCCTTCCAGGCCAATGTATACCTTACATGTATTGATTTATGTCTTTGTCTGTAACTTCTGTCTCCCTAAAGTATATAAAACCAAACTGTCACCTTACTGCCTTGGACACACTTTCTCAGGACCTGTTGAGACCGTTCTCCAGGCCATGGTCACTTATATGGACTCAGAATAAACCTTTTTAAATATTGTACCGAGTTTTTTTCTTTTAACATAAGCAACAGAAAATGGACGAAGACAGCAGTGTTCCTCTTCCTGTGGTCTCAGCATCTCATGGGCAATCCTCTCTTACAGCTGCAGTTCTCACAAGCTCTAGTAACTCCCTTGCTCCCAGCGCCTCCAGTCCCAGGGCTGGTAAGGGTTCCCATCTGTTTCTAGTCCCTGGGGTTCTGGGAAAAGTACTTAACCCCTCTGTGCCTCACAATCCTCATCTACATAACAAGAACGATAATGGCACCTACCTCACTGAGCCATTGGAACAATTAAATGAGATAATATGAGGTAGTGCCTAGAATAGTACCTGGTATATAATAAGCATGATTATTATTGTTGTTATTATTTTATTACCATTATTGGCTATTGCTGTTATTATTTTATTACTGCCATTTCCTGTGTTAAGCACTAATCTCATAGTATCTCATTGGATCCTCTTATTATTTCAATTTTACACTTGAGGCAACGGCAGCTTAGGCAAACCCAGCCAGTTTTCCAGCATGATCCAGTTAGAACATAGCAGAATCAGGCCTCAAGTTTTCGTCTGACTGCTCAGCCTAAGATCTTGACCACCAAGACAGGTTTCCCCCTGCCCCTTTATCTATTCAAAGTCCATAGTTGCGTGAGGGGGCTGGCCTGTGCATTGCAGGATGTTTACCTATATCCATGGCCTCTATCCACTAGATGCCAGCCATCCACAACAAAGAAAGATCTAACCAAAAATGTCAGTAGGGACAAGGTTGAGAGATCCTGGTATGACGCTTATGCAGATACAAGAAAAGCCATAATTATGGAGGTAAGTGCTCTACATTTGACTCAAACTGATGAAATGATGACATCAGTAGACTAATTTACATGTATACCTAGAATAACCACTAAAAAAGCTACCTGGAGAGATACACTTAAAAATACCATAGATATATCAAACCAGAACTCTAAAAAATATTCAAATAACTCACAGGAAGACCACAAAAAAAGAAAGGAAAATAAAACAGAAAAATTAAAACCAGAAGAAGCAAACAAAAAATAAAATGGCAGACTTAAGCCCTAGTATGGTAACGACATTAAATGTTGATAGTTGTATTAGTCTCTTCTCACATTGCTATAAAGAAATACCTGAGACAGGGTAATTTATTTTAAAAAGGGGTTTAATTGGCCTACAGCTCTGCAGGCTGTACAGGAAGCATGGGTGGGAAGGCCTCAGGGAGCTTTTACTCATGGCAGAATGCGAAGCCAGAGAAAGCATCTTACGTGGCTGGAGCAGGAGGAAGCGGGGTGGGGAGATGCTACACACTTTGAAACAACAAGATCTCATGAGAACTCACTCACTATACAGTACCAAGGTGTATGGTGCTGAACCACTCATGAGAACTCCATCCCCATGATCCAATCACCTCCCACCAGGCCCCACCTCCAACACTGGGGATTACAATACAAGATGAGATTTGGATGCGGACACAGACCCAAACCCTATCAATGATCTAATTAAAACAAAAGATTGGCAGAGTGAGTTTAAAACATGACCCAATTATATGTTGTCACAAGAAACTCACCTCAAATGTAACTAGATAGGCAGTAACAAACCAGGAGCAGAATTCTTGAAATTCCAGAAAGAAAACAAGAATATTGTGAATGGATAAAAATAGGGTAAACATAAACGATTTTACTAGTTTTCACCTCATGAGTTTCTTATATTATATGTGTTGGTTGAAACAAAAATAATAACATCATGTGATGTGATTCTCAATGTATGAAAGCAACACTTAAGACAATTATATTGTAAAAGCGTGAAGGGGAAAGGGACCTAAGTAGCAGGAAGGCCTGGATGCTTCAGGCTAAGTGTTGAAACAGTGATAGCAGTATTTACAATAAACTGTGTATGTATATAGGCAGCCACTGAGCAAAATATACAAAGCAATATACTCTAATACATAAATAAATCAAAATGGAATTCTAAAAATCATTCAGAAACCCACAGGAAGGCAAGAAAAGAGAAACAGAGGGTAAACAGAGAAAATAAATAATAAAATCTCAGTTCTTAGCTCTAACATATCCGTAATTACTTCAAATGTCAATGGTCTAACTGTACTGATTAAGAGAGAGAGTGGATTGAGAAATACAAGTCAGGTACATCTGCATACAAGAAACTCACTTCAAATATAATGACACATAAGCTGAAACCTAAAGAATGGATAAAGTTGTATCATGGGCCAGGTCCAGCGGCTCATGCCTGTAATCCCAGCACTTTGGGAGGCCAAGGTGGGTGGATCATCTGAGGTCAGGAGTTCAAAACCAGCCTGGCCAACATGGTAAAACCCGGTCTCTACTAAAAACAGAAAAAATTAGCTGGGTGTGGTGGTGCATGCCTGTAATCCCAGCTACTTGGGAGGCTGAGGCAGCAGAATTGCTTGAGCCTGGAAGGTGGAGGTTGCAGTGAGCTGAGTTCGAGCCATTGCACACTAGCCTAGGCAACAAGAGTGAAACGCCATCTCAAAAAAAAAAAAAAAAGTTGTATCATGCGGATATTGATTTAATAAAATGGAGTGTTTATATTAATATTAGATTAAATAGACTTTAGAGCAAAGACATTAGTAGGGTCAATAAGAGACATTACATAAGTATAAAAGGATCAATCCATAGAGAAGAATAGTGATCCTAAATGTGTATGCACCAACCAATGGAGCTTTGAAATACATGAAACAAAAACTGATAGAGCTGAAAGGAGAAATAGATAAATCCACAATTACAACTGGAGATGTCAGGACCTAAGATATCAGCATTTGACATTTTCTATCAGTAATTGACACATCTAGTAGACAGATCTAACAGGAAGGAAATCAGTAAGGATACAGTTAAACTGAACAATATCATAAATCAACTGGATCTAATTGACATGTATAGTTTACTTCATCCAACAACAACAGAAATGTACATTCTTCCTAAGCTTACATGGGACATTCACCAAGGTAGATTGTCTCCTGGTTTATAAAGTAGAGTTTAACAAAGTTTAAAAAATTGAAACCACAAAGAGAACACTCTCTTACCATAATGAAATAAACTAGAAATCAATAATAGAAAGACAACAGGAAAATCTTCAAATGTATGACTATTAAACAGCTCAATTCTACATAACCCATGAGTAAAAGAAGAAGTCTCCAAGAAAATAAAAAAAAATACATAGAACTGAATGATAATGAAAATACGACATATCAAAATGTGTGAGATGTAGTTAAAGTCATGCTGAGAAATAACTTTGGAGTACTAAGTG
The DNA here is from genome assembly GCF_000001405.40 of Homo sapiens. Lineage (NCBI taxonomy): Eukaryota > Metazoa > Chordata > Mammalia > Primates > Hominidae > Homo > Homo sapiens. The sequence continues at coordinate 48,255,147 of NC_000020.11, forward strand.
CCTACATTAGAAAAAAAGGAAAAAGCTCAAATCAATAATCCAAGTCCTACCTCAAGAAAGTAGGTAAAAAGAGTAAAGTAAACCCAAAGTGAGCAGAAAGAAGGAAATAATAAAGATAAGAACAGAAACGAATGAAGTTGAAAACAGAAAAGCAAAACATAAAATCAATGAAACAAAGAATAGGTTCTTTGAAAGGCTCAATATAATTGACATATGTTTGCAAGATTGACAAAGATAAAAAGAGAAACAAATCATTAATCCCAGGAACAAAACAGAGGATATCACTACAGATTCTATGGTCATTAAAGGGATAAAAAGAAAATGCTATGAATAACTTTATACTCATAAATTCTATAATTTGTAAGAAATTGACCAGCTTTTAAAAACCATAAGCTACCAAATCCAATCAAGATGAAACTAATTACCATAGTAACACTATAAGATCCTGAAAAAGAATCTCCAGGCCAAGATGGTTTCACTGGAGAATTTTAGCTAACATTTAAAAAGAACATTTTATACCAATGTTACAGTGTCTTCCAGAAAATAGAAGAGAGAACACTTCCCAGCTCATTTTATGAGGCCAATACTATTTTGATACCCAATCCAGATAAAAATAGAAATAGAAAACTATATAAAAAGTAAAAAATTGAAAACTATAAAAATAGAAAACTATAGACAAATATCTCTCACAAACTTAGATATAAAAATCTTCAAATACATTACAAAATTGAATTCAACAATGTATAGAAAACACTACATGACATGACCAAGGAGGATTAATGCCAAGTATGCAAGGCTAGTTTAATATTCAAAACATCAATCAATATAATCCACCGTATCCACAGGCTGAAGAAGAAAAATCTTTTTAATTGATGCAGAAGAAACACTTATTCATGATAAAAATGCTCAGCACACTAGAATTGGAGGGTAATGTTCTCAATCTCGTAAAAATCATCAATGAAAACCTAAACTTAACATCATGCTTCATGGTGAAAAACTGAATGTTTTGCCTCTACCACCAGGAATGAGGCATCAAGATAGATAATATCCTGCTTGGATAAAAAGAAAAATGTCCCTTTTCACCCCTTTTATTCAACATAGTACTAGAAGTTCTAGACAATACAATAAGGCAAGAAAAAGAAATAGAAGGTAAACAGAAGAAATGCAGCAGTCTCTATTTGAAGATGACATCATTGCCTACAAAGAAAATCCCAAAGAATCTACCAAAACAAGGAACCCTCCTAGAATAATTTAGTGAGTTCAGCAAGATTGTGTGATACAAGATGAATATACAAAATCAATTGCATTTATATATCCTAATAATAAACAAATAGAACCTGAAATTTAAAGTGCAATACCACATACAGTTGCTCCAAAGAAAACGAAATACTTAGGTGTAAAATCAGCAAAACATGGAAAAGATTTATATGCTGAAAATTATAAAATCTTGATGAAAGAAATTAAAGAACTAAACAACTGGAACAACTTTGTTTATGGACTGGGAGACAACATAGTGAAAATGCCAATTCTCTCCCTAATTCATTGATGTTTAATGCAATTTCTGTTAAAATCCCAAATGGCTTTTTGGAGACATAAACAAGCCAATGGGCTTCTCACTCTATCTCTGCTGGTGCCACAGGGGAAGGAAGCTCCTACCTGGCCTTCTTTTGCTGCTGGGTAGAGAAACAGATGTTGAGAGGTCCCAGTAGGTGACTGCCATGAGTTGAGGGTGGAGACTCAAAGCCTGGTTCACCTTCTTCTGCTGGGTGGAAGCCTCAGGGACACCAGGTCTAAGTTACCCTCTGCCATTAGATGGAGGGGCTGGAGACTCCAGGTTTTCTGGTACCACAAAGAAGGGATGCATGTGTCCAGTGAGCATGGGGTGTGGGACAGGCCAACTAAGCCCTGGAAGCTTTGCTGGAGCCACTGCTGCTGCTATGTGTGGGCTCCATGACACTGCCCCCTTCCAGCTGTTGCATTTGGTTTTGAGTTCATGTATCCCTATTTGTGGTTCCGGGTTGCCGGCCTCTCCAGTGCCTAGTGTAGGGTGTATGGGAAGTTACAACAACAACAACAACAAGACAAGTAACTCAACTTAGGTGTCATTATCAAAGTCCTAAGGTTCTTAGCCAGTGCATCTTCTTCATTCCGTCTTTCAGAGCGCTTTATGCTTGTCTGTTAAATTATTTCTAGGGCATTTAGTTGTATTATGAGGGGAAGAGTAGGGAAAAGTGAACCTGTACTATCTTGTTCCATAACTATAGGACGGTTTCTTTTAAAGCTAAAAATAGACTTACCATAGATCCAGAAATTGCACTTATAGGCCTTTATTCCACAGAAATAAAACATATGTTCATGTAAAAGCTTCTACAGAAAATTTCACAGCAACTTTATTCATAATGGCCCCACACTGGAAACTATACCAATGTCCTTCAATGGGTGAATGATTAAACAAACCCTGGAACATCCATAATGTGGAATATGTCAGCAATAAAAAGGAGAAATTATTGCTGCACACAGCAACCAAAATGAACATCAAGGGAATGATGCTTACTAGAAGAATAAGCCAACACCAAAATGTTACATGCTGTATGATTCCCTTTATATAACATTTTTGAAATTTAAAAAATTCTAGAGATGGAGATCAGTTAGAGGTTGCAGGGGGTTAGGGACTGGCTAGTGTGGTCCTAGAGGGAGGCAGAGGGACCCTTGAAGTGACGGGACAGTTCTGTAGCTTGACTATGGTGGTGGTTACTCAAAACCGCATATGTGATAAAATTGCATAACTGGTGAAATCTACATAAGCTCTGTGGATTGCACCTATGTCAATTTCCAGCTTGTCATATTGTACTTTAGTGATGCAAGATGTGATGATTGGGGGAGGCTGGGTGAAGGGTACATAGGACCTCCTTAAACAGTTCCTTGCCACTCTCTGTGGATCTAAGTTATTTCACAGTAAAAAAAAAAATTTAAAAAGCCAAAACAAAACAATATTGCTAATTTCCAACCACAAAATATTCCTTTTAAACTACCCCTGGCCCCATCTTCTCTCTCTGTCTCTGTTTCTCCATCTCTCTCTTTTCAGGCCACTGTGAAGACCTATTTGCACCAACCTGGAACTTTCATTTTTACCTTTTTTTTTGAGACGGAGTCTTGCTTTGTCACCCAAGCTGGAGTGCAGTGGTGCCATCTTGGCTCACTGCAACCTCTACCTCCCAGGTTCAAGTGATTCTCCTGCCTCAGCCTCCTGAGTAGCTGGGATTACAGGCACACACCGCTAAGCCTGGCTAATTTTTGTATTTTAGTAGAGATGGGGTTTTACCATGTTGGCCAGACTGGTCTAGAACTCCTGACCTCAGGTGATCGGACTCCCAAATTGCTGGGATTACAAGAGTGAGCCACTAAGCCTGGCCCAACCTGGATCTTTCTATCTGAGGTTCTGGGAGGGCTGGCAGAAAGTGGAAAAGGGGATAACTTTTTAGTGCCTGATTTGGTGGTATTTCATGTGAACTACCTTAATCATGGAGCCGATTCTCTAATCCTTCTGTTTATCAGTGGCCCCTGCCCCATCCTTTGGGAAACGTTCCAGGATGTTTGGCACTTAACACTGGGTACAAACTCCCCACCCAACAGCAGCCGTTCCTGGTGCCTTCAAACAAAAGGACATGGAATGGGGTAATATTATTTGGATAATTTTCAAAAATGCCCTACAAACGATAAGTGGATCAACAGATAGATTCCAAGCATCATGGGTATCCCTTTGGGTTGGCAATTGCAGCTGCGCATTAACCAGGTCCTTGGGATGATGGTTGAATGTGAGTTGTATCCTGGGCAGATAGACTCACAGATGTGCACACAAATGCACACACACAGGACACACATATGGACGCTTTGTGCTCCTCCAAGCTGGGCATTTTACAGTCAATTCATGGATCAGTCAATACATTTGGAAACTTAGTAGGTTATTAGAGTTTCAGAAAAAGTCTCAAGTTCAAATAAAATGTGTGTATGTGTTTGTGTGTGCATCTACTCACAGTCTTATCCACCCAAATCTCAGGTGCAGCAGTGGTGCCAACATCATGACTTTATGTACATAAACTTGGCCAGGGAAGGAAGGGACCTTAATGTGCAAATGTCCCACGTGCCATCGGTCAAGCCCACCACCTTCACCTTTCAAGTTTCTTATTAGAACTCTAGACTACACGCCTGACAGGCTGTCAGGTTGAGTTTCCTCTTCTGTATGACATGGGACAAGCAAAGTGGGGAGAACATCTTCTACAGGGTGAAATGTCTTCATCCTGTCTTCCTCACCCCCTTTGCCACTTAATGATTAGCTTTAATCTAACTAGAACCTTTTGGGGTTTCTGTAATGGGAGGCAGAGGTGCAGTAAGAAATCCCCTTTACTACCCAGTGAAATACAGGGGCGTCTCCAAGGGAAGCCCGTCTCACCTGCTTCCTGTCTCCCGCCGAGAACCTGCTCCAGCACAGCCTCCCAGTCTCTGCCCCAAAGGTGAGGGTGGGCCCTGTGGGAAAGAGACAGGGGACAGATGGAGGGGCAAGAGGGCAGGGGTCCCAACCTGCACAGAGGAGCAAACCTGCACCAGATTGAAACGTAAGCTGAATGTAATTACTTGGTTAATTAAATACTGACTTTTAACTCAAAAAGTGATTAAAACAAGCTGCAGAAAGACTGTCCAGAAGCGGGGCAGGGAATGAATCAAAGCTTTCAAGAAGAGGGAGGAGGAAGAGAGGGTTGTCACAGGCAGGTCTGGCTTGCTCTTCCTACTGTGTACTGGGCCTACTGCATGCAGGGGGTGTGGTCTTTGGTCTCTGAGCAGGTGAGGAATTTTGGACTGAGGCCAACATGCAAAGTAGGATTTCAGACTTCTTATATCTTTCCACTTCAGACCCCATCTCTTTTCCCAGTTGTCTGAGAGTACCAGGAGCTGCTGGTGCCTAGGAACCGGGTCCTGTTCATCCACGTTTCCTTGGAACAGAATGCAGTACCCGGCACGAGGAGGTGCTCCAGAAATGCTTGCAGAACAAATGAACAAATGACTACACAGTAGTATTATGCACATGTGTGTTCCGATGAGCACGTGTGCGCGTGTGTGTGTGTTCACTGTAGGCAGGAGCTGTGGGTCATGTGTTGTAGGCTGGTCTTAACTCACCAGCTCAGACACCCATGATGTCAGAGGATCTGTAAAACTCCCTGAGCCGTGTTTCCTCCCCATAATTCCCAGCAAACTCCCTGGTCCTCTGTATTCAAGGCCTCAGCCTGTTTTCCAGGTCCTTCTAGGCAGCTGGGGATGGCTGGCCCCATTCCAGAGCTCGGTGTCTGCCTGGGAGACTTAGGACCTTTAGAGCCTCAGATGTCCCCAGCCTGGGAAGTCACTCAGCCATGACTCAGCCGGGCCTGGATGGGGCTCAGCAGAATCCTCAGGACCCCCACGGCCTCCCAATGCTCCAGTCCCTGCCACCTCCACCCACAGCCTTTCTCCTCCCGTGTCCTTCGTCACCCATGACATCATCTTGTGCGATCATCCTGGCTGCACAATCAAGCCTTTCAAGCTCCTCACGCCACCCCAACTCTCTCCTTATTGTTGATTTAACCTCAAGGGGACCATTCTCTTGATGCTTCCACACCTCGCTTCTTCAGCCTGCAAATTCCTTGGCAGCCCTTTTGTGCAGAACACCCCCTGGTTCCATCTACCTTGCAAAGCTGGAGTTGCTGTTTTATTTCCTTGACTTATAGGCAACAACAAAAAAAAAAAAAAAGGAAAAAAATCACTCAGTGTGTATTTTTTAATCTCCATCAAGAGACTATAATACAACCTGTACCATTTTTGTCTGAGCACTTTCTGGCTGAGTTTGGGTTGTAGCAGATGGGATTTTATGAAGGTTGTAAAAGTCAAGCTCTCAGCATGTCAAACAAATCAGTGTGTGAAGGAGAAACATTAAAAGTAGGAAAAATGGCTGTGGCCTGGGATGCATTCGGAGGCTTTGGAAAATAAGCCCACAGACCTGGAGCACAGGTGGCCCCGAAATTTGGCTGAAAATTGCCTTTCAAGAGCAAAAGTTGCTGCAGTCACCCTCAAAGGATCATGATCTAAATTCTCTACTCCTGAGTGGGGACCGTGGTGCTCTGGGTTTAAAAATACAAATTCCAGCATCAACTATAACTATATAGTCTTATGGTTAATTCTGCTTGAGTTTTCACCTAGGCATAAGCTGTCTTGTATGTAGAACTGCAATCGCATTAGGAGAAAGGGATCTGTGTATGAGTCTTGAGAAATTATGGTAATAAAAAATGGCAGCATAACCACCATTAAGTCAGAAGAAAGATAATTACTTCTCATGCTGCCTCCCTGGGTGAACACACTGACACGGAGATGAATTCGCTTCAGCAAAACAGGACTAATCTCTGCAGCACGGTATCTATTCCATTACCCCCTGCTTAATTACATGTGATTGTAGCGTCTAATTTATACTGATACCCAATGCCCAATAGAGCACCTTCATGAAGAGTGGGTTAGTTGGGAGGTGGGAAATTTATAAACTGGTTTAATTGCAGTCATCTTTGAGCTGTTTTATGTGTGACCTCAGGGAGTGATGGTGGTTACTCTAAATTCTCACTAATGAAAGACAAGAGGGTTATGGCCAGTTAATATCACGGTTCTGAGAACACAGATAAAGGTGACAATTTGTCTGTTTGCTCTATAATTCACTAATAGTTATTTTCTGGATAAGTGGGCAGGGAAGATTGAACATGGGGATTTCACTGTGTGATGCAACAGAAGCATACAAGCAGCATTAGTATACACGTAAGTGAATATTAAAATGACTAAGGTGCCTCCAGGAAGCACAGCTATAGATCTCTATGGACAAGGTAAAGTACACGGATTTTTGGTGGACGAGAGTTTTCTTATTTATTATTATTATATGTATATATTTTGAGACAGAGTCTTGCCCTGTAGCCCAGGCTGGCATGCAGCAGCGTGATCATGGCTCGCTGCAGGCTTAACCTCCTGGGCTCAAGTGATCCTCTCACTTTAGCCTCCCGAGTAGCTGGGACTACAGACATGCACCACCACACCCAACTAATTTTGTATGTTTTGTAGAGACAGGGTCCCACTATGTTGTCCAGGCTGCTCTCAAACTCCTGGGCTCAAGTGATCTGCCCACCTCAGTCCCCCAAAGTGCTAAGATTACAGGTGTGAGCCAAGCACCTGGCCAAGAGTTTCCTAAAGGGGAAAGGCAGGATCCATCCTCCCATATGTGCAATTCCATTTAGGGCTCTTTTTGGGACAGCACACCTGGTTTTACAACTCCTTTCTAGAAAGTTCACTTATGAGCTGATTAATGGCAGTAATGATTTAGTGTAAGCAGAGCGCAGTAGCCCTAGGGCTGAGGTTCTAACCTGGGCTCTGTTCCCACTGGCTGGTAAATCCTTGGCTGACCTCCCCAGGCTTCCATTTCCGCATCTTGAGAGTAGTGATGATATCAGCGACACTGCAGGGACATTGTGTTGGATTGAGTGAGATGAAGGAGAGTATAAATGCACAGCACAGACCGGTTCTGAGCCTCCCATTTCAGAGCAGGAAGCCGGGCCTCCCCCTCGAGGATGCACTGAGAGAGGCCACTGTGAGATCTGGCAGAGGGTGTCTTGATGTCAGGTGATCAGAACACATGGCAGCCTTGGACATCTCTGATACGACTCCTGCTCATGGAGTCATTCATTTGACAGATGTTATTAAGTTAAGTACCAGATCATAGCAACCACAGGAGTTATAAAGAGGACATGTCACCTGCTTCAGGGGAACTTAGAGCCTAGGAGGTGAAACAGATGTAACAAGTGAACATGACAAAGTTTGCAGCAGGAGCTGCTGGTTGCTTACCTCTTCTTTGCTAATAAAAATGGGATCTGTTTGGGCAGCAACAGGTCCAGTTCAAGGGGAGAGAACAACCCTGTCAATCATGACAATCCCACAGGTGGGCACTTGAGCACTGCTGGCCAAGGAGCTGGAAGGGCCAGTCAGCTGGAGGCTTCTGGGAATATTTTTGTCCTTGCTAAAATGGGAGAAAAGTATTCTGATTTCTTTTCAGAGTTATTGAAAGCTGGAAAGAGCATAGCTCCCAACCCTCCAAAGGAAAAAACCAGACAAGCAACAAGTGCATGCCTTTTCCAGAGCCCAACAAAATCCTGAGGTTGCAGAGCAAACAACAGTCCCCAAATTTACAGAGAGAGAGAGAGGCACTTGTGGGGAGAGAAGAGCCTGGCTTATGTGGGCAAGATGTAGCTAGAAACAGTAAGAACAGTCCAGCAAAGGTGATGGTTCCCAACAGGGGCCAATTTTTTTCCCTAAGGGGTAGCTGGGAGTATCTGAAGAAAGTTTTGATTGTTACAACTGGGTTAAGAGTGTTACTGGCATCCAGTGGGCCAGGGACACTGCTAAACATTCTGCAGTGCACAGGATAGCCCCTACGACAAAGAATTATCTGGCCCAAAATGTCCACGATGTTAAGGCTGAGAAACCTTGAGCTAAGTCAACATTGTCTCTAGCCTGGACAACTACAATACACTAACAGGTCCCCCAGGTCTGCCCTTGCTCCCTACCATCCATTCCCCACATGGCCGCCAGTTGGCTTCCATGTAAAAGAAACCAGATCGTGCCACTCGTCTATATAAAATCCTCCAATGGCTCACATCTTGAGACTTCACCATGGCTTCACAGCGTGCAGCATCTGTTCCCTCCATGGCCTTCTGATTTGATAACATGCTACCCCCTTCTGTCACTTCGATCCAGCCATATAGTCTCTCTGCATCCCTGGAAGACACCAAGAACACTCCCATCTCAGAGCCTTTGTACTTGCTCTCCCTGCCCGGGATGCTCTTTGCCCTTCCAATGCTCATGGCCACATCTCACTCCCATCTCTGCTCCAACATCTCATTTGCAAAGAGAAAAGAAAGAGCCCACCCACAGTCCCACACTAGGATAGTGCTTGGCACAAAATAGGTGCTCAAATAAATATTTGTTGAAGGAATCAATAAATAAAATGAAGACCTGCCCCCTTGAACTTTCGGTTAACTCACCCCAGCCTCAAATTGAAATCAAAGAAGTTATTAGAAACCTGGAAGAGAGCAGAAAAGGGAACTGAGGGAGTGAGTCTGGGACTGGGTGTTGGAGCTCTGGGTTCACATCTGGTTGGGTCAGCAGCTTTCAGATGTGTCCCTGGATAGGTATTTTCCTACTCTAAGTCTCAGATTATTTGTAAAATGGGCAAAGAAGCCATTCATTCAGTCATGTCTTCATTCAATAAAAATTTATTGAGCAACTGCTGAGCCAAGCACTGATGCAGGTGATGGGGATCCACTAGGAAACAAGACAGTTCCTTCTGGAATGAATGACCACACATTTATCAGCTTTAAACAACACACGTACATGTGACAAACTCCATAGTTCTGTAGGTCAGAAGTTCAACACAGCATGGCTAGATACGCTTCTCAGAATCTCATTGGCCCAAAATCAAGGTGTCAGCTAGAGATACGGTTCTCACCTGGAGCTCGGAGTCCTCTTCCAAGCTTCTGGTATTAGTAGAATTCGTTTCCTTCTCACTTTCCACATGGCCCAAACAGAAGGCACATTGAATCCTTCCAGAGCTTCAAATCTCTCTGACTTTTTGGCCATTCTTTTCTGTTATTCAAGGCTAATGAGATTCCATTGTATCCTCCGAAATAACTCAGGTTAATCTTATTATATTCCCAGGTTCCAGAAATTAGAGCATGGACATCTTTTAGGGGCCGTTCTCCTAATTTACATGTGGATGCATGTGGAGCCAGCATTCCAGGCAGAGGAAACAGCAGAGGCAAAGGCCATAAAATACTAATGGGCTTGATTTGTTCAAGGAGCCTCAAGCAACCAACATGGCTGGGCAGCAGAGCATGGAAGAGGGAAACAGGTGAGGAGGCCAGGGAGGTGGTGACTTCTAGGCCATGTGGTGCTTGGTAGACAGCAGGAACCAGAATGGGTTTTGTTCTAAGTACTTACGGAACTCATGGGAGCATTTTAAGCCAGATTGTAAAAATACCAAACCAATGTTTTTTAAGAAGATAACTTTGACTTCTGTATGGCAAAAAGTAAATGTGGAAGCAGGAAGACCAGTTTGGAGGACATGGCCATGGGGACAATGGCTTGGACTAGGACGTGGGGGTGGAAGTCATGAGAAGTGGTTGGGTTCTGGATCTCTTTAAATGATTTTTTTAAGCTGAATTTTCTGATGGAGTAAAAGATTTGTCAATTTCCTTCTAGCTGACAGCAGAAGGGGTGGCTTTGATCGGCTTTCATCTCCCTCTCCAGGCCTCCCCATATCGCTCCACCTGGAATAAAAATAAAAGCTAAGAAAAACCCATCTATCGGCACAAGCACAGCATCCAGACTAGTCACCTTGGCTTGTCACAGCCCTCGCCACACTGAGACATAGACATAGACATTGATAGATAAAAACTTGATTTTATAAAAATCAAAAGACAGTAATAATGAGGACATTCAGAAAATGGAGAACCATTTAGCTGGAATCTGAAATAGTATAATACAGCAGCAGCAGTTACCATCCTTTGAGTACAAAGTGTGAGAATGCTGCTTGAAGTTGGAGATTGGAGGCTTTGGGGAGCAGTTTCTTTACTTCGCTGACATCCTGGACATCACACATGGGCCTTACAAAGTTCACACACAAGCCTCTGCAGCCTCCGTCTGCTTGTTCTGAGATCAAACTGGGCGGCCTTCGGCTCTGGCTTTGATTAGCTATGCACAGCCTGACTGCCTGAAACTCATGCAATAGAGATGAATGGAAAATGAGGCTTGTAATTATTTTCAAAAGACGTGCAGCCTGACTTCAGCCCATGAAGACTTCCAGGCCCCTGGAAAAGCCTGGCTCTGTGGACATGCGAGCTGTGCAGTCTCATGGTGCCTCCGTTTAGAAGGGCCCCATGTTAGGTTTAATGCTTGGCTCTCTTGAAATTCTCAATAAGTTTTGAATGAGGGGCCCCATGTTTTCATTTTGTGCTTGGTTCTGCTTTGAAACTGCCTAGAAACCATCTTTCCCATTTTCATTCCAGTTGCTCAAACCCCTTTCTCAAACCTTTCAGAGAGGAAGGTAGCACAGGGGATATTCCTGGGACTGTGGTGTGGAGGGGTGTAGGTTGGTTACAGCAGCTCCTGGATGGTTGATGATGAGGATGCTGCAGATATGAGCAGGGCGTTAGCTGAGTGAGACTTCAGGATAAACCAACCTGGAGGTCCATCTTCCAAGGATGGAGGTATCATTTTACCCGAGTATGGATAATCTGGGGCAAAGAGCAGAAATGTCCCTAGCCCCAAACCTATCAACAGAGTAGCAAGGGCCCAGTGATAACCTCATCAAACCCATCTTGAAGTGGGATGGGCAGGGCCAAGAAATAAAAGAGGAAGAAACTAACCAGGAGCCTCGGCCACACTCCAGGCTTGTTCTGTGTCCAGCCGGGCTCACTGCAACTTGGTTTTCAGGGTATGAGCTGAGCGGCAGTACAACCTGTGTTGTTTAGCAACACAGTACCTTCCCCGTTTACTGCTGTAAGGTGTTAACGAGGAGGCAAATGAATTACAACTGACAGTTTACAAAGCAAAGGGGTCCAGGCATGGTGGCTCACACTTCTAATCCCAGCACTTTGGGAAGCCAAGGTGGGAGGATCGCTTGAGTCCAGGCATTTGAGATCAGCCTGGGCAACAGAGTGAGGCCCCATCTCTACACAAAAGAAAAACAACAACAACAACAACAACAACAATTAGCCAGATGTGGTGGTGCATTACTGTGGTCCCAGCTACTCGGAAGGCTGAGGTGGGAGGATTGCTTGAGCCAAGGAGTTTGAGGTTACAGTGAGCCGTGATTGCGCCACTGCACTCCCACCTGGGTGATAGAGAGAGAGAGAGAGAGAGACCCTGTCTCTAAAATAAAATAAAACATACAAAGCAAAGAGATGCCATTGCTCTTGCTGCTTCGTCCCCACTCCTCTGAGATGGAGGAAGAGTAGCCGCTGTTTTAATAGACGGTCACTAAGAGTTAGCTGCTCCTGGGTGTCTATCTTTGTGCACACGTGATTTCTTTAAGGCTCTGAATTTCCTATAGTGCTCTGCACAGAGCAGTCTTTAGGAGAAGAGACATCTGGATATCTATGAAATCAGTATTAAAAATATATTCTAGGTCACCCAATTCCCAACCGTAGTTCCCAGGTAAGGTGTCAAGGGTGGAAACATCCTGGTTGATGTCATACTGTCTGCAGTGAATGGAGCTAGGACTTGGACCTGGCCTTTGGGCACAAAGGCCACTGCTCTTTCTCCATCCCTCTTGACTGCTCAGGTGAGTGGCTGCTCTTACTGAACAATATCAGTGGGCAGAGGATGGGAGAAGTCATGGTTTTCCCCAGGACAGAAACTAGGGCTGGGGCTTCTCTGCTCAGAGGCCTTGTTGTTACTAGGCAAAAGGGGTTCACTGACTGATGCACTGGAAACCAATACTATAACACCAGGGTTTTGAGAAAAGAAAAGCTTTTCTATTGCAATTTAACCAGCAAGGACACAGGAGTCCAGCTCAAATTCGTCTCTCTGTGCTGGCTTTGAGGCAGTCATTTTCTATCAAAATAGAATTACTGCCTTAGAAAGGACGCCCTCCCAAGGACCCACTTTACTGTGTTTTGCTTTTCCTTACAACCCTGATCACCACCGATGGAGTGTGTTCCTCACCTGTCTTCTTCAACACAGCCCACTGAGGCGGGTTTAGGGGGTGGATTCTGGGATTAGAAGGTGATTGGTGGAAGGAAAGGAGAGGGCTGGAAGTCTGTGGGCATGCGCAGTTACCCCTTCATGCCGCCTCATGGGTTCCATATACAAATTCGAGGAGAGTTAGCGTGAAACGTGCGGTGGAAATTCATGCTGTGACATCAGCAAGCTCATTCTGTGCAAACTCCAGGTGGCCATATCGGTTCCAACCGATTTCAGCCAATTTAATCTCGCAAGCACGGGGAGTTTCTGCCATCCTGTAAACTCAAGAATTTGTGTTAGTTATTGGTTTCTTTAACTCTTTGGGGCACGGTTTCATTCCGTGACTTCAACACAGAGGAGTGGGGAGGCAATCCCATTGATGCACTCTGGAAAGCCTGTTGTGGGTGAGCCATGGCACAGGGCTGGACGGTCCAGGACCTTGGTCCCATGACACATGAGGTCTGTTCTGCGGAGCCCCAGCGTGTGGCCCTGTCCAGGCCCCGCCACTGTGTGTGTGGCGTTTTATTGTCAAGCTGTCCTTCTCTATCAAGGTCTTCATTTGCATTTGGCCAGGCACTGGCAGCTCCCAGAAGACACTGGGATTTTTCCAATTTGTTTGTTTATTTCATCAACAAAAGCTGGATTCCAGACTGAGATGTTAAGTCCTGGGGATGCTGCAAGGGGTAGGACAAACACAGGCTCAGCCCTCCAGAGTTTTCTGGTCTAACGTGGGCAATACATTCCCAGGGTCCATGGTGGGTAGGGGCCATCCACTCTGGTGGGGAGGAGTGTTTTACCACTGAATTGTAGCCAGTTTTATTATGGGCTTTAAACTTTCTATAGATAATGCACCCCCTTACTGCTTGCACCTGGGAAGACTGCTCGCCCCACCCCTTTGCTCTCTTACTGTACCCCTGAATGAAGGACTCCAGGAAGTACACACGTGGTCACTTGCTATTTCCCCCAACATGGGAGACATAGTCCTGCCTCAGGGCCTTTGCCCTGGCTGTGCCCTAGGCCTGGAGCTCTTTCCTCATCTCGATGCTCAGCTCACTCCTTGATTTCCTTCAGGTCTATACTTGAGCATCACTTCCCAGACAACTTTACAAAAAGGATCCTCTCCCAAAGATCCACTTTACTGTGTTTTTCTTTTCCTTACAGACCTGATCACCACTGATGGAGTGTGTATTGTTCCTTGCCAGTCTTTCTCAACACAGCCTACTTTGCAGTTTTGTTCATTACTGTGTCTCCAGTGTCTGTCCCTTGAAAGAAGCTCAAGACATTTTGAATGGATAAATGAACAGAAGAGAATACCTGTGTGTGAATCTTGTTCCTGCCCTGTGCCAGCTGTGTGACCTTAGGTGAATTATTGCCCCCTCTGAGCTTCAGTTTCTTTATTTCAAAACCACCAAGTGGCTGAGAAAATAAACCCAGGCAAGAGAAGAAAACACCTGCCCTGCCAGGGGAGCTGATGAATATCTCCTTCTTCCTTCTTTCTTTCTCCCATTAAATTTGACAGCCTCTGCTTTACTGCAGGGAGAGAGCCAGGAGCCTGTTTAGGCGGTAGTAGGACTCCTTTCCATTCACTGCACTCCCAGCCTGATCTCAGAGGCTCATGTAGTCAGCAGAGCAAGAGAAATGGGCTGGGAAACAGGCTGGATTTATTTCCTTCCTTTCCAGCAAAGTACTCTAAGGATGTGCCCATCCATAACCTCGTTGCTCACATGAAGACCGAGTGACGACTCAGATGGATGGAGATGTATGAACCTCTCTGCACATGTGAAAATCCAACCCTAAGCCATGCAGGGGAAATGGGCACCAAACTCAAGGGCAGGCACATTCCAGAGCATGGGGTCTGCGGGGGATGGCCTCGCCCAACCCAGGCATGGCTCACACACCATTTATTTCTTTACTGAGCTGGAAACTCAAATCCAAAGTTTTCCCGATGGCCCCGGAGGAATAAAAGAATTGGGGAGAGGGAAAAGGTGGAGAAGAAGGTGAAAGAAATGAAGGAAAAGAAGGAAGTGAAGAAGAAAAATAAGAGGGAAGAAAAAAATGAGAAAGAAAGACACATTTTAAACTAGAATAAAGTATATACCCTTTCTTAATTGACTGACCATGAACCAAATCAGAGCTTTCAAAGAGAATCTGACCAAATTGTTATTTCAGTTTACTTTAGAGTGTGATTTGATGTAAAGAAGTCAGTCTGTCTTGCCCCACTAAGCCTTGTTTAAATGAACTGCAATGTTCTGTAAGTTTCTTCTGGAACCTTAGCCCACCCATATGCTACAAATATGTGTTACTAGGGTGATCAGCCATCCCAGTTTTCCTGACACTGAAAGGAGTCCGTGGATGCAGGACTTTGGTGCTAAAACTGAGAAAGTTCTGGGTACACGAGGACAAACTTGTCACCCTAATGACAATGTCATGGCTTGAACTATGGCCCCTAGAAAGATGTATCTCAGTCCACATCCCTGGAAGGTGTGAAGGTCACCCTATTTGAAAGAAGATCTTTGCAGATGTGTTTAAGTTAAGGATTTTGAGATGAGATTATCCTGGGTTACTCAGGTAGGTCCTAAATTCAATGGCAAGTGACTATATAAGGAAGAAGAGAAGACACACACAGACAGAAGGGAAGGCCACATGAAGAGGGATGCAGAGATTGGAATGATTTGGCCATAGCCAAGAGATGCCTGAAGCCACCAGAAGCTGGAAAAAAATAGAGAAGGATTCTCCTCTAGAGCCTTCCGACAGACCATAACCCGGCTAACATCTTGATTTGGGACTTATGGCCTCCAGAACTGTGAGCACATAAGTGTATGTTGTTTTAAGCCACCAACTTTGTGGTGATTTGTTGGAACAGCCCTAGGAAAGCGATACAGGCAGTAAAGAAATAAAAGGCAAGGTGGACATATCTGGAACTCTCAGGATGCTTTCTGATTTGCTCTATCTCTAGCAAAGTTTCTAGAATACATTTCTGGAGAAGTAGAAGTAGCATGCATAATTTTCTAAAATTCTAAACACCACTCCCAAAACTTTCATATTTACTTAACTCCTGTAGGCAACGTGGCATGTGGTCCTAGCATCCCAGTTCCCTGGGAGATGGCCCTCCTGGCCAGGGTGGTGCCTTTCTTTAGCTCCCAGGTCCTGCCCCCTGGATAAAGGCTGTCTGCATGTCATGGTCCTAGAGCTGGGGGCAGGGAGGGCATTTGCAAGGAGGGAGGCCTGTTAGAACTGTGAGCACATCTCAGCACACAGATGGGCATCTCTATTAGTCCATTCTTGCACTGCTATAAAGAAATACCAGAGCCTGGGTAATTTATAAGGAAAAGAGGTTTAATTGGCTCATGGTTCTGCAGCTGAACAGGAAGCATGGCTGGGAGGCCTCAGGAAACTTACAATCATGGGGGAAGGTGAAGGGGAAGCAGACACATATTACTTGGCTGGAGGAGAAGGAAGAGTGTGTGGGAAGGTGCTACACACTTTTAAACAACCAGATCTCATGAGAACTCTTTCACGAGAACAGCACTAGGGGGTTGATGTAAACCATTAGAATCCACCCCTATGATCCAATCACCTCCCACTAGATCCCACCTCCAGCACTGGGGATTTCATTTCAACATGAGATTTGGGTGGGGACACAGATCAGGGTATATCAGTATCACATCTGATGTTGGATGAGCATCGCATAGTATATCAGCGTCACATCTCTGCTTGACACCCAGCGGGCACTGTGTTTTCTTAGATTCTGTGTTTGTCTTTTGGCATCCATTAATCACAGGGCCAAACTAATGCCCAAAGTTGTTTATGTCTCCCCTGCAATCAGCTTTGGAGGGTGTTTGAAAATCATATTACAAACTCTCCAACCAAGCCAGAGCACAACCCCCCAACTTCTTCCTTATCTAACTCCCACACACCAAGCCAGTATTTCGCCTGCCTCACATCACCCGGGACCAGGGACAAGACAACTAAGACCTCTCCTGTAGCCCAGAGCCTGCAACATTATTCACATCAGCCAATCTCAAGCTGTTTCCCCTGCCCTACCCTGCCCTACCCTGCTTTCCCCTTGAGAAACACAATAAAGGTTCCTGCCCAGACTTTTCTGTGGCTCCTTCCACTGACTCCTAGGTGGGCTGGTGTGCCCCTTTCTCTTGGGAAACGCAAGTAAAATATTCTTTTGATGGCACCTGCTTCTCCCTGCTGTCACTCAGTCACTTCCATAAATTGAAATCCATTGGATACAACTGGGACAGTTGGCATCACAGGTGACTCAACATTTGATAGAGCTGCATGCCCCTGGGCTGCTCTTGGCTTACTAACTGGCTTCGCCAACAATGAGCACCCCTGGCTGTGGACATACCTGCACTTTAGCGCCTCCACTCTATGCTATGTCTACCATGTGCTGCCATGATGTTCCACCCTAAATTGTAAGAGGACCTCAAAGGCACATGCCTCCATGGTACACCTCACTTTGTATAGTTTAGTTTTTAGGAAGGCTAAAACCATCATCTTGGATATGCAACAAGATCCACTGGGTCTGTTTGATACCCAGGCACCCAGGAAGGAGGGAGTGCATTGATTGACCAGCATACAAGGCTCCTCTCAAGGGAACAGGGAGAGGATTCTTCCAGAAGGACTGTATTGAATCTGATCCACATGCCCATCAATGCCAAAGTCAGTGTAAGGCTCATTCAGCCTGACTTGAGTTCTTTTCTCTGGGTAAGTGAATTATTGCACTAACCTGCCCTTTGAGAGAGCATTCCTGGCAAAATTCTAGGTGCAGTATCCTCTGGTAAACCATAGGGATGCAACACCAAGTACTCCTCTCATGGAAGCCATTGGCATCCAAAAATTTTCAAGGACAAATCTCTGTTGTTGCTTGCCTTGCTGCTGTTGCAATTCGTCTCCTAACTTAGCAGGATATAAAAGATCCCATCCATGGAGACAAGTGGCTAAATATTTAATGGAAAAAGGAAAGAAGGAGCATGTTGTTCCACTCCCCTTAAGACATCTGAGGACGTTCCTCAGCTCATGCAAGATTGTAAATCTCCTGACCAATGTGTCCGGGCACTCCTGAGTGCTGCTACCTAATCAACATGCGAACAGCCTCCTTCTTAAGAGTAAATTGTCACAAAATCAGGATGTGACATCATTGTTCTCTTGAATGTGGACCCCAGACCTTCTGAGGTTGATTGGGACACCCTAGAGAGGGAGGCTGCTGCTCACAGCAGAGGTCACTCAGGACTACCAGGAACTTATCAGGTAAACACCCAAAGGAAAAAAAATGTCTGGGGAAAGACAGGAGACATAAAAGGGGGGAAAAGTGGGAGAGGGAAGGATTTTAACCACTTAGAGATACAAGCCATTCTAAAAAGATTTAAGAGAAAAAAAAAAAAGCCAGGGGTAGAAAAGAGACTGATTAGGGTGGGTACATAATCAGTTGCAGGGGAGTGGCTGCTGCTAGAGGTCCTGTGTCACTTCCCTCACCCCCTTTTCTCTTATCAGCCAGAGACAAAAATAAAAAATAAAAAAAAATTAAAAAGCAGTTTCAGGTGGTCAAAAGCCTAAAACAAAACAAAAATAACAAATAAACAAGGATAACCCTTAGATACAGAGGGAGGAAAAAATGTCAGATTTCTTTTTTCTTTTTTTTTTTTTTTGAGATGGAGCCATACTCTGTTGCCCATGCTGGAGTGCAGTGGCGCAATCTTGGCTCACTGCAATCTCCGCCTCCTAGATTCAAGCAATTCTCCTGCCTCGGCTTCCCAAGTAGCTGGGATTACAGGTGTGCATCACCACACCTGGTTAATTTTTGTATTTTTCGTAAGAGATGGGGTTTCACCATGTTGGCCAGGCCGGTGTCGAGCTCCCAATCTCAGGTGATCCACCTGCCTCAGCCTCCCAAAGTGCTGGGCTTACAGGCATGAGCCACTGCATCCCACAAAATGTCAGATTTCTATCCCTGTCTGATCCTCTCCCACCTCTGCTTGCTGCTTCTCTAGTGTGGATAAATAGGAGATGCAGTGCTGCATCTACATACCACAGCTTCCAGCTCTGCAGGGAGATACTGTTCATTCAGGGACAGTGTATTAACTACCCTACCAGGACACTGACTGTGAAGTCACTGTAAATGGTTACTGTTGTGTAAATGTGAGAAGAAGCTGGGCATTAATGTGCTGGGTGACTCTGAACCAGGCCCCCACCTTTCTGAACCTGTTTCCCAGATCTGAGTCTTGGCTTGGCTTGGTCTAGATACAAATTCACATGTTGTTGTTGTTATTTCTATTTTCCTTTATTTTATCATATTCATTTATTTAACACAGCACTCTCTCTTCAAATAAAACTTTAGCAAGGGCCCAGGTATAAAGCAACTGAAGCAGAACCTCTCTGAGTGGGCCCTCATTCTTCTGTCCCCGTTGCTGGACACTGCTTAGGACCCCTGAGACAGAGATTTATAACAGAAAACCACCCTCAAGAGGGTGTGTCTCCTTGCTTTGCAGTTCAGAATCACAGTCATATTGGGTCACTATTTC
This sequence comes from Homo sapiens, assembly GCF_000001405.40. Lineage (NCBI taxonomy): Eukaryota > Metazoa > Chordata > Mammalia > Primates > Hominidae > Homo > Homo sapiens. The sequence goes on from NC_000020.11 coordinate 48,274,475, forward strand.
TGAGTGTATATTTTTAAAGATCAGATCACAGCTGAGTGATCTGAAGGGTAATCACTCCCTGGCTTAAACCTTTCACCTATGTTCCTTTGCTTATTTTGTTAACTTCAGACCCTTCCTCCCATGAGGCCCTGTACCTCTATAGGAGCACTCAGGCACACCAGAAGACCCCTCTCCTCCTCTTCTGTGTCCTAGCCTGGTTGCCTCCTTTCTCTTCCTTGACTGAACCAGATACTTCCCTGCTTCAAGGTCTTTTCCCTGATTATACCCACTTCCTGAAACGCTCTCTTGGAGCAAATTCTTTGGCTGTCTCTTTCTACAGTGTCAGCTTAAATGTCCCCTCCTCAGAGAAGCCTTCCTTGACCCCCAGTTTGAAGTGGCCACTCCTATTCCCACTTCAGCTCACCTTTTGTCTCATTTCAATAACAGCATATGTTGAACCTATGCATTTGTTTGTTTATTTATCTATTTACTGGTCTGTTTATGGTCTCCTCTACCAAAATGGTCATACCATGAAGGCAGGAACCATGAATGGCTGCCTCATTAAATTCCATATCCCCAGCACCTACAACAATGCCTAACATCTGAGGGCTCAAAAACTGTGTTGAATAACTAAGAGAATTAATTAATTAATAAATGAATGAATGCACTCTGGGTTTGAGAAGAGGATTTTTTTTTTTAACTACTGCCCTTGGTATCTGTGAAGCACAATTTGAAAGCTCAGTAATTTGTCAGTTGTCACAAACCCAACTCAGTGGTAGTAATTCTTACATTCATGTATATTAACAATAAGTACTTATTCCTACATTCAGGTCCATAGGTCAAGCACGACTTGGCGGATCCAGGCTGGGCTCTGCTGGGCATGGCTGCAGGCTGTGGGTTGGGATCAGGTCTGCTCCATATGTGTTTATCTTGGGCATAGTCTAAAGGGAGAGCAGCTCCTCTCTGGACACACTCCTCATGGTGGATCCCTGGGGACAAGAGCAAGCAAGCTTCATGAGCACATTTAATGACTTTAGTCTCGTCACTTCCTCTGACACTCTGACCATCCTTGGTCAAAGCAAGTCACACAGCCAAACCCACATCAATGGACCAGGAAGGCCCATTATCTGCTGAACAATAACTCAAACTATCACTAAACTTATGACCACGAACAGTGATTCAAGAAACCAAAGTTTAATGCAGGATTGTTTGTGATCTAAGAGGCTGTCTGAACAGGGATGGCTGAGATTATTAGAGAGAGAAAGAGAGAGAGAGAGAGAAATTCTTGTATCTGAATTACTCTGAAGGAAAGGCTCTGCTGCTGGCAGTTAATGCAAACACACCCACAGCCACTGCCAGAAGCCTCCAGTCTCAATGTGATGACATAGTGAGCAAAGGAGCCTGGGGGTTTCTAGCCCAATTCAGTGCTGGGAAGCAAGAGCTCACTCACTCTCCCATCCCCCTTTCCCACTACCCACCCCTCCCCTCCTGCCAGCAAATGGAGGCAGCACATTTTCACTCCAATTTCCACTTAAAGCTGCAGCTGCTGTCGCCGCCTGGGAACCCCTATCTTTTTACATGTTATTGTGGATCAGTTGCCCGCTGCTGCAATAAAGAACTCTCAGTGGGTTGCCTGGAATTTCTAACTCAGTGCCACAGAAAACCTGGTGGATAAGGAAACAAGAGGCTGCGCTTCAGTGGTGGTAAGTGCTAGACTTAAGCAGGCAACCCTGGGTCCTAGCCTCTTCTGGTCAGTCCTCTCCCAGACATCAGCTCCAGGAGGGAATCTGCTTCCTCAGCCATGAGGGCAATGAGGACCCTCACCATAGCTATCTATATGGGATCCTCCAGCATCCTTTAGCCTCGATGGCAAAACACTCACTGGCTGTTTTCAGTAAGTTTTAGATTCCCAATATTGTTCTTGCAATCGTGGGGTGGAGGACAGAAGGGTGGATGGTCAGGTATTAGATCGATCAAATCAAATTGCAGTACTCAGACCCTGGGGGTACACAATGACTTTCTAAGGGTTCACAGGCAACAGGCCATTTTGAGAGAATCACTTTTCAGATTCTCAACTGACATGGGTACTCTGTGGGCTCTTCATTTCCACATCCTCTTTTGGTAACACTCTTCTCCCACTTTATAAAACAAAGATTGATCAGTCAATGTTCTGGCAGGAGACAGATAGCGTACTTACATTGGCTAATTGGAGGAAAGTTTCATAAAGGTATTATTTAAAACTTGTGATCCGGATGAAGGGAAATAGCAAACAATAGTGCCAGGCCCTGGCTAGTAACAGTGGGGCCCTGGGGAGGGTGAGGGGAAAGAGCCTTCTGGAATCTGCAGACAAAAGGAGACTCTAGGCGGGGGCTGTCAGACAGGAGCTGTGACCTTCTGCAGTGGAGGCAGGCAGCCTGGGCTCCCCCACAGTAGGGATAAAGAACCCCTACCTCACTCATCTCTCAGTCTACCATCTCTGCCTGTTCTCGCTATCCCATGGCAAAACCCAACTGTTACAGGAAAGGGGTCCCGGTCCAGACCCCAAGAGAGGGTTCTTGGATCTTGCACAAGAAAGAATTCAGGGTGAGTCCATACAGTGAAGTGAAAGCAAGTTTATTAGGAAAGTAAAGGAATAAAAGAACGGCTACTTCATAGAGCAAACCTGAGGGTGGCTGGCTGCCCATTTTTAGGGTTATTTCTTGGTGATATGCTAAACAAGGGGTGGATTATTCATGCCTCCCCTTTTTAGACCATACAGGGTAACCTCCTGACATTGCCATGGCATTTGTAAACCATCCTTGTGCTGATGGGAGTGTAGCAGTGAGGATGACCAGAGGTCACTCTCATGGCCATCTTGGTTTTGGTGGGTTTTGGCAGCCTTCTTTACTGCAACCTGTTTTATCAGCAAGGTCTTTATAGACTTGTAGATACAGGCCAACTTCCTCTCTCATCTTGTGACTTAGAATGCCTAATTGTCTGGGAATGCAGCCCAGTAGGTCTTAGCCTTATTTTACCCAGCCCCTACTCAAGATGGAGTTGCTCTGGTTCACACGCCTCTGACACAACCACAAGCCAGAAAGCAAGGGAGCTCATTTTGATGGAAGGCATTCAAACAATTGCATAACATGTAACAGAAGCTCTTTAATCTCCATCTGTTTATTTACGTGAACAAGATTCACCCTGCTTACAGCAACAAAATCAAAATTTTTTCAAAAGGGGGATAATGTTGAGGCCGAAACCTGTCTCCTTATGATAGTAAGCAACAGTCATCCACGAATACATGAATTAATTGAGAAAACAGCCCCACGGCTGTTATGTTTCTCTGATCAATGGTGCACTACTCACTATCGTTAATGATAACTAAATTCAGAATCACATGTTTAACATTTAAAGCTTTACAGGAACAGAACTCTGGATATTATCCGTTTTTAATTTATACATGTTTTTGTTGCAGTATGATCAATACAAGACTTCCAAGCATAAAAGTAAGATACACTCCCATCAAAGTTGGCTAGAGGAGTAGAAGTTCTAGGAGAAAAAGGCAAAATTTCCAACAATTAGAGCTGAGTTTTCATGCATTTTTAAAATCAATCGTGGTGGGTATCAATCATTATGGTATTGAGTTTCCACTAGACACACGTTAAAATTGATGTAATAGTCTTCTTTTAGAATATAAATATTCAGTATTTCTGATACAATGATTTAAACTTATGATTAAAAAATAAGGTGTTAAAAATGTGAGAAGGTACATGGATTTTTAAATGGAGGAGAAAATGGAAGGGATGAGTGTGGAAAACCTAGTAGGGGCAGATATTTACATGGGCTTCACTTGCTGTTCATGTGGCTGGGACGTCAAGGGATGAAATAAGATAAGATTCTAGAAGGTGTCCTCGACAGCCCTCATCGAGTGCCTGATGACAAGGTAGTAATGTGCCGTTCGAAGAGAAAATTGCTGGGTGGTCAGAATAGGCCTCCTAGAGCCAACTGGAGATCCAGGGCTGGGCAGGCACAGAGGTGGATTTGAATATGTCGGGAGGAAGCTGCCTGGACCTTTAGAAAGAGGAAATTCACAAAGCCCTAAGAGGCTCTCATTTTCAACAACAACAACAACAACAAAAACAATAATAACATTGTTGTGATTCAATACTTATTGAATACTATTACTTTCCAGGGACTGGGATAAGCAGTATATATTGATGTCTACATTGGTATCTCACTCAACCTAATCCTTAAAGAGAGAATCTCTATCATGATGGTTATCATCACCAACTTATAGATGAGGAAACTGGTTGCCTTGCCCAGATCACTCACCAGCTGCTGAATGGTAGAGCTAGAATTTCAACAGTAATCCTCAGTCCTCCAATTCCAGCACCATCCTTTAGTCACCGCACCGTATTACTTGCCTCTCTTTTGTTTGGTTGGTTGATCACTTATATAGTCATCCAATCTTTCTTTTGTGGCCACAGGTGTGTGAACCAGAGCGACTCCATCTTGAATAGCAACTCCATCTTGAATAGGGGCTGGGTAAAATGAGGCTGAGACCTGCTGGGCTGTATTCCCAGGAGGCCAGGCATTCTTAGTCACAGGATGTTTACTGTTAAGGGAACAGAAACAGACCCAGAACTTAACAGATGCAGGAAATGTTTTGACATCCTGATATCTTAAGAACAAAAGCAGTCCTACTTTAAGAATAAGTCTTGCTTTAAAAATAGTAATATAGACTCTTGGGAAGGACAGTAGTTACACAACGATTAGCAATCCTTTATCACAAACCCCTGTAGTGGAGCATATCTTCCCCATGATGTTTGTTATCTTATATCTAATCAAGCCTTGCACCTAAGGTGGGGGCATTCCACCTCTTTCAGGAATGTCCTGCTCTGTCTCTGGTACAGCCACTCTTTCATTCCTTTACTTCCTTAATAAACTTGCTTTCACTCTACTCTGTGGACTCACCCCAAATTCTTTCTTGTGCGAGATCCAAGAACCCTCTCTTGGGGTCTGGATTGGAACCCCTTTCTGATAACAATAAGGCAAATAATCGTTGAGCACAGACTGTGTGCTGGGCACTTTGCAAGATAGCTTTGTCGATACATCTTAATGTTGGAGAGTCCTCATCCGTACTTATTTCCTTGTGGAAGCCTGCTTTAATGCTGTTAAATTCTTTCCTTCTGTCTTGGGAAGGAAGGCAACACGCCTTTCAGAGCCTTGGAAGATGAGCCTTTTTCTCTTTGCTTTTCTTTCCCTCATTCTCCAACTTCAGGGCCCAGCTCCCAAGCCCAGTCTACCCCGGCCAGTCCCTGAGTGTCTGCCCCCACTCAGAACCCTTTTCCACATCACTCAGTCTCCAGCCCATGGAGCTCTGGCCAATCAGCACCCACGTGGAGACGTCTTTCTAATCAGACTTTTCAGTGCAGCTACACATTAACCTCAAGTCTCTCTTCCTCTGCTCAAAGATTCTAGCTCAGTGCTGAGCAAAATGGTCTCTGTGTTCATTGAGATTACATTCTGCTGTGAGTTTCCAAATAGGAAAAAATGACAGTATTATATTAATATCTTAAACAGGATAAAAATATATTTCTATGTTCTATAAATGTGGACAGTCCAGGGCTGGTACAGTGGCTCCTGTGATGTCGAGGATCAGGCCCCTTCTAGCTTGCTCTGCAATGCCCTGCAATGCCCTGCATGAGGCTTCTCACTCATAGTTCAAGGTGTCTGCTCCAGATCTGTCACCCAAGTCCATGGGCCAGCCAGCAGATGGAGGGAGGGGATGCTCTGTCTCTTTAAAATACTTAGAATTTGAACACAGCACCTAGGTTTATATTCCACTAACTAGAAGTTGGTAATCTGGTCACAAATACCTACAAAGTCAGCTAAAATGTGTTCTCAGTGGCTAGATAAAGGTCTAGGATTCTATGACTATAGACAAAAGAGATGAAGAGATAATGGATTTTTTTTTTTTTTTTTGAGACAGGGTCTTACTCTGTCACCCAGGCTGGAGTGCAGTGGTATGAAGATGACTCACTACAGCCTCTACCTTCCAGGCTCAAGCAATCCTCCTGCCTCAGCCTCCTGAATAGCTGGGACTGCAGGTGTGCGCTACCACGTCTGCCTAATTTAATTTTTGGAGAGACAGCATCTCACCATTTGCCCAGGCTGGTCTCGAACTCCTGGGCTCAAGCAACCTTTCCGCCTTGGCCTCCCAAAGGGCTGGGATTACAGGTGTGAGCCACAGTGACCAGCCAAGAGATTTTCAGGGACAATCAGTAGGGTCCACCAGAGCAGCCAATGCATTCTGTTCACTTTACCCTGACATTGTCCTCTACCCCTAGCCCTCTGGTCTCACTTCCCATGGGTTTCAGGGACCAGAGCACAGAGTCTCTCTGTGAGCAGCCCTCCTCCCTATCCCTCAGGAAAATCCTATCTTGGTAGTTACTAATATCAATATCAAGTATTATACAGAGACTTGTTCTCTTCCAACTTGTAACATTTAGAATTGGTGAGAACATGGTCACAGATGGGTTCTTCATTGATTTATAATCAAATTCTCTTATTGTCAAGCAAAAATGACTGTTTTCTGCTCAGTCTGTCAGTTGCTGCAGGGAAGTGATAAGGAAAGGCTCTTCTGTGTCAGTCACCTAAGTGGTGGCTACGCAGTGCCCACCACCTGTTTAGACGAGGAAGAGATGAGCACCTGTCTCAGGGTCCTCTGTCGAGAGGGTCCACTCTAGCTATTTAAGCAGAAAAGGAATTTAGGAAATGGCACTGGGGAGGTCACAGACTCTCCAGAAGAGACAGCAAATCAGGATTCTTGAAGTCTGTGCAGCTGGGAATAATGTCGGAACGACACCATGGAACCCACCCTAGAGACCACAGATGTGTGCTGCCACACTCAACTAACTTTTAAATTATTTAAAATTTTTTGTAGAGATGAGGTCTTGCCATGTTGCCCAGGCTGGTCTCAAACTCCTGGGATCAAGAGATCCCGCCTTGGCCTCCAAAGTGCCAGAATCTCAGTCTCTTCTAACTCTAGAATTCTATGACCTCTAGGACCAGCATGTGGAGACCTGGAAAAGATAGATTTAGAAGCTGGCAAAAGAGCCAACTCTCTGATTTCCTCTTGCGTTCAGATTTCATCCAACCATCCATCCCCCAGGAGACGCTCATCAGTCCTTGAAGAATGCACCTCCTGATTACAATCAGATATTTTCCAAGTGCCAGCTGGAGATTAACTGATGGGAAGTCTCAGGTCATAGAGGATATTGGGCCACATCTGTCACTCCATGGGGAATTGTCATTTCTGCTCAGTACTGAGGAGCTACGACCTGGGGACAGAAAAACCGGAGGAATTGCAAATTTAAAACACACACAGGGAGCCTAACTGGTGGTATCTGAATTAGAGCACATTTTGTCCCTATAGTCCAAGTTGGAGGCACTGATGAGCAGCCCAATTTTGTAAGGGTCTCAAATATTTACTTAAAGAATAGTATAGTATAAATACCTGCATTAAATCCAATTGCTGTCACTATTAAAAATGTCATACGATTGTTTATTTCTACTGCTTGCTCAGAAAGCAACCCATGCTTGACAAAGGCCTGCTATTTATAAGAAGGTGCACAGAAATGAACAGTATTAAATTTGGTGCCTGTTTATTCCTCCAAGCTACCCATACACCCTGCTTTACACTGAAATGCTTTCTCCATGTTTATCCACATTGTTTCTTTCCAAGTAAAACTTATTACACAGATTCCTCGGGGTATTTTTTTTCTTTTCTTGATTCTGGTTAAATAAACTATTGATTTTGTTTTCAAGGTAACTTAAGGGGGAGTAATACAGTTCTAATTTGATAAGTACAATTGTAATGCATTCAAAGTAAACACACTTTAGGGGTTCAACTAGGACTTATTTTAAAAAGAAAGCAAATCAATCAATGATTGGCTACTATGGCGATTTTAGGGTGGGCTGGATGGGGATGAAACTGCATTGGACATTAATACTGCAGAGACAAATTATCAAAAGGAAAATTGACATTAGAGGCCATGGAAAGCTCTTCCAAAGACATGTACCCTTCAAGGATGAATTAACACTGGGTTTCTTCGGGAGCACGGAAGTAAACTGCAATTTTTGAGAAGCTAAAAGAATTTTTTCTAGATGGACCAGGAAAGTCTGCAAGAGTATTTGCAGGGTGGCCAGTCTACTTTTCCACTCTAAGACAATGAACATCAGTCTTCAAAGAGGCACATTCTAGCTACCAGGATACACTTGGTTGTAGGTGGCCAGAAACCCAAGTCCACCTGGCTTCAGATAAGGAAAAGAATCTATGGCCTCCTGCCAAGGAAAAGCCAGTGATAGAGCTGGCCTTGGGCACATCCAATTCCAGAGGGTAAAACCTTGTTATCACATTTCTATCTGTCTCAGAGTGACTTTGCTGGATTGAAATTGCACTGAGACAGATGCCATCCCCTGGTGGCTCAGAAGCCTCAGTTTTACACCTCCCACCCTGTCCCCCAGCAGAGGTCCAGGATGAGGTCTGATTGGCTCTGACTCGGTCACGTGCCATTCCTGAACCAATCATTGTGGGCAGAGTCATGTGAAACCTCATTGGCCAAGCCTGAGTCACATGATCACCCTGGCACAGACCGGAGACCAGCAAAGCTGTGTTTTCTAGAGCAAGCTCAAGAGTGTGGCTTCAGAAGCATGGGGGTGAATGCTGGGTGTGTTAGTCCGTTTTTGCATTGCTGTAAATAAATACCTGAGGCTGGGTAATTTTTAAGGAAAAGAAGCTTAATTCACTCGTGGCGCTGCAGGCCGTACAGAAAGTGTGTTGCCAGCATCTGCCTCTCACGAGGCCTCAGGAAGCTTCCAATCATAGGGGAAGGTGAAAGGGAGCCGGGGCATTACATGGTGAGAGAAGGAGCAAGGTGCGGGGGACGTGCCATATTCTTGTAAACAATCCATTCTCAGAGCAAGAACTCGCTCATTACCAAGGGGATGGCGCTCAGCCCTTGGCAAGATATCCACCCCCATGATCCAGTCACCTCCCACCTGGCCCCACCTCCAACATTGGAGGTCACATTTCAACATGAGATTTGAAGGGGACAAACATCCAAACCATATCACTCCGCAGGTACAAGGCACCTGTCCACTCACGCCCATCCGGGCATGTCATCATCCAGAGTCAACCCGAAGTCCTTGAGCCCTTTGACTCTACTGACCTTTGGGTGCCTGGATCGCAGTAGTCCCGACCTCTGCCCCCACCACCACAAATGCAGGCTGCTCTCAGAGCCTCTGCTACCAGAACTTGGCTTCTGCCCACATCCCTCCCTTTCTCCACACTTCAGCTCCGACACCTGTCCCACGTGCCCTCTACTGACCTCAACTCATTCTGCTTTCCTCTCTCATGTACTAACTGGGGTTCCAGCTGTGTCACCATTCAAGCATCTGAGCTCCCTGACCCATGTGTTGTCTCTGACATCAGCCAGCCGAGGGCCAGCTAGCACGTGGGCGAGAACTGCCTGCCAAGAACAGCCCTGCTCCCTTGACCACATCAGGAAATACCGAACATGAACCCATTGTTTGCTCTGTGAATTGTGCCTCTGGACTCAGGCTAAATGCAGTAAAACTGTATGTCAGTCAGGTTTCGTGGAAACAGAAGGAAAGAGGTACTTTGCATGTATATTTATTGTATTACGTTATACTACAGATGCTCTTCAATTTACAATGAGGTTACATCCTGATTAACCCATCATAAAGTTGAAAATATCATTAAATTAAAAATGTATTTAATACACCTAACCTACCAAACATCGTAGCTTAGCCTAGCCTACCTTACATGTGCTGAGAACACTTACATTTGCCTATAGTTGGGCAAAATCAGCGAACACAAAGCCTATTTTGTTAAAAAGTGTTGAATATTTCATGTAATTTATTGAATTTATTGAAGTGAAAAACGGAATGGTTGTACGGCTACTCAAAATGCAGTTTCTGCTCAATGCATATCACTTTCATACTATCATAAAGTTGAAAAATTGTAAGTCAAACTATCATAAGTTGGAGACCATCTGTACATTGAATATGTGCATATATATGAATATGTATGTGTGTATATATACACATATGCCCTAAAATTATAGAATACAGCAAAGAGTATTCTTTCTACTAGTATTGAAGATTCAGCCACGTATAGATTACAGGACAGAACCACAGTATGAGATCACTCTTAAACATACACAAAGATTTATTTATGGATTTATTTATGGATCACTCTTAAACATACACAAAGATTTATTTATCATCTTCCTCCTTCTCATCATAGCTAATATTATTGAGCACCTTTCTAAGCCCTTTACATTTTTAATGTCATTTACTTCTTTTATCAATCCTCTGAAATAAGTGCCACATTTCTCTTCTTGATTTACACATGAGGAAACTGAGGCACAAAGAAATTCAGTGACTTTCCCAAAATCATGTGGCTGGTAAGCGATGGAGTCAGGTGCATGGTAAGATTGACATTTTTTCACCTTGTGAAGTTGGGGGTGGTCATGTGATCTGTTCTAGCCAATGGAATGTGATGGGAAGTGTGTATGTTGCCTGGGGAAGATGCCATTACCATCCAGTACTGTAAATGTTTTGCATTCTTACCTTGCTGACACATCCTAGATAGCGGAGGAGCTGCCATCACAGGCATATGAGTGAAAGTGTTGTGGAGTAGACATCCCCACTGTCCTGAGATGGATATGGATTTGAACAATAAATAATCCTTGTTTCTTGAAGCTACTGAAATTACGGCTTTTCCCTTTTATGTTACTGCAGAATAACACCAGATTTCAAAGAGGACTTGAGCCTCATGCAAATGTTTTCATTATTTTTAATAAGGGAAATGTATTCATGTGTCATTTGTGTCATTAAAGTGGCACTTCATAAAAAGGAACCTAAGGTGTTATAATGGCAGTAGAATTAATCCTTAGCCTCTGTCCCTAATGTCTTACTCCATTTTATGTTGCTGTAAAGGAATACCTAAGGCTGGGCAATTTATTAACAACAACAACAACAAATAAAACATTTATGTGGCTCCCAATTCTGCTGTCTGGAAAAGTTCAAGACTGGGTATCTAATGAGGGCCTCAGGCAGCTTCCACTCACGGGGGCAAGTGAAGGAGAACTGGCATGTGCAGAGATCCACAGTGGGAGAGGAAGCAAGGCGGAGGGGAGTGTCAGACCCCTTTTAGCAACCAACTATATGGGGAACTAATAGAGGGAGAACCTACTGTCCTCCCCAGGGAGGGAATTAATCTATTAATGAGGGACCCACCCCCATGACCTAAGCACCTCCCATTAGGCCCCACGTTCAACACTGAGGATCAAATTTCAACATAAGGTTTGGAGGGGACAAATATCTAAACCATAGCAACTAATAAATTAAGACATTCCACATATCTGTGTGTTCTCAATGGTTAATGATTAATCATTAAAACCTCACTCTGTATTTAAAGAATTGTGGCTGTAAAACTTTCTAAAAGGTTACACCAGTGTTCATTGCTCTATTCTTTTAAGCCTTCTAGTATTTTTTAAGGTAAGATATTCAGCTATGTCTTCTTAAAGTGTAATTTAACTTCTCCACTGTTGATGTTAAAGAAAATGATCTTTTATGATCAAAAGCTTCTATAGCAGCTGCTCTGTGCCAGGCATGTTGTGAATGCTTTACATATATTAACTCTTTTAAACCTGACAATAGCCCTTTCAGTCAGGTATTATTATTGCCTATCCCAAAGTTAGTGAGTTAAAGAGCCTGACTTTGGTCCTAGGCAGTCTAGTTCAGCGTCCTCACCTTTAATGACCATGTTACTCTGTCTATCTACACCCCAGGGATCAAGAACAGTGTTTGCTCCAAAATAGTTCACTAATGATTATTATTTGAGTTAATGAGCAAGTGAATGAATGAACTGCACTTCCCAAAGTCTTTTCATTTACATTATTTCATTTAAATGTTGCAGCAACCCATTGTTCATTGACTGTGTGGCTAGTATCCCCAGGTTACCAACGAGAAAACTGAGTCCTGGCAAGGTGGAAGGTCAAGTTACCCCACTGGGAGGTAGCAGAGCTGGGCCTCAAATACAAAGCATTTTAACTGCTAGTTCATTGCTCTTTCCACTTCTATATAATTAAGGAGACTGACTGAGTGCAGACCATAAGTCATTGACATTATTTTTAATCAGTTGGGAGATTCCAGATAAACCATTCAGATTTCTGATTTGTCTTTAAAGAAGAAGGAGGAGATTTGGCTGCACGGGGCATCATTCCCACAGGCAGCCATCTGTCCCCTGGAGCTGCCACCTCATGGCCTGCAAGGGTTCATCCACCCCCACAGCAGTCTTCAGAGAGGAGAAATTATCAGGCTCTCTTTACTAAAGAGAAAACTGAGGTCTGGTCCTAATGCTAGAGGCAGTGGGGTCAGCTCCAGAGCCATCCCTTAAATGTCACCTGTGCTGAGGCTGAGACTGGGGCCTGCAGCATGGACAGGGGAAGGCACAAAACAGGCCTCAGAGTGAGGAGTGTTTCCTTTCGACTGAGGTTCCTGAGAATGGAGAGAAATATTTTCCCTTTTAAAGGAGATCTGTGCCCGCCCTAATTCTCCAGCTTGCCAGGAAAAAAAGTGCAGCTGCTGTTCCAGGCCTCAGAACAAATGAAAGCAAAGAAAAGGGTTTCTTTCTTCCCTTGCAGGGGACAGATGACCTTGCTGCTTCCTCTGAGATGACACCCACGTGGAGGTCTGCATTGGTTCTGTATTTCCCTGCTCTCTCTTGTTGCTTGAGGAAAGTTCTGAGCCGTCTCTGCCATAATAAGGCATAGAGGAGGCCTCAAATAGCCTGTCCCGGGCCCCTGGCTGCTTCAGGAAGGACACATTCCTTCTAGAAGAGCATCCTCTTGGCCAGAGTTGCTAAGAGCCGGCATTCAGACCTTGACCCTTACGACACAGAGAGTGCGCAGAGGGCACAGCTTTCCTGCCTGCTTCCTGAACAATTTCTATTTGCCTCTGCACACAGCATTCTGCAGTGGGGTTTAGCAAGGAGAGCAGCTGGGAGCTTCCTTCTTTCTTTCATTCTTCCCTCCCTCCCTCTTTCCTTCCTTTATCCACAATGTCCAATACACATATTCACTAAGTAATTCCTATGTACTAGACACAGGGGTTAAAGCAGAACCTAAATAGAGCCTGCCAGCCCTCATGCCTGGTGCCACACTCCATGGGGTAGACAACATAAACAAGTTAACAAATAGCACACTGCCACCTGGGGCTAATGGTTTTGAAAGAAAAACAGTAACAGCGATTGTGGTAGAATTATGGTGAGTTCTTTCTGAAAGGCATTGGAGAAGGTTTCTCTGAGCTCCCTTCCCCCTCACCCCCCGAATACACACACAGATGGTGAGAAGGAGAGAGCCAGGTCAAGACCTAGGGGAAGAACATTTCAGGCAGAAGAAACTGCTTGTGCAAAGGCCCTGGGGTAGGAGTTTGCTTTGCCTGTGCAATGAATGGCATGAGGCCCAGTGCCTAGAGGGAGGTGGGAGGGGTGGAGAGGTGCCTTGCTGTTGACACCGCCACCCTCGGGGCTTAAGCTGCATTGGAGGCTCCTTCTCCTCCGTCCTCCTTCCTTTCCCTGTCCTCTCTTTTGGGTCTTCTTTGGGCCTCCCGGCCTGTCTTCATCTCTGTGATTCTCTCCCACTCTCACTGTGTCTGTGTGCATCACCCTCTCTCTCTCAGCAGCACAGAGAAACATACTCAAGGGTCAAGGGAACGCCTAAGGCACTAATAGGAATTACTGAAGGCCGGGCACGGCGGCCCACAACACTGTAATCCCAACACTTTGGGAGGCCGAGGCGGGCAGATCACTTGAGGTCAGGAGTTCGAGACCAGCCTGGCTAACATGGTGAAACCCCCTCTCTCCTAAAAATACAAAAATTAGCTGGTGTGGTGGTGCACGCCTGTAATCACAACTACTCGGGAAGCTGAGGCAGGAGAATCACTTGAACCCAGGAGGCGGAGATTGCAGTGAGCCGAGATCAAACCACTGCACTCCAGCCTGAGTGACAGAGCAAGATTCTGTCTAAAACAAACAAACAAACAAAGAACAAACAAGGAATTACTGAAGTCCCACAATCTATCCATTCAATCACCTATTCATTCACAAACATTGCTGAAGTCCCTAACCTGTGCCAATCCCTGGGAATATAAAGCTAGTCTGTCTTCTCAGGAAGCTAGCAGGCTACAGGGGAGATACATGTGCAGATAAAACTTTAAGCACCATTTGACCAGAGCCCCGAAGAGCAAAATGAAAGAGCCCAAGGGAGTCCTCGGAGGGAGTCCTGAACTCTGCCAGGAAGGTCAGGGGCGTCTGCACAGCGGTGGTGACATTTGACCTGGGGTGGAGTGCGGTGGTGACAGCGTGGGTGAGAGGTGAGGTGGCTTCCATTCAAAGGGGACCCAGGTGAGTAACCAGTGAGTGCATCACTCTGTGACTCAGTTTCCACATCTGTAAAATGGGAGATACCAAGCTCAGAGCACCCATGCCCTGGAATTGCTGTGAAAGTTATGAGTTAGGTCACATGGTGCCCACATCAGTACTTGGCACATAGTAAGTGCTCCACAAATATTTGTTGCATGAGGAAGCACACAAATGGATGAGTTGAAAGCACCTTTCCATGTTTGTACTACGGGTGAGACCAGAACAGAACAAAATTGGTGTTTTCCCTCCTTAACAATCTCCAAATATGGATCATTCCTCTGATCTGCTCCACTTCCTTTGTTTTGGACAGTCAGTGGAATTCCAGCAGCTGGCATGATGGGAGGCAAGTTTGATTTTGTTTTAGCCAAAGGCAACACAGGGCAGAATTGAGCATGCAGCTTCTGGGGCAGGCTCTGCCACCTCCCAACTATGTGACTTGGGAGAAAATACTCACGTGCCTGCCTCATTTGTCCCAAATGGGAATAGTCACAGGGTGAAGATTTAAGTAAGTGTAAGGAAGGTGTTGCAGATTCACAGGGTGAGTGTGCTATAGTGTGGCTGGTGGAATAATGGCCCCCCAAAGGTGTCACGTCCTAATTTCCAGAACCTATGACTCTGTTACCTTATGTGAGAAGGAGGAATTAAAGTTGCTAATCCACTGACCTTGGGAATGGGGAGATGTCCCTGGATTATCCGGGTGGGTCCAATGTCATCATGGGGTCCTTAAAGGTGAATGAGGGAGGCAGGGGACTCTGAGTCAGAGATGTAAAGATGGAAGCAAGGTGACAATGTCACAACGGCGGAGCTCAACCTTCCACTGCTGTCCTTGAAGACAGAGGAGGGGCCGGGAGTCGGGAAATGTTGGCATCCTCTAGAAGCCAGAAGAGGCAAAGAAACGAATTCTCCCCTGCAGCCTCTGCAGAGGAGGACAGTCCTGGAAACATCTTGATTTTAGCCCTTTTGAGCTTCTGACCTGCAGAACTGCAAGAGACAAATGAAAGTTACTCTAGCTGCTCTTTGAGTAATTTGTTACAGGGGCAATAGGAAATGTACAACCAACCATTGCATCCACTTCACGACCCACAGGGATTTCTGTCTTTTCCGCCACTGATTTGCCGTCGCCTAGAACAAACACTGCCTGCAGCTTGGTACCTGCTGGGTACACATTTGTTCAAATAGTGCATAGATGAAGTCTAGGTCAGTCTATGCATTTCATCCCCGGGCCATCTTGTTTGGTTTGGAGGGTGCGTGTGATCTATTCCTCCCTGTTTAAGAGGATATTTGGGGATTATTGCTGGAAAAGTTAGGGCAAAGGAGCTCTCCCTGTGGATGGGGTGCCTGGTGGCTCTGAGGACTGGGACAGTGGCAGTCACTGGTGCCACCCTGATGGGGACCAGCAGGGAGAGAAGCATGAATAGTGGGGGTGAGTGACTTGTTTGGCAGAGCAGAGAGAAAAAAGGGCTGAAAATGCCCAGGATTTGAAACCCAGGAAAATATCGAACTGTCTGCTGATCGAGTAGCAAGGAGGAAGAGCTGGGTTTAGCGTAAATGAAAGATTGACTCTGAAAGCTGAAGACTTTGGAAACCCTGTGTTTCCCAAGCAAGATTCTGGACCATCAGCATACCAGCCGGGAAAACACAGGAGGAAACCAGCGGGGAAAACGCAGGCTGGCTTTCTGGCCACAGTCATTCTGTCTGCACAACCCCTCGGTATGGAATGAGAGGAACACCAACTCACCCCGTGCATAGGACTTTACATTTTGCAAAGCATTTAAAGATATTTTTAAAATGTACTTCTCAAGACAACTCTTATTAACAGCATCTACCTGGGACAGATGAGGAAACTGGGGCTCAGGGAGTTCGTTTATTTAGCAGACATTTATTGAGCCCCTACTTTGGGCATGTTCTTGGCTCCAGGGATACAGCAGAGAACAGAGCAGGTGAAGAGAAGGCCTGCCTTGGTCAAGTGGTTACACTAATAGGGGAGACAGATAATCTGTGTGAATGAAAGGTGCGGTTGCTCAAGTCATTTGGCTGGAAGAGTTAGGACCGAGATTCCCAGGTCAGCTGGTTCAGTGGCTTTGGTCTCACTCCAGATGGTAGCAGAGATGCTTGGGCGAGGGACAGCCTCCTCCAAGGTACCCCAGACCTGCCTCTGTGGTCACAGATTGGCCCAGAGATTCACTCCCATCCTGGCACTGCCCTACTTAGGAGAAAAAAGAATAAACCAAATACTGTTGATTTCTTTTGATAAAAAGTTTTGATCCTCTATTGATGGCTCTGGAATTTTCATACAAGAGATGGTAATTTGGTTGGAAGAGGATTTCAAAGAAGCTTTTATTGTTTATAAGTGTTCTCTCCCTTCCAGGAAGAAAGGGATATCACTTCCCCTTTGTTTTGTGAAACTGGGGAGGGTGGCGTGTGGGGCTCGTTCTATACAATTGGATGGAGGAGGCATCGTGTGTTACTCCAGACCTACGTGTTTCTTGGCAGGTGTGCAAACTCCAGGCCGTCTACCCTGCACTGTGATGGTGGAGATCGGTGCTTCAAGGTTAACAGAGCAAGATGAAAACCTCCAGGATGGCTGAGTCCACGCGGGTATGCTGCCTGCAAGGGTGAGCTGGAAAAAACAACAAAACATAAATAAGCACGTAAGTTAATACACAAACAAATTCTTGGTGTGATTGCCACTGAGATTTGGAGACGATTGCTGTTAGAGCGTAAGCCCAGCTTTCTATGTTCAATAAGGGGCCATGATGATAGGCATAGGACACTTATCTCAAAGCTGCCTCAGCGGAGCATTCACAGTTTCTACTTGGCATGTATATTTCAGATAAATAAAAATGGAACAGTTTCATAATGCTTATTTTTTACTTTATGTATGTGTTTTCTTAGTGGGACACTAATGGAGATTCAGAGAGGGGTGGATGAACTTCCCTTTCTAAGCCGTTTCTTGGCACTAACACTAGTGAAGAATATTAAACCAAGAACTCAGGTGTTCGGGGATTTCTTAAGGGGCAACTCTTATTGCGACTTAATTAAGAAGCTCAGCTGAGAAGCATGAGGCTATTAAACAGAGGTTGACGGAGCCCTAGTTGATTCAGGGCTGCATAGAGACACAGCCTTTATTAGTCTTCTTTGCTTCTATGAAAGCAAAGTAGGTTTGTGTTCCACTTGGGGGCTAATCCATTAGTCGCTGCAAAATCTCAGAGGACAGGCAGGTCCATTTCAAACCTCATTTGCAGTGAGCTTTTCATTTTAGTGGTTTTGGAAAGGAATTCATATGCCTAAACCCTAGAGTGTTTGGTTACCTCATGCAAATATTTAATACCCACAGCAAAATTTCAGTATAACACCAACAATTTGTTTTCCTTGATATCAGCCTCATTTGTCAAAGCTATTGACCCAGGCCCGTAAAGAAATGCCACTCTTGGCCCCTTTGTAATGGTTTTATGCAAATTGCTTTCAAGATTTAATTCTGTGGAAATGTTTAGGAAGAAAAAAGATAGGAAGAGAAGCTAGACCAAAACTGAATATGAATAGAAGGATGGAGGGGAAGGAAGGGGCAGAGGAGCAGAGGTGGGGTCCTGGAGAGAAGGGAGACAGAAGAGGAGGGACAGGTAAGAGTGTCCTGACATGTTAAACTGGACTTTCTCTGCAACATGGAGAGGGTTGGGAGCTTAGGGAAGAAGATCAACTCCTATCCCGTACACTTGATAAATAAGACACTGACTTTGAAAGTACCAAATGCAACTCACATTATTTTGGCTCTGTCTGTATCTTTGCTCTATTCCTATTTGAGCAAAGACAGAGAGAAGCCAGAACAATAATTTCATGAGTGGGGCAAAGATGGCCCAACAGAGGAAGGTCACCTGAGGACCCACAACACTTTCCAAGGGGCAGAGGGGCAAGGATGGCTCATACACTTCCAACTACTCTCATCCCCTAAACTGATCTGCAGAGAGCATGCTTGCTGGGTGGTCAACACGCCTATTGTCTTCTCCCGTCACCTTTTTCCGATTCTCCTCCTCCCATTTTGCCAAAGAGAGCGTAGTTTCCCACCCATCCCTCGAGGTGCTCCGCCTCGAGGGTATCAAACAAAGGGATGACTCAGAACCTTGGGATCTGGGGCCAGGGCTCCTTTAAGCAAAATTCCACGATGCTCACCATTCAGCTGTTGGAGAGATGCATTTTCAATATCAAATTCTTTTCATTTTGAAAGATCATCACGCGTCACTTTTTATTTATATTGTTTTCATCAAGTGGGTACTGTTGATAATTCCAATAACTTAATTCAAAATAAATTTTTAAACCCTTAAAGATTTATATTCACAGTACTCTTTAAAATTACATGTGTGTGTGTATGTGTGTGTGTGTGTGTGTGTGTGTGTGTGTGTGTGTATGTAGTCATCTCTCTGTATCTGCAGATTCAACCGAGGATCAAAAATATTCAAAAATGAATTGTGTCTGTATTGAACATGCACAGACATTTTTATTGACATTATTCCTTAAACAGCATTGCATAACAACTATTTACATAGCATTTACATTGTATTAGGTATTATAAGTCATCTAGAGATGATTTAAAATATACAGGAGGATGTGTGTAGGTTATATGCAAAATCTACACCATTTTGTATCAGAGATTTGAGCACTCATGGATTTTGGTATCCAAGCGAGGTCCTGGAACCAATCCCCCATGGATACTGAGGGACAACTGCATATACACACACACACACACACACACACACACACTCTCTCTCTCTCTCTCTCTCTCTGTCTCTCTCTCCCTGTCTCATATATATTCAGAGACCACAGGAGCAGAAGAGCATTCACCAGCTATGTTTGACTTTAGCATCCAGGCCTTCCAACCGTGCAGACACTCTTTCCATGTGCGGTTGGACTCCAGCTCCAGGGACCACTGGGAACTCTCTGTGAACAGTTCTGTGGTCTACATTACATCTCACATAAAATGCAGCGATTTCACAGGCTGCAGCCCCACCAAAACAGTCTCATAAATGGTTTTTTAAGCTTCCATTCAGCATATAATGCGGTCTCATCCATTTCATTAATCTTGGTTACATTCACATTTTACAGTTTTGTTTTTCTGGCTAAGACCATTGAATTTTTTTTTTTTTTTTTTTTTTTTTTTTTTTTTTTTTTTTTTAGATTTCTCCATTTCTAATACGGAAATTTGGATTTCTGCTCAGAGATCATCGTTCACCAAGAATCTGAATTTTTAATCAATTTCTTATCTATTTGAACACAACATGGATGAGAGACATGTCCAAACCTTTCTGGGTTGCAAATACTGAGTGGGAGGCCAGCCTTCATCACCAGGCGAGAGGTCTTGTTCCACCCCCGAGCTTGACCGCATGGGAATCAAATTCATGACTCAGCCAAGCTTGGCATGGCTGCATGTGATGGGGTATGGTGGCCATCAGTGCTATTTGCTAAATATGTAAGGGCTTCCTTCCTGCCTTTTGGTAGAATTGCACTTCCCTGCCACCTTGCCGTTTGGTGCAGTCATGTGACTGGTGTTGTCTAAGACATGTGAGTGGAAGCAGCGTGTATCATTTTTGAGCCAATGTTCATTAAACCACTTTAGCTTCCACCTGTCATGGTGATTTTCTAGAAATGTGTCAAGATGAAGGCTGGGGCCCTGAGCAAATACAATGTGCAGACACCACTGTATTCACAGAAGGGAAACATAGCATTTGAGAGAATTAGCTGTTTCTTATTTTAAGCTGCTGAGATTTGGGGATCTTTTAACTGCCCATAAGCCATCCCAATTAACACACAGAGTCATTTACAAATCATTAAAGCCTCTGATGTTAAATCTGTGAATTGAAATGTTCTACAATGTGCAAATCACTTTGGTAACTTTTTTTTTTTTCATCTAGAAAAACTCAGTCCTTCGTCAGCTCTGAATTGTGGTGGTAAACTCCTGGGTTCTATCTGAAGTCAAATACCAAGGAGAAGGTGCAAGCTTCGCCTTCTGGAATAAATTCAGTGAACTGCCAAGCTTCCATTCTCTCTCCTTGGTACTTGACTTCAGACAGGACCCGGGAGTTTACCACCACGATGTTTCCTGCTGCCTGCTGTAGCCCTCTGAGCCCTGGGTCTGTGCTCACTATGCTGATCCTGGCGACCATGACCTCAGTGACATTTCTCAAAAATCCCATTTTCTGCTTTGACCTAGGGTCAGAGACACACTCAATAAGCAAGCCTGGTGTCCATCAAACGTTGCTTTAAATAAGAACATAAACTTAAAGGTCTTTACAAGAGAAATGGCATGTGCAGCTAATGGAGACCAGAGAAAGAGTTATTAGTCCAGGAAATCAGGAAAACTGATTAGCAAGACGAAAGGACATGGCCTGAAATCCAACTAAGCAGTGACAGATGCAGATATTATTCTGCAGGTGTTAGTTCATCCTGCTTAAATAGCAAGGCCTGAAGGCTGGTGGGATCCTTCACTCCTTTACGTTGACAACAACAACAAAAAAACACCAAAACTCAAATTTAGATAATCATCAATTGCAGAACAATTAAAAATTATCTTTGTAACCAGAAAACTATTTTTCTCTCCCTGCATGTAATTGTCTGCCCTTTGTCTGAGGCCTTAACAGATCAGAGGTCAAGCATTCTTAAGCTTTGAGTGGAACCAGAGCACTCAATCCAGCATCAAAGTCCTGAATGAGGTCGGCTCCTCCTGGAAAATTTTTGAAAGTACACGTCATCGCATTCCGATGATTCTGGCCTTAAATTTTCCTTCCATTTCTTAGCTGAAGGCCTAATTGAAAACAGCCAAAGCTAGTTGGGTGCTCTGTCTTAAAGGTAAAGAAGGACACCTTCAGGAGAAAGGAGGGAAGAGAGCTGATAGCTTGATGACTCTTCTTGCTGAACCAGCTGAATCTAAGGACTGAGTAGTAACCGGCCACACAGTATAATTTTAGGGACCCTCTAAGTACCACTGGACTGCTGTGTGCCTTCAATACTACCATTATTGCTCCTTTCAGGTGAAGGCACTGAATACTCCTTTTAAAGTAAAAACATCATATAATTGGAAGATTTAATCAGTCAGCACTCTTGGTTGCATGCAACAGAAAACGAGTTAAATAGCTTTAAATGAAAGAATTTTATTACATCAGGTGACTAAAATGTGCCAGGAATGCCTTGTTCGTTGCAGGCACAGCTGGATCTAGAGGCTGCAATGATGTCATCAGGTCCGGACGAG
The DNA here is from genome assembly GCF_000001405.40 of Homo sapiens. Taxonomy (NCBI): domain Eukaryota; kingdom Metazoa; phylum Chordata; class Mammalia; order Primates; family Hominidae; genus Homo; species Homo sapiens. Next base: position 48,296,185 of record NC_000020.11, read on the forward strand.
TGTCTCCTGGCCTCTTGGCTCTTCTTTTTCCCTCTCAGGACCATTCTTAGAGAGTATCTCCTGTCATGGCTGAGGACAGATTCAGCCCGGCAGAAAAGAGCCTCTGCTGCTCTCAGAAGCCACAATAAAAGGCCTGTTGCATCTCATTGGCCCCAAGTGTGTCACATGCACCCAGGCACTGGAACATTCATGGCAGCTTTGTTTGTCTGTGATCATGAAAAACACAGAGCCAGCCCGGATGTCCACCAGCTGGAGCTCATGGCGTGGAGTACTCTACAGAGGTTAAAATAAACTGGAAAAGTGGTCATACATGAAAATGCAGTGAAAGTGAAATACACGAGCATAGTAAACCTAAAGTTCAGGTGTGATTCTCAGAGGGAGGGAGGCAAACATGATGGTGGAGAGTTACACTAGAAGCTTCCACTGTGCTTGTAAAGTTTGATATCCTTTGTGAAATGGTTTGTTGCAGAATAGTTTTCTATGCACCTAAAATGCTTTTGAAAATTCAAGCCACAAATACCCAACCCACACTCAGCGTATCATCTTTGCCCTGAAATGATGTCTGTCCCACGTGAGTCTGTGCATCTTGTTAGATAACCTCAGAAACATGAGAACACTCGACTCGTTCTCCTTAGCAGCAGGCTCCTGCTAGCTCCGTTCTCCTGGATCCCTTTGGATTTGTCTTGCTGGGTTGTTGGGGAGTGGAGACGCCCTCCTCCCTGAAGCGTTTCCTCACATGGTGATTTGTCTATTGTGCATCAGTCAGGATCCCGGGAGGACCTGCAGGTGCAGCCACCTCCCCACAGGGACAGAACCAGATCCAGCTGCCGAGAACCAGGAGACCCAATGTCAGGTGCAATTCTGTGCTGGGATCTGAGTGGAACCACAGGTCTGTGCAGCAGGAGGTGAGAAGCTCATGACTACAGAGAGAGGCATGGCTGGGGACCCAGTGCCTCTGCCCCATCTCCATCTCTGCACCTCGGGGCAGCAGAACACTCCAGGCCTCTCTCACAGTGACCAGCATGGAGCAAGGCTGCCCATCTCCCCACCAGCCTGCCCTGAGTATGAAACTCCAGCATTGGAGATTCCTTCCTTTTTGGTTTTCCTTCTTTCCCTTTTATAACTGAGCAACTTCTAGGCAGGATGGCTGAATGAGCCATACCAGTCCACCTTCAGCAGGGGCTTCTGGCTGGCTGATGGAGGCATGTCTCTGGGGAACAGCAGAGCTCAGGGTAGGGACAGAACAGGGAGAGCTGGGAGGAAGGAGAAAGGCCCTGCAGCAGACGCTGCAGAAGCTTTCCATCCTCCTTGCCTTAACCTGGGGCTCACCCAAGTCTATACTCGTGGTGAGGGCAGGGGGAAAATTGCTTTTTCTTAAAGTCAGTCATTGATGACACCTCCTATCACTGAGTATTCTTGGGGCAGGCCTGCCCCAACCAGCTAGACCAATGGTTCCTACGGAATTTTTAAGGTGGACAGAAGGTTCCTCTGGGGACGTTAGTCAGAGCTGGGTGTCTAATGGAGCCCTCACCGCCAGTTCAGCCAGAGCAGCTTGTTTTTGATCTGTTTGACAAATAGAACTTTTCCATAAGGTTCCATTTGAATGAAGTCTTCACACCTAAACATTTGAGAATGGCTGCTTCAGTCTAAGCTGGGATCATCTGGTTTCAAAACCGTCAAAGAAATTTCAGCAGGAAAATTTGGTCAAATAGTATTGCCCTGGGCAGGCTTGTATGCCCACCCACTTTAGCCATGGGCATTAGTTATCTATTGCTAGATAGCAAGCAACCCCACATTTTAGTGGCTCAAAGAAACATGTATTTGTCATCTAGCAGTTTCGTGGTTCAGGAAACTGGATGTGGCTTGGCTGAGTTCTCTAGCTCTCAAGGCTGCAAACAGTATCAGCTGGGGCTGTGGTTTCATCCTAAGACTCACCTGGGGCTGGAGGACCTGCTTTTGAACTTATTCAAGTGGTCTTTGGCAGGATTTAGTTCCTCAAGACAGCGGACCTGAGGCCTTTGGTTCTTTGTGGCTGTTGGCTGGAGGCCTCCCTTGATTCTCACCCCATGGGGAGCTCAGCACTTGGCATCTGGCTCCCCCAGAGCAAGCCGGTGATGGGGAGAATAAGACATTACATCAGTCTTTTTTCTACCCTAATTTCGAAAGTAGCACCCCATCATTTTTCCCATATTCTATTTGTTTGAAGCAAGTCCCTAGGTCTAGCCCACATTCAACGAGAAGGGATCACACAAGGGCACAGATACCAGGAAGTGGGGACCATTGGGAGCCCTTTTTAAAATCTGCTCCCCACACTGTCTCTGGCTACATTTTAGATAGTTGTTAGACTAAACTGTGAATAATTGACAGACTGCAATTTCTTCTATTTCCCTATTTTAGAGGTATCTCTCTCCTGGAAACAGCCCTTGTTCACACCAGAGGTGTGAACAGAAATTCTTTTGCTTTGCTGGCCTCAAACTGATAGAAAAATGTATCAGTTCAGGCAAAGTGTTCCTCACTGGTTTGCTGAATTATGTCTCTTCTTTTTATCCCTTAACTTATAATTTTATGGACTGTGGAGGAGGATGGGAGAATTGGGGTTGGGTTTTCTATTTTCTTTTTTTCCCCTTCTTCAGGGAGAAAAAAACTTGGCTAGAGTTGAGTGCCTCCTAATCCCCAGTAGGAATCTGACATTTTAATTTTGCTTTCTCGCCCTCTCCAGTCTGGCCTGAGGTGCAGGTGGGGACCTCCCAGCACTGTTATCATAATCCCAAACAGCCATGACAGAAGCCTGCCTGAGGGCTTCAGGGGAGACTGAAGAGTCCCAAATGCATCTCTTGTCTAGGATGATGAAAAGTTGATTCGGGCTTGCTACCAAATGTTACTTATCAGATGCCAAGTGGCATTGTCTATGCATGGCGCCTGGTCCTGCCGGGGAGCTGATTGAGGGTGAGCTCCATCCAGAGAGCAGGAGGGGTATCTGGGCACTAAGCTAGGTGGATTTAGGACCCCCAGCACAGTTTTTGGCTGGGACCATTGTTTGGTTCTGACAAACAGCAGGGCACCATGGAGACAGGAAAATAGGCAAAGAAAATGACTCATCTGGCTGGAAGCCCAGAAAATGTATGCTAATACCTTCACGCAGACAAAAATAAGATTATAAAGAGACTGGTGGCAAAAAAAAAAAAAAAAAGCCAGCCTCAAATGATGCTTCTCTTTAATCCATCCACTTAGAAGCCCAACAAGTTGCCGAGATCCACCGTGCCAAAGAGAGAACCATCATATTAGTGAAGTTGCTTTTCATGTCAATTCTTTCCTTTCTGTAACTAAAACTCAACTATGGGAGACATACTCAGCAGTCACCAACATTCTAGATTCCCCTCCTCTTCCCATCCCACAAAAGGTTTACAATTCCCCATCCTTGAAGTTATGTATGGACATAAGATCTTGCTTGGCCAAGGAAATCTGAGGAAGTGACATGTGTTGTTTCAGTATAATTATTTAAAAGCTGGTATATGATTCTCTATGGTCTCTTGCCATGCCATGGTGATCATGGGAGCATGTATTGAGATGCAGATACTGAAAGATGGTGGAGCTTCTGTTCCTTTAGATCTCTGAGAAGTTAAAATAAACTGGGCCTCCCTAACAACTCATGTGAGATATATAGAGTGTGTTTTGTTGTTTTAAGCCAAGGGGATTTGGGTACTGTTGTTTGTTGCAACATTGCCTTGCTTATCCTCATTAGTAAGTCCACCATCCTGCATCCCAATATACTTTCTGTAGACACATTAAAAGCTTACCACTTCCCGGAAAGGCACAGTGGCTCGCGCCTGTAATCCCAGCACTTTGGGAGGTCGAGGCGGGCAGATCACCTGAGGCCAGGCGTTCTAGACTAGCCTGGCCAACATGGTGAAACCTGTCTCTACTAAAAATACAAAAATTAGCCAGGCGTGTTGGTGCCCGCCTGTAATCCCAGCTACTCGGGAGGCTGAGGCAGGAGAATTGCTTGAACCCGGAAGGCGGAGGTTGCAGTGAGCCGAGATCACGCCACGGCACTCCAGCCTGGGTGACAGAGTAAGACTCCATCTAAAAAAAAAAAAAAAGCTTACCACTTCCCTTAAACTTACCCTCAATTAAAGACTTATTCTCTGGCCCTCCTAACAAAAATACAAACTTATTACTGACAAGGCAGCACCTGGGTCCAGCAAACAGGGATTCCGGCGCCCAAACTTGCATATCATGAAAGGGAAAGGAGCATTTAAAAGCTCTGACATTGGGGACAGACACTTTAATGGTTCTGTCAATGGAGATTAAAACTTGAAAATAGCCAAGGGTACACTTTTCGAGGTCTATATTTTAAATGAAATGACAAGAGGAATGAACCTGCGGGACTAAAGTGCTTGGCACCATTTGGGAATTATTTGAGCCAAATAATTGCTGTCATGCCTGGTGTGATGTATATTTTATTTCAATCTTTTAAGAAATAGGAAGGAGAAGGTGAGAGAAAATATGTTCTACACAAGAGACTGGACAATTGATCATTAACCACAGACTCAGAAATCAAAGGAGCTCAGATTGCTTTTGCTCCCATAATAAGGGAGTTGTAAAAAGATAGGAGATGGTTACAGGTTATATTTATAAAGCATTAAAACTGTCCTTCTACTAGAAAATACAAGCTTAAGCTCAGCATTATAGGCAAATGTTGCTTTTGTGTTCCAGCATCCCTTCACATGACTTTTAATAAGGTTATATCCCCCTTTTTATTTTCCTGGATCAAACCCCAGTTCACACCAGAGAACATTGATTCTACCCTCAGTTCCAGCATGAGTCTTATGGGCTTAGGTCAGAAACCTACTTTATCCTGTCCATTCTCAGTGATTGGTTTAGTGAGGGATGTGTAGTTCAACAAAGCTTTGTAACAAACAGCCCCAAAATCTTGGTGGCGTATTTAAAAAAAAAACAAAAAACTTCTTTTTCTCACTCACGAGTCTGCAAGTCAACTGGTGCATCTCTGCTTCAGAGTTCAGACCAGATCCACCTCCACATATCTCCATCCTGGGTTCATAGGATGCTTGGAGCCTGCCCTTCTTGTGCCTATACCATAAGGGCAAGATCCTAAGCATCCCACACAAGCATATCTAAAGCCTTCTCCCATGTCACGTCCACTAATACCCCACTGGCCAAAGAAAGTCACATGGCCAAGACCAAAGTCCTTGGAATGAGGATGTCAGGGAAGAGAGGAAAGGGATTGGGTACAATAGTCCAATCTACTGCATCCACGTGGCTCAGAAATGGTCAGTTACATGAGTCAACATCTTCCTTTTAATATTGAGTTGAGTTTTTATGATATTTGCAATAAAGCGGGTGCTAACTGAGACTCTTAGTGGGCCTTGTAGTGCCTGGACACAGTTGCATATTTGTCAATTTCTCCTTGAGAAGAACCTCAGAAACTCTCTAAGTGAAGCAGAAAGTTGGTGAAAGATCTATGACAGATGACAACAGAGGTGAGGACAAATTTCTAGGATTCAGCCCCTTCTGATTTCTGAAGTAGATTTGGGCACCGGCTTCCAGCTATGAGCAATAACATCAGAAAAATTCAGTCTGGGGTAAAGGTCACCCTGAATTAAGGGAGTGACCGAACCAAACATTTACAAAATGAGATGAGCTGCCATTCCTTTCAGACATCCATGGTCACTAAAATACACAGTCCTCTTGTCCCCTTGCTGACACTATTAGTTAATGTATGGGCTTAAATTAGACAGTTGAGCCATGCCTCCAGATGGGAAGGACTTGGTAACTGTTACTCATCTTCTCTTCTCATCCTCAACACACCTTCAATTTAAATGGAGTTGATCCCATTAACAACTGTTAGCCAAGATCTTTCAGGGCTGGGCCCTGTGCAATTAGGGAAGCACCTGGTAGAGCTATCCAACCAGAGTCTGATCCCAGATCCTTCCCTTCCAGGCTGTGAGATCCTGGCCAAGTGGCTTCACCTCTCTGAGCCTCAGCCTCCTCATCTTTAAGATGGACTATCACCCCCATATCATGAAATGTGGCTAAGAAGATAAACTCTGGGACCAAAGCACCAGGGTTTAAATCCTGGCTTCTCCACTTCCCAGCCATGTGACTTGAACAAGTGATTTCACCTCTTCACTCCTCAGTTTTCTCTTCTGTAAAATGGGAATAATGACAGTCCCTACCTCATGAGGTGAGTGTGAGAATTAAATAGCTAACAAGTAGAAGTGCTTAGAAGAGTTCCTGACACATTGATCACTCAGTGTGTGTTACTATTATTAAAACTGGTAGTAGTAGCATTTTCCTTCCTCTTAAGGAACTTAGAAATAATCTTATTGTCATAAGTGTATAGACAATTACATATGGTTCAGACTCCAACCTTTATAAAGTGAATGTGTTCTATGTGCCTGGCACCCTGCTAAGCAGCTTATATACATTACCACATTATCATATTTATTCTCACATGATGGTGATGACAATGACGATGATGCATCCTCCATCACAACAATGAAAACTGTGAGGCTCAGAGATACCCAGTGACTTCAGTGATTAAGGTCACACAGTAAATTATGCTTAAATCCAGGATTTAAATGCAGGCCATTTGACTCCAGAACCTGAGTCTCCCCATCTGACTATCCGGCTTTCACAGGAAAAGAAACGTAAAACACAATCTCATTCATCTGATTGTTCATTCATTCAATAGTATTTATTGAGTCCTTCCCATGTGCCAGGCATAGAAGAAGGCAGAGAAGGTGCATTCACCTATTCATCCATCCATCTATCCATCCATTCTTCATCCATCCATCCATCCATCCATCCATCCATTCTTCATCCATCCATTCATCCATCCATTAATCTATCCATCCATCCTTTCTTCATCCATCCATCATTCCATCATCCTTCCATATGCACATAACACCTAATAGTTCTAGGATGTAATGTCTCCATCACCAGCAGAGTTTCTATCATTCATGGGATGAATTCTGGGTTTTCACTAGAGGCTTCCCCATATTCACTGTAAATTTCTATGCCCAGAATCTATTCTTAGGAAATTAGGCCAGTCTCTGCTTCCCCAGATGCTAAGATTCACATCCTACTCTCCAAAACACAAGCATCCGTTGGATGCCCAGCTGGTCCATTATCAGATTCATCTGGCTCAGTCTCCAGACTGGGTGAGTTGTCTGTACACCCCAGGATGTGGATGGATGCAGGCTGGATAGCGGGGGTGTTCACATCTTGGTATTTACAAGATGATATTTACATCTTGGCTTCAGGCATGTTAGCATGTGAGTCTTCATTTGAAATACCATAAATTAATAGCGACTAAAATTTTAACATTTATTTGGTTTAAATTGCGCTCTGGATTCAGAAATATATTTGGACTAGGAGCTCTTCCAGGAATATTTAAATGATCATATTTTGCTAAAGTTGAATCTTTAAAGAAAATATACATATTCAACTCTTTAGTGAGCTGGATTCTGAGCTGTTTTTATTTCCTTTCTTAAGGAAATAATGTGTAACATTTAGTTTTGATTCTGTGATTGGCATTCCAGTCGATTAGCGTAGCTCATTTGGGTGTTTGGTTTAATTCAGATGACTAAAAATGCTTATTTATATAAGTAAACATATCTGTAAAGTAGTCACATTTCAAAAATTTTGGAAAATAAAATTTTGAAAAAAATGGACATGTTTGATGTACGATGCAGCGTTTTCCATTGCAAAGTTCTGAATCTTCAAGTTCTGCAATCTTTATGACTAGTCTGTTGTGTTTATTGGGGATAAGACCACAGGTCTCTATAACCCAGAACCCATTTGATACATATGGGGGACAAAGAAAGGAAGAGAAGTATGACATGGATATATTCTATCTCTTGTTTTCTTCTAATGGAAGATAGGAGATTAAAAAGAATAAAAAAGAAGAGAGAAGGAGCATCAATGATGAAGAAAGAAAGAAGTCAAAAGCACTACCCAATTTTAGAGAAAACTCTGTGTACAGAGACACAATTAGGTTGTGTCAGAGAAGCCTAGTTGCCTACTGCTGTGTGGGAGCTCCTAGAAAACAAGCCCTCTCCTGCTTTGGGAATCTCAGTAGATGTGAGGATGTGGGCATTGTGGCCACTTTCCCCCAGTAGGTCTCTGAGTGTAAAACCAATACAACGATATCCCTTCTTTCCTTCTTTATTTGTAACTGAACCCTTATTTTGTATTTCAAGAACCTAAATAACCAGCTAAAAACATTTCCAAGGCTCTCTTTTATCCTGGAGTGGTACACAGATCTAACCAATGGTTATTAAACATAAGCTACTAAATAGGACTTCCAAGAAAACTCTTTAAAAGGAGTTGACGAAGTGCTCTTTGTCACTGTCTGTCTTCTGAAACTTGGTCATGTTGACTGGAGCAGTGGCAGCTATATTAAGATCATGAGGATGGAGCTCACAATAAAGATAGGGGAGTAAAAAGCCAGAAGAGACTGCCTCTAGACTTGTTTAATGTGAGAAAAAAATAAACCTCCAAGGTTTTTTTAGGGGGGAGGGAGAAGGGAAGGGTCTCTGTAATTTTTAGCCAAAGCAAGCCTCAGAAACCTTGACCCTTATTTTAAACTACACATAACATACCACCTCCTGATGTGGCAGTGTGCCAATTTCTTCTTTCTAGGTGGGTTCTTTTTTGAACTGAGATGACAGATATTTCTGCGACTTTTCCATTTGCATGGAAAATGTCAAATTATAATGTATCATTTTCATTTCACCATACTAACAAATACTCCCTTGAAGTCAATAACTAGAGAGCTCATCCCAGAAGTAATTTCCTGTTCATCAAATTTTTGAATATATATAATTTTTATTTGCTACTCCTGCTGGGAAACCTGTTGGCATCTATGCTAAGCCCTGAAGATTTTATTGCTATTTTTCTAAAATTGATACAAGTCAGCCCTCAGATAACCTTTGCACGTATGTGTCAAGAGGCATCACAGAATCATGAAATCAAGAGTTGGAAGGAACGTGAAGAATCATTAGAGTTGAGATTTGCTTACGCAGTAGGGTGAAAATTTATAGACGTTGTTAGGTGTCAAGACACATCAGAGTCTTGTTCACTCCTAGAAAAAACTGCTCCTCCACCCAAATCTTTCTGATCTAAGCAGATCAGAACGTTCCATTCTTCCCAATTATTCAGTTTGGGTCAGCCATGGGTCTCACTGAAGGTGATCCAATCAGAATCAATCCCAGATCTTTTGTGGGAGCCAGCCCCTTTCCCCTTTGAGGCTCTCAGTGGATTCGAGGACATGGACACTGGAGCCACTTTAATCTGATAGGTCTTTGAGAGTGACAGCCAGTCGGGTGCAGTGGCTCACGCCTGTAATCCCAGCACTCTGAGAGGCCAAGGTGGGTGGATCACAAGGTCAGGAGATTGAGACCATCCTGGCTAACAGGGAGAATCCCCGTCTCTACTAAAAAAATACAAAAAAATTAGCCAGGTGTGGTGGCAGGCGCCTGTCGTCCCAGCTACTCGGGAGGTTGAGGCAGGAGAATGGCGTGAACCCGGGAGGTGGAGCTTGCAGTGAGCCGAGATTGCGCCACTGCACTCCAGCCTGGGCGACAGAGCGAGACTCCTTCTCAAAAAAAAAAAAAAGAGTGATAGCCATACCAAGATGTCCCAGTGACCTCACGTGAGCACTGAATCTATCTGGACTTGATGTCTGACTGCAATAACCATACAACTTACTGTCCAACCCAAGGCACTTGTCAAAGTGAGTTGGAGTGCTATTAATAATTATTACAGTTATTAGTTAACAAGCATAAATCAGAATTGCTGTAGGCAAATTCTTGAGACAAGAAATCTCATGAGACAAAAAATCTCCGTCTTGATAAAGCCATTCAGATTCTTGGAGTACATTTCATCTCCTTACATTAGCTAGAGAGCAGTTCTGTGACTTATTGATAAGGCGACAAAATAATTTGTTATTCAAACAGGGTCACTTTGGAGAGTGAAAGAGACTGCTATTAAGTAAAGAAGCAAACAGGCACACACTGGGACTCCCCTATTCAGAAAAGGGCTCATCCTACACATTGAGTGACTGCCAGGTAGAAAGCACTGCTCTTATCAAGAAGTGAGCAATGAACATTGTGGGGTGGGGATAGGATGGGATGATGTCTTGTCTTTTGCATCTTGATTTACAAAAGCACAAGGACTCCCTGGTTCTGTCCTCTACTGATTCCTGATACATTTGTGTTCCTACCACTATTCTTGCTTACAAAATAGGGCCTGTTTATAAACCATTGCTTAAGTTTTTGCCAGGTAATACATTCAGATGGCTTAACAATCAAAGTAATAGAAGAGGATTCATTTAATGGGCTCACTCCCACTCTGAGCACTCCACTCCCTCGCAGGTAACCACTTTAATAGTTTCTAATGTGTCCTTCATTGCTTTTTCATGCAAATATAAGCAATATAAACACATAGAACCTTACATTTCTCCTTTCGTACATGAAAGCAATATCCTATGAATACTGCCATGCCCCTTGCTTTTTCTCATATGCTAGATCTTGCATATATTCAAGAATAACTACCCCATGGGCCAGGCATGGTGGCTTACACCTAGAATCCCACTGCTCTACAGGCTGAAGGCAGGAGGATTGTTTGAGCCCAGAAGTTTGAGGCTGCAATGGGCTATGACCATGCCACTTTGCCCCAGTCTGAGAGACAGAGCAAGTCTCTGTCTCTAAAAAATAATAGTGATAATAATAATGGATCTCATTTCTATTTTATCCATTTCAGTATATAGACATTCAATAGTTTTTACTAGATTGCCTTTGTTTTTGTTTTTAACTAGTGTCCTACAGAGGAATGCTGAATTGTTTTCTCTCTTTGGTTCTCACCAACAATGTTGTGATACACACCCTTGATCATAAGTATTTGTAGACAAATGCCTGCAGCATAAATTCCTGGGAGTGGGATTGCTGGCTCAAACACTAAATGCACTTGTCATTTTTAAAGATTTCTCCAAAATGACCTCCACAGAACCAGTGCTGCATCACCCCCCACCAGCAGTGTTAGAGAATGTCTGCTTCTCCACAGCCTTATTGACTAGGGTATCATCACACTTTGGAAATTTTGCTGATAAGGTAAGCAAGAAAAGGTTTATCAGTCTAATTTGTTACAATCAAAACCATCTATGTTAAAAAGACGCCCAGGAATCTATAAAGCAAGTAGCCCCACCTGACATCACTGATCACGCTTGCGGAGCAGAAGAGAATGGTGCCGACTCCGCCTGGGCTCCGCCCCGCCCCGCCCAGCTACCTAAGGCAGCGGGAACAAAATGTTCAACATTTGACCTAGTCCTCTGCCAGGACTGCCTCCTGGAGCGGGAGGGGGGACCCCAATTCATGTTTTTATTTGTTTTATCAACTGTTGTGTGGAAGGTTTTTGGGGTTTTTTTGAGACAGGGTCTTGCTCTGTCACCCAGACTGGAGTGCAGTGGTGTGATCTCGGCTTACTGCAGCCTCCACCTCCCAGGCTCAAGTGATCCTCCCACCTCAGCCTCCCTAGTAGCTGGGACTACAGGCGTGTGCCACCATGCCAAGCTAAGTTTTGTATTTTTTTTTTTTTTTTGTAGAGACAGAGTTTCATCATGTCTCGAACTCCTGAGCTCACGCGATCTGCCCACCTCGGCCTCCCAAAGTTCTGGGATTACAGGCTTGAACCACCATGCCCAGCTGTTTTTTTTTTTTTTTTTTTTTTTTGAGACAGCCTCGCTCTGTCACCCAGGCTGGAGTACAGTGGCAAAATCTCGGCTCACTGCAACCTCCGCCTCCTGGGTTTAAGCAACTATCCTGCCTCAGCCTCCCAAGTAGCTTGGATTATAGGTGCGTGCCACCACACCAGGCTAATTTTTTGTGTTTTAGTAAAGACAGGGTTTCACCATGTTGGCCAGGCTGGTCTTGAACTTCTGACCTCAGGTGATCCACCTGCCTCAGCCTCCCAAAGTGCTGGGATTACAGGCGTGAGCCACTGCGCCCAGCCTGTGGAGTTTGTTTTTTGTTCTTTTTTTTTAACATTACAGAACACTGTGCCAATGACCTGCCCCCATCAAATGGTCACACATGCTGTTGCCAGCACGGCAATGCTGGCATCTCTTTTTAAACTCGCCACATGAGGAAAAGTGGAGATATAATTTCTCTTGGCTTCCTGAGTGGTACAAGCATGTGTCAAGTTACCAGGGAGATTTGATGAAGTGTAATATACCTGGCCATCTGACAGTTAGTGGCCTTGTTTCCTTTCCCTGCGATAATATTGGATTTCATACTGAGAGCATCAACAAGAGAAAGGCTCATACCTAACAGCTAATATCTGCAGAACATGTGTTTCTGCTCAATTTCTGCACCTTTATGGCTCCATCTGACACTGCAATTCTTTCTGCTGCAAAACAGCCTGATTCGAATCATCTGTCTTACATCTAATTCAAGTTGAAGTCTATTAGGCAAACCAATTCCTGGCCTATTTGTGTCCCTTCTCACAAATTATTCTAGCTGATTCTCTGGCACTAGTTTTGTTTTTGTTTTGTTTTTTGTTTTTTTTTTTTTTCCAGGAACCAATAGCTGAAAAACTTCTGATGATGTTAAAGGAGATCTCATATTCTTTTTCATGTTGTTTTAAATGACAGATGACAATTTGGCATCCTCACAGGACAACGTGTCCATCTGACATAAATAATGTGCTCTGATTTTTTTTTAAAGAAACACAAAGCAGGAGAAGATGTCCACCTTTACATTTTCCAGCACAAAACCAATTCTTTGGAAACCTGTATGTTTCTTGATCATCTCTTGCCAGGTTCTGACAGCTCAGTATTCAAGTTGCTCACGGCAACAGCCTTGACACCATGCTGAGACACGTGTTGTCTTGTTCTTCACACATACCATGCCCAATACACATGACAAAGACTGTTGGCTCGACCTTAAAAATCTCCCCAGCTTCCCCTAGTTCTCCCAGCCCACTGCTACCACTGTGGTCCCAGCCGCTGGGGAGACTCTGTCCTCACTGGCTCCTGGGTCGGCATTTACCCTCACCATGGCCCCTTGCCCCCTGCCCTAATAAAATGGTCAGAGTGGTCCTTTTAACCACAAGTCTGATCATGTCATTCCTCTGCTCCTGCCTCACACAGATAAAACCCAGATCCTCAGAGCGGCCCATGAGGCTTTGTCAGGGGTCTGGCCTCCTTGCCTCTCTGGCTTCTCTGTCCACGAATCTCCCCCCACTCTGCTGTGGCCACACTGGTCCCTCGCTTCTGTTTGAACATGCTCCTGCCTCAGGGCCTTTGCACTTGCTGTTCTCTCTGCCTTTCTCTCAGATATTAGCCAGTCTCCCCCTCTCAGGGCATTCAGGTTTCTGCTCCATGCCAGTGTCCTCAGGGAACCTCCCTTGCACCCCGACCCCTCTTCCTGGCTTCACTTTCTCTCTCAGCATCAGCCTCCTCCTGGTACACACGAGATACATTTTGTCTTTATTGATTGTCCTCGACCACAGCATGAGCTCCTTAGCATCAGCACCTTGGTTTTGGATCCCCTGCTTTAGACTTTGAGCTGAGAACAGTGCCTGGCACATTACAGACACAGTAACCTCTTGAATGAATGAATGAATCAATGAGGGGTCAGCTGGGAAACCAAGCAAAACAGAGCATTCCTTGGAGTCCCAAACACCAAGGGAAATATGGCACATGAACCTCAGGATGTCCAAAAAGCCAAAACCAGAGTTACATGAAACTATACATTTTTTTTTAATTTTAGCACCTCCCAATCTTTGTTCTTTCTGAAGAAACCAATTCAGGCCCAGAGTTTCTGCCTTGGTGTGTGTATTTTTAATCAGCCTTTCTTTGCCTGCTCAGCAGCTACTGGGGCTCCTGGGTCCACTGGATGGATGCCCCATCTGGTCATGGAGCCATTTTCCCTTTGGAGAAAATGAGGCTGACATGAGCACTTGCTGCCTTTGTCAGTCAGGACCAAGATACACAGCACCAAACGTCAGCCAAAGATGAGACTCCTGCAACAAGGGGCTACTCAGTTGAAACATTTTGTATAATTGGAAGATGAGGTTAACGGCGATAGGGAAAATTCAGGTGGACCTACAAGGGTTTATGAAGCAGATGCTGAAAAATAAACAGATCAGGGGGTGTCCAACCGGCCCCGCCTGACTCTGCTATTTCTTGGCGAGGGATGGCGCGACAGCCAAGATGTGTGTTTGCTTAAAATCAAGGGCTGTGGAATTGGGTCAGGGACTTCAGTTGAAATCCAGCTGCCCGTTCTCCAGCTGTGCGACCTTGACAAGGCCCGCCCCTGACCTTTCCCCAGTCTGTAAAGTGGAACAACATTCATAAGAAGCGTGACTGCCTTAGGGGCTGCTGGCGGGTCCAGAATCCACAGGAGACCAGACAACTTGGGGGTTTCTGGGCCACACACACACAGGGCACTTTCTCCCGCAGGGCTCTGCTGGCTGGATACTCACTTGCTCCAGGGAAGCCACTCGTCCACCCCATGGGGTGGGTACTGCCGCTCTCCTACTTTCCGGAGGAGGGAACCAGGCATGCAGAGGGAGCCTCTTGCCCATGGCACACAGCAAAAGCCCCAGCGTCCTGAGCTCAGGGGCCGGCCCTGTCCCACTGACAGGTTTGATTCTATGAAAGGATCATTTTCCCTCCTGCTGTTGGCTTGTGTGATCATTGGTCACTGGTATCTGGGCCATTCCTTGAGCCCTAAATCTGAAGAATGCAAAAGTTTGATGCCCAGGCAGCTTAGGGGTGCCATGAAGACCTTGTTTCCCCTGACAGCCCCCAACCCCAGACCCAGCGCATGGTGAACTGCCCTCTAAGGACCCAGTGCCAGCCAAACCAAAGGCACCGTGGCTGATGGAGGCCACACAAGGGGTCATTGGTCCAGCCTGAGGCAGGTGACAATGTCACATGATGCAAAAATCACGGGATAGTGGAAAAGGGAATAGGGATTCACCACAGGTCATGATGAAATGGGAAAGGTTCCCTTGTCCCCCTCACAGGGCGTGGAATGGAGGACTGCGGCTCGCTTCTTCAGTGCCCTGCTGCTCAAACCTCTCTAAGGGAGCATATAGATGGGCAGGTTGTGGGGCTCGGCTCCGACCCACGATATGTCTAGAGTTGAACGTTTACAGCTCCTGAAGTGCCAGTTGGCGTGTAGCTAGAAGGCTGTCTTAGTTTGCCGTCTATAGGTGGCTTGAGTTAACCAGCACAATTACCTCTTTTACTTTGTCACAAGGACAGAGGGTTTTCTTGTATCCCAGGTTCTTGCCTTGGTGTACCTGAAGAATCGGATCACACATAGGCTTGGAGAATGAGTATCAAGTTTTATTGAGTGGAAGTCGCTCTCAGCCGATGGGGAGGCCAGAAGGGAGATGATCTTCCCCTGGAGTTGGGCCGCTCAGGGGCCCTGGCTCTCCTCTCTCCTCCAACTGCCCAGCCAAACTCTGCCTCACCCCACTGGTTGATGGCTTGCCAGCCTGGGTGCCTGTTGGTGTGCTTTTCTGCTGGTGTGCTCCTCTCGATGCCCTCTCAACGACCAGCCGTTTGTGCTTTCTTCCACTGATGTACTACTCCTCAGATGTCTGGCCGCCTGTGTGTCTGCCCACTAGGGTCTCGGGTTTTTAAAGGCCCCGGAAGGGGGTGTGGCAGGTCAGGGTGGTCTTGGGAAATGCAACATTTGGGCAGGAAATGCCTTTCCTCACCTAGGTCCGTGGGGGTGGAGCCCTAGCCAGGTACCACGCCCTCCTATACCCAGCACTTCCTTCCCCACTTCCATATTATTTAAAGGGACCATGCACTTCCCTTCCCAGCACGCCTGTATCAATGTCAGCTTCCCCTCCTTCCACTTCCCAGAATCCAAATATGTAGGAGAAAGAAGTGGGGCCAGTTTCCAAAGTATTTAATTAAAGGGCCAGTGGAAGAAGTAAGACTACAATTATACAATTATTGTGGTTGTTTCTCTTTAAGTCCCTGAATTTCTACAATGTTTTTCCAGCTAGGCTTAAAGAAAAACTCCTTGGGCTTAATAGAAAGAGTTGCATTCCATCAGCATCTCTAGGTCAGCATGTTTCCTACTCTTCTGAGACTGTTAGGATCATTTTCAATCTGTCTGAAATCAAATTAAAACAAGTCAAAACTGTGCCGTGGACTCTGCTCTGAGTACAGTCCTCAGTTACTTGCATTCATTTGTCCAGGAGCACCTACCCTATTGCTTGTGGGCCCCTTTGAGTTTGGAGAGCAAGTTCAGGTACCACTGTTTTAGGAAGCTTTTTCTAATGGAGGTTGTGGGCTCCAATGTCCTTGGCACAGAACAGTTGCCAGACAGGGAGAGGTGGGGGGTAGAAGGGACAGGGGGCTGGGGCTGCACACAAGCCCCCTCTGCAGTGACAGCTGTCCAGTCCTAATGACCATCTCCCAGTCCTGGGCCTGACCCCCTCCCCAAGAGTCACCTGTGTCAATAACAGTGTATCAGCTTCTGGAAGTGATTCCAAAGTACTACAGTTATGACTTTCCATAGAAACTAGACCATATTGGCCAGGCGCAGTGGCTAATGCCTGTAATCCCAGCACTTTGGGAGGCCAAGGTGGGCAGATCATGAGGTCATGAGATCAAGACCATCCTGGCCAACATGGTGAAACCCTGTCTCTACTAAAAATACAAAAATTAGCTGGGTGTGGTGGCATATGCCTGTTGTCCCAGCTATGGGAGGCTGAGGCAGGAGAATAACTTGAACCTGGGAGGCGGAGGTTGCAGTGAGCTGAGATTGCGCCACTGTACTCCAGCCTGGCGACAGAGACAAAAAGAACCCCAAACAAACAACAAAAAAGAAACAGCAAAAAACAACAACAACAAAAAATTAGGCCATATTTTGGTGCACACATGTTTCTATAAACAGCTTCTCACATCACATAGGGTCTAGCATCTTGCTTTTCCCCCCTGAACCATATGCACTAGAGACCTGTCCACCTTGCTGCATACAGATACCTCTTCCCTTATACTGCTGTGTTTGTATGTGTTAATGTCTAGGGGTGAAACTCCCAGTTCATATCCCCTTTCCCCTAAGGATGGACACTTAGGCTGTAAGTGGTCATGAGTATGTTTGTGAACTAGTTCTAGTTCTCTAGAACTAGATGGTGCAACTGTCTTTCTCTGCCCTGCACTGAAGATAGTCATGGTCATGGGACTTACACTGACCAATGGAATGGGAGCACAAGTCCCATGTGTCACTTCTGGGTAGAAGCTTAAGAGACCCTCCCTGATTTGTCAGAGGCCCTCTGTCCTGCCTGGGCTGTCATAGGAGCGTGAAGAAGGAGCTGTCCTCCACTAGATCCCTGAGTGGAGATGACGTAGAGCAGAGGCCCAGCCTCCCTGAGACACACAAGCAGCATGAGCAAAAAACAACTTTAGCTGTTCAGGCTCCTGGGATTTCGGTGTTGTTTGTTATCGCAGCAGCATCTCATCTACCCCAGTGGATGCAAATTCTTCCTCTGTTTCTCCAACACAAACAACGCTGCAATGAACAGCCTTCTCAACTTTTCCTTGACCTGTGTGAGTGTTGCTTCAAGTTAGATTTTTAAACAAAAAAGTGTATCGTACAAAACTGTATTTTCTTCTCAAAGAGTAAAAATAAGCTTTCTGCTAAATGAAATTTCATTGGAAACTTTGAAAATGCCTGAACTTAAATATTTAATCCATCACTACCCATTTAATATGAAGCTCCAGGTAATTGGCATCCATTCTCCACATCTGGCTTTTTGTTGAATTAGGCACAGTTGTAATTTGTGGTTAGCCCAGGGATGGTGAAATTTTGAGTCTCTTGGCTGGAAAGGACTCACAGAGAACCTCTTGCTGAGAAGAGACAAATTCAGCATCCTTTCCCCAGTCCCCTCCCCTGTGTTTATTTGTCCTGACCATAAATGTGCACCCTCTGCTGTGTGTAGATCTGCAGCTGCAGGAAATGGCAGACAATCACCTTGCAGGGTTTTTTCCTGGTCTCAGAACCCCAATGTCATTTTGCATTTTGCTCCCCTGTATTTAGCCCAGGAAGGGGGTTAGGGAAAGTCACAAACTGCCCATGCAGTGAAGTCTTCAACCTTGCCAACCTTTGCTCAGGCCTGTCTGCACATTCCCTGCATTTATGGTTAAAACCCCTTTCCTTTTCCCCATTATAATTTCTCCCTAGGACCCTAAGATGGAACAGGCCTGTGGACTAGGCAGGATTCTTCACAGCTGGTTTGATTGCTCAAGGCTGAGCCGGTCTCTGTTTGGCTGCAAAGATTAACTGAGCTCCATCAGCAGATCAATTAATCACTAACAAATTCAGGCTGATGAGTTTTTCATTCCCTTTCAGGCCACAGGACATGTTATAGACAGACTGCCAAGTCATTTTAAACCTGTGAACATTCAAATTGCTTCAGAGCTGAGCCTATTCTAGAACGTAGCAATTTTGAGCCTTTGTGCAGCTCTGATTCTTCATAAGCCGATAATGGGTATGTGGGGAGCATAAAGCGAGATTGGATGGCTTCCATTTAGGATGGCAGAAATGGAAATCTGAACAGAAGTAGAGGAATCATCATTAACCTTCACAATGGCGTCCACACCTCTAGAGGTGGGAAGCAAGAACGTTTAAGCAACTGTGCTGTTTACTGGGCACTCAACTTGGCCAGTAAGACACTGGTCAGGCCAGGGATATCTGGGTTCCACTAAAATAAAGATCGTTTCCAAATGGGTGATGACTGGCATGGCTAGGGGGTGGGGAGGCATGGGCAGTCCAGAGAAGAAGGAAAATAGTTCATTTACAAGTCCCTTTTTGGGAGGGATGAGAGAATGATGAAAGCTAAGGTTTGTCTAGCATTGGCCAGAAATTAACTCCCAGAAATTGACATGATCAGCAATAATGATTATTCCATGTGAACATGGCTTCTTTGGTGTAAATTTCCTAATTTGAGTTTCTGGCATCCATTTTCCCATCTTGCGGTAACCAGACCCTAGTAACTAAGCAGTCACTCTCCCATTGCCCATCACTGGGTTCAGGAGGAGCTCCATGTTTGGATCTAAGGGTGGAGCATGTGACCAGGTCTGGCCAATCAGCTGGTAAATCCCCGTGACCAGGAAGTGGTTCAGGATGAGCACGTGACATGAGTTAATCCAAGCAGAATGAGCCTTGGTTCTAGAGCAGGAGTGACCAGGAGAGATGCTCCCTGGGACAGGCGGTGTTAGATGTCCACCCAACAGCTCCCCACCCCTTAGTTCCCCAGTCCACAGGCTGAGAGTGCCCGTTCCTTGCTTTCCCATCCTCCTTTGCAGAGAGGGCAGAGTCACATGACCCAGTCCAGCCAGTGGAATCTGAGAGAGCATCTGGTGGGGTGTGGGGTGTGGGGTGGGGAGGTGGAGGGTTCTGGGGGGGATTTGCCCCATCTGGTAAAAGAGATGTTCTTGACAAGAGGCTTCCCTTTCTACCTGTATTGGATGCTGTTGGGTGAATGCCACAAGCTTAGAGCTAGGGCAGCCATTTTTTCATAAGAAAGAAAAAGTACATATATACTCAGAGTGCTTACATTTGGAGTTACTGAATCACTCTCAGAGCTAACTATACTTTCAGGCTCCTTGTGTAAAAAGAAAAAAGAAACTTCATAAGTAAGCTACTTTTAGACAAGATTCTGTTACTTATATTGATGTGTAAACAGAGCTACTGGGAGCCGTGTTGCTATCCTATTGAGCCCTGGAATGATGCTATCATAAAGAAGAGCAGGACTGAAACTGTCTTGGTGGCTTTCTTTGAGCCCCTAGATCCACCTGTACCTGGAACCTTACCTCTGAGTTGTTCCATTACATGAGCCAATGCATTTTCTTTTTGCTAATTCGATGGTGGGGGGTTATGTACCTTTTTTTTTTTTTTTTTTTTTTAAGACGGAGTCTCACTCTGTCACGCAGGCTAGAGTGCAGTGGCATGATCTTGGCTCACTGCAACCTCTGCCTCCTAGGTTCAAGCGATTCTCCTGTCTCAGCCTCCCGAGTAGCTGGGATTACAGGTGTGCACCACCATGCCCGGCTAATTTTTGTATTTTTAGTAGAGACGGGGTTTCCCCATGTTGGCCAGGCTGGTCTCGATCTCCTGACCTCAGGTGATTTGCCCACTTTGGCCTCCCAAAGTGTATGTGCTTTTTATAATTAAAAACATCAAAACTTATAACTTCGGCATAACAAAGGATGGCATAAACGAAGACAAGGAAGAGCTTTCCGGCTCATACATTACAAAGGATTAATTTAATATGCTGTAAAGCAACAAGAAAAATACAGATAATTTGACAGAAAAATGGATAAAGGATATGAATGGATTGTTTACAGAAGTGAAATGCAAATAACCAATAAACACAACAAAGATGAGAATTTGACCTTTAATTAAACAAATGAAAATGACTATTAAATTCACCTATCAGATTGGCAAGACAAACCCTTCAAGGCTGTGGGTAAACAGATACTCCTATTGTTCTAACTAAATAGGTACGGGCAGCTTGGCAGGTAACTTGTCAATAGCTATCAAATTAAAATAAGAATGCTCAGACCTTTTGTGTAAATCAGGTTCCATGCAGGAAAATGGGAACCACTCCAATCTGAAAAACAGAGAGCAAGAGTCAGTTCCACAGGTGATGGAAAGGCTAGGGGCCAAATGGCAGAAACTGAGTCAAGACAGAGAAGAAGGAAGCCTCTAGCAGCTCTAGGCATAATGAGAAAATGAAGAAGTGTAACTCCTGGCACCCACATCTGGGGTGACCCAGGAGAAGACAGAGAAGCACACAGGGGCTCTTCAGAAGCTGAAGCCACGGAGGAAGCATGGTTACTGTTTGAGGCAAAGTAAGAGAAGAGAAAAGAAGTGTTCAGATCTTCACTTCCAGAAAGAGAGTGGATACATTTTTCCTCCTCTTCTTGCTAAGTACAGCTAAAACCCCTGCAAGTATGTATAAAACAAACCTAAGCCTCTGAACAGTGGAGAGAAGAAGGCAGACCAGCAGGGCCCTCGGGATAGGAGAAATGACAGGACAGTGAGTTCCTGGGGTTTTCTTTTGCCTTCTTTATTGTGGACTGGGTGCTGGAGAAGCTGACAACCTGGAAATGCCAACAAGCACAGACAAAAGGGAAATATCAGGAAGAGCCTGTCTTCTCTACCTGAAGGGCAAGAAATAGGGCAGCCTAGCAAGACACAAAACTTTTGGACAACCACCCCATGCCGGACAAACGACATGGAAAAACCTCAGCCCACCCTCATCCATGCCAGTGAAGAGCAAGTGAGGAACCTGAACTTCCACCTCCACCTAGCTGTAGCAAGGCACCCAAACCCCGACTGGGGTGGTGTTGGAGAAGGCTGGGCAGGAGCCTAGACTTCCACTCTCACCTGATGTAAGGAGCCTCCCACCCACATGGTGCCCAGTGGAGGCTGGTGAGGAGCCCTAATGAGATATCATTGCACCTCCAAACCAGGGTGCTCAGAGACTCGTTGGGACACTGAGTCCTCACCCCCACCCAGCAGTAATGCGATGTGCCTCCCACCCCAGGGTATAAGTGGAGGCCAAGTGGGGAACTGGGGCTCCACCCAACCTGGCAATAACGAGGCGCTGTTGCTGAACCCCCACCCCCAGTGTGGTATGAAAGGACGTCTGCTAACACCTGGAGATTTGGGTAAGATCTCGAGTCTCCTAGCATGCTGCCCAACATGGCAAGGAGTCCATCAAAAATCACTCCTACCAAGAACCAGTAGCAGCTTAAGTTAATGGGAAAAGACAAGCAACAGATGCCAACATCAAGATAACACAGATGTCGGAATGATTTCATAGTTATTTTAGAATGGTCATTGTAAAAATACTTTCATGTGCTGAAAATGAGTCAAAATATAGAAAGTTTTAGCGAAGAAAAGAAAAGTTTCAGTAAGGAAATAGAAAATATAACAAAGAACCAAGTGGAAATTTTAGAACTGAGAACACACAATAACCAATTTTTTAAAAAAATACTAAATACCTGGGCTCAATAGAAGAATGGAAAAGATGGAGGGAAGCTTCTGCGAGCTGGAAAATCGACCAGTAGAAATGAGTTATCCTGAACAACAGAGAGAAAATAGAAAAAGGATTGAACAAACAGCGCTCTAAGCCTCCGCAGGAAAACTGCAGACCCCGGCCCCCGTCATCCCCAATGATTTCTGCTCTCCAGAAAGCACCACTTTTTATCTCTTCTAGCTGTTTATCATTCTCTTTCTTTCTTTCTTTCTTTTCTTTGCTTTTCTTTTCTTTTCTTTCAGATGGAGTCTTGCTCTGTCTCCAGGCTGGAGTACAGTGGCACGATCTCGGCTCACAGCAACCTCTGTCTCCCAGGTTCAAGTGATTCTCCTGCCTCAGCCTCCCAAGTAGCTGGGATTACAGGTGCCTGCCACCACACCCAGCTAATTTTTGTATTTTTAGTAGAGAGGGGGTTTCACCATGTTGGCCAGGATGGTCTCGATCTCCCGACCTCGTGATCTGCCCGCCTCAGCCTCCAAAAGTGCTGGGATTACAGGCATGAGCCACAGAGCCCGGCCCTATGTCTATATTTCTAAGTAATATGTTTCTGTTGCTACCAGTTTTTTTCTGTAAACATTATCTATCGCCTATCTGCTATGATCAATGAATATTTGCTTCATAGAGGTGCTCCTCTACCCATTCTCCCTGGCCCATCAACTGGTAGAGTTACCGAGACTTCATGCAGTGTCCACACTAATGTAATGGAGTAAAAAGTCTTCATAGTTGACTCGTGTGGTGTAGACTTTAATTGCCTTGTTTCTATAGCATTTTTGCTTTCCCTAGATATAAACGATCTACTTCCACTTCTTTAGTTTTCTCCATAGCTGTCACTAATTCATCCTTAAATTCTTAGCTCTGTCTATAACCCATGTCTCAATGTGATCACACCCTCAGGTTAGGGGGATGGTTTTGTGTTTCACTGGCAACACTCCTCGGAGTAACGGCTGCTCTTTGGATCTGCTTCAGAACAGTGATCTAGACATTTCCGTGGTGCTTCAGATCCATCCTGGGGACCCTTTCCTACATCCTGTGTCTGGGATCCCACAGCATCTCCATTCTAGATCTGTCTCTCCTTTGGGTGGAACACATCTTCCTCTCACAGCTCTGAGAAAGGGCCCAAGAAGCTGGTTCTCCATGACCCTGCAGGTCTGCAATGTCCTTATTCTGTCCTTGCCCTTGATCTAGTGCTCCCCATTCCACATGGGAAGTAAATTTCCCAAGAAGTTTGTAGGCACTGCTCCATTCTTGCTTCCAGAGTTGCGTTCTCGGTCTTAGTCCTTAATATGAGATCAGCTCCATCACTCTGGAGGCTTTGAGGGTTTTCTCTTCTTCTTGGGTTTTTATGAATGCATGATGGTGTCGCCAGTGCTGGGTCTTTTAAAATTAATTATTATGGTACCATGAGGGCCCAGAAAGTACGTCTATCTGTTAATTGTGTCATTATAAATTAATTGTAAGATTACAAAAATGGCAAAGGGGAAAATCACACATAGCCCACTTTTTTTTGTTTTTTGGCAAAATTAAGCAAAATTAGCATGGCCAGATTCACCTACACCAATGCCATCCTGGACTGGATCTTGGACCTTGGACCACCATGCTGGGTGCTCCCTCAATGCTCCTCCAAACCCATCAGACTCCGGAGTAACTCAGACCCCTGGGCATGTCACCTGGGCAGCCCGAGGCAGAGCACAGCTGCGCTCCCCACCCCTCGTGGTCCTCTGCCTGAGATGGCCCCTATCCGAGCAGCTTTGTGGATCTAGAAGTAGAGCCAGCCCTTTCTGGCTGCCACAAAAGGACCTTCCAAGCACCTTCAAGGCTGACACGAGCCCCCTCCCACCTTGGGATGTGATCCCTGTCCTACCTTCCATTGCTGAGGGCAGAGAACCTCTGAGAGACCAGGAGCAGGAGGTCAGCCAGCTGCAGTAGCCCCTGAAACCACAGCCCTTCCCTGTGTAGCCCTCACCTCCCATGTTCTGTGGCCAGCAGGGTCTTGGCTCGGTGCACTCATGGGCCTCAGGAAGTCAGTCCTGGACTAGACGGAGCCTCACAGATCCACAGGCAGTGTCAGGCTTCGTCTCCCAGTCAGGGCCCAGTCCCTGTTTTTAACTTTCTTTGCTGGAGCTGCATAAATAAATAAACACACGAGTGTGTGGACGGATCCTGCCCTGCTTTGGATTCCTAACCCCAGTTGGTCTGCTCCCGAGTTGCCAAGATCTGAATAGTTAAGATAAGGGAAATCCTCTGACTCTTCTCATCTGGGCCATTTGCAGGAGGGCAAACGTCCCTCCCTAAAGACAATTATTTCACAATTTCTTGCATTTGTATTGATTTGTGTATTGGTATCAGCCCCTTGCTAAGCTCTAAGCTCCACAACAAGTAAAGCAATATGTTAACAGTTCATCCCTCATCCTGATCCTTCCCATTCCATAGGAGAGGTCATTCTTTCTCCAAGAGTGATCTGGGTGCATTAAAAAATGCAGGTTCCCAAATCCCACCCCTAAATGATAGAAGTTGGGCCAGGGAATCAGATATCTTTGCTGGCTCTTCAGGTGACTTATGTGCATATCTACCTTTGAAACACTTTGAAGTAGATAAGAAACAGATCTATGCTTTTCTTTTTTTTCTTTTTTTTTTTTTTTTTTGTATTTTTAGTAGAGACGGGGTTTTGCCGTGTTAGCCAGGATGGTCTCAATCTCCTGACCTCGTGATCTGCCTGCCTCGGCCTCCCAAAGTGCTGGGATTACAGGCATGAGCCCCCGCGCCCAGCCAAGAAATAGATCTATGTTTTTCTATAGAAGAAAAAAAGACTGGCCCTTCTCTTTTGGAATTTCAACTGTTTATATTTAATGTAATTAGTCTTATCATTTCATGATAACTTCTTAGGATTTGTTTTCTATTTGCATCACCTTTTCTCTTCTTTCCTTGTTTATTTTGCATTAATCAGGTATTTTTTAAAATATATATATATATTCCTATTTTGTAATCTTCCGTGAGTTTGTCAGTTTGACTTCTAGTCTTTTTTTTTGGTTTGAGACAGAGTCTTGCTCTGTCACCCAGGCTGGAGTGCAGTGTGATTATCTTAGCTCACTGCAACCTCTGCCTCCTGGGTTCAAGCAATTTTCATGCCACAGCCTTCCAAGTAGCTGGGATTACAGGCATGCACCACGCCTGGCTGATTCTTCTATTTTTAGTAGAAATGGGGTTTTGCCATGTTAGTCAGGCTGGTCTCTAACTCCTGGCCTCAAGTGATCCGCCTGTCTCGGCCTCCCAAAGTACTGGGATTACAGGCATCAGCCACCACGCCCAACCCTATTATTCTTTAGTAAACATCCTACAGATGACAATATATATCTCTGATTTATTGGAGTCTCCGTAAACCACAACATTACTGCTTGGGCAATGGAAGAGCTTCAGAACTCTCTAAAATCATTTAACCTCCTTCTGACTGTTGTATTATTCTTGTCAAATAATTTAATTCTATATATAAATTTCCACAGCTAATAGTTACTGCTGTTTTGTATACTCATGGTTAATTTAAATTTCCCAATATATTTGCCCTTTCTATTGCTCTTCATTTTTATTGCATTTTCCATTTAAAATTATTTTTCCTTCTAACTGAAGAACTGCACTCAGTATTTATGTGAATGCACATCTGCTGACAATAAATTATCCATTTTTGCTTATATGAAACTATTTATATCACTTTCAAAGGATATTTTTTAATAAAATAGAATTTTAGATTGACAGTTGCTTTCTTTCAGCATTTAAATGTATCATTCCATCATCTTCTGGTTTAATTGTTCCTGTTGGTGAGTTAGCTGTTTTCTTACTGTTTGTCTTTTAATAGTCATATCTGTAGTTCTCAGCAGTTTTACTATAATGTGGCTAGGTATATATTTCTTTCTCTTTATCTTGCTGGGGTTCTTGATTCTGTGATTCTGTGATTTAATGTTTCATCATCTTTGAAGAATCTTCACTTGAATATCTTCATATAGCACTTCTTCCTGGCTTTCTCTTTCCATTCTTTTTAGAATTTAAGTTACATATATGTTAGACCGTTTTTGTTTTTTGTTTTTTTTTTGAGACGGAGTCTTGCTCTGTTGCCCAGGCTGTAGTGCAGTGGCGTGATCTCGGCTCACTACAAGCTCCGCCTCCCAGGTTCACGCCATTCTCCTTCCTCAGCCTCCCCAGTAGCTGGGACTACAGGCACCCACCACCACGCCCGACTAATTTTTTTTTTGTATTTTTTAGTAGAGACGGGGTTTCACCGTGTTAGCCAGGGTGGTCTCAATCTCCTGACCTCGTGATCTGCCCGCCTCGGCCTCCCAAAGTGCTGGGATTACATGCGTGAGCCACCGCGCCCGGCCTAGACCTTTATAAAATCATGCTCCCTGTGGTCTAATGCTGTTTTGTGCATTTGCAATTCTTTCTGGTCTTCATGTTTTAATATGGTTATTTCCAGCAAACCTGTTTTCTGCTTTGGCTAATCCGCTGTTACACCAACTGTGTTTTCACTTACAGTTATTCTACATTTCATTTAGCAACTCTTCAAGTAATTCATTTTTAGATATTCCATTTCTCTAATAAAATTCTCCATCTTTTCATCTTTTTATTGAACATGTTAATAATAGATTTAAAAAAATTATCTGTGATAGTCTCATTAGCCAATCGTCTGTGAGTTTTCCTTGTCTTTTTTTCTTATGGTTTTGGTTATTTGGTCTTATTTCTGATACGCCTCATAATGTTTGTATGAATGCGGGGCATTCTTTTTAAATATTGCATCTCTGGATGATGTACCTTTCCCCAGGGAAGATTTAATGTTTTTTTTTTTTTTTTCCTGACAGCTACTATAGTGAGGCTAGATTACCATAACTGTAAGGATTCAAGGCTGATTTTTCATCTTTCTGAGATCTGTTTTATTTGGTTTGTTGTTCCTTCCCTAGATCGAGTACTTTGAGGTACTCAACAGAAACCACTGTTTATTTTCCATGGCTCCAATTATTTAATGATGAATCCCTGAACTCTAAGTTTTGCTGCTATGGCATCATTATACTGGGGAAAACCTAGCTTTGTTTTTTAGCCTCTCAGCTGCACAGTTTCAGATGGGCTTCAAACCTCTCACTCTGTCTCTGTGCAACTTAGGAATGCATAATTGCTGCAAAAGGAAAGTACTGCAGAAAAGCAGACTCACTGCTAGAAGTTCTATTTTCTTTAAGATCTCGGGGTCTCAGACCCTGGCTTTCTTGGTAGCCCCAAACATCAAGTTTTGTGTCCCCAGAACCATAACTTGCTGAAAAGCTCAGTTCTTGTGACTCGTAGCTCCCCTTATTTACAAACTGGCAAACTCCCAAAAGGGAAAAGAAGCCGAGAATGTCAGGCTTAGATCAATGCATTTCCCTTCTCTCTAAGGCCTTGGTCCTTTAAGTCCTGGCAGCCAAAATTCCTCCCTGATACTTTCAAATAGGTCTTTTCCTCAGTATACTGCTAGTTGTTCTATGGGTCTTTTTGAAAGATGAGATTATCTTTTCGAAACTTGCCATCTCTCAAAACAGATAAGTGCTAAATCACATCAGTTATTAGGGCCTCGTGAATGTCCAAAATGGAAATATTCCAGAGATGGACAAACACTTAAGAGCACCTATGCAGAGCTCCCATTTTTTCAATTTGTAAGTTCTAAGTTTATAGAAAAATATGAATGTTTTAAATTTTGGTACCTACTTACTCTTGAAACACGGTGCTTGAAAAACATAATCAAAGTTAAGAAATTTGAAGGATTGCAGCATGGATGTTAAAGCACAGATTCTGAGGTCACACTGCTTGGGTCCAAGTCCTGCTTTACTCCTGCCTAGCAGGTGACCTATAGTAAGTTATTTAACCCCTCTTGGTCAGTTTCCCCATCTCTAAAATGGAAAAGATAAGTATGCCAATCTCAAGGGATGCTGGGAGGATTAGACAAGTTAACATACATGAAACACATAGAACCCAAAATCATGACTGCTAGGAAAACATTCACTAAACAAATGAACCAAACAGTTTGCTGGACAGAGGCCCTCTCTAAGCTGATTTCAGCCCACAGCCCACCATACTGAAGCCTCTGCCCTGGTCCAGCCCTCCATGCTCTACAGATAGGGACAAGGGGAGGTATAGAAAGAAGGGGCCTGCTCAGGCATTC
Source organism: Homo sapiens (assembly GCF_000001405.40). NCBI lineage: Eukaryota > Metazoa > Chordata > Mammalia > Primates > Hominidae > Homo > Homo sapiens. Next base: position 48,324,458 of record NC_000020.11, read on the forward strand.
GCACAGGTGGTTAGATGTAAAACTGGAGGTAGGACTGGAATTTTCTTTTGATGCATTTTATCAATTAAATTGTGTGCTCTGTAAGTGAAGTAGCTAATTTCCCTTGAAGGCAGAGGGGTCAAATCTCCCTCAAACTATAGATAATTCTCTAATTGCTGTGTCTGCCCCAAATCCATTGTGATCATTAGCAGAGACCCTTGTGCTCCGGCTGAGAGAGGAGAGGGAGGCTCAGGCTCATGATTGCTCATCTAAATGTTTAATAATGCTCCAATCTGCAGATCACTGGGGCATCAAACCTAAATTAGCCTGATACTCAAAGCCACGAATAATAAGGGGAATGAAAGGGATAAAGTTTATTTAATGAACATTTCATCAATGCAGATTTCTCATTGAATATTAAGGTTTTGGCTTGAAGACAGCATCAGAGTGGAGTCTGCTGTGACATTGACCTTTATCCCTCAGAGACACAAGTGCAAAGTCAGGCTGGTTTCACTCTCTGAGTGACAGCATGGTGGATCGTCCTGGCAGTTACAGTGAAGGAAGGCCCTGAGCCTGGGGTAGAGCTGGCTCAGCCCCCTTCTTTTCAGGGGGTTTCTCTGCAGGTCCCGGCATCTCTCTCCACCAAGGCTGCCCTTCCCGGACCTCCCACTCCTCATTCAGGAGCTCCTCCCTTCTTCCAGCTGTGCAGCCCAAATCCTGGGAGTCCTCCCTCATCTATGCATGCTGTCCTCTTACTACTGCTGTTCAATCCATCCACAAGTGCAGTCAGCCTGACCTCTGTGAAGACCTGCTTAGAGGCTCTGGTCATGACAGTGACAGCCAGCGCCCTTTCAGCGGCATGCAAGGTCACGCACAGATCCAGTTGTGTCCCCTCTGACCTCAGCCCCCAGTGTCCTCCTTGCACATCTTCCTCTAGACACATTGCCCCCTGCCCCTCAGACACACTACACACACCTGTCCAGGCCCACACTGGCTGTCCCTCTGCCTTGGACCATCTCCCCTAGAATCCATGAGACCTCCATTCCTTCAGCATCCTTGCCCCATGTCACCTTCTCAAAGGTGCCTCCCTGAGCGCCTGCTTAGACTCCTGCCCATCCCCCTTGTTCCCGTCATCCTCTGCAACTTTCCTCCTGGGGGTCATCAGCACCTGGCTCCAGACATTGCTATTGTTTGAAGTTCATCAGGTGCTCAGCAGCAAGACTGGAGGAAACAGACATGAATAGCAAGGACCTGCCAATTTCTAACAATAAGTCCACCAGGAGTAGTGTCAGGCCGGGTCTAGGTCCTGGGGACACACCAGAGGGCAAAAGAGCCAGAGTCCCTGCCATCCTGGGCTGCCCCCCGTGCACCCACGGACCCTGGACCTCCAGCAGGAGGGGGAGGAGCCTCGGCTGCAGACACGGCTCTCAGGGAAGCCCTTTGGCGGAGGGGCTGTTCGAGTTGAGCTCTAGACAGCAGAACAATCCACCCAAGTGAAGACTGATGAAGAGTGCAAAGAGTCGGAGATTTCCGGAAACGGGGGAGGGCTTTGCCTCCAGCCAGGGTGACCGAGGAGGACAGTATGAGACGGCAGGGTCGTGTGGCCCGTGTGATGATGCTGGGAGCCGATGCGCATTGATCCGTGCGCCACTTTACACGTATGTTCTCTTTTAATCTTCACAGCCACCTGCTAATCTGTTATTAGCCCATTGTACAGATGGGGAGACTGAGAGGTCAGTCTGTGCCCAGCATCACATTTCTGTACTACTCAGCTGTTGTCACGGTAATACCCCATCACAAACCATCCCAAACTCAGTGACGCACAACCGCCGCCACGTCTCAGCTCCTGGGGCTGCAGGTCGTCGGGGCTCAGCTGATCTGAGCTGGGGTCCCTTGGGCTTGTTGGGCTCCATCGGGGGACTCTGCTTCCTGCTGAGAGGCACGGGGGCTGGGCCCCGGGATCAGGTTCCCGTCCACCCTGCGGAGCTCTCCTCAGCCTCAGGGCGGCGGCTCCTCAGGGTCCTTTTGTAGTGAATGACAGAAGCCCAGAACCAAACCAGAGCCCCAGGCGCATCCCCAGTCCCCGCCTGCATCAGAACCACAGGGGCTGCATGTCCAAAGCAGGTCACTTTCACTGCACAGGGCAAGGAGGGGGCCCTGGGACAGCACAGGGCAAGAGAAGGGGGTGTGCCAACCTATAGCAGGGAGTGGACAGCTGGGACCCTGACCTGCTGAGCACAGGCAGATGGGGTGGTGACCAGCTGGGCCCTCACCTGGGCATCGGGCTCTGCACCTTCACCCACATCCGCCCTGTAGCCTCAGTCATGGGAGGGGTTTGGATGCTAATCGGGGGGTAAGGGGAAGCTGTCCTGGGTTGAAGAGTGTCCCCTGCAAGTTCAGGTCCATCCAGAACCTCAGCGTGCATCTTAGTTGGAAACAGGGCCTTTGCAAATGTACTTAGTTAGGTAAAACTGAAGCCACACTGGATTACAGTGGGTCCTGGGTGCAGTGATTTGTGTCCTTGTAAGCAGGCCGCGTGAGGACACATGGGGAGGACATCATGTGACCACAGAGGCAGAGATCAGAGCCAAGCATCTGCCAGCCAAGGATCCCAAGGTTTGCAGGGACCGGGACCGCGGGAGCTTGGGAGGAGGCGGGGAACAGTTTCTCCCTGGAGCCTCCGGAAGGACTGACCTTGCCAATACCCCGACTCCAGCTTTCTGGCCTCCTGAACTGTAAGGAAAAGTGTTCTGATGGTTTCAGCCACCAGTTTGTGGTTGTTTGTTAGAGCGGACCCGGGAAGCTAATACAGAAGCCGGAGGAAGGGCCTCGGCCGGGAACACACACTCGGACTTGTCTTTGGAAAGACCTCAGGCCCCGAGGGCGGTCTGTGAATGTTTCTGTCGGTAAATTAAATTCTTGAGGGTTTTGCCTTGGCTGAGTCCTTGCCTATGGCCTCCCAAGAGTTGAAGGTCACATTTGGGGCTCACCCACCTTTCAGCCCCTTCTTATCTCCTCATCCTCAGGGCGGCATTTCTGTTCCTCTGTTAATCCAAACAACAGCTCTGTCTCTCATAAATGAGGTTGCCTTCAGTCATTTGCATTTTAACAAATTTGTGCCTTTTGTCCCTATTTTCCTAGGCAATGAGTCAAAGAGCAGAAGAAGCCCCTTCACCCTCCAGCCACACATCACCCTTACACACACAACAGCACAAAGTGGGGCCCTCTCCCATCAGAGCAGGGAGAAGACCCTTGGGCCTTGGGATGTGGAGCAAGTCACTTTTTTCTCCTCAGCCTCAGTTTACCCCTTTGCAAATGAATGGGTTTGCCTAAATGGCTTCCAAGGGCTTCTCCTGAATCCAACATTCTAGGATTCAAATATTTATTGTAGAATTCTCAGTATTCCATTCTCTGAGTCTTTCCCTCATCCAATTCTTCAGCAAATCCTCATGCAGAGCTCACTCTGCCACAGGCCATTTTCTTACTTAGAGCAGGGATCCAGCAGCGAACAGACAGATGAAATTCCACACTCATGTGGGTGACATTCCTGTGGGTGCAAATGACAATAGCAAAACTGCAAGAGAGGGCATCAATTCCAGATGGTGACAGTCCTGTGCAGGTCACGGGGACATGGCGTCGGAGTGCAGAGGGCTTCCTTGGGAAGGTCAGGGGTGTTCTCTGAGTGGGTGACACCTGGGTGAAGAACAAAGGGCAAGAGGGCGCAGGTCAGAGGGCGGCTGTGGGAAGAGCATTCCAGGACGCAGGAGCAGCAGGTGCACAGGCCCTGGGGCAGGAGGACTGGGGCGTGGGAGGAGGAGCCAGAGGCCAGTGCGGCTGGGATGGGGGAGTGAGGGGAGGTGGTGGGAAGTGATCTGGGGAACCAGCAGGACTCTGCTGGGCCTTGTGGGAGGTGATGAGGAGGTGGAGTCTGCTGTTCCCAGTGCAGTGTGAGCCGCTGAAACATCCGCTCAGGGCCACATGACCATTTTCAGGAGCTCACTCTGGGTGCGTGTGGAGAGTAGATTTCAGGCGTGGGAAGAGGAGTGGGAGCAGGAGGTCCCATGGGGGCTGTTGTAATGACCCAGGTGAGGACAGAGGTGCAGACTTTGGGACAGCAGCAGGGTGTGGACAGGAGTGGACAGACGGGGTGCATTTTCAATTCAATAGATTCCATGGCAGCTGGAAGATGAGGGAGGGCCTGAGGATGCTGCCTGCTCACTGGCTTGAGGAACCGGGCGTTTGGTGGCGCCACCAACTGAAAGGGGACACTGAGTCTTTGGTGGCTTCATTGAAAACTTGCCAGATATGAAAGCCTGAGACGCTCCGATAACTGAGCCTCCAGGCTGTCCTCCCAAGGGCCTTCTGGATAGGAGGCCATGGGTACAAAGGAACTGGCATCCTGGTTCCCATGTCCCAGGCCCAACCCAGGGACTGAGCCCCAGGAAGACCACAGAGCAGCACAAAGCCCAGATCTGCTGCTGCCTGGGCAGAGCCAAGCCCAGGATTTATGAAGGAAGCTGGCAGGAGCGGAAAAATTCCTTCGAAGATTGCCTCACTCATCACCATCCTCGGTGGCACCCTCAACCACAGGATGGAGAATCATTAGAAGATGGCAGTCTCATAGGGTCCTTCAAAATTACCACTTGCATTTGAACAAAGCTGTGCTTTCTTAGCCCCAACCCTCCCCATAAGCCTGGGCTATCAACTGGAGATAAATTTAGCTGCAAAAAAATGTCAAGATTCAGATACCCAGCTTAATCAAGGACACATTCTTCATTCCTCGGACTGTTGTACTTCTCAGGAGACCCCAGGGATTGCATGAGAGACTGAATCATCTTGTAAGTGAAATTAGAAGGAAGGAAGGAAGGAGGGAGGGAGGGAGAGAGGGAGGGAGGGAGGGAGAGAGAAGGAGGGAAGGAGGGAGGGAAGGAAGGAAGGAAAGAAAGAAGGAGGGAAAAGGCAAGAAAGGAGAAAGAGGACTCTGAACATTCAGATAACAAAAGATTTACAGATCTGTTCTGACGTTCTGTTGACGGGGCACCCCATGTTCAGCCAGTTTTGCCTGTTTCAGTTTTTGTGACGAGTGCTCCTTGATGTTGGATGTTGGGCACAAGAGCACCCTCCTAAGCATCCAGCCTCTGTCTACTTTTTCCCTTTTGTGGGCACTGGTAACTTTCTCAGATCAGCACTAGAAACTCCCCTTTGGCTAAAATAATTACCAATGTGAAAATAACTGAGACAGGGTAGCCCTACCACATGCCAGTTTGCAATGCTCAGCACGCACCAACCCGTTCGTGCTTCCCAGGACCTGTGAAGACAGAGCTGCTTTTAGCCCACTCTCTGCTGGGGAAGCACAGGAGGTGGGGAACTTTCCCAGGTTAGAGGTGGGCCCTCAGGGCAGGTTGTGTCCCCAGGGCCCCCTCCCACAGGCCTTTCTCCAACAAAGCAGCCCCCCCATTTATCCTGGCCAGATAACTGATTCCTTCCTGGTTGGCCTTGGTCTTTGGAGGACTTGCACCGAGTTTGCCAGGAGGGTGGGACTGACTGTCTTTGGTGAATTCATGGGGAGTTCCAGATGGAGCCAGCCCCTGGGAACCTGGCAAAGCAAAGCTTAGGTTTCCTGGTAGGGGAGGCCCAGAGACCATGTGCTCCCCCTGCTGGGGCCTCGTCCACCAGCCCCCAGACAGCCGCCTGCTCTGCAGGACCCAAAGTCAGGAGACAGAGGTGGACAATCCATGTTGCCTCTTAAATGTTGCAGCCACAAGGCAAGAGGTCCTCAAGATGCGTCCCAGCAAAATCTAGAGATGAAAGTCAGCCTGTGTGAAGAGTGTCAGGAACCTACTATGGGGTCATTGTACATTTTCCCTAGCTAAAAAGAATGGAAACCAAAAAAATGAATTATAAATAGACACTGTAGGGCTTCTTTTATTATTACACATATACAGTTTCACAAAGCAGTGAGTCACCCTTATTCACATTAAGCAAAGTTCCAGCTTCCATGAAAAGGTCATTTTTCTATGCTTTTCTAAGATCCTGCCTGAAGGTGCCTGTTTCTCTCATGGGAAGGATGCAATGCTGCCTCTCACCATTGCAGCTCCTGACAGCCTATGAATGCCCGAAGGCCTTTTCCTCCTCTGTGATAGACACATTGTGATATGGATTTTCAAGGTCCATTTTATTCCTTCCAGAAGAAAAAGAGGCTTCATAATCTCAGAGCAGATTTGTCATATATATATGTGCGTGTGTGTGTGTGTGTGTGTGTGTGTGTGTGTGTGTGTGTATATATATTCAGAGGTTATTGGGGAAAGACATAGGAATTGCTTTTTTCTTTTTAAATTGATTTTTGTTTTGTGGCAGCAAACTATGAGATGAACAAGAATGAGCATAAACCTAACTCTAAAACAGAAGAAAAATCACTGATTTTTAAGGAGAAGTGCAAATAGTAAGAGAATGCATATCAGCATGCGTTTATGAGTTCTAAATCTTGCCAAAACTAAAATCGTTTTTAAGAAAATTTTTTAAGCATTGTTACAAACATTGAATGCATCATCTTCAAATGTCTTTAGTAGACATGGAGGCATGGGAGAATTAAAGCCAGTCTTTAGGAAGGAATAAAAAGCTACACTAAAGTTAATTATTGATCTCACAATGGATGAGAAGAAAACACTTGGATTATAAAAAGGAAGCCCAGACAAAATAATATCACTTTGTAATGTCGAAAACTTAAGATTTTAACTTTTATCTTATGTATCTGTTTCTGATGAACATTCATAATTATACATATTGTATTTATTTTCTTTGTCTTATAAGAAAAGATAAAGGATAAAGAGACGAATGTGTTTCAGGCGTGGTTCAGCCTATGAAGTCTCCATATTCATAGGAAGCCACTGGATTTATACAACATCAGGGGATCATAATGAACACCACGGTCTACTCTGAGTCTTGCAAAAGTGAGAACAATGTTAAAATGAAAACCCCAATTAGCCTGAATTAAGAGGCACTATTTTGTTCTGACCAGAGAGGATTTTCTCTGTGTGGTCTTATAGTTGAAGTCTCCTACCAGTAAGTTAGCATGTATTGGAGAATCTAAGATCTTTCCCAAGTTGGTCTGTTTTAGTCAGACTGTCCTAATTCCAACTGATGGCATCTAAATAAAAATTTATCTTATTAAAAAAGGCATAATGAGGAGTAATTGGCTCATGTCATTAAAAAGTCCAAGAGCAATAGCTTCAGGCATGGCTGGATCCAGGTACTCAAATGATGGTATCAGGAAGTGACACCCACCCCCCCACCTCCTAGCTGTGACTTGTTCTCTGTGAATCCCATTCTCAGGCAAGCTCTTCTGTCCTGGCACCTATTCACATCCTCAGGAGCTCTGAGAGAAAAATAAATTTTCTGTCCCACAGTTTCAACAAAAGTCTCAGAATTGAGTCTCACATGTCCACCTATGATCCAATCTCTGTCCAAGGGCATAGAATTTTCTAATGGCTCAAACTCACTGCTGTTACAGCAAAAGATAGCAAAAGAACCCAGACTCAAGCTTTTCAAACAATGTTTTGCTGTTTAGAAGAGCCATGCTGCAGGAAGGAAGGAGGACAGAGAACTCACCAGTTACTAGTGGCTTTTCATGACCTGGCAAAACAAGGAGGTGACATAGCAAAACAAGCCCATTCAGATTGAATGACAGGGTACCTAGACCCACCTTTCATGGGAGGAGTGTTTAAAACCATGCAGCATGTTTTTAAAACCACCATAGTTGGTAGTCAGCTCAAAACACATCCTAGATTGGCTTTTCCTCTTCCCGCATTTTATTCTTGCCAGTCCCCCAAATCCAGATCCTGGGATCATTTCTGGGAAATAATCTACCTGCTCTTGTCTCAGGTCCTGCATGTGGAGGATCCCAGGCAAAGACACTGTCCATAGCCCCTTCAGGCTTATCGGATATGGTTTGTTTTAGATGGAAATGAGTTCTATACTGAACCTGCTTCAGGTGGAATTTGTGATTATCCTTGAGATAAAGGAAATTCACCCAGGGGTAAATTCCAACATAAACACATATTCTGCTTTCTTTCAAAAGACTACTTTACCTTCTACTTTTCCCATCTCTTCCATTAATGGTTGCCTGCATTCCCTGAACTTTGCATAATTGGAAGAGCTCTTTAATTATCTTTTAATTCTTTCTCAATTTTCAGATGCATTAGCATGTATAAAAGGGAGATGAAACATTGCTCCCCCCTTTTTATTTAACTTTATAATCCTTTTGTTACAACGTGGCAGGGTCTGGTTTGACTCAAATTACACATCTGAGTAGCTCATTAAAAAGAAGTTGCCTGGGAGTTTGAATTTGCTTTCTCTGCTGAGTCACTTTACCTCCATAAACCTCAGACAAATAAAGTTCAGAACTGGAGGTCGCATACAATGCTGGTTTATGTTAAAGTATTCACCATTTACCTGGGTCATACTTAAGCCTTGATTTTTTTCCCTTTCCTAAAAGAAGCAACCTGCGACTTTTTTGACCAGAAGAACAGTTAGCATGCTTAACATCTTTGCTGATTTAGGAGTTATTTCAAAGAGGTCTTCTGGTTGATTTACTTTATCTTACTTAGGGGATGCTATTTTGTTATCTTTTTAAATTTTTTATTTTAGAGACTGGGTATTGCTCTGTCACCCAGGCTGGACAGTGGCACAATCGTAGCCCACCGCAGCCTTGAATTCCTGGACTAAAGCGATCCTCCCCATTCAGCCTCCTGAACGGCTGGGACTACAGGCATGCATCACCATACTTGGCTAATTTTTAAATATTTTTTTTGTAGATACGGAGTCTCACTATGTTGCCCAGGCTGGTCTTGAACTCCTGGCTTCAAATGATGCTCCCGCCTCAGCCTCCCAAAGTACCTGAATTATAACTGTGAGCCACTATGCCCAGCAAAGCTGTTTTTAAAATGGGTTTTTTCATAAGTTGATGATAGTGCTGGGACACCCCAGGTCATGAAGACCCCCAAAGCTCCTCAAGTAGACAAGTAAAGCACAAGATAGACTGTCGCCTTGCTGGTTGGATTCTCATACAACCAAATGGCACTGTGGGTTGAGAGGATGCTATCTTGTTTACATGTCAGAAAACCTGAAGTTTATCAACAACATCAAGTTGGCTGTTTGCTCTGTGCCTAGACAGTCTTCTTGTATATGTACTGTATACCCAATAACATATAAACAATTCATCTGTTTAATACTTTCAACACCCTCTGAAGAAGATATTATTTTCTACCCCAAGCACAAACAGGAGAAAACAGAGGCCCCAAGAGCTCATGTAACTAGCTTGTAGATGGTACAACCTCATCTTGAACCTAGAACTCCAACTCCAGAGCTTGGGCCAATAACCATGCATCACCTTTGCAAGGGAGTCTTCTAGGGTGACCAGATTTAGCAAATAAAAGCACAGGATGCCTGCCCAGTTACACAATGAATATCTAAATATTGCATGGTCCTGGAATGAATCTGGCAATCTTAGATTCTCCTGGCTGAATCTCCAGTGCTGACAACATGGCCCAGCACAGAGTCCTCCACAGATGACCAGAGACAAAGCAGGAAACGTGGCCCGTGGGACTGATATCGTCACCATGAGACCTGTGAAGAGGGTGACGAGGCACACCAAGAGGACAAAAGGAACAGGTTGAAATGTGTGGCTACGTCTAGAAGGAAAATGATAACAGGCATCCTTGTGAAGAGACACTGGTCATCTAAATTCATGGCACGTCTGCATAGCGTTCAGGAAAGTGTTTCAAAAACGTCCTCAAAAATTTTCCCTATCTATACCCCACTTGTACTATGTTTTACTTTTTTCTTTAATTTGACTCACTGTTTTACATAAATAAATATATTCAAACAGAACACTTGATATCACCACTGTAAAAGTAAAACTATTATCATTTGCTGTAAGTTGAAGGTTACTATATGATATGGTTCGGCTATATCCTCACCCAAATCTCATCTTGAACTGTAGTTCTCATAATCCCCACATGTTGTGGGAGGACCCTGGTGGGAAGTGCTTGAATCACAGAGGCAGCTACCTCCATGCTGTTCACGTGATAGTGAGTGAGTTCTCATGAGATCTGATGGTTTTATAAGGGGCTTTTCCTTCCCTTCACTCTGCACTTCTCCTTCCTGCCACCATGAGAAGAAGGACATGTTTGGTTCCCCTTCTGCCATGATTGTAAGTTTCCTGAGGCTTCTCTAGCCATGCTGAACTATGAGTCAATTAAATCTGTTTTTTTATAGATTACCCAGTCTTGGGTGTGTATTAGCAGCGCCAGAACAGACTAATACACTGTAAGGACATATACATAACTTAAAAATTGTCCAAATAGGCCAGGCACGGTGGCTCACATCTGTAATCCCAACACTTTGGGAGGCTGAGGCAGGTGGATCACCTGAGGTCAGGAGTTCAAGACCAGCCTGGACAACATGGTGAAACCCCTTCTCTACTAAAAATACAAAAATTAGCCAGGCGTGGTAGCAGGTGCCTGTAATCCTGGCTACTCAGGAGGCTGAGGCAGGAAAATCGCTTGAACCCAGGAGACAGAGGTGGCAATGACCTGAGATTGCGCCATTGCATTCCAGCCTGGGCAACAAGAGTGAAACTCCATCTCAAAAAAAAAAACCCCAAAAAACAAAAAAAAAAAACCCTGTCCAAATAATGCCTAAGGTTATTTTTCGTGTTACAGTGAATGGGTACTACCCATCAGGAAATATTGGTTGAAATAAGGGACATTATGCATATAAATTTATACTAATGGATACAAAAATATTCATTTTAATATATTAATTTGACTCCTTAGGAAATTCATTTATAATTTTAACTCTGTTGAGCTATTCTTGAATAATCACTTAAAAATCTTAATGAGAGAAAATCAACCAGCCAGAAACAACTCCCAGCTGAGCCCTGACAAACCCATATGGCAGTCACTTCCAGGGCTGGGTTCTCTTTAATGGGTGTTATAGGAGTGGTTCTCATGGAGATTTCTGTTACTTTAGTTCAAAGCCGCTCATGCCATGAATTGCAAACAATTGAAGAGGATCAGTTATGAATTTATTTTGGGAAAGGCCTTCTTTGTTGAAGATACACTGGAGGCAGATTTTTGTGGCATATCCGGTAATTGATACTAATCCTGCATGCCTCTGTAAGAGGGTTATACACTGTGACCTTTTGTCATGTACCTCTGCAGGGCCCTCCCACATGGGCAGAGTGGATCTCCCACCCCATACACTTTGAGCTTGGTCATGTAACTTGCTTTGAGCCATGTGAGAAGACTTTGCATAGAATCCACCTGAGCAAAGCTTGTACATCCGACACAAATTGCACATGTAAGTATTTCTTCAAGCAATTGTTCCTCTTCTAGCCAAGGTCCCAGAACAAGAGAGGCACAAAACTGAACTGAGATCATTTTACAGGCTGTAGCCAAGCCCAGCTGGTCTGCAGCCTGAGCCAACATCAGCCAAACCCATCTACACTATAGGCTCTTGAGTGTGAAAATAAACATTTGTTGTTGTAGGTCACTGAATTTTGGGTTGGTGTGCTACATATTACCATGATGGCAAAAACTGATATATCTCTGTATTTTAAAACTGAGCCCTTCTTTGTCTGCATTTATTGGAAATGGGCTCCTAAGAAGTATCTCATGCTGTGGATAGACAAAGGCACTAGGTCAGGGGCACATTGAGAGAATGGTTTTCTCTCGCCATCAATAGCAGAAAGCACAGGTCTTCGTGGTTTTCTCAGTCCTTCTACCTTAAAGCAGGTCAGCCAAGTTCACCACCCTTGAGCCAGGCAGTGTCCAGCAACCTCCTCCAACAGTGGATGGCCCAGGAAGAAGAAGAGAATAAAGAAGAAGAGAAGAGCACACTCCTGAGCTCACTCCTTTCATCTTCCTGCTCTTTGATTTCAAAGTAAATAACTTGTGAACATTTTCACCCCGATCATCTGAGATAAGATGGAGATGGGTATAGAAATGAATGTATTGATTAGGCACCATTCACAGACCTGCTCCCTTTTTTGTAAGAGGCTGTAATTTGAGCGCTCTGATTTTTCAAGTCAGTGAAATGCTAAATGGAAGCCCATCAGCCAGTATAAAAGAGATTTCCAAAATAACATCACAGGGAAAAGATCTTTTGATAATATATTCCTAAAGAGTTTTAAGCTACATAACATTTTCTGCCCCTAAATTGGCAGCTCTTGCTTCCTTCGCTTTCCAGTTTTCCAGATTTCCATCCCAGAATGTTTTTTATGTTGCAAAACGTGCTTACCACTTACCTCCCCACCAGGCGGAATTGTCTCTTTCGCATATTGCAGTTAATTTTAAACCCGAGATGGGTGACTTCTTCACTGCTGAGTCACTGGAATGGGAATGGCCTGATGTTCGGCATACATGTGGGCAGAGATATGGGGTCTGTTAGTAGAAAAGCAACACTCAGCATATCCCTGAAGAGACCAAAATAACAGACAAATGAATCTCTGCTGCTCTCCAAGAAGGATCTTCCTTTAGTAGAACTTTTCCCAAAAACAGAAAAAAGGAGTCTTTCTGGCCACCTGTCAAAATCTAGACAAGTCAAGAAATAAGTGACATGCAAAGGACTAATATCCAGAATCTGCAAGAAACTCGAACAAATCAGCAAGAAAAAAACCAATAATCCCATCAAAAGCAGGCAAAAGATATGAATAGATATTTCTCAAAAGAAGATATACAAATGGCCAACAAACATATGAAAAGAGGTCCAACATCACTAATCATCAGGGAAATGCAAATTAAAATGACAGTGAGATACCATCTTACTCCTGCAAGAATGGCCATAATTAAAAAGTCAAAAAACAATGGATGTTGGCATGGATGTGGTGAAAAGGGAACACTTTTACACTGCCGGTGGGAATGTAAATTAGTACAGCCACTATGGAAAACAGTATGGAGATTCCTTAAAGAACTAAAAGTAGGACTACCATTTGATCCAGCAATCCCATTACTGGGTAACTACCCAAAGGAAAAGAAGTCTTTATATGAAAAAGACACATGCACACACATGTTTATAGCAGCACAATTTGCAATTGCAAAGATATGGAACCAACCTAAATGTCCATCAACCAAGGAATGGATAAAGAGAATGTGGTATACCATGGAATATTATGCAGTTATAAAAAAGAATGAGATCATGTCTTTTGCAGAGACATGGGCGGAGCTGGAAGCCATTATTGTCAGCAAACTAATGCAGGAACAGAAAACCAAATACCGCATGTTCTCACTTATAAGTGGGAGCTGAATGATGAGAACACACGAACACATGTGAAGGAACAACACACACTGGGTCCTGTCAGAGGGTGGGGAGTGGGAGGAGGGAGAACATCAGGAAGAATACCTTAGGGATATTGGGCTTCATACCTAGGGGTGCTCTGTGCAGCAAACCACCATGGCACACGTTTACCTATGTAACAAACCTACACACCTGCACCTGTACCCCTGAACTTAAAATAAAAGTTGGAAAAAAAAATAAAGTATGGATTTCATCTTAAAAAAATAAAATAAAATGTGGTATATATACACAATGGAATACTACTCAGCCATAAAAAGGAATAAAATGATGTCTTCTGCAGCAATTTGGATGGAGCTGGAGGCCATTATTCTAAGTGAAGTAACTCAGGAATGAAAAACCAAATATCATTATGTTCTCACTTATAAGTGGGAGCTAAACTGTGAGGATGCAAAGGCGTAGGAGTGATATAATAGACTTTGGGGACAAGGGGGGAAAGTTGGGAGGGGCTGAGCGTTAAAAGACTACATACCAGGTCCAGACGGGGTGGCTCACGCCTGTAATCCCAGGACTTTGGGAGGCGGAGGCGGGTAGATCACGAGGTCAGGAGTTTGAGACCAGCCTGGCCAACATGGTGAAACCCCGTCTCTACTAAAAATACAAAAATTAGCTGGGTGTGGTGGTGCACCCCTGTAATCCCAGCCACTTGGGAGGCTGAGGCAGGAGAATGGCTTGAACCCAGGAGGGGAGGTTGCAATGAGCCAAGATCGTGCCATGGTACTCTAGCTTGGGTAACAAAGCAAGACACTGTCTCAAAAAAAAGAAAACAAAAAACAACAACAAAAAACTACATACTGGGTACAGTGTACACTGCTTGGGTGATGGGTGCACCAAAATCTCAGAAATCACCACTAAATAACTAATTCATGTAACCCAAAACCACCTGTACCCCAAAAGCTATTGAAATAAAAATTTAAAAAATTAAATTTAATTTAAAAAATTTCTCAGAAAAGAATAAGTGTCATGGGAACATTTTAGAGGTTATGAAAGAAACACAAAGAGAAGTGTCTCTCTTCAGGGAACCCTCAAGATGTAGACAGAGACAAGATTTTAAAATGTACAAGAAGGACGTATGTGTGATGTCACGGTGCCAGATGAACATGCTAAAAATTCCAATTCCCTGAGTCTCCATCTACAGAAAAGTGCTTCCATTATAAATGATGCATTTTGCTGTGGTTATACCCGCGTCTTCTGAAAAGTATGTGTTTTAATTAAGTATTCTTCCTTCTCCTGTAGATGTTAGAATTCCCAGTCAGTCTAAGTTTTGATGGTCCAGGCATCATCTACCACCGCTCGAGCCGAAGAATAAGAAGTCCTCAATCAATTTTGGTTGACAACCTAGCGACGCTGGGAAGCCTGGGAAGACAGATCTCACTTTGGGCTGGGAGGGTTACAAAGAAGGGGCGTCTTCATTTTGTGAGGAATCGTAATGTTCCCTTGCACATGGGCTGTATTTTCTCAGAAGCTGACACTGTTTTCGGGCAGGAGGCCCATGCATGAAATATGACTCACACTTCGTATCACAGCTGAGAGTGACCGCAGTGTGAACCTAAGATCAGTTCTCAATTTGTACCTGGTCAGATGCAGCTGCTGGAAAATTCCCAGTCCCTAACAGTCTAAAACGATTCGTAAACTCAAATAGAGAGAAAAGTGGAATCATCCTTCAATATTACTATCTGGACTCCCCCCAGCTCCCCGCCACACACACAAAGCCTGCCAGGTCTCCACACTGCGTTCATCTGAGCAGAATTTACAAGCCCCACAAAGGAGAACTCAGGCCACGACAGCTACCGGGCAGGGGACACAGATGGGCCAGGCAGTTGGTATTGTACAGACCTTGGCAACAAGAGGGTGTACACTGACCAAAAATTAATGCATCACAACTAGATTATTAGAATAACCCATGTTCACTTCACGCTGAGCATGAGCCCACTCATTGCTCCTCAGTCACAGCTTCCCTCCCTCCACTCCCTCATCACAAACCTCTCTCTCTCCTTAAATCTCCTCCTCCCTGCCTGCTTTACCAGGGCTCCAAAGCTCCCTCTCCTCCCCTGGCTGGTACCCGATGTGCCTGCAGCCAGGGGCACAAGTGTGGGGACAAGGTGCAGATGCTTCAGCTGGTCATTCCCCTTCTCCCTCTCCAATACCTGGACCCCTTCTCTGCCTGGGGCTCCCTGTCCCAGAACTGGCCCCTGAGAACTGTATCTCCTGGGCTCCCTGCCCTCTGGCATTCAGTTGGGGTTCAGCAAAAGGGAGGCTCCCCTAAAGGTTAAGGACAGGAGGGGAAAGGTTGGGGTGCCTCTTCTTTACTCTCGCTGTGGTGTGACCGCAGCCCTGTGGGCAGCCCCTTCCCTGCAGGAGTTTCCCAGGGTTGCCCATGCACTCCCCTCCACCTGCCCCTCCAGCCCTGGGCTCTGGGCAGCTCCCTCACTTGCTGGTCCCCAGGTGCTCCCAGTTTCCTTAATTCTGCCCCAAACCCCTGCCTTGCATGCCTGTGTTTCCCACCGGGACTAGGTGCGAAAGAATCTGCTAGACCAGAGCCCAGGAAACAATCAGGAACCGAGTCGCTGACCCAAAGGAGGCTCAGCAGAGAGGAACCTAAGTCTGCAGCCCTGGGTGCTGCGACTCTTCCTACCACAGAAACCAGCAACGCCGCACATGGCCACCCACATCCCCAGTCCTGCGCCTGCGCCTCATTGGCCCTGTGCACACATCGCCACGGGGTGCCCCACACCACAACCTGCCCTGAGGCTTGGCTCCTGCAGCTGAACCAGGCTACAGAGCAGCAGGGAGGGGTGCAAGCTCTCCTTGGAACCCTGGCTCAGCCCCTTCCAAGCTGTGTGGCTGTAGGGAGGTTATTTGCCCTCTCTGGCCTCAGTCTCCTCCCCTGTAAAATGGGTGGCATGATGGACCTGCCTCGTGGGGTGGGAGGGGGCTTCAGTGATATGCTGCAGGCACAGTGTTCAGATCCAGGCCTGCACAGGACGGGCTCAGTAAACCCGAGCTCTGGGGATTTTCCTGTGCCTGGGATGCCCTGCCCAGCTTGCCTCCCGCAGCCCAGGCCTCTCTGTAGACTATGCACACTGCACAGGTTTCTACCCTTCCGTATTCAATCTGCCCTCTGTATCTGTGGGTGGGTTCCACACCCATGGATTCAACCAACTGCTGATCAAAAATGTTTGAAAAAAAATGTGCGTCTGTACTGAACATGCACAGACTGTTTTCCTTGTCACGATTCCCTAAGCAATACCGTATAACAACTATTTACATAGCAGTTACATTCTGTTAGGGGTTATAAGTAATCTAGAGATGATTTAAAGTGCATGGGAGGATGTGCGTAGGTTATATGCAAATACTAGGCCATTTTGTATTAGGGACTTGAGCATCTGTGAATTTTGGTATTTGCAGGAGGTCCTGGAAGCAGTCCCCTGTGGATGGCGAGGGATGACTGCATATACATTTTCCTCAAGTCCCCCTGCAGCCCTCTTCCCTGCCTTTAAGGAAATTCCATGTCTCCCAGGCAGTGTCCACACCTCTGCCTCACCACCACTCACCCCGGCCCTCCCACTGGGCTTCCCAGCCCTGCTCCCCAGAGCCTTTCCTGTGGAGCTCCCTGTGCTCCCCACAAGGACCCGCCCAGTCCCTCCTGGGTGTCTGCAGAGGGTGGCCCTGGGGCCTCTTTCCTCCTTGTCTCCTCTCCTTCCTCTCTCCACCTAGCCAGGCCTTCTCAGCAACTTTTGTCATCTCATCCTCCTGCAGGGGGCCTAAATGCGGGTGTCCCTCAGGTTCCGTGGAGTCTGCCTTCTCATTCGCTCTGTTCCCCCTCCTGGGGGTCTCAGCCACCCTTGGGCCACAGCCACACAGGGGACTCCTTAGCCACACCAGCCAACCGCTCTCCTGGCTTCAGACCTGCAGGTCCACATGGCTGTCCCACGGCACCTTCAACTCAGCCCAATAAATTCACCCCCAAACGTAGGCTCTTTGGGGGTCACCACCTCAGTGACTGGTGACCCCGTCCCTCCAGGCCCATCCAGAACCCTGGGCAGCTCTCCCATCCCCTGTCCCTTCCTCTCCCTCTCGTCTCAAACCCAAGTCCTACTGAGTTGACTGCTAAATGGCTCTTGGCTCTGTTCCATTCCTTCTTCCTCTGCTGTCACCCTCCTAGCTCAGCTGACCGTCCTCTCTCACCCACATGATGGCTTCACCCACCTCACAGACCACCCTGGCCCTGGGCAGCCCCTCCTCCCCATTCCCCATACCATGGACAGAGGGACCTTCTGGCCACATCACATCCCTGCTAACCTCACTGAGGTCTCCCACTGCATTTAAAGACACCCCCCGTGCCACAACATGGCTGGAAAGGCCCTGCACTGTCTGCTCCTCCAGCCCCAACCCCTGCCTTCTTCCCTCGTCATCCTCACCCCAACGCTGCTTAAACCCCACTGAACTTCATTCAGTTTCTTCACTCTGCTGCTCCATCTTGCCTCCAGGATTTTGCACGTGCAGTTCCCCTGCCTGGGACTCTTCCCTGCTCTTTTCATCTGCCTGAGTCCTCATCATCACAGCAGCACACCCTCCTGGAAGTCTGTCCTGGGTTTCCTGCTCCTACCTGCTCCCATAACACCTGAGCTGCCCAAACACACAGATAAGCCCTGTGGTGTCACTGCTGGGTGCTTTCTCATTTCCATGAGCAAAGGACGGTGACCCCCTGGCCCACTGCCCAGGACAGTGCTTGACACAGTGCGGTGGGAGGAGGTCTCAGCAAGTGTCTGCAGAGTGAATTAAAGAATTATTTTATCCTCTGGGCTCCTCAGCTGGATCACGAGCTCCTGGGGAAGTTACTGGGGGCAACACTCTCCGGGCTCCCCTCAACAGCTCACAGTTCGCAAACATTTGACTGAGTGACTGAGTCAGCTCAGGCCCTGCAGTCTCTGGCTGTTTCCTTCCAATCGTGGTGAAAGTCACCCTCGAAGGCAGCCCTGGGGAGGATAGAAGGCAGCGCCTTCCCGTCACTGAGCCCATGGCAATCAGAGCCCAATGTCACCAGCGACTCCTGTGAAATTAGCAGTGACTTCACGCGTTGAGGGCATGGGGCAAATGCCACCACCTGTCGGTATTTCCATCGGGTCTACACCCAAGAAAGGGGGAGATGCTGCCTTTCTGAAGTAGGTTGTGCCTGAGGCGGCCTCAGCAGAGAGGAAATGTGTAGGCGTCCACAGCCAGCCCAGCCTGCTCAGAATCGCACCCACACTGAAGTTCTGGAGTTGGTGGCAGTGATTCCTCCTCCAGCTTCCCAGAGCCTTGGAGTGCACTTAGGAGATCAGCGAGGCCTCTGTGCACTGATGGAAGCTGGCTTCCCCAGAAATCTGCTGGAGTGAGGGCCTGTCAGGGGCCCTCCTGGCCGACGTTGACCAGGACTGGCCCAGGGACCAGGTGGACACGAGGGCAATGATGTCACAGCTGCCCCGACGGTTGATGCCCCGTGGCTTGCCACGGCCGTGGCCTTGGAGACAGGGTCTCCGGCGCAGCGCCTCAGCTCCGCCCATACTCGCTCCGCCCTGGTGGGCTCCAGCCTTTCCCTTTCCCTGGGGCTCAGCCTCCCAATCAGTCAAATGGGCAGATTAACACCCATGGCCTTGACTCCGTCAGAGACTGGGGGAAGAAATCGTGAGTCAGGGCAGCGAGGTCTGCGGGGAGCGTTGTGAAGGTGTGAAGTGCTGAGCTCCCAGGTCCCTGGCTGCCACCATGGGCTCGGAGCCGCGTGGTGAGTTCGCTTTCATTCCTTAAAAACAGGCAGCCGCTAAGTGGAGAAACTGGGACACCCTTTGCATCTTCTCAATCTTAGTTCAGTGCTGTTTCCAATAAACCACGGCTATCCTTTATCAGGGATAAAGTCCTTTGGATCATCCAACTTCAGCTTGGACAGAGTTTCCTGATAAATAACAACAACAATCATAGTTGCCTGTGTTTCCCAGAAAACAAAGATGAGGCAAAAGCTTATGTGCTTTAGCACATAAAGTGCATTGTTGGAAGAGTGCATTCCCAGGCTGCAGGAGTGAGGAAAAAGGAGAAGGAGGCAGAAAAGGATGAAAAGAAAATACAAGGAAGCTTCTATCAAGCTGGGCACAGACTGGGGACAGCCTCACTGCACGGTCTTGCAGAACGTTCTCAGAGATGGGACAGGAGCTGCTGTAGGTTCAGTCTACCTGGGAAAGAGGGAGAGGGATTTGCTCACCAAATCCCATGTCCCATTCGTCAATGTCTGCCCCACGAGGTATTAATTTCCAGCACTCCCGGAGCTGCCTGAATGTGGGCCCCCAAGGGTCCCTTGGAGTTGAGATCTCAAAGGTAACAGGGAATCCCTGACATGTGCCAGGATGGTCCTCTGCCAGAATCCCCTCCCGCAACATTTCCCCTGGGTCTGGAGAAGCCTAAGGAAATAGAAGTGGGAGGGGCCAGCCCTCGAAGCCTCATTAACTAAGGCTTCAGCGTGGGACAGTTACTATTTCATCTGATGGACTCCTATCTTAGGACTTCAAGTGCCCTTTCTTTTCTCTCCTCCTAGATAACTAGTACTCATGCTCCAAGGCCCAGCTCAGATGTGATTTCATTCCTGACTTTTCAAGGCGGAATTCTTTACATTTTCCCCTGGGGCCCCCACAACACTTGGCTTACCCCTCTTTATGGCATTGTGATGGACACTGCCATGATTTTGCGCATCAAGCTCCTGCCTTCTGTTAAAATGGCTGGGCTTTCCTTTGGGAACCCCCTCAGTTAATCAGATGTGAGTGGGACTGATTTCTCCACCACCCCTAGTCACCCCATCCAGAGAGTGGAGGTCATTGGCAGAGCTATTCCAGGACCAGGTCTGGAGACTCTTGGTCCACGTTACCATCCATCTCATCTCAGGCTGTTGATTTGTCTATGGGTAGTTATCTCATAGTTGGTACAAGCAATACTGTTGCTTAGCTCACCTATCATCTGTTCTTAACCCTCTCTCCCTAGCTACCTTCCAGCTAGGCATTGCAGGAAACAGAGTCCTGGACAATGAAATATAAGTAGAAGTCTGCTGTGGGTTTCCTGAAACTGTTTTGCTTTCTTGATTTAGTCACTGTCTTGCCCTCTCTTCCCCATCTTCCTGCAGTTGATGTGATGGGTATGATGGATGTGAAAGATGGAGCAGCAGCAGCCGGTTTGCAGCCTTGAGGGAAAGGCCAAGAGGCTTGTGGAAGTCTCGGTGATGCCATCTCCAAGATGCTGAACCACGACCAGCAATTTCCTACCCCAGATTTCTCAAGATTTGAGGAAAACAGTTATGTAATTAAGTTTCTATAGCTACGCTTTCTGTTCCTGGAAGCTGAAAGCATTCCTGATTAATGTGGTTAGTTTTCTGTTCAACTAGCAAACAGTACAGTGGTAATGACAGAGTCCTAGACTATCTGGGCTGAAAGGAACCTCAAACAGAGGTCAACCAGTGACCTGTCCTTTCATTTCACAGGGACGAAAAGGGACAGGAAAGGGGTCCTTTCTGGGGTGCTTGTCCAGGGTGCTTCAGGGAGAGAGGGGTGGAACCAGGACTGTTTTCTGCATTTCTCAGCAGCTCACGGTTGCTTTCACCACACCTCACTGATGTGTGCTATCTTCCAGGCAATAATGACAAGAGCCACCATTTACTTATTAGGCCAGGTGCAGATTAAGTACTTTGCCTATATCAATTCATTACATTCTCACCAAACTCCTCCAAGGGAGACAGTCTTGTTATCATTTGCATTTATGAGGATGAAGCCAAGCACAGAGAGATCAAGTAACTTGTCCAAGTATCCAAATCCAGACATTGTAGTGATGATGACTCCAACCTCAGGAGTCTGGAGCCTGAGCTCCCACATGGAACCACTAGGCTGTACTGCCTGGGTGGGGTTTCAGAAATGCTGGTATAAGATTCCAGGCTGGTAGGAGCTTCTTAGGGTGAGACGAGTAGGGGCAAATCAGCAGGGCCACCTCTCTGGTAAAGTCCTTGGGGCACTGCTTCCGGGAAACACAATGTCAGTGGTGCCACTGGGCTGTCCAATGTGGTGGCCCCAGGGTTTTGTCCCTGCAAGTGTCACACTGTGAGTTCCTCAGGAACTAGATGACAACATAAACAAATGAAGCCAGGTGACTATAGTGAGGGGTGTGGAATGAGGCCAATTGGGGAGCCCAAGCACCTTCTAAAGGAGCATCGGCCCCTCAGCTTCAGCCTCTGTTACTGTGGGAAAATATGGGTCCACATTTTACAGTTTTATAGGTTTTCAATGACTGCCTCAAATCTGGACCTTTTTCTCTCTCTCTGCTTTAATTTAATTTAATATATCTCTCTTGGTTGTGCATCATTTAATTTTATTCTTAGGTAATTTTTTTATTGTTATGTCATCCATATACCCTAAAATTCACCATTTTGAAGTATGTAGTTGAATGGTTCTTAGTATATTCACAAACTTGCATAGCCATCACCACTATCTCATTCTAGAACATTTTATTTATTTTTATTTATTTAGAAGTGGAGCTTTCCTATGTTGCCCAGGCTGATCTGGAACTCCTGGGCTCAAAGGATTCTCCTACCTCAGCCTCCTGAGTAGCTGGGATTACAGGCACAGGCCACTGTACCTGGCTTCAATTCTAGAATATTTTAATCATCCCCAAAAGAAACCCCACATTCACCGGGTACAGTGGCTCATGCTTGTAATCTCAGCACTTTGGGAGGCCGAGGCGGGCCTATCACAAGGTCAGGAGTTCGAGACCAGCCTGGCCAACATGGTGAAACCGTGTCTCTACTAAAAATACAAAAATTAGCTGGGCATGGTGGCACACGCCTGTTGTCCCAGCTACTAGGGAGGCTGAGGCAGGAGAATGCTGTGAATGGGAGGCAGAGCTTGCAGTGAGCTGAGATCATGCCACTGCACTCCAGCCTGGTGACAGCGAGACTCTGCCTCAAAAAAAAAAAAAAGAAAGAAAGAAAGAAAAAAAGAAAAAAAAAAGAACCCCCACATTCATTAGCAGCCATCTCCCATTCCTCTCCCCACCTCCCAGCCCCAGCAACCACTTACCTATTGTCTGTCTTTATGAATTTGCCTGTTTTGGATGTATCACATAAATGAAATTGCTCACTATGTGGCCTTTTGTGACTGGTTTCTTTGACTTAGCATAATGTTTTCAAGGTTAATCTATATTGTGGCATGCATCAGTACTATATTCCTTTTTATGGCTGTATAATGCCATTGAATGGGTATACCACATTTAAATCTGTTATCTATTACCTATCCATATTTAAATATGTTATCTATCTGTTATGAGTTATTCATAAAATGATGGACATATGTGTTGTTGCCACTTATTGGTTATTATGAACAATTTGCTATAAACGTTTATATACAAGCTTTTGTGTAGACATATGTTTTCAATTCTTTTACGTATATGTCTGGGAATGGCATATGTTGCTAGATCATATGATATGTCTATATTTAACATTGGAGGAACTGCTAAACTGTTTTCCACAGTAACAGTACCATTTTACATGTTCATAAGCAATGCATGAGGGTTTAATTTTTCCACATTCTTTCCAATACTTGTTAGTGTCCATCTTTTCTATTACAGCCATACTAGTACATGTGAAATGGATTTCATTGTTTTAACTTGCATTTCTCTAATGACTCACAATGTCGAGCATCTTTTCTGTGCTTAGTCTCCATTTGTATGTCTTTTCAGAAATGTATTTTCAAGTCCTTTGCTGCTTTCAAGATTTTTTTTTTACCTTTGTCTTCTGACAGTTTGATTATGATGTGACTAGTGTGGATGTCTGAGTTTATTCTACTTGGAGGTCATCGAGCTTCCTGGCTGGTTTTTATCAAACTTGGGAATTTTTTTGGCTAGTATTTCTCAGTGATTCTTTCCTTCCCTTTCTGTCCCTCCTTTCCTCCTAGGACACCTATTATGTGTATGTTGTCACACTTGATGGTGTCCCACAGGTCTCTGAGCTCTGTTCACATCTCTTCATTCTTTTCTCTTTCTGTTCCTCAGACCGTATTATCTCAATAGACCCATCTTCAAGTTCATTGAGTCTTTCCACTGCCTGCTCAAATATATTCTTGAGCCCCTTCTAGTCAATTTTTATTTCTATTATTGTACTTTTCAACTCCAAGACTTCTAACTAGTTCTTTTTTATATTTTAAGAATAATTTCTGTATTTTTATTGCTATTCTTAATAGCAAATATCATCTTCCTACACTCTTTAGTTTTTTAAACATGGTTTTCTTTAATTCTTTGAACAAATTTAAAATGACTGACTTAAAGTCTTTGTCTAGTTAAGTCCTATGTACGGACGTCCTCAGGGACAGTTTCTATTGGCTGCTTTTGTTTCTTGTGTGTGGTATATACTTTCTTTTTTTATTGCATAGCTCATCAATTTTTTTGTTGAAAAATAGATTGTTTAGATAATATTTTTTGGCAACTCTTGAAATCTGGTTCTTTTCCTCCCCCAGAGTTTGTTGCTTTTTGTTTTTTGTTGTTCATGATGTTTGTTTAGTGGCTTTTCTGAACCAATTCTTTAAAGTCTATATTCCTTGTCATGTATGGAAACAAGTCTCTGCGTGATTGAAGAAAGACTTCCTTAAATGCCCGGAACTAATGTTTCCAGTCTCTGCCGAGGACCTCTATATCTCTTGGGGTATATCTTCACTCTCAGGCAGTTGACAACTCTGGCAAAGCCTTCACTTCTTGCTTGAGCACAGCTTTAAGGCCAGCCAGAGGTGAGAGTTTAGGACCCTCTCGGTTCTTTCCTGAGCATGCACACAGCCCTGCACATGTATGTGCCCTTCTAGATTAAGAACATGGGAACTTTTCAGATCCCCCTGTGGGCATCTAACTCCCTGGATTTCACATTTATGCTTTCTGATTAGTCTATTGTTTGCCCCAACTATTACTACCACTGTAGGCAGCTGAAATGCTAAACAATTGCCTCTGATTGTTTTGGCAAATGTTGCTGGGGGAAAAGGCTGTTTATGCTCATTAAAAATCAAGTCCAGTAAAGATAGCCTTGAGACTGGGGTTTTTCAGGGAACCACCAAGCAGGGAATGGGGCTCAGAAGGAACTCCAACCCTGTTCTGATCCCTCTAGTAGTTGCCTGGCTGCTGGTTCTCACCAAAATTGTGGGCTATTGGTTTTTAAAAAGCTGGGACAAGGGAGGTGATAATTGGATTACTTTAAAATCCATAAATTTTGTTAATCTTAACAAGATTCAACCATTTTTGTTAAATAAACATCCCTGGGTTGCTGCAAGCCTCTGGTTAATTTCCTAGAGTTATAAAAAAAATGATTTGGACAATTTTGGCAGTTTGCTCACTGAATTGATGAAGGAGAAGATTTTCAGGTCCTTATTCTGCTATTCCCACTGATGTCCAGATCATTTACGTTAAATACAGTGTTGCATCTTATTTTTAAAAAATCAGAAAACTCTTGGGTGGGCCAAAGAAAACTTGTGCACCGGCCAGATATGCCCCAAGCACTGCCAGTTTGCAATCTGCGGCTTAAGAAACCATACTTTTTTTCTCATAAGCAATTGCTTTCTCTTCTCAGAATTGTAGGTTACTCAGATGCTACTCAGAGGGGCCTTAAAGATGTTCAGTTCTAAGCCCATCATTTTAGAGGAAAAAGAGGCCAGAGATGAGCAGGGTCTTAACCAATGGAACAGAGCTGATCTGCAATTTCTGAAGGTCTCCATAAAAGCTGTGCCTCCTGAAAAATGGATTCACAATCAGCAACAGGGAGTAGGAGTGACCTGCTTGCATCAAGAGGATTGCTTATTTTGATTGTGGTTAAAACTACAGTCTTGTAGTTTGTTTATTGGCATTTTTCCTTTAAAAGCACTCCAGGAGTCTACGGTGATCAGCAATAGAAAGATAATTAAATTGTGATTTTCCCCATAATAGGCCAGTATAAAATAATGGAATGAACTAACCACAACTGCACACAAAGCATGGGTAACAAACATAATGCTGAGTGAGAAAACGAAACACAAAGGGTACAGACTGTGTGATTCCATTTGTACAGAGTCTAAAAATAGGCAATGCTAATTACTGAGGATGGAAATCAGGACAGTGATTATCCCTGCGGGGGCAGGGAGTGACAAGAAGAGAGAAGGGAAGATTCTGGGTGCTGATTCCGTTCTCCTTCTAGATTTGGATGCCCTTTCATGAATGTGTTCCATTTGGGAAAATTCAGTGAGTTTTACACTTATGAACTGTGCATTATTCTGCTTGTGTACTATATTTACTAAACAGTTTACTTAAAAATGGTCTCTCTCCTACGGGTTCCCACAAAGACTTTAAACTTACCTGATGTATGCCCCCAGCCCTAGGTGGACCTAACACAGATTTCCTGCAAGTTGCTCTGGAAGAATCATCTCATTCCAGCCCCGTGATGTTGCTGTGTGGCTCCTGGGTTTGGAAGCACAAACACTTCACAGGAGTTCCTGGGTTTTGGTTTATTCACAAACACAGAGATATGCTCTGACTGTGTTCAGACTTAGGGATAGTAGATGGCCTGACAGCGTCATATTGATTAGTATATATGAAAGCAGTTGCATTTTACTTCTATTCCATGGCTGAAGTCTAGCCATGGGGTGTTCTTAGATCTGGGCTGGGAGAGGAGAGGTTACTTAGCAACCATTAGTTGATGGCATGTGGGTGGAGGCGTTGACTCTACTTATAGCAGATACAAGAAATATCATTAAGCTTCATGAAGCCAGAACAGAGGAACTGAACTGAATAGTAATTATGATTAAACAAAAGAATGCGTCCTAGCAAGTCCCATGTTGTCAGTTTACGCCAACATTGAGGCCTCTAGCTCAGATAATTTGGACCTGCTGCTGGGTAGACTAACGCTCTAGGGTAAGTTGCAGTGACTGCAGGCAAGACTCCATGGACCTGGCATGCTCCAGAATCACCAGCAGGAGGTGCTGCTGCAAACACTCACCAGCCAGGCCAGGGCCCTGGTCCCTGTAGTTGCCATGGTGATGACCCAACAAAATGGAGTCAACAGGGAGAACTTGGCAGCCACTCTGATCTTGGTGATGTGCTTGAAGGGCTCTGCCCTGCCCTCTTCAAGGTCAAGCCTAAACAGTGAGGCAAACATATTGAAGCATTTGCTCTGCTTCCTCATTGGTCAAGTTGTTTCTCTGGTCAACAGTAGTCCAGGAGCTTCCTCCATAGACCACGGGTGCCCCATCCTGCAACAAGAAGCCAAGCATCCTCCCTGGAAGTGATCAGGCCCCAGCTGGGTTCATGGAACCTTCAGCTCACAAATTGCATCTAAGCTGTTCTTCCCACCAGCTTGGCTGAGGTTTGAAAACCATATTCCTTTTATTCCTTTAATTCTCTGTATTTTGCCTCTTTTAATATTTCTCTTACATATGCATATAAATATATAATTAAATATCCTTTCTAGGTATACCAAAATGGTCAGTTTAAGCTGGAAAATACATACTCAGATGCACACACACACACCCATTTTCCACTGGTCAAGTGGCTTTTGTCATGTCATTGAGTTTGAAGAAACCTTACCAAGCTTTTAGCCTGATCTTCAACCCATGACAGAAATTCCTTTTTCAGCATCCCTGGAGCCTTCTCAGCCTCTCTTTCCTTGAACACCCCAGGGGTGAGTACAGTATCACTTAGTAAGTTTCGGGTTGCAAATGGCAACAAAAAGTCAAACTGAACAAAACATTAAAGGGAATGTATTGGCTGCTGAAATTGAGTTGGAGGAAGCTCAGGCAGGCTCCACAGCCTTGGGGTCAATTTTTTCTGGTGGTCTTGCTTTGTCCTCAACTCTGAAGCCTCTATTCCCACTGGCCTTCCTCATGGTCACATAATGGCTGTCACTGCCCCAGATTGTTGTCTGCACTCCCCATTCTCCAGGTGGGAAAAAGTTTATTTTTTGGTCAATTTTTATTGTATTTTATTTATTTATTTATTATTTTTAGAGATGGAGGCTTACTCTGTCACCCAGGCTGGAGTGCAGTGGCACAATCATAGCTCACTGCAGCCTCAAACTCCTGGGCTCAAGCAATCCTCCCACCTCAGCTTCCCAAGAAGTTGGGACTACAGATGTATGCCACTGTGACTGGCTAACTTTTAAATGTTTATTTATTTATTTTTGTTTAGGGATGGGGTCTCACTATGTGGCCCAGGCTGGTCTCAAACTCCTGGCCTCAAGCAATCCTCTCACCTTGGCCCTCCAAAGTGCTGGGATTACAGGTATGAGCCACTGTGCCTGGTCAGAGGAGGTTTCTATTCCAAAAACTCCATGCATGCATTCAAAGTCCTATCCACTCTAAATGATTGACTGTGGGTCACATGCCCAGCTCTGAACCAATTCCAGTGGTCAAGGGGAATACCACATGCTCACTGGCCTAGCCCTGGGTCACGTGATCACCCTGAATCAATCACAGTGGTTAGACGAATGTGATCCTTTTGTGGACCCATCTTAAGATTGCTAAATGTTTTCATGATGAAGTATTTCTTTTATCTCAGCCACTTTTGATGATCCAGACTGAGAAACTAATTGACTCTTCCTCCAGTTCATCTTCCCACACTCCTGAGTTCACCAAACACCCTTAAGTCCTAGAGGTGGGGGCTGCAGGACTCACAGAGGAAATGGATGCAGAGAGCTGGCCTCCAGGCCCTTCATGGTAATAGAGGAGTAAAAATGCACACATGTGTGTGACCACATAGACAAACACACCCCAGTACATGCAAACACCCCAGCACACCTGCCCACATCTCAATACACATGCCCACATGCACACACATGCACACATACGTGGGCATACACAAATACCCCAGTATACATGCATACATCCAAGTACACCTGCCCATGTGCACACACCCCCCAACATACCCTCCCATGTGCACACATACCCCAACACACCTGCCCATGGGCACACACACCCTAACACACCTGCCCATGTGCACACACACCCCAACACACCTGCCCATGTGCATACATACACCCCAGTACACCCATACCCTGGCATATACCCCAGTCCATAATTGCCCATGTACACACACACTCCAGCACATCTGTCCATGTGCATATACATATCGGCACATGTACACTTATGCACACACCATGGCACACACACCACCAGAACATATGCGTATGTGTACACACACCCCATCACACATGCAAAGATTGTTGTAAAGCCTATTTTGGAGAATGCGCTCAGGATAAAAGCTACTTTTCAGCTTCCTTTCCTCTCTGCCCCCAAGATATATTTCCCGACACTTCTGGGTCACAGCCTTCAGAGGGATATAGTTAATACCCAAGGGTCTCACCACTGATGAGCTCTAAAGAATTACTTAGAAGCATGATTGTGTGCCAATAAAGAGGATAACTATCCTATTCTCTGAGGGCTGCAGGCAGTCTTCCTCCTTGTCCCATGACACACTTGTAGTTAACAGATAGAATTGCCAATTGTCAGAAAATAGGCAGCCCCTCTGAGATCAGCTCTATGCACTTTGCCAGGATTTGCTTTATTCATTAAAGTGAGTTTTTCTCTCATGGGGTGTCACATCCAGGTTGGCTTCTCAGCCTGCTGCTCTTCAGCTGACTCCCTGAAACAAATTTCCTAAAACTGACTCTGTTGAGTCCCAATCCAGAACTTTCCCTCATTTCTAAATGATATAAATTTCCTTAGGAAATGTTTAAATTGGCTACCAGTATTATGGTTTTATGGCATCCACATTACACATTTCACAGATTTCCAAACCTGCATGTATCAGAACTGAAAAGACCTGAGCTTAAAATCAAAAGAGCTGAATCACTGTGCTCTCTGAAGCTTAGAGAACCATTTAATTGGAGCAATCAATGTGCAATAATAAAAGCACTTTTGCAGTCGTTTTACTTTTTTCACTTGTAAGGACAATGGAAACTGTTCAATTGAAAAGTGACTAATTGATCAGTTATATGGTCATTCAGCAAGAATTTTTTGAATGACTTCTCTGTGCAAAACACTGTTAGGTGTGATGAAGTGTAAAAAGAAGTGTAATACAATTCAATTAAATGAGGCAAATAATGATGAGTTCCTGCCATGCATCAAGAAGTCTGCTAGATTCTGAGATGAGGTAGTGAGCAAAATGCAGATCTTATCACTGAAGAGATGACAGAGTCAAGTGGTGCATCCACTAAATCAGTAACTCTCGTTTAGTAAATGCTTTGTGCTAAAGAGGAAATGAGTTAACATTGGACACAGGCAAAGTCTGGGGCATGCCTTCATTTCCTACAAGTTACATGCTGCATGGAGAATGTGGGTGGGTGCTCAGAGAGATGGTGGGCTGTGGTGATCTGTGAAAATTATAACTGTGGGCACTGGCTCTGGACTCAGGCCCCTCAGGACAAAGCCGTCTCTACCCTTACTCACTCTGGATGTGCATAGGACATTGAAATGCTCCATGCCTCAGTTTCCCAAGCTCTAAAAACTGGACACTAGTACCTAATTCATTGTGAATGAGACAGTGCATGTAGAGAGCTCTTGTGAGCCATTCCTGGAGCTCAGAGGGTGGGAGGGGGTGGCTGTCACTATTGGAGAGTCACAGCAAGTTTTGGTTCCTACTGGGTCCAAGGAGAACGCTGACAGGCAATGTAGCCAGAAAGAGTGTCTACAGCATGATAAAAGAAAAGCTTCTTACAAATTAACAGAGTTTATTTGAGCAAAGAACTATTCATGAGTTGGGCAGCACTCAGAACCAGAAGAGGTTCAGAGACTGCCACCCAGTAGTCTGGACAGTGAGCTTCTATAGGTTAAACATGAAAGCAGATAAATCACCTGATTGGCTACCACTAGGCATCTGCCTTATTTAGGCATGGTGTGATGAGTGGGCTGCCAATGATTGGTTGAAACTTAGCTGTTTCTGATTGCCTGAAATCTGGCTATTTGTTACAAAAAAAAAATACTCCTAAGTTAGGTTTCTGTTTGTTTACTTACCAAGTTAGGTTGTAATTTGTTACTTAGGAGCTTAAAGTAGGGGGATAGCCTTAGGCTAACGGCCTTCTGCTTATTTAATTTATCAAGTACATAAAGATCATCCTGCCTCAGGAATATGGCATTGCATCCAGACCTGGTACCAAGCTGTGAGCCTCCCAGTCTGGCAGAGGCTTTAAAGCCATCAAGCCCAAAGCATGTGGTCTGCCATGCTCCTTTGCCCTGAGCCATCCCTCCACAGTGTGGGAGGCAACTTAATGTAGGGTTGTGGGTTGTAGCAAAACTGGCTTCTCTCTGGCTGGCTACAGTCTGTGAAGGCACTAAGCAGCAGCGAGAAGTTAAGTAAACATCACAATGTCATTAAATTGCTATGGCAGTAAATCTTAGGGTCTCAGGTTCAGAAAATGGGTGGCTCTCAACCTGGGCAATTTTTCCCTCCAGGTACACTTGCCAACAGCTGGACACAGTTTTGGTTGTCACAACTGGGTAAGGGCATAACTGGCATTTACAGAGTAGTGGCCAGAAATGCTGCTGAGCATCCTACAATATGCAGGGCAGTCCCACAACAGAGATTTCCCAGCTGCAAATGTCAATAGTTCTGAGGTTCAGAAACCTTGAGACAGGGCAGCAGCAATGGCTGGTGCTTGCTGGGGGAGGAGGGTGGTTTAATCTGAGTCTTGAAGGACCAAGAAAGTTAGAAGAGCAAACAGGAGAGTGAAGTATTCCAGGAAGGGTCCCAGCACAAGCAAGGATGGGAGAGAAGGATGTTTGAGGGGCGATAAACAGGCTGGCTCGGCTGGAGGGGTGTTTGTGCAGGCGATGTGTGGAGGGCGTGTGGGGTTTGCTCTCCAGGCCTGAGCAAATCCTCAGGCTTCCTCTGAGAAACTCCCCATCCCTGTCCATGTGGTCAGGAGGGACTTTCAGTCAAACTACAACCTCCCGCAGTCCAGGGGGTAACATGTGGCCAAGACAGGACCATCCCGTCCTCCTCTGGGGACCTGAATCATGAACAGTGACAAGAGGACCCTAGAGGTTGCAGTGGAATCATTGCCAGCACAGGGGAACCAGGAGCTGCCCTGATGCCCCAACCCTCTGAATTTGGCTCTTCACATTTAATTTTCCTAGAGTTCTGTGACTTACCTCATATCTTGCCAATAAATGTCTTCAAAAAATTAAATCAAGGAATCCAGAGGTGGTTTCTGTTGCTTTCACTCAACATTGGTTGGGAGTCTGTGGCTCGGGCCTTCTCGTGCCTGGACCCTAACTCTAGGGACAGCTGGTTTCACCAAGCAGAAAAATAGTCCACTGAATAGAGGACTGTGGTGTGCTGTGCACTGATGGCAGCAACACACACATACACACACACATAAACACACACACATGAGAGAGGACACATAGGGACAGCCAGGTTCGTGGCCGACACTGAGCAGCCACTCTCCTTTCTTCTTTTTTTTTTTTTTTTTTTCTTGAGACGGAGTCTCACTCTGTCACCCAGGCTGGAGTGCAGTGGCACGATCTCGGCTCATTGCAAGCTCCACCTCCCGGGTTCATGCCATTCTCCTGCCTCAGCCTCCCGAGTAGCTGGGACTACAGACACCTGCCACCATGCCCGGCTAATTTTTTGTATTTTTAGTAGAGATGGGGTTTCACCATGTTAGCCAGGATGGTCTCGATCTCCTGACCTTGTGATCCACCCGCCTCGGCCTCCCGAAGTGCTGGGATTACAGGCATGAGCCACCACGCCTGGCCACCACTCTCCTTTTTTCCTTGGTAACAGAGCCCTACTTTTGTTCACCCCTCCAGTAGAAAACAATGTGCTGAGGAAAGGTGGCCCTGCCTCAGCCCTAAGGGACAAACATGATTGCTCAATGGTTCAAGGCCAATCAAAGCATAGTAATCCTCTTCCCCTTTGTGATTGTTTTGCAAGCAGGCCTGTCATCCAGTTCTAGCCAAAGGGACTTAAGGGACATCTACTAGAGGCTTCTGGGAAAGAATTCCCAAGCCACACAGGAGAAAAATCCCCCAGCTCTCCTTCCCAACCTCTGTTTTGGACAAAGGCTGGTGATGCTTGAGCCATGGCAGCCACTGGAAACCTCAAGGCAAAGGCCAGAGAATCTCAGAGATGCAGAGACAGAGGCCTGACATTCTAGAGCTAGAGAGTAAACCAAATTAGAGTTGTCTTTTCTGGGCTTCTTGTTAAGTGAGTTAATAAATATCTTCTTAACTTAAGATGGTGCTTCTGAAACTTCAATGTGGACATGAATCACCTGGGGCTCTTATGCAAAATGCAGATTCTTATTCTGTAGATCTAAGGTAAAATATAAGATTCTGAATTTCTAACAAACTCTTGATGCTGATGTTGCTGGTCCATGGACCCCACTTTGAGTCATTAGACTATAAGCCACTTTTAGCTGCATATTCTGTTACTTGCTGCCAAAAGCATCCTAACTCTTTTGACCATTTGCATAGTAGCCCCACCCACTGGATGGAACCCAGAGTCTCATCTTCCCATCAATCAGATTCACCCTCCTCCACCTGTGGGAGGAGCCGAGAGACAAGTGCTTGGGGAGAAGACCATCCTCCTTCCAAAAGGCAAGAGCACTTCCTGGTGTTGTGAGCCTGGGTGAGAGAGAGATGGAGGAGGATGGAGGTAGAGCCAGATCGCAGGGACAGATGCTGATTTGGGGATGTTCTGGGTCTTCGATTGCCTCTTTATGGTCTGTTTATGAAACCCAGACGCCCTTTCAGTGAGAAGCAATTCTGCCATGTTTATTTTGGGAAAGAAGCCACAAAACCCAAATTGTCATCTATTTCCCAGTCTTTTCCAGTTTCCAGGCATATCATCCTTTTCTATGCCTTGGAGAACATTTCAAGCCTCCTGGAATTTTTCACCAAGGAGGGACCTCAGGGTCACTGCAACAGGATGGCCTGCTGAACCACCAAGAGGCCTAGGATTCTATCCTGAAAATCAGGGATTCCATGTGGGTCTCTCAGGCCCAGCTCTCTTGTGAAATTGAGAGCTTCAGATTAGTCATATTCGGACGTTGAGAGGTGGAGGGAACACTGGAAATGGCTCTGCCGCTCATGTGCTGTGTGTCCTTGGGCAAGTGATTTGGCCTCTCTGAAAACCAGTTTCCTCCCCTGTGAATGGCAGAAGTTGGGTCAGGTGATTTCTTAGGGCCTTGCCTGCTCTAAGCATTTCATGGTCTCAACATTCTCATAAACAGGACTTAGCTTAGGTCAGTGGTCTCCATGTTGGCTGCACATTTGAGTCACCTGAGGGACATTATCGACTCTGGTGCTTCTGTGTTCTACCCAGATGATCTGATCTGATAGATTTGGGGTCCAGCTTGGCCATCAGGAATCTTTAAACCTTCCCAGATGTCACTAACATATAACCAGGATTGAAAGCCACTGGGCTACGCCTGATTTTATAGAAGAGGAAACTGGGCTCACATCTCTGGTCAGCAGGTCAGCCACCAGCAGAATCCAGTGACTCCCGCTTGCAGGTGTGGGACCTCACAGCCACCCTCTGCAGTGCAGCGCATCTCTAGGACCTGGGGAACATTGCACCTTTCCATTCTTCAATAAACTTCTCCTCCATCTCTTTCCCTCTCTGCCCCGCCCCTCGCTCCAATGAGCTAAATCTCTCTCAAGTAGCTCCTGCCTCTGTCCTGTGAACGTGCCTGCCAGGAGGAGTCGCCATGCCTGGTTACCTCCTTGAACTAGGGAGGAAGGAGGGAAATATGGGCTTAGACACGTGGAACTCAGGGTCTCCCATGTCACTCTGACTACCACCCAAAGCACCTTGCTCTGGGTTTGTCACAGGACAAGGGGAAGCTGCTGTGATGTCACTGAGGGTAATGAGAAAGTTGAAGAAGAAAGAGGAGAGAAATAGCACATCTGTAATTAGACATTCTTCCTGGTTGCTTCTTTGCATGTTGAAAATGGCTTGCTACAATCCAGTCATGTTTAGCCCCTTGGGGTCCCTGGTGCAGTGAGTCCAGGACCAGGACTGGGGGCTTTACTCACAGCTGCCTTCCCAAGTCCTGTTGACCTTTGAGCATCTCCTGCCCCAGGGCCCAAGAGAGCGCTGCAGCAGCCACACACAACATGAGATGCTTCTCTGGGTGTGCCTGGCTTCACCCTTCTGTGCTTCTGATGGCAGAAGATAGAAAGTGTCTCTTCCTTCCTTGCAAGCATTTCCATCTCGGAAGACTCTCTGGGGAAAGAACACGAAGGGGGAGAGGCTTCCTAAGTCCCTTCACTGGGGGCTTATCCGTGACCGACGTTCCTGGGGAGACATACATTTCATCAGTCACTTTCCATCTCACTCCACTCTCCCTCCTCCTCTCTGCAAGCTTACACTGCAGCCCGATGGAATTACACACAGTGCCCTGCATATGCCAAGGTTCTTCCACCTCTAGTCATGCTGCTTCCTGTCCTGACACCCCCTTCCCAACTCGATCCTGCTGAGCAGCCTG
Source organism: Homo sapiens (assembly GCF_000001405.40). Lineage (NCBI taxonomy): Eukaryota > Metazoa > Chordata > Mammalia > Primates > Hominidae > Homo > Homo sapiens. The sequence continues at coordinate 48,359,286 of NC_000020.11, forward strand.
GGATCTGTGTACGGGACGCCCCTCAGAGTCACCCAGACACAGGGGAAGCTGGGGTGTTTATTCCCCGCCCCTCAGTCACAGGTGCAGGCCTGCTCCTGGGGCACTCACCCCAGCATCTCCAACGCTAAGGCAGCTCAGAGAGCCACTTTCCTGTCCAAGGAACCCTTAGAGACCATTCCCAGGAGGAGCGAATGTCCACCTGTGTGGCGTCCTCCTGGGGCGCTCCTTCTAGGGGGGACCCCAGTCCCTCCTGCCCTTCCACCCAGAATCCTCCTGTCTCCTGGGTGAAAACTGGAGCCCAGATTCTAGCTCTGCTGTGTCTCTCAGACTCTGGTGAGTGTCAGAATGTTTTGGAGGCCTTGTTAAAACTCCGATGGCCAGGCCCACCCTGAGGTTCTGATTCAGGAGGTCTCAGCAGAGCCCAGAGCTGGCTTTCCCAGCAGGGCCCCGGGGTGCTGATGCTGCTGCCCCTAGGACCACCCCTGAGAGCCCTGGCTCTCCACCAGAGCCTGCTCACCTGGAGACAGTGACCACAGGCCACAGGTCACCCCTCACTGCTTCACTCCACGCCCTCTCCTGTGACCTCATCTCCTCCCACCTCCCCCTGGGTCACGTGGCTCCAGCCACACCCACCTCCCTGCTGTTCCTCACCCAGGATCACCAAGGTCTCTCCTACCCCGGGGCCTGTGCACCTGCTGTGCCTCTGCTTGGGGTGCTCTTCCCAGGGCTTGCCCACCTCCTCAGAGAGGCCTCCTGACCCCTGACACGGCCTTGCCCTTCACCTCTATCGTCCTTTAGAACAGCCCCCACCTCCCGCACATCATGCAGTTGCAGGTTCAATGGCTACTGCTTGTCCTCCAGACTCGTGAGTAACTCGTGAGGTGGGGCGGGGCGGGGGCGGGGGCGGGGGCGGGAGGGGTGGGGGTGTTTTGTTCCCTGCTCTGTCCCGGCACTCAGAGCAGTGCCTGGCAGGGGTGGGTACTCAGTACACACCTGTTAGCAAGTGACTCCGATGCAGGGACCGTTCTCTCTAATCTCCAAGTCCACCTTTCTTATACTAAGGATTTTCAGTGTTTTTTCATGCACCATCCAATCTTTTTTGACTCTTAGATCATATGCCTCAGAGCCCATCTGGGTACAAAAACACCCGTTTTCAAAAAAGGAACCAGAAAGTGGTTTCATCTCGCTTTAGGATGTGAATGAAAGCCTCTCCTTCCGTCTCCCGAGAAGGGACTTTCAGAAGCTGCAGGTGCCCAGGTCCAGGCCCCACGCTGTGGCCCCGCAGGGACTGTACTCACTCTTTATTTTTCTCTTTTCCAGCTCTCCACAAGCCAACAGCTCTCTCCTGGCTTTGATTTTCAACCATTTAAGTTGAAAAAAATTCAAAACAAATGAAATGCACTTAAGAGAAAGCCTTGAGGAGTTCAGCAGGCCACCCAAAGTGAAGGGACTCCTTTGGGGGTCTTTGTTGTTATCAATTATTTATTGAGCCCTGATGTGTTCCTGGCGCCACCAAGACCGAAAGGAGACAGGGTCCCTGCCCTGGGGCATCCCAACAAAGAAGGGAGAGTTTGTGAAGCTTAAAAATGTCCCAGATGGTAAAACAGTTACACGTCATACCTCAAGGCTGCTCTATACTTTTATTATAGTTTTATTCTTAAGGCTGTTTATTTATTTTCTGATGTAAAAGGTAATAGAAAGTTTATAAACTATTCCTAGAATATAGACAAAAAATAAAATTCGACTTCGTCCAGCATTTTTAATGCACATGTAAGAACTCTACTTGGTTTATGGCCGGGCGCGGTGGCTCACGCCTGTAATCCCAGCACTTTGGGAGGCTGAGGCGGACGGATCATGAGGTCAGGAGATCGAGACCATCCTGGCTAACATGGTGAAACCCCATCTCTTGCTAAAAATACAAAAAATTAGCCGGGTGTGGTAAGCAGGCGCCTGTAGTCCCAGCTACTCGGGAGGCTGAGGCAGGAGAATGGCGTGAACCCGGGAGACGGAGCTTGCAGTGAGCTGAGATCGCACCACTGCACTCCAGCCTGGGCAACAGAGTGAGACTCCGTCTCAAAAAAAAATAAAAATAAAAATAAAAATAAATAAAATAAAATAAAAAACTCTACTTGGTTTATGAAACTGGGATTTAGTTTGAACGTGTACTCTTCAGAATCTGCCTTGAGTTGACATCAAATTACATCACCTACATTTATTCATTTTTCTTTTCTTTCTTTTTTTTTTTTCAGAGTTTCGCTCTTATTGCTCAGGCTGGAGTGCAATGGCGCGATCTCGGCTCACTGCAGCCTCCACCTCCAAGGTTCAAGCAATTCCCGTCTCAGCCTCCCTGAGTAGCTGGGATTATAGGCGCCCGGCTAATTTTTTGTATTTCTGGTAGAGACGGAATTTCGCCATGTTGGTCAGGCTGGTTGCTTACATTTCTTTATGTCATAAAGCAGGCTTCAAAACAGAAATTTTAATCTCTTCAGAATATTCCATCACATAGATATATGATAATTGCCTTCAGTAGTCCTCTATTGCTGGATGCCAGTTTTTTTTGTTTTGTTTTGTTTTGTTTGGTTATTATAAATAACACTGCCATGAACTTCCTTAGTTTCGAAAGATTTGAATCACTCTCATTATAATTTCAGTTTATTTGTTAATTTAATGTATTTTTTGAGACAAGGTCTCACTCTGTTACTCAGGCTACATTACAGTGGCGCAATCGTAGTTCACTGCAGCCTCAAAATCCTGGGCTCAAGCGATCCTCCCACCTCAGCCTCCTGAGTAACTGGAACTAAAGGCGCACCCCGCCACACCCCACTAGTTTTTAAAATTTTTTTGTAGAGACAGGGTCTCACTTTGTTGCCCTAATTTCACTTTATAAACAGGAAGAAAGAAAACCTAACTTTAAGTTTGAAACCAAATCCTAATGCTTTCTCGCAGTTCTATTTGCTGAGGTTAAGGTGGGTATGAAGGATGTTGTTGAACCCACTAGGCTGCAGTTGCACCGAGGAACTGCGGGTCTCCACCAGGAGTGAGCGCGGGCTCCCAGTGACCCCACCAGCACCTCCTGTTTTTTTGTTGTTGTTGTTTTTTGTTTTTTTGAGGCGGAGTCTCCCTCTGTCGCCCAGGCTGGAGTGCAGTGGCGCGATCTCGGCTCACTGCAAGCTCCGCCTCCCAGGTTCATGCCATTCTCCTGCCTCAGCCTCCCAAGTAGCTGGGACTACAGGTGCCCACCACGACACCAGCTAATTTTTTTGTATTTTTAGTTGAAACAGCGTTTCACCGTGTTAGCCAGGATGGCCTCAATCTCTTGACCTTGTGATCTGCCCATCTCAGCCTCCCAAAGTGCTGGGATTACAGGCGTGAGCCACCGTGCCCGGCCACTCCAGCACCTCCTCTTTCAAGTACAAATCCAGACCAAGGCACAGGGCCCCTGCTGGGTCTGACCTTTTAGCACAAAGAGCCACCGAACCATGGGAAACACTAAATAATTTGATGCAAAGTAATTTCTTTCTTAAACATAGGGCATCCCTACAGCTTTCTGTCTTATTTTTTAGCTCCATATGAAAGAGTCTGCTCTGGGGCAAGTCCACGAGGCCCTGAGTACCACTGGGAATGGAAGCTCCACTGAGGCACACATAAGCCTCTGGTGCTTCCGTCTCTGCCATGAGAGGGTGGAAGAGACACTGGGCCACTTCAAAGTTGTTAGGTGGCCAGTTGCTGGGTGGGCATTATGTGAGGGACACTTCACTTTCCCATTTCTTTGTACCAGACAGAAAAACAGTGGAAAATCAGTTATCTCCAGTTTAAAGTTGATGGGTCAACTAAGGCTCTTTGGGCTTAAGAAATCAGTTCATATAGGTTTTTGTTTGTTTGTTTGTTTGTTTGTTTGTTTTTTGAGGTAGGGTTTCACACGGTCACCCAGGCTGGAGTCCAGTGGCACGATCTCAGCCCACTGCAACCTCCACCTCCAGGGTTCAAGAGATCCTCCTGCCTCAGCCTCCTGAGTAGCTGGGACTACAGGCGTGTGCCACCACATCTGGCTAATTTTTGCATTTTTGGGAGAGATGAGGTTTCGCCATGTTGCTCAAGCTGGTGTTGAATTCCTGGCTCAAGTGATCTGCCCGCCTCGGCCTCCCAAAGTGCTAGGATTACAGATGTGAGCCACCCTGCCAGGCCCAGTCCATATAGTTTTAAGCTCATTTGGATTTAATATAAAAGTTTAAGCTTTTGGCCTACTGTTTAATATTGAATTGTTCCTTTCATGGAATCATGAATGATTTTTCACAAGTTTCTCTTCTTTTTATAAAAAGTGACTCTGGTGGCCAGGTGCAGTGGCTAACACCTGTAATCCCAGCACTTTGGGAGGCAAGCCGGGCAGATCACGAGGTCAGGAGATGGAGACCATCCTGGCCAACATGGTGAAAACCCATCTCTACTAAAGATACAAGTTAGCTGGGCGTGGTGGCACGTGCCTGTAATCCCAGCTGCTCAGGAGGCTGAGGCAGGAGAATCACTTGAACCCAGGAGGCAGAGGTTGCAGTGAGCCTAGATTGCGCTGCTGCACTCCAGCCTGGTGACAGAGTGAGACTCTGTCTCAAAAAAAAAAAAATGACTCTGGCTCTGGCTCTATATCTAAGGGGTCAACTGCACCATTGTCACCACAATGCCATTTTCTGGAAGGAAAAGCTCTATCTGACTTCACAGTCCTTAGGAGCCTTGTTATGGAACCTGGTGGACAAACCATTTTAACTGGACATGATGTTGCTTTTTAATCAATGACTCCTGAAATTTTAGGTGAGTATGAGTCTGGAGTTTTAGATTACAAACAACAGGAAGCCAATTCAACCCAGCTTTTTAAAAGAAGATTTCTAATTAAATGTGTTGATTCTGTTAGCAGAGAACTCTGGGGGCAGTGTGGGTTGCAGGCATGGGTAGATCCAGGTGTCAAATGACATTCTCAGGACCCATGCTCTCTCCATCATTGGCTCTGATTGCTCAGGTTTGGGCTCCATTCTTGGGCCACTCTCTTGCTCTGCAGCAAGATGGTCAATGGCAGCTCTAGGCTCTCACCCTCATCTTCACATCTCTAAGTCCAGAACAAAGAGCTTTCCACACCTGCTACAGATCTGGGAGAAGATGATCCTATCTTTCTTGAACCTGAGGCTAGTCCTTACTCCTCCCTAAGTTCTAACATATTTACTTAAAACAAGGCACTAATGAAATGACTATATAAGTGCCCCACTGCCTCAGTAGGCAAAAAATGTGTTTTTATATATAGCTTATTCTAACAGTATTCAAACTGTGGCTTGATCTTACTGAGCTCCAGTGGCCATAGAGAATATGATTCTTTCAGATGTTTTCACAACAACTTTTACAGCAACTATCTTTACACCTGCCTTCCCTTTCTCCTCATCAGATCAATTAGTCTGGTTTCTTCTATTTCCTGCTTACTTTCCGTTCCCCCATTACTGAACTTCTGATTGAAGAAATATACAGGACTGGGCACTGAGGCATTGAGGATGCTTTCAAGTTAGCAGTAAAGAAATACCCACAGGGTCATCCTGCCATCCCAACAATTGTCTTCTTTCTGCTAGGATAGGCCTCATCACTCCTCAGATGATTCTCGAAGGATAACACACAGGCCAGTGGGCAGCCCTAGGCCAGGGGGATTACCAAGACATGAAGACTTTCTTTCTGTCTCAGCAACCTTCATGCTTGGTCAAGCAAAGGTGTTGCTTAAGTCAAACCCAGGGCAGGGGAGAGCAGTTGAAGCAAAGTGAGTCTTTGGAGGCCCTGTGGTTGTGGGGTCTGGTGTGGAGACAGTGAGAACGGAAAAGGTGGGAGAGGAGCAGTCAACCCGTGAATGGCCCCATTCAGACGCCTTTACCTGGAAGACGTGGCAGGTGAGCAGCAAGTGAGCGGGAGAGTGGGAGAGAGAATGAGGAAGTGAGGGAGAGAATGGATGAGTGAGCACCTGCTTGGATGAGCCGACACCCACCAGGGATCATGAGAACACCGAACAGCTGAGGCACGGTGGCGTCTCTCAGCAGCCTCCCCAGGCCTGTGCCCCTGGGTCCTGACATGAGAGCTGATGACCATTTATTATCACTGGTGATGTCAAGAGGTGGCTTGGAATGGTTGTAACCGTCTGTTCATTTTCATCTCACCTCCACATCCACCACAAATACACAGTGACGTTGCTCTGCAAAAGCAGCAGCACACAGCCCCCCAGAAGCCCCTTCCAGGTAATTGCCAAAAGTTTCTTCCATATGGAAATTCTGTAGTTGTGTGACCTCAGGCTAGTTACACAACCTCTCTGAGCTTTGCCATCGTCTTCTGTCCTATGGTAAGAATGATACTGAGGTACTAGGGAGCTGTGAAGCATATGCTGTGAGACAACACAGCTGAGCAGCCCAGCCAGAGCCCCCTGGGGAAGCCGTCAGAGGTCAGCAGCTCCCGTCTCCTTCCCTCTTGACTCCTAATAGTCTAGGACAGAACTTTGCCCTCCCTTCTTCCTGTCCCAAAGATGCACAATGATAATGATGCTGATGGTTATTTAGTAAGAAACTTCCCAACAGGAACAGTCATCAGGAGGGGGCACAGTTGGATTCTCTCCAGTGAAGATGTCAGGATGGACAGAAATGTCAGCGTAATCCAAAGAGGACACAAACACCCCTGCTATTTTCTTGTCACCAGGAAAAGGCCAGCTCTAGGTTTGATGAATGTTTAGTGAAAGAAAGTTTGCAAAAGTAGAAAAGAAACTGACATAATGGTAGCCAAACAGGCTTTCTCTGCATTAGAAGAGCTAAATATACCCTTGCATGTCTGATTAGAGAAAAACAAAACAAACAAGCAAAAGCTCCTCCGATGCACAGAGGTACTGCTCCATTGAACTAGACCAGAAGAGCTTGGGCCTGCCCCTTGGGAACAGGGGTCAACATGATGCGGTGGGCAGGGACCCATCATCTGACAAGAAGATGCCCTGAGGGCAATGGAAAGCACGGTGTGTCGGGAGAAGATGGCCCTGAGGGCAGGTGCATTCAGGTGCTTGTGAACGCTGCAGCATGTTGGGTCTCTAGTTTTGTATCAGTCAGCTACTCTCACAACAATGCTGTGTAACAAACCACCCCAAACTCAGTTGCAAACAATGATATTTATTTCTCATTCTCATGTCCACAGGTCTACTGGGGTTCATCCCATCTGAGCCAGGCCTGGCTTTTCTTGGCTGCAAGCTGAGAGCTGGGTCCAGGTCTGCTGAACCAAGGTTCTCCCATCTTCCTTGAGCCAGTGACAATCAGAGGCCTATTTCTTTCATGACGGAAGGCAGGAGAACAAGCAGGCAAGACCAGCTGTGCTAGCACATGGCACCCCTTTCCCACATCACACCTGCTAACATCCCATTGTTCAAAGCAAGTAACACAACCAAACCCAATATCAACAGGACAAGAAAACAGACTCCACCTCTAGGTGCACAAACTACAGAGTCACGGACAGAGAACACAGATCTAGGGAAGGAAGCTGGAGAATGAGAACAATGACCCTCAATAACACAACCTCCCACAGGTTTCCAAATCCCCAACCTGAGCATATTTCCAAGGAAACGGAATCATGGGTTCAGGGTTTTAGAGCAAGCAATTTCTGCTCTCCCAGCTTAGTTTCCATACCCTTAACACAGGGGCAATGACGTCGCATCGAATCATATCTTATAAGTCTGTGATGATGTTTCAACAACTGAACGCCAGAAAAGTGCTTAGAGCAAGGCCAGGTAGGAGGGACAGAAGCCAATAATAATGAGTAGCATCACTGTTAACCCGCAAAATTCTGGGAATTTCCTCGAAAGTCTAATTAGAGAATCATGTCCCCAACAATTAACAGTTATTTTGTTTTTTTTTTCTTTGAATCTGAGAAAATACTAATTGTCACAGGGTAGAATATTTATCTGATGAGCGTATAGAAGTTAAGGGCTCTTTGGAGTCACGGTGCTGGGTTTGGGTCTCATTCCTCCTCCTACCTGCCTTTCTGAGCCTTGGTTCCTCATGTGTAGAAGGGGTACAATCCCAACCTCATGTGTTTGTGGCAGTCGGGGTTAAATGGGCTAATGATTCTGAAGTGCTCCGCGCAGGCCTGGCAGGTGCTGAGCAACCTCAGGCCATAGAGAGAGCACTGATTTTGGAGTCAGGAGCTGGGACCTCAGGTCCTATTCCCTGGGGATCCGGGAAAAGTCCCTTGGCTTCCCTGAGCTTCATCTGCCCCACGTGCTAGTGAGGTGGCTGGACCAGTCAGGCTAAGGACGTCCCTGCAGCTATCTAACTTCCCCTTACTCCCTGTTCAGCAAAGGGCAGGAGCTGGGCCTGGCCAGGCTCCCACAAAGCCCAGGCGTGGCCGTGCTCAGCTCACGGACGGGTGTGGGGGATGCGTTTCTGCCCTCAAAGGACTGAGCTCCAGTTTCTTTCTTCACTGAGTCCTTTACTCTCTGCCTGCGGGTGGTTATTTAAGACATCTCCCGCCTGCAGGGGCCTCTTAGAGAACAAACAGATCGTTCCTTCAGCTGCAGTGCAGGCTTTACTGGGCTTGTTCCTGCATCAAGTAGACAGATCCTTCCTGAATAGAGTCGCCCCACAGGCCCCACACCCAGAGAGGGGCAGCCAGGAGCCTCCGAGGCGGGCTCTGCCCAGCTCTGCCTTGAGCTCTGCCTGACTGCAGAGAAGGAAAGTTCTCTTCTTGCAACCTCAAATCTTCCAGATAAGAACCAAACGACATCCGGCCTTTGCGTTCTCTCCACCAGCTCCCGGCTCACCCACCCAGCAGCTCAGCACCTGCGAAATCCGTCTCCCGATGCACACTTGCTAACCGCGTGGGTGTGAGCACAACGATGGGAAACAGCGGAAGTCCCCGGAGTGCAGACTCAGGAGTGAACCTGCCTGAAGAGTGGCGTCTAACGCACACACTGTGGTCAGCTCCACCCCACTATGGGTCCCGGGAATAGGAGCAAGTATGTATTTTGCTTGCAGGGCAGGTGTTTCATCCACATTATTGCAGGAACAGATGAATTTAATTAAAAGAACACCACAGTGGGCACCTCTTCCAGGGATGTCTCCCTCTAAGAACATGACACTGAGATGATCAAGGTTCTAAAAGGGCGATCAAATTACTCTCCGAAAATGAAACTGCTCAGACAGAATGACAATTAAATTAATAACAACCAAGACAATGCCCAGATTTCATCTCCGCTCACAGCCCCTCCTGTGTGCTGTATGATCAGGTTCTTGGGGTGGCTCCAGATACAGCAAACAGTCAGGATTAATCCACAAGAGTGAGCTGTCAGCATGAGGTTCCCCTACAGTGGAGCTTGCCAAGGTCCGTGCCTCCCAGGGCACCCGTTCCAGGGCTAACAGATGAAGCATGGAAATGCTGTGTGGAGTGAGCTAAGCAGCCGTTCTCAGGAGAAAACAGACAAATCCTCCTGCATCCTGGCAAACCAGCTTTGTGGCCTGTTTTATGTCATCTTTGCTGAGCTCCACCGGGTCACCCCTCCTGTTGGCTTTGTGATACTGACATTTCAGGCACTGGCACAGATACATTGGCCTTCCTGGCTGGGATTTCACGGACGGAGTGAGCAGTGCTGGCTTGGAGGAGCCGTGGCGGCACAGGGCCTGTGCTCTCAGCTGATCAACGCCTTGATAGCCAGGAAAGGCCTGTCCTACCCCAAAGGGCCCTCGCAGCACTGTTTGAAATTGCTCTTGCCATCTTTGGAATGGATTCCTCAGTACATTTCAGACTCGTTGTTGTGACTTTGGTTTTAATCCAGGGACACACCGTGGCCAGTGGAGTGTCTCAACAGCATCTATGATCGCTGTTTCCCAGAGACAGCATCTCAGATACCGATGCTGAAAGAGAAACAGCAGCCTGTCCCCAAGTGGCAGGAAATAGTCCATTTTAATGGCAATTTCATAAGTGGCAGATGATTTTTATTGTAATTTTCTGGTGAGCTGATTAAGTGGAGGCAGAGTCAGTTCTGAGGCGTCAATGTCTTTAACAATTCGGGGAGACGGAGGCCACGCTCAGCAGGAACACTGAGTCCATGGAAAACAGGCCCTGGGCCCGCTGATGTGCATAATTCCACGTTTGCCCCTCATGTAACCAGGATGGTAAATTACAGGTGTCAGATAATCACGCTCTGGAGTGGCTACTTGAGGATGCGATCGACCAATTTAAGCTCCGTCTGACACATGATCAATAGCCCGTGATGCTGCATGGAATTGCAGGCACAGTGTCCAAACCTGCAGAGCAGTGGCTCCCAGCTGGGGCAACTTTGCCCCCCAGAGGACATTTGGCAATGTCTGGATATGTTTGCAATTGTCACAACTAGGAAAGGAGGTACCCATAGGATACACAGGAAAGTCCTCACACAGTTGTATCCTGCCCAGACTGTCCGTAGAGCCAGGGTGAGATGCTCTGACAGAGCCACAGTGAACATTGCATTCCATCATCTGGGTATCTCCAGGAATGTATGTAGCTGGATGTCTGGCTTTTCATCTGGGTTTCACGAGCCTCCTGCAGAACTGAAACCATGTGCAAATCAGTTCTCATACTTGCTCTCCTGCCTCCTTCCTATTGTAATTTTTTCTTCCCACCTTTTTTATTGTTACTAGAGAAATGATGAAGAAAAAGAATAGGCTGGAGAGTCACTCAAAATTTTGTTTTCCTCAATTAAAAAGAAGTAATTTAGAAGTTACTCAATGATGTTTTCTTTAATTAAAAAAAAAAGTAGTTTGGGAAAGCAGAAAATTAATGAAGACAGAAAACACAGGTTTCATGAAAAAGTTCAGCATCCCAGGAAAGGAGCAAAGAGAAGTCTGCAGATGAGAGTTGCTCAGTGTCAGGACTCAGAAAACAATACCCCAAGATAATGTTCAAACCTGAGTGCTTTGAACAAAGGATATTGAAAGACCTCAGAAGAGGGCCTCAGAACTCACATGTCTCTCTGACCTTCTCCTGTCTCTCCTTCACTTCCAAAGCATGATCTTTGGCCAGGGGATCTCTCTGGGATTCCCTTATCTGCCTGAGGGATGTACTTCCAAAAGAAATGTGACTGGCATGACCTCCTCCCTAGGAATCTCTTCAAACAGCCGGGAAAGACTGGTCACCTGAGAGGAGATTGGAAGTCCTCACTGCACTCAGAAAGGCTGTTGTCCATTCTTCTAGAGACTTTATCTGAATAACAAGGCAACTTTTGTTTACCATTCAGTTCCTCCCCTTTCCTTTCTAACTTGTCACCACCTCCCCCAAAAGCCTCAAGCCTCCACTCCTACAAGCTATAAAGACTTCAACCATCTGGCTTCTCCATGAGTCTCATGTTTTGTGTGGCTCTTAGGCATATGTGCATGGTAATACATGTGTATGCCTTTCCTCCGGGTAATCTGTTTATTGTCAGTTTAAAGCAGCCACAGAGTTAAAGACGGAAGCCTTCAGAAGGCTTTCCCTTTGCCCCTGCATCCATCACCTGAGAGCCCACCCATGACAGACTTGAACTATGGACAGAGGCTGCAGTCAATAGAGCCCAGGGTGAGACTGACTACAGGAGAAGCTGGGCCTTGGGGGATAAGCCCAAGCTTCTCAATTCTCAAACTGCAGGTTAAGCCTCTATAATGGAGCCTGAATTCCATTCAGTGAGTCTTGACCAGCATTTTAAAATGTGAAATAACAGAACTCAGTAGAAAATATCAAAGGGCATTACTTATAGTGAGGTAAGAATATTCTGCGAAATTTTAGTTTTATATTGAGTGTGTGTGTGTGTGTGTGCACGCGCACGCCAGGCCTTGTTGTAAAATATACTTCTTATAATGGGTTGTGTTCAAAACAGCTTGTAAAATATGGGAGCAGATGAAATGATGGAGGATTTGGTAAGAACTAAATATTTGTAAGCAAATTTTGCAGTGAAAAGAACAAGGAAATTATTAATTCAAGAGAAATCAAAAGTAGTATAAGAAAGAAAATGCAACCATATTGCCATACTTGGCTCTGCTGTAAATAACATCTACTTGGCCACATGACATAAATGCTGATTATGATGATGTCATTGAAAACGGTAATTTAGCCATGCAGGAGGCTGTGAGTTATGGTGGCAAGTGGAGGAAGAGAGCTAATCCCTCCTCTGGGGGCCGGCATTGAGAGATCACAGAGCAACTTGAATCCCCGTGAAGCACTTGCTCTTACAAGATTTGGAAGAAACTTGCACAAACAGTAAAGTGTCTTTACTTGTGGATGTCTCTGGGAAAAGATGGGCAGGGAACAGAAAGATTCAACGGTGTTTGATTTGGTGACCATATATCTCTTTAATTTAAAAAGGGATCATTCAGGACCAGTGAGGCCATGGTGGTGTTCATTGGAAAGAGCCCAGGGACCCAGGTGGCTCTTGGCTCCATCACCTAGAACCCCATGCCCTTGAACGAGTCCCTCTCCAGCTTTTGACACCAGTTGGCCAACCTCTAAAACAAAGAGGCCAGGCCAAATTATTTTGACTTGTCCTTGGAGCCCTGTGAGTCTGTCTCACCACGGAGTGACTTGGGAGTCTGGGTACCACCCACCCTGACTCCATGTCAAATACCGTGCACATCTCAAGCACAGTGCCTGGCTCAGCACAGGCAGCAGGAAAGCTGTGTGGGTGTGCATCAGGGTTGGTGGACACAGTAGACAGCCTTTGCTCTCCCAAGATGGGGGAGGTCCGGTACCATGACTTAGGGAACTGCTGGTTCCTAACCAACCCCCCCACCCACCCCGGACAGTAGTGCAGAAAGGATGCTTTCCTAATCAGCTAATTTTCACAAAATGTGGGATGCCCTGGTGGGATCCCGTGGTAGGAGAGTAGATGACTTCCAGGAGCACATAGAGGGGGCAGAGGCTGCGGGCTGACCCTTGATACCCCTCATCCCCTTCATTTAACATTAGAAATCCCAAAGTTTAGTTGCCTGGACCGGAACTGAATTTCCCATCCTGCCTTGCAGCTGGTGTGTACCTTCCCAGTGTACCCTTAAATGCATGAGTACGCCCCACTTACCCTTTTCCTCTTCCCTCCTGCCTGATGTGACTTGCACCTCCTTGGACCAGGTGGACAAGAAAAGCCTCCGTCAATGACAGAGCCCAAGATGGGCAGGTCGAGGATCAGCCCCGGGAGCCGCCCAACTAGCTCGCCCCTCGCCCCCGCCCCCCAGCCCCCACAATCCCCCGATGGCGAGGCTGTCATGTGGGAGAAAAGCAAACCTCTGGTTCATGAAATTGCAGGTATTTGGAGCCTCTGCACAAGCTAGTGAACTTGTATATCAATAAGTAGGGGGAGTACATTTTTTATTTCAATAGTTATTCACTTTAATGTGTATTAGAAAAAAAATTCCAACTTATTAATCAAACCTGTGATTTCATTATGGCGACAGAGGACGTTAAAGTAGGTAACACATTTTTTACTTTTACCATGAGTAAAAATGTGAGCCGGTTTAGTTTAAAAGAAAACGCCAGAAAACAGCATGGGCATGACAAGGGTTTGGCAACAATCACGATCATCCTGGAGTGACTGAAGCTCGTCCACTTGGGACAGGTGACCATGTGGGGGACTCTGGAGCAGCAAAGCAGTCAGGGTGAGGGGTCAGAGGCACCAAACTTCCTCTTAGAAAAACACGAGGGAACCGACGAACCCATGTCCAGGGAATGCTGAGGACGCTCTTGACTGTAGGGGGACCGAGCACAAAGCCCCCGTCGCCGCCCGGCGGACCCGAGCTCCTGGACTCAGCCTTGACCGACACTGACTCTGTTCCCACAGCGGCCGCTTTGTTCGTCTCCTTTGTGGACACTTAGCTCAGCGCCTGTGCTGCTCGGCTGTGACCTGACCTTCGAGGGTCACCTCCTGAATTCAATCGCTGTGACCTGTGCTGCGGACCCCGTCAGGAAGCTCCTGGTCTCCTCCAGTCCCTCCCCCGCCTCATTCGCACAAAAGGCCTCATTGTTCTGCAGGGTCTGATTCAGACCTGCCCTGGTTTCAGTTTCGGCAAACACCCAGCACTGGCTTTGGGTCAGGGGTCACTCTGGAGTGAACGGGGCGCCCTGAGCAACCCCACATCGCTGTGTGATCCCGGCTCATCCACAGGAAGCCCCGGCCCAGGGACCCAAATGGGTCCCAGAAGTGGACCAGATGCAGCGCCGACGGTGATGTGGGGACGCCGGCATCTCCAACAGTGGGAAAGAGGAAACTTTCTACTTTTCATTAAGCCCCGTCCTCTTCTCCCCCAGGGTTACGGGGACACAATGTCTTCACTGGCCATGTTGGAACGTTCTGGGGTGTGAAGGGAACGTCCCCAAGAGCAGTGACTTGACCTTCGCTTTGGCTGAGATTTGAAATTCTCTTCTTACCGATCTTTAAATCTGTACACGCAGGAGTCTGTTTTATATCCAGCCGTCCCTGTGACCTCGGGCGAGTTCCTTACCTTGTGTTTCCTCATCTGTAAAGTGGGAATAATGACCGCACGGCCTCGTGTGCTTGTCAGAACAAAATCAGACAATGCACGAAGACCCGTTGGCCCGGAAAGCTGCAGCTGGGCCCTGACGATGCCACGCTGTCCATCTGGGGAGGGGAAGTTCATTGCTAATTCGACTCAAAGGAGAAAAATGCATGTCCCCCTGAGCTGAAAGAAGGAACGAAGCCAAGTCCACCAGGCCACCGGGTCTCCTTAGGCTGAGGAAATGGACAAGGAGGGCAACATGGAAACTGCAGAGAGCAGCAAAGCCCTTCACTACTGCTGCCCGAACCCTGCAGCGGCTCCTACAGCCACCACAGGTCACTGGGCCAGAAGCAAGTTAGGGAACAGCCACATCACCATTCAGGGAAGCCGCTCCCAGGCGCTGATCCCCGGAATGGTGGATTTGCTAACAGCAGCCACACAGACACCTCACCTCACGCCAGGCTGCTGAGCTCAGCGGGGGGCACGATTGCCCAAGCAGGGGTGGGGCAGGGCAAGGCAGACCCAGTCACATGGTGGGAAAAGCCAAAAAAAACCTGCCTGATTTGGTAAAATGCCAGAACTGGGCATTTTAAAGTTAGTTTTTAAGGCGTAGCCATTTGTTGGGGGTTTTTTTGCCTTGTACTCTCCTGTCTCCCTCCTCGCCACACAATAAACTGTCTCCAAGGCAGCCGCCCTCCCGTTGCCAGGACGTGCGAGGCAGGGAGGTCAGGAGCTCTGCTGTGAGGGCGCCACCCGGCTTCCGGTTTGTGCATGAAAACCCGGCTCAGCTTTTCCGTTCCATGAAGACTGGGCTTCTCCAGGCTGCTCGGTAAATAATCACGGATTCCACTGGGAAGAGAAAACATCCCCACAGCCCCTTCTCCATTGTGCACCCAACCTCCAGGTGTTTTCAGTCTCTCAAAGAGCCCCGACGCCTGAAATTTAACAACTAAAACCTTATTTTTCATTTCCTGAGATTCTCTTGGTGGAATCAGGCAGCCTGGCAGTGCGCAGCACCTAGGGTGGCTCATGATGAAAAATCCAGAGGGGACTTTGCCTTCCTGCATGTCCTTTTGTCACCAGAACCCGGGGACCAGCAGGACCCAAAGCTCCCTGCGGGATCAGCTGGGTCTGGGAATCACTGTCCTGGGCCCATTTGGACTTTTCGGATGAGGCCGGTGTTTGGCCAGCACCTGGGCTGGGCAGGTGGGAAGGACAGAGGCGCTGATGGAGAGAGGGAGGGGAAGGGGATTCACAGCCGTCCTGGGAGCCCCACGGGTGCCTTTGGCCTCTGGCTCCTCTGCCTGCCCCTCAGGCTGGTTAAATTCCCCCCTGAAAGTTCCCCATTGGGCAAGTCCAGCAAGCCTGAGCCAGGCCTGTGATCTCAGGGTGGGTGGAGCTCTAGAAGGCCTGGCCCTCGCTCCTGGAGTCCACGTTCACCCTCAAGGCAGTGAACGGCACCCCACTGCGCATCTACTCACTAACCAGGCACGGGATGGTTTCCATGGTTCCTGTGTCTTAGACCAGCTCGCTCATGGTGACATGGGACACGCTGAGACCCCACCATGGTGCAGAGTGACATTAATGCATTAAATTAGCAGCCTCTGCAACACAAACACATTTGCATGTGGAGCCTGTGACGTTCTTTGGTAAAAGGAATCCTTACATGTTTGCAAACATTACACTCGCTGAGGAAGGGCCTCGGGCTCTGACAAATGATAAATGGGAAAATTAGACGCTTCAGGAAAATGCAAATATCATCCTTCGTAAGTCTGTCCGTTGGCAGGAAATTTAAAAAAAAAAAAAGGTTTCCCCAAAGCAGTGAGGCATTACTTCTCCTCTTTTAAATGCCAGGAAGAAGGGCTGTGATTCTTTTAGGCACTTGCATGGATCTTGATTTCTCTTCCACAGTCTCCCCAACGCCCTGGCAATGTGTAGGGGAGAAGCCTGTGATTTCAGCAGACTGTCCTCTAATTCAGCGTTTCTCAAGCTTTATTTCATAATCACCCCCTAAGGAATCTTTATAGGCAATTTTTTCTTACTTGCCCCCCTATGAATTTTAATACTACATAATTACTGCAGAATGGTTTATGCACTGTGTGGACATCTACATTTTTACATAAAGACAAAAATCTTTTCACCTCTGGGAGCCAGCTCTGGCCCCCATGGGAGCAGTATTCTCCGCTAAGAAGGCCTGCTCCCATTCCTTCTTTTGTTGATTTTGGGAGGAGGTGCAGGAGCTGCCTGGGGCCTTGGGGCAGAGCGATTCGGGAGAGGGGACAGAGAGGACAGAGTCCGGAGAGGGGAGGGGAGGGATGAGGCCGAGGAGCAGCCAGGAGCCCCGTGTGGCTGGGGCCAGGGGGAGTTGAGGGTAGAGGAGTGATGGGTGACTACAGGGCAGGGGCCGGGGGTGGGGGGCGGAGATGGATCATCTCAGGCCTTAGGGGACCCTGTGAGGACTTCAGCTTTTACTCTGAGGGAAGTGGGAGCCATTAGAGGGTTTCAGCAGAGACAGGACATGGTCTGGTTTATTTTTTAATGGATGATCTGTGTGAGGACAGGTTGGGGTTGTGGGGTCAGAGCTGGAGAAGGAGGCCAGCGGGGTCTACTGCAATGGTCCAAGCAGGAGATGATGGTGGCTTGGACCAGAGGGTAGCTGTGAGGGAGGTGGGAAGTGGCCGTATCCTTGATCTGTTTTGGAGGTAGAGCACTGGCACGGTTTGCTAAGAAGGGTATCACCCCAGAGCTGTCAAAGGCTCATCAGGTACCCCCTCTTTTACTGGTATTAACTTCTTATCCTCCCAATGAGGCTATGAGGCAGTTATGCATTCTCTTAATGGGAGACTGAGACACAGAAAGGCTAAATACAGTCCTCAGAGATTACACTACCAAGAGTCAGAGTCAGGGTTTGAACTTGGGCAGAGGCTACACTCATGACCACCCTGCTGTGATACTTGGGTTATTTGGGATATAAAAGTGTAAACTGGAGTGCTGGCTACCTCCTGGTCAGTCTCTCTGCAGTAGCCATTGCTTTACAGAGTAGCCGCAAGCTTTCTCAAATACCGCTGCCTTAATCCTTGGCCAGCCCCTGAATCTCACCATTTCCTCCACCAAGCTGCAGCCCCTTTCATCTGCGACACCAGTGCTCTGGGATCCCTGCCTAAGAACTCGGTCTGCCTTACCCAGCTAAACACTCCAACCAGGTCCTTGGAGCTAAGAAAAGTCAAAAGCCTGGATCTTAGCAGTGATCATCAAAATAGTAACAAATATAGTAAAATAAATTTTAAAATTTATTTGCTTTCATTTTCTAAGCAAACTAAACTCTGATAAGATACTTCTTAACTAAGAAAGATATAAGCTGTGGCACAAATCACTCATCCAATTTGTCACTAATTTGTCGGTTGTCTGTCGGTTTTTAAACATTGGTGGTATAATGTGTTGTTTGGCACAGCCGCCACTAGCTAAGCAATGCTCCTATCTGAAACTAATGGATGAGGGAGCCACAGCCACCTCTTCCAACCACCTCTTGATTAAATGAATGGTCATTAGGTCCCTGGCACCGAGGAGTCATTACAGACAAGGACAGGTGGCTATGCCACCAGCACATCACAGCCAAGTGCACCCTGGAGTCCCACCTTCCCACAAGACCCCCACCGAAGAGCTCACCCTCCCCTTGGCCCTGCTGACAACAAGCAGTGGCAACCCTCAGGCTCCCTCCCCCCTCATGCAAATATCCAGGCTCTGCAGTAGCAAAATGCAGACAAATTCTCTTTCTCTACCCCAGTTCGGTACAACCTATTGTTGTTACTCATGGTAGATATGTTCTATAAAGTCACGCAAACACTGAATTGGCAAATACTAAGCCATTGCTCCTTCAGGGTTAGGTCCCCATGAGCCTGTGGTCACAATATTTTCATCTACTGATCAATACATAACCTTGTTTTATGTGTGTTTCTGTTTAAAGGCACTTTATTTAATAGATGTTGTTTCATTAACATTGAACTCACGGCCAACAGTGCTACAACCCATGACTGAGCCAAGTTTATCCAACCCACGTTTCTCCCACCCGAGCCTTCCCACCCTTTGGAACACCAGACGGCACTCCAGCACTACTCTTGGGGGCCATTTTAGAAAGCAAAATCACCCCAAAAAAAAGCACAAAAATGCCAAAAAACATGGCACTAAATATACCATGAAAAGATGCTCGTTTAGTTTAAAAGCTAAAGCAAGGCAGAGCACTGCCTTGTTCAACCTCAGCATGTTCTGCGCTTCCAGCAGCTCAAATATTCTCTGCTCTGCTTCTGTTTGCAAATGACCACAAAAACCTGCCAAGTATTGATTTTGAGGTTACAAATCAATTTTAGCAAGCAGGCAAATTTACAAATATGGAATCTGTGAATATTGAGGATGGACTGTATTTCACTAAGGTACTGGTGCATCCTAGCTGTGTTTCAGTCCTACCAAAGATACATTTTTCCCAAGGTGCTGCCTATAAAGCTGCCAGCTAGCCTCTAGCTTTGCCCCCACACCTGGTGGTGGTCTGTACTTCCTGTCTTCACCTTGTCCCTTCCTACTTGAGACTTACTGGTATCTCCTCCAGGTGGTCACCCCTTTGATATAATTCGGATGTTTGTCCCCTCCAAATCTTGTGTTGCAATGTTATTCCCAATGTTGGAGGTGGGGCCTGATAGGAGACGTTTGGGTGATGGGGGTGGATCACTCATGAACGTCTTGGTGCCATCCTCATCCTCATGGTAATGAGTGAGTTCTCACTCACTATGTTAGTCCCCCTGAGAACTGATTGTTAAAAAGAGCCTGGCGCCTCCCGCCCCTCCCCTTCTCTCTTGCTCACTCTCTCACCAAGTGGCTTGCCAGCTCCCCTTGCCTTCCACCATGAGTGAAAGCTTCTGTGGCCCTCACCAAAAGCCAAGCAGATGCTGGCACCATGCTTCTTATACAGCCTACAGGACCATGAGCCAAGTAAAGCTCTTTTCTTTATAAATTATTAGATTGGTGCAAAAGGAATTGTGCTTTTGACATTAAAATTAATGGCAAAGACTGCAATTACTTTTGCACCAACCTAATACCCAGTTTTGGGTATTCCTTTATAGCAATGCAAGTGGACTAAGACACCCTTCTATGATGAGCCCCTCTATCCCCACCACTTTGTACCCCATGTAAGGCTTAGTTAAGATGCCTCTTGTCACGCTGACCCCATGCCTCTCTTTCACTGTGTCCTTCTCATTGTGCGGCCCCTGATGGATTTCCCATTGGTCCCACACTGGACCGTGGGTCCAGGAAAGCAAAATCTACGCGTCCCCAGTTTCTTGCATGCTTCTGATGCTCCATAAATGACTCATAAATACTGAGTGAACAAATGAATGAATTCATCCTAAACAGTTTCATCTGTATTTGGAATATCTGCAATACTACAAATAGTCACCCATTAGGAGATTCATGGGTGGGTCTTGACCACCATTTACAAATGAAATAGACTAAAGAAAATGTAAAATATGAAATGCATTGTACAAAGTAAGAGTATTATCTCTTGAAATGTTAGTTCTATATAACTATGTTCTGGGTCACTAGGTGTGATGGTTAATTTTGTATTAACTTGACTGAGTCATTGGGTGCCCAGAGATTTGGTTAAACATTATTTCTGGATGTGTCTGTGAGGTTGTTTCTGGATGAGATTAGCATTTGAATCTGTAGACTGAGTAAAGTAGTCTGTTCTCCCCAATGTGAGTGGGCCTCGTCAAATTCACTGAAGGCCTGAATAGAGTAAAAGGCTGAGTAAGAGAGAATTCTTCGTCTTTGCATGACTGTCTCTGAGATGCAACATTGGCCTTCTTCTGTCTTCAGACTCAGATTCAGACTGGAACTCACACGTTAGCTTTCCTGGTTCTCACACCTTTGGACCTGGGCTAGAACTTACACTGCCAGCTCTCCTCACTCTCTAGCTCATCACCTGCAGATATTGGATTTCTTGAGCTCCATTATCACATGAACCAATTCTTTATAGTAAATATCTTTCTCTCTCTCTCTCTCTCTCATATATATATATATATATATATATATATATATATATATATATATACACACACACACACACAGACACATACATAAATGGATATGTATAAACTAATGGGATACCTTATTATACATAATAATAGGATATATATATATATATACAATTGGTTTGATATTTCTTGCTGGAATTCAGGGTGAAAAATGCCTGAAAGTCCTAACTACCCTGGACCTATAACAGCTCACATACTTGTGAATTGACCTTCCGTGAAGATGATAAATTTTAAATGACAAATGACCCACACTGAGCCTGTGTATCAAGGTTTCTTAGTAAATTAGACAAAAATGTGTCCCTTTTGGATCTGCCAGGGAAAGGCCCCTTTTCATTCTGACCAGTGACCAAATTCACCTTAATGGCCATTGAGTGAGCAAATCTCTGGCCTGGTCTCACTTCACAAAATAAGACAATGGATTGAGCTCAGGAATAAACACCTACTTTTATGTTTTAATGTCCCAATGTATATGATTCTGTATATCAGAGCCTAAAATCTTTCTAGTGGATTTTCCTTCAGTGGAAACTTGTAATAAAATTATTTCATTTGTAGGGGGAAAAAGGGAAAATGAAGCACAATTTGAGATGATTTAAAATGTTTCTCCAGCTCTAGGAAACCTGCTTTGTTCAACATATTTCCCCAGATAAAGATGCCGGGACGTAGAGTATTTTTTCTGTTTTTATGGGAGTCAAGGATTAGAGATTTGGGAGAGGTAATGAAGAGTAGAAGGGCTATCAGCTCTTCTACCTTTTTTGAGTGTGCAGGGGCTATGGGAGACTGGGCCCTCAACCCAGGGTGTGCCTGGGGAAGAGGCAGGGATTTGTGGAGCTGTGCTCTAAGAAGAGATTGACGAGCATGGAATTTTACAGCCTATACTGAGGAAAATCAGTGGAAGAGTTGTACCTTATAAGAAAGAACTTGCACAGTTGACATTGAGAGCAGAATCATTTGTACAGTCTCGCACGGCTGCATTGCCGTATCAGGTTACTGGATAGATGAAGTTATAATGAGATTAGAATAACCAAGACACTAATATCCTGCTAGTTCATGAATATTTAGTAGATCCTCTCAGGCCAACATCTTACCCTGTTTGCATTCTATCCCTGAAAGAATCAGAGGGTAACTTGTACCTAAAAGCCCATTAGAGAAGATTTTCTATAGAGATGTTGCACTTAGCCTGGGGATTTTAAGTTTTGGTCTTCATGGTGTCAGATTTTAAGAATCAGGAAAAGGAATGGCCTAATTTTGCCTTTCAGGACTTACATAGAATAAAGGAAAAAATCTGGACAACAAAAACAGAAAGACGCCAGGCCCCATCTCTCTGTGACTAAAGCGTAAATATTTAAGCTTTGCTGCTCTCTAACTCGGGAATCTTGGACTGGGGAATAGGCCATTATCTGGGTTACACTTTAAAAGGCTTTCCTTTCTTCCATCCATTCTGGGGTCCTTAATCACAGCTCAGGTCTCCCTTGAGGTTACCCTGTGCACTGGTCTCAAAAGTTCATTCCCAAAGTGCTGACCTCTCAGGGGAGACCCTTCACTGTCAGGGTGGGCTTTCAAAGGGAGGCATCAGTGCTTGCCCTGAGACGTGAGGCCTACTGTGCCCTGGGCCTGACGGTGTGATGGCCTGAACATTGCTGGCCTCCAGCCAGGTCTTTTCTGAGACGCCTGTGCTCTTGCCAAACAGTTGTTAAAAGTCTTGAATCTCAATTCCCACTTTCAGGGTCTCCAAGGTCTTATACATTTTAACTCCAAAGTATTTACTGAGCCCTACTCCATCCAAGACACAGCTGCAGGTCCCAAAAATACACTGGGCAGCAAAACAGACCCAGCCTCACCCGTCATGGAGTTCAGAGTCCAGTAGAAGAGACGTACCAAATAATCGCAAAAACAAAGAGATTATTTCAACCATCGTGAGTGTTGGGAAGGAAAGAGACAGAGAGTTATGGGAACCTAGAATGGGAGGAGACAGACCTACACAGGAGGTCAGGGTCAGCTTGCCTGAGGAGGGAGATCTGATGGGCGCCTATAAGTTAACTAGGCAAAGACAAAGATCACAGAGGTGTGGAAGGGTGAAGAGGGAGCTTCCAGCAGTGGAAACTGCGTTTGCGAAGGCCCCATGGCAGGAGCGGGCAAGACAGGGTGGATGTCAGGGACTGAAGGGAGCCTGTCTGGGTGGAGAAGAGACGGTAAGGCTGAGAATGGTGAGGGTGAGGCCAGACCACCCAGGCCTTGCTGTCCATGTTAAATATTCACCTTTCACAGAATGGTAAGGGAAAGCCATTAAGTATGTTAAGCAGAGGTCAGAAAGTAGGTGAGGGTGGGAGGGGGAAGAGCAGGGAGGCTGGAGGTTTACTCAGCAAATACTTCTTGAGCATCTAGGATGAGGCAGGGGTCAGAAGTGAGCCAAAAGCTTCCCTTTGCAGAGGTCATGTTGTAGTGGAAGGAGGTGCACATTTATCAACCAGATGCCTAAGTGTAGTGAGGACGTGACAGGGTGCTATGCAGGAAAATAAAGCAGGAAGAAAGTTAAGAGTGAATGCAACCGGGGTGCATGCTGAGGGTCCAGAGAAGACCTCGCTGAGAAGGTGACCTTTGAGTAGAGACTTAGGTGAGCCTTGCATATGTCTGGTGGAAGGGCACTCCAGGAACCGGGAATAGCAAAGGCAAAGGGCCCTGAGTCAGGAGCACGTCTGCCAGATGCCAGGAACAGCAGGCAGGCCAGTGCAAATGGAGCTCAAGAGCAAAGGGAAAGGAATAGCAGGTGGGATCAGGGAGGTGACAGGGAACCTGGGCATGAGAATGTTGGTCTGTTGAAAGGGCTTGGGGTTTTATTCTGAAATAGGAGCCACAAGAGGGTCCTGAGGAGGGATAAGGTCTGCCGCAGGTTCTAAGTGGATTCCACTGGCTGCAGATGGAGAAAGGACTGTGGATGGGAGGCATGGGCTGGGGCAGGGAGACCAGCAGGGAGGCCAGGTGGAGGTGATAGTGGCCTGAGCCAGGTGGTCAGAGTGATGGGGGTGAGGGGCTCTGATGCTGCCCATCTTGCAGGTAGAGCTGGCAGGATTTGCTGGCAGATGAGAAGTGGAGTGGGGAAGAAAGAGAGGAGTAGAGGATGACTCCCAGGTGATGGCCTGAGAGCTGGGAGAGTGGGGCTGCCATTTAGAGATGGGGAAGACTGAGGAAGGACTGTGCTCAGATAAAGCCCCTCTGCCAACTGCAAGAGACACAGGGCAGCAGGGACAGAGTGACGGAGTTAGGAGATGTGTCACAGTCCTCCAAGGAAGAACATGTCTCTCTGGAATTTGTTGGTCTGATGATCTGCTTTTTGCTGAAATGACCAGGCTAATGGTGTTTTCGGGACCTGCTGTTAACCATGGAGCTGGGTCGTGAGCTGTATATAGTTTATAAAAATAATTCAACCTTCCTGTATCCTATGACACATTTTATATCAGAGAATCATAAAAAATCCTTTTTATTGAAAAATTTTGTTTAATAAATGGGGCACATGTTATCACTTAGCCAAATCAATTATCTCCTCCAGACATTTGTATCTTTATGAAAAGACAGACTTCTTTTGACTTTAATGGCGATGATGTCATCTCACCTGCAGCAATAGCGCAATTTTAGGCATTTGGAGAAAGAGGAAAGAAGAAAAGACAAATAACAGAAGTGGTAGGATTTTCACAAAGATAGTCATACATTCACTAGGAATTCAGCCTAGAGCCTAGTCACTTTGTGACCAAGAAGTGGGTCATAACACTAATTTGATGAGTTTGAACCAACACTTTAAACAATTAGAGAGCATAAATGGATTGGAAACTATCAGGGCGCATTACATAGAGTAAGGCCATGTGTTATCTTGTACAAATTTCATTTTGATTTGTGTAGGCATTTGTGTGTGTGTGTGCGTGTGCACATGCGCGCGTGCGCTGGTGCATGTATGCATACTGGGGTCAATGTAAAATGTATTTCTTTTATTGTAGGTCATTCTTCAAAATGTTTGAAAGTCACCAGACTAGAAACCCTTGATAGTTCATGAGAGGTTCTTCTACAATGGGCTGTGCCCTTCTCCGTTAGAGAGAGGGTTAGCTTTACCAAGTAATAGTGCTGGCTTTTTCTGTGCTAAAGAAAAGGCATTGAGCTGATTTATTCCATTCCAGAAAGTTCCCATAATCTAAGAGGCAAGCAGGCAAAACTAACGGCAAATTTCTCCAAAGTGGTGCCTTTTTCAGTAGTGATTTTCAAAGCAAGATGTTGGCATGACAGTTGCTGAGACTATCATGAAAAATGTTAGCAGAGGCAGTGAAAAATGTAGGACCCATCATGAGACACCGAGAGAAGGCCCTAACAGACTACATCCTTTAGGTAGGTTCAGCCCTTCCGTAATCTACAAGGCCCTGGCCCCACCTCCAGCCAGGTCACACCCTAGCTTGGCCACCCCGCCCCTTCCGCCCCCACCCTTCCCCGGCCTGACCCCGCCCACAGCTTGGCTCCTCCCCCATGGCCCAGCCTCCTAGACTGACCCCGCCTCCTCGCTGGCCACACCCCTAACCGGTCCCACCCCTAGCCTGGCAAACACATTTTTAGCTAAAGTAGACCCTGCCAGTTTTCCAAAGGGCTCAGAGGGCACTTCAGTCTCCTCTTTCTGTACAGATGAAACCTGGTAGGAATGCTTGCATTTCCGCCCCAGCCGCCTCCTTTCCTGACGCCCCGGAGGCCTCCTCGTAGTGTATTTGGGACAGGCAGACTCCGCATCACTCAGTAGATACCTACCGAGATCTACTCTGTGCTCAAGATCCAGGTCCCGGCCCCAGCGGTGAAGGAAGCGGGCAAAGCCCCCTCCCTCTGAGGTGACGTCTCCAGGGCTGGTCACAGGGACTCCAGGGCCACGAGCACGTGGGTGACCACTCCGCGGATTATCCCACCTCAGTCGTAAGCTCGTGGGGCCCCTCCCAGCTTTCTGGGTGGTTTCTGTCCCCTTGAGGCGATTTACAACCCAAGTCCAGAGAGCGAGAGGTTGATGGGGGGCCTGGCCCGCCCCTATCTCAGGGAGGCAGGAACTGCTTAGAGCTCCGTGCGCGTGGGACCCATGGCTCTGACAAAGTCTTGGACAAACACTGCTTCCCGATCCTTCTCACCCGGTCGCCTCCTGCCTACAGCATCTGCGGACGCTCAGCCCCAAGAGATGCGAGCTGCTCGGGGACCGCCCTGAGTTTCTGAGAGTCCTGGGGCGATGGCACCTGGGTCCTGTGCAGATGGCACTGGGGAGTCTCGAAGGCTTCGACTCGGGCTGAGCGTGGGGGTGGGCGCGGGGGATGCTCAGTCCTGACCCCACCACCGCGGCCCGGAGGACATAAGACGGGGGCTGTGTCCCCTCAGAAAGAGACAGCAGGTCCCGCTGTGTGCCCACGCTGGGAAGAGACGGTCCAGCCTCCACCAAGTGGAAACCTGAGCCCAGAGGAATGGCCCTGCCCCTTCCGCTCGACCTGGCCAGTCCTGTCTGTGGGTTTCCATTGTCAGCCATGAAGGGGAATTGAGACTCACAGGTGGGGTTAAGCCGAGTGACGGGAAGGTTAATTCTGGATGCACAGGGAATCTGAAGATGGAATTGTGAAACATTCATGGATTTGCCCCAGTATTCCAGCCAACCATGCCTGTGTGGGTGTGTGTGGGGTGTGTGTGTGGGGGGGTATGTGTGATGTGTGTGTGTGTGTGTGTGTGGTGTGTGTGGCATGTGGGTGTGTGTGGTGTGGCGTGTGGGGGGGTATGTGTGATGTATGTGTGTGTGTGGTGTGTGTGTGGGGGAGTATGTGTGACGTATGTGTGTGGTGTGTGTGGGGGGTATGTGTGATGTATGTGTGTGGTGTGTGTGTGGCATGTGGGTGTGTGTGTGGCGTGTGGGTGTGTGTGTGTGGAGGGGTATGTGTGATTGTGTGTGGTGTATGAGTGTGTGGCTTGTGGGTGTGAGTGTGTGGCATGTGGGGGTGTGTGTGGTGTGTGTGTGGTGTGGGAGGAAGTGTGTGATGTGTGGATGTGTGTGGTGTGTGGCGGGGAGTGTGTGGTGTGTGTGTGTGTGTGTGGCGGGGGGGTGTGTGTTGGGGTTGACTGTGTATAGTTCCCTGATTAATGATTCCTGCCTCCTAGCCTGATTCAACGGATGGAGCCAAATGGCCTAGTGGTTAAGAACATGGTCTCTGGAGCCAAACTGCCCCACTAAGCAGGTGCCTTGAGCACTCTGCCTCAGCTTCCCCATCTGTAGCATGGGGAGCTTAGTAATAGTGCTGTGTCTCATTGGGTTGGTGTGAGGACTAAGTGAGATCATAGATACAGGGCATGGGGAATAGTGCCCGGCGTGTGCCAGCTCCCACCACTCTGCAAAGAGGACACGTCCTACCTCCCCATAGCCAACTCACACCCAGCAGCTCCTGCATGGACGTGGTGCTATTCTCTGGGGACCTGCATGCACCTGACTTCAGCCTGGCCTTCAGGGGTCATTCTCCGGGTGAACACAACCTGGTTCATATGTAAAGGAATTTTAGCCCTAAGAAGGTGTCTGCTAGGTCCCCACTGATGAGCACCCCAGACGGAGTGATCTCAGGTCAAACGTCCCTTTCAGAAGAGAATGTGGCAGGAACAAGAAAGATTTCAAATGCTTATGCCCTGGACCCAGCACCTCCCCCTCTCCAGCTGTGCCCTGGAGGATCCTCCACCCACGTCCATGAGGAGACGTGGACCTGCAGGGCTGTTTGTAATGGCAGAAAATTGGAACCCACCAGAACG
This sequence comes from Homo sapiens, assembly GCF_000001405.40. NCBI lineage: Eukaryota > Metazoa > Chordata > Mammalia > Primates > Hominidae > Homo > Homo sapiens. Next base: position 48,386,647 of record NC_000020.11, read on the forward strand.
CCCATCAACACAGAGGGGCCAAAGCCAACCCTGGTGGAGCCTCCCCAAGGAACACTGGGCACAGTGAGGAATGAGGCAGAACCTCATGCACAGCCATCGACGGGGTCTGGGCTGCCCGGTGTGAAAAGGCAAAATGCAGGAGGATGCAAACAATGTCTACATTCACCCACATAAACACACACACATATGGACCTAGACATAAATTCACCCATATAAACACACACACGGACATAGACATAAATTCACCCATATAAACACACACACATATGGACACAGACATACATGTATTTCAAAACCCCTCAAGAGCATTCTATATAATACATGAGATGGACTGGAACACTTATATAAATACATCAACTGCCCGAAAGCCTCTAGAGTCCACTCCAAGCCCAGGCTGCACAGACCTGGCCCTGCCCAGCTGTTCTCTGATCCCCACTTCTCCTGTCCTCCCTGCCCTGCTCCTGCCATTCCCCAAGTGCCACCCACCAGCCACCATGCCCTGGAAATGCAGCATGTTCCCGCTTTAGGCTGCTGCTCCTGCTGTCCCCTCTGGGGGACCAGTCCTCCTCCAGGTGACCCATGACAACCTCCTTCTGCTCAGATGCCACCTCCTGCCAGAGGCCTCCCCTGACCACCACCACCAGTCCCCACCCAGGTTCCTTCCATTTCTTACTCTGCTCTGTATTTTACTTATCATCTGCCTCATTCTCGGCAGAATGTACACTCCTTGGAGGTGATGGAGTGGCACACAGTAGGTACTTAATAAGCATTTGTTGAATTAATTTCTATATCTTATCTGAGTAACCACATAGACGACTGCATAGGAAAAGCCTCTGAGAGGACTCATGCCCAACCCAGCAGTGATGATCTGTGGGCAGGCTGGTAGCCTGGGGGAGATCAATGGAGACCTGAGCTTGTCTTTAATGTCTTGGTTTTCTTACAGGGAAATACACTTATGTATTAATTGTGTCATGAAAATTAATTTTAATTTAAAAATCAATTTCATGCAATATCGATTTCACAATAAAGAAATAGATTTTTTTAGTTTCCTTGATGGAGATATTTGACACCAGGCACTTCGTCATTCAGAAAGAACCAGCTTCACAGTAAACAAATTTTGGTGCCTTAATAACAAGATCAGCAACAGCTACAATGCCTGCTCCTCCTGCTAACAGTTACGCAGGGCTTTGCTCATACCAAAGCTTTGCCTCTCACGACCTCTTTCGGTCCTCAGGACAATGAGGCAAAGTTGGAAGAAGATTATGACTGTTTCTCTTTTGCTGAAGGAGGTGGAGTGACTTTCTCCCTGCAATGGGTTCCTATTGAAGGATTACAGCAACAATTCACCAGGCTCTTCTTCACCTGACCCTGAATCTCACAGCCCAGTAGCCCGTAGCCCTGACCCTGCCCCCAGCCCCAGCAGTGGGCTGTGACTGGCCTGATGCAGTCAGGTCAGCTCTTCCCACTCTCTGACCTTGACTGATTCAAGAATGGGCACCTGGCCCAAGGGGGCCAGTGAAAGGTAAGATGTTGCCTGGGCTCCCTGGCTTTTCCATGGTTTGCTCTGGGTAAGTTGGACGGGATGCAGCTCTTAGAACCACTGCAGCCTTCTCTGCTGCCATGAGAGAAGACAGTCTGAAAGCATGACCCATGAGAGAGGAAGGAACCAAGAGAACTTGAGGGAAACTGAGCCACAGCCTGATCCAATCATTCCTGATGGTGTTTATCTCTGGGATTTTTGAAGGCTTGAGCCCACAAATTTCCCTGTTGGTCACACCTGTTCCCACTAAATTTTCTGTTCCCTGCAGCCATAGCTCTCTATCTGATTCTGACTCTCGTGTCGCATGATAGTAAGGGGTAGATTATTAAACTAAGGCCTTCCCTGGCTGGCTCTTTGTGTGTAATACACACCTTCTCACAGCCAACCTGGTTCTTTACATCTAAACTTCAGAGTCAGACGAGAGACCCTAGAGGTCATCTAGTGCAGCCCCTTAGTGTAACCCCTGAGCAAAGTGAGGCCTGGGAAGAAGTCGTGAGCCTGGATCACAGGGCTGGACTTTCTATCCCCGATTGCTCCTGTTTTTAGGTTAACATGATCTAAGAGACCACCTGTGACAAGACAACCTGAGCTTCATGTGTCAATGCAAACTCTGTATCTGCACACCCAAAATGAAGCAAAGTCTGTATCTGCAAACCCAAAATGAAGCAAAGTCTGTATCTGCACGCCCAAAATGAAGCAAAGTCTGTATCTGCACGCCCGAAATGAAGCAAAGTCTGTATCTGCACGCCCGAAATGAAGCAAAGTCTGTATCTGCACGCCCAAAATGAAGCAAAGTCTGTATCTGCATGCCCAAAATGAAGGAAAGTCTGTATCTGCACGCCCAAAATGAAGTGGCAAACAATGGCAGTTGTAGATCAATCAGTGATAAAACCTCTCTGTCCCAAGTATCTGGATATAAACGTACTTTTGCTTTTCTTTGAAAAATTAGATGACAGGGCCTTTTTTGTAATTGATACTGTTTCTTGGGTATAGATTTTCAGTGTCACCTTAAGTGCATATTTCTATCAAGAAATAAAAATACAAAATCTTAAAACAGAGCAAAGAAGAAATGTGAAATAATAACATCCATTTCATTCTGCCCCCACTCCCTTTGGACTCTCTGACTATGCTGAGGTTTGGTTTTCATTTTATTTATTTTAATAATTTCTTCTTTCCTAACTTTTCCTAAAATAAGAACGCATAGACTGAGATATACATTCTCCTGGTTTTCTAAAGCATGACTATGAGAGATGTATCCTAAATTGGAACTTTTTTCTACATGGTCGCATCCAAGGGTGAAGAAGGCAGGAGCCAGACATATTACAGCTTTGTTGAGCACAGTGGCAGTGTGCAAGTGAGAACAGGCTCTCAGAGTTTCACCTGGTGGAAAATGTTTATCAAGGTAATAGCAGACCCGTCAAGACTGTGTTACTCTTGCAGTGACAGATTTTTATGGTAAAAATGACTGCAATTTTAGGCCACTGTAAAATGTCTTTGGTTTGTGCTGAGCTACAGACAGTAAGAGCTTATGTGATAGATACTCATTATCTGCCATCCTTCCAAGGAATTTTCACATTGACTTACTTCCTACAATCCCATCAGAACAGTTTAATACAAAAGCAATTTTTATAGTCTGGTGATTGGGAGAAGTCATCTTGTTAATCAATTTTTACCTGATAAGATAATGATGCAAAACACATTTTAAGAGAAATTTTAGAGAAATCACCCATGTGGTTGTAGTTACAGCAGATTTGAGAATGGGAGCTTTGGAATCAGGGATATGGGTGTTCGAATCCTGGCTCTACCATGTACCTACCCATGTGACCCTAGGGAGGGTACTTACTTAAGGACATCACTCACTTGACAATGTCACGTAACTGAAGAGGTCACTTACCTGAGAGGTCGCTTCCCTTCGCTGAACCAATCCTCTCATTTCAAGGATTGTTGGGAAAGCTCAAAGTCAATATATCTTAAGACCTTGCTTCTCAATGTATAGTCTGTAAACCAGCAGCCTCTTCATCACCTAGAGGCTTATCAAAAATGCAGAGTTTGGGATTCCATCCAAATCCTACCGAATGGGAATTCGAGTTTAGCAAGACCCCCAGGTGGTTTGTGAGCAAATTAAAGTGTGAGAAGCACTGCCTTAAAGCACTTTGCATGTTGCTAGGTGAATGGCAGGGACTCAACATAGTCTGGCTATTGGTATAGGTTCTTATTGTGTGTGACAGCTAATTTTGGGTCAACTTGACTGAGCCAGGGGATGCCCAGATATCTGATTAAACATTATTTCTGGGTATGTTTGTGAGGATTTTTCTGAGAGAAATTAGCATTTGAATTAGTAGACTGAGCATAGAGGCAGAACCTCCCCACTGTGGGGGAGCAACATTCAACCCACTGAGGATGACTGAATAGAACGAAAGGGCTTAGAAAGGTTGAATTCTGGCTGGGTGCAGGGGCTCATGCTTGTAATTCCAGGACTTTGGGAGTCCAAGGCAGGAAGATCACTTGAGGCCAGGACTATGAGAACAGCCTGGGCAACATAGGGAGACCCCATCTCTACAAAAAATAAACTTAAAAAACAAATCAGCGAAGTATGGTGGTGCACACATACAGTCTCAGCTGCTTGGGAGGCTGAAGTGGGAGGATCACTTGAGCCCAGAAATTTGAGACTACATTGAGCTATGATCACACCACTACACTCCAGCCTGGGCAAAAGAGCAAGACCCCATCTCTAAACAAGAAAGAAAGAAAAGGGAGAGAGGAGGGAAGTAAAAGAAGGAAGGAAGGAAAGAAGGAAGGAAGGGGAAGGAGGGAGGGAAGGAAGGAAGAGAAGGAGGGGGTAGGGGAGAGGAGGGGAAGGAGGAAGGAAGGAAGTGGAAGGAGGGAGGGAAGGAAGGAAGGAAGGGAAGGAGGGGGCAGGGAAGAGGAGGGGAAGGAGGAAAGGAGTGAGGGGAGGGAGAGAAGGAAGGAAGGAAGGAAGGAAGGGAGGGAGGGACTGGATTATCTCTGCCTCTCTGCCTGACTGCTTGAGCTGAAATGAGTCTCTGACCTTCAGACTTGAACTGCCATCTACCAAATCACTGGCTTTCCTAGGTCCCTAGCTTGCAAATGAGAGATCATAGGACTTCTCAGTCTCCATAACTGTGCAAGCCAGTTTTTAATTTTATGTATATTAATCTCCTATTGGTTACTTCTCCTTTAAAATATTTTTGTGCAGTCTTACAGTTTTCATAGACGTTCACACTACACATTCAACATGGAGTTATTTTTAATTGTCTCCATAACAGTCCGCTGAGCAGTTATATTACCAAAACATCAGGGTTTGGACTAGGTCCTGCTGCTCATCACACAGAAAGCCAAGCACTGAGATGAAAAGTATTGCCAAGGAAGAAGGCTTTAATCAGCTGGGGCCCCCAAGGAGGTGGGAGCTTATCCTCAAATCCATCTCCCTAACTGACTAAAATCAGGTGTTTTTATAGCAGGCAAGAAATGTAACAATGTGCAAGAAAACAGGAACTTGGAAGGGGCAAGAAAGCAATCATGGTGGATGAGGGGTCCTGCAGTGATCTGGTTTCAGTCCTTTGGAACTTTTTGTGAGAGGCCTAAAGGTCATTTCCTGAGGAAAGAACTCAGATGAAACAAACATAAGTTTCAAGCTTTTTAAGACCAGAGGGCCAATGTCTATGTGTATCAAAAAGAACTGTCTATGGGGCAATTGGGTTGGTTTCAGTTATACCATACTTTATTCTCCTATTCCCTATCTTGATTGTTTCCAGAATTTTGCTACTAGAAAATAGCATGTGAGTGAGCATCCTTCTAAATACAGCTCTCCTTCTGAAGGGAAAAACAAATGAAAGACAAACAAGCAAACAACAGGAAAAAAAGGAGAGAAAAAGGAAAAAAAAATCATGTATCCATCCCTTTGGGGGTTGAATGTCTTCTTTAATCAGGGGTTTATACAGCAGGGAATAAATGTAACCATGTGTGGGAAAACAGGAATTAGGGAAGAAGAGTTGGTCAACAAGAGGCAGGTGGTCAGCAGTCGTGATGGGTGAGGGATCTGGTGTCTCTCATTGTCCAGATACAGTGATCTGGTGAGTTTCAGTTTCTTGATGCTATGTGGGAGGACTGATGGCTGCTTTCTTGAGAAAGGAACTCAGATAAGACAAATGTAACTTTCTCAAGTTGAGACTGGGAGGGTCAATTTCTATGTTTACTCAAAAGAAACCATAAACATCAGTTCTATGGGACAATTGGGCTGGTTTTCGGGACAATTACCCCACCAAGTACAGGCGCAAAGCTGCAGGGAACACAGGATGCAACCGGAGGAGGGACTGGTCTCACCTCCATGGCTCTGATGCCTCATTATCACCTCCAAGCAGGAGCCCTGCTAGGCCTCTCCCACAGCCATAGGAGGCCCTGGAGAGCCCTGGTCTTAGTGCCCCTCACCATTCTCTGTCCCTGGTCACCAAGGACTGGCCAAGACCAAGTGGACTGCACCCTCTGCCACCCCCACGCAGGTGCCTGCTGCCCTGAGCTGCTTCCCTGATGGGCAGCCATGGGGCTTCCCCCTCTTCAGAGCCACTGCAGACAAAAGCTCTCACTGCCCAGAGCATGTGTTCTAGAACTCAAACAAGTAAATGACTGAGAAACTGAGTATGTGCAGGGGTGGCTGGGTTGTGGGACAAGGCAGGCAGGGAGGGGATGGAGGATGGGAAGGGCACTTGGGCTCGGGGAGTGGGAGGGGTCAAAGGTCTCAGGGAGAGTGGGGGATCCTCATGCCTCAGAGCTGGGGAAGACCGTAGTGGGGATGAGGGAGGACTTGGGTCCTGGGCCTCCTTGGCTGCCTGGGGATAAAGGGGAGATGGGAACAGCCGGCCAGTTCCCAGGGAAGCAATGGTAGGGCTGCGGCTATGAGCAAACCAGGGAACTGGGTCTTGCAGCGGCGCAGAGCTCTGGCATCTCTTCCGTCCCGTCCCTGGGCCAGGCCTAGAGGAGACTGGTCCGTAGCATGGTCCATGGTGTTGCTGCCCCTGTGGAGTTTCAGGAGCCCCAAGGGCTGCCCAGGGGCCAAAGCATCTCCTGTGACCTGCCCCCACCCAGCAAAGGGAGAACCTGGGATCCCCCTCTTCTGAAACAGTCTTTCCAGAGGCAGCTGCAGCTTCTCATCTCACAGAGGCAGCATCACTCAGAACCCCCAGAAAGGCCACTGATTAAATGCCACGGAGGAGAGTGGTGATGGGGTCTGTGGACGGCAGCTCAGAGCCAGAGACAGGACCGGGTGATGGATGGCCCCAGGCCCCGCCGCTCCCTGCCCAGTGCGTATTCTGGGTACAAGGGTAATTAAGAGAAGTGTTTCTTTTTTACAGCCAGGTGCCTTTCCCTCAGGTGCTGAGGTGGTTAGAGATTAAAACATCATGAACAGAATATGGAGTCACAGAGAAAGAGCAGCCAATGAGCCCAGCTTCCAGGAGGGTCACGGGAGGAGGTAGAGCCGCACCGTAGGTTACACAATGGCCACCCAGAGACACAAGTCCTCATCCTTGCAACCTGTACATGCAACCTTGCTTGTCAAAAGGGTTTGCAGATGTCATGAAGTTAAGGACTTTGACATGGAAGGATTGCGCTAGATCACCCAGGTGGCCCCTAAATGCTATCGCAAGAGTCCTTATGGGAAACAGGCAGAGGGAGATGACACAGACGCACAGAGGAGGAAGGGGCAGAGACTGGAGCGATGCAGTCACAAGCCCGAGAAGTGGGAGGAGGTGAGGGACCGAGTCGCCTGGGGAGCCCCTGGAGGGAACACAGCCCTGGGATTTTGGACTTCTGGCCTCCAGAACTGTGGGAGAACGAATTTCTATTGTTTTAAGGCACCAACTGAGTGGGAACTTGTTCTAGCAGCCCTAGGAAGCTGATGCAAGAGTGGGGAGAAGAAGCTGCCTTTATTCAGCCTAACTCACGGACAAAGCGGGAACAGAAATCCCACACATCATTTCCTTGTTGCTGAGGAACGGCTTTGCTGCCCAGAGCCCTTGGTGACTTACAACTCCTCGAGGTGGACTGATGGGCAGAGAAGGCTACTGAGACAGAGAAAAAACATAAAACAAAACAGGGATTTGTCAAGGCCCTTTGGTATTTAACCACAAAAGAGATATAAACAGCCAAGGGCCTAGATTCACTTTGAAGGCTCAGTAAGTGGGCCTTCAGCTAAGACAGGCTTCTGTCCATCAATCCATCCTTCATTTGCTGAGCAGGTATTGTGCCAGGCACTTTTCTAGGTCCTAGAATACAGCTCTGACCAGGACAGACCTGGCCCGGGCCCTCAGAGGGTGAGTGTTCTGGTAAAGGAGGCACAATAAACAAGGAAATAAAAAACAAGATTGAAGAGGGTGAAACTGCTCTACAGGAAACAAACTGGGAATTGAAAGAGCAAAGGGAAGAAAGGCCACATTGGATGGGGAGGTGAGGACGGCCTCTCTGAAGAGGTGAGCTTTGAGCTCAAGCTGAGCACTGAGAAGATTCCAGCCCAGTAACAGCTATCAGGAGATCACGCCAGGTCAAGGACACAGCAGGTGCCAAGGCCTGGAGGCAGGACTGGGCTGGACAAGTCCAGGGAACAGAGAGGATGCCAGGACTGAGGACGTAGGGAGAGCAGGTTGCAGGGATGCAGAAAGCGGTGCGGGGTGTGGATCAGGCAGAGCCTCCTGGGACAGGGTAAGCTCTTCTGGGGTTCACGGGAGCAGTGGGAGGTGATTGGAGTTTATATGGTGGGGGTGCAGCACAGCTGGTGCACATGTCTGGACAGCCACTGACTGGCTGCTGGGAGGGAATGGAGGATTAGGGCAAGAGTGGAAACCGTGGGTCCAGGCTGAATCCAGACCTACAAGATGCGAGACCTTGTGCAAATGCGTCTTTCCTGAGCCTCAGGTCCTCGTCTGTGAATGAGGGAATCATGAGCCATCCTGAGGCTGATCTGAGGATGTAACAAGAAGGCGCCCAAGGCAGAGCCCAGCACACAGGGTCAGTGTCTTTCCATAACAATAATGAGTGAACCTTGACCTTCCTAGTCTCACACCTGTGACCCAGGAGATAACTCAGGCCAAAATAACGCGCCCTCGGGTTGCCCCATGGGTGTGCTTGTGTAGACCTGGCCCCTTCATCGGTTCGGCGTTCATTCTGTCTAGACTGTTAGGGTTTCTTCACATACTGAGAACACGGTCCTGGTATCGGGACCGCAGGTTCTAATTCACATCTCACCTGGGAATGGCAGGGCAGTTCATTAAAGTGACTCAACCTAGAGCAGAGCTGTTAGGGAATGAGGTGGTAAGGCTTAAGAGCAAACACTTGCCTTGCTAGTTCAGCAAGAATCCAGGAAATCTTCTTGAAGCACATATTTTCCCTTGCTCAGAGTTTTCAAACCCCAGGCTGGGTTTAATGGTGTGGGATATAATGGGGTTTCTCTTTAAATACTCTGATCAATCTTTTATCCTTTAATTCATAGTACTCCCTCCCCCACCTTTTCTTCTTTTTCCTTTTTGCCTTTGTTTGTTAGATGCCCAGGCACGCCTCAGTACCAAGCGTTATCAGTACCAGCTCACATTCCTTTCCTTACACGGAAAGGGGACTAACTTTCTAGCTCATTACAGACACCCCCTTCCCCTTTCTCTCCACTTTCTTTTACATACCCACCCTATCTAAAAAAAAAATCAAATGTTTAGCCAACCGGGATTAGTTTAGATTGTACAACCCGACCCCAGCCAATGGGGAAAGGGTACAGGGGCAGGACTTGCCTCAGGAATAAAGGCTCTCGTGCCATTTGTTCAGATGTGTTCTCATGGCAACTGGCCAAGGAGGCACTCCTCTGCGCAGAAGTAAAATTGCTTTGCTAAGAATCTTTTGTTCAAGTGTTCAATTTCCTTAGGATTTTGAGCGTTGTTCCTAACAACGGAAACCATGATCTCTTCCCCAAGATTGCTCAGAGGTATCCACTTGTCCTTCCAGGTAGAGGGAATAAAATGGGCCACCATGAGGCAGCAGGCAGACAAATTCAGACAAATTCCAGGTTGGCTGAAGCATTCAAAGCTAAATCCAGAATTCACGAACCTTATTCCGCACCAACCATCTGATTGCTTCAAGATTCTTTGAACAGCTGGCTGCCAGGGATTCTGGGTAAGTGTAGCACCCCAGAGGCAACTGCTCCTGGGAATTCAACAAGCAGCGACATGAAAAGTAAAATGAGGGAGAAGGGATCACTGTCAACCAAAGAGACACTAGAGACTTAACAACCAGATGCCATGTGGCCCTTGTTGAATCTTGATTGACAAAAAGCAACAGGAAAAAGACATTTGGGAGACAACTGGAGAAATTCGAACATGGACTGAATGTTAGACAATTATGGGGAATTATTTTTAATTTTGTTGGAGGTGATAAAGATATTGCAGCTATGTTAGAAAACATCCACGTGAGGTCTGGGGTTTGCCTTAAAATAAGTTGGCAGGAAGAAGGGAGAGAGCTCGAAGGAAGGAGCAAACCCTGATAACTGTGAGCCTGTGTGATGGGTGTATGGTGGTTCACAATGTTCTTCCGGTTGAGATATCCAGAGTAATTCTTTAATTGTATTCAGTTTATTTTTCAAGATTGCAATTTCTTTGAGAAAGTGTTGCTGAATATTGCAAAAGGTAGCCCGGGGATTGCCATTGTGTCTTTTTTGCTACTGCCCATGTAGCCAGGTATGAACAGGGCATTTCGCATGGGCATGAGGCGGGGACTGTAAAATATTACTACCTGTTCAGGAGACATGGCTCCCTGCAACCCCCGGCCAAGTCCTGGATGCCAGGACGGGATTTCATGTGCACGCCATCTGAAGCTACCAGCTTGCTCACTACACAAGTCGACAGACTGATGTGACTGTATGCAGCGCTGAGCACAACAGCCGGGGCCTGTCACCCAGCTCACCAGCAGAGAGCCAGGGGTGTTTTCAAGCAGAAATAATGGGCCACTGTGGCTTTTTAAAGAGATATGATTTATCTCTGGGACCGCATCCAGGCTAGAGCTGCTGGAGGACAATGACAGGCTCCTGGGCCAGCGAGGAGGCTTTCACACCTTGGCTTGTCTGCAGACGGAGGACAGCTGGGGCTTCGCAGGCTGAGGCACCCAGGGGTTGTGGTGATCAGCAGGGGGCACAGAGAAGCAGCCAACTCTGCACCCTGAGGAGGGTGGAGATTTGGAGAATTTCTGTTGGATTTGAACCACACGACGGTTCCTTGGAGGAACCGGGAGTCCAGGTGGAATCTTTGCAGGCAGGGTCATGTGGTTTGGCCGCCTTCATTACTCAAAAGCAGGAATCTGTGTTTGGGAAGATGTGAATTACGTACTTTTGATTGAAAACAGCTGCACACCCACAAATCCCTTTAGCCAGTTAATTGGACCATGACAGGCACTCCAGATGTCTACCCACATGCCCTTTTCTTACCAACAAGACCCTGATGATCACGCGCTCCCTGGATGGTGCCCAGCTCTCTGGCTGCTCATCCTTGTGTGACACAGCTCTAGCCAGTGGTGGGGGGGTGCGGGAAGGAGGGGGTTGCAGAACAGGCGGCTACTAGGGATTCTGGGTAAGTGTGGCCTTCTATTTAAGCCCCTTCCTCCTCTCACCTCCTCCTTTCTCCTCTCCTGGCTGAAGGCAGACAGGAGGCCAAGAGCGGCAGCACCAGCAGCCACAGGAGGCCTCAAGGTGAAGGCACCAGCTGAGGATGGTGGCAGAAAGGCAGAAGAAGCCAGGCTCTGGGCGATATCCTGCGGCCCCAGACTTCCCCTGGACCCTCTGCCCCTGGACCTGAGAATCTGGAATAAGGCAACGTCCCCCCGGAGATGCCACCATGCCTGGGCTTCTGTTGCTTTGAGCTGAGCACAGCCCTGGGTGATGGAGAGAGACAGTAGTGGTCACCCTACCCAGCAACCACCTGCACAGGTATACATTCCAGGTCGGCTGAAGCACTCAAAGCTAAATCCAGAATTCACAAGCCTTCTTCCACACCAACCATCCTATTCCTTCAAGATTCTTTGGACATGTGGCTGGGAATCACCGGGGACCCATCCCCTTCCACCCAGGAATCTGTCTGCCTCCTGCTGCCTTTCATGGCACCCGGGCTAGGCCCAGACTTTGCTTCAAGAATGAAGCTGGCACCCATAGTAGGGAGAAGCCAGGCAGCAGGAGCAGGCACTTCCGAGCCTGCGATGGCAGGAGGGCCTCCCTGGGTCCCCAAGAGTGCAGGGATGCCCGAGTCTGCAGCCAGGGTTTGGGTGACTGCAGCTGTACCTGGAGGGGGCTGGGGGGCGGGTTGCAGGTGGTGAGGCTCCTGCCTGCTGCATGGAGCAGGAGGCCCGGGTCTGCAGCGACAGTTTGGGCAGCTGCAGCTGCACCTGGAAAGGCAGGGCTCCTGCCTGCTCCCAGCCCCCAAAGAGCACAGGGAGGCTCAGATCTGCAGCCATGACTTGGGCTGGTGCAACCCCTCACAGGAGGGTGGGGCTCCTGCGCGCTCTGTGGAGTGGGAAGCCCAGGCCTGCAGCCGTGGTATGAATGGCTGCAGCGGCACCTGGGGAGCTCCTGCCCCAGCTTGGAAGGGGCAGGGCTCCCACTTGTCCCCAGCTCCTGTCAACTCCATGGAGCGGTCAACCCCGGCTGCACCTCCCTGCTACAGCTGGTGTGATGGCAGTGGCAGGCCATCTGGAGAGGCTGCTGCCATCAGTTGAGGCTGAAACTTCATCGGCCCCTTGGGAAACCTCCAGCCTCCCAGAAACCAAGAGAACATTTCTGCCTGCTGAGTTTCCCACCACGACCATCCTCTGTGGGCCTTTCCCACCTCCACGTGGGGCCATTTCCTTCAGCCTAATTCACTGGGCTGTCAGGGAACTGCAGCTGGAGTTGGCTTTGCTCACTTCTGGCCAGGAGAACACATTCTGGTCTGTTTTAACACCTAAATGACACACGTATGCCCTGCGTAATGCAGAAATGGAAAGTTCCTATTTGCAGAGGGAATCGTAGGCATCTTTGTGAGCTTTTGTTCAAAGTAAACAAACCTCCAGCAGGAGCTCCTTGCTGGGAGGTCAGACTCTGTTGCTGCAGCTGCTTTGAGGGCCCCCAAGCAAGAAGGAATTCTCCTAGCAGATGACCTTTGAACTCAACAGCAACTCTGCCCTGGGTCTCCAGCCTGCTGGCCTAACCTGCAGATTTTGGACTTACCGAGCCTCTACAATCATGTGAGCCAATTCCTTAAATTTCTCTCTCTCTCTCCACGTGCACACACACACACACACACGCATGCATATATATATACATTTCCCTTTAGTTCTGTTTCTCTGAAGAACATTGATTAATAAATACACTCACTTTCAGTATGGACATAATCACATGTGCCCTGCATAGGTTTTGGAGCTGATGTCACAAGAACAAAATTATATATATGTGCTTTGTTAGTAGTCATATTAATCATTATTACTCTAACCTTGGATTAAATATTAATTTGATAATTAGTACTCTGATCTCACATTTTCCTGCCAGCTTTATCAATTATTGACACAGGACTGGGTTCACATCAGAGGACCCCAAATCCTTCAGAGACATCAGGGTTAAGGTCTCAAGAGGAAGCAGAGTTCACCCCCTATGGTTCAAATCAGATATGAATGAAGGGACCCTTTGCAGAGGGGCAGTCAGGGCTAAAGAATGAATTGGGAAGTTGAGGCACACAGAGATTAGCAGCAGTCAGAAGCTGTTACCATCCCCGGGGAGGATGGGACAAGGAGAAGAAGCAGCCACCCACCTGACCAATCATCAGGGAAGGACAGAGGGACCCTGAGAGACAGGATGCTGAAGCAGGGGGCCAGGAAAGAAAGAGCGCCCCCCCTTTGTTGCTCCTCTGCCCCCTCTCCTCCTGCTGGTGTCTCCCATTGACTGAAACTGACCCAAAGCCACAGGCCGAGGGAGCCTGGCAGGGGCCTGCAGGACAGACCCTGGGCACAGAGCAGGCAGAGCTGAGGATGGCTGTCAGGGGTGAGAGGTGCCGGGAGGGGAGCATGACTGCCCAGTGCAGGGCCGGGAAGGCCACTCCAGAATGAGCCAGCAGGAGGAACATCGACCGTGGGTCCCCAAGGGAAGGGCCTCCCTCGAGGTCTGGAGGAGTGACCGACTCTGCTAGGGAGCTGCACCAGTAATCAGGAAAAATGATGTCCTACCTCAGCTTCCCTTTGCTTTTTCCAGACAGCCTGAAAGGCTGCAGAGACGGGAGGAGGTGTTCAAACAGGCATGGCCAGGTGAGCCAGCAGACAGTTCCCCTCTGTGGCTGCTCTGGCAACACCTGGGGGTGGCCTCAAAGCAGCCTCGGGCTCTGAACCCCTAGCCTTGCTCCAAGACCAGCTCAGGGAGACCAGAGAGCAAGGAACATGCAGCACAGAGCAGGTCGCAGAAGCAGCACCAAGCAAGCCCAGCTGCAGGTCACCCGGGAGCCTCCGGTCCCCATCCCACGTGGCCTGGCCTGCTTGCTCCTCACTCTCACCAACTCTTCCCTTTCTCTGAGGAGGAGGAACCTGGGCCTTGGGCTCAGAAGGCGGGCCCTGCACTTCCCTCTGAGCATTCCCATCTCTGGCAAAATCGCCCATTACATGCAGAGGTATTGCTAATGGGCCTCCTAGTCCCACAGGGCATCACCTCTGAGCCTCTGCCAGGAGGCCGGGCACCGCCTGGCATCCCTGAGGGCCCTTCCAGGTGCTTATCGCTTCCCTCCTGCGTGGGAGTGAACAGGACCCACAGCCTCTGCCCCAGCCACTTTAACAATGAGATCGCACAGTCCTGGGAAGCGCTGAGACCTGGTCTGAGACGATCAGATGCTCCGTGAATTTCTCGTCACCCTCTCCGTCACCCCCTGCTATGCGCCCCTGTTGTCATCCTGCAGACCCCAGAACATGCAAGGAGGATCTTTCCACACAAAAGTCATTTCTGCGTACAGTTTACCTGCTGTTCTGTCACTCGTTGGGAGAAAGACTGTCAGAGCCTAACAGCTCTTTAAGGCCAGCATATTTATGTCAAAACCAATCCTGAAGCCCCAGGTCAAATTCACAGTCAAATGGAAAAAGTGGGAAGAAAGAGTTTTAGCACCTATCACAGACCTCCCAGGAGCCACGTTCTGTGCTCGAGGCTTCGCTGACATTAAGTTGAATCAAATGAAATTGATTTTACAGGTCATAATAGTTACATATGAGCAACTTTACATGGTCCTCCTAATATTGTCTCCTGACTCCTCGAAAAACACTTCCAACTTCACTCACTCATGCAGTGGATATTTATGGAACATCTACCAAGTGCCAGGCCTGTGCTGGTGCCAGAGATGGGGGAGTGACTGGGATGGGCACGGCCCTTGTCCTCACAAGGCTCACAGTTGAGGAGGGAGGCAATCAAGGGACCATCTGCCCAGGCGATCCTGATGCTACAAATGCACTTACTGCTTTTCTCCTGGTAGAATCCCACAATGGTCAAAGCCCAGAAGACCTCACTTGGCTGTGGACAAGAAGCTGGATCTTATAAACCTTGATGACTAAAGGTAGTGCTATAATAGACTATGGTCAGGACTGTAGAGCATGGGGGACAGGGAAGGGGATTTCAGGGCAAGATGCAGAATAGCGTTGAGAAGCCAATTCCTCATCAAGTGCTGTGGGTGTACAACACTCTTGTCTAAGCTGAGTGGAAGGGGAAAGAGAGGCTCAAGTTATTAAAACTGTCAAGTTGACCAACAGAAGAATTTAAAATGGTAATGTCCTTAATACATCTCAGGATGGGGAAAGAAAGGTGAGCTGCCACAAAGGAGCTAAAATGTTCATTTTTCATCATGAGAGCGCTGACGTATGTTATCTAAAGATGACAAAGCTAGAACTAGGTTGTCTGAGCATATTATCTAGAATATTGGCAATGACCACCAGAAAGGCTAGAACTAGAAGTTACAAGGGAATCAATGCCTGGGAAAGAGGAAGAATTTCACTTTTCATTGATTGCCATGCTTCTCTGTGTGGTTGTGTTTTTTTTTTTGTTGTTTGTTTTGTTTTTTGTTTTGTTTTGTTTTGTTTTGAGACAGAGTCTCCTTCTGTCACCCAGGCTGGAGTGCAGTGGTGCGGTCTCAGCTCACTGCAACCTCTGCCTCCAGGGTTCAAGCGATCCTCATGCCTTAGCCTCCCAAGTAGCTGGGATTATAAGCACGTGCCACTGCATCCGGCTAATTTTTGTATTTTTAGTAGAGATGGGGTTTCACCATGTTGGCCAAGCTTGTCTCGAACTCCTGACCTCAGCTGATCTGCCCACCTCGGCTTCCCAAAGTGCTGGAATTACAGGCATGAGCCACCATGCCCGGCCTGTGTGATTTTTAAAGTAAGCATGTATTTGATAGTTTTATAATTGAAAAACAAATTAAAAGTAATAATGCTCTAAGTAAATGTGCACAACTTACATAGAGTATGTACAAAAGTACAAGAAGTGGGTAATTTTACTCTCTGGGGATCCTAGTTTCCACCCCCACTGCCCCTACTCCCCAGAGATCACCATGAGCAGTGGCATCCGATGGGATAAATGGGATGACAGAGAAACACGGCTCTGTCCTTCCACAAGCATTTATCCCGTGGGTGCTCTGAGCCATGCGTTGCACTAAGCCCTGTGTGGTGAGCAAAATGAATGGGAAATAGCTCTTTCTGGGGCTTTACCATCGTATAGTTCACAGCACTGCAAAAATGATCACAAACGTCAAAGTTCTTCCTTCTAGTTATTCAGGCGATGCAGGAATTCCTCCACACATCCCACCAAGCATCATTCACCTCTTGATTACCACCAGTGACAGTGAGCTCACTTCCTTCCCAGGGAGCTCCAATCATCATTAGAGTTCAGTTAGAAAGTTCTTCCTTGTGTTGAAAAGAAGCCCAGGTCCCCACAACTAGGCAGCGGCTGAGAGGTACTAAGGGAGGTTTTAGACCTAAGTATGATTTCCATTTCCCTCCCCAAGCTACCCTCAGATAATCCTAGAATCTATCTCCAGCAAGAGTGCTTAGTACAAAGGGAGCTTCCACGACCCTGTGGAGCCCCCTTCAATGGGACTGTCCCCCTGAGCCCCAGGAGAGAAATGTCGGCATCCACACTGCCTGAAACTTCCAGCCATCATTTGGGCTTTGAGAACTGCAACCCTCTGGTGGGTGTAGACTTTCTTGAGCTACAATCCAGCCTCTCCTGATCATAGCATCCCTCATCCTGTATCTAGGATGCTAGAGCAGCCCTGCCTAGCAGGGCTGCAGTCTTAAGTGATGGATACAAGGTTGGCCGGGAGCCCAGAGTGCAGACAGGTGTTGAGCCCTGAGCTTCCTTTGCAGTGCCTTCCTCTTCCACATAAAGGCTGTGTCTGTCCTTCAGGTGTCTCTCCTCCACCCATTACAGGCAGCCGGGCTTCTTTCTGACTCGGGGATCACTGGGTAGTTTTCAGCAGCTCGGCCTGATGCATGGCTCATGAACCCTGTGTTCATCAGAGTGCACACCTTCCATTACGAACACACCCCTCCAGGGGGCCTGACGGCCTGTCTTTGGGGATGTGGTCCCTGGAGCTCAAGCCAGTTAGGAGCTGTCTGGGCCTTTAGTGATTGCTCAGCTTCCCTAATCCCTAGGGAAGGGCAGGGCTCCTGCAGATTAGACCCAGGGCTTTTTCTGATATTTCTGTCCAGGATTAGAGGCCACAGGCAAGGCCAGGGAAGGCAAAGGAGGGAGACCCTGGGCTGCTTTTGAGACCCTGAGGCAATGGGTTGGGGGTTCATCACTGCCCTGGAGCAGGAACCACGAGGTGATTTGGAAGACAAGGGGGTAGAGGGTGGGGCAGGAAGTCAGGGGGCAGGGGTTCTAACCCTGGGGGGACAGAGGAGGCTTCTTCATGGGGGGAGGGAGAGAAGAGCCTTGGGTCCTGATGGGCAAGACCAAACTTCAAACCCTAAACTGTGCTCTCTCTGCCCCCACATCGTTCCTGAATCTGCCCCTACCTGAAAACAGGCAGCTACAAGGGGCTGGGGCCCAGCCTTTGCCTGCCTTGTGGTCGCCCTTCCTGGGGTGTCGCTCTCCTCCAGGTGGCCCAGTATGGCTTGCCACCCGGTCTGCATTCCAGCCAGTGGGTGGGGGAAGGAAGGAGACACTCGTGTTGCAGGATGCGCCTGGACGTCAGACCCATCCCTTCTCTTTCCATCCTATTGACCAGAACTGAGTCCAGGGGGCCACCCCAGGATGAGGGATGCCAGAGAAGGTGGACTTCATTCTGGGCAGCCTGAGGTTCTGTTGATATCAAAGAAGAGAGCAGGAGCGTTGAGTAACAGTTAGACGTGTCTACAAAGAGACATGTGGCTAGATAAAGTATCTCATTCTCGGGCCACCTAGGCCTTGCAAAGCTCAAGGAAAAATTAAAACGAAGCATTTCCACATCTGTAGAAATGGTCCAGCCATTTCCACATTTGCTTCCTACTGGGGCCCATGCAGAAGCTGGGTCCTTGAAACCCTGCTGAAACACCCTCTGAGTCACACATGCTGGAGGTAATGCCACCTGTGTCCACCAGAGTCACGTACTTCCTCTTGGCGAAAAGAAGTGCTGCTCAAAAAAGACGCATTTAGAGAATCTGTCAAGATCCCCTCTGACACTGAAGTTCTTATTTGATTAATAAGCTAACAAGATGCATTTCCATTCTCCCTTGACTTTAACAGAATTGAATCTGTTATTCCATGCATTTTTTTTTCTGGAGACAGAGTGCAACACAGTGGCTTAGAGTATGGATTTCGGAGGTACCCTAACCTCCCTGTGCCTCAGTTTCCTTATCTGTGCAATGGAGATGATAATAATCTCAGGTATAGTGGTGAGAATTTAACAAGGGAATTCCTATGAAACTTTCAGAACAGAGCCCAGCATGCAGTAGGCATGAAATAATGTTCGTAGGGAGAGGGTAGCCAGTATTTTCTTCCCCTCTCCCCGGTGGTCAATATTAACCAGTATTTTCAGCACACACATTGCAGACTTCCACCGGACTGCCCATCACCGTGCTCTCCCTTAGCCCACTCCCTGAATTCTACTCGGGTGTGTGCCAGCAACTTAACATGGCCGCTTCTCTTTCTGTAGCTGAGTTGGCCAAGCGCTTTGACATATGTCACCTCAGTCTGAGCTCCCAGCAGTCATGAGTGATGAGTATTAGGAATTTGCTCTATTTTACCAAGGAAAAAACCTTGATCCCTAGAGGAAAGGTCCTTCCCACAGTCAGGTGCCTGTGAACAGCCACAGCAAGACTCGGATCCCCGGCTCTCCCATGAGTCATCCAGCATGGTGGGCAGCCAGCAGCTCCGTGCCAGGTGCTGCCATAGGCGCTGGGCACACGGGTTCTTAAGTCAGGTCAGTCCCTTCCTCCTTGAGCTCATACACAGGTAAGGAGGGAGAGAGATGTTCCCCAACTCATCACGCACTCAAGTTCATTTCAGATGGTGGTGAGGGGTCCTGAGAAGAGGAAATGGGGTGACATGCTAGGAAGTGCCTGGGTGGAGGGGGCTCCTGGAGACAGGGTGGTCAGGGAGGCACTCACCCAGGAGGTGACACTTGACAGAGCCCTGAAAAGTGAGGAGGTGCAACCATGCACAGGGCTGGGGACAGGAACACGGCCACACAGGGGAATGA
This sequence comes from Homo sapiens, assembly GCF_000001405.40. NCBI lineage: Eukaryota > Metazoa > Chordata > Mammalia > Primates > Hominidae > Homo > Homo sapiens. The sequence continues at coordinate 48,405,901 of NC_000020.11, forward strand.
ACCTGGCCGTTTGTGGCACAGAAGGAAGGTCAGCAAGTCCAGGAGAAAGGGGAGGAGAAGAGAACAGGCCCCTGGCGCCTGCACGTCTGGAAGCATCGCCAAGTTTCCAAGCATCTTTCCAGGGCAGAGAAGGCTCCACTCTGGGCAGGAGGGGCTTGCTTCACCAGCAGGAGGAGTTGGGGAGCAGGAGGGAGTCCTGATGTCCTGGCTACAAGTCCAGGGCTGGAAAACCAGGCGGGCCTCCGCCGAGGCTGCTCCTTCCCCATTGGGCCTCCGCTATCTGGTTGGGGCATCTCAGACTGAGGAGCAGGAAGTGTGACTGTCGCAGGCCAATGTCTGCTGACGAATCTCCCAGCCCAGATGGTGGGCCTGCGGTGGGCTTCCTGGTGCACGCGGAGGCGACTCTGGCGAGGGGGATTCCCTCCCCTTTGAATTTCCTCCTGGTTCTGCCCACGTGAAACTGGGCTGGTTGGCTGGGCTTCCTTTTCTCTATTTGGCTTTCTTATTCTCCAAATAAAAGACGAAAAGTCAAAACATAGGCATAATGCAGAATTATAACGCTTGGATTTGTCTAACTTCATCCCTGCAATCGCCCAAATATTCACATAGTTCAAGAACACCATCGTATAACAGGCTACTCAGGGACTGTGACATGATGACACTTGTAGGAACCCAGTGTGTCATTTAGTCCTCTGTGTGTCTGTGTCCCATTCTGTGGGTGTGCACACAACAACCACACACAAACTCACCGGTTCCCTTGTGTGTGTTTAGACAACATGAAACTTTGCATCACAAAACCACCGAGTGATGTCAGAGGTGCCATGAATCATAATGACAGCTCCTGGCCTGGTATCCAAGAGACCTCAACATGCTGCTAAGTCACTGTCCCACTCCATGAGAACCGGTCACTCTCTTTGAGCCTCCAGTTGAAGGGAACTAAATTAATCTAGGATGACCCATATTGTGCAGCAGCTAATGACCCAGTTCACCTCTGGTTAATTTTCTGCTTCTGGGTGTCCTGGGAACGGGTGGTGTTTACTCCAGTTGGGACAAACCTTTATTAATGAGCCAGAGTGTTGGCTGCTCTGGGCGGAGTGTTTTAATAGAAATCGGCCAATGGGCCAGGGCGTGCTGAAGTTGCAGAATATGAATGAGGCCCTTTTCTTTGCCCTCTCTCTCTTCCACCCTGATTTGCATAACTAAGCTTTCTGCCTTTTTATCTTTTTAATGTGTTTGTTTGTTGATTATTGATCTGTCCCCTATGGAGGGACAAATCATTCGCCCACCAGGCAGTGACCTAAATTTGGCAGAAGCCCCAGCCATGTCTGCAGCAAACTGGAGCCAGACAGTTATACTTGTATTTGTAGGGACAATTCCAGGAGAATTTATATGGCCCAAGGTTGTAATGATCAAAATTACACTGGCCTCCAGCAGACTCATTAAGGGGAATCTTGGCAAAGGAAGACTTGATGAGTAAGAAGAAAAGAAAAGATCCTCTTTCATGGTAAAAGATCTGGCTTAATTTAACAAAAAAGCTCAAAAGCCTCTCCAAATGAGGCTGCAGTTTCCCTGGGGAAAGAGAAGGTACTGCTGAGTTTTAGAAATGTGGTTCTCAGCTGTGTCCAAACCTATGCCACCTTTTTTAAACCAATATTTTATAATTTCCACACTTGTATCTTGAAATATAATTCATAAATACAGCCTATCCACATCTTTTTAAAAGTTCAATATAATGCCCTAACTATAATATAAAGACAGAAGTATAAGAAAAGTAATTTATGTAAAGTAATTTGTAACAAATTAATGCATACTTCAACATGCAAATGCTCTGACTGACCGCACTAGAAGTGATTAAGCTGTAAATGCAGACTGGTGACAAGCCTGTTGAGTTGCCACCTCAAATGTCATGCACATTGCCGCTAGTGAGGAGAGGGCTCAGGATGCTGACCCGCTGGTGGTGAACTTCTGAACAAAACAAACACGAGTTTCCCTTGATTTACACCAGAGTTGCTGTCCCAGGAAAGTCAGTGATTATTAAAACATTATGATCGTCTCTATGTAAACTGGACTTTTCACTGGAGGCTCAGATCATTGTAAATAGGGTTTGCTTACATGAATGTCCAGTGAAACATTCAAAACTAGTGCAAGATACAAGATAAATTCTGCATGGTGTGGGATTGTCCTATGTATTACAGCCGCATAGTATCCTCAGCTCACACCCCAAATGCCAACATCACGCTCCTCTCAGCATTGTGCACCCAAAGCACCTCTTTAGGGGCGAGACCGTCATTGATAACCACCACCCCTTGCACAGCCGCGTGTGCTCACAGAGGCTAAAATCTACTGTTGTCTCCACCTGAAGTTTTTCTTGTCCTGTAACCTTTCCCTGGCTGGCTCTCCACCCTGCCCAGGATGAGGCAGGGAATCCAAGGACACTCAGCTACCTCAGGTCTCACCCACCCTCTCCCCCTCCCCAGGCAGAGAAGAATAGAGTCCTGAAACCCTGTCCCCAGAGAGTGAATCAACCTCCTGGGTCTGAGGGCTGCACACACATTTGTTCCTGGTTCCCCCAGGGCCTGACAACCTCACTCCTATTCCTCTGTCTTGGGAAATCCCTCAAAGCCAACTGTACCTTCTGTGTGGGTCTTGAGGTCCTCCACCAAGGGGCTCTTTCCTTTTTATCAGTTTGTTCATTCACTTGTATATTATCTTTGTTACCAAAATATGTCAAGATAATCACATAAGTCAAGATAAAAATGGCCAATGCAACCACATCTTGTCAACTTGGTGCATTTCTATGTACATGGTCAATTTTCACACACAGGGAGACTCTGTCTACATTTTCTCCCAGGATTCTACCACGCTTCCTTTTCAATCCTTCTCTAATTTCCCTGCCCCCTGCCTGTCTCCTCCTTCCCAACCCCACTCCCAAATGTGTCTCCTTCCACAACTTTCTACACACTTCTACACAGGTTCATACACAGGCATATACACACTGACAAGGATTTCCTGACCTCTCTTTATAAGGGCTTAGGTTTCTTTTGCAAACTATAATCTGACTACATAAATACTTCATACTGTGTTTTCTTAATCCTCAATATGGTATAGACATCATCTCAATTGATATATCAGGATCCAACTCAGTATTTCAAAATAACCATCTAATATTCCATAATATGAATAAATTTTACATTAATCAACCATTCCCCTGCTAATGGATATTCAGAGTGTTTTCAGATTCAATGATTCAACTATAATCAACTAAGTATGATCAGCACTGGAATAAATATCTTTGAATATGTATTCTTGTACTGTAGAGCTTTGGTTTCTATGGGATACGTTTCTAAATATAGGATTTGTTGGGTGGAAGAACATGCATATGTTGAAGCTAGAGGCACTGGAGTGATGGATTCTGCCTAGGGCAAGACAGGACTTGATTCTTGCTGGAGGAGCCATCTGAGTTTGTGAAGGGCAAGGAGAGTGCATGGGCCGAGAAAGGTGCTCCCAGGAGTGATCCCTAAGGCAGCCAACAGTACCCCACTGTGCAGATAAGAGAAAGAAACCGACGCAAAGGAAGTCTTCCTAACCAAATTCCATAGTGTAAAAAGCAATGATTTGGAAATTGGAAGGCCTGGACTCTGACTTGGGGTCTGGAATTCTCTCTCCAGGTGACCTTGGGTGAGTCACTTCCCCTCTCTGGCTCTAGTTTCCTCCTCTCTTCAAATTAAGCAGCTGCACTAGATGATCCTTAAGGCCTCTTCCCTGTGAACTTTGTATGGTTCAATGAGAACAATGTATATGATGGGGCTTTCTGAACTCTAAAGTGTTTAATGCTATGATTTGTTTGGTAGATGGTAATGGATTCTTCTTATGATCATCTATGTCCATTTGGTTACGTCCAACACTTTCCTTTTTCTCACACCCCACACCCAATCCCATAAGCACCTCCTAATAGCTCTGCTTCCAAAGTAGATTCTGAATCTGCTCACTTCTCTCTTCTCTACCCTCTGCCACCCCCACCTGCACCCAACCTGCCATCATCTCTCATCCCCAACCTCAGGACAACTGCAACAACCCTGGCTGGTCACCTGGTCTACCAACCCCTCATAATCCATCCTGCACTCAGCAGTCAAAGTCAGTTTGTAAAAGGAAAATAAGACTATGTTGTTCCCTTGCCTAAGACTCCCAGTGGTTTCCCCAAGCTTTTAGAGTAAAATCCAGTCTCCTTACTGTGGCCACAAAGCCATGCATGATGGGCTCCTTGCTGCTTCTGAAACATGCTAAGTTCTTTCTAGTCTCAAGGCTTCTGCACATACTTTTTTCTGCCTGGGACACTTAGCCCAGATGGCTGCTTCTCACCCTCCAGGTCGCAGCTCAAGTGTCACCTCCTCTGAGAAGCTTTTCACAACCGCCCTGTCCAAAGGAGGTGTGTATCTCCATCACTCTCTATCCCCACTCTGATTTATTTTCTTCAAAGCACTCACTGCAATCTGAAATCATCTTATTCACTGTGTGCTTGTCTCTTGCTGTCTCCCTACTAGAACAGAAGCTGCATGAAGACAGGGGTCTCATCTGCCTTGGACATCACTGAATCCTATGCACGGAGCACAATGCCTGGAACGGGAGGAGCTCAATGGTTACTGGTTGAATTAATACACTGAGGAAATGGATCAGCTGTAGACAACCTTACTTTGTTCTCTCATATCTCTTTCCCACCTGCTGGCCCTGCCTTTCCATTTAAATCCAGAGCCAAGCACACATTCCTTACTATATATTTTTTTGTACTGATTAAAATGTTTCATAAACTTTTACCACATATGGATCAGGGCTTTTAGTTGCTAATGGAACCTACTCCAGCCAGTTCAATTAGGAAGGGGGTTTATTTATGAAATCCTATTGGGTAGCTTGGGCTCATGCCTACCAAAGAATTAGACTTGCAGGCCACACAGCCAGGAAACATGGCCCCCAAATTACACACCCCCCAATCATAACTGGTCCCCTGATGTCTCTGGTGCCTTCACCCAGCACACACATCCCAGCCCATGCTGCCAATAGCACAGGTATGAGACACTGAAGATGTATCCAGAATCCTGCAACTGCCCCCTGAGGGACTAACTGTAGCTCCTTCCATAGAAATCACCCATCAGTGGTTGGCAAAAAGGAAGAACAAATGTCCACTAAACTCTTTAGGCAAATGATCACAGAGAGCCATTGTGTCCTCCTAGCCACTGCGCTCATCACACCAGAGGGCTGTTCTGAACCATCCCCAGTTACCCCAGTTACCTTCTGTTTGAGTCAAGGTTCTCTAAAGAAACAGGAACACTAGGGTCTGTGTGTGTGGAGGGAGACAGAGAAGAGACGGGGAGGGAGGGAGAGAGAGAGAGAGAAAGAAAGAGAGAGAGAGAGAGATTTATTGTAAGGAGTTAGCTCACATGATTATGGAGGCTGATAAATCCCAACATCTGTCGGGTGAGTTGCAAGCTGGAGACATAGGAGAGCCAATAGTCTTCTAGTCCAAAAGCCAGCAGGCTCATGACCAAAGAAAAGACAATGTCTCAGTTCTAGTCCAAAAGCAGGAAACAGCTGAGTTCCAGTTCACAGGCAGTCAGGCTGGAGGAGTTCCCTCTCACTCAGAGAGAGTCATCTTTTTGTTCTATTCAGGCCTTTAACTGATTGCATGCGGCCCACCCTCCTGAGACAGGCAACTGGCTTCACTCAGCCTAATGATTTAAATGTTAACCTCACCAAAAACACCCTCATAGCATCACTCAGAATAATGGTTAAGCAAAATATCTGGGCACTTTATGGTCCGGTCAAGTTGACACATAAAATTAACCACTGTCTCTTCTAGGGCTGGTGCAACTGACAGTGATAAAAAAAAAAAAAAAAAAAAAGCCCTCCAGGCCTCTGAGCTTTGAACCTGTTTCCCTTAAAGCAATGAGGAGATGATTGAACTAGTGTTGGAGGAGTCACACTTGGAATCTAAGTGGCAGTGCCTCAAAAAGGGTTATAGGCTCAACCTCAGAGCCTTGATGATCCAGATCCCACCCGTGATGGGGAATGGGCAGAGAATGGCTCCCTTAATACTGCAAGTGAGGTAGGAGATCAGCAGGACTTGTTTTCCAAGCACAGATCATGATCCTGCTGATCGAAGCAGGATGCAGTAAAGCAACTGGCCAAAACCAGCAGATGGTGGCAAAAGCGATCTCTAGTTGCCCTCACTGCTCAATAGCATAAAGACACTCCCACCTCCTACCAGCGCCAGGACAGTTTACGAATGCCATGGAAACTATCCAGAAGTTACCTTATATGGTTCTGGGAACCGTCTGCCCCTTTTCCAGAAAATTCTAAATAACCCACCCCTTAATTAGCATATAATTAAAAGTGGTATAAATACAGCTAGCCCTGGTCTTCAGGGACTGCTGCTCTGGGCTGCTCTGCCTATGGAGCAGTCCTTCTGCTGCACACTGCTGCTCTAATAAACCTGCTTTCTTTCACTCCTGGCTCACTCTTGAGTTCTTTCCTCCACAACACCAGGAACCCTCCCAGGCTGAGCCCCAGTTTTGGCATTAACCTGCACCACAAGAAACAAAGGTGTCCCTCCCTCCCTCCCTTTCTTCCTTCCCTCCTTCCTTCTTTCTTTTTTCTTAGGGTGTTCTAGAAGGGCAGAAATCCATCTTCCCTCCCTCCCTTCCTCCCTCCCTTTCTTCCTTTCCTACTTCCTTCCCTCCCTTCCTCCTTTCCTGCCTTCTTTCTTTTCCTCCTTTCCTCCCTCCCTTCCTCCTTTCCTCCTTCCTTCCTTCTTTCTTTCTTCTTAAGGTGTTACAGAAGGGCAAAGTCCATCTTCTGTTCCTTCCTTCCTTCCTTCCTTCTGTCTTTCTTCTTAAGGTGTTACAGAAGGGCAAAGTCCATCTTCTGTTCCTTCCTTCCTTCCTGTTTTCTTTTTTCTTCCTTCCACACACATTTAGAGACCATCTTCTAAATGTGAAGGAATGTCCTAGAAGCAGCAGTGAAAAAACAGACACAGTCCCGCCATCATGGGCATCCTGAGACTGTCCACCTGAGAGCTTTCTCTTACCCTGTGGCCAGAAATGCTGACAGTTGATGGCCCTGGGACAAGCCCTCGGCTAACGGGGCAAAGAAATTGGAGGATAAACATTCAGCTGGTAGAGGACTAAGCTCCAGTTGCCCACAGTGGCAACACCCTGTCTCACTTCCCCACTCCCCTGTTGGTATTTCCTGGGACCACCTCCCACATAAACTATTATATTAGGTTGGTGCAAAAGTAATCACGGTTTTTGCATAATGGCAATTATTTTTGCACCTACCTAATACTTGCACTAAAATCCTTGTCTTGGGATCTGCTTCTGGGAAACCAAAGCCAGGTGGAAAGCAATTGGGAACATGGGATAACTTGATAGAGAGTGGGCAGGGGTGAGCAAGGAGCTGTCAGAGAGGGCAGTCCAGGAGGCCTCCCTGAGGAGGCAACCTAGGAATAGGAGCTGCCGGGTGAAGATGCAGGGGAAGGGTGTCCCAAGCTGAGGAAATGGCAAGGCCCCAAATCAGAAACGAGCTTAGCATACTGGCCCATACGCCTCTAGGATGAATCTAAATGGGACAAGCACTAATAGTATTAATAAGAATAGGAATAGCAGCTAATGCATGCATAGCACCAACTGCAGGCCAGGCACTGCTCTAGGGACTTGATGCACATCCTCCCAGCAGCCTCAGGAGACAAGTGTGATCATTGTCCTCATTTTCTGGGCGAGGAAACCAAAGCACAGGGAGATGACGCACTTGGCCCAAAGTCACCCAGCTAGTGGTGGGGCCAAGATGTTACCCCCTCCGCTGATGATGGCAGTGGCAGGTGGGGGAGGTAGGGCTCATAATGTATTCACCCCTGATGCCTACTGTGCCCTGCACAGAGCTGCACATGGACACACTGCAGAACCATGAGCAGTAATAACAGGGGCATTCATCCAGCACTAACCCTGTTCCAGGCTCCCTTCTAAGAGTTTTAAATGGACCAATTCATCTAATTCTCACATCAACCCTATGAGGTGAGGGCTGATTGTCACCATGTGACAGAGGAAGAAACTGAGGCACCTAGAGGTTAAGTCATTTGCCTGAGGTTGTGGGCCGGTGAGTGGCTGAGCCAGAATTCAAATCCAGGTTATTTGACGCCAGAGCCCTATTCATAAATGCTGTAAGCATGCACACACTTGTTGGTGCGCACATACACACATGCACATGCATGCACACATAAGATATGGGAATTTAACCCCAGAGAGAGAAGAATTTTTCTACTGGTCACATTGTTTGTAAGACACAGTACCAGGATTTGATCACAGTCAGCTGATTGCGGAGGCTCCATTGGAAGGGAAGAAAGCAGATGATCAAATTTTGAAATTACAGAGTTCAGGATTTCATGCTACCCTAGTCCCTACTTGCATGTGATTATAAACCAAAGAGCTGAAATTCACTCACAATTAGTAAGAACACCCTCACGGGTCTCACTGACGATGCTCTGCACAGCCTGGAGGTCAGCACTCCTCCCGCAGTGGTGTTTGCCTGCTGCAGGCTCCTCATCTGTGAAACGGAGTGGACAGGGTCAGCCCTCTGCAATGGCTGTTTGGAGCACGACATAACCTGTGTAAAGTGCTTAGAGCCATGCTTGGCACACAGTAAGTGCTCAATAAATGTTTGCTGATATAACAAATGCCCCATGCATAAGTAGTTTACTCCCTAACTCCCCAGCACGAGACAGACCCTGTGTGCCCTCCATAAATAAAAGCTATGGCTGAAATCATTGTTTCTAAGCCTCATTTTTCCCAGTGCCCAAAGGAACAGTTGCACGTCAACCAGAAAATCCTCCCAGCCTTTGTTTTGCTGTGCTGACCCATAGAATCCAAGGTCACATGATTTTTTCTTTCTTTTGTTTGCTGTTTCTTTTCTGTATGGACCAACAACAACAAAAAGATAACAACTGTACCTGGGTTTTGTGTTTTAATAATTTTAATAATGCACAGGAAATTGGATGGCTTAGGGACTCTGCGTCAAATGAGTGAGTCATCCTTGTCAACAGACCAAGTGGAAGCATGAGACTCAAGGGCAGGAAAGAGAAGGGCCCAGGGGATGGAAATTGAATAGTGTGATGGGCTTTAACAATCTAAATTAAATTAAAACTTGTCAGTGCTTTCTTCATATCACAAGTTTCCAGTTAGAGAAAGAATGGGCCCCTCCAAACAGTGAGTTGAAAAGGATGAATTTCATTCTCTGCATCCCCAAGACCAACGAGATGGGCCCTGCCTGTCTCTTCCACGACAACTCCACTCTTCTCTCATTCTCGGCCACACTGGCGCTGCTGTTCCCCAAGCATACCCGCATGGCTGTCCCCACCTCCCAGACTTGAACTTGCTGTTCCTCTGCTGGGACCTTTGCATGTCTGCCTCATCCCCCACATTCAGGGCTTAGCCCTTACAGCAGTCAGAGGGGCTCTCTGCCCCCACTCTGTATCTAAGGGGCCCACCCTGTTGTCCCCACCCTCCACTAGTCCATGGCCCTGTTACATTTTCCTCATAGCCCTCATCACTACTCTATTTTGGATGCATTCTCAATGTGCACTCCAGGAGGGCAAGGATCTCATCTTTCCTGCTTGCCTCTCTCTCCCAAACACCTAGAACATACCAGGCACATAGCATAGGTACTGCATACATCCTTGTTTGGTGAATGAACAAATGGATGAATGAACATCTTGGTCACTATCTCTCCAGAGCCAAATAAACCTTTGTAACTGAGTCATTTGCCTAGAACTGCTGAGTGCTCTTCCTTGAGGCCCATATGAACCCCCATCTTGCTGGTTACTTGACCTGATTGGCAACAGCAACACCCCACAGCAATGGGCACTGTCCATTCTCCACCCCACATCCTGGCAGCCCTGGGCCTGCCAGTGTGAAGGCACAGGAGGCAGCCATGGGAACGCGCCACGGAAGTGAAAAACTTTTCCCAGCACCATTTCTGTGGCCTAGAAAGGCCCTAATGATATTTTCTACTTTTCTTTGCTGAATAAATTGGGCAGCAAATTTCATGCACATGTGCTCAGTGATCACCTATTGATGCCTTGAACACAGATGTTTGATTCTGGCTTTTTTGGAGCCGTTGCTAGACTGAGAGTTCCATGAGGGCGAGGGTCGTGTTGCATGCATCTTCATGTCTCCCTTTCATGAGGCAGGAGCTCAGATGACATCTCAGGTGTGACGTCATGTGATGTCATGTGTGTTCTGTGAGAGGGACATGAAAAGCCAACAGAGTCATCTAGAAAGTTTGGTCACTCTGGGGATTTCCCAATCAGAGCAATCACTTTTTCTTAAGCAGCAGATCTCTGGTCTTACTTTTTTGTTGTTATACAATATTCATTTCTTTTTTTTTTTTTTTTTAAGAGACACAGTCTTGCTTTCAACCAGGCTGGATGGAGTACAGTGGTATGATCGTGGCTCACTGCAGCCTCAACCTCATGGGCTCAAGATCTCCTCCCACCTCAGTCTCCTGAGTAGCTGGTACTACAGGCACAGGCTAACACACCTGGCTAATTTTTAAACTTTTTGTAGAGATAAAGTTTCACTATGCTACCCAGCCTGGTCTTGAACTCCTAGCCTCAAGTGATCCTCCCACCTCAGCCTCCCAAAGTGCTGGGATTACAGACATGAGCTGCTAGGCCCAGCTTGTTAGGAAATAGTTCAAGCCTACAGAAAAATATAAAGAAGAATGTAATGAATATCTGTGATCCCATCGAACCAGCTCAGTGAAAGCTTATCATGCTATATTTGCTTCAGATTTTTTTTTCAAAATAAAACACATGGAATGATTAATGTCCCTGGTGCCCCTTCTACCGTCCCTTCTCCCACCGCCCACAGGTCCACACTTGGTGCTCCTTGTTCCTCTCCAGGGCTTTATGCTTTGCCACACATATGTGCCTGTAAACATTACACTGTCCAGTTGATGTGTTTAAACCATACATGAATGGCTTGTCACTTTCAACAGCTTGCTTTCTTATTTAAACTTAACTCCCATAACACACTCACTGGATGTATATGGAATAACCAAATAAAAGCAGACAAGCTGTATCATGACAGGACGTGACAAGTAGGAGGGAGGGTAATGAAGTGGGGTACAAGGATGCAGGGGAGACGGGGGAGTGCTCAGGGAAGTGCTATTTGAGAAGGAGACATTTGAGCAGAGATCTGGATGCAGTGAGGGTGTAAATCTGGCAAAAGGCGACCAACCCGTCCCAGCTTTCTGGTGACTTTCCCAACACTGAAAGTCTCAGGTCCCAAAAAGCTCCTCAGTCTCAGGTGAACCGGAGTACCCAGGGAAAGAATGTCAAGAGTAAGAAACATGGAGTGGAAGGGACTTGTGGTGGAGCGAGTTTGGCCTGTTAGAAGAAGGGCCCCCGAGGCTGAGTGGGGCAAGGAGGGTGGGCAGGGAAGCAGAGGCAGATTTAGTCCACTAGGGAGTGTGGGCAGGTACATGCACAGTGTATGGGAGCTGACGTGTGGGTTAGATGCCACTGTGAATTCAAATTTTACTCCCTGAGATGATTATTTTCCTAATTTAAAGAAATTATCATATAGGAAAGTTGACATTTTTGGTACAGATTTCTGTGGATTTTTTTTTTTTTTTTTGAGCCTTTGTCTTTTTCTGTCACCCAGGCTGGAATGCAGTGGCACAATCTTGGCTCACTGCAACCTCCGCCTCCTGAGCTCAAGCGATCTTCCCGCCTCAGCCTCCTGAGTAGCTGGAATTACAGGTGCCCGCCACCATGCCTGGCTAATTTTTGTATTTTTAGTAGAGGCGGGGTTTCACCACGTTGGCCAGGCTGATCTCAAACTCCCGACTTCAAGTGACCTACCCGCCTCAGCCTCCCAAACTGCCGGGATTACAGATGGGAGCCACTGCACCCAGCTGATTTCTAAGGATTTTTGACCCATGTAGAAATTCATATAACCACCACCACCATCAGGATCCAAAAGAGTTTCAACCCCCCAACAATTGTCCGGTGCCATCCCTATAGTGAACCCCTGGAAACTGCTGATCTGTCTCCATCACTATAACTTGGTTTTTCTGAGGATGCCAAATAAATAGGATCATAAAGTACATAATTTTGGGACACTGGCTCTGCCCCTCAGCATAATGCCTTTGAGACACAGGCCCATGGCTGCAATGTGGTAATGGTTCCTTCCTTTCCACAGCTGAGCGTCATTCTGGAGTATGGGCATCCCAGTTTATTTATCCATTCACTCGTTGTTGGAGAACATTAGGGCTGTTTCAAGCTTCTAGATTTTTGTGTCTTCTGGTTATTTTTGAGAATTTCACAGCAATTACACTCTATATCTGGTAATGAGTTTCAGAAAAGTGCTTTAGATGGAAGTTCTGCTCTGTATTAGGAATATGTCCTTCACTGATTAGCATATAAGGATTTTAGGGAGGAGATTCTCTCCCCTTCCCCATCTCCTGATGGCAGACCCCGAATTTCTCAGGATGTTCACTTAAAACAGCATATTTCTAAGCCTTGTTTCTAGCTCTACTACGTGAGTGAGGTAATAGTTTCTGCCCTTTCCTTTTAAATGAGCCATAACTATTTTTTAAAATAATACATTTCTCATATATGTCTTCTTTTGAAAAGTGTCTGTTCATGTCTTTTGCCCACTTTTTAATGTTTTTTTTAATTGTAACAAAGATATGGAATCAATCTAAATGCCCATCAGTGATTGACTGGATAAAGAAAACGTGGTACATACACACTGCAAATACTATGCAGTCATAAAAAAATAAATAAATAATAAGATCATGTCCTTTGCAGGGACATGGATGGAGCTGGAGGCCATTATCCTTAGCAAAGTAACACAGGAACAGAAAACCAAATACCACATGTTCTCACTTATAAGTGGGAGCCTAAAGATGAAAGCACATGGACACGTAGTGAGGAACAATACACACTGGTGCCTTTCAGAGGGTGGAGGGTGGGAGGAAGGAGAGGATCAGGAAAAATAACTAATGGGTACTAGGCAGAATACCTGGGTGATGAAATAATCTGGACAACAAACCCCCATGACACAAGTTTACCTATGTAACGAACCTGCACTTGTAGCTCTGAACTTAACAAACAAACAAACAAACAAAAATACGTTTTATTATGTAAGTAACCTTAAAATGAGAAAAAAAATCCAAAGATCAAAGACTGGTTCCTTCCATTCCAAGTAGCCTGACAAGAATATCTAGGAACCAGGAAACCCTAGCTTCCCCCGCAGTCCAGATGGAAGGAATTGGGCTTACAAAAGACCCCACAGGGTCTCACTGCTAAGACTGTGGTCTGTTCTGTTTATGAGCTTATTCTGTCAAGGCCTGTTGGGTTTGGTTTTGTTTAAGGTTTAACAGGATTTCAGACTTAGTGGTGGTCTCTTTGGATTTTCTCCTTCTTTTTCCTTTTGATGCTTAAACATACCCCCACGACACCAAAGAAACAACCATGGCTGAAAAGACTAGAATTACACAGGATGTAATTCCCTTTCACATAAACGCTGAAGAGTGTCACCCCTGGAGCTGTGACTTTGCTGCAAGGAGCCGAAAAATGAGGATTTGTTTAAATAAAGACACAGAGTAGGCTACATGTAAGTAGAGTGTGGACTTAAGGACCCCTCCTTGGGGTTGAGGCTTCAAATCCTAAGCTCCCAAAGGGGACCATTTGAAAAACAAGAATAATTTCTGTTTGGCCAAGTACTGCACTACATAGCTGCATTTGAGAGAAGAGGACTGAGTCTTTTTAGGTTTGCGAATTCCAGTTTTTCCTTTTTTTTTTTTTTTTTTTTTTTTTTAGACAAGGTCTTGTTCTGTCTTGCAGGCAGTGGTGGCTCACTGCAGCCTTGACTTCCTGGGCTCAAGTGATCCTCCAGCCTCAGCTTTCCATGTAGCTGGGACTACAGGCATGCGCCACTATACCTGGTTAATTTTTTTTATGGTTTTTTTTTTTAGTAAAGATGGAATCTTGCTATATTGTTCAGGCTGGTCTTGAACTCCTGGGCTCAAGTGATCCTTCCACCTCAGCCTCCCAAATTGTTGGGATTACAGGCCTGAGCCACCACGCCCAGCCCTTCAGTGTAGTGATCTATGGTGGACATCATACCCTTCTGGGGGCATTTTGGATATTGTGGGGATGGTTTTGGTTGTGTTTTGATTGGGGACACTGACATTTATTCAATTATTCAATAGGAGTCCAGGGACACTAGAATTCTGCCACATTCAGGACACTCAGACACAACAAAGTCCCATGACTTATCCATATCCCTTAGAATAATTCATGAGCCTAGAAACTCACTCCATTTTACACAGAACTCTAGGTATTGATGGCAGCTTTCAAAGGACATTGAACATAGAGTTTGTAGTCTCTGCCCACAGACACCACTGTTCCTTTTTCCCTAACTGCCTGTGCAGAGTGCTGCTGAGCCGTGTGGCTTCCTGCTCTTTGATTGGCCTACTCATCACTGGAGGTGCAGACGTCTCGCTGCTTCTGGGGTTTGTCTAGTGTAGCTACACGTAATCATTTTCACATATTTATTATAAGTTCATTTTATAGAAGTTATTATTTTGTATTATCTGTATTATTTTATAACAAGCTTGTTCCCTTTTCCCTCTTTTATATTACAATTAAGACATCATCCTGATTTGCTTTTAGGTTATACATATAGGTAATTCCTATTATTTTTGAATTTCATTTTAGAATAGTAAAGCATCATCATAAGATATCATAAAATACAGTTCAGTCTAATAGGGCTGAGGATCGCTGTTCCCGTGGAACTCTGCTATGGACGTTTGCTAAGAGGCCCAGAATCGGATTTTTCCAGCAAGAACATCCTGATTTTACTGTGGGGAATATTTATCTACTGGACCCAGTCTTGACGACCTTGATGGGCGGTCTTAGTTTGGCAAAGGTTGTTTGCACTGACATTTGAAATCCACCAGAGACCCAGTGCCAATCAGCATGAGAAGTCATCTTCTCAAAGCATCAGTAATTTATGCAAAACAGCACATTCCCCTTCTATTCCATTTTAGTTCATTTCTCTGTTCTCCTTCCAGCTCTTTCCATTCCTCCAGAAAGGTCTTTTCTGTTTAATTCCTGGGTAGAGATGGCTCCTTGTACCCCAGTGTCCTTCCCTTCCTTCAGACAGTGATTTTTAGTTGGGTGCTTGGTCACCTAGGCTAAAGATTGCTGTTCCCAGTCCCCCTGCAGGAGATGTGCCACCTGACCACGATCTGTCCAAAGGGATGTGAGAAGTGAGGGATGCAGGTTATGTGTACCCTTAGAGATGAGTCCTGCTAGCCGGACTCTGTGTACCCTTAGATATAAGAGTCCTGCTGGCAGGACTCTGAGTACAGAAAGGAAGCATCTTGGAGCTTGCTGCCAAAGGTCCTAGCCTAGTGATGGCAAAACAGGAAGACAGGAGGAGCTGGGGTCCCTGACAATGGAGCCGCCACAGCAGCCCTGGGCCATTGCTTTTGACTATTGTGTGCTAGAGAAATAAACTTCTATCTTAACATACTGTTATTTTGTGTGTGGCAAAGCGTGTGCTCATCACAAACCCATTTCTTCTTCCTGGATTCACATGGAGACCACATTTCCAGCGTCCTCTGTATCAGGTGCAGGTATGGAGTGTAAGCTTTCATGGTGGATGCTTCAGGGCATCCAGAACAAAGATGAACGCCCCACAGAGCTATCTTGAGAGCCACAAGCTGAAGGTGGCAGTGCCACAGGAGAGAAGGATCCTGGGTCCCCAAACCACAGGGGGGCACTCCCTACACACAACCAGGAGCATTCGCTTGGACAATTAGAGGAACAAGAAACAAACCTTTATTTGGTAAAGCCACTCACATTTTGGAGTTTGATACCTTGTATGACCTTAATTAATTCAAGTTTATGTCCCAGCTCTCTACATCCTAATCAAAGAGCCCTGAGCACACAAAAGAAAAAGATCTAGGTCTTTCTGGAATTTCTGCATAAAATATTCATAAATTAATTGGTAGAAAGAAACCTGTCAGTCATCCACTTGCACAGCAAATACCCATTGAGCTTCAACTTGAGCACAGTGGTGACAGAATGGAAAAGGAACCTGTAGGGTCCCTGCTCTCCTGGAGCATATGATGGGGACAGTCAGCGGACAGGTCAGTACTGCAGGGATTTTTATGGAAGGAGGTGTGTTAATCGAATTTTCGTGAAACAAATCACATTCTGACTTCCTGCCAATGATATAATTTTATTTTCTGCTTTAGAAATCTTTCTTGGTGTAAAATGATGAATGCTTTCATAATATAAGCAACAAATCCCCACTTTTTCTTGTTTCATCTTCTGTAAGTTCTGGATTCTTTGTCTGGTTTTCTAAAGGCAGTGCACTCTGGTTCAGCAAAGGTTGTTTACATTGACATTTTAAATCCACCAGAGACCTATTGCCAATCAGCATGAAAAACCATCTTCTCAATGCATCAGTAATTTATGCAAAACAGCCCATTCCCCTTCCACTTTGTTTCAGTTTATTCTGAGGCTCTGGCCAGGCCTCTGTCAAGCCTGGTGGCATCTTTCAGGCGTGCACAAATGACCTACAGATACAGGGGTCTCCATTCTCATGGTGAGACTGGGTGAACTCCCAGATGTTCCCAATGCATCCCTTCTGGTAGGTTTCTCCAGGAAGGTACATCCTGCAGAGCCATCCTTTGGCCTGCACCATCTCATTCTGAATTTCTGGCTCAGAAGTCAACAAACTACAGCCTGTGGGCCAAACCTGATTACACTTGATTTTGTAAATAAAGTTTTATTGCAACACGGACACACTCATTCATTTACATATTGACTGTGGCTGCTTTTGCAATAAAATGGGGAGAATTGAGGGCAGAATGGCCTCCACAACCTAAAATATATATATATATTTTGTCCAAGATGGAGTCTCACTCTGTCGCCCAGACTGGAGTGCAGTGGCATGATCTCAGCTCACTGCAGCCTCCATCTACCAGGTTCAAGTGATTCTCCTGCCTCAGCCTCCTGATTAGCTGGTACTACAGGCATGCACCACCATGCCCAACTAATTTTGTATTTTTTTTAGTGGAGACGGGGTTTCACTGTGTTGGTCGGGTTGGTCTCAAACTCCTGACCTCAAGCCATCGCCTGCCTCGGCCTCCCAAAGTGCTGGGATTACAGGCAAGAACCACCACACCCAGCCAAAATACTTTCTATTTTATACCCTCTGGTTCTTTTTAGAAAACGTTTGCCAACTACTGACCTAGATAATTAACTTCCTTGGTTTTGCCTAATTGCCCTGGTTTGGGTAATTCTGTAAGTGTGACCTCTGGCTCCTCCTTACCCTGCATCTTGAAGCTGAACTTGAGTGGATGGAGTTTCTAGTTCTTTAATGGGAATTTGGCTCAGAGTCAATAGAAAGAAAAGAAAAACACACTTTTTAAGGTTTTATATTTTATTAAATTAAATCGGATTGAAAACAAAAAGCAACAGTCCTCAGGTCCTATGTTTTCACCTTCAGTCCATGCCTAGGGTTGACCACTTTTGATAGTTTCAAATTTTTTGGTGCTTCTGGAACTCTAAATATTAACCTTCAAGTTCTAGCTCTAGACTTGTCAACTTCAGAGAGTGGCTATTGACTAGGAAGGCTGACATCCTGCCAATGATATAATTTTTATTTTCTGCTTTAGAAGTAGTGGAGCTTATTAGTTCACTTCTCTGAAGCTAAACAGTCTGGATTTGAAATTCCAATACTAATACGTTCTGGTAAATAAGTTATTTTACTTCTTTTGACCCTCTATTTTTACGTCTGTAATATGGAATAATAATAGAAATGGTCTCATAGTGTCCTTGAGAAGACTGCATGTGTTAATTCACGTAAAACCAAAGTGAAGAGCTTCTTGTATATAAGAAACAGTCCGTACATGATGATTCCTTTGTTTTTTCTTTCACATTTTAAGTAACACTTGAATATCTTTTTTTTTTTTGAGACAGGGTCTTGCTGTGTTGTCCAGGTTGGAATGTAATGGCATGATCATGGCTCACTGCAGCCTTGACATCCTAGGCTTGAGCGATCCTCCCAGCTCAGCCTCCCAATTAGCTGGGACTATGGACCTGTGCCAGCATGCCCAGGTAATTTTTTAAATTATCTGTAGAGAAAGGTCTCCTTATGTTGCCCAGGCTGGTCCCAAACTCCTGGGCTCAACGAATCCTCCTGCCTTGGCCCCCTAGACTGCTAAGACAATAGGCATGAGCCACTGCGACCAGCCAAACTTGAAAGTCTTTCTTTCTTCATCCATCTATGGACATAACCCTTGGCTCCCCAGTTACCAGATGATAATA
Organism: Homo sapiens; assembly: GCF_000001405.40. Taxonomy (NCBI): domain Eukaryota; kingdom Metazoa; phylum Chordata; class Mammalia; order Primates; family Hominidae; genus Homo; species Homo sapiens. Next base: position 48,424,301 of record NC_000020.11, read on the forward strand.
CTATAAATGTACACAGTGCCTACTTTATGTCAATTGCTGTCCTGAGAATTTGACATAAACATTAATTTACTATAATTGGCAACTGCATCCTCCAGTTGCTCAGGCCCCAAACCAGAGAGTCATCTTGGACTTCTCCCTTTCACTCAGCATATGCACTCCATCAGGAATCCTGCTGGCTTCATCTTCGGAATGCATCTCAAATCCAGTCACTTCCTACCCCGTCCACAGTGCCACCCAAGTCCTGGTCATCTCTCACCTGAATTATCACAACAGCCAAAGTACATGCTAGCATCCTTGTAATGATCCACAAGGCACTTACCCCTGAGCCCTGGAGCCCCTCTGTGCATTGCCTTCCATTCCCATACCATTCCACCTACCATCTCCCCTCCCACTGCCCCCTAGCACACTCCCTTATCACTCCCCAGTCACTCTGTCACTCCAAGGCAGCCACAGAGGGCTCCTGCTATTCCTGCACAATCCAGGCACACCCGCCCTCATGGGCTCTGTGCCTGCTGTCCCTCCACCTGGAATGCTGTTCCCGCCTATAAGAAAGTAGCTCACTCTGGTCGGGTGTGGTGGCTCATGCTTGTAATCCCAGCACTTTGGGAGGCCGAGGTGGGTGGATCGGGAGGTCAGGAGTTCGAGACCAGCCTGGCCAACATGGTGAAATCCCATCTCTACTAAAAATACAAAATTTAGCCGGGTGTGATGGTGCATGCCTGTAATCCCAGCTACTCAGGAGGCTGAGGCAAGGGAATCACTTGAACCCAGGAGGCAGAGGTTGCAGTGAGCCAAGATCGTGCCATCGCACTCCAGCCTGGGCAACAAGAGCAAGACTCCATCTCAAAAAAAAAAAAAGAAAGAAAGAAAGAAAGAAAGAAGGAAAGAAAGAAAGAAAGAAAGAAAGAAAGAAAGAAAGAAAGAAAGAAAGAAAGAAAGAAAGAAGGAAAGAAAGAGAAAAGAAAAGAAAAAAGTAGCTCACTCCTTCTCCCCTTCAGGACTCTGCTCAAATGTCACCTAATCAGATAGACTCTCTAACTGATGTATCTAATAGCAGACCACACCATCACTCTCCAAACTGTTGCCCTCTTTAATTTTTCTTAAAGCCCTATCCCTTTTGGACACTATATTAGAAATCTTAGTTAAATCTTTGTTCCCTGCCCCCCTGCAGCCTGGGTCTGGTTTGCTCATTGTGAAGCCCCCATTGTTCCGCCAGAGCTGGTGCACATAGAAACGCAGTGAGCATGGGTGAGTAAATGAGTGAAGGGATCCAGCCGTTTGCTCCCTGCATCCTGTCATCATGCAACACAGTCACAAATGGAACTCCAGACAGCAAGACTTCTCCGCGTGCTGCCTAACTCATTCCATGAGCCACCAGTGGCAGGAGGATCACAATTTTGGAAGCATCAATCCAGCCTCAGGTGGTTTCTACCTCGGGGCCCCGGTCTGCTCACCTTAGTGGACCTGCCTGATGCTGGTGGAGTCTTATTTCCATCTGGGGCCCCTGCACACACTTCGCATCTGGCTGTCCCTGCACACAGGGCCCTTCACTGCCTAAAGCTGTGCCCACCCAGGACCACAACCAGCTTCCGGGGCTCCTGCCCCTGCTGGTCTGCCCCCTCCCTCTTGCTCCCTCAGTTCAGGGCTCTGGTCCTGACAGCTGTCCTCTTAGCTGGAGATGAGAACACAACTGGCATCCACATTCCACCTGGATTTGCATAATCAGGCACATTTACTGCCCTCCCTCACTCTGTGCCATAATTACTGACTTGCTCTGCATTCAACACTTTTCAACTCCATACACGTCCCTTCTCCCTCCTGCATTTTTAAGGTGGTTATTACAGATATGGCAGACACGGCTTTCCCAGACATGAATCTGGCTTTAAAAATGCAAAAAGATCTTTATGCCCATTTATGTAATTATTTCTGCCTCTAAAACTGGGGGCACCAGCATGTTTAGTCACTTGAGGGGAGGGGAAGACCTGTAGTGTATTCTCTACAAGCATTTGCCTTTTTAAAAAATGCACAAGACCCTTGTTTCCTGCATTTTCCCAAGAGGGGAAATACCTCTTGGTCCCTGAGAGTCAGACAGGGTGCCTTGGCCAGGATCCCATGACAGCTCAGTCCGACAGAAGAGCTTGCAAGGAAGGATGATGCTACCGTCTATGGAAAAGATGAGTGTGCAAATTCTCTAGATCGGGCTTCTCACTTTTTACTGTAACCCTCGGTTAGAGATATGTGTTTTATCAGACATGGTGTAAACACACTTGTGCACTTAGAGAGACAGAGAGAGAGAAAAAGCGAGAGTTAGCACAGAAAACAACAGTTATCCTTACCACATACAGGCACAGGGCATTTTCTCTTCTATTGCATTCTATCCTATCAATTCTGATATATTTCATTCAATTTCATCTTTTTTTAATGCTGGCTAGATCAACTGAATTGATTTCATGACTCATTAAGGGGTGGCAGGTGTGGTTTGGAAACTGTGCTGTATGATGGCATTGTCCTTTCATCATGGAAAGCCAAGCCCCTCCAGATATCTCACTTGACGAGATCCCTAGAGGCAAGCTGAACTCTTTTCCTCTGGAAGCCTTGCATCACAGCATCAAGAAATAATAGATTTTGTTCAATGAAAGATTCCTATGACTCTGGAGATGCAGTGAGCAAAACCCACAATGCAAGAGATGACCTGGTTGTTTCAAAAAATAATAATTATTATTATTTTATTTATTTATTTATTTTTGAGACAGGGTCTTGTTCTGTCGCCCAGGCTGGAGTGCAATGGCTCGGTATCGGCTCACTGCAACCTCTGCCTCCCAGGTTCAAGCGATTCTCCTGCCTCAGCCTCCTGAGTAGCTGGGATTACAGGCACGCGCCACCATGCCCGGCCAATTTTTGTATTTTTAATAGAGATGAGGTTTCACCATGTTGGCCAGGCTGCTCTCGAACTCCTGACCTCAAGTGATCTGCCCGCCTCAGCCTCCCAAAGTGCTGGGATTACAGATGTGAGCCACCGCGCCTGGCCCAATAATTATTTTTAAAAACGGAGGATGTGATAGATTCGTGCTGTCCGATTCGGCAGCCACAAGCCACAAGCCACAGGCGTCCACTGAGCCCTTGAACTACGGCTGGTCCAAACTGAGATGTTCTCTAAGTATAAAATACACCCCTGGTTCTGAAGACTTTGCATGCAGAAAGATTGTAAAGTATCTCGTTCAATAATTTTACTGTTACATGTTAAAATGGTACTTTGGATATACTGGGTTAAATAAATTATCAAAATTAATTTTACGTATTTCTTTTTACTTTTTTTTTTAAGTTGGCTCTTGGAAAATTTTAAATGATGCATGTGACTCACATGGTAATATTGTGGAACTGACCAACAATCCAAAGAAACCAACTGAAAAAAATTGAGACCACTGGGGAAATTTGAAAATGGGGTGTTTGAGGATATGAAAGAAACATTATTAATTATTTTTTAAGTGTGATAATTTTGTTACAAAAAATGTTATTTTTTAGAAATATTTACAGATGGACAGATGTATTTGAGATTTACTTCCAAGTAACAGAATGAGGGGGCAAAAAAAAAAAACAAGTAGGGGATGGCTGTAGCTGAAACCAGTTTGGCCACAGGGGCTGAGGCTGGGTGATGGGTATACAAGGCTCACTCCATCATTCCTTTTACTTTTGCATGTTTGAAATTTTCTAAAATCTGAAATAAAATTTTGAAAAGACTGGAGAAATTTACTACATTAAAAAATCATAGACAAAACCAAATCAAACCCCAAACAGACAGCATATGTGATCAGTGTGGCAGGTTGTGTGGCTGTAATGGTGGATTCTAGAGTGGGACAGTCTGGGTACGGATCCAGACATTGCCCCTCACCTGTAAGCTGTGTGACCCTGGGAGAGTTATGTAACCTCTCTGTGCTGCAGTTCCCTCCTTCGTGAGTGGGGATAAGAATACTGTATCTATACAGTGGGGTCAGGGTACTCCTTCCCTATGACTGCTTTGACAGGCTGCCATTAACTCTGTGGCTTAAAACTATGCATATTTATGATCTTACAATTCTGGAAGTCAGAAGTCAAAATAGGTCTACAGCAGCAGTCCCCAACCTTTTTGGAACCAGGGACTGGTTTTGTGGAAGACAATTTTTTCACAGACCAGGGATGGGCACGTTTTCGGGATGATCCAAGCGCATTACATTTATGGTTCACTTTATTTCTATTATGATTACACTGTAACATATAATGAAATAACTATACAACTCACCCTCATGTAGAAATCAGTGGGAGCCTGAGCTTGTTTTCCTGCAGCTAGACGGGTCCCATCTGGGGGTGATGGGAGATGTGTCCGATCATCAGGCATTAGATTCTCATAAGGAGGACACCACCTAGATCCCCCACATGTGCAGTTCACAATAGGGTCTGCGCTCCTATGAGAATCTAATGCTGCTGCTAATCTGACAGGGTGGAGCTCAGGCAGTAATGTGAGCAATGGTGAGTGGCTGTAAATACAGATGAAGCTTCACTCGCTTGCCCGCCGCTCACCTCCTGCTGTGCAGCCTGGTTACTAAAAGGCCACCGACCGGTACCAGTCCATGAAACAGGGGTTGGGGACCCTTGGCCTAGAGAATTGTGTTCCTTCTAGAGGTCCTCTCTGTTTTCTTATACTTTCCAGCTTCTAGAGACAGACTGCATTTATTGGCTCATGGTCCCTCCTTCCATCCTCAAAGCCAGCAGCATAGAATCTTCTCTTTACTTTGACCTCCTACTGTCCATTCATATAAAATCCCTCAAGGTTACCTTGGGTCCATCCAGATAAGTGAGGAGAATCTCCCTGCCTAAAGATCCTTAATTTAATCACACATGCAAAGTTTCTTTGCCATGTGAAATAACACATTCCACTTTTGGGAATGAGGATATAGACATCTTTGATGGGACATTATTTAACCCACCATCATGGAATTGTTATGAAGATTAAATATGTTGAGCACTTACAAGCATTCCTGGCACCTATGTAATCATTAATTAGGCATTAATAATTAATATTATGATTATCATTATTGTTATGTAGTGTTCATATTGAACCCATCAGAAAAAATGTTGCAGCCAGGTGTGGTTTGTAACTGAAGGAAACTTAGAAAAAGTTTAAGTAACTTAGAAAAAGGCTGTTGTATGTCCTTTGTCCCCCTTCAATTTCATTTCTTCCTCTTTCCTGCTGGCTGGGCAGTGGGTGTAATGGCTGGAGCTGGGGCTAACATTTTGTACCATGAGGCGGCCCAGGGAATGGAGGCCACTCATGGCAGATGAACAAAAATAAATAAATGTGGCACCATGAGGGCTTGGTAGAGCACAACCCCACACCCAACCTTGGATTGTCTACCTCAGCCTGTCACACAGGAGACAAAAATAAATTTATACTGTGCTCAACCTCTTGTTATCTTGGGCCTGGGTCACTCACAGCAGAATGTAATCCTATGAATACTTTAATTTTAATCTGTTTCTCATCAATCATAAGAGATGTCAAATGCACCAAGAGGCCACAGAATGAAATATGAAAACAGTCTGTGTCTGCAGAGCCAAAGGGCTTTGCTGTTTGCTTTTCAATATATGGGACTAAGAAGGGAGGTAATGTAATCATCCCAGCTTGTCTGAACTGAGGTTTCATTTATTTCTTCCTTTTCTTATCATATTTTTAAATGACATGGTTCTTGATGCAGCAAAAACAACATGAAAAGAAGATCAAACTCAGGCTATAAAGTCATGTGTGGAAGGAAATGACGAGCTCAGGTGGAAAGGACTCTGTGACCTCTTTGAGCCCACATCCCTCACCTTTCCTCCTTGGCCTCTGTTCTTCTAGTTCTGTGCACATAACAGCTCCTCTGGGCTGCCTCCCCTGGTCCCCTGAGGGACCAATGATTCTACGTGCATTATTCAGTGTCTTTCATTACGTTGTCAACATCTACAGACATGTTGTGGACACTTTGTGTTTTCTTTCCCAATATCCATTCTTCCCTCTTCTGACAATAATATTTGGGGCTCCTTCTCTCCCTGTTCCCCAATTCATGTGATCAAGAGGTGCCTTTTTCCTAACCTTTAGAGATAAAAGCCTGTCCTGGGCAAACACAGTAATTCATGCCTACGATTCCAGCACTTAAGGAGGCTGAAGTGGAAGAATCGCTTGAAGCCAGGAATTCCAGGCTGCAGTGAACCACAATCATGCCACTGCACTCCAGCCTGGGTGACAGAGAAAGACTCCATCTCTAAAAAATTTTAAAAATTTTTTTAAAAGCCTGTCCCTGTATCATATTCTCTGGGCCACAGTGATTGAGTCAGTGGCTGTCACATTACCCAAGCTGGTCCCATCAGGGCAAGTCTTAAGACTTTTATGGAAGATTTCAGGAGAGACTTTGAGGGGTGGGAGAGGAGGATCAGGCTGATCCTGAGGCAGCTTGATTAAGCCTGAGGGGAAAACCGGAAGTTTCCAGAATTTCTGAGAACAAGGAAGAAACCTTGGGCTAAAGGTATTAGTTGAGTCCCTAGATTGAGCCATGCCTAACTCAGATTTACTTCCCAACCCTATATTTTAGTATGTCATGAAATGCCTCATTTGTTGAAACAACTCCAACCTAGGGTTTCTGTCACTTGCAGTAGAAACAGTCATACGGATGGCCTGAATGCAGATCTCCCAGAAGCAGCCCTAAGAAAGAATTTGAGTGCAGTGGGTTGATTTGGGAGGCAATGTCAGGAAGCACCAGGAGGGGAATTGAAGCAAGAGAAGGAAGGAAGTCAGTACAGAGTGAGGACCCGAGGAGAAGGAAGGAAGTCAGTACAGAGTGAGTATCTGAGGAGAAGGAAGGAAGTCAGTACGGAGTGAGGACCCGAGGAGAAGGAAGGAAGTCAGTACAGAGCGAGTATCTGAGGAGAAGGAAGGAAGTCAGTACAGAGCGAGTATCTGAGGAGAAGGAAGGAAGTCAGTACAGAGTGAGGACCTGAGGAGAAGGAAGGGAGTCAGTACAGAGCGAGTATCTGAGGAGAAGGAAGGAAGTCAGTACGGAGTGAAGACCCGAGGAGAAGGAAGGAAGTCAGTACAGAGCAAGTATCTGAGGAGAAGGAAGTCACTATACAGTGAGGACCCGAGGAGAAGGAAGGAAGTCAGTACAGAGTGAGTATCTGAGGAGAAGGAAGGAAGTCAGTACGGAGTGAAGACCCGAGGAGAAGGAAGGAAGTCAGTACAGAGCAAGTATCTGAGGAGAAGGAAGTCACTATACAGTGAGGACCCGAGGAGAAGGAAGGAAGTCAGTACAGAGTGAGTATCTGAGGAGAAGGAAGTCAGTAGAGAGTGAGTATCTGAGGAGAAGGAAGGAAGTCAGTACAGAGTGAAGACCCGAGAAGAAGGAAGGAAGTCAGTACAGAGTGAGTATCTGAAGAGAAGGAAAGAAGTCAGTAGAGAGTATCTGAGGAGAAGGAAAGAAGTCAGTACAGAGCAAGTATCTGAGGAGAAGAAAGGAAGTCAGTACAGACCGAGGACCCAAGGAGGTTCTGATCTGGGCCACTAGGGCTTCCTCCCACTGGGGGCCTCTTGAAGAGCTGGGCTGTTTGTGCACTGACTCCTGTCTGTCGCTGGTTGTGGAAGGTTCCTAGAGTCATAACTGCCTGACCCTTCCCCCTACATGGGCTGAGCATGCCCCAGCAGCCAGAGAAAGCCCCTGGCCCACAGTTGGAGGGGCTGGTTATAGGAAGCCGTTGCATAGATGTAAACCAGGAGCCTAAGGACCAGGCACAAAAGCCTCTGTCACACTGTCCCTGCAGCTGGGGTGAGTCTGCGAGTAGCTAAAACTGTTACAGGAAAGGAGTACCAATCCAGACCCCAAGAGAGGGTTCTTGGATCTCACACAAGAAAGAATTCAGGGCAAGTCCACAGAGTAAAGTGAAAGCAAGTTTATTAGAAAAGTAAAGGAATAAAAGAATGGCTAGTCCGCAGACAGAGCAGCCCTGAGGGTGGGCCCATTTTTATGGTTATTTCTTGGTGATATGCCAAACAAGGGGCGGATTATTCATGCCTCCTATTTTTAGACCATATAGGGTAACTTCCTGACGTTGCCATGGCATTTGTAAACTGTCATGGTGCTGGGGGGAGTGTAGCAGTGAGGACAACCAGAGGTCACTCTCGTGGCCATTTTGGTTTTGGTGGGCTTTGGCTGGCTTCTCTACTGCAGCCTGTTTTATCAGCGAGGTCTTTATGACCTGTATCTCGTGCCAACCTTCTCATCCTGTGACTTAGAATGCCTGTCTGGGAATGCCCTTTATGACCTGTATCTCGTGCCAACCTTCTCATCCTGTGACTTAGAGTGCCTGTCTGGGAATGCAGCCCAGTAGATCTCAGCCTCATTTTACCCAGCTCCTATTTAAGATGGAGCTGCTCCGGTTTACATGCTTCCTACAAAACCAGGCTTGGCTTTATTTTCACCTCCACATTCCCAGCGTGTCTGCTGACTAAATGGATGAATCCATCTTTGGAGTTTTTTTTACCCTTGGAGGGTAGGAGGAATTTTTCAGCCGGTGGGTTCAGCAGGAGCTACAGTGACTGAATGGCCCCTAAAAAGTAGCAAATGTCTGAGTTGCCATTTGTTGAAGGTTCATGGAAATGCCAAGTCCAAGTGGCAATTAGCATGAGTCTGTGGGATTTCCCGCCTGAAAAGCAAATGAAGGATTTCTTCTATTCTTCTGAATTGTAAACCAAGAATAAAATTCTAAGCCCCCCAAGCAACTGAATGGACCCCTCCTGTCAGCCAAGGGTACCCTAAATCAACCTGAAACACTAGTTCAAGCCACGATGGGAATGGATGGTCAGACAGGCCTCATTACACCTCGTCCTTTTGCAGTTGAGGCACAGCTGACCAGCATTAACATTAAAACAGAGTCCTAAAGACTGACAATAGACTTTTTATAGCAATAAGATACCAACATGACAGCGGGCTCTGAAAGAAATTGAAGTATTTTACCCTAAAATATATTTCTTTGACATATTGTGAAATAGCCCTGATAAGAAACATGTATTAGGTTGGTGCAAAAGTAATTGCGGTTTTTGCCATTTAAAGTAATGGTATTAAAAGTAATTGTAATGCCATTAAAAGTAATACAATCTCTTCTCTCTAAAGCCAGCTACTTGGAGGCTTCATCTGTGTAATAAGAACCTCAGTCACCACAGCCCCTTATCTTAACCCAGACACTCCTTTCTATTGATTCCGAGACTTTAGGTAACCACTTAACTCTTTCAACCAATTGCCAATCAGAAAATCTTTGAATCCACCTATGTCCTGGAAGCACCCCACTTTGAGTTGTCCCACCTTTTTGAACCAAACCAGTGTACATCTTACATGTATCGATTGATGTCTTATGTCTCTCTAACATGTATAAAACCAAGCTATAGTCTGACCCCCTTGGGCACGTGTTCTCAGGCTCTCCTGGGGCTTTGTCATGGGTCATGGTCACTCAAATCTGAATGTGACCATGGATCGTGGTCACTCACATCAGAATAAATCTCTCCAAATACTTGACAGGGGTTGATTGTTTTCATCAACGATAATAGAAGATAGTTTCATTTAAGGAAAGCTTTGAAAGTCAACAAAACTCCAGGCATTTCTTTTAAGGGCGCCCCCGCCCACCACCCTTTGTTTTTCCCTTCACAGATAAAAACAGGGAGTTCCCTCCCAAGCAACAAGGCTCTTGAAGTGGAGTGGGGATGAAGGGGCACTTCGTCTCAACAGGGCCTCCCTTGGAGAATTTAATGTCTGCTGGATGCTCCCTTGAAAAGAAATAAACCTCATATGCCAAATATTTAGCCCTCCAAAACTGATAAAGGAGGAAAGGGAATTACCATTTCAGCAGGGGATAACTTACTTTCAGATTTTTTTTTTTTTAAAGACAGAGTTTCATTCTTGTTGCCTAGGCTGGAGTGCAGTGGTGCAATCTCAGCTTACTGCAATCTCTGCCTCCTGGGTTCAAGAGATTCTCCTGCCTCAGCCTCCAGAGTAGCTAGGATTACAGGCACCCACCAACACACCCAGCTAATTTTTGTATTTTTACTAGAGATGGGGTTTCCACATGTTGGCCAGGCTGGTCTTGAACTCCTGACCTCAAGTGATCTGCTCGCCTTGGCCTCCCAAAGTGCTGGGATTATAGGCATGAGCCACTACACTCTGCCCAGCCCAGACTTTTGAATGTCATTTGGTCTAACCGCCAATTCACTCATTCAACAAGTATTTATTGAGCACCTGCTATGCATCAAGTATAGAATCTAAGCACCACAGAACTTACATCCTAGTGGAGAAAATAACGATAGTCAACACTTACAAGGTACTTACCATACGTCATGCGCTGTTCTAAGTTCTAGTTTGTGTGGTTTTCATCCTTTGCACATCTTTGAGGAACTTTGTCTTGGAGGAGGAAAGATCCATTCAACACTACATTAAATCCATTTGGCATCCTGACCAATTCAGCCCAGCACACACAGGAAATGCGCTTATGTGCTGCCCAAGACATCTCTGTGACTGCACAGGTGTGGGGTGTCATTGATGGTGCAGCCAGCATCCAACCCCCAACCCCATCCTCCTTCCCAAGAGTCCTGGACTTGTTTACGAGCCTCCTGCTCCCCTCTGCATCTCATGGGCCTCGGAGATGCTGACTGCGCTCCAGCTATGGAGCTGCTCAAATTTAATCCCATCTTCCTGGACTGTGATTGAGTCAAGGGTGAACAGGATACCCACCTGAGCCAAGGGTGTTCTAGGAGGTGTCTGCTGGATCCTTGCAAGCAATGCCTTCCTTGCACTTTTGGGAGACATTCCAGAAATGACCCCGTTACTCCTGCTGGACGGGAACAGAGGTCAAACAGGAAGCAGGCAGACTGTGGGCAGCAGACCAGAAAGATGGAAAACCTCTGGGCCCTCAAGGACATCTTCAGGTAGCTGAATGAACCAAGCTTGCAGCCCACCCTGCCTTAATGGTCGAGATACACAAGCCAGCACACTACGTTACAGATGGAGCCTCTGTGCAATGTGGGCTCTGTGAGTGCAGGCAAAGCTATCTTGATTCATAATTCATCCCATTTACGGTGTTGACAGAGGGCTTTGAGCTGATGTTTTACAGTTTGTTGTGGTTATCATTGTTCATTTTCTTACTCTTTGCTTTTTACCCTCAGACCATGGTTGAAATTTTATTTTACCAAGAATATTCAGACCACTGTTATAGCCATGAATGTCATATAAGGGGAACACTAGATTTTAAAATAGAGGTGATTTTTTAATGATCACAAGTGGGTTGGAGTTTGAAACATAACATGATTATTAATTGATGAATTTTAAAACTCACAAGTGCTTCCTCAGGTGATAAACCAAGATGATTTGTACCTAAGACCAGACTTTCTCTGGCTCTATGGGCAACTAAGTTACTTAAAAGTGTCTCTTTTTTTCTGGGACCTTTTTGTTTTGGAATTTTTAAAAGGCTTAATTTTTTTTTAGAGCGGTGTTTAGGTTTACACAAAAATGGAACAGAAGGAGCACACCCCCACCTCTCCCCCAGGGTGACACAGTGACCAGGCTTCTTCCCACCTGTGGCCCTCCCATCTACAGCACAGGCCTCTCACAGTGGCCCAGGGGACAGTCTCCAGTCCACTCAGTCATCTTCAGCATGCACCTCTGTGGGGTAAGCTTGATTCACCAATATCTCTAAAAGGATATTTTCTTTTCCTCCATTTTTTTTCCAGAGACGGGGTCCTGCTGTGTCTTCCAGAGTGGAGTGCAGTGGCATGATCATAGCTCACTGCAGCCTCGAATTCCTGGACTCCAGAGATCCTTCCAACTCAGCCTCCAGAGTAGGTAAGACTACAGGCACGAGCTACCAAACCAGGCTTTTTTTTTTTTTTTTTTTTTTTTTGGTAGAAACGGGGTGGTCTTATATTGCTCAGGCTGGTTTCGAACTCCCGGGCTCAGGTGATTGGCCTGCCTCGGCCTCCCAAAGTGCTGAGATTCCAGGTGAGTGCCACCACGCCCAGCCCACATTTTACATTTGATCATTGTTTGTGTATGTACAACATGAATGAATGACGGTTGCATGGAGAGACAGAGAGACTGAGGAAAATACAGCTCAGCCGTCCAAATACATTACCTCCCACATTTTTTAAAATCTGTTAAACTTCCTCTGACCCCCTCCCAAGTACCGTGATGTGATGGAGACAATGTCATCAGTGGCTTACTCCTGAGACCCAGACCAACAGGGAACTCCTCGGAGAGATTTTGATGCTCCACATTTTAACTACATTCCTATTTCCTACCAATTTCTCAATATAATTCCCAATGTAATTTATGTAGATTTTTTTTTTAAAGAAAATATGGCCTTGGTGGGAATGCTGGTCTTGCAGCTGCTTCCTCCCATGTATTCCACCCATGCACACAGCCCTAGACTCACTCCAGCTAGGAAGGAGGCTGCGTTCAATATAAATGCAAAACGCTCCAGACATTCATGATTATCTGTGCTGTGCATGAATAACGACAGCAGCTTGCAAGTGGGCAGGACTTGGCGGCGAGGCCCCATCACAAATCCACTGCCACACCAACACGCTCCAACGAAGTGCCTGTGAAATCTGCCTTCAGTCACTAATTTCACACTCCAGGGACAGAGCTGAGAACAGCTCCGAGCTCATAATTCTCATTTTAATAACAGTTTCCTTAACCTTCAGACACTCTTTACAGCACTTTTTGACACCTTTTCAAAAATTAAAATCCTCGATTCCTTTCAGGTTAAATCTCAGGTTTGCTTTCGTTTAATCATCCCTTTAATTTTGTGACTTCACAAATAGCAGAGATTTTATTTTGTCTTCAGATACCTTGCAACACTTTCTCTAGCTTGGTTGCATTTTTAAAAATCAAAATGAATCGTTCACATATTCTACATTCATTATTCTGTCTCCTGCAGCGTTCTAAATAATGTAGGTATTGTAGATGCTTCTGTGATGAGCACGGAACGCATTTGCAATGCCCTGCTAAAATATGCTTTTCATCTCCTTTCAGATCATAAAATGAGTTTTCTTCTCTTGGTTTCTGAAGGCCTGAGAAATACTCTTCTCTTCTGGAATGTATTGCAAGACACAGGGGAGGGTCCTTTGGGACAGAGGATAAGATGAGTCTGATTAACTGGACCAATGAAATTGACAGACGAGCAGGCATGGCTCCAAAGTGGGAAACTTACAAGAATTTTGGTGACTGGATTTATGAACCCCAAAGAGGTTTGTACCTGGAATTATGGTTTGATTGTTTCTGTGGTCAGCTGACTTGGTTGTACTTTCCCATCAGTGACTCAGCCCAGGTGAGACAACTATTCAGATGCAAGAATATTATGATAGTATGGCTCAGTGGCTATATACAAATTGCACTGGTTTGTTACTTAAATTGGCTTGTTAGAATTCTTTTTTTTTTTTCGAGACAAGGTCTTACTCTGTTGCCCAGGCCACAGTACAGTGGCACAATCACACCTCACTGCAGCCTCCACCTCCTGGGCTCAGGCAGTCCTCCCACCTCAGCCTCCTGAGTAGCTGGGATGACAGGTGCATACCACCATACCCAGCTAATTTTTGTGTTTTTTGTAGAGATGAGGTCTTGCTATGTTGGCCTATGCTGGTCTCAAACCCCTGAGCTCAAGCGAACCTCCCATCTTGGCTTTCCAAAGTGCTGGGATTACAGGCATGAGCCACCACACCTGGCCAGAATTCTTTTAATAAGCTATGGTTCACATGGTTGTACATTTTAAAATGAGATTTGACATCAAGAAAATAATAAATTAATCCTAATTTTGAGTTCCTAGTGCAAGTCTCTCCAGTTCTCAGAGACTCTAGGGGAAAATGCATTCCTTGCTTCCTCTAGCTGCAGGTGGCCGTTGGCATTCCTTGGCTTGTGGCCACATCCCTTCAATCTCTACCTTTGTGGTCACATTGCCTCCTCCTCTTGTGACCAGCTGTCTGATCTCCCTCTGTCTTTCTCTTGTAAGGACATGTGTGCTAGCACTTACAGCCTGCCTGGATAGTTCAGAATCAACTCCCCAAGATTCTTAACTTAATCACACTATTTGCCACATAAGGTAATGGTCACTCTTTTGCCATACAAGGTGATATTTTAGGCTCCAAGCATTAGGATGTGGACATGTCTTTTTAGGGGCTACTGCTGAAGTCACTGCAAGGTCCTAACTCTTTTCCTCTTTTGAGATGGTGAAAAAGGATTTCCTTTGTAGAGGGGGACAATCTGGGGTGTTATGTTAGTTTCCTATTTGCTGTCATAATAAATTACTGCAGGGACAGGCACAGTGGTTCACGCCTATAATCCCAGGACATTGGGAGGTTGAGGTGGATGAATCACCTGAGGTCAGGAGTTTGAGACCAGCCTGGCCAACATGGCGAAACCCCGTCTCTACTAAAAATACAAAAGTAGCCAGCCATGGTGGCACGTACCTGTAATCCCAGCAACTCGGGAGGCTGAGGCAGGAGAATTGCTTGAACCTGGGTGGCGGAGGTTGCAGTGAACAGAGATCCTGCCACTGCACTCCAGCCTGGGCGACAGAGGGAGACCCTATCTCAAAAAAAAATTAATTAATTAATTAATTAATTTAAAAATTACCACAAATTCAGCAGCCCTGTTTTTTCTTGGCATATTCCTCTCATCACGTTCTAGCTTTCTGTCTATCCAAGCAGTAATGATCCCAACAATTCTTCTTTCCTATCCTATTGGATTCTCCTCCCATTCCACATTTCCACACCTCTGCTAAAGCACATTCCTTGCCACTCTGCTGACTATTGCAAACCCCAACCCAACCCTGACTCTGTCTCCTCTGCCAAGCCCCCATGAGGTTTGCTCTTCTGCTGTGGAGTTCACTAAAACAACAGCATTTTCCAGCATGTTCCTTCCCTTGATCAAAAGCCTTCCATGCCTCTCCTCACCCCAGCAATCTGGCCCAAAGCAGACCCTGAGAATACACAAGATGATTTCCAGGATAACCCAGATGAACATCTTTTTAAAGGCCCATGTTTATTTTATCAGTTTCAGGGTAAAGAGTAGTCGGAAAATGAAACTCATGTCTTCACAAATATTTATGCTTAGGATGCAGCTGTAGGTGAAGTAAAGAAAATGGAATCCATTCAAATAAATATAATAAGTAAATTAATATCCAAATGGAAGGCAGGTAGGGACAAATGATGGTGGTAGTAAACGGATTATTAAAGTCTGAAAAGTCCTGACCCACAGGATAAATTCTAAATTAGTTTGGAAAAAAAAGAATATTGACTCTCTGAGCCAGTCTTGCTCCCAGCATGACTACTATCTAAAACATCCATATTTTTGCCAGACGTTTTCTCAGCATCCCCTGAACTAACCACCTCATGCTCATGGGTTTCTCCCACCTGCCATGTCCCCCACCCCTCATCTTGCTCGTGTGAATCCTTTGAGACCCAGCTCATGCTTTACCCCCTCCAAGAAGCCTTCCCTGCATGCCAGCTCCTCTGAGATCTTTTCCTCTCCTGGCTGCCTATGGTGCCTATCGCTTGAATGTCTCCTTTGTGCTTTCTCCACAACCCATCTGGTGCTTTCTCCCTGAGTGATGTCCCTAAAATACAGACACTGCCTCTCACCAGAGACCATCAGAGGGCATTGTTTTTAGAAGGCTTGGGATTTTAGTTGCAAAGATACCCCCTACCCATCCTAAAGGTGCAAATTCTCTTTTGGGCAAAAAGCCCCTTAAGAACAGCAGGTCACTGAAATCCAACTCAAATAGGCATACACAAAAAATTCATATGTGGTTTGCATAATTAATAGTTTGGTGGCCAGGTGTGGTGGCTCACGCCTATAATCCCAGCACTTTGGGAGGCCAAGCTGGGCAAAGTTCGAGACCAGCCTGGCCAACAATGGTGAAACCCCATCTCTACTAAAAATACAAAAATTAGCTTGGCACGGTGGCATGTGTCTGTAATCCCAGCTGCTTGAGAGGCTGAGGCAGGAGAATTGCTTGAACCCGGAAGGTGGAGGTTGCAGTGAGCCAAGATTGTGCCACTGCACTCCCGCCTGGGTGACAGAGCAAGACTCCATCTTGGAAAAAAAAATAGTTTGGGGTGAGGGGTTTCAGGCATGGCTGGATCCAGTAGCTCAAATCCTGTCTTCAAGGCTCCATTACTTGCACTGTTTTCTGCATTCTACACACACACACAGGCAAGTCCCTCTCTGTTTGCTGGTCCAGTTTTACATCCTGACAGTAACAGATCCCAGGTTATTTTTCCCACTAGCTTTTATTGACCTGAATTGGATCATGTGATGGTTAGTGAGTCACTCTGGCCAAGGAGAAGTGGGGAGTAGAATATACTGATTGGCCAGACCTGGATCATTGGATCATGAGCCTATATCTGGAACTGGAGAGGAGTAGGGCCAATTCTTCCATATAGAGTGAAGGGGCAATAGGAGAGGTCGCCAAAAATAAAATCAGGACCGGGCTTCCAGGAGAAGAAGGAACAGATGCTCTGCAGACAGAAGCGACAGCTGACCCCATGACATTCTGTGAATGAGACAGGTAGGAAACTTGTGTATTCAACACACTGTAGCAGGAGTCCCCAACCCCTGGGCCACGGGCCAGTACCAGTCCATGGCCTGTTAGGAACAGGGCTACACAGCAGGAGGTGAGTGGCGGGCCAGTGAGCATTACCACCTGACCTCTGCCTCCTGTCAGATCAGCGGCGGCATTAAATGCTCATAGGAACGTGAACCCTATTGTGAATTGCGCAAGCGAGGGATCTAGGTTGTGTCCTCCTTAGAAGAACCTAATGCCTGATGATCTGAGGTGGAACAGTTTCATCCTGAAACTATCCCCCCTACTCCAGTCCATGGAAAAATTGTCTTCCATGAAACTGGTCCTTGGTGCCAAAAAAGTTGAGGACCGCTGTACTATGGGAAAGAAGACAATGACATTAGAGGCAGGGAAAAAATACGATTATGAGGAAGTCGGTGGGGCTGGTATTTGTGGGTATCTTGTTATTGTTGTTTGATTGAGAAAAGAATTGTAAAGATGCGTAACACGTCAATGCTTTGAAAAAGAGGAAAGTGTTTTGTGAGGTGTAATGTATTATGCAAACAAAAGGCAACGTGGAAATTACCACTGAAGACCGAAGATAGTAAATCCTTATTCCCTCGGGATCTCTGGTTTTTATAGAGAGATTAGGTTTTGTTTACCTGTTTTAAATATTAAACTTTCAGTTTTGTGCCTTAGTTCTTTAAGAGAAAGAATGTATGTCTTTATATAATGTGGATCATCAGCTCCATTTGATCTAAAGCTAAAGCTCTCTCTAAATCTTTTATCTGACTCAGGGCTTTGCTGATGTGTCTGCACTTAGCCTCTGTTAAGTAAAGAACGGTGCCACAGACGGAAACTGGCTACAGAGAACAGGCTCCTTGGGGTGTCCATGAGAAAATTCTCCTATCCCCTGATAATAAGAGTGGATCAAAAAAGGAGAGAAAGGATTAAGAAGCAAAAACCTCATTGTGGCTGCAGGAAGCAAATATCACTATTCCCCTCTCTTTCTACTCCCCTCTCTTTCTGTCCCAGTCAACAGTTTGTGAAATTTCTCCATGTTCCCACCACACTCCCCACTCCATATACCCCAGGAACGCTGGCCTCAGTTCTGGTCCTTCGAAGATTCTGGTCCTAGTAGATTGAAATTCCTTGAAACAGATGAACCTCATCTAGGTTGTTCACTGCTGTTTGCTTATAACCTAGTCTCTTAGTCCATTTAGGCTGTTATAACAGAATACCATAAACCGGTACCTTATACACAACAGGAATTCATTTCCCACAGTTCTGGAGGCTGAGAAGGCCAAGATCAAGGCAGTATCAGATTTGGTGTCTGGTGAGGGCCTGCTTTCTGATTCATAGATGGCACCTTCTTCCTGTGTCCTCAAACGACAGAAGGGGCAAGGCAATTTTCCAGGGCCTCTTTTATAAGAGCACTAATCCCATTCTTGAGGGCTCTGCCCTCTTGATGTAATCACCTCCCAAAGGCCCCACCTGTAATATCCTCACATTGCTAATTAGGTTTCAACACATGAGTTTTGCAGGAACACAAACATTCAGACCACAAACATTCAGACAAACATTCAGCTACCTAGCCCGGTAGCTGGTGTGAAAGAGGCACTCAATAGATATTTGTTGAATGAATGTATTCCCTCATCAATGAAATGTGGTATCACTCATCTTTTTAGGGATGTGTTGCTTTGTTCCATTTCTTTTGTGTGTATCTGATCTCTAGTGAAATGATGAGGTTGAGGGGGTCAACCACTAGAATAACCCCAGAGCTTCTCAGCCTCAGCACTACTGACATTTTTTATCCAGATAATTCTTTGCTGCTGGGAGTTGGCTTTTACATTGCAGGATATTTACTAGCATCCTTGGACTTTATCCACTGGATGCCAGTAGCAGGTATGGATGCATGTGCATGCACACACACACACACACACACACACACACACACACACAGTTGTTACAACCAAAACTGTCTGTAAATATTGCTGATATTCCCTAGGTTCTACAATTGGCGTTGGTAGAGAGTCCTTGTACTAAACTAGCATCATAATAAGCACCAAATGAGTGCTCAATGCAGTCTTGTTGGATGAGAAAGTGCACTTCAGTTTTACCTGCCTCGAGGATTTTAGACCATCACTCTCCTAAAATCTTGCACCTTTGCTAATGCTTCAGTTCACTCCTCAAGCACCTGATGAGCACTTGTGAAATACAGGCCCTCTGTTCTGGGCACTGAAGATCCAGAACAGCATGATCCAGTCCTGGACTCAAAGAACTCATGTCTATCAGGGGAAATGAACAAAAAATATCAGGCTGTGACAGGTCCTACCATGAAGGCCACGATGGAGGTTAGGGCAGCACCAAGGAAGGGGGCGGTCAGGCTGGAAGGGCAGGGGCTTCATAAAGCAGAAGCTCTGTTTTGTTCCAGCCACACTCCAGAACAAAGAGCATGTCCTGGCCCACAGGAGCCACTCAAGAAATATTGGCTACTGAAAGACCTCCAGGAGGAGCAGGGATTGAAACACCAAAAGAAACTGATAATCTTGGCGGCTCTGAAGATATTGCATCGGGGGCCTGTTTTTATCCTAAAGAGAGAGATGAGTAAGTTGGCTCCATCAGGGAATCTGGAAGTAAATCAGGGCCCAGACTGGTTTTGGGGGAAACCAATGGTGAACCCTAGGTGAGAAAAGATACTCCATGTCACTACAAACCCAAAAAATGTAAGTGAAAGCAACAGTAAATTCCTTTGGAAATGTTGGAAATGAAGAAAGTGTGTCCACTTTGGTTGGATTCTGGTACTCTGGAAGTCCGTATAAATCCCTAGGCAAGCTCAATACATAAATGTTAATAATAATAGCAGCTAACACTAAAATATTAATTTGTTCAGTACATTGTTTTGACAATTACTTATTTCCCATGACTCATTTAATCTCCACAGAAAATCTGTTGGGTAGCTATTATCATCATCTATTTCTTACTGATGAGAAAACTGATTATCAGAGAATTAGCTTTTCCTAAATCACTCACCTAGTAAATTCAAGAGCCAGAATTTGAACCTAGGCAGTCTGCAACAAAATCTGTGCTCTTAACCACAGTTATAAAGGGTCTGAAAATACCAAAAGGACTTTAACATCAAAGTCATAACCATTTTAAAGAATATAGAAGAGTTGGGCATGGTGGTACATGCCTATAATCCCGGCTACTCAGGAGGCCAAGGTGGGAGGATTGCTTGAGCCCCAGAGTTTGAGATCAGTCTGGCAACACAGCAAGACTCTGTCTCAAATAATAATAATAATAATAATTTAGAGGAAAAGACAGAATAAATATAAAGATGGAGAATTTCAACAAAAAAATTAAGAACTCTGAAATGGAACCAAAAGGAAATTCTAGAACTAAAAAATTCAATATCTGAAATTAGAATCTCTTGGGTGAACATAATAGTAGACCAGACTTAAAAGAAGAATCAGTAAATCCAAAGTCAAGTTGATAATAATTATCTAACTGAAGTGGAAAAAGAAAGAAGTGTAGAGCAACATCAAACAGTCAAACATATGTATAATTGGAGATTCAGAAGGAAAGAAAAGAGGCAATAGAGAATAAACAATATTGACAGTTAAAATGGCTGAAATTTCCCCAGAATTGATTAAAGACATTAAGCCACAGATTCAAGAAGCTCTATGGCCTGGCATGGTGGTTCACACCTGTAATCCCAGCATTTTTGAAGGCTGAGGTGGGTGGATCACTTGAGGTCGGGAGTTCGAGACCAGCTTGGCCAACATGGCAAACCCCCATCTCTACAAAAAATAAAAAATTAACCAAGGGTGGTGGTGCATGCCTGTAAGCCCAGCTACTCAGGAAGCTGAAGCAGGAGAATCACTTGAACCTGGGAGGCAGAGGCTGCAGCAAACCGAGATTGTACCACTGCACTCCAGCCTGGGGATGAAGCAAGACCTTGTCTAAAACAAAACAATTAAAAAAAAAAAAAACAAGAAGCTCTGTGAATGCTGAGTAGGAGAAATACAAAGGAAGTTACATTTAGGTACATTACAATCAAACTTCTAAAAATCAAAGATACGGAGAAAATCTTTAAGACAGCTAAAGAAAATATATCCTATACATCAGAACAATCAGAATGATGGGTGACTTCTCTCAGAAATCATGGAAATCATAAGGATAAAAATTGTATTTTCAAAGTAAAACTGTGTCTGTCCCAAAGGGTTAAAGAAGCCAATGACTAAATTCTTGGGCTTACAGGATAACAGATTTTTAAAACAAACAAACAAAATATCTGATTTTTAAAACAGATTTAAAAAAAACAAAAACTGAAACTGTGCTCTTAAAGAGTAAGTAACAAGTAACTAACAAAAATTCTTGACTGGATGCAGTGGATCATGCCTGTAATCCCAGCACTTCAGGAGGCTGAGGAAGGAAGGTCACTTGAGGCTAGGAGTTCGAGACCAGCCTAGCCAACATAGCAAAACCCTATCTCTACCAAATAATACAAAAATTAGCCAGGCGTGGTGGCACCCACCTATAAACCCAGCTACTCAGGAGGCTGAGGCAGAAGAATCGTTTGAACCCAGGAGGCAGAGGTTGCAGTGAGCAGAGATCACGCCACTACATTCCAGCCAGGACAACAGGGTGTGAGACTCTGTCTCAAAAAAAAAGAAAAAGAAAATTGAGTTTTCAAGATAACAGATAAGAAGAAAAAACAACTTCCTGAAATGCTGAAACTCCCTCCACTTATAAAATTTTAAAACCGGCTAACATCAGTTAGAACCAAGATGGCCAGCTAGAGTTTACACAGATGCGCTTGCTGATGTCACAGCCTAAATTTCCACCATGTTTCACACTAACTCTTCTCCAAATTTACACGTGCTACCCGTGAGTTAACATAAAAGAAAACTACACACGCCCAAGGATTTTCCAGACCTCCCGTTTTCTTTACCAACACTTACTAATCTTGAAATCCACCCACTGTATTTCCTAATGAAAATACTGCCTTGAGGTTGGCACAAGAAGACAGATTTGAATCCGACTCCTATCTTCTTGGGAGTTGACTTTCAATATAAAACCTCTATTTTCTCAAAAACCTGTGACATAATATTGACTTCTAACGCATTACGCAACAAGCTCCTTTTACTAAAGTAACAAAAGTGCTAGGGGATTAATAAAAACATACTGCCAACTTGGATTTCTATATCCGGTATAAATAATCTTCAAAAATGAAGTTGAGGCCAGGCACAGCGGTTCATGCCTATAATCCCAGCAGTTTGGGAGGCTGAGGTGGGTGGATCACCTGAGGTCAGGAGTTTGAGACCAGACTAACCAACATGGAGAAACCCCGTCTCTACTAAAAAATACAAAATTAGCTGGGCATGGTGGCACATACCTGTAATCCCAGCTACTTGGGAGGCTGAGGCAGGAGAATCACTTGAATCCAGGAGGCGGAGGTTGCAGTGAGCCGAGATCGCGCCATTGCACTCCAGCCTGGGCAACGAGAGCAACACTCCGTCTCAAAAAATAAAAAATAAATTCAAAAAAAGAAAAAAAAAGAAGTTGAAATAAAGATATTTTTCAAACAAATAAAATCTGAGAGAATTTGATACCAACAGATCTACCCTATTAAGAAATTATAAAGAAAGTTCTTCAGACTTAGGCAAAATGATCTCAGACGAAAGCACACATCCACAGTCCACAGAAGGAATGAAGAACAGCAAGAGGATAACTATGTGGCTGAATAGAAAACACTACTTGCATTAAAAAGCACTGATCTAAAGTAACAAGAACGACAATGTATTGTAAGTTTTATTACATATGTAGAGGAAAACATATGACAATAATAGAACAGACAAGAGTGGAAAATGGAATTATACTGTCGTAAAGTTCTTATTAGGCACATGAATAAGTATGGTACTAATTGAAGATTAATTGCAACAAATTAGGAACGTATAGATGCAAAGACAACAGAGGAAATACAATGGAGTAATGAAAAACACTTGATTAATCAGAGACAGAAAAGGAAGACCAAAAGAACAAAGATTAGGTGAGATGAACTAAATCCTTCACTTAAAAGGCAGAGATCAGCACACAAGATTAAAATAAGAAAACCAATGAAGACCTAAACCCAACTACAAGCTGTTTACAAGAAACAGACTTGAAACAGAAGTGAAAAAGAACAAACAGTCCATGAACCCAACAACATGGGGAATCTCAAAGCATAGGTGGGCAAAAGAGTGCCTACTTATGATGAAATTTATATGAAGCTCAAGAATGAACAAAAAATTAACCTACAATCATCAAGTATTAGGGAAGTCGGAGTGTAGTTATCTTGGGGGTATTATTTACTGCAAAAGGCCACAAGGGGATTTTTTTAGTAGCAAAGGAAATCTTCTGAATTACAAAGATGAGTATATATTTTAAAATTCAGCAAGCTGTGCATTTAAGATTTGTGCATTTTGCTCTGTGTAGATTGTACTTCAGTGAGTGTGTGTGTCTGTGTGTGTCTGTACGTTCTCACGGCTTTCCCTGCAGATGGGGTTTACCAGGACCCAGTGGTTGACATGGAATTGGTGAGTGGATAGTTTACTGAGGTGTCTCCAGCATAGCATGTGTGAGGATGCTGAGGAGGCAGGGGAGGGAGGAGGGAGAGGCGGCAGTTACAACTAAGGCCTCAGCAGATCCACCGGACCTGGCAGTGGGATGGCCTTTCAGACTTATGCATGGTTGAGGACAGGGGCTGAGTCTTTGCACTCCTGAGTCACCCAGTTGTGGGATGCTGGCTGCCTCTAGGGAGAGGTCGCAGCCTAGGTCATGGCAGCTTCCTTTATAGGTTGGCAACTCCTGGCGAGGGACACTGCTGTGAGCTGTCTGCAGCCAACACTCCTGGCTCCTGGGGCAATGGGCACCAAGTCCCAAAGGGAAGATCAGGTGGCAACCACAACATCCCCTACAACCTCCCTCATCCAAGCCACCAGCCTCATTCACCTGGATGAATGCAACAAGCCCCACTGGTCTCCAGGTACTCACTCTGTCTTCATTAGGATTGGTTCACCATACTGATGCCAGGGGCTGTTTAAGAGAGCAAGTCACAAGCATGACACCCTGCTCCATTCCTTCAGTGTCTCCCCATCCTGTCTGGATGGAATTTTAATTTTTTTAAATCTTTATTATTATTATTATTTGAGACAGAATTTCGCTCTTTTGCCCAGGCTGGAGTGGCATGTTCTCGGCTCACAGCAACCTCCACCTCCTGGGTTCAAGCGATTCTTCTGCCTCAGCCTCCGGAGTAGCTGGGACTACAGGCGTGCACCACCACGCCCAGCTAATTTTTGTACTTTTAGTAGAGATGGGGTTTCACCACATTGGCCAGGCTGGTCTCGAACTCCTGACCTCAGGTGATCCTCCCGCCTCAGCCTCCCAAAGTGCTGGGATTACAGGTGTGAGCCACTGTGCCCAGCCTGGAATGGAATTCTTTACTCTGGCTATGAAGATCCAGCTGGCTCACTCCATTCAGCCACACCCCAGCTCAGGGGGCTTTGTGCAGAACAGGGTGACCAAGTGGCCCTGGTTTGCCTGGGACTTCCTGGCTTTGGCACTGAAAGGAGGAGCCAATCCACCTGCCCTCAAAGCCCAGCCCATGGTGGGAAGAGGGCAGCAGGGTCTGAGCTTTGCATTCCCTCATTCCTGGGAGATGGTTCCCAGGGAGCTCAGAGCCCCAGAACTGTGCACAGGGAGGGGACACATTTTCTGTGGCTGGGCAGTGATTAGAACTTAGAAAGGCATGCTGAGGTGTGACTGCAGCCGAAGGAGCGTGGCTCCCTCCCTCCACGGTAGTTAGAGCCACAGTGCATTCTATCCACCAGGGACGCCAGGAGCTTGAATCTGTGGGGATGTGCCTCTCCTGGAGCCGAATCTGGCTGGCATATCAGGGCCAGGCAGTTCTCCAAAACATGCCTACCAGTTGTCCCAGGGCCAGCCTCCCTGGATGTAAGCCTTACTGATTCTGATATTTGCAAAGAAATAAAATAGGAGTGGGAGGAGATGAAACAAACTCTCCTGTGACCTCTTCTATTCTAGAGTTGACTTTGACACTTCGAGTCGCACTCAGAGCATCTCAATTGTGGGTGCCTTTGGCATTTCGTGCAGGGCAATTTTCATTGTGTGGAACTGTCTGAGATACTGCAGAACATTTCATGTCCCTGGCTCATGCTCAATAGAGGTCAGTAGATCACTTCTTTCCCTAACCACTGTGACAGCATAAAACACCCTCACCCCTTCCCACTCACATGGGTTTGCATGCAAATCTGACACTTAAAAAATGCCTTTAAAACTAAGTGGGGGAAGGAGGAGACATGCTCCCAACAGCATTACTAGCTGGGCAGGGCTCTCCACAGGGTGCCAACCCATTTAGTTCTAAGCTCTCACACCTGTCAAAGAATCTCATTAAATCTTCACTATTTCTGCAAAGAGAAGGGAAGGCATTCAGTATCCTAAACTGAGACAGTTATAACAAAATGTGAGAAAAGGAGAGAGGGATTCATGGTACCCAGCCAGCAGACGTTCTTGGAGCACTTACTCCATGCCAGGCACTATGCCTGATGGGTAATACAAGAAGAATAAAGGGCGCTGCCCTGGACTCAGGGAGCTCACTCCTCCTCTCTGGGCAACAGAGAAAAGTCACCCACTGCAGCAAAAGCCATGAGAATATGCTCAGTGATAAGGCAGTGGCGTTAAATCTGCAGGCAGTGGGCTATCTGTGGGTCCTTAAATCTATTTAGTGCATCTTGAACAGTATTTTTAAGCTGGGATAAGTGGAATAGGAAGGAGTGGAGTGGAGCATGATGGTATGGGATGGGATGGATGGGATGGGATGGATGGATGGATGGGGTGGGATGGGATGGGATGGGATGGGATGGATGGATGGGATGGATGGATGGGATGGGATAGGATGGATGGGGTGAGATGGGATGGAATGGATGGGATGGGATGGATGGATGGGATGGGATGGATGGGATGGGATGGATGGGATGGGATGGATGGGATGGATGGGATGGAATGGGATGGATGGGATGGGATGGGATTGGATGGGGTGGGATGGGATGGATGGATGGGATGGATGGATGGGATGGAATGGATGGATGGGATGGGATGGATGGGATGGGATGGATGGATGGGATGGGATGGATGCAATGGATGGATGGGATGGGATGGGATGGGATGGATGGAATGGATGGATGGGATGGGATGGGATGGATGGGGTGGGATGAGATGGATGGGATGGATGGGATGGGATGGATGGATGGATGGGATGGGATGGATGGATGGGATGGGATGGGATGGGGTGGATGGGATGGATGGATGGATGGGATGGGATGGATGGATGGGATGGGATGGATGGGATGGGATGGGGTGGGGTGGGGTGGGATGGGATGGGATGGGGTGGGGTGGGATGGGATTGGATGGGGTGGGATGCGATGGGATGAGATGAGATGGATGGCATGGGATGGGTGGGAGGGGATGGGATATTATCAGATGGCAAAAGTAAGAAGTGTTCATATTTTGTCTTCAAAATATAAATATGAGTGCATAATGGCTTGTGATGCAAAATACATTTCTTACTAAAGATCATGGACAAAGCACTTAAAACCACACAGTGTAAGGGACTACAGTCCCTTAGGAGCTGCTTTTGCAATAATTTACCTGAAAACTGGTATGAAAATGAGTCATGAATTGGACACTTGATGTCAGATTTTTTGAATAATTTTAGTTATAAAGCAACCTCACACACCACAAACGCATTTTTATATCTGATTATTTAGATGATTCCCCCAACAACCCTGGGAGGTGGCAAGATAGGATCATGCTTCTCCTTGCAAAGCTGAGACGATGGGGACTTGGCAAGGCTGAGAGACTCTCTGGAGGTTGACAGCTGAGAGGTCAGAGCACCAGACCTGGGGGTCCCACAGCCCAGCTCCCAGTGTGGAGGGTCCTGCTGTGCCCACTGCCACCAAAAACACAGCTTCGCCCAGCATCATGCAGTATCTGCCACACAGCGTCTGTCTGCCACATGGCATCTGCCACCTGAACTATCTCCAGGCACCTCTGCAGTTACAGCAACAGGTAGGTTGAGGGCATTCAATTTGTTTTTTGTTTTTGTTTTCGTTTTTGTTTTTTTGAGACGGAGTCTCACTGTCACCCAGGCTGGAGTACAGTGGCGCAATCTCAGCTCACTGCAGGCTCCGTCCCCCAGGGTTCATGCCATTCTCCTGCCTCAGCCTCCCAAGTAGCTGGGACTACAGGCGCCCGCCACCTCGCCCGGCTAATTTTTTTGTATTTTTAGTAGAGACAGGGTTTCACCGTGTTAGCCAGGATGGTCTCGATCTCCTGACCTCATGATCCGCCCACCTCGGCCTCCCAAAGTGCTGGGATTACAGGTGTGAGCCACCGCGCCCGGCCTCAATTGGGTTTTTGACAAAAGACTCCCTACCAAGATTTCACGGGCACAAACTCTCCACACTTCTATCCTGAGAGAAAACCTTCCCACTGTAACTTCTGACTCTCGGTTGTTAATGTGTTTGGCTGTCAGTTCCTAAGGAGCCATGTCCATCGAGCAGGTTGGATGGCGCCACCTTGGCAGTTCCTTCCAGCACCCTCCAGGGGCAGTGCGTCCTGCTCATCCTGCAGGTGTTTTTTGAGCAATGCTCAGTGCCAGGCACAGTTCCAGGTGCTAGGGATGCAGCTGGGCCCCAGTCCCTGCCCCATGGACCTGACACTCCTGACACTGCAATCTGGCTGGGGGAAGCAACTCTTCCAAGGGCTTTTATTCCAACACAGCCCATGGCCCACCGCCCCTCAGACTAAAAGAGAAAAAAAAGTGAAATGTCAAGGTTTCTCCAGAAGGAGAGCACAGAAGGAAACACGCAGATTGAAACGCTGTCCTGGCTGGGGATCGGCAAACATCCCCTCCACCCTTGTCTATGTTCAGCGCTCCACCCCAACCACAGGAGTGTGTGAAAGAGGGTCTTTTCCATCTCAGTGTCTGTCTGAGGGGCACAGCGCCCTGGTTTGCTGATTTGGGGGTGTCGGCATGAAGTGGACTCAGTGGAGACTGAGCCAAGTCTTGAGCACAGATGGCTTCACTCTTGCTGGGAGGTCAGAAGTTTCCGTGATGACCTGTGTCACGTGTGTTCATTACACCACGAAATCCATGACCTTCCAGCAAGAACTGAGGCTTAGACAGGCTGAGAAACTTGTTCAAAGTCACAAACCAGGGTCCCTGGTGGGCTTGGGATTTGAACCCAGAGTGACTGGCCTCAGGGCCCTGACACATAACCATGACAATAGTCCCCAGAGTCCTTCCTCTTCTTAGAGCCTGTATTAGTCCATTTTCACACTGCTGATAAAGACATACCTGAGACTAATTTATAAAGAAAAGGAGGTTTAATGAACTCACAGTTCCACATGGCTGGGGGGGGGCCTCACAATCATGGCAGAGGATGAAAGGCATGTCTTACATGGTGGCAGACAAGAGAGAATGAGAGCAGCAAAAGGGGAAAGCCCTTATAAAACCATCAGATCTTGTGATGGTTTTATCTTATTCACTACCACAAGAACCACCCCCATGATTCAATTATCTCCCACCTGGTCCCTCCCACAATTTATGGGAATTACGGGAGCTACAATTCAAGATAAGATTTGAGTGGGGACACAGCCAAACCATATCAGAGCCTGTGGTTCATGGACCCAACCCAAGCATCTCTCCCACAGCCCCACGTTACTTAGGATTAAGTGTAAAGGGGAGACAAGCCAGACATTTGCCATCCTCAGTCCAAGGAAGCAGAGCAAGCCTCAGTTTTTCTGGAATATCATTTATTGTCAGGACAGAACACAGATGTTTCCATGTCTGAGCAGTCATTTCCCTGCTCCTTCTGAAAAGAAGCCATTTAATCATCAGAGATGCCCTAGAGGTCCAGTGTAATTGTGGGTTGGTTTAAAAGCGGCTGCTCTGACCTCCAAGGACATCTGCTAACATGGTGTGCAGTCACTCACACTCCACGCTGCTGTGTGCTTAAACGCTGCATGAGGATTTATTCATTTGTTCCTCACAATAGTTCCATAATCATCCCCATTCATAAACGCAGAAACAGGCCCAGAAAGGCTAATTAAGTTAATGTGTCAGTGATAGAGCTGAGATTTCAACCCAGGAAGCCTGGTGCTGATGGGGTCCACACACTTCACTACACCATGTGGCCCTTGAAATGTGTCCCAGGTTCCAACTGCAAGGACATCTTTATGGGGGCAGGGCTTGAAGTCAGTTTTTCCTTGGGTCCTGCAGTGTCCATCAGGAAGGGTGAGGTTGGCTGTGATTCAGATTTCAGCTTAGCTGCTGTCTTTGCTGGAAGTCACCCCCCAAGACCTGTCTCAAGATCTCCTCCACCTCCTCCTTCAGGACTCAGGTCAAATGTCCTCCCCTCATTTACTGAGTCCCCACCGGTCGTCGCTCCACCACTTCAGCCTGGTTAAGTTTCTTTCTAGCACATTTCACTGTCCAAAGTCATCTTGAGTGTCGCTTTGACTTCTTGCTTGTTGCGTGTCTTTGACTGCGAGTGTCAGGTCCATGGGGGCAGGAACTGGGGCACAGCTGCATCTGCATCCCTAGTACCTGGAACCATGCCTGGCACAAGCATTGTTCAACAAACACCTGCAGGATGAGCGGGAGGCGCTGCCCCTGGAAGATGCTGGAAGAAACCGCCAAGGCGGCCCCATCCAACCTGTGCACTGAACACAGGAAGCCACAGGAGCAGGGGGCATGAGATGGCCCCTGAGGCTGTGCTCATGACCACCCGGTGGCACTGCCACACAGGCACGCCAACCACTTACCTGTTACGTGACCTTGAGCAAGTTTTTTAACCTGTCTAGGCCTGTTTCCTCATCTGTAGAATGACGATAGTCATCATAGAGTAACTGTAAGGAATACATTTCCTGAGTCCATCCATCCACATATTCATGTAACATAGCATCACGTGAATGTGAGTCATGATCGTTCAACTTATTGTCATCGCCCAGGACAAGGACGGCCTGAAATTCTTGAGACTGGTAAGATTTGCAGGCAGAACCTCAAAAGTGGTGGAGGGAGACCCATCCACACTCATCACAGTCATCACTGGGGCCGGGAGATAAACCACTGAGACCTCTTCAGCCTTGATCTGCCAGCCACAGCTAAGAAGGGAGCCATGCTCCTGTGTTCTGGTCCCAAGGGACTTTGTTGGGATCCTCCCCATCGCTATTTGATTACACAAGTGACAGACCCCAGTAACTGCCACCTTCCAGGCCTCTAGCCTCGTCCACATTTCCCTTCATTGTGAGCTCCTTTGCTCCTGTCTTGCTGGATTCTTCATTTCAAACATCCCAGTGCAAGGTCCTCTGGAAACCTTGAACTGTGTCTGTTGCCTGCATTCCTTAGAAAGCAACCCAGCACCGGCGAGATCTTCACGTTCTCACTGTTCAGAAGCACTTCAGGGGAGGGGTGCCGCCGGTGACTCCTGTCTCAATTCTTCCCCAAAGGCCTGGAGATGTAGGAGAGCTCTGGAAATTACACAAGGATTCCACAACAGCAGCACAATAGCCCGTGATTCGACCAAGATGTCAAAATCAGCATGTAGAGGGTGCGATTGAAAGTGTGGTTGGCACCAGAACATCACTTTTAATTGAGCCTGTGCCTACATTTTTGCATGCAACATGGAAATTAACAGCAGAGTGATAAAACTTCGAGAAAAACTAATCACCCTTGCTGTCTGCTCCTGCCCGTCCCTTGTTTAACCTGTACTCTCCTGCCCCCGACTCCCCTTCCCAGAAGGGTCCTGGAGGTTTCTATCACAGGCCAGGCTGCTACATTCACAACACATCCCAGCTCAGCCCAGCCCCTCCAGGGCTCTGAGAGAGTTGTCTCCCAGGCCCATCTGCTCAGACATAACCCCATGAAAAGAGCTCAGTGTGGCAGCCAGGGCTGTGTTGACTGCAGAAAGGACAGAAGATGATGGGGTGAGGGTCTGGGCAGTCGGGGGTTCGTGCATTGTGTGGGTCTCACACGTGGCTTCCCTCCAACAAGCCCTCTGCATTCCTGGTCAGACGTGGGGAGGAAGGGAGGGAGGGGAGAAAGTGAGGCAGCAGAGCTGGGGAGGGGCCCAGGTTGCAGGGACTTGTGTGCAGGGCACGAGATGTCACTGGGGGCTTCCTACATGAGACACAGTGAGCCGTCAGGATTCAGGGGGCATGTTCTGAGAGAAGAGCCCAGGGGAATACGGGAAAGAGGCAACATGAGAATCCATCAGCCACCACCCCAGTCCTTCCCTCCTCTGCCCAGGACCAGAGCTGGGGCCTGGGAGACAGGGCGGGCTTTCTGCAGGAGGGACACCCACCCTGAGAGGAACTCAGGCTGTCATAGCTGCACAGACATTGCAAGCCAGGAGCAGTGGTCACACCAGTGGGGCAGGGGCATCGGGAGGGGGTGGAAACAGCAGGTCACCCACGGGCTGTAAGCATCTATCTTTGAGGTGACCGAGGGGACCCAAAGCAAGTGACAGAGATGCATGCTCCTCAGCAAGCCTGAGAGGTCTCTGGGGACAGTGGGTCTGGGGGCAGGAAGCAGCAGGGGGCTCTTACAGGTGCCGCATCGAGATCTGGCCACTTCTACCATGAGCAGCAGGCACTCCCTGGGGATTCCATGTCCTCAGCCTCTGGTTGAAGGGCTTCCCAGCCTCTCCCTTTCTCTGTTTTGGGGGATTTGGGCGGGTACTGGCATCTCCATCTGTGCACTCCTGACCCCTGAGTGACGTAAAGTAGGCCCTCCCCTTAGACACATTTCAGTCCTGTCCCACATAGCCCGGGCTCAGGGATGTGGCCCTATCCCGGTGTCTCGGGAGGAAATGGGGCTTGAATTTCTCATGAGACACCAGACACCCGGTGTCTCACGTGCTGTGTAAGAGGATGCTTGGCGCTGCGACCTCCTTGCAATAACCATCATCTAATAGGGCCAGGAGAAGTGGAGGAGAAGGTGCCATTAACGGGGTAGCCAGTTGTTCAGAAGCAGCCCCTTCCTGCATGGGAGCACCCCTCAGAGGTGTCCAGGCAGCTCCAACCAGCAGATAATGGGTGTCCGGAATGTGCAGAGCCAGCCCAGATCTCAGCAGGGATAAGTGATTTGCAAGAAAGAACTTGTTGGATTGAGGAGCTGCCATGAGTCCCAGCGGCCTGGCATTTTCTCCTGGAGGCTGTTTTTAGAGCCAGACTGGGGGCGGGGCTCCCCCTTGGCCTCTGTGGGCCCCTGCAGTCTGCACCAGGCTTGGAGTCACCAGGCTGATTTCACGGACATTTACGGAGCCTGCAGGAGACCATAGCTTAGCATGTCCCCTGCTAATTAAAGGACAGTGGCCAGTTGTTCTCGGTCAGAGTTTACAAAGGATGATTGCTTTGTAATCTGGAGTGTCCCAGGGAGCAGATGGGAGAGCGTCAGATGCCAAAACCTGATGCCTGACACCTGGCATTCTTTGGAAGTGACCCTTCGAGGAGCATCAGCCATTGTGGGAGAGACGGGTATCAGGGGGCCGCCCTCCTGGCTCTCAGGGGCTCAGCTCCGCCCACACAGGGCAGGAGGATGATGCCTGAAACTATGCCTGTCCTCACACAAGAGAGATTGGGGTCTTTGCATGGTGGGATGTGAATGCCTGGGGGTCAGGGGACCCATGTAGGGCTGGAAGAGGGGGTCTTGGCCTCAGGACCAGCCCTGCTTCAGCCAGTGTAGCCATGTGTGGAAGTACCGCCCAGCATTGCTTGACTTCCCTGGCAGCCAGGACAGCCTGGGTCTGAGTCCCTGCTACAGATAAAAAGAACCAAATCCAACCATTTGTCTCCAGCCATTCTCAGCCTCTGCCTCTCTCCCCAGCCCCTCCACCCCTGTGTTCAAGGAAGGCAGAGCCCAGAACCTGTTGTGTGAGGCCTTGGGCTTTCCACGGCCTGATGAGTGCCAGTCTCTGGGGAGCCCTTTGGGGGACACATTCAGATTCTCACAATTATCTCATACCCAGACTGCAATCTGCCATCCACCAGCAATTTCAGGACTGCGGGGGAGGGTTCATCAAATTTGCAAGTGTGTTTGTTTCTCTTTTTACCCAACATTCTATCTGTGAGATGCTTTATAATTCACCAGATGTAATATACCTTTGGGATTAATATTCCATGTTAAATCCTTTGAAAGCAATCAACAACTGTAATCCAATTACTATTGGCTGTATCTTTCACGCTATTTTGCCCCAAACCTCAAGCCAA
Organism: Homo sapiens; assembly: GCF_000001405.40. Classification (NCBI taxonomy): domain Eukaryota; kingdom Metazoa; phylum Chordata; class Mammalia; order Primates; family Hominidae; genus Homo; species Homo sapiens. Next base: position 48,457,232 of record NC_000020.11, read on the forward strand.
GCTCACTATACACATACACACAAACACACACACACACACACACCCCACAGCAGATGCCAATTTTGTGCCTCGTTGCCTCACATAACATGGGAGCATTGAGTAGTGAACAGCTGATCTGCATGAATTAACGTGGGAGGTCGTGTGGGCCCTGAAGCTTTCACACTTACAAACCGGTGTCAGGATGGGTTGTCATAGAGATCAGGTGGGAGGACACTAGGGTTCCCCCCAAGACTCTGGGCCTCCTCTGATGAGCAGGTCACATGGGGATCTGGGGGGAGGCACAGGCACGAACTGCATATTAAATACACCTGACTCACTGTGTCTGTGAGTGTGTGGGCGTGTGTGGGTGTGGGAGAGTGCATATAGGAGTGAGCATGTGTGTGAGTGTACATGTAAGTGTCTGTATGACTGTGTGTAGTATGTGTGTGCAAGAGTATATGTATGAGGGTGTCTGCGTGTGTCAGTGTGTGTGCAAGAGTGTGTCAGTATAAGAGCATATGTATGTATGCAGGGGCATGTGTGTATATGTAAGCGTATATCTGTGTGTGAGCGTGTGTATGCATGAGTGTGTGGGCATGTGTATGAGTGTATGTATGAGTGTGTCTATGTGTGTGAGCATGTGTCTATGAGTGTGTCTGTGTATGTATGAGTATGCATATTTGCATGGGCATGTGTACATATGCATGTGCATGTGTGTGAGTGTGTACACATATGAGAATGCCTGTGTGAGTGCATGTATGCATGTGTGTGGTGTGCATGGGGGCATGTGTATGTATGTGTGTGCCTATGTGTAAGGATGTTCGTTTGCATGCACATGTGTCCAGGTCCTACATGGGATGAAAACTGAATGGCTCTAAAGATCTGCTGGACACATTTCAGATCCTAACAGAGCTCTTAAGCTCCAAGGGGTCACTGAATGGACGGACAATGAGGGTTTCTGAGTCTAGGCAGCGCTGACTCAGCAATGCAGGAAGGCAGCTCTTGGAGCTTCACAAATAACCCCCCCACCCCCTTTCTCTCCCTCACAGTCACAGACCCCTCCCCACGTCCCTTCCTCTCCCTCTCTCTGTTTGCCTTCCATGCGTCTCCCCTTCCTGGTCTCATTTCTCGCACATTCATCACCTCTTCGTCCTGCGGTGTAATTCCCCTCCACTCCTCAGCGTGGACTGTGGGATGAGACAGCCGCAGCCTTGCAACCTGGCCGCGGAAAATGCTTGACACTGGTTTGTACCCATTTCTCAGTCTTGGGAGCCCACCCCAACTCAGGGAAAATATTCACGTGCATACATACATTTGGACATAATACATGAATCATATACAAGGAATGTTCAAACAGGCCGCAATCAAGCCCTCCATCCAGTGTTTAGTTTTGGTTTCCCCCAAAGCAGACCCTGAGGCAAGCTTTCAAGTTCAAGTAGTTTATCTGGGAGGTCATCACAAGCAATACCAGTTGGGGTGCGGGGCAGGGAGGTCAGCAAGGTGGAAGCCAATATGGCATTCTGCCTTCTCTGGGAAATGGCCCAGGCATGGTCTGCAAGCCCATAGAGCCTGGCCTTGCAGTGCCAGCCAGGAGATGGGCCTGGGGCAGGGGCGGCCATGCCTACCACAAGCAAGTTACCAATGTGGTAAACAAAGCACAGCCTTTCAGGGCCCTACAGCATAGAACACGTACCTCAGAGGTATCGATCTAAGGGCCACAGGGGCTGGGGCCCACCCCCAACTCCATCAGGCGCTGCTATGGGATCCCCTGGAAGCATTAATTTCCCAGCACCTCCGTCTCTCCCATGCAGCCCCGACCCTGGCAGCAGGAGACACAGGTGCTGGCAGCCCAAGTTGGGGGGCAGGAGCACAGCAGGGGAAGGGCCAGGGGACAGGGGGACCTCGACAGGGTCTGCCACATGTCTCAGCTCAACTGAGGGAGACCCCCTCTCTGGGGAAACCTCGCTGTTGCTCACTTCCTGCCTTGGACCCGTCCCCACCCACCAGCAACTCTGGACTTTCCCACAAATGGCTCGGGCTCCATTTCCCAGGGGTAAGTCTGGGTTCCTCAGCCCTTGAGCACAGATCTATGCCAGCACTCTCCTTGCACGAGGGCACATCAGGGATCAAGAGAAAAGGCTCCTTCCCTTGGCAAGGCAGACATAACAGTAGGGCAGGCAGGCGAGAGGCAGAGAAATCCAAAATCACGAAGGTAACGTCAGATGGTGACCAGCTATGAACAGGGTAGAGCAGGCACGTGGGATAAACAGAGTGACAGTGGACGCCAGAGCAGGTTGACCAGGGAGGAAATGAGGGGAGAGGCCCGGGGAGCTGTCCACGTACCAGTCGTGGTAAAATGTCACCGGACCTCTAATCTGCCATCTTGCTCTCTTCGCCTTTGTTTTTCAGGCTTTACAATCTCATCCCCAAAATAACAGAGCACAGACCTGCCCGGCCCCCAGGTGATTTTTCTTGGTGTTACCCTAAGGCCGTGAGACAGAGATTCTCTTAACGTTTTTAGTGCGGCCCCTTGCATGAAACCCGTTGCAAACTGCCACCCAGCACACACACGCACATCCATTTACACAGAAATGCAGCATGTTTCCCCAAACGGCACTCACCCCCGCTGCACACAATGCGCTGATGTCTCCTGACCTAGTCTGTTCTGGTCTATTGCAGATTTTCAATGCCGGGCTCGACACTCTAAATTGATTTCAAGACCCGCTAATGCGTCACAGCCTGCGATTTGATAAACTCCACGCTAAGACACATCCCGTTGTGAGGTGTTCGACCCAGAGGCCATTTATCCTGCAGTGAGCCGGGTGGGGGGGGCAGGATTCACCCTGAGGCGCGTCTCCTCCTTCTCAGTCGGGCTGGGAGGAGGGGGCTCTGTGCCATGGGACCCGCAGAGGTCCCGGTCTCAGAGTTCGTGCCCTGTAGCTGCTGTGTGTCCAGCAGCTGGCAGGGCGGGTGGGTTGGGGGTGGGGGTGTCACTCCCACAGACACACAGCACAGGGCAGAACCCTGGCTGGAAGCCGCTCAGCCCTGGGACCTCCCGAGCCCACCTGGGATCAGGCCCTGGGGAACAGCTATGGGGGACAGGGACTCCCAGTGCACAGAACAGGCCATGAGCTGGACAAGCTGCTCCTTCTCATAATGTCAGACCCTTCTGCTGACCCACCTAGGACCGGGAGCTTGCAGACAATCCTGGGCCCAGAGAAGCAGGCAGATGTGGCTGTTGGTAGCACTAATATGGGTTGTGAATATCACCTGGTAGTTATTATTACTTTACTTACTTTACCCCAGCCACTTGATCCTGCACACATCCCCTCACTTCATGCTCTGGATGAAGTTGGGGACCCCTGGATGAGACCACACCATGGGCCTGAAAGTCACGGGAGGAATTATATTAGATGTGGTGGTCTTGGAGGGCTGCTAGGAGGAGGAGAAATGTGTAGAGAGCTGGATGGACTGAGTGATGAGCAATACACATTTCTAGAGGAAGAGAGTGCAGGCAGAGAAAACAGCAAGTGCAGAGTCCCTGCGCTGGGAAAGGTCAGTGTGACCACAGTGGAGTGACAGAGAGGGAGGAGAGGAGGTCTGAGAGCTACCTGAGGCCCAGATCATGTGGGGCTCTCCAGGCCACAGCCAGGAGTGTGGATCTGCTTCTGAGTGAGGGAAGAAGCCATTGGAAGGTTCAGGGCAGTGAGCCGAGATGTGAGTGACATGATCTGATTTGCATCTGCCTCCGTCATGACTTTCGAAATAGCTGCATCTCATCTATATTCTGATCTAGTCAAAATTTATCTCTAAATCAGTTACATTTTTAGAATTTTTTAAAGGAACTTTGATATTCCACTACTGCAAATGAAAAATCAGTATCACTTCCATGAATAGAAGAGTATCCATGAAAACACACAACAAAAACAGAGCCGTGTTATTACTTTCTAGCCAGAGGCTGCTAAAGACGATGCACCTGAAACCTGTGCTCCCTTTGTAACCACCCAAGGGGTTCACCTTGCCCACTGCCTAGACTGAGCCGACTTATCAAGACAGGGGAAATTGCAATGGAGAAAGTAACCCATGCAGAGCCGGCTGTGCGGGAGACTGGAGCTTTATTGTTACTCAAATCAGTCTCCCTGAGCATTCGGGGATCAGAGTTCTTAAAGATAATTTGGTAAGTAGGCGCTCAGAAAGTGGGGAGAGCTGATTGGTCAGGTTGGAGATGGAATCATGGGGGTAGAAGTGAGGTTTTCATGCTGTCTTCTGTTCCTGGGTGGGACGGCGGAACTGGTTGAGGCAGATGACCGGTCTGGGTGGTGTCAGCTGATCCATCAAGTGCAGGGGCTGCAAAATATCTCAAGCGCTGATCTTAGGTTTTACAACAGTGATGTTATTCCCAGGAGCAATTTGGGGAGGTTCAGACTCTTGCAGCCAGAGGCTGTAATTTGTTAGTCCTGCAAAGGCAGACGGCTCCCCAGGCAAGAAAAGGCTATAACCAATTTTGTTTGAGTCAAATCATGAACTGAATTCTTTCTCAAAGTTAGTTTGGCCTGTGCCCAGCAAGGAACAAGGGCAGTTTAAAGGTTAGAAGCAAGATAGAGTCAGTTAGGTGTGATGTCTTTGACTGTCATAATTTCCTCAGTTATAATTTGTGTGAAGGCAGTTTCACCTTTGTCTCTCTCAAGCAGTAGAGAGGTATTGAAGTCACATGAGCATTGAACTGAAACTATCTCCATGACTATCTCAGAGAGACTGAAAGACACTGGGCAAGGGAATACATTTCACACTGTGGGATTCCACAGCGTTTCATGCTGGTTCAGGAACCACCCAAAATCATCTCACATATTCACATATCATTTTTTTTTTTTTTTTGAGACGGTGTTTCGCTCTTTCACCCAGGCTGGAGTACAGTGGCGCGATCTCGGCTCACTGCAACCTCCATCTCCCGGGTTCAAGCGATCCTCCTGCCTCAGCCTCCTGGGTAGCTGGTGTTATAGATGTCCGCCACCATGCCCAACTAATTTTTGTATTTTTAGTAGAGACGGAGTTTTGCCACGTTGGCCAGGCTGGTCTTGAACTCCTAACCTCAGGTGATCCACCTGCCTCAGACTCCCAGAGCGCTAGGATTACAGCTGAGAGCCACAACGCCTGGCCTATCTCACGTATCTTTGGTGGGCACCCCTCCACTCTTTGGGGAAACACCATTTTGAAATACAGTATATTTTCAATTTGATATTTAAGGTCCTCAAGGGAACAAAATCATAAGATTTTTATCTTTTCCTCCTCAAACACATGGTGGTAAATGCTTCATAGATATTCATCTCTACCCTTTACCTTCAGAAGCCATGGGGATGTTGCTTTGGTTTTGGTTTTGGGTTTTGCTGGAGCGTTTGGGTGTTTATCTTTTGCATAGTTGTTTAGGAGATAACCATGGGCTACAGGAGAAGGAGAGACGTTTTTGCACTACTTTTCTTTCCCCTGACCATCCTGATGGGCATAATTGCTACTGCACCAGCCTCATCCTTTCTCCCGGGTCCACTCCTGCCCTTTCCAGCCTGTTGTCCATGTGGCAGCCAGAGAGCTCATTGTGGAGTGTGAAGGTCACAGTGCCCCCTGCTCAGACATCTATGATGCTCATGACATTGCACGAAACCCTCCTTCCTCATCATGGCACTCAAGACTGCTCCCTGCCAGCCTCTCTGTCCTGCTCCAACCTCAGGGCACCCCAAACAGACCTTCTCTCTGACCTTTGAACTTGCTGAACCCTTTTCCACCTCAGGGCGTTTGCACTGTCTCTTCCCTCTGCCAGGAACACTGCCCCAGAGTTTTACACAGCTGTCTTTTTCTGATCCTCCAGGCCTCAAATGCCACCTCTTCAGAGAGATCCTCCTGGTCACTTCATTAATGTGGCCCCCAGCTGAGTCACTGTCAGCCCCAGGCTCCATTTATCTCCTTTACAGCACCTACCGCTGCAGGTCAGAGTCTAATTCATCTGCGAGTTTGTGTCTTCACTGTCACCCTCCACCGGTGCCATGAGATGGGAACACGTCTGTGCCCTGATGAAGCCCAGCACGGGCACCATGCCTGGCACGGAGGAGGCACTTAGGCAGTGCTTCTTACATATGCACCTCAGGGAATGGGGCCAGCGGTGGTCTTTCCAGGTTCTCTACCCTTCCCTCCCCACCCAAATGTGTGACATTCAGAGACAGAGACACTGGAGTCATCCTAACTGCTCCCCTCCTGGTCATCAGATCCCAGACCCACAGGACAGGGATGTCTGAGGAGGCCCCTCTGGGAGGTGTTCATGGCTGTGAATCACTGTAGAAGGGAACGAGCTGGGCAGCTGGTGCCCTTCATCTGGGTCAGAGCCAGGCGGAGATTTGAAGGGAATCCTTTGGCAAAGAGCAAGCAAACCTCCCAGGGATGGCGACTTGTCAGATGTCAGCGAGTCTGGAAACCAGCAATCACTCCTAATCCAAGAATCAGCCTGAGGGGGCCTGAAGGGGTCCTGCAGGCCTTCATGTCACCTTCTGCAGACCCCATGTTGAAACCCCATGTTGAAACCAGCCTCGACGCCAGGAATCTCTCATTAGGTATAAATGTCGTCTTAAAAGATTCCTTCACTTCTTCCACCACCCATCCTGAAGACAGACAATTAATCTGGCAAATGCTGACTGGTGCCTACTCTGTGCCAGGCTGCACCCTCAGCATAGGGGGGATGTGGAAACAAAACAAGCTCCTTGCACCCCTGAGCTCAGCAGGTCACTGGGGAAGACTGTTGCTAAGCAAGTGACGACAGAAAGCAGAGAAGTCATTTCCAACAGCAGCAGAATGAAGCAGACTCATGTGATCCAAAGTGTCATGGGGTTGCATGTGTCAGTGTGAGCAATTGGGAAAGGCTCCTGAGGGTGGGGGTTTGGAGCAGAGACGTGAAAGATGAGAAGGGGAAAAAGGGAAAGCGACTCAGGCTGGAACTGGTATGACAGTGCCATGTCTGTGGATAAAGAGCAGGCCGTGTGGACACTGCAGCAAGCCCAGCAGAAAGCGGGTCATGATGGGGCCCGAGGAGCCAGCAGGACCCCATGACCCTGGGCCACAGTGCCCATGGTCAGGTCTGGGATTTCATCCAAAGCGTAATGGGAGGATTTGTAGCTTGAGAAATTTTAAACATCCATTTAGCTACGGTACTGAGAATTTACAACAGGGTATGAGAGAGGAATCCAGAGGCCCCTTGAGGAGGCTGTTGGCATCCACCAGAAGAGAGGCCAGACCAGGTGACCACATGGGAATGGCAGACAGAGAAGGCTGATCTTTGGGGCTTTCTAGTGACTAATTTGCCTCCTCTGAGCCCCTTCTCATTCCTTCTCTTGTTCTACACCTAGAGCATTTTATTTATTTATTTATGAGACGGAGTCTCACTCTGTCACCCAGGCTGGAGTGCAGTGGCACGATCTCGGCTCACTGCAAGCTCTGCCTCCCGGGTTCATGCCATTCTCCTGCCTCAGCCTCCCAAGTAGCTGGGACTAACAGGCACCCGCCACCATGCCCGGCTGATTTTTTGTATTTTTAGTAGAGACGGGCTTTCACTGTGTTAGCCAGGATGGTCTTGATCTCCTGACCTCGTAATCCGCCCGCCTCGGCCTCCCAAAGTACTGGGATTACAGGCATGAGCCACCGCGCCCAGCCACCTAGAGCAGTTTTGAACAATCCATCATCAACCCGAAGACCATTCTGAAGCCCCCTCCCCTCCACCTCCTCACAGTCTCTGCTGCAGATAAAATCGCACACACCCGTTAACCTTTCTGCTGAGAAGTTATCATCAGCCCTTTCATCAGTGCAGCAGCTCTCAGCCGGCTCTGAAAGGCTTGAAATTGTACATCCATTTAAATGCCTCGCACTTTCCTAGGATTTGTTAATCACTGTTTTTCCACCCAAACATGAAAAGAGGTTATAAGAGGTGTTCGATTGAAATTGCCTGTGTGTGACAAATGTCAGAGCATTTCCAAAGCTATTCTCTTTAGTGGAACCTTTTTATAAGGCCCAGCTCAGTGTCTGGGATTAAGTAGGTGTTAAGTTTTCTTACTGCTGCCTCACAGATTACCACAAACTTAGCAGCTTAGAGCAACACATGTTTATTATTTCACAGTTTCTAGGGGTCAGGAGTCTGGGCATGGCTCAACTGGGTCCTCTACCCCAGGGGGTCTTGCAGGTGATCATCAAGGTGTTGGCCAAGGGTGGAGGCTCAGCGGACGAAGCCACCAGGGAAGGTTCTGCTCCCAGGCTCACATGGCTCTGGGCAGGAGTCAGGTCCTGGTAGGCCTCAGAATGGGGGCTTTAGTCCCTTGCAGGCTGTTGGCCAGAGGTCACCCTCAGTTCCTGGCCACAAGCATTTTTCCAATATGACAACTTCTTCATCGAAGCAAAGGAGTCAGCTAGCAGCAAGACAGAAGTCACGACCTTCTGTGACATAACCACAGGAGTGGCATCCCATTTGATTTTCCATATTCTATTGCTTAGGATCAAGTCACAGGCCTCATCTACACTCAAGGGGAAGGGGTCACACACAGGCATGAATACCAGGAGAGGGAGACTTTGGGGGGTATCTTAGAGGTTCAAATATAAAGTAAAACTTGAAGAAAAAATTTTAACATCACCACTGACACAATCAACTAAAGATGAGCAATGTTATTTTGGTGTATGGCTTACCTGGATGGATGGATAGATGGGTGGATGAATGGATTGATGGATGGCCAAATGGAAGGATGGACGGATGGGTGGATGGATGGATGGTTGGATGGATGGATGGATGGATGGATGGATGGATAGGTGGATGGATGGATGGTTAGATAGAGCAACCTAATAAAAACATATCACACAAGACACACATGTGCTTTTTGTCTTATGAAAATGGAATAGTGGTTTTAATACATACAGATGTAAACCCGCCTCGTGTACACTCAACAATATTTTATCAACTTGACAATGAGAACTCTGCATATCAACATTATTGTTTTTTAGCACTGGCATTTATGGATGTACCACAATGTATTCAATGAATTTTGTGTTTTAATCAAGTTAGGATGTGAGTCAGCTTCATCTAGCAGAGCTCTAACTTCAACTAAGACAAAAGTGTATTTTTCACAGAAACCAAAGCTGGAGCTTGACAGTCTAGTGTGTATACAAAATTTGAGGGACCCTGTTTTTTTTCCAGTGAACTGTTCTGCACTTCCTAGGATGTGAATCTCACCTTCACAGAACAAATTGATGGGAAGAGCACCAACCATCACATCCATAGGCCAAGGAGGAGAGAGGAAACAAAAAAATAAGAAATGAGGCAGAAGATAGATGTAAGGTTTCAAAAAATGCCACACAACACTTTCATTACTTTGCATTGGTCAGAATCTGGTCACATGGTCACAGCTTGCTGCAAGGGAGGCTGGGAAAACGTAGCAAGTGTCCAGCCACTGGGGAGAGAGGAGCACCGGAGGAAGGGCAGGAGGCTACCAGCAAGCATTTAGGCTTCCTACTTTCTTCTTATAAACATCTTTAGAGATTCATCTTTGCATATTTTTCTGACTATTTCCTAGGGATAAATGCCTATAAATGGAATTCAGGACTAAAAGATATGCGGCACTTTCACTGGCCAATTGCCAATTGCCCTCTAGAAAGGTTGTACCAATGAACTCACCCAAGAGGTGGGGTTCTATTTCATGAAATGTTTCTCCACCCCACATTTCCTTTTAATCCACACCCTTTGGCCTTTATTAGGCTTACACATCTCTTCAGAATCCTTGCTTCCTACATCATAATCTTGGGATTTAATACATGTTTTTCGTTCAGGTTATTATTAATATCAGATTTATCTGGCTGTGTGTGAGCCCAGCCACAGCTTTAGGGAAAGAGATGTATCTTTCAGTGGTGAAGAGAATAAAAATCAAAAATCCTCAGAGATTTGAAACTGAAGTGGGCAGGGAAGGGTGGAAAGAACAGATCTCATTCTATGAAGAGCATGGAGGGATTTTCACAGAGCATGTAGTGCTGAGTACAGCAGACCAAGCACCCGGGGACACCCAGAGAGCAGCCTTTCCTCAACAGAAGAGGAGTGAGCACCACACAGAGTTGCAGAAAGGGAATCCCAGACAGGGGTAACAGCAGATACAAAGACACTACAGCAGGCACTGACTTGGCCTGCTGGAGGAGCAGAAAGGAAGCCAGTGTGTCTGGAGTAGAGGGGACCAACTTGTCCAGGTTTGCCCAGAACTCTCTTGGTTTTAACACTAGAAATCTTATGTCCCAGGAAACTTCTGAGTTACAGCCAAGCTGGGATGATTTGTCCAGAACTGCCCCTGTTTTAAAATGGAAAGGTCTGTGTCCCACAAACCCCCTCAGTCCTGAGCAAGCTGAGGCAGTAGGTCACCTTATGCTGGAGAAATGTGTGCAAGGGTGGGCAGAACAAGTGACTCTCTCCCATGTCCTCTCTCCCCTTAGCCACAGGAGTGACAAATCTGGGTACCGACATCCAGGATGAAGACTACATTTCCCAGCATCCCTTGCAGCAAACAGAGGTCATGTGACCAGGCTGTGGTCACTGGGAGGTTAGGCCTGTGCACAGTGGCTGCCTTTAGAGGAAGGAAGGTTTGTGCCCTCTTGTTCTCTTCTCCCCTCCCTGCTGGCTGGCAGGAGACAGGATGGACACTGGGCGGGGGAAGCCACACTCTAAGGAAGTCAGACTAACAAGATAGAAGGAGGCTGAGACCCTGAAAACTGCAGAGAAGAATCACTTGATTAGCTTTGACTTTCTTGTGAAACAGGAATGAACCTCCACCTTGGCTAAGCCACTGTGATCCAGGGTCCTTGGTCACATTCACTGAGGCCATAATCTAATTGGTAGAAAGAAAGGAAGGGGAGGGGAGATGGAGTCAGAGAGGCAGGCAGAGGTCAGATCACATCTGGCCTGTAGGCCAAGGCAGAGGAAGAAACAGGTGACCCAGGACTCAAGGACTGCACCTGCTCCCAGGCAAAGGGAGTTTGCCCTGGGTGCCCCTCCCTGTCTGCTGGAATAAGCAAATTTTACCCACTTCCCTTAGGACTTTGCAAGATGCACATCAGTCACAGGTGCTTGTCTCCTAAGGGTCCTTTCAGGTGAGCTGCCCCAACAGTGAGACTGTGACTAGAGCAGGAAAGAACCCTTGTGTGCATCCCCTCTGAGCACTGGGAGGTGTGGTTGTAGCGGCTGCTGTTACTCATCCTGACTGATACACAGACACCGCTGGTAGCCCTCTCTCCTGGAAACGCCATGTAAGTTAGGTGAGGCATGACCCAGGAAAGCTCTCAAGCTGACTTCCCTTCTATCCCCAGGGCCGCTGAGCAGGACCCACATTATCTAAGATCAGTTGGACACCTGTACACCTGCATGGCCTGGAGCAGGTGCCAGGCACTGTGGATGATGAATGCGAGAACGGCATCATCCCTGCCCTCCTGCAGGTAACTGTCTGGTCTGCTCAGACTGTGAGATTCCTCCACAACCACCTCCTCACACACAGCTCACTCATGCCAAGCAGGAAGCAGAGCTTGGGATCGCCTGACCCACTTGCCCTCACCTGGGAGCAACTTATGTAACAACACATGTAGTTCACACAGGGCTGACGGTTCCAGCTTCCAAGACACCCCAAGGCTTCCTTGGCTGCTTGGTAATCAGACCAGGTATGTGCAAAGAGGCATGACTCTATTTTCACTTAACTGAAAAAACCACACCAGCAAAGAGAGCATCCATGTTCAGTGGCCCTTTCTCCCCCCAATAGTGACCATTAACCTTTAAAAAGATGCTTTATGAGTCATTTGCCAAACCTCCTTCTTCATGCCAAGGTGTAATGAGGCTCATAAATAGGCCAGACTTGAGAGGGGACAAACACGAGAAATGCCACCAATGAGAGCCCCAGGCAGAGCAGGTCTCAGGGCTGCCCAGCCATGTGTGTGCCAAACATGGATGTGTCAGTGGCCATGCCAGGAGTTAAGCCCTCAGCCATGGGCCTCTGGGTGGCCAAGGCCAAGTCTTATTCAACAGGTGAGTTCAACTGAGCCAACCGTGGCAGAAATACATAGGGGAGACGATGGCTCCTCTGGTTAAATCCCCTGCTAATTCCACCTGGCTCAGAGGAGGAACCAAGTCCTCATAATAGCTTGCAAGTCCCACCTGACTCGGCCTCCTCTCAGCTCAGATTCTCCGTGCCCCTCTACCCTTCTCTGTCTCCTCTCCCACCACAGAGAGGGGATCCTACAGGTTCATCCTGGTGGATTCAAAACCCATCTTTGTTACACAGTCACCAAATGAATGTGCATAAACCATAAACAGCCCTCTTGAAAAAGAGAAAGGCAGGCCGGGCTCAGTGGCTCATGCCTGTAATCCCAGCACTTTGGGAGGCCGAGGAGGGTGGATCACCTGAGGTCAGGAGTCTGAGACCAGCCTGGCCGACATGGTAGAACCCCTTCTCTACTAAAACCATGAAAATTAGCTGGGCATTGGTGGCATGCACCTGTAGTCCCAGCTACTCTGGAGGCTGAGGCAGGAGAATCGCTTGAACACGGAAGGTGGAGGTTGAAGGAGTAGAGATCATGCCACTTCACTCCAACCTGGGTGACAGAGCGACACTCTGTCTCAAAAAATAATAATAATTTAAAAAGAAAAAGGCAAAAATTATGGCCGGGCACGGTGGCTCATGCCTGTAATCCCAGCACTTTGGGAGGCCGAGGTGGGCGGATCACAAGGTCAGGAGATCGAGACCATCCTGGCTAACACGGTGAAACCCTGTCTCTACTAAAAATACAAAAAATTAGCCAGGCAAGGTGGCGGGCGCCTGTAGTCCAAGCTACTCGGGAGGCTGAGGCAGGAGAATGGCATGAACCCGGCGGGGCAGAGCCTGCAGTAAGCCGAGATGGCACCACTACACTCCAGCCTGGGTGACAGCGAGACTCCATCTCAAAAAAAATAAAAGAAAAAAGAAAAAGGCAAAAATTCAAACAGCTAAACAGAAACTGGACAAAAGAGTTGAACCAGCCCTTCACAGAAGGGGAAATGTGAAGGAATGGCCAACAAACACATGAAGAGGGTCTCAGCCTAACAGGATGAGGTACCACGTGACACCCACCAGACTGGCAAAAATCCCACAACCCAAGAAATGCAAGGGTTGGGGAGAATGGAGAGCAACAAGAACACTCAGCCACTGCTAAGAAAGGTTGTGAACTTTTGTTGTTGTTGTTATGCTTCCATATGAAAGGCTGTGTGTTGTGGGTTATGAGGAAAATTACATTTCTTAACTGGGATGAAATTTTAAAAATTGAAAGCTACTGACCAGAAGAAACTTGCATTTGTGTACAAAAGAAATGCCCAAGAACGTTCTAGCAACACAGTCCTAAGGGCCCAACCTGCCCAAACCCTCATCCACAGGAAAATGAAGACATTTCCCACGTTCCCCTCATACCACGGGCGATCACGCAGCAATGAAAATGAACCATGTCAGTGTGGATGGGTCTCAGGAAGAGAATGCAGGACAAAAATAGACATCGAGCAAATGCAAATGCTCAGACCCAATGCAGCATAGGAGCAGCCACACAGGAGAATTTCTTCACATCCAAGTTCAAAACTACAGCCGAGGCAACAGAGCAAGACCCTGTCTCAAAAAGACAACAGAAAGTTCAAACACTAAATGGCATATTGTTTAGGGATGTACACATACGTGGTGAAAGAAACGTGCTATGAAGAAAAGTACGGGATTAATAAAGACTAAAGTGGAAAGTGATTCCCTCTGCAGAAGGGAAGGGACTGGGATTCGGGAGGGGCCGCCAGGGAACATCCACAGTTATGTCTCTTCAGATTCTGTTCCCTAAACTTGGTGGAGGTCCTGTGTGTCCAGTGTGTCGATGTTCTTTATACCTTGCCCATATTGTACAAATGCTTTTTTCTATTTAATATTTAGAAGACAGTTATACACAAGATGCATTAAATAGCAAGATGGCAGATGAACATCAGGAAGGAACATTAGGAACATCCATGGTGTTCCATCCAGGAACCTTCACCATGGAAACCCCTGTGCTCATGGGCCTGGTCTCAAGACACAGTCAGTTGGGGATCAGAGGCCACACTCATCGTAGCAGAGAGGCAGGAACAGCTGGGCGAGGGTCCTTCTGTGACATCTACTGCATCACTGGGCTCTGTGAAGTGACTCAGCTGCCAGAACTCACACAATATTCTGCACCAAAACCTCACGGGAAAAATGGTAAGTTTGAAGTTTCTCCATTAGTAGCAACTCTCAGATTAATCTCTGTCCTCCATCGCTTCTCCATGAAACAACGTTTTATACCTTTGCTTGGGTCTATTTTTCCATTTATTTTTTATTTTACTAACTGATTGAAAGATATATACTGTACGTGTGTGATTTTGTCTCTATCAGCCAGGATAATCATGGTTTAATTCCTATTATTATTATTACCAACATCCTTTAGTTTTTTTAAGCTTTTCAATTCCTAAGGGTAATCAAGTTCTTTCTGCCTCCTGAGACAGAAAACAAATCCAAACTGTGCAAGAGAAAAACGAATGCATTGATCACTAGGACTCACAAGTTCCCAGGTTTAATCTGCTTGAGAAACAGTTACACCAATGGTTTCAAGTGGCATCCTGTGATTCATTCTCTCTCTCCTCCTCTCTTCTCTCTCTCCTTACCCAACACCGGCACCATATTTAGCATCACGAACCTCAGACTTAAACAGCACAACAGGCTCCTCCCAGGTCTCCAGCTACACAACCCTCAGACTTAAACAACAGCAGCGGCACCAGCTCCTCCCTGGGTCTCCAGCTCCACAAACCTCAAATTAGAACAGCAGCACTGGCTACACCCAGTCTCCAGCTCTACACCTCTAACTTGAACTACAGCCACCAGCTCCTTCCTGGGTCTCCGGCTCCACAGACCTTAAACGAAAACAGCAGCACTGGCTCCTCCCCAGGTCCCCAGCTACAGACCCTCAAACAAGAAGAACAGCAGCACCAGCTCCACCTAAAGTCTCCAGCTCCACACCTCAAACTAGAACTTCAGCACCCGCTCCTCCCCGAGTCTCAATATCTGTGACCCTCAAAATAAAACAGCAGGACCAGCTCCTCCTCTGGTCTTCAGCTTCACGACCTTAACTGTAACAGCACCACCCGCTCCTCCGGGGTCAACAGCTCCGACGCTAAAACTAGAACAGCAGACCAGCTTCTACCTAAAACACCAGCTCCGAGACTCTCAAACAAGAACAGCAGCACTGACTTCTCTCACCAGGTCTCCAGCTCCACGATCCTGAAACTTGAACGGCAGCACCCGCTCCTCCCCGGGTCTCCAGCTCCACGAACCTCAAACTTGAACAGCAGCACCCGCTCCTCCCAGCGTCTCCAGCTCCATGAACCTCAAACTTGAACAGCAGTACCCGCTCCTCCCCGGGTCTCCAGCTCCACGAACCTCAAACTTGAACAGCAGCACTCGCTCCTCCCAAGGTCTCCAGCTCTGCGAACCTCAAACTTGAACTGCAGCACCTGCTCCTCCCCGGGTCTCCAGCTCCACGAACCTTAAACTAAAACAGCAGTACTCACTCCTCCCCAGATCCCCAGCTGCAGACCCTCAAGCTGCAACAGCAGCACCATCTCCTCTCCAGGTCTCCAGCTCCATGGACCTTAAACTAGAACAGCAGCACCAGCTCCTCCTTGGGACAACAGCTCCAAGACCCTCAAACTACAACAGCAGCCCTGACTCCTGCCCAGGTTTACAGCTCCACAAACGTCAAACTTGAACTTCAGCACTAGCTGAAGTCTCCAGCTCCCTGACCCTCAAACTAGAACAGCAGCACCATCTCCTCTCTGGGTCTCCAGCTCCACGAACCTCAAACTTGAACTGCAGCACCTGCTCCTCCCTGGATCTCCAGCTCCACGGACCTTAAACTAAAACAGCAGTACTCGCTCCTCCCCAGGTCCCCAGCTGCAGACCCTCAAACTGCAACAGCAGCACCATCTCCTCTCTGGGTCTCCAGCTCCATGGACCTTAAACTAGAACAGCAGCACCAGCTCCTCTCCTGGTCTCCAGCTCCAGGACCCTAAAACTAGAACAGCAGCACCAGCTCCTCCTTGGGACAACAGCTTTAAGACCCTCAAACTACAACAGCAGCCCTGACTCCTGCCCAGGTTTACAAACCTCAAACTTGAACTTCAGCACTGGCTGAAGTCTCCAGCCCCATGACCCTCAAACTAGAACAGCAGCACCATCTCCTCTCTGGGTCTCCAGCTCCATGGACCTTAAACTAAAACAGCAGCACCAGCTCCTCCCGAGGTCCCCATCTACAGACCCTCAAACTACAGCAGCACCAGCTCCACCCAAAGTCTCCAGCTCCCCACCTCAAACTAGAACTCCAGCACCCGCTCCTCCCCGAGTCTCAATATCCGCCACTCTCAAACAGCAGCACCGGCTCCTCCCCTGGTCTTCAGCTTCACGACCCTAACTATAACAGCACCACCCGCTCTTCCGGGGTCAACAGCTCCAAGACTCTAAAACTAGAACAGCAGACCAGCTTCTACCCAGGTCACCAGCTCCGAGACTCTCAAACTAGAACAGCAGCCTTAACTTCTCGCCAAATCTCCAACTCCACGACCCTTAAACTTGAACTGCAGCACTTGCTCCTCCCCAGGTCCCCAGCTACAGACCCTCAAACTAAACAGGAGCACTGACTTCTGCCCACATATCCAGCTCCACGAACCTCAAAGTTAAACTTCAGTACCAACTCCTTCCCGCGTCTCCAGCTCCACGACCCTCAAACTACAATAGCAACACTGGCTCCCCAATCCCAGGTCTCCATCTCCACGACCATCAAACTTGAGTTGCAACACTGGCTCCACCCAAATTCTCCAGCTCCAGGATGCTAACTGTAATAGCAGCACCAGCTCCTCTGCAGGTCACCAGCTCCAAGACTCTCAAACTAGTACAGCAGCACTGACGCCTGCCCAGGTTTCCAGCTCCATGAACCTCAAACTTGAACTGCAGCACCACCTCCTCCCTGGTTCTCCAGCTTCACGACCCTCAAACTAGAACAGCAGCACCAGCTCCAACCAAAGTCTCCATCTCCACGCCTCCAACTTGAACTCCAGCACCAGCTCCTTCCTGGGTCTCATGATCCATGACCCTGAAAATAAAACAGCAGCACCAGCTCCTCTCTAGGTCTCCAGCTCCACGAACCTCAAATTTAAAAAGCAGCCCTGGCTCTAACCCAGGTCTCCAGCTCCACCATCGTCAAACTTGAACGGCAGCACTAGCTCCTCCCAAAGTCTCCAGCCCCACGACCCTAAAACATGAAGAGCAGCATTGGCTCCTCCCCAGGTCTTCAGCTTCACAACCCTAACTCTTACAGCAACACCCGCTCCTCCCCAGGTTGCCAGCTCCAAGACCCTAAAACTAGAACAGCAGACCGGCTCCTACTCAGGACACCAGCTCCAAGACTGTTAAACTAGAACAGCAGCACTGATTTCTCACCAGGTCTCCAGCTCCACGACCCTCACACTGGAACTACAGCAACAGCTCCGCCCAGGTCTCCAGCTCCAGGGACCTTAAACTAAAATAGCAGCACCAGCTCCTCTGCAGGTCCCCAGCTACAGACCCTCAAACTAGAATAGCAGCACCATCTCCTCTCCAGTTCTCCAGCTCCACGACCTTGAAACTAGAAAAGAAACACTGACTCCCCCCCACCACCAATCTCCATCTCCAGGAACATCAAACTTGAACTACAACAGCGGCTCAACCCAAAGTCTCCAGCTCCCCGACACTAACTACAACAGCAGCACCAGCTCCTCCCTGGCTCACCAGCTCCAAGATCCTCAAACCAGAACAGCAGCACTGACTCCTGCCCAGGTCACCAGCTCCAAGACCCTCAAACCAGAACAGCAGCACTGACTCCTGCCCAGGTCACCAGCTCCAAGACTCTCAAACTAGAATAGCCACACTGACTCCTGTCCAGGTCACCAGCTCCAAGACTTTCAAACTAGAATAGCCACACTGACTCCTGTCCAGGTTTCCAGCTCCATGAAACTCAAACTTGAATTGCAACACTGGCTCCTCTCCAGGTCTCCAGCCACTCATCCCTCAAACTGTTGCTCCTCCCTGTGTCTCCAGCTTCATGACCCTCAAACTTGAACTGGGGCACCCGTTCCTCCCCGGGTCTCCAGCTCCACGACACGTGAACTGCAGCACTTGATCCTTCCTGAGTCTCCAGCTCCATGACCCTTATACTTGAACAGCAGCACCAATTCCTGCCCAGGTCTCCAGCCTCATGACCTTCAAATTTAAAAAGCAGAACTGGCTCCAACCCAGGTCTCCAGCTCCACCATCATCAAACTTGAATGGCAGCACTAGCTCGCCACAAAGTCTCCAGCTCCCATGACCCTCAAATGTGAACAGCAGCACTGGCTCCTCCCCAGGTGTTCAGTTTC
Source organism: Homo sapiens (assembly GCF_000001405.40). NCBI lineage: Eukaryota > Metazoa > Chordata > Mammalia > Primates > Hominidae > Homo > Homo sapiens. The sequence goes on from NC_000020.11 coordinate 48,475,710, forward strand.
ACGACCCTAACTATTACAGCAACACCTGCTCCTCCCCAGGTCACCAACTCCAAGACCCTAAAACTAGAACAGCAGACCGGCTCCTACCCAGGTCACCAGCTCCAAGACTCTCAAACTAGAACAGCAGCACTGACTTCTTGCCAGGTCTCCAGCTCCATGACCCTCAAGCTTGAACCGCAGCAACAGCTCCACCCAGGTCTCCAGCTCCACAAACCTTAAACAACAGCACCGGCTCCTCCAGAGGTCCCCAGCTACAGACCCTCAAACTAGAACAGGAGCACTGACTCCTGCCCAGATATCCAGCTCCACGAACCTCAAACTTGAACTGCAGTACCAGCTCCTTCCCGGGTCTTTAGCTCCGTGACCCTGAAAATAAAACAGCAGCACTGGCTTTTCCCCAGATCCCCAGCTCCACGACCCTCAAATTTAAAAAGCAGCACCAGCTCCTCCCTGGGTCAGCACCTCCATGACCCTCAAACCTGAACTGCAGCACTGGCTCCTCCCCGGGTCACCAGATCCCAGACCCTCAAACTAGAACAGCAGCACTGACTCCTCCCCATATCTCCAGCTCCATGACCATCAAACTTGAAGACTAGCACCATTTCCTTTCTGGGTCTCCAGCTCCACGACCCTCAGACTTGAACAGCAGTGCCAACTCCTTTCTGGGTCTCCAGCTCCACTATCTTCAGACTTGAACAGCAGCACCAGCTTCTCCCCAGGTCTCCAGCTCCATGACCCTCAAACAGGAACAGCAGCACCGGCTCCTCCCTGGGTCTCCAGCTCCTCAAGTCTGAGGATCATGGAGCTGGAGACCCAGAAAGGCAATGGTGCTACTCTTCAAGTCTGAGGGTCATGGAACTGGAGACCCGGGGAGGAGCTGGTGCTACCGCTGTTCAAGTTTGAGCATCTTGGAGCTGGAGACCCAGGGAGCCGCCACTCGAACGGTAGCTCCTCCCCCAGTCTCTAGCTCCATGACCCTCAAACTCGAAGAGTAGCACCATTTCCTTTCTGGGTCTCCAGCTCCATGACCCTCAGACTTGAACAGCAGCACCAGCTCCTTTCTGGGTCTCCAGCTCTCCTATCTTCAGACTTGAATGGCAACACCAGCTTCTCCCCACGTCTCCAGCTCCACGACCCTCAGACTTCGACAGCAATCCGGCTCTTCCCCTGGTCTCCAGCTCCATGACCCTCAAACTAGAACAGCAGCACCGGTTCCTTTCTGGGTCTCCAGCTCCACGATATTCAGACTTGAATGGCAGCACCAACTTTTCCCTGGGTCTTCAGCTCCATGACCTTCAGACTTGAACGGCAGCACTGGCTCCTCCCCTCTCCAGCTCCATGACCTTCAGACTTGAACGGCAGCGCCGGCTCCTCCCTGGGTCTCGAACCTGCCCAGCCTGCAGATTTTGGACTTGCTAGCCTTCAGGATCACATTAGCCAATTCCTTAAACTCAACCTCTTTCTCTGTATGTAGGATATGGACACCTCCTGCTGGCTCTTTTTCCGGAGAGCCCAGTGAACACACCGTGCATCAGGCTCCATCATTCACCAGAGCGTCTTTCCAACAGACTTTGCTGTGATATTTCTTAAATAAAGGTCACTCCAAAGACCCTCACCTCTGGATTGTAACCAACTCAGTGGCAGACTTAATCCATTTCTATCTGCTGACATTTCTCACATGGAATAGGCTGTTTGACAGATTGAAGCTGTCTCCCCCCACTCCCCAGGCCAGTGCACACTTATCTCCCTTGAATGTTCATTTTGTGCTCATTTTAGAGACTGAGGCACAAAGACAGGCAAATACAAGGTGAAGTCAGTGACAAATAAACAATGCTATTTAGGCATTGAGAGTTTGTTTTTGTGTTTGTGTTTTTTTGCTAATTAATTCCACCTGGTAGAGGAGGGCGAGGGGAAAGAGGAAGGGAGAAGTTTCCTGGCAGGGCTGAGAGGCAGAATGGTGCCTGCACCTCCTGGAGTGCACGGCAATGGTCTGGCTCTGCTGCCTTCTATGGGTAAGGGCCCACCGGTTTTTTTTCTGGGACTTAAGTCACCTGGGCTTATACTGAGCAGCCCTCAGCAAGCTCTTCTCACTTGCCCCTGCCACCCAGAGCTCCAGGATGCCCTAGTTCCTGCCCCTCAAAGACCTGGGACTCCTGCTCCTGGGACCTTCTGGTCGGTTCTGCTTTTCCTTGCTTCAGGACCTTACGTGGATTCTGTCACCTGCCACCTCAGAACTCTGAGCGACACACCCACTGCATGTCACCCAGGACAGGTTCACCCAAGTCTTTCATCCCAAGAAGGTCCTTCCTGGCACCTTGTGGGCTGACAGCATCTCCAGGGAACCACAGGACTTCGAGGGGGCCTGGGAAGCATCAAGAGCTTCAGGAGGGGAGTCTGTCACAGGTGGGGATTACGGAGCCCTGCAGGGACCCTTAGAACAGGTGGGTCGGGGTGGGGCTGAGGTCTCGACGCCTTGATTCAGGTTCCTGGCTTATGTCGACCTGTCTGAAATCTCCCACCCACAGCCAAGCCACTGGCCACCCCACTGCTGCCCTGTGTCACCCTGTTTTGATGGAGAGCTCACCAGGCTCTCCCAGCTGCTCTCCTCTTGGAGCAGGGAGTGTTGGAAGTGGGGGGCTGATCTGCATATGAACGTGGCTCTTAACCAGGTGAGGGGCTTGAAGTCCTCTGGGGCTAATGACTGTTCCATGAATAATGGTCCCTCTTAAAATGTAATTAAACATTTATCAGATGTATTTCTACAGAAACATCCATCTTAAGGGGGGACCGGATTTCCTACCATTCATATCAGTCTCCTGAAATGAGGCAGAGGCACTCCCGGCTCCCCCTCCCCTCCCCGGCCTCAGTTCCCTGGGCCGGATGTCCTGCTGGGGCCTGTGGTGCAGTTTCGGCTGGTTCACCCCATGCAGAGCTTGATGGGGTTGGGTTGGTTTTAATCAGAATGGTAAATTGCAAATGATACAGGGCCTGGGCTCTGTTGGGATACTTGTGTTGACCAAGTCCCTTGTGAATTAAATCATTTAATACTGGAAATGGAAAAGGCCCCCTCATTTTCCTTCTGAATGAGCTGTGAAATAGGCTCTGAGAACGGCCTCCAGAGTGAAGTGGTTGTCAGGGCTTGGCACCAAGATCTGATGAGGGGTCAGAAGACAGGGCACCAGCAGGACAGGGTACTTGGGGAGGCCTATCATGATGCGCAGTAGACGCATCCTGTGTCGGCAGCACCCCAAACTCGGGAGGCTGGCCGGGGTGCAGCTAACATACCTGGGATGTGTGCACTGACTGCATGCCACCTGAGGCACCCTCGGAGCATCTGAGAACCAAAGAATCACTCCTCAGCTTCCCAACCAGGGGACAAGTTTGGGCTCTGGCATGGGACAGCTCTTGTCTGCACTCCGAATCTCTGACCTTTCTCAATGCAGTGCTGGGGTTGACTTGGCAGATGAGGCTGCTGGGACTCAAATCACCTCACTGGCTTGAAGTCGTATTTAATCTGCTCCCAAGAAGGTGGAGCCAAGGACTAGCTGGTCCCAGCCATGAATTCTCTGAAAATTAGAAGAATAACAAAGCATATCAAATAGGATTAACACAAACACTTTTCAACACAGTGCCTGTGAGGCAACAGAAACATGAGCACAGGATGCCCATCAGTGGGGGGCCACCAGGGCCCAATGTCTCCAAAAGCAACTTGCTGGATGTATCAAGAGCTTAAATTTAAAAAGCACTTAATCCCTGATGCAGTTATCACACACATAAGATATTATCTTAAGGAGCTGTTTATAAATGCAAACCAAGATTATGTAGTAATATGATCATTGCCACATAAACTGCAACAGCAAAAGTTGGAAGCAGTACAAATGTCCAGCAACATAGGAATGGAGAAGAGTGCACGGGTTTTCCAGACAGGGAAATATTGAAGGATGATTTGATCATATGCTTGCCTGAAATTTTCAATAGTGTGGAAAGTGCTCGTGATTTCATGTGAAGTGAAAAAAATGGATACAAAAACGTGGATTTTACACTTTTATCACACACACACCCATATTCAGAGGAAATAGTTAAATAAGAGACAGAGCAAGGTACCAACAGTAGTAACATGTCAGTGGTAACATTATAGATGGTTTTCATTTTCTTTTTCATAGTTGTTGGTATGTTTCAAAAATGATCAGGTCTTTGAAAATCAGAAGGAAAATCAGAAGCAAGAGCACCAATTGCTACCAGGTGAAAACCACAATATTCTCTAGCAATTTCTGCAAACTATAGGATCCTTCATAAAATATACAGGTCCTTTAATAATTGATATGTTCAATTTTTCAATAAAAATTCTGATGTAAAATAAGGAAAGAAACATTCAAAGTATTCATTTTGATCTTGTACTCATGTTTGAGAAAGATACAGAGCAGTCAAATTACTTTGGAAAGTGTAAAAATTGGTGGTTTCATTTTAAATTGCTACCTCTAACACCTTCATGTGACTTCAGTAACCTATCTGCTCCCTGACAACCTTAAAGTGCTTAATTACCACAAATTTCTGAAATAAATCTATCATTTGAATAACCTTTGTGAAAATCAGTATTGAGTGCTTTTACATGATTTGATCACAGCAATAGAAACAGTCCCATTTGTCTCTGCACATGCAAATGACTTATTAACATTCAAGTGATGAGTTCACTTTACTGAGATTCCCAAGATATGCATAATCCCCAAACATTACTACCCTCCCTAAAGTCCTTTAATATCATCCCTTTGCTCTAGGACGCCCTGATTCCTCACCAGCTTACATTCCCAGCAGCATCTGGCCGTCTTGCCCTCTCTGCTACCCCTGGCCTTATCACAGTTCCTCAAACTGAACAGGCTCAGCCCAACCCAGCACCTTGGCACTTGCTGTGCTTCGCAGAGCTCCCATCCAGTTCTTGCCCCACTCAGCTCCACCCTGTGGGATGTTCCTTAGTTCCAAGAAGGCACGGCATCCTCCTCACCCCCAGTCCTTTGCACACGCTGTTCCCTTTGCTAAAACATTCTTCCCCTCCCACCACCTGCAGTTACCTGGCTAATTCCTGCTTCCCTTTGATAGACTTTCCCTCCATTCTCAAACCCTATGCCCCAAGCTCCTGTCCCCGACCCAGGATCAAACTCTATAATCCCCCAAATGTTTCCTTTGCAGCATTTTGCACATTCAGTTACTGGATGGTATTTTCATTGAGTCTTTGAATAGTTGGCTTCCCGTCTGGTCTGGAAACTCCATGAGGGCAGAGAATGAAAGTCATGCACTCACCCCAGCAGGTTGCCTGTTAACAAAGATTAATTGAATGACTGGTAGATTTGCACAGCATTTAGGCTTTTGTGCCCTGTGCTGGAATCATTCTGTGCTTGTATATTAAGCCACTTTACCTGAGTGGAATTTCCTTTGTCATACTACCTGCAGGTTTAGTGAAATGACAGTCCCTGTGGAGGACAGAGAAGCCTCCAGCTGCCTCCCTATGCTGGGATGGGAATGGGGGAACAAGACTAGATGGATCCATGAAGGAATGAAACACACCACACAAGAGCACCAGTATCTGTTCACCTGCTACACATCAGTCATTAATGGCATCCAAAAGGAAAAGACCCTTTCTCCTGTATGACATCCATCCCTGTACCTGTCCCAGCCCTGGAACCACCAGAAGGAACAGCGGAGAAGGGGACCCCAAGCCTTAGTTAGAAGTGAGTAGGGGGAGAGGAAAAGCTTGGAATTAAATGTGAGATTAAAATTTAGATTTGGACCAGCCTAGGCTTTTACTACCTGGATGAGAGTGAGAATGATTGATGAGCTTGTTCTTATAAATAGAAGTGGGCCAGGTGTGGTGGGTCACGCCTGTAATCCCAGCACTTTGGGAGGCTGAGGCAGGCGGATCACAAGGTCAGGAGATCGAGACCATCCTGGCTAACACAGTGAAACCCCGTCTCTACTAAAAAAAATACAAAAAAAATTAGCCGGGCATGGTGGCGGGTGCCTGTAGTCCCAGCTACTCGGGAGGCTGAGGCAGGAGAATGGCATAAACCCAGGAGGTGGAGCTTGCAGTGAGCCGAGATCGCGCCACTGCACTCCAGCCTGGGCGACAGAGCGAGACTCTGTCACGAAAAAAAAAAAAAAAAAAAAAAAAGTGAACAAAAGCCCAAGGGATCTTCCCAAAATGTCATCCAGAAGCAGGGGCCTGAGACCTAATAATAGGGCAAGGATTAGGATGAGGCAAGGGAGACACTCACCCCAGGCATAAAATCTAAATGGGTACCAAAAAATTCAATAATCATCATAAATAACATCATAACACAGTACTTTTTAAAACTCAAACTTCATGCAAAAAAACCGATTAACAAAATATTAAAAATTTAAAGACAGGATCCTTTGTGAGGAAGGAGGAGGAGGAGGAAGAAGAAAGACGGAGGAAGAGGAGGAGGAGCAGGGGGAAGGAGGAGGAGGGGGATGAGGAGGAAAGGAGACAGGATTCAAGGCAGCACTTGCACAATTTGGCCTCACTTGCTCACCCTAACCCAGCCCTGCCTCACAGAAGCTACTGGAAGGCAGCTGCTGGAGAAAAGTGAAGCCGTTTCCCACTTGTATTTAGTTCAGACCTTCCGTAAACCAGCTACAGGAGAGACAGTGATGACCCACCTGTGCCAAACAGGGCTGAAATCTACCATCAGGACCACGATAACCGGGTCTGTGTTGCCCGTTCCCAGCTGCGCTCAGACACTTTGACTTAAAGCCTCAGGCCAGGGTTGCTTCTCTCATTGACATTGAGAACTTGTTAAGAGAAGTAAGTCTCAGTTATAGGAAGTCAGATCTTCCCAAGGGATGCAATCAAGGAGTTTATTTATTTAAAATGCAGCTCCGTGTAGGGGTAGGAAAGGGAATGATTCTTTTTTTTTTTTTTTTTTTTGAGACAGAGTCTCGCTCTGTCACCCAGGCTGGAGTGCAGTGGTGTGAGCTCCGCTCACTGCAAGCTCCGCCTCCCAGGTTCACGCCATTCTCCTGCCTCAGCCTCCCGAGTAGCTGGGACTACAGGCACCTGCCACCACGCCCGGCTAGTAGAGACGGGGTTTCACTGTGTTAGCCAGGATGGTCTCAACCTCCTGACCTCGTGATCCACCCACCTTGGTCTCCCAAAGTGAGCTACCGCGCCCGGCCAGGAAGGGAAATTATTCTTATTCTTGTTTTCATCTTGATTCATTTTCTCTGTTGTGTCATCTCTGGCCATGAGCCTGTCACTTCTGTAATAAAAGAGCAGCAGTCAATAGGGTTCTATTTGGAGGGGAAAGTACAGGCTGCCCATCAACATGCTCAGGTTTCTCCCAGATCAGCCCCAAGGAGCAAGAACGGCCAGCTTACAAGGACAGGTCTGTATTCTGTGGATGGGCCAGAAAGAGGGTATGCAGCGAGGGAATGGTAATAACGTAGGAGAAAATGGCCAGGGTCACAGCCTGGTTTGTCCCCTTCTCACTGGGGGCCTGCAGAAGGCTGGTCCAAGCCAGCGACATCCGTGCATAGGGGTCAAAATGGACTGGGACCCTTCATTTGCTTCCTGGTGTCTTGAGATAGCCTCCCACCCACCAGCCCCACTGTGGGTCCCTGCACTGGCTTCACCAAGAAGAAACTGGGAGGCTGAGGGGCTGACCTGCGGGGAGATCTTTTACTCAGTCCCTGTGGACCTGTTGAATGTTTAACTTATCCTTAAAAAACATGCCTGCCTCTTTGCATGTCTAACTGTCATAAGGAACATGTGCTACTTTGCTAAAGAAGGAAAACATCACTCCAGACCACCTGTGCATTTAGTAAACAACAATTCGCAGCCCAGAGCAGTGGGTTTGCTGCTGCTGCAGAAAACAAAAGCTCAAAACCCAGGTGGAGCCTTCAAAGGCCACCTGGCTCCAAATTCACCCTCGGAATTCACTAACTGGTGTGTCTGGAGCTGTTTCTTTTTTGGTGTCTGGTGTCAGGAAAGAGAAGACACAGGGACACCAGTTGGCGGCTTAATCACATCAGACCCAAACCTCAGTTCTGTGTGTCCCATCTAGACGCCACTGGGGCTGAATGAACCACGAGCTGCTGCCCTGAGCAGGGAGTCGAATCCATCCTTGATCAGATGGCTGAAGTCGCGCACACCCTCTAGGGCCCTGCATGGGGGTGGGGAATCACCCGTTGGTTTTATCTCACAGCAGGGATGACCCCTCACTGGGCACCCCAGCTCAGACCTCAAGGGAAACAGGCCTGAGGAAAGATGGGTGGAAGGATGGGGCCCCTGGTGGGAGGACTCACAGGGTAAGAGACCCCACCCACTTAGGCAATTCACACTCGGGGTCTTTGGGGCCCTCGAAGGAAACCGTTGGTTCACAGTGAACACAGACAGGTCCAGCTATTCAGGATCACAATTATCTGCAGCAGGGACAACCACCCACTGCCAAAAGATGAATTCAGTAAGGCAGAAACTTTAGCTCATGATGAATTTCTTACTGAAAATGATTTCTATAATCATGTTTTATTTACCTGTATTTAAAGATTAAAGTTTCAATATGGCACCTTAATTCCTTAACAAAGAGAAAGAATGCATATCTTGTGGTAACGGGGACCAGCAGCTCCATGAATCAAAGCTTTCTGTGGCTCGATCTAGTTCAGGGTATGAGTGATACATTTAATGTGCCAGCAAAAGCCTCTGGTAAACAGGGAGCAGCGTTACAGCCAGCAGAGCCCAAGGGCTTGCCGGAGCTGATGGAGATTTAAGGGAGCAGGTTCGAGCTCCTCCTGAGGCAGAATGAGCGGAAGGCTCTCTCCGTCTCCTGAGTGTCAGGCTGGACTCAAAAGGGAGAGAAAATTGTTTAAATGAAACAAAACACTGTCATTGCAATGTGACATTCTCTTCCCTTTTTTTTCCTTTTTTTTTTTTTTTTTTGGACACAGGTTCTTGTTCTGTCACCCACCCAGGCTGGATTACAGGGGCATGATCTTGACTCACTGCAGCCTCAACCTTCCAGGCTCAGATGATCCTCCTGCCTCCTCAGTAGCTGGGACCACAGGCATGTGCCACCACATCTGGCTTTTTTTTTTTTTTAAGACATGAAGTCTCGCCACATTGCCCAGGCTGGTGGATTACAGGTGTCAGCCACCACACCTGGCTCCCTTCCCTATCTCACCTGACAGTGTCTCTACATCCCCATCTCTTACCACTCTCCCAATTTCTTAGATACTCTGTCCCCATCTCTGATCCTCCTGATCTCTGGCCTTTGCACTTGCTGTTCCTTCCACCTAGTGTGCTGTTCCCTCAAATCACCCATGGCAGCCCCTTCTTATCCTTCAGGACTCAGCCCACATGTCACCTCCTCAGAGAGGCCTTCCCAGACCACCCAAAATGAGACAGTAGCTCCACCCCCATGACTCTTTATCCCATCTCCCAATCTGTGTCCTTTATTGTATCTTTCACAGTCTGAATGATGTTTATGTGTTGACCTGCATGCTGTCCATCCTCATAGACTGGAACTTCCTGAGAGTGTCATGAGATCAGATGGCTCTTACGGCTCTTACTCACCGCTGTGTCCCAGACACCAGCACAGCAGCCTGTGTTTAAAGATGGTCTGTCAATATTTGTTAAGTGACTGGACAGATACGGAAGTGGACAGTTACACTGACAGTTTTTACAGGGGGACGTGTTGCTTTGTCTTCGACTTGTTCCATTGTTCTCGTATATAACGTGGGCCTGACCAGAAGGAGGTGCTGCTTGGACATGACAAAAAACTTTCACACAATCTGTTGGACAATAAACCACATAAGTACCCCTTCTCTATCCATTATTCTACACCTTTGTGGATACATCAATAGATTTCATGTGGGCTCAGGAATTTTGAAATATATATTTTAACAAATTGCTCATATAGACAGGGATCCTAAAATATAGACAGACATATAGATAGTCACCTGAGCCCTGCACACTCTACGCATGACTTTGCAATCCATCCTTTGAGGAAGTCTGCAGCAAAGACGGCCCTTCAGAGCTGTGATGAATCGAGTCAAGGGGCTGGACCTTTAGACCCCTGTGTTTACTACTAGTCTTTGGAGATGGAGGGACCCCAGGAAGGGTGACTGGGCAAAGCAGCTCCTGTCAGCCAGGGGCATTTTCTGGGGAGGGTCTCAGCTGTGAGCTCTCAGCAGGCAACCCCCTGGGCAGTGGGGCATGCATGCCTGCTCCTGAAAGGGGATGTGGGGGACACATCCCAGCATCTGCTCCAAGCCATGAATCTTTCTCACCAAGGCCATTGTGCAAAAGCTTCCTGACAGGCCTCCCTTCTTCCACTCTTGCTTTCCCTATTTTCCACACAGCAGCCAGAGGAAGCCTGTGAAACCCAGGTCAGGTCCTGTGCTTCCTCTGCTCAGAACTCTCCATGGTTTCCACATACTCAGAGTAAAACCCCGAGCTTCATGATAACCATGAGGCCCGCAGCTTCTGCCCCCAAGGCTTCTCTGACCTCACCTCCCGCTGCTCCTCTCCTCACTCGGCCGCAGCTGTGGCTCCCTCCCTGATTTTCCTGGAACATGCCAGCACACCTGTTGCTGGCTTTGTACTCACTATTCTTTTGCCTGGAAGGCTCCACCCTTGTCATCCTGGCCCACAGCCTCAGCTCCTCCGGTCTTTGCTCAAATGGTGGCTTCTCAGCGGGGTCTTCCCTGACCATCCTACTGAAAATCAACAACCACCCCCCATAGGGGGTTGAACAAGGGCCCCCCATACATGTCTACATTCAAACCCCTGGGACCTGTGTATATGTCCATTGCAAAGAGGTTTTGCTGATGTAATTAAGTAAAGGATCTTGAGATAGAAAGATGACTCTAGATGACCTGGCTGGGCCCAGTGTAATCACAGGGGTCCTTATAAGAGGGAGGCAGGAGAGTCTGAGTCAGAGGAGCTATAGTGACAGGGCAGAGACTGGAATCATGTGCTTGAATATGGAGGAAGGGGCCGCGAGCCCAGGAATACAAGGGGCTTAAAGGAAAACACAGGCCAGACCAGCACTTTGGGAGGCAGAGGCAGGTGGATCACTTGAGGTCAGGAGTTCGAGACCAGCCAGGCCAACATGGTGAAATACCATCTCTACTAACACAAAAAAAATTAGCCGGACATGGTGCACACACATGTAGTCCCAGCTACTTGGGAAGTTGAGGCAGAAGAATATCTTGAACCCAGGAGGCAGAGGCTGCAGTGAGCCAAGATTGGACCACTGCACTGCAGCCTGGGCAATAGAGTGAGATTCTGCCTCTAAAAAAAAGAAAGAGACAAAGAAAGATGGCAGGGCGGGGTGTTGGGGAGAGAGAGAGAGAGAGAGAAAAGAAGGAAGGAAGGAAGGAAGGAAGGACAGGAGGAAGGGAAAGGAAAGGAGAGGAGAGGAGAAAGAAGGAAAGAAAGAAAGAAAGAAAGAAAGAAAGAAAGAAAGAAAGAAAGAAAGAAAGAAAGAAAGAAAGAAAGAAAGAAAGAGAAAAAAGAAAGAAAGAAAGAAAGAAATAGAAAGAAAGAAAATACAGACACTGAAAACGCAAAGAATCCTGCCCTCAGCGCTTCTAGCAGGAGCCAGCCCTACTGACGCCTTGACTTAGCCCAGTAAAACCGACGGCAGACTCCTGACCTCCAGAGCTAGGACAGAGTCCATCTGTGCTGTTTGAAGCTATCAAGTTGGTGGTGATTTGTCACAGCAACCACAGGAAGCTAACACACCCTCCCACATACCTGGAGCTTCCTATCCCCAAGCCTGCTGAATGTCTCCCTGTAGCATGGATTAGCAGCTGACATGTGTACCTTTCACTGATTTGTTTCTCCTTCTCCACTTACTGAATGTCTGCTTCATAAAAGCAGGAATTTTGTTTGTTGCAAGATCCCCTGCACCTAGCACAGTGCCTGGCAGATAGCAAGTGCTCAGCAAACATCCTCTGCAATGCTGTACCTGAGTCCTGAGGAGGGAGGAGGAGCAGATACTGGGATGAGCCAGGGGACAGAGCTCCCGGCAGAGGCAGAAGCAAGGGTAGAGTCTGAGTCACAACCAATCCCATCCTTCTAGATGGCTGCTGTAGGACCCATGGATAAACTTCCTCCTAGCCCTGCCTCCACAGAGAAGTCCCTTCAACTGAAGCCATGGAAGCTGGAAACTCACTTAAGAGCCCCTACAGTGAGAGATTAAGAGCATAGGCCCTGAAGCCAGGCTGCCTAGGTTCAAATCTCAGCTCTGCCACTCAGTAGCTGAGTGACTCTGGGCTAGTTAATTAACCTCTCTGTGCTAATTTCCACATCTACAGAATAAGGATAATGATAGTGCCCATCTCATAGGGCTATTGTGAGGATTGAAATAGCTAATGCATTTAGCACAGTGCCTGACACACAGTACACATGATCTGCTCTTCCTATTTGGGTGGAAAAGTCCAGCAAGTTGCAAAGATTGCTAAAAAGCAATGAGAGTATACCAAGGTGTCTAAACTGACAAGCAAAGGGTATGATTAAAAGACAAGCCAGGTTGGCAGCAGAACATCAGCTTTCTTTGTGCCTGGGCCATAGACAAGGAATTGAAAGGTAGCCTGGCAACGATTCGAGAAAAATTAATCACCCCTGCTGCCTTCCTGCCCCTGCCCATCCCATTTAACCTGCACTCTCCCGCCCCCTGCCCTATCCCTAAAGGGATCCTGGAGCCTCCTGTTGCACAGGCCGGGCTGTGACATTCACAACACACCCCAGCTGGGCCCAGCGAGTTGTTTTCCAGCCCCATCTGCCCAGACACAGCCCCGTGAAGAGAGGGCCAAATGCACAGCCAGGGCTGTGTTGACTGCAGAAGGGATAGAAGAAAATAGATGGGGTGGGGTCTGCACAGTGAGGGTTGGTGCATCATGTGGGTCTCACATGTAGCTTCCCTCCAACAAGCCCCCTGCAATCCCCACCAGATGTAAGGAGGGAGGGGTGAAAGTGGGGTTTCCGCCAGAGGTAGCAGAGCTGGGGAGGGGCCCAGGCTGCAGGGACCTGTGTACAGGGCATGAGATGTCATTGGGGACTTCCTACATGAGACGCAGTGAGTCATCAGGGTGCAGGGTGGAGGCTCTGAAGGAAGAGCCCAGGGGAATATGGGAAAGAGGTGACATGAGAATCCATTAGCCACCACCCCAGTCCTTCACATGAGAACTCATCAGCCACCACCCCAATCCTTCCCTCCTCTGTTCAGGAGCAGGGCCGGGGCCCAGGAGACAGGGTGAGCTTTCTGCAGGAGGGACACCCGCCCTGAGAGGAACCTGGGCTGTCATAGCCGCACAGACACTGCAAGCCAGGAGCAGTGGCCACACCCGTGGAGCAGAGGAATCAGAAGGGGGCAGAAACAGAGGCTTGTCACCTGAGGGCTGTGAGCATGTGTTTGCCGTGACCAAGGGGAGACAAAGCAAGTGACAGAGATGCCTTCTCGTCTGCGGGGATTCCCTCTGCAGGTCTCCAGGGACAGTGGGTCTGAGGGGCAGGAACGGTGGGGGGGCTATCACAGGTGCCGCATCAGGATGTCCCCTTCTGCCCTGAGCAGCGGGCAGTCCCCTCGAAGATGCCACGTCATCAGCCTCTGGCCCGAGGGCTTCCCAGAGCCTCCCTTTCTCCGTTTTGGGTGACTTGGGCAGGCACTGGCGTCTACATCTGTGTACTCTTGGCCCCTAGTGGGTGTGACCTGGGCCCTCCCATCAGACACACTTCAATCTCATCCCACACAGCCCAGGGCCAGGCCTTGGCACCTCATGCACAGACTCAGACAACGCACCTGCGATCCGGGCGCTGAGACTCTGCACGTGGCCTCATCCCAGTGTCTCAGAGGGAAATGAGGCTTGAATTTCTCCTGGCACACTGGACACCCCGCATCTCACGGTGCTGCATAAGAGGATGCTTGGCCCTGCATCCTCCCTACAATAACCATCATTTAATAAGGCCAGAAGTGGAGAAGGCGAGGCTGATGGGGCCGCCATGTGTTCAAAAGCAGCCCCCACCCACGCACAAGCAGCCCTCAGAGGCGTCCAGGCAGCTCCAACCAGCAGATAACAGGCACCAGAATGTGCAGAGCCAGCCCAGATCACAGCCTGGATCTCAATTTGCAAGAAAGAACTTGCCAGGTTGAGCAGCTGCCACGAGTCCGGATGGCTTGGCATTTTCTCCTGGAGGCTGTTCTGAGAGCCAGACCGGGGGTGGGGGCCCCTTGGCCACTATGGGTCCCTGCAGTCTGCACCGAGCTTGGAGTCACCAGGCTGATTTCATGGATGTTTATGGAGCCTGCAGGAGACCATAGCTTAGTGTGTCCCCTGCTAATTAAAGGACAGCAGCCAGTTGTTCCCTGTCAGAGATTACAAAGGATGAATGCTTTGGACCCAGGGAGCGGATGGGAGCATATCAGATGCCAAAACCTGGTGCCTGCCACCTGGCATTCTTTGGAAGTGACTCTTTGAGGAGCACTGACCATTATCGGGGAGATGGGTATTGGGGAGCCTCCCTCTCAGCTCTGGGGGCTCAACTCTGCCCACATAGGGCAGGAGGACGATGTCCTGAAGCTGTGCCTGTCCTTGCCCAAGGAGGGTTGGGGGCTTTGCAGGGGGGTATGTGAATGCCTGCAGGCCTGGGGATCAGGGGACCTGTGCAGGGCTGGAAGAGGGGTTCTCAGCCACAGGACAGCCCTGCTTCAGCCAGTGAAGCCATGTGTGGAAATACAGCTCAGCATTGCTCAACCTTCCAGCAGCCAGGACACCCTGGGTTTGAGTCCCTGCTACGGATAAAAGAACCGAATCCGACCATTTGTCTTCAGCCATTCTCAGCCTCTGCCTCTCTCCCCAGCCCCTCCACCCGCCATGTTCAAGGAAGGCAGAGCCCAGAACCTGTTGTGTGGGGCCTTGGGCTTTCCACGGCCTGATCAGTGCTAGTCTCTGGGGAGCACTTTGGGGGACACATTCAGATTCTCTCGAATGCCTCATACCCGGACTGCAATCCCCCATTCCACCAGTGATTTCAGTACCGTGTGGGAAATTTCATCAAATTTGCAAGTGTGTTGTTTCTCCTTTTACCCCCATTCTATCTGTGAGATGCTCTAGAATTCACCAGATGTAATATATCTTTGGGATGAATATTCTATGTTAAGTCCTTTGAAAGCAATCAACAACTGTAATCCAATTACTATTGGCTGTATCTTTCATGCTCTTTTGCCCCAAACCTCATCCTACCTGTGTGCCAAGCTCACCACATACACACACAGACACACACATACTCCACAAGAGATGCCAATTTTGTGCCTCGCTGCCTCACATAACATGGGAGCATTGAGTAGTGAACAGCTGATCTGCATGAATTAACGTGTGAGGTCATGTGGGCCCTGAAGCTTTCACACTCACAAACCGGCGTCAGGCTGGGCTGTCATAGAGATCAGGTGGAGGGACACTAGGGTTCCCCCCAGGACTCCAGGCCTCCTCTGATGAGCAGGTCACATGGGGATTTAGAGGGAGGCACAGGCACGAACTGCGTATTAAATACACCTGACTCACTGTGTCTGTGAGTGTGTGGGCGTGTGTGGGTGTGGGAGAGTGCATGTAGGAGTGAGCATGTGTGTGAGTGTACATATAAGTGTGTCTATGTGTGTGCATATGAGTGTGTCTGTGTGTGTATGTACGAGTGTACATATGTGCGTGGGCATGTGTTTGTACACATGTGCATGTGTGTATATGTATGATGAGCAAATGGATGCATGAGTGTGTGTGGGCATGTGTATCTGTGTGTGTATATGTGTAAGCATGTTAGTTTGCATGCACAGGTGTCCAGGTCCCACATGGGATGAAAATTGAATAGCTCTAAAGATCTACTGGACACATTTCAGATCCTAACAGAGCTCTTAAGCTTGAAAGGGTCACTGAATGCACAATGAGTGTTTCTGAGTCCAGGTGGCACTGACTCAGCAATGCAGGAAAGCAGCTCCTGGAGTTCCAGGAATGACCCCCACTTTCTCTCCCTCCCAGTCACAGACCCCTCCCCACGTCCCTTCCTCTCCCTCTGTTTGCCTTCTGTGCCTCTCCCTTTCCCAGTCTCATTTCTTGCATGTTCATCACTTCTTCGTCCTGCAGTTCAATTCCCCTCCACCCCTCAGCATGGACTGTGGGATGAGAGAGCCACAGCCTTATCCCTGACGTAACCAAAACTCTTGGCACCAGCTTAGACCTGTTTCTCAGTCTTATAAACGGTCTCAAATCAGGGAAATGTAAGGTTCTGAGGAAAATGATCACAACTAGGTGATTCCCCTCTGTGTTACCGTAAGGCGGTGAGACAGAGATTCTCTAATGTTTTTAGTGCAACCCACCGTAAGAAACCCATTGCAAACTGCCACCCAGCACACACACGCACATCCATTTATACAGAAACGCAGCACGTTTCCCCAAACGGCACTCACCCTCGCTGCACACAACGCACTCTGATGCCTCCTGACCTAGTCTATTCTGGTCTATTGCAGATTTTCAATGCCGGGCTTGACACTCTAAATTGATTTCAAGACCCACTAATGCATCACAGCCTGTGACTTGATAAACTCCACGCTAAGACACATCCCGTTGTGAGGTGTTCGACCCAAAGGCCATTTATCCTGCAGTGAGCAGGGGGACAGGATTCACCCTGAGGCGCGCCTCCTCCTTCTCAGTCAGGCAGGGAGGAGGGGGCTCTGTGCCATGGGACCTGCAGAGGTCCTGGTCTCAGGGTTAGTGCCCTGTGGCTGCTGTGTGTCCAGCAGCTGGCAGGGCAGGAAGATTGGGGGTGGGGGTGTCACTCCCACAGGCACACAGCACCCGGCAGAACCCTGGCCTGAAGCTGCTTAGGCCTGTGGCCTCTTGAGCCCACCTGGGAGCAGGCCCTGGGGGACAGCTGTTGGGGGCAGGGACTCCCAATGCACGGAACAGGCCATGAGCTGGGCAAGCTGCTCCTTCCCATAACCTCAGACCCTTCTTCTCACCCACCTAGGACCAGCTCCTGGGAGCTTGCGGACAATCCTGGGCCCAGAGAAGCAGGCAGATGCGGCTGTTGGTAGCACTAATATGGGTTGTGAATATCATCCTGTGGTTATTACTTTACTTAAGTTACACGCCAGTACACTCGATCCTGCACGTGTCCCCTCACTTCACGCTCATGGGGTTTGCACGATGGGAGGAGCGCTCCCAGCAGGTGATGAGGGTGATAAATGGCACTGGACATTCCTGGAGCACCTGTTGGCACCCAGGGCGGGGCTTAGTGCTCCATTTGAGTCTGGAGTCTTTACTCTGCCATAGCAGCTGTGTGACCCCCGGTAAGCGGTTTAACCTTTCTGTGCCTCTTCTTTCTCAACTCTAAAGGTGGATAATAAAGTCCCTGCCCTCAAGCAATCAAAGGTGTGTTAGAAGGGCTTGGCACATGGCAGGCAGACAGTATACATGGTTGGGATTAACCCCACTATACAGATGAGGAAACTGAGGCTCAGAGGCACTGGCCTGGCAGGCAGTGGGACCTGCACCCAGGCTCGTCTGACACTGAGCTCTTTGGCCTCCCTCCTTTACTGCTGCCTTCAGAAGAGACAGAGGAGAGGGCCACCCCCTCACACGCACACAGGGGCTGACCATCCAAGGACCCCAATCACCTGGCTGCGAGCAGCCCTGCTCCCACGGGGACACTGACCGCTCCGAGTGCCCGGCATTCAGGCCTCGAGCCACCCACTCTGCACTGCACGGGGCCTCCTTGGAACGCGTCCCTCCCCAGGGGCCGTTTCTCTGTGGGATGGCGCTGCTCTGTGGGGAGGACCCCACCTCCCTCCTTCATGACGACCTGCCCTTACCTGGCTCGTCTCTTGGCAGACGCTGTCCCACGCATCTCTGTCATTTGCATGCCACCGTGGTGACAGTCTTCCTGGCCACGGGTGTGACAGGGCCTTTTAGTTTCTGACTGACACAGTCACAGCCCCATTTCACCTGATTCCACTTACAAAGGCAGGTTTCCCTTCCCAGCCTCACATGGAGGTGGTCTCCGTGGAGTTCAAGAGGATGTGGGCTGGGAGGAGGGGCAGCAAAGAACCCCAGCCCACCCCAAGCAGGAGGTGGCAGAGTCCATCCGGCCGTCTGGAGATAGCCGAGACCCTTGGCCACTGCAGTTCCCCCCACTGAGCCTGCCCCCATCCCCACTCCACACTGGAACAGATGCTGGAGGGGCAAACCCCAAATACCCTCCCTAACCAGAAACCAAACTACCGAAATCCACCAGATCCCAGCCCACCGTGGCCAGATAGTCTGACTTTCCAACGAAGTCGAAAATACAGATTTTTAGAATTAAAATGCAAATGTTGGCAACTAGTTCAAATTAATTTTTTTTTTTCATGGAGGCTTTCTGGTGAAAACCTGACCCCACCTGGGAGCAGGCCCCGGGGGGAAAAGCTGTGGGAGATAGGAACCCCCCCACCAAGTGCAAAGAACAGGCCACGAGCTGGGCACAGATGCCTCTTCCCCAGCCTACCTGGGAGTGACAACCGGAAAACGTGCTAGACAAATTCTGAAAGAGCTGTAACACCTTACATTATTTTAAAAGTCCCCAGGTTGAGTTAATCCCAGACCCTTTACAGCTTTTTCCTTCTGATTGGTGAGGCCTCAGCTCAAATGTCACCTCCTCAGAGAAGCCCTCCCCCTTGGCCCTATTTAAGTAGCCCCCACCAGAGCCTCAGTCAGCGACACGCACCCTTCATTTCCTTCTTGGCGCTGACCCCTACCTGCAAGTGCCTCGTCATTTGCGGTTGGCATCTGCACTGTCCGTCTCCACCAGCACTTAGGCTCCGTGAGGACAGACGCACGTCGCCTTGTGCCCTGGTGAATCCCAAATCCCTGCCCTGAGCGCAGTGCCTGGCACAGAACAGACACAGGCAATGAGTGCTGCTGAAAGTTCCCCATGGAGCCAGTGGTGATCTGTCCAGGCTCTACAGCCCTCCCGCTAAACGTGTTCAGAGACGGGGACGCTGGGGCCATCCTCCTTGCTCCACTCCTGGTGAAGAGCCCTCAGACCCATAAGATGGGCTTGTCCATATCACCTTCTCAGGTGAGCCTCATACATAAGCAGGTTCAGTGGGTTAACCAAGCCTACATCTTTAACCCACGTGATAACCACAGTACCAGGTTTCTGCCATCAAATCTTTTCTATCCTCAGTCCTGCCTTGGGAATTCAGACTCACCCAGAATTCAGAGTTTCACAGACTCAGAAGAGAATGTGATGCTAGATTGTTCTGAAATGTTTGGTTTTAAAGCAAGATCAAATGATTACATTTGTGATCTGAAATCATTTGATTGTATCAAGCCATATCCCCTTCCAAATTATTTTCTTTAAATTCTCCCCAGAACGGGGAACAGTATTAATTGTTTCCAATGAAAAGACTGCCCCTTTCATCAAAGCCATGAGCTTTATCTGCTGTTTTTGAATATAACGCTGACTTAGTAAAAGTGATTGTAAATAGCAGGTCTTCTTTGTGCATTTTGTGCTTCCAAATGTGCTAGTTGGAATAAAGAAGTGAAAAGTTTAAAAATCCTCTCTTGTAAATGTTTGGAAATTGCACTAGAGTTATTTCTTGCTCTTTGAGGGGAGAGGTCACCCTGCAAATGTACAGTCACACCTGTTCGGCTCCCCCGGGTTTTGAATGTCACTAAACCCCCACTTCCCCCCACCTTGGCAGATCAGACTCTGTGAAGGACGCTCACTGTCTGTGCGACCTCACACCAGGTACAGGGACCAGGGGAAAGAGGCAAGTCTGGCTTGTGGGACAGTCCTGCAAGGCCACTTTTCTGGTAGGGAGGTGACACCTGCAAAGGAACCTCTCATTTCTCCCAGCTCCAGCCAGTTTCAACAACAGGTGGGGTTTTCTTTCCTCTCAATTATTATAGATTTCTTTTCTAATAATCAAAGTCATGATTCATTTTGAAAGTTTTTAAAAATAGAAGAAAACAAGATTTTAAATCACGCGTGATTGATTCCAACACCAAAGATAAGCAGTATTCGCATTTTGCTATGGAGTGCTCCTGTTAGACATACACACACATATGATCACACTTACACACTTATGCATTTTTGCTTCATTAAAATAGAATAAAGCTTTATGGGCCAGGTGCAGTGGTTCATGCCTGTAATCACAGCATTTTGGCAGCCAAGACAGGCGGATCACTGAAGGTCAGGAGTTTGAGACCAGCTTGGACAACATGGTGAAACCCCAGCTCTACTAAAAATACAAAAAATAGCTGGATGTGGTGCATGTGCCTGTAATCTCAGCTACTCGGAAGGCTGAGGCAGGAGAATTGTTTGAACCCAGGAGGCGGAGGGTGCAGTGAGCCGAGATCTCACCATTGCACTCCAGCCTGCATAACA
This sequence comes from Homo sapiens, assembly GCF_000001405.40. Taxonomy (NCBI): domain Eukaryota; kingdom Metazoa; phylum Chordata; class Mammalia; order Primates; family Hominidae; genus Homo; species Homo sapiens. The sequence goes on from NC_000020.11 coordinate 48,496,141, forward strand.
GAGTGAGACTCTGTCTCAAAAAAAAAAAAAAAAGAAGAGCTTTGTTTACACTAAACAATATTTTGTGTCCATATTTACACATAGATAACAACAGATCACTATCATTTTTGGTATGGGCATATGTAGATATAAGTATTACATGAATTTCCTACTTTTTATCCAGTTATGGTTATATCACCTATCAGTGATTTAACTTCAGCCAAGACAGAAGTTTATCTCATAATAACCAAGACTGGGCCGGGCACAGAGGCTCACGCCTGTAATCCCAGCACTTTGCGAGGCTGAGGTGAGTGTTTCACTTGAGGTCATGAGTTCGACACTAGCCTGCTCAACGTGGTGAAACCCTGTCTCTACTAAAAATTTAAAAAATTAGCTGAATATGGTGGCACGCACCTGTAATCCCAGCTATTCGGGAGGCTGAGGCATGAGAATCACTTGAATCCAGGAAGCGGAAGTTGCAGTGAGCTGAGATCACGCCATTGCATTCCAGCCTGGGCAACAGGACAAGACTCTGTCTCAAAAAATAAAAAAGTAAAAACAAAACTGGAGGTTGTCAGTCTAGGGTGGCGTTAGGGACTTTCATTTCCTTCCAGAGGACATTCTGCTATCCACAGGGTAGAAGCCTAATCCTCAAGGTTCAAGGTGACAAGAATAGCTCCAACCATCATACGCTTATTCCAGGAAGCAGGTCAAAGGATGGAACAACTAAGAAATGACATTAAAGATATGTGTCAGTCCATCTGCGTTGCTATAAAGGAATACCTGAGGCTGGTTATTTATAGAAGAGAGGTTTAATTGGCTCACAGTTCTGCAGGCTGTACAAGCATGGCACCAGCATCTGCTCCTGGGGAGGCCTCAGGAAGCTTCCAATCATGGCAGAAGGTGAAAGGGAAGCAGGTACATCACATGGTGAGAGAAAGAGCAAGAGAGGGAGGAGGATGTGCCAACCCCTTTAAACAACCAGATCTCCCATAAACTCAGAGCAAGAATTCAGTCATTGCCATCGGGACGGCACCAAGCCATTGTCAAAGGGATCTGCCCACATCACCAAAACACCTCCCACCAGGCCCCACCTCCAACATCAGGGATCACATTTCAACATGAGATTTGGAGGGGACCAACATCCAAACCATAACAAGACAGAAGTTATAGAAAGGGGTCTCCAAAAATACCACCCAACACTTTTATTGCCTCCCATTGGCCAGAACCTGGTCACATGGCCACAACTCACTGCAAGGAAGCCTGGGAAAATGTAGCCTGTGCCCACCCACCAGGAGAGGGGAGCACTTTTGCCAGGGTGCGGGACCACCAGCGGGCATTTATGCTTCCTACTTCTTTCTTCTTATAAAAATCCTTGAGATTCATCTTTGCATGTTTTTCTGACTATTTCCTAGGGATCAATGCCTATAAATGAAATTTGGGACCAAAAGTTACGCACTTTCATTGGCCAGTTGCAAAATTGCCCTCTAGAAAAGTTGTACCAACGAACTCACCCAAGAGGTGGGGTTCTATTTCATGAAATGTTTCTCCACCCCACATTTCCTTTTAATCCACACCCTTTGGCCTTTATTAGGCTTAGACATCTCTTCAGAATCCCTGCTTCCTACAACATAATCTTGGGATTTAATACATGTTTTTCATTCAGGTTATTATTAATATCAGATTTATCTAACTATGCGTGAACCCAGCCACAGCCTTAGGGAAAGAGATGTATCTTTCAGTGCTGAAGAGAATAAAAATTAATAATCATCAGAGACTTTGAAACTGAAGTGGGCAGGGCAGGGTGGAAAGAACAGATCTCATTCTACGAAGTGCATGGAGGGATATTCACAGAGCATGTAGTGCTGAGTACAGCGGCCCAGGCACCTGGGGACACCCAGAGAGCAGCCTTTCCTCAACAGAAAAGGAGTGAGCACCACAGAGAGCTGCAGAAAGGGAATCCCAGACAGGGGTAACAGTAGATGCAAAGGCCCCATGGCAGGCACCAACTCATACAGGTTTGCCCAGAACTTTCCCAGTTTTAACACTAGAAATCCCATGTCCTAGAAAACTTCTGAGTCTCAGCCAAGCTGGGATGATTTGCCTGGAACTGCCCCTGTTATAAAACTGAGAGGTCTGTGCCCCACGACCCCCCTCAGTCCTGAGCAAGCTGAGACAGTGGATTGCCCTAGACTGGAGCAACGTGCATGACGGTGGGAAGAGCCAGTGACTCTCTTTCATGTCCTCTCTCCCCTCAACCTCAGGAGTCACCCAGGTGGGCACTGACATCCAGGATGAAAACTTCCCAGCATCCCTTGCAGCAAGCAGTGGCCACGTGACCAGGCAGTGGCCAATGCACATGAGGCCAGTGCACAGCAACTGCCATTAGAGGAAGGAAGATTTGTGTCCTCTTGTTCTCTTCTCCCCTCCCTGCTGGCTGGCAGTAGATAGGATGGACACTGTGGGGGAAGCTACACCCTAAGGAAGTCAAAGCAGCAAGATGGAAGTACCCTAAGACCCTGAAAAATGCACAGAGAAGAATCACCTGACTGGCTTGAACTTTCATGTGAAAGGAATGAACCTCTGTCTTAGTAAAGCCACCGTGATTCAGGGTCCTTGTCACATTCACTGAGGCTGTAACATAATTGTTAGAAAGAACAGGAGCGGGAGGGGGGATGGAGTCGGAGAGGCAGGCAGAGGTCAGATCACATGGGGCCTGTAGGCCAAGGCGGAGGAAGAAACAGGCAACATAGGACTCAAGGACCACACCTGCTCCCAGGCAAAGGGAGTTTGCTGTGGGTGCCCCTCCCTGTCTGTGTGTCCAGTGTGTGGCTATTATTTATACCTTGCCCATATTGTACAAATACTTTTTTCTATTCAATATTTAGAAGACATTACATTAAATAGCAAGATGGCAGATGAACATCAGGAAGGAACATTAGGAACATCCACAGTGTTCCATCCAGGAACCTTCACCGTGGAAACCCTTGTGCTCATGGGCGTGGTCTCAAGACACAGTCAGCTGTTGGGGATCAGAGGCCACACTCATCGTAGCAGAGAGGCAGGACCAACTGGGAGAGGGTCCTTCTGTGACACCTACTGCATCACCGGGCTGTGTGAAGTGACTCAGCTGCCAGAACTCACACAATATCATTCTACACCAAAACCTCATGGGAAAAATGGTAAGTTCTCAGTTTCTCCATTAATAGCAACTCTCAGATTAATCTCTCCTCCATCACTTCTCCATGGAACAACTTTTTATAGCTTTCCTTGGGTCTATTTTTCCATTTATTTTTTGTTTTACTAACTGATGGAAAGATATATATTGTATGTGTGTGATTTTGTCTCTGTCAGCCAGGATAATCATAGTTTAATTCTTATTATTTTTATTACCAACATCCTTTCGTTTTTTTAAGCTTTTCAATTCCTAAGGGTATTAATCAAGATCTTTCTGTCTCATGAGACACAGAAAACAAATCCAAACTGTGTAAGAGGAAAAAGAATGCACTCATCACTAGCATTGAGAAGTTCCCAAGTTTAGCTTGCTTGGGGTACAGCTACATCTACCATTTCCAGGGTCATCCTGTAACTCTCTCTACTTCCCCAACTTTGGCTCCATGTTTAGCTCCACGACCCTCAGGCTTAAACAGCAGTACTGGCCCCTCCCCAGATCTCCAGCTCCCTGACCCTCAAACTCCAACTGCAGCACCAGCTCCGCCCCGGGTCTCCAGCTCCACAATCCTCAAACTACAACAGCAGCACCAGCTCCCCTGTGGATCTCCAGCTCAATGACTCTCAGACTTGGGAGGCGGCACCGGCTCCCCACCAAGCCTCCAGCTCCACAACCTTCAAACTAGAACAGCAGCACCGGCTACCCCCTGGGTCTCCAGCTCCCTCAAAATTCAACTATAGCACTGGCTCTTCCCCGAGCCACCAGCTCCACAACCCTCAACTTACACAGTGGTAGCACCAGCTCCTCCCTAGGTCTCCAGCTACACGACCGTCAAACTTGAACTGCAACACCAGCTCCTCTTCGGCCTCCAGCTCCACAATCCTCCAACAACAACAGCAACACCGGCTCCTCCCTGAATCTCCAGCGCAACAACCCTCAGACTTGAGAGGTAGCACCGACACCTTCCCCAAGGCTCCAGCTCCATGACCCTCAGATTTGAACAGCGGTAGCACCAGCTCCTGTCCAGGTCTCCAGCTTCATGATCCTTAAACTAGAACAGCAGCACTGCCGCCTCCCTGGGTTTCCAGCTCCATGACCCTAAGACATGAATGAAAGAACTGGGTCACCCCAGGGCTCCAACTCCAAGACCCACAGATTTGAACGGCAGCACCGGCTCTTCCTGGGATCTGCAGCTCCACAGCCTTCAAACTAGATCAGCAGCACCGGCTCCTCCCTGGGTCTCCAGCTACACAATCCTCAGACATGAACAATAGCACCGGCTCCTCCCTGGGTCTCCAGCTTCACTACCCTCAGACTAGAACAGCAACACTGGTTCCTCCCTGGGTCTCCAGCTCTACAATCCTCAGACATAAACAGCAGCACCACCGGCTCCTACCCTTGTCTCCACTTCCACGACCCTCAAACTACAACAGCAGTACCGGCCTCTCCCCAGGTCTCCACATCCATGACCCTCAAAATAGAATGGCATCATCGGATCCCTCCTGGGTCTCCAGCTCCCAAACCCTCAAACTTCAATTGACACACCGGATCCTCCCCACAGTTAAACAGCAGCACAGGCTGTTCCCAAAAGCTCCAGATCCATGATCCTCTGACTTAAATGGCGGTAGCACCGGCTCCTCCCCAGGTCTCCAGTTCCACAACCCTCAAACTACACAGCAGCACCGGCTCCTCCCCAGGTCCACAGCTCCACCACCCTCATACTAGACACCAAGACTACCTCCTCCCTGCTCTCCAGCTACACGACCCTCAGTCTTGAACAGCAGCAGCTCCTCTCTGTACCTCAAGCCCCACGACCCTCAGACTTGAACAAGAACAACACCATCTCCCCCCAGGGCTCCAGCTCGGGGACCTACAGATTTAAACAGCAGCACCGGCTCTTCCTGTGATCTCCAGCTCCACTAACCTCAAACTAGAATAGCAGCACCGGCTCCTCTTTGGGTCTCCAGCTTCACTACTGTCAGGCTGGAACAGCAACACCGGTTCCTCCCTGGGTCTCCAGCTCAACGACTCTCAGATTTGAAAGGCAGCACCGGCTCCTCACAAAGTTTCTGGCTCCAAGGCCCTCAAACTAGAATAGCAGCAGCTGCTGCATCTTGGGTCTCCAGCTCCACAACCCTCAAAGTAGAAAAGCAGCCCTGGCTCCTCCCTGCCTCTCCAGCTCCTCAAGTCTGAGTGTTGTAGAGCTGGAGACGCAGGGAGGAGTCAGTGCTGCTGTTCTAGTTTGAGGGTCGTGGATCTGGAGACCCAGGGTGGAGCCGGTGCTGCTGTTCTAGTTTGAGGGTCATGGAGCTGGAAGACCCCGGGAGGAGCTGCTGCTGCTGTTCTAGTGTGAGGGTCATGGAGCTGGAGACCCGGGAAGGAGTCATTTGAACAGCAGCACTGGCCCCTCCCCAGGTCTCAGGCTCCACGACCCTCAGACTTAAAAAGCCGTAGTACGGGCTTCTCCCTGGGTCTCCAGCTCTACAACCCTCAGACATGAACAGCAGCACCGGCTCCTCCCCCTGTCTCCCGTTCCATGACCCTCAAACTACAACAGCAGTACCAGCCTCTACCCAGGTCTCCAGATCCACGACCCTCAAAATAGAATGGCATCACCAGCTCCTCCCTGGGTCTCCAGCTCCCAAACCCTCAAACTTCAACTGACACAGCAGATCCTCCCCACAGTTAAACAGCAGCATGGGCTGTTCCCCAAAACTCCAGATCCCTCTGACTTAAATGGCGGTAGCACCAGCTCCTCCCCAGGTCTCCAGTTCCATGACCCTCAAACTACAACAGCAACACAGGCTCCTCCCTGAATCTCCAGCTCAACAACTCTCAGACTTGAGAGGCAGCACCGGCAACTCCCCAAGGCTCCAGCTCCACCACCCTCAGATTTGAACAACCGTAGCACGACCTCCTGACCAGGTCTCCAGCTTCATGATCCTTAAACTAGAACAGCAGCACCGCTGCCTCCCTGGGTTTCCAGCTCCACGACCTTAAGACACGAATGGCAGAACTGGCTCCCCACCAGGGTTCCAGCTTCGGGACCTATAGATTTAAATGACAGCACCGGCTCTTCCCAGGATCTCCAGCTCCACTCCCCTCAAACTAGAACAGCAGCATCAGCTCCTCCCTGGCTCTCCAGCTCCCAAACCCTCAAACTTCAACTGACACACAGGATCCTCCCCACAGTTAAACAGCAGCATGGGCTGTTCCCCAAAACTCCAGATCCACAACCTTCTGACTTAAATGGCGGTAGCACTGGTTCCTCCCTAGATCTCCAGTTCCATGATCCTCAAATTACACAGCAGCACTGGCTCCTCCACAGGTCTCCAGCTCCACCACCATCACACTAGACACCAAGACTACCTCTGCCCCTCTCTCCAGCTACACGACCCTCAGACTTGAACACCAGCAGCAGCTCCTTCCTGTACCTCAAGCCCCATGACCTCGGATTTGAACAACAACAACACCAGCTCCTGCCTAGGGCTCCAGCTGCAGAACCCACAGATGTAAACGATGGCACCGGCTCTTCCCAGGATCTCCAGCGCCACTACCCTCAAACTAAAACAGCAGCACCAGCTCCTTTCTGGTTCTCCAGTTCCATAACACTCAGGCATGAACAGCAGCACCCACTCCTCCTTCCGGCTCAAGATTCACTACCCTCAGACTAGTACAGCAAAACCGGTTCCTCCCTGGATCTCCAGCTAAATGACTCTCAGACTGGAAAGGCAGCACCAGCTCCTCCGTGGATCTCCGGCTCCACGACACTCAAAACAACACGGCTCCTCCCTGGGTCTGTACCTCCATGACCCTCAAACTACAACAACACTGCTCCTCCCTGGCTCTGCAGCTCCACCACCCTCAAACTAGAACAAGACTTCTCCTCCCCAGGGTGCCAGCTACCGAACCCTCAAATTACAACAACATTGCTCCTCCCTGGGTCTGTAGCTCCAGGACCCTCAGACCAGAACAAGACCTCTCCTCCCTGAGTCTCCAGCTTCCGGACCCTTGAATTACAACAACATTGCTCCTGCCTGGGTCTGCATCTCCACAACCCTCAAATTAAAACAAGATCTCTCCTCCCTGGGTCACCAGCTTCGTGACCCTCGAACTAAAACAACAATGCTCCTGCCTGGGTCTGCAGCTCCACGACCCTGAAACTAGAACAAGACTTCTCCACCCTGAGTCACCAGCTTCCTAACCCACGAACTACAGCAACATTGCTCCTGCCTGGGTCTGCAGCTCCATGAACATCAAACTAGAACAAGACTTCTCCTCCCTGGGTCGCCAGCCTTCTGACACTCAAACTAAAACAACAGTGCTCCTGCCTGGGTCTGCAGCTCCATGACCCTCAAACGAAAACAAGACCTCTCCTCCCTGGGTCGCCAGCTTCCTCACCCTCAAACTACAACCAAATGGCTCCTCCCTGGTTCGGAAGCTCCACGACCCTGAAATTCGAACAAGACTTCTCTTCCCCCGGTTGCCAGTTACCGGAACCTTGAATTATACCAAAATTGCTCCTCCGTGGGTCTGCAGCTCCACGACCCTCAGACCAGAACAAGACCTCGCCTCCCCTGGGTCGCCAGCTTCCTGACCCTCGAATTACAACCAAATTGCTCCTCCCTGGGTCGACAGCTCCACGACCCTCAAACTCGAACAAGACTTCTCCTCCCCGGGTTGCCTGCTACCGGACCCTTGAATTACAACAAAATTGCTCCTCCCTGGTCCGGCAGCTCCACGATCTTCAAACTAGAACAAGACCTCTCCTCCCTGGGTCGCCAGTTTCCGGACCCACCAATTACAACCAAATTGCTCCTCCCTGGTTCGGCAGCTCCACAACCCTCAAACTAGAACAAGACCTCTCCTCCCTGGGTCTCCAGCTTCCAGACCCTCGAATGACAACCAAATTGCTCCTCCCTGGGTCTGCAGCTCCACCACCCTCAAACTAAAACAAGACCTCTCCTCCCTGGGTCACCAGCTTCCTGACCCTCGAACTACAACAAAATTGCTCCTCCCTGATCAGCAGCTCCAACAGCCTCAAACTCGAACAAGACTTCTCCTTCCCAGGTTGCCAGCTACCAGACCCTCGAATTACAACAACATTGCTCCTCCCTGGGTCTGCAGCTCCACGACCCTCAGACCAGAAGAAGACCTCTCCTCCCCTGGGTCGCCAGCTTCCTGACCCTCGAATTACAACCAAATTGCTCCTCCCTGGGTCGGCAGCTCCACGACCCTCAAACTCCAACAACACTTCTCTTCCCTGGGTTGCCAGCTACCGGACCCTTGAATTACAACAAAATTGCTCCTCCCTGGGTCTGCAGCTCCACGACCCTCACACCAGAACAAGACCTCTCCTCCCTGGGTCGCCAGCTTTCGGACCCTCCAATTACAACAACATTGCTCCTCTCTGGTTCGGCAGCTCCACGACCCTCAAACTACAACAAGACCTCTCCTCCCTGGGTCTCCAGCTTCCAGACCCTCGAATTACAACAGAATTGCTCCTCCCTGGGTCTGCAGCTCTACGACCCTCAAACTAGAACAAGACCTCTCCTCCCTGGGTCACCAGCTTCCGGACCCCAGAATTACAACAACATTGCTCCTGCCTGGGTCTGCAGTTCCACAACCCTCAAACTAAAACAAGACCTCTCCTCCCTGGGTCGCCAGATTCCTGACGCACGAATTACAACAAAATTGCTCCTCCCTGGTCGGCACCTCCACGAGCCTCAAACTCGAACAAGACTTCTCCTCCCCAGGTTGCCAGCTACCACACCCTCGAATTACAACAACATTGCTCCTCCCTGGGTATGTAGCTCCACGACCCTCAGACCAGAAGAAGACATCTCTTCCCTTGGTCACCAGCTTCCGGACCCCCCAATTACAACCAAATTGCGCCTCCCTGGTTCGGCAGCTCCACGACCCTCAAACTAGAACAAGACCTCTCCTCCCTGGGTAGCCAGCTTCCGGACCCTCGAATTACAACAGCATTGCTCCTCCCTAGTTCGGCAGCTCCACGACCCTCAAACTAGAACAAGACCTCTCCTCCCTGGGTCTCCAGCTTCCAGACCCTCGAATTACAACCAAATTGCTCCTCCCTGGGTCTGCAGCTCCACCACCCTCAAACTAAAAGAAGACCTCTCCTCCCTGGGTCACCAGCTTCCTGACCCTCGAACTACAACAAAATTGCTCCTCCCTGATCAGCAGCTCCACCAGCCTCAAACTCGAACAAGACTTCTCCTTCCCAGGTTGCCAGCTACCAGACCCTCGAATTACAACAATATTGCTCCTCCCTGGGTCTGCAGCTCCATGACCCTCAGACCAGAAGAAGACCTCTCCTCCCTGGGTCGCCAGCTTCCTGACCCTCGAATTACAACCAAATTGCTCCTCCCTGGGTCGGCAGCTCCACGACCCTCAAACTCGAACAAGACTTCTCCTACCCGGGTTGCCAGCTACCGGACCCTTGAATTACAACAAAATTGCTCCTCCCTGGGTCTGCAGCTCCACGACCCTCATACCAGAACAAGACCTCTCCTCCCTGCGTCGCCAGCTTCCTGACCCTCGAATTACAACCAAATTGCTCCTCCCTGGGTCGGCAGCTCTACGACCCTCAAACTAGAACAAGACCTCTCCTCCCTGGGTCGCCAGCTTCCGGACCCTTGAATTACAACAACATAGCTCCTGCCTGGGTCTGCAGTTCCGCAACCCTCAAACTAAAACAAGACCTCTCCTCCCTGGGACACCAGCTTCCGGACCCTCCAATTACAACCAAATTGCTCCTCCCTGGTTCGGCAGCTCCATGACCCTCAAACCAGAACAAGACCTCTCCTCCCTGGGTCTCCAGCTTCCAGACCCTCGAATTACAACCAAATTCCTCCTCCCTGGGTCTGCAGCTCCACCACCCTCAAACTAAAACAAGACCTCTCCTCCCTGGGTCACCAGCTTCCTGACCCTCGAACTACAACAAAATTGCTCCTCCCTGATCAGCAGCTCCACCAGCCTCAAACTCGAACAAGACTTCTCCTTCCCAGGTTGCCAGCTACCAGACCCTCGAATTACAACAACATTGCTCCTCCCTGGGTCTGCAGCTCCACGACCCTCATACCAGAACAAGACCTCTCCTCCCCTGGGTCGCCAGCTTCCTGTCCCTCGAATTACAACCAAATTGCTCCTCCCTGATCAGCAGCTCCAGCAGCCTCAAACTCGAACAAGACTTCTCCTCCCGAGGTTGCCAGCTACCAGACCCTCGAATTACAACAACATTGCTCCTCAGTGGGTCTGCAGCTCCACGACCCTCAGACCAGAAGAAGACCTCTCCTCCCCTGGGTCGCCAGCTTCCTGACCCTCGAATTACAACCAAATTGCTCCTCCCTGGGTCGGCAGCTCCACGACCCTCAAACTCCAACAACACTTCTCTTCCCTGGGTTGCCAGCTACTGGACCCTTGAATTACAACAAAATTGCTCCTCCCTGGGTCTGCAGCTCCACGACCCTCAGACCAGAACAAGACCTCTCCTCCCTGGGTCGCCAGCTTCCTGACCCTCGAATTACAACCAAATTGCTCCTCCCTGGGTCTGCAGCTCCACGACCCTCAGACCAGAACAAGACCTCTCTCCTCCCTGGGTCTCCAGCTTCCGGACCCTCAAATTACAACCAAATTGCTCCTCCCTGGGTCGGCAGCTTCACGACCCTCAAACTCGAACAAGACTTCTCCTACCCGGGTTGCCAGCTACCGGACCCTTGAATTACAACAAAATTGCTCCTCCCTGGGTCTGCAGCTCCACGACCCTCATACCAGAACAAGACCTCTCCTCCCCTGGGTCGCCAGCTTCCTGACCCTCGAATTAGAACCAAATTGCTCCTCCCTGGTTCGGCAGCTCCACGACCCTCAAACTACAACAAGACCTCTCCTCCCTGGGTCTCCAGCTTCCAGACCCTCGAATTACAACAGAATTGCTCCTCCCTGGGTCTGCAGCTCTACGACCCTCAAACTAGAACAAGACCTCTCCTCCCGGGGTCTCCAGCTTCCGGACCCTTGAATTACAACAACATTGCTCCTGCCTGGGTCTGCAGTTCCACAACCCTCAAACTAAAACAAGACCTCTCCTCCCTGGGTCGCCAGATTCCTGACCCACGAACTACAACAAAATTGCTCGTCCCTGGTCGGCAGCTCCACGAGCCTCAAACTCGAAGAAGACTTCTCCTCCCCAGGTTGCCAGCTACCACACCCTCGAATTACAACAACATTGCTCCTCCCTGGGTATGTAGCTCCACGACCCTCAGACCAGAACAAGACCTCTCCTCCCTGGGTCGCCAGCTTCCTGACCCTCGAATTACAACCAAATTGCTCCTCCCTGGGTCGGCAGCTCCACGACCCTCAGACGAGAACAAGACCTCTCTCCTCCCTGGGTCTCCAGCTTCCGGACCCTCAAATTACAACCAAATTGCTCCTCCCTGGGTCGGCAGCTCCACGACCCTCAAACTCCAACAACACTTCTCTTCCCTGGGTTGCCAGCTACCGGACCCTTGAATTACAACAAAATTGCTCCTCCCTGGGTCTGCAGCTCCACGACCCTCACACCAGAACAAGACCTCTCCTCCCTGGGTCGCCAGCTTCCGGACCCTCGAATTACAACAGCATTGCTCCTCCCTGGTTCGGCAGCTCCACGACCCTCAAACTAGAACAAGACCTCTCCTCCCTGGGTCTCCAGCTTCCAGACCCTCGAATTACAACCAAATTGCTCCTCCCTGGGTCTGCAGCTCCACCACCCTCAAACTAAAACAAGACCTCTCCTTCCTGGGTCACCAGCTTCCTGACCCTCGAACTACAACAAAATTGCTCCTCCCTGATCAGCAGCTCCACCAGCCTCAAACTCGAACAAGACTTCTCCTCCCCAGGTTGCCAGCTACCAGACCCTCGAATTACAACAACATTGCTCCTCCCTGGGTCTGCAGCTCCACGACCCTCAGACCAGAAGAAGACCTCTCCTCCCCTTGGTCGCCAGCTTCCTGACCCTCGAATTACAACCAAATTGCTCCTCTCTGGGTCGGCAGCTCCACGACCCTCAAACTCCAACAACACTTCTCTTCCCTGGGTTGCCAGCTACCGGACCCTTGAATTACAACAAAATTGCTCCTCCCTGGGTCTGCAGCTCCATGACCCTCACACCAGAACAAGACCTCTCCTCCCTGGGTCGCCAGATTTCGGACCCTCCAATTACAACAACATTGCTCCTCCCTGGTTCGGCAGCTCCACGACCCTCAAACTACAACAAGACCTCTCCTCCCTGGGTCTCCAGCTTCCAGACCCTCGGATTACAACAGAATTGCTCCTCCCTGGGTCTGCAGCTCTACGACCCTCAAACTAGAACAAGACCTCTCCTCCCTGTGTCTCCAGCTTCCGGACCTTTGAATTACAACAACATTGCTCCTGCCTGGGTCTGCAGTTCCACAACCCTCAAACTAAAACAAGACCTCTCCTCCCTGGGTCGCCAGATTCCTGACCCACGAACTACAACAAAATTGCTCCTCCCTGGTCGGCAGCTCCACGAGCCTCAGACTCCAACAAGACTTCTCCTCCCCAGGTTGCCAGCTACCACACCCTCGAATTACAACAACATTGCTCCTCCCTGGGTATGTAGCTCCACGACCATCAGACCAGAAGAAGACATCTCCTCCCTGGGTCACCAGCTTCCGGACCCTCCAATTACAACCAAATTGCGCCTCCCTGGTTCGGCAGCTCCACGACCCTCAAACTCGAACAAGACTTCTCCTACCCGGGTTGCCAGCTACCGGACCCTTGAATTACAACAAAATTGCTCCTCCCTGGGTCTGCAGCTCCACGACCCTCATACCAGAACAAGACCTCTCCTCCCTGCGTCGCCAGCTTCCTGACCCTCGAATTACAACCAAATTGCTCCTCCATGGGTCGGCAGCTCTACGACCCTCAAACTAGAACAAGACCTCTCCTCCCTGGGTCGCCAGCTTCCGGACCCTTGAATTACAACAACATAGCTCCTGCCTGGGTCTGCAGTTCCGCAACCCTCAAACTAAAACAAGACCTCTCCTCCCTGGGTCACCAGCTTCCGGACCCTCCAATTACAACCAAATTGCTCCTCCCTGGTTCGGCAGCTCCATGACCCTCAAACCAGAACAAGACCTCTCCTCCCTGGGTCTCCAGCTTCCAGACCCTCGAATTACAACCAAATTGCTCCTCCCTGGGTCTGCAGCTCCACCACCCTCAAACTAAAACAAGACCTCTCCTCCCTGGGTCACCAGCTTCCTGACCCTCGAACTACAAAAAAATTGCTCCTCCCTGATCAGCAGCTCCACCAGCCTCAAACTCGAACAAGACTTCTCCTCCCCAGGTTGCCAGCTACCAGACCCTCGAATTACAACAACATTGCTCCTCCCTGGGTCTGCAGCTCCACGACCCTCAGACCAGAAGAAGACCTCTCCTCACCTGGGTCGCCAGCTTCCTGACCCTCGAATTACAACCAAATTGCTCCTCCCTGGGTCGGCAGCTCCACGACCCTCAAACTCCAACAACACTTCTCTTCCCTGGGTTGCCAGCTACCGGACCCTTGAATTACAACAAAATTGCTCCTCCCTGGGTCTGCAGCTCCACGACCCTCACACCAGAACAAGACCTCTCCTCCCTGGGTCGCCAGCTTTCGGACCCTCCAATTACAACAACATTGCTCCTCCCTGGTTCGGCAGCTCCACGACCCTCAAACTACAACAAGACCTCTCCTCCCTCGGTCTCCAGCTTCCAGACCCTCGAATTACAACAGAATTGCTCCTCCCTGGGTCTGCAGCTCTACGACCCTCAAACTAGAACAAGACCTCTCCTCCCTGGGTCTCCAGCTTCCGGACTCTCCAATTACAACCAAATTGCTCCTCCCTGGGTCGGCAGCTCCACGACCCTCAAACTAGAACAAGACCTCTCCTCCCTGGGTCACCAGCTTCCGGACCCTTGAATTACAACAACATTGCTCCTGCCTGGGTCTGCAGTTCCACAACCCTCAAACTAAAACAAGACCTCTCCTCCCTGGGTCGCCAGATTCCTGACCCACGAACTACAACAAAATTGCTCCTCCCTGGTCGGCAGCTCCACGAGCCACAAACTCGAACAAGACTTCTCCTCCCCAGGTTGCCAGCTACCACACCCTCGAATTACAACAACATTGCTCCTCCCTGGATATGTAGCTCCACGACCCTCAGACCAGAACAAGACATCTCCTCCCTGGGTCACCAGCTTCCGGACCCTCCAATTACAACCAAATTGCGCCTCTCTGGTTCGGCAGCTCCACGACCCTCAAACTAGAACAAGACCTCTCCTCCCTGGGTCGCCAGCTTCCGGACCCTCCAATTACAACAGCATTGCTCCTCCCTGGTTCGGCAGCTCCACGACCCTCAAACTAGAACAAGACCTCTCCTCCCTGGGTCTCCAGCTTCCAGACCCTCGAATTACAACAATATTGCTCCTCCCTGGGTCTGCACCTCCAACAACCTCAAACTAAAACAAGACCTCTCCTCCCTGGGTCACCAGCTTCCTGACCCTCGAACTACAACAAAATTGCTCCTCCCTGATCAGCAGCTCCACCAGCCTAAAACTCGAACAAGACTTCTCCTCCCCAGGTTGCCAGCTACCAGACCCTCGAATTACAACAACATTGCTCCTCCCTGGGTCTGCAGCTCCACGACCCTCAGACCAGAAGAAGACCTCTCCTCCCCTGGGTCGCCAGCTTCCTGACCCTCGAATTACAACCAAATTGCTCCTCCCTGGGTCGGCAGCTCCACGACCCTCAAACTCCAACAACACTTCTCTTCCCTGGGTTGCCAGCTACTGGACCCTTGAATTACAACAAAATTGCTCCTCCCTGGGTCTGCAGCTCCACGACCCTCACACCAGAACAAGACCTCTCCTCCCTGGGTCGCCAGCTTTCGGACCCTCCAATTACAACAACATTGCTCCTCCCTGGTTCCGCAGCTCTACGACCCTCAAATTAGAACAAGACCTCTCCTCCCGGGGTCTCCAGCTTCCGGACCCTTGAATTACAACAACATTGCTCCTGCCTGGGTCTGCAGTTCCACAACCCTCAAACTAAAACAAGACCTCTCCTCCCTGGGTCGCCAGATTCCTGACCCACGAACTACAACAAAATTGCTCGTCCCTGGTCGGCAACTCCACGAGCCTCAAACTCGAAGAAGACTTCTCCTCCCCAGGTTGCCAGCTACCACACCCTCGAATTACAACAACATTGCTCCTCCCTGGGTATGTAGCTCCATGACCCTCAGACCAGAACAAGACCTCTCCTCCCTGGGTCGCCAGCTTCCTGACCCTCGAATTACAACCAAATTGCTCCTCCCTGGGTCTGCAGCTCCACGACCCTCAGACGAGAACAAGACCTCTCTCCTCCCTGGGTCTCCAGCTTCCGGACCCTCAAATTACAACCAAACTGCTCCTCCCTGGGTCGGCAGATCCACGACCCTCAAACTCGAACAAGACTTCTCCTACCCGGGTTGCCAGCTACCGGACCCTTGAATTACAACAAAATTGCTCCTCCCTGGGTCTGCAGCTCCACGACCCTCATACCAGAAGAAGACCTCTCCTCACCTGGGTCGCCAGCTTCCTGACCCTCGAATTAGAACCAAATTGCTCCTCCCTGGGTCGGCAGCTCCACGACCCTCAAACTCCAAGAACACTTCTCTTCCCTGGGTTGCCAGCTACCGGACCCTTGAATTACAACAAAATTGCTCCTCCCTGGGTCTGCAGCTCCACGACCCTCACACCAGAACAAGACCTCTCCTCCCTGGGTCGCCAGCTTTCGGACCCTCCAATTACAACAACATTGCTCCTCCCTGGTTCGGCAGCTCCACGACCCTCAAACTACAACAAGACCTCTCCTCCCTGGGTCTCCAGCTTCCAGACCCTCGAATTACAACAGAATTGCTCCTCCCTGGGTCTTCAGCTCTACGACCCTAAAACTAGAACAAGACCTCTCCTCCCTGGGTCTCCAGCTTCCGGACCCTCCAATTACAACCAAATTGCTCCTCCCTGGGTCGGCAGCTCCACGACCCTCAAACTAGAACAAGACCTCTCCTCCCTGGGTCACCAGCTTCCGGACCCTTGAATTACAACAACATTGCTCCTGCCTGGGTCTGCAGTTCCACAACCCTCAAACTAAAGCAAGACCTCTCCTCCCTGGGTCGCCAGATTCCTGACCCACAAACTACAACAAAATTGCTCCTCCCTGGTCGGCAGCTCCACGAGCCTCAAACTCGAACAAGACTTCTCCTCCCCAGGTTGCCAGCTACCACACCCTCGAATTACAACAACATTGCTCCTCCCTGGGTATGTAGCTCCACGACACTCAGACCAGAACAAGACATCTCCTCCCTGGGTCACCAGCTTCCGGACCCTCCAATTACAACCAAATTGCGCCTCCCTGGTTCGGCAGCTCCACGACCCTCAAACTAGAACAAGACCTCTCCTCCCTCGGTCGCCAGCTTCCGGACCCTCGAATTACAACAGCATTGCTCCTCCCTGGTTCGGCAGCTCCACGACCCTCAAACTAGAACAAGACCTCTCCTCCCTGGGTCTCCAGCTTCCAGACCCTCGAATTACAACCAAATTGCTCCTCCCTGGGTCTGCAGCTCCACCACCCTCAAACTAAGACAAGACCTCTCCTTCCTGGGTCACCAGCTTCCTGACCCTCGAACTACAACAAAATTGCTCCTCCCTGATCAGCAGCTCCACCAGCCTCAAACTCGAACAAGACTTCTACTTCCCAGGTTGCCAGCTACCAGACCCTCGAATTACAACAACATTGCTCCTCCCTGGGTCTGCAGCTCCACGACCCTCAGACCAGAAGAAGACCTCTCCTCCCCTGGGTCGCCAGCTTCCTGACCCTCGAATTACAACCAAATTGCTCCTCCCTGGGTCGGCAGCTCCATGACCCTCAAACTCCAACAACACTTCTCTTCCCTGGTTTGCCAGCTACCGGACCCTTGAATTACAACAAAATTGCTCCTCCCTGGGTCTGCAGCTCCACGACCCTCACACCAGAACAAGACCTCTCCTCCCTGGGTCGCCAGCTTTCCGACCCTCCAATTACAACAACATTGCTCCTCCCTGGTTCGGCAGCTCCACGACCCTCAAACTAGAACAAGACCTCTCCTCCCTCGGTCTCCAGCTTCCAGACCCTCGAATTACAACAATATTGCTCCTCCCTGGGTCTGCAGCTCCATGACCCTCAGACCAGAAGAAGACCTCTCCTCCCTGGGTCGCCAGCTTCCTGACCCTCGAATTACAACCAAATTGCTCCTCCCTGGGTCGGCAGCTCCACGACCCTCAAACTAGAACAAGACCTCTCCTCCCTGGGTCGCCAGCTTCCAGACCCTTGAATTACAACAACATAGCTCCTGCCTGGGTCTGCAGTTCCGCAACCCTCAAACTAAAACAAGACCTCTCCTCCCTGGGTCACCAGCTTCCGGACCCTCCAATTACAACCAAATTGCTCCTCCCTGGTTCGGCAGCTCCATGACCCTCAAACCAGAACAAGACCTCTCCTCCCTGGGTCTCCAGCTTCCAGACCCTCGAATTACAACCAAATTGCTCCTCCCTGGGTCTGCAGCTCCACCACCCTCAAACTAAAACAAGACCTCTCCTCCCTGGGTCACCAGCTTCCTGACCCTCGAACTACAACAAAATTGCTCCTCCCTGATCAGCAGCTCCAGCAGCCTCAAACTCGAACAAGACTTCTCCTTCCCAGGTTGCCAGCTACCAGACCCTCGAATTACAACAACATTGCTCCTCCCTGGGTCTGCAGCTCCACGACCCTCAGACCAGAAGAAGACCTCTCCTCACCTGGGTCGCCAGCTTCCTGACCCTCGAATTACAACCAAATTGCTCCTCCCTGGGTCGGCAGCTCCACGACCCTCAAACTCCAACAACACTTCTCTTCCCTGGGTTGCCAGCTACCGGACCCTTGAATTACAACAAAATTGCTCCTCCCTGGGTCTGCAGCTCCACGACCCTCACACCAGAACAAGGCCTCTCCTCCCTGGGTCGCCAGCTTTCGGACCCTCCAATTAAAACAACATTGCTCCTCCCTGGTTCGGCAGCTCCACGACCCTCAAACTACAACAAGACCTCTCCTCCCTCGGTCTCCAGCTTCCAGACCCTCGAATTACAACAGAATTGCTCCTCCCTGGGTCTGCAGCTCTACGACCCTCAAACTAGAACAAGACCTCTCCTCCCTGGGTCTCCAGCTTCCGGACTCTCCAATTACAACCAAATTGCTCCTCCCTGGGTCGGCAGCTCCACGACCCTCAAACTAGAACAAGACCTCTCCTCCCTGGGTCACCAGCTTCCGGACCCTTGAATTACAACAACATTGCTCCTGCCTGGGTCTGCAGTTCCACAACCCTCAAACTAAAGACCTCTCCTCCCTGGGTCGCCAGATTCCTGACCCACGAACTACAACAAAATTGCTCCTCCCTGGTCGGCAGCTCCACGAGCCTCAAACTCGAACAAGACTTCTCCTCCCCAGGTTGCCAGCTACCACACCCTCGAATTACAACAACATTGCTCCTCCCTGGGTATGTAGCTCCACGACCCTCAGACCAGAACAAGACATCTCCTCCGTGGGTCACCAGCTTCCGGACCCTCCAATTACAACCAAATTGCGCCTCCCTGGTTCGGCAGCTCCACGACCCTCAAACTAAAACAAGACTTCTCCTCCCTGGTTCGGCAGCTCCACGACCCTCAAACTAGAACAAGACCTCTCCTCCCTGGGTCTCCAGCTTCCAGACCCTCGAATTACAACCAAATTGCTCCTCCCTGGGTCTGCAGCTCCACCACCCTCAAACTAAAACAAGACCTCTCCTCCCTGGGTCACCAGCTTCCTGACCCTCGAACTACAACAAAATTGCTCCTCCCTGATCAGCAGCTCCACCAGCCTCAAACTCGAACAAGACTTCTCCTCCCCAGGTTGCCAGCTACCAGACCCTCGAATTACAACAACATTGCTCCTCCCTGGGTCTGCAGCTCCACGACCCTCAGACCAGAAGAAGACCTCTCCTCCCCTGGGTCGCCAGCTTCCTGACCCTCGAATTACAACCAAACTGCTCCTCCCTGGGTCGGCAGCTCCACGACCCTCAAACTCCAACAACACTTCTCTTCCCTGGGTTGCCAGCTACCGGACCCTTGAATTACAACAAAATTGCTCCTCCCTGGGTCTGCAGCTCCACGACCTTCACACCAGAACAAGACCTCTCCTCCCTGGGTCGCCAGCTTCCGGACCCTCCAATTACAACAACATTGCTCCTCCCTGGTTCGGCAGCTCCACGACCCTCAAACTAGAACAAGACCTCTCCTCCCTGGGTCTCCAGCTTCCAGACCCTCGAATTACAACAAAATTGCTCCTCCATGGGTCTGCAGCTCCACGACCCTCAAACTAGAACAAGACCTCTCCTCCCTGGGTCGCCAGCTTCCTGACCCTCGAACTGCAACAAAATTGCTCCTCCCTGGTCGGCAGCTCCACGAGCCTCAAACTCGAACAAGACTTCTCCTCCCCAGGTTGCCAGCTACCACACCCTCGAATTACAACAACATTGCTCCTCCCTGGGTCTGCAGCTCCATGACCCTCAGACCAGAACAAGACCTCTCCTCCACTGGGTCGCCAGCTTCCTGATCCTCGAATTACAACAAAATTGCTCCTCCCTGGGTCGGCAGCTCCACGACCCTCAAACTAGAACAAGACCTCTCCTCCCTGGGTCGCCAGCTTCCTGACCCTCAAATTACAACAAAATTGCTCCTCCCTGGGTCTGTGGCTCCACAACCCTCAGACCAGAACAAGATCTCTCTCCTCCCTGGGTCTCCAGCTTCTGGACCCTCAAATTACAACCAAATTGCTCCTCCCTGGGTCGGCAGCTCCACGACCCTCAAACTCGAACAAGACTTCTCCTCCCCGGGTTGCCAGCTACCGGACCCTCGAACTACAGCAACATTGCTCCTGCCTGGGTCTGCAGCTCCACGAAAATCAAACTAGAACAAGACCTCTCCTCCCTGGGTCGCCAGCTTTCTGACCCTCGAACTACAGCAATGTTGCTCCTGCCTGGGTCTGCACTCCACAACCCTCAAACTAGAACAGCAGCACCAGCTGCTTCCTGGACTTCCAGCTCAATGACTCTCACACTTCAATGGCAGCAATGGCTCCACCCCCAGGCTCCAGCTCCAACACCCTCAGATCTGAGCAGCGGCAGCACCAGCTCCTTTCTGGGTCTTCTGTTTCACGATCCTTAAATTAGAACAGCAGCACCATCTTCTCCCTGGGTCTCCAGCTCCACGAAACTCAAGCTAGAATAGCAGCACCGGCTCCTCTGGGATCTTCAGCTCCACGACCCTAAGACATCAGTGGCAGCACTGGCTCCTCCCCTGGGCTCCAGCTCCAGGACCCTCAAACTTGAACAGAAACACCAGCTCCTCCCCAGGCCTCCAGCTCCTTGACCCTCATAAACAATCCCTTCTTATGAAATGTAGCAGTCAGGAAAACTGTAGAGGAAGTAAATAAATAAATGGTTTCCTTTCAAATTGATGTTTCTTTTCTGTTCACGCAAGTCAGGAAACTTTTCTACTTTCCATCAACCTTGCAACCTACTTGCATTCAATTGTAAGATGGAAATCCATCATTTGAAATAACCTTTAAAAACTTAGTAGTTCTTTTTTACTATGATCTTATCTCACAGCTCTAGAAACGATCTTTCACTTTGCCTGTGCAGAAGTCTTGTGAACATTCAAACTATGAATTTACTTGGTTGAGATTCCTAGAATACACATTATCCCCAGATGTTCCTGCCCTCCTTAAAATCTTCTAACAAGTTCCCCTCACCCGAGCATAAATGCCAGTTTCCTATCCACAGCCCACAGTGCCCAGCACGGCCCTGCCCTCTGCCCTGACCTTATGGTCTCCCCTCTGCTGTTACTTTCCTCCCAGACAGGCCTCTGTCACTTCCTCAAACCACACAGGCTCAGGCCTGACTCCGGGCCTTTGCCCCTGCTGTGCCCCCTGCGTGGAGCGCCTTTCCCCGGCTCCCCATCCTCCTCAACCCGCTCAGCTCCAGCCTGCTGGCCGCCTCTCAGTCCATGAACACACGATGTCCTCCCCCCAGGCCTTTGCACATGCTGTTCTCTGTGCCTGAAACCCGTCCCCCCTCACCATCTGCGTTCACTTTTCTAATTTCCATTCATCCTTGGAGTCTCCCCTGAAATATCGCCCCCCGCCTGCCCCCACCACTTGGACTTAACCTTGCTTAGGTTGAAAACCCCCATCTCCTGACTCCAGGAAGCTAGATGCTATCCTGGCACTTGGAACTTTCCCATTACAACGTTTTGCGCACTCGTAATTTATTCTATTAGGTTGGTGCAAAAGTCATCGCAGTTTTTGTCATTACTCTTAATGAACGGCAGCGCCAGCTCCTCCCCGCTTTTGTTTGCCATTACCTTTACTGGCAAAAGCCGGAATTACTGCTGCATCGACCTAATAGAATAATTTATATTTATTCACCTATCATCTGTCTTGCCCTCTAGAAAGTAAGCTCCATGAGAATAGGGACCAAATCTACTCCAACCACTCCAGCTTCCTAGCACATTGTCAATAATTATTTACCGACTGACTGATAGAGAAATATCTTCATTGTTGCTGGGATGAGCCACATAACATGACACGCCCCTTTGAAAGTCAATGTCATGGACAGTTAGCATTTGCTTTTCACTCCTGCACCTGTGGCTTGGCTGGGCTTAGGCTGATCTAGTCTGGGCTTGACTCCAGGCTGAGGGTTGGAACCCTGCGTGCTCCACACGCCTCTCATCCTGCAGCTGGAGTCAAAGTTCCCTGGGGCACGCTCGTCTCGTGGGAAAAATCAAGAGCATTAGAGGGCAGGCCTGGCAGTGCCAACACATTCCAGGCTTCTGCCTGTGCCGTGTCTATGAAAATCTTGTTGGCATAAGCAAGTTACCCAGCCACGAGCAATACCTATGGGATAGATAAGTCTGTCCACCCTCCCTCGGGCCCTGGTAAGGATGTGGATGTGTCATACTCTTACAGGGGTAGTGAAATATTGAGGCCCAACGTTAAATCACCTACAGCAAGATATGTCAGCCTCTGTGTCCCCACGCTGGAATCATGCTTCACCAGCGGGTTTACCTGAACCGACTCCCCTTTGCAATGGTGCCTGCAGGTTTAGGCCAATGCTGTTCCCTGTGAAGGACAGAGAAGCCTCAATTGGCCTCCGACTGTTGGCAAGAACAAGATATTAGGTTGGCATAAAACAACCACAAGCCCCAGGTGGCCCGTGCCCATTGAGACAGGAGAGGGGCAGGAAGAACTGTGGGAGCTCAGGGAGCTTCCCATCCCCAGTCCCCTCCCTCCCCCTCTTGTCCCATCTCCGCTTTCTTTTTTTTCCTTTTTTTTTTTTTCTTGAGACAGGGTCTGACTCTGTCACCCAGGCTGGAGTGCAATGTTGCGATCTTGGCTTACTCCAACCTCCGCCTCCCAGGCTCAAGCAATCCTCCCACCTCAGCCTCCCCAGTGGCTGAGACCACAGGTGCATGCCATCACACCCAGCTAATTTTTTTTTTTTTTTTTTTTTTTTTTTTTGTAGACACAGGATTTTGCCTTGCCCAGGCTGGTGTAGAACTCCTGAGCTCAAGCAATCTGTCCACCTCGACCTCCCAAAGGGCAGGGATTACAGACATGAATCACTGAGTCCAGCCTGCTTTATTTTTCTTTACAGTACCTGGAACGTTCTAATGTACTAAGTAGACGTGTATTTTCTTTCTTTTTTCTCTTCCCTAGAATAGGAGCTTAATATGGGCAGGTACTTTTGTTTGTCTCATTTATCACCCTATCCCCAGTGGCTGGAACAGTCTCCAGCACATGAATGGTGTGTTCTTAATAAATATTTTTAACAAATAAATAAATGAAATATCCTACAAGAGAAAGCTAGTATTTGGAACTCACCCATCAACAGAACCAAAAAGCCAAAGACCTTTAGCCTGTCCCTACTTCTGAATGCACCCAACCCCACAGGAGCCAGCAGAGAAAAAACAGGAACAAAGGTGGGGAAAAGAGCAGGTGGTTCCCCCCGCAACTAAGGACCCTCGAGGCTTAGGCTGAACTTGAGCTGGAGAAAGGACTAATGTAGGAACTGGGTGTGAGATAAAAGTTTAGATTTGTCTGGCCTGGATTTTGTAACACCTAAACACGAGTTATTCCATTCATTTTTGTTTTTGTTTTTTTGAGACAGAGTCTTGCTCTGTCTCCTAGACTGGAGTGCAGTGGTGTGATCTCAGCTCACTGCAACCTCCGCCTCCCAGGTTCAAGTGTTTCTCCTGCCTCAGCCTCCTGAGTAGCTGGGATTATAGGCACATGTTACCACGCCCAGGTAGTTTTTCTATTTTCAGTAGAGAAGGGGTTTCTCTATGTTGACCAGGCTGGTCTTGAACTCCTCACCTCAAGTAATCTGCCCACCTCAGCCTCCCAAAGTGCTGGGATTACAGGCATGAGCCACCAGGCCCTGACATATTCCATTCATTATTAAGAAGTCTGTTATGATAAATCAAAGTGACCAAAATCCTAGGGAAACTTCCCCAGATGTCATCAAGAAGCAGAGACCAGAGACCTATCAGCAGGATGGGGACTAGGGCGAGGCAGGGGAGGGAGGCGCTCATCTCTGGATTATCAGGGTCCAGCAAGGGAGGTATAAAGTTTAAGGGGGCACCAAAAAATTTACTGATCAGGCCGGGCGTGGTGGCTCACGCCTGTAATCCCAGCACTTTGGGAGGCTGAGGCAGGCGGATTATGAGGTCAGGAGATCGAGACCATCCTGGCTAACATGTTGAAACCCCGTCTCTACTAAAAATACAAAAAATTAGCCGGGCGCGGTGGTGTGCACCTGTAGTCCCAGCTACTCGGGAGGCTGAGGCAGGAGAATCGCTTGAACCTGGGAAGCAGAGGCTCCAGTGAGCCGAGATCGCGCCACTGCACTCCAGCCTGGATGACAGAGCAAGACTCCATCTCAAAAACAAACAAATAAACAAACAAAAAATTCACTGATAAATAAATAATAAATATTATTTAATATAAATAAAATAAGTATTTAATATAAATAAAATAATATTTTAATGCAGGTTTAAAAAAAATCAAATTTAATGCAAAAAAAAAAAAAAAACCCTAGTGGGAAAAGTTATCAACATTTCAACTAAGATACAATCCAACCCTGCATTTGCATGATTTGGCCTCACTTACTCACCCTAACCCAACCCTGCCTCACAGAAGCTGCTCGAAGGCAGCGGTTGGAGAAAAATGAATCCATTTCCTGCTCGTATCTAGTTCAGACCTTCCATAAACCAGCTACAGGTAAGACTGTGATGACCCACCTGTGCCAACCAGGACCACAATCTACCATCAGGGCCACAGTAACCGGGTCCATGTTGACTGTCCCCAGGTGCACCCAGATGTTTGACTTAGGGGCTCAGGCCAGGGTTGCTTCTCCCATTGATATTGTGCACTTGTTAAGAGAAAACAGACAAGACTGGGCACAGTGGCTCACTCCTGTAATCCCAGCACTTTGGGAGGCTGAAGTGGGCAGATCACCTGAGGTCAGGAGTTCAAGGCCAGCCTGGTCTACAAGGAGAAACCTTTGTCTCTTCTAAATATACACAAATCAGCTGGGTGTGAGGCACAAGAATCACTTGAACCCAGGAGGCAGAGGAACCCAGGCAGGCCGGGAACTCTGCCATGGGAAGCGGGTGTCTGAGAGCAAGGTCAGTGACACCATCTTGTTCTTGGGACTGAACTGGAGGCAGGGAAGCCAGGAGAAGCCCTGGGACCCGGCCTCTGGATGTTCACCATGGGTAGGCAGCTGTTTGCAGGGAGATGCCTGAGGGACCCCCAGGTTCCTCATGAAAACCTACAGCTCCGGTAAAATCTGCACTTTCCAGCCTGGGCTGCTTCCCACTGTATGCTCCTGAAGCCAGACGCCTTCATTCTGACCCCTGGCAATTCCCTGCATAGACCCGCATGTTTCAGGAGGATCCTGACCTGGATCTCAGACCACTGCTTCCCATGGCAGACTTCCCAGCCAAGCATTTCCTGAAAACGGTCTTCTCAGATTTTCTTCTGAGATGTGGCCAAGGCCCTGAAACAGAGTCTCCCTCCCACACAGGTTCTTACCTGTGAAACAGGACATGGTGGGAATGGGGAGGAAAGGTTCAGCCCCAGACAAGGAGGCCCTCCCATGGGGACGTCCAAAGAGAAAGATCGGACCCATCAAACCTCAGAGGCTGCCCTTGGACCTCAGGATGGCATCCAAACCCCCACAGGTCCCTGCCCCCGTCCAGTCCCACCTCCCACCACTCACTCCTGTGTCCACTTGGTCATGGCCACACTGGTCTCTCCGCTGGCCTTGGACAGACCAGGCTTCCAGGAACCTCAGGGCCTTGGCACGTGCTGGCCCTTCCTCCTGGTATGTTCCCCACCCCCACCCTGATCCTCACCCAGTTACCTCCAGGAACCTCGTCACCTGTTAGGTCTCAGATGAATGTCACCTCCTTGGGGGGATTCTCCTGTGTCCTCATCACCTCCTCGCCCAGGCCCAGGGCCCAGGTCAGGTCCCCCAAGGCCCCTCTTATCACACTGTAGTGTCTTTTCTTCCCAGCCAGGACCACGTGTAATGAAACAAGGCCATTGTTATCTGAGGACAACCCATACAACTAAAAAGCCCATTCAAGGTAAATTCAATTAAATTGAGTACCAAAGTTTCACAACAAATGCTTTGTGATTTAGTTAACAAACATTTACCTTGGATTCACTTTAGGCCAGGCGCTGTTCCCCATACTCCATGTGTATTAAATCATGTACTCTCCAAAACAGGCACTACTACATCACCGTCCCCATTTTGCAGATGAAAACACAGAGGCACAGAAAGGTGGTTGCTTGTGTAGAAATCGGCATCATCAGGACTGGATTAGGTCACCCTGCACCAGACCCCCTGCTCTCAGCCATGTACTTGCCACTTCTTCTAAAAAACAAAACAAACAATCAAAAAAGGTCTAATGAGGGTCTTCTCTAGAAAAGTAAAGCTAAATGTGATGAAAATAAGTTTTTATTTCCTGTCTAACATTTGGGTTATAGTGGCAGATGTACCCCCATTCTTAAGTAATCAAAGAATGAATCAAGTACTAATTTTTTTGCATATTTTTTTCTGATAAAACTGTAGCCACAGTCAACCTCTTTCCCCCAGGTTTGAGTTTTGCAGCCTGATCAAAAGAGTCATTTTCAAAAACCCCCAGGGGCTCCAGAGCCTCCACAGGGGCCCCTCTTCCTCCTGGCATTGTCTCTATTCCCTTTGGGATATTCTGCTGGATTTGAGGAGATCCTCATTCCTGCTGGTTCCACTTCTTTCAGTGTTCATCAGTCTACATGTTCCAGGTCCTCACTGTTGGACTCTGTGGGTGACGCAAGGAATACTTCCTATTGCATGGTGGGATATACAGGCTCACCCACAGCCCCATGGTGAACCCACCCCACATCCGCTGTGAAACCCCTAGTAAGGACCAGACCAATCATTCACACCCAGTGGAGTGCAGGCAGCCAGCTCTGAGAACCAACTGTGAAATGTTCAGAAATTTTGTTAATTGGTGTTAAACCTCTGGTAGTTTGAAATCAGCCATGTTGGGAGTATTTATACCAGGAAAACTGGGCTTTTCTTGACCCTAAAGTGCTGGTTTATCGGCCCAGCACTGAAGTTATACCTCACGCACAGCCCTGACTTTTGGATGGAAACTACCGTTATCCTATTTGGGGTCGCTTCCCAGTGGCTCCCATGTCCAAGACCCCAGCTTTCTCTTTCTCTCTTCACCCACTTTGGATTGGGAGCCTCAAAACCACTGTGCTGAAACCACTTCTAGGCATCAGCACCATTCACTAACAGCACACTGGCCTTTGTTCTAAGACAGGGATTCAGCAGTTACATAGATGTGCACTGAGCACTGAGCTGTCCTAGGTGCTGAAATGATTTCATCAGGAGCAATCAGAGGCTGCCTAGTCCAGGAATCTCAGACATTTGACCCTGGCTGAATGCCCTTATTGGAGCAGGAAAGAAGTGCAACAGTTTGCAATAAAATAGGCCCCTCATTTGCCATCCAGGGACACACACAAAGAAGCAACAGTGAACAGTCAGTACTTCACCCAGATTCAAGCAACACATCCCGACCTATGTGGTATCCTCCCTGTGACACAGGAACGGGGTGGGAGAGGAGTTCTCTAGCCACTTGCCTCCCAAGCTCATCCATGGGAAAGCATCTTGCTCCCAAGCTGTCAGGGAGAACCACAAAACCCCCCTCAGCCGGCAGGAAGCTTGCCCCACCCTCTTCCCCATTCACCCCCTCACTTTCTCCCCTCCTCCACTGACACTCCTCAACTCCCTGGACTGTCCACTCAGCCCCAGACCTTCTCTCTTCTGCCCCCACTGTGTCGTGACTGTCAGCCATTCCTCCCTAGTCCAGAAATGTCCATGAGGGTGAGAGAGCAGGGGGAGGACAGGACCCTCCAGGATGACCTGGCCTCAGAAAAAGAGCATCTAAAACACATCGGAGGCATCGCCTTGTGAAGCTTCAACTGCCAGCAAGTCCCATCCACAGATTCTGTCTTCTTTGCACAAACAGCATCTGCCTCCTTCCTGGCTTGTTGTTATCAGAATCTCAAGAGATGCCAGACCCCAGGAAATGTGGACAGAGGGGCTCTGATCTGTCTCATCTGTTTGACTATTTGATTAATATCCTCCCTTGCTCTGCCTTCCCCACCATTTCATCATCAGGCCCAGCCACAGGCTTGGCACGTTGCAGGCGCTAAACAAATACTTTCCTGAACAAATGATGAACACTTTGGTTTGGACGGGGGCTATTAACTTTTTGACCTTAGGGTGAGAACCATTTCACACACACTTTCAATAATCAAGAAATACTTAATTGTAATTTATTCAAGGGTATTTTTTCTTTCTGAGATGTTTAGTTCCTATTTTCGTTTCTTTGTCCATGTGGGAAGTAAACAGCAAATTGCCTGCATGTAGAATGTATTCAGTGGAGCTGCCTTAATTAGCTAATTTACTCATGTCTCACTGGAGAGCAATCAGAAAGAGTCCTTGTAGGTGCTGTTTAAGTTTGCAAAAGTGTCCTTCCCTTCCACAGCCACAGATGTCCTGGGCAGCTGGACCTGGGGAAGGGGCAATATATTCCCACCCACTCACCCTAATTTCCACACCCAGCCGCTGACTCCATTGTAACAGAGCACTGGGCAAAACATTCCTGTGCCTAACATTCTTCCTCAGGAGCGTCTTCAAATTGTGGCGGAAGCCCCTGAGTTTATGCCCGTGGAGCTCTGAACCCTGCAAAGGGCTGGCCAGGGGTGGGGAGGCTGTGCCCCACCCTCCACTCAGGGCTCACCCCAAGTCCCCCAGGGGTCCCCAGTACTCACTGTGAAGCAAGAAGTGGAGCACCCTGATGGGGAATGGCCCTGCCAGGGTCATGTCCCACAAACTGTGTAAGCAAAGGAGACAGCACCTGCTTTCCAAGGCCTGCCCAATGGGCCAAGGTTCAGCTTAGGTGAGAGGGCCCGGCTATCCCTACCCATGTTTCAGCTCAGGGGATAAAACCCTTCCTGCTACAAAGCTTCCTTTTACAAGCAGATAAACCCTGGCCAGGACTTCTAAAATCTTTACATTCAGGTAGCTTTTGGCCAATCTTTGGTGAATTTGTTTAATCATATTTCTTTACTGGAAGTCATTATCTGAGATGAGCAATTTTTTACTGGGGCAGGTTTGTGACTTCAATGAGCCTTGCCTTCCTTGTCTCTTAAAGGTCACCATTGGAAATAGATCGACAATGTAGCACGAAAGTACCTAGCACAGTGCCTGGCTCAGACATTCTATCAGCAGCTACCTGCCTCCAGTCTGTCCTCCTCTCTGTTTTCTGCATTATCTCTTTCTGTAGTATAAAAGAGACAACTTTTCTTCAAAGCTGTCTAGATTTTAGCCTTTGGAAGTTCAAAAACATTGGCCAGTTACCCATGTCATAGTGAGGCAGGAGAATAGGGAATTGGGGTAACCAAAGGTTAAGACATAAAGAACAGCAGGTGCAGCCAATTTTAGGCAAGATTAGGCAGCACACAGTCCACACCCTCACTTCTGCAATAATGAGACACAAGGTTCCACTTCAGCCTCTGATTGGTCATGGACCAATCCTTCATAGGGCGTATCCAATCAGATGCCTCTAAAAGAGCACCTAGAGGTGTTACCAAATTCTTTTAGCTTAATAAAAATCCCTAAAGAACATTGTAATTGGGGCTCTTGAGCAACTTGCTTGAGCCCACTCCCACTCTGTGAAGTGTACTTTCACATCAGTAAATCTGCACTTTCTTTCGTTGCTTTGTTTTTCTGTTGCTTTGTCTGTGCATTTTGTTCAAGTCTTTGCCAAGAACCTGGACAACTCACAGTCAGGACTTTCCATCTGGTAACAATAGCATTAATTGCAGTAAAAGGATGAGCTTTCTCAGGGCAGGCTAAGCCCAGCTGCCCACAGTCCTGACCACAATACCTGTCCCTTCTGATTTTTTTTTTTTCATTTTTTCCCCAATTTCTTAGCTTTAAAAAATGTCAACTATTCAGAAACATACAGAGTAGTACAGTGATCACATACCCTTCAAATAGCTTCATCAACTGATAACACCATGTGTGTGGGTCACCTATCTCCACGAGCATTATTTAAAGAAAATTGTGTGTGCGCATGTGACTGTGTGTGTGTGCATGCATGTGTGCACACAATTGTGCGTGTGTGTTTCCTTTTCTGGCAAAACTATTTGAAAGTATGGTGCAGGGGTCATGATAGTTCACCCCTAAACACTTCAGTGTATATCTCCTAAAGAAAAAAATAATTTCTTACATAATCTCAATGCCATTTTCACACCCAAACATTTCATGTTGATGCAGTGATATAATCTAAAATACAGTCCAAAGTGAGAGCTTTTATTTTCAATTTAGCATCCAATCTAGGACCACACTGCATGGCTTGACATGATTCTTTCATTCCCTGCAATGTCAAGCAGCGAGTCCATCATTTCATCTCTTGGGATGTTGACTTCTTTGAAGATTCCAGCCAGTCGTATTGTACCAGAAAGCCAAGAAGTGCTCAAAAGATGATGGAAATTGGTCAAAAGGAAACAGAAGCTATAGTCAGAGGACTTTCAATGGACAAATGTAGAAGTATTTGAGCATCAAAAATATATGGGAGCAAGAATGAACACACTGAATTTTTTAAAAAAGGATCTATGAGTTCATAGTGATACTAAAAAAAGCTGATTGGAGCCAGGAAGAATTCTTTACAGAATAACAGCAGCTGATATATATGAAGAATGACGGAATTTGAAAATGTTACAATTGACTCATTTGAGGACCATCTGTGGATGCCAAAACCATTGGGGGACAGATTTTGAAGAACAGGATATCCATAAGGTCCCAAAGCATCACCGCATATGTTGCTTGGCAATTACACAAGGGAAAAATGATCCTTTGCAATAGAGAAATCTGATGGCCAGCACTTTAACCAAGTGCTCAAGCTCAACACGAGCAGTGAACAGACATCTCAAGCCTCACTCCGGCTGTAATGAGCTGGGCAGAGCCTCCCTCTGTAGCAATCCTGGCCACGGCATTCGGCCTGCACCTCCCCAGGGAAGAAGCAGACTCGGGCAGACTGTGGCCCTTCTGCAGGCCAGCGACACAGGCTCGTCTCACTTCACCTGGGTGGTACAGACACTGGTCCACAGACACTCCTTGCTTTGAGCTCTGCCCCGTCCAGACCTGTGCTGGAGTTACAGATACAGAGATGGATGATTTGCCTTCAAGGATGGGAAGGATGGGAAGGATGCTCAGGAATCTGTGTCCGGGGTCTCTGGCACTTGGACAGCTTCCAAAACAACTGTGACTCCTCCACTGAAGGAAGAAATGAAAATACACGTATCTGTTGTTTCTTCTTCCTGATCAAACCAGGTGGAACCGTTTAGGAAAAAATCTGTTGTTAGAGGTATACTCAGGAACGATTTGTGGACTCTTGGTCGTCCTATCAAGTGAGACATCGGACGAAATAGGGACCACTATCGTCACTCTGCCATCAGGATTCGTGACTGCAACATCAAAAGGCGCTGTAGAAGCATTGGAAAAGCACCTGGTGTAAAGGGAGCTTTTATCAGTAGTCTGAGCCCCTCTCCATTGCTGCTGCTGTTGGAAAAGCCAACTTGGCTGCAGACAGTAGCAACAGGCTTCAGAGTCAGCCCAGAAGCAGCAGGAGGTGGAGTCTGCAACAGCCAAATTAGGGGTGACTTTGCCTGGGATCTGGGTTCTTTAGAGATGCCAAATATTCACTTCAGAAGGCTGCAGAGGTGGACCCAGGAGGCGTCACTCACTCAGTGCATATTTAAGCAGGGCCGACTGTGCACCAGGAACGATTGTAGTCTCTGGCCACAGCAAAGAACAAAACAAAGACCCCTGGCTTCAGGGAGCTCACGACCCACAGAGGGACAGAGGACAAGCAGGTGACAGCCCAAGACAGTGCACAAAGCAGAAGCTGGTGGTGCCGCCTGGGTCCCGCAGGCCTCAGAGTCTTTGCCCTGCGATGGCTTCTTGCTGCCCCTGCTCTCCTGCGGCTCCTCCTCAGGCTGCAGGAGCCTGTGTGGCCTGGGAGTGGAGTCCTGGGAAGCTGCCCTGGGTGAACGGAAGCTGGCGGGGAGCAGACCTGGCTTCCCCGCCTCTCCAGTGCAGTCCTCTGATGCTGCTCCTAAGCGTCTCCATGAGGTCTCCAGTGCAGCTGAGCACCAGCAGCCCACCGTGGGCACCTCCTACTTATCCCACCAGAAAGGGCATTTTTTCCTTCCCATTTCCCTCCCCACCGTCTTGCCCGAGCTTCCTGGGGACTTCTCCAGGTGAACTGAGTCATGCCCACTCTCAGAGTCAGCTTCCAGAAGAATCCAACCGAAGGCCATGTGTGACACGCAAACTATGTCAGATGGTGGGAAGTGCACTGGAAAAAGACAAAGCTGGGAAGGGAGGGGGTGGTGGTTGGGGGGCTGTGATTGCTCATGGACATCTGAGGAGCCCCCCAAGAAGGGGGCCTTGCAGCAGCTGCCCAGGCGGTGAGGGCTCAGCGGGTGGATGTCCCGGAGAGGAGCATCCCAGGGCGGCCAGGACTAAGGGTAAGATCCCGAGGTGGGGAGCTCCTGGCCTGTCCTAGGAAGACCAAGAGGCCATGTGACCAGAGCAAGGGGACACAGGAGAGAAGCAGGAAAGAGACCAGCAGGTGGAAGGCACCAGAGGCTCAGGGCCCTGTTGACCAGGGAAAGGCTGTGGCTGACAGAGTGAGGCTGCAGACCTGGGCTCGGTGCAGGGCATGGCTAATCTGAATCATTGAATAGAATAGACTGTGGTGGAGGCTAGGCAGGGAGACCAGGGAGGCCCATGGTGTGATCATCCTTCGAGAGCAGCCAGGCAGGAGCAGGCAGGTGGGCGGAGTGCAGGAATCAGTCCATGTGGACAGCAGAGGGATGGAGGTGCTGAGCGGTCAGAGGGTGGGTGCCAGGAGGGGAGAGGAGCTGGCCATGTCGGCCTGAGCACCTGGGCAGGAATAGCCACCATCACGGAGGTGGTGGGGGTGAATTGAGGAGGTGGAGAGGAAAACCCATGACTATTTGAGTTGGAGAGAGCCCAACCACAGCTGAATGCATGAACCTGGACATCAGCTAAAGGTCTGGGCTGGACAGAGAAGTAAACATTTAAAAATAAAAATCAAATCAGGTCAAAATCCCCAAAATATGTCACATGATCCTTTTCAATCTTGGACCCCCCATCTGTGGAATACATAGACTTGTGATGCAAACTAGGAGCCAGATGAGGACCTATGCTGTTGGAGCTGGACTACATGGATCCCCCACCATAGCCCCACACCAACCCATTGCTCTTGCCCCGGGCTGGGGTCTCCAGAAGCAGAAACTGAGATGGAGTTTTCAGTTCAAAATACTTCTAAGGACCAACACTTGTGAAAGGTACTTGGTGGGGAAAGGCACGCTGGGCAGGGGAGAAGTTGATCTTCAAGGCAGGCCTGACGTGGCCTCCACAAATTTGCAGAGGTTCTGAAACAAATATTGCTTGTAGGAGTCAACCCATGTTGGGCCCAAATTACCAGGCTTTTATTCCCTGACTTCCCCAGCCACCAGGAGTGAGCTGTCCTGGAAAGGTCATGACCATGGACAGGAGGGCTCTCTATAGCTTTATCCCTTATATATATAAAAAAAAATTGCAAGAAAATCTAAGATATTACAATTATAATCTAGGGAGGTTGATAAGACTTTACAAACCAAGATGGATAATCTTGATATTTAAAAAACCGAAAATAAAAAAATTTGAAAATTTTGTACATAAAATGATTAAACAAGCTATATAAACCTGTATTTGTAAGTGAATACTAGACAAGGAGCTAATTTCTGTAATATACAAATTCTTACAAATTGACAAGAAAAGGAGGTGATAGCTATAAAGAGGTAATTCACAGAAAAGCATCTCTCTGCTCTTGAACTGCTAGAAATGCAAACTGTAAAAATAAAAGTACCCAAACCTTATCCTAAAATGCACAGATGTTTACTGCAAGTGTTGTTTATAGCTTCCCAGAACTGGAAACAAAACACATTCCCATTATGAGAAAAATGGCTGAGCATTTTGCATGTATAGCCACCCAATGGAATTTCCACAGCTATTGTAAAGAACAACTTTAATTTAGAGCCATATAAGATGTCTTGAAGGTATATCAACAAGGAGTTAAGTGATAAAATCAAGATGTAGAAAAATGTTAGTTATGGGTCTGTCAATCCTGGTGATCTCTTTAAGGAGCTAACTTTTATCTTTGTTAATCTTATCTATTGCCTTTCATGTACTATTTCGTTTACTTCTGCTCTTCCCTTTACCTACATATTTCATAGATACGTATCGACGTATTCATTGTACATATCTACGTATTAATTCTACATACTTCTGGTTTACTTTTTTTTCTAGTGTCTTGAGGTAGAATCTTAGGTCACTGATTTTTTACCTTTCTTTTTTGTTATATTACATTACATTACCTTTAAAGATATAATTCTTTCCCTCTGCACCGCTTTAGCTGTGGCCCCCAAATTTTGATGTTGTATCTTATCATTTGGCAAAATTCCCTCTTAAGTTCATTTGGACTAAACACTGGAATGATTTAGAACAAAATATGAAGCAAACCATAGTTCAACTGGTGCACAAATTTAGCCAAAAGATCCTCCCTCCATAGCGAAGGTGAGAGGATCGCTTGAGCCCGGGAGTTCGAAACCAGCCTGGGCAACATGGTGAGACCCTGTCTTTACAAAAGAAAAACAGAAGTTATTGAGGTTTGTAACTTGATATTGTGGCATTAGTTGGAAAAGCCATTTTACTTCAAAACTGGTTAAAGAGGTTAAAAAAATATTCTATCTGTCAGGAGTGAAACTGAAAGCTAATTGAGAATCCCAGTTGAGATCTTGGAATTTTGTTTGTGTGCTTTACTTGGAATTGTCCACCTTATGTGCTTACAATGACTGGGTGTCTCCCATTATC
The DNA here is from genome assembly GCF_000001405.40 of Homo sapiens. Lineage (NCBI taxonomy): Eukaryota > Metazoa > Chordata > Mammalia > Primates > Hominidae > Homo > Homo sapiens. The sequence continues at coordinate 48,531,007 of NC_000020.11, forward strand.
TGTACAGCTTTCCCTTAGTAATAGAACCCCTGTTAATTAGCAGTTTAGCTGGTGCATGGCAGCCCAGAAGAAGGACGGCCGTTTCCAGCCTTTCTTGCAGCGATGTGTGGTCAGGTGAGTAAGTGCTGCCCAGTGGAATGTGAGTGCAAGAGTGGCGCCCCTGCCAAGTTGTGCCCAAGGAGGAAAGGGTGTGCCCAGCTCTTTTCTCACTTCTCACTGGCTGAAATGCAGACAGGGGTGGGGCATCTGGACCAAGTGAAGGAAGCCAATGGCCTAGGGATAGCAGAGCAAAAAGACAGAGGGAAACGGGGTCCCTCAAAACTTCACAAACTGGAACTGGCACACCAGCTCAGCTGTTGACATGAGTGAGAAATGCACTTCCAGCTTGTATAAGCCACTGTCTCTACCACAGTAGCCAAAGCTAAATCCCAATGGATCCAGAGCCCAGAGACACCAAGTGATGACCTATGGATATTCTGATCTGGTCTGTGGAGACTGGGTTTCTCTGGGTATTTTCTACACAATCAAACTCAATTGAGGATAAATATGCAGGTTTTAGAGCCGTTAAACATAAACTGGGCCAGAAATAGAAGGAGCTGATTTTGTGGGTGGAAAAAATGAGTCCTAAACAGATGGAATGAATTACTCACCAAAATTAGAAGCATGTTTCCTACAATTTGCATATTAATGGTCTATCCCAAACACAAAGTGAAGGACCACAGGCCACATCTGGCTAGAGGATGTGATCAGCCCACAGCACTCGGGTCTGTACAGTTTGTTTTCAACATTTAAAAATGAGGCCAGGTGCAGTGGCTCATGCCATAATCTCAATACTTTGGGAGGCCAAGGCAGGAGGAACACTTGAGCCCAGGAGTTTGAGACCAGCCTGGGCAACATGGTGAGATCCTGTCTCTACAAAAAAAAAAAAATTAAAAATGATCTGGGAATCGTGGCGTGTTTCTGTAGTCCCAGCTGCTACTCAGGATGCTGAGGTGGGAGGATCGCTTGAGCCTGGAAGGTCAAGGCTGCAGTGAGTGGTGATCACATCACTGTACTCCAGCCTGGGTGAGAGTGAGACCTTGTCTCAAAAAAAAATTTTATATTAAAATATAGATTTCCATCTTCCTCTGAAAAATCAAAGACACAGCAAACTTGTGCCCTTTTTACTGGGTGACTCATGGCCTGAGGATGTCACAGCCACCTCATTGCACCGGCCAGTGAGCCTAGACTTGCCACAGTGCTCACCACCTGCTGTCCCTCAACAGAGAAGGCGAGAGTCATCACTACTTATTACCTCTCATGCTGCTGGCCTTTATTTCCATTCATGAAAACAAATCTTTCTACCCACCTCTCTATTATAAAAATAAATAGATGGAGAGCATCCATCAACAGATGATTGGATAAAGAAAATGTGGCATATATACTTTCTGCCATAGTATTCCTAAATGTGAAAAATATACACATATATATATTCACAGAATAGAACATAGGGTAGGAATACTACATTCTATGAATAGGAATAGCATTCAATAGAATAGGAATACTATTCTGACATAAAAAAGAATGAAATTGGCCAGGCGCGGTGGCTGACACCTGTAATCCCAGCACTTTGGGAGGCCGAGGTGGGCAGATCACAAGGTCAGGAGTTTGAGACCAGCCTGACCAACATGGTGAAACCCCGTCTCTACTAAAGATACAAAAAATAAGCCAGGCATGGTGGCACACACCTGTAATCCCAGTTACTCAGGAGGCTGAGGCAGAAGAATCGCTTGAACCTGGGAGGCAGAGGTTGCAGTGAGCTGAGATAGCACCATTGCACTCCAGCTTGGGTGAAAGGGCGAGACTCCATCTCAAAAAAAAAAAAAAAAAGAATGAAATTATGTCTTTTGCAGCAACATGGATGGAACCAGAGGCCATTTACCTTAAGTTAAATAACTCAGAAAGTCAAAACTGCATGTTCTCACTTATAAGTGGGACCTAAATTATGTGTGCATGTGGATATAGAGTGTGGAATAATAGACATTGGAGACTCCAAAGGGTGGGAGGGCTACAGCAGGGTTACGGATGAGAAATTCCTTAATGGGTACAATGTACATTAGTGGAGCGATGATGACACTAAAAGCCCAAGCTTCAGCACTATGTGGCATATCCACATTAACAAAACCGTACTCCTGCCCCTTTGATTTATACAAATAAACTCTTCAACCACACCTTGGTGATTGAGCCATTTGTGTCCTGCCATTTGTTCTCTGACAGGTACACCTGGCTATTTGTTTCCTTTCATAGTCATTATTATGACCTGAAGTACTGGAGAATGTCATCAAATCTAAGATGCCAGCAACTATAAGATGCACCATTATTTTACACACTGCTGAGAAGGGAAAAACACTGACAAACTGCAACACAATGACACTATTAAGATGCACTCCAATTTTAAATATTAAAATGTGCAACAAATGGTGTATTTCCAAATCAACAAAATATATTATGAATTGTGTTTTTTGTCTACCTCCTCCCCAGGAGTGTAAGCTCCCTGAGGGCAGGGAGGTTGTCTGATTTCTTCCCTGTTGCATCCCAATGTTTGGCTCATGGTAGGGGCTCAAGAGATACTTTTTGGATGAAAGAATAACATCCAGCCCTCCATGAGCACTCCTGCTCCTCAGGGTGTAACCCTGGCACACAGCATGCTGAGCCATGGTAGAGCACTTACCACTTTCCTATGATGATTTGGAAATGTCCTGTCATCCTCTTTCACCACCGAACCTTCCAGGACCGACTCCATCTTCTCTCCCAGCCTGAGCCAGAGGCTCGAATGAAGGTGGGGACTTCCAAGCTTCACTCTCAAGGTCTCCGAGAGCTTTGCCCTTCCCTAGCCCCAACGCTATTGCTGGTTAACTTTCCTGCAGTCTCAGACACCTGGGAGCCAAAGTCTTATGGAAACAAAATGGAAATGTACATAAGAGCCCTTGGGGATTTGCAGAGGCAACATTCCCAAGGCTTAATCACATGGAATTGTTCATATAGAGCTTCTTCCAGCTTGATGTGAAGGGATTTAAACCCCTTCCTTCAATTTTATTTCCCAGCCTGCTGTGGGGATGTGTGTAATTCTTATCTCCGTCACAGTTAATCAAGCGCCCATACTAAGGAGATAACGTCCCTTCCCTCCGCACCTGACTTAGGGAATTAAACGGCTGCATATCTGTTGCTCCAACTGCATGGAAGTCCACAGTCCTCCCCAAACCTCACCTCGAGCTTTTCAAGTAATGGATTTCGATAAGGGCATAATAATCACCATCTTCTTTCAGTTTAAAAATGCAGTGCTGGGTAAAATAATGTTTCTAGTAAGAGCAGAAAACATGGGAATATCGTGGATAAAGTGCAGACAGAAATTGGCGATAAGGGAGGTGGGGAGATGGGAAGCTCTGGGTGAAGATGAAGATGGGGACAGGGTGGGGATGAGGTCCTGGAGTGCGGGTAATAAGGAAACCTAAAGCTGCCAACATAATTAAGACTGCCCGAGCCAGGAGACACACGGGGCATTTTTTAAGGATGTAAGGTGTGAGAGGTCATTAAACTAAGTTACCAGAGCTTCCAAGAGACAAGGAGAGTAATTGAATGAGAGGCCCTGACATTGCAGAAAGTCTAAATTAATTCTTTTCTTGGCTGCTCATGCAGGATGAAAAAGCAGTTACCAGAAATAAAAGATAACCAAAATATTTTTGAACATACACAAAATGAGTGTGTGAGGGGGGAGTATAACTATATACCTACGGAGAGAAGAGAAAGAAGTGGAGAAATGAGGGGGGCAGGGAAAGAAACCCTAATAAAGGGAATTGAAAAAATCATTCATTTTTTGATGTTACAGTGGGAGTTTCTGTGACACAAATATACTTGAAAAGCTGCCTTTGACCTGCCTTTTGAGCCATAGTTGATACTTACCTCATGCAGGGCAGGTAAGCCCCACAGTGGGGCTTAGTTCAGGAGGGTTCTTGGCTTTGTGCAAGAAAGAATTCAAGGGCAAACCGGAGGCAGAAGAAAACAGCTTTATTAGAGAGCCAGTATTACTGCTCTGTGACCGCTCCTGCAGAGCAGGGCTACCGCATAGGCAGAGAGGAGCAGCTCAGAGCAGTTTTGCAGTCATATTTATACCCACTTTTGTTTTTGTTTTTGTTTTTGTTTGAGACAGAGTCTCGCTCTGTTGCCCAGGCTGCAGTTCAGTAGGCCATCTCAGCTCACTGCAACCTCTGCCTCCTGGGTTCAAGTGATTCTCCTGCCTCAGCCACCTGAGTAGCTGGGATTACAGGTGTGCACCACCACACTCAGCTAATTTTTATATTTTTAGTAGAGATGGGGTTTTGCCACGTTGGCCAGGCTAGTCTTGGAGTCCTGGCCTCAAGTGATCCACCTCCCTCGGCCTCCCAAAGGGCTGTGATTACAGGTGTGAGCCACCATGCCCGGCCTTATACCTACTTTTAAAAACATTCTTCTAGGGAAAGGAGAGTAACTTTTGGGTATTCACGTCATTGCCATGGAAAGGGGTATTAACTCCCGGGTGTTGCCATGGCAATGGTAAACTGACATGGCACACTGGTGGGCATGTCTGATGAAAAGCTGCTTCCACCCAAGCTCTGTTTTAGCAAGCACAGATTTTGGTCCAGTGTCTGAGCCCCACCTCTGGAGTTGAGTCCCGCCTCCTACCTCACACTTCCAGGTCCCAGGCTTTGCAGGAACCACAGCAGCCCCTTAGAGCTGTCAGGGAGCCAGGGCCAAGGCCGCATTGCCCATTCTTTGTCCTGTGAATCCTACATCCTCACTGCCTGCACAGATGTCCCCAAATCCCCACTCCAGGGTGAGCGCAATACATTCCAACACCACTGCCTGCTCTCTTCTACTCAGAGCTTCACGAATCCCAGAGTGTGAAATCTTTGCACAAACCAAACATGGCACTCGGTAACATTACATCCTATACAGTCTCTCTTGGTTCTTCCAATTACCTCAAAGAAAACATCTTGATTTGGTGCTGATGTGCCTCTCCCACCTCTCCAAGCCCAGCTTTTCATCCTTTCCAACAAAGAAAGAGAAGCCCCCAGGCTTACTGCAGAATATGGCACCTCTGCTTAAGTTTACTGTTTTTATTTTTACAGTTACCTTCCTTCCCAGCAAGAGATGCTGGTTTCACATTTACTCTGGATGATTTAAGTGTTTCTTTCAAATAAAAGTTTTTTAGTGAAAAAAAAATGGGTTTATTTAAAGAAAGCTATCAGAGATCAGCAAACTACAGCCCTGAGGCCAACTGCCTATTTTTGTAAATCAAGTTTTCCTGGGACACCGCAGTGCTGATCTGTGTATAAATCGTCTCTGGCTATGGCTGCCTGGCATTATGACAGCAAAGCAGGGCACTTGCAACAGAGGCCATGTGTCCCACAAAGCCCAAAATATTCACTCTCTGGCACTTGCCAGAAAATGTTTGGCCACCCCAGGAGCAAAGGATCATCCTGGGGAAAGTGGAGACAGTGGCAGGTGAATGATTTAAATTGAGTAAATAGGGAACCCTGGTTAGGAGCTTGGACCCCAGGGTGAGACAGCACAAGGTGAACCCCAACTCCCCTATAGACCATTGAGTCCCTTCTCGTGGAGGATCCTAGGCTCCCTCATCTGTAAAGTGGGAGAACAGGCCCCACATGAGGCTCTTGTGCAGACTGGTGAGATACTGCGTGCAAGGCATAGGTCTGTGCCTGCCGCAAGGTAGACAGCCAGTAAGTGGCCACCTTGAGTATTACCAGGGCAGGAGGTGAGAAAATCCATTTATCACCAGCTGAGATAAGAGTTGCCCAGAGAAGAACTATTCAGACTTGAGTAGGGATGTGAAGTTGAGGTCAAAGGCAGGAGGTAGAAAGGGATGGGGTTGCTAAGCAACACATCCAGATGCTGGAGGTGGCAGAAGTGGCCAAGGGACCAGGGCACAGATAAAATTACCCACCTGTGTTGCTCCAACGTCACCAGTAAAATCTGTCCGTCACAGCTGCCAGGAACATGGAATTTGAGAAGACTAATAACAAGGAAAGGCCAGGACTGGTGGCTCATGCCTATAGAGCTTCAAGAGGCCAAGGTGGGATGATTGCTTGAGGCCAGGAGTTCAAGACCAGTGCCAACAAAAAGATTGAAACTCTGTAAAATATTTGAAGAGATTTATTCTGAGCCAAATATGAGTGACCATATTAGGGGCTCATGACACAGCCCCAGGAGATCCTAGAACATGTGCCCAAGGTGTTGGGCTATGGCTTGGTTTTATATGTTTAAGGGAGACATAAGACATCAATCAATACAGGTAAGATATATATTGGTTTGGTCAGGAAAGGTGGGACAACTCGAAGGGTGCGAGGGGTGGGGCTTCCAGGTCATAGGTGGATTCAAAGATTTTCTGATTGGCAATTGGTTGAAAGTGCTAACTTATTACCTAAAGTCCTGGAATCAATAGAAGGGAGTGTCTGGGTTAAGATAAGGGGTTATGGAGACCAAGGTTTTATCATACAGATGAAGCCTCCAGGAGCAGCCTTCAGAGCTCTAATCAGGCCTAAAAAGGTCTCTTTTTTAGACTCTTAGTTAATTCTCTCCCAGGTCAGGAATTAGGCCTGGAAAGGGAAAGAGATTCTCTACAGAATGTAGATTTTTCCCACCAGAGACAGCTTTGCAGGGCCATTTCAAAATAGGTCCAATTAATATATTTTAGGGTAAAATACTTGGATTTCTTTCAGAACCTGCTGTCATTTTGTGATGTGTCACAATGCTACAAAGAGTCATTTGTCAGCCTTTAGGTCTCTGCCTTAATGTTAATGCTGGTCAGCTGTGCCTCAATTCCAACAAGAGGAAGGCATAAGCCATTCCCATCGTGCCCTGCACTCTCGTTCCAGGTTTACTTTGGAATGCCCTTTGCTGAGAGGAGGGATCCATTCACTTGGTTGAGGGCCTCAGAATTTTATTTTTTGGTTTACACCAGTCTGGGCAACACAGTGAGAATCTGTCTCTACAAAAAAAATTTTTTAAAAATTAGCAGGGCATGGTGGCACACACCTGTAGTCTCAGCTACTCAGGAGGCTGAAGCGAGAGGATCGCTTGAGCCCAGGAGTTCAAGGCTGCAGCAAGCTATGATTGCACCACTGCACTCCAGCCTGGGTGACGGCAAGACCCTGACTCTAAGGAAACAAAAACAAAAAAAAAAAATACAAGGAGGAGCCCACACCATGCTTGGATGTGTCAACCTTAAATAATGAGTTTCAGAAATTATGACTAACTATAGTGTTTGAGCTCGAAGCTTGAGGATGACCACCCGGAAGCATAGATCCAATTTGCCCTGAACATGCAAGATAATTAGCCAGAGTTACAAGTGGGTTTTTAAGGAAAAAAGAAGAGGCACTTTCTAAGTTGTTCACCAAGAATTTGCATTAAAATAACACAGACCATTGACTGGCTACACATTGTTCTTTGTATCACAAACTCCAGGAACATCAAGATAATCGGGAAGGCAGCTAGTCATGACTAAAACGCCTTTAAACTCTTGCTCCTGGGCATGGGGCCAGAGGGGTGACTGAAGTTTCATACTCATGTCTCCCTGGACCTGATACCTTCTGCATACCTAACATAGCTCAGATTTCTCTGGGCTATTTTTTTTCCCAAGATGAATGGACTCCTGCAGAAACAAGACGGGCAGCTACAAGAAACAATGTGGAGAGTTAAGAGCTCAGCAGAGGCCAGAAACGAGAGCTGGGAGGAGCAGGAAAAAATGTCAGCTTCATGCTGCGGAAATCTTGAGGATAGCTATGGACATTTGGACAGTCTACATTTGGGATTCAAACACCCAGGTTATGATGAGATTCTGTGGTCCTTTCAAGCTGGAATTGTTGGTGACCTGAACAAATTTATTGTGAAAATAACAGGAACAGGTAAGCCAGTCAGGACCCTCAGGCCATAGATACACAGACAGGGGATGTGTCCTGCATTCCATGAACACAGGGGTTCTGACCTCAGCTGTTCATCTCTCCACGAATCTGCTTTTTCCTTGAGCTTGTGTGAGATTACGCCCGTATTTGTCAGTGTTACCATCATTTGACCTGGATATGCCACAAAAGCCAAAGACTATTATTTGGAACTTGGGTTTGGGGTAAATATTTACCTTGTTACCAAATTCCTCCCTTTGGTCCCCACTTCTTCCTGAGTCATGCCTGAGGCAGTCCCTTTCTGGAACCCTCCAGTTATCTGCACCAATAAATCCTTTTTTCCCCTCAGACTGTGGGGTTGGGTTTTCCATCGTTCAGCAAATGAACAATTCCCAATTTATAGAAACCAGAGAAGGTAGGTACAATTACCCTCCCAATGTTACTGAACCAAAGCTGGGTCTGCTCACCTGGTGCAGCAAAGCCAAGCACTGACACTGAGGTTTGTAGCAAGAGAAACAAGGCTTTAAGGTAGGGCACCAGCAAGGAGAATCAGGCAGCTGATGCTTGAGATGCAAACTTCTTAGGGGCTTATAAGGAAGGGTTTTTAAAGGCAGGGGTAAGTTTCAGGAAAGGAGAAGTTGCCAGCAAAATCATAAACCAATACATGGATGTTACATATTGGTCTACCTTTAAAAAGGCAGGATATTTTGGATTGGGGGCTTGAAGGTCACAGGTGGATTCAGAGATTCTTTGATTTGCAATGGATTTAAAAAACAAGGTTTGTCTAAAATACTTAGGGTCAGCTGAAAGGAATGTTAAGGTTTGGCCTATAGGTGTGACTCTCTACAGGCCCCTCAGGAAGAGATTTAGAACAAAATTGGGGGTCAGGTTCAGTCCCAGTTCCCCTTTATCTGAGGTCTGCATGAAAACAGTCAGCATTTTCCATCTGGTGGGGTCCTAGCTCCTGAAAAACAACTCACTCAAGGACATGGGTCAAGATGTTCTCTTTTACTTTCTATAGGGAACTGGGATGGTTGAGTGTCAACTTGATTGGATTAAAGGATACAAAGTATTGTTTCTGGGTGTGTCTGTGAGAGTGTTGCCAAAGGAGATTAACATTTGAGTCAGTGGACTAGGAAAGGCAGACCCACCCTCAATCTGGCTGGGTACCATCTAATCAGCTGCCAGTGCAGCTAGAATGTAAGCAGGCAGAAGAACACGGACCGACTAGGCTTGCTGAGTCTTCCAGCCTTCATCTTTCCGCTGGATGCTTCCTGCACTCAAACATCAGACTCCAAGTTCTTCAGCTTTTGCACTCTTGGACTTACACCAAGAGTTTGCCAACGGCTCTAGGGCCTTCAGCCACAGACCGAAGTCTGCAATGTCGGCTTCCCTGCTTTTGAGGTTTTGGGACTTGGACTGGCTTCCTTGCTCCTCAGCTTGCAGATGACCTATTGTGGGACTTCACCTTGTGATTGTGTGAGTCAATACTCATTAATAAATTCCCTTTCGTATATACATCAATCCTATCAGTTCTTTCCCTCTAGGGAACCCTAATACAGGAACCTAACATCTTGTGACTCTGGCTTACTTGGGTGGCTTTTATTATTACCTTCTTGCTTAGCAGGTGACATGGTTTGGATCTGTGTCCCTGTCCAAATCTCACGTGGAATTGTAATCCCCGATGTTGGAGGTGAGGCCTGAAGGGAGGCGACTGGATCATGGGAGCGGTTTCTCATGGATGGGTTAACAGCATCCTCTTGGTGCTGCTCGTGATAGAGCTCGTGAAATCCGGTTGTTTAAAAATGTGTAGCACCCACTCCCCCTTCTCTTTCTCCTGCTCAACCATGTGAAGTGCGGGCTCCCCCTTTGCCTTCCGCCATGATTGTGAGCCCCCTAAGGCCTCCCCAGAAGCAGATGCTGCCATGCTTCCTGTACAGTCTGTGGAAGCATGAGCCAACTAAACCTCCTGTCTTTATAAATTGCCCAGTCTCAGGTATTTCTCTACAGCAGTGCAAGAATGGACTAATATAGCAGGTTATTCATTTACTTCCCTAATTGCTGGCTGCAGAACTAGTTAGGTGCTTGGAATCTTCCTTGAAGGGACTCAAATTTTTTCCTTTATCTTTATGTGGGTGGGTGTTGCGGGGGGGTGGGGGGGAGCCTGGCAGACCTCTAAAAGGGGTCCCTGCTCCATCTCACCCGTTATACAGACAAAGACACTGAGGGTACTTCCACCTTACACCCTGCCACGCCTGGATTGCCCACCTCTGTTCTCTCCCAGCCAAAGCAAAGAGAAAAAGAGATAATGCTCACACCCCATTGGCCATGTTTTTGTCACAAGGAGGCCTGGAAAATGTAGTCTTTATTCCAGGAAGCCAGGCTCCCTGCTACCAGGAGGAATGCTGAGGTCATCCAGCAGTCTCTGCCATAGCTGGGTAACCCCCACCTGTCCCTGTCCCCCATGGGGCAACTTTGAGTGCAGGACAGAGGACCCACAAGCCTCACACCAACCTGGCAGGACATCTTCATCACATAGCCTGGCCAGGTCATCCCCAGAGGAGGACAGCACTGGGGTCTGGGCAGAACCAAGGCTCTGGACAGGCCAGAGGGGAAAGGCGTAAGCAATGAAGGGAGCAATATCCACAAAGGCCCCACACCTTTCCTGGGTGCTGCTGGCTTCTTCCCACACCAGACATCTGAGACAGAGGCTGCGGTGAGAGGATCTCATGGTCAGTCACTCTTGCATTGGATGGGAAACTCCCACCTTTGAATGAAATGCTAATTATAGCCTCCATGTACAGTCTGTTACCTGCTAAAAATACGCTGTCTTATTCTAGTCTCTGCAGGTGCAGCCGAGTTGGGGGAAATAATGCTGTTTTTAGCATGAGTACAAGGAGACAACCGAATCCTAGACTCTTGGGGACAGCGTCTGTCTGTCTGGGAACTTGTTTCCAGGAGTGTGACCGATGTGAAGGGCCAGGCAGAGGAAGTGCTGCAACCCCAGGGGCACAACAGAGCAGAGCTAACTGTGGGAGGAAGCGTCTTCCAGGCTCAGGCTCGCAGTGGAGGCAGCCTCAGCTTCCAGGGCTGACAGACATTCGTCATCTCGGCAGGAGGGAGACTGTTAAAACAGGCACTGAGGGAGTGCAATGGGGCCCCCCAATCCATCCAAGAAAGCCCGAAAACAGGGATGTTGGAATGAGATGGGGAGGAGAAGGTCCCAAAGACAGTAGAGGAGGCAGGTATGGGGAAGGATTGAGAGATATCATTTGTTCATTCATTTATTCTACAAATATTTATTGAGTCCTACTATGCACCAGGCACTCTGCTAAGTTCTGGGTTAAAGTGACAGATAAGGTCGCTGCCCTCATTTATTAAAATATATTTCAACATATATGGAGTCAGGAACTGACCTAGGCACTGGAGACACACAGTAAAGAAAAACCCCTCCCTCTTGGAGCTTGAATTCTAATTAGGGAGGGAGAGTCTGATGTTCCTTTCCCAAGAACAAATTGTATATGTCCGTTTTCGCTCTGCTGATAAAGACATACCCTAGACTGGGTAATTTAAACAAGAAAAAGGGTCTCATGGACTTCCAGTTCCACGTGGCTGGGGAGGCCTCACGATCATGGCAGAGGGCAAGGAGGAGCAAGTCACATATTACATGGATGGCAGCAGGCAAAGAGAGAGAGCTTGTGCAGGGAAACTTCCATTTTTAAAACCATCAAAGCTCATGAAACCCATTCACTATCACAGGAAGAGTGCAGGAAAGACCTGCCCCATAATTCAGTCACCTCCCACCAGGTTCCTCCCACAACACATGGGAATTGTGGGAGTTACAATTCAAGATAAGACTTGGGTGGGGACATAGCCAAACCATATCACAAACCAACAAGGAAAGGATGACAAGAGCTGGGGACTTCCATGGGACCCTCCCATCCTTGTCCCTGGGTCTCCAGTTCAGCCTTCCAGGTCCAGGAGGTATTGGCTTTCCCACCTGGCCACATCTGCTGCTCAGTTTCTCTCTTGTGCCCTTCGAAGGTTCAAACCAGCACCCTCAGCCCTGATATTCCCCCTCACTCTGGGGACATGACCACAGGGTCCAAGCAAGCCAGACGGCAGGGGAAGCTTCACCTCACTTCCACCTTCCGGATCTAGATAAGAGGATCCAGTTGGCAGAGCCAAATTCACATACAGACCCAAGTTGCGTGAGATTTTGGGAAATGCCATTTTTAACATCCAGGCTCTACTCAGGAAGCAAAGAAAGGAGGGCAGTGGAGCAGGTGGCCAGGCCAGGTGGGACTACCCCTGCTACTCACCACCCAGGCTCGCCCCTCCACCCACTCCTGAACTTCCAAACACAACATTTCCTCTGCCTACTCCCGTGATCCTGTGCAAAGGACAACACCCCCTGCCCAGGGAGGCCAGAGTCCACCAGTGCTAAGAAATGGGCCAAGAGTGGGAGGAACAGCCGTCTTCCTGCCCCAGGAAACTCGACATTGGCTGCAGCTTGAGAGGGGTCCATGGTGCCAGAGGCCCCTGCATCCCCTGAGACTGGCTCCTCCTACCCCTGCAGAGATGCCCCAGACCAGAGAAACTGGCCCCTGCCCCTATGTGCAATGACCCCTGGGGCATCACCTGTGAATGAGCCCACAGGAGGAAGGTCACAGCCAGCACTCAGGCTTTAGAAGGGTCCGACCTAGAATCGATGACACCCTAAATGGAGGGTCAGAAGAGGGTTCCCCCAGTTATAAATTCCTCAAAGCTTCAAAGAGGGCCGTTTCCCTGCAAGCTGAGTATTGAGGCTGCTGCTGGGTTCTATATGGTCAGAAGGGGGTACGCTGCTGTGGAGACAGACATGCTGTATAGACATCACACCCACAACCTGCAAAAGTTCACACAGCAGGATGCTGCACAAAGTCACCAAATGCAAAGTTCACCTGGCATGAATATTCAATTGCCTGCTCCTGGAAATGGTGTTTCTATCTTTATCGCTCACGGGCAGAATTGCTGTGGAGTTTCTCATATCACTGACATTGACCTCTGGTGGGCCAGTCAGGTGATAGCCTCAGAAGGCTGCTCCAGCCCAGCTGGGACGGATCCGTCTCCACAGCACGGGATGTTTGCTTGAATTCGACTAATACCTACTCTCAGGAAGGACCATCTTTGCTGTCAGCTCTGGTTTTATGATCTCCTGTGAAAGGGAAGACATGTCTCCATCCAGGGTCAAGGCTCCAAGCCCTTCATTCTCACCCACAGGTGGATCCCAGTGTAACAGGAAGTTGAACATCATTCCCCACTGGAGTTGGAGACCCAGACACCCCCTGCAGCTCCACAGGTGCGGGGAAATCAGGTGCCTCTGCCTTTTCCTGGTGGGGTCAGGGACTGGAGTCTGGAATAAGAGAGTGGGAGGTCACCGAGGGGAAGATGGCATCTGGGGAGAGGAAACACCTGGGAGAAGCTATTTGCATTTTGTCATTTCAGAAGCCAGATGTTGGAATGCAAAGAAATTCTACTCACAGTAACACAGTGAGAACATTTTCACAAACAGTTTTCCACGGATGTGAACAGGTTAGAACCCTGAGCTTTCTAGAGCACAGCCTCCGGAGGCAGATTCTCTGGGTTCAAATCCCAGTCCACTGTTTACTAGCTGTGTGACCTTGGGCAGGTTACTTAACCTCTCTGTGCCTGAGTGTCCTCATCTGTAAACTGAGGATAATGATAGTTCCTGTTACATAGGATTATTGGACAAGTTAAGGCAAACAATATCAGCAAAGTGCTCAGTGCACCATCTGCCTATGGGAGGCAAGGGTTTAAAATGTTAGGCATCATCACCCTCATTTGGTTGCACTGAATTTCATGTTGATTATTGGCTTTATATTATTACTGATGTTTTATATTGATTATTGGCTTTATATTGATTACTTCTGATTATTACTGATTGGTTTTATATTGAGTATTATATGGCATCTGATAACATTCTCATGACCTTCATTCTTCATTCCTGGCCCTACAGCATCATGTGTTTTTCATGCTGGGATCAATTCCATTCCCTTCATCCGACCTTTCCCTGCAGAAACACAGCCAGGGAAAGGAGCTCTGAGGTTATCCCCCATCTTTACCACAATCAGCAGCCACGGATGTCCCTGAGAGCCCAGAGCAGGTGCTGGCCCATCGTCCCTCAGAAGGTGGCACTCTACGCTCTACAGAACATGTGCTTCCCATTCCACCTTCCAGCATCTGCTAATCCTGGATGGCTGCCCAGCCTTGCCCTGGCCTCCCTTCCTGCTCATGAGCATCCCCTTCCCCACACAGCAGTTAGAGGAATCCTTCTCATGCTGAATCAGCTCCAGGCACCTCTCTGACCACAACCCTCCAGTGCCCCCATCACAGGACAGACTGATCAGGTCCTGCCTCCTCTCAGTTCCCATCTCTGCCCAGGCTCCCCTCACACTTGCCCTCGGTCACTCCAGCCTCACTGCAGTGTCCTACTCTCCACCTCAGCTTGTCCCACCTTAGGTCCTTCTATCAAGAGTGACCGTCCCTGAATATGCCCACCCTCAACTGGCTCCTCCTCGTTACGAAGATCAAGCGGCACCACCTCAAAAGCCCTCCCGACACCCCAGTCCAACATCAGCCACCCCCTCCCATCTGTTAGGTCACTCTCCCCTCCTGGAATGTAAGTCCCAAGAGGACAGGGATGCTGGCAGTGCTGGCCACTGCTGCATCCCCAGCACCCAGCGCCCAGGACCCAGTAGGTACTCAGTGACATTTGTGGGGCACGTGATGAATCAAAGTGGCCTGGGACTGCAGGTGGGAGCAGCGCCCCCTCGGCAGCATGGGGGGTTGTAATAATAATGTCACCTGTGTTTACAGCCTGCTTCACAACCTGCAGAACTTAAGCACCCACCATCCCTGAAAGAGAAAGATAAACACAAATCCAGACGTTTAGCCAGAAAATGAAGGGAAGACGGAAAGGTTTAAAAATGAGCGAGAGCATATGTTTCTTCCTGGCTTCAAGATAAAAGAGGATACCCAGAGGAGAAAAGCACTCAAAAAACATGATGCTTTATTCAAAAATTAGCCCACAGCAGAGTGTCAGGGAATCTGTAGTAACGAAGACTCTGGGATAAATTCTTTTAAATTAAGAAGCAGAAGGAGAAAAGGCAGCAGCCCTGAGCCTCGACTTTGGAATGTCCTCCATCCATCTGCATCTGTCATCAGCTGGCAGAGCGGGTGCATGGCAGGGGGAGCCAGGGCCACCATTCCTCCCTTCAGCCCTTTCTGCTCTCAGTTTAGGGATAACCAATGTTTGATGGCTTGTCTCTCAAGAGTGATTAGAAGCAAAGCTGCCCATTACAGGCTAAATATCAAAGCGTTCCTACAGAAATCTCACTTCCTAAGCTCAAAGCCCTGATTCTGGGCTGCCTCTTGACCCAACTCATCTGGGACCCTGACTGGCACCAGCAGACGACAATGGGCTGACACACACCGTGCTTACTTTAGACCGGGGAGTGCAGTTCTGAGCTCTCCGGGTGTGTGAACTTACTTAATCATCACCTGAACTCAACGATGCTATTGGGATTCAGCTCACAGATGAACAGAGCCAGGCTGGGCAGAATCAATGCTCCCTGGGCCCATGGCTGCAGGACAGCAGAGCCACTTCCAGGACCCCCGGCCAGCACAAGGCCCACACCACTGACCACTGACGGTGCTCTGTGATGGAAGAGGGGCCTCAGCGACAGCCCCAGATACCAATATTGCTCCAAGTGCCTCTTTCCAGGAAACAGTCCTCTTCTGAGACAGTGAATCCAGCATAACAGGACAGTGAACAGACTTTTCCAGAGCTCTCAGAATCATGGCTGCAGTTCTACAGCTTCAAAGCGAGTGTGCAAACATCCACAAGAGTCCCTGGCCTCCACCCCAACAAGAGAGAGACATTGGAAAGGTGATTCCTGGGAGGGTGTGTGATAAGAGTTTGGATATTGGACCCCTCCAAATCCCACGCTGAAGTGGGGTCCCCAAAGTTGGAGTTGGGGCCTAAAGGGAGGTGTTTGGGTCATGGGGCAGCTGCCTCATGAAGAGCTTCATACCCTCCCCATGGTAATGGCTTCTTAGTCTATGAGTTCCTGTGAGAAATGACTAGTTAAAAAAGCCTGGCACCCCTCTCCTCTCACCACGTGATCTGCATACACCAGCTCCCTTCCCATGCCATGAGTGCAAGCAGCCTGAGGCCTCACCAGAAGCAGACGCTGGCACCATGCTTCCTGTATAGCCTGTAGAACCATGAGCCAAACAAACCTCTTTATCAATTACCCAGCTTCAGGTATTCCTTTATAGCAGCATAAATGGACTAAGACAGAGTCTTAAATCAGTTTGGGCTGCTATAACAAAATATTATTGACCAGGTGGCTTAAACAACAAAAATTTATGTCCCACAGCTCTAGAGGCTGGGAAGCCCAAGATCGAGGCACCAGCAAATTCAATGTCTGGTGTGGGCCTGCTTCCTGGCTCACTTATGGCACCTTCTTGCTACATCCTTACAGGGCAAAAATGGGAGAACAAGCTCACATTCTCCTTTCCTAAGATAACTTCAGTGTTGTCAAGGGGTTCACCTCTTCCCATGCAACCCCTGTGGCCTAGGATCCTCCACTCCAGGGTGATTCTGTTCAGTCTGAGCCTGTTCGCATACGGCATATGCCCCTGCTGATTGGTATTTGCCCAGGGCTGGGGGCAGGTATGCCAAAATAGGCCAAATACACTAAAGGAAAGGACTTGTAGTGCATGCTTTGGGGGAGTTTTTCTCCTGTCTTTACCCAATGGGCCTGCACATACTGCCATGTGGCCTCACACGCTGGTGGCAGCGGTCTTGTGACGAGGAGGTGAACCAACCTCAGAACATAGCCAATAGAGTGAGCAGCAAAGCGGAGGCCAATTAACCCTGGATCTCTGCGGACATCGTAAAGCTGCTGAATCAACCTCCCCAGAGGTCCAGCTCCTGGCTGGTCTTTGAACTGGGAGATAACAAGTTCCCTTACCATGTTAGAGTCATTAGAGGTTTCAGTTACTTGCAGGCAAAAAGCAAGCTAATCGACACAGCATCTTTTCCAAAAATCCTTCTCTGATCCCCCCAGCAACCAGCAATTCCCCCCTTCTCGGAGCCTCAGGGACTTTTCTCACCAGACTAACCCGCTGTATCGTGTGTGCCATTTATGTCGTATCGCCCCCATGAGCCATGGGCCCAAGGAGAATAAGATCTAAGTCATTTCTCTCCTCCTGAGCCCAGGGCCTTACACTTAACAGGGGCTTTGTAAATGTCATGGCACAAATGAAAGAATAATTTAGAAGCCAGGTATCTCCACTTTAGATTTATGTAAAGAAACACATTACTGTTACTTCAACTGCTCTTTCAGACTGTATGGAAGTATTTTTATGTCAGTAGAGATGAATGTTAAGATGTTTTGTTGTAATAAACTGCATGTCCATAAACGCCCTATCCCTCTTTTCCCCCAGTCAACAGCATCTGAAGACTCAGCAACTTTCTTCCAGCAAATGATGTCCCTCTTTAAAGTTCACACTCTCTTTAACAGATGTAGAAATTCCAACAAACACATCTGGACAGGTGGTTACCAAGATAACTCTCCAAAATAGGTCCAAAATGGGACTCGGGGCCACCAGTGAGATTTTCAACAATTCATCCCCCCATGAACTGTGAGGGCCACCCATCCTTATCACAAATAAACCTTGACATCCCAGGATACGACGCAGGCTGGGCCTTGCAAAGAGGAAATACAGACTCCCTTGGGTGACCTCAGAATAGGATTTCAGGAAGGGGAGTGGTGGTCGTGCTGTAAGGTCAGAGTGGACCTGATCTTACGGAGGCTGTGGAAACCAAGAGCAGGAACCCCCAACATCCAGCTTGGGACCATGGCACACCACTGCACGTTTCTGAAATCTCATCTCCCCGAAAGCCTACCCCTCTCACCATCTTACTTACCATAGTGATGTAGGCCAGGGAAGCTCCAAAGTGGAGCTTAGCCTGAGAGGGTTCTTGGCTTTGCCCAGGAAAGAATTCAAGGGCAAGCCAGAGGTAGAAGAAAACAGCTTTATTGTAGCAGCAGTGTTACAGCTGAAGTATTACAGCTCTGTGACTGCTTCTGCAGAGCGGGGCTACCCCATAGGCAGAGAGTAGCAGCTCAGGACAGTTTTGCAGTCACATTCATACCCACCTTTAATTGCACACAAGTTAAGGGGCAGTTTACGCAGAAATTTTGGGGGAAGGGGTAGTAACCTTTGGATCACCGAGTCATTGCCATGGAAAGGGGCAGTAACTCTCAGGTGTTATGGCAACAGTAAGTTGACATGGCACACTGGTGGGGGTGTGTCTGATAGAAAGCTACTTTTGCCCTGGCCCTGTTTCAGCTAGTCCCCAATTTGATCTGGTGTCTGAGCCCTGCCTCTCGAGTTGAGTCCTGTCTCCTACCTCAATAGTAAACGGCAACTCAGCCCTTCCAGTGGTCTAGCCACCTCTTTCACCTCCACCATGAATACCACAGCCCAGGCATCCATCACCTCACACCAGACCGCAGCAGTGCCTCCTCTCTCATCTCCCCAACTCCACTCCTGTTCTCCATGCAGTTCATTCTTCACACACAGCCAGAGGTACTCGCTACCAAATCCTCTGTCCAAAACCCCTGGGCATGTCCCATCTCATCAGAACACAATCCAAAATTCCGTATCGTGTAGAGTGAACGACTTGTCCCAGCTTTCTGAAGACTGCCCCAGTTGTATCACTCAAAGTCCTGTGTCCTGGCAAACCTCAGTCCAGGCAAACCAGGAGGGTTGGTCACCCCAGGATCACAACATTCAAGGCCCCCACATAACTCAGACCATCCTCCCCCTTGCTCACTCCACTACAGTGGCCACACAGGCATTCTTGTTCATTCTAGAACATGCCAGGCACACTCCTACCACATGGAGGGCCTCTGCACCGGCTGTTCCCTCCAACTGGAGCATGCTTCCCCCAGATGTGCACCTGAAAGACTCCTTTGATTCCTCCAAGCCTGTGCTCAAATGGCACACTTCAGAGAGGACTTCCACGCCCCCATGATCTAAAGTAAAGTAGGCCCTAGACACTTGATTGAAAAGCCCTGCTTTATTGCTTGTTTTTTATGGCATCTATTACTACCTAGAATAGCACACATACTCATATATGTATGTACATGTTTGTGTGGCATATGTGCATGCACATGTATGTCTATGTGACTGTATCTGTGGTGGGGCAGGCTGTGCCTATTGTTCACTGCCCCTGAACTCCCCTGGAACATCAGCTCCCGGAAAACGGCCCTGGTCTGTTTCATCCACAGCTGCATCGCTGGTGCCTAGAGCGTGCCTGACACGTAGGAGCTGCTCTGTAAAGAGCAGATGAATGAATGAACGGTACACTCTTCTGAAAGTGTTGCCTCCATGGAGAACTCAGGGAGACAGACACAAGCTGCCTGGCCCAGGGTATCTGAACCCAGCGGCTGGACTCCTTGTCCAGTGTTCCTTCAGGGTAAGAGCTAAGGTTGCATTTGTGTTTTTCTTCTCAGCCCAGAGGACCTTTTTGCAATTTTCTGGCCATGGGAACCATCGCAGAAGCCAGTCACCAAGCTTGGCCTCGGTGAACATGCTCTCCTAGAACGAGCCTCAGACCTTCGGATCTGCCCATCTCCAACAACCCAGTTCCTGGACAGTCACCCCAGGCAGCTCCCCTATCCATTAGGACAGAGCTAGACAATTAGGGTGTAGAGCTTGGTGAATCCTGAGGGCTCATCTCAGGCCACCCCCGCTCTAGTGAGGAACCTGCAGGCAGAGGAGGGACATGACTGGCCACTGAGAGCGTTGCAGGCAGAGTCGGCAAGACCAGCTTTCTCCCACCGCAGAGCACTTTCTCGATGGAAGATTCTAGGAGTCTTTACCCAATTCCATTCTCTCACCCTTCTTGCAAGTCAGCAGGGCAGAGACAGGGGCAGCAGAGCCCCACTTGGCAAACAAAGAAGCTGAGGCACAGCCAAGGTCAGTGACTCACCTTTCTTCAAAGAGCTAATTACTGTGGGGCCCCAGCAAGATGGTTACAGTGTGGGCCCTGAGTCGTGGCCTGGGCTAGGTCCTGGCTCTGCCACTTTCAAGCTGAGCAAATTGCTCACCCCTGTGTGCCTCAGTTTCTCCATCTATAGAACTGGTAATAAGCGTAATTGACCTGTGGCTTTTACGAGCACAATGAAACCCAGGCATCACCAATGGGAGGAGCCCAGCCCTGGAGGCAGATGCCAGTTCCACCCCACCCGCCCCTCCACCCACAGGCTCTGAGGCTCCCCCGACCCCTTTGCAGATGGAAATAATGGCAGCACCTCTGGCACAAGGCAGTTGTGAGAACTGATGGTGATGTTTCACTGGTTTCTTTCAATGCTTCTTGTTTTGTTTTGGAAAACAACCAGAGCAGTGCCTCCACACAGCAAGCGCAATATAAGTATTTGTTAAATAAAAATATGGAGAACACACGTATAGTGCTTAGGCCAATGTCTGATGTAAGTGATGCTTTTAGTGACAAGGACCAGAGCGTGAGTCATCCTGACCCTCCTGCTTCCCTCCCGTCCATGATAACCCCCAGGCCACATCTCAGACTCACGGGGCCACTTGAATGCCATTTCTTCTCAGAGGTGACCTTGCTCTCTCTGCTTCCATATGCCACTGCCCACCTCCTCCAGACACCCTGTCTCCCACACACACACACACACTCACACACACATGCTCACACACATCATGCACATTCACACGTACAGACTCACACACTCATACTCACTCATTCAAATGTATACAGTTACACACCCTCACACATGAACATAGTCAAAAACACACACATACACACTCACACAGACTCACACACATGAAGCCTCTGGGGTACGTGCAACCAAAGCTCTAAACTAAGGTTCTGAATCCCAGCCAACATTGCAAGCTCCACACTGGGCCTCCTCCAAGCCCCCATCCCTGCCCAAATACCCAGTTCCCGCACTGCCAGGACTCACCGACGCCTCAGCAGAGCGTGGACTGTCCCCTTGATTTAGGCAGCACCTGCCACCTGATAACAGAGCGTAGCCTGTGATGGCATTAAACACTTCAAAGATCAAGTTATTATTTATAATTATATATATGCTTATTTTAACAGTAACTCATCTACTTAATTGGAATATAAACTGGAAAATAAAATAATGTTATAAATTCCTGCTAGGCGCTGTTTTCTTCTGAAGGCCCTGAGCCAGAGGCCTGTTAAAAAGAAAGATCGCGTTTTGGAGAAATGTTAAAGACATAGTGCGTGAACTTGAGACTTCCCTCAAGGAAGGAGAGTTAAAAGAAAGGGGGGTTTGAAGGGCCACCTTCCTCACGATGTGTCTCCGCGTTACACAGTGAGTGTCTGTGTGATTTTGCTGGAGTGACGTTCCGTGTCATCCTCGATCGTGGAAAACCTTCTGCCCTACCCACATCCTCAAACACTTCACTGGGCTCAAGCCCCCTTACGCCTGCTGATGTCTGCATCTCTTGCTTGAGGGCTTCTTCCAGAACACAAGGTGGCCATTCTTCCAGCACACACATGCGCGCACACACACACATACACACAAACATATGCACACACACACACACACACACACACAGCAAGCTGGAAATCACAGGGAATAAAAAAACCCACCACTATCACCACCACCAGCAACTTCCAACCAATGAGTCCTGAGAGTTGGAGCATAAATAACCCAGGCCTCCGGACCTGCAGGCGGGGCAACTCTGCCCTGTGGCTCATGCTGTCTGCAGCTCTCCGTAGGATGAAGCTCCCACGGCCCTCTGCAGTAGCCCACTTAGTAACGCACCCTCTCACAACCTCTTGGTTCTTTGCTTTCTGTTGCATTTCCCCTCTTTCCCAACTTCTGGTAAAGGAATAATTTGCACTCAAATCCTTGTCTCGGGAACTCAAACAAATACATGTATACACATGTTCACAGCAGCATTACTCACAATAACCAAAAAGTAGAAACAGCCCAGGCGTCCATCAGCAGATGAACGGAGAACCAAACTGTGATCTATCCACGGGATGAAATGTTATTCAGCCCTAAAAATGAATGGGGTTCTGATCCATGCTGCAACATGGATGAACCTTGAAAACACGATGCTAAGTCCTTGAAAGGAGCCACACATAAAAGCTCACATGATCCCATTCATGCAAAAGGTTCAGAATAGGTAAAATCCATAGAGACAGAACGCAGCTCAGGGGCTGGAGGATGGGAAATGGGAGCAACGGGTTTGGGTTTCATGGTTATAGGTGATACAAAATATTTTGAAACTAGATAGAGGTGGTTGTTGTACAACATTGTGAATGTACTAAATGCCATTTTGTTCACTTTAAATGGTTAATTTTAGGCCAGGAAAGGTGGCTCACACCTGTAATGCCAGCACTTTGGGAGGCCGAGGCGGGCAGATCACTTGAGGTTAGGAGTTCAGGACCAGCCTGGCCAACATGGCAAAACCCCATCTCTATTAAAAATACAAAAATTAACCAGCTGTGGTGGTGCATGCCTGTAATCTCAGCTACTCGGCAAGCTGAGGCAGGAGAATGGCTTGAACCCAGGAGGCGGAGGTTGCAGTGAGCCGAGATGGCACCACTGCACTCCAGCCTGGGCAGAAGAGATTCTGTCTCAAAAAAAAAAAAAAATTAAAAAAAGGTTAATTTTAGGTTTTGTGAATTTCACCTCGATTTTAAAAATTTCTTATCTCAGGGTCTGCTTCTGGGGGGTCCAAACTAAGTTACCTGGCACCATGGGCGGCAACCCATGCGAGGGACTGCGCCGCCTCTAATGATAAGATATGGGGAGCCAGGAGCCCTGCGTGACCTCCCTCTTCTGGGGAGGTTCTTGGTCTGATCCACTGCTTTTTCCTGAGATCAGAACTTTCAAATCTACCTTGTGAAGTCTAGAAAAGCACATCTTTTACAGAGTGGGATTAGGAAACTGGTCATAATCTCACTGTCCTCAAAAAGAGCACTTTTTCACAAACAGGCTGAGAGGTCTCCCCAGCTTTTCTCTCTATGCCCTATGACAGACCTCAGACCATGACATTCAGTCCAGAAAAATCCTGGAGGCGTCTTGACTGTTGAGAACCAGGAGTAGAGTCAGCTCAGGAAGGGGCTGCCTAGAGATTTCCACTGGGAGGGGCAGCTGCTGTTTATGAAATATTTTCATATGGCATTGATTACTGAAAAAATGAACAGGAATGGAGTTGATCAGATTTGCAATTAGAGACGATCACTCTGGCTGCTGCTGTAGAGAAGGAACTTGAGCAATGTCAGCAAGGACACATAACACTGATCAGGAGGTCATTGCAAAGACTCAGGCAGGAGATGATGGCAGCTTAGACAAGGGTAGTGGTGGTGCAGATGGAGGGACCAGATCTGGGAGATACATGGGAGGTGAAATCCACAGGCCTGGGTAATGGACCGTATGGTGGGAATTAGCAAGCAGACAGGTGAAGGTACCATTGTCTGAGAAGACAAGCATAGGAGGGGAGCAGGCAAAGGACCGGGGTGGGAGATCCTGGCTTCATTCTTAGATGCGCTTAGTTTTGGGTGCCTTTGAAACATCCTGGTGGAGATTCCAGGAAGCCAGGTAGGTACAGGGTTCTGGAACTCAGAGGAGAGGCATGAGCTATAGAGACCACCAGCCTGGAGATGGTAAAGGAAGGAAGAGAATCTTTAATTACAGACCAGGAAACAAAGGCATAGAACAGGAAAGAGATCTAACAAGGTTCACAGTCTCAGTGGCCTAGCAGCACAATATCGTCAGTGTGGTGGGCTCAGTAACAACCCTCCAAAGGTCTCCACATCCTAATCCCTGGAACATGTCAATTGTCATTGTGGAGGGCTCAGTAATGACCCTCCAAAGATGTCCACATCCTAATCCCCGGAACTTGCCAAGATGTTACCTTACTTGCTAGAAGGGGGCTCTGCAGATGTGATTAAATTAAGCATCTTGAGCTGGGGAGATTATCCCGGATTCAGGATAATCCAGGTGGGTTCAACGTAATCACAAGGGGTTCTGTTAGAGGAGAAGACGATGTGGTGAGAGAAGCAGAGATTGGCGCAATGAAGACAAGGAAGGCAGCCCCTGGAAGCTGGAAGAGATAAGGAGCACATTCTCCACGGAGATCCAGGAGGAGCCACTGCTGACACCTCGATGTGAGCCCCATAAAACTCATTTCTGACTTCTGACCTCCAGAGCTGTAAGAGTGTCAATATGTGTTCTTTTAGACCACTAAGTTTGTAGCAATTAGTTACAGCAGCCACAGAAAGCTAATACAGCTGAACTCACATTATTATTGACCACATAAACCTGGATCCTTGGGGGACTCTTTGACTGTAAGTAACAATACTGTGAGGACATTTCCTGCTGACTTAACAAGAGGTCTTGGGGCTGATTCAGCCACTCAGACTCTCCCTCCTTTTGCTCAGCCTTCAGGTTGGTAACGTCTCTGCCCACAATCATAGTATGGCCGCCATAACTCCAGCATCAGCACCTCACGGGACAATGTCTAAGCAGGATGAAGGGCACAGAAGTCAGGGGCCTCCAGATGCTCAAGACCTCTGGATTTAATGAAGAGAACAATGATTCCTGCAAAGCCCAGAACACTTCCTTTTACATCTCATTGGCCAGAATTGATCATAGGCTCACTCTGGGACTGCAGAGTGTTGGTTCCTCCCCCTTGAGGGACAGGTTCCTGCCTGAGGGGAGAGTATAACATTCTACTCTGAGCTCTCTTCCAGGTTCCCAGGTCCTGAGAGATTAACCCACTCCCTCCAAATTGCTTCTTTGTGTCAAGATTCTGACAATAGGACATGAGGGACACAGACTGGACAAGTCACAAAGAAAGCTCCTTTCTGCAAGATTGCAACACCTGCCTCATCAGAGCCTCCAGACTTGTGGCTAGCACTCTGCCCATTTTGGTTCCTTCTCCTCTGAGCCCTCTTGTTCCCCAGGTTTTGGGAGACACTTCCTTAGGGGAGTGGCAACAGCCATTCCTTGGCAGTGTCAATCTCACTGAGAGTTTTTGAAAGTTCATCATGTGCACCGAAAAAAAAAAGCAGAATTCTATTAACAAGAGAGACTAGATATTGGGTAAGCAACTAGTAGTCGCTGCCACAAACTCTTTGTATGCTTACTTGGGGTAGCCTACCAGGCTTAACCCAGTTCTCAGCCAGGGGCGACTGTATGTCATAGGAACATGTGGCAGTATTTGGAGACATATTTGGAGTCATATCATGGGGGATGTTTCTACTGGCATCTAGTGGGTAGAGAGAGGCCAGGGACGCTGTCAAGCATTCTACAATGCACATGACAGCCCCACAATGAAGAATGATCCGATTGCAAATGTCAACAGTGCTGAGGTTAAGAAACTCTGACCTAATCCCTTGGGAGCAGGATAGGGGTGCCAGGTTTACCAAGAGGTGTATTCATATTTTTTTTGGTGCGGGGGAGACGGAATCTCGCTCTGTCATCCAGACTGGAGTGCATGGCGCGATCTTGGCTCGCTGCAAATTCCACCTCCTGGGTTCAAGTGATTCTCCTGCCTCAGCCTCCCGAGCAGCTGGGATTACAGGCACCCGCCACCATGCCCGGCTAATTTTTTGTATTTTAGTAGAGACGGGGTTTCACCGTGTTGCCCAGGCTGGTCTCAAACTCCTGAGCTCAGGCAATCTGCCCACCTCTGCTTCCCAAAGTGCTAGGATTACAAGTGTGAGCCACTGCGCCTGGCCTGTACTTGTATTTATACTAAAATACTATTCCTTGTTTATTTGAAATTCACACTTAACTGGGTGTCCTGTGTTTGATCTGGCAACCCTAGAACAGGGTCAGACTCTATACCCCAGTGTTTGCTGTCGCCCAGGGCTTAACAACCTAACACACATTTGTCAAATGAATGAAAAAATGAGGATCTCACCAAAGATGTCCAAGGCTGCTGCACAATCCGGTCACCTTGGTCAAAATACCTTCCTGGAGCCCATGCAGATAGCCTCCAAAACACAAAGCAGCCATCTGCTTCCTGGGCTCCATGACGGCAGCAGATCCCCTGCAAAGCAGCTCGGATATCTTCCCTTTCCCTCCCCTTCCTCCAGGGAAGGTTGGCTGCCTGCTCTGCAGTGACACTGCAGGGTCAGAACTCAGCCTGTGAGTAATCCAAGAACAGTGCCTATTTGAGGGGTTCCTCGCTGCTGAGACAGACAGCCTGTGGCCATCAGTCCCAAATAGCATCTGTTAATGGCCCACTGGAGTATGGTCCCTGTCGAAGTCAAAGAAAAAAGCCCTTAATTCACTAATCGTCTAAACAGACAACACCAGCTGATAACTCCTATAGCCCAGCTTATGATTCTTTATGAATCTCAGTGAATGCAGCTGCAAACAGACTATAAAATTTGTTTTATCCACAGGGGAACCCTTTAGAGGGCTGATGGTGGAAACTGGATTCATGAGGACCCACTGCCCTGGATTTTCATAGTCAAGTTTTGCAGGCAATGGAAGAACATCCCAGGGCCTCATATGACAGCACGTTTCTGATTCCATGAATACTCATTGTGCACCGCCCTAAACCAGACACCGAGTATGCATTTTACCTTCATTAATCTTAATCCACATGACAGCTTGCAGTGTCCTTGATAGTAACCCCATTCTTAAGATGAGGAAACTGAGGCCCAGGGAGGTCAGCTAAGGAGGAAGGAGGGGCCAGCCAGTGGAGGCAGAGCCCAGGTTAGTTAGAACATTGGCCTTGGGGCTGTACTGCTCTTTTATTAAATCACCACCATAATATATCAGCTCATAAGTGATTTTTCTGGACGGGGATTGCAAAACCAGGTGTGCTATCTTAGAGAGAGCCCTAAACTGAATTGCATTTATGGTCAAATAGATCCTGCTTCCCCCTTTCAAGAACTTTTGTCCACCAAAGATCCATGAGCTCTACCTTTTCCGCAGAGATCTGGAGCTGTGCTGCCTGGGGACACCTTATTTTAATATTCACTTACATGTGATTAATGCTGCTTAACAAAGGCCTGTGTGCCTCAGTTTCATCACACAGTGAAATCTACAAGTTTAATCTTCCTTGCCTGCTTATCCAAAAAAGAACTATGGGTGGATGGTTAAGCAGCTAGACAAACTGTCACTGCTCTCTGCAAATTTTCCTCCTAATTGGAGGCAGCCCTGCTGTCTTTCACTGGTAAGAATTCTGATTAAACCTCATTGCTTTCCAAGGTTAAACGCATGCCACCCCAGGAGACCACAGTTACACCGTTTAGAATCCACCCCCAAACTAACCCTTTATTCCTGAATGTGCACTTTGAGGCCTTGGGCATTAGTATAAACTACACTACACAATTATTTGTAATTAAGGGAGAAAATGTGTACTGTGCTACAAAAATTAGCCGTGCTTTGTTGATGTGAATCATGTCTATGCCGGCGTGCCAGCCCAGAGAGGCGGCATAAAATACAATTAAATTTCTTCTGACTTAATAGTTGTTTATGTTGCTATTTTTCATAATCATAATATCTCAAGACACAGAAACAGTTTCTCTCTAATGTAATTGCGTTCTACCAATGAGACAGCCTGGGTTTAAATGAAAACTCAGGCAGAATTAACCACAAGAGTGTATTGTATGGATGATGCTAGAATTTTGTTATAAAGCCCCATGCACAACTGTCCCCACTCAGGAGCTTAGACCTTTATCCCAATCCCATGAGGGTGACTCTGCAGCCTCTTCTGCTCTCGTGGAAGAGTTTGAGCCAAATTTCGTGAGCTATTAAAGCCACCTGTGCCCCAGTTTAGTGTCCTTGTGCTCCAGACCCCAGTCATTTCCCTACTTTTAACATTTCTCCTTTACACATTGATTTGGTTGACACATATTAAAAGCCTGACTTTTACAACCCTCATAAAATCCCATCTGCTCCAAGCTCCAATCCAAACTCAGCCAGAACATGCTCAGACAAACTGTTCGGATTATACTTCAGCCTCTCAATGGAAGGACACACAAAGCAAGAGCAATTCTCTCTCTCTTTGTCATTAAACGTAAGTCAGGCATTCTTCACAAAATGCTGCCAAGAAAGCCATAGAAGGAATAGCATGACTTATACACATCAAAAGAAAGATCCCCTCAAGGGGGTTTGGGAAGAGTCGGGGTGGCATGAAGAGCTTGAAAGGCCCAATTGTCCATCCAGGATGATACCAGTGAGAGATGTCATGAGGGGCGAGAGACATGGGAGGGGAAAGGCTGTGCCAGACACTGTGGATGGAGGCAGCAGGGGCTGGAGCATCAGGAGGCTGTGGGGGCCCCAAGGATTCTGCTGAGCCCCACCCAGGCCCAGCTGAGTCATGGCTGAGAGATTTCCCACGCCAGGGACATCTGAGACCCTGAGGCCCCTAAGTCTCCCAGGCAGACACCGAGCTCCAGAATGCGGCCAACAGTCCCCACCTGCATGGAAGGACCTGGAAAACAGGCTGAGGCCTTGAACCCAGAGGACCAAGTAGTTTGCTGGGAATTATGGGGAAGAAAGGTGGCTGAAGGAGCTTTGCAGACTCCCTGAGCTCATGGGTGTCTGAGCTGGTAAGTTAAGATCAGCCTAAAACACCTGACCTACAGCACCTGCCTACAATGAACACACACACACACACACACACACACACACACGCACACACTTACAGAGGCACTCACAGGCAAACACACATGCATACACACGCACACACAGAGGCACTCACAGGCAAACACACATGCATACACACACACGCACAGACTTACAGCGGGACTCACAGGCAAACACACACATGCATACATATACACACACACACACACACACACACACACACACACACACACACACACACAGTCACAAACAAGATTTGTCCCCTCTCCCCTAAAGGAGAAGGGGCAAAATGCAGACATCACCACACGGGACCTTTGAACAGTGACAATGGAAAGAAAACCCAAGTAAACAAGTGATACCACCAGCCCAGCCACAGCCCCCTCTTCTATGCTAAATTCAATTTGCCACGTCCCCTTCATGGTGTTTCCTTGATGGCAGGAAAGGGATAGAGTAGAAAATTATAGGCAGGGCCCAGTGTGGGGAAGAGAGGCCTCAAAAACTCAAGGCCCGAGGGAAGGCAATATGCGGTGACACAGTGGTTTCCAAAACTATTTTTCCTCTCTACATACACACAACCAGATTCACCAGATTCAGCACACAAAAAAATGTATTTCAGAAAAGCAAAGAATAATTTTTTATGTAAGTATGCACCAAATATCACATAGGACATGGTTATACTAAAAAATTAATTTATCAAAAATTCAGATTTAACCAAGAATCCTGTATTTTATTTGGCAACACACACACACACACACTCTCACACATCTTATCTAGGACTCAACATAAAAAGCAGCTAAAAAGCAGGTCCTACCCCTGGGCCTCCCTGCCCCAGCCCCTAGACCCTGATGGCACTTTCTTGGACTCTAAGGGCCCAATTAGAAAATCACTGGTGCAGTTGGGCATGGTGGCTTATGCCTGTAATCCCAGTACTTTAGGAGGCCGAGGTGGGTGGATCACCTGAGGTTAGGAGTTCGAGACTAGCCTGGCCAACATAGTGAAAGTCCATCTCTAGATATACAAAAATTAGCTGGGTGTGGTGGTGCACGCCTGTAATTCCAGCTATTCTGGAGGCTGAGGCAGGAGAATCGCTTGAACCCAGGAGCCGGAGGTTGCAGTGAGCTGAGATCACACCACTACACTCCAGACTGGGCAACAAGAGCAAAACTCCGTCTCAAAAAAAAAAAAAAGCACCAGCGCGGTGGAAAGGGTATGCGTTCCACGTCAAGGTACAGTTCCACCTGGTTCAAACCCCACTTGCCAGCCTCGTGACCTTGAGCAAGACCCTTTACGTCTTTGAGCATTAATTTTTCCATAAACTTAGGTTTATGTTTGAATCTGGGTATTTGCTCATGTGTGTGTTGGAACACTGCCCTCTCGCCCCTCTTGTCACCCGTCTCTTTCCCACCAGGCTCCCTGTCACTGGGGAAGAGAAGAGGAGGCTGCTCTAAAGCAGGTTCTCAGTGGAGACAGAGAGCAGGGAGACAGACTTTCCCTAGAGGACACCCCCAGATTTGT
The DNA here is from genome assembly GCF_000001405.40 of Homo sapiens. Taxonomy (NCBI): domain Eukaryota; kingdom Metazoa; phylum Chordata; class Mammalia; order Primates; family Hominidae; genus Homo; species Homo sapiens. The sequence continues at coordinate 48,561,161 of NC_000020.11, forward strand.
TCACCTTGTAGCGAACTGTGAAAGGGATTTCTTACTGCATCTCCATCTCCTGTTACAGAGCCACCAGAGTGTTCTAATTAACTTAAAGTCATTAATGGCTGGGCACAGTGGCTCATGCCTGTAATCTCAGAACTTGAGGGGCCAAGGTGGGCAGATCACTTGAGATCAGAAGTTCAAGACCAGCCTGGACAACATGGTGAAACCCTCTCTCTACTAAAAATAAGAAAATTAGCAGGGCACTGTGGCGGGCACCTGTAATCCCAGCTGCCGGGAGGCAGAGGTTACAATGAGCAGAGATCGTGCCACTGCACTCCAGCCTGGGCAACAGAATGAGACTCTGTATCCAAAAAAAAAAAGTCATTCATTAAATATAGAAACGGGGTGGAGAGGACAGACTGAAGACCCCTGGCCTCTTGCTTGTGCAGCATCGAGGAGGAGAGAAAACTCAAGGCAGCCCACAAGGTGTCCTCATAAGCAACTTTAGTGTCCTCATAAGCAACTCAAAGAGTAATGGTGCTGGGCTAGGCTGGTGGCACATAGGACATTTGTTCATGAAGACCCTTCCTGCCCTGGGCCAAGTTTAAGTACACACCATGGCTTAGAAGGTGGGTGTGAGGTTCAGGCTTTGGTGATACTTGCTGGCTTGTTTTTTTGGGGGTTTTTTGGGTTTTTTAAATATATTACTTCCCCTGAAGCATTAATAACATGCTAAGTTTCCAAACTTATCAGCTGAGTGATGAGTTGACTATAAAACGCCGGGTTGGAGAGTGACAATATGCCCCTGGGTGTGCGTGCACGCCCGTGTGTCCAAATGAACCTACGTGTGTCTGTTGCCCAGAATATGGCTCCTATGCAATGATCTTGAACACCTGGTTAATGTATTTATAAAGGCAATACAATCATACAGAGAACACCGCTGGCATTTGGCGCTCATTCCCCTTTGATTGAGGGATGATTTTTCTCTCCACTGTTCTGGAATTGGTGAAGTGTTGAGACCTGCATCACAGAGATGGTTCTAGTCTCCTGATTTAGGCTGTATGGGGAATATTCCCAGCCCATCCTGTCCCATAATAGAGACTACCAGTTCTTAGACATCATCTCCCTCAGAAGCAGGGAATTCTCTCCACCCAGAGACTGCTTCATCTGCAGCTCTTCATGCTCGCTTATGATTTTGAAACCCACATCTTATGACTTTGAGTCTGCGTTGCCCAGTGGTCCTGGCCTCTGACCCATAGCTTCATCTTATGAAAATCCTAGCCCCCAGTTTTGTACACCTGGGCCCTGATGGAGACTTAGATAATTTCTATCCCAACCCCAGGATCGTTTTGCGCAGCTTTCTTATGTGGATTGATGGACAGGTCCATCCCTGGGTACCATAACCACTACCCAAGAAGTGTCTGACCAAGTGGAAGCCAAGCGTGTTAAGGGAAGAAAGTTGCCAACAGCCCTTCTCACTGGCTCCCATTCAGGGCCTCAGGAGTGACGTGACCCACCCCAGGGGCTGGAGGAGAGAAGCTTTTTGGCTAAAAGTTTGAGAAAACTGTTTACACAGAAGTCCCGAAGAGATTCATGCTCTGGTGAAAATCAGATGATCCAAAAAATTGTGTGTGACCTGCTGTAGAGATGGACAGTAGCCAGGAGACACCACGCTTCTGAATGCAGATCATCTGGCTCTTTCTGAAAAAGGGAACCCTTGATGGGCTGGGATTCTTAGTGACTTGGAGTGCTGACTATTTGAATGTGAATCAGGATTTGTTCAGCTGCAAGGAGTAGAGTAAATTAACAGTTGCTTAGTCAGTGCTTCTGAAACTTTCGTGTGCATACAAATCACCTGGGTTCCTTGTTAAACAGCAGCTTCTAATTCATTGGGCATGGAATGGCATCTATAATAAGCTCTTAAGTAAAGTCCACGCTTCTAGTCCAGGGACCATAATTTGAGTAGCAGAGGGGTGTACACTGCAACTACCAGGGAGCTTCCAACTTAATTGGAATCCTCCAGAATTCCAATTTAATTGGTATGGGGTGTGGTCTGGGAATTGGCAAATTTTAAATCCCCCCAGGTGCTTCTAGTGCACAGCTAAGACAAGAACCACTGACTTAAGCAATAGAGACTTTTCCTTACCGCACGGTACAAGAAGTCCAGAAGGCCGCGTTTTCCAGGCTGGTTTGGCAGCACTATCGTGTCCGGAATTGGTGGGTTCTTGGTCTCACTGACTTCAAGAATGAAGCCGCGGACCCTCTCGGGGAGTGTTACAGCTTTTAAGGCGGTGCGTCTGGAGTTGTTCGTTCTCTCCCGGTGGGTTCGTGGTCTCGCTGGCTTCAGAAGTGAAGCTGCAGACCTTCGTCGTGAGTGTTACAGCCCATAAAAGCAGTGTGGACCCAAAAAGTAAGCAGCAGCAAGTTATTGCAAAGAGCAAAAGAACAAACCTCCCACAGAACGGCAAGGGGACCCAAATGAATTGCCACTGCTAGGTCTGGCAGCCTGCTTTTATTCTCTTATCTGGCCCCGCCCACATGCTGCTGATTGGTCCATTTTACAGAGAGCCGATTGGTCTGTTTTACAGAGAGCTGATTGGTCCATTTTGACAGGGTGCTGATTGGTGCCATTTACAATCCCTGAGCTAGACGTAAAAGTTCTCCACCTCCCCCCTAGATTAGCTAGATACAGAGTGTCCACACAGAGGTTCTCCAAGTCCCCAGCAGAGTAGCTAGAAACAGAGCGTCAATTGGTGCATTCACAAACCCTGAGCTAGACACAGGGTGCTGATTGGTGTGTTTACAAACCTTGAGCTAGATACAGAGTGCTGATTGGTGTATTTACAATCCCTTAGCTAGACATAAAGGTTCTCCAAGTCCCCACCAAACTCAGGAGCCCAGTTGGCTTCACCCAGTGGATCCCATACTGGGGCCGCAGGTGGAGCTGCCTGCCAGTCCCGTGCTATGCACCTGCACTCCTCAGCCCTTGGGTGGTTGATGGCACTGGGTGCCGTGGAGCAGGGGGCAGCACTCGTCTGGGAGGCTGGGGCCGCGCAGGAACCCACCGCGGAGGGTAGGCTCAGGTATGGCGGGCTGTGGGTCCCGAGCCCTGCCCCGCAGGGAGGCAGCTAAGGCCCGGCAAGAAGTCGAGCACAGCAGCTGCTGGCCCAGGTGGTAAGCCCCTCACTGCCTGGGGCTTGCAGGCCGGCCAGCCGCTCCGAGTGCGGGCCCCCTGAGCCCACGCCCACCCGGAACTCACGCTGGCCGGCAAGCGCCGTGTGCAGCCCCGGTTCCCGCCTGCGCCTCTCCCTCCACACCTCCCTGCAAGCTGAGGGAGCCGGCTCCGGCCTTGGCCAGCCCAGAAAGGGGCTCCCACGGTGCAGAGGTGGGCTGAAGGGCTCCTCAAGCGCGGCCAGAGTGGGCGCCAAGGCCCAGGAGGCACCGAGAGCAAGCAAGGGCTGCAGGGCTGCCAACATGCTGTCACCTCTCACTATGGTGGAATTAGGAGCCAGAATCTTTCCATCCTTGTGTTCCACCATCCTTATCATGTCTTCAACCTTAATGCCTCACGGTCTCAAGATGGCTGCAGAGTTCCAGACATCATATCCACCCACAGGGTAGGAAGAAATGGCAGGACACTTTGCTGTCTCTCTCTTCAGCAGGAACTTTCATGGAACTCAGCCCCTCCACCCACACAACAGACATCACTTTGTCTTTTTGCCAGGTGTGGGTTATATATGTGGTTGCCATATTCAGCAAATAAACGTACTAAATTTAAATTGGGACAAGTTTATGCTAAACAATTATTCATTGTTTTTCTGGAAGGTGAATGTAACTAGGCATCCTGTGCTTCCTCTGGCCCTAGTAATATTTAATACATCCACCCATATACCAATAATTGACAAAGGGAACTAGGATGATTACACTTGGTTTAGCCTCCAGCCCACCCTCTAATTAACCCGTCCCTTTATCCTTAGCTGAGCCTGAGTTCCTCTCTCTTATTGGCCAGACCTGGGTCACATGTTTGTCTCTGAGCCAATCGCTGGCTAGAGAAATGGGATGTGCTGACTGGCTTAGCCTGGGTCACATGCTCCATCCTACAGCCAAACATGTAAGGTGGATAAGGGAGAAGGCGTTACCTCCCTTATCGAGGCGAAAGGCTGTAACTAGGAGGAGGGTGCACTAACCACGTGTTTTATTTTCTGTATTCCGACACTTTGGTATCTGGGACCATGCTGACCCTGACCTGCCTTTCTGAGGGTTAGCCAATTCTTGATAAAGCATGCTTTTCAAATACAAACCAACCAACCCAGAGCCAATGCTCCAACCCCCTCCTTTATTGGACCCTCCTATTCCATTCCCTAGTCACGCCAGGGCCAGGTGCCAGACAGCTAGGGGCAGTCCCTATGCCCCAGGGCCCCCTGAAATTATTGAAACTAACTAGCCAATCCCAAAACCTGCTTACCTCGCCTTCCTCATTTCGTCCCTCCAAAGCCACAATCAAGGCTCTTTCCCACATTCACTCCCTCTCCTTCTTCCTCTGCCAACCCCAGCGCTTCCCTGGGTGGTCCCCATGGTATGGTGTGTCCCCTCCTGTCGGGACCTGTAACAAACCCTCTTTTGAGTGGCAGTCCTTTCCTGACTTATTATACCTCGAATTTTCCATCAATCCAGTGTACTTTAAAACAGAGGGAAAGCATTTTTTCAAATAAATGTATTCAAGCATCTACTAGTACGCCAGACATTGCTTCAGTGATGGGATACAGCCATGAACGAAGCCCATACAATGCTCCTGAAACAGACATTCTAGTGAAGTAAGATAAATAAGCACATGCAAAATATGTGTCATGTCAGATAGTGGTGGGTGTTGGCAAGGAGGACAGAGAACGGGCAGGAATCGTAAGAGGCTGCAATTTCAAATGGAGCAGGCAAGGAGGGCCTTACTGAGAAGGTGACATTTGAAGAGAGAGCTGAGGTAGCTGAGGGAGGAAGCCACAAAGACATCTGGTGAAAGAGCCATCCAGGCACAGAGCACAGCAAGTGCAAAGGCCCTGAGGTCAGGAGGGATTTTAACTGGCTTCCCCTGGATGTTGGGTGGAGAAACGTGATTGGCACAGACAGTCATCAGCCCTTATCCACGGGGGGCTGAAGCAGGTGGGATAAAGCCAGAAAGAGGGGCGCTGTGGACTCTGTGCTCGTTGCCCTGGCACTCGTGCTGGTGCCTTGAGAGCACTCCCAGGCAGTAATGATCCCTCTGTGGGTTTCTCCGGGGTCAGCTGGGGTTTCTGCTCTGTGGACAGCAGCTGGAGGGAAACAGGAGTGAATCAGTCCATCAAATGGAGTCATGGATGGACCAGTGTCTGAAGATAACGCTGTCTTCTTCTGTGCTGGGGCTACGGTTCTCCCCAGATGCTGAAGAAATCATTGAAAGGACATGAAACAAATAGATATATTATAAAGCAAGAATAGTAAAATGTTAATGGTGGAGTCTAGGTGGTGAGTATAAGGTGTTCACTGTAAAATTTTTTGTTTAAAAACGTTTAAAATAAAATATTGGGGTAAGTGACACACAGTCCTTTTGTTTTTTTAATTCCTTTTAAGTAAAAGGTTGACAGTGGGCGAGCTGAGAGTGTCTCTGATATCCTAGTTGACCTGACCCTGTTTACGGCATGGAAACCCTTCAGTCCTCATTTGCACATTTCATGGTCACACCAATGGGCTCCTTCTTTTTGTCCTGTGTCTTCTCACAGACCTTGGCAAAACAAACACAACAGTAGTGATGCCAACCATTTGGATATGCCAAAGGGAAGCCATAAAGGGCTTCCTTTAAGCCTTAAGAGATGAAAGTTTTTAAATTAAGAAATAAAAATTGTATGCTGAGGTTGCTAAGATCTTCAGTAAGAATAAATCTTCTATCCTTGAAATTGAGAAGGAAAAAGAAACTCATGCTAGTTTTGCTGCTGCACCTCAAACTGCAAAAGATATGGCCACAGTGCACAAGTGCTTAGTTAAGATGGAAAAAACCATTAAATTTGTGGATGGGAGACATGAACAGAAACGTGTTCAGTCAGGTTCTGTATTAGCTGTGGTTTCAGGGTCCACTGGGAGTCCTGGAATGTATCCCCTGGTGGATAAGGGCTGATGATTGTCTGTGCCAATCACATTTCTCCACCCAACACTCTGGGGAAGCCAGTTAAAATCCCACCTGACCCCAGGGCCTTTGCACTTGCTGTACCAGCTGCTGCCCACAGAGCAGAAACCCAGCTGACCCCAGAGAAACCTGCAGAGGGATCATTACCGCCTGGGAGCACTCTCAAGGGACCAGCACGAGCGCCAGGCCACCGAGGACAGAGTCCACAGCACCCCTCTTCCTGGAAAGCCCACCTGCTTCAGGGCCCCAGACACAGGCTGCAGCTCCCAGACCCCCTTAACTTCACATCAGAGACCCCAGAGCCAGAAAGGCCTTTGAAGGAAAGGCCTTCTTTTAGACCCATTTTTGTATTTGTTTTTGACAAATGAGGAAACAGAGGCACAAGACTCAGAGAATCCAGCTTCTTCCACTCACATCACAAGCTGCGTCTGCCCAGAGTCGCCATGCCTAGCCTCGGGTTCCTGGTGCAAGACGACACACATAGACACAGAATGGGATTCGAGTTGGATTCACAAGGAAAAGGGTTTCCCCCAAAGCCTAAAGACGAAGAAAGGGTCAGACCAAATCATGTTTCCACCCAGTATCTTTTGAGTACTCCCTATGTCGGGCACTATTCTACAGCCTAGGGCTACAGTAATGAAGACAGACACAATTCCTTCCCTCAGGAAGTGGAGGTGATGATGTTAGCAAATGAATACATGCAGTCATTTCAAAGAGAAATAAATTATAAGAAGAGAACAAAGGGAGGCAATGGGCCAGACAGCAAGGGTGGTAGTGGGGCTACTTTAGATGGACAAACTGGGGAGACTGTCCAAGGCCATGGTGAGGAGCTTGGATTACATTCCCATAAAATGAAAATGGGTTAGGGGGCTTAGATGGGGAAGGGACATGACCAGACATGTATTCTAACACCATCCTTCTGGCTGAGTGTGGAGAACAGATTGTCAAGGGTGAGGGTGGAAGCAGAGAGACCATCCTCTCTGGGTGGAAGCGAAGCCACTGTAATTGTCAGGCAGGAGCTGGTGATGCTTGGACTGGAGTGCATAGTGCAGATAGTGAAACGCCGTCAGACCCTGTACGTATCTGGGGGACTGGAGGTGGGGTTGAGGCAAAGAGAAGAGGAAAAACAACACCTGCATTTTAAGCTGAGCCACTAGGTTGATGATTGAGCCCCAGCTCTTCTCTCCTGGGAGCGATAAACATTTGCTATAAGATCTGTGATTCAAATAAGCTTAATATTAAGCTCAGATTATAACTTTGTGTCAGCGACTCTTGATGAAAACCAAGAAAATATCCTGGCATAAGAAAGTCTGATGGGGACACAGGAGAGCAGCACAAAGGAAACCATGGAAGCCTCAACATAGACGTATTATTTTTTCTCGCCATTATAAAGGTGGAGCAACTAGGGCACAGAAAGGTTAAGAAACTTGCTCCAGGTCACACAGCCAGAAAGCAGTAAAGCCAATATTTAAACCTAGTGCCATGTTTTTATTTACTTATTTTTAATTTTTTTTTTAAGACAAGGTCTCACTTGGTCACCCAAGCTTGAGTGCAGTAGCGTGATCACAGCTCACTGCAGCCTCAACCTCTTGAGCCTCAACCTCCTGAGCTCGAGCAATCCTCCCACCTCAGCTTCCCAAGTAGCTGGGACTACAGGAGAGTGCCACCACACCCAGCTAATTTTTTTTTTTATTATTATACTTTAAGTTCTAGGGTACATGTGCACAACATGCAGGTTTGTTACATAGGTATACATGTACCATGTTGGTGTGCTGCACCCATTAACTGGTCATTTACATTAGGTGTTTCTCTTAATGTTATCCCTCCCCCAACCCCACAACAGGCCCTGGGTGTGTGATGTCCCCCGCCCTGTGTCCAAGTGTTCTCATTGTTCAATTTTTGTATTTTTTGTAGAGACGAGGGTCTCCCTAAGTTGCCCAGGCTGATCTTGAACTCCTGGGCTCAAGTGATCCTCCCATCTTGGCCTCCCAAAGTTCTGGGATTACAGGTGTGAGCCACCATGCCCAGCCATAGAGCCACGTTTTTTAATCACTGCACTATTGAACCAGTCTTCAGGTAGAGGATATTGAATTGTTCCAATTTGAAAGTTTATTTTTAATTGTAATACACAGTGTGACTGGGAATGTCTTTATATATTCATCTTTGCCTCCTTGAGCAAGTATTTCTGAAGATAAACTCTCTAGGGAGTGGAGACAGCGGTCTTAGGGTCCCTCATGTTCTGTGGAGTCTGTCAGCTTCCACCTGGCAGCCCTCCACTCTCACATCTTTGCCCGAAAGTCCTCCTTTCTACGAATGAGCCAGGGCCCCCTGCCCAACTGTTGAACTGGCCTTGGAAGGTGGCCAAGCTCCTTCCAGGAGGTGAGGGGTGGGGGGAGAATGCGTCTTCTGAACCTCTAAATAGACCCAGGTCAACAAGGCTCATCCCCTAAAGTCCAACACATTATCTCATGGCCGGCTTCAGCCAGCAAGCAGGCGGCCTCCTGAAAAATTTATCATTTGCTATTTTCTGCTCATCCATGCAGGAGTTCTGACAGTCCTCAGGGCCAGAGACTTCTCCACTGAGATAATCCCAGCATTCCATCCAGTTCCGGGGCAGAGAACAGCCGTCCATCCTCATTAGGGTCCGGTTAGGAGGATGAAGCCGGACACGCAAGATGAGGGGCTCATTCTGTTTCCTATTTTGGGGGTTGAGTGTGCAGGTTTTTACTGAGAATGGCTTTTCCTTTCCCTACGTGAAGTGGTCACTCCTCCCTGAGCTGCCTCTTGGAAGTATCGAAAGCTCAGCGGAACTGGTTTTGTGAGCTTACTGATCAGAAAGTGCTCGAAAGTGTCATCAAAGTTTCAAATCCATTAGGAAAATCTGTTTGGGTGATGTTCAAAGACCTTTAGGCTTTTGTCACCAGGAGGCTAAGAAAGAAGAGAAAAGTTTAGAAGCTGAGACCTTGTTTGTGTGGTTTCCTTTGGTCAAGGAGGCCATGGCAGTTGTGGGTCCTGCCAGGGTGTTACTGGCTTAATTCAATTCAGACGACCTTTGATGAGCCTCTTTAGGTGCCAGGGCTCAGCCAGGCACTGGGGCACCCTGATGAGTGTGGTCTCTGACTTGGGGAGCAAATTGTCTAGCTCAGGTCCCCGAAAAACAGCCGTCTGCCTACAGTCTCATGATTTTGCAACATCTCTGTGACATCTGGGAAGAAGAGTGATTGCTGAAGCACAGGGCTGCGCTGTGAGCCCATTCCTGAGGGTGCCAACTAACTCAGCCACAGGCAAGAGTGTGTCTACAACTCCCAGAGCCCCCAGGGGAAGCAGGAGTCCCTCAGGAGAACAGGACAAAGACCATATGAGGCTCCCAGCTCAGTTCCCCGCTTGACTCTGCTTCTGGACAATTTTCAAACCTGAGACAAGACAGACATGTTCCCTCTTGGATCCAATTTCCATATAGTTAGGAATGTGGACCAAGGAATTGCAAAGGGCACACCTTGGCCTGGGGTTTCCAGGTGCTTTTCTTCTTTCTACAACCCCCCAAGTGATCTTTATTACATAAATAATAAACTGTCATTTTTAAAACTCAAAGAACACGAAGCAAAAGTAGTTCCTCATTTCCCAGTTTTCACACTCATCACCCCAGGCCAGTATCCTATTCAACGTGATGTGTGTCCTCTAAGAATACACAAACACACACACACAAACACACATGGGTTTTGGGGCCAAGGCAAAGAGCAACAGGGTGCTCTCTAGAGGGTGACTCCAGAGAGGGCCTCTCGGACGAGGTGACATCTGCAGAGCCTGGAGTGAGAGGACAAGCCAGGCAGATATCTGGGGAAGAGCAGCCTTGGCAGAGGGACCTGCAAGTGCAAAGGCCCTGAGGCAGGAGGGTTCTCAAGGGGGTTGGGGAGCAGCACAGAGGCCCATGTGGCTGCAGCAGGGGAGTGAGGTGGGGAGTGGCAGGGGCGGAGGTTGAAGAGAGGATGAGGGGTCAGGCCATGGAGGGCCTTGCAGGCCATGAGGAATATTTTGGCTTTTATTCTGCATGAGAGGGTGGGTCCCTAGAGGACTCTGAGTGATGGAATCTGATGAGCTGACCTAATAGGATGAAAGGCCCACCCTGGCTGCTGAATGGAGAACACAAGGCAGTGGCCGGAGGCGGAGCCAGGAACCCAACTAGGAGACTTGGACACTAGTCCAGGCAAGAGATGACAATGGTGAGATACAGACAAGTCAAGATCCTGGCTTGACTGACTCCAGCTTCATTCTTCTCCCTGTCTCACCCTCCCTCCCTCTACCTTCCCAAAGAGTTCCCGACCTCACGTACTCTGGCTATATCTATCATTTAAAAACATAGCCATGTTAGTCATCTGTCACACCCTGTGCTCCTGTGTCACCCAAGTCAGGTGTCCCAGGAACAGGTCTGGAGAGGGTGCTGTGGGCATCTGCTACTCAGACTTCTCTTGGGTAGAAGTCTCCAGACTGGCAAATTAGGTCTAAACCTTCAAAGTATCTGGGAAATGCCAAGTCCCCCCAAAACAGTGGTGGTTTGGACCTGGTCCTTTACAATGCTGAGTGAACTCATCATTTCCAAAAATGAGTGGCCGCGAGCAGTGACGCTAGAGCAGGTGAGATAATATTACATGCCATGTGATAAAGGCCCTCTTTTATGTGACAAAGGCCCTCTTTTACATTCTGTATTTATTTCAATATATATTACTAGGTTGGTGCAAAAGTAATTATGGTTTTTGCCACTGAAGGTAACGACAAAAACCGCAATGACTTTAGCACCAACCTTATTTTAAAAAAAAATAGAAAACAAGGATATGAGATCCATGATGACTCAGCCATAATTCCATGGGCTGAGGTTGAATTTAGAAAAGCGAGTCCATTTCAAGAGAAATAATCCATAGTCGTACAGGGCGTGCCCTGAGATGGCCTGAGCAGCACTCATGAGGGGGTGTGCAAATGGAAGACATTGAGAAACGGGGAGTTCCTGCCAAGCTGGGTGGTTTGGGCCCGGGTATTTAATTTCCTTTGGTCAAGGCGAGCAGAGGATCTTCCAGCCCATCAGAGTCACAGAAAGAGGTGTCAGGGTGACCTTACCCCCGGCCCAGAGCGGGTGGGAAGGTTTAGTCATGGAAAGAAATTGGATCTGTTTTTCTCCACATGTCCCCGGGGTTAATCTGGAGAAAACAAGTTTTGGTTGGCTGGCCCAGCTTCGCTTAAAATATTTAAAACTGGCTTCTTTTGCCCTTCACAGCAATATCTCCCAGGTTCTTACCTCCCATCTGAGCTGTCTGTCTGCATTAGGGCTGAGTTGCCGAAGGAGCATAGATCCTGTTTTTGTGTAAAAGATGCTGATTTATAGAACCTCTTTATTATGGCTGTTTTAATGAAGCAGGTTACTGTCCCCAAGGGGAGACTTAACTTGTAATGCCGCTAATGCATAGATGCTGCTGTCATTGAAAAGAATTGTTAAAATTGTACTTTAATAGTGAGTTGATATAAATCTTCAATGGCTTATTTGGACAGGGGTGAATGCACCCAACAAGTAGATGTGTAAGGGAGCTACAGACACGAGCTCCCACCAGCGAATCGCCTCTGAAGTTAGTGCCATGGAAACACAAGCACTCAAGACAGTGGTTTTATCCCCGGTAAAAATAAGACACCATTCCGGCCAGGCACAGTGGCTCACATGTGTAATCCCAGCACTTTGGGAGGCCGAGGCAGGCAGATCATGAGGTCAGGAGATGGAGACCAGCCTGGCCAACATGGTGAAACCCTGTCCCTACTAAAAATACAAAAATTAGCTGGGCATGGTGGCAGGTGCCTGTAGTCCCAGCTACTTGGGAGGCTGAGGCAGGAGAATTGCCTGAACTCAGGAGACAGAGGTTACAGTGAGCCGAGATCGTGCCACTGCACTCTAGCCTGGCAACAGAGTGAGACTCCATCTCAAAAAAAAAAAAAAAAAAAAAAAGGCACCATTCCACAGTCTGCTTGCTTTTTGCCAACACAGCATTCAGGGCTGCTGACTACAGCAGGTGAATTATGCACAAGGTGACAGCTTCCCCTGCATTCTCGGAGAAGAGTCTGGCAGGTCGGGTAAACTGCCAGGCTTTGCTCCTTTTGCTTCTAAGGCAGAATCTGCAGACCCAGAGAAGACAAGTTCTCATCACCAACTGCCTCATCCTGGTTTGAAGACAGGTTCTCATCACCAACTGCCTCATCCTGGTTTGAGAAGAGCGGGCAAAGGATTGATTCTGCTTGGACTGGTCTGGATTCACGCATTCAACAAATATTTGCACCTTCTACGTGCCAGGCACTGTACTTCATCAAGACACCAAAGGGCTTTTGGCGTAGAAATAACATGAACTACAATACCCCGTGGCTGCAGGCTGCTCCCTGGGAGATGGAGGGGTAGGGTGGAGATGGTGAGGTGGCTCTGGCTAGTTGGTGTGACTGCTGCCTCCTCCAGCCAGTTTCTGATTTTTAGCTCACTTTTAGTGAGCTCACATGGCACCCCCAGAGGGTGAAGTGTGGTTCTAAGCCATATTTTCTTCCCTTTTTTTTTTTTTTTTTTTAAGACTGAGTCTCACTCACTTTGTCACCTAGGCTGGAGTCCAGGGCATGATCTTGGCTCCGTGCAACCACTGCCTCCCGGGTTCAAGTGATTCTCTTGCCTCAGCCTCCCCAGTACCTGGGATTACAGGCATTTGCCATCACACCTGGCTAATTTTTGTATTTTTAGTAGAGATGGGGTTTCACCATGTTGGTCAGGCTGGTCTCGAACTTCTAACCTCAGGTGATCCACCCACCTCAGTCTCCCAAAGTGCTGGGATTACAGGCATGAGCCACCATGCCCGGCCCTAAGCCATCTGTTTAAAGCATGTTATTTAATCTTTACAACTCCATGTGGTGCATAGTATTACTAACCCCATTTCATTGACAAGGAAACTGAGTCACGTAGAGTTAAGAAATTCAACCCAGTGCATAAATGAAACAGCCAGAATTTGAACCATAGTTTGTTGAACTTCACAGTCTCTGTTTTAATCACTCTGCCATCCCCTCCTCCAGGGAGCTGCCATGGCTGAAGTCAGATAATCAGCCCTAAAATTCAATATTTGGAACTTGGCAGGGTGTTTCCAGTCCTAGATGACAGAAACGAGGCAGGGGCTGGTTGCTAAGCAACCTACTGGTTGGCAGTGGTGACTCCTGGGAGTGGGGAGGGGTCAATAGTGGACCCAGGTTATCATGGGATCAAGATCTGACCAATCAGAGCATCCCATTTCCCCAGCTGTGGTGATTGGCTCTCAGGGTTGTGCATGTGAACCAAGTCACTCCAAAAGCAGCTGGACCAAGGACTTTTCATCTCTGTTGGGAAAGAGGTGCCTGCCATCTGCTGGGGTGGCTGAGCTGGGATATTAATCCAGAGCTGCTGAGGGATTGTCCCTGTTGCTCCTAGGGGAAAATCTGCCTTAGAGTATAGCCACCATGGAGATAATATGAGAGTCCAGAAAACAGTGTCAGCATCAGGATTGAGCTGAGCTTTATATGAGCCAATAAGTTCCCTTTCAGCAAGTTGGGCCTCCCACCACTTGTAGTTACAAGTAACCTCTAGCTACTGTAGGGCAAAGACTAGTGCCCCATTTGACAGGTGATACAACTAAGGCTCCAAGCAGAAGACAGGAAAAGGGGAGGAGCCAACGTTAATCATCTAGTACTTGCCATTCACTGTCTATATTGCTTTATTTAATGCGACTAAGCTGGGTTGCAAGCTTTAGTGTGACACTGACTGTGATGGTTGACTTTATGTGTCAACTTGACTGGACCAAGGGATGCCCAGATGTCTAACATGATTTCTGGGGGTGTCTGTGAGGGTGCTTCTCAGAAGGATGAGCATTTGAATCTGCACACTGAGAAAAATGGATGGGCCTCCGCAGTACTGGTAGGCATCCTCCAATCCCTTGAGGACCTGAATAGAACAAAAAGGCAGAGGAGGGCTGGGTATGGTGGCTTATGCGTGTAATCCCAGCACTTTGGGAGGCCAAGGTGGGAAGATCACTTGAGCCCAGGAGTTCAAAACCAGCCTGGGCAACATGGTGAGATCCCCCTCTCTACAAAAAAAAAATTAAAAATAAATTAGCCAGGCATGTTGTCACGTACCTATAGTTCCAGCTACTCAGGAGGTTGAAGTGAGAGGATCACTTGAGCCCAGGAGTTCAAGGCTGTAGTGAGCTATGATCTTGCCACTGCACTTCAGCCGGGGTGACAGAGCAAAACCCTAGAAGAAAGAAAGAAAGAGAAATAGAGGAAGGGAAGGAAGGAGGGAGGGAGGGAAGGAGGAAAGAAGGAAGGAAGGAAGGAAAGAAGGAAGGAAGGGAGGGAGGGAGTGAAGGAGGGAGGGAGGGAGCAGAGGGGAGGAGGGGAGGGAGGGAGGGAGGCCCAAGGTCTGAAAGCCAGTGCTTCCAAGGGTAACCCTTTCCCCTTGACCCTTGCTCTTGCCCCCACAGTGTAGGAAGTTGAACTTTATTCTGCTGACATATCTGTGTTTGAGCTTCCAGACAAACTTCATATCTGCAACTGCGACAGTTCTGTCCCAGGCAGGATCCCAGCAGGAGGCAGATAGCAGATCTGCAGAGGGAAACTGAGGAGTGTACAATGGAGGGAGTGTTTACAAGGAGATAGCAGGTTAAAGGACCCCAAAGAGATGGTGACGGCCCCCAGGACTAGCATCAGAGGGAAGGGAAGCTGTTAGGACCCCAGGCCTGAAGCCGCCAAGGAAGAAGATGATGCGGAAGCCAGCAAGCGCTGCATGTGCAGGAGAGGATCCACTGCCCGGCATGAGCACGGCCTTGGGAAGAGAAACTCAGCTCTGCCAGCCTCTGCACTGCAAGCCTTTTGTCGAACATATGTTTAAATAAATAAAAGAAAAAGCAGCAGTTTTTAATTTTGATGCAACCCAATTCATCTTTTTTGATGGCTGGTGCTATTTACATCCTATCTAAGGAATGCCTGTGTTCCCTTCTAGAAGTTTTAGAGTTTCAGCTTCTATGTTTAAGTCTGCAATCTATTTAACGTTAATTTTTGTATGGTATGAGTTAGAGGTTGAAGTTCATTTTTACCCTTTTTGAGTATTCATTTACTTCTAAACCATTTGTTGAAAAGACTTTCTTTTCCCCATTGAATTACCTTGTGCCCCTGGTGAACATTGGTTGAATATATACAGACGCCTTCACCCTACCCCAGCCCTGGGGAAGCCCTGCTCTCATCCAGGCTCCTGGGTCTGGGTTTGAGGCCCCCTTGGGGCTCTCACCCTGGCCCTGTGGTGTGGGCATCTCAGCATAATGCCCCGGCTTCCCACCCTGCCACCCTCCCAGCATCACCCATGCCCCTCTCCCTGCTGTGGACCTGGTCCAGTGGCTGCCAGGTGGGTTCTGTGCACTAGCTCCTGGTCTGGGCCCTTGCTCCATGGGTGACTATGGACAAGGGGGTGCCCCTTCCTGGGCCTCAGTCTCCCCATCTTTACAATTTGAGACCTGATCAGGTTAAGGCCCTTCCAGCACAAATGTTCCATAATTCTGTGATTCCACAAAGAGAATCCAAGAAAGTTCCATGGAGCTTAACCAGGGGCAGCCATCTCCCTCTGCCTGGAGCTCCGGATGAGGCCCAGGTCTGTAGGGCACCATGTTGGGGCTGAGATAGTGGGGACAGAACAGTTGGCCCTGCTGAGAAGAGGAGGGATGTGTGTGCGGGGTGGGGGGCATATACACATGGATGCACATTTGTGTGTGCACAGCTGTATATACATTCTGTGATTGGGTGGGGATGCTGATGCTTGAGTACTATACACAGGTGTGGCGCAGCACAGCATGATCTGTGGGGGCTTGACCTGTTTGTACACATGTGAATGTTCATCTCCATGTGTGGTGCCTGGGCCAGGTATCCATGCAGGTGCATGCATGTGGGTGCACACATGTGCATATGTGGGAGCGTGTGGACGTGCACTGGGGCTGTGTGCTTGGGGCTCACATTTATCTCATGCCTGTTGCTTGCCAGCCATTCTTCTAAGCACTTTCCATGCATTAACTCACGCAACCCCCATGATGGCTTTATCTGAGATTGTTTCTCAGGTTTGAGGAAACTGAGGCTCACAAGGGTTAAACCATGTGACCCAAATGACAGGTTCAGAAGTGGTGAAGCTGGGGGTTGGACCCAGGCTGTCTGGTCTCAGAATGAGTGATGTGGCCCATGTCTGTGGGGTCTGTGTAGACAGCGGGGCGTTTGCATTCAACTGTTTCAGGGGGTGTGCACCTGTGTGTGAGATGGCGGGAAAGGTTCTGCGTGTGTGCATACATGGTGGAGTGTACGTGTGTGTAGGTACAGGCATGTGTTGTAGACAGGCTTTGCACACACATGCAGGTTTGTGCTCACACGTGTGCATCTACCAGTGTCCCCATGGGTGGGTGCTTGGGCATGTGCACAGGCACATTGGTGGGGACGTGTGAATTTGCACCCCAGCATGATAGAGGGGAACCTCGGGGCCCTGGCAGAGAACAGAGGGAAGCCAAGCTCTCTGGGAGGAGAGCAGCCTGCTCTGTGAGTTGCATTCCACGCTGCACATTTGTGTTTTCCAAACCGGGGGATGGAGCACTAACGGGTGTCAGCCGCCCTTGGAGAATGAGGGATGTGGAGAGAAGGGCCTCCTGGGCTGCTCCTTATTGCACAGATTGCTTTTAGGGGACACATATGAGGCTGGTCTTACTGAGACAAGGGGTATGGCCCCAAGACAGGCCTCACTCATGACCTAGCGCCTCCCGGGAACTTCTCAGGGTGTTACAGGTGGAAGATTGGAGACACCCTGCCCTGGAGCTGGGCGCGAAGCCCTGGGCTGAAAGTTTTCCTGGCCAGTTTGAGCTCCGTGACCCTGGAGAGGTGCCTCCCACCTCTCAGACTCGGTTTCCTGCTCTGGGAGAAGAAGCCACAGCGGCATCCGTGATTTCTGTCTGGATGTGTCCGTCCTGCCCACCTTTGACCTTCCCTTGTGGACTTGGTCCGCCTCACGCTGAGCCATGGTATGGACCAGGTGGGGCTGACCCAGCACTGGCCTGGGGGGATGTGTGACCCCAGGGCGACCATGCAGAATGCTCCATCCTCCTGGACTCTGATTGGAAGTGGGAGGGACATTGTTTCCTGTGGCCACTGTAACAAGTCACCACAAACAAGGTGGCTCACAACAAAGACATTCACATCTCATGGCCCTAAGGCTGGAAGCCTGAAGTCAGGGTGGCTGTGGCTCCCTCTGGAGGCTCAGGGCATGGGGGGAGAATTCGTTCTTGGCCTTTTCCAGCTTCAGATGGCTGCCGGCATTCCTTGGCTGTGGCCACATCGCTCCAGTCTCTGCCACCATGGCCACATTGCCTCCTCCTCTGTCTTCTCTTCCCTCTCATAAGGACCCGTGACAGTATTTAGGGTCCACTCAAAATAATCCAGAATCATTTCCTCATCCCAGGATCCTTACCTTAGTCACATCTGCAAAGACCTCTTTTCCAAATACGTGGGCACCGCAGGTTCCAGGTATTTGATGTGGACATCTTTCCTGGGGGCTGTTCTGTGGGTTTTCACAGACATGTGACCACAATAGGCCAATGGGAGCCTGCCCTGGGGCTTCTGCAGGTTTTGCGGGAAAGAGACGTTCTCTGTGCCCCGAGGCTGCTGAGCTGAGGGGTGGAAGCCAGGAGCTGCCAGTGGTCGTCATGGTCCCCCATGGAAACTACCTACTTGGGAGTGAAGCCAACACAGAGGACAGCAGAGCACAGAGATGGAGACGGACTGCGTCGTGGCCAGATTGTTGGAGCCCTGGAGCCAGCTGGGTCAGAAGCCCAATACGCCTGACTTCATTACATGGGCTGGGAGGTTTTCTTGTTTCACTTATTTCTGTTTGAACTGAGCTTCTGTCCCTTACAACCAGAGGAATCTTATTTATTTATTTATTTATTTATTTATTTATTTATTTATTTATTTATTTATTTTTTGAGACGGAGTCTCGCTGCCGCCCAGGCTGGAGTGCAGTGGCGCGATCTCAGCTCACTGCAGGCTCCACCCCCCAGGGTTCACGCCATTCTCCTGCCTCAGCCTCCCGAGTAGCTGGGATTACAGGCACCCGCCACCACACCTGGCTAATTTTTTGTATTTTTAGTAGAGACGGTGTTTCACCATGTTAGCCAGGATGGTCTCGATCTCCTGACCTCGTGATCCGCCCGCCTCGGCCTCCCAAAGTGCTGGGATTACAGGCCTGAGCCACCGCTCCCGGCCAACCACAGGAATCTTGACCAACAGAGCTCGGGGTTATTCTTGGGGTCACCTAAATGATGGGACCAGGCAGACCTATGGAAGAAACTGTTGCTTCACAAAGGCCGTGTCCTGTCTATCTGGGGACCAGAGGCTGCTGAGCAGTTTCTCCAGGAGGGGCAGGGCTGTGCAGAGTCCCCTCTCCCACCTTCAGGATGGCCTCAGGCTCAGGTCACAATGGGGAGCCACGGTGCCGAGCTCTCAGCCCCTCTTCCCAAGGATCATGCAGGGTCTGACCAATGAACTCAGCTGATCCCAGTCAGATGTGTCTGCAATTGGCAGTGGCTCCCTGGAGAGGGCAGGACTTGAGCCAGATGAAGGAAGGGAGAGGTATACAGAGCACATACCATGCTTGAAAAAATGGAATATGAGGGTGTGGTGGTGCAGACCTGCAGTCCCAGCTACATGGGAGGCTGAGGTGGGAGGATCACTTGAGCCTGGGAGGCCAAGGCTTCAGTGAGCCATGATTGCGCCACTGCACTCCAGCCTGGACAACAGAGAGAGACCCTGTCTCAAAAAAAAAAAAAAAAAAAAGTCGAATATGAGTCATTTGTCCAATGTCCATCCCCCTCCCCTCCCCGGGCCTGGATGCTCCTAAAGGTAGGGCTGGTGCACCTGCAGTTCACCCCTTCTAGGGTCGTGGCCTCCCAGAATCCAACTCAGATCCTATCCCTCCTCTGCTCAAGCCCTGCAGTGGCTCCCAACTCACTCAGAACAAAAGCCAAAGTCGGGGACCAGGCACAGTGGCTCACGCCTGTAATCCCAGCACTTTGGGAGGCTGAGGTGGGTGGATCACCTGAGGTCAGGAGTTCGAGACCAGCCTGGCCAACATACTAATCCCATCTCTACTAATAATACAAAATATTAGCCAGGCATCATGGTGCAGGCCTGTAATCCAAGCTACTCAGGAGGCTGAGGCAGGAGAGTCGCTTGAACCCGGGAGGCAGAGGTTTCAGTGGGCCAAGATTATGCCATTGCACTCCAGCCTGGGCGACAAGAGTGAAACTCCGTCTCAAAAAAAAAAAAAAAAAGCCAAAGTCCTCGCAATGGCACATGAGGCCTTAATCCACTGGTCTCACCCCACTGCCCTGTCAGCTTTCACCTCAGGGCCTTTGCACTTCCTTCCATCTTACAGGAATTCTCTACCCTAAGACATGCACGTTACTCATTTCCTCCCATTTTTACTCAAATGTCACCTTGTTAGTGAGGCTGTCCCCAGCCACCCCATCCACACTGCACACCCCATCCTCCCCTCCTGCTCTCTTTTTCTCCATGGCTCTGTCAGTCACTATTATTATATAAGTAATACACTCATTGATTTTTTTGTTTATGTCCCCAAATTAGGCTCTCAGTGCCATGAGGGCAGGGACCTTGGTCCACTTTCTCCTCTGTTCATAACGAGCATTTTCTAAATGGGAAATGAATGAACGAGCTCTGTCTTCTGGGCCCAGTGCCCTGATTGCCCCTTGGGAAGCCTCCGTCCTTTACTCTCAGTTCATGTGCTGCGGATGGGTGAACCCCACACCCAGCTCCACGCAAGGACAAGATCTAGCCCTGGCAATTGGCATATTTGAGGCCACTGGGTACAGCTGGGCAGCTGTCCCCCCACACAAGGAACTGAAACCCTTCCCACCAAGCCTTGTGTCCTGGCACAGAGCTGTTTCTCCTGAGAGGAAGGGGCACCCTTTTTCTAACTCACACCAAGGCACCCAGGGATAGCCCTGACCACGAGCAAATCCCATCACCTTGACTGCAGTGTTTGAATCAGGGACGGACATGGGGCCAGGTTGGCACATGCAGGGATGTTAAATCAGGTGAATCCTGTGAAGTCCTCAGGGGCCACCAGGAAGAGAAGGTCTTTCTTCTAGGGTTGCTGTGCTTGTAGGTAGCATCCCCCCACCAGCGAGGGAAGAGGCGGGAGCACCACTGCGTGGCTGGGAGAAACTAACTGGCTCCCTGGATCCAGCCCTACCCCAGGCTGGAACCATTCCTGGGATTTTTTTTTTTTTTTTTTTTTTTTTTTTTTGAGACAGAGTCTTGCTCTATCACCCAGGCTGGAGTATAGTGGCACAATCTTGGCTCACTGCAACCTCCGCCTCCTGGGCTCAAGCAATTATCCTGCTTCAGCCTCCCGAGTAGCTGGGATTACAGGTGCCCACCATCACACCTGGCTAAATTTTGTATTTTTAGTAGAGACAGGGTTTCACCATATTGGTCAGGCTGGTCTTGAACTCCTAACCTCATAATCTGCCTGCCTCAGCCTCCCAAAGTGCTGGGATTACAGGCATGAGCCACCAGGCTGGCCCGGGACTTTCAGTGCTATGAGCCCATCCATTCTGTTTTTGCCTAAACTGGCTGGGGTTGAGTTTCTGTCATTAACAACCACAGGATCCTTGTCTGACCCAGGAAGTGAGATAACAACACCCTGCAGGACAGCCATGTAGCTAAATTAGACCCTGCCCTTGAAAAGCACCGTGTCCTTTTTAAACACTTGAGGCATATGAAGGGCTGCTGGGGATGCTGGCAGCCTCCGACTTCATCACCTCCTTCCTCTGCCCAGGGCTGCTCCCCACAGGAGTCTGTTCCCCTCCCCAGTGCAGCCTCTGCCCCCTCCTCAAAGAAAGTTTCAGCACTCACAGCTCCTCTCTCTCAGCTGAGTGATTTTCTCCCTTCCTATTTTGTCATCTTGAAAGATGGCAAATTGGAGCACTTAATTTTCCCCCTCCAACCCAATTAATATGAAAGTGCACAGCGCTGATGTGCGGAAGCGAAAAGCAAATCATTTATATCAATTAGCAAAAATGAGCTTTGTGCAAACTCGCAATGAAGAATGATCTCAGAGACAGGAAGCCCAGGAGGGAAGCCTGGGAGGGACCCCCGGAGCCTCCTGAAGGAAGCGAGGCTTTGGGCGCAGTATCAGGATTGCATTTTGTCCCCTCTCCCTCCCACAAGGTCCCTGGAATCAAGAGACTTAACAGGTAAAGCCATGCTTCACTGTTCTCAAATTTCAACAAGACTCCCCACAGCAAGCTCCAATGCAAAGTCTTTCTTGTCAACGTGTGTCCTGAGTCAGCCCACGTTTCTCTACCGCCACTGCCTCCCTGAGCGGAGCCCCATCATCCATCATGGCCCCCCTGGGTAATGATAACAGCACCTCTCTCTCTCCAGGCTTCCACTCTGGCCGCCTTCAACCCACACCCACATTCATGCAATGTACACTGCAGTCAGATTGAGCTTTTATTTTTTTAAAATCTTCATTCATGTATGTATGTATGATGTATGTATGTATTTTTGAGACAGAGTCTTGCTCTGTTGCCCAGGCTGGAATATAGTGGTGCAATCTCATTTCACTGCAACCTCTGCCTCCTGGGTTCATGCAATTCTCCTGCCTCAGCCTCCCAAGTAGCTGGGACTACAGATGCCTGCCACCACACCTGACTAATGTTTGTTATTTTTAGTAGAGATGGGGTTTTGCTATGTTGGCCAGGCTGGTCTCAAACTCCTGACCTCAAGTGATCCTCCCACCTCAGCCTCCCAAAGTGCTGGGATTATAGATACCAGCCACCACGCCCAGCCAGACTGAGCTTTTAAAATACAAATCAAATCATGTCACCCTCCAGTGCTGAAACCATTGCTGTTAGAATAAAATCTAAACTCCTCATCACGGCACTCAGGGACCCACGTGGCCTGGCTTCTGCCGACCTCCCAGCCTCTCCCCTGGCTCCCTCCATTGCAGCCACGCGGGCCTCCTTGCTATTCCTTCACGTTGCCTTGCTCATTCCTGCCCTGGGCCCTTTGCACGTGCTGTTTGCCACATCTTTTCCTGGCTGCTCAGTTTTATCTTTCTCGCCTTGATTCAAACGTGACTCCCCCACCCAGGCGAATGTCACTGTCCTTGGTTGCTATGTATCCCCTTCACATCCCTTCAATCCACAGACACCTGGTAAACACCTTTCGTGTTCCAGCCACATTCAAGGCCCTGGGGATATGGCAACAAATAAGATGGACAAAAACCCTGTTTCATGGAGTTATATCCTGGTCCAGATGGTGGGAGAAGTGTACAAAAACTGCCAGCTGGGTAAAGAAGACAAAAAAAGATGCCAAATAATGAAAAGCGCTATGAGGAAAACGAAGACGGGAAGGGAGGCAAGGCTGTACTTAGAAGCCGGGTGGTCAGGGTGGGCTTCGCAGAAGAGGTGACACACAGGTGAAGACCTTAGCGGGAGGAGGGACTCCGTGCAGATGTCTGGGGGAAGAGTGCTCCGGGCAGAGGGAAAAGCAGGCGCAAAGGCCCTGGGGCCAGCCCATGCCTGTTGTGTTTGAGGAGCGTGGAGGAGGCCACCGTGGCCGGGGCAGAGTGAGTAGGGGAGGGGAGATGAGGTGGAGGCCAGGGGCTGGAGGCTACGGCTGGACTCTGGCTTTTGCTCTGGGTGAGGTGGGAGCTGAGGGAAGGTCTGGAGCAGAAGAGGTCTAAACAGAACCCCTCTGTGAGGATATCAACCATCAGGGCCCAGACAAGCACTGGTTCGGGAGCAGTGATGACTATGGAGTAGGTTTGCCGAAGGAGGGCCATGTTTCTTATCTTTGATTCTGAATGACTCTCAAGGATCGCACAGCGGAGAAACAGAGGAGAGGAGAGGTTTTAACTCTTCCCTGGGGGCTCCAAAGGGCTTTCTTGGGCTCTCTGCTTGCATTTTTTCATTCATTCACTTCAGACCTAGCAGAGGTTTTGGAGACAGATAAAGTTGGGTTCAATGGCCAGCTCCACCACTTCCTAGCTGGGTGACTTTGACCAAAGACCTTAACTTCTCTGGGCTTAGGTTGTCTCAGATGAACAATGGGGGTCAAACGGTACCACTTCCTTCTTCCTTTTTTCCTGCTTCCTTCTTCTGCTTCCCCTTCCTTCTTCTACGTCCCCTTCCTTCCTCCTTTCTTTCCTCCTTCCTTCCTTCTTCTTCTTCCTTCTTCCTCATTCTTTCCTTACTCTTTCCTTCCTTCCTTCTTCCTTCCCTCCTTCCTCCTTCCTTCCTCCTTCCTTCCTTCCTCCTTCCTTCCTTCCTACTTTCCTGCCTTCCTTTTTTTGTCATTAAACTGTTAACTTCTATGAGGACTGTGACTTGGATCTACGTTGCTTATTGCCCTATTTCCAGGGCCCAAGACCTTGCTTGGCACAGAGTGGGTGCTCCATAAATATCCATCAAATGGGTGAATCCCCGCGAGTCCTGAGCAGATGGAAAACACCTTGTCAGGGTCAGGGTTGGTTGGAGACTGGAGTAAATGCCAAATTCCAGAAACACAGATCCAAGTGGGGACAACAGATGTGTCTGCCAGGAACTGAATCACCCAGCAGAAAGTGACATGCGTCCCAGGCCTTGTTCTAAATTCCAAGAGGGCAAACAAACGTGCGTTCATGAAATGTTTGATGTCTGCCTGCAGCTCATGTGTAAGCTGTAGGTCAAATTTATGGGCCAGAGAGAGTCGTATTGCAAAGTGCTGTGTGTACACGTGTTATCGCACTGGGGCCACTTGTGTAATCAATATGCGCTATTCAGTCTCAGGGCGTATGTTCATTGTCTTAACTATGATGGAGGTGTAGCTCGGAGACTCTGTGCCAGGAGATCAGCAGAGCCTGGGGCCTCAAGGGGACTCCCTGCGGGGGAGAGGGACAGCCGTGTAGCAGAGTGACAATGAAGGCTTCTGATTTAATGTGCAGTTTCCAGGCCATGTGTCAGCCGTTCACGTGTGTGGTTTCATTGAATCCTCAGACAGCGCTTGAGGGACGGTCCTGGACTAATTCCATTTTACAGATGACAGCACTGCAGAACAGAGGGGTCTAGTGTTTTTCCCAAGGTCACACAGTTCTCAAGTTGCAGAGTAAAGACTTAAATCCAGCTGGGTGCAGTGGCTCACGCCCGTAATCCCAGCACTTTGGGAGGCCAAGGCGGGTGGATCAACTGAGGTTGGGAGTTCGACACTAGCCTGATCAACATGGAAAAACCCCGTCTCTACTAAAAATACAAAATTAGCTAGGCATGTGGTGGCACATGCCTGTAATTCCAGCTACTCGGGAGGCTGAGGCAGGAGAATCACATGAACCTGGAGGTGGAGGTTGCAGTGAACTGAGATCGCGCCATTGCACTCCAGCCTGGGCAACAAAAGCGAAACTCTGTATCAAAAAAAAAAAAAAGACTTAAACCCAGGTCCACCCTGACTGATCAAAAGCTAGGGTGCCCAACCCCCCCTGGTTTGTCTAGGACCGTCTCTGTTTGAAAACGTACAGTCCCACAACCTGGAAACCTGCGAAGATCCCAGGCTAAGAGGAACTGTTGTTGACCCTATGTAAGATCCATGCTTTGAACCACACAGTTACCCTTTGGTGGGAAAGCATAGAAGGCAGTGGTGAGGTTTTCCCAGGCGGTGTAAACTCACACAGAGGGACAAGAACCTGGGAAAGGAAAGGGTATGCTTGAGGAGTGGGGCTGTAACTGAGTATCCCAGCCTCAAAATGCATTTGGAAACTTTTTTCCTTTCTTGTTTTCAGCCTTGAAACATTCTTTGAAATGCTCTGGTATCCCTTTCCCACCAGGCGCTCCCGGGCACAGGGCTCGCTTATCTAACTGTGTGCTTGCTAAGAAATTCCAGAGGCTCATTTTGAAACAAACTGGGCAGAGAGACCAAGCTGTAGAATCATCCCGCTTAGGCGGAGTTATGAACCGTTAGCCCACCACTACCAGGCAGGAGCCAGGACGACACAAATCAGACCTCGAGATGGGCGATTGTTCGAGATGACCATCAGAACAAAACCCACAGCCCCGCACCCTCCTGCTCCACTCATGCTCCACCCCTGCTCCACTCCTGCTCCACCCCTGCAGGCTTCCTGCACTAAGTTTTCCTTTTTTTTTTTTTTTTTTTTTTGGAGACAGAGTCTCGCTCTGTTGCCCAGGCTGGAGTGCAATGGCGCAATCTCAGCTCACTGCAACATCTGCCTCCCAGGTTCAAGCAATTCTCCTGCTTCAGCCTCCTGAGTAGCTGAGATTACAGGCACATGCCACTATGCCCAGCTAATTTTTGTATTTTTAGTAGAGAAGGGGGTTCACCGTGTTGGCCAGGCTGGTCTCAAACTCCTGACCTCAGGTGATCCACCCACCTCGGCCTCCCAAAGTGTTGGGATTACAGATATGAGCCACCGTGACGGGCCCAAGTTTTCCTTCTTAAACTCCTCATTCAGCCCAAAAGGCAGAGATGACTTCTTTGAAGCAGAAGCCTGGCCGTCTTCCAGCTGCTTGTACTGGATCAATAAAAGTGCCTTCCTTCCACCACACCTCGCTACCGCTTCTCGCATTTTCTGCCTCTGAACAGGGAGCAGCTGGACTTCAGCCAATTAGAGAAGTGGCCATATTTCATTGGAATTTTTTAACTTTCCATTTTAAAGCAAGTATAGACTCATAGGAAACTACAAAACATATTACAGAGGGGTGGAGCCAAGATGGCCGAATAGGAACAGCTCCAGTCTATAGCTCCCAGCGTGAGCGACACAGAAGATGGGTGATTTCTGCATTTCCATCTGAGGTACCGGGTTCATCTCACTAGGGAGTGCCAGACAGTGGGTGCAGGACAGTGGGTGCAGCGCACCGTGCGCGAGCCGAAGCAGGGCAAAGCATTGCCTCATTTGGGAAGCGCAAGGGGTCAGGGAGTTCCCTTTCCTAGTCAAAGAAAGGGGTGACAGACGGCACCTGGAAAATCAGGTCACTCCCACCCTAATACTGCGCTTTTCCAATGGGCTTAAAAAACGGAACACCAGGAGATTATATCCTGCACATGGCTTGGAGGGTCCTACGCCCCCAGAGTCTTGCTGATTGCTAGCATAGCAGTCTGAGATCAAACTGCAAGGCGGCAGCAAGGCTCAGGGAGAGGTGCCTGCCATTGCCCAGGCTTGATTAGGTAAACAAAGCAGCCGGGAAGCTCGAACTGGGTGGAGCCCACCACAGCTCAAGGAGGCCTGCCTGCCTCTGTAGGCTCCACCTCTGGGGGCAGGGCACAGACAAACAAAAAGACAGCAGTAACCTCTGCAGACTTAAATGTCCCTGTCTGACAGCTTTGAAGAGAGTAGTGGTTCTCCCAGCATGCAGCTGGAGATCTGAGAATGGGCAGACTGCCTCCTCAAGTGGGTCCCTGACCCCTGACCCCCGAGCAGCCTAACTGGGAGGCACCCACCAGTAGGGGCAGACTGACACCTCACAGGGCCGGGTACTCCTCTGAGACAAAACTTCCAGAGGAACGATCAGGCAGCAGCATTTGCGGTTCACCAAGATCCGCTGTCCTACAGCCACCGCTGTTCTGCAGCCACTGCTGCTGATACCCAGGCAAACAGGGTCTGGAGTGGACCTCTAGCAAGCTCCAACAGACCTGCAGCTGAGGGTCCTGTCTGTTAGAAGGAAAACTAACAAACAGAAAGGACATCCACACCAAAAACCCTTCTGTACATCACCATCATCAAAGACCAAAAGTAGATAAAACCACAAAGATGGGGAAAAAACAGAGCAGAAAAACTGGAAACTCTAAAAAGCAGAGCGCCTCTCCTCCTCCAAAGGAACGCAGCTCCTCACCAGCAACAGAACAAAGCTGGACAGAGAATGACTTTGACAAGTTGAGAGAAGAAGACTTCAGATGATCAAACTACTCTGAGCTACAGGAGGAAATTCAAACCAATGGCAAAGAAGTTAAAAACTGTGAAAAAAAAATTAGACGAATGGATAACTAGAATAACCAAAGCAGAGAAGTCCTTAAAGGAGCTGACAGAGCTGAAAGCCAAGGCTCAAGAACTATGTGAAGAATGCAAAAGCCTCAGGAGCCGATGCGATCAACTGGAAGAAAGGGTATCAGTGATGGAAGACGAAATGAATGAAATGAAGCGAGAAGGGAAGTTTAGAGAAAAAAGAATAAAAAGAAATGAACAAAGCCTCCAAGAAATATGGGACTATGTGAAAAGACCAAATCTACGTCTGATTGGTGTACCTGAAAGTGATGGGGAGAATGGAACCAAGTTGGAAAACACTCGCAGGATATTATCCAGGAGAACTTCCCCAATCTAGCAAGGCAGGCCAACATTCAGATTCAGGAAATACAGAGAACGCCACAAAGATACTCCTAGAGAAGAGCAAACACCTCTACGCAAATAAACTGGAAAATCTAGAAGAAATGGATAAATTCCTCGACACATACACCCTCCCAAGACTAAACCAGGAAGAAGTTGAATCTCTGAATAGACCAATAACAGGCTCTGAAATTGTGGCAGTAATCAATAGCTTACCAACCAAAAAAAGTCGAGGACCAGATGGATTCACAGCCGAATTCTACCAGAGGTACAAGGAGGAGCTGGTACCATTCCTTCTGAAACTATTCCAATCAATAGAAAAAGAGGGAATCCTCCATAACTCATTTTATGAGGCCAGCATCATCCTGATACCAAAGCCTGGCAGAGACACAACCAAAAAAGAATTTTAGACCAATATCCTTGATAAACATTGATGCAAAAATCCTCAATAAAATACTGGCAAACCGAATTCAGCAGCACATGAAAAAGCTTATCCACCATGATCAAGTGGGCTTCATCCCTGGGATGCAAGGCTGGTTCAACATATGCAAATCAATAAATGTAATCCAGCATATAAACAGAACCAAAGACAAAAACCACATGATTATCTCAATAGATGCAGAAAAGGCCTTTGACAAAATTCAACAGCCCTTCATGCTAAAAACTTTCAATAAATTAGGTATTGATGGGACGTATCTAAAAATAATAAGAACTATTTATTACAAACCCACAGCCAATATCATACTGAATGGGCAAAAACTGGAAGCATTCCCTTTGAAAACTGGCACAAGACAGTGATGCCCTCTCTCACCACTCCTATTCAACATAGTGTTGGAAGTTCTGGCCAGGGCAATCAGGCAGGAGAAAGAAATAAAGAGTATTCAATTAGGAAAAGAGGAAGTCAAATTGTCCTTGTTTGCAAATGACATGATTGTATATCTAGAAAACCCCATCGTCTCAGTCCAAAATCTCCTTAAGCTGATAAGCAACTTCAGCAAAGTCTCAGAATACAAAATCAATGTACAAAAATCACAAGCATTCTTATACACCAATAACAGACAAACAGAGAGCCAAATCATGAGTGAACTCCCATTCACAATTGCTTCAAAGAGAAGAAAATACCTAGGAATCCAACTTACAAGGGATGTGAAGGACCTCTTCAAGGAGAACTACAAACCACTGCTCAATGAAATAAAAGAGGATACAAACAAATGGAAGAACATTCCATGCTCACGGGTAGGAAGAATCAATATCGTGAAAATGGCCATACTGCCCAAGGTAATTTATAGATTCAATGCCATCCCCATCAAGCTACCAATGACTTTCTTCACAGAATTGGAAAAAACTACTTTAAAGTTCATATGGAACCAAAAAAGAGCCCGCATCGCCAAGTCAATCCTAAGCCAAAAGAACAAAGCCGGAGGCATCATGCTACCTGACTTCAAACTATACTACAAGGCTACAGTAACCAAAACAGCATGGTACTGATACCAAAACAGAGATATAGATCAATGGAACAGAACAGAGCCCTCAGAAATAATGCCACATATCTACAACCATCTGATCTTTGACAAACGTGACAAAAACAAGAAATGGGGAAAGGATTCCCTATTTAATAAATGGTGCTGGGAAAACTGGCTAGCCATATGTAGAAAGCTGAAACTGGATCCCTTCCTTACACCTTATACAAAAATTAATTCAAGATGGATTAAAGACTTACAAGTTAGACCTAAAACCATAAAAACCCTAAAAGAAAACCTAGGCAATACCATTCAGGACATAGGCATGGGCAAGGACTTCATGTCTAAAACACCAAAAGCAATGGCAACAAAAGCCAAAGTTGACAAATGGGATCTAATTAAACTAAAGAGCTTCTTCACAGCAAAAGAAACTACCATCAGAGTGAACAGGCAACCTACAAAATGGGAGAAAATTTTCGCAACCTACTCATCTGACAAAGGGCTAATATCCAGAGTCTACAATGAACTCAAATTTACAAGAAAAAAACAAACAACCCCATCAAAAAGTGGGGGAAGGATATGAACAGACACTTCTCAAAAGAAGACATTTATGCAGCCAAAAAACACATGAAAAAATGCTCATCATCACTGGCCATCAGAGAAATGCAAATCAAAACCACAATGAGATACCATCTCACACCAGTTAGAATGGCGATCATTAAAAAGTCAGGAAACAACAGGTGCTGGAGAGGATGTGGAGAAATAGGAACACTTTTACACTGTTGGTGGGACTGTAAACTAGTTCAACCATTGTGGAAGTCAGTGTGGTGATTCCTCAGGGATCTAGAACTAGAAATACCATTTGACCCAGCCATCCCATTACTGGGTATATACCCAAAGGATTATAAATTATGCTGCTATAAAGACACATGCACACGTATGTTTATTGCGGCACTATTCACAATAGCAAGACTTGGAACCAACCCAAATGTCCAACAACAATAGACTGGATTAAGAAAATGTGGCACATATACACCATAGAATACTATGCAGCCATAAAAAATGATGAGTTCACGTCCTTTGTAGGGACGTGGATGAAACTGGAAACCATCATTCTCAGCAAACTATCACAAGGACAAAAAAACAAACACCGCATGTTCTCATTCATAGGTGGGAATTGAACAATGAGAACATATGGACACAGGAAGCGGAACATCACACTCCAGGGACTGTTGTGGGGTGGGGGGAGGGGGGAGGGATAGCATTAGGAGATATACCTAATGCTAAATGACGAGTTAATGGGTGCAGCACACCAACATGGCACATGTATACATATGTAACAAACGTGCACACTGTACGCATCTACCCTAAAACTTAAAGTATAATAATAATAAAATTAAAAAACAAAAAACAAAACAAAACAAAACAAAAAAAAGAATAATTACACATAGTGTCCGAATTTTAGAGGAACCAGGCACAGAGGAAAAAAACATGTTCCAAGTTTTGTTAAGAGGAGTATACTGATCGACAGTGTTAAAAGCTGTAGCTAGTTTAAAATAAAGTGTACCTGACTTTAAAAAACAAAACAAGAATTATAAATATTCTAAAATAAAGATAAATAGATTGCTTCCTTCTTTTGTTAGTTTAGTCTATTTTAACATTTGTCCTGCTTGATATTTATAAACATTTTAGCTATTCCTAAGTTCTGTTCATTTTTTCTGTTATAAAAAATTTTTTCTGTTATAAAAAATGTAAGAGTTGAGAACACCTGGTAAAGCTCTACAGCTAGTTATATGCTGTTTTTCTTGAGGAAGTTTAAACCTCTGTAAATCACAAAATATCTAGGGTGGTTAGAAACATAATAGACAAAGACATTTGGTTATTTCTGTGGTTTACAGGAGCTTAACATAATAATTTTAATTAAAATTGACAGCACATATTCAGAGATTAAGAACATTAAAAACCCCATGTGGTTTTGAGACCTGTGTTAATATTACTCAGGAAAATATATTCTGAAAAAATAAAATATTACCATCAAAATAAAAAAAAAAACATATTACAAAGAATCCCATGTAGAATCCCCTTTGCCCAGCTTCCCCCAACAGCAGTTCCCTAACCTTTTTGGTACCAGGCACTGGTTTGGTAGAAGACAATTTTTCCACAGACCAGGGGGCAGGGGTAGGGATGGTTTGGGGATGAACTGTTCAACCTCAGATCAACAGGCATTACTTAGATTCTAATAAAGAGCATGAAACCTGGAGCTCTCACATGTGGAGTTCACAATAGGGTTCCCGCTCCTATAAGAATCTAATGCCGCTGCTGATCTGATGGCCACTCACCTCCTGCTGGGCGGCCCAGTTCCCAGCAGACCACGGATCAGTACTGGCCCGTGGCCCAGGGGCTGGGGACCCCTGCTCTGACTGACTAGGCCTGGGTCATGTGTCCTCCCATGGAACCAGAATTAGGATCAGCCTGAAAGTGGGGGACAAAAGATTCTCCAAGTGAAACTGGGCTACCGTCACCAGAAGACAGAGGAGAGACAGATGCTTAATGGGCACCAACCCCAGATCCGGAAGGACTCTGCCAGTGTGTTCAGGACAGGCTGCAGGTGAGAGGTCAGCTATTGTCACTGGCCAGTCAAGAAATGAACAAGGTGGGGGCAATTGTCCGTTAGGCCCAGAGGGAGCAGTGCTTAGGGCTCATGGCACTTGTAGGAGCCCACACAAATATTTTCATTTCTTTGAAAATCAGGGCCAGGTGCGGTGGCTCATGCCAATAATCCCAGCAGTTTGAGAGGCCAAGGCGAGCGGATCAGGAGTTTGAGACCAGCCTGACCAACATGGTGAAGCCCCATCTCTACTAAAAATACAAAAATTAGCCGGGCATGGTGGCGGGTGCCTGTAGTCCCAGCTATTTGGGAGGCTGAGACAAGAGAATCACTTGAATCCTGGAGGCGGAGGTTGTAGTGAGCCGAGGTGGCACCACTGCACTCCAGCCTGGGTGACAGAGCGAGCTTCCACCTAAAAAAAGGAAAAGAAAATCAGAAGAAAAAGTGACTATACTTTAGCCTGGATTATATTTGCTTTTATGCCAACATAGTCATAAAATATAAGTTTAATTTATTTCTTTTTAGGAAGAAGGGGCCCAGGAAGATGGACACAGTAGCCCTAGGTATTTGCTTGGATATGGTGGACAGAGAGAGGCAATTAGGAAGTTTCCCAAATTTGGATCCTGGCACCTAAAAGGATGGTTTGGTCATCTGAAGGGGGATGGGTGAAGAACTGAGTCTCAGCCAACTTAGTTGCAGGTGCTAAGGCGAGGATAGGATTATAGCCTTTGGGGTTTGGATCCTAGATCTGTGAGCACCAGAGTGACCTTGGGCAAGGCCCTTTACCTCCCTGAACCTCTTGTTCCCCATCCATACAATGGACAGAATAACTGGCATCTTTTCTGGATTGTCATGGGGATTACACGAAGCATCACATGTGCTTAGCAAAGGGTTCAGCATATAGACGGTGTCTAACAAATGGAGTCTGGGTATTAGATTTG
The DNA here is from genome assembly GCF_000001405.40 of Homo sapiens. Lineage (NCBI taxonomy): Eukaryota > Metazoa > Chordata > Mammalia > Primates > Hominidae > Homo > Homo sapiens. The sequence goes on from NC_000020.11 coordinate 48,593,745, forward strand.
GGAGACCTCAGAAGAGAATTTGATAAAGAGATTAGGACCAGAAATGAGATGACCTGAAGCTGTGAGCAAAGAGGGATTGTGCAAGAAAGCAGTTGAGGAGAGACAAGGAGGCAGAGGTCCCAGGACATGAGCCACTGAGGACCCTAGGAGGGAGACAGTTAGCACAGGTGGTAAGAAAGGAGGTGTATCCTGGCCTCAGGATCTTGAAAGCAAAGGGAATGATGGGCATCAGGAAGCTGGAGGTTATTACCAGGGTCTGAGTGGTGGAGAAAGGTTCTGGGGGAAAGAAAGATAAAATCGATATCTGTGCTTTTGTCTGAGCAGTTTCTAAGCCCCATCCTTTTCATTCATTCACTTGTTCATTCATCTATGCATTCTTTCAGCCAGCAAATATTTACTGGGCCTGGAGTGGTGGTTCATGCCTGTAATCCCAACACTTTGGGAGGCCAAGGTGGGTGTATCACTTGAGTCCAGCAGTTCAAGACCAGCCTGGCCAACATGGTGAAGCCCCATCTCTACTAAAAATACAAAAATTAGCCGGGCGTGGTGGCGGGTGCCTGTAGTCCTAGCTACTTGGGAGGCTGAGACAGCAGAATCACTTGAATCCTGTTGAACATGGCGAAATCTTGTCTCTACAAAAATTAGCTGGGCATGGTGGTATGTGCCTGTAGTCACAGCTATTTGGGAGGCCAAGGTGGGAGGATTACTTGAGCCTTCGACGTGGAGGTTGCCGTGAGCTGAGATAGCACCACTGCACTCCAGCCTGGGCGACAGAGTGAGACCCAGTCTCCAAAACAGACAAAAAAAAACCCACAAAACAAATAGTTACTGGGATCATTTCATTGTATGTTGGTCACAAGGTCACCACTTATGCAGTCTCTGCCACAGGGCCATCTGGAGCTCTCCTGGTTCCCACCTGTCCCAAGTCTGCTTCTCAGGCTTAGCTGATCATCTGAGCCTCCTTTCTGCATCCAGTAAACCCCATCGGCCTCAGTGAGCCAGATCCAGTTTCTGTTGCTGGAAACCAAAGAACCCGACTGGATAGCTCCCCCCCACACACAGTGCATGTGTTTTGTAGGGGAATGACTCCTACAGTCTACTTCAGGGTGGGCATGTCGCCTAAGCCAGGCCAATCAGAGCAGCCAACAGTCAGTGGGCCTCACTCTAGTTTACTGAGAGTCACTGGGATATTGCTGGAACTCTCACAAGGGAGAAAGTGTCTTTCCACTGGGCTTTGCTGAGCTGGTAGGATAGCAGACCAGAGTTGATGGGGGCCATCACCATCACTGTGAGGGAAGAGCTTTCCAGGGGATGAAGTCAACAGCAAAAATCACAGATGAGAAAGGGAGACAAATGCTTCATAGTATCACTAGAGCTCCTAGATCCAGCCTCTCCTGAAACCCCTAGACTTTCCCACTGCTGGGCCAATGATGTCCCATTTTGACTTAAGTCAGTGGAATTGGGCTTACATCCTTTGCAATCAAAACACGCTTCTGTTTAACACAGAGACTACAACACCCTGAAACAAATTGCAATCTCCGCATTTCTTCATGGACAAATGGTGTAACTAACTAAATGTGAGAACGCAGCGCACAGCAGTGCCTCCGTACCTGTCACTCACCTTTCAGTCCCCTAGGAGGACTCAGGCATGAGCTTGCCAGCCAGAAAAAAGGAAGGAAGCTGCAGGCTATTTCTCAAATTCACATTCCAAGGTGAACAACAGGAGCCTCACCTCCCCCTGCTCGCTAAACTCACACACATTCCCACATCAGCTTTTCATCACAGTATCGGGCCACCCAAAGTATTCCAAAATAGACCATCTAAATTCTAAGAAGACAAGCAAAGCCAGTGTTAATGAAATGTATAATGCCTGTTGTAGCTCACAGGTTAGTTTTACATCAAGTTTATGGGCCTGGAGCAGTACATTTATAATGTATGATGTGTGCATGTTTACTACATTGGCGCACCCACATATAATCAACGTGGACTAGAGATTTATGGCCATCTTTATAAGACTTGGAGTATAATTTCATTACTTTTAAATATTTACAGAGGCTGAAAGTTGTAACTTTCCTTTTATGGCGTAGTGTGGGATACTGTGGTCCTGTCTGTGATGTGTTTAATACTCAGTCCTCATTTAGAAAAACCCCGAGGACAGCCCTGGGCCTTTTGGGGACAAGCAGCTCTCTGAGGACCCCACAGGAGGCCCTGGGGAGGAGGAGGAGTTCTGAGCAGACATGAACCCCAGTGGGTGGGCGGGCAGGTCTGTCTCAGGGCTCAGAGGAGACCCTTCCCTGTGACCCAGAAGCTCAGAGGAGACTCCTGGGAAGAGGCAGGACTGGGCTGAGCCTGGAAGGGCAAGTGGGGCCTTAGGAAGGGAGCAGCTGGGGGGCGGGGCTTCCCAAGAGAAACCACATGATGCTGTGGTCGACGTCCCCAAGCTCTAAGTCACTCAGGTTTCATGCTGTTGTGTCTCCATAAATCTTCCCCAGACAGAGTAGAGAAAGAAGGACAAAGCATAAATCCACAGAAGTTGGACGATCCTTATTTTGGGAGGGAGAGTCTAGGTCAATGTCTGGTTCTGGATGCATGGTTGTAAGCAGGAACTGTAGGGAGGCACTGGTGACATGGGTGGGATCAATACGCAGCTCTCTCCAAAGGATCTGAGTGAACCCATTGAAAAAGACCCCTCCCACATCCCAGTGGTTTCCACAGTGACGAAAGGAGACTAAAGGTTGTGTGTGTGTAAATTAGCAGCAGAGTCAGCTGCAAGTGACAATAAACCCATTATAAATGTGCCTTAGGGAAGACATAAAATGATTTGCCTCTGTGGTAAGCAAAGCCCAGAAGTAAGTAGCCAGGGCTGATGGAATAGCTTCACTTGGAAAAAGGATTCAGGCACAAACCAGTTATTCAGTCAAGCACAACGCATTACACACCTCATAATTCAATATGGCTGCTTGAGCTCCAGCCATCACACTCACATTCCACTTAGCAGTGGGGAGGGAGGTGCAGAAACATGTGTTCCTGTTCCCTGAAGACACTTTCTGGAAATTACACATGGCCCTTCTGTTCCTGTTCCATTGACAACACCTTAATTACACATTCACATATATAATCGCAAGGGAGGCTGAGAAATGTAGTCATTATTTTGGGTAGCTATGTGCCAGCTGAATTCTTTCTTCCTGAAAGAGGAAAGGGAGAACAAAATTGGAGGAAGTCAGCAGTCTCTTCCATTCTGTACATGAATGTTTGCACAGGTGAGGCCCCTAGGTGTATTGTGGGAATGTGTCCACACCTGTGTTGGAAGCATTGTTCACCATCAGTTATTAAGCATCCACTCAAGAAATTCTGCTGTGTAAGAAAATGCATGGATAATAAATGCATATGGGCCATGGATTCTATGGAAATAAATATATGTATACGAATAGATATGGGTATAAGTGTAATTGTGTATGCTCATGCTCACATATGTATTCCCTAATTTGCTTATTTATTCAGCTAGTATTTCCTGAGCCCCTACTATGTGTCTGGGACTGTTTCACACACTTGTGATTTAGCATGGTAACATGGCAGTCAAGGTCATTGATCTCATGAAATTTAGTCTATTGGAAGAGATGGACAAAACCCAAGTACATGAATAATCAAGTAAGATAATATCATCATGACATTTGTGTAATGAAGAAAATAAACAGTGTGGTGCTTTAGGGATCAATGGGGAGAACAGGGTGCACCCATGACGGACAGGAGGGTTGTGGAGGGTGTCCCTGAGGAGGTGACATTGAAGAAAACCCATCGGCCCAGGTACCGCCAGGCATTTGTTTCCAGCTCACTCCCCTTCTCAGAGCTCCAGGCGCTGAGCTCCAGATGCCACCAAAGTTTATTCTGCCCCAGGTCCACGTGGCCCAAGGGAAGCTCCTGTTTCTCTTGCACAACCTGCCCCTCCCTCCCTCAGGCTGCCTCATGCAGCCCGTGGATGCACTATGTACTGAATGCTGGAGGGGCTGGGTAAGGAGCAGTCCAGGCAGAGAAAGCAGCAGTGCAAAGTCCCTGGGGCAGGAAAGACAATCCTCTAGTGGAGGATAGAAAGGAGGCCAGGGCACAGCCAGCCCCAGGTGACCCTGAAATGAAGGAGCCAGGTGAGCCCCAACACCACCCTGCTGACCTCCCACTGGGACTCCCCACTGGGGGGACACATCAAGAATCAGAAGCAAGGGAGCCTTGTGGTGTGGGCCACCTGGTCAGCCTGCAGGTCACAGAGAAGGGGAAGGTGGGGAGAGGACCCGGAGGACAAAGGGCAGTCATGTGGCACAGGCTGGGGCCAAGGCCGGGGCGCTGGCATTCATTCTGAGTCAGGTGGGAAGCCGTGGGGGCAGCAGGCAGAGAGATGACAAGGCCTGACTTGCAGGTTTAAAGTGTCCTGTCTTTGCCATGGAGACAGTAAACTGCAGAGGCCCCGGGTGGAGGCATCTGCGGTGACCCAGGGAGAAGTGATGGGGGCTCTGCCTAAGTGTGGACAGGGCAGGTGTGCAGAGGCGGCCTGCCTTGGGTCAGAGTGGAAAAGCCACACTGAGGGACTCCAGGTGGCTCTCAGGTCTGCCTTGAACAGTAGAGTGACAGCCCCGTCCCTGGACAGAAGCAGCCTGAACGTCTGAGCAAATGGCGGGATCCAGACCCTGCTGGATGCTGGGGGTGAGAGCTGGAATGGGACAAACAGCCTCTCGCCCTGGGCCACCTCCAGAAAAGTCCACCTCGGGCCTCAGAAGGTGCAGACAGCGGGAATGAGCGAGGTGCCCAAGGGTGGCCCCGCGCCAGGGCACCGCTGTCCTCACATTTTCTTTCCCATCCATTAGGAGGAAATGCACTGGGGCCACAGCCGGCTTCCTGCTGAGAAATCAATGGCTCATTAGAGTTCACCTTTGCTTCCCCTCTGCCCTCAGGCTATTAAAACTGGCCAGGACAGAGCAAGACTCAGCCTACCCAGGAAGGACAGCAGGCCCCGCCCCTCCTGCAAGGCCACTCCAGCCAGGGCAGCAGCTCTGTCCCCAAGACCCCCCGGCAGCCTTGCTGAGGGCCTGGCCCCGGCCCTGGCCCTGGCCCTGCAGAAAGGAGACCACGTCAGCCTGGAGTGGAGCAGGCGCAGCTGTCCTGCATCCCCAGTTCAAATCCTGTCTCCACCACTCATGGGACCTGTGACCCTGGGAGTCACTTCCCCTCCCTGGGGCACAGCCTCCCTGTCTGTAAAATGAGGTTTACCATGAGAGTATCAGCGCTCCTCTTGCAACCAGAGGCTCCACTGGTTTGAGCAGAGAAAGCAATAGATTAAAGGGTTGTCAGGGGCTTTGGAAACTCTGCGAGGACAGAGAGACAAGTGTGGGGGGCTATGCAGGCAGCAGGACATAGGATCCCTGGCAGGACTGATCCCTGGGGATCCAGCATTGCTGCTGTGGCCACAGATACCGCAGCCTGCACCCTGACACCCACCCAGGGGCCACGGTGCAAATTCCTCCCCCACACTCAGTCCAGGTGGTTCAAGCCCCTTCTCCGCACAGAGATGTCACGTGACCTGGGTCTGGCCAGTAAGATCCGTAGACTGTCTGGGCCAATGAACGTCACCCCAAGGTTGTGCCAGACTCACTGGGAAAGAGCCCAGTTTCTGCTGAGGGTGCTAAGTTGGAGGATGGAAGCCTGGCTGCTGGGGACCTGCCTTGCCACTACCTGAAGGGCCAGTCTGAGAACTCCACTGACACAGAGGGAAGCAGGGCTGAGAGATGGAGAGAAGGCACCCTAGTGACACTGTAAGAGCCCCTGGATGCAGCTGTGCCTGAAGCCACATTGTGAATGTGGAACAGCAAACCAGACATTTTTGTGTCTTTGTTCTTGGTTTTGTTGCAGTCCTTGATTTGGGTTCTGCCACTTGCAGCCGAAAGATCAAAAAATAATACAAGAAAACACCTGGCATGCCATAGGTCAGTGTTAATTCCAACACTGGGGGAGGAGGGTGTTAGAGGTGAGCAGTGGAGGTGAGGAAAGGAGAGAGATGAGAGCCCCATGCACTTCTTACCCATATCCTCAAGGTGATGGGATTCCACCATCTGTGACATGAAGACCTGGGGCAGGGGTCCGGGCACTGCAGGGAGGGGCCCTCCATTCTCATCAGCTCCTCTCCCCTCCCAGAGGTGAGCAGACATCCTCCCAGGGGACCCAGGGTCCTGATGTGGAGTGTGTCCAAGGGAGTTTATCGGAGGGCAGGGAAGGGACCCCAGACATCTGCTTCCAACTGTTGCCCTGTTCTCTGTGCCAACAGCCCACCCAGGGCAGCAGCGTTGTGGAATCTTCTTCCCACTCACACCTGGAGAAAACGCCTCATGGAGATATGGGCAGAGCCTGGTATTTGGCACCAAACACACCTGAGTGCCTGATACCCTCTGTCACTCACTGGCTGTGTGACCCCAGGCCGGTCACCTCGCCCTCCCAGCCTCAGTTTCCTGGTCGGTGGAATGGGGGTAATGGTAACATAGATTAAGGGAGGCTTAAGGGAGTCGACATGTATGAAAGTGCCTGGTACATGGCAGGTGCTTGGAATGTGCGCCCTGGTTTTTCCCTCCTGCCAAGAGGCCTGGTGGGTGCAGGAATGACAACTGAGTCCACATCTGCCCTTGGTCAATTAAACAAAGTGGCTCGGAGCGTGAAATGCAACTCCTGGTCTGTTTTCAGGACTCAATAACCATTCGTGTGGCCATTATCACCATCGTCACCATTGTGATTGTTATGGGTTGTGGAGACGCACACCTGACATGCTGACTTGGGGAGATCTGGGCACTGATCAGAAGCGTGTTTATGTGAGGTGCTCATAGCCTGTGATGGTCAGGGAGAGCCTTCCAGAAGAGGACCTGAAGTGGCATCCAAAGTTCATGGGGGCTTGGGTGAGGTAGGGAGTGCTGAGGAACAATAGCTCTAACACACGTGCAGCTGCTGCTTATCGATGCGTTCACTGTGGGCAGCTGGGGCCTGGGTGCTCCAGGTGCCTGAGCTCATTCAATCTCCACAGCCCCAGGAAGTCGGTGTGAGTTTGATCACCCACATTTGAGGCTGAGGCAGGAGAACTGCTTGAACCCAAGAGGTGCAGGTTGCAGTCGGCTGAGATCGTGCCACTGCACTCCAGCCTGGGCAGCAGAGCAAGACTCTGTCCCAAAAATAAAAAAACGGTTACTGATGAGGCAAGTGAATGGCAGACAGGTTAGTAACTTACCCAAGGTCACACAGCAATGAAGTGGCAAAGTGGGGATCTGATCTCAGACAGCTGCGCCCAGGAGTCCACCCTCTTGAACCCTACGCTGTGCTGTCACTACGGTGGCTCTTCCTCGTATCCTCTCCCCGTGATTTTAAGACGCACTGAATTTTTAAGGACAGCATTAACTTGACATTGAGGGAAGATTTTCCGCCTTGTGGCCCATCCACTGCCATGCTCTTGCAGTGTGAGGTCACCGCACCCCACCATCACACGTGTGCCAGTCTGCATTTGTCACCCACCTGCATTCCCTGTCCTGCTGTGAGGTGTGACCACCTGATGGCCCCATTCCAGTGTGTTCATCCTCAGAGATGTCAAGAAAGCAGCTGGGTGCAAACGAGTCCTATTTAGAGACCAGATGAGGCCCATCTCAGCCCACCGCTCAAATGGGGAAAATGTACCTTCGTTATTTTCTAAAACTTCACTTAGTCTTGGCAGCATTAGAGCAAGCTGGTTGAAGCATAGACTCTGGATCTAGAATGCCTGGTTTGCATCCACTTCCTCCCAGCAGTGTGACCCTGGCCAAGTTTACTGGAACACACTGTTTCTCCACTGAGCATGCTGTGCCTCAGTTTCTTCATCCATGTTGTGGGGATAACAGAATCTTTCCTTAGTATGGCTGAGAAGATTAAAAACTCTTTCCCATAAGAGTACTTAGATCAATGCCTGTAATGATAGATCTTATTATTTCTATTTGAGTCAATATTCTGCACGGGCAGTGGAAACGTAATCTTAGACAATTTGGGATTGATGCTTTCCCTTTTCTGAGTCTTTACCTGGTACCAGGTGACAGCAGGGACCAACATGGTGCCCAGGCACCACCTCCCAGAGCCAGTACTTGCTGGGACATCCATTCTTCAGCCTGGATCATGAGTGTCAGCTCAAGTGGTTGCCACGGAAGTGCTCCTTGTGGCTGAATGATGGTCCTTCCTGCCAATCTCTACTACTTCAGTGTTGCTTGAGGCACATGTAAAACACCTCATAGATCCTGCACCAGGGGAGGGAGGTGAAGGGCAGGCACTCCGCCACCCTCAGGACCCGACTGCCAATCCAGGAGTTACAAACGCAGATTTCTAAAGGGGTGGGCAAATGACCTAAGTGGGTAGATGGGCTAGCGGGGCTGCAGAAGAGCCCTATGTATAAGGGTGGCCACTTCTCAGCTCTGCCAAGCAGTTGTATAAGGGAAGGCAGACCCTGTAGAGCTTTTCTGTTTTTAAAGAAGCCAGAGTCGTTTGTGTGAAATAACCTATTAAAAAAAAAAATTGGCAAAAAAATGTTCAAAGAACCATGTGAAGGCAAACATATTGGAAAGGAAGAAATGAAACTATCCCTATTTGCATTCGACACACTTGTCTATATAGATAATTCCAGCAAATCTCAAAAACAAAAATGAAACGAACTCCTCCTAGAACCACTAGAACTAATAGTGAGATTAGCAAGGTCGACAAAGAAAAATCAATCATATTTCTGTACGATAATCACGTATGATTAGAAAAAAAATTAATACCACTTGAAAAAGATTCCCAAAAATGAAATACTTAAGTATAAATCTAACAAACATGTACAGGATTTGTATGCTTTAAACTACAAAATATTGATGAAAGAAATCAAGGAAGACCTAAATAAATGGAAATACATACCATGTCCATGGATTGTAGCAGTAAAGATGGAGGACAAAAGCAGTCAAGATGTCAGTTCTCCCCAAGCTGATCTTCAGATTTAGTGCAATGTTAATAAAAATGCCAGCAGGAATTTTTATACGTACAAACTTATTGTAAAATGTACAGGCAAAAGCAAAGAAACTAGAGTAGAAAAAGAACAATAATGTCAGAAGCATCACCACCCTACTTAGACTAACTGTAAAGCTGTAGTATCAAGACTGTGGTATTGATGAAGGAATTCATACATAGATCAGTGAAGGAGAATGAAGAGCCCAGAAACAAACCTACACAAATATGGGCAGTTGACTTTTAACAGCGGTGCAAAAAAAGCCAATCAATGGAGAACAGGTAGTACACTCAACAAATGGTGTTTGAACAACTGGTCATCTACATGCAAAAAAAACAAAAACAAAACTGAACCTCAACCTATATCTCACATCTGGTGCAAAAATTAACTCAAAATGTATCATAAATCCAAATGTAAAACACAAAATTATAAAACTCCTGCTCCTCCAGTGGAAGGCTGCTTAGAATAAGAAAGCTAAATCAGGGGCGTGGGGGGATGGGGATGATGAATTTCCCGCTCACCTAAGTATGAGGACCAGACTCAGTCCACAGTCTGACTAATGCTCATAGTTCAGGCCTGGGATGTCCCTGAGGGTGGGAACAGGGCCCATTCCCTCCCTGCATCCCCAACACCCAGGGGTGGATGTAAGCTGCCTCTTTGTGGCCTCTGCCAGGTAGGGGGTCAGGAGGCTGCATCCTTCCCTGGCCCTGGGAGCTGGAACAGACTGCTGCCCCCAGCCCCCTGCCCCCAACAGCCTGGGGCCCAACAGCTGCTGGGTAATTCCTCAGCCCCTGGCATGTGTCTGCCCAGACTCCGTAATCCCCAGACCTCCACGGGCTCAAGTGTCAGTTGTGCCTGATCAGAGAAGGAGGGAGGAGGAGGGGCGGAGTGATGCAGAGGAGGAGACAAGGGAAGGGAAATACTTGGCGGCCCTGGGAAATCCACCCCTGCAGCAGCTGTGAGGACTCATGGTGCACTGAGATTGGCCTCCCCACCAAATCCACAGGTATTTATGGAGGGCCCGCCGCAGGGGTCACAACTGGACGTCCCAGACTCAAATGCAGCCCACGGGCATTTGCAAGGGCCGGGCATGTTCAACACACCCAACACTCAGTAAGTTAGGACAGACACCAGCAATGCCCGGTGGGTGCTCACTGTGTAAATACGTGCCCTGGGCATGTGCCCTGTGGCTGTGCCCTGTGGTCCTGCCCTCATTTGCCTGCTGCAGATCCTGGCACCCACGTGCTATGATTGATGAGGCTCTTGTCAGAGCCACTTGAGGAGGCCTGTGTGCACCCACCAGCCAGGACATCCAGGAAGCCAGTCACAGCCCTAGTTCTAAAAGCCCAATTCTGGCCTTCCAGGAAGCTTCAGCCGACAAAGTATTGATCAGCCCATTGGATGATAGGAGCCTTGAGCTGCCCAGGTTCCTGCAAGATTCGGTGATCCTCGGTTCCAGGAGCCCGTCCTCCCAGGGCGGAGAAGAGCATCCCGGGGCTTCTGCAGGAGGCAGGAGGGTGGGCTTCAGGGCACACACAGAAGACCCCAGGGCAAGTCAGGACCCAGGGCTGTGCTCTGCCACCATCTTGGCCCTAAAGTAGGCATTCTTACTTTCCACCCTTATTACAGGTAATGAACAGGACCAGCCCTTTAGTCTCCCTGACGTACAAATACCTGGAGGCCCTGTAGGGCTCTGGCCTCAATTTCAGCCCTGCTCCTGCCATGGACTCCCAACAGCCTCCACTGATGGCAACTCTGTGCCCACCCTGCACCCAGCTCTCGGCTCACAGTGCCCTCTTCTTCTTCCCAGCGTCTCCCCAGGGCACCGTCCCCACTTTAAGGACCACAGGCCCAGGTGCAGTAACTCACGTGTCCTGGACCTCCTGCTGCTGAGGCTGCCGCCACATGGGACGGGGTCACTCCCCACTGCCTGATCCCCCATTTGCAGCCCCCTAAACTCTCCAGGCCACACCCACCCAGGCTTGGCCTTGCTGTTCCCTGTGCTGGAGCCCCGTGTCCCCACCCATTCCACCCCCAATTCTTCCGGGCTCCCCCATCTCCTCCAGGTCTCAGGATTCCTTCTGCGGCAGTCCCCTGGGACCTCCCTTGTTGACCCAGCACCCAAGACTCTCAGTCCATCCCTCCCTCCCTCCACTGTTTCTTCCTAAGACTTATCCCAATCTGACATTATAGTTTATATTTAACCATTCGCCTCTTCAATGTCTGTCTCCTGTCTTGAAATATCAACTCCAGGAGGGCAGAAATTTGTGGCATTTTTTCCACTGCTATGTTCTCAGGGCGCCTGGACACGCCACCAGGAACTTACAAGTACTCATGGATGAGTGTTGGGGAAACAGATGGAAAGAAAAGGCCTGGGGAGGGAGGCACGGGCTGACGGGCAGCGCTGGCCTTGGGACACTCAGGGAACCTTATGGCAAAGTCACCGCCCCCAGGGCTCCATGTCTTGTGCCTTCATTCATTCACCACCCATTCATTCATTTATTATTTCACCCAAACAGGCCTTTGCTGAACACCTGCCCTGTGCCAGCAGCTACTATGGGTTCTGTGAGTAAAGCAATGAGCAAAACAAACCAAAATTCCTTCAAAGACTTTAAAGTTCCATAGTGGAAGGTGTTTACCTCGCCCCTATCACCTCAATTGGGAGGGGTGAGGAGAGAAGGTCCCAGGAGGAAGGGGTTTCCTTCCTAGGCAGCTGTCACAGGTCCCGGCGAGCTGTCATGGCAGGCACAGCCCAGGACACCCCCAGACCCAGTGTGACAAGGGCCCTGGTAAGACAGGGAAGAGAAAAGTTTGATGGTGACAGAAGCCAGCAAGAGGACAGAGGGACAGAGGGGATGGAAGTGGCGGGGTCCGGGTCTGGGACTTTAAATGGGGTGACCAAGGATGGCCTCACTGAGAAGCAACATCTGGGTCATGACCAGAAGGAGGACACCAAATCCTCCCTGTGAGGGACACGATCATCATCCTTATTTTCCACGGGAGGCTCAGAGGAGTTCAGTAACTTCCCTGAGGCCACACAGCTGCTGCATGGCAAAGCCTGGTTTCAACTTGAAATCAGGCTCTTGACAGGCTATAACTCTGCTCCTCTACGTCTTGCCGGGGCTCTTGGTCACTCTAGGTCTGAGTGTCCTGGGCTGTGTCTGCCATGAGAGCTCACCCGGGGGCCTGTGACAGCCGCCTGAGAAGGACGCCCCTCCTCCCAGGGCCTTCTCTCCTCACCCCTCCCGATGTTCTAATGAGCAGGGAGAAAAGACATCATACGGCACAGCTAGAATTCATTCCAATATTAATTCTGAAACCTCATTTTCAGCGGATAATTAAATTACTTTTTAATTACAAACAGAATATCTGTACATTCCCTCTGAGTGAGCACGGGCGGGTGGGGAGGGGGAAAAATGGTGCCGCCTGGCATTTCCTGCTCTGTCCCCAGCACACAGCACCCCTGCAAATGGTCCCCTTCTTGTCACATCTGAAGGCTGGGAGCACATGTCCAGGCGACCCACCTGCCCAGTCACCGGACAAATCCCACCAATGAAGCCGTGTTCTCTGCTGCACGCAGGCAGAGCATGAAGCCCCCGCACTGCCGCCAATAGCCACCTACTCCCCAGCCCCTAAAAGTGCTCAAAGGGAGGACATCAAGTTTCCACTAAAACAAGGAGAAAAGGATCCCCTCGAGGTGAGCTAAGGACAGCAGAGACCACATTGCCTCAGATGGGCTGCAGAGAGGGGTCTGCGGTGAAGGCAGATGCGAGCTGTCCTGACCCAGGCACTTCTGCAACCCAGCAGAGAGCCCGGGCCAGGGCACAGTGTCACTGCAGAAAGCGACAGTGGACGGCAGCCTCTTCCCTTCGTGGAGACACATGTCACATGTCTGCAGCTACAGGGTCACAGCAGTGTCCCCTCCTGCTCTCTCCCCAGAGAGCCCCTCCTGCACCCTCTGGGCTGCCTCTGGCTGGAGTGTCCAGGCTGTCCAGGCCTGGGCAGGTGAATGACAGAGGAGGCTCCTAGAGGTGCAGCCTCTTGACCACTGACCAGGTGCAGCCTGGGGACCATCCCCAGGCCCTGGTCACCAAGTTTTTGGGGCAGGGTGGCCTGGTGGCCGCAGACTTTGGGGACAGAGGAGCTGGGTCAGCTCCTGGCTCCACGGCTGAGCAGCTGAGAAGGGGTGAGTGTCTGCTGCCAGCCACAGCTGTGCCCTGGGTGAGGAGAGGGCCCACCTGGGCTGGGGGAGCCCAGAGCTGCCTGGGCAGGGATGAGCATAGATGGTGACGGCCACCCACAGCAGCCCTGTCCATCAGAATCCACCCTCTGCATGACCAGCCCTGAAAGCCACCTTCTGTTGGCTTCTTCCTTCTCCTTGACCTCTGCCTGGCCCGTCCTTGCAGCCCCCGTCAGGGGGACACATGGCTGTCAGCACAGTGCAGCCCCCGGGAGCAGATGGCAGCGTCCAGTCCCCATGTCCTGCCCCACCTGCCTTTCACATGAAAATGGGAGAGACAGCCAGGCAGATGTATACGAAGCCAGGTGCACTGGGCAGTGTGGACGCAAGGCCATGTCCCCACCAGGTGGCTGGAGTAGCTGCTTGACAAATGGCCTCTGCTGGTGCCTGTCACTCCTGCAGCCTCTGTCCCTGGAGCCCTGTCCATCCTCTGCACAGAAATCACACCTGTTATCTCCCCTCCCCCAGCACTCTGCGACCACAGGATGGGAACAGCCAGCCCAGCCTCTGAATGTCCCATGGCCTGGTGAGCACGAGCGGTCCCTTTATTTTAAAGTGACACCCAGATACCCAGGGTGAGGAGCAGAGCCGAACCTTGCTGCTAGGACGAAAACGAAACAGCCCCAAAAGGGAACAGCTGCCACTGAGCTTCCCGGCCCCTCCTCTGCACCTCACAAGGCCCGGGGTCTCGGAACAGAAGTGGACTGGCATTTCACCCAACTGCTTCTTCATTTATTTCTTCCTTCCTTCATTCAGCAAATGCTGACAGGGTCTCCCCACTCAGAAAGGAGGGGATGACGACAGCCTGCTCAAATGTTGTTGGAGGGCCGTAGCTCATGCCTGTAATCTCAGCACTTTGGGAGGCCAAAGCACGCGGATCACTTGAGGCCAGGAGTTTGAGACCAGTCTGGCTTTTTGGCCAACATGATGAAATCTTATCTCTACTAAAAATACAAAAATTTGCTGGGTGTTGTGGTGGGCACCTGTAATCCCAGCTACCGGAGGCTGAGGCAGGAGAATCACTAGAGCCCACGAGGCGGGGGTTGCAGTCAGCCGAGATTGCACCATGGCACTCCAGCCTGGGCGACAGAGCAAGACTCTGTCTCAAACAAAAAACAAACAAATAAACAAACAAACAAAAATGTTGCTGAAGGACTAACACAGCTTTTCGTGGGAGTGCCTGGCACGGCCTGCTGGTAGGAGACGCCGTAGGATGCTTCCTGTCTCAGAACCTCCCCAGAGCCTTGTGCTGGCCTCATTAAAAATGAGTTAAATTTACTGCCCTAAATTTCCAGAATCAATGGGGAAAGGCCAAAAAGCAGAAACCAGGATCCCTGGCCCTAAGGAGCCTCCGTTTTCTCATCTGCAATAGGGGACTGGGGGAAGACAGGAGTTACCTGAGAGGATTCTGCCTGCATCGTGCGCCTGGAGCCCAGTGGGGATTGGATTTCCCAGACACCTTCTCTTCCACTTCTCTCTCTCATGCCTCCTGATCGCTCTCTGAAATTACCTTATTTATTTGATTATTTGCTTATTCTCTGTTTTCCCAGCAGACTGTGACTCGAGTAAGCAGAGAGGACTTCCTAGAAGAGGGGACTTGAGTGGGGACAATGGGATTAAGAGAGGCAGAAAGTTGGTGGGAGTAAATTCCAGGGAGCATAAGGCATTCAAAACCCAGGGCCCAGAGCAGGGATATCACAGGCGCAGTCTTGACTTTTGTTCCCTCCCAGAGGCTCAGACTTATGCCATTGGAGAACGGGTCTTTGAAAATTAATTCAATGTTTTATTCATCCTTAAATGCTTTAAAGCTACAAATCAAACAGTCACTGGGTGCTTTGCTAACCATGTCCTGGGCTCCTGTGTTGCCAATAACTGTGCTCTTTCACATACCAACCTGACCTTTCTCTGTCCCAGGCAAATGAATTTCTCCCAGTGTTCATTGCTCTAATTGCATCCACAGTGAGGCAGAGCAAACATCTTCTCCTCCTGGCTTGCATTATGCAAAACCTTAATCTCCCCAGGTTTCCTAAAGCACTGTGTGATTCGCAGCCTCCCAGTCCAGGAAATGCACTGTTTGATCTGCCAGTCCATATACATTAGATTTACTGGGGCAAATAAAGAGCGTTGATACTATAAACTATTGGGAAATAATGAACGCCCCCCCACTACCAGCCCAAGCATGGACATCCCATATATTTGCCTCTTAGGAAAAAAAATACGTAAGGTTGCTGATCACAAACATATTGTCAGATTTATATCCTGTGTGCAATCAACAAAATGAAGAGGAGAGCGGATTTCTGTCTCGGGCAAACTCTTGGGCTGTCTGGGGCTGGGGCTGGCCCATCCTGATCTTGGGCTAAATTGGCCTAAAGAAAGACCCCTGGAAGGCAAGGCAGGAAGGTAGCATGCTCAGGGTTGTAGCAAGAACACACTAAGAGAGAGCTGGCTTTGAAGCCTGGCTATGCACCTTTGTTGCTTTGTGACATTGAGTGGGAAGGTGGCTCAACCCTTCTGGGCTTCAGTTTCCTCACCTGTCACCAAACCAGACAGCCGAGGGTTAAATGCAGTCCTGGATGGAATCTTTGTTAGGCAGCTTCTGTGCCTGCCAGGCCCTGGCCTGGGGTCTGGGTAAATAGTGGAGACCATGATAGGCAGGACCTTGACCTCAGGGTGCCCAGAGAGAACAGGCCAGGGAAGAAAGCTGTTGACTGGGTAACCTCAGACTATGACAAGGCTTGTGAGAGTGACTGGGGAGAGGACAGTAACATTTACCAGATAACAGAGACTCAACACTATGACAATGGCTGTTGATGAGCACAGCCCTCTCATACCCTGACCTGACCGTGTAACAGAAACTACGAACAGAAACTAGGGTAACGGAAACTGTTACCGTAGAATAGTATATCTGGTGAAAATACCCTTCAAACATGAGGGAGAAATACTTTCCCAGACAAACAAAAGCTAGGGGATTTCATCAACACCAGACCTGTCCAAAAGAAATGCAAAAGAGAGTTCTTCAATCTAAAAGAAAATAATGATAATGAGCAATAAGACATCATCTGAAGGTACAAAATTCACTGGCAATAGTAAGTACACTGAAAAACACAGAATATTATAACACTATAACTGTGATGTGTAAACACTCTTAAGTAGAAAGATTAAAAGATGAACCAATCAAAAATAATAACTACAACATTTCAAGACATACGCAGTAAACATTCCACCATCATTCTCTTTTTCTCTTTCTCTCCCTCCCTCCCTTCCTTTCTGTCTTTTTCTCTCTCTCTCTTTCTTTCTTTCTTTCTTTCGTGGAGCCAGTTAGAGCCATAAATCCATGCCAATTTGATAACCAGCAGCCACCAGCCATGGGCATGCTGGGTTTTGATGCTGGGTGTCAGGACTGAATGCAGCCAAATAAATGCATTCATTAACAGATGTATTATTATTACCATTACTGTTATTCTTTACGTTACCATTTTATAGATGCAGAAACTCTCTCCTACCATGGAATCAGTCATCAGCAAGACATCTCTCTTTGATATGCATCCTGTCTTCCTTCTCTAAACTCCTTTGCCTGGAGTTGAGTAGGAAAGGTATGTCTTGTTCCTTTGAGTTCTTAAGCTACTGTCTCTCAGCCAAAAACCCACTCTCCTCCAAGCTGCTTGGTGATATTGGGCAGTGACTGACCCTGCAAATGACCTTTTGACTTTGCTAGTGACTTCCTGTTGGGCTTTGCCAATGGGGGCACTAGAGGAAGACTTAGAGGCTGGAGAAGAAAGAGAGGACTTGCTCTTTTGTGTATACTTTCTGTTCTTCTTCTTCTTCTTCTTCTTCTTCTTCCTCTTCCTCTTCCTCTTCCTCTTCCTCTTCCTCTTCTTCTTCTTCTTCTTCTTCTTCTTCTTCTTCTTCGTTTGTTTCCCTGTCAATGTCACTGTAGTACCCTCAAACACACCAGCGTTGTTAATCAGCCAGTGCTAGATAATTTTCAGCCCCATCTTCTCACTCTGCAAGGTCCCAGTTGCTACCTCTGTGATACCTCAGTGCAGGGGTTGGTTTTTTTTAAAAGGGTCACATAGTAAATATTTTAGTCTTGTAAGCCCTATGATCTTTGTTGCAACTATGCGTCTCTGGTCTCGTAGTCATAAACAATATATAGACAAATGGGCATGGCTGTGTTCCAATAAAACTTTATTTACAAAAACAGCTCACCCCTGCCTTAGTGTTCTCTGTTTGCATTTCAATTCTTCAATACCTATTTAACGTTTACACACACACACACACACACACACAATTTTTGTTAAAATAACTAGTATGGTTCAGAAACCATAGTATGAAATTTACAAAGCACCAGATTAACCATCTTATCATTGGAACCTCACTCCCCGTGAGGTGTGGATTGTGATAACAACAATAAAAGTCCCCTGACTGGACCCTTACTCAGAAATCAGAATCACAATTATGGTTCACATCTGTCTTACTGAATAAGTCATTTAATGTACTTGCTACTTTTTGTTCTTCAGGTCCAAAGAGCAAAGTGTCATTAATGTAGTGGACCAGTGCAAGTTTTGTACAATGAAAAGATCATCAAGAATCTCCAAAGACTATACTGTGGCCAAAAGCAGAAGAGGTAGCATAGCCTTGAGGCAAGGCTGTGAATGTGTACTGTTGGCTCTCATAGGTAAAAGCAAACTGCTTCTTATAGTCCTTAAAAATTGATCTAGAAAAAATAAAGTATCTGCCAGGTCAATAGCTGCATTTGAGGTGTCAGAGAGTTTGTTGATTTGCTTAAGCAAAGATAGCATGTCAAGAATAGGGGCTGCAATTCACTTCACCACCTGATTAGGTTTATAGTAATCCACAGCCATTCTCCAAGAACCATCTGCCTCTACATGGCCAAAGAGGAAAATTAAATGGGAGATCATTGTATTTACCACCTCTGCATCTTTCAAGTCTTTGAGGATGGCACTCATCTCTGCAAGGCACCTAAAAATGCTATCCTGGCTAGGAGGGAAATTATCCGGGGATTCCACTTGGGCCTTACTACTATAACAGATTTTACTCTATGAGTCTTTCCCATTGCCAGGAAACTTGGAAAACAGCTATAGAGTGTGTCTGCAGGTCTATGGGGTCCACTGTGATTTGAAGTTGGGTCAAAATTCCACTTATTATTTGACTTCTGTAAAGAAATCAGGCAAGAGGCTATGACTCCATAGTGATAGTTTGTGGCCATCAGATCTGGAGTTTTTCTATTACGTAGGTAGATCAAATAATGTTTTGATACATTGCCCATCTACTTCATGTCTGAGGACATCATAATGAATAAGCCATTGCTAAAGATTCCCTGAAAGTCAAAACATTGTAATTACCACTTCTTTTCTTCTGGAAAACACGGCAAATATGCCCATCTTGTCTTCAGGGGATAAATGCTGTCACATGTCCTCATCCTCACTGATATCTCCCACCTGGCATCTCCCCCGGCATCTCCACCGCCCTGCCTGGCCCATTCAGAGCAGCCACCACGGAGATTTTTAAGGATGCAGGTGCTCCCTCCTTAGCATATTTCTCGATGCCTAAGTGAACAGAGTGTCTGTCAGCCCCTCTGAGGGCATGTAATGTGCTGGGGGAGTGATGGTGCATGTCATTCATGGTAAAGCCACTCCAACATTCCTATCTCCCGAACCCTTTGGATATTTTCCCTTACATTGTGCAATGAGCATTCTCCTATCCCACTCTTATTAAATGAGGGCTGCCACTGGGACCAAGTGTAGTTATCAACCAAGTAATCGGAGCCACTTCCAGCCTTAACGAACTTACTGTGAAATTCAGAATTCCTAGTAAGTGCACCCATATCAATACCTTTACCATGAGGCAGTGTTATATGCTGACCTCTTTAGTCTAACACTCTTATCATCTATTCATACACATATTCTGCAGGTTTCTGCTAATGTAAATTAGCAAGATCTTTCCAATGTTTTGGTGTATATGCTATTTCCTCTTAGGGGGACTTTGTGCTGGTCCCCCTGCAATAGGCTGATATCTGACCCTAGATTAGTAGCAGCAAAGGTGGAGTCTAGGTAGCTTCTTTCAAGGCAGCCTTCTAATGACCTTGTAAGGAGACACGGGAGGGAGGCTGCTTCTACTTGGTTCCTTTTCCATTAAAAAAAAATGTGGTTTTCAATGCCCACTATGAAGGCAGATACTTAGTAGGTTTATAATAGATACTTTTTAAATGAATGAATAAACAACATTTTTTTTTCTTTGAGACGGAGTCTCACTCTGTCGCCCAGGCTGGAGGGCAGTGGTGCGATCTCGACTCACTGCAAGCTCTGCCATTCTCCTGCCTCAGCCTCCCGAGTAGCTGGGACGACAGGCATCCGCCACCACGCTCGGCTAATTTTTTTGTATTTTTAGTAGAGTCAGGGTTTCACCATGTTAGCCAGGATGGTCTCGATAAGGATAAGGGCCAAGCATTTGAAATTCTATTTTTTAATTTATAATAAAGTAACTTCCAAAATTCAGTCTTTCCCCCCAGTTAAACCTCATTTAAACAGAACACCTGTCTACCTCCTAAGAAGCTCCTACTCTGGCTCAGTGGGAAGCCCCTACAGACCAGGCTGGGGGCTGATCCCCCCAAGTCTCCACATCTGGAAACATGATCCCTTGTACCTATTAGGTGCTCAGTAGATGTCGGCTGAGTGAATGGATGTGGGGATTTTGCCTCCAGAGGGCTTTTCCAGAGCTACCTGTATCAGCTGGGCACTGGTCACACTTCACCTTCCTTCTCTGGGTTGCACTCAAAGAGATAAACTGATCTTACTTTCCTGGTGAAAATCCTCTTCCGCTCATAAACTGATACCATTCTAGTGACCAACAGCTAGCCGACCATGAGTGTGGTGGGTTCCCGCTGTCAGATCTCAGGGCTGAATGCAAATCCAGCCTTGCCTCAATGGCCCTCTTGGTACCCTCATCCTCTCCAGGGAAGCAGCTCCTTCCCAGGCACCCTCTATAATCAGTGACAGCATAGATGATTGGTTGAGGCCTTAGCACGGGTAATACAGTCAACATCACTGGTGCCAACCTGAGAGTCCCTCCTCGCCTTCCAACCTGACTCAACCCCTGTGTGGTCCAAGCACTTGGGAGCCACGAGTTTCAGAACACAGGCTCTGCCCCAGCCCCCGGACATGAATCTTGATGGATCCAAGCCAGAGTTCTCAACTTTGTCAGACCCATGACCTCTTCCAAAGAAGAATTGTGCTTAATGTCTCTTTACTGCCCTGAAATGAAAGTCATAAATAATTAACCTATAACATCATACACCTACTTAAAAACTCATTACAATGCCCTAAGTGGACTATAAAAAGAAATAAAAGGACAATAATTTTTAATGAAATAATAACTTGTAATAAATTAAATCATATTTCAATAGGCAAATGAACAGACACAGACACAGGCACACACAGAGATATAACCAATAGTTAGATCCTAGCCAACTTCTACAGAAGAAGTTTGGATGGAAGAGAAGATCAGGAGTTGCGCTACAACAGAAGGGCAGAAAAATAAAGACACTTGAATATAAATATTATATTCGGTGTACGGTAAAATCTTACAAAAATATCTTGTTTTGATATTAAATTGATGTCGGTTCTAGGCTAAGATGATTAAATGGCTCTTCACACAAGAGCGACCAGAGGAGAAGTGAAATTCGTGTGGGAAACAGGACGGTCTGTCTTATGTGGACTGTCCTGCGCCTTGGAGGCATCCAGCATTCCCAGCCCCACCCAGCTGAATGCCAGCAATATTACCAGTCATTGAGCCAAGCCACCCCCACATTTCCATACAACCTCAGAGGCTGTACCTCTCTGGTGAAAAAGCACTGGCCAAACCATGATAATTCCACTTCCTCTGCCAGCACCAGGCCTAACAATGCGCTTGGGATGCAATTTTGGCCAAAGTTACAGGCAATCCAATCTGCTGGGGGCTTCTGGGAAAGGGTTCCAGTCTCTTATAAAGAGGCACTAGGAAGAGACGCGTTCTTTCTTTTGCTTTCACCTCTTGCACAAGGGTGGGACGCCTGGAGCTGTGGCGCAATCCTACGAGCTTCAGAGTGCAAGCCTGAGGGTCAGGCCAATGTGGAGAGCACAGTGGGAAGTTGAAAAGAATCAGGGTCCCTGGTGATCCCCACCTCTGTACCAGCCAAACCAGAAGTGCTAGGAAGTCCACTGGATTTCTTGATTCATGGAGACATAAGATATTGTCCCTATGATGTAAGAACAATAGGATACTTATTGTGGATTTCTCTGCTGCTTGAAGCCAAAAGCATCCCACCTGTGACAGGTAGAGTCTTTTTGCTTATTACCATAATCCCTTCTACTTGATAAGCAAAACCTTTGAAATGTGCAAAGCGCCAGACTAACCATCTTATCATTGGAACCTCACTCCCTGTGAGTTATGGATTATGATCCCCATGTACAGACAGGAGCACTGAGACCAGGGAGGAGGGGAAGTGATTTGCCCAGCGCCAGGCCCTGTGTTGCCCCAGGGCAGTGCTCCTCCTCTCCCCCACTGCACCCAGGAAGCCTTTGCTATTCTGTGATCTGATGCCTCTTTGGGACTCCATGCTCTAAATATCTACCCCACCCTCATCACCATTTCACATTCTCATTCTTGGGGTGGCGTCCCTGGATTGAAGAACTGTGACTCTCGGCATTTCCTACTAAAATATGCATATCTCATCTTAAAAGAACTAATACATATTCATTAGCACAAATAAATTCTTCATTAGTTCTCAGATATGGCAGGCTTTGAAAGAAATAAGACATGAGACGGGTGAGTTTTGAGCTGAGTTCATTCATCGTGCCAGGGTGAGCTTTCATTTACTCATTCACTCAATGAATATTTAGGAGGCACATCCTATGTGCTGGACACTGGGCTATGTCCTGGAGCCACAGCCTCCTACTCTCCATGGCTCCTGCCCTCATGGAGCTGGCCTTCTAGTGGGATGGCACAGTCAAAACCATAAGCAAGATAATCGCAGATTCGATAAACCCCAAGGAGGAACTTGTACAGCCTGATGGAATCAAATGTGACTCCACAGGGACTCCCTTAGTCAGGGCGGTCAGTGAGGGTCCCCTGGTGGAGGAGAAATGTGAGCTAAGACCCAGAGGATGAGGAAGCCAGCCATGACAAGATCTGGAGGGAGAGCATTTTAGGCCCAGCAAGTGCAAAGGCCCTGAGGTGGGCATGTGCTTGATGCCAAGTGAGCAGGGGAGGGAGGTGTGCAGTGAAGGTAGGGACCAGATCACATAGGATCTTGGATTTTATTTCAAGAGCAATGGGAAGTCATTGAAGATTGTAGATGACAGAGTGGCATCATCTCTCTTGCACTTTATAATGCTCGCTCTGGTGGCTGGAAGAATGGATCATGGAAGCAAGCACAGATCGAGGAGGCCCCATAGGAGGCTGTCTCAGTCCACCAGCTTGGATTAGGAGGTCATGGACAAGGTGTGAGCCATGGATGGAACTTGGAGGGCATGCTGTCCATGGGCTGGGGTCCAGGATACAAGGTACAAGCTGCACTGCACAGGACTGTCTTGTGGGTGTAGGCATCAGGACTGGGAAGGCCCACAATGGGACAGGCCCTGCTCCCACTGCAGCACGGGCCTGTGAGTATGGCCCATTGTGCCCGGGGAGCCTGGCATGAGGGAAGAGTGACAGCATGCAGAGCGGGCAGCAGGATCGAAAGAGGCCAGAGAGAAACCCTGAATCCTTACTCTATGGAGGACTGGAAACTCAGGAGGGCACTGTCAGATCAGGCAGAGGACCCGGTGACCCAGGGCCAGACCGGACTGTGTGCCCTGGAATGTTCTGTGCCCCGATGCCACTTCCTGGATGTGCAGGATAGACACTCAAGAGTTCACTCAAAAGCAACAGGACTAAGGAGCATTCCTCCACCCAGGCTCTGTGAACACCTCTGCTCTCAGGGCAGATCCTGGGTCCTGGATTCTGTGCCCAGTTTGTGGGTTTTGTTTTTTTTTTAGACGGAGTCTTGCCAGGCTGGAGTGCAGCAGTGCAATCTCGGCTCATTGCAACCTCCGCCTCCCGGGTTTAAGCAATTCTCATGCCTCAGCCACCCAAGTAGCTGGGATTACAGGTGTGTGACACCACTGCTGGCTAATTTTTATATTTTTAGTAGAGATGGGGTTTCACCACATTGGCCAGGCTAGTCTCGAATGCCTCACCTCAAGTGATCCACCTGCCTCAGCCTCCCAAGGTGCTGGGATTACAGGTGTGAGCCATCACACCCGGCCATACGATGCATAATCTATATGATGACTGTGTGTGTGTTTACTCTCCAGGTAAGAGGGGAGGAAATAATAATAACAGTTGGCACTCACTGTGCATTTACAATGCTGGAGGCATTTGCTAAGCACTTGAACCAGCTGATTGCTCCAAGTCCCACGATAACCCTGGGAGGGAGGTACTTTCATTTACTCCCCTTTGACAGGTGAGAAAACTGAGGCTCAGAGTGGTCACGTCCAAGAACACACAGCCAGCAAGTGGCAGAGCTGGAATCTGAGCCGAGGCCCATCTGGCGGCTCCTCATTCTGGGATCAGGCTGAAGCCACTGTGGGGCATCGGTGGTGACACTGAGGGCTAGGGCAGGTGTGCAGGGAGCAGTGGCCCAGCAGCTGTAGGCTCTGCGCCCTCTGCCACATCCAGCCCTCAGAGCACCCATTCAGGGTCAGAACCCAGCATAGACTTTAATCCCGCAGTTCTGGCAGCTGGAGGGGAGGGGATGCCCGTGGGCAGAGGTTCTGTGGAATTGGCAGAACCCTTCCCCACCCCACACTCAGCCACAGGCTTCATCCTCTCATCTCCCAGCTTTGTCTGGAATGGTCTCCTCTTTCGAGTAAACCCTACTGATTCTGCCTAATTAGCTCTTCATATGAAATCCCCAGTTACTCTGGGAGCAGCCTCCATGGCGGATCTCCCTGGAGCACGGAGGTGGAGACGCAGGCGAACACACCTCTCTGCAAACTGAATGGATGCAATTGGTCCCCAGGGCCTGAGTCTAACATGGGCCCTGGGCCTCACTTTCCCAGAAGGCCTGGATTCCTAAATGTGGGAGTCACCTTCAAATGAGGCTGCGTCTAGAGTCTCAGAGAAACGAGGACTGTGAGGACCCAGTAGCCCCCTTGGGGCAGTCACCCACAGCCTGGCGCTGATCAAAGGCTTTGCCTGCCCCTCCAACCCCGACACCGGGAACATGCGGTTGGGAGCCCATGCTGCAGATGGGGAAACCGAGACACAGACGAGTCAAGTGACTTGCCCAGGAATCCAAACCCAGGAATCCGGACCCAGGGAGTCCGGCCACAAAGCTCAGGCACTGACCCACGAGCCCTAATCCCCATCTTTACAGCCCCCTCCTTCCCGTCCTCACGCCCAGATGCACCTGGGATGAACGTACTTTTACAAAGTCAATGTAGTTCTTATTTCCTGAACAGCACCACGATAAAGAGTTCGTTTGTTCCTTCAACATTTCAGCCAGCCCGTGGTTTCTATAGCCCTTTCTTGGCATTCCTTCACTTTTAATACACTGGAAGCCCCAAGAGGGAAGCCCCCTGGGTCTTTCCTTGGTGACCTGCTTCTGCCAGCAGCGAGTGGGGCTGCGGGTGGGGACCCAGGACCTGGGACAGGACAAATCCCGGCTCAGAGGCTCCTTGACTGCGTGCCCCTCGGGGAGCGCCTTCCCCCTTCAGCTCCTTCAGCTCCACAGTGGGAGGACAGCGACAACCATGGTGCCCCCCTAGGGCTCTCGTGAGGATTCAGTGAGGTGATGTGCACAGCCTGCGACACACAGTAGGGGTTCAATCAGCACCAAGCATCAGTGTCCCTGCAGTCCCTATGGGGCACGGGGATCTGCCTCACCTGTTAATCAGGAGGAGGAAGGCGAGTCTTTCCTTTTCTTTTTGGAGTCAGTCTCTCACTCCATCACCCAGGCTGGAGCGGAGCAGTGGTTTGATCATGGCTCACTGCAGCCTCGACCTCCCTAGGCTCGGGTGATCCTCCCACCTCAGCCTGGGACCACAGGCTTGCACCACCACCCCAAGCTAATTTTTTTTCTTTATTTTTAATAGAGACAGGGTCTCACTATGTTACCCAGGCTGGTCTCAAACTCCTGCGCTCAAGCAATCCTCCAGCCTCAGCCTCCCAAAGTGCTGGGATGACAGGCGTGAGTCAGGGCACCTGGCTCTAGACTTTCGTCGACGTCCTTTCTGGCTCAGACATTCTGAGCCTCCACCATCGGGTAGGGTCAGACCTTCTGAGCCTCTGCCATCCAGACAGACCCAGATGGATCAGAGGAGGGTGCGAGGGTGAGGGTGAGGCAGAGTGTTCCCAGTCCCTCTTTATGGCCAAGACTCTGCAAACAGGACATGGATCTGGCTTGGATAGGACACAGATGTGACAGCCCTCATGTCTCCCCAGCCTCAGTGCCCCAGGACCCCCTGCCCTCTTCCTGACAGCAGGGGATGTGAGGGAAGGAGGGCAGCCCTGCATCCCACACCCAGGCCCCCTCCCCTCCCCTGATACCCAGCAGCCACGGGTCCATCGTCTTCCAGTGTCAGCCACGCACCATGAAAACAGATACCACCCACCGGGGCCATTCCTGTGCTGTTTTTCAAAGAGCTGTTTGGGCCAAAAGCCAGCAATGCAAGTCTGTGTGCCCTGCAGGGCTGGCCCTCCTCCAGCTCTTCATCTCTGAACCTCCTGTCCCTGGAGCAGCTCATCTCAGCCCTGCCAGTGTCTGGAAAGTGCCCATCATCACCTACAGCTCTAGGAGGGCTCTGGCGAAGCACAAATCAGGACCTGAGAGCATCTCCCGTTACCCATCAGCCCCGTGGCGGTGACATGTGTCCAGCAGGCAGCAGAGCCACTGGGAGGGGCACAGGGTGGGTTGGCTCTGATTGGAGCGGACATGGCAAGAAGGATCTGGAGGTGGAAGCCAGGGCAGCAGGGCCAGCTGCAGGGTGGGGGTGCTCGGGCAGCCCAGCATGGGGAACTGGAGCCTGGAAAGTGCTGGAAGGGAAACATTGCAGGAAGCAGGAGGACAGGGAAGCACCCACCCCACATGCTGGGCAGAGGCTGGCTAGGGACCCGCCCTGGGAGTGGATGGACTTGAATCCTGGGCCCCTCTGCTGAGACCCTCAGGACTTCGGGATGGGAAAACAGAACAGCACAGGGCCGCTGCAGTGACCCAGGGAGAGGAGCTGAGCCAAGCCACCCTCACGCACCCAAGGACCTGCCCCTGGGCCACACCCCAGACAGAGCCCCGGGCTCAGGGTCTGGAGCCACACGGCCTGGGCTCAAATCCAGCCACTGTCCTTGTGAGCAAACTTTGGCTGCAATAATGGGAGGTGCAGCTGGTGAAGGCGCTGGCAGCGGAGGCATTTCCTTAGCATCCCTCTCCTAACCACCCCTGCCCCACTCCAGCCCTCCAGGGAACGCTACCAGTGCCCGGAGGGAGGCAGCTTCAGGCTTGGCTTTCGGCCTCCCCTGCCTGCAAACCCCGAGCTCCAGGCTTGCAGTGGGAGCCTCCCAGGAGCTCTGGGCAGGAGGCCCGCAAGGCTAGGCGGGGCGCCCTGGCCCACAGCGCCATCTAGTGGCCGTCACTTCCACAAAGGTGCACCAGTGACTGTGGGTTTCTGGTCACAAGCTTCGTAAGCACCCCGCTTTACAGTGCATAAGGGCCTTTCATATCCTTCTCCTCCAATCAGAAGAGAGGAAGGGAAAAAAGAGAAAAGAGAGAAGGGAAAGATCCCCGAAAGGAAAGAATTGAAAAATCGAGTCAAGCTCACAGACATATGTTATGGGACAAAGACAAATATAGAAAAGCTTAGAGAGAGAGAAAGAAAATGAGGGGGACGAAAGTAAGAAAGAGACAAATTTTAAAAAGTTTTTAAAAAGAGAGAAAAAAAGAGAAAATATTCACGGCAAGCCCAGCCCAGGAGAGGGATAGCGCCAGTGCCCATTGTCCAGACGATTCCAGGCCCCGCCTCCAGGCTGGCTCTGTCCCAAATACCTGCACCCAGGAGCCAGCCTTCGGTCTGAGTGCTGGAGCCCGGGGAACAGCAGCCTCTGGGCACTACGCGGTCCCCAGCACCACCTGCTGGACAGACAGGGCACTACACTTATCCCGGGAAGTTCCACTTTGGGGCCCTGGAGGAGACTCCTGGTACCCCCGCAAGGCAGCCAGGTGGGCGTAAAGTCTCCATTTCTCAAAGAAGGAAGCTGAGGGTCCCAGAAAGACAGAGAATCTCAGATATGGCCACTCAGCAAGTATCAGGTGTTGACAGATTCAGGAGCAGGCGAGGGTGTCTGACTTCAAAGGTCCTAGTCCAGCCCCCCATGAATGAACCCACGTGGCAGACACAGAGGTTAGAGGGGCCCGCTTGGCCACAGATGGGTGTGGCTTGCGCCCCCCGCTCTGATCACTGTGCTAACCCTGCTTTCTTCTATTAATATTTAGCCGTGATTCACCACTGTCTGGCCCTGGGCTACAGTATGGAAGGGGTGTGGTTCCTGCTCTTACTGCTGGGGGGAAGGTGGACAGGAAGTACACCAACAGTTATTTAGATAAAATCATAAAGCGGTCAACACACCCCATCGTACCTTCCACTTCCTGGGTGGCCTCTGTTGCAGTCCACGCCAAGGGGCCATCTCTGGGTCAGCACCTTTTGACAGATGAAAAAACTGAGGCTCAGAGGAATTCAACCACCTGGGCCCTGCCCTCATCCTGGAGGAGCAGAGAAGGAGAGGCTCCGAGAGACGTCAATGCGGGGCTGCGCCTGCCCCTTGATTCTCCATTGGACGGCACAGTGACTCCGGGTCACCAGGTCCTCCCCGAGCTGACATCGCCATGGCAAGTCCAGAGCTAAGGATCTGGCCGTCAGCGTGAGCAGGCCGGATGAGTGCTCGGACCACGTGGCTCCGGGGAGCTGGAGAGCTGGCACCCTCCTCAAGAAGACAGCCGCTCCTCAGCTCCAGCTGACATGTAGCCAGGTGGGAATGTGGACCAGTGTGACCAGAGCTTCTGATTTTTTCTTTAATCTTTTTTTTAAGAGGCAGGACCACACTACGTTGCCCAGGCTGGAGTGCAGTTGGCTATTCACAGGTGTGATCAAAGCGCACGACAGCCTTGAACTCCTGGTCTCAAGCAATCCTCCCACCTTTGCCTCCAAGTAGCTGGGACCACAGGTGCGCACCACCACACCCAGCTCAGAGCTTCTGATTTTCGAGACAAACTAAAAATCAGAATTCAGAGATGAAATTTGCTGGTTCATAAATATAATTCATTTTTTTAAAACACCATATCAGGAAGGAAGTAAAAAAAAAAACCCACATTTAGTTCCAAGTTTCAGCCTGGAGCCATCAGTTTGAGACCTCTTGTCTCCTGCAAAAATGTCCGCTTGCTCTGAGAGGCCCTTCGTGCTTAGTTTTATACTTGGAGAAACACATCTCGGAGAGGGAGGTGGGCCCGGCTCTCCCTCCCAACTCTGCAAGCACAGCTCTGAGCCTGTAAAGTATGCAACTTGCTCAAGGCCACAGAGAGCCGGCTGGAAACCCAAGCTGCTCCTGCCTACGGCCCCAGGAGAATGTATGTTCCTTCTGCGGGCCCCCAGGGTGGAGGAGAGGCTGAAATCGATGCTTTCTAGAAACGTGTCTGCCTGAAGGAAGACGTCCAATCCTCCCTGTTGACCTCAAATATAGATTGAGGTAACAGGTCTTCCCTCGAAGTGATTTTCCCTGGATCCAAACACTGGCCTCAGATAATTCTAAATAATCAATCCATGACTGTGCCTGAAACCCCACCAGGATTCCCTCTTGCCTGTTAGAGTATTGAGTCCTTTGAAACCTGTAACTGAGAGACGCGAGGATCTCTCTCTGGGAGGGATCCAATCTGGGCCTTCAGAGAATGTAATCTGCAACAGGTTAGTTTGGAAGGAAAAGAGACTGAAAGAGAAGGGGCTCGAGTGTGAAATGGCAGGGCTGGGTGCAGCACCATGGTACAGGGGAGTCCCAAGGGTGGCCATGACCCAGAGGAAACTGTCATCGATTTCAGCATTTTCCAAAGGATTGGAAATCGGGAAAAGATGGAATAAAGAAGAGGCCATACGCAACATACCGAAACCCGGTCTCTATAAAAATTTTTAAAAATTAGCCAGGCATGGTGGTGTGTGCCTGTAGTCCAGGCTACTTGGTAGGCAGCATACTGAAACCTGGTCTCCACAAAAAATTTAACAAATTAGCCAGGCGTGGTGGCACGTGCCTGTAGTTGCAGTTACTTGGGATGCTGAGGTGGGAGGATAAATTGAGCCCAGGAGGTCGAAGCTTAAGTGAGTCATGATCGCGCCACTGCACTCTACCCTGGGTGATAAGAGCAAAAGACCCTGTCTCAAAAAAAAAAAAAAAGGACGAGGGGGCACAGGGCTGGCACAGCAGAACAGGTCTGCAGCCCAGGGAATGAGGTTTCTCTGACTATGCAAACAAACCCAGGCAGCTTCATAAAGATCACCTGGGCCCAGGCAGGTGGAGAACCTGCTGACAGCCTAGGATGCAGCCACCAGGCCCAGGTGTGCACGCAGACTCTCTATTCTCATTGGTGCATTTCACGTCTGCCCAATAGGCCTGTTTGTGGCCAGCGTAAGTTCTGGCTGACTGGGGGTCCGGCACGACCATGTTGTGGGTATTTTGAACTCCACTCCCGCCTGGATCCAACAGGCCTTGCAGGTTGGAGCGAGGAGGATTCTATGGCACCCCTTGGATCCACACTGTCCCCTCAGCACAAGTAAGCCACCCAGGAGGAGGTGTGGAATTCCTGGGAAAACAGTCACTTTTTCCTACCTTCACAGTGAAATGGGAGCTCAGAATCCAGGGGGGAAAAAAGCTGAAATATCAAATAAGGCCTGTTATTTTCCTGTATACCTGGGTTGCAGGCAATCCGTGCAACCTCGGGTCGTCCTCAGCAATCACCCCGCGAGAGAAGCTGCATCGCCCCATTATCAAGGAGGAAACTGAGGCACAGAGTGAAAACATCACTGACTTCGGGGTCGCTGGTTCAAGGCCCCGATGCAGAGATCAGCACTGTCCTCCATGAGGCTTTTAAAGCGCGAGCTCATCCCCTAGTGCCCCCGGCCGCACCCACCCCCCAAGCCACCCACCGCAGATGAAGCAGATCACAGCCTCGTTCTTTGTATTATAAACTGACTTTTAATAATAATAAAAAATCTATCAAGAATTTAACGAGAAGAATCTGTACATTTTAAAGTAAACCAGTGCACAATGCGCTGGCCCTGGGCCCTCCCCCATTTCCCGCAGCAGGGCTAAAGCGGGTCCTCCTTTGTCTCTGATGCAAGATACAGTGACAAGGCCACTGCCTGCCCTCGTGTATGCTGCGGCAAGAGAGGGAAGCGCACCCTGGAGGGCGGGAGGCTCGGATGCCAGATGCCGGGAGGGCTTCAAGCTCCCAGGCCTGGGGGCAGCAGGGAGCCCCCACCTGAACTCACCACCTGCCAGGGGTGACAGGCGTCCCCCCGCTTCCTCCCCAGCTGTGACCTTTCCCTGAAGGCATACCGAAGCTGGGGGGACAAACTGCCGAGGGGGCTTGTGTGGGTCCCTCCTCCCCAGCAGGCAGGGTGGCTTCCTGTGCTCTGGCTGGTGATGTCCCAATCGCCCTGCTCTGAGAAGTTACCATCAAGAAAATAAATCACAGAAGCCACCGCCCGGTGTTTCCCAGTGACCCTCTAACCCGTGTGACACGGCACCTCAGGTGGGGCTCCATCCCCTCCAGCTCCAACCCTGGCTGGCCACCTCTCAGGCCCTTGTAGCCAGTCACTCAAAGAGAGCGAGTTCTAACACCGGCCAACCGCTGGAGAATGGAGGGTGGGGGAAGGAATCACAGTCGATACCTCAAAACGACACCTTACAACCCTAATATTAACAAACAGGAAACAATGACATTTTTTAATTTTTCAATAATTTAGTTTTTCTTTTGTGCTCTTTTTTTTTTAGTAGAAGCAGGAACAGTTGTCAATACTACCTTCTGTTGGTCCCCTGTTAGACAACATACCTTTCTTTGAAATGTAAAATGTCAAATATATAATCACACAACTTTAGAAAAAACAAACTTTGACAACACCAACAACAAAAAATCCCAAAATAAACCAGAGATTTCATGCCATATAAATAAAGTCAGAGCAAATCTCGTGCCCAGGGCTGGTGGCCCCAGTTCCAGGGGCGGTGATGTCCAGAGCTGGTGTGGCTCTCGGGGATCCTCTGGTAACAGGCGTGATGGAGGCCCCGTCTCTCCTTTCCCGACAGAGCCAAGTCTTTTCCAAGTCCACCAAGCAGGTTAGTACAGGGTTAGGGTGAACCTGGAAGCTAAGATGAGGAGGAGGAGACACGTGTGGTCACCTGGAATGTGGACGTTGAAGGAAACCGGGGTTTCAAAAGTGCAGGCGGAGCCATCCCGAGGGAGCCGGGTGGCCCCATGTGGCCTCCATGACGTTCCCTTGGGTTCTGGGGACGCAGGAGCCGAAGGCCAGGCACCAGCTGCTCCCATCAGCTCTATGGGTCTCCAGCACCCCTCCAGCTTCTGGCAGGCGTGTGAAGAATGGGCCGGCCCAGGGCCAATCAGCCAGCTCGTCATCACAGCGAGGGTGGCCAGGCTTGTCCCGGAAGGAGGCAGGGAGGACGCTGGGCAGGTCCCGGAACGGGCGGCTGCGGAAGCCTTGGGCCATCCCTGGAGAAGGCCAGCGCTGCCTGCTGTGTCCTCCCAAATCCCAGCTCCAGAGGCCGCGGCCCAGCGTGGGGCATTTGGGTGTTCAGAGGTCCCCATCCACCGGCGGCTGGCAGAGGCGGTAGAGGCTGGGGATGGAGGCAAAGAGAATGAGGAGAGGCCGGGGCGGGCCAGGACCTATTTGTATTATTTCCATTTTTACCTGAACATGTAATTCATGCCCAGAAACCCAAACTCACAGGTATATAAAAGATGCAGAGAAAAATATCTATGCTGTCCATGCCTTCTGCTGACTGCCAGGCCCCTACCCACAGGCAGTCTCTGCCCACTCAGAGACTGGCATTTACAAATGAAGACGTGTCTACAGGTGCACGTGTGCGTTCAGCCATGTGGGGGTGGGGTGCACATTCCACACTAGTGGGGGCCAGATGGCCACAGCACTCTGCCCCTTACGCAGTTTCACTTGCTCTATCCTGGGAAACTCTATATGCAGAGATGGTTTTGGAGCCGGGGGACCAGACAGGAGGCTGCGTGGTGTCCAGGGCAAGCAGACTGCAATGCTGCACATGTGGTCTGATGTGGTCAGCGCTCGGACTCCACGCCCAGACTGCCTGGGTTCAGAATCCCAGCTTTTCCATTTACTAGCTGTGTGACATTGGACAAGATACTTAACCTCTCTGTGCCTTAGCGTCCCCACCTGCCAAGTGGGGATGACAGCCGGACTTGGCTCACAGGGCAGCTGTTTGGATTAATGAGTCCACAGAGGGGAAGCAATTGGACAGTGCGTGGCACAGGGCAAAGGCCGTGAAGGTATTGAAAGGAACCACGTGCCACTCGTGAGACACAAACAAGGTGTGTGTGGAGCCCCCAGCGCCACAGCACGCACAGTGACTCTCGTCACCACTGGCAGCAGGTGTTGCCGGCGCTCTGTGGTTACGTAAGACGTTGCCGCTGGCGGGGAGCTGCCTGAAGGGTCCATGGAACTGTGGACTATTTTTACAACTTCTTGGGAGTCACATTATTTCAAAACAAGAGTTATTTAAAACTTGTGGGCAGATGACGACAGCAAACTAGGGCTGTGGAGATGGAGAGAGGATCAGACGGAAACAACGTCATGATCCTAAAGGGCCTACATGTGGCACCAAGAGGAAGACTGAAAACCACATGAAGAGAGGGCAGGGTGGGAGGACAGGAGGAAACAGCACTCCCCATGCCAAAGACGGCAGGAACAGAGAGCATTCCTGCAAATCAGGCATCGCAGGCCTGGGCCCAGGCTGCTGTTCAGTTCGCATTTCTGTAAATGGCTAAAAGGTTAGCTTAGGTTGGATCAGCTAAAATCACAGAATTCTTAATTCCACCCCAGGTTAAAGCGAGCCGCTCAGGGGTCAGGGACTCAGGGTAGGGGGCACGGGGTGGGGGGCACATGGCATGGGACACAGGGTGGAGGGCACGGGGCGGGGGCTCAGGGCTGAGAGGGCATGGGGCTGAGGGCACAGTGTAGTGAGGTGGGAGGATCTCATAGAGTCACCGCCTCACGGCACACCTGGGGGCTCATCTTCCCGGTGGGAGCAGGAGCTCCTTTGGGAGGTGACAAAGTTGTGTCTGTTGCTCCTCAAAGAGGTTCCCCATAAATGAGAGGGGAAGCCCCATCTGAGCATTAGGGGTTAGGCCAGGAGCATGATGCCAAAGCCAGGCCTGGGTCGCCAGCTGGGAGTGGACAGGAAGGGGCGGACGAGGCAGCCACTCACCGCGGAGCACCCTGGGGCATCTGGTCCTTGACTCGCAGGTTTTTGGCCAGAATCTCCACCCTTGGGCCCTGGAAGAAGGAACCATCAGGCAGGGGCCTCTGCAGGTTCAGGGCACGTGAGGAAGCACACTGGGGGGTGGGGGTGGGGCCCAGAAGCCCAAGGACCCAGAAGCTAAGATCCTTGCTCCCCTCCAGATTCAGAGAAGGCTCAGGTCTGGGGCTGGTGGCTACCAGCCCCTCATCCCACCCTGGCTGCAAGCATGCCACGCCCTCAGCCCAGGGTGCTGGAGGACCCTGTGGCCAAGCGGCCTCACCTGCTTCCGCATGATGTCCGTGGCCTGCATGATGCACTTGGGCAGCAACCCGTGGCTCCGTGCCAAGATGGCCGCCTGCTCCAGGGACACGCTCAGGGTGCTCCTGCAGCAGGGGAGGGAGGACAGCGGGTTGGCGGTGGGGGGACAGGGGTCGGGGGAGGACAGCGGGAGTCAGAGGACAGTGGGTGAGAGCTGGGGCAACTTCCTGTCCCTCCGAGGCCTCCCAGACCCAATCCTGACCATCACGGCAACGCCTCCTCCTGCCGTCCCTCCCCGCTTGCTCCTCTTCCTCCAGGCAGCCACCACCCTCACTGGCAGGCACTCTGGTGCTTCCCCGTCTGCAGAAGCCCTGTTGAGTTCCCTGTGACATTCCCAGTGCCTCGCTCAGAGGAGGACTCGGTAAATATCTGCTGAGTGAGTGGGGGACTCCCTGGGAGCCTCACGACTTGTCGGCTCCGTGGGGTTTGAGATGGACACATCGATTCACACCTCTCTGGGTTTCTCAACAGTTCTAGAACGTGGATTCTGCAGCAAGACCTCTAGGATTCCAATCCTGTCCCTCCATGTAACTCCTCTGTGACCCTGGGTAGCTGAGTTAACCTCAGCCTCCCTATACTATTAACTATGAAACAGGGAGCATGGTGGTGCACAGAGGACCTGGCCCAGCTGGAGGGGCTGTCCTGGGAACCACAGGAAGCTGAGCAGCATCCCGGCCTCTACCCACTAAAGGCCAGGAGCTCCTCCCTCCCCTAAGTTGTGACAACCAAAAATGTGTCCAGACATTGCCAAATGTTCCCCGGGGATAAAACTGCCCCTAGGTGAGATCCCCTAAAATAGGCCCCACTACTGCACTGGTAGAGAAAGACGGAAAGGAGTTAATCTGCATGGAACGTCAATGACCTAGGAGGCAGAGAGCACTGGCCCCGTGAAACATTTATTCAGCAAATGTTTCTTGAGCACCTGTCTCAGGCCAGGCACTGCTCTAGCCTCTGGGGAACAGCAGAGAACAAAAGGGGCCCCTGCCCTCCCAGATCCAGCCCTGCCCTGAGGGAGCCAAGGAGGAAATAAATACCCCAATGAAGGCTGTCTGGGGAGTGGGGGTGAGGGCTGCAGAGGAAGAGAGGGTTGGGAGGGCACTGAGTGGGGAGAGTGGGCACAGTTTGTAACGGAAGGTCAGGAAGCACTCTGGAGAAGGTGACCTCTTCCTCCCTGGGATGAGCACTGGGGACAAAGGATGGAGGTAGGAGGCAGGGGAGCCTCCAGTGAGGTCAGCAGGCCCCATAAACCAGCCATTGCTATTGTTAATGTTGAAGGAGGCTTCCGGCGGAACTACAGGGCACAGCTCTCACACACACTCACTACGGCGTTAGAGAAGCAGGTGGCTCCACAGCCCTGCTAGGACCACCTGCTGCTGCCATTCCGTTTCACAGACAGACAAACTGAGGTGCAGACAGAGCCAAGGCTCTACAGGCAATGGCAGAACCAGGATTGGAACCCAGCCTTCCTGCCTCCTTGCCACAGGACCCCAAACTGACCAGAAGCTAGGCCAGCCCCTCCCCACACCCCGACTCAGCGGGCAGCAGCTCACCTCTGCATGCCTGTGCCACACATGACCATCTGGCAGGCCCCCAGGCGGTAGCAGAGCTCCGAGGAGATGGGGATGAGGCCGGCGCCCACACTCCCAGCAGCACCAGGCTTTGGGTGGACAAAGGACTTCATGAGGCGGCAGAGCTCATCCAGGGCATTGATGGGGCGGATCAGCTGTAGGGGGTACCACACATAACCGGGGAGTTGGAGGAGGTCCTCACAGCCCCTCAGCCCCCATCTGGCCCTCCTCCCCCACCATATCCTTCTAATCCAGCTGTTCCTGCAGCTGCCTCCCAGCTCACCCCTCTGGGGATAACAATGCAATTCAATCTTCTATAACCTCTGCTCAAGAACCCTCTGTGGCTCCCCACTGCCCTACAAGCTGGCAGTCAGTGTTGACCATATATTTCAGGTCTAACCTTCCAACCTAATTCTCTTCACCTGCCCAGGTGTGTCCCCAGTGAAGCCTGAAGAAAGTGCCCTCTCCCAGCCTGTCAAGACCAACACAAGCGCCCCCTCTCCAGAAAAAGCCTTCCCTTCTGCCCCCAGCATTCCCTGACCCCCACGTGGAGGTGCAAGGGGTGGTTCACTAACGAGCTGTGCTGCGGGGACATTCTGCCAGCCAGAGTGGAAAGTCCCAAACGGCTGTGCCCACCCTCCTCCCGGAGCCCCCAGCTCACAGCCCCAAGACAGCACCCCAAAATCATCAGCACATTCAAGGCCTGCCTGACCCTAGAAAACCAGGAGGCCAAAAGACATGTGTTGAGGGTCAGAGGCAAGGAGCCCAAGGAGCCGAACTATCGAGGCCCCTCAGAGGGAGCTGCTCCCAGCTCGGAGCAACGGGGACATGTGGCAACATGGTCCCCAACAGCCAGATCTTCCCATTCCTCCAGAAAAGCTGGAAGCCTCTGTTTTTATGGGAAATCTTTTGATTTCTAAAGGTTGACAGCAAATTTGAAACACATAAACAAAAAGAATACCATACAGGTTACATCTGTCATGAGGTCCAGGCTCCAGCCTCAGAGAAATGCTGTGGTTAATAAGGCGGATTGGAGTGGCAGAGATGGGCGGCTGCCAGCGAAAATAAATCATCCCAGGAAGTTGGGAATGGGGAGGAAGCTATCATGGGAGACTTCCTGGAGGAGGAGAGACTGCAGGGTCTCAAGGGCTTTGGGGCTAGAATCTGCTGGGGCACAACCCTGGGCCTGTCTGCTGAGTCCTGACTCCTGAGCGCCCCACCCTGCCCAAGCTCCCTGCAGCAGGAGGGCACGTGGACATACCTGGTCTATCTTTACCGCCGTGGTGCTGGCATCCGTGGGCAGGTTAGACCGCTCCAGGTAAAATGCCCTGCGAGAGAAAGATGGGAATGAGGCGGGGGCCACCACACCCACCATCCTCCTGCCCCTACCCAGGTCTCAACTCCTGCAGCCACCGTGACTCCGCCCTCTGCCGACTCTCAGAATGAAATCCCTGAGAGCGCCTGCAGGCTGTGCTCACCCGCAGGCACCTGTTCCTACAACAGCCGGGGGGGAAAGAGGGGCCTCCTGAGCACTCCTCCAATGCCACCCCTCCCTGCCTGCCCGTCCACAGCAGCCCCCAGCCCTCTGCTCCCCAGGCCCTGGTCCTGCTTTTTCTCTCTTCTGAGCACTTCTCACCACTTGGCATCTCATGGCTCTGGGCTTACTGGTTTACTGTTCGTCTCCCCCTCCAGAACAGGGGTCAGCGAACTTCTTCTGTGAAGAGCCCAACGGTAAACATTTTATGCTTTGTGCACTGGAAAGTCTCGATCGCGGCCACTCAGCTCTGCCATTGCAGCACAAAAGCAGCCACAGAGGATGTGAAAATGAGTGAATGCAGGTGTGCTAATAAAACTTTATTTACAAAACAGGGAGACAAGGAGGGCCAGATTTTGACAACCCCTGCTCTAGAATATATGCTCCATGAAGAACAGGACTTTGTTTTGCTCACTGCACATTCCCAAACAAGCACCCGGAACAGTGCCCGGCCCGCAGAAGGCCTCAACATGTGTGAATGAAGGGATGAATGAATCATCACACAGGCAGGACTCAGAGTATTCCACAGATGGCGCAGAACAGACTGATGACAGCCCTGATCAATCCAAACAGATGCCAGTTTTCAGTAACTGGGCTGGATGCTTTCTCTGAGCAAACGAATGAAGCCTCATTCTCTCATTTCCAAATGATGAAGCCCAGACCCGTACTCATCTCCCTGGGGTCTTAATTCTCGGCCTGCCTCTGTCACAGAGGGAGGTGGTGAGACACACGCAGGAAGGGCTGTGGGGGAGGGTGGTAGGAGTGGGAGCTGCAGAACTTAGAAGCTGCCTCCCAGAACCTGTGGTTCCTCCTGGTGATACCTGGCTCCTGCTCTCACCCCTCCTCCCCTGGGGTTCTCTTCTGAGCAGCCAAGACCCTGGGAGCCGCACCCCTCACTCACAGGCCCAAGAGTCCCAAGGTCCCCTGTCCTAGCTCCCACCCTCTGTAGAATGAAGCCGGCTCCTCTCAGTAGGAAAGACCCACTTTGAAACCAAACAGACCCCAGTTCAAAGCTCAGCCACTGCCTGGCTGTGTGACCTTGGGCAAGTGTGTACACTTTCTGGGCCTCAGTCGCCTCCTCTGTAAAGTGGGATCCATGGCCTGCTGCCATTGAGAATCTCACGCAGGCAAGAGTGCTGTCACACAGAAGGTGCTCAAGAAAGGGTGTGCGGCCCACTGCCCATGCTGGGGGTCCGCCTGGCACCTTCCATGCTAATGCCCACTCCACGTGGAGGTTTCCTGACTCCTGCCCCCAACGGGGACCCCAGGCGGATACCTGAGTTTGCGGTAATACTGCTGAACTTTCTCCAGGGACTGCGCGTTGATGTCCTGCTGCAAATCCTCCGCGGCCTGGCTGCCTGGAGAAGGCAGCCCCTCCACGTTCTCCAGCACTGGGAGGGGAGATGTCGGGGGCGGGCAGGCGGTTGGGAGCCGGTGTGCTTGGTGGCCTTGGCCCGGCCCCCGTGGTCCTCCCTGCCCCAGGCCTGAAGCTCACCTTTCGTGAACAGCGCTGTGTGCAGCCTCAGGCTGGCCCCACCCTCCAGGCGGGAGGGCAGCTTGGAGAAGTGGTAGCTGTCGAGGTAGAAGATGACCTTCAGCGCCTGCCGGCTGCCCTCAATGTGGTAGAAGACGTTGGTGTCTGCGGAAGGATATGGGGCAGGATGACTCACCACCGAGGCCAAGGCCAGGGGAAGCCCTGGCACACCTCTCCAGAACAGCTGGCACCTCCCTGCCCCCAGGTCCAGGGGGGCACCCTGGGACCTCCCTGTTCTCCCGACTCTACAGGGGTAGCCTCAGACCTCCCTGCCCTCCTGCCCTCTAGGGACAGCCTCCAGCAGCCCTTCCCTCTCACTCTCCGAAGAACTGCAGCTGACACCTCCCTTTCGCCTGCTTCATCAGCTCCTAGTTCCGCTGCTTAATTCTTGAACCTGATGCGGACTCTGCCTACTTAGGGGGTCCACAGCATTTGGGGTCAGAGCTTCCCCAGCGCTCCTTGTACCCTCACCCGGTAGCCCATGGCCCCTGCCTGGGAAAAGCTGCCCTCAAACAGGGTATACATCTGATTCATAGCCAGAAGGAAGCGCTTAGGGCAGGGGGTGCAAAATATGGCACCCAGACCCCATCCTGCACCCATGGCAGACATCACTCATCGATCAAAGCTCTGCCCGAGCCAATCTCAGCCTGGAGACAGGCAGCTGCTGCTGCCTATCAATTCCAATTGCTACTCAAAGAGAACCTGCCCTTCATCTAGACTCTAGTCCATGCATTTTCAGCAGGAGAGACACTGTCCCCAAGGAGGTGAAAACTGGCTCGTGGGAAGGAGAATGAAAACACTTTCCTCTTTTAATGTATAATAAGCACAGATGCACAGATAAACAGACACAGGGTATACCCGTAGTAGTATAATTTCATGGGGGTGCAGCAATTAGGAAAAATTGACTAAAAAGGTTTTTTATGAAATTAAATAAAATCTAATGAAATGAAAAAACTGAGAAACACTAATCCAGTGCCTGGTTCCTAATTAAACCCACATGCCTCAGAAGCCCCTGGAGGGCTTTCAGCATACAGGCCTCTGGACTCCACCTCCAGAGTTTCTGAGGCCGTAGTTCTGGCTGGGCCGGAGAATATGCCTTTCTATCAAGCCCCCAGGTGCTGCTGGTCCAGGGGCCACGCTCTGAGAACCCCTGCTTTCAGAAGCAAGCCCAGAAGTTCCCAGCCCTGGCTGCACATCCAGACTACCCAGCACCCAGACCCCACCCCACAAACCGATCAGAATCGCTAGGGCCCAGGGCCCTGGGATCGTTGCAAAGTTCCCTCAATGATTCCAGAGTGCAAGCAGGGCTGAGACGCACTGGTCTAGACTATGAGCTCCAGGAGGGTAGGAATGAGGACCATGTTACATGGCCCAAAACGCAGCCTGACATATACTATGTGCTCAAAATTATGGACATGTAAATAGATGGATGGATGGACGGATGGATGATGGTTGGATGGATGGATGGATGGATGGACAGATGTTTGGATGGATCGATGGATGAATGGATGCATGGATGGATGGATGAGTGGGATGGATGGATGGATGGACGGATGGATGGATGGATGCATGGATGCCTGGATGGATGGATGCATGGACACATGGGTGGGTGGATGGATGGATGGATGGATGGATGGATGCATGGATGGATGGATGGATGGATGGATAAATAAATGGGTGGGCAGGTGGAAGGATGGGTGGAAAATAGACACAGAGAGAAAGACAGAAAGAAAAAGGGAGAAAGGGGAGAAAGCGTGGAGGAAGGAGAGGTGAGGACACGAGCAAGGGAGGAAGGGAGGATGGAACTTAATTATGGTACTTATTTAAGCCCTTTAAAAATCTTAAGTTTTCACATCTCTAGGGAATAATTTTATTAAGAATTGGGTACCAGTGTCATTCTCTTTTAAGAGCTGTTGGAAATAGCCGGGTTCATACAAAAAGAAACCCCTCTTTTTCCATGTGTGCCCCAAAGTTCGGCTCTCACACTCATGTTGGAGGCATGAGGTTTGACAGCACTGAGTACTGAGCCCACCTTGGGCAGCTGGCCCAGAGGCAGGGGAAGGACAGGGTGACCCCAGAGAGCTGTCCCTTCCACCCCAGGACCCCACCTCTCACAGTGGGGGATGGGAGAAATCACTCACTGGCCACATAGTTCTCGTCCAGCTGCTTAAAGGAGAAGGTGACATTGTCCAGCTCTGACAGCGTCACCCAGATGTCCTCCAGCATGGTCCGTTCCTCCTTCTGCAGGAAGAAGACAGCGCGGAGGAGTCTCAGATGCCAACCCTGCCCCAGGGTTTCCTATCAAGATGCTGAATTCAACTCTAGTCGGCACTCCACACTGTGGGCCCCCTGGGTGCCAGGTCCTGAGCGTGACTCTCCAGAGTGGATGTGAAATCATGGTGTGCTCTGTGGCTTGTCCTGCACTTTCAAGGGTCATAGAACCCATCTCTGCCTTAATTCACTGAGTGATCCTAGTAAAGTCACTGCCTCTCTTGCCTGGATCACCAACCAGGCTTCTAACTTAACCTTTTTGAGCCTAACACACTCAAATAAAAGTCCCCAATTCCTTCCTCAACCTCCCCCAGTCGGTCCCATGTCAGCAAATAGCACCAGCGTTCATTCGGTCATCCAAGATCCAAACCTTTGACTTCTCAGTTTCTCTCCCGCTCACCCTGGGCCTGGTCCATCACCAAGTCTGATGGGGTGACACTAAAACATCCTCCAGACCCACCCATCTCCCTCCAGCTTCCTGGCCACCACCCAGGTTCAAGGGTCCACCATCTCTTGTCAAGATGACACCAGGTTTCCCTTCTGCCACTCTCTGCCCCCAAACAATACATCCTACAAGTCATGTTTTGAAAACTTAACCCAAATTATATCACTCACCCAGCTCCAAGCCTCTGAACCCTCCACTGCTTCCAGATTAAAGTCTCAGGCCCTACAGAACTGGTCCCCACATCTCCCTAGCCCCTGCCGCTCCCCTCTGGTCACACCAGCCACTCTTCGGGGCCTTTGTACATGCTGGTCCCTCTACCCCGCACACTCTTCCTCACACTGTCTGCCTGGCTGGCTGAGGTCTCAGCTCAAGCGTCACCACCTCACACAGGCTGTCTCTGACAGAGAAGCTGCAGTGCCCGCCAAGCTTCCTGTAGAGATTGCCTTCTCCCCACCTTCCTTCCCTCCTCTGTCCTTTCTTCTTCTCAAGCTGCTTCCCCCAACTAGGAAGTCAGCTTCAGGCCCCCAGCTCCCAGCTCAGGGCCTGGCACATCGTGGTGTTTGGAGAATGAAGGAACTTGGCCCAGCATCCCCATGTGAGAAGAGGAAGGGGAGGGCTGAGTGTTCCCTGCTTCCTCCCTGGGCCCCAGGTTGTGCATTCTGAGAATCAAGTGATGGCCAATCTGTGCCAGGCAGGCGTCTTGTGCAGCAGCAGCCAGCAGAGGGCGCTCCAAGGCCAGGCCTCCCCACCAGCCAGCAGCAGGGGCTCCAGGAGCCAACCTCAGAGGCACTGGTGACTCTCAGGTCCTGGCCGGATGTCCAGCAGCATCCCTGGCTTCCACCACCCCACTCCCACCTCAGGCCCTCAGTTGTCACAACCAAAAACATCTCCAGACATTACCAAGTGTCCCCTAGTGGGGAAACTGCCCTGGGCTGAGAGCCGCTGGTCTGTAGCATGGATTCTGTTATCTGTGTGTGTGTGCCTCCCTCCCTCCCACTGGGACAGAAGATCCCTGGGTACAGGGACTCTGTTTTGTTCACTGCTGGACCTTCAGTGCCTATAAAACAGCACACAGGTGCTCAACAAATAGCTGCTGCGGGAATGACGAGGCCAGGGGGAGCCTGAGTAAGTGGGCAAGGGCTCCCTCGACCCGGCCTGGGCGGGCACCAGTGGGTGGGCCAGCGGGGCCGCCCTCCCGCCCCACTCACTCACCACTGTGGCTGGCGAGAGCAGGGACTGGCAGTGCAGCAGGACGCCCGTGGCCGCCACCTGCTCCAGCCACTTGCGGCTGGCGTCGCGGCTGCTCTCCTCGTACTCGCCATTGTTGTTGTAGCGGTAGCCCAGGGCCGCCAGCAGCTGCTTGGAGAAGGTGCACAC
This sequence comes from Homo sapiens, assembly GCF_000001405.40. Classification (NCBI taxonomy): domain Eukaryota; kingdom Metazoa; phylum Chordata; class Mammalia; order Primates; family Hominidae; genus Homo; species Homo sapiens. Next base: position 48,636,628 of record NC_000020.11, read on the forward strand.
GGCGGCCACCAGGGCCTGGCAGAAGATCGCGTCTCTGCGCAGCTGCAGCTCCGTGTCTGGGGGCAGAGGGCAGGAGGCCTTGCTGGAGGGGCGCTCCCGTGCCACCAGGAGGCCCACCCCCCAAAACCCTGGGTCCAGGACCCCTCATGGAACCCCCAGCAAAGGGCTAACATCAGGCCAGAAATTACTTTTTGGTGGACATCCCAGCCACCAAAAGCCAATTCCACAAAAATCAATTCTACGAAAAGCAAGCCCATTTGCCAAAACTGTTCTCTCAGTGACTCATCTGCCTGCTTTGAAAACCAAACAAACAAACAAACATCTTGTGATTTTCCTAAGGGTTTCCCAAGACCCTCACCCTCAGCCATTTCTCCTCTCATTATGGGATTCCTTGGCCTTGGCCAGTAGAATGCCAATGGTGCTAAGCTCTTCTGCCAAGCTGCACATGTTCAGAAATGCAGTTTAGCATTTTCTCTATTTTGGAGAACTATGCTTTCTTCCTTCCCCCACCTCTGCCCTTGCCCCTGTCCTTGACCTTGGCATGGTCTGAAGAACTGGCCAGTTTCAAGCAATTGGTCTCTCAGGGTCCCAATCTTCTGGAAGGAATTATTTCCAATGGCCGGCTTCTGGCCAGTGAGTTTTTTAGTGACCAAATTTGACCCAGATCCTGCAGTAGCACCCCCTTGGCTAATTTCTAGAAAGAAGGCAGGGATAGAGAAGGTCTCCAAGATTCTCCCGCTACCTCCTCCCCCTTCCTCTTCCCCACTCTCTGCTGGGTGGAAGCCCCCAGGCTGGGGCTGAAGGCTCTACCGGCACAAGGCCCCCTAACATCGTCCTCTATCCCGGGGCCCCGTCAACATCCACCCAGGCCTGGGCAGTGGCACAGGACAGGGCTCCTGGCTCCAGTGCCCTGAGACTTGTCCCTTGGACACAAGAGGAAGAAGCAAGTTTCAAGTAGCTCTTGGAGGGGCTCCAGGCCAAAGCGTTGCCTCCCCCCGTCCAGGCCCCGAGGGCATGGATGGTCGGCCTTGGGTGGTGGAAGAGGCCGGGTATGTGCCCCCCACACACCTTTAAAGGCCTCACCTGTGCACTTCAGCAAGGCCAGGAGCAGCTGGTTCTTCCCATCTGGAAGGAGAAGGGAGACAGAAAGGGGGACGGGCTGGGAGGGGGCAGCAAGAGGTGAGGGCAGAACCGGGCCCCTCCCCATGGCACCTCCCAAGGTGCTCTGACCCTTCACAGCAAAGCCCTGGCACCCAAGGCTGTGCTCAAGGAGGTTTTATTGATTGTCAGGTAAACTCCAGGAACCCCTGACCTCAGGCAGTGGAACCCCAACTGTGAGCCCCATCTGTACGTGCAAGCCTGGGACACAGATGGAACCAGCCCCTTTAATCCCTGGGCCACAGCCCCTGCCCCACACCTTGTTCACATAAGTATGGTCACACACACGTACAACCTAGATACACACGTATCCATACACACACACACTCACACATCAACAGACACCCAAGTGCATGCCACACACAGAGACACACACATATACTCATACGTAGACTCACATATGTACACACGCAGGTACACATGCGCCCACACAAGCACACAGCAGACACACAAGTGCACACCACACACGTGCACTCATCTGCAGACTCACATACATATGTACACACACAGGTACACACACATCCACACAGACACACAACAGACACACGAGTGCACACATAAGACACACACTCCTAACAGCCTCACATACATATTCTCATCCTACATGGGCATGGCCCTACACACGCCCTGTCCTGCAAAAAAAGCTCAATTCTTCCAGGCCCAACATCCTGTTCTCTTTCCTTAAAAAAGATGCTCCTCGGCCCACAAAAGGGCTTAGAAAGATGTGGAAGGGCTTTGGATTTGGTTTATTAGGTGCCTTCTTCCCCAGGGAGGACTGCAGGACTCAGGGCTGGGCAGGGTAAGAACGAGAGCAGCTGCAGTGGTGCGCTCTTGTCAGGACTCACCACGCCAGGCACCACGGCAGGACTCACCACGCCAGGCAGCCAGGCCAGAACTCACCACACCAGGAAGCCAGGCCAGGAGTCACCACGCCAGGCAGCCAGGGCACTGAGCGCATGACCTATGCTGACTCATTTAATCCTCCTGACCACACGGGAAGGAGGCAGCACTGTGGGCCCATTTGACACAGGAAGAAGCTAAGGCCAGAGGCGTCAAGGAACTCGCCATGATCACACAGCCAGTAAGTGGGTGAGCTGGGATTCAAGCCCTGGTGGTCTGGACCCAGAGTCGATGCTCCTCACTGGTTACACTTTTGGAGAACAGGACAGATCAGAAGCAGCAGAGACTCCGACTCAGAGGCTGCCATTCCCCGAGGGAACAGCCCAGAGTCCTCTAATCTCCCACTGTCCTGGTCAAACATCTCCCTCGTCCGGATCCTTCTAACGCAGGAGTCTCAGACGCAAATGCCGGCAAGGGCCAGGCAGGTGATGTAAGATGCGTGGAGCAGACGCCAAGCCACAGGGAGTGGTGGAGACTGGGGTGAACTGGAAAGCACCTCGGCCCCACGTACACAGAGCGGCCGCCACTCCTCTCCACCAAGGGAGGATGGGAGACTGGGCCTAGAGTCACCAGATCTTCGTGTTGTTCAAGAGCAGCCAGAAATCCAAGTTTCTATGTGAGAACCTTTGTCAAGCTGGAAGCAGAGTCACAGTTTTTGCTGCTGCAGCATCGAAACCTATCTGTGGGCCTGAATCTGGTCAGTGGGCTGCCAGCCGGTGTCCCTCATACCCTGATAATAACAGGAACTCACACATCCAATGCTTTGGAAGCTGAGAAAGAACAGGTTCAGCCTTTTCAACCTCCAAAGTCAGGGCTTTGTTTTGTTTTGTTTTGTTTCTGATTTTTGTTTTGATAGAGACAGGGTCTCACTATGTTGCCCAGGTCTCAAACTCCTGGGCTCAAGTCACATCCTGCCCAGGGCAGGACACTCAGCTGAGAGAGGGCATCACTTCTCTTGTCCTCTCCCTGGTCATGGAGAAACAGGGGTCACAGAACTGGATCCATTCCTGATTCTCTCAGGTTCCACACCAAAAGCCATGGCCCCCTCCCCACCATGATGCACCCTCCCTGCCCACCGACCTTCCACATATCTCTGAATGTTGTCCACCAGGGTCTTGATGGAGTTGGGGAGGTTCCAGGGGTCCTCCTGGATGCTAATCTGGATCAGGCTCCGGCCACGGATTGTACACTCTTCTTTCTGTTTAAACTCTGGGGCAGGAAAGTGGCATGAGGGCCAGGGAAGGGACGGAGGTAGTGTTGGAGAACGGTGGCACAAAGGCCTATGTCCCATCACAGATCCCAGAGCTCATAATCCTAGATCAAGGGAGCTGGCAGGACTCCTGGGCATTATCGGGTCCACAGAGGGTAAGTGTGCTATTTCATGGTACCACACCCATGGCAGGCATTATTCATCAATCTCAGCACTCCTTCCTGCTGCTCTGAGACCAAGACTCCCCACAGCTATAGCCAATCCAGTGCAGACCTCACAAATCAATCACGGCTTTCCTTTCGTCTAAGCCTGGATGTTGTAGCCACAGAAGGATTCTCAGGAACTACCTCCTCATAGCCACAACCAATTGAGATGGCACATGAGTTCTATCCCTTTCCCTACACAGAGGAGGAAGCCCACACACAGAGTGGGAAAGTGACATGCCTTAAGTCATGCAACTGGGCAGTGACAGCGCTGGGACTTACCTCTGGCCCCACCATTCAGAGGCCAGGAAGAAAAAGGCCCCTGCAAAAGACAAAGGCTCTTTCCTCCTGCAAGGTCCCAGTTTCTGAGATATTTGTGGGTTTGCTGTTTCTGCTTTCTGAGGTCCATCCCTGAAAGCTGATCCTGAGACAGCAGGATGTGCAGCTGAGCTGGGGAGCCCCAAGTCCTCACCACTTCCCACCCTCTCTTGGTGGCAACTGCCCATCTGCATTTCTATCTCCTACAATCTACAATGAGCTCCTTGAGGTCAGGGCAGTATCAAATTCATCTCAGGGTCTCCAGTGCCCAGTACAAGGCCTGGCACAAGCTGGTTCTGGGAAATTATTTACTGGATGTACAGAAGCATGAATGGACAGGTAGATGATGAATGAATGGGTAGAAGGGTGAAAGAGTGGGCACACAGATGGAAGGAGGGAAGGATGGATGGATGGACAGACAAGAAGATGGATGGATGGATGGGTAGGTGGGTAGATGGATGGATGGGTGGGTGGGTGGGTGGGTGGATGGATAGATGGTAAGTGGGTAGTTGGGTGGAGGGGTGGATGGACGGATGGATTGATGGGTGCATGGGTGGCTGAGTGGGTGAATGGATGGATAGCTAGATGATAAATGGATGAGTGGATGGATAGATGGGTGGATAGATGGATAGACAGTGGGAGGGTAGATGGGTGGATGCACGGATAGTAGGTTGGGTGGATGAGTAGGGTGGGTAGGTGGGTAAATGGGAGGAGAGGTAGGTGGGAGAACATAAGAAATTTCAATTCCTTTTCTCTCAATCATTTCAAGAAGAAAGCCTCAATTTGGTGTTGGTAAGCCCTTAACACTTCTTTAATTCACAAATCCCTCTCTTAAATGAAGAACAAAGAGCCCTTGGCAGGCAACAGTGCCTAACTGCGGTATAATGATATTTCGTTGCCGTTGTTTGCATTTAATTTATCATTATCATTATGGTTTATCATCAAATTTTGGCATATTATGCTGGCTTTTCATATATAGGGAGTTCAATAAGGTCCTTTCAAAATTAAATTTTTTAAGAGTGATACTTTTTAAAAAGTGATGTCAATAATAAGAAAAAAATGAGTATGGTTTAAAAGACATGAAGGAAGGCTGGGCACAGTGGCTCATACCTGGAATCCCAGCACTTTGGGAGGCCAAGGCAGGAGGACCACTTGAGCCCAGGAGTTCAAAACCAGCCATGGCTACAAGGCAAACCATGTCTCTACCAAAAAAAAAAAATCCAAAATTAGCCAGGAGAAGTGGCGTGCACCTGTAGTCCCAGCTACTTAGGAGGCTGAGTTGTGAGGATAACTTGAGCCTGGGAGGTCAAGGCTGCAGTGAGCTGTGATCATACCACTGTACTCCAGCCTGAGTGATAGAGTGAGACCCTTTCTCCAAAAAACAAGAAAGAAAGAAAGAAAGAAAGAAAGAGAGAGAGAGAGAGAGGAAGGAAGGAAGGAAGGAAGGAAGGAAGGAAGGAAGGAAGGAAGGAAGGAAGGAAGGAAGGAAGGAAAAGAAACAGGAGGGGAGGGAAGGGGAGGGGAGGGGAAGGGGAAAGGTCAAAAGAAAAAGAAAAAGAACCATTCTTGGCTCAGAGCCTACAAAAACAGGTCATGGACTGGATGTGGCCCATGGGCTAAAATCGCTGTCCTGATGATCCTACAGTCGTTCAGCAGTAGGAGGGCAGAGCTGAGCATTAGCCCGGGTACGCCGCCCTGTCTAACACCCTTCCCCATCGCAGGCTGTCACCTTGGACTGGCTATCCCCTCACCTTGTAAGCTGTGGTTCATAGGGAAATGCTTGGTCTCTTCGAAAGCCCGGCTCATGACTGGCCCCTTGAGGAGAGCATTGATGGAGTCCACCTGGGTGGCAAGAAGCCTGGGGTTGGTTTGGGCCCCGTGGCCCTACACACTGCAGACATCTGGGACCCACAGCCCCCGGGTCATGGGCCCTCCCCAGGTGTGACAGGAGGAACCCAAAGTTGCGCCAGGAGTGGGGCAAAGGTCCTACCTGGTTAAAGAGGTGCTCCAGGCAGCCATGAAGCTTGTCCTGCTTGTCAGATGGGATCCGCATGTCACAGGGCAGCTCATCTCCTGGCAGGAGGTAGAAGCAGCAGCCATCAGTCATTCCTGCCCCACCTCACACCATCCCCAGCACTTTCCTAAGAGGGGGATACAGCTACAGAACTCCAAACCCACAAGGGATGTGGAGTCTGAAGACCAGGTCCTGGCTGTGAGCCACAGGGCAAATCACCTGACCTCTCTGAGCCTCAGTTTCTTCATCTGCAAAATGGACAACAGGCACTAACGCATGACAAGATTGTAAAGCACTGCTACTGTTTCCATTCTGCAAATGAGGGACTGAGGAACAGAGAAAAGGACCTGGAGGCCACGTCTCCTGATTCCTCACCCAGCTGGTTCAGTTACATCAGCTGTCACACCCAACTCCTTCCTAGAGCCACCTGGGGACAGTTTGTGCAGTTGACTATCTTATGTGATGAAATCTGTATCTAAAGTTCAACAATTTCTTCCATTTTACTTGAGCTTCTTTTTCTTCTGTTAATTGAAGTATAATTAAAATTAAATTTTTATGCACAGACTATCTCTGAAAAGACACACAAGACTGCAGTGACAGTGGGAACAGCAGTGACAGCCTGAGAACCAAGGGTGGGGGGGAGACTTGTCACCATGCACCCTCCGGGGCCTTCTGAATTATGTACCATGTGGATACACAACCCATTTGCAAAATGAACTGCTTTAAAGTCTGAAGTAAACAAGACTAAAATAAAAAACAATTTCAGGCTTTCAGTAACGCCTTTAATCCCAGCAATTTGGGAGGCCGGGGCAGGCGGATCACAAGGTCAAGAGATCAAGACCATCCTGGCCAACATGGTGAAACCCTATGTCTACTAAAAATACAAAAATTATCTGAATGTGGTGGCGGGCGCCTGTAATCCCAGCTACTCAGGAGCCTGAGGCAGGAAAATCGCTTGAACCCGGGAGGTGGAGGTTGCAGTGAGCTGAGATCGTGCCACTGCACTCCAGCCTGACAACAGAGTGAGACTCTGTCTCAAAAAAAAATTTAAAAAAAAAAGCTGTAAGTAGAGTATGATCTAATTTATAAAATATTGTCTATGTCTGTCTATCCATCCATCCACCCACCTGCCCATCCATGCATTCACAGGCCCCACCAATGAGCTCCAAATGCTGGCGAGGGTCATTTCTGGGGGAGATGATAAGACTCTCATTCATTTTTATGGACTTCTTTTTGTTGTTTGTTTGTTTGCTTGTTTCTTGAGATGGAGTCTCACTCTGTCACCCAGGCTGGAGTGCAGTGGCATGATCTGAGTCCACTGCAACCTCCCCCTCCCAAGTTCAAGTGATTCTCCTGCCTCAGCCTCCCAAATAGCTGGGATTACAGGTGCGTGCACCACCACACCCAGCTAATTTTTTGTATTTTTAGTAGAGACGGGGTTTCACCATGTTGGCCAGGCTGGTCTCAAACTCCTGACCTAAAGTGATCCGCCTGCCTTGGCCTCCCAAAGTGCTGGGATTACAGGCGTGAGCCACCACGCTCAGCCATGGGTACTTCTTTGAACTGCTCTGTGTCATTTGGATTTTCGGTTTACACATGTATCATTTTTACATAAACCATGAGGTCACCCTGTTTAGTTGTCAGCACACGCATCACAACATTCATCGAACATGAAGTACACAGAATTGAACCGTGCATGCTTCCATTTGCTCCATCTCCATGACATTCACGGAGAACATCAGCTCTAAGAGGGCGGAGATGTTTGTTTCTTTCGCTGCCGCATTCCCAGTGCCCAGCACATAATATGGGCTCAAGAAATACTTGTTGAATGACTGAATGGAAGGAAATCAAGTACAGGACCATGCAATAAAACACAAAACAATATAATGCAGAGGAAAGTATAATAAAATAAACTAAAACTAAATCTCATGGGGAGGAGCCTCTCTCCCTGAGCACAGGCCGCTGCCACTCCACTCACCAGACCCCATCTCGTCGCTGCCCAAGTAGGAGCTGTTACTTCTCACGCTGGTGTAGGACAGGACCGAGTCTCGATTGCTGTTACACTCGCTGCAAAGGGGCCCAGAGAAGGGGCTGAGTCACCCTGAGCTCAGGCCATCTGGTCCTGGCACCCAAAACCCACTTTCTACAGTGTAGACAAAACCCCTGGGCCCTCAGGTGGGCGTGCAGCCCAGAGAGGGCACCGAGCACCGGTCCTGGGTCCCAAAGGCAGGGAAGGCCGGCCTGGTGGGTTTTCCACGCCTGAGGGCTGGGAAACGTTTCTAGGCTCTAGCACAGAAACACAGAAATAGGAGGAAGACGGTGAATCATTTTCACGCAGGTGTCACTCTGTCCAGTGTCCCCAGGGGACAGCCTTGCCCTGAGACACCTGCCCATTCCACAGGGCTCTGTCTTCCGTCTCCTCAGCCCCCAGCCTGGCTGGAAACCTCATGAGGACAGGGACTGGATTGGATTCCCTACGGCCCAGGAACTCGGAAGGTGTGGGAGATCAAAACCCAGGATCCTGACATTTTTTCCTTCACCTTTTTGAAAATTAAAGGAAAAACTGGAGGACCCAAAAATGTAAGAATGAAATCCCAGAGAGAGGGCAAAATCTGAGACTATGGACATGAGGCTCTGGGGGCACAAAGTGCCGCAGCAGCCAGATACAGACGCCAGGCGAGCAGCCAACGGGGGATCAGGCAGATCCCTTGACGACTGGAAGAACATTCACGCTGCGAGGACTGGGGGGAAGGTCTGCCTTCTCAAACTGTATCAGTTCTGATTTTTGCCCACAAACAGTTGAAGCACCCTCTAAGATTCCACTGTAACCACCATGGGCAAATGTGATGTCACCTTTCACTGGGACCACAGTGCTGGTTTATCTGCAGTAAGGAATTAAACTTACCCATTATATGGCTTATTACAGGAAACTGAGTTTTAGTCTATTTAACCAACTAGTTAGGACCTCACTGATCTTGTTATAATTAACCAGTAGAAAATTTAGATCTTCTCAGGTTAGGAGGGGAAAAAACTGCACTCTTCCTCCTTGGACCAAATAAACATAAATAGTGCTTGTTTCAGAAACCGTATGTCTTACACTGAGTTTGCAAACACACCACAGAATCTTGCCCTTGTGCCTGACAACATCGTGTCAGCATGTGTGGGGTGACACTGAGGCAGAACAGATGGGTCCACGTGGGGACAACCCTAAAATGTCAGCTTTGCAACTGGGGAGCCTAAGTGGGTCTTCCAGGCTCAGGGGTCTCAGATAATCCCCCAGAACCACGCTATCAGCAACAGCACCCTGAGCCCACTGCACCCTGAGAAGTGTCCACTGATTCTGATGTTGCCACGGGTCCGTGGCCTCACCTGTCCAGGGCCATCCTCATCTAACCTCAGCCCCCTGACGGTGACACCCACCTGTAGGAGTCGCGATAACTCATGGTGTCGTGGCCTGAGTCCTCCTGGTCCTCCTCGGCCACCTTGAAGCACACCTTCTTGATGCCCCCATGGTCACTCCTGTCCATCTCGCTCTCTTCACTGACCAGGGGCAGGGAGGAGGCCTCCTCAGCCAAGGATGCGTCGCAGGACCCACCCGAGGTGGGCTCTGTGATGGTGGACAGCAGCCTACGGAAGCAAAGACCTTGAAGTCAAAGATACAGGCCTGGCCCTTTGTGTCCCTTCCCTGAAAATCCCACCAGCAGCTGCAGGTGTGAGCACTGGCCCTCCTGTTGGGGGTGGGAGACTCGCAAGTTCTTTCACGGCCAAGCTACACAAGGCTCTACCAGAAGGTGAGGCAGGAAGCCTTTCCTGTGAAGACCCTGAGAGCAAATCCTTCCACCTCAATAGGCTGTAGGGTCTCAGTGACAACCATTCAACCTGCTGTTGCAGTGGGAAAGACCTGGACAGTGTGGAAGCAAATGGGCGTGGCTGTGTTCCAATGACACCTTGTTTAAAAATGAAAACAATCAGCTGGGCGCAGTGGTTCACACCTGTAATCCCAGTACTTTGGGAGGCTGAGGTGGGCTGATCACCTGAGGTCAGGAGTTTGAGACCAGCCTGGCCAACATGGCCAACATGGCGAAACCCTGTCTCTACTAACAAACAAAAATTAACTGGGTGTGGTGGCGGGTGCCTGTAATCCCAGCTACTCGGGAGGCTCGTATGAGAATCGCTTGAACCTGGGAGGCGGAGGTTGAAGTGAGCCAAGATCGCACCACTGCACAGAGCGAGAGAACCCATCTCAAAAAAAAAAAAAAAAAGAAAAGAAAAGAAAAAGAAAACAATAGGCTGAAGTCTGGACTGGGCCCCTAGGCCATAGCTCATCAATCCCCACTGTAGGGTGTGACGGTTAAGAGCACAGGTTTTGAAGCTAGCTAAACCCCAGATTCAAATCCCAGTATTGCCATTCCTCAAGCTAATTATTTAAACTCTCGGAGACTCTGTTTCCTCATATGTAAAATGGGATCATATCAGTATCTATATCTTAGGCTTCTGTGACAATTAAGGGAGTTAAAATGTGTAAACAGGCTAGGCCCAGTGGCTCACGCCTGTAATCCCAACACTTTGGGAGGCTGAGGCAGGAGGATCTCTTTAGCTCAAGACTTCAAGACCAGCTGTGAGACCGCATCTCTGTAACAAATACAAAAATTAGCCAGGCATGGCGGCATGTGCCTGTAGTCCTAGTCACTTGGGAGGCTGAGGCAGGAGGATCACTTGAGCCCAGGAGTTCGAGGCTGTGGCAACCTATGATCACACCATCACACTCTAGCCTGGTGACAGTTGGATAAAGTGCTCAGAACAGTGTCTCTGCTAGGCGTGGTGGCTCATATCTGTAATCCCAGCACTTTGGGAGGCCAAGGCGGGTGGGTCACGAGATCAAGAGATCAAGACCATCCTGGCCAACATGGTGAAACCCCATCTCTACTAAAAATACAAAAATTAGCTGGGAGTGGTGGCGTGTGCCTATAGTCCCAGCTACTTGGGAGGCTGAGGCAGGAGAATTGGTTGAACCCAGGAGGCGGAGGTTGCAGTGAGCAGAGATCACACCACTGCATTGCAGCCTGGTGACACAGTGAGACAACATCTCAAAAAAAAAAAAAAAAAAAAAAGAACAGTGTCTCGTGCCTTCTAAGTGAGCAGTGATGAATACGCCCAGCTAGATGCAATCCCACCACATCTCCACAGTCAGTAGCATGATTAGCCCCATTTGACAAACGAGGAAACCAAGGCTCAGAGTGGTTAAGTGACTTGCCTAAGTTTGCACAGTGGATAAGTAGCAGGGCCAGGATTTGAACCCAGGCCTCCTGGCTCTAGAGTCTACATTCTTTTTTTCCCTTATCATGGAATATTTCCATCATACACAAAAGTAGAGAGAATATCATGAACCCAGGTATCCAACAGGCAGCTTCAACAACAGCCACTCAGGGTCCACCTTGTTTCCCCCATGATCCCCATCACTTTTTATTTCCCTGGAGCATTTTGTTTTGTTTTGAGACAGGGTCTCGTTCTTTCACCCAGGCTGGAGTGCAGTGGTGCAATCATGGCTTACTGCAGCCTCGATCTTCTGGGCTCAAGTCATCCTGCCTCAGCACACTGAGGAGCTGGGACAACAGGTGTATGCCATCACGCCTGGCTAATTTTAGGATTTTTTTTTTATAGAGATAGGGTTTCACTACGTTGCCCAGGCTGGTCTCAAAGTCCTGGGCTCAAGGAATCCCTCCAACTCAGCCTCCCAAAGTGCTGAAATTACAGGCATGAGCCACTGTACCCAGCCCACTGGAGTATTTAAAACAAGTCCAAGATAACACGTAATTCCACCACACCTACTTCCGCAGGTGTCTCTAATACATACAGACTTTCTTTTAAACATGTGGTTCTCAAGTGGGGGCAATTTTGCCCCCTAGGAAATCTTTAGCTATGTCCAAAGACACTTCTACTTGTCTTAACTGAAGAGGGATTTTGCCACCAGCATCTCGTAGGTAGAGACCCCAGATGCTGCTGAACATCCTCCGATGCCCAGGACAGCTCCCCAACAAGGAATAATCCAGCCCCAAATGTCACCAGTGTCAAGGGTGAGAGACACTGCTTTACACAGACCACACTGCTCAACTGTGCCCAACAGAAGGAAGGAGTCCTCAATACCATCAAGCACCCAGTCTGTGGACAAACACCCCTGATTGTCTCAAAATGCCTCCCCACATGGACGTGCTAGAAACCTGCTAAGCAGGTTCAGAGGCTGCATCTGGCAGGTCCGTCTCTTGAGTCTCTTTAATCTCCAGCAGTTCCTCTTCCCCACACCTGCTTCCCCATCATTCGTTGATGATTTGGCCGGATGCCTCCCCAAGGTGCCATTGAACCACCCTCTGCCCCACATCCTAGAGCTGAGTAAGGAGACCTTGAACCTTCAGGAGATGACAGCTCTGTATCTGCTGGCAAGAGCCTCGTGGGCGGGGCTGCGTCTGTGTCCTGTTGTATTACAGCAAAAGGACGGCTTGTACAGCTGCCTCCTTTCTATGATGTTAAAATTATAAAGTTCTCTCCAGAATCTTTCAGCAGATAGTTTTAGCCTCACTGATGAGCGCTGCTATATCCATAATATTTCATTACACCAGTGGTTCTCAGTCAGGGATGATTTTCCCTGCAGGGGATATTTAGCAATGTCTGAAGACATTTTTGGTTGTCACAATCAGGTGAGGGGGTGCTACTGGCAGCTAGTGGATAGACGAAAAAGATACTGCTAAATAGCCTATAATGTCCAGGACAGCCCACCCCCCACTACAAAGAATGATGCTACCCACAATGTCAGTAAGGCCAGGATTGAGAACACCTGCCCCTGCTCACGCCGGACACCCCCGGCCAGCGCTCACCTGTTGATCTGGGTGACATATTGCTTCATCTCCTTCAGGGCCACATCCAGCTTGGTGAAGAGCTGCAGGTAGGCATCCTGGATCTCACGGTCCTCCTGCTTGAGTAGGAAGCTGAGGCCCCGGTCTTCCTGACCAAGGGTCCCACTGGCTGGCCCGAAGCTGCCATCATGGAGACCCTGGCCTTGGGGATCACCCTCTGCAGCAGGCAAGCACTTCCAGGAGGGAGCAGCCATGGTGGTGATGCAGTGCTGGGTGTACGACATGGGGTTCAGGTGGCCTGCAGTGGAGGAAGAGAGAGCTCACTGGAAAACAGCCCCCAGCATCCACTGGGCCTTTGGGCGGAACAATACAAACCCATTTCAAGGATCCCAATGAAGGAGAAAAATGTCCCTTCTAAATACTCTTAATTCATTCAGTTACTTCAAGAAGACTGTTCCAGTCTGGTGCTAACATGCTTTTAACTACTGTGATCTTTTCCTGCCTGCAATGCAGACATGATGGCTGGTACCCCAGCAGATATCATCCACAAGGCATAAAGCCACATCTAGAGATGCTGTCCCATAAAGAGAGAAGGTCATCCCTGATGACCATGGAGCCGCCATTCCAGCCCTGGACGGCTGACCTTCAGACAAGTTTTGGTTTAAGTATCTGGAGTGCAACATCTGAACACAGTTTCTAATAGACACACACAGGTACCTTGCTCCGGGTCAAGGCCGATGAGGGAGGGTTTGCGTCCAAAGCGGATGCTGAAGGACCTGCCCACTGAGGGGGTGGTCTTGGGGTAGGACACTTCCATGAGGTTGATGTGGCAATTGGTGGGGCAGAAGTCCAGGCCACACAGCGGGTGGGGCTCCAGGGGGGCTTGTTTGAAGGGTGGGCTGACCCTGCTCTTCAGTTGGGCTGCAAACTGAGAAAGTGGAGGCCGTAAGGTCGTGAATCACAGGGCAGGGTCTGGAAATATTGGCCCATACCCAGTACCCACTTTATCCTGGCCTAGGCCAGATGCCCCACAGTTGGACAAAATGCCAGTAGCTCCAAATGAGAAGGGGAACCCCTGGACTGTGTTTCACGGCTCAGGACTGCAGGGAAGGCCTGGAGGAACCCAAGGCCTCGGGGTGCCCACCCCATGCATGGCTCCATTTTGGCTGCCCCTGAACCATCCTTGAGGCATTGTCTCTGCCCCACCCTCAGTTCATGAGGTTCAGGGTCAACGTGCCTCTCCATCCCTATGGCGATTGGAACCAGGTGAGGCAAGTGACCTAAGCCAAGCCAACCAGAACTCCCTTGGAGTTAATTTTCTCCTGGGCTTGCTGAGGCTAGAGCTATCAAGGGCCAACGTGTCCCCACCACATGAGAAGGGTTTGCCTGAGAGTGAACCCAGCGCTAAGGAAAACGAAGCCAGGAGATGCGGAGAGGCCGCACTGCTATGATGTGATAAGTTCACCTCCGTCCTTTTCAGTAATACACACCATACATTCTCCTGTTTGTTTCAGCTGAGTTGGGTTGGGCTTTGTAATTTACAACCCAAATATCCCAGGCTGAGATGCTATGTCTGGGACCTGTGGCAGAGACCCCGGAGGGAGCACGCAGGCACCTCCTGGTAGCAGGCAATCCTCTGGCCAATGCTCTCCAGCTTGGTGTCACAGATGTTGCGGAACTCAAAGTGGGGCATGGTCACGATGGCGCTGCTCAGGGCCATGAGCCGCCTGCAGTTCTCCACGAAGACGCTGTCATTGGCAGCAAAGGCCTCGAGGATCTGCAGAAATGTCAACAGCTACTGAGCATTCCCTGTGTGCCGGGAAGATTTTAAGCGGTTCACCCACAGTGACTCCTGTACTACTCGTAATACCCCCCGGGAAGTCAGGTGTGTTGCTGGCCCATATTGCACGGGAGTAAACTGAGGCTAAAGGGACAAGCCACTCTGCACAGTCCCACGCTACCTAGTGGTGGGACAAGGACCAGAATTCAGGACTCCAGGCTAAGCCTGAGGAAATGGGATTCGGGTGTCCCACCCAACTCCTTCTCCCAACCTTTGATAAGAGAAACTGGCTTCAATCCCCCAGGGTAGGGCAGGGCCAGGCAGTGCCCAAGGAGACCTTGGCGGTGAGGCCGAAGCAGCCGCGGGGCTCCACGATCTTCTCCAGCACATGGCACCTGACGCCTGCCGTGCTCACATACTCATACACCACGCCGTGTTCCAGGTGCACGTTGTCCACAGTCAGGGTGACCATGGGGCTGTCCTCACACAGGCTCAGCCGGGGACCCAGGGACAGCAGTGGGAAGGCTGGAAGCCAAAAGAGGTGACATCTGAGCAGAGATCAGAGGGAGGGAGGAAGGCGAGGCGAGGAGGATTCTGGAGGAAGCCTTCCAGGCAGTGGGAACAGCAAGTGCAAAGGCCCCAGGGCAGGAGTACATTCCGCCAGAGTAGAGAGGCGAGTGGGGAAGTGATGGAAGGTGTTGGAGAGCCAGTCTGGACAAGGTCACACAAGCCATCCAAGGCCTGGCCCTGAGGACAGAGGGAGCCATCGGAAGGTTCTCTTCTCATCTGGGGGAATAGCCCCTTGGAGGAGAGGAAGTCAGAACAGGGAGAGCCATGAGCAGGCTACTGCCACCGTCCTGGTAAGAAATGATAGTGGCTTGGACCAGGGAGCTGAAACGGGCAAGGAAACAGATTCTCCCCGAGAGCCCAAGGAGGACCACAGCCCTGTGGACACCATGATTTCAGCCCAGTGGGACTCGGACTTCTGACCTCCAAAATTTAAGTAGTAACTGTGTGTTGTTTAAGCTGCTGGGTTTGGGGCACTTTGCTATAGCAGCCATCAGAAACTGACATAACATCGTGGGCATCGCGGCCGTGCGCAGTGGTGCACACCTGTAATCCCAGCACTCTGCGAGGCCGAGGCAAGAAGATTGCTTCAGCCCAGGAGTTAAGAGACCAGCCTGGGCAACATAGGGAGACCTCATCTCTAAAAAAAAAACTCTAAAATTTAAAAAATTAGCCAGGTGTGGTGGTACACGCTTGTGATCCTGGCTACTCCGGAGGCTGAGGTGGATCACTTGAACCAGGGAGGTTGGGGCTGCAGTGAGCTGTGGTCACAACACTACACTCCAGCCTGGGTGACAGAGCCAGAACCTGTCTCCAAAAAGGAAAAAAAAAACAAACCTGCTGGCATGGAGGTGGACTGGCTGGGAGGAGGGGAGGGGAGGGGACAACAGGAGAGGACCCAGCCCCTCCGGAGTCTCAGTCCCTCTGGAAGCTCCTGTCATGCCATGCCCCGTCTATTACCTGAATCAGCCTGGTCTTCCTCCTGGGCCTGCTCGCCACTGGGGTCCTCAGTGGAGGCCTCCTGACTGGCTCGTGCTTCCTGGGCATCCTCATGGGTGTGGTAGATCCACTGGTACAGGCCCTGCCAGAAGCCAGAGTAAGGGGACAGCCATGGTGCCGGCAGGTAGGGAGGAGGGGACAGGGCCGAGGTGTGAACTGCCCCTGGGTTCCAGAGCTCTGGAAACTCACTGACCACCAGTCACACTCAGCCCTCACCGTGCACAGTCTATGCTCCATACAGAAGCCAGGGGATGTGAAAATGTGAGGCAGGGACATGGGTGCAGACACGTCTCTCCTGTGTCCCCAGGGTCTACAAACATGCCTGGTGCACAGCAGGTGCCCAACACACACACACTGAGTGAACCAGTGAATCAATCAATGAGGGAATCTCGCCCTCCACCAGAACCCTGGCCCCCAACCAAATGGAGTATCCACTTTCCCAACCCACTTGACTATGTGCCCAACATGCCTATGTGGTGAGGAGAGAGGGTCTGGTCACACCCATTTCACAGCTGTGAAAACCGAGACCCCCGGGTATCATGGCTCAGCAACTCTGGTTTAAGGATGCAGCGGGAGCACAAAGCTCAGGCCCAGCTCCCTCTTGTTGGGTCAGCAGCTCCACCCTACTCACAACCAGTGGTACATGCAGGCTTTTCTCTAAAGAGAGGACAGCCCTCAGCCACCCACCCCCACTCAGCAGGACTTCTTTGACGGCCCCGGTTTCCAGTAAACTTACCAGGGCCTCTTCGCGCCGACTCCGGAATGCCTGGAAGTGCTCCAGGACCTCAGGGGCACCATCGTTCATCACGTTGCTGCCATTGACCTTCAGAATGCACTGACCAGCACAGAGCCCTGCAGCCATGGCCTCAGAGCCTAAGGGGAACAGGAGCACATGAGGCTGGATGCCAGGCAAGTACAAGCAGCCCGCTGAACACTGTCCCCCACCACCCACCACTGCAACCCCAGACACGCGCAAGGACTCCACCTCCACCCCTCCCACCCCAGAGCCGCCCTCTGACACTCCAGTGCAAAGAATGGATTGATGTTCCCATTTTGCAGAAGAAACTAAGGTTCAGAGAAGTAGTAGCTGGCCCAAGGTCACGCAGCAAGGCAAACGGGATCCGATTCAGGCCCGTTTCACTCTAGAACCTCGTCTCCTTTAAAGTCCTGCAGCCGCCTTGTGCTACTGGGCCGCATTTGGCAGAAAGCGTGATGGGCTCAGAGAGGCAAAGCCATGCTCTCTAGGCCGAATGGCCAGAAGCCAGGATTCCAACCAGGCCTATGAGACTCCAAGGGCAAGGTTTTTCAGCTATTCCACAATCCCCAAACCGTAGGTCTTGAACCCAGGGTTTTTTTTGTAGTTCATGTGAAAGGTCTGGAAATGCAAACAAATGTCAAGCTTTGCCCAGACATGGGGCAATACCAGGCCTGAATGGTGTGGTGGTGCCAAGTACAGCCCCTGGGGACTTGCATGGCTTCAAACCCTGGCTCTGCCATAGACCGACCCTGGAACCTTCGGCAAGTCCCTTCACTCTCTGGAGGCTGGCTTCCTCATCTGTGAAATGGGAACGCTCATAATCCCTACGCTGAGGGTCGCGGGGAGATCCGACGAGCTAACACGTGTGCAGCATTTAGCATCGTGCCTGGCACTCGGTAAGTGCTCAAGGAATAGCAGCTGGTTTATTCTTTTTACCGTCTTTGCCTATGAACACCTATTACTACCCATTATCAGTATCTCTGCAGATGTTCTGAGGCAGGATTTCTCACCAAGGCACTGCTGACATTTTGGGCCAGATAATTCTGTGTGGTTCTCTGGGGCTGTCCTGTGCACTGCAGCACGTTTAGCAGGATCCCTGGTCTACCCACTAACCGCCAGAAACACCCCCTCCCCAGTTACGACAAACAAAAATGTCTCCGGGCAGGGCCGATGTCCTCTGGAGAGGAGGCTAAGTTGTCCCAAGGTGAGAATCACTGCTTTAGGACAAAATGAAAACCTACTTTAAAATATTATCAAATTCTCAGTAACCTTCTGTCATGGTATGCGTTTTCTTAATGAACACCTAGTAAACACACAACTATGACCACACAAGTGAAAAATTTATGTTTAAACTTTAAAGGGAGGGGCACTTAGATGCAAAAAAAGTTTGGGGGCCCAGTATCATAGACCTACTTGGTTCCATCTCCAAGACATAGTGACGCCTTTAATAGCACACAAGGAATAGGCAATGCAGAAAGCAGAGGTCTTGAACTGGTGGCCTTTCGGCTGGATCCGGCCATAGAAGTATTGCGGCAGAGCCCCCAAATTTGCATTGGTGGCTTCTCTTAGAAAATCAAGTCTGGTGAGAGTGGACCCACATTCCTGTCTGGCAATAAGGAGCTCCAGCTGAGGAGCCACTGCTCCTTCCAGAGTGAACATGTATTTTTTCACCTTGCCATAGTCCTCACCACTACCCACTGTCTTCCACTGGGATGGCTACCCACTTGTAGCCTGCCTGACCCCAACAGGCATTTGTGTTTGCAAGTCTTGGCATCAGGCAAAGAAAATAAGTGCTGATGGTACATTGTCTGGCAGAAGCCTAGAGTTCAGAAGGCTCTGAACTCCTGCCACACAGACAGATCCACCATCTTCTGCACCTTTCCCCTCTCTCCCAAGGCTCCCACTCACCTCTCCCCACAGCATAGACGTACGGTGGGGCAGCTCCACGAATCTGGAAGCACAGTGTGTCCGGCTGGTCGGGGATTTTGATGATCCTGCACCAGGTAGAAGAGGCAGGGAAAAAGGCCATGAGGAAAACCAGCATCACTCTCAATAACCCCGGTGCCAACCCAGAGACTTTCTGCCTTGGAAACACTGGGAAAATTCAGCCCAAAATAGTAGTAGCACCACCAGGCTTTCCAGCTCCCAAATACAGAGAGAAATGTCAATCAGGCAGAGCCCATGCCACCAGGATCTTTGATTAAGCACAACCCACTGGCCTGCCCTTGGAGCTTCTGTCCTCGAACAGAAATTCCAGACCATCCTCCCACACCTCCATCATTCTCCTGTCCTAAGACCCTTGGAGGTGAGACCAGCACTCCAACCAGTCAATAGTTTAACAATCGCAGGTGGGAGGGTGAGAAGTGATCTGCTGGTACATCTCGGTGCTGACCCTAGAAAAACACCCACACAAGTCCCCTAGGAAGGCAGGTCTGGGCCATTCTGTGGGTCGATCCCCAAAGCAGAGAGGCAGCACCTGCCAGGGAGGGCAATGGGTGTCACTGCTCCTGGAGCATCAGTACCCTGCCCACATCCCCGTCTAAGGCAGGTCTCCAACCCTATGCTGCACAATTGTCCCTCCCATTCCCCCCTGCAGATAAAGCCGAGCTGGGAGCCTGCTCTCAAACCAGGTGTTTCCACAGCTTTCAGCAGACACATTCCACCTTGGTGCTTTCTGCCACTTCCACATACCAACCCATCGATCAACCACATTTTCCCTAAGTCAGCTCGCCTTTTTACTGAAATAATCATATTTAAAACTTTCCACCCCTCCTGTCAAGAGAAGATCTGTGTTAAATAAAAGGGAAAAGTGAAAAACCAGATGCATAATTTTTCAAAGACAAAATGCTTTGCTCCCCGGTACCTACCCCTAGCACGGGTCTGCTCCTCCCACCCCTGCTCTCGCACTCTGCTGAGCCACCACCTCCTCAGCTCCCCCGAGAGCCACCTTTGCCCCTGACAATCTGAGCTCCACTTGCAGCCACAGGACTTCGATCAGAAGCTTCCAGTGGCTCCCCATGGGTCCTTGCCAGGGGCCTCCAGGGCTGGACCCCGTTACCCTACAGACCTCACTACCCAGCCCTCCCTCTCACTCACTGCTCCAGCCCCATCAGCTTCCTTCTGCTCTTCCAATGCGCCAGACACGGTCCCACTTCAGGGCCTCTGCCCTAGCTGCTTCCCCTGCCTGGAGCCCTCTTCCTCCAGAAATCCCCTTGACTCCCCCCTCATCTGCTTCGGGTCTTCACCCCGACTCGCAGTGACGTCTCCCTGACAGCCATCCCTCTGCACACTCTGGCCCCTTTCCCGGGTTTATAGAAACTTATCTGTGCCACGCTCACCAGCACAGGCTCAGTGTCTTACTTCTGTATCTGCACATTGTCTGTCTCCTGCCTCCTCCCCCAACTAGATCTGAGATCTATGAATGGCAGGAACCGCATGCATCCCCACGTGGCTGGATTCCCAGGGCCCAAACTGCCACCAAGCACAGAGTGGCACTCTGTAAACATCTGCCGAATTAATGAAGGTCCAGCTTGTGTTGTGTGACTCCAACAATGGGTCCCAGCCACGGGGGACCAGGACAGTTCATGCCACCCCAGCCCTCAGCCACCACTCAGCCTGAGAGGGAGGGCTGCCGGACACCCCGCCCTGGGACACTCACTCTTTGGCCTTCGTGGCCACCAGGAGGCGCAGAGGGCGGCGGGAGCAGAAGGACTGGTTGAGGATGGACTCCACCTCTGAAAACGGCCGCAGGAACACCAGGTCCTCATTGATGGAGTAGATCTTCCTCCCCACCTGCAGGCCAGCCACCTGGGTAGGGACGGCAGAGGACAGACGTGCACACCAGTTACTAAGCTCCTTCCCTCCTCACCAAGGAAGCTCAAATGTGTTCAGCAGAAGGGTGCTGGCCCAAGGGATCCAGCAGGACTGGGTGACTGCGTGCTGTCTGTGGTAAGCAGTTGAGGGGCACAAGGGACCTGGTTCTGCCTCATGAGCCACAAAGGGAAGCTCATGGGAGGGCAGCTGGGAAAGGTATTCCTCCTGAGGGGAAACTCTGCTGGGGCCTGACCCTGTTGTGTGGGGACACGAGGGTCACACCGGGGTGGCCATCTTATGTCTGTTAGGGCCTGGCGAAGAAAGATGAAGACCTGCTGACCCGAACCAAGATTCACAACTGCCTCCTTCCAACCGCTCACATCACTGGCAAGGTCAACCTAGCCGCTCCGGCCATGGGTATGTCGCTCCTTGCAGCCCAAAGCATTCCTAATTGCCACAGGGGCAAGCTGGGCTCCAGCCAGCACGGCAGGTGCATCTCCCCCACCCACCTGCACACGCCCCAGGCAAAGCCGGAAGGCCCCAGGGCTGAATCCTCGGCCAGCCACACCCTCACTCTCCTAACCTATCCTCCTGTAGGCTTTGCATCAGACAGCAATGAGCTTATCTTATTCAAGCCACTGTGACTGGTTGCAGAAAACTGAGACACCTGCTTTTTTCCTGTACCTCCCCACAATGTCCAGCAGAGGGCAGTGGTGGAACACACCAGGAGCACAGCCCCGGGACTCTGCACTCACTCCCAGCTACTGTAGCCACTGCAGACAGTGGGTCCTGGACTCAGTTTCTCCACGTGAGCAATGAGAGAAGAGGAGTCAGCGATCATTCCAGAATCTCCTGGGCTGGGCTGCCTCAAGGAGGGTGAAGAGAGACACCCCGCTCTGCCACCTGCACACGGTCCCTGCCAGCTCCCCCGAGGGCCTCACCTCAGCCAGCGAGCCCCTCTGGACGGACTTCACCACCACAGCCTTGTTCTTCTCCTCGATGTCAAAGCCATAGTCCTCCTCCTGGGGCAGGATCTGGGGGCCCAGGGCAGAAGGAACCCGGTCAGGGAGCGAGGTGGGCCTACGGCCAGCCCCACCGTGGCCCCCACAGGACCATGACCTCGTCCCAGGTCTAGTAGGGAAGTGGCCAGATCCAGGTGGGCGAGACAGAGCAAAACGCAAACAGCACCTGGCAGAGCCAGTGCTCACTCTGTGCCTGCCACTGGCTTAACGAATCACACGGATCCAAAGGTGTCCAGCCACCAAGAATGTGGAGTCAGGGAGTTTAGGGAGGAGCGGTCCCACCCCAGGGCAGGATGGCAGGCATGCTAGAAACAGGTCTGGGGGTTCCCCAGTGCGGGGGATACAGGGAAAGGCACTCATTCAGTCAACAGACATTGATTGAGATGCTGCCCATCACACGGGCCAGGCAGTTCTCATGGGTGCTGGAGACACCATCTAGAACAAGACAAACAAGCCCAGCCCTGCTTAGTGCGGGAGGCCAACTATAAACAAATAAACAAAAGAAATACAGGATGTGATGCAGGGAGTGTACGTAGTTGGAATTAAAGCACTTAATGGGATAGGGCACGGCAAGGGGGCAGAGAAGGTGCTATCGGAGCTGAGGCCTGAACGAAATGAAAAACAAAACTTCATAAAGAGTGGAGGAACATGCTCCAGGCAGCAGACACAGCACGTACAAAGGTCCTGAGGGAGGCCCCAAGGCACTGGAGGATAAGAAAAGAGATCAGGAGGTCAGGCGCAATGGCTCACGCTTGTAATCCCAGCACTTTGGGAGGCCGAGACGGGTTGATCGCTTGATCCCAGGAGTTCAAGACCAGCCTGGGCAACATAGCAAAACCCTGTCTTTATAAAAAATACAAAAATTAGCTGGGTGTGGTGGCGCAGGTCTGTTGTCCTAGCCACTGGGGAGGCAGAGGAGAGGAGAGAGGAGAGAGGGGAGGGGAGAAAGGGGAAGGGAGGGGAGAGAGGGGAATGGAGGGGAGGGGAGGGAAGAAAGAAAGGGGAGGAGAGAAAGAAAAGGAAGGAAGGAAGGAAGGAAGGAAGGACGGGCACGAGAGAGAGAGAGAAAGAAGAAAAGAAAACAAGAAAAGAGAAAAGAAAGAAGAGAGAGGAAGGAAGGAGGAAGGGAGGGAAAGAGGAAAGAGAGAAGGGGAGGGGAGGGGAGTGAGAGGTTTAATTTTATCCTAAGTGTGACGGGAAGCATTGGGGGACTTTACAGTGAGGGGCATGAAATCAGAGGGAACAGCAGTCCCTGCAGTACTATGGGAGAGAAGTTAATGGAGCCGTCTTCATATGAGTCAGGCTTCAGCTCCAACCCTGGCAGTGACCAGAAACCTAACCTCTGAGCCTCTGTCTTGACTGCCTGCTGCAGGCCACGCGTTAAGATGGGGGCTGCTGTGGGGTATGCAGGATGAGTTGCTTCAGGAGGCCAACCTCTCTATACAGTGTACGGGGAGGGGACAGGAGAGGCAAGGGAACAGAAAGGGAGACCTGCAAGCCCAATCTCTTTTGTTAGGAGGGTAGTCTCAGCCAGTGATGCAGCCTGGCTTCTTGGCAGAGTTGCCCCCTACCACCTAGAATCCACCTATTCTGGTACTCCAAGCTGAGCCCCCTTCCCTGTGCATAACCAGAAGGTCGCCCAGCTCCCATGCCTGCAGGGGGCTCTGGCAAGGAAGGGACAGCTGCTCAGCTGTGCTCCTACCAGCAGGCGCTTGGCCAGAATGTTCTCCACCAGCTTGAAGTCGTTGCGAAGCTGTTTGTTCTTGCTGCTGGTCCCCTCCATCTCCTCGTCAGCATGAAAGCGGAAGTACTGGGACTCATCCCTGAACTCGCTCTTCTCCAGCACTGCAGATCCACAGATGTGCACTCAGTGGTCAGATTCACAGGGAAAGTTTCAGCCATGTTTGCCAACTGGCAGGCACAGGCTGGAACTAGGCCATGGACACGTTTGGTTTGGCAAACACTATTCTATTAAAATGGAATCATATGCCAACACTAACATATTAGGATATTTCACAAAGCGATCTGGCTTTCTGACTTCTCTTGAAAAGTCTGAACTTGCCTCACCTGCTATAAAAAGACATTAATATTTTACAAAGCCATAGTAACACACAGTGTGGAAATGCAGTAGAAACAGATCAATAACCAGCAGAAGGGAATAGAAGTCACATAAGAGGACTAAGTGTTTGCAGGAACTTAGTCTATGATGATGATTTATGATCATAGAGTATTCTGCAGATGGTGCATGGAAAACTGACTTGCCCAGGGGGGAAAAAAATTGAATCCCTACCTCACACCATATGCAACAATAAGCTAATGGATTAAAGACCTACGTATGAACAGTAAAACCAAAGCTAACAAAACTAAATATAGGATGACATCTTTGTCCTAGAGAAGAAAAGGAGTCTGTGTATAAGACCCTCTTGTACTAGACTAAAATTAAGGACCTCCATTCGATAACAACTCCATAGGTAGATGGCAGATGTGAAGGTAACTATAGTGTCCAAAACCAACAGGAATAAATATCTAGAATATAAAAACCTCTAACAAATCAACTAGAAAAAGCTCAGAAGCTCACAGATAAATGGGCAAAGGATATGAACAGTCAATTAACATAAGCAAACTCCAATGAGCAGTAATTTGTGAAAAGGCGCTCAGACCTCTCAGAAGGAAATGATGCTGAGACACTTTAGACCAAAAGTTGGCAAACTCAGTCCCCGCAGGCCAAATCTGCTCCACTACCTGACCTTATGAATAAAGTTTTATTGGCACACAGCTACGGCCATTTGTATTTGTACTTGTATTATCTGTGGCTGCTTTTGAGCCACAAGGACAAAGTTGGATACTGTGACAAGCTGTACGGCCCACAAAGCCTAAATTGTTACTAAGTGGCCCTTTACATAAAAAAATATACTGACGCCGGCCAGAGGCGGTGGCTCCGCCTGTAATCCCAGCACTTTGAGAGGTCGAGGCAGGCAGATTACCCAAGGTGGGGAGTCCCAGACCAGCCTGACACAACATGGAGAAACCCTGTCTCCACTAAAAATACAAAATTAGCTGGGCATGGTGGCGCATGCCTGTAATCCCAGCTACTCGCAAGGCTGAGGCAGGAGAACTGCTTGAACCCGGGAGGTGGAGGTTGCAGTGAGCTGAGATCACGCCATTGCACTCCAGCATGGGCAACAAGAGCAAAACTCCATCTCAAAAAAAAAAAAAAAAAAAAAAAAAATATATATATATATATATATATATACACACACATATATATAATATAATATATAGTATGTATATAACATATATAATATATATAATGTGTGTGTGTGTGTGTATATATATATATACACACACACACACACACTGACCCCTTTCTAGGACAAGCCAGGAAAATGAATAAAAATAACCAGTATCAACCAATTGGTGATCTGATCCCTGTAACTTACAACTTAACTGGGCACCTCCCAGTGCCAGGCACACTGGGGAGGCATGCTAAGTTCATCTGCTCCTTGGATAAGGATTTGCTGTGCCCCTTTCATAGACGGGGAGACTAAGACTCAGGCCCCTAGGTCACACAGCCAGCAGCCAGCAGGCAGCAGAAGGGCCCTCATCGAGCCTCCTTCCTCTCCTCCTCCTCTCCCCACACTGTCCAGGCAGGCCTGTTAGATGAGGCAGGGCTGAGTATAAACAGTGGACAAAGGTGGAAATCAAGGCTCGGAGAGGTAAAGGCAGCTGTCGGACGCCAGTGGGTGCCTGAAACAAGGGAAACCAGCTGCCTTAGCCACAAGACATCCCCCTCGTCCCTGAAGACAGAGGCTTTTTCTGGATGTGGTGACTCAGTGGAAAGCAGCCGGGGGCATTTCTTTCTTTCTCCTTAGTTTTATAGGACATTTCACCTGGAACTCTACCTGTTTGTGAGCCCCTTTCTCAGGCCACCCCTGTTACCTTTTTGAGAAAACAGACACACAAATTGCCACTTTCCCCAGAGCTGGGGAGCCAGGCACCAGGGGGCCGCTGGCTTCGACTCCACTATAAACATTAAGTTAGAAGATTCCAGGAGTGGGAGGAAGAATTGCAATGTTGCATATTGGCCAAAATATTTGTGGAAAACAGCGTGGAATCCCTCAAGTCCACGAGCTCAGCCAAGCGAGCTACCAACCTCAATACCTTTCCCTCGAGGCTGCTGGTCCGGCTTTATAGGATAATCTCAGATCTGGGTTCAAATCCCTGCTCAGCCCCTTCCTGACTTCATGCCCTTTAGCCTCTCTGAGCCTCAGTTTCCTTGTCTACAAGAATAACAACAGGACCAACATGCTGGGGTGGCTGTGGGGATTAAATGGCAAGCCTCAGTTTCCCCATATGTGCCTAAAGCAAGAGGGCCGGACCCCTGGTCAGCCCTAAGGTGGGAATACCTTAGTGTCTGCAGGCTCAGTTTGGCCCCAGTTCGAGGCGCCTCAAAAGGTGCCACAGAGGCCCCTCCCAATCGCCCATCCTGCACCTCACCCTGTATTTTGCTGCAGCCACAATCCTGGAATTGGCCCTTTCCTATTTTAGCCTATTTTTGAGTTCGTGGCAGGGAACAGAGGAGCAGGGTCACGCCCTGCAATTTCTCTCCCTGAGAGCCCTTGAGGACATCAGGATTGCCTGGGAGTCACCACCCAGCAGAATGTCCACAGCCAGCAGCCTTCCCGGAATAGCAGCTGGGGAGGACCCCTAATTACCCTCACCCACAAATGAGAGGTTGTGCCCAGCTGACTGGCGGGAGGCTCGGGGCTGTCAGAGGGCCCCGAGGCAAACAGAGCAGCTTCTGGGAATGAAGGACTTTGGTGAGATGAGGTAGACACATGAAAATGCCCTCAGCTGTCCAGACTGGCCCTTACCTGCCCACCTCAGCTGGGGAAACTGGAAGCTAAAGAGTGAGTCCTATTCCCACAGAACTCTGGGCATGCTGAGCGCACAGGAGGGGAATGCAAGGCCTCCAATGGAAAACTGGAGAAACTGAGGCCCAGAGAGGCATATGGGCCTATTGGGAGTCAGCTGAGTCAGGGACCTGCTGGCCACAAGGCAGGGGATAGATCCAAAGGCCTCTCAGGTCTCCAGCACGTGGCTCACTCTGCCAAGGGAACCGCAAATCCAGCAGGCCGACCAGGGCTCAACAAACTATGGCCCGGCTGGGTGTGGTGGCGCATGCCTGTAATCCTAGCTACTCAGGAGGCTGAGGCAGGAGAATCACTTGAACCTGGGAGGCGGAGGTTGTGGTGAGCCGAGATCACACCATTGCACTCCAGCCTGGGTGACAAGAGTGAGACTTCGTCTCAAAAAACAAACTATGGCTCACCACCTGCTTTTCTAAATAAAGTTTTATTGGCACACAACCATGCCCATTTGTTTACATACTCTCTATAGCTGCTTTTGTGCTACAAAGGAAGAGTTAAGAGTTAAGCAGCTGTGACGGAGTTTGCAGATCTCTGAGTTAGAACTAAAAAAGCCAATATCAGAAAGGAGAAACAGCCAAAAGGCCTTCTTGTGGCTCAGGGTTTTCTGAATCTGACCACTTCTAACCCCTTGCAACCACCAGGTCCCAGCCATATCCTCCTTCCCCTGGACTATCATGACCACCTCCTCGCTGGCATCCCTGTTTCCTTCCCCTGCACACACCACATGCACATGTGTGCACACACATACAAGTGTGAGTGCGCGCACACACACACACACACACGGGACTGTTATCTGTCCTGGTCATCACACTCTGCTCCCAGAACCTGGCACGGTGCCTGGAACACCAAAGACACCACACGTGATGTCAGAATGAACAAAGACAGAAAGGAGTGATGGGATCTGCCTAACAGGGAGAGAACAGGCCCTTAAAAAAAAGAGAATCTGGTCGGGCGCGGTGGCTCACGCCTGTAATCCCAGCACTTTGGGAAGCCAAGGCGGGCAGATCACGAGGTCAGGAGATCAAGACCATCCTGGCTAACACGGTGAAATGCCATCTCTACTAAAAAATACAAAAAATTAGCCGGGTGTGGTGGCGGGTGCCTGCGGTCCCAGCTACTCGGGAGGCTGAGGCAGGAGAATGGCGTGAACCCAGGAGGTGGAGCTTGCAGTGAGCCGAGATCCTGCCACTGCACTCCAGCCTGGGCGACAGAGCAAGACTCCGTCTGAAAAAAAAAAAAAAGAGAGAGAATCCGAGCTAGGAGCAGAGTGATGACGGGGAGGAGCTATTTTAGCTGGGGTTGTGGGGAGGCCCTCACTGGGGAGGGGTCAACTGAGCAGAAACACTGAGTTACCTGCAGGGATGAGGCAGGCAGGGCACCCTGGCAAGGGAAACTGCAAGTGCAAAGGCTCTGAGGAATGTTCTAGAAACAGGAAAATGGCACCTTGGCGGGGGTTAAAGGTTTACCTGTCCTGTTGAAAGGACAGGAAACTCAGGGATCCCCCAGGACCTTCAAGGGGAGAGGCTACATAGCACAGTAGTTGAGTGTGCAGCCTCTAAACCCGCACGATCTGGGTTCTAATCCCAGCTCCAGACGGCCTGAATTCTAATCCCGACTCCAGACGGCCTGAATTCTAATCCCGGCTCCAGACGGCCTGAATTCTAATCCCGGCTCCAGACGGCCTGAATTCTAATCCCGGCTCCAGACGGCCTGAATTCTAATCCCGGCTCCAGACGGCCTGAATTCTAATCCCGGCCCAGACGGCCTGAATTCTAATCCCGACTCCAGACGGCCTGAATTCTAATCCTGACTCCAGACGGCCTGAATTCTAATCCCGCCCCAGACGGCCTGAATTCTAATCCCGACTCCAGACGGCCTGAATTCTAATCCCGACTCCAGACGGCCTGAATTCTAATCCCGACTCCAGACGGCCTGAATTCTAATCCCGGCTCCAGACGGCCTGAATTCTAATCCCACCCCAGACGGCCTGAATTCTAATCCCGGCCCCAGACGGCCTGAATTATAATCCTAACTCCAGACGGCCTGAGTTCTAATCCTGCCCCAGACGGCCTGAATTATAATCCTGGCTCCAGATGGCCTGAATTCTAATCCCGCCCCAGACGGCCTGAATTCTAATCCCGGCTCCAGACGGCCTGAATTCTAATCCTGGTTCCAGACGGCCTGAATTCTAATCCCGACTCCAGACGGCCTGAGTTCTAATCCTGGCTCCAGATGGCCTGAATTCTAATCCCGCCCCAGATGGCCTGAATTCTAATCCTGACTCCAGACGGCCTGAGTTCTAATCCTGGCTCCAGATGGCCTGAATTCTAATCCCGACTCCAGACGGCCTGAGTTCTAATCCTGGCTCCAGATGGCCTGCGTTCTAATCCCGATTTCTACTTGCCATGTAACCTTGAGAAAGTTTCTTAACTATCTGAGCTTCTATACCCTCATCTATAAAATGGGGCTGATGTTAATACTCACATCAAAGGGCTGCTGTATTAAACTAATAAATATATGTGAAGTGTCTAGAAAGAGCCCAGGCACACTGAACACTAACTTTTGTTGTAATTTAAACCGGTGTCCATGGAGCCACTTCGTCCTCCTTCTTGCCATCTTCCTGCCTCAGGAACATCTCAGAACTCACCCCCCAATACCTGCCTCTCTCCCAATGGAAAGAAAAGTCACTTATCTGAGGGAGGAGGCCGGGGAAAGAGGCAGACATCCCAGGAAGGGCTTCCTGCCTCTCACATTCACAACCCACCTGCCCACTGTCCCACAGGGCACAGCTCCTCCTTCCTCACGGAGGCCTTCGGGCCAGGCCTGCCTCATCTGGCCTTGCTGCCTACCCTGGAAGGCCACATCCCCCCCAGGAAGAAGGGCACAGGAAACCCATGGGTTGGACTTCAAATCTAGCCCATGTCCTTCCAGCCATTTTGGTCCCCAGTGGACACCAGAAGCCATTTCTCGATCGGTTCAGAACGGGAAGGGGAGGGAGGTGGGATTCGTGAGCCTCCCCAAACCCCCGGGGGTCTAGAGAGCCACAGACCTGGCTTCAGTCCTCCCATACTCCCCCAAACCATCAGCTCCAGGGAGCAAGGTCCCGGGGGCTGGGCTGCAGGTGGGGGTGGTTACCGTGGTGCATGAAGCCATTGTTGCACAGACCCACGCCGAGCGCCACTGCCTCCTCCCGAGTCTGGCAGTCTCCCTGGAATGGAACAAGAAGGGGAGGGTGTTAGGTGGCAGCATCCGAGAGGCCATGCATGGCCAACGAGAAGCCCACAACCACCCAAGAAGGTAGGCTCCACGAGGGCCAGGGGTTGTCTGTTTTGTTTACTGCAGTAACCCCAAAACGGGTTTGTGATTATTATTTTTTATTATTATTATTATTTTTTTGAGACAGAGTCTCACTCTATCGCCCAGGCTGGAGTGCAGTGGCACGATCTCGGCTTACTGCAAGCTCCACCTCCTGGGTTCAAGCCATTCTCCTGCCTCAGCCTCCCGAGTAGCTGGGACTACAGGCACCTGCCACCACGCCCGGCTAATTTTTTGTATTTTTAGTAGAGACGGGGTTTCACTGTGTTAGCCAGGATGGTCTCAATCTCCTGACCTCGTGATCCGTCCGTCTTGGCCTCCCAAAGTGCTGGAATTACAGGCATGAGCCACCACGCCTGGCCCCATTTGTGATTATTATTAATAAACTCCAAACAAGACTATTTTATTGTACTGTGATCAATACCGCAAAGAAAAAATGGAGATTTTAAGCGGCAGACAATGTTGGTTGCCTAGCAACACCTTTCCCATTCCTCCCTGGTCAAGAAGCCCTCATCCATCTCCAGCCTCCCTTGCAGCTACAGGTGGCCAATGAGCTATAAGCAGAAATCACTGGTGGGATGCTCTGGCAAAAACCCCTTGTCCCTGGCCCTTTCTTTCTCTTCCTCCCGCCTGGAACAAAGATGTGGTGGCTGGAACTCTTGCAGTCACTTTAGACTACAAGGTGCCCTCATGGCTGGAAACACACTAAGGAAGGCAGAGCAGAAAGACACAGAGAGTGTGGTCCCCAAAGATATCAGGAGACACTCCAGCAGCTCTGAACCACCCACCTCTGGACTTCTCTCATGCTACAGAAACACAAACCCTAATTTGGCTCAGCTTCCATAATTGTGTCTCTAATACTAGAAATCAAGTTCAATTGCTAACTGACCAAGCACCAGCTAATAAGACGACTGGGGAAGCCTACCAGGGGCTTCTGAAAAACATCTTCCCCCCCAGGTAAAAGGGAAAAGCAGCACCACTCCTCCCTGCCTGGGATAAAGTCATGTGAGGAAGTGATGCTCAGGATGGTGGGGTGAAGAATGGAAGATTCTTCTGTCTGCTACTGAGCCCACAAACCAGCCCTGGAACCACCTAGCTCCATGCTTCTTGATAGGTGGCATCTCTGTAAGCCACTGTTCAGTTGGGCTTGTTATCCTGGCAAATGAAAATATTCCAAACTGATACAATTTGAACCAAGGCAATCTGACTCATCTCAGGACTTCCCGAAGGAAGTGACATCCAACCCGAAACGTGAAGAATGAACAGGCACGGCCCGTGTGCTGGACCCTGCGGGTTTGGCCTTTGGGGCCAACTCTCCCAGGTGGGATGTCATCTTGGTGGGGCAGTTGATCAAGGTTTGCAGCCCTCCTAGGCCAGGCTGAGGCCAAAGGGATGCTCCCTGCCCCAAGAACATGACACTTGAGTGGAGGACCCCAAGGACAAGGAAAAGCAGCGCTGATTGTCCCTCACAGCGGTGTGCTGGACAGAGCCTCCACCTGCTAGCTTCTCAGCATTTCCCGGTGCCAGTTCTTCCTAAGGCCTCCTAGGCCTGCCCTGGCTTTCTGAGTGCCCCACCTCCCTTCAGTGAGTCATCCTTTGTTATCCCCCCTTCAATTAGCCAGGGCCTGTTTCTGTTGCTTGCAACCCAAATACACTCAATACGTCCCGGCCAAGTGTGTGACACGTGTGTGTGTGTGTGCGTGCATGCGCATGTGCAGGTGGGAGGGACTGTCAAGCAGAGGAAACAGCAGGGGCAAAGGTCTGGAGATGGGCAGAAGCTTGGAGCGCAGAGGAACCAGAAGGCAGCACGGCCGACCAGGGGAGGACAAGCTGAGTCAGGCCCGTGGGGGCCAGGAGCCGGCACTGCTGTGTCCCCGCTCAATCCTAAGTGCTGGGAACGGGGCTGACCTAGAGTCCCTGCTCAATAGCTGTCTGCTGATTTAATAAAGGAGTGGTCAGCAGGGGCCAGATTGTGTAGGAGCTTGCAGCCAGGTCAATGAGCTTGAACTCCAAAGAGAAAGCCACAGGCACCACCTAGTCTCACTGAAACGCCTCCCAGAATGAGGAGCCCTGAGAGGCCCCGCCTGTACCCTCCCGTCCACAGCCAGAGGGGATTTTCCAACCAGAGGAGACAGGGGTGCTATTCAGAGGCAGCAGGACTCAGCCCTGGGCAGAAGGCCTGGGGCAGAGCCTCTGGCCTTGGCATTTCACCACACTGCCTGCCCTGGCTGACTCCATAAAGACACATTTCTCCCACAGGACCCCAAGCCAGTAGCTGGAGGGCCTGCGGGTTGGGAACCCTGCCAGGGGTGGTGGCTATGAGAGGCCATATCCAGAGCAGCCTCCCCCACGCCGTGAGGGGCCGGCAGTGGGGAGGCCAGCAGGGCCCAATGGCGGCAGGCCCTAGCTCTGCAGATGGGAGGCCCGGCAGGCAGCTGGAGCCACCTGGCCTTCTGAGGCGCTCACAGTCCCAGCCTCCCCACAGGGTCTTGGAGCTCCTAAAGCTAGGCCAGCAGGGACTCTCAGGTCAACAGTGATACAGAAGGCCCAGATGTGCCACCTGAACAGGAAGCCCTGCCACCTCCCTGCAGCCCTCTGGGAAGGATGCAATTTCTCCTCTCCCAGAGGAAGCCGCCACACACGAGACCCCTGCAACCTCCCCCGCCATGCTTCCCTGCCTTGACTCCCCCACCCGCCTGCCCACCCCCAGGTGCCCTCTGCACACCTCAAGGCCTTTGCACTCGTCCTTTCCTGCACACCTGGAATGCCCTGCCCCGGCTTTGCAGGTCTCAGGGCCGTACCACCTCCTCAGAGAGTCCCATCCTTAACTACCTGAAAGTAGCCCCCCAAACATTCCTCCACCCATCCTCTCAATAAACGCTCACCAGTCACACACACTCAGTACCCTGCAAGGCATCTGTGCCACCCTGTCCCAGTCTGAAATTAACTCACCCATGTATACATTTTGCTTAAGGTCTGTTGCCCACCGGGTATAAGCTCCATGCGGGCAGGGACACTGCCTGCCATGTTCACCTCATCATCCCACATCAAAATTCAAAGTCTCCTACTTGGTGGGGCACAAAAAGTGGAAGGAAGGGAAGAAAAGGGATGTGATGGGAGAGGGGAGGAGGGACAGAAAGAAGGGAGAAGAGAGGACCTAGTTTGAAAACTGATTCTGAACTCACCTCCCTGTCTCGGTCTCTGTCTATAGTGGTGGGGAGAGTGTCTCCATCCCACCAAGTTCTCGTGAGGATTGAATGAGACACTCTGTGCAAGACCCTTGGCCCAAAGCCTGGCACACAGGCAGCATTTGATAAATGTTAGCTGTTCCTGATTAGTTATTTTTTCACTGGAGAGAACCACTGAGGAATGAAGATGGAGAAGGCAAAGTGGGGTGGAGAGACGGAGTAATGGGGG
The DNA here is from genome assembly GCF_000001405.40 of Homo sapiens. Lineage (NCBI taxonomy): Eukaryota > Metazoa > Chordata > Mammalia > Primates > Hominidae > Homo > Homo sapiens. The sequence continues at coordinate 48,669,880 of NC_000020.11, forward strand.
AAAGAGGTGTCAGTTACACAGGACCCCAGACAGCCTCTTTACCCATGAATTCCGAGACCCCATAAAGATGCCCAAGGATGCCTCTCACCGACCCACCATGTACAAGGAGCTGCAGGATTTCACTCAGACTGTATGGTTGACCTGGAGACAATCACTCTTATTAACCCCACTCGACAGAGGAGGAAACAGAGGCATAGACAGACTTGGCAGTTGCTCAAGCTTACACAGTAACAATGGAGACTGCTCAGAGCTGGACACCCCCCGCCACCATGCCATGGAGAGGGGAAGTGAGGCTGAGAGGGGAGGTTAGTTGCCTAGGGTTGCAGCCAAGTTTCCTGTTCCCATTTCTCCTGCGTCTCTTCTCCCAGTAGTACCTCAAGCTGCCAGCCTGACCCCCGCCTCTCCTACCCCAACCCCTCTCTGCCCCTGCCCCTGCTGAGAACCCTGCTACCATCAGTACCTGCCATCTGCCTGGTAGTGGGAGCCCACGTGGCGGGCATTCCAGGTGCATTTCTGCAGAGCCAGCATGGGAGCATGCAGATCTGTGCCCGCCCCACACCTGGCTCCTTGGCCTGGCCTCTGCTCTCTCCTGCTCAGCCTGCTGACCCCCTGCCCTGCATGTGACGGTCGCAGCCTGGGGCATCCTGGAGCCCAAGTGACACAGACCCAGAAATCACCCAGTGGAGAGGTGAAGAGAGCAAACTCCAGAGCTGGCTTCCCCCGATTCAAAGCCCCGCTCTGCCCTGGCCACGTCCTTGGGCAATCCCTTAGCCTCTCTGAGTATCCTTTCCTCATCCATATTTTTATTTCATTCTCAGATTTGCCCTTGATTCTCCTAGGCCTCTGACACCCCTGAGAGGTGGTCTCTGCTCAGACTCAATCAGCGATCATTAATACCAAGCGTTATGATTGTTATTGACTATGAAGGCATCAGGACAACCCCTGCCACACACAAACACACAGAGGATCCTGGTGGCTGTGTGCCCTGCGGCAAGTTACATAACCCAAGCCTCAGTTTCTTCATCAGTAAAATGGGAACAACTGCATTTGTCTCAAGTTGTTCTGAGGATTAAATAAGATAATGCACCAAGCCGTTCCGGAGCTGACAGAGAGTGCAAGTTGTCTCTCCAACGGCCAATGCCCACCTCATCCTCAGAGTTTAAAGAACTCTGATTGTCTGAATAGTGCCTAGCAAGCCACCTCCCGAAGTCAGAAGAAATGAATCCCGAGGAATTCTAAGCCACTATCAGCAATCTCGGTTCTCTTCCCCAGGGGCTGGTTTAGGGGTGTATGTCAGACCCATCCAGCCAATGAGACCTAAGGAAAAGACCATGCAGGGGAAGGGAGGATTGTAGGAAGTTTCCTCCCCTAATACACAGAAAGAAAAAATGTTCTCCAACAGGACAGCCTTTGGCCATAGTTCTGTGCAGATGTGATGTCTGGAGCCATGGCTGCCACACTGTGACTATGAGGCAACTCATAAGAAGATACCAGGATAGCAGAACAGAAAGGCAGGAGATGCCTGGGTACAGACGGCATTGTTGAGCTCTAGGACCACAAACTCCAGACAATAAATTATGTGAGAGAAGAATATCGTATTAATAAGTCAGGTTTCCTGTTATGTGCAGCCAAACGCATGTGTAACTGATCCAGCAGGGATTTAATCAACATTTTATTTTAAGGGGTAAAATAACCTAGAGTTAGAAATGAAGACGTGTCCAAAAAATACCCTCCCGCCCTACACAATTATGTGTTCTTCCCACTTTCCTGCTAAGATGCAAGGTGGGGGTGACTCCTGAAATCAAGACGGGCTGTAACCACACTCCGAGGTCACATCCTTGTCACAGATCTCTCCCGCACAGAAAGACCCACGCGGGCACACCCTCCTCCCCTTTCCCTGACCCAAGCCGAAGGCCAGTTGCCTTTCCAACCATCTCCTGGAAGTCATCCTCCTGCGTCAGCTCCAGTTACCCACCCTGTGTCCCCACACCAGGCCAAGCCACAGATAGGCTGCTGAAGTGGATGGACACATTGCATGGTCGGCTACAGCCTTTGCTCGACATCCTCCCCGTCTCCACTTGCAACAAGATGCGGGTGCCTGGGGTTGGGGGGCTCAGGACAGAGTGACAGTGACGCAAGCTACTCCAAGGGGCCTCTGGCCGAGCCCACAACTCCTCGGCCAGCACTGGCCACGAGAAAGCCCCCCGCATGCCCAGCACCAGCCACCAACACTGGAAGTGGCTTTTACTGGTTCCTCCTCCTCCAGTCTCTAAATGCTGGAGTGTTCCAGGGTGAAGGCCTGAGCCTCCCGCACACCTGCCTCTTTCATAGCATCCCAGCTCAGTCAATGGCAGCTCAAGCCAAAGGCTTTGGAGTCATTCTCTGCTCCTTTCTGTCTCTCACCTGCAACGCCCTACTCACCCATGAGCAACCTATTAGGTCCACCTTCAAAACATCCAGAATCTGACCATTTCTCCTGCCACCCCCACCACCCTGTTCTCAGCCAGCATCCTCCCCTGCTGGAATTCTAGCGTTGCCTCCTACTGCCCTCCCTGCTGCCAGCATCATCCCTAAAGTCTCCACACAGAGCCAGGGGACCTGTCTGAACTGAAGCCACACACACTGCTCCTGTACTCCGAGCCGGGCAGGGGTCTGGGCCCTTCCAGGAGTGGACACAGCCTGGCATGGTGCGCCCACGCGGCTTCCTCGCCACTCCTCTCCCCTCTCACTCCATTCAGCCACCCTGGCCCCCTCTCTGCTCCCCAGACATACCTGGCTCGCTCTGCCTAAGAGCCTCTGAGCTGCTGCTCCCCAGATGTGGCCTGGGCTCACTCCCCACTTCCCTCAGCCCTCTGCTCAAATGTCCCTCCTCAGTATGGCCGTCCCTGACCCCCTGTGTAAACTGCACCACCCCGCCCATGTGAGGGGGAGATCCCCTGCCCCCGCTCCCACACCGTTCCCTCCACCACATTGCACCTAGCACCAGCGGGCATGTGATGTATTCCTCTTATTCTTATTTATTAAGTGTCTCTCCTATCCTCACCAGAACGTAATATCTGGGAGAACAGGAGCTTTTGTCTGTCTTGTTCCCTGCTGTGTCTCTAGAACCAAAAACAGCCCCTGATACACGGCAGGTGCTCAAAAATAATTAAAAAAAAAAAAGTTAGCTAATGAGCTCGCTTGTCTAACTTCCCTACACTCTCTTCTAACCTGTGTCAAATGTTACCCAAAAGCTGACAAGGAGCGGACTCTGCAGTGGGGGCTGCCTGAGGTCTGGGTGTGTGTGTAAAGCCCACCCTCTCCCCTGCCCATCCGCTGGAAAGCCCCATGGCATCTTGCGTGCCCAAGGAGAAAGTCATTTTCCCCATACATTCTTGCCCATCTTCCCATCTCCACAAATGGTATTTCCATCGGCCTAATGCACCCAAATCTCAGGGCTCATCCTTGATTCCCAGCCATTCCCACAGCAGTGCAACCCGTCTCTTCTATCTCCAAATACCTCTCAGACCCGACGTCCTGTTGTCTCCGTGAGCCAACCCACCCTGAGTTAGGCATGGGATTCACCCTGGGAGCAATGCCTCCCCTATGCTTTGACACCAACAGGCAGCTCTGAGCACTGAAGGAGCTTGGGAAATATGAGGCCCCAGAAACGTCCACAGCAGTAAGAAGTGGGCAGCTCTGAGAGCCTTGAAACCCAGGCTCCTCTGGGCTCTGACTGAAGCACCTAAACCACAAAAGAAACTCCCACATGGCACCCCTGTCACCTATTTGTAGCAAATTCAGAAGGCGGGACTCTGTGCAGATTGCTAACCCCCCCACCTCTGTTTGTTTCCTGGTCTTACTGGTCTCGTGGTCCCCAAACCCTTGCACAATTTCTTTAGTCTTCTATATTGCATGTAATCTTGGGCCACCTTGAATCTTTTGTGAAAGAGATGAGGAATCATAGTAATAGTTAACGTTTATTGAGCAATTACTCTATGTCAGGCACCATTCTAAGCACTTTACACAATTATCTCATCAAAACCTCAAAACAATCTAAAGGAGAAGGTATTGGTTTTAGCTTCATTCTACAACTGAGGCCCGGACAGGCTGAGCAACTTGTCCAAGGTCACTAACCTAGGAAGTAGCAAGGCTGGGACTTGAACCCACGTCTGTCTGGCTATAAAAGCATGAGTTCTGGGCTGACTGCATGTGATTCTCACGAGGGCTGGGGAGTGTGGTACAATGGTTAGCAGCTCTGCCCTTCACAGACATGCAAATTGGAATTCAAATCCAGATATTTCAAGACCTCCCAGGACATAGGGTCCCATATCATAGCAAACATATTAAAATGCACCCATATTTCACATTTGATATCTCTTTGGGCTAGATAACTTATTTTCAAGGATGTTTCTCAACTTTCTTTTGAAGTTATTTGGTGCTGAAAAACATTCACTTTAAAAATTGGCTGTGATTTATCAGCACGTATCAGGAATTTGTGCAACATGAGAAAATCCAGGCAGCAAATTGTTTTCAAATGAAGTTTTTATGAATGTTTAACAATTAATGAGGCCAACATAAAGCTGCACTCTGTAGATGTTTAAACATTTATCCATTTTTATTTCACAGGTTTCTTCTCATCTTTGGGAGCCAATGTGTTCTTTTTACAAACCATGAATAGATATTCTTGAGGACTCGCTGAAAAATTCACAGAACCGAGGCACAGTGGGTGAGTCCCAGCTTTGCTACTATGAAGCTGTGCACCCTTGGACCAGGCACTCAGCCTCTCTGGGCCCACTTCCCCATCTGCAAGTAGGTTAGAGGACTCAAAAGGATAACACACAATGCCTGCTGGGGCCTTATCCAGAGTAAGCATCCATAATCCTGAGCAATAAAGGAGAAGAGACAGGCAACAGGCCTGTATGTGGCACCTGAATGGAGCAAACACCTTCGGGATATTGCACCAAAACTGATGCATAGATTTTCTAAGCTTCTGGTCAACCCCTACCCACTGGGAACTTTTTTGAAAGTAGTAACTTGGCCAACTCCAAACAGAGGCTGCAGTTTGGTACCAGAATAAAACCATCTTGTCCTAGTTTGCCCAAGACCATCCCAGTTTTAAAACTGAAAGAAAGCCCTAGTGTGGAAGCAACCCCTGGGTCTACTGAGGAATGAATGGATAAACAAAATGTGGTACAGACATACTGCTACGGTTTGAATGCTTTTGTCCCTTCCAAAATTCTTGTTGAAATGTGATCCCCAATGCAACAGTATTGAGAGGTATGGCCATCAGGAGGGGACTGAGTCAGGAGGGCATTAGGCATCCCTTAGAAATGGGTGTGACGCAGGGAGTCTGCCCCTCCCATCCCTTTCCCCATGAGAGGACACAGCAGCAAGGCAGCATCTTGGAAACAGACGGCAGCCTTCGACAGACACCGAACCTGCCGGCACCTTGGTCTGGAACTCCCAACCTCCGGAACTGTGAGAAGTTTCTGTTCTTTATAAATTACCCAGTCTCAGGTATTTTGTTATAGCAGCACAAATAGACTAACACACAATCAATGGAATATTATTCAACCTTAAAAAGGAAGGAGATTCCAACATACGCTACAACATGGATGAGGCTTTAGGATGGATGCTCAGTAAAATGAGCCAGGCACAAAAGGACAAATACTGCACAATTCCACTGCTATGAGGTAACTAGAGTAGTCAAGTTCATAGAGACAGAAAGTAGAATGGTGCTCATCGGGACTGGAGGAGGGGGAGTGGAGAGTTGAATGGGAACAGAACTTCAGTTTGGGAAGATTAGAAGGTCTGTGGTTGGGTAGTGGTGACGGTTGCACAACATTATCAATGAATTTAATCCTAATGAACTATCCACTTAAAAATTATCAAGATGGCCGGGCGTGGTGGCTCACACCTGTAATCCCAGTGATTTGGGAGGCCGAGGCGGGCAGATCACAAGGTCAGGAGTTCGAGACCAGCCTGGCCAACACAGTGAAACCCCGACTCTACTAAAATTACAAAAATCAGCTGGGTGTGGTGGCGTGCGCCTGTAATACCAGCTACTTGGGAGGCTGAGGCAGGAGAATTGCTTGAACCTGGGAGGCGGAGGTTGCAGTGAGCTAAGACTGCACTACTGCACTCCAGTCTGGGTGCCAGAGCAAGACTCTGTCTCAAGAAAAAAAAAAAAAAGATCAAGATGGTAAATTTTATGTTCTGTGCAGTTTGCCACAATTAAAAGCAATAAGAAAAAATCTTTAAACAAAACAGAAAGCCCCACACTGACGGACAAAGCAGAACACTGGTCACACACCCCTGAGGAGGCCCTCACCTGAGCCAGCAGCCAGTCCACCAGCTTGCTCCCGGGAAGCACTGACTTGTAGGTCTTCAGGTGGTAATCACGGTCTCTGTGGAGAAGGTGAGCGCACAGTGAGCAGGGCAGGGCGGGGAGGACAGAGGTGGGGGTGGTCCTGACTTCCCTGCAGGACGTGCCCACGAGTCAAGGATCTCCAGGCTCTCTAGGCATTGGGCAGGGGTCCGAGTCTCAGCCCAGACTCCACACATCACTTGCAGTGTGACCGAGGGCAGGGCTGTTCCAAACCAGGCCTCCTTCCACCTACAGAGTGGGAGGCAGGAGGCAGCAGCTCCAGGGCTCTGGAAACTTTCTGTCTCTAGCCCAGGAGATCTCAGCTGGGGGTGATTTTGCCCTCAGGGTATGTCTGGAGACATTTTTGGCTGTCAAGACCTGGAGGGGCTAGGGCAGGGGTGCTGCTGGCATCCCGTGTGTAGAGGCCGGGGATGCTGCTGAAGATCCTACAATGCCAGGCAGCCCCCAACAGAGACTCATCCTGGCTACGATGCCACCGGCGCCGAGGCTGGGGAGCCATGTTGACTCTCACAGAGTGGCAGGGGAGACCCTCCATTCTTTCCTTTCCTTTTTCCTTTTTGTTTTGTGGTTGACATTGATGTATTTAAACCAAACCATTGTGGAAAGCCCCTGCAAGGGGCTGGTGTGGTCTATCAGGGCCGAGCAGCACAGAGGCCTGTGAGTTTCACGGTTCTTTCCTGAGGTAACTGCCCTGGCCTGTGACAGCATCTGAATCCCTGCCGAGCCTGGATCCCATGGGTTCCGCTAACCTTGCAGCCGAACTGCAACAACTTCTCAGCCTCTGAAGCTGTGACAAAAACGCGCTTCTGTGGCCAGTCCATGCCAAGGCTGATAAAGTCTAGTTGGAGGATTTCTCTCAGGCTTTAGGACTGGGGGGGTCTGACAGGCTCCACGTGCAGTTGGTGGGGGTCTGCTACCTTCCCCAGCCGCTTCCTTCTTTGAGGCTGGCCAAGGAGCCCCACCTGCCTTCTGGGGCTTGCACAAGAGCAGCAGCAGAGGAGCCCAGGAGGGCGGAGGCAGGATGGCAGATGAAAGTGGTTCCCAGGGCCTGACATCCCACGGGGCCAGCAAATGCTAGGAAATGGTCCTTCCTCTCCACTCTTCCGAGAGGTGATAAGAGCTATCAGGTCAGAGGACAGAAAAATCTGCAGCTGGGATAAGAATCAGGTCACCCTCTCTCCCTTCATCCACAACTGTGAGCTTTGTGGTAAAAAGAATAACCAATCTCTGGCGTTCATTATACAATGCCAGGAGCCATTCAAAGCACCTTCCGTGAATTTAATCCTCATGGCAACCCAAGAGGTGAGAGCTATTCTTATGTCCACTTAACAGATGCAGAAACAGAAGCAAAAGAAGTTAATCATCTTTCAACATTCACTGACAAGCTTTTACTGAGTCCCTAGGCCTCTGCTCTCCAATAGGTAGCCATTTTAATTTAAATTTCAATCAATAAGGCCAGGCACGGTGGCTCACACCTGTAATCCCAGCACTCTGGGAGGCTGAGGCAGGCAGATCACTTGAGATCAGGAGTTTTGAGACCAGCCTGGCCAACATGGTGAAACCCCATCTCTACTAACAATATAGAAATTACCCAGGCATGGTGGTGCATGCCTGTAATCCCAGCTACTCGGGAGGCTGATGCAGGAGAATCGCTTGAATCCAGGAGGCAGAGGTTGCAGTGAGCCGAGATCATGCCAATGCACTCCAGCCTGGGCAACAGACCGAGACTCCGTCTCAAAAAAAGAAAAAAAAGAAAAAGAAAAAACCAAACATATAAAAAAAGGCCAGGTGCAGTGGTTCACGCCTGTAATTCCAGCACTTTGGGAGGCCAAGGCAGGCAGATCACTTGAAGTCAGGAGTTCGAGCCCAGCCTGGCCAACATGGTGAAACCCCACTTCTACTAAAAATACAAAAATTAGCCGGGCCTGGTGGTAGGCACCTGTAATGCCAGCCACTCAGGCAACTGAGGCATGAGAATCACTTGAACCCGGCGGAGGTTGCAGTAAGCCAAGATTGCGCCACTGCACTCCAACTTGGGGGACAGAACGAGGCTCTGTCTCAAAAAAAAAAAATTAGCTAGGCATGGTGGTGCACGCCTGTAGTCCCAGCTACCTAGGAGGCTCAGGTGGGAGGACTGCCTGAGCCTGGAGGTTGAGACTGCAGTGAGCTGTGATTGCACCACTGCAATCCAGCCTGGGTAACGGAGCAAGACCCTGTCTCAAAAAAAAAAAAGAAGAAGAAAATTAAAATGAACAAAGGGAGCTGATATCGTTGGGTTGTGTCCCCACCCAAATCTCATCTTGAATGGCAGCTCTCATAATTCCCACATACTGTGGGAGGGACCCAGTGGGAAACTACTGAATCGTGGGGCAGTTCCCCCATACTGTTCTTGTGGTAGTGAATAAGTCTCACAAGATCTGATGGTTTCATAAGAGGAAACTCCTTTCACTTGGCTGTCATTTTCCTTTTGCCTGCCAGGTAAGACGTGCCTTTCACATACCTCCACGATTGAGAGGCCTCCCCAGCCATGTGGGACTGTGAATCCATTAAACCTCCTTTTCTTTATAAATTACCCAGTCTTGGCTATGTCTTTATCAGGAGCATGAAAACAGACTAATACAGAGGACAGAAAGTACCAGGTTGGTGACACTTTATGCAGGTAGGCAGGGAAGACCCCTGTGATATGGAGGCGTTTGAAGGAAGTGAGGGAACGAATATGAAGGTATGCAGAGGAAAGGCATCCTAAGCAAAGGGAACAGCAGGCACAAAGGCCCTAAGGTGGAGCCCATTATTATCCCCATTTCACAGAGGAAACGGTTGAGGCACAGAGAGGTTAAGTAACTCTGCCCAAGGTCACACAGCTGCTAACTAGGAGGGAGGTTCAAGCTCAGTCTGTCTGGCTCCAGAACTGACACCTGCATCACTACACTGCAGTGCTTCCCACAATTTAATTCAGTTAATCCTAATGACAAATCTAAAGGATAGGTGCCACTGCAAGCCCCATTTAATGGAGAAGGAGACTGGAGCTCAGAGAGGTTAAGTTGCCAGCCCAAGGCCACACAGCTGAGAAGAGGTAGAGGTGAAATTGGAGCTTGGAAAGAGTAACTTACTTGATCACCGGGGTGTAGAGGCTGTGAAGACGGCAGTAAAGCCTCACACCCTGAAAGAAAAAAGGGGAGGAATTCTGGGATCAGGCCACATCCTTCACGAGCCTCCAAATCCAGGCTGATGGGAGAGATGGCTTCCAGGACGGGGCAGGGCAGGGTAATGGGGGCAGGGGTGAGTTGTGGGCAGTGGAGAAGGCAAACAAGCCAAGGGGCACAGGCCTGCTCTGAGGCGAACCCAGGGTGGAGGTGAACGAGGCCAGCTGAGTCAGAGTCACAGGGGCGGAGGGCCCCTACCTTGGACATGATGTCCTCCAGCTCACTTCGGGCCTTGTAGGTGCCATCGTCGTAGCGGAAGCGATACATCACCTGCTCATTCTTGAACTGGTGCTTGTCGGAAACTGGAGAGACAGGAGGACCTGTGACGCTGGGCACGCCCCCTCAGCCCCTCCCAGCCACGCCCCCCAGCATTGGCCTTCACTGCCAGCCACGCCCCCTCTGCCCCTCCCAGTCACACCCACCAGCATCAGGCTTCACTGCTGGCCAGGCTTTTTTTTCACTGAAACCCCACGAGGTGGGTGCTATGACTTCCCCATTTTGCACATGAGGATACCCCATCCTCCTGCTACGTGCAGGACCCTGCTGAGACTCGCAGCTTGGGGTGGGGCATCTACAGGGGTGAGGGACCCAGAAATGCCCCTGATCCAGCCTGCACTGGGACCCCTCTGGCTCAGCATGTCCTTAGATCTAGATCACCAATGGATGGGTGGGGACAAGCATGCTGGGGCCTGAGACCACATTGCTGAGATTTACGGAGCCATCTCTATCCCACAAAGTCATGCTTGATGCTTCAGATCCATTAGCAATGCCTATAAGGCCCTAACCTTCAAGATACCAATCACCTCACTCCTACACTGGCCCGAACCACCTTCGCCTCCCACCTGGACTATCACAGCAGCCTCTTTGCTGGGCTCCCTGCTGTCACCCTTGGTCCCAACAGTCTCCACAGGGCAGCCAGAGGGATTCTGCCAGCGTGTTCGTCCAAGCAGGTCTTTCCTCTACGCAGAGCTCAGCAACAGCTTCATAGCTCACTCAGAGTAAAAGCCAAAGACCCTACAATTCTCTATAGGATCTCATCTCACCTCCTGGACTCTCCCATCAGCCCTGTGCCCTCTGACCTCGTCTCCTACCACGCCCCCTCCTCACTCTGAGGCAGCCACACTCCCTCCCTGCTATTCCCTGCACAACCCACTTAGACTCTGCCTGAGGACTTTGCACTGGCTGTTCCCTCTGCCTGGAACCATCATGCCCACCTGGGTCCCTCCCTCACTGGTGGCTCAGGTCCTGGTTCCAATGTTACCTTCTCGGTGAGGCCTTCCCCATCTCCCCTATTCAAAAGTGAACGCCAACACCACACTCTTTACCCTCCTTCCCTAGCACCTATCATGTTTTACTATCTTGCTTTGTAAAGATAAGCAAGTAAAGATCTTATCGTCCCCTCCAACTACAAGGTCGGCTCCATGACGACAGGCACGTCCTCCTCCCGTTCATTGTGGTGTGAACAGTGCCTGCCACATTATAGGCACTCAATAAATATTTGCTGAATAACTAAAACTTAACCAAATGGTTCTTGACATTTCTTGAAGGGACAGATAAAAGATTCTACTCCCCTGCCCCCAGGTTTTTGAGGTATCCCTGATTTGCTGGTGCCTAAGAGGCAGTTTTACAAGGGCATCCATGTTCCTGCGGGCCACACTGTGCCCAGAAAACACGGCGGCTGCACGAAAGGATAGGAGCTGCCTGAGCTAGTGGAAGCATGGCACAGTTGGGGTCTGACCTGTTCCCACCCCTTGGCCCAGCTGGGCCCAGCCCTCCACTCACCATGGTGGATGATGCCATTCTCCAACAGGGCTTGGCCCAAGTTGACTCCTTCTTCCGTCTTGCTGATTTCACCAATTTCTAGGAGCCAGGCAACGAACTCACTGCCAGGAACACAATATGTGGTTGAGAGGATTTCCCCAATTCTGGGACCACAGGAATCAGCACTAAGCTGGCCTGGCCACATCCACCCCTGGGAATGACAGCTAGAACTTCCCACAGGGAAGCCGAGTGTAGTAGTCTATAGCCCTTGGGGTTGTACTGAGGCTTCATGCTTATTACCAATAGCAGAGAGGAGAGTGTGACCAGATTCCAGGTCTGCCTCAGGCTCACTGGATGGATGCATGGATGGATGGAAGGAAGGAAGGAAGGGAGAGAGGGAGGGAGGGAGAGAGGGAAGGAGGGAAGGAAGCTGGGCAGGCAGGTTGGTGGATGAGTGACTACATAGATGGATGGATGGATGGATGGATGGACGGACGGATGGATGTCCGGCCAGACAGACAGCCAGCAGCACATGGGCAGGTAGGTAAGTGGGTAAGTGGATGAATGAACAGACAGATGACTTAATATGGGGTGGATGAAGAAGAGAGTGAGTAGATGGGTGGATGGGTCAGGGATGGATCACAGATGGCTAGATGGAGTGGTGGCTGGACAGATGAACAGAAGGAATGGACAAACATGCAGGAAGAAATAATAGGGGGCCAGAAAGATGATGGCGGGGAGTCAGGCGAGCTAACAGTGATGAAACCATGTCATTTCCATATTCAAAACCCTCCCACAGGCTTACTACTCACAAAAAAAATCCCAACTCTTCCCACACGGACATAAACAAGGCCCAGCATGACCCACTCCCACCCTGACTGATCTCACCCCCAATACCTCTCATTAGTTATGCCTAAGCCACACCTACCACCTTTCCCTTATTAAAAAATACCAGACTCCTCCCTGCCTCGGGGCTGCTGCACTTGCTGTTCCTTCTGCCTGGAATGCCCTTCCTCAGCTCTTCATGCAACTGTGCCTTCTCATCCTTCAGGTCTCAGCACAAACATCACCTCCTCAGAGAAGCCTTCCCTGACTACCTCATTTAAAATGGTCCCCGACCCCTATCCAATCCATCACATCTCTGTGTTGCTTCCTTTTTTGCACTTTTCACTGTCTGAAGTGGTCTTGTTTACAGATTTATTTTACGTATTTATTGGCCATCTCCCCCAACCAGAATGTAATGACATGAACAGGGTGTTTTCTCTGTCTTATTCATGGCACTATCCCAGCACCTACCAGAGGGCCTGATGCAGAGCAGGGCTCAATGATCATTTATGGAACAAATGAAGTAATGAACCATCCGACAGAAAGGAATGTTCTGAGGTCGGCAGGAAGGTCTCGGGGAGACAGAAGTGCTCCCAGGCCAGAGGAAGACAGGCAGCTTTCCCAGCTCCCACGTGACTGCCCGGTGGTGAGAGGCTCAGCCGGGGCCCCAGGTCCTAGTTCTTGCGGGTGCTTCTCAGGCTCAGCCCAGAGCTCAACCCACTCAAACTCAGCAGGAAAAGGGAGAGCCTGGAATGGGGCTGTTTCCGCCGAGGCAATCTGTGTTCAATGAAAGCAGGTGGCAGCTGGCCAGAGCCTGAGCACCCTGCTTATCGAAACCAGCTGTCCCGCCTCCAATTACAGGGCCAGAGGGGGGCAGGGCTATTTTTAGCTTCCTAGTGTTTGGCAGAGCAAAGACCTGCCTGGTGTGTAGGTAGCGGTGCGTGCTGGAGCATTCAGAATGCCCTGGCTGGAGGCAGAGTGGGCTGCAGAAGAAATGCATCTGCTTTGTGGGACAGGCGCCCCAGGTGGGGAAGGGATTGTTCTGGGTCCTGTCCACCCCCAGTTCCATTCTCAAAGTCTTGGAACTCAGGGACAGGGAGAATGCTGCCAGCAGCTGAAGGAGGGGAACAGATGTTTGAGTGCCCACTCTCGGAAGCCCACCAGCTGTCTAATTGGGGGCCGCCTCTGGCACTGATCAGCAACTCTCTGGCCAGGGTTAGGGGACAGGAAGTATCCCACAGCAGCTGCTGGGGCAGAAGAAGACGGCCCAGAGGACAGCAACTCTGCCCTACGTTTCTGCCCAAACTGGGTCTTGCCATCTTCTGGTGGATCAAGGAGGGTTCACAGCTTGCTGGGCAAAGCTGGGCGGGTCCCTGTGCCTCTCTGGGCCTCATCAGGGCCCACCTGGGAAGTGGCTCACTCAGTCACCTTCTGGATTTAGCAGGCAAAATTTCTAGTCATATGAAATCCTGAGCTGGGATGCAGTATGCAAAAACCCAATAAAATTCATCTCTAGTGCAGGGGTCTCAAACTTGTAAATAGGCAAAACAGGCCAGGAGGAGACTGTGCAGAACCAGCCGGGGCCTGCCGTGTCTAAAGCTGGCAGCCACTCTTCAGTGTAGCCCATCATGGCCCATTATGTTAGAAGACGAACGCATCTAACAGCTTCTCGGGAGAGTGAGGAAATCCAGCATTTCCTGTGAAATCTCCCCATCATTAAATGTTCATATCGAGTCCAACATTTTCTGAAAGCACTACGTGGGCCGAGGAAAACATGTCTGCTAACTCTATCAGGTCAGTGGGGCACTGCTAGCCACCTCTGGGGTACAGGGGAGAGTGTTCTGGGCAAGGGGATCAGCGCACACAGAAGCCCTGAGAGGTAAGGTCAGGAAACCAGCGATCTGCCAGTGGGGAGGGGCGCTGGCATGCAAAGGGCAGCTAGGTCCAAGCTCCCAGAAAGACACAGCTCAGGACAGTGTGAGGAGAGCTGGAGATACAAGGAGAAGGCAATCTAGCTTGATGGGCAGTCTGAGAGTCAGGGATGGCATGGTGAGCTGAGAGTTAGGATGTGTCAGCTTTCATCCCTCCTTCCTTCCCGCCTCCTAGAATCATTCACCCACTAAACATCTATTTAGCCTACAATGGGCCACGGCCAGGGTGAGGCACAAGGAATACATTCTGCAGTCTTCCTAAGAAAGCCGCCTGAGCTCAGGCCCAAGGTACCACTTATGACCCAACACAAGAATCCCTTGTTCTTGCCTGATTCCTCCATGGGCCGTGGGCTCCAAGAGGGTAGGGACTGGGGGGTACCCAGTGGAATACCCATCCCTGTGACTCCACGGCTCAGGGATGCCTCCTGGAGATGACAATGTTGGACAAATCCTTACCGACCCTCTCGTGCACACTAACACCCTGCACCTGTGCGTACAGGTGGCCAAGACACCAAGGCCCCTTCCACCTTGGAGCTTTCCCTCTGGCAGACGTCCATAACTGAACAGCATCTAATCTCTGCCAAGGGTGAAACCCAAGGCCTTCGTCCAGGAAGCTTTTCCTGACGGCCCCTGCCAGACACGCCGCGTCATACCTGGTAACCCTGAGCTCCGACAGCTCCACCAATGCCCTCGATCTGGATCCTCATCTCACTCCACTACCGAGACTCCTCCAGTGGCTTCCCACAGCACCAAGACGGAAATGTGAGCTGCCTGCCAAGGCCCTGCCTGAGGTGACCCACTTTAACTGCTGAGGCCACATCTCCTGCCCCTCTGACCACTCAGGCTCCAGCCACAATGGCCTCCTCCTGTTCCACCATCACTCAAAGCTCACTGCAGCCTCAGGGCTTTCGCGCCTACTGCTTCCTAAGCCAGGAATGCTGTTCCCCACACCCTCTCATGGCTGGCTCTTGCTTGTCTTTCAGATCGTGGTTAAATGTCACTTCCCCTGAGAGGTCCTGACTGCCCACTCTTCTGAACCAGCCCCATTTCCTCTTGTCCTGACTTCACGCTAAGTATTTCCTTAGCGCATTCATCAAGTTGCTGAAATTCCCTTCTTTCTATCTGTCTCCTCTTCTGTTGTCTGATTTCCCCCACTGGATGCTTACCTCTATGAGGGCAGGGACTTCATCTGTCCTATTCCCGACTGGCACATAGCAGGGACTCGGTAACACTGAGTGGGTGAATGAATGAGTGAATCTGTTTTGTCTCCCCTACTAATCTGACGATGCCAGAGGGCACAGGCCATGCTCCTCCCAGGACACCCTCCACATTAATACACACAGATTTTATTCTTTGCTTTTTAAATGTGGCATCTAAGAGATTTTTCTCTGAGTAGGGCAGAAAGAGGCCCCTCCTTCATACACTCATCATGCACAGCCAGTACGATTCCCACGAGTCTCACCAGCACTGTGCTGCACACGTCACGTGTTCTCTCACTGTATCCTCCGACAGTCCTCAGAGGCACATTTTATTATCTCCCTTTAACTGATCGTTCACTGAGGTTCAGAGAGGTTAAGAAACTTCCCCAATGTCACACAGCTAGAAAGTGAGGGAACCAAGACTTGAGTCCAAGTCTAACTCAAAGCCAACCCTTGGGGGTGATAAAGACAAATCAGGCCAGGTGCAGTGGCTCACGCCTGTAATCCCAGCACCTTGGGAAGCCAAGGCGAGAGCATTTGCAAGACCCCCATCTGTACAAAAAAAAATAAAAATTAGCTATAGAAGCCTAGCACAGTGGCACACACCTGTAGTCTCAGCTACTCAGGAGGCAGGAAGATCGCTTGAGCCCAGGAGTTTGAGGCTACAGTGAGTTATGATCACACCACTGTACTCCAGCCTGGGCAACAGAGCGAGACCCTGTCTCTAAAAACCAAAAGATAAATCAGACACTTTTTATATTCATGCAGTTCCCTAACAGTGGAGACAGATGTAGAGAGAGGAACTGCTAGGGAAAAATAAAATGTGCTGAGTAGAAATAAAAATGAATAGACAGGCAAAGTACAGTGGGAGACAGCACCAGTGTCGCTTTGTGATCTTGTACAGAACCCTTCCCCTCTCTGTGCCTCGGTTTCCTCACTTTTAAAATGGGGGTAGTGGCAGTGACTGTTTCACGGTGTTGTGTGGGGATTAAAAGACATGGCTGAATGCCAGCACATGCAGCAAAGGGCTTGATCAATATCTCGGAGGCTACCAAGTCCTTCTACCCTGGAGGACCAGGGACGCATCTTGGACAAGAAGATTCAGTAGCGGGACCCTGGCGGGGGTAGCAGGATCACACACCCTACGGCTGTGTGCAGAGCAAAGCCGTGCAGGGAGAAGAGTTTATCAGAATAATCTCCTGCAGAAAGGCTGGCCCTTTCGGACCTGCAGTTACAAAACAAGCTGCTATCTTGGCCCCATTTCAAATGGGCAGTAAAAGAAATCTCTCTAATCCTTCCTGAGGAGGCAGAACTCCTCGAAGTTCTGATCACAGACAGGCTGCCTCATCGGTCCGGACTGAGCAGTTTGGCAGGAGATGGGAAGGTTCTCTGGCCCCAGGGGGCCCGGAAGCAGGCCCCTCCTGAGAGAAAAACCTCCTTTCCTGTGGGATTAGGAGTTGGCTGAAAAGGCCAGCCAGGCTGCCCCGCCCCGCCTGCCCCAGCCAGCAGGACTCCAAGGCCCAAACTCTCCTCTCCATGGAAGCTCAGAGCTGGAGTTCCTGATCTTTGAGGAAAATAGGGCACCAAGGCCCTTGAGGGCAACAGGGCAATAGAGTCCATGGCGCCCTGCAGGTTTGAACCCTTCTACTTGCTGCCCCTCCACCACAAGCCTCAGGCCATGAGTGCCAGCTGTCCCCAAGTCCACACTAAGCCTCCGTGGCCTGCCCAACATCCATACTGCACCCTGAATGTCTATCAGCATTTCAGCCTCCACCGGGCTCCTGCTCCTTCCCAGGGACCTGCTCCTGCCTCCCCGCCTCTTCCTCCCCTTGGCTTCCGGAGGAGTGCCACCTTCTCGCCAGCAGCTCCACTCAGAGGTCTCTGCCCCCTCCTCCTTCCAATGCCATCATCGGGCCCCAGGGCCCAGGCCTGCCTCTTCTATCCCTTCAGGTTCCCCTGCACAGTTCAGGCCGTCTCATGGCTTTAAAGACCATTTAACACCATCTCCCATGTGTAGGTCCCCAATGCAGACCTTTCTCCCCAAGTCAAGATTTTGCAACCAACCAACAAGCCCACATCTCCATGTGGGTGTCTACCAGCCTGACATAACCCGTCCACAACTGCACTCGTGGGCTTCCCACGGCCCCCTGCAGCCTGCTCCTCCCGCCATCTTCTTCTCCTTCTCAAAGGAGCAACTGCAGCTTTCCAGCGCCTTAAAGTCCTGAACTCCCTTTACTTTTCCACCCCATCAGCAAATGCTGTTGCCTTTCAAGTTATCCAGAACACAGCCACTGCTCCCTGTCTCCACAATGACCATCCTGGCTCAAGCCTGGCCCACACAACCTCTCACCTGGTCCACAGCACTGTGATAAAGTGGCAGCTTTTACCCTAGGCCTCTGCAAAGGCTTTAGGGAAGTTGGGGGGAGTTTAAGTCCTTACATTCTAAATAAAGTTCCCGCATTGCCGGCAAACCTCTCTCCCCAGCTGCACCACAAGCTTCATGAGGTTGCAAGCCCTTGGCACTGTCCTCTCCGGAGTGTCTAGCACATTGTAGGGCCTTAAAACAGCCTGACCATTTTACAAGGACTGGATTTCTTCTACCTCTCCCGTGCCCCAGCCCTCTCCCTCAGGTGACCTGCGTGTAAGAGCCAGCCTGTCACACCTGTGTTCTGACCCCTTTGAACTCCAGTTATAAAATGGGGCTGTATTTCCCAAACAGAGAAAGTGGAGGCTCTGGGCACTGAGAAGTTTATAGAAGCTTCCCTCGCCCCTCACATGTAACTCAGGAAGAGACGCCTCACCAGATACTCTCCCTGCCAACACCCTGACCTAGGACTGCCAGCCTCCAGAACTGTGAAGCAATACATTTCTGTTGTTTAAGCCACACCAGTTTTGTGCACTTTGTTATGGCAGCCCCAGCCAAAAAAAAAATGGGGTGGGGGTGGGGGGCCTACCTTTATTCTTCCAGCCCTTAAAACACCTTTGTAATCAATTACCTGTGTTCAATACCTCTCTGCTTGAAATGCCTAGAGTGGCTTCTCTTTTCCCAAGTGCTACAGCAGCATTTTTCAAACCGTTAGTGCTTTGTGAAACAATGTCATGGGTCTTGCCAGCATTAATTTTGAAATGAATGAAGAAGCAACTTGAATAGAATAGAAAGAACAGAAGAGAACAGAAACAGATATTTTCAGAGTGGGATCAAGCACAGTAAGCTCTGTGAAACCTCAGCTTCAATCATATATTACATGAATGGGTGTACCAGGTCACAATGGAAAATTATGTCTGGTAGTAGGTTGAAAGACCTGATTTAGGGACCCCACTAGCCTTCTTGATCTCTGAGGGCTGCTCCATAAGGATTCAGGTCCTTTTGTCACTCTGCCCAGGATGGCTCCTGGGCAGGGCCAGGCTGCATGGGTGGATGGGGATGATCTGCCCCACCTCCAGCTGAGAGCCCAGGGACCCAGGGAGTTCAGAGTGAGGCTACTCACTTGCCAAGAAAGCACTTGGGGACAGTGCTCAGCTTTCTCCGGCGGTCCTTGATGAGGTTCACCTTCTTGTTCATCATCATGTGGTACAGCTTCTCCCCCTTCTCCGCAATCATGACGTAGGCATCACGCTCCATGCCCAGCTTCAGGCCTACACAGGGGCACGGTCAGCACTGGAGAGAGCACCAGGCCCAGGGCAGGGGGGGTAGGGGGAGACAAGGGGCAGGCCCACAGCTCCTGAAAGCTGGCCTGCCACCTGCCCCACCACCTGCCCTCCACCACCACCACGCCAGCAGCAGCTAGAGGGCACTGACTGTCGCTGCCCTAGGCACCTGCCAATGACACCTCAAAACAACCATTTTACAGATGGCAAAGTTGAGACCCAGAGAGGTTAAGTCCTGGGATGACAGGGGGTCATGCCTTCAACCCAGGAATCAAGCTCTAGTGCTATGTTCTTCATCACTTTCCTATGCTGCCTCCCCAACCTGAGGGTGGGTTTCTAGATTCACAGGTTATCAGAAAACTTGTCAGTATCTCCATTCCAGCCCAGTGATAAAAGTCTGGTCGTTCTTCCAGCCAACACTCATAGGACCTGACCCTAATCTCTGCCCACATTTTTCTGTTTTGACCCCCATCTAATTTTGACAACAGCAAATGCTTTTATAGCACCTACTACATGCCAGTACGCCACATGAGAAACCCGCAATAATAAGGTGCCATAATTATCCCCGTTTTACAGATAAAGAAACTGAGGTCCAGAGAAGTTCGGTTCTCTGCCCAAGGTTGCCCAATTGGAAGTGGTGAAACCAGAATTTAGACCCAGGAAGTTGGTTCCATATTCGTGCTCGTGACCACCCCAGCCCTGAGGTCAGGATGTGGACAACACCCAATTCTAACAACTAAGACCCACTTGGGCCACATCCCCACCCGTGATCCCATGTGCCCAACAAAGACCACAAAGATACTGATCGGCCTCACCTAGGCCACATCCCTGAACCCCATCCCAGTCCTGACCACATACTCAGCCCCGATCAATTTCAGAAGTCACAACACTGCCTAACCAGGCCCCCAGTTCAGTGGTTTATCGGGCCTAATATCATTTTAATAAATGTTGGTGCAACGTTTAGGATCAGAAAATGCCACCTAAAAATCCAGATGTCTAGTTCCTCTAGACAAATAATCCATGGATTTGGCCCCGCTGGGCCCATATTCCTGAGAGAGGATGGTGGCTTGTCTTGGGTGGAAGTAGGGAGAAGAGAGGAGAAGCGGATGGGTGTGACATATATGTGAAAGGCAGAGTTACAGGGACTTGTTGATCTATTGAATTTGGGGAGCAGGTGTTGCAGGGGAGACCAGGGGTGATACGAAGAGTTTGACTCTGAGCTGTGGGGCGAAGGGAGGAGCCACTGACTGGTATGTAGCAGTCGAGGGGAAGAGCAGGTTTGGGGCAGAAGGCCGGGGGAAATGAAGAGCTATGATTTAGACACAGCAAGTGTGAGCATCTACGACACCTCCAAGTGGCAATTTCAAGTAAGCAGGATACACATTTGGAGAAAACTGAGGCCCAGTTTCCTCCTCAGTAAAACTGGGAGGTGGGGAGGGTTTTTAGGGTTATATGTCAGATTTTGAAATGTGCTCAAATCCAAGACCTCCTGTAGCATTGCAACCCTCTACAGCAGGAACTTGGATCCCCATTTATCAGATGAGATCACTGAGGTCTGGAAAGCTGGAGTAACTTGCCCCAAAACACACCAAAGCCTCCTTTTCCCAGCCTGGTGGTCTCTGCACAAAACAGCCCGGTGCCTCCACACAGTTGTTGCACGCCCACCCCCAAGCCCACCCTCCAATTATATCCAGCCCCTGCACTTCCTCATGTGAACTGCTTCGGGGGTGCCTGTGCCCAGAGGGACTCCTGACTGAGGTTAATGGGCAGCTCCAATGGACCCTCCTCCCAGAATTAGATTCAGTGAATATCAAATAAAACCTCAGGCGGAGGGCACAGGGCTATGCGCAGGAAAGGGGAGCATCTTGAGTCCTAATGCTTAAGGGTGAAGACCTTCGGGCAAGACCCTTCTTTTGGGCCTCAGTTTCCCCATTTGTCTAGTGGGCAATCTCTGAGGTACCACCAAGTTGGAATAGTCCCAGAGCTCCCTGTCCCTTCAAATACCTGCTTCTTACAGCTCTGATCCTCCTGAAAAGGACCCTATGCCCCTTCCCTAGACACAGCCCCCACTCAGAAGAAGCCACGCATAGCTCAGGGATCCCAGGCGAGCACCCCAAAGCTGCTGCTCACTCTCGCGCTGCTCCCGCTCGCGGATGATGGCATCCAGCCACTTCTGCTTCTCCTCTGCCGTCTTGGCCATGCAGACAAACCACTTATTCTTGGCCGTGTTGTGGATCTTCCAGCCGTTGGTGACGGTATAGCCGTTGCTATGGTAATCCGCTGGTGGGGGCAGGAGGCAAAGGTGCAGCAGAGACTCAGCCGCGTGACCTTCAACACTCCCCATTGCCAAGCCCTTCCGCCCCAGCACAGGCAGGGCCCTCGCCTGGATCAGGATGGGGAGCTGGACTTCCAGCCCTTCAAACGCTCACTTCTTATCCTTTTCCAGTGGGCAAGGAAGACCTTCTGCAAACAAAGACCCCTCTCAACCACTCAATGACAGGGGGCTTCATTTTAAGACCTTGCATCTAGGCACAAACACAGCAGTGACTCATGGGGAGACACTTGCTTGGAGCCCCAAAATGCTTCCTGGGCTCCTCCCATCTCACTCGGGCACTGGAGTTACTTAAAACCTTAGTGCCAGCCTGACAAGCCAAGTCAAACGTGGGACCCTTACCCAGTGCTGGCTGGGATGGGACCTGGAAAACCTCTCAAACAGATTGGCATGATCTAGGGAAGCGAAAGCCTGAATCTGAGGAGGGCTCCACGGGCTTCATGAGACTGCCAAAGGGGACTGTGGCTCAAAACCAAGCAAGAACCCCTGCTCTGGACAAGCTCAAAAGCACACATACTAGGAGATGCTCACATGAGCCATCAGTGACTGCATGACTGTGAGTGGTGGCAACAGGCCAAACATCCATCACCCAAAGAATGGATGAAGTGTGAAATGTTCACGTGACGGAACACTCTGCAGCAATGGAAACCAACAGGCTGCAAACAGCTACATGCAGAGACATGGATGAACCCCACTAACGTGGTGTTGAGTGAAAGCAGTTTGTTTAAAAAAAAATGTAGACCATATTTTCTGGGCGGGGAGACTAGGTGTCGCTCTGTCACCCAGGCTGGAGTGCACTGGTGAAATCATGGCTCACTGCAGCATCGAACTCCTGGGCTAAGATGATCCTCCCACCTCAGCCTCCACAGTAGCTGGGACCACAGTTGCACGCCACCATGTCCAGCTAGTTTTTGTATTTTTTGTAGAGACAGGTTTTCTCCATGTTGCCCAGGCTGGTCTCAAATTCCTGGGCTCAAGCGGTCTGCCCATCTCAACCTCTCAAAGTGCTAGGATTACAGGCATGAGCCACCACACCCAGCCGACCATATTTTATGACCATTTAAGTAAAATGGTCATGACCATTATATGACCAGGTGGGCTGTATATACATGCACATATATAATTACATATATGTAAAGCCACTTAAACATATGTAATCATGTAACCACTTACATAAGGCTCAAAAATAGAAATTTTAATTAAAATGTTTAGTCATAAATGCTTAGGAGGTAAAAATGTCTTTAAAAAGCAAGAAAATGATCATCACAAAATTCAGACAGTGGTTACTTCTAGGGGGAAGAAGGCATTGCAAGGAGGAAGGATTTGGGGTGCAGTGTTTTATTTCTTAACTTGAATGCTAACCACCCAGATGTTCGCTTCATGCATCTATGCTCTGGGCACTTTTCTGTAGGTAGATTACATCTCATGATAAAAGAAAAAAATATATTTAAATGAAACAGAGAGAGTGCCAGGGAGCAGGCAGGGCTCAGGCAGGGCTCAGGCAAGGCTGGGGGAGGGGCTACCTGTCCCATCTTCCACATTCTCCACCTCCATGACTTCAGTGTTGATTCGACCCCTGAAGATGTAGAGGGAGCCGTTGATGGATTTGGTCCTCTTGGTGGACTTCTTGCTCCCGGTGACCCTGATAGACAGTGAGAAGTCAGTGTCCCCTACACGTCACCTCCCAGATGCAACTGTTTTCAACAGCGCAAAGGGGAACACAACACTGAGGGGCATCCAGGGGACAGAGAGGAGCCCCAGGTAGGGGTCAGGAGCAGGAGTGTTTGGCTGGTGCTGGGGTAACTTGAACAAGTCACTTCTCTTCCAGCCACAGCTTTCTCATCTGGAAAACAGGCTAATAGCCTTGCTGACCCCACAAAGCTACTTTTCAGCTAAAAGGAGACATGGGAGACCAACAGGAGGTAACAGAAACCCATTCTTCTTGGCTAGAAAATGAGGAAAGACCTGTTAAGTTTCTCAAAGACAGGAACTTCCTGAAATACGACCAGAATGGAAGGAGGGCTTGGAACTGGCAGTCCGTCCATCCATCCATCCATCCATCCATCCATCCATCCATCATCCACCTTCCCAGGGTTCAATCATTCACTCGAGTGAATTCTATCATTCACCCACTCCTATAGTCTAAATGTTGGTGTCCCTCCAAAATTCATGTTATATCCTAACCCCCAAGGTAATGGTATTAGGAGGTAGGGCCTTTGAGAGATGAAGAAGTCAGGGGGAAAAGGACCTCATGAATGAGATTAGGCCCTTATAAAAGAGGCCCCAGAGAGCTGGCTCGCCTCTTCCACCACGGGAGGACACAGCAAGACGGCACCATCTATGAAGCAGAAAGCAGGCCCTCGCCAGCACCGAGTCTACTAGCACCTTTCATCTTGGAGTCCACAGCCTCCAGAACTGTACAAAATACATTTCTGTTGTTTACTTATTTTATTTTATTAATTTATTTTATTTTTTTGAGATGGAGTCTCACTCTGTCGCCCAGGCTGGAGTGCAGTGGCATGATCTCAGCTCACTGCAACCTCCGCCTGCTGGGTTACAAGCGATTCTCCTGCCTCAGCCTCCCGAGTAACTGGGACTACAGGCATGTCTCACCACGCCCAGCTAATTTTTTTATATTTTTAGTACAGACAGGGTTTCACTGTGTTAGCCAGGATGGTCTCAATCTCCTGACCTCATGATCTGCCTGCCTTGGCCTCCCAAAGTGCTGAGATTACAGGTGTGAGCCACCGTGCCGGCCTTATTTTATTTATTTATTTTTTTGAGATAGAGTCTCATTCTGTCACCCAGGCTGGAGTACAGTGGCACAATCTCATCCCACTGCAACCTCCACCTCCCAGGTTCAAGCGATTCTCCTGCCTCAGCCTCTCAAGTAGCTGGGACTACACGCATGTGCCACCATGGCCGGGTAATTTTTGTATTTTTAGTAGAGACAGGGTTTCACCATGTTGGCCAGGCTGGTCTCGAACTCCTGACCTCAAGTTATCCACCCCCCTCGGCCTCCCAAAGTCTTGGGATTACAGGTATGAGCCACCACGCCCAGCCCGAATTTCTGTTGTTTAAAAACCCCAGTTTCTGGTATTTTGTTATAGCAGCCTGAAGGGACTAAAACAGTCACTCAACAAACATCTGGCCAGAGCTTCCTATGAGGAGGATACCAAGTCAGGAGCCACGGGAAGTCACTCATCTGTGGATCCAACAAGCATGTGGAGAACGCCTACTATGTGCCAGGCACTGTTTTAGGTACTGGGGTTGCACTGCTGAACAAAACATCTCTGGGAACTCAACTTCTAACATGGGGTTGGAGGCAGGGCACAGAGACAGTCCCTAAGCAAGGTAAACCATACATCAGGTCAGAGGTACTAAACGCTCTGGTGAAGATACGGCAGAAAATGAACTCCCAGAGCTCAAAGGCCACTTGGTGGTGTGCACAGGCCTCTGCTCCAGCAGGTGGGCTGTATGCTCACCAAGAGCCAGTGGGTTTGTTCCCACGCCGACTTGGCTGATGTGTACTTGTTACTGTAAGTGGGTAAATGAAATAGGAGATAGGCTGAGGATTCAGGAACGTGGAAGAGACTTATCTCTCTGAAAATTAAGTTGTAAGTGGTGAAGATGTGGGCTTCTGCTGTGTGTGAGATGGGAGCCACGGAGGGTTGGAGCACAGGCAGAATGGGATGGACTTCAGTTTCAAGAGACTCCCTGTGTCTGCCGGTGGAGAAGGGACTAGAACCAGAGGGGAGACCACTGCAATCAACAAGATGAGAAAGGATGAGGGTGTGTATGTGTGTGTTTGTGTGTGTATACACACACATATAAACATATACATACATATGTGCATATACATATTTTTGTAAACTTTGTATTAAAGTATAAAATCCACACAGAAAAAAAATGCCCAAAGAAGCATTAATATGGCTCAATTAACTTTTGCAAGTGAACACACCTGTATCAACATGTTTAGCTCCCCACAGGCACCCCCTTATGCCCCTTTCCCATCACTGCCCTCTTCCCCTGACAAGGGTAACCACTGTCCTGAGTCTAACCCCATAGATTTGCTTTGCCTGTTTTTGAACTTTACACAAATGGAATCACAAGTGTGTACTTTTGTGTCCAGCTTCCTTCACCCAACCTCATGGCTGTGAGTTACCCGTGCTGCTGGGTATAGTGACATGGCCAGACATCTGGCTTCCTTCCAGTGTGGTGCTGCTGTGACATTCCTGCACGTGCCTGACAAAGAACATGTGTGTGCATTTCTTTGGGTTAGATACCTGAGGAGCTGAATTACTGAGTGATAAGGAATGTGAATGATTAGCTTTAGGAGATACTGCCAAGCTGTTTTCCAAAATAGTTGTACTGATTTTCCCATGCCCAACAGTGTAGGAACATTCCAGTTGTCCCACATCCTCTATAACTGGTATTTTATGTCTCATTTTGGCCATTATGGTATGTGTACAGTAGGAGCTCATTAATATTTAATTTGTAGTTCCCTGATGAGTAAATAACCTCAACCACTGTATGTTTATTGGCGATCTGGTGCCTTCTTTTGTGAAATGACTGTCCCTTGTCACTTTTTGTTGAACTGTCTGTCTTTTTCTTAATTACTTATAGCAGAGGTTGGCAATTTTTTTTCTGAAAAGGGCCAAATAGTACACATTTTCAGTTTTGTAGGCCATATGGTCTCTGTTACAAACTATTCAACTCTGCCCTTATGGCATCAAAGCAGCTAAGACTGTATACAAACAAATGGGCATAGCAGTGTTCCAATAAAACTTTATTGACAAAAATAGGCACAGGGCCAAGTCTGGCTACAGAAGGGCCTCTTCATATATTCTGGATGTGAATACTCTGGCCATTATACAAACTGTAAAGACCTTTTCACAGTCTGTGGCTTGTCTTTTCACTCTCCTTACAGTATTTTTTAATGAAATTCTTAATTACAGTATAGTCTAATGAATTTAGTTCTCCTTTATAACTATACTCTTTGTCCTGTTTAAGATATTTGCTTACTCCTAAATCATGAAGATATTCTCCCATGCTTTCTTGTAGAAGTGTTATTGTTCTACCGTTTACATTTAAATCTATAATCCAGCTGAAGTTGATTTTTGTGTTTGGTATGAGATAAGGGTCAAGAATCACTTTTTCCCCCACTGGATATCAAACTGACCAAGCACCATTTATTGTACTGCATTGGTGTTTTTGTTGAAATTCAAATGACTGCTTACATGTGGGTCTACTCCTAAACTCACTATTCGATTCCATTACTCTACGTGTCTGTTTTCATACCAATACCACACTGTCTTAATTACTACGACCTTACAGCAGGACTTGGAATCCAGTAATAACGGTCCCCTAGCTTGACCTTCTTCATAATTGTCTTAGCTATTTCTATCTCTGGATTTTCCTGTAAATTTTACAGTCAGCTGATCATTTACACACACACACATACATACATACATACATACATACATACATACACACATACACACGTACACACGTACACAAACCCCCTCCTAGAGTATTTATTGGAATTGCACTGAGGTTCTGGGCAAAGTTTGATGACAGGATGGAAAGGACTTGCTGATGTAGTTGGTATGGGGATAATGATAGCTCAAAATCAAGAAGATTCTGGCTTCGGCTCCTGGGCAAATTTCTTCTCCTGCCTCCAGACTCAAGCAGATATCAGCTCTTCCTGAGCCTGCCAATCCTAGGATCAGAACGACACTATTGGCTTGTCTTCAGCTTGCAGACGACAGATCTTGGGACTTGTCAGCCTCCATAATCACGAGTCAACTGCTTATTATAAATCTCTTTACACACACACACACACACACACACACCCTATTGGGTCTATCTGGAGAATCTTGACTTAATACAAATTTTGGTACCATTTACTGGTAATGAGGAAGATCCAAGGGGCAGAAGTTAAGACAAAAAACAAGAGCCCCTTTAGACACAATTTAAGTGTGGGCTATGTGTGAGACACCCAAATAAAGATATATGTATTTGTATTTCTTCCACTTGACCACGCACCAGGCCTTATTCTAACCACATTACATGTGTACCTTTACATGTTTTACTCTATAAAAACAACCCCATGAAATGAGGACTACTTTTATCCCCATATAACAGGTAGGAAAAGACAGGCGCAAACAGCTGACATAATTTGCTCAAGGTAGCACAGATAGTAAGCAGAGCCTCTGTGTTCTTTTTTTCTTTTCTTTTTTTTTTTTTTGAGACAGAGTCTCGCTCTGTCCCCCAGGCTGGAGTGCAGCGGTGCCACCTCAGCTCACTGCAACCTCCGCCTCCTGGGTTCAAGTGATTCTCCTGCCTCAGCCTCCCGAGTAGCTGGGATTACAAGCGTGTGCCACCACACCTGGCTAATTTTTTTATATTTTTAGTAGAGATGGGGGGGTTTCACTGTGTTAGCCAGGATGGCCTCGATCTTCTGACCTCATGATCCACCCTCCTCGGTCTCCCAAAGTGCTGGGATTACAGGCGTGAGCTACTGCGCCCGGCCCTCTGTGTTCTTAATGGCGACACACTACTGCTGCCTCTAAGATGCTAAGCAGGTAGTTGAGATGCATGAGACTTTGCTCTTCTGGGTCCTGGTTTCCCCTTCTGGAGGATGGGAGGTGGGTTTTTAAAACACTCCCTCCCGTTTTCCACTTCTGACACCCAAGGAGCCTCTGCTTTTGAATTCGCCCAGAAGCACTGTGAGTCAGAGACCTCCCCTGACCCATATCCTGGATGGGTGGTGCCCTGCATGACCCAGGCAAGGACAAACACAGTCAGCAGTCACCAAGTCACTCCAGGCATTGCCTGCACCCACATCAGACTCAGGTGGGGAGATCCACCCACCATTGCCCAATCTCCTGGGCCTCTCAGAGCTCAGCCCTCTGGCTCTCCATCCAGAGGCAGGAATGCTGGCCGCCTGCCAGCTTCTCTCAAGAGACACATGCGCCCTTTCCCTGCAGCCAGCCCAGCTCACTTGTGGAAGTGAGGTGGGGAATGGCCTTGAAAGAGCTCAGGGTGCCCACAAGGAAGGCCCCAGGGAGCCCACTTGGAATCCAGTATCAGAATCAGCTGCTGTCCCTGCACAGGTGAGACGGCCCCAGAGGAGGCAGAGCCTGCACCCGGAAGCCAAAGGTTGAGTAAACTCATCTAAAAGTTGGGAGCAGGTCACAGAGGCCTAAAGGGACGTTCTGTTTTCCAAACCCCAGTGTTCTGGGAAAAGTGCCTGCTCCAGACTGCTTGGGGCAGAGCGGCGGGGCAGGGCTCAGGGTGGACATTGGCAGCAGCCCTGAAACTACCCAAGAAGGACTCTGAGGACAGCCCCAGAGAGACCAGAAAGGAGGCAGGGAAAGAGAAGAAGGGGGCGTTCATGAGGGGACAGCAGGACGTGAGATAGACAGACCTCAAGGAGTGGGCGAGAATGAAGGAGCAAATGAGAAAGAGCCATGCTGAGCCAGCCACTGGGAGATAGCGGAAGCAGGAGGTCCAGGCCCTCACAGGAAGGGTCAAGCCCAGAACAGGGGGGAAAGGGCAATGGGGAAGGGCCTGTGGTTTCAGAGCCTCCTGTGCACCAGGTGCTGTACCTGTGCGACCACACCAGAGCCAAGTTAACAACAATGGTGCTGGCAGCTACTGTGCTGTGCACTCACTATGTCCCAGGCACACTCACATATCTGATCTTCCGTGGTCCTAAGAGGTACATACGATCATTCACTCTGTTTTACGGATGAGGAAACTGAGGCACAGAGAGGCAAAGTCACAGAGCTACAAAAGAGGTTAAACGGGGATCCAATGGCGGGCCTAGCTCTTAACCAAACACTACTACAAGGAGGGGCTGATCGTCTCACTTTACAGAAGAGAAAACAAAGGCTCAGGGAGGCCCTCTAGAGGAGGAGGACAGTGGGAAGCCCACACACGGGCATGGAGCATCCATTACTCATCCAGTGGTAAGGTTTCTCACCACACCTTAGGAGGCCAGCACAGACAGACAAGGAAACTGAGGCTCAGAGACGGTCAGTGGCATGGCCTAGGACACAAAGCAAGTTACAGGAAAATGCTGAAAGTAGGGCCTAAGACCTGGACCTCAGGCCTCAGCTCTAGTCTTTGCTAGACAGAGGAGTTAAGAAGCCTCTGGAACATCACTATTTTGTTCCTAAGACAAAGTAACAGCAAAGAGAATTTGAAAAGTGCTGCAGGGGTCAGCTGAGACCATCCTATACCTGCTGAACATGAAAACTTAAGGTCAGGAATCTCTCTGTGCCAATCCACCCACCCACCCATGCATCCAACCATCAGTTCCCACCAGCTACTACAGTCATCCAACCCCCACATCCATCTCCTAATTTCCCCTCTCTCCAATCATTCACCCATCCATTCACTCAGTAGTCCAACTGTCCCACTTTCCCTCCCAGAGCCCAACCACTTCGGCAACTATCAACCAACCACTTACCCATCCATCAACATGCCAACCAATTGGCCATCCATCTACTAATCTCCAAACCTCCGTCACCAACCCACCTTCCCAATTATATAACCACCCAGCCTTCCATCCATCTATCCATTCACTCAACACACCATACCTGAAGGCCCCAATCTACCATTCATCTAGACACATATCTGCCAGTCTTCATATCCATTTCTCTAACTGCCTGAATATCCACACATGCCCCCAGCTTTCCATCTATTCCTCCATCCAGCCATCTCCTAAACCTCCAAGCATTCAAACACTCATTCACTCACACACACGTCAATTCCAACATCCGTCCACATTCCTTCCTTCCCTCCCTGCCTCCTTCTACCATCCATTCACCTCCCAAACCCCCAGCCATCTGCGCCTCATCCCGTGTGCCCACACAACCCGTCACCACACTTCCCATCACACATGCACCTGCCTCCATCTACCTACTCAGCCAACCATCTACTTACTCCTAGACTCTACAGAGCGCAAGAAGCACCAGTGAAAGACACAAAGAAGGTGAAGAAACTATCCTGACCCTCCAAAAACTGAATAGTGAAAGAGCTTCGCTCCTCTTGAACCCTCAACTTTTAGAGCTTAGAATTACAGGATGTGGGTGTCACAAAGAACCTCTCAGTTTCCACAGTCATCTAGACCTGTGCTATCCAATATGGTAGCCACGAGCCACAGGTAGCTACTGGGCACTCCAAACGTACCCACGACAAATTTAGGTGTTTTGTGAGTATAACATACACACCAGATTTTGAGAACTTAGTGTTAAAAAACAACACAAAATATCTCTTTAATAATTTTTTTAAATAATAATTACATGTATAATTATAATTGAATAAAATATTCTCATATTTGGGGATCTATTAGGTTAACTAAAATATATTATTTAAATTCATTTTACCTGTTTCTTTTTACTTTTTTAAATGTGGCTACTAGAACATTTAACATAACACGTGGCTTGCATTGTATTCCTACTAGACAGCACTGATGTAGAACAAACCCCTCAACTCACAGGAAAGGGAGGCCCAGAGAGGGAAGTGACAAGCCCAAGGCATCACCTGGAGAAGGCAGCAGGCCAGACCCCATCCCAGCCTCCTGGCCACTCACCTGGATTTCCGCTTGCAGTAGACGAGAAGGTTGTCGAAGAGGAAGAAGGCCCTTTCCTGGATGTTGCCCGCAGAGATCTTTAACAAAGTCCCTTGCAGGAGGAGCTGAGTGCAGATGTCTGTGAGGTTGGAACCCTGGAAGCGCAATGAGGACACAGTGAATGAGCCAACCCAGGAACATCCCCTTCCTTTCCCAGAGACAGAACCTACTACCACCTCCTGCCACATGCCAAAAACTCCACCAGCAAGTCTGTCAATGGACAGAAAATCAACACAACGTGATTAGTGGCTTCTATCTGCTGAGCATGCCATGAAAATCCTGGGGAGGGCACACTGATATGACCGCATGTCCCTTTTACAGGAGAGGGACTTGGGGCTCAGGGAGGAGTGACTCACCCAGCTCATACAGGTAATAGTAGGTCCTAGTCAACATCTGGGTATATTTTGGTTCAGTTTTTGGTTTTTGGGTTTATTTTTTTTAAACGGAATTTCACTCGTTGCCCAGGCTGGAGTGCAATGGCGCGATCTCGGCTCCCTGCAACCTCCGCCGCTTGGGTTCAAGGGATTCTTCCTGCCTCAGCCTCCCGAGTAGCTGGGATTACAGGCATGCGCCACCATGCCCAGCTAATTTTGTATTTTTTTAGAAGAGACAGGGTTTCACCACGTTGGTCAGGCTGGTCTTGAACTCCTGACCTCAGGTGATCCAACCGCCTCAGCTTCCCAAAGTGTAGGGATTACAGACATGAGCCACCACGCCTGGCCTCGTTCAGTTTTTATTGTGGGTTTTTTTTTCACCTATTCCTTCCCCACTACTTATTTATGTCTTGACTTGTTACTATATCTCCCCCACCTAAATGCCCCTTTGGTAAGGACAGGGCCCGAATCAACTATGTGCCCTACGTATGCCCAGCACCCACAACACTCTCTGGCACACAGTAGGTGCTCAACAAATGCAATGTGCAAACCATCGGGGGCAGGATCCTGTGGGCATTTCATCTAGCTAAGCTAAAGATTTACACGTCAATCCCAAACCTGGTCACCTATGTTGAGCAGCAGGGGAAGGGGTGACAAAGACGTGCATGAAGTTCACTGAATGTCAGTGAGGTTCCGGGCAGCGTGGCTGGGAAAGGCATCAGGGAGGAGTGAGCAGACCTTGGAAGACAAAAATTAAGATAAAGAGGCTGGCCGGGCGCAGTGGTTCATGCCTGTAATCCTTTGGGAGGTTGAGGCAGGAGGATTACCTGAGGTCAGAAGTTCAAGACCAGCCTGGCAACATGGTGAAACCCCATCTCTACAAAAATACAAAAATTAGCCAGGCATGATGGCAGATGCCTGTAATCCCAGCTACTCGGGAGGCTGAGGCAGAGAATCGCTTGAACCCGGGAGGCAAAGGTTGCAGTGAGCTGAGATAACGCCACTGAACTCCAGCCTGGGCGACTGAGCAGGACTCTGTCTAAAAAAAAAAAAAAAAAAGATAAAGAGGCTGAGGGCAGGGATGGGAAGGTCCTAGCTGGGAGGGATCCTTAGAGCCTGGGATCACACAGGTCTCCCTGAAACCAAGAGGACCCAGGCAAGGGCAGAGAGATCCCAAAGTCCAAAGAGAGAAGAAAAGAGACCTTGGTGGGCACAGAATGCCAAATGAGGCAGCCCCTCCGCTGACCCTCAATCCACGTCCCTCTTCTGTGATTTTGGGGAATGGAGTCTTCCCTGGTACTTGGCTGCCCAGCCACAGACTACATCTCCCAGCCCCCCTTGTGCCAGGTGTGGTCACATGACTAAGTCATCACCAATGTGCCTCCCTGCCAGGGCACATCCTCGAAAGAAAATGGCTTTCCTCCCTTTCCTCTTTCCAGAGGCTGGGGTGGTGGGATACACTGCAGCGGGTGGTGGGATACACTGCAGCAGATGGTGGGGCAAGGAGCTGGAGGGAACCTGGGTCCTGGCAGAGCAAAGCTGCCCACCCCAGTCTGACTGTCCGCCTCTGCACTGCTAATGAGAACAGCGTTGCAACGCTAATGAGCCACCTCCCTGAGGCCGCTGCATCGCTTCCTTACAGCAGTCAACCACAGACTTTAATTAATACAATAAGGTACAGACAACAGGGTGCCACGGACATTTAGGCCCAAGGAATATTATGCAAAAGCAGTGTTTTAAGGGAGTTTCACGTGACAGACCAGCAGATTACACTGAACAAAGAAACAAGAAGTGATGTTGTCCCTGCCTGGAAATGAACTTGGGGAGGAGAGAGGGAGAATTATTCACAAAATCTCCTTCCCCAAACAGTCAACACCCAGAACCAACATGGAGCTCCTACCCCACTGGGACCTGCTGACTGAATTCTTTCTGAGACCCAGTAAGGAGAACTGGTTCCGGCAGCTGAGAAGCCAGGCTGTCTGCTAACGGCCTACAAGGGGCTCTCTCGCTGCTGTTAGGGCTGGTCTGCTCTGTGTCCGTGGTCCAGTTGGGTACAACAAACCCATTCACTCAACAGTGCCAGAGACCCCTCTGGAGACTGGGGAAGCAGCTTCCTTGTGGTCGAGAGCTGTGCAGCCGGGACAGGAGCCTGCATTCGTTATCACACATCACGGCCTTCGGCTTGGCTGGGGGCCAGGTGGGCATGGATGCTGGCATGCCCACAGGCAGATCTCAGCTTTCCAGTGAGGTAGCAGCCTGCCGCACCAAGACTCAGGGCTGTCATGAGGAAGAGCCCCTGGGACCCCCAGCATCCTCGCGAACTCCCTGGGGCTTCATCATGGCCCATGCGCAGCACACGGCAGACAACCGGTTCAGCAGTCCCTGGAGCCCACGTGCCTCCCCTTCCTTTTGCCTTGGCTCCCTTATGCCCACCCACCAGCTCTTCCAGGCTCCAAAGGGGAAGTTGAAGAAGAATCTGGTACCTGGCCCAGCTGCCAAGCCCCAAGATCACACAGCCCTAGAACCCTGCTGCCAAGTCCGTCTCGGGGGACCTAGGAGAGGAAGTCCGCCAGCCTGGGAAGCTGCCTCTCCAGCCTTGGCCAAGCACCACCTGGCAAACTGCAGCTGAAATGCCGAGCACACTACAGGGGGATACCCCCTCCACCCCAGCCCTGCTGAGAAGCCCAGCCGCACTCTTGATCTCCCTGAAATCCTTGAATCTAGGTCAAGGGTGGTGCTAGGGGTTGGATGCACAGGGAAGAGGCTGAGCACCAAGACATGTGGACCAGTCAGGACTAGAGACCTCCTTCCTTCCAGACATGCACACTCAGCCACGCTGGAGATGACAAAACCTTACACACTCAAAGCCAATACATGCGTAGGGGCGGCCACATGCCACGCACTGTTCTAAATATCTTGTACAAACTCAGCTAATCCTCAGGACAATTCTCATTTTACAGATGAGGAGACCGAGGCACAGCGTGGTGAAGTGACTTGTTCATGGTCACATAGGTGGTAAGGCAGTGAGGTGGAACTTGAACCCAGACAAGCAGCCTCCACTCCCCCGACCTGCTCACCTCTAACTCAGGCCGCTCTTCGAAGACAACCTGAAGATTTTTCTTTGCAATCGATAGTCTAGAGCAGGAGTCTCCAAGGGGAGAGACCATGTCCCACTGGGAGCCCAAAGCACTCCAGGGAGGGTAGGAAAAAAATATGAGAGCTTTTGTATTGATTTTGTTTCCTCACTCCTGTTTCCTTCTCTCCCCTTGTGGGTGAGGGCGAGTGAGCAGTTGATCATCTCTTAAACCAGGGCTGCCAGAGCCAGAGCCAGAGCCAGAAAATGGAGTGCCTTCCTTCCTTCCTTTCCTTCCTTCCTTTCCTTCCTTCCTTCCTCCCTCCCTCTCTTTTTT
Source organism: Homo sapiens (assembly GCF_000001405.40). Lineage (NCBI taxonomy): Eukaryota > Metazoa > Chordata > Mammalia > Primates > Hominidae > Homo > Homo sapiens. The sequence goes on from NC_000020.11 coordinate 48,704,576, forward strand.
TTTGATGGAGTCTAGCTCTGTCGACCAGGCTGGAGTGCAGTGGTGTGATCTCAGCTCACTGCAACCACCTCCCAGGTTCAAGCGATTCTCCTGCCGCAGTCTCCCGAGTAACTGGGATTACAGGCATGCTCCACCACACCTGGCTAATTTTTGTATGTTTAATAGAGAAGGGGTTTCACCGTGTTGGCCAGGCTGGTCTCAAACTCCTGGCCTCAGGTGATCCACCTGCCTCGGCCTCCCACAGTGCTAGGATTACAGGTGTGAGCCACCGCGCCAGGCTTGTTTCTTTCTTCTTAAGAGTACACATTTCCTTTTTTATCACTGTGAGCTTCACATGGAAGTCCATGCGGCTGCATCTGGAGTGTGCCTCTGAGGAGGCGCAGCCCACGCTGGGCACAAGTTCCAGTCAAAGCTCTTGGATACTTTTTCCATCTAAAAAAATAAATAAATAAAGAGATCCCACTTTGCTGCCAGGGCTCCTCCTGACATGTATTGGGCGTTTTCTCTGAGCCAGGCACTGCCGAGGACTCTGTAAGCATCAACTCCCCCGTCCTCAAGTGACCCATGACGGGGGTACTCCCATGATCCTGACTTCGCAGATGAGGAAACTGAGGCAAAGGAATCTCTCCCCACGGAGGGGGTTGTCTCATTCACTCACTTGCAAGGTATTGTGACACACTGCCATTTCCTTGTGCTCAGCAAAATGGATTCGTGGATTCACTTATCTGGTTTTATCTAAACCAGTCTCACGACAAACAGTGGCTCACAAAGGATCAGGGGGTAAAAAACACACATATGGGAGATCAAATTCATGAATGATGCAACCTCAAGCACACAGCAAGAAAGTGGCCAAAACAAGACTCCTCTTGCTCCAAAAACAAGCCCCTTGTCAGACATCTTTCAAGAGAGAGATGACAGCTATCTGATCAGATCAGCAAGAGGTCACACAGAAAGATGGGAAAGGATCAAAAGAATATGTCAAATAAAGATGTGCAATCGCATCATTAACATGAACTACCCCCTAAGGCATGCTGTCCTCAGAGACTGTAACTACTAACAGATAGCATGGAAGCAACTCCACTATTAGACGTCATTTTTTCTAGCTAGAACGTATTATTTTCACAAGTCACCTTGAGGAACAAACTGCATTTTAAAAACCTTTCTACTTCATAGAAAACAATTTCACGTTTTTCAAAGGACATTCATATTCCACACCTCACTTTATCTTCCAAATGAAACCAAAAAAATAACTTCAGAGATATTATCACTAAAATTAAACAAATAGGAGAAAATAAGGCACACCAGGCAGGACAAACTTACTCGAGGCAGGGCAAACTTACTCGAGACAGGGCAGTCTATAAGTTACAGGGCTGGGCCTCAAAACCAAGTCCCTGTGCCTCAGCTGCCTCATCTGTAAAATGGGGATAATAGCACCTCCCTTGTAGGGTTGGAAGCTTGTAACAGGTACTAAATAACTGCCAACAATTCTTATTTTAAGGCACTTTATTTCCTATTGCATCCAGCAACACTGGCCACTGAGGGCCACTGAGTTCTCAAACTGTACATGTTTAGGGTCATAAAGGGTTTTAGAGACCCTTGGTTTCCATTTGCCTAGGCCCTTACCAGAAAAAAGGCATCTGGAAATCACTTCTGCTGCAGCTGCTGAGGAGCTTGCTCAATACCCTCTCCTTTGGGGCCCATGTGAGAAATTTCTTTTCCAACTGAGTGCCAGGAAACTCTCTGTCTCCCAGAAGAACTGCTCTGCTTCTTCCTTTTCTGACAATATTAGGTAACTTATGTATGTTGCTCTTTTCACCTTGGCTTCCAGGAAACTCAAAACCCATATAGACAGATGTTTAAATTAGTCACCTCTATTTGCTCTTGAAGTTCAAAGTGGCCATGTGACCCATTTCTGGCCAATGCAATGAAAGGGGACACCTGTATGGGGCTTCTAGAAAAGGTTTTCCTCCACCAGGGAAGAGATCTCCCCACTAACTACCCTGGCCATGCCCCTGTCTCCTCCGGTTTTGAACACATGGTGCCTGGAGCTGCCGCCTTCATGGAAGCATGAGAGAAAGAAGAGGCTCACCAGAGACCAAATCAGAGCTCTGACATCACAAGGCTGAGATGAGAGTCTTCGAGGATGCATCCTAACTGACGCACCTGAGGATCAGGCAACTTTCAGATGCAGGAAACAGAAACCAAGCCACGTACTTTTAAGCAAAAAGGAATGAGGGGCTTTACTTATTCACTGAAGGGGCTAGAGGAGCCAGGAATCCAGGCCGAGGGCCCCAGGAAACCAGCCACAATGCAGAACTCACCCACCAGGGGAGCCACTGCCCCTGCCCCAGGTGGGAAAGGAGAATCAGAACATCACCTGTCCAAGCTCAGGCTCCAGGAAAAGGCTCCTCAGGTGGCATCAAGGATTCAGTAGTTGTTGCCTCAACTGTTAACTGCAAAGCCATCCCATGGCTGCTACCCCACCAACAATAAAAAAGGAAAGCCTAGGCCATGCATCTGACGCACAGGAAGCTGGCGCCCGGGCCCTCTTCTAACGTTACCACGGAAAGCCAAACACAACCATGGCTGTGCTTTGCTGCAAAAATAGCACAAGGGGTGGCCTCCACCCCACTTCCACCTTCCAAATCTCAAGCAGCTGGATCTGATCTTGGCCAGACCCCAAATCATATCCCAAACTGAAGCCGGGAAATAGAGCTCTTCACTCTCCAGCCTCGGCTGGGCAGGAAGGCCCAGCAGAAAGAGCGCAGGGGACATGGCAAGTGGATTGACCAATCCACAATATCCACCCCTCCCTGAATGCAGCCCCTCTCCTCTCTGCAGCCAAACCCGTAACCTCACAGCAATACAGCCTCACATTTAGGATTCCCCAGCACGGAGAAAAGAACTAGAAATCTCAAATATGGCAAGTGACTCCAAAGGCCAGAAAATCCAAAGGGCCTACGGCATATGATTCACGTAACAATCTCTGCCCAAGAGACTTTCATCTTCCCTCTTAATCTCCTGTTCCAGCTGTATTTACTCTGATATGGATTTTTTTCATTTATTCATATTTTCCCATTTCCTTCTACGGATTCACAGGAAACCTCTAATAATCTAAGGAAGGCAAGGGGGCTTAAATCCAATGATCTCAAGAACCCCATCCCCTAATAATCATGATAGTAATACTAACAGCTACCATTTATTGAGTACCTACTATGTACCAGGTACAGATGAGGATACTGAAGTTCAGAGAAGTGATGACATTTGCCTAAAGTCACCCAGCAAAGGAGTGTCAAAGCCAGAATTCTGTCCTGGAGTGGACACTAGAACCCGACCCTTGACGTTGGCATCAACAGCTCAAAGGCCTCCACATACCAGGCAATGCATGAAAGAGAAGGGGTGGGGAGATAACAGGGGGTGGTGGGGACTGAAGGAAACTAGAGGCTCCAGTGACTATTTCCATGAGATATAGGGGCCCAGTGTCACCAAGTTTTTAAGAGAAACTTGAAATGCAAATTTGTATTTGGATTTAATTGAAAAATAATTAAGCAATCTTTTGCAAACACTGTAGGCCAAACAAAATACATTGCAGACTGACAGGTGCCCAGGCCTCAGTTCATGACTGCACCTGTGCACCTCCTGGCCCCCTGCGGCCCAGGAAGCCCCCTCCTGTCCTGTACACACCTCCCAGCCTTCGATGTGGGACTGCAGCTGCTCCAGGGCTTCCAGCTTCTCCATCTGCCGCTTGGTCTCATTGATGTTGGAGCAAACGGTCTTCATGGCCTGCAGGGCACTCTGGACCGCGGGGTGGTCTGGGTGCTTGCCGGGAGTCCTCTTGGCCAGCTCCTGGGGTAGAATAGAGGTGGGGAGAAGAAAGCAAGACATCAATCAATCCAGAGGAGACCCAGGCCAGAGCTGAACCCAAGAAAACAGACAAAAACTCCTCGCCTGGTGGACATTACATTCTAGTAAAGGAGATGAGCCAAAGCAAAGAAAACTCAGGTATGGAATCCAATGTCAAGCAGTGGTAAACACTAGAAAGACAAATCAGAATGAGGGAGAGGGAAGCATTGTTTCACAAGGAGGTCAGGGGAGGCCTCTCTCTGGAGGTGATGTTTGAGCAGAGGCCCTGGACAGAGCAAGAGAGAGAGCCCTGCAAAAACCCGAGGGGAGAGCCTGCCGGGCAGGGGGCACCGTGGTGCGAAGGGTCTGAGGCGGGCACATGTCTGGTATGTAATGAGGAACAGAAAGGAGGCAGTGTGTCTGGGGTGGAATAAACGAGAGAGAGAAAAACAGAGAGATCCGCGGTCACAGAGGCGGCCCCAACACTGCTCCTCCCCAGGCCCGGTTTTCTTATCATAAGATGGGCATAAAAAATACCCCACCTTCACAAGGATATGGGACTGAGCAAATGAAGTGGCTCTTAATCCATGAGAAGCCCCCTGCCCCCACCGTTTCCCACTGCCAGCTCACCCCTCAACTCAGACGCAGGCTGGGACATTGCAAAGGCCAGGCCAGTCTTAATCGAACATTCCAGCCAGTAAATGTGATGGGAGAGGAACTGAGGAGGAAGGGATCAGCTGGGACTTGAGATATCAAGGAAGATTTTTCAGGCCAAATTACCCAAATCACCCAACCGCCCCCGTCAGTCTTTCATCCCGAACTGTGCTGGCAGAGATAATTTTCTTTAATCATCTGACCCAGAAACACGCCCAATAGCTCCAGTCTCTCCCCTATGCCCTAGCTCTCTGCTCCCTCGACGATCCAGATAACATCCCCGCAGATGTGACACTCTTGCATCGTAGTTACGAGCACAAATGTAGGTTCAAGGGCTGACTCTGCCCCTCACTGTCTGGGTGACCTTGGGCCAGTCCCCTCTCTATCCCGGGCCTCGGCTTCATCATCTGCAAACCTGTGATGATGAGGATGATGGTGATGACGATGACAGCAATTAATGTCTACTGAGCCTTCGCCCCACGGTTTTAAGGTGGCTTCTGTTATTAGACCATTTAACAGATGGGCGGACTGAGGCACAGCAAGAAAGCCTAAGGCCTCGAAGAAGTACAAGGAGGAACTGGGATTTGAACCCAGGCTGCCTGGTGCTGCTCATGGTTGTGGTAAGCAATAAATGAGGTACTGTAGGAAAAGCACCAAGTACATATATAGTAAGCACTCAATATATGCGAGCCATTAGCATTCTCCTTGCTGTATGACAACACGCTAGCTGTAACTGTGAGCAGCAATTTGCCACAAAAGGGTATTGTTCTGAGCACTCCCTGGAGTAAACCAACTTCAAACACATCCCTTCTTCATTCACTTATTTTCTTCCCTGTCCGAAAACAAACATCCTATTTTCTGAAGACCAGGTCCTAAGATTCCCAAGGCCCAGCTGGTCTGCATCATCAGGCCCCTGGGACTTTGCTGAGCTCTTGCCACGCACCCAGGCAATGTGCCCAAAGGATGCAAAAGAAGGGAGATGGAGCCCTGCTCTTCCTCTGGAGGCCCCAGCAATGAGGCTGGAAAGGCACTTCCCTGGGGGCTTGAGAAAGGCCCAGAGAGCAGCACCATATCCTGAAAATGCTGGTGATCAATCAAAAGAGAAGCAAGCCCAGAAGGCTTCAGGAGGAAGCAACACAAAGGCAGGCAGGGCACCCAGGGCCAGCTCTGCTAATGCGGAGTGTATTTCGACTCATTCTTCACTCAGCAAATACTGGCTGAGCAACTGGTGTGAGCCTGAGCTGTGGAGGCTGGGCAAAGAACAAGATGGTCCTCTGGGAGCTCATGGTCAAGAGTAGACCGGTCAACAAGGTAATGACTATTACTACTACCAACAGTAACAACAGCTAATACTCAGCAAGCCCTCAAGCTCCTGTCAAGCTCATTTGATCCTCATGTCAACTCTCTATCAGGTAGGCACCATTATTCTTCTCGATTGGCAGATGCAAGACCTGAGGCACAGAGAGGTCAGACCGTTTGTCCAAGGTCACACAGCACATCTGAGCCCACCCAGTCTGACTCCAGAGTTTGTGCTCTAAATCCCCGTGCTATTTACGACTTTTCAGACAGTTAAGTACAAATACTTTCCTCTCAAATAAATATATAATTTATAGAATTAAAGGGACAATGAGTGAGGGAAGTGCCGTGGTCTGAGAAGGTCTCTCTGGAAAGACAGGCTTGCGAGCGAAGCTTGAATGAGGTGAGGCCACGGGCCACACTGCGTCTGCAGGAACAGCACTCCAGGAAGGAGAAGAGCACGTGCAAAGGCCCTGAGGCAGCGAGAAGCAGCAGGGAGGCCAGCGGAGCTGCAGCAGAGCAAGTGAGCGAGAGGGATGGACCACAGATTCAGACAAGCATGCCAAGGCCAGATCACATGAGGCCGCAGTGGGGTGTTTGGGTTTCCTCCCAAGAGCCATGGGGAGGTGATGGGGGTATGAGCAGAGGCCTGACACCACCTTCTCACCCTTTAAAGGACCTCCCTGGCTGCTGACAGGAGGATGCACGGGATGGAATGTGCAGTGAATATAAAGTGGGAAGACCAGTTATGGCTACTGCCAAAGTCCAGGCAAGAGCAGAGGGTGGCACAGAAGCTCTGTGCCTCATTCACTCCATGCATGCATGTATCCACTCAGCCAGGCTCCAGTGTACCTGGCCCCATGTTGGGCTCTCTGTTGTACACAGATGACGGCAGACACTCCCCTAAGCCATCAGCCTGCTTGTAGGCATGTCCACAAAGTTACAATATAAGACCGTGATCTTATGACCATATTCAGTAATTCCATTCGATCCTGCAAAGCTACCCCAGTCCCAGGTTCCCTGAAGTGGTTTTTGGCATCTGGACCTTTGTGAGGCCAGCCGAGGCCAGGGAGTGAATGTGGCCAGTCAGCTCCCGGTGGGCAGGGACAGAGGCTGCCAGTTAGTGAGACCCCCGCCCCAGGTTCTACCCATCATCCCTTTCATCCAAAGCAGGGGTCAAATGACAGTCCAAGGACTGAGTCCAACCCATCACCCGTTTTTGTAAAAAAAAGTTTTGTCGGAACCAAGTATCCTCATTTCACTGATATATTGTCAGTGGTTGCTTTTACACTACAATGACAGATTGTATGGACCCCAAGGCCTAAACTATTTACTATCTGATCCTTTAATGGAAAAGTTTGCTGGCCCTTTGTTAAAAGCAACAGAACTGATTCTTAGCTGAGCATGAGGGCACCTGGAATAAAGGCCACACGCCCAGTCTGCCTGGACACAAGGTTCTCATGGATGGGGCGCGAGCAGAAGTGCCGGGTGCAGTTTCCCTTCTCCTTTCCCTCTTCCTTGGCTGGAATGTGGGCATGGTGCGAGCACCTGAAACCCTGGTGGTGAGGGGCACACCTCAGGGTTGGCAGAACTTGGTGCTGTCAGCATGGAGCCACCATGCTGCCCTGGACTGCCTTGACAGAAATAAGCTTAGACGTTGTTTAAGCCACTCTTGTTTCAGAGCTATGTCACTGCAGCTAAAACATATCCTATTACAAAAGACCCCACCGTGTTGTGGCACTTGGGATAAATTCACCATGAAACTGTGTTCTTCCTTCTGCTGGCTCTGTTAAGCTTGGCCATCAGTGAAATTACTTTGCCTCCCAATGGCCCTAGCAGGCAGGTGCTTTTACTATCCCCACTTGACAGATGAGAAAGTTGAGGCTCACACAGAGGCAAGGTCCCCTACCCAAGGGCACGGACAGCTAAGCGGCTACACGGTCCAGCTCCAGAGCTCACATTTCTGAATCACTATTCTGTGATTCTCCAGCCTGAGGCCCTGGGCCTCTTCCCACCTCCCCCAACAAATAGGAAGCTCTCACCACTTTTATTCTTGAAGCTAAAACCTGATGGGTCCATGGCACCCCTCTGATGGGCACTGCCACCATATCTGCTCCTCCCAAACCCTGGAAGTTGGAATCTCAGTGACCCTCCTCCAGTGGTTCCCTGTGGGGCTGCCAACACCCAGTAGTTAGTAAAAGTGAAAAAAAGGCTGCTTCCCTTTTCTATCTGTCCGCCTCTATCTCTATTCTTGCTCTAGGTCAGTGGTAGGGGTAGGGAATTGAAACCAAGCAAGACCTGGCCAGGCCCATAGCTGGACCAAAACCGCAGGGGAAGTGTTAGCTTTGGTGTCTTGGTTCACGGGGCATGTTGGCTCCACTCTGTGGAGCTCCAAAAAATGAGGGCCCATTCCTGCCTCCAGGCCTTTGGACTTGCTGTTTCCTCTCCCGGCACACTCCTCAAGATCTCAAGAAGTAACGGCCACAGTGGCTCACGCCTGTAATCTCAACACTTTGGGAGGCCCAGGCAGGCAGATCACGAGGTCAGGAGTTCGAGACCAGCCTGGCCAGCATGGTGAAACCCCGTCTCTATTAAAAATACAAAAATTAGCCGGGCGTGGCGGCACGTGCCTGTAGTCCCAGCTACTTGGGAGGCTGAGGGAGGAGAATCAGTTGAACCTGGGAGGCGGAGGTTGCAGTGAGCCAAAGGTTGCGGTGAGCCAAGATTGCGCCACTGCACTCCAGCCTGGGTGACAGAGCAAGACTCCATCTTAAAAAAAAGAAAAAAGAAGAAATAACACAAGCCAGGCATGGTGGCTCACGCCTGTGATCCCAGCACTTTGGGAAGCCAAGGCGGGCGGATCACCTGAGGTAAGGACTTCAAGACCAGCCTAGCCAACATGGCAAAACCCCATCTCTACTAAAAATATAAAAATTAGCCAGGCATGGTGGTGCACACCTGTAATCTCAGCTACTTGGGAGGCTGAGGCAGGAGAATCGCTTGAACCCGGGAGGCAGAGGTTGCAGTGAGCCAAGATTAAGCCCCTGCACTCCAGCCTGGGCAACAGAGTGAGACTCCATCATAAAAAAAGAGGCAACATAGTACTGTATAAAGATAGGCCTAGAGATCAATGGAAAAGAATTGTAGGCGGTGGCCAGCAGTTCAAGACCAGCCTGGGCAACACAGAAGGACACCATCTTTACCAAAAAATTTTAAAAACTTAGCCAGACACAGTGATGTGCACCTGTAGTTCCAGCTTTTGGAAGGCTGAGGTGGGAGGATCACTTGGGCCCAGGAGCTCCAGGTTACAGTGAGTTATAATCGGGCCACTGCACTCCAGCCTGAGTGACAGAACGAACCTGTCTCTATTATCTCTTTTAAAAAAAAAAAAGAGAGAGAGAGATAGGTTGATAGGTGCAGCAAACCACCATGGCACATGTAGACATATGTAACAAAGCTGCACATTCTGCACATGTATCCCAGAACTATAAAAAAAAAAAAAAAAAAAGAAAATCAAAAGTAAAAATCAATGCATATCAAAAAAAATTGAGAGTCCAGAAATAAATCCTTACATTTATGGTCAGTTAATTTTCCACAAGGATGCCAAGGCAATTAAATGGACAAAAGAACTGTCTTTTCAACAAATGATGCAACTGAATATCCATGTGCAACAAAATGAGGCTGGCCCCTTCCTCATGCCACACACAAAAATGGACTCAAAATGGATCACAGACCTAAATGTAAGAACTAAAACTATAAAACTGTCAGAGAAAACACAGGAGTAAACCCCTTGTGACCTTAAGTTAGGCGAAGTGCTCTTAGATATGACCAAATGCACAAGCAACTTAAAAAAAATAGATAACGTGAATTTCACCACAATTTAAAACTTCTGTGCTTCAAATGACACTACCCCAACGTGAAAGCCAAAAAATAAATAAAATTTAAAAGGAAGGGAAAAGACAATCTGCCTAATGAGGAAAATAGTATCAATTACACATCTGATGAGGAACTTGTACCCAGAATATGTAAAGAACCCTTACAACTTAACAACAAAAAGATAAATAATACAAGTAAAAAACAGGCATAGGACTTGAACAGACATTTCTCCAAAGAAGATACACAAATGTCCAATAAGCAGATGAAAAGATGTTCAACATCATGTGGGAAAATGCAAAACAAAACCAAAATGAGATACCACTTCACATCTACTGGAATAGCTATAATCCAAAACATGAATAACAACTGTTGGTGGAGATATGAAAAAAATAGAGCCCTCCTACATTGCTGGTAAAAATATAAAATGCTGCAGCAGCTTAGGAAAGCAGTTGGGCAATTCCCTTGAGACACCATGATCCAGCCATACCTGAAGCCATCTATCCATGGCTTGTCAGTTATGTGAGCCTATTTATTTTTTACATATATATGTTGTGTAAGTCAGCTTGGGCTAGTTTTTCCATCTCTTATTTGAAAAAGTTCCTACTGCTTCACAGTCTCAGAGGGAGTGCACAGATATGGAAACTCGAAGGTGTCCCAGCTGGTCTCAGACAGGCATAAAATGTGGGTATCTTCAAAGCCAACGAGAGCTTGAGCGATACTAACAAAGGTCTAACATGCGAAAGGAGGGAGGTGAGAAGGCTCCTGCCCAATTCAGAACTGAACAGACTGTACTAATAAATCAGAATAGAGTCACATTCAAAGGAGACATACTATGGTACTGAAAACCCTGGAATCCATATCCAAAGTGGAACAGATACATGAACTTCCAGGGTTTGGCCCAGAGAAGAGTATTTCTGGAAGGAACCCAAGAGGTGCTTGCTTGCTTGCTTGCTAAGCGTCTTGGGAGAACTACATGACTAAGAGGCCCGGTGAATCTGTAAGACCTCAAGGAGTCCAATGGGACCAGTGCAAGAGACCACTGTTTGAATGAATTAATCCATTCTTACACCACTTGGAGCTTTCTCGCAAGAGAGAGGGCTACCTTGTAAGGTAGTAAGTTCCCCATCAATAGAAGTATCAATGATAGATTCAGGCCCACTAATGCCTTATTCTAGCTCAAACCCATTATCAGATGATGAAACTGGAGAGCTCTGTGGTCAAGAGAATGGGTGCTGGGAAAAGGGAGGCATGGTCTCTACTTCGCCTCCACCACATCTCAGCTGTGGGGCCTTGCACAAGTGGCCTCACCTCTCTAAAGCCAAGTGTGTGCATCTGTGAAGGAGGCTAAGACTCACCCCCTAAGGCTAATGTAAGGATCCAATGGGGTGATGAATGTAAAAGTCTTGGTACCCAATAAGGACACAATATTTATCATCATCGTCATTATGTCTGTGGTAATAGTGGCTATTTCTTATGATTTCTGCATAGTAGGAATAATAGTGAAAATAGAAGTCGTGGTAATAGTCCTAATAGCTAGCATCTACTAAGTACTTACTGTGCACCAAGCACTGCTCGAAATTTAAGTGTATTAAGTCATTTCATCCTCGAATCATCCCAGTGAGGTGGGTACTATTATCATCCCACTCTATATATAAGGAAACTGAGGCACAGAGAGGTTAAAACCCTCTTGCCCAAGGCCACAGAGACAGAAAGTGGGACTTGGCAGATGCCAACCACATCTACAGGCCCCTCTAGAAATAGTAATAGCTGGAAATGAACACCTCCAAATCAGACTCTTAGAACACAAAGTGTCTAAGTAGGGCAGGTCCTGGGGATCCTTTAGAAAAACTGAGTGCAGGGAAGAGAGGGGTGTGCCAGGGCTACCCTGTGAACCAGCAGCATTAGCCCCTCCAGGAGCCAGGCTGATGGCCTTCCCCAGCATCCGCCCCTCGAGTCCTGTGTGGTTTCGCGAGTGGGGCCCCAAGCGAAGGCTTCCTAGAAGAGAGGATGTTGGCGCAGAGAAGCCTGGGCTTCCGCGAGATGCCTCACCTCCCTCTCGCCCCTGCAATCACATTTACTCAAAGGATGTCCAAAGGTGCCCGCTCTGAGCAGCCCCTTCATGTCCCCAAAACTGTGTCATCAGCTCCCAGCATGGCCGTAAGAGGCAGCCTGAGGCGCAGGGCCTCAAACCCAAGGGCAACAAACAAACGTGGCTAGAGCCAGCTCCTACTGGCTCACTCAGCTTCACCGAAGGCCCAGCTCACTCAGCCTTATCCCAAGGCCCAGGAGAGGACTGGGGGAAGAACAAAGGGCTCAGAGGAAGAGGAGGTGGTAAGGAGAGAGGAGGATGAGCTGCAGAGGTCTACTGCTTCCACCTGCTCCTCTCTCGGGCCATGGAGTCCAGGAGAGGTCACCCCAGCCAGCTCCCAGTGTGGATCTGTGACTAAAGCCTGACCTTCCATCCTCCCAGCCACACAGGGAGAGTGTGGGACCCATGCTGAGCCGGTGGGCCTCAGGCTGGGACTTCCTACGCAAACGCTGGGAAAGGCATGCTCTCCTCTCCCTGGGTGGGTACACTGGTCACACACAGGCCTGAGGCTGCTGGTGACCAACGACGCCACTGTAAGAAAGCAGCCTCCTGAGCACAAGGCTGGCACTGAGGGAAACACAGCAGGACATGGACAGACGGAGTCAGGATAGTATCGCCTGAGCCCTGGATGCAGCTATGCCTGAAGTCAGACCTACCCTTGGTCTTTTCTGTTTTCTATTCTTTTTTTAAAAGTAAGTTTAATTAACAATGTCATAAAAACAATAAAGTAGATTTTCAGTCACTGGCAAGCGAAATCATAAGAAAATGAACCCATAAACCCACAGTGTGAAAACAAAGCTGCAATTGTCACTGGAAGATGTGATAATACCCACCATTCTCTGTGACTTGGGGTTGGTGGGGGTTGGAAAGCCATATTGTCCTCTCCACAAAGAGAAAAAGGCAGGAGGGTGGTGTCACCAACAGGGTCTGGGTCAAGCAGAACAACACCAACTTTCTGGGGACACCTCAGCCAACTCCAGGAAGGGGCTGATCCTGCACTCAGTGACTTGCCTCCAGTCACACAGGCCTGCCCAAGGCTCTGCCATCTAAGCTCAGGAAGCCTGGCTTGCTCCTGTACCCACAGTGCTGAAGTCCCCTGCGGCCATACCTAGGGTGACAGCAGAATGCAAATGAAGAGGTGCTAAGGATACCCACCACCACTTTAAAAAAAAAAAAAAAGGAAAAGAAAACAAGAAGCGAAAAACATCTGGAAGTCCAAGAGAACCCAGAAGTGAAGAGCTCCCCAGCATTGCAAAAAAAAACCCACAAACACCCTGCATGCATGCAAATCATATGCAGACTTCATGCAAATGTATTTCCAATTTTAACAATTTCAGCCTCTGCTGCATGTCTAGGAAAACTGTAGTCCCACCAATTAGGAATTAGCAGGAGAAAGGAAATAATGCTCGTGGGTTTTAAAAACTCCTTTCTTCTACTCAGAGAGGAAAGGGGGGTAAAGTGGGAAGAGGGTTCCTATCAGGAAGTTCCTGTTCTGGCTTTGATGAGGATGTGCTGTGTGACCTTGGACAAGTTGCCTCCCCTTTCTGTGCCTATGCCTCTTGGGTATGCAAGGTAGTGATGAGACCAAGCTAAATGTTATCGCCAGCCTCTGTCAGCAAAGCAGAAGCTCTGGCCACCCTGGACTTGCGTTTCCACCTTACAGTAACAGTTGGCTGGGCTGAGCAGTGGCTGTTCCTTAGAAGGGATGTGTGTCCTCTAGTCTGCCACAGTTCCCACCCAACTCGCTAAGTTACAACCACCCTACTCACTCGTTTCCTGCACGTGCCCTGCAGGTATCTGTGTTTGTGACCCTAGGGTGGTAGGTCTCTACTGACCCTCCAGGCTCTGACATTCAGGAGCTCTATATCCAGCCTTTCAAAGAGGCCCTAGCACGGCTCACCGTGAAGTTCTACACCTCTTGCTCCCACTTCCAGGCTCTGCACAGGCATTTCTCTAGAGAAAAGGGTAAAATGGTGAGAGATGGTGGTGATTGATGGTGATGGTAATGGTGGTGGTAGTGGTGATGATAGCTATAAATTTCAACTTAGTGGAAGCAAAAATAAATAAAAATAAAATAAATAAAGGAAAAAGAGCAACTAAGCCAAAGAAACTAAAACAATCCAAAATAAAACACGGAAAGACGCAAAAGCATCAAAAAAAGAGGATAAACAGAAATCAAAAAGAAGGACGGCAGAACCAAGTTCAAATATATTAATAAACACAATAAATATAAGTGGACGAAACGCTCCTGTTAGAAGATATTATCAGATCAGATTTTAAATTGAACTCTATGGAGTTAACAAAAAAAGCACCTAAAGTCTAAGGATTCAGATAGGTCAACCACAAAAGGAGAAATAAGATATTTCAGGAAAACACTAGTCAAAAGAAACTTAATGTAGTTATATTAATATTGGAAAAAACAGACGTTGAAACAATAAAAATAACTAATATTAAGCACATCTCAGCATTTTACAGATATTTTTCATTTCATCTTTATAATAACCAATAACTAGGGCACTATTTCACAGGAGAAAACTGAGGCACACAGAGTTTAAGTCAGATTTCAAAGAGGCAATGCTAATAAGGTCAGGAGCTAGGATTAATAAGCATAAAAACCATTACAATATTTGAGTCACCAACATTTAACAAGCATGACCATTTACTCAGTAGTATGCAAAATGCTTTCATGAGTTTTTTCATGCATTGTCTCATCTGATCTTCACAGCAAGCCTGGGAGGTAACTACCATGCCCATTTTACAGATGGGAAAATGGAGACAAAGAGAGGTTCAGCAACTTGCCCTTGGTCACACAGCTAAGAAGTGGAGTTGGACTTCCGAATTCACTCTTAACCACACACAGTACAAGAGAAAGTAGAATCCAGGTTGGACCCCACAAAAGGTGATCTAGGAAGGCTCCTTCGAAGATGGGGCAGCTGAGCATGGCTTTGAAAGGAAGAGGTGATGGCAGGACCCCCCCCCCAACTCCCCAACAAGGGGTGTCCCGAGGTTAGTGCTCACCACACAGGAAAGAGCCTAAGCACAGGCTGACACAGGTTGAGTCTCTGGGGCAGCTGTGGGCGAGGTGTTGGTGCTCGGCCCGAGAGACAGGATGAAGGGGTGGGCACTGTGGTTGGGGGAGGATGGGGTCAGGGTAGAGGGGGCTGCAGTGAAGAGATCTCTGACTTCCTGTGCTTTCTCAGCAAGACGGTGACAATGCCCGATCCCCAGCAGATGAGGAGCTCACTGCATAACATCAGTCAGACAAAAACTCCAAAGAGATAACCCAAAGTATCCAGAATAATAGAAGGACTCTGGGAAATCAAAAGGACAATTGTCCAATAGAAAATGGGCAAAGGATGTGAAAAGGCAACTCTCATGAAATGCACCCACCTCCACTGCCACCACCAGGTCAAGACATCTCCTACCCGAACCACTGAAGCCAAGCACTTTCTGGTCTCCCTGACTCCATCCTGACCACCCCACGGTCCATCCTCCACACACAGCCAGAGGGACCCCATTAGAACTAAGGCAGATCCCATTCCTCCCTGCTCAGAACCTTCCCATGGCTCCCACCTCACCAAGATGGAAAATAAAGACCCCACGATGGCCCACAAGGCCATACCTGACCTGGCTCCATTACCTCTCTAACCTTACTCCCTCGCTCTCTCCCTATCCTCTTCCTTTCCAGTCACCCTGGCCTCCTCACTGTTCCCCAGACACACCAGCAACAGTCCTGCCCCAGGGCCTTTGCACTGGCTGTTCCCTCTGGAACAATTTTCCCCAAGGTACCTGCTTGACTTCCTCCTTCACCTCTTTCAGGTCTTTGCTCAAATGTTTCCTTCTCAGTCCAGCCTTCCCTGACCACATTATCTAAACCTGCAACCCCCTGAGTGACTCCTGGTCCTTACTGATCTTCTGAACCTGATATTTATTTTTTCCACAGCATCCAAATATTCCATCTAAACAAGCATACACATTTCTTACTCATTTGTCACCATCTCCCCCAAGAAGAATGTCCGTTCCAAGGGGACAGGGGTTCAAGCTGGTTTTGTTCACTTTGTACCTCTAGCACCTCAAGCAGTGCCTGACACATAACAGTTGCTCAATAAATAGGTGGTGAATGAATGAATGGCTTCAAAAACCCTAAACACTGCAGCACCAACCGTGGCTGTCTCTCAGAGGACACTAGGAAGACGGAAAGGGATTTGCTAAGAGAGTAGTATTCTACTGTGTGAGTCACTGTTTTTTAATGTTGGCTTCTCCCCTTCCCCCTCCACCCATCCTACATAAAGTCTGCTCTGGTGCCACCTAAAATCTTCTGGAAAGCTATGAGTAGTATACGTCCATGCTCCGGGAAACACGTCACTCCCAGTTGTCCCCCTTCACCGAGAATTGAGGTCAACACCTCCCTGGCAATGGACCTCACTCAGTCCATCCCAGGAGCGCGGACCTCAGTATCAGCCACTTTCCTCCCAGCCAAGTAGACAGAGGTAACAGCCGAATGACAAGGTCCTTGCGCTGCACTTGGGTGACAGCTGCATCACCCACAGACAGACATGGGAGGTGCAGGAGACACCAGCGGCCGTGCACAGACCCAAGGCTGTACCCCAAGCAGCCACTCTGCAAAAAACCTCCCTGGATGCAACCCCACTAGAGCAGCTGTTCCGAATGGACAGGTCCCAGGATGTGTCCTGTTGGGGCCCACAGTGTTTAACAAGTTCTGAATCAAGCTGATACTTGGACATAAGTAACTTTCACATAAAAGTCCCAATTTCTGGATTCAGAAACAGTTGGCAAGAAGACAGGGGTGGCCTTTCCACATTCATTCAATAAGTGACCAGGGGTATCTACCCTGTGCAGGCACCATTCCAGGCACTGAGGAAACAGGCCCATATCCCTGCCCTTGGGGAGCTGATGTCTCAAAATCAATCAGGACACCAAGCGTCCCAGGACAGAATGTGAGCCAGCGAGCAGTGCTATGAAGAAAAATAAAAGCAAGGTGAAGGGGACAGAGAATGGCAGAGGCAGCTCCTCTATCGCAGAGGTGGCCAGGGAAGGCCTTGGGCAGGAGGCACTGGAGCAGCAGAAGCCTGACAAAGATGAAGAGTGAGCCTCAGGAGACATGGGGTAAAATGTCCCAGCAGAAGAAAGAGCAGGTGCAAAGGCCCTGAGGCAGAAACCTGCTTGTTGTGTTCAGAACTTCAGGAAGCAAGCCTGGCTGAGCAGAGAAGATGACAAGGTCAGAGAGGAACATGGGTGAGATCGGTAGGACACTGCAGATGGCAACAGCAAAGAACTTGGACCTTACTCGGAGTGAGCAGAGAGTCCTGGGAGGGTAGTCCGGGGAGGAGTGACATGAACTGACTTCAGTTTAGCTGCTGAGCTGGGAGCAGCCTGCAGAGGACAAGAACAGAGGCAGGGAGGCCCGCTGGGGCCGTGGCAGTGTCCCAGCATGGGGGAAGTGAAGGCATTCGGAAACAGCTGGACTCTGGACAGAGTCTGAGAGCAGAGCCGACAGGACCTCCTCATGGCGAGACATGGGGGTGGGGAAAGAGGGACACCAAATGTAATCCCAAGGTTTGGCCTGAGCAACCAGAAGGACAGAGGGGCTGTCTGCTGAGCTGGGGATGGAGGGGGTGGTGGGGAGGTGGTCTGGGGAAAGGCATGAGTATGCTTGGTAAGAGATGCCTGCCAGACACTCAAATGCAGAAACTCAACGGGCCGGAAGACAAGCCCAGGGTCTAGGGGAGAGGTCCGGGCTGAAGTCATCCAGGTGGAAACGGAGTTTAAGGCCATGGGAATGTCCACACAAATCCTGTACATGGACCTTCAGAGCAACATGACTCACAATAGCCAGAAAGTGGAAACGACCCAAATGTCCATCAGCTAATGAGTGCATAAACACAACGTGGTCCAGCCACACAACGGAAGATGATTCAGCCACAAAAAGGAAGGAGGCACCGACACGCTCCAATGTGGCTGAACCTTGAGGACATGAGCCTAAGTGAAGCCAGCCAGGCACGAAAGACCAGCACTGTGTGATTCCACTTGGAGGAAATATCCAGAATAGGTGAACTGACAGAGGCAGAAAGTAGACAAGTGGTCGGCAGGGGCTGGAGGAGGGGAGGATGGACAGTAAGTGTTTATAGGTCTGGGGTTTCTTTTGGGGGTGACAGAAATGTTCTAAAATTATTGTGGTAATGGTTGCACAACCCTTGAGTATGCTTTTTTAAAAAAGGCCACAGAGTAGATAAGGCCACCACAGGAGCAAGTCTAGATGGGTAAACAAACGGCCAGAGGACTAAGCCCAGGGCCCATCTCTCCTCAGAGGCCCCGGAGATGAGGAAGCAGCAAAGGAGACCAAGATCAAGCGGCCAGAGAGCTGGGGGCAAAGGTGGCAACTGCCCCCTGAGACAGGGTATGTCCCCTGCAGTCAGCCCCAGGATGTCCCCTGCCACACACTCCAAGCTCCTGCAGGGCCCAGCCCAAGTCTGGAAGCTCCAAGGGGCAGGGCCCGGGTCTGTCTTGTTCTCAGCTGTGGACAGTGAGCAGCGACACAGATGTGTGCATCACCAGGAAATAACTAAGAAGATCAGTGACAGTCAGGCCCCCCACCGGCACCAGCCAGCTGTGCACCAGGGGCATTACCCCAAACCTGAATCATTCCCCTGGCAACGTGAATGGAAAAGTCAACAAAGCCTGAAATGCCAACTGCCTATCCTGGGCCTCGGCTGAGGAGTCGAGATAGAATGTTCCAGCTATTCTTAGGCAACGTTCAAGTTCAGCTTTTGGGGGCTGTTCCCAAAAAGGCTTTCATTCTCGCCTCTTCCCTCTTCCTACCCAGGCTCCTCAACATTGTGTGCCCACCCCAAGTGGGAGTTCAGCTCAAACAAGAGGGCTCAGAGGGCCACGGGGACCCCTGCAAGGGCATCTGAATCTGGAGAAGCCAGAGGGGGTGGGCTGGGGGGTTGAGCTCAGCTGCTTCAAGTTCATGGGATCATCTTTGAAAATCCACTGGAAAATGTGACAGAAAGAAGGAACTCCGGAGGTGGGGGGGACAGAATTCCCCTGAGCCCCGGGTGTTTGCTGATGCAAATGTTCCCGCTCTGGGGCCAAAGGCCGGACACACTGAGGAGTTCTGTCAGGCGGGGAGCAAGGCATGGCCCCAACGGGAGTCTAAGGCCCTGCTTGTTCTCTCCCAAACAGCACCCCCCACCCCACAATCTCCTACTTGATAAACACAGCTAGAGACCAAGGAAACAAGGCGTGCCCCGACGGAGCGCAAGTGGGCAGAGTAAACAGCCGTCTGGCCAGGAGAGCAAACCGCAGCCACCCCATCGCTTTTCCTGCGGGCCATTTCCTCCACGGGTCGCCGGGCGGTTCTGCCCCTGCTCTCTCTGTTCTCCTGGGAATCCAGAGCCCAGGAATCCCACCAGACCAAACTCTGGCCCCTGGGGAGATGGGAACAGGCCTCAGAAATGCCTGGGCCTCACATCGAGCCTAGAGTCCACCGTACACACAGGTCCAGCGACACCATGTGTTAAAATATGTCACGGAAGCTGCAGCTCCAAGTGCCTGCTGGAACCCAGACTTTCGCAAGATCCAGAAACCAAACCTCAGTTCAGCTCTGGGCCATGGCTGCTGGTTCTTCTTATGGGTCAGATGTTCAAGGTTTTGAAACGCAGAGAAGAAGGACACTGGCCTCAAAACACAGAGCCACCGACCTTAGACGCCATTTAGGGAACTGAGAAGGGCAGCATCGCTGACACTCCAGCACTTTGGCAGTTTAACTCCCCAAAATCCTTCTCAGCAGGCAGTAGAGCCATATGGTTAGGGGTGGTCCTCTGGAATCAGAATGCCCGGGTTCTAATCATGATTCTACTGCTTATCTACTACGTGGCCTTGGAAAGGCCACTTCCTTTCTCTGTGCCTCAGCTGCCCCATCTCCAAGAGGGGGCTAATCACAGTGCCTACCTTGCTGAGTTGCCGTTAGAACTAAGTCCATGCTTACTTGTCATAACAACCCCGTAAGTACCATTAACATGAACCCTATGTTTCAATGAGAAACTGAGGCACAGGGACGGATAGTGACTTGCCCAAGGTTACACACTCGTAAATGACAGAGAAATTCAAATCCAGACTGCTTATGGCTGCAACGGCTGACTCTCATCCAGGGGTCAGCACATTTTTGCTGTAAAGGGCCAGATGGTAAATATTTTAGGCTCTGCTGGCTACATCCACTCTCTGCTACATATTCTTCTGGGGTTTTGCTTGTTCGTTTAACAAAGCTTTTAAAAAAAAGAGTAAACATCATTCTTAGCTCATAGGCTGTATAAAAACAGGCCATGGGCTATATTTGGCCCAGAGGCCACAGTTTTGCCCACCCTGTCTCTAACCACTACAGTACACTGTCTCTTAATGCTGGTAGCTAATCCAAGTTCGAAAGACACATCACACAGATCACACAAAGCACATCTGCAGGCCCGATTTGGTCCACAGGCTACCAGTTTATAAGTTTCACCTGAAGCTTCTTCCACAACCAGGTGAAGACCTGAGCTACAGCATTTCTAAGACCTATCTAGGGATCGAAGCCATGGCAACAACAAGTGCTGAAGTTCCTTTCGAGATTGCTGGGAGAGATCAACAGCAGGAGCAGACCAGAGGAGGCATGGGAGAGCTGCGTCCCACCCCCACGGCTGCGCACAGCAAAGTCCTGTGTTCGTGGGCAGAGCTGATGGCCCCAGGGTCTGGCCCAGTTCAGAGGCTCCAGCATCACCCACCTTCTCCAGCAGAAAACCAAGATGAAGAATGCCCTGGTACCCTTCCCCTCCCCTTTTGCTTCCAGTTCATGGAGCAAAAATACACAAACCCCTGTGAGCAGGTGCGTGAATGAGGCCCCACCAGCCAAATTAATCCCCCCACAGGGAACCTAAAACACAGCTGCCTTCAGGACAGAGCCAGGACAGGCTCCGGCCAATAGCCATTTTGTTCAGCCATTTCCAAGGGCTGAAACCCTGGGCTGAGAGCAGTGGAAGGCGGAAGAGCCGTCCCCTGGGCTCAGGATCTGTCCAGCAGCCAGGCTGAAGCCTAGAATCAAGACTTCTCCATCCCCACAGAAGCAGCAAACCTTCCCTGCTTTGCCCAGCCAAGACAAAGCCAGGGCTGGCGGCAGGGAAGGAAACAGCAGGTGTATGGAAGGCTGCATTTGCCCAGCCAACACCTATGCCTGCCCTCACCCTGCCTTCCACAAACAGCTCAGACTTTGGTCACGTGGGGTTCATCTGTCCTCACTCATGGCCTGTGGGACCTAGTGATTGGTTCAAGGTTGGAGCACATGACCCAAGTCTGAGCCAATTAGAATTCCCTTGCTCAAAATGATTGGTTCAGGAGTGCAGCACCTGACCCAGGTCTCAGCCAATCAGAACACAACACTGCCCTGCTCACTGTCATTGGATCAGAGTGGAGTGAGACCATGTCTCAGCTAATCAGAGCACAGCAATAGTGATTGGTTCAGGGGTAAAGCACGGGTCTAAGCTGACTGGAGGATGATAAATGGTACATGCAAAGGCTTCATGTAATTTGTCCAGGTCAAAGCGCATGACTCAGGCCCAAACCATTTGGCATATGACCTTCCCCTGGCTGCAGATAGCCAAAGACAGAATGAATCTCAGGACTTTCCTCAGCTCTTAGTAGAGAGGTTCACTCTTTCCCACTGACCTTAAACTTGAGAGGATGTGAGGCCAGGAGAACCACAGCCACCTGCTGCCACACTGAAAATAAGCCTGAATGGTGGAAAGCAGGGTGAACGAGAGAGAAAGAGGCAGGGTCCTGGTTTAAATCCAGCCCGGCCCAAAGCTGACACTGCTGCTAGACTTCTCAGATACTTGAACTAACAAATTTTATGTTATGCTGAAGCCAAAGAGTTTTCTGTCACTTCAAATACGGGAAAGTCTCACCTTAAGGAGGAGCGGGTACTTGCAGATCCTCTGGATCGGAGACAACAGGTAGCCTTCCAAAGGGATGTCCGTGGTCTTCCGGCCTCCCAGAAGCATGCAGCTCTGCAAAGGGACAGGAGACCTTCATGAAACCCACCAAGGATAGCACAGGGACATAGCCACCCTCAACCATGAGAAACGCTCTCAGAGCACAGCTACAATCACTTGGCAAGCGATTTAGCGACCCGTAGAAGTGAAAACGTGCATCATCTACAACCAACACAAACCCTACTGGGCCAAATCTTGCCTACTCCCCATTTTGGTAAGTTTTATTAGAAACACAGCCACATCCATCACATTGGCTGTGGCCCCCTACAAGCTACAACGGCAGAGCTGAGTTGTTGGGGAAAAAAAGGCCATATAGTGGCAAAACTTAAAATATTGACTATCTGGCCTTTTACAGAAAAATTCACCCATTCCTGGTCTAGAGAAGCTTTCACATATACACACCAGGAGACTCAAAAATGCCTTGCTTACAACAGTAAAAAATGGGACGCGACCTAAATATCCATCACCTGAGAATGGAAACATCTGTATTTTTGTTTCAGTCTGTTTGCAGCAGATTTATACAATGGTAGCTAGCTATGCAGCAGTTAAAATGAGATAACCAGGGCCACACGTAGCAACACGGGCGAACCCCAAAAATGTACTCTTGTGCAAAAGAAAGAAGGATATGTACAGTATGAAGCCACTTACAGAGATCTTTTAAAGACATGGCACATAAAACTATGCGCTGTTTATGGAGAGCATGTATGAGGTCAAATATAAAGACATGCGTGTTAAAGGAATGCACCCAATTCCAGTGGGGGTTCCCTCTGTGGAGGGAGAGTTTTGGGTTGGAAAGTGAACCAAGAACCTTCAACTGTTACTGAAAATGTCCTAGTTCTTTAGCTGGGAGGAGTGTACGTGATTCTGTCATATGCATACCTCTATTTTGGCTTGCAGAGTTAAAAAGTACAGCTCTCTTAGGAATGGAATACCGTTACCCTAACTCCCACGCTCAGCCCTAAGCTCCTGTCCACATGAATCAACCCAGTGTTCTCCATGTCAATACTTCCGCCCTGCAGCCCCCTTGCCTCTCTCGGCTCATTCCATGCCTCTTCTCTGGAATGTATTCTCTTCCCCAATAAAAATAATAATAATAATAATACTGCTATCATCCATCGTAAACACTGACCAAGAGCTAATCATGTGTCCAGCAGGCCTCTAGGGCTCCCAACCACCAACCACCCTATCAACTGAAAACTATGATTATTCTCATCTCACAGCTTAGATCCCTGGGGTGTGAGAGGTTTAGTCTTTTACTCCAAGACCATCCCAGAAAAGTGAGTCACAGAGCTGGGACCTAGAGCCAGGCGGGTTGACACCGAGTCTGGGATTGAAACCATGATGCCCATGTGCCCTTACCCCAAGCCCACCCATGCACCAAGGCCATCCCTGCCACCCAACCTGCTCTCAATTCCCAGGACTTCTTCCTCCTAGAGCCTTCATAGGTGGCCATTTGTTCCACGTGGCTCTCAATCACATTACAGGCACTACCCTCTCCTTCAGAGAGGCTCCAACTTAAGAATCCATTTTTGTTTGGCAGGAACCATGAGTTCTGCTGTGTTTCCCTGCCATGCCCTTCACAGTCCTGGGTCCCTCAGGCTCACTATGTGCCCATTATGTGTAAGTGAATGAACTAACCAACTAACTAATGAAGGAACCACCCACCAGCACATCCAGCCATTCCTCCTCAACACCACCCTGGCAAACTGGAAATGAATCCAGACTCTTGGGAAAAGGGATTCCCATCCTATCATTTATTCATTCATTCAACAAATACACATTGTGTGCTGTGTGCTGTGTGCTGTGCACAGTTCCAAGCACTGGGGGGCTGCCCAACAAAACAAATTCCCTGCTTATATTCAAGTGAAAATAAGACCATAAGAACACATACCATGTGCCCACCATATGCCACACGCTGTGCCTTGTGCTTCACATACACAGAAAGTTCATGCCGAAAGCCTAAGGAAATAAGCATGGACCACTGTCCCCTACCACACATGGGGAAATCGTGGCACGAAGAGCTGGCCCAAGTCTCAGAGCTACTTCCACTGCCTCTTAGGGATCACAATAAGCTCTGCCTGGAAAAGCAGAATTCTGGGGACCCCAGGTCCCAGCTCTAGCTGAGCTGAATGGCCCCCACCAGTGTTTACCCCTGGCACAGATGGGGGATTGAGGCTGCGGCAGCTGGGAGATGCCGGGCCCCACGCTGCTCACACTCAGGCCTTTGTCCTAGGAGCCAGCACTTGCCACAGGCTGCCCTGGTGATGTCAGCTCTGGGCAGAGTGCAGGGCGCCTGGGGGTGGGGAAGTGCTTTCTAGAAGCCCCCAGGGCTTGGCGTGAGAAGGGCCCATCTTTGTCCAGGATCAAGGAGTTTTCACAAGATTTTCACAGCCACCAAGGACACTTCCCCACAAACACTCTAGATTGTGGTTTCACTTTATTTTCTTTTAAAAAAAAACAAAAACAAAAAAAACAGGCAAACACACACAGAGCTAGCATTCACTATTCTCACTACATTTCAGGCACTATGGGAAGAACTTCTGAGAAGTCCTTAAATGCTCAAAATTCACAGAAGTGAGTTAGATGAGGCGTCAACCTCATGGTCTTCCCAACCTCCTAATGGCAGCACGTTCCTGGACTATCCTGAGTCCTCCCTTTCTGCCCATGCTGCCCCCCTGGCTGATCCCACCCTGACTCGGCTTTTTTTTCTTTTTTTTCCTGGACAGAATCTCATTCTGTCGCCCAGGCTGGAGTGCAGTGTGCAATCTCGGCTCACTGCAACCTCTGCCTCCTAGGTTCAAGTGATTCTCCTGCCTCAGTCTCCTGAGTAGCTGGGATTACAGGTGCACACCACCATGCCCAGCTAATTTTTGTATTTTTAGTAGAGACAGGGTTTTGCCATGTCATCTAGGCTGGTCTTGAACTCCTGACCTCAGGTGATCTGCCTGCCTCGGCCTCCTAAAGTGCTAGGATTACAGGTGTGAGCCACCGTGCCTGGCCCTGACTTGGCTTTAAACACCATCTTTCTTTATATTGAAAACACTCAGGTTTATCTCTCTAGCCCCTAAACTCCCGACTAGAGTCTCTGCTGCCCCCCCAATGCCCCACCTGGATGTACTGCAGGTATCTTAAGCCTCACACATCCAAAAGGGAATGTTTATTTCCCTCTCCTACCCTAGCCTGCACCCTCTTGGGAAAATGCAACTCCATTCTTCCAGTTGCTTGGGCCCAAAACCCTAAAGTCATATTTGACTCCTCTCGTTCATTTATATCCAAAGTCAATGATCAGGCAAATTGTGTCAGCTCAGGCCCTCATGCTCTATGTGAATCCAACCACCTCTCCCACCACAACCACGCTGTTCGCAGACACCATCGCTTCCTGCCCGGACATTGCAGTAGCCCTGCAGTCGGTTGAATGGTGTTCCCCAAAATGCCAGGCCCCCACAAAACCTCAAAATGCAACCTTATTTGGAAATTGGATCTTTACAGATGTATGGTAATTAGTTAAAATAAGGTGATGCTGGATTAGAGGGGGGACCCTAAATCCAATGACTCATGTCCTTATGAGGGGAGAAGACACCAAAGAAGGCCATGTGAAGACAGAGGCAGAGATTGGAGCAATGCTGCCACAAGCCAGGGAGCACCGACGGCCGCTGGAAGATTAAAGAGGAAAGACAGGATCCTTCCCTGGAGCCCCAGGAGGGAGCACCCACCGACACCCTGATTTCAGACTTCTGGCCTCCACAACTGAAAGAGAATCAATTTTGTTGTTTTAAGCAACCCCATCTGTGGCAATTGTCCCGGTCCCCTAGGAAATGCAAACAAGACCCTCCCTGGACCTGCACTTCTACCCAGATACTAAAGGGGGGCCTTTCACCATGCAAATTAGCTTCATTCATGCCTCTGCTCAAAACCCTCCCACGGCTTCCCATCCCACTCAGAATAAAACGGAACATTCTCTAAGGCAAAGCCACGAGCTCCAACGTGAAGGGATCCCACAGAGCGATCCTACAGACATCATGCTGCGCAAAAGCCACCACACACACACACACACACACACACACACACACACGCACATCCTGAATGATGCCGTTCATAGACGATGCTAGAATAGGAAAAACTAAGCTTTGGTAAGAGAAGTCAGCAGAGGGATTCTGGAGGTCTGGGGGCCATGACTGGGAATGGGCAAGAGGGAACCTTCTGGAGTGATGGGAATGTTCTTCGATCTTGGTGGTTCCATGCTATAGACATATGTAAGCATTTGTCATCCTGGGGGTGGACTTACTGCATGGATGCTACACTTTAATTAAAAAGCTTTTTTAAAATCTCATACTTGGACTGGGCAGAGTGACTCACACCTGTACTCCCAGCACTTTGGGAGGCCAAAGAGGGAGGATTGCTTTAGCCCAGGAGTTCAACACCAGCCTGGGTAACATAGCAAGACCCCATCTCCACAAAAAAAAAATTAAAAATTAGCTGGGCATGGTGGTGCACACTATAGTCCCAGCTTCTCAGAAGACTAAATGGGAGGATGGCTTGAGTCTAGGATGTCGAGGCTGCAGTGGGCCATGATCAAGCCATTACATTCCAGCCTGGGTGACGCAGCGAGACCCTATCTCAAAAAGCAAAAACAAAACAAAACAAAAAATTTCAGACTCTTTCCATTGACTAAATGCTCCTTCATTACCTGGTTTCTTTCAATCTCTCTGACCTCATCTCCTCCTGCTTTTCCTCTTATGGCCTTCACTCTAGTCACCCTTGGCTTTCTTGCAATTCCTCAAACACACTCCTACCTCAGGGCCTTTGCACACGCAGGTCATCTATCTCTCTGAAATGCTACATAGCCCCTGCCTCTCTCTCTCTCCTTCACTTCCTCCACATCCCTGGTTACATGTCACCCAAGATGCAGTTTTCCCAAAGACCAATCTAAAACAGCATCCACCATCCTAACTTCCTCAAAACATCCTGTCACCCTTATTTTACATCCTCCAGAGAATTTAACATCACATTATCATTGAAGTTCCCCCGACTAGAATGGCCACTCTATGAGAATAAGGACTTTTCTTGCCTTGTTCATGTCGGATCTTTAGCCCGTAGAATGATCCCTACCGCATTATAGGTGCTTAGTAAGAAGTTGCTGGATGAGTAAATGAATAAATCATCCCCATTTTACAGACAAGAAAACTGAGGCAGAGAAAAATTAAGACACTACTCCATCATTCTCCATCACTCAGCTGGTGCCCAGCACAACATGGATGGAAAGCCAGATTCTGTCTGTTCCCAAAGCCTTAATGTCCCATAACAGACTCATGACAGCTCTTCTGCACGTGGCCAAAAGCTGGGAGACGCCAGCAAGGAGGGAGACAGATGGCACATGTGCTGGCACCCCACGCATCCTCCCCTGCCCAGACCGGCCCACCCAGCTGCTGCTAGGAATAGGGCAGTTTGACCCACCAGGAAGACTGCTTGAGATAGGAAGGAAAGAAAGAAAGAAGTCAGTCCTTCCCTTCCCTTCCCACACCCTGCACACACCTTCCTGGCATCTTCCTCCTTCCCAGGACCTAGCTGAACCTGAGGGAATACTGTCAGAGGGTGGGACCCTCAGCCAGGGAGCCCAGAGCCTGGGCAGCAGGGACTGTCACAGGGTGGTGCTGCCTGCAAGCCAACAGGTCAATGCAGACATGGCCATTTCTGTCCATGTGGGGTCTTGCAGTAACGTGACTTCATCTTTGCATTCTGCCCAGACTATTTTATGAATATAAGTGCAAACATGGAAATGTGAAGATGTAGGTACCGGCTATGAAAAGCAACAGTCCTGAAAGCTTAATTCACTTGAGACAAAGATGGAAATCAGTAAATCAGTCTGCCAATTTGCCCTTCCTCAGATGTTCACTGGAGCCGGGCCAAGCAACATGAACTCACTTGTGAAGGAAACACACATTTGGAATCGAAATTCTGGAACTACTTTGTTGGAGACTGAGTGAAGGAGAAGTGCAATTAGGAATATTATTTTATAGTTTAGCACTCTGGGAACGTGGTTCATACTCCGTATGCTATGTTAGTTAATTGTTCTACTTTTATATACTGAATTCGGTATGTGCTGTTGGGAAAACAAACAGTATGGGGGTGGAGAGACGTCTGTGACCGAATGAGAAGGGATTCAGAGGTGAAAGACTGGGACTGAAACCCAGGATAAGCTCAACCACTTTTCTAGGATGGACCCCTAGAAAGTCACTTAATATTGTGAAGTCATCAAAATCACCTGTGACAAAGGCTATGCAGTGTCCCCTAATGTATTCTTCTTCCACAGTGATCACATTTCTAGCTGGGCACATGGCTGCTCAGAATAAAGCCTGTATTTCCCAGCCTTCCTTGGATCTAGGGGTGACCATGTGGCTGAGTGCTGGCCGATGGGACGTGAGGGGAGGAGATGTGTGCAGCTTCCTGTTACGCCCTGAAAAGGAGAAGGGTATGCTCTCCTTCCCGCCCTCCCTCCACCCCACCACCTGGAAGTAGGATGTAGTCAAAGGTCATCTGAGACCAGGTCAATGAGCATCATAACCTAGGGCCTTAGCCCCTGACACTGGAGCCACTATACCAGCCCCAGACTGTCTGCACCCACACTGTTAACAAGAGGGAGAAATAAGAGCCCACCTTGTTCAAACCACTGTCCTTTGAGATGTCTGCAAAGCAGACAAATGTTTATCTTGACTCATACACAACAGATAGTGGTTTGAAAGGCTCAAAGGAGGTCACAAATGACAATCCGTTTTATACATAAGTGAGGCTCTCTACAAGTGTAGGGAAGACCATCATGGATGTCTACAGTTTTTCCTGACCAAATGCAAATGCAAATATACCCAGAAATGCAAACACAAATATCCCCAGAAATGCAAACCAACTGCTTTAGGGATCCACTCTACCCTTAGGCTCTATTGTATGGGTAGACCTGACCCCACCTTCCATCTCCAGAAGTGACCAATCAGAACACCACCACCAATTACTCTGTCTACAGCAATTGGTTCAGGGATAAGGTTTTGAGCCAACGAGCATCAGACCTAGGATTTTTGCTGTTACTATGGGGAAAGGGAAGTTCTCTCTATCCTGAAGCTGCTCAGCTATCAGAGGTATAAGTCTGGAGCTGCTGGAGGCCACCCTGTTACCACTTCGGGAGAGCCTGCCTGGGAATAAAGCCACAGCAGAGAAAAGGAGAGTCAAGAGACATACATTACTGATGACATCATTTGAACACCCAGACTCTGCCATCTCTGTAGCCCTCTCAGGTCTTAAACTCCCCAGAAAAGTAAATCCCTCTGTTGTTGTTGTTGCTGTTGTTGTTGTTGTTGTTTTGCTTCTGCCAGTTTTTGGGTTTTTTTGTTTTTTGTTTTTTTTGAGGCCGAGTCTCATTCTGTCTCCCAGGTTGGAGTACAGTGGTACCATCTCAGCTCACTGCAATCTCTGCCTCTCAGGTTCAAGCAATTCTCCTGCTTCAGCCTCCCAAACAGCTGGGACTAGAGGCACATGCCGCCACGCCCAGTTAATTTTTTTGTATTTTTAGTAGAGACAGGGTTTCACCATGTTGGCCAGGCTAGTCTTGAACTCCTGGTCTCAAGTGATCCACCCGCCTCGGCCTCCCAAGTGCTGGGATTACAGGCGTGAGTCCCCGCACCTGGCCGCTTAAGCCAGTTTTAATTGGATTTTCTTTCATTTATAATTAAATAATCCTAAAAATACTAGTAATCCTAATAACCATCATAATGACAGTAGTATTAATAATTACTACTCTTGCTGCCATTTTTAATAGAACCCTTACTTTAGACCAGGAATGGGCAAAGTCAACCCTAATCTGGCCCTCTGCCTGTTTTTGTAAATAAAGTTTTATTGCCACACAGCCACACCCACTCCTCTACACATTCTCTAGGGCTGCTTTCATGCTACAATGGCATGAGCTGAGTCGTGGTGACAGAAACTGTATGGTACGCAGAGCCAAAAATATTCCCCAGCTGGCCCTTTATGGAAAAGGCTTGGCGATCCCTGCTTTAGGCAGGAGATTACCCCAGCCAAGGAAAGGATTTGGCACCATGGGGCAGCATGAAGTCCTCTTGTGCCCAGATTCCACAAGGATGAGGCCGAGTGCAAGGGAGCACCAGGGCTGACGGGTCAACTTACCAAAAGGAAGGCGCGCACGGTAGGGATCTTGTTCAGCTCCACCAGCAGCCTCAGGGCTTTCTCATGGTTGCTGCAATACTCCTCGTACACGCAGAACTTGTCCTTCTGCAAGACAAGGACAGAGCCTGTGGGAGGCAGGTCATGGTAGCAGGCAGGTGCCCTGACACATGCTGACCACTGGGCTGGTAGGGTAGGGGTAAGGACTACCCTGACCCAGGAGAAGCTACAGCAGGAGGTATCTCAGGTAAAGCGGCTCCACTCACTACCAGCTTCCCAGCCTCCACTCTTGCCCCAGGTCTGCACTCAGGGGCCTGAATAACTTTTTGGGAAGCAGTGTGGCCTGGGGGTCAAGAGCATAGACTCAAGAAGAGCAGCCTGGGCTTGCACCACGGCTCTGTATTTCCTGTGAACCTGGGCAGGTTACCTGACTTCCCTGTGCCTCGGTCTCCTTATCTGTAAGGTAGAGTTAATAAAAGTCCCTAAGTCAGAGTTGTTATAGCTGGGGGCTAGCTCTGTTGACCTCCAGATGCCCCTGAGCCCAAAGATGTACTCCTTCCAGACTAAAGGTCACCTGTGGGTCACTAGGTCCAGAACCATCAGTCAGGGTTTCCCGTACTGGAAGAGACAGGAGCCTTCTTAGCAGGAAGCTCTCAACTGAGCATTCTTGGTTCCAGATGGTTCACAGAACCCGCCAAACCCTAAACAAGGATGGCGTGGGTGAGGTCACTGGAGGAGGAAGGGTTGCAAGGCCTCAATCCTGAGCTAGGGATGGGGGTGTGCAAGAGACCCGAACAAGCTAAGGAAGGAAGAGGTGGGTCCACAAAGCAAGCAGCTCATCTTGTTTCTAAACAAGCCCCCAGATGGCCTTCCGATGGGAGGCTGCAGGAAATAGGAAACCAAAGAGAAGGGAGGATGGGTTTAGAATTAACAGGCATCCCCAGCCCACCCCAGCTCACTCTGGGGGCTCTGTGTGCATCATCTGAGCAGACACCCTGAGCCACAAAGTGCCCAGGTCAGTGCTGATGGCTAACACAGAGTACATACCCAGCACATAGTACAGGCTGCCCAGCATGTAGTACAGGCTGCCCAGCATGTAGTACAGGCTGCACGCTGCTCTCCTGGAATGGGGGTGAACTCACTCATTCCCCACGACAGCCTTACATGGTAACTACTGTAACAGACTCACATACCCATGACAAAACCAAGGAAAAGTTGCTTCCCCAGGGTCTCGCCGCTAGTGCAGTGGCAGAACCAGGACTCAAACCCCCTTAACCCCAGTGACAGTGTCAGCTCAAGGTCATGGCATAGGGTAGGGATGGGAGTGGGAGGCAAATACCCAGGGTACAAATTTCAAGCCACAAATCTAGACTAAGCTGCATCCCAAGGGCACTACACCAGAATACTGAAGGGCACAGAGTGACTCCAGAAACCCAGTTCCACATTCCCTAAGTAGAGGGTGACCTTGGGCAAGTGC
The DNA here is from genome assembly GCF_000001405.40 of Homo sapiens. Taxonomy (NCBI): domain Eukaryota; kingdom Metazoa; phylum Chordata; class Mammalia; order Primates; family Hominidae; genus Homo; species Homo sapiens. The sequence continues at coordinate 48,736,020 of NC_000020.11, forward strand.
TTCTCCTCCCTAGGCCTTGGTTTCCTCACCTGCAAAATGGACATCATAACTGACCTTCAACACTTAGGATGCTGGAGGATGAAATAACTTAATATATGTGAAATGAGTAGAACGGTGTCTGGCACACAATACTTCACAATACTTCAATACCACACAATACTTCAAAGTACTCTACAAGTATTAACAACAAACATAAACACAATCGACAAACATGGATCAATGGGGGAAAATATCAGACAAACCATGTTACAATTACCCACAGTGCACCCCCATACACACACACATACCACAAGACACACAATCTTGATGCATATTCCAAGAAACCACACAATGATCTCAAGCATTACAGCATGCAAACTACATGCTCCAAACACCACCACCAATGTCAGCATGCACATGGACACATGCACTGAGTCACAAACCACCACTCACTCATCAAGTATCTGCAGTCCACTGAGATGCCAACACATGGCAAGGAAGGAGAAGAGGGGACCCCAGCACCCCCAACACTGCCCAGGCAGACCTTTTTCTATTCCCACTTGTCTCAAATGGGCCTAAGGGACCATCAAGGCCAAAAGAGCTGGGTGAGTAGATGTCTGAGCTGCAGGGGATCACTCAGCCGTAGGTAAAACCTTGTGAGTGGGGGCTGCTGGACACACCTGGAACCAGGATTTCAGCTGCAGACTGTGGTGATGCAGGCTGCAGGGAAGAGGAAGAGGAAGAAAGAGTACAACTATTTTGTTGTAGGTGACAGGAACTGGCCTGTCTGGAAACCTGCTCCTGCAGAGAAGACTTGCAGTGACATAAAAAGCCACCATGACCACTCTCACCAACCACTATCAGCATCAACCCTGTAAGTGCCAAGGAGAAGTTCTGCAGCCAGACCATCTAGGTTCATAGCCCAAGTCTCCCGGTCACCAGCTCTTGGTCAAGACAAGTAACATTTCTTGGCCTCTGCATTCTCATCCATAAAGTACAGACAACAATATCATTACCATAATGGTGTTGTGAGGATTGGCAGGTGAATTTATATTAAGGGACTTCCAATGGTGCATAGTAAGTGTTCACTAAATATTAACTAGTATTATTATTGCTTAATAATGTTGTTGCTATTATCACCAGCATGATTATTTCAGAAACTTCATTACCTTTTTTATTGAACAGGGTAGGGCAGTAGGTGGGAAGGTTTTGACAGCAAAAAAAAAAAAAAAAAAAAAAAAAAAAAGACAGGCAGAGTCAGGAGGAAGGCAGCAGATAGACTCGTGGGTTTAGGGAAAGCATCGGGAGGGTCCCAGGCAGATTTTGGGAATTATGATGGTCCCTGACCCCAGGATGTTTTACGTCTCATTCATGCACTGTCCTTCTCCCCTGAATCTCCTGGGACTGTCAGCTCCATCGGGACGGCGTTTTCATCTGTTGAGGTCACTGCTGTGATGTCAATGGGGTCAGCGGCCACTGGCAGAGAGCAGGTATTGTGACTATTTGATGAATGAAAGGAAGAAAAGAGAAGGAGGAACGGAGAGGCTAAAGGGCCCTCAGACCAGCTCTGTGCTTCTTCCCAGGCTGGTCCCACCCCACCCCAGGGACCATAAGTGAGCACATGACCCAGACAAAACCAATCAGAGTTCCCCGTCCTAATAACAGTGGCCATGTGACCCAAGCTGGGCCGCAAGAGCCCGCAAGGACTCGAGCTGGAATCACTGGGAAGAGAAACTCTCTTTGAGCTGCTGTTGAACCCCTGCCACCATGTGAGGCATGCACCCCATAAGCCCCTCCCATTCTCCAAGAGTGAAATCAGCACTGCACAGATAAAAGCAGAGCCTGAGATCAGAGAAAGACCTGGTCCTGAAATCATCATACGGAGTCCTGGATCTAGCTATGCCTGAAGCCAACCTACACTCCTGAACAATTTCACTGACATGCATCAGTAAAGTCCTGTATTTGTTTAAGCCTATCTGAACTGGTGTTTCTGTCACGTACAGCAAAGACAGTTTTGATACATGCACACTCTTAAAGGCAGAAAATGAAAGACATGGACCCAAATCTTAGTGAGGTGACAGGGTCTCTCTGTCCATCTCCACAGAGATGAAGGGAAGGGACTGGGCCAGAAAGCAGGGACAAATCGGTTTCTTCCCACATACCAACCCCAGTCACTGGGTAGTGCCAGCTGGAACACTGGTGAGGAGGATTCTGGGGCCCCACAGGAAGCCTAGAGACAGAATGCTGTGATTGATTAGGAATGTCTGCCACAGGTGCAGGAGAGGGGGTAACAAGCTCACCACTGGTTTGTCATTCCTCATCCCCTGAGCCCCCTTCTACGACAAGGTCTGCAATGTTTTCCTCTCCTTCAGCCTGTGGGAAGGGCAGGGGCCCAACGCTTGAGGCTTGGAGAAGTTAAATTTAGCAAAGGACAACATCCCCTCTGCAGCACCGTGCCCAGTTCAATCACGCCTGTGTCCTTTCATCCAGCCTGACCCCAGCTGCATCTCAGGCCTGAGACCCTGCAAATACGGAAACGCTGCTCTTGACAGCTCAGAGTCCAAGTGTTCCATTTCCTCCTGGAGGCCCGACATGGGGCTCTGATTGCTTTGCCAGGAAGAAACGGACAAACAGTTGTGCATACACAGATGTGGTGGGTACGGAACATGTGGCTGTGGGTTTGGGGGGAGAAGGGGACAGCTGCTGGCTGGAAACAGCCAGGGGAGGGGAGCTCACCCCCAGGAAAGGCTCAAGGATTGTGAGAGGTGGCAGCTGCTGTCCACAATACCCAGGTGACAGTGGCTCCACAGAGACCATCAGCTCCAAACCACTCATTTCACAGCCAGCAAGACTAAGACCCAGAAGAGGGAAGGAGCTGGCCCATGCAGACATATTCTCCAGTGGGGAGGAGAGAAGTGAGAATCAGGTCTCAGTTTCTCAACAGTCTCCCCAAATTATTTACCCATCCATACAGCTGTGGGGAGAGGGGGGTTAAAACAGAAATCAGACCACACTACTCCCGTGCTTAAAACCTGCAATGGCTTTCACTGACTCAGAATAAGATCTACAGTCCTCACCTCGGCACGCAAAGCCCTACAGGATCTGCCCTGCCCCCACTATGACACCCTCAAACTCTCTCTATCACTCACTCTGCTCTGGCCACGCCAGTCTCCCTTCTTCTCTCAAATGAGCTAAGCTTGCTCCCAGCTCAGGGCTTCTGCCCTTTCTCACCTTGGTCCAGACCACCCTCCCCAAGATCATCCCATTCCAACCCCTCAGAAAGGCCATCCCACCCTTGGGTTGCCAGATATAAAATAAACCCCAGGATGCCCAGGTGAATGCTCATTTCAGACACATATTTTTTTTAGTATAAGTATGTCTCAAATATTCCATAAGACATGTTTCCACTAAAAAATTATTTGATGTTTACCTGAAATTCCAATTTCCCTGGGTGTCCTTTGTTTTCATTTGCTAAATCTAGCAGCCCTGGCCCTGACCTCCCGATTGAAAGCAACCTCAGGCAGAGTCACTCTTTACCACATCTGCATTTTATGTTCTTCACAGTCTGCACTGGCATCTGAAATGACCTCATTTGTTAAATTACCCTCTGTTTCTCCCACCTACGAGCCGCGTGGCAGCACGGAGCAAGTCTGTCTTACTTAGTACAGCATCCCCAGGGTCTAGTGCAGAGCCTGGCACACAGGAGATGCTTACTATGTATTTCAGGAGACCTCATCACATAAGAGTAAAAAACACAGACTCTACAGCCTGACTGTGTCAGCTCAAATCCTGGCTCTGATGCTTCCTAGCTCTGTAAGCTTGCCCTATAACTTAATCTCTCTGGGCCTTGGTTTCCTCATCTGTAAAATGGGTACAATAATAGTAACCACCTTTAAAGAGTGTTGTGAAGTTTTAATGAATGCATATCTGTAAGGCACAGAGAACAGAACCCAGCACAAAGAAAATGTCCACTCGGTGCTAGTTTATGATAAACTCAGTAGTTAGTGGTTGGGTTTTGGGGAAAGGGGGTGAGGGACTCTTCCCCCATCTGATCAGTTAGGTGACACTAGCGGGCTGGACTGTGGGCCAGGGCCCCTTCCTCTCCTGGAGAGCCTGTCTGCAAGAGCTCTGTTCCCGATTAGCATCTCACCAGCCCAGATGCTGCCATGGCCATGGGAAAATGTTTCCAAGCAGGGAGTAAATGGAGTAAACAAGCCTGGGAAGGAGAGTGGACCCAGCACCTCTTTCCTTTGGGGCTGCAGTGGATGCCATGGTGCACTCCTCAAATGCCTGTCACAGAGACAGAGACACCCCTTACCCCAGGTGCTGGGAGTGCTGGCTGACAATGACCCTCAGCTAAGGCCCTCTCCTAGAGCTGCCTTCAGCCTAAGAGGGCCACCTGTCTGAGGCGGTACACCCACTCCTGAGGACAGCCCACTGGGCAACAAGGGTGCAAAGGCCTTGCCCACTTGCTGCAATTGTGCATAATCTGAAGAGCTATCCTAGTTCCAGAGTTCCTTCCAGATGGGACTATCAGTGGCTGGGGTGGAGCCTCTGCAACCTCTCCTTTAGCTGCTTCCAAGGGCCCACCTGTGTGCAAATCGCCAGCTTCCAGAAACCCAACCTACAGAGGTGTGGCCTTTAAAACTCCTGAGACAGACTGACTCAACCTATCCTCCGTGAGCAGGCAGGAAGAGGCGTGATAATTTTAATTTTTAATTAAAAAGATGATTTTAAATTAAAAAACACTGTATCACACACTGAGAACGCTGGCTCCTTTTTCAATAGGTCCAGTTAGCTCAAGGAGGGTCTTAGCTGGTGTGATGTAAGCAGCCTCAGGCTGAAAGGCTCAAGTAGTTAAGAGTTTCTAGATAGAATGCGGTAATACCGTTTGGTTTCTACTGCATTTATTTTGACAATTACCTTCTATTTATAGCACTCATTTTCTATTTTCAATGATGATGCAAATTTCTCTTTTTAAATAAGTTCACTGAAGTTTTGTTAAGTGAATCAATTTTTTTTTTTTTTGAGACGGAGTCTCACACTGTTGCAGGGGCTGGTGTGCAGTGGCACAATCTCGACTCACTGCAACCTCTGCCTCCCGGGTTCAAACGATAAGTGAATCAATTTTTTAAAGCATTAAACAAATAATAATACAAAGAATACTCAGATATAGCAAAAATTACAAACTTAGCGTGTGAGCTGAACTGAAGAACACTGGCTTAGCCCTTAGGATGGCCTAAAGCCCACTTCTGCGGCTGGCACAGTCGTGACCTTGAGCTTAACCTTTCTCTCAGTTTGCTTGCATGTCCAGAGGGCAAGTGAGCTTGGGGCTCGATTTTTTTTTTATTTTATTTTTTGTTTTGTTTTGTTTGTTTTCAGACAATGTCTCACCCTGTCACCCAGGCTGGAGTGCAGCGGCATGATCTCAACTCACTGCAGCCTCAACCTCTTGGGCTCAAGCAATCCTCCCACCTCAGCCTCTCAAGTACCTAGAACTACAGGTGCACATTACCATGCCCGGCTAAGGGGCTGAACTATTTCTGATGCAGAGACAGAGCAGTGAACATGACAGAGTCCCTGTCCTCATGTTGTTTATATTCTAGGGAGAGACAGACAATAAGCAAAAAGGGGCAAAAGATCCGATGTGTCAAAGGGTGATGCGGACTGTTCTGTTGAGAATGACAGAGTAGGGGAGGGGCGCGGAAGGGCAGGAGTGCAGCAACTTAAACAGGAGGGCATGGAGGCCTTTGCGGAGAAGATGGCATTTCCAAAAAGCTTTCAAGGCAAGAAGGGAGAGAGCCGCAGGGATGTCTGAGGGAACTGGTCCAGCAGAGGAAGCGGCCTGGGGTGAGAATGGGCTTGCCATGTTCTGGAACAGCGAGGAGATCCGTGTGGCTAGAGCCAGGGGAGCAAGTTCCGAGGAATGAACAGGGCCTGGCGGGCTGTGGGGATTTTATTCCAATGAGGCAGGAACCTTTGGAGGGTGCTGGGAGAGGGGTTGAAGAGATCTGATTGATGTTTCCAGCAGGTCTCTCTGTTGGCTCAGGGGAGAACCAATCTCCAAAATACTTCATCTCTGTCAAAGCCTCCGACATTCATCCTTGTGCCCGGGCATCACAGCAGCTTTGTGAGGCTGGAAGGACGGGAGCCCTGCTGAGGTGCAGGGGGGCTCATGATAGATCGCCTGGAATGGGGCTCAGTGATCCCAGGTCTGGGCACCCTGCACAAAGTCACACTCCAGAGAAGCCTGGGAGGTGCCAGAAAGCGCTGGATCACGTGAACAGATGCGCACATTACCCAAGTGAGAAACAATTCCTGAGCACTTATTATGTGCCAGGTTCTACCAACGTCATTCATTCTCTCAACCACCCTAGAAGGTGAGTTTTGTGATACCCACTTTACAGATGAGAAAACTGAGGCACAGAGAGGTAAGGTCATTCTCCCAGGATCCCAGAGCAAGGAAGTAGCAGAGCTAGGATGCAAAGTCGAGCAGCTGGGCTCTAAAATGCTTGATCTCCCAGGCCCAGGGAGGATGCCAGGAAGGCCCCAGCACAGAACAACTTCCCACAAAGGCCTAAACATCCACCCTCCACACGTCATGACTCTGATGGTAAGTGCAGCCTTCACCAGGTGCCTAGTTTGATGAGGCTACATGAGGAGGGTCCCAGGTAGCAGAAGAGAGGACACGGAAAAGAGGTTGCTTCATGCACACTGAACTCCCCGTCCCCAGCCCCCCAGCCCTCCGCTGCATCTCTGAGCAAGTCAGGAATCCTGCAGAAAGAGAGAGGTGAGAATAGCCCCGCTGTGTCCTCAGGGTCCAGGGCTCCTCACTGACAAGCGAGTTAAACCCACTTCCCCACAGCCTCTGGGGCTCAGACAGAGAAGCCAAAGGAATGAGGGGGGCCAGGGCTTTTGGCAAACTGGACAGTGCACCTTGAGGACCCTTTCTCCCACTTTTGCTAAGTATAGGCAATCCTAAGCAAGCTCGGATCATGACATCACAGCCAACCCCAAGCCCACCCCCTCCAGGAAGCAGGCCGGAGTAACACTCACAGCTGACACGCGGCATTAGCTTGGTGCTGAGCCAGGTCATTCATCCTCATGACAGCCCCCTGCAGCAGGAATTGTCGTTACCCCCACTTTACAGAGTTGGAGACTGAGGCCCTGAGAGGTGAAAGGACTTGCCCAAGGTCACTGGGCTGGCGAGCAGTAGAACAGGGATTTGAACGTTGGCTGTTGGCTCCAGAGAAAAAGCACTTCCTGTCTCCTCTGAACCCAAAGGAAAGACTGTCCCTCCCATCCTTTTCATTTTCCTATTCAAACACCTTTACTGCACACTGTGGCCACTTGCCCCTTCTCACCATCTCCACTGCTACCATGCTGGTCCGAGGCACCGTCATCTCACTTGGTGGGGTAACCTCTTAGATGTCTCCCGGCTTCCAGTTCTCCCTCCACAGCTACTCCCCCTCACAGCAGCCAAAGGGCCTGTGGACCACTTCCCTCCTCTGCTCAATGCCCTCCGCTAGCACCCAGCCCACCTGCGCCCCATTGTGCTCTTATTTGTCCAATTCCAAAGATGGAGGAGCGTCCGCTATGTGAATAGGAAGATAACGTCGACATTTATTGAGCACTTACTGTGCCAGGAGCTGCACTGAGCAGGCTCCTTGTATTATCTTGCTTAATCCTCACAATGTCCTGGATTTATCCCGTTTATGGGTAAAAGGACAATGAGGCACAGACAAGATCAGTCAACTTGCTGAGAGGACCACAGTTCATGAGTGGCTCAGCAGCCTGGCCAGAAGCTCTCCTTGCCCTCACTTTCACGTAGAGAGTGGCTGGCCCTTGGCTGAATGACTGCATCTTGGGGTAGTCTGCACGCCTGATCGCACATGAGACTTGCCCCCCATTGCCCTCTGAGGGCAAAGTCACACAGCTCCATCATCTTAGGCTCTAGCCACTCAGATGTGATCCCTTGGAGAAGTGAGTTAGTGATGATGATGATGATGATGATGATGATGATGATGATGATGATGAGTTAACAGTGGCCGAGTGCTGATACACCAAAGTTTCTCCACCTTGGCACCACTGACATTTGAGGTCAGATGATTCTCTGTTGTCGGGGCTGTCATGTGCATTATAGGATGTTTGGTGGCATCCCTGGCCTCTACTTACTAGAAACCAGTAGCACTCTAGAGCTAGGACAACCAAAAATGTGTCTGGACATTGCCCATTGTCCCCTGGGGGCCAGAATCACCCCAGCTGAGAAGCTCTGCTCTAGACTCTCTACCCGATTGCTTTACCTCTGAGTCTGGCCATCAACCTTAGGAGGTATACGGAATTGTCCCTACTTTGCAATTACAGGAGGAAATAGAGGCTCAGAGAGGCAAAGGAGTTTGGCTCACATCTCGTGCCCGTGAGGCTAGCTTGGGTTCTTCTGTCTGTGAGGGGGGTCCCAGGTAGTACAGAAAAAGAGGGTATGGAAAAGCAGTTGCCTTCCTTCTTCCAGCCTACCACCCACAATTCCAAATGCGTTAGTAATCTTGCAGGAAGAGAGAGGCTATTGCAACAAGCGTCAGCCTCTCTGACCAACAGCCCAACGGGGCACCCCAGGATCAGACACCCTTACTGTCCAGTGGGTGCCTGAGCCGGGACTCAAACCCAGGTCTGTCTGATGCCAAGTCCATCTCTTCTTGGCCACTAGCTACCTCTGATGGTCACTGTGGCAGAGGGGCCCCGCCAGGCCAGGAGGTCGCAGGACTCCAGGACACATGCATTCAGTGAGGGCCCACCCTCTATGTGGAGCTGAGGGAAAGGAGAGTCACTAAAAATGCCCACAGCCTGCTGGGCCTGACCTACTTCCCATAGTTCCAGGGATGCAGACTGGGCCCACCTGCCCACCTTGCTACCCCATCTCCCAGACAGGCCTACAGAGGAAGCTGGTGAAGGCGGATGGGGCAGGGACCCAGGGAGAAGCCCACTTTTCAAAAACTAGAGTCCACCAGGGGCAGTGGCATGGTACTCACGAATTTTAAGAAAACATTCCCAAGTTCATGCTGAGACTGCGGCTCCGGGTGTAAACAATACTCCAAGGCGGCCAAGAAATCCTTATGAACTTCCAGGATGTCTTCGATGTTCGAGAACAGGACCTGTGAGGAAAAGAGAGGCCAGAGGACAGCGTTAAGGCTCAGAGGGAGAGCAAAGCCAAGCACTGAAAAAATACAAACCTCGGTGCGGGTGACATTGTAGTCAAAGAAGAACTCTCAAACACCGGAACTGGTTTACCACTAATAGAAATCTTTGTAATAACAGAAATATTACCAATATTTATTTACTATAATCGGAATTAGTGACTAATCGTGTGTTAAGAACTTTATACGCATTCATAGAATCTAATCCCCACTGTAAATCTGTGAGATAGAAACTATTGTTATGCCCAATTTACAGATGAAGAACCAAGGCTCAGATAAAATAATATTCCCAAGGTCAAAGTCTTGCAAGCAGCTCCACATTTAGTATGCAGACATTCATCACAGTCAGACACAACTGCTGTGTCCAGCTACAGGACGATGTTGAAATTACAAGTATATTTCCATGCACTCATTAAAATGACGTGGTAGAAGAAAACACAATAAGGAAGGAGGTTAGAAATACGCTGTCTAAACTCTCACAAACAATATATGAGATACCCTGTTTCCCCACATCAATCTAAAAGTGTAAAACACTAATACAATTTGACCCAGCAATCCTACATTTTAGAATTTAACCTTCTGATCAGTTGTTCCCAACAAGGGGCAATTTTACCCACCACCCCGCCACACACACAGGATATGCGGCAATTGTCAAGGGACATTTTTGGTTGTCACAAATTGGGAGGAAAAGGGGTGTTTCGTAGACAGAGGCCAGGGATGCTGTTAACCCTTCCTGCAATGTACAGGACAGACCCCGCAATGAGCAATTATTATTATTACTTTGCCTCTCTGAGTCTTTTATGATTGTATTTTTTAAATTATTATTATTATTTTCTTTTTTAGAGACGGAATCTCGCTCTGTCGCCCAGGCTGGAGTGTGAAGTACAGTGGCACAAACTTGGCTCAGTGCAACCTCCGTCTCCAGGGTTCAAGCAATTCTCCTGCCTCAGCCTCCCGAGTAGCTGGGAATACAGATGCATGCCGCCATGCCTGGCTAACTTTTTTTGTATTTTAGTAGAGACAGGGTTTCACCGTGTTGCCCAGGCTGGTTTCGAACTCCTGAGCTCAGGCAATCTGCCTGCCTCAGCCTCCCAAAGTGCTAGGATTACAGGCGTGAGCCACCTCGCCTGGCCCTCATGATTGTATGTTTTTTAAGAATAGTTGTTAACAGCCAAAAACTGGAAATAACTAAAATATCCATCCACAGGAGAATGGGTAAGTAAACTGTGTTGCATTCCTACAATGGAACACCACACAGCAATGAAAAAGAGTGAACCACAGCTACACACAACATCATGGGCAAATCCCAGAGGCAGGCAGGGACACGAAAGAGCTCACTTTAATGTAAATTTCAAGAACAGGCAAAACCAATCCATGGTACTAGGAACCAGGGATTACCTTTAGGGAGGGAGGACTGACTGAGGGGGGCCCAGAGTGGGCAGTTGGGGCTGGGAAATGCTCTCTGCCTTCATTTGGTTTCATGGTACACTGGTGCATTCGTACGTAGACACGCACTGCATTCAGCACTAAGGTTTGCACCCTTTACTGTATGAGACTTCTACCTCATTAAAAAAAAAGGTAATTTTTTATAAACTGTAATAAGTCGCAGCTTAAAATTATAATAAATAATTTGTAAACTATAACAAACAGTGTAATAAATAAGTGGAATAAACAGGAGGTGCTCAGCCATATTTGCTGAATGAATGAGTGAATAAATGAATGCAGGCATAGAGTTTAGATCCCAGTGCATGAACACACACACACACACACACACACACACACACACACACACACACACACACACACACACACACACACACACCCCACCCCCAGGAGGAGCCATGCAGAGACCTTGAGCAAGTCCTTGACATCTCTAAGACTCAGCTTTCTTATGCAAATAATTCGGTGTAGAGCTGTCAACATGCAAGGCCACCGTCCAGATTAATCAGGGCGTTTGGGGGGAATGTCTTCTATGACCGAGTCCTTTGTGTGCTGTAAATACTGGGCACCTTGGACACCAGGACCCTCAGAGCCCCGAGGCCTGAAAGGCAGCTCAGAGAGTGAGGTCACACAGAAAGCCAGGCCTGGAGAGCCAGGCTGGGGCTGAGCCATGCACACAGAAGGCCTATTGATCTCCTCCTCAAACTCCCCAGAGCCATGGCCAAGGCCAAACTGGACCCAATTACTCATCAGCCCTGCCTGGACACTGGATGCCCAGGGCGGGAGCGGGGGCCGGGACTGCCAGGAGAGGGACTGGAGGTGCCCGGCTCCCGGGGGCACTTGGGAGAGGATTTTCCACTGGCTCCAAGCCAGAGGGCCTGACACGAGGAGCCCGGAAGACTGGGGGGTCACAATGAGCACAGAGGGAAAGTCTCGGGTTGGAAAGTGGGGCCCGGGGCTAAAAATTCCTGCTGACATCCACCAAGCACAGCTTGCTCACAGGACAAGAGGCCTCCAGGGGCTGAAGGGAGCAAGCTGGGGCAGGGCAAAGCTGGCGGCCAGCAGCCAGCGGGTGATGCGCCTCCCCCTGCATGCACACCCTCTGAGCATCGCACGGGAAGAGCAAGGCACAAAGCAACACAGATGCTCTAGAACAGGGGCCAGCCCCAGCGTCCACACCTTGACATTCTCCTCCGTGAGGCCCTTCTCCACTGAGTCGGCCACGTTCTGCCGGATGCGATGCAGGAATGCCTGGAGGAGAGAAGCAGAGAGAGGTGAGTGTCCGCGTCTCCAGCTCTCCCATGGACGGCCCTACAGAAGGCTCTCAAGTTCAAATGCCAACTAGGATCTGGGAGGTACCACGAGTCCAGGGACACAGGCAGAGGACGAGGAAAAACGTGCTCTGCTTACACCTTAAACACACTGGAGCAGCCCTCACTCCCACACGGTCACCAGGGGTGTGCTGTGCACCTACGACGCCAGGCCCTGCACTGGGCCCTGAAGATACAGCAGAGAAAATCTCAAAGCCCCTGCCTTCGAGGAACCTTTGGCCCAAAAAGATACACACCTGCTTCCTCACCCAGGGGCGCCTCTCAGACTCTAATTCATTTCCCCTTTCAATTTTTTTTTTACTTTGCTTTACAATTTAACCTCTGAGTAATAACACAGTCACATGGCTCAAAAGTCAAAAATAAAAATGGCAAAAACAGAGAAAGTCTCTCTCCTTACCCCAGCCCCAAACCATCTAGTCCCTCCCCAACCCCTACAGGAACCCCAGCTACTAGTTTCTTGGGTATTCTTCCAAAAAATCTATGCAAAAACAAACACACACACATACACATCTATTCCTTTTTTTTTTTAACCTCTTTACACACCAAAAAATAGCAACGTATACTGGATGACCCGCACCTGGATTTTCTACTTAATATAGCTCAGAGATCCTTCCAGATCATCTCACAAGAAGCTTCCTTGCAGATGCCAGGAATGTACTGTTTGAATGGACCATGGTCCTTCTACCACCCTTTCAGGGGCTTGGAACAGACAAATCACGTCTCTCCTCTGTGAGACGCAGTAGATGAGTGTGACGACACCAGGGCAGGAGTGACAGGGGCTGCGGGAGCCGAGGGTGCACCATTCATGTGGGGTCACGTGGGGAGGCCGCAGGCCCAGGACCACCAGAGGTTCGGATTTGGGTGTTGTTGTGGTTTTTAATGAAGCCAGAAATTAGAATTTTTTTTCAAAAGAAAAGTCTCCCAGTTTTGAAGTGTTGGTGAAAAAGCCCTCTGTTATTGCAAGGAACTGGATTTTAGGGGTTGTGAGTAAAAGTGGGGGGACCAGGGCAGTAGGGTGCAATGGTGCCAACAAGAGATGACGGTGGCCTGGCACCAGGTGGTGTGGGTAGAAAAGTGGCAGAAAGAAGAGCTGCCGAGGGGTCACACGTATGGGCTGAGAGAGTCACAGGGATAAATGTTGGGGAAAGGAGAGACAGCAGAGTCAGCACCTAAGGGAGACCGAGGCCCAGCACCCACAGCCACCTCCGCCTGGTTTGCCGGAACTCCAGGATGTGGGATCTGGCTGTAGGCTAACCTGGAAGCAGCCACATGGAGACCCCTGGGAAAAGGAATTCATGGTGCTGTCATAGCCACAGGGCCACGGGGAGCTGTGGGGCCTATCAGTCACCTGCCCTGCCAAGATGGATGACAGATTGGGGGTCCACACGGGGGCTGCTCCAGGTGAGCACATGGTCTCCCTGTCACAGAGCCCAGGTGCAGGCTGATTAAGACATGGGCTGCAGGGGCCTGTCTCATCCCACCACGCTTGTCTAGGGAGATCTCTGAGTGCAGGAGAGATGGCGGGGACAGCCCAAGATAGTGCTGGGGTCAGGGGAAGCGGAGCAGGTAAGCAGAGAGGAGGCTAGCCCTCTGCACAAGGCTGTCAGATCCTTTCCATCACCCAGAGACACGACACGTCCATGCCTGCCCCCGGGAGCCCGGCCACCTGCCCAGACTCAAGCCTCTTGGGAGGGGGCGCAATGACAGTCCACATGGCGAGTCACAGAGGAAGGCAAGACACAGGAAGCAGCTTCGTCTCTGTCCACACAGAGTGCAGAGCCATCTCAGCCAGTCTTGGGGCTTTAACCCATTTATGCCTAGTGTTCCATTACTGGAATGCTAAGCTTGTGGGAGTTACTTATATCCTACTCTTCAAGGTCATTGCCAAGGTCTGATTTTTTATTAAAAAAAAAAATTGCAACCTCCAGCATAAATGGGTTAAATCCCCTTTTTTTATGACCCCCATGTTTATATCCCCAGCCTGGACTTCTCCCCTGAAACCCCCAGACTCTTATCTCCAGCTGCAGATTCAGTGTCTCCACCTGGATGTCCAAACTCAGCCTGTCCAACACTTAATTAATGACCTTTCCCAAACTCACACCGAACTCTTCCCCACTTAATGGCACCTCTGTCTTTCAAGGGCTCTAGCCAAAACCCACTAGCCGTCCTCAGCCCCTCTCCTCTGACACTCCATTTCCAATACATCAGCAAATGTTACCAGCTTTACCTGAATACTACAACCACTGGTCCCCATCTCCACAGCCACCACCCCCCCAGTCCAAGCCATCATCATCTCCTGCCTGGACTAACACAGCCATTTCCCTCCTGGTCCCCTTCACCCTCCCAAAAGTCTGTTCTCTACACACACAGCCAGGGAGATCCCTTTAAATATGTACAGGAGATCAGTCAATCCATGCCTTTAAAATCTCCATGGCTTCCCACTGCACTTAAAATCCAAATCTTTCCATGGTCCCCATGATCTTGTCCTTGTTAATCTCTCTGATCTCATCTTCCAGTACTTCATCCTCCCACACACCTCAATATAAATAATCTTCAGCCACACTCTCATTCTAGATTCTATCCACCTGCCAAATACACTCCTGCCTCAGGACCTTTGCATATGCTGTTCCTGCTTGCAAGATGTTCTCCCCCATTCTGCCCTGAGCAGCCTCCTCATCCATCCGGCCTTAGTTCAAATGTCACCTCCGCCAAGAGGCCCTCCTCTTCTTAATGCAAACTCCTATCTTCCCATCTTGCGTTAGGAGCTCATTTGACAGATGAGGAAACTGAGGTTAAGCAATCTATACAAGCTCCTAAGGGAAAGGCCAGGATAAGCAGGGATCATGGCTGGGATGAAACCATAACCCCCAATCCAACATCAGAGGCCAGGTTTGGAAACTGGTGAGTCTGAGTTTCAACCATGGGTCCTTCCTGCTGTGTGACCTCAGGAAAGTGCACTAGCCTCTCTAAGTCTTCATTTACTCTTCCCAGTGGAATCATAGGAATACAGCACCTTTTAGAATGTCATGGGATAAAGTGAATGGAAGCTCCCTGAAGGCAGGGACCCTGCCTGTCTTGTTCACAGCTACGTCTTCAGGGCCAAATGTAGTGCTCAGCAAATAGCAGGTGCTTGAAAATCAAAGGAAGGTTTGGAATGCGCCTGGCACAGTGCCTGACCCATGCCGGAGACCTCGACTCAGGCTCCTTGGAAGTCTGTGGATCCTGTTTTTGAAACGACAATGAGCGGAGGGGACAGGGACTGGGGTTCCTAGAGGATGTTTTAACAGGGCCTGGGATACTGACAGGAAGTCAAGCTCCAGCCTCCCCAGACTAGAGGGAGACAAAGGCAGCCTCACCCAGCACAGCCAGGGAGGGCAGGAAGCTGGGAGTGCCGCACTCCGCTGGCCTAGATTGGGGCTTCCTGTCCTGGTTTCTTCACACGAGCTCTGCCACCGCTATTGTGCTGCAACAATGGGAGGCTCGGGCCACCCACTGAGGAACTGCAAACAAGCCGGTGTGAAGGCCACAATGGGCAGCTCGTGACCCGGAAAGAATGGGCAGCAGAGGCTCTGGGACCAGCCCTCCTGCTGCCCAAGGCACGACTGGCTTTTCCAGGCAGCACGGCGTCCCCTGCACTGGCAGGATGGTGAAAGGGACCCTCCAGGGCGACTCTTCCTTTGTCCAAGGCTTGACAGCTTTGAAACACTCAGGTCAAAAGCAGCTCTCATCTCCGAAGCCTCCCTTAGACACAATACTGTTCTCAGGATTTCCAGGGCTGCCTGAGAAACTCCTCCAGCCTCGGAAGCTTTGCCCATGCCTGGACCACTTGTCCTCACATCTGCCCAAGTCCTCCTCTTCATTTTATGAATGTGATGATGAAATACGTCAGGGATACAGAAAAGAATAGAGAGAAACAACAAACACCCACAAACTCATCACTACCCAGCTTTGGCAAATCTTAATACTACACCGAATTTGCTTGAAACCATTTGCAAAAAGAAATTCAACAAGTCTAGGGGAGGCACAGACTGGAAACGGGATGAGGAGGCTCTTGGGGGTGCTGGAAATGTTCTATATCTTGATCTGAGCAGTGGAGACACAGGTCACTGCATATGCAAAGCCCCAGCAGTATGCACTCGAGATTAGTTCAGTTTACCCACAGTACCATGCAAATATCAAACCTCCATGTATTAAGTAGAAAAGGCAGAAAGGAATCATTACAGAGAGAGGTGAGCCACTGGGCACCTTCTCTCCCTGCAAGGTACTTGGAGCTGGTGCTCCTCATTCCCACGCATGCCTCTGCCCACTTACCAAGCTGTGTGCATCTATAAGCAAGAGAGAATATTGTTTTGCATGTTCACAACATTTTTATAAGTAGCATGCTTTCAGCAACTTGATTTTCTCACTCAACATCATGTCTTCCACATTTACCCATGTTGATATGTACACTGGGCAACATCTGCTATCCAGACCCCACCCTTACCCCACACCACATCGAGCTGCCAGCACCTGCATCTCTTGGCCTGAAGACCCCGCTCTCATGTGCAGGGCAGGCCAGAGGTGCGGAAGAAGTAAGACTGCCTGGGAGCAGCCCTCAGTGATGGCCAGCAGGACCTGGCATGAAAAGACAGATGAGGAAACTGAGGCACTCGATGGACACTATCTCCCCGAGTGCCTTGATGGATTCAGCTCCGGTGGCCCCCATGGTAACCCGCTTGATGACACACCTTTCTTGGCTGCCTTCTCCTCCCTGCCTCACTCCCCCACTCTCCTATTGATGCTTCCTGGGGTGACCTCCCAAGTATGCTACTTGCCCTTGAATCAGTCTCGGGTCATGTTCTTTGGGGAATCCACAATAAGACAGACCTCAAGTTGTTCATTTCATTGCTTACTAGTCAAAATCACAGCATGAAGTAACCACTGCCATGCTGCAGACACTTGTTTCAAACATCCTTACTGTAAACAATGGCACTCAGGTGTAAGTTCTTTCAGCTGTATACTCTCGTCGACTGGGGTATGGGTATACAAGTTCCTCTAGGTGATGCACATGTTTCCTCGAGCCCAGGCGTTCAAGTTCCTCTAAATGTATATCCAGGTCTTCTGGGGCATAAGAGAAGGACCAGAGAGACTGTTTACTCAGCTCCCAGCCTGAGTGTTTCCAGGGTCCCCAGAGCTCTAGACTGAGCAGGAAGCCACATCATAATTGATTAGTGATGTCTGCCATGGATGTGGCAGGGAGAGGGTTAGAAGGATGATGAGTTTGCCATCTCCAACAAGCTCCCACTTAATGGAGATACCAAGAGTATGAGACACTGGTCTGAGGTCAAACAGCAAACTGGTGACAAAACACAGATTAGAACCAGGTCTCCCGATGCCAGGCCAGGTCTCACCTGTCGCCCTAACCTGAGCCCAGTGGTTCTCAACTTGGGGGTGATTTTACCCCCTAGAAGACATGTGCCAATGTCTAGAGACATTTTGGGTTGTCACAACTGAGGACAGGGGTGCTCCTGGCATCTAGTGTGTAGAGGCCAGGGATGCTGCGAAACACCCTACAGTGCACAGGACAACCCCACAAAGACACAGCTGACCGCAAACAACAGTGACAAGGTCAAGAAATCCTTGCCTCAGAAAAGGCTCTAATTAAAACCTAGAAAAAAATCCAACCTCTTCCACCGCCCAAATACTGTCTAATGCGGGCTCTTCTCACCCCACTGGCTCAGCTGCAGGTACACTGGTCTCCTTTTTGTTTCTTGAACACACCAGGCCCCCAGCATCCAGGCCTTCGCACGTGCTGTTCTTTGCCTACAGAGCTTTTCCCAAGACATTCAATTGGCAGGAGAGGTCCCTCCTCTCACAGGCCACCCCTGGACCCATATAAGAGAGGATCTCACCCACTACATAGCCACCTGAACCCTGTTACCCTTCACAGACGTCTCCGCTATTGGCTGTGCTCTTATCAATTAAGTATGGATAGGTTTGATCATTCAGTATCATCTCCCTCACTAAAGTATCAGCTCCCTCAGGGCAGAAGTCAATTTCCTTGGCCGTCTACGCAGCGCCTGGGACAGAGGCTGGCACACAGCAGGTGCTCAAGAGAGACTGGTATGTGGAGAAAGGATGGGAGAGACAGGGAGAAACTGAGAACAGGCTCCAGAAAGTAAGCTGATATCGAGCTGGGAGAGGCAACTAGAATAAGAACACCTTTTTAACTCACTAACTACACCTTTAGGCCTCATTATGTGCAGGTGCTGCTCTAGGTGTTTTAATCCTCAAACTCGAGGAGGCAGGCATTGTTATTACTATGTCCATTCTACAGAAGAGCCTAAGGCCCAGCGCAGTAAAGACCTTATTTAAAGCCACACGGCTGGCAAGTGAAGGAGCTGGGCCTTAAACCCAGACAGTCTCCATCACGCGCCATCAGTGAGTGACTGTGGACAATGAACCGCATCAGCCTTTAAAACAGGTAGCAGCTGCCCTTAGGGGTGCCCCTGGGGAGCTGCCATCTGCCTGGAACCCATGGCTGCTGTTGCCTGGGGAGGATAAATCTCTCCCTGGAGATAAAAAGGACAGAAAGAGGCCTTGAAGTCACTCCCTGAGACTGATGCCGGCAACCTGATCTGCTTGGGGAGGGGGCCCGACTGCCCCCAAGGACACCTCTGCCGTGGCTGGGGTGACCTCACCAGACATATGGTGAAACTTGAGAGGGCCAGGGTATGGGCTGGGAGCAAAGGGAAGCGATGAGTGGGGGTGGGTGGGGGGAGCTCCAGAACACAGCCAAGACAAAAGGGGGTGCCCTGAGGACCCCATCCCCAACATGATCTGGGTGGCGGGGAGTCGGAAGCACAGTGTCATGGAACAGCAAGGGCCTTGGAATCTGAGCGATGATAATAAAATCGCTATAACAGCAGAAGGGGGCTTACACAGCCTGCTGCAAGCCGCCCCACACAGCCCAGAGTCTGGGGAGCTCCCCAATTGCCCAATGACCCCTTCAAATGCCCAAATCCTATGCTCCATCCATCCAAGTTCTGGGTATTTATCCTACAGGGGAAAATAAATCTCATATGTGGCATGAAGCTTTACCTTCAATATCTGATTTATAATTCCATCACTGGGGGTTTAGTTAAATAAATTACCATCCAGCTCAACAAGGAATGATCATGCTAAAAATAGTTTGCAGAAGTCTATTTAATAACACGGAAAAGGACTGTTGATGTATCCTTAACTAGGAAAAAAAATCAAGTTACAAACAAGTACATAAAATATAATCTCACTGTTGGTTAAATAAATTCTCTCTCCCTAGGCATAGAAAAATGAAGTATGGAAGGAAATACCCATACTACAAGAAACTATGTAGGAATGTGGCCAAAATTACTAGCTGTCCCCCAATATCATTCTCTCCTTTTCCTTTAGAAACAGAACTCCAGATTTAAAAATAAGGACTGTATTTCCCAGCATCCCTTGCAGCTAGGTGTGGGCATGCAACTAAGTTCAGGTCAGTACAGCATACATGGCATATTATGTACAACATCTTGGAAGTATCCTTGTGGGTTGGGGGAGGAATGGGTAGGGATTCTCTTCTGCTATTCCCTTTTCCTACTGATTGGATTGCAAATGCGATGCCTGGAAGTGAAGCAGACATCTTATACCATGAGGTAGAAGCCACGTGTTGGGGAAAACAGAGCAGCATTCAGTAGGCACTTATGTTCCTAGTGATGGTACAGCCAACATATCCGCCCTGGGTCACCTATAATTACAGAATAAGGAAATAAACTTTCATCACATTTAAGACACTGTTATTTGGGTTTTATCACAAGCCACTGAACCTAATCCTAACTGACAGAGGGGCATTCTAAAGAATTTCCATTTTCTTCTTTCTTCATTTATTTCCCTTTCCAGATTTCTACAATGAACATGCTACTTTTTAAGCAAAAGTCATTTTTAACATAAATGCATGTTTTTATTTTTCTGGATGGGAGGGGTACTAAACACACAGGCTCTCTCTCGCCCACCCCATCACCTGCCCCAATCATCAGGACCCCTGGCTTCTGTCTTCTCCTCCTTGGATATGTGTATCCCTGTGCAGGGAAGGCAGTGCCCGCCAGTGGGGAACAGAGCAGCGGCAAGGCAAATATGAGATGGAAAGATTTACCTTCTGCAGAAGAGCCTCTGAGCTGCCGACCAGCCCTCCTTCTCTGAGTCAACTCTGGAAACCTGGGGACCCCCACAAGCTGGCCTGGAGCTTCCACAGCCTGGGCCAGAACACAAGAATGTCCACCACCCAGAGCCCACACCACTGCCCAGGCTGATTAAAACCCTCTCCACTCTGTTCCCACCTAGCATTCCTTCATCACGTCCATGCCAGGGGCCAGAAACAGAGAGCCACTGGCTCAGAACCAACTGAGGCTTTCCCAAAAGACCCAAATTTTGGATTTGAAACATCCTCCCCAAGGATTCCACCGCTGACTCATTCAGTCACAGACATACTCTGAGAGGACTGGGAAGAGATAGCTTTTTTTTTTTTACAAAGTCAGACTTACTACTCCTTTACTCCCATGGCACATTTACAAAGTCCATATATGTATCTATAACTCATTTCATTATATAGTCCACAGCACAAACATATTGCTTTGAATTGTATCTTTAACAGGCTAATTTCTTCCTGAAAGCATACAAAGAACCTACAACTGAGGCCTCCTGGGAATATACCAAGGCACCATCCACCCCGGGGCCTTTGTACTTGCTGTTCCCTTTGCCTGGAAGACTCTTTCTCCAGATATCTGCAGGGCCCCACCCTCAATTCATTCCTGTATTAGTCTGTTCTCACACTGCTAATAAAGATATACCAGAGACTGGGTAATTTATAAAGAGGTTTAATTGACTCACAGTTCCACATGGCTGAGGAGGCCTCACAATCAAGGCAGAAGGCAAATGAGAAGTAAAGTTATGTCTTACATGGCGGCAGGCAAGAGAGCTTGTGTAGGGGAACTCCCCTTTATAAAACCATCAGATCTCGTGAGACTTACTCACTATCACGAGAACGGCATGGGAAAGACCCGCCCCCATGATTCAATTACCTCCCACCAGGTCCCTCCCATGACACATGGGAATTATGGGAGCTACAATTCAAGGTGAGATTTGGGTGGGGACACAGCCAAACCATATCAATTCCCCTCTAGAATCAAATGCCAGTTCTTCTGAGGCCTTCCCCGACTGCTCCATTTGAAACAGACACCCATTCCCCTGCACACTGTATCTCATCCTCCTCCATCCCCCACAGCACTGCCCTCCACCTGCACTGAGCTGTTTCTTCACTTACAGTTCCTGTGTCCCCTACAAAGTCAGTCCCAGGAGGGTGGCAGCTTGTTTGGGCAGTGTCCACCCACTGGACCTAGAACCGTGCTGGACTGGACACAGAGCAGATGCCCAGTAACAAGGGGTTCAGCAGGTGACTGATGGTCAGCATGTTCGTCCTGCATAACAATCCCACAAGGTGGGCTACTGCATCCCCTTTTTAGGAAAGAGGAAAACAGGGCATGAATCACACATTAGGCTCTGGAGTCGGCCAAGCCTCGCACCTCAGTTGCCTCATCTATAAAATCTGTGTAATGGAGCCTCACCTTGCAAGTCGCTGACATGAGGATTAAATCTGACACTGCTTGTAAATAACTTGTTGCCTCTGCCCACGGTGGGAGCCCCCGGCCCCCAGGATCCAGCCAGGATCACAGGAGGTGCCCAATAAGTCCTCAGTAAATGTCCAGTGAAGGGGTGGGCACTTTCAATTCCGTGTAGCCCCTGGACCAGCTCAGACCAGGCCCCTTCCCTGGGCACATTTCCTTGGCACCATTCCTTGGACCTATAGAAATGTTGGAGGCCTTTAAAAATACGTGCATTGGCTCCAAATACAAAAGGAAAACTGCATTGTCAAAAAGAATAAATCTTGATTTAAATGTCTACAAAATTACCAATCAACTCTGCCTGTGGCTATGTGCACAGAGAATGCAGGGAGTGTGTGCTGTGGGTGCATCTTAGCGGGTGTACCATGACAGGACCCTTGGGGTGGTTCCCCAGATGCAGCAGACCCTGAGGCAAGAAGTGGAGTACAAGTAGTTTCTTTGGGAGGTGGGAGGTGGGAGATGGTCCCTGGAAACACCAACAGGGAGGTGGAACCAAGAAGGGAAGGCAGCCCACGAAGGGTATGAGACCAAGCAAGTTACCACCATGAGGCCCCAGACAGACCGTGTGGAACGCACACCTCACAGCCACCCTCAGGGAGTGAGGAGGCCAGGGAGTCTGTACATCAGCCCTGTCTGTCACTAGTTTAAGGGCAGTGGGGGTGATCCTGGCACTCCCCATCTTCCCTGAAAGTGACAGAGCAGCTCAGAGCAGACAAAGCCATCAGGCAGAGGAGCGCAGGTGCTGGCAGTGGAGCGTCCCTCTGGTGTGCCCTGGAGTGGTTGAGGTGTCGCAATGCAGCCTCAAAAAGAAAGAGGGTGTAGGGCCCCCCCGAGCTTGGGGGGGTGAAAGACAGGGCTTTGCAGCACCGCAGCCACACAGGCCAGGCACTTCAGCAGATGTTCTCCTAATACACACCAGGACGGCCTCGCTGCCTGTTAAAACACCAAAATACTTCTGAGCTGATGGGGAAAATCTCTACATGTGCAGGGCTGAAGGTCAGAGGAGGTGGCTGCGGAACCACAGGCAGTCCCCGGTCAGACGTGGAGGCAGGTTTCACGTGGAGCAGACACAGGGAGCAAACAGCATTGCGTGTATCTGAGGATACA
The DNA here is from genome assembly GCF_000001405.40 of Homo sapiens. Classification (NCBI taxonomy): domain Eukaryota; kingdom Metazoa; phylum Chordata; class Mammalia; order Primates; family Hominidae; genus Homo; species Homo sapiens. The sequence continues at coordinate 48,758,742 of NC_000020.11, forward strand.
GCATCACGGGCAGGGTCAACAGCTGGGGCAAAGGCCCCAAGGCACATTCAGTCTTTCCAAGACAATCCTATCGAAAACGCCTATCCCTGCTCTGTTTTCCTCACAGCACCTGTCACCATGGACATTATGTGTGTTCATTATCAGTCTATTATCCATCTAGCCCACCTGAATCCAGGCTGCATCTGCGGGGAACCCATACACATTCCCCTGCGGAGGCCAAAGATATGGCCAGCATTCCACCTCCTCCTCCCATGCCCCAACTCTCAGAAGCCCTCCCTACCCTTAGAAACTCTCTCTACTCCTTGCTAGAAGGGCACTGTATCTCCTAAGCAAGCAGTATGTAAGAGTGGATGAGGCTCAAAGGCTAGAACTAGCCACCTGGTTCAAATCCTGCCCCTGCCACCTACTGCTCTGTGACCTAGGCAACTGACTCCATCTCTCTGGGCCTCATCTATAACATGGATGGGGACCATAAAACTACTGACTTCATGGGCTATTGTGAGGCTGATATGAAATACTGCAGGCAGGCCAGGCGCGGTAGCTCACGCCTATAATACCAGCACTTTGGGAGGCTGAGATGGGTGGATCACCTGAGGTCAGGAGTTCGCGACCAGCCTGACCAACATAGTGAAACCCTGTCTCTACAAAAAATACAAAAATTAGCCAGCCATGGTGGCTCACATCTGTAATCCCAGCTACTTGCGAGGCTAAGACAGGAGAATCATTTGAACCTGGGAAGCAGAGGTTACAATGAACTGAAATCGCACCACTGCACTCCAGCCTGGGTAACAGAGCAAGATTCCATCTCAAAAAAAAAAAAAAAAAAAGAAAAGAAAGAAAAAAAGAAATACTACAGGCAAAGCATTTAAATGGGCTCAAATCCCAGCTCTGCTGCTTACAAGCTCTAAGACCTGAAGTAAATTATTTATTCTCTCTGCCTCCATTTCCTCCTCTATAACGGGGGATAAAATGAGTACACAGGATTACAATGAGAATTACAGAAGCTAACACACATAACAAGCACTTGAATGGTCCCTGGTGCATAGCAGGTGCTCAAAAAACATTAGCTATTATTGGCCAGGCTCACACCTGTGAGCTCACACCTGTAATCCTAACACTGTGGGAGGCCGAGGCAGGCTGATTGCTTGAACCCAGGAGTTCGAGCAATCAATCAATACGGCAAAACCTCATCTCTACCAAAAATACAAACAAACAAACAAAATAGCCAGGTGTGGTGGCGCACACCTGTAGTCCCAGCTACTCGAGAGGCTGAGGTGAGAGCATCACTTCAGCCTAGGAGGCAGAGGTTGCAGTGAGCCAAGATCGCACCACTGCACTTCAGCCTGGATGACAAAGCAAGACCCTGCCTCAAAAAAAAAAAAGCATTGGCTATTATGATCTCCCCATCTTGAGTTTCTAGAGTGTCTGCAGGGAGTCCAAGCCCTGGTGCAGGTAGACAGAACCCACTGTGCTTCCTAAGGAAACCTGGATTTGGATCAACCACATCTGTAGGGCTTCTACATGCACCAAGCACACTCACATTTATCCCACACTATTTTTACTTATTTTTATTAGTTTTTTCCATCCTGCAAATAGCTCTATTATTATAGACTGCCTGCTTCCGAGTCTCCTGAGGTGAGATGAGAAGGGGAAGGCTTTATAAACTGCAGAGCCCCCCACATCCTCATCACCACCAGCGCACCCCTCTGCCCTGCCCCATCCTCCTTGCTGACTGCCAACCACGTGACTTCAGCAAGTCACCACACTTCTGAGTCAATTTCCTGGACCAAACAAAAAGGGGGGGAGGAGTAGTTGTTGAGGTTTAAGTGAAATGATGCAGGTGAACACTTTGTAACTACAAACACTTCCTGGAAAAAGTGGCAGAAAGGCTGAGCCAGGAGAGGGAGGCTGGACTAGGAAAGGGGCAGGAAGTTGCTTGTGATGATATTCTAGGGGGACAAGTCCTCTCCGAGTACCAACCATCCCAGCAAGTGTTAACCAGGGCCTGCCGTGCACCAGGCACCGAGCTGGGTGCTGGAGACACAGATATAAGCCATGACCCTGCCACGGAAGGACTTATGCATTCTTACATTCGCCTGTGTAGTCAGCAAATACTTACTGCACACCTATTATGTGCCAGGCACTGCGCTAAGAGCCAATGACACATCAGTGAATGAACAAATCAGACTAACTCCCCACCTTCACAAAGTAGTGGCAGAGACAGACTATACACTGATTTTAAAATAAAATGGCAGGTAGGAATGATTGCTACAAAGAAAACTAAAGCAGGGTAAGAAAACAGAGAAGGATAAGGTGGGAATGCCATTTCAAGGAGCTGTTCAGAGAAAGCCGTTCTGAGAAGATGGCATTTGAGCAGACACAGGGAGCAAACAGCATTGCGTGTATCGGAGGACACAGCATCATGGGCAGGGTCAACAGCCGGGGCAAAGGCCCCGAGGCACATTCAGTCTTTCCAGGACAATCCTATCGAAAACGTCTATCCCTGCTCTGTTTTCCTCACAGCACCTGTCACCATGGACATTATGTGTGTTTATATCAGTCTATTATCCATCTAGCCCACTTGAGTCTCACCTCCAGGAAGGCAAGGATGTTTGTCTGTCTAGGTCACTGTGGTGTCCCAGAGCCTAGGATTGGACCCAGCACACAGCAGACCCTCGAAAAGGATGTGTTTAATTAATTAGTCAATCAATCATCTAGAGTAGACTACTCCCACCCCCACCCAGATTCTAGGCCCTGGTAAAAGGTGCCCAGTTCTCACCCCACCCCGCCCCGTTCCCCACCACATCGGGAGAGGAAGTTGATGCAAAAAACAAGTTGCAACAACCTGTCATGAAGAGGTCTGATGCAACAGTGGGGGAAGGCAGTGGGGGACACTGAGAGGAACCCAATGCTTTTCTTCACGCAGCCCCCATCAAGGGGCTGGGGCCTGGCCTACAAACTTTCCTGAGTTCACCAACAACCCATCCTTCCTTCAACAGATATTTATGCAGAGCCTCCTCTACATGATGGGGCTACCTTATGGGTCTCAAACTGGTAACTCAGAGGCATCATTCCTTTGGCCTGCAGAGGGGTTTGAGAAACTTGGGCCTAAGTTTGAATATCAGGTTTCCCATTAAAATCCAAATTCCAAGCTTCTTTTGAAAAAACTGACACATGGGTCTCAAATGCCCACAAGGCTGCAGGTGCTGTAGAGCAGAGTGATAGCCATCACCTTCACCCAGGACAAGTGCTCCTCAATTTCCCACCACCCAACCCACTGCTGCGCCCTGTGAACACCTGAGTGTGAGACTTCTGTCCTAGACACAGGCAAGGCAAACCTGAACCTGCTACTTCGCCTTTACCCTCACCCAGGGCAGACATCACTAATGGAATGCAGATCTTTTTCCTGCTAAGTCTTCTCCAAGCCGTTCAGAATTTATCTCCCTTCACTGTTGTCAGAAATGGTCTAAAATCCTTCCCATTCACAACCCAGCTTCTCCCTACTCCTTTGGGCTCCTCAGTTGTTGATTTTTTTCCTGAAAAATGGGCTCATCAGAGTGGGATTCTAGCAGAGATTCTCAACTTTGGTACCTTGACAGTTCAGTGGATAGTTCTTTGCTGTGAGGGATGTCCTGAGTATTATAAGACACTCAGCAGCTTCCCTGCCCTCTACCCTCTAGATACAAATAACAACCCTCCTCTCCTCAGTTGTGACAATCAAAAATGTGTCCAGACATTGCCCATGTCCCCTGGAGGCAAAATCATCCTTGGTTAAGAACCATTGCATTATAGCAAAGCTAAGAAAATGGCCTCTAGACAGAGCCAAGTATTTTGGGTTCAAATCCTGGTTCGGTCATTTGCTGGCTGTGTGACCCTAAACAGCCTCTCTGTGTCTCAGCTTCCCTCTCTATGAAATGGGGATATAAAAATGGTACCTGACTGCTAATGGTATGAAGTTTCTTTTTTTTTTTTTTTTTTTGAGACAAAGTCTCGCTCTGTCACCCAGGCTGGAGTGCAGTGGCACCATCTCAGCTCACTGCAACCTCCGCCTTCTGGGTTCAAGCGATTCTTCTGCCTCAACCTCCCAAGTAGCTGGGATTACAGGTGCATGCCTCCACACCTGGCTAATGTTTGTATTTTTAGTAGAGACAGGGTTTCACTATGTTGGCCATGCTGGTCTCAAACTACGGACCTCAGGTGATGCACCTGCCTTGGCCTCCCAAAGTTCTGGGATTACAGGCGTAAGCCATCATGCCCAGCCAATATGAAGTTTCTTTCTGAAGTGATGAAATGGTCCTAAAATTAGATGGTGGTACAACTCTATGAATATACCGAAAACCATTCACCTGTACACTTCAAATGGGTAAACTGTATGGTGGTACGTGAATTATATCTCACACTATTACACCAAAAGAAGAAAAAAGAAATAGATACCTGCATCACGGGGGCATGGGGAGAATTTGATGGGTTAGGATAAAATGCACTAGGAAGCACTGTACGAACTGTAGCCCTTATCGTCAGCACCAGCCCTCGCCCATCTGGGGCCTGCATGGGCGTGTGGCTGGAAGGAAAAGCCTCAAGTGACGGAGACAGTGGTGGCTGGGAACAGGCCCTGCTTTGGGTGGCATTTCCCGCCGGAATGTCCTGGACAAAGAGAACCAAGTCACTCGGGGCCCCAGGATGCAGGGCGGGGTGGCTGGACATCCTGGGGTCCTTGTGCCTGTCTGCAGCAGGACAATGAGTGGAATGCGGTCTCCTCTCTGTGGGGCTGACACTTGACATCTGAAGACAATGACTTTCAAGAGGTTTTGTTTTTTCCTCAGTCCAACTATTTTTTTTCCATCTTCCCAAACAATTGTTCCTGGGGCTGGAGGGCGAGCAGTCCCCCCTTAGCTGGTGAAGGATTGTATTTGTAGAGTCAGGAAACAATGCACAAAAGTGAGAGAATGTAAAAATAGTGGCATTCAGGGCCCAGGCCTCAGTGAGGGAGGTGCAGCCATGGAGGTTTCCTCCCATTGATTTTTCCCAGAGCCTGCTCGGCCCCAGGGAGGGAATTCTGGCAGCAGAAGGGCCAGTCTTAGGAGTACAGACACTGGCTGCTTGGCTGCAGCTTGGGGTCTTCAGTTTAGGGAGTGTCAACTATGTACCCAATGCTTCCCACGATTGCCTCATCCTAGACAATCTCATCTCCATTTTACGAAAAAGGAGACCGAGGTTCTCAGTGGCTGACGCGGCAGCCTCAGAGCATGCAGCTAAGCAGACAAAGCTGGCCTCTGACCTCGGGGCCATCAGAGTCCAGGCTCTGACTTTCTGCCACATCCACTCTAACCCTCTCTTGCGATCTCAGCTTCCCTGACCAGCCACTCACTTCCCACTAGTGATGGGGCCACATCATTAAAGTTGTGACCCCCAAGCTCCACAAGGGAAGAAACTTCTGTCCCTGGAGCCCAATACAGTGCCAGGCCTTCTGATCCAACGTGAAAGGAGGGAGAACTTGCAGGACAGAAAGGACCCAGAGCTTGCAGACATCAGAGGACTCTCAGAGAGGCCCCAACAGCCCTTGACCATTGTGGTGGGCTGAACAATAATCCCTCAAAGACGTCCACATACTAATCCACGGAACCTGTGAATACACCACCTTCCATGGCAAAAGGGACTCTGCAGATGTGATTAAGGTAAGGATCTTGGAAAGGGGGGGATTATCAATAGCATTGAGGTGGGCCCAACATAATCACAAGGATCCTTAAAAGGAAAAGAGGGGCTAGGCACGATGGCTGAAGCCTATAATCCCAGCACTTTGGGAGGCCGAGGTGGGTGGATCACTTGAGGTCAGGATTTTGAGACCAGCCTGGCCAACATACCAAAACCCAATCTCTAGTAAAAATTAAAAAATTAGCCAGATGTGGTGGTGCACACCTGTGGTCCCAGCTCTTGGAAGGCTGAGGCGTGAGAATTGCTTGAACACGGGAAGCAGTGGTTGCAGTGAGCCAAGATAGCGCCACTACACTCCAACCTGGGAGACAGAGCAAGACTCTTTCTCAAAAAAAAAAAAAAAAGAAAGAAAGAAAGAAAAAGAGGGAGGTAGGAGAGTGAGTGCCAGGGGTCAGAGGAAGACCAGAAGACGCTATGCTGCTGGCTGGGAGATGGACGAGGCCACAAGCCAAGGAATGCAGGGGCCTCTGGAAGCTGGAAAAGGCAAGGAAACGGATTCTCCCCAGACCCCCCAGGAGCACAGCCCTGCTGGCACCTTGATTTCAGCCCCGTAAGACCCAGTTCAGACTCCTGACCTCCAGAAGTGTAAGATAATAAATCTGTGCTGTTTAAAGGCACAAGAAACTAATACGACTGCTAGCTCGAAACATGTACACGAAAGAAAAGCAAACCTGTTGTATCTCCATGAATCACGGCCAAACACAATCCTAATACTCTGTTATTATGATTACTACAAAACAGATATTATCATACAGTCTAGCTATACATTTCATACATTGTTTGGCATATGTTTAGTAAGCTGCAAAATGCTTTCTTTCCCCACCCACAAAAGTATCTACAAACAAATATTCATTAAGGACAGATGGTCTAATAACAGTAATTACTATAATAATTACAGCAACATCAAGTATCTTTCACTATTCAGATCTATTCAGTTCCTGAGTTTAGAAAGCAAGAAGCCATTTAGAAAGATCAGATAAGGGAAACCTTGGGATACTAAGCTGTCAGAACTAGATAATGCCTGCATTTCCAATGAAACGTGGACACGACAACCAGCTGCAACACATATTAAGTGCTTACTGCATGCCAATGCCAGGGGTACAGGAGGAAGCGACTCCTACACCCCCATTTCACAGACAAGGAACAGAGTTATTTGCTCAAAGTCATGCAGAGGAGGAGGACGGAGCCAGACCTAAGTGCAGGCCCCAGGGGCTTCAGAGCCAAGTCTCTTTCCCATGGGGCTATACTGCTTCTTCAGTTCAAAAATTGGGAGAATTTAATTAGGGGAAGGAGAATAGTGTAGCCTCGTGGGAAGACCAGGAGTTGGGAGGCCTAAATCAGCGTCCCCAATCCCTGGGCCGTGGGCTGTTAGGAACCGGGCCACACAGCAGGAGGTGAGCAGCAGGCAAGAAGCAAAGCTTCATCTGTATTTAGAGCCATCCCCATTGCCCGCATGACCACCTGAGCTCCGCCTCCTGTCACATCAGCAGCAGCATCAGATTCTCATAGGAGCACAAACCCTACTGCAAACCACCCATGCCGGGGATCTAGGTTGCACCCTCCTTACGAGAATCTAATGCCTGATGATCTGTCACTGTCTCCCATCACCCCCAGATGGGACTGTCTAGTTGCAGGAAAACAAGCTCAGGGTTCCCACTGATTCTACATTATGGTGAGTTGCATAATTATTTCATTATATGTTACAATGTAATAATAATAGAAACAAAGTATACAACAAATGTAATGTGTTTGAATCATCCTGAAACCATCCCTTCCCCACCCCTAGGTCCGTGGAAAAAAATGTCTTCCAGGAAACCCGTCCCTGGTGCCAAAACGGCTGGGGACCACTGGCCTAGATCACTTAGGCATCCCTGGGTGGAGTGACACAAAGGGATCGTCACAAAAGGCAAATGTGGTCACCCACTGCCCTGCCCAGCCCATCAGCCGCTCCCCGCTTCTCTGAGAACCCCATCCAGAAGGGCTCTGCAGGACCTGACCTCAGCCTCCAAGCTGTGCTGCAGCCAGACCGGCCTCCAGGATCCTCAGCTGTTCCCCAAACACACCCAGCTTGCTCCTGCCCCCAGGCCTCAGCACAGGTGCTCCCTCCACCTGCAACACTCATCTCCCTCCTGCCAGCTGCTTCAAGTCTCACATTCCCTGCCCTCCCCAGTGAGATCCAAGGTTGGTCAGGGCCCAGGAAACCCATGCATAGGCTCCCATACTTAGTGCCACCATGACTATAACTTAACCTTGATTTATGTGATGATTCAATTAATAACAGGCTTGCCCACCAGCCTAAGACCTCTCAGAGGTCCCACTTAGTCCCAGTTTCCATCTTCTTTCATTTATGCTCATTCTTGGTGAGTGAGTGGATGGACGGGTAGAGGGAGGGAGACCCCTTTCTCTGGGGCAGGTTCCTCACCTGTAAAATAGACACTGTGTGATAACACTGCCGGCTTCATGGATTACCATGAGGACTACGAGAAATGCTGCACACTAGCTGAATGATTTCAGATGACTGATTCCTCCTCTCTGGGCCTCAGTTTCCCCATCTGCACAGCGCCCACCACTCAGGGCCTGCTGACCTGGTTGCCAAATGTAGCCCTGCCACAGACTCGCTGTGGGACCCTGAGAAAGCTGCTCCCACACTCTGTTCCCTCGTCCGCGAAACGGGGAACAGTGGTCAGATGAGAGGATCTCAAAGGGCTCCCAGCTCTGGGGCTATGAGGTCAGGCCCACACATTCTAACCACCTCGACTCCCTGCCTTCCAGCCAGACCAGTGACAACCAGCCACACCACAGACTACGACAGCTCACCAGGGATTCTGCAAGGGAGTCTTTCAATGGCTCCTTCCCTGGGGGACCTGACTATGGGACAGAGCCCCCGAGGAGGGAGGGGAGATGATGGAACCAGAGAAGCATGAAGAAGCCCCCTCAAACGAGGGCCCTGAAGAGGGGATGGCTGAGAGCTGGAAGATGGAGGTTCTGGTGTCAGACAAGCTGGTTCAAGTCCCCACCTGTCAGCGGGGGAGGGTACGTGGGCCTCTGAACCTCAGTTTCCACCTAACTCAGAGAAGGAAATAGATAACGAACCCTAACTTCAGAGTCGCACCAGAGTGAAATGCCAACGCTTACGTTACCATCACTGATGGGGTTCTTATCTGTCAGTGCATCGACGTAAAAGCAGCCCTCTCCAACTACAGACCACGCTGTACTTTCCCGACATTTCCCCAGAGTCGTGTGTCTCATTCCACTGCAGCCCCAATGCCTAGTCTGCCCTTCCTAGGTCACCCCAGGCTTTTTCTTACCTCAGGGACTTTGCACGTGCTGTTCCCCGCCCCTCATCGTCACTGCACAGGATGCTCAAATATCACCTCCACAGAGAGCCTCCCCTGACCATCCTGGCTGAAGCAGCCTCACCCAAGCCACAAGTCGCCCCCGAGCCACCCTCTACCTCGATAATCTGTTTTAATTCCCTGTAATGCAGGTAGCACAAAGTGTTGTTCTATGCATTTTGCTAATTTAGAGTCCTCCTCTCTGCGCACTGCCAGCTCCGTGATGGTGAGGGTCTCTGGCTGCTTGTGCTGAATCCACAGCATGGGTTGAGGTAGACAGAAGATGCTGAATAAATACTGGTTAAGAGGGGAAAGGAGGTGAAGTTCCATAAGCCTCCAAGCTTCCATTCCTATGTATGTAACACAGAGTAAAAGCCTCTATCTCTCAGTGTTCTTTTGAGGATTCAAGGAAATATCACTCAAAACATAAAGTGCTTAGCACAGAGAATGGAACACAATAAAAACTCAAATTTTAAAATTACCAATGTCCATCAACAGGAGAACGGATGAACAAATGGTGGTGTTCTCACACAACAGAAAATGATTCAGTAATCAAAAGAAAATTGCTAACACACGCAGCAAACTGGACGCATCTCAAAAACATGGCCCAAGCGAAAGAAGCCAGACACAAAAGGGTGCAGCCACCCGTGGGATTCCACATCTACGAAGTCCCAAAACTGGCAAGACCCTTCTTTGATGACAGAGGTTAGAAAAGCCGTCACTCGGCCGGGCCCAGTGGCTCACGCCTGTAATACCAGCACTTTGGGAGGCAGAGGCGGCCGATCACTTGAGTTCAGGAGTTCGAGACCAGCCTGGCCAACACGATGAAACCCCGTCTCTGCTAAAAATATAAAAATTAGCCAGGCATGGTGGCTACTCAGGAGACTGAGGCAGGAGAATCATTTGAACCCAGGAGACAGAGGTTGCAGTGAGCTGAGATCATGCCACTGCACTCCAGCCTGGGTGACAAAGCGAGACTCTGCCTCAAAAAAAAAAAAGAAAAGTCGTCATTCAAGGCTGGATAAAGACTGGCAAGGGGCTCAAGGGGACTCTGGAGGCAAAGAATGTTCTAGATCTTCACCTGGTGGTGATGCATACGTAATCACCAATGGAGCTGTGCACTTCACTGTCTGTAATTATCCTGCAACAGAAACTATTCCCTTTTTTTTTTTTCAGCAAAGGGTTTAAAAGGAGATTGTCACCGTCCACCCTGGTTTGTCTACTGTCCACGCATGGGTTGTCCTGGCTCAAGCCCTGAGGGCCAATACATCGTTCTGGCTTCAGGCAGAGCCAGACCCCATTCCCATTCCTTCTACAACTGTGCATCCACGAAGCCCTGGCTTCTTTGAGGCCCGTTGCCAAAGAGACGAGCCACCCTCCACACACACCCCCTCGCTGCCTCCCAACCCTGCTTCTAAGAAGATTCGGGAACAGGAAGCCTGTGTCTGCTCTCAGGTTCTGAAGCAAAGAGGCTGGGGGTGGTGGTGCGGGGGAGGGGAGATGAGGGGCTGCCCCGTTGAATGAGACGTGCCTTGAATCCTGAGGGGATCCTCTCCAGGTGTGTGAGAGGTGTCCCCCGCCCACCACAGGCACAGGGACAGCCACAAACACCTACTCTACCGTCGTCGCTGGGGCATCTCTAGGAGCCCCAGCACCCACTAGGCATGGGGCCGGCTTCGTACATCAAAGAGCCCTTGCATGTTGCCTTTCTGCTTAAAATCCTCCAACAGAGGCTGCGCTATCAGAATGAGCTCACACTCTGTGACCTCACCTCCTACGCAACTCCCTTCTCCCTCATCTCCTCCCACACTGGCACCCTTGAAGGTGCAGAAACACATGAGACAGGCTCTTGCCACAGGACCTTTGCACTGGCTGTCCCCTCTGCCTGGAACGCCTGTCACCACGTAACCACATGACTCATTCACTCTGCTCCTTCAGGTCTCTGCTCAAACGTCACCTCCTCAGTGAAGCCTGCCCTGCCCACACCATTGAAAACTGCCACATCTTCCCAGCAGCCCAGCCCTCTAATTTTGCTTCATGTTTTTCCATAGCACTTACCACCTGAGAACACTACAAATTTTCCTTGGCTGACACCTTCACTGTCTGTCTTCACTGCACACACGGTGAGGGAGAGAGCTTTTGTCTGTATTGTGCACTGCGGCAGCCTGGACACTCAGTACACAGCAGGTGCTCCATAAATCACTTGTAAGCCCAAGGAGGTAAATTTGAGGTTTATCACGGAATGGACTTTCTAAAATTTTCTGCAGGATTTCAATTGTCTGCTAAGAATATGTGCTATCTTTACCAATTAAAAAGAACAATTAGAAATCTGGTTTTAAAAGCCAGGTGGGAGCCATCTCTAGGTCAGTGGGTCTGATGCCCAGGAAGCGGGCATAAGAATTACCTGTCAAGCTTTTCAAAACACATGTTTTGCCCAGGAGGTATACCAGGAAATGACAGTCTGACTCAAGAGGTCTGGAAAAGCCAGGAAATCAGCTCTTTTTCCAAAGCTCCCAGATAACCCTGAAGGGCTCCAGGAGGTACACGAACCCGAGAATGGGCAGCAGGGCAGGGAAAGCAGCTCAGAGGAGGTCAGGGAGGACCCTGAGCATGACCTTGACAAACAGGCAAGATCTGGCCAGCCAGGCACAGTGGCTCACATCTGTAATCCCAGCACTTTGGAAGGCTGAGGCAGGTGGATCACCTGAGGTCAGGAGTTCGAGACCAGCCTGGCCAACAAGGCAAAACCCCATCTCTACTAAAAATAAAAAATTAGCCAGACATGGTGGTGCATGCCTGTAATCCCAGCTACTTGGGAGGCAGAGGCAGGAGAATCACTTAAACCTGGGATGCAGAGGTTGCAGTGAGCCAAGATTGCTCCACTGCATTCCAGCCTGGGTGACAAAGTGAATCTCCATCTCAAAAAAAAAAATCTGGCCATGCAGAAGTGAGGAAGGAAAGGAAACTGGAGACCCAGATTTGCAAACCTTTGCAATCACAAGGCAACCCCTTGGCAGCCCTAATCCATGACCCTCAGGCTACAGCAGGCGTCTGAATCACCTGGGGCACTCAGTGGAAATGCTGATTCCTGGGCCCTGAAGACTGAGAGGCTCCAACGCAGTGGGAGAGGGAGGAGCCTGGGCATCTGCCTTGTTAACATGCTTCCCCAGGCACCTGCGATGGGGCACCAGGTTTAGAAGGTGCTGGTTGAGTCTTCTGGTTTCAGTATGTACAGTTGCCTTTCATCAGGAAAATTAATAAAGTCATAGGAAGAAAACTGGAAATCACACATTCTGACAGTGCCCACTGTCAATATTTCAACATGTCACCTTCCATGGCGTCTCCTGCAGTTTTTAGGCATGGCTGTCATCACCGGTTGCACATAATTTTGCATGTCACCTTTCCAGTGGTCCACAGTGGCTAAGGAAATGGGTGTGGCTCATGTCCCTAACCATTTCCCTATCCGACCTTTAGGTTGTTGCCGATTTTGAGCGCTCACAGTGGTGTTTCAATGAGTAACCTGGTACATAAAAGTATCTGGGGATTTTCCCCCCATGCTTAGGATTTTTTTCAGCAGTGGGATCCCCTGCAATTCCAGGGGAATCACTGTTTGGGAGTCTCTTGTTGTCTCCGCTAAGTGTTTTGCCAAAGGGTTTGCACCAATTTATTGCTCTAAAATGATGCCAAAGGCAACAAGTTCTAGCCGGGCGTGGTGGCTCACGCCTGTAATCCCAACACTTTGGGAGGCCGAGGCAGGTGAATGGCTTGAACCCAGGAGGCAGAAGTTACAGTGAGCTGAGACTGTGCCATTACACTCCAGCCTGGGCGACAGGAGCAAAACTCCATCTCAAAATAAAAAAAGGCAACAAAAGTTCAAGCCTTATCAGCCGTGCAGCCCCATCACCATGCGGAGGAGGAACCCGAGGCCCAGCTGATGCTCATTAAGAATTCCTTCATGCCGGACACGGTTCCAAGTGCTTTCTCAACAGAAACCCATAAATCCTCACCACAGCCCTGTGGGCAGGGTGTGATGCCACGCACTAGCATAGAAGAAGCATTCAGCAAGCGTGTTTTGCTATTATTATTACTTGCATTTGATTTTCCTCTAAAAATGATGTGTCTAGGCTGGGCGCGGTGGCTCCCATCTATAATCCCAGCACTTTGAGAGGCTGAGGTGGGCGAATCACCTGAGTTCAGGAGTTCGAGACCACCCTGGCCAACATGGTGAAATCCCATCTCTACTAAAAATACAAAAATTAGCTAGGCGTGGTGGCGGGCACCTGTAGTCCCAGCTACTCAGGAAGCTGAGGCAAGAGAATCGCTCGAACCTGGGAGGCGGAGGTTGCTGTGAGCTGAGATCGAGCCACTGCACTCCGGCCTGGCTGAACAGAGCGAGACTCTGTCTCAAAATAAATAAATAAATAAAATAACTAAAAAAATAAAAAAGTAAAAATAATGTGTCCAGCCATATCACTGAGCAAAACTGGGGTTCCAGAAAGCTGGGCCAGGTTTCTTGGGTGGCACAGGTATGGCCCTGCAGGGTGCCCATGCCCCCAAGAAGGCGCAGGTGCGCAGCTCGTGGCAGCCCTGTTTCTGGTGAATCAGGCCGGCCCCTGTCCCTGTGACACTGGGTGAGACGTGCCCATGGCCATACCTGCAGAAGAGATGCCCCAGCCCAAGCAGTGCCATAGGAGGACAGCACTCCAATGCCCCAAATACTGCCCCAGCCACCAACCACGGGACACAGACCCAGCAGTTCCCTTTTTCTCTTTGCGGAACTTCCCACCACATCAAGCTGGAAAGGAAGTCGGCAGCTCAGCGGGAGGAAAGGCGACAGTATACAAATCGCTTCATGTCTGCTGAGGAAATTTACTGCCCTGAAACTGAGGGCTGAGGAAGGAGGAAGGGGCAGAGCAGGCTGGGCTAGGACTCACCCTGTCCACTGCCGTCCAGCCAGGATGGCCGCATGGCTGAGTGCCAAGGCCAATGGCGAAGTTGTCTGGAGAAATCAAAACAAGTGTACTCAGGGACCACATATCCCTGGGCAGGTCACTACGTTCGCCGACCTCAGTTTTACTCATCTGTAAAATGGGCAAAACAGGATCCACAACAAGAGCTACTAAAAAGATTTAAGTAAGAGAGGACCTGTAAAGTGCTTACCAGCACACAGTAGGTGCTCAAGAAATGTCCATAACTGGCCAGGCGCGGTGGCTCATGCCTGTAATCCCAGCACTTTAGGAGGCCGAGGGAGGCAAATCACCTGAGGTCAGGAGTTCAAGACCAGCCTCGCCAACATGGCAAAACCTCGTCTCTACTAAAAATACAAAAATTATCTGGGTGAGGTGGCAGGTGTCGGTAATCTCTGCTACTCGGGAGGCTGAGGCAGGAGAATCACTTGAACCTAGGAGGCAAAGGTTGTAGTGAGCCGAGATCACGCCACTGCACTCCAGCCTGAGTGATAGAGTGAGACTTGGTCTCAAAAAAAAAAAAAAAAAAAAAAAAGGAAAGAAAAAGGAATGTCCATACCAATTATTAAGTTCAAGCTTCTCATCCTGGCATCTAGCTACCACATCCTACCAGAGGCACCTCTGGCCTCCAAGTGCCCCACACTAGCCCCTTTCCTGATCACCGCTAAGCATGTGATGCACCAGCAATGCACCAACCACAGAGCAGCAAGGAACTGTCTCAGGACAGAACCTCTGGGACCTCATTCATTCATTCAGCAGGTACTTACTGAGAAGCAGATGAGCTGAGACTGACATGAAGAGGTGGGGACATGTGGCTATCTAGGGGAGACTGTTCCAGACAGCAGGAATACCACCTGCAGAGGAACTGAGGCAGGAGTGAGCCCGGTGTGTTCAAAGAACAGCAAGGAAAGCTGAGAGAGGGCGAGGTGAGAGCAGGAAGAAACGAGGCAAGAGACTTAACCAGGAGCCAGAATGTGCAGTGCCTTCTGGGCCACAGTGGGGTCTTCAGCTTTTCTCTGGGTAAGGTGGGAGCCATGGAGGGTTCTGAGCAGGGGAAGGACAGGATCTGACCTGAGTTCTTAAGGGGCCATCTGGCTGTGTGTGAACAACAGACTGTAGCAGGGAGCTCAGGAGGAGTCTCCTGCAATCGTCCAGGCGGGAGGTGATGGAGGATTTGACCAGGGTGGTGGTGAGCTGTGGTCAGAATCCAGAGGTATTCCAAGACAGAGCCCACGGGATTTTCTGAGAGATGGGATGTGAGGGACGAGAGAGAGGGAAGTCGAGGCCGTCTCCCTGGTTTCTGGCCTGTACCACTGGCAAGGATGAAGGCCACTTTTATTGAGACAGGAAGACTGTGGTTTGGGGGGCGGGTAGAGAGTTCAATCTCGGACATTTTAAGTCTGACCTCACGCAAGGCAGTCTGGTGAAGGAGACAGACCGTCCGTCAGCAAATCCTTGCACAATGTGCATTCAACTGCAATCGTGCTGAGTGCTGGGCAGGGTGACCTAGGCAGAGGCATTCAGTGAAGGCTGCCTGGAGGAGGACACCAGAGCGGAGGCCTGAAGGCTGAGGAGCTGGGGACACACGAGGGAGGGGTTGAAAGCTGCTATCTCTGTGTGTCTTCCACTTTCCTCATCACTTCACCTCCCACTTCACATCCAGTGAGGACAGAGCCCGAGAATGAAGGAAGTGTGGTTTCTGGGGTTCAGAGCTCTGGGGTCAGACAGAGATAGCTTCAAATCCCAGACCTACCCTTTTCTTGTTGCATGGCCTGAAGCTGGTGCCTTCACCACTCCCTGCCTCAGTTTCTACATTCATAAAAGAGGGTGATTCTGCCATGTTTTCAGGGTGTGTCAGGCTCTGGAAACCCAGATAAAGATGCCCACCTCTCTCCCCCAACCTGGGCACCTCCTTCCAGCCTCAGTGAGAAGCTGCTTTGCCAGGGAAGCTGGAAGGATGTGACAGGGCAGGGAGTGGCTGGACCCGCACGGCTGAAACCACTGGCTGAGGCCACAGATCCAGGCAAATCTCCGGCCCCTCCGCTGCCCTGGCCAGGCACATGGTGGCCCACAGAGATTTTCCATCAGGTCAAAACAGGAACTCCATGGAAACGCACAGCCTCAGCCTGCCATGGGGCAAGGTGTTTTTCCACAGAGCGAGGCTGAATTCAGCGTTAAATGGCTCTGCAGGGTGGCAGGGGCCACTACCCTCCGAAAAGAGAAGCAGGTACTAGCCAGTGGGAGACAGGAACCTGCTTCCAGCCTCAGCTTTGGGGAAACAGGCACCTATACCACACCCTTGCTCACACGGTTTCCACCACCGCACACGCTGCTCCTGCATCCCTGACCACACCAGGCACTCATTGGTTCTCTCGGCAAATGACGCATGTAGCACGTCCAGAAGGACAGGCACTGCTGTAGGCCCTGGGGATGAGCATGAACAAAAGAGATGAAGCTCCTGCCCTCACGGAGCTGATATTCTACAGGGGTGGAGCTGGAGCCAGGGAGATTCACCAGAATAGACTGCGAAGCCTTACGAAGAAATCAAGCAGGAAAGGGAGAGATAAAGCAAGGAGACGGGTGCTTTTTTAAATGTGGTGGCCAGGAAAAGCCTCCCTGATAAGAACACGTCCAGCTGAGACCCAGATGAGGTAAGGAGGTAAGCCATGGGTTACCAAGGGAGAGCACACCATGGGCAGTGGGGCAGCAGGGGCCTGCTTGGTGCACAGGGACAACAAGGAGACCACAATGGCTGGAGCAGAGTGAACAGGTGAGAGTAAGGACTGGGAAAGGGGACTCAGGCAGGGGGTGATATGGTTTGGCTGTGTCCCCACCCAAATCTCATCTTGAGTTCCCACATGTTATGGGAGGGATGCAATGGGAGGTAATTAAATGGGGGCAGGTCTTTCCCGTGCTGTTCTCGTGATAGTGAATAAGTCTCAAGAGATCAGATGGCTTTATAAGGTGCGGTTTCCCTGCACAAGCTCTCTCTTTGCCTGCCGCCATCCATGTAAAATGTGACTTGCTCCTCCTTGCCTTCCACCACGATTTTAAGGCCTCTCCAGGTGTGTGGAACTGTAAGTCCATTAAACCTCTTGCTTTTGTAAATTGCCCAGTGTCGGGTATGTCTTTATCAGCAGTATGAAAATGGACTAATACAGGCGGTTTTGGAAATCTGGGCAAGAAGGTAGGTGGGGGCCAGAGGTGCAGCTAAGGAGACAGGGTTCTGTTGTAAGCTCAGCAGGCAAGGCCCTGAGGAAGGAGGGCTCTCACATCTAACAAGCAGGGGGAAGAGACAAGCATCACATCCTCACCAATGGAGGTGAGCACAGTGACCTTTCCCCTGGACGGTAGAGGACCCCAAGGCCCAGCTGGAGACTCCCCTCACCCCCTGAGGCTTATTTTCCCCCTCTGTAAAATGGGGACACAAGTCCTGCCCAGCCTCCTGCAGGGGCATCTAATGAGGAATGAGGCTAAAAGAGTGAAGCTAGAGTCCGGGTCATCCTGGACCACAACCTCAGGGCTGCTCTGGCCCCTACACCCCAACAGCCTCCCAGGTTCTAAAGTCCAATGTCCCCCATGGACCCCGCCCCCCTCAGACAGCCGAGACAGGCGCTCTGAGAGCCAAGATGTCCAAGGAGGTGGCACCTGGCAACCAGATGCCTGCTTAGCAGCTGTGGGAGGGGATGGCAGCTGGACTCCTTGGCAACCAGCCGCTGGAGCCTGGAAGCCAGGCATCACTTCAGAGGGGGAGTCCACGGGGCGGGGCTGGGGACAGAGTTTCTCAGGCTCCTTTCTAAAGCACATGACTCACAGGCCCTCGGAAAACCCAGCAGGCCCCTGAATTCCAGAACACTGCTTGTAGGGCTGGAGGCCTCTACTTTGCTCTCTGCCTGGAAACTACTTAGTGTCCAGTCACTGAGGTATTTGCTCCCATGGCCACTCAGTCTCCTCTCTGGAAGGGAGACCAATGCCTACTATGCGGGCACACGTGAAGATTCAGCATTAACACAAAAAATCAGAACAGCAGGCATTCAGGAAGCAGCTACCCTGTGCCAGGCTCTGTGCTACGTATTTCTCCTAAGAGTCAGTGGTAGTACTGTTAATCCCATTTTACAGATGAGAAAACTGAGGCACACTCACAGGTAAAGCATCACACACAGCGAGTGGCAGAGCCAGAGACTGACCTCCACTCCAGGCCCATAACCACTCCAACACCCTGCGATGTGCGAAAGGTCCGAGGGGTTTCTCCCGCCCCTTGGTCCAGTCAACAAGTAATTCCACTCATCAATATGAATAATAATAGTTGCTGTTGTTTATTGGCAACTATTTAGCAACTGGGAAGTGAGCTAACGTTTATGAGCAACGGGGAAGTGAGGTAAGTGGCCCACAAAGGCACACTGGGAAGGGGGAAGTACAGCCTAAATACAGGCTTTCTGATGCCAAAACCCGCCACACCACACGAGGCACAAACACCAGACCAGGTCTGAACAACATGAGCTGGTCATGCCCCAATTCTCTAACTCTCCAGCCTCCAGCATGAGGCCCAGGAGCCCCCGGCCACACACCACCATTCTCTTGAGGGTATGAAGGCTTTCGCTGGAATCCCAAACCCAGACAGTGAACGGAAGGCTGTTCAACCCCAGCAACCTTCAGAACTGACCATTACGGTTGATGCTGATCCCATGCCTACCACCCAGAAGTGCCTACAGACAGGGCCTCCGGCGGAATCCAAGGCTCCCTAACATCACATCACAAATATCTGAGAACAAAACTTGACAGCTAGAGTCAGGCAGGGAGGTAAGAACCTGAAATGCTGTTGCCCTCAAGAGGTTAACAGTCTCAAGGTAGCCACAACCACACATAATGGACTCTGATATAAAGACCAAGGCCTGAAGGGTCACGGCAAAGCCAAGCTGTATGGCTTGGGGCCGGCAGCTGTACCTCTCTGAGACTCTGCATCCACATCTGTAAAATGGGCATAACGACAGCAGTACTCTGTAGTGACAAAGACCTGCGGAGAGGCTGTGGATCAAGAACTAAGAACAATGCCAAAAACACAGCTCTGACTGGAAGTGGGGTTGCTATCATCATCATCAGCAGCAGCAGCATCATTATCGGGATTATCAGTATTTCAGATCCCACAGCCAGAGGTGCCCAAGACGTCTACACCAGGGGCTACAAACACCAATGCCAACAGAAGCCATGCAAGGAAAGTGACTGAGTGAAGCTGGCCAGGAGTAGTACAAAAGGGAAGGGTGGGGACTGTGGCAAACTGGAGAGCAGACATCCATCTAAAGGGTAAGCTGTGACTGTGTTCCAATCAAATGTCGCCAGGCAAAAGTACAGCCGGATTTCTGTTTCCCTACAGAAATTGGAAAGCCATATTTTTGCAAAAAAAAGTCCTACTTTTAAAACCCTGTGCTACTTAATTCTAATATGTTCATGGTAAGGCAAAGAAACTAGAATAGCCAAAACAATTCTGTAAAAGAACAGTGTTGGAGGATTCACATTATCCAGTTTTAAGAATTATTATGGCCAGGCACAGTGGCTCATGCCTGTAATCCCAGCACTTTGGGAGGCCAAGGCGGGCAGATCACTTGAGGTGAGGAGTTCAAGATCAGCCTGGCCAAAAGGATGAAATCCCGTCTCTACTAAAAGTCAAAAATCAAAAAAAAAAAAAAAAAATTAGCCAGGCATGGCACACGCCTGTAATCCTAGCTACTCCAGAGGCTGAGGTGGGACAATCGCTTGAACCCAGGAGGTGGAGGTTGCAGTGAGCCAAGATGGTGCCACTGTACTCCAGCCTGGGTGACAGAGTGAGACTCCGTCTCTAAAAAAAAAAAGGAACTATTATAAAGTTACAATAATTATGATGATATGGTACTGGTGAAAGGGGAGACACACAGATCAATGGAACAGAAAAGAGAGTACAGGAATTGACCCACACAAATATGGCCGTTTGACTTTTCATAAGGATGCAAAGGCAATTCCGTAGAGAAAGGACAGTCTTTTAAACTGTTGCTTTAAACCAATGATCTTGGAACAACCACACACGATATGCAAATTAATGAACCTCAACCTAAACTACACACTTCATACAAAAGTAAACTCAAAATGGATCACAGATCTAAATTCAAAACATAAAACTTTAGAAGAAAACAGGAGAAAATCCTTGTGACCTGAGATTAAGAAAAGAGTTCTTAGATGTGACATTAAAAAAAGCAAGATCCGTAAAAGAAGAAAAGGGATAAATTAGAACAAAAATGAAAACTTTTGCCATGCAAAATACACTGTCAAGAGAACAAAAGACAAGCTACAGATGGGGAGAAAATATTTACAAATGACATATCTGACAAAGGATTTATATTCAGAATACAACCCTAAATTAACAAAGGAAACAAGCCAAAATTTTTAATGGATTAAAAAACTTGAACATTTTCTTCACCCAAGAAGTATATAAATGGTAAATATGCACATGAAAAGATAGGCAGCATCATTAGCGATTAGGAGAATGTAAGTTAAAATTACAATGGGATACCTCTATGCTTCTACTTAAACGGCTTTTGAAAAACCCGACAATACCAAGTGCTGATGAGGATGTGGAACCACAGAATCTCTCCTATACTGCTGTGGGGAAAGTAAATTAGTACAGCATCTTTGGAAAACTTCCCACAAAGTTTTTTGGCAGCTTCCCATAAAGTCAAATATCTACTTACCATATGGCCCAACAACCCTGCTCCTGGATGTTTACCCTAGAGAAATGAAAACTTATGTTCACACAAAAAGCTATACATAAATATTTATAGCAGCTCTATTAAAAATCACCAAAAACTGGAAACAAGCAATTCAACATGTGAATGGATAAACAAACTGTGGTATATCCAAACAAGGGAGTACTACTCGGTAATGAAAAGGAACAAACTGTTGATACACACAACAATGCAGATGAATCTCAAAGGCTTTATGGTGACTGAAAGAAGCCAGTCTCAAAAGGTGGTGTACAGCATGATTCCATTTATACGGAATGTGTATGTTTTAGAAAAGGCAGAACTACAGGGAGAGGAAATGGATGAGTGGTTGTCAGGGGTAACGATGGGGGAAGGTGTGACTACTAAGGGGTGGCATGAGAGTGTTTTTTGGGTGATGGAAGTCTTCTCTATCCAGACTGTAGTGGTAAGTATATAACTCTACATATGTGTTAAAATTCATAAAACTCTAAACCCCCAAAAAGTCATTTTTACTCTATGTAAGCTTCAAAAGTCAAATTAAATGTTTGAAAAATTTCACACTGGGTATCAGTATGGACACTGGGTTTTTCAAATATATGTGCAGATAGAAAGATACAGAAGTAAATATAGATTGTGTAAGTGTCTATACATATATTCCTGGATACCATGGCATCCAGTAACAATGAGCATAACTACTGCCCAGATTAGGTTTCTAAATACCATTCTCCAATTAAAAGAGCTAGGGGTCCTTAAAGAACTGGTTGATTTCAGGGCTGAGGCAGGGAAAATACAAGATGAGCCAGAATATCTTGTGGTTAGATTTCAACTAGTAAAGAAATGCTCAAAAGAGACCAGGTGCAGTGGCTCACACCTATAATCCCAGCACTTTGGGAGGTCAAAGCAGGAGGACTGCTTGAGACCAACAGTTCAAGACCAGCCTGGGCAACACAGCAAGACCCATCTCTACCATCTCTACAAAATAATGTTTTTTAATGTTCAAAAAAAAGAGAAAGAAGAAAAAAAATAGAGGAGGCATGTCAAAAGGGCACGGGGTCAACCAGAAAGAACTCCTAATGGCCAAAGTTGGGACAACTTGAACAACAAAATAAATAATGACAATACTGGTTTATGATAATATAAATAATGGAATGAATCAGGGAGAATTCTTTTTACACAAGGATTTTAGTTAATAAAAGTAGGAGGAGTGAAGGAAATAGAAAGCCACGACTGGAAGACCACAGTAAGAGCTATCACAGGCCAGACCCACCGGTGGATGCTAAAACTAGTGGGCAAAGGTTCAAACAAAAACAGGGTATTTCCACAGTCTCAAAGAATCTCCCCCAAAATGTCTAGTAATTACAAAGGAAAATTAGTAACCTCACCATGGAGTATCCTGGCTTTCACCATCTTAATTAAGTGTTAACATCTCCCCTTGAACATATCAACATCACATGCCCCCTGATTAAAATGCACAGAGAGGGGCACATCGCTCCTGGGGTATCCCTCCTAATTACGCATAAGCTCAAGTCCAAAGTGGCAGACAGTCTACAAAATACCTGACCAGGACTCTTCAAAAAAGTGTCAAGGTCATGAAAGGCAAAGAAAGACTGGGGAACTCTCACAGATTACAGGAGACTAAGGGGCCATGCTATCTAAATGCAACATGGTGCCCTAGGTTGGATCCTGAAAATAAAAAGAACGTTTGTAGGGAAACTAACAAAATTCTACTGAATCTTATAGTTAATAGTACTGTATCAAGATTAATTTTTTCTACTACAAAGAAGTACTTTGTACTTAGGTAATTATACTACAGTAATATAAAATGTCAACGTAATGGGAAGCTGGGTGAAGGATGTACAAGAACTCTGTACTATATTTGCAAGTTTTCTGTAAGCCTACAATTATCTCAAAATAAAAAGTTTCTTAAAGCCCTGTGCTGACCAAACCAAATCACCTACTGGCCAGACAATGCACAACTACACAAGGAATGTGACTCATGGGCCACAATGGTGCAGCCCCTGGCCTACAGCTGACACCCCACTCCTCCCCAAAAGAAGACCCAAGAAGAACTCTGAACTTGGTGCAGAGAAGAGTCCCCAAGTCAGACACCCCCTGCCTCATCCCCCTAATTTGTTTTTCATGGCCACACCAAGAGTCTATAGCTAGAAAAGCACACAGCCTGGTTTGAACCCAGGCCCTGCCACAAACTCACTGTGGAATCCTGGGTAAGGGACTCCCCCTTCCTCTTCTGAAAACAGGGAAGGGGTCCACCTCCAGGAGCTATTATGAAGCTCAGATGAGAATGTCTAGCTATGAATTTGCTACGAATTTGCATGCCCTCATGACCCAGTCACCTCCTATTAGGCCCTATTTCCTGTTGCATTAAGGATTAAGTTTCCAACAATTGAACCTTGGGGGACACATTCAAACCACAGCAACATGTTACAATTGAGGAAATGGAGGCCCACAGATTTTAAATGACTTACCCTGTTACAGATGGTGATGAATTTGTACTATACAAAAATCAGGGGAGCCAATGCTCAGGAGATTTGGACTCTGGGACCACCTGTGCCTTGACCTGGCCACAGATGTCTGGCAAGTCCTTCTCCTGCTGAGTCTCAGGGTCCTCATGGGTGACTCAGTCAACAATTAGCAAAGGAAAAAGTCAGGCTGGGTCACTGATATTGTTTGGCTGTGTCCTCACTCAAATCTCATCTCGAATTGTAGCTCTCATAATTCCCATGTGTTGTGGGAGGGACACAGTGGGAGATAATTGAATCATGGGGGAAGTTTCCCCCATGCGGTTCTCGTGGTATTGAATAAGTCTTACAAGATCTGATGGTTTCATAAAAGGAAACCCCTTTCACTTGGTTCTCATTGTCTCTTGCCCACCTAAGATATGCCTTTTGCCTTCCCCCATGATTGTGAGGCCTCCCCAGCCACGTGAAACTGTGAGTCCATTAAACCTCTTTACCTCTATAAATTACCCAGTCTCGAGTATGTCTTTATCAGCAGCGTGAAAATGGACTAATACACCCATATATCCATTTCTATGAATATGTCCTGTTAAAGTGGTGAGAAAGTCTCATTAAATGTAGAGGAAAGGTTTGGGATGGTCTGGCTTAAAATAATGGCCGGCCAGGGAAGGTCTTCTGAGAAGGGAAAATTTGAGCACAGAACTGAAAGCATGATGAGGAGACCAAGCCAGGGGCAGATCTGGGGAAAGGACTTCCCAGGTAGAGGAAACAGCACAGGCAAGAACCTAGAGGCCGGGCTGTGTTTAGAGGGTCCATGGAGCAGCAGGCTCAATAAAGGATTCTCGCTCTCACTGCAGTGTGATGAGGAGTCCCAGGAGGGGCATCACAAGGGAGAAGAAGTGAACAGGCGAGTGTCATAGTCTAAGGTGGGGTTAGCAAGATCGCTCTGGTTGCTGTGGACAAAAAGGACTGTAGGAGGTGACGGGGCTACAGCAACAGGCCAAGCAAAAGAGGAGAAGGCCTTAAACCAGAGTGCTGGTTAACAGCACAGCCTCCGGAACCAGGTTGCCTGGGTTTACACAGCGCTGCCACTCACCAGCTGCGTGACCTTGGGCAAGAGACTTCACCTCTCCGAACTTCAACATCCTCATTTGTGAAATGAAAAAGAAGGATACATGCCTGATATGGTTGAATGAAGACTAAAGAAAATACCATTTGTAAAGTGTGTGAAAGAGGAAATGTCTGTTAGATGGGGTGGTGGCAGAGAGGGTAGTGAGGATGAGAGGCTTGGAAGGCAGAACAATGAGACTGGCCACTGGATGGGATGGTGAGACAGAAACAGAGGATGGAGAGTGACTCCGAAGTTTTTGGCCTGAGCAAGTGGAAGAATGGAGGTGCCATTAGCTGAGATGAGAGAGAGAGGGAGGAACCAGTTACAGGGGCAAGATGAGGAATTTGGTTCAGCACATGTGTAGTTTCAGGTGTTATTTTAGATCCAAGTAGCAATGGCAAAGAGACAGTGGCCATACCCGGGTGCAATCCAGAGGTGGGGATGGTACAAAGGACACAAGTGACATCACCAGGAAGAGAAGAGGCCCACAGGTGGGGGCTGGCACCCCCAAACCATCGGAACCCAGGAGGCAGAGGAGAAATAACAAAGGACCTAAGCAGATGTACGGGAGGAAAACCGAGAGCCCACAGCACCCTGACACCGTGTCTCAATCATACCCTGCCTGTCTCAGGAGTGAGATTGGTCTCGACTACTCAGCAGCATCTCCCAGAACAAAGACACATCTTAAAATGTTTCTTCAGTATCCACTTCACCACTACCTGTTACCCAAGTACCCCAAGGAAGAAAAGTCATTGTCTTCAAAATACCCCAAATGAGCTGGCCACTTCTAAAGTGATTCCTGCTCAAACAGCTCACCTGCTAATGTCCCCTCCATGTCTTTATGGATCTCACGCTCCTGAATATACCACAGTCACAACACAAGGTGAACGGAAAGCAAATCAGTTGCAAAAGGAAACTGCAAATCCTGCAAAAGATGCAGGGTTTTATGACATCAGTGAAAGTGATGCTGGAGAACCACAGCTGGCTGCCAGGCAAAGCTATAAACAAATAAAGACCCAGGAGTCGCTGGCTCACAATGAGAGTGAAGAAAGCCCAGGAAGACCACATAAGAAGTTCCAAAGGAACTTTTCTGACCATCAGAGAGTGCACAAGAAGTCCAAAAACGGGCTCCAGGGGTTTTGCAAAATGACTCTTTATCATCATGCTATAAAGTGAAACCTTACATGAATGATGTGGCATCGTGTAATCATTTAATTTTATCAGAAAAATTACACATACCCCCAACAGTAAAAAATAACACTTGGTTCCCTCCTTGTTGATTCTAAGAATTCATGCAATGTTGTTATTACATTCTAAATACAGTTACTGACGGGATAAAATTCCACCTATTTTTAGGATTGTGGTTTTCTTCTTCAAAGTGAAGGACTCATCTAGACTCTACCCCCGCCACCCCACATTCTCAATATTGCTATGTTAGGGCCCATTTTCAATGAGTTCTCAGCAGCAGGCCTCATTTTGGTAACAATTATTCTGTGACAGTGAGGCCGTCCTGATCTGCACACTGCTGGACCGAAAGGCCTCCCCCTCTTCCCTAAAGAAGCCCCTTTTCTGGGGGTCAAGAAGCCGACCTGCCCACAGGAACTGGGAGCCCACCAGAAGAGAAAGGCAAGTGGGCGACTGGGCATGAAACCTTGGGAATTAAATGTCCTGGGTCCTCCTGACCCCACCTGAGCCCACAGCAGCTCCTTCCCACTCCACTGGCTGGACAGAAGCAGCCACAGCTCCCTGTGTGTAGCCAGCAGACCCTCCCTTGTGCAATCTCATTGAAGTATATACTTAAAATGGGTAGGTTCTTCCAGATATCATTTCTATTTCTTTCTCTCTTTTTTTTTTTTGAGACCGAGTTTCGCTCTTGTCACTCAGGCTGGAGTGCAATGGCATGATCTCGGCTCACTGCAGCCTCCATCTCCCAGGTTCAAACGATTCTCCTACCTAAGCCTCCCAAGTAGCTGGGATTACAGGCACCTGCCACCACACCCACCTAATTTCTGTATATTTAGTAGAGATGGGGTTTCACCATGTTGGCCAGGCTGGTCTGGAACTCCTGACTTCAGGTGATTCGCCTGCCTCAGCCTCCCAAAGTGCTGGGATTACAGGCGTGAGCCACTGCACCCAGCCAGATATAATTTCTATTTCGATGAAGCATATTTTTTTAAAGTGCTGATCTGCCTGTCAGCCTACTTCCTGCCTGGGGTCTCCTCTGACAAGCCCACAGGAGGTTTACCAGCAGTGGCTGCCCCGCTCCCACACCTGTGATGGGTGGCAGCCAACACCAGCCCAGAGGACACCTTTAGGGCCCACTCATCGAAGCTGCAAAGATGCTGAGCGCCACTGGTACCTCCACTGCCATCCATTCTGCTCAAGAAACTGGCTTTGGGTGGGACCCCCTGGTGGTGCCAAGGCTTGGCTCCAGCCACTGTGACCACCCAAGGTTCCCCAAACTCATCCACAGAGCCTGGCACCAGATAGCAGAGCGGCCAGCCAGGGCTGAGCTCAGGCCTCATCGCTGATGTTCGGACTCCAGGGACACCCCCTCTCACCCTACAGAAGTACCTGTCCCAGCTGGCCAGTCTCTTTGGGCTTTTACCTCCAACCTTCAAGATGTCACCACCTCCACCGGTGCCAGCAGCCCCTCTGCTTTCCCTCAGTAAGCCTGTGCACTCAGAGGGTTTTGATCCAAGGCATCAGCAGGAAAAAAAAAGTGCACCAATGTCCCCAAATTCATTCCATAAATACTGACGAGCCCCCATCATGTGGCAGGCGGTGGAGACGGAGGGCACAGGAAGACAGAGCTTACCTCTAGCAAAGGGAGACAGACAACACAGCAGCAGGCAAAGCCACAGGGCAGAAAGAGCCGGGATGGATGGGCCGGTGCCTTCCAGCAGGGGGTTCAGAAAAGGCCATGAGGAGGGTCCATGAAGACAGTGGGGCCTGAGCGGGCTCATGGATCACAGCAGGAAGAGAATGGGGCTGGGCTGGACCCGAGCATCTGAGGAGCAGCCAGGGGCCAGGATGGCTCTGGGCAGAGAAAGGGGGTGAGTCGGGGAGGTGAGGTCAAACCTGGAATCTAGGCCTGAACAAAACTCCCTGGGAGGGGTCCTGGTGGCATGCTGGGGGCGGGGGGTGGTAAGCAGCTGGACCCCCTTGGAGGACAAATAAGCAACAAATCTATTTGCCTCCTTTCAGGGCATGTAGGTTTTGGACTTTCTAAAGGGCTAGGCAAACCTACCCTTGGGGACCCATCCTACAGAGACCCTAGAACCTGGGCCCAAGACATGACCAACAAGGAGACTCAGGGAGAGGAGGGAGAGCAGGAGAGAAAGAAAGTGGCGGGGAAACGGGATAGGGTAGAAAAGGGAGGATGGGGGCCGGGCACGGTGGCTCACGCCTATAATCCCAGCACTTTGGGAGGCCGAGGCAGGTGGATCACCTGAGGTCAGGAGTTCGAGACCAGCCTGGCCAACATGGCAAAACCAGATCTCTACTAAAAATACAAAAATTAGCTAGGTGTGGTGGTGCACACCTGTAATCCCAGCTACTCAGGAGGCTGAGGTGGGAAAAATCGCTTGAACCCGGGAGGCAGAGGTTGCAGTGAGCCAAGATCATGCCACTGCACTCCAGCCTGGGTCACAAAGCAAGACTCTGTCAAAAAAAAAAGAGAAAGAAAGAAAAGAAAAAAAAGAGAAGAGTAGAAAAGAAAAGAAAGAGAAGGAAGGAAAGAAAAAGAGAGAGAGAGAAAGAAAGAAAAAGAGAGAGAGAAAGAGAAAGAGAGAGGAGGGTAGGGAGGAGAGGAAAGGGAGAGGTGGAGGGGAGGGAAAGAGGAGGAGGCGTGGGAAGGACAAGAGGTCACAAGGATGCGACTCCTGACCCTCCCAGCCCCCCCTCCCCACAACACACTCCAAGAACCTCTCAGAAGCCCCCTTGAGCATAAGATGCTGATGACCCTCTGGGGACCCATTCTCTGGGCCTCACTGGTGGCTAGAAACGTCCAGCAAAGGCTGCGAGAAGCGGGCTGGAAGGCCATTCCTGACACCCTCCTTCCTCACCATGGTGACGGGCGACAGTGCCCACCGCCCCTCAACCCTGGCCCTCCCTGAGGAGGCCTGGGGAGGATTCTTCCTTTTAGCCCTGGAAACAGACCCTGACACTCGTGTCTGCTTCCCCCGATCCCAGGACGACACGGCACTTATGAATACATAAATCTCATAATCATGTAAAAGCTGGCTCTGTCTAGTGATTTCTTTTCAAAGACATCATAAAGGTCCTTTATAAACAAACAAAAAAAAAAAAGAAAGAAAGAAAAAAGGCTGATTCCAAAACATCACACATTACAAGTGTTTGAAGGAACAGCGAATGCCCGCTGGCAGCAAACAGCCCCCGGCCAGCCGGGGTCCACAAGAGAATGTTTCAGAGGCCTGAGCACTCTCGAGCTCATTTACTCTCTCTGCTGCTCCCCACATTATGGATTTATGTAAGCAGGACGACGAAAACCCTCGTCTTCCCCCTTACATTAAAAAAAAAAAAAGCAACCATAAAACAAAAAACAAAACAAAACAAAAAAACATTTTTGCAAGGAATTTTATAAGCTGATCTGGAGAACAGAAGAAGGACTAAGGAAACCCCTAAAGAAGTCTGGTTGCAAAATGTTCTGAAAAGAAAAAACAAACTTTTAACACAGGAACACCCAATGATACATTTTTTAAGTCTAATTTTGAAAAATGATCAAAACACTTTTTTTCCCCAACATTACAAATTACAAGTGGCCACCAGATGCTGGAGGAGGGAAATATGGCTGTGGTTTGTTTTATCTTCTCTGTTTTTAAGAAACCTCAAAATTAGGGAAGTCACATATACACAAGCAAAGGCAAGGCAGGAAAACTGCCGATGTGGGAGCTAAACTTCACTTGCAGATGGCGGAGGCTTCGAGATTAACGCACCCAGGAATCAGCCACATCCAGCCCTAGAGCGGGGGACCATGAGAGAATGTGTGCAAACCCAAATTGAACTTGTAATTCACTTGATGGATTTAAAAGGCCCGTGGGAAGTTTTCTGTAAGCCGGGAACATTTTGCTGCTAAGAAAGCCCCACCACCCAGGGAACAGGCGGGCAGTGTCCTCGAGCCTTTTGCAGGATAGAGGCAGATGTTTGGAGATATGATGTAACCTGGGTGAGTGAATTCATTCAAAGATGAGTCATGAAAGCAGCCCTCAAATGTCCTTCAGAAATCTCAGTAGCAGAACACAGAGCTTGGACCCAAATGCCCACCTACCACCCTCAAACAGGAAGCTCCCCTCTTTCAAAGAAGCTCTGGCCCTGAGGATGATGGCAGGCTTCAGCTCTTTGGCCACCAGCTTCTATTCCCTCATTTTACCGTAAAGTACCCTGATGCTGCTTGAAAGGTGTTGCTCATCCCCCACCTGAGGCACACAGAGCACAGGATGAAGCCAATTCTTTGTACGTTGAGCCCCTAGATCAAACTCTACCTGAAGCTGTAGGTCTAGCTTCATGGGCTATTATACTTCTTCTCTTATATGAGTCTGACTGGTTTGGGTTTTCAGTCACTGCTATGGTTTGAAGGCATCCCCCACATTTCATGTGTTGGAAACAAATACCCGCTGTGGCAAGATTCAGAGGTGGGGCCTGTAAGAGGTGACTGGCTCATAAGAGGCTCTGCCCTCATGAATGAATTAATGCATTCACGGATTAACGGGCTAATGGATGAATGGGGTATCATGGGAGTGGAACCGGTGGCTTTGTAAGAAGAGGAAGAGAAACCTGAGCTGGCGTGTTAGTGTGCTCAGCCCCCCTGCCACGTGATTCCCTAAACTGCCTCGAGTCTCTTTAGAACCCCCAAGAACGTTCTCACCAGATGTGGCCCCTCCACCTGGGACTTCTCAGCTTCCATAACTGTAAGAAGAAAGTTTCTTTTCTTTATAAATTACCCAGTTTCAGGTATTCTGTTATGAGCAACAGAAGATAGACTAAGACACTCACTCACACATTGAGCCCCACCATGCAAGGATTAAATAAAACCCTGACTTTAGCTAGAACCTTCAAAGTTCGGCCATGTCTACCCCTTCCAAATAACCACCAATTCAGAATGGAACAAGTTCCTCCAATGTCATGGAAGGTTCCCAGCTTCACCCAACTTCACAGTGCGATCTACCATCTGCTTCCTCAACATCTCCATCCACCTTCATCACGGGACAACCTGCAGAGCCTCAGGCCCTGACTCTGCTCCTCACCACAGAGGTTTTCTGAGTAATAATGATGGTAATAACAACATCATCAACAGTCAGGGCTTGCTGAGAGCTCAGGATGGGCCAGTGGGCTTGCTCTAAGCACGTTCATATGGTTATCTCATTTAATACAACACCCTTAGCAGTGGGTATCATTAGTCTCCCCGTGCTATAGATAAGGGAGCGGAGTCACCTGCCCAGAGTCACACAGCTTGTCTGTGGCAGGGCCAGGCTATCAGCCAGCCCCCACGCAGCCACTTGAAATGAGTATTTTTATGTTGATATGAGTAACTATGGCTATCATATCAAAACCATTATTTCATGAACATTATTAAGCTGAGACTATAAAGTTTTTAAAAAGGGAGGAGGTTCAGATTGAGTAAAAATATTATATAGACAATGTTGTGACTGGTATTTGAATATTATACAAATCATAAGACTGATACTGAAATGAGTATATTGCAGGAAATACTGGACGGACAGATGAACAGACGGACGGATGACAAATGGATGGACAGATGGATGGACAGGTGGGTGGGTGGGGAGATGGATGGGTGATGGATAAGGAGGAAAGAAGAAGGGAGAAAAAGAATGAAGTGAAGAAGGGGAGGAAAGAAGGAGAAAAATGGGCCTGGCACGTAGTAGGTGCTCAACCAATATGCTGAATGAACCCATTAGCAAAGAAGTAGTAGAGTGCTGTAGTTAAGAGTGTGGGCTTTGAAGTCAGACTGCTGGTTCATGACTTGGCTCAGCCTTTCCTCGCTGAGGAACCCTGGGCATGTGACAAAACCTCTCTGTGCCCCAGTCTCCTGGACTGTGAAATGGGACAATAGGAACACTTCCATCAAGGCAGCCAGAAGAAATAAGTCAGTTAATGAATGCAGAATGCTCAGGACACAGCCGGATGCATCCTAAGTGCTTGGTAAGTGTCAGCTAACAATATGATGAGTAAGTTGTCAAATCCATTCTAGGGCTGACCCAGTCTAACCACCTCTCTATTTCAGAAGCAACCTCAAGTTCCACGAGCCTCCCCCGAAAGTAGGAACGGAAGAGAGGAAACAGAGGAACAAAAGGCTCCACTCTCCCCAGGCTCCAAGGAAAAAGGAGGGTGGAGGGCTGCAAGGTAATTTAAGAAGTTTAACAGGGAAAAAAAGTCTTCAACATGAGTGCGGAAAAAAAAAAGATAAATTCAATGGTCCAGGCTGCCTCTCGAGACAGCTAAATTCTGTTGTGCTCATTCTGCATGCTTCAGCTTTTCTTAGACTCTGAGGAGTTTTTGCCTAAATTAGAGCCTGCAATATGCTGAAGAGAAGAAAGGGAAGGTGAAGGGAGGCAGAGAAAGGATCAGGGGCCTGTTAGGCACGCCCTAGAGGAAGCCTGGCTGTTCCATCCACTCCAACACTGAATGCCGAGACAGTGAAAGTCAAATCCCAGCACCTTTCCCCACAGCCACAGCCACAAGCTGTGGGTTGCACCCAAGTCCCACAGCCCAGCCCTCAGTGCACTCAACACTTTCCCTGCCATATCCCAACATCCCCAGCAGCAGCCACCCAGATTCTCCAGAACATCTGCTTACCTCTACCCACCCTGTCCCCATCAGCTCCCACCCTCCCCAGTCAACTGAAACATTACTGGCTGCTCAGGTGACTGCTATCACCACCCGGGAACCCCAACACATATTTATTCCCAGGAATATGTGAGAGGGTGAGAGTGTGCGCATGTGCATGAATAATGCATACACTGTACTTATGCAAGGAGATATGCATGCAGAAAACGGCACCCCAGCTAGCTGACTTGGAACTGTGCAGATTCATGCACACACACACACACACACACTAATATCACTCCCTTCGGTAAACACAGACAGACAAAGCACACAGAAATAAATCGTTACCTTCGCGCTGCTGCTGCCAGATGGCAGAGCCTGGCATTGCTGTGTCTGCACGTCTGTGCATTTGTGTGTAATAATAACGGTGGCTGACATGACTGAGCTCCTACCACGTGCTGGACGCTGTCCTAAGTGCTGCATCAAACCCAGAGGAGGTGTTATTATTACCCGTTTCATAGCTGGGGAAACCAAGGCACAGAGGTCAAGTCATTTGCCCCAAGGTCACCCTGCTGGTGAGGGGTAAAGTCAAGGACTACAGAATAAGCACCCAATATGAGCAAGTCTCGTTTTATGACCCTGGGGGGTGACAGGGAGGAATCCCAAGATGACCAGCTGCCATGGGGGTCCTCAACAAGCCCACCGTCCCAGTGATGGGTCAGGTTTCAACACAATTGAAACGGACAAGAGCCAGAACTCCCCAGGAAAGAGGGGTGCCCAAGGTTCAGAAATGTTTGAAATCAAGTTCAGTGTCCAGCAAAGTCCTCACCACCAGCAACAAGTCAACCCGGGGGCAGAGTATGCAAACTGGCAACCCACAGGTTTGGCCCACAGTCATGTTTGGTTTGGCCCATGAAGTGTTTGTTAAAAATGTGATTGAGTTGCCAACTTTTAAAAATCGAGTGATTTCATACCAAAAACTCCACATTTCCTGCCATTGGAAAATGTCTTTAAGAAGTCAAGAGATCTGGCAATACCGGGCTCGAGTTCCCGCACGGGGACTGCTGCCTGGGGCTGAGAGGTGGCTGCTTGCTTGACATGGGACATGTGCTCCAGAAGGCACAGATTGGGGTTGGGGGCCTGCCTGTGGGGGCTCACTTCTGTGCCTCAGTTTCTTCATCTGTAAAACAGCTTCCCCATAGGACTGGTGTCTGGCACCCAGCAAGCACTCAATAAATGTTAAATAGCACTGCTGTCTCCCCAACATCCAAGGCCCAGGGCTTGAGGCATTGTTTTATAAAAATAAGAGCTAAGGCCAGGCGTGGTGGCTCATGCCTGTAATCCCAGCACTTTGGGAGGCCAGGTGGATCACCTGAGGTCAGGAGTTCGAGACCAGCCTGACCAACATGGAGAAACCCGGTCTCTACTAAAAACACAAAATTAGCTGGGCATGGTGGCTCATGCCTGTAATCCTAGCTACTCAGGAGGCTGAGGCAGGAGAATCACTTGAACCCAGAAGGCAGAGGTTGCTGTGAGCCAAGATCGCGCCACTGCACTCCAGCCTGGGCAACAAGAGCAAAACTCCATCTCAAAAAAAAAGGAGCTAACACACATCTAGCACCCGCGCTGTCCCAGGCTCTGTTCTGAGAGCTGTACTTTATGAACTCACTCAATCGTCCCAAGAAACCTATGAGACCATTCCTAGGTAAAAGCCCAAGAGAAATAAAAACTATCTCCATACAAAAACTTGTACACTCATGTGCATAGCAGTATTATTCATAGTAGCCAAACTGTCAAAACCCAAATGTCCATCAGCTAATGAATGGATAAACAAAATGTATATCCATATAATGGAATATGATACAGCCATAAAAAAGGAATGAAATTCTGACACATATTACAATGTGGAAGAAGCCAGATACAAAAAAAAAAAAAATACACACACACACACACACACACACACACACACACACATAGTATGATTCCATTTATATCCATTTATATGAAATGTCCAAATCTGTAGAGATAGAAAGTACATTAGTGGGCCAGGCATGGTGGCTCATGCCTGTAATCCCAGCACTTTGAGAGGCAAGTTGGGTGGATCACTTGAGGTCAGGAGTTCGAGACCAGCCTGGCCAACATTGCGATACCCCATATCTACTAAAAATACAAAAATTAGCCTGACATGGTGGTATGCGCCTGTAGTTCCAGCTACTTGGAAGGCTGAGGGGGGAGAATTGCTTGAACCGGAAGGCAGAGGCTACAGTGAGCTGAGATCGTGCCACTGCACTCCATCCTGGATAACAGAGCAAGAAACTGTCTCAAAATAAATAAATAAATACATACATACATAAATAAGTAGACTAATGGTTCCAGGGATTGGGGAAGTGGAATAATGGGGAGTGACTACCAATGGGTTTGGGTTGTTTTTCAGGTGTGATTAAAACGTTCTGAAATTAGAAGATAGTGACAGTTACACAAGCTTCTGAATATACCAAAAGCCACTGGAGTGGACACTTTGGGGAATTCCTTATGGCATGTGAATTATACTCAATTAAAAAATTAAAAAGAGAAACACCTATGAGATAGGCATTCTTGTTATTCCCATTTTACAGATGAGAAAACCAAGGTACAGAGAGATTAAGGGTAAAGAGATGTTCCTCTATATCCACATCGATGTTGAAAGTAGAGAGACAAAGTTAGGGGGAGAGGGTTACGTGATTTTTCCTGCACTGGCTGCTTTACCGGTCACAGCCATAGGGATCTGGATTTGCAACCCTTGCTCGGGCAAATCATTTACTCTCTCTGAGCCCGAGGCAAAGGCCAGACAGGAATGGCTTTTCTCTTAATCTTGATCCCTCTCGGGTCCCCAAGGACCCTACAAGTCTGGAGCATTACATGGAAGCATTACTTATTCATATGTAAGGGTCAGTTCTGGCCATTAATAAATGATGATTTTAACGACTCACAGTGGTCCACTCCCAGGGAAATGGGAAGAAACCATTCTGGGTTTTCTAGGTCCAAGCCCTTCACATGGCTGGCTCAGATGTCAAAGCAAGTGGCTCAGTAGCCCATCTCCTCCCAAGTGTCTGGCCAGGAGAAGAACCCCTTACTCACCAGGCAGAATATGACCTCACCGGGCTAAAGGATCCCCTCACTCACTAGAAGCCCCCATGGGACAAGAGGACCCCTACCCCACAGAGTGGGAGGACCCCCTTATGAACACCCCCATAATTTGGAGCAGCAGGCTCTCACTGAGCTACTGGGAGCTGCAAACGAGCCCCTCTAAACCAAGGCCCTGTCTCTGAGCACGGAAGGGACCTCAAGGTGCCCTGCACCTCATTCTCAGATGCAGGGACCAGCCTGTGAATGAAGTATCAGAAGCCAGACAGTGAGAGGGAGAAACAGAGGGAGATAGGGGCACAGAGAATGAGACTGAGACAGAAAAACAGAGAGAGGGAAGGCAAGGGGCGGACAGAGAGTCCTGAAGGAAGCTGGAGGCAAAGCTGGGAAGACAGAGCTAACCAGGACAATGAAAACAAGAGCTCTCTCTCCACTCCAGAAGGAAAGAGGCCAGGAGGCAGAGAGGAGGCCCAGCAGGAGCCTTTGCTTGGGGTCCTTCCCACACTGCAGGGCAGCACCAGTACTGCCCAGGAGCCCCCATCAGTGGGTGGTGGGGGTGGCTTCCCAGCCAGGCTGGAGCCTGCCAGGGCAGCCTCTGCAGAGGAGGAGGCCGGCTGGTCAGGCTGGGGGCTGGGCCGGGAAGTGCCAAGCACCCAGCCAGGTTGCCATGGCCACGGAGACAAAGAGAGGGGCTGAGGAGAGGCCCAGGGACAGGGTCCCTAAGAGGGGCCCCGGCTGCCTACAGTCCTCGGGGACTGGGCCTTGGATGTTGGGGAGACAGCAGTGCTATTTAACATTTATTGAGTGCTTGCTGGGTACCAGACAGCAGTCCTATGGGGAAGCTGTTTTACAGATAAAGAAACTGAGGCACAGAAGCGAGCCACTGCAGTATCTCATAGGGGTTTTTGTGACTAGCCTATGAGTTGATTAAGTGAAACTCTTTAGTACAGTTCCCAATGTATTGAAACCCTCACATGTCAACTATTATTGCAAAATGTCACCAAAAGTCAGGTGACATTGTTAATGTAATTCTCTTGCGTCCTTATCCTCAGTCACTAACATGACACCTGATGTGTCATGTATGTATTTGATGACCGGCTTACTGTCTGCCTCTTACCAGAGGGTTAGATCCATAAGGACAGGGGCTCGGGTCTGTTCCATCACCCACTAAACACTCAGCTCAGCCCAGAACTGTACCTGGCAGAGCTGGGATGCTGGTTCTGCCACGTATTTGCTGTGTGACCCAAGACAAATGACTCAACCCCTCTGAGCCTCCATTTCCTTATCTGTGGAATGGGAATACAATGATGATGACCTTGCCCACATACAGAGAGGCTCAAAGAAGGATGCTCCTGCAGCACTGCTTAGTACAGACCAGTGACTTTCAAATGAGGGCAATTTTGCTTGCCCCAACCCCCCACCCCTGAGGACATATGGCACTGTCTGGAGATATTTTTGGTTGTCACAACTGAGGAGGAGGGTGCTTTTGGCTGGTGGGTAGAGCCAGGGACGCTCCTAAACATTCTACAATGCACAGGATAGGATAATCCCCCACAACAAAGCCCCAAATGTCACTAGAGCTGAGGCTGAGAAATCCAGAAGAAAAAGAAAAAGGCAGGAACCACCAAGATGCCCATCAAGAAGGGAATGAATGTATAAACTCCAGCAGAATCGCCCTGCAAAATGGTAGGCAGAAGTCAGAAGGAAGGGCCTGAAACTGTGTAAAACAACATAAAAAGATTATCCAGACATACACATCCCATGAGCAAAGCCAGCTCAGAATGCTAGGTGATCCTACGTTTACCCTCAGGGACCCAGAATTTGAACCCAGGAGCTCAGCCCCAAGCCTACAGATTTAACCACCTGCTCCACCAGCCTCTGCTCTGTATCTTTTACCAAAACAAATGCACGTGCTCGAAAGCATGCTATGTCACTGCTGCAGGTTCACATCGATGTGTGGCAATGACATGAACAAACACACAGGGAAAGATCTGGAAAGCTGCACACCAGCCTATTAACAAGAGCAACTGGGGCTGGAGGCAACCAGGAACACGAAGGGGTAGGTTACCTCATCCACAATGCATTAATTTTCTACAAGAAGAATGCATTTGTATTTGTCATGTTATGAAACATTAATGAAAAATTACAAATACATACACTCTTTAACCCAGAAATTCCATTCCCAGAAATGAATAAACTTACAGGTATGAAGTGGCATGTGTCTGTCCCACCATGATTTGTAATGGCAAAAGATGGGCACAACCTCAGTGTCCATCAACAGGGGACTAATTTAATAATAATTAAAAAAAAAAAAAAAGTACCTCCATTCAACAGAATTCTATACAGCTATCATTTTTGAAATGAGGCAATTCCATGTGCTATCATGGAACAACCTCCATCATACAGGCACAAAGCAAAATGCAGAAACGTGTACTGTGGGCCCCACTTGTGTAACAAAAGGGGTACACCCAGACTATCTGAAGGGGCCTGTATGACACCGGGGCCAGTGGCTGCCTCTGGGGAGGGAACTTGGAGGCTAACATTTCATTCTATCTCACTGTATGCTTTTTAATTTGAACCATGAAAATGATTACACATTTATATATTTATATATTTATATGTGTACATATACATATATACTGTATATATAAATATCCAGTTATATGTGTCGTACATCATATATGGTATATATAACATAGATGTGATATAAAATGTATATAAAATAGTTTTATATATGTATATGCGTAATTATATATACATATATAGTTATATATACAGTTATATACACATATAATTATATACACATGTATAGCTGTAACATTTTAAATTAATTTAAAAGACACAAAAGATCATATACTATATAATTCCATTTTACATAAAGTTCAAAAACAGGCAAAACTAATCTTCGCAGATACAAATCAGAACAGTGGTTACTTTTGGGGATACTGACTGGGAGAAGACACCCTCTGGGGTGCTGGCAATATCTGATCTGAGTGACAGTTATTCAGATATATCTTATTATAAGCTCACCAAGCCGTTTACTTGGTGTATTGTACATTTTGCATACAAGATATACCTAAAATAATTAAAATTTTAAAATTTTAATGGAAGAAAAAGGACTGATCACGGTGGAAAGCATTTCTGGAAATTCTCTAAATTCTATCATCCCCCTTTACCAGAGGGAGCTCTTTGCTTGGGTCCCTGAGAGGTGGCCAAGCTAGGGTCCAGCCCCGCACCACAACTTCCCCAGAAAAAAGCCAAATGGGAATCAAGCTGGCCTTTGTGGTTGAGTCCAGCAGAGCAGGACAAAGGGCCAAATGACGGCCCCCTGCTCCCCCCAGACCCCCCCCAGGACACTGAAGCCCATTCATGTTGGAGGCTGGCCATTTCCCCAGGGCTCCAGCCCCCTCCTCTCAGGAGCTGGGAACAATATCCCCTTTTACCACCCCTCTTGTCTCTCACTTCCGCATTTAATTGCAAGTTCATGGGTATTAAGTGGCCCATACAGCTGACCCAGCTCTCTCTCCCCTCCCATCCCCCCAAAAAAGAGGCCCACAGCGCTGTCTCTGTTCACTGCCCCTGTGTGCCCGCTCTTTCTCAATGATCTTCCCCAGAGAGAAAGAGAACGACACCCCCGTCGGTCCCCGCTTGTCACCTTCCTCAAACAACCCTGTTCTCACCCAGAAAGCACAGTCTGGCAAAGCGAGCTGCTCGTGGCCCTGGCACAGGGCGCCAGGCCTGCAATGGCAGCTCTGTCCCGACTTTCCCGGCCAGCGGCACATCCACTTTGCACCCCGCTGTAACCCCACCTGATGCCTGAGAACACTGAGGCCCAGGAGAGTCGATGACAGGCCTGCAGTCCTGACAGAGCCAGTGCTCAGACCCTCAAGATTCCTCAGCCTGGATCTGTGACTTTCCCTAAGCTGCCTTCTTGTCCCCATTCAAGGGGGTGCCCAAAGCCTTTGACTCTTAATCTCTTCTCTAGCTTTGCAATTCCAGGGACGACGCTGAGCTCATCTGTAACCTTTAAGGGTTGGGAAGAAGTCACGTAAGTCAATCTCCTGCCTTTTGCATGAACTCACTTTTGCCCTTGCCCATGGGGTTCCTACCTCTGGAATGTCCTCAAGTCTGCCGCATCTATCCTGAAAGTCTCCACCTCCTCCAGGAAGCCTTCCAGGTTGTATGGGTCAAGGTCTAGTTTCCCCTCCTCCACTGAAAAACTTTATCACCCACATTCCTCCACTACCAATTCAAGTCCAACCCAGCTCTATCTCCATCCACCTCCTGGTCCAAGCCACCACCATCCCTCACTGGACACTGAGGCAGCTACCTAACCAATCTTGCTGCTCCTACGGTCCAGCCTCCATACCCACACCTAAGGGTCCTTTTTAAATCATCCATCAGACCACTCTTCTGCTCTGCTTAAAGCCCTCCCCGGCAGGCTGCCACACTGGGAGGAAATCCCTGCTCCTCACCTCTTCCTGGAAGGCCCTGCATGCTCTGTCCCATTACCCTCCTCAGCCTTCCCTCCCTCCACACCAGCACCAGCCTCCCCGCTGCACTTAAACTCTGACAAGTCCTTTCCCACCTCCCAGCCCATGCGCTTGCAAACTGAAGTGTACCTGTCAATCAGCTGGGGGCCTTGTCAAAAGCAGATTCTGCTGCGGTGGATGTGAGGTGAGCCCAAGCTCCCACGGTGATACTGCCAAGTCCCTGGAGCACACGTGGAGGAGCTTTGGCATGCAGTAGGTGCTCAACAAAATTCATCTCCTGGTGTTATATTCACCTGACTAAATTTAGAAGGAACTGTGTATCTGACCCTCCTGCTGGGATTAAATTGGAATCGCTTCAGATCTATGCAAGACCCTGACTTAAATCTCTAAATATGAATTAAATAACTTTTTTCTTTTTGAGACAGAGTCTCGCTCTGTCGCCTAGGCTCCAGTGCAATGGCGAGATCTCGGCTCACTGAAACCTCCACCTCCCGAGTTCAAGCAATTCTCCTGAATAGCTGAGATTACAGGCACGCGCCACCACCCACAGCTAATTTTTGTATTTTTAGTAGAGACGGGGTTTCACCACGTTGGCCAGACTGGTCTTGAACTCCTGATCAAGTGATCCGCCCACCTCAGCCTCCCAGAGTGCTGAAATTACAGGCATGAGCCACCCCACCTGGCCCTGAATAAATAGCATTTTAATTTAAAATATAACAGCTATCATTTCTTGAGTGCCCACACATTTTCTTTCATTTAATTCTCAAGACTCTCATATACACTTGGTTGAGGGTGGCAGGAGCTTGCTGCATGGAAGCCCCTCACAGTCCCCAAGTGAGATCCCCACTGCCCACCACAAGGACATGCAGACAGGCCTGGAAGAGGAAAACGTTCGAAACATCCCTCTAAGCCTGTGTCCACCCAAGCACACTGTCAGTGGCATCCTAAAACGAAGAGCAACTCCTATAAACCCTGTGGCCCTGCCCCGAGCAGCGCGGTCTATCACCCTGGAGACTGCATGTGCTAAAAGCGTTAGCTGGTTCAAACTTAAGTATTTCAAAAGCCACCCTCTGGGGCCCCAGTCTTATCCTACATGCATTTTGTTAATAATACAGCCAAAGACTGGAGGGGCCTTGGCTTCCTGTGTACCCCATGGGTAAGGGTTTTCCAGCCCCATTTTAGATAGGTGGAAAATGGGGTACAGAGAGGTTGTCCTGCAGGCAAGCGGGCCTCTGTCCCCCCACAACAGGGCAGAGGGGCCAGCTGGGTTGAAACCCAAGAAGAAAGTACCCGTGTTCTCCTGGGTGAGGGGGCAGGGGCTGCGGGCACAAGGGCCCTGCTTATCAGTGGCCACCAGTACCTCTCCCTGGCTGGGCACCTCCACCCATCCAGATAGGATCTCACTCTAATCTGCCTCTGCGCCAGGGGCCAGCAGACCCCTGCCATAAAGGGGGCCTTGGGGGACTTTGATGTGGTAGAGGACAGAGCCAGCCTGACTTGTGGGCCAGCTGTGGCGGAGGGGAGAGCCTAAGGAGCTTCAAAACAGTCTCAGCTTCTCTCCTGTCCATGTGGGACTCTGGAGAATTTGAATAAAGCTATTTCACCAAACTTTACACTCATTTAAACTTCACTACAACCCTTAAGGTAGCTACTATAATCACCCCACGTTTTACAAGTGGAAAACTGAGGCACAGAGAGCCTAAATAGCCTGCTCAAGGTCACACCGCTGGGAAGTGGCAGGGCTAATTCAAATGCAGGCTGAGCTGACATTAAGGGCCTGGATTTATTGATAAGCCCCTTATCAGTAGGGCGACCAACAGCCCCAGTTTACTGAGGTCTGAGGGGTTTCCTGAGATGTGGGACTTTTAGTTTTAAAACCAGAACAGTCCTAAGCAAACTGGGGCAGTTGGTCACTCTATTTACCACTTGACTTATCAGTGAGAATAAAGATAATAATAGTAACAGCGACAGCAGCCAACAATCCCTGGGCACTTAGGATGTGTGCCCGGCATCATGCAAACCCCAAAGCCTCACCACACAGTGGTCCTGTGAGGTGGGAGCTTTTGTTCCCTCTCTTTCCCTCCCTCATGTCACAGACGAGGAAACCAAGGACCAGGGAAGCTGCAGAACTTACCTACGAGGCGTAAAAGGGAGTACAGCCTCTCAGATGGCAAAAGCAGCCAGCTATCCATGTACTGAGCCTCTCGGGCAGGGCTAAAACAAGGCCCCAAGCACCATGGTACATACTGAACACGGGCCTTTATAATGAGACCAATGCCTTTAACATACATGACACATGACCTAACCACTCTGGATGCAAATATCTAATTTTTTTTTTTTGTAGTGACAGGATCTCACTATGTTGCCCAGGCTGGTCTTGAACTCTTAACCTCAAGCAATCCTCCCGCCATGGCCTCCCAAAGTGCAGGGATTACAGGTGTGGGCCACCGCACTCAGCCTGTGGATGCAAATAATTATGGGATTTCTAAAGATATGTTAGCTTAAAATCTGCCACTTACTAGCTGGGTAACCTTTGGAGAGTTCCTGCCTATCACCAGGATAAAATGGGGATAATAAGAATCCTTCCCTCACAGGCTGCAGTGAGTATCCCACAAGATTGTGCAGCTGAAGAGCTTAAGACATGGTCTAGCTCGTGTGAAGAACCAGCTACTAGTAGCAGTATTCGTACTGGCATTAGTGTCTATGCCATCATAGGCAGCGTGGTCTTTTGTGGAAACCATGCGAGCTGCGTAAGCACCAAGGAACATCTCCTCTTTCAGCAACTCTCCATGCCTCATGCATCGGTGACACTGAAGGTCTAATTCTGAGAAGCTGGCCAGTCGGGCTCTCCCTCTTGCTGAGAAAATGAGACCACACCAGGCCTGACAACCACACACCTGCCTGCCCTAAGTCATCTTGAAGCAAGCCCAGCCCCACCACGCAGAGACACCCAAAGAGCTTCCTAAAACCATCCTGCGACAGAGTCCCTTCTGGTCAGAGCACCATCCTCCAGTAGGTAAGGGCCAAGGCACAGTTTCACCTCCGTGGATATAGGCTTTCTGTTGAGAAACCAGCCTGCGTCCTGCATCCAGTCGCTCCTCTCCTCCCACCACCACCCTGGGCCAGGACACCCACGTCTCTCCCCGGGGCTGTTGCAGTCACCTCCTCACTGGTCTCCCCACTTATCTTTGTCCCCTGCTATGGTTTAGCTATGGCTTATTTGTCCCCACCAAAACTCATGTTGAAATCTGGTCCCCAGTGAGGCGATGTTGAGAGGCAGGGTCGCATGGGAGGTGTTTGAGTCATGGAGGCGGACCCCTCATGAGTGGGCTGGTGCCATCCTCACAGTAGTGAGCTCTCACTCTGGGGAGTCTGGATTAGTTCCCCAAGAGTGGGTTGTTATAAAGCCAAGACGCCCCTTGGGTTTTGTCTCTTCACTCATGTCTGCTTTCTCTCTGACCTTCTCTGCCATGCCATGATGCAGCAGGAAGGTCTTCATCAGACACCATGGCCATGCCCTTGAACTTCCCAGCCTGTGCAACTGTGAGCTAAATAAATCTCTTTTCTTTATAAATTACCCAGCTTCAGGCGTTCTGTTATAAGCAGCAGAAAACAAACTAAGACACCCTGCACACACCCCATCCCCACCCCCGCCAAACCATCTACTTTCTTCACGGTAGCCAGGTAGCCAGAGGGGTTCTTTTAAAAGGTAAGTCATTCACTGTCACTGCCTGGCCTAATGCTCCTACAGCTTCTCTACCTCTTACAATAAAAGCCCAACCCTTTGCCATGGCCTCCAAGACCCTGCCCAATGCAGCCCCCACATGGTGC
The DNA here is from genome assembly GCF_000001405.40 of Homo sapiens. Taxonomy (NCBI): domain Eukaryota; kingdom Metazoa; phylum Chordata; class Mammalia; order Primates; family Hominidae; genus Homo; species Homo sapiens. The sequence goes on from NC_000020.11 coordinate 48,802,328, forward strand.
TCAGATCTCTTCTCCCACCCATTCTCCCCTCACTCACTCTACCCAGCCACACCAGCCTCCTTGATGATCCTGAAATTGGCCAAGCTCATCCCTGCCTCGGGGCCTTTGCACAGGCTACTCTTCCTGCCTTAATTCCCATGGCTGGCTTCTCAGTGTCCAGGTCCCAGCTCAAAGGCCACCTCATCAGACAGGCAGGCCTTCCCTGATCATCAGATCCAAAACAGCCCCCGACTCTAATTCATATCTCTGTGTTACTGTCTGCATAGCACTTGTCACTTACAAGATTTTTCTCATTTGTTATTTCTTCATTATTCATCTCCCCCATCCCAAACATCAGAGATATGAGAGCAGGGATTGTATCTGTTTTGATCACTGCTGTTTCCCCCATGCCTGGCACACAGTAGGACCTTAGTCAGTATCTGCTGACAGCATGAAGACAGCAGAAAACAAGATTCCTGGAGCTCTAAGTATGCCTGACATGGTGTGGGAATCCCCCATTCCCTTTGCAACAAGGGCTCTGAGAGAAGCCAGGCCGTTCTGCGAGCTTGTAACAGGGGCCCTGGCCCAAGCTGGGGAGTGAGGAGCGGGCAAGCCAAGGGGGGCTTTCCTGAGAAGACGCCTTAGACCCCCACCACCCAGCGTGCTCCCTGGACCAGTGGCATCAGCGTCTCATCTCCTGGGAGCTTGCTTAGAAATGCGGCATCTCAGGCCCTACTCCAGACCTGCTGATCCAAAATCTGCATTGGAACTAGGTTTGCAGGTAGTTCAGAGGTATAGTCAGATTTGCGATATCCTGGTTTAAACCCCCAGATAAGTAGGTAATAGCAGGCATGGCTGGTTCAGGGCATCCCTGGGAACCAAAAGGCTCACGGCAGGCCCACGAGGCCAATCTCATGCAAAACATGGCTTCCCAGCAGCACAGGCCAGACCAGAAAAAGCACTGAGGCCCATCCAGGGACCCCAAGCATCCTTCCTCCCTCAGACCCAAAATAGGATCCAAGAAGCTCAGAGCCAGCATATGCGGGTGGGGGAGGGAGAACAGGGAGATGAACCCAACAGATTTGCATGGCAGACTCCCCGAAAGCCATGCCATCTGGAGCCCCTTTGTGATAAAGGGAAGGGGAACAGAGTGAGAGCCAGGAGTATTTTCAAGGAGTGGGGTAAGGGGGCAAAAGAGGTATGTACAGGGAGAGGGAGGGCCACCTGTCACCAAGACCAGCAGCACCCCAATTCCACTTCCCAACCACCTGCAACACACAGGGCCACACACGCCAAAAACAGCTTGTAATCCACATAGCATCACCCCTTCTGCAGCTTCCCGAGGTCTGATATCCTGGAAGTCGTGCCCTGAGTCCTGCTCTTAGTACATGTGGTTGTGGGGCAGCCGGCACCTCACCCCATCTACACTGACGAACCTGTGACCCAGGCGTGGGCAATCAGAGCTCTGGGGCCCTCTGGATGGGTGATACTTGGTTCATGGATGGGTCCATGACCTCAAGGTCAGGCCAGGGAACACCTGGATCCAACTGTGCCTGAGGCCATTACTCCTGAGTCAAGTAAGCCCAGAAAGTCTTTTTTTGTTTGTCTGTTTGCTTCAGACTCTTCAAGTTAGGGTTTCTGTCACTTACAACCCAAACAGTCCTGAGTGATACAGCTGTTACAGCACCTATCATCCTGTAATGTCTCACTTAGGTGCCCATTTTCTCCCCTGGACTGGAGCCCTTGAGGACACACACCATTGTTTGAGTCATCTGCGTTTCTGACGCCCAGAAGAAGGCCTGGGATATAATATAATCTTCAGGAAATACGTGACAACGACTGGATAGCTCGTCCTTCTTTCACTCTGCAAATATCTACTAAGCACCCACTATGTGCCAGGCACTGTTCTAGGTGTGGGGACACAACAGGGAATAAAAGAGACAAAACCCCCTGCCCTCTGGGAGCTTAAATTCTAGCGAAGGAAGAGCAGGCAAGAAGCAGAGGAGTCAATCAAATACAAGTGCCACGGAGAAGAGGGAGACAGAGGGGGAGCATGGGAGGAGGGGTGACTTTCGATGGGAGGCCAGGGAAGGCTGGGCTGAGAGGGAGAGGCCCAAGACCTGAAGAGGTCATGAGTGCACAAATACCTGGAGAATGTTCCCGACCAACAGGACAGCATGTGCAAAGGCCCTGAGGCAGGAGTGTGCTGGGCACTTTTGGCGAAGGAGTCAGAAGACCACAGACTACAGGGCGTTGGGATTTCCTCTGGGTGAGGTGGGAGGCAGCGGGGGCTCAGATAGGACGAATGTGACCTGATTTACGCAGGGTACATGTGGAGAACCAGGGGCAAGGGTGGAAGCATGGGACAAGGGAGGAGACGACTGCAAGAGTCCCAGCAGGAGACCATGGTGGCTGAGACCCGGGGCTACCCATGGGAGGTGAGAAGTGGCCGGATCCTGGCTGCTTGTCCAAGTTGGAGCTGACAGGATTTCCTGATGGGTTGGATGTGGGATGTAAGAGGAAGAGTGGCGTCAAGATGGCCCAAGGAGGTGCCAGAGTGACTGGAAGGAGGGGGCCGCAAGAGGAGTGGCGGGGAGGAGGCAGCAAGTTTGTGATGCCTGCTGAATGCCCTCATGGAGATGTCGGGTCATCATCTAGAGGTCGGGACAGAGGTCAGGGCAAGGAATATAAATTTGAGAAATGCTGGCAGGGCATTTTAAATGATTGAGCAAGATGAGCTCAACTACAGAATGATAATGAAGTGACAGAGGAAGAGAGGGAAGAAATGGTCCCCATCTCCTTACCACCGGGCTGCCAGTGCCCACCAGCCTCCTGGCTATGTGCCGGGGAGAAGAAACGGTGATAGCAGCAGGACATCAACTCCTTGTTCTAGAACAGCTTGCTATGGACAATGGAGTTTCACATCCACTGTTTAGCCTGCTCCAAAGAGGTAGGTAGGGCAGGAATTAGCATTCCCCACCCCAACTCATCACCCAGATAAGAAACTGAGGCTCAGTCAGAGAAGGACAGGCGGGTGCAAGGTGATCCAGGCTAACTCAGCTGGCTGAGCCACCCGGCCAAGGCCAGGCTGCAGACACCACGTGCTCTCTGCCAAGTGCAGCTCTTCAGGAGCAGAAACAGAGAGACCCCCTCCACCCTACCTTCTGCGGCTGCCAAAGACCTGACACACGGGGAGGGGCTGAGAATATGTCTTGGCCCGAAGTGTTGTGGTGACTGGCAGACAACAAGTGCTGGCAGCGAATTAGGGAGCCAGGAGGGGCAGCCAGCACCACACACAGGGCTGGGTCTCCAGGGTCCCCTCAGCACCGGGGGCTCCCTTCTTCCTGGACTTACAGGCCAGCCCCAAGCCCAGAATCCCACCTCACCCCTCTGTGCCCCCCAACAGCCACCAACTCTTGAGAGAGACACCAGGGATGGGGCATCCTGCTCCCACCTCAGCCACAGGGCTCAGCCTCAGGGATCGAGACCCAGGTTCAAATCCCAGCTCCAGTGCCAACTGACAATGAGACTTAGAACCAGCTGTAACACCTCTCCAAGCTTCAATGTCCCCACCTGTAAGACAGGTGGCAAATACAGAAACACTTCCATCATCACTGCCGCCAAAGCAGCGAACATGTGCTGAGCTCTCAGGATGTGCCAGACACTGCTCTAGACCAGGGCTTCTCCCGCTCAGTGCCACTGACAATTGGGGCCAGGTAATACTGTGTGATAAGGCTGTGCTAGGCACTGTAGGACGTTCAGCAGCATCCCTGGACTCTACCTGCTTCATGACAGTAGCAGGTAGAGTCCAGACATCCTTCCTCCCCAGTTGTGACAACCAAAAATATCTCCAGACATTGCCATATGTCCCCTTTGGGGGAGGGGCCAAACTGCCCTTGTTTGAGAACCACTGTTCTAAGCCCACCAGAACATCAGCTCCAGGAGGACAAAGATCTTTGTCCATTCATCAAATCTAGGGCCTGGATTTGAACTTAAGGGACCTGGTTGCACAACTTGCTCAGACACCTGCTATCCTGATTCTCAAAGGCCTATGGGAGGGTTTATGTGACCCAATATTACATACAGGTCTGCCCCACAGTAGGTGTTTCTAAATGGTCATTTTTTGTTTGTTCTAAACTCTAGACTTGGTTCATTATTATTAATAACAGCTAACATAATTAAGCATTTATTATGTGCCAGGTACCAAATGAAACATCTTTTGCACACCATCACTCATTTCAGAGGTACAATGATCCTAGAAGGAAGGGATTACTATTACTCCCACTTTATTAAGGACAAAACTAAGGTTCAAACATGTTAAATGACTTGCCCCAGGTCACACTCCCAGTAAGAGGAGGAGCCGGGACTGAAAGATAACATACCAGCGCCTCTCAGACTTTGGGCTTTCAGATTGGTAAGTTCCCTGACAAGGGAGCAACAAGCATTTAATGAGCACTGACTGTATGCCAGGCACTGGGCTCAGCATCAGGGATACCAAGGTCAAGATGGCCCCCAAACAGCTCCAACAGCAGGCAGAAGGTGAAGAGGGCTCAGTGCCAGTATGGAGGGCTGGGGCTGGGGAAAAGGAAGTCAGAGATGCATAAGAGTAGCAGGAATGGCTTCTCAGAAGAGGTATAGGGACAGTTCAAAGGAATCCGATATCCATTCATCCATGGAACAGTCAGAGAACGCCTCTTCAAGGTGACATCTCAACAGAACATAGCTGAAGATGGAGGTGAGCCATGCTGACATGAGGGAAAAGACAACTGGCAGGGAACTGTCTTTTTTAAATTATTGTTAGTCTATATTAATTTGAAAAATAGTGTGTTAATTAGAACTAGTGTAGCAATGCCAAAAAAGTATACAAAGATAAAGTGAAAATTCTTTTTCTACACTCCCCCCCATTCTCAGCCTGAGGCTACCAAGGCTAACATCTGGTGCACATCCTGCAGTATCTTTCTCCACACTCATAAATACCCATTGAGAGAGCCTTTTTTGTGTTTTTTTTTCTCTACAAAATTGGGGTCCTGCTCTACATTTCACTCAGCAACTTATCCCTCCTTAAAGGTACAGCACATACAGCCCCTCATGTCCATAGAGACCAACCTCATTCTTTCCAACAGCTGTCCGTTACCCCAACATGTGGATCAACAACCATCCTAATGAGACTTTTCTCTGCTAACGGCCACTCACAGAGTTGCCAATTTCTTTTGCCATTAGAAACAAAACTGGAATAAACATCTTTGTAACTTACATCTTTACCTACTTTTTTTTTCTTGTTTCTATAGGAGAAGTTCCTAAAGGAACTGAATCAAAGGGTATCGTGGGTTTTTATTTTTAAAGACACTGCCAATGTATTTTCCCCCAAGGCAGCAATCATGAACACTCCCACCAGTGTCCTCTGGGACTGCTTGCTTGCCTGCAGCCAGGCCAGCGCTGGGCATTATGCCTCTTGTGTACGTGTGACGACAGTAAGGGATGGAAGGTGACGTTGACTGATAGGGTTTCTCAGCGGAAATGCAGCTCCACACAGTTCCAAAAAACACTGCCAATTCCAGAGCATTCTGGGCCCAAATGAGGCTAGAGGGGTGTGGGGGAGCAGGCTGTCCACTCAGGGGGCCCTGAGCAAGATGGGGACACCTTCCTCCCAAGCCCCTCCCCATCCTTGCAAGCCGACTCCTGAGCCTGCACCATCCTCATTTCTGAAATGGATTTCACACCCAGGAGTAACAAAGATGGCTTTGTCAGTAGGAAAGGGGAGGGGGGCACTGTTGTCGGAACATTCTGGATCCTGTTCATTCAAAGCTCTGTGTGTGGGGATGGAGAGGGCAGAGTTGGGGAACAACGGGGTGCTTCCTGCTCTGGGGCTGACCTCAGGCACAGGCACCGTGGGCAGAGCTGGAGCGGCCCCAAATTCCCTGCCATCCCCTCACTGGCACACTCCACAAACATTTGCTGAGAGCTTAGGCTGTGCCAGGCACTCCGGGAGCACTTTACATTTATCAGCTCATGCAGTTCATCCCCACAGCCCCATCAGCGAGGTCACATCATTAACACCACTGTGCAGATGAGAAAATAGAGCTCCAAGAAAAGCAGCCAGGACTCGAGGTCACACAGCTCGTGAGCAGCACAGGAGGACAAAGCAGGGGCAGTGGACTGCCATCTAGCCACCTGCAGAACAGGCTCTCCTGCCCGGGCTGCTGTGGCAGCCTCCTCCTCAGCCTCCACCCCACCTCCTATCATCTACCCGCACAAGTAGCCAGAGGGATCCTGCGAAAACTGAGTCAGATCTGCCCCTCCTCTGCTGAAACACTCCAAGGACAACACCACCTCACTCAGCGACACCACCTCACTCAGCGTAGAAAGCAAAGCCCTTACAATGGCCCTCAAGGCCCTGTGCAATCTGCCCACCAGCCTCCCTACTCCTACTGCCACCTCTCTGACTTGACCTCCCATTGCTCTGCCCCTGGCCATTCCGGCCTCCGTGTGGATCCTAAAACAGGCTCCTGCCTCAGGGCCTTTGCACTTGCTGTTTCCCATGCTTGGAATGCTCTCCCCATAAAGACAGAGGCAAAGTCCTTTTCCTGATGTTACACCCCTAGAAGGGGCAGAGCCTGGATTCAGGGAAGACAAAATGCACACAGCTGAGTCTTCAATAGAAGAGAAAGATGCTGTGTGACTCTGGGTAGGTCAGGGAACCTTTCTGAGCCTCTGCTTCCTCATCGACACAATAAACAGGCAACGCAGGAACACCTTCCCCACCAGGTTCTTGGGGGGCTATGTTGCTTGGAAAGTGTCCACTGGGCACAGTTCCTCACACATGTGGGCACCAGTGTTATAATGACATCCACAGGGAGAGCTGGAATAGTCAAGGAAGGCCTCCCAAGGAGGCAGGATAGGAGCAAGGATTCTGAGGTCAGACATGGAAAGGCCAAGAGCCACTGCAAGCAGGCCATGGGCCAACGGGGCTCCCCTGGGACCCAAGACTTGGGGGAAGGCAAAGCCTTCCAATCTGGGATCGAGGCACCAGCACAGGGGAGAAGAGATGCTCCCACCTGGCATCCCTCCCCATCTTCTGGTCCCAGCACCCTGGGGGCTTCCTTCTGGGAACCACTCCTCCCCCACTACCATGTGGTAGAGCTACATCCCTCACCCAGGAGGCAGCTGCCCCAGGGAAACAGAGAGAAATTCCCATTCTTACTGAAGGTGGTTTGAGATGGGTTTTCTGTCACTTGCAACCAAAGGATCCTGACAACCAGCCGGCTCTTGCCAATCTCAGCAGTGGTAGCAATGCCATTGTCTTTATTATTGTTCTTGTTATTTCAAAATCTTCAAGATGAGGGAGAAACGAGGCCAGGGGAGAGGCCACCAATAGGCTGCCCAAGAGCAGGAAGACACCAAACCTGACCGGGATGGTATCAGGGTCCTGCAACCTAAGAAGAGGCCCAGGCAGGGACCCTCTAACGCCCCTGGAGGAACCCACTACTTCCTCCCAGGTTCTCCCAAAGGGGCATAAGTGCAGGAAGTAGGACGGACCATGTGGGAACCTCCTGTTTAATAGCTGATGTTGCAGAAAAGAGAAGGGAGCCATTGCCCACAGGCCACAGGAAGTGGAAGTCTGGGAAACAGATTCGCACCCTCTAAGAGAGACCCACCTTCTCCCCTTTTCATCTCAAAGAACAAGAAGGACCACTCACAAACTGGAAAACAAGTCTCCAACTTAAAACCCCTATAGGAGCTGGGCAGGTAACAGGGAATGCTGTGCGCGGCTCCTTAGTAAAAGCAATGACTATTGTATCCTTTTAACAGAGAAGAGTGTCTTTGCCTAGTAAACACACAGGAATACTCTTCTCTTCCAAAGAGAAACCTGCTACCTTCCACTTTCCTTAAAACACATAACCCTCTTGGTCTTTCAGTTTTCCATCTGATACACGCAAGGGTTAGAAGAAACATTCCTCTGTCCTCTTAATTCTACAATTAAAAAAAAAAAACCAGGCCTAGTACAGTGGCTCATGCCTGTAATCCCAACACTTTGGGAGGCTGAGGCAGGAGAATCGCTTAAGTCCAGGAGTTCAAGACCAGCCTGGGCAACATAGTGAGACCCTTATCTCTAAAAAAAATTTTTTAATTAGCTGGGCATGGTGACACACACCTGTAGTTACAGCTACTCAGGAGGCTGAGGTGGGAAGGTCACCCCAGGAGGGGTTGGAGGCTGCAGTGAGCTATGATCACACCACTGCACTCCAGCCTGGGCAGCAAGGCAAGATCTCACCTCAATTAAAAAAAAAAAAAAAAAAAGGCAGGGCACGGTGGCTCACTCTTGTAATCCCAGCACTTTGGGAGGCTGAAGCAGGTGGATCATCTCAGATCAAGAGTTTGAGACCAGCCTGGCCAACATAGCAAAACCCCATCTCTATTAAAAATACAAAAATTAGCCAGGCATGGTGGTGCACACCTGTAGTCCCAGCTACTTGGGAGGCTGAGGTAGAAGAATCACTTGAACCCGGGAGGCAGGGGCTGCAGTGAGCTGAGATCGCACCACTGCACTCCAGCCTGGGCGACAAGAGCCAGACTCCTCCTCAAAAAAAAAATAATAATAATAATTAAAAACCAGCAGGGCAAGTGCCATAATAAATGGCAACCAATGTTTGGTCTCAGTGTTAGGAACATGTTATGGAGGGGTGGAGACTGTGGCTAAATGAAGACTGAAGCCCTGTGCCCTGCAGAAGGGGCAGCTGCTCTTCAGGTCCAGCCAAACCAAACGTTGCCTGCAGAAGAGCAAGTGACACATCTTCTGATTACTAAGAAGCCAGAAATAATAGGTTTTTGTATGAAATGTCTTCATTTTTCATTGCTGGCAAGTAAATAACAATTTTTTTTTTATTATTATTAAACATGGGGTTTCACTATGTTTGCCAGGCTGGTCACGAACTCCCGACCTCAGGTGATCCACCCACCTCAGCCTCCCAAAGTGCTGGGATTACAGGCCTGAGCCACTGTACCCAGCCTAAACAAAAAATTTTAAAACAATCCCGTGCAGGCTGACAAAACCCACATATGAGCCTAACCTGGACTTAGGACCCCTGGGTTTGGAACCAGTGGTTCTGATCATAAGTAAAAGGAGGGGCCCTGCTTTCATCACATCTGTGGCCTCAGTAGCTTGTACAAGGCCTGGCCCACAGCAAGGGTACGATCAATGACTTCTGACCAGAGTTGGATACACACACACACACACGTGTGCATGCAAACTACTGACCAGACCTGGATACACACACACACGTGTGCATGCACTCTACTGACAAGACCTGGATACACACCCCCCCACACACACACACACGTACGTGTGCATGCACACTACTGACCAGACCTGGATACACACACACACGTGTGCATGCACACTACTGACCAGACCTGGATACACACACACACCCCTCACACTACTGATCACTGAAGTCAAAGAATCTGAAAGTGAAGTTTCCTAGAGACAAGGGAATCCCCTAGGACAAAACATTCATCCAACTCATTTGGATACAACTTAAACCTCCCTCTCTGTCCTCCAAGGAGTCTTAGCTGTTGGACAAAAGCAGACTATCACGGAATAGGAGTCAGAAAACCTGGGTTTCGGTTCCATCTCAACCGCAGACCCACTTGGGATCCCCAGGCCAAGTGACTGAACAGCTCGGTGCCTCAATTTCCCCTTCCTGAAAAGCGAGATGATTGGATGAGATGATGTCTCAGTGTCTTCCAGCTCCAACAGCCGGTTTCCAGGATTCTAGTGCTAATAATTTCTTTGGGCTAATAAGGACCAAAGGGTCCTAAACCCAGGTTTTTTCAGCCCTCAGTTACTAAATTGACAAAAGAACCGGTAGCAATCAACAAAGATGCAGATGGACTGTCATTGTGAAAAACTGAAAACTACCTAAATGCCCCAATATAAGAGGAATGGGTAAATAATATAAGAGGAATGGGTAAATAACATAAGAGGAATGGGTAAATAATATAAGAGGAATGGGTAAATAACATAAGAGGAATGGGTAAATAACATAAGAGGAATGGGTAAATAATATAAGAGGAATGGGTAAATAATATAAGAGGAATGGGTAAATAATGTAAGAGGAATGGGTAAATAATGTAAGAGGAATGGGTAAAAAATATAAGAGGAATGGGTAAATAATGTAAGAGGAATGGGTAAATAATATAAGAGGAATGGGTAAATAATAATTTTACTAGAATGCTATTATTAAATTATATATTAGTATAATAATTCTTATAAGTATAGCTAATATATATGGAATGCTTACTATGTACCTCGCATTGTTCTGATAGCTTTGCAGGTCCTAATTCACCTAATTCCCCCCTCAATCTAAGAAGAGGGCACTATTTTAGGAGATGAGGAAACCGAGGCACACACAGATGGAGCAGCTGGGCCACTGACCACACAGCAGGCAGGCAGTCAGGATTTGAACTGGACAGTGGCCATGATCCAGCCCCCACATTTCATTACGAAGCCATGAAAGGCTTGCTGATGGAGAGCATTTAGCAGTGACACGAGGAAGTATGCACAAGCAGTACCTGCTGTCGTGTACCAGGCTCAGACCAAATGCAAGGAACAAAGAGGAAATATACCCAAAGATGAAACAGCTATTTGGAAGGGTGAGATCTTTTTATTCATCTTTATTTCCCAAATTTTCTAAAATGAGCGCAGTAACTGCAAACACAGTCATACGTGGTGGGCGTCCTAGGGAGCCGGCTCCACACCCAGCACTCACCTACTCTACTCCACCCCCAACGGCCCAGATGTCGGCCTGCCCTGCATCCTGCTGTATCCCAGCATCTGGGCCAGGCACACAGTAGGTGCTTAACACAATGTGTTGGAACAAGGGAACAAGTCTATGAGGTAGGGACAGCGATTTCCCCATTTTATAGCTGAAGAAACTGAGGTCCAAGAATCAGCTTCCCGAGGTCACAGAGCTGGTCACAGAGCTTGGCTCTGGGACAAGCATGAGCACATCTCAGTGGAGACTCTCTACTGAGGACAATCAAAATCACCAGAGCTGGACTGCCAAATACAATGCGTGATCCAGGACTAGATCCTGGACTGGGGGTGGGGATGGGCGAGGAGATGGGTATAGGGAACACTTGGGGAGAAATAGTGAAATCTGAATATAGACTGTGCATTGTATCATTTAGTATAAATGTTGACTTGCCTGATTTTGTTGTTGAAGGCACTGTGGTTACACAAGAGAACGTCTGTCTTCCTAAGTGATGCATGCCAAGGTTTGCAGGGGCATCCTGTCTGCAATTACTCTCAAATAGATCAAAATAATAATAACGTGTGTGTGCATGATGGAGACAGGGAAGAAGAAAGGAAAGGGAGAGGGGGAGCGATCAAATAAAAAGTTACCAAAAAGTTAACTCTGAAAAGAACATATTAAATTGCCCAGAAATACAACATGTTTGGTTTTGTGCCTAGACTGCCATATGTGTGTAGAAATGAATAATATATGCAGCCAGGTATACACACAAAATATCATTTTACCATACTGGGTTCCATAAGAGCGCCTGTAGCTGAACAGACATAAGGGAATGTGCTTTTGATACTGACACCTCCACTGTATTTACTACCTTTGTGTTCAAGGGGAAATAAATCTTTAAAACCACCCAATCAACAGCTTGGTGGGCCACTGGCTGGTGGCTGAGACCACCCAGAGCTCCCTGACGTGGCAAATAAAACTTTCCAATCCCTTTGCCCTCCCCAGTGTGGTAAGGGCAGGAGGCCAAGGAACCCAGGCTGCGGCTGCCCCTACACGTGGGTTCATGCTCCCAAGACACAGTCATGGCCAGGAAGGCCTCTGCCACAGAGTGGGCCCCATTCAGCCCCTTTTGCTCATGCATTCATTTCTTCCACAAATGCTAACACAGTCCCCATTAAGTGCTAATCACCAGGGACTTGGCCATGAACACAGCAGACAAGGGCTGTGACCTCATGCAACTTACATTCTAATGGGAGAGACAGATACTAAACAAATAAATCAACAAGATAATTCCAGGCAGTGACAGGTCAAGAAGAAAATCAGTGCAGTGGCGTAGAGAAAGGGACTAGAAGGCTCTCTGAGGAAGCGGCACTTGAGCTGAGAGCTGAAAGAGAAAGGGGGGTCCTTGGTACAAATCAGGGTTCCAAGAGCTCCAGGTAATAGGAAGAGCAAAGGAAAAGGCTTAGAGGCTGGAGCCAGTTGAATACAGTGCAAGAATAGAAAGAAATGTGGTGGGGCCTGGACAGAATGAACAAGGCGGGGAGATGAGGTCTGCACAGTGAGCTAAAGCTGGATCACATAATACCTTCTAAGCCATCATAAGGAGCTGGGATTCGATTAACCTCCATGTTCCACCTCCAGCAGAGTGAGGATGGGGGAGGAAGAGGACTCCTTGTGCTGTTAATGTCCGTAGCAAACAAACCAGAATGAAATGGCAGGGTGTTGGAGCTAAACCGAACCCTGTCAGTAATTACATTAAATATACATAAGCTAAACAGTCTAATTAAAAGGTTGCGACTGTCAGAATGGATTTAGAAAAGCAAGACCCAACTATATGATGCCTGTAGGAGATGCACTTGGAATATAAAGACACAGAGGCAGAAACGAAAAAAATGGAAAACAGTAAGCAGAAGAAAGGCAACATGGCTATAGCAATATCAGACAAAATAGGCTTCAAGACAAGGAGCATTATCAGAGATAAAAAGGAGTATTTCATAATGATAAAAGGATCAATTCACCAGGAAGACATAATCATAAATGTGTATTTCCAGCAAGAGAACTTTAAAATGCAAAAAGTAATAACTGACAGAACTCAAAGGAGAAAAACATAAATCTATAGTCACAGATGGAGACTTCCAGAGCCTTCTCTCAATAACTACCAGAACAAGGAGACCAAGCATCTGTAAGGATATACAGATCTGAACAACACTAACAACCACCTTGATCCAAATGACATTTGTAGAACACTGCACCCAACGACAGCAGAAGACACATTCTTTTCAAATGTACATGAAATGGTCCCTAAGGTAGACTATCTGCTGGGTCATAAACCAAGTCTCAATTTCAAAGGATTGAAAACCCACAGAATATGTTCTCTGAACACAAATTGGAAATCACTAAACAATGAGTTATCTGGAAAAGCCCTAATATGTGGAGATCAATGCAATCAGATGGGCTTCCTCACTCCCCACCCCACACTCAGAGTAAACAGCACAGACAACATCTGGCGTAAATGTCCCCTGGGAGAAAGCAGTCAGGCATCTGTCCCGTGGCCAGGTCTAAGCCTACACTCCTAGGTAACGGGGGTACCAGGATGGGGTAGATGCTCTGGTTTCAACTTCAACAACCCAGTTGGCAAATCATTTCAAGAGATGCTGGGGCGGCCGGGCACAGTGGCTCATTGCCTGTAATCTCAGCACTTTGGGAGTCAGCCGAGTGGGCAAATCACCTGAGGTCAGGGGTTTGAGACCACCAGCCTGGCCAATGTGGCGAAACCCTGTCTCTACTAAAATTACAAAAATCAGCCAGACGTGTTGGCACATGCCTGTAATCCCCGCTACTCGGGAGGCTGAGGCAGGAGAATCGCTCGAACCTGGGAAGTGGAGGTTGCAGTGAGCCGAGATTGCACCATTGCACTCCAGCCTTGGCAACAGAGTGAGACTCTGTCTCAAAAAAAAAAGAAAAAAAGGAAAAAAAAAAAAAAAAACAGAGAGATGCTGGGGGTCTGTGTACTGTGTTGGAGAGACCAGGTCTTACCAGCGAGGAAACCACACCTCATAATACAGCCCACCTGCCCCGTCTCGCTCAGAATGAGCCAGAATGAGGCCAACAGCCAATCAGTTCACCTTACTCAGGGTTCACTCTGGGCAGGGCCAGAGAGGGAGTAAATAAAGTAAAGCACAGTGGTCACAAATATGGGCTCTGGAGTAGAATAATCCTGAGTTCAAACCCACCACTGACCATTGTTGGTGGGCAGAACCCTGAGATGGCCCCAGGATCACTGCCCCCTGTGTCCACGCCCTGGAGGATCCTTTCCCATTTCATGTAAGTGGGACTGTCATTGTGACTGGTAAATGACAGAGGCGAAGGGATTTTGCAGATATAATCAGGGTCCAAAATCAGCTGACTGAGTGAGCCTGACCTAATCAGGTAAAGCCTTAAAAGACGCCTGCGGGGGATAAAGCAGGGAGAAGAGTACAAGTACACTTCTAGGCCCTTCCTAAAGGAAGAGATTCAAAGCAAGTGATTCACCTGCTGGCCGTGATGTGGCTATGTTGTGGCAGGACCACACCCCTAAGACTCAAGGCACCTCTAGGAAGTGAGGGTGATCACCAGCCAATACCCTGCAAAAAATGGGGACCCCGGCTCCACAATGCACGCAACTAAATTCTGCCAACAACCCTATGCAGATCCCTCCCATGCCCCACACCCTCCTCGCTCCAAGCATCAGATGAGATCACAGCCCGGGTCAACACCCTGATGGCAGCCTCATGAGACCTTCAGTAGAAAACCCAGTTACATTGCACCCAGACTTCTGGCCCACAGAAACTTCGAGGTAATTAACAGGCGTTATTTTAAGCCACTAAATGTGTGGTAACTTGTTTGGCAGCAACAGATAACTAATACGCCATCTCTGTGTGATCCTAGGCAAGTGACCTCACCCTCTCTGGGCCTCAGTTTCCTCATCTGCAAAACTGCAAGGCTGTAAATGAAACAGGATGTGTAACAGCCTCACCCAGAAAGTGGGAAGCAGCGTGTTCTGTGCCCTTTCAGGTTCATGGAGGGATTTCACAGCAGGGCAATGGGAGGTGCTGTCATGTATTTTTGAGACACCAATCTGTTTTTTCAATCTTCGGAGGGATTGCTTGGAGAAGAGAGTGAACAGCAACTTCTAGCTCCAACTTACAGCCATCCCAGTTACTCCCAACTGCCTTCAGAGTGCACAGACCAATGTCCAGGGCAAGGGACCACTTGGTCAAAATAAATTCAGTCACTTATTTCAAGTCCCAGGAAGGATCTCAGGCAGTGTGTTCAAGATGATATGCTGTAACTGTTCCTCTGCAAAAAGTAGGGAAATACTAAGATTCTAAAACAGAATGTTTAAAAATAACCTCACTAATTACTGGGGCCTGCTCAGGTGCCAGGCAGTGAGCCAAGTGTCTCAACATATTTTATAGATGAGGAAACCAAGGTTCAGAGAGGGAAAGCTTCTTGCCCAAGGTCACACAGCTGCTGAGGCGCAGAGATAAGATTCAGACCCAGACAATCTGGCTAGGCCCCTGGCACTTGAGCACAATGCCACACTGTAAAAAATTCTCCTGTGCAAAATCCCCCAGCTCACATACCCACATAGTCAAAAGACACCAGACCATCTTAGTCCCCAGAAGTCTGCACAAAAATGCTTAGCAATTATATAATTCAAAACAATCACATCATGTAATAAAACATAGGCACATATAGAAGCAATTTTTTTCATTCAAAAAATACTTAATGAGCATCTACTATGTAGCAGGCATTGTTGGTGCTGGAGATCAAAATCTCTATTCTCTTGGCATGCCTGTGACATTCCAGCGAGGGAGGCAGACAATAAGTAATAAATAAGTAAAATGTCCAGTGTGTTAGCTAGTGGGAAAAAAACAACGCAAGCAAAGGAAGAAATGGTGAGGTGGGGATGTGCGGTGTCAGAAAAGACCCAGTCAAGAACATGATTTTGAGCAAAGGCCTGAAGGAGGTGGAGGGCTGAGCCACGGGGACACTGGGAGGTGGGAGGGAGCGCATTCCAGACAGCACAGGTGCAAGGGCCCTGAGGCAGGTGCGTGCTTGGTGCATTTGAGAAAAGGCAAATGCGCTTGGAGGAAGTGGGCGAGGGGGTAAGAGCTACCCAGAAGATTCTGGAACTGGATAATGGGGATGACTGCATAACTTGGTGAATATACTCAAAACCACCGAATCGTACAGTTTGAAAGGGTGAGGTTTATGATTTGTGAATTCACATCTCAGTTTTTAAAACTTTATGGGGAAAAAGGAGTAATGAAAGAGGAGCTGAGAGAGCCAAGAGGGGCAGGTCTTGTGCGACATTCCAGGCCAGACTAAGGACTGCTTTTATGCTAAGTGAGATGTAACTGTAACTGATTAGGGTCTCACTGGATCCCTCTGACTGCGTAAGGAGAACAGAATGCGGGAGGCCAGGGCGAGATCAAAAGAGTCAACTGCAACGGCCCTGGCCATTCCCGGCTGCGCGTCCTCAGGTACGCCACTTCCCCTCTCTGCAGCTATTTTCCTCATGCAGGAAGTGGGCCTGAAAAATCCATCCCCCACAGGGCAGAGGTGAGAGCTAATAGACAGTAAAGTGCTGTTATGATGCCTATGCATGGAGGGTGGAGTACCGATCCCGCCAAACAGTTTTTAATTATGCAAATGAGTTTCCTGAACAGAAAACAAGGGGCACCTTCCTTTGTCTCAGGAAGCAGAGGTTCATCTCGCATCAACAGCCCTCCCAGCCCAGAGGCAGCTGCCTTCACAGCTCATCCACATTCTGGCCACAGATGGGGGCCCAAACTCCTCTTTGGGTGTGGTTGGGTCCACTGGCCTCCTCCAGGAAGCCTGCCCTGGTTACTTGGTAACCCAGTACCCACAGGAAAGCTGAAACCCAAAGAGAGGACAGAACCAGCCGTAGGTCACAGAGCAGCCTGGGAGCAGGCAGGGGATCTGCTGTGGGAGGGGACGGTACACCCATTCCTCTCTGAGACCTTAGTAAGACCATTGCACAGTCTTGGTTTCCACGTCACCAACTGACCCATGCCATATCCAACTGAAAGCACTCTGGTGGCTCCTCACACCACCAGAAATAAAACCCAAACTGCTCACCATGCATCTGAGGCCCATGCGACCTGGACCCCACCAACATGCCAATCTCATCTCCCTTACTCTCCCCTCCAGCCACCCTGGCCTCTTACTGTTCCTCAAACAAGCCTGGCACAGTCCTGCCTCAGGGCCTTTGCATCTGCTGCTCCCACTGCCTGGAACACACTTTTCTCCACTCTTTCCACCAGGGCTCCTTCTCCTCCTTCAGGACTTGGTCAAATGTCATCTCCCTAGAAAAGCCTTCCTTGCCCATCCCATCTAAAGTAGATGCGACCATCCCTGTCACAAACATCACCTCATTTTATTTCCTTCTGTCTGAATCCACTCCCCAGCTGTGTGGACTTCAGCAAGTTACTCAGCCTCTCCCGGCTTTAGTTTCCCCATCTGCAAAATAGGTATAATGATGATATTGACCTCAGGGAGTTGCTGCAAGGGCTCAAGAAGCATGTGGCACAGTACCTGGAACAGAGCAAGGCCTCAGTGGGTGTCCTTATTATGACAACTCTGGTCCTTTTCTCAAGGGATTTCTTTTTGCGGTGTCTGAAGATTCCCTGAGGGCAGAGACCTTGTCTGTCTTGTTCCAGCCACATGCCAGCACCTAGCACAGTGCCTGGCACACAGTGGGTGCTGAATGGCCATTTATTGAATGAATAAGTCGATTAGTGGATGAAAGCATCAACTGCCCACACCCTGACCCCGGCCTCGCTCCTCCTGAGAGATGCACAGAAGCCACCCACCCTCCCAGCAAGGGGGGAAGCACAAGACCCTGGGTCCTGACGGCCAATGGCCACCTGCCTGCACCAGCTTTCAGTGGCCCCAGTCCCGCCAGCCTGAAATAGTCTCGCCTCCCCTGGCCCAGAATCAAGGGATCGTCTGTCAGTTCCATCCTGGGGAAGGAATCAGGCGGGTAAACACAGATTGAGTGTCTGACCACAAGACAAAAGAAGAGCAGACAGATTCCCTTCTGGTCCTCAAGGAGCCAAGAAAATAAAAATAAGCTCAAAAATCTACACAGGGCTGGAAGGCTGGAGGGCTCTGCTTCTTCCTTGGGACTTCCTCCGGGAGGAGGGGTGAGCCCGCACACAGTCACTGTACTCCCCAGAGTAACCCTAGGAGTGCTGGGGTCATCCCCATTTTGCAGATGGGGAAACCAGGACTCAGAGAGGCAAAGCAACATCCCCAAGGTCACACAGGGGAAGAGCTGGGATCTGAACCCAGGCAAGGTGGCTCGAGAGTCTGTGCTCTAAACCATGAACCGCAAGAGAGGGAGCCTCCCAGACACTCTGCTGGGTGAAAAGGGCAAACCGTATTATGCTACTTACATAAACACATCAATCTCACGTATTTCCACACAGGCATGCTAATGCCCCCACACGATCTGAGAGCACAGGTGGTAGTCAAAGGAGCTTTTAGCCCAGTGGTTCTCAACTGGGGGCTATTTTTCACACCCAACCACCTCTAGTGGATACCTGGAATATCTGGAGACATCTGTGGTTGTCACAACTGGGGAAGAGGGGTCCTACTGGCATCTGGTAGGTAGAGGCCAGCGATGCTGCTAAACATCTTACAATGCACAGGACAGCACCCCCACAGCAAAGAATGGTCCAGCCCCGTATGTCGACAGTGCTGAAGGCTGAGAGACTAGTGGGATTTGCTCCAGACCAACGCTAGGGCCAGAAATGACCCCGTGAAACCTCTTCAAGAGGGACTTTTGGCCGGGCATGGTGGCTCACGCCTATAATCCCAGCACTGTGGGAGGCCAAGGCGGGCAGAACACTTGAGGTCAGGAGTTCAATACCAGCCTGGTCAACATGGTGAAACCCTGTCTCTACTAAAAAAATACAAAAAGTAGCCGGGCATGGTGGCACGTGCCTGTAGTCCCAGCTATTCGGGAGGATGAGGCAAGAGAATCGCTTGAACCCGGGAGGCAGAGGTTGAAGTGAGCCAAGATCACGCCACTGCACTCCAGACTGGGCGACAGTACAAGACTCCATCTTAAAAAAAAACGGGGGGATTTTTGATCCTGGCTAAAACACAGATCCCCAGAAAAGGATGTGGGCCACCAAGCTCTCTTCCCAGGTATCTGGGGATGGAACTCTAACAAACTGAGTGGCTACTGCCCTTAACTGGTGCTCACCTCCCCTCTGGGGACGCAATTTATGTCACCTGCAAAACAAGGAGATTCAGACCGAATGACCCACCTGGCTTCTGTTCAAGATCTCCGAAACGCAGGGCAGGAATCAGCTCCGACCTGGCCCCATGTCTGGGGAATGATGCTGTGGGACACAGCACACAGGTTTGAGGGGCAGCCCACCCTATCACCCACCTCCCTCCAGTATTCTAGCCAGCATGCCTGTGTCTGTTGGAAAAAAAGAAAAGCCCCAAAAATCTGGAGAGGTCAGGTTCTCCTGCAGCCAGGCATGACCTGCTTCAAACACTTAAACTCTTGCAAAACCTTTAAGGGAGAGCGGCTGTGAAGCAAATAGGATGTGGGTTTCTTTATTAAAGGGAGTGGCCCCAAGCCCAACAGGTCTTCAGCTCTCTGGCCTGATAAAGGAGTATCTTTCTCTCCAAGAAAGGGGTGCCCTGAAGTCTCAAAAGCCAGAGACACCAACCCCATTCGCGTCTTCTTAAAGTGACAGTTAAATTGCTACCAGGGCAAACACCAGAATAAAAGTAGGTAGGCTTCCAGAAGGTTTGTCTGAAGAATGAGTTGTAGAATCCCCACAGGGTTGTCCTTCTTATAAGGACAACGACCTGTTGATGACTTCATTCTCGTGGCCCAGAACACTGCCCAGGATATACAGCAGATGCTCCATAAATACCTGCACACAGAGAAAAGCAGTCTCATATCTTCATGGTTTTATCTGTACAGAGCTCTCTGTCTGCCATACATTAAAAAAAATGTAACCCATCTAAATCCTGCTGACACTCAGTTTTTACCATCAAAAGATTTTCACTGACTTCCTGATGATGATGAGCCCAACACAAGGTGGCCTGTTCCAGGCTCTCCGGCATCTGAAAACTGAAATAAGGTGGACTTTTTGACTTAATTCTTGCCCACCTGGGCAGCCCAGAGGTCTCACAGGGGCAGTAATTTTGCTCATGAACACAGCCTCATTTTGGTGCAATTCAGGATAGTGGTGAAGAATGTGGGCCATGCAGCCGCATTACCTGGGTCCAAGTGCCAGTTCTGTCAGGCTGTGTGACCTTGGGAAACTGACTTGGCCTCTCTGTGTCTTTGTTTCATTTGTAAAACAGGAAGCATAAGAATACCTGCAACTTTTGAGTTAATGCTTAAGGAACTTATAAACAGGGCTTGCAAGTATATAAATATTAGCAAATTGTTACCATTATTACTGTTGCATTAATCTAATAACCATGTTGAAAATACAATTCTTCCTGTCGGCTTCTTAAAAAATATATTCGCATACATATGCATAATTTTATATGAAAAGGGTATTATAAACAGGATTTTACTTCCTTATCTTCCTGGTTGCCTTTCTGTAAAAGATACACATCCTTCCATCCTTTTCTCCAACCTAATGTCACCTTATACATATAACACACGTGTATATTATGGTTATTGTTTATTTTCCAAAAGAACTGTGTTACATATACCTCTCAGCATCCTACTTTTCATATGAGGACCACGTGAAAATCCCCCCAAGTTACTGGGGAGGTCCCTCTGCCTCAATGACTGTGAAATCAAAGACCTGCCCCCACCCCAACCACCCGTGGCATTTCTCCCTAGTGTGAGACTAGGAGTACAGAATCTTTTAAAACAGAAAAAAAAATAGTGACAACAAAAAACCACAGTTTCTTGTTTGGCAAGCGGAGCTCCAATGAGAAGAAAAACTTTTGTCTCCTCCCTCCAAAAAGCAGAACCACAGAAAGCATTCTGGGAGCTTTCTGCCCACAATCCCTGTTCCTCAGAGACTCCCATCCTGGTCGGTTCCGGGCAGACCCTCTGTGTCTCTATAGCTCTCTGTCCTCAGCCACGGGGAGACCTTCGAGGAGCTGCTGACCAACTCCCACCCACCGGCCTCTCTGCCCACCCACCCAGGCCCTCTCTTCTCTTTCGACCACTGCCCAGCTGACACACCCCATCATGGGAGTTACTGGCACCTGCCCCTGAGGTGCCTCCCCTTGGCAGGTGGGCCCAAGGTCTACTCAGCCTCCTCTAGGGGAGTGGGGGGCAAGCTTCACCACATCCCTGTGACGCAGGTGCTACACTGTGCCCGTTGGACAGATGTGGAAACTGAGGCACAGAGCAAGTCAGTGATCAGCCCAAGGTCACCTACAGTCCAAGTGGAAGAAGCCTGGATTTGAACACCAGCAGCATGACTCCAGAGCCTCACTCAACCCTCGTGCCATGAACAGACCCGGAGCCCAGAGCAAGAACTCGGCAGCCTGCCATTTCTATCCGTCCACAGTTCTTCCCATTCTGTGGAGAAAAGAATGGGAGTCACAGAGGGCAAGTAACAGGAGGAAGCGCAGGCGGAGGTGAAACATCACACAGACCTGGGTTCAAATCCCAGTTCTGCCACCTTAATAAATCATGTGCCAAGCCCTTCTTGGATCAGCCAAAGGCGGTCTATCAAGTGGCTGGGGACATGAGTTGTGGGGTCAGGCAGCCTAGGATCAAATCCTGGCAATGCTGTCCACCTGACCCAGAGCAGCTCACTTAGATTCACTTTGCCTCAGTTTCCTCACCTCTCAATGGGGATAAAAACAGCATCCCCTTCATAAAGAAAATTAAATGAGTTGACACATGCAAAGTGCTTAGAATGGCAAGTGATGAATCAAAGTCAGTTCCTGCACAGCAATGACTGTCATTGTTTTCATCATGACTAACGCTGCCCAGAGCACACGGGGAGTACCCCACATAGCCAGGGCCTCGAAATGATTCGAGCCAAGGTTCTGAGTCAAAACCCCAGGCACTGTTTCCCCCAAGACCGATCCAGCATCTCTGTGAAAGGGCTGTCCTTGCCTTTTCATGATTATTTAATAAACACACGCAAAACACCAAACTCAGAGGACTCCCTGGAGATGAGGGAGGGAGTGCAACCCAGTTCCTGAAGGAGATGGGGAAAGATGGGAAGATTCTCAAGGAACCACAAAGCCCTCGGCCTGGAACCAAACAAAACCACTGGTTCCTGTGGCCGGAGTTTAGGGTGTCAAAAGGAAACTCACTCAGAGCCCCCATCCTCCTCTCAGTGCTGACTTAACTCAGACCTCACTTCCTCCAGGAAGCCCTCTCTGATCACCCCTGCTCTCTGGATGCTGAAGTCCCACAACCCTAATTATCTGTATTATTTAATTTTCCTACAACAACAATAATAACCAATATTTATATACCTTACTGCCAGACACTGTTCTAAGTGCTTTACATCAATTTCTATAACTCACTTATCTTCTTTAAAAACCTATAAAATAGGACCTATTAACATCCCTCTTTTTACAAATAAGGCTCAAACAGGTTAAGGTGTTTGCCCAAGGTCACAAGTCCAAGGATTTAACCTCAAGCAGTCTGGCTCCAGAGCCTTGCACTTGGATTGTTTTTTTTAAACACCCATTTGGCCATCCTCCACTACACCGTCCTCTCCTTGAGGACAGAAGCCACACATGGCCCCTATCACGGGGGTTACTTTCCACGGTTTCCATGGGCCGATGGGACCTTCACACCAAGGACACACGGAGACCAGGGTGGTCCTTTAAGGCCTGCCTCTAACCACATGGAAATAAAAGCAGGGAGGGATTACCGTGCATTCTTCCAAGCCAGGAGACAGCAGGGAAAATCCCTTAGCAAATATAAAGGCTGAGAAGAGAGAGTGGGAAGACAGAAGAGAATCACAACCTGAGGCTGCCAGCCTTGCAACCATGGAAAGCCTTGGTAATTAGCAGTTCCTGAAGCTCTAAGCCCCAGGTTAGTTTTGAAAACGAAAATGCCTTGGGATGTTTAGGGGCCATTCCTGACGGGCCAAGATGAGAGAGGACTCCTGTGGCTCACAAACAACGTATGGCTGGTCAGGTTACACAATCCGTCTGTTTCTGGCACCAGCTTGGGGACACACAAAAGGCCCAGGCAGAAAGGAAGCCCGGATTCCCCGCTCCTTGTTTCACAGGTGGGGAAACTGAGGTCAGGACACGTAGCATGATTGGTCCAAGACACATGTCCAAGTCAGAACCAATTCATCTCAGAACTGACACATCAGATACAAAAAGAAAAATGTGATGAAGTCAGCAAATGTAAAGTGTTAAGGAGATAATGTGAAAGTAGAGAAATCTTTTTTTTTCCTGTTTCTTGAATAATAAGAATGGTTGGCTCCAATCAATTTCCATTATTCCAGCTTCCTCCTACTCTACACGTGGACGATTTAAAACCACAGTTAACTCAAACACAATCTAGATCTGTTCTAAAATGAAACACACCATCTAGGGCAGGGGCGTGGGAGGGAGAGGTATATTTTCTTTCCCATTAATATCAAAATTGGTTTGTATTTCCTGTTTCTCTTCCAAGCAGAGGAGCATGGAGTGGCTCAGAAGGAGAAGTCAGGAGTTCCCTAGAATTTGACATTGCTCAGAGACACCAGGGTTGTCTACATGTTTAATTCAAAAACTGCCAGCTTCTAACAGAACAAATTCTTCCCCCACCCCCCACCCCCGAAACTGTGAGAGAAGAAGGGATGGGAAAGAAAGCCAATCCTGCCTTATTCTTACAGGCCTTCCTAGAAGGGTCCTTTAGCCAAATGGTTTTCAATGCTTCTGCACAACCCCCTCTCCCACATCCCCCTGCCCCCAGTACATCTCCTTTCACAGGCAGAAGGGCTCTAGTCTAAGGCTGTCTCCTCCCTGAGCTGGAACTCTGATCTCACACAGCCTCAGCTGCACCCCTAAGCCATGAGGAGCCCCAGAGGACCCCAGAGTCTCCCTCTTTCTCCCAAAGACTAGGAGCTACAAAGCCTGGCTCTAGGGTCTTTGAAAGAGCCACCCCCACACCAGCCCTTCCTGAACCAGGATTAAAAGACTTCCTAGAGCAGAGAAGGGGAGTAAATGAGGCCCCAGCAGGAGGCATGGAGATTAAAGACTTTAGAGTCTCCTAACTTCCATCCAAGGCTCTGCCCCGTCCCACCCCCTCCACCCGCTGGCCACTTTTCTCACTTCCTAGGAGAGTAGGGAAGTGGCCCCTTCCTCCCTCTCACAGAAAAAAAGCAAAAGAAAAATGCAGCATAGAATAGGGGTTTAGAACACCAGCTGGGATAGTCCCGGTTCAAAGCCCAGTACCCCCACTTAATCAGCTGTGCGATCCCAGACAAGCTACCCGGCCCCTCTGGAGCTAAACTTTCCCAATCTTAAAAACGGAGGAGGCAGGACCCAGTAGCTCACGCCTGTAATCCCTGCACTTTGGAGGCCGAGGTCGGCGGATCACTTGAGGCCAGGAGTCCAAGACCAGCATGGCCAACATGGTGAAATCCCCTCTCTGATAAAAATACAAAAATTAGTCGGCCGTGGTGGCTGGCGCGTGCCTGTAATCCCAGCTACTCGGGAGGCTGAGGCAAGAGAATTGCTTGAACCCGGGAGGCGGAGGTTGCAGTGAACCGAGATTGCGCCACTGTACTCCAGCCTGGGTGACTGAGGGAGACTCCGTCTCAAAAAAAAATTTTTTTAATTAAAAATGGGGGAAATACTCGTCCCTACTTCATAGACCGCCTGTGAAGGTTAAACCTGCTAATTAATGACACATGTAAGGTGTCTGGCACATAGTAAGTGGTCGGTTGTTATTTTACAAAGTCTGAGGCCGTGGTTTTGCACTTGGAGATGGGGAGTTGGTGGGGGTGGATGCAGTTAGGGAGCCTGGACTGCCGAGTTTTGAGTTCGAAACCCACTCTCCCCGAACTCCAGCAAAAACCTGTGCATGGGGGATTCTACCCTGGGGTTCTGTCAATCCCCGCCCCTCCTCTGAGCTTCAGGTTTTATCCTACTCCATCAACGCGCAGGGACGTTGGGCTCTGGGGCTCCTACGGTATGTCCTAGATGAGTGGTGCACCGGGCGCGTAGTTATTCCTGGGAAAAAGACGCAGGAGCGCCAGCTCCCGGCGCCGCCGGGGTCCCCAAGCCCCTGCATCGCGGATGTAACTAATTTTAAAACTATTTGAAAGGCGGGGACGGGGAAGAAAAGACAAAAGGGCAGCGCGCGCCGCGGGGAAGTGGAGTGCGGGAGAGCCCCGGTCGGAGCAGGACCGTGCGCCGGCCAGGGAGGGAGGCGACGCGACAGCTCTGGAGGAGCTCGGATCCCCCCCGCTTTCCGCGCGCCCTGCGGGGCGCCCCCGAGGCAATTCTCCACCCACGGGGACCACGGCCACAGGTTGTGGGGACCGCAGCGGGGCGAGCGGCTGGAGGGAAAGCTGTCCCCAAGCTCCCGAGCGACACTCACCGACTGCAAGAAGCGCAAGGTGCCCACGTAGTCCCTCTCGGTGCCCAAGATCTCGTTGAGGACGCAGAGGCGGAGGCGCAGCTGGCGCTCGGACTCCCGGGCGGCCGCGCACGGGCCGGGGCCGGAGCTGGGCGCCGCGGCGCCAGGGGCCCGGGGGTCCGGGTGGGCGCAGTCCCCGGCCCCGTCGCCGCCGGGCTCGCTGCCGCTGGGCGCCTCCATTCTAGCGCGGCCGCGCGGCGCCGGCTCCTTCCGTCGCGCCGAGCGGCAACTCAGGCGTCCAGGCGCCCCATCCCGGACGGGGCGCGCCGGCGGGCCGGGCTCAGCGGCGGGCCGGGCTCCCGGCGCGGCGGGCGGGACTGGGGGCCGGGCGGCTGGGCCGGGGGCGGAGGCAGCGCGCGGGGGCCGGGCGAGGGGCGGGAGGGGGCGGCCCTCGGGGCTCCCAGACGGCTGGCCCCCCGCCCCCGCGCCAGGGACCGTCTGCCAAGTGCCACGCCGCGCTCGGCCGCAGAGGCGCTCTGCGCGTGCACGGGGCCCCTGGGGACGCGGCGCGGCGCTCGGCGCCTCCGTCGGAAGCTCGGGGGTCGGGCGGGAGCCTCCGGAAGGGCCCCGCGGAGCCGGGAGTCCGAGGCCGCGCGCACGCCGAACCGAGCGTACCAACTCCGCGCCCGGACGCGTGGCGCCCCCCCAACCCGCAGTCACCGCGGGCTACGCCACTCCCACCCGGCACACGCGACACCCGCCGCGCGCAGGCTCCTGCTTGCAGGTCCGGCCGCTGCTCGGGCCAAGTAAACACCGGGCTGGGAAAGCTCGCTGCGGAGCCGCTCGGGGGCAAGCCAGCCCCGCCACGCGCGCCTCCGCGGCCCCGGGAAGTCAGGGGCGACCGCTGCCTGGGCAGTGACGGCCCCTCTCTGGGCAGTGACGGCCCCTCCCGGGAACGCCGGGCCCTCGCGGTGCCCTCGGTGCTACCACGACCTTGGGAAGGAACATGCGTGGCGCGCGCTCGCTCTCACTTTTCTCTTTCCCGTTTCCTTTCCCATCTCTCTCTTTCCTTCCTTCCTTTTCTTTCTGAACTTCTTTGCCCCCTGACCCTGCCCTTTCCACCTTTCCCAGAAGAAATTATTACCTGCTCTTGAGTTATTGATCAAGTGGCAGGTACCCTGCCTGCTCCCCCTTCCATCCACCCACCCCATGGGATAAGGCCTTGGGAAACCCAGCTTCTTGTCAGGTTGCTCTGGGCAATGTTGATCATCACCCGCCTTATCGGAAGGTATGGAGAGGGGAGGAAGTTCTGGGGCCTAGAGTCAGCTGCTCAGGTTCAAATCCTAGCTCCCCACTTGCTGGCCGGGTGGCCTTGGGCTGGTTTCCTTGCTTCAAGATCCTCAGTGTTTTCATCAGTATAACGGGAACGATCATGGTACCTAGCTCCAAGGTCCTCCCCGGGGTTCCATGGGAAGTACTTAGCACCTAGAAAGTTCTCTGTAAATGTTTGTTCTTACTATTATTGCATGTGTGAAGCCCAACACCTAGAAAGTTCTCTGTAAATGTTTGTTCTTACTATTATTGCATGTGTGAACGGCCCTCTAAGCCTGGCCCCACTCTCAAATGGCCCATACAATCCCTAATCACCCGTGTTTCCGGACCAGAGATTGTATCGTCTCTGCAGGGGATAAAGTGATCCACATAGTATCCGCCTCTAGACTGTAGTCATTTTATGGACAGAAACATTGCTTATTTATTCCTGTTCCAAAAGCCTAGGATTTTCCTCCCATTGGCCTCTCAATACTGTAAGTGCCTAAGGACACAGGGAGAGAATGGGGTGGCTTCTGCCCTCTCTGACTTCTTTCTTTGGGATCATGGGCAAGGTAGCATTTGATCTGGGCCTTGGGCTGAGTGAAGTTCCCCTGGGCAGGGAGTAAAGGACATGAGATAGGTGAGCCTGTCACGCTTGGGTAGTGGAGTCAATTGTGTCCAAAGGTAGCTGGTTTTTTATTTATATTTTTATTCCTAATAAAGGCCTCTGGAGTATCTCTGCTTTGTGACTTTAAACTGTTCACGGTACCTTTCTGAGCCTCCGTTTCCTCATCTTTAAATTAATTCTGTCTACCACGAGGGGAGAACATGGCTGGAACATAATGGACCATGGAATGAAGCGGGCTTGCATTTGTATCCCAGTCCAAATCCAACTGGCAGGGTAACCTTGGCCAAGACACGTTATTTCTCTGGGCCTCAGTCGTCTAATCTGTAAAAGGGGAGTCTTTGTGAGAGCGAATTCTATGCAATACAGACTTTCTCAACCTTGGGACTATTGACATTTGGAGTCACATAACTCTTTGTTGGGGGAGGGGCGTGTCCTGTGCATTTCAGGACATTTAGCCGCGTCCCCTACCCACTAGATGCCAGTAGCACTCCCTCCCCAATCTGAGAATCAAAAATGTCTCCAGGCTGGGCACAGTGGCTCCGGCCTCTAATCCCAGAATTTTAGGAGGTCCAAGTGGGAGGATTGTTTGATCCCAGAAGTTCAAGACCAGCCTGGGCAACATAGCAAGACCCTGTCTCTACAAAAAAATTTTAAAAATTAGCTGGGCATGGTGGCACACACCTGTAGTACCAGCTGCTGGGCTGAGGTGGGGAGCTTGCTTGAGCCCAGGAGGTCAGGGCTGCAAGTAAGCTGTGATCACACCACTGCACTCCAACCTGGACAACAGAGTAAGCCTTGCCTCAAAAATAAACAGAAAAAGTGTCTCCAGACATTGCCAGATATCCCTGGGGACAGAATTGCCCCCTGTTGAGAACCACTGATGTAAAGTACCTGACACACATAGCTGGCACAGAGTAGGTGCTCAACAAATGTTAGTTCCCTTCTCAGCCCATGACCAAGGAAGGTTAGCCTCAAGTTTACACACAAATCCCACATTTCACCCAAGAATTGGCCCACACTGCCAAAAAACATTTCCACGTTGTGGATGGGTCCCATCTCTGGCCCACCCCAATGTTTTATACATCGTTACTTCCTCAGATTCTGCTGGGATCTTTTTCCCCTTCCATCCCCATCCCCAGTGGTAATGATGACACTAAAAGATAATACAGCGTTTAGTAACATACTTAAGCTCTCTGTGCCTTGCTTTCCTCATCTGTGAACTAAGAATAATATCAGTACCTACATCATAAAGTCGTTGCAAGGTTCCTGAGTGCATACATGGAGGGTGCTTAGAGCACACAGTAGGTGCTCAATAAGTGAAGTCTTTTACAATGCGTGGATTGAGTGCTGAATCTAATAGGATGCATTTGGCTGCAAGGAGAAGAAAACTGGGCTATTGATAGCTTAAAGCATAAGGACATTATTTAGCAAGAGGTCCAGAGGCAGTTGGTTCCTGAGGCTGGTGTAGGACTTCATGATGTCATCAAGGATCATGGCACCTTTGACCCTCCTATCCTCAGCATGGTGGCTTTTCCTCCCAAGCTTTAGGGCCTCAGAGGCACAAAATGGCTGCTGAAACAGCAACATTGCCTCCTCACACACCTCCAATGAAGGAAAGAAAAGTACGAAGAAGACTCTGTCTCCTCTGTGCTTCTCTCTTTGGGGGAATAAACTTAAGCTCCCAGCAGGTCAGCACTAGAAGCCATGGTCACCCTTGAAAAGTCCCTGACCGAGGGCATAGATTGCCACCATCAACTTAGAAAAGACCTGCTTAGTCCCCTGGCACAAGGCTGCCCAGACAACTTGGAGATCTGTTGTCAAGAGAGAAGAGGAGCTAGCATGGTGGGCATCTATAAGTGTCGGCCACAAGCATCTACTACACACTGGGCATTGGGCGGGGTCCTGAGGCTGCAGCACTGAGCACCCCAACAGCTGAGGCCCTTGTGCTGCCGGCATTATTCCAGCAAGGGGGATAGGTGAGGATGAAGACAAGTTCCTCCTCTCATGCATTCAACTATTATATACTGAGGGCCTCCTATGCTCCAGGCAGGGATACAGCAGTGAACAGAACAGATAAGGTCCCTGGCTTCCTGGTGTGTCCAGTCAAGAGCAGGGAGAGAAGGACAATAAATAAACAAGGTCCTTTCAGCTTCTCTAAGGCCTGCAAGGGATGGGCCTGGGGAAGCACCATTGGTTGGTGGCACCTCCAGGACTCTGCCTCAGGTCACTACCCCAGTGTCATGATTCAGCCATCAGGATTCAGCCAGGGGCCTCAGCCTTGGCGGGATCAGTGGGGACTCCCTCTCTTCAAAACCTGGCTGCCTCCCAGCTAATCCTGGCATAGGCAACTCCCTAAACCAAACATGACTAAGCAGTCAGGCTGGAGTAGATCTCTTCCTATCCCCATTTCAACTTTGACCTCTATTCCCTTCTTCCCCATCACCCGTCCGGAATATCTAGTGGGGAGCCTATCTGTCTCATGTGTATGTCAGGGCAGGGCCTGAAACAGCCGGCAGCTGGGTAACGTTCTCAAAAAGAACAGGGAGGAAGAAGAAAAAAAAAAAATTGCAGTTCAGGGGGAAGAAAAAAAAAGTGATGATAATGATAGGGAAATTCTCTTTTGCAGGGACAATTTTAGAGTTTCCGTTGCCATGTACTTTGCAAATAGTGGGAAATACCATTTCGTTTCTGTTACATAAGTTTCACAGTTGAGGGGGAGAAGATTCTGCTGCTTGGAAACATCAGAGTTTCTTATTCCCTGACAAGCCCCTGTCAGCTTCTGCAGGCTGAGGATTTGAAGGCCCCCTTCCCAAGCTCTGTTTAAAAGGAAAACTAATTAAGTTAAAGCAAGGAAAAACAAGTGATTTTCTTTCCCATCCCAAGTTGAATGAGCCAATTGAGAAGTGAGTTACTGCACTGCCCGAGGGTGCCATCATTTCCCAAATGCAAATGAGTTCTCAAAAGTCAGACCAGCAGCCCAGAGCAGGGCTGTTCCTCATTCTGAGAACCAAGAGCAGCTGTCTGAGAAGAAGAGGGAGGCCTCTCCACCCTTGGAATTAGAGCAGCTGGACAACTCAAATCAACGCTGGACACACAGCCCAGGGTTCACTTCTTCCCACCAAAATATAATCGTCTTCCTAGTAGTTGAGCTACCCCCAGCTGCCCAAGTCAAAACGTCTCTAAGGGAAGCCTTGCTGTTGGAAGCACATTCTCCAGGGGGCTCTGGTTCAAGGTCTGATTTAAGCATAATAGGTATCCAATTAAGTCAGGGCTCCACAGCTTTGCCAAATCATACTTTTGCCAGGAGGCATTGGAGACACTGCTTTGAGGAAGCAGAAAGGAAAACATCTAGGACCCTCAGTTCCAATCCCACTCTGCCACCAACATGCACGACTTCTTCTCCAGCCTTTGGACATTGTTGTAGCACCAGAGACCAGCTTCTCAGCTTCAAATCCCAGTCCCACTGCTTCCTAATTGTGTCACTTTGTGTAAGTGACTTAACCTCTCTGGGCTTCAATATCCATATCTGTAAAATGGGGTCAGTAAGAGCTTCTACCTCACAGCGTTGTTGTGCAGGTTAAAATATTTAATAGATCCAAAGTGCATAGTATGCTGCCCGATCCTTGGATGGGTGTTTGCTATTGTAAGTGGATGAAGCCATGATGTCTGGAGCTATGACAGCCATCTTGAGACCCTGAGATAGGACACTTCTAACTAACTGAAGGTGCAAAATGACAGATGGAAAGAATCTGGATCTTTGATGTCACTGAGATCCTGAATTAACCAACCATGGAACCACCCTGCCTCTAGACTTCTTGTATTAAAAGATAATAAAATGTATAACATCCCATTTTGGACCTTATGGTCACCCTATCTTTTCTTTCTTTTTTTTTTTTTTTTGAGATGGAGTCTCATTCTGTTGCCCAGAGTGGAATGCAATGCCGCGATCTCGGCTCACTGCAACCTCAGCCTCCTGGGTTCAAGTGATTCTCCTGCCTCAGCCTCCCAAGTATCTGGGATTACAGGTGCCCGCCACCACGCCCAGCTAATTTTTGTGTTTTTAGTAGAGACAAGATTTCACCATGTTGGCCAGGCTGGTCTCAAACTCCTGATCTCAGGTGATCCATCCGCCTCGACCTCCCAAAATGCTGGGATTACAGGCATGAGCACGGCGCCTGGCCGACCCTATCCTTTCAAATAAGCATTGACCTGACTTCTTGCTACTTTTAAAATGCAAATGCCAGCCGGGCGCGGTGGCTCACACCTGTAATCCCAGCACTTTGGGAGGCCGAGACGGGCGGATAGCGAGGTGAGGAAATTGAGACCATCCTGGCTAACACGGTGAAACCCCATCTTTACTAAAAATACAAAATATTAGCCGGTCCTGGTGGCGAGCACCTGTAGTCCCAGCTACTCAGAAGCTGAGGCGGAGAATGGCGTGAACCCGGGAGGCGGAGATTGCAGTGAGCCAGTGAGCCGAGATAGCGCCACTGCATTCCAGCCTGGGCGACAGAGCGAGACTCAGTCTCAAAAAAAAAAAAAATGCAAATGCCTCAGAAGGGTGCTGGTCTTCACCCTATTGCTTTCCTAATGGAGCAGAGACCTAAGGTTTATAACGTGAAGGCTGGATTGGGAGTAAAAGTTGAGAAAAGGGTTCAGAAAGAGACTGATACATAGAAGGTAAATTCTGCAATTTCGTCAAGGCCAGAGATCGACCTGGAGGAAATATCTTGAAATTTTGCAGCCAGGAATGCCAGATGGTTTCAACAGACATACTGGACACACATTTATATGTCTGGGTTATTTTTTTTTTCCCAGAACTGAAAGCTCAAAAATAAAGCTGCCCAGTCCAAATCCAGACACCTGGCAACCCCAGTGGTAACTTTTACTGAAAGCTGATGGTTTCCTCTGTAGCCGGCAGAAACACAAACAGCCACACCCTCTCCAAATGCCATTTAAGCCGCAGCCTGCCTTCCAAATTTCCAGGGCAAATTCCATTCCTGAGCCTTTTTTTTTTGAGATAGGGTCTCACTCTTGTCACCCAGGCTAGAGTGCAGTGGCACAATCACAGCTCACTGCAGCCTCAACCTTCCAGGCTCAAACACTCCTCCCATCTCCACCTCCTAAGTAGCTGGGACCCCAGGCATATGCCACCAGAACTGGCTAATTTTATTTTTTTTGTAGAGATGGGGATCCCACTATGTTGCCCAGGCTGGTCTTGAACTCCTGGCCTCAAGCAGTCCTCCCACCTCAGCCTCCCAAAGTGCTGGGATTACAGGTGTGAGGCACCACACCCATTTTTTGAGTGCTCACTCTGTGCAAGGCACTGTTGGATTACAGGCACCTGCCACCACGCCCAGGTAATTTTTGTCTTTTTAGTAGAGATGGGGTTTCACCATGTTGGCCAGGCTGGTCTCGAACTCCTGACCTCAGCTGACACCAGCCTCAGCCTCCCAAAGTGCTGGGATTACAGGTGTGAGCCACTGTGCCTGGCCCTGAGCTGGAAGTTTTATACATCACTTCTGCTCCCACCCTACTGGCCAGATCTTGCCACCCAGATGGCTCTGTGATTCTTTGCCAAGCCATGCCAAGCCACTGCCCAGGTGTTGCAGGTGGGCTGTGGGAATCTTGTTTCCTTGCGCTGAAACAGCACCAGGCATGTGTAAATAATCATTGAATGAATCAATATCTCCAGTATATGTTTTGGACTCCAGGTTGAGAGAAACCTCACCGTGAATGCCTGGGACTGTTCTAGGTACTGGGACTAGAATAGTGAATAAAGCAAAACTCTGTGTCCTCCTGTTGCTTACGTTCTAGGGACAGAAGAGACAATAAATAAAGACCCCCAATAAGTTGACAGAGTCAGCCAGATCATGGTAAGAGTTACGGAGAAAAACAAAATGGATTAAACAACAGGGAGCACTGGGGCCAGCACATGCCTGGAGGGGATGAGAGAAGGCCTCCCTGAGAAGGTGACATTTAAGCAAAGAACTGAAAGAAGTGAGGGAGTGGGCCCCACCTGTGTTCCGGGCAGCAGGAACAGCAGGTGCAAAGGCTTGGAGGTAGGAGTGTGTCCACTTGTTCAAGGAACAGCAAGGGGGAAGGGTAGTTGAGATGCATCTAGAAAGGAGAGGAAAACCAGATGTATGAGCCATATAGTTGACCATAGGACTTTGGCTTTTTCTTTGGATGAACTGGGAGCTAAACAGAGGAGAGCTATGACCTAACTTAGGTTCTAATAGAATCCCTCTGACAGCTCTATGGGAAGTAAACTAAGAGCAGGGTGAGGTCAGAAGCAGTAAGACCTATGAGGAGGATACTGCACTAGTCCAGGCAAGAGACATTGATGACTTGGGCCAGGGTGATACCAGAGGAGATGGAGAGAAACAGTTGATTCTGGATATGCTCTAAAGATGGAGCCAGCAGGATTTGCAGAGGATCTAGGGGTGAAATAGAGTGAAATAGAGTTAAACACGACTCGACTCTATTAGTGGCTCACGCCTATAATCTATGATTTTTGGAGTTGGCATTAACCACGATGGGAAAGATGGCAGGGGTCGGTGGGGTGCTGCTTTGGTGGAGAAGATGGAGCGTTTGGTTTTGGCCATGTTCAATGTCAAATTAAATACCCAAGTCAGATGTTGAGTGGGCAGTCACATCCACAATCCTGAGGTTCCAGGGAGAGGTCAGGCTGGAGATAGAAATGTAGCCATTGTCAGGATATAAGTGATAGTTAAAGCCTTGGGGCTGGGCGAGATCACCCAGGGAGGGTATGTGGATGGAGACCAGGACAAGGACAGAGGTCTGGGTCACACCAGCATTCAGAATGAGGCAGCCAGTGAATGGAGGCTGGAACAGGGGTGAGGGACAGTTCCAATTGTCCACAGGTGTTCCCTGACTCCTTTAAGACTAGACATAGCAATGGACTCTCCTGTGATCTCATTTTCCCTCGTGAAATAGACAGAGGGCAAAGTCTGGAGTGCAGTGGCACAACCATGGCTCTGTCATCTCCTCCAGAGCCCTGAGCCCCAATTTCTTATTTTGTTAAATGAGGACATTAAGAACCCCACTCTGGCTGGGTGCGGTGGCTCACGCCTGTAATCCTAGCACTTTGGGAGGCCATGGTGGGAAGATCACTTGAGGTCAGGAGTTCGAGACCAACCTGGTCAACCTGGCAAAACTCCATCTCTACTAAAAATACAAAAATTAGTAGGTCGTGGTGGCACACACTTGTAATCCCCACTACTCTGGAGGCTAAGGCAGGAAAATCGCTTGAACCCAGGAGGTGGAGCGAGATCGCACCACTGCACTCCACCTGGGCGACAGAGTGAGACTCTGTCTCCAAAAAAAAAAAAAAAAAAAAAAAAGAACCTCGCTCTGCCAGCTCTCTGAGGGACACAGCGACATAAAAAGAACTTACAGACCCCAAACTGCTAGAAAAAGTGAAAAGGAGTTCCTTCCCCCACCATCTAACCTTAATCTTTCAGAAATGTGAAACTGAAGCATAGGAAAATACTTACATAGATTCAGAGAAAACCAAAGAGAAGTAGTGGCCAGTGAGATATCATCTCACACTAATCAGAATGACTATTACTAAAAAGCCAAAAAAATCACAGATGCCCTGAGGTTGCGAAGAAAAGGGAATGCTTATGCACTGCTGGTGGGAGTGTAAATTAGTTTAACCACTGTGGGAAGCAGTGTGGCGATTCCTCAAAGACCTAAAAACAGAACTACCATTAGACCCAGCAATGCTGTTACTGGGTACTACCCAAAGGAATATAAATCATTCTACCATAAAGACACATACACACGTATGTTCATTTCAGCACTGTTCACAATAGCAAGGACATGGAATCAACCTGAATGCCCATCAGTGGCAGACTGGATAAAGACAATGTGGCACATTTACGCCATGAATACCATGAAGCCATAAAAAATAACAAGATCATGTCCTTGGCAGGAACGTGGACGGAGCTGTAGGCCATTATCCTTAGCAATCTAAAGCAGGAACAGAAAACCAAATACCTCACGTTCTCACTTATAAGCAGGAGCTAAATGACGAGAACTCATGGACGCAGAGGGGAGCAACAGACACTAGGGCCTACTTGAGGGTGAAGATTGGGAGGAGGGAGAGGAGCAGAAAAAATAACTATTTGGTACTAGGCTTAGTATCTGGGTGATAAAATTGTCTGCACAACACACCCCTGTGACACAAGTCTACCTGTATAACAAACCTGCACAGGTACCCCTGAACCTAAAATAAAAGTTTAATGAGAGAGAGAGAGACAGAGAGAAAGAAATTTAAAAATTGAAAGAAAAAAAAAAAGAGTGGTGGCAGAGAAAGAACTACTTACAACTCCATGCAATAACATGAATGAATTTTAGAAACATGATATTGAGCCAACGAAGCCAGATACAAAAAGGTATTATACATGATGTAGGTATGATTCCATTTATACAGAGCTCAAAAGCAGGCAGTATTGAACTACAGTGCTCAGAGGATGCAGTGTGAATATAGCACTGCATGGCAAAGCTGCAAAGAAAAGAAGCCAGGCAGCGGTTTCCTCTCCGGTTGGGAGGGGTCTGGGATTCAGATGAGCCGCACAAAGGCTTAAGCGGGGCTGGAAACGTTCTATTTCCTAACCCACATGGTGACTTCACAGGGATTCACTCTGGAATCATTTGTTAGGTTTTATATTGATGTCTTATGCACTTTTCCCTATGTGTTCTCTGTTTCCTAATTTAAAGATGCATCAAAAACCTTAAAAATAAATATATATACACCTATATTTACAGCCTTTAACCAAGTTATTCCCATTCTGTTCATCTAAACTACAGAAAAGAATCACACATTCAGACAAACTTCGATGCGCAAAGATGTGCATTGCAGCATCATTTATAATAGCCCTATATTTGAAAGAACCTAAATTCTCACAAGTAAGTAAATACTTAAATATAGTATGTCCCCAATTTGGAAAATTATTTAGCCATTGAAAAGTCTGATGTCAAAGAATATTTAATAGAATAGAAAAAAATGCTCATGATACATAGATGAATGGGGAGGAAAAGAGCAGAAAATAAATTATGTGATAATTAAACATGTACTCCAATAAATAAATGATATGCAGACTGTGATCCCAATATTGTCAACATGTATTACATATTCATAGGAAAATGACAGCAAGGGGCCAGGCACAGTGCCTCATGCCTGTAATCCCAGAACTTTGGGAGGTGGAGGCTGCTGGATCACTTGAAGTCGAGTTTGAAACCATCCTGGCCAACATGGCAAAACCCCATCTCTACTAAAAATACAAAAATTAGCCGGGTGTGGTGGCAGGCGCCTGTAATCCCAGCTACTTGGGAGGCTGAGGCATGAGAATTGCTTGAAACCAGGAGGTGGAGGTTGCAGTGAGCCAAGATCGTGACTCTGTCTCAAAAAAAAAAAAAAAAAAAAAAAAAAAGCAAGGAAATATATTTTAAAATAACAAGAGTAGTTACATCTGGGGAGTGGGATAATTATGGGTGTTTGTTTTCTTTATACTTTTTTCACATTTCCCCAATTTTCTGCCATGGATGTATATGGCTTTAATTCTTTACTACACTGCTTTTCCTCCTCTTTTGATTTGGACCCCAGATGCACAGAATCAGTTGGTCACACTCCTTGGGCCATTTGACCGTCAACTGCATTAGACTATGGCCTAGGTTTTGTTTTATTTTCACTTCTTATTTTTGCCTCTGTCACCCGTCTCCAACTCCTCCCATTTCCCTCTCCCCCACAGACACCCACTTGGATATA
The DNA here is from genome assembly GCF_000001405.40 of Homo sapiens. NCBI lineage: Eukaryota > Metazoa > Chordata > Mammalia > Primates > Hominidae > Homo > Homo sapiens. The sequence goes on from NC_000020.11 coordinate 48,839,356, forward strand.
TTTAAAGCTTGTTCTTTAGATCCATCTGCCACACATTTGTTTGGATCTATGGGTATTCAAACAGGCATAGTAGAAAATATATACAGAGATAAAGACATAGTGTTTTATCTGTGTTTTCAAATGTTTATGTAAATGGTACAGAGTTACGCATTTCATACTATGTTACCTTTTTCACTCAACATCCTGTTTCTGAGATCCTGCTTTGTTGCTCTTTGTAGATACAACTCCATGCTCAGTGTTCCATTGCATGCTTGCGCTACCTGGTCCATGCTTGTGCTACCTGGTCGAGGCTGCGGACTACATTTCCCAGGCCTCTTGCAGGTGGGTGGAGCCCCATAACTGAGTTTTAACTCGTGGATGCTGTTAGGTGAGATGTGCATCATCACCTCTAGTGCTGGCCCATGAAATTTCTCCCACACATGCTCCTCCTTGCTCCTTTCCCTTATAGCTGATAGGGATGACGTCCCCCACAGTGACCTTGGAAGCCGCGGTTGAAGGTGGCAGAGTAACTCTCAGTCTGGGTCTGAATGTCTCCCTGGAGGAGAGCCAGACTACTGATCGCTAACAGTCACCTTGGATTATTATGAGCCATAAAACTTCCATTACATTTGACCCTTTATATGCTTTAAGGCCTGTTTATTACAATTGCAATTATTTTTGTTTGTTTGTTTGTGTTTGAGACAGAGTCTTGCTCTGTTGCCCAGGCTGGAGTGCAGTGGCACAATCATGGCTCACTGCAGCCTTGACCTCCCGGACTCAAGCCATCTTCCCACCTCAGCCTCCCAAGTAACTGTGACTACAGGCGCTTGCCACCACATCAGGCTAATTTTTGTATTTTTTGTAAGGACAGGATTTCACTATGTTCCCTATGCTGGTCTCAATTTCCTGGGCTCAGGTGATCCTCCTGCCTTGGCCTCCCAAAGTGCTAGGGTTACAGGTGTGAGCCACCGTGCCTGACCACGACGGCAAGTATTAACCTTAACCAAAAAAAAAAAAAAAGAAAAAAAAAAGCATATTCTATTTATCCATTTCCTAGTGCTAGACACTGTTGCTCCAAACTCCTTGAAGCAATGCCATGATGAACCTCCTCATACACATTTCCATATGCATCTGTGAGCAAGCGTTTTCAGGTTATCTAACAGAAATGGAATGCCTGCGCCATGGGGTTTGTACATATTTTGTTTACCTGACCAAAGCAATGGCAGAGACATTCAGGTGTGTGGGGCAGTGACAGCAGAGATGTTCATATTCAGCTAGCCAAAGTCAGCATGGCTGCTTGGGGTGGGCAGGCTCAATGGGGCTACCAAGGGGTCATTGCTAGATCAACCCCACAGAGTGCTTTGGGCATTGTTTTTGGCACAGCCTTTAAGGCTGGCCTTCTAAGCATCCTTGAGATTCTGTGAGCTCCCATAGCTGTTAATAAAATTAGAGCGAGTTCTGTTGCTTACAATTGCAAATCCCCTTATTTATGTATTTATTTATTTAGAGACAGGGTCTTACACTGTAGCCCAGGCTGGAGTGCAGTGGCATGATCATGGCTCACTGAGACCTCAAAACTCCTGGGCTCAAATGATCCTCACACCTCAGCCTCCCAAGTAGCTAGTAGCTGATTAAAAAAAAAAATGTGCAGATGGGGGTCTCACTATGTTGCCCAGACTGGTCTCGAACTCCTAGGCTCAAGCCTTAGCCTCCTGAGTAGCTAGGACTACAGGCACGTGCCACCATGCCCAGCTAATTTCATGTTTTGCAGATACGGGGTTTCACTATGTTGCCCAGGCTGGTCCCAAACTCTTGGCCTCAAGGGATCCTCCACGCCTCAGCCTCCCCAAGGGCTTGGATTACCGATGGGAGCCACTTCACCAGGTCTGCAAATCCCTTTTCATATGCTAGATTCAGGGGAAGGCAAACTTCTTCTGCAGAGAGCCAGAAAGTAAGTATTTTTGGCTTTGCAAGTCATACAGTATCTTCTCAGCTTCTCGATTCTGCTGTTGTAGCAATAAAGCAGCCAAAGACAATAATAATGAATGGGTGTGGCTGTGTTCCAATAAAACTTTATTTATAAAAACAATGGCCCACAAGACATAACTTGTTAATCCCTGAGCTAGATAAAAAAGAGACATCTCCTTTCTCTAAATCTCTATGTAGACATTTATGCCATGTTTCTTAGTCTTAGCTACTTGGTAAACGCTTGTTCTCATCCACACAGAGGGGTCCTCACACATGGCCTAACACATTACCTTGCCTGAAATAGACTGGATGAATAAATGAATGAGTGAATGAATGAATGGCCTTAATTTAGAGGTGGTCTCAATGAACAACCCAGGCAGAGACCAATCAGAACCGCAGCCGGCTGTAGACAACCTGTGCCACAGAACCAGCGGAGTACAGAGTATCATTCTTTGTCCTTCAGCTGTTGCATGAAGACTACCTTCTTCACAACTAACCCCCCGCCCACCCTACCTGGCTTTATCCCACATCCCTGGTAGGCATCCATTTAGGGGCTCAGTTTCTGAATTTCAGAAGTTAATGAGGAACAAGGGCAACTGTGGGGGGTTCAGTTCTTAACAGCAAACTGTTCCAGTGACTAATCCATCTTTCATTCCCAGTATTTTTATTTGTCCCAGCAGAAATGTGTATGAGTCACAGCTCCTGGATAATTTTTTTTTAATGCATCATTGCGTGTATATCTCTGGCCTGCAGACCTGCAAGGTCTGGGTGCTGTTGACAGGGGGCTAATGATTTCAGCAGCAACAACAAAAGCTGTCAAGTCATGCTAACCAGGACTTCTTTCCCCCATGCCTATCAGCATGAAAGAAATAAAAAAAGAAAAAAAAATGGACTTAGTGTCTGATTAAGAATGTGGCACATAGAGTGATTTAGGCGGCCACAGACTTATACTTTCTCCTACCAATAACTTTCCCTTTTTTTAAGACCCTGCCACAAACACCTCTTCTTTCGGAAAGCCTTGATTAATCTAATCTCAAAGACCAGCTCTCAGAGCAGCTCTAAAACCACTATGATTTGCAAATCAAATCTCACCCTCTTCTGATCTCATTTCTGTCTTGCAGTGTATTCCTGCAGCCTTTGTGTAGAAAATTCCTATTCTACCCCTTTCAAATAATTTGTAGCTTGCTTTCTGGAGTGTGAAGTCTCTTCCACGTGGGTATATTCTCTCTCTCCAGCGTGGTGCAGTGAACCGTGATTGTGCCACTGAACTCCAGGCTGGGCAACACAGCAAGACACTGTCTCAAAATAAAAATCTAGTAGCCGTGTCTCCATCCTTATCATATTCAATTATTCAGTAGCACTCAGCACAGTGATTTCTCTCTCCTTCTTAAAATATGCTTTTTGCACCAAATCAGACAGAGTTGATTTGGGAATTATGAAGAGATGAAGCCAAACATCCACTTGGCCCCTCACTGGCTATGTGACTTCACTTCTTGGGGGCCCCAGTTTTTGCATCTATAAATGGGGATGATAATGATGATAATCATAATAACAGAATAAAGGTAGATAATGTTTCCTGAGCCACTAATCATAATATATGCTCAATATAAACAAGGGTTTTTCATCTATTTTGCTCATTGCTGTATGGTCGGGGCTAGCACAGAGCCTGGCACCATTTAGATAATCAACAAACATTTTTTGAATAAATGAATTAATGGATTGTTTCCCATACTTGCCTAATCTTAAGATGCCTCACCATCCTCCCAGGAAGAGACTCCAAGGTCAACCTTGACTCTCGTATTATCTGTGTCTAGAATTCTAATTCCTCAAATTGCTTAGTTTCCGTATTACTCAATGATCCTAAAGATGCAAGTGACAGAAATCCAACTCAAACCAGTTCAGGGAAAATACGGAATATATTGGGTCATCTAAGCCTGTCTAACTTCGGGCATGGCTGGATCCAGGTGCTCAAAGATTGCTTCTTTCCCAAGAGTGTAACTCAGAAGGCTGTCTCTGATTGGTCAGGATTGGGTCATGTGTTCAATCACTATGACTCTGAATGGCCAGGCCTGAGTCATGTATTTTCTACTAGAAAGGAAGGGAGGAATGGTCCCCACAAGGTTAACTGGAGCCCCAGTACTACAAGAAGAGAAATAAATGCTGGCTAGGCAATAACAAAGAATTGAGGGAGGCTCCTCCAGACTCACCAGTCTACATTCCCTCCTGAACACTCTGCCAGGTTAATGCTATAAAGGGCAAACATGATCAAGTTACTTATCCCTGTGCTCAAGCACCTTCACTGGCTCCCTACTGCTGACTAAAGTAATTATAGTTTGCTCAGCGTGGCATGGAAAGTCCTTTGCAATATACCTGTCTTCTCCAGGCTGAGGGATCAGTGAGAAAGCTGTTCTAAGAATCCGGACAAGCAATGGTGAGGCATGGAGTTTGGACAGCAAGAGTGGGGATGCAGATGTGGATTTCAGAAAAATCCATAATTTCACTGAAACTGCCTTCATCAAGGTCAAAAATTTGGACTGCCAAGTCCAAATCTAGTAGCTGTGACCTGGCATGGTGGCTCATACCTGTAATCCCAGCACTTTGGGAGGCCAAGGCAGGAAGATTGCTTGAGGCCAGGAGTTCAAGACCAGCCTGGGCAACATATTATCTAAAAAATTAATTTAAAAAAAGTTAGCCAGGCATGGTGGCATGCAACACTAGTCCCAGCTACTTGAGAGGCTGAGGTAGAAACCTCACTTGAGTCTGGGAGGTCGAGGCTGCAGTGAACTGTGATTGCACCACTGCACTCCAGCCTGGGCAACACAGCAAGACCCTGTCTCAAAAAAAAATCTAGTAGCTGTGTCTCCATCCTTATCATATTCAATTATTCAGTAGCACTCAGCACAGTGATATTTCTCTCCTTCTTAAAACATGCTTTTTGCAGGAAATATTTGGGATACCCTGTACCCCCCATTCCCTTGCACGGCCATGTTCTACTGGCCTTCTCTGGCAGCAGATATGTGCTCAGACTCTATCTTCTACACCCATTGAAGACACCATTGGTTGCAAACCAGCAACATTTTCCCCTTCTCCCTATTGAAACCCCAAGTTTGGCCACCATATGCTTCTGGAGAGAATGAACCCTCCTCACCCCCAGCAGGCAGATCTTAATGAAATTCAGCCAATCATGAAGAGGCATGTGACTCATTTCTAACCAATAAGACTTGATGGAAATCTGCTGGAGGCTTCAGGGAAGGTCTTCTTCCCTCTCAAAACAAGATACAGGAAAGGAAAGTGACTTGTTCTGCTCTTGTGGCTTGTGGATGTTGTTGTGACAGCACGATGTCTAGGGGCTATGGCAGCCAACTTGGACCCACGAACGGAGACCGTGCCATCATGGTAGATGGAAAGATGCAAGGAACCTGGATCCTCAATGCTGCTCTTGAGCCGAATTACCCAACCCTGGGACTGTCCTATCTCAGGACACATTGCATAAAACACATTGGGTTCAGTCTTCATTTACTTATAGCAAAAGTCATCTTGATGGATATACTGCTTGTATGGTAAAACTTCCAGAAACATGACTCCAGCTATAACCTTCTTTCTCACATCACTCCAGACCTACGTGGGATGTTTAATGGACATCTTCCCAAGCAGTCCTACAAGCACTTTAAAAATGTGTCCCAACTTGAATCAATTATCTGCCACATTCCCCAAAAGACTTTTATTCACTAGATAAATGGCATCGCCATCTATGTGATTTCTCTCATGAGTGATCCTCAAGTCTTTTTTCCATTCCTTTATTCATTCATGTAACGAACTCTCATTTACTAAGCTCCTCTATGCACTGGGCATTATGCAAGATGTAGGGGATAACACAGTGACTAAGACAAAGTTCCATCCCTCGTGAAGCTTATATTTCCGGTTAGAGGGAGATATTAAACAATTAACCCATAACTGACAGCAGCTAAGAAATAAACAGGATGTTCTCATAGAAAAATACAGGGAGGCACACACCTAGATAAGGTGATCAGGGGAGGCTTCCATAGGCAGGTAATAAATAAGCTGAGATCTAAATGCACAGCCAAAACCAACTCTGCAAAGCATGAGAAGAGTTTTCTAGGCTGGGCGCAGTGGCTCACGCTGTAATCTCAGCACTTTGGGAGGCCAAGGCAGGAAGATTGCTTGGGGCCAGGAGTTTGTGACCAGCCTGGGCAACATGACGAAAAGTGTCTCTACAACATACAAAAAAATTAGCCAGGTGTGATGGTCCATGCCTTTAGTCCCAGCTACTCTGGAGGCTGAGGTGGAAGGATCACTTGAGCCCAGGAGGCTGAGGTTGTAATGAGCCGTGACTGTGCCACTACACTCCAGCCTGGGTGACAAAGCAAGACCTTGTTTCCAAAAAAAAAAAAAAAAAAGAGCTTTCTAGGCAGAGGAAATAGCAAGTGCAAAGGCCCCAAGGCTGGACCAAATTTGAGCTTTCCAGAAGCCGCGAGGAGGCCAGTGAGGTGGTAATGTGGAGACAGGCAGATCCAGCAGGGCCTCAAAAGTGATGTGTGGATTTTATGCTAAGTGCAGTGGGCAGCCAGGGGAGGAATTTAAACAAGGATGTAACATGATGTGACTCAGGTTTTTAAATGGTCTCACAGGCTATTGCATGGACGATGGCCCATAATAATAAAAATGATCACAGCTAACACTTTGATAGTAGATACTGTGTGCCAGGCATTGTTCTAAGCACATTCCGTATATATTAACTCATTAAGTCCTCCCACCGACCCCATGAGGTCAGCACCATAATCATTCCCATTTTATTGATGAAGAAACTGAGGCACAGAGAATTACAGAAACTTGCCTACGGTCACATAGCCAATAAATCAAAGCCTGGCCTAGAGGAAACAAGGAGACTAGCTACAGGCTGTGGTGCATGTCCAGAAAGGGGGCTGCAGGCAGTGGGGCTTGGATTGGCCCAGGGGAGAAGTGCAAGGGAGGATCCCGCATATAATTTCACGGCGGAGAGGAAAGAACTTGCAGGTGGTCTTATCCTCTGTCCATTCTCACTCCTTTCTCCAGCAGGTTTTTGAACTTGACTTCTGGCTTGGTGGTCTCCCAGCCCACCTTATATTAATAGATGGGGATGTCCTCGCTGTCTCCTCCCCCACCATCCTGCTGTCTGGCACCTCGTTCATCTCACACAACCACTCCCCTTGAAAACAGCCCGACCCTCCTACAGTACAACAGTCTCCACCTTGGTCTTGCCCTGCCCACTCCACACCAGAGATTAAAAGCCAGGCAGCCGCTCCTGGCGGTCAAAGGAGAGCACTTTGTAGACGCTCCCTGGACCCCAGCAAAACTTCTATTGTGTTGCTGGAGACAGAAACAATGCCAGTGGCCCAGTTGCTCCCCAGCCAAAGGTGGCCCCAGCAAACAGTCTCCCAGCCCCATGGATGGGGTGCCTGGGAGTGTTAACAGAGCTCCCTCGGGGACCAGAGGGCCAGGAGAGAAGCAACATGTGCCTGCTGGACACTCCCGTCTACAGCCGGCTGCAGCCCCCACCCACCCACGTGCCTCACTCTAGGCGAAGAAAACCCAAAAGTAGGAGAGGACAGGCCAGAGATGGCTGCTTGACCTTTCAAGGGGAGGCAGGAGTTTCTACAAAGCCTCTGGGAGTCCCCTAAGTATGTGTTCCTACCCTCCAGGGGCTAGGAGGTCACCCTCTCAGTTCCTCATCAGCCTGGGATAGGTTCAGCGGTGGGTGGAAAATATGACCAGCAAGGGGCCTACCCACACCCGGGGCCTGCTTTGGGGCTTTCTTAAAAAGACAGTGCTAGGATCCCAGACCAACAAGACACCTTGTGCAAAGCTCTGTGCTCTAGGCTCTCAGAGAATAGGAAAGCACCCTGTCCTTCTGGGTCAGAGTGGAGTTAAGATGAGTTATGCAGAGGCAGAGATTTGGGGGAGAGATCAAGGAATACTTCATGGAGGAGGGGGCCTTTGAGAGTGCTCTGAAAAAACTGAGAGGATTCCTTTCTTTGCCCTGCCCTCCCTCTTCCTTCTCTTATAAAAAAAAAAAAAAAAAAAACAAACCCTCCCCAAATGACTAATAAATAAAAGACACACAAAAGAGACACATATGCTTTATCTATAATGTATAGGCCGTGTTGTTTTTGAAACTCTTTTCTGCTCTGTAAAGGAATGTGTGTGCATCACGGAAACCTTGGAAAACCCAGAGCAGCATATAGAAGAAAATGAAAATTGCCTCTATTTCCACCATATAGAGATAAAACACTCTTAACTTGTCAGAGTATTCCTTTCCAGGCTTTGGTGGTGTTTTTTCATATTATTACTAAGGTGAAATTTACTTGCAGTGAAATGCACATGTCTGGAATATATGACTCAATGCATTTTGACAAATGTCTACACCCGTGTGTACACCCTTCCAATCGAGATCTAGAACATTCCCCTCACCCCAGAAATTTCCCCCGGGTCCCCTTCCAGTCAGCCCCCATCCTTCTGATTTCTATAAATTAGTTTTGCCTGCCATGTAATTGGAATCATGTGCTATGTGCTTTTTTGTGTCTGGTTTCTTTCACTCAACATAAACAATGTTTTTAGATTTCTCCACGTATCAGTAGCTTGTTCTTTTTCATTGTTGAGTAGTGTCCCATTGTGTGGATAAATCACAGTGTGTTCATCCTGCAAGAATCTTTTGGGTTGTCTCCACTTTGGGGCTATTATGAAAGAGCCACTTATAAATATTGGCCAAGTCTGTGCATGGATGTAGGTTTTCATTTTTCCTGAGCAAATACTTAGGAGTGGGATAACTGAGTCATATGATTAACTTTTATGAGAAATTGTCAACAGTTTTCCAAAGTGGTTGTACCATTTTATATTTCCACCAGCACTATATGAGGGTTCCAATTTCTCGATATCATTACATTTTTTCTTTTTTTTTTTTTTGTTTCTTTTTGAGACAAGCTCTCGTTCTGTTATCCAGTCTGGAGTCCAGTGGCACAATTGTGGCTCACTGCACCCTCAACCTTTCAGGCTCAATTGATCCTCCCACCTCAGCCTCCCGAGTAGCTGAGACCACAGGTACACACTACCACACCCAGCTAATTTTTATATTTTTTTTGTAGACAGAGCATTTTGCCATGTTGCCCAGACTGGTCTTGAACTCCTGGTCTCAAGCAATCTGCCCGCCTCATCCTCCCAAAGTGCTAGGATTACAGATGTGAGCCACCACACCCGGCCTATTATTACTTATTAATTACACAAGTAATACATGAGTATAGTCTCCTGCAAGGCTAAAATACCTTTGGATAACCACCTGGCACCCACCAGTCCCCCCAGAATAACTACCATCAGCAGTTTGGGATGCTGCTTCGCAGACGTTTGCAGACCTTTTCTTGTACATTTATATGTATAGATATATAACATTTTTAGGGGGGGTGGTTGGAGTCTCGCTCTGTCGCTCAGGCTGGAGTTCAGTGGCGGGATCTCGGCTCACTGCAACCTCCGCCTCTGGCATTCAAGGAATTCTCCTGCCTCACCCTCCTGAGTAGCTGGGACTACAGGCACACACCACTGTGCTCAGCTAATTTTTGTGTTTTTAGTAGAGACGGGGGTTTCACCATATTGGTCAGGCTGGTCTCGAACTCCTGACCTCAGGTGATCCACCCACCTCAGCCTCCCAAAGTGCTGGGATTACAGGCGTGAGCCACCATGCCTGGCCTGATATATTGACTGTGCCACTGCACTCCAGCCTGGGAAACAGAGGAAGACCCTGTCTCAAAAAAAAAAAAAGGAATGTTTGTGCATTGCTAAAACCTTGGAAACCCGGAGAAGCATGTAGAAGAAAATGAAAATCACCTCCATTTCCACCATGTAGCTTAAACATCCTTAACATGTCAGAGTATTCCTCTGTTTTCTATAGATATATATATACATATCACTATATATGTGTGATTATATATGTGTCTCCATAGAAATAAACAAAACAATACTAGAAACAAATACAATACTAGAAACAGAACAATACTATGTGTCTTCTATGGATATATATATAGTATTGTTTTGTGGTGACTCTTTTTACAAAAATCTTGCATTATATATTTCTTCATTGTACTTACCACCCAGGCCGTATTGTTTGATTCCCTGCCTAGGATGTTAGCTCAGCTGGGGCAGGGAATTTGTTTTGTTCACTGCTAGATTCCCAGTGTCCAGCATAGAGTGGCTGCTCCATCAATATCTGTGGAATGAAAGGATAGTGGACATATTGTTCTGCAATTTGCTGGCTTCACTCTATAAATATAACTCATAGATCTTTCCACATCCACACTTACAGATCTATTTCCCTCTGTAAACTGCCGCATAGCATATTCTGTGATATGAATGTGCAAAATGTCTTTTACATCCCTCTGTTTGTAGGTTTTAGTAAAATCAGCCAAAGGGTCAGGATTTCTACCACCACATACTTCAAGGAGCTCAACACATTGCCTACTTGGTGGGGAGTGGGGGGGAATAATGGTAAATAGGTAGAATCTTTATAATTTGGCAAGTGAGGGTGGTAGTGGGGAGAAAGGTAGCATCAAAGTTGTAGTGGGGTGGTTATGCTCACTCTGGAGCCAGATGTTCTGGGTTCATATCATGACCACCACTGTCATGCTGTGTGATCTTGGGCAAGTTACTCAACTTCTCTGTGCATCAGTTTTCCATCTGAAAGATGGGAATAATAATAGTAACCTCCAAGGGTTGTTATGAGAATTAAAAGTCTATAGAGCAGCAATGAGCACTTGTTAAATACTCTGGTGTTATCTACTGTTATTATTCAACAACCAAAGGGTGTTTGCCTCTAAGGAACACATCCAGCTCCCTTCAGTCATTTTCTCTACCTTTCTGGCCCGGGTGGGCTCTGGCTTTCCCATCCACTGAGCTAGAACCTTTATTGCAGAGTAGAGAGTGACCCGGGGCAAGCGGAGGGCCGAGGGGAGGAAACCCAGGGAGGAGCAGCTTTATAGGAACCAGGAGAGAAAGGAGTTTCCAGAAGCCAGGGCTGGTAAACAGTGACAAAAGCTCTAGCAGAGGGGTAACGATGTGGACCCAGATTAGGCGGTTGCAATTTGGCAGCAGGGAAGTCACCGGTGACCTTTGGGAGAAACGCTGGGGCAGAAGCCAGCTTCAGAGGGACAGGGACAGGGACAGGGACAGGGCCTGAGCTGGGGCTGGGGAGTCTTCCAGGAGCTGCCAACTGCTCTTCTGAGAAACCTGGCCAAATTGGACCATATCTTGAAGGAGAGAGAAAATATTTTGTTTTTTTTTAAGGATAAGAAGCTCTGAGCAGGTTTAAGAGGGGAAACTTATTTCAAGAGCCATGACTACAGGATCTGAGAGGAGGGGAGCTGGGACTGGAATGGGAGCCAAGAGCCCGGCATTTTGATCCCAACATTTCTGCTGAATCTTTTCTTCCCCGCCATCTCCGTGCCTCTGCACCTGCCAACCTCCCTGCCAGGAGCACCCTTCCTCTGTCTGCCTGGCAAACTCCTCTTCATCTTCTAAATTAGGGGTTGACAAACTCTGGCCACCAGCCAAATCCAGCCCCCCGCCCCCTGCCTGCTTTTGTACAGCTTGTGAGCTAAGAATGGTTTTCACATTTTAAATGGCTGGGATGGGGGGAATCAAAAGAAGACTATTTCGTGACACATGAACATTATATGAAATTCAAATTTTGGCTTCCATAAATAAAGTTTTATTGGCACACAGCCACACTCCTTTGTTTACCTATTGTCTGTGGCTGCTTTCTTGCTACAGTGGCAAAGTGGAACAGTTGTGACAGACCATGGGTCCTGCAAAGTCTGAAAAATTCCCTATCTGGCCTTTTACAGGAAATGTTTGCTGATCTCTGGTCTAAATCGCTACTTGAGGCCGGGCATGGTGGTTCACGCCTGTAATCCCAGCACTTTGGGAGGCTGAAGCGGGCGGATCTCTTGAGGTTAGGAGTTCAAGACCAGCCTGGCCAACATGGTGAAACCCCATCTCTACTGAAAAGACAAAAATTACCCAGGCGTGGTGGCAGGTGCTTGTAATCCCAGCTATGTGGGAGGCTGAGGCAGGATAATTGCTTGAACCCAGGAGGTGGAGGTTGCAGTGAGCTGAGATCACGCCATTGCACTCCAGCATGGGTGACGGAGCAAGACTCCGTTTAAAAATAAATAAAAATAAATAAATAAATAATAAATAAATCTCTACTTGAGATGAACAAAAACTACCACTGTCTTTCTCAGCCTTACCTCCTTTGTGACCATCCCTTGGTCCTGTGAGCCCCTTTAGCACTGGGAACCAAGTCATAGTATGGCATGGTGCACGCTGGTTGGCTGTCACTTGTTTGTTATGCATTTGTCCCCGCCTTCCTGAAGGACCTGAACCTTGCCCTGTAGGCTTCAATCCCCCAGCATGGGGACATTGCCTGATCGTCCGTAAATATTGATTTAAATATTTTAAATATTTAAATATTGAAGTTCACCCATTCACCACTCTGAGTCTAGTTTTCTCATCTGTGAGAGCCTTGAACTTGGTCCCTACGATCTCTAATAGTCTGTGGGGGAAGGACAGCCAAGACCTCACCAGGCAGTATGGGATTATTTGCCAAAAATATTTAAAAGGACCTTTCGAGAATTCCATAAGCCACAAATTCATAGACTGTGGGCCAGGTTTTAGCCCAAACGTGTTTTGCTGGGTCTGCACCTATTTTTTTTTTTAACTTAGATGTCAATGGAAACCTAACCCAGCCCACTTTAGTCACCAGTACTATCTATCTGCCCCTTTCAGGCATTTGAGTTTGCCATTCCTGGATGGAGAGTTAAAGACCATTATAACCATGTCACCCAGGACCCCAAAAATGGTTCTACAGTCAAAGGTTAAGGATATATTTAGGTCAGTTGTTCCTAAACCTGGTGAAATCAAATGACTCAAGCAGTATATAAAACACAGATCCCTAGGCCCACCCAGACCCACCGAAACCTACTCTCCCATAGGTCATGGTGCTGGAGGCGGAATTTTTTTCAAGATCCTCCCAAAATGCTTATCCATTATGGGAATATGTATTGAATCAATATCTGCAGATGTCAATTTGGCTGGACCTGTCAAAATTATAAATGCACCTATCTCTTGACCTAGCAATTCCATTTCTGGGAATCTGTCTTCTAAACCAATGCTTTTTAAACTTTAATGTGCATACACACCCCGGTCATCTTTTTAAAATGCAGATCCTGATGGAGCAGATCTGGGTTGGAGCCTGTAATGCTGCAGTTCTAACAAAGCTCCCATCTGATGCCCAGCTGATGGTCCTGGAACATTCTGAGTAGCAAGGCCCTAGATCTCCCACACACACACCCAGTGATGTATGTACAAGATGATGCATTGTATCATAGTATGTAATTGCAAGTATGGGAAATAACCTAATTGTCCATCAATAGGGGACTAGCCCAATAAATTATGGTGCATCTCAGAAAGGAGGAGCATTATACAGCCTTGAAAAGTATCAAGTATCAAGGCAGTGCTTTAGGTACTGGTATGGAATGAACTCTAGGGCATATTATTTTAAAAGCAAGGAGGAGAATAGTGAGTGGAGTGGGTAACCACTTATATAAAGAGTGTTGGCTGGGTGGGTATGTGGGGAATATTTATATTTATATTCACTTGTAAATGCACAGAATTGCCTGGTAGAAGACACTAGTAACTGGAAAGGGAAACTGAGTGGATGGGTGACAGGGAAGGGAGGGTGACATTTTACTGTACCCATTTGAATTTTGAACTACGTGAATATGATACCTGTTTAAAAATAAACAAAAATTTTAAATTATAATTATACATAAATAGAAAGACTCACCACATACTTCTAATGCTCAGACATGAATTTAGACCATCAGAAAAGCTGAGCTGCAGGTAACATGGTGGATGTATTAGTCTATTCTCATGCTGCTATGAAGAAATACCCAAGACTGGGTAATTTATAAAGAAAAGAGATTTAATTGACTCACAGTTCTGCATGGCTGAGGAAGCCTCAGGAAACTTACAATCATGGCTGAAGGCACCTCTTCACAGGGCATTAGGAGAGAGAATGAGTGCAAGCAGGGGAAATGCCAGAGGCTTATGCAACCATCAGATCTCAGAAGACTCCCTCATTATCACGAGATAGCATGGGGGGAACCACCCCCATGATTCAATTACCTCCACCTGGTCCTGCCCTTGACATGTGGGGATTATGGAGATTACAATTCAAGGTGGGATTTGGGTGGGGACACAGAGCCAAACCATATCAGTAGGATACCTTCTGCCTTGGTACACCATGCACACACACACATCCAACGCACATGCACACATATGAACACACACACACTTGCATACACCTTTAAGGACAGTCAATACAGTGTGTTGAAAGCCTGCTGAGCTTAAACTCTGCAAACCTCAGTTGGATCCCAGCTCCACCAGCTGAGTGACATCAAGCAAGACACTTAGCCTCGATGGGGATGATCAAAATAGTCCTGGCTGCCCTGCAGACCTTGGGTGGTGAGAAAACTCTTCATAAACTGTCAAGCATACACATGAAAAGACTCATTATAATATGAACCTGGATGGGTGAGCCAGATGGGGCAATCCACAGCCTTCTCTCCATGGGGTCCCGTGCACACCTCTCAGGACGTCACTGCAAGGTGGAAACCCAATCCCTTGACCTTTGCAGTCAGGCAGCTGCTCCGAACAACCCCTGGCAGTGCTAATCTCCAACTCTCCTCTCACCATCGGGTCCAGCTGCTGGGCTGAGTCACACGCAGGCCGAGGGACAGGCACATGACTTGTGTGTGGAGCTGGTGTGAGTGTAGTGGTTGGGGGAGGGTAGTAAAGACCACAAGAGGTGATTACTCCCCACTTAGTAGGAAATTTCACCTCCAGGGGAGGAGATCTAAGCCTGACTCTAGGTCGGAACTCAAGTGGCTGCCTGGCCTGTCTGGCAGAATTCTTCCTCCGGGAAGCCCACTGGATGTGTATATGTGTGTGTGTGTCTGACAGAGGGAGGGGCAGAGTGTGTACAAAAGAATGATACTAAAAATAACTAGCCAGGCACCTGTGGCTCATGCCTATAATCCCTGCTACTTGGGAGGCTGAGGTGGGAGGATCACTTGAGCCCAGGAGTTTGAGACTACAGTGAGCTATGATTACACCACTGCACTCCAGCCTGGGCAACAGAGTGAGACACCCTCTCTAAAAAATAAAAACTAAAAAAAACCACATGTACTAAGCACTTACCACATGCCAACCTCTATCCTGAGCACCTCGAAGATTAAACTCATTGAATCTCCATTGATACTGGTATCACCATCACCATTACGATCATCCTCACTTTCCAGATGAAGAGGCCGAGGCCCAAAACAGGTAATGAATTTTACCAAGGTCAGTCATATAGCCCAGGTTCAGAGACAGTCTGATTCTAGAGCCTCCGCTCTTAACCTCTCAGCTACAGGGAATTTCATTCCTTGAAGGGGGTTTCCAGAGGTCATTTGGCCCAGTGCAGTGAGTGAGATGATGGAAACAGTCAACCATGTTTGCACCTGGCTGTGTGACCCTGGGCAAATTGATTACCTCCTGTGCTTCACATTTTAGAGCCTCACTTTCCTCCCCTAAAATGAGGATCATCACAACCATATCCACCTCTCAGGGCTGTTTTAGGGCTTAGTAATAACATACTTAAAGTCCTCCACACAAGACCTTGTTAATATGATTATCATACCGATTATTATCCAGTACTAGTGAGCAAGGTATAAAAAATAGCTAGAAAACCCCTAATCCTGGGCAAGAAGGAATCAAAATCTCCTTCTTAAGCAGTTTGTCCATATCATTCATCAGCAACATGTAACCAATACATCTTGCCTTTTCTTCCTGTTGCCGTCAACCCTTCTAAGAAAGCAAGATAGGGCTAGAAAAGAAAGTGCCTATATCTTGGTCATCATTTTAACCACTTTATTTTTTGGTTTTGGTTTTAATAATCTTGATTTCTGCTGAGAGACGCTCACAGGAGAGAGACCCTGGGTACCAAGTCCATCCTGGCGGCAGGGGGACAGATGAAATTCCTCTTTCAAGGTTGCTTCCACTTCCACATCCCTGGGAGACTCATTCAATCCTACAGTTATTTAGTGAGCACAGACTCTGTTCCAGTCATCTGTTAGGCACTGGGGACACAGCACCGAACAAGGCAGACAACATTCTTCAGCTCATGGAGCTGACACTCCGGCAGAGGAGACAGAAAATAAGTAAGTAAAGAGGCCAGGCTCAGTGGCTCACGCCTGTAATCCCAGCACTTTGGGAGGCCAAGGAGGGTGGATCACTTGAGGTCAGGAGTTCAAGACCAGCCTGGCCAACATGGCGAAACCCCATCTCTACTAAACCTACAAAATTAGCCGGTTGTGGTGGCATGTGCCTGTAATCCCAGTTACTCAGGAGGCTGAAGCAGGAGAATCACTTGAACCCAGGAGGCGGAGATTGTTGCAGTGAGCCAAGATCATACCACTGTACTCCGGCCTGGGCGATAGAGCGAGAGACTCTGTCTCAAATAAATAAATAAATAAGTAAAGAGATCATCTAATGTTTAAGTTTCAAAAAATGCCATGAAGAAAAATAAAACAGAGTAAAGGGATGGAGAGTGACGAGGGAGCGGCTGTTATTTTAAACAAGGTGATCAGAGAAGGCCTCTTGGAAACATGACAGAGGAGAGCTAATGAAGTGTGTGTACCTGGGGAAAGAGTATTCCAGGTGGAGACAGGGAGTGGCAGGTGCAATGGCCCTGAGGCAGAACCCAGGGAGACAGTGGTAGGGCCTAAGTCTGGAGCGGCAGACAAGGCCTTGCTGTCTCCTCCTTTCTTCTCTGCCAAACTAGGGTGAGGACAGCGGCCTGCTGGCCCACATCCATCCCAGAGTTGCTGGGAGGTAATGGATGGGAAATTGCTCTGAGAGGCTGCACAGGGTCCAGTAGGAGTGTTATTAATGGATGCACTGGACGACGCCCATGCCAGGGGCACTTTAGGACAAAGTGGTTTCTTCTCCCTCCTGGTGAGTCCATGTTATCCTAAATACCAGCACTGAGAGAGCCCAAACTTCAAACATTCCCATCCTCTCCTTCAAGGAATGGAAACAGCAGGGCCTAGAGAAGGCAGGAGAACCATCCAAGGCCACGTTGCAAGTTCCTGCCAGAGCCCCAGTGTCAGGATCAGGCTCAAGACTGAAAAAATACTGAACCATCCCATTCCCAGGTGACAGGAGAGTAAGTAAAATCACTTTTCTTTTCTTTTCTTCCTAAAAGGTTGTTACTTCCCCTAGGGCAAGAGGGGGATGAGACTCTTTGCCGGGTGGATGGGCTGGGAAAAACAACAGTTTGCAAAACAAATTAAATGTGTTAAATGGCCAGTTTCTCCCACCAGTGGGTCTCTTTGCCCTCAGCAAGTGACTTCTCAACTTCTCCTTTGTGGTTTTCAAAACATTCCCCTAAATTTCTTTTTTTGTTTTGTTTTGTGACAGTCTTGCTTTATCACCCAGGTTGGAATGCAGTAGCATGATCTCGGTTCACTGCATCCTCTGCCTCCCAGGTTCAAGCAATTCTCCTGCCTCAGCCTCCCGAGTAGCTGGGATTACAGGTGCATGCCACCATGCCCGGCTAATTTTTGTATTTTAGTAGAGACAGGGTTTCACCATGTTGGCCAGGCTGGTCTCGAACTCCCAACGTCAGGTGATCCACACTCCTCGGCCTCCCCAAGGGCTGAGATTATAGGCATGAGGCACGGTGCCCAGCCTACCCCTAAATTTCTTAGGTCCTTGCCACCCATGGTGTATAAGAGTCAGAGAAGATATTGGGCTCTTTGGCCCCTTTCCACAGATGAGGAAACTGAGGCCCAGAGTAGGGAAACACACCTCATCTGAGACACTTGGGCTCCACAGTTAGGAGCTGACCTTCTCTCTAAAAGAAGTGACTATAAACCGGTATAAGATAACATAATGAGAAAGGTAATTTCAGAGGATGCCAAGAGCTATGGATGAAATAAACCAGAGGGCTTGGCCGGGCACAGTGGCTCATGCCTGTAATCCCAGCCCTTTGAGATGCCATGGCGGGGGAATCACTTGAGCCCAGGAGTTTGAACCTGCAATGAGCTATGATCACACCACTGCACTCCAGCCTGGGAGACAGTTTTTTAAAAAAACCAGCCTTGAGCTCAGGAGTTTGAGACCAGCCTGGGCAAATAGCGAAACCCTCGCCTCATCTTTACAAAAAATTCAAAAATTAACAGAGCATGGTGGTGCATGCCTGTGGTCCCAATTACTCGGGAGGCTGAGGTGGCAGGATCACTTGAACCAAGAAGGTTGAGGTTGCAGTGAGCTGTGATTTCGCCACTGCACTCCAGCCTGGGTGACAGAGTAAGACCCTGTGTCAAAACAAAACAAAAAAAGGTAGGATTGGCAGGACTACTTTAGTGGTGGTCAGTGAAGGGTCCCGGGGGAGTTTGCATATGAGCTGGTCCTGTAGCTTGAGCAACAAGCAGCCATGCCCAGAGCCAGGTAAAAGGGGGGTCTGGGCCAAGGGGTGGCAAATGCAAAGGCCCTGTGGCGGGGGCAAGCTTGGCCTTGGAGCAGCAAAAAGGAAAGTCCAGTGGGGCTGGAGCAGAGCAGAGCAGACCTGGGGAGGGTACGGGCCGATGGCAGCGGCAGGGGCCATGTCTCAGGCCTTCCCGGCCACTGTAAGAAATGTGGATTTAATCCTAAGGGCAGTGGCTGCCAGTCGAGGCCTCCATGGTTGGTGGGAGAGCTGGGCCTTAAAACCTGGATCTCATTCTTCAGAGCCAAGGCTCACAGGCCTGCAACTCCCCTTGGCCTTCTATGTATCCCAAGACTTCCTCTGTCAACCCTGGAACTTCCTGGTTATACTCCGGGCATGTGACTCTGTCTCGTCCGCCTTGGGCTGTCAAGTGACTCCCACAGCCCTGATTTCCCACAAACTCACTCAGCATCAATCTCCTCTCACACACAGGCAGATATTCTCCTCGGCTTCTGCAGGTCACACTCTCTGGGAGCCTTGCCCCAGCAAATGAATTTGCATCTGCCCCCAATCCTCAACAGCAGCAGAAATTGGGGATGGGGAAAAGGAGAGAACAGAGAGACCTTTCAGGAGCGAATCAGTCTGCAAACTGGATAGGAAGGCAGAGAGAACACAGGCCAGACCCAACCTGGGGAGCTTATCAGCTCTGTCCTGGGGTGTAGGCTCCCAGAGGTCTGAGCTGTCTCCTCTGGCCTCACTCCTGTGTTAAGAGGTGACAGACAGGATCCCAGGGTGAGTCTGGCTGAAAATAGACAGGCAGCAGGGGCAGCCATTAGTGGTCCCTTGTGAGGTTCTAACTCTCTACCATCAAATCACCATCAGACCACCTTCTTTGGTGTTATCTTTCTTTAATGTAGGCAGCTGAAGTCCTGATATTAACAATAATAATTCACTTTTATTGAGCACTTAATGTGTGCTACTCACTGTACTGCGTACTTTATTTTATTTTTATTTTATTTTATTTTATTATTTTATTTAGAGATAGGGTCTAGCTTTGTCACCGAGGCTGGAGTGGGGTGGTGGAATCATAGCTCACTGCAACCTCCAACTCTTTGGCTCAAGTGATCCTCCCATCTCAGCCTCCCGAGTAGCTAGGACTACAGGCATGTGCCACCCTGCCCAGCTCATTATTTTTTTAAATTTTTTGTAGAGGCAAGATCTTGCCATGTTGCCCAGGCTGATTTTGAACTCCTGACCTCAAGCGATCCTCCTGCCTCAAACTCCCAAAGTGCTAGGATTACAGGTGGGAGCCACAGCACTTGGGCCAGTACTTTAGAATTTTAACTCATTTATACATCTATGTCAAACGGAAACAAAAAGATTCTTAGAAAACTTGGTGATTCCTGTGAATTTTAACAGGCTGGCTACCTTGTAACAATACCAGAAACAGAACCAGTGAGTTTGTCTGCCAACACTGCTTTAATACAAACCCAGTCACCCACCCCATAAGTCCCACAAAATGCCCCATGAAGATTCTCCCATGTGACTATTCTGGAGCCACCCTTCAGGAAGAACTTCCAGACACAAATCAGGGAGCCCCTGCCTCACCTCACACCTGTCAGGATGACTACTATCAAAAAGTAAAACAAAACAAAACAAATATACACAGAAAATAACAAGTGTTGGGTGAGGATGTGGGAAAAATTTGAACCTGTATGCATTACTGGTAGGAATGTAAAATGGTACAGCTGCTGTAGACCACAGAATGGCAGTTCCTCAAAAAATTAAAATTAGGATTACCATATGACCCAGCAATTCCACTTCTGGGTATATAACCAAAAGAATGGAAAGCAAGGTCTTGACCGGGCATGGTAGCTCATGCCTGTAATCCCAGCACTTTGGGA
Source organism: Homo sapiens (assembly GCF_000001405.40). Taxonomy (NCBI): domain Eukaryota; kingdom Metazoa; phylum Chordata; class Mammalia; order Primates; family Hominidae; genus Homo; species Homo sapiens. The sequence continues at coordinate 48,859,780 of NC_000020.11, forward strand.
GGCCGAGGTGGACAGACCACCTGAGGTCAGGAGTTTGAGACCAGCCTGGCCAACATGGCGAAACCCTGTCTCTACTAAAAATACAAAAATTGGCCAGGCATGGTGGCGCATGCTTGTAATCCCAGCTACTTAAGAGGCTGAGGCAGGAGAATGGCTTGAACATGGGAGGTGGAGGTTGCAGTGAGCTGAGATTGCACCACTGCACTCCAGCCTGGGCAACAGAGTGTGACTCTGTCTCAAAAAACAAAAAAAAGAAAAGAAAAGAAACCAAGGTCTTGAACAGATATTTGTGCAACAGTGTTCATAGCAGCATTATTCACAATAGCCAAAAGCTGGAAGCAATGCAAGTGTCCAACCACAGATGAATAGATTAACCAAGTGTGGCATCTACATGCAGTGAAATAGATTCCAACCTTAAAAATGAAGGACATTCTGATACATGCTACAACATGGGTGAACCTTGAGGATATTATGCTAATGAAACAAGCCAGTCACCAAAAGACAAATACTATACAATTACACTGAGATGAGGTCCCTAGAGTAGTCAAAATCATAGAGACAGAAGGTAGAATGGCAGTTGCCAGGGGCAGAAGGGCAGAATGGGGAGTTGTTTAATGGGCATGGAGTTCGGCTTTGCAAGATGAAAAGAATTCTGGAGCTGGACGGTGGCGAAGGTTGCACAACAATGTGGATGTACTTAACGCGTCTGAACTGTACATTTAGAAATAGTTAAGATGTTACATTTTATGTTATGCGTATTTTACCACAACTAAAAATTCCTTAAAAGGCCAGGTGCCACGTCTGTAATTCCAGCACTTTGGGACCCCGAGGCGGGTGGATCATGAGGTCAGGAGATCGAGACCATCCTGGCTAACATGGTGAAACCCCGTCTCTAATAAAAATGCAAAAAATTAGCCAGGTGTGGTGGCACGTGCCAGTAGCCTACTCAGGAAGCTGAAGCAGGAGAGTCGCTTGAACCCAGGAGGTGGAGGTTGCAGTGAGCCGAGATCGCACCACTGCACTCTGGCTGGGCGACAAAGTGAGACTCTGCCTCAAAAAAAAAAAAAAAGGCCAGACGCAGTGGCTCATGTCTGCAATCCTAGCACTTTGGGAGGCCGAGGTGGGAGGATTGCTTGAGGGCAGGAGTTTGAAACCATCCTGGTCAACATAGTCAAACCATGTCTCTACAAAAGAAAATAAAAGAAAAAAAATTGTAGTAAGAACAAATAAGATGGCCCTGCCTCCTTCCTGGGGCCCAGAAAGAGATCTCACTTTCTGACGGGAAGGAAAGGGCCCCCAGCAGCATTGCAGTCACACCCAGCTCCTTCTATAGATGTTAATAGCCTGGAGCAGATCTTTGTGACCCCAAAATAAGCCATCTCAGACTTTCAGTGACACTCTTTAGCCCCAGAACAGCATCACAGTGAAAGGAGAGGTCGAGAGAAATGGAGCTGGAGTTCTAACATTGACTTTGGGGAACCTTAAACAATTCACTCCACCTCCCTGGACCTCAGTTTCCCAATCTTTCCAAGTGAGGAGGCTGGACTTCGCAAGTTGTCCAGGAATTATATCTGACCCCAGACATGTCTTGTTCGGCCATCACAAGATTTAAAAGCTGAGAGATATCCCATTAGAAGGTCCGGCCACCCGGGGGCTATGTTTTTCCGAGGTCACCATAGTCTGGAAGTGCACTGTCTGGAAGGGTTCCCCCTTGGATGGGGCTAGTGCTCCTCAGTTCCACCCCTGCCACAGGCACAAAACTTCCCTGCCAGGACCTTGCAGGCAGCTGAGTTTGCAAAGCCTGGACAAAATGACAGTGGAGGGACCTCACACTTCAGTGACAGCTGGTTCAGGGTTTTGTGGGTGAAGATTTCTTCTAAAACACAATTTAGGGGTTTTCCATCATGGGACACACTATCTCTGAGACTCTCCTTTTTTAACTCCAACCCTGGATTCCTCGGACCAGTTTCCCAAATAGGGGGACCTCACAAGAGGCTCTGCAAGCCCCACTGGCACCCCACAACTTGACTCCCTCTCAATTTGTTGGGATTCCCAGCAGGAAAGGAAGTCTCCAGGCCTGCTTGCGGGGCTTCCAAACAATAACCTCCCTCTTGCCTCCCCTCGAAAAATAGAGAAAATGAAAAAGCAGGCCAGGCGCGGTGGCTCACACCTGTAATCCCAGCACTGCAAGAGGCTAAGGTGGGCAGATCACCTGAGGTCAGGAGTTTGAGACCAGCCTGACCAACATGGCAAAACCCTGTCTCTACTAAAAATACAAAAGTTAGACAAGCTTGGTGGCACACACCTGTAGTCCCAGCTACTCTGGAGGCTGAGGCAGTAGAATTGCTTGAACCCAGGAGGCGAGGTTCCAGTGAGCCGAGACTGCCCCACTGCACTCTGGCCTGGGCGACAGAGCGAGACTCTGTCTCAACAAAAGAAAAAATAAAATAAAATAAAAAAGCAAAAACCAAAAAGGCTCTTATTAAAACGATTCTTCATGACAACCCAGACAGGAAAGACAGGAACTGACATCATCATCCCTTGAACTCCTCCTCACCATAATTTGATACTAATAAAGGATAGCTTTTATTGAGCATTTACTGTGTGCCATGCCTTCTTCTAAGCACCATGCATATTATTTCATTGAATCCTCATAACAATCCAAGGAGATAGGCACTATTATAACCCATTTTACAGAGAAGAAAACTGAGGCAGAACCTGCACATTGGTGGTGAGAAGGCCTGTAAAAGACTTTAGCTTTCTCATCTCTCATCACGTGACCTTGGACAAGCCACTTCCCCTCTCCAGGCTTCAATCTCTAAGTTGTACAAGGTGATCATTCTGGTCTAAACAGTTTGTTACTCCTTGAACTCTTTTACTAAAAATCAAAGCACACATTAAAAAAAAAGAATGAAAAATTGGAAACAACACTGCCTGTATAGGGGGTATATGTGTGTGTTTGAAGAGCCAACTAGTGAAACTTTAAAAGCTAAAAAAGCCTAAAAAAAAAAATATATATATATATATATATATACTAATAAACGTTATTTTTTTTTTTTGGAGACAGGGCCTCACTGTGTTGCCCAGGCTGGAGCACAGTGGTGCAATCACAGCTCACTGCAGCCTCAAACTTCTAGGCTCAAACGATCCTCCCACCTCAGCCTCCTGAGTAGCAGCTGGGACTATAGGCATACACCACCACATCCAACTCATTTTTTATTTTTTCTTTGTAGAGATGGGGTCACACCAGGTTGCCTGGGCTGATCTCAAACTCCTGACCTCAAGTGATCCTCCCACCTCAGCCTCCCAAAGTGCTAGGATTATAGGCGTAAGCCACTGTGCTTAGCCTAGACTTTATTTTTTCAGAGAATTTTATGTTTACAGAAAAATTGAAAGGAAAGTACAGAGAGTTCCCTTATACTCCCTCTCTCCCTCCCCTACTTTTCCCCATTATTAACACCTTGTATTAGTGCAGTACATTTGTTACAATTGATGAGCTGATATGGGTACATTATTATTAACTAAGGCCCATAGTTTATATTAGAGTTGACTGTGTTATGCAGTCTGCAGGTCTTGGCAAATGTATGACATGCATCCACCATTACCTTATTAGGTAGAATAGTTTCACTGCCCTAAAATTCTCCTGTGCTTCACCTTTTCATCCCTCCCCGCTCCTTCTCCACAAACCCCTGGCAACCACAGTTTTGTGGGGTTTTTTTGTTTTTTTTTTTTCTTTCTCTATAGTTTTGGTTTATCCAGAATGTCATATAGTTGGAGCCATATGGTGTGTAGACTTTTCATATTGTCTTTTTTTTTTTTTTTTTTTTTGACACAGTCTCGCTCTGTCGCCCAGGCTGGGATGCAGTGGCATGATCTTGGCTCACTGCAGCCTCCGCCTCCCAGGTTCAAGTCATTCTCCTACCTCAGCCTCCTGAGTAGCTGGGACTACAGGCACACACCACCACGCCTGGCTAATTTTTGTATTTTTAGTAGAGATGGGGTTTTCTTGGCCAGGCTGGTCTCAAACTCCTGACCTCAGGTGATCTGCCTGCCTTGGCTTCCCAAAGTGCTGAGATTACAGGCATGAGCCACTGTGCCCAGCCCATATTGTCTTATTTCACTTAGCAATACACATTTAAGATTCTTCCATGTCTTTTCATGGCTTGATAGATCTTTTTTTCTAATCAATGAATAATATTCCTTTGTCTGGACGTGCCACAGTTTGCTTTTTCATTCAACTATTGAAGGATATCTTGATTGCTTCCACGTTTTGGCAATTATGAACAAAGGCTTATACATTTTTTATAGTTTTTCTTGCCATTGGAAAAAGCAATGACACATGATCACTGCAGATTAGGAAAATACAAGAGGACGCAGAGAATGAAATTTCGATCTTTCATTTCACAAAGAAAGAAACTGAGGCTAAGGGAGAGGAAATGACAAGTTCTCCTTGTTCATTCATTCATGCCTTCACTTATTCCTCCAGTGAATATTTACAGAGGACCTATTATGTTCAGGCACTGTGCTGGGACAGGAGACACCACTGGGAACAAGAGAGATGTCCGTTACTGGGGTTAATATTCCAGACAGACAATAACCAAGTAAATAAATGAATCATATTTGTAACGAAATCACAGCTAATATTTATTGTGTGCTTTCTTTGTGCCAAATGTTGTTCAAAAAACTTTGTGTACTTTATGACATTTGGTCTTCACAAGCACACTGGGAAGTAAGCCTGTTATCTCAATTTTGCAGATGAGAAAAGTATAGTTCAGAGAGGTGAAATCATGAACCTGAGGTCACATCGCTCATCGAAGTCAGGGGAGCAAGATTTAAACCCAGGTCATGGCTCTCCCGTCTATGCACTTAACCACTGCTCTAAAATATGGGAAGATCATTTCAGATGGAGGGTTAGGGACAGAGCCCAGCTGAACCCTGACCTTCACCTTCTTACGCCTTTGTGTCGGGCACTTTGTTTTTCATGGTTCTGAGAAGCCAAACTTCATTGTTCTTCGTGGGTTCTTCCAGTTGCTTAGCTGTGGTCCCTGTGGACCAGGGGGAAGGGCTTGGAGCTCATGGCTGGCCAGGGCCCTGTGTGCAATCAGATCACCTTTATTTTTAAGCCATTAAATCCCTGGTGACACATGCTGCTCTTCAGAGGAGCAGGCTGACCTGACCAGGAGAACAGAGTCACTGGGCAGGGAGAAGCCACACACCTCAGGCAAAGTTTTTGACAATCAGGCAAGGAGGCAGGGTTGGGGGGGGTCTTACCCAACCCTGCTTCCTGTGGGATCATTCAAATCAGTAGCAGAAAAAGCCATAAGCTTATAAAATGGTACTGGGGAGTCTCTGGGGGAAACAGGTACTCCCATACACCCCTGGGGAGTGGAAGGTGCCAGAGCAGTTTTCTAAAACAATTGTCATCAACTACCAAGTTTTACAGGAACACAGCCTTTGGCCAGCAGTTTCAGGTCTAGGGGTTCATCGTACAGATATCTTCGCACATGTGTAAAATGAAGTATGTGCAATGCTACGCTTGACAGAAATTTGTAGAAAGAACTGGAATGACCCCTTTCTTCTCCTACCCCCCACACAGGTCCCTGGTTAAAGAAACCAGGTCCGTGCTTGCAAAGAAATCTTTGGCAGCTGTTCAAAGGAAGACGGGTCTCCATGTATTGCAATTGAGCCCTCTTCAGCATAAACTGTTAAGGGTGAAAAAGAAAGGTTCAGAACATTATATGCTATCCTGATTGTTACAAAAGAAACAAAAAGAGGTGGGCAGGGGCTCTGTCTATAGAGGTGTTGAACTGGGAGTTCCTCCACAAGAGCTTTTAGCATCCTGAGGCCTGGCATCCCAGTATTGGCCCTCCCTTGCTGTGCAATGAAGATCGAAGTTTCAACCTCTCTGTGCTCCAGTTTCCTTAACTGTAAAATTGGACTTGTTGGAAAAATTAAATAAAGTCATCTACACAAGAGGCATTTCTCAATGCCTAGGACGTAGGAAATGGTCAATAAGGAACAGCTGTATAATAATTATTGTGCACAAACTCTCCCTGGAAGAAGGCACAAAAACATGGATAATGGGCTATTACCTCTGGGCACTGGGAAAACTGGGAGACGGGACAAGGGGTGACCAATTTTTCAGTGTATGCCCTTTTCGAAGTGTTAAACTTTTTTTTTTTTTTTTTGAGACAGGATCTCACTCTGTTGCCCTGCTGGAGTGCAATGGTGAGATCGTAACTCACTAAAGCCTCAACTTCCTCGGCTCAAGCAATCCTCTCACCTCAGCCTCCTGAGAAGCTGGGACTACAAGTGTGTGCCACCATACCTGGCTAATTATTAAAGTTTTTGTAGAGACAAGATCTTCTCCTTGTGTTGCCCAGGCTGGTCTCAAACTCCTGGCCTCAAGGGATCCTCTGGCTAAACTTTTAATTTTTTACTTTGTGCATGTTTTAATGTTTTTTAAAAAATATTATTTAAAATAGGGTAGCAGGTCCAAATCAAAATGAGAAGGAGCAGGTAAGCGATTTTCAGGCCATTTTCCAGATGGATTTTTTGAGCTAACAGCAACCTGGGTCCTGTGGCTCAAGGCCTGGCTGCTCATGGGCATTGTCTGGGAAACTGTTAGAAATGCAGAACTCCAGCCCAGGACCACTGGAGCAGAATGTGTGTTAACAAGCTGTCCAGGTGAGCCACAGGCAGGCGCAAGTTGGAGAGGCAGTGGTCTGAGGACTGCAGTCATAGAGGACACCAAAGTTTCTCAGTTTTTTGACTCAGCTCAGCCAGAGGATAAATGGGATGGGTTGCCCCTCCCATGGGGCGAGGGTTGGGGAGAAGAGAGAACAGCAAGAATTAAGAACTGCTTGGCCAGGCACAGTGGCTCACACCTGTAATCCTAGCACTTTGGAAGGCAGAGGTGGGCGGGTCGCTTGAGTCTGGGCGCTAGAGACCAGCCTGGGCAACATGGCAAAAATCCATCTCTACCCCCAAAAATATAAAATTAGCCAAGTATGGTGGCACTTGCCTATGGTCCTAGCTACTTAGGAGGCTAAGGTGGGAGGATCACTTGAGCCTGGGAGGTGGAGGTTGCAGTTAGCCGAGATCACCCCACTGCACTCCAGCCTGGGAAACAGAGGGAGATCCTATCTCAAAAAAAAAGAATCGCTTGCTCTTCCTCCATAAGAGGTTGTAGCACATGAGTTCTAAGGTGTGTGACTTTTAGCAGCTCCCCACTTAGGGTTTAAAATAACTTTCTGGTTGAAATTTTAAAAAAGGAAAGTAAGGAAGGAAGAAAAGGGAACCTCCCACTGCAGCCCACACAACCCCAACAAGAAAAGGAGGCCTCCTGCTCCCCAGCCCAGCCTCAAGCCCACTTAATCTCTCTTTGGAGACAGGAACAGAGGAATTGTTCAAGGAGAAATCAAGTGGGAAGCTCTTGGAGCTGAAGAGCCTGCAAGCCAATCCACTTCAAGTTTCTCATGTAACAGGTGGGAAAATAGAGGCTTGGAGAGGGGACATGGTTTGTCCAAGGCCACCCAGCAAGTTAGGGGCAGAAGCAGTGCCAGAATCATAGAGGCAGGAGAGACCTTGAAAGCACCTACCCCAGAGTTACACCTTCGAGGGCCCCCCAGGGAATGTCTAGAAGAGGCACAGATCAGCTATTCCCTCTCCACTGGCCACAGGCCAGGCACCTGAGCCAAGCTGGGCGGATGAGAATCCATCCTAGAACTTTTGTTGGTCAAAGGAGTCATCCATCTTTGCATCTCTCCACAGGTGTAGAGTCTGCCACTTTTTAAAAATAATTGTATATAAAATTAGCTGGGTGTGGTGGCATGCACCTGTAATCCCAGTTACTTGAGAGGCTGAGGCAGGAGAATCGCTTGAGAGGCTGAGGCAGGAGAATCGCTTGAGAGGCTGAGGCAGGAGAATCACTTGAACCGGGGAGGTGGAGGTTGCAGTGAGCCAAGATTGTGCCACTGCACTCCTGCCTGGGTGACAGAGTGAGACTCTGTCTCAAACAAACAAACAAACAAATAAATAAATAAAACAATTGTGTACAATACACATAACCTAAAATTTACCATCTTAACCTTTTTTTTTTTTTTTTCCTGTACAGATGGAGTCTCACCATATTGCCCAGGCTGGTCTGGAAGTCCTTGCCTCAAGTGATCCTACCACCTTGGCCTCCCAAAGTGCTGGGATTGCAGGCGTGAGCCACTGTGCCACTCATTAACCTGTTTGAAGTGTACAGTTTAGTAGTGTTCAGTACATTCTCACTGTCATGCAACAAATTTGCTACTTTTGACAGACATGAATATAAGTTTCTTGAAACACTTCTTATACTCCTGTCTAAGAAAAACAACAGTGAACAAAGTGATAAATGGTAACAGACACTGGTGCTTGGAGCCAGGGAGACAAGAGGGAGTGGTGGAAGCTATGGCAAACAGGAAAACCCAAACCCCTTCTAGGAGACAGTCACTAATCAGCTCCAATCTGCTTTTGCCTGCAGGAATGCTACATCATCTATACAGGAAAACACTTAATTTTTTTTTTTTGAGACAGAGTTTCGCTCTTGTTACCCAAGCTGGAGTGCAATGGCATGATCTCGGCTCACTGCAACCTCCGCCTCCCAGGTTCAAGTGATTCTCCTGCCTCAGCCTCCAAATCCAAAGTAGCTGGGATTACAGGTGTGTGTCACCACACCTAGCTAATTTTTTGTGTGTATTTTTAGTAGAGACAGGGTTTCAACATGTTGGTCAGGCTGGTCTCAAACTCCTGACCTCAAGTGATCCAACTGCCTCAGCCTCCCAAAGTAAGAAAAACCTGATTTTTTTAACTTTTCTTTTCAAAACTCAAAATTCAAAACAGTTGAAAAGGTACAGAAAATGTCTCCCTCCTACTACAGTTTCCCACTCCACAGGTAACCACAATTACTGATTTATTGTGGATAAAGTGTCTTTATAATTATACAAACAAATAGTAACATAAACATACCTTTTTTCCGTGTTTTATCCCATTTTACATAAAAGAGAGCATAACAAACACATTGTTTTACACCGTGCTTTTTAATTAAATAATCTATCCTAAAGAATCTTTTTTTTTCTTTTTTTTCTTTGAGACAGAGTTTTGCGCTATCACCCAGGCTGGAGTGCAGTGGCACAAACAGAGCTCATTGCAGCCTCGACCTCTTGGGTTCAAGCAATCCTCTCACCTCAGCCTCCCAAGTAGCTGGGACTACAGGCACGTGCCACCATGCCTGGCTAATTTTTTTATTTGTAGAGATGGGGGTCTCACTATGTCACTCAGGCTGGTCTCAAACTGCTGGGCTCAAGTGATCCTCCTGCCTTGACCTCCTAAAATGCTGGAATTACAGGTGTGAGCCACCATACCCAGCCAAGAATCTTCTTTATTAGTACATAGACTATATGTATCCTCATTATTTTTACAGTTGCACAGCTGTATTCCACCATACGGATGATCTATTTTTTTGCAGTGTTTTTTTGTTTTGTTTTGTTTTTGTTGTTTTGTTTTTTTTTTTAGACGGGGTCTCACTCTGTTGCCCAGGCTGGAGTGCAGTGGTGTGATTATGGCTCATTGCAGTCTCAAACTCCTGGGCTCAAGCTGTCCTCCTGCTTTGGCCTCCCAAAGTGCTGGGATTACAGGCATGAGCTACCTTGACTGGTTGGATGACCCATATTTGATTTAACCCACCCCCATTTAGATTGTTTTTCTAGACTGTTGCATTTTAAACAATGCTGCATAGGTATTGATAGTGCTGAGCACTATTTACAATAGCAAAGGCATGGAACCAACCCAAATGTCCATCAATGATAGATAGGATAAAGAAAAGGTGGTACATATACACCATGGAATACTATGCAGCCATAAAAAAGAATAAGATCATGTCCTTTGCAGGGACATGGATGAAGCTGGAAGCTATCATCCTCAGCAAAGTAACACAGGAACAGAAAACCAAACACTGCATGTTCTCACTCATAAGTGGGAGTTGAACAACAAGAACACATGGATACAGGAGGGGAACAACACATACCAGGGCCTTTTGGGAGTTGCAGGGTAAGCGGGGAGAGAGCATTAGGACAAACACCTAATGCACGCTGGGCTTAAAACCTAAATGACAGGTTGATAGGTGCAGCAAACCACCATGGCACATGTATACCTATGTAACAAACCTGCAAACTCTGCACATGTATCCCAGAACTTAACGTAAAATTAAAAAGTAAAATAAAATAAACAATGCTGCCTGAATAACCTCCTACATATATATTTTTCACATATGCAAATGTATCTGTAACTAAATTCTCCAAATTAGAATTTCTGTATGTGCATTTCTAATATGTAAGGAATTTGCCTACTTGTCCCCTCATAGTGGTTGTACCAAGATCCATTCCTGCAGCCATGTATGAGGGACTATTTTTTTCACAATTACACACCTTATTGTTTTAATACTGATTTAAAAAACTAAAACAAAACAAAATAAAAATAATGTGCGATACAAACAAACATGCCAGTGGGCCACATCAAGCCAGCAGGCCCCAACTTTCCCAACTCCAACTCTTCAAAGCCCAGAATGTTGAGTGACTCGCCTCAAGTTGCCCAGGACTTGAATCTGCACTGTCTGATTTCTATGGCTGCACCTGATCCGCTTCCCAGCTGACTACTAACTTCTGGGATCCCTCAACTTTGGCAGTGAGAAACTGTGGCTTCTGCAAAGTCACGTGGAGCCTTTGTCCGTTCAAAAAGTTGAAAAAGTTCCAATCTTACTTGAGGGTGGTGACTGTGGATGGGGCTGCCCCACATCCACCAAGTGCCCTGCTCTCAGATGTCAGCTTGTGTTGTGTAACAACCAACCGTAAAAATCATATTTAGGCAGGGCACAGTGGCTCACGCCTGTAATCCCAGCACTTTGGGAGGCCAAAGCAGGCAGGTCACTTGAGGTCAGGAATTCGAGACCTACCTGGGTAACATGGCAAAACCCTGTCTCTACTATGAAAAATACAAAAATTAGCTGGGTGCAGTGGCAGGTGCCTGTAATCCCAGCTACTCAAGAGACTGAAGCATGATAATCACTTGAACCCGGGAGGCAGAGGTTGCAACAAGATGAGATTGTGGCACTGCACTCCAGCCTGGGCAACAGAGTGAGACTCCATCTCAAAAAAAAAAAAAAAAAAAAAAAAAAAACCATATTTACTTCTGTTCTTTTATCCAAGTGCTTGAGGAAGCTTAGGATTCAGACAGACTTGGAGCGTCAGTCCTGGCTCAACCTCCTGCAAGCTGTATGATTTTGGGTAATTTACTTGTCCCTCCTAAGCTTCAGTTTTCTTAACTATAATATGGAGATAATAATAGTCTATATTGTGAATTGTGCTTGGTAATCACACCAGACACAAAATATATACCTTTAAACATTAGAGTCAGGTCCAGCTCACCAAAATACTCAGGCTATGAAAGGCTGACAAGATTCAGGGCACCTCGGCCGGGCGTGGTGGTTCACGCCTGTAATCCCAGCACTTTGGGAGGCCAAAGCAGGCAGGTCACTTGAGGTCAGGAATTCGAGACCTACCTGGGTAACATGGCAAAACCCTGTCTCTACTATGAAAAATACAAAAATTAGCTGGGTGCAGTGGCAGGTGCCTGTAATCCCAGCTACTCAAGAGACTGAAGCATGATAATCACTTGAACCCGGGAGGCAGAGGTTGCAACAAGATGAGATTGTGGCACTGCACTCCAGCCTGGGCAACAGAGTGAGACTCCATCTCAAAAAAAAAAAAAAAAAAAAAAAAAAAACCATATTTACTTCTGTTCTTTTATCCAAGTGCTTGAGGAAGCTTAGGATTCAGACAGACTTGGAGCGTCAGTCCTGGCTCAACCTCCTGCAAGCTGTATGATTTTGGGTAATTTACTTGTCCCTCCTAAGCTTCAGTTTTCTTAACTATAATATGGAGATAATAATAGTCTATATTGTGAATTGTGCTTGGTAATCACACCAGACACAAAATATATACCTTTAAACATTAGAGTCAGGTCCAGCTCACCAAAATACTCAGGCTATGAAAGGCTGACAAGATTCAGGGCACCTCGGCCGGGCGTGGTGGTTCACGCCTGTAATCCCAGCACTTTGGGAGGCTGAGGCGGGCGGATCACGAGGTCAGGAGATCGAGACCATCCTGGCTAACATGGTGAAACCCCGTCTCTACTAAAAATACAAAAAACTAGCCGGGCGTGGTGGCGGGCACCTGTAGTCCCAGCTACTCGGGAGGCTGAGGCAGGAGAATGGCGTGAACCTGGGAGACGGAGCTTGCAGTGAGCCGAGATCATGCCACTGCACTCCAGCCTGGGTGGCAGAGCAAGACTCTGTCTCAAAAAAAAAAAAAAAAAGATTCAGGGTACCTCTCTCACTTGTTCTCCTCCGTGACATACCTTCACTGAGACAAGAGCAGTGGGCAGAATCATCCACATGCGTCACACCATGTTGTGGTTTTTTTTCACTGAGCACATAGAGTTGGATACGTATAAGTTGAATATACATGTAAAGCAATTCCTTTCTATATTTGCAGTGTTTGTGCAACTAGATTGTACACTCCTTGAAGGAAGGAATTGTCTTCCAGTTGGCAAGACAGGCTTGAGATCAACTAAGTATTTTACAAGACAGAACAAGATAAGTGGCCGGGATCGGCAGCTCATGCCTGTAATCTCAGCACTTGGGGAGGCCGAGGCAGGCAGATCACTAGAGGTCAGGAGTTCAAGAGCAGCCTGGCTAACATGGTGAAACCCCATCTATACTAAAAAATATAAAAAATTAGCCGGGTATGGTGCCAGGCACCTGTAATTCCAACTATTCAGGAGGCTGAGGCAGGAGAATCACTTGAATCTGGGAGGCAGAGGTTGCAGTGAGCCGAGATCGTGTCATTGCACTCCAGCCTGGGCAACAGAGCGAGACTCTGTCTCAATAAACAAATAAATAAATAAATAAATAACAAAATAAGCAATGGGTACAAAGTGCCATGAGGAAGGACAACCTGTTCAAACAGAGCCCCGGAAGTATTTCCGGAGGCTCCTGAGTCAGCCCTTTCAGGAGGGTAAGAGGATGAAAGAGGAAGTAACATTTACTCAACAGCAATTTGCTGGGCACTCTGTTTCCTGATTTTATTTTTTTCTGTTTAATTTTTTTTCTCTTTTCAAAATAACACCATGTACCAGTCAGCTTTGGCTACATAACAAACTCTCATTTATTTCTTGCTCATGGATCTGTGGATTTTCTGAGGAGATGCTGTTGGTCTCATGAGCTCAGCTGGGCCTCTGGCCATTGGACTCAGCTCTGATCTACCCTGCGTGTCACTCATCCTTTGGGACTTGTGGGCTACTCAGGGCATGTTCTCAGTATCATGAAAGCCAGGCACACAAGGGAAAAGTTCACCTCCACTGTACATTTCAAACCTTTGTTTGGTTCATGTCCACTGCCATCTCAGTGGCCAAAGCAAGTCACATGGCCAAGACTAAAGATGAGATGGAGAAGTCCATTCATTCCAGGGAAATGGAAGAGGAAAAGGGAAATGTTTGCTCTACGGCAGTCTAATCTACAGCAACAAGTAATACAGGAGTGCAGTCTTATTAAAAATTCAAGCAAGAGGCCGGGTGCAGTGGCTCACTCCTGTAATCCCAGCACTTTGGGAGGCCAAGACGGGCAGGTCACCTGAGGTCAGGAGTTCAAGACCGGCCTGGCCAACATGGTGAAACCCAGTCTCTAGTAAAAATACAAAAAAAAAAAAAAAAAAAAGCCGGTATGGTGGCGGGCGCCTATAATCCCAGCTACTTGGGAGGCTGAGGCAGGAGAATAGCTTGAACCCTGGAGGTGGAGGTTGCAGTGAGCTGAGATTGTGCCACTTCACTCTAGCCTGGATGACAATAGCGAGACTCTGTCTCAAAAAAAATAAATAAATAAAAATTAAAAAAATAAAAATTCAAGCAAGAAAATATAAAAGCACAACAACAGCGGAAAATACGTCACCATGCTCCTCATCCCACCATCTTCCCCCTACTCCCTAGAGGTAAACACTTTTCCCAGGCGTTTACACACAGAGAAAGCTATTTTGCCCCCTTGGTGCCGAGACAGTCTTGCTCTGTCACCCAGGCTGGATTACAGTGGGGCAATCGCAGCCCACTGCAGCCTCTACCTCCTGGGCTCAAGCAATCCTCCCATCTCAGCCTCCCGAGTAGCTGGGACTACAGGCATGCTACCACACCCAGGTCAGAAACGTTTACTTAATACAATGAGATCATTCTACATGTATTTGTACCTGACAATTATAAGCATCTAGTCATGTAATTATTATATGGACTCTACAATTAGGCATTTGGGGTCACCATTTTATAAATGAGGAATCTGGGGTTAAAATGCTTATCCAAGATCACCCACCTCTTACATAGCTGAACCAGAATTCGAACCCACGACTTTCCAAAAATTCTTTTGATTTACAGTGAGCTGCCTCTATAAAAGCACAAGAGGTTGCACCACAAAACCTGTTGTTATCAGCCCCCTACATTTATCCTTTGGGACCACAGAGGAGGGGTGTCCGTGTGTGTGTGTGTGTGTGTGTGTGTGTGTGTGTGTGTGTGTGTGTGTAGGGGGTGGGTGGTGTCGTGTGATTTAGGAGAGTGTTCACTATGACTAGCGTTGTGGCGGGAGTTTGGGAGACATGATGAAGAGGAGGAAAGACCTTCACCCTCAGGTCACTTACAATTAAGCCAAAGAAACCAGGAGCCTCTCTTGAAGCAGTTTAATAAGATGGCAGGATGTGGCCAGGCATGGTGGCTCCCACCTGTAATCCCAGCACTTTGGGAGGCTAAGGCAGGCAGATGACTTGAGGTCAGGAGTTTGAGACCAGCCTGACCAACATGGTAAAACCCGGTCTCTACTAAAAATACAAAAATTAGCTGGGCATGGTGACACACGGCTATAGTCCCAGCTACGGGGGAGGCTGAGGCAGGAGGATCACTTGAACCCAGGAGGTGGAGGTTGTAGTGAGCCGAGATCACACCACTGCACTCCACCCTGGGCAACGGGAGTGAAACTGTGTCTCAAAAAAAAAAAAAGAAAGAAAAGAAAAGATGGTGGGATGTGCTAGTGTAAGCCTTGGGTACCCATGGGGAGTTTTATTATCTGTCTGTCTCAAAGCTGTCCCTTGACAGAGAGCTCAGCCAGAAGCTAGTATCCCTGATCAGAGTTTGGGGAGGACACAGGTCTTAGCCATCTTCCCAGAAAATGGGTAAGACTGAGCGAAAGGAGAAAGAACGTACTCTCACATGAAGTGGGAACAGTGACAAATACTACAGTCTTCAGCAGCATCCGGTGTGACATGAGTGTGCGCTCAGGGGGCTTCATTCAGACTGGGTGTCAGGGAAGGTTTCTTGGGGAATGAACATTCCAGCCAAAACCTGAAGGCCAAGTGGGAAGCAGCTGAAGAACAAGGGAAGAGAGATCCCCGCAGAGGGAACGGCGGGTGCGAAAGCATTGAAGCTGGAGAGGGCTGGGCATTGTAGACACAGAAAGGAGGGCAGCAGGGTAAGGATGACTGTGAGGAGGAAAGGAGAAGGCTGAGCAGCTGGCAGACGCTGGGCTGTGCAGGGACTTGAGCTAAGCTGTTTAGGGAAAGGTGTGACATGACCACAAGCTGGTGCCAGAGTGACCACAGAAGAGTGGCTTCCTGGGCATCTAAGAGGGCACAGTCAGGGCGGTAAGTGGCTTAGAAGCAGGGCCGCGATCAGTATTGTGTACGTTGTGTGATGACTCTGGAGGGGACTGAATCTGGGTATGCAGCTAAACATTCAAGTTCTCAAAAGCGTGTTTCAAATAGCAAAACTGGAGAAGCCCTTTAATGGAGTTTGAAAAAGGCACAGGAGAGAAGTCTGACGTGTTTCAGTGCAGGGTAAGGGAAGAAGTGGGGAGGGATTGGGTTTGGAGGGTGTCACGAGGCGACAGGTGAGCCGAACAAATAGGACATTGCTAAGCAAGGCTGGGAAGAAAGGGACGACGGGCAGAAGGCACAGCAAAGGCCAAGGCGGGGTGTTTGGAACATGCCCAGCTGGTGTGGAGAAGAGACTGGGAAGGATTCAAGCTCAGGCTCCTGGAGGAGAAAGGCATAGGGGAATGCTGGACCGTTCACCTGGGGGTTGGTTATGCAGAGCCTCCGATGCCTGACATGGGAACGAGGGAGTGGCCTGATCAGATGGTTCGTAATAACTTGGCAGATTCACCTCCTGTGCTCTCTCACCCCAAGGGACTTGAGTGAGTCATTGGGGCCCTTCCTCCTCTCCCTCCACACAAACACACGACTTTTGGGGAGGCCAAGGTGGCAGATGGGGGTGATAGATCCTGTAATCCTATCCCCAGTCCAGGGGTCAGGAAGTTCTTTCCCCAGCAGGCTCCCACCCAAGACTGCTGTTAAGACTGAGGTTGGAGAAGTGTTTTTCTCATCCACCCAGCCTCAGGTGGGCAGGACGGGAGCCAACCAGAGCCCTCTGGAGACAGTTCTGTCTGTGGGATCCGCCCTTTGGAGGACACAAATGAAACCCAATGCAACATAAAAGATGGCAAGAGGTGGCCAAGTGCTTATCTTATCAAACAAACTGCTCCTTGGAACCAAAGAAAGGGAATAGAGCTTTGCTTGTTTTCTCTTTTTATCTTCCTGATTAATTGCCAGCAAGGGGTCTGTGGGATGGGTGGTGGTTGAGGGCGACTCTTGGATGTGTGATCTCGCCTGGGAGGCAGGTAGGTTTCCCAGTCACCCTGGATTTTTAACATTTTCTTGTTGGAAGTCACATCCTCAAGCAAACTCTTAGGCACTATTTAGGGAGCACTCCCCAAACAGCTCCATTATGGCCTAAATATTCTTGGGAAGATGAAAAGGGGAAAAGACTATCATTGCTCAAAACAAGTCTATAATCTAGATGGAAGCAGGTAAAGAGGCACAATATTTACCATCTTTTATTTTTACAGGGTCTTTATCTATTTCCATCACTTAACCATGAGCTCTTTGGGAACCAGAACCCAGTCAGAACCATTGGGGTATCTGAATCTGGACCCAAGCATGTAGTGGGGCTCAGTCTACCTGTCACCTCATTCAGGATTCTTTCAGTTGTAAGTATTAGCAACTCAGCTCAAAAAGGCTTCATTGAAAAGTATGATATATAGGCCGGGCGCAATGGCTCACACCTGTGATCCCAACACTTTGGGAGGCTGAGACGGGTGGATCACCTGAGGTCAGGAGTTCAAGACCAGCCTGACCAACATGGTGAAACCCCCTCTCTACTAAAAATACAAAATTAGCCAGGCGTGGTGATTCACATGCCTATAATCTCAGCTACTCAGGAGGCTGAGGCAGGAGAATTGCTTGAACCCAGAAGGTGGAGGTTGCAGTGAGCCAAGATCGTGCCATTGCACTCCAGCCTGGTCAACAAGAGCGAAACTCCATCTCAAAAAAAAAAAAAGAAAGAAAAAAAAGTATGATATATTAACTCACGGAATAGAGAAATCCAGGTCTAGAATGACTTCAGGCATGGATAGATCTAGGAGTCAAAGAACATCACCAAGATCAGACTTTCTTTTCCCTCAGCACTTTTTTCTGCACTCTTTGTGCCAGCCTCAGTTAGATTCTAACTCAGTGGTGGCTCTCAGTGGCAAAATAGCTTAGCAACACCAGTTGGGTTTCTTTTCTCCCAATAGTAATAGAAATGCTTAAACTGGCTCTAGCTGGATCAGTGTGGGTCACATGCTGATCTCTGATACAATCACTGGGCAGGGAAATGGGCTACACTGATTGGCCTGGTGTAGGCCCCATGTCCATTTCATATTTGTTACATTAATAAATACGAAAGATTAGAGACAGCAATAAAACATTTTACATTTGAACAATAGAGCAACTAGAGTGATCCTTTTTAAAACCTACAACAAATCATTTGACTCCTCTGCTCTAAAAGCTCCTCACTCAGAACAAAAGCCCAAGTTCTTCAGAACAAAAGCCCAAGTTCTGAGCCAGGCGTGGTGGCTCACGCCTATAATCCCAGCACTTTGGGAGGCTGAGGCGGGCGGATCACCTGAGATCAGGAGTTTGAGACCAGCCTGGCCAACATGGCGAAGCTCCATCTCTACTAAAAATACAAAAATTAGCCGGGCATGGTGGTGTATGCCTATAATCCCAGCTACTTGGAAGGCTGAGGCAGGATAATCGCTTGAACCCAGGAAGCGGAGGTTGCAGTGAGCTCAGATCACACCACTGCACTCCAGCCTGGGCAACAGAGTGAGACTCTGTCTCACACACAAAAAAAGCCCAAGTTCTTACAATAGCCCACAAGGCCCTACCCAACATGCACCCTGCCCCAACCCCAGTTATTCACTGACCTCCTAGTCTCCCCTTCGTTCACTCTGCTCCAGCCAGGCTGCTCTCCTTGCATAGCCACAAAAAGTATACATGCAGTAGCCTCATTTTCTTTGCTAATAAAATGAGACCTCTTCTAGTAGACACCTGATACTTTGCCCAGAATTCCCCTTTTTCTTTTTTTTTGAGATGGAGTCTCACTCTGTTGCCTAGGCTGGAGTGCAGTGGCACGATCTCGGCTCACTGAAACCTCCACCTCCCTGGTTCAAACGATTCTCCTGCCTCAGCCTCCCGAGTAGCTGGGATTACAGGCACGTGCCACCACACCCAGTTAATTTTTTGTATTTTTAGTAGTGATGGGTTTCACTGTGTTAGCCAGGATGGTCTTGATCTACTGACCTTGTGATCCATCCGCCTCAGCCTCCCAAAGTGCTGGGATTATAGGCATGAGCCACCGCGCCCGGCCACATTCCCCTTTTTCTGGCAACTCTCTGGCATCTGCCCTACCACACCTTCCTTCCATGTGTTTTAGGAAGTGTTGACCTATCCCAGATCCAGAGATGGACGTGTGACTTAGGCCTGGCCAATCAGAACATCCAACAGCATTCCAGAACCACTCATAGCATGTGGTTCAGGGATGGGCATGTGACCCAACTCAATCTAATGAGATTCAATCCTGAACCTTTATTGGGATGATTAGAAATGAAAAGCTTTCTGTATGTTGATATTATTAGAAGGATAATGGAAGTATTGAGGCTCCCAAGCCACCCGCTGGAGAGAAAACTCACTTGTGAGTAAAATCAGTGCCAGGGAAAGCAGAGCGGTGAAGCAGGAAGAGGAAAACTGAGTTCCGGTGACATCTTTGAGCCCCTGGATTCAGCCATGCCTGAATCCCACTAGACTTTTCAGTTACATATTGTAGTAGGTACCCTTCTTTGCTCAAGCCATTGTGACTTGGGTTGTAGTCACTTGTAACCAAGAGACCATTTTGAAGGGCTGCTATTGCGAGGATTAAATGAGATGGTGAATTACATGAAGTGTTTAGTACAATACGTGCTCCAAAAGAAAAAGTCATTATTATTTTGCAGTTTCATCTTCCATACACATATTTAAATCTGTTTTCCCTTTTACGTTCTTTACCTAAGAAAAAAATGTTTAAACTTATCTATAATCAAAGCTGGTATTCACTTGGGACCAGTGTAGTTATACTGGTTATTTAAATACTGAAATACATTCATAATAGTTGATAAACAGTACTGTTCTGAATCTCCCACATGCTCTGTGGCTCTCCAGAATGCACCCAACTCGTCTGTTGGAATCCTCTAGCTCATTCTACTATCTAGCACCTAAAAGGTTAACACCAGGTCTAGCAGGGCCTCCTGTATTCTGTTTATGATTAGCGTCTCATTCATGCTACATATTTTTAATATCACCTCTGGGTACATCTGTCAACTCGTCAATATGCCTGCATTAAATGGAAACACTAAATTATCAACAGCTCCATGAAATAAGACCCTTACTCCCCTCCAAATCACCAATTATTGATAACTATGTAACCTCTTCTGATCCTAAAAATGCCAGAGACATAATTATGCACAGTGGTGACAAAGCAGGCATGGGCACCAGGCCAAGTCCTATCTTTCCCCTTCCTGTTACTTTACAGAGCCTCTACCCTTATTTCTACATCATGGTCATATTTGTCATTCCTAGTTGCAATCTGATATTCCTTTGTTTTAATACACTATGGCTGGCCTAACTCTTCCTCCATGGTGGGACATATGGTCCATTTTTGTTCAGCTTTTCAAATGTTAAAAACTCACTCTGCTGGAAATTGAATTTCCATGTGGTGCCCATCTTTCTGGTAATAAGCCATGGATTTCCTTCCTGATTCAAACTTCAGTTTTGTGAATCACAAGACACAGTTTAACTTTTTGTCTGCAAATGTTTTCTGTTGCTGTTCTTTGAAATAAGAACCCATGTGCTCAATTGTGTAATGCTGTAGTTTAATAAATTATTCATTTTGACTCTAAGTCCACAAAGGACTCAAAGTGGTTTATACAAATATATACACCTTGAAATCAATACATGAGGTGGTCAAGGAGAAGGAAAAATAAGGAGTAGTATATCCGATTGGTATTGTGTTCAGCTGCTGGTAAGAGAGACCAGGAATAACAGTGGCATAAACACCACAGATGTTTATTTTTCTCTTACACAAATGAAATCTAGAGAGAGGAAACCCAGAGCTGATGTGGTAGCTCCACAAAATTGAGGATACGATCTCTTTCTATCATCCTGCCTCACTATCCTTAGAATGTGGCCTCCATCCTAAAGTCCACCTCGTGCTGCAGGATGACTGCAGGAGCTCCAGCTATTGCAGCCACATTTCGGGCAGCAAGAAGAAGGAAATGAAAAAATCCTGTAATCCCAGTTTTCTTTAAGGATCATTTTGGAAGTTCCAGCCCAAAACTTCAGCTTACATATAATTGGCCAGAATGTAGTCCTAGCTACAAAGGAGGCTGAGAAATGTAATCTCTTAGTTGTGCCTGATGCCACCCCAAATAAAGTTCAGGGCTTATTTACTAGGAAAGAAGGGCAAATGGATAATACATAGGCCACTAGTCATTTCTGCCACAGGTAAGAAAATGAAATAAAGCGAGACATTTAGCTGGTTCACAAAACTGCCTACTATAAGGACCTTTAAGGTGTCCAGCTGCCAAATTGTCTCTGAGAATCCTAGTAATGATAGCAGAAGGGGAATCTATGACTAAATACTAAGTGTAATATCTAAGCAAAGAGAGCAAACCATTGCTAAAAAAAAAAAAAAAAAAAAAAAAAAAAGCTTCTTTTCTCAATACAGAGATTAAAAAGCAACTCTACCCACAGGTCTTTGTGAGGAAGACATGGGACATGTGGACGATATCCTCACAATATTTCTGCAATAATGAAACAACATGATTCTGGGACTTGCTTCAAATATTCAGCGTGGGGGAGTGGGTAGGAGTATAGCGAAAACCAGATGGGCCATGAGTTGATAATTGTTGGACTGGGTGATGGAGACTGCTTTGTTATATGTTTCCCTTTACTGTGGTGTACATTTAACATTTTTCCATAATAAAAAAAGAATTTAAACCCAGCAATAAATCCTTTCCAACAATTGCTTTTTAAAATGCTCCTTTTAATAAACTTGCTTTTAAGTTCAATTGACAGGTGGTTTTTATCATAACTCCTCCCTCATATTTTTGGCCTTTGTATCTACTGTCCTTATTTATTAACTTATTTTTAACAGTTTTATTGAGATAGAATTTACATACAATTCATTTTTTTTTTTTTTTTGAGACAGGGTCTCACTCTGTCACCCAGGCTGGAGTGCAATGGTACGATCTCAGCTCACTACAACCTCTGCCTTCCGGGTTCAAGGGATTCTCCTGCCTCAGCCTCCTGAGTAGCTGGGTCTACAGGCACCTGCCACGACGCCCAGCTAATTTTTGTACTTTTAGTAGAGACGGGGTTTCACCCTATTGGCCGGGCTGGTCTCAAACGCCTGACTTTATGATCTGCCCACCTTGCCCTCCCAAAGTGCTGGGATTACAGGCGTAAGCCACAGCACCTGGCCTACAATTCATCTTTAAGTGTGCAATTCAATGGTTTCTTGTAGTTGTGCAACCATCACTACAATCTAATTTCGGAATGTTTTCATCACTCTCAAAAGAAACCCCATCCCCATCTCTACCCATGCTCCTTTCCCCACCCCCACCCCCAGCCCTAGACAACTACTAATCTACTTTCTGTCTCTATGCACTCCCCTATTCTGTATATATCATACAGATCATCATACAATATGTTTTTTATGACGAGCTTCTTCCACTTAACATGATGTCTTCAAGCTTCATCCATGCTACAGCATGTATCAGTTCTTTATAACTTTTTACAGCTAAAGAATATTCCATTATTTTGATATACATTTTGTTTAGACAACCATCAATTGATGGACATTTGCATTGCTTCCAGGTTTGGGGTATTATGAATTATGTTGTTAAGAATCTTCATGTTGCTGGGCGCGGTGGCTCACGCCTGTAATCCCAGCACTTTGGGAGGCGGAGGCAGGCGGATCACGAGGTCAGGAGATCAAGACCATCCTGGCTAACACGGTGAAACCCCGTCTCTACTAAAAATACAAAAAATTAGCCGGGTGTGGTGGCGGGCGCCTGTAGTCCCAGCTACTCGGGAGGTTGAGGCAGGAGAATGGCGTGAACCCAGGAGGTGGAGCTTGCAATGAGCCGAGATCGCGCCACTGCACTCAAGCCTGGGCAACACAGTGAGACTCCGTCTCAAAAAAAAAAAAAAAAAAAAAAAAAGAGAGAATCTTCATGTTTCTATGAAGTTTCTATGTGTATGTATATTTTTGTGTCTCTGGGGTATATATACCTAGGAGTAGAATTGCTGGGTTAAATGGCAATTCTATGCTTAATATTTTGAGGAACTGCCAAACTGTTTTCCAAAGTGGCTGTGGTATCTTACATTTTTGCCAGCAATATATAAGGACTGCAACTTCTCCACAGCCTCACTGACACTTGTTATTATCTGTCTTTTATTTTATCCTCACTAGTGGGTGTGGACTGGTATTTCATTGTGGCTTTAATTTGCATTTTCCCAGTGATAATAAATTTAATCATCTTTTCATAAGCTTATTGGTCATTTGTATATCTTCTTTAAAGGAGTGTCTATTCAAATTCTTTGTCCATCCTTCAGTTGGGTTGTCCTTTTTTTTTTTTTTTTTTTAGATGAAGTCTTGCTCTGTCACCCAGGCTGAAGCGCAGTGATGCAATCTTGGCCCACTGCGACCTCTCAGCCTCCCGGGTTCAAGCGACTCTCTTGCCTCAGCCTCCAGGCAGCTGGAATTACAGGCACATGCCACCACGCCCAGCTACTTTTTGTATTTTTTTAGTAGAGACGGGGTTTCACCATGTTGGCCAGACTGGTCTTAAACTCCTGACCTCAGGTATCTGTCCACCTTGGCCTCCCAAAGTGCTGGGATTACAGGCATGAGACACCGTGCCTGGCCCATTGTCTTTTCATGATCAAAACCACAAATAGAAAGGGCATTGTAAAAAATCCCACAGCTAACATCATACTTGATGGTGAATGAATGCTTTCCCCCTAAAATTAGCAACAAGACAAGATGTCTGCTCTCATTGCATCTATTAATTATTGTACTGGACATTCTAGCCAGGGCAATTACATAAGGGGGAAAAGGCATCCAGTTTAGAAAGGAAGACATAAAATTTTATTCTACTTTCAGATGTCTTGATCCTGTATATTATAAATGGCATGGAATCCACTAAAAATTGTTAGAATTAATAAACAAGCTTAGCAAAGCTGTGGGATATAAGATCAACATACAAAAATTTATCTCTATGAAGTGTCAATGAAAAATCAGAAAATAAAATTAAGCAAACAATTCATTTTACAATAGCATCAAAAAGGATAAAATACTTAGGAATAAATTTACAGAAGTACAAAACTTATGCTGTGAAGACTTGAAAACACTGTTGAAATATTAAAGAAGACCGAAATAAAAGGAAAGTCATTGCATTTTCATGGACTGATAGACTTAATATTATCAATGTAGCAATACTCCCCAAACTAATCTACAGGTTTAAAGCAATTCCTATAAAACTCCCAGCTGGGGCCGGGCGCAGTGGCTCAGGCCTGTAATCCCAGCACTTTGGGGGGCTGAGGTGGGCAGATCACGAGGTCAGCAGATCCAGACCATCCTGGCTAACACGGTGAAACCCCGTCTCTACTAAAAATACAAAAAACTAGCCAGGCGTGGTGGTGGACGCCTGTAGTCTCAGCTACTCGGGAGGCTGAGGCAGGAGAACGGCCGTGAACTCAGGAGGCGGAGCTTGCAGTGAGCCGAGATCACCACTGCACTCCAGCCTGGACGACAGAGCAAAACTCCGTCTAAAAAAAAAAAAAAAAAAAATCCCAGCTGGTTTCTTTTTAGTTGGCTGACCCTAAAATTCATGTGGAAATATAAGCAACCCAGAACAGCCAAGACAACTTTGACAAATAACAAAATTGGAAAACTCACAATTCCTGATTTTAAAACTTACTATAAGGTCACAATAATCAAGACAGTGTGGCGTTGGCATAAGGATAGACAGATAAGTCAATGGAACAGATTAAGAGGACAGAAATAAACCCTTACATTTATAGTCAGTTGACTTATTACAATGGAACCAAAATAGTTTGATGTGACAATATAATCTTTTCAATAAGTGGTCACGTGAAAACAATGAGTTTGGACTCCTTCATCACATCATATGCAAACAATAACTAAAAGTGGATCACAGACCTAAGGATAAGAACTAAAACTATAAACTTCTTAGAAGAAAACATTGGAATAAATATTTGTGACTTTGGGTAAAGCAAGGCCTTGTTACATATGATGTCAAAAAATATAAATGACTAAAGAAAAACAATAGATACATTGGACTTCATCAGAATTAAACACTTGTGTTTCAAAGGACACTATCAAGAAAGTTAAAAGACAAGCAACTGAATGGGAGGAAATATTTGCAAATCATATGTGATAAAGGGCTTATATCCAGAATATCTAAAGAATACAACCCAATAGTAAAAAGACAAATAAACCGGCAGGGCACGGTGGCTCATGCCTGTAATCCTAGCACTTTGGGAGGCAGAGGTGGATGGATCATTTGAGATCAGGGGTTCAAGACCACTACACCTGGCCTAAATCCTGGGTTTTAAATCTGGATAATGTCCATGCATGAAAGAGCCTGACCACCTGTGTTGGACCCCCAGGTCCATTATACCTAGCTGTGTGACCTCAGGCAAATTACTCAACCTCTCTCTGCTTTTGTTATCTCATCTATAAAATGGGGATAAATATAGTAGTACCACTTTTAGGGATGTTTGAGGAGTAAATGAGTTAACGCATATAAAGAAGAGCATAATAAGGAGTCTAATACTAGCCACTATCATCATCATCACTATAGGTCATTTGGATATAACAGATACAGCCCTGGTACAAACATTGTCCTGTTTCACTGTCGTAGGTCCAGCACCTAAAAGAGTGTGTGTGGCATATTGCAGGCGCTTAATAAATATCTCTTGAATAAGTACATGACAGCGAATACATGAATGAATGGATGAAGAAAATATGGGTATAGTAGAGCTTTGGTTTAAAAGTGGAAGATGACAACACCAAATGCTGGCAAGGATGTGGAGCAACAGAAACTCTCATTCATTGCTAGTAGTAATGCAAAATGGCACAGCCACTTCTGAAGACAGGTTGGCAGTTTCTTACAAAACTAAACCTACTCTTACCATATGATCCAGCAATCACACTGTTTGGTATTTACCCAAAGGAATTGAAAACGTATTTCCACACAAAAACCTGTACATCATGTTTATAGCAGCTTTATTCATAGTTGCCAAAATCTTGGAAGCAACCAAGATGTCCTCCAATAGGCAAATGGATGAATAAACTGTGACACCTTCAGACCAGAAACTTTAAAAACAGGGGTCGGGGGTGGGGGCACTATCAAGCCGTGGAAAGACATGGAGGAAACTTAAATGCATATTACTAAGCAAAAGAAGTCTTTCAGTCTGAAAGGCTACATCCTGTCTGATTTCAACGACATGACATTCTGGAAAAGGCAAAACTATGGGGACTGTAAAAAGATTAGTAGTTGCCAGGGGTTAGAGAAAAGGGAGAGATGAATAGTTGGAGCACAGAGGATTTTTAAGGCAGTGAAATTGTTCTGTGTGATACCATAATGGTGGATACATGCCATTATATGTTTGTCAAAACCCATAGAATGTGCAATCCCGAAACCTAATGTAAACTATGGACTCCGGGGGATAATGATGGGTGATAATAATGTGTCAATGTAGGTTCATCAGTTGTAGCAAATATATTATTGTGGTGCAGGATGTCAGTAGTAGGGGAGGTTGTGAATATGTAGGGATGGGGGTATGTTGAAAATTTCTACAGAAATTCTATTTTCCACTCAATTCTGCTGTGAACTTAAAACTGCTCTTAAAAGTAAAGTTTATTCATTAGTGTAAGAAATTCTGGAAGCCTCCGTGGTAAGGCCAGTCACACGCAGGTGCTCTGATGTACCCTAGCACTGGTCATCCAGAGATTGGGCTTCTCACTTCCTTCTCCTGGCAGTGGGCCACTTGCACAGCCAAAGCTAAGAACAGAAGCCTGGCACACCCCCAGGCGCTGGCCAGGCCACCCTTAGTGAGCCAAATACCCCCACCATGGAACCACTGCTCAGCTGGGTCTGGCCACCCAGAAGCACTTACAAACTCTCTGCATCTATGTGTGACCAGAAGCCTGATCTCCCCAGGCCTCATGGTGGTGTTTTTAAAGAAAGCCCCCAGAAGCTAGGCCCAGACAAAATCAGTTCCCAAAGGGACAAAGGCGCTCAGTCTCACAAGTTAAGTAAAAGACAAAAACAGAAGCAAACATTTATATAGCATTAAGCTTGTGTCTGCACTCTTCTTAGCTTTTACAAACATAAATTCATTTAACTTTCTCCACAATCCCACAAGGTAGGGACTAGTATTATCACCATGTTACGGATGAAGAAACTGAGGCACAGAAAGGCTAAGTCAGTAGCCATAAAACCAGTCAATCTGTTAACATGTCAGAGCTGGGTGGTGAATCCAAGCAGGCTGGCTCCAAGACCCTGTTGATCTCTCTGTTGTTCTCCCTTCCATGTACACAGTACTTTACAGTTTGCAAAATCCCTTTAGCAATATAGTATCTCATTTAAGCCTCACAACCATCGGAGGTAGGTAGGGCAGGTAATACTATCTTTAAGAGGAATGGCAATGAGGGAACAGCAAATGAGGAAGCTGAAGCCTAGAGAAGGTAGGTGATTTGCCCAAAGTTGCATGATAAACAGCAAAGGCTCTGGAGGCAGGTGGCATAGGTTCAAACCCCAGCTATTACTGATCAGCCTCATAATCTTGAACAAGTTAATACATACCTCCGTGCCTCAGTTTCCCCATCTTTCTTAGAGTTTTTATGAGGATTAAGCAAGTCAATACATGGAAAGCACTTTATTTAAAATGTTGGTGGCCAGGAGCAGTGGGTCACACCTGTAATCCCAGCACTTTGGGAGGCCAAGGCATGCGGATCACTTTGAGCTCAGGAGTCAGAGACTGGTCAACATGGAAAACATGGCAAAACCTGGCCAACATGGTTGACTCAGCCTGGCCAACATGACAAAACCCTGTCTCTACAAAATATACAAAAATTAGCCAGGCATAGTGGCTCACACCTGTGGTCCCAGCTACTTGGGAGACTGAGGCTGAAAGACAGCTTGAGCCCGGGAAGCAGAGGTTGCAGTGAGCCAAGATCACACCACTGCACTCCAGCCTGGGCGACAGAGTGAGACCCCAACTCAAAATAATAAATAAACAAATAAATAAATAAAAATAAAATGTTGTTTGCCGGGTGCGGTGATTCACGCCTGTAATCCCAGCACTTTGGGAGGCCGAGGTGGGCGGATCACGATGTCAAGAGATGGAGACCATCCTGGCTAACACAGCGAAACCCCGTCTCTACTAAAAATACTAAAACAAAATTAGCCGGGCGTGGTGGCGGGCTCCTGTAGTTCCAGTTCCTGGGGAGGCTGAGGCGGGAGAATGGCGTAAACCCGGGAGGCGGAGCT
The DNA here is from genome assembly GCF_000001405.40 of Homo sapiens. Lineage (NCBI taxonomy): Eukaryota > Metazoa > Chordata > Mammalia > Primates > Hominidae > Homo > Homo sapiens. Next base: position 48,887,888 of record NC_000020.11, read on the forward strand.
TGCAGTGAGCCGAGATCACGCCGCCGCACTCCAGCCTGGGCGACAGAGTGAGATTCCGTCTCAAAAAAATAAATTAAATAAATAAATAAATAAATAATAAAATGCTGGTATTTTGGGCCAAGCACTGTGGGTCACACCTGTTGTATTAGGTTTTCACACTGCTGCTAAAGACACCCGAAACTGGGAACAAAAAGAGGTTTAATTGGACTTACAGTTCCACATGTCTGGGGAATTTCTCAGAATCATTGTGCAGGGCGAAAAGCACTTCTTACATGGTGGCCGCAAGAAAGAATGAGGGAAGAAGCAAAAGCAGAAACCCCTGATAAACCCATCAGATCTCGTGAGACTTATTCACTATCACGAGAATAGCACGGGAAAGACTGGCCCCCATGATTCAATTACCTCCCTCTGGGTCTCTCCCACAACACGTGGGAATTCTGGGAGATACAATTCAAGTTGAGATTTGGGTTGGGACACAGTCAAACCATATCACACTGTAATCCGAACACTTTGGGAGGCTAAGGCAGGTGGATAACTTGAGTCCAGGAGTTTGAGACCAGCCTGGACAACATAGTGAAACCCCATCGCTACTAAAAAAATACAAAAATTAGCTGGCCGTGGTGGTGCACTCAGCTACTCGGGAGGCTGAGGTAGGAGAATTGCTTGAACCTGGGAGGTGGAGGTTGCAGTGAGCCAAGATCGCAGCACTGCACTCCAGCCTGGCGACAGAGCGAGACTCCAACTCAAAAAAAAAAAAAAAAAAAAAAATTAGCCAAGCATGGTGGCACATGCTTGTAATCTCAACTACTTGGGAGGTTGAGGTGGGAGGATCTCTTGAGCCCAGGAGGCAGAGGTTGAAGTGGGCCGAGATTGCACCACCACACTCCAGCCTGGGCAGCAGAGCAATATCCTGTCTAAAAAAAAAAAAAAAAAAAAAAAGCCATTTTGTTTGTCATGGATTTTTGTATTCATTTCGATTTTGGTAAATATTGCATTACAAATACTTTATCTTAATTACCAAGTTTGTTAACGCTCCCTTAAATTTTGTCTGGCTTGCTTCACCCTAGTCCTGGCCCTGCTTTGCATGGGGGAATCCTTTAATACACACTAGCTAGTGTCATCCCACTACTTGTTGAATGCTAACTATATGCCAAGAATTGCTGTTAGAAGTTTTATAAGTATACATCACCTCAACAACAAGAAGAAGAAAAATCAGAAACCAAGTTGAAAAGCAAGTGACAGGACAGGAGAAAATATCTGTAGTTTATACAGGCAAAAGATTGGTGCTCAAAATATATAAAGAACTACTACAGATTCATTTTTAAAAAGACAAACTACCCAATACAACAGCAGGCAAAGGACAGAAATGGGCAGTTCACCAAAGAGGAAAAACAGATGGTCAGTAAACATATGAAAAAAACTTTAGCCTCACTGGTTATGAAATACACATTTGGAAGTGTGATGTTATCAAGGGTTGGGAAGAGTGTAAGGAAATGGGATTATAAACTGATTATAAACTGATATAGCCTTTTTGGAGGGAAATTCAGGATCTCTATTAAAGTGAAATTGCATACACCCACTGACTGAGCTATTTCACTTTTGTCTGCGCCAGAGAAACACGTACACATGTGCATGAGGATATTTATCAAAACTTTGCTCTGAATGGCAGTAAGTTGGAAACACCCTAAATGCCCCTCAAAAAGGGAACTGATCAATAAACCACAGTATAGTCATTCTATGAAGTAGAAGCTACAGGGTTTATTTTTAAGGTAGATCATGCTATTAATTTTGGGGTGCAAAAGCAAGTGGTAGAGCCATATGCACTGTATGTTGCCACTTGTGCTTGCAAAAACAACCAGGAAAAAAACAGTACTGAAGAAGTTCTCATTGGCCGACTATCCAACAGTCATTGCCTTCTTCTTTGCTAATAATCTCCAACTTTGTCTGGGTGGCACCGTGCCCCATGCCAGGGAAGGAACCACCTTTTGTCTCAGCCAACCTTAGCAGTCCTTCTCCTATCTGGGAGCCCAGTCCAGGCCAGGAGCAGCATCTCCCATCATTAGCCCGGGTCTACAGAGGCCAGCTCCCACCCCTGAAATTGTCACCCACACATGTCTTAAGGGTTTGGAAAATAGAGCATCTTCTGGGCTCTTTGGCAGAATGGACTTGCCGGGTGGGTTTTTTCACTTCATTCCTGCAGGCCTGCCTCTCTAGGTCTTTGCTTCCTTCCTCCATGGGCTTCAGGGGCAGATCTGACGTTTCTACCACACTTGGTCTGCACCAGCGTTTTTCCAAGCTGCCCTCCTGGGAGCATGTGAGCATCATCTCCTGGGGAAATGCCAGGGTGTTTGAGCCTGTATCCCAGGACAGTGCTCCTGAATGATAAACTCTCCCTTATCCAATACCATATTTCCTCCCTGCACTCCTACCCCTCCATCCGAAACCTTCTGGATCCATTTCCTCCACAATCTCAAGCTCCCATCAGCACTTATGACACAAATTCTGGAGCCCCTTTGGTGCCAAATCCCTCAGCATCCCAGAATATCTACCAGTTGGGCTGTGCGGGAAATTGACTCTTGTTATTGGTCTGGTGGCCAGCAAGGGAGAAATAGATCATTCTTGTTGGTTGGTTCTCCATCTCCTGGAAGTGTTCAAGAGAGATTGGAAGGGTCCTTGGCAGGTGATGTTGACTCCAGCCTCTGCAATCACATAGCCCTAGGTTCTAGTCCCAGCTCAAGCATTTCCTAGCTGTGTGCCTGTGGGAATTCACTTAACCTTTGTAAGCCTCTGTCTCCACCTCTGTAAAGGGCAGGAAATAACAGCATGAGCCTTGCAGTGTTGTTGCAAGGATTAATTGAGATGGCATCTTCAAAGCTCCCTGCAGAGGGCCTGCCTGGCTGGCTAAGCCACTTGGATAGGCCCTTCCCAACAAACTTGAGATTCTATAAATAAGAAGAAATGTGGCTGGGCACAGTGGCTCATGCTTGTAATCCCAGCACTTTGGGAGGCTGAGGTGGGCGGATCACTTGAGGTCAGGAGTTCGAGACCAGCCTGGCCAACATGAAGAAACCCTGTCTCTACTAAAAATACAAAAATTAGCCAGGCGTGGTAGCATGTGGCTGTAATCCCAGCTATTCAGAAGGCTGAGGCAGGAGAATCGCTTGAACCCGGGAGGTGGAGGTTTCAGTGAGCCGAGATCATGCCACTGCACTCCAGCCTGGGTGACAGTGAAACTGTGTCTCAAAAAAAGAAGAATAAGAAGAAGGAGAAGGAGAAGAAGGAGAAGGAAGAAGAAGGAAGAATAAAGAAGAAGAACAGGAAGAGGAAGGAGAAGGAGAAGAAGAAGACAAAGAGGAAGAGGAAGAGGAAGGAGAAGGAGGAGAAGGAGAAGAGGAAGAAGAGGAAGAAAAAGAGGAAAAAGAAGAGGAAGAGGAAGAAGAAGAAAAGAAGAAGAAGAACAAGAACAAGAAGAAGGGGAAGAAGAAGAAGAAGAAGAAGAGGAAGAGGAAGAAGAAGAGGAAGAGGAAGGAGAAGGAGGAGAAGGAGAAGAAGAGGAAGAAGAGGAAGAAGAAGAGGAAAAAGAAGAGGAAAAAGAAGAGGAAGAGGAAGAAGAAGAAAAGAAGAAGAAGAACAAGAACAAGAACAAGAAGAAGGGGAAGAAGAAGAAGAAGAGGAAGAGGAAGAGGAAGAAGAAGAAGAAGAAGAGGAAGAAGAAGAAGAGGAAGAGGAAGAAGAAGAGGAAGAATGCTTCCTAGAACCAGTTGGGAATTGAAAGCAGTATCTGGAGTTGGGTGAGAAGAAGAAGGGACTTGAAGGGGCAAAGGAAACTCAAGCTTTGTTCAGCTGCAGTTGTCAAGTGTGCTGGGCTCTCCCCAGGGAAGACACCCACCTGCTGGGGATGACACACCTTGCCGGGAAAACAAGGTGCTGGTGTGTGCAGTGGTACAGGGCACTGAAAAGAACGTGGCCTAGGACACGGACAGACCTGGCTGGCTTGAGCCCCTTATGAGCCTCAGGCTTGGAGCAAGTCTCTGAAGCACAACTTCTCAGCCATTGCTCTATGGACAGTGACAGCCAGATCACTCTTTGCAGTGGGGGCTGTCCTGGGTATTGTAGGATGTTTAGCAGTATGCACCGTCTCTACCCACTAGGTGCCAGGAGCAGCTCCTCCCCCCAAGTTGTGACAACTAAAAAAATGTCTCCATTGACATTGTCGACATTGCCAAGTGTCCCCAGGGGCACAAAATCATCCCCAGTTGAGAACTACAGCTTTAAATCTAATTAAGCCTTCCTGGTCAAATTGGGATAACAGTGATAGTAATACTGCCTTGTATGGTGGCTGTGAGGATTTCCTTCCTTCCCTCCTTCCTTCCTTCCTTCCTTCCTTCCTTCCTTCCTTCCTTCCTTTTCTCTTTCTTTCTTTACTTTTAGAGACAGGGTCTCACTTTGTTACCCAGGCTGGAGTGCAGTAGTGCAATCATGGCTCACTGCACCCTCGACCTCCTGGGTTCAAACGATCCTCCTGCTTCACCCTCCTAAATAGCTGAGACTACAAGCATGTGCCACCATGCCCAGCTAATTTTAAAAAATTTTTTTGTGGAGATGAGGGTCTCGCTATGTTGCCCAGCGTGGTCTCGAACTCCTAGCCTCAATCCATCCTCCTGCCTCAGCCTCCCAAAGCCCCGGGATTACAGGTGTGAGCCCCTGTACCTAGCCAGGGCATTTCTTGAGCATTTACTAGATGCCAGTGGCTGTGCTCATGCTTTCATGCATCAGCTCCCCTCCTCCCATAGCCCATCCCACATGGTGCTTTTACCCTCATCCTCCCTACATAGATGAAGAAACTGTAAACATCTTTCTTTTCATCACATTCACATTCAACCAATACCTCCCAAGGAAGGGCCTCTTATGTGCCAGGATTCTGGGAGGGATTGTGGCACATATGTAATCTCACTGGTTTCTGGGTGGGTTTGGCTAGTTGAGAACCACTCACAGTAGACCGAAGGGTGAAAGGAGGGGAGAATCCAGGATATTTTCTCTCGTTCTCTCTCTCTGTGCCTCCAAAGCATCATCAGCAGCTGCTGTGCCTCATCTGTGGCTGCAGATCCAGCTGTACAGTCTGTCCCTTGGTGATCCTGGATCTAGCTGGGCAGGCCATCAGGATTCTGTCTCCTGCCAGGTGGCCCAGCTTCAACTTCACAGCATGGTAGCACCAACTGTTCTCTGCTCCTCCCCCAACAAAGATGGCATCATCTTCCTGCTATGGTTTAGCACTGAGTTGTCTAACATGCCATTTGGCTTCTCACTTCTATCATCTGTGTGACCAATTCCTTGTATTATATTCCCTCTATTTGAATACCTAGTGGGATTTCTGCTTCTCTGATTGGTCTCTGACGGCTCCATATGAGATTTGGTTTCCTAGTTCATGCTCTTGGACACCACAATAATCAGCTCTTTGCTGTACATGGAGTATATCTCCTGAATATAAAGATAAATGTGTTTGATAGATGTATTAGTCAGGACTCTTTTGATTGCAAGTGACAGAAAACCAGCCTTAATTGGTTTAAGCAGAAGAAGGGAATTTATTGGCTTATGTAACTGAAAAGTCCAGGGGATGTTTGGCTTCAGGTACAGTTTGATCCAGCAACTGCAATGCTGTTGTCAGTATGTCTCCATCTCTAGCTCTTCTTTCCTCTGTGTTGACCTCATGCTTAGGCAAGCTCTTCCACTAAGGTGACAGACAATGGTTTCAGCATCAACAAACCTACACCCTTCAAGTTTACCAACTTCAGTAGAAAGTCCTCTTTCTCAATATTTCCAGCTGAAGTCCCAGGCAGGATTCTCATTGGTCCAGCTTGGAACACATGCCTGTTTCTGAGCCAATTACTGTGACAAGGCAAGATACTGGGTTATACATCGAACCCCTGCAGCTGGACAGTGGGGTCAGCATCCCCCAAACCACAAAGTCCAAGAATGGGAGTGAGGTGGTTCCTGAGAATAGTGAAGGGGTGTTGTTACCAAACATCAATGCATGTGCACTGATAGATACATGTTATTTGGTTTACTCGATGGTGATGCCGAGCTAACCAGCAGATCAGGAGGAGCAGAAGATTAGCAATCAGAAGACCCATGTTTGAGCTCAGGGTCTTCAGGCACCCTTCTCTGAACTGCAATTTTCTCATGCATAAAATTCAACAAAAAACAATAACCGGCCGGGCGCAGTGGCTCACGCCTATAATCCCAGCACTTTGGGAGGCCGAGATGGGCAGATCACGAGGTCAGGAGATCGAGACCATCCTGGCTAACATGGTGAAACCCTGTCTCTACTAAAAATACAAAAAATTAGCCAGGCACGGTGGCGGGCGCCTGTAGTCCCAGCTACTCGGGAGGCTGAGGCCAGAGAATGGCGTGAACCCGGGAGGCGGAGCTTGCAGTGAGCCAAACTCACACCACTGCACTCCAGCCTGGGTGACAGAGCAAGACTCCGTCTCAACAACAACAACAAAAATAATAATAATAATAATAATCACAAACATTAAGTGAATGGCAATTATATACCAGGCACTTATGTAGGCTCCAGAAATACAGACGTGAAGGAAAGAAAAATAGAGTCAATATCCCCTGAAGTGCACATGTAGCTGTAAGAACTACTTGAGATTCTTTGTGCAAAATGCCTCGCTGAGCCCCTATCAGGGCCTCAGAAGGTAGTGGTTGAGTTGAAGTTTGAAGAAAAGAGAGAAAGGCCCTTATAAAGTATAGACTACTATGGCAAAGGCTGAGAGGAGTACACCGTGGCTTTTCTCCGTTTCTACCTTAGTTAGGCTCATGGTTGCCTGGAATTAAGACTACACGTGACTGGCCTGGTGCAGCGACTCACGCCTGTAATCCCAGCACTTTGGGAGGTTGAGGCGGGCGGATCACGAGGTCAGGAGATAGAGGCCATACTGGCTAACAAGGTGAAACCCCGTCTCTACTAAAAATACCAAAAAAATTAGGCGGGTGTGGTGGCAGGCGCCTGTAGTCCCAGATACTCGGGAGGCTGAGGCAGGAGAATGGCGTGGAGCCGGGAGACGGAGCTTGTAGTGAGCCAAGATCACACCATTGCACTCCAGCCCTGGCGACAGAGCTAGACTGTCTCAAAAAAAAAAAAAAAAAAAAAAAAAAAGACTACACATGACTAAGTTGTAGTCAAGGGGATGTGTGTGAAAATGTAGTATGGAGGGGAGCTGGGAGTGGAGGGGGCAGGGAGTGTTCTTTTTCTGTGTGAGACGGAGTCTTGCTCTGTTGCCCAGGCTGGAGTGCGGTGGTGCAATCATAGTTCACTGCAGCCTCCAATTCCTGGACTCAAGTGATTTTCCTGCCTCAGCTTCCTGAGCAGTTGAGACTACAGGCACACACCACCACAACTGGCTAATTTCTTTAATTTTTTTTTTTGTACAGACAGGGTCTCACCATGTTGCCCAGGCTGGTTTCAAGCACTTGGCCTCAAGTAATCCTCCCATTTTGGCCTCCCAAAGCGCTGAGATTAAAGGTGTGAGCCACCACGCCCAGCCAAGGGGGTGTTCTTAAAGGAAGAAACGAGGCACCTAGGTGCTCCTTCGGCTTCCCTGGTACCTGAAATGTGCATAAGATGACAGCTGGCAGAGCAGGCAGCTTGGACCATGAGGGGTTAACTACTGGATCTTGCCCCTCATTTCTCTCATCTTTTTTTTCTTTTTTCTTTTTTGAGACAGAGTCTTGCTCTGTTGCCCAGGCTGGAGTGCAGTGGCACAATCTTGACTCACTGCAACCTCTGATTCCTGGGTTCAAGTGATTCTCCTGCCCCAGCCTCCCCAGTAGCTGGGATTACGTGTATGTACCACCATGCCTGGCTAATTTTTATATTTTTAGTAGAGATGGGGTTTCGCCATGTTGCCCAGGCTGGTCTCGAACTCCTGGCCTCAAGTGATCCACCCATCTTGGTCCCCCAAAGTGCTGGGATTACAGACCTTAGCCACCGCGCCCAGCCTTTCTCTCATCTTTATGTGAAAAAATGTCTCTTGACCTCATCTCCAGCTATAACTCCATCTCTTTCCTTCTCTTTGCAGCAAAACTCAAAGAGTCTATATCTCAAATTTCTCTCTTCTTACTCACCCCCGCCCTGCATGTGGCTCTATCCCAGGGTCACTTCAAAGTCCTCATCCATCCTGGACCCCTCAGCAGCATGTGACACAGTTGCTCTCTCTCTCCTTTTTCAAAAAGTTTGGTAAAATATACATAACATAAAATTGACCATTTTAACCAGTGGTATTAAGGGTACAGTTCCAATGAGAAGAGTTGGACACAGGGCGGGGAACATCACACACCGGGGCCTGTTGTGGGGTGGGGGGATGGGGGAGGGATAGCATTAGGAGAAATACTTAATGTAAATGACGAGTTAATGGGTGCAGCAAACCAACATGGCACATGTATACATATGTAACAAACCTGCATGTTGTGCACATGTACCCTATAACTTAAGGTATATAAAAAATTATCTGATAAATAACTTTAAAAAAGGGTACAGTTCTGAAGCATTAAGTACATTTGCACTGTTTTACAACTGTCACCAACATCCACCTCCAAAACTTTTTTGTCTCCTCAAATTGAAAATTTGCATCCAAGCCAAGCACAGTGGCTCACACCTGTAATCCCAGCTACTCGGGAGGCCAATGCAGGAGGATCACTTGAGTCCAGGAGTTTGAGATTAGCTTGGGCAACATAGCAAGACTCCATTTCTACAAAGAATTGAAAAATTAGCCAGACATTGTAGTGTGCACCCGTAGTCCCAGCTACTCAGGAGGCTAGAGCAGGAGGATGACTTGAGCCCAGGAGTTCGAGGCTGCAGTGAGCTATGCTCATGCCACCACACTCCAGCTTGGGAGACAGAGTGAAGCACTGTCTCCAAAAGAAAAAAAAAAAAAAAGGAGGCCAAGCATGGTGGCTCACACCTGTAATCCCAGCATTTTGGGAGGCCTAGGTGGCAGATCACCTGAGGTCAGGAGTTCAAGACCAGCCTGGCCAACATGGTGAAACCCTGTCTCTACTAAAAAGACAATAATTAGCCAGGTGTGGTGGCGGGCACCTGTAATCCCAGCTACTCAGGAGGCTGAGGCAAGAGAATCGCTTGAATCTGGGAGGTGGAGGTTGCAGTGAGCCAAGATCATGCCACTGCACTCCAGCCTGGTGACAGAGTGAGACTCCGTGAAGAAAGAAAGAAAGAAAGAAAGAAGGAAAGAAAGAAAGAAAGAAAGAAAGAAAGAAAGAAAGAAAGAAAGAAAGAAAGAAAGAAAGAAAGAAAGAAAGGAAAGAAAGAAAGGAAAGAAAGAAAGAAAGAAAGAAAGAAAGAAAGAAAGAAAGAAAGAAAGGAAAGAAAGAAAGAAAGAAAAAAAAAAAAAAGAAAGAAATTCTGCATTCACTCCCAATTCTTTCCACCCCACCCCCTCCAGACCCTGGTAACCTCTAATCTATTTTCTGTCTCAATGAATGTGCAGATTCTAGATATTTCAAAAAGTAGAATCATGTAATATTTGTCCTTTGAGTCTAGCTTCTTTCATGCACCATTATGTTTTTGAGACTCACCCAGGTTGTAGCATGTGTCATACTTCATTCCTTTATGTCTGAATCATATTCCATTGTAGGGATAGACCACATTTGTTTATGCATTTATCCACTGATGGACATGTGAGCTCTCTCCACTTTTTGGTCACTGTGAATAATGCTACTATGAACATTCACAGAGGACCTTTGCACGGACACAGATTTTCTCACCTAGGAGTGAAATTAGTGAATCCCATGGTAAATTTAACTTCTTCCCTCCTGAAACAATTTTCTTTCTTAGCTTCCAGGACACATTTGGCTTCCTCCTGCTGTGTCCGCTACTTCTTAGCTTCCTTTCCTGGCTCTCTCTCTTCCTCTCCACCTGCCAGATGTGACGTGCCCCAGGGGATCCCAGACAGGCCCTGTTCTCTATTCTACCCACACCTACTCCCTAGGGATCCCATTTGGGCTCTGACTTTGAAAATCTCTGTATATGCGGATGACTCCAAATTTGTATCTCTGCCTCTTCACTGAACTTCAGGCTCCCCTTGTACATCCAACTGCCACCTGACATCCCCACCGGTCCAGAGTGGAGACTGGGATCATGCCCACAAATCTGTTCCTCCCACAGGCTCCCCATCTCAGTAAACGGCACCTTCATTTTTCCCATTGTGCTGGCCAAAACCTTGGAATCATCCTGGATTCCTCTTTTTTTCCCACACTCTACCTCCAATCCATCAGCAAATCCTGCTGGCTCTGCCTTCAAAATGTACCCAGGATCCGAGGATCGCTTGAGCCCAGGAGTTCGAGGCTGCAGTGAACCATGACTGTGCCACTACACTCCAGCCTGAGCAACAGAGTGAGACTCTGGCTCTTAACAACAACAAACACACACACGTGTACACACACACACACACACACACAAAACAGCCAGGCATGGCGACTCATGCCTATAATCTCAGCACTTTGGAAGGCCGAGGCCGGAGAATCCCCCGAGGCCAGGAGCTGGAAACCAGCCTGGGCAACATAGTAGACCTCATCACTACAAAAAAATTTTTTTAATTAGCCAGGCTGGGCAGGGTGGCTCACACCTGTAATCCTAGCATTTTGGGAGGCCAAGGCGGGCGGATCACTTGAAGTTGGGAGTTCAAGACAAGCCTGGCCAACATGGTGAAACCCCATCTCTACTAAAAATACAAAAATTAGCCAGGCGTGGTGGCGGGAACCTGTAATCCCAGCTACTTGGGAGGCTGAGGCAGGAGAATCACTTGAACTGGGGAGGCAGAGGTTGCAGCGAGCCAAGATTGTGCCATTGCACTCCAGCCTGGATGACAAGGGTGAGACTCTGTCTCAAAAAAAAAAAAAAATTAGGCATGGTAGTGCATGCCTGTAGTCCCAGCTACTTGGGAAGCTGAGATGGGAGGATCACTTGAACCCAGGAGTTCGAGGTTGCAGTGAACTATGATCACACTATAGTACACCAGCCTGGGCAACAGAGATCCTGTAGCTTAAAAACAAAAATGTACCCAAGAGCCAATCACCCTTCACCTCATCCACCTCTGCCCTACCGCAGGGCCAGGTCATCACATGTCTCACCTGGACTCTAGCAATCACCTTCTCCCTGGTGTCTGTGTCCCATCCCTGCCCCGACAGTCTATTCTCCCACATTGCCTGAAGGATCCTGTTAGCACCCAACGTCAGGTCAGGGCTTTCTTTACTCAGAGCCTTCCACGGCTCCCAGCTCACCCAGAGAGCAGCCATAGTCCCCACAATGGCCCACGGGGTCCTATAGGACATGTCTCCTCCCCATTGCCTCTCTGCCTTCACCTCCTCCCACTCTCACCCTGGTTCCCTCTATTCCAGCCATACCAGCCTCATGGCTATTTCTTCAAAACTCCAGTCACACTCTCACTGCATGGCTCTTAGACTTTCTGTTCCTTCTGCTGAAATGCTCTTCCCACACCAACTTCCTTTACCTCCTTCCATTTTTTTCTCAGTGAGACTTTCCTTGCAAACCTACTTAACATTATCCCCCCAACACTTCCTACCTCTTTCTTTTTCTTTCTTTTTTTTTGGAAACAAAGTCTTGCTCTGTTTCCCAGGTTGGAGTGCAGTGGAGCAATCTGGGCTCCCTGCAACCTCTACCTCCCGAGTTCAGGCAATTTTCGTGCCTCACCCGCCTGAGTAACTGGGACTACAGGCACACACCACCATGCTTAGCTAATTTTTGTATTTTTAGTAGAGAGACTGGGTTTTGCCATGTTGGCCAGGCTGGTCTCAAACTACTGGCCTCATGTGATCTGCCTGCCTCAACCTCCCAAAGTGCTGGGATTACAGGTGTGAGCCACCGTGCCCTGCCCTTACCCCATTCTCTGCTTTATTTTTCTCTAGAGCACTCATCTCCATCTACCATGCTGTACATGTTACATATTGTCCTGTTCACTGTCTGTCTGCCTGCACTGGAATGCAAGGAAGAGATGAGGACTTGCTCCCTGGAGTAGCCCCAGCACCTAAAACAGTAACTGACACATATCTGTTAACTGAATTAACACAAACTAAGCCAAAAAAAAAAGGACTTGTTGGCTAATAGACCTGAAAAAATCTGGGACTGGGATAGCTTCAGGCATGGCTAAATCCAGGAGCTCAATACCATCAGAACTCATTCTTTCCATGCCTTGGCTGTGTTTTCCTCTGGGTTAACCTCACTCACAGGCTAACTCCCCAAGCATGGCAATTGCAGCTCTTTCCCCTTTTCCCATTATTCCTGCAGGATTTCAAGTCTCAAGGGAACAATTTGGGTCATGTGTCTATTCCCAATCACTGTGGCCAGAGGATGGACAGCTCTAAAGGGCTGAAAGCCCAGGAGGCAGCCAGGGGAGTGTGAACCTTCCAGAAGCTTTTCTGATGGCCCCACTCAGCAACTCTGCCTCCAGCTCATTAGCCCAAACTCGCTGGTCATTCCCAGCTTCAAGCACCTTTGGGAAAGTGGAGGCTTTATCTTGCCAGCCTCCAAAAAGAGCAAAAGGCAAGGGGAAAGGGGTTGTGAAGAGCTTTTGGGTGAAGAGTACAGTACTTTCACAGGCTCCTCCAACCTCGAAGAACAGGGAGAAAGGAATTGAGGACAAAAGTCAACACGCCTCAGGCAAACCATCTTATGCAATTTTGCCCAAGGCTGCAGTTTCAGTTCAATGAAATCCTACAACCACTCACTGGGCAATAATGCCATGCAAGGTTTTTCTATCTTGGCACTACTGACATTTTGGACAGAATGTAATGATTCTGGGCCGGGTGCGGTGGATCACGCCTGTAATCCCAGCACTTTGGGAGGCCGAGGCGGGCGGATCACGAGGTCAGGAGTTCGAGACCAGCCTGACCAACATGGTGAATCCCCCGTCTCTACTAAAAATACAAAAATTAGCCGGGCGTGGTGGTGTCCGCCTGTAATCCCAGCTACTCAGGAGGCTGAGGCAGGAGAATCGTGTGAACCTGGGAAGCAGAGGTTGCAGTGAGCTGAGATTGCACCACTGCACTCCACTCCAGCCTGGGCGTCAGAGCTAGACTCCATCTCAAAAAAAAAAAAAAAAAAAGAATGTAATGCTTCTCTGTTGTGGGGGCTAGCTATCCTGTTGATTGTAGGATATTTCACAGCATCCCTGACCTCTAACCCTAGACCCCATCCCCAGTCATGACAACCAAAATCATCTCCTAGACATTGTCCAATGTCCTCTGCTGGGCAAAATAGCCCCCAGTTGAGATGCACTGCATTTCTACAGTCTAAGTTCCATAAGAGCAGGTTGCCTGTTTGCTTTACAGCTGTGTCTTCCGCACGTAGCACAATTTCTTGGCACATAGTAGGTGTTCAATTAATAGTTCTTGAGTTGCATGAATGAACAAATGAATGAATGCCTGATGCAGTGCAGTACTGGGGTCCACACAGTGAAGAACACACAGACCTTACCCCCAAGAAGATCAAGATCTAGTAGAAGCCCCAAAGTGTTTCCAAAATGGGGAACCTTCTGTCCCTCTCAGTGACATGTCACAGGAACTCACAAGCTAGCAGGTCAGAGGCTATGCCACCAAACCACAGTGGGCTTCATGCGCTCTGCAGACATAACAGCCACGGTCAGGCTTACAGTCAACAAGGGAACCAGAACAGTGAGGCCAGCTGGGTGGTAGGCCCGCTAGAAAAAATTTAATCCCTTTGAACCCATGAGCAACAATGTGATGTGTCGTTTTCTTTTTCTTTTTTCTTTCTTTCTTTCTCTCTCTTTTTTTTTTTTTTTTGTGTGTGTGATAGGGCCTCACTCTGTCACTCAGGCTGGAGTGCAGTGGCATAATCATAGCTCTTCGCAGCCTCAACTTCCTGAGCTCAAGCGATCCTTCCACCTCAGCCTCCCGAGTAGCTGGGGCAATAAGCATGCACCACCGTGCCCGGTTATTTATTTGTTTATTTATTTATTTATTGTAGAGGCAAGATCTCACTATGTTTCCCAGACTTGTCTCAAACTCGTGGCCTCAAGAGATCCTCCAGCCTTCGCACCCCCGAAGTCCTGGGATTACAGGCATGAGCCACCACCCCAGCCTGTTTTATTTTTCTATTGAGATATAATACACATATGTCAAAATTACCCTTTTAAAGTGTACAATTCAATGGTTTCTAGTATATTCACAGAGTTGTGTAACCATCACCACAATCAATTTTTGAACATTTTCATCACCCCAAAGGACACTTATACCGATGAGCAACCACTCCCATTTAACCCCTCCTCCCATCCTCTGGCAGCTGCCACCTGCTTTTTGTTTCTATACATTTGCCTGCTCTGGGCATTTCATGTAATATGTGGCCTTTTGGGTCTGGCTTCTTTCATTTAGCATCACGGTTTCAAGATCTGTCCATATTGCAGCATGTATCAAGGCTTCACGCCTTTTTGTGGCTGGATAATATCCCATTGTATGGATAGACCACACTTCATTTATCCTTCCATCCATCCATGGACATTTGGGCTGTTTCCACTGTTTGGCTATTGTGAATAACGCTGCTATAAACATCCATTTTTTACGAGATTGTGTGTGTGTACCTTGTACCATTTTCTTGGGTGTATATCTGGGAGTGGAACTGCTGTGTCTTATGGCAATTTGGTGTTTCCTGAGGATGGCTCTGCTTTGAGGACTGTGCTGAAAATGGTGGGACAACAGTTTCCAGCCTCTTGGACTTCTCAAAGGCAGTAAAAATTCTTAAAAATAAAATGAATGATTGGGCAACCGAAATAAGATGGTCTACTTTTTATATTGCCAAGTAAAGACTACAGGATAAAATAAAATTAAAGAAATATTTTTTCCATTACTTCACAGTAAAAGAACATTTTAACCACCAACATCACTACCCCCAAAAAGGAAAGGAGATTAATATATTAACATAAATGGTAGTTGTTTAAGTTTACTTTCATGAAAATTTCACTACATGCCTGTGTGTTCCCCCATAGTACCAGGAACTGATAAACAAAGAAGCAAACGACCTCCTCACCATCTACAGTCTAGCCAGGTGATGGTGGGGGGGGGGGCGGAGAGAGAAAGAGAGAGAGAGAGAGAGAGAGAGAGAGAGTGTGTGTGTGTGTGTGTGTGTGTGTGTGTGTGTGTGGTCAGAGGATGTCGGATGTCAGATATCCCAACTCTAAGGAATTCTGAGATGTGTAAAAGGGATTGTTTTGCCCAAAGGAGGTTTTCAGGCTCTGAAAAGAATAAAATCCCAGGATAACTGCTTTAATGGAGGCACAAGCAACAAGAGAACCCCAAGACAGAAATTAGTTCTGATTGGCTGGGAACGGTGGCTCACACCTATAATCCCAGCACGTTGGGAAGCCGAGGCGGGCGGATCACATGAGGTCAGGAGTTCAAGACCAGCCTGGCCAACATAACGAGACCCCATGTCTACTAAAAATACAAAAATCAGCCAGGCGTGGTGGAGCACACCTGTAGTCCCAGCTACTCAGGAGGCTGAGGCAGGAGACTTGCTTGAACCTGGGAGGCAGAGGTTGCAGTGAGCCGAGATCACGCCACTGCACTCCAGCCTGGGCGACAGAGTGAGACTCAGTCTCAAAAAAAAAGAAGAAAGAAATTAGTTCTGATCATGGGAAAACCAGGTGAGTAGCAATGATCTCAGCAGGCTGAGATGAATTCTATGCAGCCACAAGTCTGGGAGATAATGTTTACCAGACCAGAGAGAATCTGTAATTCCTACGGCCTTGGTACCTTCAGGAATAGAGAGATTCTATTGCCAAATAATGACTTCCAGGTGGTGCATTAATGACAACAGTGGGTAGTTTTGGTCCCCTCTGCCGCTGGGCCCAGGGGACTCTGGGAACCATCACCCTTGGTGGGATCTGGCTTGGGAGTTGGCCCTAAATCGCCTGCCATGGGAGCGGGTTTAGAGGGGAAGCAGTGGCCCCCCAGGAGGTCAGGGGTCCTAGAGTCATCTAGAAGAACAACAGAAAGAAATACCTAGGGCAGGTCAGGCGCGGTGGCTCACGCCGGTAATGCTAGCACTTTGGGAGGCCAAGGTGGGCAGACCAGCTGAGGTCAGGTGTTTGACACCAGCCTGGCCGACATGGCGAAACCCCGTCTCTACTAAAAATACCAAAAAAAATTAGTTGGGCATGGTGGTGGGCGCCTGTAATCCCAGCTACTGGGGAGGCTAAGGCAGGAGAATTGCTTGAACCCGAGAGGTGGAGGCTGCAGTGAGTCATGATCGTGCCTCTGCACTCCAGCCTGGGCGACAGAGCAAGAATCTATCTCAAAAAAAAAAAAAAAAAGGGCCAGGCACAGTGGTTCATGCCTGTAATCCCAGCACATGGGGAGGCCAAAGTGGGAGGATCACGAGGTCAGGAGCTCAAGACCATCCTGGCTAACACGGTGAAACCTCATCTCCACTAAAAATACAAAAAATTAGCTGGGTGTGGTGGCACGTTCCTTTAGTCCCAGCTATTCGGGAGGCTGAGGCAGGAGAATCACCTGAACCCGGGAGGCGGAGGTTGCAGTGAGCCGAGAAGGCGCCACTGCCACTGCACTCCAGCCTGGGCGACAGAGCAAGAAAGAAAGAGAGAGAGAGAGAGAGAGAAAGAAAGAAGAGAAAGAAAGAAAAGAAAGAAAGAAAGAGAGAGAGAAAGACCTAGGGCAGCAGACACCAGGCTTTGGTCTGTGAGGCTCTGATACCCCGCCCCCCACAAGCTGCTGAATGTCCTTGGAGAATGAGAGGCGAGGGGATGGGAGGCAATGGGGCTGAAATCACTTCTAGGAAGGAACTACCCTCTGTGCTTTCCCATCAGGCAACTGAAGGAGCAAGTTCCCGGGGCTGGAAGCACAGCAATGAGAGGGAAGCACAGAGGTCACGGGTGACAGTGGGGAAAACGAGGCAGCAGTGGAAATGTATCAGAAGCAAAATGTGCTGGGTTTTGCCTAAGGCTAGCAATGCAAAACAAATCAGGAAAGTCCCCTGGACTTCGTGAGGTGGGCTCAGGCACACATGGAAAATTGTGGTGAGGGAGGAGATTTTTTCCTAATTAGCACTGAGGGATCCAATAAGCCAAACCTTTTTCACACATGACATAGCTATCAGATTTTATCCCGGTGCCAGGGAAGCTCACGAGAATGATTCTGAGACAAGATGATGAAGCCAAAATCTTTCCCCCGGCTTTTTTTTTTTTTTTTTTTTTTTCTAAAGTGTAAAACAGGACCAGGTGGTGAGTCTAGTTGAACTGCTCGAGCATTGGTGCTCTCTGGTGGCCAATATAGAAATTGCATTGGCAGCGGTGCAAAAGTTTTCCTTTTTATGAAAAAAGTCAGATAATCTAAGAGGTGTTGCAGAAGCTAGCATTGCTTAAGAGGGATGTTTATTGGAAGGTGTAATCTTGGAGTTAGAATCTTTAACATGCTTCTTCTGAAACCAGCTTTTCCTCGTTCTCTGTCTTGGTAAATGGCCTGACCACCCATTGTTCCCCAAGTAAGAAACGTGGGGGTCACACTAGACACCTACTCTCCCTCATCTTCACACTCAGGCAGTCCCTGAGGCTTGTGCCCTTAACTGTCTAAATTTGCCTTTTTCTTCTTCTTTTTTTTTTTTTTTTCCTGAGACGGAATCTCATTCTGTCACCTGGGTTGGAGTACAATGGTGTGATCTCGGCTCACTGCAACCTCCACCTCCCGGGTCAAGCGATTCTCCTGCCTCAGCCTCTGGAGTAGCTGGGATTACAGGCATATGCCACCACGCCCAGCTAATTTTTGTATTTTTAGTAGAGACAGAGTTTCACCATGTTGGCCAGGCTGGTCTCCAACTCCTGGCCTCAGGCGATCTGCCCACCTCAGCCTCCCAAAGTGCTGGGATTATAAGCGTGAGCCACCATGCCTGGCCTTTTTTCTTTATTTCTTTTTTCTTTTCTTTTCTTTTTTTTTTTTTAAAGTTTGGGTCTGCTCTGTCACCCAAGCTGGAGTGCAGTGGGTGACAGAGCTCTCTGAGACCTCAAATTCCTGGGCTCAAGCAACAGTCCCACCTCCGTCTCCAAAACCACTGGGATTACAGGTGCAAACCACTGGGATTACAGGTGCGAGTCACTGGGATTACAGGTGCGAGCCACTGGGATTACAGGTGCGAGTCACTGGGATTACAGGTGCGAGTCACTGGGCCCTGCCTACCTAGCATCGCTTCTGTCATATTCTGTTAGCAACACTCTCCAAAGCCCAACCAGTTTCAAGGGGAGGGGATGTAGACCTCACCTTTCAATGAGAAGAGTGTCAACGAATTTGTGGACTTTATTTCAAAACAGCCACAACAACTAATTCCTGATAAAAACTGAAAATATGACATAATAAGGCTTTAACCACCCCCACGTTTGTTTATGTGTTTATGATCTGTTTCCCACGCTACAAATTAAGCTTGATGAGGGTAAAGACTTGGGCATTTTGCCCACTGCAGTGTCCCTGAGGCCAAGGACAGGGCTGAAGAATTACACGGTGATTAGATCAGAGGAAATATCACCGTCTCCCCTCCTCCTGTCTATTTTAGGCCAAAGCATCCTTCAACATCCAGCTCACAGCTCTTCTCCGTGGTCTTCTAAACTCCAGTTTTTCTTTGCCTATTCACCTGAGGGTCACTTTGTGCTATACTAAGTTGTCACGTCTTAAATTACAGCATCCAGTATTACCAGTTCAGCTGCTGGAGCCTGACACCCTGGACCCAAATCCCAGCTCTCATGTGAACCAGCCATGTAACCTTGGACAAGAAACCTCAGTTTTCTCTTCTGTTAAATGGGGGAAATATTGGGGATTTTGTAAGGATTCAATGAGCCAATTTAAGTAAAGCACTCAGAACAGTCCCTGGCCTATAGGAAGCACCAGAGAAGTAGTGTTAGCCACTATTGCCTCTTGTATCTCTGCATTGTAGGGTTCTTTATCCATCAATTTTTTCTTTCTTTCCTTCTTTCTTTCTTTCTTTCTTTCTTTTCTTTCTTTTTCTTTCTCTTTCTTTCCTTCTTCCTTCTTTCTCTCCTTCCTTCCTCTTTCTTTCTTTTTCTTTCCTTCTTCCTTCTTTCTCTCTCCTTCCTTACTTCCTTTCTTTCTCTCCTTCTTTCCTTCCTTCCTTTCTCTCTCTCTCTCTCTTTCTTCCTTCCTTTCCTTTCTTTCTTTCTTTCTCCTTTTCTCTTCTTCTCTCTCTCTCTCCCTCTCTCTTTCTCTTTCTTTTTTTTTTTTTGAGTCAGAGTCTCACTCTGTCACCCAGGCTGGAGTGCAGTGGTGTGATCTTGGCTCACTGCAACCTCCGCCTCACGGGTTCAAGCGATTCTCCTGCCTCAGCCTCCTGAGTAGCTGGGATTACAGGCATGTGCCACCACACCCATCTAATTTTTGTATTTTTAGTAGAGACGGGGTTTTGCTATGTTGGCCAGGCTGGTCTCCAACTCCTGACCTCAAGTGATCTGCCCGCCTTGGCATCCCAAAGTGCTGGGATTACAGACGTGAGCCACCATGCTCAGCCTCTTTCTTTTTTGAGATGGAGCTTTGGTGTGTTACCCAGGATGGTCTTGAACTTCTGTGCTCAAGTGATTCTCCCACCTAAGCCCCCCGACCAAGTAGCTGGACTGCAGGCATGAGCCACCATGCCTGGCTGTATTTTCTTTTCCTAAACCGCTTTATCAAGATACACTTCACATACCATAGAATTCACCCATTTAAAGTGTACAATTCAGTGGCCTTCAGTATATTCAGAGTCGTGCAACCATCACCACCATCTAATTTGGGAACATTTTCATCATCCTGAAAATGAAAGCCAGTACCCATGAGCATTTACTCCTCATTTCCCCCTCCTCCTAATGCCTGACAACCACGAATCTACTCTCAGTGTCTGTGGATTTGCCTATATCCATGGTATTTTGTTTCTTGCATCCTTTCATCTTTGTCTTGTTTTCTGCCTCCCAATAATAATAAACCATAAGACCCTGGACACTCTGTCCTCTCTTTTGTGTCCCTTCCTGGACTTCAGTGAGTGATTCACCTAATGGGCATCTGCTGATCAAGTAATACACTGGCCCTTTGACTGAGAACAAGCACAGAGCATCTACAATGCATCGGGTAATATTCCAGGTGCTGCATATACATTAACTCATATGATCCTTACACAGAAATCCATGACACAGGCACTGTTATTATCCCCACCTGACTGATAGGGAAACTGAGACAGGAGAAGTTGAGTACCTTGCCAGAGTGACATAGCCAGCAAGGAGGCAAAGCCAGAATTCAAACCTGGACATTTATGCCTGGAGTCTGCACTCCACCACTGCACCACACTTTCTCCTGTGAGGCCAAGTGGATGGGCCTTCATTTGCGAGCAGTTCCAGGAAACCTGCACGGGGGCTGGGAAAGAGCAAGGTGGAAGCTGCTGTAGATGCTCCCCCCACCAACCACCACCAGCCAACTACGTCCCTTAGTATTTCACAGCCTTGTGTAGCTCCTCAAGTGTGTATTCTGGACTGCTCTAGCAACTTGATTTAACCAATAGAATGTAGTAGAAGGGACGCTGTGCCACTCCAAGTCAAAGCCTAAAGAAGGCCTGGCAGGGCACAGTGGCTCACATCTTTACAGTACATTGGGAGACCAAGCCAGCTGGATCCCTTGAGCCCAGGATTTTGAAACCAGCCTGGGGAACATAGTGAGACCCCATCTCTATGAAATTTTTTTTTTTAAATTAGCCAGAGTGGTGGTGCACTCCTGTAGTCCCAGCTACTCAGGAGGCTGAAGTGGGAAGACTGCTTGAGCCCAGGAGGTCAAGGGTGTAGTGAGCCATGATTGCACCACTGCACTCCAGCCTGGGTGGTAGAGTGAAACCCTGTCTCAAAAAAAAAAAAAAAAATCCTGGTGGCTTCTGTTTTGTCACTTTTTAGAACTCTGAGTCACAATGTAAGAGATCTGGCCACCCTGCTGAAGAAACCACATAGGAAGAGGCCCTCAGTCTACACAGGGAGCGCTCCAGGTATCCCAGCTATCCCAGCATTTTGGCTGTCCCCCCTCAAAGTCCCAGACATGTGAGTGAACCATTGCAGACATTCTAGCACAGTTGAGCTCCCACTGATGACCTCAGATTTAGTTAAGACCACATGCAGCAGAAGAGCCGCCCAGCTGATCCTAGTCAACCCAGAGCATGGTGAGTAATCATCAACTATTGTTTTAAGCCACTAAGGAGTAGACAGTCAAACAGCAGTAGATAATCAAAACAAGGAGTAAGACCACTTCTGTGGACAGAAGACCCATGAAGGGTCTGACCTCATGATTCCACAGTCTCCTGCTGACTCAAAGAAGAGGGTAGAAAGCTAATCAGAAGAGCTGAGTGTCTGCTCCAGCCAGCAGCTGGGGTGCAGATTCATGACCTTCACTCAGCTGGTCAGATGTGTTGGCTCAGGACTTTGAATCTGGAGTAAGCAACACAAAAGACCAGGAGGTTTAGACTTGTTCTGAAAGGAGTGGTGGTGACATCTGACTAGCATCTTGTTTCCAGTGGCAGCCCCTGAGGCAAGGCCAAGAGTGGGGATGCAGCATCCAGCCAAGACAGCAACAGCATCCTTTCCAGAATCTTCTTTGGTGCAATTTCTGAACCCTTCACATCCCTCATTTTCCACCTATTTTCTGAGCCTGATTCTCCAGTCTTCTGATTCATTTTGAAAAAGACTCTCATCATTCCAGGAAAGCACTTTTGCAGCTGAAGTTAGCAGTAGTTTGTGTATTGATTGGGTTTGTTTGCATGCAACAGAAAACTCCCAAACAACTGTGGCTTAAACAAGATAGTTGATTTTCTCTTTGTGAAAAATGTACAGAACTCAGCAGTCCAGGTCCCACCAGGTCTTCAGAGACCCAGTATCCTTGTGTCTTGGTGCTCTGGCTCCGCTCCACGTGGCACATTGCCTCAGGGTCTAAAATAGCTGCCCAAGCTCCAGCCATTGTGTTCACATTCTGGCCAGGAGAGAAGAGGAAAGGTTAAAGAAAAACATGCCCCTCCCTTTTTAGGAAACCACTTGGAAGTCCCTCCTAATCCTTTGCTTATATCTCATAGCTAGAACTTAATCACAAGACCACGCTTAGGTACAAGGAAGGCAGGAATGAGCAGTCCTTAGCTGAGCGGTTAGGTCCTCAACTAAAAATAAGAGTTATGTTGCTAAAGAGGAAAGAAAGAATGATGCTGAAGGAGGCTACTGGAGATCTCTGCCTGGGTCTGCCTCTGCTGTGTTCAACCAAGAACTCTGCATGGGAGAGCCAAGCCAGACTGATGCAAGGCAAGTGAGCTCCAAAACTGGGGCTTCACCTGGGAGGGTTCTTGGCTTTACCCAGCAGAGAATTCAAGGGCAAGTCAGTGGTGTTAGACAGCAACTTTTATTGAAGCAGCAGTGTACGGCAACAGCAGAGGTACTGCTCCTTGCAGAGCAGGGCTAACCCCTGGGCATAGGGGTTGTTGGCAGCTGTATTTATATCCACTTATAATTATATGTTAATGAAGAGGCACGTTATCCAGAACTTTCTGGAAAAAGGGTGAGGAGTTTCTGAAACCATATAAAGTAACTTCCTGGCTGTTGCCATGGCATTTGTAAACTGTCAGGGTGCTGGTGGGAGCGTCTTTGTGCTAACGAGCAGTGAGGGCAACTAGAGGTCACTTTCTTTGCCATGTTCTGTTTCTTCACTGCATCCTGTTTCAACCAGATCCTGCTCTGATGAGCTGGGTTGCTATGGTGGTTGTGATCAGTGCTCGGAAAACAAGTCCTGCTGATTTACCTCAAGACTGCGAGATGGTGGCCACGGGAGAGGAGGGACCCTGACAATGCCTAATCACGTTGACCCAGCTGGCTCCTCTCTTAATTTTCTCCAATTCTTTTTTATTTTTGAGATGGAGTCTCACTCTGTCACATAGGCTGGAGTTCAGCTTACTGCAACCTCTGCTTCCCGGGTTCAAGCGATTCTCCTGTCTCAGCCTCCCAAGTAGCTGGGACTATAGGCACCCACCACAATGCCTAATTTTTTGTATTTTTGGTAGAGACGGGGTTTCACCATGTTGGCCAGGCTGGTCTCGAACTCCTGACCTCAGGTGATCTGCCTGCCTCAGCCTCTCAAACTCCTGGGATTACAGGTGTGAGCCACTGTGCCTGGCCTTCTCCAGTTTTTTTAAACCCTTCCACCTCATTTGTCTTAAACTCCCACCAGCACTTCCCTGACCCTGGATCCCCTCATTTTCCTGATCCATTTTCTATCCAAGGAAAACCCACAGTCCCAACCCACTTCCTGGCCAGTCTAGCTCCCATGCCTTTATACATGCTGTTCCTTTCACCTGGAAGGGCCCTCCTTCTCCCTGTGGCTTATCTAAAGGTTACCTGTGAGGAGCATTTGTCATGCTTCTTGGCCACCCAGTATCTTTTGTTTGTTTTTTTGAGACTGAGCTGGAGTGCAGTGGTGCAATCACTGCTCACTGCAGCCTCAACTTCCTGGGCTCAAGCAATCCTCCCACTTCAGCCTTCTGTGTAGCTGGAACCACAGGTGTGTACCACCGCGCCCGACTAATTTTTTCATTTTTTATAGAGACAGGGTCGAGGCTGGTCTCAAATTCCTGGGCTCAAGCCATCCTTCTGCCTCAGCCTCCCAGAGTGCTGAGATTACAAGCCTGAGCCACCGTGCCTGGCCCCCGCCTCAATCTTTAAAGCCGGTAATGTCATTCTGAAGGCTCCCTTGTTAAATAAAAAATAAAAAGCCAGTAACGGCATCACCCCAACCTCTGCTTCTGTCATCATATCTCCTTCTCTGACCCTGACCTCCCTGCCTCCCTCTCCCTGACCTCCCTGCCTCCCTAAGTACCCCTGTGATTACATTTGGCCCACCCAGATAATCCAGAATAATCTTCCCGTCTCAAGAGTCTTCATTTAATCCCATCTGCAAAGTTTGCCACGTGAGGCCACGTATTCACAGATCCTAGGGGCTCAAGATACTGGAATCTTTGGGGTCTAATATGAATCTGTCCACTACAGTTAGGTTCCCCAGAAGCACATCCTCAGACAAGGATTTGGGTGCAAATGGTTTATTTGGGGGTGCTTCCAGGAAGCAGCAGTGGAAGAGTGGAGAAGTGAAACTGGGAAGGGAAGGAAGCCTGAGGGGGTCATCCAGCCAGACACCTCTGCGGGCACCTGAGGCTGAGTCCCCAGGGCACCTCTAGGAAACTGAGCAGAGAACCCTACAGCGCTGTCTGTTCTTCCCTGTGGGGCTTTCCCCAGGCTGTTCACCATCTGGCACTTCTGGTCTGCCCCGTCTTGGCTGAACACACATCTGCAGCCAGAGACAGCACTCAGGCCTAGAGTCTGGCATATTTAAAACCAATAAAGTACCGAAACAGTGTGTAGCAGACACTGTTGGTGCCCCCAGCTGTCTGCCCTGGGCACTCACTTCTACTCACTGGAGGTAGCTGCTGTCTGAGGGCACCTGCTATGTTCTGGCCCTGGGGCTCTAGGGGCTGGCAGTCTGAGTGCAGGACCAAGTGTCAGAGTTAATGTCCCTAGAACAGCCCTTATGCAATGGCAGATGGGAACCTGGCGAATGAACATCCCAGCTTCCTAATCCCTCAGCTGGGGTAACTCAGACGGGTCTACATTGGCTCCCCAGCTCCCCAGTGGGGTTGAACTCTGGTGCCCTCGGAGGTCACCAGCTGGTGTCACACCTGCATTGGCTGCCTTCCCTTCTCTTCCCTGCTCCATCCCACATCCCTGCTGATGGGTCCTGGGATCACCACCCAAATATATGGGAATCCCTGTCATAGGGTTGTCTTTTGGGGGAGCCCAAACCAAGACACAGGGACAAAAATAAACCCCACAACTTAAACCACACAACTGCGGTGTGTTACATATTTACATTGAAGAAATTCACATTTTTTTAGTGCAGCTGGACACAAAGAACACAAATAAGCAGAATATAATTTACATTATAAATTACATGCTGGTAGATTCCCTGAGGTCAGGAGTTCGCAACCAGTCTCTACTAAAAATACAAAAAAATCAACCAGGTGTGGTGGCGGGCACCTGTAATCCCAGCTACTCGGGAGGCTGAGGCAGGGGAATTGCTTGAACCAGGGAGGTGGAGGTTGCAGTTAGCCAAGATAGCGCCACTGCACTCCAGCTTGGGCGACAGAGCAAGACTCTGTCTCAAAATACACACATACGTAAATAAATAAATACATAAAACACACATGTACACACAATGCAGCTATATTATACATACACACACACATGCTGTCTCCTTTGTAGAGAATTCCAAAAGTCTATATTTGAGGCTCCTCCTTCATATGAGGCCCAGCCAAATGATGCTTCTGCCTCGAATACCCCTCCTAGCCCTGACCTCAGAATTGAGGGGGTTGTATTTGAGTTTTGTCTTAAAGTACACATGGAAAATACACATTTCAGGCCGGGTGTGGTGGCTTACTCCTGTAATCTCAGCACTTTGGGAGGCTGAGGCGGGCAGATCACTTGAGGTCAGGAGTTTCAGACCAGCCTGGTCAACATGGTGAAACTCAGTCCCAACAAAAAAATTTAAAAACTAGCCAGTGTGGTAGTGCTTACCTGCAGTCCCAGCCACTCAGGAGGCTGAGGTGGGAGGATTGCCTAAGCTCGGGAGTTCGAGGCTGCAGTGAGCTATGATCACATCACTGCACTCCAGCCTGACAGTCAGAGCAAGACTTTGCCTTAAAAATTTTTTTAAAAATTGTCTAGTAGTCTAGCACAGCTGCTGGACAGAGGGGCACTGGGAGTAGGATTGCTAGACAAAACACAATATGCCCAGCTAGATTCGAATTTCTGGTAAACAGTGAATACTTTTTAGTATAACCACATCCCAATTATTGCATGGGACCCTCTTTTACTAAAAAAAGTATTTGTTGTTTATCTGAAGTTCAGATGTAACTGAACATCCTGTATTTTTATTTTCTAAATCTGGCCACCATAACTGAAAGAGAGAGAGAGAACAGTGAGAGGGAAAGCGAGACATAAGACCACAGGGACACAAAAATGGGGACAGACAGAGAAATAGGGACAAATAGAGAAAGAATAAAGGAGAGATGGACAAACACAGATATGGCCACAAGATGCCTGCAGTAGGAAAACAGAAGAAGAGGCAGAAAGGGGGCAGACCCAGAGACCACCTCCTAGACTGGGGAAGATAGAAGGGGAACAGCCCAGCGTGGACAGGGGCCTAGCCAGAGTTCCTTCCCCAGGCAAGGCTAGGGAGAGAAGCACCTACAGGAGGGCACAGTTTTAAAAAAAATTGCTGACCAGGTGCAGTGGCTCATACCTGTAATCCCAGCACTTTCGGAGGCTGAGGCGGGCAGATCACGAGGTCAGGAGATGGAGACCATCCTGGCTAACGTGGTGAAACCCCATCTCTACTTAAAAAAAAAAATACAAAAACTTAGCTGGGTGTGGTGGCATGCGCCTGTAGTCCCAGCTACTCAGGAGGCTGAGACAGGAGAATCACTTGAACCCGGGAGGGGGAGGTTGCAGTGAGCTGAGATCGCACCACTCCACTCCAGCCTGGGTGACAGAGCAAGACTCAGTCTCAAAAAATAAATAAATAAATAAAATTGCTGCCAGAACTCTAGCCATAAAGTCTGCATTCCAGTCAACAGAACCAAGGAAGAGTAGAAGAAAGGCACTTCCTGTAAATTGCATCCAATCTGCCAGAATTTAGTCACATGGGCACAACCAGAGGAGCCGAAAAATGTGGTCCTTAATCCAGGTGGCCATGTACCCGGCTAAAATTTGAAGGTTCTTTTCTTTTTCTTTTTCTTTTTTTTTGTTTTTTTAGAGACAGGGTCTTGCTCTATCACCCAGGCTGGAGGGCAGTAGCATGATCATGGCTCACTGTAGCCTCAACCTCCTGAGGCTCAAGCAATCCTCCTGTCTCAGCCTCCCGAGTAGCTGGAACCACAGGTGCATGCCACCACACCCAGCTATTTTTTTTATTTTTTGTGGGGATGGCAGTCTCACCATGTTCCCATCTGGTCTCAAACTCCTGGCTCAAGTAATCCTCCTGCCTCAGCCTCTCAAAGTGCTGGGATTACAGGTGTGAGTCACTGAGCCCAACTGAAGTCTGAAGTTTCTTTCTTTTTTTTTTTTTTTAGACAGAGTCTTGCTCTGTTGCCCAGGCTGGAATGCAGTGGCACAATCTTGGCTTGCTGCGACCTCTACCTCCCAGGTTCAAGTGATTATCCTGCCCCAGCCTCCCAAGTAGCTGGGACTACAGGTGCGCACCACCACGCCCAGCTAATTTTTGTATTTTTAGTAGCGACAGAGTCTCGCCATGTTAGCCAGGCTGGTCTCGAATCCCTGACCTCTGGTGATCCACCCGCCTCAGCCTCCCAAAGTGCTGGGATTACAGGCATGAGCCACCAGTCCCAGACAAAGTTTCTATTTTTAAGAAAGAAGAGGAAAATGGATCCTGACACTGTCCCTTCATCTTTCTTGCTGGAATAGGGATGTTTTGCCTGCAACTGTGGCATCTTTTTTTTTTTTTTTTTTTTTTTTGATACAGAGTCTCACTCTGTCACCCAGGGTGGAGTGCAGTGGAGTGATCTTGGCTCACTGCAAGCTCCACCTCCTGGGTTCATGCCATTCTCCTGCCTCAGCCTCCCAAGTAGCAGGGACTACAGGCGCCCACCACCAAGCCTGGCTAATTTTGTTTTTGTATTTTTAGTAGAGGGGGTTTCACCATGTTAGCCAGGATGGTCTTGATCTCCTGACCTCGTGATCCACCTGCCTCGGCCTCCCAAAGTGCTGGGATTACAGGCGTGAGCCAGCAACTGTGGTATCTTTAAAGACCACTATTGTGCCTACCATATAGAAACAAGTGGTCCTCCAAATAACTGCTGATTTAATATTAAATCCGTAAACTCTACTCAAGCCAGTTCCATTCATTCATTCATTCCACAAATAGTTATTAAGCGTCTACTATGTGTTCTGGGCATAGAGCTACGAAAAAGACAATGTCTCTGCCTTCATGGAATTCACATTCTGCCTGTGGAAGGCATGATGATAAGTGAGCAAACACATTGTGGAAACCCAACTTTCCTTTAAAGATGGAGCCTAATAATTCTCCCCTTGAGTGTGAGCTGGACTTAGCCACTCACTTCTCACACGACTATGTGTAAAGGAAAATTGCATTCTGTCTGGAACTTTACCAAATACTGTTCACCATTTTAAGACCACATCACCCATATTTATGCCTACCATGGTATTTGAGTCACCAAAACAGCACTCCTGGTCAGACTGCATGGTGGGCCACTTTGGAACTGGTGATAAAAATTGCTTCTGCTGGCTGGGCGCGGTGGTTCATGCCTGTAATCCCAGCACTTTGGGAGGCCAAGGCGGGTGGATCACGAGGTCAAGAGATTGAGACCATCCTGGTCAACATGGTGAAACCCCATCTTTACCAAAAATGCAAAAATTAGCTGGGTGTGGGGGTGCAAGCCTGTAGTCTCAGCTACTTGGGAGGCTGAGGCAGGAGAATCACTTGAACCTGGGATGAGTAGGTTGCAGTGAGCCAAGATGGTGCCACTGCACTCCAGTCTGGGCGACAGAGCAAGACTCCATCTCAAAAAACAAACAAACAAAAATTGCTTCTGCTTCCTTCAGTCTCTTTCCCTTTTTCTCCCTCTCTCTCTCTCTTCCTCTCATTTTCTCTTGGGTCACTCACTCTGGGAAACAGGAGATACCACAGCATGAGCACATGCAAGCAGCTCTACCGAGAGGAGTGGAACTGAGGCCTCTGTCCCATGAGAGGGAGCCTCTTTGGAAGTTGATCCTCCAGCCCCAGTTGAGCCTCATCTGACTGCAGCCCCAGATGACAGCTCAACAGCAATCTCAACAGATCCTGATCCAGAAACACCCATGCTGCTCCCAAATTCCTGACCCACAGAAACTGTGAGATAAGAAATGTTTGCTTTTAAGCTGCTAAGTGTCAGGTCATTTATCATGCAGCAACAGATAACTAATATACAGATAAATAAACACCATCATTTAAAATTCAGTTCAGTGCAACTAACAAAAGATGATATGGAAGCAAGTAGTGGAGGTAGGAGGGATAAAACTGGGAGGTTGGTGACCTTGTGGGTGACATTGAGTTGAGGGCAGAGTGGTGGGAAGGGGGCAGCCATCAGTGCTTTCCAACCCTAGCAGATACTACACACCCCCTTTTATAACTGCAAGGCCTTTGTTAGCTGTTCTGAAATGAAATTCATAGGTAATAAAATCTTCCCACACACAGTTTTAATAAGACTACGAAGGTGAAACAAAAGGAATGCAATGTATAATTTGCAAATTTTATTTCAATAGATAAATGCTCAGATACAATTACACTAGAAGGTGTAATGAAGCAGGCGGATGCTGGAACCTAAAAGTGGGATCCCCTGGAATTGCCACAGCCATATGTGCAGGCTGATTGGAGTGCCCTAGCAGCAAATCAGATACCATAGCTGGTGTAAATGACAGCAATGTGGCTTTGAAGTGGTAAATGATATTTGGTAAAGTTCCAGACAAAATACATTTTTCTGGCCAGGTGTGCTGGCTTACTCCTGTAATCCCAGCACTTTGGAAGGTGGAGGTAGGAGGATCGCTTGAGACCAGGAGTTTGAGACCAACCTGGGCAACACAGGGAGACCCTATCTCCACAAAAATATTTAACAATTAGTCAGGTACGGTGGCACACACCTGTAGTCCCAGCTACTCTGGAGGCTGAATTTGGAGGATCATTTGAGCCCAAGAGGTGGAGGCTGCAGTGAGCCATGATCACACCACTGCACTCCAGCCTGGGCAACAGAGTGAGACTCTGCCTCAAAAAAAAAAATTGTAAAATTAGCCAGGCATGGTGGCACACATCTGTAATCCCAGCACTTTGGGAGGCAAAGGTGGGAGGATCGCTTCAGCCAGAAGTTCCAGACCAGCAGGGACAACATAGGGAGACCCCCATCTCTACAAAAATATTTTTTCAAATTAGCTGGGCATGGTGTTGCATGCTTCGATCACACCACTGCACTCCAGCCTGGGTGATGGAGTGAAACCTTGTCTCAAAATACATATGTATATATACATATACATATACATATACATATATATTTCCCTTGAATTGCAATGATATTTGCATTTCTGGAAAATGTGGTGATATTAAATCTACACAAGGGCCGGGCATGGTGGCTCACGCCTGTAATCCCAGCACTTTGGGAGGCCAAGGCGGGCAGATCACTTGAGGTCAGGAGTTGGAGACCAGCCTGGCCAACATAGTGAAACCTCGTCTCTACTAAAAATACAAATAAAATTAGCCAGGCGTGGTGGCGGGTGCCTGTAATCCCAGCTACTCAGGAGGCTGAGGCAGGAGAATCGCTTGAACCTGGGAGGCAGAGGTTGCAGTGAGTGGAGATCACACCACTGCACTTCAGCCTAGGCGACAGTGCGAGACTCCATCTCAAAACAAACAAACAAACAAACAAAAAAACTACAGCAAAAAACATTTTATATGTAAAGCAGATTTAGATTCTAGGCTCAGATCATTATCAATAAGTTTTTCATCTCCAGGAGTGTCTGGCCATGTGGCATACATTGAATTGTTTGTTACATAGGATTGTTCAGCTCTCTGCAGGATGTTATCTAGCATTCCTGTTCCCTCTATTACGACAACAGAAATATCCCCCCAACAAAATTTCAAAATGCGTCTGGGGGTGGTACTGCCTTCATGGAGAAGCACTGATTAAGAGGGACAGAAAAATGTAAGACAAGCCCTTGATGGGAACAAAAAGGAGCCCAGAGTGGCCAGAGTCCTGAAGAAAAGCAGGAAGGAGATGAGCTCAGAGAAAATGGCAGGGCCTCTATCACACCTTGTTGGCCACAGTATGATACTGAACTTGGACTCAATTCCAAGGGCAATAGGGAGCCTCTGTTGGATTTTCGGCAGGGGAGTGACATAGTCTGGCCTTGCTGTGTGTGTGTGTTGGGGGGAGTGGGGTGGGATCAAAACATGTTACTCAGCAGACTGCACTGTACTCTAGAGAATTTCATTCATTCATTCATTCATTCAACACATAAGGATTGAGGTGTGTCTCAGTGATCTATTGCTGTGTAACAAGCAAGACCCCAGAATGTAGTGGCATAAAGTAATGATTTTTTGTTTTCTGCTATTCTGTGGCTCAGCTGGGCAGTTTTTCTGCTGGTCTCACTAGTCACTTGTGCTGCTGTATTCAGCTGGTGGGTCGGCTGGGAGAGCTGCAATGACTGGGCTCCCTATCCACGTGCTCTTTCTTCTGGGGCTGCTACCATTTTGTTGTTATTATTGTTGTTGTTGTTTGAGACAGAGTCTTGCTCTGTCTCCCAGGCTGGAGGGCAGAGGGGCAGTCACGGCTCACTACAGCCTCCACCTCCTGGGCTCAAGCAATCTTCCCACCTCAGCCCTCCAAGTAGCTGGGACTACAGGCAGGCATCACTATTCCTGGATAATTTTTTAAATTTTTTGTAGCATCAGGGTCTTGATATGTTGCCCAGGCTGGTCTCGAACTCCTGGGCTCAAGTGATCCTCCTACTTCAGCCTCCCAGTGTTGGAATTACAGGCATGAGCCACTGACCTGCCCAGGGCTGCTTCTGAGTGTCATTCAGCATTCCCAGGCAGTAAAGGAAGAAGTGAGCCAGGGCTGTTGATGCTCTGGGACTTGTGCAGCCTCTTTTCTGTCACATTCTATTGGTCAAGACCAGCCACAAGGCTAGTCTAGGTTCAGGCTGGTGGAGAAACAAACTCTACCTCTTGCTGGGAGTGACTGCGAAATCGCATTACAAGCAGTGGAACTTGCAGAATTTAAGGCCATGAAATATTCAACGTGACTGTAGACCGGGCCCTGGGGATATGGCCTGCCCCTCTGCAACCGTGCTTTAGTGAGACAACAAATAGTCAACACGTACAAAAGCTCAGAAAGTGCTGTGGAAAACATCAGCTAGGGAGAGAGGGGGCTACTTGAGACAGGTCAGGGAAGGCTTCCCAGAGACGTCTGAGCTAAGACCCGAGCACTGGAGCATGCCTGCCTGGGATGTCTGTGCCTCTGAGGTTTCCAAGGAAGACAACTGTCTTTGCATAAGCCCATGGCTGCCCTTGGGGGAAGGGGCCCAGGGGACACCACTAATGGTTGCTGTGATAGCATCATTGTGGAATGGAGTGGAAGCTGCCTTGGGGCCAGAGTATCTGTCCCCCAGCACTCATTTGCAGGCTGTGTGACACTGGCCATCTGGGTTTCTTCCCCTGACTCCCAAAGCCCAGGTCCAGTTCACTGCACTGTGAGGGTTCACAGGTTTATAACAGGATAAACTACAGAGAGAGGTCAGTGCTTCCTGGTATACTATGCACAGCTGCGACACTCAATAAACAGAAGTTCACTGAACTGCAAGGTCACTGCTGCTGTGACAGGAGGGTCATATGGATGTGTGTATCTTGCCAGTGGCTGTGGTGAAACCCTGCTTGTGGAGAATAGACATAAACACACCTTCTCTCTCTCCCTCTCTGTCTTCCTTTCACCTCCCCTCTCCCTCCACCCCTTCCATTTCCTATTCTCCCAGCATGTTCTTTCCACTCTTCCTCACCTCCTTCCCCTTCACCTCCTTCCTACACCATTCCTTTTTCCATCTCTTTCCTGTTTTCCTAACTTGTTACTCTCATCTTTTTCTTTCTTTTCTGTTCTTCCTGACAGCTCCCCTTCCTACCTCCTCTCCCTTCACCCTTTCTCCTACTCTTTCCCCTCCTCTCATTTCTACCTCTCTTTCCTTTTCACTTCCCCTCTCCCTCCTGTCTTTCTCCTTTTTCTTTTACCTCTGTGCCTCCCTCTCACCTCTTCCCACACCACCTCATCTCCTCCATAACTAACTCACCTCCTTTTTGTTTGTTTGTTTTTTGAGACAGGGTCTCCTTCTGTGGCCCAGGCTGGAGTGCAGTGGTGCCATCACAGCTCACTGCGGCCTCAACCTCCGAGGCTCAAGCGATCCTCCCACCTCAGCCTCCCCAGTAGCTGGGACCACAAGCAGCGCCACCAGGCCCGGCTGTTTTACTTTTTATTTTGTAGAGAAAGGGTCTCCCTATGTTGCCCAGGCTGGTCTCGAACTCCTGGGCTCAAGCGATGCTCCCGCCTTGGCCTCCGGAAGCGCTGGGATTAGAGGCGTGAGCCGCCGCGCCGGGCCTCCCCCCTTCCCCTCCGCCGCCGCCTTCTCATCGCCCTTCCTCCTTCCTCCTGACGCCCCTTACTCCCGATCACTTCTCATTCATTCACCAGCTTCCAGTCCTCGCTCCCTCACCTCTTTTCTTTCCTACTCGCCTTCTCCTCCTGCCCCTTTATCATCTCTCCTTGTCACCGTTCTTTTTTGCCAATCCTCTCGTTCCCCTTCCTTTCCTCATCTCCTCTCTTACCCACGTCATCTCCATTCTCGTGCTCCCCTTCACCTCCCGTTACCTTGCGCTTCTCTCCTCTCATCTCCATCACCACCTCTCCCCGCTTTCGCCTTTCTTTAGCCCCCGCGTCCCCTATACCCTTCGCCCATGCCCACTCCCCTCCCCACCTTCTCTTCTTCCACCCTCCACCCTCGCCTTCTGTCTCTCGCCCACCTGACTCCGCTCCGCCCCCAGCCTTAGGCTCCGCCCCGCTGGGGGTCACGGGGCCGACGGACGCTAGGCGGCCGTAGCGGCCTCGCCAGTCACGTGGTCACGTGACGCGCTCCAACATGGCGGCGCCGTGGGGCCGAGGTGTCGCTTCCTGACGGGGCGGCGCGGACGGACGCGGCCGGTGCCGGCCGGGACGCCGGGCCCGCAGCCTAGCTCGCCATCTCGCTCACGCCGCCCGCCCGCGGGGCCGTCAGCCCCCGCCGGGCCGGGGCCATGCAGGAGAGCCAGACCAAGAGCATGTTCGTGTCCCGGGCCCTGGAGAAGATCCTAGCCGACAAGGAGGTGAAGCGGCCCCAGCACTCCCAGCTGCGCAGGGCCTGCCAGGTGGCGCTCGGTGGGTGAGCCGCTCCCGCCCTGCCCCGCGCTGGCCTCAGCACGTCGGCCGTTGCCCTATCCTACTCGGCCTTGGCCCGGCCTCCTGGCCTCCGCTTCCCCCCGATCCCGAATTCCACCCTTCCGGCCTCCTCCTCATTATACCCCCGGAGGAAGTGTTGCCCGGGCAGCTCGGGACTGGCCCAAGGTCACCTAGCAAGTTGGTGACAACCAGAGCTTGTTCCTCAGGGTTCCAGCTCAGGGCTTTTGCCACGATTCCTTGTCGCCCTGTTTCCTGGTTCCTCCCCTCACCACCTCCAAGTCCTAGAAACAGTAGCCCTTGCCCCAAGTTTTTTCGTTACCTGAGCTCTGCTGATTGGGGTTCCCCTAGGTGAACAGAGCATGTAGGAAGAGCCGTCCAACTGGTTTAGGGAAACCCCTGATTCTTGTTTTGGAAGTGCCCGTTGGAGAATGTTTTCCTTTGGTTTGGGGATCTCCCATAGCTCTTTCCCTCAAGGAAGGATTGTAGAAGGTGTTCTGGATCTCCCAGGCATTGTAGTGAGCAAGACATCTGCTTATTCCTAGCAGTCCACTAAAATACAAGGTCTTCAGCGCGAAGATACTTGTCTGACTTATTCATTGCTGTATCCCTTGCGCTTGCAACAGTGCCTGGCGCACAGTAGGTGCTCGATAAATATTTGCTGATTGAATGGACCCTCAGATTATGGAAAGAGGGAGAATTCTAACTAATAGTTAAAGGCTTGATAATTGATAGCAAAATCACTATCCTATCTTTCAGTTTTAATCATTTAACAAATATTTATCAAGTGCCCACTGCATACCAGGTACTGAGAATTCAGTGGGGAACAAGACGGACATGGTCCTTACCCCTATGGAGCTTATACTCGAATAGAGGAGACAAAATAATTAATTAAGAAAATAGGTGAGGTATTTTGGAATACTGATAAATACTATTTTGAAAATAAAACAGCAAGATGTGATAAAGAGGGCTTGAGGACTGCTTTCCATGGTCAGGAAAGTAATCTTTTCCAAGAGGAAAAGTAATCAGGTGGTCAGGAAAGTAATCTTTTCCAAGAGGGTGACACTTGAGCTGAATACTGAAAGGCAAGAACTATCCACCATATGGAGTTTCAGAAGAGAGTTCTTGGTGGGAGAATCCATGCATTTGACCAGAGCTGTTTTCAAGCTAATTCACTGCCCCAACGTCTTTGGTTTGGAATCTGTAAAGGCCTGTTTTTCCTAACAAAATGAGCAAATGGAAAGTTTGATTTTTAGTCACATAGTTTGAGATTGTTATCACCTTTCTCCTTTCATTTGCTACAAAGTATAGAGTAGTGTTCTTTTGGCATTTAGAAATAGGCTGGTGAACTTTGCACTTCCCTGGAAAGAAGGTCCCTGGCTTTCATCAGATTTTCAGAGGGCCCTGAGACTCCCTCAGGGGCCAACTATTGATGCAGAGGTGGTAGTCTAGATAATCTGGAAACAGTTGCTAGTCCGTGAAATTCAGGATCAGTGGAAGGAATTTACTGAGATGTAGATTTTTAAAGCTTTTCTCTTCCAATAACCAAGGCTGTTGGGTATTTTATCAGCAATGTGGGATAAGCACTGCAAAGCAGTTTGTTAGGCAAGAGCCTGGTATTTATAACTCCACGTTGAAATCTGCCTGGACTCTATCTTCTCGATATTGTTGTGGAGGTTTCAGAATAGTTATTTGGCAGAAGAGTTTTTATTTTTTCTTCAGAAAACTTCTTAACATAAAATTTTCACCAAAGTGTGCATCATATTATTGGAACCTACTTATAAAATTTTCATCTGGGTCATGAAGGGCCATTAACGCTGAGAATTTAATAGATATTTTCGGATCGTATCTTTGTTCAGAAGTTCAAGTTTTCCTAACACAAGTAGTGGAATGCATGTTTTCAGTTTTTAGTAGTGAATTGTAAAAAATGGCCTAGATAGGAAGTAATTTGACTACAGGTTATATGAATCACAAATTGGGGTTGTGCCAATGGCATAATAGGAACTGTCATAAGGGAACGTATGCATATTGTTAAGTGACCATCTTTTTTAAGAGAATAATTGTGTGTCATTGCTGTTAAATAGAAATGACTGCTTTTACTTAGAGTAGAACACATAGCAGAATGCCTGGTGATATTTCTCTCTGTCTCTCAAGGCCCAGTCTTGTGTCCAGTAGTCCCATTTAAGAAGAGAAATTTGGGGCCAGGTGCGGTGGCTCACGCCTGTAATCCCAGCACTTTAGGAGGCTGAGGCAGGCAGATCACGAGGTCAGGAGATCGAAACCATCCTGGCTAACACGGTGAAACCCCGCCTCTACTAAAAATAACAAAAAAAATTAGCTGGGCGCTGTGGCGGGCACCTGTAGTCCCACCTACTCGGGAGGCTGAGGCAGGAGAATGGCGTGAACCCAGGAGGTGGAGCTTGCAGTGAGCTGAGATTGCGCCACTGCACTCCAGCCTGGGCGACAAAACAAGACTCTGTCTCAAAAAAAAAAAAAAAAAAAAAGGCTGAAACGAGCCAGTGTATAAGGAGCAGCTATGTGGTATTTTAGAGATTACCATGTATAGATTGTTGTTAATTGTGATAAGAGGAACTGTAAATGACGGCTCAAAGTTGAAATGCTTGGATGATAGAGAGCATTTACAGGAAACAGCTTCTGTGATATGATTCCACCAGCTGTAGCATATTAGGGGAGAGGATCAGGGCTGCAGGGACTGTATAGTGTAGATGTTAGCTAGGAGTGTATTCTTTGGGACCCTAGACTTCTGTGTTCAAACCTCCTGCCTTCCACTTGCTACGTTTGTGATCTTGGACAAGTTACTTCCTTATAGGATTATTGTAAAGATTAAGTTAATTGACATGTGCAAAAAACTTGGCATGTAGTAGGTGCTCAGTAAATGCTTGCTATTACTTTTTTATTATTATTATTTTAAGCTGTGACAAACCACAGCAGCTGTAATTACTCTGGTTTGATGTTCTTAACCTTAGTTCCTCGTTCAGGAATGACTTACTGCTCTATTTGGTTTGTAGATGCAGTAAATAAGAATGTAATTACGTGATTGAAAGGCTGTGTTGGAGTATTAACTTCCTAAACTCAATGAAGACAGGGGTTGTCCTTTGTAAAAATTGTGATAATCATGATGGAGCAGATTTGGAGTAATCTCAATGATTCGTCCGCACTATACACCAAAAGCATAAATAGGGACTGCCCAAGTAGGGGATAGTGCCCTTCCAACCTTTATCTGGAGAAATCAAGACAGCCTGTGAGAGTATTCATCGCCCCAAGGATACTGTTGCTCTTTACCTTGTTATGAAACTTTGATATATATTAATAATCTTCAACCTTTCAGCCCTCTGTTGGAGAATATAATTACATTCTTAAACCTCCCTTTTATAATTGTCTTATTTAAGACTCATCTTCTCCCATCATGTATCTTTAAGTTATGTTTCTGCTCTTAAACTATATGAAGTTTGGAGGCTTAATAGGATAATCTATTTAAAATTCGATATGGAAAAATTTATCTATGGCTGGGCACTGTGGTTCATGCCTGTAATTCCAGCGCTTTAGGAGGCCAAGGTGGGCAGATTGCATGAGCCCAGGAGTTTGAGACCAGCCTGTGCAACATGGCAAAACCCCATCTCTAAAAAAATATATAAAAATTAGCTGGGTGTGGTAGTGCATGCCTGTAGTCCCGGCTACTTGGGAGGCTGAGGTGGGAGGATGACTTGAACCTAGGAAATGGAGGTTGCAGTGAGTTGAGATCATGCCATTGCACTCCAGCCGAGACAGCAGGGTGAGACCCTCACACAAAAGTGCTAAGTAATGGCTAGGTGCTCTATAATTACTAGTTGTCATTATTCTCAGCCATTATCAAGAAAATTTAAAAAGAATAGTAAACATACGTATTTTCATATGAAATTGAATGACTTTTAAAGATCACATGTTGTATTATATCTCCTATGTACTAAGCATTTCTGAGTTCCAGGCACAGTAAAGTGGGCTTTTCATGCAATTTAGTTCTCACTATTATCATCATTCCCACTGAGGCCCAGAGAAGTTAAGTTGGCCAGGGTAACTCAGTAAGTGATGGAACCAGGGTATAAACACAGGCAATCTGGCTCCATAGTCCAAGATCTTAACTATTACTACCATGTTTTCTTGCTTCTCCATATGAAAGTTGTTATGTTTGAAATACTCAGTAGAGTTTTTAAAACAATCAGTATACCGCAGTGGAGTTTCAGGAGACTGTATTTTCTATAGCTGAATTTTGAGATATGTTTGAAAGCCTTGAGTCAAAAAGATCACAGCTCTTTTCTTCAGGTTTTTACTACATATATACTAGGTTTACTTTAATTAGGGGCTAATGGAAAGAAGGAAATGAGAGTAAAGAGCTGGTTACACATAAGTTTCATTTGAGTTATTCAGTTTTTCTTTTTTTTTTTTGAGACAGGATCTTGCTCTGTGGCCCAGGCTGGAGTGCAGTGGTGGGGTGCGATCTCAGGTCACTGCAACCTCTCCATCCCTGGCTCAGGTGATCCTCCCA
The DNA here is from genome assembly GCF_000001405.40 of Homo sapiens. NCBI lineage: Eukaryota > Metazoa > Chordata > Mammalia > Primates > Hominidae > Homo > Homo sapiens. The sequence continues at coordinate 48,926,572 of NC_000020.11, forward strand.
TTTCAGCCTCCCAAGTAGCTAGGACTACAGGGGCGTACCACCCACCTGGCTAATTTTTCTGTTTTTAGTAGAGACGGGGTTTTTCTGTTGTCTGGGCTGGAGTTAATCAGTTTTTCTAATTGATGATATCTCTTCATCAGCAGTAAACTCCCTCTTATTAATTCTGGAGTTGTGACCTGTTATTAATTCTGGATTGTGATTCATTTCTTTGGGTACAGCAGGCAATGGGAGACCAAGGCTAAGGAAGAGAGCAACTTGCCCATCCACATCCACACAGCTGGGTGGGGAAACGTAGCTGCAGCACATGATGTAGCTTCACATAGATCATAACATCCATTCTTAGATTTGCTCCTCTGTTTAATATACGAGATTTAGGATGTGGATGGGTCATTGGTGACCTTAGCTTGAGCTTTTTTGATGCTGTGATGGAGGTGAAAGCCAGACTGGCATGGGTTGAGGCGTGGGAGGTGAGGAAACAGATGGTGAGCATAGTCAGCTCTCCCAAAGTTTGGTTGTGTTGTAAAGAGGAAGAAGGAGTGGCTCCTGGGAGTTGTTTGTTTATTTAAAGGTAGAAAAGATTTTAACTTTAAATATTGTTAAGGGATCCAGTTAAGGAAGTATATTCCTAAATCTTAGTTGTATATGAATGTGTGTAAGACATACAAATGGGCATTTATCATATGGACATCTGTGTGTCCATATGATACATAAATTGCTTTTTCTTCCATATGATCCTTTTATTCTAATTTTGATGTGTTCAGAAAAACCATTCTCATCATGAGGATTACTGTGAAACTTGAAAAATATAAAAAACATCTCTAAATTGATGTAACGTGGCGGGGCATGGTGGCTCACGCCTGTAATCTCAGTACTTTGGGAGGTCGAGGCGGGCGGCTCAGTTGAGGCCAGGGGTTCAAGACTAGCCTGGCCAAAATGGCGAAACCCCATCTGTACTAAAATACAAAAATTAGCTGGGCGTGGTGGCGCACACCCGTAATCCCAGCTACTTGGGAGGCTGAGGCAGGAGAATTGCTTGAACCCGGGAGGTGGAGGTTGCAGTGAGCCAAGATGGCGCCACTGCACTCCAGCCTTGGCAACAGAGCGAGACTCTGTCTCAAAAAAAAAAAAATTAAAAAATAAATAAATAAATTGACATAACAAGACTTTAAATTGAAATGCAGAATAAAGCCTTTAATTTTAGCAAATTCTAGTGTTTTGATGAGACATTTCGTTTATAAGTGCTATGTATCATAAAAATTTTGAGAAATAACAGGACTCAGGACCCTGGAAGATTACTTTTTGTTGAAAACCACTGTGGATTCTTCAGGAGGAGGTTATCTGTCTGGAAGCAGCATCAAAAAACTGGATTGTTCTTGATTATTGAAAAGCATTTATATGTAGGATTGGCAGAGAGTTGATTGAGACTTTGAAAGTTTGATTTGCTTATTGATAGTCCAGTGATCCCTCTTTGGGCCGCAGTTTCCCAAGGTGATAAAGATAGTAATACCTTTGTCACAGGATTATTGCAAAGGTTAAATGGACTAGTGCAGTAAGTAACTGGCACAGTACCTGGCACCTAACAGATGACCTGCTGAAATTCAGAGGCATTGGTGTTGCAATCTTTTTTTTTTTTTTTTTTTTTTTTGAGACGGAGTCTCGCTCTGTCGCCCAGGCTGGAGTGCAGTGGCGCGATCTCGGCTCACTGCAAGCTCCGCCTCCCGGGTTCACGCCATTCTCCTGCCTCAGCCTCCCGAGTAGCTGGGACTACAGGCGCCCGCTACCACGCCCGGCTAATTTTTTGTATTTTTAGTAGAGACGGGGTTTCACCGTGTTAGCCAGGATGGTCTCGATCTCCTGACCTCGTGATCCGCCCGCCTCGGCCTCCCAAAGTGCTGGGATTACAGGCGTGAGCCACCGCGCCCGGCCGCAATCTTTTTTTTTTTGAGCCAGTCTCGCTCTGTCGCCCAGGCTGGAGTGCAGTGGCGTGATCTCGGCTCACTGCAAGCTCTGCCTCCTGGGTTCACGCCATTCTCCTGCCTCAGCCTCCCAAGTAGCTGGGACCACAGGCGCCCGCCACCACACCCAGCTAATTTTTTGTATTTTTAGTAGAGACGGGGTTTCACCGTGTTAGCCAGGATGGTTTCGATCTCCTGACCTCGTGATCTGCCCGCCTCAGCCTCCTAAAGTGCTGGGATTACAGGCGTGAGCCACTGCGCCCAGCCGGTGTTGCAGTCTTTAAAGGAAAAGGAACTGAATGCTTGCCTTTCTCTACCTCCCCTATTAGTTGGTTTATAGACCTTTTTGTAAGTCTCCAACATGAGTGAAGCAGTGGTTGGATAGAATGAATTTAGAGCTCTATCCTGTACTTGTAAATCTCAGGGGAGAGTCTGAAAGCAGTGCTAGGGAAAACAGTAAGACCATTCTTCATGAAAAAGAGTGAACTTGTGAAAATGTGTACTTAATCAGCAAGAACATGGAGTGTCCTATATAAATAGCTCAGAGCTGTGTTTAGCTCTTGCCAGTTTCACCAGGCTTAGGGGGCCTGCCAGGAAAATACTTGACTTTCTTTCCAGCAAGGTTATCCTAGAAAAAATAGTTTTGCATTTGCTGATTCATTTCTGAAATTTTCCAGTGAGAAGCTCATTTCTGTTTAGTGCCTTGGGTGTAAACAAGCCTTCTGGCTTGATATTTTATTAGGTTTTATACCTTTGTGAGGAGAACAGCCTTCTTGTGCTAGGACACAAAATTCTTAAGTTTTCCTTCCGTCCTAGGGAGTGGTCAGTGTATATTTGTCGTTCTGAATATAGCCCTTTTGCCTGTTGACTAAACCAGACCCAACATTTATTCAGAAGATATTTATTTGGGTGTCACCCCTGGTGTCATGATGCAGAGGGATCAAAACAAACAAGGACCATGTTCTGAAGGAGTTTGCAGTTGAATGGGGTAGATGGGCATTGTTCAGAGGATATGCCCTCTAGGTCATAATAACAACCCGAGAAGTACTGAAGGAAAGAAACCTGGTTCTGCCAGGGCAGTGAACAGTGGGGTGAGGGAAGACTTCCCTGAGGAAGTCTCACTCATTCATTGAGAATTAATGATGAGTGAGAATTAAGTAGTTGGGGGCAGGAGGCATTTCAGCAGAGGGAACAACCTGAGTGAAGGCTCTATGGCAGAGAGGAAAACAGTTGTTGGGGAAACTGAAAGAGGCCAGTGTGTGGTTGGAACATTGTACTTGAGCAAAGAGAGTGGAGATGGAGTGGGAGTGGGAGAGGTAGGCCAAGACCCCAACATGCAAGGCCTGGAGGTCATGGCTAGGAGTTTTATTTTTTAGGTCAAAGGCAGTGAGATGACACTGAAGAGTTTTAAACCGGGAAGCAGGTGATAGGATGACCAGGTGTATTATTTTGGAAAAATCATTTGGACCACTGTGTTCAGAACATCTTAGGGGAAGACCAGAGGGATTGCCAAGGAACCAATGAAGAGACTGTCTTAGTCCATTTTGTGCTGCTTTAACAGAATGCTACTCACTGGGCGATTTATAAAGAACAGAAGTTTATTTGGCTCACAGTCCAAGAGCATGGCACTAGCATCTGGCCAGGGTCATCCTATGGCGGAAGGCGAGAGAGGAAATGGGGGTTGAACTCATCTTTTTATCAGGAGCACACTCATGCAGTAACGTATTAGTCCATTCATGAGGGCAGAGCCCTCGTGACCTAATCACTTCTTAAAGGCTCCACTCTTACACCATCACAGTGGCAATTAATTTGCAGCAGAGTTTTGGTAGGGACATTCAAACCATCGCAGGCAGTTACCATTGTTCAGGTGAGAGATATTGGTGGCCTGGACTAGTGGTGACAGTAGAAATAGAGCAAAGAAAATGAATTTCCAACCTGGTTAGAAGATGAAGCCAACAAAACCTTGTGATGGAGCGAGTAAGAGCATGGGAAAGAGGATTGATAAGCTTGACTCTCCGATTTCTGACTCACCCAGCTGGGTGGATGGTGCCTATTTTTTAAGATGGGAATGTGGGAAGAGGACTACATGGAGTGGTGGAGGGAGGAAGTTGATCTGAGTTGGGACTTGGATGTGTGGAGTTTGGTCTGCCTTTGAGCATTCAGTTGGACATGTGAAATGGGAAGTGGCCAGTTGTATGAGCCTGATGTTCATAAGAGAGGTCTGGGCTTAAGATAGGAATTTGGGAGTCAGCAGAGTCTAGGTGGGAATGGGAAGCCTGGTGAGACGGTATACAGAGGGAGAGGCAGGAGGCCTGGGCCTGAGAACCCTCCAGGCCTTTTCTGGCTGGGCAGAGGAGGCTGAGTCTGCAGACGAAATAGAGCAGAGATGGGTAAGAAGCGGAGGAAAGATGAGGAAAATATGTGGTTATGAAGCCCGAAGTCGAGAAAATTTGAGAGTGAGGTCAGTAAGGTGAAATGCTACAGAGAGGTCAAGTGAGGTAAAGACTGGAAAAATGCCCATCAGATTTAGAGACATGTGGGTCATTGGTGGCCTTAGCTTGAGCTGTTTTGGTGGCATGATGGAGGTGAAAGCCAGACTGGCGTGGGAGGTGAGGAAACAGACGGTGAACATAGACAACTCTTTCCCGAAGGTTGGCTGTGGGAGGAGGGAGATGTGGATGTTAAAAGTATTTTGTTTTTTCTTTTTTTTAAGGTAGAAGAGACTTGAACTTGTTTAAATGTCATTGGGGAGGGAGCCAGTTCAAGGAGAGGTTTGGTAATGCAGAAAGAAGAAAGGACAGTGTTTCATTTTTTCAACAAATGTTGAGTGCCTGCCACTCTGTGCTGAAGAATTCTCAGTACTTGGGAATTCAGCAGTGAACAGAACAGGCAAAGTGTCTGTTGTCATAGAGTTTATGTTCTGCTGGGGAAGGCAGATAGTAAATGAACTGATATATAATATGTCAAGGGTGATAAATACTAAAAAAAGACTAAAAAAATGAATTAGTAAAGTGAGAGAACAAACCAGGTAAGGAGATACAGGGTGACAAGGGGGTGGCAGTATTAGGTGCTGAGGAAGTCCCCTGAGGAGGACATCAGAGCAGAGATCTGAAGGAAGTGAGGGGGTGAGCCATGGAGATATCTGGGGGGAGGGAGGGCATTCCCAGGAGCAGGAATAGCTCATGCAAAGGCCCCGGGGCAGAAATGTGCTTGGTGTGTTCGAGCAAGTAGGCCAGGGCCAGGGTGGTAGAAGGTGAGAGCAGAGGGATAGCAGGGGCCAGATCACATAGAGGTTTGGAGGCCAAGATCGAGAGTTTTAATTTTACGCGGAGTGGGATGGAAAGCTACTGGAGCATTTTGAGCAAAGGAGTGTTGTGATCTGAGTTACATTTTGAGGGCATCCCTCTGGCTGCTGTTGAGAAAAGCTGTGGGGTGGAAGGGAGGATAATTGCTGAAGCATGGAGACCAGTTACAAGACCATTGTGATGGCCCAGGTGGGAGATAACAGTTGCTTGGCCTAGGGTGATAGTGGTGGCCTAGTGTGGTAAGAAGGGATCAGGTTCTAGATATTATGGATAGTGTGAAGTTCCTGAGAAGGCGGATAGGGATGGGAGGTGACAGAGGTGGAGGGGTTGGACACCCACTCCCTTATAGCAGGAGAGAGCAGAGAGTAGGCCCGAAGTGGGTCAGGTTGTAGGTTTGCTAACAGCAAGCTGAGGGAGTCTCCTTGTGCCCACTTCTAATTTCTGAGTGAAGTAGGAGGCCACTCCATTGGTTGTGAGTAAAGAGGACGGCAGCAGAACAGCGATGATTGGGAGGGGAGAGTTGGGCCATTGAGGGTGGAGAAATGTGCAGTAGCCATCGTGGAGAGTGAGAGGTGACCAAATTACTGGGCAGCATTTCAGGTTTCATTCGTGGTGGGTAATTGGGGCTCTGTAGGCCTGCCAACCTGCCCTGTTGTCAGAGGTCTGCTTAGGCGGAGACAGGTGAAAAGGGGACGCTAGTACAATCTAAGTTTGGGATTTTGCCAGAAGTTAAGACTAAAGGTCAGAGAGAGTCCAGGCTATTGATTGCGTGTCATCTGATAATAGTCCTGCTGATGGGATCTACCCTGGAAAATGAGGAAAAAGGAAAGCCGAGAGGTTGGCCATCTCAAGGTTTGACAGGACAAAGACAGGTTCTACTGGGAGCAATTGAGAGGGTCAGCTGGAAGGAGAGAAGAGGAAGGAGCTGGAAGTTCCCCAGTTCCATATAGGGACAAGAGTCAGTGTGACCAGCCTCACCAGGCTGGCTTGGAGTGGAGGAGGATGTGGTAGGTGACTGGGAGCTAAAGGAATTTAGGGGCAGCGTTGGTTTCTGTGGGGGAAGCCTGCGACAGATAGAAGTCTGAGGAGTGTGGAAGGGTTACTGTGGGATCTGGGGGCATTGGCCACTGATGGGATTGTTGGGCAGTGCTGGGTTTGAGGTTGGTGATGGTGATTGTTGGACTTGCCTTGGGAGTGGAAGAGAGAATGCGAGCCAGTGTCAGAGGTGCTGGTGAATGGAGGTGTGTGACCCGAGCGGTAACATCCAGAAAGGATTTCCCGCAAAGACAGCGCGGCTTTTCAGCTGCAGCTGCCCCACCCTGCTCCAGTCTCCCTCATTTCCAGCCTGGAAATTGTTGCTAATTGCCCCATTGGCAGTTGGGAAGGCAACGCCTGTTAAGATGTGGAGCAATAAAGTGGAGCAGGTATGCTGTGCCGTATGCCCCTCTTCCTGCACCGTCCTCCTTCTGTCATCGTTGAGTGGCTCAGGAGTGCTGGCCCTCTAACAGACTGCCTGGGCGTGGATCCTGACTGCAGAGTAGCACTTCTGGCTGTGACGTGGGCAGATGGCTTAACCTCCCTGTGCTCAGATTCCTCACCTGTAAAACAGTTAATGGATGATTAGAGTGTTCCTGCCTCCCTGGGTTGTGGTGAGGACTGAATGAGCACCTGCCACTAGGAGGCAATCAGTGAGTCAGCTATCATCATTATTATTATTAGGGTTCCACTCATTCTCCTTTTCCCTTGGCATTGCTTGATCCCACGGAGATCCCACTAGAGATTTTGCTTTAATACTGACTTGTTTTAAAATAAGAGCAAGAGAACTGACATTTATTGACCACCTGCTGTGTGCCAGCTGCCGCCTTAGTCACCACCAAGACCTCTCTCATGGCGGTGTCAAGAGAATTATCTGCACTCTTGGTGCCTAGTTATGGTCTCTGGAGCATGTGGGGCTGTTTTTTATCACTCCCATTTTTTAGAATAGGAAATCAAGATTCAGGGAAGTTGGCCGGGTGCGGTGGCTCATGCCTGTAATCCCAGCACTTTGGAAGGCTGAGGCGGGTGTGTCACCTGGGGTCAGGAGTTCAAGAACTGCCTGGCCAACATGGCGAAACCCTGTCTCTACTAAAAATATAAAAATTAACCGGGCATGGTGGCACGTGCCTGTAGTCCCAGCTATTTGGGAGGCTGAGGCAGGAGAATCTCTTGAACCCAGGAGGCGGAGGTTGCAGTGAGCCAAGAAGGCGCCACTGCACTCCAGCCTGGGCAACAGAGTGGGACTTCATCTCAAAAAAAAAAAAAAAAAAAAAAAAAGATTCAGGGAAGTTTAATAACCCAATAACCCATCTGGCATCATTCAGCTAATAGATGTCTGTGCCAGGACTTGAACCCAGCTCTGTCTCACACCTGTATCTTTTCTTTCTGCCATATCAGGCTGTGCCATGCTATCTGTGAGGCACCCTGCCACACACACTTTTTCGCTGTTCCTTTTTCTCCCTCCGTTTAAAAAAAAAATTATTACACTTTTAACTTCTGGGATACATGTGCAGAACAAGCAGGTTTGTTACATAGGTGTACGTGTGCCATGGTGGTTTGCTGCACCCATCAACCCGTAATCTGGGTTTTCAGCCCAGCATGTATTAGGTATTTGTCCTAATGCTCTTCCTTCCCCTTGCCTCCCACCCCTCAACAGGCCCTGGTGTGTGATGTGTGCCTCCCTGTGTCCATGTGTTCTCATTGTTCAGCTCCCACTTATGAGTGAGAACATGTGGTGTTTGGTTTTCTGTTCCTATGTTAGTTTGCTGAGAATGATGGCTTCCAGCCTCATCCATGTCCCTGCAAAGGACATGAACTCATTCTTTTTTATGGTTGCATAGTAGTCCATGGTGTATATGTGCCACATTTTCTTTATCCAGTCTATCATTAATGGGCATTCGGGTTGGTTCCAAGTCTTTGCTATTGTGAATAGTGCTGCAGTAAACATACATGTGCATGTGTCTTTATAGTATAATGATTTGTAATCCTTTGGGTATATACCCAGTGATGGGATTGCTGGGTCAAATGGTATTCCTCATTCTAGATCCTTGAGGAATCGCCACACTGTCTTCCACAATGGTTGAACTAATTTACACTCCCACCAACAGTGTAAAAGCGTTCCTATTTCTCCACATCCTCTCCAGCATCTGTTGTTTCCTGACTTGTTAATGATTGCCATTCTAACTGGCGTGAGATGGTATCTCGTTGTGGTTTTGATTTGCATTTCTCTCTTTTTTTCTTTTTTTATTGATCATTCTTGGGTGTTTCTCGCAGGGGGGGATTTGGCAGGGTCACAGGACAATAGTGGAGGGAAGGTCAGCAGATAAACAAGTGAACAAAGGTCCCTGGTTTTCCTAGGCAGAGGACCCTGCGGCCTTCCGCAGTGTTTGTGTCCCTGGGTACTTGAGATTAGGGAGTGGTGATGACTCTTAAGGAGCTTGCTGCCTTCAAGCATCTGTTTAACAAAGCACATCTTGCACCGCCCTTAATCCATTCAACCCTGAGTGGATACAGCACATGTTTCAGAGAGCACAGGGTTGGGGGTAAGGTCACAGATCAACAGGATCCCAAGGCAGAAGAATTTTTCTTAGTACAGAACAAAATGAAAAGTCTCCCATGTCTACCTCTTTCTACACAGACACGGCAACCATCCGATTTCTCAATCTTTTCCCCACCTTTCCCCCCTTTCTATTCCACAAAACCGCCACTGTCATCATGGCCCGTTCTCAATGAGCTGTTGGGTACACCTTGCAGACGGGGTGGTGGCCGGGCAGAGGGGCTCCTCACTTCCCAGTAGGGGCGGCCGGGCAGAGGCGCCCCTCACCTCCTGGACGGGGCGGCTAGCCGGGCGGGGGGCTGACACCCCCACCTCCCTCCCGGACAGGGCGGCTGGCTGGGCGGGGGGCTGACCCCCCCACCTCCCTCCCGGACGGGGCGGCTGGCCGGGCGGGGGGCTGACCCCCCAACCTCCCTCCCGGACGGGGCGGCTGGCCGGGCAGAGGAGCTCCTTACTTCCCAGTAGGGGCGGCCGGGCAGAGGCACCCCTCACTTCCCGCATGGGGCGGCTGGCCGGGGGGGGGGGCTGACCCCCCTACCTCCCTCCCGGACGGGGCGGCTGGCCGGGCAGAGGGGCTCCTCACTTCCCAGTAGGGGCGGCCGGGCAGAGGCGCCCCTCACTTCCCGCATGGGGCGGCTGGCCGGGCCGGGGGCTGAACCCCCACCTCCCTCCCGGACGGGGCGGCTGGCCGGGCGGGGGGCTGACCCCCCCACCTCCCTCCCGGACGGGGCGGCTGGCCGGGCAGAGGGGCTCCTCACTTCCCAGTAGGGGCGGCCGGGCAGAGGCGCCCCTCACCTCCCGGACGGGGCGGCTGGCCGGGCGGGGGGCTGACCCCCCCACCCCTGCCGGACGGGGCGGCTGGCCAGGCGGGGGGCTGACCCCCCCCACCTCCCTCCCGGACGGGGCGGCTGGCTGGGCGGGGGGCTGACCCCCCCACCTCCCTCCCGGACGAGGTGGCTGCCGGGTGGAGATGCTCCTCACTTCCCAGACGGGGTGGCTGCTGGGCGGAGGGGCTCCTCACTTCTCAGACGGGGCGGCTGCCGGGCGGAGGGGCTCCTCACTTCTCGGACGGGGCGGTTGCCGGGCAGAGGGTCTCCTCACTTCTCTCTTTTTTTTTTGAGACGGAGTTTCCCTCTTGTTGCCCAGGCTGGAGTGCATTGGCATGATCTCAGCTCACTGCGCCCTTTGCCTCCAGGGTTCAAGCAGTTCTCCTGCCTCAGCTTCCTGAGTAGCTGGGACTACAGGCGTGCACCACCACGCCCAGCTAATTTTTTTATATTTTTAGTAGAGATGGGGTTTCTCTATGTTGGCCAGGCTGGTTTTGAACTCCCTACCTCAGGTGATCTGCCTGCCTGGGCCTCCCAAAGTGCTGGGATTACAGGCATGAGCCACCACATCGGGCCTTGATTTACGTTTCTCTAATGACCAGAGATGATGAGCTGTTTTTCATATGTTTTTTGGCCACATAAATGTCTTCTTTTGAGAAGTGTCTGTTCATATCCTTCGCCCATTTTTTGTTGGGATTGTTCTTCCCTCTTTTAATGGAAAAAAAAAAGATTGCATTATCCAGATATATCAAGAACCCAACTTTTAGGTTGGGCCATATGAGACTACTGCTATTTGAGCATTTCCAGCCTGGGTGAGAGGGTGAGACTCTGTCTCCAAAACAAAAACAAAAGGTGCTGGTGTGCTTCAGACTGTGCCTTCTCTCCACCTGCACGGGCTCTGTCCTGCTCTAAGCCCCCATTGCTGCTAGGCTGGATTATTAGCAGTAACTTCCTGATTGGTTTCCCTGCTTCTGTCCTGGCCACCTTCCTCTTTATCCTCACAGCAGCCAGAGTGATCTGTCCGAAGAAAAGTTGAGTCAGGCCGCCCTCTCCCAGCCCCTCCATGGGCTTCCTCCCATCCCTTACAAAGATGCCGTTATCATCTGGGCCCCTACTGGGCCTAGTGGAGAAGACTTTTCAAGAGTGTCTTTCTTTCTTTATTTCTTTTTTATTAGATGGACTCCAAGTCTTTTTACCATGTTGCTCAGGCTGGTCTGAGCTCCTGAGCTTAAACTGATCTGCCCACCTCAGCCTCCCAAAGTGCTGGGATTACAGGCGTGAGCCACTGGGACTGGCCTCAAGATTTTTTTTTCTTCAACAAAAGAGTAGTTTAGAAAGTGCAGCAATTCCTAATTCTTGTGGGAATACTTAAGGGTAAATTTAGAAAACCAAAGAAAATCTGTGAACATAGGATTTGCAACTGGAGTTTCTTGGGTTTCTGCAGTTACTCTTCCAGGTAGCAACTCTTTCCTGGTCACAGGAGAGGGCTGCTCTCTTCGGTCCCTGTGCCCTGCACTGCTGCTGCTGCCAGTCCTGTCAACGCTTGCTCATTCCCATTCCAAAACCAGGTTTTACCTTTGCTGTGGTCATGCCAGGCCAGAAACAGACTTTGGAGATTTCAGAAGGCTTGTAAACTAGCCTTCCCAGCTGGATGGGTTCACAGAGCAGTAAAACACCAGTGTTTTGAACCGTGGTTGTAGCTTTCATGGTTAGTGTCAGTGCTAGGAAAACCACACATTTAAACTCTTCTGCATTTATGGTTTACAGAGTAATTCCATATGCTTGTTCGAGAGTCGAGGTATCCAGGAGAACACAGACTCTGGAGCCTGATTTTCTGGGTTTAAGTCCCATCTCCAGTACTTAATAACTTGTAACCTCTGTGGATCTTGATTTTCATCTATAAAATTTATAATGGAGTTTGGCCTTGAACTTCAGTCCTCTGGCTCCTTAGTTCTTTGTTCTTTGGCTGGACAACATTTCGCTTATAGAAAACTTGATGTTTTGTCCTCATAGCACTGATCACAGTCCTTAAAAGCCACTTTTAGCCCCTGCAGCTACTTTTCTGCAGCCACTGAAGCACTTTCTCCTCGGCTCTTCTCCATCCCTTAAAGCAAAATTGGCAAACCGGTAGCCTCAGGGCTAGGCAGCTTGCAAACCAGTCTTATTTAAGCCATAATATTTTTTAAATATATTTTTATTGATACATATAGCTGTACATATTTTTGAGGTGCATTGATAATTGGATGCTTTCATATAGTCAAATCAGGGTAGCTGGGATATCCATCACTTTAAATATTTATTTTTTCTTTATATTAGGAACATTTGAATTATTCTTTCCTAGCTATTTTGAAATGTACAGTTGGTTAATGTTAACTGTAGTCATCCTACTGATCTAACGAACACCAGATCTTATTTTTTCTATTTAACATAATTTTAAAACAATTGAAGGTGTTTGAATTACAATCAGAGGTTTCACTTAAAATCTGGATTTCGACCTCTGGAAAAATCAGAACAACTAGCACCTGTGAGCTGAGGGACTCTAAAGATTCCAGTCAGCTGGAGCTGAGGAGCTGCCGCACCCCTTCCTGTACTGGGTGGAGAGGGGGTCCTGTCATTCTTTGATCTTACACCCACCGTGTTTTTTCTTGACATTTCCCGTCTGGCCTCCATGGGCCTTTGTAGTTGGTGTAACTTTTGTGTTTGGTTTGTTTTATGGGTTTTTTTTGTTTGTTTTTTTTTTTTTTGAGAAAGTCTCACTATGTCACCCAGGCTGAAGTGCAGTGGCACCATCTCGGCTCACTGCAATTACTGCTTCCCGGGTTCAAGCGATTCTCCTGCCTCAGCCTCCTGAGTAGCTGGGGTTACAGGTGTGTGGTACCACGCCCTGCTAATTTTCATATTTTTAGTAGAGATGGGGTTTCACCATGTTGGTCAGGCTGGTCTCAAACTCCTGACCTCGTGATCTGCCTGCCTCGGCCTCCCAAAATGCTGGGATTACAGGCATGAGCCACCGCGCCTGGCCTATAGTGGCATTTCAAAACAGATTGTTTTAGAGCTCACAGCCCAGCACCAATGCTAGCGAAGACCTCATTGCTTTAGATAGGTTTAGGACTTAAACTTGACTCTAACAAGGTAATGGTGATTGGAAGGAAAACCTACATTTGAGTTTGGGCAGCAGCACCCCTCTGGCATGTCACAGTGACATATCTTGTCACCCAAGCAGAGCCTTGGCATTATAGATACAGGTTTCTAAAAGCTGATAGCTTGGCTGCCAGCCTCATGGGCTGGATCACCCACAACTTCATGGGCCTCTTCTAGTGGAAGCTGGAGCATTTCCTTGGTGAATTCTTTTCCCTGAGGGGCAAGATCCATGCCACACAGCTCTCTGACCCTGTGTGTCACAACCCTTATGGTCCATGAGCAAAATGGTTGCTAGTAGTCATTTGGGCATTTCTCTTCTGTTTTCTTATGTGTGTAATAAGATATACAAAGTCGGGCTTGAAGATTAGAAATTGCTACTTCCAGTGAGTCAGTTTACTTGGTTTTCACATCTTCAAGTTGAGTCTAGAATGGAGTTACCTAAGAAAAGGAAATTTGCAGCCTTCAGTACCGTGTCCTGGGGTTGCTAGAATAACTAGTGCCATATCCACTCTACTGGCTCTCTAGAGATTGTGTAAAGGAGGCTGGCCTTTTGGAGATGATCTGAATACATGGTATTGAGGACAAACCTCCTTCCCAAGGCTGATTTGATAATATGTGAGTTTGTGGGTCTAACATGTAGAAATACACTCAACTGAGTGGATGTGGGGTAATTCTGTGTATTTAGACAGGGTGTTTTGTTGTTTTAATGGTACGAAACCTTGTTTTCCTGGAAATAACACTATCTCTGAGATTGTGATTTCTGAAAAATGACATTTTATTCCTATAACCCTGCCAAGGGTAGTGCAACCTCTGTGGTTAAGATTTTAAAATTAATTTTAATTCAAAAAAGTCACACGTGCCTTAGCACAATGTGAATGTACTTAATGCCATTCAACTGTAAACTTAAAAGATGGTTAAGATGGTAAATTTTAGGTTATGTATATTTTATTATAATTGTTTTAAAAAGTGCTGATTAAGAAAAAGTATGTATGCTTATCATAGAAAATGTGAAAAAAGAAAAAATCATCATCCCACTACTTAGACAACTTTCAATATTTTATTGGTTTCAATACTTTGTTATATTCGTTTCCAGTCTTCTATGCATATTTGCACACAGTTGAGATGTTGTGATATTACCATGTTATTGTGTCAGCTAACTGTCATGAACATGCATTCTGCAGAACAAGAAACAGGTAAGAACGTGGCTGTAGAGCCAGAAAGCCTCGGTTCAAATTCTGGCTCCCTAGTTCTTGATGTGCAACAGTAGCCAAGTTACCTAACCTCCTGTGCCTTGGTTTCCTCATCAAAATCATTGCTTCTCATCAAGAGCAGTTTTGCTCAGGAGACACTTGGCAATGTCTACAGACGTTTTTGGTTTTCAAGATGGCAGAGGGGTCAGGGGTGCTCCTGGTATCCAGTGGATGGAGGACAGGGATGCTACTAAACATCCTAGAGTGCACAGGGCAGCCTCATAACAAAGAATTCTTCATCCCCAAATGTCAGTGGTGCCAAGGCTGAGAAATCCTCCTCTAAATGAGATGGATATAATAAGAGTATGGACCTCATAGGATCGTTGTGAGGGCTAAATGAGCTAAAACACTTACAGTAATGCCTAGCCAGTCACTCCATGTAAGTGTTAGCTATTATTATTGCTGTTACAATTATTTCTTTCACTTCATATCAGCATTTTTGTATTTAAACATCTCGTTAACAATCTTTTCAGTGGTCTCCAAATATCTTTTAGTAAAGTTTTCCTTTACATAAATGTTGCATTTTCCTAATGTGTTTTTTCTTCCTTCCTTACCAGATGAAATTAAAGCAGAAATAGAAAAGCAGAGGTAAGCTATAGCACTACCTCCTTGCTGAGATACGGCATGAAGGGAGTAGGTAGCAACTGGGGGAGCCTCTTTCTCTGCTTGGTTTCTCATATTTCTAATCCTCAGGGGTGGCACACACTCTGCAAGCATGGTGCTAGGCACACGGCACAACTCTGTGTATGTTTGAACTGATGCTAGGTTCACAGGCTACTGCCTCAGTACTTGTATACTTGGAAGGAAGGATCAAGATCGAGGTAATGCTGTTGTATCTTTTCTTAACAGAACAGGCAAAGCCCTTGTCTCTTGTATGGCCTGCTTCCTTAGGCATGAGGACAGCTTGCACCATGAGTGGTTACTCCTGATCTTCATAGTAAGGAAGGCCGTTAGTCACGTTTCAGAGATATAGCTCTGGCGTGGCTGCCACCAGGATTCAGTCCAGGATGTTGTTAATTCAGCATGCCAATCAGAGAACTTGCTCTCTGCATGTGGCACTTCAGTGGTGTTTTTGCTAATGCATGTATTCAACTTTTAATGCCTAGCCCCAGGATATAGTTTGCAGGCACTTTAAATTAAATGGTTGCAGATGGAATGGGAAGTTAGAGTAAGGTGTAGAAAATTCATTTCTTCTCCCGACCCTCTCTTGCTTTTCTCCTAGGCTTGGCACTGCTGCACCACCAAAGGCAAACTTCATTGAAGCTGACAAGTATTTTCTTCCATTCGAGCTAGCTTGCCAGTCCAAGTCCCCAAGGGTAGTCAGCACATCCCTTGACTGCTTGCAGGTACCATGTTTAAACTTCGTGTTGTCAAGGGGGTTCTCTCCAAGCCACAGTTGGTCCTTACACAGAACTATGCTGGGGACCACGCTGGCACTCAGTGCTGTCAGAGGCGATGCAGAAAGGAGCAGTTTAACGTATTCTTTTTGGAGATCTCATGAGGGAGGGAAAAGAGAAAGGTGTGAGCTCTTTAGCTTAAAACCAGAAATTTTTTCCCCTAGAAATATCTTATTTGTTCATGTCTTGTGTATGTTTTTCTAAATGAAACCTTTAGCATTAATTGGAATATTTGACACACATGGGCACATAAGGCATTTTTATACAGCCTCTTTTTTATTTTTTCCATTTTGTAGAGATGCAGTCTTGCTATGTTGCCCAGGCTGGTCTTACACTTCTGGCCTCAAGCAGTCCTACCACCTTGGCTTTCCAAAGTGCTGGGTTTATAGGCATGAGCCACCACACCTCCTGGCTCAGCCTTTCTTTCTTACTTGGTTTTTTTTTTTTTTTTTTTTTTTTTTTGGAGATGGAGGTTTGCTCTTGTTGCCCAGACTGGAGTGCAATGGCGCGACCTCAGCTCACTGCAACGTCTGCTTCTCGGGTTCAAGGGATTCTCCTGCCTCAGCCTCCCGAGTAGCTGAGATTACATGCACCCGCCACCAAGCCCGGCTAATTTTTTGTATTTTTAGTACAGATGGGGTTTCACTATTTTGGTCAAGCTGGTCTCAAAAGCCTCTTTCTTAATGGCGTTAAAATTCATATCAAGTAGAGAAATAGAGACAGTTGAATCTGTTGTTTTTGGTAGTTATGTGCTATAAAGTCACCTCCCATACTGAATTAGCAAACATTGAATCTTTGTTCCTGGAGGAACTACAGGGTTAGGTTCCTGCAAGCCTTTAGTCTTCATGTGTTTCTATTTAAAGAGACTATCTAATATCTATTGTTGATGCATTAACATTGAACTCAGGGGCCACGGTGCTATAACACATGCCTGAACAAAGCTTATCTAACACACATAATTTCTGTGTGAGGCACATCACCACCTTCTTGCTGTTAGGAACACTGGAAAGCACATCAGCACACCCTCGGGGTCCATTGTAAACAGCAAAATCACCAACAAAAAGCACCAAAATGCAAAAAACACAGCACTAACTACACCACTAAAAAGATACTTGTTTTCAGTAGGAGAGTGAAACAAGGAGGCATAGTGTTGCCTTGTTTGACCTCAGGAACATGAACATCAAGTGATTTCAAATTTTTTACTGCTCTGTGCATGTCTACAAATGACCAAAAAAGCCCCAGACGTATTGATTTGGGCTTATAAATAAATTTTAGTGAGTAGGTGCATTTGCAAGTATAGCTGCAAATAATGAAGACTGACTGTATTTAGAGTCACAAGTAACTTTGTTATAAATTACCTTTTACTGAAGAAGAAGCAAGAGTAGAGAAGTTAAGGTGACTTGTCCAGTAATATACAGGTAGTACGAGAAACAGGACTATAACTTGGGTTTCTTAATTCCTGGCCCACCATTCTTGTACTTTTGCTCAGGACCTACTCCTTAGGTTTCTGATTACCCCAAAGAACATTTATTCTCTTTTTTGTTTATTTTGAGTCAGGGTCTCACTCTGTTGCCCAGGCTGTAGTGCAGTGCCTTGATAATAGCTCACTAGAGCCTCTAACTCCTGGGCTCAAACAGTCCTCCTGCCTCAGCCTCCCAAGTAGTTGGGATTATAGGCATGAGCCACCACACCTGGCTCAAAGAACATTTATTCTTGACCTCAGTGGGCAGTCCACATCAATGAATAAAGTTTAATAAAATTTAAAAATATGTTGAAGTGATCCACAGCTTGCCAATACTTTCTAGAACAGGAATGGTGACCAGATTCTGTATTCTGATTGCTGTGTAGAAGAGGTGTCTGAAGAGGTGTACAGCTTTCTCGAGAAAGAGTACTGTGATTGATTGGTTTTATCTACCAAGGCACAGGACTGCAAAGTGGCAGTGAGCATGCCACATTTTTGGCATCTCTGGTCTAATATTTACTCTATTAATCTCTCTTCTTTGTTACATGTACTTGAGAATTGATGAGAGTTTCTTCACGGAAACAACTCTTCCAAATGCAAAGCCATTTTGTTATTCAGTGTAATTCTGTACAGATTGTCCTATGTGAGACATACAGTGAGCCAAGAATTGTTAAATGGCAGGCTTCAGTCCTACTTCTATCCTAAAATATTTTTTGCTGTGAACGTGTTCTGAGGAGATTTGGCAGAATTTGAATTTTAGTTGTTCTCTCCGCATGTTAAGGTTTTCTTTTGAAGGGAGTGCTGATAATGTAATTGACGTTCTAAGAACAGTGGCTGACATGCATTGAGCTCTTAGCCTGTAGTGGGCCCTGTGTGCTTCATTCACCGTACCGTGTGTAGTCCCCTCGACAGCCCTCTGAGGTACTTACTCTTGTCCTCATTTTAGAATCAAGGAAACCAAGGCTTAGGGAATGAAGTGACCAGCCTAGTCCAAGGTAGGCTGCAGTGCAGTGGCGCGATCGTGGCTCACTGCAAAGTCAAGTGATTCTCCCCGGGCTCAAGTGATTCTCCCACCTCAGCCTCTCAAGTAGCTGGGACCACAGGCTTGCACAACCACACCCAGATAATTTTATTTTTATATTTTTTGTAGAGACAGGGTTTCACCAAGTTGCCCAGGCTGGTCTAGAACTCCTAAGCTCAAGTGATCCTCCCGCCTAGGCCTCCCAAAGTTTGGGGATTACAAACATGAGCCACTGCACCCAGTGGGTTTCTAGGACTTCTTGACTCTGTGTCTGTGTTCTTAACCAGGGGTCATCAGCTTTGGCCCATGAGCCAAATCTGGCCTACTGTCTGCTTTTGCAAATAAAGTTTTATTGGAACACAGCTGTCTTAGTCTGCTTGGGTTGGTGTAACAGAATATCATAGACTGGATGTCTTCAACAACAGGCATTTATTTCTTACAGTTTTGAAAGCTAGGCAGTATAAGATCAAGGTACTGGCTGATTTGGTTCCTGGTGAGGGTACACTCCTTCTGGCTGCAGACAGCTGTGTTCTCACGTGTCATGGAGAGAGAGCTAGGTTTCTGGTTTCTTCTTAGAGGACACTAATCCTGTCATGAGGGACCTACCCTCATGACTGCATCTAAGCCTGATTATTTCTCAAAGGCCCAGCCTCCTAATACCATCACATTGCAGGCTTAAGGCTTCAACATACAAATTTTAGGGGGACACAAACTTTCAGTCTGTAGCAACAGCTATGCCCATTCGTTTATGTATTACCTGTGGCTGCCTTCCTGCTACTGTGACCTAGCGGAGTAGCTGTAAAGGAGACCAAATGACCCGCAGAGCCTAAACATTTAGTATGTGTTCCTTTATGGAAAAAGGTTGCTGCTCTTAACTGGCCCCTGCTCTTGACTGTACCCATGTGGTTCTGGCCTGTTTAGTAACAGAAATCGTTTGTTTCTGGAACTCCTTGCATCTGAGTATGATTTCAAACGGAAACACACCCTGCCTTGTTTCAACCCACTGTGAATCTTGAGTCTTATGGGGTATGGTTATCTCTCTTTTTAGAATGGAAGTTCTGGCTGGGTGCAGTGGCTCACGCCTGTAATCCCAGCACTTTGAGGCAGGAGGATCACTTGAGGCCAGGTATTTGAGAACAGCCTGGGCAACATATTGAGACCCCATCTCTACAAAGTAAAGTAAAAATAAAAAGTTAGCTGGGCCATGTGGTGCACACCTTTAGTCCCAGTTACTCAGAAGGCAGAGGCAGGAGAATTGCTTGGGCCCAGGAGGTTGAGGCTGCAGTGAGCCGTGATGGTGACACCTAACTCTAGCCTGAGTGACAAAGCAAGACCCTGTCTCTTTAAAAAAAGGAAAAACACACAGAAAGGAATGGAAGTTCTCTGAGATGTAATAGATTCTCTGAGATGTAATAGGTACACTAGGATTTCTTTGTTTAGTATACAAAATGAGTCATCCTTTTTATGACATGAGAAAGTGGCTCGGTGCTCCCTGGGCTACTGAATGGAAAAAATGTACTTCCCCATGGTGGCTGCCCTTGCCAAGCCTGTTTGACTGGCTTTTCCCAGTGTGGGCAAGGTAACCTCTGTCTTAGAAATGGAAGGCCAGCATCGGGGTAAAGTTTGGTTTGGGCAGAATTGAAACCAGCTGCAGATACATCAGTGCTATGCCCTGCCATTCCTTGAGCTTGGCGCAGCAGTAGGAGTGGCAAAGGTGCTTCTGGGATTGATTTGCCATAAGCACAGTTAGCTCAGGCTTCCTCTCCACTGGGAGAAGCCTGGAGACTTCCCCTGCGGCTTGCTTCTACCAGGTGAAAAAGATTCTGTCTTCCCTTTCTCCAGCATTTGGTCTGCTACACGCTTCCCCGCAGCCAGGGCTCAGTGTAAGGGGGGTTAAGGTCAGTCTTGTCTAAGCTACTAAGTAGTCCCCAAGTTTTTCTGGTCACATATCAATTTTATATATATATATATATATTTTTATTTTTTATTTTTTTAGAGAAAGATAGGTATTTTTTAGAGAAAGGAAACACCTTTCATTCTGTTACCTAGGCTGGAGTGCAGTGGCGTGATCAGGCTTCCGAAAACCCCGACTTCCCCAGGCTCAGGTGATCCTCCCATCTCAGCCTCCCAAGTAGCTGGGACCACGGGCTAATTTTTCTATTTTTTGTAAAGGCAAGGTTTTGCCATGTTGTCCAGGCTGGTCCTGAACTCCTGAGCTTAAGCCCACCTTGGCTTCCTAAAGTGTTAGGATTACAGGCGTGAGCCACTGTGCCCAGCCAGTTTTTTTGGTTTTTTTTAGAGACAGGGTCTCACTCTGTTGTCCAGACTAGAGTGCAGTGGCTTGATCATAGCTCACTGCAGCCTCAAACTCCTGGACTCATGTAATCCTCCCACCTCAGCCTCCCGAGTAGCTGGGACTACAGGTGTGTGCCGCCACACCCAGCTAGTTATTTTTTTTACTTTTTGTAGAGACCGGGGTCTTACTTTGTTGCCCAGGCTGGTCTCGAACTCCTGGCCTCAAGTGAATAATAAAACCATTTTTGAGGATATCCTGCCAATATATTCATATTTCTTTAATTTAAAATTATAGGTTAGGGCCAGGTGCGGTAGCTCATGCCTATAATCCCAGCACTTTGGGAGGCCGAGACGGGCAGATTGCCTGAGCTCAGGAGTTCAAGACCAGCTTGGGCAACATGGTGAGACCCCATCTCTGCTAAAAATACAAAAAATTAGCTGGGTGTGGTAGCACATGCCTATAATCCCAGCTACTTGGGAGGCTGAGGCAGGAGAATCACTTGAACCCAGGAGATGGAGGTTGCAGTGAGCCAGGATTGTGTCACTGCACTCCAGCCTGGGCAACAGAGTGAGACTCTGCCTCCAAAAATTAAAATAAAGTTATGGGTTGGGCATGATGGTTCACGCCTATAATCCCAGTGCTTTGGGAGGCCAAGGTGGAAGGATTGCTTGAGCCCAGGAGTTTGAGCTCAACATAGGGAGACCTCATTTCTACAAAAACCTCTTTATTTACACATGTTCCTGTTATTAAAGTATATATATGGCCAGGCGCAGTAGCTCACGCCTGTAATCCCAGCACTTTGGAAGGCCGAGGCAGGTGGATTGCCTGAACTCAGGAGTTTAAGACCAGCCTGGGCAACATGGGGTGCCTGTACTAAAAATACAAAAAATTAGCCAGGCATAGTGGCATGCGCCTGTGGTTCCAACTACTCAGGAGGCTGAGGTGGGAGGATCACTTGAGCCTGGGAGGCAGAGGTTGCAATGAGCAGAGATCGTGCCACTGCACTCCAGCCTGGGTGACAGAGTGAGACCCCATCTCAAAATAAATATATAAATAAATAAATTACATATATTGTAAAGCATACAAAAATACAACTTTGACAGGACAATTGGAAAAATATAAATAAAATTCTAACATTTTCTTTTTACATCCCAGTGAAGGCTGTAGGAAACCATTAATCTAAGCTGCCCTGTTTATACCATAAACATTATCTTTTAGCTCTTATTTCCAGAAAACTTTTGATTTTTTAAATGCACAATGAAAAATCAATTTTTAATTATGTAAGTTGTACATGACTACAGTCTCTGTTAAAAGGTTTTTAGAACTTTACAGATAAAATGAAGTTCCTTGGGCCACCAGCCCCAAACCCAATTGCCTGTTTAGGTGTATACTTTTCTTTCCTCTCTTTTTTTTTCAATAAGTGATATCACTTGTACAAGTTTCTCTGCAGCTTTTTACATTCAACACCGTTATCAGGCTCTAGCTATATCTCTCCATGTGGATCTAGTGCATTCTTTTGACTGGCATATGACGTGTCATGCCACCATTCCATCTCTCGCTCCCCTGTACAGAGGCACACACAGGGTTATAGTGAACATCTCTGTGCAAGCCTCCTTGGAGACATGCCTCAGTTTCTCTGGTCAGAGGTGACTCTTTGGATTCCTATCACTGAGGCAAAGTAAATAGAACCAACTTCAGAAGAGACCAGTGAGGTAGAAGACTTAATTTGTACCAAATATATTCATTCATGTGGGTGGGATAACTTGTAATACAGCTTACTTACCCTAACCTCTGTTTATTACAGTACAGAGGTACAGTATGTCCTATTCTGTACCAAGAAACCAACCGCATAGCATTTTCCTTCATGCAGTGAGTCCTATAAAGGCCTGTTATAGTGTATTATATTGTCATCATCTTCCCCTCCATGGCAGAATGTCCCTGTGCAAGCCCTGACTCATGTGTCAGTGGGCCAGCTGCCTAGAGGCCTCCCTCCCTGTCCGTCTTCCCGCCGCTCATTGCGTTAGCAAGGAACAAGGTGGGGACATCTACCTGGGGGATAGTGGGAGATAGGGGGCAGTATCTACAAGTCACACACAGCCCTGTAGGTCCCAGTTAGGACTTTGAGCTTTGGTGCACCTCCCTGGAGAATATAGACTCTATAAGAAAAATAATTACGTTTGTCTTACTATTGTATCCCCAGTGCCCAGAACAGGGTCTGTCACAAAGAAGGATGAGAAAGCAGAACCAGAAAGATCCACAGGATACAGGAACTCTCCTTTCTCCTGGCCTTGTCTCACTGCACAGATGAGGGGGGAAGTCATGCTTAAAACCCTTTCTGATTTGAAGAGTAATGTGCCCCTTAAGGAGTCTGGAGAGGGGAGGATACTTTCTGTCCTTTTCATACTTTAGTTAAAGTGCGAAAGTCGTAATCCATGTCCAGCCTGCTTTGTGGCATCAGTATTGCAGCCTACTTTTCAGCATTCACATTTGAGGAGTTCCTAGACCACCCCACTTGCAATCCAGTGCACAAAACAGACTTGAGTCTGTTAGATGTAAGAACAAGCAATGTCAAAACCAGAGCTCATTTTCCAGGTAGACAGCCCTGCCCTCCTAGGAAGCCTGCACCTGCAGCAGCAATGTGAGGGGTGAGGTAAAGGGCATCTGGACTTGCCCTTCACAGGCCACACCCCTCACCTGGAGATTTGGGGGTTGGACTTGAGCAGCAGAGTGTACGCAGGCCTCTCTCCTGCTCCTTCAGTTACTCCATCCAGTAGTATTGCATTTCTACTCTCAGCCACTCTCTCAATCCATTTTTCTTTCTGCTTGTTGAGTGGTGACACTTCACTAGCTAAGGAAGGGGAAAAGCCATTGAGAAACGGTGTCGGACCTTTGCAGAGCGGCCAGTCTTCCTCCCACAGTGGTGGCTGCTCTATAGATAACCTCAGGAACCTGAGTCCCCCTGGTGGGGGCAGAAGCATGTGACCAGTAGAAGCCAAAAAGGGGAAAGAACAGAACAGCAGTTTTAGGAGTCTTCACCAAGTCACTGGAGGCAGAGAATGCCTTAGAGTTCACATGTATATGTGCCAGATGAGTGATTCTTTTATCTGATCAACCATCAATATAACGTGGATAGCTTGGAGAAAAACACTGATTCCTGGGCTCCACCTGGAAGTTCTGCTTCAGTAGGTCTGGGTCGGAGTCCAGGAACCTGTGTTTTTAGTGAGCTCCCTCAGGTGATTATGTTTCTCAGCCAGGCTTAGAAATCATCCTGCTGCTGACCTTTGAGGTTCCTTCCAGCTCTGTCCTCCATGCTGACATCCCGGTTGTGTGTGAGGTGGCACAGACCAATTTGTAACCTCTCAGAGAGGGCACGTTCCAAGCAGCTGCTCGTGGGTGACACACACTACTATTGATGTAGGTGTGAAATGCAGATGAAGTTTTTACATTAATTTTTGGGGTAGAAAATACACTGACAGGATTCAACGTTGAAAAAAATGAAAAGATGTACTACAGAGTGTCTTAGTCCCACCCCAGCTCACAGCTACTTAGTTCTCCTCCCTCAAGCAACCATGTTATTAGTTTCTTAGGTATCTTTCCATTGAAAGAAAATACATATTCATATATATATATAATTTTAACAGCTTTTTGAGATAAAATTAACATGCATACAATTCATCCATTTAAAGTGTAATTCAAGCCAGGCGCGGTGGCTCACATCTGTAATTCCAACACTTTGAGATTACAGGCAGGAGGATCGCTTGAGCCCAAGAGTTTGGGACCAATCTGAGCAATATAGCAAGACCCCATCTCTACAAAGAATAAAGAAAAATTAGACTAGCTTGGTGGCATGTGCCTGTGGTCCCAGCTACTCAAGAGGCTGAGGTAGGAGGATTGCTTGAGCCTGGGAGGTGGAGGCATCAGTGAGCCATGACCGTACCACTTCATTCCAGCCTAGGTAACAGAATAAGACCCTGTCTAAAAAAAAAAAAAAAAAATATATATATATATATATATATATATATATATATATGTATGTATATACATGCACACACACACACACACACAAAATTTTGTGATTTTTAGTTTATTGACAGAGTTGTGCAACCATTACCACAACCTAACTTTAGACCATTTTTATGTTATCATTGACGATCACTCCCTATGTCTCCCTACGCCGCCCCCCTAACTCTAGACAACCACTAATCTCTCTGTCTTGAGTATGTGTAGCTATTAATTCCTCAGGCTTGCAGAGATGGTTGCGTACTGGGGAGTGCTCTATACCTTGCATTTTTCATCGGATACTGTATCACCATTCCAGGCATCTTTTGCTGTCAGGCGACAGGACGAAGGTTGCAGTCACAGAGTGGTTATGCCTGCCTGGCTCCTGGGGAGCAGAGGACTCTGTAGGAACTGGAAGTGCCTGTCTTTTGCTCTTGTGGGCTGCCACGGAAGGCCTCAGTCCTAGCCAAGCAGAAATGTATAATCTCTGTTCTTTCTCTCTTTAGAAACTCATCGCATACGGGCACATCACTGGCAACGCCCCTGACAGTGGAGCCCCTGGGAAGCGGCTGATCGACAGAATTGTTGAAACCATTTGCAGTTGTTTTCAGGGCCCTCAGACTGATGAAGGGGTTCAGTTACAAATAATTAAGGTATGCCTATTTGTTTGCCTGTCTGGTTTTTAAATTAGAAAGCAAGTCCCTGTGGGAATCTGGATTTCTAATTTACTATGTGTTAGTTGTCTCAGGTGGTGCTGAGGTGGAACAGAAAGATTTAAGCGTCACTTAGATCTTTTGTTAGGTGTCAGAATTTATTAGCGTGGACTGAGACAAGAAAAATGGAACCAGGTGTGTTTTCAAAGTAAACTGTTCAGCTAATAACAATGTAAATTTCTTGTGAATTAAATCGTCTTGAAATCCTCTGGTTAACCCTGGATTCCCAGTCTGGGTTTCTCAGTGGGTCTTTGTTGATATTCTTATCTCTGACTTGCCTCTGTCCTACTTCCCTGTTCGATTTCTGCTGCCAGGAATGGTTTGGCACAGATAGTACCATCTGCTTGTCTGAGAACAGGATCAGGACAGGTGTAGCCAAGGATCCAAATATTAAGTCCTGAAAGTATTAACATTATGAGGGGAGGGCTCCATGCTAGATAAACCTTTCTTAAAGCTCCCTTGAAAACCCACTAGGGAATTGGGAAACTGACCACATCGAAACGTATATTTTCTGATTAATCTGGGTGAGATCACGTTGGAGTGTTATATGTCATGAGATAATTGTCTGTATTATTCATTTTAGGTTTTTCAGTCAGTATGAAAATTCAGAAGTTTGGCCTTTTTTTTTTTTTTTTTTTTTTTTTGAGACATAGTCTTGCTCTGTCGCCTAGGCTGGAGTGCAGTGGTGCAATCTCGGCTCGCTGCAAACTCCACCTCACAGGTTCAAGCAGTTCTTGTTCCTCATCCTCCCGAGTAGCTGGGACTACAGGTGTGTGCCACCACTCCTGGACTATTTTTATATTTTTAATAGAGATGGGGTTTTACCATGTTGGCCAGGCTGGTCTTGAACTCGTGACCTCAAGTGAGCCACCCTGCCTGGCTGGAAGTTTGGCTTTTTAAAAAGTGAGCCAGTAGAAAGCCTGCTTCAACACAATTTAATTGTTTCGAGTGATTTGGATTTCAT
This sequence comes from Homo sapiens, assembly GCF_000001405.40. Taxonomy (NCBI): domain Eukaryota; kingdom Metazoa; phylum Chordata; class Mammalia; order Primates; family Hominidae; genus Homo; species Homo sapiens. The sequence continues at coordinate 48,952,494 of NC_000020.11, forward strand.
AGAACTGTTCATTGTTTTTCAACTAACAGCCATAGGAGTTGGCTCTTCATAATAATCACCTAGTTTAATTTGCAGAGCCATCTTACAATTTATTTGAAAAAAGCACACAGAAAAGAAAAACAAAACCAGACCCTCTAGAAAAGTGTGGCCATAGGAGGGCAGGAAGGTGATGTGCGTTCCTGATGGTGAAGGTCGCGGATTTCTATTTTAGGCTCTTCTGACTGCAGTGACTTCCCCACACATTGAAATTCATGAGGGTACTATCCTGCAGACAGTGAGAACATGTTACAATATCTATTTGGCCAGCAAAAATCTCATCAATCAAACCACTGCCAAGGCTACCCTTACTCAGATGCTGAACGTCATTTTCACCCGCATGGAAAACCAAGTGGTGAGTGACAGCACTTACGTGCTAGGGGCAAGACATCATTGCTCTCTGAACTCTATCATGTGTGACCTTGGTGCCTGTGAAGAATCACTAGCATTTTAAAGCTACCCCTTCTTCCTGTGGATTCTCTGTACTGTGCTTTTGTTCTTGCTTTAAAAATCAGAGAAACTAAAGGGTTTTGAAATTTGTGTTCAGAATTTGTTTGGAGACTGTCAAAGGAATTTATTTCCTTTTAAATATGTTATCCTTTTGGCTGGAATTTTTCTTTCTTTCTTTCTTTCTTTTTTTTTTTTTCTTTTTTCTTTTTTTTTGGAGAGAGGGTCTTGTTCTGTTATCCAAGCTGGAGCGCAGTGACAGGATCATGGCTCACTGCAGGCTTGACCTTCCCAGCTCAAGCAATCTTCCCACCTCAACCTCCCAAGTAGCTGGGACTACAGGCATGTGCCACCACACCCAGCTAATTTTTTTATTTTCTATAGAGACAGAGTTTCACCATGTTGCCCAGGTTGGTCTCGAACTCCTGGGTTCAAGAATTCCTGCTGCCTCAGCCTTCCAAAGTGCTGAAATTATAGGCGTTAACCACCGCGCCCAGCCCAGGAAATTTTTTAAGTAATAGGCTGGCATAATTTTTCTTCCTTACCAAAATGCTGTATCCCCCTTTTGTTGCCTTTTAGTTGCAGGAGGCCAGAGAACTGGAAAAACCAATCCAGTCAAAACCCCAGTCCCCTGTGATCCAAGCTGCAGCAGTATCCCCAAAGTTCGTTCGTTTGAAGCACAGTCAGGCACAAAGCAAACCAACAACTCCCGAAAAAACAGATTTAACCAACGGTGAACATGCCAGGAGTGATTCTGGAAAAGTAAGCACAGAAAATGGAGACGCACCCAGAGAAAGAGGCTCATCACTGTCAGGTACGGGCTGATACGGTATGGCTCTTTTTCCAAGTGTGAGAGGGAATCAGCCTGTGAGGGGCAGAAGAAGTGTATGTCATAACATCTGAAGGAAACCTCTGATAACAGCTTATCTCTTTCTGGGCCTTTCCCTTTGCTTTTCTCTTAGGGAACACAACCAGTGAGGCATGATGTCAAGTGTCCCGTTGTCAGCTGTGCTGTTTTCTCTAAATAGTACTGGGATGTATCTAGCTGCTACTTCTTCATGTCAGCCTCAGTGCAACAGGTTCAGGTTGGGACACTTATCTTTCAGTAGTTAATTGATTGGGTGATTAGTCACTCAGTGTCCACAGGAGGACAAGGGCTTAGATTCTCATGTCTACACTGGATCTCCATGCCTTGCCCAGTGCCTAGCAGTAGCCACTCATAGATATCCATGGAAGGAGCCAGAAGGTAGCAGGTGGATGGACGGATAGACAGATGGACAGATAGCTTTGTTTTCTTCTTCTGGTGACCATGTACATCACTTGTTTTTGTTGGGTTTTTAAGTGAGAGACTAACCCACACCTGATTATATTCTTAAAGTAAATGAAATGAAATACTGGATTGAGTTGTTATAAGATGATACTTCTGACTGTTCATATCTCTCCCTGGGCAGTTTGTAGGAACCAGATCCAAAATTGGTATTTTTTCAGGAATTTCCTTTCCCAAGTGATTCTGTCAAATGCTTCTTCACTCAAGCAGGTTGTTCTATACAAAATATCTGACCTGTCTTCATAACTGATCTCATTTCTTCTTCAGCCACATTACTGATAATGATTTCTGTTGGTAGTATGTTCCCTACTGGAGTGCACATATTTGAGCAGGTTTTATTCCTTTATAATTTACCAGACTGCTTGATGTACATGAGAACAGACCAAGTGTTGTTGCTGGAATGTTGTTTGGTATTCATTTACTCAAGGAAAGCACAAAAGAAAAAATTGCCACCAAGAATGGTGTTGTGTCTCAGGGTGAGCACGGAGTTGCCTTCTACTTACTTCTGCTGTCGAGAGTCCTAAGGAAGGTGCTCAGAATCCCCCGGCCCACCCTCTGTGTCTGTTATCATCTTTGCCTTTGTAACTCTCTAGGGAAAGGACCAGGTTTTTACTGTAACCCTTATTAAGCTGTGATCAGTCAATAAATATTAATATTTAAATACACTGTAATAAGCATAGCTGTGCAGATATAAAACCAAGTCTCTCTGACCTGCATAAAAGTGCTTCCACTTTAGCCCATTTTCTGTACAGCAGCCAAAGTGATCTCTTAAAAGCGTGAATTAGAGCATGACCCCTGCTCAAACCCCTTTGGTAATTCCCCATCCTGTGCCATTCTGACTGAAATCCATGCCCTGTCCTCATAGCTTATACCTCTCTTTCTCTTTTTTGCTACACAGTGCACAGGTGCCCTTTCTGGTTATTGAACGGCTGTGCTTGTTTCTCCCTCAGTGCCTTTGCACTTACTGTCCCTTCCCTGCCTCTGAACCCCTTGTATCTTCAGGTCTCTCAGTTCAGACTGAGAGAGGCTTCTCTGATCAACTTCTGTAGCTCCTCATCATATCTGTCCCATTATCTTTTATTTTTTTCCATAGTACTTACAATACCTGAAATTACTGAAGGGTTCTGTTCACTTGTTCCTGCACTGAAGCCTAGGCTGCCCTGCTCACCACCATATTCCCAACACCTAGAATGGTGCCTGGCACACGCAGCAGACATTGAGCAAATACATTTTTTGAATGAATGGGGAAAAAACGTTATTGCTAGAACATAATTTTGTAGAAACGCAGTAACTTGAAGTTCTGCTCTAACAAAGAGAAAATAATTTGCTGTTAGCATGTTGCTGTGGATTTTGTGGCCAATACTTGGTGCATCCTGTGAGACTTTCCCAGGAACATGGGAATCAGATTGCCTGGGAGAAGCAAACCCCAGACCTGCAAATAGTGGGTCAGAACGGAAGTGTGCTGTTACCTTTAAAAAGAGCAAGTGGGCTGGGTGCCATGGCACACACCTGTATTCCCAGTTACTTGGGAGGTTGAGGCAAGAGGATCACTTGAGGCCAGGAGTTTGAGGCTGCAGTGTGTCTGTGAATAGCCTCTGTGCTCCAGCCTAGGCAACAAAACAAGACCCCCTCTCTAAATAAATAAACACCCCATCTCTAAATCAGTCAGTCAATCTTAAAGGAGCAAATGACTTCCAGTTCTCAGGACTAGGCTCTAAAGAAAGAACAGGTCCTTCAGAAGAGGGAGTTGAACAAGGGAGACACGTACCCAGGGGCGGAGTCCAGGCATCAAGGCCCAGTGAAAGGCCTGAGCTCTAGTGCCTCTGTGGCTATTATTTTTACATATTACTAAAGTGCATGGATGTTGGACACAACCATGGGGCTCTCCCACAGACTGTCCTGTAGTAATCACCATCACATGGCCAACCCTAACTGGACACTCACTGTACTGCTGACTTGGCATTCAACATAATGTTTTCCAATTTAATTAACTGGGAATCCCCCCCACAGCCTTCCTAGGATAATTTGCCTCCCATGTTATTTGTGTAGATGAAGAGAATTCACCAATAGACCTGGACATCTGTGGTGGCTCACGCCTCCAATCCCAGCACTTTGGGAGGCCAAGGCAGGCGGGCCACTTGAGGCCAGGAGTTAAAGTTTGTTTTTAGGATTCTGACTTTTAACTCCCAGCATCAGACATCAGTGTGTGTACATTTTTACAGATACTGTGTAGAATTACCTATGTGTTTGTGTGGATTTCTTAGCTCACTTTTTGCATCTTTTTTTTTGAGAATGAGTCTCGCCATCTTGCCCAGGCTGTAGTGCAGTGGTGAGATCTTGGCTCACTGCAACCTCTGCCTCTGCCTCCCAGGTTCAAGTGATTCCCCTGCCTCAGCCTCCCGAGTAGCTGGGACCACAGGCTCACACCACCACGTCTGGCTAATTTTGTATTTTTTAGTAGAAACGGAGTTTCACCATGTTGGCCAGGCTGATCTCGAACTCCTGACCTCAGGTGATCCACCCGTCTCGGCCTCCCAAAGTAATGGGATTACAGGCGTGAGCCACCACGCCCAACCAGGATCTTTGTTTTAGACAGCAATATGTTCCAAATGCCTGGAACTGTGCCGGACACATACACACTCAGTTTGTTGATTGAATGAATCTTACCGCCCCACCATCCCCCATGCTCCCTATTTAACTGGACAGAGAACAGGGATGTGGGGAGGCCTTATCTCAGACTCCTCCCATTTTTTCCCCGTTATTCTTAGCATGTGACTTCTATCCTTAGGGTCATCTTATGGCTCAGGATCCTGTCATTTTGTTCCAGGTAGGAAGAAAGAGGAAGAGATAGGACTGAAGAACTCTGCCAGCTGAGTCACCCCCCTTCTAAAGAGGAGTCTTCTGGAGCTTGTTGCCAACCCTGATAACTTATGCTTACCCCTCATTGGCTATAACTTCATCACATGATCACCCTTTCTGCAAGAAAGGCTGAGAAATGTAGGCACATTCCCTCCCAAAACAAAATTCAGGATCTGTTAGGAAGGATATGAGTTAGAGAACTGGCAGTGCCTGCCACAGAGTGTTCTCCAGCTGGCTAGGGAGGGAATGGCAGCAAGGTTTCTCCTATGTGAGCCTATTCAAGGTGGCCCTCTTATTTTGCTTCGGGGCAGAGTCTGAAACAGATAGGGTCTGGTGCCTAATCAGTAGTGGTGGTGATATCCCAGGGAAGAGCAGAACCAGTGGTTTTTAAGTAGATTCTTTGTACCTCTCAAAGGTTTGATTTGATTTAATTATCAAACACTTTCACAGCATGCTTGAAACTTAGATACAATGGACTTAGTAGTGGTTATCACAACATCCAGAAAAGCCTCTTCTGAGACCTATCCAAGGCTGTCATGTCAGCAGGGGAAGCAGTCCACAGTTACTGGGTGGAGTCTTCCTGCTTTGGGGCCTCTACTGGGATTTTTCCTTAGCAGCTCCCTCTTCAGGAACCTTCTGCTGGTATTCGGGCTTTCTGACTCTCCTTAGCTCTTCCTGGCCTGAGAATGTTTTGATTTTGCATAAGTACTATTATGGATCCTGCCTATTAAGGAATATGAGTTATATACTCTATCCCTCCAAAAAACGTTGCTCTTGATGCTGTTTAAATGGAAAAACTGCAGTGAGGGAAAGAGGAGATCCATGCTGATGTGAAATTTTGTTTTTCTCCTTAGGAATGAAAGATAGTGAAGGTTTTAACTAACTGGAACTACTTGCAGTGTGATTCGTTGGAAATTTTCATTATGGATTTAGTCTGCAGGGCCAGGCGGGTGACAGAAATGAGCAGGCTTCTATCATGAGGACATCATAAATGTCTTCACACAAGCACCTACATATAAACACACAGGCCTAATAAAAAGTAGCATTTGAGAGCTCACTTTTTTCAGGCACTGTTTTAAATGCTTTATGTGTATCATTCTCACAGGGCTTTGTTTACTGGTAAGGAAACTGAGGCTTGGGGAGGTTAAGTAACTTAAGTCCCCACAGTGGGAAGTGGCAGAGCAGGGACCCGGACCAGGCATGCAGGCTCCAGAGCCCTCGCTGTTATTCATCATGCTGAATTCACTTCTACAAGGGAACATTTTTTCTCTGATGTTCTTTTTTTTTTTTTTGAGACGGAGTCTCGCTCTGTCGCCCAGGCTGGAGTGCAGTGGCACAATCTCGGCTCACTGCAAGCTCCGCCTCCTGGGTTCACGCCATTCTCCTGCCTCAGCCTCCCGAGTAGCTGGGACTACAGGAGCCCGCCACTACGCCTGGCTAATTTTTTTTTTTTGTATTTTTAGTAGAGATGGTGTTTCACCGCGCTAGCCAGGATGGTCTCGATCTCCTGACCTCGTGATCTGCCCACCTCGGCTTCCCAAAGTGCTGGGATTACAGGTGTGAGCCACCGTGCCCAGCCTTCTCTGATGTTCTTAAAACACCCTGCCCAGTCAGCCTCCCATTTTCTCTGCTCTTGACAGACATGTTACTTTCCTGCTTACTGTGTAGTAACAACAGTGGTCCAAGTGTGATGGCACCTCGCATTTGGCCCCAAGGGAAGGGAGTCGATTGGGAGTGGTGAGGACTGAGGCAACAGGGTATCAGCTGAGTTCATGCCCTGGCTGAAGAGGGCAGCTTCACCTGGTTCCAGCCAGTTGTGGCCCAGTGTTGCCACATAGTTGGGTTTTTTAAATAGAAGCCCATTCTGGTTTTTGTGAGTAGTCTCCTGGTTTTTAAATGTTGGCAGCTAATTCAGAAGTTTTAAAAAGCAGCACATAGGCTAAGCAATACATATGTACAGGCAGAGGTACTTGCCAGTCACCACTCTATAGCCTCTGGTCTAACTCACTGAGGCTGTAGCTTCTTTGATAAAATGAGTTGATATTTCTTGGGTGTTGAATGTAAATGAGGTGCTGTGTACTTTGGAATGTATGATACAGATTGGAAACTGTCACCATAATTTTATTAATATCATAGCATCAGAGAAGGTTGGGACTGGAAAGGAACTTGGAAATATCTAGTCATATGTTTTCCAAATTACAAGAGGTGAGATGTCATGATAAGTGAACCCTTCCTTCCCTCCTTCCTTCCCTCCCTCCCTCCCTTCTTCCTTCCCTCCGTCCCTCCTTCCCTCCCTCCCTCCCTTCTTCTCTCCTTCTCTTTTCCTCCCTCCCTCCTTCCTTCCCTCCTTTCCACCCTCCCTCTTTCCCTCCCTCCCTCTGTCCCTCCTTCCTTCCCTCCCTCCCTCCCTCCTTCCTTCCCTCCCTCCCTCTTTCCCTCCTTCCCTCCTTCCTTCCTTCCATTTTGAGACAGGTTCTCACTCTGTCACCCAGGCTGGAGTGCAGTGGCGCAATCTCAAATCACTGCAACCTCTGCCTCTCAGGCTCAAGTGATCCTCCTGACTCAGCCTCCCGAGGAGCTGGGACTACAGGTGTGCCCTGCTGATTTTTATACTTTTTGTAGAGATGGGGTTTTGCTGTGTTGTCCAAGCTAGTCTCAAACTCCTAAGTTCAGGTGATCCTCCCCACCTCAACCTCCCAAAGTGCTGGGATTACAGGCATGAGCCACCATGCCCCACCAGAACGTTTTATATTTTAATGGTTATTTATTTTAATATGCATTCAGAAAATATAACTAATGTATGAAAACTGTTATTTTGTGAATTTTATTGCTTAAGGTGAGTTAAAGAGCACTAGTAAATACTCGCAGTCATGCATTGCTTAACAACAGGGATACGTTCTGAGAAATGAGTCATAGGCAGTTTCACTGTTTTGCGAAAGAATATTATGGGTATACTTACACAAACCTAGATGGTATAGCCTACTACATACCATATGTATAGCTTGTTGGTATGGGCATATGGTATAGCCTATTGCTCCTAGGCTATAAACCTGTACACCATGTTACTGTATTGAATACTGTACGCTTTGGTAACACAGTGGTAAGTATTTGAAAAAGTACAGTCACAATGCAGTACAAAAGATAAAAACTGATATACCTGTATGGGGCACTTACCATGGATGGAGCTTGCAGGACTGGAAGTTACTCCAGTGAGTCAGTGAGTGAGCAGTGAGTGAATGTGAAGGCCTGGGACATGACCGTATGCCACTGCAGGCTTTATAAACACTGTACACTTAGGCTACCCTAAATTTATAAAAATAATTTTCTTTTTTTTTTTTGAGACCGAGTTTTGCTCCTGTCGCCTAGGCTGGAGTGCAGTGGCACGATCACTGCTCACTGCAACCTCCACCTCCCAGGTTCAAGTGATTCTCCTGCCTCAGCCTCCCGAGTAGCTGGGATTACAGGTGCCCGCTACCACACCTGGCTAATTTTTGTATTTTTGGTAGAGACTGGGTTTCTGTTGTTGACCAGGCTGGTCTCGAACTCCAGATCTCAGGTGATCCACCCGCCTTGGCCTCCCAAAGTGCTGGGATTACAGGCATGAGCCACTGTGCCCAGCCTATAAAATTAATTTTCTGGCTGGGCGCGGTGGCTTATGCCTGTAATCCCAGCATTTTGGGAGGCCGAGGCAGGCAGATCACGAGGTCAAGAGATCGAGACCATCCTGGCCAACATAGTGAAACCCCTTCTCTACTAAAAATACAAAAATTAGCTGGGCATGGTGGTGCACACCTGTAGTCCCAGCTACTCAGGAGGCTGAGGCAGGAGAATCTCTTGAACCCGGGAGGCGGAGGTTGCAGTGAACCGAGATTGTGCCACTGCACTCGACCCTGGCAACAGAGCGAGACTCTGTCTCAAAATATAATAATAATAATAATAATAATAATAATTTTCTTTATTCAATAATAAATTAATTTTAGCTTACTGTAACATTTTTACCTTATAAACAATTTTTTTTAACTTTTTGGCTCTTGTAATAGCACCTAGTTTAAAACAAACACATGGTACAGATGCACAAAAATATTTTTTCTTTATATTCTTATTCTATACTTTTTTTTCTATTTCTTAAATTTTTAGGTTTTTAAAACTTTAAAATTATTTTTGTTAAAAACTAAGCCACAAAACACACAGATTAGCCTAGGCCTGCACAGGGTCAGGATCATTCATATCACTGTCTTCCACCTCCACATCTTGTCCCTTGGAAGGTCTTCAGGGGCAATAACACACATGAAGTTGGTATCTCCTATAATAACAATACTTTCTTCCGGAATGCCTCCTGAACCTGCCTGAGACTTTTTTACAGCTAACTTTTTCTTTTTTAAATAAGTAGAAGGCAATGACAATAAAGAGTATAGTATAGGCTGAGCACGGTGGCTCACACCTGTAATCCCAACACTTTGGGAGGCTGAGGCAGGCAGATCACTTGAGGTCAGGAGTTTGAGGCCAGCCTGGCCAACATGGCAAAACCCTGTCTCTACTAAAAATACAAAAATTAGCTGGGTGTGGTGGCAGACGCCTATAATCCCAGTTACTCAGGAGGCTGAGGCAGGAGAATTGCTTGAACCTGGGAGGCGGAGGTTGCAGTGAGCCAAGATCGTGTCACTGCACTCCAACCTGGGCAACAGAGTGAGACTCTCTCAAAAAAAAAAAAAAAGTATAATAAATACATAAACTAGCCGGGCGCAGTGGCTCATGCCTGTCATCCCAGCACTTTGGGAGGCCGAGGTGGGTGGATCACCTGAGGCTGGGAGTTCAAGACTAGCCTGACCAACATGGAGAAACCCTATCTCTGCTAAAAATACAAAAAATTAGCTGGGCGTGGTGGCTCATGCCTGTAATCCCAGCTGCTCAGGAGGCTGAGACAGGAGAATTGCTTGAACCTGGGAGGCGGAGGCTGTAGTGAGCTGGGATTGCTCCATTGCACTCCAGCCTGGGCAACAAGAGTGAAACTCCGTCTCAAATAATAAATAAAAAATAAATAAATAACAAACTAATAACATAGTGGTTTATTACCAATTATTATGTACTATACAGAACTGCATGTGCTATTCTTTTATATGACTGGTAGCACAGTAGGTTTGTTCACACCAGCATCACCACGAATATAAGTAATAAGTTGTGCTGTGACATAATGACGGCTATGATGTCACTAGACGATAGGAATTTTTCAGCTCCATTTGTAATCTTCCTGGACCACTATTGTATATGTGGTTCCTCATTGACCAAACGTTGTTATGTGGTGCATAACAGTATATTTAAAATACATAATAATATATAATATTATAGTGGTGCATGAATGTGGCAAAAGCCATGAAGGTGGTTTGAGAATGACTAAAGTTTGAGTAACAGTGATCTAGTCTAAATCATCCTTTTTAGATGAAGAAGTGAGTTTAGCAATTGTGACTGTTTCTGGGGTTTTCTAATTTCAAGTTCCCTTTGCCTTCTAGGAAAAGCTTATAACATCAGTATTTCCCACACGAATTTACTTTGCCACGTAGATAGTTCCAGAGTGTTAAGTGCCCAGTGGAAATGAAAATACTTAGCACTGCCCTCCGGGACCTTATAGATCAAGCATAGAACTCATAAAAATGGTGGCTGGGTTGAAAATTCTCATTAATACACAGTCAAAGGATTATTTTGGTTTTGCTTTTTTAAGGTGATGGCTTTTTTGGTCAACGTGATGTTTTATAAATGAGTAATGTTAGGCCAGGTACAATGGCTCACGCTTGTAATCCCAGCACTTTGCGATGCCAAGGTGGTAGATCACTTGAACTCAGGAGTTCAAGACCAGCCTAGGCAACATAGAGAAACCTCATCTCTACTAAAACTACAAAAATTAGCCGGGCGTGGTGAGGAGGCGGGAGGATTGCTTGAGCCAAGGAGGTGGAGGTTGCAGTAAGCTGGGATGGTGCCATTGCACTCCAGCCTGGGCAAGACAGCAAAACTCTGTCTCAAAAAAAAAAAAAAGTAATGTTTACTTCTAAATATCTGGTCAAGAACTGTTTACTTTACGTAAGCTCTTTCCCAGAGCTAGTTTTCTGCGGCGGGGGGAGTAAGAGATACTGAACCTCTTCTACTTAAACAGTTAACATTTTACAGAATAATTTCATAAAAGTTTAGTAAATCCTTAACTATCACATTGGAAATCTCATGCCAGATTCTGGGTTTACAGTGTGAGAAGGCGAAGCAGCAGAAGGCATGTCATTTACCAAGGCTCGTTGGTCCCCGAGGCTAAGGCACAAGAGAAAGCTCCATTTGTTCTGCCAGGAACTCTGGCTGGATAAAATCGAGCTCCTGCCTCCAAGTTGGGGGTGGTGGGGAGGGCCCTGGGCCGAGCCACTGGGACTTAGGAAGGAAGAGAGTAGTATAAGCCAGTGGGGTTTTAGTGTTCCACAAAGGGAACCTCAAAAGCAGAACAGATGCTGCCTAAGTTTCCAGATTTCAAGGAAGTTGTCCTCCATTGACACAATCAGATTTGGCCTTGGGGAGAACTTATTTGCACCCTTTGCCTTCTGAAATGTAACTCCCCATAATCTCCTTTTCCTCTCTTCCTTTGTTTTTCCTGAAAATGCCCACGTGTGTTTTGTATATTTGGATGTGTGTGTAGGGACTGATGACGGAGCCCAGGAGGTGGTGAAGGACATCTTGGAAGATGTAGTCACATCTGCCATTAAAGGTAAGAACCAAGGACAACCCAGCCTTTCCTCTTCCCTCATTCCTCCAAAAAGTCCTCAGCAAAATATTTTAGTGGTGGAGTTTCCTCTTCCCTGCCCTAAGAACTGGTGGAGCTCATGGAAACTGAATCTTCCCACGTCTGCCCATCTTTTATATGGGATTCAAAAATGACTTGTTTTTACTGACTGATTTTAGTCTCATTTGGGTTGGGTTTAGGAAACATAGTCTGGGCCAGGCGCGGTGGCTCATGCCTGTAATCCCAGCTCTTTGGGAGGCCAAGGCGGGCGGTTCACGAGGTCAGGAGTTCAAGACCAGCCCAGCCAATATGGTGAAACCCTGTCTACTAAAAATACAAAAAGTAGCCGGGCGTGGTGGCGCACGCCTGTAGTCCCAGCTATTCGGGAGGCTGAGGCAGGAGAATTGCTTGAACCTGGATGGTGGAGGTTGCAGTGAGCCGAGAACGCACCACTGCACTTCAGCCTGGGTGACAGAGCGAGACTCCATCTCAAAAAAAAGACACATAGTCTGACTGTGTTAGGCTTAGATGCTCCACATAGAGATGCCAAGGGCCATTCCATATGCCTTGTAGATTAGGGGATGTCCAGGTTTTTCTAGGAGTGGGCTGGAGCCCTGAGATCCATGTCCATTGGAGCTGAGTTTTCATGGCCAGCCATTGATGTGTCAAGGGGACAGTCCACATGTCAGCAGGTATCAGGTGTACAGGGAAGCTTTGTTTTGTTAGGCTTCATTCATAAGTGCCTCATGGTATGGTTTCAGTGGAATTAAACTTGTATGGCTCAGAATGACTGTTAGATGATCTTTTTTCTTTGTTTCTGCCCAAAATCTCAGGTCAGTGGGTATATGTTGAACACTTTGTTCCAATGCCAGTAAATTATGAATTTGTCCAGAAATCAAAATCTTAATGGGTTTTCATCAGCTTTTTTTTAAATGAAAGAGAGTAAAATGAAACAGAGTACAAATGATCTGACTGTATCACATATAATGTTAAGTATTGTTTCATGAAATGTGTTTCAGTTACTTATGTGCCCATGTCTATACTGGGATACAGTTTTATAAATTAATTTCTTACAGAGGTCAAGATTTGAAAGCCACTTTTCTAAGCCCTATCTTTTTGTTTAGGTACCACAAAGCTATATACATATTCTATTATTTATTTAACTTCTTATAGAAATGCCTGTAAAATAGAAAAATTTTATTTCATACCTTTAGATTTGTTTCTGGGATCTATACAAGAAGTCATCACATAATGGATGTTTGTCTTGTTTACTTTGTGTCCTCCAGCCGCTACTGCAGAGCCTGGTACATAATTGGCACTTGATAAATATTTATTGAATGAAATATGCTTTGTAGGGCTATTATTGAAAATTGTTCTCATTGTTTCATGTCCCTTTATAGAACCACATTATAAATTTTTCTTAGAGTTTCATTGCTCTGCTGATCATCAGATATGCTTTCCTTCATTAAATGATGAAATCTGTGTAATTCTTTATTTTAATTCCCTTTTTTCACATGGCTGCCAAGAAGCTCAGGTTTACATTTTTTCTCTGTGACTAAGGTTTTCTGTCATAACTGGCTCTTCTCTAATTCCTTTATTAATGGTACTTTAAAAAAATCTGTACCTTTCATGTTTAGCTGCTTCTAATCTTTTTCAAAAGTGAATGGGGGTGGGTAGGGCTGCTGCATTGCACAGTTCTGGAGGCACCATTGATCTGGAGAGAATTGTATATTGCTGTGGCCCTGGCAGTGGGGCTGTGGATAACAAACACTCGTAAGGCTTAAGCATCACTTTGGCCAAGGCTTTTCCAGGATTATGTCAGTCATGGGCTGGTGGCACAGGAAAAGGGGAAAAAGCAACAGCTGGGAGGTTCACAGATAACTTCTTTTTGGTGTCAGGCAGCCCTTTAGGGTAAGTACAGTACTAATTTGGCTATGACTTTGTACTTGTGTTTTAAGAAGCAGCGGAAAAGCATGGTCTGACAGAACCTGAGAGAGTTCTAGGTGAACTGGAGTGCCAGGAATGTGCTATTCCCCCAGGAGTTGATGAAAACTCACAGACCAACGGGATAGCCGATGACAGGCAGTCCTTGTCGTCAGCAGATAATCTGGTATGTTGGTGATCATCCTCTGTGGACTTATTGCCATTTTTACTTTTTCAAAAGATGCAGAATTAAGTCTTTCCTCAAAAGAAGCAACTAAAATAAGCAAGCCCTGTTCCTTTATTAGTCACACAGTCCTGGGCTGATATTCTTTGTATTAGCAGGTTCAGTTCTTAGAACGTGCTAATGTTGCTTGGTATATAACATCATTATTAAACCCTGTTTACTCAGACTTCTAATACTTAAATTTCTTGCCACTTTTCTTCTCTCTCAAAATAGTATACATTCATTATAGAAAAATAAAATATATAGTTACCCGTCTTTCCTTCTCTGTATTGAAAAGTCAGTATGACTGTATTGAAAGCCATCCATAACCCATAGATTGCCCTTGTTAACATCTTACTTAAATCCATCTAGATTTTTCTCCATCTCACGTATTTTTCCACTTAAATAGAATAATACAGTATGTATCCTGTGTTGCAACCTGCTTTTTAAACAATTTATATTATGAACATTCTCTCAGGCCCATAGATATGTCTGCCACATTATATTTTTAAATAGCCTTACTGTTCTCTTAAAAGTTGCTTTAAAATTAAATATAAACATTCAAAATAGGAAGTAATATGATGTGAGTGTCCCTCTAGACCCCATTTTCTTTGTCTTTTTACCAGTGTTTCTCAATCTTTTTCATTATTGCCCCTTCCTCCAAGAAAACTTTGTAGACATTTTTTCCTAATCATCATTCCCCATTAAGTTGTAATGCCAGCAATAAACTGGATATCCATATGCTACATGTATATCTGTGCTTTATACATAAAAATAATAAGGGTTTGTTGTTCTTGTTGTTTGTTTGAGACACAGTCTCACTCTCACCTAGGCTAGAGTGCAGTGGTGTGATCTCGACTCACTGCAGCCTTCACTTCCTGGGCTCAAATGATCCTGCCACTTCAGCCCCCTGAGTATCTGGGACTACAGGCATGCACCACCATACCTGGCTAATTTTTTATTATTATTTGTAGAGACATGGTCTCACTATATTGCCCAGGGTGATCTTGAACTAGGCTCAAGCAATCTGCCCACCTCAGCTTCCCAAAGTGCTGGGTTTACAGGCTTGAGCCACTGTATCCAACCAGAATAATGTTTTTTTCCCCCCTTGAGGATGCGCTTAAATCTATACAAGGGACTCGTGTTATATGCTAAGCTGCAATTTGCTTTGTTTACTCAACACTATATGATGGGCATCTTCCCCTGTCAGTATATGTAGAGCTAACAGAAATTTTTAATGGCCATGTAAAATTCTGTATGGATCACTGTAATCTATTAACCAATTCCCTATTGGGTTTTTAGATTATTCCAGTTTTATCATAGGAAATGGTTCTATAATGAATATCCTTATAGATAACTCTTAATTCTTTCTTAGGAATAAATGCCTGCAAGTAGTATTGATGGTTCAAGAGTTGGAAGTTTTAGCTGAGTGTAATAGCATGCTTCTGTATTCCCAGCTACTCAGGAGGCTGAGGCTGGAGGATCGCTTGAGCCCAGAAGTCTAGCCAGGGGAACATAGCGAGACCCCATCTCATAAATAAATAACTGTAGCAAGATCATGTCTCATAAGTAAATGAATGAAAGAGAGTGGGAGTTGGAAGTGTTAAGGCTTTTGACATTTAACACCAAGTCAGTCTTCTGGGAAGGTACTACTTGAATACCTGTCCACCTTTAATCTCTCAATACCCATTTTCCCATTCCCTCATTAAAACTAGGCAGCAGCCTTTATTCAAATCTTTGCTAGTCTGATAGGAGAAAGCTCCTACTCTAATGATGAGTAATAAGGTCATTTAGATTTCTTTATCATTTGCATCTATTGGTACATTGCTTATCCATGTTGTTTTCATTTTGGAGGAAGGTTTTCATATTTCCTTAATGAATTATGAGAACTTTTATATGTGGGGGATATTAATCTTTATTATATGTTTTTAAAATTTTTATTTTATTTTTTTGAGTTGGAGTCTCGCTCTGTTGCCCAGGCTGGAGTGCAGTGGCGCAATCTTGGCTCACTGCAAGCTCTGCCTCCCAGGTTCATGCCATTCTCCTGCCTTAGCCTCTTGAGTAGCTGGGACTACAGGTGCCCACCACCACGCCTGGCTAATTTTTTGTATTTTTAGTAGAGACGGGGTTTCACCGTGTTAGCCAGGATGATCTCGATCTCCTGACCTCGTGATTCGCCCGCCTCAGCCTCCCAAAGTGCTGGGATTACAGGCGTGAGCCACCGTGCCTGGCCAAAAAATTTTATTTTTATGTTTTGCTTTTAAATGTAATTTACCTTTTTTTTAGGTGAAAAAAGTTTATTTCGTAATACCTATACTTTGTTACCCGTTTATCCTGCAATAGTTGCAATAGTATTCTTTTTTTTACTTTTTTTTTTTGGTCACCCAGGCTGGAGTGCAGTGCCGCGATCTCGGCTCACTGCAACCTTTACCTCCCAGGTTCAAGCGATTCTCCTGTCTTAGCCTCCCAAGAAGCTGGGATTAGCAGAGATGAGGTTTCACTATGTTGGCCAAGTTGGTCTGGAACTCCTTACCTGAACTGATCTGCCCACCTTGGCCTCCCAAAGTGTTGGGATTACAGGCGTGAGCCATTCATCGCACCTGGCTTACAATAGTATTCTTAGAAATATCTTTCTTACCCAAGCTAGTATAATTACCTGTATTAGTTTTGGTTTTTTTACAGCTTAACTTTTGATCATTTTTCATTTTAAACCACCCATACCAACTCTGAAGAACAAGGAACAAGGTTGTAGAATTGCTGTGATGGCTTCTCCATAGCTCCTATTTTGTCATATCCTTCCCTCCCCCACATCCCTCATCTCTCTATTAAATAGAAGAATTTGAATTTCCAAGAGATAATTACATTTCTAATTTTTGATAAGAGTTAGCTTTTGTTTTGTCCTCTCCCTTTTTATTTTTTGAGATACGGTCTCACTATGTTCCCCAGATTGGAGTGCAATGGTGCCATCATGGCTTACTGCAGCCTTGACCTCCTCGGCTCAGTGGATCCTCCTGCCTCAGCCTCTGGAGTAGCTGGGACTACAGGTGGGTGCCACCACACCCAGCTGATGTTTGTTTCTGATCCTAGGAATCGGATGCACAAGGACATCAAGTGGCTGCCAGGTTCTCCCACGTTCTGCAGAAGGATGCCTTCCTTGTGTTCCGCTCCCTGTGCAAGCTGTCCATGAAACCCCTTGGTGAAGGCCCTCCAGACCCAAAGTAAGCAGACAGCAGTTCTTGGCCACCTTCAGTCCAATGATCCAGCAGCACATGGTACTGTGTTTCACACTTCCCTTGTTCCAAGAAGTTTCAGTGTCATGTCTCTTTGTCAGTGTAAGTGCAGGAACGGTTTTACAACTTTTCAGACTCATGCAGTCTCTAGAGTCCTTTCATATGGAATTGTCTCTGTATCCCCACCAACCAAGATTTTGCCCAGTTTTGCTTTTCTTGGCATATGAATGCTAAAAAAGTCTGTTTATTGAACACATAAAAAACACATTTTTACTAGCTAGTGGATTGAATCTCTTGATGTGGGGTGTGGAGGGACAGGATGCCTGCAAACCTCAGTTCCCTGTTCTGTTGGAAACCTCTGCTTCATCGATACAGATGTAAGCCCCAGATTCGACACAGGGAAGCCAAACATTTCTTTGTAGTAAACAAACTACTACAAGGATGTCAGCGCTGTGGAGTGAAGAAAGCAGAGGCTTCAGAGCCAGAGAGAGCTGCATTTAGATCTTGGATCCTCCACTTGAGAGCAGTTCCTTGGCTATATGACTTGCCAAGCCTCATCTGAAAAATGGGAATATGGAAAATCATCTTACAGGATTGATTAAATGAAATATCGGTGTTGTCCTGAGCATGGGGCCTTGTACTTTATAAATTATCTCTATTGTTCCTGTCATTAGTCATTAATAATAATCCTCAATTCATCTATTACTAATGCTGCTAATACTGTGATAGGTATTAGGAAAATAGGCTGGGTGCGGTGGCTCACACCTATAATCCCAGCACTCTGGGAGGCCAAGGCGGGTGGATCACTTGAGGCCAGGAGTTCGAGACCAGCCTGGCCAACAAGATGAAACCCCACTTCTACTAAAAATACAAAAATTAGCTGGGTATGCTAGTACATGCCTGTAATCCCAGCCACTCGGGAAGCTGAGGCAAGAGAATCGCTTGAACCCAGGAGGCAGAGGTTGCAGTGAGCTGAGATCGTGTCACTGAACTCTAGCCTGGGCAACAGAGCAACAATAAATTTTAAAAAATAAAAATAGGCCGGGCGCGGTAGCTCACGCCTGTAATCCCAGCACTTTGGGAGGCCGAGGCGGGCGGATCATGAGGTCAAGAGATCGAGACCATCCTGGCCAACATGGTGAAACCCCATCTCTACTAAAAATACAAAAAATTAGCCGGGCATGGTGGCAGGCGCCTGTAATCCCAGCTACTCTGGAGGCTGAGGCAGGAGAATCGCTTGAACCCAGGAGACGGAGGTTGCAGTGAGCCGAGATTTGTGCCATTGCACTCCAGCCTGGACAAAAAGAGCAAAACTCCGTCTCAAAAAAATAAATAAATAAATAAAATAAAATAAAAATAAGTGTTAAGAAAATAGTTCATGAAAATGTACCATTTCTTACCATACCTGAACTCCGGCATGGGCAGTGGGGAGGGAGGGCTGTGAGGTAGGTGGATAAAGAGCGCCATCTTCATGGTGTGTGAAACAGAGTGAGCCAGGTGTCTCAGCCTCCCACAAGTGATGTAAAGTCATTGATTCTTGCAGTACAGTTGCAGAACTCGCTCTCCAGAATCAGTTGACACTTTGCTCCTGCTGTATTCTCTACTTTGTGATGGAAAGAGACAAATAGGAGTTGGCAGCTCTTGTTCTCAAAGGGCCTGCGATTCCAGAAGGACCCAACTCATGCCATCTGCCCTCATTCTCCTGACATTTAGGTGCTATTAATTCTTTAAAATTCTACTCATTGGTAAAGGAGCAAGGCCTTCTCAAGAAACATACTGTTTGACATTTTTTCTTTTAGCACTGTTGTGGTTTTTCATTTTCTTTGCCAGATCCCATGAGCTGCGTTCCAAGGTGGTTTCCCTGCAGCTGCTCCTCTCTGTGTTGCAAAATGCTGGCCCCGTATTCAGGACTCACGAGATGTTCATCAATGCAATCAAGCAATATCTCTGTGTGGCCTTGTCCAAAAACGGCGTCTCTTCAGTGCCTGATGTCTTTGAGCTCTCTCTTGCCATTTTTCTTACTCTTCTTTCAAACTTTAAAATGCACTTGAAAATGCAGATAGAGGTACGGATTCCAAAGTTTTTTCATTTCATTATTTACTATTATTATTAGTCATTAATTATAATACTCAATATTGAGAATGCTGCTAATATTACACTAAGCATTAGGAAAATGGTTCATGAAAATGTTTCATATCTTACCATCCTGGAACTCAGAAGTGGGCAGGGGCAGGGAGGGTAAATGGCATATTCATCGGCTGGCACCCCAGTAAATCAGAACTTTTTGAATGAGTAAGAGAATATCTTTTTATAAAAAGTTACTGCCCCCAGCCTGGGCGCCATGGCTCACGCCTGTAATCCCAGCACTTTGGGAAGCTGAGGCGGGCGGATCATGAGGTCAGGAGATCGAGACCATCCTGGCTAACATGGTGAAACCCCGTCTCTACTAAAAATACAAAAAATTAGCCAGGCGTGGTGGCAGGCGCCTGTAGTCCCAGCTACTCGGGAGGCTGAGGCAGGAGAATGGCATGAACCCGGGAGGCGGAGCTTGCAGTGAGCCAAGATTGCACCACTGCACTCCAGCCTGGGCAACAGGGCGAGACTCCATCTCAAAAAAAAAAAGTTACTGCCCCCGGATCTTATGTGCCTTTCATTTTAACCAATATGGTCTGTCTGCTGGGCTCAGCCCCCTAAACATATCTGTTTGGTCTGTAAATTGTTTGAAATCATTTAGATTAGTCGCCAAATTGAGAAATCCTATTTTACATGAAAATCCAGATTTCTGGTTTCTCTCCAAAAAGTCACAGTATGGGTCCTGCATTTCCACTTGGCAGCTCCCCAGTGGGCCCCACCCTGCCAGCCGTCCCCACCAAGGCCAGGGTCCCGTTGCTGCCCAGCCAGGTGGGCACTCCACTCTTCTTCTGCCCAGGGTGCTTTACTTACTGCACGACTGGGTTGGCTGCTGAAGACTTTGGAGGTTTTGAGCCCTGGTTGAAACTGTTAATTAGTGTCCTCCTTTGTCTTTATGTCATATAGGTCTTTTTCAAAGAGATTTTCCTGAACATTTTAGAAACATCAACAAGTTCTTTTGAGCACAGGTGGATGGTCATTCAGACTCTGACGAGGATCTGTGCAGGTATTTCCACCTGGGGACACTCATCCACTGGACTTCTGATGCTTTAATTTGCCACAGCTCAGATTAAGACTTCTAACCCCTCCTTTTAGAGTTTTAAAGGATTGGCAATAAAAGGCTAATTCTAACCTAGTCCTGCCCCACCTCTCCTTTTTTAGAGGATGACCAACTTAGGCTGGTTTGCCAAGGACTTCCTGGTTTTAGCACTAAAAGTCTCATGTCCCAGAAACCCCCTAATCTCGTCAAACTGGGACACTTGGTTACGTTACCTACAAGCTGAGTACTGTTAATCACAGGACCTAAGATACTGGTGCTGCCAATTTTTGATTGGGTGCTACGGTAAATGTGGATTTACCTTACACTATACAATTGTGTGGCCTCAAAGTAAGCATCCTGCTTGTCTGGCATCAAATGTAATTTTGTAAGAGTGACACAACTTTAAGAGGTGGGTCAGGCAATTGTTAACCCCTTCCTTGATGAGAAAATTGAGGCTTGGATGGGTGGAATGAACTGCCTGAGATTTCAATTTGCTCAGAAGCAGGCCTAAAAACAACCTCCTGTCTTCCAGCTTCCTAGTACTTCCAACATGTGTTTCCTGAGTGAGATGTGGCCACCGGAGTCTGTAGTTCACTGGGGAAATTTGTTGGCAAACATCTTGTTTGATAAGAAAACCTAACTGCTATTTGATCAGAATTTCTGATACTTGTATGTTATTTTCCAAGATGCCCAGTGTGTTGTGGATATTTATGTCAACTACGACTGTGATTTAAATGCTGCTAACATTTTTGAGCGCCTTGTAAATGATTTATCCAAAATTGCTCAGGGAAGAAGTGGACATGAGCTGGGAATGACACCTCTGCAGGTAAAAACACTGTGGACACTCAATTATATTAAAGTTTATTCATTCCAATAAACATTTATTGAGTGCCACCACATGCCAGGCACTGTCCTTGATACAGCAGTGAACAAAACAGGAATGCATATTCACACACTTCCTGCCATCATGAAACGACATTAAAGAAGTCAGTTCAGATGATCATAGGGGCTGCAGAGAAAAATAAAGCAGGGACGGCAGAGAGGAAGTGCTGAAGGTGGGGTGCTGTAATTCTTAATGGGGCCATTAGGGTAGTATCCCTTAGAAGGTGACCTTTGAGCTGAGACCCATAGGAAGCAAATTCATTCTCAGTCACCCTTCCAAAGATAGCGTGGAAAACAGGATCCCAGTCTGCAATAGGGGCAAAGGAGATTGGCTAGTAGCAGAATACCTCATTAGAGCACCTACAAAGAAAATAGGATGCTTAACTGTAGGTTTCTGAATGAACTGGTCAGAGGGTCTCCGAGCTCCCTGGAATTGTGTGTAGAATTTTGGTATATGGGCATTTTTCCTAAAAGATGGTCATAGTTGTCATTAGAATCACAGAGATCTATGCTGTCCGAGTTGCTGTTTTGAATCTAAAATATTTGCAATTTTTTTAGATGATCTGCAACTCATATTCAACTTGTTATTTAAGAATGCTGTTTATTTTTGAAAATCAGTATTTTTATTTACTTAAAGGGTGAGCCTTAAAATTGAATGCATTTGTGGGTATTTAGGGGATACGTTGTATCCAGAGTCACTTACAGCATAATTCAAGGTTCTTTTCTCCTTTTTTTCAGTCACTGGTTGAGACCTTGTTATTTATTATTTGAGTGTGAATTTTTTTTTTTTTTTTTTTTTTTTTGAGACAGAATCTCACTCTGTCACCCAGGCTGGAGTGCAGTGGCGCGATCTCAGCTCACTGCAACCTCCACCTCCCAGGTTCAAGTGATTCTCCTGCCTCAGCCTCCTGAGTGGCAGGGATTACAGGTGCCTGCCACCACACCCGGCTGATTTGAGATGGGGTTTCACCATATTGTCCAGGCTGGTCTTGAACTCCTTACCTCAGGTGGTCCACCCACCTCAGCCTCCCAGAGTGCTGGGATTACAGGCGTGAGCCACAGCGCCTGCCCAAGATCTTGTTATTTTTTTAAAAATAGAAAAATTTAAAATTTTTTTTTAATCACATAAGCAATGAATGAAAACTTCTTTTGAAAATCCAAATAACATTGTTCATTTTAGGAAAACACATATCCCATATTTTTGCTGCTGGGGTGTTTATAATGAGCACCTTTAGAGATGTCCAGGGCTTTTGCAATGTATCCTTGATACTTGTCACTTCTTAGCTCTGGGTTTGTTTCATTCTTAATAGCACTGACTGTCAGTGATTTCTTTCTTAGCCTCACTGGGGTCCCAGAAAGCCTCGTAGATGTCTGTTCTCTTCATTTTTCTGTTAAGTCTCTTTCCTGTGTGACTTCGTCCCTTAGGAGCTCAGCCTGAGGAAGAAAGGCCTGGAGTGCCTCGTGTCCATTCTCAAGTGCATGGTGGAGTGGAGCAAAGACCTGTATGTGAATCCCAACCACCAGACCAGCCTCGGTGAGACAGCATTGCTGCCACACCCACCTCCATTCATAATAGGCTCCTACGACTGCTAGGAACAGTTGTCTTAGTATAGTTGTCTTAGAATTGAAAAAGCCTTTTTAGTTTGCTAAATACCTATATTATTTTGAAAGTCCTGCTTTTTATTGCATCTGGAGTTGTGTGAAGTTATGCTGTAACTTCATTGTTTCAAATACAGAGCCAGTTGCTCTAGTGCCTTTTTAGTAGTTGTTCATTCCCTCACTGATTCAAAGCATCACCTTTATGATATACCACATTTTCCTATGTACGTAAGTCTGTTTCTGGAGTTTTAATTTTTTTAAAGAGACAGAGTCTGTTTCCATTACCCGGCTGGAATACAGTGGTGCAATCATAGCTCACTGCAGCCTTAAACTCCTGGGCTCAAGCGATCCTCCCACCTCAGCCTCCCAAAGCTCTGGGATTACAGACGTGAGCCACTGTGCCTGGCCTTCTTTCTGGATTTTCTATTCTGTTCTGTTTATTTGTCTGTTTTAACACCAGTACCACACTTGTTTTTGGTATCTTGTAGGGCAAGTCCTCCTATTCGTTGTTCTTTAAGTTGTCTTGATCTTTTTTTGCCTTTTTTACTCTTTCATGTGAATTTTAGAATTAGCTCATCAAGGCTGGGCACGGCAGATCATGCCTGTAACCCCAGCACTTTGGGAGGTCGAGGGTGGTGGATCACGAGGTCAGGTGTTCAAGACCAGCCTGGCCAACATAGTGAAACCCTGTCTCTACTAAAAATACAAAAAATTAGCCGGGTGTGGTGGCAGGCGCCTGTAATCCCAGGTGCTCTGGAGGCTGAGGCAGGAGAACAGCTTGAACCTGTGAGGTGGAGGTTGCACTGAGCCGAGATCGTGCCACTGCACTCCAGCCAGGGTGACAGTGCGAGACTCCATCTCAAAAAAAAAAAAGAATTAGCTCATCAAGTTTCATGAGGAAACAAGTTTTTAAGTAAAGTATCTGAATGATACTAAGGTTTCATGCTTATAATCCTTATAGTATTGACTTGTTGCTATTACAGGTTTGGGAAAGGGAGCCGTGCAGCCAGACCTAGCTCGGCTGTGTCTGTGTCCCACTTGCTTATTTGGCTTCCTTTACTTTTGTTTCTCCGCAGGTCAGGAGAGGCTCACGGATCAGGAAATAGGGGATGGGAAAGGCCTTGACATGGCAAGACGGTGTAGTGTGACGTCCATGGAGTCCACAGTGTCCTCGGGGACCCAGACAACTGTTCAGGATGACCCTGAGCAATTTGAGGTCATCAAGCAACAAAAAGAAATCATTGAACACGGCATCGAGCTGTGAGTGGGGCTGCCGTTAACTAGCAGGGATTCTAGCAAAGCCATATTTTCTCTGGGAACCTGGAACTGATTCCTAAAAAGGAAATGCCTGTTTACAAAAGGCTGGTGCTGGCACTTGTAGCTAAGCCTGATTGAGCCAGGCAATCAGTAAATGAGCGTATGTGTGTGTGTCTGTGCACACAGAGAGAGAAAACTTTAATACCTTTGTGTGGTTGATGCAGCCTTTTTTCCCCCCTTTTCTAATGAAAATAATAAAACCAATTTAGAAAATACAGAAAAGTATAAAGTAAGAATGTAAAAATCACTCATAAAATTACTGCCTGAGATGGCCCGGCGCAGTGGCTCACGCCTGTAATCCCAGCACTTTAGGAGGCTGAGGCAGGTGGATCATGAGGTCAGGAGATCAAGACCATCCTGGCTAACACGGTGAACCCCTGTCTCTACTAAAAATACAAAAAATTAGCCGGGCGTGGTGGCGGGTGCCTGTAGTCCCAGCTACTCGGGAGGCTGAGGCAGGAGAATGGCGTGAACCTGGGAGGCGGAGCTTGCAGTGAGCAGAGATTGCGCCACTGCACTCCAGCCTGGGTGACAGAGTGAGACTCCATCTCAACAACAACAAAAAATTACTGCCTGAGGGAATCACCATTGGTGCATTTTTTTCCAACTATATATTACATGAAAAATTTCAGCATACCAAAACATTACTGTTTGTCTTATTTGTTTTATTTTTTTAGGCATTTTATTTTATTTTATTTTATTTTATTTTATTTTATTTTATTTTATGTTGTTTTCTTATACTTTAAGTTCTAGGGTACGTGTGCACAACGTGCAGGTTTGTTACATAGGTATACATGTGCCATGTTGGTTTGCTGCACCCATTAACTCGTCATTTACATTAGGTATTACTCCTAATGCTATCCCTCCCCCTGCGCCCCACCCCATAGCAGGCCCCCCTGTGTGTGATATTCCCCGCCCTGTGTCTGAGTGTTCTCATTGTTTGGTACCCACCTATGAGTGAAAACGTGGTGTTTGGTTTTCTGTCCTTGTGATAGTTTGCTCAGAATGATGGTTTCCAGCTTCATCCATGTCCCTGCAAAGGACATGAACTCATCCTTTCTTATGAGGCATAGTATTCCATGGTGTATATGTGCCACATTTTCTTAATCCAGTCTACAATTGATGGACATTTGGGTTGATTCCAAGTTTTTGCTACTGTGAATAGTGCCGCAATAAACATACGTGTGCATGTGTCTTTATAGTAGCATGATGTATAATCCTTTGGGTATATACCCAGTAATGGGATCGCTGAGTCAAATGCTATTTCTAGTTCTAGATCCTTAAGGAATCACCACACTGTCTTCCACAATGGTTGGACTAGTTTACATTCCCACCAACAGTGTAAAAGCGTTCCTATTTCTCCACATCCTCTCCAGCATCTGTTGTTTCCTGACTTTTTAATGATCGCCATTCTAACTGGTGTGAGATGGTATCGCATTGTGGTTTGGATTTGCATTTCTCTTACGACCAGTGATGATGAGCATTTTTTCATGTGTCCGTTGGCTACATAAATGTCTTCTTTTGAGCAGTGTCTGTTCATATCCTTTGCCCACTTTTTGATGGGGTTGCTTGTTTTTTTCTTGTAAATTTGTTTAAGTTCTTTGTAGATTCTGGATATTAGCCCTTTGTCAGATGGGTAGATTGCAAAAATTTTCTCCCATTCTGTAGGTTGCCTGTTCACTCTGATGGTAGTTTCTTTTGCTGTGCAGAAGCTCTTTCGTTTAATTAGATCCCATTTGTCTATTTTGGCTTTTGTTGCCATTGCTTTTGGTGTTTTAGTCATGAAGTCCTTGCCCACGCCTAGTTCCTGAATGGTATTGCCTAGGTTTTCTTCTAGAGTTTTTATGGTTTTAGGTCTAACATTTAAGTCTTTAATCCATCTTGAATTAATTTTTGTCTAAGGTATAAGGAAGGGATCCAGTTTCAGCTTTCTACATATGGCTAGCCAGTTTTCCCAGCACCATTTATTAAATAGGAAATCCTTTCCCCATTTCTTGTTTTTGTCAGGTTTGTCAAAGATCAGATGGTTGTAGATGCATGGTATTTCTGAGGACTCTGTGCTGTTCCATTGGTCTGTCTCTCTGTTTTGGTACCAGTACCATGCTGTTTTGGTTAGCGTTGTAGTATAGTTTGAAGTCAGGTAGTGTGATGCCTCTAGATTTGTTCTTTTTGCTTAGGATTGTCTTGGCAATGTGCGCTCTTTTTCGGTTCCATATGAACTTTAAAGTAGTTTTTTCCAATTCTGTGAAGAAAGTCATTGGTAGCTTGATGGGGATGGCATTGAATCTATAAATTACCTTGGGCAGTATGGCCATTTTCATGATATTGATTCTTCCTATCCATGAGCATGGAATGTTCTTCCATTTGTTTGTGTCCTCTGTTATTTCGTTGAACAGTGGTTTATAGTTCTCCTTGAAGAAGAGGTCCTTCACATCCCTTGTAAGTTGGATTCCTAGGTATTTTATTCTCTTTGTAGCAATTGTGAATGGGAGTTCACTCATGATTTGGCTCTCAGTTTGTCTCTTATTGGCATAAAGGAATACTTGTGATTTTTGCACATTGATTTTATATTCTGAGACTTTGCTGAAGTTGCTTATCAGCTTAAGGAGATTTTGGGCTGAGACGATGGGGTTTTCTAAACATACAATCATGTCATCTGCAAACAGGGACAATTTGACTTCCTCTTTTCCTGATTGAATACGCTTTATTTCTTTCTCTTGCCTGATTGCCCTGGCCAGAACTCCCAACACTGTGTTGAATGGGAGTGGTGAGAGACAGCATCCCTATCTTGTGCCAGTTTTCAAAGGAAATGCTTCCAGTTTTTGCCCATTCAGTATGATAATTGGCTGTGGGTTTGTCATAAATAGCTCTTATTATTTTGAGATATGTTCCGTCAGTACCTAGTTTATTGAGAGTTTTTAGCATGAAGGGCTGTTGAATTTTGTTGAAGGCCTTTTTTGCATCTATTGAGATAATCATGTGGTCTTTGTCATTGGTTCTGTTTATGTGATGGATTACGTTTATTGATTTGTGTATGTTGAACCAGCCTTGCTTCCCAGGGATGAAGCTGACTTGATCGTGGTGGATAAGCTTTTTGATGTGCTGCTGGATTCGGTTTGCCAGTATTTTATTGAGGATTTTCACATTGATGTTCATCAGGGATATTCGTCTAAAATTCTCTTTTTTTATTGTGTCTCTGCCAGGCTTTGGTATCAGGATGATGCTGGCCTCATAAAATGAGTTAGGGAGGATTCCCTCTTTTTCTATTGATTGGAATAGTTTCAGAAGGAATGGTACCAGCTCCTCTTTGTACCTCTGATAGGATTCGACTTTGAATCCATCTGGTCCTGGACTTTTTCTGGTTGGTAGGCTATTAATTATTGCCTCAATTTCAGAGCCTGTTATTGGTCTATTCAGGGATTCAACTTCTTCCTGGTTTAGTCTTGGGAGGGTGTATGTGTCGAGGAATTTATCCATTGCTTCTAGATTTTCTAGTTTATTTGCGTAGAGGTGTTTATAGTATTTTCTGATGGTAATTTGTATTTCTGTGGGATCGGTGGTGATATCCCCTTTATCATTTTTTATTGTGTCTGTTTGATTCTTCTCTTTATTTTCTTCTTTATTAGTCTTGCTAGCAGTCTATCAATTTTGTTGATCTTTTTTAAAAAAACAGCTCCTGGATTCGTTGATTTTTTTTTGAAGGGTTTTTTATGTCTCTATCTCCTTCAGTTCTGCTCTGATCTTAGTTATTTCTTGCCTTCTGTTAGCTTTTGAATTTGTTTGTTCTTGCTTCTCTAGTTCTTTTAATTGTGATGTTAGTGTGTCAATTTTAGATCTTTCCTGCTTTCTCTTGTGGGCATTTAGTGCTATAAATTTCCCTCTACACACTGCTTTAAATGTGTCCCAGAGACTCTGGTACGTTGTTTCTTTGTTCTCCTTGGTTCCAAATAACATCTTTATTTCTGCCTTAATTTCGTTATGTACCCAGTAGTCATTCAGGAGGAGGTTGTTCAGTTTCCATGTAGTTGTGTGGTTTTGAGTGAGTTTCTTAATCCTGAGTTCTAATTTGATTGCACTGTGGTCTGAGAGACAGTTTGTTGTGATTTCTGTTCTTTTGCATTTGCTGAGGAGTGCTTTACTTCCAACTATGTGGTCAATTTTGGAATAAGTGCAATGTGGTGCTGAGAAGAATGTATATTCTGTTGGTTTGGGGTGGAGAGTTCTGTAGATGTCTATTAGGTCCACTTGGTGCAGAGCTGAGTTCAAGTTGTGGATATCCTTGTTAACCTTCTGTCTTGTTGATCTGTCTAATATTGACAGTGGGGTGTTAAAGTCTCCCAGTATTTTTGTTTGGGAGTCTAAGTCTCTTTGTAGGTCTCTAAGGACTTGCTTTATGAATCTAGGTGCTCCCGTATTGGGTGCATATATATTTAGGATAGTTAGCTCTTCTTGTTGAATTGATCCCTTTACCATTATGTAATGGCCTTCTTTGTCTCTTTCGATCTTTGTTGGTTTAAAGTCTGTTTTATCAGAGACTAGGATTGCAACCCATGCTTTTTTTTGCTTTCCATTTGCTTGGTAGATCTTCCTCCATCCCTATATTTTGAGCCTGTGTGTGTCTCTGCACGTGAGATGGGTCTCCTGAATATAGCACACTGAGGTCTTGACTCTTTATCCAGTTTGCCAGTCTGTGTCTTTTAATTGGGGCATTTATCCCCATTACATTTCAAGTTAATATTGTTATGTGTGAATTTGATCCTGTCATTATAATGTTAGCTGGTTATTTTGCCCGTTAGTTGATGCAGTTTCTTCCTAGCATCGATGGTCTTTACAATTTGGCATGGTTTTGCAGTGGCTTGTACCAGTTGTTCCTTTCTATGTTTAGTGCTTCCTTCAGGAGCTCTTGTAAGGCAGGCCTGGTGGTGACAAAATCTCTCAGCATTTGCTTGTCTGTAAAAGATTTTATTTCTCCTTCACTTATGAAGTTTAGTTTGGCTGGATATGAAATTCTGGGTTGAAAGTTCTTTTCTTTAAGAATGTTGAATATTGGCCCTCACTCTCTTCTGGCTTGTAGAGTTTCTGCTGAGAGATCCGCTATTAGTCTGATGGGCTTCCCATAGTGGGTAACCCGACCTTTCTCTCTGGCTGCCCTTAACATTTTTTCCTTCATTTCAACCTTGGTGAATCTGACAATTATATGTCTTGGGGTTGCTCTTCTCTAGGAGTATCTTTGTGGTGTTCTCTGTATTTCCTGAATTTGAAAGTTGGCCTGCCTTGCTAGGTTGGGGAAGTTCTCCTGGATAATATCCTGCAGAGTGTTTTCCAACTTGGTTCCATTCTCCCTGTCACTTTCAGGCATACCAATCAAACGTAGATTTGGTCTTTTCACATAGTCCCATATTTCTTGGAGGCTTTGTTCGTTTCTTTTTATTCTTTTTTCTGTAAACTTCTCTTCTCACTTTATTTCATTAATTTGATCTTCAGTCACTGATACCCTTTCTTCCACTTGATCAAATCTGCTATTGAAGCTTGTGCATGCGTCATGTAGTTCTCATGCCATGGTTTTCAGCTCCACCAGGTCATTTAAGGTCTTCTCTACACTGTTTATTCTAGTTAGCCATTCGTCTAATCTTTTTTCAAGGTTCTTAGCTTCCTTGCGATGGGTTCGAACATCCTCCTTTAGCTTGGAGAAGTTTGTTATTAGTGACTTTCTGAAGCCTACTTCTGTCAGCTTGTCAAAGTCATTTCCATCCATCTTTGTTCTGTTGCTGGGGAGGAGCTGCAATCCTTTGGAGGAAAAGAGGTGCTCTGGTTTTTAGAATTTTCAGCTTTTCTGCTCTGGTGTCTCCCCATCTTTGTGGTTTTATCTATCTTTGGTCTTTGATGCTGGTGACCTACAGATGGGGTTTTGGTGTGGATGTCATTTTATTTGTTGATGTTGCTATTCCTTTCTGTTTGTAGCTTTCCTTCTAACAGTCAGGTCCCTCAGCTGCAGGTCTGTGGGAGTTTGCTGGAGGTCCACTCCAGACCCTGTTTGCCTGGGTATCACCAGCAGAGGCTGCAGAACAGCAAATATTGCAGAACAGCAAATATTGCTGCCTGATCCTTCCTCTGGAAGCATCGTCCCAGAGGGGCACCCGCCTGTATGAGGTGTCAGTCGGCCCTTTCTGGGAGGTGTCTCCCAGTTAGGCTACATGGGGGTCAGGGTCCCACTTGAGGAGGCAGGCTGTTCTCAGAGCTCAAACACCATGCTGGGAGAACCACTGCTGAGAGCTGTCAGACAGGGATGTTTAAGTCTGCAGAAGTTTCTGCTGCCTTTTGTTCAGCTATGCCCTGCCCCCAGAGGTAGGGTCTATAGAGGCAGCAGCCCTTGCAGAGCTGTGGTGGGCTCTGCCCAGTTCGAGCTTCACCAGCACTTTGTTTACCTACTCAAGCCTCAGCAATGGCAGACACCCCTCCCCCTGCCAGGCTGCTGCCTCACAGGTCAATCTCAGACTGCTGAGCCAGCAGTGAGCAAGGCTCCGTGGGCGTGGGACCTGCTGAGCCAGGCACAGGATATAATCTCCTGGTGTGCCATTTGCTAAGACCATTGGAGAAGTGCAGTATTTGGGCAGGAGTGTCCCGATTTTCCAGGTACAGTCTGTCATGGCTTCCCTTGGCTAGGAATGGAAAATCCTCCGACCCCTTACGCTTCCCGGGTAAAGCGATGCCCCGCCCTGCTTCAGCTCACCCTACGTGGGCTGCACCCACTGTCCAACCAGTCCCAGTGAGATGAACCAGGTACCTCAGTTGGAAATGCAGAAATCACCGTCTTCTGCGTCGATCACACTGGGAGCTGCAGACCGGAGCTGTTCCTATTTGGCCATCTTGGGACGGAATCTTACTTGTTTTATTTACGTATATATTTTTCTGAACCATTTTGAAAGTAATTGGTAGCCATCATGAGACCTTAACTGAATCTCTTTGAAAAATAAAGGACATTCTCCCATATAACCACAGCACCATCATCACAATCATTGGCAAATCTTTATGTTTCTTTCCAGTCTTTTACACACATCAACACATACACAATCATATATTCCAACTTGTAAATGATTAGTTAACTTAGTAAGTTCAACTTAAGAGTTGAAATTACAGTACTCACTTATTAACTGACATGTTTGATCTTCTCATTTCTACTGCCGCCACTCCACCTCCCTCTAGTGTATTCTGCCCACAGCAGCTAAAGTAATCTTTTTAAAACATAAATCAAGTCTTATCACTCTCCTGCCTAAATCATTCCAGGTTTCCTGTTCTGCACCATGGCCTGACCCAGCCCCTGGCCTCCCTTGCTGATCTCATCTCCTGCCAATTCCCCTGAGTCACACAATGTATTTTCAGTCCCTTGAACACCTTCAGCTCTTTTTACCATGGTGCCTTGTGCTTGAAATTCTCTTGGCTTTTTTCCATCCCTCAGACTTGGTAAAACATCTCTTACTCAAAGAGGCCTTCAGCAACTGCACTATCTAAACAGGTCCCAAGTTAAGTTCTGCCCTTGCCCCTATTTGTATCTTTCATGACGCTTGCCAGTTTGTGCTTACTCATGAATATCACCCTCCAGCTCAGGCCTGGTAAATAATAAGTTGAGTCTATACATTGGTTAGCTTTGCCTTCCTTTAGCAGGAAATAAAAAATGGGCTGGGCATGGTGGCTCATGCCCGTTATCCCAGCACGTTGGGAGGCTAAGGTGGGAGGATCACTTGGAGTTCCAGACCAGCCTGGTCAACACAGTGAGACCCTGTCTCTTAAAAAAAAAAAAAAGTAGAGAAAGAAAAAAATAAATACAAAATAACATGCTTAACTATGTATTTCTCTCTCAAGGAAATCCAAAAGTGGACAGTCTAAGGCTGCTACGGTGGCCCTTAAGGACATCAGAGATCCAGGCTCCTT
Organism: Homo sapiens; assembly: GCF_000001405.40. Classification (NCBI taxonomy): domain Eukaryota; kingdom Metazoa; phylum Chordata; class Mammalia; order Primates; family Hominidae; genus Homo; species Homo sapiens. Next base: position 48,984,186 of record NC_000020.11, read on the forward strand.
TTATCTGTCTGCTTCACCATACTTAGCCAGAGAGGGTGGCCTCATGGTATAAGATGACTGCTGGAGTACCAGCCATCCCACAAACATTCTGGAGAGGAGGAGGGAAAGAACAAAAAGAGAAAAAAGCAGACTTCCCACCTGAGTCAGCTTTGTTTAAGGGTCCTTCCTAGAAGTACCCACACCACTTCTGCTCATATCTCACTGGCTAGAAGTTTATCACATGGCCATCCTTTATTTAAGGGAGGCAGGGAAATGTTCTTTTTATTCCACATGGCAGTGTGTCCAGCTAACACGTAGGGTTCTATTAGTGTTGGAGAAGGGGAGAGTGGATATGAGGTGACAATCAGCAGACTCTGACCAGGTATAGCTGGGTCAGAAATTGAAGGTGGAATTTAGAAAAGCTGCCAGGACAGACATGACCTTGCTAGCTTATACGTGATGGCATGTTCATAGTATTCTATTATTATTTATCTCAAATACCAGCTTTTGCTATCCTCCAGATTTTGAAATAAGCAACTTGTGTCCCATCTCTGCTTGAAACAGGTTCAACAAGAAACCCAAGAGGGGGATCCAGTTTCTCCAGGAGCAGGGCATGCTGGGAACGTCAGTTGAAGACATAGCCCAATTCCTGCACCAGGAGGAGCGCCTGGATTCCGTAAGGCTTGGGGGTGTAGCACTTGCATGTGAGTTCTGTCAGGTGATTGTGAGCCCTTACCAGTTTTAACCTCGAGATTGTCTGGCCCTAAGTACATTGTCTGTTGTCCACCCCCGGGTTATACATTGTCTATTGTCCACCCCCGGGTTACAGCAGTCCTGTGTATCCCGTTGGCTAGTGTTGCAGAAAGCTCTTTGATGGGAATAAACTAGCCTCCCAGCAGGTGGCTGCATATTTGCTGGAAGAGAGTCAGAGCTGGAAGTGTTCCTTGACTGCTAGAAAGTTCTTACGGCTGCCTGTCTGCAACTAACCTCCTTAGTGTGCCCCGTCATTCTCTCCATTTTAAGTCTCTTGTGCCCCCTCCTCTTCCTTCATCCATGCAGGACAGGCTGCTTCTGGAATGGGTGGGTGGGTGGGCAGGTCAGGGAGTTCCCTAGCTTTTTTACCAGTCCAGCCTATTCTGGGCAGTTAGGGCCAGGCTATTCTGACTCCACCCTTTGGCTGCTGGCTTTTGCTGAGGGTTCGTATTTGACAATTTCTGGATATAAGTGAGTGTGTATGTTTCAGACCCAAGTAGGCGATTTTCTGGGAGATAGCGCAAGGTTCAACAAGGAGGTGATGTATGCCTACGTGGACCAACTTGACTTCTGTGAAAAAGAATTTGTCTCAGCCCTGCGGACATTCCTAGAAGGTTTCCGCCTACCTGGAGAAGCCCAAAAGATTGACCGATTAATGGAGAAGTTTGCCGCAAGATACATAGAATGCAACCAAGGGTGAGCGCCGATTTTGAGTCCCTTCCAGATCATCTGTTTGCCTGCCTCAGAACGCTAATTCTAATTTGGTTGGGGTTTAATCTTTGTATATCTGTGCCAAGCAACTGAAGCTTTTGTTTACCGTGTGCCAGGCACTGTGCTAAGGGATTATTTCACATAAGACCTCACAGCAACCTGTTTATGTCCCTATTCTACAGACAAAAAGATTGAGGACCAGAGAGGTTAACTTGCCCAAGATCACACAGCTAAAGCCCATGCTGTTAGCAACTATAAAAGAGTAGTTTCATAAGTTGAGAGGAGACAATTGGGCACCTCTTCCCTAATCAAAAACAGTTCCCCTGATTTAATATATGGGGTAGATCTCAAGGATTTTGGTTTTTCTTTAATTGCATACTGATGAGCAGGTTACAGAAATAGCTACATAACTAATAAAAACCACCAAAGTACATGATTTTATCTGGGGACCTTTTTTGATGGGCGGTTCGTGATTTTGTAAGAAGTGGAAATAGGAAGGGGAACAAACCATTATTAAATACCTCCTGTGTGTGGGCCATGCCATGGGTTTTACATGCATTTAATTTAATTAATGGCAAGCCCAGGAATAGTATCCCTGTTTTACAGATGAGGAAATTGAGAATCTGAGAGATTGAGCAACCTGTCCAAAATTAATCAGCTAGTAAGGAGCAGAGCCAGGGTTGAATATGGATTTCTCTAACTCAGAAGCTCATGTTCGGGCTGGATGCAGTAGCTCTTGCCTGTAATCCCAGCACTTTGGGAGGCCGGGACGGGCAGATCACTTGGGGTCAGGAGTTCGAGACCAGCCTGGCCAATATGGTGAAATCCCGTCTCTTCCAAAAATACAAAAAAAAATTAGCTGGGTAATCCCAGCTGCTCAGAGGCTGAGGCAGGAGAATTGCTTCAACCTGGGAGGCAGAGGCTACAGTGAGCCGAGACCACACCACTGCACACCAGCCTGGATGACAGAGGCAGACTCTGTCTCAAAAAAAAAAACTCATGTTCTCTCCACTGAACATTAAATTAGAAATATGTCTGAATATGCTGTGACCATGATGTGGAAATTGTTCAGTGGAAACTATTTTTTTTGAGACAGGGTCTTGCTCTCTTGCCCAGGTTGAAGTACAGTGGGGTGATCACAGATCACTGCAGCCTGGATCTCCTGGGCTCAATCAGTCCTCCCACCTCAGCCTCCTGAACTGCTGGGACTACAGGTGCATGCCACTGTGCCTGGCTAATTTTTTGTATAATATTTCTGCAGAGATAGAGTTTCACCGTGTTGCCCAGTCTGGTCTTGAACTCCTAGCCTCAAGGGATCCTCCTGCCTCAGCCTCCCAAAGTGGGGGATTTACAAATGTGAGCTACCACACCTGATTGAAACATTTTAATAACTGTTTTGCCTCTCAGGTCAACTTTGTTTTCATATTAATTGCTCCCAGTCTTCCAAGTGTATGGCAGGCTGTCCCCAGGAGGTGGCAGGATTGGCAAAGGCAGCATATCATCATTTTAACCAAATGGACATTAGAACTCTCTATGAAGGCATAATTAGATGCTGTTTACTTTAAACGTATCTCCTATGTGGACCTGGGAGCCTTGGTCTGTTTTGCTCAGTCAGTAAATATGTGACCCAGTTTCATCTCATATTAAAAGACCTTTGTTGTGTTCTTCAAAATTTCTACTGTTCCTGTTATGGACAGTTTGGACAGAACAGTTTCTAGCTTCAGCCTCATATCGTATGAAGCTGTACATCCACATGTTGTCCTTCTCTTCTTGCCTAAGGCAAAAAAGTCAGACTTCACCAACATATTGTTTAGAACAACATAAATATTTTCCATGGTATTTCTACTATTAAATGTTATAATGGGTAATATAGACTATAAATAACAGCTAAACAGCAGTTTTAGTCATCTTTATATCTCATGTCTAGCACAGTACATGGCACAAAATAGATGTTCTCAGGAACAGGACAAGGTGGGGGAGGCACTCAAGCGCTTAGTGTGTGAAATATAGTGAGATGCCCTCTCTCAGGGTCAGCACCAAGTGTAAGGTCTCCTGATGTGCTCACTTGCTTCACCCTAGTCTTGGCCCCAGATGCTTCTTAGAGTCTTTTTAAAAAAAATTATTTGAAATTGCTTTATTCAAAGAAGCCTCAATTTTTATTATTTATTTATTTATTTTTGAGACAGTCTCGCTCTGTCACCCAGGCTGGAGTGCAGTGTCACAATCTCAGCTCACTGCAACCTCCACCTCCCGGGTTCAGGCAATTCTCCTGCCTCAGTCTCCCGAATAGCTGGGATTATGGGCACCCGCTGCCACGCCCAGCTAATTTTTGTATTTTTAGTAGAGATTGGGTTTCACCATGTTGGCCAGGCTGGTCTCGAACTCCTGACCTCAGGTGATCCACCCATCTCGGCCTCCCAAAGTGCTGGGATTACAGGCCTGAGCCACCACGCCCTGCCAAAGAAGCTAAAATTTGATACAGATTGTTAATGAGCTTTTTCTACACTCTGGGTTGCTAAGTCTTGTTCAGTGATGATGAAAGCGTAAAAACTCTTGCCTCATTTGGAATCAAGGGGAGTAGTCGGCTGCTTTTCTCGTGAAGTGTGTCTCTGTTAGCATTGTACCTTCCAAACCGCATCACCATGAATATTGATGTCTCGAATTTTTTTCTCCAGGCAAACTCTGTTTGCTAGTGCTGACACTGCTTATGTCCTAGCGTATTCAATTATTATGCTGACTACAGACTTGCACAGTCCTCAGGTAAAGCACTTTAATGATTTACATGTTGTATTAGCTAAATAAGTGGCTTTACTTGGGCAATTGGATGTTTTTTAAATGGTTTTTAATTTTTTTTAATTACAGGTAAAAAATAAAATGACGAAAGAGCAGTATATTAAAATGAATCGGGGTATCAATGATAGTAAAGATCTGCCAGAAGAGTATCTCTCAAGCATCTATGAAGAGATAGAAGGCAAGAAAATTGCAATGAAAGAAACAAAAGAGCTAACGATTGCAACCAAATCTACTAAGCAGAGTAAGGTCTAATGGCAAATTATTTCTTTTAGTTCTAATTTTTTAGTGTATCAGAATGCATGATTAAATACTCTGGTGATAAATTTAATGTGCATAGCTGGATATCTGAATAGGAAATGTGATTGAATTAATTATTGTGATTATGTTGGGACTTTTATAATGTCACTGTCTTGCTAGATTTCTGATGAGGAGCAAGAAGGAATTTAAAATTAGTAATCTGAGAACTAAATTACTCCCAAAAAGTGTTCTTTAAAACTTTTCTTTAATTCAGATTGTGTCCGCCTTGATTAGAATTCTATTAGTTATGGCCCCTGGGGAGCTGTCAGTTTCACTGTTTGAGAAGCAGCAAAGGGTAGTGGTTTAGAGTGTGGCTCTAGAGCCACACTGCCTTAGATCAAGTCCCAGCTCCTCTACTTAGTAATTGTATGACCCTGGGCAAGTGACTTACCCCCTCTGCCTCATTTTTCCCATCTGTAAAATGGTAATAATAATATTTGTAATGGACTCACGAGATGGTTGGGAGGATTTAGGAGTTAATCATTGTGCATCTTTTGAAACAGTGTATGGCATGTAGCCAGCCCTCAGTGACTGCTAGCCACACCTATCATGCTCTTACTTTACAGATGTAGCTAGTGAAAAGCAGCGGCGGCTGCTGTACAACTTAGAGATGGAGCAAATGGCTAAAACAGCCAAAGCTCTGATGGAGGCTGTGAGCCATGCCAAAGCCCCGTTTACCAGTGCCACTCACCTGGACCATGTCCGGCCAATGTTCAAAGTGAGTATCCTGAGAACTTAGCAAGCATGTGGCTAAGCCTGATTCTGAAGCTGGCCAGCGAGAAGTACTCTTTCCACGCTAAAACTCTGGATGTTATTGAAATCTTCCTTCCATGATAGCTGGTGTGGACGCCACTATTGGCAGCCTACAGCATCGGACTCCAGAACTGTGATGACACTGAAGTGGCCTCCTTGTGTTTGGAAGGCATCCGATGTGCAATCCGAATCGCCTGCATCTTTGGAATGCAGGTAGGTGTAAGTCAGCAACACTCCAGAGATACTGGTGGGTTGTGCTCTTTTAGATTTGGCAAAACTTAGAAATTATCAGAAATTTTCAGTTAATCAAGACTCTTAGCAAGCTACTTACTTATGCCTACTGACAAGAAATCCGTAGCTTTGTGATGACAGCTCGTTAGGGGCAAAAATGGAGATACGGATTAAAACTGTCTTTAAGAATGGGTAGGCTGGGCACAGTGGCTCACGCCTGTAATCCCAGCACTTTGGGAGGCCAAGGCAGGCAGATCACCTGAAGTTGGGAGTTCGAGACCAGCCTAACCAACATGGAGAAACCCCATCTCTACTAAAAATATAAAATTAGCCGGGTGTGGTGGTACATGCCTATAATCCCAGCTACTCGGGAGGCTGAGGCAGGAGACCGGCTTGAACCCAGGAGGTGGAGGTTGCGGTGAGCCGAGATCGCGCCATTTTACTCCAGCCTGGGTGACAAGAACGAAACTCCATCTCAAAGAAAATAATAATAATAATAATAGGTAGGGTCCAAGCTTCTTGACTGGATTTGACAAAGCAGACTTCGTGTTCATCTGCCTAACTTGCCTGCTTTGGTGCTTAAAAATACTATTTCCTTTTTAACATCAGTTTTTATTATAATTTCGCATATTTCCAACTCTTCCCTGGAGAAACAAGTAGTTCAATGCAATATGAATATGTCTGTAAACCTTTGAAACTTGAAAAGTTCAAGCAAATAAATGAAATGTAATTCTGAAACTGTTACGAAATTAGGAGGTTGACAATCCCATGCATCACTTTGTAAGTCAGAAGTTGCACCCCATTTATTTTTAAAAACTCAATCTTCTGTTCCTATTCATTTTACAGTTAGACATTTTCTTTTATACCAAGACCACAAGCTTTGACGTTAGACCATCTAGGTTTCAAGACCCCACTCTGCCACCTCTCCAACCATGTGACATTGGCTCAGCTAAAGTCTCTCTGAGACACCAATTCATTTCCTCATTTGTAAACTTGAGAAAACAGACCTGCCTGGCAGAATTGTTGCAGATGTCAATTTGTGTGACAGTCTTAGTATTCAACAGACATAGTGGAACATGGGACAGGTGAGTTTGACTGAAGTCAATTAGAAAGGAGAGAGCTGCTTCTCAAACATGTGGCAGTGCATAGATACCTCTGCAAGATGTTCCAAAAGCAAGAGGGCATTAGCATGGAATAACTGTTGTGCTAATGTGCAGAAAGCCAGTCAATGTGCATACAAAAAGTATCAGAGAAGCCCAGTGTGCCAGCCCTGCAGATGTGAGAATGGCCACACTAAGGTTGGAGTCACAGTGTTCTCTCTTGGGTTTCTGTTACAGCTGGAACGAGATGCCTATGTTCAGGCTCTTGCTCGCTTCTCCCTACTCACAGCCAGCTCCAGCATCACAGAAATGAAGCAGAAAAACATCGACACCATTAAGACGCTTATCACAGTGGCTCACACCGATGGCAACTACCTTGGGAATTCCTGGCATGAGGTACGTGTCTCTTTGAATTGCCTTTTCTCAGTTAGGATGACTCCTGGCTTCCTTTTATTCATTGTTGATCTCATTTGGTCAGTTCTGTTTTTCTTGAAGTCAAATCACTGTACCTCATGTATCTGGAAGTCACCCTCTCTGGGGCTGTGAAAGGCGGGGGCGAGTTCAGGCGCACCAGCTCACAGTGAGCACCCTTGCACCCAGCAGCCAGTGTCCCCCATGAAGTGTACTTCTGTTGTTGCAACTTTCTTTCCATATTAGTGCCATTTTTTTTTTTTTTTTTAGTCCTTATGTACCTCTTGGGAGCTTGGGAGCTCCTGTGATCAATGTGTAATTTTAAGACAAAGCCAGGAGCCTGATTAGAAATGGTTGATAGTCACAATGAGCTGTTAGGGAGAGTGCCAGTGAATTCACATGTTTTTAAAACAGTATTCTAAGATTCTCACCCAAGGATATAGTTACTTATGTGTACAACAATGTATTTAAAAGGATATTTGTTGCAGTTTTAGTTGTTCTAGGGAAAAGTTTGGGTTAAAAAGAGCTAGATGTCCCAACAATATAAGAGATTGCTACTTTTTTTAAAAAGTATGGTACAGCATTTTTTAGAATGTTATGTGGCCATTTAAAATAATGTTGTGGAAAAAAAAGACAGGCAGATAGTATGTGCTCTCTGATGGAAGTACACAATACTACCTAAGAAATGTTCTAGCCCCAACTCAAATCTGAATTGATTCAAGCCTATATTGCCAGTTTACAGGAAATACAGTGGACAGAGAAGCATGTTAGATATGAGGGTGCAGCTTGGAAATTCTAGGTGTGACAGACCTGCAGAGCAGATGACCAGGTTTTTCAGCAAAAAAATTGCAAGAAAAATAAGGGAGGAGGGTTACCTATGAATTAAAAGAGATTTCAGAAAAGAAGATAAAAGATGATTTTAAAGACTATTGTGGGAAAATGGTCACAGTAAAATTACAAGTTGTTATAAGAGATTGTGAGGCATTGTCTCTCGTGGCAAAATACACAGAGAATGCAGTTTGAAAGGATAGACCAAAGCATTAACATTCTGTCTGAGAAATAGAATTATGGAAACTGTTTTATTCTTTTTTTTCTTAATTTCTAATTTTTTCTGCCATCTACATGTATTACTTTTTTGTTTAGAGAGAAAACTGTGAAAGAATAGAGATGAGGCTGTGGAGAATGTAAAGGACAGTTTGACATAGAAAATTGCTGTCATCCTTCTTCCCCATGTGGACCACATGGCTCAGATTCAGAGTAAAGGCTCTAGAGCCTGGCAACTGGGGTCTGATTTGGGGCTCCACCTCTTCCTGCCTGGATGGCACAGGCAGGTTACTTAGTCACCGAGTCCCACCTTCTTCATCTCTACAATCTTCACAGGGTGGTTATGAAAATGAAGAGGGCTTGGGACTGTATTTGGCAAGTAATAAGAACTCAATAGTGTTACCTGCTGTCATCTCCGTGGCGTATGGCTTTGCTCCTCTTCACCAGCCTTTCCTCTCTCTGTCACAACTCTGAGTAGTCCATGTTAGAAATAACTGAGTTATGGCTGGGCACAGTGGCTCACACCTGTAATCCCAGAACTTTTGGAGGTTGAGGCAGAAGGATGGCTTGAGGCCAGGAGTTCCAGACCAGCCTGGGCAACATAGCAAGACCCCATATCTTTAAAAAAAAATTATTTTTTTAATTAGCTAGGCATGGTGGTTCATGCCTGTAGTCCCAGCTACTCAGGAGGCTGAGGCAGCAGGATTGCTTGAGCCCAGGAGTTCAAGGCTGTAGTGAGCCTTGATTGCACCACTGTGCTGCAGCCTGGGCAACAGAGCAAGACCTCATCTCTAAAATAAAAAAATATATATTTTGAATTGTGTGCTTTTTAAAATCATTTCCTGCCTTCTAAGGAGCCATAATACGTAGAGAATCAATGAATAGTTGCTTTTTCTTCTAAAACATTTTTTTAGCCTGGGAGGTATTATCAATATGAGGTTCCTGCTGCCAGCCAAGTATATGGCAGAATCTAGAAATGTTAAAAATTAATTAGCTACCTCTGCGGTTGTCAGAAGCCCTGAGAAATCAGCTTGGAACTAATAAGCCCTTGACCTTTCAGTATTGGTGACGTACTTGAGATTCCAGCTGTCCCCAGCTTCTGCAAAAGGGAGGACATTACTAGCTTACTAATAATAATTTAATAGTGTGTGAAGAAATCAGGGGATGATTCTCTTTGGTGGAATTAAGTCTATTTCTCAGTCAAGAAGAAAGCAATTTATAAGTAAAGATACTCGGCAGTGCTCAGTGGTATAGTGGAGTCCTGGACTCTGGGACTGAGTTGTAAGGTCAGCGTAAAAAGCAACACTGAAGTTCAGTCAGAAGTTCCCATGAAAATTCCTTAGGGTTTCCCTGGAGGTCTGTGTGCCATTCCTTGGTAAGTTTCATGTAGCCAGTGTTTCCTCTGACAGAAGTTGGGACCAGTTTCTGTTTCTACAGCTGAGCTTCAGGTAGGAGGGCCCGTGTGCAGATCTGCATTCTCAAGCACCAGAGGCACCCCTCAGGACCAGGAGATCCAGCCTCATCTCCCACTGCATGCCTGATGTAGAGCATATTCTCATTCCTTCAGTTAAACCAATTAACGATTGCCAACAACTTTAAGTGCCAGGGACTTAAGTGTTCAGCAGTGAACAAGACAGAGTTAATGCCCTCTTGGCACCTAAGGCAGGAAACAAACAAATAGATATATGGTATAATGCCAAAAAGTGGTAAGCACTAAGAAAAAAAAAGTATGAGCAGGACATGGTAATGGGAAGGTACGATCTCACAAGAAAGATCTCTTTGAGAGGGACACACATGTCTGAGCTGGGAATTGAAGGAGTGAGCCATGGGGAGACAACATTCCAGGCATAAGGAACAGTGAGTGCCAAGGCCCTGAGGTGGGACAAGAGATGACAAGTTAAAGGAGCAACAGTGAGGCCAATGAGGCTGGTGTCTTGTCGTCTCACGAGGAGGGTGGAAAAAGGAGGTGGGGGTGACTAAATGATGTGCCTATTAAGTGACATGGTGGGAGGAATCCGCCGCCCCAGTCAAATGCTTTTTCTCTCTTTATTGAGAGCTTACTAAATTTGCATAAACATCTATATGGCATAACTCCATTGAACCAACTTTTTTTTAATGACTAACTTAAGATTACAGTGCCCTTTTTCTAGCTGTAAGGTAGGAACTCATTTCTTCATGCCTTCTTTCTCTTAGATCTTGAAATGCATCAGCCAGCTGGAGCTCGCTCAGCTGATAGGAACCGGTGTGAAGACGCGCTACCTGTCTGGATCTGGGCGTGAAAGAGAAGGGAGCCTGAAGGGCCACACATTGGCAGGAGAAGAGTTCATGGGCCTTGGCCTCGGTAAGACACCAGGCCCCACAGCTAACAGTCACGGATTTGCAAGCTAACGGGGATGAAACCCTTCTTGTCTCATCAGGACTGTCCTGTAAACCGTCTCTTCCTTTTGTGCCATCTGACAGTGTTCATGAATGCAAGTGGACGTGCTGCTTTGGCCTCTTAATTGTGATTAAACTGTTGAGTAAAATGTCTATTTTACCAAAGTCAGTAGGGTGCATTACTTTTCTTTCTATACCTATCACTATATTGGGGAGAAAAACCATTTGCTTTAAAATGTTCAGATCTCTAGTGCCTGACATTAGAGGGGTGTGTATTTGTGTCTCTAGGTTTTAAAGGGTAGGTTCAACATTTCTTCCATCTTTATTGGGGGGCTTTTATTAAACAGTATTCTTATGCAAGTAGAATTATTTCTCTGGCTATACATTGGATTGAGAAACTCTTCTGATTGATGTAACATGGTAATAATAGTAAATAGGGCAAACAGATGTGCCAAGTCATATTCTGAGCACTCAGTTTATATATTTTAACTCATTTAATGCTCAAAACAATCCAATGAGAACAGGGACTGTTATATTCCCCATTTTGCAATTGAGAAAACTGAGGCACGGAGTGAAAAGATATGAGCAGCATCATACTGCAAAGGAGTGGCAGAGGTAGGATTCAAGCCCTAAGCCATCCAACTACGGAGTGTAGGCTTCTAGGTCCCATTTAGTGAGTGGAATAGTACAGTGTCATGGTTAAAAGTATGGACTCTGGAAAAATGGGGAATTGTAATAGCACCCACTTCTTAGGGTTCTCGTGAGGATGAGTGTAATGAAAGTCTGTGAAGCACACCAAGCATTCAGCAGGTGTGAGCCATTAATGTTCTAGGAGCTCTGGATTAATATCAATTGATTCAAATTTGTTTTCCTAAATATAGGCCTTTAATACTATAAAAATGTAAAAGATTATAGAGAAAGGTAGATGGTTGGTAGAAACAAGAAAGCTTATACTAAGGATATATTTTAAATGCCCAATGCCAAAACAAAACTTTAATTTTATCATCAGTGGGTTTTTGTTTCTTTTTTGAACTTGCAGAGTCATTCCCATTTATGTCCCCTGTCCCTGCGTGTTGACATAACAGGATGCTTTGTTCTAAATACTTGACTGTTTTTGAAGTACTGCTGATTTTGTGCATTGTGTTTCAGGTAATTTGGTGAGTGGCGGAGTGGATAAAAGACAGATGGCCAGCTTCCAAGAATCGGTTGGTGAGACCAGCTCGCAGAGTGTGGTTGTAGCTGTGGACAGGTAATGATTTTATTCTTCAGTGACCCTGAACTACACAGTGGTTTGGTGGCCTCTCTGTAGTTACTGGACATGAATGATTCCTAATTTCTTTAACTGATACAAGTGTTGTTAGCTACAAATTGCTTAAGTGTCACATTTATTTGCATTTTGACCTTTTAGAAAAGGTATAACTTTAACATTGTGACAAATTATGTCAAAAATAAGAGTTTTTCGCTTATGTTGATGTTTTAAATTACCTTGTTTCCTTAGTAGAAATTATTTTTTTAAAAATCACAAGAAGAGTTTAGGATTAAAAGCCTACCCATGCTCACGCCTGTAATCCCAGCACTTTGGGAGGTCAAGGCAGGCAGATCACTAGATCAGGAAATCGAGACCATTTTGGCTAACACAGTGAAACCCCGTTCTACTAAAAAATACAAAAAATTAGTCAGGCGTGGTGGTGGGCACCTGTAGTCCCAGCTACTCTGGAGGCTGAGGCAGGAGAATGGCGTGAACCCAGGAGGCAGAGCTTGCAGTGAGCGGAGATGGTGCCACTGCACTCTAGCCTAGGCGACAGAGTGAGACTCCATCTGCAAAAAAAAAACGCCTACCCATGCTCATGCCTGTAATCCCAGCACTTTGGGAGGCAGGTGGATCACAAGGTCAGGAAATCGAGACCATCCTGGCCAACATGGTGAAACCATGTCTCTACTAAAATACAAAAAAAAAGAAATTAACTGGGCATGGTGACGCATGCCAGTAATCCCAGCTACTCGGGAGGCTGAGGCAGGGGAATATCTTGAACCCAGGAGGCAGAGGTTGTAGTGGGCCGAGATCGCGCCATTGCACTCCAGCCTAGCAACAGAACGAGACTCCGTCTAAAAAAAAAAAAAAAAAAGCCTACCCATGAATGAGAGTTGGCTGAGTTGACAGTTTCCTTTTTTTTTTTTCTCCCCTCAAAACTTTTCCATTATTTCTCTTTACTCAAAACTTGACCTAAAAATCCAGGAGAGATATTTCCCATAAAGAAGCTTCGTACTTATTAGCAATCACTCTCCGTTTTCTTTTCTTTCCTTCCCCCATTCCTTAGTCACTGTAACCACTGATCTACAGATTTGCCTGTTCTGGACATTGTTCCATTGTCCATCTTTCCCTTTTTATTATTTTAATATTCATTATATTCTATTTATTAACCACGTAGTTTCCTTATACTAACATCTTTCCCTTTAATTCTATCCTTTTTCAACTCATGTATGTTGCCTCTATTGTTAAGTGCATATAATGTCGTGTCTTTTGTGTTCCCATCTTCTTCCACTGTTACTGCCTTCTGCCTTCTTTGTGTTAAATAGATATTTTCTAGTATATCATTTTACTTCTGGTCATTTCTTGTACTATATCTTATGTATTGATTGATTGATTGATTGATTGATTGAGACAGTCTCGCTCTATCACCCAGTCTGGAGTGCAGTGATGTGATCTTGGCTCACTGCAACCTCTGCCTCCCAGGTTCAAGTGATTCTGCTGCCTCAGCCGCCCAAGTAGCTGGGACTACAGGCATGCACCACCATGCCTGGCTAATTTTTGTATTTTTAGTAGAGACAGGGTTTCACCGTATTGGACAGGCTGGTCTCGAACTCTTGACCTCAAGTGATCCACCTGCCTTGGCCTCTCAAAGTGCTGGGATTGCAGGCATGAGCCACTGCGCCTGGGCTCCCCCGTCTTTTGATGTGTCACTTTCTCTTCTGCTCACTATAGGTTTTTCTGCTTTCAACTCAGTTCACTTTCCTTGAACCGTTCTATACTTGTAATACCACATCATTTATTTCGGTGGAGGTGTCAGACCTGATGTTTCCTCTCTACCTTGTCTGAGAGTTTGAGAAACTTCAGCTTCCAAATCTAATTAAAAAGAAAAAACCTGTGTGACCAGAGATCATCTGGCTTTTATGCCCAGTACTAAGACAGAAGCAGAATTGCCCTCAGTCTACCAAATCTAATGTTTATTTTTTGTTTTTTTGAGACAGAGTCTGTCTGTGTTGCCCAGGCTGGAGTGCAGTGGCGCAATCTCGGCTTACTGCAACTTCTGCCTCCCGAGTTCAAGCGAATCTTCTGCTTCAGCCTCCCAAGTAGCTGGGATTACAGGTGCCCGCCACCACGCCCAGCTAATTTTTTGTATTTTTTATTAGAGACAAGGTTTCACCATGTTGGCCAGGCTGGTTTTGAACTCCTGACCTCAAGTGATACACCCTCCTCGGCCTCCCAAAGTGCTGAGATTACAGGTGTGAGCCACCACACCCGGTCTAATGTTTATTTTGTCTGGAATTATCTTCCTAGGATTTTTACTGGGTCTACCAGACTGGATGGAAATGCAATAGGTATGTATTTGACTTACCTGTGAAAACTGCAGAAGCCTCACGCTGTGACCGTCTGACTGTTCCTAACGAGGCTTTGCTTGTGTTGTTGGGTCTGGCCTGTAGTTGACTTTGTCCGCTGGCTGTGTGCTGTGTCCATGGATGAACTGGCTTCCCCCCACCATCCTCGCATGTTCAGCTTGCAGAAGATTGTGGAGATATCATACTACAACATGAATCGGATCCGACTACAGTGGTCTCGAATATGGCATGTGATTGGAGATCACTTCAATAAGGTAACTCTTCAAATTTAAAAACCATTCCTGTTAAAAAAAAAAAAAAGTAGACAACTGAATTCAAAAAAAGAAGTGATAAATAATTTGCCCTGTTTTTTAGATGCCTCTAATTCATTTTCCCTGTGCAGTCAAGGACAGCTTGATAGGAGTAATATCATACTTATATATTGGTAGCATTCATGTAGAATGAATTAAAAATCCAGTGGTATTGAAAATACTTTAATATCCCACATGCAGGATGTAGGCTAAGACCACAAAGATTATTACAGCCACTAGACAAATACACTGATGCTTGGAAGCATTGTGAAATGAAATCCAGAAAGGCCTTTTAAATGACCTAATGTTAAGTTACGTTCCAGGTAGTTTTACTCTTCAATGTCACTGCTTCTTGTATTCCGGCACCTATTGCCACCATTCTTCTGAAACTTTTATTGAAAAAATTAATATTTGGGCCGGGCGTAGTGGCTCACGCCTGTAATCCCAGCACTTCGAGAGGCCAAGATGGGCAGATCACAAGGTCAGGAGTTTGAGACCAGCCTGGCCAACATAGTGAAACCCCGTCACCATTAAAAATGCAAAAAAATTAGCTGGGCGTGGTGGTGTGCACCTGTAATCCCAGCTACTAGGGAGATTGAGGCAGGAGAATTGCTTGAACCTGGGAGGTGGAGGTTGCAGTGAGTCGAGATCGCACCACTGCACCCCAGCCTGGGTAACGGAGCAAGACTTCGTCTCAGAAAAAAAAATTAATAATTGTTTTTAAATCAGTAACAAGCCAAAGACCCATCTGGGTTCTAAAACTGACAACTGTTGGGAATAAACCAGACTGAACTTCTTCCTCGTTACCAGAAGTTTTATTATATACATACAGACATATGCACACATGTTGAATAAATAAAATGTCAGATATGTGTTTTATCACGGCCAAAAAACTGGGAACAAAGCAATCAAAAGAAATGTATGTGGCCGGGCGTCATGGCTCACGCCTGTAATCCCAGCACTTTGGGAGGCTGAGGCAGGTGGATCACAGGTCAGGAGATCGAGACCGTCCTGGCTAACATGGTGAAACCCCATCTCTACTAAAAATACAAAAGTTTAGCCCGGCGTGGTGGCGAGCGCCTGTAGTCCCAGCTACTCAGGAGGCTGAGGCAGAAGAATGGCGTGAACCCGGGAGGCAGAGCTTGCAGTGAGCTGAGATCGTGCCACTGCCCTCCAGCCTGGGCGACAGAGCGAGACTCCGTCTTAAAAAAAAAAAAAAAAAAAAAAGAAATGTATGTATGTATGTATCTGTGATGTCATTTGCCTCTTAAGGGAAAGGTAATAATAACAGCTTCCTACCAAAACACATTTCATGATCTCAAGAAAATTTTCTCAAACCTGGTGGTGAAGAGTTATAATACCAATGCTTAAAAATAGTGTTAGTAAAAAAACAATCCAGAAATTCTGTACATTGAATAGAGGAAAATCTTAAAAAGTAGTCTACCATTGGGGTATAGAATAATCAATGGGGTGCTGGTAAATGATTTGTAGCATCTGCCAGTTTCTGTGTGTAAACACCCTGCCACAGCCAATTTAAAGTTAGCAATATGATGTAACTAGGGAAGAGATGGGCACCTCATTACCTCTTGTGGACAGGTGCTAGTCTACTCCACCACTCCCCTGAAATGAAGCATTGTCATATGTAGGCTTGCTTCTAACTTGGTGCATCAGCTAATGAAAGTTCCTTGTTTTTCCATCAGCTCAAATTAAGGCACCTCACAGCACACTGTCTGTTTTACAAAATAATCTGAGTGCTTCATGCTGGGCAGTGGACAGATGAGACCCCTGCCTGCATGGAGCTCCCTGTCATTTTATGATAAGATAACTGATGGGAAAGGATCAAGCATGTCATATATCAGGGTTATTGAGAAAACATGGTCAGGGAAGGTCCCTCTTTGGAGGTGGCCTTGAGAGGCACAGGAGCCTGTGGATGATCCAGGGGAACTATTTGTTGAGTGGATGGTATCACTTTAAATAATCAACTAACTCAGCACCATCTTACCCACTATTCTGAGTAAACAAATTCCTAATTGGACCAATTGAAATAATTGATGTGAATTTGCTTGAGAAAGAAAATGTGAATCATTGCGACTACTGTACCTTGTATTCTTGTCCAAACATGTGACAGCTAAGCCAGAACAAACGCTGCTCATTTATTCCACAAGATCATTTGGCTAGCAACTGTGGAATCCTTTGTTCTCTCAGAAATGACTAGCTAAAAGTGTTTTGGTAAACGTTTTCCCAACTCTTTAAAGTCTGCATTTTGTGTTCATTGGGACTTCTGTTTTGGGAGGGGAACATCAGTTTGCTCAAGTTACTCTTCCCACCTGTGATTCTGTTGTGAAGAATCTGTGTGTGCCAATTCTCAGTATGTATGGACCACTTACAGGCAAGGTTGGGACATAGGGTGGCAGGTGGGAACCAGACATTTAATTGTCATCAACTTCATTACAAATGTCTGTTTATTTAATCAGTGCTGTTTAAGCACCAGGTCATGGAAAACTCAGGAACTCTTTTTTTTTTTTTTTTTTTTTTTTTGAGACAGAGTTTCGCACTGTTGCCAGGCTGGACGGCAGTAGCTTGATCTCCTCTCATTGCAACCTCTGCCTTCCAGGTTCAAGCTATTCTCCTGGGACTACACACATGCATCACCACACCTAGCTAATTTTTGTATTTTCAGTAAAGACAGGGTTTCACCATGTTGGCCAGGCTGGTCTGGAACTCCTGACCTCGGGTGATCTGCTCGCCTCAGCCTCCGAAAGTGTTGCGATTACAGGCATGAACCACCGTGCCCGGCCCTCACTCTGGGACTCTTAACTTTTTCCACCACCTTGGAAAGATGTTCTTCCCATTGTGAACTGGGGCACTTAAGAATCTTGCAGATTTGAAGAAATAGATATGGCTCAATCCAGCTGTAACTTAGCCCTCAGGTTGCTGGCAGAGTTGTTCGCACAGTCACATGATTCTCTTGAACTAGGGGCACCAGCCCTGTGTCCTGGATGAGCAAAGCTTCACACTAAGCATGGTGTGTATGCCTGGAGCATCTGTTTTACCTGGATATTTAAGAAAGGAATATTCTTTTTGTTAGTCTCTAATTACATTAACATACTCCCCTTTACACAAAAATTACAGCTAAAACATCTTTGGCCACCCTCCCCCACACATCTGGCCCTCCCCAAAGCTAATTATTCTTACTAGTTTGTTGTATATCTTTCCAGACATTTTTGTATTCATGTGCATATGTATGTACTCATAGAAATATTACAGATAATATTGTCTTGGTTTGTTTCGCTTTTTAAAAAAATTATACATAGCATTTTGTAACTTGTTTCTTCCACTTAGCAAGGAATCATAAAGATTTAACCATGTTAGCATATGTAGATTTGTTCTCTTTTAAGAAATTGTAATAAAATACACATAACAGGCCGGGCACAGTAGCTCACTCCTGAATCCCAGCAGTTTGGGAAGCTGAGGCAGGCAGATCATCTGAGGTCAGGAGTTCGAGACTAACCTGGCCAACAAATACAAAATTAGCCAAATACAAAAATTAGCAGGGCGCGGTAGTGGACGCCTGTAATCCCAGCTACACGGGAGGCTGAGGCAGGAGACTATCTCGAACCCGGGGGGTGGAGGTTGCAGTGAGCAGAGATCGTGCCATTGCACACCAGTCTGGGTGACGAGCAAAGCTCTGTCTCAAAAATAAAATAAATAAAATAAGATTAAAAAAATAGAATAACCATCTTAACAATTTTAAGTGTGCGGTTCAGTAGTGTTAGGTACACTCACATTGTTGGGCAACAGATCTCAAGGACCCTTTTCATCTTGCAAAACTAAAACTGCATACCCATTAAACAGTAACTCCCACTTTCACCCTCCTGACCACAGGCAACCACCATTCTACTCTGTGCCCCTAGGAACTTGACTACTATGGGTACCTCATATAAGTAGAATCATGCTGTGTTTGTCCTTTTGTGACTGCCTTATTTCATTCAGCATAGTAATGTCTTCAAGGTTCATCTGTGTTGTAGCGTGTATCAGAATTTCCATCCTTTTCAAGGCTGACTTTATTATTTATTTATTTATTTTTGAGATAGCATTTTGCTCTTATTGCCCAGGCTGGAGTGAAGTGGCAAAATGTCGGCTCACTGCAACCTCTGCCTGCCAGGTTCAAGCAATTCTCTTGCCTCAGCCTCCCAAGTACAAGCAATTCTCCTGCCTCAGCCCTCCCAAGTAGCTGGGATTATAGGCACCCACCACCATGCCTGGCTAATTTTTTGTATTTTTAGTAGAGACACAGTTTCACCACATTGGCCAGGCTGGTCTTGAATACCAGACCTCAGATGATCCACCCGCCTCAGCCTCCCAAAGTGCTGGGATTACAGGCGTGAGCCACCACGCTTGGCCCAATTTTTATTTTTTTAACTTTTTTTTTTTTTTTTTTTTTAGAGACGGATCTTGCTCTGTCACCCAGGCTGGAGTGCAGTGGCACCATTTTGGCTCACTACAACCTCTACCTCCCAGGTTCAGGCAATTCTCCTGCCTCAGCCTCCCCAGTAGCTGGGACTACAGGCATATGCAACCACGCACAGCTAATTTTTGTATTTTTAGTAGAGACAGGGTTTCACCATGTTGGCCAGGTTGGTCTTGAACTCCTGGCCTCAGGTGATCCTCCCGCCTGAGCCTCCCAAAGTGCTGGGATTACAAGTGTGAGCCACCACACCCAGCCCCAATTTTTCATTATTACAAATGATATTGCTGCATTCTATTAAAAATAAAACATTGGCCGGGCACGGTGGCTCATGCCTGTAATCCCAGCACTTTGGGAGGCTGAGGCGGTTGGATCACCTGAAGTCAGGAGTTTGAGACCAGCCTGGCCAACGTGGTGAAACCCCGTCTCTACTAAAAATACAAAAATTAGCCGATCTTGGTGGCGGGCACCTGTAATCCTAGCTACTCAGGAGGTTGAGGCAGGAGAATTGCTTGAACTGGGGAGGTGGAGATTGCAGTGAGCTGAGACCACACCATTGCACTCCAGCCTGAGCAACAGAGCAAGACTCCGTCTCAAAAAATAAAATAAAATAAAATAAAATAAAACATCAGGTCAGACCACATATCAATGAAATGGCTCACTTGGAGCAGGCCTCTGCAAGATATCCCCAGATCTCCTGGCAGGGGGTGTGGGTGGGAAACATTCTCTTGCTGTTTTTAGAGATTCTCCTTGAGAGAAAAGTCTGAAAAGCACCAGCCAAATATTTACCCATAACTCCAGTTCCTAAAAGTAGGCAAACCATAGACAAGTACAATTTTTAAGGAAATTGAAAAGCCTCAATAATTTTGCAGAAGTTTTGGAGATTGATGATATTTATTTTATAGTCATTTGCTTTAGATGACAGACATTGGGAAAGTGTGAAAAGGCTTTCCATAGACTGTAAAGGCTTTTGACCCTTCATATATATATATTTGGAGAAAATTAAATAGCACCTTGGGAGATGTTGTTTAATGGATATAGAGTTTCATTTTTTCAAGATGAAAAGAGTTCTCTGCCGGGCGTGGTGGCTTACTCCTGTAATCGCAGCATTTTGATTGAGGCGGCCTGATCACTTGAGTTCAGGAGTTCGAGACCAGCCTGGCCAACATGGTGAAACCCTGTCTCTTCTAAAAATACAAAAAAAAGTAGCTGGACGGGGTGGCAGGCGCCTGTAATCCCAGCTACTCGGGAGGCTGAGGCAGGAGAATCGCTTAAACCCAGGAGGTGGAGGTTGCCAGCCTGGGCAACAGAGTTAGACTTTATCTTAAAAGAAACAAGAAAAGAAAAGAGTTCTGATTGGCTTCACAATAGTATGAATGTATACTACTGAACTGTTCACTTAAAATGGTTAAGATGGTAGATTTTATGTTATGTATATTTTACAATTAGAAAAATTGGGTATAGTTGCAAGTTTAATAGCAAAAGAAAAAAAAAAGAAAAGAAAAAAATAGGTTGGGCGCGGTGGCTCACCCTGTAATTCCAGCACTTTGGGAGGCCAAGGCAGGTGGATCACCTGAGGTCAGGAGTTCGAGACCAGCTTGGCCAACATGGTGAAACCCCATCTCTACTAAAAATACAAAAATCAGCCGGCAGGCACCTGTAATCCCAGCTACTTGGGAGGTTGAGGCAGGAGAATTGCTTGAACCGGGGAGATGGAGGTTGCAGTGAGCCGAGATCACACCACTGCACTCCAGTCTGGGCGACAGAGCCAGACTCCATCTTAGAAAATAATAATAATAATAATAAAATGAAATTTAAAAAAGCAGAAAGTAGCACATTTTAAATGCATATTTAATTAACTATGCAATACTGATTTCGTCATTACACTTAAAATAAAACTGGACAGATCATAGCCAAGAAATAGCATTTTCTTTTCTCCTTAGGTGTGTTTTCCCTGAATGTTTGTTTTGAAGGTAGGCTGTCCATCTTTGCTGTTGAGAGACCCACGTCGGTCATTATTACACTATACCTGTTTCACATCAGTTCCTGTTCTTGTTCAGGTTGGCTGCAACCCTAATGAAGATGTGGCTATCTTTGCTGTTGACTCATTAAGGCAACTCTCCATGAAGTTTCTTGAGAAGGGTGAATTAGCCAACTTCCGTTTCCAGAAAGATTTTCTGAGGCCCTTTGAGCATATTATGAAGAAAAACAGGTATGTGTTTTGCTCTGGAAGACGCTTGGTCAAATTCCCCGTTGGGGCTCCCAGAAGCCCTCCTAACACTAACCACATGATTAATTTTTTTCCTCCCTTGTCAGTGGAAACAAATAGAATGAATAGACTGTGATTCACATCGATTTTCCTTAAACAAATCTCACTAAAATCTATGTGTAGCCTTTCCTAGGAGGACAGATGTCACCCTGCAACTTGTAGAAATATGTCGTGAACCGGCTGGGCACAGTGGCTCACACCTGTAATCCCAACACTTTAGGAGGCCGAGGCGGGTGGATCACGAGGTCAGGAGATCGAGACCATCCTGGCTAACACGGTGAAACCCCGTCTTTACTAAAAATACAAAAAATTAGCCGGGCATGGTGGCGGGCGCCTATAGGTCCAGCTACTTGGGAGGCTGAGGCAGGAGAATGGCGTGAACTCAGGAGGCAGAGCTTGCAGTGAGCCAAGATTGCGCCACTGCACTCCAGCCTGGGTGAAAGAGCAAGACTCCGTCTCAAAAAAAAAAAAAAAAAAAAAGAAAAGAAATATGTCATGAACCCCTTTTGGGGCTGGTTCTCAGGGAGATTAAAGGAAGAGCCACTGCAGAAGCATCCTCAAACCAGGATAAGAATTATGTGACCCATCACTTCTCCCCCAGGGAGGTCATAAAAGAGGTCAGGATACCGGGCCCTGTGAAGCAGCCGTACTGTTCATTTATTCACTCGGCCTGGACTTATTGAGACTTGCCATCTGCTAGGTACTATAAAGAAGACATTTTAAAATCCTGTGTTTGGCCGGGCGCGGTGGCTCATGCCTGTAATCCCAACACTTTGGGAGGCCGAGTCAGGTGGATCACCTGAGCAGGAGTTCAAGACCAGCCTGGCCAACATGGTGAAACCCCGTCTCTACTAAAACTACAAAAGTTAGCCGGGCGTGGTGGTGGGCGCCTGTAATCCCAGCTACTCAGGAGACTGAGGCAGGAGAATCGCTTGAACCCGGGAGGTGGAGGTTATAGTGAGCCAAGATCACACCATTGCACTCCAGCCTGGGCAACAAGAGCGAAATGCTGTCTCAAAAAAAATAAATAAAAATGAAATAAAATAAAATCCCTGTTTTCATTCAGCCTTAAATAGTTGCACCTGGGTGTGATGGGCATACAGGAGTTCATTATATATTACTCTACTTTTCTCTGTGTTTTAAACTTTCCATAATAAAATTTAAAAACAAATCTCTGTTTAATTCCAATAGAAAAACAAATAAATATCAGTGGTGGTAATGGGCTCTGAAGGACATTATATATATCAAGGTAAGGGGATAGGGATGGAAGCACTCTTTTATCCAGGGCAGCCAGCTAACATGTGTTTGGTAAGGGCACCCTTAGGAAAAGGCCTGAAGGAAGTCAGGAATAATCTGAGAGTGGCCATATGCTGCCTTGGCATGAGAATTATGAACAGGGAAGAGCAAAAGCAAAAGGCCCGTAGCAGGTAGTGCTTGGCATAGGTGGGGAGGCCAGTGTGGCTTGAATGGAGGGAACAAGGCAGGTAGTAGAAGGTGAAGTCCCTCCCAGTGGTGGCAGGGTGCCTAGCTCACATAGGAGCTGTCGGCCATTGTCAGCACTTTGGTTTGCTCTCTGTGAAAGATGGAAGCCGTTGGAGGTTTTTGTTTTTTTTTTTGACGGAGTCTCTCCTGACCTCATGATCCGCCCACCTGGGCCTCCCAAAGTGCTGGGATTACAGGCACGAGCTACCGTGGCCGGCCTGCCATTGGAGGATTTTAAGCAGAGAAGTGAAATGATCTGACATTTTAAAGGATCACCCTGCATTTATCCATGGAAAATGAGGACCATTAGGATGAGGTAGGAGGCCATTGTAGTTGTCCAGGTTTGGACCAAGGTGGGAGCAGTGGCAGTGATGGATTAGATTCTGTGCACATTTGGAAAGGGAATCTTACACCATGTGCTGATGAATTGGCCATGGAGCATAAAGGAAGAGATGTCAAGGATGACTTTTGGACCTAATTCCTCTTGTCTGCTATTCCCCTAAAAAGTGTACTTCAGATCAGCCTGGATCTTTTTTTTTTTTTTTTGAGACGGAGTTTTGCTCTTTTTGCCGAGGCTGGAGTGTAATGGTATGATCTCAGCTTACTGCAACCTTTGCCTCTTTGGTTCAAACAATTCTCCTGCCTCAGCCTCCCAAGTAGCTGGGATTACAGGCATGCACCACCATGCCCAGCTAATTTTGTATTTTTGGTAGAGATGGGGTTTCACCATGCTGGTCAGGCTGGTCTCAAACCCCTGACCTCAAGTGATCCACCTGCCTTGGCCTCCCAAAGTGCTGGGATTACAGGCGTGAGCCGCCACACCTGGTGTTGCTTTTTTTTTTTTTTTTTTTTTTTTAAGAAAATGGGAGCTCCCAAGCTGGATGCCAGAGCAGGCTGTTAGGGTAGTGAATAAAAGGGTACCAGAAAAGTTTCCTTGACATGTCTCTCTTTCTCCTAGTGTCTGTATGTCTGCTTTATTGCTCATTTTAAGAGAACCAAAATTAAACCCAGAGTCTGGCATCACCCTTTACTTTAGCAAATACACAAAAGTATTTTCCTACCTTTAGGAACACCATTGAGAGTGCCTGAGGAGACTGAGTCCTCACATGGCCAAGCCACGTGTGCAAGCCTAATTGCACGGAAGCCCTCAACTCCTAACTCCAGGCCTTCCCTGCCTATCCTATTCCCATTTGAAAAGGGGCAGAGTGAGTTTAGAATCACATGTTGCCAGGCACTCTCAGATACTGTTGGTGGAACTGTAACTTAACTGTAACATTTCTAAAAGCATTTTGGTGATAAGTGTCAAGAATCCTGATATTTTTATGCCCCTTTGACTCAGTAATTCCACACTTCTGTAATTCTCCAAAGCAGTTAATGTGAAATATAGTAAAGCGTTATATGTCACAGAAAATAGTTTTCTAGAAAAAAACAAACTATCTAAATAAACAAGTGTTAAAGTAAATGTTGGTACCGGTACAACATGGGATATTGTTTTGCTGTTAAAAATGTTCACAATGTTTGGCCGGGTGTGGTGGCTCACACCTGTAATCCCAGCACTTTGGGAGGTCGAGGCAGGCGGATCACCTGAAGTCAGGAATTCGAGACCAGCCTGGCCAACATGCTGAAACCCCGTCTCTACTAAAAATACAAAAATTAGCCGGGTGTGGTGGTGTATGCCTGTAGTCCCAGCTACTCAGGAGGCTGAGGTAGGAGAATCACTTGAACCTGGGAGGTGGAGGTTGCAGTGAGCCAAGATCGCACCACTGCACTCCAGCCTGAATGACGAGAGAAACTCCATCTCAAAAAAAAAAAAGTTCACAATGTTTATAATGTGGGAAATGACTAATACTTTAGAGAAATGGACAGGTTATAGAATTGGACAGACAATATAATAGAGATAGTGAAACGTGTATCTCTCCATATGAAATACCATATATCATGTAAAGGTTTTTTTTTTTTTTTTTTTTTGAGATGTCTTGCCCTGTCGCCCAGGCTGGAGTACAGTGGTGCAATCTCGGCTCACTACAATCTCTGCCTCCCAGGTTCAAACTATTTTCCTCCCTCAGCCTCCCAAGTACCTGGAATCACAGGCGTGCATCACTATGTCCAGCTAATTTTTGTATTTTTAGTAGAGACGGGGTTTCACCGTGTTGGCCAGGCTGGTCTTGAACTCCTGACCTCAAGTGATCCACCTGCTTCGGCCTCCCGAAGTGCTGGGATTACAGGTGTGAACCACCATGCACAGGTAAATTTTTTTTTATCATACTTTTTCTGTATTTTCCAAAACTTTTACTATCATCATATCTTTCTTTTAACAATCAGGCAAAAAAACATTATAATAAATATAGTTTTGTCAACAAGTTGCTTTATTCTCCATGGGGAGACAACCATGAATTCATTTTTATTATATATTGGAAGTTACTTATGTTGTGTAGTCAGTCCTTTGTTATCTGCAGGTGACATGTTTACTTTGTGAACTTTCAGCTAATTTTTAACTGTTTTGACTTTCTCCTTGCCTTCTCTAAATGGCCTTTCCTGTTATTGGTTAGTGTGAGCCTGGAAGACAAACATGAATGTCATTCTAAGCCAGATAAAATTTGAAAGTCATGAGCCTGGGAGGCAGAGGTTGCAATGAGTCGAGGTCGCTCTACTGCATTCCAGCCTGGGCAACAGAGCAAGACCTTGTTTCAAAAAAAAAAAAAAAATTGAAAGTCAAACCTGTAGTCCCAAGGCCACTGTACTGACTTTTAAAGATAGTACTATCGAAGCAGTAGGCTTATATAGCTTTCCTTCTTGCTATTTGTGAGATAATAAGGTTCCTCCATAATTGTATGTCTTAACAGGTTGAGAGACAATTGCAGCTGTTCCAGAAAATCAGCCATTTTCTCTGTCTTCAGGTTTTACTTTATAATAATTTAGGTAAACATTGCACCTTAAACTATATATGTATACTCCAATCCACATATATGTGTTTATCACATAGGTATATCCCTACCCAAAAATCTTAAGAAGATACACACAAGAATTTAGTAATGATTATCTCTAGGTGGCAGAATTATATTATTTGAAATGTTTTTGGCCAGAAAAACTGACCAGCAGTGACTTAAACCACAAGGCTATTTATTGTTTTCGTAACAAGAAAGAAGTCAGAGGCAAGCATTCAACTTTGGTTCCATGGCCTGGATAGGGACCATTTATTTGAGACCCAGGCTTTTTCCTTTTGTTCTTCCATTCAGAGGGTCAGCTTCTCAACCTTGAGTTTATTGTTTCGTGATTGCAGGATGGTGGTTGTAGCTCTATGCAGCATGCTAGGTTTGGAATGGAAGTGAGAGGAAACGGGGCAGAGCCCAAATGTGGATTGCTGTGTGCTATAAGAAATGTTTAAGTGCTGCTTCTAAGGGATGAGCTATGTTCATTTCTCTTCCCATTCTCCAAAGTACAGACGATATGGCCGTCCCATTCTTTCCTCAGGTCTCCCACCATCCGGGACATGGCGATCCGCTGCATTGCCCAGATGGTGAACTCCCAGGCGGCCAACATCCGCTCAGGTTGGAAGAACATCTTTGCCGTGTTCCACCAGGCAGCCTCTGATCATGATGGGAACATTGTGGAGCTGGCCTTCCAGACCACTTGCCACATTGTCAGTAAGTGGCTCTGTTCCCTCCCTACTAATGTCCCACCTGCAAGTCTAGAAGAGTGTCACTTGCTGTCTATTTTACTACCTACAGGGGCTTCCCTACCTTGGCTCTACTGTGATATAGTAATGTGCCAGGCCGTGTTGTAAGCGCTTGATGAGTATTAATCTTGATCTTAACTCTGTTTTGACTTTCTCCTTGCCTTCTCTAAATGGCCTTTCCTGTTATCAGTCAGTTGGGGTCCAGCAGATAAACGTGAATGTTATTTCAAGCCAGATGAAATTTGAAAGTCAAATCAATCCCAAGGCCACTCTAATGACTATGAAAGAATTACAGTCAATCCTCATTATTGGTGGATTCCGTGTGTATACTCACTAAAATGTATATACATTAATAACTCCACAACCAGTACTCATGGTGCTTTTGTGGTCATTTGCCAACATGTGCATGCACAGAAGAGCAAAAACTTGAGTCACCCAAGGCGCACGTTCCCAGTTGTGGTGGAAGAAGGTGGCACCCTGCCTTCTTGTTTGAGCTGTCATGACATAAACAAGTGTGCTTAATGTGGCCTATCGAGTGCCATGTTTTTTTACATTTTCGTGCTTTTTGTTGGTGATTTCACTGTTTAAAATGCCCCCCCAAGCATAGTGCTGAATGCTGGGTAGTATTCTACGTGCAGAAAGGCTGTGATGTGTCTTATGGAAAAAATATGTGTGTTAGATGAGCTTCCTTCAGGCATGAGTTACAGTGCTATATTGGCTGTGAGTTCGGTGTTAATGAATCAACAATATGTATTAAATAAGGTGTCTTTTCAACAGGAACACACATACAACAAGGTTATGTCTTGATCAGCTGATGAAAATGTTCTGACCAGAGACTTGCAGGAATCTAGTTCCTTATCTCCATATTTTCCCTAAGAGCCATGGTTCAGTATTCTTGAATTCAGTGTTTATGGCAACTTTATAGAATGTAACTATCAGGAATAATGAGAACAGACTATCTCATTATTTCCCCCATGTTACTAAAGAGGAAATTGAGGCACAGAAAAATAAATACAACAACTTGCCTGAGGACACACAGTTTCGATGTAGTGGAACCAGGACTTGCACTCGGGCAGTCGAGCCCAGAGTTAGTTTAGTGTCCCCCTCCTCTGGACTGACCAGGAGTCCTGGGTTCTGCCTGCGAGCACGTAACAAGATGTTTACTTCATCTCTATGGAAATTTTTAGGCATCGAGTTATCTTTGCACATAGTTGGCGTTCAATAAATGAATGAATTGATATTTGGGCCTTTACATCATTGCTTGAGCGCAGGAAGACTGTCTAGCCCAAGCTGTACCCAGTGCATTCATTCCTGAGTAATTTAATAAGAAAAACTGTCTTCCAAAGATACTGACATGCTTTTCTTAGATTTTCACAGTTAATTATCTCTGATGTATGTGTGTGTGTGTGTGTGTGCACGCACGTGCATTTTTTCATCCCCATTTCTAAATCCTGGTCTTATGAAAAATGTGCCTTGTGTTCCCCCAGCAACTATTTTCCAGCACCATTTTCCTGCAGCCATCGATTCCTTTCAGGATGCTGTGAAGTGCTTATCAGAGTTCGCCTGCAACGCCGCTTTCCCTGACACGAGCATGGAAGCGATTCGGCTCATCCGCTTCTGTGGCAAATACGTCTCTGAGAGGCCTCGGGTTCGTTTTTCCCCACCTTACTCAGATGGGCAGTGAAGGGAAAAGGTCATGGAGCAGAAATTCTTGCTCCTAACAAAGAGCTTTCCAGCTACTCTTTTAGAAATGTGTGTTTGCCCTAAATTAGGTGTTTATTTCAAAATGCTGCCATGACAGGGAGTTAGGCCTTTTCATTATTTGGTATATGTGAAATTCTGTATTTTATTCATACTGAATCTATGGTATTCTACAAATTGTTTTTGTAGAAGTTAGTTGTATTTTAGCTTTTGTATTTTGGCAAAGCTCAAGAAGCTAGACGTTTCTATTTGAAAGAAAACAAACCTCCCTTGTAGGAAATGGCATTATGTCTTTGTAATGTGCCTGAGAAATCATATTTAAAAATCACCTTTTGTTTTCTCCTGAAAATGATGGGGTTTTTGTTTGTTTGTTTGTTTTTTTGATGTGTCTCATCTTTCTAAAGAGGCCTATTTGGTTTAAATGACAGAGTCCCAAAACACTGAAATAGGGTGAAAACAAGTCCATCTAAACTATGATGTCCTGTGTAGATCTCTACTTAAGTTTCCTTTACAGAAAGAGCTATAAACCTGTAAGGTGATATGTCTCATCTCTTACAACAGCTCACTAAGATGTGATGATAATGGGAGCCAATGTTGATTGAGCACTTAGTACTTGTTGGGCACCATTCTAGGTATTTTCTGTATGTTGATTCATTTAGTCCCCATGTCAGACCTATGAGATGTAATTATATCCCATTGTACAGGAGAGTTACTGAAGCACAGAGAGAAATTGCCTAACATTACATAACCAGAGTTGCTAAAGAAATTTCAGTACCACTTCAAGAGTGGTTACAGAGCAGAGGGGTCAAAATCCCAGAAATAGGGCAGAGAGTAGGGCTATACATGCAGACTGTAGAAAGACTGCCAGGTCCTAGCTGTATGACCTTGAGCAGCTTACTGAAGCTCTTGATGCCTCAGTTAATTCATCTATAACCTAGGACCATTGTTTCTACCTGCCACTTGGAATCCTTGTGAGAATTGTTAATCCATGAAAAGAACTTTAACAGTGCCTGGCCCATAGCAAGCACTCAGTCAATAGTAGCTGCTGGTATTATTTTAAGTAATGTGTATGACAGTAACATTCCAGAAAGACCTAAGATAATGATACATCCTGGATATTTTGTCAATACTATTTGACCTTTAAGCTCTTCTTAGTATAACACCTCCCACCCCCAGGACTCTTGTGATCTGCCCCCCTTCAACTTGTTCTAAAACCCGCAGAGGTCCATAGGTTTGTACTGGGAAACTGCTCATATGCCCTTTGGGACAGATAATGTCTTTGTGTAGTCTGTTCCCACTGTACCCTTGCTGAATGGAGATTTTTGGGAGAGAAAAATGTGTGGGGCCTTAATCTGCATATAGTTCCCTTTCAGTTCCTTCCTTTTGCATGCTTAGTTTACACCTGAGATGTGATTTTTCATCCTAGGTGCTACAAGAATACACAAGTGATGACATGAATGTAGCTCCTGGTGACAGAGTCTGGGTCCGAGGCTGGTTCCCCATCTTATTCGAACTCTCCTGCATCATTAATAGATGCAAGTTAGATGTACGAACAAGGTAACCATGTTCCCGTGCGGTGGCCCCTTACATCACTGAAATGAACCTCAGTCACTTGCTCACCTGACCCCACTCTCTTCTCTGTTGTTCTCTTCTCCACCATTCTCTCTTCTGTGCCTGACTTTGTTTCCTCCAGGGGACTCACAGTCATGTTTGAGATCATGAAGAGCTATGGCCACACCTTTGAAAAGCACTGGTGGCAGGACCTGTTCAGAATCGTGTTTCGGATTTTTGACAATATGAAACTCCCTGAGCAACTGTCAGAGGTAGGTGATAACTACAGCACTGCCCTAGGTATGATGGAGAGGAAAGCCTTTCTGGCCGGTATTTGCCTCTGGGGGCTGCATCATCGTCTACCCAGAGTTCTTAAATACTGAGCAACTTAAGGTTTTAAAAATGGAAACACCTTTCTGATACTCTCCTACCAGTATCAGCTAGTCCTGAGTGACTCTCCCCATGTTCAGAAGAATGAGAGGAAATACATCTCTGTGGTCTGCTGCTTGGCCCTCAGGCATTGCACCTTCCAGTTCAGCAGGGCTCCTGACTGGTCGTTGTAGTTGTTTTGTTCATATCAACCTCTGAGCAGTCAGAAAGTGGAATGTCTCTGGCCCCTTAAGGGTTTTTAATGAAGTTGCATTTGGAGATGATGTTGAATATTAAGCCTTTTTTTTAAAAGGAAGTTTGATGCCTGTAGGTATTTTTATTTGTCCCTTAGAGGTACAGGGATAGTGAAAGGGTATTCTAGGCTCAGGATTTTTAGATGGAAAAGTAACCTTTTTATTTCTTTTGGGAACACCATTCCTTCTCTCACCGCAACATAAAAGTGACATATGCTTAATATGGAATATTAGGCAAACACAAAAAAATTCTTCCTTTTACCATCCAAAATTAGAGTTAATGTTTTTGCAAAATTTTCTCCATCTTCTACATGGTTTAAATATGATTCGGAGGCCAGGCACAATGGCTCATGCCTATAATCCCAGCATTTTGGGAAGGTGAGGTGGGAGGATTACTTGAGGCCAAGAGTTTGGGACCAGCCTAGGCAACATAGTGAGACCATATCTCTTAAATAAATAAATAAATATGGTTGAGGTCATAGTATAGATAGAGTTTTCTAATCTTTTTAAATTTAAATATGTTTTTCCTCATTATAAAACAAGTAGAACTACAGAACACAGACAAAAACAAAGAAGAATTTAAACACTCACAGTTGCGGTTTTTCATAGGCAGCCACCGTTAAGACCTTCAAGTGTTGCTTTCATCTGTGTGTCCACCCACACATGCATTTGTGATCCACTTTTTTCTTCTATGAAAATAGAATTCCAACACACGTATATAAACTACTTCTTAAACTTAATACATGAGTATTTTTTCGTAGCCATAACTTTTCTTCTAGAATGTTTTGTTTGTTTGTTCCTTTGCTTTGTTTCGTTTTTTTGAGACAGAGTCTTGCTCTGTTGCCCAGGCTGGAGTGCAGTGGTGTGATCTCGGCTCACAGCAACCTCT
Source organism: Homo sapiens (assembly GCF_000001405.40). NCBI lineage: Eukaryota > Metazoa > Chordata > Mammalia > Primates > Hominidae > Homo > Homo sapiens. The sequence continues at coordinate 49,015,201 of NC_000020.11, forward strand.
GTCTCCTGGGTTAAGCAATTCTCCTGCCTCAGCCTCCCAAGTAGCTGGGACTGCAGGCTAATGCCACCATGTCCAGGTAATTTTTGTAATTTAAATAGAGACAAGATCTCACCATGTTGGCCAGGCTGGTCTCAAACTCCTGACCTCAAGTGATCCACCCGCCTCAGCCTCCAAAGTGCAGGGATTACAGGTGTGAGCCACCACACCCAGCCTTTCTTCTACAATGTTGTTTTAATAATGGCTACAAAATAGTCTTAGTTGTGGATGTTCCACAGCTTATGAACATTTAGGTTGCTTTCCGGTTTTTCTGGACAGCACTGAAATGAACATTTTTTGCAGCTACACTTCTAGTGGTGGTGTTTTCTTCTTTAAAGACAAGTGGCCCAACTGCCAGGTTTGGGGCCTGCGTATTACTAAGCCTTTTGATACGTACCACTAAGCTGACCTGCAGATATCTCTGTAGCCATTTACACTTCTGTCAGCAATGCATGAGAGTTCCTATTTCTCCATATTCATTCCAGGTCTTCTCATTTTAATTTGTTTTAGTCATTGCTAATTTGATAAGCCAACTGTATCACATTGAAAAAGTGTTTCAAACTGCTAGTGAGGTGGCATATTTTCTCTCATAGGATTGATCATTCTTAAGAATTGCCTTTTATGAATTCTTTTATGAATTACTCTTAGCTCATCTACTGGATTATTCATCTTTCTCCTATTGATTTATGCATTTTTAAATATATAAATAATGTAGCATATGCATACATGAGTTGCAGATGATTTGCCCACTTTATTATTTCCTTTTCATTTTGGAAAATTTAGCTTTTAAGTAACCAAATCTATGCGTTTTTTATTTATTTTTTTATTCCACTTCTGGCTTCCACTTTTGGCATCATTACCATAATTTTATAAAGATCCCTCTGTATATCCTCTGTACATATGAATGTATTAACATTTTTAAGACGTATTCTTGATACATATCACCAAATTGCTTTCTACAACAGTTTTGCCAGGAGTGTACAAGAATGCCCATCTCACTGCAGGGAGAATAGCTTTTAAGTGTCATCTTTTTGTTTTCCCAGAAATCTGAGTGGATGACAACAACCTGCAATCACGCACTTTATGCTATTTGTGATGTTTTTACCCAGTTTTATGAAGCTTTGAATGAAGTTCTTCTTTCTGATGTATTTGCACAATTGCAGTGGTGTGTCAAACAAGGTACTCTTTAAGCCTCTAGGCATCATTTTTCTTACATAGTCTTTAATGAGAGGTTAGTTTTTTCAATATTTAAAAGCATGGATGTAGTGCCATGGAGTACAATATATAATTTAGTTGGTGAAATGTATACGTTTTAATTACAGTATAAAAAACAGTGCCCCCCCCAAGTCAGTTCATAAAGCATTTCTTAAAGATGGGATATAGTTATTTTTGTATTCTACAAGATGTACCTTCATGTATTATACTGTTCTTTTTACTTTTGTATATGTTTGAAATTTTCTCTAGTAAAATGTTTTTAAAATGTATTGTTTCAGTCAAGATCAACAGCTTCATCAACAGACAATTATTTTAGAGTTTGTCAGGAAAAATACCCAGCTAGCACATTAGAACTGGATTCCATAGATAATTTTGGCTTAGGGCAAGAAATTTAGTTACATTTTTGAAAAAGTGACTTAATTTTAAAATAAATGACAAAACATTTGATATTGTTCAGGTGGCAAAAATTGGAAATGTAATGTATGAGTGACTAAATTTTTGAAAACCTGGTCTAATGTTTTCTCTCTTCTATTACCATTTTTCATACATGAGCCACTTAATTTAAAGTAGCAAAATGTTGACCTTTCTTCTTTAGCAATAAAACTATGATAAACAATTTTAACTCTTCAAAAAAATTTTAATAAAAATTTTAATACTGTCTGTAGCATGGCTTCATTAATTAAAAGCCTAGAAACTCACCAGTTGCTGTCTCCAACTCACAATATACAGTATTTGAGACCTGGTTGGCATCAAAATAGCAGTAGAAGTTTAATGATAGATACTGCTTTATTTTACAGATAATGAACAGTTGGCGCGATCAGGTACAAATTGCTTAGAAAACTTAGTAATATCCAATGGAGAGAAATTCAGTCCTGAAGTCTGGGATGAAACCTGCAACTGTATGTTGGATATTTTCAAAACAACCATCCCACATGTGTAAGTGTTCATGCAGTTGTTCCCGTTTATCTCTGTGTTCAGTGGATGTCTTAAAGCTCCTGATTGCCTTTCACATTGATTATTTTTTTTCTCTATTTTTTTCTTCAGTTTGCTGACATGGAGACCTGTAGGAATGGAGGAAGATTCATCAGAAAAGCATTTGGTAGGATTTGGGGTTTTTCTTTGGTTGTCTTTTCTTTTTTCTATCTTAGTAAAAGATCAATAAGCCTGTATAGTTTGTACTTTTTTTAATGGGAAGTGAGTAAAATTATAAGATCTAAAAATAGTATATATTCATAATATATTTTTTAGAAAGTCCAGAAAAGCATTAAGCAAATAAGTAACCTCACCAAGTAAAAAGCACAGTTTACATTTCTAGCTGCCGCTTTGTGTGACCGTGCATGCCTAGGAAAACCAGCCATATTTGAAATGAGGGATCAGTTAGCATATAACAACATCTGAGCATTTTTCCATATTTTAAACGGTTCTTTGAGAGCAGTCTTTTCAGTGGCTGCATAGTATTATAATTTCTTTACTTCTCCCTTATCGGACTCTCAGGTTAGTTCTAGGCTTTCAACATTGTAAATAGTGCTTTGGCGTAACTGTGCTTGTTTGTTGCCCTCCTAAATTAATAGTGCTTTCCTCTTCACCAAAGAAGTGGTAGTTCTTACTTTTTGTGTGAGTCCACATAAAGAAGTTTTAATTCAGATCTCACTTTTAAATACTTTGGTTTACAGAGAGGAGTTGAATTAACTTTTATTCCTAAGTGACTCTAAGACCATTAGATTTTAAAAAGCATTTGGGATACAGCAACTGTCTTCTGCTGTTAAATTTTTTTATTTTTTATTTTATTTTATTTTTCTCGAGACAGAGTCTCGCTCTGTCCCCAGGCTGGAGTGCAGCAGTGCGATCTCGGCTCACTGCAACCTCCACCTCCTGGGTTCAAGCGATTCTCATGCCTCAGCCTCCCGCCAAGTAGCTGGGATTACAGGTGCCCGCCACCATGTCCAGCTAATTTTTGTATTTTTAGCAGAGATGGGGTTTCGCCATGTTGACCAGGCTGGTCTTGAACTCCTGACCTCAGGTGATCCGCCTTCCTTGGCCTCCCAAAGTGCTGGGATTACAGGCATGAGCCACTGTGCCTGGCCTGTTGTCAACTTTTTAAAAAACTAGTTACTGCACTAGTAATTTATCTTTGAACTTGCTCGCATAAAAAATTTGTCACACTTATTGTTAAATCCTAATATGTAGAGAAATGTCCTCTGGGTTGGAATAGGAAAATAGGGAATTTTAATGGGAGGAGAAGTAATTTAAATTCTTAATCTCTCCATTGCAGCCTGTGAGGCATGCTACATTAAGCATGTAGTATCATTTTATTTTGAGCTAAGCAAGGCACTTAAATACAGGCTGGACCAGCCGTGTTAAAACAGGCACATCTCTGCCCAAATTATCATGAAGAAAAGTGAGCATTGTGTTTCCCTCTGGTTTACATTTAGGATGTGGATCTGGACCGCCAGTCTTTAAGCAGCATAGATAAAAATCCCTCTGAGAGGGGACAGAGCCAGCTCTCTAACCCAACAGATGACAGCTGGAAGGGTAGACCATACGCAAGTAAGGCCACTTTTTAATTTGTTTTAAATAAGTAACATGTTTATGTGATTCATATATTCAGAAGGCACAAAAGGGTAAACATGATAAGCCTTCTTCTGCCCTGTGCCTCAGTCTGCCAGTTCTCTGTAGCAGCCAAGGTTACCTGTTTCTCTGTACCTTTCCAGAGTCATTTTATCCATGTGCAGGCAAGTACATGCACATATACATTCATATACATACATATATAGTACATACGAATTTTCTCCTTTTACCAGTTATGGAATAGTACATTCCATATACATTGACATATACATTCACACACATACATATATAGTACATATGAATTTTCTCCTTTTACCAGTTATGGAATAGTATGCCTTATTCTTTTTTCAGTTAATATATTTTAGAGATCATTCAAAATCAGTACATAAGGAGCTTTCACGTTGTTTTATACGATTGTCTATTATTCCAGTTTGTAGACATGCATTTATTGCTTAATTGAGTTGCTCTTAACAGACATTTATATTACTTATAATCTTTTGCTGTTAGGAGCAATACTGCATTGAATAACCCAATACATATGTCATTTGTGAATTTATGTAATAAATTCCTAAAAATGTACTGGAGTCAGTGGATAAGTGAATTTGCCATTTTTAAATATTTCCACATTGCTATCTATTACATTTGTAGCTGTTTACGTGATCTTTTTAGATGAAATACAACTTTGGACTAATTTAACTTGGAATTTTCAAATTATGAGTCAAATTGAATAGTTTTTCGTATGTTAAAGCACCACTTCTGTTTTCTTCTCTATGAACTCTGTAATCTTTGCTCATTTTCTGTTGATTGTTGGCCCCTTTTTTATTGGTTTGGAGGAGCTCTTATGTACTAGAAATCCTTTTTCTGATATGAGTTTCAAATTATTTTTGCCAAATTGTCTCTTAATGTTGCTTATGATGTGTTTTACTGTCATTTAAAAAAATAAGTTTAACAGCTGTCATGTACCAGGCACTGTACTGTGTGTTCCATGTGTATTGTTTCATGTAATCCTCATAGTAGCCTTTGAAGAGGTACTGTCTTACGTTTGAGGGAACTGGGGCTTAGACAGATCATAGAACTTGACAACATGTAGTAGAGTGGGGATTCAGACACATTTTTGGCAGCCTGAGGAATGGGAACTTGTGAAGGTTGTTCTGGTCCTTTGAAAGTTGTGTGCCCCATTGTTTGCCTTTATAGCAGTCCCACCCTGTCCTCAACATGCTAGGCCATAGCTGTTAACATTGAAGTTAACTTCTGAAGCAGCACATTTGACCAAAACAGTGTGCGGTCACCTTTTTCTTTAGAAGGAATAAAAGTAGTCACCCTTGAAATTCATTAAAGAGGTATCGTGTTGGGACTGGCATGCTGTCTTTCACTAACTGCTGCAGCCAGCTTCTCTCCAATGCCCAGTGATAGAATGATACCTTTTTCATTTTCTCTTTTTTTAGAGACAGGGACATACTCTGTCTCCCAAGCTGGAGTACACTAGTGCAATCATAGCTCATTGCAGCCTTGAACTCCTGGGCTCAAGCAATCCTCCTGCCTCAGGCTCCTGAGTAGCTGGGACTATAGGCATGTGCCACCACATTCGGCTAATTATTTTATTTTTTGTAGAGATGGGGTCTCACTTTGTTGCCCAGGCTGGTCTTGAATTCTTGGACTCAAGCCATCCTCCTGCCTTGGCCTCCCAAAGTGTTGGGATTACATGCGTGAGCCACCATGCCCAGGCTCTTTTTCTTCACGAGCTCCAGATAAAGTAGTTAGTTTCTGTGTGGAGGCCAAGTATACATTTCTTTCAATAGGAGAAGCACTCTCCGTGCAGTGAGAGTCTACACTCTGAGAAGTACCTAGGACTCAATCCACCTCCCATTCCCCCAGGGAACAGTGCCTTTGCTGCTCCCAGTCTCCCAGCTCAGCCATAAGCTCAGGCAGACAAAAATCTTTGCACTATTATTATCGTTTCCTTTTTATTTTTGGCCCAAAATGTTTTAATTGACTTGGCATAAGTTGAATGTACATCTTCTGGAACTCCACTGTATTAAAAAAAAAAATTTAAAACAATCTACATGGAGAATTGTTACGTGTTTTTATAATTTCATAACTGGCGAGGTGCAGTGGCTCACACCTGTAATCCCAGCACTTTGGGAGACCAGGACCAATGGATAGCTTGAGCCCAGGAATTTGAGACCAGCCTGGGCAACATGGTGAGACCCCATCTCTAAGAAGAAAAAAAAAATTTTTTTTTTAATGAAAAAAATGAAAAAATAATTTCACAGCCACTTTCAAAAACTTAAAGACAACTCAACCTCCTTGTTTTCTATCACTGAAATATTTAATGTTTTCAACATTCTGATTTTATAAAATAAGTTGGGAAAGGAATCTCTACTGTTACTGTAGACAAACCAGTGAACACTTATGATGTATTTGACATGGGCCACCCTTGGGCCCTCAGGGATTGAGAACACAAAGAGGATATAGTTAGTCTACTCAGTAAGCAGAAACCACACCGCTAATTTGAACAGGGAAAATTCAATATTAAGAATTGTTGGGGCCGGGCGCGGTGGCTCACACCTGTAATCCTAACACTTTGGGAGGCTGAGGCGGGCAGATCATGAGGTCAGGAGTTCAAGACCAGCCTGGCCAACATAGTGAAACCCCATCTCTATTAAAACTACAAAAAAAATTAGCCGGGCATGGTGCCGGGTGCCTGTAGTCCCAGCTACTTGGGAGGAGGCAGGAGAATTGCTTGAACCTGAAGGCGGAGGTTGCAGTAAGCAAAGATCACGCCACTGCACTTCAGCCTGGGTGACACAGCGAGACTCTGTCTCAAAAAAAAAAAAAAAAGAATTGTTGGCGAGGCACAGTGGCTCATGCCTGTAATCCCAGCACTTTGGGCTGAGGCGGGCAGATCACCTGAGGTCAGGAGTTTGAGACCAGCCTGGCTAAGATGGCGAAACCCCATCTCTCCTAAAATTACAAAAAACTAGCTGACACAGTGGCGCACACCTGTAATCCCAGCTACCAGCTACTTGGGAGGCTGAGGCGGGAGAATCACTTGAACCCGGGAGGCAGAGGTTGCAGTGAGCTGAGATCATGCCACTGCACTCCAGCCAGGGTGACAAAGCGAGACTCCGTCTCAAAAAAAAAAAAAAAAAAAAAATGTTAACTAGTCAAAGGTTGTTAACCACTAAGAGGAATAAAAGACCACTCTTAAGGGATACAGAAGTAGAAAATGCAGAAAGCAACAAAACTGAGCTTCTTGGCCAGGCAAGCAATGGCTCACACCTGTAATCCTAGCACTTTGGGAGGCCGAGGCAGGCAGATCGCTTGATATTGTGGCACAGGAGTTCAAGACCAGCCTGGGCAACATGAGGAAATCCCATCTCTATTTAAAAAACAACAACAACAACAACAAAAAAAAAAAACCCACAAGCTTCTGGCCTCTTCAGAGGGGCTGGCTACTGCAGGAACCTGAAACGTCCTCTGGTTAGGGCACAGTCCAGTGGTGGTCTTTAGGAGTAGCCCACTGGGTGGCAGAGAAACTTGCTGGAGGACACAGAACCTGCATAGCTGATTCCCTCACTTTCTTCAGGTCTTTGCTCAAATGTCACATTTTTATAGAGACTTTTCCCAACTAGTTTGCTTAAACGTGCAGTCCTACCCTGACACTTTCTATCCCTGTCTCTACCTATCATCAATATTTAATATATAATATTCTTAAAATATTTCATTTATTGTCTGTCAACACCATGGGAGCAGAGATTTTTTTTTGTCCAGTTTATTCATTGCTGTGCCACAACATCAAGAATTGTGCCTTGACTGGGTGTGGTGGCTCATGCTGTAATCCCAGCACTTTGGGAGGCTGAAGTGGGAGCATCACTTGAAACCAGGAGTTCAGGACCAGCCTGGAGAACGTAGTGAGACCCCATCTCTTAAAAAAATAAATCATGCCTTGCACATAGTAGGAGCTCAGTGGATATTTCTTCAGTATTGGCTGAATCATTATTAGGGTTAATCTTTATCATCTAACATAGATCAGAAACTGTTTGCCAGCCTCCTCATCAAGTGTGTGGTCCAGTTGGAATTGATACAGACCATTGACAACATTGTGTTCTACCCTGCGACGAGCAAAAAGGAGGATGCAGAGCACATGGTTGCCGCCCAGGTAAGAACAGGAGGCCTCAGGAAGAGCATCCCTGTCCATAGGGAGGTTGCTTTGATGTAGTGGTGTGCGGAAGCCAGCTTGTACTGGCTTTCCAGAGCCTGTCATGCTCATCTCTTTCCAACCTCACATTCAGTGATGGCATGTTGATGCTTAAAATTGGCCTTGATGGGAGTTATTTACATCAGAGAAAAACAGCAAACACTAAACATCAGGGCTTCATTTTTTTTATGTATATACCCCAGAGAGTGAGTTTATGAGCATACCACTGCTCAAATGCCACCCCACTAGTGTTAGTTATCACAGGAACTATTCCCCACAATTGATATACAGTTTTTTTTCTGGTTTTTTTTTTTTTGTTTTTTTTTTTGTTTTTTTGAGACGGAGTCTCGCTCTGTCGCCCAGGCTGGAGTGCAGTGGCGCGATCTCGGCTCACTGCAAGCTCCGCCTCCTGGGTTCACGCCATTCTCCTGCCTCAGCCTCCCGAGTAGCTGGGACTACAGGCGCCCGCTACCACGCCCGGCTAATTTTTTGTATTTTTAGTAGAGACGGGGTTTCACCGTGTTAGCCAGGATGGTCTCGATCTCCTGACCTCGTGATCCGCCCGCCTCGGCCTCCCAAAGTGCTGGGATTACAGGCGTGAGCCACCGCGCCCGGCCTGATATACAGTTTAATCACAAATAAGTGAGGAGGAAAAGATATATATAAAGATCCCAGTTTTTCCTTCAAGAATTTCGCTTTTTTTGTTTTCTATATGCAACTTTCTACATATGGGATTCTTTTCCTTTTTTTCTTTTTTTGGCGAGACAAAGTCTCACTCTGTCACCCAGGCTGGAGTGCAGTGGTGCAATCACAGAATCACAGGTAACTGGGGTTTCAACCTCCCAGGCTCAGGTGATTCCCCCATCTCAGCCTCTTAAGTAGCTGGGACTACAGGCACATGCCGCCATGCCCAGTTAATTTTTTACATTTTTTGTAGAGATGGGGTTTTGCCATGTTGCCCAGCCTGGTCTCAAACTCTTGGACTCAAGCAATCTGCCCACCTCAGCCTCCCAAAGTGTTGGGATTGCAGGCGTGCACCACCATGCCTGGCCTACATATCAGATTCTTGAAAACATAGAGAATTCAGTGTCCAAAAGTTGGACAGTTATCCTACACCATGGGTTACAAATGTCAGTGCTTCAGGGGCTAGCAGATCCTGTGAGAGTGAGTGAGTGAGGCAGGCTGGGTAAGGATTGTGGTAAACCAGAAATCTCTAGCCCAGTCAAAGCGGCTGCCACCTCTCAGCTTTAGCGCCCGATTACCATCCAAGTGGGTTAAGTTGTGACAGTTTCTCGTGTTTCAAGAGTAGCCAAAATCAAGATTTTTTTTCATAGAGGAAGTCATGTTTTAAATACTAGCAAAAGTAATGTAAATTTTATTACTGCTGGAAAAAATACAGCTGTGAGCCAGAGGCTGTCCTTTTGATTTTAAAATTTTAGGCAGCTTGTTCAGTAAAGTTTCCTAGGGTTTCATACATGTTTCAAGAATGCATTCCTGGGCTAGGTGCAGTGGCTCACGCCTGTAATCCCAGCACTTTGGGAGGCCGAGGCAGGCGGATCACGAGGTCGAGTCTGAGATCATTCTGACCAACATGGTGAAACCCCGTCTTTACTAAAAATACAAAAATGAGCTGGGCATGGTGGCGAGCACCTGTAATCCCAGCTAGTCAGGAGGCTGAGGCAGGAGAATCACTTGAACCCGGGAGGCGGAGGTTGCAGTGAGCCAAGATTGCGCCACTGCACTCCAGCCTGGGCGACAGAAACTCTTGTCTCAAAATAATAATAATAATAATAATTCATTCCTGTAATGAAATAATTGGAGACACACACACTCCTGCTTATGCAGTGGAGGCAGCACTGATGAAACTGAAACTTTGGCCAGCCAAGCCTGCCATCATGGAACGGCTCAGTGTGTTCCTTCACCAGCCAGTGAGCAGAGTCTAAATGGAAATGTTTCAGGGTGTTGGGGAATAAGTGTGTCTTATAGACAGGGATGACTTTTGGAGAGTCATGACTGCCGTTGTCTGCAATCACAATGCCCAGAGCATTCCATCTTCTTCATTAGCTCTTCTATCCTCTGTCCTGTCCTCTAGCAAGACACGCTGGATGCAGATATCCACATAGAGACGGAGGATCAGGGCATGTATAAGTACATGTCTTCCCAGCACCTCTTCAAGCTGTTGGACTGTTTGCAGGAATCCCATTCATTCTCAAAGGCCTTCAACTCCAATTACGAGCAGCGGACTGTCCTGTGGCGAGCAGGTAAGGCCACACAGCAGATAAGATAGATGGCCACACTGGTCACCTTCCTAAAACATTAAAGTGCTTGGAAAATGCCCAAAATTTTAAACATAGCTAGAATAACTTAACAGATATTTTCATGCTTGAGGGGGAGAGAAGGGAAATGTTGGATAGGTTTCATCCCAGTACATGGTAGATTCTCAGTACGTATTTGATAAAAAGACAAATTGAGGCCGGATGCGGTGGTCCATGCCTGTAATCCCAACACTTTGGGAGGCTGAGGCAGGCCTCAGCCAAGATCACTTGAGGCCAGGAGTTCGAGACCAGCCTGGCCAACATGGCGAAACCCCATCTCTACTAAAAATATAAAAATTAGCCAGGTGTGGTGGTGCAAACCCATAATCCCAGCTACTTGGGAGGCCGAGGCAGGAGAATCGCTTGTACCCGGAAGGCGGAGGTTGCGGTGAGCCGAGATTGCGCCACTGCACTCCAGCCTGAGTGACAGAGCAAGACTCCATCTGGAAAAAAAAAAAAAAAAGACAAATTGAAAGTTGGAGAATTGAATTGATCTAGCAAGTCAAAACATTTTATGGGCTGGGTGCGGTGGCTCACGCCTGTAATCCCAGCACTCTGGGAGGCTAAGGCAGGCGGATTGCTTGAGCCCAGGAGTTCAAGACCAGCCTGGGCAACATAGCAAAACCCCATCTCCACCCAAAAAAAAGTATATGAAAATTAGCTGGGCATTGTAGCACACACCATACTCAGGAGGCTGAGGTGGGAGAATCACTTGAGCCTAGGAGGTGGAGGTTGCAGTGAGCCAAGATTGCATACTGCACTGCAGCCTGGGTGACAGGGGGAGACCTTGTCTCAAGAAAAAAAAAAGAAATTTTACATTAAATTAAAAGTTAAATATGACATAAAAAGTGTGGTAGTCTAGGAAAAACAGAAACCATTCATCAATTTTCCAAGCCTTATATTTACTTTCCTACCTCCAAAAATAAATACAAAAACCCTGGAGGTAAATACATTTTTTTTCCAAGATGGTGGTGGGATTCTCATTATTTTGAACTTTGCATACAAGTGATACTTTATATAATTTTTGTATTGTTAATTTTTACCATTACTTTTTTTTTTTTTTTTTTTGAGGCAGAGTCTTACTCTGTTGCCCAGGCTGGAGTGCAGTGGCGCAGTCTCGGCTCACTGCAGTCTCTACCTCCCGGGTTCAAGCAATTCTCATGCCTCAGCCTTCCAAGTAGTTGGGTTTACAGGCACATGCCACCATGCCTGACTAATTTTTATATTTTTAGTAGAAACAGGGTTTCACCATGTTGGCCTAGCTGGTCTTGAACTCCTGACCTCAAGTAATCCACTCATCTTAGCCTCCCAAAGTTCTAGGATTACAGGCATGAGCCACTGCACCTGGCCTTGTTATCATTACTTTTTGTCCCCAAATATTTATTTTAACCCACAATTAAAGAATGTCATTTTTCTCTACAGCCTTAAAATATCCAGCTCTTTTATGCCTTTGCCTGTAATAAGATTTTGTTTGTGAGAGTCGTTTGCATATCTCTTAAGCTGATTGGTACTAGTTTGTTTTTAAGAATGTGTTCTTTTTTTTTTATTATTTATTTTTTTATTTTTTGGAGATGGAGTCTCACTCTGTTGCTAGGCTGGAGTGCAGTGGCGTGATCTTGGCTCACTGCAACCTCTAGCCTCCTGGGTTCAAGCGATTCTCCTGCCTCAGCCTCCCAAGTAGCTGGAACTACAGGCACGCACCACCACGCCAGTGGTCTCACTCTCTTGACCTCATGATCCACCTGCCTTGGCCTCCCAAAGTGCTGGGATTACAGGCGTGAGCCGCTGCGCCCAGCCTAGAATTCTTAAGAGCTGTTACATTTGAAAAGACAAAACTAATGGTTTCGCCAGCCAATAAGCAAAGTCTAAATGGAGAGCAGGCCAGGCAAGGTGGTTCACACCTATAATCCCAGCACTTTGGGAGGCTGAGGCGGGTGGATCACTTAAAGTCAGGGGTTCAAGACCAGCCTGGCAACATGGTAAAACCCCATCTCTACAAAAAATACAAAAATTAGTGAGGCGTGGTGGCGTGCGCTTGTAGTCCCAGCTACGCAGGAGGCTGAGGCAGGAGGGTAACTTGAGCCTGGGAGGTCGAGGTTGCAGTTAGTCAAGATTGTGTCACTGCACTCCAGCCTGGGTGACAGAGCAAGACTGTCTCAAAATAAAATACCAATAAATAAATGAAGAACAGTACAGGGCATTGAAAAATGAAGTTATCTTGTAATACAGAGGATGACTTCTGGGGAGTCGTAACTGCCTTCATCTGGTATCACAAACGATCTGTATTAAGAATATATATAAAATGTTTCAGGCCAGGCTCAGTGGCTCATGTCTGTAATCCCATTCCTTTGGAAAGCTAAGACAGGAGGATTGCTTGAGCCCAGGAATTTGAAACCGGCCAGGGCCACATAGTAAAACCCTCTCTGTACAAACACTAAAAAATTAGCTGGGTGCGGTGGCTCCCGTAATCCCAGAACTTTGGGAGGCCGAGGCAGGCAGATCACTTGAGGTCAGGAGTTCGAGACCAGCCTGACCAACATGGAGAAACCCTGTCTCTACTAAAAATACAAAAATTAGCCCGGCATGGTGGTGGGCACCTGTAATCCCAGCTACTAGGGAGGCTGAGGCAGGAGAATCGCTTGAACCTGGGAGGCGGAGGTTGCAGTGAGCCGAGATAATGCCATTGCACTCCAGCCTGGGCAACAAGAGTGAAACTGTCTCAAAAACAAAAAAAAATTAGCCAGGCATGGTGGCACACATCTATGTTCCTGGCTACTCAGGAGGCTGAGGCAGGAGGATCATTGAGCCCAGAAATTGGAGGCTGCAGTGAGCTATGATCATGCCACTGCACTCCAGCTTAGGTGACAGAGCAAGACTATCTCAAGAAAAAAACAGATGTTTCATATTTCATAAAATAACTAGATTTCTAGTCATACACAGTTATCAGCATTATCTTAGAAATGTGCACTAATTATATGACTGTCTGATCTCTAGGTTTTAAGGGCAAGTCTAAACCCAATCTTCTAAAACAAGAAACCAGCAGCCTGGCCTGTTGTTTGAGGATCCTGTTTCGAATGTATGTTGATGAGAACCGCAGGGATTCCTGGGAAGAAATACAGCAGAGACTTTTAACGTAAGAAAATTAGTTTCTGATTAGATTTCTATCTGCTATATACAAAATGCATCACAGCAATACTGTGGATTGAAAAGAGTAAGAGAAAAATACATGCTGACACTCTGACAAATTTTTTTTTCTTTCTATTTGGTGACTCTCCCATTTCACTTTTCTTAATGCCCTGAAGAGGGCAGAGCCTCATCTGTTTCACTGTTAAGCCCTTGCTTGAGCCCAGGAGTGGAAGGGTGCTGTGAGCTATGCATAGAAACATGGACAGTGAAAAGTGCTCCGAGCGGTCAGCAGGCTGGATGGAAGTCCTGACTGTGGCTAGAGCCCTGTGGCCTTAGGCAGGTTACTATCCCTCTTGGGACCAGGTCCTCTTTAGAATTGTTGTCAGCAATAACATCCCATCATTCCTTCTTTCCAAGAAGAGTGTAATTGAAATCATATAACCAGGATGTGCCTACAAAATTATCTAGAAATCCACCAATGGGGAGAGAGTGGAATACTGATGAGGAAGCCCCAGCCAGAAAAGTAGGTCTTTGTCACTCAGCTTCCTGGGCATCAGCAAGATTCTGATGCCTGAGCTTTCTTTTCTTCCTCTAAGGTATAAAAACAGTAACACACAGTGCTGGCAAATGTGTGGTAAGAATGCACTCTCCTGCGTAGCTAGTTGGAGTGTATAATGGCATGATCTTTCTGGAAAGTAGGTGAGACTATATACCAGGAGCCCTAAAGTGTTCATTCTCTGTGACTCAGTAATTCCACTGTTATGGAATCTGCTTCAGAAAATATTTTAGAAATAGGAACCAGGAATACCACATGGAATATTCACTGCAGACTTATCAGGAGAAAAAATTTTAAGCAGCTCAACTGTGGAATGAATAACTAAGCTGTAATATGTCCTAAATTATGATATTATGAAACATAGTCATTAAAAGTGAATTTTTTTTTTTTTTGAGACGGAGTCTTGCTCTGTCGCCCAGGCTGGAGTGCAGTGGTGCAATCTCAGCTCACTGCAAGGTCCACTTCCTGGGTTCAACCAATTCTCCTGCCTCGGCCTCCTGAGTAGCCAGGATTACAGGCGCGTGCCACCATACCTGGCTGGTTTTTTGTATTTTTAGTGGAGATGGGGTTTCACCATGTTGGTCAGGCTAGTCTCAAACTCCTGACCTCAGGTGATCTGCCGACCTCCGCCTCCCAAAGTGCTGGGATTACAGGCATGAGCCACCGTGCCCAGCCTAAAAGTGAATTTTTTTTTTTTTTTTTTTTTTTGAGACAGAGTCTTGCTCTGTCACTCAGGCTGGAGTGCAGTGGCGTGATCTTGGCTCACTGCCACCTCTGCCTCCCGGGTTCAAGTGATTCTTCTGCATCAGCCTCCCGAGTAGCTGGGACTACAGGCGTGTGCCATCACACACCTGGCTAATTTTTGTGTTTTTAGTAGAGACAAAGTTTCACGATATTGGCCAGGATGGTCTTGAACTCCTGACCTCGTGATCCCCCCACCTCGGCCTCCCAAAGTGCAGGGATGGGCGTGAGCCACTGCGCCCGGCCTAAAAGTGAAATTTTTAAGAAATAATTTTACTTAATGTGGGAACTTTTTCATAATACAATAATTTTTACCCCAAAAAAAGCTGCAAAAGTGTTTTTACTTGGAATTTTCAGCAATTGGGGCATTTTATTTGTTTTTTTAGAGTCAGGGTCTTGCTATGTTGCCTAGGCTGGTCTCGAACTCCTGGGCTTACGAGCTCTTCCTGCCTCAGCCTCCTGAGTAGCTGGGACTACAGGCGAGCAATTTTTCTTTTGAAATCTTAGCAAAAAAAAAAAAAACTGGAAGGAAATATGCCAAAATATTGTCATGTATCCCTTAGAATGATGTAGCTATTTTTCTTTATAATTTTTTTCATAATTTTTTACATATATCAGTTACCTTACAATGAGAATAACAAGTCATAAAGTGAAAAAAGAATTAATTAATTAAAGGAGGCACCAATGGCTCATTTCAGCTTAAGCCCAAAAGACAAATACCTACAGTCTCATAAAGTTTCTCTAAAGGAGATATGTAGGGCCGGGCGCGGTGGGTCACATCTGTAATCCCAGCACTTTGGGAGGCCGAGCCAGGTGGATCACAAGGTCAGGAGTTTGAGACCAGCCTGGCCAACATGGCCCTGTCTCTACTAAAAATACAAAAATTAACCAGGCATGGTGGCAGGCGCCTGTAATCCCAGCTACTCGGGAGGCTGAGGCAGGAGAATCACTTGAACCCAGGAGGCAGAGGTTGCAGTGAGCCAAGATTGTGCTGTTGCACTCCAGCCTGGGCAACAAGAGCAAGACTCCGTCTCAAAATAAAAAAAAGAGATATGTAAATGTCAAGTTTTTGGCATGTTTTTTAAAAAAGCAATTAAATGTGATTGTGAGGAGAGAAAGGCAGTTATATAATTATGAGTAATAAGCTCTTGTGCTACAGACATTGATTGAGTTCAGCCCTAGCCATGTGCCAGGACTGAGCCAAGTTATGACTTAACATATTTACTTCATTTAATCCTCACAACAACCCCTTGAGTTTGGACTTTTTTTTTTTTTTTTTTTTTTTTTTTTTGAGATAGTCTCACTCTATCGCCCAGGCTGGAGTGCAGTGGTGCAATCTCAGTTTACTGCAACCTCCACCTCCTGAGTTCAAGTGATTCTTGTGCCTCAGCCACCTGAGTAGCTGGAATTACAGATACGCACCACCACACCCAGCTAATTTTTCTATTTTTAGTAGAAATGGGGGTTTGCTACATTGGCCGGGCTGTCTCGAACTCCTGGCTTCAAGTGATCTGCTTGCGTTGGCCTCCCAGAGTGCTGGGATTATAGGCATGAGTCACTGCACCTGGCCAGGCAATTTTTTATCTCCATTTTATAGCTGAAGAAACTAAGGCTCAGTGATTTGCCCAAGATAGCACAGCCAGAGTGGGTGCTCAATAGTTATTGCAGTGGCTGGGCTCAGAGGCTCAGGCTCACATCTATAATCCCAGCACTTTGGGAAGCCAAGGCAGACAGATTGCTGAGCCCAGGAGTTCAAGACCAGCCTGGGCAACGTGGTGAAACCCCATCTCTACTAAAAATCAAAAAAATTAGCCAGGCATGGTGGCGCAAGCATGTAGTGTTAGCTGCTTCAGAGGCAGAGGTGGGAGGATCAGCTTGAGCCCGAGGAGGTCAAGGCTACAGTGAACCTTGATCACACCACTGCACTCCAGCCTGGGCCGCAGAGCAAGACCCTGTCTCAAAAAAAAAAAAGTAATTAAAAAAAACATGTTAAAATAATTTTAAAAATAGCACAAGAATGAATAGTTCTCCCCTGAATGTGAGATGTTAATCAATTGTTTGATATGCCTCCCCCTCTCTAATTCTTCTAGTGTTTGCAGTGAAGCTCTTGCCTATTTCATCACTGTGAATTCTGAGAGCCATCGGGAGGCCTGGACAAGTCTCTTGTTGTTACTTCTAACTAAAACCCTCAAAATAAATGATGAAAAGGTATGAACAAGTAAACTCTGACCAATTTTCACTAGGACATAAAGTTTGGGTTGGCTTTTTACTCAAGAGTTTGCAGTAACTATTTTCTCAGTTCTCCCAAGGATGGTTACGTGACTAGCACCATTCTAGATGCATTGGAGAGAAGTTAATCCGTTATGGACAATGGGTGCCACAGGATATTAGGGCTTTTTGCCTGGAAGAACAGTAGTTGAGAACGGCTGAAGTGTAGACCTCATGTGTTGCTGTTAGGAATGGTATGGTGAGTTTCAGTGCAGGAAGAGAGGGTTAAGATTGTGAAGCACCAGTTTTGACCTAGGAACCTGCTTTACAAAATAAAAGAGCTGTTGACTTTTGGCAGCAAGACTATCCAAATTTAATTAAAGTTAAATATAACTGAAAGAAGCTTTAATTTGCAAGGTTTCTTCAACTTCTTTTTTTTTTTTTGAGACAGAGTCTTGGTCTGTCACACAGGCTGGAATGCAGTGACGTAATCTAGCTCACTGCAATTTCTGCCTCCCAGGCTCAAGCGATCCTCCCACCTCAGCCTCCTGAGTAGCTGGGACCACAGACACGCGCCACTATGCCCAGCTAAGTTTTTGTATTTTTGGTAGAGACAGGGTTTCACCGTGTTGCCTAGGCTGGTCTCGATCTCCTGAGCTCAAGCGATCCACCTGCCTCGGCCTCCCCAAGTGCTGGGATTATAGGCGTGAATCACTGCGCTCGGCCCCAACTTTCTAATAGCAAGAAAAGCACCAATATTGTAATAAGTTCCAGGGTGAGATTAACACTTCTGAAAAACTGGTGCCCAAAAAAAAAAAAAATTGTCTAATTTTATCTGTTTCTCTCCCACCTCAAGTTCAAAGCACATGCTTCAATGTACTACCCCTACTTGTGTGAAATTATGCAGTTTGACCTGATCCCTGAGCTCCGAGCAGTTCTGCGGAAGTTCTTCCTACGGATAGGTGTTGTGTATAAGATATGGATACCAGAAGAGCCATCACAGGTACCAGCAGCACTGTCACCAGTGTGGTAGCCCTGGCTGCCCAGGCCAGTGCTGCAGCTCTGCAGAATGTTCAGCATGCCATTTCTGACTGGCACATCTCGTGAAGTTTCATAGAAACAAGGAGTTGGCATCTTGGATCTCAGAATGGCCTGGAAACGGATGGCCTCTACGCTGTTCCATCACAGTCTCCAACTAAGGCTTATGGTATTTCATTAAACTGTTGCATACCCAGTTAGCACAGTAGGTGGGGAGTCTGCTTCATTTCTATCATTCCATTTTTCTGATTAAACTGTCAAATCTGTCATTGCATATGCCATCGTTTTCTAGCAAAATCCCATGATTGGCTATAAACGTTTTGTAAGAAGTCACTCTCCTTGAAAATACTGAACATAGCTGTATAGGTTTGTGATTATTAGAGAATATGTTAATAAAACTTCTTGTAACGGCTAACTGCCACCTAAAATATGCTGGGTTTTCTGTTGTTTGAGTGTGTTAGAGAAATTTGAATGTTTTTGTCAGTTACGAGTCAGCCGTAATTAGATTAGTTTAAGGACAGGTCAGGATTAGAGAAGAGTTGTTTTTGTGTTTTGTTAATGTCTGAGTGATTTTTAAAGTATTTTACAAAAAGATATTGAAAATTTGGTTGAAGGCAGAGTTTAGTAATTAAGTTAGAATTAAGAGTTTTGCGAGGTTAAAAAAATGTGCCTCGTGGATCTCCCTGTTTTAGTAACATGGAGAGAAAAAGTCTACACGAAAAAGTGAACAATTTAATGAAGATGATTAGCCTTCCTTGAAATAAGTATTTGTGGATGGGTGTTAAATTAAAATTTCCAGAATACACTGTCCATCTCACACACTCTGAAATCTAATATATGAAGTAGTAATGAAAATGAAGTAGTAATTTAACCAGAGTTCATTTATCCTTGAATAAACCTTTTTATTTTCACCTCAGAAAAGTGAGTGTACTGGCAGTTAGTGTCACTGCTTTGCACAGTCCCCATTAAAGGACCCTCCAGAGAGGGACAGTAACTGTGCATGAGAAGCCGCTCCCATAAGCCTCCTCAGCCAGATGTCATGGGTGGAACTGGAGCTGTGTCGGGGCCAGCACAGCTGAACTGTGACAATGGCAGGAGGTGGCATGTGCCCAGCACTTCCATTAATCTGAGCCTAGGAGTTGAATTCTTTGGCAAGGTTGGATTCTGAGGTCCTTATTATGTTAATGATGGTGCAATACTCTCACCTGCAGTAGAACTGAGTTCTGCTGCAGCTTGTGTAAAAGTGGGCAGTACACAAGTACGTCCCAAAGCCTGTGAGCAGTATACGTGGATGCTCACCCATGAGAAGGAGCACACACGCCTCATTCTCTGCCCTCACCCACTGCTCACCTAGAGCATCGCTGAGCGTTAGACAAAGTGTTACACAGAATGATTAAAACTTTCAGACTTCTACCTATGCTCTTTAGTCCTGTAAATTGGGTTGTATTGATGTCAACTCTGGTGCCTTAGAAGTTAGTAGTTTGGGAACCTATCTGTAAAATCAGATGTTTTTTCTTTGTAGAGAAGGATTTCTGGTGCTTTTGCTTACTAAGAGACCGATATTCTTAAGTTGTTTTCTTGTTTTAACAGCCTTGAGAAATGTTTGGTTTTGGCCAGCAGAATTCTTGTCTACTTTTTTCTTTCCCAAAAAGTGTTTTTTAATTTCTCTACCAAAGAAAAAATGAGCAGGTTTAGGTTTTTACATGACTTATATACATTAGATAAAAGGAGCTGTATAATTTAGCAGGAAGGGACTATGGGAGAATACTTTACTGTGAGTGGAAAATGTTAGCACATTTGACTGGTTTGCCCTGGAATCCACTGCACCTTTACACTGCACCATGAAACCTACACTCCCTGGTATCATAGCGCGTCATCACCTCAACAAGTCAGTCGTCTCCATTGATATTTGTACAAAAGGTATACATGGGGAACACGTGTTCATTCATTAAGTCCATCTTGCGTGCAGCTATATCCCTGATTGGTTATTTTTCCTTTCCTTCTGAGGTTCTCATGTCATTTTCTTCATCGGATGTGACTAAAATTTTTCTGGTGTCTTCTGCCCTCTCTTTAATTTTGCCTCTTGAGGGGTAGCAGATGTGTCAGTGCATTTTATTACTTGCTGAAACATTCAGGCTTACATTTCTTATTAGTTTAGTATTTTAAAAGATTTAATTTTCTGAATGAGGCATTTGAATTGTACCAGCAATGGACTTTTAAAAAATTGGATGTAAAACCATTCAGGGTGATTTTTCTTGTCAGTGGACAGTGACGAACAGAGATTTGAAATCCCTTACCTCCAATAATAAGCCATTCAGCCTAAATTCATTTTTATGAATAAATCTCTTCTTTCTCATGGTAAATGTGGCTTGTGCCACTCAAACACTAGTGAAAGGGTATGTACAACCGCAACATCAGGCCAGGACACCATTTATTTAACCAAGTAATGGAGGAGAGTGAAACATTTTCCAAGGCCTTATTTCTTTTTCAGAATGCTTTAAGTGTTGATTATATGTGCTGGGTCTCTAGAGAAGTTTTTATTTGTTACAATACTGCTGCTTTGAGCAATTTTGTTTCTCTTCATTGTCTGTTAGGGAAATCACCAGCTTTGGCATCTTAACAACAAACAGTGGATGGGTAATTTTTATTTCTGATACGCATCTTTAGAGTCAAATATATCTTTTCCCTGTACTCCTCATGTACAACCAAAGAACATACATTATGAAAATTGTATTATAATATCTGGAAACACAACATTTTCCTCTGGCAGGTGACTTTTGTACGAAATGAAAAAAAAAAAACCTGTATTTTTTTTGTTGTTCTTTTGTGATTAAGGATATACATTTAGTAGTCTTTGTTATTAAAGGAACCTGCTGATAAGTACAAGTGTGACCATCTCATTCAAATGTTTGTTGTTATGATGCAAATGGATATTGGTTTCAATAGAAGCTGGATCCTTAATACTGCATTTTCTGAATTCTGTTTTAATATTTGTGTTAAAGTAGACATAGCTGAACTCACATGGAATCCTGGAGTTTTGTTATCAGCAGCTTTGCAGTTTGGGAAACAAAGAAACCAAAGCTGAGTGTTTTAAAGAATGAACATATCTGGAAATCCTTGCTCTCAAAACAAAACAATATAATCTATCAAAGGTGTTTTACTCAGTGTTCTAATTTTTAAAAAATTTTATCTGCATATTTGCATCAAATATTTATGTGTAAAATGTATGTTTTACCTCCTTAAAATGCCTAAAAGTTAGTTAATAGTTACTTTGGTTTAACCTATACACAATGATTAAGTGCATTTAATATTGGTAATTTAATGAAAACCATTCCTTGCCCAATGGATGTATAAATTTTTGAAAGAATAAGCAGAATTATATAATATGAAATGCTATGTAAAGTTTTCTATGTAAAAATATTATGTATAATACTATTAAAATATCCCATGCTTTGATCAGGTGGTACATCAATAAAATTTTAAAAAGTATAGCTGTTTCTAATGTGTAGTAATTTAAAAAACATATATCAAGCCGTAGTTTTGGGTCAGTTTATGTCCCTCACCAATGAAAGGGGGAAAATTCTAGTCATGAGATTCTTTATATGCCTCTTGAATCTATTAACTTTGTTGTTGCTAGTTACAAAATGTAATTGTAAGGATCAAGTAGTGGCTATTGGTTCAGCCAGTACACATTGACAGCTTTGAAATATTCAGATGCTAATTTATTTATTTATTTTTGAGACAGGGTCTTGCCCTGTAGCCCAGGCTGAGAGCAGTGGTGCAATCACAGCTCACTGCAGCCTTAACCTTCTTGGTTCAAGTAATTCTCCCACCTCAGCTTCCTGATTAGCCGGAACTATAGGGCCAGTAGTGAGACACCTTGCCTGGCTAATTTTTGTATTTTTTTGTAGAGTTGGGGTTTCACCATGTTGCCCAGGCTGGTCTTGAACTCCTGGCCTCAGTGATCCTCCCACCTTGGCCTCCCAAAGTGCTGAAATTACAGGTGTGAGTACCACGCCAACTGAGATGCTAATTTTTAAGTCAATGTGACAAATACTAATCAGATTCCCATAACAGTGTTTAGGATCTACATAAATTTGATTCTGGACATAGTTCTATACACAAGGGTAAGAGACTGACAGTGTAATTCCCCAATAATTAAACTAAAGGTATAATTTTCCAAATCACTTTTAGTAACACAATAAATTCTAACTTTTTTTAAAAATAGAGATGGGGGTCTCACTATGTTGGCCAAATTGGTCTTCAGCTCCTGGGCTCAAGTGATCCTCCCACCTCAGCCTCCCAATGTATTGGGATTATAGGTGTAAGCCACTACATCCAGCCAATTCTAACTTTTTAAGTCTAGGGTCTGGCATGGTGGGAGGATTGCTAGAAGCCAGGAGTTTGAGACCAATCTGGGGAATGTAGTGAGACCCTATCTCTACAAAATAATAATAGCAAGTGTGGTGGCACACGCCTGTAGTCCCAGCTACCCAGGAGACTGGGGTGGGGAGGACTGCTTGAGCCCAGGAGGTCGAGGCTGCAGTGAGCTTTGTTTGTGCCACTGCACTTCAGCCTGGGTGACAGCCTGTCTCAAAAAAACAAAAACCAAAAAAACCTTCTGGCCACAAAGCAAAAAGTTGCATAGCCACGGTAAAGATTTAGTTGGTTATAAAGTTGTAGTTATTGCCACTTTAAGCTAATACTTCGTTTTGGAGCTTTTATACACAGTATTTTTGTTAGGGATCACAGTTCTGCAACCTCTGCTCCAAAAAGAATGAGTTTTCTTAAAGGGAGCTTAACTTCTGAAGTCTTAGTGATTCATAGGTGTGCATAGAATGTGTGATTCCACATCCCAGGTGGAAAGAAAGCAATCTTTCCACCTCAGCCTCCCAAAATGCTGGGATTACAGGCACGTGCCACCATGCCCAGCTAGGTTTTTGCTGAGGTTAACCTCTTATCTCTTGTCCCTCCCTCCACCACAAAAACCACAAACAAAAAACACTTCTACAGCTTCCTTCTTCTTGGCTGTCTTTGTCAATGTTTCCAATTTTTTTTTTTAAGAGACGTGATCTTGCTTTGTCACCCAGGCTGGGGTGAGTGGCCTCATTGCAGCTGACTGCAGCCTCAATTTCTCGTGCCCAAGCCATCCAAAGTTCTTTGTTCTATTATGTGGACAGACACGAAGGGCATGGCATTTGTTAAGTTCTGTTAAAGTCTTCTCTGCCTCTCTCATGTCTGTATTTTTGTGGCCCATGTCTTCTATGTGGTTGAGTTGTTCCCCTTGTTTATCCAGTATTGTGATGATCTTGATTCCTGCATCCTGAGACTCAATGGCTAAACCCAGGATTCTCCTTGTACTTTCTAGAGACTCATCAGCAACTTGGTGAACCCTCAGATGAATTCTTTTTGATTCAGGATCTTGCTGTGGCTCCCAGGCTGGAGTGCAGTGGCAGTGGCACCATCATAGCTTACTGCAGCCTCAAATTCTTGGGCTCAAGCAATCTTCCTGCCTCAGCCTCCCCAGTAGCTGGGACTACAGGCACACCTCACTATGCCCAGCTAATTTTTTTAAATTTTATTGTAGAGACAGGGTCTTGCTACGTTGCCCCAGCTGGTCTCAAACTCCTAGGCCCAAGTCATCTTCCCACCTCAGCCTCCTAAAGTGCTGGAATTTACAGGCATGAGCCACTGGACTTGGCCCTGAATTTCTTTTAATGACAGATTATCCATGATGAATCAAAACTATCAGGCATGGGCCAGGTGTGGTGGCTTACACCTGTAATCCCAGCACTTTGGGAGGCTGAGGCGGGCAGATCACTAGAGGTCAAGAGTTTGTGACCAGCCTGGCCAATGTGGCAAAACCCTGTCTCTACGAAAAATACAAAAATTAGCTGGGCATGGTGACACACACCTGTAGTCCCATAGTCCCAGCTACTTGGAAGGCTAAGGAACAAGAATCACTTGAACCTGGGAGGCCAAGGTTGCAGTGAGCTGAGATCACACCACTGCACTCTAGCCTGGGCCACAGAGCAAGATTCCTCAAAAAAAAAAAAAAAAAAAAAAAATTACTTGGCTAATTTTTGTATTTTTAGTAGAGACTGGCTTTCACCATGTTGGCCAGGCTGGTCTCAAACTCCTGACCTCAGGTGATTTGCCCGCCTCTGCCTCCCGAAGTGCTAGGATTACAGGCCTGAGACACTGCGCCCAGCCTCTGAAGACCCACTTCTACTGCACACCTGTCATAGGCAGAAAGCAGCCCTGGGCTCCTGCTGCCCTCTGAGAGAGTCCTGGAAGGTACTCTGTCCTTGGCCTTTGGGCCACATTCCATGGACTCCTGGTAAAGTCTCACTTCTCCCTTCCCTTCCACCAAAAGAGGAAAGAAGGAGAATTTAATGGCTGGGCACAGTGGCTCATGCCTATAATCCCAACACTTTGGGAGGCTAAGGCAGGAGGATCACTTGAGGCCAGAAGTTTGAGACCAGCCTGGGAAACGGTGAGACCCCATCTGTCCCCCTCCCCATCTCCCCATCAATGAACTTTAGTACTTTCTCCTGCTAGGCTTTCCATATTGATCATGTTTTTGACTCTTGCTATTTCAACCATTCTTCAGCCATTAATTCGCACAATAACCCCCGTAAAGTAGGTACTATTATCATCATCACCAGCATCCCTCCTTTTTATAGAGGGGTACGGGCTCAGAGAGGTTGACAAACTTGACTTAGGACACTCAGAGGGATTTGAAGCCCTGCAGCCTGGCTCTAGAGCCCGCCTCCTAAACATTGCCCAGATCTAGCCTGGCACCGTGCCTCACACCTGTAACCCCAGCTCTCTGGGAGGCCAAGGCAGGCAGATTGCTTCAGCCCAGGAGTTCGAGACCAGCCTGGGCAACACAGTGAGACTTGTCTCTATTTATTTATTTTTTATTTATATATATATATTTTTTGAGATGGAGTCTGGCTCTGTCGCCCAGGCTGGAGTGCAGTAGTGCAATCTTGGCTCACTGCAATTTTGGCCTCCCAGGTTCAAGCAATTCTTGTGCCTCAGCCTCCTGAGTAGCTGGGACTACAGGTGCGTGTCACCGTGCCCAGGTAATTTTTGTAGTTTTAGTAGAGACGGGATTTCGCCATGTTGATCAGGCTGGTCTTGAACTCCTGACCTCAGGTCGTCTACCCACCTCGGCCTCCTAAAGTGCTGGGATTACGGGTGTGAGCCATCGCATTCGGCCTTGTCTCTATTTAAATAAATAAATAACTGCCCAGCTCCACTTCCAATTTATTTCTTCCACTGCAACCTTGATGCTCCCTTCAAGTCTTGCCCTGGAGAGGAATCTCACACAGGGGAAGGGCTGCTCTGATGTGCTGGAGAGCAGATGGACAGCGGTAGATAATATGGGGCCCTGGCTCCTGTGGACAGAGAACACACTTAGCACAGGACTAACATTTGCAGGCTCTAGGGCAGAAATACAAATGTCGGCTCCCATGCTCTGAGGGTCAACATTGAAAAACTATACGTAAAACTTTTGAATAAGACAGTCTATCTTCCTTCCTTTATAAATGTACCTTTGTAAAGATCTGGAAGGGCAGGTCAAAGATGGAATTCTCAGGCTCCTCAGAGCTCCACACCAGAAAGCAGCAGCACCGGGTGGCTGGCCCAAGACCAGCACCCTGCTCTCTCCACCTCAGGCTTCACCCTGCACCATAAGGCTTTGCATGTGTGCATGGAAGCCCATTCCTGTCCAAACTCCCTGCAAACCCCTTTCTGACCCAAGTCACCCTTCCAGCATGGGAGTGCTCACAAGCTGCTGTGCAGCCCACCCTCTGAAGAAGTGACCCAGGCAAGGGTATCCACAGGCCAGGGCCCTATGGGTTGGGAATTCCAGGGCCCTGTCCAACTGCAGTGTGGTCTCAAAGGGAGTGGCATGGGTTCTAGATGTGCACACCCATTCGGCTAACGGGCAGGAGGGAGCAGCTGGAGGAGGGCCAGGACGAAGCCCTCTAAAGCAAGGGCACGGCAAAGGTCTGCAGGCTTGCCCAGGTCTAAGGCAGGTCTAAAAATCCCACTTGAAGGGATGGAAAAAATATAATTTCCCATCAAGAAGCATGAAAAATACACTTCTAGGTCAGGCGTGGTGCCTCACACCTGTAATTCCAGCACTTTGGGAGGCGGAGGCAGGTGGATCACCTGAGCTCAGGAGTTCAAGACCAGCCTGACCAACATGGTGAAACCCCATCTCTACTAAAAGTACAAAAGTTAGCTGGGTGTGGTGGCACATGCCTGTAATCCCAGCTATTTGGGAGGCTGAGGCAGGAGAATCGCTTGAACCTGGGAGGCGGA
The DNA here is from genome assembly GCF_000001405.40 of Homo sapiens. NCBI lineage: Eukaryota > Metazoa > Chordata > Mammalia > Primates > Hominidae > Homo > Homo sapiens. The sequence goes on from NC_000020.11 coordinate 49,041,542, forward strand.
GATTGCAGTGAGCCACTGTAATCCCAGCACTTTGGGAGGCCAAGGTGGGTGGAACACTTGAGCCCAGAGGTTTGAGACCAACCTGGGCAACACAGAGAGACCCAATCCCTACAAAAAAAAATTTAAATATATACATTTAAAAATTTTTAATTAAAAAAATATAAAATAAGGAAATAGAGGACATAATATATTACCTACAACTTATATCCTAATTAATAAAGGAGATTTCCCATTTTGTATGAGTAGATTTGTTTTTTTGAGATGGAGTCTCGCTCTGTTGCCCAGCTGGAGTGCAATGGTGCAATCTCAGCTCACTGCAACCTCTGCCTCCTGGGTTCAAGCAATTCTCCTGCCTCAGCCTCCCAAATAGCTGGGATTATAGGCACACAGTACCACGCCCGGCTAATTTTCATATTTTTAGTAGAGATGGGGTTTCACCATGTTGATCAGGCTAGTCTCAAACGTGTAGATTTTTATAACATATAAACATATATTTAAACAGAAATAAGCCAGGTGCAGTGGCTCACGCCTGTAATCCCAGCATTTTGGGAGGCCAAGGTGGGCAGATCACCTGAGGTCAGGTCAAGACCAGCCTGGCCAACATGGTGAAACCATCTCTACTAAAAATACAAAAATTAGCTGAGTGTGGTAGTGGGCGCCTGTAGTCCCAGCTACTTGGGAGGCTGAGGCAGGAGAATTGCTTGAACCTGGGAGGCGGAGGTTGTAGTAAGCCAAAATCGCGCCACTGTACTGTACAGCCTGGGCAACAGAGTGAGATTCCATCTCAAAAAAAAAAAAAAAAATTAAAGTGCCTCCATTTTAAAAAAGATAAGAAACAACAATCAGATACTTCTCAATGTTTAGCTGTTAACACTCTTCTGCATCTCAGTTGGGCTTTAAAAGCGAGATTGAGACATAAGACTTGTTCTTTCCCAGCATAACCAGATGTGTCCACGCCCTTCTGGATCCAAATAAAATGTAAAGTTATCTTCCTCAAGGAGCACACCATAGACAATGTGTCTTTTCAGAATGTCTTTCCTTACATTAGACAGATTGGGGTTTTTTTTGTTTTTGCGCGGGGGGACAGAATCTTGCTTTGTCGCCCAGGCTGGAGTGCAGTGGTGCGACCTCAGCTCACTGCAACCTCTACCTCCCAGGTTCAAGTGATTCTCCTGCCTCAGCCTCCCAAGTAGCTGGGATTACAGGCACCCACCACCACACCCGGCTAATTTTTGTATTTTTAGTAGAGATGGGGTTTCACAATGTTGGCCAGACTGGTCTCGAACTCCTGACCTCGGGTGACCCATCCTGTCCTCCCAAAGTGTTGGGATTACAGGCGTGAGCCACCATGCCCAACCTAGACAGATTGTTTTATAAGGGTTTAGAAAGAAAGGAAACTACATGAATGAGTACTTAGTCTCCTGCTCCTTGAAGTGGATGAATTGTTTTCTTTGGTTTCCAACACAGTCTGTTAAGAGTTGTAGCACGCCCCAAGAGTATGTGCATGTAGTGGAGCTGGGATGGGGAGGATTCCCAAGGGAATCTTTAGCTGTCACCCATGAACCATGCAGAGTGGAGAAGGACACTCAGCCTTTCTGTGGCTCTCACCTGCATGATTATTCTGGTGGCTGCAAAGGGCGATAGGCAGTAGGAGGAGACACCCCGTGACACCAAGAGCTGTGTCCAGACATGATCGTCTTGGCACAGCTTGAGGGTTTTCTACAGAAACTGGTAGAGATGCTAGACAGACACAAGATGCCAGCCAGCCTCCTTTGCGATTGGCTCTTAGAGGTGGAAAATGGTAAAGTCATCAGGCTCATTCTCCCTAGGACTAGAGGAACATGTTAATTATATTAAAGTAGATTAGTGGGCCGGGTGTGGTGGCTCACGCTTGTAATCCCAGCACTTTGGGAGGCCGAGGCGGGCGGATCATGAGGTCAGGAGATCAAGACCATCCTGGCTAACACGGTGAAACCCTGTCTCTACTAAGAATACAAAAAATTAGCTGGGCATGGTGGCGGGCGCCTGTAGTCCCAGCTGCTCGGGAGGCTGAGGCAGGAAAATGGCGTGAACCCAGGAGGTGGAGTTTGCAGTGAGCCGAGATCGCACCACTGCACTCCAGCTTGGGCAACAGTGTGAGACTCCGTCTCAAAAAAAAAAAAAAATGCAGATTAGAACGATTAAAATGATTACTGGTGATTACTGGTACTATTGCTGCAATAGTAAAAATACATCTTTTTCACCAATGTCTTTGTTTTTTTTTAAAATGTTCCACCGTCTTCTGACCATCATGGTTTATTTTTATTTTTATTTTATTTATTTATTTATTTTTTTAAGACACAGTCTCGCTGTCACCCAGGCTGGAGTGCAGTGGCTCGATCTCGGCTCACTGCAGCCTCTGCCTCCCAGGTTCAAGCGATTCTCCTGCCTCAGCCTCCTGAGTAGCTGGGACTACAGGCGCATGCCACCACATCTGGCTAATTTTTGTATTTTTGTAGAGACAGGGTTTTACCATGTTGGCCAGGATGGTCTCGATCTCCTGACCTCATGATCCGCCTGCCTCAGCCTTCCAAAGTGCTGGGATTACAGGCATGAGCCACCGTGCCCGGCCTCACCAATGTCTTTCACTCATGTATCTTTCTCCATGGACTTCACTTATTTATATATGGCATTTCATTCAACATGCAACAAACATTTATTAAGCAGCTACTGTGTGCCTAGTGCTGGGGGTACAGCTGTGAATACCATCAATATGGGGCTAGATGTGGTGGCTCACACCTGTAATCCCGGGGCTTTTTTTTTTTTTGAGATGGAGTTTCGCTCTTGTTGCCCAGGCTGGAGTGCAATGGCAAGATCTCAGCTCACCGCAACCTCTGCCTCCCGGGTTCAAACGACTCTCCTGCCTCAGCCTCCCAAGTAGCTGGGATTGCAGACGTGCGCCACCACACCCGGCTAATTTTGTATTTTTAGTAGAGACGGGGTTTCTCCATGTTGGTCAGGTCTCAAACTCCCAATCTCAGGTGATCTGCCTGCCTCGGTCTCCCAAATCACTGGGATTACCGGCGTGAGCCACCATGCCCAGCCCTATCCCAGTGCTTTAGGAGGCGGAGGTGGGAGGATCACTTGAGGCCAGGAGTTTGCCTGGGCAACATAGTGAGAGCTCATCTCTACAAAAAAATTCAAAATTAGCCAGGTGTGGTGGCAGGTGCCTGTAGTCCTAGCTACTCAGGAGGCTGAGGTGGGAGGATTGCTTTAGCCTAGGAGGTCGAGGTTGCAATGAGCTATGATTGTGCCATTGCACTGCAGCCTGGGTGACAGAGCAAGACCCTGCCTCTTAAAAGAAAAAAAAAAAAAAAAAAAAAGCCCTGGCCAGGCGTGGTGGCTCATGCCTGTAATCCCAGCACTTTGGGAGGCCAAGGCTGGCGGATCACAAGGTCAGGAGTTCAAGATCAGCCTGGCCAATATGGTGAAACCCCGTGTCTACTAAAAATACAAAAATCAGCGGGGCATGGTGGCGGGCACCTGTAGTCCCAGTAACTTGGGGGGCTGAGTCAGGAAAATTGCTTGAACCTGGGAGGCAGAGGTTGCAGTGAGCTGTGACAGCACCACTGCACTCCAGCCCTCCAGCCTGGGCGACAGAGCAAGACTCTGTCTTTAAAAAAAAAAAAAAAAAAGAAAAGCCCTTGCTGTATAGAATCCCTTAGGTTATGGATGGGGAGGAGGGCAGGGGTTTAGGAGGGGAGAAGCGGAAGGAGGAACAAAATAAAGAAGAGACAATTAGTTGGAGAGTGATAAATACCATAATGATATCATGGAACTAGGCTTACCAGATCAAACACTGGGCACCCAGTTCAATGTGAATTTCAGATAAGCAATGCATGATTTTTAAGTATAAATATGTCCTACACAGTATTTATACTAGAAAATTATAAATTTTTTTCTAAAATTTACATTGACCTGGGCAGCCTGCATTTTATTTGCTAAACCTGGCAACCCTAATTTGTGTGCTGGGTGGTGGTGAGTGGGCAATTTCAGATAGGCCTCTTTTGTGGAGGTGACATTTGAGCTGGAACCTAAATGTAAAGAAGGAGCCAATCATTCAGGAATCTAGAACATCCCAGCACAGGGAACAGCAAGTATAAATGCTCTAAAGTGGAAATAAGCTTGGAGCTTAGAGGAACAGGAAGAAGGTGGGGTGGCGGAGCTGAGTGAGGGTGAGGAGAGGAGGGAAGCGGAAGGTGATGAGGGCAGGCAGGCTGGCAGGGGCCAGATCCCATATGGTTTGTGGGCTGTAATAAGAGTACCAAAACTTACATACCAGGCCAGGCGCGGTGGCTCACGCCTGGAATCCCAGCATTTTGGGAGGCCAAGGTGTGCGGATCACTTGAGGCCAGGAGTTCGAGACCTGTCTGGCCGTGTCTCCCTCTAAAATAGAAGCTCCAAGAGGGGCAGGAAGTTCTCTTCCGTCTTAGACCCTATGTGCACGACCTTGGATCGATCAACATTGAACACCTCCTACGTGCCAAGCCCTGACATCAAAATGGGTCAGAAGCCAGCAGCCGCTCGCTGAATCTGTGTTCCTCTTTGGAAAACGAGAACCGTGAAGCCTGCTGGCATGGTCAGAGCCAAAGAGCATTGTCACTTGTGAGATCAGCGCAGAAACAGAGCGGGGCCCCGATTGGCCCTTCGAACTTGGGTGGGGCCAGAGCATTCCTGGCCCCGCCCCCTGCAGCGGGCCGCTCGCTCATGCGCTCTGGCCTCAGGCTCGCTGTCGCGCCATTTTGCCGGGGTTTGAATGTGAGGCGGAGCGGCGGCAGGAGCGGGTAGTGCCAGCTACGGTCCGCGGCTGGGGTTCCCTCCTCCGTTTCTGTATCCCCACGAGGTGAGGCGCGGGGCGTGCACGGCCTACCAGAGTGGCTCTTGGGGCCCAGCTGAGGAAGGGATGAGGCGCTCCCGGTACTAACGAGCGCTAGGGAGTGAGAACCGCGCCTCTGGGCGAGAGCGGAATGTGGGCCCGGGGTTCGGGTGGTGCGCTCAGGCAAGGTCTTCGGCTTCCCTAGGGAGCGCTTGCCGCGCCTCGCGGCATCCTAGGTCTCTGGCCCAGGTGCGGCGACCCCAGGGCCTGTGAGGGCTGAGGGCAACTGAGGCGCGGCCTAACGCGAGCCTGCGGATTGCCCGCCCTTTCCTCTCCATCACGGCGCTGATTGGCTGCGCCGCCGCCTCTCCGCTCGGGAAGGCCGCTCCTTATTGGTCGCGCTCGCATGTCCATTCTCTGCGACGGTGGCTGCTAGCCGCGCGAGCTGAGTGTGCGGCGGCGAGGCCTGCCCGGGCGGGGACTGCGGGCGCGTGGAGCTGCGGCTGCCTCGCGTCGTCCCTTGCCCTAACTCTAGTGAAGCCCCCGAACTCACCCTTCTCTAACCTCTGTACTTGTATCCCTGACTGTAAAACGGGCATCGTGATCTCACTTTGCTGAATTGTTTGTGAGAATTCTAGTCGGTACACCCGGGACATAGAAATCCCCTGTAACGCGGGTTGGGGGAGGGTTCCCTCGTTTTGGGAGAAACGCTGTGCTGTGGTGGTTCGGAGCATAGACTTTGGAATTAGATCGCCTGGGTTCATTCCAGACGTAGCCTCTCGTTAGGGGTGTAACTTGAGGCTGGTCACCTCATCTCACTGAGCCTCCATTTCCTTAGCTGCAAAATGGGGTTAATAACAGAATCTACCTCGGAAAGTGGCTTTGAGGATGCGCTGAGTTATTTACCGTGGTTTACAAAGGTTCCCTGGGAGCTGACGGTTGTTTATTCATCTCTCCCACCCATCTTTCTCCTTAGCCAGTGTGGCTTTCTGTTTCTTCCATATTCCAGGGTTATTCCGATTTAAAATTATTTGCACATGCCTTTTGTTTGCTGGGGAAGTACCAACATTTTTGCAAGGCAGGCCGCCTCTCCCAAGTTTCCCTCACCTTAGGCCTCCCCTAACCAACCTCTTCTTTTGTTTTCTTTTTCTTTTTCTTTTCTCTTTTCTTTTTTTTTTTTTTTTTTTTTTTTTTTTGAGAGAGAGAGTCTCGCTCTGCCTCCCAGGCTGGAGTGCAGTGGCGCGATCTCGACTCACTGCAACCTCCGCCTCCCGGATTCAAGCGATTCTCCTGCCTCAGCCTCCCGAATAGCTGAGACTACAGGTCTGAGACTACACGCCACCACACCCGGCTAATTTTTGTATTTTTATTAGAGACGGGGTTTCACCATGTTGATCAGGCTGTCTAATCAACCTGTCTAGGACCTTTCTCCCATGGCTCTCCATCAACATCACCTGGTTTTAGTTACTTCATAGCATTTACTAACACTTACTTATTGCTTACTTGTTATCTTTCTCAACTGCTAGAATGTAAGCTGTTTGAGAGCAAGGACCTTGTCTGTCTTGCTTACTTCTCTCTCCCTGGTGGGTGCCATCCCACCTGTGCTTGCCACATGGTAGATGCACAAGTATTATTCTTCCTTGGAGGCACAGAAGGGGACCCTTTAGTCTTGGATTCCACCAATTGCTCTTTTTCTCACCTTGGGCCCACATAGTCATATCTTTGGCCTTTCTCTGTGTGTGTCTCTCTCTTTTTTTTTTTTTTTTTTGACATGCTTTCAGAGGATCCTAATGGACCTCGTCTCTCCGCTCCTACAACCCTTTATCTTTCACTTCTTACCATCAGTGCAAGGGAAGTCTCTCTCCCCTTCTGATTACTTCTGCTGGTTGGGGTCTGGGACAGGATTGGATGGATGCAAGAGCAGTGCTCTAGTTTTGGAATTAATTTGTTTCTTTATTCATTTAATAACTTTATTGAGCATCCACTTAATCTCTGGGAATATAGTGAAAAAACAAAAATGGACAAGGTCCCTTCCCTTGAGGACCATGTATTCTCGTGGGCGAAAGAAAAAACATTAGATAATTTCAGATAGTGACAGAATTATGTGACAGGTGAAGAAGGCTTTTCTGAGGAGGTGACATTTGGGTAGAGACCAGCCATTAAAAGGTGAGGGGCAGAACATTCCAGGTAGAGGGAATAGAAGGCTCAAGGCTCAAGGACAGGAACCGGCTTGGAATATTGAAATATTTAAGGAATATCTTAGGTTCCTAGAGTGTTACATGAAGAAGGGAGAAATATCCAGGACCCGGATCATAGAAGGCTTTGTAGGCAATGTAAGGAGTTTGGATTTGATTCTAAGTGGTATATTCCTATGGTTAGAAAGCAGAGGGTAGGTTGAGGTGTTGGGATATGTTCTTCATGTGTGGGTGCCAGATAGTTTTCATTCATTGGATCTCTTTCCCTCTTCCCAAATGTAAGGCCTCGGGAATGGTTCTCTAATGTGTTGAGGACATATCTAAGAAAAAGGCAGACATCTTGGATCAGCTTATGTCACAGATGTCTGTGAGATGGCTTTGGAAAACAAAGCTTTTATTCCAGAAATCTCCACCTGTAATTGAGGGCCTGTGGGAAGATGCTAGACTTAGGTCTGGCCATTCATTCAACAAGAAGAACTTGGAAATTTAGATGTCTGCCATAACTGATTTATTGTGATGCTTTTTTAAGTTTCTTAATTGTGTATTGGTAGAGATTTCCAAAGATAGTTACGTGGAGAAAGAAAAGTATCACCCCCTCATTTAAAGGTGATAAAAATGAATTCTTATCTTCTCCCTCCCTTTTTTTTTTGGAGACACCATCTCACTGTGTTGCCTGGGCTGACCTGGGCTCAGTCTATCCTCCTACCTCAGCCTCCCGAGTAGCTAGGACTACAGGCGTGCACCACCACACTCAACTAATTTTTATTTTTTTTTTGTAGAGATGGCACCATGTTGCCCAGGTTGGTCTCAAACTCCTGGACTCAACCAATCTGCTTACCTTGGCCCCCCAAAGAGCTGGGATTACAGGCATGAGCCACCCTACTTGGCCAAAATGAATGTTTTGTTTCTAGTTTGAGTCATTTTTAGATCAGTAACACTTTTTGCATTTATATATTGCTAATATTTCAGAGTGTCAAAGTACCTTTACTTGTGGTTGCATAAGATAATTAGAGCTTGATCTTGTTGATAATTATGAATACCTGTAAAATGTTCTCTAAAAGTCCCTGATTTCTCTTATTTTCTCAAATTAAGGATAAGCTTAGAATTCGGTTTTATAGACTATATCTGCAAGGCGATATAAAAAGGATTTGTTGACAAATAGTTCCTTAAAGAATATTCCCAAAGAATAAACTTTGGAAGGCCAAGGTGGGCGGATCACTTGAGCTCAGGAGTTCCAGACCAGCCTGGGCAACACTGGAACCATGTCTACAGAAACAACACAAAAATTAGCCAGGTGTGGTGGTGTGTGCCTGTAGTCCCAGCTACTTGGGAGGTTGAAGTAGGAGGATGGCTTGAGCCCAGGAGGCAGAGGTTTCAGTGGGCCAGAATTACACCACTGCATTTCTCCAGCCTAGGTAACAGACCCAGACCCTGTCTCAAAAAAGAGTATTAAGATTCTGGGATCTATGTAGTATTTTAACTTTGAGGGATTATAACATGCATATTTATATAACCCCTCACTTTTTTTTAAACTTAAAAATAGTCCTACCCTAGCATCTCAACTTAATCATTTTAGGTTTCATTCTATTATGTGGTTTTATTTATTTATTTTTATTTTATTTTATTTTATTTTATTTTATTTTTGGAGACAGGGTTTCACTCAGTCACCCATACTGGACTGCAGTGGCAAGACCTCAGCTTATTGCAGCCTAGACCTCCCGGGCTCAAGCAATCCTCCTGCCTCAACTTCCCTAGTAGCTAGGACCACAGGAGGGTATCACCAAGCCCAGCTAATTTTTTTTTTTTTTTTTTTTTTTTTTTGAGATGGGAGTTTCACTTTTGTTGCCCAGGCTAGAGCTAGAGTGCAATGGTGCAGTCTTGGCTCATTGAAACCTCTGCCTCCCGGGTTCAAGCAATTCTCCTGTCTCAGCCTCCTGAGTAGCTGGGATTACAGGCGCATGCCACCACGCCCGGCTAATTTTTTTTTTTTTGTATTTTTAGTAGAGACGGGGTTTCATCACATTGGTCAGGCTGGTCTCGAACTCCTGACCTCAGATGATCCGCCTGCTTCGGCCTCCCAAAGTGCTGGGATTACAGACGTAAGCCACCGCGCCCGGCCTGAGCCCAGCTAATTTTTAAAATTTTTTGTAGAGACAGGATCTCACTATTGTTGCCAAGTCTGGTCTTGAACGGTCCTTGGGGTCAAGTGATCGTCCCATCTCCACCTCCCAAAGTGCTGGGATTACAGAAGTGAGCCACCTTGCTCAGCCTGTTGTGGTTTTAGAATCTAGAAGGTTGTGTCCACCTCTTTCTGTTTGACACAGTCAACCAACCAAAATAAAGATGAAGAATAATATTTTTGATGGAAACATCAAAGGTATCTAGCTTTTTAAAATAGTACAACAAATATATAACGGGTGCTCATCACTATTGTAAGGCTCTAGGGAGAGAGCAGTGAACAAAGCACAAAGTCCCTACTATCAGTGGAGTTTACAATCTAGTGAAGAGAGAAGCACAGTAAATGACAAAAGAAATTAATATGCCTGATAAAATGTACTTGGAAAATAGTAGAGTAAGGGCATGGAGAGTAACTGAGGTGAATGCTCTTTTAGATAGGATGGTGCAGCAAGGCATCTCTGAAAAAAAGATGACATTTGAAAAGAGTCCTTCCAGGCCGGGCACGGTGGCTCATGCCTGTAATCCCAGCACTTTGGGAGGCTGAGGCGGCAGATCACCTGAGGTCAAGAGTTTGAGATTAGCCTGGCCAACACGGTGAAACCGCATCTTTACTGTATATAAAACTCAGCCGGGCGTGGTGGCACGCACCTGTAGTCCCAGCTACTTGGGAGGTTGAGGCAGGAGAATTGCTTGAACCTGGGAGGCGGGGACTGCGGTGAGCTGAGATCACGCCACTGCACTCCAGCCTGGGTGACAGAGCAAAGACCCCTGTCTCCAAAAAAAACAAGAGTCCTGAATGAGAATGAAGTGGGCAGTGCAAACCTTGTAGCTTTCCGTGTGCAGAGCTCTGCAGGCAGAAGGAATGGTAAGTACAGAACCCTGAAACAAAAGTAAAATCACTGGCATGTTTGAACAGGTAATACAGGATAAATTTTATCTTTTTTCAGAGACAGAGTCTTACTCTGTTGCCCAGATTGGAATGCAATGGCATGATCATAGCTCACTGCAGCCTTAAAATTCTGAGCTTAACCAGTCCTTCTGCCTCAGCCTCCAGAGCAGCTGAGACTACAAGTGCTCGCCACCATGCCTGGCTAATTTTTATTTATTGTAGAGACAGGGTCTCACTATGTTGCCCACGCTGGTCTTGAAATCCTAGCCTCAAGTGATCCTTCCGCCTCGGCCTTCCAAAGCGCTGGGATTACAGGCATGAGCCATTCTGCCAGGCCAGAACAAATCTAAAAATTCACTTTCTTGAAGTACTTTTGAATAAACAAATTTAATTGTGGCAGTTAAGTTGGTCATTTGTTCATCTGACATTCATGCAACTGAGTTCCCACATTATGTTGGGGCTGCTAATGATTGATCTGAAGGGATAGTCTCCAGTCTTGACTGGAAACTCATGTTTTGCTGGGTGACTGACATGTTGTGACTTATCCTTTAGTTCATACAACAAATGCTTACTAAATATGTACTGTGTGCCAGGTAATGCTGAAGGTCCTGAGCATACAGACGAAAGTCCCTGCCCTCAGGAGCTTGCAGTCTAGTGTGTGTATGAGACGACAAAGAAGTTTATTTCAAATGAGGGTAATTGCTAACACAGTAAAACAAGGATGATGTAGATGGTAATCGTAGAAGGCCTTTTTGAAGAGTTGACAGTGGGCTGAGTGCTGAATGGTGTCCATTATCAAATTAGAGGATGAGCATTATTATGGTCAGGGAGAACTCTTGTGGCCAGTTTGTAGAACAGAAGGCTTTTGTGCCTGGAATGTAGCAAGAGCCAGGAGGAGGTAGGAGATGAGGTCAGTAGATACCAGATTGCTTAGACCCTGCTGTGGTAAGGGATTTGGTGGTGGTGGTGGTGGTGGTGGTTGTTTTGGAGATAGGGTCTCACTCCCATTGCCCAGTCTGTAGTGCAGTGGCCTGATCACAACTCACAGCAGTCTCAATTTGCTGGATCTACAGGTGTGTGCCACCACACCTGGCTAATTTTTTGTATATTTAGTAGAGACAGGGTCTTGCTGTGTTAGCCCAGGCTGGTCTGAAGCCGGCTGAAGCAATCCACCTGCCTTGGCCTCCCAAAATGCTGGGCTAACAGGCGGCAGCCACTGCACCTGGCCAGGAGTTTGGGTGTTTAAGACAAGTAATTATGAGGAATCTAAGGAGTTTTAGTTGAGAAATATACAAATGCTAGAGAAACATAATGAAGAAAGTGAAATGCAGATTTATTAAGAAGTGTATTTTTAAAAATCAAGAAAATAAGCCCTGTGTGGTGGCATATGCCTGTAGTCCCAGCTATTCCAGAGGCTGAGGCAGGAGGATTGTTTGAGCTCAGGAGTTAGAATCCAATCTGGACAATACAGTGAGACCCCCTGTCTCTCTTTTTTTTTTTTTTTTTTTTTTTTAAAGACAAAATAGATCTGTAAATCTGCCCCTGCACCCTCCCCACCCAAGTTTCTAACAATCTGCCTTGCATGAATCCCCAAAGGTAGAATAAATTTGCATATGGCAAAGAAAGGCCAATTTCCTTTAACTCAGATACACTGATGTTAATGATTTAACTTGACCACAGCAAACTAACTTTTTTTTTTTTTTTTTTTTTTTTTTTTGAGACTGCGTTTCTCTCTTGTTGCCCAGGCTGGAGTGCAATGGCGCAATCTCGCCTCATTGCAACCTTTGCCTCCCAGGTTCAAGCAATTCTCCTGCCTCAGCCTCCCAAGTAGCTGGGATTACAGGCATGTGCTACCAGGCATGGCTAATTTTTAGTAGAGACGGGGTTTCACCATGTTGGCCAGGCTGGTCTCAAACTCTTGACCTCAGGTGATCTGCCCCTCTCAGCCTCCCAGAGTGCTGGGATTATAGGTGTGAGCCACCACACCTGGCCCAAACTTTCATGATTTCATAACTGATCCACCATTTCAATACAGAAAAAAGGAATAGGAAAATAAATGGATTAAATCATTGCTTTCCAAAGTGTGTTCTATTGAAAAGGAGTTCTATAGCCAAATAATGGGAGAGACTGGGCAATCCTCCCACCTTAGCCTCCCAAGTAGCTAGGACTACAGGGCCACACCACCACGCCCGGCTAATTTTTTGTATTTTTAGTAGAGATGGGGTTTTGCCATGTTGCCCAGGCAGGTCTTGAACTCCTGGGCTCAAGCGATCGTCTGCCTCAGCCTCCCACCAGTGGAGACTCTGGATTAATTGATGTGAACCAGTAACTTTGTGAGTTTAAAGTGCTTTGTATTGTGAATCTCCAAAGTGGGGCAGGATATAATGTGTAGCATTTTCCAAACTTGTGATATAAAAAACCATAAAGGGTATAGCCTCTCAATAGATTGTATGTGTGGTTTAATGGGACTTGATTTTCACACCTATAGAGTGGAACACCTGGATTAGAGGGAGTGATTAGGTAGGTGGTGGGATCTACTCAGTCAGAACATTAGCTTCCTGTGATAAACACATTTTCTAATTAAGGGGAAGGACTGCAGCATGTAGAATACAGATAATTCTCTTTAGAAGGTTGGGGTTTCTGGCTGTTGGGGAGTGCCCTGCATAAGCACAGCATTAGATAATATTTTCTTATTTTCTGGCTCCCCACCGCTCAGTTGTCCTCTGGCTGCCCTCTTTTCACATCAGCCTTTCTATTGTGTTGTGAGTGCTTTCACTCTTGGTCAGCCGTCTGTCATTTCCACCTAAGAGGCAGCCTTGGGTAATAGAAAGAGGGTAGACCTACGGAGTTGGACTGATTTAAATCTGATCTTTATTTATTAACCATATATAGTTAATATATGTCAACCTGAGTGCCCTTCTTTGTGTGTAAAATCATTGTGTGGAATAAATGATATGAAGCCTATGAAAACATCTAGCATCGTGTGCCTGGTTCATACATGTGACACTTCCCCCATTCTGCAAACCATTACCAGCCCAAAGGTCCTCTACTCCACTTTCATTACATTTTTACCCACTTAAGAAAACCTTCATGACTTCCCCATACATTAAATCATGGCACTCTTCAGCCAAGTATGGAGGAACCTATATGATCTGGTCTTGATCTCCTAGCCCACTATTCTCTCTTCCCATCTCTGTTACTTTGCTCTCACAATTCATTTTGGCAGATGCGCCCTCATCCTACTTTGCCTATTCAGATACACATATTTTTCAAGGTTCAGCTCAAGGCTCAGGCTCTGGGAAACTCTTGGATGGCCACATAACCCCGTGACTCCCTTCTTAATTTTCTAACGTTTAAGGTGCTGTCTTTGTGATTCATTTGGCACTTCAGAGGACAGATGTTTCAGAATTTGGGATTTTTTTTGGATGCATGTACTGTGGATTATACAACATCCCCAGTGGGGCTTGGGGTAGCACCCTGTAATCAAACGTATTGATATTTCTTTAGTGAAACAAATTTGCATACTAAGTGAGATAAATCTATGTTGATAGCCTCAGGCAGTTCAGGCTGGTTTTGCTGCCAAGTGAGTTTGCCACAAACTTGTTAAAAAACAAACTTTTAAGTTTTTTTATTTTTGGATTTCATCACTTTAGTAAAGGGTATATAGGCCTGTACTTGGCATTTCAGTTGTGTCTTGTCTTCTGAACTATTACAGAAGCTCCTTCTAGGACAGGAACTTGATTGCATATTGTCATAGGCATTTTAAAAATAAATGGGTCCCGGTATGGTGGGTCATGCCTGTAATCCCAGTGTTTTGGGATGCCGAGGCAGGAAAATTGCTTGAGGTCAGGAGTTCAAGACCAGCCTGCGCAATATGGTGAAACCCCATCTCTACAAAAAATACAAAAATTAGCCAGGCATGGTTGATTGCGCCTGTAGTCCCAGCTACTCAAGAGGCTGAGGTGGGAGGTTGGGGCTTGAGCCCTGGAGGTTGAGGCTGTGGTGAGCTATGATCATGCCCCTGCAGTCCAACCTGGGCCACAGAGCAAGACTCTGTCTGAAAAAATAATAAAATTTTTTAAATTCCTTACTGTAAATGTATAATAGATATGTGATTGTAAGATTAGAAAAGTATGAAGAGAATAAAACTCTCCTTATATCTATCACCGAGATGTTATCACTGTTCTACATTTTGGAGTGTGTTTTTTGTTTTCTTCTATATGTGAAGTTTTTTTTCATAATTTGAATTATGATATCCTTGAACTTTTTCCACTGACCTTTTTTACATTTTACAAAAATTGTGTGTTTAGTTTTTTTCTTCTTTTTCATAGAAGCCTCTGGTTAATTTGGTGCATGATTTCCCTGAAAGGGCTCCACTTTCCCATCTACATGTGGCTATATATCTAAAAGCTGCCTAATGGAATCTAAGCATAAGTGGAGTTTTCTAAAATCGCTTTTTTTTTTTTTGGAGACAAAGTCTCGCTCTTTCTGAGGCTGGAGTGCAGTGGCACAATCTTGGTTCACTGCAGCTTCTGCCTCCAGGTTCAAGCGATTCTCCTGCCTCAGCCACCCAAGTAACTGGGATTACAGGTGCATGCCACCATGCCCGGCTGATTTTGTATTTTTAGTAGAGACGGGATTCACCATGCTGGCCAGGCTGGTCTCAAACTCCTGACCTCAGGTGATCCACCCCCCTCAGCCTCCCAAAGTGCTGGGATTACAGGCGTGAGCAACCGCGCCCAGCCTAAAATAGCTTTATTGAAGTACAATTTACATACTATAAGATTTATCCATTTTAAGTGAACTGTTTGGGAAATGTTAGTAAATTTATGTAGATTATGCATGTGTCACCACAGTCCAATTTTAGAACACTCTGTCACCCCCAAAAAGTTCCCTCAGTTTGCACCTAATTTTATCGTCTCACCAACAAGTTGGAGACCATAAAGCTCAATTGATAAGATTCCCAGGATTTGTGATCTGTTGGTAATCATGCACATCTGACACTTGTACTCTGTGTATGTGCTGTTTCTGTGTGTTTTTTCATTTTCCTTTTAATTGAGTGGGTTCAGACTCCTTTTTTTCCCATTTTTAATGGACAAAATTGTATATATTTGTGGTATGCATGTTTTGAAATATGTATACATTGTATAATGGCTAAATCAAGCTAATTAACATATTACTTCACATGCTGTGTGTGTGTGTGTGTGTGTGTGTGTGTGTGTGTGTGTGGTGAAAGCACTTAAAATATACCCAGTAATTTTCAAGTGTACAATACATTATTATAGTCACCTTGTTGTACAATAAATCTCTTGAACTGTGTATTTCTTAGCCTATGTTGTTAGTAGTTAAATCGACGTAGGCCATTTAGTTAGCTTAAAATTTGTGGGCTGGGCACGGTGGCTCACGCCTGTAATCCTAGCACACTGGGAGGCCAAGGCAGGAGGATCACTTGAGTCCAGGAGTTTGAGACCAGCTTGGGCAACATTGTGAGACCCTGTCTCTACAAAATTTTTTTTTTAATTTGTCATCTGTTAGATGTGAAGTTTTTTGGTCAGTTATAAGCATATTATGTGATTTAGTTTTGTTTAAGCTTTAAATATGAAAACTTCTAGAATCATAATCTTAGCTGTCATCTTCTGAACTCTAGAATTTATCTCCCTAGATGCAAATTCTTAGCACTTTGTAGTATTTGCGATTACATGTTGTACATGAAGGAATTTCTTGTTTCTTTAATCTCAGAACTTTATGTGGGATATTTATTTGCTGTTTAAAATTTTAATTTCTCGTTGTGGGGCCTTTTTTTTTTTTTTTTTTAAGACAGGTCTTGCTCCATCACCCAAGTTGGAGTGCAGTGGCACCATCTCAGCTCACTGCAACCTCTGCCCCCAGGCTCAAGACATCTTCCCACCTCAGCCTTCCGAGTAGCTGGGACTGAAGGCACCCACTACCATGCCTGGCTAATTTTTTGGGTTGGTTGGTTGGTTTGTTTTGAGACGGAGTTTTGCTCTTATCGCCCAGGCTGCAGTGCTATGGTGCGATCTCAGCTCACTGAAACCTTTGCCTCCCGGGTTCAAGCGATTCTCCTGCCTCAGCCTCCCAAGTAGCTGAGATTACAGGCTCCTGCCACCATGTCCAGCTAATTTTTGTATTTTTAGTAGAGACGGGATTTTACCATGTTGACCAGGCTGGTCTCAAATTCTTGACCTCAGGTGATCCGCCTGCCTCAGCCTCCCAAAGTGCTGGGATTACAGGCATGAGCCACCATGCCCGGCTTCAATTTTTTTGTAGTTTTGGTAGAGATGGGGTCTCACCCTGTTGACAGGCTGGTCTCTTAACTCCTGAGCTCAAGCAGTCCACCCACCTCAGCCTCCCAAAGTGTCGGGATTTACAGGCCTGAGCCACTGCCCGGGCTCCTTATGGGGCTTCTTTAATAAGTTCCTCCAGTGATTTTTTTTTTCTTAACCTTTATTAGCCCTTTCCCATAGCATTAAATCATATAAACTTCTTGGTGACTTCGAGCAGTCCTTCAGCTTTTTTTTCTATGACTATCTTTTTGAAATTTTGGGATTTTTTTTCATCTCCCTTATCACAAAATTGTCTCACTATTGTTTTTGGGGGAAAAGGCACATCTCATTTGCTGGACTCTTGTCTCAGAGTCAGGTTTACTGCCCATATAAAAAACAACAGATGGATGACTTTCAGAGAGAATAACCCATAATATAAACGGATTTCTTTAAATGTAAATCACTTTTTCCGTAAGTGACCAGTTATCCAAACCTTATTTTATATTTTAGATCCTATAGCAATGGAACTCAGCGATGCAAATCTGCAAACACTAACAGAATATTTAAAGAAAACACTTGATCCTGATCCTGCCATCCGACGTCCAGGTAAAGAAAATAAACGTTTTTTGGTTGATTAATTCCTTCAGGACAGGTGAGAGAAACCTATGTATTATCTGCCTCCTTATAAATATATTTTAAAAAATTCATACTTGGGTTCTCAAGCGTAGTTTATAAGTGTTACAGCTGCTATACCATGGTGTGTTGTTTCTTTTTTGAGTAAAATAGCTTTTATTTGGCATCTTCTGGGATTAAAAAGTACTAGTTTTCGGATAAAAAGTACTGACATGTTTAGAATGCTTTGTCTTTGACCTTTTCCAAAATACCCACTTAAAACATGCCTGCTTTAGGCCGGATGCGGTGGCTCACACCTGTAATCCCAGCACTTTGGGAGGCTGAGGCAGGCGGATCACGAGGTCAGGAGATGGAGACCATCCTGGCTAACACGGTGAAACCCCGTCTCTACTAAAAGTACAAAAAATTAGCCGGGCGTGGTGGCGGGTGCCTGTGGTCCCAGCTACTCAGGAGGCTGAGTCAGGAGAATGGCGTGAACCCCGGAGGCAGAGCTTGCAGTGAGCCGAGATTGCGCCACTGCACTCCAGCCTGGGCGACAGAGCAAGACTCCGTCTCAAAAAAAAAAAAAAGCCTGCTTTAGAGATAAAATAATTAGGGCATAGAAAGGAGAGTAATTGCCTAAAAAGTGATTAAGTGAATGAAGCCAAGTAATCAGTTACTGTCTCTTAATTTTAATTTTCTATTGGGTTTGATTTAACTAATATATTTTAAGACCTAGAGCTTTTTTTTTCCTTCCTGAATCTGACCAGATTCCATTAAAAACGTAGAATTAAAATATTGAACTCAGGTGTTCACAGGACTCAGCTGTTAAGTTAAATGAGGGAGATAGGCCAAGTGGAGACTGGTAATATCAGGAGAATACATGCCCTGATTAAGTGGCAAGTACTTTTTGGAACTAGCTAATTTTGGGGATTCAGACTAGTTTTGCAAGATCAGATTTCCAGTTTTGCTTGAAAAATAAGGATATTTATATGAAGTGCCCTCATTTTTAAATGTTAGCAAGTAACTTCAAAAGATTTTGGGGCCGGGTGCGGTGGCTCACGCTTGTAATCCCAGCACTTTGGGAGGCCGAGGTGGGCAGATCACGAGGGCAGGAGATCGAGACCATCGTGGCTAATATGGTGAAACCCCTTCTCTACTAAAAAATACAAAAACTTAGCTGGGTGTGGTGGCACACACCTGTAGTCCCAGCTGCTCAAGAGGCTGAGGCAGGAGAATTGCTTGAACCTGGGAGGTGGAGGTTGCAGTGAGTTGAGATTGCGCCACTGCACTCCAGCCTGGGTGACAGAGCGAGACGTAGTCCCAAAAAAAAAAATATTTTGAAACACAGCCAGGGTTGGTGGTCACGCCTTTAATCCCAGTAATTTGGGAGGCCAAGGCAGGAAGATCCCTTGAGTCCAGGAGTTCGAGACCAGCCTGGGCAACAAAGCAAGACCCTGTCTCTACAAAAAATTTAAAAATTAGCCAAGTGTGGTGATGTGTGCCTGTATTCCTAGCAACTGGGGAGGCTGAGACAAAAGCTTCACTTATACCCAAGAGGTCGGAGCTGCAGTGAGTTATGATCATGTCAGTGCACTCTAGCCTGGGTGACAGAGGGAAATCTTGTCTTAAAAAAAAAAAAAAAAAGGCCAGGTGCATTTGCTCACGCCTGTAATCCCAGCATTTTGGGAAGCCAAGGCAGGCGGATCATGAGGTCAAGAGATCTAGACCATCCTGGCCAATGTGGTGAAACCCTGTCTCTACTAAAAATACAAAAATTAGCTGGGCGTGGTGGTGCACGGCTGTAGTCCCAGATACTTGGGAGGCTGAGGCAGGAGAATTGCTTGAATCCAGGAAGCGGAGGTTGCAGTTAACCGAGGCCACTGCACTCCAGCCTGGTGACAGAGCAAGACTCCGTCTCAAAAGAAAAAAAAAAATTGGACAGGCACATTTGCTCACGCCTGTAATCCCAGCACTTTGGGAAGCCCAGGAGGGCAGATCACCTGAGGTCAGGAGTTTGAGACCAGCCTGGCCAACATGGTGAAACCCTGTCTTTACTAAAAATACAAACATTAGCCAGGCATGGTAGCATGTGCCTGTAACCCCAGCTACTTGGGAGGCTGAGGTGCAAGAATCGCTTGAACCCAGGAGGTGAAGGTTCCAGTGAGCCAAGATTGCCCAACTGCACTCCAGCCTAGGTGACAGAGTGAGACTTTGTCTCAAAAAAAAAAAAAATTGAAATACAGTGCAAGCCAAACTACTTCTGGGCCAGATATATCTTGTGAGCAGTCAGTTATTGATCCTTGATATGGGCCATATTAAAATGCTCTTGACCTGTTTCTTCAAAACTTACCAATGTGCATGCTCATAGAGGATGTTGGAAGGGTTCCATGAGGAAGAGAATGTGTGTTATATATTATGTATGATGACTAGAATCATGAACATGTTAATGCATCTATCCTCTTCTAGAAAAGTCTTTGTGATTTTTGAGAGGAAAAATTAGTTTATTAGTGTATAAAGAAGTAATGTGTTCCTGGATAAAGGGAAGTTAATGGCTCTAATCTTTAATCTTCTTAGACTTTCAAAGAAAGCTGTTGCCAACACTATTAAAAATTTTTTTTTTTTTTTTTTTTTTGGAGACGGAGTCTCCCTCTGTCGCCCAGGCTAGAGTGCAGTGGCGCCATCTTGGCTCACTGCAAGCTCCGCCTCCCGGGTCCACGCCATTCTCCTGCCTCAGCCTCCTGAGTAGCTGGGACTACAGGCGCCCGCCACCATGCCTACCTAATTATTTGTATTTTTAGTAGAGACAGGGTTTCACCGTGTTAGCCAGGATGGTCTCCATCTCCTGACCTCGTGATCCACCCGCCTCAGCCTCCCAAAGTGCTGGGATTACAGGCATGAGCCACCGTGCCCGGTGGAAAAATTATTATTATTATTTATTTATTTATTTATTTATTTATTTATTTTTGAGACAGAGTCTCACTCTTGCCCAGGCTGGAGTGCAGTGGCGCCATCTTGGCTCACTGCAAGCTCCACCTCCCGGGTTCACCCCATTGTTGTGCCTCAGCCTCCCGAGTAGCTGGGACTACAGGCGCCCGCCACCACACCCGGCTAATTTTTTGTATTTTTAGTAGAGACGGGTGTTTCACCAGGTTAGTCAGGATGGTCTCGATTTCCTGACCTTGTGATCCACTCGTCTCGGCCTCCCATAGTGCTGGGATTACAGGTGTGAGCCACCGCACCCGGCAATTATTTTTTTTTTAATAATGTGTGAGGCAAGAGTTCTGTTGCTTTATGTATTCAGGACAGAGTATAAAAATAATCTGGTATTTCTGGGAAGTTAGGAACATAGCATTTCTCAGGGATCGAGACTGACTGACTAGACTGACTCAACTAGACCTTTTGAGACTCCTTGAGTGCGCAGAAACATATGCATGTGAATATTGTGATAAGTTGAAAGAAATGAACACAGAAAGGAACAGACTCAAACTCACTTCCTGGATATTGATTACAATTTAGGAAAGAGACTTGGCAATTTATATGGGCTTTTCCTCAAATCATGGATGTAGTGTGTTGCCCTGTACAAAATGCTGGCTACTAAGTGGAGGAAACAAATTGTTCTGTACTCATATAAAACCATAGTATGTCCCCTCCTGAAAAACATTTTTCAGTTTAACAATCTTCATCCTTCAAGAAAGACATGATAAGCACAAAGCAAGGAGAGTTTGAAAATATCAGTGAAACTCTTGGGACTCAGTCAGAAAGAGGGAAGGTGTTAAATGATACATGAAATTAATTTTTCAAAAAATATTGGAATATTGGGTGTTGCCCTATGAAGCCAAAGGTAGAAAAAAATTAAGAGAAATACTGTACTGCCATCACATGTGATCATTAACCTAGGAAATTTATCCCAGAATGTAATCTGGGTTGAAAATCTATTGGTAAATTTTTTGGATAAATTCATTGCTGGTATTAAGAAGTTTTTAGGTTTTTTTTTAGTTCGACAAGAAAGCTTAGGGCTGGTAAGGTAAAATAAGGACTGCACTAAAACTTTCAGTAGTGAAGCCTAGCTGTGTGATCTTGAACAAGTTACTTAACCTTAGTGCCTTGGTTTTTTAAATGCTATCTACTTTTCTGGGTAATAGTGACAACTAAATGAAATTTTATAATTTTACATATATAATATATATGTAAATCGTTGGACCCATTTGGCTAATAATAATATATTAGGATGAATTGACTCATTTGCTCTTCATCACTAGCCTATAAAAGAAATATTACTACTAATAGTACTAATAATACTCCTTTCTGAAATAAGACCTGGGTATATGAAGTCTTGAAGCCACTTAATCTGCCTGGGAAGCAGCTTCTCTTGCAGATGAGATGATCATCCAATTAGGCCACTGTATAGGTTTGTGAGAATCATGTGAGTTAATTGATGGTAAAGTTATTTGAAAACTGAAGCATTATATAAGTTTAATGTAACATATATAATCCACTTAATAGATAAGAAAAGTGAGGCCCTGTAGACCCACAAATAACCTAATCTTTTCTCTTTTTTTGATTTTTTTTTATATATATATATTTGATATATATAAGGTGGAAAGATTTTTATCTTAGTCTTTTAACATGAAAATTCTTTTACAGCTGAGAAATTTCTTGAATCTGTTGAAGGAAATCAGAATTATCCACTGTTGCTTTTGACATTACTGGAGAAGTCCCAGGATAATGTTATCAAAGTATGTGCTTCAGTAACATTCAAAAACTATATTAAAAGGAACTGGAGAATTGTAAGTATTTTGTGAATACATAATTTAATACCCTGTATGTTTATAAGGTTTATATAAGCAGTGTTCTTCAAAGATAAGGCACGTGCTTGTAGTCCCAACTACTCTGGAGGCTGAGGCGGAAGGATCACTTGAGTCCAGGAGTTCAAGGCTGCAGTGAGCTATGATTGCACCACTGTACTCTAGCCTTTTAGTGACAGAATGAGACCTTGTCTCAAAAAAAAGGATTCAGATATGGATCAAAGATAAAATTAAACAGGACCCTTTTCCAAAGCTTCTGTTATTTCATTTGAATTTATATAAATTTGTCCAGCTTCATACCTCGGGTTGCTAGGGAGTGAGACTTGGTCTTAATCTCCATTATGTTTGGAATTTATGCTTTACTCACCGCCTACTGAAGAGACATTGTGGGAAGACAGTCTGAATAAATGAAGTGATTTCTGATGTTGGAAAAATAAAGCTGAGAAGAAATCAGATACATAAAACATTTGCAGAATGCAAAATAATTTAGATTTCAACTTTTTGATAAGGTATTTTGCCCTATGTCTTGTGGGATATGTATATATATACTAATTTTGAGATTAAACCTATTTTATAACAGGTTTAATGATTAGTAAATTATAAATTAAGAAACAGGCATTTTTTTTCCTTAGCTTAGGACAGTGATTCTCAACTGGGGGCAGTTTGGCTCACCAGGGGACATTTGGCAGTATATTTGGAGACATCATAGCTGGAGGATTGCTACTGGAATCTAGTGGGTAGAGGCCAGAGATGCTGCTAAGCATCCTACAATGCACAAGATAGCTTTCCACAACAAAGAATTATCTGAGCCAAAATGTCAGATTGAGAAAGCCTGGCTCATGATAGAGAAAAAGATGAGGCTTTTCTATAGTGATAGCAGTTATGATGTTACAAAGTATTAGCAGTTGACAAAAATCATCAGTTTATCTAAAAAGTCAACTTTAAACTGCTCAAAAACATCTTAGAGTCTTACTTTTTTTCTCATTCCATAAAAGAGAGAGTAAATATTGTTTTAAGCCTGTATGATTTCTCAAGTATCACCATGAGTGGTAAAGAAATCTTAGAGGCCGGGCTTGGTGGCCCATGCCTGTAATTTCAGCACTTTGGGAGGCTGAGGTGGGTGGATTGCTTGAGCTCAGCAATTCAAGACCAGCTTGGGCAATAAAGTGAGATCCCATCTTTCCAAAAAATACAAAAATTAGCGAGGCATATGGTGGTGCACGGCCTGTAGTCCCAGCCATTAGGGAGGCTGAGATGAGGGGATCACTTGTGCCTGGGAGGCAGAGGTTGCAATGAACTGAGATGGTGCCACTGCACTTCAGCTTGGGCAACAGTGCCAGACACTGTCTTTTAAATCTCAGAATGTTTAAAAGTCCATCTCTACTGGTAGACATGCCAGCCCTCTCCCTCTATTTTGATTTGTAAAACTAGTGAGACTTAACAGAATCTCTTTGGGTGATATAATCTAGGATGCATTCTAACTAGTAATGGTCAAGAAATTTTCACAGAGGGCTGGGTATGGTGGCTCACACCTGTAATCCCAGCACTTTAGGAGGCTCAGATGGGAGGATTGCTTGAGGCCAGGAGTTGGAGACCAGCCTGGACAACAAAGTGAGACCCCTCTTCTCTACAAAAAAATTTAAAATTAGCCAGGTGTGGTCGTGTGTGGTGTGCATCTGTGGTCCTTGGGAGGCTGCAGTGGGAGGGATTGTCTTGAGTCTGGGAGGTGAAGGCTGCAGTGAGCCAAGGTTTTGTGCTACCCTCCAGCCTGGGTGACAGATGGAAACCCAGTCTCAAAAAAAAAAAAAGAATAAAAAAAATTGGAAAGATTTTTGTTCTAAAGTGAGAGTTAAATTGAAGCTTTTGAGGATGTGTATGGATTAAGTAGCATATATCTGTAAAGATTTTAATTATGTGTCCTGATTAGTTTACATATGAAATGAAAAAAAAATTTTTTTTTTTTTTTTTTTTTTTTTTTGAGAGGGAGTCTTGCTCTGTTGCCCAGGCTGGAATGCAATGGTGCGATCTTGGCTCATTGCAGCCTCTGCCTCTCAGGTCCAAATGATTGTCCTGCCTCAGCCTCCTGAGTAGTTAGTGTTACAGGTGCCCACCACCATGTTCAGCTAATTTTGTATTTTTAGTAGAAATGGTTTCACCATGTTGGCCAGGCTGGTCTCAAACTCCTGACCTTGAGTGAGCCATCGCACCTGGCCTAAAATGGAAATTTTTTTTTTTTTTTTTTTTTTTTTTGAGACAGAGTCACTCTTGTTGCCCAGGCTGGAGTGCAGCGGCACCATCTCGGCTCCCTGCAACCTCCACCTCCTGGGTTCAAGCAATTCTCCTGCTTCAGCCTCCCGAGTAACTGGGATTATAGGTGCCTGCCACCATGTCCGGCTAATTTTTGTATGTTTAGTAGAGACATGGTTTCACCATGTTGGCCAGGCTGGTCTCAAACTCCTGACCTCAGGTGATCCACCTGCCTTGGCCTCTCAAAGTGCTGGGATTATAGGCGTGAGCCACTGCGCCCAGTCTAAAATGGAAATTCTTAATTGGCATCAAGGAGTAAGGGAAGTTCACTAATTTGTATGTAAAATATTTGCATTTGGGAGGCAATGTACGTTTTTCTGGGAAAAGGATTCACGCTGTCATCAGATTATTGAAGGAATCTGTGACCCATTCATGTAGAGGGAAACTGAAGAAAGACCAAACCTTCCTCTATTTGTTTTCTTAGAAAATTAGTAAATAAAAAAACAGTTATGTTTTACCTAAAATCATGTGGACATGAATGTGGATTTTGTGTTACTTCCTCAGTTACTGCTTTGCTTTTAGGTTGAAGATGAACCAAACAAAATTTGTGAAGCCGATCGAGTGGCCATTAAAGCCAACATAGTGCACTTGATGCTTAGCAGCCCAGAGCAAATTCAGAAGCAGGTAATGTCGCTCCACTTTTTAGATGGGCTCCTCTGTAAAGCTCTGATCTAATTAATCTTTTCCTCTCCTAGTTAAGTGATGCAATTAGCATTATTGGCAGAGAAGATTTTCCACAGAAATGGCCTGACTTGCTGACAGAAATGGTGAATCGCTTTCAGAGTGGAGATTTCCATGTTATTAATGGAGTCCTCCGTACAGCACATTCATTATTTAAAAGGTATTGATGCATAGATTCATGTTTTTAAAATACTTTCTAAAGTTTTATTTGCTTGTGTAAACAGTTGTGTTTTTGTGACTGTTGTCATTCCTTTGAATCTGATCATCTTGGAATGAGAGCAGAAGTTTCTGTATTGCGTTTGTTTCTTCTCAACTAGGATGTTTATTTCATATTGCTCTATTACCTGTGAAATACTTAGTCTTGATAAACTGCTTGATCCCTTTAAAAAGAAAACTGGCTGGGCATGATGGCTCACACCTATAATCCTAGCACTTTAGGAGGGCAAAGTGGGCGGATCACCTGAGGTCAGGAGTTTGAGACCAGCCTGGCCAACATGGTAAAACCCCGTCTCTACTAAAAATACAAAAAAAACTAGCCAGGCATGGTGGTATGTGCCTGTCATCCCAGCTACTCAGGAGGCTGAGACAGGAGAATCACTTGAGCCTGGGAGGTGGAGGCTGCAGTGAGCCGAGATCAAACCACTGCACTCCAGCCTGGGCGACAGAGCGAGACTCCGTCTCAAAAAAAAAAAAAAAAAAAAAAAAAGAATTCCCTTTGAATTTCGGAATTTCGGAAACCCATCTATTCATAGATGTCCAATCAGCATCTCTCCTTGAAGACCTAAAGTGAGTAAATAAAAAAAACTTGTAAATTTATCTGTTTTACCTTAATTTTCTAGATACCGTCATGAATTTAAGTCAAACGAGTTATGGACTGAAATTAAGCTTGTTCTGGATGCCTTTGCTTTGCCTTTGACTAATCTTTTTAAGGTATGGAATGCATCTTGGTGATATTTTTAAATTAATATTTTAAATTGCTTGAATGTTTGTATACATGTTAAGAGAATGCTTTGAAAGCTTATTTGATAGATAATGTTTAGAGCATTTCTTTTGAAAAATTTCAAACCTACACAGAAATAGAGATGCTATAGTGAACTCCCATCTATTATTACACAAATTTAATGGTTAGCAACGTTTTATTTTCTCTGTTCCCTTTCTTAGGAATGTTATAAAAGCAAATCCCAAGCATCATATCATTTCACCCAAGTATTTTAAAGTATGTGTCTCTAAAGGAAGAAATACATATTTTTATTTGACTATGTTTGGAGTTTAATTAATTATATATTTATACATTATTTTACAGTTTACAGGATACTTTCCTGAATGTGTTCTTGGTGTTTGTGAAAATCCTATAAGATTTAAAGAAATATATATATACTTTTTTTCTTTTTTCTTTTTTAAAGACAGGGTCTCACTCTCATTGCCCAGGCTGGAGTGCAGTGGGGCATGATTATAGCTCACTGCAGCCTCAACTACCCAAGCTCAGGTGATTCTCCCACCTCAGCATTCCAAGTAGCTGGGACTACAGGTGCACACTACCATGCCTGGCTGCTTTTTCTCTTTTTTTTTCCCTCTCTCTTTTTTTTTTTTTTTTTTTTTTTTTGAGATGGAGTTTCGCTCTTGCTCACTGCAACCTCCGCCTCCCGGGTTCAAGCAATTCTCCGAGTACACTGGGATTACAGCCTGTGCCACTGGGCCTGGCCAGTAAAACCTGTTAATCGCATTTAGAATAATAAAGAATTGGAAACAACCTAAATACCAAGTGGCAGATGAATTGTTTAATAAGAGCATATAAAGATAGTTTTGTGTAATATATTTTTATATATGCACAGATTGGGAAGACGTAGTTCAGAATATTAACACTGGACTTTTTAGTGCCATTATGAACAGTTCAAAAATACATACTTTAACCTATTTTCCACAATCTCTTAAGTGACTGTATTATTTAAAAGCCAAGGCTGGGCATGGTGGCTCACGCCTGTAATCCCAGCACTTTGAGAGGCCGAGGCGGGCGGATCACGAGGTCAGGAGATCGAGACCACCATGGCTAACGTGGTGAAACCCCGTCTCTACTAAAAATACAAAAAACAAAAACAAAATTAGCCGGGCGTGGTGGCAGGCACCTATAGTCCCAGCTACTTGGGAGGCTGAGGCAGGAGAATGGTGTGAACCCAGGAGGTGGAGCTTGCAGCGAGCCGAGATTGTGCCACTGCGCTCCAGCCTGGACGACAGAGCAAGACTCCGTCTCAAAAAAATAAATAAGTAAAATATGAATAGTCTCAGCTTAGTGCAAGGCTGTTTCACTAAGATCAGCATGCTGGGTTTATGATGCACTAAAACCATGTTGCTAAATTCCTTTCCAAGGCCACTATTGAACTCTGCAGTACCCATGCAAATGATGCCTCTGCCCTGAGGATTCTGTTTTCTTCCCTGATCCTGATCTCAAAATTGTTCTATAGTTTAAACTTTCAGGTAAGTTCATTTGATTTCTTGCTTTTGGTTCTTACTCTTTGATTTTAAATAGAGTTTTCTTTCTGTTTGATAAAGACTTCTTTGCCAGCATTGATTTTTCTGAAAGAAAAGGTTTTTTCTGACTCTATTTATCTATAGTGTTCTGTTCTACAGTAGTTCTTTCAGATGCTAATGAGATGTTTCATGGAAAAAAGCAGTATTCTCTTATATCTAGTAGGTTAGCAAAACCCCACATCCTAACTCACTCTTGGAGAGTCACCCTGTACACTGTTTTACTGGTGGCATTAAGAAGCTAGATTTCTGAGGCCTTCCTCTTTCGTTCATTTATATGGGTATTAACATTTGGGGAATCATGTTTTGGTTAGGGGTTGCTGTCCAGCTTATACAAAATGACTTTTATTGGAAGCCATATGAGGGAGACAAAAGACTTGAAGTACCAGACTTTGAAAGGGGTAGGAACTAGTAGTATTTCAGAGGAAACATAGCCACAGGGCTATAGCAGGGAATGCCTAGTTACCCTGTTGCTACTGAGATAGTGGCCTCCAATCATTCTTTCTGTTCTTAATCATTAATTCAAGATTCAGGACCAAGAAAGGGGTGTTAATTGGTACAAACTGTTGCTATACTGCGATGCAAGGAGGGCCTAGCCCATTCATTGTTTGTAGCCAGTACCTGGACTTACCTTCACAACATGAATAAACTCATAGTGGTAGGGAAAGCATTCCCCAAAAGGAAATTGGGTTGTTTTAGCTAGAATAGGAGATGAACAGCCCAAAAGGACATGTCCCACATCAGTGTTCAGCTGGATAGCAGTTTGAGAAGTTCTTACTTAAATGAGTACTACTATTTTTGCTTACACCTTTTGAATTCTGAGAAGTCAGGTTTAATGAAGCTCTTGAGAACTTGTCTGGCAGGGAGACCAAGGAAAGAGGCATAATCTACCCTCAGGGGACTTGTACCCTCATTAAGAAGGCAGTACTATGCCACAAGAAATCAGTAACTAAAAGACAATTAGTTTATCTGCCTTGGTGGTCATCTTACAATAAACGTAGTTCAGAAAAGAAAGGGGATGTATTAGTATGCACTGAGCTTGAGCTTTGTAAGGAAAGTCTTCATATAGTCTTAGCTGAACCTTGAAGGAAGATTTAGATTAGGATGAGAACTAGAGGTGGCATCATTTATAGCATACAAACAGAGGCAGAAGTCAGAATGCTTTATGCAGCTGCCAGATGTAGCTGGAGCAGAGAATTCTTGTCAGAATAGGTAATGCTCAGGCTGTGAAGCCTGTGTATAAAATGTTTTGTCCACGTGGTAAGGGAACTTATAAAAGTGGTGTTCTTAATATTTTAATCAAAAGTTTCAAGTCAGTGTTTATTCTGTAGGATCTCCCTGAATTTTTTGAAGATAATATGGAAACTTGGATGAATAATTTTCATACTCTCTTAACATTGGATAATAAGCTTTTACAAACTGATGTAAGTATTTAAAATGTTGCCTGAGTGGTCTTTTTCTTTCATTAAGAGTTATTTGGCTACAGTCTGGAAACCTATTTACTCTTGCATTGTTAAAAGATAAAATTTCAATACTGTAATAATATTTGATTCTATTTGATGTTACATGTTTGGTGTGTGTAGTATACAGAATTACTCTTATCATGGGCTTGGCTTAAGCCATAGTGTACATATAAGGCTGTTTCATTACATTATTGAAAGTAGGTCTTTAAAGTAGTGACATTATGGATATTTCATGAAATAAAATTATTTTTCATTGAAGATACTAAGAAAACTTAAAACTCTATAATGGTAGCCCCTTTTTAAAAATCATCTGGCTAGGCATGGTGGTTCACACCTGTAATCCCAGCACTTTGGGCGGCCAAGGTGGGGAGGATCCCTTGAGCCCAGGAGTTCAAGACCAGCCTTGGCAATGTAAGGAGACCCCCATCACTACAAAAAATAAAAATAAAATTAGCCAGATGTGTTGGCTCATGCTAATGGTCACAGCTACTCAGAAGGCTTAGTTGTGAGGATCCCTTGACCTTGAGCCCAGGAGGGCAAGGCTGCAATGAGCTGTGACCATGCCACTGCACTCCAGCCTGGGAGACAGAGGGAGACCTCGTCTCAGAAAAAGAAAAAATTATCCACAGCTCGAGAAAGAGAGAAAATGGTAAAAGATTGTAATTTGTAAATATTTCTGATATGGGTTTTATATTGTGTACTTTTAAACATATAACACTTATTCTGTGCTACTCATTTGTTAATATATTTATGACCTTCTTTCCGAAGAGACAAAAGACAAAATATTAAAAATATTTCAATACCAAATAAACTAAAAATTAGAATTGGTGATTCAAATCAGGTTTTAAGAGTGGGGTACAGAAAGAAATTGTTACTATCGTTGTACAACAGATTTTGTCTCAGAGTTTGACTATATTAATAGGAACTTTAAAAGATGTAGCTCTCATAAAATAATTATTTCAGTCCAATGGGAGGGAAAAACACTCCTTCAGAAAACAAAACTTTTCTTCACACAAAAGTCACAAGGAAATTTTTTGGATAGAATTCTTACAAGGACCTTTTTGCCCAGTTAACCATGTGCTACCTTGTGCTACTATTTATGCCTTAAGTAATCAGTGTGAGGGAGTTTTGGTTTTGGCTTTGGTTTTTGTTCTTACTCTGATGTCTTCCCTTGTCTCACTCTGTCACCAAGGCTGGAGTGCAGTGGCATGATCATGACTTACTGCAGCTTCGACCTCCCTGGGCTCAAGTGATCCTCCCACCTCAGCCTCCCAAGTAGCAGGGACTATGGGTATGCACCACCATGCCCAGCTGATTTTTTTTATTTTGGGGGCTTGCTGTGTTGCCCAGGCTAGACTCAAAACTCCTGGGCTTGGCCCGTCGCAGTGGCCCACGCCTATAATCCCAGCACTTTGGGAGGCCGAGGCCATCCTGGCTAACACGGTGAAACCCCGTCTCTACTAAAAAAAAAAAATACAAAAATTAGCCGGGCGTGATGGCGGGTGCCTGTAGTCCCAGCTACTTGGGAGGCTGAGGCAGGAGAATGACGTGAACCCAGGAGGCGGAGCTTGCAGTGAGCTGAGATCGCGCCACTGCACTCCAGCCTGGGCAACAGAGGGAGACTGCGTCTCAAAAAAAAAAAAAAAAAACCACTCCTGGCCTCAGGCCATCCTCCAGCCTCAGCCTCCCAGAGGGTTGGGATTACCGGCGTGAGCCACTACACTCAGCCAGAATATACTGTTTGAATCTAATACGGAAATATTTTGTAATTCAGCAACTTATTTGAAAGACTTGGTGAAAAGATTGGTGGTGGCATAGCTGTAGTTTACAATAACTGATTTGATTTGGATTTAATTGATAAAGAGTCTAGTTCAGGAATTTCAGTTACTCCTCTTACTTATGTTAGCATTAGAGTTGTATGTTGGAGTTTTTGTTTTCTTTTATGTGAGGATGAAGAGGAAGCCGGCTTATTGGAGCTCTTAAAATCCCAGATTTGTGATAATGCCGCACTCTATGCACAAAAGTACGATGAAGAATTCCAGCGATACCTGCCTCGTTTTGTTACAGCCATCTGGAATTTACTAGTTACAACGGGTCAAGAGGTTAAATATGATTTGGTAAGATGATGGTGGAGACAAATAATTAAAAGACATTCTCTCCCTATCTCCTCCAAGAAATAAGCTGTTGAGTTTTGCTTTTAAAAATATTCTTGTTTTTGTGTTTTGTTCCAGTTGGTAAGTAATGCAATTCAATTTCTGGCTTCAGTTTGTGAGAGACCTCATTATAAGAATCTATTTGAGGACCAGAACACGCTGACAAGTATCTGTGAAAAGGTTATTGTGCCTAACATGGAATTTAGAGGTAATTATGGCAAAAGTATATTAGTATAAATCTACTAAGTCTGTGTTTGTTTTTTGTAACATATTCAGTCTAATTCATTTATTACTGGATAAAACTTGTATGTCATTTATTTCTTATTTTCTAAACCAAGACAGAAAATGTAGTATCTGTAATGAGTTTTGTTGTGCCCTGTGAGGGTTTTCTCATGGAAATATTAAATAAGACTTCAAAAATTCCTTTACACTAAGAAGATAAACTATCTGGAATTTCTATTTAGAGAAAGAATTTGATTTTGTTTCATTTATTATTTCAATGAATTTTTAGCTGGCTTTATTTATTTATATATTTATTTGAGACAGGGGTCTCGCTCTGTCACCCAGGCTGGAGTGCAGTGATGCAATCTTGGCTCACTGCAACCTTAGCCTCCCAGGCTCAAGTGATCCTCCTACCTCAGTCTTCTGAGTAGCTGGGACCACAGGCACACATCACCATGCCTGGCTAATTTCTTGTATTTTTGGTAGAGACAGGGTTTCACCATGTTGTTCAGGGTAGTCTCAAACTCTTGAGCTCAAGCAGTCCACCCGCTTTAGCCTCCCAAAGTGCTGGGATTGCATTTCTGAGCCACCTCGCCCAGAAATAGCTGTTTTTAAACAATCGACTTGAGAATAGAAATGATAACTTTATAAATACAAGGTTGAAGCCCACTTAGTTTGTGCTTAAGGTTAAACTATAGTGCTAAGAGCCTATATTTATAAAATGTATGTCCTTGTTCTAACAGTTGTGAAGAACAAGTAATGAAGGTGGGAGGGATTGTGTTTTTTGTTTTGGGGACAGGGTCTCACTGTGTCACCCAGGCTGGAGTGCAGTAGCACAGTTATGGCTTACTGCAACCTCAACTTCCCAGGCTCAAGTCATTGTCCCACCCTGGCCTCCTGAGTAGCTGGGACTACAGACGTGCACCACCATGCTCAGCTAGTTTTTTATTTTTTATAAAGATGGGGGTCTTCCTATGTTGCACAGGCTGGTCTCAAACTCCTAGCTTCAAACAATCCTTCTGCCTCAGCCTCTCAAAGTGCTGGGATTACAGGCATGAGCCACCATGCCAGGCCAAGATTTTGTTTTATATCAAAATAGTTATTAGATCAGTGGTTTTCAAATTACATCTGGAACAAAATAAGGAAATTAAGGACAATATAGCGTGAGATTTTATTTCCTGTTGTGTTTTCATAAAAATATGTTTAAAGGATAAATCTTCTGGCTGGGTGTGGTGGCCCATACCTTTAATCCCAACACTTTGGGAGGCTGAGGTGGGAGGAACACTTGAGCCCAGGAGTTAAAGACCAGCCTGGCCAAAATGGCAAAACCTTATCTCTACAATAAATAAATTAGTTGGGTATGGTGGCATGGGCCTGTGGTCCCAGGTACTCAAGCAGCTTAGGTGGGAGTTTTGCTTGAGCTCAGGAGGTGGAGGCTGCAGTGAGACATGATCATACAACTGCAGTGTGTGTGTGTGTGTGTGTGTGTGTGTGTGTGTGTGTGTGTAGACTTTTTTTTTTTTTTAATTTATATGATAAAAATAGAGATGAGATCTCGCTGTGTTGACCAGGCTGGTCTCAAACTCCTGGGCTCAAGCGATCCTCCCATTTCAGCCTCCCAAAGTGCTAGGTTACACGCGTGAGCCACCATGCCGGCCATTTCTGACATTGTCCACTCTACTTATTTGTTGTTGAAATGACTTTAATGAAATAATAGTGATTAAAATTAGGTTGTTGGTATTTTAATGTTCTTATTTGGTGAAATTAAAAGTTAGCATTCTGATACTGATCCCTAACATTTTTGACAGTTGCAGGTATAATCCAATTCTGGGGAAACTGTCACATTAGAACAAGTGAGCCTATCTCATAGTTGTGTGAATTACCTAATACCTCACCTTTCAGGGTAGCATTTGCTGCTCTAGATAATGATTAAGAGTATATGAAGTAGTCATCTGATGGGAACGAATTCTTTGCTGTAGAACAAGGCAGTTTTACATACTCTTCTGCATTCTCAGCTGTAAAGTACAGTGACGTCTTTTGGAGTGTTATCTGAAATATCATCTCTCCTTGTAGCTGCTGATGAAGAAGCATTTGAAGATAATTCTGAGGAGTACATAAGGAGAGATTTGGAAGGATCTGGTGTGTATCTTGGTTTTTTAGTTACTAGTCTCTTAGCAAGCCAGTTTTAAGGTGGTTCTCTTT
The DNA here is from genome assembly GCF_000001405.40 of Homo sapiens. Lineage (NCBI taxonomy): Eukaryota > Metazoa > Chordata > Mammalia > Primates > Hominidae > Homo > Homo sapiens. The sequence continues at coordinate 49,074,914 of NC_000020.11, forward strand.
CTAGTAAATGGGAGAAGTGGGATTGAGAATAAGAGTGTTTTTTCAGCGGGCTTTCATTGAGAACTGTTGTCTTTCTTCAACTTGTCTTAAAAAGCTCTTATATGACCTGAATGAAAATATCAAAAGTTGAATCATTTGTCTGTTCTTACATAGTATTTATCAAAATTCTGTGATTCTGTGACCTCTTTAGTTTCATTTTGATTTTGTATTTCTTGGGGGCGGGAATGTTTTTTTCATTGTTTGTGTTGCTGATAGCTATTGGGTGGCCCTTTGTTTTTCGTTCTTTTTTTTCCGTTTTACAATCGTAGCCAAATTATTCCAGGCAATTTGTTTTCTTATAAATTGGATCAGCTTGTTGGTGGTTGTTTTTTTTCCCCATAATATATTTTCTTTTCATTTCATAGATATTGATACTAGACGCAGGGCTGCTTGTGATCTGGTACGAGGATTATGCAAGTTTTTTGAGGGACCTGTGACAGGAATCTTCTCTGGTTATGTTAATTCCATGCTGCAGGAATACGCAAAAAATCCATCTGTCAACTGGAAACACAAAGATGCAGCCATCTACCTAGTGACATCTTTGGCATCAAAAGCCCAAACACAGAAGGTAAATATTTTTAATGTGGTTTTGTTTCTAAAACAGACATCAGTGACACCCACACAAGTCAAAAAGAAATAACGTCTCTGATAATAGAGCTTACTCTGCCAGATAACCTATTCTGATTAAGATTTATATAATCTCTGAAGATGGCTTTATGTTGATGTATTGAGCACTTAAGTTTCTTATAGACCAGAAAATTGATAGATGGCCACACTTGTTACCTTAGCTGAGACCCGCTGTATCAAATATGCTTAACTTAAACTTAGCTGTTCTTTAATTGAGGAAAGTTTCTTTATTGTCTATTAGTATAGTCTTATTTTACATTTTTATATTTTTGAGATGGAGTCTCACTTTGTCACCAGGCTGGAGTGCAATGGCGTGATCTCAGCTCACTGCAACCTCCACCTCCCGAGTTCGAGCGACTCTCCTGCCTCAGCGTCCCAAGTAACTGGGATTACAAGTGTGCACTACCACACCTGGCTAATTTTTGTATTTTTAGTAGAGACAAGGTTTCACCATATTGGTCAGGATGGTCTCAAATTCCTGACCTCGTGTGATCCTCACACCTCAGCCTCCCAGAGTGCTGGGATACAGGTGTGAGTCACCGTGCCTAGACAGTATAGTCTTATTTTATATTTTATACATAAGCAGGTTGTGTTTTGTTGTTGTTGTTTTGTTTTGTTTTGTTTTGAGACGGAGTTTCGCTCTTGTTGCCCAGGCTGGAGTGCAATGGCACGATCTTGGCTCACCGCAACCTCCGTTTGCCGGGTTCAAGTGATTCTCCTGCCTCAGCCTCCCGAGTAGCTGGGATTACAGGCATGCGCCACCACCCTGGCTAATTTTGTATTTGTAGTAGAGATGGGGTTTCTCCATGTTGGTCAGGCTGTTCTTGAACTCCTGACCTCAGGTGATCCACCTGCCTTGGCCTCCCAAAGTGCTGGGATTACAAGCATGAGCCACCATGCCTAGCCTAAGCAGTTCATGTTTTGAAGTGTCCCTCTCTCTCTTTTTTTTTTTTTTTTTTTTTTTTTTTGAGACGTTGTCTTGCTCTGTCATCCAGGCTGGAATGCAATGGCAACATCTCAGATTACTGCAACCTCTGCCTCCCGGGTTCAAGCAATTCTCATGCCTCAGCCTCCCGAGTAGCTAGAATTACAGGTGCATGCAACTACACCTGGCTAATTTTTTGTGTTTTTAGTAGAGACGGGGTTTTGCCATGTTGGCCAGGCTAGTCTTGAACTCCTGACTTCAAGTGATCTACCCGCCTCGGCCTCCCAAAGTGCTGGGATTACAGCCGTGAGCTCCTGTACACAGCCAGTACAGTCTCATTTTATACATAAGCAATTTGTATTTTGAAGTGTTCATCTCCATTTTAACATGGTTTTCTAAAATTGCCTGAATTTCTAATGTGATAGATATATACAGGTATTTTGTTATTTTACTATGTTATGAATTTGCTTTTCAGCATGGAATTACACAAGCAAATGAACTTGTAAACCTAACTGAGTTCTTTGTGAATCACATCCTCCCTGATTTAAAATCAGCTAATGGTGAGTTGTGAAATTCTTGCTTTTTTTACAGCTTGCCACACTATACCTGAATTCAAAAAACAGCTTCCTATCCTTGTTCCCTTTTGTTCTTTTTTTTTTTTTTTTTTTCTTTTGAGATGGTGTCTTACTCTGTTACCCAGGCTGGAGTGCAGTGGCACAGTCTCTGCTCACTGCAACTCCTGCCTCCTGGGTTCAAGCGATTCTCCTGCCTCAGCTTCCCAAGCAGCTGGGACTACAGGCACGTACCACCATGCCCGGCTAATTTTTGTATTTTTAGTAGAGACGGGGTTTCCCCATGTTGGCCAGGCTGGTCTCAAACTCCTGACCTCAGGTGATCCACCTGCGTCGGCCTGCCAAAGTGCTGGGATTGCAGGCGTGAGCCTCCATGCCCTGCCTATTATTTCTTTTATTGAATAAAATCTCAAATGGTTTCCCCAGATCTTGTCCATGTGAAATTAATTATTGATAAAGAAAATATTGCTTGATTAGGAGGAAAATAGGAATAAATACAACTAAACTGTAACTCAGCTTTGCTACCTAGTGTATAAATAAGGATTATACATTGGCTTCCTTTTCTTTTTTATTTGAAAGACGAATTCTTAAAAATTGGAGTACATTTCAAAGTACTAGAAAATTGATAAATATTAAGGATATCTTTTGGCCGGGTGCGGTGGCTCACACCTGTAATCCCAGCACTTTGGGAGACTGAGGCGGGAGGATCGTGAGGTCAAGAGATTGAGACCAGCCTGGTCAAAATGGTGAAACCCCGTCTCTACTAAGAATACAAAAACTAGCCGGGCGTGGTGGCGTGTGCCTGTAATCCCAGCTATTTGGGAGGCTGAGGCAGGAGAATCGCTTGAATCCAGGAGGCAGGGGTTGCAGTGAGCCGAGATCGTGCCACTGCACTCTAGCCTGGGATACAGAGCGAGACTCTGTCTCAAAAAAAAAAATTAAGGATAGTTTCTGATGTTTATGAATGTATTGATCTAGATCCAGATATATTCCTTTTTAAAAAAAATATTTTAATGTAGGAAATTTATGTACACCCAAAGGTGAAGAGAATATTGTAATGAGCTCCCATGTGACCATCATTTAGCTTCAAGAATTATTAACATTTGGTGATCTATTCCTTTCATTAATTTATTTCCCTACCCACTAGAATAATGTAAAGCAAATTCCAGCTAGAGAGACATGTTTCTAATTCAGAATAGCTTCACTTCTGGGAATGTAGGTAGACATGCTCACCGATGCATGGTCCAGCTCATTTTTACTCAATTATGTAATATGTGTTCCTTAGTCATGAAACAGGCATGGGGAAAAATAAAATCATTTATAATCCTACCAAAATTAATGACTAAATAGTAAATCATAATATAATTAACTGTGCTTTAATTACTTGACATTTTATCTTTTTTTATAACTCTGATGATGTCACTAATTTGGAAGTAATGATCCTTACCACTTAAGTAACTGTGGCTTTCTGTTTTTTTATATAGTGAATGAATTTCCTGTCCTTAAAGCTGACGGTATCAAATATATTATGATTTTTAGAAATCAAGTAAGTAGCTTTTTATTTGTTACACGCCACTTAATCTCTTTAAGAGTTTTATTATGTACCACCTTCTCATCTACTGTGCAGTCATTTTATATCCACATCTAACAAAATTAACAATGATTTCTTTATAACTTAGAATTTTAGACCATGCTTAATTTTCCTCAGATGTCTTTTTGCAATAATAGTAATAGAATTGGGATCTAGATAATGTCCACACATTGCTTACAGTTGATTGTGTCTTAAGTCTCTTAATTTACAATAGAGAGGTCCTTCTCTGCCACTTTTTGTTTGAGATGGAGTCTCATTCTGTCACCCAAGCTGGAGTGCAGTGGCACCATCTTGGCTCACTGCAACCTCTACCTCCTGGGTTCACGTGATTCTCCTGTCTCAGCCTCCCAAATAGCTAGGATTACAGGCACCTGCCACCACACCTAGCTAATTTTTTGTATTTTCAGTAGATCCGGGGTTTCCCCATGTTGACCAGGCTGGTCTCAAACTCCTGACCTCAGGTGATCTGTTCACCTCGGCCTCCCAAAGTGCTGGGACTACAGGTGTGAGCCACTGCACCCAACTGCCTTCCTTTCCTTTTATTTATTTATTTAAAAAAAATTTTTTTTTATTTTTTTGAGACGGATCTCACTCTGTCACCCAGGCTGGAATGCAGTGGCCTGATCTCAGATCACTGTAACCTCTGCCTTCCGGGTTCAAGTGATTCTCCTGCCTCGGCCTCCCTAGTAGCTGGGATTACAGGCATCTGCCACCACGCCTGGCTGATTTTTTGTATTTTTAGTAGTGATGGGGTTTCCCCATGTTGGCCAAGCTGGTCTCAAACTCCTGACCTCAGGTGATCCACCAGCCTTGGCCTCCCAAAGTGCTGGGATTACAGCTGTGAGCCACTGCACCTGGCCTCTACCCTTTCTTATGCTTGTTGTTGGAGAAAACACTCATTTATCTTAGAGACTTTCTCACATTTTACTTTTGGCTGATTGCACCTTGAATCTCTCAGTATTCAAGGGGTATTGGTTCCAGGACGCCTGAATATCCCAAAATTGATGAATACTTAGGTCCCACATTTGGGCCTGCGGAATCCTCATATATGAAAAGCCAGCCTTCCACATACAGATTTTACATCCCAGGAATACTGTGTTTTCTATTTGCATTTGGTCTAAAACAAATCCAGCCAGGCATGGTGGCTTGTGCCTGTAATCCCAACACTTTGAGAGGCTGAGGCAGGCAGATCATTTGAGGTCAGGAGTTCAAGACCACCTTGGCCAACATGACGAAACCCCATCTCTACTAAAAATACTAGCTGGGTGTGGTGGCACATGCCTATAATCCCATCTACTCGGGAGGCTGAGACATGAGAATCACTTGAACCCAGGAGGCGAAGGTTGCAGTGAGCCAAGATCATGCCATTGCACTCCAGCCTGGACAACAGAGCAAGACTCAAACCCGTGTTGTTCAAGGGTCTCCTGAAGTTTATGTTGTCCCTCTAGTCCCCATATTTCTATATTGGTAAATCTGGGGGCTTGATTAGACTTAGATTCCTTGGTCGGGGGTGACACAAGAAAGCATCATAGGTATACTTTCTGTTTCATTTTATCAGGATATACACAATATCTGGTTGTTTTGTTTTTTTTTATTTTTTTTGTTTTTTTTTTTTTGCTCACTGCAAGCTCAGCCTCCTGGGTTCACGCCATTCTCCTGCCTCAGCGTCCCAAGTAGCTGGGACTACAGGCGTCAGGCACCATGCCTGGCCCTGGTTATCAATTTTTAATGATGTTAAGACAGATCAGTGGATTCAGATGAAGGAGAACGTTACATTGTCAACATTTTTTAAATAGCATTTTAAAAATTGAGATATACTTTATTCTTTTTTTTGGAGACGGAGTTTCGCTCTCGTTGCCCAGGCAATGGAACGATCTCGGCTCACCGCAACATGCGTCTCCCGAGTTCAAGCGATTTTCTTGCCTCAGCCTCCTGAGTAGCTGGGATTACAAGCATCCACCACCACGCCTGGCTAATTTTGTATTTTTAGTAGAGACGGGGTTTCTCCATGTTGGTCAGGCTGGTCTCGAACCCCCTACCTCAGGCGATCCGCCTGCCTCGGCCTCCCAAAATGCTAGGATTACAGGCATGAGCCACCGCGCCCGGCCTTATTCATTTATTTTTGAGACAAAGTCTTACAGTCTGTTGGCCAGTCTAGAGTGAACTACTACAATCATAGCTCAATGCAGCCTTAAACTTGTAGGCTCAAGTGACCCTTTTGCCTAAGCCTCCCTGAGTAGCCAAGACTATAGGTGTGTGCCACACCACCTGGCTAATTTTTTATACTTTTTACTTAGTTTATTGTTTCTTTCTTTCTCCTTCTTTTTTTTTTTTGAGAGGTAGTTTTGCTCTGTTGCCCAGGCTGGAGTACAGTGGTGTGATCTCGGCTCACTGCAGCCTCCACCTCCCAGGTTCAAGTGATTCTCTTGCCTCAGCCTCCTGAGTAGCTGGGATTACACGTGCCTGCCACCATACCCAGCTAATTTTTGTCTTGTTAGAAGAGACAGGGTTTCACCATGTTGGCCAGACTGGTCTCAAACTCCTGACCTCAGGTGATCCACCCCTGCCTCGGTCTCCGAAAGTGCTGGGATTATAGGCGTGAGCTACCACGCCCGGCCCATTTCTTTATTTTTTGAAACAGGGTCTCGTTCTGTCGCCCAGGCTGGAGTGCAGTGACATGACCACAGCTCACTGCAGCCTTGAACTCCTGGGCTCAAGCAGTCCTCCCACTTTCAGCCTCCCGAGTAGCTGGAACCCAGGCACGTGCCACCACACCCAGCCATATTGCATTACTTTTAAAAAATCAATTGAGAAAAATTATAGAGAATACCTGCTTCCCCAGTTAGAGTATGTTGGAATTTTGCCAATCTTAAATGGTATCTCATTGCAGTTTTAATTTACGTTTGTTTTATTTTGAGTTCAGTTAAGCATCTTTCCACTTGAAGGGTCCATTTTCATTTCTTTTCGGTGAACTGTGAATTCATCTTCTTTTGCCCATTTTTCTATCTGATTATTGGTCTTAATTTTTAGAGAACGTGTAGTTTTTCTTCTGATTCTGAATGCCTAGGTCACTTTAATTGTACTGAGAAAAAAATCAAAACTTGCACTCATCTTATTTCTTTGATGTCTTTGCCCAGTAACAATGGTGCCATCTTGCAAAATATTTTAAACACACAAGCAGGAATAAAACAATATGATGATTACTGAAATAATCCTCACAAATCTTAAAACTCCAGGCCATATTTATGTATACATACATATACAATGGAGGTATTCCAGGTGCTCCCTGCCCAGTCAGTCCCTTTCTCTCTATAGGTAATTACTGTAGTGAATTCGGTGTATTTGACACCCATGGAAGTGCTTTTCTTACGCTTTCACTACGCATTTATGTTTCTGCAAAAATTATTTAGTATTATGTAGGTTTTAATTTTTTTTTTTTAGATGGAGTCTTGCTCTGTTGCCCAGGTTCAAGCCATGCTTTTTTTATACTTTCACTATGTGTTTATGTTTCTGCAGAAATTATTTAGTATGCTGTAGGTTTTAATTTTTTTTTAGATGGAGTCTTGCTCTGTTACCCAGGTTCAAGCCATTCTCCTGCCTCAGCCTCCCAAGTAGCTGGGACTGCAGGTGCCCACCACCACGCCCAGCAATTTTTTGGTAGAGACAGGGTTTTGCCATCTTGGCCAGGCTGGTCTTGAACTCCTGACCTCAGGTGATCCACCCGCCTTGGCCTCCCAAAGTGCTGGGATTACAGTCGTGATTCACCACGCCTGGCCTAGGTTTTAAATTTTTGTTTGTATAAATGACATCATACTATGGGTTTCATTTTTCTGTTTTTTGTTACTTGTTTGTTTTGAGACGGAGTCTTCGCTCTGTCGCTCAGTGCAGTAACACAATCAAGTCATGCAGTGGCACGATCTTGGCTCACTGCAAGCTTCACCTCCTGGGTTCATGCCATTCTCCTGCCTCAGCCTCGCGATAGCTGGGACTACAGGCTACCGCCACCATGCCCGGCTAATTTTTTTTGTATTTTTTAGTAGAGACGGGGTTTCACTGTGTTAGCCAGGATGGTCTCGATCTCCTGACGTTGTGATCCGCCCGCCTTGGCCTCCCAAAGTGCTGGGATTACAGGCATGAGCCACCGTGCCTGGCCTTTTCTGTTTTATTTTGAGAATGAGGTCTTGCTCTGTTGCCCAGGCTGGAGTGCAGTGGTGCGATCATAGCTTACTTCAGCCAGGAAATTCTGGACTCAAGCGATCCTCCTGCCTTAGCCTCCCTAGTTGATGGGATTACGGGCATGCTCCACCGTACCCACCTACATCATGACTGTTTGTCCTTAACATCTTTTTTTTTTTCTTTTTTCTTTTTTTTTTCTGAGATGGAGTCTTGCTCTGTTGCCCACGCTGGAGTGCAGTGGTGCAGTCTCAGCTCACTGCAACCTCCGCCTCCTGGGTTGAAGCCATTCTTCTGCCTCAGCCTCCCGAGTAGCTGGGACTACAGGCGCATGCCACCACGTCTGGCTAATTTTTTGTATTTTTAGTAGAGGTTTCACCATGTTAGCCAGGATGGTCTTGATCTCATGACCTCGTGATCTACCCACCTCGGCCTCCCAAAGTGCTGGGATTACAGGCGTGAGCCGCCACTGCGCCCGGCCTAACATCATTTTTGAGTTATTCATTTAGTGCCTAAAGCGATCCAGCTACCTCAGCCTCTCAAGTTGCTGGGACTACAGGAATTCACTACCATGCCCAGCTAATTTTTTATTTAATTTTTTCTTAATAGAGATGAGGTCTCACTATGTTGCCCAGGCTGGTCTTGAGCTCCTGGGCTTAAGCAATTGTTCTACCTTGGCTTCCTGAAGTATTGGGATTATAGACAGGAATGAACCACCACACCCAGGAGGCTTTTCTAGTTTAGACTAATGAATGTTTCAAATTTAGAGGTTTTTAATGAAGATTGTTCTCGTATTTGTTGCTTTTTGGGGGTGGGAAGAGAACAAAAAATGAGACACAAAAAGGTTAAATAACTTTTTCAAGAAATATCTGCTAGTGATGATTCTTAAGTTTGGTGAAATCTTAGTCTCCTTCTCTGTGATATTATTATTTTATGGTATGTTGATTTATCTGCAAGATGTTATCCTCATAGTTTTGTGCTCTGAAAAGGAGAATTTAGAAAGTGGAAATTGAACCATTATGTGCAAGTGAAAGTTTTGGTTTCTGGGCAGCAGCATCTCCTATTATAACAGAGCTTAAAAATAGCAAATTGTTCTTTAAATCAACAGGTCCTTCTCTTCCAATTGTCTTTTACTCAAATATGGAATCATTGCATTTAGAGCATGTATATTATTGTGTTTTTTAGGTGCCAAAAGAACATCTTTTAGTCTCGATTCCTCTCTTGATTAATCATCTTCAAGCTGAAAGTATTGTTGTTCATACTTACGCAGCTCATGCTCTTGAACGGCTCTTTACTATGCGAGGGCCTAACAATGCCACTCTGTGAGTATTTTATTCTAAAGTTTTTTAGCCTGGGGTAGGGGCTGTACTGTGCTGGTCAAAGATATCTGAATGTTTTCATAATTTCACTAGTGGGAAAACAAATGTCTGCTTTCTATTCCTTTATACTCTGTTTCATTCTAAAAGCATTTGAGGCTGCTTACTAAAATAGGTGCATTATGACAATACAATTTAATAAACTGGAGCCAAGGAAAGTAACTGAGATAAAGTTAATAAACAGAAATGTGTGTCAAAGGATCCTATATAGTAGTCCAAGAAACTCCAAATTTTATTTGGAGTCTCTTAGCAGCCAGGGCAAAGAGGGAAACTTGGGAAGTTAAAATTTTCACAGGGTCTATGAGATAAAAGTTAAAGCAGAGAATACTGTACAATAGTAGTAGTAGTGTTCTCAGCAACAATCATGTAACAGTTATTTTCATGTGGCTATTTGCGTAAGGTCACTTATTTCTGAGATATGACCTAACCGAATGAAAGTAATTCACTGGGGACCAAGAAAATAGGTCTTCTGGCCTGAACCAGGATGAAATGTAGAGGAATGGATGGTCTGCATGTCTTTCAGGCCACTATTCAACAGTATTATTTCTTGAAATGAGCTTTGGGTAAGAGATGGAAAACAGTTCTAGGTTCTTTCCTTCATCAAGAACTTGAAGTACAGATACTCTCAGTGGCCAATTAAGGGTAGAAAGGACATCCTTTGAGGTGAGTCAAGCCAGTACCTATCTTCAGGCCCAGAATTTATGCAGAAAACAGTTCTGAATCTTGGCTCCACCTCCAAAAACAAAATAAATGACAGAGTCCCCTGAGATTCTGAGTTCTTTCTCAGTGGTAATAGATATAAACCAGGGACAACTGTTTCAACTTCAGATGTTGTTGGGTTTAGCTGGCTTTTTGGTTCAGTTGTGTTTGGTTCTCGATGTGCCTTCTTAGGAGCCTAACATGAGCACATGTAAAAAAATTATTTTCCTAAACTGTCTATCAATTGTCAGTGGTGGGAGATGGCTCAGTTTTATGCTGAGAAGGGTGACATAGTGGTTGCCAAGGGTAATCTGCAGTGACAAGCTCAAGAGTTGGTAGTGACTGAAAGCTGTTTTTTCATCTATAGCTTTACAGCTGCAGAAATCGCACCGTTTGTTGAGATTCTGCTAACAAACCTTTTCAAAGCTCTCACACTTCCTGGCTCTTCAGAAAATGAATATATTATGAAAGGTAGGCTGTTTCCCTGGTGTGCAGACTACAGGTATCCAATCTCAGATTGTAAGGGTGAGCACTCTGAGTTATACTTCAGGTTATACAGTCTATGAACCAGATAATGTTTACCAAGTAGTAAGTTAGTTTAGATATTTCAAAATGAAAAACATTATCTTGTTTACTACTAACAATAATTTTTTTTTTTTTTTTTTTTTTTTTTTGAGATGGAGCCTTGCTCTGTTGCCCAGGCTGAAGTGCAGTGGCTTGATCTCAGCTCACTGCCACCTCTCCCTCCTGGGTTCAAGCGATTCTCCTGCCTCAGCCTCCCGAGTAACTGGGATTACAGGTGCACTCCACCATGCCCGGTTAATTTTTGTATTTTTAGTAGAGACAGGGTTTTGCCATATTGGCCAGGCTGGTCTCAAACTCCTGACCTCAAATATCTGCCCGCCTCAGCCTCCCAAAGTGCTGGGATTAGAGGCCACTGCACCTGGCCAACAGTAATCTTAATTTGATATGGAACTTCTCATTACAGAAAATGTAGCAAAGCCCTTTTTTCCTTCCCTAGATTGAGTTTCTTTAAGGCAAAGAAGAGATCATGCAACGTTTATTAACTGCATGCTCACCTAGGTAGGGGTGAAATGTGGGTGCCTGTGGTAGACTCTGCACAAATCGTGTCTTCTTACGTACTGCCAAGGACACAGGCAGCTGTATCCATCCACAGGCTGGTGTATCCATCCACCAGGCACTACATTAGTTGAGTGTCCTGGTGCCAGCTCTGAATTTAGAGATAGTCTCAGTGTTTTTCACTGTTGCATCCCAAAAGCCTAGCACATTGGGTTGTAGGAAGCACTTTTCAGAGAAACTCCCTGATCTTTTCAGTCTGGATCAGAAATCCTAGAGTGGATGTGTGTATCTGGGTGTATGTTTCCAACACTATCCTTCCCCCAACAATGATGTATAATTGTGTAATTATTGTTGTTTAATGTCCTTTTTTTTTTTTTTTTTTTTTTTGAGATGGAGTTTCACTCTTGTTGCCCAGGCTGGAGTGCAATGGCACAATCTCAGCTCACTGCAGCCTCACTCTCCTGGGTTCAAGCGATTCGCCTGCCTCAGCCTCCCGAGTAGCTAGGATTACAGGCGTGTGCTACCATGCCCAGCTAATTTTGTATTTTTAGTAGAGACAGGGTTTCTGCATGTTGGTCAGGCTGGTCTTGAACTCCCGACCTCAGGTGATCCACCCGCCTCAGCCTCCCAAAGTGCTGGGATTACAGGTGTGAGCCACTGCGCCCAGCCTTAATGTCCATTTCTATGAGAGCGGCTAACTAGTCTGTAATCTTCATTACTGTGTTTTTAGGGTATGTAAGAATACACAGTATGTAATACCTTCTCTGTACGGTTGTATGAGTGAATGAAATAATTCTGCGCCAGCCTAGTGGAGGAGCACCAATTTATCCTCTAGCCCTTTTAACCCAGGTCAGGGAAGGATTTTCTCTAGGAAGTGATCTCTAAGCTGAGATATGACCTAACCGAACGTTAGGTGTGAGGGATAGGTAGCAATCTGTTGAAGGGTGGATGAGTCTTTGACTCCAGTAGAGGAGGAAACATGATGTGCAGAGTTCAGGAGGCAAGAGCAGATAGCTTTCTGTCCTTTATGCTTGGCATGTATTTGGGGCTCTGCTTAGTAAACATTTATTTTAGAAATGTTATTTGTGGAAAGAGAGCTTTTATACATTTTTAGCTGACAAATTTATTTTTCTCCCATGCTTCCTATTTTTAACCCATTTATGGTCTTTTGAGCAATATTTTTGCAATTTGGACTCTGTGGCTTTACATGTATTTTTAGAATTTTTTTAGGCTCCTAATCTCTTTTTTTGAGGGAGGTGGATAGGCAGTTTTCTCTTCAGTTTCCTGTAGTTTGTGATCATGTTTCCTTTAGGCTAGGGCTAAACATTTTCTGATGCTGGTTTCTTTTTCTTTTTCTTTTTTTTTTTTTTTTTTGAGAGAGAGAGGGAGTCTCGCTCTGTCTCCCAGGCTGGAGTGCAGTGGCATGATCTTGGCTCACTGCAACCTCCACTTCCCAGGTTCAAGCGATTCTCAAGCCTCAGCCTCCCGAGTAGCTGGGACTACAGACGTGCACCACATACCTGGCTAATTTTGCTATTTTTAATGGAGATGGGTTTTGCCATGTTAGCCAGGTTGGTCTCAGACTCTAGCCTCAAGTGATCCGCCAGCCTCGGCCTCCCAAAGTGCTGGGGTTACAGGTGTGAGCCACCAAGCATGGCCTCTGCTACTGATTTCTAAGAGAAAGAGACCCCAAACAGTTCTCTCTCAGACTCACCTGCTCCATTCATGTCAGCTCACTGTTTCTTCCTCTTAGTCAACCTCTTTAATTATTTTTTAAACCTTGAGCCTTCTAGAAATACTCAGTATTTCCCAGCTAAATTTTGTTGCCAACCCGTCCTAATTTTAAAAGGAAGGGAAATTTAGATTATTTTTAAATGTAGAGAGCTATCTCGGGGTTGTCTAAGCATCTTAAAATTTAGTTGATGAATTAGTGCGCTTTTTTCCCCCCAGTCGCTCTCTTATTCTGAAGTTTAACTAAACTCTATTTGTTTTTGCTGTTTTTGTATTTTACAGCTATCATGAGAAGTTTTTCTCTCCTACAAGAAGCCATAATCCCCTACATCCCTACTCTCATCACTCAGCTTACACAGAAGCTATTAGCTGTTAGTAAGGTAATAGAGCCAATTTTGAAAGTGGGGTTCCTTTTTTATTTGCTCCAAACTGTTTGGGCCTCAGAACTCTTTGGCATTACGTGAAGCTTTAGAGAAGGTCTGTGAATTCTTCCTGACCAGCCACTAATGGACTTTTCTGAAAGTGTGGGCATGCTGTTAGATTGGAGACGTAATAGCAGTCACCTTTAAGTGTGTGCTAGAAGCTTGAATACATTTTCATTCTCATTACAAAAGTAACATGTTTATTGTAGAAAAAGAAAGTGCAGATGATCCAAAATTACCTTAAATGGAGTTAAGTAGGCTTTGCACTAAATGGATATAAAAGAGGCTGTCTGGACTTCTATGAAATGATGATTAAAATCCTTTGTGTTGTCTTTTCTTCCTTACTCTTATTTCTCAAAAGGAAAGTTCACTCTGATCAAAATTTTACAGATACTTAGATTCATGTTTATTAACACTAAATTTTAGAAAATAAATCCGTTTAAGGCTGACAGAATTCCTTTTTAGATGCTATTCTTGATCTTATGAGAATTAGATCAATTCATAGGAAGTGTTGGAGGGATTTTGGAGAACAGAGTGATTATTATTCAACTGAGTTAGGGCTAAGGGTCTTTGGACTACTTAGGGCCTTGAGGGATGGAGCGGGGAGGGAACCCAAGTCTCCGCCTCCCATATGTATTACCATCTCATGTTCTGATTGAGTTAGATTTGTATGCTAGTAGCCTTCCAAGAACTTGTTTAAAGAAAAATGGGGTTTTGTTGCTTAAAAAGAACATAAAAAACTACTCATTTGGGGGATTATCAGTAAGTAGACATAGACATTGAGGCCCACAGAAGTTAAGGCTAGTGGCATTACTAGGACTTAGTATTTCTTCTCTGCGAGGGCACGTGGGCTTAAGACAAGTTACAGCTCTGGGATCTGAGGTTTGTATAAGCAACTCTGTAACTCTGAAGTATTTTTTTCATGGTGGACTTTGGGCCATTTAAAAAAAAATTCAAATGAACAAGCACTAGGGTATAATTGGTGTTTTTTTCTTAATTTTGATTTTTAAAAAATAAGATGGCCTCTATTTTAAATGTGTTTTATAAAGGTTAGGTGTGGATTATTAGCATAATTAGGTTTTTTTTTTTTAATTTCAGAACCCAAGCAAACCTCACTTTAATCACTACATGTTTGAAGCAATATGTTTATCCATAAGAATAACTTGCAAAGCTAACCCTGCTGCTGTTGTAAATTTTGAGGAGGCTTTGTTTTTGGTGTTTACTGAAATCTTACAAAATGATGTGCAAGGTAAGTTAACGGAAATTATTTTCTTTGTAATGGAATAAAATTAACATGGCTATAAAATGCAGCCCACCTAAGCGATGTGGGCCTTTTGTGTCAGTCATTCCTTCTGAAGCTCACAGCTCTGTTTTTACTTTTATCAACAGAATTTATTCCATACGTCTTTCAAGTGATGTCTTTGCTTCTGGAAACACACAAAAATGACATCCCGTCTTCCTATATGGCCTTATTTCCTCATCTCCTTCAGCCAGTGCTTTGGGAAAGAACAGGAAATATTCCTGCTCTAGTGAGGCTTCTTCAAGCATTCTTAGAACGCGGTTCAAACACAATAGCAAGTGCTGCAGCTGACAAAATTGTGCGTCAGGTTTTGATATAACTGTAATTTTATAAAGTAGCTTGGAGAAACTGGGGATGGCAGATGTTTGAAATTTTTTTATTTAAAATAAATTTAAGGCTGGGGGCAGTGGCTCAAGCCCACCACTTTGGGAGCCTCTAGTGGGAGGATCCCTTGAGCCGAGGAGTTTAAGACCAGCCTAGGCAACGTGGTGAGATCTATCTCTACAAAGGAAAAAAAAGCTTTTTAATTAGTTGGACACAGTGGAGCATGCCTGTGGTCCCATCTACTTGGGAGGCTAAGGTGAGAGGGTCGCTTGAGCCCAGGAGTTTAAGGCTGCAGTGAGCCATGATCTCACCATTGCACTCCATCCTGGGCAACAGAGCTAGACCCTGTCTCTTAAAAAAAATAATAATAATAATAACGGAAATAATTAGTAGAAAATGTTATGGTATGTTTTATCAGAATTCTGTATCCTTTAGTTATTTATATCCATGATGGAAAATTTTAAAAACAGAGCCAAACAGGTTGATTTTAAGAACTTAACTTTGGTCGGGCGTGGTGGCTCACACCTGTAATCTCAGCACTTTGGGAGGCCGAGGTGGGCAGATCACCTGAGGTCAGGAGTTCAAGACCAGCCTGGCCAACATGGCGAAACCCCGTCTCTACTAAAAATAAAAATTAGGTGGGTGTGGTGGCACGTGCCTGTAATCCCAGCTACTCAGAAGGCTGAGGCAGGAGAATCGCTTGAACCTGGGAAGCAGAGGTTGCAGTGAGCCAAGATCGCCCCATTGCACTCTAGCCTGGGCAACAAGAGTGAAACTCCGTCTCAAAGAAAAAAAAAATTACTTTAATGGCTACGCGGGAGGAATTGTTCCCCATATGTTTCAGAAATAATTAAAGAGAAAAGGATAGATTATTACAGTATGAACTCTGTTTTAAGACATATATCATGTTTAACTTTTCGAATAATTATTCCTGTTAACCATTTTCTGTTGGATCTCATTTCTTAACAGCCTGGGTTACTAGGTGTCTTTCAGAAGCTGATTGCATCCAAAGCAAATGACCACCAAGGTTTTTATCTTCTAAACAGTATAATAGAGCACATGCCTCCGTGAGTATGACTAGAACTTTGTGCATTTATTTAGAAATTTTGTTAGGTGCTCAGAAAAGTCCTAAATTTATATTGTTGATTTTTTTTAATTCTTTAGTGAATCAGTTGACCAATATAGGAAACAAATCTTCATTCTGCTATTCCAGAGACTTCAGAATTCCAAAACAACCAAGTTTATCAAGAGTAAGTAAAATCATCTGGATGTTCTACAGAAGTAATGAAAGAAGGTAGCTAAAACCCTTAGACTTTATGGTTGCAGATACATTTTTTATCCGTTTTAAACTTTATGCAAAAAATACTTGGCCACGTGTGGAGGTTCATGCCTGTAATCGCAGCACTTTGGGTGGCCAAGGGAGGCCGATCGCTTGAGCTCAGGAGTTCAAGACCAGCCTGGGCAACATGGCGAAACCCTGTCCCTACGAAAAGTACAACAAAATTAGCCAGGCATGGTGGCATGTGCCTGTAGTCGCAGCTGCTTGGGAGGCTGAAGTAGGAGCATCACCTAAGTCCCAGAGGTTGAGGCTGCAGTGAGCCAAGATTACACCCACTGCACTCCATCCTAGGTGACAGAGTGAGACCCTGTCTCAAAAAAAAAAAAGAAAATATTGTAAGGGCCTGGTGCAGTGGCTCTCATCTGTAATCCCAGCACTTTGGGAGGTGAAAGTGGGAGTATTCCTTGAGTCCAGGAGTTAACGACCAGCCTGGGCAACATGGTAAGACCCTGTCTCTACAAAACAGCCAAGCATGGTGGTGTGTGCCTGTAGCCCCAGCTACTCAGGAGGCTGAGGTGGGAGGATCACTTGACCCTGGGAAGTTAAGGCTGCGTGAGCTGTGATCACGCTCCTGCACCCAGCCTAGGTGATAGAGTGAAACCTTCTCACAAGAAAAAAGAAAATATTTTAAGATGTTTGTGTTCTCCAAACATTAAGTTAGTGTTAGTCATATTGTGTTCCAGAGGTTGGTTTATGGTTGGATACCAAAACATTTTTTCAGTAGAGAGAATATTATAAGGAAATATAAATCAAAGAGAGACAGCATGTAAAGGTCTATGACAGAAAGACAAGTTTTCTATTTACTAGAAGGCAGGTATTGATGCCACAGCCTTTGGATGTTAATGATTAAGCATAGGTTTATTTTGCAGACTTATCAGTTACCAGTTTAGTGCGTGAGTTCTCTATGCTGATATTCTGCATCTTCTTTCAACAGGTTTTTTAGTCTTTATTAATTTGTATTGCATAAAATATGGGGCACTAGCACTACAAGAAATATTTGATGGTATACAACCAAAGTAAGTTTGTTTTTATTATTTTTTAAAGGAAGAAAATGTTTTGACTTTTTTTTTAGTACAAATCAGTATCTCTGTCTTATAGATGATGATGTGGTTCTTGGTATGGAGATAGTGTCTATGGTTTTCAAAATATTCTTAGGTATTGGGAGTAAAGAAAAAGTAATCCTGGCCCAGCATGGTGGCTCACGCCCGTAATCCCACACTCTGAGAGGCTGAGGAGGGCGGATTTAGCTCAGGAGTTTGAGACCAGCCTGGGCAATATAGTGAGACTCCATCTCAAAAAAAGAAAAAACACCCTGGAATCATTGTTCTAATCCTCTAGATTAGAGGACCATCTACTCTACACACTGGCATTCTCCACAGCCAGTGTTCTATATTATGTTAAATGGTCAGTGTTGTCTCCAGGAGCCTGCCTTATTAAAACTAACAGCAGAAAACACCACATGTTCTCACTCATAGGTGGGAATTGAACAATGAGAACACTTGGACACAGGGCGGGGAACATCACACTCTGGGGCCTGTCGTGGGATGGGGGGCAGGGGAAGGGAGGGCAGAGGGAGGGATAGCATTAGCAGAAATACCTAATGTAAATGACGAGTTAATGGGTGCAGTAAACCAACTTGGCACATGTATACATATGTAACAAACCTGCACGTTGTGCACATGTACCCTAGAACTTAAAGTATAATTAAAAAAAAAAACCAGAATTTTCCTTCCCCCTTTTTTAAAAAATCGTGCTAATCCATATCGTTCCAATTTTAGTATATGTGCTGCTAATGCAAACACAGCAGAATTTTTCAAATGAGAAATACTTAGGACCAATAAATTAACTTTGTTTTTGACTTATCTGGTATATATGCAAAGAATGTATTTAGGTGGCATTTCCCATTAGTAGGGAATAAAACAATTATAACGATAAGATAAAGAACAACTCTTAGGGAAAATTTCTTCGGGGACAGTTAGATCCCTGTACCTCAGTTATGTCTCAAAAATTCTACATTGACTAAAAAATGAATTACTCTGGAAAGGAGACCAGAAAACATGGCTTCCGGCAGTAGGGGATTTTGAGGAAATCTCATGCACTGCTAGTGGGAGCCTGAATTAGCCTGATCTTTCTAGAGAGCAAAATGTATGCACTTTTTATCCAGAGCATTAGAATTGCCATACCCTTTGAGCCATATTTCCACTTCAAAGAATTGGTTCTATTAACGCATAAACTGAGGATTTTGCATCATTTAGAATTACGGAAAACTTCACTTCTAGCATGTTTGCAACAACATAGAATGATTGGCCGAATTATTTTAAATAGCCATTAGCATTTATGTACCTGCAGGTATGTAAGCAAAGACAGTTGGGAAGCTTATAACCCAAAAATGTTAAAACTAGTTGTTTCTGGGTGGTGGGATGATTCCTTTTTTCCCTCCTTGCTCCTCTCTCTTTTTTTTTTTTTTTTCTTTTTTTTTTTTGAGACTGGCCAGGTGTAATTTTTAAAGAAAAAAGCAGAGAGGGCCAGGAATGGTGGCTCACGCCTGTAATCCTAGCACTTTGGGAGGCTGAGGCAGGTGGATCACCTGAGGTCAGGAGTTCGAGATCAGCCTGGCCAACACAATGAAACCCCATCTCTACTAAAAATACAAAAATTTGCCGGGCGTGGTGGTGGGCACCTGTAATCCCACCTACTCAGGGGGCTGAGGCAGGCAAATTGCTTGAACCCAGGAGGTGGAGGTTGTAGTGAGCTGAGATCACACCGTTCCACTCCAGCCTGGGCAACAAGAGCGAAACTCCGTCTCAAAAAAAAAAAGAAAAGAAAAAGATTATGGCATTTGGCTACAGGGTAGAGGTGTGATGGGGTTTTTTTATGTTTTGACTTTCAGTCTCTTCAGATGATCAAAAACAGCAGTCTTGTTATTTAGTAATTTATCATATTCATAAGAAGTAACTAACATCTAAGCATTTTACTATTTCATTATAGTGATAATCTAATATTAAGTTGATTTATTTTGCTTTAATAGAATGTTTGGAATGGTTTTGGAAAAAATTATTATTCCTGAAATTCAGAAGGTATCTGGAAATGTAGAGAAAAAGATCTGTGCGGTTGGCATAACCAAATTACTAACAGAATGTCCCCCAATGATGGACACTGAGTATACCAAACTGTGGTAAGTACTTCATTTTAATATTTTTGTAAGTTACAGCTTCCTTCCCATATGACTGCAAAATTAACAAAGCTTATTCTCTTGGGGGCCAAGAGAATCTTGGTCTGATCTCAGCTTCTCCACAATCAGATCCAAGACATGATTTCTGGATCCTTCTGGGCTTAGAATGATCTTGTTTCCTGCTTCTTTTTCAGGGGGATTCATGGACCCCTTTAAGAGTCTGATCTAGGTGATCTCTAAGACAATTTTATGACAGAAGCCCAACTAAACTGACTTATCTTTAAGGGGAAGAACTGAATAAGCCAAGAAAAGAACCATCTTAATTTCAAAGGTCCCCTTTTATTCTTGAGACTATGAGTCTGTAATTTTGTGTCTCTGAGCAATTGCTGGTTTTAAGTCTTCCGAGTATTTTCTTGACCTTTTTATCTCTTGCTTTCTTCCAATCCAGGACTCCATTATTACAGTCTTTGATTGGTCTTTTTGAGTTACCCGAAGATGATACCATTCCTGATGAGGAACATTTTATTGACATAGAAGATACACCAGGATATCAGACTGCCTTCTCACAGTTGGCATTTGCTGGGAAAAAAGAGCATGATCCTGTAGGTCAAATGGTGAATAACCCCAAAATTCACCTGGCACAGTCACTTCACAAGTTGTCTACCGCCTGTCCAGGAAGGGTAAGTGTGTTGTCAAAGAACTCTGTGATAAATGGAGACTTTAATGGGAGGGCAAAAGGATAGTAGTAGTTCTGGTGTCTGTTTTCATTGGTGGGCGTAATAAAACTAAATCTCATTGAGTTACAGCAAGCTTATTTTCTTTAATTAAAAACACTGAGCCCTTTTTTTCTTGTATTATGTACTACAAATATATTTTAAGTGAATGGATTTAGGAGTGAGAACAAAGGAGGAAAAATCCCTTCAATAGAAATGTAATAAGGCTGTATAGTTGCATTTTGTCAGCACTTTATAATAAGAGTTTATTTCCCAGATCGAAGTAATCCATCTATTATTAAAATGTGGTAGCATTTTTTTATTTTTATTTTTATTTATTTATTTTTTTAGACAGGGTCTCACTCTTATCCAGGCTGGAATGCAGTAGTACGATTATGGCTCACTGCAGCCTCAACCTCCCAGGTTCAAGTGATCCTACTGCCTGTCAGCCTTCCAAGTAGCTAGGACCCACTATGCCCAGCTAATTTTTTATTTTTTTGTGGAGACAGGGTCTCCCTATGTTGTTCAGGTTGGTCTCAACCTCCTGGGCTCAAGCCATCCTCCTCCCTCAGCCTCCCAAAGTGCTGGGATTACAAGTGTGAGCCTGGACACAGTTATTTTTTTTTAATTGCAGCATACTCAGAAATTAATAGATCATGGCATAAACCTAATAATGACTGTATAGTTGCATTTTGTCAGCACTTATTATAGAGTTCTTACATGTTACCTGATAAAATATATATTTTTCAAGCCAGACACAGTGGTTTATGCCTGTAGTTCTAGTGCTTTGGGAGGCCAGGGCTGCAGTGAGCTATTACAGTGCCACTGCAATCCAGCCTGGGCAACAGAGCGAGGTCCCGTTTCTTAAAAAACATATATGTGTGTGGCGTGTGTATATATATGTATATATATTTTTTCATTGTATTATTACGGAGACTTTCAAACATATATAGAAAGAGCATAATGAAGCCTGCATGTGCCCAGCTTCAATAATTACCAATATCTTGCCAGTTTTGTTTCGTTTCTCCTTTTATTCTCTGTATTGAGCAAGTCTTAGACATCATACGTTTCACGCGTAAGTACCTTATTCTACATCATTAACCAGTAAGGACTTTTTAATTAACCACAATACCACTATCACACCTAATAATAGTAATTCCTTATGGATCTTTTCTTTAGACCTATTTTTGAAGGCATAAAAGCAGTTGAGTTTCTGGAGAATTTTTGGATGGTGATTAATGACTTGACTGGCTGCTCTTCCCAGAGCTGTGGCAGCTCTCCCGTAGAAGATGGGGTTTGTATTGGCGCACCAAGATCTCCAACAGCCAGTGTGTGTTTCCCATCTCTTGTAGGTTCCATCAATGGTGAGCACCAGCCTGAATGCAGAAGCGCTCCAGTATCTCCAAGGGTACCTTCAGGCAGCCAGTGTGACACTGCTTTAAACTGCATTTTTCTAATGGGCTAAACCCAGATGGTTTCCTAGGAAATCACAGGCTTCTGAGCACAGCTGCATTAAAACAAAGGAAGTTCTCCTTTTGAACTTGTCACGAATTCCATCTTGTAAAGGATATTAAATGTTGCTTTAACCTGAACCTTGAGCAAATTAGTTGGTTTGTGTGATCATACAGTTATGTGGGTGGCTTCTAGTTTGCAACTTCAAGGGACAAGTATTAATAGTTCAGTGTATGGCGTTGGTTTGTGTTGAGCGTTTGCACGGTTTGGATAATCTTAAATTTTGACGGACACTGTGGAGACTTTCTGTTACTAAATCCTTTTGTTTTGAAGCTGTTGCTATTTGTATTTCTCTTGTCCTTTATATTTTTTGTCTGTTTATTTACGCTTTTATTGGAAATGTGAATAAGTAAAGAATTACTTGTGTTACTTGCCAAGCAGTGCACATTTCATAGTTTCAAATCTGTAATCAGCAATAAAAATCCTAAAATATGTACCTAAGAACATCTTAAGGGCAGGTTTTCAGTGCTCTCTCATGCTTTTATAAAAATGAAGAATTTCTTTAAATTTCTTCCTTTTCCTTTCCTGGACTCTGTAAAATCCTAATTTCTAAATCATGTAAACTCAGATTATTTAGTCTTTTTTTTTATATGGGGGAAGGGGACATTAATATAGATTTGGGGCTTATTTACTAGAATTTTCTGTAGCAGTTCCTAGGTGGCAGTGTGAGTTTTGGGTAGGTGGCTCCTCTGGGAGAAATGCTCTGCCTCGCTTAATGGGATGGCGGTCGAGAGTACTTGAGACTGTGGATGTTTTGATCTCTTTCATCTCTGCTGTTCCCTGGAGAGTGGAGGTTACTTGGAACTTTTCAAACCCTGACACCTTAGAACCGTGAAGTCCAGTCCAGTGGTGGATCCGGCCGGATGCCTGGTGAGCTTGGTTGCACTGGCTCCCTCCCTTGGCCTGGCCCATGGAATTGTACAGCATTCGTTTCTGAGGAATGAAGAATCAGAATATCTAAATTTTGTGAGGCACAGTTTATGCTGGAATTGTTCATTGTCCATTCAGTGTAGTTAAACTGGAACTTTTGTCTTCCCAGCTCAAGTGATTTGTCACAGGAGTTATCGATATCCCTTTTTTTTTTCTTTTTTACCCCCAAGATAAGAGTCTTGTTCTGTTGACCAGGCTGGAGTGCAGTGGCACAATCTCAGTTCACTGCAACCTCCACTTCCTGGGTTTGAGCAATTCTCCTGCCTCAGCCTCTCGAGTAGCTGGGATTACAGGCGTCCGCCACCACGCCCAGCTAATTTTTGTATTTTTATTAGAGATGGGGTTTCACCATATTTGTCAGGCTGGTCTCGAACTCCTGACCTCATGATCTGCCTGCCTCGGCCTCCCAAAGTGCTGGGATTACACGCGTGAGCCACTGTGCCTGGTGATAACTTTTTTAATCTTAGGCACTTGACTCGAATGGTTTTTCTTATTTTGAATTTTTTTTTTTTTTTTTTTTTTTTTTTTTGAGACGGAGTCTCACTCTTGCCCAGGCTGGAGTGCAGTGGCACAATCTCAGCTGACTGCAACCTCCGCCTCCCAGGTTCAAGCGATTCTCCTGCCTCAGCCTCCTGAGTAGCTGGGATACAGGCATGCATCACCATGCCTGGCTATTTTTTGTATTTTTAGTAGAGACAGGGTTTCACCATGTTGGCCAGGCTGGTTTCAAACTCCTGACCTTGTGATCCGCCTGCCTCGGCTTACCAAAGTGCTGGGATTAGAGGCTTGAGCCACTGTGCCCAGCCACTTGTTTCTGTAATGTTGCATGAGAAATTTCAAGTTCTCTTAAGTCTATTTGTACCATCTAGTCATTTAAGGGCTTTTTGTTGTTGTTGTTGTTGTTGTTGTTGTTGTTGTTGTTGTTGGTTTTGACACAGTAATGGGAATACTACATTTTACGTTATTACTTTGGCTTAAGTGGTCGTTGGTAGAAAGATACTGAAATATTACTGAAGCCATTTTTAAGCCACAATTTATTTGGAAAGTCTGGGACAACAGGGAATTGCTAGTGATGGTTTCTGTATGTTTTTCACTCACATGAGCTCCTTAAGTATTTATTTGGCTTTGCTCTTCCTGAAGCTGCTTGTGAACAGTCAGTCAGATACCGTTCTGGAGGCTGCTTGATTCAACATCTTAAACTCAGATCGAGTTCGAAACGTTTTCCTTCTTCAGTTCAAAAGGCTGAGTAGTAGATGGTGTGCCTTTTAAAATAGTTACTGAACAGCAAGACTAGTACATTTACTTACTTTAGCACAGTTCATTAATTATCAAATAATTTTTTTAAATGCCTTCTATTGAAGTTGCTTATTCAATCGTCCAAGACAGTTTTTATATCTGGCTTTAAAGATTTTAGGACATGGTGGACAGAAACTGCTGGAGTGGTTTTTTTCTTTTTTCTTCACAAGCCTTACTGACTGTAGCTCAGTGGTGATGCACACTGTGGGTATGAAGATCAGGGTTTGAGTTACAGCACTGCTACTGACTATGACCTTGAGCAAATGAGTTGACCTCTATGCCTTTTTTTTCTCTTCTGAAAAATGAGCATATTATTTACCTTCAAGGTGGTTGTAAGAATAAAATGAGATGATGCATGTAGAGTACTCAAGCAGAGAACCTGTGCAGAGTAAGCACACATCAGGAAAAGCTGCTGGGGGAGCAGAGGGCTTGGGTGGGAGGAAGCGTTTGTTACTGAGCACACTTACCAATGTGCTGCATACCTGGAAGGCGGGAAGGCTTTGTGGAGAAGAGTCCTGGCATGGGCGGCCCCACCTGTACCCCAGGGTGTTTTTACAGAAGGGAAGTATTGCCAGGTTTCTCATCAGAGCTTCCTGCTAGGTGCATTCATTCTCCATGGTATTCAATCATGTCTTTTAACAAGCTGATTTTTAAATAATTGAGTTTTTAAATTATTTTTATGTATTTATTTTTTTGAGATGGAGTCTTGCTCAGCCCAGGCTGAAGTGCAGAGGCGTGATCTCGGCTCACTGCAACCTCCACCTCCTGGTTTCAAGTGATTCCCCAGCCTCAGCCTCCCGAGTAGCTGGAATTACAGGCACGCGCCACCACGCCCAGCTAACTTTTGTATTTTTAGTAGAGACAGGGTTTCACCATGTTTTGTCAGGCTGGTCTCAAACTCCTGACCTCAAGTGATCCACCTGCCTCGGCCTCCCAAAGTGCTGGGAGTACAGGTGTGAGCCACCACATCTGGCCACCGACTTTTTATTTTAAATGTATTTTCTTTGTGGGAAACTTGGAAAATAAAGAAAAAATATTTAAAAATTAAAAATAATTCATATTCCTACCTACATTAAGCATTTTGGTTCATTTGAGATCATTCTGTATATAGTTTTGTAATTTTTTTAAACCATATTTACTTGGTAAACATTCAGTGGATATATGTGATTTATCATTAGGATATATCATTACCAGATTATGTAATTGTAGTCATTGCTGGATGTCTTGGAGGTTTTCTGATTTTGTAGACAACTCTTGAGATGAACATCTTTATGCATCAATTTTTAGTTCCTGAAGGTGGAATTAGAGCCAATTTTCTTGTGCAAAGTTCATGTCAGTTTCTTTAACACACCTTTACCTACACTGGGCATTATTTGGTTGCCATTTTGATAAGTAAAAATGGTACTTTTCCTTACTTCTGAGGCATAATCAGATTGGCATTTAATCAAACTATTACATACATGTGGTAGAATTCATTTTTTTTAAATTTAACTTTGTTGTTGTTGAGAGGGAGTCTTGCTCTGCCGCCCAGGCTGGAGTACAGTGGTGCAATCTCAGCTCACTGCAACCTCTGCCTCCTGGTTTCAAGCAATTCTCCTGCCTCAGCCTCCTGAGTAGCTGGGATTACAGGCACCTTCCACCATGCTTGGCTAATTTTTGTATTTTTAGTAGAGACAGTTTCACCATGTTGGCCACGTTGGTATAGTGGTGAGCATAGCTGCTTTCCAATTTACTTTATTTATTTATTTATTTATTTATTTATTTATTTATTTATTTATTTGAGACGGAGTCTAACTCTCCTACCCAGGCTGTAGTGCATTGGCACGATCTCAGCTCACTGCAACCTCCATCTCCCAGGTTCAAGCAATTCTCCTGTCTCAGCCTCCCAAGTAGCTGGGACTACAGGTGCACACCACCATGCCGAGCTAATTTTTTGTATTTTTTAGTAGAGACGGGGGTTTCACCATGTTGGCCAGGCTGGTCTCGAACTCCTGGCCTCAAGTGAACTGCCTACCTGGGTCTCACAAAGTGCTGGGATTACTGGCTTGAGCTACCACACATGGCCTCAACTCTTCATTATTAAATTGGTTTTGTGTTAGGTGATTTTGCCCAGCTGTAGGTGAATGTAAGCGTTCTGAGCATGTTTGAAGTAGGCTAGACTGAGCTAGGATGGTGGGTCGGTTAAGTGTATTAAAATGCATTTTAACTTATGATATTTTCAGTTTATGGTGAGTTTATCAGGATGTGACCCCATCGTAAGTTGAGGAGCATCTGTAATAGCATTTTGTTTTTTAAAAATATTTAATCATCTTTGTCAATGTCTCTTGAATCCTCAGCGTTGACAACGAAGATGTGTCCCTACCCTCTGCCTCTCAGGCTTGCTAATTGCTGGGTTCTGCTTTCACTTTCACATTGTTGAAGGAGATATTTCCAGTTGTTTTCTGTGCATTATCTGTAGTTCCCTTTTAAAAGGTGAAGCTGATAAACACTTGTTATGACAGTGTGAACTGGGCTTAATGCTGTGTCAAGCAGTGTGCAAAGATTACATTTCCCTCTCCTCATGTCTTGACTTCTGCATCCCTCAAGAGAGAATGAATGTTCGTAAGGTTAAGGTCAAATGGAATGGAGTTTGCTCCTCATATTTCATCAGTTGCTCAAAGGTACTCCCCATTTTAGCTTGTGTTCTGTTTGGATCCTGACTTTCTCATGGTGGTTTTTCTGGACTTTTATTAGCTTTCTTTTTCATCCTGGGTATTACATGGCGTGCCTTCCACTCTGCCCCTGGATTTCTTTTTACAGCCCTGGCTCTTGTGGGCCACAACAGTTCTTGAGGTAGGCTGCTAGGGTTCCCCATTGGAGCCTCTCCATTCCAGTGTTCCAGGGGGCAGATGAGCTCCTATCCCCACTGGCCTGTCTTGCTGGTGTTCAGGGCCCTGGCTTCCACTTTGCGAGGTCACCTTTCAGGATTCATGTGTATCCACTTTGCTGTGTCAGAAACTCCCTACTGCTGACCTCCCTCTCCTCTTTGCTGTCATTAATGGATTCTCATTGTGGGAGATAAACGTGTGCTCAGCCTAGAATACCACATGATTTTTTTTTTCTTGATTCATTGCTTTTGCCTGTTAGCCTTGTTGTTCTAAAGTAGTTCATTTTTCTACTCTACTTTTCCTTTCCCCTCAATGACCCCCACCCCAAAACTGTGCCTAAATACTATTCATGCAGTCTTTGAGAATCAAACAGGTTCACACTCTTATTCCTGAGTACAGAAACTTACCGAATCACACAGCTGGATAAAGCCGGGATTGAAACCCTGGCAGTCTGGTTTCCAGAGCATTCTGGCTTAGCCACTTATGCCATGGTTTGGCAAAAGTTAGAAACAGCTAATCAGCTAATAAGGGCATGATCACAAGGCATTTTGCTAATAAGTTTTTAAAATATACACTATGGGTGTTTTTTGGTTGTGACAATTCTTGGGTCCCTATTCATAGGAGCATCCCCCGCACCAATCCCTAGGCACAATCCTGTATCCAGCCTGCTGGACATGACCGTTTATTCCATTTCGTAAACCCTAAGCATTTGCTCTGCAAACCTCCTCCTGCTTGGTCCTTGCTCTTACTCCTTGTCTGAGAAACATGGTGGCTGAGCTTTGTGACTGCAAGGCAGGGCTCATCCTTAGGGTCTACCCTGAGGTATTCTTAGTAGGACTGCTCTTTGATAGGGCAAAGGAGTTTCATGGACCCTTTGAAAATAATTTAGAGGCATTTTCCTTTGGTTTCTCTGAATGAGCTAAGAACCCCTGATAATAAGGAACTGCTGTGGGCTGATGGTCAGTTCCTCCAGCCCCTCCATTCTAGGAAGGTGTCTGGTAAAGCAGCTCACTGTGTGGTTGGGGAAGGGAGACAAACTATGAAGTTGTGCCGATTTCTGGGTTTTTTCCCTTACACATGGGATGGTGTGAGATAAAAATCTGGCAACATAGACGCAGTGTTCATGTCAAGAAAGAGCCACAATAGGTAAGTCCCAAGACTGTTTTCTCAGACCTCATGGAAAAGGAGACCTCTTGGAGAAGTGAGAAGCAAAACGAGAACAGGTTTATTCACCTTGGACTGGAAAGATAACGCCTTGTAAGCAGTTAGAGGCAACGCTTTTGGATCCAGAGGGGAAAAGGATCGCTGCTCCCAGCAACCTGTGCTTCTGCAGCAAATAGCAGAGAAGACAGATCCCGAGTCCCTCTTAAGTGGGTCCAGCAGGGCACGGGGAGGAGAAGCTTGGCACTCGCCAGGTCCTCCCCATCCAAGACAGAGGAAGTCTTGGTGTCCTGGAAAGGCCAGGCAACCCCTGCCACAGGTTTGATGTCCAGGTGGAGGCAGCCCCACACAAAGAGCCTCCTCTGCCATGTTTATCGATCTCAGGCGGGAACCAGGGAAGACGTCTCTAAAGTGGTGCCTGCACAGCATCCTGGCCAGTCAGGAGGAAGCAGCAACCTAAGCCAACTGCCACAGGTTGGCCCTTCCAAACCCCAGCCATGGGAACACCTGGCCCTCCCCACTGTGCTTAGGAACTGAGTGCTTAGGAAACTAAAGGATGGATTTGGCCACGGGATGGGCCAGAGGTGCTCCAGAGCCAGCTGAGGCACATCAGGCCAAAGTCACCCTGCACTTCCCCTGAGGCAGCAGTTCCCACCAGGATTCACAAGATTTGGAGTGCTGTCAGAGGAACCGCAGTCATTTATGGCTGTATATTTTGTACTAGAAAAAAGTCACTAGGAATTCATGGGTGATATTGCTTAGGACAGTGGTTCTTAAAGTACCGTCAACATCACTTAGCACCTAAGTGCTTAGTAGAAACTACTTCATCAAAAACTCTGGGAATGAGACCCAGCAACCTTTTAACAACCCATCCAGGTGATGGGATGCATGTTCAATTTGGTGAGCCATGACTTAGGATAAAGCTAAGTAAAAGTAAGTAAGACATAGACGGTAGCAAAAATTGTGAAGATCAGGTTTGAGAACAGTGGTCTAAAGCTTCATGACCACAAAAATTGGAAGGGACCACATTTTAAAGATGTGAAATTAACAGCTTTACTTTTGTGCAAGAGGTGGCAGAAAAAAGATGAGCTGTGGTAATTAGGGCCCATGGGGCTGAGCATCATCACCCCGGGAGCTATGGGCCTCGCTGGGCCAAAAATAATGTGGCCCCTGGGCTGCAGAAGTTCTGAGCATTTCCAGTTTTCTTAGCTGAAGTTTGATTCAGCCTTGAACGGTGTTTACATTGTACTTGTTCATAAATCCAAGGAACCAGGAAAGAAACTTACTAAGACTCAGAATTTTCAGGCACACATTACAAAGTTGCCAGCACATTTTCAGCCACCCACCAGGTGCACATACACTCTGCGTACAGAACAGACACCAGTCAGAGGTTTGCACAGCAAAAGGGCCAAGCGACTTCCAAACTACAGAGAATCTCAGGCCATCTGCCTTGGGAGGTCTTTTGGCAGCCATAACAAATAGACTCAAAAAGGCAACTACTACAAAGAACAGAGTCTGAAGAAGTGACGCACAGGATGCTGACAGACCCTTAGTAGAGATCCTTATTCCAAAGGGGCATCAGCTGCCTGCTAATCCATCCAGGGTCAGGAGGAGATTCCTAGTGAGGCCGCTACTGCAGTCTAAGGAGTGGGAACAATCACTAGCCAGACTGGAGCAGCCCAGCTCTGAAGAGGAGGGGCTGTCACCTGATCCTGCCTGTGCCCCATCAAGCTCTGGAGACCAAGCAAAATCAAAGCTCCAGGCACACCTCAAAGCTCGCTTGACAACTGAAAGAGCCATTGTGTGTGCACTGTAGGTAAGGTCGTGGTAGAGCTGCCTGGGAAAGGGTGGAAGACACACTAAGATTTATGATTGGATACAGGGCTTGTGGGCAACTTCCAAATTTTTCATAATCTACTTTTAAATTAAAAAACCATCTTAGGCCAGGCATGGTGACCCATGCCTCCCAGCACTCTGGGAGCCAAAAGTGGGAGGATTGCTTGACCTCAAGTTTGAGACCAGCCTGGGTACACAGTGAGACCACATCTCTACAAAAAAAATTTTTGTAATTAGCTGGGCATAATGGCACATACCTGTAGTCCCAGCTATTCAGTAGGCTGAGGCAGGAAGATCAGCCTGAGCCTGGGAAGTCAAGGCTGCAGTCAGCCATGATCACACTGGTCTGAGCCTGGGTGACAGGGGGACCCTGTCTCCAAAAAACCCCAAACAAAAAATAATTTTAAAAATTACTGGCTGGGCATGGTGGCTCACACCTATAATCCCGCACTTTGGGAGGCCAAGGCAGGTGGGTTACCTGAGGCCAGGAGTTCGAGACCAGTCTGGCCAACATGGTGCAACCCTGTCTCTACTAAAAATACAAAATGAGCCTGGTGTGAGGGCACGCACCTGTAATCACAGCTACTCAGGATGAGGCAAGAGAATCACTTGAACCTGGGAGGTGGAGGTTGTAGTGAGCTGAGATTGTGCCATTGCACTCCAGCCTGGGGGACAAGACTGAAACTCGGTCTCAAAAAGCAAAACAAAATTGCTACTATACATAGACTGCTTTACTGTTGTCATTGCAGACCTGATGTTTGTAGGTTTCAGTGAATGTAAAAGAATGTGTGGATGAACGGTTTTGTTGTTGTTTTTGAGACAGAGTTTCGCTCTTGTCACCCAGGCTGGAGTGCCATGGTGCAGTCTCGGTTCGCTGCAACCTCAGCCTCCCCAGTAGCTGGGATTACAGGTGCCCACCACCACGCCCGGCTAATTTTTAGTAGAGACGGGGTTCCATCATGTTGGCCAGGCTGGTGGTCTTGAACTCCTGACTGCAGCTGAGCCACTTTACCCGGCCAGATGAATGCATTTTTTAAATATTAAACTTAGGTTAGAAGCACATAATAAAGCTGTACACATCTCCTACAGTTTTCACTAATGAAAATTGGGATGCCATTTAAATTACAAAGAAGTCTGAGGAGAATGTCCTACAGACTAGTTTCACATGCACATGCTGTCCTTACATGCTTTGTATACAGACATTAAACACATCAGTACAGTACACAAAGTAACAAGTTCCACGAACTCAGCACCACAGGAAAGGTTTACAAAAAATCCAAGAAGATGGCTATGCTGCCCATTAACAAACTCCCACCTCCTATCTTTGAGTTAGCCATTGCTTCTTAAAACAATGTATCTCTTTAAAAGCCCTATTTAAGAACATTGGCCAACTCCTCCACTCTTCCCTCTGCTAATCCTGCTCTGATTAAGTGCTTGACAAATCCAGTATTTATTGATTTGGAATTTCAAGTAAGTTTTTTGTTTTTAAGAGCACACAGGCATTTAAGCCCTTAAACCAGAAGTAGTGATAAATACTGCTGCTTTTTATTGAGGCTGAGTCTCCAACACCTAGGCTATAGTTGCAGTAGCGTGATCTCAGCTCACTGCAGCCTTGACCTCGGGCTCAAGTGATTCTTCCACATCAGCCTCCCAAGTAGCTAGGACTACAAGCCCATGGTACCACCATGGTGCCATGCCGGGCTAGTTTTCTGTTTTTTTTTTGTTTTGTAGAGATGGGGGTCTCTATGTTGCTCAGGCTGGTTTCAAACTCCCGGGCTCAAGCAGTCCACTCACCGTGGCTTCCCAAAAGGCTGGGAATACAGGGATGAGCCACCATGCCCAGCCAGTGGATGCTTCTGACATGTTATGTGCAAACAAAGCCAGACCTCTCGGGCCTCAGGTTTGCTTCCTGGGATGATCCTATTCTACTGAACTCACACTGATCCCTATAAAGCAAGCAGCAACATCACGCTTTTGGGAAAGGCCAATATGTTTTCCTGTCGATCATACCAATCCCAGGCGCCCTCCTAACAGGAGGGATCCAGACTATGGTGTCCATCACTGAGCATTCACCCAACAAAGCCACTTAAAAAAACAGCTCAGTAAACTAGATTCAGAAGTGATACTTGTTTGTAAGACCTATCCACATTACTCTGGCTTAAGAAGGCCTGAAAACCCAGAAAAACACCCAGCTATGGGTGAAAATACTTACAGGTGAATGTTTTAGTCTAGGATTAGCATTAAGATACTTCAGGAAAAAAATAATGGGGAGGATGAGACAAGAACAACAAACTCAAGACAGCTATGAGGAAATAACCATTACCCGTTAAGTTTTCCCTTTAATGACCATGAGGACAAAGTCATGACAATGCAGTCACCACCCACTTTTTGAAAAAAAAAAACAATGCCAATGTGGGAACCGACTGAGTCCCAAGCTTATCTACTGTAGGATCCAAGAGAGAGACAATCTCAGTGTTGGAGAATGCACTGAGAACATAGAGGAGAAGGCTACAAAGAACACTGAGTATACAAATGCATACAGATAGATGTGTATAGATATATATACACATAGATTTCCTGTCCGCTACAGAGGTCTAGAAACAATAACACCCCAGTAGCAGTAAGCCCTCAGAGCATTCAGATCTTGGTTTCTAAATGCTGTCTTCTAGTAGAGGGAACCAGGGCTCCTTAGGAAAATGGCTGAATCAGGCTAGGCGTGGTGGGTCACGCCTGTAATCTCAGCACTTTGGGGGGCTGAGGCGGGCGGATCATAAGGTGAGAAGTTCAAGACCAGCCTGGCCAATATGGTGAAACCCCATCTCTACTAAACATAAATACAAAAATTAGCCAGATGTGGTGTGCACACCTGTAGTCCCAGCTACTTGGGAGGCTGAGGCAGGAGAATCGCTTGAACCCACGAGGCGGAGGTTGCAGTGAGCTGAGATGGTGCCACTGCACTCCAGCCTGGGCGACAGAGTGAGACTCCATCTCAGAAAAAAAAAAAAAAAAGGCTGAATCAGGACTAGGGGAAGGAAAAGAACAAGATGAACCCCAAATATCTCAATGTGTCAAGTTAGTCTTCAAAAAATGATGGGGACAAATGACAGTTTTTGTGGACATAGAAAAGCCCATCCTAAAATTTATAAGGAATCCTAAGGGACCCTGAATAACCAAAAACAATCTTGAAAACTTAGCTGAAGGACTCATAGGTTAAGATTTCAAAATTTACTACAGTAATCAAATCAGTGTGGTACCAGCACAACAACAGACATATAGGAGGCTGGTTGCGGTGGTTCACGCCTGTAATCCCAGCACTTTGGAGGCTGAGGTGGGAGGATCACTTGAGCCCAGGAGTTCAAGACCAGCCTGAGCAACTTGGTAAAACCTTGTCTCTACAAAAAAAAAAAGAAAAAATCAGCCAGGCATGGTGACATGGTGACACACGCCTATAGTCCCAGCTACCTGGTAGGCTGTGAGCCAAGACTGCACCACTGCACTCCAGTCTGGGCAACAGAGTAAGACCCTGTCTCAAAAAAAAAAAAAGGCCAGGCGCGGTGGCTCACGCCTGTAATCCCAGCACTTTGGGAGACCGAGGCGGGTGGATCATGAGGTCAGGAGATCGAGACCATCCTGGCTAACAAGGTGAAACCCCGTCTCTACTAAAAATACAAAAAATTAGCCGGGCGCGGTGGCGGGCGCGGTGGCGGGCGCCTGTAGTCCCAGCTACTCGGGAGGCTGAGGCAGGAGAATGGCGTGAACCCGGGAAGCGGAGCTTGCAGTGAGCCGAGATTGCGCCACTGCAGTCCGCAGTCCGGCCTGGGCGACAGAGCGAGACTCCGTCTCAAAAAAAAAAAAAAAAAAAAAAAAAAAAATATATATATATATATATACACACACACACACACACACACACACACACACACACACACACACACACCCCCCCCCCCCCCAAAGGAAGAGAATCCAGAAGTCCTTCCATGTAATTTTTGACAAGGGTGCCAAGACCATTCAATGGGGGAGGGACAGTCTTTTCACAAATACTGTTGGGAAAACAGTGTGCACTTGCCAAGGAATGAAGCTGGACCCTTACCTAACACCATACACAAAATTAGCTTAAAATGGATGAAAGACCTAAATCTAAGACTAAAACTAAAACATGAGGCAAATCCGCAAATCTTCATGAGTTGGACTTAGCAATGTTTTCTTAAGTATGACACCAGAAACAGGCAACAAAAGAAAGTAATAGACAAACTAGACTTCATCAAAATTAAAACCTTTTTTGCATCAAAAGCTTTTCTGCAAAAAGCTTTTGCAGAATGAAAAAACAACTCACAGAATGGGAAGAAAAAAACTGCAAGTCACATCTGTTAAGGGATTAATATCCAGAATACACACAATACTCCTAAAATTCAACAACAAGCAACATGATTCAAAAAAAATGGGCAAGACTTGGACAGACATTTATCCAAAGAAGATAGACAAATGGCCAATAAATACGAAAAGATGTTCAACATCGTTAGGGAAATGCAAACCAAAACCCCCATGAGATACCACCTCATATCCACTAGGACAGCTACTATTTAACGAAACAATAAACATTGGCGACAATGTGGAGAAACTGGAACCATCATGCACTGTTGGAAAGTGATGGCTGCAGTGGGAAACTGGCAGTTCCTCAATATGTTAAAAATAATAGGTCAGACGCAGTGGCTCACGCCTGTAATCCCAACACTTTGGGAGGCCAAGGCGGGCAGATCACTTGAGGTCCGGAGTTCAAGACCAGCCTGGCCAACATGGTAAACCCCCGTCTCTACTAAAAATACAAAAATTAGCCAGGTGTAGTGGTGGGCCCCCGTAATCCCAGGTACTCGGGAGGCTGAGGCAGGAGAATCACTTGACCCTGGGAGGCAGAGGTTGCAGTGAACCGAGATCGTGCCACTGACTCCAGCCTGGGCAGCAAAGGGAGACTCCATCTCAAAAAAAAAAAAAATTATATGCAGCAATTCCACTTCTGGGTACATACCCCAAAGAGTTGAAAGCAGGGTCTCAAAGATTTTGTATACCAATATTCACATGTGGAAGCAACCCAAGTGCTTTTTTTTTTTTAGACTGAGTCTCACTCTATTGCCCAAGCTGGAGTACAGTGGCACAGTCTCAGCTCACTACAACCTCCACCTCCTGGGTTCAAGTGATTCTCCTGCCTCAGCCTCCCGAGTAGCTGGGACTACAGGTGCGCGCCACCATGCCCAGCTAATTTGCATATTTTTAGTAGCTATGGGGTTTCACTATGTTGACCAGGCTGGTCTTGAACTCCTGATCTCAGGGAATCCACCTGCCTCGGCCTCCCAAAGTGCTGGGATTACAGGTGTCAGTCACCGTGTCCAACCCCAAGTGCCTACTGACAATGTATTGATAAGCAAAATGTGGAATATATACACACAATGGAATATTACTCAGCCTTAACAAAGGAGGGAAATTGACATATTACAACACGGATAAACCTTAAGGACATTAGGCTATGTAAGATAAACCAGCCACAGAAGGGCAGATACTGTCCATTTATAGGAGGTTCCTAGAGTGAAAATCATAAACAAGTGGTGGTTTCCAGGGGCTGGAAGGAGCATGCGAGGGGAGTTAGTGTTTCATGGGAACAGTTTAAGTTTTACAAAATGAAAAGTTATGGAGTTGGATTGTGGTGGCTACACATTATGAATAAACTGTACACTTAAAAGTAGTTAGCAGTCTGGGCAACATAGCAAGACCTCGACTGTACAAAAAAAAATTAGCTGGGCATGGATGTGCACACCTGTAGTCTCAGCTATTCGGGAGGCTGAGGTAGGAGGAAAGCCCAGGAGAGCAAGGTTGCAGTGAGCCAGGATCACACTGCTGCACTCCAGCCTGGATGACAGATTGGGATGCTGTTTTAAAAAAAAAAAAAAAAAAGTGGTTAATAGGATGGTAAATTTTCTATGTGTCTTACCACAATTTTTTACAATTTTAAGATGGAAACATGCCAAAAGGACACAAGAGTCACCTTGACAGGTCTTCTGATGTCCAAATTTGAAGTAATTTGAACATCAAATAAATGGTTGCAATGGATTGCGACCCAGACTAGGAGTCCATTAGCTGACACACTGCATCAATGGGGAGGGAAGGCGCCTCCATGCAGGGGCAGGGTGTCGGCAGAAGGAACATTGGACATGGAAGCTCATGGATGGGCAGTGGTGGTGGATTCACATGGAAGTTGTAAGTGAAGGACAAGGATGGAGGGTAGAGGTCTGAAGAGGAACAGGCTGGTCATGTGCTTTGAGGATGCCTCCCCACAAAATACTCCTTGATTACCAAGAGACATAGTGTGACCTGACTGACAGTGGAGCAATCTGCCTGGGTCACCAAGGTTAACAAACTGTATGCCCCTGGAGTGACATACAGAGAAGAGCGCAGCATTTCTGTGGCTTTCCTGCCACAAAAGTGCTGCCTAGGTCTGGTCACCATCATCCAGACCCAGGCTGAGGGTGTACTACAGAGAGGTCTGCGGGCTTCACCCCACTAGGACGTGAAACACAGATGCCGAGAGGACTGATGCAGACAGCAGGAGAAAACTAAAGGCAACACACACCTCTTGACAGGGACCCTGGACCAGGAAAGGACAAGACACTGTTGGGACAGCTGGCGAGATCTGCATGGGGTCCATGGACTGGATGCAGTGTTCACTCCCTGACTTGGGGGAATATCTAAATTTTGAAGAGAGAGGGAGACCAGGGGAGACAATGTACACATAATTTCAGTAAAATGTACCTTTTATCTGTGAAATTATTTTAAAATAAAATTTTAAAAGTTAAAGGACTAGGTGCAGTGACTCACACCTGCAATCCCAGCACTTTGGGAGGATGAGATGACAGGATCACTTGAACCCAGTTGGACTGGCCTGGGCAATGTAGTGAGACCCTCTCTCTTAAAAAAAAAAAAAAATCATTAGCCAGGAATGGTGTCATGTGCCTGTAGTCCCAGCTACTCAGGAAACTGAGGTGGGAGAATCACCTGAGCCCAGTCAAGGCTGCAGTGAGCTGTGATCATGCCACTACACTCCAGTGTGGGTGACAGAGCAGGACACTGTCTTTAAAAAAAAAAGTAGTAAAGAAAGGCTATATACTGCTGGGTGCAGTGGCTCACACCTGTAATCCCAACACTCTGGGAAGTCAAGGCAGGAGGATCGCTTGAGGCCACTGCAACCCAGCCTGGGTAACAGAGCAAGCTACTGTCTCAAAAAGGAAAAAAAAAGCTATATTGTAATGTCTTACTATGCAAAGCTACTCATGAAAAACTTAAGCCAGGCGCAGTGGCTCACACCTGTAATCCCAGCACTTTGGGAGGCCGAGGTGGCCAGATCACTTGAGGTCAGTTCGAGACCAGCCTGGCCAACATGGTGAAATCCCATCTCTACTAAAAATACAAAAATTGGCCAAGCGCACTGGCACGTGCCTATGATCCCAGCTACTCAGGAGGGAGGCTGAGACAAGAGAATTGCCTGAACCCGGGAAGAGGAGGTTGCAGTGATTCCAGATTGCACCACTGCACTCCAGCCTGGGTGACAGAGCCAGACTCCATCTCAAAAAAATAAAAATAAAAAGAAGAAAAACTTACTACTGTTTTTGAACTATAATTTTTTATTGTAATATTTTTAACACTTAATGCTTACTTGAGTGTATTACCAAAGTTACCCCAGGGCACCCCTTCTTCAATGAAGTACCCAGAATGAGTTTTTTTTTTTTTTTTGAGACGGAGTCTCGCTCTGTCGCCCAGGCTGGAGTGCAGTGGCGCGATCTCTGCTCACGGCAAGCTCCGCCTCCCGGGTTCACACCATTCTCCTGCCTCAGCCTCCCGAGTAGCTGGGACTACAGGCACCTGCCACCATGCCCGGCTAATTTTTTTGTATTTTTAGTAGAGGTGGGGTTTCACCGTGTTAGCCAGGATGGTCTCGATCTCCTGACCTCATGATCCACCTGCCTCGGCCCCCCAAAGTGCTGGGATTACAGGTGTGAGCCACTGCGCCCGGCCCAGAATGAATTTTTATAAATAGTCGAAGACACAAAAGATCACACTGGTCGGCTTCCAGTGTTGCCGCCAGCAAGTACGCTCCCTGCGAAAGTGCATCAAGTCAGGGCCCCAGGCTCAGCTTCTCTAAGAACCTTCAGTCTGGGGGAGGGTTGTGATGTGAGTCACAGGTCCATGAATTCTTTTTTTGTTGTTTTTAAAGACGTAAAGACACTTTTTCTCCTTTCACTGCTTTTCTCCTCAAAATGTTGCATTTCCTTCTGCCCTTAGTGTTTTCCATAACCTTCTGATCACTTTCAGTTATTCCGGCAGTACAATCATAGGCTGGCTTTACAGTGAAGCCTTTATAATCTTCTTCCACTTCTTCTAAAATTAAAAAATGAAAACCAACTAGCCCAACCCTCAACCAGGCTGGAACGCATGTCCTCCTCAGTGCTCAGTTATGGTGAGAGATGAGGATGCCCTGGGAAGTGTCCGGCAGTCTCCTCTCAGCTCCTTGGGGTCATTTCTTTGGGTAGCAATGTCAGGTCTGGACGGGGCACAAGTCCCTACATCCAGGTACCCAACATGCCTCTGAGGCAGCAACGCTTCCCAGAGGGGCTGGCCCTGGTCCCCCCACGACGAGCTTCCATCCCCTTACTCACATCTTCCCTTATTTTAGTTACTGCTCAACAGGACCAAACACTTCATTAGTAGCTGTTTATTGATCAATGGTTTGATATAAAGTTATTTCAGATCTTCAGACTTTTGCCCAGATGGAATCACAAGCATTACAAAGTTTTTTTCTTAAAAATAAAAAAAGGATAGGGGCAAGTTGGGAGGGGACCAACCTAGCAGTAGTGGCATTTGAGAATAAATTAACAAAAAAATTTAGTATTACCATTTATTGATGACAAACACTTAAGTTTTACTTACATTCCATGGGGAGAAAAATTCCAGCGTAAACAATGAATGGAAGCAGTACTTAACTCGCAGGGCTACCAGGCTTTCCATACGGACCACACGCAGAGCCTCAGTGCACACACTTCTGTGTACAGTAACACAACATCAAAAGCAACACAGCTGTATACAGAAACGTAGGTCATTCTTTTCAGCCCTAATGGAGATGTAATTAACAGTATCGAGCACTCTGGAAAATCACTCTGCAGGTTTATATGGACTACATGGAGATCATATCCTGTAGTGTAGTGAAAGCTAAGTCCTCAAGAGCCATATGTATAGATACACAATGTTTTTTAATAATCTTTAAAACAGAGATCAAAGTTCATTTAAGTCCTGTTTGCATTAACAAAAATAAAAATGAAATAAAAATGGAACCAAATGATCATCTAAAGTTTAAAATTCCTAAATTGTCCAATTTATACAACTGTGGGAGACTTATTCAAGGTTTTTGAAAGTCCAGGACTGTTTCAGCTGAACCAGAGGGCACACAATTTGCATCACTGAAACTGTCCTGGGTTAGTCAATGAAATAAAAATGTCTAACCACATACACATGGATATGATCTTTGTCGGTTAGATTATTGATAAAGTCAGTCTCAGACAAGTTTCCAAACTGTGCTATTTAACTAGATACAATTGAGAAATTCTCAAATGAAAATTTTATATAGTGTCATATCAATCAAAAGAAAATAATGAAACTAAGAATACAGATCACTGTTGGAAGAGAAAGCAGTGGTGATGGTGTGGGTACTGCAGGAGGTGGTGGGGCCGTGGCACACTAGAAAAGTTGGGTCACGCTGAGTAGGAAGCATTTGATTTTCTCTGGTGCTTTTAGCTCTGGGGCCGGTCAAAGGCCTCTCTCTGGCATGGCTGTCCAGGGTTTGTCCCAATGTGTCTGAGTGAGCCAGCTTGAGAAGGGGTCGTGCCGTTTCTTCTTTCACACAGGGGAAAAAAAAGACCAAACACGGAGGTGCCCAGGGTGTGGATCTGCTGGTGTCCCGGGAGAACCAGCTGGCTGGGCAGCCCTTCTTCCCCACAGGCAGCTGCTATTGCGTAGGGACCGCCAGGTCACCGAGTGGCCATCACAACAAACCCCAGCACAGTCCAGCCCGGCCACAGCCGCCTCCTTGTGTTTCTGTTGTCTTCCCTGCTGCTGCCCACATCCTTTACCCACCGTGTCTCTCGGCCCACTGGAGGTATCAGAAATTCCAAATTTTCAAAGCAGTTTCAGTATTTTCAGTATATATGTTGGGATTTTATAATGGTTCATGGCCAGAAAAGGTTCAGCACCTCCCACACCTTTAAGGAAGAAAAATGAAAATGACACTAGTTTTGAAATGTAAGAGAATTAAAGTACTGTTAAAAATGAAAAGAAATTGGCAAACATCAGGAAGTACAATACTAAAAGCCCCAGTTTATGATAACAAAAGTTTTCCCAGGGTATGCCAGTAAGTAAAATACGCAAGGAGAGTGTGTGTACTTATCTCTGTGGGGGGAAAGGAAGAAAATGAGGGAAGAAATATATGTCTATATTTGTATAAAGAAACATACAGGAAAGATACAGGAGAAACTAGTAAAAATGTGATCTATGGGGGAGGCGGTGGGGAGAATAGGAGGGATGGGATGGGGGCTGTCCGAGGGGAAGATTGTACCTTGTAAAATAATGCAGAGTTCTGACCATGTGAAGGTATGACCAACTCAAAAAGGTTTTTTTGTTTTTTTTTGGGACGGAGTCTTGCTCTGTCGCCCAGGCTGGAGTGCAGTGGCGCTATGTCGGCTCACTGCAACCTCCGCCTCCCAGGTTTTAAGCAGTTCTCTGCCTCGGCCTCCCAAGTAGCTGGGATTACAGGTGCCTGCCACCACACCTGGCTAATTTTTGTATTTTTAGTAGAGACAGGGTTTCACCATCTTGGCCAGGCTGGTCTTAAACACCTGACACCTCATGATCCACCTGCCTTGGCCACCCAAAGTGCTGGGATTACAGGTGTGAGCCGCTGTTCCCAGCCTCAAAATGTCTTTTAAAAGTAGAGCTTTCTGCCCAGAGAATCTGGAAAACTTTCAGGCAAAAGGGCCAGAAAGTAACTCAGGCAAATATTTCCCCGCTGAGTCAGCAGATAGTGTAAACTCAACACAAACGAGGGGCAGCCTCCCCATCATCAGCGCCTTCCCCTTCATCAGTGCACTCACACAGACATTGGTCCGTTTCCTGTTCTTGGCATCTCTGTACTTTGTTGGTCCAACTCAGACAGCAACTTTAAGATGTTCAGCGCAGCCTAGTGGGGATGGAAAGAAGGGTAAAGCCACAGCCACCGCTTGGGACCACAGCATAATACACTGGTCAGGCAGGCAAGAGAGTTCCTGCTGCCCAGCAAACAGGTGGCAACTTCTTCAACTCTGGTACTACTAAATAAAACTTTGAATTTTTAATTTAAAATACAAATTAAAAAATATTCAGTTACCTCACTGAATCATAACCTCTGAAAATGTTATATTTTTCCTTCTAGTATTTTTAACCATGTGGTAACCAGACTGTATAAATGTTATATCCTGCTTTCTAACAAAAATCTATCATGTATTTTTCTTTCTATAGAGACAGGGTCTCACTAAGTTGCCCAGGCTGGTCTCAAACTCCTAGGCTCAAGCGATCCTTCCACCTTGGCCTCCCAAAGTGCTGGAATTACAGGTGTGAGCCTCCACACCCGGCCTATCATGTATTTTTCTTCTT
Organism: Homo sapiens; assembly: GCF_000001405.40. Lineage (NCBI taxonomy): Eukaryota > Metazoa > Chordata > Mammalia > Primates > Hominidae > Homo > Homo sapiens. The sequence goes on from NC_000020.11 coordinate 49,116,320, forward strand.
ATTACATTATCTTCGGAGACACTGTTTTGTTTTGAAACGCAGTCTCACCCAGCTGCCCAGGCTGGAGTGCAGTAGTGCAATCTTGGCTCACTGCAACCTCCACCTCCCGGGTTCAAGCGATTCTCCTGCCTTGGCCTCCCAAGTAGCTGGGATTACAGGCACCCACCACCACACCTGGCTAATTTTTTTTTGTATTTTTAGTAGAGATGGGGTTTCACCACGTTGGCCAGGCTGGTCTTGAACTCCTGAGCTCAGGTGATCCGCCTGCCTCAGCCTCCCGCAGTGCTGGGATTAGTGTGAGCCACCACACCCCACCCAGAGACATTAATTTCATGCATGCATGACATCCCATCAAGTGAATACATCACAGTTTACTTAGATTTGTTGATCTGATCAATTCCTTTTCTCAGTTTTCTTATAACAATAATTTCATCTGAACAGAAGACCAAAGCAAGTGGTTTTTACAGCTGCCAGAACGTGGACCTGCAATTCCTTGTTCTGGTGAGAGATGAAGTGAGTGCAGTCTCTGGGTGAGCTGCAGGATCCCAGTTGCCCCTCCAGGCCAGCAGGGAAAAGGAAGGGAAAGGTGGGCTAAAGCTGATGAGTTCTGATCAAGAGTGAGAAATCGATCCAATCAGCTATGACAAAAAGTCTTCAAAAATATGAACACTATCAAACGATTCATTGCTCTCAAGGTCTATGGGACAATCTTTCTCCCATCTTCCTCAGGCTAGTAACAAGCTGAACCAAGGCAGGCTCCACATAAACACACAACACCCCAATCCCTCACCCAAGGTGTGACGTACCATATCATGGCAGGACTCCACATCCTTGCCGATACCATGGCTGATCAGAGGTGGCTGAGAGGAGCAATTGATAAGAGATACAAATTCGTTCTTGTTGTTTTTGGGGAAGTCTTTGTATTCAACCTAAGGGGGAAAAGAGAGCTGAGGCTAGGTAGGGAACAGCAAGTATGAGTGGGCTGGAGGGCTGCAGCTCCAGGCCCCACAAGCAAGATCACCAGCTCTTTTTTCCAACTCAGCCCCACTGTGGCCATACTAACACCTGCCCTGTCAGCCCAGAACCTTCCAGGAACCTAGGTGTCTGCTCAGAAGCCCAAGACTGGGAGAAGCCATATCCTTTCCTACCAGACAGAAAGTGTCAGCACGATGAGTCTGTTCTTTGAAATCCAAATTTACAACCACTGCTAGTGGTTAGAAGCTTTTAGGGTTGGCTTGCATGTTGAAATCTTACTACCAAAGGATAAAGATATTTCTCTTACCACATATGCTTACAATACTTCTATACCTCCTACCCTTCCATCACTGCTCCCCAGCCCATCCCTGGACAGAACTTGATTTAAGAAAAAAGTACAAAGTTCAAAGTTCATTTTCTGAGAGAAGCCAAAAGATGACTGTCCTGAGGCACAGCCATCACAGCTCAGGCCAGACAGTTACCTGGAATCCCTGGACTCTGGAAAGATAGTCCAGTTGCTCAGAGGGTCTCGTGAGAGGTCCATGGGGTACGTGGCCTGAAGAGATGTTATTCTTTAAAATGGTCTCGGCTGTGGGCGAGGTGCCCCCATACAACAACTCTCGGGCTATCATGGCAGTTACCGTGGCCTTGGCAGGATTCGGAGCTGCCCTGGTAAAATCTTTGGTGTGATGTCCTTGACTAACTCCTACAGCCTGGGCGACCTCGGGCACCATGGGAAGAATTCCAGCAGGCAGCTGCTGATGACTTAGATAAGGCATCCTGAACTCATCCTCTTTATTACCTGGGAGGGACATACACGGTAAACACGAATCCACATCCACAGCCTGGAAAAACGCAATGACACCATCAAACCCCACGCTGGCCCTCCCCTTGGCACGCATGGCAGCGCAGGGAATCAGGGAATGATAAAGACACTTTGCATGCGGGACCTCACTGGCTGGGCTCCTGCTGTTATTCAGGACCCATGCAAATCCCAGAATCACGTTCAGAGGAAGACGATATTAAGATCACACTTACTAGTCCCATTTTCATCCCCAGAGCCAGGTTCAAAAAAGGTTACTTTTCTTCCATCCCCTGGTTTCTTTATGGGTGTCTTAAAAAAGAAGAAGAAAAAAAAAAGGCCATGAGCATAAATCAGATCACTGAAAAATTAGCTCCTGCTGTCTAAATCTACACAAAGTCCAGTCAGCAATAACTGTGGCAATCGGCAGAAAAACCCTGCCCCACCTGACCACTGGCACCCTGACAGACACCTGGGCAGAGCCTGCCTCCTTCTCCTAATGCACCCTCCTGCCCACACCCCTGCCCACAAAGAGCATCTAACAAAGTGCACTAACCTGTGAATGCTGAGCTGCACTCTGCACCCACAGGAAGACGGGAAGCATTTAACCAGAAAGAGCAGAGATGCTAGACGGTAGAGCCCACCAAGGTGGGGAAAGAAGCTTTCAGACTGAAGCTAAACAAATAAATCAAGAATATTTCCTGGAGCTGATATCCAATTAAAAAATAAGGTGACATTCCAAAATTAACACCCTTACGGGGAAAATGTTATTACCTAAGAATTTTGTCTAACACAACATCACCTTTCTAAGAAGTAACAAAGGACACTCTGAATGTCCTACAAGATTCTGAAATGAAAAACCCTAAAGCCAAGTCTAAGATCTATACTGGTGGTATCTGGGGTCCCAGTCAGTTATTAACTGGCCATGACTGATGCTGTTTCTGTCAATATGACTGGCAGACATGAATGAATCAGGCCTGATTTCAAGTTTATCTCACCAGGACCATTCAGTGATGGGAAAGAAGAAGGTCAGCCATGGCTTTTGCTGAGGTCCTGCTTACCACTTCTGGCAGACACGAATTTTTCTTTTTACGTTCCTTTTTTGTTGTTGTTGAGACAGGGTCTGTCGCCCAGGCTGAGTGCAGTGGCATGATCACAGCTCACTGCAGCCTTGACCTTCCAAGGCTCAATCCTCCCATCTCAGCCTTGTAGCTCGGGCTACAGGTACAAGCCACCATACCTGGCTGATATTTTAATTTTTTGTAGAGACAGGGTTTCATCATGTTGCTCAGACTGGTCTTGAACTCCTGGATTCAAGGCCTCAGCCTCCCAAATTACAAGTTTGAGCCACCACACCTGGCCGTGAATTTTTCAACAGGGGATTATTTTCATCTGATGTTTAACTCACATAGGAAAAAAGAAATCCCAAACCTAAACTTTGGATTTGGCCTGTCTCTACTGTCACACTGTCTTATTTTGCCAGAAAAATCAAAGCCTATTCCACAATTAACGAAAGCCTAACAGTTATAAATCTTTCACACAGGCTTCATTTCTAGAGTGCAAATCACACTTAGTAATTTCAGTCCTAATTACCCTTCATCCTCATCCTACAAATAGAGAGGAGCAAGCTGCCCTCCACAAAGCGTCCCCAGACCACAAAGATACTGACACAATCAACGATCTAACCCAGAGCCTCCTGGGGCCAGTGGACATGCGAGGCCCCTCTGAGCACATTATGGTCCAAATGGATGAGACACTCCTCAGCAGGACTCCTTGAACTGTCAGGCAGATAAAGCCTTGCCTTGAAGCCTGCCCCTGGAGGTGCCCCAGTTCCCTAGGGTGAGGCGAGAGACCATCTTGCAATCAGAGAGCCCACAGCACTCACCTTCTCCTCTGACTTGAGTGCGGGTTTGGTGGGCTGCGCCTGCGGGACTTTGAAACCAAGGATCTCCAGCATGTTCTCGGCTGCATTGCGCTTGGCCACCTTCTTGTTGGTGCCCGTTCCTTCTGCAGTGTGGTTTCCAACCTTCACCTGCACAAAGAAGTCAAAACACAGACCAGTGCTTAAACCTTCAGAATAACAACCAGGCAGGAATTGGTGTGTCAGCAAAATAACCAACTATGGTCAGAAGCAAGATAACAGCAGTGCCCCGAACCTGGCCTCCTTGTCTCTGAGAGCTAATTATTAAATAGTCAGGAGTTTGGGAAGCTGGCTGTTAAACACAGCCAGTATTAAACATTTAATTATATAAGCTGATAATTATTTTAACAGAGGTAATTTTTGACTGCATTTTATAATCATCTGTGTTCTGAGGGTCTGCCCAGCTATTGCATTTGTACAATGGAAACAGTCTGTGATGGTGAACTACTGTACATCTATTCCCAGCATTGCCATTGGAAGTATCACTTTGAGAGCTTGAAATCAGCCATGGTGGGACTATTTATACCACAGAAATATACAAATGCTACGTATCAAAGATCATAAGCTGTTTATTGTCTAACTCTAAACCTACAATGATGAAAAGGTTAATAAAGCAGGTTAATCTTAAAAGCATGAGAAGTCTGCAGCCATTACATTGTAACTAGCACAAAAAACTGAAATATCTTCCCGTCTTTGAAAATTATCTAATTTTGCAGAGAAGCCACTCATATCATTTACAAATGAGTGATGTTACATGTCTTCATTGTTTCACTTTTTCTTTTTTCTTTTTTGGGATAGACAGGGTCTCACTTCTTCACCCAGGATGGAGTGCAATGGCATGATCTCAGCTCACTGCAACCTCCACTTCCCAGGTTCAAGCGATTCTCCTGCCTCAGCCACCCGAGTAGCTGGGATTACAGGCGTGTGCCACCATGCCTGGCTAACTTTTCTATTTTTAGCAGAAATGAGGGTTCACCATGTTGGTCAGGCTGGTCTCGAACCCCTGACCTCAAGTGATCCGTCATGCTGGGATTACAGGCGTAAGCCATCAAGCCCAGCCTGTTTTACTTTCATCTTACCTATTAACATAAATAAAAAACATCAACCAGCCGGGCGTGGTGGCTCACGCCTGTAATCCCAGCACTTTGGGAGGCTGAGGTGGGTGGATCACCTGAGGTCAGGAGTTCGAGACCAGTCTGGCCAACATGGTGAAACCCCATCTCTACTAAAAATACAAAAAGTAGCTGGGCGTGATGGTGGGCACCCGTGAATCCCAGCTACTCGGGAGGCTGAGGCAGGAGAATCACTTGAACCTGGGAGGCAGAGGTTGCAGTGAGCCGAGATCACACCACTGCCCTGCAGCCTGGACAACAGAGCAAGTTGACTCCATTCCCCTCTACCCCAAAAAAAATGTATCTCAACCAGTATTCATGCTACAACCAAAATCTCAAATCTACAGTATGTATTTGTCAGTGACATGAGCAACACCTTTGCTGAACTGGATAGTAATAAACCATTATGTGCTGTCTGATTTTATAACACTATCGTTGGTAACTGTCACACTGAAATATGTATGAAATTTACAATAAAGTGTATATTATTTATAAATTGTACTACACATCCTTTCTGTCAGTAAAATTTATAAAACACACATATATGTCAGTATAATTTATAACACACATCCTTTGTGTCAGTAAAATTTATAACACACATGTATATAACACCCATGTATATATCTATAACATACATATTCAGCTCATTCCACCAAACCACCCTCCCCGAAGAAGAGCTGGTTGTTAAACATGTTCCAGCACATCACTACTTACAACCCCCTTCCAAGTTGATTGTAATAACAGGCACCTGGCTGCTAAAACCAAAAGCCCAGGTCACAAGACTCAGAGAGTCAAAGAAACCATTCCCTGGCCTGGGACTAAATTCCAACCTGGCCATCTACCAGCCATTTCATCTTGGGCAAACTACTGATCCTCTCAGCAAACTGCAACTTCCTTTTGTGGAATGAAAGGATCATTCTTTTCCTACCTTCTGACTGCATAGGTAAAATATACGAGGTCAACTTTCTAAGTTATAAATTGCTATACAAGAGATAAGGATTCTGTCTTACATCAGAAAGCACTTAAATTCAAATCACAATTAAGTTAAGCTGCCTATGTGAAATGACCACTTAGCTTTGAACTTAATCAGCTAAGTACAAAGAAATGTTCCATACTAATCTGAAGTGTCACCCAATCTAAGGAAGAGGTAACCCTAGATTCCAGACTCCATAAGAATTAGGAGGAAGAGGAACAGATCTCTTGATACTACTTACAAAATTTACCTTTGGTAAAGAGCAATGTCATAAACCTTCAAGGAGATGTAATGAAGAAAAACTTCTCCCAGCACCCACCACCCCAGGACTCTTTCTTCCAAATTTCAGTGCAACACACCCACATTCCCACCAGTGCACCCAGCAGTAGTGCTGGTGTGCAGACATTACATTCATTTTTTTAAGCATTAAGATAAACAACTTAATCTTTGATATGTAGCCTTTACAGATTTCTGTGGTATGTTTAAGCTATCAAATTATTGCAAGCCACAAGGTCTTAATAAGGATCACAGTTGGCTGGGCGAGGTGGCTCACGCCTGTAATCCCAGCACTTTGGGAGGCTGAGGTGGGAGGATCACAAGGTCAGGAGATCAAAACCATCCTGGCCAACATGGCGAAACTCCGTCTCTGCTAAAAATACAAAAAATTAGCTGGGCATGGTGGCACGTGCCTGTAATCCCAGCTACTCGGGAGGCTGAGGCAGGAGAATCGCTTCAATCAGGGAGTCGGAGGTTGTAGTGAGCTGAGACAGCACCACTGCACTCCAGCCTGGGCGACAGAGTGAGACTCCATCTCAAAAATAAATAAATAAATAAATAAATAAATAAATAAATAAGGATCACAGTCGCTGGCAGAACATGGCCCACAGGATCCAGCCTCCTCAGGAAGGTGTCCAGACCTTGAACCGCCATCAGCCCCCAAGGCTGGACGTGGTCAGAGGAAGGGGCGCCCATCATCCATGCGGACCCACCTGCATCACAAACTCCCTGCGGCGCGGGAGGCCTCGCTCTGTGAGGAGCGTGTACTCTGGCTCCTTCTCCTTTTTTGCCTGCTGGATCTGGGCCAGTCGGCTAATCGGATTGATCCCCTGGCCATATTCTGGGCTTGTCTGTGGCTGAGGAACAAACAAGGCAGAAACTCTGTAATGTTATTCACCGCATGAACTTGGTCAACTCAGAGATCAGGATATGAGAGGAGATAAGAGATTTTGGGTTGACCTAATGGCTCAGAATTCGATTTTTTTTAATTTAACATTTTAACAATGAAAAGATGCTTTATTTTTTTTATGATTGTTCTAGGTGATTTTAAGGTCTTAGCAAACCAACATCAACATTTCACTATAACGAAGCGTCACTATGACTGCGACGGCTGTTTTTTAACATATTTCAACATATGACAGTAAATGGGCAGAAAAAACATAAAACACTATTCCTACAACTCCCCAAAAGTCTGAGCTATGATGGGTTCCCAATTTTCTTGAAAAGAACTCAAAATCCAGGAACCACTTTTTTAAAAAAGCTCAAGCTGATGCCACATGGCAAGAAGAACCTCAGAATCCCAGTTACTTCCTTGAGGCCACCTTTTGTGCCAAGGAACCCTCACTCTGCTGATCAGAAGTGACTTCCAGGCTATATTAAGCAAAAAAGGGAAACAAAAGGTATACATAGTATGCTTTTATGTAAGAAAAATTTGGATCTTGATACAGCATGAAACTACATATACTGAAAATCACAAAGTTCCCCATGGAATTATGTCCCCTTTCTGGGGTTGGGGAAGGGGTCAATATAATGCTTTGATAGATCCATTAGTGTGGCTCAAAAATCCAAAAGAAAAGGCACACAGCAAAATGTCTCACTCCTACCCTCCCACTATGGGCCTCCTGCCTGGCACAAATCTCCTCCACCTTCAGAACAGCAACATGGTCACTGAGACACAGGCACTGTTATTTCACCACGCGCCCCACAGACCGGCATGGCGTTCCTGCCCAATACCCCACTGTGATCGCCAGGGCTGTGATGAGCGCCCTCCTGCACAGATGTGTGTGCCCGTCTGCGGGTACCTCTACTGAACTGACACAATGTCCTTATCTTACCTAACAGGTGGCTCTTGCAGCACCTCTAAGGGGTCTGGCAGGCCTGGGGTGTGGCACGTTGGTCTCATCCCCTTTCACCTTGGGGACAGCGACCAGCCTTCTAAACCCCCCACCCATCTATAAGTAATGAAAACACCTTCTGTGTTCAGAAAAGTTCTCACCTTGACTATGGGTTTTGTTTTCTTTTTGATTCTAGGCTTTACTCGTTCAACTGCAGGCAGGGGCGGTAACTTCTTCAGCTCCTCAAGAACAGCTATGGCGGCATTTTTCTTTGAAATCTTCTTGCTTTTCCCTTCACCTTCCCCCACAAACTCCCCAACCGAAACCTTGGTCACAAAGTTCTTCATGTGGGGTGGGCCACTCTCCCGGGCCACCTGTTTCAGAGGGAAAGACTGAGTGAAAGCGGACAGACACTTATTAAAAGCTCCAAGGCACACTGGCTGGCACACTTCACACAGACACAGGGAAGGGGAACCAAGGACAAGACCTACTAAATGAAAGGAAGCGGGGATCATTTCAAATGCTTTCTCGCCTTTCTTCTTACTTCTCAAACTGGTTTATGCTCTTGAGTCTGGTGAGTCCCAAACAGTCAGGCATGAAATAGGGAGACCTTTTTACTCCCATGCCCCTGGCTCACAGGCTGTCCTGAGTTTAGTGTGGTCCACTGCAACTGGCAAAAAGGAAGCTAGCCCAGCAAAGTCCAGAAATAAATGCAGTACAAATGCTCAAGTTTAGTATCTGCTCTGAGCCTCCAGCCAGGACTAGGCCTACTAAATACTGGTTGCTATGTGGCCACAAAAGAGAACGAGACAAATCTCTTAAGCACTGATAAAGAGGGATTCCCCGCACACATTAAGTAAAAAAAAAAAAAAAAAAAACCCACAAAAGAGTATATGGTATGGTAGCTTTAGTTTAAGAAAAATAGGATTTTATACAAATATCTACACATATATAAACAGACACACATTTATAAGCTCATTTTTGCAAAAAAAAAAAAAAAAAAAAAAAAAACGAAGGATAAAAAAAATCAATGGGCTGGACATGGTGGCTCACACCTGTAATCCCAGCAATTTGGGAGACCAAAGCGGGTGGATCACTTGAGGTCAGGAGTTCAAGACCAGCCTGGCCAACATGGTGAAACCCCCATCTCTACTAAAAATACAAAAATTAGCTAGGGGTGGTGGTGCACACCTGTAATCCCAGCTACTTGGGAGGCTGAGGCACAAAAACCCCTTGAACCTGAGAGACGGAGGTTGCAGTGATCCAAGATCACAAAACTGCACTCCAGCCTAAGCGATAGAGTAAGACCCTGTCTCAAAGGAAAAAAAAAAAAAAAAAAAAGCAAGCAATGGGCCAGGCGCGGTGGCTCACGCCTGTAATCCCAGCACTTTGGGAGGCCGAGGCAGGTGGATCACGAGGTCAGGAGATCGAGACCATCCTGGCTAACATGGTGAAACCCCGTCTCTACTAAAAATACAAAAAAAATTAGCCGGGCGTGGTGGCAGGCGCCTGTAGTCCCAGCTACTCGGGAGGCTGAAGCAGGAGAATGGCGTGAACCTGGGAGGCGGAGCTTGCAGTGAGCTGAGATTGCGCCACTCCAGCCTGGGTGACAGAGTGGGACTCCGTCTCAAAAAGCAAGCAATGAAATTAGTTACCTACAACAGGTGTGAGGGATTAGGGTAGACAGACGGGATGAGACGGGAATGATAGTTTTGACTTCTGGAAGCATTTACTGTTTTACATATTAAAGAAATAAAACTAAGTCAACAAAGATGGGGAAAGAATCTAAAATTAAACATGAACAGAAAGTTAGCTGCATATTAAAGTGATTACAATCTCCAAATGGACCAAAGACCTACACAGAGGCGCTAACATGCACAACTCTCAGAAGCAAAAACAGGCGAGTCTTCATGACTTTGGGTTTGGCAATTGGTTTTTAAGATATGAAACTAAAAGCACAATCAACAAGAGGGAAAAAAAAAAGTCACACTTAATCAAACTTTAAAACTTTTGTGTATCATGGACATTATCAAGAAAGTGATTACAATAACACAGATAGAAAATCAGGCTGGGCAGGGTGGCTCATGCCTGTAATCCCAACGCTCTGGGAGGCCAGGGTGGGAGGATCACTTGAGCTCAGAAGTTCAAGACCAGCCTGGCCAATACAGCAAGACCTTGACTCTACAAAAATAAAAACAAAATTAGCCAGGTGTGGTAGTGTGCCCCTGTATGTAGTCCTAGCTATGTGGGAGGCTAAAACAGGAGGATCACTTAAGCCCAGGAGATCAAGGCTACAGGGAGCTATGATCACACAACTGCACCCCAGCCTGGGCAACAGAGCAAAACCTCGTCTCAAAAAGCAAAAAAAAAAAAACAAAAAAAAAACAAAAAAACTTAAAAATCTAACCGATATTAGCCAAGACACTCAAAAAGAAAAATAGAAGACTTACACTACCAGATTTTAAAACTTCCTATAAAGTCACAACAACTAGGATATGGTTTTGTGTAAGGATAAATAGATCAACAGAACAGCACGAAAAAGACCTGCACATATAAGGTCACTCGATTTTTGGCAAACACACCAAAACAAATTAAAAATCTCTTAAAAAAATAGTACCAGAGCAACTAACTAGGTATCTGCATGGAGCGGGGTGGGGGGAAGAAAAAAAAATCAAACCATGATCTCTAACTCATACCACAACAAAAATTAGACCTAGGATCACTTAAATGTGATCTAAACTAAAATTACAAAGACTTTATAACAGGAGAAAGCCTCAAGACTGTAAGGCTGGCAAAGAGTTGAACACAAAAGATATCCACCATAAAGAAAAAAGAAATTCCTCAAAATTAAAAACCACTGGCCGGGCGCGGTGGCTCACGCCTGTAATCCCAGCACTTTGGGAGGCCGAGGTGGGCAGATCACGAGGTCAGGAGTTCGAGATCAGCCTGGCCAACATAGTGAAACCCCGTCTCTACTAAAAATATAAAAAATTAGCTGGGCGTGGTGGCGGGCACCTGTAATCCCAGCTACTTAGGAGGCTGAGACAGGAGAATTGCTTGAACCCAGGAGACGGAGGTTGCAGTGAGCTGAGATGGCACCACTGCACTCCAGCCTGGACAACAAGAGCGAAACACCATCTCAAAAATAAATAAATGAATAAAATAAAAAATAAACTGCTCATCAAAAGACATTTAAAAAGTAAAAAAGGGGGCCAGGTGCAGTGGCTCACGCCTGTAATACCAACACTGTGGTAGGCCGAGGCGGGTGGATCACCTGAGGTCAGGAGTTTGAGACCAGCTTGGCCAACAGGGTGAAACCCTGTCTCTACTAAAAATACAAAAATTAGCTGAGTGTGGTGACACATGACTGTAATCCCAGTTACTTAAGAGGCTAACACAGGAGAAATGCTTGAACCCCAGAGGCGGAGGTTGCAGTGAGCTGAGATCGCGCCATTGCATTCCAGCCCGGATGACAGAGCAAGACTTTGTCTAAAAAACAAAAAAAACTAAAAAAGGGGCCAGGCACATTGGCTCACTCTTGTAATCCCAGCACTTTGAGAAGGCCAAGGCGGGTGGATGGCTTCAGTCCAGGAGTTTGAGACCAGCCTGGGCAACATGGCAAAACCCCGTCTCTACAAAAAAAATACAAAAATTGGCTGGGCTCGGTGGCTCACGCCTGTAATCCCAGCACTTTGGGAGGCCGAGGCAGGCGGATCACCTGAGGCCAGGAGTTTGAGACCAGCCTGACCAACATGGAGAAACCCCATCTCTACTAAAAATACAAAATTACCTGGGCGTGGTAGCGCATGCCCATAATCCCAGCTACTCGGGAGGCTGAGGCAGGAGAATCGCTTGAACCCAGGAGGCAGAGGTTGCGGTAAGCTGAGATCACGCCATTGCACTCCAGCCTGGGCAACAAGAGCGAAACTCTGTCTCAGAGGAAAAAAAAAAAATACAAAAATTAGCCCAGTGTGTGGTGGCGTGTGCCTGTAGCCCCAGCTACTTGGGAGGCTGAGACAGCAGGATCACTTGAGCTCAGGAGGTCGAGGTTGCAGTGAGGTGAGATCATGCCACTGCACTACAGCCCGGGTACCAAGTGAGTTCTTTTCTCTAAAATCAAATAAAATAAACTTGTTATTTCAAAATATACATATTTCCTAGCTCTATCTCCTAACCGAGAGCCATGGCTCTCCAGCAGGAACAAGCATGCTAGCACCCTGTCCTGTCTCTACACACCACTCCCAATTAGAAGGAACCGGATCTTCTTGGAGGAATGGCCAAGACCATTTCTATTAGAAATTTATGTTTCCACTGGGGCTAAAGCTAGAGCAGGGGAAGTTCAAAGTGAGGCTAAAACATTTTGTTGTATCAGAAAGCATGGAAGTTCTCAAAATGTGAAGAGGGGAGGTGCAAAGGTTATTTAATAAAGGACTGTCTCAGCCAGGCATGGTGGCTCAAGCCTGTAATCCCAGCCTGGGCGACAAGAGCAAAACTCTGTCTCAAAAAATAAAGGACTGTCTCTTCAACAAACAGTGCAGGCACAATTAGACATCCAAATCCAAAAAAAAAAAAAAAAAAAAGACAAAAACATCCCTTATGTCACAGTATATATGAAAACTAACTCGAAATGAATTATAAACCTAAATGTAAGAGCTAAAACTAAAATTTCTAAGGAAAATGACTTTAGGTTAGCCAAATGTATCTCAGCATACACAAAAATTATTAACTATAAAAAATTTAACAAACTACACCTCACCAAAATTCAATACTTCTGCTTTTTGAAAGTCACTTAAAATCAAACGACAAGCCACAGACTTAAGAGAAAATATCTGCAAAATACTTATCTGAGAAAAAACTTGAATTCAGAATATATATAGAACCTCCAAAACTCAATAATAAAAAGACACTCAAAAAAACTGGCAAGATATAAACCTATATTTCATCAAAGAAAATAGTAAAATAAAAACACGAAAAGAAGCTCAGTATTGCTAGTCTTCATGGAGATATATAAATTAAAACCACAACAAGATACTACTGACTACCTGCTAGAATGACTTTAAAAAAAAATTTTTTTTTTTTTTTTTTTTTTTTTGAGACGGAGTCTCACTCTGTCACCCAGGGTGGAACGCAGTGGCGCGATCTTGGCTCACTGCAACCTCTGCCTCCTGGGTTCAAGCGTTTCTCCTCCCTCAGCCCCCTGAGTACCTGGGACTACAGGTGCACACAACCATGCCCACCTAATTTTTGTATTTTTAGTAGAGAAGGGGTTACGCTATGTTGGCCAGGCTGGAATAACTAAAATTTTAAAAGCTGACAATACCCAAGTGTTGGAGAGGATGTAGAGCAACTAAGCCTCTCTCATATATTGCAGGTGAAATGCACAATGATACATCTGGTTTAGAAAACAGTTTGGCAACTTTTTTTTTTTTTTTTTTTTTTTTGAGACAGTCTCGCCCTGTCGCCCAGGTTGGAGTGCAGTAGCATGATCTCGGCTCACTGCAACCTCTGACTCCCAGGTTCAAGCGATTCTCATGCCTCAGTCTAATGAGTAGCTGGGATTACAGGCACATGCCTGGCTAATTTTTTGTATTTTTAGTAGAGACGAGGTTTCACCATGTTGGCCAGGCTGGTCTCTAACTCCTGACCTCAAGTGATCCGCCCACCTTGGTTTCCTGAAGTGTTGGGATTACAGGCATGAGCCCATGAGCCCAGCCAACTTCTTATAAAGTTATTTATTTATCATGCAACTCAGCAAATCCACTCAAGTATTTATTCAAGAAAAATGAAAACATGTCTCCACAGATGTATATAAATGTTTACAGTAGATTTATTAATAATCACCAAAAACTCACAACAATACAAATCTTCAACTGGTAAATAGATACACTGTAGTGTGTACACACTATGTAACACTCTTGGTGATAAAAAGGAACAAACTACTGAAACACACAACAGCATGAATAATGACTCCAAGCTAAGTTAAAGAAGTCAGACAAAAGGCAATATACTCTATTTTCCATTTATGTAATATTCTTAAAAAGGCAACACTATAGGGACAGAATGAGATCAATGCTTGCCAGAGCCTGAGGACAGAGGGGAGAGACTGACTGCAAAGGGACACAGGGAACTTTACTGGGTGGGAGATGTTCTGTTTTGACTATGGTGCTGGTTACAGAACCATATACACTTATCAAAACACATCGAACTGTGCACTTACACAGGGTGACTTTCACTGTAAATTATACCTCAAGAAGCCTGACCACCCCTTCATCCAAAAAATAACTGATGGGGGCATGTTAAAGGGCACAAGGGCCAATTTAAAGGACAATTTGGACATCAAAATGGGTGACGATAACAATGGAGTAATACTTTGGGTTTAAAAAAAAGCAGCAATGCATCTATACCGATATAATTACTATAAGAGGGGAGGAAGGAAACTTTTTCTTTACTGTAGAATGCCAGCTTGGAAATGCCAAAAATCATAATTTTGACATCTACCACAGTGATAATCAATGCCAGCAAGAATCATCAAGATCCCTGAGGGGTGGGTGTGGTGGCTCACGCCTGTAATCCCAGCACTCTGGGAGGCCAAGGTGCATGCCTAATCCTAGCTACTTGGGAGGCTGAGGCAGGAGAATCATTTGAACCCGGGAGCCAGAGGTTGCAGTGAGCTGAGATCACATCACTGCACCCCAGCCTGGGCAACAGAGCGAGACTCCGTCTCAAAAAAAAAAAAAAGATTGCTGGAACCACCGGGGAGACCTGTGAAGGCCCAGCCTTCAAACATCTCCTCAGAGGTTAGGAGTTAATTACAAAGTGACATGAAATGATGCTCTGAGAAGGATCAATATCACTCCCATGGTGATCCTGCCAAAAAACACATAACCAGACCTAATCATAAGTAATCCATCAGAAATACCCAAATTGAGGGCCACTGTACAAAAATAACTGACCTTTAAACATGTCAATGTCATGAAACACAGAGAAAGGCTGAGAATGTACTGCAGATACTAAAGATACTGCAGAGACTAAAGAGAAAGGTCAGCTAAATGTAAGGTGTGAGTCTGCATCAGACACTAGAGCGGAAGAAACATTTCTATAAAGGACATCATTGAGACAACTGGTGAAATGTGAATGTAGGATGTGTATTAGGTAACAGTACTATAGCAATGCTAAATTTCCTCTACTTAATAGATTGTGGTTATTTAAGAGAATGTCCTTGCTCTTAAGAGATACATGCTGAAATATTAGGAGTTAAAGGGTATGATATCTACCACTTTCTGTCAAATAATCCAGCAAAGTAAAAAACAGAAAATAATATGTATATTTATGGAAAAAGAAAAAGCAGGCTGGGTGCAGTGGCTCACACCTGTAATCCCAGCACTTTGGGAGGCCAAGGCAGGCAGATCGCTTGAGGTCAGGAGTTCAAGACCAGCCTGGCCAACATGGTGAAATCCCATCTCTACTAAAAATACAAAAATTAGCCGAGTGTGGTGGCGTGCACCTGTAATCCCAGCTACTCAGGAGGCTGAGGCAGGAGAATTGCTTGAATCCAGGAGGCAGAGGTTGCAGTGAGCCGAGATCATGCCACTGTTCTCTAGCCTGGGCAACAGAGTTAGGCTCCGTCACAAAAAAAAAAAAAACAAAAGGAAGGAAGGAGCAAGCAAATATGGTAAAATGTTAACCACTGGTTAATCTAAGTGAAAGTTATATTCATTGTCCTATTCTTGTAACTTTTAGATAGATTTGAAATTTTTGAAGTAAAAAATTGAAAAAATGTCTAGGTAAGAAAAGTGAGCCTCCAAAATGGATGCACTCTTTTTTTTTTTGGTGTAGGGGAAGGAGGTAGCGGAGAATGGGGGGTAGGAATTCAGCACAGTGGCCAGGAGCAGAGGTGTGGGAAGGACCTGGCCTGCTTAGGCACCCGTGGACTGATTTTAAAGAACTCCCATAGGTGCCGCCCACACCCAAGGGCAGAGATTCTGAAACACTTCTTCCCACAACAGTGCTTTCCCTGTCCTCAGGTTAGACTTTGGAGGGACAGGTCAGCCACCCTGATGGCTCACTTCAAATGCACAGCCCACCCTGGCCCTCTCCAACGGCTTGCATTGTCTGCCCACATCAAGATCCCCCCAATCTAAATCTGGAGGATCACCTGGATTGCATGTGGTGTGAGCATGTCACAATTGTCTCCCGATGACCGTATCCATCAGCACCATCACATTTTCTAACTAAAACTGTATGTTTTATCAGAAGTCAAACTGGCTGGGCACGGTGGCTCATGCCTATAATCCCATCACTTTAGGAGATCAAGGTGAGTGGATCACCTGAGGTCAGGAGTTCAAGACCAGACTGGCTAACGTGGTGAAACCCTGTCTCTACTAAAAATACAAAAATTAGTGAGGCATGGTGGTGTGCACCTGTAATCCCAGCTACTCAGGGGGCTGAGGCAGGAGAATTGCTTGAAGCCAGGAGGTGGAGGTTGCCATAAGCTGAGATCGTGCCATTGTACTCCAGCCTGCGCAACAAGAGCAAAACTCCATCTCCAAAACAAAACAAAACAAAACAAAAGTCAAGCTGTATATATTTTTCCAAAAAACTGTTCCTGTCTTCCCCTATTAAAACACCTAACGAAGCTTCCTATGTGACAGATTTAATTACCAAAAACTTAATCAAAAATTATTCTGTTCATTTATTCAGTAACTATTTCCTAAACATCTAATACATGCCAGGCAACCTTCCAGCGGCAAAAGAAAGGAAAGACCTTGCTCAACATAATAATGCAAGCTAGTAAAAAATTCCTGATATTTGAGTTAATGAATATAAGCACTCACGCCACCAACTACATGCAAGCTGTGATAAATTACTTTAAAAGATCACCACGAGAGGGCACTCCTACAATTCTTTTATGTGACTACTGTCAAGATTCCTGAACACAGAGTTGAGAGCCA
Source organism: Homo sapiens (assembly GCF_000001405.40). Lineage (NCBI taxonomy): Eukaryota > Metazoa > Chordata > Mammalia > Primates > Hominidae > Homo > Homo sapiens. The sequence continues at coordinate 49,133,165 of NC_000020.11, forward strand.
GATCTGAAACCTTAACAAAAGTGAAGGAGGAAAGGAAGCAATCTGACCCCAAATCCCACAGAACAAAAACATAAAATAGCAATCTCTAAGTTTCCAGAAATCTCAGTGACTCTGGGTAGCAGCAAGAGTGAGCAGGTGGTAAGCTTCTCAGGAATCCAAGGCTCTGGCCCAAGCCGTCAACTCTGCACATGAGGTGACCCGGGAAGCCAGCCAGGCATCTCCCACTCCCCACGGTCTTGGTACCCCTCCCCCACAACCTGCAAAAATCCACTCTCATGACAGACTAATCTGTCAGCAGGGGAGAAAAGCAACACTTCTCCCCTTTCCTGAAACAGGTGCCGGGGGAGACCTCATGACTCCTTGGGATGCAGCTCCCATCTTTTTCCCACTCAACTGTGAGCCCAAACAGCCATTCTGAATGTCCCCTGTCTCATTCCCTCCCCAAGTGCATCCCAGCCTCCACTGATGGAGGGAGAAAGGCCAGGGAGGGAATGTAGGGCCAGGTGAGAAGATTCCAGCCCTAGATCCATGTCGGTGCTCTGGACTCCAAGAGAACAGTGTAAACCTGCTCTTACCCACTGAGGGTGGAGGGGCAGGAATGAGTGTCAGAGGAATGGAGAGGAACAAACAAGCCCTCGTACCCAGGTGGGCCACAGTAGGGAGCCCTGGCAACTACAATCCCACCTCTGGCCCATGGCAGGCAGAGAGGCATCAGCAGGGTGAGGTGAGAAATCATCATCACTCGGCCAAAGGATGGAGCACTGAAGCTGGGTTAAGTTTAGGGTGCTAGCACATAGGAGGAGAAGGTATACATCACCTGTAACTGTAAAGAATACTTCAAAGATATTTTACAGGAATATAAGCTTCAGATAGGCTTTTTAAGAAATAAGCCATAATCAAGCACGTAAATCAAAAGAATCTGCAAAGAATCTGCTGTGGGTCAGACCTTATTTCTAAGGTAAACATTAAAAATTCTCCCTTACTGGGCCGGGCAAGGTGGCTCACGCCTGTAATCCCAGCACTTTGGGAGGCCGAGATGGGTGGATCACCTGAGGTTAGGAGTTCGAGACCAGCCTGACCAATATGGAGAAACCCCGTTTCTACTAAAAATACAAAATTAGCTCGGCATGGTGGCGTATGCCTGTAATCCCAGCTACTCAGGAGGCTGAGGCAGGAGAATCGCTTGAATCTGGGAGGTGGAGGTTGCAGTGAGCCGAGAACACACCATTGCACTACAGCCTGGGCGACAAGAGTGAAACTCATCTCAGGGAAAAAAAAAAAAAAAGCTCTGGGTTGAAACCCGGGCGCCGCCAAGATGCCGGCTCATTACTCTTCTCTCATGGATCCTGACACCAAACTCATCGGAAACATAGCACTGTTACCTATCAGAAGTCAATTCAAAGGACCTGCCCCCAGAGAGACAAAAGATACAGATATTGTGGATGAAGCCAACTATTACTTCAAGGCCAATGTCTTCTTCAAAAACTATGAAATTAAGAATGAAGCTGATAGGACCTTGATATATTTAACTCTCTACATTTCTGAATGTCTGAAAAAACTCCAAAAGTGCAATTCCAAAAGTCAAGGTGAGAAAGAAATGTATACACTGGGAATCATTAGTTTTCCCATTCCTGGAGAGCCTGGTTTTCCACTTCACGCAATTTATACCAAACCTGCAAACAAACAGGAAGATGAAGTGATGAGAGCCTATTTACAACAGCTAAGGCAAGAGACTGGACTGAGACTTTGTGAGGAAGTTTTCGACCCTAAGAATGATAAACCCAGCACGTGGTGGACTTGCTTTGTGAAGAGACAGTTCATGAACAAGAGTCTTTCAGGACCTGGACAGCGAAGGGAGCCCGGGCAGCCGCCATCTCCAGAGCCCTGGGCAGCATTTTCCAGCAAGATGTACACAATCTTTTGCCTTTATTCGTAACGTTTTATATAGAAGAGAGAAGAGCATGTCTTTACTTGAAAAACTCTTGATCAAGAATTTGGGTGGGAGAAAAGAAAGTGGGTTATCAAGGGTGATGTGAAATTTTCTGCAGCATTAAGCTGGCGCTTAATAAAAATAAGTAACAAAAAAAATTCTCCCTTACCTCCCTCGTCCATTTGGATGAACTATATGTCTTTTAAGGCAACATATATTAAAATGTACCTTATTTCCCACTTTGATCAGACAATTCATTGATTATTGTTTTTAGAACACAAGGTCTCAACAACAAATGAAGTTATTAAACAGGAATTGAGGGCAGACGCTAGACAATGACAAAAACTGAGTCCTTTTCAAAATTACTCTGAAGAGACCTTTAGGGACCACAAATGCTTTTGAGACTGATCTAAGTGATGAACTAGCCCCTCCACCCTTCCCTATCCAGAAGAATACACATATGAACACTAACACAACCATCTTCAGACTGCTTCAGGAGGTCCACACACCAACTGAAGCCATCATGAACTCTCTACACATCCATGAATGCCCCTTAGTTACGGACTCCCAGAAGAAGAGAATAAACACTGCTTCACTAAATATAAAGTATGAATCTTAAATTTGGAGGTTCACATTATGTGAAGATTATTCCAATGATATTTAGGGGAAAAAATAACTCTTATGATGAATGCTAACAGGATTTTAGAATACAAAGTCCTACATGTAAAATTAGCTTACCTCGAAATTCACAGGCAAGTTCCGTTTAAGTGCAATCTCAAACACTTGACTTATTTCAGATTTATTGAGATTTTCTTCTTCGGATTCTCTTCCATTCACCTGTAAGAATAATTGTTTAGTAGTTAGCTCTTATTAAAATAGTCAATGGCCAGGTGAGTTGGTTCATGCTTGTAATCCCAGCACTTTGAAGGCTAAGGCAGGAGGATAGCTTGAGCCCAGGAGTCTGAGACCAGCCTGAGCAACATGGCAGTTTGAGACCAGCCTGAGCAACCTTGTCTCTAAAACAAAAACAAAAACAAAAACAAAAAAACAAAACTTAGGTGGATGTGGTGGTGGTACATGCCTGTAGTTCCAACTACTTGGAGGGCTGAGGCAGGAGCATTGCTTGAGCCCAGGAGATCGAGGCTGCAGTAAGCCATGATCATGCGCCACTGCACTCCAGCCTGGGTGACACAGCGAGACGCTGTCCCCCACAAAAAAACACCCATCAACATCCTAGCTGCAATGGTAAACCTTAAAAGCACTGAGCTTTGGCTTTATGAATTTAACCACACACATACCAAGTGTCACTGAATTTAAGAGGTTAAAAAGATACATGTCCTGTCAAGTTTGAGTCAAATTGTACCTCATAAGTTCACCAAAAACAATCCGCACATAATAGACCTTTGGATATGTGTCAGCCTGACTGTGGTTCAGCAAGATGTCACTGCTGCTCGGAACAGTGACTTCCAAAAGTCCTTCTCAAGTAGTGGGAAGCCACATTTTGGAAAAGTCAAAATACAGACAGATATATGTGGGACGTGGCAAATTCAGATTAAGTCTGTCCACATGAGTATGCAGGCTTATTTGAACATAAATTCCCTGGAAACCACTTTTTTTTTTTGAGATGGAGTCTCGCTCTGTTGCCCAGGATGGAGTGCAGTGGCGCGATTTTGGCTCACTGCTACCTCCACCTCCCAGGTTCAAGCGATTCTCCTGCCTCAGCCTCCTGAGTAGCTGGGATTGCAGGCATGCGCCACCACACCCAGCTAATTTTTGTATTTTTAGTAGATACGGGGTTTCACCATGTTGGTCAGGCTGGTCTCGAACTCCTGACCTCATGATCCACCCACCTCGGCTCCCAAAGTGCTGGGATTAAGGCGTGAGCCACCACGCCCGGCGGGAAACCACTTTAAGAGAATGCAGCCATGCGCATGGCAGTACACGACTATTGCCCCAGTACTCAGCAAGGTGACAGTTGAGGATCAGTTGAGCCCAATAGTTCAAGGCTACAGTGAGCTGTGATCATGCCTGTAAACAGCCACTGAACTCCAGCATGGGCAACAAAGACTCTCTATCTCTATAATTAAAAATAAAGAAATAAATAAGGATGCGATGAAACACATTACAAAACTGCCATGTATCTCATACTCAACGGCTGTTGGCAAAAAAATACAAGGCGCAAACTAATAAAGTCTCCTCAACAAAGGCAGAGATTCCATCTTTGGAACAAGGTTCACTTAAGAGTCGTCCAATCAGGGATGAGATTAAAGAGGAGCAAGGATCTTACTTCTGCGTGCTGATAACATGGATTTTATACTGTGCTGTAGTGATAATAAGAGGAACTAGATAAGCTCAAAGCTTATCTAGCAAAGTCCCCCAAAACAAAAAGAGCTGTTTTTCTTCACATTATTGCTTATTTTGTCAAAGAATTTATAAAGTCCTGCTTCTGAGATTAGAACTATCTGAAAAGGAACCCATGGCTGAAACTGCTAAATAGGCAAGGTATAGGACTATCCAAGATTTTATCTGTTGTGCATTTCCTTATGTTTATCAGGTATATTCCACCTACACTCAACTTTTTTTTTTTTGAGATGGAGTTTTGCTCGTGTCGCCCAGGCTGGAGTCCAATGGCATGACCTTGGATCACTGCAACGTCTGCCTCCTGGGTTCAAGCGATTCTCCTGCCTCAGCCTCCCAAGTAGGTGGGATTACAGGCACCCACCACCACACCCGGCTAATTTTTTTTTTTTTTTTTTTGTATCTTTAGCACAGATGGGGTTTCACCATCTTGGCCAGGCTATTCTCGAACTCCTGACTTCAGGTGATCCGCCCACCTTGGCCTCCTGAAGTGCTGGGATTACAGACATGAGCCACCGTGTCTGGCCACTGAATATTAAAAGCTGTAATTGGCTGGGCATGGTGGCTAGCGCCTGTGATCCCAAAACTTTTTAAGGACAAGGTGGGTGGATTGCTTATGCCCAGTTTGAGACCAGCGTGGGCAACATGGCAAAACCCCATCTTTATAAAAAAAATACAAATATTAGCAGGTGCGGTGTCGCACATCTGTGGTCCCAGCTACTTGGGAGGCTGAGGGGAGAGGATCACCTGAGCCTAGGGTGTTGAGGCTGAGGTGGCTATGATCACGCCACTGCATTCTAGCCTCAGTGACAGTGTGAGACCGTGTCACACCCACCAAAAAAAGCTATAATTAAAATAAAACAAACTCTAGGTTAAAAAAATATATATATAACCAAGGGTATAATCCTGGACAAATAAATTTATTCCAGATGCTCTTTGTAATTCCTTCTATCCTTCCATAATCTTTTCTTTCCAATCTGGTTTCAGTGTATCTCACCTGAGTCAAAACTACTTTCATAGCACTTGTGGTGGTTTATTAACCTACACATACTTTTTTTTGTTTTTTGGAGACAGTGTCTCACACTGTTGCCCAGTCTGAAGGACAGTGGTACAAACATAGCTCACTGCAGCTTCAAACTCCTGACCTCAAGCAATATTCCCATCTCACCCTCCTGAGTAGCTGGGACTACTGGCATAGGCACCACTCCCAGCTATTTTTTTTAATGTTTTGTAGAGATGGGGTCTCACTATGTTGTCCAGGCTGGTCTTGAACTGGGCTCAAGCAACCCTCCCACCTCAACCTCCCAAAGTGTTGGGATTTATAGGTGTGAGCCACCATACCCAGCCCACACTTGTATTTTTGTTTAAATCCTAAGCAGAAAAAGGGTCTACTTTTTTATGAGTGAATCCTTAAAACTGGCAATTTGCAAGCAAGGTACCTTAAAGGCTGGAGTTCTACAGAGGTTTGGCTTGAAATTTACAGGTTGGTGCAAAAGTAATTACCAATCTAATAGTTAAATAGATATTAAACTTAAAAAAAAAATACTGTAAGCTTGTTCAACAAATGGTGCTAGGAAAACTAGATATCCACATGCAAAATAATAAGGCAGGACCCTTACCCCACACCACTAAAAACTCAAAATGGATCAAATACTTAAACATAAGAGCTAAAACAGTAAAGTTCCTAGATGAAAACATAGGGGAAAAGTGTTATGACACCATCTGGTGATTTCTTACATATGACATGAAAACCGCAGACAACAAAAGAAACATTAATATTAGACTTCATCAAAATTTAAAACATTCATGCATCAAAGGACACTATCAAGAGAGTGAAGAAAACCCACAGAATGGGATTTGCAAATCATTTATCTCATAAGGGATTAATATCCAGAATATATAAAGAACTACAACTCAACAATAAAACAACCCAATTAGAAAATGGGCAAAGCACTTACACAGGCATTTCTCTAAAGAAATACAAATAGTCGGCTGGGCACAGTGGCTCATGCCCGTAATCCCAGCACTTTGGGAGGCCGAAGCAGGTGGGTCACCTGAGGTCAGAGGTTCGAGACCAGCCTGGCCAACATGGTGAAATACCATCTCCACTAAAAATACAAAAAACTAGCCGGGTGTGGTAGCAGACGTCTGTAATCCCAGCTACTTGGGAGGCTGAGGCAGGAGAATCACTTGAACCCAGGAGGCAGAGATTGCAGTGAGCTGAGATTATGCCACTGCACTCCAGCTTGGGCAACAAGAGCGAAACTCTGTTTCAAAAAAAAAAAAATCCACAGTAAGATACCACTCACACCCATAAGGATGGCTGCTATCAAAAGAAATGGAAATAACAAGTTTTTGGATATGGAGAAATGAGAAGCTTCCAGTCACTTATGAAAATGTAAAATGGTTGTACCAGATTTGGATTTTATTAAAAATAAAATAGAAAATGGGCAGTGCGTGCGGTGGCTCACACCTGTAATCCCAGCACTTTGGGAGGCCGAGGCAGGCGGATCACCTGAGGTCAGGAGTTCGAGACCAGCCTGGCCAACATGGTGAAACACCATCTCTACTAAAAATACAAAAATTAGCTGAGCGTGGTGACGCGCACCTGTAGTCCCAGCTACTCGGGAGGCTGAGGCAGGAGAATCGCTTGAACCCAGGAGGCGGAGGTTGCAGTGAGCCGAGATCACGCCACTGCATTCCAGTCCAGTGAGACTCCGTCTCAAAAAAAAAAAAAGTAAGTTAATTAATTTAATAGAAAATGTAAAATGGTACAGTTGCTATGGAAAACAGCTTGGTAGTTCCTCAAAAAATTAAACATATAATTATTATATGATCCAGGAATTCCACTTCTAGATATACACCCAAAAGACCTGAAAGTAGCAACTTGAACACATTTTTATACACCAGGGTTCACAGCAGCATTCACAATAGCCAGAAGGTAAAAACAACCCAAATGTCCATCAACAGATGACTGGAAAAACAAATATTTACTATTCATACCATAAAACATTCACCCTTAAAAAAGAAATGAAATTCTGAAACATGCTATAACAGAGACGAACCTTGAAAACATTACAGTAAGTAACATAAGCCACACATTAAAAAAAAAATCCATTTTTATGAAGTGCCTAGGCTAGGCAAATGCATAGAAACAGAAAGTAAAGTAGAGGTTACCAAGGGCCACGAGCAAGGGAGTGGGGAGTAACTCTTCAATGAGTCCAGAATTTCTATTTGGAATGATGGAAAGGTTCTGAAAATTAGTAGTGACAGTTGTGCAAAACCAAGAATGTATTTTAATGCCACTGGTGCACTTAAAAATGTTTAATAATTTTAGATGTATATTTTGCCTGAATTTTTTAAAAAGCAGCAACAAAAATGTTTCACACCAAATATTAAGATACCAGAAATCATCAACACAGTAACTTGTGCTAACCCCAGATTAACTCATTTTTGTGCACAACAGAATAAAGCTTGACAGCTGTTTCCCTGAAGAGCATCCAGAGTTTTTTTTAATAGATGATCTGTTTAAAAAAAAAAAAAAAAAGGTCCACATGCTAAGAACTGTGCCAATGAGAATGCTCTTTATGAGCAGCCAGAACACAACTTGGAAATAAACTAGGTGCTCAGACTGTCGTAAGACTTTGAATGCCACGTACATGCCCCAATTTTCAATGTTTTGTTCATTGTATCAGCCCAATTAGGTTTAACTTTTATTTTTATTTACAACCTATTTCAAACATACAGAAAAGTACAGATAATAACATAACAGGCAATTTCCTGGATTTATCCAATGTCAATAGTTAAGTACTACTGACGTCGGACTGTTTTTTTCTGTTTTAAGAAAAACAATGAGCCACGCATGGTGGCTCACGCCTGTAGTCCCAACACTTCTGGAGGCTGAGATGGATGGTTTGTTTGAAGTCAGGAGTTCAAGATCAGTCTAGGCAACAAAGTGAGACCTTAATCTCTACAAAAAAATTTTAAGATTACCCAGGTGCAGTGGAGTGTGCCTATAGTCCCAGCTACTGGGGTGGCTGAAGCAAAAAGATCACTTGATTGATTGCCCAGGAGTTTAAGGCTGCAGTGAGCTATGATCGTGCCACTGCACTCCAGCCTGGGTGGCAGAGCAAGACTCCATCTCAAAACACAAGGCAACGGGCCAGGCGAGGTGGCTCATGCCTGTAATCCCAGCACTCTGGAAGGCCAAGGCAGGCGGATCACTTGAGGTCAGGAGTTCGAGACCAGCCTGGCCAACATGACGAAACCCCATCTCTACTAAAAATACAGAAAGTAGCCGGGTGAGACTCTGTCTCAAAAAAAGAGGCAATGAAGGCCATCTCACTATCATTCCCAGGGCAGTTAATCACTATCCTAAAGTGGGACTGTATCTTTCCCAGCCGTGTTTTTAAATGAATATAATTTGGTGTTTTTGAAAACTCATATACCTCATTCTCAGAAATTGCCTTTACCATTATTATAAATCCAAACTTATAAGTTTATACTAATAACTGTAATTCCAGCACTTTGGGAGGTCAAGGCGGGAGGGTCACTTGAGGCCTGGAGTTTGAGACCAGCCTGGGCAACATAATAAGACCTCATCTCAACAAGAACAACAACAACAACAAATATTTATTTTTTATTTTGTTTTTGAGATGAAGTCTCGCTCTGTTGCCCAGACTGGAGTGCAGTGGTGCAATCTTGGCTCACTGCAACCTCCGCCTCCTGGGTTCCAGTGATTCTCCTGCCTCAGCCTCCCAAGGAGCTGGGACTACAGGCACAAGCCACCATGCCTGGCTAATTTTTTGTATTTTTAGTAGAGATGGGGTTTCGTCATGCTGGCCAGGCTGATCTCGAACTCCTGACCTCAGGTGATCCACCCACCTCGGCCTCCCAAAGTGCTGGAATTACAGGCGTGAGCCACCGTGCCCAGCCAAAAAAAAATTTTTTTAAATAACAATTTATACTAACGAAATGCTCCTTTTCTATTTTATATACATGTATCAAGGTTCCACGTAAGACTGATAGAAAACAATGGGTCTACTGCTCCGTTCTACACCCTAAGCCAGTGGTTCTCAACCACAGCAGCACTACAATCACTTGGGAGCTTCACAAGTTCAGATTCTGGAGCCCGCTCCAGACAACTGAACTCAAATTTTTGAGGGCATGGCCTGGATAGCAGTTTTATTTATAGTATTTGTTTATTTTTTAAATAAGTCCCCAGGTGACTGGAGTTGCGATTCACTGCTCTAAGCCATTGCTTCCAGAGGAGTATCATTAGGAACAAAGCAGCCAGTAAAATAAAAATGCAAAAAAACATATTTGAAAATGAAATTATTTTGCTCTTTTACACAATTTTTTTCTTTTGAGACAGGGCCTCAGCTCTGTGCCCTCAGCTGCAGTGCAATGGCATAATCAGAGCTCACTGCGGCCTTGATCTCCCAGGCTCAAGCAATTCTCCTGCCTCAGCCTCCTCATTAGCTGAGACTACAGGTACATGCCACCATTTCGTTTTTTCAAATATTTTTGGTAGAGATGAGGTCTCTCCATCTTGTCCAGGATGGTCTCAAACTCCTAGGCTCAAGTGATCCTCCCACCTCAGCCTCCCAAAGTACTGGAATTATAGGAGTGAGCCACCGTGCCTGGCTCATTAAAAATTTCCTATTATCCAGACTGACAAAATGTTCCAAGTAGGGAGGCAGCAAATGGTTCAAAACTAATCTACAAAAACCATTCCCAGTAAAATGAGGAAGGTTTAGTGGGCACTTAGTCTTATCTTCACAATGTAGGAATTACTGTTAACACTGATTCCATAGTGTATAGTTCAGCAATAAAATCTAGGCAACATTAAGAAAGAGGCCAGGTGTGATAGCTCATCCCTATAATCTCTGCACTTTGAGAGGCCACGGTGGGCGGATCACTTGAGCCCAGGAGTTCAAAACCAGCCTGGGCAACATGGCAAAACCCGCATCTCTACAAAAAATACAAAAACTAGCCAGGTGTGGTGGCATACACCTGTAGTCCCAGCTACGAGGGAGACTGAGATGGGAAGATCACTTGAGGCCAAGAGGTCAAGGCTGTAGTAAGCCACAATCGTGCCACTGCACTCCAGCTAGGGCGACAGAGGAAGACCCTATTTCAAAACAAAACAAAACAACAGAAAAGAAAGAAATGCTCTGAACCACACTTAACCCTCACAGTATGCTAGGAAAATTAGCCATCACCATTTATTATCTGGCTCCAACAGACTCTTCTGTTTTTCTATATCTAAAGTCATTTTACAAATAATTTACCAAATAAAAGGATGACAAAAGCCATTTTATTAGACATTTTAATAAGAACTTAAACACAGCAAACCCAGCTTCTTATCCCAATGTTTCTAATTTGGAAGGCATATATACCTGAAAAAAAGCAAGGTCCTCTATATGCAACTAACTGCTCATCACCTGATGCACCTGCAGCTGGGGCACAGCCCACCTGTAGCGATGTCAGATTCCAAGTCCATCTCCAACAGGTTCTAACTTAACAGGACTTCAGATTCTTCGTGTACTGGCACTGTCAAACACACTACTTTTGAAACAGACTCATAATTCTGTTGAAGAGAAAGCAGCCATTTCCTTGCTCCATTAAGTGCAAAATGCTTTCATTTTTGGATTATAAACACCAACAGAAGGATCAATCCAGTTATTTTTGTCATTTTTATATCTATTTTCTTCCAATCACCTTTGGACACACACCTCCTTGTGCATTTGTCCAGTTATTTTGTTGACAATAAGTGGTAAGAAATAAATGTTGGCGGCCAAACATAAAAGATAAAAGAATGTTGTCACACGTACTTTTTTTTTTTTAAATGCAAACAGGATGGGAGAGGTTCTTGTCGAAAAATGTTGCATGATGAAGTCCTTTCTGTTGAATGACTAGATGAGAATATACCACATTTCCTTTCCATACATCAGATAAATAATCACTAGCTGATTCTTGAGTTTGGGGAAATTCATCTATGCTAGCATCTGAAGACTCACAGTCTGCGATTTTGCTTAGACAATCTCACCATCATCATTACAGTCTGGAGTGCTGCCATCTATCTGTCTTTTTGTGTTCATCTTCTGATTTGTTAATCATCAGAAATGTCTTCCTCTGTCAATTCTCTTCTCCTTGACATTACAGATGAAAAATAGAAAAATTCTGGATTCTCACCTGGGTTCAATGAAAGCAAAAAGGAGACTCAAAAGATGGTGTCTCTAGTCTTCTTTTTTTAACCTCTTGGAAGACAATGCAATAGCCTAGGCAAGGCCATAGGACAATAAAAGAAGGTGTCATCATGACAATTACTTCACTATTGTATATCCACCCCAGAGGCTTTATCATTCTTCCATTTTCTTATGATTTTCATCTCATCTGGCATATTTGGGAGTAGATGATGAATAGTATTGAAATAATTATGTGGAATAACAAATAGCAAAACGTTCAAAACACAGGAAAATTAAGATCCCTAAGATCCCATCATGTAAAGACTTACAAAAGGATCCAAAAGACCCCTATGATAATTGTAAGACAGAAAGAGTTTTGCACTATTTTAAAATATAAGTATACTTTCTCTCAGTTCTTTGTAATACCTCTAAAAAAGAATACAACTCATGCAATATCATTCCTTAAAGAGCTTGAAAAAGCAGCTTAAAAAATGAAAACCTGGCTGGGCGTGGTGGCTCACGCCTGTAATCCCAGCACTTTGGGAGGCTGAGGCGGGTGGATCACGAGGTCAGGAGTTCGAGATGAGCCTGGCCAACATGGTGAAACCCCATCTCTACTAAAAATACAAAAATTAGCCGGCGGTAGTGGCACGCACCTGTAGTCCCAGCTACTTGGGAGGCTGAGGCAGAAGAATTGCTTGAAGCTGGGAGGCGGAGGTTGCAGTGAGCCGAGATTACACCACTGCACTCCAGCCTGGGCAACAAAGCGAGACTCCGTCTCAAAAAAAAAAAAAAAAAAAAAAAAAAAGACCAAGCGTGGTGGCTCACGTCTGTAATCCCAGCACTTTGGGAGGCCGAGGCAGGTGGATCACAAGGTCAGGAGATTGAGACCATCCTGGCCAACATGGTGAAACCCCGTCTCTACTAAAAATACAAAATTAGCTGGGTGTGGTGGCACATGCCTGTAATCCCAGCTACTCGGGAGGCTATGGCAGGAGAATAGCTTGAATCAGGGAGTCGGAGGTTGCAGTGAGCCGAGATCGCACCACTGCACTGCAGCCTGGCAACAGAGCGAGACTCCGTCTTAAAAAAAAAAAAGAAAAGAAAACCTGAGCCAGGCACAAGCATGCCTGCAGTCCCAGATAATCAAGAGGCAAAAGGATCACTTGAATCCAGGACTTCAAGGCCACAGGGTACTATGATCATGTCTGTGTACAGCCACTGCACTCCAGCCTGGGCAACAATAGTGAGACCTGTCTCTGTTAGAAAAAAATAAAAAAGAAAAAGAAAACTAGGTCCAATGAACACTGAGGAAACAAGAAGGGTTAAAGTCTCCAATTTCAGGCCAGGCGCTATGGCTCATGCCAGTAATCCCAGCATTTTGGGAGGCCGAGGCAGGTGGTGGTCACTTGAGCTCAGGAGTTCGACACCAGCCTGGGAAACATGGTGAAACCTCGTCTCTACCAAAGATACAAAAATTAGGTGTGGTGGCATGCACCTGTGGTCCTAGCTACTTGGGAGGCTGAGGTGGAAGGACTGCTTGAGTCCAGGAGGCGGAGGTTGCAGTGAGCCAAAATCACACCACTACACTCCAGCCTGAGTGACAGAGTGAGACACCATCTCAAGAAAATAAATAAATAAACAAATGGGTCTCTAATTTTAACTTTACTCCTAATTAAGTATGCACCTATCCCAAGTGAAGATAAAGACTCAAAACCAGAAAGAGCTGCATTTATTCATTTTTACAAAAGTATAAAAAAGTATTTTAAAAACTTCAGGATGTTTACGGTGGCTCATGCCTGTAATCCCAGGATTCTGGGAGGCCAAGCTGGGCAGATCATTTAAGACTAGGAGTTTAAGACCAGCCAGGGCAACATGGCAAAACCCCATCTCTACAAAAAATACAAAAATTAACAGGGAGTGGTGGCATGAATCTATAGTCCCAGCTACTTAGGAGGCTGAGATGGGAGGATCACCTAAGCCCAGGGAGGTCAAGGCTGCAGTGAGCCTGCATGGAGGGCCTCCGCACTCCAGCCTGGGCAACAGAGTGAGACCCTATCTCCAAAAAAAAAAAAAGGAAAGAAAGAAACAAAAATACATACACACTGAAACACCAACAGGATCACACTGTATGCACAGTAACAGCTCTGCATCTTCATCCCTTTTCATGCCTGCCTATATGAGATATCTCACTCTGGTACTCAGGGGATAAACGTAGCCAAGTTTTTAACCACTTTCCTAGTAACAGACATTTAAGCTAGCCCCCGTTTTTCTCTATTACAGATACTGCAGCTATGACCATACTGCTCCTAATAGCTCAGACACTGAGTAAAACTCATACTTCATTAGCACAAACCTTAGATTAAATAAACAAATAACCCATGCACTTTCTTAACTTGGGGCCTTTGCAACTGCCACTCCCTCTCTGGGCATACACTGTCCCTGCCCTTTGCTGATCTTTAGTATCAGCCGAAATGTCTCTTCCTCTGAAAAGACTGCTCTGAACTCACCACCATTATTCCAACCTAAATGAGATACTTTACGTTCTTCTAATTCTTGTCATTTTTCCATCCTTGCACTAAATGCACTTTTTGCTGATATTAATGTTAATGTCTGGCAGCTCCATTTGACTAAGTTCACAGGAAAAGGGATGGCGCTGACTGTTTCAACTCAGGGTCTAGCACAGCGCCTGGCATGGAGGGCCCAGACTATGCCTGCCCTGTAGACAGCAAGCGCTGGCTTTACTGCATATCTTCTAGAGAAGATGCACTGATCCACCACACAATCACATGCTCCACAAATATGCCACAGCTAAACTGACAATTTGTTTAAAATGATCATTTCCAATGCTGGCAGGCTGTGGACAGACGGGCTGCTTATGGCCTGTCAGCAGGTTGTAAAATGGCACCCTCTTTCTGTGGAGAACTTGGCCATATGTACCACCATGCATACCCGCTGGTTCAGCAATTCCACTTCTAGGACCGTGGACAAAGACTTTAACTGCAACGATGTTCTTCCCGACCCATTTTATAAGAGGGAAAATGCAAACAACCTAAATAATCAAGTCCCTGTTGGAAAATAAAGCAGTGCATTCACATAGTGGAACATTTTGTAGCCATTAGAAAGTGCTTAGGTGTGTGCTGAATTTGGGTCCTCCAAGGAATTTTAAGTAAATGACGTAACATATTCAAGATATACACATCAGTGAAAAAAGGTGGTTACTGTACACTGTCATGCCATTTTTATGAAATAGATAGGCATCTGTATTTACTTGTATATGTGCTTGTCAGTGAATATACACCAAATGGTTACAGTGATTATCCGCAAGTGGTAAATTTATAAATCATTCATTGTTCCTTGTTTTTGAATTTAAAATTTTTTATAGTCCATATGCACTATTTTTAAGAAAAAAAAAGTTATCTTTTAAAACTGTCTCTCTTTATTCCCCTACTGCCTGCTATCAGAGAGCCTGGTAAAATCAAGGGCAGCACATTTACGAAAGAGGCCAAGTGTTTCACTTATTGCAGGCTGAGCATTCCTAATTCAAAAATCCAAAACCTAAAATGCTCCAAAAATCAAACTTTTTGAACACCAACACAATGCCACAAGTGGAAATTCCGTACATGACCTCATGCAACGTGTCGCAGTCAAAACAGTTTATTCAATACCCCCAAGAAAAAAATAAAATTACATTCAGGCTTTCTGTATAAGGTGTATACGAAACACAAATAAATTTCATGTTTAGACTTGGGTCCCATTCCCAAGATATCCCATTACGTATGATGGAAATATTCCAAAATCAAAAAAAGCTCTGAAATCCAAAACACTTCTAGTCGCAAGCGTTTAGGGTAAGGGATATTCATCTAGTACTTCAAATAAGTCTTTTCTGAATTAATGACTCTTCACTTCACTGGCTAAGGCCAGTCTTTAAGCCATTTCTGACAGGCACGGTCTCTACTTCCAACTCTACAGAGCTAGAAAAGGGGCATAGAGAAGAAACGCCAAAGGGCACAAGTAGATTTAAACACCACTCCCAGCAAAGCTCCTCAGAGATTTCATAGGACCCGGTGAAAACTCAGCCCAGAAGAACATGTCTACAACAGCCGCTGCCCTCAGGACTGTGCCAACCAACGCTGCTCTAGTGAGTGAAGGCGGGAGACTCAGAAACACCAACAGGCACTTATCCTTTGTAGCAATACTGTGATCACTCTCATGGAGGACTCAAGGGGAGGAACTGCTGGGGAAGTGCTGACAGCTCTTAGATCTGTGGTTCCCCAACCTTGACCATACCTCAGAATCACTCCAAGAGCTCATTAACAACAACATGGCCAGGTATGGTGGCTCATGCCCATAATCCCAGCACTTTGGAAGGCCAAGGTGGTCAGATCACCTGAGCTCAGGAGCTTGAGACCAGCCTGGGCAGTACAGTGAAACCCCATCTCTACTAAAAATACAAAAATTAGCTGGGCGTGGTGGTGAGCACCTGTAGTCCCAGCTACTCAGGAAGCTGAAGCACAAGAATTGCTTGAACCCAGGAGGTGGAGGTTGCAGTGAACCAAGATCATGCCACTACACTCCAGCCTGGGTGACAGGGAGAGACTGTCTCAAAACACACACACACACACACACACACACACACACACACACACCAGCAAGAACAACAAAAGCAGGGAGAGACTGTCTCAAAACACACACACACACACCCCCAAGCAAGTACAACAAAAGCAAAAGCCAGATTCCTGGGTCTCACCCTACACCTATTGCATTAGAATCCCGGGGTTGGGCCTAGAATTTATTTTTTTAACTTCTCAAGTGATTGTGATGCAGAAAAGCCATATAGCAGTGTCCAGCAATTGTTCATCAACTATTGGCTGGAAGGACTAGAAATACCTACTCCATCTGACTCCAATTAGATTAGCAACAGTCAAGTAAAAAGCTGAAAAGCCTCCAAAATAACTCAAATTACACTACCTTTTTGGTGTTTTAACAAATCTCACCACTGAAAAGCTCATTCTTTTAACTTCACTAAATCCTCCTCTTTTAGTTACAGCCTCATTTTCTTTGATTTGGTCCTTAGTGAGCCCTGGAAACAGATCATCTGTTAGAATAGGTGATTATAGCGGAAAATGGAAATGCAGCGTAACAAAAGAAAAACAAATCGCTCCTGTGCGGCCAGCCATGAAGCCCAAGTTGGGTCACCCTGGGTGGCAGCTGGATACAACAGACTCAGCAGGCACCCTGCCCAAGGTCCACTCGGGTCTACACCTCTCATCACATAGCCCACTGTTCTGTGCAGGATCCTCCTGTTCTTTGTGAACATGTTTCCTGGTGAAGAAAAGTCAAATGCTACCCAGAGATATTTTCAGGTGGCATTTCCTGTTGTGATTAAACAGAATTATGAAATCTCAATGTTTTCAATTCACTGGACTTCTTCTAGACTTTGTGACTCTATCTGTGATAAGATTCTGCCTGGCCAAAGATATTCACTAATGCTTTGACCCCTCAATGGCATGGAGTTACTGATTCCCTAAGAATTATATTGCTATTTAGTCACAAAAATGTTAAAATCCTTTTCCTATCATGGTGGTTTTAAAACATGGCCCCTAATTCTTTGACAATCCTTTCATCATCTGGAAATGGGATTCTCCATATTGTGAACGTACTAAAATCCACTGAATTGTACACTTACAATAGTCAATTTAGGTTATATAATTTTTACCTCCATTTTTTTTTTTTTGAGACAGAGTCTCGCTCTGTCCCTGAGGCTGGAGTGCAGTGGCACAATCTCGGCTCACCGCAAGCTCCGCCTCCCGGGTTCATGCCATTCTCCTGCCTCAGCCTCTCGAATAGCTGGGACTACAGGCGCCCACCACCACGCCCGGCGAATTTTTTGTATTTTTAGTAGAGATGGGGTTTCACCATCTTAGCCAGGATGGTCTCAATCTCCTGACCTCATGATCCACCCGCCTTGGCCTCCCAAAGTGCTGGGATTACAGGCGTGAGCCACTGCGCCCAGCCACCTCAATTTTTTTTTTCTAAGTGACATTCTATATCTCCTTCCTTTGAATCTGGGCTCCATGACTGCTTGACCTGTAGAATATGGCAGACACGATGCTGTGATTTCTGAGCCTAAGCCTTAAGAAACTGGCAGCTGCTTCCATTTCCCATCTTCTAGGATGCTTACTCTTGGCAACCAGCCACCATAACATGAAGAAGTATAAGCAATCCTTCCATAGGTCACCCAGGGATGAACTGAGGTCCTGGGGCCAGAACCCCCAGCTGAGCTCCTAGCTGACAGCAAGCACCAACTTACCAGCCACGTGAGTGAGCCACCTTAAAAGCAGATCCTCCGGCCCCGTGCAGATCCACTTCAACCAAAGCTGTGTGGAACGAAGACAAGCTACACCCTTGCCAAGCCCAGCCTCAATCACAGACTCATAAGCAAAATAAATGCCTGGAGATGTTTAAACCATCACTAAATTCTATGATGGTCT
The DNA here is from genome assembly GCF_000001405.40 of Homo sapiens. Classification (NCBI taxonomy): domain Eukaryota; kingdom Metazoa; phylum Chordata; class Mammalia; order Primates; family Hominidae; genus Homo; species Homo sapiens. Next base: position 49,151,137 of record NC_000020.11, read on the forward strand.
GTTATGAGGCAAAAGGTAACTGGCGCTTCTATATAATCAAGAGTGGCTGGTAAAAAACAGCTTCAGAAAATCCTCTAACCTGGTACCCATATATCACAGTAGATTCTGGCAAGCATAATCTTGAGCACCGAAGACTTCATCCATACATGTTCTTCACAACTCAACTGAATCACAAACTTTCTAACGTGTTCACACCGTATCATGTCACTCAAAACCATGCTACAGACTGAAAAAGAAGGCAACTGACTTTCTTGTTAAGAAATTTTAAAAGGAAAAAAGGAGTAAAAAGCAAGAAAGCTACAGAGCATAAAATCTTGGAGGCATTCAAATAAAAATTATGGACAGCTGTCAATGTGCCTTCTTAGAAAAGATAATGTGCGGTGACATCTCCCCACTACCCTCCTACCCTGTCGAAGCGTCAGGGAGCCTGGGCTCAACTCCTCACCTCCAGCCTCTCTGGCAGGGGCTCATTCTGCAGGATCCTCAACGCTTTGGCAGCAGCATCGTGTTTCGCAGCCTGTCTTGTCTTTCCTTTGCCATTAAATTGCTGTCCTCCCACAGAAAGTTCCACTTGATAAAGTAAAGGTGGAACTGGAAATGGGTAAAAGTACCTAGAAATAAAAGGAGGTTAGGCAAATTACAGTCTCAAGTTGATAAGTCACCTATACACTCTCTGGCAAATGCAAGTATTTCCTTCATCACGATCCTACTCACATTAGTGTTTGATGCTAATCACTCTTCATCAATATATCCAGAGATTTCATAAAAGCTTAAACTGGATTAGAATTGCTACACAGTATAAGCAAAGAGTGTTTAGCAATCCAAACTTACATCTCACAAAATACAATGGCTTATAAATTATGAGTTTATCACACTAACCTGCACTGACAAAATCTAAAATGAATTAGGCTTTGGCTGAGACAAAAACTTGGCTTGCTCTGCCTTCTCAAACCTTAGCTTTAAATTTGCATGTCTCCAATAGGAGGCTGGGAATTTTAATGCACAAGTCTTTCAAAAGGACCCTCATTTCAAGAAATCCCAATAAGCTGTAGCCTACCTAGCAGAACCCAGTTTCTTATCCATTTCCCTAGCAGAACCCAGTTTCTTATCCATTTCATAGCTTATATTTTTAAAATGACTATCCCCCAACAGAGAGCAGGGAAATGAAGAATTCCATTTTGCTCATCATCTATCCACTAATGTCTTTTTTTTTTTTTTTTTTTTGTGAGATGGAGTTTCTCTTGTTGCCCAGGCTGGAGTGCAGTGGTGCGATCTCGGCTCACTGCAACCTCCGCTTCCTGGGTTCAAGCGATTCTCCTGCCTCAGCCTCCCGAGTAGCTGGGATTACAGGCACCTGCCACCATGCCTGTATTTTTAGTATTTTTAGTAGAGACAGGGTTTCACCATGTTGGCCAGGCTGGTCTCAAACTCCTGACCTCATGATCCGCCTGCCTTGGCCTCCCAAAGAGCTGGGATTACAGGCGTGAGCCACCACACCTGGCCTCCACTAATGTCTTATTACTGCCAGCAGAAGATTTTTAATCCATGGCATTTTCAGGTTTCAATTAATATTTTATTGCACCAAAGCTATTTACAAAACGCACAAGTTCAAAAGTCAAAAAGTACCCAATAATCAGGTAATCTACAAATGCTGGGAATCATTGTCTTGCAGGAATCATGATGCTATGGGAATCATGTTTAAATATGATTCAGTTACACAAAGCAGTTACAAGGGTTATCTTTAGCCAGGCTGCTTGAGGGCACAAGCCACACTGCCAGCAAGAAATATGCTCAGGCCCTACCCAAGAGCAGTAGTTAAAGAAGCACAAAGGAGCCGGGCGTGGTGGCTCATGCCTGTAATCCCAGCACTTTGGGAGGCCGAGGTGGGCGGATCATGAGGTCAGGAGATTGAGACTATCCTGGCTAACAAGGTGAAACCCCGTCTCTACTAAAAATACAAAAAATTAGCCGGGTGTGGTGGCAGGCGCCTGTAGTCCCAGCTACTTGGGAGGCTGAGGCAGGAGAATAGCATGAACCCGGGAGGCAGAGCTTGCAGTGAGCCGAGATCATGCCACTGCACTCCAGCCTGGGCAACAGAGCGAGACTCCGTCTCAGAAAAAAAAAAAAAAAAAGAAGCACAAAGGGCCGGGTGTGGTGGCTCACACTTTAATCCTAGCACTGCGGGAGGCCAAGACAGGAGGACTCCTTGAGCCCAGAAGTTCAAGACCAGTCTGGGCAACATACGGAGACCCTGTCTCAATGAATTAAAAAAAAAAAAAAGAGGCGCAGCCAGGTGTGGTGGCTCACGCCTGTAATCCCAGCACTTTGGGAGGCCAAGGTGGGCAGATCATCTGAGGTCCGGAGTTCAAGACCACCCCAGCCAACATGGCAAAACCCCGTCTCTACTAAAAAATACAAAAAAAAATCAGCCAGGCGTGGTGGCAGGTGCCTGTAATCCCAGCTATTCGGGAGGCTGAGACAGCCTCCTCACTTGAACCCAGGAGGCAGAGGATACAGTGAGCCGAGACTGCACCACTGCACTCCAGCCTGGGTGACAGAGCAAGACTCTGTCTCAAAAAAAAAAAAAAAAAAAAAAAAAAAAAAAAGAAAGAAAGAAAAAAAAGAAAAGGCGGGGGAGGGGCACAAAGGCACAAGAGTAATTAAGACCAACTTCAACACTTGGCAGGCCCAAACCAAATCATTACTCCCTCCACAATCTAGAGGTACTGGTTTATGTAAAAGATCAGACACGTTTTCTCCTGTATTTTACAAAAAAAAAAAAAAAAAAACACATACCTCGGGGGATAAGCACCTCCTCTCATGTTGTAGTTATAGGTGGACTGCATCCGAGAGTAAGGGTCAACAGGCTTATACATTGGTTTTTTTCCAAGTTTCATGCACAGTGCATTTAGTTCTACAGTAGGGGTTATGCTTTCTGCAAGAAAGAATCGACAAAGAACTGTTTTTTTCTGGTATGAGAATGATACTCACTAAAATAAAATGTAATAGCATGCTTTCTGCTAATTGGATTCATGATACTTTACATAAAAGGACCTGGGTGGCTCACTGCTAGGCATCAGACAAGGAAATCCAAGAATATGCTGTGATTTCTAGATATTTATACACAGTCGACAGCACAAAATCTACTCTGAGGGTTACCAGAGGAGCCACAATTTAACCCAAGACATTATCAGTGAAAGCTATATGGTACAGCTGTCAGAAATAAGTTCCAAAACACATCAAATTTCACGATTAAAAAATCCCATGTAAATGTCCAAATTGTTTTACTGTTTGAGAATACTTAATCAATATAACCTTGGTTGTACTGATTTACAGGATTATTGGCTTGCACTCAGAAGTATGTCCGTACACAGTATTGAACGATGCATTTATTACATTACTAACTGGATGCAAAGCACTGTGCTAAGCTTAAGAAACACAATTCCTGGCCAGGCGTGGTGGCTCACGCCTGTAATCCCAGCACTTTGGGAGGCCAAGGCAGGAGGATCACAAGGTCAGGGTATCGAGACCATCTTGGCTAACATGGTGAAACCCTATCTCTACTAAAAAATACAAAAAATTAGCCAGGCATGGTGGCGGGTGCCTGCAGTCCCAGCTACTCAGGAGGCTGAGGCAGAAGAATGGTGTGAACCTGGGAGGCGGACCTTGCAGTGAGGGTGGCTCACACCTGTAATCCCAGCACTTTGGAAGGCCGAGGCGGGTGGATCACCTGAGGTCAGGAGTTCGAGACCAGCCTGGCTAACACGGTGAAACCCCGTTTCTACTAAAAATACAAAAAATTAGCCAGGCATGGTGGCGCATGCCTGTAATCCCATCTACTCAGGAGGCTGAGGCAGGAGAATCGCCTGAACCCAGGAAGCAGAGGTTGCAGTGAGTCGAGATTGCGTCACTGTACTCCAGATGAGGAAACAAGAGCAAAACTCTGTCTTAAAAAAAAAAAAGAAACACAATTCCTGCCCCAGAGGAGTTCAAAAAACACAAAGCACACTCAAAGAGTTACAATACAACATGATGTGCAACTTAAAGGTGAAAAATCAGTGAGGAGGTGGCAACCCAATTCTCTTCACAGAAGTCACACAAGGCCCACAAAATATTCAGGTATTTCCATTCTTGACATTTCTAATGAATTTGACCTGTGGTCATACTTGCTACGAAAATGAGTTCCATTTTCATACACAACAAGTTATCTCAAAATTATCAACTTCAGAAAATACATGCTATTCATTTTCCAATTTTTTTTTCTTTCAGTTCATCCAATCCATAAACCTTTAAAAACCATTTAAAAAGAAAACCAGCCTGGAAAGATTAGTGTCAGTGCACAATATTTAAAAACAACACTTTCATATCAAAAACAGAACACTAGAAATGGCAAAATCTAAATGCACATAAAAATCCACTTTAAAATGCCTCTTTAGGATGTATATAGAGAGAAATAAAAAAGACCTGATTCTGTACTATAACTGGTTCAACTAAATTTAATGCATGAATCAAATCTATAAGAATATCTTTGGGGTTTGCACAGAGGGCCACATGAATTACAGATCTCTCTCTTCCTTGCATTAGAATTATATTTTTTACAAAATTCATATAATTGCATTTTAAGTACAGTCTGAATCATTTTAAGAGCAGCTCTGATCCACAGAATTTGTCTGCAATAGAGAATAAACATGAAGAAAGTATACTGCAAAGAAATCAAAAGTAACAAGAAAGATGTGACTGGTAACTTCCCAGATTCCTTCCTACATACGAAGACCTGGGATGACTTCATGCATGTGAGGGGGTCTCTGCTAAAACAGCCATTAATGACACAGCCTCCAGGTCACTGATCCCCAACCCTTCACCAGCCATGCCTTCTTGATTAGTATGCTCCCTGAATGGGCTCCTTGTCTGAGGAGATACTACCTGCTGGCTTGTATTTAAGTAATATTTACATTTTTCTCATTCTTTTTAATAACTAAGAGACATACAACTGGCAATAAGCACTTCTGACCAACAAAATTACAATCAATATTACCACACTGACTTGATGTGACTCTAAATTAAACTTATATTCTTGCTAATCTATACACTCTTATCAAAAATATATTTTCATTAAACTTCGGAAATCTTTGAAATTATCTGGTCACCCGCCATCCTTCCTATGACCGCCTTTCCAGATTGTCAGGCGTTAAGGCATCATAGATTGGAAACCACTGCTTTACAATGAGGTTAAGGATTCCTAAAAAATAAGCATTTGTCACTGGTAGTGTAGAATCTGTGCTTTCAAAATCAACAAGTTAAGAAACCATTCATATACATACTACATGGTACCTCTAGACACACTTTTGAAAGGTACCTGTTTGGCCCATGCATAAGACCTGGATTCCTTCCTTCGCTACCAAAAGGGCTGACTATGGGCTTAGGAAATTTTGTTCCCTCCAAAGCTTTAGCAGCAGCTGTGTGTTTGACCTTTTTAATACCAGTTCACTCAGCTCCCCATTGCTGATTTCCAAGTGTCAGCAGTACTGTAAATTCCTAGAAATGAAAAGTGTGAGCTCTCAAATTCATGAAACCTGACATTGACTGTAATATGTCACTTGAACCTTGAACACTTTCTATGGTCATGGTTTAAGAGGCCTGGTCTTATCTTGATAATTCATCCTGTCATCCCCTTCTTATCCTTTTTTGTTGTTTTTTATAAACAACAACAAAAAAAAGAGATTGTGTGTGTATGCACTGAAATTTTTTTTTTTTTTTAAGAGACACAGTCTCACTCTGTCCCCAGGTTAGAGTGCAGTGGTGTGATCTTGGCTCAATGCAACCTCCACCTCCTGGGTTCAAGAAATTCTCCTGCCTCAGTCTCCCGAGTAGCTGGGATTACAGGCACCTGCCACCATGCCCGGCTAATTTCTGTACTTTTAGTAGAGACAGGGTTTCACCATGTTGGCCAGGCTGGTCTCGAACTCCTGACCTCAAGTGATCCACCTGCCTCAGTCTCCCAAAGTGCTGGGATTACAGGCATGACCCACCACGTCCAGCCTCAAAATTCTCTTCCAATTACTTCTCATGAAAGATATTTTGCAAACTTGATTTAAACACACAGCAGTACTTCACACAAATTAAGACAATGTTTGTTTTGATGCTGCAATGTGTTTGTGGGCTCTTGTTTGAAAACATAACCACCCTTTTTTTCAGTTTTTGAAATGGGGTCTTGCTCTGCTGTCCAGGCTGGAGCTCAAATGGCACAATCATAGCTCACTGCAGCCTCCTGGGTTGAAATAATCCTCCCACCTCAACCTCCTGAGTAGCTGGGACTACAGGCACACACCACCATACTTGGCTAATTTTTTTTTTTTATTTTTTTGAGACAGTCTTGCTCTGTCGCCAGGCTGGAGTGTAGTGGCATGATCTCAGCTCACTGCAACCTCCGCCTCCCAGGTTCAAGCGATTCTCCTGCCTCAGCCTCCTGAGTAGCTGGGACTACAGGCATGCACCACCACGCCCAGCTAATTTTTGAATTTTTAGTAGGGATGGGGTTTCACCATGTTGGCCAGGATGGTCTTGGTCTCTTGACCTTGTGAACTGCCCGCCTTGGACTCTCAAAGTGCTGGGATTACAGGCGTGAGCCACCATGCCCGGCCCATACCTGGGTAATTTTTTAATTTTTGCGGAGGCAGGGTCTCCCTATGTTGCCTAGGCTGGTCTTAAACTCCTGGGCTCCAGTGATCCTCTCGCCTCAGCCTTCCAAAGTGATAGGATTTAAGGCATGAGCGTTTCTATTTTTATTAAGTTCTCAAAGTAATTCTGATGCACCCCAAAGATTTGAGATTCACTACTTTGGAATTTAACAAATCAATTGAAGCGGCCGGGTGTGGTGGCTCACAACTGTAATCCCAGCACTTTGGGAGGCAGAGGCGGGCAGATCACCTGAGGTCAGGAGTTCAAGACCCGCCTGGCCAACATGGTGAGACCCTGCCTCTACTAAAAATACAAAAATTAGCCACGTGTGGTAGTACGTGTCTGTAATCCCAGCTACTCAGGAGGCTGAGGCAAGAGAATCACTTGAACCCGGGAGGTTGCGGTTGCAGTGAGCCGAGAACACGCTATGGCACTCCAGCCTGGGTGATGACAGAGTAAAACTCCGTCTCAAAAAAAGAAAAAATTAATTGAAGCTTTTATTCTTCTGATGTAATCACTGAATATCACTTTATCTCACTTACAAATAATTTACAAGGGAAACCTGGATTTCAGTATGTCTAGGTCATTTAAATTTGGTGCCTTAAGGGGTGAGGCAACTTGCCTTCATAGCTGATTTTTCTTGTAGGTCTTACTTTTAGGATTCCCTCAGTGCACGGCTTCCACTAAAGGAAAAAAACAAAGAATCCTTTATTGGCCAGGTGCAGTGGCTCATGCCTGTAATCCTAGCACTTTGGGAGGCCAAGGCAGGCAGATCACTTGAGGTCAGGAGTTCGAGACCAGCCTGGCCTACATAGTGAAACCCCATCTCTACTAAAAATGCAAAAATTAGCCAGGCGTGGTGGCATGCACCTGTAATTCCAGCTACTTGGGTAGCTGAGGCAGGAGAATCACTTGAACCCGGGAGGCAGAGGTTGCAGTGAGCCAAGATTGCACCACTGCACTCCAGTATGGGCAACAGAGACTCCATTTCAAAATAAAAAAAAGCCGGGCGCGGTGGCTCATGCCTGTAATCCCAGCAGATCGCGCCACTGCACTCCAGCCTGGGCCACAGAATGAGACTCCATCTCAAAAATAAATAAATAAATAAATAAATAATCCTTTACCCCCCTTGACACTTCACACATCAGGACATCAGGGGTCTCCTTTATTATATGTTCTGCAGTCCATCAGGCTACTCATTTAAGTACAAACAACAGCATGAACTCAAAACCCTGGCAGGCAGGAAGGTCAAATGGCAGAAGCCTGCAACGCAGTACAATCCCTGGGTCATCTTGGTGATTGTCTCATGGATAAATGCTGAAGGGGAAAAAGCTAAAAAAAAAAAAACACACAAAGTTATTCTCGTGAACCGTCTTGCCTTTCTCTAGGACTTTCCCCATCCGGTGCTACCTGCCACTCTGCTGCATTCTGTTGGTGTAGCAAGGCTAGAATCTTGGTTTTGATAGAACCAAAAGTATACCACATCTCTTGATTTTTCAAATAATCTAAATCACCCAAGAGAGAACAACTTCTCCTCTTTGAACAACTTGTGGGTAAAAAGAAAATATGCGGTTAGAGATGAACACACAGCCAAACTACCTAAATTATTAAAAGTTCAAGTGAGAAAGTGCATTAGCCAAAATATAATAAAAAGTTAATAAAGGGAATCCCGAAGTTAAGGTCTGCAAAAAAATCCTGGAGAGGAAATACAACAGTTATAGAAAAATGACTGACTTCTATTTTTATTTTAATTAATTATTTTTTGATAAAGGGTCTCACTCTGTCACCCAGGCTGGAATGCAGTGGTGCCATCTCAGCTCATCACAGCCCCCACCTCCCAGGTTCAGGTGATTCTCCTGCCTCAGCCTCCTGAGTAGCTGGGACTACAGGTGCGCACCACCACATCCAGCTAATTTTTGTGTTTCTTGGTAGATACAGGGTTTCACCATGTTGGCCAGTCTGGTCTCAAACTCCTGACCTCAAGTGATCTGTCGGCCTTGGCCTTCCAAAGTGCTGTGAATACAAGCATGAGCCACTGCTCCCAGTCCCTAGTTGCCTAAATGTGTCTATAAAGACACATTTCAAATAGAATTATGTTTTAAAACAACATTTTTAAGCTAGTTTTGTGTGAGTGGTAAATACTGTTTTTCTTAAATGCTTAATTAAATGCTTAATCCTGCCTCAGCTACCCAAGTAGCCAGAATTACAGCTACCATTTCTCAAGCATTTACTAGGCATTGTGCTCCACAGGTTAACATATATGCTCTCATTTAATTCTCACAATAAACCTATTTGGTGGGTATTATCCCTGTTTTACACATGAGGAAACAACGACAACAAAAAAGTAGTAACTTGCACAAGATCACACAGCTAGTAACAAGCTGAGACTCAAACCTAGATGTGTCTGACTTCAAAGGCAACTGAACCGTATTATGCTACGGTGACTATTCATGTTTGTGCCTTATGTTACTTTCAGTCAAATGAAAAGAAACACTTGATTTTATTCAAGGCTTGAGGTTTGCGTGTGAAGGAAAATGAGGCAAAATGAGATAAATAACTCATCCTTAATTATATTATCTTTGCTGCAAGGTTAGGATCAGAAACAGACAGCGTCAATTCCTTATCTCTCATACTATATCATCTTACGCTACAGCTGCAAAAGACAACTCCGTATCTCCGTGTCCTTAGATGGTTGGGAAAAAAGTTAACTCCAGATATGCAAGAATTAAGTTCCAGAATGTGCTGTTAATACAGATAACAAACAAGTTTCAAAGACTGAATTATTTTTTTCCTTTCCATGTTCTAAAAAGACTGAATTCTTGAATAATGATTAGCAAATTTTAAAATTATAGTCAGACTTTCATTCTCTAAGATAAGGGGAATGACAAGGATAACTGAAACCAAAGACAATACAAAATACTCACTTTGAGACTACATGGTGAAACCCCGTCTCTACTAAAATGCAAAATTAGCCAGGCAATTGCATCTTCAAACCTTTTGCCCAGATTGCTAACAAGTGAAAAAACTGTTTTCCCATCACCTCTTCTCCCTGCCCTAAGGTCCTTGTGCAAACAAGCAGGAGAGGAGCCAGAAGTAAGCTGCAGACAAGAGGTGGCCCAAAGCTGGAAAACTTACGGGCAATCAATCACAGGTGCTTGAGAATTGTCTCTGTTCAGAATCCCAAACAACCATACACTATTTGGAGTTTTAAAAGCAAAATATGGCCAGGCGGGGTGGCTAACACCTGTAATCCCAGCATTTTGGGAGGCCAAGGCAGGCAGATTGTTTGAGCCCAGCAACTCAAAACAAGCCTGGGCAACATAGTGAGACTTCATCTCCACAAAGAATTAAAAAAAAAAAAAACTAGCTGGGCGTGGTGGCATGCACCTGAGGTCCCAGCTACTCAGGAGGCCAAGGTGGGAGGATTGCTTAAGCCTGGGAGGTCGAGGCTGCAGTGAGACATGATCACACCACTCACTCCAGCCTAGGCGGCAAAGAAAGACTCTAAAAAAACTAAAACCCAAATATTCCAAAAAGCAACACATATTTTCTTTGACCCATTGGCAAGGATGAAAAAAGAAGCAACTTCAAAAATCTATAATCTTGTCTAAGTATAGTTTTTGTTTAAGACAACCTCATCAGTTTGAAAACATGTATTTTGAATTACAGCACCACTTTCAAGAGTATAAAAAATAGAGAACATTCCAGGTGGGTTATAAATGCACAAGCAGTATGGACAATATTTACCTTACAGTGAGCTGGACCTTGCTCACACAAAAGCCTATACTCAAGCTGGATCTTGCTGAAACAAACTAACTCATTCACAAGACACAACTGGGATTTTTCTCTATGGGGTTCGCCACATGAGAAGGAAGTGAAAACGTTAAGAGCACTGAAGTCAACTAGCAGTATATAAGACTACTATTCTCCTAGGGATATGAAAATAGAGGAAAAACAAATGGAAGGTCTACAAATGTAGGCAGCCATGATACAAAACTGCAAATCATTCCAGGAGTACACTCCCAGAGAAGACGCAACTAGGGTCTTTTCTGAACCAGTTGAAGCCAGGTAATCTAGGAGAGGGTGTGTCTTCAAAAGAGAGTGAAGTCAGGGGAGTAACTAACCCATGGCAGGCAAGCAAGATTTGAAATCAGATGAATCACTGCTATTAAAACCAACTGGAATACAAGGTCTTCTGAGCAGACACTGGTTACTGAAACAGCCGCCAGCTGTACCCCGCCCATTATTTCGCTAAACTCAACATGCCACTACCATCTCTCAAACAACACTTGTCATCTTCCATACAGTGAAACTCTCATTCCTGGGCATCCTCTAGTCTTTTCTCCAAAGGCTGCCATCCTCAGACCTTATCTATTTCTAACAATTATATAAATAAAATAAAATGATGTTGGTGGGCAGGAGTTTTACAAAGTCAATAGGATTTGGACACCAGAATTCATTAGAAGAAAAAGCAATAAATCCCAGAGGACGGAAACAGTCTGTGCCTTTTCCTTTTAAGAGAGTCTCACATGGCAAATATGGGGAAAATAACATCTCTCCAGGACTACAAAAAATCAAGAATGCTATCTGGTGAACCAGTCCAAGGAATTGTGGGGGTGGCATGGAAGATGCCACGCAGCTGAGTGGGAGAAGCAAACACTCTAAGAACAGATTTATAGGCCAGACATGGTGGCTCACGCCTGTAATCCCAACACTTTGGGAGGCCGAGGCAGGCGGATCACGAGGTCAGAAGATCAAAACCATCCTGGCTAACAAGGTGAAACCCCATCTCTACTAAAAATACCAAAAAAATTAGCCGGGCATGGTGGCGGGCGCCTGTAGTCCCAGCTACTCAGGAGACTGAGGCAGGAGAATGGCGTGAACCCGGGAGGCAGAGCTTGCAGTGAGCCGAGACCATGCCACTGCACTCCAGCCTGGGCGACAGAGCGAGACTCCGTCTCAAAAAAAAAAAAAACAGATTTATAAAGTAAAGGAAATGAGAAGACAAAGGAGGAAACTGAAAGGAAACAGGCACAAGGAAGGGGATGAAAAGACTTTGTTATAAGGTAACTCTGGTATAGAAATACCCACATACTAGGCTGGATGTGGTGGCTCACGCCTATAATCCCAGCACTTTAGGAGGCCAAGGTAGGCGGATCACGAGGTCAAGAGATTGAAACCATCCTGGCCAACATGGTGAAACCCCATCTCTACTAAAAATACAAAAATTAGCTGGGCATGGTGGCGTGTGCCTATAGTCCCAGCTACTCAGGAGGCTGAGGCAGGAGAATTGCTTGAACCCGGGAGGAGGAAGTTGCAGTGAGCCAAGATTGTGCCACTGCACTCTAGCCCGGCGACAGAGCGAGACTCCATTTCAAAAAAAAAAAAAAATTGACACTGACACCCCATTTATTTCACTGGTCTTGCCATGTTGCAGGGAGGGTGTTGGGAAGCAGAATATTGTTTTTATTTATTATCCCCACTCCCTTTTTTTTTCTAGTCAGACCCTGTCTCCTATTCATAAGAATATTGGTTTTAGGTTTTCTTTCTTTAGCCTTAGTTTCTTGTCTATAATATTTTTAGGTATTTTTCAAGTGTTTAAACCTTTTTTTTTTTTTTTTTTTTTTTTGAGATGGAATCTCGCTCTGTTGCCCAGACTGGAGTGCGGTGACATGATCTTGGCTTGCTGCAGCCTCTGCCTCCCAGGTTCAAGCGATTTTCCTGCCTCACCCTCCCAAGTAGCTGGGAATATAGGCACACACCGCTACACCTGGCTAATTTTTGTATTTTTAATAGAGACAGGGTTTCACCATGTTGGCCAGGCTGGTCTCAAACTCCAGACCTCAGGTGATCCACCTGCCTTGGCCTCCCAAGTGCTGGGATTATGGGCATGAGCCACTGCAACCGGCAAGGTACCTTTAGTTCATTTTCCTAATTATCAGATTTGAATGTTTCTATACTTTTTGTTTTGAGTCAGTCTCAGTCTGTTGCCCAGGCTGGAGTAAGACAGCACGATCACAGTTCATTGCAGCCTCAAACTTCTGGGCTCAAGCAATCCTCCTGCCTCAGCCTCCCAAGTAGCTGGGACAACAGGTGCACACCATCAAGCCCAGCTAATTTTTAAATTGGCCTCGCAGCCTGGCACAATGACTCACACCTGTAATTCCAGCAATTTGGGAGGCCAAGGCAAGCTGATCACTTGAGATCAGGAGTTGGAGATGAGCCTGGGCAACACAGTGAAACCCCATCTCTACTAAAAATACAAAACAGCCGAGCGTAGTGGCAGGCACCTGTAATCCCAGCTACTCGGGAGGCTGAGGCAGGAGAATCGCTTGAACCCAGGAGCCAGAGGTTGCAGTGAGCCAAGATCACACCACTGCACTCCAGCCTAAGCAACAAAGTGAGACTCTGTCTCATAAATAAATAAATAGGCATCCCAAAACACTGAAATTACAGGTGTGAACCACCTTGCCAGCCAAGAAGGAGACTTTTTTTCTTTTGAGACAGGGTCTCGCTCTGTCTCCCAGGCTGGATGGAATACAGTGGTATAATTACAGCTCATGGCAGCCTCGACCTCCTGGACTCAAGTGACCCTCCTGCCTCAGCCTCTGGAGTAGCTGGGACCACAGCTCAGCCAATTTTTGTATTTTTTTTTTTGTATAGATGGGATTTCACCATGTTGCCCAGGCTGGTCTCCAACTCCTGGGCTCAAGCAATCTCCCCACTCGGCCTCCCAAAGTACTGGGATTACAGGTGTGAACCACCACGCCTGGCCATGACGCAGAAAATTTTAACAAGAAAATAAATTTGGGCATTGTAGCTCACACCTATAATCCAGCTATTCAGGAGGCTGAGGCAGGAGGATCCACTTGAGCCCAGGAGGTTGATGCTGCAGTGAACCATAATCTCACACTACCGTACTCCAGCCTAGGCAATAGAGACCCCGTGAAACAAACGAGAGATAAGAAAGGAAAGAAGAGAAAAAAAACTCTGCTTCTTTATTCCATTTCTAATTGATCCTCATTATGATTTCTAAACTACTTCTGGAACCTTCCAGACTTAAACTTACTTGTTCAAAACAAAAATAAAAATAAATAAATGTCAATGTACTTTTTTGCTTTCTAGTAAATCTGGCTGCCCCCTTGCTTGGGATAAAATCTTACGGACATTCAAAAAGAAGGCTTATGTAGATTTAAGAGCTCTTCGTCAGTTGTGGGAATTTTATTTATTTATTTTTTATTTATTTTTGAGACGGAGTCTTGCCTTGTTGCCCAGGCTGGAGTGCAGTGCCATGATCTCAGCTCACTACAACCTCTGCCTCCTGGGTTCAAGTGATTCTTCTATATCAGCCTCCCGAATAGCTGGGACTACAGGCACGCACCACCATGCCCAGCTATTTTTTGTATTTTTAGTAGAGACGGAGTCTCACCATATTGGCCAGGCTGGTCTCGAACTCATGACCTCGTGATCTGCCCGCCTTGGCCTCCCAAAGTGCTGGGATTACAGGCGTGAGCCACCGCGCCCGGCCTATTTTTTCTTTTTTTGAGACAGTGTCTCCCTCTTGCCCAGGCTGGAGTGAAGTGGCACAGTCTCAGCTCACTGCAACCTCCACCTCCAGGGTTCAGGCAATTATCCTGCCTCAGCCTCCTGAGTAGCTGTTATGGGCGTGCATCACCAAGCCCAGCTAGTTTGTGTATTTTTTGTAGAGGCAGGGTTTCACCATGTTGGCCAGGCTGGTCTCAAACTCCTGACCTCTGCTGATCCACCTGCCTCAACCTCCCAAAGTGCTGGGATTACAGGCGTGAGCCACGGCACCTGGCTTGTTCTGGGAAATAATTTTAAATGCAGAATTATCCCATACAACGATGAATATCCAAGGTGGTATTTACTGCTCAATTCTTTCTGCCAGCCACCGCTCTTTAACAGATGAGGCTTTATAGTGTGAGTAGTTTTCAGCTTTCAATTCTCTTTCTCACAACCTACAATCGTCTGTCAACTGAGGCCCCTGTCAACCCCTTACACAACCAGTGTTCTATATCTGGGATAAAGAAGTGTGGGTGGTGATACTTTCTTTTGCTTTTTGAAGGTAAATGTGAGAGCTCCCTAAATCTGCAACCTATCAGATCAGAAAACAGGGTAAGAAAACATTTGAAATAGAAGACACTTGGATTCATATGCTTACCTGCAGCTGCACTGGTGGATGTAATAGATGCAGAGGGTAAAGCAGAGTTTTGAATGGGTCTACCTGCATTTTCAGAGGGCAGAGAGCTAGTAGTAGAAGGAATACTCATCAAAGGCTGTGAGAGAAGAGACTGGTTCTTGTTCAGTATTTGGCTCCCTGAGAGAGCAGCAGATGGGTTCTGAACTTGCACTTGAACTTGAGACATGGTCACTTTCAACAAAAGTGAACAAATGCAGGTAAACAGCTTTCAGTGCAGGTTAATTCAGTGCTATGAAGTCTAAAGTTCTACCTAAAAGTTGTAAGGGAAAGAAAATAAAAAGGTAAATTATAGAGGAGATATGTAATTGCCAATATTCAGTCAAAATGGTGTCACCTACTGACTTATGAAAATAGCTCCATTTAGCATGTAGCTATGTTGATTTATTCGAAATATGTTTCTCCTTGGTATACAGTAAGTTTCTTGGCCTTGTGACTTTCCCACAGTGTTTTTTAAGTGATTTACAATACCTGTGTGCTCTGCATATTCATTATACAAAGAGAATCAGTAGGGTATAATATTTATTGGTGAGTATTAAGAATTGCAAACTATAGCTTACATTCAAAAATGCAAATTTGAAAGTATGGAGAGGTTTCCATAGTAATTGGGGCACAGTAAGGTTTCTTTCTGGTCTCAAAATTACAAGAAACTGAAAGCAAACTAGGTTTATCATACCAGGAACAGGTGAATGTGAACACTGCTTCCTCTTAAGGACCAAGGCTCAGACTGACAACCTTAGGGCCTTAAGTTGACAGAAGGAAGGTAGGATACTTCTGCTGTTTCTTTTTCTTTATGGTGATGAGAGATGTATTGTTTTCCTAAAAGGCTTGTTTGAGGTCTCATTTAATTATAGAACCCAAACAAGGAAACTATCACAACCCTACCCAGGCTCACAGATCCTGAGAAGTGATGTGAGTAACAAAGACCATACTAGAGAATTTATACTATTAAAAGCAAAAGTGGAGATGAAGAAGACAGGAATGGATTTTAGACTGGCAATTTTACTGGTGTGGTTGGGTGGGGGAGCACTGGAGCTTGTTTACTTCATATTGTAAATTAAGAGAATAATGAAGGCATTACTTCTAAATACATTAAATTTCTTCACGAGACAAAAATAAGGACAGTTGTGTTCATTTTCATGGCCATCCTTTAAAAGCTGAAAATGTTTTTAATGAGTCAAAGTACTTAAAAATAACCAGTGGCAACAAAGAACAGAAATGACAGGTCTCTCAGGAAATAGCCAACCAATGCAGAAACCAGCAAACCAACTAATTAGAAGTTCTATTATAAAGAAACAGTTACTTTAATTTTTTTTAAGTATCAAAATGATTTTTAAAGCTGGTCCTCAAGAAAGAGATGAATGACCAGAGCAATTAAGCTACTTGAGGAGTCCTAACACATTCTCTCTTACTGAGAGCAAAAAGGACTGCAAAACTCAAAAGAAACTCAAGCGAAATGTGACTCTGGATAGCAGAGGCATAAGTATTACCTTATTCAACAAAATTCCCCAAGAGTGCAGTTGTTCCTTTTTACTTTCAGAATCAGAACAAAATAACAGAGGCGTTCCATTGAAGATCTACATAATGGTCTTAGAAGACAAGTCGCCAGTGTCAAGAAACAAGTCCAGAACCATTCAGAAGTCAGCTATGACCTTATTTCATTGGGTTTTTTTTCCGTCAGCTGCTAAAATAGAAACACTTTTTTCCTCCTCTCTTCCCCTCTCTTCATTTATTCACTCACTCCTCCTTTTCCTGCTTTTTGTAAACTATCTTGAGAGCACTTTTTAAAACAAAAAAGTCACTTGTGTATGTACGACTTCACAACACCAACCACAGGTCTCAAGGTCAAAAAATGAGCTAGGAGTAAAGTATCTGCTCCAGAATCTACCCCCATCCCAGAAAGAGCAACCCAACTGTGTCCTGAGTGGCTCTTAGAGTTTAAGACTCTGAATGAATGCCTAAATTTAGAAAGGGTGTGGACCAAGGGATTTTTGGTTAATGTTCTCTAAAGCAGGCTGACTGCCAGGATTTCAAGTCAGTGATAAATTTTTAATTTTTTTTTTTTTTTTCCGAGACAGAGCTTTGTCGCCCAGGCTGGAGTGCAGTGTTGCAAACTTAGCTCACTGCAACCTCTGCCTCCTGGGCTCAAGCAATTTTCCTGCCTCAGTCTCCCAAGTAGCTAGGATTACAGGCATGAGCCACCATGCCTGGCTAGTTTTTGTATTTTTAGCAGAGACAGCATTTCGCCAGGTTGGCCAGGCTGCTCTCAAACTCCTGACCTCAGGTGATCTGCCCACTTCAGCCTCCCAAAGTCCTGGGATTACAAGTGTGAGGCACCGCACTCTGCTCAAGTCAGTCATAAATATGTAAGTTTTCTAGAAGCTGAGAAAGGAATAGGCTTTTTAAATTAAGACTGCCTCAAAAATGTTACCCTTAAATTCACTTAAAGGACTTAACATCTAACAGTTGGTTGAAATATGTAGTTCAAAACAAAACAAACCAAAAAAAAAAAGTTAAACTCTCCAAATAAGACTAGGTAAATTTAAATTTCCAACATGATAAATATGAAAATGCAACAAACAATACTCACAAATTATTAGTCACCTGCTAGTTTAAAATTTTTATGTGTCTTATTTAAGCCTG
This sequence comes from Homo sapiens, assembly GCF_000001405.40. Lineage (NCBI taxonomy): Eukaryota > Metazoa > Chordata > Mammalia > Primates > Hominidae > Homo > Homo sapiens. Next base: position 49,168,676 of record NC_000020.11, read on the forward strand.
AACAGAGCATCTAAGGTAGTGATTCTCAAAAGGGAGCAATTTTGTTCCCCCAGGAGACATCTGCCAATGTCTGGAGACATTTTTTGGTTGTCACAACCAGTGTGCAGAATGGGGAACCTACTGATATTTAGTGGATAGAGGAGCCAGGGATACTGTTACAAGCACACATATACTAACCCACACAATACAATCTTACTAATGTAACAAGTAGCTTATATTCTTAGACAGGAAAAGAAAATCCCCTTTCTATCTCGAAAGGCCCTAAAAAATAGATGCTAATTTTTTTTTTTTTTTTGAGACAGTCTCGCTCTGTTGCCTAGGGTGGAGTGCAGTGGTGTGATCTCCGCTCACTGCAAACTCCGCCTTCTGGGTTCAAGCGATTTTCCTGCCTTAGTCTCCCGAGTACTTAGGATTACAGGCGTGTACCACCACACCCGGCTAATTTTGTATTTTTAGTAGAGACAGCGTTTCACCATGCTGGCCAGGCTGATCTTGAACTCCTGATCTCAAGTGATCCTCCTGCCTCAGCCTCCCTAAGTGCTAGGATTACAGGCATGAGCCACTGCGCCTGGCCTGATGCTAATGTTTTAGCACCCAAACAGATGCTCCTCTCCCAAAGAGAAGCCGGAACAGACATCACAGTGATGAATGGGGGAAAATATATCATTTGCCCACATAACTCAAGGAACAAATTAAGTTTTTCATTACTGATATAGATATAGTTCATAGCAGCCTTCAAGGAACTGTGGAACTTTGGAAATAGAACTTCTGTGTAAATTCTAAACCTGTTGCTCAACAGTACTGTCCTGAAGACTAAGTCCTTAAATGCAAATAAGTCTTTTCCTTTAAACCTGTCTTTAAGGATTGTTTTCCACCAGGTAAATTAAGGACTTGAGAGATCAAAATGTTTTGTTAGAGTCTTCTTAGAGACAAACACTATTTTATACACAGTAAAATTAGGTTGAGAAGTTTGAAACGCAAAGATTCTTCAGATCTCGCTGGTGCTGGAAAACACCTCTTACTGTGAATTGTGTTGTGCTGCCATTTTCCTGCCTTTCTGCCTCCCACACAGATGAGGACCTTTCATCTCCTGGTTCTTTCCCTATTTGAAGGGCTTTAGACACCAGATCAACAAAACATACTCATCTTAGGCTCAAGCCCTAATTTTACATAGCATACATAAGCACCATAATACAAGCTGCAAAATGATAGAGTTATAGGTGTTTCTTTTAAAAGATTCCTTAATTCCATGTCCTCCTGGTTCTTAAGATTGGCTTGGTAACACAAAAATCTTCTCATAAAAACAGAATCTTGCTTTGGCTGGCAGTTACCGTTTTACAAGTGCCAAATAGTTTCTATGGGTTGTGGTGAAGGAGAATCTGGGCACATGAGCGCTACGAAAGTTTTTTTTAAATTATACATGATGTACTAAAAAGTGGTCACAAAATGTGTATTCAGCACTCAGCAGTGAACCTACCAAGACTAGACCATACTGAGCACAGTCCGAGTGATTTAATATACAAGAAGGCAGACCCTTCTAGAAATGGTTTACAGAACTATCTGCAATCGTGCTTAGTCTTTTAATTATCTTGTGCTACTAATACATGGTTAGTCTTATCCACTTTCAACTTACAGACTGTTAAATCTTTGTACTATGAAATACTTAAGCAATTATGGAAAAACATTTTTTTTCTGGAGACAGTCTCACTCTGTCGTCCAGGTTGGAGTGCAGTGGCACGATCTTGGCTCACCGTAACCTCTGCCTCCCAGGTTCAAGTGATTCTCCTGTGTCAGCCTCCCGAGTAGCGGGAACTACAGGTGTGTACCACCACACCTGGCTAATTATTTTGTGTTTTTAGTAGAAATGGGGTTTCACCATGTTGGTCAGGCTGGTCTTTAACTCCTGGCCTCAAGTGATCCGCCTGTCTTGGCCTCAACAAAGTGCTGGGATTATAGACATGAGCCACCGTGCCCAGCCAGAAAAACATTTTTAATAAGTAATTTTTAAACCGGATTAACACAACTTATAATGCAGTAGCTATACTTTTGTTTAATCAACATATCAGTCTCCTTCATAATAAGTGATATTTCCAAACAAGATGTGTCTGGGAAAAAAAAAAAAAAAAAGAAGGAAAGAAGTCATCCCAATTCTGGAGAAGCCTCCTTTTCAGATCATCACAAACATTTCACTAAATGTCTCCCCTTGCAAGTCCTTTGGTAAATCTGATGTAAGATGGATATACAGATACAAAGGAGCACTCCTGTGCCTCGCTGTTATAAAGCAATAGCAATTCTAAAATATATTCACTCAATAGTCTACAAAAACTTATTAAGCATCTATTACATGTGAACCCATAAATGGCAGATTGCACATTCTTAAATGCTGGAAAGGATCTGTGTGTTAAACTCTTCCTCAAAGACACAAGACGACATCTTTCAGCAATCACATGTAAATCTATTATTCTGTTCTCTTTAGTTTGTTGAGAGGCTCCACTCCCAGAGAAACTTGGTCAATTAAAAAACATCAAGGAATAAACCACTTTTTCTACAAAATAAAGTCCTTTTCAATAGCCTTTAAATACACCTAAAATACCCACATCATTCCTTATACCAGTTATTTATTTATTTATTTTTATTGAGACGGAGTCTCGCTCTGTTGCCCAGGCTGGAGTGCAGTGGCACGATCTCAGCTCACTGCAAGTTCCGCCTGCCAGGTTCACACCATTCTCCTGCCTCAGCCTCTCCAAGTAGCTGGGACTACAGGTGCCCGCCACCACGCCCGGCTAATTTTTTTTTTGTATTTTTAGTAGAGACGGGGTTTCACCGTGGTCTCTATCTCCTGACCTTGTGATCCGCCTGCCTCGGCCTCCCGAAGTGCTGGGATTACAAGCGTGAGCCACCGCACCCAGCCTATACCAGTTATTTCTAAGATTCTTTTCTGACACATCTTTCTTGCTGCAATATGGTTGAATGTTTTCTGAAAGTAAACTCACTCTCCACCATTACTTCTCCCTCCCAGCCCCCCAAAATAGTAATTCATTGACTCCAAACATTATCCAAATACCTGCAGGCAGGGCAGACGCTAGTACAGAAGCATGTCAATCACTATCGTCTTATAGGATCATTTCCAAAATGACCGCTTTAAGGTCAATGTCAAGCAAATAATGTCCAATAGCAGGCCTATATATACTAAATCACCCAATAATAAAACGTTTTTGAAAAGAAATATGACCAAACTACTTTAAAAAAAAAAAAAAAAAGAAACAAATCACTAAGTACCTGATGCTCAAGACAAAGACAGAGATTAGCCCTGAGGAGGCACACTCACTTGCAAGACAGTAAAATTAACCAAAAATAATGCCTGGAAACAACCCAGGCTGTTCAGGATCTTTGCACTTGCAATACAAGTGAGACTGAATGTGGTCCCTGTCTCACACTTGGCCCAATGCCATGGGCAATGGAGGACTTTCTTTCCACACAAATGTAACAGTTGGGAGGTCAGATGGTCTGCTTAAAGAAACACTTCCTAAAAGAGATTTTCATTATTTTCATCCTAGAAAACCCATCACACCATGCTAAAGTGAAAAACAATTTACCTCTATAGCCTAAAAAACTATAAGCCTTATTTTCTTTTCTAGTTTTAAAACTTTATCAAGCTTCCGTCTCTCCTTCTCTAGGAGACATTCTCAAAAATAACAAAATTCAAGCACATACATTTGTAAACAGTTTTTAATCTAAACTTATACAAACATAGAAAACTTTTAACACAATAAAAATGAATACCTGTTCATGATCTGCTGGAGACTTTTAAAAGTAGTTCTGTGTGATATTTTCTTGACTATGAAGGGGCTTGGTTCAACATAATGGTTAACAGGCTTTTCCTTTCAGAAAAGGGAAACTGTAATCTGTAACCATGTGCCATCTACCTAGAAACACGACTGCATTTACCACCATCTTCATGCAAAACAGACCAGTGCCAAGACTCAGTTTCTAAGAAACCACCCTTGCTGCTAAGTAGCAACCAACAATGTTAAATCAGATCAAACTTCTGAGATGTAGCTTTCAATTCCACTCCCAGCTCTTGGCAATCCACTCCCCTGTGCCTCAGTTTCCCCAAAACACTTTATAATAGGATATTTGACAAAGCCTCACTTGTAGCAATCACTGAGTCAAAACACTAAAGGAATCCTGAGGCATGATAATACATTTTTTTTTTTTTTGAGATGGAGTCTCGCTGTGTTGCCCAGGCTAGAGTGCAGTGAAACAATCTCGGCTCACTGCAAGCTCTGCCTCCCGGGTTCACGCCATTCTCCCGCCCCCCAACACCTGGCTAATGTTTTTTGTATTTTTAGTAAAGACGGGGTTTCACCGTGTTAGCCAGGAGGGTCTCGATCTCCTGACCTCTTGATCCGCCCACCTTGGCCTCCCAAAGTGCTGGGATTACAGGCGTGAGCCACTGCGCCCAGCCGATAATACAATTCTTTAAAAAGAAAAGCATTAGGCCGGGCACAGTGGCTCACGCCTGTAATCCCAACACTTTGGGAGGCCAAGGTGGGTGGATCACCTCATGTCAGGAGTTCGAGACCAGCCTGACCAACACGGTGAAACCCTGTCTCTACTAAAAATACAAAATTAGCCAGGTGTGGTGGCACACGCCTGTAATCCCAGCTACTTGGGAGGCTGAGGCAGGAGAACTGCTTGAACCCAGGAGGCCGAGGTGAGCCAACATGGCGCCATTGCACTCCAACCTGGGCAACAAGAGCGAAACTCCGTTTCAGAAAGAAAGAAAAGAAAAGCATTATACAAATCCAGTGTGGTGAGTTTAAAACCATTCACTGAGCTTTGTACAACTTCAATAATTTCCTTATGCTTCCATTTCCTCATCCTCAAAGTAGGTTAACTTGTCTACTAATTACTACCTCAGAGATATGGTACAGCAATGTGCTTTCAGCTTCTAGAGGGAAAGTGTTAAAAGCAGGAAGCAGTATTAACCCACATAGTGTATTTTGCATTGCCCTGACAAAAGACCAGAAAATCTTGAACACTCTTAGAAAACTCCTTTTTTATCTGAATGTTCACAAGCTGCTAGTGGTCAACGAAGCTTGATTCGTAACCCTATCTCACAATAGAAAACAATGCTAAATTCGTTCTATGAGTTTGAAAATCATGTTTAACATAAACAATCTGAGAAATCAAAGGGTTTTTTTAAAAAAAGCAAACTACAAAAGATACTATGACCAAGAAGCTTATTGAGCCAGTCATGTTTAATGACAGCTTCAGTCATCAATTCTCATGTCTCTATATTTAAAGAACATAGGCTTTACATTCTTGCCAATAACTTTTCCTGTACTTACTTTCTAATTAAATCAAGAGTAAAGATGAAATTCAAACTGCATAAAATTTGTTTCTCTAATATTATAGCCAGAAGTAAAAATCATTCTCCACACAACTCATTAAAGAATTCAAAAGTACCACTGATTATCAACAGGCCAGAAATTATAAAGCCAAATTATATGTACCTTTTTTAAAAAGAGGGCGTTCCAGGAACAATGTTGTCTTTGTTCAGTTCTGAGAGGTTAAGTGGTTAATAAACTCTGGAAAATAAAAAATAATAATAATTTAGTAGGGTAGGTCTTTTCTCTGAAACTGAAGACATACTGCTCAAGTTTTGGGGAAACCTATAATTTACAAGTAGGGAAGACTGAAGGCATGACGTCATGGTTTGAGGCAGCATGCAGTAGAGTCTTCAAAAGACACAAGCGGCCAGACATGGTGGCTCATGGCCTGTAATCCCAACACTTTGGGAGGCCGAGGCGGGCAGACCACCTGAGACCCGGAGTTCAAGACCAGCCTGGCCAACATGATGAAACCCCATCTCTACTAAAAATACAAAAATTAGGCTGGGCATGGTGGCTCATGCCTGTAATCCCAGCACTTTGGAAGGCCGAGGTGGGAAATTACGAGGTTAAGAGATTGAGACTGCCAGGCATGGTGGCGCACGCCTGTAATCCCAGCACTTTGGGAGGCCGAGGCGGGTGGATCACGAGGTCAGGAGATCGAGACCATCCTGGCTAACACGGTGAAACTCCGTCTCTACTAAATGTACAAAAAATTAGCCAGGCGTGATGGCGGGGGCCTGTAGTCCCAGCTACTTGGGAGGCTGAGGCAGAATGGTGTGAACCCGGGAGACGGAGCTTGCAGTGAGCAGAGATCGCACCACTGCACTCCAGCCTGGGTGACAGAGTGAGACTCCGTCACAAAAAAAAAAAAAAAAAGAGATTGAGACCACCCTGGCCAACATGGGGAAACCCATCTCTACTAAAAATACAAAAATTAGCTGGGCGTGATGGCACACCTGTAGTCCCAGCTACTTGGCAGGCTGAAGCAGGAGAATCGCTTGAACCTGGGAGGTGGAGGTTGCAGTGACTCAGGATCGCGCCACTGCACTCCAGCCTGGCAAAAGAGCGAGACTCCGTCTCAAAGAAAATAAATAAATAATACAAAAATTAGCCAGGCATGGTGGCGCAGGCCTGTAATCCCAGCTACTTGGGAGGCTGTGGCACAAAAATGGCTTGAATGCAGGAGGCAGAGGTTGCAGTGAGCCAAGATCGCACCACTGCCCTCCAGCCTGGGCCACAGAGTGAGACTCCTCTGGGAAAAAAAAAAAAGACACAATTGCCTGGAAGCTGGGTGAAGAATATTTTGCAGAGACACATTTATAAGAGACAGCAGAACTTTCCTTTTCCAGTCCCAATTATTCCCTGATGAGAGTAATATGAATATCTCATAATGTTTAGGCTTTGTTTGTTCAGGTTTTTTTTTGAGATGGAGTCTTACCCTGTCCCCCAGGATGGAGTGCAGTGGCGTGATGTCGGCTCCCTGCAACCTCCGCCTCCCGGGTTCAAGCAATTCTCCTGCCTCAGACTCCTGAGTAGCTGGGGTTACAGGTGCCCGCTACCACGCCTGGCTAATTTTTTTATTTTTATTTTTAGTAGAAATGGCAGGGTTTTGCCAAGTTGTCCAGGCTGGTCTCGAACACCTGACCTCAGGTGCTCCACCCACCTCAGCCTCCCAAAGTGCTGGGATTACAGGCATGAGCCACCACACCCAACCTCATAATGCCTTTTTTTTTTTTTTTTGAGACGGAGTCTCGCTGTCGTCCAGGCTGGAGTGCAGTGGCGCAATCTCGGCTCACTGCAAGCTCCGCCTCCAGGGTTCACGCCATTCTCCTGCCTCAGCCTCCCAAGTAGCTGGGACTACAGGCGCCCGCCACCTCGCCCGGCTAATTTTTTGTATTTTTAGTAGAGACGGGGTTTCATCGTGTTAGCCAGGATGGTCTCGATCTCCTGACCTCGTGATCCGCCCGCCTCGGCCTCCCAAAGTGCTGGGATTACAGGCGTGAGCCACCGCGCCCGGCAATAATGCTTTTTAAAAGGAACTGTACATTACATATCGTCCGATCACATAAGACTGATTTTCAAACCTGTGTTTTCTTTCCCTTTATACCTACCACTTTATTCGTAAATGTCGTTGGCATATGCTTGGTGACCCAAATACAATTTTATGGAAAATTTTACCAAAAGGCATTGGGTACATAAATAGTGGCATATTAAATTGCAGAATATGAAAAAAGCACATTATCTCTAATAAGTCCAAATCATAATCATTTTTAGAAGTGAACTTTACATTACAGAATTTGAGTTTAATTCTCAAATTCTGCGGTCTGATTTATCTAGAGGTTCCTCAACTTAAATGGTAGTTGTCAGTAGTAACACAGAATTTCTTACCTTGAGATGCTTTTATACATTCTTACAACACTAAGTGTTTTTGCTTGTTTCAGTTTCTCACTGCTACTATGGCTTAACAGGCAATAAAAAATTGCTGTTCATTGTCTGATTGATTCCAGAAATAAATCATGAGCTCTAGTTTATTTTCTGGTATTTTAACAGCTCAGGTTCTTTTCATAGATAGTATATTATACTAACAACTTTCCAGTCTAGAGCTCAGTTGTTCTAATATCTCAGCTATTCAAAGACTGGCATGAATGGGAACTGAAAAAGGCCTCTGAGCAGCCCAAATACCAAAGACCTTCTAACATAGCCCATGCCTTTTACCAATAGGGGCCTCACCTGAGCCAAGAAGTTTTCTATGTTGAACAATTTTTGTAAGTTTGGGTGTCTAGTTTTTGTTTTGTTTCCAAATTCCCTATCCCCTATTCTGAGAAGCAGGGTGTCTAGTTTTTTTTTTTTTTTTTGAGACAGAGTCTCGCTCTGTTGCCCAGGCTGGAGTGCAATGGCGTGATCTCCGCTCACTGCAACCTCCGCCTCCCGGGTTCAAGCGATTCTCCTGCCTCAGCCTCCCGAGTAGCTGGGATTACAGGTGCATGCCACCATGCCCGGCTAATTTTTTGTATTTTTAGTAGAGATGGGTCTCACCATGTTAGCCAGGCTGGTCTCGATCTCCTGACCTCGTGATCCGCCCACCTCGGCCTCCCAAAGTGCTGCGATTACAGGCGTGAGCCACCGCACCTGGCCCAGGGTGTTCAGTTTTCTAGCCCAAAGCAGAAGTAAAAAATAAAGGCCAGGTGTGATGGCTCATGCTTGTAACCCCAGCACTTTGGGAGGCCGAGGCAGGTGGATCGCTTGAGCTCAGGTGTTTGAGACCAGCCTGGGCAACATGGCAAGACCCTGTCTCTATTAAAATAAAATTTAAAAATTTAAGGGCCGGGCATGTGGACTCACGCCTATAATCCCAGCACTTTGGGAGGCCGAGGGTGGCAGATCCCGAAGTCAGGAGATCGAGACCATCCTGGCTAACACAGTGAAACCCCGTCTCTACTAAAAATACAAAATAATTAGCCAGGCATGGTGGCGGGCGCCTGTAGTCTCAGCTACTCGGGAGGCTGAGGCAGGAGACTGGCATGAATTCAGGAGGCGGAGCTTGCAGTGAGCCGAGATCACACCACTGCACTCCAGCCTGGATGACAGAGTGAGACTCCGTCTCAAAAACAAAAAAAAAATTTTAAAACACACATAAAAAAAGCTAAATATAAGAACGGAAAAAGGAGCTGTTAGAGTCAGACATAAAGACAATGCTAAAAAATAACCATCATCAACTTAGCAAAGAAAGAAGAGAGAGAGAGAGGGGAGAAATACAGCAGTCATTTGGATCTCAAATACTTTTACACAGTGATAGCTGAGATTCATACAAACATTCATGTTTTGGCCAGGTGTGGTGGCTCACGCCTGTAATCCCAACACTTTGGGAGGCCAAGACAGAACTGCTTGAGCCCAGGAGTTCAAGGCCAGCCTAGGAAACAGAGGAAGACCCCATCTCTCCAAAAAGTTTAAAACTAGCTAGGCATGATGGCATGCACCTGTAGTCTCAGCTACTTGGAAGGCTGAGATGGGAGGACTGCTTGAGACCAGAAGATTGAGGCTGCAGTGAGCCCTGAGTGCACCACTGCACTCCAGCCTAGGCAATGAAGCAAGACTCCATCTCAAAAAACCAACAAAAATGCACATTTCCATATGCAAATCTATTTTTTGAAATCCTCCAATTTCAAAAGATAATCCAAAGCCATCATGATCATTATCAATATATCTATATAGTGCACACTTACCACTGCAATTTTCCCCAGTCAAGAATGCATACTAAACCAGGCACCGTGGCTCAGGCCTGTAATCCCAGCACTTTGGGAGGCCAAGGTGGGCCAATCACCTGAAGTCAGGAGTTTGAGGCTAGGCTGGCCAACATGGTGAAATCCCATCTCTACTAAAAATACAAAAATTAGGCCGGCGCAGTGACTCACACCTGTAATCCCAACACTTTGGGAGGCCAAGGCAGGTGGATCACCTGAGATCAGGAGTTCAAGATCAGCCTGGCTAACATGGTGAAACACTGTCTCTACTAAAAATAAAAAAAAATTAGTCTGGCATGGTGGCACATGCCTGTAATCCCAGCTACTTGGGAGGCTGAGGCTGAACAATCACTTGAACCCGGGAGGCAGAGGTTGCAGTGAACTGAGATTGGGTCACTGCACTCCAGCCTGAGTAACAGAGCGAGACTCTGCTTCAAAAATAAAATAAAATAAAAATATAAAAATTAGCCAGGCATGGCCGGGCGCGGTGGCTCACGCCTGTAATCCCAGCACTTTGGGAGGCCAAGGCGAGTGGATCACAAGGTCAGGAGATCAAAATCATCCTGGCTAACACGGTGAAACACCGTCTCCACTAAAAAAAAAAAAAAAAAAACAACTAGCTGGGCATGGTGGCGGGCACCTGTAGTCCCAGCTACTCCAGAGGCTGAGGCAGGACAATGGCGTGAACCCGGGAGGCAGAGCTTGCAGTGAGTCAAGATCGCGCCACTGCACTCCAGCCTGGGCGATAGAGCAAGACTCCATCTAAAAAAAAAAAAAAAAAATTAGCCAGGCATGGTGGTACGCACCTGTAATCTCAGCTTATCGGGAGGCTGAAGTGGGAAAATCGCTTGAACCTGGGAGGTGGAGGTTGCAGTGAGCCGAGATCACGCCACTGCACTCCAGCCTGGGCGACAAGAGCAAAACTCCACCTCAAAAAAAAAAAAAAGAAGATAAAAAGTAGCAAATTATAGAAAGTCCCTTATGCAAAAGAAAGCTTATTTCACTTTTATTCTTTTTTATGTTTGGTGCTTGAATAAATTCTCAACTAAAAGGAAAATTACTATACAGAAGTAGTCACTTGCTAAACATTACAGGTTGCAAAGGTTTACTCAATGACAAACCAAAAGGAAACTTATTTGCCTAACTATATTTGACTGTCATCTAGGTAAAGGGTCATGGAGCTTTCATGAGCAGGTTGGTTCAATTGTGCAACAAGGAAAATAAGCTTCCAAGCATAATGAGACTTATTATTACATATAAATTGTTCTTTCTGACAGAGGAAAGGACTGCCTAGCATTCTGCATAAAATCACAATGGCTTCAGCAGACAATGGCCCTATTTGAATCAGGGTGGAATCTGCAAGGGTAGAAAATTCATGCCTCAGTTAATTGTAATCTATAGAAGGCATGGATTTCAAAACAGCAAAGATAGGAGAGAATCAGACAAGATCTAGTTAGATCCTAAAGCTCATCTCTGAAGGGAGCTAATATAGTGACAATGTAAGCAGCATTATCTGCTCACTTCATGCCAAGGGGTATTTCCAACACCTATTAGTGATTAATGAGACATGCTATGTCATTACAGACTACAGGGTAGCCTCAGTTGAGGTTAAACACAAAATGGAACTTCAGACACCATTTCACTAAAAGCTCACATCCAAAGGCAGATTTAATTTCACTGATCCAGCCTTTCAAGACTAACCATAAGAGAAGACTGCCCAGGTGGAATACCAAAGAAGCTTCTGATTCAGATCACCGTTTCAAACAAAAGTAAAACAAAATTGTTCAGGAAGCAGTTCAATTCCAAACAGGAAGCTGTACTAAATACTCCCAACAGTATTAGCCACAAGAGGGATGTTAGAAAGGGCTAGGAAGCAAAGAGGACAACCAGCACCTATCCTATAAAGTTAATTGGAAGCTTAGTTAACTCATTTCCACTAAAGCAGAATGTTAGAATTCAGAAGAAATGAATTTTTTTTTTTAGCAACAACCTGGACTACAGTTCTTTTTTTTTTTTTCCCCCCCTGGATACAGAGTCTTGCTCTGTTGCCCAGGCTGAAGTGCAGCGGCACGATGTCAGGTCACTGCAAACTCCACCTCCCGGGTTCAAGCCATTCTCCTGCCTCAGCCCCCGGGGTAGCTGGGATTACAGGCACGTACCACCACACCCAGCTAATTTTTGTATTTTTAGTAGAGATGGGGTTTCACCATGTTGGCCAGGCTGGTCTCGAACTCCTGACCTCAGGTGATGCGCCTGCCTTGGCCTCCCAAAGTGACGGAATTACAGGCGTGGGCCACCATGCCAGCAATTTTTAACAAACCTGATGACACACGATAGCAGTAATTTAGGAGCTGGCCTCCTTTAACACAAAGGTTAATAAGACAGCCCCTCCCCACACACAAACCTGTGGATCAGCTTTAAGTTTTAGCTTAATTTGACATAACAAATAAAAGTAAACTGGAAAGCTATTTCAAGGGTCCATCTAAAAGACTATTACTTAACCAGACTTTCTTTCAAATTGATCTAGGGTTCTAATGAGCAAAATTCATCCTAGCTGCTGCGGTGGGGAGAGTCAGGGGAGGGCCACCAGTGACAAGCAGAATCAATTATCCTAAACAAAAAGCACCTAAGCATAATTTAGAGACAAAGCATGGTTCAGTGGAAAGAACACTGACTTTGGAGCCAGACCAGCCTGTGCTCTAGAACTAATACTTGGTGCCTCAGGACTCTGAGCCAGTTATCTGGCCCCTCGGAAGCGCATCAGCATCCTCAGCAATTATTATGAGCTTTACGCTGCAAAGATGTTTATGAGTATTAGAAATACAACATAAAGGGTCTAAGAAACCCTTTTCTTTGGTTCAAGGAAAGAGCTAAATGAACTGCAACTTTTATATTATTAGGTAAATTCAACCTGACCTTTTAATTCCTTTTCTGCATAAAATAACTTTCACCCTGTAATTCTAACCTGGCACATGGTAAGAGCTCAATAGCAGTAAATATTATTATCCAGCAAATTCACTAAACCTGTCCTTACACATAAACATCTATAAAACTTACAGCAACACTCCACTTGTAAAAAATTTTAAATAGGATCAGAGAATATGCTGACTAAAACCAACCCACTCACTGAGCAACCAGTTCTGTAGCTACATCAAGTATAGGGGCAAGGCCGGGAACAGTGGCTCAAGCCTGTAATCCTATCACTTTGCGAGGCTAAGGCAGGCGGATTGCCTGAGCTCAGGAGTTCGAGACCAGCCTAGGCAACATGGCAAAACCCCATCTCTGCTAAAAATACAAAAAATTAGCCGGGCGTGGTGGTGCTCAATTGTAGTCTCAGCTACTCGGGAGGCTAAGGCAGGAGAATTGCTTGAACCCAGGAGGTGGAGGTTGCAGTGAGCCGAGATGATACCTCTGCATTCCAGCCTGGGCAACAGAGCAAGACTATCTCAACAAAAAAAAAAAAAAAAAAAAAAAAAAAAAAAGCAGAGGCAATCTAATGAAGGTTTAACCCTCAGCAATCATGTTCATTCAGGGGAAAAGACCCCAATGTATTTAAATAGATTTTCTTAGCCTTTATTGTCTGGGAGACATGACACAAAATTTCTATCATAATAAAATGGCCAGTTTTGCTTCCATTACTGTTATAAACCCACATAGTCATCACACTTCTTTCCCAAATTAGATTCCAGATTAAACAGATGCCAGATGGGTTACAGATTTGATATTCAGAAGACTAATTTTTAATCGAAAGCAAACACTTTCTCAAATAGATTTTTCCACTTTTGCTTCCAGTAAATATACTTTGAGGGAGTTCCCTGAGTCTACTTCTTTAACAAATAAACATATGTAATCCCAGAAAATATACAGCAATTAACAGCCTGCAGAAATTTTTCTCTACTTCCATTTATCTGGTGACATAAATCACTGTTACATCAACCTTATTCACCAGTATGGGAATGTAAACACTTAAAAAACAAATTAAGCTATTTGCAGTAATTCCCATTTTACCACTTTAAAAATATTACTTTTCTCTGCAGTAAGGTTTTCTAGTTCAGAGCATTAAGCTGTCAACAAGACAGATATCCAAGCCCATCCATCCCGTGGCATTTGATAAGATCAACACAGCTATATATTTATAATCCTATTATCTCCTTAGCAGGTGAGAACAATGGATTTGGCCAACATTATTCAAGCTTCATAATACTGTATGGTAAAATGTTCATGACAAAGAGCAGAAGGTATGCCGGGCACAGTGGCTCACGCCTGTAATCCCAGCACTTCGGGAGGCCGAGGTGGGCGGATCACAAGGTCAGGAGATCGAGACCATTCTAGCTAACACGGTGAAACCCCATCTCTACTAAAAACACAAAAAAATTAGCCAGGCATGGTGGCGGGCACCTGTAGTCCCAGCTACTCGAGAGGCTGAGGCAGGAGAATGGCATGAACCCAGGAGGTGGAGCTTGCAGTGAGCCGAGATCACACCACTGCACTCCAGCCTGGGTAACAGAGCCAGACTCCGTCTCAAAAAAAAAAAAAAAAATAGTAGACGGTGTTCAGCACCATGAAACAGGGAGGCAAAAATAGAAAGTAGATGGTATCTAAAGAGATGTACAATAAAACTTCATAAACTTTGTTATATGTTTGAAATTTTTCATAATAAAATGGTGGGGGTAAATAACCATAGCAACTAACATGTCCTCTCATAGTTCAACTGATAACTGGCAATTTATATTTTTTGGAACAGCACAAATGGTATACAGCCTTGACTCTGGTGAAGTTTTATTTAAAGAAAAGCTCATGTAGAAAATTACACGAGAAGCATTTCAACCACAAATGTCTCCATCACCAGAAGTCAATGTAAAATAACCTGTTATAGGTCTAGTGTGAAACAAATCTGTCATAAAATTCTCTAAACATTTTTGAAAGCTCTAAAATCCCATTCTGAGAGAAAAGCAACTCCAAAGCTCTTATTTGAGAGGGGAGGAATTTATATTTCCTCAAATTGAACAATTCTGTGTCACTGGGTATCACATCAAATAAGAAGATCCAATTTAGAGGCTCATGAAAACAAGGCCTCTGCCTATAATCCCAGCTACTAAGGAGGCTGAGGTGGGAAGATGACTTGAGCTCAGGAGTTCAAGACCAGCCTGGGCGACAAACTCTGGGATTGACTTGTGGAATCCCACAAAAAGATACCCTTTTCATGAAAGTTTCATCTTTATACTGAATTACACTCTTACTCAATCCAGTAAAAAGGCTCAAAGAAAGTTGCCCCACAAACTGAGACTACCTTGTGGTATTGGGGAGAGAGACTGGATGAAGCAGTATCCATTTTGATAACACCCAGAATGATATCAATGATCTGGACTTTAGAATGGGGATGGAGGAGAGTTCCATGAGTCATGGCCATTTCTAAACTTAAAATACAGTAAATCCTCTCTTAACATAAGGGGTAGGTTCTTGGAAACTGAGACTTCCGACTAACACACGCTTATTGATACAAACAAGAGTTAGGTTCTAGGGCATATTTCTCATCAGAAAAATATCACCAAACTTTTAAATAAAGACCAAACACTTCGAATATTAAACACTGAAATAAATGTGAAGTATACATGCCTTTTTTTTTTTTTTGAGAAGTACTTTTGCTCTTGTTGCCCCGGCTGGAGTGCAATGGCACGATAACCGCTCACTGCAACCTCTGCTTCCCAGGTTCAAGCAACTCTCCTGCCTCAGCCTCCTGAGTAGCTGGGATTACAGGTGCCCGCCACCCAGCCCGGCTAATTTTTTTTATTTTTAGTAGAGACAGGGTTTCGCCATGCTGGCCAGGCTGGTCTCCAACTCCTGACCTCAGGTGATCTGCCCACCTCAGCCTCCAAAAGTGCTGGGATTACAGGCATGGGGTTGCAGTAAGCCGAGACTGCACCATTGCACTGCAGCCTGGGTGACAAGAGCTAAACTCCATCTCAAAAAAAAAAATTTTTTTTTTTACCACTTATTCCAGTTCAGGGTTGGGGTGGCTGGAGCCTATCTCAGCAGCTTAGGGTGCAAGGCCGGAACCAGTCCTGGACAGGACATCCACTGCAGAAAGCACTCACACTTACACACACAGCTCCACACACCAGTGAACCTCACGTGCACAGCTTTGGGATGTGGGAGGAAATCAAGAGTACCCAGAGAAAACCCATGCAGGGATAGGGAGAACGTGTAAACTCCACAGACAGTTTTTTTTCTCAACATTATCTTGAAACAACATTATTCAAGGACCTGCTGTAATCTGTATATACATGGACTTTCTGGCTGAAACCTAAAAGAGAGCAACTTATTCTCAAGAAACTATATTTATGGTAACAATTCTCAATGCTTAAAAGTTTTACGTTAAGCTTAATGGGAAGCACTACACATTTTTAAAAATGTGTTGTGTCCTTTCCCAGATACTAAATTGGCGTTTCTTTCCTAAATCAATTTTAAGAGGTGTATCTTTCCCCATCTTCCAGGTAGTCATAACTAAAACATAACATGTAACATTTCCACTGTACCTGATCAAGCTCAAAGTACACCTACAAAACTCAAATAACAGACCTAAAAGCTGAAAACTATTCACGACCAGAAATTTGAAAGTTATGCAACAAAGACATTTATAATATTTATAATATTCCTGTCAACTTCCATTGTAAGAGAGATCCTTTAGACACAAGAAAGAAAAACGTGAACACTTATGCTGTGATTTCATACTATTCACAAAAATTAAGGTTTCATTCATATTTGCTAAATTTGTTATTTGGAAATAGGGCAGACGGGGGCACTTTGGAAAACAATTCTATGTTAGAAGATTATCTTTTGCTTAATTCTTAACCTAAGGTAACAGCAGTATCTTTACACAACTACTGTAAAGAAACATTTTAAGTTTTCATTATGAATTATTAACTGTAGTTTAACTTTGACACAAAGTTATCTCTATTAAAGTGGGTTAAAAGGCAGGTCTCTGCCAAAACAGGACTGGGGAAATCTGTATTTGTTCGCTTTTCAATTATAGTCATTAATAGCTCAAGAATTTTTGCTTTTGTACACAATAAAGCAGCAAGGTTGTATTTTGATTTTGAGGAGCTGAAGGCATTGGATCAAGAGTTAATTTTCTTCTTCTTTTCTGCTGTACAGAAATCATGTATAAACAGAGAAGGGAAGCCCAACAAACAAAAATGAGAACTATTATTCTACTAAAAGTAAATTTTGTGACCTTAATCTGGGGCAATCTGGTAAAAGTCAAAATCGCTAATGTTGTGACACAATGTTTAAGATTTGTTTCAAAATAATCTAGTTTGTGTGGGGGGATACAACATGAAACAAAACCGACCTTGGCTATGAGTTAATAATTGTCAAAGCTAAGTGAGTGACTAACACATGGGGTTCTCCATACTATTCGAGTTTCGCATGTTTTCCAGAATAAAAGGTTTTTAAAAAATGGTATTTAAAATACCATTTCCCTATTGAAATATGCCATTGTGATATGGCAGTATTAGACATGCTTTATACTGCTTGTATAGTTGTTTGCTTATGTGTTTTTTTTGTTTTGTTTTTTTGGAGAGAGTCTCTCTCTGTCGCCCAGGCAACCTCCACCTCCCGGGTTCAAGCGATTCTCCTGTCTCAGCCTCGGGAGTAGCTGGGACTGCAGGCGCCCGCCACCACACCAGGCTCAAGAGATAGTCTCCATCTCCTGACCTCGTGATCCACCCGCCTCGGCCTCCCAAAAGTTCTGGGATTACAGGCGTGAGCCACCGCGCCTAACCTGCTTATGGAGGCCTAGGAGGGTGGATCACGAGGTTAGGAGTTCGAGACCAGTCTGGCCAACATGGCAAAACCCCGTCTCTACGAAAACTACAAAAATTAACACGGCGCGGTGGCGGGCGTCTGTAATCCCAGCTACTCGGGAGGCTGAGACGGGAGAATCTTTTGAACCAGGGTGGCAGAGGTTGAAATGAGCCGAAATCGCGCCACTGCACTCCAGCCTGGGCGACAGCGTGAGACTGTCTCAAAAAAAAAAAAAAATTCAAACAAACATTTTAAATTACAAACAATGGTAAGACTGTCAGAAAATTCTAGGAAAATGTCAAAAACAAGGAGGCCACTTTGCCGCATGTGTGTTAAGAGATGGGTATAAATCAAAATAGTTTCAGTTCACTAAGGAAATTTAATGCCTAAAACAATCCTAAGATACAGGAGGATCACTCAGGTAAACACACACTCCTTACTCATATAAAATTGAACACCCATAAGTTGCATTTCCTTAGAGTACACCTATAAAACTAAGTACAGAATTTTTAAAAACCCAGTATGTTTTAGTAAAGTTGCTGTTCTAAAAATCCCACCTGTCACCAGGATAACCGAAACTGCTCCCTCTACACTCCAACTGTATTTTTAGTTTTTACCTCAACAAGTAGCAATGCAATTTACACTTGGTAAGCACGGATTCCTGAAACGCCAAAATCAACCGGGAACCTGATTTAACTCCACCACGCTCTTAACAATGAAAGCTACAAGCAGAAGAGAAGTGTGACCTTAAAAACTTCCACACAGCCGAAGAACAGTGGCAGAACAGACTGAAGCACGTATCTTCGCGGAACAGAAGAAAACTTCCACACAAGCAATACTGCAACACGGAGGCGGGGCAAGGGCTTAAAAGGAAAGTCAGCCAACAGGGAGGGGTGAATATAAGCAAAGCTTCCGTGAAAAAAAACTTATCGAGGTGTAGAGCAAGACAAGACAGACAAATTTTTCCATCTCCGTACACCCCCCTTCAGAGCCCAACACACAGCAAGTGCTCTAGATAGGTTTGCTCAACTCAAGGGAAGCTTCTGCCAGCAACTTTCCCAGAAATGGAATGACAAGAAGAAGCTGGATGATGGCGGGGCGGGGAGAAATGGACAGGTTGCTCATCCTGCGGGAGATGGTGAATATCCTGCAGTTGCCTAAGCGGAGATGGAAAGAAACAGCATCCATCGTTTACAGACTGTCAACTACAGTGTCCCAATTAAGCGTACGCCCCTTTCAGATGTTAACAACTGAAAACAATGCCCTGGCTCTGGACATGGGCACGCGGAACACTGCAGCCTCTAAGAAACCCAAACGGATAGGTAGGTCAACTTCTATCCACTCTGCCCATTAAATTATACCTTCATATCACGCTAATAAATTATGCAGACGGTTTACTGGGACACGCTGTGGGTCTGGCACTCTGATAAGCGCTTTACACGCCCCATTTCACTGAACCTTAAGAGGCAGGGACGGTATTAGCAGCCCCTTTTCCAACCAAGACACAAAGACTTTTTAAGTGTCTTGCCTAACGGGGCAGAGCCGGGTTCGGCACCCGTTTTGGACACCTGGGCCGTGCTCTTAACCACTAAGCTACAGACCTGGGCCGGCGACACTGAGAGGCTCCAGCCCTCGGGGACCTGAAGCAGGGACCCCCCCCCCCCCCCGCCTGCGCCCCAGCCCCGGGAATAACTTCGGCATCCCCGCGCGCGCCATGCGGGACGAGGAAAGGCGGCCGCAGCACCTGTTTGTGGCACCGGTGAGGGCTGGAGGGGATGGGGGCGCCCGGGGCCAGGCCTCAGGGCGCCCCGAGGCGAGGGAACGCAAGAGGACCCGCCTCCTCCGGGAAGGCCCCGCGGGCTAGAGAGAGGCCCGGGAGAAGGCGGAGGGGTGCGCGGGCCCGCCGAGGCCTAGGCCCCACCCGCCGCCCACCTCCCCACCGCGGCGGCGCCCGCGAGGGCCCCACCAGGCCCGGCCCGGCCCGGCCGCCTCACCTGGCTGCTGCTCCGAGCTCGTCCCCCGGCCGGCGGTCCTGGGCGGTGGCGGCGAGGAGGGGAAGGAAGAAGGAAAAAAGGGAGAGGAAGAAGGGACGAAGGGAGGGAAGAGGCGGAGTGGCCGTGGAGGAGGCGGGCGCCGCCGGGCCGGGGGGGGGAGGCGGTCAAAGGAAGCGGGAGCCGAGAGAGACGCGGCAGCCGCCGGCGCAAACGCTGAAGAGCCGCTCAGGCGCCCGCAGCCCGGCAGGAAGTGACGGGGGAGGGGCAGGCGCCCGCCCCCGGCCCCCGCCCGCCTCCAGGCCCGGCCCCGGCCCCACCCCCACCCACGGTCCGAACCACAAGTTCCGGCTGGCACTGCGGCGGAGCCTGCGCTCGCAAGGCACGCCGGGGGCCCAGCGGGAGGAGCGCCCTGTCCCGCCTGGACCGCAGCGGCCCGTCCTGAGTCCCGGGGCCTGCCGGGAGTTGTAGTTCTGGTGGGAGTTTCGCGCTGCCTGCTGGACTCGAAGCGGGTCTGGGAGAACCCAGCCTACCTTCTTTCCTCCTCCACTTCCTTTTTCCTTCCTTGCTGTCGCTTCTTCCTCTTGTCCTGCCTCTGGCCTTCCTTTCTCTCCTTCCTGCAGTTGTTTCTTCCTCCATCTGTAAATGTTCATTAAATGCTTGCCATATGCAAGGCATTGCTCCAAGAGCTAAGAATGTAGTGGTGAACTGACAAAAATCCCTGCCCTCGTGGAGCTTACATTCTTGTGTAAGTAAAATACACAATAAATAAAATTGAAAAATGTGTAGTGAGATAAAAGACAATGGCCCGGGCGCGTTGGCTCAGGCCTCTAATCCCGGCACTTTGGGAGGCCGAGGCGGGCGGATCACTAGGTCAAGAGATCGAGACCATCCTGGCTACCACGGTGAAACCCCCGTCTCTACTGAAAATACAAAAAATTAGCCGGGCGTGGTGGCGGGCGCCTGTAGGTAAACAGCTACTCGGGAGGCTGAGGCAGGAGAATCGCTTGAACCCGGGAGGCGGAGATTGCAGTGAGCTGAGATCGCGCCGCTGCACTCCAGCCTTGGCGACAAAGAGACACTGGTCTCAAAAAAAAAAAAAAAAAAAAAAAAAAAAAAAAAAAAAAAGACGAGAAGTGCCAGATTACTATTTATTTCACCCAGACCTAGATAAACTAAGTGGTTTTTAGCAGCTGTATTGTATGGGAGGTTGGAGAGAGGGTGGCCAGTAAAGAATCTTGGCCAGGCGCAGTGGCTCACGCCTGTAATCCCGGCACTTTGGGAGGCCGAGGTGGGCGGATCACCTGAGGTCAGGAGTTCGAGACCAGCCTGACTAACATGGTGAAACCCCGTCTCTACTAGCCGGATGCAGTGGTGGGCGCCTGTAATCACAGCTACTTGGGAGGCTGAGGCAGGAGAATCTCTTGAACCCGGGAGACGGAGGTTGCAGTGAGCCGAGATCACGCCATTGCACTCCAACCTGGGCAACAGAGTGAGACTCTGTCTCAAAAAAAAAAAAAAAAAAAAAAAGAATCTTGAACTTCTGCACACTCAGCGAAAATTATGCTCGCGTTGTGAGAGGTCCAAGAAACTGAGAATGAATGAAGGAACTGCAGGTGCACAGAGCTTCTCTCTCCCGCTCACTCTGGGACTGCCGCCCCACTATTTAAAAATAATTCTCTCTTTCTTAAATGTCTCTCAATCTAATAATTGCTCAATCTCTCTTGCCAACGGAATATAAATTCAAAATACGAGCTGCTGTGTCTGAAGAGGCCCCTCCAAACAAGGCTTTGGAGCCTTAGCGAAGCCTGGGAGGACACTTGCCTCCTTACATTGCTTCTTGTGAAGTGCAATGACACTGAATTTCAGAACACCAAAAATAGTCAAAGGACTTTCACCGTCCCTTTAGTGCCCATCCAAGACAGTAGTAAGCAACATTCAGATATTGTCCAGCCCTCTGCTAAAAGTGATCTTTTCTTTCTAACTTCCAAGCAGTGTGGATCCCATACCTCCTTGGGTAAAGGAGCAGATGCAGAGAGGTCTCCCTAAACCCAAAGCTGCGCACAATCAGACAATCTCGTCAAAGGTGATTTTGCTATCACCCATAGGGACAAAAGTGGTGGGTCTATGACTTCCAGTCTCAATTTTCTTCCCTCTTTCCTCCTTCCGCATCTTTTTTGTTTTTTTCTTGAGACAGGGTCTCGCTCTGTCACCTAACTAGAGTGCAGTGGCATGAGCACAGCTAACTGCAGCCTCAACCTCCTGAGCTCAAGAAATCCTCCTACCTCAGCCTCCTGAGTAGCTGGGACCACAGGCATGTGCCACCACTCCCAGCTAATTTTTTAATTTTTTATAGAGACAGGGTTTTACTAAGTTGCCCAGGGTCTTACTAAGTTACTAAGTTGACCAGGCTGGTCTCAAATTCTAGGCTCAAGCAATCCTCTTGCCTCAATCTTCCAAAGTACTGGGGGGATTATTCCAGGTGTGGGCCACCATACCTGACCAGGAGTAGGTCACCTAGATTTGTTTTCTTCTGTTTGTACCTAGAAACTATCAGTCAAGTTCTCTTCCAAGGTCCTGAAGACCTCTTGAGTCTTGCTAAGTAATTAAGGAATCATTTTTCTTTACCTTGAGAAAAAGATGGAAGCTGTGTGTTCTTGGTTCACAAGAAACTGTGAGCATTAAGTATGTTACGATAAATTATGTGTGTTCCTTCTCACAAGATAAATTATGTGCATCTGTACTAAGGAATGGGAACATGCAAAACTCATAAAAGCCCTGTGAGATGCTGAATTTTTTTTTTTTTTTTTTGAGACAGAATCTCACTCTGTTGCCCAAGCTGAAGTGCAATGGTGTGATCTCGGCTCTCTGATGCAAAGCTCATAAAAGCCCTGTGAGACATTTATTTTTATTTTTAATTATTTTTTTTTTTTGAGACAGAGTCTCCCTCAGTCACCCAGGCTAAAGTGCAGTGGCGCGATCTCGGCTCACTGCAACCTCCACCTCCCGGGCTCAAGCAATTCTCCTGCCTCAGCCTCCCGAGTAGCTGAGACTACAGGCGCTTGCCACCATGCCCTGTAATTTTTGTGTTTTTAGTACAGACGGGGTTTCGCCATGTTGGCCAGGCTGGTCTCGAACTCCTGGCCTCAGGTGATCCACCCGCCTCGGCCTCCCAAGGTGCTGGGATTACAAGTGTGAATGTTAACCTCTGATGAATTATCTGTTCCACTCTCATAGCCTCTTAGTAGAACTTTGCACCCTTATAATTTTCAATTATCTGTTGAGTATATCTATTAGGCTAGAACTAAGTGATCAACTTCCATGACAGCAGAGACTCAGCCTGTCTTAGTAGTCATGATGGTCCCTGGCCCATAACACAGTGCCAGGGACACAATAGTACATGATAAATTTCCGTAGACTGCTGAAAAATTACAGCCTTGCTTATCTCTGCGCAAGTCCCTAAGAAACAGGGAACACCTGTAGGGTTGATTGGTGTATGTCAGGGTCACCTGTGGTATGTGTAGCACAGGAGAACAAGGTTGAGAACTACTTGCTGGCCTAAATAAGTAATTCCCAAGCTTATTTGAGGTAGCCTGCACTCCTAGGGATATATCAGAATCTAAGAGCAACAATTAGAAGACATAAAAATATAATGGGGCCGGGCGCAGTGGCTTACACCTGTAATCCCAGCACTTTGGGAGGCCAAGGCAGGCGGATCTCTTGAGGTCAGGAGTTCGAGACCAGCCTGGCCAACATGGTGAAACCCCATCGCTACTAAACATACAGAAATTAGCCAGCCGTGGTGGTATGCAACTTTAGTCCCAGGTACTCGGGCATGTGAGGCAGGAGAATCACTTGAACCTGGGAGGCAGAGGTTTCAGTGAGCTGAGATCACGCCACTGTATTCCAGCCTAGGCAAGAGAGCGAGACTCCATCTCAAAAAACAAAATGAGGCTGGGCACGGTGGTTCACGCCTGTAATCCCAGCACTTTGGGAGGCCGAGGAGGGCAGATCATGAGGTCAGGAGATCGAGACCATCCTGGCTAACATGGTGAAACCCCATCTCTACTAAAAATACAAAAAATTAGCTGGGCGTGGTGGCAGGCACCTGTAGTCCCAGCTACTCGGGAGGCTGAGGCAGGAGAATGGCGTGAACCCAGGAGGCAGAGCTTGCAGTGAGCTGAGATCGAGTCACTGCACTGCAGCCTGGGAAACAGAGCGAGACTCCATCTCAAAAAAAAAAAAAAAAGAAAAAACAAGAGAAAAAAGATATAATGGAAGATCCCATTTACAAAGCAGTGGAAAAATAAAAATACCTAGAAATAAACTTTACAAGAAATATGCACAATCTGTGTGAAGAAAAAATGTTTAATTCTGCAAAAGAATACAGAAAAAGACTTGAACAAAGAGAAATACAGGTTATGGTATTGGCTAGGAAGGTTCCATCCAGATCATTAAGATATCAGTTGATCAAGACATTGAAGGACAGCCTGGCCAACGTGGCAAAATCCCAACTCTACAAAAAAAGTACAAAAATAATTAGCCGGGTGTGGTGGCATGTGCCTGTGGCCCCAGCTACTTGGGAGGCTGAAGTGGGAGAATCGCGTGAGCCCAGGAGGTTGAGGCTGCAGTGAGCTGTGATTGCACCACTGCACTCCAGGCTTGGAGTGAGACCCTGACTCAAAAAATACATTAAAATTTAAAAAGACATTGAATGAGATCCCAAGAAAAATAACAAACAGGATTTTGTTTTGGATCTCTATGAGCCATGTCTAAAGTCTTATGGAAAAATTAATAAGAAAAATAACCAAGAACTTTCTGAAAACTCCTGACCAAATAGCAAACATACTATTGGTAAAGCATTACCAATTAAAATAGTTAGATGCTAGTGCCTGATTAGTTCCACAATCAATGGAAGAGATATTTCCAGATAGACACAAACACATGTATGAATTTAATACTCAGTAAAAGTGGTATTTCAAGGCTGGGTGCAGTGACTCACGCCTGTAATCCCAGCACTTTGGGAGGCCAAGGTGGGCGGATCACTTGAGGTCAGGAGTTTGAGATCAGCCCGGCCAACATGGTGAGATCCCATCGTTACTAAAAATAGAAAAATTAGCTGGGCATGGTGGCAGGCGCCTGTAATCCCAGCTACTGGGGAGGCTGAGGCACGAGAATCGCTTGAACCCAGGAAGTGGAGGTTGCAGTGAGCCGAGATCACACCACTGCACTGCAGCCTGGCCAACAGAGCAAGACTCTGTCTCTAAAGAAAAAAAAAAGGCCGGGCCGGTAGCTCACACCTGTAATCCGAGTTCTTTGGGAGGCCAATGCCAGGGGATCACAAGGTCAAGAGATAGAGACCATCCTGGCAAACATGGTGAAACCCCATCTCTACTAAAAATACAAAAAGTAGCTGGGCGTGATGGTGCCCACCTGTAGTCCCAGCTACTCAGGAGGTTGAGGCAGGATAATCGCTTGAACGCGGGAGGCGGAGGTTGCACTGAGCCAATATCATACCACTGCAACTCCAGCCTGGGCCTGGCAACAGCGCAAGAATCCGTCTCAAAAAAACGGGCCGGGCGCGGTGGCTCACGCCCTGTAATCCCAGCACTTTGGGAGGCCAAGGCAGGCGGATCACGAGGTCAGGAGATCAAGACCATCCTGGCGAACACAGTGAAACAACGTCTCTACTAAAAAATCCAAAAACTTAGCCAGGCGTGGTGGCGGGTGGCTGTAGTCCCAGCTACTCAGGAGGCTGAGTCAGGAGAATGGCGTGAACCCGGGAGGCGGAGCTTGCAGTGAGCAGAGATCGCCACAATGCACTCCACTGTGGGCAACAGAGACTCCATCTCAGAAAAAAGAAAAAAAAAAAAGTGGTATTTCAAATTGGTGAGGAAAAGATAGATTTCATTTTATAAATACTTTGAGACAACAAGGTAGCTTCTGGGGCAGGGGGAATTAAATGTGTACTTCATATTACATACCAGGGAACATACCAAATTGATCAAATATTTAAATAGAAGAAAGGAAACTGGGCTGGGCACTGTGGCTCCCACCTGTAATCCCAGCACTTTGAGAGGCCAGGGCGGGCAGATCACCTGAGATTGGGACTTGAGAGACCAGCCTGAGAAACATGGAGAAACCCCGTCTCTACTAAAAATACAAAATTAGCTGGGCATGGTGGCGCACGCCTGTAATCCCAGCTACTCAGGAGGCTGAGGCAGGAGAATCACTTGAACCTGGGAGGCAGAGGTTGCAGTGAGCCAAAATCGTGCCATTGCACTCTAGCCAGGGCAACAAGAGCGAAACTCCGTCTCAAAAAAAAAAAAAAAAAAGAAAAGAAAAAGAAAAAAGAAAGGAAACTGGCCAGGCATGGTCACCCATGTCTATAATCCCAGCACTGTGGGAGGCCAAGGTGGGAGGATTGCTTGAGCCCAGGAGTTCGAGGCTGCAGAGAACTATTATTATTACTATTATTATTTTGAGACAGAGTCTCGCTCTGTCGCCCAGACTGCAGTGCAGTGGCACGATCTCAACTCACTGCAACCTCCACCTCCTGGGTTCAAGCAATTCCTCGTGCCTCGGCAGCCCAAGTAGCTGGGATTACAGGCGCACACCACTACACCTGGCTTATTTTTGCATTTTCAGCAGAGATGGGGTTTCACTCTGTTGGCCAGGCTGGTCTCCAACTCCTGACCTCAAGTGATCCACCCACCTCAGCCTCCCAAAGTGTTGGAATTACAGGCATGAGCCACCCTGTCAGCTTGTAATGAGCTATGATCTCACCACTGCACTCCAGCCTGGGCAACAGTGAAACCCTGTGTCAAAGTAAAAAAAAAAATAATAATAACGGGAAACCATAAAAGTACCAGAAGAATTCCTGCAAGAATGTTTGTATCACTCTGAAGTGGAGAAGACTCTTTTAACTATAACACAAAATTCGGAATCCTTAAAGGAAAAGATCAATTCATTGACTCAGGAAAATAAAAAATGTGATAAGAGGAAATACAAAGACAAATGATAAACTGGAAAAAATTTGCATCTCAGAGAGGATGATTTCACAAATTTCATGACATGTAAGGAATTACTTTGAATAGCAGAATGATTAACAACCCAATGAAAAATGATTAAAAGATAGCAACAGGCTGGGCGCTGTGGCTCACGCCTGTAATCCCAGCACTTTGGGAGGCCGAGGCAGGCGGATCACGAAGTCAAGACATGAAGACCATCCTGGCTAACACGGTGAAACCCCGTCTCCACTAAAAATACAAAAAAATTAGCCAGGTGTGGTGGCAGGTGCCTGTAGTCCCAGCTACTCGGGAGGCTGAGGCAAGAGAATGGCGTGAACCCGGGAGGCGGAGCTTTGTGAGCCGAGATCGTGCCACTGCACTCCAGCCTGGGCGACAGAGCAAGACTCCGTCTCAAAAAAAAAAAAAAAAAAAAAAAAAAGATAGCAACAGACAGTTCATGGGAAAGGAAAAACAAATGGTTCTTAGAAATAACAATGTAGGCTGGGCGCCGTGGCTCACGCCTGTAATCCCAACACTTTGGGAGCCCAAGGTGGGCAGATCACCTGAGGCTGGGAATTTGATACCAGCCTGACCAACATGGAAAAACCCCGTCTCTACTAAAAATACAAAATTAGCCAGGCATGGTGGCACATGCCTGTAATTCCAGCTACTTGGGAGGCTGAGGCAGGAGAATTGCTTGCACCCAGGAGGCGGAGGTTGCAGTGAGATAGCGCCATTGCACTCCAGCCTGGGCAACAAGAGTGAAACTTCCTCTCAAAAAAAAAAAAAAAAAAAGAAAAAAGAAAAAAAAAAAACAAAGAAACAACAACGTAATGGCTGGGCCGCTGGCTCATGCCTGTAATCCTGGCACTTTGGGAGGCCGAGGCGGGTGGATCACTTGAGGTCAGGAGAATAGCCTGAACCCAAGGAGGCGGAGGTTGCAGTGAGCCGAGATCACACCACTGCACTCCAGCCTGGGCGACAAAGCAAGACTCCATCTAAAAAAAAAAAAGAAAGAAAGAGAAAAAAAGAGGCCGGGCGCGGTGGCTCACGCCTGTAATCCCAGCACATTGGGAGGCCGAGGCGGGCGGATCACGAGGTCAGGAGATCAAGACCATCCTGGCTAACACAGTGAAACCCCGTCTCTACTAAAAATACAAAAAATTAGCCGGGCAAGGTGGCGGGCGCCTGTAGTCCCAGCTACTCGGGAGGCTGAGGCCGGAGAATGGCGTGAACCCCGGGGGGCGGAGCCTGCAGTGAACTGAGATCGCGCCACTGCACTCCAGCCTGGGCGACAGCGAGACTCCGTCTCAAAACAAAACAAAAAAAAAAAAAAAAGAAGAAGAAGAAGAAGAAAAGAAAGAAAAGAAATAGCAACATGAGGCCAGGTGTGGCAGCTCACGCCTGTAATCCCAGCACTTTGGGAGGCCGAGGCCGGCAGATCTCCTGAGCTCAGGAGTTTGAGACCAGCGTGGCCAACATGACGAAATAAAAATAGCCCGGCGTGGTGGCGCATGCCTGTAATCCCAGCTCCTCTCGAGGGGAGAATCATGAATCGTTGAAACCCAGGAGCCGGAGGCTGCAGGCTGCAGTGAACAGACATGGCACCACAGTACCCCAGCCTGGGTGACAGCGAGACTCTGTCTCAAAAAGGAAAAAAAGAAAAAAAAAAAAAAGAAACAGCAACGTGAATTCAAGGATATTAACAGAAGCACAGTTTGTAATAACAAAAGTTTAGAAATAACATCAATGGTTCGGACGTGGTGGCTCACGCCTGTAATCCTAGCACTTTGGGAGGCCGAGGCAGGCGGATTGCCTGAGCTCGGGAGTTCAAAACCAGCCTGGGCAACATGGTGAAACGTCTCTACTAAAATACAAAAAAATTAGCCAGGCGTGGCGGCATGCACCTGTAGTCCCAGCTACTCGGGAGGCTGAGGCAGGAGAATAGCTTGAACGCGGGAGGTGGAGGTTGCAGTGAGCCGAGATCGCACCACTGCACTCCAGCCTGGGTGACAGAGTGAGACTCTGTCTCCAAAAAATAAAATAAAATAAAACAAAATAACATCAATGTCCATCAACCTAAGCTTGGCTAAATAAGTCATGACATATTCATACAATAGAATAATGATCAGTAGTTAAGAAAAAAAAAAAAAACGAGGAAGGACCCCATAAAGAGAATGAAAAAGCAAGTCGCAGATTTGGAGAAAACATTTGTAAAATAAAAAGTTGTATTTGGAATACATACATATATACATATACATAATTTTCTTTTCTTTTTCTTTTCTTTTTTTTTTTTTGCGATGGAGTCTTGCTCTGTTGCCCAGACTGGAGTGCAGTGGCGCGATCTCAGCTCACTCCACCTCTGCCTGCCGGGTTCCACTGCTTCTCCTGCCTCAGCCTCCCGGGTAGCTGGGATTACAGGCATGTGCCACCAGGCCCAGCTAATTTTTGTATTTTTAGTAGAGACGGGGGTTTTGCCATGTTGCCCAGGCTGGTCTCGAACTCCCGACCTCACGTGATCCAACCTCCTCGGCCTCCCAAAGTGCTAGAATTACAGTCATGAGCCACGGTGCTGGGCCTACGATTTTCATTTTTATTTTTTTCTTCCAGTCAGAATCTTGTTCTGTTGCCCAGTCTGGATAGCTTGATCTTGGATCACTGCAGCCTCAAACACCTAGGTTGAAGCAAACTTCCTGCCTCAGCCTCCCAAGTAGCTGGGAATACAGGTGCACACCACCACCGCCAACTCATTTTTTTTAATTCTTATTAGAGACAAGGGGCTCACTATGTTGCTCAGGCTGGTCTCTAACTCCTGGCCTCAAGAAATCCTCTGGCCTCAGCCTACCAAAAGTGCTGGGATTATAGGCGTGAGCCACACTGCCCAGCCATATCTGGAATATATTAAGAACTCTTACAGCTTAGCAATAAGAAAAACAAATGGGCAAAAGATCTGTACAGACATTTTGCCACAGAAGTTTATAAAAGTATATGAGTGGCAAATGAGCATATAAAAAGATGTCATTAGGAAATGCAAATAAAACACACATATACATACACATGGGATATACCATTACACATTTATTAGAATGTCTAAAATTAAAAATAAAAATAGGCCGGGCGCGGTGGCTCACGACTGTAATGCCAGCACTTTGGGAGGCCGAGGTGGGCAGATTATGAGGTCAGGAGTTCAAAACCAGCCTGATCAACCTGGTGAAACCCTGTCTCTACTAAAAATAGAAAAATTAGCTGGGTGTGTGCCTGTTATCCCAGTTTACTCAGGAGCCTGAGTCAGGAGAATGACTTGAACCCAGCAGGTGGAGGTTGTAGTAAGCTGAGATCATGCAACTGCACTCCAGCCTGGGCAACACAGCAAGACTCCATCTTACAAATAAAAAATAAAGAAATAATATATAAAAATAAGAATGGGATGGGCATGGTGGCTTATGCCTGGAATCCCAGCACTTTGGAAGCCCAAGACAGACAGATCACTTGAGGTCACTAATTCAAGACTAGCCTGGCCCACATGATAAAACTCCATCTCTACTAAAAATACAAAAATGGCCAGGCACTGTGGCTCCCGCCTGTAATTTCAGCACTTTGGGAGGCCGAGGCGGGCAGATCACGAGGTCAGGAGATCAAGACCATCCTGACTAACACTGTGAAACCTTGTCTCTACTAGAAATACAAAAAATTAGCTGGGCATGGTGGCATGTGCCTATAGTCCCAGCTACTTTTGAGGCTGAGGCAGGAAAATCGCTTGAACCCAGGAGGCAGAGGTTGCAGTGAGCCAAGATCGTGCCACTACACTCCAGCCTGGGTGACAGAACAAGATGAGACCCCGTCCCCCTGCCCCCCCGCCAAAAAAATACAAAAATTAGCTGGGCGTGGTGGTGGGCACCTGTAATCCCAGCCACTCGGGAGGCTGAGGCAGGAGAATCACTTGAACCCGGGAGGCAGAGGTTGCAGTAAGCCGAGATCGTGCCACTGCACTCCAGCCTGGGCAACAGAGAGAGACTCCATCTCGAAACAAAACAAAACGGACAACACCAAATAGGAGAATGTAGAGCAACTGGAACTTTTTGGACTACAGGTGCATACCATCACGCCTGGCTGATTTTTTTTATTTTGAGATGGAGTCTCGCTCTGTTGCCAGGCTGGATTGCAGTGGCGCGATCTCGGCTCACTGCAACCTCCACCTCCTGGGTTGAAGTGCTTCTCCTGCCTCAGCCTCCCGAGTAGCTGGGACTACAGGCATGCGCCACCACGCCCAGCTAAGTTTTGTATTTTTAGTAGAGATGGGGTTTCACCATGTTGGCCAGGATGGTCTCAATCTCTTGACCTTGTGATCCGCCCACCTCGGCCTCCCAAAGTGCTGGGATTACAGGCCTGAGCCACCGCGCCCGGCCATGTTTATTTTATTCTTTATTTTTATTTTTATTTTATTTTTCTTTTATTTACTTATTTTTTTGAGACAGAGTCTTGCTCTGTTGCCCAGGCTGGAGTGCAGTGGTGCGATCTTGGCTCACTGCAACCTCTGCCTCCCAGGTTCAAGTGATTCTCCTGCCTCAGCCTCCCGAGTAGCTGGGATTACAGGCGCCTGCCACCACGCCCAGCTAAGTTTTGTATTTTTTAGTAGAGACGGGGTTTCACCACATTGGCCAGGCTGGTCTTGAACTCCAGACCTCAGGTGATCCAACTGCCTCAGCTTCCCAAAGTGTTGGGATTACAGATGTCAGCCACTGCACCCGGCCATATTTTTTTATAATTTGTAGAGATGGGATCTCACTATATTGCCCAGGCTGGTCTGCAACTCGTGGCCTCAAGAGGTCCTCCCACCTTGGCCTCCCAAAGTGTTGGGGTTACAGGTGTGAACTGCTGCACCCAGCCAGGAACTCTTATTCATTGCTGATGGGAATGCAAAATGGTACAGCCACCTGGTATGACAGTTTGGCAGTTTCTTACAAAGTTTAAGATATACTTATCATACAACCCAGCAGTCCCAGTCCTAGGTGTTTACACAACTTAATTAAAAACTTATATTCACACTAAAATCTTACACCCATGTTTATAGTAGCTTAATTCATAAGAGCCAAAACCTGGAGACAATCAAAATGTCCTTCAACAGGTGACTGGATAAACAAACTGGTACATTTGTAAAATGGAATCCAACTCAGTAATAATAAAGAACAGGAGCGGCCAGGTGCGGTGGCTCACGCCTGTAATCCCAGCACTTTGGAAGGCCGACGCGGGCGGATCACAAGGTCAGGAAATCGAGACCATCCTGGCTAACAGGGTGAAACACCGTCTCTACTAAAAATACAAAAAAAATTTAGCTGGGCGTGGTGGCGGGCGCCTGTAGTCACAGCTACTCGGGAGGCTGAGGCAGGAGAATGGCATGAACCTGGGAGGCGGAGCTTGCAGTGAGCCGAGATCGCACCACTGCACTCCAGCCTGGGCGACAGAGCAAGACTCCGTCTCAAAAAAAAAACAAACAAACAAACAGGAGCTGTGTCCATGAAACAACATGGATAAGCTTTAATTGCATCTCTCTAGGTGGAAAAAACTTAGACCCAAAAGCCCCCATATTGTTTGCTTCCATTTCTATGGCATTCTGGAAAAGGTAAAATTATAGGGACAGCAAATACATCAGGCCCAGTGCAGTGGCACTTTGGGAAGCCCAGGAGGGAGGATCACCTGAGCCCAGGAGTTTGAGACCAGCCTGGGCAATATAGTGAGATGCCGTCTCTACCAAAAAAACCCACAAAAAGTAGCCAGGTATGGTGGTGCACGCCTGTAGTCTCAGCTGCTCAGGAGGCTGAGGCAGGAGGATCACTTAAGCCTGGGGGACTGAAGCTGCAGTGAGCCGTGATCATGCCACTGCACTCTGCACTTCAGCCTGGGCACAGAGTAAGACCCACTCTCAAAAAAAAAAAAAAAAAAAAAAAAAAAAAGAAGAAGAAGAAGAAAAGAAAAGAAAAGAAAACAGATCAGTGAGATCAGTGGTTGTCAAGGGCTGGGGAAGGGAAAGGAAGTTGATGGAACTGTTCTCTATGCTACTAAAATGGTAGATATATGACCGAATATTTCAAAACCCTTATGCAGTAACCTTTATTGTACACAAATATTTAAGAATAAACAAGGATGTCTGAGGATACGAGGATGGAATGAAAACTGTGACAAACTAATGTCATTGATGAGGAAGGGAGAAAAAAAAGTCACTGACTTAATTAACTTTGGAAAATGTGTTTTGACTGGCTAAGGCAAAAGCCAAAAGAACTGCACATTGACACTGTACTCCAGTTGGTAAATTTGTCTCTCACAAAAATGGGGAATATTGGCCTGGGCATGGTGACTAACGCTTGTAATCCCAGCACTTTGGGGGGCTGAGGCGGGAGGATCACCTGAGATCAGGAGTTCAAGAGCACCCTGGCCAATATGGCAAAACACCATCTCTACTAAAAATATAAAAATTAGCCGGGCGTTGTGGCAGGCACCTGTAATTCCAGCTATTCAGGAGGCTGACGCAGTAGAATCGCTTGAATCCGGGAGGCAGAGGTTGCAGTGAGTCAAGATCACACCACTGCACTCCAGCCTGGGTGACAGGGCAAGACTCTGTCTCAAAAAAAAAAAAAAAAAAAATGGGGAGGGGGGAATATTAAAATATTGTGAACTGAATGAAGACAAAATTACATGTCAGAAATTTGGAGATGCAGCTAAAGAAATACTTAGAGGGAAAGTTGTAGCATTAAATGTTTATATTAGAAAATAAGAAATGCCTCAAATCAGTAACCTAATTTTCTACCTTAAGAAACTAGAGGCCAGGCGCGGTGGCTCACGCCTGTAATCCCAGCACTTTGGGAGGCCGAGGCAGGCAGATCACGAGGCCAGGAGATTGAGACCATCCTGGCTAACACGGTGAAACCCCGTCTCTACTAAAAATACAAAAAATTAGCTGGGCATGGTGGTGGGTGCCTGTAGTCCCAGCTACTCAGGAGGCTGAGGCAGGAGAATGGCGTGAACCCGGGAGGCGGAGCTTGCAGTGAGCCAACATCGTGCCACTGCACTCCAGCCTGGGCGACAGAGCGAGACTCCATCTCAAAAAAAAAAAAAAGAAAGAAAGAAAGAAAGAAAGAAAGAATCAACTAGAATAGGCTGGGACACCGGGCGTGATGGCTCACATTGTAATCCCAGCACTTTAGGAGGCCGAGCTGGGCAGATCTCTTGAGGTCGGGAGTTCGAGATCAGCCTGGCCAACATGGTAAAACTCGATCTCTACTTAAAAAACATAAAAATTAGCCGGGCTTGGTGGTGCACACCTGTAATCCCAGCTACTGGGGAGGCTGAGGCAGGAGACTTGCTTGAACCCAGGAGGTGGAGGCTGCAGTGAGCCAAGATCACACCACTGCACTCCAGCCTGGGTGACAGAGCAAGACTCCATCTCAAAAAACTAAAAAATAAATAAATAAATAAATAAAATAGGCTGAAAGTAGTGGCTCATACCTGTATTTCTAGCACTTTGGGAGGCTGAGGCAGGAGGATCGCTTTAGCTCAGCTCAGTAGTTCAAGACCAGCTTCAACAACGTAGGGAAACCATGTCTCTACAAAAAGAAAAAAAAGAAGAAGAAGGAGAAGGAGGCCAGGCTCCGTGGCTCAACGCCTGTAGTCCCAGCACTTTTGGGAGGCTGAGGTGGGTGGATCACTTGAGGCCAGGAGTTTGAGACCAGCCTGGCCAACATGGTGAAACCCTGTCTCTACTAAAAATACAAAAATTAGCCAGCAAGGTGGTACGCCTGCCTGTAACCCCAGCTACTTGGGAGGCTGAGGCATGAGAATCGCTTGAACCCAGGAGGTGGAGATTGCAGTGAGCTGAGATCACACCACTGCACTCCAGCCTGGATGACAGAGGGATGCTCTGTCTCAAAAAAAGAAAAAAGGAAAAAGAAATTAGAATAAGATCAAATTAAACCCAAAGTAAGTGTAAGAAAATAAATAATAAAAGACAAGAGTACATATCAATGAGGGGTGGGCATGGTGGCTCACACCTGTAATCCCAATACTTTAGGAGCCCGAGGCGGGCAGATCACCTGACGTCAGCAGTTTGAGACCAACCTGGCCAACATGATGAAACCCCATCTCTACCAAAAATACAAAACTTACCCAGGTGTAGTGGTGCATGCCTTTAGTCCGAGCTATTAGGGAGGCTAAGGCAGGAAGATCGCTTGACCCGGGGAGGCAGAGGTTGCAGCGAACCAAGAACAATAGAGAAAATCTGTGAAACCAAAAGTGATCTCTTTGAGGAGGGAAAATCAATAAAATTGATAAGTTTCTAACCAGGATGATCAATAAAAAAAGCCAGAATATTTGTGACAGGTCCAGAACATACATATATGCTTTGTAATGGACATAGCTTCTCTGGATTTTAAGGTGACGATTCGAGAGGAAAGCTTGGGGATAAGAGAAGAAAGAGCCCTTTCATTGAAATACCTTTTAGTATTCTTTTAAATATGCATATATAATTACATATGCAATAATTATTCACAAATAAAATGCTATATATTTTTATTTTATTTATTTATTTTTTTGAGACGGAGTCTCGCTCTGCTGCCCAGGATGGAATGCAGTGGCACAATCTCGGCTTACTGCAACCTCCACCTCCCTGGTTCAAGCAAATCCCCTGCTTCAGCTTCCTGAGTAGCTGGGATTACAGGCGTGCGCCACCACGCCTGGCTAATTTTTGCATTTTTAGTAGAGACGGGGTTTCATCATGTTGGCCAGACTGGTCTCGAAATCCTGACCTTGTGATCCGCCGCCTTGGCCTCCCAAGTGCTGGGATAACAGGCAAGGGCCACCTCGCCTGGCCAGGGGGTAGTAGTTTTAAAAGATATATTTATCCATTCATTTAATAATTGCTGTTTATTATTTCTACAATACTTACACTTTTTTAATACTTACAGAATACTGCAAATGAAGGTTTTCTAAAACAATATTGTTTTGTGTATTTACTTTTTTTTTTTTTAGAGTCTCACTCTGTCACTCTGTCACCCAAGCTGGAGTGCGGTGGCATGATCTCTGCTCACTGAAACCTCCCAATCCCAGGCTTAAGCAATCCTCCCACCTCAGCCTCCCAAGTAGCTGGTGCCACAGGCCCTCACCACCACACCCTATTTTTTGTATTTTTTATTGTGTACTTTAAAATTTTATGTAAATGGCATCATGTTATCTGAATTCTTCTGTGACTTGTGTTTTTCCCTTCAACATTACATTCTGAATGGTTCACCTATATTTACATGCATAGTTCTATTTTTTCATTTTCAGTGCTATACAGTATTCCAACAAATGGATATGTTATTTTTATATTTACCCAGGCTCGTTCTGAGGATCACTTAGGTTGGTGTCCTTTGTTGCTATAGTAAACAATGCTGCTGTCAACATTCTTGTATATCTCCTTATGCAATTGGTGGATTTTACATTATATATATATATATATATATATATATATATGTGTATATATATATATATATATATTTTTTTTTTTTTTTTTTTTTTTTTTGAGATGGAGTCTGTCACCCAGGCTGAAGTGCAGTGGTGCAATCTCAGCTCACTGCAACCTCTGCCTCCCAGGTTTAAGCCATTCTCCTGCCTCAGCCTCCTGAGTAGCTGGGATTACAGGCACCCGCCACCATGCCTGGCTAATTTTTTGTATTTTTAGTAGAGACAGGGTTTTGCCATTTTGGCCCGGCTGGTCTCAAACTCCTGACCTCAGGTGATCCACCTGCCTCAGCCTCCCAAAGTGTTGGGATTACAGGCGTGAGCCACTGTGCCTGGCCCACTCCTGGTCTTTTTCTCCACCCACTGTCATAAAAAAAAATTCACAAGATTTTGTACAGAAATATTATGGGCTCAAGGGTAATTGAGGAGAGAAGCAGTGATCATGAGTTCATTTTAGGTCAACAAGATAGCCCCTGTTGGCTTAGCTGACCTGGTTATTTCTCAAATTTAATACCAAGTAACCCAATGGGAAAAGCAAATCCCGTGCTATATAAATTTAAAACGTATTTTCGTATTATACTGGAGGCAGAAGGCTAAAGGGAGTCATTCTCCTCATAATGATGGAGAGCGTTTTGGTCATGCAAAATAGCTTTTGGTGGCCTTGTGCAAGTTACTTCTCATTACGCACACAAGTGCTCTTATTATATCCACATATTGCCTGGTCTCTAGATAATTTCTATGCTTTATGACAGTTTTTTTTTTTTTTTTTTTTGAGATGGAGTCTTGCCCTGTGGCCCAGGCTGGAGTGCAGCGGCACGATCTCGGCTCACTGCAACCTCCGCCTCCCGGGTTCAAGAGATTCTCCTGCCCCGTCCTCCTGAGTAGCTGGGATTACAGGCACGCACCTCCATGCCCAGCTAATTTTTGCATTTTTAGTAGAGACGGGGTTTCACCATGTTGGTCAGGCTGGTCTCGAACTTCTGACCTCGTGATCCACCCACCTCGGCCTCCCAAAGTGCTGGGATTACAGACATGAGCCACTGTGCCTGGCCAAAGTTAGCTTTCTTTTTTTTTTTTTGAGACAGAGTTTTGCTCTTGTTGCC
This sequence comes from Homo sapiens, assembly GCF_000001405.40. Taxonomy (NCBI): domain Eukaryota; kingdom Metazoa; phylum Chordata; class Mammalia; order Primates; family Hominidae; genus Homo; species Homo sapiens. The sequence continues at coordinate 49,205,715 of NC_000020.11, forward strand.
CAGGCTGGAGTGCAATGGCACACAATCTTGGCTCATCACAAGCTCCGCCTCCTGGGTTCAAGCGATTCTCCTGCCTCAGCCTCCCGAGTAGCTGGGAATACAGGCATATACCACCACACCCAGCTAATTTTGTATTTTTAGTAGAGACGGGGTTTCTCCATGTTGGTCAGGCTGGTCTCAAACTCCTGACCTCAGGTGATCTGCCCAACTCGGCCTCCCAAAGTGCTGGGATTACAGGTGTGAGCTACCGTGTCCGGCTAATTTTCTTTTCTTTTTTTTTTTTTTTTGAGACAGAGTCTAGCTCTGTCACCCAGGCTGGGGTGCAGTGGCACGATCTCGGCTCACTGTAATCTCCGCCTCCTGGGTTCAAGCGATTCTCTGCCTCAGTCTCCCAAGTAGCTGGGACTACAGGCGCTCGCCACCACGCCCAGCTGATTTTTTTTTTTTTTTTGTATTTTTTGTAAGTACGGGGTTTTACCATATTGGCTAGGCTGGTCTGGAACTCCTGACCTCAAGTGATCCACCCGCCTTGGCCTCCCAAAGTGCTGGGATTACAGGCGTGAGCCACCGCACCCGGCCAAAATTAATTTTCTTAATCAAAGTAATGTGTGTCCATAGTTTAGAGAGTCAAATAATTTTAAGAAGCTTATCATGAAAAACAATGTCCACTCAACTCTTCCTCTTGGCATCTTCCTTCTGGTTTTTTTTTTTTTTTTTTTTTTTTTGAGGCGGAGTCTTGCTCTGTCGCCCAGGCTGGAGTGCAGTGGTGTGATCCTGGGCCACCGTGCCCGGCCATCTTCCGTTTTTTTTTTTGAGACAGGGTCTTGCTCTGTCACCCAGGCTGGAGTGCAGTGGCATGGTCATGGTTTACTGTAGCCTCGACCTCCTGGGCTCGAGTGAACCGCCCAAAGTACTGAGATTATAGGCATGAGCCACCATGCCTGGCCAACATAGCAAGACCCTCCCTCTATTTTTTAAAAAATAATAAATTTTTAAATGAAATTTTATATATATATATATATATATATATATATATATTTTATTTTATTTTTTTTTTTTTGAGACAGAGTCTGGCTCTGTCACCAGGCTGGAGTGCAGTGGCATGATCTCAGCTCACTGAAATATTCACCTCCCGGGTTCAAGCAATTCTCCTGCCTCAGCCTCCCGAGTAGCTGGGATTACAGGCGTGCGCCACCACACCCAGCTAATTTTTGTATTTTTAGTAGAGACGGGGTTTCACCATGTTGGCCAGGATAGTCTTGATTTTCTGACCTTGTGATCCACCCGCCTTGGCCTCCCCAAGTGCTGGGATTACAGGCGTCAGCCACCTCGCCTGGCCAAAAAAATAATTTTTAAAAAATTAGCTAGGCACGGTGGTGCATGTACCTGTAGTCCCAGCTACTTAGGAGGCTGAGGTGGGAGGACCACTTGAGCCCAAGAATTTGAGGCTGCAGCGAGCTATGATTATGCCCCTGCCTTCCAGCCTAGGCGACCGAGTGAGACCCTGCAAAAAAAAAAAAGAAGCCAAAAGTTCCCTGGGATAGGAATAGCCCCTTATGAGCACCTGCCAAGTCAGAGTGTCCACCATGCCACTTTTCTCTCGCCTCCACTGCCCCCTTCTGTCCTGGAGGAGCCAGGGGCTGACTTGTGAGTGGAGCAGGGTTAGTGGAAGGCTTGGGTGGAAGAAATAGAGAAGTCCTCCGGGCAGGCCTCTTTTTCTGTCTTCATGTGGCCAGTCCAAGCAGGCTGAAGTGGAAGAAGGGAATTTAATTAACTTTAAATGAATTTTAAATTTTTTTTGTTTGGTTGGTTTGTTTTTGAGACAGAGTCTCGCACTGTTGCCTGGGTTGGAGAGCAGTGGTGTGATCTCGGCTCACTGCAACCTCCGCCTCCCAGGTTCAAGCAATTCTCCTGCCTCACCCTCCCGAGTAGCTGGCATTACAGGCACCCACCACCACACCTGCGTAATTTTTTGTATTTTTTTTTTAGTAGAGACAGGCTTTCACTGTGTTGGCCAAGCTGGTCTCAAACGGCTGACCTCGTGATCCACCCATCTCGGCCTCCCAAAGTGCTGGGATTATAGGCGTGAGCCACCACGCCCGGCTCCAAATGGGCTTTTAAATTACTGAACCGAGACTGTTTGGGGGTTGTAAGTGACCAAGATAATTTTATTTTATTTATTTTGAGATGGAGTCTCGCTCTGTCACCCAGGCTGGAGTGCGGTGGCATGATCTCGGCTCACTGTAACCGCTGCCTCCCGGGTTCAAGTGATTCTCCCACCTCAGCCTCCCGAGTAGCTGCGATTACAGGTGCACACCACCACACCCAGCTAATTTTTTGTTTGTTTGTTTGTTTGTTTGTTTTGAGACGGAGTCTCACTCTGTCTCCAGGCTGGAGTGCAGTGGCGCCATCTCAGCTCACTGCAACCTCAGCTTCCTGGGTTCAAGCGATTCTCCTGCCTGAGCCTTCCAAGTAGCTGGGACTACAGGCATATACCACCAAGCCCAGCTAATTTTTGTATTTTTAGTAGAGACGGGGTTTCACCATGTTCTCCAGGATGGTCTCGATCTCTTGACCTCGTGATCTGCCCACCTCAGTGACCCAAAGTGCTAGGATTACAGGTGTGAGCCACCGCACGTGGCCTATATATATATTTTTTTGTATTTTTAGTAGAGATGGGGTTTCACCATGTTGGCCAGGCTGGTCTTGAATTCCTGACCTCAAGTGATCTGCCTGCCTTGGCCTCTCAAAGTGCTGGGATTACAGGCGTGAGCCACCATGCCTGGCACAAGAAAATTGTATTGCCTGAGAGTCACTAAGAAAGCAATGGCTTTGGGAGACCAAGGCAGGAGGATTGCTTGAGGCTAGGAGTTCAAAACCAACCTGAGCAACATAGTGAGATCCTGTCTTTTTTTTTTTTTTTGAGACAGAGTCTCGCTCTGTCGCCCAGATTGGAGTACAGTGGCGTGATCTCGGCTCACTGCAAGCTCTGCCTCCTGGGTTCACGCCATTCTCCTGTCTCAGCCTCCCGAGTAGGTGGGACTACAGGTGCCTGTCACCATGCTCGGCTAATTTTTTTGTATTTTTTTAATGGAGACGGGGTTTCAACATGTTAGCCAGGATGGTCTCGATCTCCTGACCTCCTGATCCGCCTGCCTCGGCCTCCCAAAGTGCTGGGATTACAGGCGTGAGCCACTGCGCCCGGCCGATCCTGTCTTTTTTTTTTATTCATTTATTTAGAGAAAGTGTCTTACTCTGTCACCCATGCTGGAGTGCAGTGGCACAATCTCAGCTCACTGCAACCTCTGCCTCCCAGGCTCAAGTGATTCTCCTACCTCAGCCTCCCGAGAAGCTGGGATTACAGGCACATACCGCCACGCCCAGCTAATTTTTGTATTTTTAGAAGAGACGGGTTTCATCATGTTGGCCAGAGTGGTGTCGAACTCCTTGGCTCAGGTGATTTGCCTGCCTCGGCCTTCCAAAGCGCTGGGATTATGGGTGTAAGCCACCGCGCCAGGCCCCTGTCTCTATCTAAAAAGAAAAAAAAAAAAAAGCCATGGGACTTACCCTAGATTTCATTCAAGGTATGGGGAAGAACTGGCTTCCCAGAGACAAACTGAACATGCAAAGAATAAAGTTGTTTTCTGTCTATACCCTATGCATGAGTCCCACCACCTGATCAATAAATTGGCTTACAACATAGTGAAACCACATCTGTACAGTTAAAAAAAAAAAAAAAAAAAAGGAAGGCCAGACATGGTGCCTCCCACCTGTAATCTCACAGTTTGCGAGGCCAAGTTGGGTGGATCACATGAGGTCAGGAGTTCAAGACCAGCCTGACCAACACGGTGAAACCCTGTCACTACTAAAAGCACAAAATTTAGCCGGGCAGGGTGTCGGATGCCTGTAATCCTAGCTACTTGAAGGCTGAGGCAGGAGAATCACTTGAACCCAAGAGGTGGAGGTTGCAGTGAGCTGAGATCATACCATTGCACTGCAGCCTGGGCAACAAGAGCAAAACTCTGTCCCAAAAAATATACATAATGATAATTGGCCAGGTGTGGTGGCTCATGCCTGTAATCCCAGCACTTTGTGAGGCCGAGGCAGGCGGATCACGAGGTCAGGAGATCGAGACTATCCTAGCCAACATGGTGAAACCCCGTCTCTACTAAAAATACAAAAAAATTAGCCAGGCATGGTGGCAGGCACCTGTAGCCCTAGCTACTCAGGAAGCTGAGGCAGGAGAATCCCTTGAACCTGGGAGGCAGAGGTTGCAGTGAGCCGAGATAGTGCCATTGCACTCCAGCCTGGGTGACAGGGCAACACTCTGTCTCAAAAAAAAATAATAATAATAATCAAAAAAATAAATAAATTCGCTACGCTTAGTTTTCTGTATACTTATCTCTGATTGGTGTGGGTTCCTCTCCTGACCAGTTGGGCAGCTGTGGCACTGTGTCTTGCTTTAACCTTTTTCCTGGGCTGGATCTCCTGTTTCCTGAATTCCATGAGTTCCTTTTGCATAGTTTTCTGCCTCATGCTCCACTCACTTCCTGTCAAAGGGGTGGACACTACATATCTGGAAATGTCTTTTCGTTCTCACACTTCATGGATAATTTAGCTGGGTATACAATGCTAGGTTAGAAATCATTGTCCTTCAGGAATGGAGTTCTTTCTCATTCCAGGGGGCAAATGTGTTTCTTAGCTACTTTACACATGTATGAGAAACCAACTTTTTTCTTCCTCCTCTTCTCTCTCTCCTTTTTTTCCTCCTTCTCCTCCTTGTTTCTGGTAGTGGTGGGGGAAAATTCTACATCACTAGGTTTTCAAACTCTAGAGCTGTCAAAAAGCACACAGCTGTTTTCCTAACACAGACTTTATTTACATAGCAGAAAAAGGACTTGGCACTTACACTTTGCATATTGTTTGAATTACTGTTAACAGGGAGAGCAGGCTTATGTAATCAAGTCTGGCTTTTCTTGGTTGAAAAACTTGTTCTTGTATCTTCATAAATGGTAAAAATGACTTTTCTATCATCCCCCATACTGCAACTCTTCCTTTTAATTTTTTCTTTTTAGAAATTATATATTGAAGTGAATTCACATAATATAAAATTAGCCATTTCACAGTGAACAATTCAGTGACATTTAGTACATTCACAATGTTATGCAACCGTAATCTCTATGTAGTTCCAAAACATTTTAATCACTCCAAAAGGAAACCTGGCATTCATTAAGCAGTTAGTCCCCATCCCCCAATTCCCTAATCCCCCACATTTCTGGCAACTACCAATCTGCTTCCTGTTTACCTAAATAGGATTTACCTATTCTAGATAATCAGTATAAATGGAATAAAATAATATGTAACCTTTGGTGTCTGGCTTCTTCTACTTAGTATAATGTTTTTGAGGTTCATCCACAATGTAGCATGTATCTCACTTCATTCATTTTTATAACTGAATAATATGCCATTATATGGATATACCACAAATTGTTTATCCATTCATGTATTAATGGACATTTGAGTTGTTTCTGCCTTTTGTCTACTGTGAATAGTGCTGCTGTGAACACTCGTGTACAAGGATTTGTTTGAGTCCTTGCTTTCACTTCTTTTGGGTGTATACTTAGGAGTTGAATTGCTGGTTCATATAGTAATTCTTTTTTTTTTTCTTTTAATAGAGGCAGGGTCTCTGTATGTTACCCAGGCTGGAGTGTAGTGGCTATTCATAGGCACAATCATAGCACAATGCAGTCTTGAGCTCCTCTCCTCAAGTGATCCTCCTGCCTCAGCCTCCTTTTTTTCTTTTCTTTTTTGGAAATGTAGTCTAGTTCTGTTGCCCAGGCTGGAGTGCAATGGTGCGATCTAGGCTCACTGCACCCTCCACCTCTTGGGTTCAAGTGATTCTCCTGTCTCGGCCTCCTGAGTAGCTGGGATTAGAGGCACATGACACCACACCTCATTAATTTTTGTATTTTTAGTAGAGACGGGGTTTTACCATGTTGGCCAGGCTGATCTTGAACTCCTGGCCTCAAGTGATCAGCCCACCTCAGCCTCCCAAAGTGCTGAGATTATAGGTGTGTGCCACTGCTCCCACTCTGCCTCAGCCTCCTGAGTAGCTGGGACTATGGCATGTGCCAGAGTACCTGGCTGTCATATGCTAATTCTATGTTAACTTTTTTGAAGAACTACCAAACTGTTTTCCACACCAGCTAACCATTTTACATCCCCACTGGCAAGGTACAGGGGTTCAAAATGTTCATATCTTCATGAACAGTTGGTTTTTTTGTTTTGTTTTGAGACAGGGTCTTACTCTGTCATCCAGGCTGGAGTGCAGTGGCACGGTCATGGCTCAGTGCAGCTTCAACCTCCCCAGACTCAAGTGATGCTCTCATCTCAGCCTCCTGAGTAGCTGGGACTACAGGTACATACCACCATGCCTGGCTAATTTTGTATTTTTTGTAGAGACAGGGTTTTGCCATGTTGCCCAGGCTGGTCTCCAACTCCTGAGCTCAAGTGATGCCCCTTCCTTGGCCTCCCAAAGTTATGGGATTACAGGCATGAGCCACCATGCCCAGGTGAGCACCTTTTCATGTGCTTTTTGGCCACTTGTATATCTTCTTTGGAGAAATTTTGTTTATTTTTCTAGCTTTATTGAGGTATAATTAACAAATTTTGCATAATTCAAGGTATACAATGTCATGATTGAATATATGTATTCATTGGGAAATGGTTGCCACAATCAAATTAACATACTCATCACCACACATGGTTACCATCTTTTAGATAAAGGCTTATTCATGTCCTTTCTCTGTTTTTTCATTGAGTTGTTTGGTTTGTAGTTGTTGAGTTGTTAAAGTTGTTTATATTTTCTGGATATTCCCCTTAAAAACGGAAGCTATTGGAATTTTTTTTTTTTAGGCAGAGTTTTGCTCTTGTTGCCCAGGCTGGAGTGCAATGGCGTCATCTCAGCTCACCACAACCTCCACCTCCCAAGTTCAAGCAATTCTCCTGAGTAGCTGGGATTACAGGCATGTGCCACCATGTCTGGCTAATTTTTTGTATTTTTAGTAGAGATGGGGTTTCTCCATGTTGGTCAGGCTGGTCTCGAACTCCTGACCTCAGGTGGTCCACCCACCTTGGCCTCCCAAAGTGCTGGGATTAAAGGCTTGAGCCATCGTGCCCGGCCTACTGGAATTTTTACTGTTGTAATATCGGGTAATATGTGTTACCCAATGTGGGAGCAACCATTTGTTGCTTAACAATAGCCATTTCTCAAACTTTTTTATTTTATTTTATTTATTTATTTATTTTTGAGACAGGGTCTCGCTCTGTCATCCAGGCTAGAGTGCAGTGGCATGATCCTGGTTCACTGCAGCCTTCACCTCCTGGGCTCAGGCAATCCTCCTGCCTCAGACTCCTGAGTAGCTGGGATTATAGGCGCACACTACCATGTTTGGCTACTTTTTGTAATTTTGTATTTTTTGCAGCAATGGGGGTCTCACTATGTTGCCCAGGCTCATTTCTCAATTTTTTTTTTTAGACAGAGTTTCTCTCTGTCACCCAGGCTGGAGTGCCGTGGCGCAATCTTGGCTCACTGCAACCTCCGCCTCCTGGATTCAAACAATTCTCCTGTCTCAGCCTCCTGAGCAGCTGGGATTACAGGTGTGGGCCACCAACCCGGCTAATTTTTGTATTTTTATTAGAGATGGGGTTTCACCATGTTGGTCAGGCTAGTCTCAAACTCCTGACCTCGTGATCCACCTGCCTCGGGCTCCCAAAGTGCTGAGATTACAGGCGTGAGCCACCGCGCCTGGCCTATTTGCTTTTAATGTGGGGCGATTATAATCAATGCTGAAAAGAACACTCTTGCATTTTAAAACATGCTTACTTACCCAATTAATTAATTCCCATTGGAAAATCTTAAAGATGGTTAAGATGAGTCACAATTCAGTTTCAGGAAGCAGGTAAATGGGCTGGAGAAAATAAATCCAGCCTCACCAATGCCACCCTATTTAGTCCTCCCAACAGCCATATAAAGTAGATAAAAAATATCACTACTGTCTCTTTCAAACTCTGTTTTCAAAAGGTGAGGTATAAGCAATCAAGTAAAATGGAGATGGAAAACTGAAAACCACGAAAAGATCAAGGCTTGCCCATGGAACACAGATAATGTCCAAGTGATAATCATTCTATGCTTGAATCAGAAGATTTGGGGCCATGGCCAGGTGGGTGGCTCATGCCTGTAATCCCAGCACTTTGGGAGGCCGAGGCGGGTGGGTCACCTGGGTCAGGAGTTCAAGACCAGCCTCGCCAACATGGTGAAATACTGTTTCTAATAAAAGTACAAAAAATTAGCTAGGCATGGTGATGCACCCCTGTAATCCCAGTTTCTTGGGAAGCTGAGGCAGGGAAATTGCTTGAACCCAGGAGGCAGAGGTTGCAATGAGCTGAGATCATGCCACTGCATTCCAGCCTGGGCGACAGAGCTAGACTCTATCACAAAACAAAACAAAACAAAAAGAAAGACTGGGTGTGGTGGCTCACGCCTGTAATCCCAGCACTTTGGGAGGCCAAGGCAGGTGGATCACCTGAGGTCAGGAGTTCAAGACCAGCCTAGCCAACAAGGTGAAAACCCGTCACTACTAAACATACAAAAATTAGCCAGGCATGGTGGCATGTGCCTGTAGTCCCAACTACTTGGGAGGCTGAGGCAGGAGAACCGCTTGAACCCGGGAGGCAGAAGTTGTAGTGAGCTGAGATTGTGCCATTGCATTACAGCCTGGGTGACAGAGTGAGATTCCGTCTCAAAAAAAAAAAAAAAACAATAACAAGAAGAAGATTTGGGTCCATGTCTAGGAGATAATGTCTAGATCTCAAACAGACCTAGAGTCAAATGCCTGCCACCCCTCTTACTGTATAGAAGGTAAGCTACTCACTTTCTGGGCTTGGGTTCCTCATCTGTCCAATGGGAATAGCTCATAGAGTCATGAGGATTAAATTAGATCATGCTTGTGAAGCATCAGGCATGAATTTAGCTCTCTTGCTTTTTCTCTGACTCCACATTGCTAATCAAGTTCAGCCTCATGACCTAATTACTTCCCAAAGCTCCCACCTCCTAATGCATCAGTTGGGGTTAGAATTTCAACACATGAATTTGTGGGGGACACAAACATTTAGTCCATAACAGAAGGAACATGGGATCAGTTAGGATTAGATTCAGTTGCATGTGACAACAAAACAAAACAACAGTGGTTTCAACAACATAGCAGACAATTTGACCTCACATAAATGAAGGCTGAGGAAGTCTGAGGTTGCTAGTCCAAGGCTTACATGGCTGTGCTCCCTAAAGACCTTAGAAGCGCAGGCTCCTTCCAGCTCTCTGATCCACCATCCTCATCCTCCTGGCCCAAGATGGGAATGAGAGTGACAGCCACTCCATCCAAGTCTGTTCCCACTTTGGGGCTTTTGCACTTGCTGGGTTTTTTTCTTAGAAATCTTCATCTGAGCCTCTTTCTCTGCCTTTGAGTCTCAGCTTTGGAATGTGGTCACCGTCTCAGAGAGGGCTCCCCTAACCACATGCCTCAGGCCCCTCTTGTTGACCCGCCTTTTATTCTTCATCTCACTTATATCACCTGTATGTATCACCTGGTTCTGATACCTACCAACCTTCTGACCTTGGGCAATTTCCTTAATTTCCTCAAGAGCCTCAATTTCTTCACCTGTAAAATGGGGATATAACAGCACCCATAGGAAACTTACACTTTAGATTCATGAGAGTGGTTGGCTCTTGAGTGTTGGGGAGAAAAGAAACGGTGATATCTACAGTGTCCACAGCAGAGCTTAGAACAAAGTAGAATCTCAATAATATTTGTGGGATTAAGGAAAATATTATGTTAATAAACTCATCTTCAGTTGGTGCCACTACTCAATAGTAGAATATTGCTCAACATTGATTACTGAGTAACATTCACCTTGAGTCTCCGAGAATAAAATCAGTAGAAAACTCCCTGCTTTGCCAGGCGCAGTGGCTGACGCCTGTAATTCCAGCACTTTAGGAGGCTGAGGTGGGTGGATTGATTGAGGCCAGGAGTTTGAGACCAGACTGGCCAACATGGTGAGACCCCAGTTTCTTCTAAAAATACAAAAATTAGCTGGGTGTGGTGGCACATGCCTATAATCCCAGGTACTTGGGAGGCTGAGGCAGGAGAATCATTTGAACCCAGGAGGCAGAGGTTGCAGTGAGCCAAGGTTGCACCACTGTACTCCAGCCTGGGTGATATAGCAAGACTATGTCTCAAAAAAAAAAAAAAAAAAAAAAAAAAAAGAAGAAGAAGAAGAAAAAAAAAGAAGAAGAGAAAAAGAAGAAGAAAACTCTTTGCTTTGAATTGGGGGGCATAGCTGGGTGCAGTGGCCCACACCTATAGTTCCAGCTATGCAAGAGGCTGAGGCTGGAGGATCACTTGAGCCCAGGAGTTCCAGTCCAGTGTGGGCAACATGGCAAGACCCTTATATCTTAAAAAAAAATCCCTCAAGGCTGGGTGCGGTGGCTCACACCTGTAATCCTAGCATTTTGGGAGGCCAAGGCAGGCAGATCCCTTGAGGTCAGGAGCTCGAGACCAACCTGGCTAACATGGTGTAACCCTATCTCTACTAAAAATACAAAAAAATTGGCCAGGCATGGTGGCGGGTGCCTGTAATCCCAGCTACTCAGGAGGCTGAGGCACAAGAGTCGCTTGGACCCAGGAGGCAGAGGTTGCAGTGAGCCGAGATCATGCCACTGCACTCCAGCCTGGGCGACAAAGTGAGACTCATCTCAAAAAATAAGTAATTAATTAAAAAAAATTAAAAACTCTCAAAATAAAAAAAATGAATTGAGGGGAGAAAACTTCATTCTCCTGAGCATAGCTAATGATCTGGGACTGATGTGAAACCCCCAAAGAGAAAAATAAGAAATTTTTTTTTCCTTTTTCCCAGTCTATTCCTTTTAGACTTGGGTTTGGGAGGGAGATAAAAAGAATGACATGGGACGTGGCAGGGAAGTAGGCTGGGGGTGAAAGTTGAGATCGATTTCATAGGAAGGTGAAGCAGATCTCTGAAGCTCCCAACATCTTTGACCTCCAAGGATCTCAGAAGACTTGCTCATTCTTGGGCAAGGCTTTCAAGATCTTCATATCTGCCTACATCTTATCCATTGCAAATCATTCTGGGGAATTAGGATGTGAAGGCAGCCAGGATTTGGCCCCATCAAATAAAGAGGTAATAAGATTGCAACCCACGGGGCACAGATCTCCAAAGAGATGGTGCTGATGTCTCTGAGCCCAGAGGCTCCCATGGGGCTGGGACCCAAACCTTGGAGAATGAGGCGCTGCTCAGCGTTGCTGGTGCTCTGGCTGGGTACAGAAAAGCTGGTTCTGTGAGTATTAAAAAGAAAAACAAGCAACCCCCCACTCCCCGGCGCTGCCAAATGGAATGAATTGCTGCTTCTAGGGAGAAGTGCTGCTGGAGTGACACAGGAATGCGAAATAGAACAAGACCCAAGTTCCCGCTTCCTCCTCCAGTGCTCCGTTCTCTCTCACATGCGCCCCCTGCTGGCAGATCCTAACAAGGAACTTGATGGCAAAGTACAAACATGGTTCCTGGAGTCCCACCCCAGGTACATGAGTCAGGTATAGAAGGGTTAGTTTGAAGCTGACAGTACCGTAATAACGGGCACAGCTTATTAATTTGAAAACTATTAGATGAAACTACACAAAGAACCAAGAACAAAAACTTGTGTTCCCCAGTACCATTTTGCATCCTTTGTATCCGGAGTTTTTCTTTAGCTGTTGTATATCCTTCCTAACAGTGTCTTTATTTTATAAATAACTAGGAAGTTACCCAAGACCACACAGTAAGGAGCAGAAGCAGGATTTGAATCAAGGCTGTGTGGCTCCAAAGCCCATCCTGTTTTTTTTTTCCTTTTAAAATATATATATATATATATTTTTAGGCCAGGCGCAGTGGCTCATGCCTGTAATCCCAGCTACTCGGGAGGCTGAGGCAGGAGAGTCGCTTGAACCCAGGAGGTGGAGGCTGCAGTAAGCCGAGATCGCGCCACTACACTCTCACCTGGGCGACAGAGTGAGACCCTGTCTCAAAAATAAAAATAAAAATAAAATAAAATAAAATAATTTTTTTTTGAGACGGAGTTTCCCTCTTGTTGCCCAGGCTGGAGTGCAATGGTGTGATCTCAGCTCACCGCAACTTCCGCCTCCTGGGTTCAAGCGATTCTCCTGCTTCAGCCTCCCGAGTAGCTGGGATTACAGGCACACACCACCATGCCCGGCTAATTTTTTGTATTTTTAGTGCAGACGGAGTTTCACCATGTTGGTCAGGCTGGTTTTAAACTCCTGACCTCAGGTGATCCACCTGCCTCGGCCTCCCAAAGTGCTGGGATTACAGGCGCGAGTCACCGCGCCCAGCTAGCAATATATATTTTTTTAATTCACATTTTCCATCACTCCCTACAAAGCCCAATCTTTTTTTTTTTTTGAGATGGAGTCTTGCTCTGTCGCCCAGGCTGGAGTGCAGTGGCACGATCTCGGCTCACTGCAAGCTCTGCCTCCTGGGTTCACACCATTCTCCTGCCTCAGCCTCCCGAGTAGCTGGGACTACAGGCGCCCGCCACCACGCCCGGCTAATTTTTTTGTATTTTTAGTAGAGACGGGGTTTCACCGTGTTAGCCAGGATGGTCTCGATCTCCTGACCTCGTGATCCGCCCGCCTCGGCCTCCCGAAGTGTTGGGATTACAGGCGTGAGCCACCACGCCCAGCCAACACGTTTTTAATTAAAAACAAACAAACAAACAAACAAACAAAAAAAACATGATGGGGTCTTGTCATGTTGCCCAGGGTTGTCTGGAACTCCTGAGCACAAGCGATGCACCCACCTGGCTTCCCAAAGTGCCGTGACTAAAGGTGTGAACCACCTTGCCTGGTCTTGATTTTTATTTTCTTCTGAGATTTTTTTTCCCCTACAATAAACATTAATTTTAATTAAAAAGTTTCGGGGCTGTGCGCAGTGGCTCACACCTGTAATCCCAGCAGTTTGGGAGGCCGAGGCAGGAGGATTGCTTGAGCCCAGGAGTTCGACACCAGCCTGGGCAACATGGTGAAACTCCGCCGGGCGTGGTGGTGGCGCCTGTACCTCCAGTTACTCAGAAGGCTGAGGCGGGAGGATCGCTTGAGCCCGGGAAGTCGGGGTTGCAGTGATCCATGATCTCCACTGCACCCCAGCCTGGGCGACAGAGCCAAACCCTGCCTCAAAAAAAAAAAAAAAAAAAAAAAAGACAAAAAATTACTTAGAATTTTACCACCCAGAAGCAATCACAGCTAACTGCTTATTGTATTTTCTTCCACAGCTTTTTTTTGTATCTAAATATACACATCTAGAGTTTATAAATGCAACTCTTTAGACTCTCTCACCCTTCCACCCTCCTCAAATACTGCCACCGTTTTGAGGCCGGAGACAATGGAATTTGCTTACCTAAAAAGCTCCGCCCCTTGATGGCGTCACACGAAACCAACCACGCCCCATATTGCCGCATGCGCACTCTTAAGAGGTCGAACGGGGAGGGCGGCAGGGGCTCTGGAACGGAAGTGACGCATGGTACTTGCGCAAAGACGACGAGGAGGCTGCGAAAAGTTAAGGGCCGGACCGCAGGCTGTGCTCGCTTCCGGAAGTGGCTTCTGCGACAACATGCTTGCGGACCTCGGCTTAATCGGAACCATAGGCGAGGATGACGAGGTGCCGGTGGAGCCCGAGTCTGACTCCGGGGACGAGGAAGAGGAGGTATGAGCACGGTTCTGGTCTTTGGGTTTCCTTGACTGCTTCCCTTCCTCGCGATTCCTCAGGTCCCTGTCCCCGAATCCTCATCATCCCCTGCCAGCCCCGGAAGTTTCCCGAAAAGGATCTCACCGGGACCCCAAGATCTTCCTCAGTTTCCCCGCCACTAGGTTATCTCTACGTCCGCCTGCTTCTTTGGCCATGTCGTTCCCTGTCTCCTTGCTGAACTCAGTATCTATTCACTGAACTGATATTTAACCACGCCCTGTGTAAGAGACGGCAGGTTTCTTACACCTTGTAAGAGGTGAAGTCAGCCATGGTTCCTGCTCAAGGAGCCATGGTTAGCTGTCCTTTCGTATGTTCATCGAGCCAGTGTTTATTGAATACTTAACGCCTGCTAGACTTAGTGTTAAGCGTTGGGGGCGTAGCAATGAACAAGGTGAGTGCCACTCTCCTGAAGCGTATGGTGGTGTGGGGGCTTGCAGACATTAAGCAGTATGGCAATTAAAGAGGTATTGGTGTTCTGAAAAGGATGCTTGCCCTTCAAACATTCAGCCCAGATGTTGTCCCCTCTGCACTCTCATCTGTCCGCCTGATAGGTTTATCCAGATGTCCCATGGCCTCTACAAATTCAACTCCTCCAAAGATGAACTTGTGTTCACTCTCATCCTGTTCCCTTCTCAAGCCAGAAACCTTAGAGTTATTCTTGACAGTTTTTTCTTCCTCACCGCCGCCAGTGCTCTGCAAGCTAGCTCATGAATCTCTCTTAAGCTTCTCCCGCCTCTCTCCATTCACACTGTACCCACCCTAGCTCCGGCTACTGCTGTCTCATGCTTGCACACCAGCACACCTGCAGTCCAAACATACTTCATCTTCATCTCTTTATCTTGAGCACTTCCAGTGTATTCTTCGCTTAGCAGCAGAGGGATCTCTGCGATACAGTCACGTTAGAGACCTCCCTTGCTTAAAACTCTCCAGCCTGCTGGTAGAGACCCCCGGGCCTGTCCACCTTGCAAAGACTCCTCAGGCAGCGTCTGGGTCCCGTACACTGTCGCCATTTCCCCGATGTCCCCTGTGGGCGCGGGCGGCCACCCAGGCCTGCTGGCTGCGGCCCCCTCTCGGACAGGCCTTGGCTCAGCCCGCTGCGTGGGAGGTCATGGGCCAGTCCCCGAGGAGCCAGGCCCCTGTACAGTGCCCGGTCACACCCATGATGCGGGGTGTGTTTGTCACACCCATGATGCGGGGGGAATTGTTTGTGTTTGTTTTTCAAGAAATGATTCAAATTGCTAAAAACAAAACAAAACAAAACAAAAAAAACTCTCCAGCCTGCTTTCACGTGGCTTTCAAGGTCCTCACGATCTTGTCCTTTCCACCTTGACTTTCATCTCTCACAGCTCTCCTCTTCATGACCAACACTCCAGTCTCATTCACTTCATTTTTTTTTAAGACAGAGTCTTGCTCGGTCGCCCAGGGTGGAGTGCAGTGGCGCGATCTCGGCTCACCGCAGCCTCCCCCTCCCGGGTTCAGGCAATCCTCCTGCCTCAGCCTCCCTAGTAGCTGGGACTACAGGCATGCGCCACCACGCCCGGCTAATTTTTGTATTTTTAGTAGAGACAGGGTTTCACCATATTGGCCAGGCTGGTCTTGAACTCCTGACCTTGTGATCCACCCACCTCGGCCTCCCAAAGTGCTGGGATTACAGGCGTGAGCCACCACACCCGTCTTTTTTGTATTTTTAGTAGAGACTGCGTTTCATCATGTTGGTCAGGCTGGTCTTGAACTCCTGACCTTGTCTGCGTGCCTTCGCCTCCTAAAGTGCTGGGATTACAGGTGTGAGCCACTGTGCCTGGCCCCTTCTTGCTTTCTATCATTCTTTATCTCAGCCCCAAAGTCACTCTGTCTCTTACTCTTCCCAGGGGCCCATTGTGCTGGGCAGACGACAAAAAGCTTTGGGGAAGAACCGCAGTGCTGATTTCAACCCTGATTTCGTTTTCACTGAGAAGGAGGGGACGTACGATGGCAGCTGGGCCCTGGCTGATGTCATGAGCCAACTCAAGAAGAAGGTGAGACTGACAGTGATGGACAGCTCCAGACTTTGGGCTATTAAGATTGGACTGTGAGTTTCAGGGCCTAGCCCTGACCTGACTGACCATCTGTTTACATTCAGCAGATACTACAACTCCTTTGAAAATAACTGGTTAAAAAAAAACAAAAGAAAATATCTGGTATACTTTTGATGAGATGGGCACAGGGATCACAAATGACTCACTGTCTTTTTTTTTTTTTTTTTTCTGAGTCTGCTTGCTGGGGAGACTCCTCTTTAATACCAAACAAAGTATGAGCACTTGCCAGGTGGTCTCCGGTGGTGTCACTGTGCAGTGTCCCTGGTTCCCACACAGCACAGCCAAAGCTACCACAGATGTCATTGTCATCTGTTTGTTTGCCAAGATCCCATGCCTTTCTGTGAATCTGGTTAAACTAGAAGATGCATCTAAGTTATTTTCCATTTCATGTCTTCAAAGAGAAATATTGCCTGTCCAGAACAGTTTAATCCAGGCTTTGCTGGTCCTTACTCTGATTGAAGTAAACCAGCATTGCCTTTTCTTTTTTTTTTTGAGACAGAGTCTCTCTCCATTGCTTAGGCTGGAGTGTAATGGCGCCATCTCAGCTCACTGCAACCTCTGCCTCCTGGGTTTAAGCGATTCTTGTGCTTTAGCCTCCCGAGTTGCTGGGATTACAGGTGCCCACCACCACGCCCAGCTAATTTTTTGTAGTTTTTTTTTGTTGTTTTTGAGATGGAGTCTCACTCTATCACCCAGGCCGGAGTGCAATGGTACCATCTTGACTCACTGCAACCTCTGCCTCCTGGGTTCAAGCGATTCTCCTGCCTCAGCCTCTTGAGTAGCTGGGATTACAGGCATGAGCCACTGTGCTCAGCCTTACCAGCACTGCATTTTCAAGATCGTCTGGAGAGGATTAAAAAAATTTTTTTTTTTGAGACGGAGTTTTGCTCTTGTTGCCCAGGCTGGAGTGCAATGGCGTGATCTCGGCTCACTGCCACCTCCGCCTCCCAGGTTCAAGCAATTCTCTTGCCTCAGCCTCCCGAGTAGCTGGGATTACAGGCATGCACCACCACACCCGGCTAATTTTGTATTTTTTTAGTAGAGACAGGGTTTCTCCATGTTGAGGCTGGTCTCGAACTCCTGACCTCAGGTGATCTACCCACCTCGGCCTCCCAAAGTGCTGGGATTACAGGCGTGAGCCACCGCGCCCGGCCTAAAATTTTTATATATATAATATGTATATGTATTTTCAGAGAAGGCCAAAATTTTTTCTTTTTCAAGTTAATTATGAAGAGTTTGTTCTCTTATTCGATGTTTCAATGAAAATTTCTTTTTCACCTCTTTATTTTTATCTGCAGAGGGCAGCCACTACATTAGATGAGAAGATTGAGAAAGTTCGAAAGAAAAGGAAAACAGAGGTGAGAAGAAAAGTGGCTATTTTTCGTTGTTAGGGCCCACTCTTTACTCTCACCACGACCCCAGCATCTCTCTGGAAGCCCTTATAGAGCGGGGCATGGCTGGGGCAGGCGCACTCTTCTGTGTGTTTGCTGTGAATCTGTACTGAGAATCCCCACAGCCGTTCATTCAGGCCGGAGAGCTTCCTATCGCTCTACTTAGGTTCTGGATTTCTAGAAGTTTCTCATCACCCTCACTTTAATTTTTTTCCCAGGATAAAGAAGCCAAGTCTGGGAAGTTGGAAAAGGAGAAAGAAGCAAAGGAAGGCTCTGAACCAAAGGAGCAGGAAGACCTTCAAGAGAATGATGAGGAAGGCTCAGAAGATGAAGCCTCGGAGACTGACTACTCATCAGCTGATGAGAACATCCTCACCAAAGCAGGTAGACGTTACGGCGGAGGTGTCAGTAATGGGGACAGGAGATCAGAAGGCATCCTCCTTTACTTTGTAGGGTTTCCTCCACTCTTCTGCACAGTTTATCTTTAAGCTGTTCTGCCTACTACATTGAACTCCTTTCTTTCTTTTTTTTTTTTTTTTAAGAGATGTTGGCTGGGTGCAGTGGCTCATGCCTGTAATCCCAGTACTTTGGGAGGCTGAGGTGGGTGTATCGCTTGAAGCCAGGAGTTTGAGACCAGCCTGGGCAACATGGTAAAACCCCATCTCTACTGAAAATACAAAAATAAGCTTGGTGTAGTGGCATGCACCTGTAATCCCAGCCACTCAGGTGGCTGAGGTACGAGAATCACTTGAAACTGGGAGGCAGAGGTTGCAGTGAGCTGAGATTGTCCCACTGAACTTAACCCTGGGCCACAGAATGAGACCCTGTCTCAAAAAACAAAACAAAAGAGATGTGGTCTCACTCCATCCACAGGCTGGAGTGCAGTAGTGCAATCATACCTCACTGGAAGGCTTGAACTCACTGGCTTAAGTGATCCTCCTGCTTTAGCTTCCTAAGTAGCTGGGCCTACAGGTGCATGCCCCTGCGCCTGGCTAATTTTTTTTTTTTGTAGGGACGGGGTCTTGCTTTGTTGCTCAGGCTAGTCTCAAATTTCTAGGCTCGAGCAGTCCTCCCGCCTTGACCTCTAAAAGTGCTGGCATTACAGGCGTGAGCCACTGTGCCCGCTGAATCCTTTCTTTTAGGTTTTCTTTTCTCTTGGGATTTTGTTTGGGTTGTTGTACTTCATAGGTAGTTTACTCTTTTCCCATCTAGCCCCATGCGGCTGCCAGATGCCACTGTGATACAAACTCATTTGGGGTGACATACTCAGATGGGTCCAGCCACATAGTGGGTGCTCAATAAGTATTTCTTTCTTTCTTTTTTTTTTTTTGAGATGGAGTCTTACTCTGTCACTCAGGCTGGAGTGCAAGTGGTACAATTTCAGCTCACTGCAACCTCTGCCTCCCGGGTGCAAGCAACTCTCCTGTCTCAGCCTCCCAAGTAGCTGGGACTACAGGCACACGCCAACACACCTGGCTAATTTTTGTATTTTTAGTAGAGATGGGGTTTCACCATGTTGGACAGGCTGGTCCCGAACTCCTGACCTCAGGTGATCCACCTGCCTCGGCCTCCTAAAGTGCTGGGATTTTAGGCGGGAGCCACTGCTTCCGCCCTCAATAAGTATTTCTTGCAGAAATGTGTGCTAAAGCATCATAATACAGTGTAGTGGTCGAGAGCCTGGTCTCTGGACCAGAGTCACTGGGTTAGCTTTCTCTCTGACCTTAGGCAAGTTACTTCACCATGCTGCCACAAAGTGTCCTCATCTGTGAAACAAGGTTGACGATGGTCACCCCTCAGAGGCTGAAGTGTGGCATTGGCACTTAGGACAGTGTCCAGCAGGATGCAAGTGCTTTGTAAGTCTGAGCCGTGGTCATCAGCTAAGTTTTTCTCCATAGATACACTCAAAGTAAAGGATCGGAAGAAGAAGAAGAAGAAAGGACAGGTGAGCTTGGGGCTGCAAGACAGTATGCAGCTTGTTGGCAAACCGAAAGGAGTTTAAGGTCGTTTGGGTTTCTTGGCTCTTTTTGTTGAATTCTCTTCTCTCTTTTGGTTTTCTGGTGTAGGAAGCAGGAGGATTTTTTGAAGATGCATCTCAGTACGATGAAAACCTCTCGTTCCAGGACATGAACCTTTCCCGCCCTCTTCTGAAGGTAGCAGCTTCTTGTCAAAAATTTTCTTTGTAGAAGCATGGTCTTGCTATGTTGTCCAAGATGGTCTCAAATTCCTGGCATCAAGCAATCCTCTTGCCTCAACCTCCCAGAGTGCTGGGATTTGAGCCACTGTGCCTGGCCAGTAGTGGCTTATTTTGGCAACCATGGGATTATTGCAGCCACCCCTAACTGGACTTTCTGCTTCTCTCTTTGCCTCCCTCAACTCTTGTCCATACAGTTGCCAGAGAACTCCCTTTTTTTTTTTTTTTTTTTTGAGACGGAGTCTCACTCTGTCGCCCAGGCTGGAGTGCAGTGGCACAATCTCGGCTCACTGCAACCTCCACCTCCCGGGTTCACGCCATTCTCCTGCCTCAGCCTCCCCAGCAGCTGGGACTACAGGCACACGCTGCCACGCCCTGCTAATTTTTTGTATTTTTAGTAGAGATGGGGTTTCACCGTGTTAGCCAGGATGGTCTCGATCTCCTGACCTCGTGATCCGCCCGCCTCAGCCTCCCAAAGTGCTGGGACTACAGGCGTGAGCCACCGCGCCCGGCCGAGAACTCTCTTAAGCAATGAGTTCCATCGTGTCCCTCCTCTTCTTCTCTGAGTCCTTCAGTACTTCCCAGTCTCACTCTTCTTAGAAGCCTGAGTCCTTATATTGACCTACAAGGCTCTGCCCCTTCTGGCCCTCTCTGACGACACCTCCTGGCACTCGTTCTGCTCTGGCCACACTGGCCTCCTTGCTGGCCCTCAAATAGGTTAGGCCTCCTCTTCCTCAGGGCCCTTGCACTTTCTGTTCCCTCTGCCTGGAAAACTCTTCCAGAAATCTTTTGGGGTGCTCTCTAGCTTCCTTCAGGGTTCAACTCAGTATCCCTTGCTCAGTGAGACCTTCCCTGGCAGCCCTACCGTGAATAGCACTCCCCCTGCTGCCCGTCTGGCCGCTGCATTGTTTTCCGCAGCATCTCTCCATATGACATGTGTTTGTTTTTTGGTCTGTTTCTACCAGACTGTAAGATTCCTGAGGGCAGGGTTTTTATTTCTTTTATTTACTGCTGTGTCCTCAGTGTCTAGAGCACCACCTCACACATAGTAGGCGTTCAGTGAATGTTTGTGGAACGAATGATTGGTGGGGATTGGTGTGGTCCCCACTTGTCTGGAAACCTGCCCTGTTTGTGTTGTGCTGAGACTTCCCCCGCTCAACCCTGTCTGACCCAGTTCTTTTTTCCTCAGGCCATTACAGCCATGGGCTTCAAGCAGCCCACCCCGATCCAGAAGGCGTGCATACCTGTGGGTCTATTGGGGAAGGACATCTGTGCCTGTGCAGCCACTGGGACAGGTGAAAAGGATAGGGACCCAGGGTGGGCAGAAGGGTGTTACGGCCAGGGCTGGGCTCTAGGTTGACTTACCAAAGGCTGGTTTGCTAAATAAATATTCTTGGTTTTTTGAACTATTTCATTTTTATTTTTTATTTTGTAGAGATAGGGGTCTCACTTTGTTGTCCAGGCTGGTCTTGAATTCCTAGGTTCAGGTTCAAGCGATCGATTTTCCCATCTTGGCCTCCCAAAGTTCTGGGATTACAGGCATGAGCCACTGTGCCTGGCCATAAAATTTTTGTAACACAAAAAAGATATACTGGTGCAATTGAGAGAGTAAAGGACTTTTTTTTTTTTTTTTTTTTTTTGAGACGGAGTCTCGCTCTGTCGCCCAGGCTGGAGTGCAGTGGCGGGATCTCGGCTCACTGCAAGCTCCGCCTCCCGGGTTCACGCCATTCTCCTGCCTCAGCCTCCCAAGTAGCTGGGACTACAGGCGCCCGCCACTACGCCCGGCTAATTTTTTGTATTTTTAGTAGAGACGGGGTTTCACCGTTTTAGCCGGGATGGTCTTGATCTCCTGACCTCGTGATCCGCCCGCCTTGGCCTCCCAAAGTGCTGGGATTACAGGCGTGAGCCACCGCGCCCGGCCGAGAGTAAAGGACTTTTAAATTTTTAACCACTTTATTTTGAAGTATTTGTAGATCAGTGGCAAGTTGCAAAAATAGTGCATAGGGTCTCTCGAATCCTTCATCAATGGTGACATCCCACATAACTGTAGGACAAAATCAAAACCAGGAAATTGGCACTGATACAACAGTGTTTCCTAGACTGCAGAGCTTACTCAGTTTACTGAAGGATTAATTTTTTGTTTTGAGATGGAGTCTCACTCTGTCACCCAGGCTGGAGTGCGGTGGCGCAATCTCGGCTCACTGCAACCTCTGCCTCCTGTGTTCAGGTGATTCTCCTGCCTCAGCCTCCCCAGTAGCTGGGTTTACAGGTGCCCGCCACCACACCCGGCTGATTTTTGTATTTTTAGTAGAGAGAGGGTTTCACCATGTTGGCCAGGCTGGTCTCGAATTCCTGACCTCAAGTGATACACCTGCCTCAGCCTCTCAAGAGTGCTGGGATTTACAGGTGTGAGCCACCGTGCCTGGCATACTGAAGGATTAATTTTGTAAGATAAACAGTGCATGAGAGGATGTCCGGTCTAGTAGTGGGCCACAAGTTTCAAAGGGTCTGATGAAGGTCATTTTCATTTAATCCTCTTGGGGTATCCCTGATCTCTGTGACCATGGCCTCCTGGCCCTGCCATATCAGAGGAGGAAATTTTTTTTTTTTTTTTTTTTGAGACAGAGTCTCGCTCTGTTGCCCAGGCTGGAGTGCAGTGGCGCAATCTTGGCTCACTGCAACCTCCGCCTCCCGGGTTCAAGCGATTCTCCTGCCTCAGCCTCCTGAGTAGCTGGGATTACAGATACACGCCACCATGCCCGGCTAATTTTTGTATTTTTAGTAGAGACAGGGTTTTACTATCTTGGCCAGGCTGGTCTTGAACCCCTGACCTCATGATCCACCTGCCTCAGCCTCCCAAAGTGCTGGGATTACAGGCATGAGCCACTGTGCCTGGCTGTATTTTTTCTTTTTTTTTTTGAGACAGAGTTTTGCTGTTGTCACCCAGGCTAGAGTGCAGTGGTGCGTTCTCAGCTCACTGCAACCTCTGCCTTCAAGTGAATCTCCTTCCTCAGCCTCCTGAGTAGCTGGGATTACAGGTGCCCACCACCAAGCCTGGCTAATTTTTATATATTTAGTAGAGACAGGATTTCACCATATTGGCCAGGCTGGTCTCGAACTCCTGACCTCAGGTGATTCGCCTGCCTTGGCCTCACAAAGTGCTGGGATTACAGGCTCCCGCCACCATGCCCAGCTAAGTTTTTTGTATTTTTAGTAGAATTGGGGCTTCACTATGTTGGCCAGGCTGGTCTTGAACTCCTGACCTCAGGTGATCCGCCTGCCTCGGCGTCCCAAAGTGCTGGGATTACATATGTGAGCCTGACCATGTGATTTGAAAGCAGAAAAAATATTCTATGAAAAATAAGTTCCTTTATTTTCCCCAACCAGACGTAGTTTTTCTGTGCTCTGGTGAAAACCTAACCCTGGAGGGAGCTAAACTTCTTCTCATTGCTTCCTTGCTGTCCCTCCCTCCAGGTAAAACTGCCGCCTTTGCCCTGCCTGTTTTGGAGCGTCTGATTTATAAACCCCGCCAGGCTCCAGTCACCCGCGTGCTGGTGCTAGTGCCCACCCGAGAGCTGGGCATCCAGGTGCACTCTGTCACCAGACAGCTGGCCCAGTTCTGCAACATCACCACCTGCCTGGCTGTGGGTGAGTTTCTGGCCAAGGGCTGCCAGCCCCTGAGAGACTGTGGTGGGGTGGAGGATGGATGTGCCCCGCCATCTGTTGGTGTTGGTGACAGGTGCCAGGAGAGGCCTTTGTGTTGATTGAATCCACTTAAAAACTGGAAGACTTTTTTTTTTTTTTTTTTTTTTGAGACGGAGGAGTCTCGCTCTGTCGCCCAGGCTGGAGTGCAGTGGCGCAATCTTGGCTCACTGCAAGCTCCGCCTCCCGGGTTCACGCCATTCTCCTGCCTCAGCCTCCCCAGTAGCTGGGACTACCGCCACCACGCCTGGCTAATTTTTTGTATTTTTAGTAGAGACAGGTTTTCACCGTGTTAGCCAGGATAGTCTCGATCTCCTGACCTCGTGATCCGCCTGCCTTGGCCTCCCAAAGTGCTGGAATTACAGGCATGAGCCACCGCACCCAGCCGACATGTTTTCATAGTGCTTTAGGTGGGTGGGATTTGATTGAGACTTAACCAACCTTCACAAATGAAACCTGAAAACTATGAACATTTTTTTCGTGGTACTGAACAAATTTGGGGTATAATTTCTGCTCTGTGAGAATAATGAATCAAATATTACTTTGGGCAGCGTTTTTCCAATGAAGTTATATGATAGTGTTATCTAGCCTGCATTTTGCCCTCCTTGTGCTATTGGAAGTCAGAAGTGATCTTTGTCTCCCTGTAACAGACACCTCATCACTTTCCTCAGCTGCTTCTCTTAGTCCTTGAATGTTTCAGGCATTCTCTTTTTTTTTTTTTTTTGAGAGGAAGTCTCACTCTGTTGCCCAGGTGGGAATGCAATGGCATGATCTTGGCTCACTGCAACCTCCACCTCCTGGGTTCAAGTGATTCTCCCACTGCTTTCCAAGTAGCTGGAATTATAGGTGTGCACCACCATGCACAGCTAATTTATGTATTTTTAATAGAGATGGGGTTTCGCCATGTTGGGTAGGCTGGTCTCGAATTCCTGACCTGAGGTGATCCACCTGCCTTGGCCTCCCAAAGTGCTGGGATTGATTACAGGCATGAGCCACCTCGCCCAGCCCATGCATTCTCTTCTGAAGTGCTTTTGTGTCATCATCATTGTTGATTTTTGCACTTAGCACAATTTTAATGACATGATCTGTCTTTCCCAGTGCGTTTCTGGGAAACCCATGTGCTTGGGCCTTTGTCAGTCTTACTCTCTCAGTGGTTTTCTCTGCATCTGGCCTGAGGCCTGGTGAGTGGCTGGTGCTCAGTCAACACCCATGAGCAGCTGACCTGGCCGCCTGGTGGGGCTCTCTTCTCTTTGCAGGCGGCTTGGATGTGAAGTCTCAGGAAGCAGCTCTTCGGGCAGCGCCTGACATCCTCATCGCCACCCCAGGCCGGCTCATCGATCACCTCCACAACTGCCCTTCCTTCCACCTGAGCAGCATCGAGGTGCTCATCCTGGACGAGGCTGACAGGTGCTCCTCACAGCCTGGGGCCCAGGGCACTGTGGGGTTCCAAGGCCCAGAACCTGGATGTGGACCTGCCACACTGCGTTATTCTTTGTGGCTCTGGGCCATGGCTGTTGGTGTGCGATACCAGATCAGCCACTTGTGCTGGGGCCTCTGCCCAGCCTTAGCCCATGTTTTCCTCTTTTTTCTCTTTCTCTATTATGGTGGTTAAGTGATAAGGCTGGTCAAATGTTGGTCCTGCCACTTCCTAAGGGAGATTTGGAAATATTTAGATTCTCAAAACAAATCTTTTCTCATTTGTAAATGGGAGATAAGGACATACGCACACCATAGTGTTGAGGAGCTGAGGAGGGAGGAAGAGGAAGTGCCAGCGTGGCTCCCACAGGGCCTCTGTGACTGCAGTGGGGACTCCCTCTCCCCCCACCCCGCCCCCCAGCTCTCTGTTCCTCTCTGTGCCATCTGCTCACCTCTTTGCTCTGGGACTGAACAGAAGGAACTCTTCCTGAACTCTGGACTGAGGCTGGAGGTGGGGCAGGGGAAGGAGCTCGCAGACAGCCCCAGGGCATGCTAAGGTTGCAGGCCCTTAATCCCTGACTCTTCACCAGCTTGGGGAATGGCAGCTCCATCCTTCCAGCTGTTCTGAATTCTTAGCGTGTCCTCCTGTTTTCACATTCCACAGCCCGCCTGTCGACACAGCCTGGCCACACGCCCCCACTTTGTGGCTTCTGCATTTGCCATTTCCTCAGCCTGGAGCCATCTCCTGCCCCTTCAGGTTTCTGTTCCAGTTGTTATCTTGTTAGTGGGGCCTTTGCTGGCTGCCCTGTGACGGTCCTGCCCTGACTTGCTCCTCCCGTCCTGCCTGCATTGTCACTGAGGGTTCATGGAGTGCCAAGTCCCCCTCTCTCCCTAGGATACAGTATTCATGAAGGGGCTACTGCTATACTCCCATGAACAAGGGCATGTCTAGTATATAGCAGGCGCTCAGTAAATACTTGTTGAATAACCAATTGGCTGACTCCCCCAGAACAGAAGACCCATTCCTGAGGCCTAAAGGATGAAAAAGAGATCATTTTAAGCCAAGGGGATGTGATCTGGTTTAGGTTTTAAAGGGGGAGGGAAACTATTCAAGTATGTACCTCAAAAGACCAAAAAAGGCGGAGGAAGTATTTGAGATTTAGATCAGGAGACAGCTCTGTGTGATACCTGGACCTAGACTGTAGCCTGCACTGGGGAGAGAAATGCTGTAAGGGGTTGGGCTTGCTGAAAACATGGAATCCAAGGAATCTCACAGATTACTATTATGTATAAAGAGAAAGAGGATCCTTTACAGTGGCGTGATCTGGCAGACACTATAGCCAAGTGACCAACCTCACATCCACAGTTCTGGAACAAACCGGCCGTCAGTATCTCATGATGGAGCGTGAATGCAGGGCACAGCTGTGCCCAGCAGCGCTGTCCCCATGAGGATTTCTCTGAATCCAGTTACTGAGAAATAATTATACGAATCCAGACTGTGAGAAGGATGAGGGGCCTTTTCGTTCCTTTTTTTTTTTTTTTTGAGTCAGGGTCTTGCTTTGTCACCCAGGCTGGAGTGCCATGGTGTGAACACCAGCTCATTGCAGCCTCTACTTCCTAGACTCAGGTGATCCTCCCATCTCAGTCCCCCGACGTAGCTACTACTACAGGCACATGCTACCATGCCTGGCTTATTTTATATTAAATAAATAGAGACGGGGTCTCGCTATGTTGTCAAGGCTGGTCTTGAACTCCTGGGCTTAAGACACCCTTCTGCCTCGGCTTCCCAAAGTTTTGGGATTATAGGCATGAGCCACCTTGCCCGGCCCCAGCTCATTTTTGTATTTTTTGTGGAGATGAGGTTTTGCTATGCTGCCCAGGCTGAGGGGGCTTTTCTAGATGCAGGAAGACTAGAGACGTGGCAGCCAGTTGCAAGGCAGGAACTTTGGTTCTTGCACTAAAACAAAAGGTAACTATAAAATAAAACTTGGCCTGGCGTAGTGGCTCATGCCTATAACCCCAGCACTTTGGGAGGCCGAGGCAGGCGGATCACCTGAGGTAGGGAGTTCAAGACCAGCCTGACCAACATGGAGAAACCCCATCTCTACTAAAAATACAAAATTAGCCGGGTGCGGTGGCTCACGCCTGTAATCCCAGCACTTTGGGAGGCCAAGGCAGGCGGATCATGAGGTCAGGAGATTGAGACCATCCTGGCTAACACAGTGAAACCCTGTCTCTACTAAAAATACAAAAATATTAGCCGGGTGTGGTGGCGGGCGCCTGTGGTCCCAGCTACTCCGGAGGCTGAGGCAGGAGAATGGCGTGAACCTGGGAGGCGGAGCTTGCAGTGAGCGGAGATCGCGCCACTGCACTCCATCCTGGGCGACAGAGCGAGACTCCGTCTCAAAAAAAAAAAAAAAAAAAAAAAAAAATTAAGTGGGTGTGGTGGTGCATGCCTGTAATCCCAGCTATTCAGGAGGCTGAGGCGGGAGAATCGCTTGAACCCGGGAGGCCGAGATTGTGCCATTGCACTCCAGCCTGGGCAACAAGAGTGAAACTCCATCTCAAAAAAAAAAAAAAAAAGACACTTGGAACCTGGAGGCAGCTGAAGGAATTTGAACGTGGCCTGTGCTTTAGATATTCACGCACTTGAAAGTCTTGGGTGTGTTGATGAAGTTGTGTTTCTGTAAGAGAAGGTCCTAGTGCTTAGGAGTTGTGTGCTGAAATATTTGGGGTAAGGTGTTATAACATCTGTGACTGACTTGCCACAAAAAGACAAAGCAAATGTGGCAAAATGATAATTCTTGGTGAAAAGATAAAATAATAAAATAGATGAGTCCTAAATGTAACCAATGACAACAAACAGCAGCCGGTATGCAATCCCGTGTCCCTCACTGTGACCGAAGAGCACTCTCTCCATTTCTGCCATGTCTTTCTCTGCTCCCAGGATGCTGGATGAGTACTTTGAGGAGCAGATGAAGGAGATCATCCGAATGTGTTCCCACCACCGCCAGACCATGCTCTTCTCGGCCACCATGACAGACGAGGTGGGCCGAGGGACTTCTCTGTGGCGGGTGGCAGGTGTGCCCAGAGGGGGCCATGCAGAGGACCCTGGCTGGGCTTGAGGGGGTTTGCCTGGGGTGAGCACTGCTTCCTCCTTCCCTACCACCTTGCAGAGAGCTGAGGAAACCTGGCTTTGTGCTTGGCAGGTGAAAGATCTGGCTTCTGTCTCCTTGAAGAATCCTGTCCGGATATTTGTGAACAGCAACACAGATGTGGCTCCCTTCCTGCGGCAGGAGTTCATCCGGATCCGGCCTAATCGTGAAGGAGACCGGGAAGCCATCGTGGCAGGTGGCAGCACAGGGCAAGCCTGGGCAGGGTGGGCTGGTCAGCTTCCTTGAGCTCGTAGTATCCATGCTGAAGTGCTTGGTTTCCCCTGCGCCTCTGCCGTCCAGTCTTCCCCAGCGCAGAGGCTGCACTGCACTAATGATGATCCGCTGCCTCTCTTCTCCACGGGTCCTTCCTCCCTTTGCTTTATCGCCTCACCAATCCTCTTTGTGTCCTGTTCAACTCCCAACCACTTGGCATCAGCTGCTGTTGTACCCGTCAGTCCAGACCACTGTTCTCTGTCGCCTGGATCGTTGCGCAGCCTCTTGCTCGAGCTCCCTGCTTCCACTCGGCCTTTTGTGACTCTCTGCATTGCAGAGCATTTACAATGATTGCTTGCAGAAGACATTCGTACTTATTATGTCCTTATTTGAACACCCTGCGGTGGCTTCCATTGGTCTTAGACTAAAATCCAAACATCTTAGTTTTTTAGGACTCTTCGGGCCTGGCCCTTGCCTGCCCGGGATCCCAGCCTTGGAGGCTTGCTCATGGCTCCAGCCACATTCGCCTGCTTGCACTTTTTTTTTTTTTTCTTTGAGGCAGAGTCTTGCTCTGTCGCCCAGGCTGGAGTACACTGGCACGATCTTGGCTCAATGCAGCCTTTGCCTCCTGGGTTCAAACGATTCTCCTGCCTCAGCCTCCCGAGTAGCTGGGATTACAGGCACTTGCCACCACTTCTGGCTAATTTTTGTATTTTTAGTAGAGATGGGGTTTCACCGTGTTTGCCAGGCTGGTCTTGAACTCCTGGCTTCAAGTGATCTGTCCTCCTTGGTCTCCCAAAGTGCTGGGATTACGGGCATGAGCCACTACATCCAGCCGCCTGCTTGCACTTCTCACTATAAGCTGGTTCCTGCCTCCGGGCCTTCATGTTTGCCATTTCCTCTGTCTAGAATCTTCCCCTGGATCTTCCCATGGATCATCTGCCTTGTCATTCAACCTAATGTCACCTCTTCAGAGAGGCCAGCCCTTAGCTGCTTCCCCCTCGTCCCTGCACTCTCTCTCACAGCATTTTTCACCCCCCAGGAATTGGCTTCTCTGTATCCACCCTGGAATTTGAGTTCCACAGGACAGGGACAGTGCCTGTCTATCCAGTGCCAGGCACAGTGACCATACTTTGTGGATGAGGAGGGGGTACATGTTGAATAAGAGCCTAGAAACAGCTGCCAGCTCAGTCCTCTCTTCCTGCCAGCTTTGTTGACGAGGACCTTCACTGACCATGTGATGCTGTTCACGCAAACCAAGAAGCAGGCCCACCGCATGCACATCCTCCTGGGGCTCATGGGGCTGCAGGTGGGTGAGCTCCATGGCAACTTGTCACAGACGCAGCGGCTGGAGGCCCTCCGGTAACATTTGGGGTGGGGACTGAGGCTCCCACCATCCTTCTGGGGCAGAGAGGATAGAAGGAAGAAGAGGACCCTGAGCATTCTATTAGAACATTAGCAGGGGACACATAGCATGATCTTGGCCTTGAACATTTTAACCTAACCACTGTGAGGTCATGTCTTAGATGTGTTTAGAACTCTAACTTCATAGTCAGAGATGACCCTCATGTCCTTGGATGCTTGTCCCTAGCATGGGAGCTGTTGTGTGGCGTGACAGAGGAAGCTGGCTTGGAAAGGCAACACATGGTCTCTTCTTGGAAGCTTTCTGAGAGTGGTGAACATTCCTGGGTCTGATTGAACAAGATTTAGAGTCAAAGTTAGCAGCCATTACTTGAGCATCTACTTTGCCAGGCACTGTGCTGCGTGCTTTCCATGTGATTTCTTGTTTAGTCCTCAGAGAATGGCATCAAGGTGGTTGGCAAGGAGGAACCCTTTAGAACTCTCCACCTAACCCTGTTCATCAGTGGGTGCTGAAAGGTGTTTGTTAAAGATAGGCTGATTTAAACTGAGACAATTGCCTATGCTGTTAGCAGATACAGAACTACGTTTGCTCTGTATGATGGGTTGTTGAAGGGTGGGTGTAAATATCCCATGTGCTCACATTTAGAATCTATCCCTATTTTTTTTTTTTTTTGAGACGGAGTCTCGCTCTGTCGCCCAGGCTGGAGTGCAGTGGCGCAATCTTGGCTTACTGCAAGCTCCGCCTCCC
This sequence comes from Homo sapiens, assembly GCF_000001405.40. Classification (NCBI taxonomy): domain Eukaryota; kingdom Metazoa; phylum Chordata; class Mammalia; order Primates; family Hominidae; genus Homo; species Homo sapiens. The sequence continues at coordinate 49,235,837 of NC_000020.11, forward strand.
AGGTTCACGCCATTCTCCTGCCTCAGCCTCCCAAGTAGCTGGGACTACAGGCGCCCGCCACCATGCCTGGCTAATTTTTTGTATTTTTAGTAGAGACGGGGTTTCACCGTGTTAGCGAGGATGGTCTCGATCTCCTGACCTCGTGATCTGCCCACCTCGGCCTCCCAAAGTGCTGGGATTACAGGCGTGAGCCACCGTGCCCAGCCTCTATCCCCATTTTAATGCCCTGTTCTGTCCTCTGCTGGCTCAGGCTCTTGTGGAGCATTATTAGGGGAGGGTGTCTGGATGAACAGCTGTTTGTGACTGTTTCTAGGCGTTTTAAGGATGAACAGATTGACATCCTCGTGGCCACTGATGTGGCAGCCCGTGGACTTGACATTGAGGGGGTCAAAACGGTGAGCAGACACTATCTTCCTTGGACTTTTGGTGGAAGTCTTTTTGCCTCTTCGCACCCCCCTTCCCTTGCCAGGCCTGACGTTCATTTTTGACCTTCTAGGTAATCAACTTCACAATGCCTAATACCATCAAACATTATGTCCACCGGGTGGGGCGAACAGCACGTGCTGGCAGGGCTGGGCGCTCAGTCTCTCTGGTGGGAGAAGATGAGCGGAAGATGCTGAAGGAGATTGTAAAAGCTGCCAAGGCCCCTGTGAAGGCCAGGATACTTCCCCAAGGTGAGCAGGCACCCCTGTGGCAGTGCAGAATGGCTCGGTGGGCGGGGCAAGGACAGAGTGTAATGGCTGAGAGCAGGTACTTTGCAGTTCAGAGCCAGATTTGAATTCCAGCCCTGCTGCTTCCTTGCCGAGTGACCATGTGCAGGTTTCACCTCACCTCTCTGAGCTTGCCTCCTGTGTGTAGAAGGGAATTATGACAGAATTGTAAACACAGTGCCCCATTTAGGTGGAAATTGAGAAGAGAAGGTTGCTTGGGGCAAAATTCTCACTAAACTCCTCTTTCCCTTACTGTTGGTGGTGGGGAAGAGAGAGATCAGTACTCATTCTTTTTGGGTCCTTTCATTGATTTTGTTCCTCTGATCTGTGGGGGTCTTATAAAGCACATCCTCTTTAAAGTCTTTTTTTGTTTTGTTTTGTTCTTGAATTCCTAGGCTCAAGCAATCCACCCACCTTCTGCCTCCCAAAGTGCCGGGATTAACAGTAATGAGCCACCATGCCCAGCCTTAAAAATTTTTAAAGTTATAAAAATAATACATATTTAGCCTGAGCATGGTAGCTCTTGCCTATAACCCAGCACTTTGGGAGGCCAAGGCAGGAGGATTGCTAGAGGCCAGGAGTTCAAGACCAACCTGAGCAATATAGTGAGCTGCCTGTCTCTAAAAAAAAAAAATTAGCTGGGCATGGTGGTGTGTGCCTGTAGTCCCAGCTATTCAGAAGGCTGAGGCAGGAGATCTCTTAAATCCAGGAGGTTGAGGCTGCAGTGAGCTATGATTGTGCCACTGCACTGCAGCCTGGGCAAAAGTGCAAGACCCTGTCTCTAAAAAATGAAATGAAAAGTACGTATTTATTGTTGGAAATTAGTAAATAAAAAAAAATGTAATTCTGTGTCAAAGAGCTCACCACTGGTAGCATTTAGGTGTATGTCTTTTCAAACCATTTTTCCTTTCTTAAATGTCCCTTTTATTTTTTTCATTTTCATTGTCTTCATTTAATCAGCGACTAGTTATTGAGTCCTGCTGTGGGCCTAGTGCTATTGATTCTGTTCTAGGTGCTGGGGATACAGCAGGGAACAAAGCAGAGCTGTGGTTCTGGGAGAAAGAGACAATAAATAAGCTAACAGTAGATGTGATTGAGAACAGCAGGAGGAGACTGCCTCATTAAGCTGTTAAGGAAAGGCCTCTGCACAGCTGGCATTGGAGCTGAGTCCTGGGTGATCGGAATGAGGCAGCCATGAGAGGTCTGAGGGCAAAGTGCTGAGCTGAGAGAACAAGGGTGGAGGCTGTGAGGTAGGAACGAGCTTAGTGTGTGAGAACAAGAGAAAGGTCAGGAGGCTCAGGCGTGGTGAGCAGGGACACACAGAAGATCAGAGCGGTAGGCAGGGGCCACTCTGAGTCTGGGGGATATGAAGCAGAGAAGGCACACATTACAGACACCATTTCCTATGTCAGTAAATGCACAGCTAAATTATTTTCATCAGTTACACAGTATTAGTAGTCACCCTTATTTTATTTTATTTAATTTATTTTTGAGATGGAGTCTTGCTCTGTTGCCAGGCTGGAGTGCAGTGGTGCGATCTCGGCCCATTGCAACCTCTGCGTCCCGGGTTCAAGTGATCCTCCTGCCTCAGCCTCCCAAGTAGCTGGGACTACAGGTGCATGCCACCACGCCCAGCTAATTTTTATATTTTTAGTACAGGTGGGGTTTCACCATGTTGTCCAGGATGGTCTCGATCTCTTGACCTCGTGATCCACCCGCCTTGGCCTCCCAAAGTGCTGGGATTACAGGCTTGAGCCACTGCCTTATTTTGTTTAAGATAAGGTCTTGCTTTGTTGCCCAGGCTGGGGTACAGGGGTGCGATCATAGCTTACTGTTGCCTCGAACTCCTGGGTTCAAGCAGTTCTTCTCCTCAGCCTCCTGAGTAGGTGGGACTACAGGTGTGTGCCACCATGATGGCTAATTTTTTTTTTTTTTTTAGATGGAGTCTCGCTCTTTTGCCCAGGCTGGAGTGTAGTGGTGTCATCTTGGCTTACTGCAGCCTCCGCCTCGTGGGTTCAAGCAGTTCTCCTGCCTCAGCCTTCTGAGTAGTAGCTGGGATTACAGGCGTGTGCCCCCACACCCAGCTGATTTTTGTATTTTTAATAGAGACGGGGTTTCACAGCATTGGCCAAGCTGGTCTCAAACTCCTGACCTCAGGTGATCCACCTGCCTTGGCCTCCCAAAGCGTGGGATTACAGGCATGAGCCACTGTGCCTGGCTTTTTTTTTTTTTTTTTTTTTTTTTGTAGAGACAGAGTCTGGCCACGTTGCCCAGGCTGGCCTCAAATTCCTGGGCTCAAGCAATCCTCCCACCTCAATCTCCCAGAGTGCCGGGTTACAGGTGTGAGCCACCATGCCTGGCCTACCCTTATTTGTAAATCCTTTTTATTTTCTCCCATTGAGATGTCATCCTCAAATTCCGGGACAAGATTGAGAAAATGGAGAAAGATGTGTATGCAGTTCTGCAGCTAGAGGCGGAGGAAAAAGAGATGCAGCAGTCAGAAGCCCAGGTGAGGCTGCGAGGCGGGATCTTGTTCACAAGGCTGCTCAGTAAGCAAGCTGCTGCATCCCTGCTGGTGCTGCCCTTCTGAAATGTTTCTCCCATCAGAGCCCCAGGCATTTGCAGCCCGTGGCTTCCTGTGTTAGTAGATACGGGTTTCACGGCAGGCATCCTTTTGTTATCTCTACAGATCAATACAGCAAAGCGGCTCCTGGAGAAGGGGAAGGAGGCAGTGGTCCAAGAGCCCGAGAGGAGCTGGTTCCAGACCAAAGAAGAGAGGAAGAAGGAGAAAAGTAAGTCAGGGAGGTTCCGCAGAAATCTAAATACAGAATTACCCCACAGGACTCAGCAGTTCCATTTCCTAGTTCTATACTGTAAAGCAGCGGTCCCCAACCTTTCGGCACCAAGGACCAGTATCGTGGAAGACAATGTTTCCACATTTGGGGTGTGGGGGTTGCATTAGATTCTCATAAGGAGTGCACACCCTAGATCCCTCGCATGCGCACTTCACAATAGGGTTAGTGCTCTTATGAGAATCTAATGCTGCTGCTGATCTGACAGGAGGCCAAGCACAGGTGGCAATGCTTGGTTGCCCAATGCTCACGTCCTGCTGTGCAGCCTGGTTCCTAATACGCCATGGACTGGAACCGGTATGCAGCCTGGGGTTGGGGACCACTGTTGTAAAGGATGTAAACAGGGACTCAAACAGATACTTAGATGCCAGTGCTCTTTGAATTACTGTTCATAATAGCAAAAAGGTGGAAACAAACTATGTTCATCAACAAGTGAATGGATAAACAAAATTTGGGGTGTGTGTTTATATACACACAATGGAATATTATTCAGCCATGAAGTTCTGATACATGCCATAAGGATGAACCTTGAAAATCTTAAGCTGAATGAAATAATCCAGACACAAAGGGACAAATACTGTCTGATTTCACTTACCTGAGATATCTAGCTAGGCAAATTCACAGAGACAGAAATAGATTATAGATTACTTAGGGCTAGGGGAAGGGGGGTTATAGGAAATTATTAGTGGTTGCAGAGCTTCTGTTTTCAATGATGTCAGTGAGTAGCCTCCTGATAGGAGTTTTGGAAACAGATAGTGGTGATGGTTGTACAATGTTGTGAATGTAAGTAATGCCACTGAATTGTATACTTAAGATTGGGTAAAATGGCAGCCTTTGTTTTATATGTGTATATATAACCACAATAAAAATAATTTTAAAAAAGTTAGGAGATATTTAATACAGATTTCCTCTCCATCTCCCTTTAAAAAAGACCCAAAACACTTATAAGTTCACATTGTTCTATGCCTCGCCTTTTCACTTAATTTTGAAGCTTAGAGATATGTTTTATATAGGCCCACATATGCTGCCCTTTTTGTTTTTTGTTTTCAGACGGAGTCTTGCTCTGTCACTGAGGCTGGAGTGCAGTGGCGCAATCTCGGCTCACTGCAAGCTCTGCCTCCTGGGTTCACCCCATTCTCCTGCCTCAGCCTCCTGAGTAGCTGGGACTACAGGTGCCTGCCACCGCACCTGGGTAATTTTTTGTATTTTTAGTAGAGATGGGATTTCACCGTGTTAGCCAGGATGGTCTCGATCTCCTGACCTCGTGATCCGCCTGCCTTGGCCTCCCAAAGTGCTGGGATTACAGGTGTGAGCCACTGCACTCGGCCCCCTTTTTGTTTTTTTTAATGGCTTCATGTTCTTCCATCATATGAGTAGATTGTTGAGGGACATTGAGGTTGTTTACAATCATTTGTCATCCAGCCTGGGCAGCATGGCAAAACCCCATCTCTACTAAAAATCAAAAAATTAGCCAGACATGGTGGTGCATGCCTATAGTCCAACTACTTGAGAGGCTGAGGTAGGAGGATCACCTGAGCCTGGGGAGGTCAAGGTTGCAGTGAGCTAAGATTCTGCCACTGAACTGCAGCCTGGGCGGCAGAATGAGACCCCGACTCAAACCACCACCACCAACAACAAAAAACCCAAAAAATAATCATTTGTCATTACAAACAAGTGATGTAGGGAATAACCTTGCACATATGCCCTTTTACAATTAAGCAAGTGTATATTTGGCTTGCAGGATTAATTCCTAAAAGTGGAATAGTGGGTCAGAGGATATTTGTATTTCTAGTTTTGTTAGAGGTTGCAAAATTTCCCTCCTAGAGGGTATACCAGCAGTTTTAGAAATGCTGTCTATATTTGATGGGACAAAATAAGGGTGTATATAACTTAAATTTCTGATAAAAATAGAGTTATAACTGTATTGGTGGGTAAAGTAGTAAAGTGACCTAAATCTTCATCCTTCATAGCAGGAGGTTTGTAATGAGTATCTTAAGTGGATTGAGAAATAGTCAAAAAAGCATGTTATTTAGTGAGATGGAGGTAATCAGTGGAAGAAGTGCTTGCGGCTTTTCTTTTCTTTTTTTTTTTTGAGGCAGGGTCTCGCTCTGTCGCCCAGGCTGGAGTGCAGTGGCGCGATCTCAGCTCACTGCAGCCTCCCCTTCCTAAGTTCAAGCAATTCTCTCACCTCAGCCTCCCAAGTAGCTGGGATTACAGGTGCACCACCATGCCCAGCTAATTTTTGTATTTTTAGTAGTCGGGGTTTCACCATGTTGGCCATGCTGATCCCAAACTCCTGACCTCAGGTGATCCACCCACCTCAGCCTCCCAAAGTGCTGAGACTACAGGCACGAGCTACTGCACTCGGCCAAGAAGTGCTTGCCGCTTTTCATTTTAATCTGCTAACTTACCAATTGAAAACGTGCACTTCTTATCGTAAGCTTAAAAAAAGATAAAATCATCCCTGAAATCTTATGCTTTCTTCTCATCCCAGTTGCCAAAGCTCTGCAGGAATTTGACTTGGCCTTAAGAGGAAAGAAGAAAAGGAAGAAGTTTATGAAGGATGCCAAAAAAAAGGGGGAGATGACAGTGAGTGGCCTCCCTTTTGGAGTTTGGGCCCACTCGGTGGGGTGGGTCAGAGTGGCCTGGTGTGTTCCACACTCACACCTCCCCACTCCCCCTAGGCAGAGGAAAGGTCTCAGTTTGAAATCCTCAAGGCGCAGATGTTTGCTGAACGGCTAGCGAAGAGGAATCGCAGAGCCAAGCGGGCCCGAGCAATGCCCGAGGAGGAGCCAGTGAGAGGTCCTGGTAGGTGAATGGGGAGCCCAAAGGAGCTTGTACAAGGTTTTCCCTGAAACCTGTGCTTTGGGTCAGGGAGAAAATCTGAGGGATGATGACAGTAGCCCACATTATTTGAGTAATTAGTATGTACCAATGTGTACAGCTATCCCTCCACGGTCTAAGGGGCGCAGTGACCTTGTGGTTGTTGAGAACTAGGATTTGAACGCCAGCTTTTCTGACTCCGGAGCCTAAGGCCTCACCAGCTGCTACTTGGAGGAGCTGGTGAGGACAGAATGAAAATAGTCTTTGGATGCCAGAGTATCCACTGAACTTGGAATCATTACCTTGAACTTAAGGGGATTTAGGAGCTTGGGCCAAAGACAACCATATGTAACCCATTCTCTCTGTGCACAGCCAAGAAGCAAAAGCAGGGGAAGAAATCTGTATTTGATGAAGAACTCACCAACACAAGCAAGAAGGCCCTGAAACAGTATCGAGCTGGGTAGGATTTTAAGTCATCATGGAGCCCTTGGTATTCTTTTTTTTTTTTTTTTTTTTTTTGAGACGGAGTCTCGCTCTGTCGCCCAGGGTGGAGTGCAGTGGTGCATCTTAGCTCACTGCAAGCTCCACCTCCTGGGTTCAAGCAATTCTCCTGCCTCAGTCTCCCAAGAAGCTGGGACTATAGGCGCACGCCACCATGCCCAACTAATTTTTGTATTTTTAGTAGAGATGGGGTTTCACCATGTTTGCCAGGATGGTCTCGATCTCTTGACCTCCTGATCCACCCGCCTCAGCCTCCCAAAGTGCTGGGATTACAGGCTTGAGCCACCGTGCCCGGCGAGCCCTTGGTATTCTAATGGAAGCTATGAGTCTTCTGCCTCCTTCCCCATTTCCAGTTTTTGCACACCTATAGCTTTATACTATGTAAATTCAAGGGTACCTGTCTGTTCTCCACCCCCCACCCCTCTCAGAGCCACCTGAGGATCCCAAGGTGAGAACAGGAGAGGGGTGTTCAGTTAGCACTGTTCCTGCCTTGGAGGTGAAATAGTACATTGTTGGGTTCAGAAATGGAGCTTTCCTTCAGGGGAGTGATAACTCTTTCATCTCAAGTTCCATCCTGCAGAACCCCAGAGAATCCTGGCTTGCTCTTAGGAATATGTTGTCCCACACCATTTTCCCCAGCCCAAGGTTGGGGCAGGGGCAGACTAAGCTTCCCAAGTAGTGGTATATACCTAAGAAGGGCCTCTTCCAACCTTGTTTTAAAATTGGGCCCTGACTTCCAGAAACACGTTATCAGGTGGAAACACATAAAGGCTTAGAACTTAGGGCCTGAAAATGATGCATCCCAGAGATGCTACTGCTTCATGTAGGAGCTGGGGAGGGTGGGGGTGAGACAACACCCATTTGTTCAACAGTTTGCTCATTTCAGCATGTCATCTTCTCTCACAGCCCTTCCTTTGAAGAAAGGAAACAGTTGGGCTTGCCCCACCAGAGACGAGGAGGAAACTTTAAATCTAAATCCAGGTGATACTGGCTGTTTTGGAGGGGCATAGGTTTTGGGATTAGAGATAAAAACCTTTCATGGAAAAGAAGCTTCTCCATCCTCATTCTGGTCTTAACTCTGATTTTCTTACAGATACAAGAGGAGGAAGTAGCTGTCGTGGCCTGAAGAAATTCATGGGGGCAGCCCTTAAATCCCTTCCCTGTGGGAAGTCATCCTGGCTGGTCTGTCTTTTCTCCATTTGTTTAAAAAAAAAACAAAAACAAAAAACAACACTTTGGTGTGGTGGTATGGTACGTAGCTATTTTCCTAAGCATGTCTGTCAATCTCCCTTCTTGCTGATTAGCTTTCATATGACTATATTAAATGGAAGTATTTTTGGGAAAAGAGAAACCAATCCAAGTGTATATCTTATTACTATCTCTTCCTCAATGGCAAATGTGCCCACAGTCTACTAGCTTGGTATCACCACATACAGTTGGTATGCATAATCTTTATGCTTGTAGAGGAACAGGGTATGGAGTGAGGAAATTCTTGGTAGAAGTTCTCTTCTAGCCTGGGGAACATAACAAGACCCTGTCTCTTAAAAAAAAACAACAACAACAGAAAAGTTCTCTTCTGTTGATACTCTAGAACTAAGAGCTAAATGATAGCTGAAGAAGATAGCTAAATGATAACTCTTAGTTCTAAAACATCAACAGGGGAGAACTTTAGCATGAATGCCAACCATGCACCAGATATTCTGTGTGCTGAATAGAATCCAGTCAACTCACTGCACTCCTGTGAGGCAGGCAGTGATATCCTCATTTTCCAATAAACAGAGGCTTGGAAAGACTAACTTTCCAGAGTTGCACAGCTGGGAATTCAGGTTTTCAACCAACATCTACTTGAACCCTCACCTTACCTCTTGCTGCTGTGCTGTGGAAATGCTGCTGGAGAAATGGAAGCCCGAAAAGGACAGAAGGAGCCTTGACACCATAAATTAGTTACTTGCTGCAAAAACCAGAGTCTCTTGTCCTCCAGGCTGGAGTGCAATGACACGATCTTGGCTCATTGCAACCTCCACCTCCCGGGTTCAAGCGAATCTCCTGCCTCAGCCTCCCAAATACCGGTGATTACAGGTGCCCGCTACCATGCCTGGCTAATTTTTGTATTTTTAGGAGAGACAGGGTTTCACCATGTTGGCCAGGCTGGTCTTGAACTCCTGACCTCAGGTGATCCACCACCTCAGCCTCCCAAAGTGCTGGGATTACAGGCTTGAACCACTGTACCTGGCCAAAAACCAGTTTTGATCCTGTAAGAACGTCGGTTCTCATCCTTTTCTGACTCAGAATGAGATGAAAGCTGTGGGGCCCCACCTGGAAAACTGTATAGTTTGTTATAATTTCAGGGAGTACTTACCACCCTACCCCCAGCTTAAAAATTATAAGTTATCCAGTAGCACATACCCTAGATACTAAAGAGTGTGTTCAAAGCTATTCATTCAGGCTGCACCTAAGTCACCAACAGAGGGTCCAATTCAGAAAATGATGGCACAACTGTGTGATGGAGTACAGTTCAGACTACTGTCTTACTGGATTTTACAGAAAGTAGGTTATTAGGCTAAAAAAGCCAAGTGCAGAACTGTGTACTTTTTCTTTTCCTTTTCCTTTTTTTGAAGCAGGGTCTCACTCTTGCCCAGGCTGGAGTGCAGTGGCTTCACTGCTCACTGCAACCTCGACCTCCCCAGGCTCAGGTGATCCTCCTACCTCAGCCTTTGGAGTAGCTAGGACTACAAGTGCAAGCAACAACACCTGGCTTATTTTTGTATTTTTTTTTTTGTGGAGATGGTTTCGCCCTGTTGCCCAGGCTGGTCTTGAACTCCTGGGCTCAGGCCATCTGCCCAATGTGGCCTCCCAAAGTGCTGGGATTACAGATGTGAGCCACCATGCCTGGCCTAAGGGATGTGTATTGCATGTGCATAAGTTCTCTCTGGGAGGACTCAGGAAGTTAACAGGGTTTGCCTCTGGAGAAAGAAACTTCAGGTATACCCTTTTGTACAGGCTGAAAAAATGTTCTTTTTACCGTGGGTAAAAATGATTCATTCACCAGCTAAATAAAAATCCTGTATCACAAAAACAAAATCACAGCCTCACTGTAGACAGTGCCTTCCCTGTGCCCGTCTTCACTGTCTTTGGCTGAGTTGCTTCTGAAAATTGAGGATACACGTGGACCACTGATTTTCTCAATCATTGTTTTTAATTGGCTTTATAAGCTAAAGTGCATAGTAAAGACAAAAAAAGGAAATGCATACATAGGAAAGGGACACTTAGAAAGGACCTGAGATACCTAAATGTCTGTTCTAAGGAACACTGGAAGGAGGGAATGCAGATGCAGGCAGCAGGCCTGGGTCTGGCTTCTGGCCTGGGTTTGGAGCCTGCAGAAGCTGCTGGCATGCTAGCTCTACCCAGGGAACAGCTCCAAGAGGGAGTGTTGGGATGAAGGATCACACTTGGGATAGGTGCTGCTGGTACCAAATGTGATTTTAGCTCCATTCAGGGCCCAGGGGTAACCAGCAGTGCCACCAAACCTGTCAGCAGGTAAAGAAACTTCTACCATCCCAAAGTGCAGGTTACAGGAAAGGGGTCACTCCTTAATGACGACCTGGGCCTGCTGCATAAGGCCCATCTTATGCAGCATGTGGGCTGTCCCATCTTCCCCACTCTCAGTGACTATGTAACTGTGTCAGGGTGAGTTGGTGCAGTCTTTTGTCTTATCACGTGCCTCCATCTCCTGGAGGCAGGGTGCCCAAGGAGGGCAGGGAGGGGTTCTTGTGCTCCTTTAAGGGATAAGCAGTTCATAAACAACTATGGGCCTCTGTTTATTATGAGAGTTAGTCTGCAAATTAGGGCCTGGCAATTAGAATCGGTCTGCATCAATGAGCTCATACTCTGTTCCTGGGGAACAATGTAGAATAAACATCTGACCAAGTAAAGACCCAGAGATACCACTAGGTGGCCCTAGGTGGAAGCCCCAAACATGTTCCAGGGAGTCTGTCCACTAATTTGCAGGAGAGAAGGGGTGAGATTTGTTAACTTTGCTCTCAGTTCTGGAGATAAAGTGCTTACTCTAGCGCAGGGGTAAATCTAGAAACAAATGTGGGTGAGCCCTAAAAGTGGATCCTTAAGTAGGTGCTAAGACTAAAAAGAATGATTTTTTTTTTTTTGAGACAGAGTCTTGCTCCTGTCGCCCAGACTGGAGTGCAATGGCATGATCTCAGCTCACTGCAACCTCCGCCTCCTGGGTTTAAGCGATTCTTCTGCCTCAGCCTCCCAAGTAGCTGGGATTACAGGCGCCCGCCATAACGCCCAGCTAATTTTTGTATTTTTAGTAGAGACGGGGTTTCGCCATGTTGGTCAGGCTGGTCTCGAACTCCTGACCTCGTGATCCGCCTGCCTCGGCCTCCCAAAGTGCTGGGATTACAGGCGTAAGCCACTGCGCCCAGCCTAAAAAGGATGATAATAAAAAACAAACTTCAGTTCCTTCATTAGGGAGCTGGCCCCAGTCATTCAGTGGCGAGGGCAAAAGGCAGTGGTGTACCATCTTCCTACATCATCCCCTGGATCTCCTCAAAGTTCATCAGGTTGTTGGCCGTGTCAGACCAGGCAGCATGCTGGGCTCCATCCATTTCAGAAGCAAGCTGGTTGCTTCTTTCCAGAGTATGATTTGTGCCACCAATCACTTCCTTACAGTCAGGACACGTGCCCCTCTCCATGGCTCCCCCACAATCGCCAATCACATAGATATGGCCATTGCGGCACTTGAACCAGTGACCACGAGGATAACCTATGGCACTGACAATCTGCACTCGCTCTTCCTCTGAGATGCCCAGGCCAGAGCAGGGAAGGGTGGCTTTCAGAGCTTCCATCTTTTCCTGCACAAGTTGTTCATCCTCTTGGGTGAACTTACATGTTTTCTCAAGGATATTCTGGACACTATAGACCTCTACTGCTATGCTATCTTTCACCTTCTTCTCTGCTATCTTGTAGCGGGTCAGAAGGTTCACCAGGTATGTGAGCCTCTGGATTTCACTTCGGAGGTCACTTAGTTCCTGGCTAGTGAAGCTCAAGCGCTTCTTGGCCAGCCACTCATGGACCTGTTCTAGTCGAGTCCTCACTCTTTTCTCTTCTAAGACATGCATCTTTTTCAGGGAATCCCACAGGCTGGCCAGGTGGTCATAGAAGCTGATGTAATTCTCAACCAGACCCAGGTCCTTCACTGACAGATTTTTCTGGGCCAGCTTCTCCTTTAACATCAGGAAGTCTTCAGGAAGCAGCTGGTGGAGGAGGCTCTTCCTCTCCAGCAGGGCCTTAAGCCGTTCCTGGCTGGTTGCTATTTCCCCTGCTGAGCCCTGGATCTTTTCCTTGATGATTTCAATCTCTTCTAGCCGCTGTTTTATGCTAGTTCCATACCTCAGGTTTTTGCGGATGGGCACCTGGCAGATAGGGCAGACTTTCAATCTGATGGCGACTTCATCATCCTTCTGTTCATTCATGTAGCGGTCTAGGGCTTGCACCTCAAAGATGTGGCTGCAGTCTTCCAGCTGCACAAAGCGGGCATCAGGCTCATCCTCAAAGCCAAAGAATATTTGGGTGACCTCATCCATGTGGCAGATCCGGCATTTCTTGGGGCATGGCTCCCCACAGAGACCAATGCAGGGGTGGCCACAAACTAGCAGCTTAGTACAAGGCACATAGCATGGGGGTCGGTTGCAGGGCTCAGAGCAGAGTTTGGTGCACTGGTAGTGCTGGCAGCGCCAGACACAGGGTTCCACGCAGGGACTACACAGCTCCCCACATTTCTTCTTGCACTGGCTGTGGACACAGCGGTTCTGACAGGTCCGCTGGCAGGGTGGGCACTCACCAATGCATGGTTCCTGGCACTTGTGTGAGCAGATAAGCAGGCGCTTGCAGGGCTGCTGACAGCGTTCATGGAAACGCCCTTCGAAGCAGCTGTGGCAGGAGCCTGGGCAAGGATGCCCGCAGTCCAAGATAGTGCCACACTTTGTGGTACACTTGACTAGCAGACCACCATACAGGAGGCCTTCCACATGACCACATTTTACCGGTTGACTGTGCCCACACTTGAGTTTTATGGTGACCATTTCTGAACACAGCTGCACACAGTCCTCACCACATGGGTGGCTGCATCTGTGCCCACATCTCAGAGACTTGGAGCAAGGCTCCTGGCAGCAGAAATCTGACTCAGGCACGGAACAAGGGACCATTTGTTCATGGCCGCACCGAGGAATGGTTTTGGGCACCTTCACCTGACAAGGCTGACACTCCTGGAAGCAAACAAGGGGACACCGGTGCCCTTCCTGACAGATGACCTTCTGGCATGGCTTCATGCATTGGAACTCCTTGTGTGAAGAGTCATAAGGGTGGCAGGCACGGGTGCAGACATGCCCACAGCCCAGGCGGAACTCGCAGGGCAGGCTGCAGCCTCCTTCGGGTACTTTTTGGAAGTCAGAAGCTTTGGATACTAAGGTGTGGGTTTCAGGGTGGTTCTGGCAGCAGAGCCGGAGCATGGGGCCTATTTGATTGTTCTCTCGAAGTGTATGAATGATCTTGCTCCACAGGGGCACCTTGGCCAGCATCTGCATGTTTCCGATGCAGTACATTCCCTTCTTGGCTCGGGACAAGGCCACACAGATGCGGTTGGATATCTGCAGAAAACCCACCTTGCCTTCTTGGTTGCTCCGCACTAGCGAGAGGAGGATGATGTCATTCTCTTCCCCTTGGTATTTGTCCACAACATGGACCCTGACGCCAGCAAATGTCTTGGCAGGCATCAGTTTGCGCAGGCAGAAGAGCTGCCCGGTATAGGTAGTGAGGATGGTGATCTGGGAAGGCAGGTATTCCTGGCACAGGAAGTACTTGCACAGCTCTACCACAAAGTGAGCCTCATGCTGGTTCTGATGGCTTTTGCCCTCTTGGATTTCCTGTTCAGGAAAGTTGTGTTCTACAAAGAAAAGGTTGGAAGACACCCCCTGACAGGGAAAAGAAGTGACATGTTAAAAGGTTCACTCATGGCACTTGTTTTTTTCTTCCTCTCTTGACATGCACTGGCCACTTACTCTGCTCCAGAGAGAGACCTTGGAAAGCTTTTTGTCCACTCAACATCACTATCTTTAGTTCTTTAGTTAGTCATTGTGTGCTTCATTTTGGGGCCACAGCAAGTTATGAAAATAAAAGATTATGTCTCTTTCAGTTTTCAAGATACTTGTTTGATGTTAATATTTAAAAAAGCTGGCTGGGTACAGTGGCTCACGTCTGTAATCCCAGCACTTTGAGAGGCCGAGGTGGGTGGATCACCTGAGGTCAGGAGTTTGAGACCAGCCTGGCCCACATGGTGAAACCCCGTCTCTACTAAAAATACAAAAATTAGCTGGGCGTGGTAGTGGGCGCCTATAATCCCAGCTATTCAGGAGGCTGAGATGGGAGAATAGTTTGAACCCAGGATGCAGAGATTGCAGTGAGCCGAGATCATGCCACTGCACTCCAGCCTGGGTGACAGACAGAGTGAGACTCCATCTCAAAAAAAATAGAAAATAAAACAGCCATCCACAATCCAACCATTATAGCTGAAAGAACAAGCAGTGCTGTGAGGAGGATGATGATAATGACAGAGCAGCTAACTTACTGAGCACTCCACTGTGCTGACTGCTTTATATACATTACCTCCTTCCATACAGTAATGGGATATGGCAGGAGCCATTATTCTTATTGTCCAGAAGAACCTGATACTCAGAATTTATTTATTTATTTTAAAAAAAGAGACAGTCTTGCTATGTGCCCCAGCCTGGTTTTGAACTCTTGGCCTCAGCTGACAATTTTTTTTTTTTGAGACAGAGTTCACTCTTGTTGCGTAGGCTGAAGTACAGTGGCACGGTCTTGTTGGCTCACCACAACCTCCACTTCCCAGGTTCAAGCGATCCTCTCGCCTCAGCCTCCCAAGTAGCTGGGATTACAGGCGCCCACCACCATGCCCAGTTAATTTTTGTATTTTTAGTAGAGACGGGGTTTCACCATGTTGGCCAGGCTAGTCTCCAACTCCTGACCTCAGGTGATCCACCCATCTTGGCCTCCGAAAGTGCTGAGATTATAGGCATGAGCCACCACACCCAGCCAGGCACATGCCACCGCACCCAGCTAATTTTTGTATTTTTAGTAGAGATGGGATTTCACCATGTTGGCCAGGATGGTCTTGATCCCTTGACCTTGTGATTCGCCCGCCTCGGCCTCACAAAGCTCTGGGATTACAGGCGTAAGCCACCGCGCCTGGCCAGAATTCTTATATAACTTGCTTAAGGTTACATGGCTAACAGGCAGAATTGGGATTAAAAAACCCTGGTCTGTATTTCAATTTTCTCCCAGTAACCAGCTTTTAAAAAGCTGGCTCTACTCCCTTCTGAAGGCTTTCTTTTTTTTTTTGACAGGGAGTCTCTCTCCGCTGCCCAGCCTGGAGTGCAGTAGCATGGCACGATCTCAGCTCACTGCAACCTCCACCTCCTGGGTTCAAGCAATTCTCCCACCTCAGCCTTCTGAGTAGCTGGGATTACAGGTGCTTGCCACCATGCTCAGCTAGTTTTTGTATTTTAGTAGAGACAGGGTTTCACCATGTTAGTTAGGCTGGTCTCGAACTCTGACCTCAAGTGATCTGCCCACCTCAGCTTCCCAAAGTGCTGGGATTACAGGTGTGAGCCACCGCGCCTGGCCGCTGAAAAGCTTTTTTATCTTGAGGAAATTATAGCCTTTTTAGGTTGCTGACACCATCCAAGAAAGATCGGGTAAGACAGACTCACCTTAATCTTCTCATACTTAAGAACAGATGGATGATTCTCCAGATCCTGGTAAATGTGGGGGGTCAAAAGGCGGGCAATTTCAGGGCACATACGGTGCTGAAAAAACACATGCATGTCATTAGAAACATGGGCAGAGCACACACGGACAATTTCTTTAAAGATAAGGTTGCTGTTAGAAAATTTAGGGAGGGCCAGTTGTGATGGCTTGTATCTGTAATCCCATCACTTTGGGAAGCCAAGGCAGGAGGATCACTTCAGGTCAGGATTTCAAGACCAGCCTGGCAACATAGTGAGCCCTCATCTCTATTTTTCTTTCTTTTTTTTTTTTTTTTGAGACGTGTCACCAAGGCTGGGGTGCAGTGGCGCAATCTCAGCTCATTGCAACCTCTGCCTCCCAGGTTCTAGTGATTCTCCTGCCTCAGCCTTCCAAAAGTAGCTGGGACTACAGGCATGAGGCACCACGCCTGGCTAATTTTTTGTATTTTTAGCAGAGACAGTGTTTCGCCATGTTGGCGAGGCTGGTCACGAGCTCCTGAACTCAAGGGATCCGCCCGCCTTGGCCTCCCAAAGTGCTAGGATTAAGGTGTGAGCCACCACACCTGGCCTCTATTTTTCTTTTCTTTTTTTTTTTTCTGAGACAGAATCTAGCTCTATTGCCAGGCTGGAGTACAGTGGCATGATCTCGGCTCACTGCAACCACCGCCTCCCAGGTTCAAGCAATTCTCCTGCCTCAGCCTCCTGAGTAGCTGGGATTACAGGTGCCCACCACCATGCCCGGCTAATTTTTGCATTTTTAGTAGAGACAGGCTTTCACCATGTTGGCCAGGCTGGTCTCGAACTCCTGACCTCAGGTGATCTGCCCACCTTGGCCTCCCAAAGTGCTGGGATTGCAGGTGTGAGCCACCGCACCTGGCCTCTATTTTTCTTAAAAAAAAAAAGGAAAGAAAATCTAGAGAGATAGAGATTATCATTTGAAAAAAATAAGGAGAAAGCATAACATAAACAGCTCCTTTGTCCAACAAAAACTCAACACGGTGATCTTGTGGTGTTTTAAAACAGAAAATGTAAGGTTGACAGAGTCATTTCAGTATTAAATTATTTTTATTTATATGAGACCTCTTTTGCTGGCAACTGGCAGCTTCCCAGGAGCTTTCTCCTGGGCATTTGGTAACAACAGAGGCCCAGCTTCTCACCTGGTAATTCAGACGGACAAAGGGAATGTTTACTTTCACTAGCCGTTCAAAAAGGGACACCTCAAGGTTGAAGTTCTTGGCCAGATCATACACGTTGGCACTGGGGCGCAGCTGAGAAGAGAAACATGGCTGAGGATTCTCTACTGATAAAGTCATTTAACCATCCATACTTCCATCCATCCAACCAACCATCAAATGTTTTTCAAGTGTTGACTATGTGCCAGGCACTATTCTACATACTCACAGTTTAAGGATTAATAATGACAAGGGTTAAGGATTAGTAGAACTAAAGGTGATATGACAGAGTGCCCCATGGTGGGTTTTTTCTAGCTAGGCCTCTGAACAGTGACATCTGAGTAGACACTAGCATGGCAGAAGTTGCCAGTTCTTCAGTCATTTGAAAAGCAAGATCCATAATGGGGAGCGGAAAGGACACAGTGGGACACCAAGAGCAAATGGGATGAAGTCAGAGAAATAAGCTGAAACCTGATCACATAAGCCTTTGTGGGCCACTTTAAGAAGCTTGATTTTTATGCAAGTGCAATGGGACACCACTGGAGGGTTTTCAGCTGGAAAGTGATATTATCTATCTACCTTTTTTTTAAAAAAATTCACTTTGGCTCCTTTATGTAGAGTGCATTAAAAGGTAGCAAAAATGGAAGCAGAGAGACTGAGGAGCATGCTATTACAATACAGTCCACTCAAGAGGCCATGGTGGACTAGGTAAATAGCAGAGGGAATGGATGAAATAAATGACGTTGCCACTAAAATATACCCCAAATCTAATAGCATCTGCTCTTAGACTGAACGTGGGAGGTGAAGACAAGAGGAATCACAAGAAGCTACTAATAAGCTTGAGGACTGTTGAAGCAGAGGCCAGGGTCTTCCTTTATGATCTCACCCCCACGGAGAGCCAGCCCATCTTCTAGGGGGACTCTCGTTTTACCTGCTGGTGGTCCCCAATCAAAATGAGGTGCTGGCAAGCTTTGCTCAATGTGGCAATGGTATGGGCCTCAAGGACTTCCGCAGCTTCTTCCACTATGACAATCCTCGGCTCCACCTTCTGTAGGATCTGGCGGTATTTGGCAGCACCTCAAGTGAGGAAAGAAGAGAAAGGCTCCTCTGAGCTGAGGCACAGGACCCACAGGGCCACTGGGCCTCTGGGAATCCACTTCTGTATCTTCCCTGAACCTGCATCAGCGACAGCTGGTCCTTATAGTGTTCTGGGTGGTCTCCAGAACATTAAAACTGTGTTGGTCACTGTTGGAGTTTCAAACCCAGCAGGAGAAAGTGAGTGAATTTCTTTTTTCTTTTTTTTTTTTTCTTTGAGACAGTCTCACTCTGTCACCCAGGCTGGAGTGCAGTGGTGCGATCTCAGCTGACTGCAACCTCCACCTCCCAGGTTCAAGTGATTCTTGTGCCCCAGCCTCCCGAGTAGCCAGGATTACAGGCACCCACCACTACACCCAGCTAATTTTTGTATTTTTAGTAGAGATGAGATTTCACCATGTTGGCCAGGCTGATTGCAAACTTATGACCTCAGGTGATCCACCTGCCTTGGCCTCCCAAAGTGTTGGGATTATAGGCGTGAGCCACTGCGCCTGGCGAAAGTGAGTGAATTTCACCAAGAGTTCTCAAAATATGGGTGCTTTCAGTAGCTTTTCATGGTATTTTCCTCTAACCTACCAAAGAAGCTCCTCTTTACCTGTCCTTAGATAATCTGGCACCAGAAGTGAACTTAGATGCAACAGGCAAATTTCTCCACAGTTTCTTACCTGTGGTTGTCATTCCTACAACCTGGGCATCTTTAAGAATGTGCAGGTCTTCCTGGAGTCTCAGCTCGGCCATTCTTTCTGCTGATGTGCGGTACTGGCGTTCATAGCTGAGGATCTTCCGGCGGGTGTCAGCCTGGTACAACTGTAGCCAGAGCCTGGAGAATGGGAAGAACCAAGGAAAGAAAGCCACATGCTCTTTGAGAAGGTGGAAGAACGCCCTTCAGTGTGCCCAGTGTATGAAGTGAACCTTGGACCCTTGGAGCATAGTGACAAACAGAGAGATACATTCAGGGACCTAAGAATCCAAAATGCCCAACAAAAAGATGTGCAGAGTAGTCAGGAGCTAAGGAAAGGGGTGAGATAAAGAACAAAGGTTAACTATGGGAAGAAAATAAGAGACTTTAAAAACTTTGGGAAGAATTCTCCCAGCTGCAGCATCCCTGCCTAATTTCCCTCCCCTCCTCTAATTCTCCATAGAGTATTTATTTTATTAGTAAAACTGATGATGTCACTAATCGCTGTAAAACTTTCCAACGGCTTTCTACTACTTTTTTTTTTTTTTTTTTAAAAGACGGAGTCTTGCTCTGTCACCCAGGCTGGAGTGCAATGGCGTGATCTTGGCTCACTACAACCTCCACCTCCGGGTTCAAGCGATTCTCCTGCCTCAGCCTCCCGAGTAGCTGGGATTATAGGCACCGGCCACCACGCCCAGCTAATTTTTTGTGTTTTTAGTAGAGACGGGGTTTCACTGTGTTAGCCAGGATGGTCTCAATCTCCTGACCTTGTGATCCGCCTGTCTCGGCCTCCCGAAGTGCTAGCATTAAAGGCGTGAGCTACTGCGCCCGGCCTCTCCTACTCTTTTTTTTTTTTCCTGTAGAGATGAGGTCTCACTATGTTGCCCAGGCTGGTCTTGAACCCTGGGCCTCAAGAGATCCTCTAGCCTCAGCCTCCCAAAGTGGTGAGATTACAGGTGTGAGTCATTGTGCCTGTTACCTCTCTGTTCTTTTCTGAGTTTTTATACCCATTTGTAACTTTTTATTTGTGGAATTACGTGATTAATTTGTTACCCTGGATAGACTCCATAGGCTCCACGAAGGTAATAATTAATTTGTTACCCTGGATAGACTCTATAAGCTCCATGAAAGTAGAGCAAAGTGTCTATTCTATCCCATGGCTGTATCCCTATCACTCAGCTCAGTGGTGGTGCTCAATCAATAATTAGTTAACATCGTTGAAGGTCTTGGAGGTGGAGAATGTTCTAGGAACAGAAGAGGAACTCCCTACATGGGTTGGCTAGATGTGGAACACAGTACCTATAAAGCTGCCAGCGAGAACTGAGGTCCAGCTGCCAAACATCCTCGATCTCGTTGGCCTCGGCTGCAGTCATGGTGTTCAGTTTGCGAAGCTCATCCTTCACTCTTTTTTTCATTTTCTTTTTCTGGTTGCGCTGGGTCTGCAGACATCAATACCAGGCAGGGTACTGTCTGAGCAGAGGCAGGCTTGGTTTTAAGCCCAAGGCAGGGGTCACAGCACGTAAGAAAAAGGGCTGGCATCACTGATTAATGTCAAGTGTCTTACATTCTCCCAACAGCTCTTCCACTGTAGAGTGGCTAAACAAGGACTCTGGAGCCAGTTTGCCTGGCTTCAAAGCCCTACTCTACCTCTTACTAGGTTGTGGGACCTAGTAAGGTAAATGACCTAACCTCTGTGTCCCTCAGTATCACCTTCTATAAAATGGGAATAATAATGGTATCTCTTTATAGGATTGTTGGCTTGTCAGGAGTAAATACGTGGAAAGCATTTATACTAGTACTAGCACTAGTTATCATTAAACATCTTTGACCATAGCCTGTTTCTTGTTCCTAAAATGCATGCCATGAAAGTCATGGGGGTGGTACTTTCTTGTTGAATGCTGTACAACCAGTGCCTAGCAACTGGTGCTTCACACAGGACTTGGCACAGTGCCTGCTAAAACGGTCCTACTGCCATCGTATCAACACAGTACCTTTAACAAGTGGTGGAAAGCACTGTTTATGAGAAAGTGCTCTCTTCTGGCCGTCACTGAGTCTGAGGCTATGAGCCTTTAGAAGGCTCGCAAGTCAGACAGATGTCACTAAATAAAGATCTTCCCGCTGCTTCAAAATGAAACAAATCAACCTTTCCTGATGCCTCCTGGGAGAGATGCTGAATCTGTGCTTCTAAGAATTGAGATCATGACTCCGCTCACCACATATAGTGATACTGAACTGAACTAGATCAGGTGCAAAGCCAGCACTCAGATGAAAACTGCATCCAAAGTTGCCCTTGAAAGTTCTCAAATCATTGGTAAGGTTTACAAATTCTTATTTTGAATATCTAATCCTCGATCATCATAGTTATGCATGGTAAACAGTGAGGACTACTAGGCTCCACCAAAAGGAGCAGAGGGAAGGCTACATGAAGACACCTGGGCATTCATACAATTCTGGCTTTAAGAGAAGTGTCAAATTCCAGGCTGAATGAAGGAGGAATATTCCATCCAGCCTGGAGGTCTCGCTTCATTGCTTACTTTAATCCTCTAAAATCTTAGTACATGTTCACAAACTCATTTGAAATAGAGAAAACAACACTCCTGAAGGCATTAAGTACTGAGACCGTGTTTGACCTGACTCATATGTGCTACATTCTTCCACAAGTTCTACAGAAGCACTTGGCTACCTGCTTCCTGTCTTTCTAAGTTGGCATTTCTTGCCAGAGGCCCTCTGAAGAACCATCGTATTTATATCCTTGGGAATCACTAAAGCCATCTCATACCAGGGGTAGGCTGTAATACAGGTACTTAGCTAATTGTAATGGTGAAGTGAATATACTGTATCAGAAGTGGGGGAAAACAAGCGGTCAGAACACTCTCAGGCCTGTTTCAACCCAAGGAAGTGAGTTTACCTGCCACTCTCCTGTGGCTTGCTCCTGTCCAGCTGCTGTCCCAGTGCCACAATGGTCTAGCCTCATGGCCAGAAGCATTTTAGCCAACTCCTGGTCTGCTCCACTCTCTTCCTTCTTCCGCCGCTGGGGCCTCACCACCTCTTCCTCCTCAATCACCCGGTCTGCTTGAATCAGGTCAGCTTCCTCTGCGATCTCTATCAGCGAACTCTCCTCCTCCCCTTCTTCCTCCTCATCCCCTTCTGCCTGGGCTAAGAGAGAGAAACAGGCAGGAGAGAGATGAAAACTCTTTTTTTTTTTTTTTTTGATATGGAATCTCGCTCTTTTGCCCAGGGTGGAGTGCGGTGGTGCGATCTTGGCTCATTGCAACCTCTGCCTCCTGGGTTCAAGTGATTCTCCGGCCTCAGCCTCCTGAGTAGCTGGGATTACATGCACCCACCACCACGCCTGGCTAATTTTGTAGGCTAATTTTGTATTTTTAGTAGAGATGGGGTTTCACCATGTTGGTCAGGCTGGTCTCGAACTCCTGACCTCGTGATCTGCCCGCCTTGGCTTCCCAAAGTGCTGGGATTACAGGCGTGAGCCACCGTGCCTGGCCAGAGATGGAAACTCTTGAAGCTAAGGGACAGAAGACGGCACCTGCAAGAGCTCAGATGCATGAAGACATTATCAAGGGTTTATGTGATTTTTTTTTTTTTTTTGAGACGGAGTTTCACTCGTTGCCCAGGCTGGAGTGCAATGGCACAATCTTGGCTCACCACAACCTCCACCTCCCGGGTTCAAGCGATTCTCCTGCCTCAGCCTCCCGAGTAGTTGGCATTACAGGCATGCACCACCACGCCCAGCTAATTTTGTATTTTTAGTAGAGACAGGGTTTCTCCATGTTGGTCAGGCTGGTCTCGAACTCCCGACCTCAGGCCTGCCTCGGCCTCCCAAAGTGCTGGGATTACAGGTGTGAGCCACTGCACCCAGCCCTATGTGATTATTTTTGAGAAGAGAAACTAAAAGGAATGAGAGGAGAGTTAGGAAAGGCTTAAGGTCTCCTTATATACTTTTTGTTACGTTTTACGTTAAAAAATCATACGAATATATGCCTTTTAAAGAAAGGTTTTGGCTGTGCGTGGGGCTTATGCCTGTATCCCAGCACTCTGGGAGGCTGAGGTGGGTGGATCACCTGACGTCAGGAGTTCGAGACCAGCCTGGCCAACACGGTGAAACTCTGTCTTTACTAAAAATACAAAAATTAGCCAAGTGTGGTGGCGCATGCCTGTATTTCTAGCTACCTGGGAGGCTGAGGCAGGAGAATCACTTGAACCCAGGAGGTGGAAGTTGCAGTGAGCCGAGATCGTGCCATTGCACTCCAGCCTGGGCAACAGAGTGAGACTCCATCTCAAAAATAAATAAATAAGGCTGGGCGTGGTGGCTCATGCCTGTAATCCCAGCACTCTGGGAGGCCGAGGTGGGCAGATCACCTGAGGTCAGGAGCTCAAGACCAGCCTGGCCAACATGGGGAAACCCCATCTTTACTAAAAATACAAAATAAGCTGGGTGTGGTGAGTGTGCCTGTAATCCCAGCTACTTGGGAAGCTGAGGCAGGAGAATTGCTCGAACCTAGGAGGCAGAGGTTGCAGTGAGCCGAGATCACACCATTGCACTGCAGCCTGGTGGACAGAGTGAGACTGTGAGACTCAGTCTCAAAAAAAAATAAATAAATAAATAAATAAATAAAATAAATACACAATAAATAAATAAAGGTTTTACTTATACCAAATACATATACAATGGAGGGCATACAATGTAAATATGTAATATAAAGGATAATAAAAATATATAAAATGAATACCCAAGTACCTTCCACCCAATTTAAGTAGAAAACTGACAAATTTTTTGAAGACCTTTGTTAGCCTTCCTAACCCGAATTTTATATTACTCATTTCCTTTTTAAAAGATAATAATGTTACCACATTTATACTGTATCTAAGTAACACATTGTCTAGTATATATGTTTCCATAACTTGCCTTTTTTTTTTTTGAGACTATGTCTGTCACTCAGGCTGTAGTGCAGCATTGCAGTCATGGCTCACTGCAGCCTCAACCTCCTGAGCTCAAGCCATCCTCTCGCCTCAGCCACCTAAGTAGCTGGGACTACAGGCACGCACCACCACACCCAGCTAAACTTTTTCCTTTTTTTTTTTAGTAAAGACAGGGTCTCATTATGTTGCCCAGGCTGGTCTCCAACTTCTGGGCTGAAACGATCCTCCTGCCTTGCACTTGCAAAGTGCTGGGATTACATGCATGGGCCACTATGCCCGGCTAACTTGCCTTTTTCATTCAGCATGTTTTTGAGATTCATATGTGTTACTGTATATGCTGTGTTTCATTCCTTTTCACTGTTGTACAGTATTTCATTATCTGAGTTGACTTAATTGATCCATCCATTGAAGAAATGTTGATGAACATTTGAGTTCTTTCTGATTTTCTGCTATGATAAAGTGGTTATGTAAATTTAAATATCCCCAGCAGCAGTGCATCAGAGTTTCCATTGCTTCAAATTCTCATCAACATGGGGTTATATCAAACTTTAATTGTTGCCAAACTGGTGTGTAAGTAATAGTTATCTCATTGTGGTTTTAATTCCTCTAGTTTTTAATGAGCACTTTTCATATATCTATTGAACAATTTCCTATTTTGTGATGTGCCTGTTAAAAGTCTTTTATCTCATTAGCTGCGCGTGGTGGCACTTGCCTGTAATGCCAGCTACTTGGGAGGCTAAGGCAGGAGAGGAGAATCGCTTGAACCTGGAAGGTGGAGGTTGCAGTGAGCCGAGATCACACCACTGCACTCCAGCCTGGGCAACAAGAGTGAAACTCCATCTCAAAAAAAAAAAAAAAAAGTATTTTATCTCTTTTCCTTATATTAAGCTATTTGTCTTTCTCTGATTGACTCATAGCTCTTTATTTATTCTGGGAATTATTTTTAAGTCTCACTGTT
Organism: Homo sapiens; assembly: GCF_000001405.40. Classification (NCBI taxonomy): domain Eukaryota; kingdom Metazoa; phylum Chordata; class Mammalia; order Primates; family Hominidae; genus Homo; species Homo sapiens. Next base: position 49,260,405 of record NC_000020.11, read on the forward strand.
CTGGTATTTACTATATTCTACGTTAAGATTTGATTCTAGGAAGACATGCACTTCTTACCTGTATTCTCAGGTCCTGCTGGAGAAACACTTTGCGTGAAAGAACCGACACCAAGACCTAGCCACTCCAGCATCATGGAATGCTTCCAGTGCTGGAAGCAAATCCATTCACTATCCTAAGGAAAGAAGAATGATCATTTGTGAGGATTCTATGACAACCAATGTGAAGGCTGGGTCTCCTCAAAGAATCAAAAGCAGATTGGGGCATGGTAGCTCATGCCTGTAATCCCAGCAATTTGGAAGGCCAAGGCAGGAAGACTGCCTGAGCCCAGAAATTCAAGACCAGCCTGGGCAATACGGTGAGACCCTATGTCTTTAAAAAGAGAGAAAAAAAAAAGACTGGGCGTGGTGGCTTGCGCCTGTAATCCCAACACTTTGGGAGGCTGAGGCAGGCGGATCACCTGAGGTCACGAGTTTGAGACCAGCCTGGCCAACATGGTGAAACCCTGTCTTTATTAAAACTACAAAAATTAGCCAGGCATAGTGGTGCATGCCTGTAGTCCCAGCTACTCAGGAGGTTGAGGCAGAAGAACTGCTTGAACCCGGGAGGCAGAGGTTGCAGTGAGTGGAGATTGTGCCACTACACTCCGGCCTGGGTGACAAAAGCAAGATTCTGTCTCAAAAAAGCTGGGTGTGATGGCATGCACATATAATCCCAGTTACCCAGGAGGCTGAGGTGGGAGGACTGCTTGAGCCCAGGAGGCCGAGGCTGCAGTGAGCTATGATTATGCCACTGCCCTCCAGCCTGGGCTCAAGACCCTATCTCAAAAGAAAAAAGAATCAAAAGTAATTCCCTTAAAGTTTATAGGCTGTACTATTCACAACAGCAAAGACATCTAATCAACCTAAATGCGCATCAATGAAGGACTGGATAAAGAAAACGTGGTACATATATACCATGGAATACTATGCAGCCATAAAAAAGAATGAGATCATGTCCTTTGCGAGGACCTGAATGGAGTTTGAGGGCATTATCTTTAGCAAACTAACACAAGAACAGAAAACCAAATACTGCATGTTCTCACTTATAAGTTAAATGATGAGAACACATGGTCACATAGAGGGGATCAACACACTGGGGCCTATTGAAGGGTGGAGGATGGGAGGAGGGAGAGGAGCAGGAAAAATAACTGATGAGTACTAGGCTTAATATCTAGGTGATGTACAACAAACCGCCATGACACAAGTTTTTTTTTTTTTTTTTGAGACAGTCTTGCTCTGTCGCCCAGGCTGGAGTGCAGTGGCACGATCTCGGCTCACTGCAAGCTCTGCCTCCCAGGTTCACACCATTCTCCTGCCTCAGCCTCCTGAGTAGCTGGGACTACAGGCGCCCGCCACCATGCCCGGCTAATTTTTTTATTTTTTTAGTAGAGACGGGGTTTCAGCGTGTTAGCCAGGATGGTCTCAATCTCCTGACCTCGTGATCCGCCTGCCTCGGCCTCCCAAAGTGCTGGGATTACAGGCGTGAGCCACTGCGCGCTTGGCCTCATGACACAAGTTTACCTACGTAACAAACCTGCACACGTACCCCTGAACTTAAAAGTTAAAAAAAAAATTAAAAAAGAAACATCATATTGTTAAAAAAAAAAAAAGTTCAGAGGCTGTGAACTGGCATCTCCTTGGGCAACTGGAACATTTAACATGACTTGTATAGAATTTTAAAAATCAAAGGGCTGGGCACGGTGGCTCATGCCTATAATCCCAGCACTTTGGAGAGCCGAGGTGGGCGGGTCACCTGAGGTCAGGAGTTCAAGACCAGCCTGGCGAATGTGGTGAAACCCTGTCTCTACAAAAATTAGCCAGGCATGATGGCAGGTGCCTGTAATCCTAGCTACTCAAGAGGCCAAGGTAAGAGAATCGCTTGAACCCGGGAGGCGGAGGTTGTAGTAAGCCAAGATCGCGCCATTGCACTGCAGCCTGGGGTGAGAGAGTGAGAACTCTGTCTCAAAAAAAAAAAAAAGAAGAAAAAAAAAAAAGAATTAAAAAAATTTTCCAGCCTATTTTGACAAAATCAGGAGCTATGGCAGCAATGACTGTTTATTACTGAATGGCAACAAATGGCTGGAGCTGGGTTGCTACCACATCTGTTCTAGTTTGCCACAGTCCTCTCCGCTTCTTAATATTTCAAATCTAGATTGCTTCACTTATTTGTAAGACCTGAATGACCTCTGTAAGCTTTTGGTTTGTAATCCTGTAAATCAGCAACCTAATGGTAACAAAGCTACCATTTCACTGGGTTCCTAGCCTGCCACTTTACAGAGACTGTCTCAGTTATTTCTTACCATATCTTTTGAAGGTAGGCATTATTATTATCCATGTTTGATTGCTGAGGATCACATGAACCCAAGTCACACAGTCAGTCTGCATGACTATATCTATCAACTCCCAAGTTCTCTATCTGTGCTAGTTTGCCTCTGGTTATGATTTTCTTCATTTCATTTAACAAACACTTATAGTACAGTTACTAAATTAATAAGTTTACAAATATCACCTTGCTCATCTAAATAACAATCCTGTAAGAACAAAGATCTGTAAGAAATTGCCTTTTTTGCAAATCAATATTACAGATGTTGGCAATTTCATATGGTTCAACTTAATGCTTATTATTATCCCCATTTTATAAAAGGGGAAACAGCCACAGAAAATTAAGTAACTTGTCCAGAGCCAAGCTCAGACTAAAACCCAACAGGCTGGTTCGAGTTTTGTTCCTGACCAGCATATTCAGCTGCCTCTCATCACAAAAGGGAACTTTACACATTGTGGCAGCATCAGATTATCAAACAGGTAAAGTTTTGGACTGATGCTTCTCCTGGAGGCTACCTCAAAGTACTGAGGCCAGAGACATATTTGTGTCCCCCAGGATGACCCCTACCTGCACTGGTCCATTCATGAGACTTTCCCAGTGCTGGGGTGAGATGTACTTCTGCAGGTACTGTTCCCGTAGGACACCACGCATGGTGCACTCCAGGGTCTTGGCTCCTTCATGAAGCTCTTGCTCTGACTCCTTCATCTGTGTCATGATCTTCCAAGAACAGAGGGAAAGAAATGATGAGGAAATATCATCATCCCCCAAACTCAGTCCTCACCTTGAGGGAAAGCAAAGCTAAGACAGGAACAGTAAGGAGGGAGAATAAATAAATAGACTGGTCAACAAACCAATTTCCCAAGGCACATTATTGTGGTCTTGAAACCAAAGAACTAGTATCGGTTGAGTGTGGTGGCTCATGCCTGTAATACCAGCATTTTAGGAGGCCAAGGCAGGTGGATCACTTGAGGTCTGTAGTTCAAGACCAGCCTGGCCAACATGGCAAAACACTGTCTCTACTAAAAATGCAAAAATTAGCCAGGCGTGGTGGCAGGTTGAATATCCCTTATCCAAAATGCTTGGGACTAGAAGTGTTTCAGATTTTGGAATATTTGCGTTTATACTTACTGGTTGAGCATTGCAAATCTGGAAATCCAAAATGTGAAATAATGTTGGGCCGGGCGCGGTGGCTCACGCCTGTAATCCCAGCACTTTGGGAGGCCGAGGCGGGTGGACCATGAGGTCAAGAGATCGAGACCAGCCTGGCCAACATGGTGAAATCTTGTCTCTACTAAAAATACAAAAATTAGCCAGGTGTGATGGCGGGCGCCTGTAATCCCAGCTACTCAGGAGGCTGAGGCAAGAGAATCGCTTGAACCTAGGAGGTGGAGGTTGCAGTGAGCCGAGATTGTGCCACTGCACTCCAGCCTGGGTGACTGAGCAAGACCCTGTCTCAAAAAAAGAAATAATGTTGGCACTCAGAAAGTTTTGGATTTGGATTTTCCAATTTGAGATGCTCAACCTACACAACAGAAAAACAAACAGGCCAAGAATACTGTGGGAGAGACTTCAAGGCTCACAATATCTGTTCTCTCTCTTTTCCTTAGTAATAAGAACTCAGATTTTTGACTGGGCACATTGCTGCCCAGCTAAAAGATGACATTTCCCTGGTCAGTTGGCTGTACACAGAGGTGCTGTGGGTGGTATGGGGGAAGGAGCGTTAAGGTAGGGTGGGGATGGGCAGTGTTTCCTTGTCTTTTCTCCATCTTGGATTGTGAAGGCAAAGGTCATACCAAGGGATTGGCAGAATAGAATGCTGAAAGGAACCTGGGTCCTCCAGAGCTTTGAGGAGCCTCCAAATCTACCCTGGGCTGCCTACCCAGAAAGCCACTGCTATCTTGTTTAGGTCCCTCTTGAACTACCCCAGATATTTCAGAGCTGGGACTTACACTCATGTAGGCCCTTCGGAGGTGCATGGGGAGGTTGCGGCGGAATTCCCGCTTGTTCCTCAGCTCCCTTAGGGTGAACTGCTTCAGGATTTCACTGTTGCTCCTTCCACCCACCCGCACAATGCTGGTCTTCTGACAATTGTAGATGCCTGTGGAACAAAGTGGAGCATGGCAGGGTTGAGAGGAGCTTATGCTAGGTTCTCTCAGGTGAGAGCTGTGTGTATTTGGGATCTAGTCTGGTCCCTTAGAGAATAAACTTGTGCTTAAAGGAAATTTACCCCATTAATGAGTGAGAAGGTCCCCGAGAAGATGTGACCTGCAGAGCAGTAAAGTGTAGCACTTAAAGAGTACAGGTTCTGGAATCAGACAACTAGGGATCCAACTCTTAGCTCTACCACTTATTGCTGTGTAACCTGGGGCAAGTGACTTGAGTCTCAGTTTCTCTGTCTGTGATTTAGAGATGGCAATATCTCCCATATAGGGCTACAGTCTGGATAAATGAAAGAAAATCTTTAAAGCTCCTAGCTAGGGCCCAGCACAAAGCAAGCACCCAGGATATGTTACATATTTTTCACTCTGCAGATTTACTGATTGCTCATATGTTTTAGGCATGTGCCAAGTTCTGAAGATATAGCAGTAGAAACATAGGCCCAGTTTCTGATTTGTTATCATTTCTTTGTCTCTGGCAGGAAGTTACTCATTAAATAATTAATACGGCAGCAATAAATGTAGTGAGTACTGGTAGCAGGGGACATTACCTAGTCTGGGTGGGGTAGGGATCTATTTTTAAGAATCTAATATTTAAACTCAGACTCTAAGAATAAAGATTTATCTAGGTGAAAGGGAGGTATAGAAGAATAAAAATAAAGGAAAAGCATATATTTATTCATCCATTAATGTTATTTAGTATTTTTTGAGTGCCTAATATGTGCCAGGATATGTGAATACAGCAAGAAAAGGACCAATCCTCATCTAGGGTAGCGATACATAAAATAGATTATAAAAAAATAAAAAATGCAAAAGAGACTTCACTTTGGGGCTATAGAAAAAGTCCACCTGAGAAGAGAGATTTAAAGTGGGACCAGAAGAATGAGTAGGGCCAGGTTGAGTAGGGCCAGGTTGAATAAGCTCAAGATGGAGAGGGAAAAAACTATTCCAGGCCAGAGGATGGCATGGGCCAATGGAGGACGTAGAGGCTTTCAAGGAACTGAAGATAACCAGTGTTGCTGGAGTTAGGGAGAACAAGGTTAAGAAGTAGGAGCTGTGGTTCACAGTCCAGCTGGGACAGATCACAAACGGCCATGTAAGTAATGATAAGGACTGTTGACTTTGTTTGAAGAGCAATAGAAAGCTACTGAAGTTGCTGATGGTTCAATCATCAACATCTTGATAGAGAACAAATTTGCCTATAAGTATTACCTTCCAGAAACTGGTCCAAAGCATGATTAGTATAACACACAACCAAGATGGGGAACTTCTGGAGGCTAATTTGCCAAACAGACTCGTTGGTTAGGAGGGCCTGAACAATTTTTAGACCCACATAGGTTTTGCCTAGAAAATAAGGAAAAAGGAATTTAACAATTTAGACATTTTCTAAATAAAGTAATTACTCAGAGCAAAATCTTTTTTTAAATTTAATATAATACATTAAGATAGTTTAAAATCTAAGAAGCGTACATTGTATATTGTGAAAAGTCCCTCTTGCACTCTGTCACCCAGTTCTCTGGGTGGAAGCAACCAATGTTACCAGTTTCTTTTGTAACTTTACAGAGACAGTATATCCACGCATATACAAACAATACAAATGTGTATTCTTTTTCTAGACTTCCCCTTTTCTCCTTAAAATATGAATAGTAACAGACAATTTTTACCATTCTACATCTTGATTTTTTTCACTTAATGTATCTTGAAGGTCATTCTCTATCAATACATAGGAGAATCCCATCCCCCCCACCCCCCCCTTTCCTTTTTACAGCTGTTAAGGTATTTTTTAGCCAGTTTTCTATTGATGCTGTATATATTGTTTCCAATCTTGTGGCAAATTAGAAATACTTTTTATATACATGGTAGATTTGCTTTTGTGATGGGAGGGGAAAACTTGTAGAAATCAACATTGGAATAAGAGTTATAGGCTCATTAGTAAATGGCCATTAATTAATTAATTAGGCTAAAAACTGCTAAATTCTCTCTTTTTGTTTGAGATGGAGTTTCGCTCTTGTTGCCCAGGCTGGAATGCAATGGTGTGATCTTGGCTCACCGCAACCTCTGCCTCCCGGGTTCAAGTGATTCTCCTGCCTCAGCCTCCCAAGTAGCTGGGACCACAGGCGCATGCCACCATGCCCAGCTAATTTTTGTATTTTTAGTATAGATGGGGTTTCACCATGTTGGGCAGGATGGTCTTGATCTCTTGACCCTTGTGATCTGTCCGCCTTGGCCTCCCAAAGTGCTGGGATTACAGGCGTGAGCCACCATGCCTGGCCTGCTAAATTCTTACATTGTGTCAGGCTGGTAAGGTAGACACTGTCCTCAAAAATCTCAAAGTTGAGGGAGGGAGTGATATAAGATAATCAAAGATTTCACTACAGCAGGATAAGTAACAATTTCTTCCTTCTTTTTTAAGGCCCTATGTTGTCCAGACTGGAGTGCAGGGGCTATGTGTACTGCAGCCTGAACACCTGTTTTCAAGGGATCCTCCCATCTCAGCCTCCCAAGTACTTGGTACTACAGGTACTCGTCAAGACGTCCAGCTTTGTTACATAAAGTTTTTTTTTTTTTTTTTTAAATCATGAGTTGCCATTACTTCATTGGTGTTTTTTAAAGACTTCTTCCTGTTTGGGGTTTTGTTTTCTTTTGGTACTTCCTTTCGGAGAGTAATTTAGCAGTAGCTATTTTAACTGTTAATGTAAATTCCCACTTCTAATAATAGTTATGACCCCAGAGTAGAATTAGAGAGTGGCACCTGGGGAGAAAGGTATGGGAAGGTATAGTTCCACGACAAGTACAATGTGGCAGATAGGAGCCAGGATTCTACAGCTAGACTGCCTGAATTCAATTCCTAAACTTGTCACTTAACATTTGTGTGAGCTTCAGTACATACTTCCCACCTCTTAAGAGGTTATTTAACCCTTCTTTGCCTTAGCTTTCTTCATCCGTATAACAGTTTTGTTTTTTTTTTTGAGGTGGAGTCTTGCTCTGTTGCCCAGGCTAGAGTGCAGTGGAGCGATCTCAGCTCACTGCAAGCTCCGCCTCCTGGGTTCACGCCATTCTCCTGCCTCAGCCTCCCGAGTAGCTGGGACTACAGGCGCCTGCCACCATGCCCGGCTAATTTTTTTATATTTTTTAGTAGAGACAGGGTTTCGTCGTGTTAGCCAGGATGGTCTTGATCTCCTGACCTTGTGATCCACCCGCCTCAGCCTCCCAAAGTGCTGGGATTACAGGTGTGAGCCACCGTGCCTGACCAACTGTATAATGGTTTTAGTAATGGCTTCTATTTCACAAGGTTGTGAGGATGCAATTAGTTAAGGTATGTAAAGTAAGTAAAATGTTGCTTCACACATAGTGCTATTATATATTTGATACTATTTAATTTAAAATAATATAAAATTGAACCAATTATATAAAGCAGAAATCACACATCTCACTACATTTGACCTCTAGCAATCTTGTATCTATTACTATGCATGACAATGGGTTCCTATTGGAAAATCCCTATGAGCAGCTACTTTATAAACAAATTTTATGCCCATTTCGGGAGGAATGTTATTAACTAAACATTCTATTGCAACAAAACCAAAAATTGACAAGTGGTACCTAATTAAACTAAAGAGCTTCTGTACAGCAAAAGAAACTATCAACAGAATAAACAGACAACCTACAAAATGAGACAAAATATTTGCAAACTCTGGATCCATCTAAGGTCTAATATCTGCAATTAAACAACCCCATTAAAAAATGAGCAAAGGACATGAACAGACACTTCTCAAAAGAAGACATACACATGGCCAACAAGCAGAGGAAAAAAATGCTCAACATCAACATCACTAATCATTAGAGAAATGCAAATCAAAACCACAATGAGATTCCATCTCACACTAGTCAGAATGGCTATTAATAAACAGTCAAAAAAAAGTCAAAAAATAACAGATGCTAGTGAGGTTGCAGAGCAAAGGGAAAGTTTATACACTGCTGGTGGGAATGTACATTAGTTCAGCCACTGTGGAAAGTAGTTTGGAGATTTCTCAAACAGCTTAAAACAGAAATGCCATTTGACCTAGCAGTCCCATTATTGGGTATATAATGGGAAGGAATATAAATCATTCTCCCATAAAGACACATGCATATGCATGTTCATTGTAGCACTATTCACAATAGCAAAGATATGGACTCAACCTAGATGCCCAACAATGGTGGACTGAATAAAGAAAATGTGGCATATATACACCACGGAATACTATGCAGCTATGAAAAAGAAGAAAATCATGTCCTTTGCAGCAAAGTGGATGGAGTTGGAGGCCATTCTCCAAAGCAAATTAATGCAGGAACAGAAAATTAAATACCACATGTTCTCACTCATAAGTGGGAGCTAAACATTGAATACACATGGACACAAAGAAGGGAACAGACACCAGGGCCTACTTCAGGATAGAGTGGGAGGAGGGTGAGGATCTAAAAACTACCTATCAAGGGCTGAGTGCAGCGGCTCACACCTGTAATCCCAGCACTTTGGGAGGCCAAGGCAGGTGGATCACCTGAGGTCGGGAGTTCGAGATCAGCCTGTCTAACATGGTGAAACCCTGTCTCTACTAAAAATACAAAATTAGCTGGGCGTGGTGGTGCATGCCTATAATCCCAGCTACTTGGGAGGCTGAGGCAGGAGAATTGCTTGAACCCAGGAGGCAGAGGTCGCAGTGAGCCGGAATCGTGCCACTGCACTCCAGCCTGGGTGACAGAGTAAGACTCTGTCTCCAAAAACAATGACGACAACAAAAAACTACCTATCAGGTACTATGCTCATTACCTGGATGACAAAATAATCTGTACACCAAACCTCTGCAACATGGCAATTTACACATGTAACAAACCTGCACATGTACCCCTAAACCTAAAATAAAAGTTGGAAAATAAAATAAGTAAATAAGAAGACATTCTAGAAACCTAGAGTGAAGGCTCCGTCCCTTGCTTATCTTACAAAGCAGATCTTATGTACTCTAAAAAATTTTGTCTTACCTGTTCCAGGAGGTCCTTGAATAATAGCCAGTTCCCTTGTGAGAGCAAACTGCAAGGCTTCCATCTGGGAGTCATCCAGCTTCAGGGCTTCTTTTGAGGGCCACTGGCCAGGATCTAAGACATTAATTCTGGGATGTCTCAAACCCTCGACATTTCTTAGAAATTCCCCAGTGGCTGAAGGATTCTCTATTAAGGGGGTAAAGTCGTATCTGCCCCCCATTAGCAAGTACCTTGGCTCCTTCACATGAGAGTTACACTCCACGATATTCCTCTGGAAGGGAACATCTTCCTCCTGGACCTCCTGGAGTCCTTCCAGGACGTGCCTGTAGGCCTCAAAGTATGCAGTTGTCTCTACCATGAGGAAAGAGTCAGAGGGCTGGACCTCTGCTAGCAGCTGTTGGCTTTGCTCATTGAAGCAGAGCTGGACAATTCCTCGGCAGAGATCTTCCTGCTCCCTGTTAGATACGGTGGCAAAAAGAAATGTCTCGAAGTTGTCCTTGGACATGCATACCAAAGACCCATAGAGCAATCGTTTGGAATTCTGCCAGCGAACAAACTTCAGTGGTTTTGTGTCAAACTGCACCTTGTAGACTATGCCTGATGATGAACACATGGGGGTGATAATCCTGGTGTCAAAGTAGATTCGGATGTCATCAAACTTTCTCTTCCTCAGGCCCTGGTCTTCAAAGCTTTGGAGAAGTTCCAAAATACCTTCCCGTAAAGGTCTGACGAAATCTTCTCGCAGGAGCCGGAAGTGGGTATCCAGATAGATAGCAGTGCTGTCGTATTTTCCAGAAATGATATTGGGGCGAAGGAAGGGCCTCTCATCCAAGTGCACTTCATTGTAGGTAGGGTAAATGGGCATGGTTCGGTAGCTCTCAACATGGTCTTCTGCCTCAGGCTGCACTAGAGTGTAGGTATCCACTCTCAAAGTGCCCTCTCGCCTCTTTTCCTGCAGATGTTCAATGATAGTCTGTACCTTTTCCAGGTTCTTCTCCGTTTCCTCTTCTATGTCAACACCAGAGGCTCTCAGAGCATTAAGAGAGGTTGGCAGGAGGGAAACCAGCATGGAAGTTTCCTGCACAGAGCTGGCAGGGAAGACACTTACAAGGTCCTGGAGGAGGGAGATGATGTTGCTTATGTGCTCTGGATACTGGTTTCGGATGTCAGGGATGGGTTCAGTGATCATCCCTACCACATAAGCAGGCAGGCAGACTTTGAGAAATTTGGAGTTTTTCAATATGCCCAGTACATGGAGAACACTCTGGCGATCCATTTTGGAGCTACAAGCCTTCCGAAGAACCTGACAGATGAGCTCAAGGAAGTTAGATTTCATGGAAGAATGAGAAAGGAGCTCTTTCAGCCCTAAACTTGTGGCAAGTGTGATGACCACCTCAGAAGGGTCTTTCTGCAGAAGACTTTCTAAGAACTTGTAGCCCAGTTTCTTCGCCTGCTGTGGCTGTTCTGTAGGCTTCTGGTGGGGAGTCCGCCACTGCTGGAAGTTGTCATTGGACCATGGTGGTCTGCGGTTCCTACAGTCCTGGTTGCCATTTCTCCACCTGGTGTCATTCTCCTGGTCATGTCTTTGGTCTCTAGCTTCGTCGCTGGCATGCCCCTCCTGGTTCCTCCTTCCTTGATGTGGGTTCCTGCCCATGGCCCTAAATCTCTCTTCCCTCTGCCAGTAAGCAGCAGGATGGTTGTTGGCCCTAGGATGCCTTCCAGGGTGGCTGGCTCCTCCTCGGAGAGCATTGGCTGGTGGGTTATTGGCCTGATTTCTAGCTCTTGGTGGTAACTCTCCATCCACAGGGCCTAAACACAATGAAATATTGAGTAACCACAAGAACCAAGTTCTGTTGGAAACCCAACAGAACGACAATGAACGTGCTTTCATTTTCCAAAATAACTAAAGAGCTCAGGTTTTATACGGTAAGAAAAACGGTTTCTACCAAGTCATATGATAAATGAAAGATAATTACTGTTGCTGTAGAGGTTAGGAAAATATTATTTTTACAAAGGACGCAAAAGGGAAAAGGAATAAACAGTTATTGAGTACCTGATGTGTGTTAGAGAATAAATACATACAGTATGTCTCATTGCTTCTAATCTCATGCCAGTACCAAATAACAGTCAGAACATGAGTTTAAAGGCCAAACTGACTTGGTTCAAACATTGGCCTGGCCACTGCCTTACTATATAACCTTGGCCAAGTTGTATAATTTCTCTAAGTCTCAGTTTCTGCTTTTTTTTTTTTTTTGAGATGGAATCTTGCTCTGTCTCCCAGGCTGGAGTGCAGTGGTGCGATCTCAGCTCACTGCAACCTCTGCCTCCTAGGTTCAAGTGATTCTCCTGCCTCGGCTCCCGAGCAGCTGGGATTACACACACCTGCCACCGCGCCTGGCTAATTTTTATATTTTTAGTAGAGATGGGGTTTCACCATCTTGGCCAGGCTGGTCTTGAACTCCTGACATTGTGATCCACCCGCCTCAGCCTCCCAAAGTGCTGGAAGTGCTGGGATTACAGGCGTAAGCCACCGTGCCTGGTGGGGATTTTATAAAGATTAAATGTTTATAAAGTGCTTAGTATAGTACTGGACACATTAAAAACTCTCAATAAATGTTAGTTATTACTAGTAGCAATAATTGGGAATATCCTATTGATTCTAAGGGGGCCACTGGTTCTACCACTAAACAATTATCACAGCCAACAGAGACATCAAGTGAAATAATATTACAAAGGGAAGTACTACCTGAATGCTGTCCAGCATCAGCAAATGCAGTTTGAATGGGAAAGAGAAAGGTGGGGTTTCCTTACCAAGATGTTTTTGAGCTAACAGACTATGAAAGAAACTGAAAAATGAAACTCAAGTTTTCCTCCTTTCTGTAGCATGAACTTCACCCTCATAGTACTTACCAATTACCAACCCTTATACAGGAAGCCTAACATACCCAAAGTCCAGTTTTTTTCACTTTCCTTTTTGCTAAAACTGATTCTGGGGCTGACCTAACTTAGCAGAATGACATGAAGATTTTAAAAACAAATAAAATACGACTGTATACAATGATTTGATAAAAAAGTTGTAAAAGCTTCAAATGCATGTTATATTTGAGATGATTATACCATTTCCTGACATCAGATACTAAATTGATTTATGCACACTCTTCCTTGTTTTGCATTTTGTAGAGAATTTTATTTTTTATTTTTTATTTTTTGAGAGGGAGTCTGGCTCTGTCGCCCAGGCTGGAGTCCAGTGGCATGATCTTGGCTCACTGCAACCTCCGCCTCCCGGGTTCAAGCAATTCTCCTGACTCAGCCTCCTGAGTAGCTGGGACTACAGGTACCTGCTGACACACCTGGCTACTTTTTTGTGTTTTTAGTAGAGATGGGGTTTCACCATGTTAGCCTCGATGGTCTCAATCTCCTGACCTCGTGATCCGCCTGCCTCGGCCTCCCAAAGTGCTGGGATTACAGGTGTCAGCCACCGTGCCCAGCCGAGACTTTAATGTGACAACATAAAGGAATATTTGGTAAAATATAAATGATCTACAACTGAACTCTAAATTTTTATAATTGTTACTTACATATTTACTTTTCAAACTACCTCCAAAATCAGAAGAAAGTACTACTTTTAATATTTTTATCTGATTAGAAGACTCTATGTCTTGGAAGAATGGAAAATCGTATCATTTCTTATTCTTTCAACATTCATGGCCAGGTGTGGTGGCTCATGCCTGTAATCCCAGCACTTTGGGAGGCTAAGGCAGGCAGATCGCTTGAGCTCAGGAGTTTCAGACCAGCCTGGGCAACATGGAGAAACCCTGTCTCTACTAAAAATACAAAAATGAGCCACACGTGATGGTGCACGCTTGTGGTCCCAGCTACTTGGGAGGCTGAGGTGGGATGATTGCTTGAGCCCGGGAGGTCGGGGCTGCAGTAAGCCAAGATCATGCCATGGCACTCCAGCCTGGGCAACAGAGCAAGACCCTGTCTCAAAACAAAAAACAAACCATTCACATAGCTCACAAGAGCCCATAGTTCTTCCTCATTTGTTCCACAGCTAAAACTCTTTGGAAGACACATTTCAAACTTATGGAAAAGCAGGAATCCATTTGGTTGTTTAGTTTTAGAAAGTGCTGAGCAAGCAGAATAATTCCTTTAGTAGAGTGATGGTCTTGGAACTAATTTAGCTTTGGTGACTAGGATTCACGATCTGCACTATCCAATACAAAGCCATTAGCCACATGTGGCTGCTATGTTTGTGAAATGTAACTACTTTGAATTAAGACGTGTAAAACACACGAGATTTTGAAAGCTAGTACCAAAGACTGTTAAGCATTACATTAAAAATTTTTATGTTGATAATATCTTAAAATGAGTATTTGAGGGAAATAAATATATGTGAATTATTAAAGTATGATAATAAACTATAGTCAATTATTATAATCAAATAACATTTTGGTTATACTGGGTTAAATAAGACATTATTAAATTCCTAAATTTTATTAAATTGTCATCAAATTGAAAAAATAAATTTCAAGGCCAGGCACAGTGGCTCACGCCTGTAATGCTAGCACTTTGGGAGGCCAAGGTGGGTGGATCACCTGAGGTTAGGAGTTTGAGACCATTCTGGTCCAACATAGTGAAACCCTGTCTCTACTAAAAACACGAAAATTAGCTGGGCATGGTGGCAGGCACCTGTAATCCCAGCTACTTGGGAGGCTGAGGCAGGAGAATCGCTTGAACCTGGGAGGTGGAGGTTGCAGTGAACCGAGATCGCACCACTGCACTCCAGCCTGGGCAACAGAGCGAGACTCCGTCTCAAAATAAATAAATAAATACATAAATAAATTTCATCTGTTTCTTCTTACGTTTTAAAATGATGTTTCTAGAAAATAAAAACTAGGCCGGGCGTGGTGGCTCACGCCTGTAATCCCAGCACTTTGGGAGGCCGAGGCAGGCGGATCACGAGGTCAGGAGATCAAGACCATCCTGGCTAACACGGTGAAACCCCGTCTCTACTGAAAATACAAAAAAATTAGCCGGGCGTGGTGGTGGGCACCTGTAATCCCAGCTACTTGGGAGGCTGAGGCAGGAGAATGGCGTGAACCCGGGAGGCGGAGCTTGCAGTGAGCAGAGATCGCGCCACTGCACTCCAGCCTGGGCGAAAGAGCGAGACTCTGTCTCAAAAAAAAAAAATAAAATAAAAAATAAAAACTTATGCTCTTGGCTTACATTGTTTCTATTGGATGCTGCTCTACACCAAACGTCATTTCCCTTTCTGAAACTCTATCACTGTTTTTGTTAAAGTGAACTGCACCCATTCATCAGCTCTCTTAGGAAAAGTGGAGGGTTGGCTGTTTTTCAGAGTAATTCATGAAGTAATTAAGAAATAACTCATTCTTTTTTTTTTTGAGACAAGGTCTTTCTGTCACCCAGGCTGGAGTGCAGAGGCCAGATCACAGTCCAGAGCAACCTCTGCCTTCTACACCCACCCCTTCCTGAGGTTCAAGGGATCCTCCCACTTCAGCCTCCCAAGTAGCCTAAGTAGCTGGGACTACAGGCACGCAGCACCAAGCCCGGCTAATTTATATATTTTTTTGTAGAGAAAGCCTATTGCCATGTTGCCCAGGCTGGTCTCAATCCCCTGGGCGTAAACAATCCTCCCGCCTCAGGCTCCCAAAATGCTAGGATTATAGGCTTGAGCCACTGCATCCAGCCATAGTCATTCTTTACTTGAGAGATGCAGACAATCTTAGGTAGGCCTGCTCATTTATAGAGAGCCCTATTTCCTTCTTTTATTACTAGAATTTCCTTCTCATTAGGTAGGAAACCTTGCTTACCTCTGTGGTTGGTATGGGAATTCCTGGGCCTGGCATCCAGATGAGGTCTTCTCTCCTCCATGTCTGAGTCACCTGAATTCCTTCACGTTACTTTCTGTTATCTGGAAAACTGCACATGTTGAGTTATCAGTGTCCTCGAAACATAGCATCTAGCAGCAAAAACCCAAACACCATCAAGCCAGTCCTTCTGCCTTTGTTAACATTTTAATGATTTGTTAACTAAGGGTTAAATACAGATTTTAATCTAGAGCACAAGTGCTCGACTCTGCAAATGCCCAATTATGATATAAAATATTAAATTCACAATTTAGCTGATTTCAAGAGATAGAATTCCCCTTTCTTTTACCCTGGCACTTTCTTGGGGTAGAGGGAATGTCATCAATTCCCATTCAAAACTGCTGTTTGGTTTATGCCTTTAGCCAAGTTACTTAATCAGTTGCTAGGTTTCATTTTCCTTTCCTAAGAAGCAGACAATATTGTTGCCAGGACAAAAAGGAGTACATTTTTGTTAATCCAAAACCATGTGCTCACCACCTTATCTGGCATTTACATATCTGCCACTTATATAGTACCCAATAGCTTGCAGTACCCTACAGTTTATAAATAATTAGTGAGCAGTTATCCCCTTAGCCTACTCTTTGGAATGGAGCCAAATGATTAAGCTCTCTGCTCTACTGAATCAAGAGAAAGAAATTACATGTTTCAATAACCAGGAGGTTTGGCAACTACGAGGTGCTGTTTCCTCAGGACCAGCTAGAAATCTGATATTCTTTCTTCCTCCTCATTCTTCTACCTTGGTGATTTTTGACACTGGTCCTGTAAGAGGAAGAGGAAGCCCCTTTAAGGGAGCTTCTCAACCCAACTCATACACATGGTGTGGGCTGGGGCTAAGGAAAGAGTGGGTGACTCAGAGTCCTCAGCAAAGGGATTTTTGAGACTGTCTTCACTGAGTTCTAAAATATTCATAATTGGAAACTGTGACTACATTTGGCATTATATGAGGGGCAGCTTTTTTCCTCATCTGAAAAAGGAGTCTCTTTTCTTCCCCCTGGGAATATCTCTGGTGAGTCCCCTCCCTCATCTTATCAAACCCAGCCCTCCTGGCGCAGGCTCAGTATTTAGAGTTTGTTTGTTTATTTTCAATTCTCCGAGGGGAAAATTCCTTCTTCCCCTTGTTGAAAAATGCTAAAATAGAAACTCCAGAAAATTTAAAAGAAACGGAAGAAAAGAAAAAAAGATGTTAAAAAAAAGGCAAGGGAAGGAAGGGAGGAGTAGACATGAACAGGAAATGCTGGGATCGAAAACAGACTGAAGTGTTTTTTTTTGGTGGGGGGAATCAAGGCCTAAAGGGCACGAAGAAGAAAATCAGTGATGATCAAGCTGGCCTGGAGTCAGAATGAGAGGGGCTAGTCATCACCAGAGTGGGACGCAGGAGGCTGAGGTCGGAGGCAGAGCTGGGTTTGGGGGAAGTCTCCAGGGTCCTGGGGAATCCCTGACCCAGGGAGCCCACGGTCCCTAATGGAAATGTTATGGGGTCAGGGAGCGCCAAGGCTGTGAGGTGGCGGGGTTATGGGGGCCTTGGGGAGAGGGTGGTAGCGAGCACCAGGGGGTGCTTGCTGAGGACGGAGGCGGCGGGGTGGGGGCAGGGAGCAGGCTGAAGGGGGTGCCGAGGTGCTCTGTAGAAGAGGGGGATTGATAAGGTGACAGGAGGTGAGGCCGGAGGAATGAGGGGGGTGCGAGTGGCAGAAGGGAGGGCACAGACAGGGGTAGGGGCAGAGGAGATCGAAGTGCTGAGGGCAGAAGCGGTGACGGTGTCGGGGGTGCTGGGGAGAGCGACGGGCCAGCTGAGGGGATGGGGACACTAAAGAGAGTACAGGGGAGCCGAAGGGGCGACGGGGCGCTGAGATGGGCCAGGGGCTGAGTGGGTGACGGGGCGCTGAGTAGGCGATGGAGGTCTGGGGTCTGAGGGGGAGACGGGGCGCTGAGAGGCGCTCTGAGTGGGTGCTGATGCCGCTGGGGGCCAAAGAGGTGACAAGGCTCTGAGTGGGTGATGGGGGTCTGGGGATTGAGGGGGCGACGGGGCGCTGAGGGGCCAGGGGCTCTGAGCGGGTGACGGGTGCGTTGGGGGCTTGAGAGGGTGACAGGTCTTACGGGCAGAGGCAGTGGCGGGTCGGCGCGGGCGCCGGGGTTCGCGGCGAGGCAAGGAAGAATCAGGGGCAGGGGCAGTTGCGGGGCCACTCACCCGGCTCCGGCGCGTCCTTTCACTGCCGCCGGCGAGTGCTGGGGCTTCGGCCCAGGCAGGTCGGTGGCCCCGCCCGGCGCCGCGCACTTTCGGTTTCCGTTCCCCGCAGACCCTGGGCGGAGCCGGGCGGGCGGCCCAGAGGAGGAGAAGGAGGAGGCGGGGGCCCAGGGTGGAGAGCACGAGGGCCTGGCCCAGGCACGGCCGGCGCCTCCGCCCTCGAGGAGGGCGTCACCTCAGCTCCCCCCGGCGGCGGAGCCGGCGGGCTCAGGCGGGCGCGGCTGAGGGGAGCGGACCGCGGGGGGCGGGAGATGACTGCGCCCAAGGCCTTTGCGGGCCTCAGCCGGCCCCAGAGGAAGGGGAACCCGTCGAGCGGTTTGGTGCGTGTGAAGCGCGACATGGCGAGGAAGCGGACAAGCCCGGGTGGCCCGGCGTGTAGAGGGAAGGGGGCGGGGCTAGACGCGGCCTGGACAACTACTAGAGCGCCTCGGGCTGTGCTGCTCGAGACTACATTTCCCAGAGCGACGCGCGCGGAGCGGGCGGGAAAGAGAGCGTTTCGGGTCCAGTGCGCAGGTGCGAAAGCCATCTTTGGTTATATAAGGGAGGTTCAGGAAGCCATTCGTTCTTTCGCGTCTGCGGTGCCCGGAGTGTGGTACTTCTCCTAGTTGCAGTCAGGCTTCATACGCTATTGTCCTGCCCGTAAGTTCCCGTTTTGTGTGTGGTGAGTGGAAACTCCATGTTCTTCGTTGGAGACCTCTGGTCCTCCCTTCCCTTCTTTGTGCCGTCGTCTCTGCGGCCAGCCCTAATCTCCTTCTCGTGGCTTCTCCGTCTCTGACCCCAAATAGGCCTTAAGGGCGTGGGAGAAATGAGTTTCTGGAGCTGGAAAAGCCACTGCCTTCTGCACGGGCCTGAGAAGCCCTTGGCTGGTGTAAATGATGACTTCACTTTTTTCCCCATCAGATCGACAATGCTGACGTCTTATATTTTGCCAGTTAGTTCTGATACATCGGCCTCAAAAGGCCCGGCCTTGTTCGTTTCTGACCGTGGGAAGATGGCGGTTAACGCCCTTTATTTGTTGGTTCACAGGTTAGAGCAGCCAGCGGGTACAGAATGGATTTTGGAAGAGGGAGTCACCACTGGACCTCCAAGGAAGCCACGTGCAGACATCTACAACCTTCGATCTCCTGACGAGTAAGTCTTTGTCTCCTATGGGTCTACTGTAGAAAACACGTGCTTTGAGAAGCTTTAGTTTTCTAGGAAAACGTGGGATTTAACAAAGCACTTTCTATCGAGCATTTATTAGGTATTTAAAAAAGTGTTCTGACGGCCGGGCGCTGTGGCTGACGCCTGTAACCCCAGCACTTGGGGAGGCCAAGGCAGATGGGTCACCTGAGGTCAAGATTTGGAGACCAGCCTGGCCAACATGGTGAAACCCTGACTCTATTAAAAATACAGAAATTAGCTGGGCGTGGTGGTACGCGCCTGTAATCCCAGCAACTCACAAGGCTGAGGCAGGAGAATTGCCCGAACCCGGGCGGCGGAGGTTGTAGTGAGTTGAGATTGCGCCACTGCCCTACAGTCGGGGCAACAGAGCCAGACTCCGTCTCAAAAAAAAAAAAAAAAGAAAAACATGTTCTGAATGTTTTATTCTCACAGTTCAAATATTGGAACTAGGTTTCTGGTGAAGAAACAGGTTTAAGAGAAATGCCTGAAGTGAAAGAACCTTGTTAGTGAAGAGGCGTTTAACATTTTAATGCCACTTAAACATATTTTTGGATTCCATTCTTCCTGTGTGTTGGGGCGCTTAAATTTCCAAGTGGAGGGATGATTTATTGACATATTTTGGAAAGCCAAATGTGTTTTTCTGTTGAACTAGCCACTCAAACCAGTGCCCGACTACATAACTAATATTTTTGCTAGAGTCCAGGAGTGAGGCGTTTACAAAGTCTGGGCTTCATGGGAACACATGTGAAGCTTATTGTTCCAGATTGTTCTTTTGTCAGGTAACTTGTGGTAACTTGTGTTAAAATGCAATCTCTTGGTACTTGTTCACTTCCCAACTCAGTAAATGCCAACTACTTCCTCAACTCTTCCAGCCACACTGGCTTCTATCATGGGCCTGTACTCAGAGTGTAAGCACTGAAGACAGGGGTGTTTGGTTTGGCTACCAAGTTATTGCCAGCTACAGGATACAACACAGAAGTGCTCAAACACCGAATGCAAATTTGCAAATATGAAGCATACCAACCAAATCTTACTCCTCATGGCTTTCAAATCTTACTCCTCACTCAAGAACTTCCTGCTGGCATATATGATGACTTAGCTTTTTTCCCCGACAGATCGACTATGTTGATCTAACTTTTCTAAGCCAGTTTCTGTCTGATATGCCAGCTTGAGCAGCTCCTTTGTCCCAGCTCCCCTGGGCATCTAGCTGATGGGAGCTCATTTTTCTGTTTTTTCATTTCAGGTTTATTGTTGGCCAAAACCAGGCTTTGATTGAACCAGGATGAATGCGGGTGTTGGAAGTAGAATATATATATACATATAAAATTGGTAAGTGGTGCCAACACGTCTTCCCTGGCTGAGTAGACACAGGCTCTGGAGGGGGTAGTAGCTGCTTTTCAGTGTGGGTTTGTCACCCTACTTCTTGTACGACTCAAATGTGGCCTTTGCAGCTGATGATACAGCTTCTTTCCCCATCAGATCGACCCTGTTGATCTCTACACTATTGGCCAGTTTTGTCTGATGCATTGGCCCCAGTAATAACTCCTATCTTTGTTTTCTGCTTATCTTTATCAGAGACTATTGCTTGTTCATGGGAACTGGGCTTTCTCTATTTTTTCCAGCATTCAGATGGCTTCTTTTGACCTGTTAACTTTCTATAGGTTGGGAGCCACGTGTACCAGTGTGTGTTGATCTTGGCTTGATTCAGTCTGCCTTGTAACAGGTGAGGTTTCTGCTTTCTATCTGCCAAACCCCACCGCAAAATTTGTCCAACTGGGCCTAACCTCAGGACCCATTTCCAAGTTGGGTATAAAACTGGGAGAATAAGTCATTAGGACTGACATTGGCCTGTTGGTATTACTAGGTCTTTGTTGGAAATAAGAGCTTGGAGTTCCAAAGAAAACGAGCACTTGAACAAAAGATTTCTCAGCAAGGCAAATTTACTTCTGCCGTAGGGTGCTGCTGCTGGCATTCCTGGCAAGAGCACACCTAACAAAAGAGAGAAAGGGTTTTTATTCCTAACAAGTAGTCCCTGCTTCTGTGTCCTATCCCCATTGGCTGGAGTCGACAGCGCAATCTAAACTAGTCCTGATTGGCTATTTTAAACAGGAGGCATGTGGGTTACAGCTGTGGGAAGGGCAGGAAACTTGTTTACAGAGCTGGTTGCTAGGAGTGAGGGGGACTTTTCCAAATAGGGAACAGGTTACAGGTTGAGATTGGCCGGAGAAGTTGTTTATAGAACGGGTAACTCGGAGCAGGAAGGTATGAGGAAGTTGACCTTAAGAACAAAGAACAAGGAAGTTAAAACTTTGAAGAGAAATCCATTGTATCTAACGATTTCCCCCTTTTGATTTTTATAATTATTTCTCTTCAGACTTGTTTTAGCGTGTCTTGATTTTGTTCCTCTTGGTCCTCTGAAATTAGAAGCTTAACTGAATGATGCGAGGGAGGATTGAGGAAGATTTTGGTGGGTGAGAGCTGTTAAAATAAGCTTTTGTATTAATCCTCAGATACAGGGTATGATACAGCATCCTACAAGAATGAGCAAACCTATTCTGATGGCAGGAGATTGAGGACGTAAGTCCTTTCCATTTGCGGAACTATTTTTCCATTAAAATCGTGAAGGGGTCATTTATTCCAGAATTTCTAGCTAGCTCATTGGATAAAGCAGTAAGTCCTTGGGCCTTTGTTATGGTTCCATCGGGAGCAGTATTATTAGGGATGAAAGTACAACACTGGGTTCCAATCATGACACAAACTACACCTTTCTCCGCTAGTATCATGTCTAATGCTATTGTATTTTCTCAGGCCGTTTGACTGGTGGGCCCTAATTGTTAAACTGTTCCCTTAATAGCATCCCTAGTATAATTAATGAATCGTTGCTGGGTTACATTTTTTGTGTTTTTTTTGAGATGGAGTCTCACTCTGTCGCCCAGGCTGGAGTGCAATGGTGCAATGGTTCACTGCAACTTCCACCTCCTGGGTTCAACCTACTCTCCTTCAGCCTCCTGAGTAGCTGGGGGCTGTCACCATGTTGGTCAGGCTGGTCTCAAACTCCTGATCTTGTGATCCACCCGCCTCAGCCTCCTAACATGCTGGGATTACAGGCGTGTGCCACCACTCCCGGCCCAATCTACATTTTTATTTAGAGTTGACCACCAGAACAACATGGATTCAAACTTGCAGCTATTTGATTTTGGGCCTTAAATCTATCTGGCACTCCTCGTGGGATTCCAATGGCATCTATATAAACATGAGAGTCACGAGGGACATCCATTGTTTTATGATGTTCTGTTTTTATGTATGTTTTCTGGATGAAATACCAGGGTGAAAGGGAGATAGCCAATTGGATTAGAGCTCAAGTGCCACGCCAAGTAACTTGGCAGAGTATTCAGTAATGGTCCACCACAACACCACCATACGTTTGCTTGGGGATGAATAAGGGACGACTGATTGGTAAGCTCCTGGAAGGGCTTAAGCTCACTGCATCTCGTTAGGTCTCCAAGCAAATTCAAGTTCTCCCCCTGTGAGAGACACGAGGTAAAATTGGCATTGGAAGACGGATGCTTGATGGCCCTCGGGGGCTGACCCGCAGGGTGTCGGACTTCAGGGGACTTCAGGAAACAGCAGCGAGAGAGTTTGGCATAGCTTATTGCCCCAGGTTGTGGGGTCTTGGAAGAGAGCTGCCATACAACTTAATGCCTGATCGGCTGGAGGACGATCCGAGTGGAAAGGGAACAATCTGGGGCTCTGGCTTACCACGTGCGTAAGCATAACAATCGCTTTGTTTAGCGAGCGGACAGAATGTTTAATCCATTCCAGCCATGCATTTGCATCTCGGTACCGTTTCAATTGGTAGAGTTTGCTTTAGATCTTTAACCTCTACAATGGTCACTTTGGTTTTGTCATTGGGTGTTTGTTTAGAAGGGGATGAAGGGGGTGGGGGAACAATGAAGCGCATTTCGAAAGATCCTGTAGGGTCTATCCCTAATGTTGCGGCTCCCATGCTGTAGAAGCTACTTAAAGTGGGATTAGGATTGGTGGAGGTAGAGGTAAGAATAGAAATTTGCACTGGGTTACATTGGTGATATTGGCAATTAGAGGGGGCCTTCCCTTTGAAACGAAGGTAGGGTTGTAGAGAGATGCAGCTTTTTGGGGAAGTCTACCCTTGAGGATCGGTATTCCATAGGACGTCATTCCGGGATGGGCAGAACCTCTCCTCAAACCCTTCCCATTCCCAAACTGCAAAGAATGTAATGGATTTAGTTTCGATTAGGCAAGCATTGTGTGAGGATTTAGAATTTATCTTGGAAGGGCAGAGATATTTTTCTGAGAAGGCCAGTTGCCTCTGGTTTTGGAGATCCCCACAGGATATGACAAGACAGGCATCAAATGTGATTGAGGTGAGCTTGATCTAGTTACATTAATGATAAAATAGCTGACGGTAGAGAGAGGAAAGAAGACAAGGCAGTATAAGAGGGTTAAAGTTTTCGTAGCTTTAGGTTGGTAGAAATTGGCCCTGGAACAATAGCCCATGACTCTGAAGATGGTGATGCTGTTTTGACTGGGGTATGATGGGTCCACCCCTTTTCGGCTGTTCGGGCTGCTGTTTCAGTTAGGAGTGCTAGGTATGGTCCTTCCCAAGCTGGCTCCTTCCAGCTTTTGATAAGGATGTGATCTCCAGGCTGGTATTGATGTACCAGGAACTGTAAGGGTGGCATCTGTGCTAAAATACCTTTAGTTCTGAGGTAAGAGAAAGTGGAAAGCCAAGTATATAATTTGATCCTTTGTTTCAAAGGTAGGAATGTCAGTAGTAAGAGTGTAAATAAGGCAGTCCACATAACAGAGAGATAGGCCAGTATCTTTCTGAGAGGCAGTCCTGACTGAATTAGGTGAATCTGTAAACCCTTGGGGTAGGACTCTCCATTGGTACTGCTGCTTCCATCCAGAATGAGGGTTTTCCCACTCAAAAGCAAATACTTCTCTTGTCTTCAGCCAAGGGACATGCCCAGAAGGCATCTTTTAAATCTGTTACTCTGAACCATTGATTGTCATGGAATTCTGCTGAGGATGGTAAAAGGATTGGGGACAACAGGGTGGGTAGTCTGGACTATTTGGTTGATAGCCTGGAGATCTTGTACTAGTTGATGAGACCTGTCTGATTTCTTTACAGGTAATACTGGGGTGTTAATAGGGGGACATACAGGGTTCAGGGAATCAGTCCTGAATGAGAACTTCAACTACAGGCTTTAATTCTATTCTGCCCTCTAGGGGAATGGGATATTACCTTTTTCTTACTATTTCCCCTGGGGTCTTTAACTTTGTATGGATTGGAGTGACTTGAAGTTTCTTTTTTTCTTTCTTTTTTTTTTTTGAGTTGGAGTCTCTGTCACCCAAGCTGGAGTGCAATGGTGTGATCTTAAGCCACTGCAACCTTTGCCTCCTGGGTTCAAACAATTCTCCTGCCTCGGCCTCCTGAGTAGCTGGGATTACAGGCGCCTGCCACTGCACCCAGCTAATTTTTGTATTTTTAGTAGAGATGGGGTTTCACCATGTTGGCCAGGCTGGTCTCAAACTCCTGACCTCGTGATCCACCCACCTTGGCCTCCCAAAGTGCTGGTATTTCAAGTGTGAGCCAGCAAGCCCAGCCTCCCTGATTTCTTTTTCCTGCCCATACATGAGGATGAATGTATTTTTCTTCTGCGGTGGTAAGTCTCTTCCTAATAAGTTCGTTCCTGCCTCAGGGATTAACAGGAATTTAACATGGGCTGATCAATTTTTGTATAGACCTCTGTCTTTTAAGATTTTTGCTTTAAATCTTTTATCCCTGAGATAGAAAGTTCTTCTGAAGAACAGGTGATAGATACCAGATGGGAGGGAACGGGAGCGAGCTGCTGCTGAATCTGTAAGAAGGTTTTAAGTTCACATTTGGGTCCCACCTCTAAATTTATCAGGGGCTCTTGGTGGGACTCAAGGTAAAAGAGACAGCCCCTGACCTCCCTATTTTCCTGGAAGGCCATAAGTGGAATATTTTTTCTTTTTCCCATTTGGGGCATTCTCTTTTGAAGTGACCTACTCTTCCACATTTGAAACATTTGTTTTCCCCTCTTCCCTGTCCTGCACTGTGACTTCCAGGTTTTATTCCCTTACTCCTTGTATACAGTTTGGTCGCTGGTGGCCTAGAGGGTTTGTAAGTTTTACTTCCTTGTGTCTCCTACTGCAGAGTTCTCTGTTGTAAGGTAGACAGCATGATTTTTGCCTTTTGTTTCTGCTGCTCTTTGTCCCTACTTATATGCTTCTCTAAGAAGTTAGTCTCTGGGACAATCTTTCCAATTCTCTATCTTTTGTAGTTGTTTTTAGAGGTGTTTGGCCAAGTCTTAGTAACAAAATGAAGCTTTAGCATCCCTTGCCCCAGTGGGTCTTCCATTTCTAAACCTGCATATTTTCTCATCTGTTCTTTAAGCCTATTTAGGAATTCATGGGTCCTTCATCCATCCCTTGTATGTTGAATGCTTGGGAAATACTCTCAGTTCGGGATACTGATGGAACATTTTGACCGGTAGGGTGTTAATGTTCCCAGACTACCAAAGCAGCCCTATGGATCATGGTTCTTCTCCCAAGAAGGGAATGCCTAAAATGGACATAAGCTCGGCCCATACAACTGGGGTCCTAAAAAATGATTTGATCTGCTACCCCATAAGGGTCATCTAACAAGGGCTTGAGTTTTTCTTTTTTTTTAGATTTTGTACTTCTGAGCTGGTTAAGGGGGCATTTACGAAGCTGATGCCTCCTCTCCCAAGGGGCACTTCTTCAAGGGGAAGAGAGTTGGGGGCAATTCTTTGGAGGTGGAAAGGGGAAAGGGAAGTTCTGAGTATCCTTTTTACATTGTTCTATTTCATGCTGTAGGGCTTAAGTGTGTGGCTAGGGGGAACATGGGGTATTGATTCAGGATTATATGGGGGAGGGACTGATGAGTGGGGGGATCCTGTGTACCGGCTTGATGCATGGGGTTTGGCAGAGGCAAGTGGTCTGGTGGGTCCCATATGTTAGCAGGCTGTTCGGGGGTAGAGACCTTACTCCTTTCAGAGGAGTTGGCTTCTGGCTTGCTTCCTGTAGTTATGTTTAGTCCTTTCACTATCCTTTTAGCATGAGAACCTAGGGGACTGTCAGAGGGGATGTTACTGTCATTAATTTGATCCTTTCTATTTACTGTCTTTCTTGAGGTATTTTGCATAATGAAGGTTTGGTGTGAGGCCCAAAATTAGATTTATTGCCTTTCCTCATAGGCTCAACCTCCCTTACTGGAGATTTCTTGCCATTCCTTTCTCTAGAGGGTCAGCCCCTGGCTACTGGAGATTTCTTGCACTCTTCTCCTTTTGCTTCATCCTTCTCTGGCTGCTTCCCAGGAGGGAATATTTCAGGTCCTCCTTAGCATTGGTGTGTCAGTATAAGCCCCATGACAGGAATCCACCATAAGCTATACGAGGTGACCATGGAATCACAGATCCGGAATCATCGCTCGCTTCGCACTCAGTTGTGCGTCTCATTGACACACTTTCAACCTCTAAAATGCCCTGACCACCAAGGAAATACTTTGTCGCCCCTGTGACTTTTCTTAACTTGGTCTGTGCAGTTACCTGGTCACCGCAGTATGTGAGGATCCTTTCCGCCTGTGTTGCTGAGAGTCTGGGTTTATGTGTCACCTTGGGTGGGACCCAATCTCCTGTTTGTGAGGCCACCGCAAAGAGGTGGTGGGATGCCTCTCCTCAAGAGAGGTGATCGTGGGCTTCTCCTGAAGGAGAACGGTAATCCCAGATGAGCTCCCAAATTGTTGGCAATAAGAGCTCAGAGTTGCAAAGAAAATGATCTCCAAAAGATTTCTCAGCAAGGCAGATTTACTTCTGCAGAATGGTGCTGCTTGCACTCCTGGTCACAGTGAGAGCACCCCGAACAAAGGAGGTGAAGTGGTTTTTATCCCTAACACAGCTAGTTCCTGCTTCTGTGTTCTATCCCCATTGGCTAGAGTCCAATCTAAACTAGTCCTGATTGGCTATTTTAAACAGGAGGGGTGTGGGTTACAGCAGTGGGAAGAGCAGTTGCCACGAGCGAGGGAGACTTTTCCAGATAAGGAACAAATGCGGGTTACAGGTTGGGATTGGTGGGAGAAATGTTTACAGAATGGGTAATTAGGAGTGGGAAGGTATGAGGAAGTTGACCTTAAGAACAAAGAACAAGGAAGTTAAACTTTGAAGAGAAACCCATCATACCTAACAGTCTTGTAAGAAAGGATGACAAAGTGATTGAACATTGGGTGGAGCTAATTTTCCTTGGCCAATTCACTTAGTAAGATAAGGAGCTCCAAATCATATTTAAGTTGGGAGTCAATTGATTTTACTTAATTCTTGTGAGGTTCAGTTATAAGATTCATCATACTACTACCATGAGCCATCCTCAGCTCCTTGTTACATGGGCCTGTTAACATGGCAGCTTTGTCTATAAGCAAACCCAGGAGAGAAAGACATAGCAGAGATGGATGTTTGAAGTCTATACCTTCCACCCCCTTTAAAGAGAAAGTAACACCACTCCTTTTCTGTGTCCCTTGGGGACACTACCTCCATGTCTGGTCACATGGCTGGACTTTACAGCAGATAAGCATACTGTGGCCTGAGACCATGATTGTATGCTTTCCTTCTGCTGACCTTTACAATCCCTCAATAAATTGAGCTAACACAGGGAAGCTTTTTTACCAAATAACTGTGTTGCATCATCCTCCAGTTTGCCTGGTGTCCTTAATCAATGGAAGGGGAATAAGCAAACTGAGTTTTCTTACACCTTTTGAGTATAGTGTTTTTGCCATCATAGATGTGGCTCCTCATAATTCTCCAACTTTTATATTAAAAAACCAAAACCTCAAAAATTGTAGTTCATGTCAGTCAGTGATGACTCATCTTAGAAGTATTTTGTTTTTGGATGTGTGAATGTGCATAGTTCTTAAAGTCCAACATTCATGTAATAAGACATCTTGCATATAACAATGACCCTTACGTCTAAGATGTTAAATAGATCCTAAGCCTGGTATAACTTTATTCAAGTATCCTTATTTGCCCCTAAAATGTCTTTAATACACATTACTTGGGTTATTTCTTGAATGAACATACAGGTATCCCAATTTCTGTTTTTAAGAGAATGGGGTCTTGCTCTGTCACCCAGGCTGGAGTGCAGTGGTGCAGTCATGGCTTACTGCATCCATGATCCTCCTGCCTCAGCCTCCCAAGTAGATGGGACTGAAAGCACACACTGCCATCCCTGGCTAATGTTTTCATATTTTGTAGAGTTGCAGCCTTGCTACGTGACCCAGGCTGGAGTGTAGTAGCTATTCACAGGCATGATTGCTTGAAACTCATGGCTTCAAGGGAAACTCCCACCCTCAATATCCTCAGTAGCTGCAACTACAGCCATACCCCCCACTGCTCAGCTTCTCATCCTTTAAAAGATTTTTACTGGTAGTGTCCTCATTCTGGGTTTTTGTCTTCTGTGTTTACTGTGACATGAAGTCATTTTTAGATGAAGGTTAAACATTTTGCCAACGCAGGTACAATATGGGATTCAATAAAAGTACAGAATTAAAGTTGTCTTATTAGAGATTGGGAAGTTTCCCAGCTCCGTTTATCGGTACTTGGCCGTACCGATAAAGGGGATGGACTTGGAGTGACCAGGTCTTAGTCACATGTATTTTCATACCCTAAACAAGAAGCGGTATAGACCAGAATGGAGCACTGATTGTAATCCACCTTCTTTCTTAGAAACTGGCGATGGAATATGAGAGGAGCCCTCTGGAAAGAAAAGGACAGACCCTGTGCTTTCATGAAAGTGAAGATCTGGCTGAACCAGTTCCACAAGGTTACTGTATACATAGCCTGAGTTTAAAAGGCTGTGCCCACTTCAAGAATGTCATTGTTAGACTTTGAAATTTCTAACTGCCTACCTGCATAAAGAAAATAAAATCTTTTAAATCAAAATGCTGTTTTGTTTGGCCATTGGAGATAACCATTGAACAGGGATAACAAGTAGTAGTTAGGTATTTGCAGTTTCATTTGGTTTTAGTTTTTTGAGGGGAGAATCACCCTAGTGGGCAGTTGGTTTCTGTGGGCAAAGCCTGCTTTCCACAGGTATTGTGCCTCGTGATTGGCTTCTGCATTGGAAACCTAAGAATAAGCAAGCACACTTGGGCCAGAATTCAAAGCAGAGGGTCAATACAGAGGTATCTCACTTGTATGCTTACACCTGCACAAGATCGTGTATGTTAAATCGTGGGTATTAGGCCTTAATGGTTGCATGAGATGAGTAAGGATGATGTGGGCTATGGTATTTGTTTATAAACTTCATAGGAAATTGCAAAAATAGGCTGCATCATTTATCAATATGTGATGATTTTTTATTTAAAATACACAGTGAATAATTTTTTAAGTATCTTAAAATCTCACCTCAAAGATGGGACCTCTAGATTTCTTTTTTTTTTCTGAGGCAGAGTCTCGCTGTGTCACCCAGGCTGGAGTGCAGTGGCATGATCTCAGCTCACTGCGAGCTCTGCTTCCTGGGTTCACATTCTCCTGCCTCAGCCTCCCAAGTAGCTGGGACTACAGGTGCCCGTCACCACGCCCGGCTAATTTTTTGTATTTTTAGTAGAGACGGGTTTTCGCTGTTTTAGCCAGGATGGTCTTGATCTCCTGACCTTGTGATCTGCCCACTTCGGCCTCCCAAAGTGCTGGGATAACAGGCATGAGCCACTGCGCCCAGCCTGGGACCTCTAGATTTCTAAAATGACTCCTGGTATTGACTCAGAATCCCCTCCCCTTGACTAGGCTGGACCTAGTGTAACTTCTGAGACTTGCTAGCTCTTTTTCTCATTCTCCTTGGCTTGCTCACTTTTTTTTTTTTTTTTTGAGATCTCAGCTCACTGCAACCTCCGTCCCCTGGGTTTAAGCAAATTCTCCTGCCTCACCCTCCCGAGTAGCTTGGATTACCACGCCTGGCTAATTTTTGTATATTTAGTAGAGGGGGTTCACCATGTTGGCCAGGCTGGTCTTGAACTCCTGACCTCAAGTGATCTGCCTGCGTCAAGCCTCCCAAAGTGTTGGAATTACAGGCGTGAGCCACCACGCCTGGCCTAGCTTGCTCACTTTTAATTAAGCTGCCATGTTGGGAGAGGCCAGCGTAGCAATCAACTGAGGTTGAACCATTAGTGTGGGAGGAGTTACCCAACAACCATGTGAGTTTGTAAGCACGTCTTTCTGTAGCGGAGGCTTGTGAGAAACCCTGAGAGCGGACCCACCCAGATTGTGCTTGGATTTCTGACCTATGGGAAATGTATTTCAAGCCACTAGGTTTTGAGATAACTTGCTACAAAGCAGTAAATTCACAACTCTATAATGCCCACTCTAAAGGTCCTGACATGGGCATCTCCATTACCTAAGTCAACTGATGCTACTTCAATTTCTCCACGTAGCATTTGAAGCGTTTATGTCTGGCCCCAGCCTACATTTTCAGACTTATTTGTGCATTTGACTTAACATGTCCAAAACTAAATGCCTGATGCTTCACTCACCTAACCCCATTCCCTGCAAGTCTGTGCTTCCTGCGATCTTCCCTTCCCAGGTATTGGCAACACCAGAAGTCCAGTTGGTCAGGA
This sequence comes from Homo sapiens, assembly GCF_000001405.40. Taxonomy (NCBI): domain Eukaryota; kingdom Metazoa; phylum Chordata; class Mammalia; order Primates; family Hominidae; genus Homo; species Homo sapiens. The sequence goes on from NC_000020.11 coordinate 49,290,931, forward strand.
GCTGTGGAATCAACCTCATGTACCATGTGAATCCCTTGGCAAATGCTATTGGTTCTACCTTCAAAATACATCTGAAACCCACCCCCTCTTAGCGTCTTCATTGCTACCACCTTGGTACAAACCATCAAACAAGCTTGGAATACTGGTCTCTACTTCAGCCTTTGCTCCCTACGATCAATTGAGATGCAACCAGAGCGATCTGTGAAAACCTGAATTAGGTATGGAGCTCTCTGCTCAGAAGCCTCCAGTGTCTTCCCCACCTCACACAGTAAAAGCCAAAGTCCATCAGGGCCTACATGATCTTCCCCTTCCCTTAACCTCTAACTTCATCTCTTCCCTTTCAATCTTAGCCACATGGGCCCCCTGACTTCTCCATTCCTTTAGGATTACTCCAACCTCAGTATCTTAGCACTTGATTTTCCCACTGCCTGGAATGATCAGCCCTAGACCCCCAGAGCTTTGCACAGCCCTCTGCCTTGTGTCATTCAGGTATTTGCTCTCACTCCCTCTGGGGAACTGTCTAATCATCTCTATCACTTTCTATTCCCTTATCTTGTTTTTTATTTTTTTAAATAGAAACTGTTGCTCAGGCGGGTCTCAAACTCCTGGGCTTAAGGGATCCTCCCTATTTGGCCTCCCAAAGTGCTAGAATTACAGGCATGAGCCACCATGCCTGGCCATGTTTTTACTTAGTGCCTAACAGGTACTGCCTATGTGTATAGTATATACATGCATGTACATATACATCTATGTATATGTGTATATATAGTTTGTCATACAGCTGTTAAGTGGCAGAGCATGCATTTGATTCTGTCAGTCTGCTCTTGTATTTGTGGGGTGTTTGTTTTGTTTTTTGAGACGGAGTCTTGCTGTGTCCCCCAGGCTGGAGTGCAATCTCAGCTCCCTATAACCTTCGCCTCTTGGGTTCAAGGGATTCTCCTGTTTCAGCCTCCTGAGTAGCTGGGATTACAGAAGCCTGCACGGTGCCCCTTAATTTTTGTATTTTTAGTAGAGGTGGGGTTTCACCATGTTGGCCAGACTGGTCTCGAACTCCTGACCTCAAGTGATCCACCTGCCTAGGCCTCCCAAAGTGCTGGGATTACAGGCATGACCCACGTGCCTGGCCTGGCACTTGTATTTGTAACCCTTGGCTTAATTGCAACATGTTACTTCAATGCAGTCTAATGGATACAGGAAGGAGATAATTTCTGGCTCTTAAAAGCTCAAATGCTTTTGCTGGACTTCTGTGTTGATGAGATACCACTGAGGTCAGAAATGGCCCCAAATACCTGCCAGCCAGGGGCCAGAGAAGCTTCCTGGAGAACTCCCAGCCACACCCATAGTCTCAGCTTTGCTGTTGCTTCTCTGAGCTCCAAGGCAGTTGTAGGCCTCTAATGATCAAACTATTGGCAACCCGTCTCTAGCTTTAGCTCCTACCAGTCCCACCAAACATTTGATGCTTCAGTCTCGTTTTACCTCTTTGTCTTATTGACTGAGGAGTCCTTTCCTTCTATAAGCTTCAGTTTCCTCATCTGTGAAATGAGGTTTATTGGGTGCTTGCCACGTGCCAATATTGTGCTATTATCTCATTTAATCTATACCCCAACTCTGTTATTACCCTATTTTATAGATAGCAAAACAGGCTCAGGGAGGTTTGGTGAGTTCATGTACCTTGAAGGTGGTTCTTGAAAGCTGGGATGTGAACCAGTACTATCCTAGGCCCCTAATTTCCAAGGGCCTTTGCTTAAGACCCTCACCAACTGCATGGGTAAAAGCACAAGCATGGCCAGGCGCGGTGGCTCACGCCTGTAATCCCAGCACTTTGGGAGGCCGAGCCGGGCAGATCACAAGGTCAAGAGATTGAGACCATCCTGGCCAACATGGTGAAAACCCGTCTCTACTAAAAATACAAAAATTGGCTGGGCGTGGTGGCCCGTGCCTGTAGTCCCAGCTACTTGGCAGGCTGAGGCAGGAGAATCACTTGAACCCTGGAGGTGGAGGTTACAGTGAGCCGAGATTGCACCACTGCACTACACCTTGACAATGGAGTGAGACTCCATCTCAAAATAAAAACAAAACAAAAACAAAGAAAAACCCACACAAGCATTTCTGGAAAGCTGTGGGAAAAAATAAGAGATTCACAATGTCTTCCAGAATTTTAGCTGAGAGGTGGTGGTATTATCTCCCCCATACCCCACTACTCATTTTCTGGGAACAGAGCAGTTTTACAAATGGTTTGGAGCTTGGGCTTATTCCCAGCTCCTGGCAGACAGCAGTAACTTCCCCAGATCTCCTATCTGTAAAGTGGGCATAACATGTCTTTCCTCCTGGAGTTACTGTGAGGATCAAGTGAGACAATGTGTCCTCTAAATGCTTGACCACAGGGTTAGGTCAGTAATTGTTGCGGGAAGTCAGGGACCCCAAACGGAGGGACCGCCTGAAGCCATGACAGAAGAACGTGGATTGTGAAGATTTTATGGACATTTATTAGTTCTCCAAGTTAATACTTTTGTAATTTCTTACGCCTGTCTTTACTGCAATCTCTAAACGTAAATTGTAAAGATTTCATGGACTTCCCCAATCAATACCCTTGTGATTTCCTATGCCTGTCTTTACTTTAATCTCTTAATCCTGTCAGTTGAGGAGGATGTATATCGTTCCAGGACCCTGTAATAATTGCGTTAACTACAAAAATTGTACAGCATGTGTGTTTGAGCAATATGAAATGTGGGCATCCTGAAAAAAGAACAGGATAACAGCAATTGTTCAGGGAATAAGAGAGATAACCTTAAACTCTGACTGCTGGTGAGCCGCGCAGAACAGTCATATTTCTCTTCTTTCAAAAGCAAATGGGAGAAATATCGCTGAATTCTTTTTCTCAGCATGGAACATCCCTGAGAAAGAGAATGTGCACCTAGGGATAGGTATCTGAACTGGCCCCACCGGGGCGTACCTGTCTCTTATGGTCGAGATTGCAGAGGTGAAATAAACTCCGGTCTCCCATAGCGCTCCCAGGCTTATTAGGAAGAGGAAATTCCTGCCTAATAAATTTTGGTTGATCTCAAAACCCTGTCTCCTGATAAGATGTTATCAATGACAATGGTGCCCGAAACTTCATTAGCAATTTTAATTTCGCCTCGGTCCTGTGGTCCTGTGATCTCGCCCTGCCTCCACTTGCCTTGTGATATTCTATTACCCTGTTAAGTACTTGATGTCTGTCACCCACGCCTATTCACACACTCCCTCCCCTTTTGAAAATCCCTAACAAAAACTTGGCTGGTTTTTGTGGCTTGTGGGGCATCACGGATCCTACCAACGTGTGATATCACCCCCGGACGCCCAGCTTTAAAATTTCTCTCTTTTGTACTCTGTCCCTTTATTTCTCAAGCCAGCTGATGCTTAGGAAAATAGAAAAGAACCTACGTGATTATCAGGGCAGGTCCCCCGATAAGTAATAGTCATCTTCATCCGAGTGAAAAGGAATAAACTAGTGATTGTGCAACAACTTGGATGAACCCCAGAGATGCGATGCTGACTGAGGGAAGCCAGCCTCAAATGGTTACATGCTGTGTGATTCCATTTATTTGACATTCTGGAAAAGACAAAGGTATGATGAAGGGAAGAGATGATGGTGTTGCCAGAAGTTAGGATGGGTGGCGGATGTGGATGTAAAGGGATCGCACAAGGAAGTGTTTGGGGTGTCATGATTGCCGTAGTGGTTATATGAATGTACTGGGCCAGGCATGGTGGCTCACGCCTGTAATCCCAGCACTTTGGGAGGCCCAGGTGGGTGGATCACCTGAGGTTAGGAATTTGAGACCACCCCGGCCAACATCGTGAAACCCCATCTCTCCATCTCTACTAAAAATACAAAAATTAGCTAGGCGTGGTGGCGCGTGCCTGTAATCCCAGCTACTTGGGAGGCTGAGGCAGGAGAATCACTTGAACCTGGAAGGTGGAGGCTGCAGTGAGCTGAGATCGCACCATTGCACTCCAGCCTGGGCAATAGAGTGAGACTCCGTCTCGAAACAAAACAAAAACCCAGATTTATAGAACTGTACAGCAAAATAAAAAAATAGTTTTATTGTATGACAATTTTTTTATTATTTATTTTTGAGACAGGGTCTTGCTCTGTCACCCAGGCTGGAGTGCAATGGTGCGATCTTAGCTCACTGCAGCCTCCACCTTCCGGGTTCAAGCAATCCTCCCACCTCAGCCTCCTGAGTAGCTGTGACTACAGGTGCGTGCTACCACACTCAGCTAATTTTTAAATTTTTTTAGAGATAGGGGTCTCACTATGTTGCTGGAGTTGATCTCAAACTCCTGGTCTCAAGTGATCCTCCTGCCTCACCCTCCGAAAGTGCTTTTTAAAAATGTTAAAAACAAACATAGGCTCTGGAGCTAGACTTGGGTTTAAATCCCGGCTCTGTTATGTATTAGCCATTGGCTCAATCTTCTTTTTCTTTTCCTAGATTTTGCCTGCCTGAGCTCCTCTAGTAGTGGCCACAATTGCCAGAGAAGATAGAGCAGGTCTCTCCCAGGACTTGCAGCTCCAGCCTGTGTCTGCAAGGGGTGTTGTAGCGACTGATTTCTCCAGCCCATGGCAAGAGGCCTTCATCTTGTGCCTGGAAAGAGGGAAGTACAAGTCCGTCTGGCAGAGATGGTGCAGATGGGCAAGTTTTTCAGACACTGCAGCCAGCACTTCTGGGACCGCAGCAGTGGAGCCTGCAGAGGGCCGGTTCTCCAGGCATGGGCTACTGACATTGTCACTTCCAGACTCCTTATGCAATAAACAACCCCTAAACAGATTTATTCACAATTTCTCCATCCTAACAAGTCAGTGATCAGTTTTCACTTTTCCACATTCCCTTCTGTCCCCATTATGTTCCCATAGTGGGGCAGCTTCTACCTGCATGGTTGGAGCTTCCCATTTTTAAAGAGGCAAGAAATCCTTTAAAGTTCTTTGAAATGTTTGTAGCCTGTTCCAATTTTATAAACTGTGAAGACTGAGCAACACACAATGCATGGGCCTCATATGGCCTGGAGGCCACCAGTTGGAGACCTCTGTAGCTTGAGCTGTGTCCCTTTCAGCACTGTTCTTGTCATTCCTGAGCTGGGATGCCCCCTGAAACATAGGATGCTCAGTTAAATTTGAATTTCTTTTTTTTTTTCCTTGAAATGGAGTGTCGCTCTGTCGCCAGGCTGGAGTGCTGTGGCGTGATCTCAGCTCACTGCAACCTCCACCTCCCTAGTTCAAGTGATTCTCCTGCCTCAGCCTCCCGAGTAGCTGGGATTACAGGCATGCACCACCACACCCAGCTAATTTTTGTATTTTTAGTAGAGACAGAGTTTCACCATGTTGGCCAGGATGGTCTTGATCTCCTAACCTCATGATCTGCCCGCCTCGGCCTCCCAAAGTGCTGTGATTACAGGTGTGAACCACTGCGCCCGGCCGATGGCAATCATTCTTTAAGATGCAGCCTCCGTGGACCTCGTACCTTCTCAGTAATTTCCATATTCTTTGCTGACTTGGGTTTTTCCTCCAAAATTGTCTGGGATAAATTGAGGTTTGTGGAGTTTCCTGATGGCTAGTTTCCAAACTGGCTTCAAAGCCTGGGCTTGTGGAATTGGCTGGGTCTGCGGCCAGCCTAACCCATCCTTCGGTCACAGTCTCCCATGGTCCTGATATTAATTCATCACAGGTCTGTTTAGAAGGTGGCAGAAACAGACGGTCTTGGGCTTATTTATATCTGTGGCTTTTTTTAAAAGACAGAAAAGGAGAAATCTGGATCCTTTCCTTGTCAGCCTCCTTTAACTAAATGGTCTTTTGCTAAAATAGACTGGCCCCACTGTGTGGGTAGGAAGGGTTGAGATGGGAGTGGGCCAAGTGAGTGAGAACTTTTTTTTTTTGCCTTGATGTTAAAATGGCAGCATGTGCAGTCTTCTGCCTCTGCCCAGGTTGACCTGATGTTTTTACAGGGAGAGAGGCTGCTTGTTGAGTGTGGTGGTATTTATCATAGTGTATGTTAGGCTGCCTCAAACATCCCTCGCTGTCGTACCTTTCAGCCAACTCTAATGTACCTCTCTCAGCCTGATTTCTCCCCACTTGAGTTATAATAACAACAACTGCCTTTTAAAAAATTTCCTACTGGGCTTCATGCTAGGTACTTTCCACGTTTTATTTTTATTTATTTATTTTTTGAGACAGAGTCTCACTCTGTCACCCACGCTGGAGTGCAGTGGTGTGATCGCAGCTCACTGCAGCCTCAAACTCCTGGGCTCAAGCGAGCCTCCTGCCTCAGCCTCCCGAATAGCTGGGACTACAGGTTTGTGCTACTGTGCCCGGCTAATTTTTCTATTTTTTTGTAGAGACAGTGTCTCCCTTTGTTTCCCAGGCTGATCTCTCCTGGGCTCAAGCGATCCTCCTGCCTCAACCTCCCAAAGTATTGGGATTACTGGTGTGAGCCACCATTATATGTTTTAAATAATTTATTCCTCACCTCAAGTGAGTGAGGTAACATCCCAGTTTTACAGACAAGGAAACAGATTGGGCAGGGGAAGTGACTTGCCTCAGATGCACAATAAATGGCTCTGCCAGTGTCTTCCTTAGCGCCTCCGATCCCCTTCTCACCCTTGTCCTCTCTGCTCCTCTCTGCTCAATGCTCCTGGGAGCGTGAACTGCATTAATGGCTCCTTGTCTGGTGGCCTCAAGGTTCCCCAGGAGGCAGGGAGGGTGAGGCTGAGATGTGTGCTCCCCTAAGGCACATGCCTCAGCCTGGCTGCCTCTGTCTAAGGCCACAGCCCCTCAAGTGCTTCCCCACCTGACTTTCTGGGCTCTGGTAACCGCTTCCTGCCTGCCCCATCAGGTGTAGGGGGTGCTTCATGGGTCAACATTAGCTTATGTGGTTTCCTTATATCCTGGGCGCACCTTTGTTAGTCTCAAATTACATTCTGCTTGAACTATTCTCTATCCAGTGGGTTGTGACTATCTAGAGGCAGAGTTGGGATTTGAACCCCAAGACTTCAAAATAAGCTCTGTGCAAATGGCCTCCCAGAGCTGCCTGCTGGTTTCTTCTGCGAGGCCTGGCTTCTCCATTTTGGCTTGGACCATGGCCTGCTGTCATTTCCACAACAGTTGCAGGAAGTTGCCAAATGCGTTTTCTGTGACTGCCAGGCTGGTGACCCTGTTAAAAACAAAGCAACAACAAAAAAAGCAATTTCTTCAATTAAAATTACAAAACAGAAAAAAAAAAAGATGTCACACTTGGGGGAAGCTGGTTGAAGTGTACTTGATATTCTACATACTATTTTCGCAGTTCTCTGTGAATCAATAGTTATTTCCAAATAAAATGTTAAAAAAAACTTTATTACTAAATCAGAAAAAAACAACAACAAACAACAACAAAAACCAAAGCAGAATATGTGGTGCACTGTTGAGGGAAGTACAGAAGGATAAAAACAAGAAAATACTGACACAACTCAGACTCCACTGTTGAACCTTATTTTATTTTATATACTTCTAGGTCTTTTTTTTTTTTTTTTTTGAGAAGAGTCTCAGCTCACTGCAACCTCTGCCTCCCAGGTTCAAGCGATTCTCCTGCCTCAGCCTCCCGAGTAGCTGGGATTACAGGTGCCTGCCACCATGCCTGGCTAATTTTTGTATTTTTAGTAGAGACGGGGTTTCACCATGTTGTGCAGGCTGGTCTCGAACTCCTGATTCAGGTGATTCGCCCGCCTCGGCCTCCCAAAGTGCTGGGATTACAGGTGTGAGCCACTGCGTCAGGCCACTTCTAGGTCTTTTTCTACATGTTTATATATACACTGTATGTATTCTTTACCAAAGTGGGATCATACCATAATGCTGTTTTTTTTTTGTTTTGTTTTGTTTTTTGTTTTTGTTTTTAAGACAGTCTTACTCTGTTTCCCAGGCTGGAATGCAGTGGTGTGATCTCGGCTCACTGCAATCTCTGCCTCCCAGGTTCAAGTGATTCTCCTGCCTCAGCCTCCCGAGTAGTTGGGACTACAGGTGCCCACCACCACGCCCAGCTAATTTTTGTATTTTTGGTAGGGACGGGGTTTTGCTGTGTTGGCCACACTGGTCTCGAATTCCCAACCTCATGTGATCCACCTGCCTTGGCCTCCCAAAGTGCTGGGATTCTAGGTGTAAGCCACCACGCCCGGCCTATAGTGCTGTTTTGTAACCTCTGTCAGTTAACCATCTCCATTTTTTCACATCAATAAATTTCCCATTTGTCCACAAAAGTCCTGTACAGCTGGCAGAGGATATGTGTGACTGGAGGCCATTAGGTCCTTCAGGTTCTTCCAGCCTAGCACCACCCTTTCTTCCCCTTTACCATAGGGGCTTGTCCTAGAGAACGTCTCACCTTCTGGATTCATCTGAGTGTTGCCTTCTGGGGGTGTCACTTCATTTGTTCCTCTGTATCCTGCATCCCCTGTAAATTGGAGAGTCAATCTAAAGTTTTGATAAGATCAAGTTAAATATTTTGGCAAGAAAGCGTCATACATGATGATGCTGGGCACATCAGGTGACATCACATTTTATATTTAATGGACAAATAAAAGTTGTATATATTTACTGTGTACAACACGATGTTTTGGAATATGTATATGTTGTGGAATGGCTAAATCAAGCTAATTAAAATATGCATTACTTCACTTTTTTTTTTTTTAAGAGACAGAGTTTTGCTCTCGTTACCCAGGCTGGAGTACAGTGGCATGATCTCGGCTCACTGCATCCTCTGCCTCCAGGGTTCAAGCGATTCTTCTGCTTCAGCCTCCCAAGTAGGTGGGATTACATCTGCCACCATGCCCGGTTAATTTTTTGTATTTAGTAGAGACGGGTTTCACCATTTTGCTCAGGCTGGTCTCAAACTCCTGACTTCAGGTGATCTGCCCCCCTCGGCCTCCCAAAGTGCTGTGATTGCAGGCATGATACTTCACTTATTTTTTGTGATAAGAACACAAAATCTCTTGAGCAATTTTTAAGTACACAGTATATTCTTATTGACTATAGTCACCATGATGTACAATAGAGCTCTTGAAGTTATTCCTCTTGTTTAACTGGAAATTTGTACCCTTTGATCAATATCTCCTGAAAACAATTTTCTCTGCTTCTCTCTTATGACTTTGACTTATATGTGTAGATGCCACATAGAAGTGATATCTTCCAGCCTGGGCAACAGAGTGAGATTCTGGTTTTGTTTGTTTGTTTCTTTTTTTTTTTTGGAGACAGTCTCACTCTGTGGCCCAGGATGATCTCGGCTCACTGCAATTCTGCCTCCTGGGCTCAGGTGGTCCTCCCACTTCAGCCTCCCGAGTAGCTGGGACTACAGGCATGCACCACTACGCCTGGCTAATTTTTGTATTTTTTTGTAGAGATGGGTTTTGCCAGGTTGCCCAGGCTGATCTTGAACTCCTGGGCTCAAGCGATCTCTGCCTGCCTAGGCCTCCCAAAGTGCTGGGATTTCAGGCGTGAGCCACCATGCTCAGCTGAGACTGTTTCTAAGACAGTCTCACTCTGTTGCCCAGGCTGGAGTGCAGTGGCGGGATCTTGGCTCACTGCAACCTCTGCCTCCTGGGTTCAAGTGATTTTCCTGCCTCAGCCTCCTGAGTAGCTGGGACTACACGTGCCCACCACCACGCCCAGCGAATTTTTGTATTTTTAGTAGAGACGGGGTTTCGCCATGTTAGCCAGGCTGGTCTTCAACTCTCGACCTCAAGTGATCCACCTGCCTCGGCCTCCCAAAGTGTTAGGATTACAGGTGTGAGCCACCATGTCTGGCCTCACACAGAATTTTAAAAACACATTTTAAAAGTGTATTCAAGGGTTGACATGCAATAGAATTAGCAATTTTTACTGCTTTATCAAGGACATTCCTAAGTGAAACTGGCTCTCTTCTTGTTACTGTGGGCTTGTAGGGGTGAAGAATACAGTGATTACTAATAGAATTAGGTGCCACCACTTTGATTCATGCTAAGGAGCCAGCAGCTTTGTCCTCTGTTGTTTTTGTACCATTTAACGCAAATGTCACAGGGGAATGTTAAAAGATAAAGTCTTACTATCATTATGAAAATTCTTGGCCGGGCGCGGTAGCTCACGCGTAATCCTAGCACTCTGGGAGGCCGAGGCGGGTGGATCATGAGGTCAGGAGATTGAGACGATCCTGGCCAACACGGTGAAAACCCATCTCTACTAAAAATACAGAAAATTAGGCGAGCATGGTGGCAGGCGCCTGTAGTCCCAGCTACTCAGGAGGCTGAGGCAGGAGAATGGCGTGAACCTGGGATGCGGAGCTTGCAGTGAGCCGAGATGGCGCCACTGCACTCCAGCCTGTGTGACAGAGCGAGACTCCACCTCAAAAAAAAAAAAAAGAAAATTCTTTTGACCTTGCAGCCCCCTGAAAGTGTCTTAAACACCATACTTTAAGAATCACCAATCTGTTCTATAGACTTCATTCAAATGTTGCCAATTTTCCTACTAATATCCTTGTTATGGTCTAAGATCTAACCCAAGAGCACATTTAAAAAAAATATCAACTTTTACTTTAGATTCAGGCGGTACACATGTAGGATTGTTACAAGGATATATTTCGTGGTGCTGAGGTTTGGGGTATGATTGAGCCTGTCATCCAGGTAGCGAGCAAGGTACCCAGTAAGGGGTTTTTCACCCCCTGCCCCGTCCCTCTCTTCCCCCTCAAGCCTGTCATCCAGGTAGTGAGCAAGGTACCCAGTAGGGGGTTTTTCACCCCCTGCCCCATCCCTCTCTTCCCCTTCTTGTAGTCTCTGGTGTCTAATGTTTCATCTGTATGTGTCCACGTGTACCCAATGTATAGCTCCCATGTGTATGTGAGAACATATGGTATTTGTTTTTCTGTTTCTGTGGTAATTTGCTTATGATAGTGGCCTCCAGCTGCATCCATGTTGCTGCAAAGGGCATGATTTCCTTCTTTTTTTTTTTTTTTTTTGAGACACAGTCTCGCTCTGTCGCCAGGCTGGAGTGCAGTGGGGTGATCTCGGCTTACTGCAACCTCCGCTTCCTGGGCTCAAGCGATTCTCCTGCCTCAGCCTCCCGAGTAGCTGGGATTATAGGCATGCGCCACCACACCTGACTAATTTTTGTATTTTTAGTAGAAACGGGGTTTCTTCATGTTGGTCAGGCTGGTCTCGAACTCCCAACCTCAGGTGATCCACCAACCTCAGCCTCCCAAAGTGCTGGGGTTACAGGTGTGAGCCACTGTGCCTGGGGATTTCATTTTCTTTCAGGGCTGTGTAGTATTCTGTTGTGTATATGTACCACATTTTCTTTATTCCACTGCTGATGGGCACCTAGGTTGATGCCATGTCTTTGCTATTGTGAACAGTGCTGTGATGAAAATACATGTGCATGAAGAGCTAACGTCGAAACATGTTCTATTTAGATGTCCTCTCTCCTTAGGCTCTCTCTCTCTCTTTTTGAGGCAGAGTCTCACTCTGTTGCCCAGGCTGTAGTGTGGTGGTGTGATTTCAGCTCACTGCAACTTCTGCCTCCCAGGTTCAAGCAATTCTTGTGTTTCAGCCTCCCAGACATTAAAGAGATTTACAGGCCAGGCACAGTGGCTCACACCTGTAATCCCAGCACTTTGGGAGGCCAAGGCGGGTGGATTGCTTGAGGCCAGAAGTTCGAGACCAGCCTGGCCAACTTGGTGAAAGCTCTTCTCTACGAAAAACACAGAAATTAGCCAGGTGTGGTGACACACACCTGTAATCCCAGCTACTCAGGAGGCTGAGGAATGAGAATCACTTGAACCTGGGAGGCAGAGGTTGCAGTGAGCTGAGATCGCACCATTGCACTCCAGCCTGGGGCAACAAAGCAAGACCGTGTCTCAAAAAAAAGGGATGGGAAAGAAAATTGAAAATTACTAGAGGGTTACTTTGATTACAGTATTCAGGGAAGGCCTCTCTGAGGATGTGACATGTGAGCCAAGATCTGAAGGATGAATAGGAGCTGGGCACAAGAAAATCTGAAAGGGAAGAGCATTCTGGGAGCGGAGACAGAAAGTGCAAAGGCTCAGAGATGAGAATGAACTCGGCAACACTACACAGAATTCTGTCCAACATTCTTCAGCTGCTGAAAAACTTGTTCATGATAAACTTGGGACTCAGACACATATAACAGACATCAGTTAAACACTTATCAGAGCTGGAGTCATGTTAAAGTAGAATAAAAATGTCAAACTCCAGACATTTCCATAAACACTCAACATGCTTCATTTGCTTAGGAGGAATTTTCCTCATCTCTAAATCATGGGGTTCCAGTTTCCCAAACTCTCTGCCAGGAAGGGAAATTGAGCTGGAAAGTGAACCATCAGAGAAAATTAAGCACCCGGCTCCACCCTGAGCTTTATCATTTATCAGTGGAGTCAGCTAGACATTTGGCAGAAAACGGTGAAAATAACATTTGCCTGTGTGTCTAATGGTTCCATATGCGTTTTGGGTTGGGTGGCATCCAGAAGCAGCTGGGAAAATTCCAGTTGTATCAGGCATTCATCTCTTCTCTCTGTGGCTAGCCACTCAGGAAGTCACATGGGTACCTTACTGCTCCCTAATTTAGCTCTGTCTTTAAAAAATATATAAAAATGTTTCTTTTTTTTTTGAGATGGAGTCTTGCTCTTGTTGCCCAGGCTAGAGTGCAATGGCGCCATCTTGGCTCACTGCAACCTCTGCCTCTTGGGTTCAAGCGATTCTCCTGCCTCAGCTTCCCAAGTAGCTGGGATTACAGGTGCCCACCACCATGCTCAGCTAATTTTTTGTATTTTTTTAGTAAAGGTGGGGTTTCACCATGTTGGCCAGGCTGGTCTTGAACTCCTGACCTCAGGTGATCCACCCGCCTCGGCCTCCCAAAGTGCTGGGATTACAGGCATGAGCCACCATGCCCAGCCAAAAAAATCTTCCTTAAGATATAAACACACACAAAAGGCAAAAGGAAGGCAACTTGAGGAAGTGGCTAGATCACCATATTGAACTTCACAGAATCTGGGTTCAAGGCCCATTTCATGCACTAACTGACTCAGCCCTCTCATTTGTAAAAATTTACACCAGTTTCTTACAAAGTGGCAGGTACTTTTTAGCTGTGTGACCTTAGGCAAGTGAGTTCACACCTCTGAGCCTTGACTTACTCTGAAAATAGGCATTAATAATACTTATTTGTGGTAGACACTGATGGTTTCTACCCAACAGTTGTTTTCCCCTCCTGGGTCTTTGCTTCCTTCTCCCATGACAGAAGCAGATGTGGCCAGACCTTCACCTTCCCAACCTCCTCTGCAGCTAATGAATGCAGCCTAGTTCTGGCCAATGAGATGCATGGAAAAATTGGCTAGGGAGCTTCTGTATGTAGTGCCTGTGATTTTTTGTTTTCACATGATTAATAATATGATTTCATGCAGCTATTACTAGATGGGGCCAGGCGTGGTGGCTCATGCCTGTAACCCTAGCACTTTGAGAGGCTGAGGCGGCGAATCACCTGAGGTCAGGAGTTCAAGACCACCCTGGGCAACATGGTAAAACCCCATTTCTACTAAAAATACAAAAATTAGCTGGGCATGGTGGCACATGCTTGTAATCTCAGCTGCTCAGGAGGCTGAGGCAGAATTGCTTGTGCCTGGGAGGTGGAGGTTGCAGTGACCCGAGATCACGCCACTGCACTCCAGCCTGGATGACAGAGTGAGACTCTGTCTCAAAAAAAAAAAAAAAAAAAAAAAAAGTACCTGGGGCTAAATAGAAAGGCCCAGAAAATCCAAAGCATGTGTTCTGCTGTGTAAGTTGGAGCAGTGCTTTTGGATGCTTCTCAGCTAAAAATGCAGATTCTGGTTCAGTAGGTCTGTGGTGGAGCTTGAGAGATGTTCCTAAGGAGGACCATTTAGGGTTGGCTGATCCACCATTTCAACAAGTTCTTCAAGGGCTCAAGATCTCTCCCACTTTTCTCCCTGCCATCCTGGATGGTTGGTGTGCTGTCCCCAGGCTTGTTGTGTGAAGGTCACAAGGTCAAGGACACAATGCCAGCGACCACACCCAGACATAACTGAACTTTCAAAGGAAGAGGAGCATGTACCCTTCCAGGCATCTCTCTATCAGTGGAGAAATCTTTCCCCAGGAGCCCATTCTTCTGACCCCCACCCCTCACCCCAGCCAATGGCTGCCGTGTGGCACAAGCCAGGAGTACCATTTTAATAGACTCTCTGGGAATGTTGTCCCAGAAGTTCTAGCAGCCTTCTCCTCACATCTTATTAGCCAGATGTGTGTCGTGTGCTTCAAGCTTAAGCCAGTCATTGGCAAGGAGAGTAGAATGACTGTGACTGGCTCAGGCCAGAAGTCTCAAAGTGAGGTGCTGGGACCAGCTGTACCTGCATCACATCGCCTGGGAAGCTTGTTAGAAATACATATTTTAGGCTGGGCACGGTGGCTCACGCCTGTAATCCCAGCACTTCGGGAGGCCGAGGCGGGTGGATCACAAGGTCTGGAGTTCAAGACCAGCCTGGCCAACATAGTGAAACCCTGTCTCTACTAAAAATACAAAAGTTAGCCGGGCATGGTGATGCATGCCTGTAGTCTCAGCTACTTGGGAGGCTGAGGCAGAAGAATCGCTTGAACCTGGGAGGCAGAGGTTGTGGTGAGCCAAGATCATGCCACTGCACTCCAGCCTGGGCAATAGAGCGAGACTCTGTCTCAAAAAAAACAAAAACAAAAACATATTTTGGGCCTGCACCCCAGACCTACTGAATTAGAAAGTCTAGGGGTGAGGCCCAGCAATGGATTCTAACAAGGGCTCCAGATAATTGTGATACACACTAGAATTGGCCCTGGCTGCGCATTGGAATTATCCAAGGAACTCTTAAAGCTACCGCTAGATAGACGTCAGAATGGTGGTTACCCCTGCAGGCTGCACTGGAGTATAGACCCTGAAGTAGTGTGACCAACTTGTGGTTTGCTTGGGAGTTTCTTGGTTTTAGTACTGAAAGTCCTCTGTCCTGGAAAATCCCCTCAATCCTGGGCAAATTAGGATGGTTTGTCACCTTACCTTGATGGAGCAAGAGGGAATTTTCTGGGGTGTTGAAAATGTTCTATCCCATCATCTGGGTGGTGGTTGCATGTGTGTACGCATGTGTAAAAAATATCAAGCTGAGCTGGGCACTGTGGCTCGAGCCTGTAATCCCAGCACTTTGGGAGGACAAGGCAGGAGGATTGTTTGAGCACAGGAGTTTGAGATCAGCCTGCCTGGGCAATATGGCAAGACCCCACCTGTACTAAAAATAAATTTAAAAAAAACTTTAGCATTAGCCAGGCATGGTGATGTATGCCTGTAGGCCCAGCTACTAGGCAGGCTGAGGCAGGAGGATCGTTTGAGCCCAGGAGGTAGAGGCTGCAGTGAGCCATGATCGCGCCACTGTGCTTCAGCCTGGACAACAGAGTGAGACTGTCTTAAAAAAAAAAATCAAGCTATCCGTTTAAAGTTTGTGCACCTTACACATGCTACTAAGTGTACATCACAACTTAAAAAAATACTGATGTCCAGGTTGTATTCCAGATTGATTAAGTCAAAATCTCTAGGAGAAGATCCCAGGCATTGGTATCATGGAATACTCTCCAGACGTTTCTCACGTTCAGCCAGATTTGTGAATGAACACGATCAAATCTCCAGGGAGTTAAAGTGAAGGTTCTGATTCAGCGGGTCTGGGTGGGCCTGAAATTGTGCATTTCCACCACACTCCCAGGGGATGCTGATGCTGGACCATGCTCTAGGGAGCGAGGGCCAGGCCTGGTTAACGTTTACCTTCTGGGGCAGGCAGAGGGCTGCTCCCCTGAAACATCTTGGTGGTCTTAGTGAGGAAGGAAGAAAGTGGGGCTCATTGGAGACTAGCTGTGGGGTAGGCAACTCCCGTGGCATTCAAAGAATTAAAGGTTAGGGTGAGGTTAGAAGCTTACACCTGGGCAACCATACAAATGCAAAAGCTCAGACATCTGTTCCCAACTCCCTGATGTGCCAGGAGGGCCATGTTTGCCTAGGTTTTGGCTCTACTTCCTAGCCAGAGTCAGGCCTGAATACCCAGCGTGGGCTTAGTTTGCTTCTCCTGAGGTTACTCAGGAACCTGTCTTTCTGGAGAAGCCAGTGCCATGTCCAGAGGTGCCCTCCTCTGCGCTGCAGACACCACGGAGACTGATAACAGGGCTGCCAGCTGGTTTAATTACCCAGATGGGAAGCTGGCAGGTGGAGTCTAACCTTGACAGAGATTAATGACTCCATTATCTTCCTAGGCTATCATCCCGTGCGGGCCCCAGTCCGGAATGTAGACATAAGGTGTAAATAAAGTCCTTGTTCTGAGGGAGGACATTTTTCATTGTCTTCAGATGGGAATTTGCCCCCAGAAACCCTTGACTCAAATTCGGGAAGTATCTTTTTTTGGCAGAATAACCTGGTCGTTTGTGGGCATGTGACAGGTCTCCTAAAGGCTGGGCCAAGGCTTGCTGGCAAAACCAATGTTACTTGTTTCCTTAAACTCATTAAGAAATACGTGCCTGTTGTAAACAACTTAAAGTGACAGCTCTTGTCTCCTTTCCCACTCTTTGAAGGTAACTATTATACTTAACTCTTTGGCGTATAGTCTTCCAAATATATTTCTTTTTCTGTTTGTTTTCTTCTCCAGATAAAGTTTCCCCCCAAATTTTATTGGGGCATAATTATAGTACATTTATTTATTTATTTATTTGAGATGGAGTCACTCTGTCGCTCAGGCTGGAGCGCAGTGGCACAATCTTGGCTCACTGCAACCTTCACCTCCTGGGTTCAAGTGATTCTCCTGACTCAGCCTCCCGAGTAGCTGGGATTACAGGCACCTGCCACCATGCCCGGCTAATTTTTGTATTTTTAGTAAAGATGAGGTTTCACCATGTTGGCCAGGCTGGTCTTGAACTCCTGACCTCAAGTGATCAGCCCTCCTCGGCCTCCCAAAGTGTTGGGATTACAGGACTTGAGACACTGTGCCTGGATGGTGGCACATATTTAAAGTATATAACTTGATTGGTCTTTAAAATTATTTTATTATTTGCAGAGATAATAAATCTTCCTTAATAAATAAAACAATCTTCCTTCCTCACTTTGTTGCCTAGGGCTGGTCTGGAACTCCTGGGCTCAAGTAGTCCTCCTGCCTTGGCCTCCCAAGGTGTTGGGATTACAGACATGAACCTCCAAGCCCAGCCCCAATTTGATTACTCTTTTTTTTTTTTTTTGAGATGGAGTCCCACTCTGTCGCCCAGGCTGGAGTGTGGTGGCATGATCTTGGCTCACTGCAAGCTCTGCCTTCCCGGTTCACGCCATTCTCCTGCCTCAGCCTCCTGAGTAGCTGGGACTACAGGTGCCCACCACGCCCGGCTACATTTTTTTTTTTTTTAATATTTTTAGTAGAGACGGGGTTTCACCGTGTTAGCCAAGAGGGTTTCGATCTCCTGACCTCGTGATCCGCCTGCCTTGGCCTCTCAAAGTGCTGGGGTTGAGCCACTGCGCCCGGCCTATTATTATTATTTTTTGAGATGGAGTCTTGCTCTGTCGCCCAGGCTGGAGTGCAGTGGCGCGATGTTGGCTCACTGCAAACTCCACCTCCCTGGTTCACGCCACTCTCCTGATTACTCTTGACATAGACCCATTAAACCATCTCTCCAACTAGGATAGAGCACATGTCCCTCACCCCCAAAAGTTTCCATGTGTCCCTTTGTGATTCCTTCCTACCTGCATCCCCTCCACTACTGAACAACAACTGTCACTATAAATTAGTTTGCATTTTCTAGGTTTTATGGAAATGGAATTATGCAGCATATGTATATGCTTTTGCCTGGCTTCTTTCACTCAACATAATGATTTTGAGATTCATCTATGTTGTAGAAATCAACAATATGTTGCTTTTAATTGCTGAGTATATCCCATGGTATGGATATATCACAATTTGTCTATCCATTCATCTGTGGATGGACTTTTTAAGTTGCTTCTAATTTATGGTGATTACAAATAAAGCTGCTCTGAACATTTGTGTACAAATCTTTGTGTGAACAGATATTTTAGCTTCTCTTAGGCAGATACCTAGGAGTGGAAAGACTGAGTCATGTCACATGGTAGGTACATTTAACTTTTCAAGAAACTACCGAACTGTTTTCCAAAGTGGTTTATCTCATTTTGTGTTCTCACCAGCCCTGGGTGAGAGTTTTATGCGCTCCACATCCTCACCAACCCTGTGATGATCAGTCTTTCTAATATTTGCCATTCTAATGAGTGTGAAGCGGTATCTCATTATGATTTTAACATGCATTTCCCTAATGTCTAACGCTATTGAGTATCTTTTTATGTGCTTATTGGCCATTTGCATGTATTATTTTGTGAAGTGTCTGTTGAAAATTTTGTTGCTCTTTCTTTTATTGGGCTGTTTTCTTATTGTTGAGTAATAAGGGTTCTTTATATATGTTAAATGTCTAAAATGCTACATTTTAATATAGTGGTGTCCTCAAAGTGGGAGTGATGAATTTTATCTAATTTTGTCATGGTCAGGGGAGGAGTTGTGCTCTGGAAGCCCATCCATGGGGAAGGTGAGGTTCAAACTCTAAGATAAAAACTCTAGATAAAATTTTAAGTCCTGCTGTGGATGGCTGTTGTTTCTTTCTGCCCAGCATTTACACCTTTTCTGATAACAACTCACCCCAATGTTTTCAAGGGAGAATTATTCTTCCACCATTTTTAGTACCTGCGGTTTGGGTGAAGCTGACCCTAAACCCTGGCTCCTGGGGAGGGGTATGACCTTGGCCTGGCCAATCAGCATTTTCATCTTCCTGGCTCTGTAATGTGCATGTAACTCAGATGGATCCAATGGGATTCAACTTTAGGACTTTTGCTGGAGTGACTCTTTGTATTGGTCTCAGCTTCCTCCTCAGCCACCTCCTTCCTCAGCCACCTCCTCAGAGAAGCCCTCCCTGACTTGCAGAAGAGATGAGGCATCTCTGATGTGCTCAGTTAGCTCGCTGATCTTTCATGCACAGCACTTATCACAGCTATTAACTAAATATTTGTATGATTATCTGTGTAATAAATTTCTGCCCTCCAGACTGCAAGCTCCATGAAACTGGGGCTGCATCTCTTTTGTTCACTCTTGAGTCCCCAGCATTGGTATAGCCTATCCGTATATTTTGAACGTGAAGATGACAGGATTTGCTGAGGAATTGGATGCATGCTGGATGTGGGAGAAATAGAAACTTGAGACTTAATAAATACTTGTTGAGTGAATGTAGGAAGCTACATTTGTGCATGAGAAAACTGAGGTCCAGAGAGGTGAAATGACTCTCCCCAAATCGCACAGCAAGTCAGGAGCAGAGCTGGAATGTGAATTCGGGGCTGTCCAACTTCAGAGCTTGTGCTCTTCCTCAGCACCCTAAATGACTCCTTGCAAACTGAACATAATTTTCCACAACAAACACTGCTTAGGCATGGCAGATACCTCTGAAATAAACTGTGTTATTTATCTATTGCTTCATAACAAATTACTTCCCAACCTTGGTGGCTTGAAACAACATTTATTAACTCATGATTTCTGTAGGTTGGGATCCAGGTGTGGCTTAGTTAGGTCCTCTGCTTTGGGGCCTCTCATAGGCCACAGTCCAGGTGTTGGCTGGGGCTGCATTCTCATCTTAAGGCTTGACTGGGGAAGGATCTGCTTAGGGAAGGATTTGCTTCCAAGCTCTCTCTCTTTTTTGTTGGAGGGATTCAGTTCTGAGGGTTCTTGGTTGAGGTCCATTCCTTGCCACATGGGCCTGTCCCTTGGGCAGCTCACAGCATGGCACCTGGTTTTATCAAAGGAGTGAGTGAGTGGGAAAAAGTGAGCAGAAAGGAAGTCATGGTATCTTGTAGCCTCATCATGGAAGTGACATCCCATCATGTTTGCCTTGTTCTATTCATTGGAAGTGAGTCACTAAGTCCAGCCCACACTTCAGGGAAGGAAATTACATAAGTGAAAACAAGTTTGTGAATGCCCAGGTCAGTGGGAGTCATCTGAGAAGCCTGCCTACCACTTAAACTAAGTCTCTTTCTCATGTAGCTTAACTTCTGGTCAGGGGAAGTGCACAAAAAGCAAACAAATAAATAAAAATATAACACATCAGATGATGCTAAAATGCTTGCAGAAAATCATGTGGAGGAGGTTATGGAGGGCTGGGTGCAGGAGGAGACTAAGCATTCTTACTTTATATCAGGTGGTCCGCAGAGACCTGGGTGAGAGGGAGACATCTGAATAGAGAGCTGAAGGAAATGAAACAACAAGCCAAAAGGATACGGGAAAGAGCATTCCAGCAGCAAGAACAGCAGGAGCAAAGGCCCCGCATCACAAACCTGCCTGAAGTGTTCTAAGAACAGCGAAGGTCAGTGTGACTCCAGTGATGATGGCAAGAGAGAGAGTACCAAGTCATGGGGTTAGAGAGATAACAGGGCGGCCGGGCATGGTGGCTCACACCTGTAATCCCACCACTTTGGGAGGCTGAGGTCAGGAGTTTGAGACCAGCCTGGCCAACATGGTGAAACCTGGTCTCTACTAAAAATACAAAAATTAGCCGGGTGTGGTGGCGGGTGCCTGTAGTCCCAGCTACTCGGGAGGCTGAGGCACGAGAATTGCTTGAACCCAAAAGGCGGAGATTACATTGGGTTGAGATCTCGCCACTACACTCCAGCCTGGGTGACACAGAGAGACTCTGTCTCAAAAAAAAAAAAAAAAAAAAAGCGATAACAGGGCGTCGGGTCATGTAGGCCCTTGTAGGGCCACTGAGTGAGATGATGAGAAAACATTAGAAGTTTCTGAGCAGAGAAGGGATGTGATCTGACTTAAATTTAATAGAGTCCCTGGCTGCTGGTTGGAGGACAGACCTTGGGAGACAAAGGTGGAAGAAAACAAATTATGAGGTTTTTTTTTACCTGGTTCAAGTGAGCCATGATGGATATTTGAAGAATTTGCTAAGGGTGACAACACAGAGGAATCCAGGCCAACTACAAGATATTCGGCCTGAGCAACTGGAAAGATAGAGCTGCTAGTAACTGATTTGGGGAAACTTTGTAAGGTGAACATTGACTGGGAGCAAAGGATGAAAGGCCCCTTTATTTTATTTTATTTTATTTTATTTGTATGTGTGTGTGTATGTGTGTTATTTGTTTTGTTTTGTTTTGTTTTTTTGAGACAGGGTCTTTCTCTGTCACTCAGGCTGGAGTGTGGTGGCGCAATCATGGTTCACTGCAGCCTTGACCTCCCAGGCTCAAGAGATCCACCTACCTTAGCCTCCTGAGTAGTTGGGACTATAGATGCATGCCACCACACCTGGTTAATTTTTTAATTTTTTTGTAGAGGCAGGATCTCCCTATGTTGCTCAGGCAGGTCCCAAACTCTTGGCTTGAAGTGATCCTCCCATTTTGGCCTCCCAAAGTGCTGGAATCCCAGGCGTGAACCACCACACCCGGCTGAAAGGTGGCTTTGGCGCTGCTAACATCAAGGTCCCTGTGAGACATCCGAGCAGAGATGCCAAGTTGGCAGTTGGAGACTAGAGTCTAGACTTCACGGGAGAGGTCCAGGCTGGGGATGTAAACTCAGAAGTTGTCAGTTTATTAGTGTTTAGAGCCATGAGTCTGGATGAGATGGGAGAGAGAGAAGAGGCCCAAGCCTGAGCTTTGGGCACTTGATTAATTCAAAGCCACAAGATGAGGAAGAACCACCTGAAAAGACTAAGAAGTTGTGGACAGTGAGGTAGGAAGAGAACTAAGAGAAGAAAGTGCTGAATGACAAGCAGCATCATGGTAGCTGGCCATGGGAAATGGCCCGCCAAAAACTGCACACTGCGGTTCACACTCTTGCTCGGCCCCAGCCACTTTCCTCTGGGCTGTCACCATAGAACTAACAAAAAGCAGCAGAAGTGGCAGCCTGCCTTCTGAGGCCAGGTCACAGGAAATCTTGCAGCTTCTACCTTAGTGTTTTTGAATGCTGCTCTGGGATAAGCCAGTTGCCATCAAAGAAGTTTGACTACTCTGAGCCACCACGATGTGAGGAAGCCCAAGCTAAGCATGTGGGAAGCCCAGGATGGAGGGAAAAGATGGCCAACCAGGGCCATGGTTGTTCCAGCCATCTCAGCTGAGGCACCAGCCACAGGAGTGAAGAATTTGTTTTAGACATCCAGTCCAATCAAACCTTGCCATGACTTTGGCTACAGCTGCACCAGCATGAGAAACCCTGAGGGAGAAACCCACAGGACTAGGAGAGACAGTGACACACTGTCATTTTAAGGCTCTATATTCTGGGATGGCTCATTCTACAGTGGATAATGGAGACAGGAGTTCATTGCAAAGGGAGACTGACCAGTCCCCTGCCCGCAACAGAGCACAGCCCTCTTCACCCAGACCCATGGAGAGGTGGCTGAGCAGACCTCAGCTGGGCAGCCCTCCACACTCTGAAGGCTCCCCCTTTCCTGCCTTAGTGGCAAGAATAATAATTTTCTCTTTGTGCCCAGAGAGCTGGCAACTGCCAAGTGCCCTGCTGTCCCCAGGGCCCTTACAAAAAGACTGCAGGGGAGGTTTTTCTGAGAACTGGGTCACCGGTTACTTAGATGCTTCAAACCTGGCAGAACAGAGAAACATCAGATAAAGGAGACTGGGAACTTCATAGGAAGCTGCTGGTCCTTGTCATGGGGACACACCATGACAAGCCACCAGAGAGTGGCTGCCTGCCCTCTCTGGACCCTTATGTCATAGGGACCTCCTCTCTTCTAGAGAGCTCTCTCTTTCTTTGTAAATGTTTGTAAATCTTTCTTTGTAAACATTTTGGAAAGTATGCATTAATCAGGCCAGACACGATGGCTCACGCATTTAATCCCAGCACTTTGGGAGGCCGAGGCGGGCAGATCACTCGAGGTCAGGAGTTCAAGACCAGCTTGGCCAACATGGTGAAACCCTATCTCTACTAAAAATAGAAAAATTAGCTGGGCATGGTGGTGGGCATCTGTAATCCCAGCTACTCGGGAGGGTGAGGCAGGAGAATCACTTGAACCCAGGAGAAAGAGGTTGCAGTGAGCTGAGATCACATCTGTAATCCCAGCACTTTGGGAGTCTGAGGTGGGCAGATCACTTGAGGCCAGGAGTTCGAGACCAGCCTGGCAAACATGGTGAAACCCTATCTCTACAAAAAATACAAAAATTAGCTGGATGTGGTGGCACATGGCTGTAGTCCCAGCTACTGGAGAAGCTGAAGTGGGAGGATCACCTGAGCCTGGGAGGTCCAGGCTGCAGTGAGCCGTGATTGTGCCACTACACTCCAGCCTGAGTGACAGAGTGAGACCTTGTCTTGAACAAAACAAAACAAAACAAAACAAAACAGAAAAAAACCTGTCCTTTTCTCCCACTGCCTGTTCAGTTCCCCAGAGGCAATTGCTTAACATTTCTTTCACATTTATTGGAATAGGTAACACAAGGCGTGTGCTAAAAATTTCAAAAGGTACAAAAAAGGTAAAGAGATTAAGTCTCCCTCCTTCCTTCTCCCCACCCAGCTCCTCTCCCTAAAGACAACCACTTCTACCAGTGTATTACATCTCCTTCCAGAGATATGCTATGCATATGTCAGCATATAATATAAACAGCCTTAAAAAATAAAACAGGGCTGGGAATGGTGGTTCATGCCTGTAATCCCAGCACTTTGGGAGGCCACGGTGGGTGCATCACCTGAGGTCAGGAGTTCAAGACCAGCCTGACCAACATGGTGAAACGCTTGTCTCTACTAAAAATACAAAATTAGCTGGGCGTGGTGGCTCATGCCTGTAATCCCACCTACTTGGGAGGCTGAGGCAGGAGAATTGCTTGAACTTGGGAGGCGGAGGTTGCAGTGAGCTGAGGTTGTGCCATTGCACTCTAGCCTGGGCAACAAGAGGAAAACACCGTCTCAAAAACAACCACCACCACCAACCCAGAAAGGGTAACTTGCTACAAATGCTGTTCTGCACCTTGCTTTTCCACTTAACCATATATTTTGAAGGTCTTCCATATCAGTAGGTAAATAACTGCTTTATTATTTTAGGGGACTGCACAATATTCCACTGTAGGGATGGACCGTAATTCATGTAACCAGCCCCTACTGAGGGACACTGAGGTTGATGCCAACCTTTTGATATTACAGTGAAACAGCAAATAATCTTGTACTCATGTTTTCTTGCACATGTATGCCTCTCTCAGTAAAGATTCCTGAATCAAAAGACGTGTGCTTTTGTCATTTTTTAAAATTTTTATTTATTCATTTATTTTTGAGACAGGGTCTCGCTCTGTCACCCAGGCTGGATTGCAGTGGCACGATCATGGCTCACTGTAGCTTGACTTCCCGGGCTGAAGTGATCCTCCTGTCTCAGCCTCCTGAGTAGCTGGGACCACAGGTGTGTGCCCCCATGCCTGGCTAATATTTAAATTTTATTTTTAGTAGAGACAGGGTCTTCCTATGTTGCCCAGGCTGGTCTCAAACGTCTGGGCTCAAGCAATCCTCCCGCCTCAGCCTCCCAAAATACTGGAATCCCAGTATTATAGGCTGTGCTTTTGTACTTTTAATAGGTATTGACAAAATGAGACTGTATTGATGTTCTTGTTTGCAGACTTCATACTTAAGTGCCCCTTTCCCTACACCTTCCCCAATTCTATTCAAATAAAAATCAACATCTTTAATCTGTGCTGTAGAATTGGTAAGAAATGTATCTCTGCACTTTTACATTTGAAATATATTGTTAGAAGGTTGAGCATCTTCATATGCTTAATTGTCATGGCAACCACTTCTAGCCTGTGTAGCGATTTCTTCTAGTTGTTTATTTCCATAGAGCTAAATAATGTTTGAATGTAGCCATTCATTGATTTATCAGCTTTAGGTGTTATCTATTGATTTTTGCTCCAATACATGAGGATTTAGCTCACTTACAGTGTCATCCTTGCACCTCCTCTATCTTTCTACCCTTCCTTCCTTCTCTCTTTTTTATTTTTATTTTTTTTTTGAGACGGAGTCTTGCTTGTTGCCCAGGGTAGAGTGCAGTGGCACAATCTTGGTTCACTGCAACCTCTGCCTCCCAGGTTCAAGTGATTCTCCTACCACAGCCTCCCAAGTAGTTGGGATTACAGGCGCCCACTGCCAAGCCCAGCTAATTTTTGTATTTTTAGTAAAGATGGGGTTTCACCACATTGGTCAGGCTGGTCTTGAACTCCTGACCTCAGGTGATGCACCCACCTCGTCCTCCCAAAGTGCTGGGATTACAGGCGTGAGCCACCGTGCCTGGTCTCTTCTCTTTATGAAAAATATTGCTGGTTTTCCATTTATAGTAGTGATATATTTTTTTCCTTTCCTTTTCTTATTAAAATAGACTATTTTTTAGAGAAGTTTTTGGTTCACGGCAAAATTGAACAGAAAGTACAGAGTTCTCATATATTCCCTGCTCCTCCCACCCCTCAGTTTTTCCCACTACCAAGGTCCTACACCAGTGGTACATTTGTTACAATCGATGAACCTGCACTGATACATCCTTATCATCCAAAGCCCATAGTTTGCCTTAGGGTTCACTCTTGGTGCTGCACATTCTATGGGTTTGGACAAATGTACAATGACATGTATCCACCATTATAGTATCATGCAGAATAGTTTAACTGCCCTAAAAATCCTCTGTGCTCCACCTATTCATCCCTCCCTCCAGCCTAACCCCAGGAAACCACTGATAATTTTACTGTCTTCATGGTTTTGCTTTTTCCACAATGTCATGTAGTTGGAATCATACAGTATGTAGTCTTTTTCAGATTGTCTTCTTTCAGTTAATAAAATGCACTTAAGTTTCTTCCACGTCTTTTTGTGGCTTGATAGCTTATTTCTTTTTAGTGCTGAATAATATTCCATTGCCTGGATTTACCACAGTATATTTATCCATTCACCTCCTGAAGGAAATCGTGGTTGCTCCCAAGTTTGGGGAATCATTAATAAAACTTCTAGGAACATCTGTGTGCAGGTCTTTGTGTGGACATAAATTTTCAGCTCATTTGGGTAAATACCAAGGAGCATGAATATTGGATCATATGGTAAGTGTACATTTCATTTTGTAAGAAACTGCCAAACTGTCTCCCACAATGGCTATACCATTTTGTTTTCCTACCAGAAATGAAAAAGAGTTCCCGTTGCTCCACGTCCTCACCAGCGTTTAGGATTTTAATCCTTTGAATAGGCATGTAGTGTTATCTCATTAGTATTTTCATTTGCAATCTCCTAACGACAGGTGATGTTGAGCATCATTTCATATGTTTATTTGCCATCTGTATATCTTCTTTGGTTGAGGTATCTGCTTAGTTCTTTTGCCTATTTTTTTTTTTTTTTTTTTTGAGACGGCGTTTTGCTCTTGTTGCCCAGGCTGGAGCGCAATGGTGCAATCTTGGCTCACTGCTACCTCCCCCTCCTGGGTTCAAGGGATTCTCCTGCCTCAGCCTCCTGAGTAGCTGGGATTACAGGTACCCGCCACCACACTTGGCTAATTTTTTGTATTTTTAGTAGAGATGGGGTTTCACCATGTTGGTCAGGCTGGTCTCGAACTCCTGACCTCAGGTGATCCACCCGCCTCGGCCTCCCAAAGTGCTGGGATTTTACAGACCTGAGCCATGGTGCCTGGCCTCTTTTGCCAATTTTTTAATGAGGTCTTTTGTCTTCTTGTTATTGAGTTCTAAAAGTTCTTTATATATTTTGGACAGCAGTTCTTTATCAGGTGTGTCTTTTGCAAATAATTTTTCCCATTCTGTGGGTTTGGTGGGTTTGTCTTCTCATTCTCTTGAGTGATGTGGCATTTAAAAAAATAAAATTACTTTAAGTTTAAAAAGCAAGTCCATTTAAAGAGAAACACCCAGGAAATAATAGCCAAGGTGGTAGAATATGGTGAAAAAATGAAAGGGCACCCAAGAGCCTCAGGTTTGGGCAATACTGATGACACATAGAGCCTGGTTCCCTGGCAATTATTATGGCGGTTACTACTATTTTAATAATATTAGCAGTTACGGTTGGTATTTTTGCTATTACAATTAATGGCATAGGGGCTGTATCGCCCCTGTCTTCCTGGAACCTGGAGGCAATGAGGAGCTCTGCAAAGTTGTTGAGATTATTATGACCATATCTGGGTATTTCACCACTACAAAGAGCTGCGCAAAGTTTGGACGGTAGGAATCGGGGTGGACATCAGCTCGGTGACAGGTAGGAGGTGGGTCCGAGGAGGGGTCGGGTCTGGGAGCCTCCGCCCCCAACTCAAGGCAGGCTACACAAGATCTGTCTCCGTTGGCGTCCCGGTACCTAGCTTGAGCCCGACCATGGGCATGCGTGGCGTGGCGCGAATCCTGTCCCTGTCGCTCGTCCTGGCCGCGGTGGCCACGGGGGCCTGGGAGCGGGGGCCGCTGGGCGTGCTCTTGCCCTGGCAGGGCTCCGCCGCGCTGGGCCGCTGCTGTCCTGGCCGTGACCCGATGTTTGTCGCCCGCGGGCCCCCGCGCTGCTTCTGCGACCAAGCGTGCGGCGCGGCGCGGCGCGGGACTGCTGCGCAGACTATACGCGGGTCTGCCCAGGTGCACCCGGGGAAAGGCAAGGCACTAGCGGAACGCTCGGAGCGGAGGGGAGCTGGGGCGGGGGATGAGCGGAGGAAGGGAGCCCAGCACCTAGGGGGCTCTGGGCTTGGAGGGGTCACACGAGCCGAGGGCGGGGCGCGGCGCTTGGGGACTGGAAGGGTGCGCCGCGGGGCAGACGGGACGTGCAGGGGGTCGCGCGGGCAAGGAGGGACGCAGACACTCAGGACCTAAAGGGGAAGCACTGGCTGTGGAGCTGCGAGCCGAGAAAGACGCGCAGGTTATGAACCTGGGTGCGTTCATCTCGGGGGACCTGAAGGAGAGGGACTCGTGGAGAGTTGAGGGGTGTTTCGGAGGAGGGGCGCAAGGACTGCTCACAGGACTTGAAGGGCGGCAGGAAGGTGGAGGATTCGGCCCAGGTGCGGGACGCAGGCGGTGGAAGGGAAATGAGCACAAGAGGCGCAGGCAGGAAGGAGAGCGCCTGGTGCGAGAGAGGAAGGAGCGCACCCAGTAAGCGGTGTCGGGGGGGTCGTGAAGCTTGGAGGGCCTCGAGGGGAGGGAGGCGCTTGGGTTGAGGTAGGGCGCCAGATTTCGCAAATCAAAATACAGCACACCCAGTTAAACTCGAATTTCAGATAAACAAATCTTTCTAGAGAAAAATATGTCCTAAATATCGCATGGGATATACTTATACTAAAAAATTATTTGTTGTTTTTCTGAAATTGAAATCTAACTCGGAGTCCTGTATTTTATCTGAGAGCCCCAGCTGGGGACGGGCGCGGGGCCAAGAGAGCTGCGAGGGAGGAGGGGTTGCAAGCTTCTTTCGGGCGGAGGGGTCACAAGGCGAATGGAGAAGGTGACAAGGAGCATGGAGAAACCAAGAAAAGGGCTAACGCTTGGAGAGCAAGGATGGAAAGACGCTCAAAGCGGAGGCGGAACGGTCTGAGTGATTCCAAAACTAGTGTGTCCAAGCTGGTTAGAACTCAGGCAGGCGGGTCCAGAAGCCGAGGGGCCTGACAGATACGCAGGTGAAGTCCATCTGTGGTCCGCGTGCTGGGCGTGGCCACCGGGCTAGTCCAAGCATTCCTGGTAAAGGCTCCTCCAGAGTGGTACCCACAGCGCTCTATTAAGGGCTATTTTAGTTGAGTCATTAGTGGGAAGGACGCTGCCTATCCCCTCCCCCCCCGCCACCCCACTCCCTTCTTCTAGAGATGGAGCCTTGCTCTGTCGCCCAGGCTGGAGTGCCGTGGTGCGATCATCATTCACTGCAGCCTCGAACTCCTGGGCTCAAGCGATTCTTCTGCCTCAGCCTCCCAAGTAGCTGGATGACAGGCACGCACCACCATGTCTGGCTCTCTATCCTTTTTAAATCCCAGAAGTAAAGTTTTCACACCCACTGGAGACAAAAAAAAAATCTAAATTCTGTCACCCTGTAAAACGGTTATGACCCAACTTTCCTATGTCAGGGAGGAAAGTGATTGATTGGGCCCCTCTACCGTGTGATATCACTAGAGCTTCCTTCAGAAATTTGTTTTAAAAGACAGAGAGGGCGCTTTTAAAAAAATGCATAATGGGTCGGGCACAGTGGCTCATGCTTGTAATCCCAACACTTGGGGAGGCTGTGGGAGGATCATTTGAGGCCAGGAGTTCGAGACCAGCCTGGGCAATATTGGAAGACCCAGTCTCTACAAAAAATTAAAAAAAAATTAGCCTCAAATGGTGATGACTGCCTGTAGCACCAGCTACTCAGGAGACTGAGGTGGGAGAATCACTTGAGCCCAGGAGGTTGAGCCTGCAGTGAGCTATGATTATGCCACTGCACTCCAGCCTGGGTGACAGAGCGAGATCATGTCTCAAAAATAAATAAATAAATAAATAAATAAATAAAAATGTAAGGGACCTAACATCCATTAATCACCTATCCCTCTGTGCCCAGAAGCTGGGCTGGATGTCCCCTGGAACCTGAATACATTCTCCCTGCCCTCTGGGGTTCAGGTATGGAATAACATCCCTGTTTAGCAGTCAAGAAAAGCAAGGCTCAGAGAGGAGAGGGCTTTGGGCAGTCAAGAATTCCCAGCCAGTGGAGGAGCTGGGTCTGATTCTGAGTCTTCTAGCTCCTTGCTGCCAGGAGTGGCCAACGTTGGAAATTCAGGCAGCAGTGAGATGAGAAAGTAATTTTGGATGTGGTGTCTTCTCAAGCCATAGGCAAAAGAGAACTCCTTCCAGATTAAATTTGGGGAAGGACTGCCTGGGGGTGCTTTTGTACTGGTTGGTTTTCTGTGTAGAGAGTTCATGCAGCCGCGGGTCTGTACTGATTGGAGCTGAAGTCCCAGGTTAGCACCACCAACAGGGGCTCCCCTGCCACAGCGCAGGAGTGGGGGCCCAGGATGGGTCCAGGCAAAGGCATCAGTGATACTTTCTCATGGTCTGACCGACACCCACAGAATCACACAATGTTAGCCCCTCCCAAGAGATGTCCTTTCTATACGGAGTGGGGGCTGGAGGAACCAGGAGCCTCAAAGCTTTGCTTTCACCTTTGTTTTGCTCTTTTGGGATCTGCCTCCTTATCTGGAGCAGGGTCTTGTGAAGAGACGCAGGGAAAAGTTCACTTTCCACCTCCCAGGGGAGCAGGCAGGAGGGGACTAGTTAGGAGGCAAAAGATGTAGAGAAGTATTTGCTTTTTTCATGGGCTATTTTTAGGAGATAAAGTCAACTGCCTTAAGTGATCAATTGTAATAGAGGGAGATGTTGAAGATGACTTAAAAAACAAACAAAATCCGCAAACAACAAATCTAATATTTATGAAATACCAAATGTCAGGAAGGTACTATTTTAAGTGCTTGAAGTAAATTGTCTCATTTAAGCCTCATAATAACGCTATGGAACAGTGTTATCATGTCTGTTTTACAGATGAGGAACTAAGGCACAGAGAGGTTAAGTGACGTGTTCTGGGTTGCACAGCTCTTAAACAGCAGATCTGGGATTTGCACTCCAGCAGTCTGACTCCAGATCTCAATATTGTATAGCAGCTCAAGGGTGGCAGAGACTCAAGAATGTTAGGAGAGGGAAGCTTGAGTCTACAGGTGTAAGGAGACCCCTTGACATCTTCCCCATTTAGTTCAATTAAAATTTTCTTTTTTTTTCTTTTTCTTTCTTTCCTTCCTTCTCTCTTTTCTTTTCTTTTTCTCTCTCTCTTTCTTCCTTCCTTTCTTTTTATTTTTCAGGGTTTCACTGTGTCACCCAGGCTGGAGTGCAGTGGTGCAATCATGGCTCACTGCAACCTCTGCCTCCCAGGCTCAAGTGATCCTCCTACCTCAGTCTCCTGAGTAGCTGGGACTACAGGTGTGGGCCACCACACCCAGCTTTTTTTTTTTTTTTTTTTTTTTTTTTTTGTATTTTTTGTAGAGATGGAGTTTTACCATCTTTTCCAGGCTGGTCTCAAACTCCTGGGCTCAAGCTATCCTCCAGCCTTGGCCTCCCAAAGTGCTGGAATTACCAGTGTGAGCCTCCACACCCAGCCTCAATTACAATTGGTGGCCACCTTCTGTGTGCCCAATTCAGCTAGAAGCACTGGGGGATGGAAGCAAGGCTGGAGTTCTGGTACCCCTCAAGCTTATTGTCTATTTTTGGGAGACAAGGTAGTTGGGAAAGGAATAAATAATTTCAGTCTGAGCAAGGTGAAGCTTGGAAATGATTGGTGAGGATGGTGTGGAGGCAGGGAGAGAGTGGGGCTGGAGTGATTAGTAAGGCCTTGAAAGATAGACACCACTGTATTTTCCAAGTTATTTACAGAATGTTTCCATGTATTCTATACTTCTTAAATATCATCTCAACCCTGTATGGTTGATGTCCCTACATATACACTTATGTGTTTCCTGTAGACTTAGTACTCTTAGGGTTGTGACACAATTTAACTTAAGTTAACAAGGATATTTATTGGCTTAGGTAACTAAAGAACAACCCAGGGATTCCAGAGCTTCAGGCATGACTGGATCCAGGGGCTCCAAGGATGTCATCAGGACTCTATCTCTTTCCATTCTTCGGCTTTTCTTGTGTTAACTTCATTTACAGGCATGCTGTCACCAAGTGGTAGCAAAGCTAGTGGTCAAAGACAGTAGCTGTAAACTGCCATCCTTAATGGATTGAGAGCATTTTTCCCCAGTTCCAGCCAAAATCCCAGGGCTGGTTCTCATGGGCTCAGTTTGGATTAAATGGTCATTGCTGACCCAATCAATCACTGAACCCAGGGAGAAGGAATATATCAACTGGCCATGTGGGGGTCACCTGCCTCATACCAGGAACGAGAGGGTGCGATCAGCCCTGTCCAAACCATGTGGATTGAGAGTGGGGAGTTTTGGTTTCTCAGAAGAAAACTGAGGTGGTATTCCCAGAAGATGGGGGAAAGGAGGCTGGGAGGGTACTACTCAGCTGTGGGAGACCACGTGCTTTGGGAAACTTTGGGTAAAGTGTGCTGAGATGTTGAATAGGAGGAGGGCACGGTAAATGACTGTGGATGAGTTGCAGGAAAATGTAGATTTTTAGCCACTGAGCTTGGGGGTCTCCATCTATGATCCACTGTCAAAAAAGATCCTTCGTGAACCCCCTCAATAGGAGATGGGAACCACTGAGGGATTTCAGGGAACAGGCCAGAACTGTATTCTAGAAAATCCTTTTGGTAGACAATAAGGAGGGCAGATGGTAAGGAGGCTGGGCAGTGTGGTTCAGAGGAGAAAGCGGGGTTTGGATAATGCAGAAAGACATTCCTTGGCTGGGCCCCGTGGCTCATGCCAGCATTTTGAGAGGCTGAGGTGGGTGGATCACAAGGTCAGGAGTTTGAGACCAGCCTGGCCAACATAGTGAAACCCTGTCTCTACTAAAAATACAAAAATTAGCTGGGTGTGGTGGCACGTGCCTATAGTCCCAGCTACTCCGGAGGCTGAGGCAGGAGGATCGTTTGAACCTGGGAGGCGGAGGTTGCAGGGAGCCGAGATGGTGCCACTGCACTCCAGCCTGGGCGACAGAGAGAGACTCCATCTTAAAAAAAAAAAAAAAAAAAAAAAAAGGTGTTCCTTCATGAGCCTGGGCCTGTAAGGGTGGGGTGAAGCGATTCTAAGGGGTCTGTGGGAAATGTGGTCTGGCCATGGCAGGCTCAGCTGGCACGATGTCATCTGGGTATCCAGGACTCAGTGAGCAGCCTTACCACCGCCCTACCCCTTTCTGTAAGGCTGGGAAGCTAGAATTTCTTCTTTGGTCAGGAAAAGTGGGCTGGGCTTTGCTTTGAGAAACACTGCTATCTGGTGTTGCCTTTTTGCAATGTCAGCCTGTGGTTATATTTCCTTTGTTGTTGCTAAGGCAAGATTTGCTCACTCATTGTTCAGTGGCACATCACTTCCTGAGTTGCTGTGTGCCAGGCCCTGTGCTTGGTGATGGGATACAGCAGGGAACATGACAAATGAGGACCCTATTGTTGTGGAGCTGACACTCTAATGGAGGAGGCAGACACTACGAGAATAACCACAGATGTACTGAGTTTGTGATCCTGGGCCTATGCGAGGGGTGATGATGGTTCCCTCTTGTGTGCGTGCTGCCAGTGAGACGGGTAGAACACGTGCAGGGTGGTGCCTGCCTAATTTTCCGCAAAATCTCTCACCTGCCTGGCAGGCAGGGCAGGAGATCGTGGTGGACTTTGGGGATACCCCTTGGTCCAGCTGTCCAGCCAGTGCCTGAATCTGGTCTGCAGTCTTCCTGCCAGGTTTTTTAGCCACATTGTGAACACTTTCAGTGACACAAAACTCATTCTTCTAGCAGCTTCTTCTACTGTAGATAATCCTTTCTCTCCTGGGAAACCGCAGGAGCCATCATGCTTCTGCCCTCACCCCCACCCAGAGAGATGGGCAGTCATC
Organism: Homo sapiens; assembly: GCF_000001405.40. Taxonomy (NCBI): domain Eukaryota; kingdom Metazoa; phylum Chordata; class Mammalia; order Primates; family Hominidae; genus Homo; species Homo sapiens. The sequence goes on from NC_000020.11 coordinate 49,324,486, forward strand.
CTTTTGAAACCTTTGGTATCACCACGTCACATCTCTGCTCAGAACTCGGCAATGGCTTTTCGTCATGCCTAGAATAAAATCTGAACTCCTTACAACAGTCCTCAAGGCCCTATATGCTATCTTTGTCCCCTCCCTCTCTGATGTCACCTCCTACCACTTTTCCTCTGGCTTATTTTCCTGCAGCGACACTGGCCTCCTCACTGTCCCTCTGATATCCTACCTTTACCCTGCCTCAGCGACTTTGCACTGCCTGTTTTGTGCCTGGAATACAGTTCCCTTCCTACACAGTTCCCTTCATCACTTTCTTGGGGGCTCTGTTCAGATGTCCTTGTCTTGGAGGACTTCCTTGACTCCTGCCTAAAATAGTTTCTTGTTACACCACCCTTGGCACTCTTTCTTTTTTTCCCTGCCTCTCTCTCAACCCTGGCCACTCTTGACCTGCTGTTTTTTCTCAAAGCACAGATCACTAGTTGAAATTACATGGTTGCATGTTATTGTTTATTGTCTGTTTCCCCCACTGAATGTCAGCTCCTTGAGGGCAGGGCTGTACCTGTTTTGGTCATCTGTGTTCCCAGCACCCAGCCCAGTGCTCTGCACACAGTAGGTCCTAAATTGTTGTTGAACGAATGCATAAAGACCATTGAACTGGGCATTTACAGTATGGCCAGTGCTTTGCATTCGCCATTGCAACAAACCCGAGACTGTGGTTCAAATCCAGGTTTGTCTGACTCTACATCCTTGGCTCAACTTAGGGATTCTGCCTCTTAAGCCCCAGTGGCCTCATCTCTGAGCTGGGTTTGACAATAGTGCAAACACATTAGGAGTTGGGGACCTGGCAAGTGACAGATGGTACCCCCAGAAGGGTATAATAGAAAACAAGGGCTCTATTCACAGAGGTGGGGGCAGCAGTACAGGACAGGAGGAAATGGTGTTATTGGAGCCTGTGAGAGTAGGATCTGCAGCCAAGGGCCCCCTTCCCCAAAATGGGGGACAATAAACACCTTGGGTGCACTCTCCTCCTGCCCTCTGCTCCTCTCATCCCCGCTGGTGTTCCCCACTGGTTCAACTCTACTGGCAGCCAGGGAGAGGCTGGGAGATGCACAGGCTTGCTGGGGGTTGAGTATGGAGAGGGAGTACAGAGTTTCAGGAGACTGTTGTGAGGATTAAATGAAGTCATGTATGGGACTTGCTTGGTTTAGCATCCAAAGCACAATGAACGGGGTTATTAGATGGATGATGAAAGCACTTGATCAGTCTTAGGTTGCCACACTGGGTGTCTCCCCTCCCTCCTCCTTCTTGCCCTCCCTCTTTCTGTTTCCTTTCTTCTCTTGTTTACCTTCCTTTCTTTCTTTTTCCTTCCTTCCCTCTGAGCTTTTCAACTCTGCTAAGATGGGCAGATTGAAGGATTGTTTGCTCCAAGAAAAAAATTTTAAACCTCTGAGATTTATGCAAAGAATATGTGACTTCCTGACCTTCCAGAGGCACTGCTGCTTGTCTTTGGCACAATAACGCCATTCCTTCATCAAGGATGCACATGATTTTTTCCCTCTTCACATTTTCACGTTGCTGAATTAGGACATGTCTCATAGCTGGGAGGGCTTTTCCTGAAGACAGACCTCATCTTTCTTGTTAAACGCTGTGTCTCCAGCACCCAAGACAGTTCTGGGCTCGCTGCAGATGCTTGGTAAATATTTGGGGTATGAGTGAATTAATTCTGACAGTGGTGGCCGCCTTGCATGTGCAGCAAATGTGTGTGTGTGCCGCTGACAAAACTTGCTGGCACATCCGTAGAAAGTCTCTCGCTGGGGAAGTGCCCAGATTCCGTTTCTGCTAGACTGCCTTTCCCTGTCTGATTTGCTCTGGTCCTGATCTGGGAGTGTGGACTTGGAATGAAGAAGTGTCGGTCCCAGCGGGGACATCATTAGAAATACCACCTGTGGTAGACATGTGAAGCACCTCAAGGATGGGGGAACCCAGCACGTTCCTTTTGTGATGATGAAATATTTCCGACATACACCACCAATGTAGAGAGATAATACAACAAACCCTCGGGAAAAGCTAAGAAACAAACCTTGACAATTGCCACTGCAGTGTCTGTTTCCCTCCTGTAGTCACCTGCTGTCCCACTCTCCCCAGAGATTGTCACAATGCTGAATTTGACATTTAAAATTCCCATGCATATATGGGGGTATGTGTGTGTTTATGTACATAAACATACACTGTACATTCTTTTTTTTTTTTTTGAAACAGAATCTCGATCCGTCGCCCAGGCTGGAATGCAGTGGCACAGTCTTGGCTCACTGCAACCTCTACCTCCCAGGCTCAAGTGATCCTTCTGCCTCACTTTCCCTAGTAGCTGGGACTACAGGCGTGCACCACCATACCTGGCTAGTCTTTGTATTTTTCTTTTTTGGTAGAGATGGGATTTCACCATGTTGCCCAGGCTGGTCTGAAACTCCTGGGCTCAAGCGATCCTCCTGCCTTGGCCTCCCAAAGTGCTGGGATTACAGGTGTGAGTAATAGCGCCTGGCTACAGGACTTTCTTGTGATTCACAGTAGTTATGTTCTGTAAAGTTGCCACAAAGACTGAATTAACCAATACTGAATTAACCAATGGCCCCTAGGGGAAATATGTACACACATATCTCACTTAGTTTATACTTTAGATCCTAAAAACAACTCATCCTGGTCAATTCCATTTTCTTCATTTTACCAAAGAGTGTTAGGAAGTGTTAAGAGACTCGCCCGAGGCTGCCTCCCTAACAGTTGCTGGAGTTGGGATTCAAACCCCATCCAACTGGCCCAGGGCTGGAGCTTCTTGCACTACATAGACCTGTCCCTACTGTCTCTGTCCTCTGGTAACATCTGTATGAAGCTGGAACAAGAAGACAGAGTGGGGCCCTGTTTAACTTCAGCTTGGAACCTGCACATTGAGTTACTCAAATTTTTCACTAATCTTCGCTTGTCTGTGAGTAACTATAAATGTGCTGCAAGTATTGATTTTAGGGTTAAAAATAATTTCAGCAAATAAGCAAAGTAGCAAATACAGAATCTGTAAATCATGAGGACTGGCTGCATATATATGTATTTACTATGCCTGTATGAATGCCTAAATACTTTATAGTACCGTTTTGCAGTTTTAAAAAACTATATAGGCCAGGCGCAGTGGCTCACGCCTGTAATCCCAGCACTTTGGGAGGCCGAGGTGGGCAGATCACTTGAGGTGAGGAGTTTGAGATCAGTCTGGCTAGCATGGAGAAACGCTTTCTCTGCTAAAAATACAAAAAATTAGCCAGGCATGGTGGTGGGTGCCTGTAATCCCAGCTTCTCAGGAGGCTGAGGCAGGAGAATCGCTTGAACCTGGGAGGCAGAGGTAGCAGTGAGCCGAGATCACACCACTGCACTTCAGCCTGGGCAACAGAGCTAGACACCGTCTCAAACAAACAAACAAACAAACAAACAAGACTGTATATAAAAAGCATCACATTAGACATGTGAATCCTTTTGCAAGTAATTTATTTCCCCTTCAGGTTACTGACAGTGTAGCTGTGGCTCATTTTCACTGATGTAGAGGAATAGTTAGTGCTTATTAAACACCTGCTATGTGCTGGGAGCAAATGCTTTATATTTCATATTTGGTTGAACCCTTAAGGCCACCCTATCAGTTAGATACTATTCTTATTCCCATTTGACAAAAGAAGAAATTGAAGCATCAGTTGCCCTAAGTGCTTAGGAAATGTTTATTGAAGGAATGAGTGATGGAGACGACCTAAGTGATCATCAATAAGATGATTGGATAAAGGTGGAATTCTAAGTTTAGGTGAACATATGAAGAGTTGTCATAGGGAAACTTTCAAGGAAGGCATAGACTGAGGTTTGCAAGAGTTCTAGCACTTGGTGTGGTGTTTTGGGGGTTCAGATTGTGGGGAAGGTGGAGAAGACCTGGATGCTGGCTAGCTAAACCCCACAGAGGTCTCCCTTGCAGACACCACCTTCTCTTCCAGCAGTCTCCTGCACTGTGGCACAGTGGAGTGGCTGCAGTCGCTGTGTGAAACCTGCCAGGTCTCCTACCATGTACACCGGAGGCGTGTCCTGCAGGAGCCGAGGAATGGGGGTGTCCCCTTCCCGCTGCTGGAAGAGCGGGCTGGCTGTGTGGAGTACTGGAGCCACCAGGGAGTGGAGTGCCAGCAGTCATTGCATGAGTGGGGATGGGCCCCAGGGGTGGCTCTCAGTGGGAACAGTCAGGCTGGACTGCAGGGCCCTCCATGAGTTCTTGGGTAGGGTCTGAGTTTGGAATGGGGCTTTGCCTTCCTTTGCCCTGATCCCCCTTCTCATCTTGTGAATGAGTTCAGAAGCTCTGAACTCCACTGGGCTTCTCAGTCTTCTTTCTGCTCCTCTCCCTGTGTGAATCAGTCAGGACTTTGTATGCAGGTGATAGGAGACCCAACTTAACCTGAACTGAGCAAAACTGTGTGGCTCCTGTAACTAAAATTCCAGGGGCTGCATTCAGGCATGGCTGGATCCAGGAGCTCAAGCAATGTTGCCAGGAATCTCTCTCCATGTCTCAGCTCTGTTTTCCTCTCAGTTGGCCTCATTCTCAGGCAGGCTTTTCCCTGTAATGGTCTTTGACAGCTTCAGGCTTCCCTCTAACCAGCCTAACAGCTGAAGAGAAGGCCTCTTTCCCCATAGTTCCAGCAAATATCCTAGGATATTTGTGGTGGTGCGCACACCCGAAGTCCCAGCTGCTCGGGAAGCTGACGCAGGAGGATCACTTGAGCCCAGAAGTTTGAGGTTGTAGTGAACTGATTGCACTACAAGACCCTGTCTCTAGAGATCAATCAATCAGTCAATCAATCAAAAGGTCGTTCTGACTGTTATGTGGACAGCAGACTGAGAGGGGTCAGAGGGAATCAGGGAGCCTAGGGAAGAGGTGGCTGCAATGGTTCAGGCAAGAGACTATGGTGGTTGAACCAGGGAGGTGGCAGTGGGGTGATGAAAAGTGGGAGTGTTGCTTCCTCTGCTTGAAATCCTTCTCCCTACCCCCAGCCACTCCCATCCAGCCATTCCTGGGTCATCACTTCCTGTAAAGATGTCAGTTTCCCTGAGGAAGATCGGGAAGATCATCCTGACTTGCTAATATGTGCCAAGTGCCTCACCACATGACCTGACTCTGTGAGGTCAGTGTTACTATTCTCTTCTTACAGACAGGGAAACCGAGGCTCAAGGAGGTGACAAAGCTTGTCCAAGTCACATGGCTATTGACTAGAGGACCAGGACCCTCCCATTCTGACCTTTGATATCACCCACCTACAATCTTTTCGTTGTACTGTTTTTTGTTGTTGTTGTTGTTGTTTGTTTTTTGTTTTTTTTTTTTAAGACAAGGTTTTGCTCTTGTTGCCCAGGCTGGAGTGCAATGGTGCAATCTCAGCTCACTGCAGCCTCCTCCTCCCGGGTCCAAGCCATTCTCCTGCCTCAGCCTCCCGAGTAGCTGGGATTACAGGCACCCGCCACCATGCCTGGCTAATTTTTTGTATTTTTTGTTGAGACGAGGTTTCACCATGTTGGCCAGGCTGATCCCGAGCTCCTGACCTCAGGTGGTCCACCTGCCTCGGCCTCCCCAAGTGCTGTCAGAATGTAGTAAGGTGATATATGATGAGCACCTACTACATAAGTGCTCAATAAACAGCAGCTGAATTATTTTCTTTGCTCACCGTTACAGCCATGAGGCTCTGATCTTTATGACTGATCCCTTGAATCTTCTTTCAAAACATCTCACCTCTGTATTTGAGGGCTTGTCCCTTCACCATAGCATGAGAGCAACAGCTGCATCACAGTAGCTAACAATGTCAAGCAAATTACAAAGGGAAGAAACACTCACTGAGTACCTGCCTTGTGCCAGACCCTCGACCAATGTTACATTACATTCTGACAATAACACCAGGATGTAGATACTGATATTATCCCCATTTTGCAGTTAAGAAGAATGAGGCTCAGACAGGTGCAGTAACTTGATCAAGGTCACTCAGCTATAACAAGGGGAGTTGGGACTAACCTGGGCTTAGCTGGGGCTCTCCTTACTGCTCTAGGTGACACCAAAAGTACAACTACAGCTGTTGGAAGAGGGAAGGGAGGCTGTGTGTTAGGGATTCCTAAGGAATCACGAACCTCTTGTGAAATGATTATCAATTCTCTTCTATGTTCTCCTCTGTTTGATCTAGAAAGGAAGAAACTTGGAAGCTGGCCAAGTAAAATAATTTTATTCATTCATTTGTCTTTCTATCAATCCATCCCCCTATACCTCCTTTCTTCCATCCTTCCATTGTTACATTCACTCATTCATCTATTCTCCCATCCATCCATCCATCCATCCATCCATCCATCTACTCGTTCATCTAGCCATTTCCACTCATCTCTCTGCATTCTTCTATCTTCTTCCATTCTACCTTCTTCCATTCTTCTATCTTCCCATCCATCCATCCATCCATCCATCCATCCATCCATCCAGCTATCCATCCATCTATCTACCCATCCATTTTTTATTCATTCACCTATCCATCCACTTGTCAACTCTCCATCCATCCTTTCCATTCATCCTCTCTTCCACCCATCCATCTTTCTACTCATCTCTCTGTCTCTCCTTTTCTTCCAGCCTCTCATCTTCCCATTTATCTACCTATTATACATCCATTCTTCCTTTCTTCCATCATTTCAGCTATCTATCCATTTATTCATTTAGTCATTGACTTTAAACATTTTATTTTCTTCTTTTAAAATTATTTAATTAATTTTTTGCCTTTCCTATGGTGCTGATAGTTATTGACTCTTTTTTCTTTGTTTTTTTTTTTTGTTTGTTTGTTTTTCTGTTTTTTTTTTGTTTTGTTTTTTTGAGTCTAGGTCTTGCTGTATTGCCCAAGGCTGGAGGACAGTGATGCAATCATGGCTCCCTGCAGCCTTGATCTTCTGAGCTCAGGTGATCCTCCCCTTTTAGCTTCCCAGGTAGCTGAGACTACAGGTGCACGCCATCACATCTGGCTAATTTTTGCAGGATGAGGTTTCACCATGTTGCCTAGGCTGGTCTCAAATTTTTGGGCTCTAGCAATCCTCCTCCCTCGGCCTCCCAAAATGGTGGGATTACAGGCATGAGACATTGCTCCTGGCTGACTAACTCTTTTATCTACTCTATTAAAAAAATCATTCACTTATTCATTCAGCAAATCATTCATTCAAAAAGAATTTTTGAGACCACACCAGGCCCTGAAGTCTCAGAGATAACTATGATCCTGCTTCCAGCACTATAAAGGGCACTGGTAGGGATTATCTACCCAGTTCAAAGATCCTACAGTCTCTTTAGGGCTGTCTTGTAAGTGACTTGGATACCAGAGGTACCAAGCTCGGTGTCCCTATGGTGCCATAGCCTGGGATGTGGTCCGCCCTAACTCTGTTTTCTCCTTGACCCACAGTCCCTGCTTTGATAACCACAGGCAGCTACGGGAAAGAGTGGGAAAAGTGAGATAGTCCCAAGAAACAGGCAACAGCAGGGTAAGTGAAAATCAATCAACCTAAAGTCAAACTAAAATTTGTGAACATGTTTCCTTGAACTAAGTTTCTTTTTTTTCTTTTTCTTTTTTTTTTTCTGGAGATGGAGTCTTGCTCTGTTGCCCAGGCTGGAGCTCAGTGGTGTGATCTCAGCTCACTGCAACATCCGCCACCCGGGTTCAAGCCATTCTTGTGCCTCAGCCTCCTGAGTAGCTGGGATTACAGGCACACACCACCACGCCAGGCTAATTTTTGTATTTTTAGTAGAGACGGGGTTTCATCATGTTGGCCAGACTGATCTCGAACTCCTGACCTCAGGTGATCTGCCTGCCTCAGCCTCCCAAATTGCTGGGATTACAGGCGTGAGCCACCGTGCCCGGCCCAAAATTTCATTTATCACGTCTTTCTCTTACTTTGGCAACATCCATATCTCCCCGTTTGTCACCTTGTTACACCTGCAAGCTCATTAACATGGATTTTAAAGTCCCCAATGATTGGTCTCCATTCAACTTCATTCATTCACCCATTCATTCAACTTTGATTGAGTGCCTACTATGTGACAGGTACTGTGCTAGTCCTTGGGTTATGGCAAGGAACAAAAAAGACAGAAATACTTGGTCCTCATTGAGTGGACAGTCTAGTGGGAGGAGAGAGACAAAAAACAAATAACATGTTGGAGCCTAAGTGCCATGGAGAAGATAAAGCAGGGAAGGGGGTAGGGGTGCCCTGAGAAGGTGACATTTGAACTAAGATCTGGAGGAGGAGATCTGGGGGAAGAGTGTGCCTGGAAGAGGGAAACAGCAAGTGCAAAAGTTCTGGGGCAGGGCATGCCTAGTGTGTTCAAGGATCAGCAAGAAGGCGGGTATAGTTTGAGTGCAGGGAGAGAGTAGGAAATGAGGTTGAAAAGATAACAAGGTAGGAGGTAGATCCTGTGGGGCCTGTAGGCTGTGTTGAGGAGTTGCGCACTTTCTCTCATGAGGTGGGAGTCATGGTAGGGTTTTTAGCAGAGGAGTGACATGATCTGACTTAAGTCTTCACAGGATTCCTTGGGATCCTACTTGGACAATGGATAGAGGAGAAGCAAGGGGGTAACTCGGGAGACCAATGAGGAGGCAATTGCAGTGGTCCAGGCGAGGGAAGAAGGTGGTTTGGACCAGGGTGGTTTCGTCGTACCTTGTGAAGGATGGATTGTGGGGACTGGCGACAGATCAGCGTGTTGTGGGATCGCGGAGCTGAGGTCAAATTTCCAGGACAGTGCCTGGCTCATGATAGGTACTCAGTAAATATCAGTTGAAAGAATAAGGTCTGAACTAAGTCAGTGGCAATGGAGATGGACAGGAGAACTAAAAGGGTTAGGATTCTTTTGATTGCAAGTGACAGAAACTTAGCTCAGACTGCGTCAAGTGAAAAGGTGAAGTATTGGTTTAGATAACCGGGAGGGAAGTTCTGAAATAACATTACTTCAAGCAGGGCTGGCGCCAACGGTGTGTGTAAGGCCGTCAGGGCTGGCTCTCGTCCCCTCTCTTTCTGTCACTCGCTCCATGGGTTGACTTTATTCTCAAGCAGGCTCTTTCCCTGTGGTGGTCAAGATGGGCATCTTGCAGAGATTGTGGGGATAAGCAGCCCCACATCCTCCCAGATCAGTAACCCCAAAAGTGTCCTCTTGGAAGTCTCAGCGGATCATATCTGGAGGAGACCCCGATTGGGTCTGCTTGGATCCTGGGCCCATCCCTGAACCAGTCGTCGTGGCCAGGAAGATGGGGAACTCTGGTCGGTCAACTCCAATCACATACCCGCCTTAGTGGCAGCTGTGGGAGCCACGGCCAGGCCGGCTGAGTGATGGCCCCTCCAAGACCATAGGGCGAGGGCAAGAAGTTTCCAAACAAACTGCCAAAAGGGGAAGAGAAATTGTATGGGGAAGACGCAATTTCTAGTTATCACAGACTTCTGGTAGGGGACAGATTCCCGAGGGGATATGGGGGCAGATCAGAGAGGGAAGGACTGGGGATGGGCTTTCGGCTGCACCTGGAAGAAAACCGTGGGCTCCTCTGGCCACCAGGGGGCAGCAGATTCACACAGAGTCATTCACGAGTCCTTGACACGCCGCGTCTCCTCCAGCAGGGGGTGCTATTTACTGCTCCTTGTAGAAAAAGTTGGGTGGAAGTAAAATTTGGCAAATTCTGGGTCTTATTTCAGATACCCTTGAATGGGGGGGCTTTCCTTTTAAAGAATTCTCATTGCAAATCTTTTTTTCTTCTGTTTTTTGAGACCGAGTCTCACTCTGTTGACCAGGCTGGAGTGCAGTGGCGCCATCTCAGCTCACTGCAACCTCTGCCTCCGGGGTTCAAGCCGTTCTCCTGTCTCAGCCTACCAAGTAGCTGGGACTACAGGCGCGAGCCACCACGCCTGGCTAATTTTTGTATTTTTAGTAGAGACAGGGTTTCATCAAGTTGGCCACTGCAGTGAGCCACCGCGCCTGGCCTTTTTTTTTTTTTTTTCCCTCTTTTTTTTTGAGGCAAATCTTTTTCTTTTCTCTTCTTTTTCTTTCTTTCTTTTTTTTTTTTTTTGTGGCAAATCTTTTTAATAAAATAGGATCTTTTGAAAGAACGTGCCGGGCGCGGTGGCTCACGCCTGTAATTCCAGCACTTTGGGAGGCTGAGGTGGGTGGATCACCTGAGGTCAGGAGTTCAAGACCAGCCTGACTAACATGGAGAAACCCCGTCTCTACTAAAAATACAAAATTAGCCAGGCGTGGTGGCACATGCCTGTAAATCCAGCTACTCGGGAAGCTGAGGCAGGAGAATCACTTGAGTCAGGGAGGTGGAGTTTGTTGCGGTGAACCGAGATTGTGCCATTGCACTCCAGCCCGGGCAACACCAGCAAAACTCCGTCTCAAACAAACAAACAAACAAACAAAGAAAAGAAAAAACACAGTGGAGAGCTTAAGAGTATCTATTTAGGCTTATTTTCAGCAGAGATGGTTCCATTTTACATCCCACTGCTTATTAGGTATGTGGCCTTGGGCGAGTTTTCTCTCTGATCCTCCGTTTCCTAATCTGTAAACTAGGGGAAACACCTACCTTGCAGGGGTTCCATATTCCATCGGCCCCAATGACTTATTTAACATTTTAAAAACTGAGCTGGATATAATTCTAGGAGTTGGACCCAACAGTAAACAAAACAAATGAACATTCCTGGCATTATGGAGCCAGCCTTCTAATGGGGAAAACAGATGAGAAATAAAACACTCAGTCTTTTGGATAAAGTGCTTAGAATAGGGTCTGCCTGGTACATGGTAAACCCTGAATAATGTTAACTTGAAAAGCAGAAGTTGAATCTTGTTGTATGCAACCTGTTGAGGCCAATTGGGTTGCACAAAAGATTCCTGTATCAGGGAGAAATTGTACCAACCTGGGCCTAAGATAGGGCTGGATGTACAGTAGGTGCTTCATAAATGCTCATGGGTACTTGAGGTGGTATCTCCCTGTGTGGCTGCAGGTACTGTGTCCAGTTCCAGTTGGGGTCCATTCCAGGGAGCTGCGGGCAGGCGAGGGCACCCCATGCCCAGTGGACAAGGTATCTGAGTCAGGGCCACACGGTCTGTGTGAGGAGTGAATGGCCTGCCCAGGACACCAGGAGCCGGCGCTGCTACGGGGACGGTGGTGGGGCCAAAGGGTGAGCGACAGGACTCGGGCATGGGCAGGTGTGGCTGTAGAGCCCAGGGCATCTCTGCTGCCTGAGATAGCACCCTGGGAGAGAGATGCTGCTCCCTGGCCAGGGCGGGGGCCAGCAGGGTCCCAATCCCAGGGTCCAAAGAGACCAGCCAGTTAGGAGCCGGACTCCTGCCACTTCCGGTGGTGTAAACTTGGGCAAATCTCATCACCTCTCGGATCACTAAGTGCCTCATCTGAAGATACAGATAATGAGAGGACTTCCCCATCGGTCAGGGGTGAGGGCTAAGTGAGATTGTGCAAGGTGAGGACCTAGGACAGTTTCTGACATCCAGAAAGTATCCAAGAAAAGGGAGCTTGCATGGTCATTGAACCCTCACGAGTCCCTTAAAGGCCAGATTTGGTTACTCTCATTTTATAGATGGGCAAACCAACTCAGAGAGGCAGTGTGACTTAGTCAAGGTCACACAGCAGGGTTTGACCCAGATTTGGCTTACATTATCCCTCTAGACTGCCTCCCGTGGGGTGAGGGTATCTTGGAAAGCACTTCACACATACTAATTATAATACTGGCTTACATCGATTGAGCGCTTCCTATGAGTTGAGGATTATTCCAAGCTCTTTATATTCCTTCATTCATTCAGTGTTGAGCATGTGCTAGGTACTGTTCTGGGCACTAGGGATTCTGCAGTGAAGAAAACAGCTGAGGTCCCTTCCCTTATGCAGACAGTAAGGTCCCTTCCCTTATGCTGGGAGGAGGCAGACATCGGGCAAATAAATCTATAATTTGTCAGATGGGAGATGAATGTTAGGAGAGAAAGCAGAGTAAGGATGATGTCCTGGGGGTTGTTAATTTTTTTTTTCTTTTCTGGGTCTTGCCCTGTTGCCCAGGCTGAAGTGCAGTGGTGTAATCCCAGCTCACTGCAGCCTCAACCTCCTGGGCTCAGGTGATCCTCTCACCTCAGCCTCCCGAGTAGCTGGGACTACAGGATGCACCACCATGCTTGGCTAACTTTTGTATTTTTTGTAGAGACGGGGTTTCACCATGTTACCTAGGCTGGTCTTGAACACCTTGGCTCAAGCGATCTGCCCGCCTCAGCCTCCCAAAGTGCTGGGATTATGGGTGTGAGCCACCGTGCCCAGCCATTATTTTTAAAAGCCTGATCAAGGAGGGTAACAGAAAGGAGGTGATATTTGGACGGACACCCAAAGGAAATGAGGGAGGAGCCATGTGGATCTCTGGAGGAATAGCTTTCCAGGCAGAGGGACGGCGAGTGCAAAGGCCCTGAGGTAGAGCGTGCCTGCTGCACTGAGGAGCAAGAGAGGCCATTGGGCAGGAGCAGAGTGAGTGAGGGAGAGCGTAGAAGGAGGTGAAGTCACACTAACACACCGTATGCCAATGAAACATTGCAAGAATCTAACATGGATACTTTTAGGATCTCTGCTTTCCAGATGAGTTGACTGAGATACAAAGAGGTGCCCAAGGTCACATACCTAGCAAATGGCAGAAATGAGATTTGACCCTGAACTGCTCAGACCCCCAAGCCAAGCTCTAAACTCTAGTCTAGACTGTTTCTTACTGAACATGCTTTTCCGGTGCAGGGATTATCACACTGTTGGAATATGAGCTCTCTCTGGGGTCTGTACAGGGAGTTCTACCATTTCCAAGGGTGTTAATTTCCTTCTTTTAAAAATTAAGCAGCCCTGATCACTGTAAACTTAGAACAGGGAATGCCAAGGCCAGTTAGGGTGTTAGGGAGAAACGCATTTAGGCAGGAGGCATTGGATTACACAGATCTGGGTTCAGATTCCACCTCTGGCCCTGATTGGCTATGTGACTCTGGGCAAGGCCTGCACGTGACCCGGACAGTCACCACCACGTACGATTGTGGGGAGCACCCACAATTTTGCACAGCACCTGACCCCTTGTAGATACCCACTAGTGGGGGCTGCTGTCATTATCTCTAATCTGCAGAATAGATATAATAAGACGTAGTTTGTGAAAATGAGATGTAATGGATGTGATGAACCTGGCACATAGTAGGTTCCCAGTAAATACACGTCCAACAATATTATCACACTATAGGGTGGCCCTTCCTGCCAGCCTCCCTTCCAACCTCCCTCCCGCTTACTTGTCCTAGACCTGAGATTCCACTGTTAGAGTTTCATTCTTTGGGATAGGCGCTCACTTTTTAGAGCTTCAGTTTATTCATCAATTTTTGGAAACACTTTCTAGTCTTAAGACTCTGATTAATCCCAAATTTCTCTTTTTGGACACAAATACTCTGGGATGTGAAACATGGCACTTTGGCAAGGCTGAGATGTGGGTCCCAGGGGCCACAGTACCCACCAGGAATGGGAAGGGACAGAAAGGAGAGCCAGGGCTGTGTCCGAGACAGGCATCTCTCCACACTCCCCACCTGGGGCCAGGCTGGCAGAGCAGGTGACGGAAGGTCTCATGGGGGCATGAGCTCACCAGGAAGGACTGGCGGAGCAGGGGGATCCAAGAGAGGAGAGGCATGAGCCGTCAGCCGAATTCTTTCCACGGGCAGCTGTGAGAGCGGGCGTGCCAAGGGCATGGGCCTGGAGAGGGATTAGCCTATCAGTTGGGAATTTTTGGAGGGTTTATTTAGCTTAAGAAGTATCCCTGAGTTTGGGTCAAGCATAAGGAACATCTGCCATGAGCCACTCACCTACTGCGTGCTGGGCACGCACCAAGCAGGTGCTTCACACGTGTGTTCACAGTTAGGCCTTAGGGGCACTTTTAGACAAGGGACATGAACTCCATTTTATATAATGATGATGGCAATAATAATAGTAACTTTAAAATGTTATCATTTGTAAAACACTTATTATCTGCCACGTACTGGGCTTACAGGCTTACAACGGTGCCTGGTACCACGTGGGAGGCGCTTAATCAGTGTTTTTTTTTTTTTTTTTCTATTTTTTTGATGGGGGTCTTGCTCTGTCGCCCAGGCTGGAGTGCAGTGGCACGATCTCGACTCACTGCAACCTCCACCTCCTGGGTTCAAGCCATCCTCCTGCCTCAGCCTCCCAAGTAGCTGGGACTACAGTGCATGCCACCATGCCGGGCTAATTTTTGTATTTTTGTAGCAACATGGTTCTGCCATGTTGCCCAGGCTGGTCTGGAATTCCTGGGCTCAAGCGATCTGCCTGCCTTGGCTTAAAGTGTGGGGATTACAGGTGTGAGCCACTGCACCAGGCCCAGTGTTTGTCATTATTGATATTATTTTGCATTTTTACAAAAGATTTGGATTACACCTACAGAAAATTGGCTTTAAAATATATGAACAGGTTCACAAACATTTGGGAAGGTCACACACCTAGGTAGACACTGCCCAGGCAAGGAACAGAGCCTGGCCAGCCCCCGAGACCTGCACACGCCCCCTCCCTCAGTCCCTCCCTCCCCATAAAGGAGGCCTCTGCCCTGACTTCTCTGGTGATCCATTGTGCGACATCCTTGCCAGCTTTAGGAACTCGATGTGGAGCCCTCAACACTATAGTTCCATTTCATTTCGTTTTGTTTTGTTTCTTTCCAACTTTGCATCAGTGAAACCACGCAGGATGTGCTCTTTGGAATTCGACTGCCTTTGTTCCACATGAGGTTTCCAACGTTCATCCACGTGGTTGCACTTGCAGCATTAGCTGGTTCATTCTTGTTGCTGAAATAGTTAGCTATTACTATTATTATTTTGAGACAGAGTCTGGCTCTGTCGCCCAGGTTGGAGTGCAGTGGCACGGATTCAGTTCACTGCAACCTCCACCTCCCAGATTCAAGAGATTCTTATGCCTCAGCCTCCTGAGTAACTGGGATTACAGGCAAGTGCCACTATGCCCAGCTAATTTTTGTATTTTTAGTAGAGGTGAGGTTTCACTATGTTGGCCAGGATGGTCTTGAACTCCTGACCTCAAGCAATCTATCTGCCTCAGCCTCCCAAAGTGCTGGGATTACAGGCATGAGCCACCACGCCCAGTCAGTTAGCTATTATTATGATCATTTTTATTTTCTTTGCACACAGCATCTCAGATGACCTCCCCACCAACACCTCAGAGGGGCAAAGATTATTGATATCTCCATCTTCCACTGAGGAGAGAGAGGCTCCTAGGAGCCAGGTCCCAAACGCCACCTGATTCCAGAGCCTGTGCTCTTAGCCACTCCGTGGTGTGGCCCCTCAACAGAGGAGGAAAAGGGGGCACAGAGCAGTTAAGCAACTTGCCCAGCCTTGCCCAGCAGGGACGTGATCGAGCCACCTCCCCAGACCCTCAGAACTGACTCTGGAATGCCCTTGTGGCCTCTGAGGGTCGCTGGCTCTGTGGCCATCCCCAGGGTGACTTACAAGGGCCCAGTGCCCATACACTTTTAGGGCCCACAAAGACATTTTAATTTTAATTTCTTTTAAAACCAGAAGAAAAAAACTGATGCTATAATAATAATAATAATAATAATAATAATAATAATAATAATATTAGTGGATCACAAATCCAGCCTGGATTTTACTTGTCTTTATACAGTGCAGTCACAAGCTAGAGGGAGGGTCCCTGAAAGCAAACATCCCTGGAGCCCAGGAAAGCCATCATTCGACTGAGCCAGCCCCATCTCTTGCAGGAACAAGATGTGGCTGTGGCAAGCGGCCAGCCATCCCCGGTGCCGAGGGACCTGGGAGAAGCTAGGGCAGCTCCGGCATTGTTCCTGCCCTGTGGTCCACAGCCTCGTCTTCATCTAGCGTCTGCACCCCCTAACCGTCTTTCCAAAGCCTCGGGGATGGCAGGGAAACTGCAGGGCTTGGGATCCCGCAGAACCAAAGAGTTGGGAGAAATCTGCAATTTTGAGACTGAAGGAACAAGCCTTGTCGTTATGTTGACACTGAAAATAGCTTTATGCTTCCACTCAGTGCCAGCTGAGTCACGGTCCTACTGACATCTCCTGCCCATTCAGGGCTTCCCACATTTCATCTCCCAGACACACTCTCCTGGCCCTTGCCCTATTCTCCTTATTGTATACTTAATTTTTTAATGAACTCTCTCCCTTCCCTTCCCTTTCCTTCCCTCTCTCTCTCTCTTTCTTTCTTTTCTCTTTTTTGGATGGAGTTTCACTCTTGTCACCCAGGTTGGAGTACAGTGGGGTGATCTTAGCTCACTGCAACTTCCACCTCCCAGGGTTCAAGCGATTCTCCTGCCTCAGCCTCCTGAGTAGCTGGGATTACAGGCGTGCACCACCATGCCTGGCTAATTTTTGTATTTTTAGTAGAGATGGGGTTTCACCATTTGACCAGGCTGGTCTTGAACTCCTGACCTCAGGTGATGTGCCTAACTCGACCTCCCAAAGTGCTGGGATTACCGGCATGAGCCACCGTGCGCAGCCCCTCCTTCCCTCCCTTGTCTCCCTCCCCCACTTCCCTCTCCCCCCCTTCTCTCTCCCCCTTCCCCCCCTTCCCTCTCCCCCTCCCCCCTCCCTCCCTCCCTCCCTCCCTTCCTCCCTTCCTTCCTTCCTTCCTTCCTTCCTTCCTTCCTTCCTTCCTTCCCTCTTTCTTGACAGAATCTCCCTCTGTCACCCAGGCTGGAGTGCAGTGGCACAATCTCTGCTTGCTACAACCTCGGCCTCCCAGGTTCAAGCGATTCTGTCACTTCAGCCTCCCTAGTAGCTGGGACTACAGGTGCACACCACCATGCCCAGCTAATTTTTGTATTTTTAGTAGAAATGGAGTTTCACCATGTTGGCTAGGCTGGTCTCGAACTCCTGACCTCAAGTGATCCACCCATCTCGGCCTCCCAAAGTACTGGGATGACAGGTGTGAGTCACCATGCCCAGCCTTCTTTTCTTTACTCAAATAAATTTATTTGAAAAGAAAACTACTTAAATATATGTTTAAAGAGGAAACATTTTATCACAATTATAAAATAAAATAAACAATAATAGCAAACATTTATTAAGCACCCGTAAGAGTGCCAAGCACTGTCTCAGCCTTTTATACATACTCACTCATTGGATTCTGAGTTAGATGCAATGATTATCCCCATTTTACATGTGAGAAAACTGAGGTTCAGAGAGGTTTGGCCACTTTGCTGGAAGTTGCAGTTAGTGAGTGGCAGAGTGGGGATTCGAACTCAGGAGCTGCACCTACTGCTTAGGTTCCCTGCACAGTATATCAGCCTCATGAGGGCAGGGGTTTTGGTTTCTGTGTCCCTGGGCCTAAAATAGTGCCTGACACACAATAATGCTCAATAAATACTTGTTGATAAAAACAAATGAATAAATGAATGATCAGTTGCTATACTAAGAAGACAATCAGGCTGGGCATGGTGGCTCACGCCTATGATCCCAGCACTTTGGGAGGCCGAGGCGGGTGGATCACCTGAGGTCAGGAGTTTGAGACCAGCCTGGCTAACATGGTGAAACTCCATCTCTACTAAAAATACAAAAATGAGCCAGGCATGGTCGTGGGCACCTGTAATCTCAGCTACTTGGGAGGCTGAGGCAGAGAATTGCTTGAAACCCGGGAGATGGAGTTGCAGTGAGCCGAGATGGCACCACCACTGCGCTCCAGCCTGGGTGACAGCATGAGACTCTGTCTCAAAAAAAAAAAAAAAAAAAAAAAAGACAATCAGAAAAATAAATACAATGGAAACCAGAGAAGTCCACTGTTGCCTGCTCAAGATGCTGAGCATGAAGCCTGTTCTCCTGATTCAGACAAGAAACCAGCCAGTGTGGAGTGATAGGAAGAACACACTCATAGCCAATGGAGACTTGCTCCTTGACAAATTAGAAAAATTATACTGGAATCTTGGCACTTTGGGAGGCCTAGGTGGGAGGATTGCTTAAGCCCAGGAGTTTGAGACCAGCCTGGGCAAAATGGCAAAACCCCATCTCTAAAAAAAAAAAAAAAGATACAAAAATTAGCTGGGTGTGGTAGTGGGTGCCTGTAGTCTCAGCTACTCAGGGGGTTGAGGTGGGAGGATCACCTGAGCCTGCGAGGCAGAGGTTGCAGTGAGCCGAGATCGGGCCACTGCACTCCAGCCTGAGCAACAGAGGGAAACCCTGTCTCAAAATAAATTAAAAAAAAAAAAAAGGCTTAAAAGGAGGCTAATTTTTTTCCTTTAGGAGTCAGTTGTTATAAACATTTTTAACAGTGAATTCACATACCATGCCATTCACCCATTTAAAGTGTACAGTTCAATTCTTTTCAGTATATAGAAAAAATTGTACAACCATCACCACAGTCCAATTTAGAGCATTTTTATCCTCCTCTGAAAGAAACCCTGTACTCGTTAGCAGCCTCTCCTTCCTCCGACCCCTCTAGCCCTCAGCAATCACTAATCTTTTTCTGTCTTTATGGATTTGCCTATTCCGGACATTTCATATAAATGGAATCACACAATATGTGGTCTTTCGTGACTAGCTGCTTTCACTTGGCAGAATGTTTTCAAGGTTCTCCCATCTTGTAGCCTGGATCAGTACTGGAGTCAGTTATTTAATGCTACATCCTGGGTTCGGGTAAAACGACCTAAAATGTGAGTCCCCCGCTTCAGGAAGCGCCGCTGTAATGAATAAAGAACCTTTTGGGGGAATCATAGCTCAATCTCTTCCTGGTTCTAAGCGGGCAGGTTCAGGCTTCCCTGCGGTGGGGTTGGAGCAGGAGGTTTATCTTTCAGCTGTCCTTGGGACTGGGCAGGAACTTGTTCAAATGTTACTGCTACTCTATCCTCCTTCCTAAATCAGGACTCTGGACGCTCCTGGGAATCACTGTCTGTTGCTGCTCTCTGGGAGTGTGAATGAATCACTGGGTGAGAATGTCAGTAGCACCTGTGTGTGCTGGTCTGGGGCGAGAATCCTGGGCCAAGGGGCAGCGGAGGGGAGAAAGAAGCAGATGGCCACGAGGCCAGCAAGGGGCTGTCCGACTCGTACCCCACAGCCAGCATTCCCTGCCTCTACCCGTACACTTGTTTTGGCTGCAGGAAGCTGTTTTAGGTGGAAATCATTTGATGTGTGTAGGTGCTGTCTTCCCAAACACACCGTGCTCGACAATTGCCCCAGCTCTGCAGGATAGACTTTTTGTAGCTCTTGGTAGCTACCCATTTTTTCAGCCTCTAAATAGTGGTGGTGCCTGTTTTAATCCTCTCATGGATCGTGTAAAGTAGGTGATCTTTTCCCCATTCACAGATGGGAAACTGAGCTTCAGGATAGTCACATGACTTGTCCAAGTTCTCATGATTAGGAAACGTTGGAGCTGGGCTTTGAACTGGACTGCAAAGCTTGTGCTCTTGACGAAATAGGAAGGCAGAGGCTGTGGTGGGGAGCAGCTTGGTTATGGGTACCCAGAAGGCAGAGCCGTTTCTTGCGTACCATAAAATGGGACATTTACCTTGGGTACTCCCTTTGGAGTGTGTTGCTGGAACTTGTGCAGGGACTTAGGGAATCTTCTGGGGAAGAGGCCAGCAATGTGTTGGGGATGGAGACGAGGAGCACTCAGTGTTATGTTTTGGAGCCTTGTCCTACACCTGAGGACCTCCAAGTCTATCAGTCAAGGCCCTTTGGGAAATGAGTGAAAGAACTCAACCAGCTCGAGCAAGGATAATTTATTGACTCATGTAAAGAAAATATCCAGGATAAGACTGCCTTCAGGTATGGCTGGATCCAGGGGTTTAAAGGTTGAAGCCACTGCCTCACTTTCTTTTGGCCTTGCTCTCCTCTCTGTTGACTTTGTGCTTAGGTAGGCATCCTGTGGTGGCACTAATGGCTGCCAGCAGCTCTAGGCTTTCTTCCTCCCCATTCTGCATCACAAAGCTGAAGACAGCATCTCACTTCCAATGGTCTCAGTCTCAGCTACAGGTCTGGGGTTGCTGCTTATTGACCAGGCTCATCTCACACCCCTGGTTCATATTCCTGAATCAATGGGTGGGGGGAGGGTGGGGGAATGCACTGTTTTGATTGGCCGGTGCTGGGTCAGGTGCATATCCTTGGAAGTGGAGGCATGGTCAGTCCTACTTGAACCACGTGAACCAAGAAGGAAAACTCGGGACCCTTGTATCAGAAGCAATGGGAATGGATGCTGGGAATGTTTCAGGCCACAGACATCCTCCTCGTGGGTGGCAGAGAAGCCACCATTCATCTCTGTGGCTTTGCTGCCAACTTGCCATGGGACCTTGAGCAAGCCACTTCCCTTCTCTGAGCCTCAGTTTCCTCATCTGAACAGCGATGATCTTTAAGGGCCCATACAGCCCTGAACTTTTGAGGCCAACAGGGTTTGTCTAGCCAACAGCCTGGCATCCTAGCTTGACAGGTCCAAGCTAAGGCTTAGGAATGCATGGCCTTCAGAAACCCTGGGGTCGAACCTGGGGCTGGGCGCCTGGCCTCTTGTTCTTGCCCATCCTGGCAGGGTACAGCCTGTGATGTGGGAGGGAAGGGTTCTGAGGAGGTTTCTTTGCACATCCCCAGCATTCTCCGTCTATAATTGGCTCCAAATGAAATGATCTCATCCCTGAACACTGAGGAAGAAAGGGTGGGGGTGAAGCTGCTCGCTGGCAGCATCTGACATAGTTTATGACTAACCCGCTTCCCTCCCGAGGCAGGGAGAGACGGTCCGCTCTCTCGAAGACAATGTACAATTTTGAAAAAAAAAATAAAAAAGTCTTGGTAAATAGATTGAGGAGGCTCCAGCCTCCTGGGCTTTTGGGAGGCCCAAGGCATTTTTCCCCTCTGCCCAAACCAGGTATCTTTTGCCCATTGCTCACAAGTCAACGTGACCCGTGCTATTACCATTCCCCAAACTTTTCACGTCAAACCCTGGCCGGGAAGGTGGTCAATGTAGCCAGTCCATCAAGCGATTTGTCCCATATGGATTCTCAATTGAGTTTTGTGGCCGGCTGGAGCTTGTTTAAATGCCCATACATTAATTTTGAAAGATGAGCTCCTAATCAACTTTTAAAAAGCTTGTCACAGCACCATCTGTTTGGCGTTTGTCACTATTGCATTACATAAGAGGAAAGACATTTTTAAAGAATGCGGCTACATTTAGTAATTGGATCGCCGGAGAGAAGCCAAACCGGGGCGGATGGCACCGTGATTCAGAAATGCCACGGGCCCTTCTCCGGGGTGTGGCGGCCTCCCCAAATTCCACGCGGTCTTGGCAGAGACCTGAGTGCAGCCCAGCTTGGGAGACAGGCTTGGGGTGGCTTCTTTTCCTCTTGCCTTGGTCTTCCTCTTATTTTTTCCATTTGTTCTCCCTCACCCCTTGCTACCCCAGTATTAGCAGTGACCAAGTGGCTTTACTTCCCTGAGTCCCAATTTCCTCATCTGGAAAATGGGATTCACAAGAGCACCATCTTGTGAGGTTTAAATGCATTAATGCCTACGGTGCCTGGCACGTGGTGAGTGCTTTATAAAGTGTTGCTATTTTATAAAGCTATGTCTGATGCATAGTAGGTGCCAACACATGTTCATTTTCCTTCCTTTTTCCCTTCCCTTTATTTATTTATTTATTTAGAGACAGGGTCTTGCTCTGTTGCCTAGGCTGGAGCACAGTGGTGCAATCTCAGCTCACTGCGGCCTTCACCTCCCAGGTTCAAGCAATTCTCCCACTTCAGCTCCCTGAGTAGCTGGAACTACAGGCATGCACCACCACACCTGACTAATTTTTTGTATTTTTTTTGGTAGAGACGGGGTTTCACCATGTTGGCCAGGCTGGTCTGGAACTCCTGACCTCAAGTGATCCATCAGCCTTGGCTTCCCAAAGTGCTGGGATTACAGGCGTGGGCCACCGTGCCCGGCCCCTTCCTTCCATTTAATTCAACAAGTTCTTAGGAAGTGCCCACGTTTGAGGCAGAGCTGGCATCATGCACATGCACAGCCATTTGCACAGGGCCCCACACTCACAAGAATGCTGAGCTTGGTTTAGCGTTCTGCTGTCGCTGGCTTGACATTCTTAATTTTTGAACAAGGGGCCCTGCATTTTCATTTTGTACTGGACCCCACAAATTATGCAGCTGGTCTCATCTGGAGGTCTAGAATGATGCTATGTCTTATTTGACCGTCTGATATTTAAAATAACAATAGAGTCAACGTTTTAAAATCAGGAGAGTTCACACAACAGTCTGGCTTATTTTAGAAAATTAGAACATCTTGCCACTGTGAGTCTGCATTCCCACACACTGCCACATGGGCTGGAGCTGGAGTCCTCTATACAGGCCACATCCGCCACTGTCCCCACCACTCCTGGAGGCTTTGGACTGAGTCTCTTTGCTCATTTATAGAGCTTCCAGCATGGTAGCTGGGATCATGGGCTTTGCAGCCAGGTATGTGTTCAGCTTTTCTGTTAATCATCACAGTAACCTCTCTCTTAGGGTAGTAAGGATTAAACTAGTTAATATAGGCAAAGCATCTGGAATATGTTGCACTGTTATTGCTACTGTTCTGCTTTATCCTGGTGCAGAAGCTCAGACCCCCAGTCTGAGGGCTGCCCCTCCGGGAGCTGGAAGCTGCGCCTGTGGCAGCTGGCTATGAAAGCGTCTCTTTCTGCTGTCCCACACAGCAGCCGTTGTCAATGTCCACTTTCTCTCCCTCCACCTGCAGCACCAGAGTTCACACCTTGGGCCCGCCCTCCTAGCATTATTTTGAGAAAAGGGCCTTCTGTCCTGTAAATAGGCTGAGTCATCCCTGCCTCAGGGCCTTTGCACACGCTGCACTTGCTTCCTAGAATACTTCTTTTCCCATCGCTTTGCTTGGCCATCTTCTCCTTTTGGTCTAGCTCAAATGGTACTTCCTCAGGGAGGCTTTTCCTGATCGCCTAAGAAAAGTAGCCCTGTTTTCTTTCCCCTGTCATACACATTCGCCTATATTATTTTCTTCCCAGAACTGGTTTGTTGTGTATCTCCCAGAGGACCAGGTCTGCCTTGGTCACTGTGATATCCCTAGCACTTAGGCCATTGCCTGGCACATGGTAGATGTTTGATAATTATTTATTGAATGAATGAAGGAAGGAAGAAAAGAATTCATCAACTCCTCATGACCACCCTGTAAAGCAGGGACAAGAGACCTGAGTCATGGAGAAGAGAAGGGACTCCTCAAGGTCGCACAGCCCAGAAGGGGCAGAAAGGGTGATGAGGACCTAGGTTTTCTGCTTCTACACCCCCTGTCCCCTCAACCCCCCAGGTGGGAAGCAGCAGAGACATTTGGATCTTTGGCTCGACCAGCCACCAAGAACGGGTCAAGTGTGCAGCAAGGCCCAGAGCACAGCGTCTGAGGGTGGTGAGAGCGATTCACCCAGGCAGCCAGGAGGCGAGACTGTTTACAGGGGCTAGCGGCTGTCGCCATGACAACCGGACAGCCTACAGCTTCCTGCGTCACCAGGGACGCAGGTTTGCTCTTGGCTGGGAAGCAGTGGGGACAATGGAGTGGGGGCTGGGAAATGGGGGGACCCTAAACACTCAGTCTTGGGGGGAGGCAGTTCTCATTTCTGGTTTTTTTTTTTTTTTTGAGATGGAGTCTCGCTCTGTCGCCCAAGCTGGAGTGCAGTGGTGCGATCTCGACTCACTGCAACCTCTGCCTCCCGGGTTCAAGTGATTCTCCTGCCTCAGCCTCCTGAGTAGCTGGGATTACAGGCGTGTGCTACCATGCCCGGCTAATTTTTGTAGTTGTAGTAGAGATGGGGTTTCACCATGTTGCCCAGGCTGGTCTGGAACTCTTGACCTCAAGTGATCTGACTAACTCAGCCTCCCAAAGTGCTGGGATTACAGGTATTAGCCACCATGCCCGGCTGGGAGTTCTCATTTCTGAGAGTTGCTTGAAGGCTGGGAGGGCCTGGTGATGCTACCTAAGTGTGTGTGTGTGTGTGTGTGTGTGTGTGTGTGTGTGTGTGTGTGTAGTGTCTGGGCTGTGTGGAGCCAAGCTGCCTGGGTCTGAATCTCAGCTTTGCCTCTTCTGTGCCGTGGCATTTTGGGCAAGTGAGTTAATCTCTCGGTGCCTTAGTTCCCTCTAATGTAAAATAAGGTGGACAGTAGTACCTCATAGGACTGTTATGAGGATTAAATGAGATAATAGTCTCACGGCACTTACAATGCACCTTGCATTGTGCCTTAATTCTTGACATCAATCTACATCTGACTCTAGGTTGTCTTCTTGCTGGGGTAGTGGGAAATTTGGTCTCAATCATCCTCAGGGATCCCTACTTCCCTGGCTTTTGTCATTCATTCAACAAATACTTATTGAGCACCTACTGCATGCCACGTATTGTTCTAGAGGCTGAGACCACAGCAGTGAACAAAGCAAACAAAAATCCCTGGCAGAGTAGAGCTAACATTCTAGTAGGGATAGATAGACATTAAATATGACAAAAAGGAAAATAGATATTATATCAGATGACAATAAGAAGAAAAAGAAAGCAGGGCTGGAGGATTCCAACTGCAGGGGAGCTGTTGCAATTTTAGAAAAATTGATGCATGGGGATGTGAGTGTGTCAGGGAAGGCCTCACTGAGAGAGTAACCTTTGAGTACAACTTGAAGAAGGTAAAAGAGGGAGTCACAGGTTATTTGCAAGAGCATTCCAGGCAGAGGGAACAGTAAGCGCAAAGGCCCTGAGGCAGGAGCATGAGCATGTATGTGACTGTATCATGTAGTCATATCTCTTGGCAAGTCTGTGTGTGTGATGTTATGTGGCACACATTGGTGGCATATAGGTGGTTATGCCTGTCCACATGGGTGGCAATGCACATACATGTTTGTTCATGTACAGAGCTGCTGTGTTCAGTCACAGAGGCTGTGCCTGAACAATTCAGGGAGTGACATTCACACTGATTGCCATGAAATGGGACCCCCTGGTGTAGTGCAGCGCAGTGGCCCCGAGCATATATATAAGGAAATCAATGTAAAATGTCTGTGAAAATGTTCACACGTGTATGTGTCCGGATATTTAAATATAACGATATGCAAATATGTATATATGAATGTCTTTAAGATGTTGATATTTCATTCCTCATGGACTTTTGCTTCAGTATTGATTTTTAAAAAATATTGCATTAAGATATTATTTCTCTTGATTACTCAGTTTTTGGGTGCATCTTACATTTGCATCAGAGGCAAGTGCCTCACTCTCTTAATGCTGGTCCTCGCCCTGCCTTGGAGTTGGGCAATGAATGTGCGGGAGGCAGGGATGAGGCAAGGGAAGCCTCTCCTTCTGGCTCCTTCCAGCATCTGGGCTCATCAGCACATGACTAGAATCCAAACCTAATCTGAACACATTTTGTTCCTTTAAAACAAGATTTATTGAGTGCTGACTGTGCGCCAGGGACTCTGCATACATTATTTTATTTTATCCTTACCACCATCTCTGGGGGTAGATATTTGCTCATTCCATTGAACAGACATTTGCTTAGGGCCTACTATGTGCCAAGAGTATAAGCTGGCATTTGTGCTGGTCTGGCAGCCACTCCTGATTTTTCTGGTAAAAGCACCCCAGTTTTCCTTTAGGGAACCTAGCCTCTTCCCTTTACTGTCCAAGTGGTTTCACCTGGGCTTTCTGTACCCCTCCCTCAGACTCCAGGGGTGGGGGTGTGATCCAGGCGACCCAATCAGCATACTCCATCCCTTTTGCTCCAGAGATTAGTTATAGGACGAGTATCTAACCCAAGTTGGTTCAATCAGAGTGAATCCTGGGATTTTTGCTGCCCTGTTGGGAAAAAGAGCTCTCTTTTCATCAGGATTTCTAGCTGTGAGAATTCTGTAACCCTGGAATTCCCAGTGAGAGTCTACTACATGGAGAGAGAGAGAGAGAGGAAAAACTCATCCCTTATGACATCTTTAAAGCCCCTGGATCCAGCCACACCTGAAGTCAGTTACCCTAAGATTTTTCAATTCTGTGAGTTTATACTTGTTTTTCTTTTTAAAAGCCAGTTTGAGAGGGAAGCTGAAATCCTGTGCTTGGCATCTTTGTACATTATCTCCTTTAATTCAGAGATGAATCCCATGGGGAAGGGGCTCTGATTGTACAAGAACTGATCCTCAGGGAGGGAGGTGACTTATCCAAGGTCACAGCAGGTTGGTAGTTGGAGCTTGAATTCAAGCCCAGGTCTCTACTCCTGAG
Organism: Homo sapiens; assembly: GCF_000001405.40. Classification (NCBI taxonomy): domain Eukaryota; kingdom Metazoa; phylum Chordata; class Mammalia; order Primates; family Hominidae; genus Homo; species Homo sapiens. Next base: position 49,350,785 of record NC_000020.11, read on the forward strand.
CCGTTCTGCCATTCCACATGGTCTGACCTCTGGACAAGAGGGTTTGTGTGAGTATTAGTGACATAGACCCGAGTCCTGTTATGGCCACTGTTTTGCTCTGTGACCTTGATCAAGTCATTTCTCTAATATGAGCCTCAGTTTCCCATCTGGAAAAATGGTAGTGCTTACCCCATCATGCTGTCGTGAGATGATCCATGAAAGTAAAGTACTCAGAACAGGGCTAGACATGCAGCAATGAACATAAACTATTATTACCATGGCTCTCTTTTTTTTTTTTTAGAAAATTTTTTTTTAAATTTCATAGGTTTTTGGGGAGTAGGTGGTATTTGGTTACATCTTTAGTGGTGATTTGTGAAATGTTGGTGCACCCATCACCCGAGTGGTATACACTTCACCAGAGCAGTATACACTGAACCCAATTTATAGCTTTCCATCCCTCACCCACTTCCCACCTTGCCCCGCAAGTTCCCAAAGTTCATTGTATCATTCTTATGCCTTTGCATCCTCATAGCTTAGCTCCCACTTATGAGTGAGAACATAATGTTGGTTTTCCATTCCTACCATGGCTCCCTCTTTGAGGGAAGAAAGGGGACCCAGGGGGCTCCCCGGCCACCCTGCTCCCATCCTCCCTGATGGCCACAGGCTCCCAGCAGCCCTTGATGGCACCTTCATCCATCTTCTGCCAGACACACAGAACTGGCTCGCTTACCCGGGAAGCAGGCACTTAAGGAGGCGCTTCCCCGCTTTCTCTTTTAATTTTCGTTACATAAATTTCACATTTCCTGGAATAGAGAGCTTGAATGTCTGGACTCATTTGGAAATCGAGTCAGCAAAGGGCCTCATTTATATTAATGGGGACTCGAGCCTGACTTGAGACGTGGCAGAGACAAGGATGGATGGCAGCAGCTCCTAGGCCCAGCCATCCAGGCTGAGCTCAGACACTGCCTTGAGAAGCAGATGCCTCCAGATTTAGGCTGGGACTGTTCTCGTTGTGTGGGGAGCTCCTGGATGCAAGGGCGGTGTTGTCACCCCTCCCCCACTGAAACTTCCCAATGGCTGCTCACTCTCTCAGAGGGAACTCCAGTCTGCTTATCCTGCTTGACAAGGGGCTGCGTGATGGACCCCTGCTAACCTCCCTGCTCCTGCCCACCACTCTCCTCCCTCATCCTTCTTCAGTCTGGCTGGCCTCCTGAGAGCATTCCTGCCTCAGGGCCTTTGCACTTGCCGTGCTCTCTGCCTGAAAGGTTGTTCTCCTAGCTCATCCCGTGGCTAGCTCCTTCCATGGCTTGTCTCACAGACAGCACCTCAGGGAGGCCTTCCTTGATTGCCCATCTGGAGAAACACTCTCCAGTTACTCTGTATCACACCCATTTCATTTTCTCCATCACACTGAGCAATAGTTTGTATTTTCTTGTTTACTTATTTGCCTATTTATTTATTGGCTGTCTTTCCCATGAGAGTATAAACCCCATTAGAGCACAGACTACGTGTCTCCTTCAGCTTTGTCCCCCTAGGATCTGGCTCAGAGAGACAGATTTCTTAAGCACCTTAATAAATATTTGTGGAATGAATGCCTGCACTCATTCAGCAAACCCTTTCTGAGTGCCTTCCTGGTGCCAGGCTCTATTCTGGGTGCTGGGAACACAGCTAAGAAAAAGACAAGAGGCAGGGCACGGTGGCTCACGCCTGTAATCGCAGCAATTTGGGAGGCCAAGGCGGGTGGATCACTTGAGGTCAGGAGTTTGAGACCAGCCTGGCCAACATGGTGAAACCCTGTCTCTACTAAGGATGGAAAAATTAGCCAGGTGTGGTGGCATGTGCCTGTAATCCCAGCTACTGAGGAGGCTGAGGCACAAGAATTGCTTGAACCTGGGAGGTGAAGGTTACAGTGAGCCGAGATCGTGCCACTGCACTCCAGCCTAGGCAACACAGTGAGACTCTGTCTCAATTAAAAAAAAAACAAAAACAAGACAAGATTGTTGGCTGCATGGAACTCGTGGTCTGGCGCAGAGAGGAAAACACCATAGTAACGAACATTTATTGAGTGTGACAAGGATTTTACAAAGAGACATCACATTTAATCCTAACTACAGCCCTTGGAACTATTATTTGTACCAGTTCATGAGGCACAGAGAGGTGAAATAGCTTGCTCAAGGCCATACAGTTAGAAAACAGAGGAGCCAAGATTGTGGCCAGGCCATCCGGCTCCCCACTCTGCTGGTTTAACAAGCTCACTGAAGCCACTGGGAGTTAAAGCCTTGTGCTGTGAAACCTGTGATGGGGGAGGCTCTGAAGGCTGTGGGAGCCCAGAAAAAGCACCTGACCTATTAGGCTGGTGCAAAAGTAATTGTGGTTCTTGCCATTGAAAGTGATGGCAAGAACTGCAATTGCTTTTCACAACCTAATAGCTTTTGATAGGAGAAAAGATGAGCAAAGCCTCCTGAAAGATGCAGTACCTTAGTTGTGTCTAGAATGTATTTATTTTTAACTTTACATTATAGCTTAAGAACTTTTAATATCTCCATGCTGTCCACAGTTAAAATTTTAAGTAATGCATATTATTCCAGTGAGAGGCAGCACCATCCATCACTGTTGGGGAGTTTCATGCTTGCAATTTTGAGGTTCTCTTTAATGCTTTGAGGACCAACACCCTGGACTTACTGGAGTAATGTAGCGCTCAGGTTTCGGCTCCTCCCTTTACTTGGCTCTGAGGATTCTACATGCCTGGAACAAGGCACATCTCCAAAGTCACTAACGTGGCTAGATAATGGATAACTAGAAGTGCCTGCCCCCTCCACCATCCTTGTCTTGATGCCAGGTGAGATCCAGGCTCCTCTGCCCCAAGAAGGGCTGAGCTTACATTATCTCCAGCTCAGCAGGTCCTTGGAAATTAGGTTGTTTTAAGGAAATAAAGAAATGTGATATTTCAACAAGACACTAGGAACAGCGGTTGCCTCTGCAGAGGGAAACTGGGTGGCCAAAGGATGGGGTAAGAGGGAAATTTTCGGGCCAGGCGCTGTGGCTCACACCTGTAATCCCAGCACTTTGGGAGGCTGAGGCGAGTGGATCCCTTGAACTGAGTCCAGGAATTCGAGACCAGCCTGGACAACATGGCCAAACCCTGTCTCTACAAAAAAGCCCTTCAAAATTAGCTGGGTCTGGTGGTGCATGCCTGTAGTCCCAGCTACCTAGGAGGCTGAGCTTGGAGGATCACCTAAGCCTGAGAATTTGAGGCTCCAATGAGCTGTAGTTGCACCACTGCACTCCAGCCTGGGTGACAGAGACCCTGTCTCAAAGAAAAAAAAAAAAAGGAGATTTTCTTTGCAGATCCTTTTATATCTTTCCCATTGGGCACCACGTGAAATTATTACCGAGTTTAAAAAAAACTTTTTTTTAAAAAATGTAGAAGTTAATGTATTATTTCTGCATATCGGTCTGTGGACTAAGCTTTATACGATGCATTCATTCTCTTTATTTACCTCAAATGTGGGAAGTAGCTATTATTGCCTCTTCCTGACAACAACAAAAAAAGCCTGAGGACTGGAGATGGGCTGTGCCTTGCCCAAGGTCACATGGTGAATTAGTGCCAGAACTGAGACTCCACTGGGTGCAGTGGCCCACGCCTATAATCTCAGTACTTTGAGAGGCTGAGGCAGGTAGATCGCTTGAGCCCAGGAGTTTGAGACCAGCCTGGGCAACATGGTGAGACCCTGTTTCTACTAAAATAAAAAATACAACAGTTAGCTAGGCATGGTGGTGTGCAATGTAGTCCCAGCTACTTGGGAAGCTGAGGCAGGAGAATCACATGAACCTGGGTGATGGAGGTTGCAGTGAGCCGAGATCGAGCCACTGCACTCCAGCCTGGGTGACACAGCGAGACTCTATCACAAACAAACAAACAAACAAACAAAGAATTGAGACTCTACTCCAGGCCTTCTAACCTGTCCAGGGGGTCTCCACTTCTCCAGGTACCTCTTCCTTTACTGGCGGAAGCCATGCCGAGGTGTGGACAGAGGGGTGGTGATACCTCTGTAGTTATCACCTACAGTAGGGTGGTCACACGTCACACTGGTGTTACACAATCTGGGCTCAAATCCTGGGGCTGTCCCTGGCCTGCTGCATGACCTTAGGTAAATCACAAAACCTCTTGGGCCTTGGCTCTGTGATAGCTGGGCTCCAAGATGGCTCCAATGACTCTCACCTTCCAGCGCTCACTCTTTTGTGTGGCCCTCTTTGGCAGTGAATAGGGCTGACCTGTGGGACCAACAGGGTATTTTGGAAGTGACAGTGTGTGTGACTTCCACAGCTAGATAATAAAGGATATTCTAACAATGGAATATTATTCAGCTCCTGGGCTCAAGCTATCCTCCCACCTCAGCCTTCCAAGTAGCTGGGACTCCGGGCGTGTACCACCATGCCTGTCTAGTTTTATTTTTATTTTTGTAGAGACAGGGTCTCACTATGTTGCCCAGGTTGGTCTCAAACTCCTGGCCTCAAGTGATCCTCCTGCCTCAGCCTCCCAAAGTGCTGGGATTACAGGCATGAGCCACTGTGCCTGGCGCCGGCTGATGTCTGTCTTGACTGCAACTTCACAAGAGAGTCTGTACAGGAACCGTCCAGCTAAGCCACTCTCAAATACCTGAGCCACAGAAACTGTGTGAAATGTAAGTGACGATTGTTGTTTTAAGCTGCTAAGTGTTGGGATAATTTGTTACACAGCAATAGGTAATGAATACAGTTTTTCATCTGTAAACTAAATATTGTGGTAATTTCACAGTGTCATTGATGATAATAATTTCATGATGACTCCTTTGATGATGACTTCATAGGTTGTATTTCATACGGTTGTTGCTAAGAAATTAGCAAATGCTAATTAGTGCTTGGAGCAGTGTCTGGCACCCAGTAGATTCTGAGTAAATGTTAACTGGTTTGATTATATGTTCTTTGTTATTTCTGGCACTGTGAGATGCTGAGCCTGAACAATAGATTCCCCGCCCCCCTTTTTTTTCTGAGACAGAGTCTTGCTCTTGTCACCCAGGCTGGAGTGCAATGGCACAAACTCGGCTCACTGCAACCTCCGCCTCCCGGGTTCAAGTGATTCTCCTGCCTCAGCCTCCCAAGTAGCTGGGATTACATGCATGTGCCACCATGCCTGGCTAATTTTTGTATTATTAGTAGAGACGGGTTTCACCATGTTGGCCAGTCTGGTCTCGAACTCCTGACCTCAGGTGATCCACCCACCTCGGCCTCCCAAAGTGCTGGGATTACAGGTGTGAGCCACAGCACCTGGCATAGATACCCATTAAGGAACATAGCTAGGCCCCAGGCTGCAGTGGGATAATAGAGATGGTTAGGATGAGAGCTACCGCTATTGAACACTCACTCAATGCCTGTTCATAAGCACTTCATATCCTTCCATCGAAGCCTCAGCAGCAGCCCTTTGAGGTAGATGCTATTATTTCCCCATTTGACAGACTAGAAAATCAAGGTGCAGAGAGAGACAATGACTGGCCCTAAATCACACACCGAAGAAGTGGGGTAGCCAGGATCTGAACTCAGATGTTTCAGACCCCAAAGTTTCTATTCTGAACCACTAGGCTGAGCTGCAGCTTGGCTCCCCATCCCCCACGCCCACCCCTGACACAAAGCTTATCTTTTCCCTTTACCAATTTCCTGCTTATTAGTACAGAGTTAATTGCCCACACATCTGAGTGCAATCATTAGTTCATTCACCTCCTATCTGCAGAATGTCAAACTCCTTTGCACTCGGGAGACTGGAGAGTAGATTCCTTTAGAAGTTTGTTCTTGTGATTCACGTTCCCTCTCCCAGGCTATCCCCTTCAATAGCTAGGATTGGGAATAAGAATGCACACATGTACAGAAAAGCACAGAAACATCTGCCCTGCCTTAGTTCCCTACAGGGTCTCATCAGAGGTGGTTTCATTAGCCCCAACCCTTTGCAGCCTGGCACCTTCAGACATGCCACCAGCTGGCTCTCCTAATATTTGCTGTGGGGCCATGTGATCATCAGGAGGGATAGGTCCTCAAACAGGCGATGAGCTCAGGACATGGGCATTGCCACACCTGTTCCTCTCCCCAAGGAGGGGGGAAAGCTGTGCAGTCACAGACAACGTGGCCTTTTATAAGCTTGAATGTGATGTGCATACTTGTGCATGGGCAGGAGAGCAGACAGGGACCAAGCCAAGGCTGACAGGGATCAGAGGGAAGGACAGGGGTGTTTGCGGGTGCCTGCAATGTGGCAGTGGCTGAGCTGGGCCTGTGTGCCTGTACACCATTGTGTTTCAGATATTTTTGACTGTCAAGTTGCAGGAAGAAGTATATTTTGCAGCATGACCTGTAACACACACACATGCACACACAATTGACATGAAAGTTTCATGAATCTGTACTTACCTTTTATGAGCAATGCATGCTGACTTTGATTCGATTCTAGTTTATTCTACTCCAGTCTATTTTATTCTTTCATTACAAAATTGCTAGTCATGACCCATGAAATATGTCAAAACCCCCAAATGCAGGAGTTCATAATCTGGGTCTACAAACTTGTATAGAACAAAACGATATAATTTTATTTTCACTGACCTCTAGTTGAAATACAGCACTTCCTTTAGGTATGAATATAGGCAACAAATCATAGTAATATGTTTCATAGTAATTATGTTTCACACACACAAAAATCACAGGCTGGGAGTGGTGGCATGCACCTGCAGTCCCAGCTACTCAGGAGGCTGAGGTGGGAGGATCGTTTGAGCCCAGGAGTTCAAGGCTGCAGTGAACTATGATCACGCCATTGCACTTCAGCTGGAGCGACAGAGTAAGATCTTGTCTCTAGAAGAAAAATCACAGATTGTTTTGTATCTCGTTATGTTTGTTGCAGATGTCTCAAAATAACATTTATGATCTTCACTACCTCAAAATTGTGGTCGTTACTAATTGCTGGAACTTTTTATTTATTTGAGACAGGGTCTCGCTGTGTCATCCAGGCTGGAGTTCAGTGGCTCAGTCATAGCTCATTGGAGCCTTGAATTCCTGGCCTCAAGTGATCCTCCTGCCTCAGCCTCCCAAAGTGCTAGGATTACAGGTGTGAGCACCAGGCCTGGCCCGATCTTGTTATTTAATTTGTTAATAAAGAAGCACTTGTATTACTACATCACACATCTAAAATATTTTGAAAATTGCATTTCAGTAGGTTTCCTTTGTAAACCTATGTATTTGGCTAAGTGCAGTGGCTCACACCCATAATCCCAGCACTTGGGAGGCCGAGGCAGGAAAATTGCTTGAGGCCAGGAGTTCGGAGAGCAGCTTGGGCAACATAGTGAGACCCTGTTTCTACAAAATTGATAAGAGACCCCGTCTTTTAAAAAATAACTGGGTGTGGTGGCAAGCCCCTGTAGTCCCTGCTACCTGGGAGGCTGAGGTGGGAGGATCACTTGACCAGAAAGACTGAGACTGCAGTGAGCCGTGATCATGCCACTGCATTCCTGCCTAGGTGACAGAGTGAGACCCTGTCTCTTTAAAAAAAAAAAAAGAAAAAAAAAGGAGCGTGAGGAAAAAAAACCCTTATGTATTGGCATTTAAATATTATTCTGAGTCTGAGAAGGGGGTCTGTGGGTTTCACTGGATTTGTGAGAGGGTCCATGGCACACAGAGTTTGAGAGCTGCTGCCCCAGTGAGTCCTGATACACAGTTCATGAAACGCTACCCCATGCTGAAAGCTCTTGGGGGGCAGAGCTCCGGAGTCTTGAACCTCGAGCCCAGCATGGAAATCACATCGGTGGCCAATGTTTCCATAGCACATATGGTGCCAGCCTCTGTACGAGGCCCTTCACATGGATTATTTCTTTTAATCTTTACACCAACTCTTGTGTGAGGGGTACTATTCTTAGCCCCATGTCTCTGTCTCTTTACCCTACTTCATTTTTCTTCTTAGCACCAGAAGTGTCATATATTTTTATCTGTTTATTGGCAGCCTCCCCCACTGGGATGTGTGTCTCTTGAAGGCAGGAATTTGCTTTGCTGAGTGCTTCATCTCCAAAATATCAAAATATGCAAGACTTAAGGGGGTACCAAAAACTCAGGAATCATGCCATGTCACATATCATGTTCACACACACACCCACAACCTCAGAAATCGAAATAAGGAACATTTTACTGCCTTTTTTTTTCTGGGACAGGGTCTCGATCTGTCACCCATGCTGAAGTGCAGTGGTGTGATCATGGCTCACTGCAGCCTTGAACTCCTAGGCTCAAAAGATCCTCTTGCCTCAGCCTCCCAAGTAGCTGAGACTACAGGCACACGCCACCACACCTGGCTAATTTTTTTTTTTGAGACAACAGTCTCACTCTTTCACCAGGCTGGAGTACAGTGGCGCGATCTCAGCTCACTGCAACCTCTGCCTCCTGGGTTCAAGCGATTCTCCTGCCTCAGCCTCCCGAGTAGCTGGGACTACAGGCGTGCACCACTACGTCCAGCTAATTTTTGTGTTTTTAGTAGAGATGGGGTTTCACCATGTTGGTCAGGATGGCCGCAATCTCTTGACCTCGTGATCTGCCCACCTCGGCCTCCCAAAGTGCTGGAATTACAGGCGTGAGACACTGCGCCCAGCCTAATTTTTGTATTTCTTATAGAGATGGGATTTCACCACGTTGCCCAGGCTGGTCTTGGCAACTCCTGGGCTCAAGTGATCCCCTTGCTTTGGCCTCCAAAGTGTTGGGATTATAGGCATGAGCCACTGTACCCTGTCTGTAATATTTAAAAAAATAAAAAATAATGCCCCAAACCCATAAACAAAATATCAACATTTCAAGTAAAGATAGGATCCAACCTCCTGCATGTGTACATTACTGCCTGGATCTCCTTATCCTGTTACTGGTCCTGAGGGGCTTAAAACCTAACGGTTGCTAAAGTGAATTAGTCTCATTTTGCAGATGGGGACATTGAAGCAAGGATGCTAAAGACCCCCTCGGTGCCAATAGCCAGTAAGTGGAGCAGTTAGGATTTTGAACTCAGGCAATTGAGTTCCAGCCCCATCTTTCTTAAACCCTGCACAGCCAGCCTCATGAATTATCATGCTTGATCTTTTTGGTAGAGGCAGTAAACTGGTAAAATCAGATAGGTTTGAGTTAAAACCCCAGTTTTGGCTGGGTGCAGTGGCTCACGCCTGTAATCCCAGCACTTTGGGAGGCCAAGGTGGGCAGATCACTTGAGGTCAGGAGTTTGAGATTAGCCTGGCCAACATGGCGAAATCCCATCTCTACTAAAAGTACAAAAATTAGCTGGGCATGATGGCGCATGCCTGTAATCCCAGCTACTGAGGCAGGAGAATTGCTTGAATCCGGGAGGCGGAGATTGCAGTGAGCCGAGATCACACCACTGCACTCCAGCTTGGGCAACAGAGCGGGACTCTGTCTCAAAAAAAAAAAAAAAAAAAAATTCAATTTTGCCCCTTCCTAGCTGGGTGATCTTGGGCCAGTCATCTCAATGCTCTGTACACAGATTAAAGAGGGCAGAGGGGACTGGAAGGGGATCAGAATGTGGCTACTTCATTAGGTGGGTCCACTGTGGGTGTGTCTGAGAAAGAGTGGGGAGACCGGGATGTTAGAGCAGGCACCCTTGGGTGAGAGCTGTGGGAGATGAAATAGAGAAGCATGCAGGAGCCAGTGGATGTAAGTATTTGCAGACCAAGCCAGGGACTTTGGACTTTATTTAACACGTAACAGAAAGCCTTTGGAAGGTTTTGATGGCAAAGTGACATGATCAGACTGACAGCTTGACAGGACCCCTCTGGCCATTATGTTGAGAAGAACCTGAAAGATCAAGGGCAGAAATAGGGAAGCTGGTCTGGACGTGGTACAATATGAAGGCAATAAACAATGGTGGCCTGGCCCCAAGCTGCAGCAGTGGAGGAGCAAGAAATGCAGATCCCAGATCTATTTTGAAGGCAGAGCCCAGAGGAACGGCTGACAAGCCATTCATTTCAGCACTGTTTGTTATAGCAAAAGTTGAAAGCAACTTGAACGTTCAGGAGTAGGAGACTGGCAATTACCATGTATAATAGAACACAACATAGGCTTATGAAAGAATGAGGAGGCTCTTCGTGTATTAATACAGAATGATTTCCAAGATACATTAAATGAAAAAAGCAAGATGCAGAGCAGTGTATATGGCACTCTTACTATTTGTATGGGGTAAAATCAAAGCAAAACAAAACAACACACGCACGCTACACATCGGTTATATGTATGTGTGTGTGTGTGTGTGTGTGTGTGTGTGTGTGTGTGTGTTTGCAAAAATGATCTCTGGAAGGATACGTGAGAAACTGGCGGCCTCTAGGGACAGGGGGACAGGGGTCCAGGGGTATAAGGGAAATTTCACTTTTCATTGCATCTTTTGGATTTGAGATTTTGTGCCTCTTCTCAACTGGAGGTGATGTCCCCCAGGGGACATCTAGCAATTTCTGGAGACATTTTTGGTTGTTGCAACTGGGGGGAGGTATTACTGGCATCTGGTGAGTAGAGGTCAGAGATGTTGCTAAACACCCTGCAGTGCCCAGGGCAGACCCCACAACAGAGCAAGAGCTGGCCCTAAATGTCAGTAGTGCTGAATTTGAGAAGGTTTGATCTATTAAAAAACATAATAAGGCTGGGTGTGTTGGCTCATGCCTGTAATCCCAGCACTTTGGGAGAGCAAGGCGGGTGGATCACCTGAGGCCGGGAGTTTGAGACCAGCCTGGCCAACATGGTGAAACCCCCTCTCTACCAAAAATACAAAAATTAGCCAGGTGTGGTGGCGGGTGCTTGTAATCCCAGCTACAGGAGGCAGGAGAATTGCTTGAACCTGGGAGACAGAGATTGCAGTGAGCCGAGACCGTGCCACTGCACTCCAGCCTGGGCGACAGAGCAAAACTCAGTCTCAAGAAAGAAAGAAGAAAGAAAGAAAGAGAGAGAGAGAGCAAGAGAGAGAGAGAGAGAAAGAGAGAGAGAGAGAAAGAGAGAAAGAAAGAAAGAATAGAAGTTTTTTTTTTTTCAGGATGGTCTTTATTCTGAGGTTGTATATTTTATGGGTTTGATATATCCTTTGTTTTACTAAGATAATATATAGTACATGATAGTCATTTTTTCCACATCTTTACTTGGCAAAATAAAATGTCAGCAAGCCTTATACACTTCTCTAAGCTGAATAAAAAATTATCCGGGCATGGTGGTAGGTACTTGTAGTCCCAGCTACTTGGAAGGCTGAGGCAAAAGGGTGGCTTGTGTCCAGGATTTCGAGGCTGCAGTGAGCTAAGACTGCACCACTGTTCCCCAGCCTGGGTGTCAGAGTGAGACCACATCTCTAGACAAATAAGAATAAATTTTTTTTTTTTACTGGGCTATGAAATCCTAAAGTCTGGAAACTACCCTTTTCACTCAATGGGCTTTTGAAAGGTAATGATTTTAAAATATGTCCACAAAATATTTGATCCTTTTTCCCCAAGAGGTAGAATTACCTCTCTCTAAGTGTGAACCAGATTTGGTGACTCACTGCTAACAAATAGAATTTGGTGCGAGTGATGGTTTCTGATTTCTGAGACTAGGCCACAAGACGCATTGTGCCTTTCTCCTTACCCCTCTCTCTTGGACCACTGCCCCTGGGGGATGCCAGCTTCCATGCTGTGAGGATATTCAAGAGCCCTATGGAGAAGTCCACATGGTGAGCAACTGAGGCCTCCTGCCAACAGCCAGTAAGGAACTGAGGCCTCCTCAGCCAACTTAGAGGCAGGTCTTCCATCCCAGTCAAGCAGAGGACTGCAGCTGGTGTCTTGATTGCAACCTTGTGAGAGACCCCTAGCCAGAACCACTCAGCTAAAGATGCTCCTGAATTCCTGACCCACAAAAACCATGAGATAATAAATGGTTCAACTTGCTAGAGTTTGGGGGGTAATTTGTTACACAGCAGTAGATAAATACAGAAGGCTGGGCACAGTGGCTCATGCCTGTAATCTCTGTACTTTGAGAGGCTGAGGTGGGTGTATCACTTGAGGCCAGGAGTTCAAGACCAGCCTGGCCAACATGGCAAAACCCTGTCTCTATTAAAAAATACAAAAAATTAGCCAGGTGTGGTGGCACATGCCTGTAATCCTAGCTACTCTGGAGGCTGAGTCACGAGAATTGCTTGAACTCGGCAGGTGGAGGCTGCAGCGAGCAGAGATTGTGCCACTGCACTCCATCCTGGGCAACAGAGTGAGACTATGTTTCAAAAACAACAACAAAAAACCTCCCAAAAACAAATATAGAAATCTTTGAGCCCTATCAGTAAGGCAGAGATCACAGAAAGGTAGCCTATGGGCTCTGGTCTGCCTACAGATATATTTCCTTTGGCCAGTACAGGACTACAAAAAATGGAATTAATCACTAATGTTTATTTATTTTTATTTTTTATTTATTTTATCTTTTAGCAGAGACAGGATTTCATCATGCTGGCCAGGTTGGTCTCGAACTCCGCCTTGGCCTCCCAAAGTCCTGGGATTTCAGTTGTGAGCCACATGCCCAGCCATAGTTGCTAACATTTAAAAGTTGGGTATTTCCTTTAAAAATCCAGATTTCTGACTTCTCTTAGAAAGATCTAATATTGCTGGGCCCACATCCCTATGGGGTAACAACCAGCTGGAGATGAATGGTGTTCACCCCTTTAGACAGGGTGTGTGTTCTGTTTTTTATCACACTCACCACCACCCCCTTAAGTCTCTTAGTTAAGTTGCTTTACTCATTTATGTTACCTGCTCTGCCCCAGTAGTCATTTGAGCTTATGCCTTCTATTGTGAGACAGTTTTTAATGAGATGCCCAGGCATAGTTGACATGAGAACTAAATGACCAGAGTTGGAACTTTGATTCATGAATATCATGTAGGATGGGTTACCACTGGGTTGCATAGTGGGGGTGAAAAGCCAGTTATATTTTCATGTCCTCCCTCTTCTGGGGGGAAGAGAGAAAGCTGATGCCGCCTGGAGACAGGATTCCTGATTCAAGTCCCCTTACAGCGCTTCCCATCTCGCCTCCCTGTGCCCTCCAAAAAATAAACTCCTCCAGGCTTGTTTTTTCCATACCTTTTATTGAACTCTGCAGACTTCATTAAGGGACCATTTGCTTAGAAATTCTTAAACATTTGGACATATTTTACAAGACAAGACAGCAGCTGGAGGTCACACAAAGATCACAATTTCATCTCACCACATGCATAAAAAGACACTGGGATTTGTGTGTGTGTGTGTGTGTGTGTGTGTGCGTGTGTGTTGCGCACATGCGCAATGCTTATTTTCACCTTTACAGGAAGGACTAGAGACATTAACTGACGAGAGATGAATAGGACCCACGAATGCACCCCCGAGAAAAGAGTGGCTGAGGACATTGGTCATTTATGGCTAATGTGATTGGCTTGGCCCCTGTCAAGGGTGAGGTGATCAGAATGGCTTTACTGGCAGAAAAGCCCCAACCTCACACGACGGGTTCCTGGGAGAGACAGGGTCTTAGCTGATGGGATCTGGGGGCATACTATCATGACGGCTTTGGGGCTCAGAAAAAAAGATCTTCGGCTCTAAAAGCTGGAGGGCAGGCTGGCCTTAATATCCAGCTGGACTCCCATGGCTCAGGGAATGCAATCCAGTTTCCAGATGTTGGCTCCTATGTTTCTGCCCCAGGAAGTCCCAGACCAAAGGAAGTCCCAACTTCGAACCCTTGGCTTAGTCCATTGGAAAACCACTTGGTGGTCCCCCCCATGGGTCGTGTGTGAGCTAAAATAGAACATGAGGCTGAGAAATGCAGGGTAGGGGAAGAGGAAGGAGGGCAGAGCTGCTCTGTGGGCCCCCAGGAAGTGTGGCTCTGAGAGGGCTGTGGCCCTTATCAGCTTGGGGCCTACAAGCATCAAATTGAGATGTCATCTTGAGTCAAAGAAAGATGACCTTGATGGGGCAGTTATGGGTTTCAGTGGGAGAGGGGCTCCTCATTTTTCTTCTCTTCACAGTTAGGTAGGGATTCATTAACTCCCCCATTCACTCACACATTCACGCATCCAGTCATCCACTCAGAGGCCAACCAGTCACACATTCACTCACTCACAAAAACACAGGTTGGATGACCATCATGTGCCAGCGGCATAGGTTGGGGATAACCCTGAGTTCCTGGTGCAGAAAATAAGATTCTCAGTTTTTGACCTTGGATTGAGAAGGACCTATGAAATCAAGATAGACCTGGAGAATCCTCCCTGTCCCCACCCACTCAGGCACACTCAGCTCAACCAAGAGGGAGGCCCAAACCCCAGTGAAGCCCAAGGGGCAGAGCCAAGCTGTGGATATGTCAGAGTTTCTTGGGCATCTTCTCTGCTGCCTGCCTCTTTCCAATCTTGGTTCAGATCAGGGAAGCAGGAAGTATGGGAAGATCCCTGCATGGCCCCTTGAGGGCATCCTAATGGGACGGAATTGGGAGTTTCTTATATTTTCATGAAATATCCTATTTTTGTCTCCTTGTGTTGTTGCAACTTGAGTGATTCTGCAGGGCAGAGCCTCCAGTGAGGAGTTGGGAGGAATCTTGAAAACTGGTTTTTATTTTATTTTGGTTTCAGAGGAAGGCGGCTGCTCATTCTACCCATCCAAACATATCATCCTGCCCAACCTCATACTAAAACAACCAAAGACAAACCAGTCTTCGGTTCACCCTGAGGTTGAAGTCTCACTTTCTCCCAATCCACCATACATAAACCCTCTCTTGTCAAATGCTTTCCTTAGAGAATGCAGTATGCAGGATGATTTGGGATGGAGGCCACAGCTGCAGGAGAGTGGCATTCTGCTTGGAGGCAGCCAAGAGCCTGGTTTTGCTGTGAAACTGGATTAAAAGCTGCCTTTCTCTTTTGACCCTTCTGGATTTTTTTCATTGACGGGGACTTTCAAAGGTCTTGAGTGGGGTCTCTTATTTGATTTACCAAAAAAACAAGCCCTTTTGGAATGGAGCCATTTGCTATTGCCTGGGAAGTTGTTCATTGTGGGGATGGCTAGTGGGGAACAGATATCATTGCATCTTTTATACAGAAAGCCCCAGGCTCATGAGGGCACAGGAGCTGGGCGGAGGGGCTGAAGCACCATAAGACAGCCAGCCAGGGATGGGGGACAGCGTGGATTGCTCCTTGGCTGGCCTGGGGAAGGGTAGCATGAGTCTCATCCCAATGTGGTGCCTGGTAGGCCACTGGGGATGGGTTGGATTGGTGACTGACAGTCATTAAAATGTTCCAAGACGGAGCCGGAAGGAAGCAGACTTGTCTCTTGGACACCCCCTCTGAGAGCTCCAAAGCCCAGAAGTTGCATTCCTGCTAATTGTGCTGCATGCCTTTGCCTCAGTGGCTTGAGCTTATATCCAGAGTGTTGAAACCACCTACACACACACACACACACACACACACACACACACACACACACACTCCAAGAAACAAAGAGGAATTTCTGTGGTTGTTCAGCCCAGTTTCCATGCAATGCTAGGGCCCCTCTGCAATGCCCATTTTTTACACCATCTAGCCAGCCTCTCTTTAAACACCTGTGATATAAGGGAGCTCACTGTCCACCATGGCATTGAGCTCCATGGTCAGACAACCCAGCCTGTTAGGAGGGCTTCCTTAATTTGAGCTGCAATTGACCCCATCCCTTTCATACAATAGAAATTTTCGGAGAACTTGCATACAGCCAGCTGGCAGCTAAGTTTTTTTCTTCAGGTGCACTGCCCCACTCCACCCCATCCTGGCCAGCCTTTAGGAGATCTTTTCAGGATCTTTGGAGGGAGGAACAGAGAATTAGGTTTATAAGTGAAGATGAGGGTTCCCTCGATTAACAGAGCCCTACCCAAATTCAAGTTGGCATTTGGGGTAGTTCAGGAGAAATTCTAGGTTAAGATAAAATCAGGGAGAGTGGATGGAAATGCAAACTATATAACCTCTTTCTTGATGAAAACAGCAACAGCCATAGGCAACAGTGTTTGCTTATCTGGGCATCAAACCCAGGAAACTACTGGCAGACTTTTTTTTGTTTTGTTTTTTTGCTTTTGTGCAGAGGAAAAAAAAATCTTGTCTGTTTTATTTGACTCTGGTTCAAACCAGACTATCAGAGGTTTTCGGGGTGGGAGAACTCTGATCAGGGTCATAGTCCAGAATAATAAAATTCATATTTGAGTTGGCTTCCTCTTGGGAGTTATCTGATGGGATGGCTCACTGCCATCTGAGGGTCCCAGTTTGGCTCAAATTTCTGATTCTAGGCAGAGCCCCAAGCCCTGCAGCTGACAGTGAGGTGGGTGGTATACCAAAACCTAAACGAATGCAAGTTGGAGATTATCTGGGCTTTCTTCATCTTCCTGCATGAGTTGACGGATGGAGAATCACTTTCTGCTGAAGATCCTGCCTAGTGAGATGTCCTCCGCCCACCCAGGACTGAAAACTGCCTCTGGAATTAATTATCAGGACAGTCCAAAAACTCCCCCAGGCGTGGATAGGTGGAAGCTGGAAAACTGCCCCTGTCCTTGCCACACACCTCCTGCTCTATGGAGCCAGGCAGCTGGCAAGGGAAGGGGAGATGAGCTAGCAGATTCGGGGACATCTCTTCTCAGGGTTTGGCTGCAAGGGTGTCTGGCCACTGTTTTTTGGTGAAGCTGTTAGAAATGGATTGAAATGGACTGGGTGCAGTGGTGGCTCACACCTGTAATCCTAGCACTGGGAGGCCGAGGCAGGCAGATCACCTGAGGTCAGGAGTTCAAGACCAGCCTGGCCAACATGGAGAAACTCTGCCTCTACTAAAAATACAAAAATTAGCTGGGCGTGATGGTGCGCTCTTGTAATCCCAGTTACTCAGGAGGCTGAGACATGAGAATCACTTGAACCTGGGTGGAGGAGGTTGCAGTGAGCCGAGATTGCGCCATTGCACTGCAGCCTGGGCAACAGAGCAAGACTTTGTCTCAAAATAATAATAACAAAAAAATAAATAAATAAACAGATCGAAACAAGGAACTGATAAACAAGTTGGTGAGATCGGAGGCCCAGCATGTTCTTGTGAGGTTCACGAGAACCTGAAAAACCTCTGACCTTCAGCTCTGATTGATGTTACAGGCCGACAGGGTGCTGGACATGTGGGAGCAGCCCAGCCAGGAGGGACTCACATGTGTTCTGGATCTCAGAAATGCCAGTGATGAGTTTGCTTGCATGAGATTTTTGGTTCCAAGATCTCTGGGGATGAGAAAACTCAGTCCCTTCAGATCCCTAAAGGGGTGTGGGATATAAGTGAAACCAGCCCACATCCCATCCTGATTTTGAGGGCCATCTGTAGCTCTGCTTCCCTGGGTCTCATTCCTGCATTCATGCCCTGGATTCTTAAGAACAACGAATGGGAGAAACACACAGAAATGAATGAGGAAAGTCACAGCATTGACAGAGTCCAGGCCTAGTGTCAAGAAATGCCTACACAAGGAAGTCAAACCCCAAAGTCTTTCCCCACCCTCAAGAAATCAGAATCAAAAGGAAGAAAACCCAAACAGCCCAAGGGACAATGGTAGGAACTGCAAAAGACCAGAAAACATCAGCTACGATAATGACCAACAATGAAACTCCTAAGATATTGTTCTGTATTACAAAAGAAGAAATTAGACTCAATTGCCCTATTATAAATTTGCTAAAAATACATATATATATATATTTTATCTGAACAGAAAAATAGACTACTCTGAGATGCGTGGACATTCTATGACATAGTCGCGCATCAGATACTTCTAGAGCCAGAAAAATGGCAACAGAAAATGCAGAGGTAACTCTTATTTCTGGGTGTAGCCAGGACTGGTTTGGGTTGCCTGGGCTGAGTGACATGAAAGCATTTGGATGCTGTCCTATAAGCAGTGATAGGTGAGGAAACATCAGCTCGGGGCTGGAAGCTTTCCATTGTCCTGCCGGGGTCTCAGGGGAGCCCCTTCTCCCTCCTGCCCACTCTGCAGCTACAGAAAAAGTCCTTTCCCAAAGAAGCATGTCCGGAGGCTTTTTGCCTTGCTCTCTTTTGATTCAAAGTTACTTGAATTGAGGCTGAAAAAAAGCCTGGGGTATTGTTACTTGAGATTAGTTGGTAGAGAAATAAGAATAGGAGAGAGATTAGCGATAGAGACCTGGCTTTAGTGGCTCTTGTCCGTGGTGAATTTTAAATATCCCCTTGTCCATGGAACTAGACACTCCAGCTGGGACTGGAGCAAGACAGAAATATACAATAGTTACAAATATCAACAATACATTACAGTTTTACAGAAGAGAATACTGTTTTGTTTTTCTCCTTAGAAACATGGATCTTATTAGGAGAAAGGGCAGAGACGAGGCTACAGTTACCAAGACACATGGAGAAGCTGGAAGTCAGTTTGAAAAAGTTTGTATCACCAGCAGTTTTCAGGGGCAAGCTGGGTGGGTTAAAAGAAATGGCCTCCTCAGGATTTTGTTGTTTTTCCTTCTTACTCTTCTTCCTTCTTGATCCCCAGTCCTTTGGAGAAAGGGACTTCACGGGAACAAATGTTCTCTCCTCCTTTTTTCTTTCCCCTTGAAGTGTGCTTAAGATAGAATTCCTAAAGAAGGCACTGAGAAATCTACTGCACCAAAGTCCTGTTGGTTTCTTTTACCCAAAGATAAAAAGGTGAATATACTGTCTCCTCCAAAGCTTCCCCACCTCTCTCACCGCCGGTGGCAGACTCTCCCCCGTGTGATTGGGACACATGGCTACCTGGTCCCTAGCCCTTTCAGATAATTGTGGAAGTTGGAATGCAAGTTCAGCTGGGTTCTTGATGAGTTTCAGTGAATTTGCCAAACTGACCAGCATCCATTCGCCGCGTCCAGCCCCTAGTTTGCTTGTTTGGGTTGACTTGTTTCTTTCTGCTCTCATTGGTTCAGGAATGAATGGGAAATGGACCACCAAGTTAAAGCAGGATTTGCCTTCAGACCATTGCTTTCCTCTTCTCTTCTCTATCAAGACCTTTCTATCGAGTGAACTTCTCAGTGAAGACTCTTAAGTAGATTTCCCAGTGCATGTATATTCACGTACATAGGTACAGGTTGGGTGTATACATATTAAAATTTGGATATGTTCTTTTTTAGCGGGTGGATGGGCTGGGAAAACTTATAATACTCTCTTTCGAATTGAGCACAGAATAAAAGCTATACTCCCCCAGTACATACACACACAAGTAAAAGAAAAAAAAACCCAATCAAACCCAAACAAAATACTTTCTAAGCATAGTATATGCTGAATTTCAATTATTCTGTTTCTATAAGAACTCTATAGGACTCTGGCTATGAAGCCTGAAAAGGTAGGTTCTTAATGATACTTCTGAATTCGTCCTTCAAAAGTGACTCAATAAAATGCTACTTTACGGTTGGACAAAATACACAAGGAAGGAAGGGCCAGGTCCTACATGACCACAGAAGGCAGAAAGGGCCTTTGGTTACAAGGAGAGTTGCACCAATTGGTTTTCGTTTTTTTTAAAAAAAAAAAAAAACAAATCATTTTCAATCTGTACAGTTCTCATCTGCTTCAACCAACAAATGAAATGCCTCGATTGGAAGAAGGGGTGGTAAGTTCCTTCTCAATATATATGGCTATATTGAAACATGTTCACTTTCCTGATATGTAAAATAGACTATATTATTATTATTATTATTTTTTACAGATAGCATCAGCTCTAAAAATATCTGAATTGGAAATCACAACTATTTACTTTTATCAAAAAGCATTTGTTTTTTTCCCTGAATTTTCACATTTGTGCTGATGGTGGACATTAATGGTGATGAAAACAAAGAAGAGACATGTGAGATGGTCGGCGGAGAACTGTCCCACAGTCATTCCTCAAGAGGCCCCCAGCTCAGACTGCGTGTTCAGCAAAGTGTTTTGGGAGTGCTGCTTCCTCTGCCTGGCACGGGATGACCTCACACTCTCCCTGCCCCTAAGTCCCTTTGCAGTTGCTGCGCGAATACTCTGAAGATACCTAGGAAGAGTGACGTTCTCGTTTTCTCTGTTAATGCGGCAAAGAACAGGACTGCACCCTCTTGGGGGGATCTACAGTCTCTGGAGATGCTGAGAAGTGTTATGAATTGGGTTTGTATACAGCAGAGAAGACATATTTTTAAGGGTGGTGGAATGATCCCATCTCATCATATGTGTGGCAGGTGGCTCAACCTTATGCCTTATGTATGAAGAGCAGGCAGAACAGCTCCATGATATTTGTGTACTGAGAGGTGGATCATGCCATTGTACTAACAGGCAGACCAGCAACAGATGATATTGAGACTTAAGACTAGGTGAACCAATACCATATCTTTCTTCCACTGGGAAGACATATGCCTGTTACTGTATTGAGGATAGACAGAACTACACTATTGTACTTGGGACATCATCCATCAACATTACATTAAGAGAACAACATTGTTCCATTGTACTACAGACAGGCAGACCAATAACATGTCATCTTTACTGACAGGTGAGCCAACACTATAGCATTGTATTCATCAGTGGTTCAACCTAATGCCACTGTACTGAGGAATGGCCAACAACACCATGCTGTTGGACTAAAAGCAGGCAGGACAATGCCAGGTCATCAAACGAGGACAGGAAAACCAACACCAAGAAATACACCAGAACCACTCAGGATGCACACAAATACTTATTGCTTTTGTCTGTACTGGCTGCATCGATGGCTGCAGGAAGGAGAGTTGAGCTTTTAGTACAGACAGTGACACTGAAAAACCAATAGCTGGTTGACAAGAAAGAGAACAGAGTAAAACACCCAATGTCCAACTGTCACTGTGTCCTTTTGAGATGTGCATGTCTCCTGTATACTTGACTTCATGAGAGGCCCCACCCAAGGGGCAAGAACCCCTCCTGACCCATGAGGGTTAAGGGAAGGTTTCAGAGGGGCAGGGAAGGAGCCCACAGACTTTGATATGGCAGACAGTAATACCAGCACAATATTACCCATGCTGGCCAGAAATGGGCAGGTAGCAACAATCCAACTACAGTCCCAACAATTGGGCTATGGGAAATAGTGCTTATTTTAAAGTGCAAGATGTTGACACTGTCCCTGGCAGAACCTATTTTTGAAAAACATAAAGTGCTTTTTATTTTAACTTTTTTTTTTTTAACTTGAAAACCACAGAAAACAAAACAGAATTTCTATTATAGTAGGTACTTTCCTTGCTGCAGCAGGAATTATTCAGTCTGAACTGGGCATTTCAATGCGTGGTATTTTTTTCCTTTCATTTTTGCAAGTAAAAAAATCATATTTTTATGCTGTTCTTCAGTAACACACAGTCTCTTTGAATAAACTATTTCTTTTGCATATTTGACACTTGCATATCTTTTGAGTCTACACTAGTGATGTAAAGAAAGCGTGTTCCTCCTCCAACCCTAAAACAATGCTCTGAGTTCATGCTGTTGGCTGGGTGCCCACCTTCTGAACCCTTCCCAGATTGCCAGGGGGCAATTAGAATTGAGTACAAGTGGTGCAACTCACCCTGATGGTATCTCAAAATAAAATCTCAGGTACTATGAAATACCGAAGTCAATGAAGACATTTGAGTAAGGGTTTTGCGCTGGGATCGTGGCTTATGGCGCAGAGACTTCCCCATGACCAATCATTCCCTGTAGCTGTCTAACAGTGGAATCCATCCAGGAGGTGATGGACAGGTGTTCCTAGGGGTGGCTGGGCAACATTCAATACCAAATTGGTCAACCCACTCTTTCAACACCAGCCGCTTGTTCCAGCATCCTTCTCTAGCTGAAGCCAGGAGGACTGTCAATGTTGCCCTCCGAGGCTGAGATGGAAAGCCACGAGAGAATGGGGAGTATGTGGCCTCGGTCCTGTCTAAAGTGGTGGTAGTGGTGGCTGTGAGTTCCACTCATGTCATCTCCCAAAGAGGGCTATAGAGTTGTTACAAGGAGGTGCTGTGCCCTATGGCTTGGCCAACTTCATGCTGATGGACCTGTCATGGCTCTCAAGGTCTTAGGGAGCCTTCTCTGGAGTCTCTCTTCTCTCTGAGGGCTTTACAGGGCCTTTCTGTTCCAGAGTTCATGCAGAAAAGCTCTGTGGCAGGTAAGCTGAACAGCTCTCCTCTTTGGACCTCACCCAAAAGTCTCTCCTCCAAGGCAGGGCAGTTCAGATGCTCTGATCTCGTGTGCTTCCATGGGCTCCTCCCCCTGGCAACACACGGACGTCAGGGGAGATGTGGTTCTCAAGTTTGCACTTTTCCTGACCACTGGGGCCTTTTCCAGTCAATGCTTCTGTGGAGTAAATACAGTTCTGCCTTAAGAACTTAGGGGAGGTGGGTAAAGGGGAGCTTTCAAAGTGGTTTTTCTCCGATCTTGTCCCCGTGCTGAACTTCGGACTGGTGCTCCCAGGGAGGCTTTTGGGGGGGCTGGAGTCCACACTGTAGAGCAGCTGTCCCTCATCATCTGTGTCTGCGTCAATGTACTGGTGGACACCCGCCTCAAAGTTGAACGCTATTGCTGTGTGTTTCTCAGGAGACCGGGGGGGTGTCTTAGCACTTGCTGTGGTGTAGATGGAGGACTCTGGGCTCAGCACAGCCTTGTCCAAAAGCGTGGCACACTCCAGTCCAGCGACAGCAGCCGCAGCACTCCCCCGGTTCCTGAGAGGGTCATGGTACATCCCTAGAACGGGGAGGAGTGGACTGGGGTCACCCTCCATGAAGTTGACTTTAAGTGCTCGGAGCTTCAAAGGGTTGTTAGTTTTCATGGAACTCTTGGGGCTCTCGATGAAGAAACTAGAGTGCTGGCTGGCATCAGGGCTGGGGTTGGCCTCCACAAACCTACCACCACTGGCACCCAGAGCTCCCCGCCAGCCCACTTCTGGGGCTGTGCTGCCCCCAGTCTTGCTGGGGAGTGATGTCAAAGGGCTGTGGGAGAATCTGGTGGCCTCAGGGAAGTCTGTGGCACAGCTAATGAAACTATCAATGCTTGACATACTTCGCATGTCAATGACCCCTTCTGTGCGAGTGGGCAGAGGGGCTACGGGGCTGGGGATACTCTCCATTTCAAGTTCTTCCTTTGGTTTGCTCTGTGCTGCTGACTCCTTGGTATTGAGGATGGGTTGGGATTGGGTCTTGGCCATCTTATTGTACATGTCTTCCAACTGCTGAACGTTCAGGTGCTGAGGACTAGAAGACGATCTGGCTTTTTCAGGGGATCCCTGTTCCTTGGTTTCAAAGGACTTACTTGAGCTGGTTTCAGACAGTGTCCTCTTTGTCCATTTCCATTTGTTAGGAGACAAGTGGTTATCTTGTACTTTGTCTTTCTTACCCATATTCTCCCCATTTTTCTCAACCACAATGTCCATCATCTCAATGCTCCGGGCAAAAGCATCCTTCATGTTCATGGATACGATGCTGCCATTCCTCTTGGCTCTCTCCAGAGCCTCTCGCCGTTTGATTGCTTTCTCCTGTCTCTTCTGCTCCTTATAGAACTCAGAGAAGTTATTGACGATGATGGGGATGGGAAGAGCAATCACCAGGACTCCTGCAATGCAGCAGAGTCCCCCAACAATTTTCCCCAGGAGAGTCTTGGGGTAGATGTCTCCATACCCAACAGTAGTCATGGTGATGGTGGCCCACCAGAAAGAGGCTGGGATGCTTTTGAACTTGGTGTCGTCCTCATCCTTCTCAGCAAAGAAGACAAGGCTGGAGAAGATCATAATGCCCATGGCAAGGAAGAGGATGAGCAAGCCCAACTCATTGTAGCTCCTCCGCAAAGTGAAGCCCAGAGACTGGAGGCCAGTGGAGTGGCGTGCAAGCTTAAGGATGCGGAGAATTCGCATGATGCGGAAGATCTGGACCACGCGGCGGACATTCTGGAATTGCAGCACGCTCTTGTTGGATTCGGTGAGGAAAATGGTGACATAGTATGGCAGAATGGCCAACAAGTCAATGGCATTGAGTGGGCCCTTGAAGAACTTCCACTTCTTGGGCGAGGAGAGGAACCTCAGCAGGTACTCCATGGTGAACCATGCGATGCACACGGCCTCCACGTGGGCCAGCTGGGGGTTGTCTGTGGACTGGCCGAACTCATCGAGGCTCTGTAGCTCAGGCAGCGTGTTGAGGGACAGGGCAATGGTGGAGAGGACGATGAACATGATGGAAATTATGGCAAGGATCTGTGAGGAGAAGAGAGTGGGATTTAGTTATCAACCACCCCACAGGATGATCATCATAATATCCTGGATCTACAGGGCACTCCTCAATGTTCAAGAGCATTTTCACATTTCACTAGTCATTTAATGAGCCAAAAAGAGAATTTGTTGTAATCCATTTATTGTCTAGATGTGGAAACCAAGGCCCAGAGAAATGAAATGTTTTAAAGCTATCAGCAAGCCCAGGGTTCAAGCATACTTTTTCAGATAGTAACCATTTTATAGGCCCTGAAACCCTGCATTGTCTGTCACAACGACTCGACTCTGCAGCTGTAGCATAAAACCAACCTTGGATAATACATACATGAATGGGCATAGCTGTGTTTCAATAAAACTTTATTTACAAAAATAGGCAGTGGACTGAATTTGGCCTGTGAACCATGATTTGCTGACTTCTGATCTAGACCAGTGGCTCACACTGGATGGGGAACTACCTTCACAGAGATGATACTAATGATAATAACTATCCTTGATTGAGTGTTCATTGTGTGCTAGGCACTTTCCATGAAATAGCTCATTTCATTCTTATAATAACCCCGTTCAGTGCTATTAGCTCCATTGAACAGATGCGGACACTTGGGTTTCCACAGCTAGTAAGTGGAAGAGCCAGCATTTTAACCCAGGTCTGTGTGACCCAAGAACATGAGCTCTTAAGGCTGTGTTAAAAATCAGATTTGGCTGGGTATGGTGCCTCATGTCTGTAATCCCAGCACTTTGGGAGACCTAGGCAGGAGGATCGTTTGAGGCCAGGAGTTCGAGTCTAGCCTGGGCAACATAGTGAGACTCTGTCTCTATAGAAGAACAAAGGGGAAAAAAATCAGATGAAAGCTAACCTTTTGCTAGAAAAATGCCTAGACACTCAAGATTTTGCAGGTAATTCCTAGGGAGGCACAGACATTCTGGGCCCATGTTAACTCCTGATTGGAACTATGTGCTTTTGGGGGCTAAAGACCTTGGCTTAACTACCTTTGAGTCCCCTGGATCAAGAAGAGAGCTTGGCCCAGAGAAAGGGCTCAATGGATATATGTTGAAATTAATGGAATCTAGGCCAGTAGGCCAGTCTACAGACTATGCAGAAAAGCAAACAGATGTAATCAATTGCTCTGAGGGTCTTTTTTTTTTTTTTCAAAAATACAAATCCAATCACATTACTCCTTTGTTTAATAAATCTCCAGGGCTCCTCATGAAAAAATCCAAACCCCTAAACCTGTCTATTGGGTCCCCTATACCTGTCTTGCTTTTGTAGATTTTCCCTTTCTCTTCCTCTGCCCCTGCTAAGTGGGAAGGGGGGGGCCTGGTCACCATGGTTGTATCATTTGATCCTGCCTGCCAATGATCAGAGCATGAAGTTTGGATAAAAAAATCCAAGTTAAGCCAATCCGTACACTGGGGCTTAGCCAGCCTACCTTTGAGAAATTTGAGTTCAGGAACCCAGGCGGTGAGTGGGTTACGGGAGGGTAAGTCCCTGAATTAAATGTTAAGTAGAATCTAGGCTTGAATCAGCTTCATGATAAGCCCAACCCTCAAGCAACTGTCTCCCAAATGTAGGGGACAGAGATGCCATAAAAACATCAGAGAAAGCTGAGCCTTAGCCTAGACATGGTGGCTTACATTTGTAATCCCAACACTTTGGGAGGCTAAGGTGGGGGGATTGCTTGAGCCCAGGAGTTCGAGACCAGCCTGGGCAACACAGTGAGACCCCGTCTCTACAAAAAATAAAAAAATCTGCTGGGTGTATTGGCACATGTCTATAGTCCCAGCTACTTGGAAGGCTGAGGCGGGAGAATCTCTTGAGCCCAAGGAGGTTGAGGCTGTGGTGAGCCATGACCACACCACTGCACTCCAGCCTGGGTGACAGAGAGAGAAACCCTGTCTTGAAAGAAAACAAAAGAAAAGAAAAAGGAAAAAAAAAAAAGAAACGAAATTAGCCGGGCATAGTGGCGGCACCTGTATTCCCAGCTACTTGGCAGGTGAGGCAGGAGAATGGCTTGAACCCGGCAGGCAGAGGTTGCAGTGAGCCGAGATTGCACGACTGCGCTCCAGCCTGGGCGACAGAGTGAGATTCCATCTCAAAAAACAAACAAACAAACAAACAAACAAACGAAAGAAAAAGACAAAGAAAGCTGAACCTTCAAGAGAAGCCAGAGAATGAAGGGAAGGTGCAGATGAAGGAGGAGTGGGGACCGCAGGAGGGTCATAGCAGGGTGCCGAGGGCAGCAGTTAAGAGCTGAGGCTCTGGTGTCAGCCTGTTTGAGGTTCAAGCCTCAGCTCTGCCATTTCCTTACATTGAGCATGTTATTTAACCTCTCTAAGCCCCAGTTTCCTCATCTAGCAAATGGGCTGATAATAACAGTATCTACCTCAGAGAACTGCTGTGAAGATGAAATGTGTTAGCACAGGCAAAGTGCTAGGACAGCTTCCAGCAGCACACGGTGAGTGTCTAATAGATGCCAGCTGTCATCACAGGGGAAATCTCAGCCCACATCACCCCACCCACTCAGATCACCAGCCTCGGGGTGGCCCGGTCTCGGTCTTTGCCTCCTGTCCTTGTTCTGAGACTGTCTGCTGTATCCTGTAAGTCAACCCAATTGCTACATGGGTGAGTGTGGGAGGTTTCTGGCCCTGCAATGAATCCCCAGTAAGGACACTTGGTTGTCAAGTCCTTCTCATTTTGACTCTGACCTCTCTCTCTGGCCACTCCTGCCATCGGTTCTCAAAATTCACACTCCTCTAGCCGCACACTATCATTGGTCAATTCTGCATGTCCGAGCTTCTTGCTTGCTGTCTGGTGAACTCCAATCCATCTTTTCAAATCCAGCCCATGTGACCCCTTCCCTTTGGAGTTCTCCCTGCTTTCCCCAGGCAGGGTTGACTGCTCCATCCTTGGGTTTCCTCACCATTTTACCATACCTTGGGGATACTTACCACTCATATCCCATCACAGGTGCGTGCGTGTGTGTGTGTGCATGCGTGTGTGTGTGTGCACGTGAGTGAGTGTGCTTATTGCTGCCCAGAATTGGTGAGTACTGGGAGGATGGGGATGGGTTCTGAGGTTTATCTATGTGCCCCCAGCACCTAACCCAGGGTGGGACACCTGACAGGTGCTCACCAAGTATTTGTTGGCCGTTGCTCAAGTTCATGGAGTTAGAAGTAGAAGGGTCAGTACCAGAATTCAGGTTTTTTTTTTTTTTTTTTTAGAGACAGTATCTTTCTCTGTTGCCCAAGCTAGAGTGCAAGGGTGTGATCATAGCTTACTGCAGCCTCAAACTCCCATGCTCAAGCAATTCTCCCACCTCAGCCTCCCAAGTAGCTAGGAATACAGGAGAGCACAACCAAGCCCAACTAATTTTTAACCTTTTTTGTAACGATGGGATCTCACTTTGTTGCCCAGGCTGGTCTCGAACTCCTGGGCTCAAGCTGTCCTCCTGCCTTGGCCTCCCAAAGCACTGGGATTACAGGTGTGAGCCACTGCACTGGCCTGGGAAATATTTCTTGGTCATCTACTCTGCGTGAGGCACTAGGCCAGACATTGGGGATGCCACAGGGGGCAAGAGAGTGCCAGTGCCCTGATGGGCCAGCTCTGAAGATGAAAGGGAATGTTCCAAGGTGTGGTGCCTCCCCAGCCTCAGGGGTTCCATAACTTCTGATTTTTTTGCTATAGTTAAGTCTGACACATCCTATGTTTAAAAAAAAATAGGTTTGAGTTTCTTGATTTGCACCCATTGAAAAAGGAAGATTCTGTAATACTTTATAAATGAAATGTTTGAGGCAGGGTGCAGTAGCTCAAACCTGTAATCCCAGCACTTTGGGAGGCTGAGACAGGTGGATCACCTGAGGTCAGGAGTGCAAGACCAGCCTGGCCAATGTGGTGAAACCCCGTCTCTACTAAAAATACAAAAAAATTAGCCAGGTGTGGTGGCAGGCGCCTGTAATCCCAACTACTCGGGAGGCTGAGGCTGGAAAATTGCTTGAACCCGGGAGGTGGGGGTGGCAGTGAGCTGAGATCATGCCATTGCACTCCAGCCTGGGCAACAAGAGTGAAACTCTGTCTGAAAAATAAAATAAAGAAAATAAAATGTTTGATATATACAAAAATAGACCTAATTTATATATAATTTATGAACCATAATCAAATGAACACCTAGAACCCGCCACCCAAATGGAGAGACAGAGCAGGCAGCAGTAACACTGACACTTCCTTTGTGTCTTTCCCACTCCAGAGATAACCTCTGTGTGCAGTTTTTCGTCCCTTTGTTTCTCTGTATGATTTTCAATAAGAATATATGGGTCCCTAAATTGTCATTTTGTTGCGTTTTTTTTTTTTTTTTTTTTTTTTTTTTTAAGAGGTAGAGTCTCACTCTGTGGCCCAGGCTGGAGTGCAGTGGTGCAATCACAGCTCGAATACCTAGGTTCAAACGATCCTCCTGCTTTAGCCTCCGAGGTAACTTGGACTACAGGTGCATGCTACCATGCCTGGCTATATTTTGTAGAGATGGGGTCTCACTATGTTGCCCAGGCTGGTCTTGAACTCCTGGCCTCAAGCAATCCTCCCACCAGGGCCCCCAAAGTGCTAGGATTACAAGCGTGAGCCACCGCACCTGGACTTTGCTCAGTTTTGACGTTATACTGTATGTATTTTGCTACTTGTATCACTCTTTCCTTAATGGTAAAAACAAAAAATCAAAAAAGCCCACTCACCTTCTTTATTTTATTTTAGCTTTATTCTAAGAAATCATATGCAAAATTGCTGATTTTTCATGCCAGGGCTATATGTATTAAATATTCACCAAAATAAATATGTAATTGTTGGAATAACATCTTGGCAGCACACTTTTTGGTGCTCCTGTGTTGAGCTGAGGAGTGTGGGTCCTGGAGTTGAAATTCTAGCTCTTGCCATTCATTGGTGGAATGGCCTTGGGCATCCAAATGTTCACTGCCTCAGTTTCCTTATTTGTAAAATGAGGACATACTAGTGGTTTTTAAGGGGATGATTTTTACTCCTGGGGGACACTTGGCAATTTTGGCAGAAATTTTTGGTCGTTACAACTGGTGGGAGGGGTGCTCCTGACATCTTGGGGGTGGAGGTCTGGGATGTCACTAAATGCCCTACAATGCACAGGACAGCTCCCACGGCAAAGAATGATCTAGCCTGAAATGCCATCAGTACTGAGATTGAGAAACTCTGGGACATGCCAATAGTCAGCCCCTCACAATTGTGGAGTTGGGGACACAGAGTGGGTCAGAGTGGGCAGCCAGTGGGCTTTGGGCTGAGCCCTACAGGAAGCTGCTCTCGTCTGGTGACTTCTGGCAGGAGGGCGCCTGCACAGGGAGGAATGGGTTCCCTGGGAGTCTGTTCCTTTAAGAGCTGGGCAGTCTTATTTTCCCCCAAAGGCTAGCAGGGGAAGCCTGCTTTGGTTTCTAACCCCCAGACAACTCCAGGGAAGGCCCACATAATTGATGTTCTGGCGACAGATGCATGAATTATGCACCCAGCTATTGTACAGACCTAAAGCAGGCACCCCTTTTGTACTTGAGACTGTGCCCTCCCTCTCCCCTTCCCTCAGCCCAAGGAAGCCTAGGAAACGAGCAAAGCAGGGGGAGGGGCTCCACTGGACTCCAAGGTGGAGGGTGTGGGGGAGTGCCTGCTGCTCAGGGTTGGGTTGGGAGGGTCAGAGCACACCTGCCATCGGTCTGTGTGAATGTGCATCACACAGCGTATGCGGTAATGCAGTGTGGGGGGTCTCCCCTGCCCCACCCCTCCTGACCCCACCTGCAAGAACTTTTTCTTTCCCAGACTCAGTGAGGCCCTTAGAATCAGGGCCACACTTCCTGCCTGGGGAACTTCCCAACGTGATTTAAGCCCTCTGTGCCTCAGTTTCCCTATATGTAAGACAGGGATCATTGCAAGACTGCAATGAAAATTCATTGAACTCAAAATGCCCTTAGCTAGTGGCACAATCACTTTAAACTTTAATTGTATTTATTTCTCCACATTTCTTTACATTTATTTATAGCTGGTTTTGGACTTGAGTTTGAGTCCCAAGGCTATTATTCCCCAGCTGTGTGGCTTTGGACAAGCCACTCCCCCTCTCTGAGCCTCTATTTCCTTTTCTCTGAAATGAAGATGAAGGTAACTGAGTACTCACCTAAAAGCCACTTAATATATAATGTTATTAAATTATTATTCAGGGCCGGGTGTGGTGGCTCACGCCTGTAATCCCAGCACTTTGGGAGGCCGAGGTGGGCAGATCACCTGAGGAGTTCGAAACCAGCCTGGCCAACATGGTGAAACCCATCTCTACTAAATATACACAAATTAGCCGGGTGTGGTGGTGGGTGCCTTTAATCCCAGCTACTTGGGAGGCTGAGGCAGGAGAATCGCTTGAACCCGGGAGGCGGAGGTTGCAGTGAGCCAAGATTGAGCCACTGCACTCCAGCCTGGGCGACAAGAGGGAAACTCTGTCTCAAATAAATAAATTATTATTCAGGTAATTTATGGTCAACCCCATCCCTAACCTCTGTACTGGTTGCTTTTGGAAGCCAGGAGTAGCTGTGTAGACCCCAGTGACTGCCTAAGGCAGCGTGCGTCCTCTAAACAGCTCGTGGACCCAGATGGACTGTGTTGATTTGGTTTCTGGGATAAGCCCCAGGAATGGGGAACTGACTACCACCTGGGAGTCCTCCCAGCCCCAGCTCAGGCCTGGACAGGCCTCTGCTTTTCTGGGATCTGAGCCCAGTTGGGCTTGGCAGAACTCCAGGAACCCGGGGAGCAGAGGCAGGAGCCAGCTCCAGAGACTGGGAGGCTGTCCCCAAATTCCCTGTGAAGAGGTTCTGGATCCTGGAGCCTACCTGTCTGCACCAAATGGGAGAGGGGGCTTTGGTCCTCTGGGGGAAGAGATTGGCAGGTGGGGATCCCCAGGGTGGAATTCAGGAGTGCTGGAGCCAGGCCCTCCTCATCCTAATCGTCGGCTCTGGTGGTTAATCACAGAGAGGCCTACGGACTGTTTATCGTGGCCTCTGCACACTTCCCTGCTGTTCCAGGAATGTGGATGAGGCACAGACTGTCCATGCAGAAAAGGGCTCAAGCTTCCTGCTGGGAAGATGGGGAAACTCAAGCAGAGAACGGAAGTGACTTGCCCACGGTCACACAGCCCATTGCTGTCAACACTGTTCAGTAACACTAGAAGCTTTGGCAAGCTGGAAGCTGCACCTAGTGTTTAGGGCTTGCAAATTGCTCTTCGTAAACATGCAGGTTTATAGCTGCAGTATTCATAATAGCCCCACAGTGGAAACAACCCCAATGTCCGTCAACTGATGAATGGATAAACGAAATGCAGCTATCCATACAATGGAATATTCTTCATCCATAAAAAGGAATGAAGTGCTGATATATGCTACAACACAGACGAACCATGAAAACATTATGATAAGTGAGAGAAGTCAGACACAAAAAGCCACTTATTATATGATTCCATTTATATGAAATGTTCAGATAAAGCAAATCTATAGAGACAGAAAGTAGGTTAGTGGTTGCCAGGGTGGGGGATAGGGATTAACAGTTAATGATCATAAAGGACGTCGTGTTCTAAAAACTGACTTAGGGCAAAGCCTGCACGATTTGGTAAAATTTAATAAAAATTATCAAATTGTATGCTGGAAATGGGTGTGCATTATATGATACATAAAGTAAGCCTCGATAAAGTTATATAAAAAGTTGCTTTCCATAAAGGGCAGCCCATTGCTATTGCTTTTCTTTTCTTTTTTCTTTCTTTCTTTTTTTTTTTTTTTTTTTTTGAGACGGAGTCTTGCTCTGTAGCCGAGGCTGGAGTGCAGTATCGCGATCACGACTCACTGCAACCTCCGCCTCCCGGGTTCAAGCGATTCTTGTGCCTCAGCCTCCTGAGTAGCTGGGATTACAGGCCACCACGTCCAGCTAATTTTTATATTTTTAGTAGAGACAGAGTTTCACCATGTTAGCCAGACTGGTCTTGAACCCCTGACCTCATGTCATCCACCCGCCTTGGCCTCTCAAAGTGTTGGGATTACAGGTGTGAACCACCGCACCGGGCCTTTTTTTTTCTTTTGAGACAGGATCTCACTCTGTTGCCCAGGCTGGGGTGCAGGGATGTGATCTTGGCTCACCGCAGCCTCAACCTCCCTTTTTGTATTTTTTGTAGAGATGGGGTTTTGCCACATTGCCCATGTCAGCCCATTGCTTTCCATCCCCACAACATATGGATAGTTCATAGGAGAGAAGAAGCTGAGCAAGCCACAGAGCTGCTGTAAGCCCTGCAGCGACTCCCCATTCTCCCAGTTAAGTTCCAGTTCCTGTGCCTTTAGTTGGCATGTGCTTATTGAGCACTTCCTAAGTGCTATGCTAGTTGCTGAGGGTGCTGCATGAATAAGGAAGAAAATTTCCTAGCCTCATGGAGCTAGCAGGGAGAGGCAGACCAAAAAAACCCAAAAACGTAAACCAGGAAAGAGGCAAGGTGATGTCAGATAGTGTTAGATGCTGTGAGTTATTGAGAAAAGCAAACCAGGGGGATCGATGCAGAAGCACTAGGGGTGTCCACGGGAGGCAGAGTGGTCAGGGCAGGCCTCTCTTAGGAGGTGTCTCGTTGCTGAGACTTAAAAATAAGAAGTGTGTGTCATTCAAAGATGCGAACATTCTAGGCAGAAGGCACGGCACGTATGAAAGCCTTGGGTGGGAATAAGCCTGGTATATCAAGCAACCCAAAGAAGCTCAGCATGGCTGGGGCTGCATGAGCGAGAGCGGGAGAGCGGGGTGGGCCTGATGAGACCTGATGAAGAGATCTGGGTTTTATATTAAGATCCCTTTTCTTCTCTCTCCTGACCATTTCCCCTATTTCCCATTGTAACCCACACTGAATCCTGCAGAAACCACTTAAAGTTCCCAAACTCACCACCATGGGTGCTTCCACCTCTAGATCTTTGCTGTTCCCTCTGCCTGGAGTACCCTTCCTCCTACTCCAAACCCACTTCTCCTGGCTGGTTCCTACTGCCTATTCAGGCCTCAGCTTTGGGGCCACTTGCCCCAGCGAGCCCTCTCTGGGCCCCCGGTCTGCATTAGGTACATCAGTTCTCTGAGCTCACACAGCCCCTGCGCATCTCTGATCACAGCCCTGGTGCTGCTGAGCTGAAACTGTTTTCTCCTTTCTGTCCCACACTAAAGTGTCACCTCCATGAGGGCCCGAACTGGGTCGGTCTTGTCCAGTGCTGTGTCCTCAGCTCCTGAAACAGTGCTTGGTACAGATGGGAGCTTTCTATATAGCTGACAAATGAATGAACAAGTGAATAAAGAAAATGGAGGCTGAGAGAATGAAGTGACTTTTCCAGAGTCTCGCAACTTGTAAGCGGTGGTTCCAGACCCATGGACTTGATCTCAGGTCTGTGGGTCTCCCAAGACGTTTTCAAGGACGTAGGAGGAGGCGGCTGCTGGCCCATCAAACCTTCGGTCCTTTTATGGTGCTTCCGCTTCCCCCAGCTTTAAGGGGGGATTACAGCTGGGGAGTTTTAATTAGAAGGGTCACTGGTGCAGATCCGATTAAGGGGATTGGGAGCAGGCTGATGGGGTTGCCCGCATCCCCTACAGGCAGGGAGGGGTCCCTGGCAGAGGATTGGTAAGACATTGGAGTCAGAAGCCTGCAGGGGGCGCTCGTGGGCACAAAGGGACAGGAATCCTGTGCGTGTACAACAAAGGATGAAAGCAGAGGGCTTTGCCATGAGAAGAAAACAGTCACAAAGATGGAAAGAGGATGGAGGGCCACTGTGGAGGGCGCCCTAGCCCTTATAACCCAGAGGCTTTGCTGCTGGGAAGTTTATTTTTACTTGGTTGACCGAGTTTCAAAATTGGGAGATTTTACATAAAAATCCAGATTTTCACATTCTTTTGGAAAATTAGATGCTCGTCTTCACTCAACCTGCATTCCCAGTGGCAACCACTGGCTAGAGCTAAGGAACAGCAACCCCTTGGGAGAGTGAACCAGCTCCCTAGTGTGCCACAGGCCCTTCACCTGTTTTGTGATCTGTCTCTGCAGGCAGCTGGGTTTGCAGTCACTGACCCACCTGAGGCGATAATGAAGACAACACCTGCCATAGGGTATGAAGAACTTTCCAGACAAGATCTGCATCAGACTCCACAAGCCAGGAACATGGGGGTCACACTTGCTATACCCTGCCCTATCCCCATACCCAGGGATCAGGAGACAGGAGCCTGCAGGGGGCAGGCTAAGAGCTAAGAAGGATAAGTAGGAAGTAACCATGCAGAGTGAAGGGAAAAGCATTCCAGGCGAAAGGAACAGTGTGGGAAAGGCCCCATGGCAAGAAGATAGTGGTTGCTAAGTCTGATCAATTCAAGTTCACCAACATCTGCGCATCTGTTCCATTCTCTCCACCTGCACAGTCCCCACCCTCCCGCATCAGGACTTCTTTCTGGCCTCCCCAAAACCACTCTCTGGCCCACTATTGCAAAGACCACTAGCTGTCACCAACATCTATTCTTCCCCTCTTCCATTGTCACAGAGTTTTAGCTGGACCCAGGGCTGCCCAGAATAAAGACTACATTTCCCAGCTTCCCTTGCAGTTAGATGTGGCCATGTGATTAACATTGGCCAATGGAAGGTGAGCAGAAATAATAGAAGCCCTGTCTCCTTTTCCTCCTTGCTGGCTGGCAGGCAGATGTGCTGGGCAGAGCTGGAGCAACTGTCTTGGATCTGAGATGGAAGCGAATCTCAGTGCTAGACTGGCCCTTTATGGAAAAAGTTTGCCAGCTCCTGGTCTATCTCATGACATCCATCTTGTTGAAGCCACTCACTGTATTTTGGGGTCTCATTGTTACAGCCGCTTAGTCTCTCCCTGCCTGACTAACTCTCCAGCCTTCTCTTGTTCCATGCTCTTCTCTGCCCCCTCATCTCAGGTACATTAACCAGTAACCTTCCTTTGGTCGTTCATAGTCTTCACTATCTTCTTGCCACGGGACCTTTCCCACACTGTTCCCTCCACCCGGAGTGCTTTTCCCTTCACTCTGCCTGGTTACTTCCTACTCATCCTTCTTAGCTCAAGATCACCTGTTCAAGGAAGCCATCCTTGACTTTCCTGACCAAGTCAAATCCCAATCACAGACTCTCATAGTACTATTATCCTTCTCCTCATAACACTGTTCAAGTTGCAATTTTGCAGTAATGTCCACCTCTGCAGACTGTAAGCAGTGTGAGGGCAGGGGTTATATCTGATTTTTCTCAATCTTGAATCCTTAGAGCACATAGTTGGTGCTCAATACATATCTATGGAACAAAGGATCTCATTTCATCCTGATAACAATCCTACAGGCTGTGCTGTGCCTCCACCTGTTTTATAATTGGGGAAACTGAGGCTTAAGAACAAATGTCCAGAGGAACAATTAAGAAAATAGTAGATGGCCAGGCATGGTGGTGCAGGCCTGTAATCCCAGCACTTTGGGAGGCCGAGTTGGGCAGATCACTTGAGGTCAGGAGTTTGAGACCAGCCTGGCCAACAAGGTGAAACCTTGTCTTTACTAAAAATACAAAAATTAGTCAGGTGTGTTGGCACATGCCTGTAATCCCAGCTACTCAGGAGGCTGAGGCAGGAGAATCGCTTGAACCCGGGAGGCAGAGTAGTGAGCCGAGATCATGCCACTGTACTCTAGCCTGGGCAACAGAGCAAAACTCTGTCAAAAAAAAAAAAAAAAAAAAAAAAAAAGAAGAAGAAGAAGAAGAAGAAAGTAGTAGAGAGAGAGTTTAAACTGATGTATACTAGACTTTGATGCCCTTCTTTATTTTAAAAAATATACATACCTGGGACCTTTCTTATCCTAGTATCCTGGGGTCTGGTTTTTAACTTATGCCTTCACTTGAACCGTCTCTCTGAGGTAACTGCACTCTTCTTAACAAGCTCTGGGTTGGGCAACCTCTTCCTAACAGGCCAGCCAGGTTCCCACAAGCCTCTCCAAAGGCAGGAATTCTGGGAGATGGTGATGTCACCATCTCCTGCCAACCTGAGGACAATGGTCTCTGGTGGAGGAGGAAGAGGGACTCAAAACTGATCCCTGCAGAGGGAAGAGGGGATGAAGAGGCTTGTTTCTGAAGGGGAGAAATGCGAGACAGTGTGCTCCCTGCCTGGGTGGTTGCCAATTCCCTATATTTGCTGAGGACATGAGCAGGTGGGGGAGGAACTGTCAGTGTTAACCGTGATGAATGGCACGGGTCCATTCCTGTTGTAGAGAGCAATGTATTGAATGAAAAATGAGGAGCACAGGAAGTGTTAGGCAAGGACAGTGTCCCCAGGTTCTGCCGGCCACAAACCGGTTTCCTTGTCCTCTGAGTCTGGCTGGAGGGGACTGGGGAGGGTAGTCTCTGAGAGCTTGACCAAGGTGGCTGGGGTTGCTAATGGAAGCTAATTATATGAGTCTGGAGAGATGCTGGGGTTAGGTAGTACTCTGGCTAATGTCAGAATAATGGCTCTGTGAGTGGTCTTTTTTTGACAATAGCCAGATTTACTGGTTAATGTCCAATCTACTTTTTGAAAGAGACATTTTGGTGGCTTAACAATAGATCTTTCTCATCTATTATGAAATTATAGCAGTTTAGTCTCACCAGAGATTCATATTGAGGTGAAATGGACACGTGGGTAGTCAGGAGACCTACTTTTAATTCTGGCTGGGCATGCTTCGGCAAGTGTCGTCACATCTCTGATCTTTCTCATGCAGGATCCACTGAGAGTCTAATGGGTCTCCAGTACAGTTCCTTTCTAGGTGGTGACTCAAGAACCTAGTGGCTCTACCATCTCAATTGGTAGCCTCCAGTCTTGCCAAGGCAGAGGAAGGGACAGTGTGGGCAAGTCACACTTGCTCTTAAATGCCCGCACCCAAAAGTGATACACATCATTCCCTCCCTCAACAGTGAGGCCTCTGGTCTCTTACTGTGTCCTCCAGGGGGACACAGTAAGTGCTTTGAAACTTACAAAATGCTTTATAACAGGCTAAGGAGATGGTCCCCAATATGGGTGTGTGCACAATATGACACACTGCAGTGCAGAAACAAATGACTGGCATTTCTACCCTTTACTGTTAAAAACAAACAAACAAACAAACCAAGAAATCAAGTTTTCCTGATGTTAAGTCCATGAATTAACATCGGGATCCTTGTTCACTCAGTATGTCAGGCAGCCATGGAGAAAGGAGAAGACCCCTGGCGGGAGAGTAGGGGTGCTTCAGCTTAGCGGGGTTGGCAAGGAAGCCCTCACATCTTTGTTTGATGGCCGCAGTGCCATGTATGTGTGTCTGGGGTGAAGAGACTTCTAGCACTCATGGGTGTCTGGTTCCAGTCTTCTTCCTGGGCAAAATGTCTATTTCCTCGAGGCAGTGGGGCGGGGATATCTGGTTCTGTATGGGCTCTGTGTGGGTACTGGCAGAGGCATTTAAGAGTGGGTGTGAGTTCTTCACACAAAACTTTGATGGGTAAAGTCAAGAGATTGTGGATTTCTTCATTACTGTAGCACAATCTAGCATCTTCTCACTAATTCATCTGGTCGAGTCAGGTTACAGATTCTATTTTCTGATTTTAAGCTAACTAGTCCTCTCAGACAAAGATGAATGGCTTACAAAGATCCTGGAAAACGGGCATGGTGGCTCACACCTATGATCCTGGCACTTTGGGAAGCTGAGGCGGGAGGATCACTTAAGGCCAGGAGTTTGAGACCAGCCTGGGGAACATAGTGAGACCCTCCCTCCCCCCTGTCTCTAAAGAAATAAAAATAAAACATAAAGATCTTGGTAAAGCCACAAGGGTTTGGGGGTAGTATTAGCAATGGAAACACAGGAGAACATCAAGACAGTGGCTGAACTGATGCTTCCCCCACCCCAGTGGTCTGAGCCCTTTGGCAGTGAAAACACAAAGTTAAAAATAATGATGATCTCATCAGATCTGACAAGAGGTTGGCCAGAAAAGGGTTGAAATGATCAGGAAGACTCTTTGTATGTGAATTTTCATCTACTCTCTTTTACAGTGAGCCCTATTCTCATTCATTCATCAAAGAAAGAAAGAAGGCAGGATAAATGAAATTTGATAAGGAATGAATGAGCTAGATCCAGGGGGAGGGAGGCACTAGAATGTGTTGGTTAAGAACCAGGACTTGCATTTTAATCTGTTTTCAATTTTCCAGCTGTGAGGCCTCGGACAAGTTTCTTAACCTCCCTGAGCCTCAATTTCTTCATCTGTGCAATGGGGATCACCAGAGTTCCTCCCTCACTGGGTTGTCATGTGGGAATTCAATGAGATAATGCGCGGGGGTGCCTGGCACGCAGTAAGGCCTCGATGAATGTTAGATGTTCGTTTGTTTTAAAGCTGCGAGGAGTACTTCGCCTCGATATAAGGACGACCGTTCTAATGGTGGGAGCTGTTACAATGAGCTATTGTTATTATGCAATGGAGGGAGGCCAAAGAGAAGGATGGAATCAGCAAGATCTGGGTTCAAATCTTGCCCCTGACATTTACTGGCTGTTTGAATTTACACAAGGAACTTCATCTCCATGAGCTTCACTTTCCTCATCTATAAAAAGGGACTATTAATACCAACATGGTCAGATTCTTATAAGGATTTACCTCATTCATTCATTCATTCATTCATGTGGGGATGTGCCAGGTAATCTTTTAGGCCCTGGTAATACTGCAGTAAACAATTCAGGCAAAAATCCCAGTTTGCACGGAGCTGATGGTTTTGTAGAGGGAAGGGGCACACAGTGAACAATAATAAGTCAACAGGATCATTTCAGGCTATGATAATGGCTATGAAAAAATGAAGCTGGTCAGGGGAAAGAGAATGACTATGAGATGGTTTACTTTAGCTGGGGTGATCAAGGAGGGCCTCCTTGTGGATGTGACATTTGAGCTGAGACCTGAATGATAAAGAGGAGCTGGCCACATGACCATCAGTGGGAAAAGCATTCCAGGCAGAGGGAACAGCAAGTGCAAAGGTCCTGAGGTAAGAACGTGTTTGGCAAGCGTGGCTGAAGTAGGTTAAGTGGAGGGGACAGTAAGGAATGTGGTAAGGGGGGCAGATCTTAGAGTGCCTCCAGGCCACACACAATGAGTGCAGAACATGCTATTATTATTAGTATCATTAGCAGCAGTCTTCCTCTGACTCCCTTGTTTGTCCCCCACTAAGGACCTGCTTTGGAAAACAAGGACATCCATTCTTGTGGTTCTCCTGGAAGATCCCTTCAGTTATTCAACTGTCCCACATGAAAACATTCAGGGCAGCAACACTCCAAGTCCTTGGTCTGGTTGTTGAAGGGGAGGTTGACTCACTAGAGTGTAAGGAATGATTGCATTAATTGTCCAGGAAAGTGACAAGGAGGTGACTCTGGTCATGCAATTTTGAGCTTTGGCTTCAACCTTTGGGGGCCTCGCCCTGCCACCTCCCATTCTCTCAATTCTTAATGCTCAGGGGTGAGATTTCTATGGGCCTCGGGCCACTTTGAGGAAAGCCATGCGTGCACGAGACAAGTATCCATTTTCTACTCTTTCACAGAATCCTGATTTTGTGCTTACGTGACTACTTTGCTTGAAGATAACACCGCCCAGCCTCCCCTGCAGCTGGATGGAGGTCACATGCTTGGATCTGGTCAATAAGATGGGAGTCGGAGTGTTGTGTGGGACTTCTAGAATCTCTTTTTTCTTTTTTGTTTTTCGTATTTTTTTTCTTTTTTTTTTTTTTGAGAAGGAGTCTCACTCTATCGCCCAAGCTGGAGTGTAGTGGCACGATCTTGGCTCACTACAACCTCTGCCTCCCAGGCTTAAGCGATTCTCTGCCTCAGCCTCCGGAGTAGCTGGGATTACAGGTGCGCGCCACCATGCCTGGCTAATTTTTTTGTATTTTAGTAGAGATGGGGTTTCACCATGTTGCCCAGGGTGGTTTCTAACTCCTGAGCTCAGGCGATCTGCCCGCTTTGGCCCCCCAAAGTGTTGGGATTACAGGCATGAGCCACTGCACCCAGCCCCAGAATCTCTTTAAAGCAGGGAAGGCTGCCTCCTCTTTTTAGATCTTCCTCCATCCTGCTGCCAGGGATGATTACATGATTGCTGGAACTCTAGCAGCCACTGAGAGTCGTGAGACTGAAAACCCCACTCTGGGAAAAGCAGAGCAGAAAGGTGGAATGAGGCTGGGGCCATGATGACTTTATAGAGCCATGGTACTAGTCGTGGACTATTTTCATCTGGACTGATGAGAGAAATATACTTCTCTCCCTGGGTCTCACTTTGTTATAGAGCCAGGCCTAGATTCTAATCAGCACTGCAGTGGTTAGCCCAGTAATTCTCCAGTATATGGAGAATATGGAGTACAACTTACACATGGACTGCCAACCCATCTGATAGTAACACAGGCAAAAAGACACCGGTTGCCCAGAATAACGTAGCAATGGACTGGGAACAAGTTGCTCAGAAAACAACTCCATTCCATGGAACTTGAGTAGTTCCCTGTGTCCTTAACTGGCTCCACTCCACACCCTTCCTTCCTTCCCTTTCTGGACTCTCAGTAGCCTCTCATTTTCCTGTTCTAAGAGGGAGGTCAACAGAGACCTCGGCACCTTTTCATTTGCTGTTCCCTGGGCCTGGCCTGGAGAGACCTTTTCCTGCCACCTCCCCTGCCCCTTCACCAGTTT
Organism: Homo sapiens; assembly: GCF_000001405.40. NCBI lineage: Eukaryota > Metazoa > Chordata > Mammalia > Primates > Hominidae > Homo > Homo sapiens. Next base: position 49,391,728 of record NC_000020.11, read on the forward strand.
GCTTTCTTCCTTCTTTCGGGACTCAGTAGCAATGTCACCAGCTTTTCCTAGACTGAATTAAGTTGAGTCAGCCCTTTCATTGCCCTGTCACAGCAGTCTTTGTGAAGTTTCATCACTCGCCTTCTTAAAGTCCTCCAGTGGTGTCCTGCTGCACTTGAAACAAGGTCCAAACTCTTATGGAGGCTGCACGGCCCTGCCTGACTTGGCCCCTGTTGACCTCTCTGATCTCTTTTTCTCTGTGCTCTTGCACATAGTCACTCCCTTCCAGCCACACTGGCCACCTGTCTGCTCTTCCACATGCCAAGCCCACTCCTGCCTCAGGACGTTTGCACTTGCTGTTTCTCTGTCTAGAACATCCTCATCCCAGATTGTCTGTGACTGGCTCCTTCTTATCCCTCACAGTCTCTCCTTAGAGAGACTGTCCCTCACTGCCTGATTAAAAATACCTCTTCCTCAGTCACTCACTCTTGCTGCACTGTTTTACCTCCTTGGTGATTTGTCACAATCTGCAGTCATTTTTTTTTTTTTTTGACAGGGTCTCAAAAGGGTGCAGTGATGTTATCATGGTTCACTGCATCCTTGACCTCCCAGGCTCCAGCAATCCTCCCACCTCAGCCTCCTGAGTAGCTGGGACCACAGATGTGCGCCACAATGCCCAGCTATTTTTTTTTCTTTTTGTAGAGATAAGATCTCACTATGTTACCCAGGCTGGTCTCAAACTCTTGGGCTCAAGGAATCCTTCCGCCTCAGCCTCCCAAAGGGACGGGATTATAGATGTGAGCCACCATGCCTGGCCAAATCATTTTGTTTATTTGTTTGTTTACTCATTTATTTTCCGCTTCTCCACCAACCTAGGTTAGCACATCAAGGGCAGGGACTGTGTCTATTTCACAAGGCTGGGTCCCCACTGCCCAGCACAGAGCCAGATGTGGCATTGGCACTCAACAAATACTGGTGCACTAAATGACTGCCTGAATGAATGAACAGGTGAATGGTTTGTGAGTTGGTCAGTTGGATGGAGGGATGGATGGATGGATGGAAGTTTGGATGGATGGGTTTAGAAGCCATGACCCCAATCGGACCACCCAAATGCAATATGTTTACTGAGCACCCCTCCTATGCAAGGCACTATTGGAAAATGCAAGCTTGAATTAGCAGCTGGATGCCTGATACTAATGATATAATAACAGCTGAGATTTATTGATTTCTCACCAAAGCAGGCACTGCGCCAACTGCATTGCATGACCGATCTCATTTACTCCTTATATCAACCCCAGGAGGTAGATACTCTCGTAATTCCTGCTTTGCAATTGTGAAAACCAAGCCTCAAAAAGGTGAGGTTCCATTGGAGGAGGAAACATTTGGGCTGGGGCTTGAGGGCTAGAGATGGATTCCAGCAGGCAGAGATGGGAGTAGGGGTGTTCTAGGCAGAGGCAGCTGCATATTCAAAGGGTTGGAGGTGGGGAATAACAGTCAAGCCAGTTTGGCTAGGGCAGGTGTGCACACAGAGAGAAAACTGGCAAGAGGGGAGACCACCATTTACTGCACACCCGCGACATGTGAGGTACCAAAGCATTTATTCACCATCACCCCAGGAAGTAGCTCCTCTTTTCACCTTCATTTTTCAGAGGATGGATCTGAGGCTTGGAGCCCCTAAATAACATGCCCAGAGCCACACAGCAGGATTAGGACTTGAATTCATGCCTGTCTCACTCTGAGGCTGGGTCAGAGATGGATAGTCAGAGGTTCAGGAAGGAGTTGACAAGGCTGGCTATGGAGTAACTGAGCATGTACTGGGAGCCAGGCACAGCATACTATCTCAATTAATCCTCACAAGTACCCAGGAGGTAGGTATTAGTGTGGTGGATATGTTTTTGGATAGTTTAGCATCATTTTTTGGGAATTGTTCCTCCTCCACAATCACGCATTAAGTGAAGTTGACCCTGTTTCTCCGTTTCAGGGGGTAAGAGTGAGATCCAAGCTTACCAGTTAGGATAATTCATCTCCCTGGCCACAGGGATTACTTTAGTAGTGTGGGCATGACTAAAATTGGTCAATCAGGGTTCATCCTGGAACTTTTTCTCAAATTATTGGGAAAGAGGTGGTCTCTTTCATCAGGGGCTGTTGGGTTAACAGGATATCAACCAGAAGTGGCTGGAGGGTCAACTCTGGCTCTCTGGGGAAAAAAAATCTGCCCAAGAGTGTAGCCAAAGCAGAGGGACTCTGTGCCAAGACACAAAGACAGGTTTCTAATGACATTATTTGAGCACCTGGATCCAGCCATCCCTGAAGCCATCCCTTTGGATTTTCCAACAATATGAACTGATGAATGCTCTTTTTGGATTAGGCCAGTTGGGCTGGATTTCTGACCCTTGCAAATAAAAAGTGATCTGACTGAACAAAATTGTTATCTTAATTTTACAGGTGAGAGAGCTAAGATTCATAGAGGTAAAATGACTTGCGTTTAGGATCCACAGGAAGGAAGGGGCTGAATCACACTGAGATATCACAAAGAAAGTGCATGGCATCTACCAGGTCCTCAAGAAATGCCTGTTCCCTTCTTCCATAGATCAAGGAGTGGTGGAGAGAAGGACGGGAGGAGGTATACCCACTGGTGGAAGCTCCCCCATGAGCCGCAAGCTTCTGGGCAGATTCTAGATTGCATCTGGAATCCTCCAAACTCTCCCAGCCTGCACTGGGGTCTGGCAGGAGCAACCAAAGCCCAGGAGTTGACACATAAAGTGAACAAGCGGTCAGATGTCAGCATTTGAACAAAATTCCTGAGGATCCCACTCTCTCCAAAAAAGTGTCATCTAAGAGCCCTGGCTGCAACACAGGGTTTCCATAGAAGGGCCAGAAGTCTTAGCACTTCTCAGGGCTTACGCTTAGTAGGATCTTGTACAGATAATTGTTTCAGTACCACCAAGGATTCTGTGGTCACTTGAACTTCTCAAAGCTCCTTCATATTGAAACTGGATAGAGAGTAAGGGGTTAGCCTACAAACTTTGACTTTGGACAAAGTTGGGTTCCAATCCTGGCCCTTGGCAGCTGGGTGACTTTCGGTACATTACTTAACCTCTCTGAGTCTCCCGTGTGAAACAGGCAGAATCGGAAGATGAAGTCAGACAAAACAGGTAGACACTCTTAGTACAGAGTTTGGAACCACTTCAGCTTTTGGGCAAGCAGATTAGTTCTAGATATAGGTTGAACTCTGGCATGTATGATCACATTAACTCTCTGAGCCTCAGCTTCCTCATCTGTAAAATGGGGCTCAGAATAATACCCCCTGCACAGGTGGTTGTCAGGCAGCAATGAAATCATGCATGGAAAATGCGTACCCCAGGGTACGCATGTGAACCGAGGACACCCTGCCAGCAGGACGGCCCCCCACTCATCCACCGGCAGGGAGTTTTGGCCCACACAGTGAATTCGTTGCCAATATTTATTTTCCCTATGAATTCACATTTGAGCTTCTCAAGAAAAATCTGAAGCTCTGGGTACTCTTGGTCCACGCTGCTCCGTGGCAAGCCCAGGCTGCCGCTGCGCGGTGTTAAGTCCAGTCCTGTACTCTAAAATCTCACGTGCACCCTGTGCGTGTTGTTTATGAGGCTCGCTTGGCTTCTGCAGGAATCTGGTTTGGGAGCCCAGGAATAAATCATTAGACGTGTAGCCAGCGATGAGGGAAAAGATTAAACAGTGCCAGAGAAGCAGTCATGGGTTCCTTAGGGAATGCTGGGCCAAGAGCTGGGTCCGCGAGATGCCCTGGATCAGGAATATGCGGATGGAATCCCTGCCTGGGCCAGCCCCTCATCCATCCGTATATGGCTGCAGAGAAGCCATGTTGCTGCTTCCTTAGAGCCCCTGGCTGCATTTTCCCCTCGTCTCTCCTGCTTCTAGACTGCTCTGAAGCTCCTCCTAGTCCCCACCGCTCATCCTACCACACCTCAGTAAAGCAGAATTAGAGGATTAAAAAAGACGGGCAGGAGATAGGGGACTACTTTAGCCCAACGGCTTTGGAGGGCCTCACTGAGGAGGTGATGCGTGAGTGCGGATCTGAGGAATGCAAAGGAGCCAGCTCGCAAAGATCTGGGGAAAGGCCGGTCCGGGCAGCAGTCACGGCAAGTGCAAGGGTCCTGGGGCAGGGAAGAGATTGGCAAGAAGAGGAGGAGAAAGGCGACCAGTGTCCCTGGTGCTAGGGAGGAAGACAAAGGGCGTGAGAGTTGAGGTCAAAGAGAGAAGAGAGGCAGGCCTTTAAGACCTGATAGGATGTTTTGAACCTGAGAATCCTGGGAGCCACACGGCCATGGCCTAATGTAGGTTTAAAGATCCCCTAGCTCTAGCCAGGCGCAGTGGCTCATGCCTGTAATCCCAGCACTTTGGGAGGCGGAGGTGGGCAGATTACCTGAGGTCAGGAATTCGAGACCAGCCTGGCCAACATGGTGAAACCCTGTCTCTACTAAAAATACAAAAATTAGCCGGGCACGGGGGTGGGCGCCTGTAATCCCAGCTACTCGGGAGGCTGAGACATGAGGATCGCTTGAACCTGGGAGGCAGAGGTTAAAGTGAGCCGAGATTGTGCCATTGCACTCCAACCTGGGCAACGTGAAACTTTGTTTCAAAAAATAGTAAAATAAAATAAAATAAAATAAAATAAAATAAATAAAATAAAATAAAATAATCCCCGAGCTGCACCTAGGAACAGCCTGTAGGGGGACTGGAATAGAAACAGGAATCAAAGTGAGGAGGCTGTGGTAGGTGTCCAGGCAAGAGACTGTGTCTGTTCACAGTACGGAAGACAAATTCAAGTTATATTTTGGAGGTGAAATCAACCAATTGCTGATGGCTCAGATGTGTGGGGCGAGGGAAAGAAGAGTCAAGATGGAATCCCAGGTTTTCATCCTGAGCAACTGGGAGGATAGTGGTGGTGTTTCCTGAGATGGAGAGGAATCGGAGGAGCACCTGGGGCCAGATCATGGGGGTGCTGTGAACATCAGCTGAGGGGTCTGGACCAGACCCCGCAGACAATGGGGAGCTTGGGAAGGCTTCTGAGCAACAGCAGAATATTCATTCAGTCATTCAACAAACATTTGTGGTAAAAGCTTGTCCATATTCTATTCTCTCACAGACGGCAAAGCTCCCCACAAGCAGCCGTGGGTTATGGGCCACAAACATCCTTCCTGGGCCTATAGAGTGCACGAGAAAGCTCTACCTGCCCATCCACATTTTCCCTTCCCGACTTCTTCACCTCTGGCTTGAGGAGCTGAAGAGCATTTAAAAAATATTCATGGCTGGGCGCAGTGGCTCATGCCTGTAATCCCAGCACTTTGGGAGGCCGAGATAGGCAGATCGCCTGAGCTCAGGAGTTTGAGACCAGCCTGGGCAACATGGTAAAACCCCGTCTCTACAAAAAATACAAAAATTAGCCGGGTGAGTTGGCGTGCACCTGTAGTCCCAGCTACTTGGGGGGCTGAGGTGGGAGGATCGCTTGAGCCTAGGAGGTCGAGGCTGCAGTGAACCATGTCACCGCCACAGCACTCCAGTTTGAGTGACAGAGCGAGACCCTATCTCTAAAAAAAAAAAAATTAAAAAAATTAAAAAATGAAAATATTTATTTACTCCCTGCCTGTCTTTTCCTCTAAAAGCTCCATGAAAGCAGGGACCATCTTTGTAACTTCAGCATCTCTCATGCCTAGACCTGTGTCTGGTACATAGTAGGTGCTTAATAACTATTGAGGAACTGAATTTTAAAAATAAATAAATGAGCCCTAGTCTCTCAGACTGAAGGACTGACTGAGAGCCTGTAAAGTGCCCCGTTCAGGGCCTGGTATACAGTAGACATTCAATAAACAGTAATGAAAATATACACAGAAAATACAGCCACTCTGTCAGGTCCCTGGTAGGTCTTGAGGCTTCTCCAGTGTAGGAAAGGCCAGAGGAGTAGGAGGGTGAGGTGGCCTGTGACTCACCCTCCCGGGGCCCCTGTCTTGGGCCTAGGCCTGTGGGCATGGCGTCTGCACTAATCCGGCTAAGCAGCTGGATGTGCAAGGGTGTGTAATCCCAGGCCTGCTGGCTTTAGCCTGACCTTGGCTAGGATGACCCAAGTCAAGAAGAACGCTCCTGTCCTCTTAGGCCACCCAGAGCTGAGACCCTCTACACAACCGGGGACAGGGATCTAAAAGACCCTTCTTGGGGGACAGAGGGGTGGCAGGCTCACCTAGGTCTCCCCCCGAAGCTCCAACCCAGCTATTTGGGGTATGCATCTCTGCACCCCTCCCCCCTTGCTACATCTTTGCCCCAGTGTCCTCCCTGATGGATGATGCGGCACAGAAATACTATCGGGGAAGAAAAGGGGCATTCATTCATCAAACATTTATGGAGCCAAGCTATGTGCCAAACACTTTTCCAGATCCTGAGGACACAGCAGTGATCAAGACAGACTCTGTCTTCAGGGAACTGATATTTGGGTGGGGGAAGCAGACATGAAATGAGGAAATAGGTAAATTAAAAAGGATCTCTTCAAGGTGCAAGAAAATGGGCTAATGGGATAGAGACTGGCTGTAGGGACATCATCAACTATGGTAGTCAGGGAGGGCTTCTCTGAGGAGGTGACATCTGAGCTGAGACCCAAAGATGGAGTATCGAGTTGTATGAAGATCTGGGAAAGGAGCATCCAGGTGGAGGGAAGAGATTTTAATCCTAGTGAGTCATATAAGTTGGCACCATTGAGTACACTGAATAGATAATGAACATAATAACTAACATTTACTGAGTACCGACAATGTGTCAGGCCCTTTTCTAAGTGCTTTGAATGCAATAACTCATTTAATACTCAAAACAATCGATCATTTTCATCCAATTTTACAGATGAAGAAACCAAGCCACAGAGAGGTCAAGTGCTTTGCCCAAGGCCACACAGCTAACAAGTAGCAGAGCTGGGATTTGAACCCAGGGCTGCTCTACCTCACAACCTATGGGTTGTTCCCTATCTTTACAGCACATTAATGTTTTACAATTAAAAACATTAATTGTTGAGCATTACCAAGCACCAGGTCCTGGGACCCATGGCGTCTTTATCTGGTCCTACCTCTGAAGGCCACCCACTGATCCTCTGCCCTGCACCTCTCTCTCACCCTCTTCTGATGTCTCTACTCTGAGGCCACCTCCAGCTCCAGGAGTGGCCATGTGGCTCTGCCTGGTCCAATCAGCATAGACCAACCCTCCCAGCCTTTGTGATTGACTGAGGGATGGGCATGTGACACAAGATGGCTTCATGAGAGTGGATCTTGGAACTTTGCAACCATGGGGGAGGAGGAGTTCTCTTTGTTTTTTTGTTTTTTGTTTGTTTGTTTTTTTGAGACGGGGTCTCACTCTGTGTGCAGGCTGGAGTGCAGTGGCACAATCTCAGCTCACTGCAACCTCCGCCTCCTGGGTTCGAGCAATTCTCCTGACTCAGCCTCCTGAGTAGCTGGGACTACAGGCATATGCCACCACGCCCAGCTAATTTTTTGTATTTTTAGTAGAGACGGGGTTTCACCATGTTAGCCAGGATGGTCTCGATCTCCTGACCTTGTGATCTGCCTGCCTTGGCCTCCCAAAGTGCTGGGATTACAGGTATGAGCCATCGTGCCCGGCCAGGAGTTCTCTTTTGAGGGAAAATGTCTAGCTGGGAGATAGGAAGCCTGGAGCCCAAAGAGCTTGCTTGAGAGTGAAGCCCTCGTAGAGGAGGGCAGAGACAAAAGATGGAGAGAGACTGAGTTGCAATGACAAGCACTGATGGTATTGTTCGAGGCCTGTGTATCTGGGCCAGAGCCAGAACCACTTCTGAACTTCGCAGTTGCATCACCCCTCCCATTTTTTTTCAAGCTTAAGCCAATTTGAATTGGATTTCTGTCTCTTATAACTGCAATCAGAACCTTGTTTTCCTCCTGGAATGTTCTTCCTTCTTTTCTCTCTTGCTACCAATTAATGTTACTCTTATTTATTTTTTATTTTTAGATGCAGTCTTGTTCTATTGCCCAAGCTAGAGTGCAGTGGTACAATCTTGGTTCATTGCAACCTCTGCCTCCCAGGTTCAAGCAATTCTCCTGCCTCAGCCTCCCAAGTAGCTGGGATTACAGGAGTGTACCACCATGCCAGGCTAATTTTTGTATTTTTAGTAAAAGGCAAAAGATTTATACGATCTGAAGAGAAACCAGAGAATAATTTTTGTATTTTTAGTAGAGACAGGGTTTCACCATGTTGGCCAGGCTGGTCTCGAACTCCTGACCTCAGGTGATCTGCCCGCCTCAGCCTCCCAAAGTGTTAGGATTACAGGAATGAGTCACCGCGCCTGGCCCCAGTAATGTTATTCTTATGACCACCATTAATATGACCATCACTGCCATCGCCAGTACAGCGACTATTCTCATGAATACTTCTATTGCCACTGCCAGGAATGACAGCATCATCCTACTTTTAACACAGTGAACACAGGGGCCATTATTGCTACACTGATGCTGTTTCTACTACTCTTTCTGCTATTAGCATCGCACTTCCCATTTGTAAACCTCTCCTGAGTTTACAAAGCACTTTCAAAATCCTCTCATTCTCTTCTAAACCTCACCACACTCCCCCATGAGTGGGGCACAGTCACTACTGTTAGTTCCATCGTAGGGGCAGGGGAATCGAGGTTGCAGAAGTGAGAGGAACTGCTTGCAGCCATAGCCAATGGGACTCAGACCCACCTACTCATTCATTTATTGACGAGGTGGCACTGAACGCCTTCGGTATGAGGATGGACTCTGCTAGATGCTGGGACGCAGCAGTGAACAACACCGACATCGTTCCTGCCTTCGCTGAGCTGCCCTTTGGGTGGGCTCCAGAACATTCCAAGAGCCTCCCTCACAGGCCCCACAGGAAGCCAGGCCAGGATCATTCTGTTCTCCTCAGAATTCTGAGACCAGAGTGGAGGAGCCCAGTTTGTGAGCAGAATTGAAGCACTGCTGTGGATTTTACTTCTTACCTGAGCTGCCTTGGGCAACAGACCCAGCCTTTGAGCCTTCCAACAAGACAGTGAATTCCTTGGCAAGGAGAGTCCTGACTTAATTTTTCTGTCTCTGCTACAGTGCCTAGCACAGGGTCGGGCACAGAGTAGGCACTCTGTAAGTGCTTATTAATGGATTGCTGCTCAGAGGCAGAACTAGGCCTCCTTCCATCTACCCAACTTTCTATTCTTCTATTTGTCTAATATCTATCAATTTCCTTCCTTCTTCTATTCATCCATCCATCCACCTACCCACCTATCCACCTGTCCATCTGTCCATCCGTGCATTTTCCTACCTTGCTTCCTCCCTCCTTCCTTCTCTCCCCGTCCCTCCCCTGTTCTCCTTGGGCAATGAAGAATTAGTCCAGCCTCCAGGTTTTTGCTCCTGCTGTGGCTACTCCGAAGGCTCCTTCCCCAGGATGTTAACATTTTCCTGGCTCTTAGCAATTTGCAAAGAGCTTGGGAGACTGAACAAACAAACAAAAATCCAGATTCTCTCAACCACTTATTTTCTTTTTTTTTTTCTTTTCTTTTTCTTTTCTTTTTTTTTTTTTTTTTTTTTTGAGACAGAGTCTTGCTCTGTCATCCAGGTTGGAGTGCAGTAGCGTGATCTTGGCTTACTGCAACCTCCACCTCCTGGGCTCAAGCAATTCTCCTGTCTCAGCCCCCCATGTAGCTGGGACTACAGGCATGAGCCACCATGTCCAGTTACTTTTTGTATTTTTTGTAGAGATGGGGTTTCGAGGCTGGTCTCAAACTCCTGATCTCAAGTGATCCTCCTACCTCGGCCTCCCTGACTGCTGAGATTACAGGCATGAGCCACCGCACCCAGCCTTCATCCACTTTTTGAGGCACTCCGAATTCCTACTAGATTTCTTATCTTTCCTGACAACCCAGTAGCAATCCTATGCTTACTTTTAAAACTCTTTTTTCTGGTTTCCTGCATAGTGTGCTCTCTCTCCTCCCCTCTACTGCCAGTTTGGGATTGAAAACTCAACCAGGCCAGAGCAGTGACTCACCCCTGTAATCCCAGCACTTTGGGAGGCCAAGGCAGGAGGATTGCTTGAGCCCAGGAGTTTGAGACCAGTCTGGGGAACATAGTGAGATCCTGTCACTACTAAAAATTAAAAACGTAGCCGGATGTGGTGGCACACACCTGTGGTCCCAGCTACTGTAGAATATAATAAATTCGTCTTCAAAGGTTTTAGCCTGTAAATTGTTAAGTACAATGAGTTCTGAGATCCTCTTCAAAGAACCAATGTATCAGTATGTTCAGCTCCCCTGTTCTTTGTTCTTCATTTTAAAGTTTAACTTTCTCGTTCTTTACGTCTCCTTGCCCCTAGTTTCAGCAACCAATCTTCTCCTAGCCTCTATCACCTGCTCTGACCTTAGTCATCTTTGGCCACCTGGTCTGTTCTTAGTCATCCTGGGTCACCTGCTCTGTTCTTAATCATCCCGAGTCACCTGTTCTGTAACCATCCTTCCCGCCAAACTACTCACCCTGCCACTCCAGCTTGTACCTCTGCCTCTTTAAAATAGCCAATCGGAATTACCTTAGACTGTGCAGTCCAACCCTAGCCAATAGGGGAAAGACACAGCAGCAGGAACTAGCTGCGTTGGGATGAGAATCCCTTCCCCTCCCTTGTCTGGTGTGCTCTCCCCATTGCTCCATCTGCGAGATGCACCCTTCTATAGAAGTACAATTGCCTTGCTGAGAAAATTAAATTTATGTTTGAGTGCTGTTTCTTTTGCGGCACTGAAAACTTATTTCTAATATTACTCAGGAGGCTGAGGTGGGAGGATTGCTTGAACCCAGGAGATTGAGGCTGCAGTGAGCTATGATTGCATCACTGCATTCCAGCCTTGGTGACAGAACAAGGGCCTGTCTCAAACAAAAAGAAAAGAAAACCTAACCAGCTACTGCAGCTAGGCAGGAAGTGCAAATGACCAAAGCAGGCTGGATATCGAACTCCAGGAAGGAGTGCATGGGCCACCTCTCAAGTGGGCGGCCACTACCAGCTCCAAGAGGGAATAGATGTGGCCCAGAGTGGTCTAATTTTCCAGTTTCTCAGTAGAAACAAACAAGTGAAAGTCTAGGGGTTCTTTTGGTGAACTCTTCCCAATTTGTTAATGTGGGTAACTAATTAAAATATGTAAATGCAGTTCAGTTCAAACAATACATGCTTACAGGATAGAGCTGCCTCTCTTCTCTTTACAACCCCTCTGGTCACTGGCCCCCTCTTTCCCTCCCTACCCTGCAAATTGCCACAAGAGAGCTCAACTCCAAGAAGAGCTTATTGCTTTGAATACAAACAAAATACTGCTCATAATAGCTGCTACCCAAAACTGAACATCCAAGTACTCAAGTCACCTCTATTGTTATCATTGTTTTACAAATGAAGAAAGCAAAAGGCTCAGAGAAGTTAAGGAACTTGCCTAAGGTCACACAGCTAAGTGACAAACTGAATTTGAGCCCAGGGCTGTGTGACTCCAAAGACAGTGATCTAGCCCAGTGGTGGTGGCATTTTGCCACAGGAGGCATTTTGGAAATGTTAGGGAGGACAGGTGTTTCTGGTTATCATGGTGATACTGGCATTCAGTGAGTGGGACCCAGGGATAAGAGACGTCTTGCAATGCACAGTCCTGTGTCGTGAAGTCTTGTCTTGTTCCCAATGCTAATAGTACCACGGTTTTCCCTCTTCCCCCACAATGGCAGCCATTATTGAGTGCCTAGTGTATGCCAGGGACTTTAGATCCAGCAGTCCAATAAGGTAGGTACTTTTAGTATCTCCATTTTACAGATGGGAAAACTGCAGTTCAAAGAGGGGAGGTGACTTAACAAAGGTCACATGAACTGGGAAATGGCAGCAGGGCTGAGTCCAGGGTGAAAAAAATTAAGGGTGTGAAATTTAAGGCATTGCCAAATAACTCAGTAAGCAAGATAAATACTACTTTAATGTAACATTTAAAAAATCAAACTTAATGTAAAACCCCCCATGATGAACAAAATATCTATATTTTCAATAAAGACAGGATCAGCAACACTGGTGTGCTAAGCCATATGGGAGTGAAAGGGAAAAGGAAAAAATTAATACTGATCTTGTTTTGTTTCGTTTTTTTGAGACAGAGTCTTGCTTTGTCGCCCAGGCTGGAGTGCAGTGGCACTAGCTCGGCTCATGGCAGGCAACCTCTGCCTCCCGGGTTGAAGTGATTCTCCTGCCTCAGCCTCCCGAATAGCTGGGATCACAGGCATGGGCCACTATGCCCAGCTAATTTTTTTTTGTTTTGTCTTTTTAGTACAGACAGGGTTTCACCGTGTTGGCCAGGCTGATCTCTAACTCCTGACTTCAGGTGATCCGCCCGCCTCGGCCTCCCAGAGTGCTGGGATTACAGGATTACAGGCGTGAGCCACTGTGCCTGGCCTGATCTTGGATTTTTGTGCCCAAGGTGAGTGCTTCGCTTAACTCACTTTAGTCTTGTCCCTGAGTGGCAGGCCATGCTAATTGTATCTGTCTCTGTCTCACCAGCCTCAATAAGATGTGGGGAGTCCATTCTTCCACTCCCAGTGCTCCAGGACTTCAGCACGAATGGTGAAATTACAGGCTCCAGAAAGCCATGATTTCTAAAGCAGAAGACGGACAGGCCTTTAATTAGAGCCAGGCGGGTGGGTGGCCAGCTAATACTAAGTTCCATAATACTAAGTTCCGTAATAAGCACTGTATTTTTGAATTCACTGGCTTGATCACACACATCCCGGAGGCATCTTTGGAAATTTGTTCATAGAAAATAGGGTAAACAGCTATTTGTACCCTAAGAGAGGGAAAATGGCTTTACAGTGGGGTGGCTATGACAAGGGTGTGCTCTGGTGGCAGCAGATCTGGGACAAACCCCACCCCACCACTCACTGGCAGTGTGGGGCTGAGCAAGTCACGGCCCTCTCTGAGCCTCTGCTTTCTCATGTGTAATGGGAATGAGAACACCTACCTTGCTGGTGATGGGGAAGATTAGGATTAATGGACAGTAGAGTCATATCCTCATGGGTTTGGTTCCAACGATAACCAGTAAGATGAATATCTATCACCTACTTTTGAAAATCCCTACCTTTATATTGTGAGGACCTGAAAACTGGAAGCTCAGAAGCCAGGAAATGATGCATTTTATCCCAGATGTGGCCTCTCTGTTTGAGGCAGGAAGGTAACCAGCTAATGCAGAGGGTAGGGTGGGGGTGGTTAGGGAAAGGCCAACAGGTGAAGGAGAAAAATAAAAGAATTTTTCTTTGTCTCTCTTCCTTCTCAAGTCTCATACATTAGATGCCCAGGTGTGAAACTCTGTTCTAGCTAAAATTCTCTGGCATATAGAAGAGCTCATTCTGGTTCAGGTTTTCCAAGGAACAATCAGCAGGGGTTCCAGACCACACAAATGGCCTGTTTCTGGCTGTAATCACACGTGGGAGCTGGCTAATGTCCCCGGAGTCAGGCTGGAGTGGCCAAGACAATCACCGTGGATTTAGCCAGGGGCTGCTGCCTTGGGAATCTTTATTTGTGCTTGTGTTGCCTCCTCTGCTTCCAAGGATAATTACCAGGGAGGTGCACAAATTGGAGGCAAAGACAAGCCACTCGTAGTGTGCAAAGGACCCTGATCGTGACAGTGCAAGTAAACAAACCATTAGGAATGCAAAGATTGACAGATAACAAACAAGATCCGTGGGCAGGTGTGGTGGCTCACAGCTGGTAATCCCAGCACTTTGGGAGGCCGAGGTGGGCGGATTGCCTGAGGTCAGGAGTTCAAGACCTGTGTGGCCAACATGGTGAAACCCTGTCTCTACTGAAAATACAGAAATTAGCTGGGTGTGGTGGTGGGTGCCTGTAATCTCAGCTACTTGGGAGGCTGAGGCAGGGGAATTGCTTGAACCAGGGAGGTGGAGGTTGCAGTGAGCCGAGATCGCACCACTGCACTCCAGCCTGAGTGACAGAGCGAGACTCTGTCTCAAACAAACAAACAAACAAACAAAAAACAAGATCTTCTGAGCAGGAGCCACTGTTAGCTGGAGGTTGGATCCAGTGATTCTCAGCAGGGTGGCACTACCCATAAGGACATGCCCTGAAAATGTGCGAGGGTGTCACAAGGATGGGAGAGGATGCCACAGGCATGAAGTGAGCAGAGGCTGAGGACACCAGGCGACCTGTAATGCACGAGACAGCCCTGCTCATGGATAACCTTCTCTTGTCCTGCTCAATGTTGGAGTGTCCCAGTGGATACTCAGGTAGGTGAACAACAACTTGTTTAAATTAATTTTAGACTGTAACTTCATTTTATATATAAACCCGCCAAATATGTTTTGCCAATGTTTTAATCTACCCTGAATTTTCCAGAAATGGCAACGCCTGGTGAAGCAAGGGAAGAACTGGACTTTCTTCTGTTCAGAACTTTACCAGGAGTTATTCATCGTATTGGAAAAGTCATGCAGCTGATGTCAGTGCTGCTTGGGATATCAGAGCTGCCAGCACACCTGTACCTCTGTTTTTGTCACGGTCACACTCATGGTGCTTCTATGTATAGTGGAAGCATCTGACAACCTCATGGTGTTTTCTGGTGTTGTTGTCCTGACCAGGCATTTGCATACTGAAACACACACAAGTTTAATACAAACGTCCTTGTAATTATTCGTTCTAAAGTTAGGGAATGATATTGATTTTTTTGAAGTTACATATATAGTATATTATCTGTGAATTTCATTTTAGAATACGAAGTGGTGGGAGAAGTTAACAAAATATTTGTTATTTATAAAGGGGACTTGGGCTCTGGGAGTGGAAAACTGTGACCCTGGAAGGTGCACGTGTTTATACGTCTCACCCATGCAAGGTGGCCTTCCTTGGCTGTCTTCTACCTCCCTGATTAGGCTCCAACTCTCTGCTCATATTTTCAGAGCGTCTGCACTTTTTTTCTTTGCGGCACTTATCAGAACCAAAGTGCACATGCACCACCCTGAGAGCGAGCTCCTCCTTCAATTTTGCATCCTGGGCACCTCACTCTTCCACCCTCTTCTGGGTCCTGCGAACTAGCTTCAGCTATTTGTAGAATTAGCTGTAATGCCCATCTCCCCAACCAAGCTGGGCGCTCCAGTGCGGGGATCGTGCTTGCTGCATTTATTGCTATATCTGCCGTGCTTAGCGCAGTGCCTGGTGTGTTTTAGTCACTGATTGAATGAGTGAAGGGCTGTATATTTCATATACATCATAGGCAAATAAAAATGAATAAATTTTAAATTTATGGCAAGGCTAAAAGATGATCAGCCCTGGGTCAGCACAGAGAGGGTCTGCGAAAGCAAGTAAGACCTAGTCTTCCTCCGTCTGGCAGCGGGGAGAGACAGATGCAAAGCTGAGGCAAGGGAGACAGGGACCCTCCCACTGCTTGGGAGAAACACGTCTACGTTAGCTGGGGGCAGGTGAGGGAAGACTTCCTGCAGGAAACACCACTTGAGTCTTGTGGGGAGAAGAGTTTGCCAAGCAGCCACCGACCACATGGTCCAGCTCATTATTTTACAGATGGGGAAACTGAGACTGGTGGGGAAACTGAGAATGGTTCTAGGCCCGGCTCTGCCACCGTCCCGCTGTACGACCTTGGCCAAGTCTTTCTTCTTCAGTCTTCCCATCTGTACAATGAGATGACCTCTAGGGTCAGCCTCACCTTCTGGGACAGAAGTCTCAAACTGGCAGCTCCTGGGCTGAATTCTCCTGCTCCTGGCTGTTACCTGCCAGAGACCAGGAGGTGTTTGAGCTGAGACCTGTGTGAAGGTTACCAACTTTGTAAATTAGATGCCACCTAAAAGCGGTGATTCTTGATCAGGGGCGGTTTTACCCCCCAGGGGACATTTGGCAATGTCTGGAGACATTTTTGATTGTCACACTGGGTGGGGGTTGTGTGTGGGGTCGCTACTGGCCTCTAATGAGTATACGCCAGGGATGCTGCTGAACAATCACAGGACGGCCCCACAGCAGAGAACTCTCCAGCCCCAAATGTCACCAGTGCGGAGGCTGAGAAGCCCCGCCTAAAAGTCCAGTCCTTCTGGGCCACTCTGGCTCCTGGGAAGGCCCCAGGACCCCGTGGTCTTTGTACTTGGTGACTGATCTCCAGCCTTCCTGCCGCTGTCTGGAGCTGTCCTCTGACTGCACCGTCACCATGCTTTCTCCCCACTAGGCCCTGGCTCCCTCTAGCCTCCGCTTTCCAGGGCAGGGCCTGCCTCTCCAGCTCACATTTTGACTATACTGGGTCAAACCTGATAGCACCCTGGACATAGGCGCCTGTCTGTTAAGACTCCTGTTTTCCACAATTGCAGACAGATGCACAGAGAGTGTCACTAGCTTGATCAAAGTCGCACAGCAAAGGGAGTGTTGGGGCTGGGATTTGAGCCCAGATACCTTGACCCCCCCCGCCCCCAGCCCATTTACTGCAATTTTTTAAATTTTTTTTTTTATTTTTTTTTGAGACGGAGTCTCGCTCTGTCGCCCAGGCTGGAGGGCAGTGGCGCGATCTCGGCTCACTGCAAGCTCCGCCTCCTGGGTTCACGCCATTCTCCTGCCTCAGCCTCTGGAGTAGCTGGGACTACAGGCGCCCGCCACCACGCCTGGCTAATTTTTTGTATTTTTTAGTAGAGACGGGGTTTCACCATGTTAGCCAGATGGTCTCGATCTGCTGACCTCATGATCCGCCCGCCTTGGCCTCCCAAAGTGCTGGGATTACAGGCGTGAGCCACCACGCCCGGCCTCCCTGCAGTTTTGTTTCTGAAAATTGACTTCCTTTGGGTCTGGGTTTTCTATGCCTCCTCTCCTCAACATTCATTGCCTTCCTGGTTTGAACTGAGCCACAAAGTTACATTGGAAATGGAAACAGAAGGTGTCTTTGAGACCGTCTCCCAGGGTGATGTGCTGCGGTCTCAGAAGGACTCTCTGACAATGTCACACGAGGGAGGATGGGAGAATGGTATGAATGGTGGGAACTGAGGTGGCAGCCACAACACAATGGTGGGAAAAACAGGCTCCGCACTGGGTTCCAGCATTGGAGCTTCATGCTAGACCCAGGACAAATTCCTTCACCGCTCCAAGCCTTGCTTTCCCCATCTGCAGTGGGAGACAGTGAGACTTCCTTAATCGTGGAACTGTGAATATTTAATGGGAACGCGGATGTGGAGGGCTGGCCCAGGGCTTGTTCAATGAGGGGACCTGGGGTGGCCACTAGCTCCTGGGCCTGTGGAGGCAGGGGATGCTCTGGTGGATTCCAGAAGATGACAGTGGGCTCTCCTCTCTGGAGGGTGGACGAAGGCAAGCGCCTCTCTGACTGCCTTGCTTTATCCTTGGAGAATTCTCCCCAGTGCCCCTCTGTCCACTCTCATGCCACAGTTATCACCCCAAGCCTTTAACCAGCAGTCCCCTGGGTGCTGAGTACGTAACCAAGAGGGGAGTCCTGAGCCGCCATTCAGCCCTTCTCTGGCTTGGACACACTCCACGTTGCATGTCCATTCGGTTGCATGTCCTGAGTGCTTTCTGTGTGCCAGGCACTGTGCTGGGCTCTGGGAGTCACTGTCCCCAAGACAGCAGAGGAGCCAACAAACAGATGAAATGGCAGGGAGGGAGTTAGTGGGCGATGGAGAGAGTGCCAATGGGAGGGAGGCAGAGGGTTAAGAAAGCCCCTCTGAGGATGCCTGCTAAGCAGAGGTCTGAGGCCAAGCACTGTGGGGAAGAGGATACAGCGTGTGCAAAGGCCCTGAGATAGGAACGGTCGTGTTTGGGCACCAGAAAGGAGGCCAGTGTGGCCGGTGTGGAAGAAGCAAAGGAAAGAGTGGCCAGAGATGATAATGGAGAGGCAGGCGGGTGGCAGATCGGGCAGAGCTTTGAAGGCCGGGGTGAGGAACTTGCAATTTATTTTAAGGACCTAGAGGAAGAGGAGGCTCTGGGCCCTGGGTGGATGAGCTGCCTTACTTCTTGGAAGCACCAGGGCTCATGGGAGAACCTGACCGTCACTCAACCCCCGAAACCTGGCTGGCTTGTATGCAGCCTGTCCCCGCATCAGGAGGGGCCAAGCGACACCTCGCTGCACACAGCAGCCTCATTCCTGCCTCCCTACCTTTGCTCAGACAGGATCCCCTGCCTGGGGTGGCCTCTCCTCTCCCTGATTTGCCCACTCTTCCTCAGGAAACCTTCCCTGGCAGCTAGAGCCTATGGGGCCCTCCTCCTCCCAACCACTCTCCTGGTGTTGAAATCCACTGGGGTAGTTTGCTGTCAATGAAGATCCCAGGGTCTTCCACAGAGATAATGATTCAGGTGATCTGTGCTAGGACCCAGGAGTTCACATCTTTACAAACACTTCCACGTGATTCCTCTGTCCGGCATTGGAGAGACATAGCTGCTGGCATGTTTCCAGAGCTACTTCAGGCAACAGGGCACGCAGTATGTGTGAGGGGGAGAAGCAGGGGGCTCAGTGGAATCAGAAGGCCCTGGGTTCACATCTCAGCTTTAACACTTACCCAGCTGGGCGACTGTGGGCTAATCAGGCAGAGCTTTGAAGGCCAGGGTGAGGAGCTTCCACCACCTCTTAGAGCCTCAGTTTCTTTCTTTTTTTTTTTTTGGAGACAGAGTCTTGTTCTGTCACCCAAGCTGGAGTGCAGTGGTGTGAGCTTGGCTCACTGCAACCTCCACCTCCTGGGTTCACACCATTCTCCTGCCTCAGCCTCCTGAATAGCTGGGATTACAAGTGCCTGCCACCATGCCTGGCTAATTTTTGTGTTTTTAGTAGAGATGGGGTTTCACTATGTTCGCCAGGCTGGTCTGGAACTCCTGACCTCAGGTGATCCACCTGCCTTGGCCTGCCAAAGTGCTGGGATTATAGGCGTGAGCCACCGTGCCTGGCTGAGTCTCAGTTTCTTCATTTATAAGGTGGGGACAGTCACACTGACCTCAGAGTATTGTGAAAGGGATGACAAATATAATGTGCCTAACCCAAGAGGTTGCCCACAGTTGGTGCTTAATAGATGCAGCCTGGGGCCCACTCCACACTTGCTTCCCTAAGGGCCTGAATAAGGCAATGCTCTCTAAACCAGGGCTCAGCAAACTTTGTCTGTAAAAGGGTCAGAGAGTAAATATTTTAGGCTTTGGGGGCCGCATGATCTCTGTCACAACCCTTAAACTCTGCAGGGCAGCACAGACGCGGCCACAGATAAACAGAAATGAGTTTGTGAGTTATGGCTCTGTTCCAAAAACCCTGATGGTCCTAAAATTTAAATTTTATATGGTTTTCACATGTCACGAAACAATATTTTTCTTTGGATGTTTTTCAGCCACTTGAAAATGTAAAAACTGTTCTTAGCTTGAGGGCTGTACCAAAACAGGGGGTGGGCTAGATGTGGCCCACAGGCCCTGGATTGCTGGCCCCCGCTCCAGAGGCTTTACATGTCTTAGCTCATAGGACCCTGATGAGATAGGCAGCCCTATGTTCAGATGAAGAAACGGAGTCTCAGAGAGACTGGAATCCTCGGGCAAGGTTCCACAGCAGAAATAGTAGATATTTTAGTCTTTGTGCACCATTTGGTCTCTGTTGCAAGAGATAACTGTGAGATTTGAACTCAGGCAGAGCTGGGCTCAGAGCCCCTGTTATTAACCACAGTACACTGTCTCGTGGAAGCCACACAGGCCACAGATACACCACATTTCAGAACCAGTGACCTTATCTCTTAAAACCAGAATCTCTGCCTTCATATGAGCCTAGGTGGGAAAGGCTGGGCTGGTCAGGCAGGAAAGACAGTCTTTTGAGCTTAGAGGGTGGAGGGGGCTTCTAGGGCCATTGGCCACCTGAGCTGCAGCCCCGGGCACGCTTTGCAGTCCCCTTTCCTGCGCTGACCCTATCTGGTAGGGGTGAGCCTGCCTGAGTAATTAGGTCTGACTGCTGCAGGCCCGCTGAGGACTTCACGCTCCCAACATTCTCCTCCGTCTTATTCATGTTTGGTATTTTTATTACATTATTTTGACATGACATTCCCTAAGTGACATTCAGCTAAACTGTGTTTTTGTAGAATAGGGACTTGCCACTCTCTCGGCACTGCTGCATTCATGATGACAGCCACATGTCTGACATCTCCCCCAGGGTGCAATTACATGTTGACAAAAGAAAACTCTGAAAAAATTTAGTGTGGAAGGAAAAAGCTCAAGCTGCCTTAATTAATAAGTTAATTAATTTTCATTCATTTGTACTGTTGGCGATATAGTGGTGAACATGATAGTCAAGATTCCTTACCACAATGAAGCTTACTTTCTAGTAGGGGAGTCAGACAATAAACAAATAAACAAGGTAATAGCAGATTGTGATAAGTGCTATGAAGGAAAAAAAATACTGAGATGGGATATTAAGTGGGGCAGAATATGTCCCTGTTATCCAACCTCTCCTTTTCTTAGTGTTATAGATCCACTGATGTGCATTGGGAAACATACTGCCCAGAATAGAGACTGTTTCCCAGCCTCCCTTACAGCTAGGCATGGCCAATGGATATGGTAGAAGTGAGCAGATGCCTGGGGCCTTACGTGTCCACAGGCATAGAAGCGTGCGCCTGGCACTTGCTCTTTCCCTCTTCCACCAGCTAGAAATTCTCTCTCTCATACCTCTCTTATCTCTCTTTTCCTACTCTATCTATCTATCTGTCTACTTATGCACCATCTATATGTTCAGTAATCTGTCCATTTGTTCATCTGTTATCTATCCATCCATCCATCCATCCATCCATCCATCCATCCATCCATCCATTCGGCAAGCATTTATGGAGAGCCTGTGGCAGATTCTGGGGATGCAAAAACTAAATAAACTCAATCTATCCCCTCAAGAAGCCCAGAGCCCCTTCAGCAGAGTAAGCACCTAAGTTGCTTTATGAAACATAACAGAAATCATAGAGTTCAAATTCCACTCTGCCACTTTGCTCATATGACCTCAAGATAGTGACTTTTTACCCCTTTGAACCTTAACTTTCTCATGAATACAATGGAGATGATAATCTCTGCCTCTGAAGATTCGATGAGATCAGAAAGGTAGAGCACTTTTTAGAGAGCCTGGCACACAGCAGGCATTCAAAATACTCTTCTTATTAGTCTACGTGGGAACTGGGGAAGTTTCTTGGAGGCTTCTGGGCTTGACATAAAAGGATGAAAAGAATTTGGATGTGTGAGATTGGAAGAGGAGAAAGGGAATTCTGGGCAGAGGGTACGGTAAGAGCAAAGGCAAAGGGGCAGGGAAATTTAGGGTTCATCGAGGAGCCAGTGAGAGAGGTGTGCCTCCCTGAGCATTTCCCTCCCTGAGCATTCTCCTGGCAGCAGGTTCCAGAGACTGAAAAGGACAGGGACAGGGTGGGGTGGGGGTGATTGACAGGCTCAGAGGGGTGAGGACCTGCAGTCCAAGTGACCCAAATAGCCACGGGCAGAGAGAACTGGGTTATGTGCATTAATCTCCACCCCGGGCAGGCTCCCCTCCACCCTCTATCTGGGCTCTCGGGCCTTGCTGGGTGGGAGGAAGATTGTTTTGACACTTGGATGTCGCTTGGGCTTCTCAAACTTAACAAGGCCAAAGAGCTCTTGATCCCCCACTACCTGCTCTGTACTATGTTTTGCCTTTTTTGGCAAATGGTGCCTCCATCCTCCCAGATCTTCAGGCTGTGACCCAAGAGCCCTCCTCGACTCCTTTCTGTTCATCGGCAAATCCCATGGGTTCCACCTTCAAAGTAGTCTGAGCACTTCTCCTGCCTCCCCGATCATCACCCTGGGCCAGGCCCCTGATGTATCCTACCAGGACTGTTACAGTGGCCTCCTCACTGCTGTCCCTGTGCTGTCCCTATGTCCTCCCTCACCCCCGCAGTCTGTTTTCCAATCAGAACACTCTTTTTAAAGCATGCATTGATCCTGCCACTGCCCTCCTCAAAAGCCCCCAGTGGAGTCCCAGTGCACCTGGAATGAAAGCCAGCGCCTCACACAGCCTTCAAGACCCTGTCTGATCTGGCCCCGGCTACCTCTCTCCACTCACATCCACCAGCTGAGCTAAACCTGCTGCAGCCACTGGCCCTGCTGCTCCTCCAATATCCCAGACTGGGTCCAGCCTCAGGGCCTTTGCACTTACAGTTCCTGCCAGGAATGCTCCTCTCCTAGATCTCTGCAGGTCTTTCTTATCTTTCAGCGTTCAGCTCATCCGTTATCCCCAGAGGGACCTCCCTGGCCACCCTAGCCACTTTATCCTCATCTATTATCTCATGACCCTCTTTCAGGGTTTTGGAAGCACTCATCATTTCCTTCTTGACTTGGTAATTGTCTCATTCACTAGAATGAAGTTTCCCTGAGAGGACAGGAACTATGTCTGTCTTGATCCCTGTGCAACACTAGCTGCCTGTTACACAGTAGGTACTCAGTAAATGTTTGCTGGATGAATGAATACACAATACCTTCCCTAGTGGGGATGTTGAAGCGACCTCTCATAACTAGAAACACACTCAACGGGAGCATTTTCGAGACATCTGAGTGGTGTGGCCCCTGAAGATCATGGGAGCTACCACACCCACTGTACAGATGTGGAAGCTGAGGTCCAGAAGGAAAGGGAAGGAACGGGGCCCCAGGCACATAGCCCTGCCAGAGCAGAACCAAGGCTGGGACCCAGATCTTCTGCCCCTCAGCCTCTCAGGCAGGCACTGGTTCCCAGTCCTTGCCTCATGGAATCTTCCTGAAAGCCCCCGAAGTTTGCAGATCTGCCCTACTTCAGCCGCTCATCTTCCCCTGCTCCACGTGGAGAGCTCTTCTAGATGGGTTGGTTTCTGGAAAGCCCACAAGGAAGGAGGGAAATGCAGCCTTTCCCCTCTGGCGCCTGTTTCCCTTGGTAACTGTGGGGTATGGGCTGTGGGCAGGTGTGGGTGTGGAGAGGAGAGATCTCCAGGGTAGGGGTTTGTGCTGCCTCCAGGGCCACAGCCAAGGGTGGCCCAGCCCCAGATGCCCCTACCAGCCTCTTTCCTGCATCCTGCCAGACCCTGGCTGCCGGGAGCTCTCATTATGCCATTGGCAGCCACATGACCCTCCCTCGACCTCACGAAGATTCTGGATGGGAGTTCAGGCCATATTCAGGCAGGGTCAGGCCACAGTTCACAGCTCAGTGTGGTCATGTAGCTTTGGAATGGCTTCTTCTCTCTGTGAGCCTCAGTCTCCCCATGAGTAAGATGGAGCAAAACCCAATGACATTGCAGGGAAATAAAAAGGAAAATCTTCTTGCTACCACAAGAAATATCAGCAACCACAGTTTGAGCACCTGCTGCATGCACTTGCCTAAGTACTTTAATTGTAGCTTTCAAGCCTTCTGGACTGGGGACCAGAGTAATAAATATAGTTCTAAAAAAAAAACCCGGCGAGTACACATACCCTGAAATAAACGCTCCACCCACAAGACGTATCCCCATGATGATAATGTACTCTGATACTTTCTGTTCTTGGGTTTTCAGTGGTGGTTGTGATCCCTTAGATTGATTTTATGACCATCAGTTTGAAAAGCACTGTGTTAACTCATTTAAACCTCACAAAACCCTATAAGAGAAGAACTATTAATATCCCCATTTTATAGATGAGGAAGCAGCTTCAGAGGTTGCGTCACTCTCCCCAGTAAGTGATGGAGCTCAGAGGCCACCGCAGTGCTCATATCCTTAAGCATGGTGCATGGCTGCCCCTTTAAGTGCTGGACCTGGGTAAGAGGGGCCCCCTCCTGCCACAGGGCAGATGGAAACCTTTCCTCGATCCTCTGGCAACTTCCCTTCCTTGGCTCCGGGCAACTCCTCTTTTGGTTTTCCTAAGCAAGATGTCAGGTTAGTAAAACAGATCCCAGAGTTTAATTAAAATAATGAGTGGTATTAGAGGAAGGATGCCAGGGCCAGCCAGAGGGAGAAAATGAGTTACGGTTTTGTTCATGGAGAGGGGCGGAGGGAGAGCACGAGCAGAGGGAGAAAGTCTGTCTGACTCTAGAAAGGCAATAATGTTTCGATGTGGTTTTGCTCTCACTCTTGTCTCCTCTGACTCCTCCTTCCAGAGAATCCCAAGGATCTTTCTATAAGATCTAATCTTGTCGCTCCTCTGCTTTAGAGTCTTCTATGGCTCCCCAGTGCCTTCAGAATAAATCCACACTTCTCACTGAGGTTTGAAGGCCCTACGGGATCTGAGTCCTACTAACGGCACCCCTATTGCCATGCAGCTCCCTGCTTCCCACACCATTCCGATCCCAGAGGTCTCACATGGGCTGTGTTCTCTCCCTACTCCTCTTGCCTGGGCTAACTCCAGCTCTTCCTTGAAGGCCTGTTTAAATGTCACTTGGGGCATAGAGCTGAACCCAAATGATAATACATGCTTCCTGTGCTCATGGTTCAGAGGGGAGACAGACAACACATACATAAACGCATAAAAGGATAGATCAGCCGGGCACAGTGGCTCACACCTGTAATCCCAGCACATTGGGAGGCCAAGGCAGGAGGATTGTTTGAGGCCATAAGTTCAAGACCAGCCTGGGGAACATAGTGAGACCCCCATTTCTAAAAACAAAACAAAACAAAACAAAACACACTTAGGTGTGGTGGCACACACCGGTAGTCCTAGCTACTTGGCAGGCTGAGACAGGAGGATCACTTGGGCCCAGAAGTTTGAGGTTGCAGTGAGCTATGATTGTGTCACTGCACTCCAGCCTGGGCAACACAGTGAGACGCTGTCTCTACTAAAAAACAAGACAGATCATTTAAGACAGGGATCAGCACCAGGTGGAAAGGCAAAGGACTAAGCTTTTTGAGGACCATCTGCCCGGCACCGTTCAGAATGGCTTGTGTGTATTTACCTGTTGAATCTTGCTCCGGTCTGAGAGGTGGAAGCTCTATCACCTCCACCTCATGAGGGGATGAGCTGGAAAGTAGGTTGCTCACAGCTTCTCCTGGGTTCCACTTGAGCAGCCTGGCTTTGGAACTCAAGCTGTTAACCATCGCCCTTCACGGTGGCTCCAAACATTGAGGGGATGGGACAGGCTGGGTAGGTGGTGGGAGAAAGAAGGTGGGGATGCAACTTGATATTCAGTGGCCTGAGAAGGTGACCTGTGAGCTGAACAGTGGGTCTGGCCATGTAAGGACAGGGGGAAGAATAAGGGAAGCAGCAGACGCCTTGAGAATATAAATACGGCAAAGAGCCCAAGGTGGCTGAAGTGGTGGTCCCGCGAGTTCCCATCCACCTGAAATGTGATTGGCCCAGGCCAGCGTGGGTATTGGGAGAGGCCATAGCTAAGTCCACTGAAGGAAGCTATTGGGGTGGTGCAGGGGGTGGGGGCTGTGATGCTGTGAGCCCCAGCCTTGTGACAGAGCCCACGGCTCTTTCCTCTCTGTAGGTGATGCTGGCAAAAGGCCTAGGGGATCCAGCTGGGGAGGGACTGCCAGTCTTCCCAGCAACCAAAATTTGGGGGAGGACCACGCCTATCTCTTGGAATATCATGTTTTTTCGCTTATCGTATTGGAGGCTTCATTCATTCATTCCCTCCCATCTCACCAAATCTCACCTGTCCCCCAAAGTCCTCTCTAACCTCATCTCCTACTACCCTTCTCTCACATGGTCCCATGCAGCCACAGTGGCCTTCTTGCTGTTCTCCCATAGATTGAGCTCATTTCTACCCCAGGCCTTTGCACTATAGCTCCCTCTGCCTGGAATGCTCTTCCCCCACTCTGGGACTGCCCTCCTCATTCAAGCCTCAGCTCCCAGGAAGGGGTTGGTGTGGGCAAAAGGGAGTGCCATTCCTTGCAGACCTCACAATCCCTAAGGATCTTTATTTTATTTTATTATTGTTATTTTAAAGGCAGGATCTCACTCCATCACCCAGGCTGGAGTGCAGTAGCACAATCATAGCTCACTGCAGCCTCGAACTGCTGGGCTCAAGGGAACCTCCCGCCTCAGCCTCCTGAGTAGATGTAACTATGGGCAGGACCCAGGCGCCTGGCTTCTAAGGATCTTAAACAAGAGTTTTCATGATATAGGTATAAGATTATTCACTGCAGCATTGTTTATTCGATCAAAAAGTTTGGAAACAACCTCAATGTCCATCAACAGGGAAAAATTAACTCAACAGAGGGTCATTTATATGCAGCTGTAAATATGAACACTATGCAGCTGTAAAAAGAACAGAGATGGCTCAATATGCATAAATAGGGAACAGTCCCCGAGGTATGCTGTTAGCAAGCAAAGCACCGCGAGAACAGAATGTATAACAAACTCCCATTTCAATAAAACAAGGAAAAAAGAATATGTACATATATGCATTCACTTATATATGGATATGTTATTTGTGGAAGCGATCACAGGAAATTGGTAACAGTGGCTGCCCCTGGGGAGGAGGACGGGGTGGCTGGGGGACAGGGTGGGAGAGAACTTTTCACTGTGTGCCCTTTTGAACACTTTGACTTTCATACTAGGGAAATATAGTAGCTATTCAGAAAACTGACATTCCAGTATTTTTAGAATTTTGACCTTATCTCTAAATGGGTTAGGTACACAAACAGGGACAGAATGATAACAACGAAAAAAGACTGCATTCCTCAAACAACACTACCCCTGCATCCCTTACTGAACCACTCCTAGAGAATGCCATGGGTTTAAAATACGAATATATAAACAAATCGAATAAATCCTGGGGTTATCTTGTGAGTTATGTGAGTTACACATTTATATTATGTTGTGATTTTATGCAGGTTGTCACGATTTGCTCAATGTTACATCTTAAATGTACTGCAACTTTAGGGATGTCTTCATTTTGTTGTTGTTTTCTTTATAAATTAATATTCCAGGAGTCTCAAAAAAATAGAAGTCTTCCAGGCTTCTCTCCGCTGGAGGGACCCTGTCCCAATTCTCCTTAGGGAGTGAAAGAGACAAGGGAGGCCCGAGAACAGGGACAGTAAACCCGAGTTCTCAGGAGGAACAGCAGCCCACAGTCCCAATTTAGGTGCTCCCAGGGGATGGGGACAGGCTGACCAAGGCACAGAGGCAGGGCCAGGCCTACCCCTGGGGATGTAGATCTGCTGAACATGGGCAAGAGAAAATTCCCACCCTGTGAAGCTGGTCTTGCTGCGGACTGGAGGGGAATGTCTGTGGTTTTTAAGCTGTCTCCTCTGGAAACAGCATCTCACAGCGCCGAGCTAGGAGTGCTACCCAGTTCTGAACAATTCCAGAGCCCAGGCTTTTTAGCCACTAAATCAAAGTGAGAGATGTTGACTTAGTGTAGCCATGGCCTGATCTGAATCGACGTTAAAGTTTCCCAACAGCCCATGAGATGGTAGAAAGGATGAAATGATACTATTAATAATGTACACACGCTTAACTCATTCATGACCATCCCCCTGCGCTGGCTTCAAACCCTGTGTCCAGCCTGTATCTCACTTGATTCTCCCAGCCACCCTAGGAGGTAGCAGTGTTGGTTTCATTATTCCCACTTTACAGACAAGAAAGCTGAGGTTCCGAGTGGGGAAGGAACTTGTCTAAGGTCACAGAGCTAAGGAGTGTCATGCATAGAGTAAAAGTCTCCAATCCAGAGCTCCCTCTGATTCACCACCTGGGGAAGCCAGGGGTGGGCCTAGCTCGGTGCCTCAGTGCCCACGGCATGGATGGGAGAGGCCCCTCATCACCAGGCAGGCAGAGTGCAGGGCAGAGGCGGATGACTCTAGTCTAGACTGTCCTGCTGAGGCTGGTGATGGGGGAGGCTCGCTGAGCCACCAGCTACAGGGAGTCTCAGAATATCTACCACATCAGCAAGACCTTCCAGATCTGCCTGCAGGAGGCACCTGGAACATGCCCACCTCTCACCACCCCCAGAGATCTGCCCTGGGCCAGGCCACATCCTCTTCTACCTGAATGATTGTAGTTGCCTCCTCACTGTCTTTCTGCTTCCATCCTGGCCCGTACAATAAAACACAGTCCATTCTCCAGATTCATCCATACGGATCCTGTTAGAACCTAAGCCAGACCAGGGCACTTTTCTTTGCTCAAAACACCTCCCTATCTCCCAGCATACTGAGGACAACAGCCAAAGTCCTTAGAACAGCCCACAAGGCTCTGCAGGGCCTGGCCCCTCCGTATCTCTCTGGCCTGATCCCCTTTACTCCTCCCCTTGCTCACTCCCCTCCAGCCATGCTGGCCTCCCCTCTGTTCCTGGAGCACAACAGGCATGGTCTGGCCTCAGGGCCTTTGCACTTGCTGTGCCCTCTGCCTAGAACACTCCAGCCCCATATATAGGCCTGTTTCCTTTCTTTGTGTCTTTCAGGTCTCTGCTTAAATCTCACATCCCCAGAATGGCTCTCCCTGACCACTCTATTTCAAATGGCACCCACACCCCATGAATACCAGTCCCCTTACTCCTGACATTTTGCATATATGCAGTGATATTATATATTTGTCT
This sequence comes from Homo sapiens, assembly GCF_000001405.40. Taxonomy (NCBI): domain Eukaryota; kingdom Metazoa; phylum Chordata; class Mammalia; order Primates; family Hominidae; genus Homo; species Homo sapiens. The sequence goes on from NC_000020.11 coordinate 49,420,211, forward strand.
CTTATTTCTTTAGTGTTCTCCTTTTGCTTCTAGAATGCAAGCTTTAAGAGCCACAGGTCTTTGTTCTTTTTCTTGATTGTATTGTTGTGTCCTTCATGCCTAGCAAGGGGCTGGCATACAGTAGACACAAATTAAAGAACAAACAAATGAGTTCCAGGTCTCCAGGCAGACTCCTCAGGACTCCGGGACAACAGAGAGTCCTCTGAAATGTCTCATGAATCTCTCTCTCCATGAAAGGCAAACCCAGCATTACACCATGGGTTGGGCAGTTTATGGCCACATGTCCAGGTGGCTGTAGCAACAATACTCATTAGTCAGTGTATTTTTGTGGTTGAAGGCAAGGTACACTCTGTTTCCTCAAGGTAGTCAAACAAACACCATGAGAACTATGTGGAGCTTGAAGGAAACTGTGAGCTCCAAACTTTCCTGCCAGAAAAGGAAACCAAGGCTAAGAGAAGTAAAATACCTTGCCCAATGTCTCTCACCACTAAGAGGAAAAGTCAGCCCTCAAACTCTGGTCTTCTCACCATGAAGCCAAGAAAAGATCCTCAGAGGACACTGGCACTGGTGATTTGTTGTTAAGACAACCATGCAGATAAGCACAGCCCTGCTGATCAGGGCCTGAGAAAAACAAGGATTCTAGGTCTTCCAAACAACAAAGGTGGCCAGTCATGCAGCACCATGAGTTCAGGGTGAGGTTACAACTCATTGTCAATGTGTTCCTGGAAGACATCCAGAGAGCTCTGGACATTTTCTCCTAAAAGCTTTGGTGAGAGGAGAGGGAAGACGTGTTTGGAAACATTCTCTGGACTCCATTAAAGCAGATGTTCTCGGGACCCAGGCCACCATGTGCATGATGTCCTGCTGACTCACCTGTGGGTCTCCCCAGTTCGGAGAAAACACGTGGCCAAGGCTGGGCAAGAAGGTCTGGATTTCCTGCACAGCCCTTCAAGGAGGTGGGGGGTAGGGACACTGGCCTGAGGACAGAGAACAGACAAGCTGGGGAACCACTTCACATTTGGCCTGCTAGGCCACGTGACATTTGGCCGAAACCAACTTTGGCCAATGTGAAGTTCTAAGAAATATCTTGTTCTGGGATGAGCACTTATGGTGTAACAGTCCTGCAGAGCATTTTCTTCCAAAACCTTCTGGCCTACTGACATGCCATGGACTTGCCAACCATGTGAGTCTCAAAACATAATCCCCACATTCTCTGCCATTCCTCCATCAAGAGACAAGGCTTTTGTCTCTTCCCTTTGAGTTTGGGCTCTGCAACTGCTTGTTCAGTAGAATATGGCAGAAATGACCCAGTGCCAGTTTCAGGACCCAGACCTTGAGAAACTGGTATCTTTCACTTCCTGCTCATTGGTATGATCACTCTTGGAACCAGATGCCTCCTGTGAGGAAACTCAAGCCACCTCATGGAGGGGAACTGTCAGACAGCAACATCTTTCCAGCCCTGCGAGCAAGTGAGCCCCAGTTGAGCCGCCCCGGTGGAGGCTGTGTGCAGAGCAGAAATGAACCAGGCCTGTCCATCCTGGCCCACACTGCAGATTCACGAGCAAATAAATGTTTTGTTTTAAGCCACTAAGTTTTGGAGGGTGGTGTGTTATGTGGCTGTAGAGAAATAGAACATCTTCCCAACTGGGAAGGAATTTCCTGGGCCCTGCAGGAACCCAATCCAGATGTAGGATTTTAATAATAACAGAGAGGCCTGGGGTTATTTTAAGGAAGACCAATAAATCAGGTCAGGAAACATCATCTGCTGACTTCCCTCTGGCACTCCCTAGCCTTGTCAATGAGAATAGCTGAGAACAGTCTAGGAGTCTTCCCTATTTGAGATAGAATCCTCTGCTAATCAAACACACCTCGGGATCCTCTATGGCCAGGGTGGAGGTGGCAAAAGTGGAGAACAAATGTTTTCCCTTAATTCAGGATCTTATATATTTTTCACAGAATGTGGAATTACCTGGTGGCTATCGTCCTACTTGGACTATCAAAGGAAATAAGGCCGCTCTATAGGCAAGCATCAGAAACCTCTCCTTCTATTCCTTTCCTGTTTTATTTATTGTGTGGGGCTGCCATGGAGATGGAGCTGGGAAGAGACAGGGGAAGTTCAGCCTACAAAATCTTTGTGAAGCTGGGTGCAGTGGCGCATGCCTGTAGTCCCAGCTATTCGGGAGGCTGAGGTGGGAGGGGTGCTTGAGCTCAGGAGATCAAGTGTGCTGTGAGCTCTGGTTGCACCACTGCACTCCAGCCTGGGTAAGAGAATGAGACCCCATCTCTTTTTTTTTTTTTTTTTGAGATGGAGTCTCACCATGTTGCTCGGGCTGGAGTGCAGTGGTGCGATCTCAGCTCACTGCAACCTCTGCCTCCCAGGTTCAAGTGATTCTCTTGCCTCAGCCTCCCGAGTAGCTGGGATTACAGGTGCATGACACCATGCCTGGCTAATTTTTGTATTTTCAGTAGAGATGGGGTTTTACCGTGTTCGTCAGGCTAGTCTCAAACTCTTGACTTCAAATGATCCGCCCACCTTGGCCTCCCAAAGTACTGGGATTACAGGTGTGAGCCACCGCGCCCAGCCTGAGATCCCCTCTCTTAAAAAAAAACTGTGAATGCCTCTTTTTGTTGGAGTAGGGTTTGGACTGGTTCTTTGCTTGCTTTTCATCAAAGTGGGTTTGTCATGTGATTTTAAAAGTCTCTAAAACTCTGCCTGCCAAAGTATCCATCTGTCTTATTTTATGTTAGCTAGAACACCCCAAGGGGCCAGGATGGCAGGACAAGCTCCAAGGGGTGATGTGGGCAATAGCAGTCAATGTCTGCTCTACACTTGATGGTGCACAAGAGCTTTTATTCTCATGATCTTGGAATATCCTTTCAGGAATCCAGTGAAGGTGACTGGACAAAAACTATGGTATGCCTGTACAAAGGAATACTACTCAGCAATAAAATGGAGTGAGCTACTGATGCATGCCACACCATGGACGGACCTCAAAACCATGATACTGAGTGAAGGCAGCCAGATGCAAAAGGCCACACACTGTATGATGCCATTTACGTGAAATGTCCCAAAGAGACAAATCCATAGAGAAAGAAAGCAGCTTGGTGGTTGCCTGGGCCTGGGTGAAAGGGGTGTGGGGAGTGAATGCAAATTGGCATGGGGTTTCTTTTGGAAATGTTCTGAAATTGGATTGTAGTGATGGCTGCACAATGCTGTAAATTTACTAAAAATTATTGAATTGCACACTTAAAATGAATGAATTTTATGGTATAAAGTTCCATAAGGCTGTTTAAAATTTTTTATGGTATAAAGCTATTTAAAAAAAAAAAAAGAACAGAGGGGAGTCAGAGGGAGGGGACAAGGGGTGGAGGGTGGAGTTGTTAGAGCTTCATGGGGCATAGGAGATAAATGGATATGTACTGGCTGGAAAGGATAGAAGCTGTGATTTTCTTAGTCACCTAACTGGGGAAATCCCAGAACAGGAGGCCTCTGAGTTCCTACTAGCTGACAAGTGATAAAAGCTGAGAGTAATAATGACAAGTGCTAACACTGATTAAGTGCCAGGCACATGCCAGGCAACTATACAGAGCATGTTACAGGTATGAACCCATCTGCTCCTCCAAGAAGCCCTTTGAAGTGGTATTGGGAGATAATTCTCCATGGGTCTCTCCAAGGTCTGCATGTCTTCAGCTCAAAAGACACTGAGACCTTTGTTCTAGACTATCATCTCAAGGACATCTGTGTAGCAAACACACTTGGAGGACAGAGACAATATCTCTCTCTGGAGCAGAAAGAAGAGGATAGAGTTGTTTCCCAACCAGTACAATAATGTCTCTATCTGAGGCAAAGGCTAGACAGGTTTGGCAATAGCCCCTTTATAAGATTGCAGGTTTCCTAAGCTCTGGGATCCTCCATTGAGACACAGATCTGCTGCTGTGTGTGCAGAATCCATTTGGGTTGTTTTCATTGCTCTCATGGAACTTGGGAGACAATTAGAACTGACGCAAATATGAAGCTTGTGCTGCTTGCTATACTGTGACTAATAAAGTCCTTTGTCTCTGACCTGGGATCTCGTGTCTTCTGCCGTCATGTATGGCATTGTGGCAGGCTAACTCATTAGCTTGTGAGCAGTGCAAAATCTCGGACCCTTCGTAGTTCTTCCGTCATACTCACATCACCCCTGTTTTACAGATGAGGACTTTGAGGCCCAGAGAATTGAAGCTTCTTGTTCAAGATCACACAGCTAACAAGTAACAAAGCTAGGACTGTTACCCAGACCGATTGGGAAAGGAAGGAGAGATGAGTAGGGGATTGGAGAAGAGAACCGCTGGAAATGACAGGAGCTGAAGGCCCCAAAGGTACACAGAAGGTCATGCCTCTCAGCTTCCCAAACCCACACACCCCCAGATGCTGCCTGTCCCTACATCCGGCTGCTGGGGCTGAGCAGCCAATTTGGGACGACCGTGATATATTTAACGGTGAGTCATGCTCTCCCCCAGCAATCAGCAGTGGCAGGCTCGGGAGGATGCAGGGAGCATCTCTGGAAATCCGTGCCTGAGGGTCGCCATGACAACGCCATCTGAGTCGCTTGCCAGCAGCTGGGATGCCAGTGCCTGAACCAAGGCACAAAATAGTCTCACAGGCTGAGTGCGGCCGAGGACAGGAGCAGGCCCCCTGCACGGCATCCCCAATGGGTTTGCCAGGGATTGATGGGAGGGATGTGAGGACTTGGTGACAAGGGAGATTCATGGGCTCACTGTCCAGGTCACAGTACTCTATGGAAGCCTGGGGTCCCTGGCTGGTGGGAATGAGCACACTTGGCGTGATGGGTATTTTGGTGAGCACCATCTCTTCCTGCCTTGGTTCTTCTTGGTTTGTCTGTCTCATAGTTGCTCTCCCAGAGGCCCTGCCCAATTTGAGGCTTCTATCCAAGTGTCACAACCTCTGAAGACTGACAGCAACTTGGGAAGGTAACCAAGATCATCTTCCAGGATAATTCTGAAGACTTCAGAACCTAGGGCGAATCAGCCACACCCACACACTAACACCAAATACGAATATCCCATGAAAGCAGCTTGGAATCCATTCATTCATTCATAAATCCATTCATCACCTTGTCCTCTCAGTTGTTCATTTTAATTAGAACCTGGGTCCTACAGGCCCTATGTAGAAGTGGATTTGGTTATCCCGTCCTCATCCCCTTTCACTCCCCCTCTCTTATTCTACTCTAGCTCACTAGTCTTACTGCTGTTCCTCAAACATACAGTTGCTTTTCTGCCTCAGAGCCTTTGCACTTGCTCCTCCATCTGCCTGGAAAGCTCTTCCCCCAGAAGGGAAGCTCTCCCTTTAGGTTTCTGCTCATATGTCACCTTCTCAGAGACACACTACCAAGACCACCCTAGGAGAAAGCACCTAATTCAGCCTCAGTGATAAGGCCAAATATATATATATATATATATTATGTATAATATGACATATATCTGTGACTTAGTTTCCCCCATCCGTACGAAGCAAAGAGAGACAAGCTGAAAATTGGTGGCCTGTAAGTTGAATCTAACTCACAGACCTGTTTTGTTTGGTTTACATAGTGTTTCAAGAACTGAGCAAGTTGCTAACAGTTATAAAGTTGAGAGATTTTGTTTTAGAATGCAAATTTTCAATTTATCTCGAAAAACTAAGGTTGGGTGTGGTGGCTCATGCCTGTAATCCTAGCACTCTGAGAGGCTGAGGAGGGTGGATCACTTGAGCCCAAGGAGTTTGAGACCAGCCTGGCCAACAGGACAAAACCTCGTCTCTACAAAAAATACAAAAATTAGCTGTGTGTGGGGGCATGTACCTGTAGTCCCAGCTACTTGGAAGGCTGAGGTGGGAGGATCACTTGAGGCTGGGAGGTTGAAGCTGCAGTGAGCCATGATCATGCTACTGCACTCCATCCTGGGAGACAGAGTGAGACCCTGTCTCAAAAAAAAAAAAAAAAAAAAAAGAAAAGAAAAGAAAACAAAGAAAAATATTAAGCTGTGCATTCTGCATCTGTAAAAGCAACTGGCTGAGGCATGAGCATTCCAGTGCCAAAGGCCCTATGTGGACCTCTTCATTCATTTATGTGGCCATGTTCTACCTATGGGAGTCTTTGGGCTTGCAGCCCAAGTCTCTAATCCGAGGTCTCTAAGGGTCTTTGGTTTGGGATGGAAAGAGTGTGGCATAGTGGTTAAGAGTCAGGCCGATGGGGCTGCAATCCTCACTCACTTCAGTGTTCACAGCTTCAGTTTCCTCACATGTAGTATGGAATCTCAGAGAGTTAATGTGCGAACTGAACAAAACAATGTACCTGGAAAAATGCTTAACACAGAGCCTAGGAAATAGAACACAATAAGTGGAAACTTAAAAAAGAGCTTTTTCTGGCCTTTAATGACAGTCCATTCCTTGATCTGACTCACTAGGTCTCTTCGATCAGAAATTTGGGAGACAAGGAAGGGCTGTTTTGCTGCAATTCACTTGATGTCAAAGCAGGAAAGACCTCGGACAAAGCTTCAAGTCTAACCTTTTTTGTTCTCGGGTGAGTAAACCAAGACCAGAGGATGAGTCTTGCCCAGAAGAGTTTCTAACCATTCTTCCCCCAGGTATTTGTTTCCCGGTGAAATTTGCTTAAAGTTGGAATTGGCTGAGTGTGGGCCAGAGCTATGGGCATTGTTGTGAACACTTGCTTTTAACTGCCCAGTATCTACTTGCTCTTTATCTGTAACAGCTCCCTGATTTTTCCCTGGCACCATCCCTCTTCTGATCCCCAGGAAATGGCTCCAGGTATGGGCATGTGGTTCATGACCACAGTGGTTGGCTCAGAGATGGCCATATGATGCAATCCAGGCCAATGCATGTCAACCACAGAGCTCTTAGGAACTACTGGTACCCACTGGAGCTGCTGGGCTGGTTAGATACAAGCCTGGGGCTGCTGAGAGCCATTTTTGCTATGACTTGGGGAGCTGCCTGCGAGGATGCCAACACAAAGGAAAAAAGGTCCAGGTGATGGAGGAAAACAGAAACCTTAGAACATAATTTGAGCAACTTGATTCAGCTGAGCCTGAAGGCGTGTACCCCTGGGCTTTTCAGTTACATAAGCCAATCAGTCCCTTCTGCCTTCCTCTTTTTTTGCTACGATCAGTTAGAATCAAGATTCTGGATTCATCCAGGCATGGTAGGTGAAGGTGTTGGGTAAGCAAAGGCCCAGAAGCAGGAAAATGCAGAACAAGTTCTGGGATTTCCAATGAATAACCTGCAGTGGGAAGAGGCCAGTAAACTCACTTAAAGCCAGAACCTGGGGAGCTTTGAATGCCTTGCTAAGTCACTTTGACTTTATCCTAAGGGTAACAGGGAGCCATGGGAAAGGACCTGCCAGAGTTGGCAATGGTGTGGGGCAGTGGGAGTGAGGATTATTCTGGATATTAAGTCTGGTTCAGGGTTCTCCTGGGATCCAACTCCAGCCCAGAGTGCATGCAGTGGTGAGAGAGGGTGTCTTCCCTCAGCACCCGCAGCTTCCAGTCCCTCCTGACTGTCTTATAATAACAGTGTTTTCAATGCAGACCTTCTGGGTTCCCTGCCGCGAATCACTCAGCCACCCTTCCAGGGAGAAAACAAAAAGCAGTGTTTTTCCGTGTCTATTTTAGGCTGCTGCCTACATCTTTGTTCTTCGTGAGGAACACACACTCCCGGGGGGCCCTTTTCTCAGCTGTGGCCCAGCAGTCGGGTCTGGACCACCAGGCTGGGTTCCGTTATGGGAAAGAACCAGCAGATGTAATGGAATCATGCCAATTAGGCCAGGAGCTGCGTGGGGATGATGTTATCATTAAGTTCCAGAAGACGTGGAGGTGAGGGGGAAGGTAGCTCATTCCCGTCCACATGGCTATCCCAGACGGACTGCCTTTTTTGATCTGTCCCCTTCGACTATCCTGAGCAGCTAGGAAGAGCCCACCCTTGCTATCCCCTGAGGGACAGAATTTAGAAGTCTGCATTGTATGAGACACTTGTGCTCATTTTACTGTTGGGCTGAAAGCAGAAGTAGAAATTCTATGGCAAATGGGTGGATCCAGCCCACCCATTTTACAGATGGTAAAACTGAGGCCTGAAGAGGAAGCATAGTTTGTTCAGGTTTATAGAACATTTGGTGGCAATCTATGACCAAAAAGACCAGAACATAAAATCTCAGAGGGCATGTACCTTATCTGTCTTGGTCAACATCGTGTCCCATCACAAAACATAGTACATGGCAAATAATAGGCCCTTGATATACATTGGATGAATGAACAACATCTCTACTGCTGTTTTCAGCTTTCACAAAGAATTCTCTCACACATTCCCTCATTTCAACGTCATGATTGTCTTTGTAGCCAAGAATTGCTTTTGTCCTTATTTTGCAGGTGAGGAAATGGAAGTTAAGAGAGGCTTAGTTGCCTATCCGAGATCACACAGCCTAGGTAGAGACTGAATTTGAATCCATGTCATCTTGATGCAGGCTGGGGCATCACTTAAATTTTGGTAGAGGAAGAGACCTTGGAAATGTCCAGCTGGGAGGTAAAAGCCTTGGTCTACAAGGACAACTCTGACTTTAATTATACTACAACATTTGGAGTGAGGGGAACAAGAAAGCAGGTCCTCAAAAATGTTCAAAAGAGTTACCATATGACCTAGCAAGTCCACTTCTAGGTATACATCCAAGAGAATTGAAAACCTATGTCTGTGCAAAAAATTATACATTCATAGCAGCTTTATTCATAATAACCAAAAAGTAGAGACACCCCAAATGTTCATCAACTGATGAAAGATAAATAAAATGTGGCCTATCCATACAATAAAGTAGTATTCATCCATAAAAAGGAACAAAAACGGATACAAGCTGCACTGTGGGCGAGCCTTGAAAACATTTTGCTAAGTGAAAGAAGTTAGTCACAAAAGGCCCCATATTGTATGATTCCATTTATGAGAAATGTCCAGAATAGGTACACCTAACGAGACAGAAAGTATAGATTACTGGTTGCCAGGAGATGAGGGGAGGAAGGAATGGGGGGTGACTGTTAATGGGTACAGGGTTTCTTTTTGGGGTGATTAGAATGTTCTAAAATTAGATGTGATGATGGCTTCACAACTTTTTGAATATGCTAAAAACTATTGAATTATACATTTTAAATGGGTGAATTTTATGGCATTTGAATTATACCCCAATCAAACCCTTAAAAAAAATACCAAGAGGAGCATTTCCATGGCAAGGGAGTTTTAGAAGGGGGAACATACAAATGAGGAAGGGTCCCCAGCATGGACAGCTCCATGCTGTCTTCTTGGATGTCCCAGGAAGAATTTCAAGAAAGTATTTCAACCCCCAGCTCCAAGGATTCACCTGAGGGCTTGTTCCTATGGAGTTGAGAATCTGTAGGATACCTCCTCCAGGTAACTCTCCCAGATATCCCAACCACAGACAAGAAAATGAACTCATGATAACTGGGCACCACTCAGTGCCCTGGTGCTCTGCTTGTGATATCTCACTGAAGCCATGCAACAACCTTGCTGAATGTGAGGTAGTACCATCACCCTTGTTATCCAGGTGAAGAAATGGAAGCTCACAGAGATAAAATGACTTGTCTGGGGTCACACAGCTTTTGGCTCTCTCAGCTACATCATAGTGCGTGGGACACACCCAGAGTAAGGCCTGAGGCCACTTTCCGAGGGAACCCAAGCAAGTTCCTTGACACTGTGGGCCTTAGTTTCCCCATCTGTTCCATTAAATCCCAGCTTACTCCTTCATTGTCCTGGTGGGGGCTTCAGCCAGAGCATCACCACCTGCCTCTGATATAATGGTGCTTCACATTTCATCAGATTTCATGTGAACAAAGCCAAACATCTTTTCTCAGTGCCTCACCTGCCCAGGGATCCTAGTCCACATCTATGCTGTTTTTCTCCACTCTGTCCTTCCAGTGCTTGGCACGCTGTGCCACTTCTCAAAAAACCCTGATGTTGCCTGCCATTGGGTTCAAGGCAGATGATGTGATTTCACAGGCTTTCTTCTTCAGCACTAAATAAGGTGCTTTTGTGGGGCCCTTCCTTTACTTCTGATGCTTTAGGTTCAACTTTGGAGTTTGTAGACTTGCAGAGAATTTTCCATCAAAGCGTACAGGCAGAGATGCAAACACACACCCTTTTATATCTCCATCCATCCATCCATTCATTCACCCATCAATCCATTTACTCATCCATCCATCCATCCATCCATCCATCCATCATCCATCCATCCACTCATCCACCCATCCATTTATCCATCCATCCATCCACTCATCTACACATCCAATTGCCCATCCATCCACCTACTAATCCATCCATTCATCCACTCATTCATCCATCCACTCATGCATCCATTAAATCATATATTCATCTACTCATCTATCTACCCATTCATTTATTTTCCCATTTCCTTTATTCATTCATTAATTCAATAAATATTTACCAAAAGCCGACTATATGCCAGGCACCATGTTGGCCAATGGATACAGTGGAAGAAAAGACAAAATGAGGTTCTTCTCCTCATGGAGCTCACAGTCCACTGAAGGAAGATAGGCCTCAATAGACACACAAAATGTAAGCATAAATTGGGATGAATGCTACCAAAACAAAGTCCAGAATGATAAAGATGCCTAATTTCCATTGGGAGATGGAGGAGGCTTTTCTGAGAAAGTTGACATTTAAGATGAGATCTGAAGTATGATTTATGATTTATCAGTTAGGAATGCTCTTGGTTTAAGAAGTAGAAAATGCTAACCAAAAGAGGCTCCAGCAGTTAGGGTTATGATCCCACATAACCAAAAGTCCTGAAATAGGGTTACCCCATCACTGAGGGACTTGACAACATAGTTAAATATCCAGACTCTCTACCATCTACTCTACCACCCTCAGAGGACTGGCTTCATTCCCAGGCTGGCTTACTTCATGGACACAAGATAGCTGCCTCTGCTCTGGCCATCAGGTGAAGACATGCCCACATTCATACTCAGACCATCACGAGCAAAAGGAATGGGGCCACCATGATTGTCTCAGATCAGCTGTTTGCAACTGGCCCTGATTTTGCACCCCAGGGGACGTTTAGAAACATTTTCAGTGGCATAATTATGTGTGTGTTTTGGGGGCATTGCTACTGGCATCTTGTGGGTAGAGGCCAGGGATGTTGCTAGGCATCCTACAGTGCACAGTACAGACCCCATGAGAGATAATTATTCAGATGTCAATAGTGCCTGCTTTAGACCAGTTAGAACAAAATCCTGAGTCATGGGGCACACAGTAGAAAGGCGTAGGGGAATTGCTTAAGAAAGCTTTCCTGGATGATGTAACAGCTCAACTGAGTCTTGAAAGATGGACACTGGTTAATAAATCCAGGTAATAACCAGCTGGCCACGTGGATGAGCAAAAACGCAGCCCTTCCCTCTTTTCTGCCTCTTCTAGTCGATGTGAGCCCCATATGGTCAGGGACCTCACCTGACCCATTCACTTCTCCATCCCCATTCCCATTTGATGCCCATTACCATAGTTGTTCAACACATTGTTGTCAAAGAATGAGGGACTAAAATGGGGAGAAACCCTCTCTGGAGGCTGAAGCCCCAACTTTGAAAATTCCTGGGAGTCACACAGAGTGAATGTTGGGGGCAATGACTCTGGAATAAGTATAGGAGGATATCAGTCAACATGAGGAAACCCCAAGAAAACATTTGGTTCAGTCCTATCATTGTACAGATGGGGAGACTAAGACACACAAAAGGGGAGAAAATGGTTCAAGGTCACTCAGAAAGGGGGTCAGACACAGCCAGAACCCATGTGCCCCTTTCTTAACCCGTGATCAACAGCAGCTGGTGGATCCTGAACAATTGTTTAGAGACTCACGGTCCAGCTGAACACAGTTCCGAGTTCCTGAATTTGGGCGTTTCCCACCTCTTATCTCCTTAGAAAGCTTTCTTCCTGGATTCACTTACCTTGGGACCCCAGAAGGATGCTGAGTGGGGCCACCTTCTGTGAGTGTGTACTCTGCTCAGATGGCAAAATGGCTACCAAACTGCCCAACCCAAATGGCCGGTTCATGGACACGTTTTGTTTGGTCCATGTTTGTTTAATTCTTAAAAAAAAATTATTATTTGCATTCTTTGCCAACAATAAAAATAATTGGGACAGTGTGCCTTAATCCAAATTTCCCACTTCTCTTCGGTAATCAGAAGGTTTGACAGCATTGTGCCCATTTTTCTGCATGGCAGCTATTTACAGGAGTTGGGCAGTGGCTGCTCCTTTTGTCAGGATACAAGTGCCCCATTTCATCCCAGTGCCCTCCTGGCTATATCACTCTTGTACAGGGCTGCCTGGCCCCAGCCCAGCTGATGGGACACAGGCGTGAGTAGTGAGGCCATGCAGGGACCACAAGCAGGACACTCTCCCTCTCTCTTGGAAGGAAGCACCTTGGTTACCATAGCAACATGCTGCTGTTTGTAACACATCTTCCACCTGAAAAGGAGAGGAGATGACAAGTACATCTCTCTTCTCAGCCCAGGCAACATCAGCTCCTGGCACCCCCCAAAACCTAAGAGCGAGAAGGGGGAGTGTGATCTGTCTTCTCCAATCTGGGCCCCAAATGCAGATGCCCCAAACACCCCCATTTGTTCAACCAACCCAGAGATGAGGCGTTGGGAGGGGTTGATTTAGATTCCATCTTATATAAAAAGACCAGAACATTTTTGATTAGTGATGGAGGAAGGTGTGGGAGTCTGAGACAGTGCTTTGTTTCTGGGCAAATGTACACATTCCCTGATGCCTCTCTTCTCTCCACGTCCTCTAAAGTAGAAGCATAGACTCCCTCTCCTTACTACTCCTCACAGCCAAATTCCCCTCAGCCAGGACCCCAGACCTTTCCCAATACCCAGGAGCCCCTAGGGCAGCAGGCCTGTTTCTAGGCTACCTACAGAACCTGAAGGAAATAAGGGAATGAAATAAGAGAATCAGCCAGAAATAAGGCAGGGCACCGTGCGGTATTTTCCTTTGAAACTAAGAGGCTGAGAGCTGGAACAGCAGCAGAAATCAGAAGAAATCTCATTGAGAAAAGAGGCACAGAGAGGAGTGCCAATTAGCACCCAGGTCCCCTCCTGGGAGTGTCAATCCATAAATATTAATAACCGTAATCATCCAGTATTAGTTATAATGCCTTGTAAATTAAGGTCATTTTCCGTGGAGTAAATAGCTGCGTTAATGGCAGCAAAAGGTAACGGCGTTGCTGGCTGCATGCCAGTTGATGCCTGCCAGGATGACAGTATAAATCAGGAAGGACACGTCCAATCTGTGAAGACAGGCAGTGGCATGGGGGCAGGTGGAGTGACGGGGCAGAGTGTGGCCGCAGACACACATCCCACGCAAGGCCCTTGGGCCGATCTGATCTAACAGGGACCTGCTTTAGACAGGTGATGTCTGGGGCAGATGAAGCTCCCAGGGTCACTAGGTGTAGGTAGGAGGGGAGAGAAGGGGCCGGGTGGGTAGGGAGAGGGTGTCTCAGAGGGAGGTGGCACCAAGACTTCAGACACTTGGGTTAAGAGCAGAGGGCCACGCTTTGAGCTGCTGCCTGTGGCATTTCACTGCAGACCTTGGCGCCTTTGCTAAGCGACACAGACATTCTCTTCTTCCTCTACCTCCTTTCCCTCCTCTCCATCTTCCTTCTCTTCCTCTCCTCTCCTCCTGCCAGGGCTGACTTCTCCATTAGGCCCAATAGACACAGCCTGGGGTTCACACTACCTCTAGGGCCCCTTCTCCAATGTTTTAATTTCTTTTATAATTAGAAGAAAAAAAGAACTTTCAGCAGGAAGAAAATGTTGTAATACTGTATGTGATATTAATATATTCATCTTTATACCAATGTAGCCATAATATAGCATGTTTGTTTTTTTTTCATGGAGAGAGGCCTAAGTGCCCGGGGGCCACAAAATTCATCACATGGCCCTACTTTCTGCTCCCCACCCCTCCTCCCACTAACCACGGGGCCCTAAGCAATTAGCATTGCCTTATGGAGTCTCGGTTTCATCCTTTGCAAATGGGCTAATAATGGTGATGCCTTCCCAAGCAGGATGAAGTAAAATAATATTAGAAAAAGCTTTGGCCACAAAGTGGTGTTTGCCTCCTTTTCAGGAGGCTCTGGGATCCTGGGAGTTAGGCGGGTGATGTATTTGAAAATCTCAGTGGATGGAGTCCCTGGTAATGCTCCCTATGGGCTCCCCAAGCTAAATGCACCGTCAGACCCTTCTCTCGGGTCTGACCCATCATCTTCCTGGGCTCCCTGGTTTCTCTAAAGAGCAAATGCTTTTCTTGACCCTCTGAGAAAACTCACAAGGCACTTGAGTATACTAGATGGATCAAATAATGCCTTTAAATTCCAACGGAAAGAAAGCAGCCATTATGACGGGCTCCAGCAAGGGGAGGGAGTTGGGGGCCTCCTTGTTCCTTTACTGCTGGGACTGGACACACTGGGGTTTGCAATACCCAGTGCAGATGAAAATGTGGGGACCCTTGTTCAAAAACTATGGATTTCATGACAGTGACAGCAGAGCCTCTAACAAAGTGTGGGGCCCTTCTGAGAGGGGCGTCTGGTACTACTGCACTGGTTGCACACCCGTGACAAAGCCTGTTGTTAGCTTGCAGCTGGGAGGACGGGTGTGGCAGTGGCCGGGGAGGGGACAGCAGTGATGATGATGCTGTTTGATTTCCCCCAACTCCACCTTCACCTAGTACAGTGCCTGGCATGTTGTAGGTGCCTAAGAAGTTCTAGTTCATTCTCTCATTCCCCTAACACAGGGCCCACCATGGCAGATGAGGCCTGTCCCCACCAGGGTGGAAGCTGGATCACTGGGCCCGGCTTGGCACCTGGTAACGATCCCTCTCCAGGGGGCTGTGCCCTGGATCCTCTCTCTCCTCCCTCCTCCACCTTCCCCCAGAAAGAGTGATCCTTTATTTTACTCCTGGCCTATGGTTTTTGTGTTGGCAGAAGTGGAGGTGCTTATGGCCAGCATAGCCTCCAAACTAAACACTGCAGAAGTATTGAGTATTATTATTATTTTTATTATCTAAATTTGCAAACTCTGCCCCCTCCTATTACTCAGCTCCTTCCTTTTCTTCTTTACTTTTCTTCACTGCCCTTGTCCCCTCCTGATATTATAGTGCATATCTATCTGCTTGTGTGCTATCTGTCTCCCAGACCGAAGGGTGGACTCCACGAGGACAGGGACTTTGTCTTATTCACTCTGGAACCCCAGAGTTAGCACAGGGCTCAGCACATCAAAGACACTCAATAGGTATTTGTAGAATGTACACACAAATCTTGGAAAGGTGGGCAGGGATGCTGTGTGTCCTGGGGCCAGGAAGCCACCTCTCTGAGTCTCCCTTTCCTCACCTGTAAAAAAGAGGTAACAGCAGCTCTTGCAAAGGCTGAGGAGCAGATGAAAGGAGGCCACACCCTGCAAAGGCACTGTGAGCTGGTGAGGGAGTGCAGCGATATCACAGTTCCTAGAGCCCGGCCTGCAAATCTGGCCACAGCTGCCAGTCAACAGCCCAGGCTCGGCTAAGGTGCCATAACTTGGTGCCCACCTTGGATTTTCACACCCAGCTGGCTACTGGCCACCAGATGGCATAGAAGGTTAGTCCAACCACCTGGCCTGACCTGGGAGGCTGCCCAGCCTCAGAGAGCATCCTTCCTAGCGATCACCTGGGCTCTAGACCTCAGCCTGGTCCTGGCCTGGAGGGCGGTGGAGGGGGCTCAGCCATTCAGACTGCTGTGTGGACTCTCACCTGACAGCATGTCATTCAATCCACTCTGTCAAGAAATACTATGATAACAATCAGGGAAATGCAAGCCAAAATCACAGTGAAATACCACTTCACACCCACTAGGATGGCTAGAATAAAAAAGACAGAACAAGTGCTGGCAAGGATGTAGAGGGACTGGAACCCTCATATATAGCTGGAGGAAATGTAAAATGGCAAAATCACTTTGGAAAACAGTCTGGGAGTTCCTCTAAAGGTTAAACATAGAATTACCATATGATCCAGCAATTCCACTTCTAGGTACATACCAAGAGAAAGAAAAACATATGTCCACATAAAAATTTGTGCACAAATGTTCATAGCAGCATTATTCATGATAGCCCAAAGTGGAAACAACTCAAATGTCCATCAGCTGATGAATGGATAAACAAAATGTGGTATATCCACATAATGGAAGCTTATTCAGCCATAAAAAGGAATGAAGTACTGACGCATGCTGCAACATGGATATAAAATCTTGAAAACATTATGCTGAGCAAAAGAAGCCAGACACAAAAGGTCACTTATTGTGTGATTTCATTTACATGAAGTGTCCAGAATAGGGCAATGTAGAGAGATAACAATTAGGTTAGTGGCTGCCCAGGGCTGGGATGGAGGTGGGGAGAGATGGAGAGTGACTACTAAGGGGTAGGAGTTTCTTCTTGGGATGATAAAAATGTTCCGAAATTGATTATGATGATGGTTGCACCACTCTGTGTATGTACTAAAAACCATCGAATTGTACACTTTAATGGGGGTAAATTGTAGCTTTAATTTAATGGGTAAATTGTACATCTCAATAATATCTCAATAAAGCTGTTATATGTATATGTGTGTATGGATTTGAATAAAATGCATTTGTAAGGCATCTAATATGAGCCAAGTGAAGAGCACAAAATCTCTGCTTGCTCAGGAAGCTAACCATGAAGAGACAGAGGAACAGATACAAGTGCAATTTGACTCGAAATATGAAAAGCGCAATTTGACTTTAAGAAAAATAAAGCGGGCTGGGTTAGGGTTGGCCAGGACTGGAGTTGCTTTAGATGGAGGAGAGGCACTGTGGTCCAAGGAAGACACACTGAGGAGGTAGCTTTTGAACAGAGACTTGAATGAAGAGATTGGGTGGGGTGGGGCACAGAAATTGGGTGGAAGAGTATTTGCAACAGGAGAAATAGCAAGTGCAAAGGCCCTGGGGTGGGAGCACTGAGCCAGAGGAAGCTAAGAGGTAAGGAGGGAGAACTGATGGGGGCTGGACCCTGGAGGGCCAGGGAGGTTCTGCCGAGACCCATGGCTTGGTTCTGAGTGAAGTGGGAGCCGTGGAGGGCTTTGAGCAGAAGAGGGACATGCTCTGACTTAGGTTTGCACCAAATCTCTCTGGCTGTGAGTGGAGAATGGA
The DNA here is from genome assembly GCF_000001405.40 of Homo sapiens. NCBI lineage: Eukaryota > Metazoa > Chordata > Mammalia > Primates > Hominidae > Homo > Homo sapiens. The sequence continues at coordinate 49,437,460 of NC_000020.11, forward strand.
CTGTGGGGTGGATGTGGGCAGGATGGAAGCTGGGAGACCAGTGACTAGGCTACTGAAATAGACCAGGTGAGAGACGAAGGGGGCTCGGCCAGGGGGTGGAGGCGGAGGTGTGAAGTGGTCAGATGCTAGTTGTGGACTAGCAATTCTATCCATGGAACCTCCACTTGCAGGGATTTTTATTGCCATTTAACTTGACCCAGATGTCAGCTGAGATCAAAAGCTTCCTACCTGATGAACAGTCTTTGAATGCCTCCCAATCGCCAAGGTCAATCACAGCCCCTCCCCAGAACGCTATAAATGCCGGGGTCCTTGCTTCTTCTGTCCCTTGGGTTCAAATGTCCTGAATCCATCTGGATGCTGTCTCAGCCTCTGCCACCGATTTCCATGAGAAACTCAACCCATCAAACATGTTATCATTCTGGCAGACTTAACAGAAGAGTCAATAGTAGTAAACACCTTGTAAGATTCTTCTCCAGGTTAGATGAGTTAATGTATGTAAAAGCACTTAGAACAGTGCCTGGCACATGGTTGGCACTCAATGAATGTTCACTCCTATTATTTATTTATTTTCATTTTAGATTCAGGGGGTACATGTGCAGGTTTGTTACACGGGTATATTTTGTGATGCGGAGGTTTGGGCTTCTAACGATCCCATCACCCAAGCAGTGAACGTGGTACCCAACAGGTAGTTTTTCAATCCTTTTCCCCCTCTCCCTCCCCTCCTTCCCCTTTTCTGGACTTCCCAGTGCTTATCGTTCCCATCTTTGTGTCCGTATGTACCCAATGTTCAGCTCTCACTTATAAGTGAGAACATGTGGTATTTGGGTTTCCGTTTCTGCATTAATACACTTGGGATAATGGCCTCCAGCTGCATCCATGTTGCTGCAAAGGATGTAATCTCGTTCTTTTTTATGGCTGCAGATTGTTATTCTTTTAGAGACAGGATCTCGCTCTGTCACCCAGGCTGGAGTGCAGTGGTGCGATCATAGCTCACGGCAGCCTTGAACTCCTGAGCCCAATCCATCCTCCCGCCTCAGCCTCCTGAGTAGCTGGGACTACAGGAACGCACCACCACACCAGACTAATTTTTAAGTTTTTGTTTGTTTGTTTGTTTTTGTTTTTTTTTAGAGACAGAGTCTTGTGATATTGCCCAGGCTGGTCTTGAACTCCTGGCTTCAAGTAATCCTCCCGCTTCAGTCTCCCAAAGTGCTGGGCTTACAGGTGAGAGCCACCGTGCCCCGTCCTGGCTTCTGTTATTATCACGTGGCTAGCGTAAGGGGTGTTGGGTAGGTAGCTCCCTTTCTGGGAAACATTGGCCCCATCCACCCACATCCGATGGGGCTCTCCCATTTCAACAGGTCTTAAGAAGCCATCTCCTCAACAAAAGTGGGCCCCTGGGAGGAATTCTCCTGACAGCCACTAAAACAGTATGCTTGACCTGCATCTCATAACGCATCCAGGAGGAAATGAAAGCACAGACAGCTGGAGAACCAGGCCCAAGGTCACAAAACTTAGGTGTAGCAGAGCTGAGAATTCAATGTGCATTTGATGCTAAGCCAGGTGATAAAAGAAGGAAAGCCAGTTTTATTGAGTGCATGTTATATTCCAGGCATCTTTGTATGCACTGTGCTTTTATTTATTTATTTATTTATTTTATTTAATTTATTTTTTGAGGCACAGTCTCACTCTGTCACCTGGGCTGGAGTGCAGTGGCGTGATCTCGGCTCCCTGCAACCTCCACCTCCCAGGTTCAAGTGATTCTCGTGCCTCAGCCTCCCAAGTAGCTAGGATTACAGGCATGTGCCACCACACCCAGCTAATTTTTGTATTTTTAGTAGAGACGGGGGTTTCACCATGCTGGCCAGGCTGGTCTTGAACTCTCAGCCTCTGGTGATTGGCTCGCCTTGGTGTCTCAAAGGGCTGGGATTACAAGCGTGAGCCACTGTGCTCAGCCTGCATTGAGTTTTTAAAAATTTCACTTTTTATATAAATTATATTAATTTTGAAGGGCAGTACCTGCACACAGTTTGAAAATCAAAAAGGTACAAAAGGGTACACAGTTAAAAAGGGGGATCTTCCTCCCGCCCCTGTCCCCTGTCAACCAGCTCTCTGCCTCAGAAGTGACTACTATTTTGTTTCTTAGGGATCTTTCCAGTGACGGACTAGGAATGGCAGAACCTACTAGTTGCCCACCCAGTATCCAGCCTCCACCTCCTCCTTGCTAACAGAACCCCAATTTTGCTCACAGGTGGCCATATGCCCAGATAAAAACACTCACATTCCTGACTCCCTTGCAGTTAGCAGCAGCCATGTGACCTGGTCTGTACAGCGAGATGTAGGTGGAAGTCCCTGGGCAGGGAATTTCTTTTCACTCCCTCAAAAGTCAAAGTGCCCGGAAAAGAAGACTTTTGTGTTTTTGTTTTGCTTTTGCCCTTTGCCCTTAAAAAAAATTTCTTGCCTGGGTGAGACTCCATCTCAATTAAAAATATATATATATATTCTGCCTGGAATGTGGACTTGATACCTGGAGGTGGAGGAGCAGCCACCTTGAGACCGTAAGGATCAGAGACACGTACTCAGAATGGGGAAAGGAAAGAACGATGCTTGAGTCCTTCAGCAGCTGCACCAGTGCTGCGCTGCCCGGCTCTGGACTTACTGTGTTTGCTCAAGCCATCGTCTGTTGGATTTTTCTCATCCTTGCAGCTACATGCCTTCTTAACTGAAACCGTGCCTAAATAAGCATTTGTATTTATCTATGTTCTTTCTTCCCCACAAAAACGGTAGCATATACTCCACCTACCCTTCAGGATCTTACGTCTTCACTTAACAATATATCTTGAAGGTTGTTACAAATAGGTACACACAGAGCTGCCCTGAACTTTTAAATGAATGTGTCTAAGACCTTGTACAGATGCTCCCTAGAGTGTTCCACCAAGTCCCTCTTGGTGTGGGTCGTTCTCAACTTCTTGCTATCACAGATAATACTGCAGAGACAAAACAGGGACATTGTTCATATCCCACATGTGAGGGTTTGTCTTCAGAAGAATTGCTGAATGCAAGGGCAGATGCTTTTTCAGTGTTCTTAGATTTTGTCAAATTTCCCTGCAAAGAAGTCTGGCTGACGTGCATTCCACCAGCAATGTGGGAGTGTACCCACACGTTGTCTCTAATCCTTTCAACAACAAACTAGATGGTGTCCATTTTGCTGAGGCTCAGAGAATTGTACATGGCCTGCCCAAAGTCATCACAGGCAACTGGTGAGATGGGGATTTGTACCAGGGTCTGTCTGATGTCAAAGCTGTGCTTGTAAACACATGACATTGCTTTTCAGGCAGCCTGGATTCCAGAGACTCTCAGAAAAGAGGGAAGAACGAATCTGACCCAGGCGCTGGTCTGTACCTGAGAAGAGCCTTTGGGCTGGGCTGTGGGGAGGCCCGTGTTTGTCCTGGGCCGCGTCCCAGCTCAGGTCTGTCATGGCCTTGCTGTGTGAGCAAGTCCTGCCCCTTACCCTCTCTCTGGGCCTCAGTCTTTCCACCTGTCAAATGGATGGCTTGGAGTTGCTGGTTCCTAAAATCCTTTAATGTTAGGCTTCTTGAAAATCCCCAAGTCTGAGGGTATCTTGGGAGCTGCTTTTCAGACCTCAAAATGGAAACAGCGATTTTTCCTCTATTCCTGACCGAGCAGAGGTCAGCAGCGTCAGGGGCATCTACTTCTATCTGTGGACTGAGGTCACATTCCCTGGGGGAGGCTGGGCCATGGTGGGGCAGCAGTCCGCTGCCCTGTTTTCTCTGTAGGGTACATCTTCTCCCAGCTCTGACAGCCAGATTCTGAGGACAAATATTCCAGTTATGGTTTCAGATACTGAGTATTTTCCAAAGTGATTTACATATCTAATCTGGAAGAGAGGGGCTACTCTTATCCCCATTTTACAGATAAGGAAACAGGGGCACAGAGAGATCGATCAACTTGTCTGAGGTCATTCGGCCAGTAAGCGGCAGCCAGGATTTGGCCCCAGGAAGTCTGGTGCAAGAATCTGTGCCCTTCACCGAGCATTTCTCAACCTCGACCTATTGGCGTTTTGGGTTGGCTCACTCAGGTAGGGGGCTGCCTTGTGCATTCTGGGATGTTCAGCAGCATCTCTGGCCTCCACCCACTAGATGCCCCCTGGGTATGACAACCAAAATGACCCAGACATTGTCAAGCGTCCCCTGGAGGTCAAAATCACCTCCAGCTGAGAACTATCTTAACACAGCTCTGGAGATGTGGATTCTAGGCCCATCTGGGGACTCTTGGGTTTTTTTTTTTTTTTTTTTTTGAGACAGAGTCTTGCTCTGCTGCCTGGGCTGGAGGGCAGTGGTGCGATCTCAGCTCACTGCAACCTCCACCTCCTGGGTTCAAACAATTCTCGTGTCTCAGCCTCCTGAGTAGCTGAGATTACAGGCATGTACCACCATGCCTGGCTAATGTTTTTATTTTTTGTAGAGACGGGGTTTTGCCACGTTGGCCAGGCTGGTCTTGAACTCCTCGGTTCAAGTGATCTACCCACTTTGGCCTCCCAAATGCTGGGCTTACAGATGTGAGCTACCGCACCCAGCTGATTCTTAACCCTTCTGAGCCTGCTTCAGGCTCTGGAAAGACACTGACAAAGGCCTAGAGAAGAACCTTGCAAGAGGGCAATGCCCTGTGCAGGCGATAGAAGCGTCGCAGGGCAGCCTTCTCTGAGGCTGGCGATGGGACAACTCAGCGAGGGGCATTGGCGGGCAGCAAAGAAAAAGCTTGGGTGGTGGAATGGGCTTGGAGGTTGGCTGAGTGACCTTAGGCAAGTGCTGAGATTCTCTGACCTTAGGCAAGTGCTTTAGATTCTCTGAGATGCAGTCTTCTCAGCCAAAATCAGAGTTAACCCTTGTAGAGTTGAGGTGTGATACTTAAATAAAGTATTGTCATGATGGGTGAAGAAAAACAAAACCAAAAACTATATCCACGAAGAGTCTAGTTAAATAATGTATGGTACATCTAAGCCATGAAAGATTATGCAGCCATTAAAATGAATGAGGTAAATCTAGTTTTTGCTGATATGGAAAGATCTCTAAGGCTTATTTATTTATTTATTTTTTGAGATGGAGTCTCGCTCTGTTGCCCAGGCTGGAATGAAGTGGCGCAATCTCAGCCCACTGCAACCTCTGCCTCCCGGGTTCAAGTGATTCTCCTGCCTCAGCCTCCCAAGTAGCTGAGACTACAGGCGCACGCCACCATGCCTGGCTAATTTTTGTATTTTTAGTAGAGATGGGTTTCACCATGTTGGCCAGGATGGTTTCAATCTCTTGACTTCGTGATCCATCCATCTTGGCCTCCCAAAGTGCTGGGATTACAGGTGTAAGCCACCGCGCCCGGTGGCTTATTCATTTATTAATAGTTAAAAAGTAAGGTACCCAACAGTATATATGACATAATCCCATTGGTATTAGAAATAAAAATAATCTTTCTACATAGCCTTATTGAGCACCTACTGCTTGCCAGGAACTGGAGTAAGCAGGAGGAATACAGTGTGGATAAAACAAAACTCCTATTTCCATGGAGGTTGGTGCAAAAGCAATTGCATCAACCTAATATAAAGACGTGCAAGAAAATGGCTTCTTCTGAGCCTGGAGATGTGGGAGTGAGATTTCTGTCTTTCCATTGTATGCCCTCTGGTATTTGAATTAGTCTTACTGTTGAATGCATTTATTTATTTATTTATTTAGATGGAGTTTTGCTCTGTTGCCCAGGCTGGAGTGCAGTGGCACGATCTCGGCTCACTGTAACCTCTGCCTCCCGGGTTCAAGCTATTCTCCCAGCCTCCCGAGTAGCTGGGATTACAGGTGTGCGCCACCTGGCTAATTTTTTTGTATTTTTAGTAGAGACAGGGTTTCATCATGTTGGCCAGGCTGGTCTCAAACTCCTGACCTCAAATGATCCACCCACCTCAGCTTCCCAAAGTGCTGGGACTACAGGTGTGAGTCACTGTGGCCGGCTGAATGCATTTATTTTAATGATCAGTTTTTAAAAGACTGGATTAAAAAAATGAGAGAGAAAGCAACGAGCAGTGTTTGGCTCAATGCAAATGGTTGCTTTTATTATTATCATAGTAATAAAACATTTATTAACTGTCTCTTGAGCACCTACTGTGTGCCAGGTACTTTGCTAGGTGCTGAAGATACGTAGTGAGCAAGAAAGATAAAAATATTGGTCCTCAGGAGCAGGTGCTCTAGGTGGGGGGACACAGGAATCAGAGAAGTAACTGCAAATGTCATTAGTGTTACAACAGTTGGGGATTATGATGGCATCGGAACCTAACAGAGGGGAGGCTTGCAGGTCTAGGGAGTTGCCCAGGGATCGGAGCCTGGGCTCCAGCCCTCTATCCTCAAGCCTGGGCAGTTCACAAGGTTGGACCCCTCCATGGCTTCAGAGCAAACAAAAACAGCTAAAATTGATGGAATACATACAGCCAACAGGCACACTGTAAATACTTTACATGTATTAACTTACTTAGAATCCTTACTACAACCCTATGGATACTATTTTTATGCTCATTCTAGAGATGAGAAAGTCAAGGCACAGAGAGATTGAGTAACTTGCTGAAGGCCACACAGCTAGTAGGTGGCGGAACCAGAATTCAAACCCAGGTATTCTGCTACAGATGCCATACTTATAACTACTTCCTTTCATGACTTTCTTCTCCTCTTCCCTGCTTATCAGAGCCAGTCCTCTGTCTCCCTGTCCTCCCCAGACATGAGGATGACCCTCTCTGGCCCCAGCTGCAGCAGAACATGCAAGGATTGGAGGACACTCTCCAATCTTCCCCTGTCCCAGGGGCTCCTAAAGTGTCCTGGTTTTGCCCTTGGAGCCCAAGTAGAAGAGGGGACGAGGGGGAGCAGGAGCCAGCCAGGTATACGCTGGTCCCCCGTCTGCCTGTCCTTCAGGCATAAGAATCTGGGTTACTCCTAGAGCCCAAGTGTCCAGATTGATTCTAACTCCAGCCCCTGAATGAGCCACAAACTGAGTCCTAACCCGGGTCACACTGAATCTTGACCCTGGCCGCACATTCCTTCATAACCCTGGTCCTAGGCTAAGCCTTGACCCTGGTCACACACTGATCCTTAACCCTAGTTGCATACTGATCCCTGACTCTGATCACAGACTAACTCCTAGTGTGATCTATGACCCAGGTCATGTACTGACCTCAGTCTCAGACTGAACCCTGATCCTTGTCAAGGATAAGCCCTGACCCTCATCACACACTGAGTCCTGACCCTGCTCACTGGTTGAGCTCTGACGCAGGACACAGACTGAGCTTTGACCCTGGAGAGACACTGAGTCCTGGCACTCCTCACTGACTGATCCCTGATCCTGGCCATAGAGTCAACCATAATCTGGTCCTAGGGTGAACCATAATCTTTGTCACATATTGATCTCTAACCCTAGTCATACACTGAGTTCAGCCCTGGCCTCAGATGCCCAGCCATCTCCAATTGCTGCTGTCTACTGCCCAGGGATTCAGAGACTCCCAGAATGCCCTCTTCCCACCTTTCCCCAGAGCTTAAAGTGATTCCACTGGCCTGTGCAGAGGTCACCCAGCCTGTCATCCCCGGGGCCCATCTGGGGGACCTACAGGGCTCTAAAAAAGACAGGGAAGGCATGATTTAGACAGAGCTAAATTCTCGAGATGCTGCTTTTCATCTAGAGGCTCCCAAACTCTTCCTATTTCTCTCTGTCTCGTCTCTTCCCCCATTCACACACATATTTCTCCTGAAACAAAATTCATCAGCAAATTCTGTCTTTAAGAAGGGAGGTCAGACAGCAGCCAGCCCAGCAGCTGGGCAGAATTCTATTATCAGGAGGAAATGCAGCCAGCAGGAAGGACTGTGCCCTCCCTCCCGGCAAAGTGTTACTCACTCTCCCCAGCTTGGCTTCCTTCTGAAGGGCTGTGGAGTTCCTGACAGGTGGAGGTGGTGGACGTCTGCTGATGTTGACCAGGGAGCCCGTGCTCCCACCGGTGGCTGGCTGCCCCAGACCTGGCCCCTGTTCTGGGAATCTGCCCCAGTGTCTGAGCAACACAGGGGTGAAGAGTTTGAAATGGTTCCCCAAGGTGCTTTCCAGGATTGCAGGGCCTGGGTAGGGCCTTACATATTGGGAGAGTCCTTGTGGCCTCTTTGGGGAAGGATGTTTCCCCCTTAAGACCCCTGAAAACAGGGGTGCAGGATGGATGAGGAACACAGGGCTCACCCTCCACCCCCATCTCCAGGCAGTGCAAACATGTGAAACATGAACACATGGGCAGGCGTTGAGGTTTCCACTCAGTTCCCCCTCCCTGCTCTGGCAGGGAAAGGACTTTTGCTCCTCTGGGCCAGGGAGCCCTGGAGGGAGGGGAGAGGCATGGTTGCTGAGGCTGGGTGGGGGCTTCCAGATGGGTGTCACCCATGCCCTTCCGACCATCTAGGACAGCCTGGGAGTTGTGTCTAGTTAGGAGAGTCAAGAGTCAAGTATCCAGTGAGCTGGTCATTCGGATACCGAGGTGGGAAACAGGTGATCAGCCTGACAGTCATCTTGTCAGTTAGACGTAGAGACAGGCAGATGGGCAGGCCGTCACTCAGCCATTTGATCAGGCCTGCAGTCAGACAAGCAGGCTGACAGACAGACGGTCAGTCAGTCAGAGGAGGAGATGAACAGACAGGCTTCTTCATCTGTTAGTCAGATACAATAGATACCCAGCAGACAGACAGGCAGACAGACAGACATAGACAGACAGACAGACAGACAGGCTGTCCATCAGCCATCTTGTCAGTCAGCTATAGAGACAGCTAGTCAGTCAGTCAGACAGGAGATGGACAGCTAGTCTTAGTTACTCATCTAATTACAGCCAGCCAAACACCCAGGAAGACAGACAGACAGACACTCCAACAGGCATTTGAATGAGGAGATGGAGAGAAAGGCAATTTGTTTTGCATCTAATTAGTCAGGTACAAGAGCCGCAGCCAGGTAGACAGGGAGAGAGTCTCTCTGTCTCAGAGAGGGACATTCAGTCAGACATGGAGGCAGGCAGGCAGGCAGGCAGGCAGGCAGGCACAGCCATTCATCCAGTCAGTCAGCTATCCTGTCTGTCAGGCTCTCAGACTTGCGGTGGACAAGTCAGTCAGTCAGTGTCCGTCAGAACCAACCTACCTTCTGGCCAGTGATGCAGCTGGCCATTATGACAGACATCCAGGCTGGGCAGAGACAAACACTGGATGCTATGAGGAATGTTAAGAAATGGGGGTCCTAAGCTCACAGAATAACCGGGGGTCCCAACACCCCTCTCAAGAGCCTGATACAGCCCCTCAACAATCAGGGAAAGCATTCTGGAAGAGGAGGGAAGAGGCACCCCACTCCAAGAGCCATCCCTCATCTCCCTCTGAAGTGCCTGGCCTCCCTCTACAGGCCACAGGCCTAGAGAAGGAGCTGTGTGTGTGTGTGTGTGTGCGTGTGTGTGTGTGTGTGTGTGTCTCAGCTCTGCCAAGTTCTCCTCGCCTCCCTCCTCCACTGGAGTGGGGGTTGGGCGGCCCTCCCAGGCCACTTCCCATTTTGGGAATTGGGCTGAGAACTATGCAAGAGACAGAAATAATTCCTTTTTCGAGCCTGGCCAGGGCTGTAGCAGCCCAAACATTGGCACAAAACCAGTGCTGGGGAGGGGCCCAGGAGGGGGCAGCCAGGGGTGGGACGGAGCCCTGGGGCCCAGGGACACAAAGGCCTGGGTGTCTCCAGAAGAACCTCCTCATCCAGTCCCAGGGCTGGGTACAGGTACCTGGAAGATTCGAGACTCTTAGTGGAGCTGCCAGGCCAGAAAATGTTCGGGATTGGGGAGGGGACCAGGTTACAGAAAGAACAAGAAAGAAGTCATAGAGTCTCCACTGGTAAAGACAACTTGAAAAATGGACCATTTCTGGTGGCCAAGAAGGGATCCCTGCTCTCTCCTGAGAACACATCCCCCGCTATGGGCAGACCCACTGAGCACTCACATAAGAGATGGTGGCCTGGGAAGCACCTAGCACACAGTAGGTGCACACTAAATGCAAGTGTCCTTGGACCAGAATCGTACACAACTAGCTTCGCAGCCCTTTGGCACTGCTTCCTAGGGTGTGACCCTAGGCAAGTGACCTCAGCTCTCTCAGCCTCACATTTCCCCTCTGTAAACTGGGAGTAATGGCAAAACCCGCTTCCCGGGGTGGCTACGAGGATTAAATGACATGACAGGTACAGAAAATCTAGCACCTAGTAGGTCTGTGATCTATTTGAGTCCTTCCTCCTTTCTTTCCTTCTTTCTCAAAGCATTATTTTCATCTCACTGGGGTCTTACAGCAATCAGCCAAGGCAGATCTTGATCGTCATTTTCCAAGTGACACCCTCCTGAAATCAGCCCGTCTCTTAGCCTCAGTGTCCCCCTTGTGTAAAATGATAGCTCGGGACAGGAGATGTCTGGAAAGCCCTTTCAGAGCCTCAGCGCTAGAGTCGCTGGTGATCCTCAATGCTTGATTGCATCATTCCCAGCATGCAGGGGCCCTTCCCAACCACTCCGTGGGGATCCCTGTGGTTCTGAGGAAGCTGACCCTGCCCCCTGCCCCAGGGATAAGCCAGTCAGCACATGGCATCCCCCAGCTAGAGAGCTTGCTGAGTGGGGCATGTGATTCAAGCTAAGCCAATTTATTGACTTCTGAGCTTTGGCCAGGAATGCTGGGAGTTCCCTTCTCTTCTGGATAACGTAGAGTGCATGTGTGACGCCTAGAAATGCTGCAGCCTTTGGGACTCCCATGAGGGGAGCCAGCCCAAGAGAAAAATTGGCTCACAGAGGAGGACAAAGCAGAGTAAATCCTTGACACAATGATGACATCATGATCCCCTCCCTACCCTTGCTACACACTGCCTGGGCTTTTCAGTTGCACTATCCAATAAATGCCCTTTATTGTCCATGCCAGTTTCATTTGACTTTCAGTTTCCTGCACCCAAATACACCCCAAAAGACCCAAATACACCCCAACAGTCTAGACTTATTGCCAGTTTTAATCCTCAATGTGACTCTTCTACATAGATACTATTGTTCTTCCCATTTTAGAGATGAGGAAACTGAGGCTCAGAGAGTGAAGTGACTTGTCTGAAATCTCACAGCCAGAAACTGTCAGTGCTGGGATTTGAACCTGGAAATGCCTTATGCTCTTCTCACCATGTTATAAGACCTTCTCTTTTCTCATCTATCTCTGGGCAAGTGGGAGGGAGTAAAACAGTAACAGCCACCACCAAACTCCAGTAATAATCATCCCAGGGAAGACCAATCACATAACATCAAAGCCTGGAAGACGCTTAGAGATCATTCAGCACAACCCTCCATTTCACAAATGAGGAGACTGAGGACCAGAGCGGGGAAGAGACACAGGCAGCAGGAGGCAGATTGGGAGCCAGAGCCTGGGACAGCAAGAGGACATTGTTCCTGCAAGGGCAGAGGAGTCACCTGCTGCTCATACCTGGAGGAAGAGGGGGCTTCTTTTTAGCAACAAACCATCTCACCCTTTGGGGGAACTATCCCTTCCCAGCTCTCAAGCCACGTGGCTTGTAGCCTGGCCTCACCTCTGGCTCCAGGTCTGGCCAATCAGAACGGTGCATTCCCCTGGCAACAACGATTGGCAGAGTCTGGGCATGTGACCCCAATCAAGCCAATCAGAGTGAACCCTGGGACTTGTCATGGGACTACCGGAAAGAGAAGCTCCAGCATTCTAATGGAGCTCCGCCTTCAGCACAGGTAAGGACAGGCTCCAGGCTCAGAGCTGCCAGTTCGAGTTTAATAACCTAGTTTATTTTTGTGGTATTCATTTTTAACCCTGTGTTCAATTTAAGGTGATTAACTCCATACAGTTTGCCAGAACCATCTAGGTTTTAAAACTGAAAGTTCACAGGTGAATGGAGGCAAGGGTGGTTGGTCACCCCTGCTTCAACTTATGGGTATCAGATACTGGTTTTCCATTAATGGCAGCTTCCTTTTAAAATAAACATTTGAATTTAAAAAGGGGCCGGACGCAGTGGCTCACGCCTGTAATCCCAGCACTTTGGGAGGCCGAGGCGGGCAGATCATTTGAGGCCAGGGGTTTGAGACCAGCCTGGCCAACATGGCGAAACCCCATCTCTACTAAAAATACAAAAATTAGCCGGGCGTGGTGGTGCACGCCTGTAATCCCGGCTATTCGGGAAGCTGAGGCAGGAGAATCGCTTGAACCTGGGAGGCGGAGGTTGCAGTGAACCAAGATCGTGCAACTGCAGTCCAGCCTGGGCGACAGAGCAAGACTCCGCATCAAAATAATAATAGTAAAAATAAAACAAAATAATTTTAAAAATTTAAAAAGAGAGTCACTTGAGGGAAAATACCAAGAAACTAATAGTACCTTTGGTGAAAAGAAATGGCAAAAATATTGTGAATACTGTGTCATGTGAGTGAGTGATGGTGTTGAGAAATGTACAATGCCTGCAAGTCTGGAAACCCAAGCTCAGTTCCTGGGTTGGTGGCCCACTGGCCGTTTGACTCTAAACAGGTTGCTTGCCCTCTCCGAGCCTCCACATCATCCCAAGCTCACAAGGCCAACCATCCTCAGAGGTGGGGAGAGGTCAGAGGGCAGGCAGGCTCTGTTGTGGGCAGGCAGGCTCTGTTCACCCTTATCCTCTTAAGGGTGAGGTCTTAAGGTATGAGTTGCTCCCAGTGCAAAAGCTGGCACCAACAGCAGCAACTCACAAATCTTTGGAGAGGCCCGGCATTCCCCACTCAGTGACTGCTGAGTTTGACTGATGGGGCCATGTCGGCAAATTAGCCACCATTCAGCAGAGACACCCTTTAGAGATGCTAATTGCCCAGTGCTCATGCGTCCCCACCCCTCCCTGGCACAGGCGGCTGGCTGTCGATCCCCTGCCATTATTGTCTGATAACAGTGCTTGATTTGTCTACACAGACCAGGGCCCCTGCATGCATGCTGTTAGCATCTAACTACCAGCCAGCACGGCGCATGAAGCACGGTTCATTAATGCTCTTGAGGGGAGCAAACAGGTGCTGGCAGAAATCTATTCCCGTGGACAAATCTGTGGACACGTGCACCCTCATACGTGCCCACTTAGCCCCCAAGTATAGGAATGAGTCAGTGTCACGTGTGCATATGCATTCTGTGAACTACTCATACGCCGGCTAAGAAGCAGCCTCAGACACATACGCACAGGATGGAGTACATGCATGTACATAACAGGCAATGCTACATGGGGTTGTGTTAGGATTACATTACAGAACACCTGTAAGGCGTCTTGAACAGCGCCCGGCATGTGGTTAATTACTCCTCAGTAAATTAGATCTCTTATTATTTTTTCCCAGTGCTCCTTTATTTATTGAGGTATAACTTACACATAATAAAATGCACAAGTTTTAAGTGTTTAGTGCAGTGCCTTTTGATAAATAGATACACTTGTGTACCCACCAACTCAGTTAAGGTCCAGAATATTTCCATCATCCAGGAAGTTCTCTCGGGTTCCCTTCCAGTCAATACCTCCAAAAGCAATCACTGTTCTGATTTCTCTTGTTATAGTTGAATTTTGCTTGTTCTTGAGCCTCATATAAATGGAATCATATGGTGTGTCCTTCTTGGCAATGCCTATTGTGGATGCTCAGATGTGTGCACAGCCACTCACACTTACACACATGTGCATGGATACTCAGTCAGACTCATTCAGAAATGGGGATTTCTGAGCTGTAAATCCCTTGGCCTCAGCTTGCAGTTCAGCTAAGCCTCTCTGGGTTCAGAGGACTAAAGGAGATGGGGAGAGCCCCTGATGCTGGGTCCAGCCACCGTGGGGGGCTCCTTCCACATTTTCTTCAGCTTCCCTTACTGAGTGACCTCAGACAAGAACTGAAAATCTGTTTTCTCCTGTGAAATGAAATGAATAATAATAACATACAGCTCATAACTCCCCTGTATTGAGCACTTATTATGCAGTAGGCACTGTTCTAAGGACTGCGCAAGTTCGAGTCCACTCTGTCCTCCCAGCAACCCTATAATCCAGGTATCATCATTACCTGTCTTATGGGAAAGGAACCTGAGGCACAGAGAGGCCCAGCAGCTTGTCTGAGGTCACACAGGAAGGGGCAGAGCTGCGATTTGGACCCGGTCCAGCTCCAGAGCCTTCACCTGCCACCATTATCCCTCTTTATGAAGGGATTATGAGAATTATTGATTATGTCCATGCCTTGGAACCCAGTAGGTGCTAAATAAGTATTGCATAAGATTACTACCAAGAACATTTACATCCACTATCTCACTGATGCCTCAGAACAGCCCCATTTTACAGATGAGGAAACTGAGGCTCAGAAGTCAGTGGCAAAAGATTCTGGTCTTCTGGTTCTAAATCCCACATTCTTTCTATTCCCCCAGCTGGGGATATTCTATTCCACAAGGCAGATGCTTTGTTTTGTTTGCTGCTATGTCCTCAGCACCTAGAAGAGTGCCTGGCACATACTTGACACTCAATACATGTTTTCCAATGAATGAGTACAGCAGGGAGTTGGGAGGAATCACCCAGCCCAATGCCCTCCCGTTACAGCTGGGGGACCCAAGACCTATAGAGAGGATGTGACTCATCCAAGGTCACACAGCATCTTGGTGCCGTTGAAGCTATTGTTTTCTCCCTTGCCTGGCTCACCTCCTCTACCCTTGGGCCTGAGCAAGCCAAAAGATTTGGGAGCCCCTGAGGCTCTCTCAAAGGCCACGTTAATGGGGAGCTGGCATGGAGCCTCTCCCAACTTCATTAAGCCATCCAAGGTCAGCACGGAAGCCTGCCAAGCTAACCCTCAGAAAACGCCGGCTGAAAGGAAACAAGGCTTGCCAGAGCTTTTGCGCTGGGATGGGGACCATTCCTGGCAAACAAGGTGGGGAGGGAGGACCGGGCCAGCCTTTCAAAGCCCTTCGTGAACAAATGCTTGGACTGCAGCCTGCTCTGGTCATTGTCCCCTCCAAGTCAGCAGAAACAGCCAAACTCTTCAGTCTAGCAGGGAAAATGGAGAATGGACTGGAGTCTGTGTGTGTGGGGACAGTGCCAATGAGAGCCCACCCTGAAGATGGAAGGGAAAAGGCAGGAAGATGGTGAAGCTAGGTAGGGGGAGACCATCCCATCCTGAGGGTAACTCTTAGTTGCCAGTCCCCAGCCCTTGGGCATGGAGGTCAGTTTTAAATAACACTGATTGGCCGGGCACGGTGGCTCACGCCTGTAATCCCAGCACTTTGGGAAGCAAAGGCCAGCGGATCACGAGGTCAGGAGATCGAGACCATCTTGGCTAACATGGCGAAACCCCGTCTCTACTAAAAATACAAAAAAATTAGCCAGGTGTGGTGGCGGGCGCCTGTAGTCCCAGCTGCTTGGGAGGCTGAAGCAGGAGAATGGCGAGAACCTGGGAGGCGGAGCTTGCAGTGAGCCAAGACTGCACCACTGCACTCCAGCCTGGGAGACAGCAAGACTCCGTCTCAAAAAAAAAAAAAAAAAAAAAAAAATAACACCGATCACCTCCCTTCATGTCAGGGCATCCCTAAAAGCAGAGCCTGAGACAGGGATTCTTAGGCACGTGATTCATTCTTGCTCCACGTCTCCTTTAGGAGATGGGGGAGAGAGAGAAGCAGGACAGGATAGGGAAGGAGCTAAGCCAGGATGTAGCCTCAGCTGAGGTCTAGCTTCGGCCTGAATTGCACCAGGTGTTGATCCCACCTTGCAGAAAGAGGGCTGAGCTTTTGTACCCCTGACTCAATGAGTCCACAGTCTGCCTGGTGGGAGGACGGGAGAGCTGCCACAGGTTAAAATCCCCTGGCAGGCGACTCCCATGGGCCAAGGGCAATTGTGAGAGGCAGGAGTCGTGAGAAGGGGGCAGTGGTGAACTGTTAGCAGCGGGGAATGCCAGCAGTTGGGGTGTGGGTGCACCAGCTCGTAAATGGAGTGTAGGTGAGGAACTCACAGTGTCCACCACACTGGCTGTCCTCTTTTCTTTTAAATTTAAAATGTGTGTATTTTTTATTTTTGTGGGTACTTAGTAGGGGTATCTATGGGGTACATGAAATGTTTTGATCCAGGCATGCAATGCCTCATAATCGTATGATGGAGGACGGGGTATCCATCCCCTGAAACATTTACCTTTGTGTTATAAACAATCCAATTACACTCTTTTAGTTATTTTAAAATGTTGGGTGTCCTCTTATTGTATTAATTCATCACTACCTAAACCTCCCAAACTTAGGGTCAACCCTTAGAAGAAAAGGGAGACTGAATTGAACCAAGATACAGTTTCCACCACCCTCCATCACGGCCATTGCATCCAGTGTACGAACAAAACAACAGCCCTGCTCACACATCTAGGCTCACAGCATGCAAGCTGTGCCTATTCCAGTTGTAGGACTCTAGAACCTTCAAGACACTGAGGGCAGAACTTCAGAATTGTAGCTTTCAGGCTCTCTGAGCTAATGTACCCACAAAGGGGGCCTCCCCAGGGGAAGACAGAATGGGGCCTGGCTCGAGGACCAGGCTGGGCAGATGAAGTTACAAGGTGAGGAAAGACAAGGTGGCTTGACCAGGTCTCACGGGAGGCCCCACGACAGACCGTGGAGAGGATGGCGAGACCTGAGATTGTGAGAAGGTGTAGGAAATTAGGTACCAGTGGAGCAGCCTTGGGGTAGGTGAGGACCTGGCTGCAGCCCTGACCCCAGCTGCAAAACGACCTGGATGCTTCGGCTCTGAGTAGCGCTTAGAGCAGGGCCACACTTCAACACCACCCATGCCAAACTGAACCCCTTTCACCTGGGTACAGCACTCTACAGTGAGCAAACAATCTAATAGCTCAGCATCTGGAGGTGGGTGAGTTGGGGGCTAAATTTGACGCAGGGGGAAACTGAGGCCTAGAGAAGTGCACTAACTTACTTCACTAGCAAATTCTGATGAAGCACCTACTCTGTGCCAGGCACTAATTCAGGTCCTGAGATACTTCAGTAAACAAAAGAGAAACCCCTGCCCACATGGAGCACATATTCAGGTGGGCGAGGAGGGGGTTGGGGAAGGAAGTAATTATTGCTGTGGAGAAAAAGAATGAAGCAGGGAAGGGAGATAAGAAGGCAGGAGGGCTGGGCGCGGTGGCTCACACCTGTGATCCCAACACTTTGGGAGGCTGAGGCAGGCAGATCACTTGAGGCCAGGAGTTTGAGACCAGCCTGGCCAACATGGCAAAACCCCATCTCTACTAAAAGTACAAAAAAATCAGCCAGAATGTGGTGGTGCTTGCCTGTAATCCCAGCTACTCGGGAGGCTGAGGCACGAGAAAATTGCTTGAACCCGGGAGGCGGAGGTTGCAGTGAGCCGAGATGGCACCACTGCACTCCAGCCTGGGCGACAGAGTGAGACACTGCCTCAAAAAAAAAAAAAAGGAAGGCTGGGGGTGGAAACTGCCATTTGAAAATAGAGGGTCAGGGAAGGTGTCACTTCCTAAAGAGAGGATGCTTGAATAAGAACTTGGAGGTGAGAGAAGTCGTGCAGGGAACAGCGGGAATAGCCGATGCTAAGCTCCCCCAGGTAGATTTGCAATGGGAGACGGAGAGATGAGGTCAGAGAGGTCTTGTAGGGGCAGGTCCTGCAGGGCCATGAGGACTTTGCTGTTACACTGAGTGATATGGGAGCCACTGGAAGGCTTTGAGTGGGAGGTGACATGACCTGACGTGGGTTCTCACAGGATCCCTCTGGCTTTCAGGGAAGCGTGTGAGTGTGGATGCAGGTGAGCAGCGAGAAAGTAACTGTAATAGTCCAGGTGAGAAATGACAGTGGCTTGCTCTAAAGTAGAATTTTTTTTTTTTTTTTTTTTTTTTTTTTTTTTTGTGAGACAGGGTCTTACTCTTTCACCCAGGCTGGAGCGTAGTGGTGCAATCATGGATTACTGCAGCCTCAACCTCTGGGGCCCAAGTGATCCTCCCATTTTAGCCTCTCAAGTAGCTGGGACCACAGGCATGTGCCACCATGCCCGGCTAATTTTTTGAAATTATTTTTTGTAGAGATGGGGTCTCAATATGTTACCCAGGCTGGTCTTGAACCCCTGGGCTCAAGTGATCCTCCTGCCTCAGCTTCCCAAAGTGCTGGGATTACAGGCACAAGCCACCGTACCTGGTCCTAAAGTAGAGTTTCTCAACTTCAGCACTATCATCATTTGGGCTGAATGAATCTTTGTTGTGGGGCTGTCCTGTGCACTGTGGATGTTTAGCGGCATCCCGGCATCTACCCACTAGGTGCCAATAGTACCATCCCACCTGGTATGATACCAAAAATATCTCCAGACAATGCCAAATGCTCTCTGAGGGGCAAAAATCACCCCCCGTTGAGAACTTCTGGTCTGGAGCAGGAGTCAGCCAGCTATGGCTCACGGGCCAAATGCAACCTGCCACCTGCTTGTACAACCCGAGAGCAAGCTGAGAGCAGATTTCACATTTTTAAATGGTTCCGTTTTAAGTGATTATGTAAGTACCTACAGAATATCCTCAATTTTGCCTCTTGGCCTGCAAACCTCAAATATTTACTATCTGGCCCTTTCAAGAAAAGCGTGCCGACTCTTGGTCAGGAGTGTTCATGGGGGTGATGAAAAGGGGTTGGAGGCTGATACACTTTGAAAGCAGGGCCTTGGGATTTATGCAGAGGTCCCACACGGAGTGTGAACAAAGGAGGAGTCATGAGTAGCTCCCAGGTTTTTGGCCTCTGTGGCTGGAAAGAGATACTGAGATGGGGGGAAATCGGCAGGAGCGAGTTCGCAGTGGGAGGACGTGGGGCTTAGTTTTGGAGATGTTAAGTTTGAGGAATGTCACATAGACAGGGGAAGGACACCAGCTTTGGAGTTAGGCAGGGTCATTGTCTGAATCCCAGCTCTGCCGTGGACTCACTGCAGAACCTCAGGTAAAGAAGGACTTGCCTCTCTGAGCCTCAGTTTCCTCACCTGCAAAAAGGAGGGCATGTTTCGTGTGGGCTGGATCTCTGGATAAGGGGCTTTTATGATGAACACTGAGGCATAGGCAATATGCTTTTAAAGTGTTTTGAGGATCACCTGCGTCAGAATCAGTTGAGATCCTTGTTAGGGATGCAGATCCTGGGCTGCCTCTAGAGACTTTGATTCTGTGGTCTGGGCGATGGACCCGGAATCTGAACTGCCTGGGTTTTGAGAACTCCTGACCTAGGGCTTGGGTGTCCAATTAAAGAGCCTGTGGCTGCCTCTCAAGACTTGCAGGTTCCCAAGTGGAAATGTCTTTAAAGATCACAGAGCCCAGCAGCCTACCCCCGTTAGGCAAATGAGAAACCCGAAGACCAGAGAAGCCGAGTGCCTTGCCTGAGGCCACACAGCTGGGAAGCAGCAGAGCTGGGTCTGGGATGGTTGATGGATAGGTGGAAAGGTAACAGCTGGTTCAGGTAACAAGCAATTGGATCCAGACAGTGCGGGTAGGATCCAGGTCAGAGTTGAATTTCATTTTGGGAATCAAATCCTTCTGGACTTGGGAGAGAGACATGTGGTTTCTTCCCATTTGAGAGTGTTAAATGACTCTCCCAGACTCCTGTTCAGCTAATGCTTTGGAGAAACAGGAGCCCATTTTCTGTGACACTCTTTGGCCAGCCAGGCCACCCCAGTCTCCAATAAGCCCCTTCCTGCAGCCCAATGGACTTGCTGAACCCTTGTGGGTAGCAATGTGGGGCACACACCACCAGTATTAGTTACATTGAAATCTGGATTTCTCAACCTTGGCTGCACAGTGGAATCACCTTGCGAGCTTTGAAAAACACCAATCCCTGGGTCCCATCCCCAGAGATCCCGATTTCACAGGTCTGGCGGGTGGTCTGGCATTGGGATTTTTCAAAGATCCTCAGCTGATTCTCATGTGCAGCCAAGACTGGTTTAGCTGCCCAGGGACAAGCCATCAGAATCACATTGATTCACAGAGTGAGAAGGTGCTACCCTTTCCAATTGTCTTCAGACCCCCAGACTCCCTGAAGTGGAAAGTCCCAGTATGAAGCCAGTGACATTTTAACACCTCTCTAACACACATCTTCCCTTTTAACCCAGAGAGTAGGTATCAGGCTTCAGCATCTGGCTGGAATTTTATGACATGATTTATGGCAAATGGCACCAGTTCTTCATAATATCAAATTTCCTGTTAAAACAACTCGATTTAGTAAAATTAATGACTTAATCTAAAGAAGACTATTAAGCAAATCCTATTTCAGGTATTTCCCCTGGACCTAATGGTGGTCTCTGACCCAAACTGGTTCCCTCACTCATGATCCCTTCTGGCCACAGGGATTGGCTCAGAGATGATCATGTGGCTCAAGTCTGTCCAGTCAGAGGCAATCTTCATGGGAAGAGTCAGGAAAAAAATGGCCATTTTATCTGCTGGCCTTCATGCTGGGAGGGTGGAATCTGGAGGCAATGTCAGCTGAGAGATGAGGAATGACTTTCCAAGGCCACCGGCATTAGTGGTGGAGCAGGGATTTGAACTAGGCCCACCTGCCCACAAAGGTAGTACAACTTCCCGCTAAACCACATTTCTGGTGAATTCCCTGGGATTCTTCATTTTATTTCTTTCCTTTTCTTTTTTGTTTTTTAGACAGAGTCTTGCTCTGTTGCCTAGGCTGGAGTACAGTGGCCCTATCTCGGCTCACTGCAAGCTCCTCCTCCCGGGTTCACACCAGTCTCCTGCCTCAGCCTCCCGAGTAGCTGGGATTACAGGCATCCGCCACCACGCCCGGCTAATTTTTTGTATTTTTAGTAGAGACAGGGTTTCACCTTGTTAGCCAGGCTAGTCTCAATCTCCTGACCTCGTGATCTGCCCGCCTCGGCCTCCCAAAGTGCTGGGATTATAGGCGTGAGCCACTGCCTATAGTTCCCTCAGAACTTCTGTTTCCTGGGTTTTGAGTCTTCATACGTAGGGTTTACTTAAGTAAAATGTAATGGCACCCCATAAAATATAACCCAAATAGGTACCTTTGAAAAGCTGATAGAAGACACTGTAATGATCATTCAACACATTCTGGGCACTGGAGAAGGTATTTGGCCACTTGTAAAGAATTTAGTGCCCTGTGCTTTCAGTGGATGATAAGAAACTTCTGGCTGGAGTTCGAGCTGAACATTTCAGACCATCTCACCACTCCTCAACCAAAGGAAGGTGAATTGTGGTTTCTGCCAACTTTGACTAACCTCTGAATTCATCCATCCATTCATCCAGCAAAATTTTATGGAAGATTTGCATGGAGGTAGGCAAAGTGCTAGATGCAGGAGAGACATGCCTATAGCAGACAAGGTCCTACTACTGGGGAGATCACAGCCCAGATGGGGAGGCAGGCGCTAATCAGATCGTTGCTTAAACCTATGTGAAATTACAACTGGAATGGAGGCCACCCAAGAGAGACACAGAGAACTTTGAAAATCCATAACTGGGGGATCTGACCTATTGAGAGATTAGGAAAGGCTTGCAGGAGGAGGTGGCATTCTATCTGGGAGCTCTAGGGTGAGGAGGCAAATAACTGGATGAAGAAGAGAGGAAGAGCATTCGAGGCAGAGGGAACAGCATGTGCAAAGACTCAAGGCAGGAAGGAATTTATAATAGTAAGTATGAGATCAGCATGGCTGGACACGGGGAGGCAGGAGATGGTAGTGGAAGATGAAGTCAGAGAGTGTTAAATGACTCTGGCCTCATGGAGTCTTATAGGCCACTGTGAGGAAATTTACCCTCTCCTCCCAACCCGTTCTGCAGCAAATCAAACAGAAAACTCCCACCTTTCCATCCACCCTCGCTTATAGCATAAGGATGTGAAAAAATTCCACTGCTCTTACGATTTTTGCAATTTGAAAAATAGAACAACGCATCCATACAATTGGGGTTGCTTATAACTTGGGGAGTTTGAGTTACTTAAGGAGAAAAGGAAGAAGAGCAAAGAGAAAGGCAAGAAGACTAAGAATAAAAGGAAGAAGTAAGTGAGGAGAAGGCTGTGGGGAGGAAACGGAGTGGACAGGGGAGGGGGTGTAGTGGTTCAGGGCCTGGGCTCTGGGGGTAACAACTGGGGTTCAAATGCTACCCTGCCACCTGTTAGCTGCATCCTTGCATGTGTTACTTAACCTCTCTGGGACTCAGTTTCCACATCTGTAAAATAGGGATAATAATAATACCTTCCTTATAGGATGTCGTAAGGGTTAAATGAGGCGATGTGTGTAAAACGTGGTATATGAGTGTTAGCTATTTTGCCATTGTCTTCAGAGGCTGGGTTGCACCCTCTAACCTCTGCAGTGTCCTGGGGGAAGCCATAGACTTAGCCTGGACAGCTGGACGGTGAGAGGAAACAGAGAACCCCATTGTGATGGGGCTAGTATGGGACAGGCTTTGGAGAGGCAGCTAAGAAATCTTCCTGGGAGACCAAAATTCCTCCCTGCTAGAGCGAGAATGCCTCATTTCTGGGAGAAGAAGCGAGTTTCTGCATTTTTCTTAGTGATAGGGAAAGGGCTCTGGCTACCTCCCTCATAAAGAACCTCCAGTTCAGGGAAGATTTATCCCCACAGTGATGAACACTGGAACCCAAAACAGTGACCAAGGGGATCTATGGATAAACTCTTGCAAGAAATACCAGGGCCTATCATGGAGGGAATGACATCACGTTCAGTAAGTTAGGGGTGGGATGTTTAGGCAGAGCCCTGAAGCATGAGTAAGGGAGGCCAAGGGAGCCAGGGTAGGGGCCATAAGATCATCCTAGTCAGATGGCAGCATGTGCAAAGGCCCTGAGTTGTGACCCAGCACCACGTGCTGACGCTCTGAGAAAGCTATCTAGTACAGCTAGGAGAAAAAAAGGGGCAAGATAACAGGCATGTGTTACGAAGGTAGGGTGGTAGACCTTCCAGGGCCTTGGTGGCCAGAAAAAGATTTTGGAAGTTATCCCGAGAGCAACAAGAAGCCGTGGAGTGACCAATCCCTCTCCCTCCTGCTGTTTCCCCTCACCCCCATCCACAAAATCTGGAGACACAGCGAACAGGCTTGGAGGTGGGCCATGCATGGAATGATTTGGGAACTCAGAAAACTCTAATACTGTCTCTGAAGGGGTAATAATCATCCATCCATTCATTCATTCATCCACTCAACAAATATTTATTACTTGCTCTGTGTGAGGCACAGTTTTAGGCACTGGGGAGTGAGCAGTAAAATTTGACCAAGTTCCTTTCTAATGGAGCTGATACTGTAGTGAAATGAGACAGATAAGAGCCAGATAAACCTATAAGATAACACGTGGCAAAAGGGCTATGAAAAAAATAAAGGAAGGCCGAGAAATGGAGCATAAAGGCAGGGACGGGAGGTGTGTTACAATTTCCTTGCGAACATGACCAAGCCAATCCTTCCTGCCCGCCCTTGTTCCACTGAGCACTCATTACTTGCACCATCATAAATACAGTTTAAAGATTATTTTTTAGCTCCCTCCACCCCATGAGCAATAAACCTCCCTCTCCAGTTGGCACCAACAGTACACTTGTGGTGACCGCAGTGACCAACAAACTGTTGCACTTCCCCACGTTCTGCTGCCAGCCCATCTCCCGGGCTGGAAAGCCGCAAGCCCTTGGCACTTTCTTCTGCCCCTTGCCTGACAGTGTTTGCCTTTCTTTGGATGATGGAGCAGTGAGATCATCCAGGTGCCCCCCAGGGGCTTGGCAGAGCTGCTTACTTGGATCTGCTCCAGGTCAGCCAACAAGATGGATTTAAGGGTGGATTTAAACAGAGTTGACAACAGGTTCCAGGGTCTTTGGCAGGGGTGGGGTAAGGGGGCCACACTTTGGTCACCTTCCTGAGGATCCTGTCGCCCTTATCAGCACGACCTGAGTGGATGGGCATCAGACACAATAAGAGAGAGAGGCCTATGTATCAGGACCCCGCTGGATAAATGGGGGTTTGGGGATCTTCTGTGATTTGCATTTCTTCAATAACTGCTGCCAGGAAGACGGATGATGAAGGGTTAAGGACACACAGAAGAGATGAGACTCCCAATATAACAAGCAGGGAATAAGACTTCCAACTCCAAACACCAGTCTTCTGAATGTGCCTGCCAGAATTCTGATCATGAAGACTGCCGAAGTGTTCTGACCTTGAACCTCAGAATTCCAACCCCGTACATTAGTTCCAACCTGGGACATCAGCATTCTGACCTTGCCCGCTAGAGTTTTAATTATGAAGAGCAACTCTCTGGCCATGGACTCCTTGGCTCCAATGATGGATTAGAGGATTCTGACCTCAGATGGCAGTTGTCTGATCTTGAACTTCAGAGTTGTGACCTTGAATGATGTTGCTCCAATACTGGACACAACAGCAGCAATCTTGAGCACCAGAATCCCAATCCTGGGCCCCCTAATCTCTACTGAATCTCTCAATGCCCAAGCTTTCCAGCCTGAAATAGTAGAGCTGACATGACTCCACAGGATACAAAGTTTAATTCTACACAATAAGCTTTTCCACAGGCCCACAGCCCCTAGAAATAAGCCAAATGCTTCGATGATGATAATGATGATGATGATGATGATGATGATGATAACAACACAAATAATACTGGCTTACATCTGTTACACATCAGGCACTTTGCTGTGCACTTTACATGTTTCATCTTATCCATCCTCTGGGTCACCCCAGGGATCTTATTATTCCCATTTTACAGATTAGGAACCTGAGGCCTAGAGCCAGTTCAGTTTGCTGACGTGACATCGAGAGCTTTTTCTAGCCACTGCAGTAGCTGTTTCTTCCTGCCCTGGTTGGAGATTGGGTTTGGGAAGTTGTAACTCATTAGCTAATCAATTTACGATTTGCCTGAGAATTTCCCCGACTTGTGTTGCCATCCATCAGGCATGAACTGCCTTGATTTTTGGAGCCAAGTCCCGCCTTGGGGGGATAGTCATTCATTCAACAAAGATTTGCCACCCGAGGTTGTGCTTGATGCCAGAAATAAGAAGAGGGAAGGTGGGATATGATGGTTGATTTTATGTGTGAATCCGACTGCGCCATGGGGTGGCCAGATTAAACATTTATTTGTGTGTCTGTGCAGGTGTTTCTGGATGAGATTAGTATTTCAGTCGGTGGACTCAGAAAAGTACCTAGCCCTGCCCAATGTGAATGGACATCATCCAAGCCTCTGAGAGCCTGAATAGAAAAAAAAGAGGCAGAGGACGGAGAAATTTGCCCCTTTTGCTTCCTGCCTGCCTTCTGAGCTGGGACATGGGTCTTCTCCTGCCTTTGCACTGGGATTTATACCATCGGCTTCTCTGGTTCTCAGGCATTGGGACTCAGACCAAATTACATCACCAGCTTTCTCCTGAATGTTCAGATTGTGGAACTTCTCAGCCTCCTTACTCATGTGAGCCAACTCCTCAGAATAAATGTCTTACTGGGAAGCTGGGCATGGGGGCTCACGCGTGTAACCCAGCTATTTTGGAGGTCAAGGCGGAAGGATTGCTTGAGGCCAGGAGTTCGAGGCTGCAGTGAGCTATAATTGTGCCACAGCATTCCAGCCTGGATGACAGAGTGAGACCCGGTCTCTCAAATAAATGAATAAATAAACAAATCTCTTAGTGATTCTGTTTCTCTGGAGAACCTTAATTAATACAGGGGACCTATTGCTTCTGTCATCCAAGCTCTGTCTCTTTCCTCCCTTCCAGGTGGGGGCCTCAGAGGCAAGAAATGCACCCCCAACATTTCCAGCCACGTGAAGGCTCTATGCTCCAGAGGTCAAAAATTAGAGCCACGAGGGCTGCATATGGTTCCAAACATATTCTGTTTGGCCCACTCAAATTGTTTTCAATTATTTTTTTTGAGACAGGAAAACAATGGAGCTTCCTGACATGTGACACTGATGCTGTTTCACTCAACAAGCAAAAGGTACCTGCTTCACTCTTCATTTTAAAATGGAAATTGAAACCATACCGAGATACCCGCTTCCATCTGTTAGAGTGACAAAAAAATCAGAAAGTTCACAATACATGGTGCTGATGAAGTTGTGGGGAAACAGGCACCCTCACACATCGTTGGTGGGAGAATAAATTGGTACAACCTCTACAAAGTGCAGTTTGGTCATATGGATCAAAATGTAAAATGCACAAATCTGTTATAAAATCTGACTTCCAGAGATTTCTCCCACAGATATACTCACAGACACACACACACACACACACAGATGTTAAGTGCAAAGACAGTCACCACAGTATTGGAGTTTTTGTTGTTGTTGTTGTTGTTGTTGTTTTGAGACGGTGTCACGCTCTGTCACCCAGGCTGGAGTGCAGTGGCGCGATCTCGGCTCACTGCAAGCTCCGCCTCCTGGGTTCACGCCATTCTCCTGCCTCAGCCTCCCGAGTAGCTGGGACTACAGGCGCCTGCCACCACACCCGGCTAATTTTTTTTTTTTTTGTATTTTTAGTAGACACGGGGTTTCACTGTGTTAGCCAGGATGGTTTCGATCTCCTGACCTCGTGATCAGCCCGCCTCAGCCACCCAAAGTGCTAGGATTACAGGCGTGAGCCACCGCACCCGGCCTTTTGTTGTTGTTTTGAGACAGGGTCTTGCTCTGTCACCCAGACTGGATTGCCGTAGTACAATCATGGCTCACTGCAGCCTTGACTCCCTGGGCTCAAGCAATCCCCCCACCTCAGTTTCCTGAGTAGCTGGGACCACAGGCACATGCCACCACACCTGGCTACTTTTTGTAGAGATGGGGTCTCACTAAGTTGCCCAGGCTGGTCTCAAACTCCTGGGCTCAAGGGATCCTCCCACCTTGGCCTCCGTAAGTGCTGGGATTACAGGAATGAGACACTGCACTTGGGCATGTTTTTAACTTTTAAAATGATTTGCCAACGTTGAAAAACCGGGATAGCTCCCATGAAAATTAAAATTTCTGGCTAAGTCCAGACCCAGTCTGGAGCTGAATGGCTGCTGCCTTCTCAGGCAGGCTTCTGCTCCAGTTCACCACTAGCCCCCTCCACTCCCTGCCTGAAAAGTGGCTGGCCATGGAATAGGCATGTTAGGCTGGGTGTTGACCAGTGTCCTCCTTGAACTTGCCCTCCTACAGTTCTTCCAGCAACTGCTTCACTGGGTGACAAGGCCTACCTAGCTCCGGTAGCCATCAGAGTCTGAGGCCCCGGCTCTTGCCTAGGCAGGGAGGTTAAGGCCTTCTCCTCCTAACCCATAAGGACCTCTGAGTCATTCTGCCCTGCGGGCAGAGCTGGCTTCAAGGGTGTGCAACCTGCACAGTTGCACAGGGCCCTGCGCTCACAAGGGCTCCATGCTCGGTTTGCTACTCTGCTATCACCATCTCAAAATTCTTTCTTACTTTTGAACAAGGGGACTGCATTTTTATATTGTACGGCACCCCACGAATTCTGTAGCTGGCCCTGCCAGTAGGTCACTTGGTAATTAGGGACACCCAGTCCCCCATACACCCTGCCCCCAAGGACTGCTCTCATCCATCTAGAAAACCACCTCTTTGGATTGGCCAGTTCTCCCAGGCATGAGGCCAGCAAGGGTCCCAAATTTTTATACAAGAGGGGCTTGGGGACAGTAACCTGGGGTGGGGAGGGGAACAAGAGGACTTTTCTTGGGTTGCATTTGCATAGAGCTTTATGTAACATGGAGGACGCTCCATCAAAGAATGGGGGAGTGTGATGGGGCCTGGGGGTGGGAGGTGGAGGAAGTATCTAACACTTCCTCTCCAACCATTCCTTGGCACAGTCATTGCATGAAGGGTTTGAGCAGGCAAGGGTATCATCAGGGGCAGGACTAAAGCAAGGTCAGGGGTAGACTCTCTTGAGGAGAGGAAGGAGAGAAGGAAAAACAACTTAACACGAATGAAGTACCTGTGCTCAGCCCAGCACAGTGCTGGGCCCTCTGGCACGGTTAAGTACACCTGTCTTTCCAGTAGCTTTGCTTGGTAAAGTCACCATGCCCGTTTTCCAGCCAAGGAAATGGAAACTCAGAGAGAAGAAGGGTCTGCCCAGGGTCTCATTGCTCATATGTGGGGAGTATGAACCCAGACCTCCAGAGTTCCAAACCAGAGCTCTTTCCACCTACCCTGCCAGGGAGACGGCACATGAGAGGAGGAAAAACATTGGTGCAGAGAAAGGGAAAGATGCCTACCCCAAGTGGGCATAATCTCAAAATAAACCAGAGAAACATGTTATGATGGGAAGACTGTAAACATTACCAAGTCCAAACTGGCCATTCAAGGTCAGGGAGGGCCTCTCTGAAGAGGTGACCTATGAGCTGAGATCTGAAGAAGGAGAAGGGGCTGGCTGACACTGCAAGATATGAAGCCAGAGGCCCAGAGAAGTTAAGTGATTCACTCAAGGTCACACAGCTAGCTTGCATCTTCCTTCCCACCAATCCACCCACAAACACCCAATAAGCCCCTCCTCTGCACCAGGCCCTGATGCAACTTCAGAACACAGGTCAGCAAACTTTTTCTATAAAGGTTTAGATAATAAATGCGTTTTAGGCTTTATGGCCATACATCCAAAAGCAGCTGTACATGGCAGGTGAATGAATAGGCCTGCCTGTGTTCCATTAAAACCGTATTTACAAAACAGGCAGCCCACCCACCCTGTTTTGAGCACAGAAGTGAGTAAGATACAGTCTTAGACTTTGAGAACATCCTGTTTTATGTGGAGAGATGAAACAAGTTAAGAAGAAAATAGAATACGAGAGAGAGCACACTGAACAGTGCAGGATAAGCGGAATGGCGATCTTATAGGAGAAAGATCACTCCTGTAGCTCAGCAGGGCAGACATCAAGTTCAGGCTCTCAGAAAAGTGCACGCTCTCAGAAAAGTTCACATACACTGAGAAGTTTTCTTTGACCTTGCCCCATTAATCTCTGTCAAAACACCTTGTTTCTCTCCTTCCAACATACATATTACACTTAGTGTGATTATTCTTTCATTTAATTTTTAATTTGTTTAATGCGTATCTCCCTCCAGTAGGTTATAAACTCTATGATGGCCATGGATTATTTCTGCCGGTTTACATTTATTCTCCCCACTCTTGGTAAGAGGACTTCAATTTTTCTTTGGGAAAGCACCTCTTTCCCATTCTCAATCCCATCCCAGCTCCAGCCATTGACATGTGACCCAGACGCAGCTATGTGATTGGCTCAGGGCTGGGCCAATGAAAATCAGCCCTGGGATTTTGCTGGGCCTATTGGAAAAGAGACTTGCTTTGCCCCAGGAAGAAAGCCTGGATTTGAGGGGGCCATCTTTCCTGCCATGTTGGTGCAGCCTGCTGAGAAGCCATGACAAAGAAGAATAGAGCTTAGAGATGTAGGATACCAAGTCTTGATGACATATTTAAGCCCCTGGATCCAACCTTGCTGGAAACCTTACCCAACCCAAGACTTTTTTTTTTTTAACATTTTGCCTAAGTCCATTGGAGCTACCTTTCTGTCACCTGCAGCTAGAAGAATCCTAACAAATAGATACACACGTGATTTTCAAGCACCCAGCAGGTTGCCTGGCCCACAGTAACATGCACTAAATTGTTTATCAGACAAACCACAGGCAGGATTGAAACAGGTCCTCAAAGCATGCACATACTCCCACCTAAACTTAGAAGGACCAGAGAAGCCTAGAATGGAAGCCACCTTGAAACAGAAAGAATGATCTAGAAACAGGAGGAATGACTGAGTCGAATTACAGTCACTATTTCAAGAAACAATAAAGGTTGTGCAAATGTATCCACTGAAAAGAGATAAAAGAAACTCGATCCATTCACAGAGACAGTGGGAATTCCAGACAAGTGATAAGCAAAGGAAAGGCTGGTTCTGCCTTGTCTTGTCTCCATCTTTCCTTTTGCCTCTCATATGCCCCTGACAGGGCAATCATCGGCTGCCTCTTCGGTACAACTGAGTCTACAAAGACTCTGAGAGGTGGGGCTGGCCAAGCTCAAGGGCTCCAAGGATCACACAAAGCTTAGAAAGACTCAGGGATGGCCTGTAGGGAGTGATTAGTGACAATTGATGATCTGTTTTTAGAAACTGTTTGGTTCTAGGCCCATTACCTGGTGGATGTAAGTGATGGTGTGGAATTGGCAAATGCAATATTATTCTCTCAAAGACAGTGCCTGCCTGCCAGCCCATGGTGGGCAGTTGTGGTAGAAACCAGTCTCATTTCAGAGCAAAAATGGAGCAGCTGCCAGGTGCAGTGGCTCATACCTGTAATCCCAACACTTTGGGAGGCCAAGGTGAGAGGATTGCTGAAGCCCAGGAGTTTGAAACTGGCCTGGGTAACATAGGAAGACCCTGTCTCTACAAAAAAAGAGTACAAAAATTAGCCGGGTGTGGCGGTGGTGCACACTTGTAGTCCCAGCTACTCAAGGGGCTGAGGTGGGAGGATCATTTGAGCCCAGGAGGTCAAGGTTACAGTGAGCCATGATCGCGCCACTGCATTCCAGCCTGGGCAATAGAGCGAGACCTTGTCTCAAAAACAGTCAGGGTGTGAGGGAACACCTCAAGTGTCTAACTTAATTGTGTGTCTCCTCTCTGTAAATGGAAGGCAAAAGGCCACTTCTTTCTGCAGGCAGGTAGAGACAAGAAAGGTGGAAGGAGCAGGGTGTACCTGGAAGAGACCCTTACCTTTTAAGGAAGACCCCTCTGATCAGTCATCACAAGATCATGCACATTTGCTCATTTATTCACTCAACAAACGTTTACCAACACCTACCTGCAGTAACAATAGTAATAGTGAAATATACTGAACACCTGCTGAGTGCCAGGCACGGCTTGAGTGTTTCATATAGAATTTGCCCAACAACCCTGGTTGTTATGAGGCTTTCCAAATTACGGATCAGGACATTGAAACCTAGAGAAGTTATGTAATTCCCCAAAGGGCACACAGCTCAAAAGTGGCTGAGCTGGGATTTGAACCCAGGCAGTCAGGCTGCACAGCCTGCACGCTTAAGCTTTCCTGTTTCTCTGTAGGCCAGGCCTGGCATCCACAGAACAACCCACAAGTGAATTTTCACGATGTTTTGTGCGAGGAAGGTATGAACGTCAGGTTTCCGGTGCACAGAGGAGGGAGCAGTCAGTGCTGCCTGAAGGGAAGTGTAGGTGGTGGTAGGGGGGCGGGGGGTGGTTAAAGAAGGCTTCACAGAGGAGGTGGTGGGGAAGCTGGGCCTTGAAGGTGGAAAGAGAGAGGCTGCAGGCAGAGAAGAGGAAGAAATGGGTGCAAGGCAGAGGAACAGCTTGGGCAAGAGGGTGACCAGCGCTGAGGAAGGCTGGAGCTTTTGGGGGCATGCAGAAAGGTTAGTGTGGTGGTCGCAGAGGGTGTCTGAAGAAGGGATGGGGAGGAGATGAAGGTGGAGAGTTGGGTTGGGATGTCGAAAGCCAGGCTAAGGAGTGTGGACTATCCTGGGGGCAGTGGGAACTATGGAAGTTTTGGGAAGGGGGTGATGAAGTTGAGCAGACTGCATTTGAGAAAGTCGGCTCTGGCTGCTCTGCAGAGGTTGAACTGGATGGGAAAGGCTGGAAGCAGGGAGCCTATTCTGGGGCTCAGAGGCTCCCAGGAAGGGTCAGAGTTCAGCAGTGACCCACAAGGTCGCACCTCTGATCTCACCTCCTTCTACTCTCTTGCCTCCGGTACACTCTGCTCCAACCACATTAATACCTGAATGTTCCTTGAGTGCCCCAGGCACGTTCCTGTCCCAGGGCCTTAGCACTGCTTTTCTCTCCACCCAGAGCACTCTTCCCCCACATGCCCACATGCCTGTCTCCCTCCCTTTCTACTTGGCACCTTCTCCTTTCCTGACCAGCCTGGTTAAGCCCCAGCACTCCCCTCCTTCCCTGCAGAACTTTCTCCACAGTGCCATCCAAAATATTATATCAGGCCGGGCACGGTGGCTCACGCCTGTAATCCCAGCACTTTGGGAGGCCAAGGTGGGTAGATCACTTGAGGTCAGGAGTTTGAGACCAGCCTGGCCAACATGGTGAAATCCCATCTCTATTAAAAATACAAAAAATTAGCTGGGCATGGTGGCGGGTGCCTGTAATCCCAGCTACCTGGGAGGCTGACGCAGGGGAATTGCTTGAACCTGGGAGGCAGAGGTTGCAGTGAGCCGAGATTGAGCCACTGCACTCCAGCCTGGGCGACAGAGCAAGACTCTGTCTCAAAAAAAAAAAAAAACTACATAATTATTTGATCTTGTCATTTCGTCCATAAACACTTCAGTATGTGTATCTAAAAGATAAAGATTTTAAAACATAGTCGTAATAGCATTATCACATCTAAAAACACAGCATTCATTCCTCAATATCATCCAATATTCAGTTAGCATTCATCTTTCTTTCCCTGATTGTCTTACAGTCTCATGATTTATTTTGCATGGTTGTTTTGGTCCAATCAGTATCTGTGTTTATTTTTTTAACAGTCTTGCTCCTTCTTCTACTGGAATATCAGTGCCATGAGAGCTGGGATCTTTGTTTTGATCTCTGCTTTGTCCCCAGCACCCAGCACAATGCTTGACACATAGTAGGTGCTCAATAAGTTCCACTGAATGAATATACACAACCAATCCTGATAATAAAAGTTTGTTATTGACCTGTTGGGCATTATGTGTCTGTTACTGTTATTTGCCATAATTATCAAATCCTTACAATCTCCTTATGAGGTACGTGCTGTGATTAGGTCCATTTTACAGATGAGGAAACAGCTACGTGACCCAAGGACTCACAGCTTAAAAAAAGGCTAGGGCTTAAGACCCATTGCACAGCCTGAGGGTCTGTGACCACTGGTGGAGGCAGGGGCGTTGTGGCTTCCCAGGAGCTGCCTCCACACCTTACATCCAGAGTCCAGCCACTTTTCACCGATCTTCCCTGCCACCACCCTCTTCTGGGCTGTCATCTTTCTTCTCTTTCCTGGAATAATGCAATATCCTCCTGGCAGCGGCTTATCCCTTCTTTCTCTAATGTCCATTCTCCACTGCTAAACATCCTCCAATGCACAGGACAGCCCCACGGCAAAGAATTCTCCATCGCCAAATGTCAGTAGCACT
This sequence comes from Homo sapiens, assembly GCF_000001405.40. Taxonomy (NCBI): domain Eukaryota; kingdom Metazoa; phylum Chordata; class Mammalia; order Primates; family Hominidae; genus Homo; species Homo sapiens. Next base: position 49,470,587 of record NC_000020.11, read on the forward strand.
AAGGTTGAGAAACTGGGCTCTGGTTGAAAAACCAGACACATTCTTCATCCAGAGCCTGGCATAAGCAGCTGAGAGTCAGACTTCTAGCAATGTGTTAGTAATAAGAGTGAAAGTCCCAAAGTTTGTAAACAAATTCCTTTTTCATCAATTAGTATTCTCAGTTATCTCTAGGATAACATCATTCATTCATTTATTCAATGCATGTATTTCATGCCTGCTCTATGGCAGGCACTGAAGACACAACAGTGGACAAAGCACACAAAATCCCTGCCCTTTGAAGCTTACATCAAAGTGGGAGAGAGAGAAAGGAATCATATAATTAAGTAATTATATGTCAGGTTGAAACAAATAAAGCAGCCATGGGGAATGAACAGTGCTATTTTATATGTGGTGGTCAAGGATGGCCTTGCTGAGATGACATTTGAGCTGAGACTTGAACAATGTGAGGGGTGAGTCTCGTGGCATCAGCAGGAAGACCGTACCAGGCAGAAGGGACGGACAGTAAGTGCAAAAGCCCTGAGGTGGGAGGGTGCCTAGAACAGCAAGGAGGCCACTGTGGATGCAACAGAGTGATGGAGAGGGAGAGTGGTAGGGAAGGAGGCTGTAAGGGTGCTGGGAAAAGGGGAAAGATGCCAGATAATGGGCCCTGTGAGTGGGACTGAGGAGTTGGGCTTTTTCTCGGAGTGAGGCAGGAGCCATAGGAGGGTTTTGAGCGGGGGCGTGAGTTGCTGTGTGTGGAGACCAGACGGGGGATGGGAGGCTGGAGGCAGCAGATGGGACTAGAGGCTCCTGCAATGGTACAGGAGGGAGAGGATAGGGTCAGGAAGGCAGCAGTGGGGTGGCAAGAAGTGGCCACAACCTAGACACGTCACTCACACTTGCATCTCACTCTCTCACTTGCATTCTGCCAAGCCGTCCTGAGTGGAAGAGGAAGGGATGAGCCATGCTGGGTGTGTCAGAGATTGCCCCTTATCCTGGCAACAATGATAACAGCAGCTGCCCCAGATGGCGACTCCCTCTGTTCCCAGCACTGCACATGGTGCTCCACAGCTTAGCACCTCTGATCTCCGCCATCCCATGTTGTCTTCTGTGGCTGGGCTTCCTGGCCGTGTGCAGAATCACCCAGGGCAACAAATGGTGTGGGGAAAATGGGGATATCCCCATGCAATGGAATGAAGTTGGTTCCTTATCTTACACACCACATGCAAAGACCTAAAATAAGACTACAACTGTCAAACTCTCAGAAAAAATTTGGGGAAAAGCTTTATGATTTCCCCCTATTGCCAAAGATTCCTCGAATATAATACCAAAACACAGGCAACAAAAGAAAAAACAGACAACTCGGTCTTCAACAAAATACAAAACTTCTGTGTATTGAAGGACACAATCAACAGGGTGCAAAGACAACCTATGGAATGGAAGAAAATATTTGCAAATCGTATATCTTATTAGGGATTAATATCCAGAATATATAAAGAATTCTTACAACTCAATAACAACAACAACAACAAAAACCCCAATTTAAAAATAGGCAAAGTACTTGAGTAGACATTTCTCCAAAGAAAATACAGTAGTCCCCCCTTATCACAGCAATATCACTTTCCAAGGTTTTAGTTACCTGCAGTCAGCTGTGGTCCAAAAGTATTACATACTATAAGATATTTTGAGAAAGAGAGACCACTTTCACATAGCTTTTATTATAGTATTTTGTTGTAATTATTCTATTTTATTATTAGTTTTTGTTGTTAATCTCTTACCGTGCCTAATTTATAAATTAAACTTTATCATAGGTATGTATGTGTAGGAAAAAACATATAATATACAGGGTTTGGTACTATCCGAGGTTTAGGCATCCTGATAAGGGGGTGCTAGTATATACAAATGGCCAAAAAACACATGAAAAGATGCTCAGCGTCACTAAACATCAGGGAAATGCAAACCAAGACTGCAATGAGATACCACCTCATGCCCATTTGGATAGCTACTAAAAAAAAAAACGTAAACAAAAAAATAGCAAGCATTGACAAGGATGTTGATATAGTGGCTATTTGTCCCCTCCAAATCTCATGTTGAAATGTGATCCCCAATGTTGGAAGAGGGGCCTGCCTAGTGGGAGGTCTTTGGGTCATGGGGGTGGATCCCTCACGGATGGCTTGATGCCCTCCTTACGGTAATGAGTTCTTGTGAGATCTGCTTGTTTAAAAAGGCCTGGCTTCTCTCTTGCTCCCTCTCTCTTCATGTGACACACGTGCTTCCCCTTTGCCTTCTGCATGACTGTAAGCTTCTTGAGGCCCCATCAGAAGCAGATGCCAGCACTATGCTTCTGGTACAGTCTGCAGAACTGTGAGCCAAAATAAAACTCTCTTCTTTATAAATTACCCAGCTTCAGGTTTTTCTCTATAGCAATGCAAAATGGACTAATACAGATAGGAAGAAATTGGAACCCTTGTACACCATTGGTGGGAATGTAAAATGGTAACAGTCACTATGAAAAACAGAGCAGCAGTTCTTCAAAAAATTCAAAATAGAATTACCATATGATTCAGCAATTCCACTTCTGAGTATATACCCAAAAGAATTGTTAAAAATCTAGTTGGTTTCTGCTTATCCATGCCCAGAAGAATTGAAAGCATGAACTCTAAGAGATATCTGTACCCCATGTGAATAGCAGCATTATTCACAATAGCCAAGAGGCTGAAGCAACCAAGTGTCTTTTGATGGAGGAATGGATAAACAAAATGTAGTGTATACATACAATGGAAAATTATTCAGTCTTTAAAAGGAAGGAAATTCTGACACATTACAACATGGACGAAGCTGAAGGACAGCATGATAAGTGAAATAAGCCAGTCACAAAAGGACAAATACTGTATGATTCCACTTATATGAGGTACCTAGAACAGTTGAGTTCAAAGGGACAGAAAGTAGGAAGGGGGTTGCCAGGGCCTAGGAGGTGGGCCCAGGAGAATTTAATGGGCACAGAGTTTCAGTTTTGCAAAATGAAAAAGTTCTGGAGATTGGTTGGACAACAATGTGAATATACTTTACTGAACTATACATTTTAAAACGGTTAAGATGGAAAATTTCATATTATGTGTATTTTACCAGAACTAAAAAGAAACCACTTAGGGGGTGAGTTTCAACTGTGGGGCCTAGGCATGAGTATTTTGCAAAGCCCAGGTGATCCTTATGTGCAGGCAGCATGGAGAAGCGCTACTCTGTGAGGTGTGCCCCAGGTATTACCCCCACCTCCCAGTCTCAGAGAGGTGAGGCGCCTTGGGGGCTCATATAGCCAGGAAGCAGAGGAGGTGGGATTTGAATCCAGGCCTGTACCCAGGTCCACAGAAGTGTGTCTCACATGGCAACATTACATCTTATTTGTTATTTATGTCATCAGAGAAAACATTTAAGGAGCATTGGCGCCCTGGATATTAACATGAGAATTCTAGCTCCCACCCCACCCACTCCCGATACGGGGGCTGAGAGATTCCTCCCATTTCTGGCCCCACCTAGTCATGCCCACTCCTGCTGGAGACACCAAAATCAAGTTGATTTCACCTCAGGGAGAAGGTAGGACCTTATGCATTTAGTTTATCTATTAAAATAATGCTTAATGCTAAATCTGTCTCTCCCATAGTCCCATCCAGGAGCCTTTGGGGGTAAAGTCGTCCTAGATCCAGAGCTAAGAACACTCCTAAGTCATAGGGTGATTCTGGACAAATCTCTCTCCTCTCAGCACTGCCCCAGCATGAGAAGGGAATACTGGGATCTTGCTTCTCACTTTCTGAAGGTCACTCATACAACTCAGAGATCAAAGTCATGGGCTGGGCAGTCAGGGAGTCCTGGGTGGGATCTGTCCCAGCCTTCCATTCACTGTGTGACCCTGGGCCAGACACTTCCCCTCTCTGAGCCTCAGTTTCCACGGCTGTAAGATGAGGGTAGTTATCCCTCCCTTATGGGGGGGCTGTGAAAATCAGATGTGATGGGGCATTTAATGCCCTTTGCACTATGCCAGGCAAGCACATTGTAAGCACTCAGTGTTAGCTGTTGCTGCCACCACTGTGGTTTTCATTTTATCTAAGAGACAGAGATGAGGCTGACTGTGCCCTGCCAGACCTAGAATTTCTTCTTTTACGACAACCTCCTAGAGGTTCTCTCTATCGGGGGTGGGCTGTCTATAATACAACACCAGGTCATTCTGAATAAATGATATGTCCTACAGAGCTTTGGTTGGTTTCCCCAGAATCTCAGATCCTAAGACAAGGTTCTGAGTACAAGTGGCTTATATGATAAGTGATCCCAGAAAACTCTGGAAGAGGGGAGGGAACATGAGACAGGGATAGGAAAGAGGTCAAACAGGGTCTGTTATCAAACAAGTAATTGCTGTGAGCAACTGAAGCTGCCCTGGGGACCAGTGTAGAACACACACCTCTGAGTTATACCCCCAGCCAGGGGAGAAGCACGTACACATCGTCCCCATCAGCCGGCAGGTGAGTATCCCACTAGTTCCTGCTGGGGTGTTAGTGCCCTGCCTTTACTGGACTCCAGTGGCCAGAGAAAGCCTCTAACCTTACAATGAGCAGGTATCATTTGATGAGAGCAGTTTTTTGAAAAGGAGCTTATTTATCTTGCAGGATTGTCAGGAGGATTACATGAGAGGACAGTAAAAAAGAAAAAAAACAACAACAGCAAAACCCAACAGTTATTGAGAGCTTTCTACATACCAGGTCCTAGTCTAAGTGCTTTGCATACATTAATGCATGTAACTCAATCCAATGAGGCAGGCACAGTGATTGGCCCAAAATTGCTGTTGGCTGAAGGAACCAGGGCACAGAGGGCTGCAATAGTTGACCCCAAATCACATGGTTAGTGAGTAGAGAAGCCAAACTCTGAACTTGGGCAATCCAGTGCTAAGGTCAAGTGCTTCCCATCCTGATGACATTATCAAGTACAGGAAGTACACAAAGTGCTGGGTATGGAGTTGGTGCCTAACGCATGCTTGTTCTCTTCTAGTTAGTTAAGCTTTGGCCAACCCATTCATTTGACCATCTCTTTTTCTTCCTAGCATTTCACATTCACACAGCAAGTCGGTGAAAGATCAGGGGCCATGCCCAGGCCTTTCTGGCCCCGCCACCCGTACCCGCTGAGGCTCAGGGATCTTTCTGTTACTCCAGGATGTTTGACCAGGATCATCTCTTAGCAGCTGGTCTCTCAGGGGATTTGAAAGGCTATGATGGGCTGTGTGATCCTCAGCAGGTCACTGGAGCATCCTGGGTCTCTGGGTTTCTTTATCCTGTGGGGATGTGGGATTTCTCAGGCACAGCTTCAACTCTGATCATGTGCTATCATCCTTCATCCTTCAGACAACCCTGTGGAGTAGGTTTTATTATCGCCCTCACTTACAGATTAGGAAATGGAAGTGATGAGAGGTGAAGCAAATTGGCCAAAGTCCACAGCTAGGACAAGGCTGGGCTGCGATTCGAAGCCAGGTCTGTGTGACCCCACAATCAGGATTCAGAATTGCTGGCATATTATCTGCCAGGATAAAAACAGGCATCTGGTTTGACCAAGCTGGGGCCAGCAAGAGCCTAAGTCGATGACTCATCACACTGAAGGGGCCCCATAGATTCTGAGTTGGTTCCCGCATTTCTTTTGATGATAATACACAGATCCTTGTGGCTCAGGTCAAGGAAGCTGGAACCTCATTACACTAGAGACGTGTAGCTGGAGCAGAGGAATTCCGTGAAAACACTAACAATCGTTGCTGCCACTTACTGAATGCTTCCCATGAGTCAGGCGCTGGGCTAGGCTCTTTACATTAGGGGCATCTCCTAACAGCTCTTCATGGTTGCCTCTGTTATAATTCTCATTTCCTAGATAAGGAAAGTGACACTCAGAGAAGGAAAGGGGCTTGCCCAAGGTCATATTCATGGTAAGCAATGGAGACAAGAAATCAACCGCATCTGTTGGACTCCAGAGCTGATTCTTAATCAAGTCTGTGATGGGAAAAATATTGACCACTGTTCCTAAAGAAAGGCCACTCTAAGCTGGGCATGATGGCTGTCACCTTTAATCCCAGTGCTTTGAGAAGCTTAGATGGGAGGATCACTTGAACCCAGGAGTTCGAGACCAGCCAGCACAATGTAGCAAAACCCTGTCTCCACAAAAAAAAATTTCTAATGTAGCCAGGAGTGATGGTGTGCACCTGTAGTCCCAGCTACTCAGGAGGCTGAGGCAGGAGGATCACTTGAGCCCAGGAGTTTGAGGTTACAGTGAGCTCTGATTGCACCACTGCACTCCAGCCTGGGTGACAGAGCAAGACCCTGTCTCTGAAAAAAGTTAAAAAATTAAAAATAAATAAATAAAGGCCACTCCCACTTTTGAATACAATAATACTTCATACTTATAAAGTACTTTCCATTTACAAATTACATTCACATCTGAAATCTCATTGAATCATCAAAAGAGCCCTGAAAGGGAGCTATGACTATTATCACCATCAGGCAGATGAATTCACTGGACCTGAGAGCTAAAATGATCCACCCAAGGTCCCAGGATTTAGAAACATAGGCTTGGGAACCAGACAAACTTGGGTTCAAACCTTGGCTCTGCAATTTTCATTCCTTTGATAAATATTTACTGAGAACCTAGCTGTGTGGGCTCAGGCAAGTGACTTCGCCTCTCAGAGCCTCCATTTCCTGTTCTGTAAAAGAGTCTTCATACCACTTATCAGATCCATTCCCTCTCTCATCTGAAAATGCCAGACACTTGCTTTCTCAGGTTCCCTCAGAGCTAGAGCATGAGCATGTGACCTGTCCTGGCCAATGGGATTTTAAAAGAAGTCTGCTAGGGTGCTCCTGGGAAAGGGTTTCCTCTCAGAAAAAAAAAGAAAGTGGGCCAGGCGCTGTGGCTCACACCTGTAATCCCATCACTATGGGAGGCCAAGGCGGGCAGATCACTTAAGGTCAGACATTTGAGACCAGCCTGGCCAACATGGTGAAACTCTGTCTCTACTAAAAACCCCAAAATTACCTAGGCATTGTGGTACATGCCTGTAATCCCAGCTACTCGGCAGGAGGCTGAGGCAGGAGAATTGCTTGAACCCAGGAGGCGGAGGTTGCAGTGAGCTGCCGAGATCATGCCACTGCACTCCAGCCTGGGCGACAGAGCAAGACTCCATTTCAAAAACAAAAGAAAGAAAGTGGAGCATAGGAGAAAATGTTTCTCTTCACGGATTAAACATCACTGAATGTACGTCTGAGGGCTGGAACTGGGCAGCCATCTTGTGATATGAAGCATCAAGCATGAGGACCAAGCCACTTGCAGGGGTTGGGGAGCAGAGGAGCAGAGAGATGAAAAGAATCTAGAATCCTGGTGGCATCATTGAGCCATTAACTCAACCTAAAACCAACTGCCTTGGAACTTCATATTATATTCAATGATGCATCTTCCTCCTTATTGAAGCTACTTTGAGTTTTCTATTCTGCTGCTTGCAGCCCAAAGCATCCCTAACTGGCATACTACCTGGTTGTATCCCTGTTGGAGGAATTTCAATGAGATAGCAGATATGAAGCACCACTAATCAGTGCTGGGCACAACAAACATAAGCTACCCTGGAAATTAGGAAGTTATCTCAGGGCTTTAATCCTGAGACTATCCCAGGGATCACAGACACTCCTGGGCTGGCAAATCAGTTCCCTGTCTCTCCTACTGAGAAAAGCCTGTCGAGTTTTCCGAGAAAGCCAAAGCCCCGTGGTAGCCCCAGCACCGCAACCCTGTCACACCAATGGGGCTGTCCCCATCTTCTAAACAAGAATCAATCACACTGCCTTTTGCCTAATGGGTTTTGATTTTCGCTCCCCTGATGGCAAAGCCTAGGGCCTGTGCTTTGGTTTGTCTCCGAGTTGCCAGAACATCCCATCAATTATTAACAGTGTCAGCTCAGTCTCCCTGGCCCTGCTGCTCTCAGAAGGAAAGGGTTTGCAGCAACTCGGCCCACCCAGCCCTAGAAAAAAGACTCTTTTCCTTAGCATTTATAACAACAATCCCCACCTGCTATGTGCTAGGCTTTGAGCAAAATTTTGACAAATGTGATTTAATGAAGACCCTGTAAGGTGAGCCTTTTATCTCCATTTTACAGGTGGAAGGTTGGGACTTGGAAAGTTGGAGAAATTAGCTAAAAGCTATGGAAGTGGGGAGTGGCACAGAACCAGATCCATCCTTGCTCTTCAGCATATGAGATATGGCCACTTTTGTATCTTACAATCACCTAGAAATGATCCTCCATTTGGTCCTGTCACTCTGTGAGTTCTAAGCAATTTCCACAGGCTTTGCTTGTTTTGACAAGCAAGGCATCCAAGCTGGGGGGATGGGTGGGGATGGGATGGGCAAGGTGCAGATGACTCAAAGGAGGCCAGAGGCACAGGGACCTGGGTTGCAGGTGGGCAGTGAGAAGGGGTGACAGGTCCCCAAACCCTGAGACACAGTGACTGACTGCTTGCTTGCTTGCTTGATTCATTCATTCGTTCATTCATTCATTCGTTCATTCATTCATTTATTCATTCCACATGCTCCTCAGTGCCAGGCACCATCATGGGTGCTGGGAATCAAGCAGTGAATCAACTCATGGTACTCACATTCTTGTGGGTGTGAAACAGAGACACACAAAGAAGGAAATATAATTTCAGATGGCGTTTAAGGCCTCTGCAGGAAAGGCATTGCATGATGCAACAGAGAGTGAGGGGAGGGAAACTGTTTAGAACAGCGGTCAAGGAAGGTCTGTATGAGGAGGGGACATGTGAGCAGGGACCTGCTCAAATGAGGAAGGGGGAGAAGGGGCTGGCCAAGGGGGAATCTGGGGAAGAGCATTCCAGGCAGCGGAAACAGCAAGTGCAAGGGTCCTGAGGTCAGATAAACTCTGGCCTGTTTATGGAACAGCAAGGCCAGTGGGGCTGGAGCCAAGTGAACCAGAGGAGATCAAAAGAGATGAGCCCAGAGAGGTCATGGGGGCCAGATTCTGCCTGGGCCTTGTATGCCAGGATGAAAAGTCTGAATTTTATTTTGAGTGTGATGGGAAACTTCTGGAGGATTTTAAGCAGATGAATAATGTGATCCAATTTACATTTTGAAAAGCTCACTTTGGCTGCTATGTGGGGAATGGATTGCAGGGGCAAAAGTGGAAGCCGGGAGACTGGGGAGGAGGCTGCGGCACTTGATCATTATAGAAAGAACACTCGGTTTGGATTTCTGGCTACTCCTGACTGCCTGTGGTGTGACCTTAGGCAAGTTACTTAACCTCTTTCAGCCTCACTGTTTGCGAAAGGTGGGATAATAACAGAGCTGCGTTGTTACACTCCATACACAGTAGGTGTTTGATCATTGGCAGCCAGGATTTCTATTCTGAGGGCCAGTGAGCCTGCCTCCCTCCCCATTTCAGCTCTGGCTACAGAAAATCCTAGATGGTCCATCTGCCAGGAATGTGAGCTGGCAGCCCCAGACTGGGATCATGGAGAGGTCACAAGGCTGTCCCTGCTAGCGGATTAACCCAAGGGAGAGGAGAGGTTCTTTATTCCCAAACAGCACCTCTTGCAAGCCCCGGTGCTTGGGTCTTGCTGCCAGACCAAAACATGGCCCTGTGCCTGCTTCTTCTCTGGGAGGGCAAATTGTCCAGTTCCCTGTACCTTGTTCTCATGTCTTAGGGATGGGACAGGGAGGGAGAGTCACATTTGGGCCTAAATGGGATGTGCAGTGGGAGAACCTGTGTCATGCCTGGAAATAGCAAAATAAGTCTGTTGATCCTAAGCTGATTAAGGGTGAGTGACTCTGTCTTAGGAGGAGGCTTTTTGGACACAAAATTGGGGGCGGGATTATGGAGAGAGACAGCCCACAGCCTCAGAGGAGGAAGCCAGGCCCAGGAGCCTCTACATCCTTGTTAGGGCCAACAGGGAAACGAAAAAAACACGTGGGGGCTCCCTCCACCCTCTTACCAGCCACCCCTTCTCCATCCACTCTCAGGGGCCTCTCCTTGGGTGGCTAGATCTGGAGGAAGGACCCCACGGAGTCTCCCTTCAGACTGGGACCTGCAGGTGGGCCTTCAGTGAGAACTGAGCCGGAGACCCCACAATGAAAGGCTGGGCTGGACAGGAGTCAGCCCTAGCTAGTAAGATATGGCTGGATATTTAGGCTTCCTCCTCTCCTCTTTCTTTTACCACAAATCTACTTACCTGACCCCTTTTTTTAGGCCCCACACTCAGTTACATTCTCCCCATGTTTCCCAAGTTGGTCTTGCTGGATTTCAACATCAACATCTCTCTTTTCTGGGTTCTCCGTGAACCTCACAGAACCTCTTTTATAGCCTTGCACACACTGTTTTGTCATTTGCTCCCAGCACCCAGCACTTCGGGCACATGAAGACAGGCCCCATCTTTCCCAGGCAACCCCAAATCCCAGCCTGACGTAGAGAAGTTGCTGATCAACCAGTGCCCTCCTGCCCTGCCTTGGCTCCCACCCCAAGCCTTCCTCAGTCCCCTACAGCCCCTGCCATTACCCAGCAGCACCAAAGACTCTCTGGCCCACTCTTTGTGTTCAAACTCATTCCTGCCTCCTCCTCCTCCTCCTCCTTTATTTTTCACATTGCCTCATTTTTCTCTCCTATTTTGAAATTTACATCTTGTTCCAAGAGCTGAAACATCTTTACAAGCTGCACCAAACCATTCTGGAAATAAACTCACCAAATAAATAAGTAACCAGGGGGTGACCCCTCACCCGCAAGCATCCACAACCAACTGCATGTGTCGTGTGGGTCCACACCCACCCCTCGGGGTCCCTTCTTACTTATGTTTAAACTATCTGACAGTATCTCAATGTCCTGTAAGCATGTCTGTAAGCTGCTTTTTTCCCTTGCTGGGGCAGAGTGAGGTTATAAATATGGAGATATTAAAATCACAGGGTGATCCAATCCAGCCTAGGTCTGGGACTTCACAGGGAAGCAAACCCTACTCCACCCCAGCAAGCCACTGTTGTCTCTCTGTGCTCTCTCTCTTATTCGTCAGTGTCCATCTTCTTGCTGTGGCTTTTTATGGGTCCCTGTGAAACCTCTCCAACCAAGTAGGGGTATAACGTCTTGGATAATAAAAAGATGGAGTGACCAGTGCCACATGGGAAAAGTCTGAGGGGGTTGGTCCTCACCTCTGGGGACTCAGTCCTAGCCCCTCCCCATTACTAATCTTCATCGTTGGGAACAAAGCCAGAGTCCTCCAGCAGTGGTCCTCAATATGGGGATGCAAGCAGATCCCCCCAGACCAGCAGCCCCCAGATCCCAGACTCACCTTGGCAGCCACAGAGGAATTGGGCTTCTCCAGTAGGTCCCAGAGTTTTTTCCTCTTCTCTGCGCAGCACGTGTTATCGAACTCCTCGCCTTCCCGCTCCCGTAGGGTCTCGGCCTCACGCTTGAGCTCCTCGTTCATCTGCTCTTTCTTCTGGTGGTAGCGGGCCTGGCAGCAGGACTCCAGGTAGATCTCGTCGATGCCCCAGTAGTCGAGCTCTTGGCTGAAGCTGAGCGCGCACATCTCCTCCATCATGTGCAGTCGCCCAGTGCGGTAGAAGTTGAGGATGGAGGTGAAGGCGCCCGGGTGGCGGTCAAAGAAGTACTCGTTGTCGTCGAGGCTGTAGTCATCGCACACCTCGAGCAGCGAGTCGTGCGTGTTGCAGTCGCGGAGCTTGCCCAGCCGCGTGCGGGGCAGGCGGTCCAGGGTACGCCAGAGTACCTCGTGCGCCAGCCCCCCGACGTTGAGGCGGACCCGCCGAGAGCACGCCTTGCTGCGCACGATCTCCATGGGCTCGGGCGGCAGCGAGCTGGTGGAGCGGGAGCCATGCTTCGTCATGCCCGCCGGCATCGCTGATCCGGCCGCCCCCGCCCCCCCTGCCCCCCCAGGCCGCTGTCACTCGACGGCAAGGCCCGCTGCTGCGGGGGAGGGGGGCAGGGAGCGCTGTGGGCTGCTGGGGGTGCAGGGGGCCCCGCGGGCGCGCGTCACGGCCGTCTTCTCACCTCCATCCCGACGGCTGCGAGGCAGAAAGCGAAAGCGGACGCGGGTCAGCAAACGGGGAGCTGGGCATGCTGTCCCCCCGCCCCCCACCTCTCCACCAGGCTCCCAGCCGGCCTTGACCTTCCCCCGCGCTTAAGCGGCTCAGTGGGGTAGGACGGATGGTCGCTGTCCCTCCCGCCGGTGCTGAAGTCCGCCGCACCCCATGGATGGAGGGAGGGGCCGCCCCTCGGGGCGGGGAGAGGGCCCCAAGAGATGCCCCTGGAGCCCGGGAGGCCCCACCCTGGGCTTCTGCGGCCCAGGCGCGACCCAGCCGCCCGGGGCGCTGTCCGCCCCTTAGAGTGCTGAAACTCTCTTCATTATGGGTCTCCCGATCGAGTCCCGAACCTGGCCCCGCCATGGGGAGAGAGGGGGAGCTGCATGAAAACTTTCTTTCTTTATCTTTTTCTTTCTTTCTTCTTCTTCTTTCCTTCTTTTTTTTTTTTTTAACGAGTTCTCTTCTTTTCCTTCCCCTTCTCGAGATAATCAAGATTTTGGGGGTGGGGGAATGGCAGCGGGCTTTTTTCCAAATCTTAAAAGATTTGGGGGAATTCCGGGGGTTCCAGGTGCCCACCTGTCCGAGGTCACAACAGACGGGGTGTGCACAACAGCCCCTCTGTCCTGGAGCGACCCCTCTTCCCAAACACTGGAGCATCTCCTGAGATTGCTCCAGCGACAAGGTGAGCCGCGAGGAGGAAAAGCCCGCTCTCGCCTCTCCCTCTGAGCCCCCAACCCTACCGCAGGAGGGGCGGGCAGAGTCCTCGGGATCCGCCTGCTCCGTCCTCCCCTCGCTCCTTCCCCGCCCCCTTCTCCTCCTTCTCCTCCCCCTCCTCTTCCTTCTCCCCCTCCTCCTCCTCTTCCTCCTCCTCCTCCTCCTCCTCCTACTCCTCCTCCTCGTTCCTCTCCCGCGATGGCTTTTTATAACTCCGGGTTCTGCGCCTTTCCCCGGGCTTGGAAGGGAAGGGGTGGGGGAGGTGGGAGGCGGGGAAATGAGCTAAATTTTCTGGCCTTTTCAAAAGGTGCCATCCTCCTACCGCGCACTAGTGATTTCGGGGGGTTCCCCTGAGCACCCCCTGCATGTAGGGCTCACGCCTTAGCCCCAGAATGGGGATTGCGCGTCCCCTCAGGCCTCAGCCCTTGCCTGCCTCCCACCCCGCTCCCCTCCAGCCTGGAGCTGCGGAGCCCGAGCAGACCAACAGGCCGAGCTGCGGCAGGCAAACCCCCTGTCCGTGTCCCCATGCACCCCCACGGAAGGCCGTACGCCCCAACACTCACCCCCAGGGCGGCCGCCTCCTGGGGCCAGGGACCGCGCATCGTCCCGGCCGCCCGGGCGCCCCCGCCCGTGGGCAGCGGCGGTCCCGGGGCCGGGCTGAGCCGGGCCTACCCCGGCCGGGCAGGCAACTCGCCCGGGCTGCAGGCGCCGCGGGGCCGGGGCGCGCTCTCCGAGGCGGGGGGCGCCGGCGGGCGCCGGGGGCGCGGGGGCAGGACCGCGGCCGCGCGGCACCTCCTCCACCTCCTCCTCCTCCTGCTCCCGCGGCGGCGGCGGCGGCGGCTGCCTGGGCGAGATCAACAAGTCGGGGCTGAGCTTCGGCTCCGCGCTCGCTGCTATTCTGTCCCGCACTTCGGAGCGCCCGGAGCCGGGCACCAAGGCAGGACGGCGCCACCTGCGGGTCGGAAGCGAGCGCGGCTTAACTCCTGCCTGCCCGGCCCAGCCTGCCGGGGAGGCCGGGGGCGGGCTCCGGGATCGGGCCAAGGAGACGCGCGTGGCCGTGCATCCCTCTCCACCCAGGCCACCTGCACAGCTGGCCTCGCGATCCCGCCTTCCTTCGTCCCGTCAACAACGTGTGTTGAACGCCTCCTGTGCGCGAGCCGCGGTGCAGGGCACGGTGACAGGCGTCTGAGATACAGCTGTGAATCAAACACAAACATCCGGCCCTCGTGGAGCTGGTTGGAAACAGATCATAAACAAAAAAGCGAAAGGATATATGAGGCGGTGACAAGCGCTGGGGGAAATAATGAAACAGGAGGAAGGGTCAGAGGGTGGGAGGGGGCAGATCGGAACTGTAAATAGCCCTTGCTTTCATGAGCTTCCATTCTAGATTTTAGCGGGGGGTCGGGGGTGGGGGACGGAGGCGGACAATGAATACATCAGTACATATGCAATGTGGCAGGTGGTGATAACCGCTAAGAAGAAAAATAAAGCGAGGTATGGGGAAGAGAGGGTGAAGAGTGAGCTGGTTTATATAGTCTGGTGATTCATTCATTCATTCATTCATTCATTTATTCATGTTAAGTTGGACATCTGGTTATTGACAGCTTCCTATGTGCAAGCAGAATGCCAGGCTCCGTGAAGGGAAAGTCTTCCCCCTGGAGCTCCCCATCCAGTGGGGGAGGCAAAACCCATCACATAATCCCAGAAATGAAAACTGGAGGAGGTACCTGGAGAGGCAGGCAAGGGTTCTCTAAGGATGCCACAGATGGGCCTTGTGTTTACTCATTTATTCTTTCAAATATTCATTTACTGCATGATAAGTAAATAGGTGTCAGCGGCCGGGCACAGTGGCTCATGCCTGTAATCTCAGCACTTTGGGAGACTGAGGCGGGAGGATGGCTTGAGCCCAGGAGTTGGAGACCAGCCTGGGCAACATAGTGAGACCCATCTCTGCCAAAAAATAAAAAATTAGCTGGGCATGGTGCTGCTTACCTGTGGTCTCAGCTACTCAGGAGGCTGAGGCAGGAGGATCACTTGAGCCCAGGAGGTCAAAGCCACTATAAGCTGTGATTGCACCTCTGCATTTCAGCCTGGATAACAAAGTGAGACCCTGTTGCAAAAAAAAAAAAAGAAAAAAAAAAGTGCCGGGGATGGGTACAGCAGTGAGCTCCCCTGCCCTGGAGGACAAAAACTGAACAAGATACAGTGTTCCAACACAGGTTCCTCTCTGGCCCTTTTCTTCCTTTCTAAAATTAAGGGGTTCATTTCCATAATTTCCATAGAGTTGCACATAATATTATTATATATTTTTTACTTGTCCACTTATCATCTCCACCATCATGACCCTTGTCCAAGGTACCATCGTCTTGTCTCCCTGCAACCTCCCTGCAACTTGGCTCCCATCTTGGCCTCATCCCTGGCTCCCATGCCTGGCTCCCATCTTGGCCTCCTACAGTTCATTCTCCCCATGGCCACCAAAACAACTGCTACATTTCATGGACCATGAAATGTTGGACCATGTTTCTCATCTGCTTAAAACCTTCCCAAGACTTTCCCTTGCTTTAGACTAAAACCTAAACTTCTGGCCTATTGCCCTAATTCAGCCCGCCCCCCTTTCTGAGCTTGTAGACCAGTGGAGGAAGACAGGTAACTAAAAAAGTAAATTTTTAAAGAGAGAGTTTCAGGCTACAGTGATTGTTATAAAGGAAATGGAACATCATGATGGGGTGGAAAAAGAGAGACCAAGCTGCTAGTGTTACACAGGGTGGTCAGGAAGGGTGTCTCAGAGGAGATTAATAGAGATTGAAAGATAAGAAGGGACTAGCCATGGGGAGAATGAGGGAAATGCATTCCAGGTGGAGGAAACAGCAAGTGCAAATGACCTGGGGTGTGAGAGACAGTGAACAATCACATTCCCTCCTGCTTCAGTCTGGTGTTCCTAGGGTCAGAAAGGGTTCTCAGCTGGCCCCTCTGTAAGCCTAATCTGTTGAAGGCAACTTTTCTCCAGAGATCTGGGCATTCCCACAGGAGGTTTCAGAAAGCAATAAATCCTTCCTGATGAGAGGGAAAAAATGACTCTATAATGGTGAAATTTCCAGGCATTACTGCAGGCATTACGGTGCCTTCCAGGTACAGCTAAAATAACACCTAGAAGTGCGGTTCTTCTCTACTCCATATAACCAAGGAGTGGAGATGCATGTTTGTTGGGCACCTACTACAAGTAGTCCTCTGAAGGTATAACATCCATCAGCTTCCACATCTGTAAATAAGAGATGAGGTTATTTATAGATGTGGAAGCTAAAGCTCCGAGAGAAGGTGTCTTGCCCAATATCTTGCTGGCAAGTGCTGGCACAACCAGATATGGGAATCTCTTGTTTGACTCCAAAATCAACGGGCTATCCAAATACCAGAGCAGCCTCTCTGCAAAGTCCTTTCTCCATCAGTTCATTTATTGATTAATGGAATCATTCCAGATGTTTACTGAGCATCTACTGTGTGCCTCAGCATGGGTGTTGGTGCTGGGAATTGAGGGTGAGTAATTTATATGGTCCCTGTCCTCGTGGAGCCACACACCTCTCTTGCCAAGGCCAGGAACAGACAGAAAACCTTGTTACTTGTTTTTCTTCTGTATTGTTTTTTTCATTTTTAAATTCCCTTTTATCTGCATTCCCCTCCCACTAGCCCATAGGAAATGGTTGTCATGTGTCAACCGTATATTGTTTTGTTTGGGTTTGTTTTTGCTTTTGCTTTTAGAGATCGGGACTCACTCTGTCATCCAGGTTGGAGTGCAGTGGCATGATCATGGCTCATTGCAACCTAAAACTCCTGGGCTCAAGTGAACCTTCTGCCTCGGCCTCCCAAAATGTTGGGATTACAGGTGTGAGCCACTGCGCCCGGCCTGTATATTGCTTTGTTTGTATGAGTTCTTGAAAACTGTGTTTGGTGTTTTGTGTGCACTTTAAAACTTGCATATATGGTTTGTGTTATACATCACATTCTATTTATTTTTCTCTAAGATCCATCCACGTTGCTGTGGGTACACCCAGCCTGCTGCTTGTAATAGCTGCACAGTTGTTCACGATGACACAAGTCCCCTTTCCACTGTCCACCCGCTATGTGGTCACCCAGAAGACCTCCAACTCCCACCACCACAATGAATGCATCCACGAGCATCCTCCCATGTGTCTGCTTATGAGCCAGTGTGATGATTTTTTAAAAAAACATTTCCTGCAGGTTCAGAATTGACACATCACAGAGTATGTTGCACTTAATTTAACTAAGCACACCCAAGTCTCCCTACAGATGTCTGTTCCAGGCTGCATCTCACCAGCAGTGCTTGAGAGTTCCTACAGCTCCACATCCCAGCCAGCATTTGGTATTATCCAGATATGTAGGTTTTGACAGTCTAACACGTACAAGGTAACATCTCAGTATATTTAAATTTGCATTTCTCTGATTACTAATGAGTCTGAGACTCTCTTCATATGCTTATTGTTCTCTTGTATAAATATCACCTGTGCACATAGTGGCCCATTTTTCTATCAGGATTCCTGTTTTTTTCTTGATGATTTGCAGGATTCCTTTGTATAATGCAGATTTTAAGTCCCTTGTGGATTTTAGACATTGCAAATATCTTCTTCTGCTTTGTCACCTACCTGTTAACTTTGCCTATGGTGTCCTTTATTAAGCAGAAATCTTTTTAAAGTGATCAAGATAATCTATTTTTGGCTGTATAGTTTGTGCTTTTAAAGTTTTTGTTTGAGTCCTCCCCTGCCCCTAAGTTGCAAACAGTTTTGTTTATTAATTTTATATTTTTATTTTTTACTTTAGGTCTTTAACCAATTGTGTGTGTGTGTGTGTGTGTGTGTGTGTGTGTGTGTGTGTGTGATTTGGTAGGGAGCCAACTTCATTCATTCCCTATAGCTGGCTAGTTTTCTGAAAACTACCTATGAAATAACTTGTCCTTTCCCCAGCTGATCTGTGGGCCACCTTTGTCATATGAAGCCTCTTGCACTCCCCACTCTGCTCCATTGGGCTTCTTGTGCTTATGTCACTGTGGTCCTGTTTTTATTAGCATGGCTTTATAGTGAGCTTTAGTGCCTGTAGCCCTTGTCTCTCTTCTTTGTTCTTTTTTAGGGCACACTTGGCTATTTGTGGACCTTTAATCCTCTCTACAAACTTTTTAGTAAGTTTGTTATGGGACAGTTTCTCTTCCCTTGCACTCATTTCCTAATCCTGATCACCAGTTTGCCACCAAAGCCTACCCACAGCTCCTCTACCCAGTGAAACCCCTGAGGAATGTTGCCATGGTTAATACTAAGTGTCAACTTGATTGGACTGAAGGATGCAAAGTATTGCTCCTGGGTGTGACTGTGAGGGTGTTGCCAAAGGAGATTAACAATTGAGTCAGTGGACTGGGAGAAGCAGACCCACCCTCAGTGTGGGTGGGCACCATCCAATCAACCACCAGTGTGGCTGAAATAGAGCAGGCAGAAGAAGGTGGGAGAAGCTGACTTGCTGAGTCTTCTGGCCTCCATCTTTCTTCCATGCTAGATGCTTCCTGCCCTGGAACATCGGACTCCAAGTTCTTTGGCTTTTGGACTCTTGGGCTTACACCAGTGGCTCTCAGGTGTTTGCCCACAGACTGAAGCCTGCACTGTAAGCTACTCTACGTTTGAGGTTTTGGGACTTGGACTGAGCCACTACTGGCTTCCTTCCTCTTCAATTTGCAGACAGCCTGTTGTGGGACTTCACCTTGTGATTGCGTGAGTCAATTCTCCTTAATAAACTCCCTTTCATATATACCTCTATCCTATTAGTTCTGTCCCCCTGAGGAACCCTGACTAATACAAATGTGGACAGACAGGTCCCTGGAAAGAAACCTGGGGCCAATCTTCCAATCAGCTGGAAAGCCAAGGAAAGCAATTTCCCTACAAAAATGAGTGAGACAGGTATTTTGATGTTATTATGTTTGTTTGTTTGTTTGTTAAACAAACGGGATATGTTACAATGTCTGGAGATATTTTTGACTGTCATAACTCCAGGGGAGAGGGAGAGTGGTTGTCCTGGCATCTAGTGGGTAGAGGCCAGGGATGGTGCCAAGCACCATGCATGGCCCAGGACAGCCCCAACTGTAAAGAATTCTCCTGCCCCAAATCTCAACAGTGGCAAGATTGTGAAACCCTGCATGAGTTAGATGGAAGGCAAAGGTGTTTCCCAGTCTGGAAATGCCATTCTTCAACCAACCATTAATAAACACCTACTATGTACCAAGCATTACTCTTGACACTGGAGCTACAGTGTAAATAAAATAGACAGTACTGCGCTCACGGACTTATATTCTTGTGGGAGATACAGTTAATAATCAAGTAAATAAGTCATTCTGCTTGTGATAAACGCAATGAAAAAAAGTAAATGGAAGCGATAGAGCCTAACTGAGAGAGACATCAGCAACTTTAGATAGAGTAGTCAGGGAAGGCTTCCTGGAGGAGGCAATATGTCTAAGCTGAGAACCTGTGGGTAGGAAAAGCCAACCATGTGAAGTTCTGAGGAAGGAGGTACAGGCAAGGGAACAGCACAAGCAAGGGTCCTAAGGTGGGAATGAGCTTGATGTGTTCTAAGAACAGATGGATGCCAAGACCAAGCCATGCATTGCCCGGTTGGGATTTTATTCTCAAGGTTAAGGGAGGAGTTTGAGTTTTTTCTAATTGTGATGGGAAGCCATGGTAGTGTTTTAAGCAAAGAAGTCCCATGCACTGATATGTTTTGAGGCGATGGCTCCAGCTGCTGGTGTGCACTATGAAGTATTTGAGGATAAAAAATGGCGGCAGGAAAACCCACGATAAGATTTCTCCAATTGTCCAGGGCAAAGGTAATGAGATTTGGACTCGATGATAGTGGCAAGGATGGCTGGGCAGTTTCACAGCCACAAGTCTCTGATGGGAGACTGGTATCTAGTGGGTGGGGGCCGGGGATGCTGCTAAACCCCATGCAATGCTCGGCACAGCCCCCCACTATAAAGAATTCTTGGCCAGGCATGGTGGCTCATGCCTGCAATCCCAGCACTTTGGGAGGCTGAGGTGGGCAGGTCATCTGAGGTCAGGAGTTTGAGACTAACCTGGCCAACATGGTGAAACCCTGTCTCTACTAAAAATACAAATAGCCAGGTGTGGTGGCGCATGCCTGTAGTCCCAGCTATTCAGGAGGCTGAGGCAGGAGAATTCCTTGAACCTGGGAAGTGGAGGCTGCAGTGAACCAAGATTGCGCCACTGCACTCCAGTCTGGGTGACAGAGCAAGACTCTGTCTCAAAAAAAAAAAAAAAAAAAAAAAAAAAATTCCAGCCCAAATGTCAATAGTGGCAAGATTGAGAAACCTTAGATTAATTAAATGGAAAGCAAAGGTCCCCAAGCCCAAGGCCAGTGCTAGATATTCCACATCACTCAGATTCTTCCCCACTAGTGGCCCGATATTTACAAAGTGTGGCTCCAGATTCAGATAAAGAACATCTGGGTATGCCTGGAGCTTGCAAGTGCAGGCAGTGGGAATGGCTCTGTCACTTTTCAGCTAACAGCCCTGTTGTGACTACTTGTCCATTTATTTACTCAACCAGGATTCAGTGCAAAATGACTCAGATGGCAGTGTGACCTGTGGCTCAGAGGAAGGATTCTGGAGTCAGAATGGTGCTATTACTTACTTGCAGTGACCTTGGGCAAGTGCCCTAACCTCTCTGAGCCTCAATTTTCTCATCTGAAATACAGGGTGGTAATAAAAAGAGCACTTGCTTTATAGGGTTATTATAAGGAATTTGTAGAAAGCACTCAGTCATCACCAGCTCTCATTGTCTGGTAACTGCAGGTTACCTAAGGGCAGGAGCTGGTCTGTCTTGCTCATCTCATATAACAGAATGCTTAAATAATAGAGACTTAAAGAATACAGATACTTACTTATCTCACATAAAAAGTTAAGAGGAGGGTGGCATGAAAGTTGATTCAGCAGCTCAACCCTGTTATTAAGGACCCAGGTTTCTTCCACCCTTTTGTTCTGCCTCCCTATGTGTATGGGCTTTTCATGCCCAGGCTTACTGCCTCATTGCTACAAAATGGCTGCTGTTATGCCAGGCATCAATCTTCATAAAATCATATTCAAAGGCAGGAAGGAGGAGGTGACAAGGATGGCCAAAATAACTCTCGCTTCTCTCACTCTCTCTCTCTTTTTTTGTAATCCCGCCACCCACTATCAACTTCCCCTACCATCTCATTGGCCAGAACAGGGTCATATAGCCACCCCTAGGCTGATCACTAGCAAAGGGAACAGGATTCACCCCATAGGGTGAGATTATTCCTGTATTAACAAAATTCAAGTTCCTTTAATAAGGAAGAAATTAAGACAGAAGTTGGGTGGGCAGCCACAGTGTCCACCATACTGTTCACCAGTGGCCAGCACAATCCCTATTACAAAGTAACGTTTGACAAATGTTTTTGAATGAATAAATAAACCCTCTTATTTGAGGGCATATAAGAAGCTTATGGAACAGTTTGGAGGTTTCTCAAGAAACTAAAAATTGAGCTACCATATGACCTAGCAATACCATTGCTGGATATATACTTCCCAAAAAGGGAAATTAGTATATCAAAGAAATATACACTCTTATATTTATTGCAGCACTGTTTACAATGGCTAAGATTTGGAAGTAACCTAAGCATCCATCAACAGATGAATGAATAAAGACAATGTAGTACATATACACAATGGAGTACTATTCAGCCATAAAAAAGAATGAGATCCTGTCATTTGCAACAACATGGGTGGAACTGGAGAGCATTATGTTAAGTGAAATAAGCAGGTACAGAAAGGCAAACATCACATGTTCTCACTCATTGGTGGGATTTAAACATCAAAACAATTGAACTCATGGACAGAGAGAGTAGAAGGATGGTTGCCAGAGGCTGGGAAGGGTAGTGAGGGCTTGGGGAGGGGGAGGTGGGGATGGTTAATGGATAAAAATATAGAAAGAATGAATAAGACCTACTATTTGATAGCACAAGAGGATGACTATAGTCAATAATAACTTAAGTGAACATTTTAAAATAAAGAATGCAGTTGGATTGTAACTCAAAAGCCAAATGCTTGAGGGGATGGATGCCCTATCCTCCATAATGTGCTCATTTCACTTTGCATGCCTCTATCAAAACATCTCATGTACTCCATAAATACATACACCTACTATGTACCCACAAAAATTAAAAATAAAACAAATGAAGAAGCTTATGAATAAGACACATCTCTGATCTCAAGGGTATCCAGTTCTATTCGTTGGGATAAGGTATACAGAAATAAATTCGACAATGATCTCTCTTATTGGCCCCTCCCCATCTCCAAGGCTTTGATGAGGAAACCCCCTGAGATCATTTAAGATCTCAGTATCTCAACTGACATTTGTATATATCTTAAAAAAAAAAAAAGAATGGCTATTCTGCAAAAGTTACTGGGGGGAAAAAAAAACAAAAAAAAACCAGAAATGGCTGGTACGTAAGCAGTGTTCCAGCCCTCTAGGCAATCTCTATTCCAAATAGCAGAGGGCATGAGCTGGTGGACTGTGGACTTGTGTTGTTTGGCCATGAGAGTATTTTTTAAAATTGTAATCAACAGTGAAACATCAGAAGAGTTTACATAAAATATGGATTTGCAGCGTCACTTGAAAAATTAAAGGATCTGATTAACACTGGAACCACATTCTTGCATGGCATGGCAATTATGGCTGACACAGAGTTGTGGCTGCCCTTGAGTCACAGCTGCTCCTTTAAAGCAGGACATGCTCTCCTGTTTGCTACAGTCTCCACCTTTCCCTAAAGCCCCTCGCTCAAGTCATTTCTTTTTTTTTTTTTTTTTTTTTTTTTTTTTGAGACGGAGTCTTATTCTGTCACCCAGGCTGGAGTGCAGTGGTGTGATCTCAGCTCACTGCAACCTCCACCTCCTGGGCTCAAGTGATTCTCCTGTCTTATCCTCCCAAGTAGCTGGGATTACAGGCACATGCCACCAAGCCTGGCTAATTTTGTATTTTTAGTAGAGACAGGGTTTTACCATGTTGGTCAGGCTGTTCTCAAACTCCTGACCTCAAGTGATCCACCCTCCTTGGTCTCCCAAAGTGCTGGGATTACAGGCGTGAGCCACTGTGCCCGGCCTCACTCTTCTTATTTATGTTACCTGCATGGTCCTGGTATAAATGTGAGTCTGTGCTTCTTGCATGCAAAGGCCAAGGGACTCCAAAGAGGCTATCTTGCCTCTCTCTGTTTCCCCAGACTCTGCACAGTGCATGATTTAGAATTTTCACTTTCTGAATGAAAAGACTGTAAGTTATTTGAAGGCACATAGCCTTCATTTCTAACAATTTTCTGCCATCATAAGAGGAGAGACTACCTAGAAATAAAGCCATTAGAGGGGAAAGTTGGGTGCCCCTGGATTTTCCAGTTATGTGAGCTCATAAATTCTTTTTACCTAAGCCAAGTTGAGTTGTCATTGTGTCATCTACATCCAAAAGAGCTCAACTGATATAATCCTCTTTCCACTGACGAGAAGGTTATAATCTACTTTTTTTTTTCTGAGACAAGGTTTCACTCTGTCACCCAGGCTGGAGTACAGTGACATCATCACGGCTCACTGCAGCCTTGACCTCCTGGGCTCAAGCAATCCTCCCACCTCAGCCTCCTGAGTAGCTGGGATCACAGGCATACACCACTATGCCTGGAAAATTTTTGTATTTTTATAATAATAGAGATGCAGTTTCACCATATTGCCCAGGTTGGTCTTAAACTCCTGGGCTCAAGAAATCTGCTCACCTCAGCTTCCCAAAGTGCTGAGATTGCAGGCATGAGCCACTGCAGTTGTAATCTACTTGAGCCCTATATATACTTATATATACTTATAGGAAACAAGGCAAAAAGAGTAATAAAAAGCAGAATATTCTATAGAGAAGGGACACCCCATCCCAATGAGAACTTAAGTACAGGTCAGTTGTGGTGGCACACATCTGTAATCCCAACACTTTGGGAGGCCAAAGTGGGCGGATGGCTGAGCCCACTTTTTATTAAGCCCCGGGCAATATGGTGAAACACCATCTCTACAAAAAATCAGAAATTAGTCAGGTGTGGTGGTGTGCACCTGTAGTCCCAGCTACGTGGAAGGCTGAGGTGGGAGGATCGCTTGAGCCCAGGAGGCTGAGATTGCAGTGAGCGGAGATTGCACCACTGTACTCCTGCCTGGGTGACAGAACAAGACTCTGTCTCAAAAAAATAAAAATAAAATAAAATAAAATAAAATATCTCAAGTACAGCCATCTCATTTAAAGATAGGGAAATAAAAAGCTGATTTAGGGGAACAGGATCCCAGTGGTCAGCCAGTGAGTGGGGAGGCAAGTACCAACACCCGAGCACCCAACTTCTAGGCCAAGGCCCTCTGAAAATGTTTTCTGCTCAATCCTCTCTGCAGACATCTTCTGCTGAGAAGTGTTCAGATTTTTCTCAGAGGCTGAGTGAGGTCAAGTCAACCCAATTCGTCCATGTAAATACAAGTGATATACCCTTTAAAAGGTGCTGGCAAGAGACGTGTTCACTTGAAGTCAAGCTTTTTTCTTTCTCTTGGACTCCATAATACCTGTCATCATTTATTTATAATCCCACTGAGTATCCTACTTAGGTTTTTTGGCACATCTGGGCACTGAGCAAGGCTAATTAATCCCCCTTCCCCCATGAATTCCTGGGTAAGAATAATTGCTTTATGAGGGTGGTTATAGGGGTACCCGAAGCCTCAAGGAAAATCATTACATCTCTGAGTGGATGTCGCTCAGGACAACGGGTCTTTGCTGTGGCCCTGCCCAGACAAAGCACCAGCAGCCTGAGGGATTTTTCCATCAGCTTGGACTCCAGTCTTCTCACCCATCTCTCTTTTGTCACACCCCAAAATAATAATCATAATCATAATTAAAAACAGGATAATGGTGGAATCTTCCTCTCAGGGTTGC
Organism: Homo sapiens; assembly: GCF_000001405.40. NCBI lineage: Eukaryota > Metazoa > Chordata > Mammalia > Primates > Hominidae > Homo > Homo sapiens. The sequence goes on from NC_000020.11 coordinate 49,495,396, forward strand.
TGAAAGAAGTAAAAAGATAATGCAAATAAAGTGTTTCACACCTTGCCTAAAAGTAGTAAGTACTCATTAAGGGAAGAGTAGTAGCAATGCTAACAATGACAATATCAGCTAACATTGATTGAGCACTTCCTGTATACCAGGCCCTGTTCTAAATGCTTTGCATGCGTCTGATCTCATTTAAGATTCTTTCCAGCTCTTTCACTCTCAGGCTGAATATTCTGATATAAACAAGACCTATTAAATGTTAGATGATACTTGAGTGAACAGATGTCTGATTCTAGTGCCTGTTCTATTTTCCCCTAGCCTGATTGTCTTTATTAAGCCCTGGGTTTCCTGGCCCAAGTTCCTGGTAAGTGGATGAACTTGGTTTTCTTTTCTTTCTTCATTTTCATTTTCTAAATTAAATAAAATTTGTTTTAGAGTTGGAGTCTATGTTGCCCAGGCTGGCCTTGCACTCTTGGGTTCAAATGGTCCTCCCACCTCTGCCTCTCAAGTATCTGGAATTATAGGCACATACCCAGTGTGCCTGACTGAGCCTGGTTTTCTGACCAACCCAAACATTTACCCATCTCTCCTTCCTTTCTTTTGCCTATCACCTATCCATCAACCTAATCATCCCCTCATCCATCTATATACTCAGCAACCAAATTATTCAACTACATACCCACCCATCCATCTACCCACTCACTCATCTATTCGTTCACTCACCCACTTACTCATCCATCTTTCTTTCCATTCATTCATATATTCTATCCATTATCCATCTTGCTACCTTCTCATCCACCTACTTATCCATTTATCCATCTATCCACCCATCCGTACACCATCTGTCTTTCCACTCATCCATCTATCTGCCCATTCACCCACCCACACAACTACTCCCTCATCCACCCCAAATATTCATGCATCTATCCACCACTCACTCGCCAGTCATCCATCCGTCCACCCTTCTAATCTATCCATGTATCTATCTGCCCACCCAGCCATCTCAACCCATCTACCACCTAACATTTGCAGTGATGCTCTGTGCTAATCCCTAGCTTGTTGTTTTGGGCTCCCTCCCTGGGAGGAAAGGTGAGTGCCATCAGAGGGTCCCCACAGAGGAAGACAGATAAACCAGTGAGCCTCTTTGTGGCCTGGACCTTCAAAGCCACTGACTTCCAGGGTCTGTGGCCAAACAATGATGAAATGCACATGGAAAATGAGAAGCCCTGCAATTACATGGAAAGAGACAGAGGCTCAGCCCTCCCAATGTTACAGCTGAATGCAGCATTCCAGGCATCCCTACCAAGCCACTCCACCATAGGGTGGAGATGGATGGAGGCACATGCTTCCAGCAGAGCAATTAGAGGTAAACTAATATCTCTTTCCCACAGAGGAGCCTGGGAACTCCAAGACGCAATGGAAAGGAGGCGAGTCAGCAAAAGGAGGAAATCAAAGCCACAGAGATCAAGAGCTAATTAACTGATCCTCCTAAGATAATGTTTCATTAAAATCCAGTTCTTCTGCCCTGTGGGGACTGATATCTCTCCTACTGCCTCTCCATTGCCCTTTTCCACCCATTCCTGATCTCATCTGCCTCCGCTCTGATCTTTCCCCAAGTCTTCTCCCTCCTCCAATCCAACCTCCCCCCAGCTACTAGGGTAGACTTTTAAAGGCACAAGTCTGACCATGTCACTCCCTATTTATAAGTCTTCACCACTCATTGCCTGAGACAAAGGGCAAACTCCCAAGATAAGGCAAAGGCCGTTCATTCATTTAACACAGATTTCCTCAGTGCCTCTCCTCTCTCACAAGCTTGGGGATGGTAGGACACAGAAACAAGTTTCTGACCCTTGCCCTGTTTCTCCAGCTTCTTTACCCACCACTCCTTTCCACATTCCTGCATTTCAGCAAAAACTTTCCAACCTCCGGCTTAGTGATAGCCAGTCCCTAGGGAAACTGTTGTTAGTATCCATGCTTTGCTCAGCTCACTTCCACATTGACTCTGGGCTTGGCCTTGTGACTTGCATTTACCAGTGGAATGTGGTGGCAGTAATGCCAGTTCCAGGCCTAAGCCTTGAAAGGGTCGGGAAGCTTCTGCTTTTGTGCTCTTGGGAGCTCTGAACCACTGTGTAGGCAGCCAGGCTACCCTGCTGGAAGGGACCATGTGGAAAAACCACATGGAAAGTGAGAAGCCCTGCAATTACATGGAAAGAGACCAGAGGCTCAGCCCTCCCAATGTTACAGCTGAATGCAGCCTTCCAGCCATACCTACCAAGGCACCAGGCATATGAATGAAGTCGTCGTGGACGTCCCAGCCTCACCTAACATCTGACTGCAGCTGCATGAGAGACCCCCAAGTGAGAGCAGCAGCAGAACCATCCAACTATAAGCCCCATTCTCTTTCTATTAGTTCTTATGAGAGCTATTCATTCTCATGAGCTTTTTAGAAAGTGCCAACCTGGCTGGGCACTGTGGTTCACGCCTGTAATCCCAGCACTTTGGGAGGCTAAGATTGGTGGATCACCTGAGGTCAGGAGTTTGAGACCAGCCTGACCAACATGGTGAAACCCCGTCTCTACTAAAAAAATTACAAAAATTAGCCAAGCGTGTTGGCAGGCACCTGTAATTCCAGCTACTCAGGAGGCTGAGGCAGGAGAATTGCTTGAACCCAGGAGGTGGAGGTTGCAGTGAGCCAAGATCATGCTGCTAGACTCCAGCCTGGGCAACAGAGTGAGATTCCATCTCAAAACACAAACCAAAAGCGCCAATCCACAAAGACATGAGAAATAATAAAATAGTTTTGTGTTAAGTCACTACATCTTGGAGTTGTTTGTTACACAGCACGAGATATCTGATACAGAGGCCTTGCTCCTGCTATTTCCACAGCTTAGAATGTTTCTCCAACCCCAGCCATCTTCTTTACCCCACATGGTGAACTCCTATTCACCTTTCAGAGCCCATATTCAGCATCACCTTCCCTGCCTCCCATAGTCTGAGTTAATGTCTCTTTCCTCTGGGAAACTGTATGAGACTAACCTACAATACTTATTTTTCTGTTTCTTCCGCTGGCTATGAATGACAATATTTACTCATGTAATGCTCACAAGAACCCTATGAGGGAGACGGTATTATTATCCATTATCCTATTTTACAGGTGAATAAGCTGGGGCACAGAGAAATGCCCCCAAATCACCCTGGTATTAAGTGGCTCAGCAGAGATTTAAGCCCACTCAGAACCCAAGCTCTTGTCCACTGTGGCTTCTTAGTAAAGTATAAAAAAGGTATGACATTTATTGGTCTCATTTAACACAAAATCCAGAAGTAGGTGATGCCAGGACCTGTCTCAGCAACAGCCTAGCTATCTCAGGGTCCTTGTTTGATTTCTGTGAGAGTCTCTTGTCCACATCGTCACAAAACGGCTGCCATGCTCAGCCTCTCACATGACAACTCCCAGAGAGGGAGGAAGAAGGAACATCTCCCATATTTCAGAAGCTCCCCACTGATTTTCCCAGCCATCTCATTGGTCAGTACTGGATCACATGACCACCACTAGCCCAGTTACTGGCAAGGGGAACCTGATATCCATGTTTGGCTTGGCCCTGTCTTGATTTGGAGGTTGGGCCCATTTTCTTGAGCACAAGGCTGCCTAATATCTGAAGAAAGCCAGGGTTTCTTCTAGTGAGGAAGTTGGCCAATCAATTAGTGTCTCTTCTGCAGTGGTCAGCTCTTAGAACACCTGAAATAAAGTCACATACAGACCCTGTTCATCCCAAGGATCCAGATGTCCCAAAGGTCAATCTCCCAGATTTGCATAATGTGAGTTGTCTTAGTCCATTTGTGTTGCTATAAAGGAATACCTAAGGCTGCATAATTTATAGAGAAAAGAGGCTTATTTGGCTCAATGTTCTGCAGGCTATACAAGATGTGGCACTGGCATCTGCTTCTGGTGAGGGCCTCAGGCTGCTTCCACTCATGCTGAAAGGGGAAGGGCAGCCCGTGTGTGCAGAGACCTCATGGCAAGAGAGGAAGCAAGAAAGAGGCAAGGGAGGCACCGGCTCTTTTCAACAACCAGCTCTTGCAGGAACTACTAGAGTGAGAACTCACTTCTTACCATGGGGAGGGCACCAGGCCTTTCATGAGGGATCAACTCCCATGACCCAAACCCCTCCCATTAGACCACACCTCCAACATTGGGAATCAAATTTCAACATGAGGTTTGCAAAGGTCAAACATCCTAACTATAGCATGGGTGCACCTGCCTTGTCTCTCCCAGGCCACTGTGAAGCTCCACGGAAGGTCCTGGGGCAATAAGATAGTACACTGCCAGCTCTTCCCCAACTCATCACCCTCCCATCCTTGCAGACACACACTCTGAACCATGTCTCAAATGGCCATGACTCCCAAATGCCAGACCAATAACGTGTTTGCATTTTCACTGGTCCATCATGAAATGAATGAGAAAAAACAGGGACAATGGAATGAGATTTGTATAAAGCTAAATTGATTCCATTTAAAGGATGATGGTGATTTACTTTCCTACTTAAACTCTCTCATGGCTTCCCAGGGCACTTAGCATAAAGCCCAGCCTCCTCTTCCTGACAAGGTCTGCTCCCAGAGTGGCTCCTGCCACCCCCTCACTCAGCCACAGCCTTCCTGGGATGCTCTCTTTCTCCAGCACACCAAACCCCTTGCCTCTTTAGAGTTCTTTGGATTTGTAGTCTCTTTCTCCTGGAATGTTCTTCCTCTAGTTCTTTACAAAGCTGCGATCTCTCATCTTGATCTCAACTCCTATCGCCACCTGCCTGGAGACTTTTCCTGACTGCCTCCAAGGCCACAGGCACATCCATCTCCGTGTCAGCATCCATCACCTCCTGCTGTTTGCTTGTCCTCAGCATCTGACACTGTATTTATGCTGATTTGTTTCTTTACTGGATGGCCTCTGCTGCCCAAATGTGAAATCTATGAGGGCAGAGACCTTGCCCGGACTAGTGCAGTCCCTTCCTCCCTGGTCTCCAGCTTCCCAGCCCTCAGCATGCACGGTGAGATGGATCCTCCTAGAATACAAGTTAAACCATGGCCCTTCTCTGCCCAGAGCCTTCCGTGGCTGCTGGCCACACTGCCTCCCTCCTGCTCCTAGAACCTGCCCCAGAGCTTCCCATCTTCACATTTGCCATTGCATCTCTCCAGAACATTCTTTCCTCAGATGCCCCAGTGGTTTGCTCCTCTCATTTCCATCGAGTTTCTGTTCAAAGCTCCCCCAGGGAGGCCATTCCTGCTCACTCTCTTTCAAATCTCACTTCCCATCTCCTGACTCCTTTATTCTTCTCCAAAGCACTTATCTCCATTTGAACTGCTTTATATTTTACTTATTTGCCTCATTTCTTACAGTTTCTCCCATGAGAATGTCAGCGCCGTGAAGACAGGGATATATCATTTTTTTGGTCTGTGTTACTCACTGCCGGGTCCTGTTGTCTAGAACAGTGCCTGGTACAATGAGAGGTGCTCAAAATATTTACTTAAAAAGTGCATAACAGCTTTCTTGAGGTATAATTCATATATCATAAAATTTGCCCACATGACCAGGAACAGCAGCTCACACCTATAATCTTAGCACTTTGCGAGGCTGAGGAGGGAGGATCATTTGAGCCCAGGAGTTTGAGACCAGCCTGGGCAACATGGCAAAACCCCCCTCTATCAAAATATACAAAAACAAAAATTAGCCAGGCAGGCATGGTGGCTCAGGCCTGTAGTCCCAGCTACTCAGGAGGCTGAGGTGGGAGGATAGCTAGAGCCTGAGAGGCAGAGGTTGCAGTGAGCTGAAATCACACCACTGCACTCCAGCCTGGGTGACAAAGTGTGACCCCTGTCTCAAAAAAAAAAAAAAAAATTGCCCATTTACTAGTACATTCACAGAATTTCACAACCATCACAGTGATCCATTTTAGTAGGTTTCATTAGTGGTCACTCCCTACTTCTCCCTATTTCCCCATCCCTGGAAACCACTAGCCAACTTCATGTCTCTATAGATTTGCCTATTCTGGACATTTCATGTACATTCAGTCCTATAATAAGTGGCCTTTTGTGACTGGCTTTTTTCTCTTAGCATAATATTTTCAAGGCTCATTTGTGTTGTAGCATATGTCAGTACTTGATTCCTTTTTATTGACAAATATTATTCCATTGGAATGGGGGATACATCACATTTTGCTTATCCATTTATCAGTTGGTGGACATCTGGATTGTTTCCACCTTTTGGGCTATTCAATATAGACTTTTGAGTGAGTGGTTGTGTTAATTCCAATATAAAACCTACCTTTCTGCTTTAGGGGTATTAAAATATCCTTTCATAAGCTGACAGTAGGAGTAAATGTATTTCTTAATGTCCTTACCTGGCAAAATAAAACACTGGGTCTTTCTGTTGACTTTAATGGTACAAGGGTATGAAAGGCCAAAGTCTTGGAGCTGCAGATCACTAGGACCTGGGTTATAACAAAGGCTAGGTCAGCGGCTCAGGGAAGCCAAGCCCTGTCCCTCTGGCCCTGCCATGTGGTTCAGACCATGACTGGTAAACAAGAGAGCATAACGCAGCACTTCTCAAACTGGGGTATGGTACCCCTCTGAGGGCACATACTGATGTCCTGAAGAGAAAGACTACATTTCCCAGCCTCCTGTCTGTCCAGCAAGCTGTGGTCATGTGATTGAGTTCTGACCAATGGGATGAATGCAGGGGTTTTTCTCTTCTTTGCTTCACCCTCTTTCCTGCTGGGTGGAATGTGGACAAAATGGCTGGAGCTTAAGCAGCCATAACGGCCCCTGAGGTGGAAACCACTGGTTACAGATGCTAGAGGGTCCAGAAAGGAGGGAACCTCATGATTGTGGAGATGTCACACCACCTCTGGCCTCCCGTATCTGCTTGAAAGAGAAAAAAAAAATGTGGCCATGCATGGTGGCTCATGCCTGTAATCCCAGCACTTTGGGAGGCCGAGGTGGGCAGATCACCTGAGGTCAGGAATTCAAGACCAGCCTGGCCAACATGGTGAAACCCCGTCTCTACTAAAAATACAAAAATTAGCTGGGTGTAGTGGCACATGCCCATAATCCCAGCTACTCAGGAGGCTGAGGTAGGAGAATCCCTTGAATCCGGGAGGCGGAGGTTGCAGTGAGCTGAGATCTCACCACTGCACTCCAGCCTGGGAGACAGAGCAAGACTCCATCTCAAAAAAAAAAAAAAAAAAAAACCTGTGGTATTGAATGAAAGCATGTTAATATATAACATGTTGCTATGTTACTTTGAGAAGTCTGTCACTCACTGCCAAATCCCATCCCACCTGATGTGCCTCCATGACCTCCTCACAGATGAGGAAACTGACGTGAGGCACATCTGCCCTGGGATATTATTTCTATACAAAGATTTGAGAGAAAAAACCAAATTTCTCTTTTTATTTCTCCCAAGGCTTATTTAATCCATTTCACCCCTTCTTTTTTATTTTAACATGAATGCATGCATTCTGGTGAAGGATGGACAGCATCCGGTGAATTTTAAAGAGAGCTTTTGTGTTGTCTGCTTGTTACCAGGGTCTACCCCAAAGTCCTCTAATGCGGCAGTCCCCAACCTTTTTGGCACCAGGGACTGATTTCATAGAAGACAATTCTTCCAGCGACCCAGGGGTGGGGGTGGGAGGTATGGTTTCAGGATGGTTCAAGTGCATTACGTTTATTGTGCACTTTATTTATATTATTATTACATTGTTTGAAATAGTGAGATAATTATACAACTCACCATAATGTAGAATCAGTGGGAGCCCTGAGCTTGTTTTCCTTCAGCTAGATGGTCCCATCTGGGGGTGATGGGAGACAGTGATAGATGACCAGGCATTAGATTCTCATAAGGAGTGCGAAACCTAGATTCCTCGCCTGTGCAGTTCACAATAGGGTTCGCCCTCCTATGAGAATCTAATGGTGCCACTGATCTGACAGGAGGTGGAGCTCAGGCAGTAATGTGAGTGATGGGGAGTGGCTGTAAATGTAGATGAAGCTTTGCTCACTCACTCGCCATTCACCTCCTGTTGTGCAGCCCATTTCTTAATAGGCCAAGGACCTATACTGATCCGTGGCCCAGGGGTTGTGGACCCCTGCTCTAATGGGTACCCAGTCCCTCTGCTGCCAGCCGGAGGATCACTGAAAGAAAGATCCTGAACACTGTCTCAGGCAGCAGAGGGTCCTGCATTTGAATTCCAGGTCTATTACCTCTTAGCCACACGTTCTCGGGCAAACCACTTCACCTCTCTGACCCTCAGTTTCTTTCTCTGTAAAAACGGGGATACTCATCTATGCCTTGGAGGGTGGGTAAAGGTGTGACTCAGTTCTGTCTGTGAGAGGCCTGGGCCCACAGCAAGGGACAGAGTAGATGCTCTGTGCTCTCCTGTCCCAAGAGCTGACCTCACCATTCCAGGCACGGCCAATGCCCTCCATCAGAATCACACTCAGAGGCAGTTCCACAAACAAAGATGGTTTAATAGATTTCAGCATGTTTCCACTTGACAATGTTATACGAAAATAGAATCTTTATTAAAATAGCAAGGCATAACAATCACTGCTACTCAGGAAACACTGTGTTTATTCTTTTTAATCATCAAAATCAATGACTTTGGGCAAGACCTGTGAAATCTCAGAGCCTGTTTCTCCATCTGGAGAACAGGCAGGTAGGGCATTGCCAGCTCCCTGTGAGTGGGGGCCACTGGTGGGAGGAGATGGCCCTGGTCGCCCATGGGATGAGAAACTTACTCCTGCTTCTGTCCCTGGAGAAGGTCAGGGAGATGCCAGTGTGGCCTTAAGGCAATTCTAACACTTGCTTATCTCGTTTTGTAACAGAGAAGAGAGAGCTCTCAGCCTTGGCCACACCAGCATGGAGCCCCCTTCCCCAGCGAATTTATTTTTCATGGTCACTTTCTATTTTTGGCAGTGAGTGATACATGTTATCCACTATTGGCAGCAATTGGGGGGAAAAAAAGTTCATTTTAAAAACAAAGTTTAGGCCGGGCATGGTGGCTCATGCCTGTAATCCTAGCACTTTGGGAGGCCCAGGCAGGCAAATCACGAGGTCAGGAGTTCGAGACCAGCCTGACCAACATGGGGAAACCCCGTCTCTACTAAAAATACAAAAATCAGTTGGGCGTGGTGGTGTGCGCCTGTAATCTCAGCTACTTGGGAAGCTGAGGCAGAAGCATTGCTTAAACCCAGGAGGTGGAGGTTGTGGTGAGCTGAGATCGTGCCATTGCACTCCAGCCTGGGCAATAAGCGTGAAACTCCGTCTCAAAAAAAAAAAAAAAAGTTTAAAAAGCGAGTCTGTTTAAAGGAGAATATTTGGTAAACAACAATATTAAAATATAGCAAATAATAGTAACAATAATCACAATGGTAAGGAAACACTTCATTAGATCAACTTAAGAGTATTTTATTCTTGGCTGGGCGCGGTGGCTCACACCTGTAATCCCAGCACTTTGGGAGGCCGAGGCGGGCAGATCACGAGCTCAGGAGATCAAGACCATCCTGGCTAATACGGTGAAATCCCATCTCTACTAAAAATCCAAAAATTAGCCGGGTGTGGTGGCGGGTGCCTGTAGTCCCAGCTACTCAGGAGGCTGAGGCAGGAGAATGGTGTGAACACGGGAGGCAGAGCTTGCAGTGAGCCGAGATCACGCCACTGCACTCTAGCCTGGGCAGCAGAGCGAGACTCCATCTCAAAAAAAAAAAAAAAAAAAGAGTATTTCATTCTTGCCACTGAGCTTAAAAAGAAAGAAAGAAAGAAAGAGTATTCCTAACATATGTCCAGTAATTTTGATTCTTAAGCAAGGGATGAAGAAATACAATGGCATCCAGGTAACTTCCTAACTAGCGCATAGCAGGTAGCTAACCCACTCATCTCTCCCTCTTTTCTTTATAGCTTCTATTTTTTTTAAAGAGAAAAATAACGATTAAAACAAGGGCAGGTTTAAATAATCGTCTCCTGAGCTGCACTTCAGTATCTCAGGTAACAGCTGGAGCTGCCTGGTGGGAGCACATCTTTTCCTTGAGTGTAATTCACTAATGACTGTGGTTCCAAGGAGGTGCGACCTTTAAAGGGAATTGGCCCTTCTTTGAAGGCAGGTGAGAATCTAGTCTCAGTGACAACCCAGCCTGATTTGGAAGGGGGGAGTCATAAGGGTTTTCGCCCAGCACACCAGGGTTGCAGCCTGCGCAAGACCTTCCATAGCTATTTCTGCCGGCTTGCTTCCTTCCCTTCCCAGCCACGATGAGGCAGCTGAGGGTTGCCACGGAAACCGGCTCTGTCCTCCCACTGGAGGCTGCCAGCTCTGATTTCCTGCAGAGTTAAGAAGGAGGCGGCAGTGGGGGTCACCCAGGCGTGAAGATGGGTTTCCCTGGGGATATCCTGCCTCCTGCCAATCACAGCGTCTCTCTGGGAATCCTGGGGGTGCCTGGAGGCTGAGGCCCAGGGAAGCCCCCAAACCCCAGTGCTGCTCTGAGAAGAGACTAGCCTCTGGGACATTCAGAGGTCTGGGGTTCTTTTATCTCCCTCCAGCTAAAGCTAGAGGGACCTCATTATGTGTCTTACAAGATGTACCCAAGTTTAGGTGCCTCTGGCTCTGTCAGCTCCTGAAGTCGAGAAGAATTGTCCCATCACCAGTCCCCTTGAGCCCAAAGAACAGGAGTTGCTCATCCAGCATTTGCTCCTGGGACAGTAAATCTGCCTGCAGAGTTCTACAGCTTATGAGCTATGTGGCCCCAGGCAAGTCACCTCACCTCTCAGTTTTCTCATCTATGAAGTGGGCACAACCCTCCTTCTCTTCATAGAGATGCTGTGAGGAGTAGACATACTGTCTGTAGGGTCTCTCGCAGGCATTTAAAGGGTCTCAATAAACAGGACTTTATATTAATAAAAATAGCATCATAAAAAAGGTTTGCAGGCCATTTTTCTCTTTAAGCTGTTTTTTATTTTAATTAATTATTTATTTATTGAGACAGAGTCTTGCTCTGTCGCCCAGGCTGGAGTGCCGTGGCGCAGTCTCAGTTCACTGCAACCTCCACCTCCTGGGTTCAAGCAATTCTGGTGCCTCAGCCTCCTGAATAGCTGGGATTACAGGCACGCACCGCCACACCTGACTAATTTTTTTATGTTTAGTAGAGACGGGGTTTCGCCATGTTGGCCAGGCTGGTCTTGAACTCCCGACCTCAAGTGATCCGCCCACCTCGGCCTCCCAAAGTGCTGGGATTACAGGCAAGCCGGGGCAAAGGCAAATTTTCATCACTGATACATTTGTTCAAAGGGTGGTGCACTCAGGCTGGGTTGGACCAATTAGCTGGTCCCCACCACCTCTTACAATGTCACTTCTAAGAGTTAGAACAGGGTCTCACACTCAGATGCCTTCAGGTCCAGGAGGCGCTGTGAATGCAGAAGCAGACCCGGTCAGAACCCTGGTGAAGCCGAGAGCACATGTCCTGCATAAGGGAGGCGGCTGCCACTCAGCTCTGGCCAAGAGTTACCCTTGGGAATGTGAGCCCAGTGTGGCCAGATATACCAAGTTTTCAAGAGAAGCTGGACATTTTGAATGAACTCTCCCAAAGATGATAACAACTAAGGCATTTTTTTAAGTGAAGTCCAAACAAAACACGTCTGCAGACTGGATCGTGATCACAGTTGGGGCTTCTGCACTAGAATGCATGAAATCGGCACCTTCTTTTTTGGCTTGATCAGTCTAAGGAGTCCTGGCTGGCTCCTTCCAGCCATCTTGTCTGGGCTGTGTCTTCCTTAGCTCCCTACCTGAGTGCTGACACTGAGAAAGCCCATCCCATCTGGTGCCTGTCACTCTAGAACAGAGAACTCCACTCCTCAGAGCCCAGTGTTTGGAGGGTGCCCCTGTTCTGCACCGGGAATGCATCAGCCTTGGGGGAAGCTCTCCTGCATTTTCTCAAGTAGTGTGAGCAATGGGGCAATCTGGCAAATGGGGCCCCAGGGAAGCAGATCTTCTAAGGGACTCCTTTGGTTTTAGCTAGTTTAAGGATTATTGGGGGACTGACTGCTGAATGACATCAATGGACACAAAGGACATCCTGAGTGGCCTTTCTGTGGCCAGCATCCGCTTTGACTGGATAAGGCCCGGGCCATGCTAGCTCATAAGAACTAGGAAGGTGACACCTCCGGGAGTTGGGGGCAGAGCAGTGAAGACTCCTAGTTCTGCCTTATCTGAATAGCATTTGTGGATATCACGAGGTGAGAGTAACGAGGTGAATTGGGAGCAGACAAAGCCTGATTTTGGAAAGAAAACTTTGCAGTGGATAATCCATAGAGCTTTCAATGTCTTTTCTTTGTTCACCCTCTTAGCTTTTCCCTCCCCTGGACCCAGCCTTCTGGGAGAAAAGCAGGGAAGTGGTAATGCTAGCACCTGCACCCGGGCCAACTGTGCACACAGAAAGCTGGGAGGCTGGGGCAGGCTGGGGCAGGCTGGGCAGAGGCGAGCACGTGGATCCATCTGCTCCCTGTGTCATGGGCGGATGCGGTAGCGGACGGGCACGTCGTGTTCCGGCTGCATCAGACCGAAGCCGTACCTGCTGAGGTCAAACTCAGGGATCTCCACATCTGCGTTGATCAGCTCCAAGTCCAAGTGCACCAGCACAAGGAACACAAATCTGCAGAGAGATGGCATGGAAGGTGTGAAGGAGAGGAGTAGGGCAGGGGGTTATCGGGAACAAGGCAGGGGAGCCATGGCTGCCTCCTAAGTCTGACTCCAACTTTGAGTAAAGTGAGGAGAGGAGTGAGGAAGTAGAAGAAACGCATTTGCTGCTCACCACATTTGCCAGCCCCCTGTAAGGTTAGGCAGGCCCGTGGATGAGTTCTGGTGAATGGGCTGTGTGCAGAAGTGGCCTGTGTCACTCCTGTGTCAAAGCATTCGCGAGCCAGTGTGTGGCTCTCCAGCTGTCCCTCCTGCCTGGCAGCCATGCAGGCTTCACATTGAGACGGTGGAGCCGAAAGAGGGAAAGAGCCTGGCCCGAGTCTGTGCACAGAGTGGGGAAGCCCTCCAATCCCACAGCTGATACCGTGTGAGTGGAACTACACCTCTGTTGGTAAAAGCCACTGAGACTCGGCAGGTGCAGAGCTGAGCCTGTGCTGATTAATACGGCGACTCCTCTGGATCCTCCAGCCCACACACTTTGCCGCCTTTCCCCACACTCCTGGAACCCTCACTGTCTATCTTGGCCAGGACTGCTGCTAACCCTTAGGTGTCTTTGTGAGATTAGAAACAGGCATCGCTCTCAAGACATTTTACTGCCATCTCTGAGAAAATTGTCCTAAATAGACCAACTTTGCAAGAACAAGCACTCTCTACTGCCATCTTCTGGGAAAACTGTCATAATAACTATTCGCAGCTGCCATGCCTATGATGTAATCAGTGCCCCCATAAATGTGGAGGCAGCCCTACGGGGGATGTCAACGGTTGCTGCCTCCCTGCCTCATCTTACCAATGCCCATGTTCGTAAGGGTCAGGAGAATATCTTATGACTCTTTTCCCACCACTATTCCCTACCCCAACCCAGGCGCCCGATGCAGCACTGAGCACATGGTGGGGATTCTTTTGTCTCACTGAAGGAGTGAAGAAGAGGGCAGATGAGGAGAGAGGGGAGTTAACACTCTGGACAGATCTGGGCTGTGCCGCTTATGGGAATGTGGCCCTCGCCAAGTTCTTACCCACTCTGGGTCTCAGTTCTCCCATCTGGTCAAAGAGGGGAAAGGCATGTTGAGTCTCTTCCAGCTCTGAGGCTGTAGGAAACTAGAGGGTGAGTTTCTAAGGGATGGCGGTTTTGTGCCCACCCCTGGATTTGAACTCCTGCACCTCCACTTCCTGGGAACACGGCAAATGATCTGACCTGCCTAGACTCGGTTTTAGATGGACCAGCAGGGTTGTCATGACAATTCAGTGAGATAAAAATAACAACAAATTAGCTAATTTATTGGAACACTGTGCGCTAGGCACCATCTAAGCATTTAGTACCCGCTATCTCTTTTTATCTGTCCAAAAACTTGATGAGGTAGGAATGCCAGTCGGTTCTGCTCTAACACTTGTTTTGAACAGGTGAATTTGTTCCAATAGGATTGATATATTAGGGCACCATTTGAATATAATGCAAGTTTCACATTTGCTCACGTGCAATTTCACTTGTGAGAAACATGAGGTGAAGACGAAAGACTGCACCCAGCTGAACCTGGGTGTGCAGAAATCCATAAAATATACACATGCACACAACTAAGCATCGATCTACAGCCACAGTTATTACAGCACTTACATAGTTCTTAGCCAGGTAACATGTATAAAACTTTACTACCATTTTTTTTACTGGGTTCTTCTCTCTCTCTCTTTTTTTTTTATTATGTCACTGATGAGGTTTTTGAGTGTTGGCCCCAGTCCCCCTTTTCCCTCAATCCCTGCAGTTTTTTCTTTCTTTCTTTCTTTTTTTTTTTTTTTTTTTTTTCTGGAGACAGAGTCTCACTCTGTCGCCCAGGCTGGAGTGCAACGGCGCAATCTTGGCTCACTGCAATCTCCACCTCCTGGGTTCAAGAGATTCTCCTGCCTCAGCCTCCTGAGTAGTTGGGATTACAGGCACGCTCCACCACACCCGGCCAATTTTTGTATTTTTAGTAGAGACGGGGTTTCACCATGTTGGCTAGGCTGGTCTCCAACTCCTGGCCTCAAATGATCTGCCCACCTCGGCCTCCCAAAGTGCTGGGATTACAGGCGTGAATCCCTGCAGTTTTTGTTGCATGATTTCACACAGCAAGGTGATTTTAAGGAATGCATATGAGCTGTATTATGTTCATAATTGACTCCATTTTCTTGAGGAAACTGAGGCTAAAGGTTTATGTAACGTGCCCACTCACTTAGCACAATGCATGCACAATAATGATATTAACAATTATGGTAATAATTAACATTTTTCAAATGCCTACAATGAGCCAGACAGTGGGTTAAGAACTTAGAAAGATCCAATTCATTTATCCTGACACTCCTGGGGTATAGTTATAATCAGAACCCTCATTTTACAGTTGAGGAAACAGGCTCAGAAGGTAACCCAGCTTATGATTGCACAGGGGCTGGACAGGAGGACAGGGCAGATGTCATAACCCCTGGTCCAATCTGTTTGTGATCCTGGTGGCCAAAGCTCCTGGGGTTCAAGGGAGATAATTTATGAGGCTCTCGGCCCCACAGGTATTAAAATAACCAAGTGGGAACAGTGAAGTTCGGCCAGTTCCTAACATGAAGTTCTGAACATGCGGCAGCAGCTGCAGACGGGTAGCTACGGTCAGCTGAAAGGAATGTCCAGTATTTGGAATCTGGACACCAGTCTTGGAGGGAAGAACCTGCTGCCAGATCTGATTATTTCAAAAGAAATCCGAAATCTGGCTTTTTTACACGAGCTCTTCTGATTTATAAAAGCACACAGTTGTAAAACCACAAATAAGAGATGGCTCACGGGCTGTCCATGTGAAGCCTCTGCCAAACCATTCTCCTGGCTGAGCCCTCAGTCCCAGGAGAGAAGGGCGCCTGCCAACCAGGGGATCAGGAGCCACCCTGGCCCTGCCCTGGCCCCCCACTCACTGTTTGATGCTGTTGACCGCATAACTCCTCCCCAGGCAGTGATTGTGCCCCGCCCCCCAGGGCATGTTGTAATTCTTCAGCCGTTTCCCATCCTTGTAAAAGTCTTTCTTCTCTGATCCGTCAGGGTTCAGGAATCGGTTGTATTTAAATACCTGAAATAGGAAGAAGGTCCTTTTCTGACCCCATTCCCAGAACAAGCTCACACCAAGAAAAATGTATGAGGATGTTCATGACAGTCATGTTTATAAGAGGGAAAAACTGGAAACCATATACAGGTCAATTGATAGGGGATTGGTTAAAAAATTATGGCAAAAGGTTTGTGTGTACTGACATGGAAAGAATTTCTACAATTGGTTGTTGAGTGAAAAAAGCAAGTTTCAGAATAGTATATATTGCATGATCCTATACACACACCAATCTTTTCATGGCATGTGAATGTGTTGTGTGTATGCCTGTAAAGCCATGAAAACAATTCGCAAGGCACACTCCAAACCTTGGTCAGAGAACTCTGTAGAACTGGAGAAGAAGGGAAATACATATTTTTTACATTTAAGTATATATTTCTCTGTATTTCTTTATATTCTATGATATATATTACTTTTGTAATGTAAAATAAAAGAAATTAAAATATTTTTTAAAAAGAAAATGCCAATTTCCTTTGGTTACACTGCACAGTGGTAAGGCAAGGGTTGTAGCTGAGCACAGAGCTTGGCATGGAGTAGCTGCCGACTGAAAGATGGGTGGAAGGATAGGTGAATGAACCAGTGGATAGACTAAGAGATGGAAATGTGGATGGAAAGATGGATGAATGGAGGGATGGATAGATGGATGGATGGGTAGATGGGGTGGATGGATGGATGGGTAGATGGGTGAATGAATGGGTAGATTGATGGGTGGATGGATGAATAAATGGATGAATGGACAAATGGATGGATGGATGAGTAGATGGGTGGATAGATGGATGGATGGGTGGATAAGTAGAAGAATGGGTGGATGGACATATGAGTGAGTGGGTAGATAAATGAGTGGGTGGATGGATGGATAAATGAGTAGATGATTGAATGGACAGACGGATGGATAGATGGATGGATTCATGGGTAGGTGGGTGGATGAAAGAGTAGCTTCATGGGTGGATGGATGGATGGATGGGTGGATGGATAGATTAATGGATGGGTAGATGGGTGAGTATGTGGATGGATGGATGGATGCATGGATGCATGGGTGGATGGATAGATTAATGGATGGATGGGTGAATTTGTGAATGGATGAATGGACAGATGGATGCATGGGTAGATGAGTG
This sequence comes from Homo sapiens, assembly GCF_000001405.40. Lineage (NCBI taxonomy): Eukaryota > Metazoa > Chordata > Mammalia > Primates > Hominidae > Homo > Homo sapiens. The sequence continues at coordinate 49,512,328 of NC_000020.11, forward strand.
GATGGATGGATAGATGAGTGGATGGGTGGCTGGATGGATAAATGAATGGGTAGATGGGTGGATGAAAGGGTAAATTGGTGGGTGGATGGATGAATGGATGGGCGGATGGATAGATGAATGGATAGGTAGATAAGTGAGTGTGTGGATGGATGGATGAATACATGAATAGACAGATGCATGAGTAGATGGGCAGATGAATGAATGGATGGATAGATGAGCATGTAGTTTAGGGTCTGACACACAGTAAACACCCAATCTGTTAGCAATTGTGAAAGTTTACTTCTTCTCAAAGTCTGGGGCAAGGCAAAAGTGTTGAGAAACTGACATTATAACAATCTGAAATAAGGAAAATGGCTGAGCTATCACAAAGCACTCAGTGTGAATGAACATCCCCTCATGTTCTAGGGTTCCTCAGAGACCCTTGAACATGAGGGGATCTGGGTCTGACTCCAAGAGAAGCTGTGAAAAAAGGTAGGAGCCAAAGAGATATCAGAAGGCTGGGGAGAGAGTGGGGCCATCAATATCTGCTTATGCATGATCCCATTTAATCTTCCTATCAATCTCATGAGGCAGGTGCTATTATGAGGTCCATTTCACAGGTGAGGAAGCAAACACAGAGAGGTGAAGCAATCTGGGCAATGTCACATAGCAAACAAAGAGCAGAGCCAGGCTGCCACTCAGATCTGGCTCATCCCAAAGTCACTGATTGTTCTCCCACAGACCCCATATGACCAGGCGCCCCTGCCATTTACCTCTGGGTCTGTGTAGATTTCTGGGTCTCTCTGGGGGCTCAGGAAGGGGAAGAGGAGGAGGCGGTCACCACGTCGCAGGTTGAATTCTCGCCCGTCTGCCATGGGCATGGCCAGGTCCACCACAACCTCGCGGGTGATGAAGGGGGCAGCTGTAAGCCTGAGGCTCTCACTCAGCACGCTATCTGCATGGGGCAGGTGCAAGGAAGAGTCAGCGGGCTATCCCTTCACCTGCTCATATGCCAACCCCAGCTCTTATTTTACAGAGGAAGATGAAGAGGCTCAGAGAGGGTGCCTGCCTCGCCCACACAGTCACATAGCAAGGTGAAAAAGGACACACGATGACATGTGGTCTCTGTGGTCCCTCAGAGACGTTTGAACATGAGGGTATCCAGGTCTGACCCCAAGAGAAGTTGTGAGGGAAGGTGGGAGCTAGGGAGATATCAGAAGGCTGGGGAGAGAGTAGGGCCATCAATCTCTGTTCCTGTCTGCCCGGCATATATTTCTCTTCTGGAAACGGGCCCCTGATTTTCCTCTAGGGTCCACCCCTCTCTCATTCTCAGGGGTTAGACTGCTGCTTCTATGCTCAACTCCTGGGATGGGGCTGTGACTGGCCAATCAGAGCATCCCTCTGAGCCCTGTGATTGGTTCAGGATGGACACATGACCCAAAGAAAGCCAATGAGACACAGTCTTGGGACTCTTGGTGGGAACACTGTAAGAGATTCAGAGTCTCACAGAGCCAGGAGGAAGTCAGCCTTGAGCTGCCAACAGCTACTGCCAGCCTGAGACTGGAGCCAACCCAGTGGGAAACAGGGCTGAGAGGTGGAGAGGAACTGAGTAGTCCTGACGACATTGTTAAAGTGCATGGATCCACCTGTGCCTGAAGCCAATCCTCTGGGCTTTTTAGTGACATGTCTCAAAGTACCTTTTCACCTTAGTCAATTGAAGTTAGGTTTTCTGTCACTTGACCCCTAGCTGAGGCTGGAGTATGGAGATGCCAGGTGTGTGAAGATAGGAGGCTTAGGGAGACCCTAGGTCGGAGGACACACTGATGGACCCTGGAAGACAGGAGTCCATGTTGGGGAGGGCTTTGGGGGTCCATGATGACGCAGTCTTAGGGGCTATCTTGGAGGGTCTGACGATCTCACCAAGCACAGGTGTGCTGTCTAGAACCTTCTGTGGGAGAGTGGTCGTCTGCGAGACAGGCTGCTCCGCTTGCCAAAGGATACTCTCGAGCTCTCCGCGGACAGCAGCCAGGGCTTCAGGATTCTTGAGAAGGAAGAGCAGGAGCCAGAAGGCAGCGGGACCCATATTCCCCTGCAAGGAGAAGGGCCCCTGTTATGCCATTATGAGGGCAGAGCTGACTCGTCTCTGCCAGGGACACAGCTCGGGCCAAGACAGAGGGGCCAGTAGGCCTGGGTTCCCACTGCTGCCAAACACCCAGGCATGACCAGTGTCTATCTCCAGCCTCAGGACATGGCCAAAACTGCCCTGTGGCCCAAAATACCTACTTCAAGGCCACTCGTGGCATCCCTGACTGTGTGCAAAGTCACTAATCCTAGGTCACACAGGTAATCTTCATAGCTAATCAGCAAAACAGTGTCAGTAATAGGAACAGGGTATATCAGTTAAGACTGTTCACATCTGAGAATGATCACATTGTTGGCCCCAATTCTTCCCCAATCGCAGAATCCACGCTCCTTACCATGTGAATTTGCTGTTCCTCCTATTCAAGAGCCAGAGCGTATTTCCCCTGCCCTTTGAATTTATGCTCAGCCGTGGACTTGCTTTGGCCAATAGATTGAGGTGGAATTGAAGGAACAGCCACTCTACGCCTAAGCCGCGAGAGACTTTGTGTTTCCACTTGCTCGGCAAGCCCACTGATCCCAAGAGGAGGATGAGAGACTCATGGACAGAGCTGAGCTGCCCCAATGAGCCAGACCCACAGACCCGTGAGTTAAATAAATGCTGATGGGTGTATGCCGCTGATGAGTTGTTATGGATGTTTGTTATGCAACAATAGCTAACTGGTGTGATATCTAAAGATTTGCTTCCAAATATAATCATTCTTGATGTAGTTTGGGAAGCAAAAAGTTCCCTATATGCTTTGTATCTTCAAATTCTATCAGTCACTTGAAGAATAAATGTGTGTGTGTTGTGTACGTATAAAACAAAGCCGCAATCATCATTGATGACTGAAAGCTATGAATAAAAATTATTTAAACTTCCCAATAGATAAACACTTAGGAAAACGAGTGGAATTTCTTGCTTCAAGGCTTCAGTCTTAGCTGAACATTTTCATACACATTTTAGCCTCAGCTCTTTGGTATGTGGCTAAAATGTGTATATGGCACCCTTTAGTGATCCAGATATGGGAAGAATACCAACTAATCTCAATTTGGGGGAAGGTTTTTGTCTGCCGTGACTATTCTATTCAATCATAATAATGGAATATTAAATCATCATTAAATATCATGTTTACCCACTAATTTCATTACAGACATAATTACACATGGGCAAAAGGACATATGCACAAAGATAATTATTGCAGTGCTCATGTAATAGAAAAATGCTGGAAACAATCTCATGTCTATCAATAAGAGATCAATGAGATCAATGAAGATCCATCCATTGGATGATGTGATGCAGGAAGTCATTAAAAAGAAGCTGGCTCTGTGTGTACCGATGTGGGACTGTAGCCAAGACACACAGAAGCATGCAAACGCAAGGTGCAGGGTGGTGGCTCAGCATGCTGCCATTTGTGTGTTTGTTTAAAGAGAAATATACATGAAGAAGTACAGACCATCTCTTTTTTTTTTTGAGACAGGGTCTTGCTCTGTCACCCAGGGTGGAATGCAGTGGCACAATCATAGCTCACTGCAGCCTCGACCTCCTAGGCTCAAGTGATCCTTCTGCCTTAGCCTCCCAAGGAGCTGGGGCCACAGGCATGTGCTACCCAGCTAGGTTTTTTTTTTTTTTTTGGTAGAGATGGAGGTCTCCCTATGTTTCCCAGGCTGATCTCAAACTCCTGGCCTCGAGCAGTCCTCCTGCCACAGCCTCCCAAAGAAGCACAGACCATCTCTAAGAGACACCAGAAACGGGTAACTGAGGTTACCTTGGGACAGAAGCTGGGAAGACAAGAGGATAAGGAGGAAGGAGGCTGACTTTCCTTGCAAATACCTTTTAAACTGTTCAAAATTTTTTAATGGACACACTAATTTTAAGTGAAACAGAAGCCACCCAGGCTGGAGTGCAATGGCACGATCGTGGCTCACTGCAACCTCCACCTCCTGGGCTCAAGTGATCCTCCTACTTCAGCCTCCCAAGTAGCTGATACAAGCATGCACCACCATGCCCGGCTAATCTTTCTATTTTTTGTAAAGATGAGGTCTCACTATGTTTCCCAGGCTGTATCCAAATCATTTCTACAGTGATGTACAATGTCATGAGAGATGCTCATGTTACAATATTAAACCAAATAGAAGGTTAGATTAAAACAGCTGCATGATCTTAACCACAGAAGAAAAACCTATGGGGAAAGGCTGGAAAGAAATGCACCATAGCATTAGTGATGGTGAGATAGATTTTGCCTTCCTCTTTAGTGCCCGTGAGGCCAGGAGGAACCACACTCCTCTGCTCAATACTTCCATCACGCAGGTGCCATTATTAGGCCTTTTACTGAAAAGGAAAACGAAGTACTCCCCGGTCACTACCCACTGCCCAGCATATAGTGGAGGCTCACTGATATTTGTCAAATAAACATCTGCATCCCTTTGGATTAGAGGTGGAGCTCCAAGACAGCCTGGGAGGTGGGCTAGAAGATCCCTGGACTGAGACCAGGTAGAGGTGGGTTCAAATCCCAGCTCCCCACTTTCTGTGACTGTGGACAAGTCACGTCCCCCTTTGGGTCTCAACACTGGGGGTAACATTGCCACCTCCTGGGTGGACGCAAGGGTCCAGTGAGGCTGAATGCAAGCAATCCCACACGTGCTGCGCCCATAGTAGGTGCTCAGAAGTGGTTACTCCTCCCCCACTGGCCCCTCCCCTGGATTTGAAAACAAGTCGGGGGGGCCTCCGGCCCTTTCTGAGAGTTCCACCAGCACCTCAGGTCCAGCTGACACAGCAAGGTCACCTGCTGTCCATCACTTAAATAGCCAGGCAAATGCGGATGATAAATAATTCAACACCAGCTTAGCTCAGCGCCAAGGCCATTTTATCTGGCCCAGATGGTTAGATGGGGGCCACCGCTCATTAATTACCAAGCAGGAGTGGAACACATGGGCGCTTGGCTATCTCTGCCTGCAGGAAAAAGCTGTGGCAAGTTAGGGAGGTGACCAAGACCGCCTTTTACCCAACTGCACAGATGTGAGTGTGAGTGTGTGTGTGTGTGTGTGTGTGTGCACACACAACCATAAGAGATCCTGAATTTGCCACCCTGGAATTTGAGCTTTCACCCACGGAGCCTTGCCTCCGTTTACTCAGGAAGACACTTCTTGTTTGTCTTCATTCCCTCCTACTGCAGCCAAAGGCCATGACCCAAAAGCAGTGCCACCCCTGTTCTAGCTTTCCTGTGAATGGCAGTGGCTGACCTCTGGGAGGCACTGACTGCGGGCCAGACCACACCCTTGGTGATTCACATGCTCCTTCTTGTTGCCTCCTGACAACATGGCCCATCAGTGGAAGTGGGGGACTTCCGCTGCCCGCTCCTGCCTGCATCCGCTTCCTTGTCGTTGGTAACAGCACCCCACTTTCCTTCAAAGAACCACCTCCTCTTAAGTCTAAGTCCATGTGGGCCATCCAGGACTGACCCATCCTTCCAGACTTCAAGTGTGGGCATGGGACCCAGGCGGAGGCACTGAGTGATCCACGCAGAGTGGGGCATATGACGTGGGCTGGGCCAGTGAGTATCAGTCTTGGGAGCTGTGCTAGAATTTAGGGGAAGGGAAGCCCTCCTCCATGGGATTGCTAAATTGCCTAGAGCTACTGGAGGCCATTGTAGTCATCCCCCAGGGGGAGACCCTCTGAGGATGTAGCCTGGCAGAAGAAGGGAGACCTGAGGGATGGGGGTCACAGATTGTGTTTCTTTTAATTTTTATGATTTAGAAGATTCCAACGGAATAAAAGAATATCCCGAGTGTGATGATGTGTTAGTGTAGGTCATAAATTGTAACAAATGTGCCACTCTGCTGAGGGACACCAGCGATGGAGAGGCGAGGCATTGGGAGAAGGGGGCTAAGGGAGATCCCTGCACCTTTCCTTCAATTTTGTTGTGAACCTAAATCTGCTGTAAAAATAGAGTCTATTTAAAACAAACAAACAAAAGCCCTAAGTGCAATGTGGGATTGTGGATTGGCTCCTGGAAGAGAAAAAGAATATTAGTAGAAAAACTGGGGCAATGTGAATAAAGTATAGACTTTAGTTACTAGCAATGTCCCAATGTGAATTTCTTAGTCTTGATGAATGTATTGTGGTTATGTAACATTAGGGAAAGCTGGGTGAAGGGTATTTGGGAACTCCTGTACTATCTTTGCAACTCTTTTATAATCTAAAATTATTTCAAGATAAAACTACTGAAGACAAAAAAAAAAACAAACAAAAAAACCAACCCTCTTTACAGATGGTGAAACTTAAGCCCAGAAAAGTGACTTGTTTGAGGTCACATAACTAGTTTAGTGGCAGAGGTGAGATTCCACCCGAGTCTGTCTGACTCTCAATACTGTGGTTTTGCTTTCTACTCCGTTGTCAGATGCCTCAAGGATTCTTCTCGATGATCACTATCTCAGCGGAGCTATGTGCAGGCCCAGCAGCTCCCGTGGCCCCCTCCCCTACCTCTCAGGACCACCCAGGAATTTCCAGGGATGTGTGGCTGTGGCTGCTGAGGATGTGATGGGGTGAAGGCCAAGCCAGATATCGGGAAGGAAGAGAAGGATCAGATGTGATGGATGGGGCTGAGGGACATCATGTCAATCAATGGTTTCAGTCCTGGCATTACCAGCATCAGTGGGCTCAGAGCTGGCAGGGAAGCCTGACCTGTGTTTGGAAACTCTCCTCCGTCTGCCCCCCACCACCCCACCCCACCTTCCCTTACAGCCTCCTCTTCCCCTTGCCTGGACCTTAGGTCTCGGCCCACAGAGTCCTCCCTGGATGCCTGAGACTCCCACTGCTCCTTCCATCACTCTCGATTCCAGGTTCAGGGGTTCTGGATTCAGGAAGCTGTTGTGAGGATCCTATGAGATGGTGGTTGCAAAGTGCTCAACAGGATGCTTGGCCCAGGGTAAGTGCTCAGTATCTTTTGAGATTATTATTCCTGACTCATCATCTCCGACCTGACAGCAGCAATCACAGCTACCATTTTTCAGCCTCTCTGCAGCATCTGACCCAGCTTCCCACTCCCGGCTCTCCTCCCACCTTCCTGGCCCCTCCTCCTCACCCTTCCCACCACTGGAGAGCCCCAGGGATGCCCCCTTCTTCACCCACCCTCGCCTGCAGTATCTCCTCCAGTCCTGAGGATTTAAACTCCTCTATGCTGACAACTCCCAAGCCTGGACCTCAAACTTGAACTCCAGACTCTCTTCTCCAGGTGTCCACTCCCCCATCTCCATCTCAAATTCAACATACCCAAAGCCCAACCCCCGATCTTCTCCCTGAAACTTCCTCCTCCCGCCATCTCCCTCTTCTGCCCATGGCTCTGCCATCCCTCCTGTCACTCAGGCCCAAACCTGGATTCATCCTTGATGGCCTCCCCCAAGGTCCCATCCAACAGCGGATCCTGTTGGCTTTACTTTGATATATGTTCAGAATCTAACCACCCCTGACCCTGGCCCAGCAGCACCCTCTCTTGTCTGGATCCTGCTGCTCCTCTCTGCTCTCCCTGCCTCTGCTTCCCCACCCCCTACAGTCTCTTGTCAGCGCTGCAGCCAGAATGATCCCTCTAAAGCGAAAGACAGGCCAGGTTCTTCCTCTGCTCAGAGCCCTACAGCAGGCACCTGTCTCACTCACAGTAAAAGCCAAAGCCCTCCCCATGGCCTACAGGGACCTGTGTGGTCCGGCAGCTCTGCCTCCCCACCGTGTCACCCTTAGTCCTGCCTCAGGGCCTTTGCACTTGCTGCTCCCTGCCTGGGAAACTTCATTCTATATATTTACATGGTTCACCCCTCACTTCCTTCAGTCTCTGCTCAGATGTCACCTTTCAGTGAGGCCTTCCTGGGCCTGCCTTCCTGCTGCATCTCTTCTCCATAGAACACATTCCCTCTAATACTTTTTTTTTTTTTTGAGATGGGAGTCTCACTCTGTTGCCCAGGCTGGAGTGCAGTGGTGCCATCTCGGCTCACTGCAACCTCCACCTCCCGGGTTCAAGTGATTCTCATGTCTCAGCCTCCTGAGTAGCTGGGATTACGGGCCTGTGCGACCATGCCTGGCTAATTTTTGTATTTTTAGTAGAGTCAGGGTTTCATCATGTTGGCCAGGCTGGTCTCAAACTCCTGATCTCAAGTTATCTGCCTGCCTTGGCCTCTCAAAGTGCTGGGATTACAGGCGTGAGCCACTGCGCCTGACTTCTAATACATTTTAGATGCTTACTTGTTTGTTTATTTATTTATTTATTTTTGAGACAGGGTCTCACTATGTCACCCAAGCTGGAGTGCAGTGGCACAATCATGGCTCATTGCAGCCTTGACCTCCTAGGCTCAAGCAATGCTCTTGCCTCAGCCTCCCAAGTAGCTGGGACTACAGGTGCGCACCATCACGCCCAGCTTTTCTACAAAAAAAATAAGGTAGTTTTTGCAGAGATGGGGTCTTGCTATGTTGCCCAGGCTGGTCTTGAACTCTAGGACTCAAATGATGTTCCTCTCTAACTTCCCAAAGCACTGTGATGACAGCTTATGTGTTTATTAATTGTCTATCTTCTCCCACCAGAATGCCAGCTCCCTAAGGGCAGGGATTTTTGTCTGTTTTGCTCACCGCTCTATCCCCAGCTTCTAGAATGGGGCCTGGCCCATGGTAGGTGCTCTAAATATTTGTTGAAGATGTTTCTTGAGCACTTGTTATCTGCAAGGCACAGTTACAAAATTGCACATGTATTCCTGCCTCCTTTCATCTTCACAACCACGTCTTGAAACGGGTGCTACCATCTCCATTTTACAGATGAGTAAACCGAGGTGCTCAGAGGTTAAGTGACTGACTTGCCAGGAAGTGTCAAAATCAGGATTCAAACTCAGGCTGGGAGGTCACAGAGCCTGTGCCAGAAACTCCTAGGCCAAGTACCCTCTTGGCTCCACTCCCAAAAGGCCCTTGAAAAGTTTTCCCACCTGCCTGAATTCTGGACGCTGTCAACGACTCAACCTCAGAGGACATCTTGTCCCCAGCTCCTGCCCAGCTCTCCTGGCCCTGCCAAAGGCTGTTCCCTGGACTTTCTGCCACTCAAACCCCTCAGCCAGCATCCAGTTTTGCTGACACCAGTCATTCCCACGAGAGTTCTGGAGACACTTTGGAGCTCCAAGTCATCTCTGCACATAAATATGTTATTAGGCACTGATGTGGGGGACAACTGCCAATTGATCCCAGTCCCCACCCCTTGCCAGTCTCTGCCTGCAAGGACAGTTAATGGCTCTGAGGAAACTAAAAATAAGCTGCAAGTCGATGGGAGAGGAATTACCCAGAAATGTCAGCTTGTGCAACTGTCACCGTCGAAGTGGGGCCAAGAGAAAGATGGGGCTTGGGGATCAGGAGAGAGGGCAGGAACCAGGCCTGGAGCTGTGCAGCATGGAAGGCTACCATCTTTCTCTCACTCCAATATCTGGTCCATGACCAAGTCCACTGACTCTGTCTTCCTGAAATTTCCAAAATCTATCCACGTCCTCATCACCTCCATGGCCACCACCTGACCCTGCCACCACAGTTTCCTCCTTGTTGCCCTGTTTTTGCTTTTGCCCCCAAGATCCTGTCCCTCCTCTGCTCAGAACTCTCCCAGGCCCCCATCTCGCCCAGAGAAAAATCCCAAGTCCTCATTTATGAGGACCCACAAGGCCCTCAGTGACCTCTTCCCTCGGTCTCACGCCCCCTCCCTCACTCTGCTTCAGCTGTGTGATCCAACTCTACTCTGCAAGATCCAACCCCAGGGCCTTTGCACTTGCTGTTTCCCTTATTTGGAATCTTCTATCCCCATATCTTCTCCAAGTCTCTGAATCTAGCTTTCTTATCATCCAGGGCTCATCTCAAATATCTCAGGGAGGCCTCCCTGACCACCCCAGCTAGAGCAGACCCGAAAGTCTCTCTATTCACAGCCCTGTTTCATACTCTACATATCATCATCTAAAATCACCTTGTATATGTTTCCTTGACTCTCTGCCCCCTGTCCTCCTGACCCCCCAAATGGTAATCGACACAACACAGAATCTTTGAGGTCTACGGTAAGTACTCAAAGGATTTTTTTTAAGAGGTGGAATCTCACTATGTTGCCCAGGCTGGTCTCAAACTCCTGGGCTCAAGCAATCCTCTTGCCTCACCCTCCTGACTAGCTGGGACTACAGGTGCACACTACCATGCCCAGTGTCTCAATGGAACTTCTAAACAATTCTTCAAAATAACTGGTCTGCACACTTCAAAAAATGTAAATGTAATGAGAAACAATGAAACGCACAGAAACCGTGCCAGATTAAAGAAAATGGGTCGGGTGCAGTGGCTCATGCCTGTAATCTCAGCACCTTGGGAGGCTGAGGCTGGTGGATCACGAGGTTAAAAGATCAAAACCATCCTGGCCAACATGGTGAACTCCCATCTGTACTAAAAATACAAAAAATTAGCTGGACGTGGTGGCATGCGCCTGTAGTCCCAGCTATTCAGGAGGCTGAGGCAGGAGAATCGCTTGAACTCAGCAGGCAGAGGTTGCCGTGAGCCGAGATTATGCCACTGCACTCCAGCCTGGCGACAGAGCAAGACTCCATCTCAAAAAAATAAAAAAATTAAAAGAAAAGAAAACAGAAGAGTCAGAATGACTAAATGCAACGTGTGATTCTGGATTGGATGCTGGACCAAGATGAACCAAAAAGGACATTATTGAGACAACTGGCAAAACTGGAATACAGATTGTTTATTAGATAATGATCATGTATTTGGGCTCATTATCCTGAAATTGGTTATTGTACTGTGGTCATGCAGGAGATGTTCTTGCTTACACTCAAGCAATTAGGGATAAAAAAGCATGATATCTGCAACTTATTCCCAAATTATTTCAATAAAATAATCCCAGTGGGGAAAAGAGAGCATAAGAGAGAGAGAGACAGAGAGAGAGAAAGCAAAGGTGGTAAAATGTTTAAAACTGGGGAATCAAGGTGAGGCATATATAGGAGTTCATTAAACTATTTATTAAACTTTTCTATAAATTTAACATTTTTCCAAATTAAAAAAAAACAAAAACAAAAAACAAAAAACAAAAAGAAGCTGGGCGTGGTGGCTCACACTGTAATCCCAGCACTTCCAGAGGCCGAGGCAGGCAGATCACTTGAGGTCAAGTTTGAGACCAGCCTGGCCCCATTTCTACTAAAAATACAAAAATTAGCCAGGCATGGTGGCAGGCAACTGTGGTCCCAGCTACTCGGGAGGCTGAGGCATGAGAATCACTTGAACCTGGGAGGCGGAGGTTGCAGTGAGCTGAGATCGAGCCACTGCACTCCAGCCTGGGCAACAGAGCGAGACTCTGTCTCAAAAGAAAAAAAAAGAAAAGAATACCGAATGAATGTTTCTGTTCGTGATGCTATTTGACAGTAAAGGAAGTCAGGGAACTGGTTTGGGCAGTGGGTATGTGTGCACACACCCACACTCACATCAGCACACACTCACAAATGCACACCTACATACACATGCACACACAGGCATAGTCATGTGCACACCTGCACAGGTGCACAGACATGCACACACACATGCGTTCATATCGCAACCACACATGCACACCTGCACACACCCACTTGCACATTCACACCCACCTGTGTGGCCCACAGCTGCAGCACCAGGGCCCGTGCCTGCATCTCCTCTGACACACCCATCTCCTCCAGGTGCAGCAGGTAACTCTCCAGCCATTTGCTCCGGTGGGCCCGCCTGGCCAGCCTGGCTGGGGATAGCAGCTTCCACAGGCGACTTTTGACACTGCACATGTGGTCCTTGTCCCCTGCAGGGACAGAGCACAGAGAGTAGGGGTTACAGATTCACCATCCCACACCCAGGGCTGGCCAGGCATGACCTCCCATGAGGCCAAGGGTCTTCTGAATGTCACTCATTGAGGGTGGGGAGTTCCTGTGGGAAAGAAGCTGCAGGACAGGCCCACAGCAGGAAGCCCTTTCAATACCAAATTGCTTATTATCTGTCTTACCCCCAGTAAAAAGAAGCAAGGGGTCTTGTCTCCTGCAGGTGGGAGCCTGATCTATTTCAATCACCTCTATGTCCCCATCACCCGGCCCGTAGCAGGTGCTCAATAAATATGCATTGTATTAGTCTGTTTTCATGCTGCTGACAAAGACATACTTGAGACTGGGTAATTTATTTATTTATTTATTTTTTAAAAAATAGGTTTAATGGACTCACAGTTCCATGTGGCTGGGGAGGCCTCATAATCATAGTGGAAGGTGAAAGGCACATCTTACATGGCGGCAAGCAAGAGAAAATGAAAGCCAAGCAAAAGGAGAAACCACTTACAAAATCATCAGATCTCATGAGACTTATTCACTACAAGGAGAACAGTATGGGGGAAACCACCCCCATGATTCAGTTATCTCCCACTGGGTCCCTCCCACAACACATGAGAATTATGGGAGCTACAGTTCAAGATGAGATTTGGGTGGGGACACAGCAAAACTATATCATGCATTAAATAAATGGTAGTTCTTTCCAGAGCAGGAGAAGGAACACTAAACACTGAGCAGCATTCTCCCTCCCCAGGGTCCAACCCCAGAGCAATGCCAGCCCATGTGCATGAGGAGGAGGCCACTGTGAGCAGGCTCAGCACAGCAGCAATCACAGAAAGACATCAGCAACAACCTAACTGGCAGATTGGGCTGGAGTCTCAAACTCAACTCACTCCAGAGAAGGCAGGCCAAGTAAAAGAGAGACGGGCCAGAAAGGGGCCATGGCACTTAGCCCACCAACCAGCCCTCGGCAGGAGAGGGAAACACCCCAGCATGGCCAGAAGGCCTGTGCTTTCAAAGGAAGCTGATAATCCAGACAATTATGTATAACCTTCTGATGTTTTTTAAGGTTAGCATCCAAGTAAAAAGTTTTTAATCACTGTGCAGACCACAGAAGCATCTCTGAAGGTCAACTTTGGCCCACAGATCACTAGCGTGCATCACCATTAAACAGACAATGGTGTGTTTATGTTCTGGAAACATACAGCAGTGAAAGTGAGTTAGTACATTTTACCTACAGACACAGAGAGTTCCCAAGGGCAGACTGGTAAGGGGATAAAGCCGGGCACTGAAGAATGACACTATTTAGATATTGTTTTCTTTTCTACTTCTTTTTTTTTTTTTAAAATATTTTCATGAACCATACATGAGCCTTAATATACATTGTTTTAAAGCTCCACGGTAATGCTATTTATATGCACAAATATAAAGTTTAAAACAAAAATATAAAATATAAAATTTGGTTTTCTCCGAAATCACCCCTTGGAAAAGTGAGAGTCATTTTGGATTGCTCTGAAGTTTCAAAGTATTGGAAACTCCCTCACTGACTCTTCTGAACCACAAGCCGTGTTTCAGGAAGACTCGCCCCACCAGCGATTCTAAACCTGGCTGCACCTCACAGGGCATTTGAAAGGGTCGAAAATGTAGACTATGTTTTTTTTTTAAAGTATGTTGGCTTCATTTTCAAATAATACGCTGAATATGTTTAACTTTTAGACTTCAACTTGAGCTCATTGTTTTACATTGAAATGAATGTCACCATTTCGGGTGACATTTCAATGTAAAGCAATAAGCTTAAGTGTTCAACTGAAATACATTATCTTCCTATGTTTCTCCACTTTTCAGGCTCTCTGAAGAATTACCTGGGAGCTCTTAAATCTCTGGATGCCCAGGTGCCAACCCCAGATTGATCATGTCAAAATCACGTGCGTGGGAACTGGGCATCCAGAGGTTTAGGCCTGCAGGGCGCGGGCAGTGTTGAAACCACCTCAGTTGATGCCAACTCTGGATACTTCTAAGCATCATCTGATGGGATGGCTAAAAAAAGAGGCAAAGAAATTTAACACAGCTTTAGAAATAACTGGCATTCTTTGAAGTCTGACCACACAACTGCAATCTTGAATATCACTGTAAACACGGCGTTTACAGATGACTTTAAAAAGCAAGGCAGGACCATTCTCCACTTTTCCCCTGTGCCTACAGCAGTTCTGAGTACATAGGAGGCACTCTATATTTGCACAATCAATGAATAATTAAGCAAAAAAGGTAATGCAGTATGAAAAGACAGCTGACAGAAAGTGAGAAAATATTTGTAAATAATATATCTGATAAGGGTCTAACACCCAAAATATATAAAAGAACTCCTACGACTCAACAACAATAAAAAACAAACAACCTGATTTGAAAATTGGCAAAGGACTTGAATAGATATTTCTCCAAAGAAGAGATACAAATGGCTGATAAACACATGAAACAATGCTCAACACCATTAGTCATTAGAAAATGCATGTAAAAACCACAGTGTGATACCATTCACAACCATGAGGATGGCTACTATTTAAAACATAGGAAATAAGTGATGGTGAGGACGTGGAGAAATTGGAACCCTTATGCATTGCTGGTGGGAATGTAAAATACTGCAGTTGCTGTGAAAAAGAGTTTAGCAGTTCCTCAGAAAGTTAAAGAATTACCATATGATCCAGTAATTCTAGTTCTAGGTATATAGCCCAAAGAACTGAAACCAGAGACTCAAACAGATACTCGTGCACCAATGTTCATAGCAGCATTATTCACAGTAGCCAAAAGGCAGAAACAACCCAAATGTCGGTTGATAGGTGAATGGATAAATAGAATGCAGTATATACACACAATGTATTCACTCTTAAAAAGGAATGAAATTCTGACGCATATGCCAGGCATGGTGGCTCACGCCTGCAATCCTAGCACCTTGGGAGGCCAAGGTGGGCAGATTTCCTGGGCTCAGGAGTTAGAGAACCAGCATGGGCAACATGGTGAAACCCTGTCTCTACTAAAATACAAAAAAAAAAAAAAAAAATTAGCCAGGCATGGTGGTGTGTACCTGTAATCCCAGCTACTCAGGAGGCTGAGGCACAAGAATAGCTTGAACCCGGGAGGCGGAGATTGTAGTGAGCTGAGATGGCGACACTGCACTCCAGCCTGGGCGACAGAGACTCTGTCTCCAAAATCTCATATAATGAGAATCCTAGAACAGGAAATTCAGAGACAGAAAGTACAATAGAAGTATACTATTCGACAGAAAGTAGAATAGAAAGTAGAATAGAAGAGACAGAAAGTAGAATAGAAGATATGTCGGGCTGGGAGGAAAGGCAGGTGGGGAATTATTGTTTAATGGGCACAAAGCTTTTGTTTAGAATCATGAAAAGTTTCTGGAAATAGATAACGGCATGGTTATACAACATTGTGAATGTATTTACTGCCACTGAATTATACAATTAAAATGGTTAAAATAGTATATTTTATGTTATTTATTATTTTACCACAATTTTTTTAAAAGGCATATGAAGGTCATTTGGCAAAAATGAGTCAAAGATAGTGTTGTATAACAAAGAATTTGCATTCTGGGCGGGTGCAGTGGCTCACGCATGTAATCCCAACACTTTGGGAGGCCAAGGTGGGCAGATCACTTGAGTTCAGGAGTTTGAAGCCAGCCTGACCAACATGGTGAAACCCCGTCTCTACTAAAAATACAAAAAAGGATAAGCTGGGGGTGGTGGCAGGCACCTGTAATCCCAGTTACTTGGGAGGCTGAGGCAGCAGAATCACTTGAACCCGGGAGGTGGAGGTTGCAGTGAGCTGAGATGGAGCCACTGCACTCCAGCCTGGGTGACAGAGTGATACTCAAAATACAAAAGAATTTGAATTCCAAGGTTTCAGTTACCCATGGTCAACCATGGTCCAAAAATATTAAATGAAAAATTCCGGACATAAACAGTCATAAGTTTTAAATTACATGCTGTTCTGAGTAGTGTGTTGAAATCTTGTGCCATCCTGCTCTGTCCTGCCTGGCAAAAAACACAGGATAAAAATATAGCAGTGGGCTGGGTGCAGTGGCTCACTCCTGTAATCCCAGCACTTGGGGAGGCCGAGACGGGCAGATCACCTGAGGTCAGGAGTTCGAGACCAGCCTGGCCAACATGGTGAAACCCCATCTCTAACAAAAATATAAAAATACAAAAATTAGCCAAGCATGGTGGTGGGCGCCTGTAGTCCCAGCTACTCAGGAGGCTGGGGCAGGAGAATCGCTTGAACCCAGGAGGCAGAGGTTGCAGTGAGCGGAGATTGCACCACTGCACTCCAGGCTGGACAACAGAGCAAGCAAGACTCTGTCTCAAAAACAAAAAAAATATATATATAGCAGTGATTGGATCATGGATCAAATCAGTTTACATTTGTATATCCCTTAGAGCAGTGTAGAGGACACACTAAACCTTACCCAAGAGTTATCTATTGCTGTGATATATTGTTAGCACAAAGCAAAGTGCCAGCAACCACGTGTTTAGTATGCATTTGTGGAAAAAAAGAAAAATAAGAATATAGTCACATTCACTTGCACTTGTGTGAAGGAACTCTAGAAGGATCCATTTGAAACTAATAAAACTAATCAATTATGAGCAGTGGGAATTGGTGGAAGGGGATGTGACAAGAAAAGGAAGGAGACTTACCACTGTTATTACTTAATTTTTTTCCAGCCTTGCTGAGGTATAATTGACAAAGGAAAATTCTTATTTAAGTTGTACAACATGATGTTTTGATACACAAATATGGTGTGAAATGATTGCTGCAATCAAGCTAATTAGCATATCCATCACCTTACATAGGTGCACACTCACACGTGCATGCATGGTGAGAATACTTAAGATCCACTCTCTTAGCAAATTTCAAGTATACAATACATTGTATACTTGTATATTAAATCTCCAGAACTTATTCATTTTATAACTCAAAGTTTATACCCTCAACCAACACACCCCCATTTCCCCACCTCCTGAGCCCTGGTAACCACTGTTCTACTGTTCCTCTGAATTCAACTTTTTTAGCTCCCACGTATAAATGACATAATGCGGTATTTGATTTTCTGTGTCTGGCTTATTTCACTTACAATATTGTCTTCCAAGTTCATCTATATTGTTACAAATGGCAGGATTTCTCCCTTTTTATGGCTGAATAACATTCTTTCGTGGATTTACATACACAGCAGTCCTGTCTTATCCAGTTTCACTTTCCAAGGTTTCCATCACCCATAGTCAACCATGGTCCAAGAATATTAAATGAAAAACTCCCTAAGTTTGAAATCGCACACCATTCTGAGTAGCATGATGAACTCTTGTGCCATCCTGCTCCATCTTGCCTGGGGGGTGAATCATCCCTCTGTCCGGTGTATCCACACTGTAGACCACACCTGCCCATTAGTCACTTGGGAGCCACTGTCTCAGTTATCACGTCAACTGTCATGGTATGGTAGTACTTGTGTTCAGGTAACCCTTATTTTGTTTTCATTACAGTATATCGTTATAATTGGTTTCATTTTATTATGTTGTTAATCTCTTACTGTGCCTCATTTATAAATTAAACTTTATCAGGCCAGGCATGGTGGCTCACGCCTGTAATCCCAGCACTTTGGAAGGCCGACGTGGGCGGATCACCTGAGGTCGGGAGTTCGAGTCCAGTATGACCAACACAGAGAAACCCTGTCTCTACTAAAAATACAAAATTAGCTGGGTGTGGTGGTGCATGCCTGTAATCCCAGCTACTCAGGAGGCTGAGGCAGGAGAATCGCTTGAATCTGGGGGGCGGAGGTTGTGGTGAGCCAAGATTGCACCATTGCATTCCAGCCTGGGAGACAAAAACGAAACTCTGTCTCAAAAAAAAAAAAAAAAAATTAAACTCTGTCATAGTTATGTATGTATAAGACAAAACAGTATATACAGGGTTCAGTACCACCCATGGTTCCTGACATCCACTGGGGGTCTTGGAACATATCCCCTGAGGTTAAGAGGGGGCCATTGTACCACTATCTCTGTATCTGTTCATGCACTGATGGACACTTAGTTTGTTTCCATGTCTCAGCTGTTGTGAATAATGCTGCAATGAATTGGAGGTGCAGACATCTCTTCAAGACAGTGATTTCATTTCCTTTGAATATATACCTAGAAGAGGGATTGCTGGATCATGTGGTAGCTCTATTTTTGATTTTTTAGGAACCTCCATACTGTTCTCCATGATGGCTATACCAATTTAAATTCCCACCACCAGTGCGAAAGAGTTCTCTTTTCTCCACATCCTTGCCAATATTTGTCATCTTTTGACATTTCTAACGGGTGTGTGGTGATATCTCCTTGTGATTTTGATTTGCATTTCCCCAATGAGTAGTGATGTTGAACACCTTTTCATACCTGTTGCCATTTGTATGTCTTCTTTGGGAAAAATGCCTATTCTGGTCCTTTGTCCATTTTGCAGTCAGGTTATTTGGATTTTTGTGTTTTTTGAGGCAGAGTCTCGCTCTGTCGCCAGGCTGGAGTGCAGTGGCGTGATCTCGGCTCACTGCAACTTCCACCTCCCGGGTTCAAGCAATTCTCCTGCCTCAGCCTCCCGAGTAGCTGAGACTACAGGCGTGCACCACCACGCCCAGCTAATTTTTGTATTTTTTAGTAGAGACAGGGTCTCACCATATTGGCCAGGATGGTCTCGATCTCTTGACCTCGTGATCTGCCCAACTCGGCCTCCCAAAGTGTTGGGATTACAGGTGTGAGCCACCGCTCCCAGATGTTATTTGGAATTTTTGGTATTGAGTTGTATGAGTTCCTTATCTATTTTGGATGTTAACCCCATATCGGGTATGTGGTTTGTAATCTACTTTACATTTTTAATGTTTAAACCACGCGAAATAATTTTTAAAATAAAATAATAGAAAATCTGGCAAACCCCCCAAAAATAATTTCCAGTGAAACATCATATACTGTAGAGATTCAAGGAATTCAGTGCATATGGGAGTGAGGAAGAGAAGATTCTGGAAAACTGAGCTTGGTGGCTCAACCTGGGGCCCTGCAGATGAGCAAAGCTGTGTAGTTAAAGGGGGAGTCTGCATAAAGCCCCCTCCTGAAATGTGGTCGTGGGAAGAAAGCAAATGTTCGAAATGGTTACAGCACATTTATACAATTCACTACAGACGTTCAACAAAACAGATACGGAGAAATGCAACTATTTACTTCCATTCCTAATTATTTCAATATTTAGGTTGCCCCAAAAATCAAAAAAAGACAAAATTTTAAAAATCTTCCCACTGGGAAAACAGAGGCTTGCTGTCTACTTGGGATTCCAGTACAATTTGCTATTTTGTTGTTTTTTTTCTTTTGAGACAAGGTCTTGCTCTGTCACTCAGGCTGGAGTGCAATGGCGTAGTCTGGCTCACTGCACCCTCAACCTCCTGGGCTCAAGTGATCCTCCCACCTCAGCTTCCTGAGTAGTTGAGACTACAGGTGTGAGCCACCACAACTGGCTAATTATTATTATTATATTTTGTAGAGACAAGGTCTGTCTATATTGCCCAGGCTGGCCTCAAACTCCTGAACAAAAGTGATTCTCCTGCCTTGGCCTCCCAAAGTGCTGGATTACAGGTGTGAGCCACTGTGCGCAGCCTCATGCTGTATTTTAATGTCTGCATAAAGGCCAAGTGTTGTTCTGGGAAACAGAGTAGCCGCAAGCCCCAGGGAGTTATGGAGCATTTGAAATGCGGCTGGCTCGAATGCAGCCACATTTAATATAGGGTAGGGGAGACACTGGATTCCAGAGTCAGCATGAGAAACAAAATGTAAAATATCTTATCAATAATTTTAACATTGGTTAATGCTAAAATGCTAATAATATTTTAGATGTATTGGCTTAAATAAAATGTATTATTAAAATCGATTTCACTTCTATTTTTCTTTTTTAGTGTGTCTAATAGAAAATTTTAAATTACAAATGTGATTCCCATTATTTGTCTATGTACAGCACTGTTCTAGAAGGATAACAGCAAACAGATAGCAATAGTTACCTGGGGATAGATTTAGAGGGAATGTGGTCAAAAGAGAATTTTCCTTTTTGAAATATTTGATTTTTTTTTAACAAAAGTCAGAGGAGCCCAGTTAAGAGGCCCAGTGCTGTAGCAGAGTGCCTGACCTTGAACAAGTCACCTCACATCTCAGCATCTCAGTTTTCTTGCCTGTAAATTGGGATAATAAAAGTACCCACCACAGAGGGTTATATACAGATCAAATGCGTTATTAACATCTAAAGCACAGAGATGACTGACACAGTCCTAATAAACGCTATATTATTAAATAACAAATCTTACTGAATGTTAGCAAATTATTAGCCCAAGGAGAACATGTTCATGAATTGCTTCTTTAATTAAGAAACAATAATAAATTGCGAAATACAGAGCACAAAGTTTGAAGACAGAGAGCATTGAAATCCCAGCTCTTCCCTTTCTAACGAGATGACCTTGGCCAAGTCACTTTGCATCTCTGAGCCTCAGTTTCCCCCATGTGTAAAATGAGGGCCATCTAGCTCATAGGATGGTCAGGAGGATTCAGAAAGATCACACACAGAACACACTTGGTATCGGTAGAAGTTTGTAAAATGCTACTTGCTACATTCTCTCCATTATTACGAGGTATTTCTTATTGGTGTGATAACCGGATGCCATGAATGAGGGCTGCCAGGCCCACGGTGATTGGCAGCCCACCAATTTAAACCAGATTGGTGTATCTGGTTTAAATCCCAGAGTCCCCATGCTATGTAGCCTCGGCTGAGCCCCTGCCCATCTCTGGACCTCAGTCTCCTCATCCAAAAAATGAGGACCCAGACTTGAATACCTCTCAAGTTTTTTCTGGGAAAGCCCTCTAGGCCCTCTAGATTTGGGGGCATAGTACAGAGAGGCCCCCAGAAGACACATGTCTTTAAAGTCTTGTGTTTTACCTTTGAAATGCATCAGAGTTTTGCATCAGACTCTGTGATTCTTTGATATAAGAATGCCTTTTTCCCCAAAACAATGTTCAAATAAACAGCCCCCCAAAATAATCCAGTAAAATAAATGTTCCAGACAGAAGCACTATGCTTAGCTAGGGGGTCTGTTTAACTGTCCCCTGCCCCCAACTCCCTACTGTATGAGAAACACCAGACTCAATGGCCTAAGGGTTCTCAAAGGATTAACTTTCTTTTAAAATATATTTATACTTTAAAAAGTGAAGGAAGAATAATGTATGCATACAGAAAAAAAAGAAGAAAAATAAAGAATCTAAGAGTTCAAGTCCACATCTTGTAAAAAATGATTTTCTCTCCACCCCTTCTCGGCCTTCCCAAAGGCAAAAATCTATACATACTCCCACATTTTTAAAAATGGCCGGGTGTGGTGGCTCACACCGGTAATCCTAGCACTTTGGGAGGCTGAAGCAGGCAGATCACTTGAGGTCAGGAGTTCAAAACCAGCCTGGCCAATGTGATGAAACCCCAGCTCTACTAAAAAAGTACAAACACATTATCCGGGGGTGGTGGTACGTGCCTGTAATCCCAGCTACTCGGGGGGCTGAGGCAGGAGAATTGCTTGAACCTGGGAGGCAGAGGTTGCAGTGAGCTAAGATCGTGCCACTGCACTCCAACCTGGGCAACAGAGCAAGACTCTGTCTCAAAAGCAAAAACATATATATATATATATAAAATGTATGTATATATAGTGATATAGTATACCCTCTGCCTGCAGCTTGCTCTTTTTTGTAACAGTAGATTTCATTCACTACCAGTATGTCCCACTCTGTTTTAGATGCATAGATGGCCTTTAGATGAATGCATAATTTATTTAATCAGCCCTTACTGATGGACTTTAAATTGTTTCTAGCATTTGCAATTATAAGCAATGTGACAATGAATATGTTTGTGTATCTGTAGACATGTGCAAGCATTTATGTAGGATAAATTCCTAGAAGTGGAAGTACAGGATCAAAGGAATGTGCATTTTATTTTATGTTTCAGCAGGTTCTGCCAAAAGAGGCTGCAATGCTTCAAGCACCCCACAGCAATGTTCGGGGGCTGCTTTGCCCACATGCCTCTGGTCCCAATTAAGATGAGAAATCACCGTCCCACATTGCCACCTGCTGCTCATATTGAGAAATGCATCCTTCCTATAGCCAGCCCAGGGCTGCTCCCAGAGTGATGGGGGGAGTTCCTCTGCGTCTAATCAGACTCCTCTGGAGCATCTGTGTGGAGGAAATGGTAATGGAGAAACCCAATTTTTCCTGGGGAAGCAATCAGTGCTAGGATGTGGCAGGTGCTTTATGCACAGGATTTTGCAGACAGACAGACCAAGTTTCCACCTACCAGCTGCATGTCTATGACAAGTGATCTCACCTCTCTGAGCCTCAGTTTCCTTATCTGCAACATGGGTATGTGAATAACAACCTTCCAGCATGGATGGCAAGATTTGATAAGCTCAAATGAGTTCCTCTAAAAAGATAATAAAGGACACAAACAGCCGGCTCATAAACAGGAAATGCAAATGGCTACTGAAACACAAAAAAATACAAAAATTAACCAGGCTCAGTGGCACGTGCCTGTAGTCCCAGCTACTTGGGAGGCTGAGTTGGGAGGATCGCTTGAGCCTGGGAGGTCAAGATTGCAGTGAGCCGAGGTCTCGCTACTGCACTCCAGTCTGGGTGACAGAGCAAGACTCTGTTTCAAAACAACAAAAAAACCACACACACCCAGAGATGTTTCATCACAGTAGTCAGTGATATGCCACATAGAGCCAGATGTCCTTTTTTCCATCAGATTGGCAATTATTTAAAGGCTGATAACTGCATGTTGGCAAGGTTGTGGTAACATGCAAATTAAAGCAATAAGTTACCCACCTCTGCCCATCAGATTAGCAAATAAATGGAAAGATTGATGGCATCTGGTGGAGCAGATTTCTTCCCTTTAGGTAGGCGGATGAATTGCTCTGTGGTTTTGGAAATGATGTGGCAGAAGCAGATAAAAATTTTAATGTATAGGGCCTTTGACCTGGCAAAACCACTTCTAAGAAGTGGGCAGAGAGAAATGAAATAACCAGATGGTAGAACAGATACAAGTACAATGAAATGGTATAAAAGCAAAAAGAAAGAAAGATAGAATATTGACATCTGTCAGAGGGAAATGGCTAACTACTGAAACAGCCATGTGAGGGCTAAAAAAATGTATTGGTTTTTTGTTTTTGTTTTTGTTTTGAGATGGAGTCTTGCTCTGTCACCCAGGCTGGAGTGCAGTGGCGTGATCTTGGCTCACTGTAACCTCTGTCTCACCAGGCTCAAGTGATCCTCCCACCTCAGCCTCCCAAGTAGGTGGGATTACAGGCGCTTGCCGCCATGCCCGGCTAATTTTTTGTATTTTTGGTAGAGATGGGGTTTCGCCATGTTGGCCAGGCTGGTCGCAAACTCCTGACCTCAAGTGATCTACCTGTCTCAGCCTCCCAAAGTGCTAAGATTACAGGCATGAGCCACCGTGCTCGGCCAGATGTCTTGTATTTTTAATGTTAATTTCATATCCTTCTACTTTGCTGGATTCATTTATTGCTGGAGTTTGTTTTATTATTGATTTTCTGGGGTTCTCCAGGTACAATATCAGATCATCTGCAAATAGGAATAGTTTTACTTCTTTACCCATTCTGATGTCTATAATTGGTTTCTCTTGTTTAATTGCATCAGCTAATATCTCTAAAAGATGTTTATATCAACAGAGAAGAATGTACAGCTATATTGTTAGGTTAAAAACAGGTTGTAAATAACAGATACAATTTTTCTTTGTAAACACAGAGACACTGTAGATGTGCATATTTGTCTCTAGTTGTGAGAACATACAAAATACCATGAAGGGATAATACCACCATGCTAACATTGGCTTCACAGGAAGCTGGGCTTGGAAGAAGGGGTATTATATTTTATACAACCTGTAACTCTGAATTGTTAACCACAAGATTATGATTCTCTCATAATGTAAACAAAATCAATAATGCATTAAAGTTTGGCTTTTTAAAAATATATAAGCAAAAGGAAATGGGTGATGAAGTGTTTGAGCACTGACTATGACAATGCTTAACCTCGTATCTGGCACATAGTAAGTGCTCAGCAAACAGTGCTTTTTCTTTTTTTCTTTTCTTTCTTTCTTTCTTTCTTTCTTTTTTTTTTTTTTTTTTTTGAGACGGAGTCTCACTCTGTCGCCCAGGCTGGAGTGCAGTGGCACAATCTCGGCTCAGTGCAACCTCCACCCGCAGGGTTCTAGCAATTCTCCTACCTCAGCTTCCCGGGTAGCTGAGATTACAGGCGCCCACCACCACGCCCAGCTAATTTTTTTGTATTTTTAGTAGAGACAGGGTTCCGCCATGTTGTCCAGGCTGGTCTTGAACTCCTCACCTTAGGTGATCCACCCGTCACGGCCTCCCAAAGTGCTGGGATTACAGGCATGAGCCTCCGCGCCCGGCCACAGTGCTTTTTCTTGTTACCTCAGCCAATTCTAACAGCTGCCCTCTAGGAAGATCCTGCTGTTCCCCCCATTTTGCAGATGAGATCGCTGAGGCACAGAGAAAACACACAGATGCTGGGAGGGGGAGCTGGTAAAGCTCTTCAAGCCGTCAGAGCCCAGACTCTGTCTTAGCCACTCCCCTCCACGGTCCCTCCAGAGAAAGGAACTGGGGCAAGTAGAAGTAACTTGCTCCGAGTCACCAGCAAGGAAGCAGCAGCGCAGGAATTCAAATCCAGGCCTCTGCTGCAAGTCTCTGAGCCCAGCACACACAGCACTTCCCAGCCTTCTCAGGACACTTGTCAGACATGCAGTTTTCCAAGCTCTCCCCTGGAGACCTGGATTCCTATGGACCTGGATGGGGCTGAGGGACCTACGTTATGAAGAAGGGCCTGAGAGGATTCTGCTCATCAGGGAAGTTGGGGGCACATGGCCCAGGGAATGGCGCCGCCCAGTGGTTCCTACGGCCCCTGCACACGGAATCAGCCAGGACACTCTACCAACACTAAGTACGCTCTGCAGCCACAAAAACAGATGAGGTAGATTTTTACAAATCGATGTGGAAATGCTGTAGACAGGGAGTTGAGTGAAAGCTGTAAGCGGTACAACAATTCTTCTAGTGTGATATATCTAAGTTATAGAAGTACAGGCTAGGCAGGGCGTGGTGGCTCATGCCTGTAATCCCAACACTTTGGGAGGCCGAGGCAGGCAGATCTCCTGAGGTCAGGAGTTTAAGACCAGCCTGGCCAACATGGCGAAACACTGTCTCTACTAAAAATACAAAAAATAACCAGGCGTGGTGGTGCGTGCCTGTAATCCCAGCTACTCAGGAGGCTGAGGCAGGAGAATTGCTTGACCCCGGGAAGCAGAGGTTGCAGCGAGCCGAGATTGTGCCGCTGCATTCCAGCCTGGGCAACAGGGCAAGACTCTGTCTCAAAAAAACAAAAACAAAAACAAAACAAAAAACAGGCCAACAGCTAAAAGAAATGCACGTGTGCACTGAAAGATACGTACAAGAATGTTCACAACAACCTCTTCCTAACAGCTCCAAATGGGGGACTACTCAAATGTCTATCAACCAGGAATGGATAAACAAATTGTGGCATATTTCTTTAATGAAATACTATACGGCAATAAAAAGAACAAGCTGTTGGCCAGGCACAGTGGCTCACGTCTGTAATCCCAACACTTTGGGAGACCAACGTGGGAGGATTGCTTGAGCCCAGGAGTTGGAGACCAGTCTGGGAAACATAGTGAAACCTCATCTCTACAAAAAAATTTAAAAATTAGCCAAGCCTAGTGGCATATGCCTGTAGTCCCAGCTACTCAAGAAGCTGAGGGGGAAGGATCACTTGATCCCAGGAGATTGAGGCTGCAGTGAGCCGAGATCGCACCACTGCACTCCAGCCTGGGTGACAGAGTGAGACCCTGGTTCAGAAAAAAAAAAAAAAAAAAAAAAAAAAAAAAGGCATGCTGGCTCACTCCCATAATCTCAGCACTTTGGGAGGCCAAGGCAGGAGGATCGCTTGAGCCCAGGAGTTCAAGACCAGTATAGGTAACATAGCAAGACTCCGTCTCAAAAAAATTGTTTTTAAGACAAAAAACAAAAAATAAATAAAAACTGGACTATTGATCCATACAACAACCTGGATGAATCTCCCAACATCAAGTTGAGTGAAAGAAGCCAGGCATAAAAGGGCACATACTGTGTGATTCCATTTCTAGGAAGCTGAAGAATAGGCAAAACTAATTGGAGGTAAAAGAAACCAGTCCAGTGGCTACCTCGCAGGGGTGAATACTGGCTGGGAAAGAGCATAAAATGTTTAGATCCACTTCTCAGTGCATTTATTTATTTATTTATTTATTTATTTATTTATTTATTTAAGACAGAGTCTGGCTCTGTCACTCAGGCTGGAGTGCAGTGGCGTGATCACAGCTCACTGCAACCTCCAACTCCCAGGTTCAAGCTATTCTGCCTCAGCTTCCCGAGTAGCCAGGAATGCAGGCACCCGCCACCATGCCTGGCTAATTTTTGTATTTTTAGTAGAGATGGGGTTTCACCATGTTGACCAGGCTGATCTCAAACGCCTGACTTCAAGTGATCCGCCCACCTCAGCCTCCCAAAGTGCTGGGATTACAGGTGTGAGCCACTGCACCTGGCCTCTCAGTGCGTTTAGATGTGTGTGCTTTCCTGTATATAAATTATACCTCAGTAAAAAACAAGAAGTTAAAAGCTTCAAAAATAAAATAAAAATAAAAATAACACACATCTGTGTGTCTGTTTAGAGAAAGTGCTCCCAGGATGTACTCCAAGCTAGTGATGGTGGTTGCCTCTGTAGAGGGAAGTGGTGGGCTGAGGCTGGGGAGAAAGTGGAGCGCTCTTTTATTCTTCCCTGTAAATTATTCTATATGGCTTGAATTTTTTATAATCAGCACGAACTACTTGTAAAAACTTTTAAAGCAACTCAAACCTTAAAACACAAAAAGGAACACACACACACACAGAGATTCTCCAGCCCCACTCTAAATGTGCTGAATCAGAATTTCCACCAGGAACCCAAGCTCTGGTCCAAGCCCTGGCTCCCCACCATTGCGCTCTTGCATACCCCCAGTGATGGGGATCTTACTGCCTCCCTGGGCATTGGATGTCTTTCTGCCTGTGTTGCCTCTGGTCCTCTACCTTGAATTGGGCTCCCCCTCTGGGTCTTTCCATCCTCCCCCCCACCCACTGGGGCCCCCATGGTGCTTACCCACTGACAGGGAGCCACGGGCCAGTTTGGGGAGCAGCCGGTCGAGCTGGCGAAAGGTGTGGAAGACATCAGCTGAGTGGACGCGGTCCTGGGCCTGGCTTTCATGGGTGCGTGGCAGCGCCTCAATTCCGTAAAGAGTCAGGTAGCCGGCTCTGGGGGCGGCAGACAGAGGGTCAGGGGTCCTCCTGGGACACTCATGTGTGGCCACAGCTACTCACAAGAGCTTCATTCATACACCCAGTGAGCAACTACTAATCCTACTGTGCGCCAAAGACCATTCTGGGCACTGAACAGTCGGCAGTGAAAAAAACAAAAATCCCTGTCCTCAAGGAGCTGACCTCTCAGCACAGGGAGACAGACAACAGACGAGAGGATGAGTAAAATGAATAATGCGCCAGCTGGTGCCCCGCGGCACTGTCAGACACAAAGCTGGGTAGCAGGATGGGAGGGCGGGGGCTGTGGTGTCAGGTGCCAGGTGAGGGAGGGGCTGGTGTCAAGCTGACAGCTGAAGGCTGAGAAGGAGTCAGCCATGGGCAGAGCAGAGGGAGGGGTAGGAAGCAGAGCAAGCACCAGGTGTGATGTCCTGGGGCAGGAGGGAGCCCGGTGCTGGGGAGCAGCAAGGAGGCTGATGAGGCTGCAGCAGAGAGCTCGAGGGGACGGTGCTGAGATGGGGGCACAGAGAAGGGGAGGAGATGCCTGCTCCCAGGGAGGGATTCAGGGAAGACTTCCTAGAGAAGGGAGGGTCTGAGCTGAGATCTGCAGGATGATCGGGGGAAGCAGAAGAGGAACGTGTTCAGGCAACAGGCACAGCCTGTGCAAAGGCCCAGAGCTGAGAGTGCAACCGTGCCTGGTGGGAGAGGTGCCAGCTGTGGCTGGTGCAGGCACTGGAGCCGGGGTGTGAGGCAGAGGATGGGAGGGCCTGGGCTGTCAGGGCTGGCCACGCAAGGCAGGCATTTGCAGCAGTGAGAAGGTTGTGCTTGATCTGAGGGGCTCTGGGAGGCCCGAGAAGGAGGTCAGGGCCTGGTCAAGTGTGAAAAAGGGTAAGACATGGGAGCTAGCATGAGCTCTCATGTGCTCTCACTGAGGCACACTTACGCACACGCACACGCACACACACAGGACCACGCTCAGAGGACGCGCCTTCACCTCCAGCCCCCTTTAAATGCCCCAGGAGTCCAGCCCCAGCCCAGCGGGCTGACCTCAGTCCTGGGAGGGAAACTGCAGGCTTTCATTTTGTCATCTCTGCCTCAGCAGAGAGTCACAACAAAGAGACGCAACCAAAGCCCCGGGGCCTCACCCTCTCACCCTCCCCTTGAGCTCCTGGATCCCTGTGCAGACAAAGACCAGAGACCAGGATCTCTCAGGAGAGGGGTTTTCCCAGATGAAGAGAGAATGGAAGCAGGAATGAGGGTAGGTGGGGGCCGAGAGAGGCCTGCGTGGTCCCTGCTCTGTCCCTCACCTGCACAGTGGTGGCAGAAGTTGTAAAGGTGCAGCCCACACACTGGATTCAGTCCACAAATGTGTTTTATCAAGGGAGTTCCTAAAAACAAACTAAAGCTTCCTTCAAACATTTGGGGAAACTCACACAAAATCCGGATTTCCTGCTCATCTCATCTTGAAAAAGGAATCTGGCTGACCTGCGGTCCCACCTGGAAACCTAGCAGGAGCAGAGTTGCAGCCGCCCCTTTTAGACAGACACGTGCTTGCCAGGCCACTGCGGTACTCCCAAGGCCCTGTGGTCTCGGTGACACTGCAGTTGACACTGGTCATCATTTATCATCACACTTGCACTGTTGTTTTTTGCTAACTCAGAGAACCATTTCCCGGTACATATATTTCTACCAAAACAGGCAATGAAAAATAAACCAAAAAAGTAAACCGGCCGGGAGAGGTGGCTCACGCCTGTAATCCTAGCACTTTGGGATGCCGAGGTGGTTATATCACCTGAGGTCAGGAGTTCGAGACCAGCTTGGCCAACATGGTGAAACCCCCTCTCTACTAAAAATACAAAAATTAGCTGGGCATGGTGGCGGCACCTGTAGTCCCAGCTACTCAGGAGGCTGAGGCGAGAGAATCGCTTGAATCTGGGAGGCGGAGGTTGCAGCGAGCAGAGATCGCGCCATTATTGCACTCCAGCCTGGGCGAAAGAGCGAAACTTTGTCTTTAAAATAAAATAAAATAAAATGAAGGAAAAGAAAACAAAAAGAAAAAGTAAACCCAGAGGACCACAAGGTTTTGCTCTGTGGAAGCGAAGCCGGCAGCTCCATATCAAAAGAGCACGGCTGAAGACAGGATAATCCCATATGTAAATACACACACGACCCACAGGCGGCGCTAGAGCCACAAAGAAAAATAAAGCTGAACCAAGCTGGGTCACAGGAGGGAGCCATCACGAAAATGGGACTCAAGAAAGACCTCTCTGAGCAGGTGGCGCTCGCGATAAGGCTTAAACGAAGTGGGGTGGGAGCCACGCAGACCTGTGGGGAACAGCATTCCCAGGCAAGGGAACAGAAATAGCAAAGGCCACAAAGAGAGAGCGTGCCTGACCTGCTCAAGGGGCAGCAGAGAGGTAGGTGGGAGGAGGGGAGGCCAGGGCTACAAGGTGAGGACAGAGGAGAACTTTGGGTGTGACTCAGTGAGGCCAGGGCCAACACAGGCCAGGCTGGTGGGTGTAAGAGGTGGCACCTCACAGTTCGGGCTGCCTGAACCGGCACCCCTTTCACCTCTGTGTCCCTCCCATCCAACTGGCCCATTCTCTTTGTATTTCAGGGGCTGCTGATTGATGGCAGTGGAAAGGCCTACAGCTGCCAAGCCAGGGGGCAGGAGCTCCAGCCCAGGCCTCAGGCCCTGAAGACACAGTTACCGGGTTACAGGTATGGATTTACGTCTGATTCCCCCTGAGCTGATTCCCCTGTGCCTGCCGCTGTACCATGGAGCCTAGCCAGACCCAGCTGCCCCTGAGCCTGCCTCTCCCCAGCCTATCTCTCTCTGACTTCTTTGTCTGCACAGGGACCCAGGAGCCAGGAGACCTGGGAGGATCACTACTGTGAACTTGCTGGGTGGTTTCAGCTGGCCCTCTCTGGACCTCAGTCCCCATCATACAATGCAGGGTGGACCAGACCAGCATCACCCACACCAATTACAGCCCTTGACACTGTTTGCACCACCCCAGGGCAAAACAAAAAGAATGGGGACTGTTCGTGTGCTGAGAGCTGTGGCTGAGAGTGCAGACTCTGGGACCAGCCCTGTCCTGACCCCAACACAGGCCTCTGGGCAAATGACTCAGGCTCTCCAGGTCTCAGTTTTCTCATCTGTCAAATGGAATATGTAAAGTCCTAGCCTCCTAGAGCGATTGTGAGCATTAAAAGAGCTGAGACACGCCGAGTCTACACATATGCACACACATATCATAAATATACCCACATGCCCATATGTGTCAACGAATGACTGCCCTTTATCCTAGAACTATGTTGCTCTAATTTCTTGGAGGGGTTGAAATGTCCTTTTTTAAATTAAATTTAAATTAAATTAAATTCTGGTTGGTTAAGGGCATCACTAAAATCAGGGAGCTGTCCTTAACACCACTCTATCCCTCTCACTCACGCCCACGCTCCCCCATCCCCACCGCTGCCCCAGTCAAATCTTCCGGCAGAGCCAGTGAACTCTATCTCCAAAAGCTACCCAAATTCTCACCACCTCCCTGGGCCACCACCATTCTCTCACCTTGGTGACACCTGGCAGCCTCCTGCTAGGTCCTCCTGCCTCCCTCTCCACCCCTCCTTACCCCTACAGTCCATCCTCCATCCAGCAGCCAGAGGGGGCTTTCAAACTAAGTTAGATCATGTCCTGCCCCTGTGCAAACCCCTGATGTCACCCGATCTTACTCAGCATAATTTCCAAAGCCTTCCCTGACCTCCCGACTGCCTGAGGCCTGCTTCTGCCCACTTCTCTGACCTCCTGTCCACCTTCCCTCCTTGGCTCTTTATGCTGTAGCCACACTGGCCGTCTCTCTGAGCTTCCTCCCACCTCTGGGCCTTTGCACCTGCTGTTTCCCCTGCCTAGAGTGTTGGCGTGGTGGGCACTTTGCAGTTAGGTCTTGGCTCAGAAGCCAGACCCCCAGAGCATGACCCTGCCTCGTCAGTCGGCCTAAGAAAGCCCCCCAGATGCTGTCACCCCACCCGTGGATCTCTGTCATCGTGTTTATCACTCTCTGACATAACTCAATTCGGCCTCCCCCACTGGAGTGTCAGCTGTGTGAATTTGGGGACTTCATCTGTCCTGTTCCCTGCTGTATCCCCAGAGCCTGGATTAGTGCCCGGCACTGCTGAAGGAAGGAACGTTCGGTTGTGCAGTTTTTAACATACATTTACAAGACCAGATAAAAGGTTAAGGTCCCAAGTTGATCTCCCAAACATTTTGTTTTCTGTTCTGTGAAATCCCAAAGTCTGGAAGCCACAGGACAAGATGACCTCTGAAGTCTTGCTCTGTGACTTCCTCTCTGAATGACCTGTAAGGTCCCATTTCCAGCCAGTGTCTCCTTTTACAGTTCATGAGCTAGGTCAGATGAACAGCCGGGGCCCTGGTGCATGGCGTCTTTCCTACAGTCTTTGCTTTGGGTGTCTCAAATTGCTTCCCCCACCCACAGAGTCCTCACGGTTCCCTTGGCCACTGCTCATGGCTGACACAGGTCAAAGTGCCGGGCCCCAGCAGGAGGGTGGGGGCTGCACAGCCTCACCTGAGCAGGAAGCTGTAGGAGAAGTCGAGGAGACCCATCTCGTGCCAGCCACTGCCTGCTTCTGTAGCATCGCCCAACAGCACTGCATGGAGGTTGGTATACATGGCTTCTGTGAGTGCCTGGAGCTCTCTGTGGAGAAGAGTCCTGAGGCAGGAAACAAAAGCATGAAAATTTGGCTTCCAAAGGGAAATACACACCTACAGGCACCTCCCTCCCCAAACCTAAGGGTCCCAGAGCTCAAGCTCCCCATTGGCAAAGAGGTCCTGCGGAAGAGTAGCTTAAATAAGAGGATATTATTATGACTGTCATCGTCAACAATAGTTCCCATCTGTTATACTGAGCCTAATCTCATTTCGTCTTCAGACAAACCTGGGAATAAGAGTTACTATTATGACACCCATTTTACAGATGGAGAAACTCAGAAACAGAGAGGAAAGTGACTTGCCCAAGGTCACACAGCCAAAGCGGGACTGAAATCCTGGTCTGCCCAACTCCAGCATCTGAATTCTTAACCAGGAGAGTCTTTCCCTCCCTAAGGCACACAGCTTGGATAAGGGACCCATAGCGTTCTGGAAGAGAAGGAACTGAAAAGCAACTCATCTCTCCCTGAAATCTAAAGATAGGAAGATCTGTTGGAATAGCTGTGGTGTTCCCTGACTCAGGACTGCCAATAAGATGTGACCCTGGCCAGGCATGGTGGCTCCCACCTGTAATCCCAGCACTCTGGGAGGCCAAGGTGGGAGAATCACTTAAGTCCATGAGTTCAAGACCAGCCTGGGCAACATAGTGAGACTCCATCTCAACAAAAAATAAAATATTAGCCAGGGGTGGTGGCTCACACCTGTAGTCTCAGCTACTCGAGAAGCTGAGGTGGGAGGATCGCCTGAGTCTAAGAGTTCAAGACCAGCCTGGGCAACATAGTGAGATTCTGCCTTTACAAAAATAGAATAAATACACAAAGAATCACTAGCCAGATGTGTAGTAGGTGCCTGTAGTCCCAGCTACTCAGGAGGCTGAGGTGGGGAGGATTGCTTGAGTCCAGGAGTTTGAAGCTGCAGTGAGCTATGATCACACCACTGCACTCCAGCCTAGGCAACAGAGTGAGACTCTGTGTCTTAAAAAAAGAAAAGAAAAAAAAAAAAGACATGACCTCACATGAGAGTGACACAAGGAAAAAGGGATGTGGGCTGGAGATCTGGTCCCATCGTGTGGACCTGCACAGAGTGAGGAGAGGCCCCGTCTGGAAGAGTGTGGCAGAAGCTGGAAGCTCCCCTATACTGAGCCTCCATGATATGGAGTCTACACTGAGCCATGACTGAGGATATGATTAGAAGCCAAGAAAGGGGTATCTTGCATCTAAGTCTAAGGCCTCTCTGCTCCTTGTGTAGGATCTGGACCAAAAAGGATATCCCTACAGCAAGTGAAGTGGGGTGTCCATGGGCGG
This sequence comes from Homo sapiens, assembly GCF_000001405.40. Lineage (NCBI taxonomy): Eukaryota > Metazoa > Chordata > Mammalia > Primates > Hominidae > Homo > Homo sapiens. The sequence goes on from NC_000020.11 coordinate 49,545,749, forward strand.
TGCACAGCCCATGGTCAACAGCAACACCTAGTGGCAGCAACAAGAACAGTGGGAGAGTGCCAATCAGGGCCCTGATCTGTCATGCCTGCTGTTTGGGAAGTAGGATGGACTGCTGTTTGGGAAGTAGGATGGACACCTTTAGACTGAGTAAGCCAGAAGTGCCTGGGTAATCCACCAGGGCAGGGTTTGCACAGGGCGTCCATGAACTCCTGGGTATGAAAAGGTTTGGGATGTTCAAGTTGGAACATAGTGGGAAAAACGACAGACATGGCTCATGACTCATGTATGACAATGCATGTGAAGGGTTCCGCACGGTGCCTGGCACATTGTAAGTGCTCAATACATGGGATCTGGCCTTCAATGGACCCTGACCCAGCTCTTCTCCCCACCCCACTCCAAGCGCTGGTCCTCAGCAGAGACAAGCCCTCAACAGATGTGGCTGCTGTGCCCAGAAGACATCACGCCAGCTTGTAAGAAATTCCAGAAAATTCCTGAGGCAAACACTGAAGGAAACTGGGATCCTCCCTGGGTAGCAGGGGCAGATTCAGTGAGCTGTGGATTCCTATTGCTAATGGGACCCCCAGGGTCCCCCTGGAATGTCAGGACCCAGGACACTCAGGCTCCAAGCAGCTGCCCCCAGGCCAAGGTTCAGAGGAGGCATCATGTCTCATCAACATCCACTTCATCATGCTGGCCTTGCTTCAGCCTTAACTATCTTGCAAAACAGTTTCCTAGATGCTCTTCCTAACCTCCAGAGGGTATTCCTCCTGGAGACAGATCACTGAAGATCGCCATTGGACTGTGTGAACTCTGCAGGGGCGGACACAGGGTCTTATCAGCCTTGGTATCTTAGATGAAGGAGAATGCGCTGTGAAGTCAGTGGACCTGGGTTCAAATCCCAGTCCTGCCACTTACTAGCAGTAGACTTTGAGCAAGTCACTTCACCTCTCTGAGCCTCAGTGTCCTCATCTGTAAAATAAGGATAAAAATGCCCACCTCTTTAGGCTAATGCACAGATATGAAAGTGAGCCTATCAGACACCTGGCCTATAATAGCTGCCTTCAAATGGTGGTTGGCACCGTTCTGCACACCCTACATCCAGGGCAATGACCAGGGTACAATGGGTCCTCAGATGTCTGCTGAATGAATGCAGAGCAAACATGTTCATCTGTTCTCTTATTGATATGATGACTCCATATGTGGCTGGGCATGGTGGCTCATGCCTGTAATCCCAGCACTTTGGGAAGCTGAGGCGGGCAGACCACCTGAGGTCAGGAGTTCGAGACCTGCCTGGACAACATGATGAAATCCTGTCTCTACTAAAAATACAAAAATTAGCCAGGTGTGGTGGCACGTGCCTGTAATCCCAGCTACCTGGGAGGCTGAGGCAGGAGAATCGCCTGAACCCGGGAGGCGGAGGTTACAGTGAGCCAAGATTATGCCACTGCACTCTGGCCTGGGCAACAGAGAGAGACTCTGTCTCAAAAATAAATAAATAAAATAAAATGATTCCTCCATATGTTTCAGGAGCTGTACCACTTCTGGCTATGTGGCCTGAGACAAGTCACTTCTCTGAGATCCAGTGGCTGCATCTATGAAATGGGGCTGTAAGTTACTTAGCCTCCAGCATTGTTGTGAAGACTAATGAGATAATGCATGCTGCCTGGCAGAGTATGGACTCAGAAATATTCATCATTCCACCTCTCTCCTTCATTTTACAGAGGAGGAAACAGAGGCTCAGAGAGGGAAAGAGGTTTGTCCAAAGTCACAAAGCTAGGGAGTGATGGGGCTGGGATTTGAATTTAGGTGTGGCTGACCCAAACCCTGGTCTCCTCCTACTAAAATCAGGGCTGCCTCCAAACAAACAAACAAACAAACAAACAAACAAAAAAACCCGCCAGAGATGAGAGACAAAGAGTTCTTCTTCCACCCAATTCTTTTGGGTTGTTTTTTGTTTTGTTTCTGTTTGTGTTCTCAAGACAAAATGTCTTTACCGAACATTTGCTTTGGAACCAAGAATAACTTGGGCCACATGAGTAGAAATGAGTCGCCCACCCTGGCCCTCCCACAGGTGCCATCTCCAGCCACTCACAGTTTCATCCTGGCCTTTTCATCACTGGGGCTGTAATGTGGAAGCTGCACATCAAAAATCCTCTCCATGAGGAAGATGGCATAGGCATGGAAGTCGAGCCTGGTGCGAGGCTCCCACACCACCGCGTCGTAGGAGTGTGGGTCCAGGAGAACGGTGACATACCTGCCCCCAACCAGTATCTGTGGGAAGTTGCCAGGGATAGAGTGAGGAGTGTCACTGTGAACAGCAGCCGCTCTCAGTGGTCAGGGCCTTACTGTGTGCCAGGCACTGCCCCACTGGACAGTAACACACTATGTTCTCTTATCTATGCCTCACTACCACCTACCACCCTGTGAGGTAGGGACCATCACTCACCCATTTATAGCTGAAAAAGTGAGGCTTAGAAAGGAGAAGAAATGTGCCCAAGATCTCATAGCTGAGAAGTGGCAGGACTAGGACTGGAATTTGGGAATATTGAGGCTTTTTAAAATCAAAGACTGTGTTCTCTACCACCTCACTCTTAAGCACCTGCCATGATTATCTTGGTTATTGCCATATCTCCAGTAGCCAGGAGAGAAGGCGGCAGATGGATCCTGTGCACATCATGGATGGATGGATGAATGGATGGATGAATGGATAGATGGATGGATGGTTGGATGGAAGAATGGATGGATGGATGGATGGAAGGAAGGATGGATGGATAAGTAGATGGATGAATGGATGGGTGGATGGATGGATGGATGAAAGAATGGATGGATGGATGGAAGGAAGAATGAATGGATACATGGATGAATAGATGGATGGATGGATGGATGCTGTTGGGTAAATTCCAGTGGGTGGATTGTAGAAGAGTAAATGGGCAGATGGATGGATTGGTGAATGGGTAAATGAATGGAAGGAAGGAAGGAAGGGAGGGAGGAAGGAAGGAAGGAAGGAAGGAAATTGCTGGGTAAATACTTGTGGATACAATGTTAGATAGATGGATAAATGGAAGGATAGATCAATGAATCTATGTTGGATGGAAAGATGGATGGAAGGGCAGCTAGAGGTTGGTTGGAAACCAAATGTACCAATAAATGTTGGGTACATGGATGAGAGAATGCTAGGTAGATACTGGGTAAAGTGAAGGATGAATGTTGATTGGATGGAAGTTGGAAGGATACATGGAAGGTGGGTGGGTGGTGGTCGTTTGAATAGATGTTGTAAGGATGGATGGATGAGATATAAATAGATGTATATCCAGTGGGGAGACATCGAATACTGAATATAGCTGAGTGTTGGGTGGATAGTGGCAGATGAACAGAAAGATGCGTAGATAAACAGAAAAATGAAAGTTGGTGGAAACTGACCAGTTATCCCTCAGTATCCATGGAGGATTGGTTCCAGGACCTCCTGCAGATACCAAAATCTATGGATGCTCAAGTCCTTGATTTAAAATGGCATAATATTTGCAAATAACCTACATGCATCCTCCCATATACTTTAAGTCATCTCTAGATTACTTATAATACCTAACACAATGTAAATGCTAAATAAATAGTTGTTAAACTATATTTTTAGGGAAGAATTACAACAAAAAAGTCTAAAAAAGTTTAGTACCAACACATTTTCCCCCAAATATTTTCAATTCGTGGCCGGTTGAATCCAGAGATATGGAACCCACCCATGGATACAGGGGGCCAACTGTATACAGATGAAAGTTGGATGAACATTGGATCCATGAGTGGAAGAACTCTGGGTAGATCTGGGCAGACACATGAAGGGATAGAAGATGGATAAATGAATTGACAGATGTCGGGTGAATCTATGGAAAAACTGATGGGTGAGTGGATAGACGGAGGTTGACGAATGAATGCTGAGTAGATATAAGGATGGAAGGACGCTTAGTAGACACCAGGTGGACAGGCAGAAGAATGGGATGGGAAGATGGATGTTGAACGGATGGAAATGGAATGGATAGATGGAGGTCAGCTGCATGGATATACAAGTATTGGATAGATATTGAGTGACTGCATAACTCCACGCTGGGAAGAGCAAGAGGGAGACTGAAGGGATGATGTTAGGTCAGCATTGAGAGTGCAGCTGGACAGGCAGCTGGATAGAAAGTTGGCTCGACCACTCAGATGGATGTTGGATGGTGGGGTGGGGGGGTTGGCATAGGGACATATGTTGAAGGAATCAACAGAAACCAGATATGAGGCCCAGCTGCTCATCCCCATCCCTCCCGAGGCACAAGAGGCACTTACAGTAAAGATGTCACCGTGCTTCTCCTTCATCCTCGTGAGGAAGCTGGCAGCATCTTTTCCAAAGTCCAAGGCATACCCCAACCAGGGGATGCTGCCCAGGTCCAGGGGAGGCTCACCAGGTCGCCTACAGAAGCCATGGCACTTGTCACCATTTGATAAGGCAAGGAAGGGCATAAAGAGTGTAGGTTGCAGAGTGTGATTTTGAATGGAGCAGTCGGGGAGGTAATCTGAATGGAGCACTCGGGGACTATTGCCTCACCTGCTCCTTTTCTCTTGTAACATGTGGATGACCACACCCTCCCTCTTTCCCCTCCAGCCCACTTTTCCCCCTTTAAATACTGAAACCCTCAGAGTCATCTTTGAAGAAAGGCACAGACCACAGACTGTTTCTGTGATTCTGTGGTTTTTCTTCTCCCTGGCATTGTCCTTAACCTTGGTAAAATAAACATCTAAATTGATTGAGACCTAGCTTAGATACTTTTTAGTTTACAAATTGGCGACCATGAAGGGACTCCATGTAGGTGGCCCTGGCCTTTGACAAATCTCCTGTTGGTGTTTGGTAACAGCTTGGTATCTGTCTTCATTGGTCAAACCAGTAGGGCTGGGAGCTCCCTGCTGCAGAGAATCCCGAATCTCTGAAAATTTGAGATCTAAGAGAGCTACAATTTGAGAGCTAAGTTTTATTTTGTTGTACAACTCCTTTTCTGGAGTATTACTTGCTTCCAACAAGGAAGGCAAGTTTTCCTGCTTCCATGACGATGGAGAGCACGTAACTCCCTTCTGGAGTTTCAACTCACTTCCAACAAGGAAGGCAAGTTTGAAGTTTTTTTTCCTGCTTTGTAGATGGTAAAGTGCAGGCCAGGCACAGTGGCTGATGCCTGTAATCCCAGCACTTTGGGAGGCCAAGGCAGGTGGATCACTTGAGGCCAGGAGTTGAAGACCGGCCCGGCCATCATGATGAAACGTCATCTCTACTGAAAATACAAAAATTAGCCAGGCATGGTCGTGGTGCATGCCTGTAGTCCCAGTTACTCGGGAGGCTGAGGCAGGAGAATCGCTTGAACCCAGGAGGAGGAGGTTGCAGTGAGCTGAGATTGCTCCATTGCACTCCAGCCAGGGCGACAAAGCAAGACTCCGTCTCAAAAAAAATAAAATAAAATTTAACCTGAAAGACTGGTTCAGGCCGTGGTGGGAAGTGGGGGTCAGACATGACTCATTATACCCTCCAGCATTCATATCAACACAGACCTTAAGTCTGATAAGAAACCTTTACATCTATTCGCTCTGAAGCCTGCTACCTGGAGGCTTCATCTGCATGAGAAAACTTTGGTCTTCACAACCTCTTATTATAACCCAGACATTTATTTCTATTGACAATAACTCTTGCAACCAATTGCCAATCAGAAAGTTTTAAAATCCACCTATAACCTGGAAGCACCCCCCACATCAAGTTGTCCTGTCTTTCTGGACTGGACAAATGTATATTGTCAATGTATTTGATTGATATCTCCTGTCTCCCTAAAATGTACAAACCGAGCTGTGCCTTGACCACGTTGGGCACATGTCATCAGGATCTCCTGAGGCTGTGTTGTAGGCCATGGTCACTCATATTTGGCTCAGAATAAATCTCCTCAAATATTTTACAGAGTTTAACTCTTTTTGTCAGCAGTGTTTATGTATGTGTGTGTGTTTATGTGTGTGTGTATGCGTGTGTATGTGTGTGTATGCATGTGTATGTGTTTGTGTGTGTGTGTGTGTGTGTGTGTGTGTGTGTGTGTGTATGCCTTTATGCTTTCTTTTTTCTCTCCTAGGTTCTTGTTTTTTGAGAAAAAGATTTTTTCTTCCCAGTCGACTGAATTCTGTTTTCTCCATTTACTTCTGCCTGTCTCTCCTTCCTCTTGCCGCCCTCTGCTGCATAAGGGACCTAAAATAATTTCTAACAGCCTGGGATTCCTTAAAGAAAACAGAGAAGGTGCCAGACTCCTTCTGGGGAGAAACCTCTGTTTTTCCTTATGAAACCCTAAGAGTGTAAAAAGACAAGTTCCTCTCAGATCTTAAACTGATTGTTTTTGTATTGCGTTATCTGATTTCTTTTTTTTTTATTAACTAAAATAGCTATTACTACAGGAACTACTCTTGTGTGTTTAAGAGAGGGAGTGGTTAAAATACTTAGAGAAATGCTTTTGTAACAAAGTGCACTGTAAAAGCATTACATGGCTTAGTCTCATGATATCTCTCTCCTTTTAGAGACCCAGGATTCAGTGTGGACTCTGCCCAGAGCTCAGAGGTCCAGTTAAAAGACAGAGACTAAATTTAAATCTACCTATCTAAATAAAGTTTGTCTCCTCATAAAATCCTACAGAAGATTTCTATAATTTTATGTTTGGCTTGTGGCTTGGCATCCATTTTTAATCTCCCTCTAACACACCCAGTCTCTCTCTCCCTCTTTCTTTCTCTCTCTCTCTCTGTCTGTCTCTCTCTCTCTTTAGAGATATACATTTCCCTATCTGATTTTCACCCAAGAGTTGTTCCTTTAGTATGCAAGTTTGGCTGACAATTGCCTAGGGTAATGAAACAGGTTATCAAGAAATTGGAAGTCTAAGATAGTTGTCCTTTTTAGACCCAGGAGTCAAACACTATAACTTAACAGCACCAGGACTTAAAAACGATACAGAAAGTCACATGGATGTAATAACTTTTATTTAAAATTGTTTTATATCAGCTTTCCTAGGCAAATAAAAACATAAAACAACTTAGACATATTAAGAAAAGCCAGGAGCTTTATAACAGGAGAAAAAAAGGGGTCTTATGAATCTTATCAGATCTACTGCTGCCTGTCTGTCTATGTATTTATATGTCCTGTATATAATGTTTCACTACAAAAAAATACATAAGAGGTCTAATAAATTGGCTTAAAGAAAAAAATCAAATACTTTATCAGAAAAATAGAAACTTTAAGCCCAAATGGTTTTTCAAGCTCACATGACTTAAGTAAATCTTTAACAAATAAGCTGGTTTTAAAATTATTGGTAAAATAAAATTAGAAATGGTTTCAGAATTGTCAATATACATTATTGTTTTATATGTATTAGTCAAGGGGTTATATATTTATCTCTGCTAGATATTATAAGGTGACAAAATTTGGCATGAGGATTATGAAGCTATAAATCCAGCCCAAAAGAGAATTATCATTGTGTAACTTTTTGATAAATAAGGCATTTAATATTGTTCATTTAATGAAAACAGTTAAATCCTGAGTTATTGGCAAAAAACAAAAAACACACATGTATTTAACTTTAAAGTTCTTACTTAAGTAAACATCTGAAATTCACAGCTATAAAAATGATTAACAGGGAAATAACTTTAAATAGTGACTATCACAGTTTTCATAAGTAATCTAGGTAAACTATTTTAAAAAATTAATTAGGTAAATGTAATGAAATAAATGCTTATAAATAAATGTCATATAATTCAGAATCTAAAGTGATATTAAATTAAATAATAGATACCCATTAAATGTCTGGGTCATTTCCAATTTTTCCTTAAAAAGTTACAGAAAAACATTTTTCTTAAAAAAGTGTTCTTATTAAAAGGAAATAGTTTTGTCTAATTCAAAGGTTGTTTATTAAACAACGTAAAAAGAATAAGTAAATAAGAAGCATGTAAAGAAAATTATAAAGGGGTATCTTTGGCAAGAAAGGTTAAAAGAAAAATAATTGTATATGGAAAGAATCCCGTAAAAATTTTTTGTCCTAAAATAAAATGATTGATCATTTACGAAAGAGAGATGTTTAGGATAAAACAGGAAGCATGTTGTAAATGGTTTGTGTAAGTCATAATAAGGTTTATAAAAAGAGAATTTATGAAAAACATTTTATGTGAACAAGTTGACTATAATTAAAAGGAAATTATTTATAATAGTCTTTCTAGAGATTGGGTTTTGATATTAAAAATGCACTAATACACTAAAGAATTGGTTAGAACAAAATTTTCTTAAGGTATTATTTTACTGTTAATAACATTACATGAGATTTTAATTTTTTTAACTCAAAAGTTCAACTTTTATTGCATCTTGCTATTTTCAGCTTTCTCTCCTCTTTGAGAAGGACTGAGAGAATAATTCTCTCCATCAACATTTTCGTCAGCTCATATAAATTTTTTCCCTCAGGTCCTAACTGTTGTAGCCTGATGCTAAAAATGCTTTATCATAAAGGTCTAAAGGAAATGTTTTCATCCAATATAACATTCTGTGCTCCTGGCATTTCTTAATATGTCTAAATTGTTCTGTGTTTTGATTTGCCTAGGAAAGCTGATATAAAAAAATTTTTAATGAAGGTTATTACATCCTTGTAACTTTCTGTAATGTTTTTAAAGTCCTGGTGCTGTTTAGTTACAGGGCTTTGACTCCTGGGTCTAAAAAGGACACTGAGTCCTGCTAAATCTTAAACACTGACAGCAGTTAAAGCATCATCTTCAGACCTAGGAGGAGATGACATTCAAAATAAGCTGCATTTGTGAGACATGGAGCCAGAAATGAAAACTATTCAACCTCTCTAGGCCCAGGGACTATCATGGAAGAGGTGGGCATATGAGATTGTAAGGGCTGATTCTGAGAGATTAAATTAGTTCAGAGTTTCTCTATTAATTAAACATTAACATCAAAGGCACACTGATGCAAGACCAGCATCTGGGCTCCTGTGTCAGATTAACAAGGTTTTCTTGAAGCATTATCCCACCCTTTAAAAAATTATAAAAGTTTAGAAAATGGTTTATGGAAATTACATCTTAGGGTCAAGATGATTAAAATTTAATAGATTTGTTTATAAGATTTGAGAAACAGGATTTAATTGGCCTCATGCTGTATTTATTAGAGCTTATTATTTGGAAAATTAAGTCTCCTCTCTCAAAGAATAAAGGTTTTTAGGCCAGGTGTGGTGGCTCATGCCTGTAATCCCAGCACTTTGGGAAGCTGAAGCGGGTGGATCACTTGAGGTCAGGAGTTCAAGACCAGCCTGGCCAACATGGTGAAACCCCGTTTCTACTAAAAATACAAAAAAATTGGCTGGGTGTGGTGGCAGGTGCCTATAATCCCAGCTAGTCGGGAGTCTGAGGCACAAGAATTGCTTGAACCTGGGAGGTGGAGGTTGCAGTGAGCCAAGATTGCACCACTGCACTCCAACCTGGGCGACAAAGTGAGAGTGTCTCGAAAAAAAAAAAGAATAAAGGTTTTTGCCTTTTTTCTGAAATCTCTGAGTTATACCTTTGGCTAAATGAATGACTTATTTTACAATAACCTGTGATTCTATTTTGTGATGTCAAGTGTTTTAAACTTTCTATATTTGACAAACTTTCCAAAATAAAATAGTCAATTCAGTCCTTTTGACCTCATTAATTTTTTGGCATTAGGTCCTCTGAAGTCCAAAAGAGACATATTCGGCTTATTTGGTAAAATAAAATCATACAGGAAGCATTGTCAAATATGAAATGGTGTTTAATCTTCTTTGGATTATATTTATATAAATGAGTTGCTTATATAAATGAGTATGTGTTCCAAAATTGTATGAGATTCCTGTGATTCTGATATGACTTAGTATACATCATCAGTAGTAATTATGATTATTATGTAAAACTATTGAATACCACAGACGTAACCAAATTTCCTTGTCAATTGTGTCTTTAACTATGGCTGTTCTAAGACTTTTGTCATCCACAGTTGTTTTAGTTTGATCTTTTTATAGGTGATTTATAATCAGCTATAGAACTCTGAGGAGTACTCTTAAACATGGGCTTCTGACAACCTTAGAGATTGTGCCATTGGAATAGGGAGAAAAACTTCCAGGACTGTCATGGAGAACTGATGTATTCATGAGGACTGCTAATCCCATCTTGAGCAGAACAGGAGTTAATTGCATGAACTGAACTAACAGGAGATTGAAATAATCTTTTATGAGTTTTTGTTTAAAACATTTGTTGATTCTTTTTGTTTTGTTTTACAGAGTCAAGAAAACTTTCTCTTCTTTTAAGCTATTTATAGCTTTTAACAATTCAGTAAAGTATACTCTCATGAGAAAAATTTAAAACAGAATTTCTTTCTCTTTACCTATTTTTTCCAAAACTTGGAAACTATTTGTGAGTATTCTTAATTTATGGCAATGTAGTTATTTGCCTAAGTATCTTTTTTCTTTTATAACAGGGCATAATTGGAGACACTGGTTATTTTACCAAGGCTTTAACTGGAATGACATATTTTCAGACTACTTTGAGAAAATAAGGCTGAACTATAGAGCTAATAAAAGCACCTTGGAAAAACTGGCTTCATATACCCTGTCGTTTACAGGGTCCTGACCTGTGGAAAGCAAAGAATGTCACTTTTTGAATTCACTCAATTCATACAGGTATCTGCAGGCACAGCTAAATCCTTGGCTGGGTGTGAGGCTTTTAAAAAGGTCTAGACTCAGATTCCTTATGGAAAAGCTTCCAGCAAAGCCAATTTTAAAAAGAAGAGAGAGCTCATATGGCAAATGATCAGTCTTGCTGCATTTTATGAAAATAATCAAGCCAAGTATAATATAACTAAAACTTATTTTACAAATAAGTTGGTCCTACTATGATTTTGTCTTTAATAAAATTGGGGAATTGGAGAGAGAAAAGTCATGTTTCAAAATTAACTATAGTACACCTGTTATTAGAGTCTAGACTTGTCTAATGTTTTTCCATTTTTATTATTTTCCACAATTTGGACTGAATTCTAAAAATTCTCCTGGCTCCAAGTCTCCAAAAGAATGTTTTCAATGTTTTCCCTTCTTTTTTTTTTCCTCCCCTCATTTTTCCTGATGTGAAATCACTAAAAGTTAAGCTGTGCTTTTCTTAAAGCCCTATAAACTGAACTTAAACTTTGGAAGAAAATAAAAGCAATCTCTTTATATGCAGAAATCATTTTCATACCTGCCTACTGATATACGGACTTGAGAGTAATATGGCCTCTATCAGTTTTCCAGGTTCGTTCTTTCTTTTTTGTTTATCTGCTTACTTCCTCCTTTTTTCCTGTTTTCTTTCTCTCTTATTTTCTTTGTGTGATGTGAGACTTCACAACCTACTAAAACTGAGCTTTCCTAACAATGTGGGACCTATTCGTCTAGAAATAAACCATCCTAGACATGAGAGATCAGACAAAACCTGAGACCGGAGATTCATTTTCTTCTAAAATGCTTTCTCCAAAAGATCTTAAATAGAAAAGGGGGGCAGGCATACATGGTGGTTCATGCCTGTAATCCCAGCACTTTGGGAGGCTGAGACAGGAGGATCACTTGAGCCTAGGAGTTCAAGACCAGCCTGGGAAACAGAGTGAGACCCCGTCTCTACTAAAAATTAAAAAAATTAGCCCAGCATGGTAGCACATGTCTGTAGTCCCAGCTACTAGGGAGGCTGAGACAGGAAGATCGCTTGAGTCTGGAAGGTTGAGGCTGCAGAGCAAAAAACGTGCAGGAAGAAAGAAAAGAAAAAAAAAAAGAAGAAAAGAAAAGAAAACCAGGGAGAAAAGAAAACCGGGGAGAAAGGAAAATAAAAACTCAGGACACCAATTCACTCTGCCATGAGGAAAAAATTAAACTGAAAGCTGAGTCATGCAAGAAGCTGCCTTTCCTACTATTCCTAAGCAGATAGCTACAGATAAAAGTTTCAGTATCTCCATAGGCAGCTACTCTATGTTCACCTTATTTTATGTAAAGTGCTGATTTACTGTGCATGAGAGAAATACATCATTGACTATCGCCCTACCCGTTCCTTTTCTCTTGTGACATGGGGATTACCATACCTTCCCTCTTTCTCTTACAGCCCACCTTTCCCCCGCTTTAAGTATTGAAACCCTCAAAGTCGTCTTTGGAGAAAGGCACAGACCTCTCTACTGGGCATGTCCTTAACCTTGGAAAAAGAAACATCTAAATTGATTGAGACCTGTCTCAGACACTTTTTGGTTTACAGGTACCACTTCACCCACCAGGATGGCCATAATAAAAACAAAAATTTTAAAAAAGGAAAATAAGGCTGGGCATGGTGTCTCATGCCTATAATCCCAACACTCTGGGAGGCCAAAGTGGGAGGATCTCTTGATCCTAGGAGTTCAAGACCAGCCTGGGCAACATGGTGAGACCCTGTCTCTACAAAAAATACAAAAATTAGCCAGGTGTGGTGGTGTGCACCTGTAGTCCCAGCTACTCAGGAGGCTGAGTTTGGGGGATCACTTGAGCCTGGGAGGTGGAAGCTATAATGAGCTGTGACTGTGCCACTGGACTACAACCTAAGCAAGAGAACGAGACCCTGTTCCCACCACCAAAAAAGGGAAGAAAATAAGTGTTAGCAAGGATGTGGAGAAGTGAGAACCCTCATACATTGCTGGTGGGAATGTAAAATCGTGCAGCTGCTTTGGAATGCAGTCTGGCAGTTCCTCAAAACGTCAAGCATAGACTTACTACAAGACCCAGCAATGTACCCTAAAGAATTGAAAACGTTGGATCTTATACAAATGTATACACTATTATTCGTAAGCAGTGTCAGAGGTGTTCAAACCAGAGTGACTCCATGTTGAATAGGAGCTGGGTAAAATGAGGCTGAGACTTGCTGGGCTGCAATCCCAAGAAGAAGTTAGACAATTTTTTTTTTTTTTTTTGAGATGGAGTTTTGCTCTTATTGCCCAGGCTGGAGTGCAATGGCGCGATCTCAGCTCACTGCAACCTCCGCCTCCCAGGTTCAAGTGATTCTCCTGCCTCAGCCTCCCAAGTAGCTGGGATTACAGGAATGAACAACCATGCCCGGCTAGTTTTGTATTTTTAGTAGAGACAGGATTTCATCATGTTGGTCAGGCTGGTCTCGAACTCCTGATCTCAGGTGATCCACCTGCCTCCGCTTCACCAAGTGCTGGGATTAGAGGCGTGAACCACCATGCTGGGCCAGGAAGCTAGGCATTCTTAAGCGCAGGATGTTTACGATCAAGGGAACACGTTAAATCATGCTTACCCAACAGACCCAAGACTTAACAGATCCAGGACTTAACAGACCCAGGAAACATCCTGCTGTCCCGATATTTTATGAACAAAAGCCTTCTTAGTTTAAGAATAAGTTTTGCTTTAAAGATAATAATATAGATTCTTATGGAAGATTGTTAGGTAACAATCTTTTGTCCCCAGCCCTTGTGGTAGAAGAGCACACCTCTCCCATGATTTTTATCTTCTATATAAACAAGAAGAATTGTAACTAAGGCAGACACATTCCTCCTCTTGCCTTCGGAAACGCCCTGGTCTGTCTATGGTGTGGCCACTCTTTCGTTCCTTTACCTTCTTAATAAACTTGCTTTCACGTTACTCTGTGAACTCACTCTAAATTATTTCTTGCCTGAGATCCAAGAACCCTCTCTTGGGGTCTGGATCAGGACCGCTTTCGGGTGACAGCAGCATTATTCGTAATAGCTGAAAAGTGAAAACAACTCAAGTGTTCGTTGAGTGACGAACGGATAAACAGAATGTGGTGTATCAATGCCACGAAACGTTACTCAGCCACAAAAAGGAATGAAGTACTGATTCATGCTACGATGTGGGTGAACCTTAAAAACATTAAGCCCAGTGAAAGAAGCCAGACACAAAAGGCCACATATTGTATTAATTCATTTATATGAACTGTCCAGAATTGGGAAATCAATAGAGATAGAAAGTACATTAGTGGTTGCCCAGGGCTGGAGGAGGGGGAAATGGGGAGTGACTGCTAATGGGTACATGGTTTCTTTTAGGGGTGATGAAAATATTCTGGAATTAGATGATGGTGATGATTGCACAACCCGGTGGATATACTAGAAACTATTGAATTATACACTTTTTTTTTTTTTTTTGAGACGGAATCTTGGTCTGTCGCCAAGGCTGGAGTGCAATGGCGCGATCTTGGCTCACTGCAACCTGCACCTCCCGGGTTCAAGCAATTCTCTGCCTCAGCCTGCCGAGTAGCTGGGATTACAGGCACCCGCCACCACGCCCGGCCAATTTTTTGTATTTTTAGTAGAGATGGGTTTCACCATCTTGGCCAGGCTGGTCTTGAACTCCTGACCTTGTGATCCATCTGCCTCAGCCTCCCAAAGTGCTGGGATTACAGGCGTGAGCCACCATGCCCGGCCGAATTATACACTTTAAAAGGGGAGCTGGAGGGCCGTGGCATGATCATAGTTGACTATAACCTCAAACGTTTGGACTCACGCAATCCTCCAGCCTCAGCCTCCCGAGTAGCTGGCACTATATATAGGCACATGCCATCACACCTGACTTTGTTTTTCTATTTTTTTATAGAGACAGGGTCTTGATGTGTTGCCTAGGTTGATCTTAACTCTTGGGCTCAAGCACTCCCTGTCTCAGCCTCCCATAGTGCTGGGATTACAGGCATGAGCCACTATGCCCAGCCCAAAAGGGTGAACTAAATGGGATATGAATTATATTCCATTAAAGAAAAAAGAAAACAGGGTGGTGTGAGACAGTGAGGGGGGCTGGTTTACAAAAGGTGGTCAAGGAGGGCCTCCTCAGGAGATGCCACGTGAGCAAAGACCAGAAGGATGTGAAGGGAGTGCTCTGGGAGGGGCAGGGAGAAGAGTGTTACAGGCAGAGGCAACAGCAAGTGCAAAGGTACTGGGGTGGGAGCATGCTCGGTGAGGTTTTCGAGACAGCAGGAGCCAGCGTGGCTGGAGTGGAGAATGTGGGGACGAGACGTAGGCGATGATGCTGGAGATGACTTTGTGGACCACGAGGGCCAAGGCCAAGGTGGGAGTCCGGCTCCTATGCCACGCGTGGCAGGGATCCACTGGAGGGTTTGCAGCAGGAGCCAGTAAGTGATGTGACCACACCTTTAAAGGGTCATACCAGAGAAAGACAAGAGGAAGGAAGGAGATGTGTCAGGGAACTACCGTGACCCCCCCAGGAGAGCAATGTGGTGGAAGCAATGGCCATGGTCCCCGGGGAGCCAGACCTAACATCTGAGTCTCCCACTTTCAGCACAGGGCCTTTTGTTCCACACCCAGCAGTTCAGGGAAGCAGCCACTTCTCTTCCTCCTTTCCCCCTCCCTCTCTACCTCCCTCTGCCCCTGTCTCCTGCTCCCTTTTTCCCTCTACCTGGCTGCCCCCAGTATAACCCAAAGGGTGGGACAGCTCGTGGGCAGGAGCAAATGGCCAGATTTGAGGGCCAAGGCTGGGAAGGATGGGAGCAGAAGCAAAGATGAAATTTGAGGGCCTAGGAAGTGCCTCTCCCAACCATTCCCTCCTCTCCCCAGCCCATCCCGGCTTCTCTAGTCAAAGAGGAGACTTGCAAATTTGAGCTCTGTGAGTCTAAGGAGGTGCAGGGCCTTGCCTTGTGCCTCATCTTTTTGTGAGCCCCTGGGCTAAGGCCACTTCTCCTGAAGTCTCCACGTGTCGTGCTGCCCAAGTAGCCTTGGAATAACTGGTTCATGGCAGCCCCCTTCCAGCCCAGGTCAGAGCCTGGCAGACTGGACCCAGAAGCAGTGATTTTTGCATAAGAGGCAGGAGGGCATGGTCACGATGAGCCCAAACTTTAGCACCATACTTCCTGGCTTCAAATCCCAGCCACGCTTCTTGCTGGCTGTGTGACTTAGCTTCTCCATGCCTCTATTTCCTCATCTGTAAAATGGAAGCAATAATGCTACTGACTGCATTGGGCTGTGCCAAGGATGAGGGGAGTTACAGAGCACCTGGCACCTAGTAGCTGGGAAGCAGCTGAGAAGCAGGAGCAGTAAGATTCCTGGGCACCATTTACCTAGTGCCAACTACACATCAGGAGCTATACTTGGCATTTTCCAAACGTTTCCTTGTTTGGAAATAATGGCTAACATTTAATGAACGCTGATGGTGTGGGAGACACCACACTGAGGACTTTATCCCAGTGACTCAATGAATCCTCCCCCTAACCTTATGAGGAAGCAATTATTACTGCCAGGCCCATTTTACAGAGGAGGAAACTGAGGTGCAGAGGGCTAAGTCACATGCCAGAGGGTCCAACATAGAGGACTTGGGTTTCTAATCCAGACAGGTCTGGCTGCAGTGCCCACCCTCTTGACACTACCCTGGCCCCCAGTCACCCTAAGTGGGCATTTTCACCTCCATTTTGCAGAGATATTCCAGAGACCTACTCAAATGCAGGCCCTGAAATTTTCTCCTAAAACATCTTTGCAGGCGGGAGCAGGCTTTCTTCCCCTGCCTTTCTCCTGGCTGTGGCCGGAGCTCCCCAGCGAGCCAGGTGTTATTCCTGGCAGCTTTCCTCTTTCCCCAGAAAAGTCCCAAGGAGGCGCAGACAAAGGCAGGAAGCCCGGAGCCCAGGCGCCTGACCCCTGATGTTGGCTCCTCCAGCCTTGGGCCCTCAATCCAACTCAGGCCGTGGTCACATTCCAGGGTGACTCAGCCTGCAGCCAGCGGGGGCGAAGGAGGCTCTGTTTTGGGGACTGTGGGCTCTAGCCCCACCCACGGACACTCTCACTTTTTTTTAGGTACTGCCAGGCCCTGGCGGGCAGGGCGGTGGGCCCTGACCTTTCCATCCCCGGCTCCTGCCCACACAGCCGGTTTCCTGCCCACCCTGGGTCAGATCCCAAGGCATCTTTTCTGATTTCCGACTGGAGCCCCATCACATGGGTTCCTCTAAAAACGGCCTATTCCTCACTCACTGACCCCTGTCGCCTGCCCTGGATCTCTCTCCCACTTGACCCTTTGTGAACCAGGGAAAGGAGTCAAGGATGGGATGTCACCCGCCTCCATGCCCCCTGACGTATCGCATCTTCACTAGATGGAAGAGCCATGAAGGGAGGGCGTGTTGTTCACTCCAGCACTCAGAACAGTGGCTGGTCTGAATGAATCATGTATGCAGTCGGTGCTCAATGGGCAGCACCTGCCTCCCAGAGTTGCTGAGAGGGTTAAGAAAGCCAATGCAGGTTAAGCACTTGACACAGAGTCCATCTTCTAGATTGTCCAGAGCAGAGGCTGGCATGGTTCAGCTGTGCAATGTTGGGTAGACTGCCCAACCTCTCTGTTCAATCATTTCAACTCAATGCAGGGCCTTAAGCTCTGGGAGGATTTAATGGGGAACAAAAGGGGGCTTAGTTGCACAGGTGAGCTGGAGCAACCCAAAATTCTGTTTAACCTGCTTAACCCATTCTTCCCCCAGGGCTCACCCACAGGCCTCCAGGGTTTTCAGTCTGCCATTAACAGGGTTTCCCAGATGCTCTTCCATACCTGCCCCGCACTGCTACCACTGTGCATAAAAAGCACGTGGCCTTGCCCTAGTTTTTGTTTTCTGGTTTTTGAAATAGACACAAATTCACAGAATTATTTCTCAACACAGGAAAAAACAGCAGAGGAAGTACAGTGGTAACTAGAATAGCTGCATGCTGGAGAGGCAATAGGGAGTAGTGGGGACTGTGGCAAGATTTAGAGAGGGTGCTACCACTGAGTCCCAGGAAAGTATTGCTAGATCTTCCCATTTTTCAGAAGAAGTTGGAAATCTAGATTTTTGTGTATGGAATCCCCCAATTTTCTCCCCATGTCCCACACAGCACAAACCCAGCCCATCCAGGGCTGAATCCAGTCACGGACCACTGTTGGGTGACCTCTGGTCAGTGCATGTTAGAATGAGACAGATTTATTTGTGCCTACAAATTCTGCATCCTGCAAGGGCCCAGACCAGCCACTGGGCCACAGTGACCCTCGCTTGATGCCACTATGCCTTCCGGACCCCCAGAAAAGGAGCCTCCCAACCAAGAGATCTCTCTCAGTGCTCCCTGTGGTGGTCACACAAGCCCAAAGGAAGAGATGCAGTAGCCTGGTGATATGGCTGGGGCTTGAGAGACCACCTCCATGAGCCACCTCGAAGTACAGATAAACTGAGGCCTGGGAAGCAGGAAGAATGCTTCTGATACTCACAAGGCAAATCAATTAGTTTCAAGGGGCCCACAAGCCATACTCCTAACTCTCAGCTCACCACCCTCATGTTCACCGAATGGGGCTCGAAAATTCTTGCTGTAATTGCAGAAATTTGAATTTGAACTGGGAACTACATGACATTAAGAATTATCTTTTTATATTCTCAGGCAAGAAAATAGAATTGTAGTTGTCAGTTTTATATGCATTCTGAAATATTCAAGGGTGGAATATCATGACATCTAATTTTTTTTTTTTGAGATGGAGTCTCGCTCTGTTGCCCAGGCTGGAGTGCAATGGCGCAAGCTCCGCTCACTGCAAGCTCCGCCTCCTGGGTTCACGCCATTCTCCTGCCTCAGCCTCCTGAGTAGCTGGGACTACAGGTGCCTGCCACCACGCCTGGCTAATTTTCTGTATTTTTAGTAGAGACGGGGTTTCATCGTGTTAGCCAGGATGGTCTCGATCTCCTGACCTCTTGATCGGCCCGCCTCAGCCTCCCAAAGTGCTGGAATTATAGGTGTGAGCCACCGTGCCCAGCCTATGTCTAATATTTTTTAAATAATGTTAATGACTGTCAAATCAAGGTATAGGTACATGGGGCTTCTTACCGTATTCTTTTTCTTTTTCTGTATAGTTGAAATGTTTCCTAATTTAAAAGTTTTAAATTAAATTCTAAAGGTAAAGACGGAGTTGCTCACTCCCAGAAGTAGTGGTGTCTTACTGGGATAAGCATGAATTTTGGAGGGGCCTAGATGTGGAGTATAATTTTTGTATGACCTTGGGAAAGTCACTTCATCTTTTTAAACCTCAGCTGTATGATAAGGGTGATGGAAATTACCTCAAGGCTTGGTCAGGATAAAGAAATGAGACAAGGGAGCTGGAGAGCCTTGCTTATTTTAACCCAAACTGGATCACCATTCAGACGGCATCAGGGTCACCCACTTGTTTCACTTGTTTGCCCTTTTTTTTTTTTTTTTTTGAGATGGAGTCGCTCTGTCGCCCAGGCTGGAGTGCAGTGGCAGGATCTCAGCTCACTGCAACCTCCATCTCCCGGCTTCATGCCATTCTCCTGCCTCAGTCTCCTGAGTAGCTGAGACTACAGGCGCCTGCCACCACGCCCGGCTAATTTTTTTTGTATTTTTTTTTTTTTTAGTAGCGATGAGGTTTCACCGTGTTAGCCAGAATGGTCTCGATCTCCTGACCTCGTGATCCGCCCTCCCGGCCATTGTCCTTCTTTAAGAATTTTTTGCTTGTAGTTGCATTTCTTAGTATCTAAAAGTCACATGGTTCTAAGACTTTTGAGTGTTCAGATTACCAGTATAATGTGTGGGAAGACTGAGAATTCATTCTTCCTGTGAATTAAAAATTCTTGCAAAGCCAGGCGTGGTGGTTCACACCGGTAATTCCAGCACTTTGGGAGGCTGCGGTGGGAGGATCGCTTGAGCTGAGTTTGAGACCATCCTGGACAACATGGCAAGATGCCATCTCTACAAAATTTTTAAAATTAACTGGGCATGGTGGCACACACCTGTAGTCCCACCTACTCAGGAGGCTAAGATGAGAGGATCACCTGAGCCCAGGAGTTCAAGGCTCCAGTAAGCTATAATTGTACACTGCACTCCAGCCTGGGCCACAGTGTGAGATCCTATCACTAAAAGTAAAAGCTAAAAATTCTTACAGCCCAGAGTTTTAATCCAGACAGACCTTGAGCAAGTTGCTTAGCCTTTCTGAGCCTGTTTCCTCCTCTGTAAAATGGAGATAACCAGAGTGTCCCTAGCTGAACTGGAAGGAGAAAGTGAGATTGGGGATCTAAACTGGGGTCCCCAGGGTCCATGCACCTACCCTCAAGCTGCCAGTGACCCTCATTCCCACACTTCTCCCCACTACCCACTGTTGACCCTTCCAAGGTGCCCACAGGTATAAAAATCAAAGGCTCAGCAGGGCGCGGTGACTCACGCCTGTAATCTCAGCACCTTGGGAGGCCGAGGCAGGCAGATCACCTGAGGTCAGGAGTTCGAGACCAGCCTGGCCAACATGGAGAAATCCTGTCTCTACTAAAAATACAAAAATTAGCTGGGCATGGTGGCACATGCCTGTAATCCCAGCTACTGGGGAGGCTGAGGCAGGAGAATCACTTGAACCCAGGAGGCAGAGGTTGCGGTGAGCCGAGATCGTGCCATTGCACTCCAGCCTGGGCAACAAGAGGGAAGATCCATCTCAAACAAACAAACAAACAAAAAAAGAGCCCATAACGTATTCACATGATGGAAGACTCCAGAGAGGATCAAAAGAATGGATTCGATCTCCTTGTAGCAAAAAGATCTGCTTGTAGCAAAAAGAACAGATGTCAAAACTAAAATCTGGAGTGAAAAGAGCAAGCAACATAATGTCTGAAAACATTTCTATACAGTGTATTGAGAAAGCCTGACAGGAAAAATAATTCATTTCTTCCCTGAGACATTTATTCACTGTCTTTTTCTTTTCTTGTTTTAAGGCAAATGATTGACTACACAGTTGTAAATTTCAGCTGAAAAGATGTCTGGAGGTTGAAGAAAAATACAGTGAGCTTATTGTTTGAAAATTCAACTACCATATTGTTTAAAAATCAAAAAGTTCCCAAGGTTTCCGGAATTTTCAGACACGAATGTAAACTAACTCTCTCTTACGTGGCTCTGTATTAGCTACAAGCTCATGTCTATGTATGTAAGAGTAATTTTTATGTAAGAGTAATTTTTAAAACATCTGGGAGACTGAGGAGGTATGAAAACTAAAGGCAATGTGGTAACTTGGGGCCGGATCCTGGAACAAAAGAGGACAGTAATGGGAAACTGGATAAAATCCCGTGAAGTTTGAAGTTTAGTTAAGAGTAACGGACCAGTGTTGGTTTTTAGTGGCGACAAATGTCCCATAACAATGTAAGATGTTAACAATAGGGAAAACGGGGTGAGAGAAATACAGGAACTTTTTGTACTATCTTTGCAACTTTCTGTAAATCCCAAACTAGTCTCAAATAAAAAGTATATTTTTTTAAATATGGAAGGTTCTACCCAGACTCAGCAACAGGAGAGGCCCAGAGAGGGAGAGAGGACTAGACTTCAGGGGCTGGGGGAGGGTTAAGGGGCTTCGGTCTTACCTATAACAGGATAAATATTTGTGTTAAGTCGAATGTATTCAGCTATTCCTTATGCAATTCAAGTTAACTTAAAAAATATTTTATGAAAAGGAGAGCTACAGCTATCTCCTTGATTTGAGGCTGTCTTTACTTTTTCTCCTAAATCACAGATGCTCAATGGAGCTGGAAAACCTTTGGGACCAGGAGGCTGTGACATCTGACCCTGGCTCCGTTCTGTCCAGGCTGTGGGACCTCAGGGGAAGGTAGAGACTTCATAGGCCTCAGTTTCTCCCTGGCAAATGAAATTACTAAGCCCACCGACCCCCGTCTTCCAGACGGGGAATCCCGGGGTGGGTGGTTCCAGGGCATGATCAAGACATCCCCCAGGGGCTCTACACTCCGCTGGCTCAACACTCCCATCTGTGTAATGGGTTGAGGAGCGAGGCTATCCCTATAGGACTGCCGAAAGCAAGGCAGGGTTTGACAGCGCGTAGGTGGGTGCCAGGTGCAGGCAGAGGCTGGAGAGTGGAGAGCGCTTCTTCCACCCGGGCCACGCAGAGGCTGTCCCCGCACGGCTCCCCACCCACAAACCCTCGGTCCTCACCTGAAACCCCCTCCTAGGTCCCTGCCGTCGCGCTAAGGGCCAGACTCGGACTTGTCGCGGTGGGCGATTCGCCCCGGGGGACCTACCGGACCCCGCACCTTCCCACCTTGCACCTTCTTGGCAGGGGGAGCACGGCCTGGCCCCCTCACCCACGTGCGGGGCCCCGGGACTCCCACCTCCGAGGGTCTCGCCTTGCCCGGGATACTGGAGCGGGACTCGGGCCGGGCCGGCCGCGGGCTCCGAGACCCTTGGGCTGCAGCCCGGGCGGGAGCCGCCCCCTTTGTCTGGCGGGGCCGAGCGGAGCAGGACACTCACCGCGTGCGGCGGCGGCTCAGTAGCAGCAGCAGCAACAGTGCGGCCAGGAGGCCGAGGAGCGCGGCCCAAGCCATCGCGGGGCTGGCGGGGCTGGCGGGGCTGGCGGGGCTGGCGGCCTGGCCCACTCCCAGGTAAAGTTCCCCGCCCCCACCCGGCGCGCCCCTCCCACTCCGCCCACCCCAGCCCGCTTTGGGGCGGGGTGGGGGGGGTGGGGGATGGGGCCCTCCGAGGTCCGCAGGGGTCGGACCGGGGCGCTCTGTTAGAAACCCTGCTCCCCCCAGCTCAGGCCTGATGGAAAATGTGGGAGGGAGGGGAGGGGAGAAGGAGGGGGAGGGGGAGGGGGCGGAAGGGATGTGGTGGGCTGGGGAGTGATCAAGGGGAAAGGAGATAGATGGGGGACTGAGGGGGATGTGGTGGACTGGGGGGTGATGGAAGGGAGGGGAGAGGGAGAGGATTTACAGGAAGGAAGAGATTATATGCGGGGAGGGAAGAGGGATGGGGAAGATGGGAGAGGACTTTTGGGGAAGGGAAGAGGAGGGAATGTGGGAAGACGGCGGGACGATGGGGAAACAGCCAAGGAGGTATGGGGAGGAGGGGGCACAGTGGGAGGAGAAAATGTGGTGGGAGGGGACGAACATGGAGGAGGAGTGTAAGGGGGTCAGGAGGAGCTTTCCCACCACATTCCACATTCCACCTAGACAGAGGAAACCCCCCAAGGCTCCTCCTCACCCCATCCCCCACCCCAGGCGTGCTGGGGACCTGGAGTTTTCCATTCTGTGGTCTGGGCTGGGAGGGCTGGTCTGGATTATATCGCACCCTATAGTATCTTCAGTAACTACTGGGCAGGGGGTACAAGGGTGTCTCAGGGAGTCCCCTCATCCTCACCTGCTTTGGGGACAGATAGTGCCCGTGAAGTATGCACCCTCTACCTGGTGCACGTTAGGGCCTCCGGATGTGGTGGCCATTGTCATCGCTACCTGGTGCTTGGGGTGCCAGCCCCCTGTGCCCGCGGCTCTGCAATGTACCACCCCAGGGTGCTGATGAGAACTGGGGGTCAATCCAGCCTCACTCCACGCCCCTGCCCCCACCATCCCCATTCCCACCCTGGGAAGCGTTGGGCAGGTAGCTCAACCTCTCTGAGCTCACCTCATTATCTGGAAACAGGGAGGGCAGAGTTGTGCTTACCTCTGGGGCTGTTGTGAGGAAGTGATGAGAGCTTGACACTAAAAGGAATCACAAACTGTTGAGTGCTTGGCACACTAAGTTTTATGAAACCATGGGCTGAACCTGGAGGTAAGACCCAGGAGGTCTTGTTCTAGTCCTGTATCCACCCATTCAGTGCCGGGTGAGCTTAGGCACGTTTCATTCCATAGTCCCAGCAGAGCTCTGGAGAAGCTGTTGCTCCTCCTGGTCTCCTGGCTTCCATCCTTATCAGCCAGGGTCCTGACAAGGCCCTTCGAGAACCAGCATGATCCGCCCCTTCTCACCTTTACCTGCCTGACCCTATGCCCCCGACTCTCTCCCTCACCCACTCTGCTCCAGCCACACTGATCTCCCCATCTTTCCCTAGAGGTCCCACTGCAGGGCCTTTGCACGTGCTGTTCCCTCTGTTCGGAGCATTCTTCGCACAGCCTGCTCTTTCCACCACCTCCCCGGTGCCTCTATCTCTGCTCAGCTGTCACTGCAGAGAAGCTGTCTTTGGCCACCTGGTCTAAAACAGTCATCTCCTCTTACTGATTTTTGTTTCTTTGTTTTTTTGATAGTTTTTTTTTCTGGCAGTACTTCACATGTCCTGCTATCATACTCAAGATTCATTCATTTGCCTGCTTAATGTTGGCTGTCGAGGCAGCTGGATGACCCCCTTGTGGCCTCAGCAGATTCAGAACAGCAGGAGGCAAAAGGAGTTTTCTGATCCTCTTGTTTATTTTTCCAGCTTATCTGCCAGAGAAGCCAACAATCCCAAGAAGGCCATAGAACGGGTCCAGAGGATTTTCTCCAAATTTGGGGAGCTCCAAAGGGCTGTCTGCTAGCAGTGGGGTTCACAGCTGGGCTTGGCCGATCCTCAGCTTTGTGACCCCAAGCAGACTGCTCCACCTCCCTAAGCTGAGGTTCCTCATTGACAGAATGGGGAAAAGAGAACCTCATGGAGTTGAGGTCAGGAACAAACGACCTGGTCCATGGGGCACACCTATGTGAGTGCCTGTCACACCATGAGCATCAGGGAAAGTTAACCGCAATTAGCGCTTATACCAGTTCCGCTCCTCTCCATTATCTGTGATCAGGCTTGGTCTCAATTTTCCCATCTGAAAAATGGGAAGAACAGTTCCTTCCTCATGGGGCTGCTTTGAGAACTGAATTAAATGAAAAGAGAATGAAATCACCCAGCACAGGGTCTGGTATACAATAGGTACTCAATAAATATTAGTTCTTCTACTCCCCACCCCTGGCTTCAGTGCAGACCAATATCACCTCAATACAAATATCTCTTCCAGATACTCTCTTCCCTTCTCGACCCATAGACAAAATCCTCCCAGGGAAGGAGAGGCAGCTGCTCACACACCAAAGGGAGATGAATGTGAGCCTCTGGTTCTTCCTGGATTTGTTCAGGAGTCGGCATATGTTTAGGAAGGTGGCCAGGCCCCCTTCCCAGAGAATGACCCACCATGGGTCTGAGCTGGTCCAGGAAATCCACCTTTGCTAGTGATTTGTCCTGAGGTGGGCACCTTCCAGATATCTGTTGCGGGCTTCTAGAAAAATGTGTTTCCTTCCTATTTGCCTTCTCTTCTGCTTTGGGGGCAATCGTGTGGGAATGTGATTAGTGGGGGAGCTGAGGGGGGCTGTAGTGTTATGAGGGAAGGCCAAGAAAACTGCAGAGCCCCAAACCAGAGCTGCGGAATCACCATCCCTGGAACCACCTGCCTATAGATTTCTCATTTAATGAGCTAACCACACGTCTGTGCTAGGACACCATGAGTCAGATTTTTCTAATACTTGCAGCCAAAGACATTCCCAACTGAGACGCCTTCTAGATATGGCTGAAGGGAGGACCAAATGAGGCAATGATGCATCCGGAGCACCTCTGCAGGACTGGCCCATGCGAGAATTCAAAAGTGTTGCTTTGTTTTATTATTTTTACTTTGCTTACTGTGTAAGCTTTCTATGTTTATCAGGCTGACAGGACATCCAACCCTCTGGCTATGGCATCTTGGAGGAACAGGCAGGCCTTGAAAATAGCAGAAATTCCGAATTCCCCTGCCCCGGGAGGACTCAAAGGACCCTGCTGAGGACAGAGCTGATATGGCCTCAGAATAAAGATGAGGGAAGACCATCCCAAGGAAGACCCCTCTAGCCCATGGCAAAAGGGCTGGAATACGCAAGGATTTGAAAAGCAAGTTTTGCTTTCCATATAAACCTAAGCAAGTCGCTTAATCTGTGAGCCTCAACTACTTTACTTGTGCAATGGGCATGTTGCTGGTAGTGGTGATAGCAGGGAGCCACCGAGAGAGCTTCCAAGTGTGCCATCTAAGCCCTCCTCTGGGGAAGGGAAGCTCCTCTGGGGAAGGGAAACTGGACCCCCGGGAAAATTTATTCTCCCAGGGACGAACATCCAGACATTTCCCTGTAGGAGCCTCAGTGTGTTCAGATGTTCACTGTCCAGTAGAAACAAGACATCTAGGCAACTCTCCCATCTCACCAAGCCTCTGCTCTCTTCTGTGGCCACTGTGGGGTTGTGAGAGTAATGTCAAGACCCAACCCAATTAGAACACAGGGAATTTTGCCTGGGAAAGGGAGCCCTTCTACCCTACACCCCTGCTTTCTCTCTTCCAAGGATCAGGTCTGATTCATGTCTGCATCCTAAAGGCTACAAATAAACTGTGTCCGGAAAGGAAAATATTATGTGTATTGCCTTCTTCAAGGCTAAAAACCAGTCTCAACAGAGAGGGGCAGTTTTAAATATTTTTTTGTAACAATAGTTCTAACTTTAGTTAGTAACTGAAGCCATCTGAAACACTTTTTCATAATAATTTATTTATTCCCCACAAAGAACCTATAAAATGGGTAGTAAAATTATTCCGAATTCACAGATGGTGAAATCAAGGTCCAGAAAGAGTCACTTCACCCAAGGTCACGTAGTACTTCCTTTGATAAGCTAGAGCATGGGAATTTGATGGCTTCTTAGGACAAGCTAACTTACTCCCTGGTGCTGCAAACACACCCTGGGCCTTCCCACCTCCACACCTTTGCTCATGCTGTTTACCTGCCTGGAAGCCCTCTCTTTCTCTACCTTTTGATTTTTCCAAATCGGTTAGGAGCAGGTTCTCCAGGAGAGCCAAGATGAGATGAGATATACTAAAGGCTTATTGAGGGAGTGCCAGGGAGTAAAATGAAGAGGGAGCCAGAGAGGGCTGGGAGAAAGGGACAGAAAGGAGGACAAATGGAAGGAAGGGACAGAGGAAAGAAGGGACCGTGGGCTGCAGTGCATTCTTAGAAAGGTCAAGTCTGGCCGGGCACAGTGGCTCATGTCTGTAATCCCAGCACTTTGGGAGGCTGAGGTGGGTGGATCAGTTGAGGTCAGAAGTTCAAGACCAGCCTGGGCAACAAGGTGAAAACCCCGTCTCTATTAAAAATACAAAAAATTAGCCAGGAGTGGTGGCTGGCACCTATAATCCCAGCTACTTGGGAGGCTGAGGCAGGAGAATTGCTTGAACCTAGGAGGCAGAGATTAGAGTGAGCCGAGACCGCACCACTGCACTCCAGCCTGGGTGACAGAGCGACTCTGTCAAAAAGAAAAAAGAAAGAAAGAAAAAGAAAGTAAGTAAGTTAGTTCAAGGCTAACAGGTTGTCCTTGAGCCTCCTGAGGAGCCCTATGTCTCCCAAGAACAAGTCTGCTTCCCCCAGTGATTGGCTAGGAGCAAACCCTGGGAAGCATGGCATATCTGTCAATCAGGCTCCACCAAGGGAGGTCCCAGAGGTGTGTTTTCATGGCTGCTGCAGCTACGAAAGGAAGCACAGCTGCCGTCTAAAACTGGAACAATGCAAGAATAAATTCTTCCACTTACAGAAGCTAAACGAGGTTGAGAGGTGGAGGGGAAGGAGAGACCCAAACCGCAACGTTTCTGGTGTTTTTGTGCTGCTAAAGAGAGAGTGGTAAACTCAAGTCTTCGAGCAAGTATTGCAAATGAATGAAGTGAGCCAGTCATATCAGGAAGGCAACAGGGAGGGATGGGAACAATGGAAAACTAGAGAGGGCTGCCCCATCCAAAAGGAAGCAGCTTCTGGCAGTACCAGCCAACTAAAGCCACGTAGAAATACATGCCTAGTGTGGCCAGATCTTTAGACTCAAGAGAAGCCAGAAATAATGGCTCCAATTATTTTAAAACGCTGCATAGACCAACAGCACACACCTGCCCCCAGATTTTTAGCCCTGCAGTCTAGTTGTGCCAAGGGCCAGTGGTTTAAACATTTGGGGTATGTAAAATAGGTTTGGAGTTGGGATGTTGAACAAAATTGCTCTGTAGAATTAAGGAAGGACAACAGAGTTTTAGGGGGCAGCCTGAAAGAGGGGGCAAAGACCAGGCCGACATGAGCACAGATTGGGGGCCTGTCCCAGTGTGACATCCTCTGTGGAATTAGGAGCCAATAAATGACCATTTCTATTGGTGATGTGTCATACTGAGTGTTTAGTTGTTTGCTGTCTTGGGCTGTGGAATAACACCACACATACACTCATATACATACACACGCACACACACACATGCACTACTCTCACATACACACTCACATGTTGCCCCAGTTACCCCCAAACGTTCAGAAACAATCTGCTACACACGTCAAGTGACCAACGCATCCTGGTTTGCCCAGACTTTCCCAGTTTTAGCACTGAGAGCCCTGCATCCTGGGAAACCTCTCGGTCCTGGGTAAACCAGGAAGGTTGGTCACGCTATCACCACACCTCAGCGTAGCGTGTGAGTGGCCAGAGATTGGGTCAGAGCTGTGGCAGCCACCTTGGAGCCTGAGGAGAATCTTTGCTAAGTCACACAATTAATTAGCCACCCCTGGAACTGTGCTGCAGTAGATTAGATCATAGTCTCCAATTTTTACCCACTCCCTGTATCAGAATTAGACATTCACGCCCTTGGCTGCAGGGTTGCGGTGCCTCCCACTATGAGCAGAGAATAGTATCTCCCTGACTCAGTGATGGTGGACTCGGGCCTGTGACTCAATTTGATCAGTGGAGGATGAAGAAATGACCAGTTGCCAGTTCTGAGCAGAGGTTTCACGAGGAATCACATATTTCCACTTGACCTTGGTTTCTGCCTTGAGCCATGACCCACAGGGCAAACCTGAGCTCAACCTGCAGCCTGAAGTAGAGAACCCCTAGCTGACCTGCAGAGGTCCGAAGAAGAAAAATGTACGTGTTGTTACAAGTCATGGAGATTTTGAGATCTTCTTAAGCAACAAGAATTGACTAATGTATACTTTATCTCTGAACTTTTTAGAATCCTTTTGGTTGAATGTTCTTTGTACCAGTTAAATTAGAATAGGCTGCTTTCTACTCTTGGAGCCTTGGTACATCTGTACAAGAGGATGATGACGACAAGGCCCCCCTCCCATGGTGGTTGGACGAATTCAAGAAGATCTTGTGTCTAGTGCATGCAGTAGGCACTTAATAAAAGAGATGATGCTAGGCCGGCTGCAGTGGCTCACGCCTGTAATCCCAACACTTTGGGAGGCTGAGGCAGGAGGATCATGAGGTCAGGAGTTCGAGACCAGCCTGGTTAACATGGTGAAACCCCGTCTCTACTAAAAAATACAAAAATTAGCTGGGTGTAGTAGGGGACACCTGTAATCCCAGCTACTCAGGAGGCTGAGGCCGGAAAATCATGTGAAACCAGAAGGGCGGGGGTTGATCGCGCCACTGCACTTCAGCCTGGGCAAAAGAGTGAAACTCTGTCTCAAAAAAAAAAAAAAAAGAAAAGAAAGAGAGATGAAGCAAGGCTGGGCTCAGTGGCTCACGCCTGTAATCCCAGCACTTTGGGAGGCTGAGATGGGTGGATCACTTGAGGTCAGGAGTTCAAGACCAGCCTGGCCAACGTGGTGAAACCCCGTCTCTACTAAAAATACAAAAATTAGCCAGGAATGCTGGCGTGCGCCTGTAATTCCAGCTACTCAGGAGGCTGAGGTGGGAGGATTGCTTGAACCCGGGAGGTAGAGGTTGCAGTGAGCCGAGATTGTGCCACTGCACTCCAGCCTGGGCGACGGAGTGAGACCCTGTCTTAGCAACAACAACAACACAGCAGCAGCAGCAACAGCAACAACAACAAAAGAGATGAAGCATAATTCTTTCAGCACATATTACCAAGTATTTATTTGCCAACACTGTGCAGGCCTCTTTATCAAGAATTTTACTGAAGAAATGAAAGACAGAAAACCTCTTCACTTGGTCTTTTTTATACATGAAGAGAAAGCAGGTCTGAATCAGAGGCAGAGGGTTGGAAGAAATGACCTGTTTTCTGCCATCTGGGCCTTGCTGCTGACTGTCTCTAAGAATTTGCACAGGCCTGGGCCTTTGGAGATTTGAAGGTCTCTAAAGTGCAAGGATGTCAGCTGCAGGGGAGCCATCCTCCAGCATCCTTCCCCAGGAGAGCCAGGATTATGTAGGGAATGTGCTTGGCTAAGAGCCCAGAGGTGGGGCAGCTACCCAGATGCAAACATGGCTGGGCCAGGCGGCCTTTCGTTCAGCGTTCCCAGGCTAATTCCACCTAGACCTTGTCTTAGCCTGTGAGAGGATGTTCTGGAGTGGTCTTGCCCCTCTTCCCAGGCTATCTGCCAGAGGTGGTGGGTGCTACAGGAGAGGGACTCCAGCAAGCTTCTCATCCTTTGGTTTTCCCAGGACGGGGGACAGGTGGCCTCACGGCTCCCAACCAGCTGCCTTGGCACTTTGTAGTGGAAAAAATGATGAAGTCAGACCTCAGTCTCCTCAACTCCCTGCTGTCCTGCCTGAGAGCCAGCCTAGCATGGAAGGCAAGGAGAAAAGAGACCCATGTTGATCTGTCACCCAGACAGACCCTGAGTGATGATGCTCCTGCCACCCTGAAGCACCCCAAGAACCTCAGAACTTCTGGCTTCTCATCTTGAAAATGGGACAGCAGTCATAGCTGCTTTGCTTATTATGTCAAGGAGTTACTAAAGAGGATCCAGTTAGATAGTGGGGGTAGAAAAATGGCTGCCTAAGGCCACATTTACCCTCTCCTTCTAGAAATTATACCAGAGCATCAAGAATAATGGAAAAACAAATATACAAAACCAAACCACAAACTCCATTTTTAGCAAAGCCAGGAGAGACATATAATTCATCGGCTTCAGAGTACGTGTGAAGCAGCTAAGACAGGGCAGAAGCCACATGGGAGTGGTGAGTGGGCTCAGTGATAGCAAATCTCAGAAAGCATCAGCAAAACTACACTTCCTAGGGATGAGGGCTTGCCATGAGATGAAAGTTATGTTCCTTCTTTATAAAAATGAATGTAGAAGCTTGGGTGAATACGATTAGCAGCAGAAGCTCTCCTGGATCTCGTTTGGTTCAGAGAAACAGAGGAGGTATAGTGAAGAATTACAGAGAGAAGACATATTTGCAGGAAGCAGTCTGTCTCTATGGCAGCAGAGGAGAGCCACAGTTACAGAGCCCATGAAGCTACCCTAATTCTTCCTTACACCCATAGGAGCAATCAGCAAAATACCTGACCCAGGAAAACCAAGCCCTTCCAATGACAAGCTTTTGAAAAAGTGTAAAAGCCTTGATACAAAGATATTATGATAAATTATGAAGAGCAGAAAAATCTACCAATAGATGAAAGTGTTAACACAAAATGGATGAAAATTATATCCAAATCATATTGGCATAAATTCAAAAAAGAATTGAATGGAGGCTGGGTGTGGTGGCTCACGCCTGTAATCCCAGCACTTTGGGAGGCCGAGGCAGGTGGATCACCTGAGGTCAGGAGTTCAAGGCCAGCCTGGTCAACATGATACTCTCGAGGCTGAGGCAGGAGATCGCTTGAATGTGGGAGGCAGAGGTTGCAGTGAGCTGAGATCATGACATTGCACTCCAGCCTGGGCAACTAGTGAAACTCCGTCTCAAATTTAAAGAAAGAAAGAAAGAAACATCTTAGGAGAACTGAATGGAGCAACTACCTCTGTGAAGGAGGACAATAAGGAAACTGAAGAACTCAAAAAGAAGGCAGGCAAAAGGAGGTAATGAACATGAAGGGTTAGCACTCAGGAAAGAAGTAGAAAGAAAAAAAAATATCAGAAATGAAGACAAAATTGGAGGGGAAGGAAATAGGCCCTGCAGAAAATACAGCAAGGACACGGTTAACAGAAATGGAAAAAGAGGAAAAAAATGAGACAGAAATAAAGAAAACATTAGAAAGACTAGAAAGAAAATTGGCTGGGTGCTGTGGCTCATGCCTGTAATCCCAGCACTTTGGGAGGCCAAGGCAGGCAGATCACTTGAAGTCAGGAGTTCAAGACCACCCTGGCCAACATAGCAAAACCCCATCTCTATTAAAAGTACAAAAATTAGCCGGGCATGGTGGCACACACCTGTAATCCCAGCTACTCGGGAGGCTGAGGCACGAGAATCACTTGAACCCCAGAGACAGAAGTTGCAGTGACCTGAGATTGAGCCACTGCACTCTAGCCTGGGCGACAGAGCAAAACTCTGTCTCAAAAAATAAATAAATAAATAAAAATAAATAAAGGTGTGAGCATCCATGCACCAGATAACACAGCAACAGATAGTTACAGAGCAAGGACATTTTAAGTCACTTCTCTCAGCTCTTGAAATACCAAGGGAAAAAAAAAAGGAAATAGAAAGTCAAAATAACATAGTGAACCACAAACACTGGCTACCTAGTAAGCCACAAAGAACATGGCAATAATTTTTTTAAAAGCAGAATAAAAGTACAATAGTCTCAGATCGCAATGCAACAAGCCTGTGTGACCTCCATTCCTCTCCCTCCCACCCCAGCACCTCCCCAGAGGGCAATAATCCCCCAGCCCCACTTCACCAGGCATCAGCTCCTGTGTCTGTTCCATGTTAGATCATGTTAGATCTCATCTTGGCCAGACACGGTGGCTCACGCCTGTAATCCCAGCACTTTCAGAGGCCGAGGCAGGTGGATCACCTGAGGTCAGGAGTTCAAGACCAGCCTGGCCTACATGGTGAAACCCCATCTCTACTAAAAGTACAAAAATTAGCTGAGCATTGTGGCAGGCACCTGTAATCCCAGCTACTTGGGAGGCTGAGGCAGGAGAATCGCTTGAACTGGGAGGCGGAGGTTGTGAGCTAAGATCGCGCCACTGAACTCCAGCCTGGGCAACAGAGTGAGATGCTGTCTAAAAAAAAATCTCATCTCAAACACACAAACATTTCACTGCTTTAAAAAAAAAAAAATAGAAATCTTTGGTGGATGTTCAGCCACGCTCATGGTTCACAGCTCCAAACTCTGATGCACAGGCAATCACATAGCCCAAATGTCTACATGTCCTGCATGTCCGCAGAGGGCTAGAGTGAGAGAGCCTGGGCTCCACGGCCAGACTATGTGAACTCAAAGCCTGGCACCCGCCCCCCCACTTAAAAGGCCTCAGGCATATTGCTTATCTGTGCCTTTGTTTCCCCAGGTGTCAAATGGAGTTGGTTGTGAGGATGAAAAGAGTTAATCTCTGGAAGTATGGAAAGCCTTGGATAAATGTGGGCTATTAGCATTATTTTCACAGCCTCCCAACCTCCCTCCACTAATACCAGACACGCTGGAGAGAGTTCTCTGTCTCCCTAACCATTTATTTGGTGATCAGAAGGACCTTCTGCCTGTGATTTCTGACCTGGCAGGATACTGGGGGACCACTTTTGCCTCTGCCTGGAGATAGCATGTCTGAGAATGAAACCGACTTACAGGGCAGCAGAACCAAGAGATAGGGAAATACAGTTTCTTGAGATATCATTTGAACCCCCGGATTCAGCCATGCCTGAAGCCAGAATGCTCCTGACCACATGAACCATTAAATTATTTTTGTTTGCTTGTTTCAGCCAATTTGGGTTGAGTTTCTTTCACTTGCAATAGAAGAAAGTTCTCCATTCTGAAGCTGAATAAGGTAGTATGTGAAGTACTTGTTTCATACCTGGTGCTTAATGGATGAAACCTTATTACATTCTCATTTCGTAAACCTTCTCCAGGGCTTTCTGGGAGGCAACCAGATATGAATTAGAGTGACACAGCTTTGCACTCCTTGCCCAGCCTGGATAAGATGCCCCATTCGCAGCAAGCTCTATGCAGTCAGGGCCAGCTTCATGGACATGCAACCTGGGTGCTCACATAGGCCCCTGCACCCAGAATGGTCTCATGCTCGGCTTAGCGCTCTCCTGTCACCAGCTTGAAATTCTTAATTATTTTTGAACAAGGGTCCCCATGATTTTACTTTACTCTGGTACCCACAAAGTATATAGCTGGTCTTAATACCAGTATCATCTCCACTTTCCAGGTGAGGAAACTGAAGCTCAAAGAGGGGAAGCAAGCAGCCCAAGGTCACACAGCAAGAAAGGGGTGGAGCTGGGAATCAAATTCTGATTCTGAGGCCCAAGTTCATAACTGCGATGTGCCAGTGCCTGGACAATTCCTCATATGTGGATGGCACTTCACAGTTTATACTCTAGTGCATAGCATTTGACCCTCATACCAGCTTTAGAAGCAGAAATTGTCATGCTGGCATCAGGCAGAGTACTTGGGTTTGTTCAAGCCTCAGAAACCAACCCTGGCTAATTTAAGAAAAAGAAAAGGTGGGGACGAGGTATTGGAAGGAAAAGTTGACCAGCTGGGACTTGGAAAGGACAGGAACAAGCAGCTCCGGGAACGCGGGGAGCAGGAGCCAGGGGTGTGGGGAGCAGGAACCAGTGGCCAGGTCTTCGGGGCTCCAGCTGTTTCCAATCTCAGCATTCCTTCCGCTTCAGTTTCTGATTCTCCCACGAGAAAGTCTGATTGGCCATGTTTGGGTCATGTGCCTGCCCACAGACCTTGATGGTCAACCAAACAAGGTGGGAAGGATGATCCCCCAAAGGCGGGTCAGAAAGTGGGGTGGGAGGGCTGAAAGCTGGGCAGGGACGGCTGTGTGCGCATTTTACAGATGAGGAATGGGAAGCCCAGACAGAAGGCAAGGCCACAGAACCGGGAATGGTGGAGTCTGGGCTCCAGTCAGAGGCCCAGGCTGCCTCTCTTCACTCCCAGGACTCCAGGCTGGCAGGGGAACAGGAGGGCATTGTTCTCCCTGTTGGAGTGAATGGCCGCCTCCTGGGAAACCCAGGACCCAGATGGGGTCTCCCCAGGGCGCAGGAAACTGCCTCAGACTGAGCTGTATTCAGGGGTCGAAGCCTCCTCCCCACCCTCCCCCTACAGTGGACAGACTCCCCCTTCAAATCCAACCTCACTGCTCAGCTCTAGCCCTATGGTTTTTAAGAGAAGCTAGTGGGGGAAAGGCTTATTTTTCCAATGTGCATTTTTTCCGGTATGTAAGATACTGTGTGGACCAAATAAAATATGTCCAGACCTGGAAACAGCCCAAGCATAGCTAGTTTATAAGTCCTGGAATGCTCCTTCCTGCACACAAAAATTAAGGGTCTGTTTACATAGATATGCTAGTGTGTTGGAGTTGAACTTTTCCTTACTCTGAACTCAGATATGCAAAGAAAAATGAGCCTTTTACATTTTCCATGGATGTCATCTAGTTCAGTGATTAGGAGCAAGAGACATGCTGGAGCCAGAGAACCTGGGTTTACATCTTGGCTTTGCCACTATGTGACCTCAGGCAGGTCACTTAACTTCTCTGAGTCTCAGTTTCCTTTAAGGGACATATGTACACACGGGTGTGGCATTTAATAAAAACCACAAAAGTCCCTGCTACTGCTCTGTGTCCATGGTATGATGTTGGTCATGAGCCCTCACACTGGAAGAAATACAAAATCTTAAGCCAGGCTAATCATTTAAACTGTCTATTTAGGCAAGACAGGCTTCCCCTGGGGTATTTCAGGGACAAACTCCATTGATCAGTTTCCCACCTTCCTCTGCTCCTCTTCAAGAAGCTTCTGCCTGAACACCACTTTGGTAACAGGGAAACTGAGCTCCGAGGAGAGAGGTCAAGGTTAGGAAATGTCATTTAGTGAGTGTCCCTTCTGCACAAAGCCGTATAGGTACGCAAGCTCCTTGAATCCTCATAACCATTCTGGATGGAAAGAATCAGGACTCCCTTAACCAACATTGTGGAGCTTGCAAGTAACGGAGGCAGCATTAGATTCCAGGATGTTCAACTTCGAGGCCTGCCTTTTCTCTGCTCCTATTAACTGTGTATTCCCATTCCTGGTCATAAGGCAAGATTCAGAGGCATCTGTGCTCCAATTGACCATGGCGCTTGATCCCAAAAGGAAAAACTCTTTCTCTCTCTCTCTACCTGATTAACAATAATAATAACAATAATTTAATGGCTCAAGCAGGGAAAGTCCAGTGGTGGGAAATCCTGGCTTCAGGGAACTGGGAAGAAAAACAGCTTCAGGAATGGCAGGATCCAGGGGCTCCATGGATGTTGCCAGGACTCACTTCTCTCTCTAAGCAATGCTTTCCTTTGTATTGGCTTCTCCCTCAGGCAGCCTCTCCCTGTTTTGTATCAAGATAGCCTTAGCAGTCCTTATGCCCTGGCAGCTTGGTGATGCCAGCAGAAGGAGACTCTGGGACTAACTCTGGTTGGCCTTATTAAGGTCAGATGCAAATCCCTTTACTTCTTTCTCTAGCTCATATCGGTCAGGCCTGCGTCGCCTTCCCACTTCTAGATCTGGAGGTAGAGACTA
This sequence comes from Homo sapiens, assembly GCF_000001405.40. NCBI lineage: Eukaryota > Metazoa > Chordata > Mammalia > Primates > Hominidae > Homo > Homo sapiens. The sequence continues at coordinate 49,581,934 of NC_000020.11, forward strand.
GGGTAGTTTTCTCACATTGATGCCCTAATTAATGACCTTCCTGCATCCGAGCCCTTTGCAGTGTGAGTTTATTTCCACATGATCTGAATCTGGGCTTGGCCTTGAGACTTGCTCTGACCACTGGAATCCAAGGGAAGTGATGCTGTGCCTGCTTCCAACCTAGGCTTCAAGAGTCTTCTTCACTTCTCCCCTCTCTGTTGGAACTCTGGATAGCCACCATGAGAACAAACCTGGGCTAGCCAGCTGCAGGAGGAGAAACCATCTTAAGAAGTGCCTGGTCCCCCAGCAAAGACTAACAGCGCAACAGCCAGCTGACCTATCAGAGTTTGTTTTTTAAGCAATCTTATCTACCTTCTTGCAGGACTAGGATTGACAGATGACAAAAAAAAAAAAAAAAAAAGAGTTAAGGCACATCTGTAAAGCTAGAAATTGGAAGGCTGCTAGGGTTTGAATCCTGGCATGGCCATTCCCTAGCTATTAGGCTTAGTTTCCTGTGGCTGTTATAACAAATTGCCACAAACTCGATGGCTCAAAACAACAGAAGTTTATTCTCACACAGTTCTGGAGGCCAGAGGGTGAGCATCAGTTTCACTCAGCTGAAGTCAAGGTGTCAGCAGGGCCATGCTCCCACAGAGGCTCTGGGGGACAAATCACTCCATACCTCTTCCAGCTGCTGGTGGCTGCCAGCATTCCTTTGCTTGTAGCCACATCACTGCCATCTCTGCCTTGGTCTTCACGTTGTCTTCTTTTCTGTGTGTCTGTCCACCCTCCCTTGGTCTTCCTCTTACGAAGCATATGACATGCATGCTTTTAATACATGTGATAACATTTAGAGCCCAGCAAGATAATCCCAGATAATATCCTCATCACAAAATCCTTAATTTGATCATATTTGCAAAGACTTTACCATATAAGGTAACATTCACAGGCTCCTGGGATTAGGAGAACCTGATTTCTTAGAGGTCCACCATTCAGCCCACTGTACTAGCATGTGGCTCCAAGTGAGTGTCAACCTCACTGTGCCTCAGTTTCCTTATCTGTAAAATGACAGCAGCCACCTCACTGGGTAATTATGAAGATTTAATAAGTACTTAGAATGGTGACCAGCACATGATAAAAGCTTTGTAAATGTTAACCTTCAATAATATCAAGGGTCGGTCGGGCGCGGTGGCTCACACCTGTAATTCTAGCACTTTGGGAGGCAGAGGCGGGAAGATCGCTTGAGCCCAGGAATTTGAGACCAGCCTGGGCAACATGACAAAACCCAGTCTCTACAAAAACAAAAACAAAAACAAAAAACCTAGCCAGGCGTGGTGGCATGTGCCTGTAGTCCCAGCTACTTGAGGGGGCTGAGGCACAAGAATCTCTTGAACCCTGGAGGTTGAGGCTGCAGTGAGCTGAGTTTGCACCACTGCATTCCAGCCTGGGGGGCAGAGAGAGACTCTGTCTCTAAAAAAATAATAATAATAAGATTTGACTGTGACTGAAATTCGCACAAGAACAAATCCCTTCTCTGTCCTGTTTGCTCGCGCCTGTCTTCATAGCACCCACCATGGAGACTTGCACATAGTAGGTGCTCAGTAAATATTAAATGCACACATGCCACTATGTAGCTGTGTGGCTTCAAGCAAGTTGTTTCTCCTCTCTGGTCCTCAGTTTCCTTCTCCCTTCACGAAGAGCTTCTTGTAGGGAAAGTCCATTCCTCTTTCTGGGAGGGTGTGTCCCCATCAGGGGTAGAGGGTTCAGGGGTCAGGAGCCGGCCACAGCTGCTATCTCCCTGAGTCACCAAATTTCTCAACTTGAGGCCAAGTGTCTAAATATTGTGACTGAGCCAGTTAGAGATAAGATGTGGAAACATTGATTTGGCCCAAGCAACTGCAGTCACGGTGCTGGAGCCAGACCTCCCTGGATCTTCTCAGCAGCATGAGTGAGTGTTTAGCACCTGCCAGGAACACAGGCTGCTGACCTGCAAACAGATGGGGAGGCCCAGATGCCTGGCTTGGCAGCAAGAGCCTGCCTTTGCCGTCTCTGTTTACACAGCCAGCATCCAGTCAAATCTCTGTGGCTCCAGTGGAGAAACTAAGGCCCAAAGGGAGTGAAGGATGTGTCGTCCAGGGTTACGCTGGGAGACTGCTATCCCATGAAGCTAAAACCCGCAAGTCCTAACTCCCAGCCCAGCACCTGTGGGAACCCACCAGGCCCAGGGAGAAGGAAGGCTGGCAGCGTGTCACAGGCAGGGAGCGTGCCTGAGCAAATGCTCAGGGGTGAAAGACCAGATGCAAGCTCAAACACTAGAGTGAATGGGAGAAAAGGCCACGTGTCCAGGACTTTGGACTCAATTCAGAGAATAAAAGGGAACCATCGATGGTTTTAGGAAGAAGAGCAGCAGGATCTGAGAGGCTTTTTCCAAGTGCTTATAGACCACCAGCATCAGAATCGCCTACGACAGGAGCTGGGGGAGGTTGTCAAAATGTGGGTTCCTGGGGTCCACCCTAGATGTGGCTCCCCATTGTAGCAGGCCCCCTCTGAGGGGATTCTGAAGCACACCCACTGTTTTAGTGAGTAGGAGATGCAGCTAACATCCCACTTATAAGGTCTAATCTCAGACAAACCTGGTTTCAAATCCCAGCTCTGCCACTTACTTGCTCTGTGATTTTAGGTCACTTACGACACCTCTCTGAGCCTGTTTTCTCTCCTCCGTAATGAAACAATCTTAGCATTTGCCTCAAAGGTTTGTTCTAAGGATTCAATAAGATAATGTAGGTAAAGTGCTCTACATAGATCCAGAGCCCTCCTAGTGCTCAAAAACACTGGTTTTTAGAGATTCCCTTGGGCAGCAGTGGGGAGAAAGCAATGGAGGAGGGCAGGCAAGGAGGCAGGGAAGCCAGTGAGGAGGCAGCAGTGGGACTCCGGGGAGAGGTCTGTGGCTAGGGTGTGGACATGGTGACGGGTGGGGTGGCTCCTTTGCACCGTGCCAGGTGGTGCCGATCTTGTATGCTCGATTGCGAAAGAAGCTCTCTGGAGTTGGTCTAGGGCAGGAGAGAAGAGGATGAGCAAAAAAACCAAAAGAGGTTGATCATAAAACCCATATTCGCAGTCACGGACTGGGTGCTTAGCGTGGGCCAGGCCCCGTGTTAGCTGCTTCCTGATCTTCATCCTCACAACCACCTGACAGTGTGGGTAGCACTTCATCAGGGGTTGTTAACCCCGACACTAGTGACACTTGTACTGGATAATTCCTTAATTAAGGGGCTGTGCTGTGCACTGTCAAATATTTAACAACACCCCTGGACTCTACCCACTAGATGCCATTAACACTCCCACCTTCCAGTTATGACAACCAAAACTGTCTCCAGACATTACCAGAGGTTTCCCGGGAGGCAAAATCACCCCTAGTTAAGAACCAGTGCTTTATTCTCCTTTTACAAGGAGGGAATTGAAGGCTCAGAGAGCCAAAGCCCTTTGCCCACAGTCTCCCAGCTAAGAAGTGGCCGGATTTGAACTCAGGTCTGACTCGGAGCCCCGGATGTTAACCTTTGCCGTGAAGGAGGCCACATCTATGCAGTGGCAGGCCCAGATGGTCTATATGGGGGTCTTGGGGACAGTGGTCTTTTCCGAAGGGGCAGCTGGAAACACCTGCTAAGCAGATGGGCTGCGTGAGCGTTTGTTGGGGGTGGTTGTAGAAGCGATGATGGGGATTATGAGAGAGCCAAATCCCCCTCCAGAGGCTACCACCATTTGCCCTGGACAGAGGGACTGAGGGAGATGGGACGTGGAGGGCAGGCAAGAAGGACCAAGGTGGCACTGTTAGGAGAAGCTGGGTGAGGTCATCTATGCCTGGAGCCCCACTGCCGGGAGCCTCCCAAAAACACTCTCCAAGACCTTTGGGCTAAATATTTATCCTGTGAATGCTCTTTTCCTTCCTGCATGGGGAGTGGGGCTTTGGAGGTGGGTCCAAGAAATTTGGGGAGACAGAATCCAGAGAAAGAGGAAGGGGACAGGCCAGAGGTCAGAGGTCAGGAGAAAGTAGTCAGAGGCCAGGAATAAACATTCATCCTGGCATCTAAAGCCTTCCAGAGTGAGCTCCACTGCCACCACAGCCATCTCACTCAGGGAGGCGTAGAATTCAAAATATGTTTTTGTTTTCTTAAGAGACATGGGGAATAAAATTACAATTTTTTTTTTGGTCCAGTCTTTTTTTTTTTTTCTTTTTTGAGACAGAGTCTCACTCTGTTGCCTAAGATGGAGTGCAGTGGCGCGATCTCAGCTCACTGCAACCTCCGCCTCCTGGGTTCAAGCAATTCTTGTGCCTCGGTCTCCTCAGTAGCTGGGATTACAGCCACCCACCACCATGCCTGGCTAATTTTTGTATTTTTAGTAGAGACAAGATTTCATCATGTTGGCCAGGCTGGTCTTTAACTCCTGACCTCGAATGATCTGCCCACCTCGGTCTCCCAAAGTGCTGGGATTACAGGCATGAACCACCATGCCCGGCTCAGTCTTGATATTTTTAAGCAAGGGAGTTGGAGGTGAAGGGAAAATTAAGTCAAAAAATCTTACCCAGAGGACAGGTGTGGTAGCTCACACCTATAATCCCAGCACTTTGGGAGGCCAAGGCGGGCAGATTGCCAGAGGTCAGGTGTTCGAGACCAGCCTGGCCGACATAGTGAAACCCCATCACTACTAAAAATATAAAAATTAGCCGGGTGTGGTGGCGGGTATCTGTAATCCCAGCTACTCAGGAGGCTGAGGCAGGAGAATTGCTTGAACCCGGGAGGTGGAGGCTGCAGTGAGCCGAGATTGAGCCACTGTACTCCAGCCTGGGTGACAGAGCGAGACTCTGTTTAAAAAAAAAAAAAGGCTGGGCGCAGTGGCTCATGCCTGTAATCCCAGCACTTTGGGAGCCTGAGGAGGGCGGATCAGGAGTTTGAGACCAGCCTGGACAACATGGTGAAAACTTCTCTCTACTAAAAATACAAAACTAGGCGGATGTAGTGGCGCACACCTGTAGTCCCGGCTACTCAGGAGGCTGAGACAGGAGAATCGCTTGAACCTGGGAGGCAGAGGCTGCAGTGAGTCAAGATTGCACCACTGCACTCCAGCCTGGGCAACAAGAGCAAAACTCTGTTTCAAAAAAAAAAAATCTTATCCAGAGAAGAAGTCATTTTTTTAGACACAAGAATACTTTGTTTATACAGATGGTTGCTATAAAAGGCCTGACTTTGTGCCGATAGAGAAGATGGATTTATGGTGAAGGCAGCTCCTGAATGAGCTCAGTAATCAAAGTCAAGGTCCTGCCAGGTTAAGCTGCAGCAGGCTCCGCTCCCTACCAAAAATGACAGGCTCTGCTCCATCTGATGGGTTCTGCTCCAGATGATGGAACTCATAAGGGCATCATGCTGTCAAACGGTTTTACTGCCAAGACTGTTGTTCATGTGTCCAAAGCATCACGTCTAACCTCTAGGTTACGATGACCCCAGAGCTTGCAAATCTTGGTGGAAGAATTGCACGGAGCCTGAAGTATGTTTTTCATCGGAAATGGTGCTCATTAAAGAAATACGTGCCTGTTAGCCATCACTTGGATTGTACATGACATCGTTGATGTTGCGTGTGTGTGTGTGTGTGTGTGTGGGTGCACGCACGCACTTGTGTGTTTACATTTTCTTTTCCTTCTTTGTTCCTCCACTAAAGCAGAAAAAGTGTTAGAAGATGTTTAAGAGAGATGTGGAAACAGAGAGAAATGCAGTTTTATCCACTCTTCTCTCTTGTAAGATAAAAAATGTGTCTCTGGGCAGGGCGCGGTGGCTCACGCCTGTAATCCCAGCACTTTGGGAGGCTGAGGTGGGCGAATCATGAGGTCAGGAGATCGAGACCATCCTGGCTAACACGGTGAAATTAAACCCCATCTCTACTAAAAATACAAAGGATTAGCCAGGCGTGGTGGCGGGCGCCTGTAGTCCCAGCTACTCGGGAGGCTGAGGCAGGAGAAAGGCTGAACCCAGGAGGCAGAGCTTGCAGTGAGCCGAGATCCGCACTCTAGCCCGGGCGACAGAGCAAGACTCCATCTCAAAAAAAAAAAAAAAAAAAGTGTCTCTGGGTGTTTTTAAGCCAAAAGCCATTCTTCACCAGGAGGGCTTGTGGGAAAGCAGATTCTGACTCAGTAGGTCTGGGGTGAAGCCTGGGATGCTACTTCTCCAATGCACTCCCAGGCAACGCAGCAGCCGCCAGTCTGGGAGCCATGCCTGGGAGTGGTGGGGCCTTAGCACACAGTGTGTGTCCCTGCCTCTGGACACCTCCTGCCATCCCTGCTCTTCCCTCCCGCTGCTAAGTCTCGCCCTGGTCTCCCTGCCTTCTTAGAGATGGCGCTTCCTTTAGCAAGTGTTTGCTCCACTTAAGGATTCAGGGAACATCCGGGCTGGAGAGATGCTGGAGACCATCCCGTCCAACTCTCTTCAGTTCCCAGTTGCTTTTGTGGCAAGAGCTAAAAACCCAACTCAACCCACACACGTTTATATAGACTTGTGGAAAATACAAAGGGCTTTTTTTTTTTGGTGCGTTTTAAAATATAAATGGTATCATATTGTGTGCGTCATTCTGTGCCTGTTTTTCTCTCTTAGTAACCAATCTTGGAGGTTTTTTAGGTCAGCAGAGAAAAACCTCCCCATTAACAGCAGTACAACATTCCAGGATCTAAACAACAGCCTTGACATTACTGACATTTACGGCTGGACAATTCTTTGCTAAGGGGCTGTCCTATGCATTATAGAATGGTTAGCAACATCCCACCGGCATGATTCCAGTAGCACCCCTCGCCCCCATCAGTTGTGACAACCAAAATGTCATCAGACATTGCTAAATGTGTCCTGAGAGGCAAAGCTGCCCTGGTTGAGAACCATGGGGATAAGATGTAGAAGAGCAAATTCCAAAGAGGTAAGATGAGTTACTTCCTGGGGCACAAGGAAGGACTGGAATGGGGATAGAGAGTTCTCATTCTTTATGACTTCATTCATTCATCCATTTCATACATATTTATTAAGCACCTGCCATGTTCCAGACACCATGCCAGGTGCTAGGGAGGCAGCAGGGAAGAAAACAAGCCAATACCTTCCTATTGTGGCTCTGCCATTCTCCCTGGGGAGACAGACATGAAACAAACAAGGAAGACATCAGTACGGAAGATGTGCTAAAAACTATGGGAGAAAGTAGGACAAGGGGAGCTGGGAGTGCTGGGGCCCAGGTGGGGACTTCAGAGCCTCACATATGATGTTTTAATGTATTAAAAGGAGAATATCTCCATGAGTTATTTGGATGATTTAAAATTTTTTTATTACTTGAGCCTAGGAGTTCAAGACCAGCCTGGGCAACACAGCAAGACCTTTCTCTGCAAAAATTTTTTTTTAATTAGCCAGATGTGGTGGTGCACATCTGTAGTTCCAGGTACATGGGAGGCTGAGGTGGGAGGATCACTTGAGCCTGGGAGGTGGAGGCTGCAGTGAGCCATGATGGTGCCACTGCACTCCAGCCTGGGCGACAGAGAGAGACCTTATCTCAAAAAATATTTTTTTTTTAAGATGGATGGGCTAAGCCAGTCCCAGCCTGGCTCCCTGAAGCAAGGAGATCTTTCAAGGGGCTGAACCCGGGTGCCTGGGCAGCAGCTGGCCTCAGCCCCCCATTCCTTCCTTCAAATCCCCTTGCTTAGGACAATAAACTCCTCAACAGGTACCCTCAGCTGCACTTGCATGGAGCTGCACCGCCATCCCAAGAGCTCGTGGTGGGCCTTTGAGGCACCCTTTCTCCATCTGTGTGGGTTCCTCCAGCCCATTGTTAAAAGATAGTAGTAATGTCTAACATCCCTGTAAAAAAATAATCCCCATGTTTCTCGAGGCCCTAGGTTTCTGGTCCCTGCTCCCTCTCTGACTTTTTCTCCTCCCACTCTCCCCCAACTCACTCAGCTCCAGCCACACTGACTTTCTTTCTGCTCCTCAAACGTTCAGGCTGGGTCCTGCCACTGGGCCTTTGCACTTGCTGTTCCTAATGCCAAGTCTTTCCCCATGGTCTCCCCACAGCCAGCTTCTTATCAACCAAGTCCCAGCTGACATGTCGCCTCCGCAGAGAGGACATCCCCGACCACCCCAGCCAAAGGAGGCCTTTTCTCCAAATCTCCTTACACGTCTCTCTCACATGTGTGTTTCTGTTACAGTTTGAATCTGTGTCCCTGCCCGAATCTCCTGTTCAACCGTAATCCCCAATGTTGGAGATGGGGCCTGGTGGGAGGTGATTGGATCATGAGGGCGGTTTCTCATGGTTTCACACCATCCCCCTTGGAGCTGTCATCCCAATAGTGAATTCTCATGCGATCTGCTTGTTTGAAAGTGTGCGGCACTTCCCCTCTCTCTTTCTTCCTCCTGCACCAGCCATGTGAAGATGCCTGTTTCCCCTTCAACTTCCGCCATGAGTAAAAGCTCCCCGAGGCCTCCCAGGAAGCAGATGCCACCATGCTTCCTGTAGAGCCAGCAGAGCTATGAGCCAATTATACCTCTTCTCTTTATAAATGACCCAGCCTCAGGTATTTCTTTATAGCAGTGTGAGAACAGACTCATAGTTTCCTTCATTGTACTTGTGACTTGATGAAATGATTCTGTTTGATTCTTTGCCGGGTTGTTGTCAGCTCCATAAGAAGAGGACTTTATCTTGTTCTCTGTGTACAAACACATAGTAGGTGCTCTGTAAGTACTTGTTGAACAAACATGTAAATGAATGAATGAATGAGAGCCAGTGTGATTTGGATGACTGCGTGCATGTGCTAAGTAAACTGTTTTCCATGATCTCTGGGGTTGTGTGTGTGTGTGTGTGTGTGTGTGTGTGTTCAGTTTGGTTTTTGCCACATCTTTATACCCTCTGTTCTATTACAACTTAGCATTTTTCTTTTTATATAAAGAAACTCATTTAAAGGAATCTTGACAATATCACTAGAAACAGAAAGCCAGTATCAGCACATACTTGCTATAAATAGCAAAAAAAAAAAAAAAAAAAAAAAAAGAAAAGAAAGAAAGAGAGAGAGAGAAAGAAAGGAAAACCCTATGCATATAAATTCCATGAAGATGTGAAAAAGTTATCAAATTCTCACAGGGTATGATTGCTACTGTAGTTTCTAAGCCTGAGGCTTTAGAAAATCGATACTCTCTTGAAAAAAAAAATTTAAGCCTGAGGCTGTTGTGTCTTTCTTAAAAAGGAGATTGGCAGGTGTCAGAGAGGTGTTCAAGACAAGTTAACTCCAACCCGAGGCTTTCTCAATGATCTTTCTCCAATTCATCCCAACACCCACTTGCCGCAGACCCTGTGGAAGGCCCCAGATCCAAACTCCCTTCCTGCTAACAGCAGCTGTCTGGGGAGATTTCCTTCCAGTTGAGCCATCCAAGGACTCCTCCCCAGCCCTTATCTGTGGAATGGAAAAAATACTAGCCCACACCTCATAGATTAAGAGAATCAAATGAGCTCATTTATAGAAAGCACATGGAACAATGACAAGCATGAAATAATAGTCACTGATGTTTACTGAGACTAACAGCATGTCACACCCAGTGCAAAATGCCTCACGTCCTCCCACAGAGTCTTCATAACAACCTTTAGCTCATGGAAGTACTATTTTTACCCTATTTGGCCAATGAAAAAGCAGAGGCCCAGGAAGGTGAAGTAACTTGTCCAAGGTCACACAGCAAGGAGGCAATAGAGCTGGGATTTGAACCCCGGCTGCCTGACTCCAGAGCTGTACAAAGCCAGATACCACAGAGGCTGGGTTATTGTTCGTCCAGACCCATGTTCCCACAGGTCCTCTCATCCCTTACCTGCTCCCTTTCTACCTTGTATTTCTATCCTCCTGCTCTGAGGAGATTCCTCTCCCTGAAGATGCTTGGGCTTGAGGGAACCAGGAGGAGAGGAGGTGAAGTTGGCCTGGATGACTCTGTGGTCAGGATCCTAATGACCCAGTAATTTTCCTCCAAGTCCAGTATTCTCAGGATTAAGTCCTAATCATCCATCTACCCACTCACCCACTCATTCATCCATCTGTCCATCCATCTATCCATCCATCCATTCATCCACTCACCCATCCATTCATTTACTTATTCATCTATTCTCCCATTCACCCATCCATCCACCCACCCACCCACACATCCACTTATTTACCCACCCATTTCATCCATTCTTCCATCCACCCATCTATCCATCTATCTATCCACTCACCTGTCTATCAATCCATCCATCCATTTATCCAGCCATCCATTCACCCACCCACCCATTCATCTGTCCTCAATCCACTCACCCATCCACTCATTTACTCACTCATTCATCTATTCTCCCATCCACCCTTTCATCCACTCACCCACCATCCATCCATCCATCCATCTACCCATGCATCCATCCATCCACCCATCCATCCATCCATCCACCCATCTACTCATTGACCCACTCATTTCACCTATTCTTCCATCCACCTATGTATTCATCCACCCACTCACCCATCTACTCATTCACTCACCCATTCATCTATTCTCCCATCTACCCCCATTCATCCACCAGTCCATCCATCCATCCATGTAACATTTACTGAAGGCTCACTACCTGCCTGCAAGGTTCAGGTGAGGGACAGAGCAGGACTGTACAGGTGTCTCTCAGCCTCTACCCTCCCTCATTCCTGCTTCCATCTTCTTCTGATCTGGGATAATTCCTCTCCTGGGAGATCCAAGGATGATGGGGAGCAAAAGGCGGTGGGGTGAGGGGTTGGGGCTTCGGCACTGCCTCTCTACTGAGGCCCCAGTCCCTTCTCTGTATGGACAAAATGGAAACTTGTGGTTTTTCTTCCTGCATTGAACCAGCAGGCTGAGCTGGGGCTGAACTCCTGGGACATTAAAAGGGGGTGAGAGGTGAAGATGCATCCAGGTGGGGGGTGTGTGTGTGTGTGTGTGTGTGTGTGTGTGTGTGTGTGAGAGAGAGAGAGAGAGAGAGAGAGAGAGAGAGAGAGGAGGTGGAGGGCGAAAGGCCTGTGCATCTCTGTCTCTGTCAGGCACACAGAGAATGGCAGTGGTGAGCCTGCAATGTATTGGGAAGACATTATTGTTTGCTCAGAAATGGCCAAGAACCCCAGCTCCTCCCTGCCAGGAGACACAGGATTCTGCGCCTCCAGGCACAACCGTCTTCCCTCCCTTCCACTTTCCTCCCTCCTCCTCAAACCCTTGCCCAGGTGCCCCCCGGCTGGCTGGGTTCACCAGAGGATAGATGACCACATACTAATCCCAGCCTCCTGTGGAGGTTAGTCCCACCCTCCACCGAGGTGGAAAATTCCTGCAGGTAGAGTCAGCAGTGGTTCAAGTCCCACCGTTGTCCATGAGATCGGACTACACAGCACACACGGCCGCTTTTTTTTACCTACCACGTGTCCCACGTCTCCTACAGTCCTTTAATCCCTGACCAGTCCTTCAGAGGATGGACACGCTCTGATCTTTGTAGCCTCTCTTTCTCTCCTCAGGGATCACACCTCACTGTAGACCACAGCCCAATGTCCCAGGTGACTCACTTACTAGAATTTGTAATTCACTTCATCCTGCCACCACGCCCCTGTGAGCTAGACACCCAAATTGACTCCATTTTACAGATTTGGAGACTGAGGTGCAGAGAGATTAAGTCCCTGTCTGAGGTCGCATGGTGGATGAGCAGCAGACACCCTGGCGGGCAGCCTGGCTCCTGAGCCACGCGTCACCACCGTCTTAGTGGAAAATCGGCCACAAGGAGGGATTCCCCTTCCAGTCTCCTGGCCCTTGCCAAAGGATCCATACTAGACATGAGAGGAGGAAGGGAGTCCACACCGAGTCTGGCCTCAAACCCTCATTCCTTAGGAAACTGCGCTAATGTCGCCCCCTCCCTCCCTGTGACCACCCCAGGTTGTATCTGCACCTTCCCAGCTAGCCCAGGTGTCATTACATATTTATCTGTTGATCACTCGGCTCCAGGGACTGCCATATCGGCCCAGGAAGTCACGATCTTGTCTGTCTGGTTAGGGGCTGTGGTCTGGCACTGGGCACATAGTCAGTATTCAATGAATTTTGGCTAAAGCCCTTTTGGATCGATCATCTATTGCCAGTGTGGCTCAGATGCAGCCCCCGCCACTGACTGTGTGACTCTGGCAGGTCACAACCCCTCTCTGAGCCTCCCTTCCATCATCTGTAAAACAGACTTATCTCTGAGTCCTACACATGTTAAACACTCAAAGGATTTCTGTTGCATGAATTAGTGAAATCCGAGCTGGAAGGGCCTCTAGAGCCCAGGGTTGCAAACTCATAGACTCCAAAAGCCAGGCAGGAGCCAGAAACCACCGAGGGAGCTGGGTGGGGACGGAGGCAGCTGCTACTCAGCTCTAGTCACAAGCACTGCCATATCTGGTTTCTCAAGAAAAACCAGAAATCTAGAGATTTACAAGAAGTTTCCCAATTTCTAAGTATTGGCAACTAATTTAAAACATTTAAACACATCTGTGGACGGGATGTGGCTGCAGGCCGTTTCTTTGCAACTCATGATTCATCTAACTGCTCGTGGCACAGATGAGATCAAAGCCCAGAGAAGGTGAGCCACCAGCCCCAGGTCACAGAGCACAGGAAGTGAAGAGGAAACAGTGACCTTTCTCCTTCGGCTGCAGCCCTGTTGCCCAAGCTCAGGGCAACCCCTGAGCCCTGATCCCAAGGGAGGCAGTGCCGCCTTCTCCTCTAGGCCTGGCAGTTCCAGGGTGACAGGAAGGTCACGATATCTCTGTTTGGGTGCACTGCAGCCTCCGCTTCCTGCCAGGACCAGGCTGTATCAGGCACTGGGATGAAGAAAACATTCCAAGCAATGGGCTGGCCTAGAAGGTAAGAGCTGGTGGCAGAGAGGGGGTAAGCACACCCCTTCCTTACTTCAGGGACGTGCAAACCCCTTCAGCAGGCCTGGGCAGAGCTGGGAACAGGGCGGATCAAGCCCTGCTTCTGGAGAAACATGCTCTGCCATTGGAGGCTGGGAGCTCTGTCCCCGCATGGCTCGTAGGACCTTGGAATGCATTTGTCCAGCAGCTTCTAATACACCAGGCCCTCATCTGACCCGCACCCCCACAACCTCCATGGGCTCTCCTCCCTCTGTCCCCTCTTGATCTCTCTACGCAGGCACAATGGTGCCTGCTCAGCCCTGAACACAGCAGCCCTGCTCCCACCTCAGGGCCTTTGCACACGCTATTCCCTCTGCCTGGTTCACTTCACCCATTATGCAGATGGCTTACTGTAGACCTCTACTTGAATGTCGCCTTCTCTGTGAGACCCTCCCTACCTGTTCACTCTGTTTAAAAATGCAAACATCCCCCACAGTCCTTAGCCTCCATCTGGCTTCCTTTGACCCTGCTGTGCTTAGGATGGTGGGACACATATGTTACACGTGTTTATTTGTGTTTCCCTTTCCTGTTGCTGCTGTAACAAATCGCCGTGAACTTGGGAGCTGGAAATAACATGAATGTGTGAGCTTACAGTTCTGGAGGGCTGAAGCCCACAGTGGGTCTCAGCAGGCTAAAATCAAGGTGTGGGCAGGACCACGTTCCTTCTAGAGGCTCACAGGGAGAATCCGTTCCTCCAGCTTCTCAAGGCCACCTGTATTCCTGGGCTCACGGCTCCAACCTCCATCTTCAAAGCCAGCAACGGCGAGGCCATCTTTCCCATGCTGCATCCCTCCGCCTGCAACACCTCTGCTTCCCTCCTGCACTAAGCCCCTTGTGATGACACTGGGTCACGATGTCATCATCTGGGTAATCCAGGGTCGTCTCCCCCAGCTCAAGGAGACTGCTCAGCAGCCTCCATTCCCCTTGGCCGTGTAACCTTGTACATTCACGGGTTCCAGGGATGAGGACGTCTTGGGGAAGGGCGCATGAGTCTGCTGACCACACACACCAAACACACCAGGCGTTGGCTCCAGGAAGGCACGTGGTTTGCTGCTTTATGTATGTCCAATGCCTGGTGCATAGCAGGTGCTCAGTAGACCCTTGGAGACTGCGTGGGTGCTGGAGTAGAATGTTGTGGCCGCCAAAGGGAGGCAGGAAAGGTGACTCAGCTACCCCAGTGGTCCTCCCCGTCTTACTGATGAGGAGACTCGGGGAGAGCTGAGATGCTGAGGGCTGAAGAGCTGTGACTTAGCCCCTACCCTTCCACACCCATCCTGTGCCCACAAAGAGGGGTGGGCCCTGGGCTGTGTCGGGGAGCCCCAAAGAGAAGGCCTGAAGTCCGGCAGCTTTAAAGGGGACAGTCCTGGCCATGAGCCCTCTCTCTGAGCGCCCCTCACAACCCCTACAAGCTCCCCTCCCAAGGCTAGGCCAGCAGTGCCTGCAGGGGGCTGCCCAGGCGTGGTCCTGCCATGTGGGAACTGCCTGTGTGGCCCAGCAGGACCCAGATGAGTCACAGGAAAGCTGGGGTGCCCTCCCTCCAGCCCCACGTGTCTCCCTGGCTTCAAAGGAAACCGACTGAGGGTCCAAGTTTCCTCATGACTGAAAAATGTTCCACCCCAAAAATGTTCCACATGAGCAACAGCTCACCCAGAAAGAAAGAGAAATGAAGTAAGTGGCTTTTCAGCATGGGGAGAGACACTTGGCCATGCACAGCTACAGGCAGAGATCTGGGAAACAGAACGCCGGGGAAAGCAAGTGAGGAACAGGAGAACTCTGCAAATCAGAACACTCATCATAAAATAATTCTGCTTGTTTCACAAGGACACATATACATCCAGGGACATATATCATGGGCCTCGGTATGGAGGCTCAAGGAGAAAACAAAACAAAATAATTTATTTTGTTTTAAATTATTATTATTATTTGAGACGGAGTCTCGCTCTTGTTGCCCAGGCTGGAGTGCAATGGCCTGATCTCAGCTCACTGCAACCTCAACCTCCCGGGTTCAAGCGATTCTCCTGCCTCAGCCTCCCCAGTAGCTGGGATTACAGGCTCGCGCCACCACGCCTGGCTGATTTTTGTATTTTTAGTAGAGATGGAGTTTCACCATGTTGGCCAGGCTGGTCTTGAACTCCCGACCTCAGGCGATCCACCCGCCTCAACCTCCCAAAGTGCTGGGATTACAGGCGTGAGCCACTGCGCCTGGCCTAAATTATTATTATATGTTTATTTTGTTTTAAATTATTTTTATATTTTACAATGGAGCTTCCTGACATGTGACAATGATGCTACGGTTTTTTGTTGCTGTTTTTTTGTTTGTTTTTGAGATAGAGTCTCACTCTGTCACCCAGGCTGGAGTGCAGTGGCACAATCTCGGCTCACTGCAGCCTCTACCTCCCACGTTCAAGAGATTCTCCTGCCTCAGACTCCCGAGTAGCTGGGAGAACAGGTGCCCACCACCACGCCTGGCTAATTTTTTGTATTTTTAGTAGAGACAGGGTTTTGCCATGTTGGCCAGGCTGGTCTCAAACTCCCGACCTCAGGTGATCCGCCACCTCGGCCTCCCAAAGTGCTGGGATTACAGGCGTGAGTCACTGCGCCTGGCCAATGACACTATGCTTCACTGAACAAGCAAAAGGTACTCTGCTTCACTCTTCATTTAAAAATAGAAACTGAAACCATACTGAGACACCTGCTTCCATCTATTAGAGTGACAAAAACATCAGAAAGTTCACAATACATGGTGCTGATGAAGTTGTGGGGAAACAGGCACCCTCACACATTGTTGGTGGGAGAATAAATTGGTACAACCTCTACAAAGTGCAGTTTGGTCATATGGATCAAAATGTAAAATGCACAAATCTGTTATAAAATCTGACTTCCAGAGATTTCTCCCACAGATACATTCACACACACACACACACACACACACACACACACACACACACACCACACTATGTACAAAGACAGTCACCACAGTATTGTTTGTAGTTGTTGTTGTTTTGAGACAGGGCCTTGCTCTGTCAGGCTGGAGTGCAGTGGCGCAATCACAGCTCACAGCAGCCTTAACCTCCTGGGCTCAGTGACCCTCCCACCTTAGCCTCCTGAGTAGCTGGAACCACAGGCACGCACCACCACAACCAGCTTGTTATTTCATTTGTAAACATGAAGTCTCTCTATGTTGCTGTGGCTGGTCTCAAGCTCCTGGGCTCAAGCAATCCTCCAGCCTCAGCCTCCCAAAGTGCTGGGATTATAGGCGTGAGCTTCTGTGCCTGGTCCACAGTATTGCTTTATAACAGAAAAGGCTGGAAACAACCTAAAGGGCCATCAGTAAGAAAATAACTATTAATGAATATGGTCCGGCCATGCAGTGGAATACTATGCAGCTGTGAAAAAGGACAACACAGGTATGTGTGATGAATTAGAAAGAATGATAGGTATGTTAGGTTAAAAAAAGCAAGCTGCAAGACACTGGGTGTAACATGCATCTATATATGTAAATAAAGAGTGCATACAATCATGTGTGTTTTCGTACGTACAGACTTTCAGTGGCAGAGCCCGTGGGAAACTGGAAGCAGCATTGCTTAGGGAAAGTGAAACCTGGGGGTTAAGGGTGGGGAGAGACACTCGTTTTCATTGGATACTTTTTTCTGTCATTGAATTTTTTCCCATTTAAATGTCTTACCTATGTTTTAAACATAATTTTTAAAATATAAAAGCAATGCTCACTTGTCACAAAATCTAAGCAATGAAATGCAAATGATATGAAACCAGTTGTCCCTAACCACTCCCCTGAAATCACTACTATTAACATCTTTCCAGAGTTAACAAAAGGTCTTAAGTTTAGATATGCTTCTTTTTTTTTTTTTTTTTTTTTTTTTGAGACAGAGTCTCACTCTGTCACCCAGGCTGGAGTGCAGTGAAACAATCTTGGCTCACTGCAACCTCTGCCTCCTGGGTTCAAGCAATTCTCTGCCTCAGCCTCCCGAGTAGCTGGGATTACAGGCGCCCACCACAATGCCCAGCTAATTTTTGTATTTTTAGTAGAGACAGGGTTTCACCATCTTGGCCAGGCAGGTCTTGAACTCCTGACCTCGTGATCCACCCGCCTTGGCCTCCCAAAGTGCTGGGATTACAGGTGTAAGCCACCGCACCCGGCCTAGATATGCTTCTATATTATTCGAACTTGTGCAACAGGCTGTGTGATTTGAAATTAAACACAAGGGCCAGGCACAGTGGCTCATGCTTGGAATCCCAGCACTTTGGGAGGCCAAGGCAGGTGGATCGCTTGAGTCTAGGAGTTCAAGACCAGCCCGGGTGACATGGCGAAACCCCATCTCTAAAAATAATAAATAAATAAACAAATAGATAGATAGATAAATAAAGGAAATTGAACACAAAACCTCCCTTTTGAGTCAACGATTATCAAGGAGGCTGTTATAGTTGCAGAGGTGGCCTGGACAGAGTGGTGGCCATAGAGACAGAGAAGTGGCCAGTTGTAGGAGCAAATGTCACAGGTTCAACTGACAGGGTCAGACGCACAGGCAGGGAGAAACAGGAGGGAGGACATGCCATGAGCTCCCTTGTCTAGGCCCACACTGAGGTGACACGGCCCAAGTGCCCCAGCCCGACAGGGTAGACTGCGATCAGGGTCAGGAATTCAGTGAGGCAGGTCCTGGAGCACTGGGAGGGGGTACGAGGGTCTCAGATATCTGGGGCTGGGACTCTTGAGGTCATAGCAAGATAAGTGGATGACATACTCAGTTTCAAGAGTTAAACCCCAGATTTACATGGCTGCCTGGAGTCTGGATTCACTGGTGTGAAATTTGGAGGGAGATGACGATAATAAGAATACTAATACTAACAGTAACAATAACTATCATAAGAACAGAGGCCAACACTCTGTAGCACTTACTACAGGCCAAGTGCTATATACGTGTTAACTCATAATCCCACAATCACCCTCTAGATATAGGTGGGTATAGAGAAGCATGCCCCCATTTCACAGATGAGAAAACTGAGGCCCAGAGAGGTGAAGTAATTTGCCCACGGTCACACAGCTTGTATGGGATAGAGAAGGGCAGGGCGTATCACTGAACAAAATGGAGGTCCCTTCACCCCAGAGTTGCAAACCCAGCCTCCCTCACTCCCACTACCCCTCTGGGCCTCACTGCATGGATGGACAGTGGCAACAACCCCTCCTGGGCCTCCCTGACTCTACCCTCGTCCCCCATTCCCCACAACAGTCCCTTCTCTATCCAGCGGCCAGAGCGATCTTCCTAAAGTTCTAGTCTCATCTTCCCTTGGTCTGCTCTCAGGCAGGGCCAGGCATTAGGTGAGGCCAGCAGGTGCCGGCACAATGTCAGGAGACCCCCCTCCCAGGTGAGCCCCTGCTCTGGCCTGATTCACAGCGAGGCCTCCTTAGGTTTTGAACACTCAGTGTCCCTCTTGCACAGATGGGAACAGACAGTCTCTGGAATCCCCCCAAAGCCGCATTTGAAGTTTCTTTCCAGGCAGACAGGCCCTTTCCAGGCGGATGGCTGCTTCAATCCAGATGAGGATGGAGGCCTGGGGATCTGGCAGCTCTGGGCTGATGGCACCACGTCCAGGGGAGAGGTTTCTGTTTTCCTGCAGTGGTTCTCTGGCCTATGCTTGCTGGATGGGGGTGTTGGTAAATCCTCCAGCTTCCTGGGGCCTGGGGAGGAGCAACCCTGAGGTGGACTCTGCACCCACTCCCAGAGGCCCCAGCAGGACGGAGCCCCAGCTGCCCAACTGATAACCTGCTCATCTAGACACCCAGCAGTACCAGCTGCCCCCTCCCCTCTGCTCTCAGAGCTTCCTGCGATCAGCTCCCCGCTAAGTTCCCTGCCCTTGGACTCTCTAAGTGTCTGCTTCTGGAAGAGGCCCAAGCCAAGACCTGGGAGACAGGTCAGTGGCTCAGGGCTCTGTGGCTCATGATATCTGCAGTATTCTCTCTGTGGCCTGGGTCTTCCTGTCTTCTGGGTGATCCCTCGGCCTTTGGGAGGCCGAGGTGGTTGGATCACCTGAAGTCAGGAGTTTGAGACCAGCCAGCCTGTCCAACATGGTGAAACCCCGTCTCTACTAAAAATACAAAATTAGCCAGGCATCATGGGGCACACCTGTAATCCCAGCTACTCGGGAGGCTGAGGCAGGAGAATCGCTTGAACCCCGGAGGGGGAGGTTGCAATGAGCCAAGATCACGCCATTACACTCCAGCCCGGGCAACAAGAGTGAAACTCTGTCTCAAAAAAAGGAAAAGAAGAGAAAAGAAAAGAGAGAAGAAAAGAAAAGAAGGCAAGGAAGTTCCATAGCCCATACAGTGGGTATCTTAGGCAGGGCTCTATCAGATGAAAAATATAGCAGAACCCTGACTCAAATTGGCTGATGTCATGAGAATTTACGTCAACTGTCTCTGGTAAAAGCAGGAGTAGAGATAGGCTTCAGGCATGGTTGGATCCAGATGCTAAATCAATGTCTACAAAGATGCACTACCTCTGGCTCTCATCTCTTTTACTCCACACAGACTCTCCAGGTCATGATGTGACCAAGGTTGCCCCTTGCCACTCCCAGCTTTATTCTCACCAGCTCAGCAACCCCAGGGAAAAGGGAGCACCAATTTCCAATTGTTTCAGAACAAGGTCAGTGGCAATGTTACTCAAACTCGAACGTGCCCATGTTCACACTGGGGCCCTGGGGACTATGATAAAATGCAGATTCTGGCTCATAGGTTTGGGGTGGGGACTCAGATGCTGCATTCACTGCATTTTTTTTAAGATAGAGTCTTGCTCTGTTGCCCAGGCTGGAGTACAGTGGCATGATCACAGCTCACTGCAACCTCCACTCCTGGCCTCAAGTAATCCTCCTGCCTCAGCCTCCCAAGTAACTGGGACTTCAGGTGCATGCCATTATACCCAGTTAATTTTTGTATTTTTTGTAGAGACCTGGTCTTACTGTGTCACCCAGGCTCGTCTTGAACTCCTGAACCCAAGTGATCCACCCACCTCGGCCTCCCAAAGTGCTAAGATTACAGGTGCGAGCCACCCCGACCAGCCCAGATGCTGCATTTCTAACAAGCTCCCAGGTGCTCCTTGTGCTGCTGATCTGGAACCATACGTTGAGTAGGAAGGTCTTTGCATGATGCCATTCCTCTCAGCTAAAAGCACATTGTAGGCCAGGCATGGTGGTTCACGCCTATAATCCCAGCACTTTGGGAGGCCGAGGCAGGTGGATCACCTGAGGTCAGGAGATCGAGACCAGCCTGGCCAACATGGCGAAACTCTGTCTCTACTAAAAATACAAAAATTAGCTGGGCGTGGTGGCGGGCGCCTGTAATTCTAGCTACTCTGGAGGCTGAGGCAGTAGAATCACTTGAACCCGGGAGGCGGAGGTTGCAGTGGGCTGAGATTGCAGCATTGCACTCCAGCCTGGGTGATGAGAGCAAACCTCCATCTCAAAAAAAAAAAAAAAAGCACATTGTATACATATGCAGAATATTCATCTAAAGAAAAATCGTAATCAAAATTAAAAAGTAAAAGCACATTGTGCACACACAGGAAACTATTGCTGCATCCCAAGAGTCCCGCATGCAGTAGCTCATCAACTGGTCACAAGGACGTTAGAGGTGGGTGCTCTCATTACCTCATTTCTCCACAAGGCCCAGACACATTCCCAAGCCTGCACAGCTGGGAAGCAGCGAAGCTGCTTTGACCCCAAGTAATGAATTCTCCAGATGGAATAAACAAGGGCCCTGCTGATGGCCCTTAATGCTCTTTGCAATCCTCCTCTATTACAAAACCACCGTGCTGAGCAACCCCACAGGTGCGTGTGTTTGTAAGCATGCACTAGTAGGTTTGGGGAAAGAGATTCCTACAGGCGAAATTGCTGTATCAAAAGATGATGTATGGTTCTATTATTGCTAGGGGCTGCCAAAAGGGAAAGAGACTGCCCATTTCCCCACATCCATGCCAGAACTGCATGTTCTTGTTTTTGCCACTCTGGGGAGAGGCGCCCTTCCTCATGGCCCTAGGAAGGTAGTGAAGTTATGTCCCAGCCCCAGGTAGGCAGCCTCCTTCCTGCAAGGGGTCATCCAGGGAGCACCCTGTGCCAGCCCACCTCTGGGCATCCTGTTGTCATGGAAATATTTCAAGGCCTGCTTTCATCCTGAATAGCAACTTCAGTGGAAAGAGAAGGCCTCTGTTATGGGCTAAATTGTGGTCCCTCAAAATTCATATGTTGAAGTCCCAACCCCCAAGACCTGAAAATATGACTGCATTTAGAGATGGGGTCTTTAAAGAGGTGGTTACGTTTAAATGGTTGTTAGGGTGGGCCCTAATCCAGTCTGCCCGGTGTCCTTATAAGAAGAACAGACCTCAGGAGCGCACATGCACAGAGGGATGACCGTGTGCAGAGGCAGCAAGAGGGTCGCCATCTGCAGGCCAAAGAGAGAGGCCTTGACGGAAATCAACCCTGACAGCCGGCATCTCGAGCTTGGACTTCCAGCCTCCAGCACTGTGAGATAATAACTGTGTTGCTTAAGCCACCCGGTCTGTGGTCTTTTGCTATGGCAGTTCTAGCGAACAAATATAGTCTCTTTCCCTGCACACCTAGAAGAGTTCCTGGGAAGATGCCCATATGCCTGGCTTGGTTCACTTCCCGTCTGTTACCAATTGCTGTGGCCACCAGATGCTGAACTCTAATCGGTCAGGCCTTGGCCAAGTGCTCATCCCTGGAGCTAGGGATGGGCTCAGCCTGCCAACCTGGGTTCACTTTTCCTTGTTTGATTAAAAATTTTAATTTAAAGCAAGTGACGGCTGGATGCAATGGCTCACTTCTATAATTCCAACCTTTTGGGAGGCCAAGGTGGAAGGATCACTTCAGCCCCAGAGTTCGAGACCAGCCTGGGCAACACAGCGAAACCTCAACTCTACAAAAAATATTTAAAACTTAGCCAGGTGTGGTGGCACCCACCTGTGGTCCCAGCCACTTGGGAAGCTGAGGTGGGAAGATCACTCGAGCCTGGGGGATCAAAGCTGCAGTGAGCTGTGATTGCACCACTGCACTACAGCCTGGGTAACAGAGCGAGACCCTGTCTAAAAAAAAAAAAGAAGAAAGTGAGGTCGAACCTGTGGCTAACAAGGGGATAATTTACATGTCTGAGCTCAAGTTCAGATGTACAAGTTGGATTCTCTTTTCTTTTTTGGGGGGTGGGGACAGAGTCTCACTCTGTCGCCCAGGCTGGAGTGCAGTGGCGTGATCTCGGCTTACTGCAACCTCCGCCTCCCGGGTTCAAGCGATTCTCCTGCCTCAGCCTCCCGAGTAGCTGGGATTATAGGCACCCGCCACCATGCCCAGCTAATTTTTGTATTTTTGGTAGAGATGGGGTTTCACCATGTTGGCCAGGCTGGTCTTGAACTCCTGACCTCAAGTGGTCCACCCGCCTCGGCCTCCCAAAGTGCTGGTATTACAGACGTGAGCCACTGCACCTGGCCATCAAAATTAGAAGTCTTTTTAAAAGTCCCTTTGATCCCACCCATGGTAGGCAAACCCTACCTCAGGCATCGGGTCAGGCTGCAATTTCCAACTCATATCTGCTTTTAGCCCCTGGAGATTTCACTTAAATCCTGTGAGCTCAGCCATCTATCCCCAAGATGCAGTTCCTCCAAGATACCTGGCAGGCACCCTGGCAGGAGGGTGTCACGGTTCTCTAACCTGGCTGACTACTGAGCCTCTGGGCTCCATGAGGACAGGATGTCTCTCTCACTCGCTGCTAGCCCAGTCCCTGGCACAGCCCTGGGGCTTGGCAAATATTTGTTGAATGAATAAACAGGCTGTGGCTTATAAGCTGGTTCAGATTCCAGCTCCCCACTCACTCCGCATGGAAGAATCACTTCAATCCTCCAAGCCCCCCGTTCTTCATCTGCATGGGGGATATTTTGTTGTTATTGTTGTTTTTTAAACTTGGGATTTTTTTTTTTTTGAAAAATAGAACAGATACAGATACAAAAACCACACAGCATAAGCATGTGACTTAATGATTTATTATAAGGCAACTGAACACCCTCGTGACCACCTCTAGGTCAAGAAATGTAACTTTGCCTGCCACCCCTGGAAACCCCTGCAGAACCCTGTCCTCTCAAAGCCCTGCCCCTCCCAAAAGTCACTGCTACCCTAAGTGTTATGGATATCACTTGTGTTTCTTTCTTGTTTTACCAACCATGTGAGCAGCCCCAGACACTATACTTAATCTTGCCCACTTTTTAAAAACTTGATGTCTCTTTTAGTTTCTATTCCTCCTCCATCCCTTTCTTTTCCTTACAATTTACCTGCGCAGTACCTGGGCCATTTAACCTGCAGAGATCCCTGGGTCTGGGTTAGGCTGATGACAGCACCGTGTCATGGTTCAACACGTTCTGTCCTTGGGATTTTCTGTAAAACGGCAGCTGGATCCTGAGGCTACACCAGGGATGTTTCCAAGCTTCTGCCCTCACGGGTCGTGGTGAGAATTGAAGGGGGATGGGTGAGTGTTTGATATCAGCGAGCAGCCCCCAGAAGCAGCCGCCAAGGCTGTTCGGAGATGCTCACGAGGCCTGAACATGGACAGCCCGAGGGACATCCCATCTCAACAGTCCATCCTGGCTTCTCTCCCCACCCAGACCCACCCACCCCACTTTGGGAAAGTTCTAGGGCCATGGCTGGCTCATCCCAGCGAGAGCTGGCAGCAGAATGGCCTGTAATTTTAGCTGTTTCTCTTCCCTAAAATTATTTCCCATCTGGAAATGGTTTCCCAACCCTGCCCAGGAAAGAGTTGGTGGTGCAAGGAACATTTTTCTATTAAAAAAAAAAAATAGGGGCCGGGCACTGAGGCAGGAGAATCGCTTGAACCCGGCAGGCGGAGGTTGTGGCGAGCCAAGATCGTGCCACTGCACTCCAGCCTGGGCAACAGAGCAAAACTCCGTCTCAAATAAATATATAAAACCAGCCACCAAACACTGAATCTTTGCAGCCCAGGCTCTGGAGGCCTGGCTGAGTGCCAGCTGTATACCCTGCCTTGAGGGAACTCTGTCAGCGAGGAGCAGAGGGTGAGAGGGCATAGTCAGGGCTCTGCTGCCAGGATACCCCCACCCACCCAGTACATTCGGACAAGGACTTTGTTGCAGGGCCTGGGACAGCCCCAGGCGAGCTGAGAAGGATCCGACCTGGGGTTGAGTGGCCTGCCCAGCTGCTGCCACACTCGAGGTCTGTGGGTTATTCTAGGTCCCACAGGGCATGAAATCACAGAGCAGAAGTTCTTCCTATGGGGATTCTCTTGCAGCTGCTCTGAGCATTTCAAGAAAAAAAAAAAATCCCTGCCGCTAACATCTCCCCATCACCTCGCTAATTCTCTTCTTTCTTTCCTTTTTTTTTTTTTTTTTTTGAGACGGAGTCTCGCTCTGTGGCCAGGCTGGAGTGCAATGGTGCCATCTCAGCTCACTGTAACCTCTGACTCCCTGGTTCAAGCGATTCTCCTGCCTCAGCCTCCTGAGTAGCTGGGATTACAGGTGCCCGCCACCACACCCAGCTAATTTTTGTATTTTTAGTAGAGACGGGGTTTCACCATGTTGGCCAGGATGGTCTTGATCTCCTGACCTCGTGATCCGCCCACCTCGGCCTCCCAAAGTGCTGGGATTACAGGCTTGAGCCGCCGAACTCTCTTCTTTCTAACAAAGTTCTCACAGGCCCCTGACTCCTGACTGTGCAAGCAAGAGCATCTGGCAAGAATATCATGATATTTTTTAGCACTTCTTGTACTTATTTTCATAATTTTTTTTTTGAGACAGAGTCTCACTCTGTCACCCTGGCTTGAGTGCAGTGGCACCATCTCAGCTCAACCTGCAACCTCCGCCTCCTGGGTTCAAGTGATTCTCCTGCCTCAGCCTCCTTAGTAGCTGAGATTACAGGTGTGCACCACCATGCCTGGCTAATTTTTGTATTTTTAGTAGGGACAAGGTTTCACCATATTGGCCAGGCAGTCTTGAACTTCTGACCTCAGGTGATCTGCCTGCCTTGACCTCCCAAAGCGCTGAGATTACAGGCGTGAGCCGCCATGTCCAGCCTTATTTTCTTATTTCCTTTTTTTTTTTTTTAGACGGAAGCTCACTCTGTTGCCCAGGCTGGAGTGCAGTGGCATGATCTCGGCTCACCACAACCTCCGCCTTCTGGGTTCAAGCGATTCTTCTGCCTCAGCCTCCCAAGTAGCTGGGACTACAGGCATGCGCCACCATAGCTGGCTAATTTTTATATTTTTAGTAGAGTTGGGGTTTCACTATGTTGGCCAGGCTGGTCTCGAACTACTGACCTTGTTATCTGCCCACCTCAGCCTCCCAAAGTGCTGGGATTACAGGTGTGAGCCATCGTGCCTGGCACCCAGCCTTATTTTCATAACTGTTTTCATGATAAATGATATAGGTTTTCCATGTTTGCTAATGATATAAAGTTTCCTCTGCAGAAACAGGTTTAAAGAAAAATGTGGGCAGAAAGTCCGTTTAAAATATATATTAAGGAAAATAAAACACAGATAGCACAAAATCCAAAGCTACCTGGAGTTTTGGTGCCTGGAGCCATGGTGAAGAGGGCATACTCCAGATCTGAGGGCCCAGGCTTGCATTCTGGCTGTGACTCTGTGGGCCCTGTGATTTTAGGCAAGTCACTTGCCTTCTCTGAGTCATGGTGCTTTACCTGTAAAAGAAAGGAAAATAATAACACCTCCTTCCTATGATGATCTCTGAGAATTCAATAAAACAATGCTGAGAAGACACTCAGCCCAGTACCAGGCACATGGGTTGCATTTAATTCTGTCAGAACACAAGGTGGGTGCTATTTTTATTCCTGTTGGGAAGCTGAGGCCCAGAGAGGTCATCTAGCCCATCCAAGGTTGCACAGCTTGTAGGTGGTGGAGGTGGAACTAGAACCCACAAAGTTCTAATGTGAGACTGGGATTTGTGCTCTTAAACCACTGTGCTGCTATTGGCAGATCCATCTATCCACCCATCCATCTGTCCGTCCATCCATCCATCCATCCATCCATCCACCCACCCATCCATCCATCCACCCACCCACCCATACATTCATTCATTTGGTCAGAATTCATGGAATTGTTCTGAGTTCATGGTGTTTTCTCAAAAAGCAGCAAAGTGCAGAAGTTCCCAGAGTAGGTTCAAATCCCAACCTGCCATGTACAGGACACCTGGGCAAGTTGTCCCACCTCTCCGAGCCTCAGCTTGCCCATCTGGAAGAGGGGAACATTGATAGCCCTTTGAAATTCCCGCAGGAGGTAGAAGACTGTTTTCTGGGACTTCACAGTGTCCTACGTGCCCTGCATCTGACCCCATGGTCTGCGTTCACCTCTAAGTCTCAGTGAATCAAGCTCCGCCATATGTCTGCCTCATCCTGCCTCCCTCCTCCCTTTCACTCCAATTTAGCCAGACTCAGCCATTGGGGTTCCCTGAACAGCCCCTGGGCCTTTGTACACTTTGTTCCTCCAGCCCGAAATGTCCTCTTGCTTCCATCTGGTAACCATGATTCCTCCCTGAAAAATCAGGTGGGCTTCCCCCTCTGCCCCAGGAGCATCCCCTGAGGCTGAGCCAAGCTCTGCCTTTCTGGGCTCCCCCAGCTCCCCGCTTCTCTGACATGGAAAGGTCATGGATGTAATAACTTAGACAAACTCTTGTGCTCTGCCACTGTCCACCTTCTTGGTCACAAATGTCTGCTTCCCTTCTTTCATGCAGGTACATGCACCCCTCTGCAAACGAGTCCACACACATGTTTTTACACAATCATGGCATGTGATCCGAAGGCATGAGATCTGCCTTCGTACATGCAACATGCAATGGTGGAACGGCATTACCTCTGGCTAGTGACCTCTCCTGGACTCAGCTATCACCTCTGCAGAAAGGGGGCAGTAACAGGACCTGCCGCACATCTGCTGTCATGAAGACCACATGAGCTAATATATGTGGGAAGCCCTTAGCACAGCGCCTGGGAGAGCATAAGCGCTCGATGCAAGGCAGAAGAAAGGCGTGTCCTGGTGTGACAGGGCCCTTCCGACCAGGGCTGGTACTAAGGTGAGAAAAGCGAGGTGCCTACCGTGCAAAATGTAAGGCAGCGTTCACTCTCAGAGCAGTGCACCTGCCGCTGGGTCCTCGGAGCCACAGAGCAGTCCCGCTCGCCCCCTGCTGGTCACTCTGCAGAATGACGTCCCTTCCCTCTGCTCTCAGGGGTCCCTGAGCCTCGGTTTCTTCACCTGTAAGGTGGGGTAGGAGAATCTGCCTCTCAGTTTGCAGGGCAAACAGGAGGCACTCCTCCAACATCAGTGTCCTCCTCTCAATGCCAGCACTTAATGAGCACCTACTATGTGCAAAGAAAGATGACTGAGACATGATCCCTACCCTTCAGGGGTTTAGCGAGTGGAGAGGGGAGGAGGTAGGCTGGGAACAGTGACTAAAGTAAGACACTTGTCCCTATGCAGCACCTACTGCTTACCCCAGAGCAGTCAGAACCACTGCCCTGGCATCTGTCCATCTGCATATGTTTACTAAGCACCTACTGTGTGCCTGAGCCCAGGCTCAGCTGTGGATTTACATGGATTAAGGGGTTTAATGCTGTCAGAACACAAGGTGGGTGTTCTTTTTATTCCTGTTGGGAAGCTGAGGGCCAGAGAGGTCATCTAGCCCATCCAAGCTTGCACAGCTTGTAGGTGGTGGAGGTGGAACCAGAACCCCCAAAGTTCTAATGTGAGGCTGGGATTTGTGCTCTTAAACCGCTATGCTGCTATTGGCAGATCCATCCATCCACCCATCCATCCACCTACCCATCCATCTATCCAACCATCCATCCATCTATCCATCCATCCCCATCCGTCCATCCACCCACCCATCCATTCATTCAACAAATATTCGTTGAGCACCTACTGAGTGCCAGACACAGTGCTGAGTGCTGGAGAGATGCCAGTGACCAGAAAGACACAGCCCATCCCTGCCCCCAGCAGCTGTTCACAAAGAGAGGATGGGCAATAAGCAAGACAAATAAGTAAAATATATGGCACTTGGTGATTCTTGCTGTATATAAAAATAGAGTAAAAGCTGTGCACGGTGGCTCACACCTGTAATCCCAGCACTTTGGGAGGCTGAGGCGGGAGGATCACCTGATCCCAGGAGTTTGGAACCAGCCTGGGCAACATAGCATAGTACAGACCCTGTCTCTACTAAAAACACAAAAAATTAGCTGGGCATGGTGGCTCATGCCTGTAGTCCCACCTACTTGGGAGACTGAGGTGGGAGGATTGCCTGAGCCTAGTCGAGATCGAGGCTGCAGTGAGCCGTGATTGTGTCACTGAACTCCAGTCCAGGTGACACAGCGAGACCCTTTCTCAAAAAGGCTGGGCGCGGTGGCTCACGCCTGTAATCCCAGCACTTTGGGAGGCCGAGGCTGGTGAATCACTTGAGGTCAGGAGTTTGAGACCAGCCTGGCCAGCATGGTGAAACCCTGCCTTTACTAAAAATACAAAAATTAGCTGGGCGTGGTGGCGTGCCTCTCAGGTACTCGGGAGGTTGAGGCACGAGAATCGCTTGAACCTGGGAGGTGGAGGTTGCAGTGAGCCGAGATCGCACCACTGCACTCCAGCCTGGGTGACAGAGCGAGACCCTGTCTTAAAAAAAAAAAAAAAAAAAAAAAAAAGGCAGCACAGAAGACTGAGAGGGTGGGGCTGGAGTGTGTTTCAATTTTAAATTAGGCCTTGAGGGCCATTGAGGGACCTTGGCTCTCATTGTGAGTGAGCTGGGAGTCATGGAGGGTTCTGAGCAGGGGAGGAGCCTGGCCTGACTTAGGCCCTTGCAGAATCACTCCACCAGGAGGCCAGAGTGTTAGGACCCAGGGTGGAGGCTGCGAGCTCGGGGAGGAGGTGACCGCACACAGGATGGCGGCTGGGCTTGGCGGGGCAGTGGAGTGGGGAGACAGAGTCTGGATGTATCCTGAAGGTGGAACAGACAGGATTAGCTGGTGGATGGGACATGTCGGTGGCAGACAGAGAGGAGTCGGGGATGAATGACTCCCTGAGCCTCTGGGGAGGGTGGAGCTGGCTGCCCTTAAGGCTAAGAAGGCTGTGGGCAGAGCAGGTTTCTGCGGGAGATGAGGAGTGGGTTGCGGATGCATTCACCCTGAGTTGCCTGGCAGTGTGGACGTGGAGTTTGGGTTTACCCTCGTGTTGACAGGTACACGCTCGCGGTGCGGTTATCACGCTGCTGCTGGTGTCACCACGCGGGCGCTGCAGGGACGGACCTTTCCCATCGCCAGGCTCTTCGGGGACTGCTGCAATGCCCCGTGCAGCCGCCAGGGAGCGCCCGAGCCGCACCCAGGACGCGCGGGGACCGGGTCATCCCGCGGGCTACCTGTGCGGGGCAGGACGCTTAGCCGCACCCTTGGCCTCCGACTACTCGGAGTCTGTTGCATTCCTCCTTCCCCCCGCGCGCCGTGTGACAGCCAAAACTGTCCCCAGACATTGCCAGGCGCCCCCTGGAGGGGAAAGTCGCCCCCACGGCAGTCAGAGCCATGGCCTGCGCAGCCACATTCATTTACTGAGCGCCTACTGTGTGCCTGCGTCTGGGCTCCGCAGGGGCTCACGGGGGTTTCTCCTTTTCATCCAGGTTTCTGTTCAGATGTCACCACCTCAGAAAGACCCTGTCCTAGACACGCTCCATTCAATGACCCGAAAGGATCTTGTTGAAATGTTAACTTATTACATTTTTGGGTTTTTGTTGTTGTTGTTTTTGGTTTTGCTTTGAGACAAGGTCTTGCTCTGTCACCCAAGCTGGAGTGCAGTGGCACAATCTAGGCTCACTGCAGCCTCAACCTCCTGGGTTCAAGTGATCCTTCCACCTCAGCCTCCAAGTAGCTGGGACCACAGGTGTGCACCACCACACCCGGCTATTTTTTTTTTTTTTTTTTTTTTTAGTAGAGACAGGGTCTCACTATGTTGCCCAGGCTAGTCTCAAACTTCTGGGTTCAAGTGATCCTCCTGCCTCTGCCTCCCAAAGTGCTGGGATTATGCCACTCTGCCTAGCCTTCTTTATTGTCTGTCTCCCCTACCCAGCAGACAAACCCCTGCCCTCTTAGAGTGCAACTTCCAGTGAGCCAGATGGTCACCTCTTTGAAGTGGTGGCATTTGAGTTGTGCCTTGAAGGATAGAAGCTGCCGATCATGGCAGAATTTGAAGAAAGGTCTTTCCTGGCAGAGGGAAAAGTCAGGGCGAAGGCCTAGGGGCTGCTCAAGTCCCTGCCTTAAGGCATTTAGAGCGTCCTGCCCAGTGGGTGATGGGTCCCCAGGCCACACACAGCTGCTGGCCGAGCGCCCCAAGTCATCAGGAAGCCATGTGGTGTGGACAAGGGCCAGGCAGCCTGGACACACAAAGGCCCATTGACAGCTGCATGGGAAAAGTCCAGGGCACCCAAGCCGGAAGCCCAAGGCTGGTCCCTCTTGTCAACTCCCAAGGAGCTTTGGGTGGGGACAATAGAAAAGCCAGACCTTCTCAGGAGACTCAAGTTTCCCTGGGGTGGGGCAAAAATGCAGGTGGCCTGGTCACTGGGACATGCAGGGCAGCTGTGTGAGGCTTTTGCAGTCCCCCAGCCCTGGTTCTAAGTCTAGCCCTGCCCCCTGCTAGCAGAGTGACCTTGGTCATGTCATGCTCCCTCTCAGACCCTAAGTTCCCTCATCTCTAACACAGGGTGAAAGCTGGGTGCAGTGGCTCACACCTGTAATCCCAGCATTTTGGGAGGCCAAAGTGGGTAGATCGCTTGAGTCCAGGAGTTTGAGACCAGCTGAGCAACATGGTGAAACCTCGTCTCTACAAAAAATACAAAAATTAGCTGGGCATGGTGGCACACGCCTGTAGTCCCAGCTACTCGGGAGGCTGAGGTGGGACAATCACTTGAGCTAGCAAGGTTGAGGCTGCAGTGAGCGAAGATCACGCAACTGCACTCCAGCCTGGGCAACAGAGCAACACTCAGTCTAAATAAATAAATAAATAAATACAATGGGGTGAAAAATAGAAGCAACCTTCCAGCAATGGTGTGAGACTGCCTGGGTAGAGTAGTGGGAACCAGGCCTGATTCAGCAGGTGTTTAAGAGCAGGTGGTCAGTTCCAGCAGTCAGCTATAGTGGCTGGCTGGAGTGGCCATCTGTGGCGGTCAGTAGTGGTGGTCGGTCATAGTAGTCAACTTTCATGGTCGGCTATCACGACACTAAGCATGAGGACCGTCAGGTGAGCATGGCTGGGGTGTTTGGTCAGACAGACCTGGGTTCCACAGGTCTCCTGCTTTCCAGTGTGGGGCAGATATGATCTCCTTTTTCCAAGCCTCTGTTCCTCCATCTGTAAGATGGGGATAATGAGAGCCCTACACAGGGCAATGACTGTGAAGCGCCCAGCACTGGGATTATAGAATGTTCCAGGGCTTTGGAGGGCAGCCTCAGAAGAGCAGGCCAAGGAAAGCGCAGGCCTCCCGACTGAAGGAGGTCTGCAGAGCCAGCAGGTAAAGAGTGGCTATAAACGAACAGGAGCTGGGCCTCCCTCCGCGGGCAGTGGGGACGCATGAGGGCATGTTCCCAGCCTGATAGCAGGAAGCATTTCTGGAAAAGCCCAGCTGAATAGTGAAGATAGCAGAGCAGGAATGTGAAGAACGCAGACCTGGGATCAGCTTGCTGGGCTCAAGTCCCCTGTACTAGCTGTGTGTCCTTGGGCAAGTTACTTGACCTCTCTGTGCCTTGGTTTCCTCATCTGTGAAACAGGGATAAGATCAACCTAACTAGGCTATGGGGTTGATGTGAGGTCCTGATGAGAGAATATTTCTACAAAGAATGACAGATAGGCTGAGGGCCTTAAACGATGACGCAGGCCAGGCATGGTGGTGTGTGCCTATAGTCCCAGCTACTAAGGAGGCTGAGGTAGGAGGATCGCTTGAGCCTGTGAGGTTGAGGCTACAGTGAGCCGAGATTGCACCACTGCACTCCAGCCTGGGTGACAGAGCCAGACCCTGTCTCAAAATAAATAAATGATGTTGGACTGAGAAAGCATCAACACTCACCCAGGCTCTGGGGGGAAGGTGGATGTGAGCAAGGCCAGGAAGAGCCAGGAGGAATAGGAGGCAACCCCTGTATGTTTGTGTGAGCGCAGCCAGGTGCCAGGGTCGGGGGCGGCAGGAGCAGAAACCCTGAGAATGTAAAACAATTCAGCAGCGGCCGGGCACGGTGGCTCACGCCTGTAATCCCAGCACTTTGGGAGGCCGAGACGGGCAGATCACGAGATCAGAAGATCGAGACCATCCTGGCTAACACGGTGAAACCCCGTGTCTACTAAAAATACAATAAAAATTAGCCAGGCGTGGTGGCGGGCGCCTGTAGTCCCAGCTACTCGGGAGGCTGAGGCAGGAGAATGGTGTGAACCTGGGAGGCAGAGCTTGCAGTGAGCCGAGATTGCGCCACTGTACTCCAGCCTGGGTGACTGAGCGAGATTCCATCTCAAAACAAACAAACAAACAAACAAACAAACAAACAAAAAATTCGGCAGCAGTGGCAATGGCCTCAGGGACTCTGAGAGCTACTAACACAGCCACCTGGACCCACATAGGAAAAGCAA
The DNA here is from genome assembly GCF_000001405.40 of Homo sapiens. NCBI lineage: Eukaryota > Metazoa > Chordata > Mammalia > Primates > Hominidae > Homo > Homo sapiens. The sequence continues at coordinate 49,614,561 of NC_000020.11, forward strand.
GCATTCTGAGATCGGAAGTATGAACTTTGGCCTGGGACAATAGGGAGCCACTGAAGGTTTGGTAGTCAAGGGTCAGCCCCTCTTACCCTGAGAGTTGATATAACTAGGATACTCCACAGCTTCATCCCCAGCACCTACCTCGGGGCCTGCAACATAGTAGGTGCTCAGGGAAATGATTTTAAATGAAGAAATGCATTAATGGGTGAATGAGAAACTGGCTACTAAAAGCTGGCCTTATTTTGCCCTTCACCCACATAGCACTGGGTACCTCCAGGGACTTAGATACAGAGGGACCAGCAAAGGTAAATGTCCGGAGTGGGAACAAGCTCAGGGAGACAGAGGAGCAGTGAGGAGGCCAGAGAGGCTGGAGTAGAGAAAACAAAGGGAGAACGGGGAGGGGAGGCCCCGCGGAGGTGAGCCGGCTGGACCTCTCAAGGCCTTGCGAGTAGGGAATAGCGCTTTCTTCCAAGTGCAGTGGGAGCCTCCAGAGGGTTTGGTGGTTGTGTGTGTGTGTGTGTGTGTGGGGGGGGGGGGGTTTGTTTGATTGGTTTGTTGTTGTTGTTGTTATTGTTGTTGTTGTCGTCATTGTTTTTCAGACGAGGTGTTGCTCTGTCACCCAGGCTGGAGAGCAGTGGTGCAATCTCAGCTCACTGCAGCCTCGACCTCACAGGCTCAAGCGATCCTCCTACCTCAGCCTCCAGAGTAGCTGGGACTACAGGCACGCACCACCATGCCTGGCTATTTTTTTTATTTTTTGTGGAGACAGGGTCTCGCCATGTTGCCAGGGCTGGTCTCAAACTCCTGGACTCAAGCGATCCTCCCGCCTTGGCCTCCCAAAGTGCTTGGATTACAGGCATGAGACACCATGCCCAGACAGTTGCATTTTAAATCCTCCTATCAAAGAGCATAGGCATTATTATCCCCATTTCACGGATGAGGAAACTGATGCTCAGAGATTGAATGATTTACCTAAGGTCACACAGCTACGTAGAGACAGTGCCAGGATTCAGCCTCAGCCCATTGGGCTGTGGGATCTGCAGGGCTGGAGGGGATAGAACAATGCCAGCTGGAGCCAGCACTGCTCCCCATCTGCTAAGCTCTGCCCTACGACCTCTAGGTGACACTGGGTGTTGGCAGGCATGAAGGACCTACACCGTGGGACTGTGGGGAACACGACCAGGCCCTGATCAGTAGGTCTGCTGAGTCACCAGGCCTGGCCCAGAGCTAACCTCCGGCAGCCAGGAGCCGCCCCAGGGTCCGTCCTTGGTGCCCTGCCCAGCAGCTGCCAAGCACAGCCACTGCCACATGAGCTGGATGTCCTGCAGAAGCCAGAGTGACAAACTACCCCCAAATCTGCCCTCCTCCCTGTGCTGTGTGGCCTCTGGCAAGTCCCCTGCCCTCCCTGGCCTGCGGTGCACCTGCTGTCTCGTGCAAGCCCCAGGCCGCAGTGCCCCTCCCTTTGTGCTGGGTAGAATCCTGGCCAATTGCTGATACCGAGTTTAGACCGGAGGGCAGAAAGGCGGGACAGGTAAGTGCAGACAGTGGGGAAGGCTGTGGGCCCCACAGGACTAGACTCTTGTGGGTGTGGCGGAGGACAAGGCTGCCCATCAGAGCCCCAGGGGCCCAGGCTCCACCCAGGTAACAGGACACAAGAAGAGAGAGCCTCCTAAGCAGAACTCGGTTTCTATAAGCAAGACAGATAGATAGGGCAAGCCAGCTAGCATTTATTGAGCACTTAATATGTGCTAGGCATTCTACAGCTATTCTCTTACTTAATCTTCTCAATAGCGGGTGATGATCATGATGCATGGTGATTCCTGTTTTGCAGATGAGGAAACTAAGACCTAAAGAGGTAAAGTCCTTGCTCAAGGTCCCCAAGCCAGGAAGTGGCAGAGCCAGGGTGAAATCCAAGTCCTTGTCATTCCAGAGCCTCTGCCTGGACCTGGAAGCCCCTCAGACTCTAAAGCTCTAATCCCCCCCCAACCCCCCCAGCAAAGTGCAGCATTCAGGACTGAGCCTCAAGGGACCAGCCAGGTCTGATTGTGAACCTCAGAGCAAGGCAGGATTGTCAGTGCAGTAACGTGAGACTGGTGGGGCCTGATGGCCTCCTTGGGGACAGCCTGGGACAATCGCAAACAGAAGCTGGCTCTGTGCTGGAGCTTGCCCTGTCCTGGGGACCTCTCCCACCCAGGACGAGCTCACCTCAACATGTAAGTCACCTGGGACCCGAGGAGCCCATTCTAGGGATGTAAAACCTGAGGCCCAGAATGTCCCTCTAACGTGCCCAAGGTCACACAGAGAGTGAGCACACAATTGGTACTACTGGAACCCAGTTGCCTGTCTTGTGCAGCCTCAGTTTCTTTTCCTCCCGGGATCTCCTGTGTTAAAAAAAAAAACATACAACGTGGCCGGGCGCAGTGGCTCATGCCTGTAACCCCAGCACTTAGGGAGGCCGAGGTGGGCAGATCACCTGAGGTCAGGAGTTCAAGACCAGCCTGGCCAACACAGCGAAACCCTGTCTCTACTAAAAATACAAAAATTACCTGGGTGTGGTGGTGCCTGCCTATAGTCCCAGCTACTTGGGAGGCTGAGGCAGGAGAATCACTTGAACCTGGGAGGCAGAGGTTGCAGTGAGCCCAGATTTCGTCATTGCGCTCCAGCCTGGGCAAGAGAGTGAGACTCCATCTCAAACAAAACAAAACAAAAACAAGAACAAAAAAACGCACAGTGTACTCTCTTGACCCTCATCATCTTCCAACAAGCACCCTGGTCCTCCGTCCCACCTAAGGCTGAACTTCTGGTGGAAGCTGTGCATACTCCCCCACCCACTTTCACACCCCGCCACCCTCCTCACCCTGCACCCTCCTCACCTCACCCCCTCTCCTCACCCCACCCTCTCCACACCCCACCCTCTCCACACCATCACCCTCTCCACACCATCACCCTCTCCACACCCCACCCTCTCCACACCATCACCCTCTCCACACCATCACCCTCTCCACACCCCGCCCTCTCCACACCATCACCCTCTCCACACCCCACCCTCTCCACACCATCACCCTCTCCACACCCCACCCTCTCCACACCATCACCCTCTCCACACCCCACCCTCTCCACACCCCACCCTCTCCACACCATCACCCTCTCCACACCCCACCCTCTCCACACCATCACCCTCTCCACACCCCACCCTCTCCACACCACCACCCTCTCTACACGGCCACCCTCTCCTCACCGCCACCCTCTCCTCGGTGCCCTTGAGCAGGCCTTCATCCCCTGTGTCACCAAATGGCTCTTGGTGTTGTGATCCTTGCTGCCAAGTCCCAGTGTGGGATCCCGTGCTCAGAGCCACTTCTCAGCAACGTTTGACACTATTGACCTCCCTCTCCTTCTCGAAACATCCTTCTTGAAACAGCCTCTATTCCTGACACTAGATGCTCCATGGGCCCTGCCTCTCCTCCTCCTCCCTGGCAGCTCCAACTCAGTGGCTTTAAACAAACATGTGTTCTGATACATCTCAGACTCCCAACAGCATCCTTGATCTCTCTCCAGGGCTCTGGACTTGAATGTCGAGTTACCTACTTGAAATATCCTAAAAACACAGCCTGGTTCCCCACAAAGACTTATTTCATTCCTCCTTCCTTATCTCCGCACTCTCCAGTCTTTGTTCCTCAGTGACACCACCCTGTAGCTCAAGCATCAAAGTGACGTATCATTCTCAAGTCCTCTGTTTCCCTCCCACCACCTCCAAAATTTGTCCTGAGTTTTCCATTTCTCTGTAACCCCATGGCCACCACCCTGGTCCAGGCTGCTACCGTCCTCACCCTTGACCTCCTTGCTGTTTCTTTTTGGGGTTTTTTTTTTTTTTTTTTTTTTTTTGCTGCTACATTTGCTTCCCATGCTGCCGGGGGAACTTTCAGAAACATAAATCAAAACATGTCACTTGCCTGCTGGAAACCTTCCAGTGGCCTCTGGCTGCCTTTCCAAAGACTCCCAAGTCCTCACATTGGCCTACAAGGCCCCATCTTCTTCTCCAGCCTTCCCTCCTCCCTTCCTATTCAGCCACATTGGCTTCCTTTCATGTTCTCCAGCAAGCCAAGTTCTTTCCTGCCTAGGGGCCTTTGCACTTGCTGTTTCTTCTGTCTGTAACTCTCTTCCTTCTGCTCTTCCTATAACTGCCTCTTTCTCTTCTTTTAAAGCCCAGCTCAACCATCACCTTTCCAGAGATCACTTCCCTGATCATCTAATTGAAGGACCTCACCCTTCACCCTGGTCACTCTCAACCCTATCATCCTGTTTATTCCCTTCATAACTCAGCAATGTCGGGAGCTCACTTACTTGTTGACTTGTTTATTGTCTATCCACCTCTCTTCCCCAGAATGTTGGTCCCATGAAGGCAGGGATTTAATATCTTTCTTATTCAGTGCATTAGATGGAAACCAGGTACACACAGCACAGTGCCTGGCACATAGAAAATGCTCAATAAATATTGGATGGATGGATGGATGGATGAGATGGATGAATGAATGGATGGGATGGATGGGATGGATGGATGATAGATGGATGGGATGAATGGATGGATGTGATAAATGGATGGTTGAGATGAACCGATGGATGAATGGATGGGTGGATGGGTAATGAATAGCTGGAATGGGTAGTTGGATAGATGGATGATGGATGGGTGGATGAGATGGATGGATAGATGGATGATGAGGGATGGATGGATGAGATGGATGGATAGATGGGATGGATGGATGGGATGAATGGATGGATGAAATGGAGGGATGAATGAATGAGATGGATAGGAGGGATGAATGAATGGGATGGATAGGATGGATGAATAGATGGATGAATAGGTGGATGGATGAATGGGTGGGTGGGGGATGGATGGATAGGGTGAATGGATGGATGGATGAATGGATAGTTGGATCGATGGATGGATGGATGGATGAATGAGATGGATGGGATGGATGGATGAATGAGTGGGATGGATGAGATGGATGGATGGATGAATGGATGTGTGGGTGGGGGATGGATGGTTGGGATGGATGAATGGATGAGATGAATGGATGGATGAGTGGATGACATGGATGGATGGATAGATGGATGGGATGGATGGATGGATGGATGAGTGGATGGGATGGATGGGTGGATGAATGGATGGATGGATGGATGGATGGGATGGATGGATGGAAGGACGGATGGGTGGGTAATGGATAGATGGGATGGGTGGATGGATAAATGGATGGATGGAATGGATGGATGGATGGATGGATGAGTGGATAGGATAGATGGCTGGATGGATGGATGGATGAGTGGATAGGATAGATGGCTGGATGGATGGATGGATGGGATGGATGGATGGATGGATGGACGGATGAGTGGGTAATGGATAGATAGGATGGATGGATGGATGAGAGGATGGGATGGATGGGATAGATGGATGGATGGGGGATGGATGGATGGATATGCAACCAGATAAACAAACCTAAAGTACACCTTTAATCATGCCACTCTCCTTCTCCAGAACCTAACTTGGCTGCCCACTGCCTATGGAATAGACAGCAAACTCTCCTCTGGGACATTCAAAGCGTTCTGAACTGATTCCAAAGTGGGGGTGCAGTGAGTGATAAGTGAGAAGATAAGTCATTCATACTGAAGCATTAGGAAGTGGATCAGTTAACCATCTCTCTCCTTGATCTGGGCATGAGCCATTTGAGGGCAGGGTCATCTTCATCTCTCTGTCTAGACATTGAGCCCTTGGTCAGCAACATCAGAGATGTCTGATGAATAAATACATGACTGAGTGAGCGAGTGAGCAAGTGAAAGCAGCCCCACTCTGCCCCAAAAAGCCAGCAAGCGAAAAGCAGGAAGCTTCAGACCCAGAGGGCTGAACAGTTCAAATTTAGAATAGGAGAGCAGTTTCACTGTTTCAGGTCACTGCTCCTGGCCAAGGTTTCAAAAGTATGTAAAGCTGGGGCTCTGCAGCAACAGGAAAATTGAAACTTACCAGAAACTAGACTGGCAGTGTCTCTCGGGAGGGACTGATTTGAATGCCAATGACCTGATCCTCCAATTATAAGAGCAGCACAGTGTCAGACTAAAAAGCACACTCCCACGTAATTGCAACCAAAGCCACAAAGACTCCCACAACTAAGAGTGGCACTTCTTCAGTGTCCCGTCCTGCTGACACACTTTTGGTTTTTGCAGACCTTGGGCCCTTCCATTGTGACTCTTGGTTTGCAGGTGGAAGAGGAGCAGAGCTGTGAAGAGGAGAGCTTGGGGTCACCTCAGCTCTGCCAGAGGTTCTGTGACCTGCCAGAGGCTCTGGGACCTTCCCTGAGTCATCATCTGTGGAGAAAGGACTTGCCACTGAGTGGTGTGTTCTACTTGTACCGCTCTTCTGATCGATCAGCGTCTTTGATTGGGTTCCCTGGGAAACAGACTCAGAGAGCTGGGCACGCAGGTGGTTTACTGGGGAGTGCTCTCACGCACAGCACCTGTGAAGGGGGTAGAGTGGTGTGGGGGGCAGTGATGTGGGGCTGGAATGCAGGCACACCAGAGGCCTCACCAGAGCTCAGAGGCTGGAACAGCCCTTCTGAGTTGCCTACATCAGGACCATGAAATGGGGTCCTTAGACCCCCATGTCAACCCGACGTTGGAGGTGGCCTGCCCCTATGGAGGAGGCAGTCTTAGGCAAGGCGATTCTCCTTGGCTGAAGGCGAATCCTGGAGCCTCTGTCCTGAAGGAGAATCCAGGTGGCAGACTACAATCTCCACTGAAGTCCACTCCTCTTCACTTCCACCGCCTGGAGCCAACCCATCACCTCTCATCTGGATGCAGCCTTAAGATCCTCCCCAGAGCTCAGCATTCATGCTTGGCCCTTCACCAACAGAGTCCAATCTGCACCAGGAACCCAAAGCCACAGGAGGTCTCCCAGCACAGAAATCAGATCACTTCACTTCACTGCTTGAAACCCTCAAATGGCCTCCCAGAACAAAACACACTCAGAATAAAATCCTGAGTGATCCCTGCCTCTGCCTATGACCTCTCCCTTCACTGTGCTTCAGCCCTTTCTCTCTCTCTCTCTTTTATAACAATCCATCATGACGTTCAATGTTCTCTTTTTCTTGAGACAGCAGCTGTGTTCCACCGCAGGGCCTTTGCTCTTGTTGTTCCCGCTGCCTGACGTTCTCTTCCCTCAGATCTTCCCATGGCTGACTCTACGTCCTTCAAGTTTCATCTGACACGTCACCTCCTCAGAGGGATATTCCCTGGTTATCCGATCTAAAGTGGTTCCACATTCCTCGCACGTTACCTTCCTTTTAAACCACTTCTCACTGTCTGAAACTATCTTATGACTTTACTAGTTGACTTCCTGTCTCCTTCCATCAGAATAAACTCCGTGGGGGTAGGAATCACATCTGCCTTGTTCAACTCTGTTACCTGCAGCCTCTAAACCAGAAACCAATGCGTTGTAGGTGTTATCTATTTGTTGAATGGCTTAATAATGATTTCATGATTCTGTCTCCTTACTTATTGCTAATCTTGCTCTTTTTACTGTTTGCCTTAATCAATCAGATTTGTCAGGATTTATCTGTCTTCAGGTGCTTTCTTTTTAAAGAACACCTTTTTCACTTTATTTATCACTTCTACTTTGTTTTTTCTATTTCATTAATTGCATAGTTTACCTTTAATTTCTTATTCCTATCCTTTTGGCTTCTTATATTTTCTATTTTCTTAAGTTAAATACTTAATCCACTTTGTTTTCAATTTTTAAAAATAATAGACGTCTTTAAGGCTATACATTTTCCTCTGTAGGCAGCATTAGCTATGTCTCACACACTTTGGTATGAACAGTGTCTGCTTTTTAAGACTCTAGATAAGTTTCCATGTTGGTTCTGATTTTCCTCTGATTCAGGGGCCATTTAGAAATAATAGCTATTTTTCAAGAAGTTAAAATTTTGAGGTTGCTTTTGATAATTTATTCTGAATTTTATTGGATTATGAAATGAGAATGTGGCTTGGAAACATCTCTACTTTGCAACTTCACTTTGCCATTTACAAACTCTCACTAGACCAGAGTTTCCTTGCTGAGCATGTTTCCTCATCTGTAAAGCGAGCACAATAAACAGTGGCTACAGATTTATGCCAGGTGTGGTGGCTCATGCCTGTAATCCCAGCACTTTGGGAGGCCAAGGCAGGTGGATCACTTGAGATCAGGATTTCGAGACCAGCTTGGCCAACGTGGTGAAACCTCATCTCTAGTAAAAATGCAAAAATTAGCCAGGCATGGTGGTGCACACCTGTAATCCCAGCTACTCAGGAGGCTGAAGCAGGAGACTCACTTGAACCTGGGAGGCAGAGGTTGCAGTGAGGTGAGATAGCACCATTGTACTCCAGCCTGGGCAACAGAGCGAGACTCCGTCTCAAAAAGGAAAAAAAAAAAAGAGTTTCTATGGCCACCTGGGATAGGAGGCTTTTCTTGAAGCCACTTTACCCTAATAAACCCATTGTCTTTACTTATGTTGTATTTATATCTGCAGCGGCCTTGATGCTGTCACTGACCACTGGGACACCCCAGGCCTGACAGGCAGCTCCTGACACCAACTCAAATGCTAGTTCCGCCGGGTGCAGTGGCTCACGCCTGTAATCCCAGCACTTTGGGAGGCCAAGGCAGGCAGATCACCTGCGGTCAGGAGTTCAAAACCCCATCTCTACTAAAAGTACAAAAATCAGCCAGGTGTGGTGGTGTGCACCTTTAATCCCAGCTATTCGGAAGGCTGAGGCAGGAGAATCACTTGAATCTGGGAGGCAGAGGTGGCAGTGAGCCAAGATTGCACCACTGCACTCCAGCCTGGATGACAGAGCAAGACTTCATCTCAAAAAAAAAAAAAATTATTTTGCTGAGAGAAATCTGGACTATACATTCCAGCTGTGACCAACTTATGACACTGCAGCTATATTTTTATTAGTCAGTGGATCTAAAACCAAAAAGTGTGAAAAAAGAAAAATTTCTCAATGATAGGCAAACAAATCTTAATATGTGGTTTATTACTTTGTATTTGGTTCCACTGATTATTCTGTCAACAGGAATGTTAGTGGCCTTGCCACCAGCAAGGTTGGCAATCTTGGCTCCCAGTTACTTCTCTTGTAGGTCGGTCTTAAGAACAAGGCTTTGGCCAGGCGCAGTGGCTCACGCCTGTAATCCCAGCACTTCGAGAGGTCGAGGTGGGTGAATCATGTGGTCAGAAGTTCGAGACCAGCCTAGCCAACATGGTGAAACCCTGTCTCTACTAAAAAAAAAATACAAAAATTAGCCAGGCATGGTGGTGCGCGCTTGTAATCCCAGCTACTCAGGAGGCTGAGGCAGGAGAATCGCTTGAACCTGGAAGGTGGAGGTTGCAGTGAGCCGAGATCGCGCCATTGCACTCCAGTCCGGGTGACAGAGCGAGACTCTGTCTCAAAAAAAAAAAAAAAAAAAAAAAAAGAAAAAGAAAAGAAAGAAAGAAAAAGGCGTTAAGGCTTTAGGATTGGATGTGGTGGCTCATGCCTGTAATCTCAGCACTTTGGGAGACTGAGGCAAGGGGCTCACTTGAGGTCAGGAGTTCAAGACCAGCCTGGGCAACATAGGGAGACCTCGTCTCTACAAATAACTTAAAAATTAGCCAGGTGTGATGGCGCATGCCTGTAGTCCCAGCTACTCGGGAGGCTGAAGTAGGAGGATCACTTGAGACCAGGAAATTGAGCCTGCAGTGAGCCGAGATCGCGACACTGTACTCCAGCCTGGGCAACAGAGCAAGAGTTTGTCTCATTAAAAACAAAACAAAACAAACAAACAAAAAAAAACAGACAACAAAAATAGCAAGAGTACTTTAGATTTATAGACGGTGCTTTGCAGTGAAGCTGCCATGATGAAAGCTTCCATTGACCGACCACCTGTCGTGTGTGAAGCATTGTTCTTGGTAACTCACATATGTTGCTGCATTTCCTCTTCACAATAACTTCATGTGGAAAGTTTTACCACCTCCCTTCTCCAAATGAGAAAACAGTATAAGAGAAATGTGACTTTACCAAGAGCACCCAGCTTCTGAGTGGGTTCAGCCTGGGGGTGTCTGGCTCTTCCTACATCTGGAATCTTCAGATTGAGAAGGTTCATTGTCATTTACTCAGCAAATATTTGAGCATCTGCCCCTTGCCTTCTGTCCTGCAGTATGCCGAATTCTGGACTAGGTGCTGGAGATGGAACAGGGAGCAAAACAGCGTCCTTTGTCCCCTGTCCCAGTTGGGAAGAAAGACAAAGAAAAGACAAACAAAACAAAACAAGACGAAAACAGCACTTCACAGTATATATGATGTTAGAGAGGGACGGGGCAGCTAAGATTCTCAACAGTTCATTTCAGTACTAAACTGTTTTACTTCTATTCTGTTTCTTTTCTTTTTTCTTTTTTTCTTTTTTTGAGATGGAGTCTCACTCTGTTGCTCAGGATGGAGTGCAGTGTCGCGATCTCAGCTCACTGCAACCTCCACCTCTCGGGTTCAAGCGATTCTCCTGCCTCAGCCTCCTGAGTAGCTGGGGTTAGAGGTGCCCGCCACCACACCTAGCTAATTTTTGTGTTTTTAGTAAAGACGGGATTTCACCATGTTGGCCAGGCTGGTCTCGACCTCCCAACCTCAGGTGATCCTCTGCCTCAGTCTCCCAAAGTGCTGGGATTACGTGCATGACCCTCTGCACCCAGACTCTATTCTATTTCTGTCATCAGGCGGATTGACAGACACAAAAATGTAGTGTCTCTATTGCCCTAGATCTCTTTAGCCATGTCCGAGGACCAAGGAATGTAAAATTTATTTGTTTTTGAGACAGGGTGTCACTCTGTTGCCTAGGCTAGAGTGCAGTGGTGGATCCTCCCACCTCAGCCTCCCGAATAGTTGGAAGTACAAACGTAACACCATCATGCCCAGCTAATTTTATATATATATATTTGTAGAGACAGGGCCTTGCCATGTTGCCCAAGTTGGTCTTGAACTCCTGGCTTCAAGCGATCCTCCCACCTCGGAATCTCAAAGTGCTGGGATTACAGGCGTGAGCCACCGTGCCGCCCAGCCCAGGGTTCTGTTGTAATGAGCGCGTCCTTCTTGTGGTGTGTCCTTTCTTCACTTGCAGTCTTCACTCACAGCCCTGCCATTTCTTGTTCCTGTGTAATCTGTCACTTTGTGGCACTTCCTTTTCCTCTGTGTTGACAGAGCCTGGCTTGTTTAGCCACTCTTGTGTCCTCAGGGGGTTTGATTTCCTTCCATGTTATTGCTATTATGTGTTACATAGCGATGAACTAGCCAGGACACATTGTTATTTTTCCCCTGGTTTGCCTCCCTGTTCGTAATCCTCCGTCACCGTTCACATTTCTATTGATTTTCAGCCAAACTCGGGGGTTGGCAAATTACGGCCACCCACCTGTTTTTGTAAATAAAGTTTTATTGGAATGCAGCCAAGCCTGTTTGTTTACATATTGTCTGGGGCTGCTTGAGCTATGAGGGCAGAATTGAGAAGTTGAATAGCTGAGTGACAGAGACTGCATACAGCCCCTGTGACGGTGGAAAAAACAACTGTTTTTCCTCTGCTCTCACACTACAGCAATCAACACTAAAGACTTTTTTTTTGAGACATAGTCTCACTCTATCACCCAGGCTGGAGTGCAGTGGCACAATCTCAGCTCACTGCAACCTCCGCCTCCGGGTTCAAGTGATTCTCCCACCTCAGCCGCCAGAGTAGCTGGGATTACAGGCACCCACCACCACGCCTGGCTAATTTTTGTATTTTCAGTCAATATGGGTTTTCACCATGTTGGCCAGGCTGGTCTCGAACTCCTGATCTCAGGTGATCTGCCCACCTCAGCCTCCCAAAGTGCTGGGATTATAGGTGTGAGCCAGTGCACCTGGCCACAGAACATCTCCATGACCAAATGTGTGTCTGTTTTTCCCCAAGCACCAAGCAGTGGACACCAGCGGGGCATCCCCCAATTCCACTCCGATGCTGTCTACCTGAAGATAGCCTCGGGTCACACAGGTTGAGGGCTCAGTCCCCAAGACTGTCCCCTCCTTCCCACCAGTCACAAGTCCAGGCTTCCAGAACTTCTGACCGATCAGCTCCAAACCCGCTCTTTGGGTTTAATTTATTTGCTAAAGCAGCTCACAGAACTCAGGCAAACTTACTTTTACGTCTACTGGTTTATGACAAAGGTTCTTTTAAAGGACGCAGTTAAACAGCCAGATGAGACACACACAGTGAGGTCTGGAAGGGTCCTGAGCCTGTCCCCATGCCACCCTCCCAGCACGTGGATGAGTTCTTGTTCACCTTCTTACAAACCTCCGTGTGTTCAGCTATCTGGAAGCTCTCTGAGCCCTGTCCTCTTGGCTTTTTTTTTTTTTTTTTTTTTTGAGACAGGGTCTTGCTCTGTCACCCAGGCTGGAGTGCAGTGGTGCGATCTCGGCTCACTGCAACCTCTGCCTCAAGGGTTCAAGCGATTCTCCTGCCTCAGCCTCCTGAGTGAGCTGAGATTACAGGCATGTGCCACCACGTACAGCTAATGTTTGTATTTTTAGTAGAGAAGGGGTTTCCCCATGTTGGTCAGGCTGGTCTCGAACTCCTGACCTCAAATGATCCACCTGCTTCAGCCTCCCAAAGTGCTGTCTCTCCATCTGACTGCAAGGAAATGAAGTTGCAGGGAAGTGAAGTGACTTCCCCAGGCCATGGAGTTGTTGGCTGTAGAAGTGCAACCAGCAGATCATCTCTCCTGGGCCCTGCTCTTCCTAGAATTCACAGTGGAAGATGTATACCCTACTCCCACCTATTCCTTACCTCCGAGCCTCCCTACACAGCAGAGACCTCTCTCCTACATGACTGCCACCCACCATTGTCCTAGAAATAAGTCAAACAGTGGCATTTGTCAGTCCCACATCTAGTCGTAGCAGGGTGCTGTGTGGGGCGGGCGTGGTGGCAGAGAAAAGGTGTGTCTTGGAGCAGTGAGAAAAGTACTCAGGGCTGTGCTTCCTCAAGGAGTCTCATGGCATGTAGCCTGCCTGGAAAGTTTTCTGCCAGCATCTAGCAGGTTGCATTTCACAAGCGGCATAAATCCTCCTTAACCGTTTGCCCTTACAGCTAGTTTGCATGTGATGGTAAATCTGAATTGTTACTCAGTGACTGTATTTATTAAGAACAGCCCACCTGCAAGGTACTGTGGCATCGAGGGTACCAGGTTAGGAGGAAACTAGCATTTTTTTTTTTTTAGACAGAGTCTCGCTCTCGTTGCCCAGGCTGGAGTGCAATGGCACTATCTCAGCTCACTGCAACCTCCACCTCCCGGGTTCAAGTGATTCTCCTGCCTCAGCCTCCCAAGTAGCTGGGATTGCAGGCGCCTGCCGCCATGCCTGGCTATTTTTTTGTGTATTTTTAGTAGAGACGGGGTTTCTCCATGTTGGCCAGGCTGGTCTCAAACTCCTGACCTCAGGTGATCCGCCCAAAGTGCTGGGATTACAGGCGTGAGCCACAGCGCCTGACCTCAGCAAAAGAATTTGGTAAGTCTAGAGGTAAAGCTTAATACTGTAAAGATGCTAAAGATGCTGTCTTCCCAGATCATTAATTTAGTGCAATGTCAGTCATGATCCTAGATTTTAAAAAGCAATTTTTTAAAATATAGAGACAGGGTCTCTTTGTTGCCCAGGCTGGTCTCAAACTCCTGGCTTCAAGTGATCCTCCTGCCTTGGCCTCCAAAGTACTGGGATTACAGGCATGAGCCACCATGCCTGGCCCTTAAATAGATTTTTAAATATAACTTGACAAAATAAATCTCACCGGATTGAGAAAATACATAAACATAGCCAAGAAAAACAATTTTTTTGAGTCAGAGTCTCATTCTGTGTCACCCAGGCTGGAGTGCAATGGTGCAATCATGGCTCACTGTAGCCTCACTCTCCTGGGCTCAAGTGATCCTCCAGCCTCAGCCTCGTCGGTAGCTGGGACTACAGGCACACACCACTGCACCTGGCTAATTTTTTCTTAAATTTTTGTAGAGACAGGGTTTCACTATGTTGCCCAGGCTGGTCTTGAACTCCTGGCCTCAAGTGACCCTCCTGCCTATGCCTGGCTGAAAATTTTGATGAGAATGGGGTTGTGTAAGTATGTTCACCCTGACAAAAGAGCTGTTTGCTTTGGATTTATGGACTTTTCTGTATGTATATTACACTTCTATAAATGTTTACAAAATTTGGGGTAGGATATAGAAAGTAGAGATAAACTTGTCTTATAAAAACATACTACAGGGCTATCATAATTAAAACTGTAAGGCATAATAAGACAAATAGCTCAATGAAATGGAAGAATCTTGCTACAGAATTTAATGTGTAAGACATGGGGAAATTATTGATTGTTCAATAAATACTGTTGAGACAATTAGCAATCCATTTGGAAAAAATAAATTATAGACCGCCCCTCCTGACCATATCATACACAAAATCCCCTTTAATTCCAGGGGTTAAAGATATAAATAGCATGATCATTCACTGATGGTAGAAGGATTAATTCATACTGCCTTTTTGTAGGACAACTTGGTAGGCTCCTTCAACATTTAAAATGTGCAGGTGGGGCGTGATGGCTGACGCCTGTAATCCCAACACTTTGGGAGGACAAGGCGGGTGGATCACTTGATCCCAGGAATTTGAGACCAGTGTGGGTAACATAGTAAGACCCTGTCTCTACAAAAAATACACTAATTAGCCAGGTGTGGTGTGTGTGCCTGTGGTCTCAGCTACTCAGGAAGCTGAGTTGGGAAGATAGCTTGAGCCCGGGAGGTTGAGGCTGCAGTGACCCATGATCGCACCACTGCACTCCAGCCTGGGGTGACGGAGTGAGACCTTATATCATAAACAAATAAATATATGTATGTATTTGTGTGTGCATGTGTGCATATATATGTGTGTGTGTGTGTGTGTGGGTGTGGGTGTGTATCCCTTGCTCCAACAATTTCATTTCTTGACTCTCTCAAGTTGGCCTACACATATATGTGCACATGGATTGATGTGCATCTGTGTTCACTGTGGTGCATATAATGTGATAGTGGAAAACTGGAAACTACCTCCATGTCCATTAGGAGGGGAATGGCTAAATTACATACATCCACACAAGAGATTACCATGTGTCACAATTCAAATAATAAGATAGGTTCAGTCATTCATGCAACAAATATTTATTGAGCAACTACTATGTGCTAAGACCAGTTCTTAGCTCTGGGGATAGAGCAGAAAACAAAACAGTCTCTGCCTTCATGGGGATTATATTTTAGTGGGGTTGACAGCCAATGAACAAAGAACAATAAAAATATAGTACGATTCAGAGTGAGAATATTGTGAATCAATAAAACAGGGTAAGGGGGGACAGGGACAGGGAGGTGGCATTTCAGACTGGGTGCTCATCAAATCTTCTCCAAGGAGGTAACATCTGGGCTTTATTTGAGGGAGCTCTTCATTCACGGAAAAGAGGTCTCCAGAAACATTAAGAAAAAACAAAACAAAACAAAAGTAATTACAGGACAACTTATGGTTTTTAAACTATGCCTTTGTTTTCCTAAGCATGCATATAGGTATACAGGTATAGATCTGGACATCAGCCAATGGCTGGACATGGTGGCTCACACCTGGAATCCCAGCACTTTGGGAGGCCAAGGCAAAAGGACGGCTGGAGCCCAGGAGTTCGAGACCAATCTGGACAACATGGTGAAACCCCATCTCTACAAGAAATACAAAAATTATAAAAATTAGCTGAGCGTGGTGGTGTGGGCTTGTAGTCCCAGCTACTTAGGAGGCTGAGGCGGGAGGATCACTTGAGCCCAGGAGGTTGAGGCTGTGGTGAGCTACAATCGTGCCACTGTACTCCAGCCTGGGTGACAGAGACTCCGTCTCAAAAAAACTAAAAAATGTAGACATCAGTCAAACTGCTAATATTAAAGGAGTGGTTTAACACTTATTTTCCAGCAAGCACATATTCACGTTACTTTTAGAATAGACTTTTCAACTCTGTGAACAAAAGCTATTTAGAGCACATATGCAAAAGAGTTGGGTCAGCAGAAGCAGCCTAGGGGTTAAGAGCGTCTTCCCTGGGGCAAAAATGTCCCCAGCCGGCTCAGCTGCTAGCTTTGTGACCTCAGGCAAGCTGTGGCTTCAGTTTGTCTAGAGTAGCTGTTCCATTTGGGTTTGTACCTAGAGGGAGGAGGCCAGGGGTGCTGCTGAACACCCGACAATGAGCAGGACAGCTCCCCCATTTGTCAAGAGCAATGTGGAGAAGCCGTGCTCCAGAACAAGGGGCAGTGCCCGCCTCTCAAGGGTTGAGGACTCACGGTGTGCAATGCACTTAGCATAGGCCCTGGCACATAGCAAGTACTCAATAAATAGGAACTATTTTTATTACTGGACTTCCCTGAAAACTAAAAAAAAAAAATGTTGAGAGTATGGAGGACGTGGTAGTGCCAGGAATCAGTTCTGCTGAATCCCAATTCCAGCAGCTGGCTGGAAGGGATCTCTGACCTCCACAGCAACAACAGTCTTCACGGGGTGTGTGTCTGCCAATGGGATGGCCTATACAGAGCTCCTCGTTCCTTCTGTTTGGTTTTTCTGGTTTGAATCTCATCTCCTGCCAGTAGTTCAGGGACATTCCCACCAGATCACCTGGTCTCTTGTACGTATTCAGCTGTGCTCTCTCAGACATTCCCTGTGGTTCAGAAGAAACACACTCAAGCTTCTCTTGTGGGAAAACCAAAACCCAACCCCACCTCACCTCCCACCCCCAGCTTCCCGCGCTTCCTGTGGCCCTGACCTCCTCTTTCCACCCCTTCCCAGGAAATCCAAGAGACACCCACTCTGCTGCTATCTCCTCCTTCCACCCCATCAGGTCAGCAAAACGGCTCCTGCCACATTTCCAACACCTGGCCACTGCCAACTCACTGCTTCTCCCTCTTCCTCTTGTATCGCTTCTCTGCTGCCTTCAGCACGGCTGACCACTCTCCCTCTTGGCCTGCTTGTCCTCCCACCCCTCCTCCTGCTCACTCATCCTCCTTTTCTCAACCAGGTTCTCAGAGGCTGGGCCAAGGCTGCTGCCTTCTCTTACTCCATGCTTCCTGTTCTCAATCCCCCAGCAATCTCACCCGCTGCTGGGTCCTTACTAACCTCCTCCACCCAAAGACTCCCCAGTCTGCCTGTAGCCCCCACCCTGCTGTCTCTGCCAGGTTGTCTCAAAACTCCCTGAACTCAGCAGTCACAACTGATCTCGTATCTATCCCGCCAATCTGGTCTGACTCTAGTGCCCCCATCTCAGGGAATGGCCCTGTTACCTGTGCAAGTGGGAAGCCAGCAGCTTAGGTGGAGTCCTCCATCCCCATCACCCCTGGCAGGTCCTGGGAGCACGACCTCAGTATCTCCCAGTCTCCCCTCCTCCGTCGTCCCTGCACCCATCTCACTCGCCCCTGCTTCTCTTCTGCTTCTGTACCATCGCTCGTTCTCCCTGCAACCAGAGCCATCTCTCAAAGTTGCTATGGAATCCGAATCGCATCACGCAGCCCTGCCTGCTGAAAACTCTTGAATCCACTGCTCTAAGGATGAAATGCAAACTCCTCCCCCTGTGCGCCCCCCTGCCCCCTCTACTCCAGCCACGCTGGCTTCCTCCCTGCCCTGCAGCTGTGTGCCACACGCTCCTTGTCTCCCCCTAGCTCACTTGCTTCCACCTTCCCTACATTCCCAACTGGAATGCCCACCCTACCATGCACTCGTCACCTGCAGCTTCCCCTTTTGGACCAGGTATTGAGGATACAATTTTAATCATACCCCCCAGTGGACCGTAAGTTTAATGAGTCCACTGATCCTGTCTTATTTTCTCTATTATTATGTCCCCGGCATCTGACACTATTAATACTGTGAGTGGCAAACATTCAACACATAGAAGCCATGATGACAATCTCTGAGCAGAATCTGGCATATAAACCCTACACTGATCCCAGAGAACCTTCTGGAATCAAACTCCATCAACCCTCACCACCCCCTTCACCCCCAAGTCCCCTCACTCAAGTGTCTTATGCAACTTTCTTGGTACCACCTGGGTGATTCTTGAAAGAAAACCCAAGCGTGGGCATGCCTGGGCAGCACAGTGGAGGACTGCTTCTGTTACACTGCGTAGCTTTTTACTCAGCCCGTTCACCTGCAGCACGGGTCAGGCAGTATTTACCCCAGCAAGACCCAGAGCTCAGCTGAGCTGCCTTAAGTTGAACTCCTGTAGGAAAGGAAAGGAAAAAGGAAAGACCCCCAAGGACCCAAACTGTCCTACACAAAGAGAAATGACCACCAAGGTTTGGTTCTTGAATATGTATTTTTTACTGAAAAAATCATTCATAAATTAACATACAAAAATGTACAAACACATGAGTAAATAATGTAATGACAAAGGACTATTTTTGTGAAAAGTGTTTTTTAAAACATCTTTAGATTTCAGTGCAAAAATGTACCCCTGGCACCTCTTAAAACGTAAGAGCAAGCTCAAAAACACGTAGTGATGGAAATAAGCTAGCTACGCTCAATGCCATCGTCAATGGTGAGTGGATACAATCAATCCATGTGGCTCCTGCTCAGCTATTAATGTCTGTGGTAGAGGATCTCTGACAAGAGGACCTATTATGTCAAAATGAGTATTCTTGCAAATACCCCCCCACCCCCCAAAACAGCATGAACAAACGGGGACACCTTTCCCTGCACACAGCAATCAAAGACAAGATTAAGGGGCCACCCATCAGTAGCCTTGAAGATTTTCAGCTACCAATATATGCACAAGGTCACATTTGGTTCCTGTTTTTTTTTTTAACATGACAATTTCACACTATTAACAGCACACGGGCCTGGCTGTACGTTTTTAACTATGACATTTCCCATATGATATTCGAGGCCTGGTGGACACATGACTGACAGTGCACATCCAGAGATTCTACACTCATCAGACACAGACATGACCGCAAAGGTATCAAAGTGACCCCACTTTAAGCAGTGAAAAAAGACCTTTCCTTTTGTTCTCAAATCAGCATTTTCTAAAGTCAGGTGTTAGCCTTTTGCCAACAGTGTGTACTTGATGGTAATTATGGCAACATAGAGCTTCAAACAAGATCGCCTGACAACACTGCCGCATACACATACGGCACCCAGGACTCAGAATCAGTCTGTCCTGGCAAATCCTTCCAAATGACATCATAGTGTTGTCACATTGAAAGCAACTCACAGCCTTCAGTGAGGAAAGGGGAGAGGAGAATGAGAAGGGGAGAAAAGCCAAGGCAGGGACAAAGGCCCGGTGGGGGATGGGGGTTGCAGGGTGGAGGGGGGTCTTTATTGCTATATGCACCATAAAACAAAGGAAAACCAAATGAACTTCTGTGTGTAATGTTCACTTGTGAAGGTATTTTAAAGCATGAAATGCTTAAGTCTTAAAAAACATATGCTATAGCTTACCGGCATTTTCAAGGGCAGGAACCTGCTCTCTCATATGAGCCGATAAGAGCTTTGCAATGCAATTTATTTTCTAAATACCACTCTATTCTTCAAAAGAACAAAAACACAAACAAACAAACAAACAAAACAAGGCCTGGCCAATCACTCCCACAGTTTGTGGGGATCATATGTCCACAGAACCATCACATGCAACGAAAAAAGCCCTAACCCACACACATACACACACACACCCCTACACACACCCATGTAAACTATGAAAATCAAGGAAGTTGAAGGCAAACAAGGCAATTAAAAAAAAATACGAAGTACTCTTCAGAAAGTACTCCTCATCACAATATATAAATATGTTTTATGGAAAACAAGGGCGGGGGAGGAAAACTGGCATTTTCCAGAATTCTGCAGAAGCCGACAGAGACTACAATTTGAGGGCTTTGGTTTGGGGAAAAACAAAGAGGCACAAATTCAAATACAATTTAGAACATGACTTCAAGGCTGGGCGCAATGGCTCACACCCGCCCATAATCCCAGCACTTTGGGAAGTCAAGGTGGGCGGATTGCTTGAGTCCAGGAGTTCGAGACCAGCCTGGGCAACATGGAAGAAACCCCTGTCTCTACTAAAAATACAAAAAATTAGCCAGGTGTGGTGGTGTGCACCTGTAGTCCCAGCTACTCGGGAGGCTGAGGTGGGAAAATGGCTTGAGCCTAGGAGATGGAGGCTGCAGTGAGCTGTGATCGTGCCACCACACTCCAGCTTAGGCGACAGAGCCAGACCGTCTTAAAAAACAAAACAAAAAATAATATGACTTCAAAATGCAGGTGGGGGTGTGAGCAGTGCACCTGGGCTCTTGCTGTCTGGAGCTTTGTTAGTCTAATTTCAAAGCTTCAATCCGGTCTTACCTGGATCCCAGCTGCCCCACAGCACACAAGTGTCACCAGCTCCCTGGCTCCTGGCTCCCTATTTGAGTGCTCCTTGGTTCTATGTATCAGTTACTAATGTTGACAAAGAATCTTTCCAGAAACCAAAAAGGGACACAGAGGAATCACTGAAGCCAGCTGGTAATGTAGGCACATTGTTCAGAAACTGTGGCCAAGTTCCACAAGAGAAAAAGTAAGAGGGGGAGGGATTCCCATACACACCCCCGCCCCCCGCCCCCCGCCCCGCCATGCTGATGAAAAGACAGAACACGAAGCCTGGAGAGCCAGAGATGTGTGTGCAGCGAGCCCCGAAGGGCCTGCTTTAGGCAGGAAGCAGCCTGCTCTAACAGCAGCCTCCCGCTTAGCGGAGAGTGGGATGAGCACATGCGCGGCCGACAGGGAAGAGTGAATCCAGAGCAGAAGTCAAGGGCAAGACTCGTGGGGGGGGGAAGAAAGGGACAGAAGCCAGCTCCCAGCAATAAAGGTCGGGTTATTTTGTTCTTTTGTGACATGCCCTATATCCACTCCCTCGCCAAAGTGACAGCAATTCGGGAGATGACATTCTTCAACTGCATTTTAACTGAGTTCCTGCACTTGCCAACCAAGTAAGTGGCCTAATACATAAATCCTCAATTTGAATTGGAGCCAGCTAGAAAATTAAATTTTAAAAAGGCATTTTACATGGCTTATTTACAATTATACTTCTTCAAGAAGTGATTGTTATATATTTATGTCTATTTATCTTTCCCAAACACCCTCCCCTCCACCCTCAATCCCCACCCAAAGAAGGTAATTTTTTAAAAAAATGAAACCAAAGAGAACACCAGAGATCTAGAAGAATGGTGTGGAGTTTCATTTGCTCTTCCTAAAACGCAGCTGCCCTGTGGTGGGTTTGCCTCTGCTCTGAAGGCCAAGAGGCTCCAAGGTCATGTGTAGGGACAGGCTCCACGGCAGGACCACGGCAGGACCACGGCAGATCACAGTTCATCATGGGTTCTGGAGACTGCGGCTAAGACAGGATGTGGGGTAGGAGATGGGGAGAGAGCAGCGGGACAGACGTCTGTCTTGTGAAAACAGAAAGCCAGTGCTGACGAAGGAAGTCCCCAAGCTCACTCCCTCAGTTCCAGCGGCTGATCCAGTGAAGGCGTTTGTGCGTGTGCTGTCACATTTTCCCCCTGAACTCTGTGATCCTTCATGAGACACAGTATTTCTGTTCTCTTGCTGTGTAGACCCTCCCCCCTCCAAAAAAAAATCTCATCGGACTGCTTTCTTGGTGGCGGTGGGTAAAGCAAACGTACATTCTCTCCTCTCAGTACTCGTTCACCTGAGCCAGCTCGGGTGTCAGGTTGACAGTTATGTTTTTATACAAGGCGTCGTATGTGATGTTTGCAAAGTAGTTCAGGTTGTTGAGGCCATCCAGCCCTTGCCGTTCTTTTGACTTCCTCAGCAGAGCATACCTGTTTAGGGAGGGAACAGAGAAGAGGTGGCTCTGAGTGAGGATCCATGCCTCTGCAGCCAGAGGATGGAGCAGGGCGTCCCACAGCAGAGGACGCAACCCATGGCAGCACTTCTGCAGCACAAGGTGGGCGCACGGCCAATTCTGCTATGCCAGGCTGAGTGCTGTGGTCAGAAACACCTCCTGTGTTTCATGCCAGGTGCTTCACTTAATTATTTCATTTAATGCTCACGCCAGCCCCTGCTAGCAAATGAGGAAGCCAAGGCTTAATAATGTGAGGTAACTTGCCCAAGGTCAGAGAGTGGGGAAGTGGGAGGTAAAGCATTAAAAATACAACAGATGAGAAAGTTCATACTCTGTATTCAGTGCCATTTTACTCCCATGAAAACAGAATTTCAGCAATTAGAATTGGTTGTCTAGAGCACAGTCTTCCCCACAATTTAGAAAAGACACACACACACACACACACACACACACAAAGAAAGAAAAGGTAACACAGCAACTGCAGCCACCCAGACAGAAGCTCAGGACACCATTCGGAACGGGAGCCTGCGGAAAGGGCGCCACTGCTCTGTCACCTCAGGGACCTTCATCCAAGCTGTTTCTTCCCAAATTCCCCAAAGGCTACTGTGGAGACCACAAGGCTGAAGACATAGGACAAGTGATTTCCTTCGAAGAATCTTACTATTGAAAATGTTCACCAACGGTCTGATCCCCACACTGTTCTGCCTCAGAGTTAGAATACATGCAACAGCTGTCAAACAGCTGTCAGAACAGGGCCTCGGGGTGGGGAGTAGGAGAAGGGGCTGTAATATGCTCTAAGATATCCGGACATGAAAGTATAGGGGATACTTCTAAGAGACAGAGATAAATTCCACCAACCTTCCAAGAAACTGGACTTCTCCTCGATGGTGATGAGGAATGGACTTGTACTTTCCTGTGTCACCCTCTGGCCGGCTCACAGAATAGCCTGCATTCTGTACTCTGTCCAAGACCAAGAGAACAGGCTTTTAGATACAACGGTAATAGCCCAGGAGTGACCAAAGCCTACAAGACATGTTACAAGCTTACCCTGGAAATCACACACAGCAAAAGCTCTCACCCGCTTAACTGACTCATTGTGTCATTTCTTAAAAACTGAGTTAAAACTCAATTTTAACTGAATTAAAGTTTTTATGTGAACGGAAAAAATAGGCTGGGCTAGGTGGCTCGTGCCTGTAATCCCAGCACTTTGGGAGGCCGAGGTGGGCAGATCATTTGAGGTCAGGAGTTCGAGACCAGCCTGGCCAAAATGGTGAAACCCCATCTCTACTTAAAAAAAAAAAAAAAAATTAGCCAGGCGTGGTGGTGCAGGTCTGTAATCCCAGCTACTCAGGAGGCTGAGACAGGAGAATCACTTGAACCCGGGAGGCAAAGGTTGCAGTGAGCAAAATTGCACCAGCTTGGGTAACAGAAAGAAAATCTGTCTCAAAAAAGAAAAGAAAAGTACGGAAAGAAATGGTTACTTCCAGGGAATAAAATAGAATCAAAATGGGGATTAATACTTAGACACTTGTATCATCTAATTTTTTTTTTTTAAGAGACAGGGTCCACTGTGTTGCCCAGGCTGGAGTACAGTGAGGTGATCATGGTTCAGTGCAGCCTCAATCTCCCAGGCTCAATTAGTCCTCCCATCTCAGCCTCCTGAGTAGCTGGGACTACAGGCGTGTGCCACCACAACAGGCTAATTTTTTTTATTTTTTGTAGAGACAAGGTCTCACTGTTGCCCAGACTGGTCTTGAACTCCTGGGCTCAAGTGATCCTCAAGCCTAGGCCTTGTGAAGAGGTGGGATTACAGGTGTGAGCCACAGTGCTCAGCCTATCATTTGAATTTTTATTAGCAAAATAGTCCTTGTAATTAACAACAAACACATACTTTTCAAAAGCCAAGCTACAAAGGAAACAGATACCAGGTAGTATTTTGCATTTGTTCCTTATGAGGTTACTGTTTACTTACTCCATAAAAATATTACTTTATTCCACTCACACACAGGATTGTTCACCCAAGCTTGTACAGTACAAGCCTTATGTGATGGCGCAGCTAAATCTATGTAGACATATCACTAATATTCCACCCTTCAGTTTGGAGTGGTTCCAATGAAATGGGCATTTAGTACAGAGAACACTGGTGAAGTGAAAAGTTTTGTTAGAACCTTTAGCAGGAGGGGCACTTAGTTATAATATGCCTTAAAAACCCTATTTGCATCCATTAAAGGACAGAGCTTAAAAAAAAAAAGAGCCTTAAAATGACTACATTCGCTTATAGGAATTTTTCCTAAATAGGAATAACAGGCAAAAGAATTATCTACTATATCACACTCTAAATAGTGGAAAATGGAAAAGATTCTAAATATACACCAGGAAATAGTTACATAAATTACAGTACATCTATATAACCGAATTAAATGGAGCCACTTAAGATCCTGTTTACAGAGTATTTAATGTTGATATAAAAACAGTAACACCTATTGAGAGCTTATCACATATCAGATATGCCAGAGCTCTATACACATTACATCATTTAATCCTCACAATCCTGAGATTTGTGATTTTAAAAACTGACACACAGAGATTTTAAATTACTGTTCACTTGCCACTTTTTAAACACAAAATAAACTCAATGAAATGGTAACATGTTACTTATTGTTGTGGGTAATTTATTTTTATACTCATTTGTATTTTATAATGAACGTATTATTTATTAGAAGAAAAAATTGCTAAATTATAATTTGTTGATTTTCGCATGTCAAAGGAGAAAAATGAAAATAGCTGCTTTGTTGGGATATACAGTTTGTTTTTTAAGATATTAAGATATTTTTAAATTAAGATTAAAGATATTTTCTAAAAACTTGGATGTGTGTGGTGTGTGTGTGTGTGTGTGTGTATTTTTTAAGACAGGTCTCACTCTGTCACCCAAGCTAGAGTGCAGTGGCACAGCTCTCTGTGGCCTCGAACTCCCGGGCTCAAGTGATCCTCCCACCTCGGCCTTCCAAAGTGCTGGGATTACAGGTGTGAGCCATCACAGCTGGTCAATTTCATTTTTTTCCTTAACCTTTTAAACTGTAGCTACTAGAACATGTTAAATTACACACATGGCTTGCATTATATTCCTATCGGATAGTATTGGTCTGCAGTCTAAGGTAGCATTTCTAGAAGACACCGAAAGAACGGCAGAGGTACCTGTTCCAGAGGTCGTCATCTTCTCCACCCCAACCCCAGAAAGCATTAGGAAAGCCATTGATTTTCCGAAATTGTTCCACTGTTAAGCCACTCACTCCGCCAAAGAACTCGGTATAAGGAAGCCTAGGAGGAGATGTGGGACATCAATCATCTGTGTGTTACAGGGTAACTGTTTTCCCTAGAAGGTTCTCATTTGAGGACTAAAAACAGTGCTCTCTGTGCTCCTGACCTGAACCATATGAATGTATCAAATTAGCAAAATTAATTTTTGCAAACTGATTTTTAATAGCTTTAGTGAGATATAATTGACATACCCATACACAATTGGCCCATTTAGAGTATATCATTCAATGGTTTTAGTTTATTCACTGAATTGTGCAACCATGACCACAATCTATATTAACATGTTTCATCACTGTCCCCCGCAAAGCCTTGCACCCATTAGCAATCACCCCCTGCTCCTCCTATCCTCCTTAGCCCCTTATAACCATTTATCTACTTTCTGTCACTATAGATTTGCTTATTCTGGACATTTCAGACACCTGGAATCATATGATACACAACCTTTGTGTCTGGCTTCTTTAACGTAATGTTTTCGAAGTTCATCCGTGTTTTGGCACGTATCAGTATTTCATTGCTTTCTCCTGCCAAACAGTGCTCCAATTGTATGGATACACACATTTTGTTTATCCATCCATCAGTTGATGGGCATCTAGGTTGCAGCTAATTAGATTTCCTTTTCACATCGCTCACCATCCTTTCAGATTTAACCTCTTTAATTAAGAAGAAATGATACTCACAGATACATATACTTATCCAATTTGGTTGCAAAATGCCTCGGCATCTGTCCACATCCATAATAGTTGCGATCACTTTCCGGTATGTGATCTACATCATGAAAAATCAAACAGTCCCAATCCAAGTCTTTCATTGCCTCTTGAAAGCCAACGTTGAAAAGCATGGCTCGATTAAAGGGTTGGGTACCAACCTAAAAGAAACAGAACTTTATCTTTAAAAGAATCTTGAAGGAAAATCTTTGCTGTCTTTCCTGTGCCTAAAGACGAGTTTATTAGAACCAACTGGAAAAGATCACTGGGCTAGTGTAACCAGGTCCAACACCACAAATCAACTCACAGTGTGGCTCAGAAGTCACTGGACCTCTGGCATGGGCACAGTGGCTCACGCCTGTAATCCCAGCACTTTGGAAAACCAAGGTGGGCGGATCAGGAGTTCGAGACCAGCCTGGCCAACATGGTGAAACCCCATCCCTACTGAAAATACAAAAACATTAGCTAGGCGTAGTGGCGCATGCCTGTAATCCCAGCTACTTGGGAGGCTGAGGTAGGAGAATAGCTTGAACCCGGGAGGCGGAGGCTGCAGTGAGCCAAGATCGCACCATTGTACTCCAGTTTGGGCGACAGAGCAAGACTCCATCTCCAAAAAAAAGAAAAAGAAAAAGTCACTGGACCTCTGGCCCCAATTTCTTTAAAAATGTAAGTGATAGCAAACGCAAGCTTCTCTCTCCCAAGGCTACTGAAGGCAGAAATGCAACCGTGTACCAGCATTTAGAAGAGTACCCCGCTCCACAAAGGGAAGAGACAACACTACCATTTCTACTCCTTACCACTTGCTCTTCAGCACATCAACCAATCTCTAACTGTTCATAAACCAAATCTAGTACAAAGAGTGGTTTTTAGTTTTGTCTTGTTTTATTTTTAAGATCTAACTAAGACAACAGTCACTGAGCATGCCAGGGACTCAAGCCTATGGACAAAGAATTCAGTGGCTCATGAAGAAACCAGTTCAAATCAGTTAACAGCCTAATTAGTGTTACAGCTACATTGACTCCCCCTTGCCACTATCAAAATACCCAACTTAGGACCGGCAGATAGACCGTTAGCATTTCCCAGATGCCCAGCCTTGCTGAACAGTGGTGCTCAGCTTTTTTCTCACTCCAGTATAAGGCAAGCTCCAGGGTGACCACTTAACAGCAACTCAGACTGTGAGACTCAAAAGTGTGCCCATAGAGAGAGGTGAGCATGCAAAAGACCCTCAGACTGACGATCAGTGTATTCAGGGAAATCTGTCAACCTTTTGTTTATCTATGGATATAGCACCTCTAGTTCAAGGATCACATACTTCAAAATGCCTACAGAAGCCAAGTCAGTAATGTAAACATATAAAGTAGGCCCGGCAAGAGAAAACCACAGTAGGACAGTCATGTTCCATCTAAAGGCAAATAAAATATATGCAGGACCAAAAAAAAAAAGATTTACAGACTGAATTTGCCATGCGGTCTTCTTCAGTTTGTGACCTCTATATCTGGTTCCCTACCAATATTTTTAAGATTAAAACAAAACCAAACCCTCAGGCTTAGAGAAGTTTGCAAATGTCCCAGGCCACTTGGTTGATTAACAGCAGACATGACAAGCACTGAGGTCTCTTGACTCCAAGGCCACATCCTCTGTGCTGTACCTTGCTGCAGCTCTTTATCTTAAGGGGAACTTCCTGGGTCTGGAGCCTGCAGGCACCAACAAAACCATAATACAAGAGGCCTTTGTTCATGAGCCAACAAAGCTCTCTCCTGGATTCAAGTGTGCCCAGTACTGGGCAACAGACATCTCAAACCAGGAGCACAGAATTGCTCTCTGCTCCCCCTTCAAACCTCAGGCAACTCGATCCTAAGATTTCAGTTTTATTGGCTCTTCACACCAACAGTGGATTAGCTTGCAGCAACCTAAACTGCTGTCTCAGAAGAGAAAAAAGAAAGGAAAAGAAAGGACTACTCACTTGTTCAACCACATAAAATGCAAACTGCAAGCGCTGGCGCTGGAGCATGGGAAGCAGGTGTCTGAACAGGACTGGGAGGTGCTCGTGGCGGTTCCGGAAGGGGATAAGGATCGCCACCTGGAGTGGATTACAGCAAAAGAAGCACAGTTAGGACTCTCAGCTTTCACTCCTTAGCAGGACACCCCTGATGAATTGCTGACCAACCCATGGGAGTTCTGGGAGGCTGGCTATCTTGTCCTCAGCTTTCTCTAAACAAAGATCTATGTTGGCAAGTTGGCCCTTGGACCTAGATGAATGTGATTCTTACATATACCATATCTTATAGTACATAGTAGGCCTATAATTTATTCTAGGCCATAACTCATAGGAAAACACACATTCTACACTGTGACAAAAATACATCTATAAACTTACAATTAAAACAAGCTTCACAAAACAGTATTTCCCCTTACAATGTGCAATGTACAAATGCTGGTTATTCAACTGTTTTTATTTCCCAGCGATGGGCTGGATACTGATGTGTTCCAGATCTGCTGCATCAGCAGCACTTAACGAGGCTGGCACAGAATACGCATTTTAATAGATACTTGTTGAAAGAATGGACTTCAGCTGGGGTCACAGCTTAACGAAAACTACTGATGTCTTCTGACTATGGTCAGGCAGAAAAAAACTAAATCTCAATGTCAAGCCAGGTAACTTTGCTTTTTAATCCACTAATCTTGTAGTAACCAATGGAGAACAGGAATGAAGCACTGACTCTGTAGATGACTTCTGCAAATGGGTCATTAGAGACCACCAACGCCCTCATCCCCTTGCTTTGTTAATATTCCTGGTGGGAAGACCAAAGGGTCTTGCTCGGTCATCAGAATAATGCAAATTTCTGTATCTACAAAAAGAGTCCTTGTGGAAACCCATTCCTCTAAAATGTTTCTACATTTGCATGGAATGGTAGGATGAAAATGACAAAATGTCATGGTTAGCTAATCCCATGGTGATTCGGACCAAAGGCAAACCCCAGGTGGGCTTCTCAGCATTTTGGCTGTGACTTCACACCCTACCTTCCACCGAGGCATGCAATCAGAAGGCTTCCAGTGACCTCCGAGCTTGATGGTTGGGTCTTTGGAGAAGAGTTCATGAATGTAATCCATTCCAATTTCACTCATGTTTATGTCTATTGGGCCCTCTGAACAGAGACGGGGAAAAGGGATTAAGAGGTCAGAAAATGATAGGTTTCCCTATGCCTGGGGTTTTAGTCTCTGGAGAGCGCAATGCTTTTTCAGCTGAATTTGTTTTTAGCAAGGATGGAAGTCCCTTCCTCTGCTTTCCATCTCACCGTATTTCAGTTCCTCACTATTTTCAAGGTGAAGAGGCAAATCAAGGAATTAAGACTTTAGAGTTCTGCTTCTGTCAGGGGCCAGGTAGAAATGAAAACTTTAAGTAAAACAGTAGCTGAGCTTTTTTTTTTTTTTTTTTTTTTTTTTGAGACAGTCTCGCTCTGTTGCCCGGGCTGGAGTGCAGTGGTGTGATCTCAGCTCACTGCAACCTCTGCCTCTGGGTTCAAGCAATTCTCCTGCCTCAGCCTCCTGAGTAGCTGCGGTTACAGGCATATGCCACCACACCCAGCTAATTTTGTATTTTTAGTAGAGATGAGGTTTCACCTTGTTGGCCAGGCTGGTCTCGAACTCCTGACCTCAAGGGATCCACCCACCTGGGCCACCCAAAATGTTAGGATTACAGTCGTGGGCCACTGTGCCCAGCCTTCTTTTTTTTTTGTTTTGTTTATTAATATGTTTTAATAAATAGAGACAGGGTCTCACTATGTTGCCCAGGTTGGTCTTGAACTCCTGAGCTCCAGTGATTCTCCCACCTTGGCCTCCCAAAGTGCTGGGATTATAGCTATGAGCCCCTGCACCTGGCTGCAGCTGAGCTTTTCTGAGAAGAAGGAGAAAAGCAGCTGAGCTTAGAGTCATGTCAGGTTTGCTCCTGATGCAAGTGCAGCCACACTACCTCTCTCAATCCATTCACCAGTGGGTCAGGACCCTGAGTGATTATGTCCTAACTCAGAATGCTGGTCATCTCTGACTTAAGTCAGGAAGTGGTACAGTAACAATCAATAAATGCTACTGAAACAATGAACTAATAACATTAGTTTTAGGCCTGTCAACGCCTATTTCTGATACACAAATCTCAGCCTTCCCAAACTAAGCTTACATCTAGATGCAGACAAATGCAGGTTTTAAAGGGAAAACCTATATATGTGTGGTGAGACATGCAAATGAAACAGTAAGGCTTCCAACACAACTTACATACTTATAATTAATTATTCATATATGGATGAGAATATGTTCAAATACCATGCACGACTATTTCTAACATTTTCCCTATTTTCACTATATTTGTGCATAAAAGTCAACTTTGCAAATGTAAGATTTTCCTTTTCTTGATCTCACTTCTTAAAAAAAAACAATTTTAAAAAAAGAAGTGGGGAACCATATTAAGAAGCCTAAAAGTATAGGAAAGGTATAAGAGTTTACTGTCCTTGTTTTAGCTTACACGAGATTCAAAAAAAAGAACAAAAAGATCTAAGAATTGTTTTAACTAGCACTTTGTTAAGAAAATAACTTCCAAGCAAGGCATGGTGGCTCATGCCTGTAGTCCCAGCTTCTCAGGAGGCTGAGGCAGGACGATTGCTCCCTGAAGTTGGAGACCAGCCTGGGCAACATAGTGAGACCCCCACCTCTAAGATCAAGCACTACAATCAGTGAGAGGTTTATACTAAAAAGACAAAGCTGACTGCCTATACAGTGATGTGCTTTGACATTTTCACCAGTGACGGATGGCATATACGGTGGTTGCATAAGATCACAATGGAGTTGAAAAATTCCTACTGCCTAGTGATGACATAGCTGCCATAGCATTGTTGTGTTACTCAAGTGTTTCTGGTGATGCTGGTATAAACAAATCTACTGCATTGCCAGTCATATAAAAGTGTATCACAAGGCTGGGAGCAGTGGCTCACACCTGTAATCCTAGCACTTTGAGAGGCTGAGGTGGGCGGATCACCTGAGGTCAGGAGTTCAAGACCAGCCTGGCCAACATGGTGAATTCCCATCTCTACTAAAAATACAAAAATTAGCCAGGCGTGGTGGCAGATGCCTATAATCCCAGCTACTCGGGAGGCTGAGGCAGGAGAATCACTTGAACCTGGGAGGCAGAGGTTGCAGTGAGCGGAGACGGCACCACTGCACTCCAGCCTGGGCAACAAGAGCAAAACTCCCTCTCAAAAATAAAAAAGTATAGCACATACAATTATGTAGAGTACATTATACTAGATAATGATAATAAACTATGTTACTGGTTTATATATTTATTATACTATATTTTTAAATCATTATTTTACCCTTTTGAAACAGGGTCTTGCTTTGTTGCCCAGGCTGGAGTGTAGTGGCACGATCATGGCACACTGCAGCGTGTTGCCCAGGCCTAGGTGGGAGGGTTGTTTGAGGCCAGGAGTTC
Source organism: Homo sapiens (assembly GCF_000001405.40). Taxonomy (NCBI): domain Eukaryota; kingdom Metazoa; phylum Chordata; class Mammalia; order Primates; family Hominidae; genus Homo; species Homo sapiens. The sequence goes on from NC_000020.11 coordinate 49,645,984, forward strand.
AAGACCAGCCTGGGCAACATAGTAACACCCCATTTCTTAAAAAAGTAATAATAATAATTTTAAAATTAGCCAGGCATTGACAACAGGCACTTGTAGTCCTAGCTCCTCAGGAGGCTGAGGCAAGAGGGTTGCTTGAGCCCAGGAGTTCAAGGCTGCAGTTTTTTTTAAAACTTTTTACAAGTTCACAAGTTTAGAAAGTAGAAAGGTATAATAGTAAGGTTCATCTACCATTAAAGACAGACAAATATTTTCTGAATAAATTTGGTGCAGCCAAAGTGTTCAGTGTTCATAAAGTCTACAGTAGTGCAGAGTCATGTCTCAGGCCTTCACGTTCACATTCACTCCACGTTCACTCACTCACTGACTCACCAGAGCAACTTCCATTCCTGCAGGCTCCGTTCATGGTAAGTACCCTACACAGCTGTACCATTTTTTATCTTTTATATCTCATTTTTTACTGTACCTTTTCTATGTTTAGATACACAAATACTTACCATTGAGCTACAATTACTGTATAGTACCATGCTGCACAGGTTTGCAGCCCAGGAGCAATAGGCCATACCATACAGCCTAGGGGTGTCGCAGGCTACACCATCTAGATTTGTGGAATTTTACTCTAGGAGGTTCTCCCAACAATAAAATCACCTAATGATGTACTTCTCAGAAAGTACCCTCGTTGTTAAGCTATGAATGACTGTATTCATACTTTCTCTAGGAAGTTCAAACAGAACCCAAGTTACAAAGGACAGGCAAGGGCAAAGGGAAGAGTGAAAAAGTAGGAAAGGTAGAAAATGGCACCCAAGAACACAGGCAACCTTGCAGCAGGCTTTGAAGAGGAGCCAGGAGCACAACTTTCACAAACCCTGTTTCCAATGGCAGGGAGGTATTTATATTCTCTCTGCAGGCAGACAGAGAGATCAAGAGTGCCCTCCCCTTTATCCATTTTAAAAGCAGAGGAAGACAGGCCAGAGCTGTACTCACTCATGGAAGGGAGTCTTTCAGGGCAGGTATGGTTTGCAAAGTAGGTGAAGTCTTCAGGAAGAAATGTTGTAGTTTGCAGGAAGGTTTCACTGTGGTTCAAGTCAAGAGGATAATCTAGGGAGGTAAAGGAAAAAAGTCGATCAGACTGGTATGTGTGATCAACCGTGCAATTATCAGATGCCTACCAAGTAAGTCTTTCTCTTAGCTATCATCTTGGTAGAAGGAGACAGGACTCTGGACTACCGCTTTGATGCAGCTAAAAATGTGAACCCATCAATAAAAATGTCAGCCAAATGGCAGATTTTAACCAGTGTTCCTATTCCTATTGATTTTATAGGTTTATATGCAGCACTCAGTTTACAGTCAACTGTAATTAAATGTAATTTTAAAAACAGCAGTTGCCCTCCTCTCATTTCTGTTTTCTAAAGGAACCACTTGCCCTTCTTTTGGCCAAGTATCTCAGCATTTATATGCAGTATTCACCTCTGTCAGCCTCTACGGCTGGTCGTGATGTTTCTGTTTTCAGTCTTACCTACCGACCTCCCACTTATCCCCTTCCTTCTGCCACCCCTGCCACACGATCCCCTTCCATTCCCCAGTCTCCCATCGGTCACATATCATAGCTGTGGTTAGGACAATCTTCAGTCTTTGTATTACGATGCTGCTGTTAAGTACTAGTCGTCGCTGAGAAATGTGGAAAGTTATGCATCTTGTTTTTCTGTTTGCTCAGTTTTATATGCAATGATTCTAATTCAACACCACGCCTTTCACCAAGACATTTCCTCCTAAGACATACATTAGGTATTCTCTCAACTTCATCCTCCCAGAGGAGGTGTGGCAGCTTCTGGCCTTCTTCCATGCCAAATGTGCTTGGGGGGAGGTATTCTCTCGGTGATGATTCCTCCCTTCTGTACTCTGTGCTGCCTTTCTGGAGAATACAGAACAGGAGTTGGATGTGAGACCTCCCAGTCCTCTGTCTCATCTTTTCTATCCAGTTTTCCGTCTTGCCATTTATCTGCCCTACTTTCCAAGAGATTTCCTCAACTTTACTCAACCTTCCTTTAATCATCATCTCTGCTATCATATTTTTTAACTTTGAAGAGCTCTTGTTTCCTGAATGTTCATTTCTTACTATATTCTTGTTTCATGTTTGCAGTCATTTTTCTCTTATTGGTATCTCCAGTGTCAATATCTTTGGGTCTTTTCTCCTGGTCTGACCAGATTCTCCAGAGAAATCCACTCGAATCTCCTGCCAGAATGGTAGAGTCCTGACTATAAACATCCTGAAACTAAGAAAGAAGAGAAAGAGGCTGGGGCATATGTAATCCCCATCTTTTCAAATACTGTGGTCATGCCAGGTATCCCCAGGTTGAGGAGCCTCTGTTTTGCCATCTCTGGGGTTATTAAGTCTCCAGCTCTTGCCAGGATGGGGAAATGGGTCTGGGTATCTGACTGCTTTTTAACAGCTTTCAATCTCCCTTTATTTTAGTTGCCACCTTTGCTCCTACTTCCCATATTGCTAGTTCCTGAGCTTCTGGGGGATCCTGGGGTGGTTGCTGGTTCTCCTGTTGCTGCTTTGAGCAGTCAGTTTTCTTGGGTTTGTTAAGTCTTTTATCAGTGGTTCTTCTGCTTTCTACCTACCAAGGTTTTTTGCTGTGGTCTCCTTTTGTGTTCTCATTCTCAAGGGTTTATAATTTAAAAACCCTCACATATGTATGCCCCTTTAGAGTCACGTTAGTGGATATGAAGAGTGTGATGGCAGATGTCTTTTTCCTAGGGGACTGTACTTGTAGAGTAGGAGGAGGGTCCTCCAACCTCATTTTCTACAGATGAATAACTGGAACAACATACACAGAACTCAGACCAGGAGCCCTGGCTAATGCATGACAGAGCTCCAACTAAACTCTGAATGAGAGATCCTTCCAGTATACTGTATTGTTTTTATTTTTTTCACAGAATATTAAATCCTTTTGGATCCATGCTGATTCTATGAAAATTAAAACATCCTGTTCAAATTCACTTTGTACCCTAGAATTCTAGAATCTTCAACTAAGATATTTTTGAAAAAGCACTATGAGCAGGTTTCCAAGAATCAAATGGCTAACACATTGAATCCTTTTATATATGCACACGGCTGCCTACTCTGCGCTGCCTACTCTGCAAGTACTCTGGGGCAAAATTCAACGAGAGGCAACTTGAAAATTTTAACTGTGTCTTAACAAGGGAAGGAACAGAATGCTTTCTGTCCTTTTCAGTAGTAGCTTTCCTGAAAAACACTAAGCCTGCATTTATAGAGAATAGTAGAGACTAATTTATATAAAGACATAAACCAGGCTGGGTGGGGTGGCTCATGCCTATAATCCCAGCACTTTGGGAGACTGAGGCAAGAGGATTGCCTGAGCCCAGGAGGCCAAGACCAGCCCAGGAAACATGCTGAGAACCTGTCTCTACAAATAATTTTAAAAATTAGCCAGGCCTGGTGGTGCGCGCCTGTGGTCCCAGCTACTCGGGAGGCTGAGGCAGGAGGATCACCTGAGCCTGGGAGGTCGAGGTTCCGGTGGGCAATGATCACACCACTGTACTCCAGCCTGGGTGACAGAATGAGATCCTATCTTAAAAAAAAACAAAAACAAAAACATGAACCAAGACAGAACCTTAAAGATAATATTTACACAGAAATTCTCTGAGCTCAGCTCATACATGCAAACCTGGCCTGGGTTGAATCTTCTTCTGAAGGTAGTAACTACTTCAAAAATCTATGTGAAGAACCCCTCATCCTAATTATTACTCAGGATGAATCTAATAGATGAAATTATTCTCCTTTAGAAAAAAATTAAAAGACCTCACAAGTAATAGAAAATGTGCCTGTGTTTGTGATACGCCCATGTGTGGCAAGAGACGCTGGCTGGAAACATGTATTGGCACAGTCAATACATTCACTAGAAGGCAATGAAATTCCCAAAAGTATTACACTAAGTATATTTTCATAAACAAATCAACAAAAACGAAGATAATAATCATTCTGGTCAATGACTGACCCAAGCCCTAGAGCTAGAACCTAATCAGGAAACTAGAATTTAAAAAACATGAGGCAAGAGACAAGATATCACTAACTCTAATGATTCTACTATTTGGAGTTTCTTTGAAGATAGATAAATTCCTTTCTACTTCCTTCAAACAATGATACAGTAAGCCTGGTAGCACCTAGCATGAAACAAAAAAAAAGCATTTATTTTTCTTCTGATTACTAAATTAATAATATGTCACTGTTTTAAGAATCCTCAAATACGCAACAACTCTATTGCAAAAATCTTCCAGAAACTTACTCTACATCTTGGGAGGGGTGGCTTAATTTCCTGATTTCTTGTTTAAAAATTTTTAAATAAAACTTTAATTAAAATAAAGTCTACTTGGAAGGCCAAGGTGGGGTGCTCACTTGAGGTCAGGAGTTCGAGATCAGCCTGGCCAATATGGTGAAACCCCATCTCTGCTAAAAAAAAAAAAAAAAAAAAAAACACAAAAATTAGCCGGGCATGGTGGCAGGTACTTGTAATCTCAGCTACTCAGGAGGCTGAGGAAGGAGAATCGCTTGAACCCAGGAGGCAGAGGTTACAGTGAGCTGAGATCACACGGTTGCACTCCAGCCTGGGCAACAACAGCAAAACTCCATCATAAACAAACAAACAAACAAAGTCTGCTTTTCAGTAGCAATAGAGGCCTTTTAAAATGAAAGAGACAGAGGAAATTAATTGCTCACGACCTGGTAAAACTATGTGCAGTTATCGTGAGGAGCCCTTGTTTTTCTCCCCTGCTAGCTGTCCAGCAACGGGTGGGGTTATACCTTATCCCCTTGGAGTTCCAAATATAACTTCTTACTCTTCTAAAGCATGTACCTACTGAATGAGGAAAATGCTGAGAGAAAAACAAGCCTGTTGAATTTCTACAGCCACAGTTTTACTTTTTAATTTAAATCTAATCTATTTCAAACCTGGACATGTTCTTGAAGGGCAAAGAAGGCAGCTGCTTTTACATTTAGAAAATGGAAAAACAAGCCGGGCGCGGTGATCTCTGCATTTTGGGAGGCCAAGGCGGATGGATCACCCAAGGTCAGGAGTTCCAGACCAGCCTGACCAACATGGTGAAACTGTGTCTCTTACTAAAAATACAAAAAATTAGCCAGGCACGGTGGCATGCGCCTGTAGCTCCGGCTACTCAGGAGGCTGAGGCAGGAGAATTGCTTGAACTCAAAAGGTGGAGGCTGCAGTGAGCCGAGATCCCGCCACTGCACTCCAGCCCGGGCAACAGAGCGAGACTTTGTCTCAAAAAAGAAAATGGGAAAACAGGCCAGGCACAGTGGCTCACATCTGTAATCCCAGCACTTTGAGAGGCCAAGGCAGGTGGATCACCTGAGTTCAGGAGTTTGAGACCAGCCTGGCCAACATAGTGAAACCCTATCTCTACTAAAAATACAAAAATTAGCCAGGCATGGTGGTGGGTACCTGTAATCCCAGCTACTCAGGAGGCTGAGGTAGGAGAATCGCTTGAACCTGGGAGGCAGAGGTTGCAGCAAGCCAAGATCGTGCCACTGCACTCCGGCCTGGGCAACAGAGCGAGACTCCGTCTCAAAAAAAAAAAAGAAGATAGATAGATAGAAAATGGGAAAACAACAGACTCCTACCTACAGGTTCAAATGGCTACTGATATCATGGGCTTGCAGACCAACATTTCTGTCCAACAGCAACTGCTTATTCAGCATTGCTTCACACCAGTGGTTCAGCAGCCTTGGTTGCACATTGGAATCATCTAAGAAGCTTTCAAAAATCCTAACACCAGGCCGGGTGTGGTGGCTCATGCCTGTAATCCCAGCACTTTGGGAGGCCGAGGTGAGCAGATCACTTGAAGCCAGGAGTTTCAGACCAGCCTGGGCAACATGATGAAACCTCATCTCTACTAAAAATACAAAAATTAGCCGGGGGTGGTGGCACCCACCTGGTGTCCCAGCTACTCAGGAGGTTGAGGCAGGAGAATCACTTGAATCTAGGAGGCGGAGGTTGCAGTGAGCTGAGATGGTGCCACTGCAGTCCAGCCTGGGTGACAGAGCAAGACTGTCTCAAAACAAAAACAAACAAACAAAATTCTAACATTCAGGCTATACCTCAGGCCAATTAAATAAGAATCGCTAGCAGTCAGGCACAGACATCAGTACTTTGGAAACGTCCTTGGGAATTCCAATGTATAGCTAAGCTTGGTATTGCTACCCTAATACCTGGAGGAGGTAAAAACCTGCCTTCTCCCTTGTGTTACCAAATCCAGTTGAGAAGGAATCGAAAGTGCTGACCAATGGACCCCAGCAAGAATCACCACTTTCCCCTCCCATTTGAGAAAAGACCAAACACTTGCCTCTCTGCTTGAAAAAAATATGGAAATTTATATATACTAGAAAGATGCCACTGGGACAAATATCTGTGAAATATAAAGAATTAGCATTCTTCAAGAGTTAGTCCATTAAAGGATGACTACCTACTGGGAGGGTAGCCACATCGAAGACTACAGACTGGACATCTAAAACCACCGAGAAAGAGGTGAAGATGACCCACTCCATTAATAGATTACAAAGCACACCAGCATGACTTTACTCACTCTGCAGATTCACAATCTCACAAACCAATGGCTTTCAGTGACAACAGGAAGCTTCTCCTGGTCACCACTTCAGGTTTATTTCCAGGTTCACAGACCCCATCCCCAAAAGTCTGTTTTCATTCACTAATCACCATGTTGCTTTTAAACTTAAAGAAAACCAGCATGACTTAAATGTCACCCTGGGCTTTTGAGCTATGCTTGGCCTAATGCAGATGCCTGAATGTGGGTATGTGCCTCAGCATTATTTCAGCAGAGGATGGTGCATAATCCAGGTTACCACCATTAAGCCAACAGTGCTCCAGGCAGAAGTGGTCGGGCCAGAGGTGTCAGTCATTTGGCTGTCTCAGCAGTGCTGGGCCCAGAATACCCTCTCTGACTGTGCTAGGTAGACAACTGCTTTGAAATGAAGAAGAATGATGGGTTTTCATTAAATACACTTTCAGTGAAATGCTATTTTCTTTTCAGTACAGGTTGAGTATCCCCTTATCTGAAATGCTTAGGACCAGAAGTGTTTCAGATTTCTGATTTTTTAGGATTTTGGAATATCTGCATTATACTTACCAGTTGATCAACCCCAATCTAAAAATCCGAAATCTGCAATGCTCCATTGAGTATTTTTTTCAAGTGTCGTGTTGGCACTCAAGGTTTCATCATGTGTGGATTCTGGAGCAGTCTGGAGTTGGTATTTTCTGATTGGGGATGCTCAACCTGTACTTACTCGCCAAAGATGTGCCAGTGACACAGCAGCTCCACAAGATGGTGACCTCCTTAGAAACATGCTACAACACTTAAGACGTGCTTTCTTGTTAAATTCATTCCTTCATGCATACAAAAATAACTTACCAAGTGCTTCCTATGTGCGAGGCAGTGTATAAGGTACTAAGGATACAAAGATGACAAAAGGAATGAAGCCATTACTGCGATTCAGGGCACAGGCCCTGGAGTCAGAGAATCAGCAAACCCTAACCCTGCTGCTGCATCAAGTTCCATGACTTCCATGTGCCTTGTTCCTTTTATCCCTACAATGGGGACACAGTAGCTACCTTCTGGGTTCTTGTGAGGGACTACATGAAATCATGTAAGTCAAGTATCTAATAAACAGTAAGAGAGTCCCTGATGGCACAGACTTCCAATCTATTAGAGAAATAAACACGTTTAACAAAAAATAGATTGTTCTAACCAGAGAGATGCAAGGAAAAGGTATTTGGGTGTATGATAATTTGAGAATAAAAGTACACCAAGTTCAATAATAACGGGTCACTGGATACACCCTCCAAGGGTGAAACTCACCTCTGTACTCAGTTTTCAAAGACAGCAACTCAGGAAGTAGCGCAATCCTGTGTTGCCAGACCGGCAGTGGTGTGGAAATGGGGTCCTGCTGCATGCCCCTCTAACTTCTGAGAGAACTGCCAGTACTGCCAAATGCCCAGAGAGACAGATATTCCAGCCTCATCTAACACTGCAGAAGTATGACATCTGGACTGGATAAATGTCATGAGGACACAAATGTTCCCTTACTCAGTGCTATACAGGGGAGAGCGCTCTGGAAGGGCAGTCAGTACTGCCTCGTTTCTTCACCTAACTAGAAGCAGGATTTTGGCAGGGTTTAGGGAAAGAGTCACATGATCAAGCTGCGCCATCTTCCCCAAGATTATATGTACTATGTGTGAAAAATGCAAACAGCATAAAATTCTGCCTTAACTGACAGAGCCACATGAGTCGAGTGAGAATGTGTGTGCGGATTGTGCAAAACCTACCACCACATGCAAGACGGAAACTGCAGGGTTTCCTCTCCCAGGTATGGTTCAGAGCTCAGGTAACTTGACCCAGTGCGACCACAATTTGTCTAAAAAGCTCTGAAATGTCATTCACTTGTTCTTTGCCAACAAGAAAGTATCAAAAGTTTATCAGTTTGCTAACTACAGTCCTCTGTTGCTAAAGTGGACGGCAAAGGAAACTGATAAATTAGGATGTGGTCAATTCTTTTAAGGAGAGGCAATTCTTTTAAGAGAGGCAATGTTTTCTCTTGATTTTCTAAGCGCCACAGAATAATTCGCATTTGCAACATTTGCAAAGCAATTTCACATTCGACAGTGAACTTCCAAAAATCTTGTAACTTATTAGAGAAGAAGAGAGGACTGATTTAGAGGGAGAATTTTTTTTTAAATGTAAGTATTTTAAAATATTGGGCTTAGACGAAATCATTAAGAAGCCATAGGAGGCTGGGTATGGTGGCTCATGCCTATAATCTTAGCACTTCGGGAGGCCAAGGCAGGTGGATCGCTTAAGCTCAGGAGTACAAGACCAGACTGGGCAACATGGTGAAAGCCGTGTCTACAAAAAATACAAAAATTAGCCATGTCTACAAACAATACAAAAAATGAGCCACGGTGGCTCACACCTTTAATCCTAGCACTTTGGGAGGACGAGGCAGGAGAATCACTTGAGCCTGGGAGGTCAAGGCTGCAGTGAGCCAAGATCATGCCATTGCACTCCAGCCTGGGAGACAAACTTAGATGCCATCTCAAGAGAATAAAAAAAAAAGCTCGGGCACAGTGGTTCATGTCTGTAATCCCAACACTTTGGGAGGCCGAGGCAGGCGGATCACCTGAGGTCAGGAGTTTGAGACCAGCCCGGCCAACATGGCGAAACCCCGTCTCTACTAAAAATACAAAAGTTAGCCAGGTATGGTGGCGCACACCTGTAACCCCAGCTACTCGGGAGGCTGAGGCAGGAGAATCAGTTGAACCCGGGAGGTGGAGGTTACAGTGAGCCGAGATTAACACCACTGCACTCCAGCCTGGGTGACAAGAGCAAAACTCCATCTCAAAAAAACCCAAACAAACCCAGAAAGCACATTAGTCCTCAGTTACAGAAATGAGGCGAATCATGAATCCTTAGTAAGATGAAATCTCAGAATCTATTTTTTAAATAAAAACCATCCCTGGCTGGACTAGAGAGGCCTCAAGAGAGTCCCACTTAATCATGTGGAAGTATTACTTCCTTCCTGTATTCAGTTTTTGAAAGAGTTGAAAAGAAAGAGCCCTGGCACAGTGGCTTATGCCTGTAGTCCCAGCACTTTGGGAGGCCGAGGCAGGCAGATCACTTGAGGTCAGGAGTTCAAGACCAACATGGCCAACATGGTGAAACCCCATCTCTACTAAAAATACAAAAATTAGCCAGGCATGGTGGCATGCTCCTGTAATCCCAGCTACTCAGGAGGCTGAGGCACGAGTATCACTTGAACTGGGGAAGTGGAGGTTGCAGTGAGCCGAAATCACCCGTTGCATGCCAGCCTGGATGACAGGAGCAAAACTCCGTCTCAAAAAAAAAAAAAAAAAAGAAGTAGTCATCCAGTCACTCTTAATGTATTATGCTATAGTTTAAATGTCTGTCCCCTGCACACCTCATGCTGAAATGTAATCCCCAATGATGGAGGTGGGGCCTACAGCAGGTGTTTGGTTCACAGGGGCAGATCCCTCACAAATGGCTTGCTGCTGTTGCGGTAGGTTCTCCTCTATTAGCTCCCACAAGAGCTGGTTGTTAAGAAGAGCCTGGCCCTGCCCTCCTCTCACCTGCCACATTGCTTCCTCTCACCATACACACAGGCTTCCCCTTCCCCTTCCACCAAGAGTGGAAGCAGCCTGAGGCCCTCACCAGAAGCAGACGCTGGCATCACACTTCTTGAATAGTTTGCAGAACCATAAGCCAAATAAATCCTTTTTCTTTGTAAATTATCCAACCTCAAGTACTCTTTTATAGCAACACAAACAGACTGAGTCATATTGTTAACAAAAATGAACGAGGATTCATTTGGCAAGAGCTTTTTTAGCAGTAAAGTAAAACTCAGCCAAATCCCTCTTTTACAATGCGCTTTTCCCATTGAAAATAATTATTGCAACCGAATTTACCTCTCTTGGGAGGAGACATTCTAATCAGACCACCTCTTTACTAAAAATATACCTGAGTCATTTACACTGCTGTTCCTCTTGGCATAAGCACTCCGAAGCACCTGCTCATAAACCTGAGCACCGATTGTTCTCACGTTGTCCCGGATCAGAATGCCTTGGGCTTGCATCATGAAGAGGTAGGTGTTCACTGCAGAAAGCAAAAAGGGGAAAAAGAGGTGGATTCAGAAGCAATCATTTAAAAAAACATACCACATAGCTATGGATTTTTTTTTCTTTTTGGACTTTTAAAGCCTCTTTTAGTTCTTTTAAAACCCTACATGACCATAACTCTATTTTCCATACCTTTCAGGACACCAACATCTTTTGGGTAGCTAGTAGAGCTTAGAGGAATTTCTGTCAATATCCAACAGTTCTAGAAAAAGCATCAACTTAAAAAAAAATATATTCCATCTCTTCTCCAAATACCCAATCTGTATTCTAGCACTCTGATCATCAGAAGAAAGACCTTTATGAATTAGTTAAAACTTTTTTTTTTTAAAGGTTTCTGCTCTCTTTAAGTTCACCTTCTCAGAATTAGTTCATGGTTCTTCATAGAGAAAAGAAACCACTGACTCTCTGACTGCTAGAAGCACTGAAGCCATGGTCTGAAGCCACGGTCTGGTCTTGGCAACCTTTTCAAAGTGGTAGACTGAGGCTCCAATCACTTACCCTTGGGAGATTTGGAAAGAAAAAGGAGTAACGAAAGACTATTTGCAGTCCTCACTATCCACCCATCCCAGCCCAAAAGTCCAAAGCAATAGGGAAAGAGCACAGTCCAAGGTCAATTAAAACATGCTCTTAACAAATGAGTGTTCAGATTAACCTGCCAATCTTGTCTTCTTTGGAAAGTGATCTCCACTTGCATTTTCCTGAAGTCTCTCTATGATACAAAACTAGAAGCTCACAAACACGTCAAAATGTAATCCCTATATTCTACTTGCAAACTCCACTGCTATGCCATCTATTTTCAAGAAACAGTGAGATTGTAAAACATAGTTTCTTAACCAGTCACTCTAATTCCCTCAAATTGCCTTTGTCATTGTGAAAGGGGGATGTGTTACAGGGGTGGAACATTTACAAATCTAAACTTTGTGGGTGTCTGGGGGTGGATTCATCTAACCGCTTGGCTAACCTCGGGACCAGGCCCCAGTGCCTCCTCCACACTCAATACATCTGGCCTTGGGATGTGGATTCCGGCTCTTTGACAAAACACTTGGCTGACATTAGGTTTCATCACTATTAAAGCAGTATCCTGTACATAATGCGCAGCAAACAATGACTGAATGGAATAATGGACGAAGCTTAGAAGTCACTGTATTTCAAGCTAGTGCTTTTGGTGCTTTATACTGGGAATGACAGAGGTGGGGTGGGTTAGCATAATGTCAAAAACCCCACGTGGCCAACATTAAACAGGGACATTGAAATCTTTCGAAAGATTTCAAATCATCTCTTAAGGTATATCCCAAGCCATAAAATAATAAGCAAAAAGGACCAGTGTTCAGAATGCTTTCCGAAATGAGGGAGCAGTTTCAAATGCGGCCTTGCATTGATTGGGAGACAGCCCTATGCTTAACTTCTGGCACCGTCGGAGAATAGATCAGATATTGTGTTTATTCTCTAGTAGCTAGGAAAGATTTTAAGGAAAAAAGACAGCTTCCAATTATTAAAAAAAAGTATAACTGTGTGAAGTCTCTGAAAGCAGGAGTAACACCTCATTCTCTATTTCCAGCAGATAGGACACTGCCAGTCACAGTAGGGGGGCAGTCCACAAATACTTGTTAAACCTAAGACTTAAACTTCATCTAATATCACATTTCTAATTCAGTCCTGTGTTGTTGTTGTTGTTTTTAATCATTTGGGCTGTGCAGTATGTTCCCACTGCCCTGAAATCTTCCTTTCATCCCAACATATTACTAAACCAGTTGTCTTATTGAAAATTTTGTGTAAAGCTTTTATTGTATTTATTGAAAATCTTGTGTAAAGCTTATAGTAAGGTGCCGCCAAGAACTCACTACCTCCTTTCCTCTGCACTGCAAAGGACACAGTTGCTTAGCCCCTCCTTTAAACACTCTCCCTTTCTTAGCTTTGCATCCCAACTGGAGGATTCCTCTAGGGCAGTCATTCTCTAATGTTTCCCACCCATCCCCCAGAGTGCTTTTAAGAAGCCTGTTTCCTAGGTCCCACTACCCAGACTGATGCATCTGGTCTGAGTGGGGCCCATGAATGTGCACTTGTAACAAGCTCGCAGGTGATAAATGGTGCTGGACTAAGGACCACACTTCTATAACCACTGCTCTAGGGAACTCTGGCCACATAATAAATATAAGCAACATTTATTGAGTACTTAATTACATAATTCCTTACTGCATTTAATCCTCATAATTATCCTAAGAGGCAAGTAATACTATCCAATTTACAAACAACTTCTAGGCTTCAGTTTCTCCAAGTATCTTCACAAAGGTCAACTGAGAGCACTAGAATTTGAACCAGGTGTGTCTGTGCTCTTAACCACTAAGCTTTTATACCTCACTCATCCATGTTCTAGCCACAACCTCTCTCTGAAAGATTTCAAGCACCCACATGGCTTAAATGCTTACTCTTAAGGAGATAGCTCTCACATCTTCATCTCCTGCACAAAGCTGCCAGATGGATCTTTCTTGACCTTTCTTAATTACAGATTTATCCACACTGTTACTGCTCAAAAGTCTTTTACGTCTCTTGCCTTTATCCCTGAGCTGCTGCTACAGCAAGGAGTCTATTCTTTCTGCCGTGCAAATCCCATTAATCCTTCAAACCCCAGTTCACAGACCTCTTGAGGAAGCTTTCAGTACCGTGTCAGTCTCCCCCCTTCTCCAGTTTCTGTGATGGTCTATTACAGACTATCAAAACTTGGATTTGTTTCCATGTTGACTTAATTCACTAACAACTGTCTCGTGTTAGTCTCGTCATTCAACTAATAAATTAACGTAAACCACATAGTATTTTTTTTTCTAATTATCGAAAGGAACTAGCACAATGCTAAAAAAATAAAAACTGAGGGAGTAAAGATTGCCAAACAAAAGGAAATAATCACAAATCCACAACTTGGGATTGGATGGCATTTTAAGGAACACTCACCAATATCATCGAATGCTTCCCACTACTGGGGAACTATGACCTCCAAGAACACAGAGTCAACAGGGAAAATATGGCCATCAGCAAAGAAAACCTACTTTGGTTGGGTACAAAATGTTTCCCAGTCACTTGTTTTTTCTTTTTTTCTTTTTTTTTTTTGAGACAGAGTCTCAGTCTTGGCTCACTGCACCTCCACCTCCCGGGTTCAAGTGATTCTCATACCTCAGCCTCCCAAGTAGCTGGGACTACTACAGGTGCATGCCACCATGCCTGGCTAATTTTTGTATTTTTCATAGAGACGGGGTTTCAGCATGTTGGCCAGGCTGGCCCAGTCACTTTTGCCCACTGGTTCTCTCTCAACCTTCCCCAGACACCCTCTCCCACTCAGGCCCCTTCTATGTGTGCCCCTCCCATATCACAACTTCACACAACTTCACATCTTCATCATCACAACTTCATCATCACAACCTCACTCCCCATCCAGGCTGCGCTCTCTGCATACTGGCCCAGTTGTCTACACTTGACAAAGAGTTGTGACCACACTAACGGAGTTGTCCAGATGCAATAGGATGAGCCTAGAAACACACAAACCACCAGCAGCCCTGTTCCACCTGTTACCAAAGATCTGTAAAAGCAAGCCCCTTTTTGGAGATTCACAATGCACAATAACTCAAGGCCCAGAAATTCCCAGAAGAGAGATGTTTAGTTATTTAGCCTGCCATTTCCCAAACCAGAACATCAAGTGAGTCTCTGCAGAACTTACTTTGGGAAATTCAGTTTTGGATATTTCTATGAATAGACTTTTTAAACGTCCATTACATGGTTAGGTAATCAATCAATCAATCTTTGCTGAATGTTGTTGGTAAACAGCAGTCACATCCTATTACTAATTCATATCAAGCTTGCTAGAAGCAAAATCCCCTTAATCTTTTTAGAGATGCTAAATTGCCCTTCTCCTGTGCAATGCTCATGTAGTTGGTTATACAAATCAAACTGTAGGACCTTTCAGGTGTCTCTATTAAAAGTCTTGTTACCGGTTGGGCGCAGTGGCTCACATCTGTAATCCCAGCACTTTGGGAGTCGGAGGCAAGAGGATCACTTGAGGCCAGGAGTTCAAGACCAGCTGGGCAATACAGCAAAATCCCGTCTCTACAAAAATAGATTTTAAAAATACTAGCCGAGTGTGGTAGTGTGCGCCTGTAGTCCCAGCCACTCACTCAGATCAAGGCTGCAGTGAACCATGATCGTGCCACTGCACTCCAGCCTGGGCAACAGTGAGATGCTGTTTGGTTAACAACAACAAAAAAAGCAGTCTTGTTAATAAACTTAGGCCATGGCTCTGGCCTAAAGTAGGAAGTACATATGCATACACATGTTGCTTTCAATCTAAATTATCTCATTCAAAATTCACATCTCTGTGAAGTAGATATCATCTTGAGTGTTTATTTTAGATTAGGAAGTCAAGTCCTCCAGGGGGTAATTTGCCCAAGGTCATATGGTTAGAGAAATCAAAACCAGAGAGGTGAACTGAGTTGCTGCATATATTTTGATGAGCTTTACTTTGTTTTTTTCTTTTTGTTTTTTGGAGATAGAGTCTCCCTCTGTCGCCCAAGCTGGAGTGTAGTGGCGCGTCTCGGCTCACTGCAACCTCCATTTCCCAGGTTCAAGCGATTCTTCTGCCTCAGCCTCCTGAGTAGCCGGGATTACAGGCACCTGCCATCATGCCCAGCTAATTTTTTGTATTTTGGTAGAGATGGGGTTTCACCATGTTGGCCAGACTGGTCTTGAACTCCTGACCTCAGGTGATCTGCCTGCCTTGGCCTCCCAAAGTGTTGGGATTACAGACGTGAGCCACCGCACCCAGCTAACTTTGAAAATTCTGAAAGCAGTACTTTCTAATAATATGGTCCTGCGCAACAGTGGCTGAATCACAGTTAAAAAAAACAATTTTAAGTTGGTGTGCAGTGGTTAAATCCTCCAGTTTCAACGAGTCTCTACTGAGCACCTCCTTCACTGTGTGCTTTTCAGGCACCGTACGAGGGCACTGGAGGCCAAGTATGCATAAGGCAACGCTGAATAGATGAGTAATGTATAGACAAAATTCAACAAATTACAATGCAGTGTGGTAAATGCGACAACATTTAACACAAATTCACACTTACTAATAATTTGTTTTACACTTTCATGAGACAATGTAATTATTATCCAGCCTCATATCTAGGAGGAGGGATCTCTTATATATAACCATAATTCAGTTGAGAAAAATAAGCCCCATTCAGGTCTACACAATTAGAAATTTCCATTCAGATGCCAGTGTTAGCAGCCTTGGGCCATGGCTTAACTGGACAGCTTCCGGGGGCGAAGGACTGGGTTTCCTGCCCTTCAGCCACCTCTTGGCCACACAATGGTGCCTTTCTTCCTCTCTGCTTCTGATTCTAACAGGAAAACCTCCTCCTTTCTCACTGAACCTTAATGTGTATCCTTAATGTTTGCTGTGGTTGGCTTGGTAAGCTAAAAGAGGGTTCAGAACCAGAAAAGAAACCATTCCCTTCCTGACCACTTTTTACAATCTGTATCTCACCCCCAACATATGCAAACATACAACACACACACACTCACACCCAAACACCAATCACCCTCCTCTGCTTTGGTTTTCTACTTAACATACAACATATTTTAAAATTTATCTTGTCCCCCATAAGAATGTGAGCTCCATTAGGGCAAGGCTGTTGCCTACTTCCTTTAATGCTGTACCCCCAGTGGCTAGAATGGTGTGTTGGGAACACAGAGGATGCATAATAAATATCTGAATTTAAAAAATAATAATAATAAGTTGAGACAATATAGAGTTTTCTGAACTTGGCTGTGCTCCAGGAGGCATGGAGATGGATTTCAAGCCCTTCTCTTTATTTTGCATTAGCCCCCTCCTCCTTTCTGAGAGGAACCCAAAATACTGTAAGTTAACCAGTTTCACTGCACTAACCTGTTCCTAAGAAAAGCTCAGTCATTCCTTTCCACCAATTGAGCAGCACTGCCAAAAAGATTAGCTTTCCCCCCAAAATGTTCTGTTACTCTCATTCCTCATAAAGCTTTTAAAAACATGTTCCATACTATAATGCACAAGTTTATTCAAAATCTTGTGCAATAATATTTGTAGTAGAAAAACACTAGGGAAAAAAGCCTAAATGACCATCCAAAGGAGACTGGTTGAATACATTTTTATACTCACTCCCATGGATGAGTACCATGAGACCATAAAAAAGAATGAGAAAACATTTGTTATAGTCCAAAACTAGAAAGAACTCAGAAGAGATTAAATATTTGTAGCCTATTCCGATTTTGGAATACTATACAGCAACAGGAATAAATAAACTAGAACTGCATGCACCCACGTGAATGAATCTCTCACACTTTATGTGACACAAAGAAGCCAGACACAAAAGAACACATGTGGTATGATTCCATGTAGATAAAATACAAAAACAGGCACAGCTAATCTACAACATAAAAGTCAGGAGAATGGCTACCCTGGAGTGCAGGAGAGTTGAAGGTGGCTTCTGGTCATCTTATTTCTTAACCTGGATGCTGGTTATTCAGATATATTCATTTTCTAAACATTCACCAAGCTTTTTGCTTACATGTACACATTTTAATGTTATATGTCAACAAAATTTACCTTCCCCAAAAATAAGGTGAGCAAAACCCATGAATTGACTTCCAAGACATATTATGCTACTTAATAAAGGGAAATTGATATGCACTCACATATTTTTACAAAAAAAAAAACATAGGAAGAGTAAACCAGAAACTAATAAAAATGAAGGGGTAGGACTGAGGCCTGAGTACACCTTTTATATTTTGGACATTTACGTATTAAAAAAATTATCTAGCTGGGCATGGTGGCACACACCTATGGTCCCAGCTGCTTGGGAGGCTGAAGTAGGAGGCTGGCTTGAGCCCAGGAGTTTAAGTCCAGCCAGAGCAACATAGTGAGAATTCATCTCAAGAAAAAAAAAAAAAAAATATATACATATATATATATATATATATATATATATATGAAAAATGGGCAAACCCTAAAACTAAATACAAACACAAACAAATAATTCTAATAATACATTGTACTGAAAACACAACCAACGGAAAAGTACTCCGATACATTCTTTGAGAGATATACTGTAAGGACAAAAAGAACCGTAAAGAATCTGGAACTCTGTTTAGCAGGTCTGTTGATTACAGTCATATTTGGGTCATAATCATGACATGGAAATCAATGGATGCTAAAACCCTCAGGTGAAAGGGTTGTTGAAGAGGATAGTCAAAACACATATTCAATGCACCACCCCACAAATTACATGTTGATCACAACTGACATTTGTAATTTTGCTGCATAAGAGGAAGATCTAGCAGGTCATCCCTTTACCAAATGTCTCAACTCAGCAACCCCAATATTAGAACAACCTACAGTTCCAGGCTCCTAATGCAATGTAAGATATTTACTTCCTATATAATATTCTTGCTAATCTACTGAAGAGAAAACAAGAAGATAAATCTAGAATATCCCTTAAGAGTTGGGATCTCACTCTGTCACCCAGGTTGGAGTGCAGTGGCATGAACATGGCTCACTGAAGCCTCCAACTCCTGGGCTCAAGTGATCCTCCCAACTCAGCCTCAGGAGGAGCTGGGACCACAGCGGAATGCCCCCACACACAGAGCTAACATTTATATTTTTTTAGAGATGAGGTCTCCAAATACACACACACACACACACACACACACACACACACACACACACACACACACTTTAGATTCTTCAGGCTGAAAGAACATAGGATATTCTACAAAATAACTGATCTGGACCAAAAAAAAGCAGGGGCTATTCTAGATTAGAGACATAACTAAACGCAATACATGAACTTTGACTAAATTCTGAATAGAAAAATCAGAGTGCTAAAATAGATATTTTTGAGACAAGTGAGAAAAATTAAACATGGAATGTATATCAGATATTACTAAATGTTAAGCTTAAGTGTAATCATAGTGCTGTGATTATGCATAATGCGCTTATTCTCAGGAGATGTATATTGAAGTATTTAGAGGTTTCGCATCATGATGTCTACAACTTTACTTTCAAATGCTTCTGAAAAAAATGTGTGCATATGCACATATGCATGTATGAGCTTATGTATGCATATAAAAAGTTAAAGCAAATGTGACAAAATGCTACCAACTGGTGAACTCAGGTGTAGAGCATATATTTATTGTACTATTTTCTCAATGTCTCTACAGATTTGCAATTTTTTTCCAAAAGAAAAATAAAAGGTTGTTAATTAATGTGTTGCAACTGCCAGGTTAAGTGGCTTACTGTTCTGCTGGACTTCAAGCTTTCTCCAAAAGGGGAAAAGTAAAGTGGCCACTTACTCTCCAGGAGTGGCCAAGTTCCCAACTTTATTTAATGAAGAAACAGAGCTGGGCACAGTGGCTCATGCCTGTAATCCCAGCAGTTTGGGAGGCCTAAGCAGGAGGATCACTTGAGGCTAGGAGTTTGAGAACAGCCTGGGCTGTTCCTAGTGAGGCTCTGTCTCTACAAAAAAATTTAAAAATCAGCTGGGCATGATGGCGTACTCCCAAGCTACTTGGGAGGCCAAGGTAGAAGAATCCTTCGAGCTCAGGAGTTTGAGCTGCAGTGAGTTATGATCATGTCACTGCACTCCAGCCTGGGTAACACAGCAAGACCCTGTCTCTCAAAAAGGGGGGGTGGGGGGGTAGTAGTAATAATAATAATAATAATAATAATAATAATAATAATAATAATGAAGAAACATCAAGTCCTAAGGACTTTTTACACTTCTATAAAACACCAGCTACAAAGAGATGATGAATTCTTTTATAAATGTTACAAACTGTAATTCAGACATACATTCATTCAACACTCATTATATACATAAGATGTTCCAGGACTGCCCTATACTCTAAAGATAAAGAGATACAAGTAAGACACAGTCCCTGCCATCACCTTGCAATGGAAGAATAGTCACGTTTGTTCAGGGGTACAGGAGAGTGGCTACTAGATCATATTGGGAGCAGGGGCCAGGAAAATACTCTCAGAAGAGGTAATTCTAGAGTATGGTCCTGAAAGAAGAGCACTGAAGCAGGAGAGGGAGCAGCATAAATGAAAACAAAGAGCCATCCAGGGGGAAATACATCTGAGGAATCAAAGAAGTTTCATATGGCTGGAGCGAAGGTTGCATATGGCAAGAACATGAGACGGGAGGCTAGAAAAATGGGGGGAGCAAGAGCGAAAGGGCTTCACGCACTATACTTGGGGTCTGAACTTGATTCTGAAAGCCACGACATTGCAGAAACGGTCCAGGATTGGATTTCCAGTGGGCCAATGAGTAGGTATCAATCGGAACAAGTAAATTTACCCTACTCAAAATTCCTGGCTCCAGATTAAGGACTGAACTTTTTAGTATCCACATCTAAATTCTTAGATGAACTAAATAAGATTCTGTGTGTAGAATCCCCCAGGTGATTAATAAAAGTTGGGAGCCTGAATCTTAGCAAAGACTGTACTTTCTACATGGAGCAATGCAGAGGAACACCACATCTCCATGGCATGTAGAGTGGAGGGAAAATGTCAAGATATAAAGCTAGACACAACTGACCAGAGCCAGAAAGAATGACACTCAGCAAAGGTGCTGCTTGGTGCTCAGGGGGGTCTGTTAGACTGGGTTTTCTTTCTCTGAATTTACTCACATCATCATCCCACTATAAAATGTGGGATTTATAACAGAGTCAAATAAATTCCAGAAAAACACTGGAGCCAATCTATGGATCACAGGTTCTACCTCTTTAGCATGTCCATGCTTTTGGCATAAAGAACAGGGAAAAGGGAAGAGAATCTAAAGAGAAGAGAAGCAGAAAATGAATAAATAGAACAGGAGGCTCCCTCTCACGCTCATGCTTGCTAGTGCTCTCTCCTTCCCCCATATACAAAATACACAGATAAGACACAATAAAAATTAAGGAAAAACAAAATGTGCCAAAGGAATGTTGAAGTTTGATTTCTGCCATGCTAGAGTATCTGCAAAACCTGCATTATCTTTTTAGACCAATATTTTGTGGAAAAAGCACAACCTGAAAAATAATTCAACCTTACCCCCAAACAAGCAGATGATCAGTGTTCACTGCTCTGCACAACAGGTAAAGAAAGAATCTGCTTATTCTGCTTATAAAGAGATGGATTCCTATACAACTAATAATGCATTTATTGAGTCCTTATGTGCCAGCACCTTTCCAAATGCCTGTGTTTTATCTCATTTCATCCTCACAATAACTGAGAGGCAGGTTGTTACCATCAATTTAGAGATGAAAAAAACTCAGGTCTGAATACGCAATCTGACCATGTGGAGCCAAGATTTCACAGCAGGCTTTGTCTCCAGAGTCCAGATTTTTAACAAACATGCTCTACTGCCTCTCAGATGCTCAATCCCCTGAATCCACAGCTACTATGCTGCCCACACTTTGTTTGATTCCTTTTACTTGGATCTTTTTGAAGTGTTTTTTTTTTTTTGGCTTGTGTTGTTGTTGTTTTTTTTGAGACGGACTCTCGCTGTCACCCAGGCTGGAGTGCAGTGGCGCGATCTCAGCTCACTGCAGGCTGCGCCCCCCAGGGGTTCACGCCATTCTCCTGCCTCAGCCTCCCGAGTAGCTGGGACTACAGGTGCCTGCCACCTCGCCCGGCTAATTTTTTTTGTATTTTTAGTAGAGACGGGGTTTCACTGTGTCAGCCAGGATGGTCTCGATCTCCTGACCTTGTGATCCACCCGCCTTGGCCTCCCAAAGTGCTGGGATTACAGGTGTGAGCCACCGCGCCCGGCCTGTTGTTGTTTTTGACAGGATCTTGCTCTGTCACTCAGGCTGGAGTGCAGTGGCACGATCATGGCTCACTGCAGTCTTAACCTCCCTGGCTCAAGCAGTCCTCACACTTTGGCCTCCCAAAGTGCTGGGATTATAGGTGTGAGCCACCCCGCATGGCCAATATTACCTGGATCTTTACTGTCAACATGTCATATATTTCAGGCTTCCAATATTCCACTTCAGGAGTGGGTGCCAATACTCACGCTATAATGCATCCCCCAAATTTTATAAGTTTGAAGCTCTAATGTGAATCATGAATTTTTCCATTTTAAATCTGCTTAAAATGCTGGATACTCATACTATGCATTACATACATTAACATACATTTAAGAGAGAAAATACAGCTTTTTTAAGATACAAGGAATTTTTGGCAGCAAAATTTACACCCATTGTCTTATCTATTTAAATATTTTGGAGCAACCGTGTGACAATTTTCATACAAAAAGTGTTTAAAGAGAACTGGGAGGAGGGGGGACACATACACACATTAACAAAGTAAATAATACAAAAAAATATTTTGGGGGAAAAATTGATTTGAGGAAACTTTTGCTTTCCTAATCCTTCTCATTTGAGGCAGAAAAATCACAAAGTCATTCGTAGGTTTCATTTTTCACCCTAATTACTATTCCTAGCTATTAAAAAAATCCAAGTGGTAAAAATTAACAGCTATGAAGTACCCTATAAACATTTCCACTGACCTATTAGTCTACCATCTGTTAAATTATTAAACTGTACATAAGATTAGACATGAAAATGCTGTCTAAACAGATACTAGATGGCTGGGTAGCCTATGGTAAGTACTTTACTGATCTAAGCTTCAGCTTTGCTTCCCCCAAAATTCTTAATAGCATGACCAGTTATCAACCCTCAGAAGTACCAATATCCACATGCACAGCCACATAACCTCAGTATAAGCTTGGGTGGGAGAAAACTGTAAATTACCTTGCTGGTTCCATTGAAACTGAACACGTACACTTATCAAAACAACCCTGCGGAGAATGGGTGGGGGTGGGGGGGGCGTCAGGGTATGACGGATGTTGCTGATGGGAATGTGCTAGAGGCACAAGACCAGCACTGCCACACTCCTCTGTGGAACTGAAACCAGAACAAAGGCTCTGCTCCCCTCACCTCCGCACCCCCTCGTCCTAATCTCTGTCCGTCACCGCCCCCACTCCACCGACCAATCCCTGTCCCTGAATTGCCTTGTGGTTCCAGCCTCCCACCCCCACTGACACCTCCTCTGTATGAACGTGCTTTTGTGACACCCGCTCATACTAAGCTTTTTTTTTAGACAGTGTCTCGTCCTGTCACCCAGGCTGGATTGCAGTGGCACAAACACAGCTCACTGCAACCTCAACTTCCTTGGCTCAAGCAATCCTCCTGCCTCAGCCTCCTGTGTAGCTGGGACCACAGGCGTACACCACCACATCTGGTGAATTTTTTTATTTTTGTAGAGGTAGAATCTCACTTTGTTGCCCAGGCTGGTCTCAAACTCCTGGGCTCAAGCAATCCTCCTGCCTCAGCCTCCCAAACTGCTGGGATTACATGTGAGAGCCATCATGCCCAGCCAATACTAAGCTTTAATGTCCCTTTCCTAGCTTTTCCTGGTATCATCCCACCCCCAAGATTAGAACTGCCTACACCTATCTTTGGGCTCTTTCTCAACTGATACACCAACTTCTATCCATGACCTCTACAAATTTGAGCATGTCTCTCTCTTCCAATAGACTGTAAGCTCCTTAAGAGTACAGACAGTCTTATTCTTTTCTTCATCAACTTCTGATAAATAGTAGGCATTTAGCTATTTATTAAAGAATTACATAGGCTGGGCGTGGTTGCTCACACCTGTAATCCCAGCACTTTGGGAGGCTGAGGCAGGTGGATCACCTGAGGTCAGGAGTTCGCAACCAACCTGACCAACATGGAGAAACACCGTCTCTACTAAAAATACAAAATCAGCCGAGCATGGTGGTGCATGCCTGTAATCCCAGTTACTCGGGAGGCTGAGAAAGGAGAATCACTTGAACCTGGGAGGCGGATGTTGCAGTGAGCTAAGATCGCGCCATTGCACTCCAGCCTGGGCAACAAGAGCGAAACTCCACCTCAAAAAAAAAAAAAAAAAGAATTATAGCTTGGCACACAGATGCTGTGATAGCCGGAGGAGTTGCCTTGCTTTTTTAAGGTAGAAGTATACTGGTTTTTCTGCAACCACAAAAAAAAAGGCTATAAGCCAGAAAAGGTCATAGTGAAACTGATACTTCACCAACTGTGCTGGTGTTCGTGCAGACTGGTATAAACCCTTTGGGAAAACTATTTGCAAATTCAACAATAGCCATAAAAATGCTCATACCTTCTGAGCTAGCAAAGTATCCTAAATATGAGGCTATTCTATGCACAAAGTTTTTACTTACATTATTTCTAAAAGCAAAATCTTGGGAAACAACTCAAAATCAACAACCAGCAGCTCTCAGTGCTGCTCTGCCTGTGGAGTAGCCAGTTTCTTTTCTTCTCTAATAAACTTGCTTTCACTTACTAAAACAACAGCACATAAACTGTGACACAAAACTTGACGGAATCTTACACATCTTTAAAAGTGAAAACTATGCAACCTTATCACCATACACCTTATGTATAATATTTAGCATAGACTATCACATTTTTAACAACATGAAAAAAGTTCTGCTATATCTTGACAACTATTGCTAAGGAATAAGAACATGTATCAGGCTAAAACAGACTTGAGGCAAATTTACCAACCTGCTTTGCTGTTAGGGAGTAACAGTGATGTGAGATGACCTTTTTTCCTTCTGTTTTACCAATGTTCTTTACAACAGTAATGATTTATTTTTTTGAGACAGGGTCTTACTATGTTGCCCAGGCTGGTCTCAAATTCCTGAGCTCAAGAGATCTTCATGCCTTAGCTCCCAAGCAGCTGGGACTACAGGCATGCATCATGGTGTCTGACTGAGTGAGGGTTTAAAAGAATGCAATTCTATAGCAAAAAGTTGAATTTCTTCAACACTGAACTGCTATCTGCCTACAACTAAGTTTCTTCTAACCCTTTGCAAACATGTAACGTAAAATTTTAAGTTGACACTACAAACTGCTTGTCTAAATGAGTCAAAAGACTGATACCTGTTCTACCAAAGCCTCACCAACATTCAGAGGCTTTGGTGGAACAGGTATCCCACACCTTGTTGATGGAAACAAATTGATATAACCTCTAGAGAGGTTGGCAATACAGATCAAAGTGAAATGTTCATACTCTAACCCAGTAGTTCCTACTTTCAGGTATTCATCCTAAAGAAATAATTGGATAAATAACAAATGTGTTCAATACTGTTTATCTCAGTGCTACTTATAAAAGCAAAACTCCAACCTATCTATGCACCAAAAGGGTCTGGAAAAAAAATTATGGCAAAATCAGACCATGACTAACTCAGCTATCACTGAAATAATGATTATTGTTTTAGAAGTACTCACTATTTAAAAATCATACCGTGCAGGCCAGGCACGGTGGCTCATGCCTATAATCCCAGCACTTTGGGAGGCCAAGGTGGGCGGATCACCTGAGGTCAGGAGTTCAAGATCAGCCTGGTCAACATGGCGAAACCCCATCTCTACAAAAAATACAAAAATTAACCGGGTGTGGTGGTGCATGCCTGTAACCCCAGCTACTCAGGAGGCTGAGGTGGATCACTTGAACTTGGGAAGCAGAGGTTGTGGTGAGTTGAAATCATGCCACTACACTCCAGCCTGAGTGACAGAGTGAGACTCTGTCTCAAAAAATAATAATTTTCTGAGATTATGTCTGCATTTGTGCTAAATAATTTACGCTAGGAGCAGTAATAAAAGCAGAGATGAAGCTATTGATTCAAGACGGTATATACATTGTATATATACTACATACAGTATATCACATTTGTGTTAAAGACACAAAGGAAAATATAAGCCTAGAACAGTTTTAGAAATCACTTATCAAGATGTTCAGTGTTTTTTATCTCTGTGTGGCAGAATTACAGGTCATCTGGGTTGTCTTTTCTTTGTTACAATGCAACATTTCCATGAACATCAGAACCCTGTAAGATAAGGAGGTTCTCTGTTCCACTAGTGAAAAACTGCAGTAACCAAATCTGTTTAAATCAACTGACCCAAAATTTCAAAGTTTCCAAAGTTACTGAGAACCCCTTTTCACACAGCATCTACTTTATGAGCACCCTTTAGGAATGCTGCCTTTGGGCAGGGTCTTTTTCTTTTCATTTTTTTTTAAAACAATAATCAATAAATTTTTGTATGGGGTCGGGGGAAGCACAAAAACACAACCTTCTGCCTTAGTAAGAGATTCCTCCCCTCTTCATTGCTCCAGACCCTAATAATTCCCCTAATCTCAAACTGTTATTCTACCCCCAAATTATCCTACCCCAAATGATTCATAATGATCCTAAAGCTCTTGGTGCTTCTAGCTTTAACTTCATCAAGCAAGTTTCCTCTATCTAGCCTACCATCCAAACATATTCTTCCACATACTGTTCTTTGGTCTCCCTCCTGATTCTCTTTTGGAAAGATTATTCTTCATGTCCTATGGGGATAATATATTTTAATCACATTATTGTTAGCCTGGAAGCTTGTAACAGACTAATGGGTTATCTACTCGTTGGGAATTTAAGTGCTTCCAAGAAGGCAGCATTCCAACTGGTATTAACACCCAAACTGTCAAACATAGGAAATCAGAGCCATGCTTTCCATAAAAAGGCAAAAGATGCCAGAGAAAGCACTTGAAAATTTCTAGCTTCTAAGGCACACACACTTAGCAAAACAAAGTCTTTCCTTAACACCTTGTGGGTAATGAAACCCTTCCTCTCCTCCAGATGGCTTGTCTTTTGCATATATCAACTTGTAGTCCTAGAAACGGGTTCTCTGGGCCATGCAGAATGCTGGATTATTTTTCTGTCATCTATTATGACAGACAGACTCTGTCACTTGATCAGACATAAACTTTTCTTTCTTTAGCTAAGTAATGTTCACATTTTAAAGCAATTCAAGACCCAAGTCCACAGAAACAGAAGGGCCAACCTACTCTACAAAGGCACGTTGGAAGAGCATGATTGATGGAAACTTGTAAGGAGTCAGGCAAGGTGGCTCACACCTATAATCCAAGCCCTTTGAGAAGCCAAGGTGGGTGGCTTGGCCTCGACCTCCGCAAAGGCTTGGATTTAAAAAAGAAAACAAACCAGAAAAAAAACAAACAAAAAACAAATCTTGTAAGGCTACACTTTGGAAAGAAAATCAAAAACAAATTCTTCCCACAGATCACATAACTGCAAAGGGGGAAACGTGCATTTACAATGGAGAGATCAGATAGGTACCACTTAACCAAGTGCCCAAACTGGGTTATCACCAACTAGAACAAACTAAGATTACCTTCTGAGTATTCTTGCCAAAAACTTTTAATTTAAATCGAATCAAGCTCTTAGACTTATCTTCTGGTTTACAAAAATACAGTGGATTGGCCAGGCGCAGTGGCTCACACCTGTAATCCCAGCACTTTGGGAAGCCGAGGCAGGCGGATCACAAGGTCAGGAGTTCGAGACCAGCCTGGCCAACATGGTGAAACCCCATCTCTACTAAAAATACAAAAATTAGCTGGGCGTGGTGGTGGATGCCTGTAATCCCAGCTACTCAGGAGGCTGAGACAGGAGAATCGCTTGAACCCAGGAGGCAGAGATTGCAGCAAGCCGAGATCGTGCCACTGCACCCCAGCCTGGGTGACAAAGAGAGACTCCAACTCAAAAAAAAAACAACCAGAAAACTAGGGAACACATCAAAGTGACACTAGGCAATTCCAGAATGTAGGACATGCAATAATACTGGCCTGAACTCTTTCTCAAAGAGTTACTACAATGAGCAGTGGATGGGGTGAGAAAGCTACTAAAGACTAACAGACATAACCAAATGTAATATGTTATTTTGGGGATGGGGGCAGCTACAAATAACATTCTGAGCACCACTGGATGAGGACTGGATATTAGAAAGTATTATGATCACTTCTCGGCCTTCTGGCTAAGATCAAGTATTGAAAAGATTATGAAAGTACTGTTAATTTTCTTAGATGCAATAATAGTACTTTGATTAAACAGGAGAATGTCATTTTTTAAAGAGATGTGTGCTGAAGTATTTAAAGGTTAACTGCCTGGATAATTATCAACAATTTAACGTGGCTCAGTGGAGAAAGCAGAGCCACAGTTCAAACAAAAAAAGCAAAATAGTGGTAACTGTTGACTCCAGATGGAAGATAATGCTTTTATTGTGTTATTCTTGCAACTTTTCTGTAAGTTTGAATTTTTTCATAATAAAAAGTTCTGGGGGCCAGGCATGGTGGTTCACGCCTGTAATCCCACCACTTTGGGAGGCCGAGGTGGGCGGATCACGAGGTCAGGAGATTTAGACCATCCTGGCTAACACAGTGAAATCCCATCTCTATTAAAAATACAAAAAAAAAAAAAAAAAAAAAAAAATTAGCCAGGTGTGGTGGCAGGTGCCTGTAGTCCCAGCTACTCGGGAGGCTGAGGCAGAGCTTGCAGTGAGCCGAGACTGTGTCACTGCACTCCAGCCTGGGCGACAGAGCAAGACTCCATCTCAAAAAAAAAAAAAAAAAAGATGTGGGAAAAGTTTGGTTTGGGATGTATCTAGATTGCCAACTAAACCTAAATCAAAGTATACTAATATTAAAAATCCTGTAAATGGGCCAGGAATTGTTACAGAGGGAATAAAGACCCTAGCAATGTTCACATAAGAAGTTAAAGCACTGCGGGGTTTTTCTATGCCCGTAAAGTATTCTTTAGTCTTTGGAATCAAGAACTGCATTTAGGGTCGGGTGTGGTGGCTCATGCCTGTAATCCCAACACTTTGGAATTACAAAATCCCAGGAATTAGTAACTTTTTTTAGTGAGTCTGCAAATGTTACTGAATAAGCCAGCCGCAGGACTGCTCATGGAAGGGGAAGGGAGGCACAGGAGACCGAGGTGGGAGGATCACTTGAGCCCAGTAGTTACAGAGACCAGACCAGCCTGGGAAACATAGCGAGACCCCATCCCTATTAAAAAAAAAAAAGAAGAAGAAGAAGAAAAAGAATTGCATTTAGTCTTTACCTATAACGTCCTATAATGTCATAGGTGAACTAAAAGAAATGATAAATATATCCTCCTGTTGTCTCTCAATGGCTTTCCACCACTTTCAAGGTCCAAATTCCTCATGCTTAGTATGACTCAGAAAAGTCCATAAAACCTGGCTCCTGCCTCTGGAATTTCAGTTCTTGCCACTCCCAACTCTACCCACAATGGACAGTTCTCTGGAACCTGCTAAGATCTCAGACAATGCTGCTCCTACTGGCTAGGTGCAAAGACACAAAAACTAAGATTTCAAAAGCAAAAAATCCCGGGAAAAATAATCTATCACAACAAAAGCATGAGCTCAGGAAGAAAAGGGAGTGGAGGGGATAAGAGCAGGGGAGGGGGACCAAACCCAACTTTGCCTCCCTTCCCCTTCCACGAGCAGCCTGGTGGCTGGCTTGTTCCGTGTGTTCAGTAACATTTGCAAGGACCAAAAAAATCACTAATTCCTAAGATTGCTGTTACTCTCAAACAAAAGTCAATTCCCAAGCCCACACACCCCACAGTCAAGCTGAGAGTTAAAACTCAGAAAACTCAAAGGCCTTAGGATACTGACCCTATGCTGGCAACCACATAGCTCAGAAATGCAACAAATATTAAATTATGGTGTCCTGTAATGGATTTACACTTTACTTTTAAATATTAACAAGACGGCCACAGGGAGTAAGTTTATCAAGGGATAAGAATCCTAACAGTACCTCCTAGTTCACTCAGAGGCCAATTAACATTTCCCACCACGCCCAACAACAAGGCTCCTGGGGGTGTTCAAAGTTGCTTATGACCCTGTGGAGCTATCAGCAGGTACCTCTGCCCCAGAACCTATTATGAGCAATGCACTAGGGGCTCGGTGCACAAGGAAACACCTGAACTACAACTACCCAAGCAAATATCATATCTTTGTAGGTTGTCGGGTTTCTTCAGCTGTCTGAAGATACAAAACCTCATGTGACTGTTTGATTTTTAGTCTCTTCTCACCTTGGTCTTCCTTTCTCACAGTTATTTTTAAAATCAGCAACTGGCTAATATTTGAAAACTGTCAGTAGCCAACTGTCCGTTTCACAATTAGATCACTGTTCAAAAGGAGCAGAATTTTCAACTCTAGACTTTAGTTCAACAAGCTAGCAAATCATTACAGGAATGAGTGACTTCATCTTTACAGCTGGGTCGCTGCACTATGAGGCTACACTAAAATATACCTAATTGTTGAATTCCAACATGTCTGTAGGCCCTCCCCGCATCTTCAAGGTTAGAGTTTTTATTATTGCATCCTCCCCCAACCCAACCCCCCCAGACAAAGCTTGGCATTTTCGGAATCCCTACTCATAAAGTGACTCAGTCCACCGATGGGCCAACTGACAAATCCTTAAGGGATTAAGATATTACCAGGTAAAAAGTGACTTTTAAAAATGTACATAATACATATATATGTAGAGAGAGAGAGTGTGTGTGTGTGTGTTACAGGAAAGCTATTAACTATACTATGAATAAAACAAAATTTCACTGAAAATAAAAGTGATCAGGTAGCACTGACTACAACCTTCTAAATTCCCCCTAAATGAATCCACAGAAAGACTTTCTTGAAGGGTCTTTTGCTAATTTGCGGTTAGAACACAACACACTCAAGAAAATGATGCTCACAGCAGGACACTAATACTAAGTAATTTCTGAGATTATGTCTGCATTTGTGCTAAATAATTTATGCTAGGAGCAGAAATAAAAGCAGAGATGAAGTTAAGCTATTGATTGAAGACTGTGCTAACCCCATTAAAAATAAAGAGAGGTATGAATGTGTGCCTTCACAACTCAGCTCAGGATATACTTGCCAACTGAGCTCTTCCTTCCGTAAGAAGGCCCATTGCTCTTGGCTACTGCGCAGGGGCTATGAAGGCCCCATGGTTCTAGGACTAGAGCAGATGCGTACAAACTCCCTAAAGTCACAGGAAGGAAGGGGAGGCACAACTGGAGAGAAGTTGGTGAACTGCCTCTCTGGCCCATAGGGGCATGAGGGCGGGGGGCACAGAATAAAACCATAAAGCAATAATTTTCACTATTTAAAAGAACAAGTCTAAATGGCACACATCCTCTGTGTCTAAGATGACTAGCACTGCTGTTTTTTGATGAGTCATCAAGGGCAGTCATGCTGAAAAGCAGGGATACTTCTGTATTCCACCTATGTAATCATTCCAAAATTATGGGATTGGAACATTACAATACCTATGATGTATGTCCTTATATTTGTATGTGTTTGTGTGCTTACCCTTAAGTGGTGTTTTTTGTTTTGTTTTGTTTTTGCTGACTTCTTTGTTCTAGGGGGTATTTCTGCAGCCTTCTCAGAAAAACCTCAGGGTATTAGAGAAGGTACAACTTGCTAATGGCATCTGGTGAGCATGGGCTGGAAGGGGAACCACCGGGAAACACAGTTGTCAATAACCACACCCGCTATGGTGCAAACATGACCCACATACAAACTGAAGTACAAGTACAACCCCTCCCAAAAGTCTAGCCCTAAGATAATAGCACAGAAACTAAGCCTAACAAGGTGCTTGGAACCTCTTCCTACCTGCACCAACCACCCTCTGCACACCATCCCCAGCAAGACCCCCTGCCTCCAACTCCCCTAAAGCAGCATTTCCAGGATAGCACTATTCTTTAATCCACTGACAACTTTGGCACTGGCTAAGGCTTACTATTTTTATCCCCTTTCACACCATTCTCTGAGCAGAAATGCTAGGTGCAAACATTTGTTGGTAATTATGTTAAAGTAAGTCTTCTTAAGAACAAATGGTAAAATGAATACATGAAAACTTTGCAATCTATTTTTGAAGAATTGTCTGCAAAAAGAGTGGAAATTGAGTTTTTCTTACGCAGCTGAAAGGATAAAACAAAAATTACATATAATCAGAACACAATATAAAATAAGGATCGTACTCCCCCAAAATTACATCTGTATTTGGCTGTGAGAGGTGAAATATCTTTGATTGATTGATTGATTGATTGATTTTTGGGATGGAGTCTCACTCTAACGCCCTGGCTGGAGTGCAATGGTGCAATCTCGGCTCACTGCCATCTCCGCCTCCCAAGTTGAAGCAATTCTCCTGCCTCAGCCTCCTGAGTAGCTGGGATTACAGGCATGTGCCACCATGCCCAGCTAATTTTTGTATTTTTTAGTAGAGACAGGAGTTTCACCATGTTGGTCAGGCTGGTCTCGAACCCCTGACCTCAGGTGATCTGCCCGCCTCAGCCTCCCCAAGTGCTGGAATTATAGGCGTGAGTCATCACGCCCAGCCTGAAATATCTTTTAAATCTTGTTAGCATGTGCTCTGAAAGATATGTTCCACCTTAGGACAAACAGCAAACAAACTTTATTTCTTCAGAACACAGCAAATGGCAGGGTAGAGAATCAAATGACACTGGAAGTGGGGCCTTGATCTCACCCCTCCTGATATGGCAAGCACACAGGGCCTAGAGTCCTGGGCTAAACTAAAAGATGAAGGTCAACTTGGTTACTAATTTCGCAGAGCAAGTCCAAGGCAATCAAAATAGAAAAGCAAAACCAACCCTGGAACTCACAAAGGACTGGACACATGTCATGGAATTATTTATAGTCTAGGACAGGTGAACAATAATTTGGCTGGACAAGAATGCAGGCCCTTTTCTGAGTTCACTCTCACTGTTCCAAGAATGAAGATGTCTTGCTATTCTAGCTGCAAGACAGGCACCAGCCATGAGTCCCTACGTGGTGGTGTGCATGCTGCCTCTGAAGGACAAGCCTCATAATTATCTGGCCAAGATATCTTGAAAGAAGCCTACTAATGCATAAAATACATAATCACTGAGCCCTGGAAGCCATCCAGGTACCCTCGGGCCTTTGGGAGTTGGACAGACATGTAGCAAGGACACATTCTCTCAAACTTCCTCCTAACACAAGCCTTAATCAATATTAAGGGTTAAAAGGTTTCATTTAACTTCGATAAAGTAGGTATTAGTACTCTCATAGAAAAACAAGCTGAGACTCAATCACTGCTTTCATTTGGCTTAACAGCTCACTACTAGGCTTGCTACTAAGACCTTGAAGATCCTTGGCTTCCATATCCACTTCAATATAAACATTGTTAGTGCTGTTACTGGTAATGGGGGCTGGGGGGAATCCCCAGGGTTCCTGGAGCACAAAGCAAAGTTCCCTCCATTCTCCTAATTACATTAATTTAATCCCTTGCCCACTACATGATTACATTAAAAGGGGCTGGGGGTGGGGAGGGTAACATAAAGCCAAGACCCAAAGTTAACCACAATACAAAAGGAGAGAAGAATGGATACTATGATCTTCCTTTTAAACTTTCATTATAGCTGACTGCAGAACTGCTGGGATGACTCAATAGATTATGGGAAATGGCCTAAAAGTCTACTGGAAACCAGACTGAACTGTGGCCACATCTTAAAAATAACCTCTTGCCTCTAATTTTCTTCTCCCCCAATTTTTTTGACTAAAAAGGGTTTTTTGCTGTTTCGTTGTTGTTGTTTCGCAATCACCAGTCCTAAAATGAAGCTAAAAATTTATTTTCATTTTATCCTTGGTCATTCTCTAGCACCACAATCAAGAACATTAATGAGTCTTTCCTACAATACCGAAAGTTAGTTAAACAAATACCTTGTTTCCCAGCACTTTGGGAGGCCGAGACAGGCGGATCATGAGGTCAGAAGTTCGAGACCAGCCTGGCTAACAGGGTGAAACCCCGTCTCTACTAAAAAAAAAAAAATACAAAAAATTAGCCAGGCGTGGTGGCATGCACCTGTAGTCCCAGCTACTCAGGAGGCTGAGGCAGGAGAATCACTTGAACCCAGGAGGCGGAGGTTGCAGTGAGCCGAGATCCCACCACTGCACTCCAACCTGGGCAACAAAGTGAGACTACATCTTCAAAAAAAACAAAAACAAAAAACAAAAACCTTGTTTCACACATCAGCTGAACTTTCAGTGGACCTGACTACTGAACCCCAAAGGACAGCCAGGTTTTCCTTTAACACATATTGCTGCCATAAAAACTGCTGTTATCAGGCAAAGAATGAATAGGTTATTTAGGAAATATGGCAAATATTTAATAACTGATTTTTTTCAGTATACCTGCCTTGAAGCAACAGGGAAATATTACAGGACTTGGCCCCTAAGCTCAGCAATTTGTCAAATGAGTAAGTGGTAAAATCACGCTCTCCAAGATACCTCTCACTAAATACATTTATCACATTCCAGAAGAAGAAAACTATTTTGACTTGATTGCTACCTTTAAACTGTCCCTTTTTCAGGTTTTCTATCTATTTCAAATGAGACAAGCTTATCCTTTGATTAAAATGCCATATAATAAAATCCATCAAATCATATTAGCCAGAGGGTCAACAATCCAGCTATTCAATAGCATTATCATTATTTTACTAGTAGCACAAATAAGAGGGCTGCATGGGCTGAAGAGCCATTTCAACAAGCTCTTGGAGTGTTCTGGACACAGAGACCATGAGTGTTTTGGAACATAAGGCTGAGCTATGGAGACCCTTCTGCAGCAAAGAATTCCTGTCAGAAATAAGACTCGATATTAGAGGTTGTTTTAAAAAATAATAATAATAAAAGCACTGATGTGCATCCTAGGATGTTTAGCAAAATTAAAACTTAAAAAATTTAAACTTAAAAAGCAGTGAAACATGCTGTAACATAGATGAACCTTGAAAACATGCTAAGTGAACTATGCCAGAACACAAAAGTACAAATATTATATGATTCCATTTATCTGAGGTACCCAGAATAGGTAAATTCACAGACACGGAAAGTAGAATGGTGATTATTAGAAGTTGCGGAGAAGGGGACTAATAATAGGTGGACTAATAATAGAGGTTGAGAAGGGGACTAATTTTTAATAGGTGCAGAGTTTCTGTTTGGAATGAAGAAATCAAGTTCTGGAAACGAATAGTAGTAATGGTTGCGTAATATTGAGAATGTACTTAACGCCACTAAATTGTATACTTCAAATGATTTAAATGGTACTTTTTTTTTTCCGTAAAGTGAAAGCAAGTTTATTAAGAAAGTAAAGAAATAAAAGAATGGCTACTCCATAGGCAGGACAACCTAAAATGGCCTATTTTATGTTATGTATATTTTACCATATATTTTACCACAATTTAAAAAAACTGTACATAAAAACTAGAATTATAATTTAATAAGTTCCAGCACTTTGGGGAGGCTGACGTGGGAGAACTACCTGAGGCCAGGAGTTTGAGACCAGCCTGGGAAACAGAGTTAAACCTTATTTCTACCAAAAACAATTAGCCAGGCGTGGTGGCATGCATCTGTTGTCCCAGCTACTCAGGAGGCTGAGGCTGGAGGTTTGTTTGAGCCCATGTGTTTTAGGTTATAGTGAGCTATGATCACACCACTGGACTCCAGCCTGCGCAACAGAGCAAGACCCCATCTCTAAAAAAAAAAAAAAAAAAAAAAATAGTAAGAAGAACATAGGTGGTAAATAATAAACTTAGCCGGAAGGACACTGAGGTTCTGTATTTAAAATTCACGTTAAGAGTCAGAGCGCTACATGCATCCGTAATCAGAATCAAAGAATCCACACTCCCAAAGTGACAAAACAGCCCCAAACTAATTTCTCTCATTTTAATGCTGCAGATCCCCAAGGCCCAGACCCTGGACTTCTCGATCTACACTCACTCCCTTGGTGATCTCATCCAGTCTCATGATTTCAAATACCACCTGTTTGCTGGACACTCCCAAATCCTTATATTGAGCCCTGACTTCTGCACTGAGCACCAGGATTGTAGACCAACAGCCTCCCTGCCATCTCCACTCAGAAGCCTAACAGT
This sequence comes from Homo sapiens, assembly GCF_000001405.40. Taxonomy (NCBI): domain Eukaryota; kingdom Metazoa; phylum Chordata; class Mammalia; order Primates; family Hominidae; genus Homo; species Homo sapiens. Next base: position 49,681,613 of record NC_000020.11, read on the forward strand.
TACCTCAAATTTGTCCAAAACCAGATCACTGTCCTTCCCGTCCACAAACCTGTTCTACCGCAGTCTTCCCATCCTGGTTAATGGTAACTCTACCCTTTTACCCTCATTCCTTGTCAGTTCATTCTCAATTAGGCAACCAGTGGCATTCCTTACAACAGCAGTCAAATTTTCTAATTCCTCTATTTGAAAACCTCCAAGAAAGGCTGGGCGTGGTGGCTCACGCCTGTAATCCCAGCACTTTGGAAGGCTGAGGTGGGTGAAGGGCTTGAGCTCAAGAGTTTAAGACCAGTTTGGGCAACCTGGCAAGACCCCGTCTCTACAAAAAATACAAAAATTAGTCCGGCATGGTGGCTTGCGCCTGTAGTCCCAGGTCCTTGGGAGGCTAAAGTGGGAGGAGCATTTGAGCCTTTGAGGTTGAGGTTGTAGTGAGCTTCCATTGCATCACTGCACTCCAGCCTGGACAAAGGAGCCAGACCCTGTCTCAAAAATAAATAAATAAATAAAAACCCTCCAATGAATTCTCATCTCATTCAGAGTACACATCAAACTCTGGACAATGGCTTACACTAAACCAGGAGTCAGAAGCTGTGGTGGGTGAATCCTGCCCAGTGCCTGCCAGTGTGAATAAAGCACTGCTGGACACCCTGTGCCCCTCTGTGCACTGCCTACTACTGCTTCGGCATTGCAGGCAGAGTTGAGTTGTTGCTATGGACTGCAGAGTCGAAAACGTTTACATCTGGCCCTTCGCAGAGCAAGTCTGTCTACACCAGCTCTTAAATGATTTCCCTTATCCCTCTGACCTCATCTCTCTAGTTCTGCACCTCACTCACTCTGTTCCAGCCACACGGGCCTTCTCGCTGTCCTGTCCTGAAGATACCCATGCAAGCTCTCACCACAGGCCACTGACCCAACCACTGTCTTGGCAGCGCTGCCCAGACAACCACATGGCTTGCTCGCACACCTCCTGAATACCTCACTTCAGTGAGACCTTCCCTCATCACAATATATTTAAAATTGCAAAATTTCCTCTCTCTACTCCCTGCAAAGCATCCACTTTCCTCTGCTTCTCCAAAGCACTAATTACCTAAAAGGACACACAAGTTTGCCTACCACATAGCAGCAGCCCAATAAATATTTGTTAAATGTAGTTAAGAGTATTATTAGTGAGCCTAAGGCAAAAATTCAAGATTCCAATTCTAGGCCGGCGCAGTGGCTCACATCTGCAATCCTAACACTTCAGGAGGTTAAGGCAGGAGGATCACTTGAGCCCAGGAGTTTAAGATCAGCCTGGGCAACATAGGAAGGCCCCTTCTCTACTGACATAAAAAAATATTAGCCCGGCATGGTGGTGTGCACCTGTAGTCCCAGCCAGTTGGGAGGCTGAGGTGGGAAGTCTGCTTGAGCCCAGGAGTTCAAGGCTGCAGTGAACTGTGATTGCACCACTGCACTCCAGCCTGGTTAACAGAGTGGGAGACCCTGTTTCTGGGGAGGAAAAAAAAAAAGTGACATAGAAGGACGACATATGCTTATATACAACAAATACAAATTCTCAACTAAAAGTTAAATAATAAAAGTTATCCTAGAAATAAACTGTTTTGATTTCACAAATAATGTTCTCCTTAGAAGTTGCAAACTATCTGCACATAAATGTGCTCTGTTTAGTCTAACAGGTATTTTCTGGTTTTCCTTTTATCTTTAAGCTGAATAAATTGTCAGGTAAATGGTTTAATGGTTGAAAGTATTAACTCTGGAGGAGGGCTAGACAGGTTTAAATTTTTTTTTTTTTTTTTTTTTTTTTGGAGATGGAGTCTCACTCTGTTGCCCAGGCTGGAGTGCAATGGTGCAATCTCGGCTCACTACAACCTCCGCCTCCTGGGTTCAAGCGATTCTCATGTCTCAGCCTCCTGAGTAGCTGAGATTACAGGCACCCACCATCATGCCCGGCTAATTTTTGTATTTTTGTAGAGATGTCGGTTCACCATGTTGGCCAGCGTGGTCTTGAACTCCTGACCTCAGATGATCTGCCAACCTCAGATGATTTGCCCACCTCGGCCTCCCGAATGCTGGGATTACAGGCATGAGCCACTGCGCCCGGCCTAGACAGGTTTAAATTCTAGTCAGCTGAATGACCTTTGGCAAATTATTCATTCTGTGTTTCCTCATCCATAAAACGGGGATAATAATATCCCTATCTCATTTGTATTGAATGAGTTAATATTGGTAAAACATTTAAGAATAAAGACTGCAGCCAGGCACGGTGGCTCACGCCTGTAATCCCAGCACTTTGGGAGGCCGAGGTGGGTGGATCACTTGAGGTCAGAAGTTTGAGACCAGCCTGGCCAACATAGTAAAACCCTGTCTCTACTAAAAATACAAAAATTAGCCAGGTGTGGTGGCACATGCTTGTAATCTCAGCTACTTGGAAGGCTGAGGAGGGAGGATCGCTTGAACCCAGGAGGTGGAGGCTGCAGTGAGCTGAGATCACACCGCTGCTTTCCAGCCTGGGCAACAGAGCAAGATTCCATCTCAAAAAAAAAAGAGCAAAGTAATAGTACCTACCTCACTGGGTCAGGAAGAGAAGCAACACATGCAGAGCTCTAAGGGAGTCTTGTATATGGTGAGCGCTAATGTGTTCATTCAGAATTTACTTTAATTTAAAAAAAAAGTTGGCTGGGCGCGGTGGCTCATGCCTCTAATCCCAGCACTTTGGGAGGCTGAGGCAGGCGGATCACAAGGTCAGGAGATCGAGACCATCCTGGCTAACACAGTGAAACCCGGTCTCTACTAAAGACACAAAAAAATTAGCTGAGCGTGGCAGTGTGCGCCTGTAGTCCCAGCTGCTGGGGAGGCTGAGACAGCAGAATGGTGTGAACCCAGGAGGCAGAGCTTGCAGTGAGCCAAGGTTGCGCCACTGCACTCCAGCCTGGGCGATAGAGCAAGACTCCTCAAGAAGAAAAAAAAGTTGGTCCCTGAACTGAAAGAGGCCACATATCAAGGACATAAGCACGCAAAATCAGCAAGTGCCATACAGTAAGTACTGATCTACAACAGAAAGAAATCAAGGCATACCTGCAGACTTAAACGACATACTGAAGAGCCACGTCCTTGTTCAAATAATTCCATTCCAATTCCCCAGAGAACAGAGGTGGCATGCGGTAGGATTAGAGTTTCACTCAGCTAAGACAGAGGTTTGAGTCCCTGCTCGGCTTAGCTGTGTGATCTTGAGCTCGTGACCAAACTTCTTACAGTCTTAGGAGAGTTAGAAATAACAAATGTAGATTCCAGAGTGATTGAAACAGAGTAGGCCTTCAGGAAGTCACAGTTATTATTTGTATAAGCCTTTCAGTTTAGAGTAATTTTAGAATTATAGAAAAGTTGTGAATATAGTACACAGAGTTTCCATGCTGTTATTTTATTTTCAACAATATTGTTATTCTGATTGTGAAGAGAGGTAAACAATTTCTAAATTACACCTTAAAAATCCATGACAACAAAGAATACTGTCACTCTAGGAAACTTCTGATTTATGCACTTAAACACACCACTCCGCATCAGGTGAACTGATTTCCCAAGTTTGTTAAGATGTGTTACACAGTTTAAAGGCAGACATGACTAAGAGGCTAACATGTGTATCACAGACCTAGGAACACTTTCTCCATGTTGCCGTCTCTAAAAGGAACTTCAGCAGGTGCAGTGGGTGCCTCCTCTCAACTCATACCACAAACCCAGGGGCTTCAAAAATTACTTTCCCTCTACCAGGGCCCTTCAAAACACAGTATTTCCTAACCAACAGAAAACGAAAAACTCTGTGACCCAGACAGCCCAGCCTTTGAAAGCAGCAGGGGTAGCAACTGCTGAGCCTCAAAAGTCAGCCTCTGAGTAGCCACCCAGAATGCAATGGGCTGGCAAACAGTAGGGGAGAAAAACGCTGGATCCAAGCCTGGATCCCAGTGCTCACCGGACAATCATTTGTCCCATTTCCTCAATTATCTGTTTGTCTCCTATAGCTGTCTATCATAAAGGCAATGTGAAAATATTATTTTAAATTTTACAGAATAGAAATTACGGACTCAGAAGAGGCATATCCAGACAATAGGTAGAAAAGTAGAAAAATAACAGCTATTGTCCTAGAAATCAAATACAATACACACTAACATTTAGATCTGCTTTTAAGAGCTTTCAAAAACCTCACGTTATTAGACATTTTTGGATAGTTTTAAAAGTCTTGTTCTTTAACAGTAAGAAAAATGCATCCCCTGAATTGAAGCTTTAGAGTATTTAAAGTGAAAAGCTTGCTAAGAGATAAATGTGCAAAAAAAAAAAAAAAGTAGTATTTGAGCATTGCAGAGGGATTTCTCCTTTCTCCTGAGCTGCTGCTGTAACATCTCCTCTGACTCAGCACCTAAGAGGCATGATGGGAAGGGAGTACTATAAAAAAGCCATGCATTATTAACAAGACATTTGGCATCAAAGCAGAATGATTTGGAAAACCGGAAAATGTCCGCAGAATAAGAGAAAGGGGAGCTAACAGCTTAAATTATTTTTGGTAGTGTCATGCCATTCAAAATTGTCCATTCTAATCTTCTAAGCTGTCTTTTTCTCCCTTAGTTTTAGCTCTAATTCTGATCTCTTTATGTCTTTCCTACCTTACATTCCAAATGGTTACTACTTACATTCTGAGTGGATTTCTCTGTGTTGGTTTGCTCCTGTCAGTTTTAAAGAACTGCTGTACACGCATTAGATCCAATGAAGACAGACTGCAACAGAACTGCTCTGCAGAAGCCCAAGAGATACCACACATAGGATGTTAACACTTACTACTGCCTAGAAATCAAGAGTCTGTCTTCTTAACCCTAGAATAAGCAACCAAGTGACCTAAGTTCCCAATTCACAGATGGCAAGCCAATGGTTAAAAAAAAAATACATTTACTCTTACAACCATTTTTAGGACCCTAGAATTTACCATCAAATTGTCAGTAAAAAATGAAGCTGGGCCAGGTGGAGTGGCTCATGCCTGTAACCTCAGCACTTTGGGAGACCGAGGCAAGAGGACCTCTTGAGGCCAAGGGTTCTTGCTATGTTGCATAGGCAACATAGCAAGACCTTGTCTCTGCCCAAAAAAAAAAAAAAAAAAAAAAAAGCCAAGTGTGGTGGTGCACACCTACAGCCCCAGAGACCCACAAGGCTGAGGTGGAAGGATCCCTTCAGCCCAGAAGTTCGAGGCTGCAATGAGCTATAATTATGCCTCTATACTCCAGCCTGGGTGACACAGCGAGACCCCATCTTTACCAAAGAAAAAAAAAAGAATGAAGCTGGCATATAGTCCAATGGTCAGAGACAATGACTTGAGTAACTCAAAATCCAATTCTGCTTTTCTGGCATTATATCAAATTAGGAAAACTATTCCCTTCCTTTAGGCCAGTAGTTCTCAATTAGGGGTGCTTTTGCTTCCCAGGGGACATTTGGCAGTATCTGGGGGCATTTTTCGTTGTCACCACTGCGGGAGAAAGGTGCTACTGGCATCTCTTGGGTAAAGGCCACAGAGGCTGCAAAACATCCTACAAGGCACAGGACAGCCTCAACAACAAAGCAGCATGTCAACAGTGCCAAGGTTGAGAAACTCTGCCTTAGACAAATCACTTAACTTCTACTGACTTTTAAATTAACCACTGACACTGTTAGAAAGTACAGCAGTAATGCATAAACGTTAAGTTTATATTTGCTGGTTCACATTTATTGGATTAATAAACATGCTGGGCGCGGTGGCTCATGCCTGTAATCCCAGCACTTTGAGAGGCTGAGGTGGGCGGATCATAAGGTCAGTAGTTCGAGACCAGCCTGGCCAACATGGTGAAACCCTGTCTCTACTAAAAATACAAAAATTAGCCGGGTGTGGTGGCAGGCGCGTGTAATCCCAGCTACTCGGGAGGCTGAGGCAGGAGAATTGCTTGAACTCGGGAGGCGGAGGTTGCAGTGAGCCAAGATTGCACCACTGCACTCCAGCCTGGGTAACAGAGCAAGACTCTGTCCTGGGAAAAAATAAAAAATAAAATAAAATAAACAGATAATTTATTTTCGATTCCCTATAAACTGAATATTTCTTCCTTAGTAAATGGAGCACAGACTAGCATCACCTTTTCTGCAACATAAGTAACAATGCACATGTGCAAGATTTGCATAAAGTAGCCTCTGCTTCTGGCTATGACTGAGAGCCTGTGGCAGACCAGAGATCCCTCAGAGAAACAACTCCAACAGCCAGAGAAAATTAAAAAAAAAAAAATTTTTTTTTTCAAAGTCTGAAGACTTTGGAGAACTGTGGAAGCTACTATGACTTGAAGAGACACAATCCGGAAGGGTAAACCCTTTAGGAGCAAGCCAATATGCCACAACTGCTTTGCCCCTCAGGGAATCTGCCAATGCTAGGTGCCAGGAAGGAGGCTGAGGAAACAGAAAAGCAGCCTGGGAACATGACCAGAGCCACTATTCACAGGCAGAGAAACCAGCAGAGCTCATGGTAATGTCTCAGGCCTGAAGAAAGAAAAATAGAGACAAGGGCCTAGGATTCCTGTGAAAAGAACTGAGTGTTTTACCCTGAAGACATTTTACAAAATCCCAAAGATGCACAGGTCAGAAGGCTGAAACCAAGCAGAAAGCCTCTGAATAGCACAGCAGGTTTCTTCACCAATCCCATGTACTAAGAAGACAAAGATTAAAGTTCAGGACACACCGTGGGGGACAAAGATTAAAGTTCAGGACACACCATGGGGGAAGGGCCCCAGTTCTTAGCCAGAACTCCTGCAGGGTACTTCCAAAGAGTAGAGGCAAACCAAAAAGAGATGGAGCCTGACCAAAACCACGCCCTTGCTGTGGTCAGCTCAGACAAGATAAATGGAATCAGCCCCCATTCTATTTGCCTAGCAAATGGTGTAAGCCATCTAGATATTAGAAAATCATCTAGGGTCGCTACAATTTTTTTATATACAATGCCCACTTTTCAATAAAAATTAACAGGCATGCCAAAAGATAGGACAAAATGAGTGTCAAGGCCGGGTGCAGTGGCTCACGCCTGTAATCCCAACACTTTGGGAGGCCAAGCCAGGCAGATCACCTAAGGTCAGGAGTTCGAGACCAGCCTGACCAACGTGGAGAAACCCCATCTCTACTAAAATTACAAAATTGCCAGGCTTGGTGGCGCGTGCCTGTAATCCCAGCTACTCAGGAGGCTGAGGCAGGAGAATTGCTTAAGTCCGGGAGGCAGAGGTGGCAGTGAGCCGAGATCGTGCCATTCCACTTCAGCCTGGGTAACAAGAGTGAAACTCCATCTCAAAAAAAAAAAAAAAAAACAGGGTGTAATATTTTAATATTGGGTAAGACAGAGCAAAAAAAGAGAATGATTGATCCAAAAGCTATGCCATCAGAAAACATCTAGACTGAAAGCTGGAGGAGAAGGAAGGAGAATAGAAAAATACAGATTTGTATTGAGTGCTAGCCTGAGAAAATGTCTCAGCAAAACAGTGTTTAGGTATCCATTGGATGATACATGCAGAAATAAACACAGATGTCACCTCTTTGACAATTATACAGGATTTATGTTACTTGATTTCCAAGTAACAAAGACAGCAAAATAATCAGAAAAAAAATATTTAGACTCAATGAGAAAGATAAGAGAGATCCTTAACATACTGAGGATGAAGAACCTGATAATTCTTAGCTCACTCTCTTATCAATCTCAAAGTTAAAATGATCACGGGAGTGGTGTGATTCAATGGATCCGTTTCTGCCCCGTGGGAACTACAATTTCACAGATACAAATTTGTAACATCTTTTTTGATATCTAATCACCGATGTGAAAATTTTTAACATTTTTAAACCGTTTTATTATGAAAAATTTCAAATATACAGCAAAGTTGAAAGGATTTTACAGTGAACTCCCATATACTCACCATCTTGATTCCACTATTAACTTGCTTATCACAAATATATCCATTAATCCATCTTACTTTGTGACCTATTTCCAAGTAAACTGCGGAGATCAGTATACTTCCTGCTAAACACTTCAACATGCATGTTAATTAATTAGATTTTTTTTCCCTTCTTGGTGTAAAAGTTCATGCAATGAATAGGTGTGCATTTGCGGAGTTTGACAAATGCACATACCTGTGTAATCTAAATCCCTATCAAGATATGAAACATTACAATCACTCCTGAAAGGTTTCCCAAGCCCCTTTCCAGTCAATCCCTACCCTTATTTCCCTCTCTCAGAATAAATGTTTTTTTGTTTGTTTGGAGACGGGGTCTCGCTACGTTGCCCAGGCTGTCCTGGAACTCCTGGCCTCAGGTTCTGAGGAGCTAGGTCTCTAGGCATACATAGCACAAGTGTTTTTGTTGTTGTTATTTGTTTGTTTGTTTTTGAGACAGTCTCCCTCTGTCACCCAGGCTGGAGTGCAGTGGCATGATCTCAGCTTTCTGCAACCTCTGCCTCCTGGCCTCAAGCAATTCTCCTGCCTCAATCTCCCAAGTAGCTGGGATTAGAAGCACACACCACTACACCTGGCTACTTCTTTTGTATTTTTAGTAGAGACAGGGTTTCGCCATGTTGGTCAGGCTGGTCTCGAACTCCTGACCTCAAGTGATCTACCTACTTCCGCCTCCCAAAGTGCGGGGATTACAGGCATGAGCCATCATGCCTGGCCACAAGTGTTATTTTTAACCCACGGCACTTTGAACAATCTTCAAGTCTCTGGTGTGAAGAGACAGTCTTAGAAAAGTAATGTTTAAAAGGGATAAATAGCCAGGCATGGTGGTGCATGCCTGTAATCCCAGCTACTCGGGAGGCTGAGGCAGGAGAATCACTTGAATCTGGGAGGCGGAGGTTGCAGTAAGCCGAGATTGAACCATTGCACTCCAGCCTGGGCAACAACAGTGAAACTCTAACTCAAAAAAAAAAAGGGGGGGGTGACAATTATATTTTAATTATAAAATAGTAAATGAAACCATATTCCTGAAGCTAAATTTAATACTTACAAAAAGTTGCAAAAAAGTTATATCTGTTACATCTTTAAATGCATATAAGCCATTTAAATGGTATCAATCTAACAGCTAATTTTCAATGAAATGTTTAGTCTCAAAGAAGGCATACCGATTGATATGTTCAACACAAGTATTCTTGTTTCCTAAAATTCTATTTTTATGAATTCATGGAGACACAAAATATCCTAGAGAAGAATCCTTACCCTGAAATTGCAATTTATCTATAATTTATATTCCTTGAATACCTGGGTTTCCCTTCTGCATATAACCAAATGGAATCCTTTCTTGGCAAGAATGGATTGCTGCCTCTACTGTGAACTGTAGTTACCTGGCTCTAACTGGCAGACAGATAATTTAACGTAAATTAGCAGATTATGCCTGTGCTCTGGTCCTAGAATATTATTTAAGAGATAGCAGATAAGAGTGGTAAATGATCAACCGGGTGTTTGCTGAAACTTCCTGGAGGGTTAAGTAATTTATTATTAATTTTTGAGACTAGCTATAGATGGGAAAAATGAGTCATTCTGATTAAAATGACGGTGCGGGGCAATCAGCCAGCTTTAGACACTGCTCCTATATCAAGTACATGCCAGGCCAGGAGCAGGGGCTCACGCCTGTAATCCCAACACTTTGGGAGGCAGAGGTGGAAGGACTGCTTGAGCCCAGGAGTTTGAGACCAGCCTGGGCAACATAGTGAGGCCCTGTCTCTACAAAAAAAATTTTAAATTAGCCAGGCGTGATGGTACTACGTAACTGTAGTCCCAGCTACTCAGGAGGTTAAGGTGGGAGGATCGCTTGATCCTGGGAGGTTCAAGGCTGCAGTGAGCCATGATTGCCACACTGCACTCCAGCCTGAGTGACAGAGTCTCACAAAACAAACAAAAAAAAACCCACACGCCAAAACATGTTCTTCTGCAGTATATGGTAGAGTCCACATTTTCTTACAGGACTGAAAACCTGACAGTCACTTTGCCTCTAGACTACAGTTTTAACATTTTTAGTTAGTATATAAATCTGTACATATAATGTAAGCTCAATTACGTTTTTGAAAAATTACACATACTCCCCTAAAAAAAGATCCAGAAGAAAAAGCACCAAAATGTTAACAGTGTGTTATCTTTGGGTTATGAGGTTTTAGATTGTCTTTATTTTCCTTATGCTTCGCTGTATTTCCCAAATTTTATACACTGAATGTATTATTTTTAAAATCCAAAATAAAGATACCGGGGAAAAAACAAAACCCTAGGCAGTGACTGACCTGTAATGATCACCAAATGACTGATTTTATCACACTGTGATTATGAAGCTACAATGAATGAATGCCCTTTGTCCTGATTTATCCTTGCTGCCACCCAAAGGTACATATAACCTGATTCTCCTGGCAACAACACACCTTGGCATCCCACTTACCCCATGTCTGTAAAGAGGCCTCAGACAGTAATTCAACCATTTAAAAACTATGTCCCCTACAATTATGCTTTCTCACTATCTTCAGAGTATTCTCACCTACTGTTTTTTTTTTAATGTATTCACTGTAGTGTGCCTTATAAAAACAATAGGTATGTTGAGTGTGCTGTTTCTATTTATACATAAGCCTTTCACTCCCATCCAAAAGAAAACATCCCAGCCTGGGCAACAAAGTGAGAGCCTGTCTCTACAAAAGAAAAAAAAAAAAGTAGCCAGGCATGGTGGCGCGTGCCTGTAGTCCCAACTACTCAGGAGGCTGAGGCAGGAGGATCACCTGAGCCCAGGAAGTCAAGGCTGCAGTGAGCTATGATCGCATCACTGCATTCCAGCCTGGGTGACAGAGCGAGACCCTGTCTCAAAAAACAAAACAAAACAAAAACAATAGAAAATATCTTGGTATCACCATATCATCATCCAATGCCAACTTTATGAAAATTCCTGATGTAAACTGGTGAAAATCCTTGGAATAACAACTAGAATGGGACTCAGTTGTAGTGCTGGCATTGCCTAGGAGGCTGAGTATATCCTTTAAACCTTTCCATGATTCTGTTTTCCCACCTGTAAGATACAGGGGTAAGCCCAATAATTTTGAGTATCCTTTCCACTGAAAACCTGTCACACTGCCTCTAGACTACATTTAACGTTTTTAGTTAGTATATAAAACTGTACATATAATGTAAGTTCAATTATGTTTTTGAAAAATTACACACACCAAAAAAAATTATCCAAAATGTTGCGATTCTTCAGATCCTGTTGTATCTTACACAGTCATGTGCCGCATAATGACGTTTCAGTCAACGACTAGCTGCATATCCAATGGTGATCCTCTAAGATTATAATACTGTATTTTTACTATACCTTTTCTGTTTAGATATATTTAGCTACACATTTACTTACCTACAGTATTCAGTACAGTACCATGCTGTAGAGATTTGTAGCCTACGAATAATAGGCTATACCATACAGCCAAGGGGTGTAATAGGCTATACCATCTAGGTTGGTGTAAGTACACTCCATGATGTTGCCACAATGACAAAATAGCTTAACAACGCATTTCTCAGGATGTATCCCCATACTTATGCAACATATGACTGTGTTTGTGAATTCATCCTGAAAACACATCTGAGATTATAATCTCCCAATAGTCAGAATATCAATCACGGTAGCAATAACACTGACTGCATATGCTTGCCACCACAGGGACTTTGCTAAGTTCTTCACTATCAGGTAGAAACTAATATCAATTCCAATGAAGAAACTGAAGTTCGAACAGAATGGTCCAGTAACTGGCCCAAAGTCACCAAACCAGTAAGTTGCAGAGCGGGGACAAGAGCTAAGAATCATTAGGCTCCACAGCTCATTGCAGTTTCTCTCTCCAAGGTGCAGGCTAATTCTCCTTGTCCTAAACAACACAACACAGTATCTCTACCTTGCTGTTTCTAAAGGCCCTAAGGTAGATGACTAATAGGGAAGCTCTCTACATCTGATTTCTAGGAGTCTAGGAATTCTGAGTATAAACGTCTTCACTATTCATGGTTACATATCATCAAGAAACAAGCTTACTTTCGCCACCACTTTTTAAGACATTTTCCAAAAGCCTGCTGGCAGCAGTGTGCGCTTATGCTCAGGTGACTAGCTAGGCCCCAGAAGTTTAGAGAACAGTGCAAATGAGGTTAAGGTGCCAGGTGGACTCCAGGGCAGGTATGCAGCTTTGCATAAAGAACAACTCTTTGCATAAGGGGTAGCCTCAGGGGAGGTTCCCCAATCCCAGAAAGTGACCTTACAAATGCCTACCCACAAACAGTTAATGAAGGGAACAAAGGCACAACAAAATTAATCTCTGCACCTGGAAGATAACTCAAAGTGACAGGATGGACACCTCACTTTCGATAATTAGCCACCTCATTAGATTTACAAAAAAATAACAGAAGTGAGATGACCTGATCAACTAAGCTAGCAGAAGTCTAAGCCACTCTTCCTTGAAAAGCAGACAGCTTATGTAAACGTACTTTTTATTAACACCCTAATTTTCACATTTATTTCCAGAAAGAAGTTAGAAAAAGTATGTTCCTCATACTTCAAAGTGCCCTTTCTGTATAGAGAGGCGATGTGCCTAGATGGGAAAAGAATGGGTTTACCTAGGCTTCACACCTACCTACCACCGATTTGCGCATCTATTTTTCTTTTCCCAACTATAACTTTTGAAAGTTATAGTTGGGAAAACTGTAACTTCCTCTTCCTAAATCAAAGGCAAATCAAAGTCTGGGCACGGTGGCTCACACATGTAACCCCAGCACTCTGGGAGGGCGAGGTGGGAAGGTCACTTGAGCCCAGGAATTTGAGACCAGCCTAAGCAACACAGGGAGACCTAGTCCCTACAAAAAAATTTTTTAAAAAGTAGCTACTGGTCCTAGCTACTTGGGAGGGTGAGGTGGGAGGATCACTTGGGCCCAGGAGGTAAAGGCTGCAATGAGGTGTGATCACACCACTGCACTCCAGCCTTGGTGACACAGCAAGGCCCTGCTGAGAAGGGAAAGGGAAAGGGAAAAGGAAAGGGAAAGGGAAAGGGAAAGGGAAAGGGAAAGGGAAAGGGAAGGCAAGTTTGCTCTAACACAACTGATAACACCTGGGAACAATATGCGCATAACCTGAACTCTGCCTTTGCATATGCACAATTTCATCCACGAGGAAAACCCAGAAAACTACACCCAGCTGGAAAGACAGACAGATACACACACACACACACACACCCCTGAAGCATCTACCAGCTACTCAGTTCACCAAGTGGGTGCCACACACATCTGATGTTAGAACTCTCAATGCCATTTCAGAGAACCCTCCTTCTACCACTTCACAATAACTCAAGCTGCAACCCTGCTGATGCTCACTTCTATGAGCAAACCACAGATTTAGATTTTCAAAGTGCCATATTTACAGTATTCCTTAACTGCTTAACATGTGAACACCTGCACTGTTTTCATTAGGTTCTTTTTTTTTTTTTTTGGTGATGAGTAACTAATGCAGTTTTTGCACACCTAACTCCAATTTTTCATAATCTCTATGGCTTTTATTGAACAATCTGGCATAGTGCAGTAATTTTTTTTTTTTTTAGACAGACTTTTGCTCATGTTGCCCAGGCTGGAGTGGCACAACACACAACCCCCTACACAATCCCCAGCCCCTTTCAGAATGTCTTCCACGGAACTGGTCCCTGGTGCCAAAAAGGTTGGAGACCACTGCTTTATATGGATTAACTCATTAACCACAGGGTGAAGTGAACCTATCATGACAGTCTGTTGTGGTTTATTTTTTTTTTTTTTTGAGGTGGAGTCTTGCTCTGTCGCCAAGCTGGAGCGCAATGGCGCAATCTCGGCTCACTGTAACCTCCACCTCCCGGGTTCAAGCGATTCTCCTGCCTCAGCCTCCCGAGTAGCTGGGATTACAAGCATATGCCACCATGCCCGGCTAATTTTGTATTTTTAGTAGAGATGGGGTTTCACCACATTGGCCAGGCTGGTCTTGAACTCCCGACCTCAGGTGTTTGGCCTCCCAAAGTGCTAGGATTACAGGTGTGAGCCACCGGGCCCGGCCAGTGTGGTCACTGTTAGAAATGCTTATGCCATGTTATAGCAGAACTATTTAATATAATCACCTTTGTAGAAAAGAATAAACTGCATGACATTAATGATATTCCCATTCTGTACATACAGATACCTTTCTAAAGGGTGGGGGTGGGAAAAGAAAACAACACATTGAGTTTCAATCTAATCATTTCCAACAACTCAGAAGCAAAGAAATATGCTGAGTTTTCATTATGTCTAATGCTTCCATGTGGGATCTTCCAAAGGGCTAAGAAAGCCTGGCTCAGCCTAGAGAATGCCACACAAATTAACTACAGATTTAACTCCTTTACCGATGCAAAAGGCACGCTGTGTCACACAGCTGTGTATGAAGAAACAATGGAAATAATCGCAGTAAATGTATATAGTTAATGTGACCAGGGTAGCCCAACTCTTTGGTCCTGCTCAATTGATTTGACCTATGTCATAACAGACTCTCAATCATTCAAAGTTTACTCACTCTTGACAAACTAGAGAAAAAATAACAATCTAGAGAAAAATAATTACTAAGTCCAAACAGGTTTCTGAGAAGAGCTTTATTCTACTTTGTGGAATCCAATCAAAGAAAGAAAAAAACTAATTAGACATACTGTTGTAACATTTAATGAGATTTGAAATTCATCTATTTAAATTTATTAATAGTAAAGGAATGAGATTAAATAGACTTGACATCGAAGGGGCTAGAATTTCCCATGAAGTTTTCCACATTATCGGTAAAGACAGCAGGTATGTTTTCTTTACAGCTTTCAAGAATCCCTTGCCAGAAATAATCTTATATTAAGACAGGATGTTTCGTTATAGTGGGGAAAACAGAACTGGCCAGGAAAAGATCTTATAGCAAAGAGATTGTAAAAGATTATTCTAGCACAAATACAGATTTAAATTGCTGCCATCCTTTTTCTCCCAGCCCAGCAATTCCTGAGGTGCAAAATTTTCAAATATCTGTGTATACAATGACAAGGACACAAGTGAAAACACTTGTGATGAAAGGGTTATGAATAAATTACTGCAATTTCCTTTTATCAACCAAGTTGATTTAATGGTTTAAAAATATTGTTCAACAGAACAAAGGTGGTAACATTTGTTAGATCCTAATTAAACGTGATTCATTCTGGAATGTTTCTGATGACACAGCTTACATAAATAATCTACTGGGAAGTCTACTCAAAATTCACAATGAAGAGTCGGTTTTTCACACATATAATACAACCTGAAACTATAGCTTCAATCTATGCAGATGGTTTTACTATTTTAATTATACAACTAATTAATACCAAAATTAGATCGATGTTGTTTAATTTGTGGCTACTGAGGAATGTTACTATTCACAAATCACAAAATCTGTGCCAAAATAAGTCTTCAAAGGGATATTGTTGCCTCCTTACCCTTCTAAGCTTTGCAGTGGGCTTTGGTCAAAGCTGACATAAACAGCTAAAGAAATTAACAACAGAGTCTCAGAAGACAAGGCCAGGGGAGCCAAAAGGACACAGGTGCTACACACCCAGGCAGTTGTTGTCTGCTCCCAGAGCACCTGACTTCAGCAGCCACAGCACCTGCTCCTCAAGCGCAGCGGCGCCTTTGAGGGAGCACAGCCTGGAAGGTTTACCCTTCGCAGAGACGCTTGCTCTTGGACTTCTGGCTGTACATTCTGAGGGTTCAAATGAAGGATGGGACAATGGGAAAGCTTAAATCCTCTGGAAACGTCACTGTGATCAATGGCTTCAACCCTCCTCTACCTCATACCAGTTCACTGGAGCTGCTAACACTAAGTTTCCTTCTTTATCCGCCCATCTCTATTCCAGTGGAGCCCCGTGATTAAGGGATGGCAGAGGAAGGGGACATGTCCTTTTTTTTTTTTTTTTAACAGAAAAACACTCATTTAGATACCTGGTTTAGTAAGACATCTGAACAACATGAAACCCAACTATGTAAAAGCTTTAAAAATCCAGGTTATGAATTAGCCTAAACCTGTGCTTATGTTCCATTCTGTTTAGAGGAAGGGGGATGGAATCCCTTTCACCTTTATATTTTTCATGACAAGTCCATGGTCACATCAAAAATTACTTTTGTCTTTAACACAGTTGAAATTATTAAATGTTATCTAGACCTAACCAAATCCTATTTCCTTAATGTTATATTCAGGACAGTGAAAAAAATACTGTTTTCTTTTAGCAAAGTCTGACTTTTAAGGCTCAGTTTTTACCTGATTAAATAAACTGCCCCTGCTTTTGAGGTTAGAAAAATTACTTTTGTTCATGGGGTCCATTATACTGTACTATTAAGTTTACTTTTATATGTTTGGAAATTTCCAGCCGGGCGCGGTGGCTCATGCCTATAATCCCAGCTACTCGAGAGGCAGAGGCAGGCAGATTACCTGAAGTCAGGAGTTCAAGACCAGCCTGGCCAACATGGCGAAACCCCATCTCTAGTAAAAACTACAAAAATTAGCCGGGCATGGTGGCACGCACCTGTAATCCCAGATACTCGGGAGGCTGAGGTGGGAGAATTGCTTGAACCTGGAAAGTGGAGGTTGCAGTGAGCCGAGACGGTGGCACCACACTCCGGCCTGGGGGACAGAGCAAAACTCCATCTCAAAAAAATAAAAAAAGAAAAAAGAAAATTTCCATAATAAAATGAAACTCTTAAGGAAAAAACTGCTTTGAACATAAAGCCAACCCAAAAAGTAGCTCTTACCTAAAGTGAATTTTCCCTAGTGCCAAATGAAATTCAAATAAATCCCAATCTTCTAATTCACACAAATCTTAAGATTTCTAATACTTTAAACCAGAATGAAAAAGTCAGGTATGCCAAATTAACAATCGAAGAGAAAATTAATCCCACACCAAAGCCAAAACATTGAACTTCCTCCCACTCTCGCATTCACACACACACACAAGCATGAACCACACAATGAAGGATTCCAGTTGCCCCATCCAGACAACTGGACGCACATCACACACCTCCTAGTCATCCAGGGACCATCTTGGCAGCCTGTTTCTCATCACTACCTGCCACCCTGTGCCTGTGTTGTGGACGAGGAAGGCACGGGTAGTAGCCTAGCTTTTTATTTTTTTAAATCTCAGCAATAGAGGCAAGGTTATTTCTACCTTACATCCAAGAGTATGGAGCACAAGACTAGCTGTTTATTAATAACATGCTTATTTTCCACACCAACCACACGGTTTTCCAATTTCACAAAGTAAATACTTCCTCATCCCTCTTTAGAAAAGATGAAACAATTTATCGTAGCCTAAGCAAAAACCACCTATCAAAGCAAAGACTGGCAAGCAGATTCAAGACATAAAGGTATAGCTTTTACTATAAATTTGAAACCAACAAGAAAGCCATTAACCTAAATATTTTTCTAATCAAAAATCAGAAATGACGTTAATAGCAACATATAAGAATTACTGTATCTACCACACTTAGAATGTACTGGGGTAGATGACAATGACAATCAGTACTGATTGCCTTATGTTTATCAACTTTTTCATCTACATTTCAGGTTTCAGTGCAAGACAAACCATTAATACATTCATGACTAGCCATTTCAAAGCATTATTGTATACATACTGTACGACACAAAGTGCTTAATTGTAACTTAAAAGGTTAAAACCCATCTTGAATCCTAAATGGGCAAAAAAAAAAAAAAAAAAAAAACCCCACTAGTCATTTGCCCACAAACCAGGCCCCATATAACCATCAAGCATCTGACTGCATCGGACATGATTAATCTGAAACTGTGCTATGAATCATACAGCAGTCCTCCCTTATCTTCAAGGGATACGTTCTGAAATTCCCCAGTGGGTGCCTGAAACTGCAGGTAGTACCAGATCTAAATACATTGCTTTTTCCTATACACACATACCTATGGTAAAGTTTAAATTATAAATTAGGCACAGTAAAAGATGAATAACAATGTAAAAGGAAAATAAACTTGGGGACCCCAAACCCACTAAGTCAAAGAGAAAAGTCAAGGTAGGAACGGCATCATGCAAACCTACCTCCCTCACAATCTGCCCAATAGGAAATTCCTTGTGGACCTCAACATCCTTACCCTACAACCACTCTGCTGAATTTCACCCTGACAACGTAAATTGACAGCTTATCTTCACAGGTATAGGACAAAGGACAGAACTTAAAGTCATTCCTCTGCTTACCTGAGACAAATGCATAATCTCATCACTTCCTCTGCCCGGTAAGTATATTTTGTCTTATGTAAAAATGCAGATTCACTGAGCTAGATGAATGCATAAGGGACTATTCCTCCGCTGCCCCCCACCCTTGCCCGCCACATGTGAATAGCTGATCAAAGACTCAAAAGAATGTAACCATTTGCCTCCTATCTACCACGCCTTCCTAAAATTTCTCCCCCTTTAAATACTGAAGCCCTCAAAATCATCTTAGGAGAAAGGCACAGACCTTGGGCCTGGGTGCATGCCCTTAACCTTGGTAAAATAAACTTCTAAATAAATTGAGACCTGTCTCAGATACTTTTTGGTTTGCAACAAATATAAAATGGTTTTACAATTTGGTTTACAACAACAACAACAACAATAAAATGGAACAATTATAACAATAATAAAAGTAATTAAGTAAAGTTAATTTTTCTGAGAGAGTCTCACTCTGTTGCCCAGGCTGGAGTGATCATGGCTCACTGCTGCCTCAAACTCCCAGGCTCATGCGATCCCAAGTAGCTGGGGCTACAGGCATGTGCCACCACACCTGGCTAATTTTTATTTGTATTTTTGTAGAAACAAGTTTTCCCCCAGGTTGCCTAGGCTGGTCTCAAACTCCTGGGCTTAAGCGATCCTCCAGCCTCGGCCTCCCAAAATGCTGGGATTACAGGCATGAGCCACCACACCTGGCCATAAGATTAAAATTCAAAAGTATTACAAATAATAAAATTAAAATAAGGGTCACTTGAACACAAGCACTGTGACACCACGATGATGATGTGATAATCCAGACGACTACTAAATGTGTATACAGCGTGGGTATGCTGGACAAAGGAATGACTCACATCCCAGGCAAGACAAAGGGGGACAGAGCAGGATGGTGAAAGATTTCATCACGCCACTCAGAATGGTGCACAATTTAAAATTTGTGAAATGTTTATTTCTGGAATTTTCCATTTAATATTTTCAGAACTCAGTGAAACCACAGAAAGTGAAACTCTGGATAAGGGGGTGACTACCTTATTCACTATCATTCCTGGCAATTAAAGAATGTTAACTCCAACTGAACACCAGATGAATTGGCCCTCAATTAAACACATCTGTCCAGAAATATAAAATCACCCAAAACTAAAAATTTACTAAAGTGAAGCATGCTCCTTAGAAGACTTAAAAAATAACAGTGATACACTGTCTGCTTTGTTCATCACTGTATCCTTCAAGTCTAGCACACTGTAGGGGTGTTACACAGAGATTAATGAATTTAGCTATAAGAAAATAGCAAAATCAGGCAAATGCAAAGATGAGTTTGTAATTTTTTCTCTTTTATCACAGGCACCAGAACATAAAAGTTTTCTAAGTACCCACCCCTGCCTTTAATCACCATTTTTATCACTCACATTTAGATAAATACATTTGCAGTTCAGCTGATATCAGAAAAAAAAATATGTATCAAATTGTCAAATTTTACTAAGTCAGAGCTGTGGGAGTCCAGCAGCTTTTACACGTTAGATTTTTCTATTTCCTCATTCGTCAGCATTTGACATCATTTTCTGATGTTATAAAGGATAACAGAAAAAAAAACCCTGTGCACACATCACGCCCCTCCTAGTCATCTAGGGACCATCTTGGCAGCCTGTTTCTCTTCACCACCTGCCACCCTGTGCCTGTGTTGTGGACGAGGAAGGCACGGGGAAACAGAATATTCTGGTGAATAAAGCATTACTAATTTTCAAAGAATTAGAAGGCAAAAACAAACAAAAAAAACACCCACAATACCAAACTGAAAGTCATGCCTCAGGGTCTTTATTGTAACTACTTAATACTAAACACCAAAACATAAATGATGCTGATTAATGGAGATTTGGGGCTAAGAAAATACCAAACAGGCTAGGCGTGGTGGCTCATGCCTGTAATCCCAGCACTTTGGGAAGCCAAGACAGGTGGATCAGGTGTTCAAGACCAGCCTGACCAAAATGGTGAAACCCCATCTCTACCAAAAATAAAAAAATTAGCTGGGGGTGGTGGCATGCGCCTGTAACCCCAGCTACTCAGGAGGCGGAGACAGGAGAATCACTTGAACCTAGGAGGCAGAGGTTGCAGTGAGTTGAGATCATGCCATTGCACTACAGCCTGGGTGACAGTAAGATTCCACCTCAAAAAACAACAACAAAAAAAGGAAATACCAAACAAAATGTGCTTTTCCCTATCTTCGAAATCATCATGTCTTTTCATTCCTGTATGGCAAAAAATAAATCCCGTGTCGCCTGCCGAATCCGAATCTAAATAAATGAATAAAGACAGAGAATAATAAAGAAAGAAAACAGCTTCAAACTTAAACACGTTAGAGCAAGAGAAACAAACAAACAAAAAAAACCATGACTCCTGCTTTCTCAAAAATCACATCAGTAGCTTATAAAGACCTTCATGGGCAGAAAAAGAATGGGCACACTGTAGGGAGCAAAAGGTAAGTGATAATATTTACAAAGTAGTGTATTTTAAAAGCATAAACAAAAAATTAGGTAAATTGGGCCTCATTAAAAACTTTTTTGTGCATCAAAGGACACTATCAGAAGTGAAAAGACAACCCACAGAATAGAAAATATTTGTAAATCATGTATCTGATAAAGGTTTAATATTATTCAGAATCCGTAAAGAACTCCTAACAGGCCGGGCATGGTGGCTCATGCCTGTAATCCCAGCACTCTGGGAGGCGGGGGTGGGAGGATGGCTTCAGTCCACGAGTTTGAGACCGGCCTGGGCAACATAGGGCAATCCCATCTCTACAAATAATGTAAAAATCAGCCGGGCTTGCTGGCACGCACTGGTGGTCTCAGCTGCTTGGGAGGCTGAGGTGAGAGAACTACTTGAGCCTGAGAGGTTGAGGCTGCAGTGAGCCGTGATAGTGCCACTGCACTCCAGCATGGGCAACAGAGCGAGAGTCCATCTCAAAAAACAAAAAAAAACCCTAAAAAATAGTGATTACTGGCCAGGCGCGGTGGCTCACGCCTGTAATGTCAGCACTTTGGGAGGCTGAGGCGGGCGGATCATGAGGTCAGGAGATCAAGACCATCCTGGCTGACACGATGAAACCCCGTCTCTACTAAAAATACAAAAAAATTAGCCGGGCGTGGTGGTGGGTGCCTGTAGTCCCAGCTACTCGACAGTCTGAGGCAGGAGAATGGCACGAACCCGGGAGGCGGAGCTTGCAGTGAGACCAGATGGCGCCACTGCACTCCAGCCTGGGCGAGACTCCGTCTCAAAAAAAAAAAAAAAAAAAAGTGATTACTGCATAACATTATGAATGTAATTTATGCCACTAAACTGTACACTTAATTACTTAAATTACTAAAATAGATACATGGCAAATTTCATATTTTACCACCAAAAGAAGAAAAATGTACAAAGTAGATTTGGAAAAAATTAATTCAGTCACTTCAAAATCAGGATTAATTAATTCCTTTCCCCAAAGTAAATGCAGTCCAACGACCAAGAGGCTGGTCTGCCCAGACAATAGTTTCTTCTTTCATTTCATTAAATATTTAAGTACATACAACGTGCTGGGCACCATCCTAGGCACAAGGAAATTACAATCCAGAAAACTTCCCTCTCATGACTATATAGATTATGAGGATATGGGTCAAATGAGCTTTTCTAAAAAAGTTAAAGCATTAAATGCTTTTATTTAAAACATACAGATTCAGCCGGGCATGGTGGCTCAAGCCTGTAATCCCAGCACTTTAGGAGCCCAAGGCAGGTGGATCACCTGAGGTCAGGAGTTCGAGACCAGCCTGGCTAACACGGCAAAGCCGCATTTCTACTAAAAAAAAAAAAAATAGCCAGGGGTCATGGTGCTCGCCTGTAATCCCAGCTACTCAGGAGGCTGAGGCAGCAGTATCACACGAACCCAGGAAGCAGGGGTTGCAGTGAGCCCTGATCGCACCACTGCACTCCAGCCTGGGCAACTGAGTGAGACTCCATCTCAGGAAAAAAAAAAAAATACAGATTCAAAATAACTATATCATGAATCCTAAAGTCAGTCTACTATCATTTTTGGTCTATCTGGTTTGACTTCCTTAGGTTGGCAATTCTGTCATTTTTCTGAACAGGAATAAAACATTTTTTTCCTTTTTCAATTACATAAGCAAGACACAACACAGTATTTAGGAAAACACTATTTTATGACCTTCACCAGCCAAGTCTACCAATCAGCAAATACACACATCCTGATCAGGAATACAATTTAGGCTTGGTTCCTGAAAGTAGAACTTAAAATGGGATAATGAGCAGCTCTGTGAGGAAAAAATAACCCTGTCTCTCCATCTTCCCAAGCTTATGATTGTTCAACACAGTAGAATTAAGAAGAAGGTTTAAATGTCAATTATCCATACTTTTAGGACTACTTGGGAGGGGGTGGAAAAAGTTACCTCTTTACTGATATTTAAATATCCTACAACTTTTTAATAAAAATAATATACAGTTGTGCTCACTAGCATACCCTGGATCCACTGACATGTAAAAACACAACATTGCGGCCGGGCGCGGTGGCTCACGCCTGTAATCCCAGCACTTTGGGAGGCCGAGGTGGGCGGATCACGAGGTCAGGAGATCGAGACCATCCCGGCTAAAACGGTGAAACCCCGTCTCTACTAAAAATACAAAAAATTAGCCGGGCGTAGTGGCGGGCGCCTGTAGTCCCAGCTACTTGGGAGGCTGAGGCAGGAGAATGGCGTGAACCCGGGAGGCGGAGCTTGCAGTGAGCCGAGATCCCGCCACTGCACTCCAGCCTGGGCGACAGAGCAAGACTCTGTCTCAAAAAAAAAACAAAAAAAAACAAAAAAAAACCACAACATTGCTGTCTTACAACCTACTCTTTCCGGTACCCAATACTCCACAATATTTTTCATCTTTATAATTAGGCTACTAACCACCTAAGAGAACTGTTCATAATTGATGACAGTAATGAAGGTGCCTCAGAAACAATGAACAGGTTCGCTTCTGATTGCTGCAAAGTACCTGGGTAGCTCCGTCACCTGCAAAGGCAGAGGAACAATACCCAGGGTCTAATAATTGCTTACTCAAACTAACAAAAGGAGAAAAAAAAAAGAGGAAGTAGAGAAGGGGCAGCACTCTAAATTATTTAATGTGATTCCCATGCTTGGGAAAACACTGAATTCATGCAACCAGCAGGAGCTGGAATGCTCCTCAGTATAAAAGGCACCATATAAAAAGAATTACTGAATCCAAATGCAATATTCATTTTCATTTAACATCCAACTACCTAGAGGATTGAGGTAATGAGTCTGGGGCTCTATTTCACACTTAAAAGCTGAAGTGTGAAGCCAGAGGAAAGGACTGGCTTAGCAGATCAAAATGTAAAAGGATTAGCCCACAGGACAAAAAAAATGGTCCAAAAAAAGGAAAAAATGGTCTTAACATCCCAAAGATATTTCCAAAAATTCTTTCTGATTTTCTTTCCTTTGACCAAGACAGCACAATTTTCCCTCCCTTCCTTAGTGACAATGATTTCAAAGACAGATTTCCATGTAGAGACACGAAGTCTGGAGTTCCCAGGCTAATGTCCGAAAGCAATGGCACTGCACAGTGGGGACCTTGCCATTCACCCCAAAGACTGAAACTATAAAGTCTGAAGATTACACACAAGCATGTCACCATTCTCACCGCAGCAGTCTGGGGAGGAGATGAAGTCAACGGGAAATCAGAACTTTAAAAGACAGTGTCTTTACTTGACAAAATGATTCCTTCTTTACTTCAAAGGTTCAATTCACACATGCTCAGAATCATGAAACTTCAGATCTGAAAGGGACCCTAGAATCTGCACAATAGTCCAGTCTCCTCAGTTCACAGAAAACAGGAAAAAAAATTCATACCTAGTTATTGGTAAAGTCAGACAGGAGCCCAAACCTAATCTCAGTTTAATATGAGCATGAGACCAAGAGGGCACCTCCTATGGTTATAAATAAGAATCATAAGGCCGGGTGCAGTGGCTCACACCTGTAATCCCAGCACTTTGGAAGGCCAAGGAGGACGGATCACCTGAGGTCTGGAGTTAGAGACCAGCCTGGCTAACATGGTGAAACCCCATCTCTACTAAAAATACAAAAAAAAAAAAAAAAATTAGCTGGGCATGGTTGCAGGTGCCTGTAATCCCAGCTACTCAGGAGGGTGAAGCAGATTGAGAATCACTTGAACCCAGGAGGCGGAGGTTGCAGTGAGCCAAGATCGCACCATAGAACTCCAGTCTGGGCAACAAGAGAGCGAAACTCCATCTCAAAAAAAAAAAAAAAATCATAAACATAAGGACCTTTGTGTCAAGCTCTGTGCTAAGCCCTTTTATGTGCATATTCTACTTAATTCTGACAAGTAGCCTGAGAAAGGTAGTATCCTCTATTTGAAAACAAAATGAATCTGCCCACTCCAAGCTGATCTGAACCCAGATCTCTTTTCAACCACATTGTATGTGCTTCAGGAATATCTTAATAATTCTCAACTTTGGGCAAGTTAATGACTCAACTTGACTTATATGATCATCTATAAATTGACAGATGTAGTCAAAAGTTTAGAATTCAAAGATCTCCCATAACTGATAACATGACACTCAAATGCTGGGTACCTGGGTAGCTCCAGGATTTTAAGTGGATCTTAAAATCCCATTAATTTTTCCTCACAATTTTCTACAAAACATAACTCGTGTGCAAAGGCAAGCATACCTTTATTGGCTACTAGAAAGTGAAGAACAACTGCCCTTTTCCCCACAGTGCACATAGGCCTGCCTCTTCTCTTCAGCCCACACCCAACCTGCTTGCTTACGATTATCTGTTTGTCTTAGCCAGTGGTAACCTCCCTTTTTCTCTATTTCTCTGACAGGCCTCAGCAGCATTACATTGCTCACTTCTTACGTGCTAAGGTTTTTCTTTGCCTTATGTGATTAGATGTGCCGAACATACTTCCAAGATCTAAAAAGCAGCAAAATTTAGGGAAGCAAGAAGTCAATTGTATTCTGGCCTTCTGCTGCTTTGGAATTTCTGCTCTCTCAGAGAGCTCTAAAGAGGCATGGCAACACAGAGCCCCTCCTTCCTGGTGATTATTATACAAGGCTCCCACTGGCCTGTTCAGCTGGGGCGGGGGGAGTTGATGCTGGAACAGAATCATCTGCCGGCTAGGTATCCTGGAACAGTAATTAATACTGTTTGAATGGCTGAGACTATCCAAAACCAACCACTTTCTTTCTACTAAAGAAAATTTCAACTCCAAACCCAAGACCTGGCTTCCAATATAGCAAAAACTCCACAAAGAGAACATAAAACATCACCAAAGTCCTGGTCAAAAGTGGTGCTGTTTACTTTTGTAACATCAACCTGTTCTCCAAACACGGCTTCCTCCTAAGAAGAAGGGACAACACTATACTCAAATATGTGCGCAAGAGTGCATGTGGATTTGGAGCAAAAAAAAAAGGTGTCCTTCACGGGATAAGGCTCTTTAATTCTCTGAAGTGAAGTAACCCATATTTCCCCATATGTATTTCATTCTAGAAAGCTCAGAAACTGAGTGTGCTGAGGGATTCAGAGGGCTTTTTCATGTCAAGAAAAAAAAAAGGCTATTTTCAGACTACACTTGAATGGGGAAAATCTGAAATTTTCATGTGGTTATTAGGAAAAGTTGTATTTGATTATATAAAACATGTATCTTCTCTAAAATCGTTGTTTGGAGACAGGGTCTCACTCTGGGTACCCAGACAGAGTGCAGTGGTTCAATCATGGCTCATTGCAGCCTCGACCTCCCAGGCTCAGGTGATCTTCTGACCTCAGCCTCCCGAGTAGCTGGGATTACAGGCAGGCACCACATCCAACTAATTTTTTTGTATTTTTAGTAGAGACGAGGTTTCACTATGTTGCCCAGGATCGTCTTGAACTCCTGGACACAAGGAATCCGCCCATCTTGGCTTCCCAGAGTGCCGGGATTAAAGGCATGAGCCACCTTGCCCAGCCTTTTTTTTTTTTTTTTGTCTAAAATCTTAGGAATGGCCGGGCACGGTGGCTCACACCTCTAATCCCAGCACTTTGGGAGGCTTTGGTGGGCGTATCATCTGAGGTCAGAAGTTTGAGACCAGCCTGCCTGGCCAACATGGTAAAACCCCGTCTCTACTAAAAATACAAAAAAAAAAAAAAAAATAGCTGGGCATGGTGGCAGGCGCCTGTAATCCCAGCTACTTGGGAAGCTGAGGCAGGAGGATCACTTGAACCCAGGAGGCAGAGGTTGCAGTGAGCCAAGATCATACCACTGCACTCCAGCCTGGGTGACAGAGCGAGAGACTTCATCTCAAAAAATAGTAAGATAAAAATAAATTAAAATCTTAGGACCAATGTTTATGTAGAATGTAAATGAATTATCAACATTCTATATATGAAAGCATCTCACTAGCTTTATTGAGGTATGATTTCTTAAAAATTCTCTAAAAGATTGACTAAGATGCAGTTCTAGTTTTTCAAAGGGCTTTGGGATTTTTTGAAAGTATCAGATCATTGAAATCAAGTCACTTGCTCAAGGTCATTCGATCAAATCAGGTAAGATTAGAATTACTGGCTCCTGCCTTCCAAAAGCCAGCCATAAATCAAATTTCTCTTGGAACTAAGCAGGCCAAAAATGTCAAAATCATTCCCCATCTCTTTTCTTCAGTAATCAAGGAAAGAGAAAAATTAGTTTAAATGTAGAACAGAATTTCAATTAATAAAATGTCATCGGCCAGGCGCAATGGCTCATGTCTGTAATCCCAGCACTATGGGAGGCCAAGGTGGGCAGACCACGAGGTCAGGAGTTCAAGACCAGCCTGACCAACATGGTGAAACCCCATCAAAAATTAGCCGGGTGTGGTGGCAGGTGCCCGTAATCCCAGCAACTCAGGAGGCTGAGGCAGGAGAATTGCTTGAACCCAGGAGGCGGAGGTTGCAGTGAGCTGAGATTGCGCCACTGCACTCTAGCCTGGGCAACAGAGCGAGACTCCATCTCAAAAAAAAAAAAAAAAAGTCATCAATGCATAAACAATTACCCCTAACCATGCACAGGCACCTCTCTTGAAACCGATAACTGTTTCGACAATTTGCTAAGGTCAGTAACCTCTACACAACCTTGCCATATGATGGTACCATAAACTTATTAAGATTTTAAATCAGCACCTCATATGTATATTTATAAATAGCTCGCTTCTGTTATCTTTTAAAAGACCTGATCAGACTGGAGTACGGAAGTACTCTGAGCTCTCGGATTTTTTTTTAAGTTAACAGGTCATAAATAAGTTCAAAAGTTTTCTGCAGAACCCTGAAGGGAATAGGGATATTTCAACATTGCAAATAAAACAAGTGATTAAATAAATGAGAATCATAAAGGCCAGAGGGTAGAGGGTTGAAGAGAAGGGACATCACATTTTTATGCAACATTATTACCTTGCTCCTTATCAAATCCACCACTTTCTCTCTTTCACTCTCTCACTTTCTGTCCCAACCTTCTCCTTTTAAATTGCTGATATAAAACACTACTTCCAAAATTAACAATACAAACACAACTCCCGGCCAGGCACGGTGGCTCACGCCTGTAATCCTAGCACTTTGGGAGACTGAGGTGGGTGGATCACTTGAGGTCGGGAGTTCGAGACGAACCTGGCCAACATGGTAAAACCCCATCTCTACTAAAAATACAAAAATTAGCCAGTGGTGGCAAGCGCCTATAATCCCAGCTATTCTGGAGGCTGAAGCAGGAGAATCCTTTGAACCTGGGGGGCAGAGGTTGCAGTGAGCTGAGATCACACCATTTCACTCCAGCCTGGGCAAAAGAGCGAAACTCCGTCTCAAAAAAAAAAAAAAAATTCCAACGAAGTCGTATTTTTAAAACATTAAATGGATCAAATGGTATTATTATAGTAGCTGAGGGCATTTTATATTTTTTGCAAACACACTATTAATAGTCTTATTTAGTAATTTTCCTCATATCCAATTTTCTATGTGAGATGGTACCCCATTTCACGGATGACTCTCAAGTCCAAGAAAAGTTTCCTTTGCTCTTAGAATACGGGTCACCCACATTAAGTGGCATTAGAGCTCAAAAATACTAAGTTAATGGTTAGGCTGAAATTTTGGCTGGGTTACAGTATACATGGACAATTCATAACATTTATAGCTACATGATTTTTCTTATTTCAAATTCAAGTCTACTATTTCTGAATCTCTTGGAGTGATGATATCTCTAGCCCTTGAGCACAATGTAGCCACAGGGTATACAAAGCAAATCAAAAGCAAGCACTGGAAAAAGTTAAACCTAGAAGGAAATATAAGTCCAATAATTCCACTGTGCCAGAAAACAGAATTGTCATTGGGAAATTTATTAAAGTGAACTACATGAAACTGCTGATATACAACTGTTTTTGACCTGCAAAAACAGAAATTTCATATGGCTCAACCTAATGTTATTTTCTGTTATTTTCTCTCTCTTTTTTTTTTTTTTGTGTGTGTGTGTGTGTATGAGACAGAGTCTCACTCTATCACCCAGGCTGGAGTGCAATGGCGCAATCTCGGCTCACAGCAACCTCTGCCTCCTGGGTTCAAGTGATTCTCCTGCCTCAGCCTCCTGAGTAGCTGGGATTACAGGCACCTGCCACCACGCCCGGCTAATTTTTGTATTTTTAGTACTGACAGGGTTTCACCATCTTGGATAGGCTGGACTTGAACTCCTGACCTCATGATCCACCCACCTTAGCCTCCCAAAGTGCTGGGATTACAGGTGTGAGCCACCACACCCAGCCAACCTAGTATTATTTTCTAAGCTCATTTTAATAACTATTCAAATAAGGTCTTCATAACCCAAGGAACACAAAACAACCTTCTATTTCTCCAGATTGCCTTAACCTTGAAAAAATTTGCCGCCCCACTGTCCAAAGCTAGACATTCTAAAAATTTAAGTTCAACAGAGCCTGTGCATCATAGTGAGATCCTGTCTCTACAAAAAACTGTTTTAAAAGTTAGCCAGGCAGGGTGGCATGTACCTGGAGTCCCAGCTACTCAGGAGGCTGAGGGAGGAGGATCCCTTGTGCCCAGGAGATCAAGGCTGCAGTAAGCTATGAGCATCACTGCACGACAGCCTGGGCAACAGAGACTCTCTATCAAAAAAAAAAAAAAAAAATTAGTAGGAAGGGCAAACAGCTAAATGTAACTACTCCACATCCTTTTTTTATTGTTCCCCTTTCTCACGAACAAAATTTCCATCCTAAGTAGAATTCCCCTTCAGAAGGCTTACATTCAAGGGGATACAGTACTAATGAAAATGTAAGTGCTCTGCCTCTTTTTCAGCTATCAGTGATATAGGATTCTAGGCATGGCAGTAGCACATCGCTTTACACAGGGGTTCCACTGACCTAAAAATCTACTGTTGAGGAATCTTAATTAAATTGATAAGTTCCATTTCTGTTGAAGAATCTGGCTTCTAACCTTTCTATCAAAAGGGTGATTACCATCCCAGTGGGATATAGTTTTCCATTTAGATATAGCTGATTTATGGACTCAGACCAGAAGTACCTGTCACTTTCACAAAAGGAGAAAAAAAGGATTATGGCTCTAAGACTGCCTCTAGGTCCAAATCCCATCTTTTCACACCCATTTTTATTAGAGTCTAATAGCCAACATGCTAATGAACTCTTTTCTCAGTTAATTCCACTAATTAGTTATCTCTTCTTGTTCTGCCAGAATCCCAACCCTTTTACAATCTACTCATCAAATCCATCAGGCCACATATTATGCCTTCCTAGAGGAACACTTTTCGTGATGACACTTTGTAAACAAGGCAATCTGATGCTGCCTGTTCTATCTTCCCAGATCTAGTTGATAGTTCAAAACATCAACATTAACCACAAGTAAAATATGCTTAAAAAATAATCAGGAGACGATCTCCTGCTCTATCTGGAAATTTCTCTATTCAGCTAGTTCTGCGTTGACAGGTCAACAGAGAATGGCACTAGTTATTGCTACAATCCTAAAAGGCATTTCCCTACAGCTAAACCATCAACCCTTTCCTAAAATCCATATAATCCAAAATTTTTCTAGCAGAATTTACTCTCCCTGCCCCTACCCCAGCAGCATCTTCTGATCATTTTTCACCATAAACTGAGGTTTCCTCATAGTGATGCCAAGTCAGGCAAACACATTCCTTAAGCGTTCCACCTAACTCCCTTCTTCCTGGAAGTTACATGTAATAGCTGCCTTTATTTACTTATTTTTAAAACTCTTCAAGCACCAGGTACAGTGGTAAGTGCTTTTAAAGAACATGTATCTACTTCCATCCTTAACACTGTATGAGATTGGGACTCACATTCCCATTTTACAGAGGAGAAATGCAAAGGCTTAGTAACCTGCCCAAGGTCATACAGGGCAGAGATTGGAATCCAAGTCTGACCTCTGTGTCCTCCGCTCTTAACCTTCATGCTGTCTTTCCTTCTGATCTCTTCCTGTCCTAACTGGTGCCCTGTGGTCTTATAAAAGACTATGCTTGGGGCAGGCGGGGGAGGGGTGGGAGGGTCAGTTTCTCCAGAGACCGCCTTTCCTTTAAAGGATAAGACTTTGAAAAGAAGGAGTACCCATTACATCTTTCCTCCATGCTCCCCCTTCTCACCTGGTACCATTTCCCAAAGGCCCCAATCATATCCCCTTCTCTACGGACAATTTAAACTTCTCCTTTGTCCGCAGAGCAGGCACTATCCAATACTGAAGAACCACACCATCTACCCTCAAGGCTAGGAGAGGGCAGAAGTGGAAGAAAGAACACAGACAGCACCCCTTCCCCAGGTCTTCAGTTGAGAAAGAAGCTGTGGCTGAAAGTCTGGGGGGCTGGGGGCAAAGGTGACAAGGATGTGCCCTTGTGGGTACGCGAGGTGGGGGGGGGGGAGATGGGGAAGAGGCATGGGACGCTCAGGGGATTAGCAGGAGATTGAATGGGGGTGGACCTCTGTAAGGGGAAGGGGGGTGCCACCGGCAGGCAGAGAGATCAGGCCACTGAAGAGGTGAACGTGAGTTAGGGAGGAGGACCTGGAGGTGGATGTAATAGGGGAAGTAGAGGAAGAAAGGGGAGGGAGGGGGCTCACGGGAGCAGGAAACGATGGAGTCATGGGGAGTGGGGGAGGATGGATGGGAGCTAGAAGGTGGGGCGGCCTGGGACCCGGGCACATGGGCTCGGCGAAGAGCGGGCGCGCCGCGGGGGACTGGGGTGCGGGGAATGCCGGGAATGGGGGTTCGAGGAGACCCCGGGGAAGGGAAGGGGAAGCGGGAGTTCTCGAGCAGAGGAGCGGGAAGTGGGAGTTCCAGCGAGGCAAGAGCGGGAAGGGGGTTCCGGAGCAAGGGGCGGGCGTGAAGGTACAGTCGGGTTCGCGAGGGTGGCGTTAGGAGGGGCGGGGTGGGCCGGAGGCTGGCGCGGGAGAGGGATCCCGGGCGCCTGTTGGGGTGCGGAGGGCAGGAATGTCCTGGCGTCCCCGAGAGCCGGGCCAGGACTCCGGAGTCTTCGGAGGACCAGGCTCAGGGCCGCCTCCCGGCCGGGGCCCCTTAGGGAGGGGCGGGGATTCCCCGGGTCCCTCAAGGCCAGAGCGGCAGCCGCCGCGGTCCCAAGCCCCCTTCCTACCTATGCCGGGCGCCACATAGACGAAGTACAGCAGCGAGGACGAGAGAGAAAAGAAGAAGAGCGCGGCGAGCAGCGAGCGGCGCGGCAGCCGCAGCAGCCCCCGGCGGGCGCGCATGCTGCAGCCAGGCGGCCGCTAGAGAGCCAGGCCGGGCCTGCTCCCGCAGCTCCCCGTCCGCCGCCTCCTGGGCCGCCGCCGCCACCGCCTGGGCCTCGGCCACCGCCTCCCGGGCCTCGCGGGCCGCCACTCGCCGCCGCCGCCGCCTCGCCGCTCCCAGCCGCCGGCCGTCGCGGGCCGGGCCACATGAAGCGGGCGGGGGCCAGAGCGGCCCCGAGCGGGCGCAGCGGCGGGGGCGGAGGCGGGGCGCACGCGCGGGAGGCGGGGCCAGTGCCGCCGGGCACCGTCGCAAAAGACCCGCGCGCTTGCGCTCGCCGCCGACCCTCGCTCGGCGCCCACAGCAGCCCGCATGGAGTAATCGCCAAATGGCGACAGACCCTCTCCCAGTGCGGCCACCGCCCAGGCTTTCGGGGAATGTCTCCCAAGTGCTCCGCGCTAGCTCGTCCCCCATCTCGGGGGCCAAGGGGCCATCTACAAAGTCTGACTCATCTCGTTGCCCACTGCAGCAGAAGAGTGGGGACTGCAAGGCTTGGGGGTTCGGCCTGGTATACACCCTCATTCATTCATTCATTCATTCATTCAATTCACCATTTATTTATTGAATGCCAGACACAGTTGTTGGCGCTGGGCATGCTACAGAGAAAAAAAACGATAAAAATCTCTGTCTACTTGAAACTTACATTATGTGAGAGATAAAAGAAACAAATCAGCTAGTAATATCAGGTACTGGTAACACATATGAATACGATAAAACAGGAGGATGTATTGCAGGCAGGCTGGAGTGGTCAAGGAAGGCCTCACTGAGCAGTGACACGAACTGAGATATAAAAGGGTGAGAAAGCGCCAGCTTTTTTGAATAAGCTGGGGAAAAAGCAGTCATACCAGGGGGAACAGCAGGTGTAAAGGCCCTGAGGTAGGAAAAGGGCTGATCTGCCCCCGAGTTGAATCCAAGGCCAACATGGATAAAATCCAGTGAAGTAGGGGGGGAAATAGGGATGAGCTTGGAGCTGTAGTCAGGGATCCTACTGTATCAGAAATAGCATAATGATAACAATTGTCAATGTCTCTAGACTTCTGCTGAGAAACATGGACTTCACTCATGCCATGAAATTCCCCCACCAGTCTTGAGATGTGTGCTGTTATTATTACTATCATACAAATGAGGAAACTGAGGTTTCTAGATGGAAAGGCAATTCACCCAAGCCTTGCAGTAAGGGCTTAAATCAAAACTGGCCTGTCTCCCATGTCAGGCCCTTGACCTCTAGGTTGTAACTGTCTCAGCAGTCTGTATGACCTCTAATTCTTATCCTGCAGGCAAATCGGTATCCTATCCCCATCACCTGGGTATGGGACCATATCCAAAAAAATGCTTTCAGATCAGCATCAGCTCAAAGGACCTCAGAAGGCAATGAACAGTCCTAGAAATTTATGGCAAGAAGCAGTAGCCTCAAGGAGCTGGACTGAGGAGGCCAGTGTCCCTGTGTAGACATATCTGAAACTAGGGTACTGTCTTGGAATGCCAGAAGCAGTGGGGAGGGGAGAGGACTTTGCAGGGATTCTGTGAGAATCAACAATAATTCTGATTTATATTCCTAAAGTGATTTCTACTTTTTACAGTGTTTCTTTGATCCTTTAAGTGGGGAGTCTAGAGCCACACTGCCCAGGTTCTCTGACTCCCAGCTTTTCCATTGTTAGCTGTGTGACCTCACGCAAGTTAAACTCTCTGTGCCTCGGTAAAATGGAGGAGGTTATTAGCAACCTCATCAGGTTGTTGCGAGGATTTAAGTAATACATGCAAAGTGCACATAGTAAGAGTGCTTAGCTGTCACCTAATTCAATACCCCTGGAGAATGGTATGGTGGAAGAGAAGAGGCTTAAACGATCAAAAAGGAAAGCAGAGAATTTTGACTCAGATAGATGTGAGTTCAAATCTCGGCTTGGCATCTCCTGGCTGTGTGACTCTGGGAAAGTCACTTACCTCTCTGAGCTTCTCTATTCATCACCTGTGAATCGGACCCAGTGCTGCCCACCCCACGGGGATGTGATGTGGATTCGATGAAATAGTGCAGGTAAGGCCCTGGACCAGAAATCCCAGACTAGCCGGAATCATCTAACTTGCAAATAGTTTTTGTTGGCCCACACAATGGCCCCTCCCAACCCTCGTATCTATGAAACATTTTCAAACATACAGAAAAGTTGAAAGAATAGTACAAGAAACATCTGTACACTCCCCACCTGGATTTGATCATTGTTATCATTTTTCCACATGTATGTATCTATATTCATATGTTGAAAATTTTTATTTTTTGCTAAATATTTAAAGGTAGGCTGGGCGATTACACCTGTAATCCCAGCACTTTGGGAGGCAAAGGCAGATGGATCGCTTGAGCTCAGGAGTTTGAGATCAGTCTGGCCAACATGGCAAAACTCCATTTCCACAAAAAATACAAAAGAATTAGCTGGGCGTGATGACGTGTGCCTATAGTCCCAGCTACTTGGGAGGCTGAGGTGGGAGGATCTCTTAAGCCCAGGAGGTGGAGGTTGCAGTGAGCCAAGATAGCGCCACTGCACTCCAGCCTGGGAGACAGAGTGAGACCCTGACTCAAAAAAACAATAAAAAAAAGTAAGTTGTTGCCTTACTAGTACTTCATGCCTTAATACTTCAGTAGCAAATCCTAAGGAAAATTACATTATCCTTCAAAACCACAGTAATACTAAGAGAATTAACAATTATACCATAACATTCTGTAACATCCAGTCTGTTCTGGATAGACAGAGAAAGAGAAACCTTCCTACATTTAAACTATGTACCAATGATCAGTCTCTATTTCTGACCTATCTGAAATAACAAGGCATCAAAATAAATTGGTTATGTTTTAGGCCGGGTACAGTGGCTCACGCCTGTAACCCCACCACTTTGGGAGGCCGAGGCAGGCAGATCACTTGAGGTGAAGAGTTTGAGACCAGCCTGGCCAACAACATGAAACCCCATCTCTACTAAAACATACAAAAATTAGCTGGGCGTGGTGGCACGTGCCTGTAATCCCAGCTACTCGGGAGGCTGAGGCAGGAGGATTGCTTGAACCTGGGAGGCAGAGGCAGAGGTTGCAGTGAGCCAAAATCGTGCCATTGCACTCCAGCCTGGACAACAGAGTGAGACTCCACCTCAAAAAAAAAATGCAAAATACAAAAATTAGCCAGGCACGGTGTCAGGCAGCCTGTAATCCCAGCTATTTGGGAGGCTGAGGCACAAGAATCGCTTGAACTCTGGAGGTGGAGGTTGCAATGAGCTGAGATCATACCACTGCACTCCAGCCTGGGCGACAGAGCAAGACTCCGTCTCAAAAATAAATAAATAAACTGGTTATGGTTTTTGTCTGTTTGTTTGTTTCAGTGGAGTTTCGCTCTTGTTGCCCAGGCTGCAGTGCAATGGCACATTGTCTGCTCACCGCAACCTTCGCCTTCCAGGTTCAAGAGATTCTCCTGCCTCAGCCTCCCAAGTAGCTGGGATTACAGGCATACGCCACCATGCCCGGCTAATTTTGCATTTTTAGTAGAGACAGGGTTTCACCATGTTGGTCAGACTGGTCTCGAACTCCTGACCTCAGGTAATCTGCCTGCCTCGACCTCCCAAAGTGCTGGGATTACAGGCATGAGCCACCGCCTCCGGCAGTTTATGTTTTTAAATGGAAGAAAAAGAAGTATGTCAGGAGTATCCAGGGATCCCTACCTCAAACTCCTTCCTCCACACTACTTTTTCATCTCCAAGTTAGGTTTCCAACTCACTAAAGCATGTATTCATTATATATTCATTTGACTATTCAGCTCCTCAGACAAACTCACTGTATTCTAATCTCTGCTCAAATGTTACCGTCTCAAAAAGACCTTTCCTCTAAAGTAGCTTTCTTCTCCCCATCCCAGCACTCTCTATCCATAGCCTTCCTCAGCTTGATTTTTCTCCATAGCACTTTTTATCCCCTGACATTCTACTATACATATACG
Organism: Homo sapiens; assembly: GCF_000001405.40. Taxonomy (NCBI): domain Eukaryota; kingdom Metazoa; phylum Chordata; class Mammalia; order Primates; family Hominidae; genus Homo; species Homo sapiens. The sequence continues at coordinate 49,717,693 of NC_000020.11, forward strand.
CGTTTACTTGTTCATTTTCTTCTCCCAGATCAGAATGTAAACTTCACGAGAGCAGGGATTTGGTTTCACTCTCTGCTGTATCCTTGCACCTAGCACAGTGCTCAGCAGCCAGTAGGCGCTGAATAATTGTTGAAGGACGACAGGTGTGCAGTGACTGTGTGCTGGGCATGGCAGATGCAAAGATGACTAAGACATTCTTGCAGCCTAGTGACATATGAGCTACAGGAAAGTGACTAACTGAGGGACACTGTCATAAGGGCAGGACTCAGCATGGCTGGCAGTAGGAAAAGGTGTTCTGTGAGATTCTAGATGGTCTTTGAAGGGACATTGAGACAGGTTTGCTCAAGGGGCAGTGAGAAGAGGCCTGCCTGGTTGGAGCAGCTAGTCCTGCCAAGGAAAAGAAAGAGGTGAGGGGTGAGGCTGGAGGAGTGAGGCCTGACCCTGTGGCTCAGCATGGGCCCTGGAATTAGATGGATCTGGCTGCCAGTCTTCCTTCCTCCCTGCCCTCACTCTGTCATCTTGGCAAGTCACTTCACCTCTCGGAACCTCCATTTCCGCATCTGTAAAATGGAGATCAGACAGTTCCTTCTTTCTAGGATTGTGCACAGATTACAAATAGTATCTCTATAAAGGGCCTGATATGTAGGAAGTGCTCAATCCATGGGAGCCATCACTATTCTTAACTTTTTCCTCTGAGCCATAGAGAGCCCTTGAAGGTTTTAGCGCAGGGGAGTGGCCTAAAGAAAGGGAGGTCCTTGGTGAAATCTCAGGAGAGCACAGGTTGGGCCTCTTGTGCTTGTCAACACCCAATTGCAGGCTAGCTGAAATCACACACATAAAGAAAACAATCCGGCAGGGCATGGTGGCTCATGCCTGTAATCCCAGCACTTTGGAAGGCTGAGATGGGCAGGTCACCTGAGGTCAAGAGTTTGAGACCAGCCTGGCCAACATGGTGAAACCCCGTCTCTACTAAAAATACAAAAATTAGCCAGGTGTGGTGGTGGGCACCTGTAATCCCAGCTACTCGGGAGACTGAGACAGGAGAATCACTTGAACCCAGGAGGCGGAGGTTGTAGTGAGCTGAGATCGTGCCACTGGACTCCAGCCTGGGCAATAAAGAACAAAACTCCGTCTCAAGAAAAAAAATAAAAATAAAAAAAGCCGGTGCATCCTTCCCTCTACTTTTCCTTCTATCAAATAACCATCAATGTTGTTCAGAGCAGCCACCCACCAGCTAAGTTCCAGAATGAGGAGGAGATGCTCCCAACTCCATTTTGCCAACAATGACACGTAGCATGAGCAATAAATAAAGCCTCTGAGATATAGGGGCTTTTTTTTTTTGAGACAAGTCTTGCTCTGTTGCCCAGGCTGGAGTGCAGTGGCATGATCTCAACTCATTGCAACCTCTGCCTCCTGGGTTCAAGTGATTCTCCTGCCTCAGCCTCCCAAGTAGCTGGGACTACAGGCGTGCACCACCATGCTCAGCTAATTATTGTATTTTTAGTAGAGACAGGGTTTCACCATCTTGGCCATGCTGGTCTCCAACTCCTGACCTCAAGTGATCTGCCCGCCTCGGCCGCCCAAAGTGCTGGAATTATAGGCATGAGCCACCGCGCCAGGCCAAGGGCTATTTTTAATACAGAAAACCTGGCCTATCCTTACTTATCATAAATATACCGTTCTGCAACTTGCTTTCTCCTGACATTATTTTTATAAGATATTTCCATAATGATACATGTGGCTCAAGTTTATTCATTTTCACTGCTGTGTAATATTTTATCATATAACTTGGCCTCACCTTTTAAAATCCTTTTTCCTAATGATGTCTATTTAAGTTTGTTCCAATTTTTTCCTCATACTGGTCCATAAATCCTTAGCTACAATTCAAATTCCAGGAAACCTAAAAATGGAAGGCTTTTTATAATTTATTTAGCAGCAAGATCTGACCTGATTTGAACTTCTTTAGTGGCAAAACCTGACCTGAATAGACAGAAAGCTATTTATAATCATTATGCCACTTAATGTGAATATTCATATGTTCCACTGAGGAAATATTTAGTGTTTTTTTTTTTGTTTTGTTTTGTTTTGTTTTTTTTTTTTTTTTTGAGACAGGGTCTCCCTCTGTCGCCCAGGCTGGAGTGCAGAGGCGCAATCACAGCTCACTGCAGCATCAACCTCCTGGGCTCAATCGATCCTCCTGCCTCAGCCTCCTGAACAGCTGGTACTACAGGCATGGGCCACCATACCGAGTTTAGATTTTTGCTTACAGGATGAACCAGTCCTCTCAAGGGGTATGATAGGAGATTTCATGAATGCACCATATTGTCTTTCAAAATTCTAAGAATTTCTTTTTTTTTTTCTTTTTTGAGACGGAGTTTCACTCTTTTTGCCCAGGCTGGAGTGCAATGGCCTGATCTCGGCTCACCGCAACCTCCGCCTCCCAGATTCAAGCAATTCTCCTGCCTCAGCCTCCTAAGTAGCTGGGATTACAGGCATGGACCACCATGCCCGGCTAATTTTGCATTTTTAGTAGAGACAGGGTTTCACCATATTGGTCAGGCTGGTCTCTAACTCCCAACCTCAGGTGATCCACCCACCTCGGCCTCCCAAAGTGCTGGGATTACAGGCATGAGCCACCACGCCCGGCCTCAAAATTCTAAGAATTTCTAAAATTCAAAACACGTTTAGCCCCAACGGCTTTGGATAAGGGATGGTGGACAGGCACAAACATGACTGCGATGTATGCGTGTGGCAGAATGTATTTTCCAAAGATGCCCTCAACAATATTTCCTGTCCTCATGCTCTTCTAGAACTTTCTCTAATTCCTCTTCCTGTGAATCTGGGTGGGATTGTGAATCATCTATAACCAATAAAAAGATGAAAATGGCCAGGTATAGTGGCTCATGTCTGTCATCCCAGCACTTTGGGAGGCTGAGGCAGGTGGATCATCTGAGGTCAGGAGTTCAAGACCAACCTGGCTGGCATGGTGAAACCCCATCTCTACTAAAAATACAAAAATTAGCCCAAGCGTGGTGGTGCATGCCTGTAATCCCAGCTACTTAGGAGGCTGAGGTGAGAGAATAGCTTGAACCTGGCAGGTGGAGGTTGCAGTGAGCCGAGATTCTGAGATTGCCCTACTGCACTCCAGCCTGGGAGACAGAGTAAGTGAGACTCTGTCTCAAAAAAAAAAAAAAAAAAAAAAAAAAAAAAGATGGAAATGATGCTGCACAATTTGTGAGGCAATGCAGCTTCTGACTTGATCACTGGGACACTCACCTTTGGAGCCTGGAACCCCTATGCTGTGAAGAAGCCCAGGCCAAGTGGAGAGGCCACATACAGATGCTCTGGTCAGCAGCCCTGGCAGAGGTTCCAGATGACAGCCAGCATCAGCCACCAAGCATGTCAGAGAACAAGGCTTTAGATGTCCCAACTCCCAGCTGTCAAGTCATCCTCACCCTTTAAACCTTCCCATCTAAAGCCCCAGACAAGCTGTCCCACTGTGCCCTTTCCAAAATGATAAAATGGTTATTGTTTTACACAACTAAATTTGGGATAATTTGTTATGCTGCAGCAGTAGTAACTGGAGCAACACGCTTTTTTTTTTTTTTTTTTTTGAGAGGGAGTCTTGCTTTTTTACCCAGGCTGAAGTGCAGTGGTGCAATCTCAGCTCACTGCAACCTTTGCCTCCTGGCTTCAAGTGATTCTCCTGCCTCAGTCTCCCAAGTAGCTGAGATTACAGGTGCACGCCACCACGCCCAGCTAATTTTCGTATTTTTAATAGAGACAGGGTTTCGTCGTGTCGTCCAGGCGGGTCTCGAACTCCTGACCTCAAGTGATTCCCCGCAGCCCCCTGCCTCGGCCTCCCAAAGTGTTGGAATTACAGGCATGAGCCACTGCAACTGGCTCAACACGCGTCTGTATGTAATTTGTGCATGTGGCAAAAATGTCTCCAGGTCACATGGTTTACAAGAGAGGATTTGGTGAACAGGTGAGGTATGCATATCTTCTGCTTTACTATTTTCCAAATTGTTCTCAAAAATGCTTGTAGCAATTTATATTCCTAGCAGCAGTGAAGGAGGGCTTCCTTTATTTCCTGCTTCACCCACCGTTACTGTAATCAGAATTTTCCAGGGTTTGGTCCTTCTGCCACCAATCCCCTCTGAAGAGAGAGAGTAAGGTAAAAGTTAGCAAAGGCCTCCAAGAGCTTTGATTCTGTACAGGACTATGTCTTTGCTGTCAAAAAAAACTGACTTATAGCCAGGCGCGGTAGCATGAGCCTGTAGTCCCACCTACTCGGGGGGCTGAGACAGGAGGATCACTTGAGTCCAAGAGTTCTGTGTTGTAGTGTACTATGTCATTTGGGTGTCTGCACTAAGTTCGGCATCAATACAGCAACCTCCCAGGATGGGGGGACCACCAGGTTGTCTAAGGAGGGATGAACCAGCCCAGGTTGGAAATGGAGCAGGTCAAAACTCCAGTGTTGATTAGTTGTGGGATTGCGCCTGTGAATAGCCACCGCACTCCAGCCTAGGCAACATTATGAGACCCTGCCTCTAAAATAATTAAAAAATTAAAAATAAAATAAAATAACCCGGGCATGGTGGCTCACGCCTGTAATCCCAGCACTTTGGGAGGCCAAGGCGGGCAGATCACCTGAGGCCAGGAGTTCAAGACCAGCTTGGCCAATGTGGTGAAACCCCGTCTCTACGAAAAATACAAAAATTAGCTGGGCGTGGTGGCCGGCGCCTGTAATTCCAGCTACTCAGGAGGCTGAGGCAGAGGTTGCAATGAGCTGAGATCACACCATCACACTCTAGCCTCGGCGACAACAGTGAAACTCTGTTTCAAAAAATAATAATAATAATAAAAATAAAAAATAAAAACTGACTTATATCCCTTCTCTAAATTCTCCTCAGTCTTTCCTATCCTGTAGAGGAAGGCCTAAGGCATGACAAGATTGCTCCTAGTATTGCCTGATATAACTCATTCTCTCATTCAACAGATATTAGTATTTATCAAGTACTGGCCGGGCATGGTGGCTCACACCTGTAATCCCAGCACTTTGGGAGGCCAAGACAGGCAGATCACTTGAGGTCAGGAGTTTGAGACCAGCCTGGCCTACATGGTGAAATCCCATCTCCACTAAAAATACAAAAAAATATATATATATATATAATTAGCCAGGTGTAGCGGCAGGTGCCGGTAATCCCAGGTACTCGGGAGGCTGAGGCATGGGAATCGCTTGAATCTGGAAGGCAGAGGTTGCAGTGAGCCAAGGTCGCCCCACTGCACTCCAGCCTGGGTGATAGAGTGAGACTCTGTCTCAAAAAAAAGAAAAAATAATAATATTTATCAAGTACCAAACTAGATGCCAGACATTTTTCTAGATGCTAAGAGAAAATTATGATGATAATAATGATGATGCCACTGCCATCTAGGGACCAGGTATTTACTGAATTTTTTAGTCACCCAGCATCCATTCACTTGACTTCTGAAACAGCCAGATTTCCTTCTCTCCTTGTTTTCAGTCTATGTGGTTCTCTGAGGTTGTTAACTCCATTTCCATCTCCAGACATGATATGAACTAGCCTGGCCAGTCAGAATATTATATTCCTTTTGCAACAGTGATTGGTTCAGGGCTGAGCAGACCAGCCAGAGCCAATGATGCTAAATGTCCAGCTTTCTTTGTGCCTTTGGAGAGGCCAACTTTCTCTTTCATGCTAGACATAAACATGACAGGTTGTGAGGCCACAGCAATGGCAACTGTTTTATCAACATGTGGAACCTGAGAATGAAATGAGCATATAAACAGACTGATACAAACAGCAAAGAGAAATTGAGTCCTAATGATATAGTTTGACTCTTGAATTCACCTAGTCCTAACCTGCCTTTCTTTCCTTCCCCAGTTTTGCATCTGCTGAGGTTTTTACAAGTGTGTTTTTTTAATTTTAATTGAATCATAGCACACATACAGAAAAATACACATTGTAACAAAAGTATAGTTTGCTAAATTTTTACAAATGGAATTACCCATTTAACCAACATTCACATCAAGAAATAAGGACATGATATGATGTATACATGTACATCACATATGTATAGGTATGTATATGTATATGATATGTGTATGTATATGATGTACATGGTCTCCAATTTATGATAGTTTGACATACCACTTTTTGATTTCATGATGGTGAGAAAGTGATACATATTCAGTAGAAACTGGACTTCAAGAAGGCCGGGCGCAGTGGCTCATGCCTGTAATCCCAGCACTTTTGCAGGCCGAGGCGGGTGGATCACTTGAGGTCAGGAGTTTAAGACCAGCCTGGTCAACATGGTGAAGCCCCATCTCTACTGAAAATACAAAAAATTAGCCAGGCATGGTGGTGCGCACCTGTAATCCTAGCTACTTGGGAGGCTGAGGCAGGAGATTAGCTTGAACCCAGGAGGCGAGGTAGCTATGAGCCGAGACTGCCCCACTGCACTCCAGCCTGGGTGAGAGAACAAGACTTCATCTCACAAAAAAAAAAAAAAAGAAAGAAACTGGACTTCAAGTACCTATACAACCACTCTGTTTTTCAGTTTCAGTACAGTGTTCAATAAATGATATGAGATATTCAACACTTGATTATAAAATAGGCATTGTGTTAATTTTACCCAACTTTAGGCTAATATAAGTGTTCCGAGCACATTTAAGGTGGACTAGGCTAAACTAAGATGTTTGGTAGGTTAGGTGGATTAATGCATTTTCAATTTACGGTATTTTCAGCTCACAATGGGTTTAGCAAGATGTAGCTCCTCTGTATGTTGAGGAGGACCTGTGCTGTTCTGTCTGGCTCCGTTTGCTCACCATGTTTGTGAGATTCATGCATACCGATGAGTGAGATTGTAAAACCATTCATTTTAATTGCTGAATAGTATCCTGTTGTGTGAATACACCATAGTTTACTTTCCAGTCAACTGCTGTCATCTGGCATTTGGATCGTTTCTAGTTAGAGGATACTAGGAATAAAGCTGCTATAAGCTCCCTGGGACAGTGGCTCTCAGGCTTGTGAAATACTCTCTTGATGTAGTGTATTAGTCAGGCATAGCTGGGGGGCTCACATGATATCAGCAGCCTTAGTTTCTCTCAATATCTTAGTTCTGCTTCCCTCTGAGTTGGTTTCATCAGATTCATGTGTTCCTCCTGACCAGCTTATTCTCAGCTGCTCCAGGCTTCCATTCCCCAGCCCAGTCACTTAGCCAAAAAAAAGAAATTTTATAATAAAGTCTCATTGGTCTGGCTTCATTCATATGTTCCTCCCCGAACCGATCCCTGTGATTAAAGGGATGGAGTGTGCTGATTGGACAGAAGTGGTCACATACCCACTCCCCAACCTGCCCCCACCCTGGAGCCAGGAAGCAAGATCAGCTTCCTGTGAACCACAAGGTTGATGTAGGGAGGGGTGGCTCCCCGAGGGGAAATCAAAGTGCAATTATTCAAGTGGAATTGTTGCTGGGCAGGCAAAAACAACAGATATTTGTGGACCACACCAACTTTTTTTTCAATGCCTTCATGCCTTTAGGTGCTCTGTTTCTGCTACCAGGAAATACTGTGTTCTCTTTCTCCTCATCCTCTAAGATCCAGCTTAAATATTTTTCCCATCCTAAAACCTCCCAGAATTTTTGGACTTGATTCTGGATGGATGTTCTTTTTTTCTTTCTTTCTTTTAAGACGGAGTCTCGCTCTGTTGCCCAAGCTGGAGTGCAGTGGCGCTATCTCGGCTCACTGCAACCTCCGCCTCCCAGGTTCAAGCAATTCTGCTGCCTCAGCCTCCTGAGTAGCTGGGATTACAGGCGCATGCCACCATGCCTGGCTAATTTTTTGTATTTTTACTAGATACAGGATTTCGCCATGTTGGCCAGGCTGGTCTCGAACTTCTGACCTCAGGTGATCTGCCCACCTTGGCCTCCCAAAGTGCTGGGATTAGAAAGGCCTGAGCCACCCCGCCCGGCCTGGATGGATGTTCTTAACCTCCATTTACTCTCCTTCTGTTGAAAGAGGCTCAAAAGCTTAAAACAGCATTCCACAGGCTCTCTTGCAGCTATGACAGTGGGAAGTTAAATTCTGTCAGTTAGATTCATTTGCATGAGATCTGGAGGATGGGAGAGAGGGAGAGGTCGTCTTGCTGGAGCTGTGTCAGCTAAGGGAGCGGTTCTGCAGGTGGGAGGAGCATGTACAGTGGAGTCCACTGTGCAGTCCCCACTTAGGAGGGTGTGAGGTAGTAGGATGGAGGCCATGGTGGTGGCAGGGAAGCAGCAGTTTGGTAACCTTGGGAACAAGGCCTTGCTGGAGGAACCTTGAAATCAAAAGCCTGAAATGGCCCCTGACTTCTACTCTTCCAGACCTCCTAATGATTTTGTAAGCACCTATATCCCTGTATTAAATCTTTTTTATTTATTATTATTATTATTTAAATTATAGACACAGAGTCTTATACTGTTGCCCAGGCTGGTCTCAAACTCCGGGCTTCAAGCAATCCTCCCACTTGGGCCTCCCAAAACACTGGGATCACAGGTGTCCAGCCTCAAAATTCTTTTTTGGGCCAGGTGCGGTTGCTTCCACCTGTAATCCCAGCACTTTGGGAGGCTAAGGTGGGTAGATCACTTGAGGCCAGGAGTTCGAGACCAGTCTGGCCAATATTGTGAAACCCCATCTCTACTAAAAATACAAAAATTAGCCAGGCATGGTGGCCCATGCCTGTAATCCCAGCTACTCGGGAGGCTGAAGAAGGAGAATCGCTTGAAACTGGGAGGCAGAGGTGCAGTGAGTCAAGATCATGCCGCTGCACTCCAGCCTCGGTGACAGAGAGAAACTGTGTCTCAAAAAAATACAATAAAATAAAAGATTTTTTAAAAAAGCACTTGAATAGCACTTACTCTGTGTCAGGCACTAGTCTAAGCACTTTATTAAAAATTTATGGACCAGACATGGTGGCTCATGCCTGTAATCCCAACTCTTTGGGAGGGCAAAGCAGGCAGATCACTTGAGGTCAGGAGTTCAAGACCAGCTCGAACAACATGGTGAAACCCCATCTCTACTAAAAATACAAAAATTAGCTGAGCATGGTGGTGTGTGTCTGAAATCCCAGCTACTCGGGAGGCTGACGAAGGAGAATATCTTGAACCCGGGAGGTGGAGGTTGCAGTGAGCTGAGATCGCACCACTGCACTCTAGCCTGGGCAACAAGAGTGAAACTCCATCTCAAAAAAAAAAAAAAAATTTACAACCAGGCATGGTGGTTCACACCTGTAATCCCAGCACTTTGGCAGGCCGAGGCGGGTGGATCCCCTGAGGTCTGGAGTTCAAGACCAGCTTGGCCTACATGGTGAAACCCCACCTCTACTAAAAATAAAAAATTAGTTGGATGTGGTGGCACACACCTGTATTCCCAGCTACTCCGGAGGCTGAGGCAGGAGAATTGCTTGAATCCAGGAGGTGGATGTTGCAGTGAGCCAAGATCCTGCCACTGCACTCTAGACTGGGTGACAGAGTGAGACTTCGTCTCAAAAAAAAAGAAAAAAAAAATTTACTTAATGGGCTGGGTGTGGTGGCTCCTGCCTGTAATCCCAGCACTTTGGGAGGTCAAAGGGGACAGATCACGTGAATCCAGGAGTTCAAGACCAGCCTGGCCAACATAGCCAGCCAAATTTCATCTCTACTAAAAAATACAAAAAATTAGCTGGGCCGTGGTGGCATGCGCCTGTAGTCCCAGCTACTCAGGAGGCTGAAGCAGGAGAATGGCTTGAACCTGGGAGGCAGGGGTTGCAGTGAGCCCAGATCGCTCCATTGCACTCCATCCTGGTGACACAGCGAGACCCTGTCTCAAAACAAAACAATACAAACCACTGAACAAACAAAACCCTTAATCTTTACAACAACATTTTGAGGTAAGTACTACTGCCACCCTCATTTGCAGATGAGGAAATAAAAGTCTAGAAGGATTAAGAAATTTGCCCAAGGTCACACAACTGGTTTCTTATAAATTATGTAAGGTTATGGGTAGATTTCATAATGCCATGGGGAATGCTCTTGATGGGAACGACTGTCCTTGAAGGCAAGCACTGTCTTTTTTTCATATTTGCACCGCAGTGCCTAAATTAGCACCCTAAGCACTTGATAGGTGTTTGGTAAATATTGGTTGAATGAATTAATGAAACTATTTATGAATTCAGCTGAGTCTGCTGTGAAAAGAAAAAAAAACTAAATATTAAAAGGAATTCAGAGTATATTTTCCCACTAGAGCACAGGTGAGCAAAGTTCTTTTATAAAGAGGCAGAGAGTAATTTTTTTGTTTGTTTTTTTGAGAAAGAGTCTCACTCTGTCACCCAGGCTGGAGTGCAGTCACATGATCACTGCAGCCTGGACCTCTTGGGCTCAAGTGATCCTCCCACCTTAGCCTCCCAAGTAACTGGGACACAGACTTACAACACTATGCCTGGCAAAGATTTTTTATTTTTTTCTATAGAAACAAGGTGTCACTATATTACCCAGGCTGGTCTCAAACTCCTGGCCTCAAGTGATCCTCCCACCTTAGCCTCCCAAAGGGCTGGGATTAGAGATAGTAAATTTTTTTTTTTTTCGAGATGGAGTCTCGCTCTGTTGCCCAGGCTGCAGTGCAGTGGTTTGATCTCAACTCACTGTAGTCTCCGCCTCCAGGGTTCAAGCAATTCTCCTGCCTCAGCCTCCTGAGTAGCTGGGACCACCATGTGCCATCACACCCAGCTAATTTTTGTATTTTTGGTAGAGATAGGGTTTCACCATTTTGGCTAGGGTGGTCTCCAGCTCCTGGCCTCAAATAATCTGCCTGTCTCAGCCTCCCCAAGTGCTGAGATTATAGGCATGAGCCACTGTGCCCAGCCAAGACAGTAAATATTTTTTATTTTACTGGCTGTACAATCTTTGGCACAGTCAATTAATTCTGCTATTCTATCACAAAGGCAGCCATAGCCACTATGTAAACAAAGGAGTGTGTTTCTGTTCCAATAAAACTTTATTTACAAAGACAAGTAGCAGACCAGATTTGGCTCATGGATTGTACTTTGCTGACCTTGCCCTATAAGATGAGTTTTAATATATCAAAAGATTTACTGTAGATTACTGTACTTAGTAAAATCTTTTTTTGCTTTGTTTTGAAAAAATTATTTTATTTTATTATTTTTTTTGAGACAGAGTCTCACTCTGTCTCCCAGGTTGGAGTGCAGTGGCTCGATCTTGGCTCACTGCAATCTCGGCCTGCCAGGTTCAAGCGATTCTCCTGCCTCAGCCTCCTGAGTAGCTGTGATTACAGGTGTGTGCCACCACGCCCGGCTAATTTTTGTATTTTTAGGAGAGACAAGGTTTCGCCATGTTGGCCAGGCTGATCTCGAACTCCTGACCTCAGGCGATCTGCCTGTCTCAGCTTTCCAAAGTGCTGGAATTACAGGTGTGAGCCACCATCCCCTGCCCTCTCCAACATGTAAGTAGGGAATATAGAGCTAACGTTTCAATATTGTATTTCATTTATTTTTATTTTTTTGAAAAACAAATCTTTATTGTCTAGAAATATATATTTTAAAAATCCCCCACAAAAGATGCTATTCTCTAATTTCCCCATCTTCTTTTTCTTTCTTTTTTTTTAAGACAGAGTCTTCCTCTGTCACCCAGGCTGGAGTGCAGTAGTGTGATCTCCACTGCAAACTCTGCCTCCTGGGTTCAAGCGATTCTCCTGCCTTAGCCTCTTGAGTAGCTGGAATTACAGGCATGTGCCACCACACCCGGCTAATTTTTGTATTTTTGTAGAGATGGGGTTTCACCTTGTTGGCCAAGCTGGTCTTGAACTCCTGACCTCAAGTGATTCACCCGCCTCAGCCTCCCAATCATTTCTCCATCTTCTTCCTCTTCTTCCACACCTCTGATATAAAGGACATTATTACACCTTATTAAAACTTCACCCAGATGTCCAGACAATGCTCCATCTATGTATTCTTCTGTATTTGCAAGCTGCATGTTCATGTAGCCATCTACAGATACCAGGTAGCCCTAGTACTCCATTCCCCGCTTAAGTTTCACCATCCTTGGCTTTCCTGTTACTCCACTGAGGAAAGATCTGGGATTGAGACATAAACTCATCATCGTAACCACAGGCAAATGCTATGGGCAAATGCTGCAGGCCGCTGACCAGGCTGACCAGGCTACTGACTACAGCAGCTACCACAGGTCCTGAGCCACTGAGCATCAGGAGAAAACTATGTTCAAGATTTTATAGTAAGAAATGTATTTGGTAACATTCCATGATTTTATGCCATAGAAGGCTCAGCCAACATTCCATGATTCCACATAGAAGGGGGTTTAGCTAACATTCCTTAAGTCTGTACAGATGAGGGTGCTCTGTAGACATTCCATAACGATAAGCAAAAAGGTTCTGCAAACATTCAATGATTTTATACATGGACAGATGTTCTGCAAACGGTTCAAAATTCATGCTACAAGAAAGGATTCTAGCCAGGCGCGGTGGCTCACACCCGTATTCCCAGCACTTTGGGAGGCTGAGGCGGTCAGATCACCTGAGGTCAGGAGTTTGCGACCAGTCTGGCCAACATGGTGAAACCCTGTCTTCACTAAAAATACAAAAAATAGCCGGCCATGGTGATGGGAACCTGTAATCCCAGCGACTTGGGAGGCTGAGGCATGATAATCACTTGAACCCGGGAGGTGGAGATTGCAGTGAACCAAGATCGCGCCACTGTACTCCAGTGAGGGTGACAGAGCGAGACTCCATCTCAAGAAAAGAAAAGAAAGGACTCTGTAAACATTCCATGATTCTGTATACATGTGGGTGTTCCTCAAAAACAGTTCATAATTTGATTTTTTAATTTTATTATTTTTATTTATTTTTTTGAGATGGAGTCTCACTCTGCCAGCCCGGCTGGAGTGCAGTGGCACGATCTTGACTCACTGCAACCTCTGCCTCTCAGGTTCAAGCGATTCTCCTGCCTCAACCTCCCAAGTAGCTGGGATTACAGGCATGGGCCACCACGCCTGGCTAATTTTTGTATTTTTTGTAGAGAAGAGGTTTCACCATGTTGGCCAGGCTGGTCTCAAACTCCTGACCTCACGTGATCTGCCCGCCCTGGCCTCCCAAAGTTCTGGGATTACAGGCGTGAGCCACTGCTCCCGGCCGACAGTTCATAATTCCATATACAAGAAGGAAAACTTATTTGTTCTGACACCCTGAAATTCTGTACACAGGAAGTGCTCTGTAAACATTTATGATTTCATTGCTATGAATAGGCTTTATAGATATTACATAATTCTAATAGATAGAAATGGGCTATATAGAACTTCTTGATTTTATGCTTTTGTACACAGTTGGTGATTCTATAGCCGAAGAGCACTCTTCAAACAATTAATGATTCTACCTAAAGGAGGGTACAGGTTTCCCTGAACCTACCTAGAACAAAGGGTACTCTGTAAAGATTCCATAATACTAAACATAGGCAACTCTGCCTGCTGTTAATGACACTACAGATAGAAGGGTATTCTGTAAATATTCCTTGATTTCATGGCCCAGTGAGGTGGTTTATGCCTGTAATCCCAGCCATTTGGGAGGCCGAGGTGGGTGGATCGCCTGAGCTCAGGAGTTTGAGACCAGCCTGGGCAATATGGTGAAACCCCATCTCTACTAAAAATACAAAAATTAGCCAGGTGTGGTGGTGGTGAAACCCCATCTCTACTAAAAATACAAAAATTAGCCAGGTGGGCGCCTGTAATCCCAGCTGCCTGGGATGGTGAGACAGTAGAATCGTTTGAACCTGGGAGGCAAAGGTTGCAGCGAGCCGAGACCGCGCCATTGCACTCCAGCCTGGGAGACAAGAGCGAAACTCAGTCTCAAAAATAAATAAATAAATAAAAATACAAAAATTAGCTGGGCAGGATGGCACACACCTGTAATCCCAGCTTCAAAGGAGTCTGAGGCAAGAGAATTGCTGGAACCCAAGAGGAAGAGATTGCAGTGAGCTAAGATTGAGCCACTGCACTCCAGCCTGGTCGACAGAGTGAGACTGTCTCAAAAAAAAAAAAAAAAAAGGATGATGAAGCTGTCTACATAAGGATGTAGAAAAGTCTCTAAGATACAGTGTTAGGTTAAAAAGTAATTGTGGGGCCGGTCGCGGTGGCTCACACCTGTAATCCCAGCACTTTGGGAGGCCAAGGCAGGTGGATCACAAGGTCAGGAGTTCGAGACCATCCTGCCGAACACGGTGAAACTTCATTTCTACTAAAAATGCAAAAAAATTACCCGGGCCTGGTGGTGGGCGCCTGTAGTCCCAGTTACTTGGGAGGCTGAGGCAGGAGAATGGCGTGAACCTGGGAGGCAGAGCTTGCAGTGAGCTGAGATTGCGCCACTGCACTCCAGCCTGGGTGACAGAGTGAGACTCCATCTCAAAAAAAAAAAAAAAAAAAAGTAATTGTGTATCTATATAAAATTGAATATATATATACATATACATATGGAGTTGGATCACAAGGTCAGGAGATTGAGATCATCCTGCCCAACATGGTGAAATTCTGTCTCTACTAAAAACACAAAAATTACCCGCATGTGGTGGCGCATGCCCATAGTCTCAGCTACTCGGGAGACTGAGGCAGGAGAATCGCTTGAACCTGGGAGGCGGAGGCTGCAGTGAGCCGAGATTGCGCCACTGCACTCCAGCCTGGTGACAGAGCGAGACTCTGTCTCAAAAAAAGAAAATAAATAAAAACAAATAAATTAATTTATTAAATTAAATAAATGCAGTGTCAGGGTCTATATAATTTTTTTATTTTTTTATTTTTTTATTTTTGAGACAGTCTTGCTCTGTTGTCAGGCTGGAGTGCAGTCACGGGATTTTGGCTTACTGCAACTTCTGCCTCCTGGGTTCAAGTGATTCTCCTGCCTCAGCCTCCCAAGTAGCTGAGACTACAGGTGTGTACCACCATGCTCAGAAAATTTTTGTATTTTTAGTAGGGACGGGGTTTCACCATGTTGGCCAGGCTGGTCTTGAACTTCTAGCCTCAAGAGATCCGCCTGCCTCGGCCTCCCGAAATGCTGGGATTACAGGCATGAGCCACCTTTTTTTTTTTTTGGCTTTTAAATAAAAGCCCGCCAGGCTTTTTTTTTTTTTTTTGGCTTTTAAATAAAAAGAGACAGGATCCCAATATGTCGCCCAGGCTGGAGTGCAGTGGAGAATCCAGTTTTAAAGAGAGCATTCAAGCAAGAAGCTGTGAATGGCCACTCGGAAACACAGACTCCAGAGAAGTGGGGTGAGAACTCAAAAGTTAAAAGTTAGGGTCTTGCTTAGGTAGGAAGAAAACAAAGAAATTTAACAGGATTATGACTTGTTTTTTAAAAGAGATGGGGTCTCACTCTGTTGCCCAGGCTGGAATGTAGTGGTGTGATCAGGACTCACTGCAGCTTCAAACTCCTGGGCTCAAGCCATCCTCCCATCTCAGCCTCCTAAGTGGCTGGGATTACAGGCATGAACCACTGAACCTGCCTTCATTACATTTTCTATACAAGGCTGGTTTATGAGCTACAACAATTTAATTAGTTATGGTTTGTTTTTATTTCCTTTCTAGAAATACACTTAAAGAGTGTATTTGACATTCCATCTCAAGACAGTATGATGATAGTCATGAAGTCTTTGTGTGAGAAAGGTAAGAGGGAAGTTATTATACAATGAAGATGAACAGTGAAGAGGAAAGGGGTCTTCTCTGGTGCCCTTTAGTCATTTACAATATTTTCTTTCTTTCTTTTTTTTTTTTGAAACGGAGTCTCGCTGTGTCGCCAGGCTGGAGTCAGTGGTACAATCTCAGCTCACTGCAACCTCTGCAGGATTCTCTGAGGCAGGAGAATCGGGTTCAAGCGATTCTCCTGCCTCAGCCTCCTGAGTAGCTGGGACTACAGGCGCACGCTACCACACCCAGCTAATTTTTGTATTTTTAGTAGAGACAGGGTTTCACCATGTTGGCCAGGATGGTCTCATCTCTTGACCTCGTGATCCGCCCGCCTTGGCCTCCCAGAGTGCTGGGATTACAGGCGTGAGCCATTGTGCCCGGCCGTTTACAATACTTTCTAAAACAATGTAGGTAGAGAAGAGGGCTAATTATAATCAAACAAACAAAGGTAACGCCTGCCTAGGTTACAGCTGAGTAGGTTCAGAAGACTTGTGTCCCACAATCACATTCCCTTAAGGCTTGAAATATTTTAAAGTCTCAACAGCTCAGATTTTGAAATACTTATTTTCACACTTCCCTGCTTAAAAGTTTCTCAAGGACCACTGCGCCTGGCCCAGATGGTTGTATTCTTTTGAGTTTCTGATTGGCCTCTCCAAAGGAGCCAAAGAGATATGCATTTATCTCAGTGAGCAGAGGGGTGACTTTGAATAGAATGGGAGGCAGGTTGGCCCTAAGCAGTTCCCAGCTTGACTTTTCCCTTTAGCTTAGGGATCTGGGGGCCCTAAGATTTATTTTCCTTTCACAGCATCATAGCCAAAAGTGGAAAAAAGTTACTGGGTGCAGTGGCTCATACCTGTAATTCCAGCACTTTAGGAGGCCGAGGTGGGTGGATCACTTGAGGTCAGGAGATCGAGACCAGCCTGGCCAACATGGTGAAACCCCGTCTCTACTAAAAATACAAAAAAATTAGCCAGGGGTGGTGGCAGGCGCCTGTAATCCCAGCTACTTGGGAGGCTGAGGCACAAGAATCACTTGAATCCGGGAGGCGGAGGTTGCAGTGAGCTGAGCTGAGATCCTGTCACTGCACTTCAGCCTGGATGACAGCGAGATTCCGTGTCAAAAAAAAAAAAAAAAAAAAAAAAAGCTGGTGGCGGGGAGCGGGGAGAGGAAGGTGAGAACAATCGAAATACCATCAACTGATGAATGGATAAACAAAATATAGTATAGGCATACAATGGAAAATTAGCCAAAAATAAAATAAAATAAAATAAAATAAAAGATGAGGCGGGGCTTGGTGGCTCATTCCTGTAATTCTACCACTTTGGGAAGCTGAGACAGGAGGATCACTCAGCCCAGGAGTTTGAGACCATCCAGGGCAACATGGTGAGATATCATCTCTACAAAAAAATTTTTTTTAATTAGCCAGGTGTAGTGGTGTGCACCTATGGTCTCAGCTACTCAGGAGGCTGAAGTGGGAGGATCATTTGAGCAGGGGAGGTTGAGGCTGCAGTGAGCCTCGATTGCACCATTGCACTCCAGCCTGGGCAACAGAGTGAGTCCTTGTCTCAAAAGAGGAAAATGAAGAATG
Organism: Homo sapiens; assembly: GCF_000001405.40. Taxonomy (NCBI): domain Eukaryota; kingdom Metazoa; phylum Chordata; class Mammalia; order Primates; family Hominidae; genus Homo; species Homo sapiens. The sequence goes on from NC_000020.11 coordinate 49,735,016, forward strand.
ATGTACTGAAAGAAGTATGCTACATGCTACAATGTGCATGAACCTTTTTTTTTTTTTGAGACAGGGTCTTACTCTTAGGCTCAAGTGATCCTCCTCCCTCAGCCTTCTGAGTAGCTGGGGTTACAGGCATCTACCTCGGCATAAGCGGGCATTAATCTTTTTACTTTATTTTTATTTTTGAGACAGGGTCTCACTCTGTCACCCATGCTGGAGTGAAGTGGCACAATCATGGCTCACTGCAGCCTCCAACTGTTAGCCCCAAGACATCTTCCTGCTTCTGTCCCCCACGTACCTAGGACCACAGGTGCATGCCACTATGCCCAGCTATTTAAAAATTGTTTTGTAGAGATGAGGTTTTACTATGTTGCCCAGGCTGGTCTTGAACTCCTGGGCTCAAGTGATCCTCCCCACTTGGCCTCCCAAAATGCTGGGATTACAGGCATGAGTCACTGTGACTGGCCAGGCATCCATCTTGAAAACATTATGCTAAATAAGAGAAGCCAGACACAAAAGGCCACATACTGTATGATTCTATTTCTAGGAAATGTACAGAATAGGCAAATCTATTATAGATGATTAGTTGTCTAAGACTGAGAGCATGGGGAGAGATGGGGAATGACTGCTAAATGGTATGGGGCTTCTTAAGGGGGTGATGAAAATGTTCTAAAATTGATTGTGGTGTGGTTGCACAACTCTGTGAATATACTAAAAACCATTAGATTGAATATTTATTTATTTATTTAGAGACAGAGTCTCGCTCTGTTGCCAGACTGGAGTGCAGTGGCACAATCTCAGCTCACCGTCACCTCCGCCTCCCGGGTTCAAGTGATTCTCCTGACTCAGCCTCCTGAGTAGCTGGGATTACAGGTGTGCGCCACCATGCCTGGCTAATTTTTGTATTTTTAGTAGAGATGGAGTTTCACCATGTTGGCCAGGCTGGTCTTGAACTCCTGACCTCCGGTGATCTGCCCACCTCAGTCTCCCAAAGTGCTGGGGTTACAGGATGAGCCACCGCATCCGGCAGATTGAATACTTTAAATGGAAAAATCGTATCGCATGTAAATTATATTTCAATAAAGCTGTTACATATACGTATATTTTTTAATCCAATAAAAAGTCTTGGCGGGGCGCGGTGGCTGGCCTGTAATCCCAGCACTTTTGGAGGCTGAGGCGGGCGGATCACGAGGTCAGGGGATCAAGACCATCCTGCTGATTTACACGGTGAAACCCCGTCTCTACTAAAAATGCAAAAAATTAGCCGGGCGTGGTGGCGGGCGCCTGTAGTCCCAGCTACTCGGGAGGCTGAGGCAGGAGTATGGCGTGAACCCGGGAGGCGCAGCTTGCAGTGAGCCGAGATCGCGCCACTGCACTCCAGCCTGGGCGACAGAGTGAGACTCCGTCTCAAAAAAAAAAAAAAATCTCCTTCCCACTTTTGTTCTCCATTGAACCAGTTCCCAACACTAGCTGCTCCTTGCCATGCACACACACACACACACACACACACACACACACAGAGCTAACTACTATTGTTAGTTTCTTGTGTTTCTCCAGTTTTTATGTGCATAAAATATAAACATAGATTCTTTTCCCCCATGCTCTTACACAAGAATAGCATAATACTGTTCTGCCCTTTCTTTTTTCATTTAATATTTCAGTGCGTTACACTTGCCTTATTCTTTTTATTTAATTAATTAATTTATTTTCTGTAGGGACAGGGAGTCTTGCTATGTGGCCCAGGCTGGTCTCCAACTCTTGGTCTCAAGAGATCCTCCCGCCTTGGCCTCCCAAAGTGCTGAGACTATAGGTGTGTACCATTGTACCCAGCCTGATTCTCTCTCTCTCTCTTTTTTTTTTTCCTGTTCTTTTCTTTTGAGAGGGGGCAGGGTCTCACTTTGTTACCCAGGCTGGAGTGCAGTGGCACAATCTCGGCTCACTGCAACCTTTGCCTCTCAGATTCAAGTGATTCTCCTGCCTCACCTACCCTAGTAGCTGAGATTACAGGCGTGTGCCACCACCCCTGGCTAATTTTTGTTTTTTTGGTAGAGAAGCGGTTTTGTCATGTTGACCAGCCTCGTCTCGAACTCCTAGCCTCAAGTGATTCACCTGCCTTAGCCTCTCAAAATGCTGGGGTTACAGGTGTGAGCCACTGTGCCCACTGATTCTTTTTAATAGCCACATAATATTCAGTTTTATGAATAAACTATAATTAGTTTATTCTTCTAACAGAAATTTGGTTGTTTCTAATCTTTCTACCTTAACACAGTGTTGCAATATATATACATTATTTTGCACATGGGCAGGTGTGTCTGTAGGATTAATGACTAGAAATGGACTTTCTGGGTCAAAAGGTATGTCTTTGTAATGATGATAGAGACCTTGCTCCCAAGGGTGCTGTACCAGTTTACATGCTCACCAGCAACATGGGAGGGTGCTTGATCTTTGCCAGCACAACAGAGTGAGCGTCACATAGTTTCACTTGCATTTCTTCTTCTGTGATAATTCAAGCATCTTTTAATATATGTAAGAGCCGTTTGTATTTTTTTGGTCATTTCCTTTGCCATTTTCCACTGGGTGTGTACTTTTCTATTTCTAGAAAGAATATGCTTTATGTATTAGGAAGATACAGCCCTTTCTATATGAGTTGACATTTTTCCTGGCTTGTCATTTGTGTTTTGACTTTGTTTGTGGTACTTTTTGTCCCTGGACTTTAATCATTTAAAAATTTTTTCTTATTTATGTATTTATTTGAAACAGGATCTCATTCTGTCATCCAGGCTGGAGTAGAGTGGTGCCATCATAGCTTGCTGCTGCCTCAAACTTCTGGGCTCAAGTGATCCTCCTGTCTCAGCCTCTGGAGTAGCTGGGACCACAGGTGCATCCCACCATACCCGGCTATGTCCCTGGACTTTAAGCTTCTTGGCTATCTACGCTCCGTCTTATCTATTCCCTTGAACTCCCCCTATCTCCATTTCATCTGCTCACTCATTGTCTTCATCTTTTCAGGCTGCTATATCAAAATACCATAAGCTGGGTGGATTTTAAACAACAGAGGTTTATTTTTCACTGTTCTGAATGCAGGGAAGTCCAAGATCAAAGCACTGGCAGATTCAGTGTCTGGTGACGGCTTGATTTCTGGTTCATGGATGATATCTTCTCGCTGTGTCCTCACATGGTTGAGGAGGGGAAGGCAGCTCTCTGGGGCCTCTTTTATATGTGGCACTAATCCCATTTTTGTGGGTTCCACCCTCATGACCTAAACCCTTCCCAAGGCCGCACTTCCTAATACCACCCCATTGGTGATTAAGTTTCAATATATGAATTTGGTAGGGGAGACATAAACATTCAGATTTTAGCATTTCTCCCCTGGCTCCCCAAAAGTCATGTCCTTCTTGCATGCAAAATATATTCATTCCATCCCAATAGCCCCCAAAGTCTTAAACCATAATATCAGCCCACGCTTGTAATCCCAGCAGTTTGGGAGGCAAAGGTGGGTGAATCATTTGAGGTCAGGAGTTCAAGGCCAGCCTGACCAACATGGTCCAACCCCGTCTCTATAAAAATACAAAAAAATTAGCTGGGCATGGTGGCACAGGCCTGTAATCTCAGCTACTCAGGAGGCTGAGGTGAAAGGATCGCTTGAACCCGGGAGGTAGAGGTTGCAGTGAGCCAAGATCACGCCACTCCACTGCAGCCTGGACTACAGAGCGAGACTCCATCTCAAAACATAAAATAAAATAAAGATAAGATACAGGTGAGACTCAAGATACGATTCATCCTGAAGCAAACTGCTCTCTAGCCGTGAACCTGTGAACTACCAAAATACATCAATGGGATGGGCATAGGACAGACATTCCCATTCCGAAAAGGAGAAGTAGGAAGGAGGAAAGGGGTGACAGATCTGAAGCAAGTCCAAAACCTTACGTCTCAGGAACAATCTTTGACTCAAGGCTCTGCCCTCCAGGCCCACTGGGGGCTGTGCCCTGACTTCCGGACCCACTGGGATGGAGGTCCTGCCTCCACAGTTTGGCTGGGCAGCAGTTTGACCCCCAAGGCTCTGAGTGTTCTGTTCCCACGGCTTTGCTGAGTGCAGCCTATGCCACAGTTCTCATGGATTGGAGTAATGTGCCTGTGGCTGTCCCAGCCTGGCATCACGCTCTGGTGGTGCAACCAGTCTGGAGTCTCAGGGTGGCCCCACCTCTGCAGGCACCCCACCCCCATGGCTCCACTCGGCACTGCCCTTGTGGGGGCTCTCCACAGAGGCCCTGCTGCTGCCTTGCTTCTCTGCCTAGGCCCTGAGGCCTTCTGGGGGCATCCTTAGAAACTTAGGTGGAGGCAGCCACGTCCCCACAGCTTTGCTGGGCACAGTACACCCCAAACCAGGGCCCACTGGAGCGGCATCTGGGATGGCCGAGGAGGTAGAAATGGAGTGTGGGGAGCAGAGTCGAGAGGCAGTGGTAGCCAAAGTCCCACAGGCCCTGGTGGCCCCTCCTTTGAAATTGCTCTGTCCTCTGGGCCCTGGCACAATGGGCCTATCACGGGAGGAGCAGCTCCAGTCATCTCTGAAATGTCTTTGGGGTCCTTCTTTTTTTTTTTTCTAGATGGAGTCTCGTTCTATTGCCCAGGCTGGAGTGCAGTGGCACAATTGTGGCTCACTGCAACCTCCACCTCCCAGGTTCAAGAGATTCTCCTGCCTCAGCCTCCGGAGTAGCTGGGATTACAGGCACGCACCACCACGCCTGGCTAATTTTTGTATTTTTAGTAGAGACGGGGTTTCACCATGATGGTCAGACTGGTTTCAAACTCCTGACCTCAAGTGATCTGCCCACCTCAGCCTCCTAAAGTGCTAGGATTACAGGCGTGAGCCATGGCACCCGGCCTTGGGGTCCTTCTTTCATTCTCTTGGACAACAGATCCTGGTTTCTGTTGAGATGGCTGATCCATACTAATCTCCTTATCAAATGTTTCCTTGGCCACACCTTTGTTCTCTCACTCTCTTTCTCTCTCTTTCTTTTTTTTTTTGAGAGAGGGTCTTGCTGTGTTGTCCAGACTGGAGTGCAGTGGTGTGTTTATGGCTCTCTACAGCCTTGACTTCCCAAGCTCAAGTGATCCTCCCACCTCAGCCCCTCAAGTAGCTAGGACTATAGGCACATGCCAGCCTGCTATTTTTTTTTATTTGTTTTAGAAACAGGGTATTGCTATATTGCCCAGACTTGCCTCAAACTCCCTGCCACAAGCTATCCTCCTTCCTTGGCCTCCCAAAGTGTGGGATTATAGCCCTGTGCTGCCACACCCAGCTGTTCTGTCTTATATAGGCTTTCTGTTTTTTTCCAATATGGGTAGGCTTTGAGTTCTACCTTTTTGATTAACAATTCCATTTTTTTTTTTTTTTTTTTTTGGTGAGATAGAATCTCGCTCTGTTGCCCAGGCTGGAGTGCAGTGGCACAATCTTGGCTCACTACAACCTCCGCCTCCCAGGTTCAAGCAATTCTCCTGCCTCAGTCTCCCAAGTAGCTGGGATTACAGGTGCCTGCCACCACGCCCAGCTAATGTTTTGTATTTTTAGTACAGACAGGGTTTTGCAATATTGGCCAGGCTGGTTTCCAACTCCTGACCTCAGGTGATCCACTTGCCTCAGCCTCCCAAAGTGCTGGGATTACAGGCGTGAGCCACCGGTGCCTGGCCAACAATTCCATCTTTAAGTCATTTCTCTCTCACTTCATTTTACTATAAGTAGTCAAGAGAACCCAGGCTGCACCCTCAACTCTTTACTTAGAAATAGCTTCAGGCCAGGCACGGTGGCTCACGCCTATAGTCACTTGAAGTCAGGAGTTTGAGACCAGCCTGGCCAACATGGCGAAATTTCATCTCTACTAGAAATACAAAAATTATTTGGGCACAATGGCACACGCCTGTAATCCCAGCTACAAGGGAGGCTGAGGCATGAGAATAGCTTGAACCCAGGAGGCAGGGGTTGCAGTGAGCAAAGATTGTGCAACTGCACTCCAGCTTGGGTGACAGAGCCAGACTCCAACTTGAAAAATAAAATAAAAAGAAATGGCTTAAGCTACATGTCTACTTTTGTTGCTCACAAGTTCTTCCACAAAATAGTGGGTCATAAACACAATTCAGGCAAGTTCTTTGCCACTTTATAACAAGAATTGCCTTTCCTCCCGTTTTGAGTAACATATTCCTCATTTCTCTCTGAGACCTCATCAAAATGACCTTTCTTATCCATATTTTCACCAACATTCTATTTATGACCACTTAGGTCTTCTTTGAGAAGATCGGGGTTCTCGCTACAGCTCTTTTCTCCCTCCCTCCCTCCCATCCTCCTTTCCTTCCTTCCTTCCCTCCCTCCCTCTCTCCCTCTCTCCCTGTCTCTCTCTCTGTCTCTCTTTCTCTCTTTCTTTCTTCAGAGTTTCACTCTATCGCCCAGGCTGGAGTGCAGTGGCATGATCTTAGCTCACTGCAAACTCTGCCTCCCACACTCAAACTATCCTCTCGCCTCAGCCTCCTGAGTAGCTGGGACTGTGGGTGCACACCAACACGCCTGGCTAATTTTTGTATTTTTTGTAGTAACAGAGTTTCACCATGTTGCCCAGGCTGGTCCTAAACTCCTGGGCTCAAGTGATCTGCCTGCCTTGGCCTCCCAAGGTGCTGGGATTACAGGCATGAGCCACCACTCCCAGCCCCATACATGTTCTTTCTTTGTTCAAAATCCTTCCAGCCAGACGTGGTGGCTCACACCTATAATCCCAGCTCTTTGAGAGGCCGAGGCCAGAGGATCACTTGAGGCTAGGAGTTCGAGACCAGTGTGGGTAATGTAGCAAGACCCTGTCTCTACAAAAAATTAAAAAAATTAAAATTAAAAAACATAAGAAGCAAATAAACTCTTCCATAGCTCCCCATTGCCCTCAGGAAAAAATCCAAACCGCCTGACACGCCTCCCAGCCCCTGCATAAAGCAGGTCTGCCCACCTCTCCCACTCTTCCTCTGCCATTTTCCGCTCAGTTTCTTTCTTACGAACACCACCACACTGGTTTCCTTTGAGTCCCTGAATGAGGCACGCTTGCTCACGCTGTGTGTTACATCTTTCCCTCCCCTCACCTTCCCACTCTCTTAGACTAACTATACCTACACACACTCCTGGGATCAGCTCAGACCTCACCTCCAGGGAGCTTCCCTGGAGGAGGCCGCAGCTCCAGCAAGGGAGCAAAGGAGCAGGGAGGGGGCCAGCTTGGCAGGAGTGGGATGAGACAGTGGAAGGATGAGATCGGAGGGCACGGCAGAGCAAGTGATCATGGAAGGCCTTGTCAATGGATCACAGTGAGACTTCGGCTTTTCATGCTGAGTGAGGTGGAAGCCACAGGAAGATTTTCAGCAGAGAAACAGGGTCTGATTCAGGATTCTTCTGGCATCTGAGAAGCGGCTGGGAAGAAGCAGGAAGACCCCAACACTCTCAATCAGAATTAATCTCCACTTAGTCTGTGTACCCAGGGCACATGAATATACTGCTTTAAACAAGCAAACGCCTTGGTTTCTTCTGTCTAATGTTTTAGTTTCCTGTACGCAGCAGGTGCTGAAGCATAGTGATTAAGACTGAGGGCTATGCAGCCCAGCCTTTCTGAACTCCTTCCACAGGTCTGTCGCAAGGATTAAATGAATTAATCTGCATAAAGGGTGCCCAGAGCACTGTCAGTGCTCAAGGAATATTAGCCATTATTAGGAAGTGTCTGTCTGCACTGCTATAACATGACTTTTTTTTTTTTTTGAGACAGAGTTTCACTCTTGTTGCCCAGGCTGTTGCTCAGGAGTGCAATGGCACGATCTCGGCTCACTGCAACCTCCGCCTCCCGGGTTCAAACGATTCTTCTGTCTCAGCCTGCCGAGTAGGTGGGATTACAGGCATGTGCCACCATGCCCAGCTAATTTTGTATTTTTAGTAGAGATGGGGTTTCTCCACGTTGGTTAGGCTGGTCTCGAACTCCTGACCTCAGGTGATCCACCCTCCTCGGCCTCCCAAAGTGCTGGGATTACAGTTGTGAGCCACCACGCCCCATGACTTTCTAAGGAATGCTGTATTGCTTTAAGCCAGGTTCACGGAAGCAGCCCTCAGGCAGTTTGCTGGAGATCGAAGCCTCTGCTGGCTGCCTAGGTCTCTTCCTCCTGCTCCTTCTTCTCCTCTTTCCCTCTGGATTGTTGGATTCTTGCAACAGGTTCCTGCAGAATCTTGCCATTTTAACACTTCCAAAGAATGCCAATGATCCGTGGGTTTCCTGGACAGGTAGAGAAACTCACAGAAGCATCCAGCCGCAGGACGACAGGGCTGATGGCCTTGGAGCCTTTGTCTAATGCATATTGCAGATAAAGAAACGGGGGCCCAGAAAGGTTAAGCCACTTGGCATCAGGCACACAAGGCAAGAGCAGAACTGGGTAGGAATTCAGGTTTCCTCTCTCCAGTCCTGGGGTATGTTTTTTTCCTTTTATGTACTTTTTTTTCTCTTTTTTCTTTTTCTAAAGACAGTCTTACTCTGTTGCCCAGGCTGGAGTGAGGTGGCTCCATCTCAGCTCACTGCAACCTTCGCCTCCCAGGTTCAAATAAGTCTCCTGCCTCAGCCTCCTGAGTAGCTGGGAATACAGGCATGTGCCACCACAACTGGCTAATTTTTATATTTTTAGTAGAGACAGAGTTTTGCCATGTTGGCCAGGCTGGTCTCAAACTCCTGACCTCAAGTGATCCCTCTGCCTCAGCCTCCCAAAGTGCTGGGATTATAGGCATGAGCCACCGCAGCTGGCACTCCTTTTATATAGTTTTAAAAGTACATAAGGAGTAAAAGTATGCAAGGTAAGGAGGGCCAGGCGCAGTGGCTCATGCCTGTAATCCCAGTACTTTGGGAGGCCAAGGTGGGTAGATCACGAGATCAGGAGTTCGAGACCATCCTGGCCAATATGGTGAAACCTCATCTCTACCAAAAATAAAAAACAAAATTAGCCGGGTGTGGTGGCACACGCCTGTATTCCCAGCTATTCAGGCAGCTGAGGCAGAAGAATCACTTGAACCTGGGATCACACCCTGGGATCGGCAGTGAGCCGAGATCGCACCACTGCATTCCAGCCTGGGTAACAGAGCAAGACTCCGTCTCAAAAAAAGAAAAAAAAAAAAAGTAAGGAGGTCTCATCTTTAAAAAAAATGCACGTAAGTGAAAAAAATTGTCTTTAATGATCACCCTGTGCCATCTGCCAACATTCTCTATCCATATCCGCTGCTCTGTTTTTTTTTTTTTTTTTGCCAAAGCACTTATTTCCACTTGATATATCAGCCACTGGAATGGGAACACCCAGAAGGCATGGATATATGCAGAGTGTGGTCTCAGTGCTAAGGACAGTGCCTGGCACAGAGTAAATGTTCAATAAATATGTGTTTAAAAGAATAAATAATACAGCCAGTCATGGTGGCTCATGCCTGTAATCCCAGCACTTTGGGAGGCTGAGGTGGGAGGATTGCTTGAGCTGAAGAGTTTGAGAACAGCCTGGGTAACATAGCAAGACCCTGTCTCTATCTCAAAAATAAATAAATAAATAAAGCCCTGCAATCCTTGTTCCTCCCCTATGCCAACATAATTGCTGTTATCAATTTGGCTTTGCTATTCTTCTAGACCAGTACCATCCAATAGAAGGCTCTGCAGCGATGCATAGATCCTATATCTGCACTGTTTAATCCACCCACCACTAGCTGCGCTGGAAATGGGCCTGATGCCATTGAGGAACTAAACTTTACATTTTATTTAGTTGTAATTCATTTGCATTTAAATGTAAACAGCCACACGTGGCTGGTGACAAGCATATCAACTGTTCTAGACATTTTTTTTCTGGGCATTTGCATATGTATATGTCATCAGGGGCTATTTTGCGTTTTTGTTTTACGTACATTTTCATGCTCCATGTAGCCTTCTGCTACTTACTTTTTTGCATTGAGCAACACTACATTTTGGAAGGCTTTTCATATCAGGCCATATAGATCTGCCTCATTCTTTTTACTTGCTGCACAGAAGTGCATAGTATAGATGTGCCATAATTTGTTTAGCCATTCTCTATCGGGAGACATTTACTTATTTACTTACTTACTTTTCTCTTTTTTCGAAAAATAGAGATTTGTTGTGGGGGAGGGCGGGGTTTTGCTATTTTTGCCCAGGCTGGTCTCGAACTCTTGGCCTCAAGTAATTCTCTTGCCTTGGCCTCCCAAAGCGGTGGGATTACAGATGTGAGCCACCACAACTGGCCAATATTATTATTATTATTGATTTTTTTTTTTTTTTAGAGATAGAGTCTCGTGGCCGGGCATGGTAGCTCGCGCCTGTAATCCCAGCACTTTGGGAGGCCAAGGTGGGCAGATCACTTGAGGTCAGGAGTTTGAGACCAGCCTGGCCAACATGGCAAAACTCCGTCTCTACTAAAAATACAAAAATTAGCCAGGTGTGGTGGCGCCTGTAATCTCAGCTACTCGGGAGGCTGAGGCAGGAGAATCGCTTGAATCTGGGAGGCAGAGGTTGCAGTGAGCTGAGATCGTGCCATTGCACTCTAGCCTAGGCAACAGAATGAGACTCCATGTCAAAAAAAGAAAAACAAAGGCTGGGCGTGGTGGCTCACGCCTGTAATCCCAGCACTTTCAGAGGCCGAGGTGGGCAGATCACCTGAGGTCAGGAGTTTGAGACCAGCCTGGCTAACATGGTGAAACGCTGTTTCTACTAAAAATACAAAAAATTAGCTGGGCGTGGTGGCACACGCCTGTAGTCCCAGCTACTCGAGAGGCTAAGGCAGGAGAATCGCTTGAACCCTGGAGGCGGAGGTTGCAGTGAGCCGAGATCACACCATTGCACTCCAGCTTGGGCAACAAGAGCGAAATTCCATCTCAAAAACAAAAAACAAAAACAAGAGACATAGGGTCTCACTCTGTCACAGACTGGAGTACAGTGGCTTGAAAATAGCTCACTGTAATCTTGAATTCCTGGACTCAAGGGATCCTCCCACCTCAGCCTCCTGAGTAACTAGGACTACAGGTACACAGCACTGTGCTGGTTGATTTTTAAATTTTTTGTAGAGATGGAGTCTCACTATGTTGCCCAAGCTCGTCCTGAACACCTGGCCTCAAGGGTCATTTAGATGGTTTTCAATTTGTCTCTATTAAAAATAGACCTGCAACAAATGTTACTGTTCATACCTTCTTGGGCACGTGCATGACCTTTTCTCTCTGATGAGTACGAATAACAATAGTTCTTTATTTCTTTCTTTCTCTTTCTCTCTCTCTCTCTCTCTTTTCTTTTTTTGACAGAGTCTCATTCTGACACCCAGACTGGAGTGCAATGGCGCGATCTCGGCTCACTGCAACCTCCACTTCCCAAGTTCAAGCAATTCTCCTGCCTCAGCCTCCCAAGTAAATGGGATTTCAGGCGCCTGCCACCATACCCAGCTAATTTTTTTGTATTTTTAGTAGAGACAGGGTTTCGCCACGTTGGCCAAGCTGGTTTCAAACTCTTGACCTTAGGTAATCCACCTGCCTCAGCCTCCCAAAGTGCTGGGATTACAGGCATGAGCCACCGTGCCCGACTTTTTTTTTTTTTTTTTTCAGCATCTTGCTCTGTCACCCAGATGGGAGTTCAGTGGCGCGATCTCTGCCCACTGCAACCTCCTTTTCCTGGGTTCAAGCAATTATCCTGCCTCAGGCTTCCAAGTAGTTGAGATTACGAGCATACACCACCATACTCAGCTAATATTTGTATTTTTATTAGTGACGGGGTTTCACCATGTTTGTGAACAGGCTGGTCTCGAATTCCTGACCTCAAGTGATCTGCTTGCCTTGGCCTCCCAAAGTGCTGGGATTACAGGTGTGAGCCACCACTCCTGGCCCAATAACAATAGTTCTTATTTTAGTAATAATAATAATTGCTTCTACTTACTGAGCCCTTATTGCCTGAGCCGAAGCATTGCTCTAAGCCCTTTACTTGTATTAAATGATGTAATTATTTTTACGAGCTGGGCACAATGGCTCATGCCTGTAGTCCCAGCTACTAGGGAGGCTGAGGTGGGAAGATTTCTTGAGCCCAGAACTTGGAGGCTGCAGTGAGCTATAAGCTATGATCATGCCACCATACTCCAGCCTGGGCAACAGAACAAGACCTTGTCTCTCTTTTATTTTTTTCTCTTTTGAGACAGGGTCTCACTCTGTCACCCAAACTGGAGTGCAGTGGGGCGATCTTGGCTCACTGCAACCTCTGCCTCCTGGGCTCGAGGGATCCTCCCACCTTAGCCTTCCAAGTAGCTGGGACCACAGGCACACACCATCATGCCCAGCTAATTTTTGTATTTAGCCATGAGCCTCCATGCCCGGCAAGACCTTGTCTCTTAAAAAAAATTTATTATGTTGAATAAGAGAGGTTTTATTATTATTTCCATAGTACAGATGCAGAATCTGAGCCTCAGTTTTAGAAATTTGCCCAAAATTACATAACCAGTAAATGACAGAGCTGAGATGTGAACTCAAACATCCACTTCTTGAGTCTGAATATCCATTTTCTGTTTTCCTAGCTCTTACCAAGCTAGCCTGCTGAGGGACTATGCTAGTGTCCACACAGGCATGGGTCCTTCACCCACAGAGCCGCACTGCCACCCCAGGGATCACTTTCCAGGTTTGAGGCCCTGGGCCCCTGGATCTAGGGTAAGACATGCATCCCTGGAGCCTTGGAACTGGGCAGAGCTGAAGTTTCGGTCCATCTTGGAAGCACTAAACTACAGACATGCCCTGTGTCTTGTCCCATCCCCCTATTATTAAGTCCTGAGTCTTCCTCCCTGGCTGGTGATGTGCTGAGAGTGATAAGAAGATAACAGCAAGACAGACAGAGTGAGAGCGACAGGCTGACTTACGTAACCTGGTGGAAAGTGATACAGGCAGATTCGCTGATGGGAAACAAACAGAAAGGGAGTCAGGCAGAGCTTCCTGGAATCCAGGTCTAGGAGCTGCCAAAAACAGGCCTCCTCTCTTAGGAACAATTGAATGTCACTGCAGTAACCGAACACTGCTGGCCAGAGAGGCCTCCTGCCCACAGCCTCACAGAGCGGCCTGTGTGAGCCAGGACAGGCTCCAGAGGAAAAAAGGGCCTGGCAAGGTGCCCTGTGAGGCTATCTGAGGAGACATTGCAGTTCCTCACCCTGGATGGGCCTCCACCAGCACAGGGCTGCGAGTTGAAGGCCAGGGAATTCCCAGGGCGAGTCCCAGGCACAGAGGCTGTGAGCTAGGAGGGCTCTAACCTGGGGTTAAGCCCTGAACTCAGAAGCCGGGCTCCTAGGCTCTTATCCTAGCTTTTTTCTGCTGTGTGACCCTGGGCATGGCATAACCTCTCTGAGACCTCTCTCTCTCAGTCTTCTCATTGGTAGAAAGGGAATAAATATGTGATAGTAGATAAAAATAGGACTCGTAGAAAGGGGATAAAAATGTTATAAGAATCAAATAAGCCAGGGGCTTGACAAACCTTTTAGGTAAATAGCCATATAATATAGATTTTAGGCTTTGTCGGCAGTACAGTCTCTGCCACAACTATTCAACTCTGCTGTTGTACAGCACACAAAAACAACAACAACAAAAAACCAAATGACTATGCCCACGTGCCAATAAAACTTTATTTCTGGGTACTGAAACTTGAATTTTACATAATTTTCATGTGTCACAAAATATTCTTTTTTTTTTTAAATTTGTATTTATTTACTTGTTTTTATTTATTTGTTTATTTGAGATAGAGTCTCGCTCTGTTGCCTAGGCTGGAGTGCAGTGGCACATTCTTGGTTCACTGCAACCTCTGCTTCCTGGGTTCAAGTGATTCTTCTGCCTCAGCCTCCCCAGTAGCTGGGATTACAGGTGTGCACCGCCATGCCCGGCTAATTTTTATATTTTTAATAGAGACAGGGTCTCGCTATGTTAGCCAGGCGGGTCTCGAACTCCTGGTCTCAAGTGATCTGCTCACCTCAGCCTCCCAGAGGGTTGGGATTACAGGTGTGAGCCACTGCGCCTGGCCTCCAGCCATCATATTTTATCTAATGTTCCATTCGGAGACATGTAGATTGTCTCTAGTTTTTCTTTCTTTCTTTTTTTTCTTCTTTTTTTTTTTTTTTTTTTTTTTTTTGAGACGGAGTCTCCCTCTGTCGCCCAGGCTGGAGTGCAGTGGCGCCATCTCAGCTCACTGCAAGCTCCACCTCCCGGGTTCACGCCATTCTCCTGCCTCAGCCTCCCGAGTAGCTGGGACTACAGGTGCCCGCCACCACACCCAGCTAATTTTTTTGTGTGTGTTTTTAGTAGAGATGGGGTTTCACCATGTTAGCTAGGATGGTCTCAATCTCCTGACCTCGTGATCCACCTGCCTCGGCCTCCCAAAGTGCTGGGATTACAGGCGTGAGCCACTGCGCCCGGCCCTAGTTTTGCATGCTCAGGGCTGTGAAACACATCCTCAGCTATTCTTGTCTGCTTGTTTCTTAAACACCTAGACCTGGAATTTGCAGGGGGAAAAGCATAAACCTGGGGCCTCCAATGCATGTTACTTAGGCAGGTGGTTGTGCATTGGATTGCTCTTGTTCCTGGGCAGGACAGATAGTGGCTAAAAGCCAGGCTTTGAAGTCCTGTAGAGCAGAGTTCAAATCCCAGCTCAGTATTTACTGGCTGGGTAATCTTTGGCAGGTCACTTCACCAGTTTGAGCCTCCATTTCCTCATTTGTAAAATCCTGCCTTCATTGGTCCTCATCTCACTTCTGACTCTAAACCACCATATCCCAAGATGGGGCTGATTAGAATGACTTCCTCATGGAAGTTACAATTATTGAAATTGTAATCGCTTGATGAATGGAAGTTCCCACTTCTTTTATCCCAGGCAGTTTCTCAAAAGCAAAAGGAAAAGGAACTAAGGCCAAAATCTGGGAACCTACAAAATCACTGGGAATGAAACAGAAGTGTGGGCATTAGAATGGAGGCTCAATATCCCAGTCCAAGATCTATGGATCTGGTGGAAAATAACCCACTAAAACTGGCTCCAACTATAATAAAAGGGGGAGGCTGGGCTCGGTGGTTCAGCCTGTGATCCTAGCACTTTGGGAGGCCAAGGCGTGCAGGTTGCTTGAGCCCAGGAGTTTGAGACCAGTCTGGGCAACATGGCGAAACCCTGTCTCTACAAAAATACAAAAAATTAGCTGGGTGTGGTGGTGAGTGCCTGTAGTCCTAGCTACTGGGAGGCTGAGGTGGGAGGATCACCTGAGCCCAGGGAGTTTGAGGCTTCAGTGAGCCATGATTGTGCCACTGTTCTCTGTTCTCCAGCCTGGGTAACAGAATGAGACCCTGTCTCAAAAAAAAAAAAAAAAAAAAAAAAAAAGAGGAAAAAAGAAAGAAAAAAAAGGGGAAATTCACCATAAGAAGTATCAGTCAGGAGTGTTTCTGCTGTTGCAGAAACCCAACTAAATTTGGTTGAAGCATGAGGAGAATCAACTTTTATTTTTGGTCACTTAATTGAAAACATCAGGACAAGTGCCAGCTTCCAGCACAGCTGGACCCAAGGGCCAACATGTGGCTCCAGGGACTCTCCCTCCGTTTCCAGTGCTGCACTCCAGCTTTTGCTGTGTCCCCACTCCTGGGTCAAGATGGCCTCTCAGCAACCGCAGAGCCAGGCAATTCTGTCTTTTCACGGATGAGAACAGAAAGTCCCAGAAGGAAGTCTCACTGGGTCTAGCCTGGTCACATGCCCATTTCTAAACCAATCGCTGTGACTGGGCCAGCCTAGAGCTAGGCAGAGCTGGCCCCCACGGACAGAAAGGAGGAGACCCGTAGCTCCCGGGAGAATGCAGGTGCTGTTTCCAGAAGGGGCATCAAGGCCAGAAAGGCAAAGACAACAGGTGTCTATTATGCCACCTGGCTGTACTTTTTGTGAGAACCGCTGTTATCACATGAAACACAAGGGCAGGAAGTGCAGTGGCCTCACACATTTCTTAAATGAGCACCTGAAAGGCCACCAGGAATTGTGGCAGCCAAATCCTGGTCTCTCTATGACTCTGCCCACAGGTTTCCTCATCTCTGCTTCTCTCTTTTCCCTCTCCCTGTCTTCTTCCCTGAGCCCATGAGCAAACCCGACTGCCCCATAGCACCTGACAGCACAACCCCTTCCTTTAAGCAACAGCCCACAAGACTCACCACATTCTCAAGACAGAGAATCTGATCACCTCAACCAGTCAGGTGCCCGTCTTTGTGCAGTCAATTCTGGCTGGAGGGCAGGGTTGAGTAGCTTGTACGCGTGGTTTCATGGGGTAGTTGCACCTGTTTCAAAGAGAGATGGGTCACCACAAACTGGGCAGAAACCACACGATATGTCCATGATGCTCTGCAGCTGAATGAAGTTATCTACAAAGAAACTGAAGCCAAGGCCAGGCAGAAGTCAGGCCTGAAGCTAAGAATTTGTTTCCCCAAGACAGGAACATTCCTGCATCTGGAGGCTGAGGCTGCTTGGACAGAGAAGTGCATCCAGCTGCCAAGGTGAAGCTCTGAAGGGGCCTGTCCATGAGAGCAGGGCCAAGAACGCCTAAGCCCACCAGTAAGATGCAAGAACACCTGTGCGAAATAATAATAATGATCATAGCTGGGTGTGGTGCCTGACAGCTGTAATCCCAGCACTCAGGGAGACAGAGGCAGGAGGATCACTTGAGCCCAGGAGTTTGAGACCAGCCTGGGCAACCTGGCAACCCCTTCCCCACACCCCTTGTCTCCACAAAAACGACAAAAAATTTTTAAAATGATAATAATATAAAATAGCACTAATAATAAATGTTATTCAGTGCTGCTGACCAGGTATCACTCTAGACACTTAAATGAACAGCATTTTTGCTTTTTTGTTTCTTTGTTTTTGAGACAGAGCCTCACTCTGTCCCCCAGGCTGGAGTGCAGTGGCACCATCTTGGCTTATTGCAAACTCTGTCTCCTGGGTTCAAGTGATTTTCATGTCTCAGCCTCCGGAGCAGCTGGGATTACAAGCGTGTGCCACCACGCCCAGCTAATTTTTTGTATTTTTAGTGGAGACGGGGGTTTCACCATGTTGGTCAGGCTGGTCTCAAACTTCTGGCCTCAAAGTGATCCACCCGTCTCAGCCTCCCGAAGTGCTGGGATTACAGGCGTTAGCCACTGTGCCTGACCTAAATGCGCAGCATTTTTAAGCCTAATGATACAGTCAGATGGGTATTTATTATCCTCATTTACAGAACATATATTGAATGAGTGAGCATTAACTGATCTTTCACCTTATTAATTCACTTAGTCATTCACTCACTCAATGGATAAACAATTAATGAATGCCAACTATATGCCAAATACCATGTGTGCTGGGTGTTGGGACACAAGCAGTCCTGTCTTTGTGAATGTTACAGTAAAATGTTGGAGGCTCTGAAGGGTGAGTGGTCATTAATTAGACGGTTAGACTAATAAGAGGGGAAGGGAAAGGCATTCCAGGTAGAAGGAACTCCATGTGCTAAGGCACTGTGGGGGAAGGGCATGTGTGGGGTGGGAGCAATGCCTGTTGACTGATGGTGTGCCAGAGAGGCAGAGAGCCACGCAGTTTACACCTGCTGGCTCACTGACCCTTACCACAGTCCTGTGAGATAGCTACTGCTATTAATATCATTTTGTAGATGAGGAAATCGAGGCACAGAGAAGGTAAGTAACTTTCCCAAGGACACACAGCACCATTAGCAGTGAAAGAGCAGCAGTTATAACCCAGGCCTGTGACCAGAATTCTGAACATCTCTAATCTTTAAGTAAAGGAAGGCAGGAGAAATTGGTCCATTTGGGGCAGGTGTGTTTTCTGGGAACCTTCCAGCACTATTTTCACTTGCAGCTGTAGCCACAGGCTACATAGATGATTTCCAGAATGGAGGGGAAGAAGAGTGCACCCAGCCTTTCCTGGCCACAGGCAGGAATCCTTTTAGCCAGTTATTAATGCTCAGCCACAGGAGATGCCGCAGTGAGACACACAGAGGAGCCAGACCAGGGAGAGGCAGCAAGAAAGACAGCATTGATCCTGGAGGTATACATTTAGGAGAGAGAACCTGTCAGAACAGAAAGAGCTTGGACTTGGGACCAGGCCAACCTCAGCCCAAATGGCAGCCCTGCTACCCACCAGCTCTGTGACCTTAAGTAAGTTTCCTCTTAGTCTCCAGTTCTTTATTCAAGCAGAGTAAAAGTATGCTTCCCGCCTCCCTCCCACCTCCATCCTGTAGCCAACAGTCCCCCCTCCCCAGAGGCAGGCACTATGACTAGTTTCATGCATCATCTTCCGGGTAAATTGTAGAGAGATAGATGGATGAATAGAAGTATATATGTGTGTGTATAATATAGTACACACATATATGCAAATATTGTAACTATTGGGATGCTTTGACTAAGTACAAAAAAACCTACAGATGCAAGATTTACTTATTAAGAACTGTGGAGATAATAAATGCCTAATTTCTGTGTCCAACTGCTCATTAATGTCTAGTAAGAATCTCAAATTTAACATGGTTAAGATTAAACTTTTATTGTTATTATTATTATTTTGAGACAGAGCCTCACTCCGCTGCCCTGGAGTGCAGTGGTGCAATCTTGGCTTACTGCAGCATCAACTTCCCAGGCTCAAGCAATCCTCCCACCTCAGCCTCCTGGGACTGCAGGTGCACACCACCACGCCTGTCTAATAAAATTAAACTTTATGATTCCTCACCCTCCAAACCTGTTTCTCCCTTACTAAATACCTGGTTACTCAAGCCAAAAATACACTGAAATAATTCTGGATTTTTCTCTCTTTCACTCACTTTTTTTGGGGGGTGCTGGGGTGCAGTGGCGCCACCTCAGCTCACTGAAACCTCCACCTCCTGGGTTCAAGGAGATTCTTGCGCACCAGCCACTGGAGTAGCTGATTACAAGTGTGTGCCACCATGCCCAGGTTTTTTTTTTTTGGTTTTTTTTTTTTTTGGTATTTTTAGTAGAGACAGGGTTTCGCCATGTTGGCCAGGCTGGTCTCGAACTCCTCACCTGAAGTCATCCACTTGCCTTGGCCTACCAAAGTGCTAGGATTACAGGCATGAGCCACCACGCCTGGCCTTTCACTCACTTTTTACATCTGATTCATCACATAGTCCTGTCCAGCTTTTCTGAAAATCTAGAGATAGATCCACCATTAAGTGAATGAAGCAAAGCTGAGATCAGGGCTCTTCAATTGCACAGCCCCTTCCAAATCTAGCAATATGTTCACACAGTCATGTGTTTCTGCAACATCTGCAAAGGTAAGTATTTTAGCTGCAACTGGTTAGACAAGGTCTCTCCAGCTCCCCAACGTTGCCTGCCTGGGAATGTGCATCGGGTGGCATTTGGGGAGCTATGGGCAGGGATCAGCTAAGGGGAAGATGAGTTAGGGAATCCATTAAATTTGGGTTTAGTGGATGTAATCTTTTTTTTGTTTTTTAATAGAGGTGGGGGTCTCACTGTGTTGCCCAGGCTAGACTTGGGCTCCTGGGCTCGAGTGATCCTCCCACCTCAGGCTCCTGAGTAGCTGGGACTACAGGTGTGCACCACTGCACGCAGCTTTAGCGGGATGTAGTCTTGTAGCTCACGATCTTTTCGGTGAATAAGGAAAGTATTGCTTGTTGTCCTGGCAGAGAAATGGCTTCCAGGATACTCCTTCTGCCCATGCTACTGACTCACCCAGTATCAAGACACAAAAGTCTGGCACGGTGGCTCATACCTGTAATTTCAGCACTTTGGGAGGCCAAGGCAGGAAGATTGATTGAGCCTAGGAGTTCCAGACTAGTCTGGGCAACATAGTGAAACCCTATCTCTTCAAAAAAAAAAAAATTGTTTTAGCTAGCCTGGAGTGGTGGTGGTGTGTTCCTGTAGTCCCAGCTATTAGGGAGGCTGAGGTGGGAGGATCACTTGAGCCCAGGAGGTCAAGACTACAGTGAGCCATGATTGCACCACTGCACTCCATCCTGGGCAACAGAGAAGCCCTGTCTCAAATTAAAAAATAAAAATAAAAAAACAGGCACAAAAGTGACTGGGCACAGTGGCTCACGCCTGTAATCCCAGCACTTTGGGAGGCCGAGGCGGGCAGATCACGAGGTCAGGAGATCGAGACCATCCTGGCTAACATGGTGAAACCCTGTCTCTACTAAAAATACAAAAAAATTATCTGGGCGTGGTGGCGGGTGCCTGTAGTCCCAGCTACTCGGGAGGCTGAGGCAGGAGAATGACGTGAACCCGGGAGGCGGAGCTTGCAGTGAGCCGAGATCGTGCCACTGCACTCCAGCCTGGGCAGCACAGCAAGACTCCATCTCAAAAAAAAAAAAAAAAAAAAGACACAAAGTTATAGTACTAAGGATGCCAGAGCAGGAAGAGAGAAGGAATCTGAATCCTTAGTGATAGCATTGCTTCCCTAAATGAACCAACTGTGAAACTGTTCTACATCCAGACTCCTCATAGGTAAATTATACATTTGCGGGTTGGGTATTGTTTTATATTTGCAGCCAAAAGCATCCCAACAGATACAACAATATATGCTTCCATGCCTCTAAAGTTAACCTGGAAGGAGATATACAAGACTGGTAATGCTGAATGCCTCTGTGGAGGGGGACAGGTAGCAGAGGGGAATGGGAGGGAGACCTATTTAATTCAGATTTTTTTGTGTGTGCTTGAATTTTGTTTCTCTGGGGCCAACTTTCACCATTTCAAAAAGTAGATAGTAAAACTTCAAAGTATGTGGAACACTTGGGAACTTTTTTTTTTCTTTGGGACAGAATCTTGCTCTGTTGCCCAGGCTGGAGTACAGTGGCACAGTCTCGGCTCACTGCAATCTTCTTGTCCCAGGTTCAAGTGATTCTTGTGCCTCAGCCTTCCAAATAGCTGAGATTACAGGCATGCACCACCACGACTGATTAATTTTTCGTAATTTTAGTAGAGATGTGATTTCGCCATGTTGCCAGGCTTGTCTCAACCTCTTAAGCTCTGGTGATCCATCCGCCTCAGCCTTCCAAAGTGCTGGGATTACAGGTGTGAGCCACGGTGCCCAGCCAGGTTTTTCATTTCTTTTAAGCGCATGAAAGAAGTACATTTAATCTGGCAAGGCTGGCTCTTGCTGAAGTGGTCTCGGAGAGGCCATTGGAACAACAAAGAAAGAAATGTCATTGGCAAGTTCAGATACTAAAGGGTTGGAAAGTGATCTGGCACTCAGCATCCTGCAGCTTGAGGGACATTTGGAGTTCTTCCTGCCTGCTTCCCACTGCTGAGCAATTCCCAGCCCAGCCTGATATTTCAAATGATTTCCAGGAAGGGGAACCTGGCACCAGCTGTACCCCCTTGAAGTTCTTGTGACTGTCTTCTTCAAATGCATCCGCCTGCTTCTTCTTCAAAAGACAAGAGAAAATGCTGCTGGCGAGCTAAGAGACTTCAAAGATGGTTTTGTCATGTGTTTTTTGAGTCAAGAGGCTAAGTTTCTGAGAGGAGGAGAGATTTTTTTCAAGGACACATACAGTTAATTGGTGACAGGACTCCAGTGTCCACTTAGCTAGGCTCCTTCTTGCTCCTGTTCTGCCCAGGGTCCTTAGTTCTTCCAGGCTGTTCCACCCAGTAGGCCTCCCAGGTTCTCAAAGTGATAGCACAGGGAGATCTCCTGGGGAAAAAAATGACCTTGACATCCATGGTCTGTGAGTCTGGGGAAGGCTGCATTCTATAGCAGCCTCCTGGAGATTTACAGAGCATGTTGGCAGATTAAGGGTTCTGCAGAGTCCTGCATAAAGAAAACTACTTAAAAAAAAATTCCTGGCCAGGCACGGTGGCTCACGCCTGTAATCCCAGCACGTTGGGAGGCTGAGGCGGGTGGATCACTTGAGATCAGGAGTTCAAGACCAGACTGGCCAACATGGTGAAACCCCATCTCTACTAAAAATACAAAAAATTAGCCGGGCGTGGTGATGCGTGCCTGTAATCCCAGTGACTCGGGAGGCTGAGGCAGGAGAATCACTTGAACCCAGGAGGCAGAAGTGGCAGTGAGCCGAGATCACACAACTGCACTCCAGCCTGGTCTTGCTGTGTCACAAAAACAGAGTCTTGCTCTGTCCCAAAAACAAAAACAAAAACAAATTCCTCCCAGGTCAGGATATCAATAGTACTCACCTCGTAGTGTTGTCATGAAGATTAGTATCACGAGGCTACAACCATTTATCGGATATCAGAGTTTCAAAATTTACACTAAATGGGTTCAATAAGATTATGTATAACCTCAGGACAGGTCAGGATTTCCTTCCAAATGAGTGCTGGCATCAGACTTTTGAGAAACAGTTCATTTCATAGCCTTTTTTGTTTTGTTTTGTTTTTCAGAGATGTTTCTAGTTGTCATTATGGGCTTTTTTTTTTTTTTTCTGATGCCTGTCTTCCTCCTGCAGTATGATAGCCTTTTTTGATTTTAGAATTGTGGTTAAAGGAATGAGGACTTGTAATGAAGATAATAGCTAATATTTATTGAGCATTTTTGTGAAACCCGGCAATGTTCCAAGTGCCTCACATCAATGAACTTATTGAATCCACAGAGCAACTGCACGTGACAGATAGTGTGGTAAACCCTGTCGGGCAAATGAGCAAACTGAGGCGTAGGGGGACTAAGTAACGCACTCAAGCAGCAGAGCTGGGAGTAAATGAGACAATATGTATGAATTGTTTATCACAATGCCTAGCACATAATCAACAATCCATATAAACATTAGCTATTATCCTCATTAATGATGGGAGAATCATGACTAATCTTTTTTATTTTTTGTTTTTCAGACAGGATCTTGCTCTGTCACCAGGCTGGAGTACAGTGGTGCAATCATGGCTCACTGCAGCCTCAATCTCTTGGGCTCAAGCAATCCTCCTAGCTCAGTCCCCAAGCAGCTAGGACAGGTGTGTGCCACCACACTCAGCTAAGTTTAAAAATCTTTGTAGAGATGAGGTTTTGCCATGTTGCCCAGACTGGTCTTGAACTCCTAGGTTCAAGCAATCCTCCCGCCTCAGCCTCCCAAAGTATTGGGATTACAGGCGTGAGCCACCACGTCTGGCCTTGACTAACTTTTATCTTCTTTGCACCCATGTAGAATTTCTAATTTTACTATAATAAAAATATTCTGGGCTGTGTGTGGTAACTCATGCCTGTAATCCCGGCACTTTGGAAGGCCAAGGTGGGCGGATCACTTGAGGTCAGGAGTTCAAGACCAGGCTGGCCAACTTAGCAAAACCCCATCTCTACTAAAAATACAAAAATTAGCCAGGCATGGTGGCACATGCCTGTAGTCCTAGCTACTTGGGAGGCTGAGGCATGGGGAGGCAGAGGTTGCAATGAGCTGAGATCATGCCACTGTACTCCTGTGATGGAGTGAGACTCTGTCTAAAAAAAAAAAAAAAAAAAAAAAATTATATGTGGGGGAAAATGTTTTTCAAAAGATTAGACAATTTCTGAATTGAGCCTAATATCTCAATATCTCTCAGTCTCTCTTCTCACTCCATCAGGTCTGATGCTGGTCTGGGCAGAAATGGATTTGTCACCTCAAAGATGACTTCCTTGGGCACAACTAGGCCAGACGCTGGGTACCTTGTGGTGGCCCTGGAGGGGTACAGCTTCAAGAAAGAACTTGCCGATCCCCTGCAAAGAATGCAGTTAGCCAACAGCCTTCGGCCTCAGCACATTTGAGATCTGCCTTAACTTTCAAGCCAAGGCTAGCTCTTCCTGAGCAGGCTCCAGCGAAGAACCTGCATGGAGGGACTAGGACCCGACCAGTTCTGCCCAACATGGGGCTCCCCTAACAAACAGTCTTTGTTCTGGAGCTCCCAAACTGAGTTGACAAAGCCTCTGTCAGCCCTGCATTGCCGTCTGAGGCTCCCCTGCTGAGTGCTGCTTTCACCCACTTTTGTCTTTCACAGGCATGACACTCCTCCCTCTCGTCCTACTAGCTCCACTTTACCATCTGCTTCCCAGAGGACTGGAACTGACATGCTGCCTTTACTACCCCGCAACCATTCTCACCCCACCTCCACATATGCCTGCCCAAATAATCTTGATTTTGGGCTCAGCTACTAGATCGAAATCCCTTCATCTTTGGAGAGTGGGTTGCTCCCCAGCCCCAGCAGATAAATCATGATCTGTCTTAAGTAGACCCAGTAAGTCCTTTCTGTTCTACAGGAATTGGTCCAGGATGGGTGCCTGGTCCGCCTTTTAGCCAATGAGAGGTCAGGGGAAATCTGGGGCTTCACTTTACTAATAACATAGACCTTCAGGTAGTTAAAGCCTTCTGCCCTGCCCCTTCCCTTCCATTTTGATCAGTGTCCTGTGATCAAATGATGTGAGGCACTGCAGCAGCTGTTTTGGGCAATGAGTTTGAGGACAAAAGCCAACTGCTGAAGATGACAGAGCAGAAAGATGAGAAGAGCCTGAGTCCTGAAGAACACCCCCGAGCCCCTGCAATGACTCTGGAGCTGCTGACCTCCACATGTTTTGCTATAAAAAAAAAGATTGCATTTCTTCTTTGCTCAAGCCACCATGAATCAGGCATGCTGTGACTGGCCGCTGAAAATATGGTAACGCATGCAGTCACATTCCCCATGTTCTATTCTCCAGATTACCTTCAAACAACTGAAGGTACAGGACTCAGAGTTCCCGTTGAGGTATTTGAACTATTTTCCTGGAAGGGAAATATTCAAAAAGTCCTCTCAGCCCCGGGCACAGTGGCTTACACTGTGGATTACAAAAGGACTTTTAAGGACTCATAGGATTACAAAATCCTGTAATCCCAGCACTTTGGTGGGCAGGTCACCTGAGATCAGGAGTTCAAGACCAGCCTGGCCAAAATGGTGAAATCCCGTCTGTACTAAAATTATAAAAATTACCGAGTGTGGAGGTGCATGCCTGTAATTCCAGCTACTGGGGAGGCTGAGGCAGGAGAATCACTTGAACCCGGGAGGCCGAGGTTGCAGTGAGCTGAGATCACACCATTGCACTCTAGCCTGGGCAACAGAGTGAGACTGCATCTAAAAAAAAAAACCAAAAAAATTATCTCATTTCCAACTTGCCAACACCTGTGATAATGTAAACCAAAAATGAAATTCTAAGCCCCTCAACTGACTGAATGAATCCCCATCTTCACCAAGGTGATCCCAAAGAAAACCTGAAAAACTAGTTCAGGCCATGATGGGAAGGAAGGTCAGATATGCCTCTTCGCCTCTTCATACTTTCCTCCCTTTGGAGTTTAGGCACAACTGGTCAGCATTCATATTAAAATACAGATCATCATAGGGCGGGCATGGTGGCTCACGCCTGTAATCCCAGCACTTTGGGAGGCCGAGGCAGGCAGATCACTTGAAGTCAGGAGTTTGAGACCAGCCTGGCCAACATGGTGAAACCCCGTCTCTACCAAAAATACAAAAATTAGCCAGGCATGGTGGCAGGCGCCTGTAATCCCAGCTACTTGGGAGGCTGAGGCAGGAGAATTGCTTGAACCTGGGAGGTGGAGGTTGCAGTGAGCTGAGTTCGCTCCACTGCAATCCAGCCTGGGTGACAGAGCGAGACTCCATCTCAAAAAACAAAACAAAACACAAAAAACCAGATCATCAGATGGACAAAACAGACTCTTTGTGCAATAAGATACCAAATTCCAACCTGACCCTGTATGTGATGTAGAGCATAACAGTGACAGATAACAGGCCCTAAGGAAAGTCAAAGTATTTTACCCCAAGATATATTTATTTGACATATTTTGGAGTGACCCTGCAAAGCCCACTCTTTG
Organism: Homo sapiens; assembly: GCF_000001405.40. Lineage (NCBI taxonomy): Eukaryota > Metazoa > Chordata > Mammalia > Primates > Hominidae > Homo > Homo sapiens. The sequence continues at coordinate 49,760,867 of NC_000020.11, forward strand.
CCTTCTGTAGCGAATCCCCTTCCTGTTCCAGGTCTTTTCCTGATCCAGGAGAGAATTAAACTAAGAGTCTAACACCTTTTGAGGTCTAATAAGAGAAATCTACCATCTATCCTGTCTGAAGCTGGGTGCTTAGAGGCTTCATCTACATAAACAAGAACCTTGGCTTCCACAACTCTCTTACCTTAACTCAAGCATTTCTTTTTCTTTCTTTTTTTTTTTTTTGAGTTGGGTTCTCACCCTGTCACCTAGGCTGGAGTGCAGTGGTGTGATCTCAGCTCACTGAAACCTCTGCCTCCCAGGTTCAAGCCATCCTCCTGACTCCACCTCCTGATAGCTGGGAGCACAGGTGCGTACCACCACGCTGGGCTAATTTTTGGTAGAGTCAGGGGTCTCTCCATGTTGCCCAGTCTGGCCTGGGACTCCTAGGCTCAAGCGATCCACCCGTCTTGGCCTCCTAAAGTGCTGGGATTATAGGTGTGAGCCACCGCACCTGACCTCAAACATTTCTTTATGCTGACTTCAACTCCTCAGGCAATGCTTCACTCTTTCAATCAATTGCCAATAAGGAAATCTTCGAATCCACCTATGCCCTGGAAGTCCCTCTGCTTCCATCTTTGAGATGTCCTGCCTTTTGAGGCTGAACCAATGTATACATTTCATGTATTGCTTTATGTCTTTGTTTGTGACTTCCATCTCTCTAAAATGTATAAAACCAAACTGCAACCTGACCACCTTGTGCATATGTCCTCAGGACCCCCTGAGGCTGTGTCACGGGCCATGATCACTCATATTTGGGTCAGAATAAACTTCTTCAAATATTTTACGGAGTTTGGCTTTTTTCCTCAACAATACTTACCTCTCCCTTGCTTCAAACCCTCCCATGGCTCCCCAGTACTTTTTCAGTTTTTTTTTTGAGACAGAGTTTTGCTCTTTTTGTCCAGGCTGGAGTGTCGTGGTGCGATCTCCGCTCACTGCAACCTCTGCCTCCTGGGTTCAAGTGATTCTCCTACCTCAGCCTCCTGAGTAGCTGGGATTACAGGCACCCGCCACCACATCCGGCTAATTTTTGTATTTTTAGTAGAGACGGAGTTTCACCATGTTGGCCAGGCTAGTCTTGAACTCCTGACCTCAGGTGATCCACCCGCCTTGGCCTCCCAAAGTGCTGGGATTACAGGCGTGAGTCACTGTGCCCGGCCACCCCCCCAGTACTCTTAAGACAGAGTTTGAACTCCTCACTGATAAAGACCTGCAAGATCTGGCACCTCCTGGTCCCCTGCCATCACCCATGACCCTTCCTACTTCATACTTGTTCCCCAGCCAGACTGAACTACTTTTAATTGCCTAATATTATTACTAGAAAGGGGTCCTGATCCAGACCACAAGAAAGAATTCTCTCACAAGAAAGAATTCGGGATGAGTCCACAGAGTAAAGCAAAAGCAAGTTTACTAAGAAAGTAAAGGAATAAAGGCCGGGCGCGGTGGCTCATGCCTGTAATCCCAGCACTTTGGGAGGTTGAGGCAGGGGGATCACCTGAGGTTAGGAGTTCAAGACCAGCCTGGCTAAAATGGCGAAACCCCATCTCTACTAAAAATACAAAAAATTAGCTGGGCCTGGTTGTGCGCCCATGTCATCCCAGCTACTCAGGAGGCTGAGGTATCGGAATTGCCTGAACCCAGGAGGCCGAGGTTGCCATGAGCCAAGATCGCACCACTGCACTCCAGCCTGGGCGACAGAGTGAGACTCCATCTCAAAAAAAAAAAAAAAAAAGTAAGTAAAAGAATAAAAGAATGGCTATTCTGTAGGCAGAGCAGCAGCATGGGCTGCTTGACTGAGTGTATTTATGGATACTTCCTAATTATGTGCTAAACAAGGGGTGAATTTTTCATGAGTTTTCCAGGGCAGGGTTGGGGAGCTCCTGGAAGTGAGGGTTTCTCTTCTTTTTAGATCATATAGGGTAGCTTCTGGACATTGTCATGACTCTGGTGGGAGTGTCTTTTCGCATGCTAATTAGTGTATAATGAGCAGTGAGGACAACCAGAGGTCGATTTTGTTATCATCTTGGTTTGGATGGCTTTTGACCTGCTTCTTTACTACCTCTTGTTTTGTCAGCAGGGTCTCAATGACCTGTATCTTGTGATAGGAATCCTGCTGGCCTCTTATCTCAACCTGTGAGAAAGAATGCCTAACCTCCTGGGAATGAAGCCCGTTGGGTCTCATCCACATTTTACCCAGCCCCTATTCCAGATGGAGTCGCTCTGGTTCTAACACCTCTGACAATATCCTATATTACCTCCAGACATTTGCGTATGCTAATTTCTCTCCCTCCTCCCCCATTTCATGTGGCTGTCTCCTCCTTCGTCAGGTCTCAACTCAAATGTTTTCTCCCCCAAGAGGCCTTCCTTGATTTCTTTTCTTTTTTTTTTTTTGAGATGGAGTCTCGCTCTATCACCCAGGCTGGAGTGTAGTGGTGCGATCTTGGCTCACTGCAACCTCCGTCTCCTGGATTCAAACGATTCAGCCTCTTGAGTAGCTGAGATTACAGGCACCCACAAACATGCCCAGATAATTTTTGTATTTTTAGTTGAGACGGGGTTTCACCATGTTGTCCAGCTGGTCTCAACCTCCTGAGCTCAAGTGATCTGCCCGCCTTGGCCTCCCATTAGTGCTGGGATTACAGGCATGAGTCACCGCACCCAACCACCTTCCTTGATTTCTAGACTGGATTCTGAAACCCCTTAGGGCTCCCATTGCACCTTTGTGTTTACCCTGTTGAAACAGCTATCAAACTGGATTATGGTTGTCTGTTTTCAGGACTGCTCTCTGCTCTCTCCTATACTACCTCTAGCTTTTTTTCTTTTTCAGATGTAGTTTTGCTCTGTCACCCAGGCTGGAGCGCAGTGGCACTATCTCGGCTCACTGCAACCTCCGCCTCCCAGATTCAAGCAATTCTCTTGCCTCAGCCTCCCAAGTAGCTGGGACTACAGGCGCACACCACCATGCCGGCTAACTTTTGTATTTTTAGTAGAGACTGGGTTTCAACCTGTTGGCCAGGCTGGTCTCAAACTCTTGACCTCAGGTGACCCAACCGCTTCAGCCTCCCAAAGTGCTGGGATTACAGGCGTGAGCCGCTGCGCCTGACCTCTAGCTCTTTTTTCTAACTGTTGGCCTGCTTTCCAAAAGTTGGCTTAGGCCCATGACTAGGTTCTTGGCTGTAGACTCACAAAGAACTGCTTCCCAGAGACCTCTCCACCACCTCCCTTTTGCAGTTTTACTCCAGCAGTTGGATGTGCTTGGTTTCTCAATCTGACTGGTGACTCTTCTCTGATCCTCTAAGTCCTTTTTTGAGACAGTCTTGCTCTTTCCCCTGCAAATTCCAGGTCTAGGCGTTTTTCTTTTTCTTTCTTTCTTTCTTTTTTTTTTTTTGAGAAGGAGTCTTGCTCTGTCGCCCAGGCTGGAGTGCAGTGGTGCGGTCTGACTCTCTGAAGGCTCCATCTCCTGGGTTCAAGTGATTCTCCTGCCTCAGCCTCTCGAGTAGCTGGGATTACAGGCATGTGCCACCATACCCAGCTAATTTTGTATTTTTAGTCAAGATGGGGTTTCTCCACGTTGGTTAGTCTGGTCTCGAACTCCCAACCTCAGGTGATCCGCTCGCCTCGGCCTCCGAAAGTGCTGGGATTACAGGTGTGATCCACCGTGCCTGGCGGACTTTTGTTCCTTTTAGAAGAAAATAAAAAAAGAATCTAGAGGATTGGTGAAAAATAAAAGATGACAGTAGAACTCTAGGAAGTGTTTTTTTTTTTTTTTTTTGAGACGGAGTCTCGCTCTGTCTCCCAGGCTGGAGTGCAGTGGCGCGATCTCGGCTCACCGCAAGCTCCGCCTCCCGGGTTTTACGCCATTCTCCTGCCTCAGCCTCCCAAGTAGCTGGGACTACAGGCTAATTTTTCTGTATTTTTAGTAGAGATGGGGTTTCACCATATTAGCCAGGATGGTCTCGAACTCCTGACCTTGTGATCCGCCTGCCTCGGCCTCCCAAAGTGCTGGGATTATAGGCATGAGCCACCGCGCCCAGCAGAAAGGAGTTTTAATCATTACTTAATCCAACGCTTTTTTGTTGTTGTTGAAGAGGGAAAACTGAAACGGGAATGTAATTTGCTCAGGATCACATGGCCAAGTTGTAGAATCAGGCTGCACTCTAGCCTGGGTGACAGAGGGGGACTCCATCTAAAAAAAAAAAAAAAGAAAAGAAAGAAAAAGAAATTATTAACAATGAAAATTAAAACAAATAAAAATGTTAGAGGCTAGACTCCACAGCCAGCCCACTCTCACCCTCTGTGTTGTAAATGCTTGCATGAGGCTTCAGGCAACTTTCAGGCTGACAAGGAAGTTTACAGCACCCAGTCCATAGTGGGAGTGTCCTAATGAATGATGAATGCTTATCGTGTGCAACAGCTTTTTCTTCTTCTTCTTTTAAATGACCTGGTCAGCAGGAAGTAGCAAGAGCTTCTTAATAGAACATTGGGGGAGCCAACTGGGAGAGGCTCAACCAGCTTTTGAACCAGAATAATCTCCGAGAAGTCACAGCCTTTTTTGTTTGGCCCTCTTTTCCTGCAGGTGGATTCATTAGAGTACTTTGAGTTGCATGTAAGGAGACTGGGTCAAGAGGGCCTTAAGTGACTAGAGTACTTAGTATTATCTCAGGTAACAATACACCAATAGGTGGACTGTTTCAGGGTTGGCTATTTCAGCGTCTCAGTTCTGGGGTATTGGATTAGCTTGTTACTGGACAGGGGTCCCAATCCAGACCACAAGAGAGGGTTCTTGGATCTCGCGCAAGAATAAATTCAGGGTGAGTCCGCATAGTAAAGTGAAAGCAAGTTTATTAGGAAAATAAAGGAATAAAGAATGGCTACTCCATAGACAGAGCAGTCCTCAGAGTGCCTGGTTGCCCATTTTTATGGTTATTTCTTGATCATATGCTAAACAAGGGGTGGATTATTCATGCCTCTCCTTTTAGACCATATAGGGTAACTTTCTGAGGTTGCCATGGCTTTTGTAAACTGTCAGGGCACTGGTGGGAGTATAGCAGTGAGGATGACCAGAGGTCACTCTCATCGCCTTCTTGGTTTTGGTGGGTTTTGGCAGGCTTCTTTACTGCAATCTGTTTTATCAGCAAGGTCTTTATGACCTGTATCTTGTGCTGACCTCCTGTCTCATCCTATGACTTAGAATGCCTAAGTGCCTGAGAACATATCCCAGTAGGTCTCAGCCTTATTTCATACAGCCCCTACTCAAGACGGAGTTGCTCTGGTTCAAATGCCTCTAAGCTTCTCAAGGATTCCTCATGGTCTCAAAATGGCTGCTACAACTTCAAATGTCACATTCTAGCACAGCAATGTCCAAAGGCTGGAAGAATATGTGTGAGAGAGAAAAGAAGTTGGGAGGTGGGAAAGTTTCTCTCTTTTAATAGAAAGGAACTTCCTTCCCAGAAACCCTCAGCAGACCTCCACCAATGCCTCAACTGCCAGGACTGCTTCCAATGCTTACTCCAAGACTGTCAACAGGATTTCCATGGCTGGCTCAGACCAATCAGAATTAATTTCCTGCACATGACATGTTGTGTTTTGTTCCAACAAAATTAGGTTCTGTTGGCAGGGGAGAAGGGGAATGAAGTAATCAACAGAATCTCTTTTAGGGCTTTATTTATAGGTCGGTGCAAAAGTAGTTGTGGTTTTTACCACTTCTTTTAAAAAATGGCAAAAAACACAGTTACTTTTGTACTAACCTACTATTTATTTATTTTCTGAGACAGGGTCTCATTCTATCACCCAGGCTAGAGTGCAGGGGCATGATCACAGTTCAGTGCAGCCTCGACCTCCCAGGCTCAATCGATCCTCCCACCTTAGCCTGCCAAGTAGCTGGAACTACAGGTGCCACCACACCTGGCTAATACTGGTATTTTCTGTAGAGATGGGGTTTCGACATGTTGCTCAGACTGGTCAATTCCTGGGCTCAAGTGATCCTCCATCCTTGGCCTCCCAAAGTGCTGGGATTACAGGCATGAGACACCACATGCTGCCATATGGCTTTGATAATTTCCTGAGTGGGCACCATGGATCTCTTTTTGTGATCCGGACCAAAAAGCAACTTGAACTTCCCAGGATGCTCAGATGCCCAAAGCACCTAACATGAGGGGAAGATTTATGGCCTAGACTAGACTATACTGGACACCAATTTCTTTGGGAAACCTCCCCTCCCTCGCTTCCACTCCCTGCAGTTCAGGTGAGGCTGTTTATACCCCTTGGTTCCACCAAGAAGCATGTGACCAGGCCTGGACAATCAAAGCATTGCCTTCTTCAAGTGACAATGATTGGTTCAGAGATGAACCACAACTTGAGTTCGTCCAATCAGAGTGAATGCTGCAACTTCAGCAGCATTTCCAGGAAGTGACCTCCTTTCCCACCACACTCATACCTGGCAGGATGCAGGCCTGGAGCTATTGGTTGCCAGCTTGCTATCAAGTAGATACTAAGACTGGAGCCAACTCACTGAAGAGCAAAGCCAAGAGATGGCGAGAGACTATGTCTGGTAACCTCATTTGAGTTCCTGAATCCAGCCAGGTCTGAAGCCAGTACTTTTCAGTTACTTACTTCAGTCCTTTTCAGTTACTTAAGCCAATAAATTGCTTTTTGCGTAAAAATCAGTTTCAAATGGGGCTTCTGTCATTTACAAATAAAAGAATCCTAGGCTGGGCACAGTGGCTCATGCCTGTTATCCCAGCACTTTGAGAGGCCAAGGTGGGAGGATTGTTTGAGTTCAGGAGTTTGAGACCAGCAACATAGCAGGACCCCATCTCTATCTGAAAAAGAAAAAAAAGGGCCGGGCGTGGTGGCTCATGCCTGTAATCCCAGCACTTTGGGAGGCCGAGGTGGGTGGATCACGAGGTCACGAGATCGAGACCAGCCTGATCAACATGGTGAAACCCCGTCTCTACTAAAAATAGAAAAATTAGCTGGGCGTGGTGGCACATGCCTGTAATCCCAGCCACTCGGAAGGCTGAGGCAGGAGAATTGCTTGAACCTGGGAAGCGGAGGTTGCAGTGAGCCGAGATCGCGCCACTGCACTCCAGCCTGGTGACGGAGCGAGACTCCATCTCAAAAAAAAAAAAAAAAAAGAAAAAGAAAAAAGAAGTATACATACAAATAAAAGAATCCCAAGTTTCTCAGTGTTTGGAGGAACATGTTTGAAAGACAAATTGAAAACATGTTTGAAAGACAAATTCCCAGGTGACCGAGACACCTGTGCTGGGACCTGAACCTCCACCTTTGGAACAAGCTCCTCCGGGACCCCTAATGTATGTAGTCCTGCCTTTATAGTCTGAGACTCTCTGACCCAGACTTTGGGGGAAGGACGGTCTCTTAATTCTGCATGGGAAACAAAAGACACCCAGTCCTTTCCATCACAAAGCCCCAGCTACCTTCTTGGCAAAGAGTAGGGAAATGCCTTTCATTCTTTCCCAATGGCCCTGGAATTGAGAAAATGAAAGACAGTTGATTTCCCAATCAGGTTATTCCACCACGTTGAACTTTCGGTAACTGTCCTTGCCCCATCGTGTTGCGAAAGCATTCAGGTTGAACAGTGTTCAGGAAGAATACTCAAGCAAAAACTGGTTTGCAGCCAAATACAGAGACTGCAAACCCCAGTGGCTTCAGGGGCCAGGCAGGGAAAGTAAACATGTGAAACAATAGGGAGTAGTCCTGCCTGTGGGGAACAGGGGAGTTCTCATGCCCCAGCCTAATAAATGAAAAAATTATTTATACACCACAGTGGAACCGGAGATGCACCTAAAGCCATTGGGATGTGGTTTCTCTTTTTCATCTCACTGCTCTGTCTCTGATGTGGCTTCATTCTCAGAGGATTGTGGGCTCACAAGCCAACATCCTGACAGTTTAGAAACCACAGGAGAAATGTTTCTCTTTCTCAATCGTTTCAACATAAATCCTGGATGAAACTGTTATTGGCCTTGTTTGAGTTCAAATGGTCATCCCTGAACCATCCCTGTACCTAAAAGAGGTATGGTGGTGTCATTGGTCAGACCTGAGTCTGACCCATCCTAGAATGGGGTTCAGGCCCACTTTAACCATATAGACTGAGACTGGGGAATGGGAAAGGTTTCATGCCTTTGTTTGGGCTCCCTCAGAAGCAGACTCTGAGATGAGGATTTGAGGTGCAAGTGGATTATTTGGGAGATGATCCCAGAAAGCACCATTAGGGGATTGAGGGAATGAGACAGAGAAGAGAAGCCTGCGGAAACAGGAAGTATTATCCAGCAAGTTACTACTGTGGACAACTGGAGCACAATCCCATCAGGGAACTCTGGCAGCCAGTGTAGAGCATTGTTTTAGTCTATTTTGTGCTGTTATGATAGAATACCACAGACTGGGCAATTTAAAACAATAGAAGTTTATTTGGCCCATGGTTATGGAGGCTGGGGAGTCCAAGGGCATAGTGCTGTCATCTGGCAAGGGCCTTCATGCTGCATCATTCATGGTGGAAGGTGAAAACGTAAGAGAAGGTGAGGGTGAACAAGAGATTGAACTCGCAGCCGCAAGCCCTTTCACAACTGGCATTAATCCATTCTCATGAGGGCTCCATTAGGCTCCACTCCCCAGCACATTTGAATTGCGGATTAAGTTTCCAATACATGCTTTTGGGGGGACACATTCAAACCATAGCAAACATAGACCTCAATGTTATCCCATCTTAGTGCTGAGGGAGCTGGGGTATTCATCTACCAACTTCTGTCAGTCATTGTCTGACAGTTGCTAGCAGGAGAGTTTTTGCCCAGAACTTCCAGCATGGAAGAGCATGGTCCCTGCTGGTCTGAGAAAGTCCTCAGACAAAGAGACGAAGCTTGGGCCAGCGTGCATTGAAGGTTAGGACAATGGCCAGGGCACCTATAGCCTTTGCTTCATTGTCTGAAGGAAAATTGGGGTGCTATGATCAGAAGAAGGCACTGATGTTGCACAGGTCAAACAAACATGTTCATTCAAGGAGTGAATCGGTTGGCCCATTCATCGTCTGAGTCCATTAACCAAGCAATGGCAAGGAAGGGTATACTCTGTTGCTCTAAGGAACTGGCATGGAAGCTGCACTTGGCACTTTTGTTCACATCTCATAGGCCAGGATGTGATCAGATGGCCATATCTACATGTGGGGAAATGTAGCTTTTGACTGTCCAGCCAAATCTCAGGGATTATGGCTAGGTGTGGTGGCTCACTCTTGTAATCCCAGCACTTTGAGAGGCTGAGGTGGAAGGATTACTTGAGCCTAGAGGTTTGAGACCAGCCTGGGCAGCAAAGTGAGACTCTTGCCTTTACAAAAAAAAAAAAAAAAAGTTTAAAGTAGCTGGGCATGTTGGCACATGCCTGTAGTCCCAGCTACTTGAGAGGCTGAGGCAAGGAAATGCTTGGGCTCAAGAGTTCAAGGCTGCAGTGAACTATAATAGTGCCACTGCACTCTGGCCTGGGTGACGGAGTGAGACCCTGTCTCGAAAAAAAAAAAAAAATTACAGAGATTCTGCTACTTAAAGAAGGGGAAGGAAGGGCCAAATGTTTTTTCCTGGCAAGACTTTGTGTCTATATTTCAGAAGGAATGCCTTCCCAGTGGACTTCAGCCTACATCTCATTTTCCTGAACCATGTCTCACTGCCTCCACTGGAGAACCAAGTATTTAGCTTCCTGGTCTCTCTAATAGAAGAAGGCAAGGGGAAGGGGATTGGGAGTGGGCAGTTTGGGCAGGAAGATCAACCATCCTGATTTGCCTGGGACTAAAGATATTCTGGAGACATGGGATTTTCAGTGGTAAAACCAACCTCCAGGATCTGCAGCCACACCCTATGTAGCTTGAGACCTTAACTCCAGTTGGAGAAATGTTATCTTCTCTGTCACCTCCTCCTCCTAACAACCTTCTCTCTCTGTTCATCACTTCCTCTTCAACTAAAAGGTGGCCAGGTCCTCTGCTATGCCCTACATCCACTTACACTCTGTCCTCATGGTTGGACCTCCTTGGACCCCAACTCTGCCCTGACTTCTGGGAACTTCAGTGGTGCCAGAGCCTCTGTCCAGCTCTCAGCATCTCCCTTACCTCCACCATCTTGTTTCCGGCCATCTTGCGTCCTTGGAGTCCAGAGTTTGCAAAGGTGGAAATGGAGAAGCTGGAGAGAGAAAGCGCTTGCTGGTCTCACTGAAACAGTCAGGACTCAAACTCTCAGCCCAAGGCTCTTCGCTCTGCACCCCTCAAAACCTTTGGTGCCTGTTATTCAACTAGCTTGACATTTCTCCAGCTCTGAGGTGATACCTCTCTCCAAGATGCCTGCAGTCAGAGGGCAGGGGGCGTGGCACAGAGTGGGGCCTCAAGAAACACTGCAAAATACCTCTAGGGCCCCTTTCTGGCTCTCAAATGATCTCGGTACGACTTGACCTGACCAAACAGAAAGAATTCAGGCTCCCTCCTCAAACCTGTTCCCCTACCACCTCCTAAGCGGTAGGGGTGGTTTGGACCCCAATAATGACATTTTTATATAACTTGGAGTTTATTATTTTTTCTTTTTCTTTTCTTTTTTTTTTTTTTTTTTTAAGACAAGAGTCTCGCTCTGTCACCCAGGCTGGAGTGCAGTGGTGCTATCTCGGCTCAATGAAACCTCCACCTCCCAGGTTCAAGCAATTCTTGTGCCTCAGCTTCCTGAGTAGCTGGGACTACAGGCATGCGCCACCGGGCCCGGCTAATTTTTGTATTTTTAGTAGAGACAGGATTTTGCCATATAATTTGGAGTTTCACAACACCAGCACTATTTAGATTTTGGGCCAAATAATCCTTGAGTGGGGGTGGGGGTGGGGGCTGTCCTGTTCACTGTAGGAGGTTTAGGGGCAGGCCTGACCTCCACCCACCAGATGCCCAGAGAACCCTCCTCCCCAGTTATGTCAGTGCCTCCAGACATTGCTAAATGTCCCCTGGGAGACAAAAATCACTCCTGAACCACTGATCTAGACGGTCAATATTTTCTTAATATAAAAAGTGGGGCTGGGCGAGGTGGCTCATGCCTGTAATCCCAGCACTTTGGGAGGCCGAGGCAGGTGGATCACGAGGTCAGGAGATCGAGACTATCATGGCTAACACAGTGAAACCCCGTCTCTACTAAAAATACAAAAAATTAGCCAGGCATGGTGGCGGGCGCCTGTACTTCCAGCTACTTGGGAGGCTGAGGCAGGAAAATGGCGTGAACCAGGGAGGCGGAGGTTGCAGTGAGCAGAGATTGTGCCACTGCACTCCAGCCTGGGCGACAGAGGGAGACTCCGTCTCAACAACAACAAAAGGGCGGGGGGAGCAACAAGCAACTTCAGAAAACGAAGTCCCTTTCAATGAGTACCCACCTTCTGTGGAAAAACCTCAAGCTCACTACTCAAATGCAGCTTGGAACAAAGGCTCTGGCAACCCTGCCATCCAGCTGGCTTCTCTCAGTGAGTCACACTCAGAGATTTCTGGCGTCACTGCCACTCTCCCCACCCCCTCTCATGCAGAACAATGGGTCTCACTCTGGCTCTGACCTTCTTCACACCCAGCACTTTACTCCATTTTCCTGGACTGGGAAAGCCCTTTATGTTGTGGGCAACTTTGTTTGTGCTAAGTCAACAGAAAATGCTTCTTGGCCTCTACCCTCCTGAGAGCACATGGTGCATTAATAAGTTTAACCCAGAGTTTCCCAACCTTGGCGCTACTGACATTTTGGGCTGGCTCATTCTTTGCTTCGGGGGCTGTCCTGTGTGTTGTCTGATGGTTAGCAACATCCCTGGCCTCCATTCACAGATGCCAGGGGCAACACCACACCTGGTTGTAACCAAAACTTTCTCCAGACATTGTCAAATATCCTCTGGGGAAAAAAAAATCACCCTCGGTTGAGAACCGTCGTCAACTCCTACTAGGAACCACTGAGGTTAGTAATATTTTTATTATTATTATTATTATTTATTTTTTTATTTTTTGAGACAGTCTTGCTCTGGTACCCAGGCTGGAGTGCAGTGGCACTATCTTGGCTCACTGCAACTTCTGCCTGCCGGATTCAAGCGATTCTCCTGCCTCATCCTCCCGAGTAGCTGGAATTACAGATGTCTGCCACCACGCCCGGCTAATTATTTTGTATTTTTAGTAGAGACAGGGTTTCACCATGTTGCCCAGGCTGGTCTCGAAATTCTGACCTCAAGTGATCCACCTGCCTCGGCCTTCCAAAGTGTTAGGATTACAGGTGTGAGCCACTGTGTCCAGCCATATTATTATTATTTTAGAGATGAGGAAATCAGGATTATGGAAGTGTGATGACTTGTTCAGGTATAAGGGGCAAAGTCAGGAATTGGAATTTCTCCCAAGCCAGTGATTTTCTTTTCCTTTTTTTTTTTTTTTTTTTTTTTTGAGATGGAGTTTCACTCTTGTTGCCTAGGCTGGAGTGCAGTGGCATGATCTTGGCTCACTGCAACCTCGGCCTCCCGGGTTCAAGCAATTCTCCTGCCTCAGCCTCCCGAGTAGCTGGTATTATAGGTGCCTGCCACCACACCCAGCTAATTTTTTGTATTTTTAGTAGAGACGGGGTATCACTGTGTTGACCAGGCTGATCTGGAACTCCTGACCTCAGGTGATGCACCTGCCTCGGCCTCTCAAAGTGCTGAGATTACAGACATGAGCCACCGCGCCCGGCCTAAGACAGTGATTTTCAAATTCGCTAACTGATAAACGTCACTGGGGCCCTTGCTAACAGAGGCCTGGCCCCATGCCAGACCCACTGCATCAGAACCTTTAGGAAAGGGGCCAGGAGTTCTATATTCTCTACAAGATTCCTTTCCTGACAACCTGCAAACATCAATATTTAACAGCCAATATTCTCTGTTTTTATAGCTTTTCTCACATGAGCCCCCACTGTTTATTTTTTACCTTTTGTTGTTGTTGTCGTTATAAATGAGACAGAGTCTCATTATGTTGCCCAGGTTGGTCTCCAACTCCTGGGCTCAAGTGATCCTCTCACCTTGGCCTCCCAAAGTACTGGGATTATAGGTGTGAGCCACTATGCCTGGTCTTTTAAATTTTTTTCGAGTTGGGGTGCACTGGCTATTCGTAGGAGTGATCATGGCACACTATAGCCTTGAACCCCTGGCCTCAGCCCCAGAAGCTGGGACTACAGACACACGCTCAGGGTGTCCAGCTTGCCATTCCCACTTCAGAGAAGAAACTGAAGCACACAGAGATTGTGACTTGCCCAAAGCCATTCAGAAAGTGAGAATAGGCCGGGTGCAGTGGCTCAAGACTGTAATCCCAGCAGTTTGGGAGGCCGAGGTCGGAGGATCACTTGAGCCCAGGAGTTGGAGACCAGCCTGGGCAACATGGCAAAACTCCATCTCTACAAAAAATACAAAAATTAGTCGGGTATGGTGGCACTCACCTGTAGTCCCAGCTACGTGGGAGGCTGAGGTGGGAGGATTGCTTGAGCATGGGAGGTCATGGCTGCAGTGAGCAATTATTGCACCAGTGCATTCCAACCTAGGTGACAGAGGGAGACCATCTCAAAAAAAAGAAAAAAAAAAATGAGGCTGGGCACGGTGGCTTAGGCCTGTAATCCTAGCACTTTAGGAAGCTGAGGCAGGCGATTGCCCGAGGTCAGGAGTTTGAGACCAGCCTGGCAAACATGGTAAAACCCCGTCTCTACTAAAAATACAAAAATTAGCTGGGCGCGGTGGCACATGCCTGTTAATCCCAGCTACTCGGGGGGCTGAGGCAGGAGAATCACTTGAACCTGGGAGGCAGAAGTTACAATGAGCCGACATTGGACCACTGCACTCCAGCTTGGGTGACAGGGCGAGACTCTGTCTCCAAAATAAAAAAGTGAGAAGAAAAATAAATAAAATTTAAAATAACAAAAAGTAAGAAACAGAAACATACACACACACAAAAGCAAACAAAAGAAAACAAGAAAAGGAAAAAATGAAACAAACTAGAAAAAACAAAATGAGAAGAATGTAGACTGTCATCATGTGCCTTGGCCATCCCTCCAGGAAGATGTCTTGGAGCTGGGATTCGTGGATAAACAAGATAAACAAGATGTATACATTTTCCTGTGTGCTTGCAGCTACACACACACACACACACACACTTGTGCATGCATTTGGACACACAAACACTGGGGCCAGAGAGAGGCCCAGCCTCCCCTTAGACACATTGTTGTCCAATGTCCCCCACCCCCAGTTGGGGTTCTGTAAGTAAAAAAGAAGGAACAGGATGAGTATTCAACAGGCAACCTTTAGGTTTTCCATGGACCTCACCTCATTTGATAGACAGAAAAGTTTCTACAGCAAGTTCATTGGCAGGACTAGGCCTTGAGCCCACTCCCTGGGACAGCGGACTCCACACCACCTGTTACAACTGGAGATTGAGTGTCTGCCGGAAGCTGTTTCCTGGGGAACTGCAGCCAGCTGCTGGCCACACAGGAGCTCTTTATCCCCCACCAACTCACCTCCCTGGGATCTACCCAGGACCTGCCTTCTTGAGTAACAGGATGTGACCCTATGTCACCAGGGCACTTGCTGCCCATTGAAAGTCCTCATGAGTCATTCTCCAAGGTTCCAAGGGAAAAAAAACTCCTAGATAGGGGCCCATCCCAGAAAGAAATAAAACACTGGCCCAGGGCCGAGACTTTCAGAGAAACCAGCTGGCCTGCTTGTGAGTGGGAGGTTGCGGGGGGTCACCTTGAACCGAGGTCTCTCTGGACAGAACTGTTTTCTTATTCAATCATTCATTCATCATCTATTTATAGACATGACATTTATTCATGGATTCAGCTAATATTTATTAGGAGGGGCAAAATAACTCTCACTTCTAACCTACACATTTTTGAGTTGTTTACATTCATTATTACACAAGTATGTGCTGCTTTCATTTTTTTAAGCTTTGCTTTTAATTAATTAATTAATTTATTTATTTAGCAATCCCAGGATGGAGACAGATTTAATTATTTTAAAATAACAGGCCAGGCGTGGTGGCACACACTTGTAATCCCAGCTACTCAGGAGGCTGAGGCAGGAGAATCGCTTGAACCCAGGAGGTAGAGGTTGCAGTGAGCCGAGATCACGCCACTGCACTCCAGCCTCAGCCACAGCCTGTCTCAAAAATTAAAAAGAGAGAGAGAGAGAGAGAGAGATGCTGCTTTCTGATCCAGAGGACATACATGCCCCACTGGCAAGACAGAAGATCCCCAATTCGGACAGCTACCTGGAGAAGTTGACCTCTAAGCTGAAAACTCAAGGATGAACGTTGCCAGGTGACAGGGAGGAAATTACCAGAAATGGTGCTCTGGGCAAAGGGAACAGCATGTACAAAGGTCAGGAGATCATGCTTTTTTCCGAAAATGCAAGTGTTTGAGACCATACTGTAGGAAGTGGGAGAGGAAGTGATGAGCTCAGAGAAAAAGACAGAAAGGCAGAGAGCCCACTTAAAGGAATGGCTAATTAACCACCCCCATTCCACTCTTCCCGCCCACCTCCCCACCCTCATCCCACTCCTAGGACCATGACTCAGTCATGAGGTTTTCACACTCTCTCACTTTAAGCTGGGCAGTTTCTGTTTCTCAGCCAATGTGTCATTCATCAGCAGATCATGTCATCCCCCCCAATCCACAGCATGGTTCCAGAATATCAGCTGATCCTCGTGAATTGGACCGCAAATCTTCCAGAGTTTTTTTTTTGTTTTTTTTTTTTTCTTTTTTGAGATGAGGTCTTGCTCTTGTCACCCAGGCTGGAGTGCAGTGGCGCGATCTCGGCTCACTGCCTCCGCCTCCCGAGTTCAAGCGATTCTGCTGCCTCAGCCTCCTGAGTAGCTGGGATTACAGGTGCCTGCCACCTACACCCAGCTAATTTTTGTAGTTTTAGTAGAGATGGGGTTTTGCCATGTTGGCCAGGCTAGTCTCAAACTCCTGACCTTTTGATCTGCCCTCCTCAGCCTCCCAAAGTGCTGGGACTATAGACGTGAGCCGCCACACTCGGCCGCTTCCAGGGTCTTACAAGGCGAAAAAAATCTTACATTGAAAATCAAGGGAGCATTAATAAATATTATAGCACTGGGTGCATCGCCCACAGATAGGCAGGCAAGTTTTGTTCAACTGGAGGCACTTTATGACTAGGTCTAAAGTCGCCATTTATCTGAGATTGTCCTGTCTCTAGCAGCTGGGTCTCATTTCATGCTCAGAGGAAACTTACGAGGAAAATGCTTTTGCTATCCCCACTTCACAGAAGAGAACTGAAGCCTAGAATGTAAGACACTCACCTCAAATCTCATATACCTGATCACTTTTTTTGAAACAGGGTCTCAAGCAGCCACCCCGACTGGAGTGCAGAGGCTGGAACACAGTTCACTGCAGCCTTGACCTCCCTGGGATCAGGTGATCCTCCCACCTTAGCCTCCCGATTAGCTAGGACTACAGGTATGCACCACCACACCTAGCTAATTTCTGTATTTTTTCTTCCAAGACGGAGTCTTACTAAGTTGCCCAGGCTGCAGTGCAGTGGTGCAATCTCAGCTCACTGCATGAGATCGTCTGCTGGGTTCAAGTGATTGTCTTGCCTCAGCCTCCCAAGTAGCTGGGATTACAGGCATGTGCCACCACACCCGACTAATTTTTGTATTTTTAGGTATTTTTAGGAGAGACGGGGTTTCGCCATGTTGACCAGGCTGGTGTCAAACTCCTGACTTCAGGTGATCCACACACTTTGGCCTCCCAAAGTGCTGGGATTACAGGTGTGAGCCACTGCATCCGGCCGCCTGGCTAATTTTTAAAAATTATTTGTAGAAATGAGGTCCTGCTATGTTGTCTAAGCTGGTCTCTAACTCCTGGGCTCAAGAGATCCTCTCACCTCGGCCTCCCAAAATGCTAGGAGTACAGGCGTGAGCCACTGTGCCCAGTCATGGTCTTTGTTTAATCTTTACAATAGAGCATCCCCATTTACGATATGGGAAAACAGAGGCCCAGAGAGCTGAAGCAACTTGCCAGAGACATAGCAAAAGTAAGGGAGTGCTCCTACACTGCTGACAGGAATGTAAAGTGGGGCAGCCACTTTAGAAAACAGGGTAGTAGTTCCTCAAAAGACTAAACAAGCTGGGTGCAGTGATCCAAGTGCTTGTAATCCCAGCACTTTGGGAAACTGAGACGGGAGGATCACTTGAACTTGGGAGTTCGAGACCAGCCTGGGCAACCTCGATAGTGAGACCCCGTCTCTATTGAAAAAAGAAAAAAAAGTGTAAACATAGGGTTACCATATCATCCAGCAATTTTCCCCCTAGGTATATGTCCAAGCATTGAAAACATATGTCCTCACAAAATTTGTACATGAAAGTTCACTGCAGTATTATTCATTATAGCTAAAAGTGAAACCAATCCAAATGTCCAACAACTGATAGATGGATATATATATTTTAGACAGAGTCTCCCTCTGTCACTCAGGCTGGAGTGCAGTGGTGCAATCTCGGCTCACGGCAGCCTCCACCTCCCGGGTTCAATCAATTCTCCTGTCTCAGCTTCCCAAGTAGCTGGTATTACAGGTGCCCACCACCACACCCAGCTAATTTTTCTATTTTTAGTAGAGACGGGGTTTCACCACGTTGACCAGACCAGTCTTGAACTCTTGACCTCAGGTGATCCGCCTGCCTCAGCTTCCCAAAGTACTGGGATTACAGGTGTGCGCCACCACGCCCAGCCTATAAATGAGTAAATAAATGTATGTATCCATACAATGGAGTCTTACTGAGCAATAAAAAGAAATAGAGGCTGACACTTACTACAATACAGATTAACTGGAAAAACATGTTAAACAAAAGAACTGGCCGGGTGCGGTGGCTCATGCCTGTAATCCCAGCACTTTGGGAGGCAGAGGCGGGCAAGAGTTCAAGACCAGCATGGGCGACACAGTGAAACCCCATCTCTACTAAAATACAAAACATTAGCTGGGCGTGGCAGCGCGCACCTGTAGTCCCAACTACTTGGGAGGCTGAGGCAGGAGAATTGCTTGAACCTGGGAGGCGGAGGTTGCAGTGAGCTGAGATCGCACCACTGCACTCCAGCCTGGGTGACAGAGCGAGACTCCGTCTCCATAAAACAAACAAAAAAACGAGCAAAACACAAAAAACAAATGAACAGCATAAAGGAGCTTATGTTACATGATTTCATTTATGTGAAATGTCCAGTATAGGCAAATCTGTAGAGGCAGAAAGTAGATTAGTGGTTGCCAGGGCAGGGGGACTTGGGAGAAAATGGGGATTGACTGCTAACGTGTATGGGGTTTCTTTTGGGAGTGGTGAAAATGCTCTAAAATTGATTGGGGACTTGGTTGCTCAACTCCAAAGGTATGAAAATGAAAACCCATGAAATCATACACTTTAAATAGGTAAATTATGTGGTATCTGAATTATATCTCAGTAAAGCTCTTACAGGAAAATGTTTTAAAAAGTAATAATAATAGGGGCCAGGTGCACTGGCTCACGCCTGTAATCCCAGCACTTTGGGAGGCCGAGGTGGGTGGATCACCTGAGGTCAGGAGTTCGAGACCAGCCTGACCAACATGGAGAAACCCCACCTCTACTAAAAGTGCAAAATTAGCCGGACATGGTGGCACACACCTGTAATCCCAGCTACTTGGGAGGCTGAGGCATGAGAATCGCTTGAACCCAGAAGGTGGAGGTTGCAGCAAGCCGAGACAGCACCACTGCGCTCCAGCCTGGAAAACAAGAGGAAAACTTTGTCTCAAAATAATAATAATAATAATAATAATAATAATAATAATAATAATAGGCCCCAGCACAATGGCTCACGCCTGTAATCCCAGCACTTTGGGAGGCCAAGGCAGGTGGATGACTTGAGGTCAGGAGTTCGAGACCAGCCTAGCCAGCATGGCGAAACCTGGTCTCCACTAAAAATACAAAAATTAGCCTGGTGTGGTGGTGCATGCCTGTGGTCCCAGCTACTTGGGAGGCTGAGAGAGAAGAATCTCTTGAACCCGGGAGGTAGAGGCCACAGTGAGCCGAGATCACACCACTGCACTCCAGGCTGGGTGACAGGGCAAGACTCCATCTTAATAATAATAATAATAATAATAATAATAATAATGGGGTAGGCTGTGATCATGACCTAAACCATGATCTATGTTTGAACATCTGCACTTACTATGTGCTCAACTAGCCTGAGCCAAAATGAGCAAGGAGGGGAGCAGAATACATTAGCTCACACAGTTGAAAAATCCAGGAGTATTTCAGGTATGGCTGGATCCAGGAGCTTAAGTAATGTCAGTGGGACTTTGTCTTGCTCTATTTCTCCAGTTCAGATTTGCCCTGTGCTGCCTTCCTTTTCAAGTAGGTGACAAAAATGGCCTTGGCAGCTCTAGACTGCTGAGCTCTTACTACCCTGAGGGAGTATCTTTTTCCTTATAGTGTTTAGTAAAGATCTGATGGAAGGTTCACACTGATCTGACTGGGGTCACTTTTGAATTAATCGCCATAGCCAGGATAATTTTCTGCTCTGGTGGGCTAAGACTGGGTGATACAACCCATTCTAGAGCCAGGTTTGTGGTCAGCTTCACCCAAACCATATAGATTATAGGGGTGGGGTAGTTCCCCAAGGGAAAATTAGGATTCTGGGCAGGCTCAAGTCACAGATACCCACAGTATTCGGACAGTGTGGACCCTGCTGCCCAGGTTTGACCCTTGCTTTTTCCACATGCCAGCTATGTGACCTTGGCAAAGTTCTTTTTTTTTTTCTTTTTTTTTTTTTTTCCTGAGATGGAGTCTCATTCTGTCACCCAGGCTGGAGTGCAGTTGTGTGATCTTGGCTCACTGCGACCTCTGCCTCCGGGGTTCAAACGATTCTCCTGCCTCAACCTCTCAAGTAGCTGGATTACAGGTGCCTGCCACCACACCTGGCTAATTTTTGTATTTTTTGGTAGAGATGGTGTTTCACCATGTTGGGCAGGCTGGTCTCAAACCCCTGACCTCAGGTAATCTGCTCGCCTCAGCCTCCCAAAGTGCTGGTATTACAGGTGTGAGCCACTGTGCCCAGCCTCCCCAGATTATTATTATTATTATTATTTTTTTTTTTTGAGATGTAGTCTCACTGTGTCACCCAGGCTAGAGTACAGTGGCGCAATCTTGGTTTACTGCAACCTCCGCCTCCCAGGTTCAAGCGATTCTCCTGCCTCAGGCTCCTGGGTAGCCGGGATTACAGGCGCAAGCCACCACGCCAGGCTAATTTTTGTATTTTAGTTAGAGACGAGGTTTCACCATGTTGGCCAGGATGGTCGCGATCTCCTGACCTCGTGATCCACCTGCCTCGGCCTCCCAAAGTGCTGGGATTACAGGTGTGAGCCACCGCACCCGGCCCCCCAGATTATTCTTTACAATGGACAATCCACAGCCACAAAGCTAAGAGCCAGGTGCTTGGTTTTTCAATTTTTTTTCTTTCTTTTCTTTCTTTCTTTTTTTTTTTTGAGACGGAGTCTCGCTCTGTCACCCAGGCTGGAGTGCAGTGGCGCGATCTCAGCTCACTGCAAGCTCCACCTCCCGGGTTCACAACATTCTCCTGCCTCAGCCTCCCGAGTAGCTGGGACTACAGGCGCCTGCCACCACACTCACCTAATTTTTTGTATTTTTAGTAGAGACGGGGTTTCACCGTGTTAGCCAGGATGGTCTCAATCTCCTGACCTCATGATCTGCCCTCCTCGGCCTCCCAAAGTGCTGGGATTACAGGCGTGAGCCACCGCGCCCAGCCTGTTATTTTTTCTTTAAACAGTGAAGAGGGTTTCAAGGAATCTCTCCTTAAAGGCAAAGACCCTGCCCAACTGAGTGTTGAGGCCTTTGTAGTGGACTGACCTGGGTTAATTTCTGGCTCTGGGTTCTGCCTTGGGCAAATCACTTTCTTTCTCTAAGCCTCAGTTTCCTCCTCCATGCAATGGGCAGAGTAGAGGGGAATAAATGAGAATCATCTCAAGTATTGACTGGCTCAGCACAGTGCCTAGAATCTGTGTCTAATAAGTGAACTTTTATTTTCCCTTTTTTTTACTTGTTTATTTGACTACATGAATACCTTCAAAAAGTACAGAGTGAAAGTAAAGAGTGAAAAATGGGTGGGTCTCCCTTCCTCCCTGTTCCTTTACCCACCCACTTCCCTTTCAGAGATATAATCAGGATTACAGGTTTCAAAACGGTTTTGAATTTATAGGACTATAACAAGAATAATTCAGAGAATTCCATATACCCTTTACCCAGAATCACCTGTCTTTACTATTTTGCCATGTTTGTTTTATTATCTTTTCTTTCTTCATGTGACTATGTTTATTATTATTATTTTTCTGAACTATTATAGTTTTCATACATCATGCCGCATTTACCTCTTAATATTTCCGCATATGTTTACTAGGAACACGATATTATTTGCTGTAACCACAGCACTGTTACCAAATTCAGAAAATTTACCTTGATGCCCCATTTACCTCATAATATTTCAGCATGTATTTCCTAAGAACAAGATATTATTTGCTATAGGCTGGGTGCAGTGGCTCACTCCTGTGATCCCAGCACTTTGGGAGGCTGAGGCGGGTGGATCACCTGAGGTCAGGAGTTTGAGACCAGCCTGACCAACATGGCGAAACCCTGTCTCTACTAAAAATACAAAACTAGCCGGGTGTGGTGGTGCACACCTGTAACCCCAGCTACTTGGGAGGCTGAGGCAAGAGAATCGCTTGAACTCAGGAGGTAGAGGTTGCAGTGAGCTGAGACTGCACCACTGCACTCCAGCCTGGGCAACAGAGTGAGACTCTGTCTCAAAAATAACATAAAAGAAAATAGATATTATTTTCTGTAATCACAGCAGTGTTACTAAAAAATTTACCTTGATTACCATCCATACGCCAATTTTGTCAGTTGTGGTAAAAAAAAAAAAAAAAAAAAAAAGAATCCCTTACAGCTTTTTCCCGCCTAGTGCAGGATCCACTTCAGGACCATGTTTTGTCTGTCTTTTTTATTTTTTTTTTCTTGAGACGGAGTCTTGCTCCGTCACCCAGGCTGGAGTGCAGTGGCACAATCCTGGCTCACTGCAACCTCCACCTCCTGGGTTCAAGCAATTCTCCTGTCGCAGCCTCCCGAGTAGCTAGGACTGCAGGCGCCTGCCACCACGCCCTGCTAATTTTTGTATTTTTAGTAGAGATGGGATTTCGCCTTGTTGATCAGGCTGGTCACAAACTCCTGACCTCAAGTGATCCACCCACCTCAGCCTCCCAAAGTGCTGGGATTACAGGCTTGAGTCACCGCGCCTGGCCTAATTGTCTCTCATCTGAAATGATGCCTCTGCTTTTCTTTGTCTTTTATGACCTTGACATTTTTTGAAGAATACAGGCCAGTTATTTCATAGAATGTTCCTCATTTGGGGTTTGTTTAACAGAGTACCCCAAATTTCTGTAGGATAGGAATTCAGGAAGGGCATAGTGGGGAAAAATTCTATCTGCTCTAAGGCTCACTCCTGTAATGCCAGCACTGAGGCCTCAGCTGGAAAACTCAAAGGCTAGAAGCGAGAGTTACCTGAAGTCTCACTGTCTGGCAGCTAATGCAGGCTGCTGGCTGGGGCTTGGCTGAGGCCCCACACACAGCCTCTCTACGTATCCTGAGCTTCTTTCCAACTATGGCAGCTGGGATGGAAGGGCAAGCATCCAAATGGAGAAAGCCATACTGTCTTTTTTATTTTTTATTTTTATTTTTTGAGACGGAGCCTCGCTCTATCGCCCAGGCTGGAGTGCAGTGGTGAGATCTCAGCTCACTGCAAACTCTGCCCTCAGGGTTCAAGTGATTCACGTGTCTCAGCCTCCCAAGTAGCTGGGATTACAGACGCCCGTCATCATGACCAGCTAATTTTTTTGGAGACAAGAGTTTTGCTCAGTCTCCCAGGCTGGAGTGCAGTGGCATCATCTCAGCTCACTGCAACCTCCACCTTCTGAGTTCAAGTGATTCTCCTGCCTTAGCCTCCCGAGTAGCTGGGATTACAGGTATGTGCCACCACGCCCAGCTAATTTTTGTATTATTACTAGAGATGGGGTTTCACCATGTTGGCCAGGCTGGTCTCGATCTCCTGATCTCAGGTGATCCACCTGCCTCAGCCTCCCAAAGTGCTGGGATTACAGGTGTGAGCCACCGCACCCAGCCACTAATTTTTATATTTTTAGTAGAAATGGGATTTTGACATGTTGGCCAGGCT
This sequence comes from Homo sapiens, assembly GCF_000001405.40. Classification (NCBI taxonomy): domain Eukaryota; kingdom Metazoa; phylum Chordata; class Mammalia; order Primates; family Hominidae; genus Homo; species Homo sapiens. The sequence continues at coordinate 49,784,185 of NC_000020.11, forward strand.
GGGTTTGAACTCCTGACCTCAAGTGATCTGCCCATCTCGGCCTCCGAAGTGTTGGCATTACAGGCGTGAGCCGCCACACCTGGCCTGTCAATATTGTTTTAATGATGGTTGCTCCTTCTCAGGCTTTCCTCACATACTGTTTTTTTTTTTTTTAGACAGGTTCTGGTTCTGTCACCTAAGCCTCCTGAGTAGCTGACATTACAGGTGTGTGCCACGAGCTTGGCTAATTTATTTATTTATTATATTAAATATATATATATTTATATATAATATTAAATAATATATGTATATATATTTATATATAATATATATATTAAATAATGAAATATATTAAATAATAAATAAATAAATAATTTATTTATTGTTTTGTAGAGATGGGAGTCTCACTATATTGCCCAGGCTCATCTCAAACTCCTGGCCTCAAGCATTCCTTCCACCTCAGCCTCCCAAACGGCTAGGATTACAGGTGTGAGCCACCACACCCAGCCCTCCCTCATACATTCAAATGGCCAACTCCCTTGGCTTCCTCAAGTCTTTGCTTAAATGCCATCTTCTCAGGAAGTCATTTTCTGAACACTCTATTAAAAATTGCAACCTGCCCCCAAACACGTCTTGCACTCACTGTCCGTGTCTCTGCTTAAATTTTCTCCGTAGCACTCATACCATCTAACATACTGTGCATTTACTTGTTTATTTTTATTTTTTTGAGACAGGGTCTCACTCTGTTGCCCAGGCTGGAGTGCAGTAGTGTGATCATGGTTCATTGTAACCTCTGTCTCCTGGACTCAAGCAATCCTCTCACCTTAGCCTCCCAAGTAGCTGGTACCACAAGTGCACATCATCACACCTGGCTAATTTTTGTATTTTTTGTACAGAAGGGGTTTCGCCATGCTGACCAGGCTCATCTCAAACTCCTGGGTTCCAGCGATCCACCCGCCTCAGCCTCCCAAAGTGCTGGGATTATAAGTGAACCATCATGCTGGGCAATTTATTTATTTATTTTCCGTTTCCCTCTACTAATGAATCAGCTCCAGGAGTGCAGGGACCTTGTCTGTTTTCTACACAGATGCGTTCCCAGCACCTAGCACAGTGCCTAGCAGGTATGTGAATGAATGAATGAATGAATCCATGCATGCATGAATGAAGTATCCTTGTACAAACCATGAACCATGTACATGTTAGGTGTCTACAACTTGTCGTTTGAATTAATGAATAAAAGAACAGGCAAGGCGCGGTGGCTCACACCTGCAATCCCAGCACTTTGGGAGGCCGAGGTGGGCGGATCATCTGAGGTTGGGAGTTCAAGACCAGCCTGACTAACATGGAGGAACCCTGTCTCTACTGAAAATAGAAAATTATCCAGGCGTGGTGGCGCATGCCTGTAATCCCAGCTTGGGAAGCTGAGACAGGAGAATCGCTTGAACTCGGGAGGCAGATGTTGCGGTGAGCCAAGATCGTGCCATTGCGCTCCAGCCTGGGCAACAAGAGTGAAACTCTGTCTCAAAAAAAAAAAAAAGAAAGAACAGACAGCACCAACCCTCCTTGTAAGTTCAATATGAGGTTGATCTGAAGCTGCCACCCAAGGCTACTGATCAAAATATCCTTCTAAACAAGTCTGTCCCACAGTCCTGGCGTCTGATAATATGGACAGTCAGGCTGGCTGGCACCAGACTGGACCCAGATGAAGGAATGGAATCAGGCCACATTACAGGGGCAAGAGGAGCCTTGTGGCCAGAGGTTCTAGAGGTCAGCAGCAAGTCATGCATCTGAAGAGGAAGTTGATTGCTGTACCTCAAGCTGAAACAGAAACTGCGGTGGCTAGCAAGGAAGGGTCCCCACCTGTGCGCCTCAGCCCCTTGGCCATTGCCAGCTTCCAACAGACCACAGAGACTTTTGGGGGAAAACTTTTTTATTGAAGTGTAACAGACATACAGAAAAGTGCACAAATAAGGAAAGTGCACAGGGGAGCGATGGCTCGATACATTTTCACAAAGGCAGACAGCGGGGTAACCAGCCCCCAGCTCAAGGAACAGAACATTCCCCGCCCCGGAGAAGCTCCCTTCAAGTCTTTCCCATCCTAAGCGATAACCGTTATCCTGATTCCAACAGCAGTGATGATTTTTGCCGTTTTTTGAACTTGATGAAATGGCAGCACATAACACGTATTCTTTTGTGTAAGACTTACTTACTACAAACTTTGTATGTTTGTAGCAACAGCCTTTTGACCCTGTCTCTTCCTCCATGCCCTCAAAGAGAAAAAGGAACCTAATAATAACACAAAATAAAGCGAAAGCATACTTGCTTGACTGGTTTAAATGTGCCATCTGGCCGGGCATTTTGGAGGCCGAGGCGGGTGGATCACTTGAAGTCAGGATTTCGAGACTAGCCTGGCCAACATGGTGAAACCCCATCTCTACTAAAAGTACAAAAATTAGCTGGGCATGGTGGTGGGCACTTGTAATCCCAGCTACTTGGGAGGCTGAGGAAGGAGAATCGCTTGAACCTGGGAGGCAGGGGTTGCAGTGAGCAGAGATCGTGCCACTGCACTCCAGCCTGGATGACAGAGGGTGACTCCATCTCTCAAAAAATAAAATAAAATAAAATAAAATAAAATAAAATATAAAATAAAATGTGCCATCCATTCTTTCATGCTTCAGCCACCCAGTGGGCTGGAACTGTTACTGCTTCCATTTCAAATATTGGGAGGCTGAGGCACAGAGAGGTTAAATAATTTGCTCAGCCAGGAAGTGAAGGTCTGTATTTAAAGCCAGGTCTCTCTGATCTCCAAGCTCATGTTCTAACCCAGCATACACTCCTTATCAATAAAATGACCATGTATTGAACACCCTCTTTGGACTGAATACTATACTTCAACTTTATGTCCATTGTCTTATTTGATTTTCCCAGCCGTTGATGAGTAATATACCATTATCCTTGCTTAGCAAATGATGAAAGCAGGGTTCAGAGAGGTTAAGGAACTTTCCTAACGTCATACAGCCCAGGAAGGCATGAAATAAAAATTTAAACTCTATTTTGTTGATTCCAAAGTCCAGTGCAGAACGATATCAGTACCCAGCATTTATGCGCATCTTTCAAATATACCTTCTGAGGCCCTGCAGGGTGGCTCATGACTGTAATCCCAGCACTGTGGGAGGCCGAGGTGGGTGGATCAGTTGAGGTCAGGAGTTCAAGACTAGCCTGGCCAATATGGTGAAACCCCGTTTCTATTAAAACTACAAAAATTAGCCGGGTGTGGTGGCACACGCCTGTAATCCCAGTTACTTGGGAGGCTGAAACAGGAGAATTGCTTAAACCCCGGAGGCAGAGGTTGCAGTGAGCCGAGATTGCACCACTGTACTCCAGCCTGGGTGACAGAGCAAGATTCTGTCTCAACAGAAACAAACAAACAAAAACAAATATACCTTCTGAGTTTTTCAAAAAAGAGACAACAATAGCAGTTACCTTTTATGGATCATCTCAGAGTCAGTTGTTTTGGTCAAAGATTGCAAATGATCCCTTAATTTGTGTTCTTGTCTTCTCTCTCCTAGTAAGAGTATACCTGATTTTTAGCTTGGCACATGGCTTCCCATGGCTTTACTACCTATCTCAGCCTTCCTTGCAGCTAGGGGTAGCCACATGACTAACTTATAGCCAGTGAAGAACTGTTCCCCGACATGCCCACATGGCTCATGTCAACCCCAGCATTACATCATTTGTTTAAACTCTCAGTTTCTCTGTCTTGAAAATAGGGATTTAAATATTTATTTAAGCCAGGTGTGGCTGAGGTGAGAGGATCACTTGAGGCCAGGAGTTCGAGACCAGCCTGGGCCACACAATGAGACCCCTGCCTTTACAAAACAATTTTTTAAAAAAATTAGCTGGGCATGGTGGCGTGTGCCTGTAGCCCCAGCTACTCAGGAGGCTGAGGTGGGAGGATTACTTAAGCCTGAGAGGTTGAGGCTGCAGTGAGCCTTGATTGCGCCATTGTGCTGCAGCCTGGATGACAGAGCAAGACCCCATCTCAACATATGTGTATACATCTATCTATCTATCTATCTATCTATCTATCTATCTATCTATAGCTATATCTGTCTCATCTCTCTCTCTCTCTGTCTATATATATATATATATATATATATATAAATAAATATGTTCTTTTTTTTTTAATTTAACAAAAGCAGGAAGTAGACAGACACAGTGGGTGGTTCATGCCAGTAATCCCAGCACTTTGGGAGGCCAAGGCGGGAGGATTGATTGAAGCCAGGAGTTTGAGACCAGCCTGGGCAATATAGTGAGACCCCTAACTCTACAGAAAGTTTAAAAAAAAAAATCAGCTGGGTGTGGTGGTATATGCCTGTAGTCCCAGCTTCTTCACATCACTGCACTCCAGCCTGGGCAATAGAGCATAACCCTGTCTCTTAAAAACAAAAAACAGGAATATATGTAGTAGAGTCACCTTGAGTGTGGATTGGGAGAAGAAGCTAGGACAGGAAGGACACTAATGTGTTTGTGTTGGGTAAACAAACCCTGTTTATTGGGAGACCACCTGCTCCAGAAGAAAAGACACCAGGTGAAGACAGGAAGCTGGGTGCTGCTAACTGAATGAGCTGGGACAAGGCCCTTCCCTTACCTAGGGATAGATAATAAAAAATATTTTATTGTATATTTTTAAGGTAGTAGTTCCTTGTCTGCAGAGTGGGGATTTAGATTACATCTATCCTTTTGGTTTTGTCTACTCACTATGAATTCCCCTATCATAACAGCATCCTAATTTCTCTGGGAGCCCCCTTCTTTACTCCCTGTCCATGTGAAAGGCATGCAGCACTAACTTTATCCTTGGTTCCAGGAAGGCCAATGCTCCATGCTGGCCAATCAGCACCCCTCATTTCTCTGCCCATAGGGATTGGCTCAGAAATGGGCACCTGCCCCAAGTGGACCAGTGAGTTATCCCTCAGGTTTTTGCTGGGATTGTTTTGCTTCTGCTGCGCTAGGCTGGTATGAAGAGGGTCTGAAGCTCAAAGGTAGCCACCATTGTGAGAGTGAAAGACTGAGCCCTGATAACTTATGAACCCCTGAATCCAGCTGTACCTGAAGGCAGCCACATATTCCTGAACATGTTATTCTCCATGAGTCAATATGGTTCCTCTTTGTTGTTTTTTTGTTTTTTGTTTTTGAAATGGAGTCTCGCTGTCACCCAGGCTAGAGTGCAGTGGCACCATCTCAGCTCACTGCAACCTCCACCTCCCGGGTTCAAGCAATTCTCCTGCTTCAGCCTCCTGAGTAGCTGGGACTATGGGCACGTATCACCACGCCCAGCTAACTTTTTTGAATTTTTAGTAGAAACAGGATTTTGTCATGTTGGCCGGGCTGGTCTTGAACTCCTGACCTCAAGTGATCCACCTGTCTTGGTCTCCCAAAGTGCTGGGATTACAGGCATGAGCCACCGCGCCCATCCTCAATATGGTTCCTCTTTGGACTTAAGTCACTGTAGCAGATGACGTGGCTTCTGTGTCCATATCCCCTTGGCATTCATCCTTTTGACCCACAGTGAGTGGATGGCTTCAAATTTCCACGCCTATCTTTGCAGCCTGAGGGCTTTGCTCTCATATACGCTCTGCATACACAGTCTGAGAATGCTGGGGGCTTCACCCTCCCCTACAAGCAGCCCTTAACCAATGAGTGACAGGGGCTGGTGGATAAATGTCCCCACTCCCTTGCCCTTCACCTGGATAATTCTGAGGTGTATTGCACTCTGTGTCCCACAGTTCCCCAGCAGGGTTGAGCCCCAGCTGCCCAGAGTGATAACCTGCTCAGTAACTTACCTTCTATTGGTTTCTTTCCCTTCCCTGTCCTACTTCCCTCCCCGACCAGAGCTTCCTGGGATCATTTCTCAAGTAAACGATTTAATATCTGCACACAAATCCTTGTCTCAGATCTGCTTCTGCAGGAAACCAACCTAAACGTTTCGTAAGATTGGTTTTCTGTCACGCACAGCTAAAGCTGCTCTGGCAGACGCATGGTTCAAGAATTCTTTTAAAATATTTGCCTCATAACTGTATTTTTCCAGCCTGCTTTTCAGCTCAAAGGAAGTATATGCACTGAGTTGACTTATCAGTGTGCATAGCAGAAAGGGACCCAGTAAGAGAAAGCCCCCTGAGAGGCCCTGGGACAGCTGAGTGATCCACCCTGGCTGCCTCCTCTCCACCTCATTCTCACACACTAACCTTTCCCAACCCTTTTCATTCCAAGGCTCCTAGCCAGCGCCCCCCACCTGCCTTAGGAGATAACCCCAGTTCCTTCCTCGGATTCTTTCATCTGCAAGGCCTCAGTGTTCTTGTCCGGCCAGTGATAAGGACATTCAACGTCATTTTCCTGTCCCTGACCTTTGAAAGAACCCTACCCATCTGGGGCCTGTGATGTAGACTCAGACTGAGATGTTCCATCTTGGGGATATAATCAGTGGGAAAGAGAGAGATTCCTGAGAGGTCATCATTCATTCATTCATTCATTCAAGAAATATTTATGGAGTGCTTGGGCAAGGAATTCTAAATTGCAGAGTCAACTAGAGCCAGCTTAAGCAGAAAAGGAATTTTTTTTTTTTTTTTCTAAGATGGAGTCTTGTTGCCCAGGCTGGACTGCAGTGGCACAATCTCGGCTCACTGCAACCTCCGTCTCCAGGGCTCAAGTGATTCTCCTGCCTCAGCCTCCCAAGTAGCTGGGATTACAGGTATGCACCACCACGCCTGGCTAATTTTTTGTATTTTTAGTAGAGATGGGGTTTCACCATGTTAGCCAGGCTGGTCTCAAACTCCTGGCCTCAAGTGATCCACCTGCCTCGGCCTTCCAAAGTGCTGGAATTACAGGCATAAGCCACCGTGCCTGGCCCACAAAGGGATTTATGAAAGGTAGGAAGTACTCTAGATGTTAAATAGCCACAAACGGTGCAGCCAGGAGCATCGATGCCAGGAGCAACACTCACCTTCACTGTTGAACTGTTCTAATCAAAATATCACTGCTGCTGCTGCCCCCCTCTCCCCAAACTCAGGACCTAGGTAGCTAGAGACAGGCTGCTAGAATTGCCCCATGCTTCCCCAGAAGGACCAGATACCGCTCCCACTGTGCTTGCCAGAAGACTCCACCACTTGGCATCCTTCTGCTTGCTTCTGTCTCCAAGGCTTACTAGGGGAACCCAGATCACATAAGGCACTCTTGCTGCAAAGAAATCTCAGAATGTAGTTTTTCTCTGTCTGGCCTTTACAGTACAGGAGGTCACACTACAGGGGAATGGGATAGGTGAGTGAGCCAATCTGTAGTATCTGCCGTAGGCTCACAACAATGATAAAGTCAGGGCTGGGCACAGTGGCTCATGCCTGTAATCTTAGCACTTTGGGAGACCAATGTGGGAGGCTCCCTTGAGGCCAGGAGTTTGAGACCAGCCTAGGTAACAGTGGGAGACCACTCCATCTCTACCAAAAAAAAAAAAATTAAGTGGTGGTGTGTGCCTGTAGTCCCAGGCTGAGGAGGGAGGAATGCTTAAGCCCAGGAGTTCGAGGCTACAGTGAGCTACGATCGCACCACTGTACTCCCGCCTGAGCGACAGAGCAAGACCCTGCTCTAAAAAAGAAAAATTAAAATAAAAAAATTTTAATGATAAAATCAGAAGAGTCCCCTGCTTTCCAGGAGCTCACCATTGACAGGAGGATATCAACACCAAGCAATTCCAGGAGGGAGAGCATTCCAAAAGGGAAATTATAGACAGTTACACACACATAGACCAAGAAAACTCAACCTATTCTAACAGGACCTCCTGAAACAGGTGCCGTTGTACATGATGTGTGAAGGTGTTTAGAGGCTAACCAGGCAAAAGAAGGGCAAGAGGGAATAGCACTTCAGGCAAGGGAAAATCTCATATGCAAAGGTCCAGTGGCAGGGAAGGTGAGGGGTGCAGGAGGAAGTGAGAGAAGCCCACTTCTCTCTGACTGGAGAACAGAGAACAAGGGGAACAGAGGGAAGGAAGAGGGGCGGTAAGGGAATAGACCATGACCTTGTGGTCCATGATGTGGAATTCAAACTGTCTCCTAAGGCCAGTGGTGACCACTGAATGCTTATGAGTAAGGCAGTGACATAATAGCAACTGCTAATATTTATTTATTTATTATTTTGAGATGGAGTTTCACTCTTGCTACCCAGGCTGGAGTGCAATGGTGTGATCTTGGCTCACTACAACCTCTGCCTCCCAGTTCAAGCGATTCTCCTGCCTCAGCCTCCCAAGTAGCTAGGATTACAGGAGCCTGCCACCACGCCCAGCTAATTTTTTGTATTTTTAGTAGAGATGGGGTTTCGCCATGTTGGCCAATCTGGCCTTGAACTCCTGACCTCAGGTAATCCCCCCACCGTGGCCTCCCAAAGTGCTGGGATTACAGGTGTGAGCCACCGTGCCCTGCCTGCTGATATTTATTGACCACTTATTCAGTGCCAGACTTTTTTCTAAGCTGCTAACATGTATCATTTAGTATGTATTTGCAACAACCCTGTAATTAAGGTTCTCCAGACCACGAGCAAATTACTCAGCCATTCTGTGCCTCAGTTTCCTCATATGCACAATGGGAGTAATCATAGAACCTACCACAAAGAGTTAGTATGAGGGTTACAATGAGTGCTTGGCACATGGGAAATGCTGTGTATGTATTAGCTTTTGCTACTATTATTCCCATTTTATAGATGAAAAAGCTGAAGCCCAGAGAGATGAATCAGTTTGTCTGAGGTCACACAGCTAATGCTAATAAGGCATAGAATGAACAGGACAGGTGTGGCGAAGGTAGAAGTGCTGGTGGGCGTGGAGAAGCCACATCTTCATCCTAGGAGTGATGGAAGTGTGGACCACCCATTGGGACCCATGTGGCCAGCCTCTGTTCTGACTGGTCAGTGCCTAGGTCATGCCGGTTCTTAAATATTTCATTATCACCCTGTTATTACTACATATATGACATTGTTTTGTGGATTTAATATTTACACAAACGGTATCATACTAAATGTTAACTTCTGCAAGTCCCTTTTCTCACTCAACATTACTGTATGTTTAAGATCTGTTTAGATCTAGTTCATTCATTTTATTTTCTTTTTTAGAGATGGGGTGTCACTATGTTGGCCAGTCTGGTCTTGAAATCCTGGGCTTAAGTGATCCTCCCACCTTGGCTTCCCAAAATGTTGGGATGACAGGCGTGAGACACCGTGCCCAGCCATTCATTCATTGTTTTTTTTTTTTTTTTTTTTTTTTTGAGACAGAGTCTCGCTCTGTCACCCAGGCTGGAGTGCAGTGGCTCACTGCAACCTCTGCCTCCTGGGTTCAAGCGATTCTGCCTCAGCCTTCTGAGTAGCTGGGACTACAGGCACATGGCACCACACCTGGCTAATTTTGTATTTTTAATAGAGACGGGGTTTTGCCACGTTGGCCAGGCTAGTCTCAAACTCCTGACCTCTCAGGTGATCCACCTGCCTTGGCCTCCCAAAGTGTTGGGATTACAGGCGCGAGCCACACCATTCATTGATTTTAATTGCTCACTAGTATTCCTTTACAGGAACATGTCATGGTCTCCTTGCCCACTATCCCATGGATGCCTATTTAGTCCACTGCACTTTGGACCCATTGTAGGCAAAGCTGCCACACCCAACTTTGCATATGTTGAAGCTTCTCTAGGGTGAATACCAGGAAGTGGGATCACTGGTCTCAGAGTTCATACGTTTCAACTGCCAAGCAGCAGTACATGAAGAGTTCTTGTTTCTGCACTTCCTTACCGATGAAAATAATACCACTACCCCACATGACACTTACTATGTGCCAGGCATCTTTCTAAACATCTAACATGAAATAACTCATTTAACCTCTCAAAAAACTTTGAGGTGAGGTACTATCATCATCTCCACTAGATAGATGGAGAATGAAGACACAGAGAGGGCAAATAACTAGCCCAAGGTCACTCAGCTAGGAATAGTAGAGCATGGCATGAACCCAGAGAGGCTGGTTCCAGAGCCTGGGCTGTTCATCACTCCTGTAGGCCTTGGAATTTTCTGGTTTTCAAGTTGCTGCCAGTTTATGACTGTGAAATGTCTCTAAGTGCTTTAAGTTGCATTGCCTGCTTAGAAGGGACCTTGAGGACCTTTCCATCCATTTTTTGGCCAATCAAGCATCCTCTTCAGAAAAATGCCTCTTTCTAGCCTTGGCTGTCCCTGAGTTTCTGATCTTTTCTGCAAGTATGCCTGGAGGCCAGGACTTGGGGCGGGGCCTGGCACAGTGAGCGCACTTGGTAAAAATGTACCAGACTCACCAGGCATGGTGGCTCATGCCTGTAATCTCAGCATTTTGGAAGGCTGAAGCAGGCAGACTGCTTGAGCCCAGGAGTTCAAAACCAGACTGGTCAGTGTAGTGAGACCCTATCTCTACAAAATAAAAATTAAAAATTAGCTGGGCGTGGTGGCACATGCTTGTAGTCCCAGCTACTCAAGAGGCCTCTGAGATGGGAGGATGGCTTCAGCCCAAGAGGTCGAGGCTGCTGTGAGCTACGATTGCACCACAGCACTCCAGCCTGAGTGACAGGGCAAGACCTTGTCTTTGGGAAAAAAAAAAAAGTGTTCACTTTGGCAGCGCATATACTAAAATTGGAACAATACAGAGATTAGCATGGCCCCTGTGCAAGAATGACATAAAAAATTGTGAGGTGTTCGATATACAAAAGAAAAAAGAAAAAAAAGTGCCAGACTGACTGGTGGTGTCTTTCACGTCTCTCACCCTCTCTTCCTCCTGGGAGGCCAATGCTGATGAATAAAGCTTCTGCTTAAGTCACTGGCCCACGTCTGTGCTGTGCTGGGCACGCACAGTGGCCCTCTTGCCTCAAGCTCATTTCCTCTTCTGTTATCTGACCCTAATCTAGTTCATGATCTGATCTCATCTCCTTCGACTCTCCTTGTCTCTTGTTTCTCATGAACCCCACTGGCTGTCCTCCTGTCTCTTCAGTGGCCAAGTTCATTTCTACCTCAGGACTTTTGCATGTGCTGCTTCCTCTGCCTGGAACACTCTTCCCGTAGTGGCTCCAACTCATCCTTCAGGCCTCAACTCAAATGCCACCTCCTCAGAGAGACTTTCCTGATCACTCTGTTTAGAAGAAACAGAGGCATGAAGAGATTGAGCATAATTGTCAAAAATTGTACAGCTGGCTTATTGATGAGATTTTTGAATTATGTTATCTTATTATGTGCCTATATTTCTAAATTTTTTCTACAGTGGTGATGTGTTCCCTGTGTGAATTTTTTAAACCTCAAATTCAGGCTGGACATTGAGGCTCATGACTATAATCCCAGCACTTAGGGAGGCTGAGGCGATAGGATCGCTTGAGCTCAGGAGTTCAAGACCAGCCTGGGCAACATAGTGAGACCCCATCTCTACAAACAATTTTAAAATTAGCCAGGAATGGTGGCATGCACCTGTAGTCCCAGGTACTGGGGAAGAAGAGGTGGGAGGATGTCTTGAGGCTAAGAGTTGGAGGCTGGAGTGAGCTATGATCACACCACTGCACTCCGGCCAGGATAACAGAGCAAGACTGACTCTTAAAAAAAAAAAAAACAGGCCGGGCGTGGTGGCTCACGCCTGTAATCCCAGCACTTTGGGAGGCTGAGGTGGGCAGATCACGAGGTCAGGAGATCGAGACCAACTTGGCTAACACGGTGAAACCCCGTCTCTACTAAAAATATTTAAAAATTAGCCAGGTGTGGTGGCGGGCACCTGTAGTCCCAGCTGCTCAGGAGGCTGAGGCAGGAGAATGGTGTGAACCCAGGAGGTCGAGCTTGCAGTGAGCTGAGATCGCGCCACTGCACTCCACCCTGGGCAACAGAGCGAGATTCCATCTCAAAACAAAAACAAAACAAAACAAACAAAAAAAGCAAAAAAGAAAGACCTCAATTGTTGTTGTTGTTGTTGTTGTTGTTGTTGTTGTTTTGAGATGGAGTCTTGCTCTGTTGCCTAGGCTGGAGTGCAGTGGCACGATCTTGGTTTACTGCAACCTCCGCCTCCCAGGTTCAAGCAATTCTCCTGCCTCCGCCTCGAGAGTAGCTGGGATTACAGGTGCCCGCCACCATGCCTGGCTAATTTTTGTGTTTTTAGTAGAAACAGGGTTTCTCCCTGTTGGCCAGGCTGGTCTCCAACTCCTGACCTCGGGTGATCTGCCCACCTTGGCCTCGCAAAATTCTGGGATTACAGGTGTGAGCCACCACACCCAGCCAAGACCTCAAATTTAAAATGAATTAAGAGCCAATCCTGAGAGAATACGAATGAGTGTCTGGGGCTCTGTTTTTCAAGCCTCCTGGGTCAGAATAAGATCATAGCATTCTTCATCCTCCATGATTTCCTTACTGCCCACTTTCCCACGCCTTTCCATCTGACGATCGTCCCTCTTGGCTCTGAATCAGAAGGCTAAAAGCAAAGTGTAGGTCCACAATCCTCTCTGATAATCAGCCTCCCCTTCCCTACAGATGTTTCTCATTGCAAAATGGGAATAATGCCAGGTGCGGTAGCTCACACCTGTAATCCCAACAGTTTGGGAGGCCGAGGAGGGAGGATCACTTGAGGTCAGGACTTCAAGACCAGCCTGGCCAACATGGTGGAGCCCCATCTCTACTAAAAATACAAAAATTAGTTAGGTGTGGTGGCATGCACCTATAATCCCAGCTACTTGGGAGGCTGAGACAGGAGAATCACTTGAATCTGGGAGGTGGAGGTTGCAGTGAGCTGAGATTGTGCTACTGCACTCCAGCCTGGGTGACAGAGAGAGACTCCATCTCAGAAACAAAAGGGATAATAAAAGACCTACTTCACAGGGATTCAGCATGATGGGGCTGAAAGACATTTGGCGGAAGGAAGACTATTGCTGTGTGGGAACCGTACTGTGTGGTGAGTTTGGAGTCAGATAAACTCTGGATCAAAGGCCAGCTCACTGTGTGATCTCAGGCAACTCAATCTCTGAGCCTCACTCTCTCTGTAAAATAAGGACAATAAAAATACCTACTGAGTTCTTTAGAATGCCCTTCACTAGAAAGAAGTGGGTAACAAAACTCAAGCGTGCTTTACTGGAACAGGCTCCCCTGGCTCCCCACACAGGACATTTCTAGGACGGGGGAGCAGGAGATCCAGCAGCCTAGTGATCTCATCCTGGAGCCAGGCTTTTTCCATGTCTCCGTCCACAGTGTTGGTTTCATCCTCAGGCTGGTCCTCCTCGTGATCGCAGGATGACTGCCAGGAGCTATCAGGGCCACGGGCATCCTCTTTCATGTCTGGTAGGAAAATAGATTCACTTCCAGGCCATCTTCCTGGAAGAGTGAGGAAGAACTTTCCCAGAAGCGTCTGGCAAACTTCTCTCCACTTCTCATTAGCCTGAGGTAGGTCAGAGGCCCATTCCGGAACCAAACTCTGGCAAAAAGATGCAAGTCTCATGATTGGCTTAGACTCATTGGTTCCAGTGCCTGTGGCTGGGCTGGGATGGATGTCGAGGAGTCAGTCAACAACATTGTCCTCTCTACCTGCCTCGAACAGTTACTGGGAGAAGAAAATGAGATCATGCTTGCAAAGCTTAGCATACAGTAGGTGCTCAACTAATAATAGCTCTTATTACTATTACAGGCTGAGTATCCCTCATCCGAAATGCTTGGGACCAGAAGTGTGTCAGAATTCAGATTGTTTTGGATTTTGGAATATTTGCATTATATTTACCAGTTGAGCATTCCTAATCTGAAAATCTGAAACCCAAAATGCTCCAGTGAGCATTTCTGTTGAGCATTACGTCAGTGCTCAAAAAGTTTGGGATTTTGGCGCATTTCAGATTTCAGATTTTCAGATTAGGGATACTCAACTGTATTATTATTATTTTCTTTTTTGAGACAGGGTCTTGCTCTGTCTCCCAGGCTGAGTACAGCAGTGCGATCTTGGTTCACTACAGCCTCAACTTCCCAGGCTGAAGTGATCCTCCTGCCTCAGCCTCCCGAGTAGCTACCTGGGACCGCAGGTGCCACCACACCAGGCTAATTTTGTTTAGTTTTTGTAGAGAGGAAGTCTCACTATGTTTGCCAGGCTGGTCTTGAACTCCTGGACTGAAGCGATCCTCCTGCCTGGGCCTCCCAAAGTGCTGGGATTACAGACATGAGCCACCGCACCCAGCCTTCAACAGTATTCTGATTATTATCAACATCACCATCATCCTTTGGGGGCTTTGATGTCAGGCAGGCTCTGATCAAATCCCAGTTTCTCCACTTCTTAGCTGTGTGGCCTCATGCAAGTTGCTGAGCTTCAGTTCCACCCTGCAAAATGGGAATGATAAGTGCTCCTATCTCTTGTCATTACTGTATGAAAATAGTTAATGCTCCGTATGTGCCGATAATGCAGTCCTTTGGCCTTCCCATTAGGAATTTGGGTGGCCTTTTCCTGCCCTCAGTAGATGTGATTCAGGTGAGGGAGACTCTCCCTTCTATTCCAGAAGTGGGCACATTCTCCTCACTTGAATTTCTGAATCCCTCAGGTCGATATGATTGGTTCAGGGAGCCAGAGAAAGAGAGTCTGTCTATCCTCTAGAATTGCTGGCTGGAAAAGTGGAAGCTAGGAGCTGCGGGAAACCATCTTGGGGAGAGCTGGCTTGAAGTGGAGCCAACAAGAGAGGAAGCAGAGATGAGAGATGGAGAGAGGCAGAGGACTGTTGACTCTGTTGAGCTCCTGGATCCAGCCATGCCTGAATCGGATTTACCACTGGACTTTTCATTATGTGAGCCAATAAATTCCCTTTTTTTTTTTGTAGAAGAAGCCAGTTTGAGGCGGGGGTTCTGTCACTTGCAGTGATGTGTGTGGAGTCTAGTCCAGACCAGGCAGGATGGGGAATTAGAAAAGGAGATAGTCCTCTGAGGGCAGAATTATGCCTACCTAAATCAGCTTGGTATTCCAAGAGTTTTGCCCAGGCCAATGCATAGAATGGAACTCCAGAAGTATTAGGAGTTAAAAGCATAAATAGGCTGGGCCTATTTGTGCCCTATAATCCCAGTACTTTGGGAGGCCTAGGTGGGAGGTTCGCTTGAGTCCAGGAGTTCAAGAGCAACGACAACAGCCTGAACAACACAGTGAGACCCCATCTCTGCAAAAACAAAAATAAAAAATTAGCTGCGAATGGTGGTGTGCACCTGTAGTCCCAGCTACTGGGGAGGCTGAGGTAGGAGGATCGCTTGAGCCCAGGAGTTTGAGGTTGCAGTGAGCCACTGCACTCTAGTCGGGGTGACCGGGCAAAACCTCATCTCTAAAAGTAAAAAAAATAAAAATAAGAACACAAATAGAGTCTAGTGAGTATCCCTCCAGACTTCTTCTCTGTGCTTATAATAAATAGTCATATACAAACACAGAAGAATATTTTTACAAAAATGGAAGCACACTCTACATTTTCAGTTCAAACACTCCCTCCCCAGTGACCACCCCATCTGAAGTGGCTCCGTCTCCATCATGCTTTCTTGCATGCTAGCGTTTTTCACTCCCTAAATTAACTTATTCAGAGCAGACATTTTTCTCTGTTTGCCACTGCTGTGTCATCAGTACCTTTCACAACTGGCCAAGTATCCAACACACATTTGTTGAGTAAGTATCACTCTGTAGTTTGTGTGTTTCTTTTAACTTGTAGCGAAGTAGACATGGATCTGCTTTGACCTTTGAGACGAATGCATGGAGATCTATTGATCGGATGGGCCACGTTTGTTTCCCACACTTCGTTGAAAAATTGGGGGTGAAAAAAACTGGGAGTGAAAAAATGGCCAAACCAAAAGAAGGGTGAGTCATTCCCTCCTACCCCAAAATACAGAGGAGAGGGTGAAGAAGGAGGACCGCCCCTCCTCGCTCCAGTAAAGCCTTTAACAGGCCCATCCTGATTTACAGGGAGCGGACTTGGTTTCCTGTTCAAGAATTTCCAAGGCAAAAACAATCCTCAAACACATGAAGATGAGGTTGGGCAAATAACTCATGGATGGTCTCAACGCTGGAGGGCAAAGTTGTTTATTAAGCTCCCGACCCTCAAAGGGAATTACTTAAATTTTTTTCTTGATTATAAAAGTAGTATTCCAGCCTGGGCAACAAGAGCGAGACTCCATCTCAAAAAAAAAAAAAAAAAAAAAAAGTATTGGCTCATCACTATGAAAAAGCATTTTCAGAGAATACAGAAAAGTGTGAGGAATAGAATAAAAAACAGTCATAATTTTGGAGCATTTTGTAAGTTAGCCCATAGATTTTTTAAATGCATACACATGTACTTAATTCTAAAGTGAACCTGTGCTATCTTTTTATTTAACAGTAATCCTAAGATTTATTGAGTATGTACAATGCATATGCTAGTTGCTCTCTGTGTATTAATCCATTTTATATTTACAGTAGTCCTGTGTGATAAGCACTATTATTAATTCAATTTTATAGATGGGGAAACTGAGGCAGAGAGCAGTTAAGTGATTTACCCAAGATCACACAAGGTGGCCAAGCTGGAATTCAGAAACAAGTAATCTGGCTTCAAGGCCCATGACGTTAACCACTATACTACATTGCTAAGGCAGAGCAGAGACCCCTCCCAAGTTAATACCCATAGATATGAGTCATCCTTTTTAGTGCCTGCACTTATTCTTCTATTACTAGATAATTGGGCTTTTTCTAGTTTCCCCCTACTAGGAAATAGAGAGAAACTTCCCTTTTGGGCTTTAAATTAGACAAGAAAATATGCGGTTAGATGTCACCACAACTTGTACTTCTTTTTTTTTTTTTTTTTTTTGAGACAGGGCTCGCTCTGTCACCCAGGCTGGAGTGCAGTGGTGCGATCACAGCTCACTGCAGCTTTGACCTCCCAGGCTCAATCTATTCTCCCGCCTCAATCTATTCTCCCACTTCAGCCTTCTGAGTAGTTGGGACTACAAGTGCACACCACCGTGCCTGACTATTTATTTCTCTTTTCTGTAGACATGGGGTCTCACTGTGTTGCCCAGGCTAACAACTGGTATTTCTAACCCAGGAGAAGCAACGAAGGGCTCAGCCCTACTTTGAAGCAATCGCCCCATTATGCACATATATATTGACTGGGGGAGGTTATTTTATTTAAGAAACATCCATGAAGTACTTATGTGCCAGACAGACATGGCTTCAAGAACTTCTGAATAGGCTGGGCACGGTGGCTCACGCCTGTAATCCCAACACTTTGGGAGGCCGAGGCGGGCGGATCACGAGGTCAGGAATTCGAGACCAGCCTGGCCAACATGGTGAAACCCCGTCTCTACTAAAAATACAAAAACTTAGCTGGGCGTGGTGGTGGGCGCCTGTAATTCCAGCTACTTGGGAGGCTGAGGCAGGAGAATTGCTTGAACCCAGGAGGCAGAGGTTGCAGTGCAGTGATCCGAGGTCACGCCATTGCACTCCAGCCTGGGCAACAAGAGTGAAACTCTGTCTTAAAAAAAGAAAAAAAGAAAAAAGAACTTCTGAATATTAGCTCACTTCACCCAAAAATAATACTCTGAAATACATACCAGGGAAACTGAGGCACAAGGGGGTTAACTTGCCCAACATGACAGAGGCAGTAAGTGGCAGTGCTGAGATCTGAACCCCGGAAGCTTGGCTCCAGTGTCTGGGTTCTTAACTCCCAATCAGCCTCTCTGTCTACCCCTTGGCCCAAGAGAGCTGGCCCGCCCTGGGGTACTCAAAGCAAACCCACTTTCAGCTGAGGACTGACGGCAGCAAGGTGAATATATCTATTTTTCCTTTTAAGTGATACTCATGTATTAGCTCACAGTTCTGTAGGTCCTAAGCTCATGCAGGCTCTGCTGTGTTATACGTTCAGGGCATCACATGGCTGAAGCAGAGATGTCAGCTCACTGGAGTCCTCATCTGGAGGCTATGGGAGGAATTGGACTCTTTTCAGATTGTTGGCAGAATTCAGTTCCTTGCAGCTGTAGAACTGAAGCCCCCATTTCCTTACTTGCGATTCTCTCTGCAACTAGAAGCTTCCTGCATTCCTTGTCCTGTGGCCCCTTCTTTTTTTTGAGACAGAGTCTCGCTCTGTTGCCCAGGCTGGAGTGCAGTGGCGTGATCTCGGCTCACTGCAAGCTCCGCCTCCCGGGTTCATGCCATTCTCCTGCCTCAGCCTCCCGAGTAGCTGGGACTACAGGCGCCCGCCACCATGCCCAGCTAATTTTTTTTTTTTTGTAGTAGAGACGGGGTTTCACCATGTTAGCCAGAATGGTCTTGATCTCCTGACCGCGTGAGCCACCCATCTCGGCCTCCCAAAGTGCTGGGATTACAGGCATGAGCCACCGCGCCCAGCCTATATCTTTTTATTTATGGCAAATATTTTAACTGTCCCACAGATTTGTCTTGAATAAGAAGCAAAGAGACGGGAAAACCCCTTAGAAACAGGTGTGTAATGGGACTTTTCTTTTGTTTCAGTTTTGGTTAAGGGCTTCGTGCTGAGGTACTGTGGCTCTCTCTAGAGACAGCTGAATGTCTGCTGAGTTAGAAAAGGGGAGACTTCCCCAAACCGTCTATGAACCCTTAGCCCATCACCTGTGTTGAGGGTGTACCGGGAAGACTTGAGGATTACTGAGGGGAAAATAGAGGTTATGGAGAAAGTTTCCCCTTCATTGAAAATGCCTGGGCAGGGTGCGGTGGCTCACGCCTGTAATCCCAGAACTTTGGGAGACCGAGGCGGGTGGATCACCTGAGATTAGGAGTTCGTGACCAGCCTGGCCAACGTGGTGAAACCCCATCTCTACTAAAAATACAAAAAATTAGCTGGGCGTGGTGGTAGGCGCATGTAATGCCAGCCACTTGGGAGGCTGAGGCAAGGAGAACCCAGGAGGCAGAGATTGCGGTGAGCCAAGATCGCGCCATTGCACTCCAGCCTGGGCAACAAGAGTGAAACTCCATCTCAAAAAAAAAAAAAAGTTTGCAAAAATAAAAAAATAAAAAATAAATAAAGGGCCGGGGACAGTGGCTCACTCCTATAATCTCAGCACTTTGGGAGACACGGGCTGGCAGATCCCGTGAGCCAAAGAGTTCAAGACCAGCCTGAACAACATGGCGAAAACCCGCCTCTACAAAAAAATACAAAAATTAGCCAGGCACAGTGGTTGTGCCTGTAGTCTCAGCTACTTGGGAGGCTGAGGTGGAGGATCACCTGAGCCCAGGAGGTTGAGGCCAAAGTGAGCAGTGATTGTGCCACTGTATGCCAGCCTGGGTAACAGAGTGAGACCCTGTCTCAAAAATAAAATAAAATAAATAAAAATTAGAAGAAGAAATAATTGAAAATTCTGAAAAACATAAAATAAAAAAGGCAGTTTCCTTGGAGTTTTCTGTGCTACTGTGGACATAGCACATAGTAGGTGCTTAATCCATACTTAATGATTTATGTCAGGTGCTAGTCTAGGTACTAGACCCCCTGTGAGCCTAATGGGGATGACAGGTCACAAGGAAGTAAATTTGAAAAAGAAACAACATTGTGCTAAGTGAAAGAAGCCAGTCATAAAATGCCACAGATTTTATTCCACTTACATGAAATGTTCAGAATCCGTAAATCCATAGAGACAGAAAATAAAGTAATGACTGCCAGGGGATGGGGCAGCAGGGAGTGACTGCTGATAGGTGCAGAGGTTCTTGTTGGGGTGCCAGAAATGTTTGGGAATCAGACAGTTGTGATGGTTGCATAACATAGTGAATACACTAAAACCCACTGAATTGCACATGTTAAAATGAAGTTTTTGTTATATGAGTTGTATTTCAATATTTATTTAATTTAATTTAATTAATTAATTTATTTTTTGAGACAGTCTTACTCTGTCACCCAGACTGGAATGCGGTGGTACGATCTCGGCTCATTGCAATCTCCACCTCCCAAGTTCAAGTGATTCTCGTGCTTCAGCCTCCCAAGCAGCTGGGATTACAGGTGTGCACCAATACGCCCGGCTAATTTTTGTATTTGTAGTAGAGATGGGGTTTTGCCATGTTGGCCAGGTTGGTCTCGAACTCCTGACCTCAAATGATCCGCCTGCTTTGGCCTCTCAAAGTGTTGGGATCACAGGCATGAGCCATGGTGCCTGGGCCATATTTCAATAATAATTTCAAATATGTTTTTTTAAAAAGGACAAAACAGAGTAACTTCACATAATAGGTACCACGAGGACAAGAGAGTGAAATGCTGGAAGATGCAGTGGCTGGCTGGGGCAGGTGGGAGACGGCCTCAGTCAGGGTGCTTCCATTGTATGGGATCTGAATTATGACTAGGAGGCAGCTCTATGTATATCTAGAAGGTGATAGACAAAGGAACAGCAAGTGCAAAGGTCCTGAGCTGGGGAGGAGCATGGCATGTTCAAGGAGCAGATAAGTGAGTTGGGATGCAGGGGAAAAGGGACAAGAGACCCCTTCAGGGAAAGGGAGCTGACCAAACAGGGCCTTGCAGACTGCCAAGAGGAGTTTGGGTTTTGTTTGCAGTAAAATGGGGAGCCGTGGGATGATTTTGAGCAGAAGAGTAACATGATCTGATACATACTTCAAAAAGACTGCTTGGGCCAGGCACCATGGCTCATGTCTATAATCCCAGCACTTTGGGAGGCTGAGGTGGGAGAATCACTTGATTGAGCCCAGGAGTTCAAGATCAGCCTAGGCAACATAGCAAGACCCCGTTTCTACAAAAAATAAAATAAAACAAAAAATTAGCCAGGAACGGTGGCACGTGCCTGTAATCCCAGTTACTTGGGAGGCTGAGGTAGGAGGATGGCTTGAGCCAGAGAGGTTGAGGCTCCAGGGAGCTGTGATCCCACAACTGCACTGTAGCCTGGGGACAGAATGAGACCCTGTCTCTCAAAAAAAAAAAAAAAAAAAAAAAAAAGACTGCTTGCACTGTCATTGTAAGGTAAATACAGCTACAGACATACAGATATTTTGGTCAAAGATAGACCACAAATACAATGGTGGTGTCATGAGGTTATAATATGGTACTTTTACTGTGCCTTTTTTGTGTTTAGATATGTTTAGACACACAAAAACTTGCCATTGTGTTACCATTGCCTGCAGTACCCAGTACAGTAACATGCCGTACGGGTGTGTAGCCTACGAGCAATAGGCCATACCATAAAAGCCTGGGTGTGTCATAGGCAACACCATCTGGGTTTGAAGAAGTCTGCTCTAGGATGTTCGCACATCAAGATCGCCTGACCACACGTTTCTCACAATGGATTCCTGTCCTTAGGTGATGCATGACTGTGGTAGGCAGGTAGGAGTAGAAGCAGAAAATGTAAGTAAATCCGTTTGACACTGTGCTTGTGACCTGCAACACTCAGTAACTGCCAGTCATCTTTCATAAACTAGAAACAAGCCAGCTTGTCATATTTATTTCAATACAGAAAGTCAAGGCCGTGGGTATTTTGATCTTTCTGTCTTGATGCTGCCTCACCTCCCTGTTCTGAGTCACCAGCCCTGTGGATTCTTCCTCCTCCACCCTCACCCGCTTTGTGTCCTCCACACTGTCCCCACCCTAAGACCTGATGACCGATAGAAACACTTGCATCCTTGGCTTACCTTTTTTCTTTCCCCCTTTAAAAAATATCATAGTTTTGGCTGGGTGCAGTGGCTCACGCCTGTCATTCCAGCACTCTGGGAGGCCGAGGCAGGAGGATCACTTGCACCCAGAAGTCTGAGGCCAGCCTGGGCAACATAGTGAGATCCTGTCTCTATTTTTATTTTGTATTTATTTATTTATTTATTTATTTTTGAGACGGAGTCTCACTGTATTGCCAGGCTGGAGTGCAGTGGCATGATCTCGGCTCATTGCAACCTCTGCCTCCCGGATTCAAACAATTCTCCTGCCTCAGCCTCCCGAGTAGCTGGGACTACAGGTGCACACCACCATGCCCGGCTAATTTTTGTATTTTTAGTGGAGACGGGGTTTCAACATGTTGGCCAGGATGGTCTCAATCTCTTGACCTCATGATGCACCTGCTGCAGCCTCCCAAAGTGCTGGGATTACAGGCGTGAGCCACCGCACCTCGCCTATTTTAATTTTTTAAAAAAAATCATATTTTAGTACCTGTAGTCCCAGCTACTTGGGAGGCTGAGGCAGGAGAATTGCTTGAATCTGGGAGGCAGAGGTTTCAGTGAGCCAAGATCACGCCACTGCACTCCAGCCTGGCAATAGAGCGAGACTCCATCTCAAAAATAAATAAATAAATACAAAATAAAAATAGAGACAGTGTGTCACTATGTTGCCCAGGCTGGCCTCAGACTCCTGGGTGCAAGTGATCCTCCTGCCTCGGCCTCCCAAAGTGCTGGAATGACAGGCGTGAGCCACTGCACCCAGCCAAAACTATGATATTTTTTAAAGGGGGAAAGAAAAAAGGTAAGCCAAGGATGCAAGTGTTTCTATCGGTCATCAGGTCTTAGGGTGGGGACAGTGTGGAGGACACAAAGCGGGTGAGGGTGGAGGAGGAAGAATCCATAGGGCTGGTGACTCAGAACAGGGAGGTGAGGCAGCATCAAGACAGAAAGATCAAAATACCCACGGCCTTGACTTTCTGTATTGAAATAAATATGACAAGCTGGTCTGTTTCTAGTTTATGAAAGATGACTGGCAGTCACTGAGTGTTGCAGGTCACAAGCACAGTGTCAAAGGGATTTACTTACATTTCAAATGACGTGTCATTTGCAGAAAAAAAATATTAAAAATACAAATAAGCAAAAGGAAAAACAATATCCATGACCCACAATTGAGAAATAACCATTATCGAAACAATATTTCAATATGTTACTCCTGTCCTTTTTTGTTTCTTGGTTTAAATTTTATTTGTATTGAGGTCATACATGCACATAAGTTGAAGAGTCAAATTTTCTAAAAATAGGAATCCCCACTTCACTCTCTCCTCTCATTTCTGCCTCCCCAAAGATAATCACTTTGAGCTGATTTTTTGGGTATTTAACTCCATGTCTTGGAATAACATGCTTCTATCGCCACTTCTTAGTTTTTCTGTTTTCAGTAAAATCTGCTTTCCCACTCTGGGCAATAAGGGTTCTGCCCTCTTTCCCTCTCCTCACCTGCCCAGCCCATGCAGAGACCCTTCCCATCCTTTATTCTCTCAATATAGTTATATGGTTATTCTTGTGAGATTGACATTTACAGTATACATTATTGTGACTATGTAAATGCCATTCACAGCTGAGCTCCGTGGTAAACTATGATGACCTTTACTTTTCTCCTTTTCTGCAACTTTTCATTTTTCTTTTCCTTTTTTTTTTCTTTTGAGATGGAGTCGCCCTCTGTCGCCCAGGCTGGAGTGCAGTGGTGCGATCTAGGCTCAAGGCAACCTCCACCTCCCAGGTTCAAGTGATTCTTCTGCCTCAGCCTCCCAAGTAGTTGAGATTACAGGTGTGTGCCACCACGCCCGGCCAAAACTATGATTTTTTTTTAAAGGGAGAAAGAAAAAAAGTAAGCCAAGGAAGCAAGTGTTTCTATCGGTCACCAAGTCTTAGGGTGGGGACAGTGGGGAGGACACAAGGCAGGTGAGGGTGAAGAAGGTTTTGAACTCCTGACCTCGGGTGATCTACCCACCTCGGCCTCCCAAAGTGCTGGGATTACAGCTGTGAGTCACCATGCATGGCCTGGAATCTGGATTTTTTTCACAAACTTTCTCAGAGAATTACACCTGACTCCACTGAATTCTACAAGCCCAGATTTTCTATTTTTGCTTAGTAATTCTAGTGCCTGTTACGTGCTAAGTGGCCAGGGCCAGATTAAAATGTTAGCATCCAAAGGTATTAAAGAAATTATGCCCCACTCGTTCCCATGTATAAATCAATATGAAATGATAATAAATAGCAAAAATACATGAAGAGGGCTGGGTGTGGTGGCTCACGCCTGTAGTCCCAGCACTACGGGAGGCCAAGGCGAGCAGATCACCTGAGGTCGGGAGTTCGAGACCAGCCTGACCAATGTGGAGAAACCCCATCTGTACTAAAAATACAAAATTAGCCGGGTGTGGTGGCACATGCCTGTAATCCCAGCTACTCGGGAGGCTGAGGCAGGAGAATCACTTGAACCCAGGAGGTGGAGGTTGCAGTGAGCCGAGATTGTGCCATTGCACTCCAGCCTGGGCAACAAGAGTGAAACTCCGTCTCAAAAAAAGAAAAAAAAAAATACATGAGGAGAAGTCCAACAGATCTTATTTTTCCTATGGCGTGGTGGGTAGGATAATGGCCCTCCAAAGATGGCCACGTGCTAATTGCTGGTCCCTGTGAATATGTTACAGGGCAAGGACGAATTAAGATTGCAGATGGAAATAGGGTGCTAATCAGCTGACTTTGAGACGGGCAGATTATTCTGATTATGTAGGTGGGTCCAATGTAGTCAGAAGGGTCCTAATAAGAGAAAGAGGGGCTGGGCACAGTGGCTCATGCCTGTAATCCAAGCACTTTGGGAGGCCAAGGTGGGTGGATCACCTGAGGTCAGGAGTTCAAGACCAGCCTGGCCAACATGGTGAAACCCCATCTCTACTAAAACTACAAAAATGAGCTGGTGTGGTGGCGGGCACCTGTAACCCCATCTACTTGGGAGGCTGAGATGGGAATCGCTTGAACCCCGGAGGCGGAGGTTGTAGTGAGCCGAGATCATGCCACTGCACTTGAGCATGGGCGACAGAGCAAGACTCAGTCTCAAAAAAAAAAAAAAGGGGGGGGTGGAGGGGAAGAGGAAGAGGAAGACAAGAGAGTCAGAATCAGAAGCAGAGCATGGGGTGAGGCAGTCCTTGGCTTTAAAAATAGCGAGTGGACCATGAGACATGGGATGCAAGCAGACTCTAGGAGCTGGAAAAGGCAAGAAAGTTTATTCTCCCGTAGGGCCTCCAGAATGAATGTGACCCTGCCAACACCTTGATTTTAGCCCAGTGAAAATCTTTATCTTCTAACCTACAGAACTATAAGATAATTCATTTGTGTTGTTTTAAGCCAATTCCTTGCCATAAAGCTCTTAAAATATATCCCCTTTTGGTTCTGCTTCTCTGATTGAATCCTGACTGATATACATGGTAACCAATTTGATTCCCTGTTTAATAAAAGCATTAAAGATCAAATTCTTAGCCAGGCACAGTGGCTCATGCCTGTTATCCCAGCACTTTGGGAGGCTGAGGCAGGTGGATCACTTGAGGTCAGGAGTTTGAGACCAGCCTGGCCAATATGGCGAAACCCCGTCTCTACTAAAAATACAAAAATTAGCTGGGCATGGTGGCACACGCCTGTAATTCCAGCTACTTGGGAGGCTGAAGCAGGAATCGCTTGAACCCAGGAGGCAGAGGTTGCAGTAAGCCGAGATCGTGCCACTGCACTCCAGCCTGAGTGACAGAGTGAGACTCCATCTTAAAATACAACAACAGGCCAGGCCTGGTGGCTCATGCCTGTAATCCCAGCACTTGGGGAGGCCAAGGCAGGCGGATCACGAGATCAAGAGATTGAGACCATGCTGGCCAACATGGTGAAACCCTATCTCCACTAAAAATACAAAAATTAGCAGGGCATGGTGGCACATACCTGTAGTCTCAGCTACTTGGGAGGCTGAGGCAGGAGAATTGCTTGAACCTGGGAGGTGCAGGTTGTAATGAGCCGAGATCGTGCCATTGCACTCCAGCCTGGGTGACAGACACTCCATCTCAAAAAAAAAAAAAAAAAAAAATCCAAAGAAGAATGGTATTTCATGACATGTGAAAGTAATGCAAAATTCAAATTTCAGTATCCATAAAGTTTTGTTGGAACACAGCTATGCCTATTTATATTATTTATGCTGCATGCAAACTACAGAGTTGATTTGTTGCTACAGAGATAGTAAGGCCCACAAAGCCTTCAGTATTTACTGTCTGACTCTTTACAGAGACTGGTCAGGGAGGGCTTCCCTGAGGAGGGGACATTTAAGCTGAGACATGAATAACAAGAAGACTGGAGATAGCGGGCAGAGCTGTCTAGGCAGAGACAATGGAGAGCAAAGGCAGTTTTCTCTCTAATCTTGTAACAGTCTTCTAAAGAGAAGCGTTATTAAAGAAAAAAAGAAAAAAAAATTGAGGGGGCCCTGAGGCTCTGAGGGTGCTGTAGCCTCTCAGGGTCACGGAGACTGTAGGTCCTGAGGAGGGGTTGGGAACCAGCACTGTCTGGCACCAGAATTTGTGGTGCCTTATGCTGCCTCCTTCTCGGCCTGACACAGCATTGGAGCCCAGAAACTGCATGTTGAATGGCTTTATTCACCTTCCTCGGGGAAGGACCAGGGATTTTAGATTCATTCTCAGGAATAGGTGAGAAGAGCCAAAGACTCACCCATGGGCATGAGAGAATGTTCTCTGCAGCCTCATGGTTAGTGGTAGGCCCAGAGGAGGCCAAGGGCAGTAGGCAAGACAACGGATAGAGAAGAGTAGTGAATTCCAGCTATGTGGAGTTTCCAGCTTGGCGAATTCCAGCCATGTGGGGTTTATTGGTGCTGGTAGAAAATGGTAGCCTCAAGCCCTCAGTTGACAAGTGTGGCCAGAGAGAACCCCACTCTCAATCCTTTGTAGACCAGGTCATTCCCGCCAGGCTCTGTGCTAACGGAGGAGAGTAGGTTATTAGTCCCATTTAAGAGCCAGAGAAATTAAGGCAGTGGAGAGTAGCAGGGCTACTGGTTTAAAAACACTGGCTCTGTGCCTGAATCCCAGCCTTGTCATTTGCTAGCTGTGGGACCGCAGGCAAGTGCCTTGATTTCTCTATGTCTGTGGATAATGATGGTATCTACCTCAAAGCTATGTAAAGAATTAAGGAAACAATAGCCCAACACCACACCTGCAGGAAGGAAGCAAGTTTATTATTACTCAATAAACATTGGTGGATCCTGATGACATTCTCTCAGTCAGCTTTAGCAGTCTTAAGAGACTGCAGAGGATGGAGAACCCAAGGTTAGAGCCAGATTTCTTCTCTACCCAGTTCCTCGGGGCCAAAACCCTGACACCATGCTTAACTCCTCTTTTATACGCCATAGTCCGTCAGCAAACCTTGTCTTCAGTATGCGTCCAGGAGTCCAACCATTCCTGCCACCTCCACCGTATTACTTTCATCCAGACTGCCATCAGCTGTCACCTAGATTATTGCAAAAGCCTCCTTGCTGGCTTTGGGGCTTCCATCCTCTCTCTCTCGCCAATCCCCAGTCAACTCCCAACAGGCAGCAAAGCTTAGGTTACTTCTCAGTTCAAAACCCTTCTAGGTGTGCTAGAATTAACTGATTTATTTACTCAATGATTATTTATTATTGAGTGTCTACTATGTGCCAGGTACTGTTGTAGGCATTGCAGATAAAATGGAGAACAAAACAGACAAAAATTTCTGCATTCATGAAGCTTCCGTTCTCATGGAGGGAGATGGTTAACAAACAAGTGTATGAGTAAAACATATGGTAGGTTAGGTGTCATGTGGAAAAATAGTTTAGGGAAGGCGGGGGGCCTTGGATTTTAAGTAGGGTGGTCAAGGAGGTCTAACACACAAGATAAGGGTTAAATAAAAGGCCAAACGTAGGAGAGGTGGGAGCCAAAGAGCTACCCAGAAGAAGAGCATTCTAGATAAAGGCTCAGTAAGTGCAACGGTGGAAGTATTCCTGGTGAGTCTGGGACAATAGTGGAAAGTCAAAGTGTGTGGGAGGGGAGATATAGAGCCCCATGCCCCCCTCCCACACACTTCAGAGGGGAAAAGGGGGCAGGATTGAGTCCTGTACATTCCCCACGTTTTTTTTTTCTCTGGAGATTGGAAGCCATTGGAGGGTCTAAGCAGAGGAGTGATGAGTTAAGCTGCTGTGTGGAAGTCCGTAAGGAACAGGGGTGAGTCAGAGACCCTGAATGGAGCCGTTGCAATTATCCAGATGAGATAGAGTGCCTTGGATCAGGAAGGGAGGTAGCAACAGAAGCGGCCAATAAAGTTCAAAGTCCTCAGCCCCAGTCCTCCCGATGGGGGTCTCACCTACCCCTCTCACCTCACCTTGTTCCTCCCTGCATCCCCACCCCACCGGTCACTGCTAGGCACATAGAAGCATCTACTAAGCATGTGGTGAATCAATGAACCCCTTAATGAATGGTCCACCCCTAGATCATCAGCATCCTTTTTAACGCTAGGCATATAGTCTGAACTCAACACATGTTTACAGATGGAATGCTGCACAGTCCTGCCAAGTCCAGGCGGTTATTCCTCTCCACAGCCGAAGGAAACTAAGGCTCGGGTGGGGAAGTGTCCCCCTGGGGTCTCTCCGCTTAGGCTGCAGGCTGGGCATCCTTTTTCAAACTCTTTTAGCACAGCGAAGTCGAGGGCACTGGGTGGAGGGTGCTTGCTTGCCCTCAGGGTGAGTCACAGTGACCTCAGAGGAGTTTCCCCAAAACGTCCCCGCCCTGTGATGGGGAAAAGCCGGAATCTCTCGGTCCCAGGTGGTCATGTGGCCCAGGCCGGACAAGCGTCCCGAAAGCCCCGGGAGAGACTAAGAAGCAATCCTCCCACGCGCTTTCTCCCACCCTCGGGCCACTGAGACGGAGGGACAGAGGGCCGCCCTCGCGCGGCCGAGGCCCCGCCTCCCGCTCGCCCGCCCGCGCCTCCAGCGGAAGCCGGAAGCAAAAGCGGGTCCTGCTAGCCCCGCGGCTCCGAACTCGGTGGTCCTGGAAGCTCCGCAGGATGGGGGAGAAGATGGCGGAAGAGGAGTGAGTGGGCTTTTTCCCGGGCGGCGGAGGCGGCGGGGCTGGGCCCCGGCGGGTGACAGCGAGCGCCTCAGGCCGCCCTCCGGCCCCGGAAGGCGGAGCTTCTTTTGCTGGTTGGCCAGGACTGACCAAGCCGGTGCCTACGAGGAGGGCGGGATGGGCGGGCCTGGGCCCAGGTGGGCCTTGCTTTCCCCTGGAGATCGGTCCCTCGAGCTGGGAATCTACTGCCCAGCGCAGGCCCGGAGAGCTGTCTTGCGGAAAATACAAACCATATTTACTTTCCCAGTTTTCGGTAATCTCATGGTTACTGAGCCCTCTTCCGCCTCCTCCAGGAAGTCGTCCGGGTTCTCCACACCCACCTCCTACGTAGCCAGTCGCCTCCTGTATAACGATCAGTTTTCATGTCTTTCTCCTTCACTAAGTTTCATTTAGTCATTAACTGTTAGCCATCTACTCAATTCCAGGCCCTGGGCAGGTGGTAGGAAAGGAGGCCGACCAGGAGCCGCTCTCTGGGAGCTTCCATTCTAGTGGGAAAAGAAGACCATAATTAGTCAAGGTGGTTTCAGATCGTGATTAATTAACGTTATTTGTGCCTAGTGTTCCATTATTGGAACGCTAAGCATGTGGGAGTTATTTATATCCTACTGCTCAAGGTCATCGCCAAGGTCTGATTTTTCTCACGTCTGCAGTTCTAAAAATTGCAACCTCTGGCATGAATGGGTTAAGTGTTCTGAAGGAAGCAAAATAGAGTTAAGGTTGGGGAGTCCACTCAGGAAAAAGTGACATTCAGCAGAAACTTGAATGACCAGAATGAGGGATAGGAGAAATAACATCAGGTTCAAAAGGCCTGGCTCAAGAAAGAGTTTAGTGCTTTTGAGTGACAGGCAGCATGGCTGGTGTGTAGAGAGGAAGGGGGTTAGCTGGACAAGGGGAGATGGGGAAGGACGGGCTGTGTCCTCCAGGTACTTTTGGGCAAGTCCAAAAGTCATCTCCATACCTGCAGGGCAGAGTCTGTTGCAGATTGTAGATGCCCTATCACTGTTTGTGGAATGAGTATGTGAAGATGAATAAGGAACCCCTTCATTGATACTGGAGTCCTTCACCTGATAACTTTTCAAATATATTTCTTGGCCATGTGGGGGTCATTTCATGTAATCAGTTATTTATTGAGCAGCTGCTCCATCCCAGACACTAAACAGCCTCAGCAGCACAAAATAAAAGAGGCAATATAGCCCAGCGATTTCAAGTTTGGGTTTTCAGCTTGATTCTGCCACTAACTGAGATGTTGGTGAAGTTTTGCAACCTCCCTGAGCCTTAGTTATGCATGAGTAAAAAACGGAAAGTAATCATACCCAATCAGACATGTTATACCTATTAAATGAGAGGTAGTGTGTTACCTAGTTCCTGGAATAAAGCAGTGCTCAGAAAATAATAACTTTTGTAGTCACAGTAACAGTTATTATAGCAATATTGTACTAGTTCACAATCCCAGCACAGTGTGAAAGAGCTGTGGGAACATACGCAGTGGAGTGGGTAAATTCGGGTGTGGTAAGATGGGGTAATAGGAGGTGACATTTGAGCCGTTTGAAATCTGAGAGGGATTTTGTAAAGTAGGGTAGGGCATGCCCAGATCAACAACTGGGCAAATTGAGGTGGCTTCTTCAACTTGCAGAAATAATGCCAGGAAAATAATGTAAATTGGAGAAACAAAGGTGCTAAGTAAACAGTGTTGGACCTTGGAAAGTGATGAGACTCCAGTTTGCCTCCCTTTAAATCCCCCAGTATTTGCCAAAGAGCAGGCAGCATTTCATTTCTATACTAGCTCTGATTCCCTACCGTTCTTGTCCTCTAAGTGGCTGTATTCAAAAGCACCAGAGGCCACTGGTACCCTTGTGCTGTGCAGGCAGGGATTTTCTTAGTAAGTTTCTCTCGAAGGCCTGCCTGTTAAAGACTTCTGAATCCCATAAAGTTCTTGGACAGCTTCTCTTTCTGGTGTGAGGTGTGTGAATTGATGTTTTGGGACCCTTTTCCATTATCTAATTATGCTTTCTATGTCCTCCAGGAGGTTCCCCAATACAACTCATGAGGGTTTCAATGTCACCCTCCACACCACCCTGGTTGTCACGACGAAACTGGTGCTCCCGACCCCTGGCAAGCCCATCCTCCCCGTGCAGACAGGGGAGCAGGCCCAGCAAGAGGAGCAGTCCAGCGGCATGACCATTTTCTTCAGCCTCCTTGTCCTAGGTGAATATGGACACTGTCATCCCCATCATCTGCCATCCCGTGTCTGTGTGCTCGGTCTGTGTGTTTAACCCTGTCACTCCTCTTGACTGTCAAGTCTTCCTCCCATTTGGTTTTCATATCAAACACTGAGGGAACATGATCAGTTTATAACATCATTAACAGGAAACTCTCTTCTTTATAAAATCATGGTGCTTAGCAAGTTCTGAAGAGCTGTTGATGTAATATCTTGGC
Organism: Homo sapiens; assembly: GCF_000001405.40. NCBI lineage: Eukaryota > Metazoa > Chordata > Mammalia > Primates > Hominidae > Homo > Homo sapiens. The sequence goes on from NC_000020.11 coordinate 49,815,421, forward strand.
CTTTGAAAGAAGGATTAAAAAAATTTTGGCCTAGAAAGAATCTTGAGGCCTGGCGCGGTGGCTCAAGCCTGACATCTCAGCACTTTGGGAGACTTGGGTGGATCACTTGAGGTTAGGAGTTCAAGACCAGCCTGGCCAACATGGTGAAACTCTGTCTTCACTAAAAATACAAAAATTAGCTAGGCGTAGTGGTGTATGCCTGTAATCACAGCTACTCAGGAGGCTGAGGCACGAGAATCACTTGAACCTGAGAGGCAGAGGTTGCAGTGAGCCGAGATCACGCCGCTGCACTCCAGCCTGGATGACAGAGTAAGACTGTCTGGAAAAAAAAAAAAGAATCTTGAACATCTAGTTTAATGGATTTCAAGTTCTACTCAAAGGAGTATGCACCTGTGCAGGGGATGAAGGAGCAGGGGGTGGGGTGGCAGGAGGTGGGAGGAGTCAGATGGGAGAATATCTGACCCCCTGCTCCTGGCTTCAATCAGAGCAGCATTTTGTGTTCATATTTATTTGACTTCCATGTGAATTTTATTTAATGGTTTTGCTGCTGATTGAAAGAGCAGAAACCCTTGCCCCAGCACCCTGTTTTCCTTAACCTCTGTCATTCTCATTAACCATGGTCATGACTTTTGCCATATCTATGTACCACCTGTATTGTTAATTTAGTTATGTACTATTTTTGATTAAATGCATTCACTCTCTGAAAACCTCATTTTGGGCCGAGTTTGGTGGCTCATGCTGGTAATACCAACACTTTGGGAGGCCAAGGCAGATGGATCACTTGAGGTCAGGAGTTCCAGACCAGCCTGGCCAACATGGTGAAACCCTGTCTCTACTGAAATTACAAAAATTAGCTGGGCGTGGTGGTATGTGCCTGTAATCCCCGCTACTCAGGAGGCTGAGGCAGGAGAATTGCTTGAACCTGGGAGGCGGAGGCTGCGGTGAGCCAAGATCGTGCCACTGTACTGTAGCCTGGGCGACAGAGTGAGACACTGTCTTAAAAAAAAAAAACAAAAAAAACCAAAAAACTAATTTTGTTCAACCTTCTCTTTTAGTGTGTGAGGAAATTTCAGCATAGAGAAGTCAGGTGGTTGTCATACCAGGCTGATATAAGACTAGAGACTGATAACCAGGTTACCAGATACCAGTCGAGAGGTTTAGATAAAAGACAAAAACTTAAATGCCTCCCAGTGTGCCTCCATCTCAAAAAACAAACAAACAAACAGACAAAAAAGAAATCCAGTTGAAACTACACAACCACTTTTGATTAGCTAAGGAATAAATAGCTTTGAGTTTGACCCAAGTTCAAATTCTTTTTTTTTTCTTGAGATGGAGTCTTGCTCTGTCGCCCAGGCTGGAGTGCAGTGGCATTATCTCGGCTCACTGCAAGCTCTGCCTCCCGGGTTCACGCCGTTCTCCTGCCTCAGCCTCCCAAGTAGCTGGGACTACAGGTGCCTGCCACCATGCCCAGCTAATTTTTTGTATTTTTAGTAGAGTTGGCATTTCATTCTGTTGGCCAGGATGGTCTCAATCTCCTGACCTCGTGATCCACCTGCCTCGGCCTCCCAAAGTGCTGGGATTACAGGCGTGAGCCACCACGCCCAGCCAAGTCCAAATTCTTGTTTGGCCGGGCGCCGTGGCTCACACCTATAATCCCAGCACTTTCGCGTGGATCATCTAAGGTCAGGAGTTCGAGACCAGCCTGGCCAACACGATGACTCCATCTCTACTAAAAATACAAAAAATTTTAGCCAGACGTGGTGGCGGGCACCTGTAATCTCAGCTACTCGGGAGGCTGAAGCAGGAGAATCACTTGAACCCGGGAGGCAGAGGTTGCAGTAAGCCGAGATCGCGCCACTGCACTCCAGCCTGAGTGACAAGAGGGAAACTCCATACCCCACCCCCCCAAAAAAACAAAAACAAATTCTTGTTTGAAAGTGAAACAAGCATTTCATTTGCTGCTTTTCTTTAATGATACCAAAGTCATACTCCTAATGAGATTAGGTCTTTTCAGAAAGTTAAAAGGTGCAACTGTTTTTTTTTTTTTTTTTATTTCTCTGATGTGTATTAGGACTGTTTATTAAGGAAAAGTATAACTTCTCTTACATTTATATTCTGTCTCTGGTGAGTGGACAAAGAATTTTAATAATACACTTGAGGCCAGCGATTTGAGACCAGCCTGGGCAACATAGTGAGACTCTGTCTCCACAAAAAATAAAAGATTTTAATAATACGGTCTTTTTATTTGAAATCCTAGGACTCATCCTTGTCTGTCATAGTTTTAGAAACTTATAAACCGATACTGAAAAAGTACACAGACCAGAAGTATACAATGTCTCATATAGATTTAATACACCCTGGTAATTTTTTACCCTGTAAATGTAGTTGAATTCTATTTCTAGGGGATTACTTCAACAATGAAGGACTCTCTTTTGTTTTATTTTCTTTTTCTTTTGTGATAGTAGTCGAAGACAAAGAAGAAAAGCATTTCTTTTCTTGATTAAGAAATCTTTAGTAGCTGAAGTCTTCCTTCAGGATTAAGGAGTATTATTAATCTATTTACACTGCTGTCAATTTGATATGTTAGACAATATAAAAGGCGGGCCTGGAAAAAAAAAACTTTTGTAATCACTTTTTTTTTAAGGGAAATTGAAAAGTATAATATGACTTTTAAAGTAACTTCCAGGGCGTGGAGCATTTAAGATTAGCTGAACAAAAGACCACAAAACAGGTTTCTATAATGTACTTTTTAAACCAGGCAAAATCCTGCCCAGTGTTAATACATCTTTGGGGCCAGAAAGGCTGAACTTGCTGTATATTTCTCTTGGATTGCCCTCTCCAAACAGATTATAAACCTAGACTCTAGAGTCACACCAATGTTAGATGGCTTTCATTTTCACCTAATCAGATTCTTGATAGTTTATGAGTTAGTGTCTCTGCTTATGTGGAGGTTAGCATGTATTACCAAAACAGAATGATGCTTTCTTTTTAAGTAAATTTAAGGCATTGTTTGCCTGTTGCATGTTATTTTATTTCTGATTAGATATCCAAACATTGAATTTTTTTTTTTTTTTTTTTTTTTCCCCCTGAGATGGAATCTTGTTCTGTTGCCCAGGCTGGAGTGCAGTGGCATGATCTCACCTCACTGCAACTTCTGCCTCCCGGGTTCAAGTGATTCTCCTGCCTCAGCCTCCCAAGTAGCTGGGGTTACAGGTGCCTGCCACCACACCCAGCTAATTTTTGTATTTTTAGTAGAGATGGGGTTTCGCCATGTTGGCCAGGCTAGTCTTGAACTCTTGACCTCAGATGATCCACCTGCCTCAGCCTCCCAAAGTGCTGGGATTATAGGCATGAGCCACCACACCCAGTTCAAACAATGTAAATCTGATGGTGTTTTAAAAATTGCTGTTATTAGGTAACTTGCTAATTCATGAATAAATGAACTCAAGTGAATTAAGGGAAATTAGCCCATAGTTTATTCTAGACCTCAGAACTCCTGACCTGGAATTCATTTGCCACTTTTTGTTACTCTTTTAGTTAATTCAAATGAAATGGTAACTTTTGTGTCCTGTAAGCACATGACAGGATTACAGTGTGTTCCTCTTTGTTGAGAAGGGATGACAAAACTCTGTAGTTACTTTTGATTTTTAGAAGCTTGAAATCAGTTGACTTGCATTTAACCGTTGTTGATCTTTGACTCCACAAGAAAAAATGGGGAATCATTGTTATTTACTTACACTAGATTAACAATTAACATTATTTGACACATACATTTTATGGGCCTTGAAACTTAATGGAGTTATTATGATTGATATGTGTTTTATATATTTTCCATAGTCATTACTCCAGGCATGAAAAATTGAAAGCACACCCTCCATACCACACAGAAGTGTTTGCCCTTTCTTGCTCGGTTTTTTTCCAAGTGTACTTGAAAACGTGCTTGTTTTTGCATATACAGATGTATATTCGTAAGTACATGCAGAAACACAAATAATACATGTTTGGAGTTGCAAATTTGTTTTGACATAAATGGGGTCCCATAACTTGCCTTTTCATCTCACAGAATGTCTTGGAGATCATTGTATTGGTGTTTTTTCTGTCTACCTCATTCTTTTTTTTTTGTAGTAAATACATAACATACATTTACAATTTTAACCACTTTAAAATGTACAGTTCAGCAGCATCTAGTACATTCACAATGTTGTGCAGCTATCACTACTATCTAGTTTCAGAACATTTTCATCACCCCAAAAGAAAACCATTAAAAGCAGTCATTCCCCATCCCTCCCTTTTCTAGTCCTTGGCAACCACTATTCTGCTTTCTGTCTCTAGGAATTTGCCTATTTAGAATATTTCATATAAATGAAACCATATAATACGTGGCCTTTTGTGTCTGGTTTCTATTACTTAGCATAATGTTCTCAAGATTCATGTTATAGCATATGTTAGAATTGCATTCCTTTTTATGGCTGAGTAATATTCCACTGTATGGATATGCCACATGATGTTTATTCATTCATCAGTGAACATTTGGATTGTTTCTACCTTTTGGCTGTTGTGAATACTGCTGCTGTGAACATTTGTGTATAGGCTTTTGTGTGGATAAATGTTTTTATTTCTTTTGGATATATACCTGCAAGTGGAATTGCCGAGTCAAACGGTTACTGTATGTTTAACTTTCTCAGAAACTGACAAATGTTTTCCACAGGGGCTGCACCATTTTACAAGGGTTCCGGTTTCTCCATGTTCTTGCGAACACTTGTTTTCTGGTTTTAAAAAAATGATAGACTGGGCGTGGTGGCTCATACCTGCAATCTCAGCACTTTGGGAGGCTGAGGCGGGAAGATCACTTGAGGCCAGGAGTTCGAGACCAGCCTGGCAATATGGCGAAACCCTGTCTCTCCTAAAAATACAAAAAAATTAGCTGGGTGTGGGCGTGGTGGCATACACCTATAATCCCAGCTATTCGGGAGGCTGAGGCACTAGAATCATTTGAACCTGGGAGGTGGAGGTTTCAGTGAGCTGAGATTGCACCACTGCACTCCAGCCTGGGTGACAGAGTGAGACTCTGTCTCGGGGAAAAAAAAAATTATAGCTATCCTAGTGGATATGAAATTGTATTTTTGTTTTGTTTTGTTTTTTTTGAGATGGAATCTTGCTCTGTCTCCCAGGCTAGAGTGCAGTGGCATGATCTTGGCTCACTGCAACCTCTACCTCCTGGGTTCAAGTGATTCTCCTGTCTCAGCCTCCCATATAGCTGGGATTCAGGTGCGCACCACCACACCCTGCTAATTTTTGTATTTTTAGTAGAGACGGCGTTTCACCATGTTGGCCAGGCTGGTCTTGAACTCCGACCTCAGGTGATCTGCTTGCCTCAGCCTCCCAAAGTGCTGGGATTCCAGGTGTGAGCCACCGCACCAGGCCCTCACTGTATTTTTTAAAAAATCTTACATGTCCTTCCAGTGAATCATTGTATTTTGATTTTAGTTTCCCTTGTGACTATTGATGTTGAACATCTTTTGTCTATTCATGTCCTATGCCCGTTTAAAAGCTGTGGTGTTTGTCTCTTGGCTGTTGAGTTTAAGAGTTCTTTATATATTGTGGATAGTACACCTTTATCAGATATATGATTTGCAAATATTTTCTCCCCTTCTATGGATTGTCTTTTCTGACTTTATTCTTTTTAATGGCTGAAGGCTGTTACCTGGCATTGATGAGCCTTATATTAACTCTTTCTGTTAATAGTTTCCCCTTTTGCTCTTAAAGCCGCAAAGAGTTGTTTGATCTATTTATGAGAATAACTTAAATTTTTAAAAATCTAGCTTGGTACAAAGGAAGAGCAGAAACTGGTTCAACTCTCTTGGTCTATTTTCTGTCCACTTATGTGCTTATTTGCCGTTTTTTGTTTTGTCTAGACATTGGGCATGTTCATTAGTCACATGTTATGTTTATGCACTGGAACTTTTTTCTTGCCATTAGTATTTAATGTAGGATTTCTAACTAGGTTAAATATTTATATAAAAATAACACCACAGATTGATAGTTTAAAGCACAGAATGAAAAGAGGACAAAATGTCTACATTTACAACACTCTGGCCACCTGGTGTTTTTTGGTGGGATTAAAGAAACCTAATTTGTCAGTGCAGCCTCTGAGGGTGACCAGTTAACAGGCATGTGGATTGTTTAAACATTTCCTTGAAAAAAATAACAAAATTAATGTTAGTCCTGTTAATACTGTGGTTGATGAGCTGGTATACCATCTAGGTGCCCAGTAAAAGAAAGACATGCACGCTAACATTTGGATTAGGAAATTACATTCAGGAATAATTTTTGTGAAGTACCCATTTTTTTTGCCGGGGGGTTGGTGGGGGCAGAAATATCCCTTTCAAATCGTTTTATTTTACATCTTCTTATTTTCTTTCATAACAACACCTCTGTGAGGAAAGTTAGACATTATTCTGTTTTGGAGATTGAGGAATGAAGGCATCCAGCCAAGTGGGAGGTGGTGGGGTATGCTGTGGTTAAGAGCACAGATTTGGAATCTGACTCAATACTGCAGCACCTACCAGTGGTGTGACAGGGGCTGTGATGTCTAGAAGCCTCAGTTTTCTGATTTGTAATCAGAGAAGATAGTGGTAATGACAGCTAATTCCGAGGGAAGTTGGAGGATTAAATGAGAGAGTATTTGGGGTGTTCAGCCTAGTTCATGGCTCATGGGAAGTCCTCAGCCGATGGGAATGGCAGGACACAGCTGCACCCAGCTGGGGAGCAGGAGTGTTCCATATTCAGATCTCTGATGTTCTTGTCACCAAACCATTTACTTTTTCCTGTTTGTAAAACCCTTACTTCCCTCTATGTTAAGAGCCAGTCACATGATGGCAAAATAATTTGTGTCAATGCAATCTGTTGCAGTTACATTTATGTAAAAGTGATTGATTTCATTGACTTCCTCTTCACCATATAGTGTTCCAGTTGATAATCACTTCCAAAAAGTTGAAGACCATTTCTCAGAATCAGAAAAATTTGAATAATTTTAAATAATTTTATAAGGTTTAACAGCTTATATAAAAAAATAGGTTTCTGGCTGATCACCGTGGCTCACGCCTGTAATCCCAGCACTTTGGGAGGCCAAGGTGAGTGGATTGCTTGAGCCCAAGAGTTGGAGACCAGCCTGTGCAATGTGGCGAAACCCCATCTCTACTAAAAATACAAAAAAATTAGTTGGGTGTGGTGTCATGTGTCTCTAGTCCCAGCTACTTGGGAGGCTGAGATGGGAGAATCACCTGAGCCTGGGAAGTTGAGACTGCAGTGACCCTAGATCATACCACTGCACTCTAGCCTGGATGACACAGTGAGACCCTGTCTCAAAAAAGTTAGATTTCTGTTCCTCTTCCAATAACTACTGGGAAACAAACTAGTTCAGGCAGACAAAGAAGTATAGAGAAAATATAATAAACATTGTAAATGTACCTCCAGTTTAAGAAATGAGACACGAAAAACACCGCTGAAGTTCACTGTGTTATTCCAATTGTCCATTTCTGTGAGGACCCCCCCAGAAATAACCACTGACTTGAACTTGGTGTTTATCATTCAGAATTGAGTGTTTTTTTTAAAACATTGTATTATTTTTTTTTCCACAGCTATCTGCATCATATTGGTGCATTTACTGATCCGATACAGATTACATTTCTTGCCAGAGAGTGTTGCTGTTGTTTCTTTAGGTAAGTGTGTATTGGTGATTCCATAATAAAAGCAGTAACAATAACTACCATTTTTTGAGTGCCTCTTTAGTGCCAGGAACCACAAGAGATGCATCACATCCCTGATCTCATTTGATCCTCACTGCAACCTGCCCTAAGGGTGCTATGATCCCATTTTACAGATGAGGACACTGGGGCTCAAGAAGGGTAGTGACCTCCTAAAGGTCATGTAGAAGCCCAAAGGCCATACAGCTCTGTACAGCTCAAAGGCCCTTTCTTAGCCTTTTGCTTCTGGTAGAACTACCCTTGGGGAACATTGACCTCTACTGCTAGGCTAGGCTGACATCCAACTCAACTAAGGTAAGTAATGACACTTCATAGAATCACTCAATTTTATAGACAGAAGGGACTCTGACTTTACAGTTTAGGAGGAAGAAATGGCTCACTTAATGCCAGAGTCAGGTCTAAAGTCTTCAGAGAGCATTGTGCTCTACCCCACTTACATTTCTGTTTTGTTTCCTGTGCCAATTAACTGTTGAGATCTAGTTGCAGTGAATGAACCCGTGTAATAACAGGTGTGAATGCACACACAAGTTCATTGAAGTGGTTAGTGAAGGAAGAAGTGGGGAATTTCCGTAAGTGTAAGTTCAAGGCTAAAATGTGGGTGGAGACATGTAAGGCACAGTAAATAAAGTCTTACTAAGGTCAGCCAAAGCTTTTTATCAGTTTATTATATTGCAGTCACTTTTACTAGTTTCTACTTGCCTACTGATGGTATTTAATTTTTCCTGATCACTGCTGATGTTTAGAAATTAACTTTCATTGCCTGGTAGATCTTTAGTGGAGTAGTAATTCTTTCACAAGATAGTTATTGTTTAGATTAGCTTTGGAAATGATTGTTTAGACTCTGTTCACTAGCCTCCCCCTCCTCCCATCACCCCAGCAGTCCTACTACCTTGGTTCAGACTCTCCTGTATTTTCCCTGGACTTCAGTACTAAGTGCCAGATCCTGGCTTGTGAGGCTTCACATTGTCATCTATCTCATTTATGCCTTATGACCTCCAGGTGATGCCGTATTTTAAGGAATGGGCACCACTGGATAGTGTTGACCTCGAGTACAGGTTTCAAAACCAGTTTTACTCAAAAAGTTCTTGTTCTGTTTTTAGCATGTTTTTTAGCAATATATCTTGGTAGATTCTAACAACCTTAGCTAGTAAGATAGTCATAGAGCTCTAAGAATAGGAGCCTTGCTCATTAACATTCCTTTCTGCTATTAGGCATATTGAAAAGAACCTATGTGACTAATACCCATAATTCTGGGACATTCGGTAAAGGCTCTAAGAACTACTCCAAGGAATTTACAGTTGTGTGGTCAGTTTTATAGCTTCTTACATAAATTTGTTATCAAAATTATAGTTGGTGTGTATTTAGATATTATACACATGAAAATTAAAATGATAATTCTTATAATTTCATTTGGAATTTCAAGCTCCTCATGTTTCTTGAATGTCTGGGTAACTGCAGCTTGCTGAACACCAGTGCTTCTATTAGGACTTAGAGCAGACATTGTTGGTGGCTTACCAAAGAGTCATTTCCCCCTTCTTCCTTGAAAATAGAACCCCAAATTTGATCAGGTATCTTGCCACAGTGTGCTCAAGGAAGATGGGCCCCTCCAAGTCAAGATTGGTCTTTGCCATCATGTTAATTTCACTCTTCTCTGCCAATGATTAGTTCAGAGGGGTAGGGGCGGCAAGGCAGTGTGAAACCCAGTTCTGGCCAGTGACACCAAGGGGAAGCGTGATGAGGTAGTGGGTCCTGGAAAATGTTTTCCTCTCAGATAGTAATGAGACATTTCCCCTTCATTTCTTTGATGCTGCTGAATGAGAGTGTGATGCCTAGTGGACTGGTAGCCATCTTGCAACTACTGTGGCTCAAAGACAAAAGCCAGAATGCTAAGGATTGCCGAGGGGACAGATGGGAATCCCAGATTATTGATAGCATTGTTGCTTTGTTGAGTTGATAGCCCTGAAACTTCCTATCTTAGTGCTACCTTTTATATGAGATAATAAACATCTATTAGCTGTTGTTGACTTGGAATAAAGAAAAAAAACCAAAACCAACATCTATTGTTTAAGCCATTTTTAGTCTAGGTTCTTTTACTTGCAACTAAAAGCATCTTAACTAACATAGAACTCTTTCCATTCAAGGGACAAAACCCAATTCAAAAGAAAATAAATTGGCCAGGCGCGGTGGCTTATGCCTGTAATTCTAGCACTTTGGGAGGCTGAGGTGGGTGGATCGCCTCAGGCCAGGAGTTCAAGACCAGCCTGGCCAACATGGTGAAACCCCTGTCTCTACTAAAAATAGAAAAATTAGCTGGGCATGGTGGCAGGTGCTTGTAATCCCAGCTACTCTGGAGGCTGAAGCAATAGAACCACTTGAGTCCAGGAGGCGGAAGTTGCATTGAGCTCCAGTCAACGCCAGGGCACTCCAGCCTGGGTGACAGAGCAAGACTCTGTCTCAAAACAAACAAACAAAAAAAATTGGTGGGGGTAGGGGCGCTCACCTCTTGACTCATGTAACTGGCAAAACTACAGGTAGTATTAGCTTGAGACTTAGCTGAATCAGGTCTCCTGGACCCAGTTCTTCTCCATGCCTCAGCAGTGAATCCCTTTTCCCCGGCTTCGCTGTCAGGCAGGCTCTCTCCCTGTGGTACTCTGATCCGTTCTCAGACAGGCTCTTGGTGTGGTAAGCCCTTAAAGCAGTAACTGCAGTGGGAGAGAGAACCTCCTCTTCTTTCTGGCACCAAAAGTTGCAGGATGAACTCTGACCACCTGGCGACCTCAACTGGGAGTGGGGTGGAATGGTGTTGGGAGTCAGCCAGAGCTCTCCATCTACAAGGTTCATTTCTTCACTGATGTTGCAGAAATAATTGTAGCCTGAATAGCTAGGTCTTGGGAGAAGTGATGGAAAGGCAGTCTTGCTTTCAATGCTTACTTGCTAACTCAGGTGACTGGAAACCCAAGAGCACTTCCAGGGAGAGTGCTGAGGTCCAGAAAGTACTTTTTAAAAATTATGTTAGAGGACATTTGGTTAGAATTTGTAAATGCTGACATAGCTATCAAAGTAATTCTGTATTTCATAAAGCTAAAGAAATGGAAGGAAAACGTTTTTCTCCAGCTGGAGCAAAGTGTAACAAAATATTGAGATATCTACCATTTCAAGAATTTCCAACTTTGTGCCAAAAAAGAATCTAGAAGAAGTTGCCAGAGAAAGTATGGTTTTCGTTCTTTCAGGGATAAATTTTCCTCTCCTGCCAGAAGTTGCTTTGTAGCTTGCAGTCATTTCGAGACATTACTGGTCTTTTGCTTTATAGTTAGGTGTTCAGCATTCCTAAGAAATTCTCAGTATAGAAAAGGACCATCTGCACTCCAAAAGCACATGTCCCCTCCTTCTACCTTACTGTATTTTTAAATGAGTGTCTGTCTGGCCACTTTTCATTCTTTATAAAAATATAGTATCAACCTGAAGTTCTAAAGAGTTCCTTGGCCCCTGTTCGAAGCTTTCAGGATACTTTCCATACTTTATGGAATTCTGTAGTTTGGGCCTTTTAAAAACTAATTTCTTTTGCACAGTTAAACAACTACTATATATAGAAAAAAGAAAAATCTTGTTTATTGACAATTATTTTTATCTTGTTTCATTCTCTTCCAGTCCATGTGTAGACATGTCCGTATGTATTAGATGCCTTTGTATAGTTTAATTTGAGTTTATATCATTTTTTCTGTTCTTTCCATGTATTAGTTGAGTTCACATATTTATTTATTTATCTTTTTTTTTTCAGACAGAGTCTCCTTCTTTCACCCAGGCTGGAGTGCAATCACGATCTTGGCGCACTGCAACCTCCGCCCCCTGGGTTCAAGCGATTCTCCTGCCTCAGCCTCCTGAGTAGCTGGGATTACAGGCACATACCACCATGCCTGGCTAATTTTTGTATTTTTAGTGGAGACAGGGTTTCACCATGTCGGCCAGGCTGGTCTCGAACTCCTGACCGCAAGTGATCTGCCTGCCTCGGCTTCCCAAAGTGCTGGGATTACAGGCATGAACCACTGTGCCCGGCCCATATTTATTTTTTTACTGGCTGTGTAATGCTGATTCATGTATATATTTTAGGCTAAAATTTGTAAGGAATGAAAATGAGGCTGGGTGCAGTGGCTCATGCCTGTAATCCCAGCACTTTGGGAGGCCGAGGCGGGCAGATCACCTGAGGTCAAGAGTTCGAGAACAACCTGGCCAACATGGCGAAACCCCATCTCTACTAAAAATAACAAAAATTAGTCAGGCATGGTGGTGCACGCCTATAGTCCCAGCTATTCAGGAGGATGGGGCAGGAGAATCACTTGAACTTGGGAGGCAGAGGTTGCAGTGAGCTGAGATCGTGCCACTGCATTCCAGCCTGGGCAACAGATAGAGACTGCATCTCGAAAAAAAAAAAAAAAGAAAAAGAAAATGAAATACTTGTAAGCGTATGGCCAGCATCCTCTGTTGAATAATACCAAAGACAGGAGTTTCCCCCAACCCCAAAAATCATGCTTTATTTTAGAGTGAGAAAAGGCCAGATTAGGGTTATAAGTGGAGGGCTGAAAGTTTGACTTTCAGTTGCCAAAGTTTAGCCTTAATACTGCTGATGATTAGAAAAACTGTGATCTAACTTACAAACTAGATTTGATTGAATCATTGGGTAAATAGAATATACAAAAGTGCTCCCCTGTCATAACTTTTTAAACCATATTTGTGCTATTTAATTCTATTCCTTCTTGTTTTCTACTAAAAGATTTTAATTTTTTTGTTTTTTAAGGATAGTACTTTTGGCCAGTTACAGCTCTTTTAGAATTTGTCGAGCAGGCTTTCCAGTTTTTGTTGGAAAGCCCCCGTACCCCCACCAAAAAAAAATTTTTTTTTTTTTTTTTTTTTTTTGAGATAGAGTTTCACTTTTGCCGCCCAGGCTGGAGTGCAATGGCACGATCTCGGCTCACTGCAACCTCCGTCTCCCGGGTTCAAGTGATTCTCCTGCCTCAGCCTCCCGAGTAGCTGGGATTATAGGTGCCTGCCACCACGCCCAGCTAATTTTTTGTATTTTTAGTAGAAACAGGGTTTCACCATGTTAGCCAGGCTGGTCTTGAACTCCTGACATCAGGTAATCCGCCTGCCTCGGCCTCCCAAAATGCTGGGATTACAGGCGTGAGCTAATGCACCCCGCCTAATTTTATATATATATTTTTTAGTAGAGACGGGGTTTCTTCATGTTGGTCAGGCTGGTCTTGAACTCCCGACCTCAGGTGATCCACCACCTTGGTCTCCCAAAGTGTTGGAATTACAGCCGTGAGCCACTGTGCCTGGCCAAAAAATTGTTTTTAATTAAAAAAAAAAAAAAGGGCCTGGCACAGTGGCTCATGCCTGTAATCCCAGCACTTTGGGAGGCCGAGGTGGCCGGATCACCTTGAGGTCAGGAGTTTGAAACCAGCCTGGCCAACATGGCAAAACCTCATCTCTATTAAAAATACAAAAATTACCCAAGCATGGTGGCATATATCTGTAATCCCAGCTACTCAGGAGGCTGAGGCAGGAGAATCACTTTACTCCGGTAGACGGAGGTTGCAGTGAGCCAAGATTGTGCCACTGCACTCCAGCCTGGGTGACAGAGTGAGACTCTGTCTCAAATAAATAGTAATAATAATAATAATAATAATGTATTAATATATTTTACACATTAGCACAGTGCATGGCACACAGTATAGATGTGTGTGTGTGTGTATGTATGCATTTATTTCTTTTTAACACAGTGCAAATACATAGGTGTGTGTGTATGTGTGTATATATAGATTTTTTTTTTTTTTTGAGAGAGAGAGAACTTGTGCTGGGATTCTACACTTTGTAACCTGATTATTAATACATTTGAGGATGTTTTCGGTGGCCCATGCGTCGGGGATGGTTGGATAGTAAGATGGGGGCTGTGAGTTCGCTGCTCAGCAACTTGATGTGGGGGAAACTCGGCTGGTATCCTCCTTCACCAGGAAAGATCGTTAATCCACCGAAGGACTTGAAGAAACCTCATGGGGCTGGGCGCGGTGGCTCACGCCTGTGATCACAGCACTTTGGGAGGCCAAGGTGGGCGGATCACGAGGTCAGGAGATTGAGACCATCCTGGCTAACATGGTGAAATCCCGTCTATACTAAAAATACAAAAAAAAAAAATTAGCCAGGCGTGGTGGCGGGCGTCTAGTCCTAGCTCCTCAGGAGGCTGAGGCAGGAGAATAGCATGAACCCGGGAGGTGGAGCTTGCAGTGAGCCGAGATCGCACCACTGCACTCCAACCTGGGCAACAGAGTGAGACTCCATCTCAAAAAAAAAAAAGAACCTCATGGAAAGAAATGCTTCTTTGTGAAATTTTTTTGGAACATAAGATCATGCCTGGATTAAAGTGAAACAGCTGAAGCCATATCATGCTCATAAAGAGGAAATGATAAAGATTCACAAGGGTAAACTATTCCAGCAAGCGGTGGATGCCGCCAAAGAGTTTCTCAGGAGAGCCCAAAGGGAAAGATCAGACGTCATCCCACAATTCTGCTGATGACAAGAATCGGCTTAATTCCAGTGAGGAGAGAAGCAGGCCAAACTCAGGTGATGAGAAGTGCAAACAGCCTGTCTGAAGGAAAAGTGAAGAAGATCATGGGAGATGGAAAGAAGGGGGTGTCTTCGGGCTCTTCAGAGACAGGCTCCAAATCCCCTCTGAAAAGAATCCAAGAGCAAAGTCCCCAGAAGCGGGGTCAGCCCCCAAAGAATGAGAAGAATGTCACCATCGTGGAGTCCGGTACCTTGAAGTGGATGATGGCCGGACCAGTGGCTGCATTTAAATGGCAGCCGACCAGAAGCGAGCCTGTTAAAGATGCAGATCCTCATTTCCATCATTTCCTGCTAAGCCAAACAAGCCATCTCTGTCTGTTACCAGGCAATCACAAAGAAGTTGAAAATATGTGAAGAGGAAACTGGTTCCACCTCCATCCGGGCAGCTGACAGCACGGCCGTGAATGGCAGCATCACAGACAAAAAGATGGGATTTGGGGGCCTTGGTCTCATGAGAAGTGGAATCGTCTCTAACTTGCTAAAAATGGGTCACACAGTGACTGTCTGGAACCGCACTGCCAAGAAACGTGATTTGTTCATCTAGGAGGGGGCCCGCCTGGGAAGAACCCCTGCTGAAGTCCTCTCAACCTGTGACATCACTTTCGCCCGTGTGTTGGATCCCAAGGCGGCCAAGGACCTGGTGCTGGGCCCCAGTGGTATGCTGCAAGGGATCTGCCCTGGAAAGTGCTACGTGGACATGTCAACGGTGGACGCTGACATAGTCACTTAGCTGGCCTGGGTGATTGCGTCCAGGTCGGGGGGTCGCTTTCCAGAAGCTCCCATCTCAGGGAATCAGCAGCTTTCTAATCACAGAATGTTGGTGATCTTAGCAGCTGGAGACAGGGGCCTATAGGAGGACTGCAGCAGCTGCTTCCAGGCGATAGGGAAGACCTCCTCCTTCCTAGGTGAAGTTGGCAACGCAGCCAAGATGATGCTGATTGTAAACATAGTCCAAGGGAGCTTCATAGCCATGATCACTGAGGTGCTGACCCTGGCCTAGGTGACAGATCAGGCCCAGCAGACACTCTTGGACATCCTCAATCAGGGACAGTTGGCCAGCATCTTCCTAGACCAGAAGTGCCAAAATACCCTGCAAGGAAACTTTAAGCCTGATTTCTACTGAAATACATGCAGAAGGATCTCTGCTTAGCCATTGCGCTGGGCAATGCGGTCAACTCTCTGACTCCCATGGCAGCTGCAGCCAACCAGGTGTACAAAAGAGCCAAGGCACTGGACCAGTCCAACAATATGTCCGCTGTGTCCTGAGCCTGCATACACTAAGCCGTCGGACCCCCCACCCCCAGCCCTCTAATCTCTCCGCTAACTCCCTCTTCCTCACATGGGGTCAGGGGCCTGGGACTTTGCTCTGGACCAGCCCACCTGTCTCCATTTCCTTTTACACAGACTTTGAGACTTGCCATCAGCACAGCACACAGCAGCACCCTTCCTTTGAGGCTGGTATGGAGGGGATGAGTGTCAGCAGGATTGGCTCATGGGAAAGCTCTTGAGCTGGGCACTGGCCTCCACACGAGGAGGTGGCTGTGTGTGCACGCACACACACGAGGAGGTGGCTGTGTACACACACAAACACACACACACTCTCTCTCTCTCTCTCTCTCTCTCTCTCTGTCTCTCTCTCTCTCACCCCAGGATAGAAACTGCCCAGAAACAGCTGCCTGGCTTTTTTTCTTCTTCCAAGCTTGTCTTATCTCAAACCCCTTCCAGTCAAGGAACTAGAATCAGCAATGAGAGTTGGAAGCCTTCCCACAGCTTCCCCAAGAGCGAAGAGGCTATAGTCATGTCCACGTCCCCCGCTGAATTCTCTGCAGGGAGAGGACTTGGGCCCAGATGAGCCAGACCAGACTCCAGACAGAGGGTCCCGTGGGGCCCCCAAACTCAGGTGATGAGCTGAGAAAGAGAAAGATGTTCATGTCTAAGTGTCCAGTGTGCACCTAGCACTCCTTAGACGCCTTTGTGAACTGAAAAGAGACTGGCAGAGTCCTGCGAAAATGAGGCCCTGGCTTTCCAGGGAGTATGGTGAGCATCTGGCCTTCGCTGCCTGGAAGTGACACCCCAGACACCACTGCCACAGTGGGCGCTTGCCCCGCCCTGGGCTGTTCTAGTATTTGGATTTGCATTCCAGTCCTTGGGAGGGGGTCCTCAGGGTCATTAGTGAGGAGCCAAGAGGAGTGGGGTTGGGGGACACTCCTTCCTGTTTCTGTTAGGCCACAGACTCTTCACCTGCCTCTGAAGAGCTGCTCTGACCTTGGTCTCCTCCCCGCAGTCCCACATTCTCCAGCCTGCCCTGCCAAGCCCCTTGCATGCCCACTGCTCTCTGTCCTCCCTTCTCCCCACCTTCCTCTCATGGAGACAGTATTTCTTTCTGTCTGTCTGTCCCTTCTTTGGCCCAGACCCAGCCTGACCAACGATAAGCATTTCTTAGGCTCAGCTCTTGATATGGAAATGAGTGTCTTCACTCCAGCCAGCATCATGGTCTTCGGTGCTTCCAGGCCTGGGGTCTGTCGGGGGTGAAAAGAACTGGCCTGACCTACCTGAACTGACTGACCCTCTGGGGTGGGTCTGGGACATCCTCGAGGCCCTAGCATTTCTCCTTGGATAGGGGACCAGAGGGCGCTTGGGATGTTGCATAAGAACAGGAAGTCACCCAAGGGATGTCAATTTCTTATCCCTCTACATGGGTTGGATTTTCCAAAATCATAATTTGCAGAAGACCAGCACTTATGGTGGAATGTATATTATAAGGCAGCCACACTGGGGCAGGGTCCTTCCCCTCTCCCCACTCACGGCTTTGGCCCTTTCACAGATTAGAACCTGAGTTAGAGGATTGCAGAAGACGAGGTGGGAGGGCAGGGAAGATGCCTGTCAGGTTTTTAGCACAGTTTATTTCACTGGGATTTTGAAACATTTCTGTTTGAACACAAAGCCTGTTCTAGTCTTGGCAGGACACATTCTGGGGGTGGGGGTGGAGGAAGATGTGGTAATGTAACCGGTTAGTCAGTGTTGTCTTAATATTGTTGACAATTCTGTAAAGTTCCTTTTTATAAATATTTGTTAAGCTGTTTCACCTTTGTTTTGAAATCCTTTCCTTTTTTTTTTTGGAGACAGAGTCTCACTCTATCACCCAGGCTGGAGTGCAATGGCATGGTCTCAGCTCACTGCAACCTTCCCCTCCCGGGTCCAAGCGATTCTCCCACCTCAGCCTCCCAAGTAGCTGGGACTACAGGCACGTGCCACCACACTCCGCTAATTTTTGTATTTTTAGCGGAGACGGGGTTTCACTATGTTGGCCAGGCTGGTCTCGAACTCCTGACCTCGTGATCCGCCCACCTTGGCCTCTGAAAGTGCTGGGATTACAGGTGTGAGCCGCCATGCCTAGCGTGTCCTTCCCTTTTAAGCAGAAAATGTGACACTTGTGAAAAAGCTTGTAAGACAGCACTTCCCTTTTTTTCCCTTTAAACCTTTAAATGGCAAATCTAGGTAATTAAAGTTGTGAATTTTTATTTTTGCTTTGTTTTTAATGAACACTTGTCTTTCAGAATAGGATTGTGTGATAATGTCTAAATGGCAAAAACAAAACGTGATTTTGCACAATTAACAAAACTACTGCAAGAAAAATAAAACATTTCTTGGTAACAAAAAAAATTAATACATTTGAAACATTTTTCATGTAACCTTACTGACCAGGAATACTTATATTTTACAGTCATAATGGTAGCCCTGCAGTGCACTCTGGGAGTGAGCGAGCGAGCATTGGCAGTTCATTGTAGTAGTGTAGGCAGCCTGCAGTAGTGCAGTCTCCTGTGTCTTTAGCATGATGAGATGGTAGGATGCACCCGAGCCAACGGGCCAGCATCCTTACTGGCCCTAAGCTCTCAGAAAAGCTTCTTAAACTCTCTGAGCTTCCCTACAGTGTTCTTTTGAGGATTAGAAGTAATTGAAAGTGACAAATCCTGAAAGAAGCAGCTCAACAAATAATCATTAATTGCTCCTGATCCTCTGAATGAATTGAGGGGTGTCCTTAATTAGGTGTATGCACAAAGATCAACTAGGAGCAAAGGAAAATGTTAGAACTTGTGTTTCTATTTATTTTTAACCTCACTCTTTTACAATTTCTATTTTTTTGTGAATATTTTTAAATATAAGCTGGGCGCAGTGGCTCACGCCTGTAATCCCAGCACTTTGGGAGGCTGAGACAGGCGGATCACCTGAGGTTGGGAGTTCAAGACCAGCTTGGCCAACATGGTGAAACTCTGTCTCTGCTAAAAATACAAAAATTAGCCGGGCGTGGTGGTGCACGCTTGTAATATTAGCTTGTCTCTCTCTCTCTCTCTCTCTCTCTCTCTCTCTCTCTCTCTCTCTCTATATATATATATATATATATATATATATACACACACACACTATGTATATACACACACTGTATATACGCACTATATGCACTATATATACACACAGTATATGTATATACACACACTATATATACAGTGTGTATATATATATATACTGTGTATATATATATATACTGTATATATATATATACTGTGTATATATATATATACTGTGTATATATATATACTGTGTATATATATATACTGTATATATATACTGTATATATATATATATACTGTATATATATATACTGTGTATATATATATATACTGTATATATACACACACACACTATATATATGCCATATATAATATCTGGTGGCCAGTTGTGTGAAATACATTCATTTTCTCTGTTGGGTAGATTGATTTGACCTAACTATGAGCCTCAATCTCAAGAGGTAAAGTGGTAGTTTGCCAATTTAATGCTGCACAAAGGATTATTTAAGTAATAATAACAATAATATCACATTGTATTTTACAGCGCTTCCTAGTACATCATAAATAATAAAAAGACGCAGGCTTGGGCAATAGAATAATTACTGATTTTCAAATGTAACTGCTTCATGTGTGATTATAAACGAGGTAATCATGGCATTAAGGTTTGGTATACATTTAGAAGGGAAAAAGAAAGTTGAGGTTTTAGTAAAGCAGAAAAACACTAAGCTTTAAAAATGAAGCCTGAAACCATGGAAAGAGGTTTAACTTCCCTAGTAATCAGGATGATTGCTGAATGCAAATTGAATCAAATACAAATTGAAACATTAAAGTACAATTTCTTGCCCACTATGTTGGCAGAAATGTTAACATCTGATGATTATCCAGCGCGACTGAGGATGTGGGACGCTTTCTTGTGGAAGTGTAAGTCGGTACAACCACTTTGGAGGATAATTTGGCAATATTTTCAGAGTTAAAAATGCTTATGCTTTGTAAACCTGCCATTTGTAGTCTCTGGATCTGCCCTAGGGAGATAGTCTGGGTTTGTTTTTTTTTTTGTGAATGTCTTCCACAGGGAGATACTCTTAACACAGAGTGGCATGTACAAGCATGTTCAATGCAGCACCACTGTTAATAGCAAACAGCTGGAGGCAACCATCAGTGGGGCAATGGTTCAAAAGGTTGTGATTTTAAAAAAAAGGTACAATATAATTCACATATCATAAATTTCACCATCTTAAAGTGCACAATTCAGAGTTTTTTAGTATATTCACAGAGTTGTACTACCATCACCTCTACCTAATTCCAGAACATTTTCATTACCCCAAAAAGAAACTCATACCCATTAGCAGTCACTCCCCATTTCCACATTTCTCCCTTCTCCCATCCCCTGGAAACCACCAATCTACTTTCTGTCTGTGAATTTGCCTGTCCTGGACATTTCGTATAAAGAAATAGAATCATACAATCGGTGGTACTTTTTATTTGGCAACAGCTTTATTGAGATGTACTTTGTATGCCACACAATTCACTTTTTTTTTTTTTTTTTTTTTTTTGAGATGGAGTCTTGCTCTATCACCCAGGCTGGAGTGCAGTGCTACAATCTCAGCTTACTGCAACCTCCGCCTCCTGGGTTCAAGCGATTTTCCTGCCTCAGCCTCCCCAGTAGCTGTAATTACAGGTGCCCGCCATCACGCCCAACTGCTTTTTTTGTATTTTTAGTAGAGACGGGGTTTCACTATGTTGACCAGGCTGGTCTTGAACTCCTGACCTCAGCCTCCCAAAGTGCTGGGATTACAGGCATGAGCCACCATGCCCAGCCAATTCACCCATTTTAAATGTACAACAATTTTTAGTATGTTCAGAGTCGTGCAGCCATCACCACAGTCAATTTTAGGACATTTTTATCACCTCAAAAAGAAACCACATGCCCTTTAGCTCTCCTCCCTGTCCCTGGGCAACCATTACTGTCCCTGTAGATTTGTCTATTGTGGACATTTCATATAAATGGAATGGTAAAATATATGGTCTTTTGTGTCTGGCTTCTTTCACTTGGTGTATTTTCAAGATTCTTCCATGTTCTGGCAGGTACCAGTACTTCATTCCTTTTCATTGCTGAATAATATTACATTGTATGGATATACCACATTTTGTTTACTCACTCATTAGTTGATAGACATTTGGGTTCTTCCCACTTTTTTTTTGAAATGGAGTCTAACTTTGTCACCCAGGCCGGAGTGCAGTGGCGCAATCTCGGCCTACTGCAACCGCCGCCTCCCAGGTTCCAGCGATTCTCCTGCCTCTCCCAAGTAGCTGGGACTGCAGGTGCATACCACCATGCGCAGATAATTTTTGTATTTTTAGTAGAGACGGGGTTTCACCATGTTGTTCAGGCTGGTCTTGAACTGACCTCAAGCAGTCCACCCACCTGCGCCTCCCAAAGTGCTGGGATTACAGGTGTGAGCCACCACACCTGGCCTCTTTCCACCCTGTGACTGTTTGAAATACTGCTGTTAGGAATATCTGTGTACAGGTTTTTACATGAACATGTTTTCAGTTTCTTTGAGTAGAATTGCTGGGTCATAAGGTAACTTTTGAGGAATTGCCAAACTGTTTTCCATGGTGGTTGCCCCATTTTACATTCCCATCAGCAATGAGTGCGTGTTCCAATTTCTCTATATCCTTGCCAACACTTATTTCTCATCTTTAAAATTATAACTGTGAAAGGAAGACAAATCTTGGGACCCTAAAATCACTAAGCTAAAGGGAAAGGTCAATCTGGGAGCTGCTTAGGACAAACCTGCCTCCCATTCTATTTCTAAAAAGATAGCTACTAAGATAAAAAAGTTAACATACCTCCCTCTCAATTTGTACACAAGAAAATTCCTTGTGGACAAAGGACAGAACTCAAAGTCACCCCTCTCTTTGTTGAGATAAATGCATATCTGATTGCTTCCTTTGGAAAGGCTAATCAGAAACTCAAAAGAATGAAACTGTTTGTCTCTTATTTATCTGTGACCTGGAAGCCCCCTCCCTGCTTCTAGTTGTCCCACCTTTCCAGACCAAACCAATGTACATCTTACATTGTTGATAGATGTCTCATGTCTCCCTAAAATGTATAAAACGAAGCTGTGCCCCGACCACCTTGGGCACATGTCGTCAGGACCTCCTGAGGCTGTGTCAAGGGTGGTCATCCTTAATGTTGGCAAAATAAACTTCCTAACTTGACTGAGACTTGTCTCAGATACTCTGGTTTACATAACCATCCTAGTAGGTATGGAGTGGTATCTCATTGTAGTTTTTATTTGCATTTCCCTAATGATTTATGATGTTGAACATCTTTTCATGTGTTTCTCAGCCATTTGTATATCTTCTTTTCCAAAATATCTATTCAATTTTTTTTATTATTTTTATTTTCATTTTATTTTATATAATATTTTGAGTTGGAGTCTCACTCTGTCCACCAGGCTGGAGTGCAGTGGCATGATCTCAGCTCACTGCAACCTCTGCCTCCTGGGTTCAAGTGATTCTCCTGCCTCAGCCTCCTGAATAGCTAGGATTAGAGGCGCCCGCCATGCCCGGCTAATTTTTGTATTTTTTTAGTAGAGACTGTATTTCACTGTGTTGGCCAGGCTGGTCTCGAACTCCTGACCTCAGGTCATCTGCCCGCTTCAGCCTCCTAACGTGCTGGGATTACAGGCATGAGCCACCACGCCTGGTCGGTTCTGTGTGGCATTTTTATACTATCCTGCCCAGCTGTTAAAAGGAATGAAGCAAATCTATACATAATAATCCCTGACTAGATCTCTAAGACTTAATGTTGAACAAAATAGCAAGTAGTAGGATGATACATTATACTACCATAAATTTTATATAAATAAATACACTCAGGTGTGCCATGCATACACTTACACACACACACACAAACACTCACACCCTGGTACTGTTGAGTTAAATATATGTAAGAGGATAGAGAAGGGCCTGATATAATATTTCCCAAACTTTCCAAGATAGTTGGTTACCTTGGGCTAGGAAGAGAGAGAACGAAGATGGGGGTGGAAGTGGGGTATGATCTAAAGGGGCTTTTGTCTTATTTATGACATTTTACATAGTATCCGCATACTATTTGGCCAATAAAACATGTAAAAGCTCCTTAAAATGTAATTACAACCTGAAAAAATAAGAACATGGGAGCTGTTGGGGAACTGTAGCAGGAGATGGGTTCAAATCCATGCTCCATGCCCTCTGGCAAGGGAATGTGTATTCATTGACTCCTTTTATAGCTCAGCTTTATTTTGTCTTGGGTCCTTCCTCTTTTTCAAAATAGTTTTATTATTTTTTAATACTATATAACAATTCAAATAGCATGGAGGTTTATAAAGTGAAAATGAACTTATCTCCCCTCTTCACCTGAAACTACCCACCCTGAGGTAGTTTTAGTGCACGTCCTTTTCCTGCTCAGCTTCTGTGTTCTGGTATTGTCTCCTGCCCACCCAGTAAGCTGTGCTTCCATCTTCTCGTTGATGGCGAAAGCTCCTTCCTCCATGGGAAAGTGAAGTCTTCGTTTTGAAGCATCCATGGAATGGCCTGCAGGCTTGCTTTGTGTCACCTCCTACCCGAGATTGTGATTGTGTCACCTCCTACCGAGACTGTGAACTCCTACCCTACAATGAGTAGGTCTGGAGTTCTACTTGGGCGTCTTTATTTTATAAAAAGTTCCCATGGTGATTCTGGTGAACCAACAGAGGGTTAAGAGTCGTTTATCTAGGGAGTAACAGAGCAATCATAAATTGTGCCCATGCTGCTTCTTTGAGAATTATTTTTGGTGGCCACTTTATAAGAGTGATGAGCCTGTCAGCTTTATGGAAACATGCCTGAACTTAGATGGTCTGTTTTCTTCCAGGAATTTCACAGAACTTTTACTTTAGGTTATTTTCAGCATTTGTGTTTTTCTAGCTAAATATTCAACATGGAACTGCTATTTGAGTCTGAGAAAGTGATCATGGATTCTTTTTTGAAAATGATGGAAATAAACAGTACACGGCAAACTTAGCTTGTAAACTCTGCATTTCACATTGAAAATGGGTGGATATGGTAAAAATGATAGGCGGTAAATCTTCACCAGGCAGAGTGTCCTTGGGTCTTGCTTTAAAATACTTTTCCTCCCCCACAGCCTGACTTTTGTATTTCATTTTAGTGTGTTTGCCTGAGATGTGAGTGAGAAATTCATGTGATAGATGTCTCACGTCTCCCTAAAATGTACAAAACGAAGCTGTGCCCCAACCACCTTGGGCACATGTCGTCAGGACCTCCTGAGGCTGTGTCATGTCTTAAATTTGAGTAATCTTTCTCATATCTTAAATTTATGTTAAAGTTTACATTTTCTCTTGTAGGTATTCTCATGGGAGCAGTTATAAAAATTATAGAGTTTAAAAAACTGGCGAATTGGAAGGTAGGTTTGCCCTTTGGTTGTTCTTAATTTTAGTAACATTGATCATTATGCTGGCTTTTTTGTAATTACTTGGCTATCAGTGGAGTTATTTATATTATTATGTTATATATCCCATTACTTTTTAATTTTTTTATTAGATACAGGTTGATGCCTTTACATCTGAGTTTTTGCAAAAGCATAAGTCTCATGCTGTTTCAAGTGAACATGGGCGCCAATGTCATTTTTTTTTGTTATTATACTTGCATTTTTGTAATCCTAGACTAACCTACTTTTTTAGGCAGGAAAATTCTCTAATTAGCATTAAACATTAAATACTGTTTATTGCTCCCAATTCCATTTTGACAACTGAGGATAATAAAACATACTTGTCCAGTACTGTGAGACACAGTACTTTATATATTGTAGCTCATGTTATTCTCATGACAGTCATGTGAGGTGGATTGTCTGGGTATTGTAATATCATCACCTCGTTTTTACAGATGAAAAAAGTGACACTCAGGGAGATTGGGATGTATTCAGTGTCACAGAGCTAGAAAGAAAGTGGCCGAGTGGAGTCTTGTGTCCAAACCCTCTGGCCTGAATATGCAGTGTTTTCTCCACCATACCACCCCGTCCTCAGTTTGCTGATATATATACCCTTGTGTTAAAGAGGTTATTAGAATATGAACATCATCCTGGGGTGCAAGTACTCATTGAAACTGGAATTTCAACATAAACTTGAGCATCCATGTTGAGTAGGGCGAGATTAACAAGTATGCTACAAAATTGATTTTGTGGAGGGAAATAAGATTCATTTCAAAATATAAAGAATTATATGGCTAAAATTGATCACATTTAAGCCCTTCCTACTTTGATGAAGCTCCTAGGTGCTAGGATTAATTGACCTGTGAAACTGTAGAGTGTAAAATTAGCAAGACAAACCTTATAGACTAACGTAAAACACAATTTGAAGCTGTTATAAATAGTAGTAATGAAATATTTTATATATTAAATAAATTTTGAAAATGTATATTGAGCTCTGGAGAGTGATAAGACACACTTCTGCTGGGGAGGCCCCACTGGAGCGCATTGCATGTGGGATCTCTGCCTTCCTGCTACTTGGTTACATTTAACCACCCAAGAGTGGGTCATGACTGAAGAGCCTTTTTCTACTCCTAGGCTGGATATAGCCTGATGTGTAGATTTTGCCCACTAACCCATTTTGTTTGATCTGATTTAAAAATCATTTGATCAAGGCTGGGCGTTGGCGGCTCATGCCTGTAATCCCAGCATTTTGAGAGGCCAAGGTGGGTGGATCACCTGAGCTCAGGAGCTCGAGACCAGCCTGGGCAACATGGTGAAACTCCGTCTCTAAAAAAATACAAAAAAAAAAAAAGATCAAAATTTGAATTGACTTTAAAACAATTAAAAATTGTTAGATTTTGGGCGGGTGCGGTGGCTCATGCCTGTAATCCCAGAATTTTGAGAGGCTGAGTCACGTGGATCATCTGAGGTCAGGAGTTTGAGACCAGCCTGGCCAACATGGTGAAACCTCATCTCTTCTAAAAATACGAAAAAGTAGCTGGACGTGGTGGCACGCACCTGTAGTCCCAGCTACTTGGGAGGCTGAGGCAGGAGGATCGCTTGAGCCCAGGAGGATCGCTTGAGGCTGCAGTGAGTTATAATTGCACCACTGCAGTCCAGCCTGGGCAACAGAGCAAGACCCTGTCTCTAAAAAAAAAAAAAAAAAAGTTGGGGCAGGCTTCCTGGAGGAGACTGCATTTGTGGAGAGTCAGAGTGAGAAGTAGGATTCCTGCCTGGAAACCAGATGTGCAGGGAGCAGTGGGAAGTCAGAAAAACAAGAGGAGCTGGTGGTTTCTTTCCCTGAAGTTCTGATTCCAAACTGACCTGCTGGGTCTGCCCAGGTAGCAACCTGTATTATCATGTGCTTAATATTTTTCTATCAACTTGCTTTTTAATTATATGTATATATATATAAATTATTTATTTATTTCTTATTTTCTTTTTTTGAGACAGAGTCTCTCTTGGTTGTCCGGGCTAGAGTGCAGTGGCACGATCTCGGCTCACTGCAACCTCTGCCTCCCGGGTTCAAGTGATTCTCCTGTCTCAGCCTCCTGAGTAGCTGGGCAGGAGAACAGGCATGTGCCACCATGCCCAGCTAATTTTTGTATTTTTAGTAGAGACAGGGTCTCACCATGTTAGCCAGGCTGGTCTCGAACTCCTGACCTCAAGTAATCCACCCACCTTGTCCTCCCAAAGTGCTGGGAGTACAGGTGTGAGCCACTGCGCCTGGGTGTGGCTAATTTTTAAAAAAATTTTTTGTAGAGACACGATGTCACTATGCTACCCAGGCTGTTCTCGAGCTCCTGGGCTCAAGTGATCCTCCCACCTTGGCCTTCCAAAGTGTTAGGATTACAGGATTGAGCCACGTGGCCTATATATTTATTTTATTTTATTTTATTTTTTTTTTTTTGCTGGGGAGTGGTGGGGAGCAGAGTCTCACTATGTTATCCAGGCTGGAGTGCAATGGCGTGGTCTCAGCTCACTGCAACCTCCGCCTCCCAGGTTCAAGCAGTTCTCCTGCCTCAACCTCCTGAGTAGCTAGAATTACAGGTGCCTGCCACCACGCCCGGCTAATTTTTGTATTTTTAGTAGAGATGGGGTTTCACCAAATTGGCCAGGCTGGTCTCGAGCTCCTGACCTCATGATCCATCCACCTTGGCCTCCCAAAGTGCTGGGATTACAGGCATGAGCCACCACGCCTGGCCATGTTTATTTTCAAGGCAACATTACAGTACTATTTCAATTCAGAAACTAATATTGTTTTGTAAACATGATAAAAATGAAGTAGTACAGATGCCTGCTGAAGCATCAGAGGTCAAGTCTGCTCTCTGTCAAGGGAGATCAGCACGTTGGAGAGAGCCCTTAGAAGCGGTATTGCCATCCTAAGGTGTCTTGGATTTATTTGGGCCTGAAGAAATAATCAAAAGGGGCTGACTCTCTCAATCCATGAGGTCAGTGGTATTTGACACACACTGCTCAAGTGCCACCTAAAATCACCTCAGAACATTTTGGGGGAGCCATTGCCAAAAGGAACTGTAACACTATTTCCCTGAAAGGCAGTGTGTTCATAAGGGCTGCAGTAACAAATTATCACAAACTAAGTGGCCTAAAACAACAGAGATTTGTTTTCTCACAATTCTGGAGGCCAGAAGTGAGAAGTCAAGGTATCAACAGGACCAGGTTCCCTCCCAAAGACTCTAGAAAAGAATTCTTCATTGCATCTTCCAGCTTCTGGTGGCCCCGGTTTTCCTTGGCTTGTGGCCGCATCACTCCTGTCTTTGTCTCTGTGCTCACATGGCATTCTTCTCCACGTGTCTATGTGCCTTGTTCTGTCTCTTACAAGTCGATGTTTGCTGCCTTTGGCCTTCCCTTATCCAGTGTAAGGTCATCTAGATCCTTACCTTCATTAGATCTTCAGAGACCCTATTTCCAAATAAGGTCACACTCTGAGGTTCCTGGTGGCCATGAATTGTGATTGGGGTTGGGGGACACTATATAACCCCACTATAGGTAGATTCTCCTTTTTCCTGGGGTGGGGGGGGCTAGTTTTTATACCTCCAAAAGGCTGTATATAGTGGTCCTGCTGCACAGATCCTGAGAATAGGTTGCCCCGTAAAACACAGAGCTCGGCTCATTTTTTTTCACACAGTCCCAGTCTGAATCATGAGCTTGAGCTTGTTGTACATGCTGCTATTTTAAGACTTAATAAGGCATTTCAGAAGTCATCATTTGCTTCTATTTTGAGCGTTTTTTGACTTTCTTTTAGTCTTTATGGTAACAGCTGTACATTTGTAAGAATACATTTAGGCATTCTTTGGAATAGGCATTTTGACAAAAAATCAGACTGTCAAAATTGTGACATGGGAAAATATTCATATGAAAAAGGGCCTGATTTTGCATTTTTAAATAGACTGTGTATTACACATAACCATTTTGGGCTTGAGGACCAATATATATTTCCCCAAAATTCTACCAACAACTAGAGAGATATATTAATAATATAGAAAATGAAATTGTTATTGTTTCACCCCTCCAAAGATGGCTATATTCTAGAAACACCTTTCGTAGTGGCACTTAATAATCAAATCTGGAAGCATGGTGCTATGGTTTGGGCATTTGTCTCCCCAAACCTCATGCTGAAATTTGATTCCAGTGTTGGAAGTGTTTGGGTCATGGGGGTGGACCCTCATGGATAGACTGATGCCCTTGCTGGGGGAGGGAGGTGAATGAGTTGTTGCTCTGTTCGTTCCCTATACAGCTGGTTGTTAAAAACAGCCTGGTCCCATCCCCGCCCCCCCTTTCTTCCTCTCTTGCCATGGATCTCTGCACACTCTGGCTCCCCTTCTCTTCCCCCATGAGTGGAAGCAGCCTAAGGTTCTTATCAGATACCCAGTCTTGAACTTTTCCGGACAGCAGAATCATGAGCCAAATAAATGTTTTTCCTTTGTAAATTACCCAGCCTCAGGTATTCTTTTATAGCAAGACACATGGTAAGGGGCTGTCTTTGTATCAAAGTCTCAAGTCGAAAGAGCATCCAGTGTGGACTGTTTTATCACATCAGACTTTGGAAAATGGCAGAGTTGTCTGTGATAAGCAGAAAGAAGGCAGAGCTATTTTAACCATATATAGGATTTACTGTTCCTCTGAGTGGATTGTTTTAGGGCTTGCCATTACCTTTTTCCTGGAGGATTCCAATTTGTGGAGTTGTTTTTGAAAGTCTGCAACCAGAATTGAAATTTTCTGTATTCAGATTAATTTTCTTTCTGTACTAAGGAATAAAAAACATACTACTGTGTTGTGCTGTTTCTTTTCACTGATCACCTTTAAAATCCTTGTCTTGGCCACGCATGGTGGCTCATGCCTGTAATCCCAGCATTTGGGGAAGCTGAGGTGGGAGGATTGCTTGAGGCTAGGAGTTTGAGACCAGCCTGGGCAACATAGCGGGACCCTGTATCTTAAAAAAAAAAAAAAAAAAAAAAAAAAAAAAATTAGCCCGGCATGGTAGCACGCACATGTAGTCCCAGCTACTCAGGAGGCTGAAGTGAGAGGATCACTTGAGCCCAGGAGGTTGAGGCTACAGGGAGCTGTGATTGCACCACTGCACTTCAGCCTGGACAACAGAGCAAGAAAGACTCTGTCTCAAAATAATAATAATAATAATAATGATAAAAATAATAAAATACAGTTTCATTTTTTTTTTTGGTGGGGGAATCTCTCATTCTGCTTGATTTTATTATCAGGTAGTTATTTAAACATTATATGTTTCCACTAGGCCAGGCCCTGAGAGAATAATTATTTTGGCTCTTTATTGATTAATTTATTTCTTAATTACACAAATTCCATGCCCTTAAGATACTCATTTTCTATTTACAGGAAGAAGAAATGTTTCGTCCAAACATGTTTTTCCTCCTCCTGCTTCCCCCTATTATCTTTGAGTCTGGATATTCATTACACAAGGTGAGACTCAGGCACACATTGGTGCTTTGGTCTGGACAGTTTCTCATGTTTGTAAGGCAAGTTCCTTAAAAGCTTGGGTATAATTTAGCAGCAGCAGCAGCAGCAGCTCTGCTCCTTCCTGGTTGTGCTCAGTGGAAGCTGGACTGCAGTGCCTGACTTCTGGAGAGGAGCAGACATGATGAATTGGCTGCTTTAATGGTTTCAGGCAGTATGGCTCACTGAGCCAGTGTTTGCCATAAATGGGTGCTTTGCCCAGGAAGATGGCTGAAGTGATGTTAAGTGGCTCACAGATGATGCATTGACTCGTCTTCCTGGACACAGACTGATAGATGTAAAGAGGATAGACTGTGTCCTGGGACGACGGGGACATGTGCCCCAGGACTTTTGTTTCTTTCAGCTCCCCCACTGGGGCCTTTCTAACCTTCTCAGGCCCATCCATCCTTCCATGTCTCCCTCTCGGTGCCCTCCCCTGGCCTCAGACCCCAGCTTGATATTCCCCTTCATCCCTCAACCTCTATCGCTCCTCGCCCACTCCCTGGTCCAGCTTCTCCTTCCCAGGCTGGAGCCCCATCCTTCCCTGCCTAGTCCCACAGTTGCCTGCCCATTCTTTCCTCCCTGCCTTGGTGAGCAGTGGCACTGGCCCCTACCCACTTCTCTGCTTTGGCTTGGCCTTGACGGCCATTGCCTTGCAACTCCCAGTGTGAGATGTTTTTTTTTTTGTTTTGTTTTTTTTGAGATGGAGTCTCACTCTGTCACCCAGGCTGGAGTCCTGTGGCATGATCTCGGCTCACTGCAACCTCCACCTTGTGGGTTCAAGTGATTCTTCTGCCTCAGCCTCCTGAGTAGCTGGGATTACAGGCACACGCCACCTTGCCCGGCTAATTTTTGTCGTTTTAGTAGAGACGGACGGGGTTTTACCATGTTGGCCAGGCTGGTCTCGAACTCCTGACCTCAAGTGATCCACCCACCTTGGCTTCCCAAAGTGCTGGGGTTACAGGCATGAGCCACCACACTCGTCCCCTAGTGTGAGTCTTTCTGCCTGAGCAGGAGCTTCTCACTTTTAAGCCTGCTTGTGTGCGTGCATGGTTTTTTCCTTGTCTGTGAGTTTTCTTTAAACATAAATGTATTTAAGTTTTAAAATAAAGTGATTCAACTTAAAATACTAGTATTAATAATACAGCAGCTATTTTGTGAATGTGATTTTTAAAAAAACTGTGAAGATTGGAAAGTTTAGGCCAGTCCTTGGAGAGAGGAAAGCCAGAGACACAACACAGATCTAATCATGCGCTGCCCCCTACAGGTTTCTTTTTGGTAAAGTAGAAACCAAAAACCCCAAAACCCTACCTCCCAGGGTGCTTTGAGAGTCACACTAGATGAAAGAACGTAGGCAAAGCACCACCCACCACACTAAATAAATGAAGTGCTGCTGCTTGTTATTAATGATAAAAATGTCATTTATTATTAATAACAATATTACCACCAGTAGTAATAATAATTTATTAAGCTTAATATGGTCGGGCCCAGTGGCTCATGCCTATAATCCCAGCACTTTGAGAGGCCGAGGTGGGTGGATCACTTGAGGCCAGGAGTTCAAGACCAGTCTGGCCAACATGGTGAAACCCCATCTCTACTAAACATACAAAAATTAGCTGGTCGTGGTGGTGCGTGCCTGTAATCCCAGCTACTCTGGAGGCTGAAGCATGAGAATCATGAGAATAGCTTGAACTCGGGAGGTGGAGCTTGCAGTGAGCTGAGATCACGCCACTGCACTCCAGCCTGAGTGATAGAGGGAGACTTTGTCTCAAAAATAAATAAATAAAAATAAACTTAATTTGTTGTTGACATGGTATAAAATAAATAAATACATAATTTTAAAAAATGAGTTAGATTTGTCTAGAAATGTTTGGTAAAAACATAGAAATTAAGTCTTTAATTTTCCTGTACTAAAACAAAAGCATATTAAGATGTTCAGCCCAGATTTTTTTTTAAGTTATTATTTTATTGTGCATCTATCCAAAGAAAAAGTGAAAAGGAAATTTAATGTAAAAAATATTCACAAGTCTTACAAACTGTTAGTGACATCAGATAATTTTTAACAAGGAAACATAAGTTGAAGGTCACCATGTCTTTCCTTTCACTTTGTAAACAAATCTTAACTGTAAGCAGATATGAAAATATTTCAAAACATGCTGAGGAAATTGACTTGATTTTGACTTAAAAACATGACATTTTGAATATTAGAGCATGTAAAGTTTTTCTTTTCTTTTTTTTTTTTTTTTTTAGAGGGGAGAGAAACTTGTTCAAAATTTGAGGAAAGTAATAGTTTTTTAGAGAAACATTTTGTTGAAGATGACTTTCCAGCAGGAAATGTGACAATTTATATGAAAGGGACTGATAGGATTATGAAATGCTACTTCTGAAACTTCTATCCACTTTCTACCCTCGCCCAAAGATGATAGGAAGTAAAGTTTGAATATTTTATTTTAATATTATGATATCTGCTAATGTAAATTTGGATTTAGAATACAGATTACAGTAAGATTATCATCAGTTGATATGCATTAGCTAGGCAGCAACTGGTTCTTTGAATTGCAAATATTACACAAATCACAGGATGTTAATTATGTCAGAGAGAAACAGATAAATTTGCTTTATGTAGCAGAGGGAAGTTCTTGTATTATGGTAACTTTAACTTGGGTAAATGTTCAGGATCCAGATTAATATTAACCAAATATATAAATTATATCAACATTAGATCTCTGCAAACAGGTCAAAACTGATTAATCTGTTTTTTTTTTTTTTTTTTTGAGATGGAGTTTTGCTCTTGTTGCCCAGGCTGGAGTGCAATGGCACGAACTCGGCTCACTGCGAACTCGGCTCACTGCAACCTCGGCCCCCTGGGTTCAAGCGATTCTCCTGCCTCAGCCTCCCGAGTAGCTGGGATTACAGGCGTCTATAACCACACCAGCTAATTTTGTATTTTTAGCAGAGATGGGGTTTCTCCATGTTGGTCAGGTTGGTCTCGAACTCCTGACCTTAGATGATCCACCCGCCTTGGCCTCCCAAAGTGCTGGGATTACAGGTTTGAGCCACCGAGCCCAGTCTAATCTGTTTTTAAATAACAAAAGAAAACAGCGATTTGCAAAGAGCAACTCATAGATTGAAAGCCCTTTGTTTTGAAAAACCAAATCATTGTGTTTTAAAATTCTTTGTGCAGTAAAGATTGATATGCCAAACAAAGGAATTGAATGTCAGATGATAGGCAGCCAAGTCAAAATTGCAGCTTCTAGGAGGTGGGCTTAGTGGGGCAGTCAGTGTTCAGCTGAGGACACTCTTTCACAAGTGGGCTTTAAAATAGCAGGTCTTGATGTCCATGGTTTGGTGATTTCTGAGCTAAAAACAAGATTCTTGTTCACAACCACAATCGGGGGTGATCAAAGACTCTTGGTAGCTCCTAAGTGGAGTTCATAGGGTTATAATAAATAGCTTAATTTCCTTAATTTTATGGAAATTTGAAAGATGCTACCATGCTGCTTGAACTTGAATATTTTATCTTAAACGCTGTGAAGTATAGATAGAAACATTTTATCTGACATAGTTAATGATGATACTAATAGAGTGAAGTAAAATTGTTTAAAAGACCTGGCCAGGAAAAAGGAATATCTGATAGTGTATCTTGGTATCCTAATAGTGTGGACTTTGGATGTGAAACACAGTTAATTCCTTCAGTGCCTGTCTGTTGGGCATCTTCCATCTGACGGGCATTATGTCAGGGACCGTGTTGTGCGAAAGCAGGTGGGGTCATTGCCCAGAATGAGCCTGCAGCCTCATGGGAAAGTAAGACATCAGTACATAAATAAGTGCAAAATTGCAGTCTTGTCAACCGCTACAAGAGAGGGTGACTGTGCACTGAGAGCACAGACTAGGATCTGGGAAGAGTTGAAATGTCCTGAGATCTTGGGATGATGAAAGCTTAACAAGCAAAGAGGGAGCACAACCTGCTCGAAGCCACCAGTGGGACTGGAACCCAGAGAACAAAGGCGAGCATGGTGCCAGATGAGCCCAGAGGCCTCCCCAGGAGTCGAATCATTCAGGGTGGGGGCTAGCTGCATTTTAAGTGGAAATAGGGGTCCAGGTGAAGGCAGCACAATCAGATTTGTCTTTTGGGAAGATCATTCTGGAAAGACGGGAGAGTGGAGGGAAAGGGGCCCTGGGGGGTTGAGGAGACTTGTGCGAAGCTATGCAGTGTTTCAGATGAAAGATGGTGTGAGTGACGGGACACTGCAGTAAGTGCGGGGGTGCAGGAAGACTCCCGGGCTCCCAGCTTGCCACACAGGTTGGGCAGTGGTGCCTTTTACAGAGAATCAAGTCTGCACGGAGGGCCAGGTGTGCAGGCCGTGCCTTCACTGACAGGAATGGCTTTTCTAATCATTTCCCTGATTTCTGCTCTTTCAAACAGGGTAACTTCTTTCAAAATATTGGTTCCATCACCCTGTTTGCTGTTTTTGGGACGGCAATCTCCGCTTTTGTAGTAGGTGGAGGAATTTATTTTCTGGGTCAGGTAAGAAAATCATCTTTGAAACACTTTGAAAGTCTTACATTCTTAGAGCTAGTGCAGGGAGGTGGGAAGGTGAAATGGGGCCACTTTGTGGGGCCTGGGTTTCACCCTTAAGGTAAATTCCTTCTGGAAGGAAATCCTAGCTTCATATGAGGCACAGTAGAGGCGTGCTAAATTGTTTCAAAGTGTCCTCCAAGACCTTTGGTATCTGGAATTGAGTAAAACTTTTCCATAATCCCCCCCAAAGTATTTGAGTTTATTTGCAAACCAATACTGTCTTAAATTAGAATACCTAAAAATGAAGCCAAATATATGCCATCAAGAACTTCAAACTGTGTTGTCAAGTAGACTGAATTGGGGTTGAATGCTGTTTTTTGATAAAAATTTGTATTTAAAAAATCAAAGATGTGCTTTTCTGCTGGCATTGGAGAAATAATAAAATCAAAGGTGATGCTGAATCTCTTCACTCAATTCTAAGCTGTCTACCTGTAGAATTATATACTCTGGATTTTCCACAATTGCTAAACCACTTCCCAGTGGCACCAGTTGGGTGGTCTCTACTTTAGACTTCAAATTAATTTAGACCAAACATCCCTAGGAAGGTAGTATCTGTAGTTTTGTATTATGCATGTCCATGCATGTCACATTCTTTTCCTTTATTGTCAGTTGCAGAAAGTTTGCCTGTCTCAGTTCTGAAAATTAAGTTGAGGGTCAGGTATCTGAGTGACGGGCAGATTTCTTTAACACATCAGCTGCTTTCTTCTCTCAATAGCCAAAGCCCATTCCATTGGATTTTCACCTATATTGCAGCTTTGATGGCACCAGAATAAATCTGTCTGTCATGCAGCTTTCTTCATTGCTCAGCTTCTAGTATTAAGTAAGAATAAACTTAAGGAAACTACAGTTAATTGGGCTTGAAGAATGTAGCATTCTTTTCCATACTCTCGTTGCATGCCGATGGAATGCATGTTTCAACTAAGGCTTAGGAGCTTTTATTTTTCAAGTGGTTTGGGAACTGAAGATTAATGTCCTTATTAGTTTTAATAAAGCACTAATGGACATTTAAATCTTGGCTGTTCTCCAGGGTTTTTTTTTTGTGTGTGTCTGTGTGTTTGTGTGTTTTATTTTACAGGCTGATGTAATCTCTAAACTCAACATGACAGACAGGTAAATCCTTCATACTGTAACACCCATGCGACTGCTTTTCAGACAGGGGAAATGTTTCTCCACATTGCTTCCTGGGTGTGGTACTGTTCTATTCTCTCTCTGTGTATTTATTTTTGGTAAGGATTTCTGCCATAGAATCTTACTCTGAGTTAATTTGTATCTCTGAAATGAATCAAAAGTATCCTAAAGACTTTTGAAGATCCCTAGTGGGGCATTGCTGATTGGAATGATTTAGTTTAAGCTTGGGAGGGAGTAACTCTGCTCAGCTAACTGCCCTGCCTGTGTGCACGCGTACACTGTACCATTGTCTTCTTATTTACAAGACTTTTCAGTCGCCGTAACAAAAAGTCTTCTTGACAGATTAGAGATGGAGAGGGGGAGTGACGGAGAAACTTTCCTCTGGGATTCCCACGAAGCCTGTGGTGGGGGAAGCAGGGCCAAGACCTCTATTGTGGTTATTGTAGAAAGCCCCTCCATCTGAAGCCACTCCCGTGAGCACTTCCCATGAGCCCCATCCAGGATTTCCCAGAATTGCATAGTGAGAAGCAACCTCACTAGGTTGAGGCAGTTGTCTCTCAGAAGGTACCAGATCTAGTGCTGAAAAAGTGCCCATGCTGAGCATAGTCTGGGTTCCCCCCTCTGAGAGCAGACAGCCTTGCTCAGTGTGTCTGCATTTGGTCTTGTGACATGGCTGGGGAGCTGGGCAGCAGGGTCACATGTTCGTCCCCAGATCCTTGCCATGGGGCCAGTCAGAGCTTTCAGGATTTAGCAGCAGTTTAGCAACTTGGGACTAGAATCTGGGAACCCTTTTCATGGGAACTGTGTCTCTGATAACAAATCCAATTCTATTTCTACCTCCACTCACCACCCACCCCAGCCCAGGACAATTTTGGAGCTTTTGTTGTAAGACAGTTTTGATACATAAACAAGTAGTCCTATTCCATGAGAGCTGGAAATAAAGCAGAACTGATGTCCTGTGTTTGGTAGGTATTTTGCAAATAAAAAGAAATGCCCAGTAAAGGAAGGTATCACAGTATTCAAACCTTCCACTTGTTTTGGGGGCAACTGGTTAGAGATACAGACAATGCTGGATAACTTCCTGTGAAGTTGAATTGAATCA
This sequence comes from Homo sapiens, assembly GCF_000001405.40. Lineage (NCBI taxonomy): Eukaryota > Metazoa > Chordata > Mammalia > Primates > Hominidae > Homo > Homo sapiens. The sequence continues at coordinate 49,851,965 of NC_000020.11, forward strand.
GTGGTTGGGATGTTCAGGTGGAGGACAGGAAAGGAATTGCCCTGTAGACACACTGACTTAGAGCCGGGTAGTGTTTTCCTCTCCGTGTGCAGAAGTTTCCTTTGCTGTTAGAAAGTGACGATCCCTCAGATGGGGACTGCTCTGGGGTCGCAAACCCACACAGCCGCAGGGCCTGGCAGAGCACTTAACAGAGGGAAGCTGGCCAGCTGTGAGTCTAGACATGGGGCAGCGGCCAGTGGGAGAACACACCCTGTATGAAGGGACAGCCACTTCTCAGCGCCAACTCATGATTACCATGTGGAAATCTGGGCCCAGAATTGGTGGCTATTTTAAATACTTTTTTTTCAAAAAGATGCTGGGTTTCTAGATTTTTATAGGGAATTTTCCAGTTTTTCAATGTTGACAACTTGCTCAATTTTTCACAAATACCATGCAGACCAAACATGAGAGGGGACCACAGACTTTTTGCAACCTCTGCACTGTAGAAAACATAAAAATAACTTCGTTGCACACGTTTTGTTTTGTTCTAGTGATATCTTGTTGGAGAGAGATTTCACTCTTAGAGATCCTGAATTATTTCGCTGCCTTAGTTCATTTCTTTTTCATTTTGTTAATGTTGCTATCTTTTGGGGCTATGGGATAAAGAAAATACATTTTTAAGTTGAACTTCTGGCGTTTAAAAGGCGAGGTCTTAAAGATGTGAAGTGGAACAGCTGACAGCCAGGTGAAATAACCGTCTTTCCATACAGACCTCTCAATGATTCAGCAGTTTGTATTTCAGACTTCTCATCTTCACTGTCAGAAATACTCTGCCTCAATTTAGATTCCCAAGCAAACTGTGTAACATGATTTATACAAAGCATTTCCCCCAGCCTTTTGTTTGTTTTGTTTTTTTCAGTTAATTTAGAAAGTTTATTTTGCCAAGGTTGAGCATGCGCACCCGTGACAGCCTCAGGAGGTCCTGACGACATGTACCCAAGATGATCAGAGCACAGTTTGGTTTTATACATTTTAGGGACACATGAGACATCAGTCAACTTATGTAAGATGGACGTTGCCCCAACCTTTTATTATGAAAAATTTTAAACATACAGAAAAGGTGAAGCATTGTGAAGTGAATACCCATAAACAAATTTTTAAAATATAAAAGGTGTATCCTGCAGGGGTAGGAGAGGCACAGGACAGGGAACTTGGGAGCCTGTGGTGGGCCTGCGCTTCACTGAGGCTGGAGTATAGTGGCATGATCACAGCTCGCTGTAGCCTCAAACTCCTGAGCTCAAGCTGTCCTCCTGCCTCAGCCTCCTGAGTAGCTCGGACTACAGGTATGCGGCACCACTTCCGGCTAATTTTTGTGTGTGTAGAGATAGGGTTCTCTCTATATTGCCCAGGCTGGTCCTGAACTCCTGAGCTCAAGCCATCCTCCCACCTCAGCCTCCTAAAGTGTTGGGATTACAGGCGTGAGCCACTGTGCCCGGCCCAGGATACACTTTTTAGACATCATCCTCCTTCCTTCACGGCCTCTGGTGATGGGGCTGTGGTTGATGAGAGTGAAAATAAAAGAGCGACCAGAAGCTCTGTCTGGGTTGTGGTGCAAGGGCCTGGGGACCAGCCACCAATAAAATAGGATCTCCCAGATGGGCAGTTGTTTAGTGGAGTTACCTTCCCTTTCTTCCTTCCCTTTCTTCTTCCCACCTGCCTGCCTGCTTGCCTTCTGCAAGTGTCTCTGGGCCATGCCCAGTACAGACCCTGGGAATTCACCCATGACGAAAATTCAGCATCCACTCCCTTGGAGCTCACAGGCCTGTGATGACCTCTGTGAGGACAGGCGAAGTCTGGGAACTGAATCCTCAGCCTGGGATCCGGAGGCACTCTGGGTTAATGCGCATGAGTCACATTCACAGGCAGCTACCATGGAAACCAGAGGCCAGATGATTGACTTCTGAAGAGAACTGTACCTGGCAAGGCAGCCAGGCATTTCCTCAGTCAGCTCTCCTCTCCCTGACCCTGCAGCCAAAAGATCACCCATTGAAGGCTGCTCAGCCGAGCATCCTTTTCCCCCTAGACCCAGGCTTGGTGAGGGTGGGAAGCTCAGGGCAGTCGTCTCTGGCTGATGACTGACACAGGCTGGCCATTGGGTCTCCATGTTTTGGCTGGTGTTGTGGAAGGGGGCAGACCCACCATTCTGCTGCCCTGGAAAGAAAGTTGCAACAGGCATGGCACAGAGGCTTGTGGGAAAATCACCAAAGGGCAGGGAGAGTGAATTGTCCAGGCTCATGTGGCACATGAGGCCCCTTGAGGGAGCTGGTCCTGCCTCCCTCGCCAGCCTCTTATGGCTCCTGCCACTCACCCCACCCCCACCACCACATGCACCTTCCTTCTGTTCCTCAGGCAGCAGGCTTGCTCCCACCGCAGGAGTCGCTTGCTGTCACCTCAGCCTGCAGCTCTTGGCCTGGCCAGCTGCTTCTTAACATGTAGGTTCTTGCTTACATGTGTCATCCCTTCACAGAGGCCTCTCCAGACCGCCCCATCTAAGTGGCTCCCACACCCACACCCCCACCCCACCTTCCCACGTCACCTCAATTGATTTCCTGGGTCACATGTGGTATTGTCTGAATTTGCCTTCATCTCTGGGTATTGCTGTATCTACTGTTGGGGGTAGGAGTACCGACTCTGGGCAGATAGCCTGGCTCTGCTACTTGTTAGCTGAGTGACCTTGGACAAGTTACTTCATCATCCCGTTGTCCCTCGGTTTTCTCCTCTGTCATTGGGGCAGTAGTAGCAGTCTCATACAGTCACTGTCTGGATTGTTGAGTCACCGTATGTGAAGTGCTTAGAACAGTGCCGGCCATGGTAGCCTCCATTCCTGAAACATGTTAGACAATCAGCACATATCTGCTGGGGGTGATAAGATCTTCACGGGGACTGTCAGTGAGGTCACTGGCCCAGTTGGGAGATGGCCTCAGTGTTTCTCTCGGCTGTCTACGCCACTCACCCCCAAAGCACACTGGGGTTGCTGCTGCTTTTTGACACTTTCTTAGATCTTGCAAATCTGAGTGCAGGCTGGGGTCGGTCACGGACAGCATTCCAAGGGGCTGGTGGCGAGGGGCAGAGCAGAGGTCAGATGCAGGAGCTCATGGGCCATTTGGCTCTAGCTGCTCTGACCCGTGGAACTGGGCGGTGTATGATAAATATATCTAAGCAAAAGTCTCCCTTCCATCATTGGTCAAAGTCAAGTCTCCGTGCTGACACTAGAAAACCAGGCCATTCCTAACAACTCAGTTTAGAGTGGGCCTTTCATACTCCACCCACAAAACAGCAGATAAGTGGGGAAAAAATACGCTACCTTCTGTAATTAATTCAGCTCTAGCGTGTAGTATTGCTTTCTGTTAAATATGGCCTTTGACTTTAATGCTTTAATATGTGGACCAAGTGACACACATTACAGAATCTCCCCTTCCCTCTGTCTCTTACAGTTTTGCGTTTGGCTCCCTAATATCTGCTGTCGATCCAGTGGCCACTATTGCCATTTTCAATGCACTTCATGTGGACCCCGTGCTCAACATGCTGGTCTTTGGAGAAAGTATTCTCAACGATGCAGTCTCCATTGTTCTGACCAAGTAAGTACGGGGGCAGAGAACAGACTTTTTTCATGTGACAGAACTAAAGGTCCTTGTAACAAAGGGGCAGATATTTCCACACAGCATGTGTACAGTTGCTTGTCCTCTGGGTGATCAGTTCACCCACTCTCTTTCTCTGTATTTCTGTCCTGACAAGCCTTGATGTGCTGCAAGAATATGGTCAGGTTCCAGGGGTGGTTAAAAGAGGAGAGTCCACCTTTTTTTTTGAGACAGGGTCTCGCTCTGTCACCCAAGCTGGAGTGCAGTGGCTCCATCACAGCTCACTGCAGCTTCAACCTCCTGGGTTCAACTGATCTCCCACCTCAGCCTCCCGAGTAGCTGGGACTTACAGGCACGTGCCATCACGCCCAGCTAATTTTTTAAGAAGTTTTTGTAGAGATGGGGTTCGCCATGTTGCCCAGGCTTGTCTTGAACCCCTGGGCTCAAGCAGTTTGCCCACCTCAGCCTCCCAAAGTGCTGGGATTACAGGTGTAAGCCATTGCTCCTGGCTTTGCCCACCTTTTTCGACCTGCCTTTTAGTAGTGGTTTCTGAGCCCAGCTTGTCAACATCACTGAGGGTGCTTATTAAGTGTGACATTCCTAGGCCCCACCCTCAGAGCTTCTGATTCATTTGGTCTGGGGTGAGTCCCAAGACCATGGGTTTTTAATAAGTTCCCCAGATATGATGAAGCGGCCTGTTCAGGGGTCAGTGTTTGGGCAATATTATTGGCAACAAAAGCAATAGACAGAGGCCCCACTAGCTGATGCATGTCACCTTCCTTTTCACAGCTTTAAAATAAGGTAGGAATGCTGATAGGTGCCCTGCCTTAAGATGCTATTGTGTAAACTCTACTTTGGACACTACAATTTGTTTTCAAATATTTGTTGGTATTACTACCCTAATTGATGGGATCTGAGAAGTTAAAGATGAATAATAAAATGTCAAGAAGTCATTGGGGGCCAGGCGCAGTGGCTCAGTCCTGTAATCCCAGCACTTTGGAAGGCCAAGGCGGGTGGATCACCTGAGGTCAGGAGTTCAAGACCAGCCTGGCCAACATGGTGAAACCCTGTCTCTACTGAAAATACAAAAATTAGCTGGGCTTGGTGGCGGGTGCCTGTAATCCCAGCTACTCCGGAGGCTGAGGCAGGAGAATCACTTGAACCTGGGAGGCGGAGGTTGCAGTGAGCCGAGATCACACCACTGGATTCCAGCCTGGTGACAGAGCGAGACTCCGTCTCAAAAAAAAAAAAAAAAAATTTTAGCTGGGTGTCATATCACGTGCCTGTATTCCTAGCTACTAGGGATGCAGTGAGCTGTGATGGAGCCATTGCACTCCAACCTGGGCAACAGAGCAAGACCCTGTCTCAAAAACAAAACAAAACAAAATCACTGGGAAAAGTAAATGCATTTCAGATAATCTCAAATATATTTTTCTGATGCAGGGATATTTCCTTGAACTCTGCATTTTATGGTGGTCATTAACAGGCAGGCAACAAACCCAAAGATTTTTGCCAAAACACAGATGTTTGAGACCAGTCTGGACAACATAGCAAGACCCCATTCTCCCACCTTCCCGCAAAAAACTCCAAAGCACGTGGAGAAAAGAGCCCCGGATAATGTATCAAAAATGAGCTAAGAGAATCTTAGAGGCCAGTGTGTGTTCTGTTAGATAATAGAATTTCCATTTACCTGAATACTGACTTACTGCCTTTGCTAAAGCATAACCACTCTGTGGTAGCTGGCATTTTCTTAGAAGTTTTTTTATAGACTATATTCAGAATTCTTATGTTGGAATAAAATGCCTCAGCCTAGGACTAGATTTGAGGACTGAATAGTTAAATAAGGTACTACAGGGCTGGGCGCGGTGGCTCACGCCTGTAATCCCATCACTTTGGGAGGCTGAGGCGGATGGATCACTTGAGGCCAGGAGTTCAAGACCAGCCTGGCCAACATGGTGAAACCCCATATCTACTAAAAATACAAAGATTAGCCAGGTGTGGTGGCGCACGCCTGTAATCCCAGCTACTCGAGAGGCTGAGGCAGGAGAATCGCTTGAACCTGGGAGACAGAGGTTGAAGTGAGCCAAACTCACATCACTGCATTCCAGCCCGGGCGTCAGAGTGAGACTCTGTTTTAAAAAAAACAAACAAACAAAAGGGTACTATGAGAAAAGCATCCAGCATTGGGTAATGTGACATCCTTTCCTTTTCTTTCCCTGCCCCTAGTTGTTGTTTTCACCACATTTGCCCAGTTTTTGCCCTGTTTTTGCCCTTCCTTTGCAGGAGGAGCTTACCAAATACTGCCTGATGGCAAGAGGTGCTCAACAGGCCTTAAAAAACAACCAAACTTATAAGTATTTTTGTTATTCTAAATGTAGTACATATATTCTTACCAAATTTAGGAAATACACAAGCAAAAAAGAGAGAAGTATCACACACATTGCTACTACCTAGAGATAATTATGGTTGATAATTTGGTGTAAATATATATACATTTTATTTCAATAGGCTTATACCCCAAATATTGTACTCTATTTTCCATTGAACACAATTGATAAAACAGTCTTCTGGAAAATAATTTTACTGGTTACGGTGTATTCCTTTTTCTGGGTTTACTATGATCTACTTAACCAGTTTCCTACTATTGGCTTTTTCATGTTTCTCTTGGCAGAAATTTCTATAGCTTTATTAGGATATTATCCAACATCATGCCACAAGACCTTTAAAAAATCCAATGGCAGTATTTTTTCTTATTTAAGATCTACTCTGAAAGCTGCCTAGCATTCTGGTTTTTACTTTTATCTCGTATCCTGGCTACACATATTGAACATTTGTGACAAGGAATTTTGCCTAACTTGGAGGTGACATCATGAGTTATTTTTATGCATTGGGAGCTAAACTCAATTGCTTTGTCTCTTGATTTTTTTAAAGAAAAATAATTTTTCAGAGGTAGGATCTTTTCTGAGCTTTTCCAGTTGTCTCTATTATAAAAGCCAAAGATAGGAGACTTTTTCTATTTAAGATGGGAAATGATGGAGTCATCGTTGGTAGCCAGAGGTTCTTACTGGAAAAGTGCTTTGGAAACCCAAGATGGGGCCAGGCATGGTGGCTCATGCCTGTAATCCCAGCACTTTGGAAGGCCAAGGCAGGTGGATCACCTGAGGTCAGGAGTTTGAGACCAGCCTTGCCAACGTGGTGAAACCCTGTATCTACTAAAAATACAAAAATTAGCCCGGCATGGTGGTAGGTCCCTGTAATCCCATCTACTTGGGAGGCTGAGGCAGGAGGATTGCTTGAACCTGGGAGGCGGAGGTTGTAGTGAGCCGAGATCGCACCACTGCACTCCAGCCAGAGCGACAGAGCAAGACTGTCTCAAAAAAAAAAAAAAGAAAGAAAAGAAACCAAGATCGTCTGTGGTAACAGTTCCCACAGTTGGATCTGTGGAGCATGCATGTATAGTTTCCAGTCTCCTCGTCCACCAGCAGCAGTGCTACTGCTGAGGCCACGGTTGGATCTGTGGAGCATGCATATATAGTTTCCAGCCTCTTCCTCTACCAGCAGCACTGCCACTGCTGAGACCCAAGCTGGCTTGAGAATCAGCCTCACAAACTCTCCAGCCACGGCTGGTCATCTGCCATCAGCATTTGGTGAGGGACCTCTGTGTGCCAGACACTGCTGAGAGCCAGGTGGATTTGACAGTCGGTCCATGATGGGCAAAAGATGCCCGTAGAGAAGTGAACATGGTGCCTTAAGCATGAGGGGGCTCAATGACCAGACCATGAAGGATATGAGGAAGGCTTCTCAGAAGGAACGTCTTGTGAGCCAGGCCTGGGAGGCTTATTTTCAGACAGAAGATACAGAAAAGGGGCATGTCAGACTTACCCCCGCCTCCCCCTCCACCTTTTTTTTTTTTTTTAGTACAGAAGAAAAATATGCTCCTGGGAGCTGTTGTCACCTTTCCTTGGTTATCAGAATCATACCTGGTTTTGAAGAGGTATACTTCATAAACGATCATCTCCAAAGTGAGCTGACACATTTATCTTTGCAACTGAATATGTAAATGAGTTACCCCCTTTTTGATGTTGTTACCTTCATGAATGCCAGAAAGCAAATGTCTTCTGTTTCTTCGGTAACTTGAATTCATTTTCAGCTTTGATTTGTTGCTATGATAGTGTGTTCTTAAAGTCACTGCTGTAGAGGAAACCTTTTGTTTTCTCCAGCTACAGCTTAAGCTCATGAAATGGACCCTGAAGCAATACTCCCTTTTATTCTTTAAGGTATGAGAAACATGACCTTAAGAAACAAAATGTAGAAAATTACCAGGCCAGAAAGAGTCCAAATTCTACTTTCATTACCTGGAGTTCAGAAACCATTGCCCCAGCCCTGGATCTGCTGTTAACCCTTTGTGTGACCTTACCCAGTGACTCACTCTCTTTGGGCCTCAGGCTACTCTGTATAAAAAGCAGTGAAACCAGCCTGGGTACCTGCTGTGGTAGTGATGTGGGCTGAGGCTGGGCACTGTATGTGTGTGACCTGCAGATCCATTTTTGGGAACTATGGGTGATCATGGCCTTCAAAAGCACTTTTCCAATATGAGCCCTTGTTGGCTGCCACATTCCTCAAGGTGGGATGTTAACCTGTGATCTGCTAGAAAGAAGGGGGATTGGGGAGATTGTTTGTTCAGATGAGTCTGCAAAGCTTTCACGTGAAGAAAGTTAGATTTCTTTTTTGCAAGACTTCTCAGACCTTTATTATGTTATTTTGGGCTGTGAATTTCCTCGAAAGGCTTTCTGAGTTTATTTGACCAAGCTACCTTTTCATCTTATTCTGCTTTAAAATGATACCAATCCTGGGGCCTGGCATGGTGGTTCATGTCTGTAATCCCAGCACTTTGGGAGGCCAAGGCAGGTGGATCACTTGAGGGTAAGAGTTCCATACCAGCCTGGCTAACATGGTGAAACCCCGTCTCTACTAAAAATACAAAAAAAAATTAGCTGGGCACGGTGGTGCGCATCTGTAGTCCCAGCTACTTGGGAGGCTGACGCAGGAGAATTGCTTGAACCCTGGAGACAGAGGTTGCAGTGAGCTGAGATCGCACCACTGCACTCCAGCCTGAGCAACAGAGCGAGACTCCATCTCAAAAATAATAATAATAATAAAATGATATCGATTCATGACATGGTGATTGATGAAGCTGAATATTACTGTTGACTATTCTTTGTTTCATTTACTGAGTCAACAAAAAGGTATTGACTGTCTTTTGTGTGGGAGGCTCTGCTTTAAGCCCCGGACATAAGGCAGCGAACAAGATGGACACAGGCTTCATCCTCATGGAATGAGGCACGACAGTTTCCCATGCTGTGAAGGAGAAGTCAAGCACCATGACAACCTTTAAATGGGCAGGCCTGCGTGAAGGGATCAGGGCAGGTGTGCCTGAGGGAGTGGCACTGACCCTGGGTTCTGAGGGATGAATAAGGGAGTTAGCTGGGGCAAGGAAAAGTGAATGGTGACCACCTGGGAGGTGCCAGTGACAGTGTGGCCCAGATGTTTAGATTTGGGGAGAGGAGGTAAGGTCAGAGAGGTATGGCAGGCAGGAGCCAAGTCAAACTAAGACTGGGCTTCCTGATAACGTCGGGAAACTGTGAGTTCTGAACAGGCTGGTAACCTGATCAGGTGTGCCTTTGAAAAGGATCAGTTAGGGCCTGTATTTCTAGCACTTTGGGATGTTGAGGCAGGCGAATCACTTGAGCCCAGGAGTTCGAGACCAGCCTGGGCAATATGGTGAAATCCCATCTCTACAGAAAATACAAAAACTAACTGGGTGTGGTGATGTATGCTTGTGGTCTCAGCTACTCTGGGGCTGAGGTGGGAGGATCACATGAGCCTGGGAAGCAGAGGTTGCAGTGAGCTGAGATCATGCCACTGCACTTCTGCCTGGGTGACAGAGTGAGACCCTGTCTCAAAAACAAAAAGAGGGGGATCATCTAGGCCACTGAGTGGACAACGGGGTTGGTCTGTAGGAAGGCAAGGATGTCTAGAAGGAGATCAGTGAGACTTATCCCTGGGAGTAAAGGGCAGTAGGGGAGGGAAGAAGGGAATGGATTTGAGAGACACGAGGAGGATATTTAATGAGAATAACTCGATGTTCATGGTGTAATGGTTTTATCTTTAAGGACAAAACCAACAATTGAATTTAATAACATCTGACATTTTACTTTGTTCTGTTACAGTAAAAGGAAAGTTCTTTCTTTCATTTCTTCCTCCTTAATGTCTCCTAAATCCTCCCTCTCAGCCTGAAACCTCGGACATTTCTTCTTTGGGTAGCTCCATTCTAATCTGACTTGCCATAGCCTCAATTTCAGGTTTTATCACAGGATTTCTGTACTGAAATCCTTCCTATCGACTCCCCAGGCCTTCAAGCTGAAATACCAGCACCTTTCCTGGGCTCTTTCCTGTCCCTCTGCCACTCTTCTCACCTTGCCTCCTGCCACTGTCCCACCCCCACCCCACCGCTGCGTTTTAGCTGCACTAATCTTGGTACTTGAAAGTTCCTACAATGGGTTGCATATGCATGGGCTCTCTTCCTTTGCACATGCTGTTCCCTCACTGGGTGCCTTCCCCCATTTCTTCACCTGGGCAAGTCGTCTTTATCCCAAATCTAAACCCAGCCCCCGGCCTTTTTTATTTTTTATTTTTTTGAGACAGAGTCTTGCTCTGTTGCCCAGGCTGGAGTGTAGTTGTGCGATCTTGGCCCACTGCAACCTCTGCCTCCTGGGTTCAAGCGATTCTCCTGCCTCAGCCTCCCGAGTAGCTGGGATTACAGGCGTGCACCACCACACCCAGATAGTTTTCGTATTTTTAGTAGAGACGGGGTTTCACCATGTTGGCCAGGCTGGTCTGAACTCCTGCCCTCAAGTGATCTGCTCACCTCGGCCTCCCAAAGTGCTGGGATTACAGGTGTGAGCCACCACGCCCGGCATCAGCCCACATTTTCTCAAGCACCTTCCTTGAGCCCGGCCAGTCTGAGTTAGTTACCTACCCACCCTGCTTTTCTACAGCCCTCTACCCCTCCCGCGGATTGTCATTAGTGTTCATCTTGTTTTTCTCCCTCATTAGCCTGAGGGGAGGAGCTCCTTAAGGGCAGCAGCTTTGCTCTCATCTCTGAACCCCAGAAAATAACAGTACCTGGGACAAAGTAGGTGAACAATAAACGTTTGGCTGACTGAATGAATGATGGTATGAATGAATGAATGAATGAGCGAATAAGCAAGAAATGTTTTAAGTTAATTTCTAAGAACTTTGTGTATATAACATTTTAATTTATTTCTGTTTTCTTTCATTTCCTAGCACAGCTGAAGGTTTAACAAGAAAAAATATGTCAGATGTCAGTGGGTGGCAAACATTTTTACAAGCCCTTGACTACTTCCTCAAAATGTTCTTTGGCTCTGCAGCGCTCGGCACTCTCACTGGCTTAATTTCTGCATTAATATCCTTTTAATGTGATGAACATGCAGGGTTAAAATTATTCCTGATAACTTCTGTCTCTAGCCAGTTTCTCCTGTTTTTTAAGGGGGCCAATTTTAGATGAAGATTTTGCTTAAAGGAGGATTTTTTTGCTTAGTTTTTGTTTGAGAAACACTCTAACTCAAGGATTTTTTAATCTAACGTGAAATTTAGGATGTCACTTTTCAAAGTTTAAAAAACATGTACACTGTTGGATATCAGATGTGATTTTGGGGACCTCTCAGTTCCCAGAGTATGATAACCACACTCCGATGATTTTCGTTTTCTGCCATCTTACTTTTCACATTTGGAAAACTGGAAATTAATTTTCTTTGAAAATGTCAAATAGACCAGGTGCAGTGGCTCATGCCTGTAATCCCAGCACTTTGAGAGGCTAAGGCCAGAGGATTGCTTTCGCCCAGGAGTTCAAGACCAGCCTTAGCAATGGAATATAGTGAGACCTCATCTCTAAAAAATACATAAATAAAAATAAAATGCCAAATAGAGAAAATTTTTATCCCACTGAAAGTGTTTATCCAGAAGGATTGCAAAAGGGGCTTTCAAAGTGTGTTCCATTGAGTTATTTGCACTGATTTTGTTGTTTGACAACCAATAAGCTTTTCCAGCTGGAGATGGAAAGAGGCTTGTTAAGGCCAATGTCACCTTTATTGCTGTAGAAATTTCATTATGTTTAAAATAGTAACAGGCAGTAGACCACTTCGGTGCGCACCTAAGCCTACGTCTCAGGGAGATGGCCACCTGGCCCGCCTCCACGAGCAGTTTGTGTCACAGATGGCCGGAAGAGACTCTTTTGCCTGGTTACAGGCATGTTTTTCTGCCATCCTGTTGAATTTTCCCATCAACTCCTTTGTCCAGAAGTCTAAGGGCTCTATTGAGTTGGCTGACAGCTTCTCATATTGTACCAATAAACAGAATGGAAAAGAAAATTTTTTCCAGTTCAGTATTTTCCTCTATATTTATCTTTTTCTTTAAAAAAAAAAAGTATCTATCAAAATGAAGTGGAGCAAATGGGTACTGTGAGCTCCAGTATAGGCATTGTGAATGATGTTTCAATATATAGAAGGCTCTCTCCTTTCACAGGGGCATGAGTTTGGAAATCTCCAGGAATAGGAAATACTGTGCTTCAACAGGGCCTCGAACCTCAGTTTGAACAGCGATTCTCACTAGTTGTCTTTGACTCAAAACTGATGGGGAAAGCAAGATGGGTAGCATTAGTGATCTCATCCGATGTTGTTGGAGGAGTGGGGGTGATGCCGGCCCTGGGAGGAACCTGGCCAAGTGAGCTGTCCTTGGTGTGTCTGCAGCCCCAGCTTTGCGCCATGGCCCGGCACATCCCCAGCCCTCTAAGTCAGCGTTTTTAAATGAGTTGACTTAGGTTGATTTTCATCTTCCACCACCATTTATCTCCGGAATTTACATTTCTTAGTGTTTTGTCAGATTCCCTTTCTTATAGCAACAGTCTCCCTACAAAGGAAAAAATCCATAATGACAAATTTCCATTTGTAACCTTGGGACATTCTAAAATCTATATCTGTTGTTTACTTCATATATTTGGAAAGCAGCAGTTTTGTGACTTCTCCACATCTCCCATCAACTCTCCCTCGATTCTCCTTCCTTGACAGTTGTCATTTACGTGCTGAAGCATATTGACTTGAGGAAAACGCCTTCCTTGGAGTTTGGCATGATGATCATTTTTGCTTATCTGCCTTATGGGCTTGCAGAAGGAATCTCACTCTCAGGTAAGTGACAGAGAGCCTGAAAGTGCTGTGGTGATGGCATCTTGTCCTGCCTGGGGAAAGAGGCTTTGTCAGTTGGGTCACTTTTAGTCACAAGAGACAGTCACAACTCAGAAGAGCTTAAGTAATAAAGGAAATCTATTGGTTCCCTAGAAACACATCTGGATTTAGGCCTGCCTGGATCCAGGGGCTCAAACAGTCACATTGGTGTCACGGTCACATTTTCTCTTAACCCGCCTTCTCTCATTTAGCCCATCAGTCCTGTGAGGCTCCCTCAGAGGAGGGTAGCCTTGTAGGAGGGAGGTACTGTGAAGGTCCCTGTTTTACTGATGAGAAAACTGAGGTTGAGTGAGATTAAGTAAATTACTCAAGGTCACAGCTGGGATTGGTGGAACAACGATTCAAACTAGTTGTCTTGGAGTCAAGAACTAGTGCTTAGAACCCTCTAATACAACTCCCTCCAAAACAGATCATCATGAAACCATGTACTCAGTGCTACATAGAGGGACAAGCAAAGTGTGGTGGTGGCGTAATGTTGGGCGTTTATTGGACACACTTTACCAGTATTCAGTTTTTTTATGCTGATACCAGCCCTGTGAAGTAGGTACTAAGAGGTTGTCATTAGCCCAAAGCTGCACTGCACAAGCAGTGGTGGTAGTGAGATTGACAGTGGAGGCCCAGAGCCTTTTCCCTGCACCCCATTGGAGGAGGGCACACAGCTCTCAGCAGCAGAGACGACTCTGATGCGGCCCTAGAAGATGATGCTCACCAGCTGGAGGAGGGGTGGCCAGTCACAGCGTAATGATCTTGGAGCCGTCACCTGGTAATCACTCAGCAGCCCAATCAGGCTTGGCTTAGTTGGGCTTTCTGCCTACAAGTGGCAGTCAAGCTTGCGTCCACAGCTTGTTACGTTGTAAGGATGTTGACCTGAAAATGGAGCGTGACTCACCCCTGTTCCTGTGTGAGGGGGCAGCCAGTTGGGAAGGGCTCTGCCCTGGAAGTCTGATCCCATCCTTTGAGTGAAGGCCCTTCAGAGGCCTTGTTCTGGAAAGGAGGCACTATTGCAGGGATGTTTTGATCTGTGCCACAAGATGGCAGAGATTTTCTTTTTTATTAACTTCGTTGAGGTATAATTTACACACAATACATGGACCCGTTCTAAGTATATAGTTCCATGAATTTTTGCAAATGTGGACAGTCATAACTACCCCCACAGTCGAGGTGTGGCATATTCTTATCGCCCAGTGTGGCTCCCCTGTGCCCTTCTGCAGTCAGTCCACCTGCCTGTCCTGAGCCCTGGCACCCACTGATCCTGCACTGTCATTGTAGTTTAAATGAAATCATGTGGTACGTAGTCTTTTGTGTCTCCTCTCTTTCAGTTACGTTTTTGAGAGACATCCGTGTTTTTGCGTGTGGCAGTAGTTTATCGTTCTTATTGCACCACAGTTTGTCTGTTCATCATTTGAAGGGCATTTGGGGTTTTCCAGATTTGGGCTAAGAACAGTGTGCATGTGTTTTCATTTATCTTGGGTAAATACCTAGGATTAAGGCTGCTAGGTCATATGGTAAGTACATTTTTACTTTTTTAGAAACTGCCTAGTGTTTTTCGAAGTGACTGTATCATTTTACATTCCTCAGAATGTATGAGAGAGTGCCAGTTGCTTCATATTGCCACCACACTTATTTTAATTTAAAAAAGTTTAGCTGTCCTGATAGGTGTGTAGCAACTGCATTTAGATGTGCTTTGGTGTGGTTATTTTTATATTCGCCTTGGGTTCATTGAGTTTTTTGGGTTTATAGTTTATATGAGTTTATAGCTTTCATCAAATTTGGTAAGCTTTTGCCCATTTCTTTATCAATATTTTTTTGTTCCGCCTTCCTCTTCCCCTTGAGACTTCAGTTTACTCCAGTTATGAGAGGTAGCATGCTATTGGCCCACAATATGCTTTGCCTTTTTTTCTTTTTTTCCCTATGTGCTTAATTTTGGTTATTTCCTGTTGCCGTATCTTCAAAGTCACTGATCTTCTGCCATGTGGAATCTCCTGCTAATCCTACCCAGCGTATTTCTCATTTACATATTTTATAATTCATCTACAGCAGATCCCTTTAGGTTATTTTCATTTCTTCCATTTCTCTCTTCATCATGTTCATGTTTTCTTCTATATTCTGGAGCATATGAAACATAGAAATTTCTGATAGCTGTTTTAATGTCCTTGTTTGCTAATTCCGTCATCTCTGTCAACTGTAGGTCTGTTTTGTTGTTGATTTTTCTTGTGCTTATAGGTCACATTTTCTTGCTCTTTGCTTGTTATTAAGTTTTGATTGGATGTCAGTCATTGTGAAGTTTTATGTTGTTGAGCACAAGATTTTATTGTATTCCTTTACGGAGTTCTGGACTTTTCTTTTAAAAACAATTTTTTTTGTGTGTGTGTGTTATTTCTGGACTTTTCTTCTGGCACGTATCTAAGTCTCTTGACATCAGTTTAATCCTTCTTGAGGCTTACATTTAAACTTTTTTAGGGCTGGTGCAGAGTAGCAGGGCCCTAACTAAGGTGTCTCAGGTACCGTGAGCTCACTCCACTCTGGCTGGTGGGAACGCAAACTATTCCCACCCATGTCAGCTTCTGGAATTGTTCAGCCTACTTCTTTTTAATGGTTCTTTCCCCAGCTTCTTGTTTCATCCGACATATTTACTGATCAGTATCAGTCAAAGACTCAAGGGGACTTTACAGTAGATGTCCAAGAGCTCTCTTTCTGTGCAGCTTCCCCGACTCAACAGGACAGCCCTCTTAAAGCCTCAGCCTCAGGCAGTCAGCTCAGCAGGGGGCCTAGGGAAAGAGTGGCCACCTTTGTCTCCCTTCCGGCAGGAATCACAGTCCTACCCTATCTTTTGTCCCATGTCAGAAAATAGTTTTGTTTCATATCTTGTATCAGGTTTTCTAGTTATGTAGAGCAGGACAGTGTTCTGTGTAGCAGTAATTTCTTCAGACGCAAAGCTGAAGGCCCAGTGGTCTCTAGTGACTCAGTTGACAGAACTTTTCTACCCAGTCGCTATCCGGAGTCACACTTGGGTGCTGCATGAGCAGCACAAGGAGGAAGCAGAGTGGACTCACCATTTTCAGGGTTTTGTTTTTCATCGCAGACCAGTTCACCAGGGTAATTCCATCCTGGTGTCTGCCATGAGGTTCCCTTTCTTTACTGAATGTTGGCACTTACAAAAACGTTACCTGTGAGTCATTCGGCTCTAGCCTAGCTATTTTTACATCTGTTTTTCTAAATTGTTCCTCTACCCCCTTGAGAAGATCATTGAGTACCTGTTGGCAAAGATGTGTTTCATGCATCTGTTTGGAATCTGTGATTAAAATAAGGGAGTGTTTTTCTTACCTTCTTTTCAGACTGGCAGTGTTTCCTGTTGAGAGGGGTTTCATTTCCTTAGGGACCTTGCTCCACACACAGCAGTGCAAGCCAGGAACACCAGATCTGCCTCTGGGTGAGGGAACCTGCTCTGTCCGCACTTTGCCTTTTGGGTATTTGTCACGCAGGGTTTTCAGAGAGGGGCAGGATGGCCCTGTGTGGTGTGTGGACGCCCCACATTGCACTGTGAAAGCACAGATGGAAAGGGTGGTTTCTGCTGTCTTCACCTTCCTTTGTGTGCTCCCCTTTTCCTGACTATCACAAAGGACTGATCTCAAGTGGTTCCCAAGACCATGGAGCAGGACATTCTCTTCCTAGGAAGTGGGAATTATTTACCTAAATCCACATGTAGGGAACACAGTTGCTAAGGACTGGGGCTGGATAACAGACAGACTTGGATTTGAATCCCAGCTCCACCTCTTATTGGCTGTGTAACCTCAGATTACAGACTTAACCACCCCATGCTCTACTTCCTCATTATAAAATAGACAAAAGGGCCAGCCTGACGCCTTTGCTGAGGAGTGGGGAGCGATGCAAGTGAGAGTCCTGATGGGGCATCTGTGCCACTGCTGGGGTGGCCAGAAGTCCTGGTTTGCCCTCTGTCTCAATATGATGAATTAATAATATCCCCGTTTATTCTAAAAAATGTCCTGGTATCCACAGCAAATCAAACAGTCTCCCTAATTATAACTCAGCAAGCGTTAGCTATTCTCAGAATATTTGTTCTGACTGTATCCATGTTAACTATTTTTATTGTTCAGTCAAGCCAGTTTTGAGGGCCACTTTGGCCTCTGACACTAAAGATTCAAAGATGAATAGACCCCACTTAGGCAGAGCAGTTAGCGAACACTGGGCTTGCAGGGGATGGGAGAGAGTGACACTCTGTCAAGGTGAGTCACAGAGGAGGGGACTTTGGGCTTGAAGGATGAGTTTGCAAGATTAATCATGAGATAACACTTTCTTTCTTTCTTTCTTTCTTTTTGAGGCAGAGTTTCGCTCTGTAGCCCAGTCTGGAGTGCAGTGGTGCCATCTCGGCTCACTGCGACCTCTGCCTCCCAGGTTCAAGCAATTCTCTGCCTCAGCCTTCCGAGTAGCTGGGATTACAGGTGCCCACCACCACGCCCGACTAATTTTTTTTTTGTATTTTTAGTAGAGACAGGGTTTCACCATCTTGGCCAGGCTGATCTTGAACTCCTGACCTCGTGATCTGTCCGCCTCGGCCTCCCAAAGTGCTGGGATTACAGGCGTGAGCCACCGCGCCCGGCCAACATAACACTTTCTTAAGATGTTGGCATGGGCCAGGCGCAGTGGCTCACACCTATAATCCCAGCACTTTGGGAGGCCAAGGCAGGTGGATCACGAGGTCAAGAGATCAAAACCATTCTGGCTAATATGGTGAAACCCCATCTCTACTAAAAATACAAAATATTATCTGGGCATGGTGGCACGTGCTGGTAGTCCCAGCTACTCGGCAGGCTGAGGCAGGAGAATTGCTTGAACCAGGGAAGCAGAGGTTGCAGTGAGCCGAGATCCTGCCACTGCACTCTAGCCTGGCGACAGAGCAAGACTCCATCTCAAAAAAAAAAATAAAATAAAAATAAAAAGATACTGGCATGAAGTTGGCCAAAGATAGAATGTATGGTGCAGTGCTCTTCTGCACAGATATCTAAGGAATTCCATTGCAGCACTGCTTGGGAGAGAAAAACTGGAAGGAACTATATGTTCATCAGTAATGGAAAAGA
Source organism: Homo sapiens (assembly GCF_000001405.40). Classification (NCBI taxonomy): domain Eukaryota; kingdom Metazoa; phylum Chordata; class Mammalia; order Primates; family Hominidae; genus Homo; species Homo sapiens. The sequence goes on from NC_000020.11 coordinate 49,869,998, forward strand.
TCAAATTCCAGTCCATTTGCACTATGGAATCCTGTGCAGCTACTTAAAAAATGAACTTGACCTGTCTGTACTGCCATGGAAAGAATTTGACATATTGTTAAATTTTTTAAAAGTAAGTTGAAAAATCAAACTCTCGCCCATTCAAGAAATACTTATTAAATGTCCACCCTATGCTGAGAACTATCCTTGCTGTTGGGGCTACATTTATAAACAACACAAGATCAGTTTCCTTTTCTTGCAGAAGAAAGCCAGAATTTAAGCAAACCCATACAACAATTCCAGGTGGCAAGAAATGACAAGAAGAGAAATTAAAGCCATGTGACAGAGAGTGGCATGTGGTAGAGAATGGATGGGATCTCAGGCAGTCAGGGAGGTCTCCCCTGGAGGTGGCACTGGAGCCCAGACCTGTGTGGCGAGAGGAGCCAGCCCAGGGACGCTCTAGGGAAGGAGGGTTTTGGCAGCAGGAACTGCAGGAGCCAGGGGTCTGAAGATAGATGTGCGGGAGTGTGGCATGCTCCAGGAAGAGAAGGAAGACCAGTGTGGCCAGGACGCTGCCTCACAGGTTCTGCAGGCCTGAGAAGGAGCTGGGTTTCTAGTATATGCACCACGACAAGAGAGTTGGAAGCCCTTGAAAAAAAATCACTCTGCTGGTAATAGGCACCATATATGTGATAGGATCCTGTTTATTACTTTAGTTTTATTTTATTTTAATTTTATTTTTTGAGACAGGATCATGCTCTGTTACCCAGGCTGGAGTGCAGTGGCACAATCACGTCTCACTGCAGCCTTGACCTCCCCAGGTTTAGGTGATCCTTCCACCTCAGCCTCCTGAGTAGCTGGGACTATAGGCACGTGCTACCACACCCAACTAGTTTTGTATTTTTTGTAGAGCCAGTCTCACTCTGTTGTTCAGGCTGGTCTCAAACTCCTGGGCTCAAGCAATCCACCCACTTTGGCCTCCCAAAGTCCTGGGATTACAAGTGTGAGCCACCATGCCAAGCCTATTACTTTAAAGATAAACTTTATAATCACATGGTAAAAGAACTGGCAGTCTGCATATTGAAGTGTTAATAGTAGTTAAGAGTAGTTACGTCTGAGCGGGCAGTATGAATAGATTGTCTTTTACTCTGTACCTCAGTGAGTCTGAATGTTTTATGGCAAAATATGTTTATTATTGAGTAATTAACACAGCGTACTCATTACGGTTTCACTCAGCCCTCAAGAAGTATGTTATATTTTACATACAGTAAGGCACGGTACAGTGTAAATTGTACCATGATACCTTTTCACTGCCTTTTGGACTTGAATCCCATACTGTCTTCCTTTATTACATCTAGAACAGTGGATGTAACCATAAACAGAAGTGGATTTCCTCTCTCCCTTTCTTTTCTGCCATTCTTCCTTCAGGAGGCTGAACGCTTTTGCTGCATTTGCTTTCTTAAACGATTTTGCCTAATTCTTAAAGGAAATTCTTCCTTAAGCGTATTTTTTCAAATACCATGCCTTTTACCTCACTTAAAAAAGTTATCCTGGTTTGCACCAACCCCCGCTTTTGTGTTTCTGTAGCCTGCTCCACTGGCCGCAGATGAGGGTGATGTGGGTGGTGGAGAGTCCCCTTTGCTTCTGGAGGGCATATGAGGCAGATACTTGAGCCATCCCTCTGGCTTTTGTGCCTGCTGCTGACCCTCTTTCCTTTCGCCTAGAACTCAAGGTGCCCTGACCCCACACTAGCCCAGGGTAAAGCCCTCTGGGATTGTCCAGATGGCCCAGTGCCAACAGTGGGTCAGGTGCACAGGTGGCAGCTGTGGTCCAGTCTCAGCCCCCAGACAGGGCTTACTTATCCATATAGAAAAATCCAAAATGTTTGAATTTGTTGCCATCCTTAAAGATGGAGATTTCCTGTAAGGAAAACCAGAAGGAAGACTGGTCCATGTTAGATCCTCAGTCCCACAGGGCTACTGTCAGCCTTTGTAGACAGGCTGAGCCGAGACTGCGCCTCTAATCCCAGCTGCTTGGGAGGTTGAGACAGGAGAATCGCTTGAACCTGGGAGGCGGAGGTTGCATTGAGCTGAGATGGCACCATTGCACTCCAGCCTGGGTGACAAGAGTGAAACTCCATCTCAAAGGAAAACAACAACAAAAACACTCTTGAGCTTCAAAGAGCCCTAAAGGAGCAGGTAAAGAAGTCTCCTACCCTCTCATTTTCCTTCGCCCACCATGTCAGGTGTGTCTTACAGGAAGCATGGCTGGAATCTCCCTGTAGGGGAAACTGAAGAGCAAAGGCATTTGCTGTTTCCTAAGAGGGTTAGGAGATCAAATGTCCAGCTCCTGCTGTCACTCAGCCAGCCCATACCTGCTGGGGCAATACAAAAAAGTAGGTTTCCTATATTTTGTAGGGTATTGTGTTACAGTAAGCTTAGCAGTTGACAAGTCTGTAATACAGTGCTGTGATTTTCACCCTTTTTTTTTTTTTTACAGTTTTTTGTTTGTTTGTTTGTTTGTTTTTGAGACAGAGTCTTGCTCTGTCACCCAGGCTGGAGTGCAGTGCCGCAATCTCGGCTCACTGCATCCTCCACCCCTCCAGGTTTAAGCAGTTCTCTGCCTCAGCCTCCAGAGTAGCTGGGATTACAGGCGTGTGCCACCATGCCCAGCTAATTTTTTGTATTTTTAGTAGAGACGGGGTTTCACCATCTTGACCAGGCTGGTCTTGAATTCCTGACCTCGTGATTCACCCGCCTCGGCCTCCCAAAGTGCTGGGATTACAGGCATGAGCCACCGCGCCCGGCCGATTTTCACCCTTTTATACGTGGAAAGTTTGCCAGATAGTCACTGTTTCCACAAAATGGCAGAAGTGAATTAAAACTTTGCTTTTAAAGTTTGACTTGGAATTAGTATATCTTGGCAGCTTATTTGATGATTTTTTAAGACAATCTCAGCTTCCTTACATGAAATAGAGACCCCTTTCCTGCTCCCTATGCAGGGAGATGCTGAGAAGAGACCTGTGAGTTCCTCAGGAGTGACTGAGGGCAGCGGACGAATGTCGAGGCTCAAATCCTGTGTAAGCACAGAAGGTTGTACACACCCTCGTGCAGGGCTCTGAAGAAAAGATGCATTACCTTTTTAAATAACAGTAGTTCATGATTATGGGAAAATTCAAAGTTAAGGAAAAGTATTTTAAAAGTCCATCAAAATCCACACATTTAGCTGGGTGCAGTGGCTCACACTTATAATCCCAGCACTTTGGGAGGCCGAGGCAGGTTGGATTGCTTGAGCTCAGGGGTTTGAGACCAGCCTGGGCAACATAGTGAAACCCCATCTCTACAAAAATACAAAAATTAGCTGGGCGTGGTGGTATGTGCCTGTGGTCCCAGCTACTTGGGAGGCTGAGGTGGGAGGATTGCTTGAGCCCAGGAGATGGAGGTTGCAGTGAGCTGATACCACGCCATTGCACTCCAGCCTGGGCGACAACGCGAAACCCTGTCTCCAAAAAAAAAAAAAAAAAAAGAGGCCGGGCATGTTGGCTTACGCCTGTAATCCCAGCACATTGGCACAATCCTGAAGTCAGGAGTTCGAGACCAGCCTGACTAACATGGAGAAACCTCGTCTCTACCAAAAATACAAAAATGAGCTGGGCATGGTGGTGAACACTTGTAATCCCAGCTACTTGGGAGGCCGAAGCAGGAGAATTGCTTGAACCCAGGAGGGGGAGGTTGCAGTGAGTCGATTTCACGCTATTGCACTCCAGCCTGGGCAAAAAGACTGAAACTCCGTCTCAAAAAAAAAAAAAAAAAAAAAAAAGAATCCACACATTCTCCATACACAGATTCTTAGGCTCCTTTCTGCCCCCCAGAGTGGTTTGCTTGCCACCCTTATATAGTCATCCCTCAGCATCTGTGGAGGATCAGCTGTAGGACTCCCCACGTATAGAAAATTCATAGGTGCTCAAGTTCCTTATACAAACGGTGCAGTTGGCCAGGTGCAGTGGCTCACACCTGTAATCCCAGCACTTTGGGAGGCCGAGGTGGGCAGATCACCCGAGGTCAGGAGTTTGAGACCAGCCTGGCCAACATGGTGAAACCTCTTCTCTACTAAAAATACAAAAAATTAGCCAGGCATGGTGATGCGTGCCTGTAGTAGTCCCAGCTACTCAGGAGGCCGAGGCAGGAGGATCACATAAACCTGGGAGGCAGAGGTTGCAGTGAGCCAAGATCGCACGCACTATTGCACTCCAGCCTGGGTGACAAGAGCAAAACTCTGTCCCCCCCCCAAAAAAAAGGGTGGGGGGGTAGTGCAGTGGGCCCTCAATAGCCACAGGTTCCACATCTGCCAACCCTATCCCTGGATGTCAGTGATGGTCCACACCTTTTTATCTTTGGTGCTGTGAAGGGGACTTTACATGGCTTATTTTCACTCACCCTCCTAACAGTTCTGTGAGTGGCTACTATTAGTCCCACTGTACAGAAGCGGAAACTGAGGCTCTGATGGGGGATGTAATGTGGCTCAAGGTCACCCAGCTAGTAATGAGGCTGCCAGAGCGAAGGGACCCATAGTATTTTTTCTGAAGCCTCTGGGAGGCTTCAGGAATTCATTTATTTTCCTTTTTCTTAAACCCTCTAATGCTCTAGGCCCCAGGGCCTTGCAGGCATTGTGAGATCTGAGTTGGGGATCACACGGCAGTGCTTTCTGTTCTGTTCTCTCCCTCTCTAGGCATCATGGCCATCCTTTTCTCAGGCATCGTGATGTCCCACTACACGCACCATAACCTCTCCCCAGTCACCCAGATCCTCATGCAGCAGACCCTCCGCACCGTGGCCTTCTTATGTGGTGAGTTCTGCTTCTGTGTGGCCGTGAGCAGGCCCACCCAGAGCTGATCTTGCTTCCTTATCCTGTTTGAGAAGTCAGTTGAGACTTTCCCTGGCAGCAGGGCAGCAGCTCCTCAGAGCCAGATCCCTCACTCCCTTATCTTTTGTTTGTTCCTCTGGCTTTGAAATTTCATAAAGTAAACCAAACACCTAATAAATGAACATCTGGCGCCTACAATTTAAAGACCAAAAATAGTGAGAACCAATTATGAACATTTGATACATGCATTTTTAATGTATTAATGTGACATTTCCAAAAATGTATTCCTTGGAAATAAAATATTAATGATGGTTTGGTGAAAATGGCTCCATAGTCAAGCAAGGCATGGGGCTCACACCTGTAATCCCAGCTGCTTGGGAGACTGAGAGGATCACTTGAGCCCAGGAGTTCAAGGCTGCAGTGGGCTATGATCTTAAAAAAAAAAAAAAAAAGAAAGAAAGAAAAACAAAGCTTTTGTAGTCAAACAAGAGTTTAGGAAATCCTGGTTAAATAAAGTTTAACATTTATGAATTGCCAGACTTTTCAGCAAATAATGGATTGTCAAATCCTTAACGGGGGATATAGTTATAGAATTTTCCAAACTTGTCCACAGAATCCTTTATTCACAAGAGCAGCCTGAGGGACATCACTCGGGGACAGTTCGCAGTAGAGGTGTCATTTGTTGGGCTGGGATAAACCACGATGGCTTTGTCTTTAAGCAGTTTGTTCAAGTTCTTGTTCCCCCACGCTCCGACATACCCATGTATCTCCCCACCAACTTTATACTTGGAAGTGGTTGGAGTCGGGGAACAGCTCTCACCATGTCCCTTTAAGCTGGCCCCCAAGTGACTTTGCCCTAGCTGTCATCAAAATCACCCCTGGCATTTTGAGGGACTTGTCTCTTTTTTTTTTTGAGATGGAGTCTTGCTGTGTCGCCCAGGCTGGGGTGCAGTGGCGTGATCTCAGCTCACTGCAAGCTCCGCCTCCCGGGTTCATGCCATTCTCCTACCTCAGCCTCCGGAGTAGCTGGGACTATAGGTGCCCGCCACCATGCCTGACTAATTTTGTTTTTTGTATTTTTAGTAGAGACAGGGTTTCACCGTGTTAGCCAGGATGGTCTCGATCTCCTGACCTTGTGATCCACCTGCCTCGGCCTCCCAAAGTGCTGGGATTACAGGCATGAGCCACCGCACCCGGCCACTTGTCTCATTTTTAATTGCTACTTCCACACTGTTAGCGTGCTAGGAGGCAAAGGCAACCCAGGCAGAAACTTCAGCAGATAAGGAGGCTCAGGTGAGGAGTAGTCACATGACTTGCCCATGGTCTCATGGCCAAGAAGTGGGTATGCAGGCCAGGTCTCTTTATTCCTGGGCCAGAGGGTATTATTTGTACAGCACCTCTCTCAGAAAGCCAGGCTACAGATTCTGACCCTGAGCCTCCCAGTTAAAGACACATAAAGCAAATCGTCCATCCAAAAAGATTCTATTTTGTACCCAGCAGTTTGGCAAATGTTAAGTTTGATAATACCCACTTCTGGCCTTGGCGTGTGGAAAACAGGCCTACTGGAATCTTTTCTGGAGAGTCATTTGCCACGTCTGTCTGAATTTAAAAGGCACGTGCTCTTTGGCCCAACAGTCCAACCCTGTGGAATTTAGCCCATACTGGGGTGTTTGTTGAACCTCTCAGAAATAAAAACAGTCTAAATATCCATCCATAGAGGATTGGGCATTAGAAAAATTGTCGAATTTTGACAATTTGTCAAATGTGACAGAAAAACTGTCAAATTTCTCTGCAAATAAACATTATCCCGCCAAGGGAAGATGATAAACACAATTCTGCCTGTTTACTGAACACCTTCATTAGCAAGGGTCCCAACTGTGGCAAAGTGGCAGAAATTCAGAGCAAATGGATACCGTGATGTATCCAGATCCTGGAGTTGATGCTGCCAGGGAAAAGCATCCACTAGATCTGAATGTCTTCTAAATGTGCTCATTTGGAAAGATCACACAAATATTAGATAAGAAAAAAATTTCAGAGAGAGAAGGGGGGGTAAATTCTCCAGCTTGTGGACTTGTTTTAAACTTGGGTACCATTCAAAGGAAAAACATTGTTAGAATGTAAAACAGCCTTGCTGTTTGTGATCAACTATTTTAAAATACAGTTTTAGGCCAGGCGCGGTGGCTTATGCTTGTAATCCCAGCACTTTGAGGGGGGCCAAGGTGTGCGGATCACAAGGTCAGGAGTTTGAGACCAGCCTGGCCAACACAGTGAAACCCTGTCTCTACTGAAAAAAAAAAAAAAAAAAATAGCTGGGCGTGGTGGCGAGCGCCTGTAATCCCAGCTGCTTGGGAGGCTGAGGCAGGAGAATTGCTTGAACCCAGGAGGCGGAGGTTGCAGTGAGCCGAGATCGTGCCACTACATTCCAGCTTGGGAGACAGAGTGAGACTCTGTCTCTAAAAAAATATATATACAGTTTTAATCTCTTTAGTCATTATGCTGTTCTGAGGGCCATCACAGTTTAAGCAGAGAGCCTAGTGTTAGAAATTTATAAGGTGCTTTTTCTTAATATATACAAGTTTGTGTGACAGAGAGTAAATATTGGGCTCTTTTTGGCTCGCAGAGTGGAGCCAGGAGTTAGCAATGAGTCTCACTCTGCAAATCCTGCTGGGTGTGAGCTGTGTTCTAAACCTTGTGGCAGTGTTAAATATATTAAGCTAATCATGTGGAAGTTAACCAGAGGCCCCTTCACATTTGTCATGTGGCGTCTGCAGTCATTTGCTCTGAATTTTTGCCACTTTGCCGCAGTTGGGGCCCTTGCTAATGACAGTGTTCAGCAGATTGACAGATTCTTGTGTTTATCATCTTCCCTGGGTGGGATCGTGTTTATTTGCAGAAGTATTTGACAGTTGACTCATTACATTAAGAGATTTCTGAATACCAGGGACATGTAGCTTATGTAATAGAAAAGAATGAGAGAATTTAAGCACAAGTTTGACCAAGATATTGGCTGCAGGATTTTCAAGAAAATAAGGAAAGTGTTGTATTGGATTCTGACTGTGAATGTTTGCTTGCTTAATAGTTTAGTACCATATTGGAATGAAATCATTGGGGTTGAATAATCCATTCTTTGGTTTGTTTCAGAAACATGTGTGTTTGCATTTCTTGGCCTGTCCATTTTTAGTTTTCCTCACAAGTTTGAAATTTCCTTTGTCATCTGGTGCATAGTAAGTATTTTCCTTTTTTTTTTTAAATTTAATTACTTATTTGTAGATCAATAAACACATGTTCCGGATTCATTTATGTAACTGTTAACTGTTCAAAGTCAACAGCTACATAGACACTCTTTTGTTTAAAGTTTCTTTTGTTAAAAAAAAAAAATCACAAACATACAGTAAGGGGGCAGGGGTAGAATTAAGTGAATAAATATCCCCAGAAAGGACTTTTGCTTGTTTTTTAAGATTTTTAATGGCCTTGAATATTATGGTCTTTAAATAAAAGTACAGGTTTGTAAGTTTTTGTGTGAGGAGGTAAAAGCAGATTTCAAAATTGAATATGTAATTGATCATAACCATGTAAAAATATTATGCACAGAAAAAAGAAAATATGTAAAGAAAATATAGCCACATGTTCACAGTGGTCATAGAGTTGGGATTTCTTTCTCTTTTCTGCTTTTTCTGGATAATTTATTATGTACTTCTTACTGCAGTTTTCTTCAAATTTGTCTATTTATATTTGTCTATTTGTCTGTTTATAAGATATTGTTCCTGCAACCTGGGTACTTCCATCTCTCAGTCAGCAAGAGCTCATTGCTCTTGGTCACTGTTATTTGTCCTCCAAACTCAGGTTTCAGGGCAAGAGAGAAGCAGCAAAAGTCCTTTACAGAAAGTATAATAGCCTAGGCTGGGCGCGGTGGCTCACACCTGTAATCTCAGCACTTTGGGAGGCCGAGGCTGGCGGATCATGAGGTCAGGAGTTTGAGACCAGCCTGGCAAACATGGTGAAACCCCATCTCTACTAAAAATACAAAATTAGCCGGGCGTGGTGATATGCGCCTGTAATTCCAGCTACTCAGGAGGCTGAGGCAGGAGAATCGCTTGAACCCGGGAGGCGGAGGTTGCAGTGCAGTGAGCTGAGATCATGCCATTTGCACCCCAGCCTGGGCAAAAAGAGCGAAAGTCCATCTCAAAAAAAAAAAGTATAATAGCCTTTAGTGTGGCCACTGGGGAAAAGGGACACATTTGATCAAACCTGAAACAAGTGTAGGCATGGAAGATTGGATTTCAGTGGGTGAAACAGGGAGGTGACTATTTCAGCCACAGGTTGGGAGGAAAATGAAAGGATGCCCTGGGGTGACAACTCAGTTTTCTCTAAGCAGTTAGGCCCAGGCTGGCCCTGCAGCTAGTGGAGATGGCCTATTCAGGTGGGTTACAGTTCCTGCCCTGTAAACTCAATTTAGTGGTCAAGAGCATGGGCTTTGGGGTCTGAACCAGATTTGAGACTTGGATCCATTACTTCCTGCCTTGTCAACTTGGACCAATTACTTCATCTCTCTATACCTCAGTTTCCTTGTCTATAAACTGGAGACAACAATACCTACTTTGTAAGACCTTTGCAAGGATTTAAATTTAGCAGGATAATGCATGTAAAATGATTAGCATGTTGTCTGGCATAGAAATGTTTGATGATTGGAAACATTTACTCTTGGCCAGGCATGGTGGCTCACGCCTATAATCCCAGCACTTTGGGAGGCTGAGGCGGGTGGATCACTTGAGGTCAGCAGTTTGAGACCAGCCTGGCCAACTTGGCGAAACCCCGTCTCTACTAAAAATACAAAAATTAGCCGGGCATGGTAGCACACGCCTGTAATCCCAGCTACTAGGGAGGCTGAGGCAGGACAATTGCTTGAACCCGGGAGGCAGAGGTTGCAGTGAGCCAAGATCACGCCACAGCACTCCATCTCAAAAAAAAAAAAAACTCTCAAATTCATGCTTGTTAAAGGAATAAACTTAAAGCCTAAAGAATGTACTGTACATGTCTATATCATCCTTTTCAAGTAGTTATGGTGAGAACCAAGATGAAGAAAATGAAAGTAAAGTAATAAATGTCCTAAGAATCCACTTAGATAAGATTTAAACTTTAGGCTGGGTGCAGTGGCTCACACCTGTAATCCTAGCACTTTGGGAGGCAAAGGCAGGAGGATTGCTTGAGACCAGGAGTTTGAGACCAGCCTGGGCAACATAGCAAGACCTCATCTTTAACTAAAAAATTTTAAAAAGTAGCCAGGCATGGTGGTGCATACCTGTAGTTCTAGCTACTTGGGAGGTTAAGGTGGGAGGATCACTGGAGCCCAGGAGGTTGAGGTTGCATTGAGCCACAATCACACCACTGCACTCCAGCATGCGAGACAGAGTGAGACTTTGTCTCAAAAAAAAAAAAAAAAGATGTAAACTTTACATAAAGCTGTACTTTGCCAAGACTAACATGCCTTTGGAGATGGAGAGGAACCAAAAGCCACAGCAAGCAGCTGGCAGGCTAAGCCGGGGCATGTGGCCTCCTGATAGTCCCTACCTCTGCGTTCCTCTTGCTCAGAGAGCAGTGTTTCCATGCATGGGAGGTCCTTCATAGCTGCCCTCCTTTCCCTGAGGGAGAGGCAGAAACACCTTGTCTGTCCCCCTAGTCCTGGTATGATCAATGCAGCCCTGTCCCAAGGAGGGGCACCTTGGGAGTCAGGTTGCCCTTAAACTAATCTGTGAATACTTCTGTACAGCCTCTTGGCATTCAGTTTTGTTCTGCTGTCATTACTAAAGCCCTTCCTGATACCTCGTCCGTCCTCTCTTTTCTGGCTACTAAGAAAGGTAACGTACAAAGCTTTATCCTTTCCTAGATGCATAGAATCCCGCAGCTGTGGCAGCACGCCCATGCTGGGTCTCTGACGAGCATGGTGTTGCTCGTGTCTTTTGTGGCTGAGGGGAATACTGCATTTGTACTGGATGTGTTACACAGTCTGCATTAGCTTCATCCAAGAAGCTTCAGCTTGAAGAGCCAGATGTTTTCACCTAAGACTTAGTTTGTTGCTATCAACAGGTGCTTGTACTATTTGGCAGAGCGGTAAACATTTTCCCTCTTTCCTACCTCCTGAATTTCTTCCGGGATCATAAAATCACACCGAAGATGATGTTCATCATGTGGTTTAGTGGTAAGTCAAATCTTGGATAAATGGGGTGGGGAAGTACCTGTTAAAAGCACGCCCCATACAGGGAGAGCTGTGGTTCTCTGCTAGCGCCCTTGGCAAAACCACAAGTAATCAATACTCCCGTTTAATGGCACCCACTGCAATCAAGATGGTGCCCCTCACCATGGTGCTATGAAGTGGGTGAGGCTTGGTTGGAAGAGGGCAAACAACATGCCCAGGGTCACGTGACCACTGGAGGCAGAGCCGGGATTTCTGCCACTCTCTTCTGAACACCATAGTGCAGTCCGGGATGCAGCTGGGCGTGCTTCAGCGCCTCCCTGGGGGTCTTCTAGGCTGAAGTAATAATGGTCTCAAGGTAGAAAAGGTGAAAGTTGAAACTGTTTCATACCTTATGTTAGTTTTGGATATTTTTCCTTTTAGTCACAAAGTTCTAGTAGTTTAATTTGAATGTTTCAGTTGCTATTTAATCACTTTTTAAAGGACGGAAATGATTTCATACATCTTTGCTTCTAAAGAACTGGATCCATAGGCATCCTTAAATTTATTTTTGAGCAATACATACTGTTCTTTATGCTTTCTTGCTTAAATATTATAATCAAAGTATTTTCCGTGTGGGTTGGGTTATAGCAACACACTATAATGTTCTCTATCCAAAGGCATATCTGCAAGTTTGTCTCAGATTTCTCTTCTTTCAAAAGGCCATGTTTAAAAATGTATATGTTTCATATATATGTACGTATGTGTATATATACATATACATTTATATGTGGTGAGAAAAACTCATTTTTTTCCTAATCTCTTTTGCCAGTGAGGCAAACTACTTTGTAAATGGTTGCAGAAGTGTGTCAGAGGTTTTTGAAGTGATGTGGGCTATTTGGGAAGGGGGGCATGAGGATAAGAGAGCGTTATGGGGAAGGTTGGAGTGTATTTGAAATGGCGGGGGCTGTCGGCTCCTGTTCTCTCCCAGGCTCCCCGGGCTCTTGCTCTGTGGGTTTCCATCCAGGCTTTCCTGGATCCTCAACGAGGGGCACTGAACAAGCCTCTGCTACCGGCCCCTCCCATCATCATTTAAGCAATCAGAGCTTCTCCTCCTTCCCACAAAACACCAGCAACTTCAGCCAGAGTTCCTCCTCATGTCCCCCGCAGCTGTGTCCGCACCTCTTTTGCCATGGCCAGACCCTTGCGAGTGAGCCGTGCTCGCTCATTTTCTCCACTTCTTCACCGCCTGTCCACGGGGCTGGAATTGGCCTTGGCAGGTCACCAGTGACCTCCCGCAGCCAGACCTGGAGGGGAGGCGTCCGCCCCCGTCCTAGCCTACCTCCTTCCCACTGCCCCTACCTTCTGGCGAGGACCACTTCACTCTCTTCCCCGGCCTCTGGGCCATGCTCCTCCTTTCTCTCCTTTGACGTCTCCTTGGGCTCGTCCCCCTTCGCTGACCCCTCAAATAGTGGCTTCTTCAGGACTTGGCCCCAGCCCCACTTCTGTTCACGTGTTCTGCACTTCACTGAGTGCGCTCACCCGTCCACTGGCCTTCACTTCCACCTAGTCCCAAAGCTGTTCCCGCGAACCCAGACCTCCCTCTGGGATCCGTACTCCTGTTTCCAGCTGCCTGTTTGGATGCCGTGGGGATGCTGTCATCCCTATGCCTTTGCATCCCCCTTGCCCAAGAAATCCTACTTTGAATTGCCCGGTGGCCTGGCTAGCCGGTACTAAGCACTTGCTGGGTACACACCCTGTTAAAGCACATTACATGTCCCGTGTCACTGAATCCTCTGGCCCGTGACAGGTTTAGAGAGGCTGAGAGTCCCTTGTCCTCACCATGTCTCTGTATTATGTGCCCTTTGCTCTTGCCCTGCCGTCTCCCCATCTGGGTCTGGCCTGCAGCAGCCTGGCTGCCCTACCCCATGGTGATGTGAGCCTCCCCGCTTTCCTGTCTGGGGAAGGTCCTGGTGCTGTCTGCACCATGCCCCCCCCCACCCCCCACCCCCCTCCCCCCACCATCTCTTCCAGGTAGCATTTCACACCCCTTATTTGCTGTGCCTCCTCCCAGCTGCTCTAGGAGCTCCCCAAGGGTGGGGCTAGGACTGCCTGTCCCCTCCGTATGGCACCAAGGAAGCCAGGAAACTTCTAACAGAGGAATGTGCTGTTTTCCAGCTCAGTCCATGCCCCTCAGTTGTGCCCTAGTAGCGTCACAGAGGACCAGCCAGCCTGTCATTACCACCTAAGCAGCCCACAGCCCCATCAGTGCCACCAGGGGCCTCCACAGGGACAGCATCTCGAGATAGGAGGGGTACTGGACACATTGCATCTTGTGCTGTTGTGGGTATTAGTTGAGTGGCCCTGGGCGGGCCATGCTGCTCTTGGCCTCCATCCCTCATCTGTGTGTTGTGGACAAGAGTAGCGCTGCTCGGTGAGGATTCCTGTGAAGATCCAGTGATGCTCTGCACACTGAGCACCTGCCCAGGCCTGGCGCACACACAGGGAGGGCTCAGCCCACAGCAGCTGTCCTGCAGTTTCCAAGACACGAGCATCAGGCTTGCTAAGTCCTCCCGCACCCGCATCTGGGGCTCTGTAGCTGGGGCAGGCCATCTCATTTGATCTGCCAATGTTGGAATGGAGGTGAGTCTGTGGTCCCATCTCTGCCACCTGCTCTTTACACCCCAAAGCCTCACAGGGTGAGCACACACTCTTCAGCAGGGCCATTAGAATAGTCAGCTGGTCGTGGTGCTGGGCCGGCTGGATTTCCAGGGAAGCCAGCCCATGAAGCTGCTGCCTCTTCACTGTGTCCTCTCACACTGTTTGCTGTCACCCAGGCCTGCGGGGAGCCATCCCCTATGCCCTGAGCCTACACCTGGACCTGGAGCCCATGGAGAAGCGGCAGCTCATCGGCACCACCACCATCGTCATCGTGCTCTTCACCATCCTGCTGCTGGGCGGCAGCACCATGCCCCTCATTCGCCTCATGGACATCGAGGACGCCAAGGCACACCGCAGGAACAAGAAGGACGTCAACCTCAGCAAGACTGAGAAGATGGTTAGTACCATGCGCCTGTGGGGGTGGGGCAGGGGGCTGGCCTGCTACGCAGCTGGTGGTCCCCACTGTCAGGAAATGGGGAGATGAGCCTTGCTTTCTTGCTTTGAGGATGCCCAGCACCTCCACACACACGACACACACACACACACACACACACACACACACACACACACACGACACACACACACACACGACACACACACACACGACACACACACACACGACACACACACACACACACACACACACACACACACACACACACACACACCCCCCGGTCATCCCCCCTGAGAAGGAGGTGACGGAACTTGAGTTCTGAAGCATGGCTCTTGGGGTGGGGGTGTCTGGTGGCCTTGTGACCTGCCGCAGCCATGGGGGCTGTGGACGACCCCATCTGCTCCCTCTCTGAAGCTCCATGGGGCACCACAGGAGTCTGGACCTGTGCCACAACCACAGCAGTGCCTCTGCCCTGCCAGCAGCTGAGACACCTGTCAGGGCCCAGGTTTGAGGGTTTCAAAATCCTGTCATTCCCCAGTATGGTTTTACTAAAAACCACCTGTTGGGGGCCTGAGGAGGGGAGGATGTCTTGCGGTGGCTGTGAGGGCCGTGAGAGGGGTACTCCCCCAAGGACAGACATGGTGTGGGGCTGGAGGTACCCAGGCCCCAGCTGTAGGGAGAGCTGAGGTTCTGCAGCCTGCCCACCTCTTCTTCCTACAAGCCACCGCCCCTGCCACCAGGCTGCCTTCCCGCCCTGTCTTCACCCTCAGGACCCCTGTGCAAAGCTAGGCCCTCTGACCGAAGCAGAGGCTGCTGTAGGCTCCAGCCCAGAGCATCCCCTGCTGATCACCATGCATTTCTGGACATGCATCTCTTTCTAGTTCCCGTATTCTAGGCCTCAGTAACTTTAATCAGTCATCAGAGGCCCAGGAGTCCTCACGTGGCCATCCACGGCTAACACTGGAGTCAGGGCTGGCAAGACCATGGCCTCCAATCTCCATGCTCAGCTGGGCCCCTCACCCAGTGCAGTGCTGCTGGGAGGAAACTTCCAGATGGCTGTGAGGCCTGGCTCTGCAGAACTTCCACCACACTAAGAGGCCCTTTGCCCCCACCCCCTATCTACCAACTTTTTTGTTTTTCACAAAAGCTCTAGCTTAGGCCTTTCTGGGTATCAGAATCGGTGGGGGGCTTGCTACACACAGGCTGCTGGGTCTCACACCAGCATCTCATAGGTATGGTATGGGGTCCGAAAGAATTTGTGTTTCTTCTTATTTATTTTTGAGACAGGGTCTCACTCTATTGCACAGGCTGAAGTGCAGTGGCGTGATCGTGGCCCACTGCAGCCCAGACCTCTTGGGCTCAAGCGATCCTCCCACCTCAGCCTCTGGAGTAGTTGGGACTCCAGACAGGCGTGACCCCACCCAGTTAATTTTTTCTTATTTTTAGTAGAGATGGGGTCTCACCATGTGGTCCAGGCTAAGAATTTGCGTTTCTAACAAGTTGCCAGGTGGTGCTGCTGCAGCTGATCCTGTGAACACGCTTGGCGAAGCACAGCACTAGCAGAAACAGGACAGCTCCTCTGAGGATGAACCGCTGAGTTTCTGGAATGTTTTCTGTGGCAGTCAGTGTGCTTGCGTTTTCCTTGGATGATCTCAGATTGTCCCCATAGCCTGCCAGAAACTGGCGCTTTCATTATACCCACTTTGCAGATGAGAATGCCGAGGCACCAAGAGAATCAGACAGCTGTGGGCACAGACTCCCGAGCCTGTCCTCTTTACTACCACGCTGATCAGCAGTCCTCAAAATGGGCTCCCCAGACTAGCAGCATCACTGGAAACCTGTTAGATCTGCAGATTCCCAAGCCCATTCAGACCTACTGAATTAGCACCTCTGCAGGTGGCTGCGGTGGGCTCAGTATTTTGTGGTTTCACAGGCCCCCCAGGTAGATTCTAATACAGACCAGTGTTTGACAACCACTGCTTCACAGCATCTAAATGCCCTCCCCTCCCCGGCCATCCTCTGCCCTCCCTGCACCTGCCCCGTCCCCCTCCCCACCACCTGCAGTGAAGCTGCAGAGCACACTTCACTGTGGCCCCACTGAGACTCCTCCAGCAGAGCAGGCGCTGCACTCAGAGCCTGTCTGCTTTGCTCCTACCTATGACCCGAGTCCCGCCTCTTTACCTCCGTCTCTCCCCTCCACATGGGGTCCTTTTCTTCGTCCCTCCCCAATTCCTACAGGATGTGTTCCTCTCCCCTCTCCTCTCTTGACTTGATTGGCAAAAGCCTGTCCACGGTGGAGTCCTAGCTAATAGAGCCACAGGCAAAGAGACAAAAAGCCTCCCTGTGCGATTTGCTGCTAATGAAAAGCCCAGAACAGCAGTTCTGGTCCTGGTTGCATGATAGAATCACCCAAAAGCTTGAAAAGCTTAAAGACCAAGCCCCAGCCTGGCCCAGTCCTTCTGTTTTAGCTGTCCTAGGTGGGGTCCTGGGCATCCATTGTGCCCTGATGGACGTTCCTGCCTCCCTGCAGGCTCCCAGGAGGCCGTCTGCTGCCCGTCACCCTGCATTGATGGTCAAGTGGAGTTAGGGTTGGGGACACTGGCGGCCTGGGTGGTGTGGGGGCTTCCAGGAGGTGCCCCCCGATGGTGCCAGCTGGTGGCCGTCGGGCCGCCTTTCCTCCCTGCTCAGGGCAACACTGTGGAGTCGGAGCACCTGTCGGAGCTCACGGAGGAGGAGTACGAGGCCCACTACATCAGGCGGCAGGACCTTAAGGGCTTCGTGTGGCTGGACGCCAAGTACCTGAACCCCTTCTTCACTCGGAGGCTGACGCAGGAGGTGGGATACCGGCCAGGCCACACTTTCTGGGGGTCCCTTGCCTGCCTCCTTCAGGACCTGCGGTGGCCCAGGGTGGGGTGGAGGAAGAGTGGGGAGGCAGGAAAGCTCACGTGGGCCCGCCAGGCCGCCGCCTCCCGATCTGGAGGCTGGACGTGCTTGTGGAACTCGGCATCTGCTGTTTTTCCTTCGCTGCCACATTTAGTGCGAGGTTAATAATAGATTTGTTAACACAGTTTGGTTTTCCTGGATGATAGACTCGGGGTATTGATCAGCTACTGAATCGGAGCTGAGGAATTTCAGACATACCAGGGCCTCAAGCTGTGGCCCAAGTCTGCCCCCAGCTCAGGGCTCTGGTTCTGTCCCTCGGGGCACTGCTGGCCTCTCTTTAGTTGGAGGCCTTGGGTAGGGGTGGGGCTCTTCCTGCTGCTGCCCGCTTTGTTTCCGAGCAGGCCCATTTTCCACTCTCCGGCAGGCCTGAGAGCTGCCGGTGTGTGCGCTCTTCCAGGAGCCAGGCAGCTCCAGTGACTGTGACCACGACCGCTTCCTTCTCCAGCATCCTGTGCAGTGGATGCAGCTGTGTCCCTGACAGCTGAGGAGATGGAGGCCTAAGGGGGTGCAGTAACCCCGCAAGGTCACAGCCAATATGGGCATAACTGGGAGCAGAGCTAACTGTGTCTGACTCCAGAGACCACATGTTCAGCCTCAAGCCATGCTCCCTCCTCCTTTCTGAATGACACCTCCCGTGACCTCCACCCCCACAAAGAACAATCCCAGCTCAGTTTGTTCAACTGAAACTGAAGTTGCCTGTGGCCATCACCCTGCCTCCCACCTCCTCCCTAGACACCCCACACAAAACACCCAGTAGCATCCCCTCCCTTCCATGGCCCTGCCCCTGACGCCCTGACGGCTTGGTTGTGTCTCTCGACCCAGGACCTGCACCACGGGCGCATCCAGATGAAAACTCTCACCAACAAGTGGTACGAGGAGGTACGCCAGGGCCCCTCCGGCTCCGAGGACGACGAGCAGGAGCTGCTCTGACGCCAGGTGCCAAGGCTTCAGGCAGGCAGGCCCAGGATGGGCGTTTGCTGCGCACAGACACTCAGCAGGGGCCTCGCAGAGATGCGTGCATCCAGCAGCCCCTTCAAGACATAAGAGGGCGGGGCGAGGTACTGGCTGCAGAGTCGCCTTAGTCCAGAACCTGACAGGCCTCTGGAGCCAGG
Source organism: Homo sapiens (assembly GCF_000001405.40). Lineage (NCBI taxonomy): Eukaryota > Metazoa > Chordata > Mammalia > Primates > Hominidae > Homo > Homo sapiens. The sequence continues at coordinate 49,888,119 of NC_000020.11, forward strand.
CGACTTCTTGGGAAACTGTCATCTCCCGACTCCTCCCTGAGCCAGCCTCCGCTCAGTGTGGCTCCTCAGCCCACAGAGGGGAGGGAGCATGGGGCCAGGTGCCAGTCATCTGTGAAGCTAGGGCGCCTACCCCCCCACCCGGAGGACCCCTGCGGCCCCCTGCCTAGAGGAGCACCATCTACAGTTGTGCCATTCCCCAGCCACTGCCTTCATGCTGCCCCCGCCGGACTGGCAGAGCCAGGGGTCAGCCACCTGCCTTTGAGTCATCAAGATGCCTCTGCAGCCACAATTCTGACCTAAGTGGCAGGGCCCAGAAATCCTGAAAACCTCCCGCTGCCTTTTGTGATACTTCCTGTGCTCCCTCAGAGAGAAACGGAGTGACCTTTTGTCCTTTACCTGATTGGCACTTCGCAGTCTATCTCCCTGGGTAGCAGACGGCTGCTGCCCTTCTCTGGGCATGTTCTGAATGTTTACACTGGTACCTTCTGGTATCTTCTTTAGAGCCCCCTGCAAGCTGCAACTCTAGGCTTTTATCTTGCGGGGTCAGAGCGCCCTCTAGAGGGAAAAGCTAGAGGCACAGGGTTTCTGCCGGCCCACAACTGCTGTCTTGATTTGCATTTTACAGCAAAGTGCTGAGAGCCTCTAGTCGCCTCCTGCCATCTGATCTCCCTCCCCACCATTCCCGTACTCAGTTGTTCTTTTGTCTAATCGGAGGCCACTGTGCTGAGGCCCTGCAGTGTCTGCTCACTGCTGCCATCTTCGCTGCTAGTCAGGGTTCCATCCTCTTTCCCCTCTCCCAGTTCCCTACCACGTTGGATCCCATTCGTCACCCATGCTAGGGTCCCCAAAGCACTGGGGCAGGGGCCAGAGCAGCAGCACCCAGTGCTCCCTCCTCTACTCTGACCTGGGGCCCCAGCATCCTGGAGCACACGCTCCACGCACACACACCCCAGCCCTGTCCCAGGGGCCTGGCCCCCTCAGCCATCTCAGGGTGAGGAGCTGCCAGTCATGTCCAGATGGAATGACTCCCATCCTCTCCTCATCTCCCCTTTGACGAGCCTCAAACTGCTCAGCTCATCAAAGAGCCATTGCCAACTTCCGTATGTGGTTCTGGGTCCCAGGGAGCCTTGGAACCTGGCACCCTGGGGTGGTTTAATTCATCATTAAGAAGCATTCCTGCTTCTCAAGGGACACAGTGGCCTGCATGGGCCAGCATGGACCCTGGGCTGATCATGTGCATTCCTGCTTCTCTGGGGACACAGTGGGCCCACATGGGCCAGCATGGACCCTGGGCTAGAGCAAGCACATCTCCATCTCTTCCACCTCAGGCAGTGTGGCTCCAGATGTCAGGAGGGACTGACCTCAGGACCTTCCAGGTTCCTCTGTGCCAGGAATGAGAGGCCAGGCCCGATCCTACCACCTCGCCTTGACCCTGAAGTCAGAGCAGGCCAGCCAAGCAGGAAGCACACTGTTTACTTTTTGCATGAAAAGTAAATGTGTACTTGATAGAGCTAAAATATGATCTTTTTTAATTTCTCAACCCCATAATTTGAGCCATTGCCTTGCTTAATTTTGGTTTCCACCATTTCCTTTTAGTGGAGAAGAGAGGAAGTCAGAGGGTAGGGACCTTTGCCTGCCCCTGGGCGAGTGCGGGCAGGGATCTGAGACCAGATTGTTCTCGCACCCCTGCCAGAACTCACTCTCCCCTGAAGTTTAGGGTCCCATCTCCCAGATGTAAGTTGTTTTGCAAACTCAGTTTGCCAGGATTTCTTTCTTTCCTAATCTTAAATTCACAGATAAAGCAATGAAAAGAGTCAGATCCCATTTCCGTCTGCCCCCTCGTCACCAGGTGTGATAGCCCCAGCCAGGTCACACCTGGCCTCACACTTTGAGCTGAGACTTGAAAACGATGCTGTGGCGGAAGAGCATGTGGGGCTTGGTGGAGGGGCCCCAGGATTTGTTGGGGGCAAAGGGGGTGGCGGGACCGTTCCCAGGAGGTACCAGCACCTGCCTCGATCTCCTCTGAGCCTCTTCTGCCCCCTGTCGGCCAGGTGAGGTCAGCAGCCTGGGAGAGTGCCCCCAAGAGATGAGGGCACCCCGTGTTCCTTGGCAATCTTGGCTCACCTTGGTAACAAAAGGCCATAGAAGTCTGTTTTTCTGGGTCAGTTTTTTTTGCCTGAGAATAACAAATTGCTGCTGTCTACCTTTAGCACACCCAATAATTCTATTTGGGGCAGTGAATGCATAGAAGATATAAAAATACGCAGCTTAACTATATCTTCCTGCGTGTGTATTTATTTTCTTCTGGGTCTAGGCCATGGTACAGGAGAACTGTGGCGTGTAGGAGGAATACTTCAGGATGAGTGAAGGCTGGAGCCAGGGAGCGCTGGAGGAAACCAGCCCTTTAGCCAGCAGCCCCTCCACCACAGGCACTGCTGTGTGGAACGAGTTCTTGGAATGAATCCCATGCTTTCTGCAGCCTGTAGTTGTTATGACCCCTCGGAACAACCACCCCGTGGCTTGTGTGGGGTCTCGCAGGGAAAAGGGCTGGCTTCTAGGTCCCCGAGATAAGTGTGCAGGGGGATGGGCCAGGGCCAGGCTAAGGGTGGCTCAGTTCCATCATCTGGAGGTCAGACACACTGTCCAGAGGCAGAACTGAAGCCCTCTCGGCCCCTACCCTAAGCCAGCCACCCCTCTTCACAGTGGGTGAGCTGGGCTGGGCTGGCTGGCATGAGGCCAAGGGGTAGGCCTGAGCGCCAGAGTCGCCCAGGTTAGCCCACAGGATTCCTTTGTGTGCCATGGAATGCTGAAAGATGGGTGACTGGGGACCCTTCTTAAAACCTTTGGCAAAGGTGCCATCGGCAGGGCTTGGCCTCATGAAGTCTCAGGTCCGTGTTCCCGCAGGGCGCACATGCTTGGAGAGTCCTCAGCAGGGTAGCCGAGGCCAGGCCACTTCTGCTGAGGATGGGGCAGGCTGGGGTGTGGGTGTGGCCTGGGGTGGCTCAGGGCTGGAACTGCTGCCTGATTCCTGTGTGGGGAGAAGCTCAGTGGCCGTTTGCTGCCACTGACAAGGATTTCACATGCAGAAGAGAAAAGGCCCCCCTCCACCCCCCGCATTCCCTGCCGAGTGAGAGCCAGTGTTTGCTGCCCTTGCTGGGGGCGGGTAGGAAACCCTGAGCTTCCTGATGCGGAGTCATGAAGCAGAGTCCTCGGGAAGGCATCTCCACAGCCCCGGGTCCTCTGTCTAACGCCCTCCATTTCACGCCCTCCATCTCACAGTCAAGATAAAGGCCTCGAGAATAAAGAGCCAGCCCCCTTCCATTTAGTCTCCTGCCGTTTCCCAAACAGTTGTCCAACAGTTAGACATTGAGGGGCTTCACTGTTACCAGGCATGTAACAGAAGGAGGAAGACTAACACACACCCCCTGCCCCATCCCATCCCCCTCTCCCGAGCTATTTTCTTGCTGTGGCCTCTGGTGCCCTTGAGTTGGTCTCCCCGGCTGCTCTGCGGGGGCTTCACTGGCTTCGGAGTGAGCGCGAAGTGCTGGTGAGCAGTGGGCCTGTGATTGGATGGGAAGATGTGCATCCGTGGTCAAAAGTCAGCTGCCAGCCCTGCGGAACCAGAGCCTCAGGCTGGGATGGGGAGGCCTCCCTGCTTCCACCTGCATGGTGGGCATGGCCTGGCTTACACCAAAGGCTTTGACGGTTTCTCCAAGTAAGGATCTGCAAATCTTGAATCGTCCTCAAAATGACGAAGCTTGAATTGTCCTCAAGATGGATGTGAATCTTACATTCCTTTTCATCATTTCCTTTGTAAAAATGACGAGTGCTGGGTTTTTGTTTTAAGAAGCATTATGAAGGCCAGACTTACTCATTTTTCTCCCCCAAGTGAGCTGCAAGAGGCCCCTGTTAGGCCCCTGTTTCCTGAGCAGTGATGTGCTGCTCTTCTTGGTGGGGCTTTGGGCTGGGAGGGGAAGGCGGGTCAGAGATGGGGGACCTGTGGCTGCCATGCAGGAGCCCCTGCGTCATCTCGTTGGACTCTTTAAGGGAGTCAGGAATAGATGTATGAACAGTCGTGTCACTGGATGCCTATTTAGAAATAAAGTGTATGCTGCTGAATTGGAGCCAGTGTCTGTGTTCATGTTCAGGTGGCTTTGCAGATGCACAGGTCACACCTCCTAGACTGGGCTCTGTGGCACACAGCTACCCAGCCCCTGGGCCGGTGGCAGCCATGTCACCAGGAAGTACAGTGCTTAGGAGCAGGGCTGGGTCAGGCTGGCCTGCGTCTGGTTCCTACCTTTGGCCCTCAGTGAGGAGCATGTGAAGCTCAGCCCCCAGCCAGGCTCAGCTTCTCCTCACGATGCTGGGAGCCCTTCCTCCCTGGGTTCGCTGGCTGTTCGCCCAGGCTGCAGGGCCGCCTGACCTCCTGCTCGGGGCTTACAGATCAGTCCCCCACAGGCCTTTGCCTGATGGTGAAATGGGGAAATTCTGTCACTGAACCTGCCCTGCCGCAGGAGCGGGGGCATCCATAGCCTCTGATCAGAAGTGGTGGCATGTGGGGCAAGAAGGGTCGTGAGTTCATCTATACCCCCACGTACTTCCAAAGGCATCCAAGCTGCTGAAGGTAACAGGCACGAACCAAAAATGCATGTGATGTAAAATGAAACCAGTCAGGAGAAGCTGTCCTGGCCCCAGCCAGGGGGCAAGAGCTGAGTTTCCTGGTTCCTTCCCACACTGTGCTTCAGCCCACCCCAGGGGAGACTCCCGAGGCCACAGTGGGCTCCCCGTGGCCCGCTTTTGGTGGAAACCCAGATTCAGAGAAATATTTCTCCACCATAATAAAAACTGCAAGTGTGATGAGAAGTGGTAGCTGACACTTGGCCTCAGTGTCAGGGAGGCACCACGAGAGTGATAAGGACTCTGGCTAACAGCAGAATTTTCCAGGCCAGCCCTGCCTGCGAGGGCGGCTGGGAAGTGGAGCTGCGCTGTGCTGAGCAGAGTGTCAGCTGGGACGGAACGGAGTGCTGGCAGCAAAGGTGGGGGGTGGTCCTGAGTGGGCACCTCGTTCCCACGGAACAGGGTATGTTTCATTTGTATTTCAACCTTCTCAACTCCTAAAAAAAGCTCTCAGGGTAGAGGGGAGCAATCGAGGCAAGAAATATTTTCCTTAGAGGCTAGAAAGCTGGCGGGGGGTTGGAGGGTCACACACAAAGTTGAGGGTCCTGTAACCCCCGCTTATTATTCCACAGGGCACTAGGGGAATGAAGCTGGCCTGGAGCGGGGCCCCACTGCCTCTTGGAGGCAACCCCCCCACCCCAAGCAAGGGACAACACAGCCCTCTGGCTCTAGCCAGAGAAGATGTGAGACATGAAGGGCAGTGGGGGTCAGGGGCCAGGGGCCAGTACAGTCATCTCAAGGCCCTGGGTGACAGTAAGTGCCCCGTAAATGAGGGTCCTCTTTGTGAATATTTATGGACCTGCAGGAGAGCAGGCAGGCATCAGCCACACTCCCCCTGCCTGGGGAGGCCGCCTGGCAGACCTGGGGGGTCTTAGCATCAGTTGGGACCAGTCTGGTGCTGGGGACAGAAGGAACCTCTGCGCATACAGGCAGCTGCCAGCTAATACCCTGATGTAAATGGGGAAGAAAATAAGTCTTTGCTTACAGAAAAAAAAGGGCACAAAAATGTAGTTGGTTCATTTTGTGGCGAAGATGAGCCATACGCTCCTATCTGCTGGTGGGAGGGCAGCTGGCTCACACTCTCCAGAGGACACTGTGGTGACAGCTCTCCAAAGCCTGAAAACGGCCCAGCAGTTCCACTCATGGGGCAAAAGGAAAGTGCATGAAAACCGCACTCCAAGAATGGTCATCCCGGCAATATCTGAATGAGGATAAATGGAAAACAACTTCCTTGTCCATGAATGAGGGACTGGTGAGATAAATGATGATAGAATATTTACCAACAGCTCAAGATTCTAAGGATGTGGAAAAATGTTTAGAATGTTATCAGACCAGCATTTTACCACCTTTAGGGAGAGAGAAACATTTCACCCTCTCCTTAAATGCTGTTTGAGATTTTAAAATGACTAAAAACGAAAGTAGAAATTTTAGTACATCCTTTTATACAAATACACATACTGGCACTCCAGCGCGCACCCATTCATCCCTAATATGGAAGACCTGGTGGTTCCTTTCAACCACCACTTCTTCCCCGAGCCCTGTTGTCTTTGCTAAGAGAACCCATGTGGTTCGTGTAATGGGTGACTGTATGCTTCAAGGGGAAACAGAGCCAGTTCTCGGTTCAGGTTGTTCCTGGTCATTCCCTCTACTTGTCTGAGATTGGCTGAGGAATGGGTCTGTGACCTTATTTGGCAGGAGAATGAAGCGATTAAAAAAAACAAAACAAAACAAAACAAAACAAAAAAAAACGAAGTCTCGCTCTGTCGCCCAGGCTGGAGTGCAGTGGCACCATCTCAGCTCACGGCCACTGCAATCTTCGCCTCGTGGGTTCAAGCGATTCTCCTGTCTCAGCCTCCTGAGTAGCTGGGATTACAGGTGCCCGTCACCATGCCCAGCTAATTTTTGTATTTTTAGTAGTGATGGGGTTTTGCCCTGTTGGCCAGGCTGGTCTCGAACTCCTGACCCCAGGTGATCCGCCCACCTCGGCCTCCCAAAGTGCTGGGATTACAGGTGTGAGCCACCGCGCCTGGCCTGAAGCAATCTTTTGAGGAATTTCTAAAACTTTCCTTACTCTCAAAAAGACACTCAAGGAAGGGACATGTTCTCTTCCCATTGTCTGACCTTTGCCTCCCATTACTTGAGGATGTAATGCCTCCACCTGCTGCAGCCATTTGGAGACCAGGAGGGAACACCTTGCCACCATGCTGAGGATGGCAGAGCAGAAAGACAGAAGGCTTGTATGTTGTCAAGGACACTGCTGGAGCAGTTAATTAACCAGTCCTGGAACTGACCTCCCTCTGGATCTCATGACATGGGGCAATACATGTTCTGTATCTGCCATTTCTGGTTGGGTATTTTGTTACAACAGAAATAATGCTGTTATAACTTCATGAACTGAGAAAAGCAGATTTCAGAACCATATCAATAGATGTGGCTCTATAAATTAAATTAGCAGTATGTGTATACAGGAAAAAAATCTTAAAGGATAGACATAGAGTTTTAACTTAACTTTGGTTCTCTCCAAGTGGAAGGATTATAGGTAAATTTTTTTTTTTTTTTGAGATGGAGTTTTGCTCTTGTTGCCCAGGCTAGAGTGCAGTGGCACGATCTTCGCTCACTGCAACCTCCATCTCCCAGGTTCAAGAGATTCTCCTGCCTCAGCCTCCCAAGTAGCTGGGACTACAGGCCCCTGCCACCACGCCTGGCTAATTTTGTATTTTCAGTAGAGACGGGGTTTCACCATGTTGTTCAGGCTGGTCTTAAACTCCTGACCTCAAGTGATCCACCTACCTCAGCCTCCTAAAGTGCTGGGATTATAAGCATGAGCCACCGCATCTGGCCGATTATAGGTAACTTTTAAAATCTTGCTGTTTGCATATACTTTCTATTTCTCTCATAAAGAATATTTATTAAGTCAATAATAAGGAACACACATGTTCTTTGACCAGAACTAGAGGAGCAGTGCATTAGATGGAGTGACTTGAAGGCCCCTAGGGAAACAGGTGAGGGTCCAAACTGATGCAGTCACCACGGAGAGGCCTGTGGCCCTTCCACCCACGATTCCTCTTCTAGCCCTGGGGCAAAGATTGGCAAATTACTGCCTGTGGCCCAAATCCAGCCCGCCTCCTGTGTCTGTACTACCTAAGAGCTAAAAATGGTTTTAACATTTTTTAAAGGTTGGGGAAAAAAACAGAAGAGTAAGGCCAGGTGTGGTGGCTCACACCTGTAATCCCAACACTTTGGAAGGCCAAGGTGGGAAGACTGCTTGAGCCCAGGAGTTTGAGACCAGCCTGGGCAACATAGGGAGACCCTGTCTCTCTATATATAATTAAAAAAAACTAGCCAGCATGTTGGTGTACACCTGTGGTCCCAGTTACTCAGAAGGCTGAACCCAGGAGGTCAAGGCTAAAGTGAGCTGTGATCGTGCCACTGCACTGTAGCCTGGGTGATAGAATGAGACCCTGTCTCAAGAAAAAAAAATCACAGATTCACAAGAAGTTGCAAAAAAGATAGTACAGAAAGGTCCCATGTACCCTTCCCCCCGTTACCCTCAGTGGTAACATCTTGCACAACTACAGAATAGTTTCACAACCAAGAAACTGGCATTGCCACAGTCCACAGATCTTGTTCCAACTTCATTAGTTTTACAGGCACTCGTGTGTGTGTGTGTTTAGTTCTACGCAATTTTATATCGTGTAGATTCGCATAACCACCATCACAGGGAAGTTGCCTTTTATAGAAGTATTCCAGCTGCCAAACAAAGAAGAAATCATTGAATTGGAATATCTCTATTTTGTAACTTCCAGTGAAATAATGGATCTAAGTGGGAAGTAACAGCCTTAATAGCTGCTAATTCCCCAAAGGGAGAGAACTCGACATAATATGCCTCCTGATGAGAGAATACGCATCAAGTATTCTTACCACAGAGATCAGACCCAAATCCAAGCAAACCCCAACAGCCAGCTACCATGCAATACATGCACACATTCAACACCCTTTCACGATCAAAACACTCAACCACCTAGGAATAGAGGGAAACTACTGCAACACAATACAGGCCATCTAGGATAACAGCTGACAGCATACTCAATGGTGAATGACTGGAAGCTTATCCTCTAAGATCAGGAACAAGGCAAGGATACCTACATTCACCACTTCAATTCGACGTAGTACTGGAAGTTCTAGCCAGAGCAATTAAGCAAGAAAACCAAAGAAAAGATACCCTGGTTGGTAAGAAAGAAGCTAAAATTATCTCATGGATGACATGATCTTATATGTAGATAACCCTGAAGATTCCACAAGAAAAAAACTGTTCAAACTAATAAATAAATTCAGCAAAGTTGCAGGATACAAAGTCAACACACAAAAGTCAGCTGCATTTCCATAAACAGTGGACAATCAGAAAAGGAAATTAAGAAAAAAATCCCATTTATAATAGCATCAAAAAGAATTAAATAGGAATAAATTTAACCAAGCAGCAAGAAAGACTTGTACACTGAACACTATAAAACATGCTGAAAGAAATTTTAAAAGACACAAATAGGGCCAGGCATGGTGTCTGACGCCTGTAATCCCAGCACTTTGGGAGGCCAAGACCTCCCAAATCACTTGAGGCCAGAATTCAAGACCAGCCTGGGCAACACAGTGAAACCCTGTTTCAACAAAAAAAAATTAAGAATTAGCCATGCGTGGCACATGCCTGTGGTGCCAGTTACTTGGGAGGTTGAGGTGGGAGGATCTCTTGAACCAAGAGTTCAAGGCTGCAATGAGCCATGACTGCACCACTGCACTCCAGCCTGGGTGACAGAGCGAGACCCTGTCTCAAAAAAACAACAACAAAACGATCTATACTGCCCAAAGTGGATCTACAGATTCAATGCAATCCCTATAAATGGCATTTTTTACAGAAATAGAGAAATAAAACCATCCTAAAATTCATATGGGATCTCAAGGGACCCTGAATAGCCAAAACAATCTTTAAAAAGAACAAAGGTGGAGGCGTTACACTTCATGATTTCAAAGTATATTACAGAGCTACAGTAATCAAACTAGTGTGGTACTGGCATGAAAACAGGTATACACTCATAGACCAATGGAATGGAATAGAGAGCCCAAAAATAAACCCTCACATATATGGTCAAATGATGTTCGACAGGAGTACCAAAACCACTCAATGGGGAAAGGACTGTCTCTTCACCAGATAGTGTTGGGAAAACTGGACATTCATAAGGAAAGGAATGAAGTTAGACCCCTACCTTATTCTGTATACAAAAATTACCTCAAAATAGATAAAAGACCTAAATGTATGACCCAAAACTATAAAGACAACTTAAGGGGAAACTTCATGACATTGGATTTGGCAATGATTTCTTAGATATTATACCAAAAGCATAGGCAGTAAAAGCGAAAATAGACAAATGGGATTACATCAAACTTTTTTTTTTTTTTTTTTTTTTGAGACAGAGTCTTGCTCTGTTATCCAGGCTGGAGTGCAGTGGCGCAATCTTGGCTCACTGCAATCTTTGCCTCCTGGGTTCAAGCGATTCTCCTGCCTCAGCCTCCTGAGTAGCTGGGATTACAGGCATGCGCCACCACACCCAGCTAATTTTTGTATTTTTAGTAGAGATGGGGTTTCACCATGTTGGCCAGGCTGGCCTCAAACTCCTGACCTCAGGTGATCTGCCCACCTCAGCCTCCGAAAGTGCTAAGATTACAGGTGTGAGCCATCACGCCCAGCCGACTACATCAAACTTTTAAATTTTTGCACATCAAAAGAAATAACAGTATGAAAAAGATAACCTATGGAATGGGAGAAAATATTTGCAAATCATGTATCTGATAAGGGATCAATATCCAGACTATATAAAGAACTGCAAATAAAAAACAAAAAATTTACCCAATTAAAAAGTGGGCAAAGGGCTGGGCACAGTGGCTCATGCCTGTAGTCCCAGCACTTTAGGAGGCCGAGATAGGAGATAATTTGAGCCCAGGAGTTTGAGACAAGCCTGGGCAACATAGAGAGATCCCGTCTCTATTTTTAAAATAACAAAAATTAAAAGTGAGCAAAGGACTTGAATAGACATTTCTCCAAAGAAGATATATAAATGGCCGAAAAGCATATGAAAAGATGCTCAACATCACTAATCATTAGAGAAATATGAATCAAAACAATAAGATATCATCTCACCCCATTAGGAAGGCTGCTATAAAAACAAACAAACCCCAGAAAATAACAAGCGTTAGCAAAGAGGTGGAGAAATGGGGACTCCTGTGCTGCAGGTGGGAATATAAAATGGTACCGCTGGCCGGGTGTGGTGGCTCATGCCTGTAATCTCAGCACTTTGGGAGGCTGAGGCAGGTGGATCGCTTGAGTCCAGGAGTTTGAGACCAGCTTGTGCAATATGATGAAACCCCGTCTCTACTAAAAATACAAAAAAATTAGCCAGGCATGGTGGCGTGCCTCTGTCATCCCAGCTACTCCGGCGACTGAGGTGGGAGGATCACCTGAGCCTGGGAGGTCGAGGCTGCAGTGAGCTAAGATCATGCCAACTGTATTTTAGCCTGGGTAATCGGAGTCAGACTCTATCTCAAAAAAATAAAATATATTAAGTTCAGGTGTACAATAAGAAAATTAATTAAAATATAAATAAAAATGATAAAATGGGTACAGCTGCTATGGAAACAGTATGGAGACTCCTCAAAACATTAAAAATAGAACGCCGTATAGTCCTGCAGTTCCACTTGAACCGCCTCCTCCTCCTCACATAGGACCTGAAATATGTTACCAGTGGAGATTCGCATGTCTGAAAACCTGGACCTACTCCCATCCCTTAAGCTCACCCCTGCCTTAAGTGATTTCCTCTCATCTCTCATTTATGAAGCTGCAGCCTTGAATCATTCCCATAAGAAGTATTTATTTTTCTACTTTTGCACAATATGTGCAAATAAACAGTAGGAAATTGGAGGTAAACAGAGAGAACAACTACTCCCAGTGCTAAAACAACAAGCAGGCTGAAGTAAACATTTAGGCTCTGGCAAACTCTAAAGGACAAATAATCCAGTTTCCTCAACAAACACGTCGCAAGAAAAAAGTTAGATGTGAAGGTAATACTGTCTCAGCCTGTTCAGGCTGCAAAATACCACAGACTGGGTAGCTTTTATACAACAAAAATTTATTTATCTTAGTTCTGGAGGCTGAGAAGTCCAAGATTAAGGCACTGGTAGATTCAGTGTCTGGCAAGGGCCCAATTCCTGGTTCACAGACGGTCAGCTCGCTGGGTCTTCCTGTGCTGGGAGAACTCCATTCTCTTCAGCCCCTTGTAAGGGCACCCATCCCATTCGTGAAGGCCCCACCCACATGACCTAATCAGCTCCCAAAGTGCCCTCCTAATACAAGCACACTGGGGGGATTAGATTTCAACGTTTGTTTTTTCTTGGGGGGACATATGCAGTCCGTAGCAGGTATCATGTTTTAAAAGCCCTCGTCTCTTAGATAAACACTGAAAAATTCACAAATGAGACAGACATCTAGAATTTGCTTCAGAAGAGTTCAGGAGTAGGAAAGTGGATGGCAAGGGTAGAGACAAAACCAGATTGGCCACAAGTTGGTAACTAACTGTTCAATTGCTGAAGCTGGGATTCATTATACTAGTATCACTTTTTTGCTTTTTTTTTTTTTTTTTTTTTGAGACAGGGTCTCACTCTGCTGCCCACGCTGGACTGCACTGGTGCCATCACAGCTCAGTGAAGCCTGGAACTTCTGGCCTCAAGTGATCCTCCCACCTCAGCCTCCCAAGTAGCTGGGGACCAAAGGCATGTGCCACCATCCCAGCTAATTTTTTTTTAATGGGGTCTCACTATGTTGCCCAGATTAGGCTTCATGTCTTTTGTAAACAAAAAGGTTTTAAAAACAGACAAATTAGGCCGGGCGTGGTGGCTCACGCCTGTAATCCCAGCGCTTTGGGAGGCCGAGGCGGGTGGATCACGAGGTAAGGAGATCGAGACCATCCTGGCTAACATGGTGAAACCCCGTCTCTACTAAAAATACAAAAAATTAGCCGGGCGTGGTGGCAGGTGCCTGTAGTCCCAGCTACTCAGGAGGCTGAGGCAGGAGAATGGTGTGAACCCGGGAGGCAGAGCTTGCAGTGAGCCGAGATTGCGCCACTGCATTCCAGCCTGGGTGACAGAGCGAGACTCCGTCTCAAAGAAAAAAAAAAATAGACAAATTGGGGCTTAAGTGAGATAACAGTTTATTTTTCATATAACAGACCTAGAGGCAGGCAGCACGGGCAGGCCATGGGGGCAGCTTCCAGAGCATCAGGGCCAGCTGCTGTAGCTGCTGCCCACCCCTTCCTCGCTTGGCCCCCTCAGCTTCATAGAGCAGCTCCATCTCCAGCCATCACAGCCATTCCAGCCAGGAAGAAGGGCTGGGTGGGAAGGGCAAGCTCCCTTCCTTGAAGGCCATGCCCAGACACCACACAAAGCACCTCTCCATCCAGGGACCAGACAGTCATCTGACCACACGTGGCTGCAGGAAAGGCTAGGGAAGGCAATCTTTACTATAGGTGGCCACAGATTTGAAAACCGGGGCTTCTACTACCAAGGGGGAGGGGATGGAGACTGGGGTACGATTTGGTGTCTGCCACAGCTCTCATCCCTGAGATTGGTAATCTAGCATCCTAGGTGCCACAGATCGGCCAGCAGAGCTAATGCTGTCCAGCTGGTGGGCCCAATGAGGTTTAAATATGTTTGTCATTTACATGTACATGTAATGTACATGAAGCAATCTGCTCTGAAGTCTCTGTTCCCTTTTGGATGCGGAGCAAGCACCTGGCTTCCTTAGCTCTCCCAGGGTAGGTGTGCGTCTCCAGGAAACTGCTACCCCCGACAGCCAGGGTGGCAATGCCGTTTCCTATGCTATAGCTCAAAGCAATCCAGCACCTGAGCCTGGCTTTGGCCCAAGGCCTGGGTATTTGTTCAGCCAGCAAATGAAATGGAGAAACCTGTTCAGTGTCTGCCCTGACAGCTGAGCTGCCTGGTGGGAGCCCACACAGCAGCGTGGTCAGTGGGTGGGCACAGGCCTGCTGCTGCTGCCTTAAGATTTCTGCCATGTATTTTGCTTTTAAGTCAATCCTCACTTAAGAAAAAAACACCTTTTTTGTTTTGTTTTGTTTTTCCAAGATGGAGTTTCACTCCTGTCAACCCAGGCCGGAGTGCAATGGCACAATCTTGGCTCATTATAACCTCCGTCTCTCGGGTTCAGGCGATTCTCCTGCCTCAGCTTCCTAAGTAGCTGGGATTACAGGCACCCGCCACCATGCCCAGCTAATTTTTGTATTTTTAGTAGAGACGGGGTTTCACCATGTTGGCCAGGCTAGTCAACCTCCTAACCTCAGGTGATCCTCCTGCCTCGGCCTCCCAAAGTGCTGGGATTACAGGCGTGAGCCACCGCACCCGGCCCTTAAATTGATTTTTAAAGCAAACCTATCACTGTTACAATGGAAAAGTAGTATGGCCTGCCCTAGAAGGTAACAAAACCTGGCTAAGAGCCTGCCACACGCTGTGTCTGATGCCAGGTTTCTCTGTTAAAGACAAGGTAGCATCGAACTGACTCCCTCCTCAAGACAGTTAAATGGATGGAAAAAAATTCAAATGGAATTAACTTTTAAAAAACATCTTCCAATGTTATTAATGCCTCTTTGTCTCTACTAACAAGCATTTCTCCTGGATGATGCAGTCCCCTCTTTGGGAAACATCTGAACTCTGTGTACCGCCATTTCCCCATATGTAAGATGGAGATGGTAACAGTGCCTATTTAATAGGATGACTGAAGCTAGTAAGTAAGATCATGCACATAGTCTCAGGATACAAATGCCTGGCGGGAGGATCACTCGAGCCTAGGAGATTGAGACCAGCCTGGGCAATATAGTGAGACCCCACCTCTACAAAAAATTAAAATTAGCCAGACATAGTGGTGCCCACCTGTAGCTACTTGGGAGGCTGAGGTGGGAGGATCACTCAAGTCCAAGAGGTCCAGGCTACAGCTAGCCATGATCACACAACCGTACTCCAGACTGGGAAGTAACAGAGCCCGTCTTAAACTAAAAAAAAAAAACATGGCCGGGCGTAGTGGATCACACCTATAATCCCAGCACTTTGGGAGGCCGAGGCAGGCAGATCACGAGGACAGGAGATCGAGACCATCCTGGCTAATACAGTGAAATCCCGTCTCTACTAAAAATAACGAAAAATTAGCCAGGTGTGGTAGTCCCAGCTACTTGGGAGGCTGAGGCAGGAGAATGGCGTGAACCCAAGAGGCGGAACTTGCAGTGAGCTGACATAGCGCCACTGTGCTCCAGCCTGGGCGACAGAGCAAGACTCCGTCTCGAAAAAAAAAAAAATTTTTTTTACAAAAAATTAAAAAAATAAAAAGTGCCAGGCTCGCAGTATAGCACTCAAATGCTATTTGTCAGTTTCATGGAAGAGAAAATTTAAGTCTTGTCATTAAAAAACTAAATACAGCTTAAGGAAAAATAAACTCCCAAGTAACCAAACTTCAAAGCAGGGCCAGGGGACATAAAACCCCAAACACTTCATTTAACAATGGAAGACACTTTATTATTATTATTTTTAATCATCTCTCAACATTTCAACTCTTGGTAGAAATCAAATGTAAAACATCTGCATTTTTAAATTAGCATGTATTTAACTATCTCAATCACAGCAACCTCATCCAGTAAGATGCACACCTGGGAGCAGGGCTGTAGTATTTCGTATTCCAGTCTGTGACCACAGTGCGTCCGTGATGACAGGTACACTGGACTTTCCCTCCTAGGATGTGTTAGTCATTCCTGCTTTTGTCCATAGGGTAAGTTACGTGGCATCACGGTTGGTTAGAAAGAGTTAGTTACTGTAATGCTGGCGCAATCTGGAAATGGAAAACTAGAAAACTAGAGCTCTCAGGAGTGGGCCAGGCATTGCCGATTCTGAAATGTGAAAAGGAAGAACATCAAAGATGAATGCCCTGCTAGGCTGGTCTTAGTAATAAAGTTGGTTGAAATTCAGCTTAATATACACACTGTACATCTACATGTGATCTACCAGATAGATATATATATATATATATATATATATATATATATATATATATATATATATTAAAAAGAGAGCCATAGAAGATTTGGAAAACCTTAAAATCACTCAACTGAGTTGGAAGAACATCAGCAAATTCACAGTGGCCTCAGGATTCAGCCAGACTTAAACTTGCTCAAGAGCTGAATAACTTTCTCCCAGAAAAGCCCACTGCATATAAATCCCTTAACATTGTGTACATCACAAACAGTTATGGCTAAAATATAGTTAGTTCACAAGGAAGCGGCTTTATTTTCAAACTCTTGCCCCACTCCTGCTCTTGTACCCCCACAAGGAAAATCCAGGGGTTGGTAATTCACATGAGAAGCTGAAGGGGCCTTCAGGCTTGGAAGCGCTTAGGCTTAGCTGAGCATCTGAGGAGCCGTCTCTCTGATGGGCACATGCCGACTCCTGCCCACTTTTAGTGCAAAAAGATTGCAAATGTTGCAGATGAGTCCTGGAAACTGGTGAAGAGAAGAGGATTGAGATGGAGGGGCAGTAGGAATCCCAAATGATTTTCCTTCTGAAACGAGACTCAAGAAGTGTGAAGTGCAAGGTTCCTGCTCAGCAAGCTATAGGTCCGACAGGTGAGGTCCCTGAATTGTCATAGGTTAGCAGTCTGCAGACACACAGACCTCGACACCCGCGCTCACCCCCTAAGTGCACACTGGAGGTAGGTGTATAGATAGTTACTGCAGGGAAGACAGTGGCTCTCCACCAGCTCAAGAAAAGGAGGCTTCATGTCTGTTCCTCCCTGCCCCAAACTCTCCTCTCCCCTCGGGCCATAGTGAGTGGAGGATACAACACGAATGGGCGCGAGGCCCTCCCTTGGAAGACTAAAGAACCCAGGGCATTTAATAAATAGCTACATAATTCATTTTTTTAACCACGTTGAAACACACAGCAAGTTGAATATTTATTTAAAAATAAATCTCAAAAATATCTATTGACAGTACAGTAAGAGGGGCATGTGCAAACAACAGAAAGGGGGAAGTCAGTCCTGCTGTGGGAAGCCCACACATCAGTGTGTTGGAGCAAAGTTCACGAAGGCCATGGGCTGACTGAGCTGTGGTGTACGAAATGACATTCAGCTAATACTGGACTCGGTTCACCTTTGACACCTGGAGAGGTGGGGAAGCCAGGGGGTGGGGAGTCCAGCTGGGGATCCTTGTGTTTAGGAAGGGGGCGGCCAAGGGATGAGCCTTTGGGAGAGGCCCCGTGTGGCAGGAGGGCTCATTTCACAAGCCAACAGGCCTCTAGCTCGCCGCTCCAGGTGGATGTTTGGTGACCTGAAGGGCCCTTCCCAGTCCAAGTTGGCTTTGCAATGGGAGGGGTAGGTGCAGCGAGGGTCCCAGAGACAGAAATCCTCTTTAAAGGAAAAAACAAAACAACAAAACAAAACAAAACAAAACCCCAAAAAAAGAACCAACTGAACAGGGAGTGGAGAGATTAGCAAAATGAATCTGAACGGAAGTGCCACCTTCTCCCTTGTCAGACAACAAAGCAGCCATTGGTTGAGATATCTGAGTCGCTAAGTGAACTCCCACGTGGACACAGCCAGCCCACGATCTCTGCCACCTACATGGTCAAGTGCAGGCCTCCGCCTCTGAGATCAATGCGTTAGTACTTCTTCACCGTGAAACCCGAAAGGTCGGTTGATGTAGCCCTTGGAGCTGGAAGGGGCGAGGCCGGTCTATCTGTACACGAGATGGGAGAGCTGGGTGGACTTGTAGTTCAGCTGGTTGTTGGGCATGAACTTGTGCAGCTCACTCTTTTTGTAGCAGGGGTCATAATGGTAAGCGCTGAGGCAGGCGTCACATGAGACTTTTGAACACTGGGTGCAGGTGTTGGTGGCGCCTGGGCGGTTGCAGAAGCCACAGCGGGAAGTGGGCGTGGTGGAGGGCTTGGATTTGGAGTGAAGGTGCGGGAGGCGGTCGAGGCCCTGAGTCTGGCCTGGGTACTTCTCCCGCAGAGATGCCCCGTGGGCCAGGCTGTCATGAGTCGAGGCCTTGCTGGGGAAGGCGCTGGGCTTGGAAGCTGGAGGACAGGTGAGCAGGCTGTCACAGCGCTGGCAGAGGGAGGAGCTGCAGGACAGCCCGCAGCTTTGGCACTTGGAGAGGGCGGACTCTTTGGCAGGGGGCGAGCGCTTGTGGTAGAGGGAGTGGGCATCGTTTCTGAGCAGCCACACATCCGGCCGCAGAGCATCCTGCCGACGGTAGGTGGCCCTGGGTTCAGAGTCTGTGTACAGATCCACGTCATCCTGAGTGGAGAAGTAGGTACCGCGCAGCAGGGCCGGGCCGTTGCTGGGGGAGGCGGGTGGAAGCACATCCGGGCTGCCGTGGGGGGAGCTGGCCATGGTCAGCAGCGAAGGGGATGGGCGGATGATCTCATCCTTGAGGTCGTCCCCCACATCCGTTGCCACAGGCTCCTTCCGAAGACTCAATGAGGCCTTCAGGGGTGGCTTCCGGCTCTCCCAGTAGCTGTCATAGGCATCCACTGACCTCGAGGGCTTGGTCACGCGGGGCTTGTAGTAGTCCTTGGCCGCCCGCTCGCTGGCCGACTTCTGGAGTGCCACTCGTGACATGGAGGCCGTCAGGTGCTCCCGGCCCTCTGCCCGCCGCCGCAGGGCGTCCGAGCAGCCGCGCACATCCTCTGCACTGCTCTTGCGCTCGCTCACAATGTCCAGCTCGGAGTAGCCCTTGTCCTTCACTTGTGAGTGGATTTCTAGCATCTGCTCACACTCGACTTTGGCCAGAAAGAGCTCAAAGGAGACCATCTTCACCTGGAGGGTCTCCACGAGCTCTCTGAGCTTGTATGCAGTGCCCAGCTCAGGTGTGTAGCCCATGCAGCTCAGGATGGCTCGGATGTCCTCTTCCAGTAATGTCGACTTGACATAATAAACAAAAGGGCCCGTGTAGGTCTAGAAGGGAGGGAGTAGAAAAGAAAGGTGGGGTTTTCTGTCAGAGACACAAGACAGAGACTATGTCAAAGCAAAGGATGTCCAGCTCTGAAGTGGGGCGGCGGGGAGAGGGCAGGGCAGGGAAGGATCTCGACAGCCTCACCCTGCGGGAGGCAGAAGACGCAGGAGCTGGGGCTTGCTAAGCACTCAGGAATTGTGCAAGGAAATGACCCAGCAGCTCCTTTCTTTTGTTTGAGACGGAGTCTCGCTCTTTTGCCCAGGGTGGAGTGCGGTGGTGCGATCTTGGCTCACTGCAACCTCCGCCTCCTGGGTTCAAGCGATTCTCCTGCCTCAGCCTCCTGAATAGCTGGGATTACAGGCGCCCGCCAACACGCCCAGCTAATTTTTCTGTTTTTAGTAGAGATGGGGTTTCACCGTGCTGGTCAAGCTGGTCTCAAACTCCTGACCTCGTGATCCACCCGCCTCGGCCTCCCAATGTGCTGGGATTACAGGTGTGAGCCACCGCGCCTGGCAGCAGCTACTTTGTTAAACACAGGAAGCAAAACCTCTCGCTTCCTAGTGGGGCACGAAGACTCTACTCCATATGAAGAGAGAGCCTGGGCAAACATGGCTGAATAAAGGGGCCAGATTACAGGCAGAACGCGGTGACAATCAGAACGTTCCTCTCTGGTATTTCCATGAGGGGCTGAGTAACACGGCAGACTGAAGGGCCTGGCTAGGTGACAGCTCTCCTGTGCCATCCCCTCTCTTGATTACCACTCCTCCCATGGCAGAATGAAGAAGCCTGGCTAGGTGACAGCTCTCCTGTGCCATCCCCCGCGTGGTCTGATTCAGGATCCCTCTCTCAATTCCCCCTCCTCCTCTACTGTTCCCACTTAGTACAGAACACCCCTCAGCTTGCTGGGACCGCTGAGAAGCTTCCTAACTGCTCTCCCCATCCCTCCCACCTCCCCCCACCCCTCTACAGCCTACTTCCCATACCACAGCCAGAATGACCCTCTTCAGATGCAAGCCAGATCCCACACTGCCTCCTTCCCCGCCTACTCAGAACAAATCCAAGCCTTGCCCTGGGCCACAAGACCCTGCATAACCTGGCTGCCCCTGCCTTCCCAGCTTCTCTGCTTAAGGTGTGGCAGCCGGGCCAGAAACGGTTCAGAGGTGATGCTGGAGAGACGGGGAAGGTTCGGAGCCCGGAAGGATCTGAGAGCACAGGATGGATGGGATCAGACTGGCATAGCCTCTCAGGAGGGACTGCCAGGGGCAGGAAGAGAGAAGGAGGGCCTGTATGGAGGCTGCTCCAGGACCTCACCTTGATGCTTCTGAATTCCTTCTTCCACGGGTAGAGGAAGAGGTTGATGCCCACCGTCTCCAGCATGCTGAAGGCGCCGTGCAGAGCCCGCAGGCTAGAGGAGCTGAGCGAGCGCAAGGAGCTCTCCACCACCTCATAGAACTGGATCAGCCGGAATCGATAAAAGGGATCCACCTTGTGCAGGCTGAGCAGGGTTGAGGCTGCCACCCGCAGGCACTCATCGCTGCCAGGCCGCTGCCTGCTGGTGGTGGTATCCACTTTGCTCTCATGGAACTGCACGTACTTCCGAAATAAGTCATCCTTGAATTTAGTATCCATTGAACTGGGCTTCCCCATCCGATCGAGGGGGGCTACCTTATCTCCTCCATGGCTTCTGGATTAGAGGCAGGGACATCACTAAAAGCATGGACATGTTGCCGCCTGGACCAGCGGAGTGCTCTGGAAGGAGGGGAACAAGAAGCATGTCATTCCTCGATACGGTCGCGCTTCGGCTTCAGGTCGCTGAGGCAAAATGAACAGCAGAACTGGCCTGGGCTACACTGGACCCCAGCAGCACACTACAGAGCATGTACTACAAGCAGGGTTACAACAGAGGCCAGAGAGAGATGGACCTTGACTTTGTTGTGCTCACAAATGAAAAATACGATTAATATTCCTGAAAGAGAAATTCGGGTGAGTACAGCAGGAGCTCCTGTCCTGGTTTCGTTGGGGAAGGGCGAGTTTAGGAAAGCCCTCTTGAGACAGCAACAGACCTGAAGGATGAGGAGTCTGCCAGGCCAAGAGGCCGGGGAAGGAGTCGCAGTAGAGGAAGGCCCTGAGCTAATAGTACCAGAGGCTCCAGACACGTGACGAGCTTCACACACACTAACTCGCTTACTTTTTTTTTGAGATGGATCCTTGCTCTGTAGCCCAGGCTGGAGTGCAGTGGCGTGATCTCAGCTCACTGCAACCTCCGCCTCCCGGGTTCAAGCGATTCTCCTGCCTCAGCCTCCCAAGTAGCTGGGATTACAGGCACCTGCCACCACGCCTGGTTAATTTTTGTATTTTTAGTCAAGATGGGGTTTCACCATGTTGGCCAGGCTGGTCTCGAACTCCTGACCTCAAGTGATCCACCAGCCTTGGCCTCCCAAAGTGCCAGGATTACAGGTGTGAGCCCCCATACCCAGCCTCACTTTTTCTTCTTAAACAATCCTAGGAGAGAGACGCTACAGGCAGCCCCAGTGGACCATGTGCAAACTGAGACACAGACATTAGAAACTGCTCAAGGTAGGCCAGGCACAGTGGCTCACACCTGTAATTCCTGAACTTTGGGAGGCTGACGGGGGAGGATGGCTTGAGTCCAGGAGCTCGAGACCAGCCTGGGAAACACGGTGAAACCACGTCTCTACAAAAATACAAAAAAATTTTTAAGAAAAAGAAACTGTCCAAGGTTATAGAACTCTCAGGAGGCAGAGAAGCTGAGCTCAGAACCCAGGCAATCTGGCTCCAAAGTCCATGCCCTTACCCACCACACCCTGCTTTCCTGAGGCAGGAAGCCTGGAACAGTAACAGAACTGCAGCCAGTGAGGCCGAGGCCACGAGGGCAGGGGCATGAGGAGAGGCAGATGCCAGCATCAGCGGGACCCTCAGCCCCAAGGCCGCAAGAGCACATTCAGAATTCGATATTTTATACAAAGAGCCACGTGAAGCCACTGAAGAGTTTACAGCGAGGGGAGAGAGATACGGTCTTATTTACAATTTTCAAAAGAGGCCACCGTGGCTACCGGCCCCTGGAGTGCTGTTACCGGCCTTTGACAGCCTGCGGCCCCTTTATCACCAGAGCGCTTGACAGCCCCCTGTTGGGAGAGGATAGAATGTTCTGAGCTGGGACACAGGCTTTACACAATCTTGTCATCTGCTTAGCCACTTGTTAGTAGAACAGGCACAGATCCAGCAATATTCTTGTCACCACAACGCTGGGAGCGAATCCGGATTAATGGAGGGACACTGCCAGGGCCAGGGGAGACAACACGCGCAGGGTCACGGACACGGGGTCCAAGGCCAGGCACCTGCGAGTGAGGCCAGGGCTGCTTCTCCAGGTTACTTGGGCAAATTGCTCCACCTCCCTGGGTGTCGGTTTTCTCCTATAAAACGGGGTTAATAATAGCGCCTCTGTCCAGAGCTGGCGAGAGGATTATGCATGATGGAATATGAAGCTGCTCAGAGAGCCGGCTCCGGGAAGTCCTTGATGGCCATTGCTGTTGTCTGAAGGTGCTGTACCCCTAAGTGGACAGGCCTTCTCTGAGTGGGGCAAATACCTCTGACTGGGTGGTAGATGTGCATTTTCACATGCTCTGGTCCTGCTGCTCCTGCCCAGAAGCTCCGTGGGTGCAGGCCTGTGACCATCTTGCTCAGTAAGGTGACCTGTGTGCTTCATGTCTGCTGAGTGTGGGAGACAGCAAGGGGCTGAGAGAAGCTGCAGCAGGACTGGGCCTGGCATGTGGGGGACTCCTTTAGCAGACCTGTGTTCAGCTAGGAAGGTCCTACGAGCCCAGCAACTATCAGGAGGTCAACAAAATCATCCTCATCTCAAAGAGCCAGTAGTCTGGCTCCTCCACAGATTTTGTCCCCAGGAGGAGACTCCTGGGAGTACTAATGGTGCGGTGAGAGGTGGGATGTGTAGCAAAACTAGGGACACAGAGAGGCCACTGTCTCCAACACACTGCACTGCTGAGGGAGCCCAGTGCTACAGTGACAAATAAGGCTGAGGAGTACAGGAGGCAAACACATCCATTTAGGGGCCAGGTGCGGGGGCTCACGCCTGTAATCCCTAAACTTTGGAAGGCCAAGGCAGGAGGATTGCTCAAGGCCAGGAGTTCGAGACCAGCCTGGGCAACATAGCAATACCCTGTCTTTACAAAAGAAAACAAAATCCACTTGGGATAAAATTCTGCTTCAGGAAGATTCTCATCATTCAGGCCTCAGCTCAAACATCAGCCTCTAGAGGTACCACCCTATCTCACCTTCCCAGTTCCACACTGTCACATTCTCCTACGATAACCACAATCTGAAACTATCAACTTCATTCATTCATTAGCTTCCTCTCTTTGTCCACCCCTCACCCTCCCTGGTAAGCTGGTAAGCTCGTGGTAAGCTCCATAAAGGCAAGGACCATGTCTGTGTTGTTCACCACGATGCCTAACACAGAGCCTGCCTGTGCTTGATAAAGTAGGTGAAATGGATGCTGCAGCCAGGCACGGTGGCTCACGCCTGTAATCTTAGCACTTTGGGAGGCCGAGGCAGGTGGATTGCCTGAGCTCAGGAGTTCGAGACCAGCCTGGGCAACACGGTGAAACCCCGTCTCTACCAAAATTTAAAAAAAAATTAGACGGGTGTGGCAGCATGCGCCTGTAATCACAGCTACTCGGGAGGCTGAGGCAGGAGAATTGCTAGAACCCAGGAGGCGGAGGCTGCAGTGAGCCGAGATCGCCCCATTGCACTCCAGCCTGGGCAACAGAGCGAGACTCCGTCTCTAAAAAAAAAAAAAGAAAAAGAAAAAGAAAAGAGAAAAAGAGAAATGGATGCTGCAAAGGATGTCTGCATTCACGATGCCATCACTTTAGTTTCTCATTGGTACCTCCCAAGAATCCTGGGAGATCAGCTGGAGAGCAAAGAAACGGGCTCAGAAAGATGGCATGAGGTACGACAAGTAGCTCAAGGTTAGCAGATGATGGACCCGATAATCCAAGCCTGGCCTTCTGACTTGGAACCTGTATTCCTCTCACCACCCCACGATTCCCATGTCCAGCAAGCATTTCTGCAGCCCCCACCCTCTGCCTGAGCTGGACCCAGTCGGGGAATGGGGATGGGTGGGACAGGTAGAGGACAGCAATAAAGGAGACACATCCTGCCTGCAGCTCTAGCTGGAAGAGCATACCACCTAGTATCAAAGTAGGTATGTGCTCTAACTTCATACTGTTCTGTCCATAAAAAAATAAACAATTTAAAATGTATATTCTCTTAAAAAATAAAAATGCAGGCCAGGCGCGGTGGCTCACGCCTGTAATCCTACAACTCTGGGAGGCCAAGGTGGGTGGATCGCCTGAGATTGGGAGTTTGAGACTAGCCTGGCCAACATAGCGAAACCCCGCCTCTACTAAAAATACAAAAATTAGCTGGACGAACACCTGTAATCCCAGCTACTCAGGAGGCTGAGGCAGGAGAATGGCGTGAACCCAGGAGGGAGAGGTTGCAGTGAGCTGAGATCGTGCCATTGCACTCCAGCCTGGGCAACAGAGCAAAAACTCCATCTCTACATAAATAAATGTATTGCACCACTGGAGAGGATAGTCACACATGCATTTACCATTCTTGACTTATCTAAGAGAAGCTGCCATCACGCCTCTGGCCCCAGGGTCTGTTTTTTGGTAGTCTGAGAACCATTCAAACACAGAGACATTAAGCTTCCGAATACTGCTGTAATTTTTCTCCAAGGAAGTCAGCCTTGAACTCAAAGAGACTGATTTTTTACAAAGTCAGCCAGTCTCAAGCTCGGCTCAGCGTCTGCTGCTCTATAATCGCACCACAGTCCACACCCTTGTTTGTTGCTGAAAAACAATAAATAAAGGAAAGGGATCCAAACAGCCCAGCTGATGTTCAAAATACTCACAATAAGGACAGGAAGCCTATCTAAAACAAATCTCAAACCAACCTGGGTAGGTGAGGGAAAAGGCGGAAGAAAGTAAAAGCTAAAAGATAATTAAGGGCAAGACAAGCCTGGACAACATAGTTAGACTCCGTCTCTACAAAAAAAAAAAAAAAAAAAATTAGGTGGGTGTGGTGACACCCACCTGTAGTCTTAGCTACTTGGGAGTCTGAGGTGGGGGGATCCACTGAGCCCAGGAGTTTGAGGCTGCAGTGAGCTATGATGGCACCACTGCACTCCGGCCTGGGTGACAGAGCAAGACCTTGTCTCAATCAGTCAATAAGGAAAGGAAAGAAAGAGACTAACAATTACTGAGGTTCTACTATGTGCTAAGCATTGGGCTTCCCACTTTACCTACATCATCCCATTTAATCCTCACAACTCTATAAGGAAAACAGGCTCTTCCCATTAAAACAACCTGCCCAACAGAGTTTGAAAGGGTCAGAGCTGGAATCTGAACTCTTGCTGGGAGGCCCTTGATGCCTGGGCTTTCTCCAATTTACCTCACTCATTTATTGTTACATCAGTACCATTTACCAAGGGATTACTGTGTGGCATCCCTCTGCTAACTGCTCTGTGAAAACCAATGAAATCCACAGGATAGATCCAAGGTTAAAGAGGAAACTGAGGCTCGGAGAGGCCAACTCACTTACCCTAAGTCGTAAGGCTAGGAAGAAGTGGATCTGAGCTCTGAACCTAGGTCTAACGCCAAAACTCCGACTCTTGCAAAGCCATCCTGCTGCATCTGCTGGACAGCTCTACTCGAAAGTGTTTGGCTAAGTTAGAATGCCTTATGGCGGCGCGAGCAGAGTTGAGTTACAAAAATTCCTGTAGTAGCAAAATTCCCATCTTCCCACACCGAATGGGGCTAGGAGAGCTAATCTCTATATGATGTAAGCTCAAGGGCCAAGGAAAGAGGCTGGTCAGAGACATCGGCCAGTGATGAAGCAGCTGACATCATCCCTGCTGAAAACATTTTCTGAGAATACAAGATGCCTTGTAGCTGGTCATAGCTGGTGTTTTTTCTGAGCACAGAGCCAGCAATTCATTCCCAGCACTCTGCAAGAACAACAAAATACGCTCTCTGCAAAAACATCGTGGTTACAGGAGACCGAGACAGCCCAGCGACAGAAGCTGCTAATTTCTCCAAGCAACCCAAGGATTGGAACGCCAAGCCGTGCCAGTCTGGTGGAAAAAAAAAAAAAAAAAAACCCAAAAAACAAAAAAACAGCACTGTGAATATCCTGAACACAGAGACAGGCAGGTGCCCAGAGTCAACGGCTCCAGTCAGCACCTCCTGCACCCACAATCTAGGTACCTTCTTGAAAAGCAAGTCAATGGAAAAAGAGATATTGCACAGTCAGGGAGCCAGTGGCTTCTTTAGTTATTTTTTGAACATCTAAGAGGAAAGCTGTATCTGTTTAGAGTCCCACTGCATGGAAGTGAAGTGATTCCGAGTAGCTAAGCATTAGCTTGGCTTTACCTCAGCTGGCCCATTCAAGCAGAAATGTTCCCCAAGCAGCATTTGAAGGCGCCCCCTCTCTGCACAGGCAGACCTATTTTGGTCTGTGCACTGCCCCTGTCCACAGGTTTACACATCCCTGGTCTAGCTCCATCAGCCTCCAAACAGGAGACGGGGAAGTCAGTTCAACCCCCTCCACCTCCCCACCCACACCAATGCACTCGTTCCAAGCAAGAGGCTCCGAGAAACATCCAAGGCACCTTCCACTGGCTGTGAAACACCAGAAGGTCCCCACACTCCTACTAGATTCCAAAGAAATTCACACAGAGTCCTTCCAAACCTCTGAAAATAACCTCAGCGGTGCTGAAAGAAGCTTCCCTAGTGGCAGCTGCCTCTCTCGGAGAAGCTCTGAAGGAAGCTGTTTCCCTCCCTGCAGGGGACAGAAGCTGGCGGCTGCTAAGTCCCAGCTCGGTCATTCCTACAGCCTCGGGGGGCCACGTCAGTTGTGAAAAACAGCCCAGTCTCAAATTCTGGCCCCCCCTACGGCTTCGTGAATTGAATGAAGTAACAGGAACTATCACTTATTGGACGCCTGCTGTATGCCAGAGGCCCTGCATGATCTCATTCCATCTCCACTCCAGCCCTAGCAACCAGGTTCAATCACTTAAATAGGCAACTGAGGCTCTTAAGATGAAGTGACTTATCCAAGGTCACACAGTGAGTACAAACCCAGGTGTGCCGCCAGAGCCTGAACTGGGAACCCCTGCGCGGTAACTGCCTCGTGGCGAAATCGGGGTGTCCTTCTGTTTGGCCAGTCGCCGAAGAGGGGTGTTCCTCTTGGGCGGCCCTGAGCCACCCTCGGCGGGTCCCAGGAGCCTGCGAGGCAGCTCCCGGGAGAATGGGGGTCCTGAGGATAGGCTGGGGGTCCCGGGAGCGCCGAAACAGCGGGCCCACCTGTAGTCCTGCCTGCCGTGAGGGTACCCCGCTCCCGGGCCAGCCGAGCCCTGCCGCTGTCTGGCGCCCCCTCCGCCTGGGGAAGCCCCGAAGGCAGTTTCCGCCCGCGGCCGCCCGTCACTCACCCTGACACTGCCGCCGAGGACGGCCCGGCCGAGGGAAGCAAGCGAGAGGCGCGGCTGCCGCCGGAGCCGGGCCCCGTCGGGCTCTAGCCTCTCCGGCCGGCTGCAGGGGTACTGAGACCAGTACCCGGGGGCCAGCAGCGACCCGGAAACACTCGGCCCGGAAATGATGTCACCATGAGGCGGGCCCGAAGAGAGGGTGGACCACGGCTGCGCGCTGGCTCCGGGAAGCGGTCGATGCCCGCGGCCGACGGAGACTACAACCCAGAGGCGGAGGACAAAGCGGAAGGCCGAAGAGCGAGGACGAAACCGGCGGAACCGCACTTTGGAGCCTAACGAGCCATCGCTGCGTCTGAGACTGGGACCCGGAAGTAAACAGGCCGGACGTGACGCAAGCCGCTCGGCCTAGGGATGGTGGCTGGCCGGGTTGTCATGGAAACCGCTCAGGAGCAGGGAGCTGGGAGCTATGAGTGCTGACTGCGTGAACTCGGCCTCCACTTCCCGGACCTGCCACTTATCATGATCCACGAGCTGTACTCATGACTCCGCACAAGCAAGCAGGGGCTGACGGTCGGATCCCTCGCCCCCATTTTACGGACAGAAGTACCGAGGCTCAAAGAGAGCCAGTGAGATGCTGAAATCACGCGTGATTGGAATCCAGCCTTGCTAGGGCTGCGGGTGTTACGGGCCGTGGGCGGCGGTTAAGAGCGTGGGTTCTATTTTTAGTTTTGCCACTTACTAGCTGTGTGACCTTGGACAAGTTACCTAACCTCTCTGAGCCTCAGCTTTCTAACCTGTAATATTAAATAATAAAGCCAGGCGTGGTGGCACGCGACTGTAGTCCCAGCTAGTCGGGAGGCTGAGGCGAGAGGATGGCTTGCTCCCAGGTGTTCGAGACCAACCTGGGCAACATAACGAGGCCACGTCTCTTAAAAAAAAAAAAAAAAAAAAAAAAAAAAAAAAGCCGGGCACGGCGGCTCACGCCTGTAATCCCAGCACTTTCGGATAAACTATATATATATATAATCTGACATCCCCACCAGACCCTGAGCTTCTTATTCATCTATTTCCCCCCGAGCTCTGCACATGTCTGATGAGGAGGCACACAACAGATGTTCATTGATTGTAGGATTCTCACTCTGAGTCTTGGTGACCCCAGCTAAAACCGGTGGGGCTTGTGTGATGAGTCAGTGACACAATACTGGGAAACGTTTGGAGAACCAGCAATCTGCTGCTGTCCAAACAGTAGCATTACTGTGTTTACCTGTCGTTGCCTGAGCACCGCTCAAAGTCCCTGTGTTCTTTATCAGCTCATGTTTAAGCTCCTCTCTTAATTATCTGCAATGTGATGATGTTCACAGGAATTCCATCTGAGACAAACTGTCCCACCTTAAGTCTGCCTCTTACAGCAACTCAGCACTCTGGTTTGGTAGCTCTTACAATATTGCATTTTCACGTGGGGCTGCTTAAAAAAGTCCCCTCCAGCTCTGTGGGTCTATGACAGGCAAAAGAGAAACAAAGATTTTGAAGAAGGGCTTTACCAGTAGGAAACCCTGGTCATCATCTACTATCAGAAAAGACCCAAAGTCTCCAAAGACAGTCACATTTCTCAGTTTTTTTTTTTTTTTTTTTTTTTTTTGAGACGGAGTCTCGCTCTGTCACCCAGGCTGGAGTGCAGTGGCACAATCTCAGCTCACTGCAAGCTCCGCCTCCTGGGTTCACGCCATTTTCCTGCCTCAGCCTCCGGAGTAGCTGGGACTACCGGCACGCGCCAACACGCCTGGCTAATTTTTTGTATTTTTAGTAGAGATGGGGTTTCACCAAGGTGGTCAGGATGGTCTCCATCTCTTGACCTCGTGATCCGCCCACCTCGGCCTCCCAAAGTGCTGGGATTACAGGCCTGAGCCACTGTGTCCGGCCATGTTTCTCATCTTTTAAACACAGTTGAAGGCTTGTGATTTCTCTACTTGGTGATGTAGAAATGACAGGAGCGTCCTTTCCCGACTTTATTATATAATGATTACCAGATTATGTAAGGGTCACGTGACAATGATTAGGCACTTCTACTTCCGAAGAGCCAACAACACGAACAATCTACCTACCTCTTTCTATTTTTTAGTTTTTTTTTCCATCACCAAAGTAATACATGATTCCAACAATACAGAGGAGTATAGAACAAAAAGCAAAACAGAAAAGCTACCCCATGACCCAGCAATTGGATTTCTCAAAATCTGCTAGAGAAACATACACTGTGCCCAAAGAGACCTCTTGCATCATTGTTTCTAATGCAAAAGCAATAATAGGAAATATTTAAATCTCCATCACTGGGGTAATGGTATATCCATACTAACAAATACTGTGGATCACTTAAAAAGGGTGATGCATGGCCAGGCGCGGTGGCTCACGCCTGTAATCCCAGCACTTTGGGAGGCCGAGGTGGGCAAATCACGAGGTCAAGAGGCCGAGACCATCCTGGCTAACACAGTGAAACCCTGTCTCTACTAAAAATACAAAAATTAGCCGGGTGTGGTAGCAGGCGCAGTAGCGGGTGCCTGTAGTCCCAGCTACTCGGGAGGCTGAGGCAGGAGAATGGCATGAACCTGGGAGGCAGAGGTTGCAGTGAACCGAGATGGCACCACTGCACTCCAGCCTGGGCTACAGAGTGAGACTCTGTCTCAAAAAAACAAAACAAAAAAAGTCAACTGGGGACAGGAACACAGATACAGATATCTGTCTTTCATTCCACAAACACACATTTATGTGATCTGTATTAATATCTTTCTCCCCCAGAAGTCAGTGAACTCCATGAGGACAAAACTATGTCTGTTTTGTTCACAATTATATTACTACTACCTGACATATATGCACTACCTAGCATGCAATAGGTTGTTCAACATAATTTGTTTCTGACCAGAATTTTCACTGAATACCTACCATGTGCCAAGTTTGATGTCAGATTTTTTTTTTTTAATTGAGACAGGGTCTCTCACTCTGTCACCCTGTCTGGAGTGTAGTGGCATGATCATAGCTCACTGCAGCCTCAACCTCCTAGGCTCAAGCGATCCTCCCACCTTAGCCTCCTGAGTGGCGGGGACCACAGTTGCACACCACCACATCTGGCTAATTTTGTTAACTGTTTTGTAGAGGGAGGGTCTCGCAATTTTGCCAAGGCTGCTCTCAAACTCCTGGGCTCAAGTGATCCTCCCACCTTGGCTTCCCAAGGTGCTGGGATTACAGGCATGAGTCACCATGCCCACCCTGATGTTAGGTTTAAAGGGCATAACTGTGAGTGAGACAGACACAGTTCCTGCCCTCACAGAGCATCCAGTCTCCTTAACCGAAAGAGAATATTCATAACATAGGAGTAGGATTAATAAAACCCTAGAATTCAGGATAGAAGATGGTAAATGATATGAGAGGGGTATAGAGCTTAGAGCATGGAGAAGTGACCTCTGACAGGGTAAATGAAGGATAGCCTCCAGGAGGAAGTAGCATTTGAGCTGGGCTTTGAGTGACCTGGACATGTGAGGCTGTCCAGCTTTCCTTCCAGCTGGAGTAAAGGGAGCAATCAAAGGCAAGGACCTGAGATCAAAAACTCGGCTACCTGTGGCTGGGCTCAGTGGCACAAGCCTGTAATCCCAGCAATTTGGGAGGCCGAGGCAGGCGGATCTCCTGAGGCCCAGAGTTTGAGACCAGCCTGACCGATACAGTGAAACCCCATCTGTACTAAAACCACAAAAATTAGCCAGCCTGTAGTAGTGCCCACCTGTGGTCCCAGCTACTCAGGAGGCTGAGGCTGGAGAATCGCTTAAATCTGGGAGGTGGAGGTGGCAGTGAGCCAAGATCACGCTACTGCACTCTAGCCTGGGACACAGAGGGAGACCCTGTCTCAAAAAAGCAAAAACAAAAACAAAAAACAAAAACACAAACTCAGCTACCTGCAAGCACATAATGTGGGCAAATACGAGGTACTAGAGTACTATAGCCTCACACTGCGTAGGACCAGAAATGAGTAATGTAATCTAACATGGTACCCGGCTCACAGTAGGCATCCAATAAGTACTTCAGTGAGAAAACAAATATTGTTGAATTCCTTCCATGCTTCAGCTGACTTGTGGCCAAGATCCCCACTCACCAGGAATGACCAGATACTCTGATTTTTGGAGAGGAGTTAGAGATCCAGATTGTTTGTTTATTTATTTATTTAAAGATAAGGTCTTGATCTGTCATCCAGACTGGAGTACAGTGGCATGATCATGGCTCACTGCAACCTCAAACTTCTGGACTCAAGGGATCCTCCCACCCCAGCCTCCCACACAGCTGGGACTACAGGCTCATGCCATCATGCCCAGTTAATTATTTTCTGAAGACGTGGGATCTTGCTGTGTTGCCCAGGGTGGTCTCAAACTCCTAGCCTCAGGTGATCCTCCCACTTTGACCCACCAAAGTGCTGGGATTACAGGCACCAGCCACTGCGTCCAGCCTGGAATCCAGATTTTTAAATAAAATTTCTTAATTATAAACAATATTTGTAAATATACCTCCTGTTTCTACCTGTTGAGAGGGCCTAGAAGAAATGGCACACCTGTAGCAACAAGCACGTAGACTAAGACTAACCAGATCTTAGTCCATGGAACCAGGGCTTCCTGGAGAAATGGCTGATTCCCAGGGGTAGGTCAGGGAAATTACAACATGAGGTTGGAACATGTTATTGAGCCAGAAAGTAGGAAGTGCCCAAAGAATGATGGGACATGTTGAAAGCACACAAAAGCCAGGATGGAGGGTCCCTATTGGCCAGATATGGGCAATGTGAGTATCAAAATAAATAATAATAACAGATTATAAAACTTAATTGTGGGGAGAGAAGTTATGAGCCCATACTAATGCTAAACATAAAATATCATGCTTCATCCAGGCATGGTGGCTCATGCCTGTAATCCCAGCACTTTGGGAGGCCGAGGCAGGTAGATCATCTGAGGTCAGGAGCCTGGTCAACATGGTGAAACCCCATCTCTAGAAAAATACAAAACAAAATTAGCTGGGCATGATGGTGGGTGCTTGTAATCCCAGCTACTTGGGAGGCTGAGGCAGGAGAATTACTTGAACCCAGAAGGTGGAGGTTGCAGGGAGCTGAGATTGCACCATTGCACTCCAGCCTGGGTGACAGAGCGAGACTCTGTCTCAAAAAAAACAACAACAACCATGTTTTATTTTTTATTTTTTAGGCTAGTCAAGTGAAGCAATGGGAATGGAGAAGAAACAAATCTATAACTGGTTGTGATGAATTAGTCGTAAGCACCACTGCAATTGGACCAGTCAATACCATGGTTATCACAGGAGTGTGGCTGAGGCTGTGTTTGGCCCTGGGTGCCAGGTCTGCACCCTGCACTAAGGATGGGTGAGGAACGACAGGCAGTCGAGCTGGTTGGTGCTACAGGTAACGATAGTACCTACCAAAATACAGGTTAAATGAGATAGTCCTTGTGACATGATAACATGTTAATTACTCAATTAGCATTAGCTATCATGAATCAATCCTTTTATATGTTTTAAAGCCTAGAGAAGCACTTTATCCATAGTGGCTGCTTATTACATTTATTACATTTCTCTTGATTGAATGAAATGATACAGTTTTGCTAACTACTAGCTCTTACTTCCCATACTGTTTTCTTTTCAGGATCCTCACTCTGATCTAAGAGCATAATTTAATTGTGTTGTCAGACAGCTTATCTTCAGGGTTATGACATGGAGTCAGACTGCCTGGGACATCATATTTATTTATTTATTTATTTATTTATTTATTTATTTATTTATTGAGACAGGGTCTCTGTCACCCAGGCTAGAGTGCAGTGGTGCCATCTTGGCTCACTGCAACCTCCACCTCCCAGGCTTAAGCAATCCTCCTACCTCAGCCTCCCAAGTAACTGGGACTACAGGCATGCGCCACCATGCCCTTGTATTTTTTGTGGAGACAGGATTTATTCATGTTGCCCAGGCTGGTCTCAAACTCCTGAGTTCGCCCTCTCCCTCTCCCTCCCCCTCCCCCTCCCCCTCCCCCTCCCCCTCTCCCTCTCCCCACGGTCTCCCTCTCTCTCTCTTTCCACGGTCTCCCTCTGATGCCGAGCCGAAGCTGGACGGTACTGCTGCCATCTCGGCTCACTGCAACCTCCCTGCCTGATTCTCCTGCCTCAGCCCGCCGAGTGCCTGCGATTGCAGGCGCGCGCCGCCACGCCTGACTGGTTTTCGTATTTTTTTGGTGGAGACGGGGTTTCGCTGTGTTGGCCGGGCTGGTCTCCAGCTCCTAACCGCGAGTGATCCGCCAGCCTCGGCCTCCCGAGGTGCAGGGATTGCAGACGGAGTCTCGTTCACTCAGTGCTCAATGGTGCCCAGGCTGGAGTGCAGTGGCGTGATCTCGGCTCGCTACAACCTCCACCTCCCAGCAGCCTGCCTTGGCCTCCCAAAGTGCCGAGATTGCAGCCTCTGCCCGGCCGCCACCCCGTCTGGGAAGTGAGGAGCATCTCCGCCTGGCCGCCCATCGTCTGGGATGTGAGGAGCCCCTCTGCCTGGCTGCCCAGTCTGGAAAGTGAGGAGCGTCTCTGCCCGGCCGCCATCCCATCTAGGAAGTGAGGAGCGCCTCTTCCCAGCCGCCATCACATCTGGGAAGTGAGGAGCGTCTCTGCCCGGCCGCCCATCGTCTGAGATGTGGGGAGCACCTCTGCCCTGCCGCCCCGTCCGGGATGTGAGGAGCGTCTCTGCCCGGCCGCCCCGTCTGAGAAGTGAGGAGACCCTCTGCCTGGCAACCGCCCCGTCTGAGAAGTGAAGAGCCCCTCCGCCCGGCAGCCGCCCCGTCTGAGAAGTGAGGAGCCCCTCCGCCCAGCAGCCACCCCGTCTGGGAAGTGAGGAGCATCTCCGCCCGGCAGCCACCTCGTCCGGGAGGGAGGTGGGGGGGTCAGCCCCCCGCCCGGCCAGCCGCCCGGTCCGGGAGGTGAGGGGCGCCTCTGCCCGGCCGCCCCTACTGGGAAGTGAGGAGCCCCTCTGCCCGGCCAGCCGCCCCGTCCGGGAGGGATGTGGGGGGGTCAGCCCCCCGCCCGGCCAGCCGCCCTGTCCGGGAGGGAGGTGGGGGGGGTCAGCCCCCCGCCTGGCCAGCTGCCCCGTCCGGGAGGTGAGGGGCGCCTCTGCCCGGCCGCCCCTACTGGGAAGTGAGGAGCCCCTCTGCCCGGCCACCACCCCGTCTGGGAGGTGTACCCAACAGCTCATTGAGAACGGGCCATGATGACAATGGCGGTTTTGTGGAATAGAAAGGGGGGAAAGGTGGGGAAAAGATTGAGAAATTGGATGGTTGCTGTGTCTGTGTAGAAAGAGGTAGACATGGGAGACTTTTCATTTTGTTCTGTACTAAGAAAAATTCTTCTGCCTTGGGATCCTGTTGATCTGTGACCTTACCCCCAACCCTGTGCTCTCTGAAACATGTGCTGTATCCACTCAGGGTTGAATGGATTAAGAGCGGTGCAAGATGTGCTTTGTTAAACAGATGCTTGAAGGCAGCATGCTCCTTAAGAGTCATCACCACTCCCTAATCTCAAGTACCCAGGGACACAAACACTGCGCAAGGCCGCAGGGTCCTCTGCCTAGGAAAACCAGAGACCTTTGTTCACTTGTTTATCTGCTGACCTTCCCTCCACTATTGTCCTGTGACCCTGCCAAATCCCCCTCTGCGAGAAACACCCAAGAATGATCAATAAAAACAAACAAACAAACAAACAAACAAACAAACTCCTGAGTTCAAGCAATCCACCCGCCTTGGCCTCCCAAAGTGCTGGGATTACAGGCGTGAGCCACTGCGCCCAGCCTCATCATCTTTCTAAGCCTCAGTTTCCCCACCTGTAAAATGGAGCTGATCATAGTATCTTCTTCATAAGGTTATTTTGCATATTGAATGGGATAACATGTGCAAAGAAGTTCCCCCAGTGCCTGGAAGGCAGTGATCCTGCAGCAAATGTTATCCACGATTAGGATTCTTGTTGTCCCACATGAATTTGCTGGGTGCTACAGATTCTGTCTGGCTCCCAAAGCTCAGAATTCATTCTGGCCTCCCACGGGTGGAGGCAGGGTTTGGGGGAGGTTTGTAACTCTAAAGATGGCACGTCTTGAACTGAAAGCTGGCGCTGTCAAGCTTCTTCACAATCAGTAAGAACGGCTTTCTTCCCCCTTTTCCCTAAATATAAACCCAACTGCCAATCGCTTTAAAGTCTTCATGTCTGCAGCAGGAGCAACCCACGAGTCCAAAGGTGAGGCAGCTGGCAGAGGGCTGTTGTTAGTGGGATCCACCCAGCCCAGCCCAGCTCCAAGGAGACACACTTCATGGGACTGGATGTGGGCAACTCAGCATTTCTTCCTTATGATTCTTAATTGCTCCTGAAAACAGTAACCCCAAAGTTACGAGCCCCAGTGTGTACTATAACAGTCTCTTAAAGTACTGGGTTTCAGGGCTGGGCACAGTGGCTCACTTGTGTAATCCCAGCACTTTGGGAGGCCAAGGCAGGAGGATCACTTGAGGTCAGGAGTTCCAGACCAGCCTGGCCAACATAGTGAAACACCATCTCTAGTAAAAATACTAAAATTAGCCGGGCATGGTGGCGCATGCCTGTAATCCCAGCTACTTGGGAGGCTGAGGCAGGAGAATTGCTTGAACCAGGAGGCGGAGGTTGTAGTGAGCCGAGATTGCACCACTGCACTCCAGCCTGGGCAACAGAGCGAGACTCCATCGCAAAAAAAAAAAAAAAAAAAAAAAAGTATTGGGTTTTAGAAGACGGCTTGCTGGAAGCAAACATCTTTGTCCTTCCCTCTCCCTTGAAGCAAGCAAAGGAAAGCCACACACAGGTTGTCCTTATTACATAGCAACATTATCCCTAGGCCAGAAGTCGAAGTAGGCTCTGGAGCCGAAAGGCTTAAGTTCAGATCCTAGCCCTGCCGCTTTCCATCTGTGTGACCTTGGACAAGCTATCTAACCTCTCTGGGACTGCCTCTATTTCCTTATCAGTAAAATGGGATTAATAGTACCCCTGAGGATTATTGAGAGATTAAATGAGCTAATAATATACGATGCCAAGTGCAGAGTGAGCATTCAACACAAGCTAGATATGACTGACTCAGTCACAGGGCTTGCCAGGCTGGGGTGTAGAGTCAGCCTCAGACCAATGGGGAACATAATGGGACTTATGCCATTATGGTCAGGCCTTGACACCTTGCATTTATGCTGCTCAAAAGAGGAGGATTTTGGCTAGGGGCCATGGCTCACGCATGTAATCCCAATGCTTTGAGAGGGCGAAACTGGAGGATTGCTTGAGGCCAGAAGTTGGAGACCAGTCTAGGCTACATAGTAAAGCCCCATCTCTCCAAAAAATTTTAAAAATTAGGTAGACACGTAGCATGAGCCCATAGTCCTAGCTACTGGGGAGGCTGAGGTGGGAGAATCTCTTGAGCCCAAGAGTTTGAGGTTACAGTGAACTGTGATGGCACCACTGCACTCCAGCCTCAGCAACAGAGTGAGACCCTGTCTCTAAAAAAAAAAATAAGTTAAAAAAAGTGTAGAATTGTATAATATCCAGAATATATGAAGAATTTCTATAACGCAACAACAAATAGACAACCCAATTTAAAAATGGGCAAAGGTGGCTGGGCATGGTGGCTCACACCTGTAATCCCAGCACTTTCGGAAGCCAAGGGGGGTAGATCATTTGAGCTCAAGAGTTCAAGACCAGCCTGGCCATCATGGCAAAATCCCATCTCTACTAAAAATGCAAAAGTTGGCCGGGCACAGTGGCTCACACCTGTAATCCCAGCACTTTGGGAGGCCGAGGCGGGAGGATCACCTGAGGTCGGGAGTTCAAGACCAGCCTGGCCAACATGGTGAAACTCCATCTCTACTAAAAATACACCAGGAGCAGTGGATCATGCCTGTAATCCCAGCACTTTGGGAAGCCAAGGTGTGTGGATCACCTGAGTTTGGGAGTTCGAGACCAGTCTGGCCAACATAGTGAAACCCCATCTCTACTAAAAATACAAAAATTAGCCAGGCATGGTGGCATGTGCCTGTAATCCCAGCTACTTGGGAGGCTGAGGCAGGAGAATCGCTTGAACCCAGGAGGCGGAGGCTGCAGTGAGTCGAGATTTTGCCATTGCACTCCAGCCTGGGTGACAACAGTGAAACTCTGTCTCAAAAAAAAATAATAAAAAAATTTTTTTAAAAATACAAAAATTAGCTGGGTGTAGTGGCAGGCCCCTGTAATCCCAGCTACTTGGGAGGCTGAGGTGAGAGAATCATGTGAACCTAGGAGGTGGAGGTTGCAGTGAGCCAAGATCTCACCATTGCACTCCAGTCTGGGCAACAGAGTGAGATTCTATCTCAAAATAAATAAATAAATAAAATTAAAAATGGGCAAAGGACTTGAATAGACATTTCTCCAAAGAAGATACACAGATGGCCAATAAGCATGTGAAAAGATGTGTGTCATCACTAATCTTTAGGGAAATGTAAATCAAAACCACAGTGAGATTCCACTTCAAACCCTCTAGGGTGGCTATAATAAAATGTTTTTGAAAAGGAAAATAACAAATGTTGGCAATGATGTAAAGAATGGAATACTCGTACTTGCTGGTGGGAATGTAAAATGGTGCAGCCACTGTAAAGAACAGTCTGGCAGTTCCTCAAAAAGTTAAATACAGAATGACCATATGACTCAGCAATTCTGCTCCTAGGCATATGCCTGAAAGAATTGAAAATAAGGACTCAAAACAGACACTTGTACATCAATGTTCATTGCAGTATTATTCACATTAGCCAAAAGGTAGAAACGACCCAAGTGTTTGCTGACAGATGAATGAATAAACAAAATGTGGTACATCCATGCAATGGAATATTATTCAGCCTTAAAAAGTGAGGAAATTCCAATGCTACATCATGGATAAACCTTAAAAATATTATGTTAAGTGAAAGAAGCCAGTCACAAAAGGACAAATATTGTGTGATTCCACTAGATGAGATGTCTGTAATAGGCAAATTCATAGAGACAGAAAAAGGATTAGAGGTTACCAGTGGCTGGAGAGGGAGGAATGGGGAGCTATTTCTTATAGATGGAGTTTCTGTTTAGGTTGCTGAAAAAATTTTGGAAACAGAGGCGATGTTTGCACAACATTGTGAATGTAATTACTGCCACTAAAGTATATGCTTTATGGTGGTTAAAATGGCAATTTTTATGTTATGTATGTTATCACAATAAAAAAATTTTGGGGGGGGCCAGGCCAGTGGCTCACACCTGTAATCCCAGCACTTTGGGAGGCTGAGGTGGGTGGATCACTTGAGGTCAGGAGTTCGAGACCAGCCTGGCCAACATGGTGAAACCCTGTCTCTACTAAAAATACAAAAAAAAAAATAGCTGGATCTCATGACACCCACCTGAAATCTCAGGTACTCGGGAGGCTGAGGCAGGAGAATTGCTTGAACCCAGGAGGTGGAGGTTGCAGTGAGCCACGATCACACCATTGGAATCCGTGCACTCCAGACTGGGCAACAGAGCAAGACCCTGTCTCAAAAAAAAAAAATGGTGTGGCTGGGCACAGTGGCTCATGCCTGTAATTCCAGCACTTTGGGAAGCCAATCTGGGTGGATCATTTGATGTAAGGAGTTCGAGACCAGCCTGGCCAACATGGTGAAACCCTGTCTCTACTAAAAATACAAAAAAATTAGCTGGACGTGGTGGCACACACTTGAAATCCCAGCTACTAGGGAGGCTGAGGGAGAAGAATTACTTGAACCGGGAGGCAAAGGTTGCAGTGAGCCGAGATGGTACCACTGCACTCCAGCCTGGGAACAAAGTGAGACTCCATCTCAAAAAAAAAAATAAATAAATAAATAACAGAAGATCTGGACAGACACTTCACAGAGGTAAAACATACAAAATGGCCAATAAACAAATGAAAAGGTACTCAACGTCATTAATCATTATGAAATCTAAAATTGCACAGTACCACTACACACTCACTAGAATGGCTAAAAGTGTCTGACAACCAAATGTTGGTGAGGACGTGAAGCAACTCATACCTTGTTAGTGGTCATGGGAAATAGTTGGAAAATGGCTTGGTTTGGCAGTTTCTAATAAAATTAAACACACATTGGCCGGGCACGGTGGCTCACGCCTGTAATCCCAGCACTTTGGAAGGCCAAGGCGGGCAGATCACCTGAGATCAGGAGTTCAAGACCAGCCTGGCCAACATGGTGAAACCCCATCTCTACAAAAATACAAAAATTAGCCGGGCATGATGGCAGGTGTTTGTAATCCCAGCTACTCAGGAGGCTGGGGTGGAAGAATCGCTTGAACCCAGGAGGCGGAAGTTGCAGTGAGCCGAGATCGTGCCATTGCATTCCAGCCTGGGCAACAGCAAGACTCCATCTCAAAAACAAACAAACAAAACAGACAAACAAACAAACAAAACAAAAAAAATTAAACACACATTTACGAAATGACCCGGAAATTCTACTTCTATGTGAATGCTTAGTTTTGAAATGTCTTGTTAATTGTGATGACTTTCTTCTATCCTTAGCCAATGTCTCAAGTCACAATATACACATGAGGTGCAGTTTATTGTAGATGAAGGTGGATTCAAATCCCCTATTTCAATGTCTTCTTGTTAGTACTCATTATTTGGTTGTAGTTCTTGTCAGATATTATGAGATCGTTATGTTTTTACCTCATTATGTGGCTGACCCTTGATATAATAGAAACTGTAAAATGCTATGAGCTGGTGGGATAACTGATGAAATGCAATTTTCTGGAGGCAGTTTTTTTTTAATTTTTTTTTTTGAGACAGGCTCTCACTCTGTCGCCCAGGCTGGAGTGCAGTGGCGCAGTCTTGGCTCACTGCAACCTCTGCCTCCTGGGTTCAAGCGATTCTCCTGCCTTAGCCTCCTTAGTAGCTGGGATTAACAGGCATGCGCCACCACACCCGGCTAATTTTTGTATTTTTTTGGTAGAGACTGGGGTTTTACCATGTTGGCCAGGCTGGTCTCAAACTCCTGACCTCAAGTGATACACCGGCCTCTGCCTCCCAAAGTGTTGGGATTACAGGCGTGAGCCGCTGCACCCTGCCAGGGGCCGCATTTTTATGTGATCATCCCCGCGTG
The DNA here is from genome assembly GCF_000001405.40 of Homo sapiens. NCBI lineage: Eukaryota > Metazoa > Chordata > Mammalia > Primates > Hominidae > Homo > Homo sapiens. The sequence continues at coordinate 49,928,557 of NC_000020.11, forward strand.
GCTTTCCTGTTTGAGACTGAATAATTCACTGTTACATTTCCAACACTTACCAGGATACTTAGCACATAGAGTTATTGGTTGAATGAATATTTACATGCCAGTGTCTCCTCTGTTAAGACTCCTTTTAGGCTGAGACTCTTTTTTTTTTTTTTTAATTTTTGTTTTCAGGCAATGTACAGTAAGCCATGATGGGCAGAGGCAGGAAATACTTAGAGAACTGGAAAGAATAAAGGAGCCGGTGTTCTCTTCGCAGGGCCCGGTGAGTCTGTGAGATGCTCACACGCCCCCTGGTGGTGTCAGTAGGAATTCTTCCTGGCGCTCAGCAATTTGGCAATCTTGAAGAACCGGCTGAAATCAAGATGAAATTATCTGCCCACAGGTTTAAAAATGTAGCAATACATGATGGGGTAAATTATGCCTAACTTAGACAAGTATAGCGATAAATTTTACATGTGGCCTGAGGCTGATAGAACTGTGACGCCTGAGAGTTACAGGATTTGAGGGCTGGAGTTACTTCCGATTCATCTTAACTGTTCTTAATGCATCATTGTTTATTTTTTCTTTTTTTAAGAGAAAAAAAAGTCACCCAGGCTGGAGTGCAATAGCACGATCATGGTTCATTGCAGCCTCAACGTCCTGGGGTCAAGCAGTCCTCCTCAGCCTCCCCAAGTGCTGAGCCCACATGTGCATGCCCCTATGCCCAGATATTTTTTGTATTTTTTGTAGGGATGGGATCTTGCTATGTTGCCCAGGGTGGTCTCGAACTCCTGGGCTCCAGGCAATTGCCTTAGCCTCTCAAAGTGCTGGGATTACAGATGTGAGCCACCTCACCTGGTCCCGAATTTTTAATTAAAAAGTGGTGCATGAACTTGATATAAATATTTAGACAACACAAGAGGAAACAGAAGGAGAAGTCTTTCTCCAGGCCCAGAACCTAAGACCCAGTCCCTTAGCTCCCCTTTTGTTTTTTGGTTTTTTGTTTGTTTGTTTCTTTTCATATAAAATAGAGACAGGGTCTTGCCATGTTTCCCAGGCTGGTCTCAAACCGCCAGGCTCAAGTGATCCACCTGCCTTAGCCTCCCAAAGTGCTGGGATTACAGGCATGACCCACCACACCCGGGCCATTTTCCCTTTCTAATAGGAACCATTGGTACCAGATTCTCAGAAATCTTCCCAGGAGGCCGGGCGCGGTGGCTCACGCCTGTAATCCCAGAACTTTGGGAGGCCGAGGCGGGTGGATCACCTGAGGTCAGGAGTTCGAGACCAGCCTGGCCAACATGGCGAAATCCCGTCTCTACTAAAAATATAAAAAAATTAGCCGGGCGTGGTAGTGGACACCTGTAATCCCAGCTACTCAGGAAGCTGAGGCAGGAGAATTGCTTGAACCCAGGAGATGGAGGTTGCAGTGAGCCAACATGGTCCCACTGCACTCCAGCCTGGGTGAGAGTGAGACTCCGTCTCAGAAAAAAAAAAAAAAAAATCTTTCCAGTAGGGCAATTGACTCATCCTGTTTTGCCCGGGACTTTCCCAGTTTTGGCACTGAAAGTCTCACATCCTGGGAAACCCCTCACTCCCAGGCAAACCTGGACACTTGGTCACCCTACTTTCCAAAGGCATCTATTTATCATATACAAACATATACATATATTAGTTGCATTACTTGGCATCTTGATGTTGTTTTAATTAAAAATATTTTTTGGGCCAGGTGCAGTGGCTCACACCTGTAATCCCAGCACTTTGGGAGGCCAAGGTGGGCAGCTCACTTGAGGTCAGGAGTTCAAGACCAGCCTGGCCAACATGGTGAAACCCCGTCTCTACTAAAAATACAAAAGTTAGCCAGGTGCAGTGGCGCATGCCTGTAATTCCAGCTACTCGAGAGGCTGAGGTAGGAGAATCTCTTGAACCCAGGAGGCAGAGGTTGCAGCGAGCTGAGATCGTGCCACTGCACTCCAGTCTGGGTGACAGAGCGAGACTCCATTTTAAAAAAAAGTTTTATATATATATATATATATGAGATGATTCAATATCAGCTTCATATTTATTTAACAAATATTTATGTAATTACCTAGCATGCACCAGGCATTATTTTGGAAGCTGAAGATAACAGCAGTAAACAAAATTGACAAAACCTCCTGACCTCATGGAATTGATATACTAGTAATTATATCTATTGCATTTGTTTAATCACCCCCAATCATCATTTTGGTTGCTTCCAGTATCTTCCTAGTGTGACAACGCTGTCCTGGATATCCGTGTGCATGTAGCTGTCTCACATGCATGAGGGTATCTATAGCAGCGCTGTCCAATAGATCTTCCTGCAACGATGGAAATGTTCTGTGTCTGATCTTTTCAATATGTAGCCACGAGTCACTTGTGGCTATTGAGCACTAGACATATGGCTAGTAAGACTGGGGAATAGAATTTTATATTTTATTTAGTTGTTTTGTTTTGTTTTGAGACAAAGTCTTGCTCTGTCGCGCAGGCTGGAGTGCAGTGGTGCAGTCTCAGCTCACTGCAAGCTCCGCCTCCTGGCTTCACGCCATTCTCCTGCCTCAGCCTCCCGAGTAGCTGGGTCTACAGGCACCCGCCACCAGGCCCGGCTAATTTTTTTGTATTTTTTAGTAGAGACAGGGTTTCACTGTGTTAGCCAGGATAGTCTCGATCTCCTGCCCTCATGATCCATCCACCTCGGCCTTCCAAAGTGCTGGGGTTACAGGTGTGAGCCACTGCGCCTGGCCTTTTTTTTTTTTTTTTTTTTTTTTGAGAAAGGGTCTCTGTCAGTCAGGCTGGAATGCAGTGGCACAATCATGTTTCACTGCAGCCTCGATCTCTAGAGCTTAAGCAATCCTCCCACTTCAGCCTCCTGAGTAGCTGGGACCACAAGTGTGCACCACCACACGTAGCTAGTTTTTTTTATGTAGAGATGGCGGGGTCTTGCTATGTTGATTAAGCTGGTTTCAAACTCCTGGCCTCAAGCGATCCTCCCATGTTGACCTCCCAAAGTGCTGGGATTACAGGTGTGAGCCACTGCACCTGGCATTAATTTTGTTTTTTTTTTTTTTTTTGAGACAGGGTCTTGCTCTTGCCCAGACTGGAGTGCAGTGGCAAGATTACAGCTCAATGATGCTTTGAACTCCTGGGCTCAAGCAACCCTCCTCTGAGTAGCTAAGACTACAGGCACATGCCACTGCACTCAGCTAATTTTATGTTTGTTTGTTTGTAGACAGCAGGGTCTTGGTACGTTGCCCAGGTTGATCTTGAACTCCTGGCCTCAAGTGATCCTCCCACTTATTTTTGTATTTTTTGTAGAGATGGGGGAGGGAGTTGGGGGTGGTGGGGTGTCTCACTGTGTTACCCAGGATGGTCTTAAACCCCTGGACAAAAGTGATCCACCCCCCTCAGCAACCCAAAGTGCTGGGATTACAGGCGTGAGCCACCATGCCCAGCCCTTTCTTAAATTTAAGCAAACAAATTTTAATAATGATGGCTGACTCCTGTAATCCCAGCACTTTGGGAGACCAAGACAGGAGGACCATTTGAGCTCAAGAGTTCGAGACCAGCCTTGGCAACATGGTGAAACCCTGTCTCTACAAAAAATTTAAAAATTAGCTGGGTGTGGTGTGCACGCCTATAGTCCCAGCTACTTGGGAGGCTGGGGTGGGAGGACGGCTTTTGCCCATGAGGTGGAGGTTGCAGTGAGCCAAGATTTTGCCATTGTCCTCCAGCTTGGGCAACAGAGCCAGACCCTGTCTCAAAAAAGAAAAAAAAAAGCCTAGGCAACATAGTGAGACCCCATCACTACAAAAAATAGAAAAAATAGCTAGGTGTGATGGCACATGCCTGTAGTCTCACCTACTCAGGAGGCTGAGGCAGGAGGATCACTTGAGCCTGGGAAGTCAAGGCTGCAGTGAGCTGTGATCACATCACTGCACTCCATCCTGGGTGACAGAGTGAGACTCTGTCTCAAAAAAAAAAAAAAAAAAAAAAAGGAAAGAAAGAAAGGGAGGGAAGGAGGGAAGGAACAAAGGAAGGAACGAAGGAAGGAAGGAAGGGAAGGAGGGAGGAAGGAAGGAAGGAAGGAAAAAAGGAAGGAAAAATTTAGGCTGGGCACAATGGCTCACGCCTGTAATCCCTAGCACTTTGGAGGCCGAGGTGGGCCGATCGTGAGGTCAGGAGATCGAGACCATCCTGGCTAACATGGTGAAACCCCGTCTCTACTAAAAATACAAAAAAAATTAGCCGGGCGTGGTGGTGGGCGCCTGTAGTCCCAGCTACTCAGGAGGTTGAGGCAGGAGAATGGCGTGAACCCAGGAGGCGGAGCTTGCAGTGAGCCGAGATTGTGCTACTGCACTCCAGCCTGGGCAACAGAGCGAGACTCTGTCTCAAAAAAAAAAAAAATTAATTTAAAAGAAATTTTTTTTGAGACTGAGTTTCACTCTTGTTGCCCAGGCTGGAGTCCAGTGGCTCGTTCTCCACTCACTGCAACCTCTGCCTCCTAGGTTCAAGCGATTCTCCTGCCTCAGCCTCCCAAGTAGCTGGGACTACAGGCATGCACCACCAGGCCCGGTTAATTTTTGTATTTTTAGTAGAAACAGGGTTTCACCATGTTGGTCAGGCTGGTCTTGAACTCCTAACCTCAGGTGATCCACCCGCCTCAGCCTCCTCCTGCTGAGATTACAGGCATGAGCCGCCATACCCAGCTTTTTTTTTTTTTTTTTTTAAAGAACATGATTCAACTGTATTGCTCTCTATAAGAAACTCACTTTATAGACTGGTTCTGAAAGGATGGAAAAAGATATTTCATGCAAATATCTTTTTGCGTGACCAAAGAAGAGGAGGGCTGGCAATACTAATATCAGAAAAATTACTTGTCCAGGCCGGGCACGGTAGCTCACACCTGTAATCCTAGCACTTTGGGAGGCCGAGGCGGGTGCATCACCTGAGGTCAGGAGTTTGAGACCAGCCTAAAAAATATGGTGAAATCCTGTCTCTACTAAAAATACAAAAATTAGCCAGGCGTGGTCGTGCATGCCTGTAGTCTCAGCTACTCAGGAGGCTGAAACAGGAGAATCACCTGAACCCAGGAGACAGAGGTTGCCGTGAGCTGAGATCACACCACTGCACTCCAGCCTGGACGACAGAGCAAGACCCTGTCTCAAAAAAAGAAAAAAGAAAAATTACTTGTCCAAAAGGTTACAAGAGATAAAGAAGGCATTGTATGTTAATAAAAAGTTCAATACAGCAAGAAGATATAACAATTATAAACATTTATATACCTAATAACAGACCATCAGAACATATGAAGCAAAAATTGGTAGAATTGAAGGAAGAAATAGACAATTCCACAATAATAGTTAGAGACTTCAATGCCCCACTCCCAAGAATAAATAGAACAAACAGGAGACAAGTAAGGAAATAAAGGACTTGAGCGACACAGTAAGACAACCAGGTCTAACACATGTACAGACACTCCCCAGCAACAACAGCATCCACATTCTTCTCAGGCACACATGGGATATCCTCCAGGATGGACCATATGTTAGGCCACAGATTAAGCCTCAAGAGATTTTAAAAGGTAGACATCAGCCAGCTGTGGTGGCTTAGGCCTGTAATCCCAGCACTTTGGGAGGCTGAGGCAGGAGGATTGCTCGTGCCCAGGAGTTTGCAACCAGCCTGGGCAACACAGCCAGACTTCATCTCTACAAAAAGAGACAGAAGAAAAGGAGAAAGAGAGAAAGATAAGAAGGAAAGAAAGAAGAAATAAAAGAGATCATACCAAATATCTTCTCCAAGCACAATTGGATAAGGCTAGAAATCAATATGGGGGGGTTAAAAAAAAAAAGAAATCAATATCAAAGGAAAACTGGAAAATTCACAAATTTGTGGAAATTTACACACTCTTAAAAGAACCAATGGATCAAAGAAGAAATCACAAGGGAAATTAGAAAATACTCAGAAACAGGCCAGGCTGGGTGGCTCACACCTGTAATCCCAGCATTTTGGGAGGCCGAGGTTGGCGGATCACTTGAGGTCAGGCGTTTGAGACCAGCCTGGCCAACATTGTGAAACCCTGTCTCTACTAAAAATACAAAAATTAGCCAGGCGTGGTGGCAGGCACCTGTAATCCCAGCTACTTGGGAGGCTGAGGCAAGGGAATTGCTTGAATCCAGGAGAGGGAGGCTGCAGCGAGCAGAGATTGCACCAATGCACTCCAGCCTGGGCGACAGAGTGAGACTCCATCTCAAAATAAATAAATTAATTAAATAAATAGAGAAAATATTGAGAAACAAATGAAAACAAAAACACAGCATGCCAAAATTTACTGGACACAGTGAAAGCAGTGCTCAGGGGAAATTTTATAGCTATAAGTGCTTCAAAATCATAGACAGAAAATTGCCAGGGCCTGGGGGTATGGGGATGGGAGGAGGGAAGAGGAAGTTATTGTTTAATGGGGACAGAATTTCAGTTTCAGTTTAGCAAGAAGACCAGAATTTTAGAGATAGCTGATGGTGATGATTGCACAATATGAAATGAATGTACTTTGTTGTTGGGGTTTTTTTGTTTTGTTTTGTTGTTGTTGTTGTTGTTTTTTGAGAGGGAGTCTCGCGCTGTCGCCCAGACTGGAGTGCAGTGGCAAGATCTTGGCTCACTGCAAGCTCCGCCTCCCAGGTTCAAGCCATTCTCCTGCCTCAGCCTCCCGAGTAGCTGGGACTACAGGCGCCCGCCACCACGCCCGGCTAATTTTTTGTATTTTTAGTAGAGACAGGGTTTCACCGTGTTAGCCAGGTTGTGTTTTTGTTTTTTTTTTTTTTTTTCAGACGGAGTTTCGTTCTTGTTGCCCAGGCTGGAGTTTAGTGACTGTTGGAGTGAGTGAGCCATCTTGGCCCACGGCAACCTTCGCCTCCCAGGTCAAAGGCTTTTCCTGCCTCAGCGTCCTGAGTAGCTGAGGCTACAGGCATGGGCAACCACGCCTGGCTAATTTTAGTATTGTTAGTAGAGACGGGGTTTCACCATGTTGGCCAGGCTGCTCTAGTACTCCTAGGCTCAAGCGATCCGCCCACCTCGGCCTCCCAAAGTGCTGAGATTACAGAAGTAAGCCACCTTGCCCAGCTCCTTTGTATAAATAAATGATATTGATTTTCTTCTTGCAGCTCAGGAATTAGATCTGTTATTAGAATTTGCTTAAATTTAAGAAATGGCTGGGTACTGTGGCTCACCGCTGTAATCCCAGCACTTCGGGTTGCCGAGGCAGGCGGATTGCTTGCGTCCAAGAGTTCGAGGCCAGCCTCGGCAACACAGTGAGACCCGCCCGCTCTCTGCACCACTCCTTCCCCCCCTCCTTTCCCCGTCTCTACAAAAAATACAAAAATAAATAAATTAGTCCGGCATGGTGGTGACTGCCTGTGGTCCAGCTACGCAGGAGGCTGAGGTGGGAGGATCGCTTGAACCCCGGTGGTCGAGGCTGCAGGGAGCCATGATCGCGCGCGCCACTGAACACCAGCCTGGGCGACAAAGCAAGACCTTGTCCCAAAATAGATTAAATAAATAAATAAATAAATTTAAGGAAAAAGCAACTTGATTCGAAGATAAATAGTGATAGTGCAAGTGGTGCCGAACTAACGATAAATTTGGAAAACAGCGGCCCACGCGCAGAGCCCGTCCCAATTCTGGCAGCCTTTGGATTTGGCTTCCACGTTTTCCAGATTTCCCTCGGCCTCTAGCTCGCTTGCGTCAGAGGGGCCCCGAGGGGCGGCCCACCCGCTAGCCCCGCCCCCAACCGCTCACCGCCCCGCGAGCCCCGCCCCCTCGGCCTCCTCCTCATCGGCCGCCGTTGCGCGGCGCAGAGCGGCAGCAAGATGGCGGCGCAACAGCGGGACTGCGGGGGTGCTGCGCAGCTGGCGGGGCCGGCGGCGGAGGCTGACCCCCTAGGACGCTTCACGTGTCCCGTGTGCTTAGAGGTGTACGAGAAGCCGGTACAGGTGCCCTGCGGACACGTGTAAGCGGCGAGCCCGGGCCTGGTCGGGGGGCGCTTAACTGGGAAGGGAATGGAGCCGAGGAGCGAGATGGGTCTCAGGGCGGGAGCCAGAGGACCCACCCAGAGGGGCCTCCCGGGGGTGTCCCCCGGGGCTCCTAAGGGCCGTGAAAGCTGCCGGGGCGCTCTTCTGTCCCGCCCCGCTCACTCCTAAGTATCCCGTTCCTCCGCCCGTCTTAGCGGGGCAGCTGCTGTCTGTTGAGCGCCTGCGATGTTCCAGGCGGCCTGTCAGTCTCCTTCCCACACGTGATAGTGGACTCGTGCCCTGCGGGGACTTTAGGCTCCGAAGTCCGCCCTTGGAGAGCCGACGTTTCCTTTCTAGTCCACGTCGCTCTTAAAGCATAGGACATTTGGCGTCGTGTCTAGCTGTGGCGAGTTATTCTACTGTGCACTAAAGTCGGGAGAAACGCTGAACTAGACTAAAACAACAAAAGGGAAGTCTTTATGGGGATCTGGCCAGTTTGCCCTTAGCTGTGAAAGGGGGGTGGGAGTTGGCAGATGGGATTGTTAGCATTCTACTTCCTGTGTAGGAGGTTTGTTTCTTTCAGTTTTCAATTAAGCCTTCATGACCTGAATATTGTGAATAGAGTGGTTATAATGATTAAAGCAGATATGTGTATAAATGTCCAGTCCAGGTCCTGGGCTGTGGCCGGGGCTTTCGAGGTTGGTCAGGTTGGTCGATTTGAATCTAAGCCTTGTTCCATCAGACGCACAAACACATCTGAGTTGAAAGAATTGTAGACAACGTGGCCACCTGCTTCTTGCCTCAGAATTGGCTTTTCCTCTGGCCCCTCTCAGTGCTTATCGTGGGATCACCTTGGCATTGGTCTTGGCAGCGGGCACAGTAGCCATTGCACTCCATGGGCATTATTCTATAGCCACCCTGCAGCGGGGGAGGGTTGGCAGCCATTTTACAGGTGAATACACTGAGGGTCCGAGGCTCTCTTAGGGAAGGGTCACCGTGGCCTAGCTCTTCCCAGATGTACTGCAGGTGACCATTTCAGTAGTCCAGAGAACAGTGCTTGGCACCTAGCTGGCTGCTTTTTGCTTCATCATGTTGCTTTAGGCTATTCATCTTTGCAATTCGGTTAGCCTGGAACTCTTCCCCCCACCCCTCCCTTTTCAGGCTTCAAGTCCCAGGTTAAGTTACCTCACCAAATACCATCCCCATCTAAATTACTTCCCCCACTTCCTTTCTGGGACTTAACTTCCTTCTCCTTGCTTGCACAGAGCAAAACTTAACAGCTCATGACGGAGTGGCCATATCTTTATTGCCCCTGAACTGACTGGAATGGCCTCTGTGTGCCAGATTTTGGGGTAGACTCTGCCTTCAGAGTTTACAGTCCAGTGAATTGATTATAAATAAGTACCAATGACTGGTCAAACTATTGTAAAAATTCATTCTGCAAGTGGGAGGGTATTTCAGGGATCACACCTCTGTGCGTGGGGTGAGTGATCAGGTAATGGTTGAATGAACTAATAAGTCGTGTAAGCAAGCTTCACGAGAGTTGAAGTGGTCTTTAGCTTTTTCATTGAATCCACTTATCCTTGGATCAGATTTACCTGATTTTGGATTAATTCAGTGGATTTCATTTACTATTAACATTTGTAAAAAGGCTAGACCCAGCACAGTTTGCTAAATGAAGAGCAGCAAAATTTGAGATTTTCTTGAGCTTGGTGAACCTTTCCTAGGTCAGAGGGCAAGGAACAGTACTGGTTTTCAAACCTTGGCTCTTCTCTATCCTCGCTGTCCTAGCCCCACGTGATCAGCAGTTCAGTGCAAATTGAAGACAGATGGAAGCACCTCTGTGAGGGCAGCCCAAATCCCCGCTAGCTCCAACCGACTGCTTTCTCCTGTGCCTAGTTGATTTTTACCTTTTGTGCTTGGAAAGTTGAGCATCACTGCAACTCTGGCTGGGGCATTGGATTTTTATAAAACTTTATTTCAAGCCCTGAATGACTGTGTTCTCCAATCTGGTAGAATACAGCTGGAGAAAGGCAGCTGGCTGGGTGCCCAAGAGAAGGGAATTTCTTCCTAGCACTGTGACGGAGTGGAGCATCGGAAGGCTGAACTAGAAAAGGGCGCATAAGTAGGAAATAGAAACTGAAAAGCCATCCCAGGATATTTGAGTTGTTCAAAAGCAGGCTGGTAGTTTGGGCATGTCTCAGGCACAAAGTGACTCGTGAACATTTGATAGATGAGCTGTACCTGTGTGTGTGCTTGAGAAGAGACTTCGAGCTGCTTTTATCTGCATGCTGGGTTTGGTTCCATTATACTCACTGGACCCTCTGTGCTCTCTTGGGTTCCTCTTGTCATCTGCCTTTGTGAACAGGCAACACAAGTGATGGCCACAGGCCCTGCCTGTCTCTACTGCCTCATCACTTGCCCTTCTCACCATGGTCTACCGCATCATGGCCCCCAAGGTCTGCCTGCCTTCCTTTCCAGTCCTCATTTGTGTGTGGCGTGATCTTGGTGTGGAGCTCTGCACCCAGATCTGTGTGGCTGTCCTCGTAATCAGGTCCCACCCAGCTCAAATGCCAACTCCTCAGAAGCAGCTTTCTATGATCACCCCAGCTGGTCTGTTTGCCATATTTCCTTCATATTTTTAATCACTATCTGAAATTAACATTTGTGTTTCCCTTCACTCTAGAATGTAAGCATCATGAGAACAGGGCTTTGTCAAGTTTCCATTGCCCTCAGTGGTGAATGAATAGACTCCCTCACCTTCTCTGTACCTGGTCTGGAATTTTGCCTAACAGCATTAACATCTAACTTAATGACAAGGAGGAAGGAGATTCTTAGAGGCAGTAGAAAATGGTCAAGTGTTCAGAAGATGGCCTTTCATTATATATCTTTAGTTCTTTCTGGCAGATTTGGTTATACTGTCTTAATCTATCAGGTTGGGTAAGTAGCCCAGGGTGTCTTCTCCATTCTTTCTGTATGCCTTATCTCAGCATTACCATCTTCCTAGGCTTCAGGATAGGAACTCGGTCATCTTTGACTTCTTTTCTTCAAAGTCAGTAAGTTATCAAGTCCTCCTGATTCTACCTTTCTGTGAATGGTTTCCTGAATTCATCCCCTGCTGCTTCAGTCAGACCCTCACAATCCTCTGCCTTTAGCCATCTGTTTGGTTTCTACTTTGTCTCTTCTCACCTTCTCACCTAAAAAAAAAAAAAACTATAGGGCTGGGCTCAGTGGCTCACACCTGTAATCCCAGCACTTTGGGAGGCCAAGACGGGTGGATCACCAGAGGTCAGGAGTTCGAGACCAGCCTGGCTAACGTGGTGAAACCCCGTCTCTACTAAAAATATAAAATTAGCTGGGTGTGGTCATGCGCGCCTGTAACCCCAGCCACTTGGGAGTCTGAAGCAGGAGAATCGCTTGGACCGGGGAGGCAGATTTTGCAGTGAGCCGAGATTGCACCATTGCACTTCAGCCTGGGCAACAGAGCACGACTCTGTCTCAAAAAAAAAAAAAAAAAAAAAAGTAACAAAACTTTGTTTTCCATGATAGCACAGAGATATTTTTCTGAAACCTGGATTTGGCCTTGTTTTGTTAATACCTTCCTTTTAAACTCCTGGCTCCCTACTGTTTATGAGGAAAAGTCTGTTAGATTTTTATTTCCTCAGATACATATCAATTTTAAGCCTAAATTAGGCCTAGAATAGTCTTCCCTTCCTCTGCTAGCTGACCTCTTTTTTTAAAATGCCAGAGGGGTAATGGGCCAACATCTGTAACAAGGTTCGAGGGTGGCACATCTCACACATGCACATGAACACCCAGTCCTCAGGTTCATGAACTACAAAAGGATCCATCTGAACCCTTTTTTTTTTTTTTTTGAGACGGAGTCTCGCTCTGTCTCCCAGGCTGGATGGAGTGCAGTGGCGCGATCTTGGCTCACTGCAAGCTCTGCGTCCTGGGTTCATGCCATTCTCCTGCCTAAGCCTCCCGAGTAGCTGGGACTACAGGCACCCGCCACCACTCCCAGCTAATTTTTGTATTTTTAGTAGAGACGGGGTTTCACTGTGTTAGCCAGGATGGTCTCGATCTCCTGACCTTGTGATCTGCCCGCCTCGGCCTCCCAAAGTGCTGGGATTACAGGCATGAGCCACCGCGCCTGGCTGAGCTGAACCCTTTTAAGGCTGATCAGAGATGCCGTCTCTGCAGTCTTCCCCTCCACCCCCCCCTTGAGACAGAGTCGCACTCTGTTGCCCAGGCTGGAGTGTGCAGCCACCTCTGCCTCCCAGGTTCAAGCAATTCTCCTGCCTCAGCCTCCCGAGTAGCTGGGATTACAGGCATCTGCCACCATGCCTGGCTAATTTTGGTATTTTTAGTAGAGACGGGTTTCACCATGTTGGTAAGGCTGGTCTCAAACTCCTGACCTCGTGATCTGCCTGCCTTGGCCTCCCAAAGTGCTGGGATTACGGGCGTGAGCCACCGCTCCCAGCCTTCACTGCAGTCTTACCAGCCCTTTCCTTCTCAGGTCACTAGTTGATTTTCCCTTTATGTTCCTGTAGCGCTTTGCCTTCACCTGTAATGATAGCAGCTCCCGTTTGTGGTGCGTTTTGTAAGGGCTGGACACTCTGCCAGGGGTCTGCTATACAAACTGTATCCTCCCAGCAGTCCTAGAGGTAGGTACTACTCTCTCCATTTCACAAAGGAAAAAATGGAGATTCAAGAAACCCCACTGAGATCCTTCAGTGGCAGGGCCTAAGGCTTGAAGCCTCAACCTTAACACCTTCACTGTGTCTATCACAGGAGTTTGCATTTGTTTCTGTAGTTGTGTGTTCTTTGTAGTCCACTCCTATCCCTCATTTTTTCTGGCTTGGAAGGACTTAGTATTTGAACTGGGAGGAGAGAGCAAGTTGTTTTTTACTCCATTATCCATTGATGTCTTTTTAAAAGTTGATCCATATTTGTCGTCTTGTCTCCATGATGCGTGACAGAGGTTCTCTGTATGTCTTGTTCTAGCTTTTGCTCTGCATGCCTGCAGGAATGTCTGAAGCCGAAGAAGCCTGTCTGTGGGGTGTGTCGCAGCGCTCTGGCACCTGGCGTCCGAGCCGTGGAGCTCGAGCGGCAGATCGAGAGCACAGAGACTTCTTGCCATGGCTGCCGTAAGAATGTATGTGGAAGTGATGTGGAAGAGTCCATGTCTTTCCATGATAAGTTGGGGTAAAACGTACAGCTGCCATGTTGTTGCTGAAGTTAGAGCATGACTAGGTCACTAACAGCACGCGTGCATGCCAATTACCTGTGGTGATGGCTGGGCTGGTTTGTTTTCATAACCTTACTGGTTTTTGTTTCTTTTTTTAAGAGTTGGTTAAGTATATATTTTAGGTTTGAAAGCCATAGAAATCAGTTATCCCAGTTTTTTCCTATAAAAGATCAATTATGGCCAGGCGCGGTGGCTCATTCCTGTAACCCCAGCTCTTTGGGAGTCCGAGGCAAGAGCTTGAGGCTAGGAGTTAAGAGACCAGCCTGGACAACATAGTGAGACCTCATCTTTACAAAAAAATAAAATTAGCCGGGTGTGGTGGTATGTACCTGTAGGCCCAGCTACTCAGGAGGCAGAGGCCAGAGGATCACTTGAGCCCAGGAGTTTGGGATTACAGTGATCTATGATCATGCCACTGCACTCCAGCCTGGCTGACAGCAAGACCCTGTCTCTTAAAAAAAAGTCAATATGAAATCATTGGATTGTAATAACAATAGCTAACATTTGAAATGCATCCATGCTCTTGTATAATCAGAGTCAAGTATATTTATTTTCATACCTGTTATAACTGCTACTGGAAAGGAGAAATACTGTTGTCTTATTTTCCAAGAGATATACACAGCCTTGTTGATTTTAGAATCATTAAAATTTTTAAAATTGCAGACCATACAAAAGTACACAATAATGTAGGCTTGTTCCTCATTCCAGAGATTACTTCAAAATTCGTTCAACTTAAGGCCTGGCAAGGTGGTTCATGCCTGTAATCCCAACACTTTGGGAGGCCAAGGTGGGTGGATTGCTTGAGTCCAGGAGTTCTAGACCAGCCTGGACAACATGGTGAAACCTCGGCTCTACTGAAAATACAAAAAACTAGCAGGGCATGGTGGTGTGTGCCCGTAGTCTCAACTGTTCGGGAGGCTGAGGTGAGAGGATGGCTTGAGCCCAGGAGGCAGAGGTTGCAGTGAGCTGAGTTCGTGCCACTGCACTCCATCCTGGGTGATAGAGCCGGACCCTGTCTCAAGGAAAAAAAAAGTGATTTAATTTCGAAAGCTGCATAACATTTTCTGCCCTTTGACAAACACTGTAGAATTTTTACCAACCAAGTTGTAGGATTTTTGCAAAATGAGATTATACTATAATATATATATTTCTTCAACTTTTTTCACTTTTTTAAATGTACACTCATTCCCAACTTTTTTTTTCCACTTTTCAGGTTTTTTTTCTCTTACATATTGGACAGCCTTGCATGTCAGTTTCATTATTTTTAACACTTCGGTATGGATGCCCATAGTAAGAATATACCTTACCATCTCCTTTTCAGCGTGATTTAGTATTAGGGATGCATAGTAGGGCCATTTCAATGCTGAATAGGGCTATTTTCTGTGTCTTAATTGGGGGCTTCACTCTTGAGGCTGGGCATGGTGGCTCATGCCTATATCCTATCATTTGGAGAGGCCAAGGCAAGAGGATCACTGACCCCAGGAGTTCGAAATCAGCCTGGGCAACATAGTGGGACTCTGTATATACCAAAACAAACCAACAAACAAAACCAGCTGTGTGTAGTGGTGTATGCATGTAGTCCCAGCTCCTTGGGAGGCTGAGGTGGGAAGATTGCTTGAGCCCAGAAGTTTGAGAGCAGCCTGGGGAATATAGTGGACCCAGTTTCTACAAAAAAAGGAAAAAAAAATTGAGGATTCCTCAGTTTGTAGCTTAAAGTCAAGTTCTTGAGCTGGAGGTGAGACAATCATCATGGTAAGCTGGAGCTCAAATATTGGAGCATTTTTTTCCCCCTTTGAAGTTTACTTTTAGAAACTCAAAATATTGAAATACAATTCCCTACTGTCTTCTTTTTTTTTTTTTTTTTTTTTTTTTGAGACGGAGTCTCACTCTGTTGCCCAGGCTGGAGTACAGTGGCGTGATCTCAGCTCACTGCAGGCTCCGCCTGTTGGGTTCACGCCATTCTCCTGCCTCAGCCTCCTGAGTAGCTGGGACTACAGGTGCCCATCACCACGCCCAGCTATATATATATACACACACACACACACACACACACATACATACACACAGAGATATATATATATATATATATATATATTTGTATTTTTAGTAGAGACAGGGTTTCACTGTGTTAGCCAGGATGGTCTCGATCTCCTGACCTCGTGACCCGCCCGCCTCAGCCTCCCAAAATGCTGGGATTATAGGCATGAGCCATTGCACCCGGTCTCTTCATCTTTATTTATGCATGCATAATGTGGTTTTTGGTTTTGTTTTGTTTTTTTTCTGAGACAGGGTCTGGCTTTGTTGCCCGGGCTGGAGTGCAATTGCGTGGTCTCAGCTCACTGAAACCTCTGCCTCCCAGGCTCAAACCATCCTCCCACCTCAGCCTCTCAAGTAGCTGGGACTACAGGCATGTGTCACCACGCCTGCCTAATTTTTTTGTATTTTCAGTAGAGACGAGTTTTGCATGTTGCCCATGCTGATCTCGAACTCGGGAGCGTGAAGTGATGGCCCACCTCAGCCTCCCTCAGGATTACAGGTGTGAGCCACCGTACTCCGCCCATGATGGGCTTTTTGTTTGTTTTACTGTATGCTTTTGCTTTTCTCCATTTTCAAGATTAGTGATTGTACTGTTGGCATGCCTCAGAAAATGTTTTTCTTTCCTTTATCTTCCCTCTTTTCTTCAATTCTTAAAACTTTCTTTCTTTTTAGAAAACCTGTAATGAAGCACTATTCTCTGGGTTTTCTTCTCTTTCTGTTTTACTGTTGCACAGCCTAGATTTTATATGAAAGGCTGGGCCGGGCGTGGTAGCTCACGCCTGTAAACCCAGCACTTTGGCAGGCTGAGGCAGGCAGATCACTTGAGGTCAGGAGTTCGAGACCAGCCTGGCTAACGTGGTGAAACTCCATCTCTACTAAAAATATGAAAATTAGCTGGGCCTGATGGCACACACCTGTAATCCCAGCTACTCAGGAGGCTGAGGTGGGAGAATCACTTGAACCCGGGAGGCGGAGGTTGCAGTGAGCCGAGATGGTGCCACTGCACTTCAGTCTGGGCGACAGAGTGAGTGAGACTCTGTCTCAAAAAAAAAAAAAAAGAGAATTTAGATTTTAAAGATTATTTCTCAGAGGCTGGTGATAGATACTTTAACCAGGGTTAGTGGCTTTTATATGTTTTACCTAAAGGATCACTTTTCTCTGCTGCACATAACAGAATGTGGTTTTTGGCTTGCTGTAAGGAGACTAGTTTAAATGCTAGTATAGAAAACTTTTAAAAACATCCTAGATTTGGAGCTTGTCTGTGAGCAGACAGCCTATCATGAATAGGAGCAAACCTCTAGGAGAGTTATTTTAGAGTGGAAGTGGATATCCTGATTTAGTCGAATAAAATAGCAGCCTTGGTATTAATGGGAAATCTGCAATAATCAGGGTTTCAGCCCCATCAGCGTAGTCAGGAGTTTGGTGAGATTATTTGCCAGGGTGGTGTAGGTCTAGTTTTCTTTGTGCCCTTGTTTGGGACTATATTTTGCCTGTTGCAAGGTCCTCACTAACTTATGGGCTCTGATTCTTCCTATTTGAGTTCTTCCTGTCCAAGATCCGGTCCCACGTGGCTACTTGTTCCAAATACCAGAATTACATCATGGAAGGTGTGAAGGCCACCATTAAGGATGCATCTCTTCAGCCAAGGTAAATGACTCAGTCTCCCCTTAGGTGGAGGTCATCTCTTGCTATTAATACAAAGAGGTTGCATGCCCAGGGGTTTAGTTGTATGAATTGTTATGCTGGCTAAAGCTGATACAAGTATTTTGGGAGGAGTATGCAAGGGAGGACTCTGGTGTTCACTTCAGATGTTAGCTGAGCTATATTCTTTTTTTCTTTTTTGAGACAGAGTCTCGCTCTGTTGCCCAGGCTGGTGTGCAGTGGTGCAATCTCAGCTCACTGCAACCTCTGCCTCCCGGGTTCAAGCGATTCTCCTGCCTCAACCTCCCAAGTAGCTGGGATTACAGGCACCTGCCACCATGCCTGGCTAAATTTTGTATTTTTTAGTAGAGACAGGGTTTGTCATGTTGGTCAGGCTGGTCTTGAACTCCTGATCTCAGGTGATCCGCCTGCTTTGGCCTCCCAAAGTGCTGCGATTACAGGCGTAAACCACCACGCCCGGCCAGCTGAGCTGTTATTTTCACAACACTTGACCTGAGTCTGAAGTGATCATCAGCATCCTTATCATTACACATTTGGTGAGCTTTGCTCCTTTTTGGAGTGTACTGTGGTTGAAGTTTAATGGAAAGGTACTCACAGAAAAGTTTTCTTTTTTCCTGTGTTTCACCTTCCAGGAATGTTCCAAACCGTTACACCTTTCCTTGTCCTTACTGTCCTGAGAAGAACTTTGATCAGGAAGGACTTGTGGAACACTGCAAATTATTCCATAGCACGGATACCAAATCTGTGGTGAGTAACCTTTTTTTTTTTTTTTAAACTTCATTAAGGGAAAGGATCAAGCTTGGAGAAAAATGACGGGATTAGTAGAATGAACTCCTGTGTGCCCTTCACCTAGATTGACAGATTGTTAACATTTTACCATATTTGCTTAACCATGCTCTATAGTACACATTTTTTGCTGACCACTTGGGAATAAGCTACAGATACCATGACCATTTTTGCACCCTGAATACTTCGCACCCTGATACAGGAGTGTGTATGTCTTAAGAACAAGAATGTTTTCTTGGAAAATTATATTTTTGTGTGTATAATTAATCATATTCAAGAAATTTAACATTGATTCAATCTAATGTCTAATGTGAAATTCATGTTTTAATTTTAACAATTGTAATGTCTTTCATAGCAATTTCCCCCTCCCCCCAAGGCAGAGGCAGGGATGGTACACGAGTTCTCTGTCCTCTGGGTGCTACATTAAGTCATGTGATGTCTGTTGTTGGTAACATTAACTTGGTTCCCTTGGTGTCCACCAAATTTCTCCATGAAGCTGCCATTTTATTTTTGGAAGTAGCTTCTTCATAGTTGTGGGGAAAGAGGATTTAGGTGAAATTATTAGGAAAAGGCTTATCAATCCTTGGACATTTTACTCAGATATTACCTACTGGCATGTGTAGTCTCCTTTAAAAAAAAAAAAATGTAGGCTGGGCACGGTGGCTCACACCTGTAATCCCAGCACTTTGGGAGGCCAAGGCGGGTGGATCAGTTGAGGTCAGGAGTTCAAGATCAGCCTGGCTAACATGGTGAAACCCCATCTCTACTAAAAATACAAAAATTAGCCAGGCATGGTGGCGGGCGCCTTTAATCCCAGCTACTTGGGAGGCTGAGGCATGAGAATTGCTTGAACCTGGGAGGCAGAAGTTGCAGTGAACTGAGATCCTGCCACTGCACTCTAGTCTGGGCAGCAGAACAAAACTGCCCCCCCCCCCCCCCCCCCCCCCAAAAAAGTATTTGTTCCATCTTAGCAATGTGTTACCTTTCTCTCTCAATGTGATTGACAGACCAGGTCTTTTTTTATAGTTAGGTGTATACTTCCTCTATAGTTTTAATTTTTCCATTTATCTCATACTGCTTCTCTTGAACTACATACTCTGTTGTATGGGCAGCCTTCAGCTCCATTGCTGTAAACAGTGGTGCAGAAATTTTAGAATTTTAATGAGCTTTTGTGAGAGTACTAGGGCAGCTATCAATGCTCATCTTAAGATGGAACTGGCCATTTTGAGAAACATATCTTTGCCTGTATCTATGTATGTTTATAAGCTAAAGTCTTAGATACAGATTGACTTGGTTAAATGTTACTTGCACTCATAATTTTGTTGGATACTGTTATTGCTGAACTTTTCTGGTATGGCAGCCTAATTTTCTGTCTTTTTCCCCTCCTTTGGCTTCTGAAATCCCTCTGATTATGTTGTCTATGTTGAGGCCTTCTCTTCAGCCTTTGGCCCTCTGTTCTGTCTTCCTCTCCCTCTGCAAGTTTTTTTTTTTTTTTTTTTTTTTTTTTTTTTTTTTTTTTTGAGGCGGAGTTTCGCTCTGTCGCCCAGGCTGGAGTGCAGTGGCGCGATCTCGACTCACTGCAAGCTCCGCCTCCCGGGTTCACGCCATTCTCCTGCCTCAGCCTCCCGTGTAGCTGGGACTACAGGTGCGCGCCACCATGCCCGGCTAATTTTTGTATTTATGGTAGAGACGGGGTTTCACCGTGTTAGCCAGGATGGTCTCGATCTCCTGACCTCGTGATCCGCCCGTCTCGGCCTCCCAAAGTGCTGGGATTACAGGCGTGAGCCACCGCGCCCGGCCCTCTGCAAGTTCTTAACTCTGCGTTTCTCCCTTCCCTTTAGAAGCCATCTCCTTTTCAGTCTCTAGTCCCACCCTATGTTCTAGCTCCCCAGCTACAGCTGCCTGCCCACCTTTTCCACTCAGTCTTCTACCATTCCAGATTTCTCTCTTGTCAATCCCCTTTATCACTGTATCTTCCTTGCTGTGGGGTAGGGTTCCACCTTTAAGTGGGGGCACTTAGGTCTTCTCTCTCCCTGGCATGAGTTTTCTGCACTCACTGGTCTGGTTGTTTACATGTGTTGACAGTAACTGCCGCCTTCTGGCCTTTTCTCCGTGCTGCTGCCTCTCTTCTGGAGCACAATTTTTTTTTTTTTTTTTTTAAGACAGAGTCTCACTCTGTCACCCAGGCTGGAGGCTGGAGTGCAGTGGCACAATCTTGGCTCACTGCAACCTCCACTTCCAGGGTTCAAGCGATTCTCATGCCTCAGCCTCTCAGGTAGCTGGGACTACAGGCGTGTGCCACCATGCAAGGCTAATTTTTGTATTTTTAGTAGAGAAGATGTTTCACTATGTTGGCCAGGCTGGTCTCAAACTCCTGACCTCAGGTGATCTACCGCTTTGGCCTCCCAAAGTGCTGGGATTACAAGTGTGAGCCACTGTGCCCGGCCTGGAGCACTCTTTCATGTCCTCTTTGCCTTTCCAAATACTTCCCAATCTTCAAAAACCAAATCAACCTTTTGTGTGAGGGCTTTTCAGCCTGATCCCCCTCTTCTGAGCATTTCCTTTGTTAAGATGCATGTAAGGCTGTGTTTTACTTCCCTGGGACATTGCTCATCGGCTTATTTTCTTAGTTTTCCTCATGCTTTTGGATTGTCTTGTGTGCTGGATTGGAAGGCCAGTCTAGGCCCCCCACCAGGCTGACTCACTTCTCTGCTTACAGTAGGGAATGAGAAAGGGTGGTATCATGATTTGAACTTTACCCAGTCCCACGTGTCATTTGACTTGAGCTGGAAATTTGCAGTGTTTTTTTGGGCTGCTGATGTGCACAGGAAGGAGTTACTGGCCCTGGACAGTATGTCAGGAAAGCTGTCCTGGAAGAAAGGAGGCCAGACACAGGCCACAGAGGGCTGGTGCAAGCTTGGAAATTGGGTGCCTAAGACCTTGCTTTTGTGTTGAAAGGTTTGTCCGATATGTGCCTCGATGCCCTGGGGAGACCCCAACTACCGCAGCGCCAACTTCAGAGAGCACATCCAGCGCCGGCACCGGTTTTCTTATGACACTTTTGTGGTAAGTCTGGAGCCTGGGCTCTGATCCCTCCCCTGGGGGAGTGGCACGGCTACTTCACTCTTCTCAAAAGGGGAAATGGGGATCCCCAGTGTTGAACTTTGTCGCTGTTGTGATGGGCTTCCAGTCTGTATACTGGATACAGTGATAAAGGGGATTGACAAGAGAGAAAAGAAGACTGAGTGGAAGAGGCGGGCAGGCAGCTGTAGCTGGGGAGCTAGATGGGCTTCCAGTCTGTATACTGTAGCTACTATACAGTTTCTATTCATGGGCCAGGCAGGTGGCCAGAGTGACATTTATTTACTTACATGAGATGGAGTCTTGCTCTGTCGCCCAGGCTGGAATGCAGTGGCGTGATCTCAGCTCACTGCAGCCTCCACCTCCCGGGTTCAAGTGATTCTCCTGCCTCAGCCTCCTGAGTAGCTGGGACTACAGGCGCATGCCACCATGCCCCATTACTTTTTGTACTTTCAGTAGAGACAGGCTTTCACTATGTTGGCCAGGCTGGTCTCGAACTCCTGACCTCGTGATCTGCCCACCTTGGCCTCCCAAAGTGTTGGGATTACAGGCGTGAGCCACCACGCCCGGCCCAGAGTGACATTTAAGAAGATGATCTGGGCTGGGCGCAGTGGCTCACACCTGTAATCCCAGCACTTTGGGAGGCCGAGGTGGGCGGATCCTGAGGTCGGGGGTTCGAGACCAGCCTAGCCAACATAGTGAAATCCCGTCTTTACTAAAAATACAAAAAAATTAGCCAGGTGTGGTGGTGGGCACCTGTAATCCTAGCTACTTGGGAGGCTGAGGCAGGAGAATCGCTTGAACCTGGGAGGCAAGGTTGCAGTGAGCCAATATCGTGCCACTGCACTCCAGCCTGGGCAACAGAGCAAGACTGTCTCAAAACAAACAAGAAGATGATCTGGTCAGTCTTTGAGACAGAGACAGTGATACTTGCTCTTTCCATCTCCTAGCCCTGCCACCAAATTTTTGTCTACTTTTCTTGTGGTTTATATAATTTCTGCCTGTTATAGAACTTGGTTTGGGGACAGGTGCGGTGCAGTGGTTCATACCTACAATCCTAGCATTTTTGGGAGGCTGAGGCAGGTGGATCGCTTGAGCTCAGGAGTTCGAGACCAGCCTGGGCAACATGGGAAAACCTTGTCTCTGCAAAAAATACAAAAAGTAACCAGGTGTGGTGGCTCCTACCTGTAGTCCTAGCTACTTTGAGGGAGCTGGGACAGGAGGATCTCTTGAGCCCAAGAGACGGAGGTTGCAGCAAGCTGAGATCATGCCACTGCACTCCAGCCTGGGCAACAGAATGAGACCCTGTCTCAAAAAAAAAAAAAAAAAACAAAACACACACACACAACAACAATTTGGACTTGGGAGGCTCAATCTCGCATGTCCATGGGGACCATAATTGAAATGATCCTCCTGAGGATTTCCAAGCCAGGTGGTGCCTGACTCGTTATGCTGCCATCACCTTGTTTTCCTATGGAAATGCAGGCGCAGCATTGCCTAGCTTCTCCACCCCCCATGCCCAAGCAGGACAGGAAAATTTCACAGGAGGTTTCACAGGTTTTAATTATCTTCAAAAATACTTCAGGTCAAATAGCATATATCCACTAGCCAAATACGGCTGTCAGGTTTATATTCTTTCCCTAGAGCTGGATGGTTTCAAAGGGGCACACTGTTGTCTTGCCATTATAGTAGTAGGTAACTTTGGCCAACTATATCAAGTAAACCTCTTACTTACATATATAGATGTCAAGTTAGGATTTTAGAGTGGTATTCGGTCTTGATGGCTGAATTTCAGTATCTAAGAAAGAAAGCTCTCTGCTAAATTGTCATAAAGAATATTTTTTCTCAGTCTGACAGTGTCTGAAACTCAGACTTCAGAATAACTGCCCTTTTTGTTAATGTGACACAGATGAATTACATTCATCTGTGTCACATTAACAAAAATGACTCATTAAAAATGAGTCCTAAAAATGACTCATTAAAGAGGGCTAGTTGCGCTATAGTTTCTGCTGTATTGTATGGCTCTAAAAATCTGATTCTGTACTGTGCACTGATTCCACCTCTCAGAAACAACTCTTCAGCTCAGTGCATCTGCGTGCTCTGTTCCGACAGACTTACAAATGTTCTGAGCACTTGGTCTGTGCCAGCCTCCATTCGTGTGCTGTCTGGGTTTCTCAATCTCCATTTAAGGGAGGCATCCTTAACTTCATTTAAGAATCAGGCAGCAGACTGGGTGCAGTGGCTCATGCCTGTAATCTCAGCACTTTGGGAGGCCAAGGCGGGTGGATCACGAGGTCAAGAGATTGAGACCATCCTGGCCAACATGGTGAAACCCTGTCTCTACTAAAAACATAAAAATTAGCTGGGCATGGTGGCGCACGCCTGTTAGTCCCAGCTACTCGGGAGGCTGAGGCAGGAGAATCACTTGAACCTGGGAGGCAGAGGTTGCAGTGAGCCAAGACTGTGCCACTGCACTCCAGCCTGGCAACAGAGCGAGACTCCATCAAATAAAAAAAAAGAGAAGGCAGCAGAGACAGATTAATTTTCCCAAAGTTACATACCTAGCATCACAAACAGTTGCACTGGGGATCCGGTCCCTGGCAACCTGCTCCGGATCCAGTTGCTAGGCTGTCCTGCTTCTACTGAAAGCCAGTCTTTGCATCTAGAAACAGTTGCTGAGGCTGCATGTCTCTTTTTGCCCTTAGGATTATGATGTTGATGAAGAGGACATGATGAATCAGGTGTTGCAGCGCTCCATCATCGACCAGTGAGCAGAGTCCGTGCTTGCTATCTGTCTCATGTTACAGAGCTTCCATTACATATTAAACGTGAAATCTATGACTCCTGTACCTTACCTGTTCAACAGACCTGAAAATGAGCCATGGCATTGGGACAGGGTCACTTCTGACAGGGGAAGTGGGTCCCCAGGTCAGCCCTTCTCTTCCCTTTGGGCTCTTGCCAAAGCTGTCTTCCCCTACTGTTAACCTTGTTTGTCACACGGTCGAGTTCGTATTGGTTCTCGGCTACTTCCTGGAGCTTCTGCCGCCTCCTGTGGAAGATAATCTAGCTTCTCCACCTCTTGTTTCACACTCATTCCTCCCATCCAGTGTTTGTCTCTCGGGTCCTTCAAGCCAGCCAGGACCTTTTCTGGGTCATGAATAGCACAATGAAGCAAGTGTCTCCTTTCCTTGTCCCCAAGGTGTGCAGACTTTGGCAGCCGTGCACCTGACCAGAGCTGAAGCTCCCGCTGGGCTGTGGGGTTGCCAGAAGCTGGGGTTGCCATCCCGGGGTACATGTCACCAGTCCTCTTGGGGTTTTGTACCATCTGATGCTGGAAGTTTTGATTAGTGATATTTTCTACTACTACATATTTAGAGTTCACTGGTTCAGTCTTAAATGCCTGCATGGTGCCTTTTTAGGATAAGGTATAACCATACATTTTTGGTGGAAGTGTTTCTGGGTTAGGGAAGTTAAAGTCTGTTTATCCGTAAGTGGGGAGGAGGGTCAGCTAAGAGAAGTGGGAGGGCCAGAGCTTTTTGGTTCTGATTTACAAATTAATGAAGTAGTTTCAAACAACGCGGTCATGTTTACCTCTCCATTTGGGAGCCTGCCTACATTCTTGTTCTAGAAGCACAAAAAATCCTCAGATGAATTAGAAGAAAGAGGTTTGGGGACTCAGCGGATACTAGTTCTTTTACCTTCTGCTTGGTAACTTAGATTAAACTGAGCATTGTTTTTCTGTCACAAATGTTTTCCTTATGACACTGGTTTCGACATGTAAAATGTGTTTGAAAACCTGCTTTGTAGATGCAGAGAGAAGCTATAGGAAACCCAGTACCACCCCTGGTCTGTTCTGACGAGACATCGTTCATAAGGCACAGCACATCGCAAGATGAACAGTTGTTAATAAAAGCTGTTGCTGGAAACTTGCTTTAGGAACAGCTCAAGAACCTTGGAGTTCATATTTCACAAATATTAATAAATATAAGTCCAAGAGCTGTCAGCCTAATCTGTAGGAGCAGAACCTCTGATTGACCAAAAGGCATATGGGTTTAGGTTGGTTTTTTGATGTCATATGTCTCTGATGGGGCTGCAAGTGCTACCTCGCGCTTGTACACTGCTGCTGTGGGGCTCCGCGCCTGCCGGTGAAGAGCTGCAGATGCCGAGAAGCCAGCAAACACAGGGCCCACTGGAAAAAAATAGTTTTTTCATTAGTATTTCTCGGGAGGACCCAAAAGTTAAGGTCAGCTTGTTCACTGTAATTTCTGGAAGAAGTTCACTCAGACCTTCCTGAATTCAGATCATCTCAGAAGTCTGGAGGGAAATCTGGCGAAACCTTCGTTTGAGGGACTGATGTGAGTGTATGTCCACCTCACTGGTGGCACCGAGAAACTTACTTCCTTGTATTAAGTGCACTTCTTGTATTTCTAATAAGATGACTTTCCAGAAAGTGAGATTTGTTATGTTCTGGCTTTTAAAAGGTAAAATATAAATAAATTTCATAACTTAATCTAAGTGGTAAGCTATGGTTCTTGTTTTCATTCAACACATTTGCCATAGCATGGGCTTGGGGAGTCTCCAGAAGATGGTTACCCTTTCTAGAAGGGAAGTTCTTGCTTGTTGCTGAGTCCTGTTTGGCGTCAAATCTCAGCTGATGCCACCAGCTGGGCCTCATGGTGCCTGTCCTCTGGAAAAAGAACACTTGTTACAGTTGGGAGGCTCTGGGAGGTGAGAAGTGGCAGCGCTCCATATAGCAAGGCTTTAGACATGCGGCTTCTGCTACGTGCGGGTAACAGCAGCAGTGCTGAGGGCTTGTAGTAAAGGGGCTCCGCAGGGTCAAGTTTCAGGTCCTGGATGTGTTTAAGTTCATACTCTGCTGTTAGCTGTGGGGCATCTAGCGAATATTTTCTGAACCTGTCTCCTATGAAGTGGGGATAATTTTATCTGCCTCTTAAGGATGCTAGGATCCAAGGAGCAAAGTACACAGAGCTCTCCCTGCACAGCGCTGCATCGTGGGTGCTCACTGTAGTGTTTGGCTGCTTGAGCTTCATTCCAATCCCATAGAAACGTTATTTTTTAATTTTTTTTAGTAAGAGATAGGGTCTCACTATGTTGCCCAGGCTGGGCTTGAACCCCTGGGCTCAGGTGGTCCACCTTGGCCTTCCAAAGTGCTGGGATTACAGGTGTCAGTCCGAGCCTGGCCTGGAACCTATTTGTTTTGTTTTGCTTTTTTGAGTCAGGGTTCCGCTCTTTTTGCCCAGGCTGGAGTGCAGTGGCGCAATCTCGGCTCACTGCAACCTCTGCCTCCCAGGTTCAAGTGATTTTCCTGCCCCAGCCTCCCGAGTAGCTGGGATTACAGGCGCCCACCACCATACCCGGCTAATTTTGTATTTTTAGTAGAGGTGGTGTTTCATCATGTTGGTCAGGCTGGTCTCCTGACCTCACGTGATCCGACTGCCTCGGCCTCCCAAAGTGCTGGTTTTACAGGTATGAGCCACTGCACCCGGCCCTGGAACCTCAAATTTAATACAGCCGAGACAGTTCAGCATCTCCAATCTTCACCCATGCCTTCTTTTGTATTATTCCATCTTGCAGTGGTAACTACCCAAGCCAGAAACCTGGGAGGCCTCTTCCTCCCTCACATCCGTGCAGGCCACCTCTGTCTAAGTATCAGCTGAGTCCTGGACGCCAGTTACCTCAGAATATTGCAATTTGTGCCTGTTTCTTTGAGGTCTGACATCCTCTGGAAATGAAGTCCCGTGTCACGCCAAAACAGGTCGAGAAAATGACACTGGAACTGAGACCTGAATGAAATGGGGAGAAGCCCAGTGACCATGTTGGGGAAGAGGATTCCTTGCAGAGGGAACCAAGTTCAGAGGCCTTAAGGTGGGAGCCCATGGGTTACACTTGAGGCCCTGCAGCAAGGAGGCGGCTGGTAAGCCCATGGTGGAGTGAATGAGGGAGAGAATGAGGCAGCACGGGGCAGTCTGGAAGGCAGACCAGAGGGGCTGTGTACACATGGTCAGGCCTTGGGCTTTTCTCAGTGAGCATTCTTGGGTTCTAAGTGAGGTGATCCAGCTTAGATTCCTAAAGGATGCTTCTGGCTGTGTTTGGAGAAGGGACTGTAGTAGGGAAACAGGAAGCAGAGACCAGGGAGGCGGCTGCAGGAATCCAGGCAGCTGGTGATGGGGGCTTGGAACTGTGTGGTGATGGTGGTGGTGGGATTTTGAGGTAGTCTGACGTGGTCAGGTATGTTTTCTGTGTTTTTTTGAGACAAGGTCTCACCCCGTCACCCAGGCTGGAGTGCAGTGGCACAATCTTGGCTCACTGCAACCTCTGCCTCCTGGGCTCAAGCAGTCATCTCACCTCAGTCTCCCGAGTAGCTGGGACTACAGGCGTAGCCACCACGCCCAGGTAATTTTTGTATTTTTGGTAGAAACGAGGTTTTACCATGTTGCCTAGGCTGGTCTCGAACCCCTGGGCTCAAGCGATCCTCCCGCCTTGGCCTCTCAAGTACCTGGGAGGCCGAGGCAGGAGTTCAAGACCAGCCTGACCAACATGGAGAAACCCCATCTCTACTAAAAATACAAAATTAGCCAGGCGTGGTGGTGCATGCCTGTAATCCCAGCGACTCTGGAGGCTGAGGCAGGAGAATCCCTTGAACCCGGGAGGCGGAGGTTGCGGTGAGCCAAGATTGCGCCATTGCAGTCCAGCCTGGACAACAAGAGTGAAACTCCATCTCTAAATAAATAAAGGCATTCTAAGTTCTGCATGGCTCAAACTGAACTCATCCACCACCTTCCTACCACCCCACACTGTGTGCTTGGCTTCTCTTTCCCGGCAGACGTAACCACCATCCTTCTAATTGCTCAAGAATTAACCCACACCTCATCTTTAACTCCTTGTCCACCTCCATGCCCCATATTACCAAATCAAGTTAATTTTATTTATTTTTATTTTTTTGAGACAGATTCTTGCTCTCTTGCCTCAAGTTAATTTTAGCTCTTAAATAACACATTTGGGCCAGATGTGGGGGCCCACACCTGTAATCCCAGCACTTGGGAGGCCTAGGCGGGCAGATCACTTGAGGTCAGGAGTTCGAGACCAGCCTTGCCAACATGATGAAACCCTGTCTCTACTAAAAATACAAAAATTAGCTGGGCATGGTAACGGGTGCCTGTAGTCCCAGCTACTCAGTAGGCTGAGGCAGGAGAATCATACGAACCCTGGAGGCAGGGGTTGCAACGAGCCGCAGTTACGCCGCTGCACTCCAGCCTGGGCGACAGAGTGAGACACCGTCTCAAAAAAATAACAAAAAAATAATGTTGGCAAAGCCTGAGTCCTGTCCTCTCGCTCTCCCCACTGGACAGCATGACCTTCACCACTCGCTCCACCTTCTCCACTAACTACCCGGTCCCTGGGTTCTGTCCAGGCGCCCAGCTATGGCGCCCGGCCGGTCAGCAGTATGGTTAGCGTCTATGCAGGTGCCCGGGGCTCTGGTTCCCGGATCTCCGAGTCCCACTCCACCAGCTTCTGGGGCGGCATGGGGTCCGGGGACCTGGCCGGGGGGATGGCTGGGGATCTGGCAGGAATGGGAGGCATCCAGAACGAGAAGGAGACCATGCAAAGCCTGAACGACCATCTGGCCTCCTACCTGGACAGAATGAGGAGCCTGGAGACCAAGAACTGGAAGCCGGAGAGCAAAATCCGGGAGCACCTGGAGAAGAAGGGACCCCAGGTCAGAGACTGGAGCCATCACTTCAAAACCATCGAGGACCTGAGGGCTCAGATCTTCACAAATACTGTGGACAATGCCTGCATTGTTCTGCAGATCAACAATGCCTGTCTTGCTGCTGATGACTTTACAGTCAAGTAGGAGACAGAGCTGGCCATGCGCCAGTCTGTGGAGAGCGACATCCATGGGCTCTGCAAGGTCACTGATGACACCAATGTCACTTGGCTGCAGCTGGAGACAGAGATCGAGGCTCTCTAGGAGGAGCTGCTCTTCATGAAGAAGAACCACAAAGAGGAAGTAAAAGGCCTATAAGCCCAGATTGCCAGCTCTGGGTTGACTGTGGAGGTAGATGCCCCCAAATCTCAGGACGTCAGCAAGATCATGACAGACATGCAGGCCCAA
Source organism: Homo sapiens (assembly GCF_000001405.40). NCBI lineage: Eukaryota > Metazoa > Chordata > Mammalia > Primates > Hominidae > Homo > Homo sapiens. The sequence continues at coordinate 49,957,508 of NC_000020.11, forward strand.
TATGACAAGCTGGCTCAGAAGAACAGAGAGGAGCTGGACATGTACTGATCTCAGTAGATTGAGGAGAACACTACAGAAGTCACCACGCAGTCCACCGAGGTTGGAACTGCTGAGATGACTCACAGAACTGAGACATGCAGTCCAGTCCTTGGAGATCGACCTGGACTCCATGAGAAATCTGAAGGCCAGCTTGGAGAACAGCCTGAGGGAGGTGGAGGCCCGCTATTTCCTGCAGATGGAACAGCTCAGTGGGATACTGCTGTACCTGGAGTCAGAGCTGGCACAGACCCAGGCAGAGGGACAGTGCCAGGCCCAGGAGTAGGAAGCCCTGCTGAACATAAGGTCAAGCTGGAGGCTGAGATCACCACCTACTGCCGCCTGCTGGAAGACAGCGAGGACTTCAATCTTGGTGATGCCCTGGACAGCCGCAACTCCATGCAAACCATCCAAAAGACCACCACCCGCCAGACAGTGGATGGCAAAGTGGTGTCTGAGACCAACGACACCAAAGTTCTGAGACATTAAGCCAGCAGAAGCAGGGTACCCTTTGGGAAACAGGAGGCCAATAAAAAGTTCAGAGGTAAAAAAACAAAACAAAACCCACATTTGTGTTTTCTTATCATCCCACTGGCACCTACATTTTTTTTTTTTTTTCGAGATGGAGTCTTGCTCTTTCGCCCAGGCCAGACTGCAGTGGCGCTATCTCAGCTCACTGCAAGCTCTGCCTCCCGGGTCCACGCCATTCTTCTGCCTCTGCCTCCCGAGTAGCTGGGACTACAGGCGCCCGCCACCACGCCCGGCTAATTTTTTGTATTTTTAGTAGAGACGGGGTTTCACCGTGTTAGCCAAGATGGTCTTGATCTCCTGACCTCGTGATCCGCCCGCCTCAGCCTCCCAAAGTGCTGGGATTACAGGCGTGAGCCACCGCGCCCGGCCGGCACCTACATCTTAAAAGCCACTGTGATCTCATCTGAAATACTGCCACAACTTTCCATTTGACCTCTCTCCATTGCTGCCCAGCCAACATCCAGTCCTCCGCCACCAAGCAGCCAGAAGGATCTTCCAAAAATCCAAATGTGACCGACCATATCCTTTAAAACCCTTCAGTGGCTTCAGTTACCCTCAAAGCCCCACACCTCACAGGGTCCTCAAGACCCTGTGACCTCTGCCAACTGCCTACGTCTCCAACGTCGGCTTCTTGTGAAAGGTCAGAATCAAAACGTAGTCACCAGTATTAAACAAAACAACCCTGACACCAAGAGCGAAACTCCGTCTCAAAAAAACCCCCAAAAAACCCTGACACAGAGTCAGGGAAGGCTATGCAGTGAATGCTTGCATGCCTGATAACAAAAACCATCACAAAAGACTCTGCAAAAACACAACCTTGCACAAAGGCCATCGCAATGCAACTTTTTTTTTTTTTTTTTCGAGACAGTTTCACTCTTATTGCCCAGGCTGGAGCACAATGGCATGATCTTGGCTCACTGCAACCTCTGCCTCCCAGGTTCAAGCGATTATCCTGCCTTAGCCTCCCTAGTAGCTGAGATTACAGGCGCGCAGCACCATGCCCGGGTAATTTTTGTGTTTTTAGTTGAGACAGGGTTTCACTATGTTGGCCAGGCTGGTCTTGAACTCCTGACCTCAGGTGATCTTCCCGCCTCAGCCTCCTAAAGTGCTGGGATTACAGGCATGAGCCACTGCACCCGGCCCAGAATGCAACTTTATACAAAAAATACTTCTACAAGGACATCTGCCCAGCAACTGCCTGTACAACCTCACGCTGCCTTCACCCTTGTTAATGATCTTTGTAGCCAAAGATAAATTTTCAAAAAAATTATGTGCCCAGCGCAGTGGCTCCCGCCTATCATCCCAACATTTTGGGAGGCCCGAGGCAAGAGGATCGCTTGAGGCCAGTAGTTAGAGACCAGCCTGGCCAACATAGTGAGATCTCGTCTTTGAAAAAAAAATTATTTTTAATTATGTAGGCTGGGCACGGTGGCTCATGCCTATAGTCCCAGCACTTTGGGAGGCAGAGATAGAAGGATTACTTGAGCCCAGGAGTTCAGGACCAAAGCCAGACTAACCTCAAAAAAAAAAAAAAAATTAGCTGGGTGTGGTGGCACCCGCCTCTGGTCCCAGCTATTCAGGAGGCTGAGGCAGGAGGATTGCTTGAGCCCAGGAGGTCAAGGCTGCAATAAGCCAAGATTGTACCACTGCACTCCAACCTGGATGACACAACGGGACCCTATCTCAAAGATAAAAAAAAATAACAATTTTTAAAAAGTAACCCTCATTTTGTCCTTTAAACAACTTTGTCTGTTCCATAGCTTGGTTGATACTTGATCATCAAAAAGAACCAACCTTTGTCTATCCAGGTGTGGTGGCACGTGCCTGCAGTCCCAGCTACTCAGGAGGCTGAGGCGAGAAGATCACTTGAGCCCAGGAGTTCAAGGCTTCACGGAGCTATGATTGTGCCACCGCACTGCAGCCTGGGCGACAGGGGGAACTTGTTTCAAAAAACAAAACAAAAGCTTTTGTCTTCCTTTACCTCCCTGAATATGCAGTAGTTTGCTATGACAAATGTATTCCCATGGTAATGCTCTATTCCCGACTAAATATCTTTTTCTTCTAGGGAGCCTCTCTCTGTTATTTAGGTTGACATATATGGTGTCAGAAATGGGACCTGAAAAAGATTAGTACTGGAAGAAATCGGTGATTCTTGGAACTGGTGTACAGTATTCACTAGAGCCCTTTGAGCGCACTGCTTCCATGGCTCCCCTTTTCTGCCCTGGTGAGTCTTCTCTCAGGTTGAGCCTCCCTCTTTTTGGTAGAGGCTTTTTTGTTTTGTTTTGTTTTAGAGACAGGGTCTCACTCTATCCCCTAGACTGGAATATAATGGCACAATCATAGCTCACTGCAGCCTTGAACTCCTGGGCTCAAGTGATCCTCCTGCCTCAGCCTCCCAAGTAGCTGGGACTATAGACGTGCCACCACACCCACCTAATTTTTTTTTTTTTTTTTTTTTTTGTAGAAGCAGGGACTTGCTATGTTGCCCAAGCTGGTCTTGAACTCCTGGCCTCAAGTGATCCGCCCTCCTCAGGCTCCCAAAGTGCTGGGATTACAGGCGTGAGCCACATGCCTGGCCAAAAGTGTGCGCTTTTTTTTTTTTTTTTTTTTTTTGACGGAATCTCAGTCTTTCTCCCAGGCTGGAGTGCAGTGGTGCAGTCTCTGCTCACTGCAAGCTCTGTCTCCCGGGTTCACGCCATTCTCCTGCCTCAGCCTCCCGAGTAGGTGGGACTACAGGTGCCCGCCACCATGCCTGGCTAATTTTTTTGTATTTTTAGTAGAGACGGGGTTTCACTGTGTTAGCCAAGATGGTCTCAATCTCCTGACCTCGTGATCCGCCCACCTCGGCCTCCCAAAGTGCTGGAATTACAGGCGTGAGCCACCACACCTGGCCAAAAAATGTGTTCTTTATTGAAAATAAAAGAATAATTTTGTTTAATTTGGAGATTATGTAAGTTTTTTGAAAATATGGGCTGGCTGGGCGCGGTGGCTCACGCCTGTAATCCCAGCACTTTGGGAGGCTGAGGCGGGCAGATCACCTGAGGTCAGGAGTTTGAGACCAGCCTGGCCAGCATGATGAAACCCCATCTTTACTAAAAATACAAAAATTAGCTGGGCGTGGTGGCACGTGCCTATAGTCCCAGCTACATGGAAAGCTGAGGCAGGAGAATCACTTGAACCTAGGAGGAGGAGCTTGCAGTGAGCCGAGATTGCGCTAATGCACTCCAGCCTGGGCGACAGAGCGAGACTCTGTCTCAAAAACAGAAAAGAAAAAAAAAAGAAAATATGGACTTATGAAGGAAATAGAAACAAGATAGTAAGAAAACCAATAACTGAGAGACAGAGATATGAAGGAAGTTATGGTTATGAAGATATATTTTTTAAAAGGAAAGTTGAAAAGAATAATTTTGTATGGGAAAGAGTCTCTGGTAAATTTATGTTCTAAAGTAAAATGATTGGTATTTAATGAAGAGGAAGTATAAGACAGGGCACAGAGTCAAAGCACATCATCAATGGTCTGAATAAGTCATGATGGTGTTCATGAAGGGAGAACTTATGAAAGGCATTTTGTGTGTCATCAAGTTGGCTATAATTAGAAGGGAATTATTTCTACGTCTTTCTAAAGATAGATTAAAAATACACTGATAGAAAACTAAAAAATTCATATCCCCTATGTTAAAACAACTAGGTTTTCTTTTTTCTTTTCTTTTTTTTTTTTGAGACGGAGTCTCGCTCCGTCGCCCAGGCTGGAGTGCAGTGGCACGATCTCAGCTCACTGCAAGCTCCACCTCCCAGGTTCACGCCATTCTCCTGCTTCAGCCTCCCGAGTAGCTGGGACTACAGGTGCCCACCACCACGCCCGGCTAATTTTTTCTATTTTTTAGTAGAGACCGGGTTTCACTGTGTTAGCCAGGATGGTCTCAATCTCCTGACCTCGTGATCCGCCTGCCTCGGCCTCCCAAAGTGCTGGGATTACAGGCGTGAGCCCCTGCCCCTGGCCCAGGTTTTCTTCTTCTTTTTTTTTTTTTTTTTCTCTGAGACAGAGTCTCGCTCTGTCACCCAGGCTGGGGTGCAGTGTCGCGATCTCGGCTCACTGCAACCTCCGCCTCCCAGGTTCAAGCAATTCTCCGTGTCTCAGCCTCCCGAGTAGCTTGGACTACAGGCACACTGCCACGCCCACCTAATTTTTGTTATTGTTGTTGTTGAGACAGAGTCTTGCTGTGTCGCCCAGGCTAGAGTGCAGTTGCGTGATCTCGGCTCACTGCAACCTCTGCCTCCCTGGTTCAAGCCATTCTCCTGCCTCAGCCTCCTGAGTAGCTGGGATTACAGGCGCACACCACCATGATTTTTAGTAGAGACAGGGTTTCACCATGTTGGTCAGGCTAGTCTCGAACTCCTGACCTCAGGTGATCTGCCCCCCTCGGCCTCCCAAAGGGCTGGGATTACAGGCATGAGCCACCTTGCCTGGCAGGTTTTCTTTTTCTTTTAAATTTGTATTTATTTTTTGTTGTAGAGATGGGAATCTCACTATGTTACCCAGGTTGGTCTGGAACTCCGGGCCTCAAGCAGTCCTCATGTCTCAGCCTCCCAAAGTGCTGGGATTAACAGGCCTGAGTCACCACACCCAAGCCAATTAAGTCTGTTTGAACTGGAATGAACTTAGGGATTTTGCAGTTGGGCCAGTGGAGGGCCTCTAATGATGTATTTCTCAGCTTGTAGAGATATTAAATGATTAGGTTTATCTGGTAAGTTGTACAGGAAGCATTGTCAAGTGATAAGTGATTCTATTACTAGATCTTTCAGTTACATTTATGGGTCTGTTATTGATATAAATATTTCAAAAATTATATAAATTCATAGATACCTAATATTATCTGTCATAATTTTGGTTATGTTAATCTCTTCTAAAGTTAAATTTATCTGGATATTTTATTAATGTGAGTTTGTTTTTTTTTTTGAGATGGAGTCTCACTCTGTTGCCCAGGCTGGAGTGCAGTGGCACGATCTCGGCTCACTGCAAGCTCCACCTCCCAGGTTCACACCATTCTCCTGCCTCAGCCTCCAGAGTAGCTAGGACTACAGGCGCCCGCCACCACGCCAAGCTAATTTTTTGTATTTTGTTTAGTAGAGACAGGGTTTCACCGTGTTAGCCAGGATGGTCTCGATCTCCTGACCTCATGCTACACCCGCCTCGGCCTCCCAAAGTGCTGGGATTACAGGCGTGAGCCACCGCGCCCGGCCGTGAATTTTTTTTTTTTTTAATTTGAGACAGAGTCTCACACTATTGCCTGGGCTGGAGTGCAATGGCACAGTCTCAGCTCACTGCAACCTCCGCCTCCCGGGTTCAAGCGATTTTCCTGCCTCAACCTCCTGAGTAGCTGGGATTATAGGCACCCACGACCAGCCTGGCTTATTTTTTGTATTTTTTAGTAGAGACAGGGTTTCCCTATGTTGGCCAGGCTGGTCTCGAACTCCTGACCTTGTGATCCACCCACCTTGGCCTCCCAAAGTGCTGGGATTACAGGCGTGAGCCACCGCGCCCGGCCAATTAATGTGAATATTCTAAAGATTATATTCAATTTATAAAAGTCTGATGTTTCTTGTGTGACTGTGTCAGTCATGATTCTGGTTGTTATCTTAAAATACTGTATATGGCCAGGTGCAGTGGCTCATACCTGTAATTCCAGCACTTTGGGAGGTGGAGGCAGGAGGGATAGCTTGAGGCCAGGAGTTCTAAACCAGCCTGGGCAATATAGCGAGACTCCACCTCTATAAAAAATTAGCCAGGCATGGTGATGCACCCCTGTGGTCCCAACTACTCAGGAGGCTGAGGACCCTTTCTCTTTTAGAGAGCCTCTCTCTCTGTTATTTAGGTTGATATTTTCACATCTACTTCTGCACTCTTTTTACTCCAACCACACGGGCCTTCTTTTTTTTTTTTTTTTTCTTTTTTTGAGACAGAGTTTCGCTCTTGTTGCCCAGGCTGGAGTGCAATGGCGCAACCCAACCTGCTTCACCGCAACGTCTGTCTCCCAGGTTCAAGCAATTCTCCTCCCTCAACCTCCCGAGTAGCTGGGATTACAGGCATGCGCCACCATGCCCAGCTAATTTTGTATTTTTAGTAGAGACAGGGTTTCTCAGGCTGGTCAGACTGGTCTCGACATCCTGACCTCAGGTGATCCGCCTGCCTCGGCCTCCCAAAGTGCTGGGATTACAGGGGTGAGCCACCGCGCCCAGCCCCATACAAGTCTTCTTTCTGCACCTCAAGTGGGTCATGTTCCCCACCTCAAGGAGTACACACGTTCCCTTTCCTCTGGAATATTTGGTGCCCCAGGCCCATCTTTGCCTTTTTTAAAAATTTTTTTTTTCAGATAGGGTCTTGCTTCATTGCCCAGGCTGGAGTGCAGTGGCACCATCACAGCTCACTGCAGCCTCTACCTCCTGGGCTCAAGGGATCTGCCTTGTCCTCCCAAAGTACTGGGATTATAGGCACAAGCCACCGCACCTGGCCAAATACTTTTTTAGTATAAATATTTTCCAAATATTGCATACGAGTGTGAATAATTTGCACAAGCAGGCCAGGAAGTAAATGCCAGGAATGTTCATCCTAAAAATTATTTGCTGTTTATCTGAAATTCACAGTTAACTGAGCATTCTGTATTTTTATTGGTTAACTCTAGCAACCCTACTCGACATGTTTGCAGAACAAATGTTCTGAACATCTGCTCTGTGCCAGGCAACTCACACCTTCTCATTAAGTTATTTGTCCAATTACAAGAAATTAAGCTCTTGAGGGTAATGGCTGTGTCTGTCTTATGCACCACCGGCCTCCATGCCTGACCCCGGGTAGACTCAATAAATGTTCCTAGAATTGAAATAGAACTAAAAAAGAATTTCCAGTGGTTACTTTCTTTCCATGGCAGCTTGTCCACCCTGGAAGGAGTCTGGTGCAGCGGTAAGGAGAGCCTGAAGGGGGCAGTGTCACCCCCTGGCTCTGGCTTCCTGTTGTCCATCACCATGGGGAGGCAGGGCCTCAAATCGGAAGCACATGAAACTGGAACTTGGAAGGCAGAGGAGGCAAGACAGGTGGGCAGGCAAGATGGCTACTGCCAGGTGGGGTCTGACCTGCTCAGGTCCTCAATGTGGTCCCTTTATTCCTCCCTTGTTACTCCTTGGCTTTCTGCGGTGTCTTCTGCTGAATGTCTCATGCAGGGCTCAGCTGGGCCCTATGAATACAAGAATAGCAACAATGATGGTAATTATTTTCATTCCTGGTTCCTGACAATAATTTTGATTTAATCCTCCCCACTTTAGGCCCTGAAAGGTGATCAAAACCAGGCATTCAGTTTCTCCAGGAAAGTGGATCTCATGGAATTATCTTAGCCAGCATTGGTGGAGGGATACTAAATAGCATTACCTTTACAGATGAGGGAATGGAGCCCAGAGAAGCTGAGGTCATTTGCCCAGGACAAGAAGTGAGACTTGATATTCCAGTGCAGAGGTGCGATTAGATGTATAGTCCCCCACACAGACTGTGTGGAGTCTCCTATTCCCAGCATCCACACTCACTAGCTGATCTAGGGGTCAGCTGATCACTCACTAGCTTGACCTTGGACAAGTTATTCTAATCTGTGCTTATCTGTAAATGGGGCTAATAAGTGTCTTTCTCGTAGAGTTGTGGGAATTTAGTGAAATAATCCAGAGCATGGCACAATGTAAGTGCTTAATCAATGCGAGCTACCAATGTCACTATTGTTTGTCCCCTCCATTCCTAAGCCCTCCCAGGGCCCAACCCCACCCCAGCAGGCTAGCTGTTAATGTTTGATGACTAAACATTACTATGAAGTGAAGTGATTCCCTAATTTGGCCTGAAGAGATGAATTACCTGGAAGGCACTCGCTACAGAAATCTATTCTCAGGTCCCTGCCTTAGAGATTCTAATTGGTGGGGCCTGGGAATCTGTATCTTTAAAAAAGCCTCGGGTGAAATCTATCTGTAGGCTGATTTCGAAAGTCCTTATGTAATGTAAAACCGGAAAGACAGGGCGCGGTGGATCATGCCTGTAATCCCAGCACTTTGAGAGGCTAAGGCAGTTGGATCACAAGGTCAAGAGATCGAGGCCATCCTGGCCAACATGGTGAAACCTCATCTCTATTAAAAATACAAAAATTAGCTGGGCGTGGTGACATGCTTCTGTAGTCCCAGCTACTCTGGAGGCTGAGGCAGGAGTAATCGCTTGAACCCAGGAGGTGGAGGGTGCAGTGAGCCAAGATCATGCCACTGCACTCCAGCCTGGCTGACAGAGCGAGACTCGTCTCAAAAAAAAAAAAAAAAAAAAAAGACCGGATAGTGCTACAGCAAACACATTGTGACAGGGGTGGGGTGGAGGCGCCCGGTGATTAGAATCGGTGGACTAGCTCAGCCCTTACAGGTTACAAGAATTTAAAGTGATGATTACCTTTTCTGATTATAAAAATCATCTAGGGCTGGGCGTGGTGGCTTACACCTGTAATCCCAGCACTTTGGGATGCCTAGGTGGGAAGATCACCTAAGCCCAGGAGTTCGAGACCAGCCTGGGCAACATGGTGAAACCCCGTCTCTACAAAAAAATGTAAAAAATAAGCCAGACTTGGTGGCACACACTTGTAATCCCAGCTAGGAGGCTGAGGTGGGAGGATCTCTTGAGCTGAGGAGGTGGAGGGTTGCAGTGAGCCAAGATCCCGTCACTGCACCCCAGGCTGGGCAACAGAGTGATACACTGTCTCAAAAAACAAAACAAAAAACTAGTCTATTTACATGGTCTCAGATGATCACATACATTATTTAGAAAGGGAAAATTAGTGACTTTGTAGAATCACTGCTAGTGGCGAAACCTAGCTAATCCCATCTTAACTAAGCGATGAAAGTTACTATCACAGATAATGGAACAGACCATAGATGACTCAATGGGATGCACTGAAGAGGCAGCACCACTTCTGTGGTTCCAGGCAGGAAAACATACAAGCTCAGTGTCATCATAAGGAAGCACCAGGCAAATGCAATTGAGGGACAGTCCACAAATCTTCCAAAATGTCAACATCAGAAACTACAGATGCCTGACAACACTGCAATGCTGCATGATCCTGAATTGAATCTTTGAGGGTGTGGGGGTTGCTATAAAGGATGTTATTGGGCCAGTTGAATATGGCCTATGGAATAAGGAATAAGTAATTGATCCATGTTAGATTTCCTGATTTTGATAATGATATCAGAGTTACATAATAGAATGTCCTTGTTCTTAGCAGACATACAGTAAAGAGTATAGGGGTAAAGGGGCATGACATCTCTAATCCACTCTGATATGGTTTAGAAAATAATAGTGTACGTGCATATAAAAATATATATACACACACACATGAACACGCAGGTAAGGTATAATAAAGTAAATATGCAAAAATGCACAGTGTTAAAAATTATAATGCCCCTTGTTAAAAAAAAAATAACCGGGAAGAAAAATATAAAGAAGAAAATGGAAGCCACTCCTACTCCTACCCCCCCGCCCCCCTTTCCCTCCCTGCCTCCCCTATCCCCCGTCCCTGAGACAACCAGGATGACTATTTCAATCAGCAGTGAAACTCTTACATGTCTTTGGGTCGTTTTATATATATGTATATATGTGCATATATATATATGTGTGTATATGTGTGTGTGTGTGTGTGTGTGTGTGTATATATATATATATATATATATTTTTTTTTTTTTGAGACAGAGTCTTGCTCTGTCACCCAGGCTGGAGTTCAATGGCACGATCTCGGCTCACTGTAACCTCCGCCTCCCAGGGTCAGGGTCACAGGGTCAAGTGATTCTCCTGTCTCAGCCTCCCAAGTAGCTGGGATTACAGGCACATGCCGCCATGCCAGGCTGATTTTTTTTGTATTTTAGTAGAGACAGGGTTTTACCATGTTGCCCTGGCTGGTCTCGACTCCTGAGCTCAGGCAATCCACCCGCCTTGGCCTCCCAAAGTGCTAGGATTACAGGCGTGAGCCACCTCACCCGGCCTGGGGCATTATATTTTTGATTGAAACTGAAATGCGTGAATGCTTTACTTTCCATCTATAAGTTGTGTTTTTCACTCTGATGTATGTCAATATCTTTCCATGTTAATGTGCTGGTGTTTCAAATGGCTGCATGATGCTGCCTGGTAGGGACAGAGCATACTTTGTTTATCAATAGGTGTTTAGGTTGTTTCCAGCTTGACTCCTACAGACAGTACTAGAGTGAGCATCCTTAAAAATACATCTTCCCCAACTTGTCAGATTATTTTGTTTGCAGAGCTGCTGGGTCAAAAGGAGAGAGTCTCTGAGAAGGGACAGAGGCTGACAGTCGGGGAGACTGCAAGAGAAAGACTGAGAGAGAGAGAGAGATCTATAGAAGCAGAGAGAGGGGGAAAGAAACAGATGGAGAGAGACAGAGGCTGGGTGCGGTGGCTCACGCCTGTAATCCCAGCACTTTGGGAGGCTGAGGTGGGCAGATCACTTGAGTTCTAGAGTTTGAAACCAGCCTGGCCAACATGGCGAAACCCTGTCTCCGCTAAAAATACAAAAATTAGCCAGGCTTGGTGGCACACGACTGTAGTCCCAGCTACTCAGAAGGCTGAGGCACAAGAATCGCTTGAGCCTGGGAGGCAAAGGTTGCAGTCAGCCGAAATTGCACCACTGCACTCTAGCCTGGCCAACTGAGTGAGACTCTGTCTCAAAAAAAAAAAAAAAAAAAAAGAGATGGAGAGAGACGAGAAAGAGCAAGGTTGAGGGTTGAGAGAGAGCGAGATTGGGAGGGTGACAGGGAGTTGCTTTCGATGGAGACTGAGAAGGAATTCCTCTGACCCATGGGGTCTCTATGGCCACAGGAATCCAGTCAGGAAAGTGACTAAGTGACTTTTAGGAACACACCCAACAGATACAATCGTAGATGAGGTCAGAGTCCTTTGTGCAAGGATCTTCATGGGGCTATTGTTCCTGGAAAGCAAAAAATGGGAAACGACCTAATTGCCCATCAACAGGGGACTGGTTATAGATTGTGCTGGAAATGCTGATAGAAGCCCATCTCCAAGTAGGGTTGGCAGATAATAGCAAATAAAACCACAGAAGGCCCAGTTAAATTTGAATTTAAAATGAAGCATATGTCTCATGCAGCCTTCCTTATACACTAAAAACCTATTTGTTGTTTATCTAAAATTCACATGTATATTTTATCTGGAAACTATTAATCTCCAAGATAAGTGAGAAAAGCCAGGTGAGGTCAGGAGAGGGGTTGCTCTTGGTGAGGGTGTGTGTGTATTTGGGCTGCTGAGGTGGCCGTCAGTTTCAGCTCCTGTCCTGGGTGTGGTTACACTTGAAGGGAAGGGACTGATCCGGGCTCACATAAGCAGAGGTTGAAGGGCTAGGCTCCACTCCAGGGTCCGTGCTCTGTAGTGATTTGTATATATGTGTTAAAAGTGTTTTCAATAAAAGTATGACAGACCACAATTTTCTAAACTCCATTTAAACATTTCTGATTTAAAAAAATAATACTAGCAGTCTCAGCTGGGTGTGGTGGCTCACACCAGTCATCCCAGCACTTTGGGAGGCCAACGCGGGTGGATCACGAGGTCAGGAGTTCAAGACCAGCCTGGCCAAGATGGTGAAACCCTGTCTCTACTAAAAATACAAAAATTAACCGGACACAGTGGCAGGCGTCTGTAATCCCAGCTACTTGGGAGGCTGAGGCAGGAGAATCACTTGAACCTGGGCGGCAGAGGTTGCAGTGAGCCAAGATCACATCATTGCACTCCAGTCTGGACGACAGAGTGAGACTTCGTCTCACCAAAAAATAAAATAAAATAAAATAAAACAACAACAACAACAAACTGGCAGTCTCAGAAACTCTAAGGGGCCTCCCTGAACATTTTCATTTCCTGGAACACTCATCTGCCCCTGGGCTTTTTTATCACTGTCGCCTGGAATGCCCTCTTACCCCACCCCACCCCCAACCCCCTCATTCACCTGCTCATGCCTGTGACCTCAACCTGGAGTCAGCCTGGTTCTCACTCCTCTGAGTCACCTTAGGTGCCTCGGAGTTGCAAGAACACTGAACCAGCTGTTACCCCCTTTCCCCCCTCGCCTGTGAGCTACGCAGGTGCAGGAACCTTGTCTGTGTGCAGCTGGTTTATCACAGTATCCTAGCCCATTCAGCCAGGTACATGCCACAGCTTACTCACTACACCTTGGACATGTTAGTAAAGCGTCTCTCTGAGCCTCAGTTTCCTCATTTGTAAAATGGAGCTGATCATCTTGCCTACCACTCAAGGCCAATGTGACAGAGATGGGAAAGGGAAATGGCATTAGCATCACTAAGGTAATATTTCAACTGAGGCCAGCACTGGGAAGATCTGGGGAAGGGTATTCCAGGCATCCTTGGGAAAAAAAAGGAGACTGCGGGCAGCCGTGAGAGCCAGGTCACTGCGGTCTGTGTGGCAGCCAAGTCCCTAAGAAAAAAAAAAAAAAAGGAGTTTGCTCTCATTTTCCCCTTCTTGCCAATACCTCTCACCTGCTGTGGGTCAAAGGTGCACAAAGCTCTACAGGTATGCAAGGTAGGTGCAGGTAGGGGAGCCAGGAGACCCTGGGGCTTTCCTGGAGGCAGGTTCAGCCTTCTGCGAGGAAGATGGAGAGAGCAGGGCTCTATCAGTGCAGTCTGATGGGTAAGGGGCCTAGGCCCGAGACAGTCTGCGAGCAAGTGTGCGTGTATGAGCCCCTGAGCCCGCCCACCCTGCAAGTGCCTGGAGACTCACTGGGGAAGGTGTGTTTTGCACTATAGAGACATCCCAATGGCCTATCTCAGTCCTTGAGCTCCAGAGGCATCCATCTCCCAGGCGTAGAGCTGGGCTCTGGCAGGTGTGTGATCGGACTCGGGCAGGTGCAGAGAGGCCTGGCTTCAGGGCCCAGCTCAGCCCCCACATGTCCACCCTCGAAGGCTTCCACAGCTTTCTGTTTTCCAAGGTGACCACGTCATCCCACTTTGTCCAGGATTGCCCCAGAACACCCTCACTGCCAGGCAAACTGGACTGGTTGGTCACCAGACATATTACTCCATTGGACAGAGGAAGAAGAGTCTCAGAGGCTGTCAGTATCTGCCTCATTTTTTGGGGCTGGGTTTTTTTCATGAAAAGTTTATTTGAAATGGTGACACATATATCTGAAATAAAACATTCATATTCTTTAAAAAAGGCTTCTAGGCCGGGCACAGTGGCTCACGCCTGTAATCCCATCACTTTCAGAGGCTGAGGCAGGTGGATCACCTGAGGTCAAGAGTTCAAGACCAGCCTGGCCAACATGGTGAAACCTCATATCTACTAAAAATTAAAAAAAAAAAAAAATTAGCTGGGTGTGATGGTGCACACTTGTAGTTCCAGCTACTTGGGGAGGCTGAGGTAGGAGAATCGCTTGAACCCAGGAGGCAGAGGTTGCAGTGAGCCAAGATCGCACCACTGCAGTCCAGCCTGGGTGACAGAGAGAGACTCCACGTCAAAAACAAAAAACAAAAAGGCTCCTAGAGGCCGGGCGCAGTGGCTCACACCTGTAATCCCAGCATTGTGGGAGGCCAAGGCAGGTGGATCACCTGAGGTCAGGAGTTCGAGACCACCCTGGCCAACATGGCAAAAACCCGTTTCTTAAAAAAATACAAAAATTAGTTGGGCACGGTGGCAGGTTTCTGTAATCCCAGCTCCTCAGGAGACTGAGGCAGGAGAATCACTTGAACCCGGGGAGGTGGAAGTTGCAGTGAGCCGAGATCGAGCCACTGTACTCCAGCCTGGGCAACAGAGCCAGACTGCATCTCCAAAAAAAAAAAAAAATGCTTGTAGAAAAAGAAGACATCTTTCTACCCCACCCTGCTCCTGTCCTCTGAAGCAGTCAGCTTCTTGGACCTCTCAGAGACAGATATTATTTACTTCTGCACAAAAGGCAGCCTATTACATATGCTGTTCATCTGATATATTTTTTTAAGAGATGAAGTCCTGTGCTTGCTTCAGCAGCACATACACTAAAATTGGAATGATACACAGAACATTAATGTGGCCCCTATGCAAGGATGACACACAAATTCATAAAGCATTCCATATTTTTAATTAAAAAGAAAGAGAAAGAAAAAGCAACGGAGTCTTGCTCTGTCACCCAGGCTGGAGCGCAGTGGCATGATCATAGTTAACTGCAGTCTCCAACTCCTGGGCTCAAGGGATCCTCCCACCTCAGCCTCCCAAGTAGCTGGGACTACAGGTGTGTGCCACTATGCCCAACTAATTATTAATTTTGTTGTTGTTGACACAGAGTCTTGCTATCTTGCCCAGGCTGGTCTTGAACTCCTGGGCTCAACTGATCCTCCTGCCTTGGCCTCTCAAAATGCTGGGATTACAGCCGTGAGCCACTGCACCCAGCCCACTTGAATTTTTTCTTCTTCTTCTTTTTTTTTTTTAACACCTGATATTTTTTTCAGTTAAAAATATGAGTTCCGGCAGGGCATGGTGGCTCATGCCTGTAATCCCAGCACTTTGGGAGGCCGAGGCGGGCAGATCACCTGAGGTCAGGAGTTTGAGACCAGCCTGGCCAACATGGTGAAACCTCATCTCTACTAAAAATACAAAAATTACCCCAGTATGGTGGCTCGCACCTGTAATCCCAGCTACTTGGGAGGCTGAGGCACGAGAATTGCTTGAACCTGGGAGGCGGAGTCTGCAGTGAGCTGAGATCATCCCACTGCACTCCAGCCTGGGCAACAGAGCAAGACTCTGTCTCCAAAAAAAAAAAAAAAGCATATATATACATACATATATATGTATATATACGCACACACATATATATATATGAGTTCATTCATTTCATTCAGCTAATAATTACTGAACCAGACCCTGTTCTTGGTGCTCAGGTCATAGTAGCAGACAAGACAAAGTTCCTGCCTGTGTGGAGCTGTCTAGAGCAGAAAGTGAATGTTTAGGTTTTGCAGACTTAAATAGCAAGGATGTTATGTCAGTACTCATATAACAAGAGAAAACAAATTCCCACAAAATTTTTATGGACAATATTTAAATTATAATAATATTTGAGTACAATTTTGTTTTTCATTTTTTTAATTTAATTTTTTTTTGAGGCAGGGTCTCTCATTGTCACCCAGGCTGGAGTGCAGTGGTGCAGTATTGGCTCACTGCAGCCTCGATTTCCCAGGTTCAAGCAATCCTCCCACCTCAGCCTCCTGAGTAGCTGGGACTATAGGTACACACCACTACACCTGGCTAATTTTTGTATTTATTTTTTGGTAAAGTCAGGGTTTTGCCATGTTGGCCAGGCTGGTCTCAAACTTCTGAACTCAAGCGATCCACCCTTCTTGGCCTCCCAAAGTGCTGGGATTACAGGCGTGAGCCACCGTGCCCAGCCTGTCTGTTTTTAAAATATAAATAATAGAGATAGGGTCTTGATACATTGTCCAGGCTGGTCTGGAACTCCTGGACTCAACTGATCCTCCCGCCTTGGCCTCCCAAAGTGCTGGGATTACAGGTGAGAGGCACTGGGCCCAGCCAGTTTTTTTTGTAAGCATGAATTATTATTATTATTATTATTAATTCAAGACAGAATCTCTGTTGTCCAGGCTGGAGTTCGATGGCACAATCACCGCTCACAGCACCCTTGACCTCCTGGGCTCAAGTGATCCTCCCACCTCAGCCTCCCAAGTAGCTGGGACTACAGGCACATGCCACCATGCCTGGCTAAGTTTTGTACTTTTTGTAAAGATGAGGTTTTGCCATTTTACCTGGGCTGGTCTCGAATTCCTGGGCTCAAACAATCCGCCCGCCTCACCTTCCAAAGTGCTGGGACTGCCGGCATGAACCATGAGGTCCAGCAAGCATGGAATTTTGAAGGTTCACATATTGCCTTAATTGAGGTTCCAAGTAACTGTTATCTACCATTAAATCGGTTGCAGTGTTCATCTGTAGAAGCTACTCTTAGCTCAAGGACCATACAAGAAACAAACCTTGGTCAGATTTGGCCTGAGGGCTGTAGTTTGGCAACCTCCAGTCTAAAGGGAAATCAACAAAATCAGTGAAACATACACCATGCCAGATTATGAGCGAAGTGGAGAAAAACTAAGCAGCAAGAGGGGAAGGCGTGCCAGAGGGAAAGGGAGGAGAGGGGGATGAAGTGGTGGCCTGGGAGGCTTTGCTGCGATGGGGGGTGAGCCCTGTGGCTATATGGGAGAAGAGCTGGGAGGAGACAGGGAACACCAGATGCAAGGTCCCCAAAGCAGGAGCATGGCTGATGTGGTTTGCCCTGCAGCCGGAGCCTTGTGGGCGATAGTGAGTATGGGG
Source organism: Homo sapiens (assembly GCF_000001405.40). NCBI lineage: Eukaryota > Metazoa > Chordata > Mammalia > Primates > Hominidae > Homo > Homo sapiens. The sequence continues at coordinate 49,974,444 of NC_000020.11, forward strand.
GCTAGGGTGGGGAGCTCAAGGGGCCACAGGGGGCCAATCCTGTAGGGCCTCGTTGTGGGCCATAGTGAAGGCTCTGGATTTTCCTACAAGAGAGCTGGGACCAGGGAGGGTTTATGTACCCACAGAACAGCATCGACATTTTTTTTTTTTTTTTTAGATGGAGTCTTCCTCTGTCCCCCAGGCTGGATGGAGTGCAGTGGCACGATCTTGGCTCACTGCAACCTCCGCCTCCTGGGTTCAAGCAATTCTTCTGCCTCAGCCTCCCAAGTAACTGGGATTACAGGTGCCTGCTGCCATGCCCAGCTAATTTTTTGTATTTTTAGTGGACATGAGGTTTCACCATGTTGGCCAGGCTGGTCTCGAACTCCTGACCTCAAGTGATCCACCCACTTTGGCCTCCCAAAGTACTGGGATTACAGGTGTGAGCCACCGCACCTGGCCGAGCATCAACATAATTTTTTTTCTTTTTTTTTTGAGACGGAGTTTTGCTCTTGTTGCCCAAGCTGGAATGCAATGGCACAATCTTGGCTCACTGCAACCTCTGCCTCCTGGGTTCAAGTGATTCTTCTGCCTCAGCCTCCCAAGTAGCTGGGATTACAGGCATGCACCACCATGCCCAGCTAATTTTGTATTTCTAGTAGAGACAGGGTTTCTCCATGTTGGTCAGGCTGGTCTCGAACTCCGACCTCAGGTGATCCATCCACCTCGGCCTCCCAAAATGCAGGGATTACAGGCATGAGCCACCATGCCTGGCCAGGCGTGAACATTTTAACAGTCGTGAAAGATTCCATTGATGCGCCTGTTTTACACTCAACAGTTCCTCTATCATGGACGACTTTTTTTTTTTTTTTGAGACGGAGTCTTGCTCTGTCGCCCAGGCTGGAGTGCAGTGGCGTGATCTCAGCTCACTGCAAGCTCTGCCTGTTGGGTTCATGCCATTCTCCTGCCTCAGCCTCCCGAGTAGCTGGGACTACAGGCGCCTGCCACCATGCCCGGCTAATTTTTTGAATTTTTAGTAGAGATGGGGTTTCACCGTGTTAGCCAGGATGGTCTCGATCTCCCGACCTCGTGATCCGCCCGCCTTGGCCTCCCAAAGTGCTGGGATTACAGGCGTGAGCCACTGCGCCTGGCCGTATGGACGACTTTTGCTACCCTATTAAAAATTAATCCAATTGTCCAGATTCGTGGCTCACACCCGAATTCCAATACTTTGGGAGGCCGAGGAGGGAGGATTGCTTGAGCCTAGGAGTTCGAGACCAGCCTGGGCAACATAGCGAGACCCAGTCTCTAAAATAATAATAATAATAATGCCGATAATACTTGTAAATGATAAAAAATAAAATCAAGACATGGGAAAGGATATTTAGTAAAGAATCTTCCTTCCACCCCTGCTGACAGCTACCAGCTTCTCCTCAGAGACAGGCACATTACCCTCTCTCCAGAGATGGTTTAATGTCCTAAGAAATACCTGTATAATGGTGTTTTGCACCTTGCTTTTTTTTTTTTTTTTTTTTTTTGAGACAGAGTCTTACTCTGTTGCCCAGGCTGGAGTGCAGTGGTACAATCTCGGATTACTGCAACCTCCACCTCACAGGTTCAAGCCATGCTGCCTCAGCCTCCCAAGTAGCTGGGATTACAGGCGCACACCACCGTGCCCAGGTAATTTTTTTATTTTTAGTAGTGACGGGGTTTTGCCATGTTGGCCAGGCTGGTCTTGAATGCCTGACCTCAGGTGCTCCACTTGCCTCATCCTCCCAAAGTGCTGGGATTACGGGCGTGAGCCACCGAGCCCGGCTTGCACCTTGCTTTTTAGCACTTAATATCTTGATATGATTTCATTACATCCAGAGCTTTTTCCTTCTTTTCGGGGCAGATGGGTAATGTATTCATTGGTCCCCGCATGGCCTCGGCCTGTATGCAGGAGCCTAGAATACAACTTTGGGATGCTATAGGGACATCCCTGAGGTGAGCCTCCTACAACGAGCCTGGCACCCAGCAGGTGCTCAGTAAATAGGAATGAAAAGGCTAGCTGTAATACTAGTACTTTGGGAGGATTAGGTGGGAGGTTTGCTTGAGCCCAGGAGTTTGAGACTAGCCCGGGCAACATAGTGAGACCCCCATCTCTAATTTTTAAAATTATAAAAAATAAATACCATTTTACAAAGGCTTGTATAGCTTATCTTGGAGCCTCCCCCCATGGGTCATGCCCAACGGACTTAGACCTTGACCCAGAAACCTCCCTTAGAAGCAATTTGTATTCTGAAATGGTGACTTCACAGAGGGCTTATTGGATAAGGCCCACGGCTGAATCACTGTTTGTTTTTAGGCAAGTGTGAGGCATAGGAAGAGGTTAAATCCAGGATGAGGATGGCAGTAGAGCATTGACTCATTCATTGAACTTTCTGTAGACAATGTCTTTCTCCTGGTCAAGATTAACTTTCCAACTCCTGATCAATTCATTCACTGATAATGAGCTAATCAACAGGGGCCACCAGTCTAATAAAGAGCTCTTAGAAATTAAGAAGTTCATTCACTGGAAGGACATGCAGGATTTTAAAAAAGGAAAGAAATCAAGTTCATCAATTTGGTGACCAAAGGACATGAAGCAATAGTTCAGAGCACAGAGAAACAGAAATGGCTTTGGTGTATGTAAAAAATGCTCCACACTGCCGGGCGTGGTGGCTCACGGCTGAGTGCGGTGGCTCATGCCTGTAATCCCAGCACTTTGGGAGGCCGAGGCAGGTGGATCACCTGAGGTTGGCAGTTTGAGACCAGCCTGACCAATATGGAGAAACCTCAGCTCTACTAAAAATACAAAATTAGGTGGGTGTGGTGGCACATGCCTGTAATCCCAGCTACATGGGAGGGTGAGGCAGGAGAATCACTTGAACGTGGGAGGCGGAGGTTGTGGTGAGCCGAGATCACACCATTGCACTCCAGCCTGGGCAACAACAGTGAAACTCTGTCGCAAAAAAAAAAAAAAATGCTCCACCCTAGTCATGTGAAATGCAAATGACAACAGGAGATCCCATTTTCCCTTATCAGACAGGCAAAGATAAAAAAGTTAAAGGCCAGCAAGGTGGCTCATGACTGTAATCCCAGTACTTTGGGAGGCCGAGGCAGGTGAATCACTTAAGCCAAGGAGTTTGAGACCAGCCTAGACAACATGGCAAAACCTCGGCTCTACAAAAAAAAAAAAAAAAAAAAAAAGCAAAAGACAATTAGCCAGATGTGATGCCTCGCACCTATAGTCCCAGCTACTCTGGAGGCTGAGGTGGGAGGATCACTTGAGCCTGGGAGGCGGTGGTTGCAGTGAGCAGGGATTATGCCATGGCACTCCAGCCTGGGTGACAGAGTGAGACTGTCTCAAAAAATAAAAAATAGACAGGGTCAGGTGTGGTGGCTCATGCCTGTAGCCCTGTAGTCCTAGCTGCTCAGGAGGCTGAGGTAGGAGAATCACTTGAGCCCAGGAGATGGAGGCTGCAGTGAGTTATGATCATGCCACTGCACTCCAGCCTGGGCAACATAGCGAGACCCTGTCTCAAAAAAGAAAAACAAAAAGACAATACTCTGTGTTGGGCAACTTTTGAAAAGGGGCCCTCAACTCCCTGCTAGTGGGAGTATAGTTCAGTTTCATCTTTTTGGATGGCATTTGGACAAATGTATCAACATTTTATATAACATACCATTTGATGTGAAGTGCAATGATGTGTGTAGAGGGCATTCATTGAAATTGCCACATTATTTGTAGTAGCCAATAAATTGCAATCTAACCTAAATGCCCATCATGAGTCTTCGTGTTAGGTAAATTGTGTGATTGTGCTATAATCCATACAATGAATAGTCCGCATCCCTGCAGAAAACTAAGGGAGCTGCGTGTAATGATATGGAATGATTTTCAAAACACTGAATATTGTTATAGCATTACCCATGTGATGACGATTCAAAACAAAAAAATGTTACTATAGCAAGGTGTAGGTTAGTGTGGAGGTTCCTATTTGTAATACATAAAGGGCTGTACATATATACATATATATATATATATATATATATATATATATATATATATATAGTTAAAGACAGGATCTCACTCTGTTGCCCAAGCTGGAGTGCAGTGGTATGATCTTGGCTCATGGACGCCTCTACCTCCCAGGCTCAAGTGATCCTCCCACCTCAGCCTCCCGAGTAGCTGGGACAACAGGCATGTAACCTGCCTATTTTTTGTTTTGTTTTGTTTTGTTTTTTTGAGACAGGGTCTTGCTATATTGCCCGGGCTTGTCTCAAACTTCTGGGCTCAAGCGATCCTCCCACCTTGACCTCCCAAAGCTCTGGGATTACAGGTGTGAGCCACCACGCACTGCCCATGCACATATTAATATATACATAGGCCATCCCTGGAAGGTCATACAAGACACTGGTTTAAAAAAAAAAAAAGGTTGCTTTGGGGAGGGAAAAGGAGGTCTGGAATGGAGGGAGACTCTTCTTTTAGTTGGGTAACTGTAAATCACATTATTTAGCTACTGGTTTTACTTCTAGTGGGAGATTGGCACCTGCAGAAAATGCAGGTGTCTATTCAAATGTACCTTCCTTCCAGAAGCCTTTCGTGAGCACACTAGGTATTCCCAGATTGCCCTCCCGGCAGTTATACCAGCCTTCACCTCCCTGAAAAGCACGTGCCCCCTGCACCCCGCGACGATTGCAGGGAGGCGCCTTGGCCAGCAGAGGGCGCCAGAGGACCGCGCCCCAGGCCTGGGGCGGGACCCCCTCGTGCGGGGAGCTGGGGAGGGCCTGGCCCTGCCGGGTCCCAGGCCACCTGGGCCGCAGATGTCGCCCATTTCCGGGAGGACCTGACCCCACAGTATCAAAAGTGTCACCTCACCTTCCCCTGCAAAGGGAGCTGGGTCTGCGGCCGAGAGGCCTGGCCCGAAGCCTCCTCTCACCTCGTGGTCTCCGCCGCCTGCAGGAGGGAGTGGAGCGAGGGCGGGCCTGGAGGGGGTGGCGGGGACAATTCGATCCGATCTGAGCAAGGCCCCTCCCCTCTGCGTTGCCTCCCACCCCCATGCCCCGCGCAGGTGCCTGACCACTGAAGGAAAGTGGAAAGCGGGAGGCCCAGGCAGTGGCTGCCTGCAAGTACTTGATTGAGCCCCCATTATGTGCTTTGAAGAAAACAGAATAAGACAATGAGAGAGAAAGGTGGGCTGGGCGCGGTGGCTCACTCCTGTAATCCCACCAAGTTGGGAGGCTAAAGTGGGAGGATCAATTGAGCCGCAGAGTTTGAGACCAGCCTGGGCAACATAGTGGGACCCCATTTCTACAAAAAATAAATTAGCCAGGCATGGTAGCGCGTCTCAGTGAAAAAAGGGGGAAAAAAAGAAAAAAGAAGGTGGGTGCTGGGGCAAGGGTGGGTCCTACTTTGGCTAGGGTGATCAGGGAAGGCTCCCCTGAGGAAGTGACTTACATTTTTTGTGTTAAATATATTATTCATACCTAAAAGTGTTTAAATTGTCTCTGTACACTACCATGTCATGAAGATACGGTAAAATAAATAGTCCATGTACAGTAGAAAGACTAACAATAAAGATCCCTCCCTGCCTAGGAAACAGATCATTACCAAAATTCTAGAAGCTTCATGTGCAGCCTGTTCTTGCCTCCCCTCCTCACCAGCCACTCTTCAGAATTTTGTATCAAACATCTCCTTGCAGCCGGCATAGTGGCTCACCCCTGTAATCCCAGCACTTTGGCAGGCTGAGCTCAGGAGTTCCAGGCGGCAGTGAGCCGTGATTGTGCCACTGCACTCCAGCCTGGGTGACAGAGCAAGACCCCGTCTCAAAAACAAAACAAAAAACCACTTCCTTGCTTTTCTTTCTAATTCTACAACCCCCACATACATCCCTAAATAATATAGGGTTTCATTTGCCTGCTTCAGAACCTCGTATAAATCCAAATAACTATGCATTTGTTTGTGACCTCTGCTCGACATTGTGTTTTTGAGATTCATCCCTGTTGCTGCATGGAGTTGTAGTTCATTTTTATTGCTGTATAGTATTCTATTACAGGATTGCACCAGGGTTCATTAATCCAGTCTACTGTTTATAAACATTTGTGTTGTATCCAGTTTTGTTTTAGTTTTTGCTTTTTTTGCTATTAGGAACGAGGGTACAATGAATATCCTTTTTTGTTTTTTCGGGGTTTGGGCTGGACAACAGTTCTTTACTTTGCTTGGTTGCTCATTATAATCCCCAGGGGAGTTTTTTAAAATGCTGATGCCAGAGGCCCCACCCAGACTAATTAAATCAAGATGTGGGTGGGGGTGGGGTGGGCCGAGGCTTAGGTGTTTTAATCCTTCCCTGTGGGGATCTAATGTGCTGCCAGAGCTGAGAACCCCTGGGATGCAGTTGGTTTGAGGACAGACTTGTCAGCTGCAGCCCCTGGGATGCAGTTGGCTTGAGGACAGACAGGGAGAGGAGTCACCTGTTGCTAGCTGATGCCAAACTTTTCCAAAGTGACTATGCCCACCGACCCTCTCGCCAGCTCTCACCTCCTCATCAACTCTTGATAGTGACCAAATTTTTCCTTGTTGTCCTTCTGATGGGCGTGAAATGGCAGCTCACTGTGGCTTGAATTTGCCATTTCTCTCTTCACTAAACGAGGCTGAGCAGTTAGTGAAGTTGCTGCTGAAACAAAGAATGAAAGGAAGCCAGCGTGAAGATCTAGGAGCAAGAGACGTAGGGGAGAGGAGGAAGAGCAGCAGGTGCCAAGGTGGGAAAGGTCTGGGATGTTGGAGGAACAGAAGGAAGGCTGGGGGTGGGATCCTTGTGCATGGGGGAGGGAGAGAGGCTCAAGCCAATGTCAGCTGGGGTCAGAGCAGCGGGGCCGAGTTGGCTGAGGAGAGGACTTTGGCTTTTACTCTGAGACAGGCGCATGGGAGGGTTTGAGCAGAGGAGGGGGTGATCTGGCCTCACTTTGGCTTCAAGCAAAGGATCCTGATTGGAGCTAAATTGACACGGGACGGGGAGTATTCCGCTTAATGACTGCTTACTGCCTCTGTCCCCCACCCTACTGCCCGCTCTCCAGCTAGAACCAGGGGAGGACGATTTTGTTCACGGCTGTCACACCCGGCACCAAGTGACTAAACAGACAGTAGTTCTGCCCTTCAGGTTGGTGGTGGTGGTGGTGTGGGGTGCTTATAGGTTTTTATAGTCTTCCTTCACAGGTGGAAACAAGAACGGTGAGACCTGTGAGGTTTATTTCAGAGCCACCCCCGGGCCTGGTACGCCTCCCAGGGAAGCTGGGGTGGGGGTGCAGCTGCCCCTCACTTGGGCCCACCCCACATGCATTCAGTCAGGGCCCCTATGGAGCCGTGTTACAGCCTTTAGACACAGGATCGAGGATCTTCACGGGGTGAGGAGACACGCCCGGCCCATGCCTTCTTTCTCCCGCCAGCCTACAGGGATCTTTTTCAACGAAACTCTAACCAGGTCCCTCCTCAGCTGAAAATCCTTCGGTGGCTCCCCAGTGCCCTTGAGGCAAAGTCCAAACTCCTACGAGGCCCTGGGGCCCAGCACATCTGACCCCTCCGGGCATGCCCATCCCACCCCATCCCTGGAAGCTGCTCTCTAGGAGTTACTCTGAAGCAGTTGCCACTTCTTCCCTCGGGCCTTTTCCCTTGATAATTCTTCACTTCCTCTGGGAAGTCACCCCGACCCCCTGTCAGGTGACCCGCCTCTTAACGGTCGCCGCGTCCCGTCTCTCCCCCACCAAAGCACACTTCCCTTTGCATTGTAATTATCTGTTTACTTCGTCTGTCTCCCTCACTGGACCAGAAGCTACCCTTCGGGAGAGGCTCTGAGTGTTCTGTCCGGGGCTGTGCCCTGGCCCCAGGTACAGTGCCCCACACGTGCTGGGCGCTCCGTAAACACTGGATAAGGGAAGGAACGGGTGCTCTTGGCTAGCTGGGCCAGGCTGCTTTGCAAAAAGGCCGTGGCATTTCAAGCCGCCGAGAGCCACGTGCGGTGTCCCTTTCCTCGCTTCCTCCCCAGTGATGTGCGTTTCCCTCGTCAATGCCACGCTCTCCAGGCGCCAGCCGGGCGGAGGAAATTTCCGCCCCCTCCCAAGCCCGAGGCGGGGGCGGGCGTCGGAAGGTCAGGTGTCCCGGCCGGCGCGCAGCGCCAGGGGGCGTCAGAAGCGCTCAGACCACCGGGCGCTGAGCCGGTGGGCGCGCGGCGTCCTGCCGGGGTCCCACCTCGCAGAGGCCTCGCTTCGCTCGACGTCCCGCCCCGGACAGCCCCAGCACCGGGGACGACCCGCGCTGCGCCAGCGAACCCCGCCTCGGAGGAGTCCCCGCCCGGGCTCTCACCGCCACGCGGCGCGAGCCCGGCCAGCAGCCGGCGCACCTGCTCGGGGAGTGGCCTTCGGCGGAGACGAGCCTCCGATTGGCGCGGAGGTGACAAAGGGGCGTGGCAGATAAGGCCCCGCCCCTCCCACCCCCCACCACCCCCCCGGAGTACTTAAGGGAGTTGGCGGCGCTGCTGCATTCATTGCGCCGCGGCACGGCCTAGCGAGTGGTTCTTCTGCGCTACTGCTGCGCGAATCGGCGACCCCAGTGCCTCGACCACTATGCCGCGCTCTTTCCTCGTCAGGAAGCCCTCCGACCCCAATCGGAAGCCTAACTACAGCGAGCTGCAGGACTCTAATCCAGGTGCGTTGGAGGGGTTCTGGGCTCCAGGAGGTTTGGGGGAGACAGGCGAAGGCTGCGTGGGGGGCACCTGAGGGAGGCGGCCTGCCTGAGCCAGGATCGAGTCACAGGATGTTTTGTGGACCATTGCGGGCTCGGGAGACCGGGCAAGTGGGTCCCCAGTTCCGGGGATCTGTCTGGGTGGTTGGGGGAGTGCCGTGTAGAGGGCAGGGGTCTTCAGCTTGGGGGGCCTTTGTAGCCGGCGAGAGGCGGAGGAGCTCCGCAAGAGGGGAAGGAGAGGAGGCCTGTGTCAGGAGGGCCCTCTGGACGCTGCTGGGGAGAGTCCGGAGTCCAGAGGGTTGAGGGGAGGGGTGGGGAGACGAGATGTGTGTGAGGAGGGGGATTGGGGCAGGGTGGTGGCTCCGGGGCTGGGATGATGGGGTTCTGGCCTCAGGCTGGAGACTGGGGACTTAGGAGAGGGAGATCAGGAAATGACCTCCTTCAACTGGGGGTCCTACGTGTGAGAGACTCAGATTGGGTGACCTGGGCGAGGAGGGCAGGAACCTGGTCTGTCCTGTGGATAATTTTTTTGATCTAATTATGTATTGAGAATCGGCCCCACCCAGCCCCTGGCCAGCGGTGGGCTCATGTTTGTTGATTGAGTGAATGATTTAATTAACGCCTGACTCTGCTTTTTCTCCCTCAGAGTTTACCTTCCAGCAGCCCTACGACCAGGCCCACCTGCTGGCAGCCATCCCACCTCCGGAGATCCTCAACCCCACCGCCTCGCTGCCAATGCTCATCTGGGACTCTGTCCTGGCGCCCCAAGCCCAGCCAATTGCCTGGGCCTCCCTTCGGCTCCAGGAGAGTCCCAGGGTGGCAGAGCTGACCTCCCTGTCAGATGAGGACAGTGGGAAAGGCTCCCAGCCCCCCAGCCCACCCTCACCGGCTCCTTCGTCCTTCTCCTCTACTTCAGTCTCTTCCTTGGAGGCCGAGGCCTATGCTGCCTTCCCAGGCTTGGGCCAAGTGCCCAAGCAGCTGGCCCAGCTCTCTGAGGCCAAGGATCTCCAGGCTCGAAAGGCCTTCAACTGCAAATACTGCAACAAGGAATACCTCAGCCTGGGTGCCCTCAAGATGCACATCCGAAGCCACACGCTGCCCTGCGTCTGCGGAACCTGCGGGAAGGCCTTCTCTAGGCCCTGGCTGCTACAAGGCCATGTCCGGACCCACACTGGTACGTGCCCCTCCAGGCGCCCCCACCGTTGCTCTCTCTGGCAGCTTTTGTGAATCTGGGCTTGCTGTTCTCATTCCCAAAGCTGTGGACACTGAGGCCCCGAGTCTTCTAACTTCTAGCTCAAGTTCCAGGGCCTGGCTCTCTGGAAACGTTTGGCAGAAACTTTCTTCATCAGCTAAGCAGATGGGCAAAGCAGACACCTTCCCAATCCCCTGCAGCCTGTTTCTCAGCCAAATGGGTCGGAGCTGGATATGGGAAAGGTGCAACCAACACCTTGCTGTGGGGGCCAGGTGTGAAGGGGCCCACCCGGCCACACCCTCTCCCGGGTCCGCCCCCTCCCTAGCCAGACAGGATGTTGTCAGACCCCCCGCCTGGCTCTGAATCCTTCTTTGAGAACTTTCTCAAAACTTAGGCTGATGTTTCTCTTCTGTGAGCCTCATTTTCTCTATCTTTCAGATGGGCATGAGAACAGCTTTTGGGGTTTCTATACAGGCTAAATGCAGGAATGCATATGGGAAGCACCTGGCAAAGTGCCGGTACCTGCTAAACTCTCACAAAAATGGTTCCTTGGCATTTGCTCTGCTTCCTTGCTGTGTGACTTTGGGCAAGCAACTTAACCTCTCTGAGCCTTAGGGGAAAACTATGATAGCATATGTTTTAGAGAGTGGCTGTAAAGGTGGCTAATCACTTTATAGTAATTTATTATACCCGAACGGTTCTCAGGTCGGCTTCCCCACCCCCACTGAATCCTAGCACACAGACCAGGAAACGGCATCTTTGGGGCAGAAAACACAATCACGTCTTTTGAAAATTTACTAAATGTGTAAAAAACTTTCTGGACATGGAGAAAAGGTAGAACTTTTTAGAACTTGAATGGTGGCAGCCACTGTGCCTGGAGCTGCTCTTTGGAGAGTGACAGTTGAGGGAGAAGATTCCACAGGGTTCAAGCTGGCCAGGTTCTGCCATTTCCTGGCCTGGCGCCTGACCTCTGAGCGGTGAGGGTTAGTGAGGTGTCTGGGAGGACTGGCAATTCGCGGGCTTTATTGGCATCTTATTCGACTAAGGCTACCCATTTCTCTTCCTTCGTGCACCAATTGCTCTGATTTTAACATGTAAAGGTCCAACTGCCTGGCCTCCTGGGTGCCTGCCCAGCTCACAGGGCTCTATTTTGGGACAGTTGAACCCCTCAGGGTGCTGCAGTCCTGCCTGCCTCTCTCACCTCCCATCTGGACATTATTTTAATGTAAAGGCATGGCTGAGACACAGAAATCCCCTTGAAATGTATCATTGCGGTCCTCATTGACTCCCATTGTGTGCCTTAATGGTGGGCCCAGTGGGTGGGGGCTGGGAGGGGTGGAGCAGGTGCATGGGGCAGCGGTGCCCAGCACCTGTTCCAGTCACAGCTGCTGGCCCACTGCATGGCAGGCCCCTTTAATCCGGGGATATCGCATGTACAGTGCCCCCCTCGGCGCCCTTTGTCCCCGCCGGCCTGGTGCCGATTTCACACTTGCCAGGAGTACCATGAAGGCGTCTGGGGGGCGAGGGATCCAAGGAGTGGGGGTCTGTGCCTCCTGCGTGTGCACACAGCCCCCGCCCCCAGCCCATCATGTCCTAGAATGTCTCCTTCCCCTTTTGTTTGGGTTCAGGTCTCATCACACTTTGGGCACTTACTGTACAGGAGGGTAGTGCTCAGGACTTCACCAACAGCCCTGGGAAGGGAAGGGAGGTGCTGTCCTAACTCTGGTCTTACAAATGGACTCCAGCCCCTTTTCCAGATCTCCAGAGTCAGCCCTTAGTTCACAAGGGTGAACTTACCCTTCTCATTCACATGAAGACTTAGAATGCAATCAACAAACCCTTCAGGCGTGGCGTGTGGAGGCTGCTGAGTAATGGCAGAGTGGAGTAGTGCTCAGGCACCCCTCCCCCAATCCTCTATGTCCCCCACCCTTTGGAGTGGCGAGTTTCCATTTCTGCCCCATGAGACTGAGTCCAGCTCTCAGGCGCTCCATAAGTCCCTATTGAATGCATGGGTCCCATTGGAGCCATCCTCTGGACTCTCTCCTACCCTGGTAGCTCAGTGTGGCACCCTAGGCACCCAGGAGGTGATGGAATGAATTCACTCTCAGCTCTTAAATTCCATCCAGCGCTGGGATTTCACAGGCGGGCCCTGACCTTGCGGGCATATCAGACTGGGCGTGAGGGGATTGGAGAATTGCATGTTTTTTAAAAAGACTATTCAGTATTATGGAATAGTGTCTAGCACTTAGTAGGAGCTCAGTAGATTAAAAAAAAAATTATAGACAGGGTCTTGCTTTATCGCCTAGGCTTGTCTCAAACTCCTGGCTTCAAGCAATCCTGCCTCACTCGGCCTCCCAGAGTGATGGGATTACAAGCGTGAGCCACCACACCCAGCCTCAATAGATTTTTGTTTAATGGGTTACTGTTATGACCTTTTATTTGGAAAATGCTGCATCCCCCAGAAAAAAACAAATCAACATTATTGGTGTTTTTGGAACTATATAGCTTTTTGGTTGGAGCAGGGATTGTTATGAGGCATGAGTGAGGGGGCAGACTCCTCTGAGGCCTCTTTAATTTTTAAAACAGACTTATTTATTCTCTAAGGGCTTGTTGAGGATTTACTGGGCACCCAGCTCCATGTGCAAGACTTTTCCCAACACAGCCTTGGCCAGGCAGATGGTGTGTCAGGGCCACAGGTTTCCGTAGCCTCTTGGGTGATAGAAAGGGGCCCAGGCCCTGGGCTGGGGCTCAGAAGGGACTCAAAGGAGGCCCTTGCCCTTATGGGACTCAGCCTGATTGGAGAACAGACAAGGAGATTTGGGATTACAGCGCAGGAGGTGGGGTGGTGAGGAAAGCAGGCTGCTGGCCGGGCCCCAGGAGTGGCCTAACCAGCTTGGAGGTGGGGGTGGGGAAGCCTCTTAAGGCTGACTCTGGCTTTGGCCCCCAACAGAGTAAATCAAGGAATGACTCCAGGACTGATGGTAAGGACACCAGTCACGTCCTCCCTTGACTGAAGGCAGTAAGGGCAGTAGGTGAAATCAGAGGCTTTGGGGTCCTGCCAGGGGAACCTGAACATGCTACTTCTGGGCCTCAGTTTCACTGTCTCTGAAATGAGACCACAGTAGGATCAAGTGACAGTAGGATGAATCAGTAAAGGTGTTGAGTCATTGTTGACCACTTCGCACGTCCCTGCGGGATGTGGATGAGTACCCTACCTTCTGTCACTTATCAACCCCTATGAGTGGGGGGTGAATAGCCCCATTTTACAGGTGGGAAAATGGAGGCTCAGAGAAGCCAGACAACTTGCTCAGAGTTGCACAGTGGGAAGCAGCAGAGCTCCGTCAGGTCCCGGCCTTTGGACCCTGGCTGTGTGTTTGACGGAGGCCTGGCTTTCCTGGGATCATGGGATTCTTTCAGGGTTTGGGGTATGCGGGGAGGGATTCCCATCACTGCCAGCCGTTGTCCCACGGCTCACTCGGCCTTTCTGGCGTTCTCTCCCCAGGCGAGAAGCCCTTCTCCTGTCCCCACTGCAGCCGTGCCTTCGCTGACCGCTCCAACCTGCGGGCCCACCTCCAGACCCACTCAGATGTCAAGAAGTACCAGTGCCAGGCGTGTGCTCGGACCTTCTCCCGAATGTCCCTGCTCCACAAGCACCAAGAGTCCGGCTGCTCAGGATGTCCCCGCTGACCCTCGAGGCTCCCTCTTCCTCTCCATACCTGCCCCTGCCTGACAGCCTTCCCCAGCTCCAGCAGGAAGGACCCCACATCCTTCTCACTGCCATGGAATTCCCTCCTGAGTGCCCCACTTCTGGCCACATCAGCCCCACAGGACTTTGATGAAGACCATTTTCTGGTTCTGTGTCCTCTGCCTGGGCTCTGGAAGAGGCCTTCCCATGGCCATTTCTGTGGAGGGAGGGCAGCTGGCCCCCAGCCCTGGGGGATTCCTGAGCTGGCCTGTCTGCGTGGGTTTTTGTATCCAGAGCTGTTTGGATACAGCTGCTTTGAGCTACAGGACAAAGGCTGACAGACTCACTGGGAAGCTCCCACCCCACTCAGGGGACCCCACTCCCCTCACACACACCCCCCCACAAGGAACCCTCAGGCCACCCTCCACGAGGTGTGACTAACTATGCAATAATCCACCCCCAGGTGCAGCCCCAGGGCCTGCGGAGGCGGTGGCAGACTAGAGTCTGAGATGCCCCGAGCCCAGGCAGCTATTTCAGCCTCCTGTTTGGTGGGGTGGCACCTGTTTCCCGGGCAATTTAACAATGTCTGAAAAGGGACTGTGAGTAATGGCTGTCACTTGTCGGGGGCCCAAGTGGGGTGCTCTGGTCTGACCGATGTGTCTCCCAGAACTATTCTGGGGGCCCGACAGGTGGGCCTGGGAGGAAGATGTTTACATTTTTAAAGGTACACTGGTATTTATATTTCAAACATTTTGTATCAAGGAAACGTTTTGTATAGTTATATGTACAGTTTATTGATATTCAATAAAGCAGTTAATTTATATATTAAAAAGTCTTTGGTGTCATAGAGGAGTGGGTATTTTGAAAGGTCTTTGGTAAGGGAGGAGGGGACAGGAATTCCTGAAGCTTAGATATTTCTGACACAGCCTTAAATCTTGTCCTTGGAAACATCATAGGGCTTTGGAGTCCTGGGTGTCACTGTCAGGGACCTTATGAGACTGGGTTTTCCCGTTGGCCTGGGTGTCCTGTCTGCTGCTGTTTGGGTGAGCCAGCGGCATCCATACGAGCTCTTCACTATACACTGTGGCTTTTTACTTTCTCGTTCTTGAATTTTGAAGTTGATCTGGCCCACGGAGTGCAAAGCTGGCTTCCTGGGTCTTATCAACTAGACAGGCTGCAAAGCTCTGCCCCAGCACTGCAGGTCTTTTGGGGTGGGATTGTCCGCTTCCCCCAGATGCGAGTGGAATGCGACCAAGGAGACAGAGGATGTCCTTCCTGTTTCCAAGGGCTCCAGGCCCCCTTGGGCCTCCTTGTCAGTCCCACACCTCCGTCTTGCTGCTGGGTACCAAATGGCCTTTGATGCGAGGAAATTGGCTGGCTGGAGCCAGTAGGGTGAGAAGCCAGGCCAAAGGGTAGGGGTCACTCAGCTTCCTGCTCCGAGGACGGCGGGACGGTCAGCATGCGTCTTGGGCTAGGGTAATTCATTCCCCGCCAGCCGATGGTGGTGACCTCACCACTGGGGGCCTCTTGGGGCCAGGAGAAAATGAGTGTCCTTTTTGAACACAAAAGGTGCTGGAGGTGCCAGTTTCCTGTGAGGAGCTGAGGCGTCCCAGAGCTTCGGAGCCCCAGAGTCAGGCTGGGGGTGGGGGGAGCTTCATGTTCCAAAGGAGAGATGATTCTTTCTTCTAAACAGGAAATGGTGACCCGCAGGCCGGGAGCAGCCCTTAATGACTTGCAGCTTTCCTCCCAAAAGGAAAAAAAAAAACGTTCTCTAACAATCGCCAAATTGTGGCCTGCCTCCCTGAAGGGAAGTTAGGGAGTTGGGGGGATGGGGGTTGGGCATCCATGAGCTGAAGGCCTACTGTGTCCTGGGTCCCTGCGGGTCCCTCTAGGTCGTCTCCATCCACCCACAGTAGGTGCTGAATGAATGATTTCATGACTTCACATAATCCCTGGGGGTCGGGCCTCCGGAAAATGAGGCACAGAGGTGGGCTTGCCTGAGGTCACCAAGCCCGGCCCCTCAGGTCATCCTGGGAGTTCGGTAGGCTGGGCTCATGCCGCTGACTCTCAGGGCACCTGGAGCAAGGCTCTCTCCCTCTGGGGGCCCCAGTTTCTGTGTCTATAAAACAGGGTGACAGTAGTGCCTTCCTCTCGGAGACTGTACAGAGGCATTCATTCATTCAGGGGTTTCGAGGGTACCATATGTGCCAGGCCCTGGGGTTACACCCGTGAACAAGACAGGCCATCCCTGCGTTCATGGGACGTATGTTCTGGTCGGGGAGAGAGAAAGCAAACAAGTGATTAAATAAACAAGCCGCTTTTCTACAGTGATGGTGCCAGGACAGAATGAAAGGGTGCCAGGCACTAGAGAACAACGGGGTGGGGCTCCCCAGGCCAAGGCAGTGAGAGCCCTGGAAGAGCTGAATTCCAGCCCGGACCTGAAGGAGGAGAAAGATGCCGGCAGGGAAGGATCTGGGGGAGGGAATAGCAAGCCTGCTGGAATGTGCTGCCCCCATGAGAAAGACCAGGATGGCGGAGGGACTGGGAAGACAGGGTGGGAGAGGAGAGTGGGCCCAGCTCTGCAGAGCTTGTGGTGCTAAGCAGGTGGGAATTTTGTCTAAGCCCCTAGGGCAGCCACTGGGGCTGTAAAGCAGGAGAGTGCTGAGGCCTGCTGTTACCTTTCCTACAAAGATCTCCCTGGCTGCTTGGGAGAATGGATCTCAGGGGTCCAGGAGGAGAAAGACAAAGGCAGGGAGACCATGAGAAAGCCAGAGGGGGCCAGGCACCCTGGCTCATGCCTGTAATCCCAGCAATTTGGGAGGCTTAGACAGGCAGATCACCTGAGGCTAGGAGTTCGACACCAGCCTGGCTAACATGGCAAAACCCCGTCTCTACTAAAATAAAAAATTACCCGGGCATGGTGGGGCATATGCCTGTAGTCCCAGCTACTTGGGAAGCTGAGGCAGGAGAATCGCTTGAGGTCGGGAGCTGAGATCTCGCCACTGCACTCCAGCCTGGGTCACAGAACGAGACCTTGTCTCAAACAAACAAACAAACAAAAAAGGGCCAGAGGGGAGGGAGGGAAGGAAAGGAGGGAGGATGGTGGCCTGGCTCAGGGTGTTGGTGGCCTTGGAGATGAAGCCTGTATTTAAGAAACTTGTGGCAGTTGTGGCCACCCAGCCCATGGCCCAGCACACCTGAGCCCTAGTGGGTGACAGTTATTTAGTATTATTATCTGGGGAACTGGGCATGGTGGTTCACATCTGTGTAGTCCTAGCTATTTAGAGGCTGAAGTGTGAGGGTTGCTGGAGCCCAGGAGTCCAAGGCCAGCCTGGACAACACATCGAGACATTGTCTCTACAAAAAAATTTAAAAATTGGCCGGGCGAGGTGGCTCACGCCTGTAATCCCAGCACTTTGGGAGGCCAAGGTGGGGCAGATCACTTGAGGCCAGGAGTTCGAGACCAGCCTGGCCAACATGGTGAAACCCCGTCTCTACTAAAAATACAAAAATTAGCTGGGTGTGGTGTCATATGCCTGTAATCCCAGCTACTTGAGAGGCTGAGCACGAGAATCCCTTGAACTTGGGAGGCAGAGGTTGCAGTAAGCCGAGGTCGTGCCACTGCACTCCAGCCTGGGCTACAGAGTGACACTCTGTCTCAAAAAAAAAAAAAAAAAAAAAAAAAAAAAAGTCCGGGCTTGGTGGAGCACACCACCAAGGGGATGTTGGATCTAGTGGGGGTAGATACTATGAAGCTGAGAAAAGAATGGGGAAAGCCTCTATATTCTGATCCTGAGCAAACCCCAAAGCACTAAGTGAAAAAGAAATCACCGGCAGATGTGCTCCCTTCTGTGGGCAGAAGAGGGATGAAAATCATCAACACGTGATTCATTCTTGTTTGTATTTGCATACGGAGACTCTGGAGGTTAGGACAATATACTAACAAAAGTGGTTCCCTGGTGGGTTGCAGGAGGTGGGATTGGGGTGGACAAGGACTGGAGGGAGGGAAGAAGGGAGCCATTTTTTAAAGATTTTTAAGACGTTTTACTTTGAAATAATTGCAGCCTGACAGAAATTGCAAGAAACAGTAAACTGGAATCGTACATTCAGATTCTTCAATACGTTAACGTTTTATCATGGATACATCTTCCCTCTCTTCCTAGACATACACACACATTATTTAGTTCTGAACCATTTGAATTTTTTTTTTTTTTCAGATGGAGTCTCGCTGTGTCACCCAGGCTGGGATGCAATGGCGTGATCTCGGCTCACTGCGACATCTGCCTCCTGGGTTGAAGCGATTCTTGTGCCTCAGCCTCCCCAGTGGCTGGAATTACAGGCATGTGCCACCATGCTCGGCTAATTTTTGTATTTTTAGTAGAGACGGGGTTTCACCATATTGGCCAGGCTGGTCTCGAACTTATGGCCTCAAGTGATCTGCCCGCCTCAGCCTCCCAAAGTGCCGGGATTACAGGTGTGAGCCACGGCGCCCGGCCTGAACCATATGAGAGTAAGTTATAGACACAGTGCCCCTTTACTGCTAAATATTTAAGCTATGTGTCCTAAGGATAAGGACATTCTCCCATAGTTTCATGATCAAAATTAGGAAATTTAACATTGGTGCAATGCTACTCTGTAATCCATAGTCATAATCACATTTCTGCAAGTGCCCCAATGATGTCTTTCACAGCATTTTGGGGGGTGTAGCTGGTGGGGAATGACCAGGATGCAATGCAAGGATCACACACTGCATTCACTTGTCCTCACTCTTTTATTTATTTATTTAAAATTTTTTTTCTAACAGAGACAAGGTCTCACTCTGTTGCCCAGGCTGGTCTCGAACTCTTGTGGGTTCAAGCAATCTGCCCGCCTCAGCCTCCCAAAGTGCTGGGATTACAGACATGCCCAGCTACTTGTCCTGACTCTTTTTTTTTTTTTTTTTTTTTTTTTTTGAGACAGAGTTTCTCTCTTGTTGCCCAGGCTGGAGTGCAATGGCATGATCTCGGCTCACTGCACCCTCCACCTCCCGGGTTCAAGTGATTCTCCTGCCTCAGCCTCCTGAGTAGCTGGGATTACAGGCATGAGCCACCACGCCCGGCTAATTTTGTATTTTTAGTAGAGATGGGGTTTCTCCATGTTAGTCAGGCTGGTCTCGAACTCCCAACCTCAGGTGATCCACCCGCCTCGGCCTCCCAAAGTGCTGGGATTAACAGGCGTGAGCCACCGCTCACTTAATCTCTTTTTTCCCAAGGCAGCTCCTCAGCCTTTCTTTGTCTTTCACAACATTGACGTTTTTTGAAGAGTACAGGCCAGTTGTTTTGTTGAATGCCCTCCAGTTTTTTTCCTGATGTTTCCTCATAATTACATTTGGGATACGCACTTTGGGCAGAACCACAGAAGCAGCATGTGTCTTGTTTGGTGCAAGGTGTCATGAAGCACATGAGGTCGGCTCATCCCAGACTGACATCAACTTTGACTGCTTGGTTAAGGTGGGGCCCACTAGGTCCCTCCTTGCTGAAGTTCCTCTTTTTCCCTTTGCGCTCAATCTGTATCTTGTGAAGAGATACTTGAAGACCATGTGATGCCTCCGAGTATCTCCTCACAAGATACGGAAAGGACCATGTGATCCTATGATGCCTCAAACTTCCATCCACAAGTTTCATCCCTTTCAGGTTCTTTTTGCCTAAATCAATTACATTTTACGATGGTAGTTACCAAATGATGATTTCCTTTCTTTTTTTTTTTTTTTTTTTGAGACAGAGTCTTGCTCTGTCGCCCAGGCTGGAGTGCAGTGGCACGATCTTGGCTCACTGCAAGCTCTGCCTCCTGGGTTCACGCCATTCTCCTGCCTCAGCCTCCCGAGTAGCTGGGACCACAGGCACCCTCCACCACACCCAGCTAATTTTTTGTAGTTTTAGTAGAGACGGGGTTTCACCGTGTTAGCCAAGATGGTCTCGATCTCCTGACCTTGGGATCCGCCCGCCTCGGCCTCCCAAAGTGCTGGGATTACAGGCGTGTGCCACTGCGCCCGGCCCAAACGGTGATTTTCTAACCCCATCATTCCTTCTACTTTACTGGCTGGCTTTCTCCTGCAGGACTTCCCCTCTGTCGGGGCAGCGGCTTAGAGCTGTGGGTTGGGAGAAATGGGGCCAGGAGCAGCAGGATCTGGCCAGGCCATTAGATCCTCCCCGGGGATTTTCTTTAAAACGAGTCCAGGAAATAAACTGGCTATAAAGCCAGTCTCCATGCAAGTGTCAAGGCAGGCAGGTCTGGGGCCAAGGCCATCTCTGGGCACATCTGGGCTGCATTAGTGACCTGTTGGCTACTTATGGGTATCCTCTGAGCTGGGATGAGGGTCTCCTGGTAGACAGGGATCAGGACTGTCCTTGTTCTTCTTTGCTTTCAAACTGTTTATTTTTTTCGTTTTTCCTTTTTTTTTTTTTTTTTTTTGAGACAGAGTGTCACCCAGGCTGGAGTGCAGTGGCTCAATCTCGGCTCACTACAGGCTCAACCTCCTGGGCTCAAGAGATTCTCCCAGCTCAGCCTCCTGAGTAGCTGTGACTAAACACACACACCATCATACCTGCCTAATTTTTGTGTTTTTTGCAGAGATGTAGTTTCGTCATGCTGCCCAGGCTGGTCTTGAACTCCTGGACTCAACCTATCCTCCCACCTCAGCTTCCCAAAGTGCCGGGATTACAGTCATGAGCCGCTACACCTGCCCAAATTGTCAGTTTCATAAATATCACAGGAACGTATTCCCTCCTTTAAAAGAGTGAGAAGGTGACATGTGAAGCTCCAGTGGCATGTGATCAACACTCTCTATCCTTATGCCTTTACTGTCCCCAGCATGACGCCATGGAGATCTTGGTTTACATCTTTGTCAGTTAAAAAAATTAGCAACTGGCCGGGCGTGGTGGCTCACGCCTATAATCCCAGCACTTTGGGAGGCCGAGGTGGGTGGATCATGAGGTCAGGGGTTCGAGACCAGCCTGACCAACATGGTGAAACCTGATCTCTACTAAAAATACAAAAAAATTAGCTGGGCATGGTGGCGGGTGCCTGTAATCCCAGCTACTCAGGAGGCTGAGGCAGGAGAATAGCTTGAACCCAGGAGGCGGAGGTTGCAGTGAGCCGAGATTGTGCCACTGCGCTCCAGCCTGGGCAACAGAGCAAGACTCTGTCTCCAAAAAAAAAAAAAAAAAAGCAACTATATTTCTTTTCTTTCTCTCTCTCTGTCTCTTTTTTTTTTTTTTTTTTTTTTTTGACAGAGTCTCACTCTGTTGCCCAGGCTGGAGTGCAGTGGCATGATCTGATCTCAGCTCACTGCAACCTCTGCCTCCTGGGTTCAAGTGATTCTCCTGCCTCAGCCTCCAAGTAGCTGGGATTACAGGCGCCCACCACCATGCCCCACTAATTTTTGTATTTTTAGTAGAGACGGAGTTTCACCATGTTGGCAAGGCTGGTCTTGAACTCCTGACCTCAGGTGATCCACCTGCCTCAGCCTCACAAAGTGCTGGGATTATAGATGTGAGCCACTGCACCCAGCAAAAAAAAAATGAGCAAATATATTTCCATGCATACATGGCTCCGTCTCACTTACCTGGTTCCACAAGGGCCTCCACCACCTCTGCCTCATCCCTTTCCCCGCCCCCCTCACTCCTTCCAGCCACACCAGGCTCCCTGCCCCCTCAGGGCCTTTGCACTGCCACTCCTTCTGCCAGGAGCACTACCCTAGAGAGCCACATGGCCACTCACCTCCCATCCCTCTCCCTTTCATTCCAACCCCTTTCCCTGTTATTTTCTCCATCTGACAAAACACTCATTTCCCTGTTCAGAGTTTCTCTGTTGACTGTCTTCCCCCACCAGAATGTCAGCTCCATGCAGGTGGAATTTTTTTTTTTTTTTTTTTTGAGATGGAGTTTCGCTCTTATTGCCCAGGCTGGAGTGCAATGGCACGATCTCAGCTCACCACAACCTCCGCCTCCAGGGTTCAAGCAATGCTCCCGCCTCAGCCTCCCAAGTAGCTGAGATTACAGGTGCACACCACCACGCATGGCTAATTTTTGTATTTTTAGTAGAGACGGGGTTTCACCATGTTGGTTAGGCTGGTCTTGAACTCCTGACCTCATGATCCGCCCGCCTCGGCCTCCCAAAGTGCTGGGATTACAGGCATGAGCCACCATGCCCAGCCATGCAGGTGGAAATTTTGTCTTCTTCATTCACTGTGCAGTGATCCCTGGAGTCCCTTTCACATGTGGGAGGCACACGCTCCGGGAAACATTGCTGAAGGAATGATGAGTGAGTTGATATGTGCCTGTCAGAAACACCGTGTGGTCACCATTTTTTTTTTTTTTTTTTTTTGAGATGAAATCTCCCTCTGTTGCCTAGGCTGGAGTGCAGTAGTGTGATCTCAGCTCACTGCAACCTCCGTCTACCGGGTTCAAGCAATTCTCCTGCCTCAGCCTGCCGAGTAGCTGGGATTACAGGCGCCTGCCATCATGCCTTTTGTTGTTGTTGTCGTCTTTTTAGTAGAGATGGGGTTTCACCATGTTGGCCACGGTGACCTCGAACTCCTGACCTCAGGTAATCCACCTGCCTCAGCCTCCCAAAGTGCTGGGATTACAGGCGTGAGCCACTGCGCCCAGCATTTTTTTTTTTTTTTTTTTGAGGCAGAGTCTCACTGTCACCCAGGCTGGAGTGCAGTGGCTCGATCTCAGCTCAGTGCAACCTCTGCCTCCTGGGTCCAAATGATTCTCATGTCTCAGCCTCCCAAGTAGCTGGCATTACAGGTGTGTGTCACCAAGCCCAGCTAATTTTTTTTGTATTTTTAGTAGGACGGAGTTTCACCATGCTGGCCAGGCTGGTCTCGAGCTCCTGGCCTCAAGTGATCCGCCCACCTCAGCCTTCCAAAGTGCTGGGATTACAGGCATGAGCCACTGCGCCTGGCCCATTTTGAATTTTTGTTTTTGAGTTTGTTTGGTTAGACTTCCTTCTGCTGTGAAACCCACAGTTGGGTGATATATTAGTTTCCTAGGGCTGCCCCCACCAAATTCCCATGAACTTGGTGGGAAGAGCAGAAGTTTATTCCTTCATGGTCCCAGAGGCCAGAAGCAGGACATCAAGGCATCCACAGGGCTGTGTTTCCTCCACAGACTGTAGGGTAGACTCCTTCCTTGTCTCTTCTCTGTGTCTTTGTTTCTCTTTTTTTTTTTTTCAAGATGGAGTCTCACTCTCTCGCCCAGGCTGCTCACTGCAACCTCTGCCTCCTACTTCAAGCGATTCTCCTGCCTCAGCCTACAGAGCAGCTGGGATTACAGGCATGTGCCACCACACCCGGCTAATTTTTGTATTTTTAGTAGAGAGAGGGTTTCACCATGTTGGCCAGGCCGGTCTTGAACTCCTGACCTCAGGTGATCTGTCCGCCTCGGCCTCCCAAAGTGCTGGGATTACAGGCGTGAGCCACTGCGACTGGTTAGCCGTCTCTGTTTCTCTTAAGACACCAGTCATTGGATGTAGGGGCCACCCTAATCCAGGATTATCTAATCTTTACTTGATTGCATCCACAAAGATGCTATTTCCAGATAAGGTCACATTCCCAAGTCCTGGGAATTGACTTGAACATATCTCTGGGTTCTACAATTCAACCCCAGGTGTACTGGTGGCTACAACCAAAGGCTTGGCAAGGCTTTCTCAGGGTCTGGAATGAATCCAGGTGCACTTATCTGTTTATTTATTTGGAGGTCGGTGGGGGGGGGGGGTTCTCACGCTGTCACCCAGGTGGAAGTGCAGTGGTGCAATCACAGCTCACTGTAGCCTTAAGCAGATCCAGGAAGTTTTTATTATTCACTCACCAAACCCTGCAGGAGGGTCAGGAAGGTGGCCTGGAGGAGGGGACCCTTAGGAGGAGACTTGGGAGGTGAGTAGGATTTTGCCTCTGTGGCTCCAGGAAGAGAGAGAGAGCCCTAGGTCAAAGCTCCACCAAGCCCTGACTGCAGAGGTTACTGCATGAGCAGGTACCCCAGGGTTGGGTGACAGCCACAGAGGGAGAGGTCGGCTTGCATCAGGGCCAGGCCATGCGGGCCTCGGAGTGGGGAACTACAGATTTATCCTGAGGGCAATGGGGAGCCATGGGAGGGGCTGGCAGGGAGGGGACTGAGTGGGTTTACTCTTTGGAAAGATCCCTGGGGCCACTGTGATGGGAGCAGGTCTGGCAGCAGGAAGAGCAGTTGAGGAGGTGGCCACGGCCCCGTGATGGTGGCAGATGAGGCAGGGGTGCTGTTTGGCGACACATGAATGAGCAGACTGAGGGAGGAGACAAGGATGATGCCGGGACAGGATTTTTCGCCAAGTGAGGGAAATAAGGACCCAGGGAGGCAAAGAGCAAACACTCAGGCAAATAATAATGACGATGATGGTAACAGAAACACTTCATTCCAGTTCACTACCTGTTTTGCACGGATTATTTAATTTAATCATCACAACAGCCTGAGGCAATGTGGGTATAAGAGAAGGTCCTATAGAGTTTAGGGGCTCTAGAGTCAAACTTCCTGGGTTCAGTCTCTGCTCCATTGCCTACCTCCTGTGTGACCTAGAGCAAGTTGTTCAACCTCTCTGAGTGTCCATTTTCTTATCTGACAAGCAGCCTCTCCTTCCTGGGGTTGTTGTACAGATTCAGTGAGTAAATCCTTGTAAATTGGCCGGCACGGTGGCTCACGCCTGTAATCCCGGCATTTTGGGAGGCCGAGGTGGGCGGATTACCTGAGGTAGGGAGTTCAAGACCAACCTGACCAAAATGAAGGAACCCCATCTCTACTAAAAATACAAAATTAGCTGGGCGTGGTGGCACATGCCTGTAATCTCAGCTGTTCAGGAGGCTGAGGCAGGAGAATCGCTTGAACCCAGGAGGCGGTGGTTGCGGTGAGCTGAGATCGTGCCATTGCACTCTAGCCTGGGCAACAAGAGAGAAACTCTGTCTCAAAAAAAAAAAAAAAAGAAAAAAAGAAAAAAAAAACTTGTAAATTGCTTGCCCTCGGGCCTGGAAGAGTAAGCTTTAGTAAACAGTGGCTGTAACTATGCCCATTTTACGGATATGAAGAAAGGGAGAGTAGCGAAGCTTTCCAAGTTCATCTAGAGGATAATCCTACGGTTTCAGGCACTCTGCGTCTCTTACCAAAGTCTGGGGACCTGAGCTGGCCTGCAGATCCCAGGGTCTGGCATCCTGTTTCATCCCCTGGAATCCTGAGTGCCAGGGCTGGGCAGCCCAGACCTGGAGGAGCCGGGACACTTGCCGTGCACACTTCCTCTCTGGGTACAACCTGGAAGGTCCTCAGGCTAGGGGACGCAGGGCACCAAACTCAATTCTATTTAGCTGGAGCTATGGCCTGAAATAAAAGCTTAAATGGGGCTGAAAAGGTAGCAGCAAGGAGAAATGAAACCCATGTGTCACTCATGGGGGCCCTCGGGACGGGGATCCCTCAGAGAAACTCATCTTTACCCCAGGGAAAGACCCAGCGCTGGGCACGGGGCTTTCCCAAGGCTGTCAATCTTCTGCTTGCAGTTACAAATGCCACCAATGTCTCACTTTGTGACCCAGGATGAGTCCTTGCCTTCTCCAGCTTCACTTTGCAGGTCACCAAAATGTGCTTAACTTTTGACCCAATAATAAAATAAAAAGCACTTTAACACACACATTTTACCCAGCACGTTTCAGTAGAGCAAACACCATCAACAATCTACATGCCCAGCACAAGTGGATTGTATATGTTACCTGGAGTCCTGGTGTGTTCTGAAAACTTTGCAATTATAGATGATTATACAATCCCTAAAATATACATGGTATGTATATTTTTCTCTATTTTTTTTTTTTTTTTTTTTTTGGAGACAGGGTCTTGCGCTGTCATGCAGGACGGAGTGCAATGGTGAGATCTCGGCTCACCGCAACCTTGACCTCTCGGGCTCAAGTGACCTTCCCATCTCAGCCTCCTTAGTAGCTGCGACTACAGGTGCATGCCACCACGCCTCACTAATTTTTGCATTATTATTATTATTTTTTTTTTGTAGAGACGGGGTCTTGCCACATTGCCCAGGCTGGTCTCAAACTCCTGAGCTCAAGTGATCCTCCCACCTCAGCCTCCCAAAGTGCTGGGATTACAGGCATAAGCCACCATGCCCGGCCCATTATATGTATCTCATATGAACAGAGAAAGAATAAGCCTGGCACATGATTAGCAGCCCAAAATGCTTTTTTTTCTTCTTCTCGAGATGGAGTCTCTCTCTGTCACCCAGGCTGGAGTGCAATGGCGCAATCTTGGCTCACTGCAATCTCCACCTCCCAGGTTCAAGCAATTCTCCTGCCTCAGCTTCCCGAGTAGCTGGGATTACAAGCATGCACCACCACATCCAGCTAATTTTTAGGTTTTGTTTTTTTGTTTGTTTGTTTTTTGAGCTGGAATCTTGCTCTGTTGCCCAGGCTAGAGTGCAATGGTACAGTCTGACCTCACCACAACCTTCACCTCCGGGGTTCAAGCGATTCTCCTGCCTCAGCCTCCCCAGTAGCTGGGACTACAGGCACACGCCACCACGCCTGGGTAATTTTTGTATTTTTAGTAGAGATGGGGTTTCACTATGTTGGCCAGGCTGGCCTCGAACTCCTGACCTCGTGATCCACCTGCCTTGGTTTCCCAAAGTGCTGGGATTGCAGGCATGAGCCACAGTGCCCGGCCCCAAAATGTTTCTTGAACAATTAAATGAATGAACGAATAAGCGGTCAGTACTCAGTGAATATTTGTTGACAGAAAGGAAAGGAGAAAAAGAAAGGAAAAAAGGAAGGATCTGGAAGGTTTGTACCCACAGTCACAGTGATTTTCTGGGAGAGGAGGCTGAGGCAATGGCGAGGAGGAGGGCATTTCCTGTTAGGTAATGTTTAACCTCTTCTGCGTCTGTATTATGATAGCTTCCCCTAAGGGAGCATCTTTTAGTTCACAAGCAAGCAGTCAATAGTCCCACGGACAAACTCGATTGTCACACATTGCCTTGAGAAGGTGCTGACAGGCAGAAAAAGCAGTTTGCCAAGCAGCCTGAAAAAATGATATGGCCCCATTTCTTTTCTTTTCTTTTTTTTTTTTTTTTTGAGAGAGTCTCACTCCGTCACCCAGGCTGGAGTGCAGTGGCACGATCTCAGCTCACTGCAACCTCCGCCTTCTGGGTTCAAGCAATTCTCCCACCTTAGCCTCCCAAGTAGCTGGACCTACAGGTGCATGCCACTACACCTGGCTAATGTTTGGTAGAGATGAGGTTTCACCATGGTGCTCAGCTGGTCTTGAACTCCTGAGCTCAGGCGATCCACATACCTCAGCTTCCCAAAGTGTGGGATTGCAGGCGTGAGCCACTGCGCTTGGCCAAGGCCCCATTTCTGTAAAATTTTACCTCTAGCTTTACCCATCCTTGCCTTCACACAGAGGGAAGCGCCTGTCTGCCCTGGGGGTCAACAGTGGTTCTGTCTGGATAGTGGGGTGGCTGGGGTTAAGTTTTCTTTTTTATAGGTCTCTGAATTTCTGTAATGAGCATGCACCAGGCATGGGTTTTGGGTTTTTACAGGCTCACACCTTTAACTCCAGCACTTTGGGAGGCTCAGGCAGGAGGATCCCTTAAGGCTAGGAGTTCAAGGCCAGCCTGGGCAACATAATGGGACCCCACCTCTACAAAAAGTAGTAACAGTAAGGAGTATGTATTTTTCTTTTTAAACAGAAACACACACACACAGGAAAAACATGCAACACTTGGCAATGTTCCGGGACCTAGGGGGTCTGGCACTCTGCAGTCATGGCCACCCTGTCAATCTTGAGGGCCATAGAGTGACATTTGGGTGCCCTGTGGTGCCCACCCTGAGCACTGCCAGTGAACTGAATCCATCCTCCACCTCAGTATCTATGGACAGCTCATTCTTCAACTCTGGGGGGCCGATATTCACCAAGACCACGAATATTCACCCAGACCACGAATCTTCACCAAGACCACAAATCTTCACCTTGCAGGTGCTCACTGCTGTGACTCAATCATTCCAGGGAATGAGCTGCATGGGGTGACAGCCCCTTCGAGAGAGTCAGGGACTGAGCTCAGAAAAGACAAAGGACTTGTCCAAGAATGCACAGCCATTAGGTAAGTGGTGGCACCAGGTTTTTTTTTTTCTTTCTTTTTTTTTTTTTCTTGAGATGGAGTTTCGCTCTTGTCGCCCAGGCTGGAGTACAGTGGCGCGATCTTGGCTCACCACAACCTCCGCCTCCTGGGTGCAAGTGATTCTCCTGCCTCAGCCTCTCGAGTAGCTAGGATTATAGGCATGCGCCATCACGCCTGGCTAATTTTTGTATTTTTAGTAGAGACAGGGTTTCTCAGGCCGGGTGCAGTGGCTCACACCTGTAATCCCAGCACTTTGGGAGGCTGAGACAGGAGGATCACGTGAGGTCGGGAGTTTGAGACCAGCCTGACCAACATGGAAAACCCTGTCTCTACTAAAAATACAAAATTACCCAGGCGTGGTGGCGCATGCCTGTAATCCCAGCTACTTGGGAGGCTGAGGCAGAATAGCTTGAACCCAGGAGGCAGAGGTTGTGGTGAGCTGAGATCGCGCCATTGCACTCTAGCCTGGGCAACAAGAGAGAGACTCTGTCTCGAAAATAATAACAATAATAATAAAAAGAGACAGGGTTTCTCCATGTTGGTCAGGTTGGTCTCGAACTCCTGACCTCAGGTGACCTGTCCGCCTCGGCCTCCCAAAGTGCTGGGATTACAGGCGTGAGCCACTGCGCCTGGCTGGTACCTGGATTTTTTTTTTTTTTTTTTGAAATAGAGTCTCACTCTGTCACCCAGGATGAAGTGCAGTGGTGCGATCTCTGCTCACTGCAACCTCCACCTCCCGGGTTCAAGTGATTCTCCTGCCTCAGCCTCCCAAGTAGCTGGGACTACAGGCAAGTACCACTACGACCGGTTAATTTTTTTTTTTTTTGTATTTTTAATAGAGACGGAGTTTCACCGTGTTAGCCAGGCTGGTCTCAATCGCCTGACCTCATGATCCACCCACCTCGGCCTCCCAAAGTGCTGGGATTTTAAGCATGAGCCACCACACCCGGCCCTGCACCAGGATTTTAAAAAATGGCTGTATTGAGATATAACTCACATGCCACACAATTGATCTACTTAAAGGCTACATCCACTTAAAGGATATTCAGCAGGCTTTAGTATCTTCACGAGGTTGTGCAACCATCATCCCTATCTAATTCTAGAACATTGCATCACCTGAAGAGGAAACCCCATAGCCATGAGCAGTCACTCCCCATTTCCTCCTCCTCTCAGCTCCTGGCAACAACTAATCAGCTTTCTGTCTCTATGGCTTTGCCTATCCTAGACATTTCATAGAAATGGCATCATAGTAATGGATCATACAAGTCATCACGTGGTCTTTAGTGTCTGGCTTCTCTCACGTAGCATAATGTTTTTGAGGTTCATCCATGTTGCAGTGCATAACAGAACTTCATTATTTTTGTGTCTGGATGAATACAGCACATTCTATTTGTTCATTCATCAACTGACGGACATTTGGGTTCATAAATGGAAACACTTTGGGGCTATTATGAAGAATGCAGCTGTGAACATTCCTGTCCAGGTTTGTGTGTGGACTACGAGCAACATTTGAGAGAGCTGAAGTTGTTCTGCATCCTTGTCAGCACTTGTCATTATCAGTTTTATTTATTTATTTATTTATTTATTTGAGATGAAATCTGACTCTTTCACTCAGGCTGGAGTGCAATGGTGTGACCTCGGCTGACTACAACGTCTGTCTCCTGGGTTCAAGCGATTCTCCCACCTCAGCCTCCCAAGTGGCTGGGATTACAGGCACGTGCCACCACTCCTGGCTAATTTTTGTATTTTTAGTAGAGACGGGGTTTCGCCATGTTGGCCAAGCTGGTCTCAAACTCCTGACCTCAGGCGATCCACCCACCTCGGCCTCCCAAAGTGCTGGGATTACAGGCATGAGACACCCCACCCAGCCCAGTTTTAATGTTTTGTTTTGTTTTTGTTTTTTGGGGACGAGGTCTCACTCTGTCACCCAGGCTGAAGTGCAGTGGCATGATCATAGCTCACTGCAGACTCGACCTCCTGGGCTCAAATGATCCTCCCACCTCATCCTCCTGAGTAGCTGGGACCACAGGTGTGCACCACCATGCCTGGGTAATTTTTTAATTTTTTGTAAAGATGAGGGTCTTGCTATGCTGCCCAGGCTGGTTTCAATCCCCTGGGCTCAAGTGAGCCTCCCACCTCAGCCTCCCAAAGTGCTGGGATTACAGGGATGAGTCATCACACCCGGCCTGTTTTTATCTTTTATTTTAGCCATTTTAGTAGCTGTGTGTGCGTAACAGTTTTCGCAAGATGTAATTGACAAATAGTAAAGTGCCATATATAAAGTACAAAATTTGATAACTTTTTCTTTCTCTTGGGAAATAAAGGAGTGGCATTTCTGGGTCACGTAGTAACTCTCTTTAGGCACCAAAATTTGAATGGGATCTGTCCTGTGGCAGGGCTAGGGTCACTTCTGCTGGCAGA
Source organism: Homo sapiens (assembly GCF_000001405.40). NCBI lineage: Eukaryota > Metazoa > Chordata > Mammalia > Primates > Hominidae > Homo > Homo sapiens. The sequence goes on from NC_000020.11 coordinate 50,004,654, forward strand.
GTCCACCGCCTTGGGAAGGAGAAGCTGAGCCCTGGCTCTCATCCCGACTCTTTTCTCTGGGAAGGGGGCAAGTCTGCAGAAGGTTCAAGGATCCAGCTCTGAGCCCCTGCAATCATAGCTCAGTCCTTCCTGCATTCACCACATGTGCACTCAGTCCTAAGGTCACCAGGCCAGGAGTAACACAACAGGGAACAGACAAGTCCCTGTTCTCAGGATGCTGACAACTCACCTTGGCTTGAGAAGGACACAGCCTTGGGCCAGGCGCAGTGGCTCACACCTGTAATGCCAGCATTTTGAGAGGCCAAGGCGGGTGGATCATGAGGTCAGGGGATCAAGACCAGCCTGGCCAACATGGTGAAACCCTGTCTCTACTAAAAATAGAAAAATTAGCCAGGCGTAGTGGCGTGTGCCTGTAGTCCCAGCTACTCGGGAGGCTGAGGCAGGAGAATCGCTTGAACCCGGGAGGCAGAGGTTGCAGTGAGCCGAGATCAGGCCACTGTACTCCAGCCTGGGTGACAGAGCGAGACTCTGTCTTAAAAAAATATATATTGTGCTGTTTGAGAAGGATACAGTCTGTCTGGGGTCCTGGCTGAGGCAAAGCAACTGGTTCTGGAGCCCAGGAATAGGTTCTTCCTGCAGCCCTCCAGAGAAGCACAGAGCTGTTACTATCATACCCCCATTCAGACAGATGAGGAGGCCCAAGTCCCAGAGGAAGGAGGGATTTGCCCAAGGTCATTCCAGGTGATAATGGCTGAGCAGGGATTCGAACCCATTTCTCAGGGAAGGGAGTGATGTTGCCTGGGAAGAGTGCAGGGTGCTATGGGAGAGCCACGGGGGGCACGAGCTTAGTCAGGGACTTGGGGATATTAGGCGGAGCCTTCCCAGAGATGGAAGAAGTAGGAGTTACCCAGGCAAAGATAACTGGAAGAGGGGGAGGAAGTTGCAGGCAGAGAGCATGACAAGTGCCAAGGCCCTGGGGTGGGGAAATGTTTGGGGTATTGAAGAAATGGCAAGAGGTCAGTGTGGCTGGGGGAGAGAGGTAGGAGGAAGGCGGGCAGGGGCTGGCATCCCCTAGGCCTCATAGGCCACAGCCAAAGGCCAGGCATTTGGATTTTATTCTAAGCTGTGGGAAGCCACCAGGGGATTTTATGCGGAGGAGTGACTTCCCTCTGGCTGCGTGTGGGAAATAGGCTGTGGGGACTGAAGGAAGTGGGAGGCCGGGGAGGAGGCACCTGCAGCTTGTGGCTTTCCCTGGCAGGTCAGAGAGGAAGAAGGGGTGGGAGCTGTCTTTGTGGATGGGCTGGGTGGGGTTGGAGAGTGAGTGAATGCAAGGACCAGGCTGGAGGAGGGTTGCAGCCCTCATGAAAGGGTGGGGGGATGGTGGCACCAAGACTGGGTGCCCAGGGGAAGAGACAGGGAGGAAAACGTAGAAATGCATTTTTCTTCTTTTTTTTTTTTTGAGACGGAGTCTCGCTCTGTAGCCCAGGCTGGAGTGCAATGGCACGATCACAGCTCACTGCAACCTCTGCCTCCTGGGTTCAAGTGACTCTCCTGCCTCAGCCTCCAGAGTAGCCGAGATTACAGGCGCCCGCCACCTTGACCAGCTAATTTTTGTATTTTAGTAGAGACAAGGTTTCACCATGTTGGCCAGGCTGGTCTCGAACTTCTGACCTCAGGTGATCCACCCACCTCAGCCTCTCAAAGTGGTGGGATTACAGGCGTGAGTCACTGCGTCCAGCTGCATTTCTTTTTTTTTTTTCTTTTTTTTGAGACAGAGTTTCGCTCTGTTGCCCAGGCTGGAGTGCAGTGACACAATCTCAGCTGAGTGCAACCTCTACCTCCCGGGTTCAGGCGATTCTCCTGACTCAGCCTCCCAAGTAGCTGGGATGACAGATGTGCCCCACCCTACCCAGCTAATTTTTATATTTTTGGTAGAGACAGGGGCTGGTCTTGAACTCCTTACCTCAAGTGATCCACCCACCTTGGCCTCCCAAAGTGCTGGGATTACAGGTGTGAGCCACTGTGTCCAGCAAAGGCTTTTTAGAAAAATAAAAACATAAAGGCCCAAGGGACAAGAAAGAATTCCTCTAAGTACAGGGTCTTCCACAATCTATCTATCTATCTATCTATCTATCTATCTATCTATCTATCTATTTTTTTTTTTTTTTTTTAGAAATGGGATCTTACCCTGTTATCCAGGCTGGAGTACAGTGGCACAATCATGGCTCACTGCAGCCTCAAACTTCTGGGCTTAAGCTATCTTCCTGCCTCAGCCTCCTGAGACTACAGGCATGTGCCACCACCCCTGGCTAATTTTTTAAAATTGTATTTTAGAGATGGGGTCTTTGTATGTTGCCCAGGCTGGTCTTGAACTCCTAGACTCAAGTGATCCTCCCACCTCAGCCTCCCAAGTAGCTGGGATTATAGGCCCCAGCCACTGTGCCTGGCTCAGAGTATTTTTAAGCATAAATACAGACGTGTTAACACTTGTGTCTGGTGGCCTCTGTGGAGGAAACTTGGGGTTTGTTTCAGGGCGGGAAGGAGACTGACTTGTTACATTTTTTTCTTTCTTGAACTGTCTGGATTAAAAAAAAAACTTTAACGAAAGCATGACAATATAAAAGATGCAAATCAGAAGTGTCCATCCCCAAAAATAAAAAAGACCAGAAGTGTTCATCTCAATGCCTGTTTTCAACGTGAACCCATTTCTGTGATCAGCACCTAGATCAAGAAACAAAACATTTCAGTCCCACACAAATTAGCTTCTTTTTAATTATTATTATTTATTTTGATTTTTGATTTTTTTAGAGACAGGATCTTGCTCTGTTGCCCAGGCTGGGGTGCAGTGGTGCAATCATAGCTTATTGCAGCCTTGAACTCCTGAACTCAAGTGATTCTCCTGCCTGAGCCTCCCATGTAGCTGGGACTACAGGCACACACCACCATACCTGGCTAATTTATTTTTCATAGATACAGGGTCTTGATATGTTGCCCAGGCTAGTTTCAAACTCCTGGGTTCAAGCAATCCTACCACCTCAACCTCCCAAGGGGCCACCACGTCTGGCTTTGATAAGTTTTTTTTTGTTTGTTTTTTGTTTTTGAGACAGGATCTCGCTTGGTTGCCCAGGCTGGAGTGCAGTGGCTGGATCATAGCTCACTGCAGCCTTAACCTCCTGGGCTTAAGTGATCCTCCCATCTCAGCCTCCCAAACTGCTGGGATTACAGGCGTGAGCCACCGTGCCCGGCCAAGAAAAGGATATTTTTATTGCATGCATCTTCACATAGAGATGAGCCACCAGGAAGAATCCTACCAATGGGTGTGGAGGTGGGCATTGTTCTCAAACTCTTCCTCTCTTTTGTCCCTCCCTTGCTGCCCCGGACAGTCCCTGTGCTCAAGGATAGGGGATCAGAGGTGAATCAGACCTGACCTTGCCCGGTCACAGCAATGTACCAGCAGGAGAGACCCTGGTTCAACTCTCAGCTTGGCTACTGACCTGCTAGGGGGTCTCTTAACCTCTTGGTTCACCCTCTTAACCTCTTGGAGCGTCAGTGCCCTCAGCTGGAAAAGGAACATTCCACAGATTCCTGGACTGGCAGAGTGGTTGAAAGGGATAGAAAGAAAGAAAGCATGAGAGGTACCTATAGTAAATGATGAAGGAATGATAGCTAAGCATGGTCTTTCCACAGGGCCTTTGTGCATTCTATTTCTGCTTCTTGGAACACTCTTCCAGGAAGATGCTTTAATGAGGGGACTTCCAGCAGCATCACCAGTGGCAACAGGACAGCAGGGCCTGGCCGGCAGGGTCTAGCTGTCCACAGGACTCCATCCCTCAAAAAGACCTTCTGGCCAGGCATGGTGGCTGATGCCTGTAATCCCAGCACCTTGGGAGGCCAAGGCAGGAGAATCGCTTGAGTCCAGGAACAAAAACAGGCTGGATTCGGTGGCTCAAGCCTGTAATCCCAGCACTTTGGGAAGCCAAGGTGGGTGGATTACTTGAGATCAGGAGTTCGAGACCAGCCTGGCCAACATGGAAAAACCCCGTCTTTACTAAAACTACAAAAATTAGCTGGGCGGGGTGGCAGGTGCCTGTAATCCCAGCTACTCGGGTGGCTAGGGTAGGAGAATTGCTTGAACCTAGGAGGCGGAGGTTGCAGTGAGCCAAGATCCAGCCACTGCACTCCAGCCTGGGTGACAGAGCAAGACTCCATCTAAAAAAAAAAAAAAAAAAAAAAAAAAGGGCCGAGCACGGTGGCTCACGCCTGTAATCCCAGCACTTTGGGAGGCTGAGGCGGGTGGATCACGAGGTCAGGAGTTTAAGACCAACCTGGCCAAGATGGTGAAACCCCAACTCTACTAAAAATACAAAAATTAGCTGGGCGCAGTGGCAGGCACCTGTAATCCCAACTACTCGGTAGGCTGAGGCAGGAGAATCGCTTGAACTCGGGGGGCGGAGCTTGCAGTGAGCCGACATCGCGCCACTGCACTCCAGCCTGGGCGACAGAGTGAGACTCCATCTCAAAAAAAAAAAAAAAAAAAATTAGCCAGGTGGCGCATGCCTACAGTCCCAACTACTCAGGAAGCTGAGACAGGAGAATGGCTTGAGCCTGGGAGGTGGAGGTTGCAGTCAGCAGAGATGGTGCCACTGCACTCCAGCCTGGTGGGCAGAGCAAAACTCTGGCTCCAAAAATAAAATAAAATAAAACGAAAAATAAAAGAAACAAAAACAAAATACCTTCCCTGACCATCCCAGGAGCCATTTCATGCCCACCACCGTCACTTCCCAACCCCCTTCCCTGCATTATTCCCCCCGCCCCGCCCCCCCCCGCCCCTGCACTCACTGGCACCTGACACTTTATTTCAGGGGTTTCTTTGCCAATGTCTGGTTCCCCCCGATGGAATGTCAGCCCCAGGAGGGCAGGGAGGTTTGCATCTGTTCACTGCAATACTCCAAGCCCTAGAGCAGTGCCTGGCACGAAGCAGAGGCTCCACAACGAAGCTGGGCTGGGAGCCCGACTCATTGTAATTGCCCCATTCCTCCTGCACAACCTTGGACAACTTCTTCCAACCCCTGAGCCTCCTCTACCCTCCTGCAAAGGCTCAGAGAAGGCTTTGCCACCCAGGTCGACTAGGAGGGTGCCATGGGTTCTGAAGCCCCTCCGCACCCTTAGCAGGGCCCAGCGCAGGCTGGCTGCGATGTTTGCTCTTTGTCTTTACGGTGTTTCTGAACTTGGAGTTCTGGAGGCTGCGCCTGCCGGGCCGAGGAGGGGGCCCTTTCTGCAGCCGCAGGCGGAGGCCCCTCGCAGCCCGGGCGCCCCTCCAGGCCGCGGCCCCGGCGAGACGAATGCAGCACACGGCCGCCTTTATGGGGCCCGCAGACAGCGCGTCGCCAGGCTAACCCTGCGTGGAAAATTCGGAGGTGGAAGGCGAGGCGCCTTATTGAGGGGGCCGGCAGCGGCGGCGGCGGCGGCGAGGGGGCGGCGGGGGCTGTGCGGCCCGGGCCGGAAACGTGAGCCGGGCTGGGGGCGGCGACCACCCCCGCGCATTCCCCGGCCCTCCCGGGACCACCGCGCGCCCCGGCCGGCAGGTGGAGGAGCAGGAGGCGCCCTCACCGTCCCCGCCCTGGGAGGACGCCTTCAGGGCCAAGCTCCCCTGGCCTCGTTGACCTCCTCCGCTGAATAGGCCCTTCCCTTTTGGGGCGGCAGGACTAAATTGCGGCCTGGGGCCCAGGACACGGGAGCAACCAGCGACACCGGTCACTTACGGATGCTGTTAACACGATGGTCCGCCCCATGGACCACAAATTGAGGCTGAGACACTCAGGAGACGGTGGCACACTCAGATGCCAGGGCCGTGCCCCATGGCCTAAGGGGACACCTGAACCACACTAGAAATTGGAGCGGCCCCTGAAAGTGGAGGTCATTAATAAGATCAAAGTTAAGGGCCCAGGACCTGCAGGTGCCCAGCCCGGAGCTGCCATGGTGGGGCTGGAGCCACCCCGAGGTACCTCTCTGAACCTCAGTTTTCTCATCTGTCAAGTGCGGATGGGCCAGGCACTGTGTCAGAAGCCCAACGAAGAACAGAGGGCAGGAGCCACTAGCTTCTTGACTCCTGGGTTTCCATCCCAGGCAAGGCAACAGACGGATGCCCCTGGCAGAGGGACATAGAAACAAAAAGTCAAGCCCGGCCCAGTGGCTCAGGCCTGTAATCCCAGCACTTTAGGAGGCCGATGCAGGAGGATTGCTTAAGCCCAGGAGTTCAAGACCAGCCTGGGCAACATAGCGAGATCCTCTCTCTACAAGACATTTAAAAATTAGCTGGGCATGGTGGCACGCATCTGTAGTCCCAGCTACTCGGGAGACTGAAGTGGAAGGATTGCTCGAGTTTGGGAGGTTGAGGCTGCAATGAGCTGTGATCATGCCACTGTACTCCAGCCTGGGAGACAGAGCGAGACCCTGCTTCAAAAAAGAAAGAAAGAGCCGGGCGCAGTGGCTCACGCCTATAATCCCAACACTTTGGGAGGCCGAGGTGGGTGGATCACCTGAGGTCAGGAGTTTGAGACCAGCCTCCTCAACATGGTGAAACCCTGTCTGTACTAAAAATACAAAAAATTAGCCGGGCATGGTGATGTGCACCTGTAATCCCAGTCACCAGGAGGCTGAGACAGGAGAATCGCTTGAACCCAGAAGGCAGAGGTTGCAGTGAGCCGAGATCGCGCCACTGCACTCCAGCCTGGGCGACAGAGCGAGATTCTGTCTCAAAAAAGAAAGAAAGAAAGAGCCTGGCACAGTGGCTCACACCTGTACTCCTAGCACTTTGGGAAGCCAAGGCAGGCAGATCACAAGGTCAGGAGTTCGAGACCAGCCTGGCTAATATGGTGAAACCCCGTCTCTACCAAAAATACAAAAATTAGCCAGGCATGGTGGCAGGCACCTGTAGTTCGAGCTACTCGGGAGGCTGAGGCAGGAGAATCACTTGAACTCAGGAGGCAGAGGTTGCAGTGAGCCGAGATTGTGCCACTGCACTCCAGCCTGGGTGATAGAGTGAGACTGTCTCAAAAAAAAGAGAGAGAGAGGAGCGAGGAGGGGAGGGGAGGGAAGGGAAGGGAAGGGAAGGGAAAAGCTGCACAGGTTGCATATATAATTAACACCCTGGGTCCTTGGATTGGAAGGAGAGAGGAGGCATGAGAGGATGACTGGAGGAAGGGGAAGGCAGGTGACCCTCCAGGATATGGGACTTGGGGAAGGGGCAAACCCCTAATTTCTTTTTTTTCCTTTTCTTTTTTATTTTTATTTTTTTTTTTTAGATGGAGTCTTGGTCTGTTGCCCAGGCTGGAGTGCAGTGGCACAATCTCGGCTCACTGCAGCCTCGGCCTCCTGGGTTCAAGTGATTCTCCTGCCTCAGCCTCCCAAGTAGCTGGGACTACAAGGACCCCCCACCATGCCCGGTTAATTTTTGTAGTTTTAGTAGAGACGGGGGTTTCACCATGTTCGGCCAGGCTGATCTCGAACTCGTGATCTCAGGTGATCCTCCCACCTTGGCATCCCAAAGTGTTGGGATCATAGGCATGAGCCATCACACCTGGCCCAAAGGACCAATTTCAGACTCAGACTCAGAGAAGGCAGAAGTGAAGCTCAGGGTAGCCAGGTGTTGATTTTTGCATTTGCCGTTCCCTCTTCCTGGAACACTTTCTTACCCCTGTTGTCTCTGCAGCTGTTTCCCTCACTTCCGCTAGGCTGGGGCTTGAAGATCGCCTCTTTAAAGAAGCTTTCTCAGACCATGTGTCTAAGCCCTGCTGCCTTGGCCCTTCTCTTTGCCCCTGGCAAAGATACTTATTTCTTTTTATTATCTTGCATGCCTTTGGTTCACTTGTTTCTTGTCTGTCTCCTCCACCTGCCAGTGAGCTCAGTGAGGGTGGGACTTCGTTCACAGCTATAGCCTCTGCCCCCAACCCAGCACACAGTAGGTGCTCAAGAAATGCTCAAGCAGTGAATGAATGAATGGACAAAGCCAGGCCGTGGAAGACAAAGAAAGCCTCAGCTTTCTTTCTGGTGACTTGGTTTCTGGCTAGCAGAGGACAGGTTTCCTGAGTTACAGATAAGCAGAAGGTCAGGTGAATCAACGATAAGGGATGATAAGGCTCCAGGACCCACCGGCTGTTCCTGCCTCCTGGGGCCCCACAGAGGAAGCTCATTTTCAGCTTACTGCAGAACCTCCAGCAGAGCCGGGGCCTGGGAGCTGGGAGCCTACTCTGACTGCCACTGCTGCGGGGTGAGAATTCTCACACATTGTAAACGCTGCCCTGGCTCCTTTCTGGCTGGGGCAGCCAGGTGGACCTGCCCTGGGCTGGACAGGAGGTTTCCAGGTCCCCAGGATGGATGGTGTGTGTGACGGGGCCTCCCAGACCCCAGGATCCTCTTCCTGGGGGCGGGGCTTGGGCACTGGGTTCCCACAGATAGAATAGCTTAGAGCTCAAGGGTGAGCCAGCTGCCTGGGTTCAAATCCTGGCTCAGCCATTTAGAATTGGGCAAGCTATTCCAGCTGTACTGTGGTCCTCACTGTAAAAAGCTATAATAGTAGAAGTGTGTAAGAATACAGTACCTGGGCCTAGTTCGGGGCTCTGATCAGCTCCTGTGCCATAGATCCCTTTTTTATTATACATTTAGATTCATGTGTGTGTGTGTGTGTGTGTATATATATATATATATATATATTTTTTTTTTTTTTGAGACAGAGTCTCGCTCTGTTGCCCAGGCTGGAGTGCAGTGGGGCAATCTCAGCTCACCACAACCTCCACCTCCCGGGTTCAAGCAATTCTCCTGCCTCAGCCTCCTGAGTAGCTGGAACGACAGGCACGCACCACCATGCCTGGCTAAATTTTAGTAGAGATGGAGTTTCACCATGTTGGCCAGGCTAGTCTCAAACTCCTGACCTCGTGATCCGCCCACCTCAGCCTCCCAAAGTGCTGGGATTATAGGCATGAGCCACCACGCCCAGCCTTAGATTTACCTTTATAAATGAAATTGTATAGCATTAAAGTAAAACATTATATTAAACTAAAGTCATTAAAATATTTAATAGCTGAATGTTTGATATGGTGACAGCTGTGCTTTTTGGTTTTTGTTTATTTATTTATTTTTGAAACAGGCACTTACTCTGTTGCCCAGGCTGGAGTGCAGTGGAATGATTATGGCTCACTGCAGCCTCCACCACCCAGGCCCAAGCAATCCTCCCACCTCAGCTCCCTGAGTAGCTGGGACCAGAGGCCCACACCACCACACCCAGATAATTTTTTGTATTTTTGGTAGAGACAGGGTTCACCATGTTGCCCAGGCTGGCCTCAAACTCCTCAGCCTCCCAAAGTGCTGGGATTACAGGCGCAAGCCACCATGCCCAGCCAACTATGGTAATTTTGAAATCAGGAAGAGGACGAATGCTCTTTCTATGACACTGTAAAGAGACATGGACAAAGGATTTCTGATTGACAAAGCCACCGTCCAGCTACTGCCACTGTGGTTTCCCACGTCTGCTCGTAAGGGAAGGAAATGCCAAATTCCAGTTGGCGGTTAGTGAAAATCAGGACATCCCTTTTTTTCCCCCAGTCCAAGTTCACAGATCCCTGAATTCTCTTCGAGGGCCCTGGAGGTGGTGGTGAGTGATAGGATCTCACTGGGGATGGTGCAGGTGCCCAGAAGGAGGGGAGTCAGATGGGGGCTCCCTCAGGGGTTTGAGCTGGAGTGCTGAGTGCCCAGTGTAGGTGGCCTGGGTTGGAATCGGTCTCTGCCCACACTCCCTGGAGACCTCGGCCAGTGGCTGCTGGTCTCCAGGCCTCCTCTGAGGAATGGCCTCCTCGGCCTCTAGGGTTGAATAAGGAGGAGGTGGGACAGCGTGTGGCCTGTGTTGGCACAGGGGTCTGGGCTCTTGATAGAGGGGTTGGGGGAGAGGCCGTCCTGTGCCTTGGAGGGGGCCCCTTCCCCATCCAATGGCCTCTCCGAGGTCTGGGCCTGTGTGGAAGTCACCGTTTTGTGTTTGTGTCATCTGGGTAAGCTGGTGTGTCTTTGTGTGTTGGGGTGGATGTGTGTGTGTGTGTGCAGGTGTGAGTGTAGGGGCACATCTAGGAAGGGTGTCAGGCAGTGTGAGTCAGCGTGTTGTGTGTGGCTGTGTGTGTGAGCAGGGGTCCGTTCTGAGAGTGCGTTGTGTACGTGTGTGTCAGGGTTTGGTATGGCGTTCACTGGTGTGTGTGTGTGAGTTGAAAGTCTCTGGTGTTAGTTGATGGGAGTGAATGTGAGACTGTGGGTGTATTTGGGGACGTGGGGGGTGGACTGATGTGTGTGTGTGAGCACACATGCAGCAGGGTTGGTGGGCGGTGTCCAGTGTGTGTCTGTGTGAACGTGTGTGGCCCTGTCACCGCCGGCTCCAGGCCCAGCCACATAAACTTCACACCCCTGCGGGCGGGCTCCAGCGGCCCCGCAGCAGCCGCGTAGGGCAATGGGAAGCAGATGGGCCAGGAAGGAGGCCATATGGGGCTGGGGGTGGGGGCGCATTCCTCCCTCCCAGGGCCGCCAGGAAGCCCCCTGCCTGCCGGCCCCCCCATCGGGGTGGGAGCTAGAACTGACACAGTAACAAATGTCCTGTAGCCAGCGTGGAGTCAGCGTGGAGCCGGCATGGAGGCAGCCCCCGCCCCACAGCGGGGGGTAGAGAGAGAGAGTATAAATGAGGGGGATCCAGGAGATGCCGGCGGGGAAGATGCTGCCCTGATAAGCCACACCTGACCCCACGGCTGTGCACCCTTGGGCGCCGCACATACCCCCTCCGGGCCCATTTCCTTGGCAGGGTGGCTGTTGGGGATGGAATATAGGGACGTTCCCCCCACCCCCCACCGCGCCCCCTCGTCCCCTCCCCCCCTCCCCCCGCCTCCGTTTCCAGACCAGGGTAGGACCCTAACTCCAGAAACCCTGGTAGATGTCAACAGCAACAGGGTAAGGAGCTGCTAACCTGGAACTTGACTGCATTCCGGCGCTGGGGAGTGGCGAAGAGGTGGGCTCTGGAGCCAGGTCTGCCTGGGTTCCAGTCCGTGCTCTGACACTTCCTGACTGTGTAACTATCATCTGGCAAGTCACCTCCTCTGTGTCTCAGTTTCTTCTCTGTAAAGTGGAGGTAATAATAAGAGCACCTCCCTCCCCGCAGGCGGTGATGAAGGAAGTGCTTGCTCATCCTAGGCCAATCCCAGGTTTTGGCCAGGCTTGGGGCTTCGTAAATGTTAGCTACAAGCACCAGCTCCTGGGGGCTTCCCACACCCCCAGGAGGTTGCCTGGACGTACTTTGCAGAGGAGACCAGAGAGGTCAGGTACTCGCCAGTTCACACAGGGTTTAAGGGGCAGAGATGGGTTCAAACCCAGGCCTTCCATCCCCGGCGCCTGCTCTCCTCACCACTCCTCAGGGAGCATGGCTGGCGCCTCCCTTCCCACCCTCTCCAGCTCCGCCCCTGCCCTGTCTAGGGTGAGCTGCTGGGCTGTTTCTTGTCACATCCAGATGAGAGCAGAGGCTGGGGCCCTCTTCCAGCTGAGACAAGGTCCAGGAGGTCGCTGGAAAGGCGGCAGGCTCCTCCCACTGTAACCCTGGCCCCGACGGTGGGAGCCAGCCCTGACTTTCAGGCCCTAATTAGATTTAGGCAGCTCTGGGTGCAGACCCTGGCTCCCCTCTCCCTGCTGTGTGACCCAGGGCAAGGGCCTGGAGCACTCAGAGCCTCAGGGGTATCCGGGGACAGGGTAGCAGGGACTCAGCCATGGGGAAACGGCAGCGACTGTTCTTGCAGCGAGTGTCTGATGAACGGCCCCTATTAGTTCCCCCCTCGTGGAGGTCGAGATCAGGCAGGGCCGGAGTGGAGGGAAGGGCTTAGAAGCAGAGCTTGCTCTGGGTGGCTTTGGCCTGGTCTGTTCACCTCCTCCAAGGCTCCCTTTCCTGTTTCCCAAAGCAACATCATCAGGCAGGTTTGTCGGGAGGCTTAACAGGATCATGTGAAAGCACTTGGCACATGCTAGGTGCTCAACCAGTGCTGTGTTGGCTTCTCTGTCTCTCTCTCTCTCTTTCTCTCTCTCTCTCTTTTTTTTTTTTTTTTTAATTGAGACAGGGTCTCACACTGTCACCCAGGCTGGAGTGCAATGGTGTGATCATAGCTTACTGCAACCCCCACCTCCCAGGTTCAAGGGATCCTCCTGCCTCAGTCTCCTGAGTAGCTGAGATTACAGGCATGGGCCACCACGCCCAGCTAATTTTTGTATTTTTATTTTATTTTATTTTTTGGAGACAGAGTCTCGCTCTGTCGCTCAAGGTGGAGTATAGTGGCAAAATCTCAGCTCACTGCAACCTCCACCTCCCTGGTTCAAGCAATTCTCCTGCCTCAGCCTCCCAAGTAGCTGGGACTACAGGCACCCGCCACCATGCTTGGCTAATTTTTGTATTTTTAGTAGAGACGGGGTTTCGCCATGTTGTCCAGGCTGGTCTGGAACTCCTGACCTCAAGCGATCCACCCACCGCCACCTCCGAAAGTCCTGAGATTACAGGCCTGAGCCACCGTGCCCAGCCAGTGGCTTCTCTCCTATTCTTGTCCCTTGTGGGCCCTTGTAGGGACATCTGTTTTAAGTTCCCACCCAGCATGGACTCTCCTTTCTCTGTGCCTCAGTCCAAGGGTTTTGGGTGGGGCATGCACTCAGTACTGACCAATCAGGACAACTGCATCCTCTCAGCCAATGAGAGACAGGCCTGGGATTTTTGCTGGACCCATGGGGAAAGAGGCACTTCGTTTCTATTGGGGTTGCTAAATGGGCTGGGTGGAATCCTGGACTTGGGGGTTCATCCTGCCTTGTTGAGGAGAGGCTTGGCTGAGTGGAGGCTGCAAAGATGGAGAGGAGGCAAGTCCCACGGATGAAATGTGAATGCCCAGATGCAATCATGCCTGGGACTGTTGTTGATTCCTGCTTTGTGGGAGAGAAACTGAGGCCAAATCCAAGGTCACAGAGCCAGGAAGGGGGCAGAACTGGGATTTGAACCCAGGCCGACTGGCGCCAGTGGCTGTGTCCTTAACCTCCAGACTCTACAGAGGCCTTTGGTATAAATCCCTCCCTGTAGCCTGAAATCCTCACCCAGCCTAGTTTTTGAGCTCAGCTATTTCTGAGCTTCCCAAGGGAGAATGTTTTCTGCCTCTGGCAGAAAAATCGGGAGAAAATGAAAGCCCTGTGGTCTGGCTGCAAACTCAATTTGGGCAAGCTTGGGACAAATGAAAATTCTTTCCTTCTTTCGTTCTTCCTCTTTCTCTCTTTCTCCTCTTTCTTTCTTTCTCCCCCTCCCTACCTCCTCCTTTCCTTCCTCTCTTCCTCCATCCATCCCTTCCTTCCTCTCTCTTCCTTCCCTTCTCCCTCCTTCCTTCCCTCCCTCCCTCCCTCCATTCCTACTCCTTCCCTCTATCCTTCCTCCTAACCCCTTCCTCACTCTCCTTCCTGTCTGAAATAAACCAGAGCTTACTCCAGCCCATCTCACATCCTGGTCCTGCTCTCACCTCTGCCTGGATGACTTGCATCTCTGCCCAGTTCCAAGCCTAGTTGGCCATGTTGGGCCCCAGTACAGCCATCACCAGTGACACCTATTAAAATGCAGATCCCTGGCAGGGCGCAGTGGCACATGTCTGTAACCCCAGAACTTTGGGAGGCTGAGGCGGATGGATCACCTGAGGTCAGGAGTTTGAGACTAGCCTGGCCAACATGGTGAAACCCCATCTCTATGAGAAATACAAAAAATTAGCCGGGTGTGGTGGCACATTCCTGTGATCCCAGCTACTTGGGAGGCTGAGGCAGGAGAATTGCTTGAATCCAGGAGGCAAAGGTTGCAGTGAGCCAAGATTGTGCCATTGCACTCCAGCCTGGGCAACAAGAGCGAAACTCCGTCTCAAAAAAAATAAATAAAATGCAGATCCTGGGGCCCCACACCAGCAGATGCATATTTGTGCGTTTGGGGCAAAGGCAGAGGAGATGAACACCCAGTGGACATTCAGATGCAGGTGGTTCTTGGGACACTGGGTGTCTAGGGTCTTGTAGGGCCTGGAAGACCAAGGTTAAAGGTTGTGCTTAGGGGCCAGCCATGATGGTTCATGTCTGTAATCCCAGCACTTTGGGAGGTCAAGGCGGGTGGATCACCTGAGGTCAGGAGTTCAAGACCAGCCTGGCCAATATAGTAAAATCCCATCTCTACTAAAAATACAAAAAATTAGCCTGGCGTGGTGGCAGATCTCTGTAATCCCAGCTACTCGAGAGGCTGAGGCAGGAGAATTATTTGAACTCGGGAGGCTGAGGCAGGAGAATTGCTTGAACCTGGGAGGCGGAGGTTGCAGTGAGCCAAGGTTGTGCCACTGCACTCCACCCTGGGCAACAAGAGCAAAACTTCATCTCAGAAAATAAAAGAAACTGAGTTTCAGAGTGGTCAAGCTTCTTGCCCGAGACCACACAGCTGGTGGGTGGCAGAGCTGGGACTTGAACCCAGGCATCTGGCTCCAGACTCTGTGCTCTTACTGGTACTGTAGGAAGCTTTAGTTTTGCTTATTTTATTCACTGCTGCATCTCCAGTGCCTGCCTTGTGCTGGGTCTTAATAAAGATTTGTTGAATGAATGAATGGATGGATGGATGAATAGATTGCTCATTGAAGGGAGTTGACTCAATTAGTAGGTGTTCTGCAATTGCTCTTTCTCTCCTAAATATGTTGTCTAGGCTGGTCTCGAGCTCCTGACCTCAAGCCATCCACCCACCTCGACCTCCCAGAGTGCTGGGATTACAGGCGTGAGCCACCGTGCCTGGCCGGGAGATCTTAGAGCAGTGCTAATCCTGTAGCAGAGTCCTGGCCTTCTCTTTCCACTCTGTGTAGCAGGGATAGTAGCAATCCCACTGCTCAGGGCTGTCATGACTTAAGTGAGACAGTGCCAGGGCTGTGCCCAGCACAGGAGTATATGCTCCATGAG
This sequence comes from Homo sapiens, assembly GCF_000001405.40. Classification (NCBI taxonomy): domain Eukaryota; kingdom Metazoa; phylum Chordata; class Mammalia; order Primates; family Hominidae; genus Homo; species Homo sapiens. The sequence continues at coordinate 50,019,657 of NC_000020.11, forward strand.
CCGTAACAGGTTTGATCAGTTTCCCAGGCTCTTCTTTACTCTGATTTCCTTGTCTGATCCTATCTCCCTCTCAGGCCAAACAGGGCCACACATGGTGCCAGGCACACAGTAGTTGCTCAGGGAAGAAGGATAGCTACATGAGCGCTTGCTGTGCGCTAGGCTCTTTTTAAACACTCATGATCTGATCTACTTCTTCCAACAGCCAACAAGGAATGGACCCAGTGTTTGGCCCAGCAGACCCTCCATAAATGTTTGTTGAGTGACTGAATGAAACAGCGCTGGCTACATTGGCAGAGTGCCTGGCACAAGCTCTGCCAGCCTCCTACCTGCTGCCAGCTCACAGACAGGCCTGGGTTTCTACATCTGCCAGCGCTGCCAGGAGATGAACTGGCCTTGGGGGAGGTAGTTCCCGGCTGTGGAGCCCGAGGGAGCAAAGCTGCAAAGGAGGATTTTCCTCCACGCAGTTCAGCCTGGGCTGAGTAATTGCTCACTGGGTCTTGGTCCAGCGGCGGCCAGGGCAGGTAGGCATGGGGCTGCAGGAGTCACCAGTTGATAGCCAAGCCTGGAGTTCTGCCAGCCACAGCTCTAGGGCCCCTGGATGACAGCAGCATCCCGGAGATGCCACCATGAGCTCAGAGGGGTCCCATCACTTCTCTGAGCCTCAGTCTCTTGGTTGGCAGTTGCCCCAGCTCCATGGGGCTGTGTGAGATTTGAAGGGGTCCTGTATGTGAGGCTGGGACAGGTGTTATGATTGTGTGGAGGGCAGAAGCTGCCTGGAAGTGTGAAAAGGCCTCGACCTCAGATGCAGACAGGCCTGGAGGGCCTTGGGTGAGTCATTTCCCTCTGCAAGCCTCGGCTTCCTCCAGCCTGCTGTCATGAGCCAAAGAAAGGAGAAAGATGGTTCTCAAAAGCAGGAACTTTTGAACCATAAGTGAGAAAAGAGTAATAACCGTAGTAATAATGCCTATAAAAAAGGGCTTTCAATCACTCATTCATTTGTTTTTGTTTTTCTTGTTGTTGTTTTTGTGAGACAGAGTCTCACTCTGTCACCCAGGCTGGAGCACAGTGGCGCAATCTTGGCTCACTGCAACTTCCGCCTCCTGGGTTCAAGCAATTCTCCTGCCTCAGCCTCCCAAGCAGCCAGGACTACAGGCATGCACCACCACACCCGCTAATTTTTGTATTTTTAGTAGAGATGGGCTTTCACCATGTTGGCCAGGCTGGTCTCAAACTCCTGAACTCAGGTGATCCGCCTGCCTCGGCCTTCCAAAGTGCCGAGATTACAGGTGTGAGCCACCGCGCCTGGCCTATGAGAGTCCATTTTTATGTTCTCCATATTGTCGCTTGATGCTGTTTCTCCAGCTGCCTTTTTGGTGTCAGATTCACAAAGAAATATTGGCAATCTTAAAATTTACATTGATTCAATTGATTAAAGTGCCAGAGGACCAAAACATATGTTAGAGTATTTTTGAGTTTTCTCATCTGTCACACTTCTGTTCTTTGCCATATGTGAGTTTAATTCTTTAATATATTCACTAAAATGTTTTGTTTAATGTATCATGATTTTGAACTTATACTCTCTATTTGGGATGGGATAAGCTTCTCACTTGTCACTGATAGATCCATAAGTCTACAGGATCTCTGAATTCCAACAATACTTGGACTTATGTCCCTGGAGTGGACCCTGAAGTTCTATAACTAGGATGTGGTTAGGCCATTTGGAATTAAATGCTCTTTTGTTTTGTAGAAAATATTGATGTGTTAACTTTGTATGCAGTTTTTAAATGGTTTAGAATATTAGTAACTTGCTTTCATACATATTTTATGAAACAAAGTTCATTTTATAGTGAAGAATTCTTTGACTTGTGTGGTTTGGGTGAGAAACCAGTTTTCCTTCATTAAAAAAAATTGTTAAGTTTCCCTAAAATTCTATTTATTAAAAATAAAACTATCAAATTTTACTTAAAGTAAAAAACCTTACATATCTCAATTATATGGTATCAGTGTCCAGTATTTTGGACCTAGTAGACCATATTAGAGTTTACAATAGGGAAGGAAGGAGATACTGCCATTTCTTCAATCACTCATTCATTTTTGTATTCCTTCAGCCAGTACACTTTAGCTTCATTCATTCATTCATTCATTTAGAGAACATTATCGAACATTTATTTCCTGCCAGACTAGGATAGTCAGATTTAGCAAAAACAGGCTGGGCACAGTGGCTCACACCTGTAATCCCAACAGTTTGGGAGGCCGAGGCGGGCGGATCATTTGAGGTCAGGAGTTTGAGACCAGCCTGGCCAACATGGTGAAACCCCGTCTCTACTAAAAATACAAAAATTAGCCAGGTGCCATGGCTCATGTCTGTAATCCCGGCACTTTGGAAGCTGAGGCAGGTGGATCACCTGAGGTCAGGAATTCGAGATCAGTCTCGCCAACATGGCGGAACCCCGTCTCTATTAGAAATACAAAAATTAGATCATGAGGTCAGGAGATCGAGACCATCCTGGCTAACACAGTGAAACCCCGCCTCTACTAAAAATACAAAAAATTAGCCGGGCGTGGTGGCGGGCGCCTGTAGTCCCAGCTACTCAGGAGGCTGAGGCAGGAGAATGGCGTGAACCCGGGAGGCGGAGCTTGCAGTGAGCCAAGATCGCGCCACTGCACTCCAGCCTGGGCGACAGAGCAAGACTCCGTCTCAAAAAAAAAAAAAAAAAAAAAAAAAAAGAAATACAAAAATTAGCTGGGCATGGTGGCATGTGCCTGTAATCCCAGCTACTCGGGAGACTGAGGCAAGAGAATTGCTCGAGCCTGGGAGGTGGAGGTTGCAGTGAGCTGAGATGGCGCCACTGCACTCCAGCCTGGGCGACAGAGCGAGAGTCCATCTCAAAACAACAACAACAACAACAACAAAAGATTTAGCAAAAACAAAAACAAGAAGATCTGGCGAAGCATAGTGGCTCACGCCTATAATGTCAGCATTTTGAGAGGCTGAGGGGGGCAGATCACTTAAGCCCAGGAGTTCAAGACCAGCCTATCAGCCTGGGGAATATGGCGGAACTCCATCTCTACAAAAAAAAAAAAAAAATACAAAAATTTACCAGGCGTGGTGATTTGTAGCTGTAGTTCCAGCTACTCGGGAGGCTGAGATTGGAGGATCGCTTGAGCCTAGAAGATGGAGGCTGCAGTGAGCCATGATTGCGCCATTGTATTCCAGCCTGGGTAACAGAGCAAGATCCAGTGTCAAAACAAAACAAAACCCAACAAGATCAACAACAACAAACCCCAGAATGCCTAGTTAAATTTGAATTTCAGATAAACAACAAACACTTTTTTGGTAGAACTATGTCCCATACTCTATCTCTTAGTGCAAGTGTGTCCTATGCAACACTTGGGCAAGCCCGTGGGAGGTGTTTTGCCCGTGCAACCCCATTTCTTGCTCACATAGCCCTGAGAGGCGAGAATTATTGCCCGTGAGGAAATGGAGGCTCAGAGAAGTGTGTCCTTCTGCTCAGGCTCATGTGGACGGGCATTCTGGCTGAGCTGGGGGCTTCGGTAGAGTCCCAGTGTCATGGGCACTCTGTCACCCCTGCTCACTTCCTGGATGGCAGTTTCGGGAACAGAGAGCCCGTCTTGGCAGCCACCTGACACTTTCCCCTGCCCCAGCCCTCACCTGTTGGGGAAAGTCCCTATGGGTCACCCACAACTGGAGGCTGGTGTAGCCAGGATGCAGGCTAGGGAGTGGAGTGGGCAGAAATCCTAAGCTGTGCGGCGGAGGGGGCATCAGAGGGAAGGAGATAGGTGGGGCAGTGGTCCCCAAACCTACTTTGGCCACATAGCTTCCTGCCTGCCCCACAGCCCCTGGTCAATAATCGGCCTTGCTGACACTCCAGGTGGGGCCTGGGCAGAGAGAGGGCCCCTGGAGTCACCCCTCTCCCCACCTGTGTGTCGTTGGGGGAAGTCTTGGCCCCCCTCAGGGCCTGAGCCTCCACCTGTCTACAAAGAAGCATTCATTCATTCACTTATTCACACATTTATTCACTCATGTATTTGTGCTTTACTTCTATAGATATTTCTTGAGCACCTGTTACGTGTTGGGTTCTAGGCATGAGGCACAGGGATATGCCAGAAAATGAGACAGACTGAAAGCCTCGCTCTCATAGAGCGAGGTCTATGGTCTGATGGGGGAGACAGATCATAGAGACATAAGGAAGATAATTGTGGGTGGGAAAAGTGCTAAGATGGAAACAAGGCAGGGGAAGGTGATGGAGTGTGACTGAGACCGGGCAGTCTGGGAGGGCATCCCTGAGGAGGTGATATTTGAGCAGAGACCCAGATGGTAAGAAGGAGCCTGGCTGGGCGTGGTGGCTCATGCTTGTAACCCCAGCACTTTGGGAGGCTGGGGTGGGCAGATTATGAGGTCAGGATTTCAAGACCAGCCTGGCCAACACAGTGAAACCCCGTCTCTACTAAAAATACAAAAATTAGCTGGGCGTGGTGGCAGGCGCCTGTAATCCCAGTTACTCAGGAGGCTGAGGCAGGAGAATCGCATGAACCCAGGAGGCAGAAGTTGCAATGAGCTGAGACTGTGCCACTGCACTCCAACCTGGCGACAGAGCGAGACTCCATCTCAAAAAAAAAAAAGAGAAGGAGCCTGTCCAGGGGATGCGTAGAAAGGGAGCCTGGTGGGGCTGAGGTGGGAGAGGGGGGTGGGGGTGCATCACCTGGAGCTTCGAAGGTCGCAGTTAGAGATCCACTTGGCTCCTCCTTTGCTTTGTTCAGACTCTGTGTCACCTCCTCTGAGGAGCCTTCCCTGATGACCCTGGCTAAACCAGGCCCTTCTTTACCCCTTACCCTTATCTGTAGATGGCATCATAGTATCTGTTTATTGGGTGTGTGGGGATATCTTGTCTTTCTTCCTCCACAGTTACAAGGCCAGCTGGGTAGAGTTATCATGAGATGCCTATTGACTCCCCCGTGGTGCAGAAAATGTGGCCACAAGGATCCCAGCATGGGTGCTGTTGATGGATGGCAGGGAAAATCAGTGCCGTGTTTTATGGATTGCAGTTTTGACTCAACTTAAGCCTCAGAAGCCAACTCTGGAACCCAAGCCTTGAGCCCCAAAAGATTCCCCCAAAATCACAGTGACAATCATGGCTTTCACTGGATGCTTGCTGCATGGCACGCACTGCTACGCAACCTTTCAACATGTGCGATTCACTGGTATTTAGTACATGTGCAGTATTGTGCAACCACTGCCTAGATCCAGAACATTTCCACCACCCCGAAAGGAAACCCTGGACTCACGAGCCATCACTTCCCATCCCTCCAACACCCCAGCCCCTAGAAACCACTCACTTAGTTTCCATCTGTGTGAATTTGCCTTTCCATATTAATGGAATCATGTACTATGTGGCCTTTCACATGTTCACCCATGCTGTAGTGCATATATGGTATGTAGCATGTAGGTACACATTTTATTTCTGCATCAGTTGATGGCCATTTCAGTTTCGGTTGCCTCCACTTTCTGGCTATCATGAATAGTGCTGCAATGAACATCTGTGTACGAGTTTTTTGTTGGTTTATTTTGAGACGGAGTCTCGCTCTGTTGCCCAGGCTGGAGTGGGGTGGCGGGATCTTGGCTCACTGCAACCTCTGCCTCCCAAGTTCAAGCGATTCTTGTGCCTCACCCTCCTGAGTAGCTGGTACTACAGGTGTGCGCCACCATGCCTGGCTAATTTTAATACAAAAAATAATTTTTGTATTTTTAATAGAGACGGGGCTTCACGATGTTGGCCAGGCTGGTCTCAAACTCCTGACCTCAAGTTGATCCACCTGCCTCGGCCTCCCAAAGTGCCAGGATTACAGGCGTGACCCACTGTGCCCGGCCTGTGTATAAGTTTTTGTTTGAATATCTATCTTCAGTTCTTTGGAGATATACCCAGGAGTGGAATTACTGGATCATATGGTAATTCTGTTTAATTTATTGAGGAACTACCACCTAAGCACTTCAAATATATAAATAGAGATGGGATCTCACTATGTTGCTCAGGCTGGTCTTGAACGCCTGGGCTCAAGCGATCTTCCTTCCGTCTCAGCCTTCAAAGTGTTGGGATTGCAGGTGTGAACCATTGTGCTCAGCTGACCTAAGCACCTTTTAAAGCACTCATGATCCTGGGGAACGCTCACAACAAGGCAATGAGGGAGGCTCTGTGCTGCCCCCATTCTGCAGATGAGGAAACTGAGGCTCAGAAAGCAGAATTCATGAGCCAAGGTTACACTGGTGAGAAATGATGATGTCAGGCCTGTTGGATTCCAAACCAACTTGAACCTAAAGCTGAGAAGGAAGAGTGTGAGAAAAAAGAGAGATTATGAGAGCAGTAACAAGGGTGACTTCGGTCCACACTTAGCCTCTTGAGTTGCCATCTGTGGAAAAGGTGAGGAAAGAGGTAAAAGTCAGTGTTTCTCTATCAAACTTGCATGGATTCCCACCCCCTCCTGCTCCGTCCTGGCTGAGTGAGGTTGGGCAAGCTGGTTCACCTCTCTGTGCCTCAGTTTCCCCAGTGAATGGTGCTAAGGAGAAAAACTCCCTCAAATGGTGAGGATAAGAATGAAATAAGGCCAGGCGTGGTGGCTCATGCCTGTAATCCCAGCACTTTGGGAGGCCGAGGCGGATGGATCACTTGAGGTCAGGAGTTCAAGGCGAGCCTGGCCAACATGATGAAACTCTGTCTCTACTAAAAATACAAAAATTAGCTGGGCATGGTGGCAGGTACCTGTAATCCCAGCTACTTGGGAGGCTGAGACAGGAGAATCACTTGAACCTGGAGGCGGAGGTTGCAGTGAGCCAAGATCATAGCCGCTGCACTCCAGCCGGAGAGGCAGAGCAAGACTCTACCTCAAAAAAAAAAAAAAAAAAAAAAAATTTAATAAGGCTGGCCTGCTGCTATGGTTATCAATGTTGTTATTATCCTTTTCTACACAAGGGTCCCCCCAGCCCCAGAATCCCATGCTCTTGTTTCGGGTGCAGCTCTGGGGCAAAAGGGAGTCAGGGACCCCCAGAATCTTCTCCCCAGGGTTGGAAATGTTGGGTGGCCCAGAAGTAGAAGTAGTGTCTACTTCAAAAGTCCCATGTCCATGCTACAACTGAATGTTCCAGATCAGAAAACAGCACATAGTTTTCCAGAAATGCTGGGACCTTATCTCCTCAGGAGTGAGAGTAGCCTGGACCCATTAATTCACCAGAAACACATTGTATTTTAGGCCAGAAACAATAATAACTGTGGCCTGTTAAGTGGATGTCAGAGAATAAAAATCTAATCTGAATTTGTAACTCTGTCAGAAGGAATGGGGTGACCGAGAATTCCACAGGCGAGTTTTCAACATGGACACAGGGTGGGGGGTCCCTGAGCCTCTCTGCTGAGGTTTTGCACAGATCAGGGCTTGTGGAGAACAATGGGGACATTCTTTGAGCACTTGCTGTGTGCCAAGGCACAAAACAACCCTGGGAGGCTGTACTGTTAGAAGTTCCGTTGTTCAGATGGGAAACTGAGGCCCAGAGAGGTGGAGACGGTTGCCCAGAGTTGAACAGCTAAGAAGCGGCTGAGATGGGGCTTGAACCCAGACAGTCAGGATCTGACTGGAGCCCAAACTCTGAACCACGTGTGTCTTTCTCAGGGAAGTCTGGAAAAATGTGGTTTAGTGTTCTGCACAATGAAGTAACTTGTTCAACTGAGGTCACTGGCTGATGGTGGGAGTCACTGATGGAGGAAATGGGGAGAGGGCCCAGGACCCCCCAGGAAGTGTCCCCTGTCTCCTTTGCTGGGTATTTTCCTTCCCTGACTCTTGGCCTGTTTCTTTCTTGGTGAGTGTATGTGGGGTGGGGTTAGTGAGAAAGGGAGACCCCAGCTCTGGCGTTGCGGGAGTGTTAGGATCCAAGGCCAGGCCTGCAGCCCTGGGTCCCTCCTGCCTGGGAGGTACCTGGGGAAGTCTGCAGCCTGTCTACACTGGTGAAGCCTCAGCCCCAACCAGCCCCCTGCCCTGCACTTGCCAACTGGGCACCGCCACTGTCGGCACCACATCCCCAGGGTGTGTAACAAGTGTCACAGCCTCACCCAGCCTCAGTTTCCTCCCCTGGAAAATGGGGATAGCCACGACACGTGGTGGGGAAGGTTATATTTACATGACCTGGGCTGTTACTCTTATTCCTGCCTCCAGTAAGAAGCCACGTGGAGTGTCTGCCATGCTGAGGAGAGGGCACCCCTGGCCGGAGCCCAGCTGGATGTCAGGCCTGAGGCTGGATGTCAGGCCAAAGCTGGCTCCAGCCCAGCAGCCTGACACGAAGGGGAGGGAGGCCTGAGTCGGCCAGACTCCTGAGTCACTGTTTCCCGGCTCTGCCAGGCCAGGCGGGAAAAGGGGGAGCGGGGCGGAGGGAGGGGAAGGGGATAATCTGGGGGAGGGAGGGAGTGGAGAGTGAGACACCAGTTGTAACCATTGTTGGGTGGGACAGACAGAAAGCCACCTGCCAGGGGGGCAAGGAGATTCTGGGGTGTCAGAGTGGGGTCCTTGCACTTCCCTGCATTATAGGCTGCAAACTCCTCCCTCCCTCGCCACCAACACATACACACACACACACACACACACACACACACACACACACACACACACTGCACTCAGCTTCACAGCTTTCCTTCTCTTTCTTGAGTGTGTTGACCAGGTTCCAGCCTCAGGGCCTTTGCACTGGCTGTGTTTTCTGCCTGGAACACTTCAAGGTTCTTTCTCAAATCTCAGGCTTCAGCTTAAATGTCACCTCTTCAGTGAAGCTGTCCAGGCTGGAGTGCAGTGGTGCCATCATGGCTCACTGCAGCCCCAACCTCCCCGGGCTCTGGTGATCCTCCCACGTCAGCCCCTCGAGTAGCTGGGACCGCAGGCGTGCACCATCATGCCCTGCTAATTTTTGTATTTTTCTGTAGAGATGGGGTTTTGCTGTGTTGCCCAGGCTGGTCTCGAACTCCTGAGCTCAAGTGATCCACCAGCCTTGGCCTCCCAAAGTGCTGCGATTGCAAGCCTGAGCCACCACACTGGGGCCTGCCTGAGCTTTCTTTTTCTTGAGACAGAGTCTCGCTTTGTCGCCCAGGCCAGAGTGCAGTGGTGCAATCTCGGCTCACTACAAGCTCCGCCTCCCAGGTTCACCACCCGGGTTCACACCATTCTCCTGTCTCAGCCTCCCAAGTAGCTGGGACTATAGGCACCCGCCACCATGCCCGGCTAATTTTTTGTATTTTTTTAGTAGAGACGGGGTTTCACTGTGTTAGCCAGGATGGTCTCCATCTCCTGACCTCGTGATCCGCCCGCCTCAGCCTCCCAAAATGCTGGGATTACAGGCGTGAGCCACCACGCCCGGCACCTGCCTGAGCTTTAAGTGTGCTCTTCCTACTCCCCCTCCCAATTCCTTTAGTTCATCCATTCATTCATTTATTTGCCCGGAAGGTATTGCGCACCTCCTTCGGGCAGGGCCCTGCTTTAAACAGTGAACAGAGTAGACAACCTGCCTGCCCTCATGGAGCCATCACTCCACCCAAGGAGATGGCACAATGAGCACACCGCACACTGGGCTGGAACAGGTGTCTCTGGAGGAGCCAGGCACAGGTGGGGGAGCCAGGCGCAGCTGGGGGAGTCAGGACATAGCGCGGGGGCTTTCCCTGTTGGAGGGGGTTGAGTACGGTGTCTCAGAAAGTGATGCCAGGGAGATCTGCAGGACGAATCGAAGGAAGCCATGTGGGTGTCTGCGGAGAGAGAGTTCCAGGCAGAGGGAACAGCCAGTGTGAAGGCCCTGAGGCAGGGGTGTGGTGGGCAGAGTCAAGGAGCAGGCAGGAGGCCAGTCGGGTGGGAGCAGAGTGGGCGAGGCCAGGAGGTGAGGCCAGCAAGGGGACGGGGCGGGCAGGTGGGGCAGGCAATGAGGAGGATGTGGCTTTTGCCTTGAGCCCCTGGAGGGTCCTGAGCAGAGGGGCTGCAGAGACATGGTCAAGTTCCAGGTGGGGTTAGGGCGAGAACTGACCTTCCAGGCAGACAGGCAGGGTCCCCCCACCTTGCCCCTGCCCTGAGATGAAGCGCCAGCCTTGGATCAGGACCCTGTCCAGAGGTGGGCCAGGGCTCTCAAGCCAGACTCGAGTCTGCACTGGGTAGGGACAGCTTCCCACGGCCAGCCTTCCCCGTGGAGGATTGCTTGCGGGGGAGGGGTCCCCTAAGTCTCTTCTCTTTCTCCCTCTCTTTCGTAACCATCAGCCTAGCCAGACCTTTGGTCAGGCCTGGTGGAGAGAGTGTTCTCTGTCATCATCTGGCCATGGGAAAGGTGAAGTAAAAGCCACCAGTGACGGAGAGAAGCAGCCTGTGGCCAGCCCAGCACCACCCTCACCCCACGCACCCGTAGGCTGAGTGCCTCATCCCTTGGCCATGGTCCCCCAACCTCCAACATAATCAGGCCCGTGGGAGCCTGGCCAGAACTGTGGCCAGTGACTCAGCAGGAATCACCCCAGACAGGAGCCAGAGCCCCGGTGTCCAGACCAGAAACCACCCCTGACCTGTTCGGCTGGGCAGGAACAGGGACAGAGCAGGCGGAAAAGCTCTCAGCCCAGGATAGCCGGGGGAGAGGGGCGTGGGAAGACCCCTGTCCAGATGCAGTTCGTGGCCACCCACCCTGATGGTGTCTGCTGAGGTCCAGATCGTAGTTTTAGGAGGGGGTTCGTGGCTGTTCTGCCCAATTCTGTTGAAGCCCTGAGCATCAGCCTGGCTTTGATGGGTTATACTGGGCTGTTGTGGTGTAGCTTGTCTATTCCATTGCATTGTTTCTGTTCTATTGTGTGTTCTGGTCTGTTCTAGAACCTACCAATCCTTTCTATTCTATTGTGTTTATTCATTCAGCAGATACTTACTGACCACCCCTGTGTGCCAGGCAGTCTTCCAGATGCTCGGGTCACAACTTTGTTTATTTATTTATTTATTTATTTATTTTGTGACGGAATCTCACTCACTCTGTTGCCTAGGCTGGAGTGCAGTGGCGCGATCTCGGCTCACTGCATGGAGTTACAACTTTGGATGAAATGAGACCTCTGCCCCAGGGCGTTCATGGGGAGACCAGCAACTGATAAATATCAGGTAGTGGTAAGAGCTGAGAACAGCAGCAGCAGCATCAAAGCAGAGAGCCACAGAAGGAGCGAGGCGCAGGCTGCGTTCACAGTGCGGGGAGCAGGGTCAGGAGCAGCCGCAGCCTCACTGGCAAGATGACAGTCTTTTTTTTTTTTTTTTTTTTTGAGATGGAGTCTCACTCTGTCACCCAGGCTGCAGTGCAGTGTTGCAATCTCGGCTCACTGCAACCTCTGCCTCCCGAGTTCAAGTGATTCTCCTGCTTCAGCCTCCGGAGTAGCTGGGATTACAGGTGCGTGCCACCACACCCGGTTAATTTTTGTATTTTTAGTAGAGATGGGGTTTCACCATGTTGGCCAGGCTGGTCTTGAACTCCTGACCTTAAGTGATCCACCCGCCTCGGCCTCCCAAAGTGCTGGGATTACAGATGTGAGCCACCGCAGCCAGCCAAGATGACAGTCTTGAGCAGAGTCGGGAAGGAGCTGAGGGAGGGAGGCACACAGATATCAAGGGGTCAAGAAAAGCATTCTAGGCAGAGAGAACAGCAAGTACAAAGGCCTGAGGCTGGAATGTGCCTAGTGTGTTCCAGGACTGGCCAGGAGGCCAGTGTGGCAGCCAAGGGGAGCAGTAGGGAAGATGGGGTGTGTGGGGACATGGCTTGGAGGAGGTTAAAGCCAGGTGGGAGAGAGCAAGAGGGACAGAGCTCTCCACGGTCCTCCTGGGGTGTGGGGCCAGCTGGATGGCCTTGGATAGGGGGTACGCGTGTGAGTGTGTGTCTGTGATGTGGACAGATGCATGTGGGTCCGCGTGTGGTGTTGTGCATCCCTGTGTGTCTGTGTGCGCCCATCCATGCACCTGCATTATGTGTCTCTGATTCAGGCAGTTAGTGCTTCTGTATTTGTAGGTGCCTGTGGGTATCTGCAGTGTATTGTGGGTGTGTGTTGTGTGTCTGGAATTTGGTGTGACTGTATAGGAGCAGGTCTGTGTGTGTCACGTCTTTTTTTGGCAGGTGCCTGGACGTGTGTGTGGAGTGTTGTTTGTCTGCCATGTATTTTGTGCATGTGTGGGGGTGTGTGTGTGCATTAGTCTATGTTCCTGTGATTGTGGCATGGTGACAAGTTTTGGGGTTCCTGGGGGTGCAAAGGCATGGGAAGGAGCCTTCCTGCAGACCCACCCCAGGCCAGCAGCAGCCCCTCCCCATGGCAGCAGATACACACTCACTCTGATGCCCCGGGAGGAGGCTGGGCAAGCAGCCCCAGAGCAGCAGGCAGCATCAGGTGGAGAATGAGGGTGGGAGCTCAGTTCAGCCACCTTTTCTAGGCATTTCAGGGCCTGTCAGAAGCTCCCATGGAAGATGTGGAGGTTGGGGAGCAGTAGACATTCACAGGCCTGGGAATGGGGGTGCTTGAGTATCTGGGGCACCCACGGGAAACTCTGGCCTCCTTGGGCTTAATGGGTGGAGCCGGGTTTTTGCACACACGTGGTGGGGGCGACTACATGTACTGAGCTCATGCCAGAGTATGAGAGGAGACAGTGCCCGACGTATGCACAGATGAACACATGTATGGAAGGATAAGTATGTGTTCAAGGGTGGACACATGTGAACACAGACACTTGTATGTAGGGACAAACATTTGCGTGCAGGGACAGACACACACATCCAAATAGACACACAGGTGCAGGAGCAGACACTTATGTACACAAATGGATGTGAGTGTACATGGATAGACACACATGATTGTCCTTTGTGGGCCCCAGAACCTCTCCTGCACACACTTGCACACACATGCACACTGACTCACATGCACTCACGTGTGTGCAGGGCCTGGTCTACCATGCACACCATGCATATAGGGTCCCTATGCATACAGAAAATCCCCAAATGGGCCTGGCATGGTGGCTCATGCCTGTAATCCCAGTGCTTTGGGAGGCCAAGGCGGGTGGATCACCTGAGGTCAGGAGTTGGAGACCAGCCTTGCCAATGTGGTGAAAACTCATCTCTACTAAAAATACAAAAATTAAGCTAGGTGTGGTGGCAGGTGCCTGTAATCCCAGCTACTCCGGAGGCTGAGGCAGGAGAATTGCTTGAACCCGAGAGGTGGAGATTGCAGTGAGCCGAGATGACGCCATTGCACTCCAGCCTTGGTGACGGAGCAAGACTCTGTCTCTCCCCCAAAAAAAGAAAGTCCCCAAATGTAATGTGTGCCTCTCATCCTCAGTATCAGGAGAGTGCTGAGAGCACACACGGCTGACATTCTCTGTGTGGGGAGCCAGCACATGGCCCTGGGAGCCAGGCCTGGCTGCCTTTTGGCCTTTGTGATCGGGTCCTGTACTGTGCGCTTTACTTTCTGTGCCTTGGTCTCCTCATTTCTTAGCGAGGACTGAAGCTGTTAACCCATGCCAAGTGCTTGGCTTTACATCAAATAGTAAAAGTTACTCTTACTCCTGTCTGGTGCCAGCCTAGGCTCATATTACAGACAAGAGGCCTGGGGCAGTGGCTCATGCCTATAATCCCAGCACTTTGGGAGGCCAAAGCGAGAGGGTCACTTGAGCCCAGGAGTTCAAAACTAGCCTGGGCAACATAGCAAGACCCCATTTCTACAAAAAATTTTTTAAAAAAATTAGCCGGGCATGGTGGTGTGTGCCTGTAGTCTCAGCTATTCGGGAGGCTGAGGTGGGAGTATCACTTGAGCCTGGGAGGTTGAGGCTGTAATGAGCTATGGTCATGCCACTGCACTCCGGTCTGGGCAACAGAGGGAGATCCTGTTTCAAAACAAACAAACAAACAAAACTGGGCCCAGAAAGAGTAAGGTCCTTGCCTGGGACCGCACAGCCAGAAAATGGCAGATTCAAGATTCAAGTACCCTGAAAGTCTTCTGTGCCCAGAAATACACACACAGGGCCCACACATCCACTTGGAAGGATACCCAGGACTGTGCATGCACTTACAGCCAGGACCGTGGCCACAGAAAGGCCCTGGGGTCAGCAGAGGCTGGAATGGTCAGTGGGAATGTTCCCTCCCAGCCAGGGCTTGCAAATTCCAGAACCTCCAGTGATAGCTTTCGGGAGCCTAGATTCTTCCTACTCTAACCTCTGCCTAAAATTCCATTTCTTCTTCTTTTCCTTGCTTTAAGCAAGGGTCAGATGATTCCAATGCCTGCAGATGCTAGGCAGGTACTTAAATAAGTTAAGGGTGAAGCAATAGGGGTTGGTGGAGACTGTGATGGGTGTGATTCATTGCCACGTAGGAAAGCCGGCCCGCTGCTGTGGGAAAACGGGAAGTCAGAATTGTAATAGAATTTTTTTTTTTAAAGTGACTGAGTCTTGCTCTGTCACCAGGCTGGAGTACAGTAGTGAGATCATAGTCCACTGCAGGCTGGAATTCCTGGGCTCAAAGGATCCTCCCCTCTCAGCCTCCTGAGTAGCTGAGTAGGTGCAAGCCACCACGCCCAGCTAATTTTTGCATTTTTAGTAGAGACAGGGTTTCACCATGTTGGCCAGGCTGATCTCCAACTCCTGGCCTCAAGTGATCTGCCCACCTCAGCCTCCCAAAGTGCTGGGATTACAGAAGTGAGCCACTGTGTCCGGCCCACACCTGGCTATTAAATTTTTTTTTTTTTTTTTTTTTTTTTTAGAGCCAGAGTCTCTCCATGTTGCCCTGGCTGGTTTTGAACTCCTGCGCTCAAGCGATCCTCCTGCCTCAGCCTCCCACAGTGCTGGGATTATAGGTGTGAGCCCCTGCTCCCAGGCTGATTTTGTGGGCAAGAAATTCCAGTTGTTTCTAACTCTGTGGGGGTCAAACAAGTCTCCTCTGTCCCTCTGTGGGTCTGGTTGGTCCGAGCACCCCCCGTTTGTAGTCTCTGCCTGTTCACTGAGGCCAGAGGCTGGGTGCTTGCTGTGTGCCCTAGGGAAGGGCCTGGGCTTCTCTGTGTTCAATTTCCTCATGGCCAGACCCTGGGGAGGACACACATGGTAGAGAGCTGAGACTCTCCAGGGGAGAGCCAGACCTGGACAGCAGAGGAAGGACCGTCATGCCTGAAAAAGTCATTTCTCTCCTCATCCCTACTCTGCCCGTCTCCTGCTATCCGCAGGGAACTTAATGGAGAAAACACCCTGCCAGTGCCTGTTTTCCTTTCCATCCTGCGGTGGGTGCCAGCTCCAGATGAGTGACTCAGGGCTTCCCATGGCAGCAGATAAACACTCGCTCTGATGCCCCGGGAGGAGGCCGGGCAAGCAGCCCCAGAGCAGCAGGCAGCATCAGGTGGAGAATGAGGGTGGGGGCTCAGCTCAGCCACCTTTTCTAGGCCTTTCAGGGCCTGTCAGAAGCTCCCATGGAAGATGTGGAGGTTGGGGAGCAGTAGACATTCACAGGCCTGGGAATGGGGGTGCTTGAGTATCTGGGGCACCCACGGGAAACTCTGGCCTCCTTAGGCTTAATGGGTGGAGCCGGGTGGATAGAGGGGTAGGGTGTCAGAATTGGCTTAAGAATTTCAGAGTGGGCCGGGCATTGTGGCTCACGCCTGTAATCCCAGCACTTTGGGAGGCTGAGGCAGGTGGATCACGAGGCCAGGAGATCGAGACCATCCTGGCTAACACGGTGAAACCCCGTCTGTACTAAAAATACAAAAAATTAGCCAGGCATGCTGGCAAGCGCCTGTAGTCCCAGCTAATCGGGAGGCTGAGGCAGGAGAATGGCGTGAACCTGAGAGGCAGAGCTTGCAGTGAGCCGAGATCGCACCATTGTACTCCAGCCTGGGCAACAGAGCGAGACTCCGTCTCAGAAAAAAAAAAAAAAAAAATTTCAGAGTGAGGCAGGTCCCAGCAGGCCAGGGTCATTATGGCAGCCTTCCTGGAGGAGGGGGCTGAAAGTAGCTCTGTGGCTGCTAGCCTTGAAGTCAGGATACCTGGGCTCACACTAGATGGTTGGAAAGCATGAAGGCAGTGACTATGTCATCTCAGTCACTTGTGTCCTCAGCTCCCAGACCAGAGTCTGGTATACAGCAGGCACTCAATAAAGATCTATAGGCCAGGCATGGTGGCTCACGCCTATATTCCCAGCACTTTGGGAGGCCAAGGCAGGAGGATTGCTTGCTGCCAGGAGTTTGAGACCAAGCCCAGGCAACATAGCCTGTCTCTCCAGAATAAAAAACAAACAAAAACATTTAGCCGGGTGTGGTGGCACTCACCCATAGTGCCAGCTCCTCAGAAGGCTGATGGGGAAGGATCCCTTGAGTTCAAGGCTGCAGTAAGCTATGATGGCACCACTGCACTCCAGCCTGGGTGAGAGAGTGAGACTCTGCCTCTAAAAAAGTAATAATTAAAAAAATATTTGTAGGCCAGGCGTGGTGGCTTATGCCTGTAATCCCAGCACTTTAGGAAGCCGAGGCGGTTGGATTACTTGAGGTCAGGAGTTCGAGACCACCCTGGCAAGCATGGTGAAACCCCATCTCTACTAAAAATACAAAAATTAACCAGGCGTGGTGGTGGGCACCTGTAGTCCCAGCTACTCAGGAGGCTGAGATATGAGAATCGCTTGAACCCAGGAGGACCTTGTCTCAAAAACAAACAAAAAAAAGATTTGTAAAATGAGATGACAGAAAATAATAGCTTTAGGGAACACTCACCCTGGGCTAAGAACCGTGAACAACCCTATGAGGTAGGTGTTATTATTATCTTCTATTTTATACATGAGGAAACTGAGGCACAGAGAGGTTAAGTAATATGCCCAAGGTCATACAGCTAGCAAGTGACAACCAGGGTTCAAACCCAGGCCTGTCTGCAAAGCCCAGGGCATATCACTTCCTGAATGGTTCGATGTCTGTCACTCCCACGGGGCGGTGAGGGCCATAAACGCTGGGCTTATCTGTTTTGGTCCCTGCTCATCTATTTTGGCCTGGCATATAGTAGATGCTTAATAAATACTTGTTGAATAAATTACAAAAGTCCTTTGGGTCCTCAGACAAGTCACTTCTCTCCAAGCTTTGGTTTCCCCATCTATGCAATGGGCATACTCTAAGTACCAACCTCATTGTGTTGTTTTGACAAAGAAATGAAAGAGTGGAGGAGGATTGTGGCTCTGTAGGAAAAGTTCCAGAGTCAGCCAGACTGGGTTCAGGTCTACACTGCCTACCCTTCCAGCTGTGTGACCTTAGACAAGTTCCCCACCCTCTCTGAGCTGCAGTTTTCTTATCTGTGTGATGGAACAGTTTGGAGGCTGGGAATCTGGGTTCTCTCGGGCCCCTGTCAAGCTCTGCCTCGGGTAACGACTGGCCCTGGAGCCTCCACCCCTCAGATC
Source organism: Homo sapiens (assembly GCF_000001405.40). Taxonomy (NCBI): domain Eukaryota; kingdom Metazoa; phylum Chordata; class Mammalia; order Primates; family Hominidae; genus Homo; species Homo sapiens. Next base: position 50,037,094 of record NC_000020.11, read on the forward strand.
TCAGGGGCACTAAAGCTTCTGAGGAGGTGGCTTCTGGACTCATCTCAGACGGGGCAACTCACCCCAGCAGGCAGGCAGAGAGGATGGCTCTCTTTGGGCCTGACCTAGGGCTAAGAACCTTCTTGTTGGAGTGGGACAGGGCCTGAGCTCAGAGTTCCAGCTGCCTAGCAGGTTTGAGCTTGCACTGGGTTAAGCAACGCCCTACCCCACTCCACCTCCAACGAGGGAGATGGGAGCTCTTTTGAACCAAGCACCTGCTGAGTGCCAGGCTCCTGCTCTGAAACCCCTCAACCTCCCTCTCCTGTGAGGTGGGGGCCAGGGCCATGCCCATTTCACAGACAGAAAAACAGGTTCCCAGAGGAACCTCACCCAAGATCATAGATCCCAGCTCCTCCAGCTCTGAGCTGTCTCCTCTGCCTGACCCTTCTTAGATCGAGGAGGGAGATGGGTGAGAACGTTCTCTCCAGAGAAGGAAGGAGTCTGATGACTCCACAGCAGGCAGGAATGGCAGCTCCAACTCTCTTTAGGGGTCTGTGTCATTTTGCAGCCTTAGGAGCAGCTTAATACCATTTTCAGATGAGAAAACAGCCCATCTTCTTCTGCGGGGTGAGCGCTCCTTCTCCTTACACTCCCTCTCTCCCTCCCCCTTCCCTCCGAGCCCTGAGTAATCTGCCCCTATCTCTTGCTGTTCCTCAGACATACTGGGCGCACTTCCACCCCAGGGCCTTTGCTTATACAGGTCCAGCTGCCTGGGACGCCCTTTCTCCTCTTCTCCTGGTGGCTCCTTCTCTTCCTTCAGGTCTCAGCTCAAACCTCATCTCTTCGGAGATCCCTCAGCAGCCCTAAAGCGCCCCCAGCTCAGCCCCCTGTTAAGTTTTCTTTCATGTCCTGGTCGTATCTAATGTGATCTCACTGGTTGCTTCCTTTGCTGGTTTCTTCTCTGTCTCCCCACTGGAAAGTGGGCTCCCTGAGACTGGGTCTGTCCATCCCGTTCATGCTGTGTCCCCAGACCTAGCCCAGTGTTTGGCAAGTCCGTGTCTGCTGCAGGAGTCTTCTGAATGAACTTGGGCATAGCTAAATGCCTGGCAAAGTCTCTAGTGACATCAGCTGCCCGAGGGGAGACAAGTTGGAAGAATAGGGAAATCACACAAACTTGGGTTCAAATCCTGCTTGCTGTGTTACCTTAGGCAAGTGCCCTGTGCCCTCTCTGTTTTGTTTTGTTTTCTTTTTCTGGAGACAGGGTCTCACTGTATTGTCCAGGCTGGTCTGGAACTCCTAGGCTCAAGAGATCATCCTACCTCGACTTCCCAAATTGCTGGGATTACAGGGGTGAGCCACCGTGCCCGGTTGCTCTGCCCTCTCTGCTTCTGGACTTCCATTTCCTCGGCTAGATTGAGGGATGACCACAGTGACTATCTCCAGGATTGTTGGAAAACCTAGAGATTCGATGAGAATGGGAACCAGCCAGCCCCAAGTGGTGCCCATATACTGTCATCCCTGCCACCCTCTTCACCTTCCCAGCCCCGAAGTTCCCCAGCTGGCAGGGATGAGTGGAGAGGCCCCTGTCAATGGTGTCTGTGCTGAACAAGTCCCATTTGCTGCTGCCTCCTCCCCAGGCCAGAATAAACGTGCACCTGCCCCAGGTCACAGAGCACACAGCAGGGAGCCGAGGGGGTGGGGCAGGGAGCTGAGGGCTGGAGCAGGGCTCCTGGTGTCTCTGAGGACAAAACAGTCCATTGTGGCCCTGTGGGTATTGAGGGAATCACAGGGCCTGAATGGAGGCGGGTGAGGAGGCAGGGCAGGTGTGGGAGCAGGTGTCCACGGTCATCCCACGGCATCGCCCCTGGGGGGAAGTGCCCCCCTATGCGTGCCCTGGAACCGGCCTGGCTGGTCGGACACCTGTCCCCTGCAGCTTCTTGTCAGGAGACAACATAGGCGTGAGCCAGGCCCCAGGGGTGGGGTGGGATGAGGGAGTGGGGGGTGGGATGAGGGAGTGGGGGGTGGGATGAGGGAGTGGGGGGTGGGGAAGTAGAAGATGGGAAGGATGGGACTGGGGGACAGAGACTCTGGGGTCTAGGGCAGAGAGACCCAGGATAGAATCCCAGCCCTGCTCCTTCAGGCTGGGAACACTGGACAAGTCACCTCTTTAAGCCTGTTTCCTCATTCACAAAGTGGGGCTGAAACTCCCCTCTGTGCCCCAGTGAATTTTCCAGGCACACGCATGGGGCGGGGTATGGGGGGCTTTGATGATTTGGGGCCTCAGTCTGCCCACAGCCTCCCTCCCAGAAAGGGTTCATCATTCTTTTACTGAAGAAACACTTAATTTAGAAAAGGCCGGGCGCGATGGCTCACGCCTGTAATCCCAGCACTTTGGGAGGTCAAGGTGGGAGGATCGTGTAAGTCCAGGAGTTCGAGACCAGCCTGGGCAACACAGCAAACCCCATCCCTACTAAAAATACAAGAAATTAGCAGGCATGGTGGCATATCCCTATAGTCCCAGCTATTTGGGAGGCTGAGGCAGGAGAATTGCTTGAACCCCAGAGGCAGAGGTTGCAGTGATCCAAGATGGCGCCACTGCACTCCAGCCTGGGCAACAGTGTGAGCACCTGTCTCAAAACCAAAACAAAAACACACTCTTATTGAGCTCCTACTGTGTGCCAGAACCATGCTAGGTGCTGGGGACACAAAAGTGAGTGGGACAGACAAGTTTCCCTTACTGGGGAAGAAGACAGAACATCCAAAGGATAAAGAATGAGCAAGAGAATTCCAGACAGTGATGCGGGCACCAGGAATTAAATTGAAGTTGTGCTGGAGGGTGACTCCACAGTGTGGTCAAGGAGGGCTCTCTGAGGAGGGACCTGAAGCCCCGAGGAGGAGAAGCAGAAAAGAGGAGCAGGTGGGGAGACCTGGGGGTGGGCTGCAGGCTTCAGGCAAAGGCCTGTGGTAGGACTGAGCTTGCATTTGCACTTGCAGAGGAAGTGCGGGGAGCACCCCAGCCCAGGAGGTATCTGGCCCGAGGGGACCCTCTCAGCCTACCCCTGCCCCTCCCTGTCCCCGGAGGCTGAGGCTAAGAGGCAAGGTGCGGGCCAGGCTGGAGGAAATGGGGCCAAGACCCGTCTGGCCAGCAGACTCTCCTGGGACTGCTAATATCCCAAGTGCTGGTGACAAGACACAGCCCCGGGTGGCAGGGGGCTGGGGGCCTGAGACTCCGTAAACAGCCCTGGCTCGTAAAGCTGATCAAAGCAGCAGGCCTGTCCCAGCCCTGGCCACTTCCTGCAGGGCCCAGAGCCCTGGCCTGTGGGAGATCCTGGGAAGGGCCTCTCAGCAGAGGCTGCTTTGGGGTCTCTAGGCACTGGGGGCAGGGGCAGGGGCAGGGCCAGGTCCCCGAGCCTGTCCTGGCTTCGGTTTTCCCTCTTGTTTTGCAATGAAGACTGGCTGGAACCTCTGAGAAGCCTGTTTCACTGCATGTCTTTGACAAAAGCTTGGCCTCTGGAACCGGAGGTCTGGGGGTTTGAATCCCAGTCCTGCTACGGTGTGACCTCAGGCAGTGACACCCGCACCTCCCCTACCGCCCAAAACTGTCCTTAGCTCTAAAATGAGGATAATGATGGTACCTATTTCAACAGCCTTAGACTGTGAAATTTTATTGATATGATTTCTAATTATAGTTCATTAATTATCTAATGACAACAGTGACAGTAGCAGGCATCCTGGTGGAAAAGGCATCCCAGGTTGCAGGACTGGCTGAGGTTTGTGGAGCCAACGGCAAGGATTGTTGGGAAGGTCCCGGCTCCCATGTGCTCCTCCTGGGCCAGGTCTGGGCAAAGAGAGGCCCCGAGGTGGAGGATTTCCAGGCGGAGTGGAGGTTGCCAGGGCTACAGCCCCTGGCCTGACGTGAAGTAGCTTTTCCCAGGCCTGGCTCCAAGACCCCAGGGGTCTCACTCTCTCAAATCGGCCTGAGAAGATTTGAGGATGAAAACAGACCCAGGACTCGGCCAAGTCTCCCCTCCCTGTTACCCACTCAGCCTGGCCCCACCCTCTCACGCCCGGACTGTTGCGGTGGCCTCCTGGGCTCCCTGCCTCCCATTCAGTCCCCTTCGGTCCCCTTTTGGCCACAGAAGCTAAGTCAGACAGACCCTGTCCCTCTGCTCAGAGCCCTCCAGGGTTCCCACCCCACTCACAAAGCCTGAGCCCTCCCACAGCCCACAGGCCCAACCAGCCAAGGCGGAGTAGGCCTGTCACCTCCCAACGCCTCCCTGTCACTCACTGAGATACCGCCTCACCACGTAAAACCACCACGGCCCGCATGCCAGCTGCCTCTCCCGGCCTGGTGTTTTCATTTTCTTTAGCACTGGTTCCCTTCTGACGCCTGGTATAAAATCCCTGTTCATCTTCTCCGTCTCTGCCACAGGAGAGTCAGCACCATGAGGGCAGGGATTTTTGTTTTTGTTTTCTTCCATTTTGTTCCCAGCCATATCTATACCCAGTTCCTAAAACTGGAGGCACTTAATAGGTGTCTGTGGGAGGCAGGAACGGGTCCTCACCAGCTCTAGGGGCAGGTACTATCGTTATTTCCACTTTACGAAGGAGGAAGTGAAATTGAGCAAGACCTCACACAGCTGGGAAGCGGAAAGTCAGTGCCTTGATGATCATGATGATGATGATGATAACAACAGCTAAGATATATTAAGCACCTACTGTGTGCCAGGCACCGTTCTGGGTGCTGGAACAATAGCAAAAGAAAAACACCAGGTGCGGCCGGCAAGGTGGTGTGTGCTTATAATTCCAGCATTTTGAAAAGCCGAGGCAGGCAGATCACTTGAGCCCAGGAGTTTAAGACCAGCCTGGCCAACATGGTGAAACCCCGTCTCTACTAAAAATACAAAAATTAGGCTGGGCGCAATGGCTCACACCTGTAATCCCAGCACTTTGGGAGGCCGAGGAGGGAGGATTACCTAAGGTCGGGAGTTCGAGACCAGCCTGGCCAACATGGAGAAACCCCCATCTCTACTAAAAATACAAAATTAGCTGGGTGTGGTGGCGCATGCCTGTAATCCCAGCTACGAGGGAGGCTGAGGCCGGAGAATCGCTTGAACCTAGGAGGCGGAGGCTGCAGTGAGCTGAGATCGTGCCATCGCTCTGAGCGACAAGAGCAAAACTCCGTCTGAAAACAAAACAAAATAAAACAAAAAACAGCACGAAAATTAACCTGGTGTGGTGGCACATGCCTGTAATCCTAGCTGCTCAGGAGGCTGAGGCAGGAGAATTGCTTGAACCTGGGAGGCAGAGGCTGCAGTGAGCCAAGATTGTGCCAAGGAAGAAAAGGAAAAGAAGAAAAATACCAGGTGCATTGTAAGTACGTTACAGCAGATAACTCTTGGAATCCTCAGTGGGGCCCTCTGTGGAGGGGACTATTACTGTCCCCATTTCACAGATGTGGAAACAGAGGCCCAGAGGGATTAAGTAACCGGTCTCTAACAACAACAGCTCCAACAGCAGCCCCCATGTACTGAGCTGTGCTCTGGGCCCTGGCATTCACCCGGTATCCCTCACCTTTCCTACGCTTTTGGTTATCCTCTACAGCAAAGAACCCAGCCTCTGGAGAAGCAGTAAGTCCCAGCCCATTTCCCAGGCTCTTCTGCCCCCTGGGCACACCTGGTACCAGGCATGGACAGGCCCAAACACCGAGGCCATTGCACATTTGCTGCCTCAGAGGGACTCACCTTGGTGTCTCAGTTTCCCAAGACTCTTCGGGGTCTGGGGCCCATGGAACGGGTAAGCAGTTCTTTCTCATTCACACCTGGGACCCCTGCTGTCCCCAGGGAGGGCCTGAGGAAGTGTTGGCCACTCTGCTGTGTGACCTTGGACAAACTGCTGTGCCTCTCTGATCTTCCAGGCTCAACCAACTCCATGGGGTGGTGGCTTGCTGAGAAAACTGTGGGCTAGGATCTGTGAGCCAGGGTCTGGGAGGAGTGAGGACCATTCATAGAAAGCCTGGCAACTGGGAGCACCTGCATCCTGCCTGGGAGGACCACGTGGAGGGAGCAGAGCCACCTTCACCCCTGTCTCGGGCCTGTTTTCCCTTCCCGCTCTGCCCTGTACTTTGCAAGCCCCCAAGAGATGGGGTTGGGTCCTGTCCACTGCTCCCCCTCCCTGTTTTGGCCACACTTTCTCACTAGGAAAGAAAATGACCAGGAGGCCACATTCTCCAGGCCCCCAAAGCCTGCACCAGGGTCTCTCCCAATCCACATCATTCCACCTTTTCCCGCTGCCACTCCACCTCTGTGACCCCTTCTCCTGTCACTCAGTCCTTGCAATAACTAAGGATTCAGCCAGGGTTATGGCTCTGCCTCTTTTTTTTTTTTTTTTTTTTAGACGGAGTCTCGCTCTGTCGCCCAGGCTGGAGTGCAGTGGCACAATCTTGGCTCACTGTAAGCTCCGCCTCCCAGGTTCACATCATTCTCCTGCCTCAGCCTCCCGAGTAGCTGGGACTACAGGCGCCTGCCACCATGCCCAGCTAATTTTTTGTATTTTTAGTAGAGACAGGGTTTCACTGTGTTAGCTAGGATGGTCTCGATCTCCTAACCTTGTGATCTGCCCGCCTCAGCCTCCCAAAGTGTGGGGATTATAGGCGTGAGCCACCGCGCCCGGCCGGCTCTGCCTCTTTTGCCGATTGGGAGACAAGTGCAAAGAGGTACCTGGCATGGTTCTGAGTCCAGGGAAAGACAGGACGCCATCCCCAGAGGGCCATGGTGATCTCTCCAGAGGCCAGCCCTCCCCACTGTGCCCTTGCTTGGGGCAATAATGGCTCAGCTGATGGACCACGCGCGGTGTGCACTGTCCCCCATTTTAAGAAAGAGGGAACTGGGCTTCAGAGGGGACAGCCACCTGCCCGAGGTCACCCAGCCAGGAGGTGGCAGTGCCTGTCTGATGCAGAGCCTGTGAGTATGGTGGGCAGGGGAGAATGAGGCCCAGCGAGAGGAACGGCCCTGCCCAAGGTCATGCCACCGCTACCAGGGCGCAGACCCCCCAGGCTGGGCCAGTGCTGAGAGCACTGGAATCCCAGGCAGAGTCTTCCCATGACCCTGGGTGGGGGTGGGGGCTGGCCTGGCATTTCCTGTTTGGGCAGGACCCAGGGCATGGCCTGAGTGGGGAGATAGGGAGACTTCCTACGGCCCCTCCCCGCTCAGGAACTAGCCCAGGATGCAGTGCGGGGCAGGGTTGGGGCCCGTGTCCTGGGTCCCAGGCCAGCTCTCCCCTTGATATCCTGGTGGTCTTGTTCTCGTCCCCCAACCCCACCTCAGAGTCTCCACATCCTTGGATTTCTCCATTCTGGGAGTTCACCATTCAATGAACAGATCCAGTTCCAGGTCTTTAGGAGAGCCTGAAGCCATGACCTTGGACAATCACCTCCCCTCTTTCAGCCTCAGTTGCCTCCTCTGTCAAACAGGGTGATTGATTGTGAGGATGAAATGAGAAGTCGCCTGCCCAGCACTTCGGGAACCCCACTGCCCCAAGGGAGAAAGTCACCAAGGTCCTGACAATGACCTCATGTGCTTCCCAGACACAGACCCGAGGCCACAGAGGTTGGGGGACCTATGTGAGGACACACAGCCAGCTGAGGCCTCTCCACTGCCATTTCCTGGGACACAGCCATGAAGTACCAAGAGGGTGCACTATTGTGTCCAGTGCACTGAGTTCACCCCAGCCATGCTGCTCACTGGCTGTGAGTGGCACTGGGAAGGTCACCTTACCTCTCTGAGCCTCAGTTTTCTCTTCTTCAAAATAGGAAGAAAACTAACCTGATGGCAGAACTTAATGAGCCGATTAAGTGCACAAGCCACCAGTGGCAGAGTCTGGCACCTGGTAATTCATGGTCTCCCCAGAGGAGGAGGCTGTGGTCCGCTGTCTCGGGTCCCTTCGGGTGGGATGAAGGGCCCCCAGCTGGGAAGGGTCGAGTCCAGCTGAGGTTATTGGGACAGCCAGGAGCAGTGGCTGACCCATGCTCTATGTAAGCAGGACCAAGCTCGTCTGCACCTCAACACTCCACAGCGTCTGCCCTGTCAATGCTCTGGGGTATAGGCCCTGCTGACCTCTCCCACCTTATTCCCCCACCACACTCCTTTGCTAGCACCATTCTCTAACCACGAAGCCCGCTTTGTGTTCCTCCATTCTACAAGCTCATTCCAGCCTCAAGATCTTTGTAGCTAAAGGTCTCTCTCCCTAGGTCACACACCCCCACCCCCATATTTCCCCTATTTTATTTTTTATTTGTATGTATTTATTTATTTTGAGACGGAGTCTCGCTCTATCACCTAGGCTGGAGTGCAGTGGCATGATCTCGGCTCACCACAACCTCTGCCTCCCAGGTTCAAGCCATTCTCCTGCCTCAGCCTCCCAAGTAGCTGGGATTACAGGTGCATGCCACCACGCCAGGCTAATTTTTATATTTTCAGTAGAGATGGGGTTTCACCAAGTTGGTCAGGCTGGTCTTGAACTCCTGACCTCGTGATCCACCCGCCTCAGCCTCCCAAAGTGCTGGGATTACAGGCGTGAGCCACCTTGCCCGGCTCCCCTATTTTATTTTTATCTTCTATCATTGGAATCTAAAACAGGACCTAGAATAATTTAGGCACTAAATAAATGAAAGGCAATGAATAAATGAATGCATTCTGATTTTGAATCTAATGAGTCTTTGTTTTTTAATAGACCCATTTAACTCATTTACATTTATTGTTTAAATGGATATGTTTGGTATTGTGTGATTCTGTATTGTGTTTTCTGTTAATTGACTGATTGAATGAATAGATGAATGAATGAGTGAGTGAAGCAAAGTAAATTTCAGGTTGCTGGGGTGGGCTGAAGATTGGAGCTTTCCTGGGCTATCCAGGGTGAAAAGAGCAATGGCATTGACCCTAGACCCCTCACTTTTGCAATTATTTATTCCACAGCCCTTGATCCCCCAGATGAAGGATCTGTCCATTCTTCTCATCTCCAGCCTCTCCAATGTAACCTTCATCCTGTCCCTCCCAAACCACCTCCCCACACAGGGAGCATCAGGCTTATGATTCTGGGTTGTAAGTTAGATTCTCATTCCCATGCCTGCTCCCCCATTAACTGGTGGTGTGGCCTTGATTTACCTGAGTCTTCATTTCCTCACTTGTAAAATGGGATCATAGTATTTGCTTCCTACTATGACTGTTGAAAGGATTACATGGAACAACTTGGGTCAAAGGGCTTAGCACAGTGCCTGGCTTAGAGAAAGCACTCAGCAAGCTAAGATTTCATTATTATTGTTGTTGTACCTCAGTTTCCTTCCATTGTAAATGAAGCTGATTTTCACTTCCTTTCAGGCACCTTAGGATCCCTAGCCTCAAAATCTGGAGCTGGGGAATCTGTCCAACCCACCTTCTCACTGTGTTCTCTACCCTCAGCTCCCAGAGAGGGAATTTCTGGGGACTCTAGGGGATCCTCAGAGGCCTGACCTGCCACCAGGAGGTGGGGAGAGAAGACAGCACAAAAAATGTGAAAGCTTCTTCAGGGACTGGGTGTGGTGGCTCACACCTGTAATCCCAGCACTTTGGGAGGCCAGGGCAGGAGGATTACCTGAGGATAGGAATTTGGGACCAGCCTGGGCAACATAGTGAGACCCCATCTTTACAAAAAGCTAAAAAAAAAAAAAAAGAGCTTCTTCATGCCATCTCTGTGGCCACATCAGCATTATCCCCACACACAGATGAGGAAACTGGGACTGCACTCGCTCATTTAATTCCACAGACACACCCCCCTGAGCACCTACTGTGTGCCAAACTGTGCCAGGCCACAGGGCAGGCAGACCAGGCCTCTCTCCCCCAGGGCTCATGGCCCATCAGGGAAGACAGGAAATAGCAAGTCAGCCCGGGAGGATTTAAATCAAGCGCCTTGCCCAGCCCTTCAAAGCCTCCTAGAGAATTTTCCAGCATCCCTGCCTGGTGGGCGGCCCTGCTCCCTTGCTCCCTTTTCTCAAAAGAGAAAGCCCGAGGCCAGAGAGGGGCGTTCCCAGCCTGGCTGGAGTCACAGCTTCCGAGGGGTGGTGACAGTCTTCCTGCCTTTGCCCCAGCTGGTGTCCCTGCCGGGAATACTCTTCTCCTGGTGGGCTGCCAGCAGATCCTGCCCAGTGCTGGGACACTGCCGGGCGTCACTTCCTCTGGGACCTTCCTGGCTGAGAGGGCAAGGCGCTGACACTCTTGCTCAGCGCCAGAGGGTTTCCTCTTTCATAATGAGTTTCCTACTCACTAGGAAGGTCTGCGTCCCTTGAGACTCTGAGCTTCACGAGGGGCACAGGCTTTGCCATCTTCCTGGCACCTCTCACCTGCCCAAGCAAGATGGGAACGAGGCGCTGCTGGGTCCCTTTCTCAGGAAGACGCCCCTACCTCCGCTCCAGGCGTGGATGGCACTGAAGGCCTCTCCCTGCATCTTCTCCTGCTTCAATTCTGCACTTGGTTTATGGAGTTATTTCTTTTGATTTTTCTTAAGACCTTAAGTGCTTTTTTTTTTATTCTTCTTGCCCAGGCTGCAGTGCAGTGGCATGATCTCAACTCACTGCAATCTCTGCCGCCTGGTTTCAAGTGATTCTCCTGCCTCAGCCCCCCAAGTAGCTGGGATTACAGGCACCCGCCACCACACCCAGCTAATTTTTGTAGTTTTAGTAGAGACGGGGTTTCACCATGTTGGCCAGGCTGGTCTCGAACTCCTGACCTCAGGTGATCCAGCCGCCTTGGCCTCCCAAAGTGCTAGGATTACAGGCATGAGCCACCGCACTCGGCCAAGTACTTTATTTTTTTAATTTAAATTTTTGTAAAGACAGGGTCTTGCTATGTTGCCCAGGCTGATCTCAAACTCCTGGCCTCAAGCAATCTTCCCACTTCAGCCTCCCAAAGCACTGGGATTACAGCCATGAGCCACTGTGCCCAGCCTGTGGGGTCATTTCGTTGTCTAACTCCCTTTCTAGAATGTTGTCTCTGTGAGGACAGGACTTTTGTCTGTTTGGGGCACCACTGTGTCCCCAGTGCCTAGCATGGTGCTTGGCACATAGGTGCTTAATAACTATCTGTGGAAGGAAGGGAAGAAGAGAGGGAGAGAGGAAGAAAAGAAGAAGAGGAGGGAGGGAGAAAGAAGAAGGGAAGGAGACAGGGAAGGGGAGGTTGCCATTTATTTGTCCAGTTTTTCATTTGTTCATTCCACAAATACTTATTGAGCACCAATTGTGTGCTAGTTCTGGGGAGAGAATGGTGCCAGACACAGACACGATCCTGCCGGCAAGGCACTGACTTTCTGGTTAGTGAGAACCAGTCAGGTTCAGTGGCGGAAAGTGTGGGGAGGCAAGGTAAGGTGGGCGAGGGGCTGCAGACAGCATGTCGGGGGCACCTGGGCCAGGCTGCTGGCAGGAGGGCTCAGCTGGCAGGGACAGGCCCCGGCTCCCCCTACCCCCAGCTGGCAGATGCACAGGGCTGTGGTAGCTGTGGGCAGCCCGGTTGCCAAATGCCACCACAGCTGCGTCACTGAGAGCTGGGAGGGCCCCAAGGCTGAGGGGGCTGGGAGGGGCCCCCACACCCAGGCTGGCTCCAGCCCCGAAGCAGATAGAACTGGTCAAAGGCCTGCCCCGTGCCCACTGTTCCCCACTCTATGTGATGTGGCTACATGGCTACTTCCTGTTCTGGACCATTTTCAATTTGCAAAAAAAAAATGGTGCAAAAAATGTGTTAAAAATAAAATGAAAAAGAAAGAAATGGTACTTGAGCCTCTGTACATGTTCCTACCTCCAAGAGAGAAGTTAACCGTGGCAGTGACCGTGGGATGCTCCTGGCATCCTTCTGATCTCAGCCCCTCCCCGCCCCCTCCAGAGGCGACATCATCCCGAACCTGGCATCCATGACTCTGTGTGTGATTTCATAGTGTAACTTTCCTGGGTCTACTTTAGTGTGTCCCTGGGCAAATCACTCATCTTCTGTGAGCCTCAGTTTCCTCAACTGCAGGATGGGGATAATAGTCCCCACGTCGGAAGAGTCTTGAAAATTAAATGAGTGCGTCTGTGTAAAGCTCTTTGATGGGCACCTGGCACTACATAAGCATTCGCCAGTGTTGCTGCTGGACACCCAGAACAGGGGGCAGACAGGTGTCACTTGTGTCAAGAATATAACTTTTTTTTTTTTTTTTCTGAGACAGAGTCTCATACTATTGTCCAGGTTGGAGTGCAGTGATGCAATCACAGCCCACTGAAGCCATGACCTCCTGGGCTTCCTGCCTCAGCCTCTCAAGCAGCTAAAACCACAGGTGTGCACCACCATGTCCAGCCAATTTTTTATAGAGACAAGGTCTCGCTATGTTGCCCAAGCTGGTCTCGAACTCCTGAGCTCAGGTGATCCTCCTGCCTCAGCCTCCCAAAGTGCTGGGATTAGAGGCATGAGCCACTGCACTTGGCCAAGAACCCAACCTCTTAAACAAGCTCATGCGCGGCGGTGCCAGGATTCACACCAGTGGCTGGCTGCAGAGTGGCATTACAGAGGAGCTGGGTGTTAGCTCTGGTTTATTCTGTTTCACTTCCTGTCAGATTTGTCTCCCTGATCAGTTCTGAAAAACCAGGGTCAGTGCCTGGCTGGTTCTCTGCTGTCACCCCTGCCCCAGCCCTGGAGACTCCAAGGATGGGTTTGTGGAGTGAACGAAGGGGACTCAGTTTCCTCATCTGTGTGATGGGTCTTACAGGCCGTAGGAAGGCGAGAGTGCCCAATGTGAAGTAGATGCTTTATAAACCCTTGTTTGTTTCTTCCTCTTCCAGCTGGACCTCCTCCCCCTCCCCCAGGTCTGGGCCTGGACCCCACTACCTTCAGGGCAGCCATCATGCTGACAGAGCCCTCCGAGGCAGTCAGACTGGGCTCGTCACTGACTCACTCATTCTTTCATATAATCATATATTCATGCACACTCGCATTCAACAACTGTTTTGAGCTGTGGCTCATGCCTCTAATCCCAGCACTTTGGGAGGCCAAGGTGGGCAGATCACTTGGGGCCAGAAGTTCAAGGCAAGCCTGGCCAACATGGAAGAACCCCGTCTCTACGAAAAATACAAGATTTAGCTGGGTGTGGTGGTGGGCGCCTGTAATACCAGCTACTTGGGAGGCTGAGGCACGAGAATTGCTTGAGAATCGCTTGAACTTGGGAGGCAGAGGTTGCTGTGAGCCAAGATTGTACCACTGCACTCCAGCCTGGGTGACAGAGTGAGATCTGTCTCAAAAAAAAACACACAAATGTTTTGAGCACCCACTATGCGCCAGGCTCTGCTCTAGGCTCTGGGGACATGGACGTGAATAACACAGGCCAAAATCTCTGTCATGGTGGGGCTGACACCTGTCTGGGGAGACAACCATCAGACAATGGTTGTGGCACTGGGTGACCCAAGTCAGAGGGAAGGGAGGGGAGGGAGAGGGGGCTGGGCCTTATCCTGAGGGTGATGGGGGCACATGAGTTGGCAGAGGCCAGACTTGATATACGTTCTTCATGCTTCACTCTGGCCCCAGCAGAAGCGTGTGCTGGAGTGAGGCTTAGCACAGATAGAGGTATCCGCAAACCCTGCCGTGTCAGACCTGGTCTGAGTTCCCTAGGAACAGGCCCATGATGTGGGAGCCGGGGCTTCCACTGTCCCACTGTCCTCGCAGGGGATGGGATCAGGTGTCAGCACCTCCCCATGGAGTACAGTTGGGCAATGGCCTTGGGCCTGAGGGCTGTTCAGTCCTGTGACCAGCCAGGCCCCTTCTGGGAATGGAACCACACCCCAACCCCCAGGCGATGACGTCCCACCAGGGTGTTCCCCACACAGTTCCCACCAGCCCCAGATGAAAACAACTCAATGCTGCATCCACCACCCAAGGCCTCATCAAATCCACCAGGATCCATCCAGACGGCAGAATATTCTGGAGTCTCGGACAGGCAGGATGGGGCGGAGTTTTGGACCACAGGCCTGGCCTGAACCTGAGTTCTCCAGTCACTGCTGTGTGGAGTTGGGAAGGTGCCTTGCTTCTCTGTGCTTCTGTTTCCTTATCCTCAAAATGGGGATGATGATAACAACAGACCCTCGGCCAGGCATGGTGGCTCCCACCTGTAATCCCAGCACTTTGGAGGCTGAGGTGGGCGGATCACCTGAGGTCAGGAGTTCAAGACCAGCCTGGCCAACATTGTGAAAACCCATCTCTACAAATAATTAAAAAAAAAAAAATTAGCTAGGCATAGTGGTGCATGCCTGTAATCCTAGCTACTTAGGAGGCTGAGTGAGGCAAGAGAATAGCTTGAACCTGGGAGGCAGAGGTTGCAGTGAGCCGAGATCAAGCCACTGTACTCCAGCCTGGGCAACAGAGCGAAACTTTGTTTCAAAAACAAACAAACAAAACACAACAGGCCTGGCACAGTGGCTCACGCCTGTAATCCCAGCACTTTGGGAGGCCGAGGTGGGCAGATCACAAGGTCAGGAGTTCGAGGCCACCCTGGCCGACATGGTGAAACCCCATCTCTACTAAAAATACAAAAATTAGCCGGGTGTGGTGGCGGGCGCCTGTAATCCCAGCTACTCGGGAGGCTGAGGCAGAAGAATCGCTTGAACCCAGGAGGCAGAGGTTGTAGTGAGCCAAGATCGCACCACTGCACTCCAGCCTGGTGACAGAGCAAGACTCCACCTCAAAAAATAAATAAATAAATAAATAAATAAATAAACAAACCACAACAGACTCTCATGATAGGTTCACTTCACCCTGGGTTAATGAGTTAATCCATATAAAGCAGCGGTCTCCAACCTTTTTAGCACCAGGGACCGGTTTCGTGGAAGACAATCTGAAAGGGGCTGGGGGTTGTGTGGGGGGTTGTGTGTTGTGCATATCTCTCGTATATGCAATCTGCAATAGGGTTCGCACTTCTCTGAGAATCTAATGATGTGGGTGATCTGACAGGAGGCGGAGTTCAGGCGGTAATGCTCGCTTGTCTGCTGCTCACCTCCTGCTGTGCAGCCCGGTTCCTAACAGGCCACGAATGGGTACCTGTCTCCAGTCCAGGAGTTGGGGACCCCGATATAAAGCCTCAGACTGTGTCTGATACAGACTAAGCCCTAGAGAAACTTTGCTGTTGCTATGATTATTATTGACATTATTGATATTATTGACATTATCATTAGGTCGGGCACGGTGGCTCACACCTGTAATCCCAGCACTTTGGGAGGCTGAGGCAGGAGGATCCTTTGAGCCCAGGAGTTAGAGGCCGGCCTGGGCAACACAGCGAGACCTCGTCTCTAGAAAAATAAAAAAACAAAAAATTAGCTGGGTGTGGTGGCATGCACCTGTAGTCCCAGCTACACAGGAGGCTGAGGCAGGAGGATCACTTGAATCTAAGAGGTCGAGGCTGCAGTGAGCTATGATTGTGCCACTGCATTCCACCCTGGGTGACACAGTGAGACTCTGCCTCTTAAATAAATAATAATTAATTTAAAAATAAAAGCATTAGCAGTAGTAGTAGTAGTAGTAGTAGTAGTAGTAGTAGTAGAAGTATGGATTAATCCAAGGGGGAAAAAAGGAGGGAGTGGGACTGAGGTAAAGCAAGCTGCTACTTGGAGAAAAAGGTAAAGAAGATGACCAGATAGATGCGTGTGTAGATGTTCACACCATCTCCAGAGACCCAAGAGACTGGCGGCAGTGGTGGAGGGAGTGGGGACCTGAGGGAGGGGAAAGGACACCGACTTTCCACCCTTTGTCCCCTTCCACGCTGTTTGGGTTGTTCCTTTTTTTCTGTGCACTTGTGTGGATATTCAAAACCAAACACTACAGAAAGAAATTCTGCAAGAGGTTTCCTTCCTTAGCGAAAGCCCCAAATCGTCCCTCTCAGCCCCGCCCCCTCCCACCCCCACATCCCGGCCTGTGGGTGGCCCAGTCTGGTCTCCCACCTCTGCTGGTGTTCTGCGCTCCTGGCCTTGGAGCAGGTCCGAGCTGGAATGCCCTGCAAGAAAGGGGGCTCCTCAGAGTCCCTCAGAGTGGCCCTGGCTCTGGGCAGCCAGGGGTGTGGGGCTTTGGGGAGGGGGGTCCCGGCTGACTGATGAGAACTCCAAATGCTCCCCAGCCCCGGCTGCTAATCACTTCCAGATTGGCCGGGTCAGGGCCAGGGCCGCCGCCGCCTGGCTCCATAAACAGCCCGTCGCTCCAGATGGCGGCTGGCTCCAGCCTGGCGAGCAGGTTCATGGGGGACTGGGGGGTGGCAGCAGGTGGAGGACCCCCACCTCACTAGCCGCCTCAGCTGCCACACCTCCACACCGCCCTGAGTTGGGGACCCTGGGCCAGAAGGGGTGGCAGAAACTGAACCCATTGCTCAGAGGAGGGAAACTGAGGCCCGGAAGGGGCAACGTGGGTGGTGGTCAAGGTGGGGGGAAGACAGAGATGTAAGGGGGGTGCTCCTTGAGGGTTGATGCTGGGTTCACTTTACCTCTGTGAATCCAGCACACCATGAGGATGCCGTAAAGACCCGAGGAGGGAGGGAAGGGGGGCATCATTGCCAGCTGGGTTTAAATTCTGGCTCCAGCTTTTACTCCCTGAGTGAATAAATTATTTCCACCCCCAGCCTCAGTTTTCTCATCTGTAAAATGGGGATGGCTGGAGTACAGGATTGCTGGAAGATTCAATGATTCGGCTCCTGCAGACAGTTTGCACTCCACACACGGCGCAGGCGCTGAACACAGCTTCTCCCTCTTCCTTTTCCGGAAACTCCTTCTATTCCTGCTTCTCCTGCCGCCGGAGAGCACAGTGGCCTCCTCCAGGAAGCCACCTTGACTTTTACTCAGACCTCTCCCTTTGTGCCAGGCACTGTGCTTTTCCCACAGCCTCTCTCACAGGGTCTCTCCTCGACACAACTGGCACCTGACGCTCTTGTCCTTTTGAAAACAAGGAAACAGAGGGTCAGGGAAGTAACTGGTACCTAGTGCTGTTAGGGCCCCGCCCCTTGCAGATGAGGAGACAAAGGGCCAGGGAGGCAGTGGGATGGATATGTTGAGGTCGCCAGGAAAAGACAGCCTGATGTGCACCTGGAGCTGTCTCTGAAGGTCTCACAGAACCTGGCACAGCGTCAGGTAACCCGGCTGCCTCTCCTGCCACACCCACCAACCCCAGAGCCCACACCTTGGCACAGAAGGAAGAGATCCAGGCTGGTGCTGGGTCGTAATATCCCAGGGAAAGGGGTAAGGAGCCTTGACCTGCTCCCATACCTGCCTGTCTCCAAACTGGGCTGGATCCTGGCTGGGTGGCCGCTGGGTGGTAGCCTTGTCCCAGGACACCCGGCAGCAGGACAAGGTGGGGGAGCCAGTTGCTCTGTGAGTTCCCCTCAGGACCATCCCTTCCTGCTCCGCTGAGCAGAGACACAGCTCCCCGAGGCCTGAGTCCCCATTTTTCACCATCTTTATCCTCGTTCCTGGCACAGAAAAGCCTCAGTATCACTTTGTCGAATGTGGTATTGAGTGCATGGGTGAGGCACTCCTCCAAGCAACTTACTACAGTAACTTTTTAAATGTTTACATAGCCCTCTGAGAAGGGGACTATTATTATTGCCCGTTCACAGATGAGGAAATGGAGGCTCAGAGAGGTTAAGTGACTTACTGGAAGTCACACAGCTGGAGCTAGGATTTGAACTCAGGTCTCCTAGCTCCAGCGTGCACATTCTTGCCCACATGTCTCTGCTCCCAGGGTAGCAGTGAGCCTGAAATACGTGCAGTGCCTGGCAGGTAGTAGGTGCTTTTCCAAGCCCTTCTTTTGCTTCACTCAGCCTTGAGGTCAGCGGCCCGTTCTGCCCTGTGCCTGGGAGGAATGTTCGTGGTGGCCCCAGCCTGGATCCGAGAAGAAAGGCAGCCTTGTGGGCGAAAGGTGAGCGGCTGGGTGGGCGCGGGCGTGTTTATCCAGGGCCGGCGTGTGGCTCGGGGTGGCGCCGCTGTCAGCCGCGCCGGCTGCCCCAGGCCTGTGCTGGCCTCCAGATGTGAGCTGGCTCCAGCCGGCCGGGCCCCCCCACCCCACGCACAGAGGGGCTTTATCAAAAGCGGCTGTGAGGAGGCCCAGGAGGCCGCCTGGCTCCAGCCTGCTGGCTCTGAGCCCCGGGCCTGCAGAAGCCAGGCCAGTCGCACTTGTGCTCTTGTGCCCTGGTCTTCGTGTGCTCCACGGCCCAGCTCCTCTGTTCTCCTCGAGTCCCCTGGGGGCCCAGGCGAGGGACAGCCCCTTTGCCAGGAAACTGAAGCTGCAGGAGCAGTCCGGGAGGGGTAACAATGCCAGAACCCTCCTGCAGCGTTTATTTTTCTGCATTCCAGGGGGGTAGAGGTAACCCACACGGAACAAAAGTGCAAAATTCATCAAAATTCAGAGAGTGCTCAGTGAGACATCAAAGTGTAGACACTCGTGGGAAGGAGAAATTGCAGATTCAGAGAGCCAGTTCTTAGCGGGGAGGAGAGTAACTGGGGTTGGGGGGTTTGCAGGGGCTATGTTTTCTCTGCGGTATTTTCTTTTTTAGGTGGGGGTGGGGGTGTTATTCTTTTTCTTTTTCTTCTTTGGAGACAGGATCTCGCTTTGTCATCCAGGCTGGAGTGCAGTGGCGCCATCGCTGGCTCACTGCAGCCCTTGACCTACTGGGCTCCAGCAGTCCTCCCACCTCAGCCTCGCGAGTGGCTGGGACTCCGGGCACGCACCACCACGCCCAGATAATTTTTTAAAAATAGAGACAGGGTTTTGCCATGTTGCCCAGGCTGGTCTTGAACTCCTGAGTTCAAGCAATCCTCCTGCCTTGGCCTCCCAAAGTGCTAGGATTACAGGCGGGAGCCACCACGCCTGGCCTCCAGGGATGCTATTCTGTATATTTTATTCAGTGGCCTGAACTATTTTGTAATAATAAATCATAATAACTGGGAAAAAAAACAGAGAAAAAACCTGAGACATCCACCTGCTCCCGACCCTCAGCCCTACTCCTGTTAAAAATGGCTTCTAATGCTTTCTAGAGATTGTCTGAACACCCACAAGAAAATCCACATACATTCTCTGTCCTCTTTTGTTTTTGGTTTTATAAATAGTATCAAAATATAGTCTGAGCACAGTGGCTCACGCCTATAAACCCAGCACTTTGGGAGGCCAAGGTGGACGGATCCCCTGAGGTCAGGAGTTTGAGACCAGCCTGGCCAACATGGTGAAAACCCATCTCTACTAAAAATGCAAAAATTAGTCGGGCATGGTGGTGAGCACCTGTAATCCCAGCTGCTTGGGAGGCTGAGGCAGGATAATTGCTTGAACCCGAGAGGTGGAGGCTGCAGTAAGCTGAGATCACGCCACTGCATTCCAGACAGAATGAGACTCTATCTCAAAAAAAAAAAAAAACAAAAATGCTGCTCTGCACCTGGCTTTTTTCACTTAGCAGTATACTCCGGCCCTCTCTGCAACTGTCCTTGTTTGCAGCTGTGTGGTATTCCACCATGGGAATGCACCACGTCCAGTTTTCCAGGCCCCTGTTGATGATGATGTAGGTTGCTGCCTGAGGTTCACTACTACAGACCACACTGACTACGGGCACCCGGTGTCCGAGTCTTCGAGGACTCAGGCAGGTGCTGTCTAGACTCTGATGGTCAATTCTTAGAGGTAGAGCTGTGCAGGGTAGACACTTTTCCTCTTCTGAGAGCCATTGCTAATTTGCTTTCCCCAAAGTGTGTGTCCCTGTGTTGTCCCACCAGCACTGCGGCTGAAAGGGAAACTGAGGCACAGGGACAGTTGGCTGTTCAGAAGGGTGAGAGAAAACAGCTTCATAAGGAATCTCTACTAAAACAACATGCTTTCTCGGTTTCGTTTCTTTCTGATTGCAAAAGTGAAACATGTCCATTGAACAAACTTTAGAAAATACAGAGAATTGCAAAGTTAGAAAAGAAGGCCTCCTCCCTCCTCCCCACATACCTACCTCTAGTGGCTGGACAAAGACGAGGGTTTGGGCCGCAGGGCAAGCTGCCTGGTGTCCTTGCTATCCCCATGCCTGACTTGCTGTGTGGCCCCAGGCAAGTCTCAGCCTCTCTGGACCCCTGTGTCCTCATCTGTAACTGGGAATCCAAGGGTGCCAGACTCGAAAGGCTGTTGTAAGGATCAGGTGAGATCACGTGGGTACAGGAGTGGCCCAGCACAAAAGGTTTCATAAGAGGAGGCTATGATAGGTCTTCCTCCTGCCCCTCCGCTTGTGCGGCTGAATCCAGGATTTTTCCCTTGACTTGCCCCGCACAGTGAGGCCTGGCATTTTCTTCCCGCTCCCCATGCTGGCACGTGACACAGCCCCGGGCACATGGGAGGAACGTGATAAATGCTAATGGATGGCCCGGGAACGCCCTGTCCTCCACCAAGGTCCTGAAGTCTGAGCAGTGGTTGGTGACGGAAGACCTGGATGCGAAAAGCCGACCACCAGAGTCAAGACCCAGAGAAAACAGCAGGTGCCTGAGGCAAGGAAGCCGGGATTCCCAGACTCTGGCAGCCTGGCCCCAGCTGTCCCAGAGGGCACCCCGCCAGCCCCTGGGTCCACTCCACCCAGGGTCCAGCCCTGACTGCGCCAATGGCAGCAAAGATGGCAGGGACCCCAAGGGCAACTTCCCAACCACCAGCAGCATTTAGGGAGCACCAACTGTGTACCCCACTCTGGACTGGGCAGCATAGAGATTGTACCGCAGTGAATTCCTGGGGACCAGGGGTGGTGACTTCATTGTCTTCCTGTCCCTAGAGCCCAGCACTGGCTACTCATGGATTCAAACATTTATGGTGCACCTACTGTGTACCAGTGACTATGCTGAGTGCATCTGCCTGCCAAGAGAGGGAATTTCTGGACCATATATTTAGGGAGGGGAGGAAGACAGTGCACTTTCTTTTTTTTTTTTTAATCTTTTGTTGTTGTTGTTGTTGAGATGGAGTCTCACTTTGTCGCCCAGGCTGGAGTGCAGTGGCACAATCTCGGCTCACTGCAACCTCTGCCTCCTGGGTTCAAGTGATTCTCCTGCCTCAGCCTCCAAAGTAGCTGGGATTACAGGCGCCTGCCAACATGCTTGGCTAATTTTTATGTTTTTAGTAGAGACAGGGTTTCTCCATGTTGACCAGGCCAGTCTCGAACTCCTGACCTCAGGTGATCCACCCGCCTCGGCCCCCCAAAGTGCTGGGATTACAGATGTGAGCCGCCACGCCCGGCCGAGAGTGCACTTTTCTATCAAAGTTTTTTTTTTTTTTTTTTTTAACTGAAAGCAGTCTTTTCGTAAGTAAATAAACATAAAGAATTCCCAAGTTAAGCCGGGAGCGGTGGCTCATCCCTGTAATTCTAGCGCTTTGGGAGGCCAAGATGGGAGGATTGCTTGAGCCTGGGAGTTTGAGACCAGCCTGGGCAACATAGAGAGACACCATCTCTACAAAAAAAATCAAAACATTAGCTGGGTATGGTGGCGCCTGTCTGAAGTCCCAGTTACTCGGGAGGCTCAAGTGGGAGAGTTGCTTGAGCCTGGGAGGTCGAGGCTGTAGTGAGCTGTGATTGCACCATTCCAGCTTAAGCCACAGAGCGAGACCCTGTCTTTAAAAAAATAAAAAATTCCCAAGTTAGAAAAAAAGACAACCCTACCACCTACCAGTGATAGGAGGAAGTTCGGGGGCCTTGGGAGCGCCAGAGGAAGCACCTGACATAGACTGTAGGGCCAGGAGAGGCTTCCAGGAGGAAGTGAGTTCCAGGCAACGACCCCAGGAAGCATGAGAGGGAAGTTGGGTGGAGGGAAATAGGCCTTTGGGAGGCCGCTGCCCAGGCCTGGCAAGGCAGGCTGGGTGACTGGGTGCTGATGGTCTCACCCATCCCAGCCCAGCCGAAGGTGAGGGCTCTGTCCGATGCTTCTTGGCAGAGCTTATTGCAGTTGTAACGAAAGCATCACTTCTGTAATTATGTTTCTGTCTTCCTCCCTCCCACCCCACCTCTGAACTGGAGCTCTATGAGGGCAGAGCCCGTCCTGTCTGCCTCATCCACCATACTGTCCCCTGGGCCTGGAGCACACAGTAGGTGCTTATGGTGGATGACCTTCTGTTCCCCTGAAGTTCATGTCTACCAGGAACCTCAGAATGTGACCATATTTGGAAGTAGGGGCATTGGCTGATTAATTAGATAGGGATCTCCAGATAAGATCACACTGGAGTTGCGGTGGGCCCGAAGTCCAATGCCTGGTGGCCTTGTAAGAAGAGGAGTGGGAAGGCCAGGCATGGTGGCTCACACCTGTAGTCCCAGCACTTTGGGAGGCTGAGGCTGGTGGATCACTTGAGGCCAGGAGTTCGAGACTAGCCTGGCCAACATGGTGAAAGCCCATCTCTACTGAAAATACAAAAATTACCTGGGCGTGGTGTTGCACACCTGTAATTCCAGGTACTCGGGAGGCTGAGGCAAGCGAATCACTTGAACCTGGGAGGCGGAGGCTGCAGTGAGTCATGATCACGCCACTGCACTCCAGCCTGGGTGACAGAGCAAGACTCTGTCTCAAAAAAAAAAAAAAAAAAAAAAGAAGAAGAAGAAGAAGAGGAGGAGGATACACAGAGAGGCACAGAGGAGAAGGCCGTGTGAAGACAGAGGCAGGAACTGGAGAGATGCGGCCACAAGCCCAGGGGTGCCGAGGAACCCTGGGGAACACCAGGAGCTGGAATAAGGTGAAGGCGGGTAATTGCCCGGAGCCTTCAGAGGGGCGCACCCTGCTGATGCCCTGACTTCAGACTTCTGGCCTCCAGAACTGTGGGAGGACATATTTCTCTGTCTCTCTCTCTCCTTTTTTTTTTTTTTTTTTTGAGACAGAGTCGCCCAGGCTGGAGGCGCCTCCTCCCGGGTTCACGCCATTCACGCCATTCTCCTGCCTCAGCCTCCTGAGTAGCTGGGACTACAGGCGCCCGCCACCACGCCCAGCTAATTTTTTTCGTATTTTTAGTAGAGACGGGGTTTCACCATGTTAGCCAGGATGGTCTCGATCTCCTGACCTCGTGATCCGCCCGCCTTGGCTTCCCAAAGTGCTGGGATTACAGGCGTGAGCCACCGCGCCCGGCCTTTTTTTTTTTTTTTTTTTTTTTGAGACATGGTCTTGCTTTGTCGCCCAGGCTGGAGTGCATTGGTGCAATCTCAGCTCACTGCAGCCTCGACCT
This sequence comes from Homo sapiens, assembly GCF_000001405.40. Lineage (NCBI taxonomy): Eukaryota > Metazoa > Chordata > Mammalia > Primates > Hominidae > Homo > Homo sapiens. Next base: position 50,060,292 of record NC_000020.11, read on the forward strand.
CTCCAGGCTCAAGTGATCCTCCCACCTCAGCCTTCCTAGTAGCTGGGGCTCCAGACACGAACCACCACGCCCAGCTGATTTTTGTATTTTTTGTAGAGATGGGGGTCTCGCCATGTTGCCCAGGCTAATACTTCTCTTTTTCTAAGCCACCACGTTTATGGCAGCCCTGGAAGACTCGTTCGGATTTTGCTGTGTGAATAAATGTGTGAATGAATGAATGAATGAGAGAAGGAATGAATGGAGAGCTCCTTTGAGTTGTGCAGGGCCCGCGGGGTGTGGCCAGATGTCTGCCTAAGGGCCATAGGGAGCTATGGCAGGGTCCCAGCCGGGAGCTGGTTGGGTCTTCCTAGTAGCTGGGACTCCAGACATGCACCACCACGCCCAGCTGATTTTTGTATTTTTTGTAGAGATGGGGTCTCGCCATGTTGCCCGGGCTGATACTTCTCTTTTTCTAAGCCACCACGTTTGTGGCGGCCCTGGAAGACTCGTTTCGGGGCATTTCAGGGCTGTTGTTCAGGCTGTGTTGGGGGCTGGATGCTGTCCAGCCAGTGAGGTGGGGGCTGTGAAGAGCTGTTGAGGGCCCGGCCTCAAGGAGGTAACCAGGAAATCAGGTTCTGTGGAACCCCTAATCCCAGAAGCCCATGTCCACACCCAACGTGGACACCCACAGCCGAGATTTCGGGGGTCTCTCCCCTTCTGGTGCCTTGCAGATAAGTTAGAGCCAATGTTTATCCCCGAGTTCTGAATGCACCTCAGAAGGTCCACCCAAGTGAGTCTCATCACCTTCGGCTACAGCCCAGAGCTCAGGCAGTTGGGAGGGAAGTTCTCCACCTGTCTGCCCTTCGTCCCTCTTGCTGTGACTCTGGAAGTCGGGAGGCAGCAGGATGCAGGGGAAAGAGCCTAGATCCTGACTCTGCCCAGTGACTGGAGTGACTGTTCCTCACTAAGCCCCATTTTCCCCATCTGTAATTGGGGAAAAGTCATCTGGCTTTGTAGAAGCTGTTGTGGAGAGTGGAGGCCAACATGGGCTGGCAGAACACCCAGCACATAGTAGGTGCTTCCTAGGAGAAGTGGGCCCTGGGTCCCCTCTCCAGGCACAGCCCTGAGTCTTAAAGGGAGACTCTGGCTTTCCCAACCTCAGATCTTTTGAAAGCCCTGACACCTTCCCTGTGGCCTGTCCAGTGGCCCCACAAGGCCACCCTATCCCCCAAGGAGCTTGACAACCTCGGAGGGAGTAAGACTTGAATTTCATGCTCATAAAATGACTGGAATCAAAGCAGGGCTTATGACATGGAGCTGTTTTGAAGTTGGCCCAGGGCAGGAGGGGCGTGAAATTCCTGGCTGTTTTGGCCCCTCTTCAGAGAAACTGGGGCCCCTGGCAGGATGTCTGGGGCCCAGGCAGGAGGTTAATGGCTGGCTACCTGAGGTACCTGCCATTTTAGCAATGATCCAAATGCCAACATAGACTTTTGGGGAAAAAATTCTAAGTTTTAGAGAAGACAAATGGGAAAACTCAATTGAAAACCCCCCCCTTATCTGGGGCTGGAGACGGTGAGGACCCAATGGTTGCAGTGTGGGAACTTGGGCCCTGTAGCTAGGCTTCCCATCCCTGCCTTGCCACTTACTTGCTGTGTGACGTTGGGCATATTGCCTAGCCTCTCTGTGCCTCAGTTTCCTTCTCTGTTGAGTGGGCCTAATACCAGTCCTTTCGTCAAAGGCTTGTGGTGAGGGTGACCACATTGACGTCTCCTGCCCTGCTGGCCCAGTCTCTGGGCATCACAAGCTCAGTCACTGATGCTGTTACTAGCATTTTTTTTTTTTTTGAGATGGGGTCTTGCTATGTTGCCCAGGCTGGTCTTAAACTCCTGACCTCAAGTGAACCTCCCACCTTAGCCTCCCAAAGTGCTGGGATTATAGGTGTGAGCCACTGCACCTGGACCAGTTACCAGTATTTTTCCTATAGATATGAACAGCTTCTCCTGAATTGAGGGCTACCTGTGAACCAGCCCCTTCATAGGCCTCCTCTCACCAAATCTTCCTACAGCTGCATGAGGCAAGCCATGCACCCCCCGAGGCAGATGATCAGTGATGTCTGGACACTTGCCCGGGGCACACAGCCGGTGAGAGGCAGGGCCAGAATTCCAGCGCCAGTCCTTCTGGTGGCTCAGTCCACATTCTTGGTCACTTTCCTTTAGGAAATACGGAAAGGCGAGGAGAGGAAAGATATGTCCCCACACCCATACAGGGAGAGCAGGGTTGCTTTTCTTTGATTTTTTTTTTTTTTTTGAGTCAGGGTCTTGCTCTGTTGCCCAGACTGGAGTATAGTGGCATGATCATAGCTCACTGCAGCCTCGAATTCCTGGACTCAAGTGATCCTCTGATCCTCCCACCTCAGCCTCCCAAAGTGCTGAGATTACAGGCGTGAGCCACCGTGCCTCATGAGAACAGGGTTTCTCAATGTCGGCCACATTCTGGGCCCAGTGTGTCTCTGCGTGGGGGCTGCCTGTCCTGTCCACCGTGGGATGCTTAGCAGCATCCTGGGCTTCTGCCTACAGATTGGGAGGCCCCCCAGAGTGTGACAACCCAAAATGTCTCCTCCACGTGTCCCAGAGAGGGGCAACCCCTGCCTGAGAACTGGGCTGGAGTACTGGGGTTGAAATGGTGGAGTGTTTTCTTCTGGATTTTTTCTCTAACTACACACACTGGGGAAATACAGACACACACTGGGGAAAACAGGCATTTCATTGCATGCCTTGCATTTTCTCTTTATTTTTTAATTTTTAAAAATGTTTGTCGACCTGGCCCAGACGTGGTGGCTCACACCTGCAATCCCAGTGCTTTGGGAGACAGAGGCAGGCAGATCATCTGAGGTCAGGAGTTTGAGACCAGCCTGGCCAGCGTGGCGAAACTCCTTCTCTACTAAAAATACAAAAATTAGCCAGGCTTGGTGGTGCGTGCCTATAATCCCAGCTACTTGGGAGGCTGAGGCAGGATAATCACTTGAGAGGTGGAGGTTGCAGTGAGCCGAGATCGCGCCACTGCACTCCAGCCTGGGCGACAGAGCAAGACTCCGTCTCAAAACAACAACAACAACAACGACGTTTGTTGACCTGTCAGCAGGAAGAAATTTTAAAATTGTTTATTTATTTACATACCTATTTAGCATTTTCTCATAAAAAATACAGCTGGGTGACATCACACATGCATTGAACTTAGGCGAATCCATGTTCTTGGGCTGGGATGAAGGAGAGAGAGCAGTACCATGAGTGATAATGGGGTGATGCTGGCATCCGTGACCTGAGCCAGGAGCTGTCACAGGTCCATTGGCTGGGGCTTTCCCCTGTCTTTGCCCTTGTACAGATGGGGAAACTGAGGCTCAGAGACTGGACAGGGTTCCAGAATTCCAGGGGTAAACCTCTGGAACCCAGTGTGGCTCCATAACCAGGGCTGCAGATGTCGTCCCCTCTGGGTCAGGCCCCCCGGTGGCTCCTCAGGGTACCCCCTGTCTGGACCACTTCTGCACCAGGGGCCCCCAAGAGCAGGATAAGGAATCAAGAGGGGTTGAGCAGGTGGGAAGGAAGTGAGGGGTTGGGCCCAGTGGCTTACGCCTTTAATCCCAGCACTTTGGGAGGCCAAGACGGAGGACTACCTGAGCTCAGGAGTTCAAGACCAGCCTGGACAACACAGCAAGACCCCATCTCTACAAAAAATGCAAAATTAGCCAGGCATGGTGGCATGAGCCTGTGGTCTCAGCTACTTGGGAGGCTGAGGTGGGAGCATCACTTGGGCCCGGGAGGTCGAGGCTGCAGTGAGCAGTGATCACGCCACTGCACTCCAGCCTGGGCAACAGAGCAAGACCCCCATTTTTTTTTCTTCAGATGGAGTCTTACTCTGCCACCCAGGCTGGAGTGCAGTGGGGCGATCTCGGCTCACTGCAACCTCCACCTCTTGGGTTCAAGCGATTCTCCTGCCTCAGCCTCCCGAGTAGCTGGGATTACAGGCGTGCACCACCAGGCCTGGCTAATTTTTGTTTTTTTAGTAGGGACGGAGTTTCACCATGTTGGCCAGGCTGGTCTCAAATTCCTGACCTCATGTGATCTGCCTGCCTCAGCCTCCCAAAGTGCTGGGACTACAGGCGTGAGCTACTCAGGAGGCTGAGGCAGGAGAGTGGCGTGAACCGGGGAGGCGGAGCTTGCAGTGAGCTGAGATCGCGCCACTGCACTCCAGCCTGGGCGACAGAGCGAGACTCTGTCTCAAAAAATAAATTAATAAAAAATAAATTTTTAAAGGAAGGGAGAGAGGCAGGGTGAGAGGAAGAGGCCCTGCACCCGCCGTCCCCTGCAGCAGCCACTGCAGGGAGGACTCTGCTGAAGGAGGCCCAGGGGCTGCAGGGCCAGGGCCCAAGGCTGACAGCTCCCTCCCAGGCACACACAGAGGGGCCGCTCATTCCCATTACACAAATAAGGACACCCCTGATGTGGGAGAGTGATGGCTCCCAGGTTGTCTACCCAAGTGGGCCATGTCTGCAGGAGGCGGACCTTTCGCTAATCTGAACAAAGGCCTCCCTTTCTCCTTCCATCCAGAGGTGGGGTTGTTTGCCTAAAGTCACACAGCAGTAAATCACGGGCTGGGATTTAAATACAGACTGCCTGCTCAGGAATCCTTGTTTTACCCATTCAGTATCTTATATGGCTTGTGGACATGCATATGTGTGTTTGGACACACACCTACACACCCCCACACACACACAAACACGCACACACACAGTGGCAGCTGCTCCCCCAGACTCAAGAACCCCTGCATCTGTCTCCAGGGCCCTCCGAGACCTGGGGCCGCAACAGTTGTGTCTGGTTTGCAGCCCAGCTGAGAGCGGATAATCCCAAATCTCTCAGACTCCATTCCAGCCCCCATCAGCCCACTCCCCAGCTGTGCATCTTTGGGCAAATGGAGCCCCTCTCTGAGCCTCAGGGTCTTTGCCACCCCAGCACCCCCGCACACCAGGACTTTACTAGGGGTTCTGTGAGCTGAGGCTGCTTTGTGATTTATCTGAGCAGAGCTTCAGTGGGACACAGAGACCACCACACGCAGCTGGTGTCCATGCAGCCTGGCCGGCTGGTAGGGCTCAGTGGCCTCCCAGGGTCCCTGTTTGGCCAGGCTTCAGGGTCTGGTGTGTATGATTTCATAGGAAGCAATGACCTTGGGCAAAAATGTCACAGGGCATCAGCCTAATGGATTCGGCCTGGCTGACAGTGAGCAGGAGGGTTGGAGTCCTCCTCCTGGGGCTGGGTTCTTCAGGGTGGGGGAACTCAGGGATCTGGGTCATTGCCTGTGGTCAGGGTGAGGAGACAGAGGCCCAGGGGCCAGCAGCCTTCCCAGGGTCACCCAGCACTGCCTGACCTCTTCCACCACCTTGGGGCCTTTGGGAAGGACAGGGTCGGTGGGGGTAGAGGAACCTGCAGGGGCCAACAGACCTTCTCCTGGCAAGTCATTGATGCCTCAGTTTCCTCTTCTGTAAGATCGGTTTGATTAATAGTTCCGATCTCAGGGCTGGGGGAGAGTCCATGAATTGCTTTATAATGAGCTCAGCATAGAGAAGGTGCTCATTACGTCTTTTTTTTTTTTTTTCTTTTTGAGATGGAGTCTCACTTTGTTGCCCAGGCTGGAGTGCAGTGGTGCGATCTTGGCTCACTACAACCTCTGCCTCCCAGATTCAAGCGATTCTCCTTCCTCAGCCTCCTGAGTAGCTGGGATTACAGGCATGCGCCACCACACCCGGCTAACTTTTGTATTTTTAGTAGAGATGGGGTTTCGCCATGTTGGCCAGGCTGATCTCAAACTCCTGACCTTAGGTGATCTGCCTGTCTTGGCCTCCCAAAGTGCTGGGATTACAGGCGTGAGCCACTGCGCCCGGCCGCTCGTTAAGTCTTGACTGTCATTCTTGGTTTGCCTCACATCTCTGACCCCATCTGGAACGCTCTGTACTTAGCACTGGTTGCTGGGTGCTGCCAGTCCTGGGTTCAGATCCCAGCTCTGGTGGGTCACCCTGAGCTAGTGACAGAGACTCTTGGAGCCTCAGTGTCCTCATCTGTGAAATGGGGCCACCAACACTACCAAGGAATGGTTGGGAGCAAAGTGAGATGGTGGCTGTGAGGCACTTCAGGCACCTCAGCTCATCAGGGTAAGTAAAGTCCTCTGTTGACCTTGCCAGGCTAGAAGTAGCTAATTTATCGTCATGGTGGGTGGCAGAGGGGCAGCTAAGGCCACTGGCTCAAGGTCACAGGGATCAGAGTGGAATCTCACTTTGTGGCTCAAAGCTGTGTGATCTTGGGCAAGCCACTTGGCCTTTCTGGGCCTCAGTTTCATCCTGTTGACATCAGAAGACCCCAGGACCATACAGTGGAGGGCTGAGTGTAACTTGGCATCCAGTCAGTGATGTGTTTTGCACCCAATGCCTGGCACAGTGCTGCACCCACCAGGAGAGGTGGGAGGGTGATGGCTCCCAGGTCGTCTGCCCAGGTGGGCCGTGCCTGCCGGAGGGGAGACTTTTCCTAATCTGAACAAAGGCCTCCTTTCTTCCATCCACACCCTCCCTGGGAGTACAGCCTCACACCTTAAACTCCATTTCCACAGGGGCCACTCTGGTGCCTGTCCCCAGGTCACTCTGGACTGGCCAGCCTCCTTGAGCCCCTGATCTGAGGGTCTCACAGGCATCGTAGTTTAACACACTCCCACCCAGCACCGGAAGGCCCCCACAAACTGGCTCTTCCTGAGCCTCCCCTGGGCTAGGCCAAAACCTGGGAGTCCCCCAGCTCCTTTCCCCCTCTTACCCTCTCACTTCTGAGTCCTGTGGGCTCCCTGGTCTGAGCGTTCTGCATTGCATGGAAGTCTAAGAGGCCACAGGAAAGGCATGCATTCCGGAATCAAGGAAATGCGGGAGCTGGAGTCTCATTCTGTTGCTATGTTGCTCAGGCTGGTCTTGAACTCCTGGCCTCAAGTGATCCTCTCACCTCGGCCTCCCAAAGTGCTGGCATTATAGGCACGAGCCACTGTGCCCGGCCACTGATCAGTTCTTACCTCTTCTGGAACACCAGGTCCAGTGCCATCCTCTGCCCCTCTGGTCTACTGCAGTCAACTGCCTGCTTCCAGCAATGCCCCGTGGTCTGTTCTCTGCAGGAAGCTAGAGGGAAGCTAGAGGTAAAAACCTGGAGCACATGCGTCCCTCCTCTGCAATGGTTCCCATCTCCCTTGGAGAAAAAGATGGATCTTTGAAAGGCCCTGTAGGATCTGCCCCACCACTACCCCTCCCCCACCCCATCTCCTAAGCCTCCTCCTCCCTCCCTGACCCTGTACTCTGCTCCAGCCACACTGGCCTCCTGGTTGTTTCTCCAACAAATTAGGCATGCTCCTGCCTCACGGCATTTGCACTGGCTGCTTCCTCTGCAGGACACATTCTTCCCCCAGATGTCCACATGCCTCACTCCCTCACCTCCTGCAGGTCTTTGCTCAAATGCCACTTCTCAAGCATCAGGCACCTGCCCCCATTCCAATTTTCAATGGCACCTCTGCCCCACCCCATCCCCTATCCCCCTCCCTGCCTTGTTTCCCTCTATAGCATTTATCACCATCTCATCTTCTACATGGTTTACTTTTTCATCTGTTTACTGTTTCTCCCTAGTCCTTTGCCCTGACTGTCACCATTCCCAGAACATCCATTTCACGAGGGCCGCGTTTTCTGACTATTTTGTTCCCCGCTGTGTCTGCTGGGCCTAGGGCAGTGCTGGGCACACGGTAGCTGCTCATTAAATATCTGTGGAATGGGCAGCTCTGGAGTGTGGATACCAACATGCCCCTGGTGAAGCGGGAGCTCTAGGATTTGGAATCAGCCTGTAAGCTGTAGAGGGCAGTGCCCTTTGGATGGCACAGCCAGGTAGGCATGTTCCCAGCAGGGGTTTGTGGGAAACGGCTGTGGAGGGTCCTGGTGTCTACAGTCAGATTCCCAGGGCAGGATGCTGACAGATGGGCCATGGCACGATGGGGAGGCCAGGTGGTGTGGCTGGGTCCGGCTTTAAGCCTCTGGCCACCGTGTCAGGTTTGTAAAGCAAAGGGTCAGGAAGGCACCAAGGGCAGTGTGGCCGGAAGTGAACGGCCCAGGCTTCTGGGAAGAAAAAGAATTACATTCCAAGGAACCCATGGCTTGGGCGCCTGAGCCACTGGGGGCAGGGAAGAGTATGAAAGAGGCAGGGCTGGCGTGGGCAGATGGTGGCCTTGCCTGAGGTTCAGAGTGGTCAGGTCTGTAGGTCAGGGTGACCCTGGAGAGCTGGGATTTGGACCAGGTCAGGGGAAGTGTCCCCCAGATTGTGAATGGCTGGGGCGTGGCAGCCAGTCCACAGCTCCTGCTGCTGTTGGGAGGGGAGACCCCCACTCTGGGCTGGGGTGCAGCTCAGGGAGCCCCGGAGCTGACTGAGCCACTTCCTTGTGCCAGGCGGTGTCCATGTCCACCCCCAGGGCGAGATGTGGGCAACCAAGCCAAGAGAGGGGGCTGCCAAGGCCACAAGCTCATCCATGTGTCCATTTATCCATCTGTCCATTTATCCATCTGTCCATTTATCCATCTGTTTACAGAGTGTCTATTGCATGCCATGTGCTGCAGACTCTTTTTTGAGACAGAGTCTAGCTCTGTTACCCAGGCTGGAGTGTAGTGGCATGATCTCGGCTCAGTGCAACCTCCACCTCCCAGGTTCAAGCGATTCTCCTGCCTCAGCCTCCTGAGTAGCTGGGATTACAGGTGCCCACCACCATGCTCAGCTAATTTTTGCATTTTTAGTAGAGACAGGGTTTCGCCATGTTGGCCAGGCTGGTCTCGAACTCCTGACCTCAGGTGATCCACCTGCCTCGGCCTCCCAAAGTGCTGGGATCACAGGTGTGAGCCACTGCGCCCAGCCCCTGTGCTGTGGACTTAATGTGATAATGTGACTTGCATCTTACCGCCCAGGGCCTCTGCTCTTGCTGTTCTCTTGGCCTGGAACAATACCTACCAGACTCCAGGGCTGGCAGCTCCTCCTCACTTGGGGTCACCTCCTCCAAGAGGCCCCCTGCCCACTGCTGCCTGCCTGCCCTCTGTTCCTTTACTTGGGTATGTGCTGAACGCCTGGAAAAGAACCTAGTGCATTTCCTTCTTTGTCTGTTGTCTAACTCCCCCATTCAAATATCAGCTCCACGAAGGGAGGGTTTTGTCTCATCACTGCATGTCCCTACACACGGTATTTGGCACACAGTAAACACTCAATGAATGCTTGTTGAATGAATGAATGGACAAATGAACAAATGGAAGCTCTACTGGGGAAGCTCAGGGATGGAGACTGGCTCCTAACCCAGAGGGAGGGGATGTCCTGGGTAGCGCAGTCCTGGAAGATGCAGTCACTGGTAAACTGAAGCCTAAAGAAGCTCAGGCAGGCAGGTGAAGAAACCAGGGGGATGGTTTTGTTTCAAAACACCTTCCTCCAAGGGAGGAAGAGGTGAGCTACCTCCAAGGTTGCTCAGAGGTGGAAACTGTGATTAAAAATAAAAAAGGCGGCCAGGCATGGTGGCTCATGCCTGTAATCTCAGCACTTTGGGAGGCCAAGGTGGGCGGATCACCTGAGGTCAGGAGTTTGAGACCAGCCTGGGCAATATGGTGAAACCCCATCTCTACTAAAAATACAAAAAGTAGCCGGGTGTGGTGGTGCACACCTGTAGTCCCAGCTACTTGGGAGGCTGAGGTAGAAGAATCGCTTGAACCCGGGAGGTGGAGGTAGCAGAGAGCCGAGATAGCGCCACTGGACTTTAGCCTGGCGACAGAGCAAGACTCCATCTCAAAATAAATAAATAAACAAATAAGGCTAGAAGTGGTGGCTCACGCCTGTAATTCCAGCACTTTGGGAGGCCAAGACGGGAGGATCGCTTGAGGCCAAGGGTTCAAGACCAGCCTGGGCAATATAATGAGACCCTGGCTCTACAAAAACAAACAAAGCCTTTAATTCATTGCTACCATAAAAATCGAGACATTTCACTACATCCTGATGTCCCTGTCTCTCTTGAAGACTTGGAAGATTTGGCCATGTGGGCCAGCATTCTAGAGGCAAAGGTGGTCAGTCCTGTGTTCTCCACAGCCCCTATCAGGTCCTTGAGGTATGTGAGCTTCAAAGCCTTGTATTCACAGCATGACCCCCACTACCCCCACCTGCTGGGTGACCTTGGACAACCCTTTCTGAGTCTCAGCTGGTCCTTGGCAAAAAATGGGTTGGAGGCCAGGCATGGTGGCTTACGCCTGTAATCCCAGCACTTTAGGAGGCCAAGGCAGGAAGATCACTTGAGCCCAGGAGTTTGAGACCAGCCGGGGCAACACAGCGAGACCCTGTCTCTACTAAAAAAAATTTTTTTTTTTTGAGACTGAGTCTCGCTCAGTCACCCAGGCTGCCGTGCGGTGGCGTGATCTCAGCTCACTGCAAGCTCGCCTCCCGGGTTCACGCCATTCTCCTGCCTCAGCCTCCTGAGTAGCTGGGACTACAGGCACCCGCCACCACGTCCGGCTAATTAAAAAAAAAAATATTTTTTAATTGGCCAGTGGCCTGCACCTGTAGTCCCAGCTACTCAGGAGGCTGAGGCAGGAGGATTGCTTGAGGAGGAGGTTGAGGCTGCAATGAGACTTGATCATGCCACTGCACCCCAGCCTGGGTGACAGAGTGAGACCCTGTCTCTAAATGAATAAATAATTAGTTGGGCGTGGTGGCGCCCACTTGTAGTCCCAGCTACCCGGGAGGCTGAGGAAGGAGAATCGCTTGAGGCCAGGAGTTGGAGGCTGCAGTGACCCGTGATCGCATCACTGCACTCCAGCCTGGGCGACAAGAGACCCTGTCGCAAAAAAAAAAAAAAAAAAGAAAGAAAGAAAGAAAGAAAAAGGGTTGGAAGCGCACTGGGGGAAAAAGCTTGCCCACTCCGCTTTGGGAGCCTCCAGCAGGCTCCCGCTGTGCCAAAGGCACACACCCAGATGTCCGGTGGTCCACCCCTGCCCCGGCGGTCACGCCTGTCCCCTCCTCCAGCCCCAGCCTCGGGTCGGCTGAGAGATGACGCGTGGCCCGGCCCAGCCGGAGCGTTGGTCCCTAGAGCGCTAGCGCCCTCTGCTGGCCAAGGGCGGGCGTGCAGGCCCGAGCCAGAACGGGGAAGCCGGGCGCCAGGAGAGCGGGGAGGAGCTTCACTCTTCTGGTCGGTGAGATGGGGAAGAGCAATAGCGAATACATAAGCAGAATACACCGAAAGGAAAGGAAAGAACAATAGCGAAATAACATTTACGGAGGGGTGCTCCGTGCCGAGGACTGCAAGAAGCCCACACCATGTAAAACCACACGTAATCCTTAGAATAACCCGGCGAAATGGCAACGGAAACGCACAGAGAGGTTAAGGAGCCCTCCCGGGGCCACACAGCTGGTAGTGGAAACGGCTGACTCCTGGGCCTGCACTGGCATCCACCGAGGCGGAGAGAGGATGTGAAGGTGTCACCTCCGCTCATTCACTCATGCATGGCCTTCCAGCCAGCCATTCACCCATTCACAAGTATTCACTGAACACCTACTGTATGCCCAACATTGTGTGAGATGGCAGGAACACAGCCGTGAACACAATTGGCCTCATCCCTACCCTCTTGAAGCTGACATTTTAGTGGGGGTGGGAGGGGGCAGATAATAAACATGAATATATCATTAACAGCTGGGCCAGAGGCCAAAGGATAAACCTGTATGCGCTCGCTGATGTTACTCAGGCTCCTACCCCAACATGATTTTTTGCCGCATCTGAGCCCTACCTGTACTTTTACTTGACATTTGCTCCTAGATAATTGGTTTTTACTTAAGTGTATATATATATGTGTATATCTATATCTATATCTATATCTATGTATATGTTTATTTATTTATTGAGACAGAGTCTCGCCGTGTTGCCCAGGCTGGAGTGCAGTGGCACAATCACGGCCCACTGCAACCTCCACCTCTTGGGCTCAAGCGATCCTCCCACCTCAGCCTCCCGAGTAGCTGGGACTACAGGTGTGCAACACCATGCCCAGCTAATTTTTGTATTTTTTGTAGAGAGGGGGTTTTGCCGTGTTGCCCAGGCTGGTCTCAAACTCCTGGACTCAAGTGATCTGCCCACCTTGGCTTCCCAGAGTGCTGGGATTACAGGCATGAACCACTGTGCCAAGACAAAGTTGCTGGGTTTTTTTTGTTGTTTGTTTGTTTTTTGAGATGCAGTCTCACTCTGTCTCCCAGGCTGGAGTGCAGTGGCACAATCTCGGCTCACTGCAACCTCCGTCTTCCAGATTCAAGTGATTCTCCTGCCTCAGCCTCCCTAGTAGCTGGGATTACAGGCACGCACCACCATGGCCAGCTAATTTTTGTATTTTTAGTAGAGTCGGGGTTTCACCATGTTGGCCAGGCTGGTCTCAAACTCCTTGACCTCAAGTGATCTGCCCACCTGGGCCTCCCTAAGTGCTGGGATTACAGGCATGAGCCACCGTGCCCGCCTGCCGAAGGGTATTTTTAAAAGGGAATTTCGGCATGGTGAAACTCTGTCTCTACTAAAAATATAAAAATTAGCCGGGCATGGTGTTGCGCACCTGTAGTCCCAGCTACTTGGGAGGCTGAGGTGGGAGAATCGCTTGAACATGGGAGGCAGAGGCTGCAGTGAGCCGAGATCGCGCCACTGCACTCTGGCCTGGGCCACAGAGCGAGACTCCATCTCAAAAAAAAAAAAGGGGGGGTGGTGGGAAATCTCATATCACCACACCTACCCAACCAGTATCAGTTGTCACCTATCAGACAGCATCCTGGACTGAGGGTGAGGTATTGACATCACTGTTATATTAATCAATGTCCTTGGCATGCCACATCAGTTCCCCTGGTTCCTGGCAGGGGCACTAGAATCTCCCACTGGGAACCCCAAGATGAAGCCAGCCCCAGGGCCAGGCCTAGGGAATGAAGGTGCCATCAGCTTCTGAAGAAGGTGGGTGGCCTCTCCAGGATCCTCCAAGCCACTGTGGCCTGTGCTTTCTCTGGATTCTGCTGGTGACCCTGAAGAATCTGAGGCACAGGCCTTCCCTGGCCAATCAGAAAGCAGTGGCTTCCATCTTAGCTTCCTGCCCACCATGGACAACCCTGGGTCGTGGAACCCCCGTCTGCTCTCTTTCATGGCTGGCAATGGGTGTAAGGGGGACTTGCTCAGATCTGATTCTCAAAATTCCTGCCAGGGAAGGCCAGGCTTCTGAGCCAGTCCATCTGTTGCCCCCTGACCCAGCCACCCAGCTTCCCTGCATGCAGGGCAGAGGGAACAGGAGGCCCCACGGGGCCACTGGGACCCCTCCCTTGTCACTGCCAGTGGCCTCACAGGTCCATGTGACCCACCAAGAGAGGAAGGCCAGGCCCAGCCCTGAGGAGTGATTCATTCATTCAGTTTACACAGTCAGACTTTGTGCTGGACACTGTTTGTTGTTGTTGTTGTTTTGTTCTTTGAGACAGGGTCTCACTCTGTCACCCAGGCTGGAGTGCAATGGTGTGATCTTGGCTCCATGCAACCTCCGCCTCCCGAGTTCAAGTGATTCTCCTGCCTCAGCCTCCGGAGTAGCTGGTATTACAGGTGTGCACCACCACGCCTGGCTAATTTTTGTATTTTTAGTAGAGACGGGGTTTCACTATGTTGGCCAGGCTGGTCATGAACTCCTGGCTTCAGTGATCCTCCCACCTCACCTCCCAAAGTGTTGGGATTACGGACTTAAGCCACCGTGCCCGGCCTAGACACCATTTTTTATTTTATTTACTTATTTATTTATTATTATTATTATTATTATTATTTTGAGACAGAGTTTTGCTCTTGTCTCCCAGGCTGGAGTGCAATGGCGCGATCTCGGTTCACTGCAACATCCGCCTCCTGTGTCCAAGTCATTCTCCTGCCTCAGCCTCCTGAGTAGCTGGGATTACAGGCACCTACCACCACACCCAGCTAATTTTTTGTATTTTTAGTAGAGACAGGGTTTCACCATGATGATCAGGCTGGTCTTGAACTCCTGACCTCAAGTGATGCACCCGCCTCTGCCTCCCAAAGTGCTGGGATTATAGGCGTAAGCCACCACGCCAGGCCTATTATTATTATATTTTGAGACAGAGTCTGGCTCTGTCACGCAGGCTGGTACAATGGCTTGATCTTGGCTCACTGCAACCTCCGCTACCCAGGTTCAAGTGATTCTCCTGTCTCAGCCTCCCGAGTTGCTGGGATTACAAGCACGTGCCACTACGCCCAGCTAATTTTTGTATTGTTAGTAGAGATGGGGTTTCACCATGTTGGCCAGGCTGGTCTCGAACTCCTGATCTCAGGTGATCCACCCACCTTGGCCTCCCAAAATGCTGGGATTACAGGCGTGAGCCACTGTGCCCAGCCTTCAACACTATTTTTAACACTGGGTTCATGGCAGTGAAGAAGCCAGATGAGGCGCCCACCTGCAAGAGGGACAAAGGAATAACTACTGCAATGAATGAGATAGTTAAAATACACTGGGCATGGGAGTCCAAGGCGGGTGGATCATTTGAGGTCAGGAGTTCGAGACCAGCCTGGCCAACATGGTGAAACCCCGTCTACCAAAAATACAAAAATTAGCCGGGCGTGGTGGTGCACGCCTGTAATCCCCAGCTACTCGGTAGGCTGATGCAGGAGAATCGCTTGAACCAGGGATGCAGAAGCTGCAGTGAGCTGGGATCGCAGCACTGCACTCCAGCCTGGGTGACAGAGTGAGATTCTATCTAAAAAAAGAAAAGAAAAAGAAAAAAAAAAGAGGCCAGCTGCAGTGGTTCACGTCTGTCATCCCAGCACTTTAGGAGTCCAAGGCAGGCGGATCGCCTGAGTTCAGGAATTCGAGACCAGTCTGACCAACATGATGAAACTCCATCTCTACTAAAAATACAAAAATTAGCCGGGCATGGTGGCAGGCGCCTGTAATCCCAGCTACTCGGGAGGCTGAGGCAGGAGAATCACTTGAACCCAGGAGGCGTAGGTTGCAGTGAGCCAGGATAGTGCCATTGCACTCCAGTCTGGGCAACAGAGTGAGACTCTGTCTCAAAAATAAAATAAATAAAATAAAATAATAAAATAAAATAAAATATAAAATAAATAAATAAATTAATTAATTAAAATAAATAAAATAAAATAAAATATGCCTGTATCCTTGGATGGAGAAACCTGCTCCTAGAACTGTGTTCTACAGAGGTATGCAAATGCACACACATGCCCTGAGGCCAGCGGGCAGCAGAGCAGCAGAGACCACCTCAGGCCCAGCAGTCCAGGCCTGGCCACCGTGGTGGTGGCCCTTCATGTGCTGGGTGTGCTGCGCTTAACTACGGAGCGGATCCCCAAGGCTGCTCTGCAGGGCACTGGGAAGAATATCCCGGGGAGGAGCTAAGTGGAGATCACATTCCCATTTGCGTAAAAAAGTGGGGGAAGTGCATGAGGGGAGGGGGAAAGAATGCGGAGTGGTGCTGGCTGCACTTGCGTTTGCTCGCGTGCTGCCTGTGCCATCTCAGAGGCTCACACACTGGTGCTTGCCTTGGGAGAACGGGGTCAGAGGTGAGACTTTGCCCTGCACTCTATTCCCTTTATTTTCTTTTTGAGACGGAGTCTCACTGTGTCACCCAGGCTGGAGTGCGGTGGTGCAAGCCCAGTTCACTGCAGCCTCCATCTCCCAGGTTCAAGCGATTCTCCTGCCTCAGCCTCCCGAGTAGCTGGGATTACAGGCGTCTGCCACCATGCCTGGCTAATTTTTGTATTTTTAGTAGAGACGGAGTTTCATCATATTGGTCAGACTGGTCTCGAACTCCTGAACTCAGGTGATCTGCCCGCCTCGGCCTCCTAAAGTGCTGGGATGACAGACGTGAACCACTGCACCCGGCCTCTTTTTTTGTTTGTTTTTCTTTTCTTTGTTTAGACAGAATCTCACTCTGTCACCCAGGCTGGAGTGCAGTGGTGTGATCCCAGCTCACTGCAGCTTCTGCATCCCTGGTTCAAGCAATTCTCCTGCCTCAGCCTACCGAGTAGCTGGGATTACAGGCGTGCACCACCATGCCCGGCTAATTTTTATATTTTTGGTAGACGGGGTTTCACCATGTTGCCCAGCCTGGTCTCAAACTTGTTGGCTCAACGGATCTGCCAGCCTTGGCCTCCGAAAGTGCTAAGATTATAGGCATGAGCCACTGCCTCTGGCCAACTCTGTTAATTGACACATAAATGTAGGGAGACTTCACGTACAAATCTGCCTTCACAGCTTCCTTGGAAAATCAGAAAGATCTGGCATTCACTCAGCCCATGTGCCCAGTACTTAGTAACACCTTCACACTCACCTGTCCCCACCCAGCTGCATAACATCAGACACATATCAGAACCCCAAGGATGTGGCCCGTGTCTTCTTCTCACAGTGACAGGGCCACCAGCAGCAATGAGGTGGCTCTAGCCTAAGGTCTCCTCTCTCCCAAGGTCACCTTGGCCCGTGTGTGACAGCTGACTGCATCTAGCAGGTGACCTTGCCCAGGTCTCACAAGGAAGTCTTTGAGGTTGATCTGTTATCTTCTGGAGCTCAGAGCTCTGTACAATCCACCCACCCCAGCAGCTTGTTTCTTGCAAACTGGAAAGAATGAAGCTTTCACAAGCTGCCTTTTTTTTTTTTTTTTTTTGAGACTGAGTTTCACTCTTGTTGCCCAGACTAGAGTACAATGGCGTGATCTCGGCTCGCCACAACCTCCACCTCCCAGGTTCAAGTGATTCTCCTGCCTCAGCCTCCTGAGTAGCTGGGATTACAGGCATGTGCCACCACACCCAGCTAATTTTGTATTTTTAGTAGAGATGGGATTTCTCCGTGTTGGTCAGGCTGGTCTCAAACTCCCGACCTCAGGTGATCTGCCTGCCTTGGCCTCCCAAAGTGCTGGGATTACAGGCGTGAGCCACTGAGCCCAGCCAAGCTGCCTCTTCTTAAAGGAATTTCCTCCTCTGCCAAGTAAGGAAATCCCTAATGCTGTATCTTGAACTTTGTCATGAGGCTCCGTGATGAAGGAGTGACGTCAAGAAGGGACAGGCCAAGAGAGGGAATGTGACTGTCCCTGGGCTCCCTAAGGTTCTCTGAGGGGAGGTGCAAGAGGCCAGGCAGGGGCCGGGTGCGGTGGCTCATGCCTGCAATCCCAGCACTTTGGGAGGCCGAGGCGGGCGGATCACCTAAGGTTGGGAGTTCGAGACCAGCCTGACCAACATGGAGAAACCCCGTCTCTAATAAAAATACAAAATTAGCCAGGCATGGTGGTGCATGCCTGTAATCTCAGCTACTCGGGAGGCTGAGGCAGGAGAATATCTTGAACCCAGGACGCAGAGGTTGCAGTGAGCCGAGATCATGCCATTGTACTCCAGCCTGGGCAACAAGATTGAAACTCCGTCTAAAAAAAAAGGCCAAGCAGGGATCCACAGGCAGGGTGGAAAGGGGCACAGAGGCAGGGGCCGCTCCGTTTATGTGACGCCATCCACATCGTTATGCAACACCACAGCTAAAGGTGCAGTACAGCCAACAGTGCTCCCACCCAGAGGGCCGGAGAACTTTCTCCAGTGGAGATGCAGTCCAAGGAACTGGCTCTTGCCCCAAGACCAGAGTCAGTCAGAGATCCAGGGCAGTGGGGCCCCATGGCTGGCTTGCTGTTGGTCAGCCAGAAGGGGTGCTTTCTACACCTGCTGTCTCCCCGACCTTTGTCAGGTAACGACAGATGTTTCCCCACACCACAAGTTTCCACACAGTGAAAATTACCAGTGGATGCATCCCCTCCGGTACACAAACCTGGCAGGGGCTGGAGACCAGAGGTGTGACCCAGGGAAACCACCTGGCAAAAGTGGCAACATCTGGCCAGGCGCGGTGGCTCACGGCACTTTGGGAGGCTGAGGGGGGCAGATCATCTGAGGTCAGGAGTTCAAGACCAGCCTGGCCAACATGGTAAAACCCTGTCTCTACTAAAAATACAAAAAATTAGTTTGGCGTGGTGGCGCATGCCTGTAGTCCCAGCTACTCAGAAAGCTGAGGCAGAATTGCTTGAATCCAAGAGGTGGAGGTTGCAGTGAGCCAAGACCACTCCACTGCACTCCAACTTGGGCGACAGAGAGAGATTCCGTCTCGGAAAAAAAACAAAAACAAAAACGTGGCAACATCTGAACCTCAGACAAGCACTTCCTGTGTGCCCTAGGCTTAAACTCTGTCCATAAACTTTAGACCATCTGTAAACCCACCACCAAGGAAGAGCAAATTACACAAACGTGGGACACAGTGCCCACAAGATCACAGATCCAAACAACTGTCTCAGAGGGTTTTGAGTGTTGTTTCACAGGCCTTAAGCCCAGGTCCACCCAGCCCGCATCCCCTCTGGTATATAAACCTGGCAGGGGCTGGGGACCGGAGGTGTGACCCAGGGAAGCCAGGTAAAGTGCACACTCTAGGATTTGAGACAGGATTTGTTTTCCTCTTGGGGGTAACTCAGCACAGAAGAGGCCACCTTTAGATTTAACCACGAATTTGTTCTGGGGTTTTCCAGCAGCATTTTATTATTTATTTATTTTTTGAGACGGAGTCTCACTCTGTCGCCCAGGCTGGAGTGCAGTGGCACGATCTTGGCTCACTGCAAGCTCCACCTCCCGGGTTCACGTCATTCTCCTGCCTCAGCCTCCGGCGTAGCTGGGACTACAGGTGCCCGCCACCACGCCCGGCTAATTTTTTGTATTTTTAGTAGAGATGGGGTTTCACTGTGTTAGCCAGGATGGTCTCGATCTCCTGACCTCGTGATCCACCAGCCTCAGCCTCCCAAAGTGCTGGGATTACGGGTGTGAGCCACCGCGCCCGGCCATTTTATTTTTTAGAGACAGGGTTTCCGTCTGTCGCCCAGGCTGGATGCAGTGGCACCATCATGGCTCACTGCAGCCTCGACCTCTCAGATTCAAGTGATCCTCCCACCTCAGCCTCCTGACTAGCAGGGACTACAGGCGTGCACTACTAACCTTTTTTTTTTTTTTTTTGAGACAGTCTCGCTCTGTCGCCCAGGCTGGAGTGCAGTGGCGCAATCTCGGCTCACTGCAAACTCTGCCTCCCGGGTTCATGCCATTCTCCTGCCTCAGCACCTGCCACCACACCCGGCTAATCTTTTATATTGTTAGTAGAGACAGGGTTTCACCGTGTTAGCCAAGATGGTCTCGATCTCCTGACCTCGTGATCTGCCCGCCTCGGCCTCCCAACATGCTGTGATTACAGGCATAAGCCACCGCGCCCGGCTACACTGGCTAATTTTTTAACTTTTTATAGCGACAGGGGTCTCACTATGTTGCTCAGGCTGGTCTCAAACTCCTGGGCTCAAGTGATCCTCCTGCCTTGGCCTCCCAGTGTTAGGATTACAGGAGTGGGCCACCATATCTGGCCTGAAATAATTTTGGAACCTCTCCTCTCCTCCCTTGGGAGGGCTGACTGAGGATGAAGAACCCACAGCTTTCCCTGGCCCAATGTATGTACTTTCAGAACTGAAGGGCACCAGTCCCTGCAGAGGACTCCAAAGACCATCCAAAGAAATCTGGGCAGGGCTTTCTGGAGGGTGGCCTGTTGGGAAGAACCTGGCCCTTTCCTTACAGCCAGCTCTTCTCACACCTGAGCTGGCCCCAACAGCCAGAGGGAATAGCCTGCTCCTGCCACAGGGCACCAAGATCGTACCTGTATGTAGTTGGGACTACAGCAGAAGTTCAAACTCTGGGTAAAAACTAGACACGTTCCCACTGCATATGCAGTAGATGGTAGACAAATAGTTAATCATCAGATCAAAAAAAAATTTTTTTTAAACATCAGAAATACATGTGACAATCCGATGATTTTTTTTTTTCTCTGAATAGACTACTAAGTCCAGCCAATAAATGGCTTCTAGTGGAGGCTTAATAGCTCAAGACCTGTGAGGCTACTTAAATCAAAGGAAGAACGCTTTTTTAAACTACCATCTTGGGCTGGGCACGGTGGCTCACGCCTGTAATTCCAGCACTTTGGGAAGCCAAGGTGGGTGGATCACCTGAGGTCAGGAGTTCAAGACCAGCCTGGGCACCATAGTGAAACCCCCATCTCTACCAAAACTACAAAAAATTAGCTGGGTGTGGTGGCGGGTGCCTGTAATCCCAGCTATTCGGGAGGCTAAAGCAGAATTGCTTGAATCTGGGAAGTGGAGGTTGCAGTGAGCTGAGATCGCGCCATTGCACTCCAGCCTGGGCAACAAGAGCAAAACTCTGTCTCAAAACAAAACAAAACAAAAACCTACCATCTTTAGGACAGGGGTTGGCAAACTATGATCCATGGGCCAAATCTAGCCCACTGACTGATTCTGTATGGCTTTTAGCATGAAGAATTATTTTTACAGATGAACATTTGCAAGAGGCTTGATGACAGGGAACACTAATGAGTCCCAGTTAAACAACATGTTATCTCCTAAAAGAACTCCAGTCCTCACGTTAGTGGGCCAGTAGCATTATAAATAAACTGAATTCCACTTTGAATTTCACCAATTAAAAATTTGGGAAATCTGTTTTCTCTCAGAATATAAGTACTTACACAATGTCCTTAGATTTTGCCTCTTGGCCTGCAAAGTCTATATATTTACTAATTTAGGCCCTTTTAGAAAGTTTGCCGACCCCTGCTTTAGGATGTCAATTTGAATCCCAAAGCATCTAAAACATTAAATTCTGTCCCTAATATGCCAAGAGGAAGAAAAGTACAGCCTGTTAAATATTAACGCACACTTTTTTTTTATTATATTAAAATCAGGCAATGGTCTGACAATAAAAAGGCTGCTTATGGAATACTGTTATGTTAAACTTCACTTACAGGATGTTAAATCCTTAGAACTAAGGTTTTCCCCCCAGAAAAAGATTAATGGAAACATCAATTGCTTTTCAGACTTGATAGTTGCTGCTTCAAAAGGTGGTTTTACACAAATACTAAATTAAAAAAAAAAAAAAAACCTTTAGTACACAATGAATTGCTTTTATTTCGGTATGCATCCACATTTCAGCATTTAGTGGTCCTGAACAGCAAGTGGAAAGACGCAGCAATTTGCCAGGAGGTCAAGCCCACCAATTTCGGGGATCTGCTGTGCACACCGGGTTCCTTCTTAATCCCTGCTGAGGATCTTGGGAAGCAGCAGCAGCACCAAAACCAAGGCATGCACCGGATTCAAGGTTCTTTTTGTTCCAGTTGTCAGATTCCAAACTAGACCCCAATGGATTGCAAGGATGACCAAATGAAAGCCCTGTTTAAAACTTCTTCAATTTTTAAAAGCAAAAGCAGTTACAGGAAAGTAAAACAATTCAGAGGGATCATGTGTGCTTACAAGTATCTTCATGCGGTCTTTCTCCAAGTTCAACCACCAAGGACTCCGAGAGCTGGCAGGTCTGAGTAACCCTGGTGACTATTCTTTTCACCTTATCAAAACCTGAGCTAAAAACAATGCATCAGCTGATGACAGCAGAGGGTGGCAGGGCTGAGGACCCAATATTCATTTCCCAGGCTGGTGGAGAGTGAGTGAGTATGGTTCCAAAACTAAACAAGGGAGGTCAGAGGCTCTTTCCAACCTTACCTGATGGCTTCTGGCCAAAGCAAGGAAGTGTCATGGAAGGTGTTGGGTGGTGACGGTGCAAAAAGGAACTTGAGGAGGAGGGAGAAAAAGCAGCACCCCTCGATAAAGGTGGGGGAGAGAAGATATGGGGAAAGCCCTGAATTCCTCACCGAAGGCCAATCTCAGAGGGGAGTGGAGGGGTTACAATCTATGCTTCGGCCAAGGGCGGGAGTGGAGGAGCGTGGGGACAGGATGATGGTTTGGAAGGGGCATCACTTAAGACTTAAAGAAACCAGGGGTGCAGGCGAAACACCCCACACACCTAGCAGTAGTCCCACAGGCTGCGACCTGAAACCTTCACATCTACTCTAACAAGCCCCCCAGGCTAGAGGGCTGTTGTTGCAGGGAGGGTGGGAGGCGGGAGGGTAAGGGGAGAAGGCAGAGACCCCAGGCCGTGTAATCAGCAGCAAGGTGATTGTGTGATGTGTCTTTTCACAGTTGAGTTAGATGTGCCCCACCAGTTATGATGGGAATCAATTTAAATAGACTTTCTTGATCCCAGAAGTTCAACTACGTGGACAGTGGTTACACTTGACAGGATGATTTGTTATAGCACAACTTATATATTTCAAATGGACAAAAAATTAGTATCATTTACAGTATCTTAAGATAAATTTCCTTTGAATGGGAGCTTCCTTTCCGGTACTTTGAGGTCTACAAGACGTATCTAGAAAATTTACTACTGTGGAAAATGAAGACTGATTAAATCGAATTGGGGGGAAGGGGAAGGGCCTGTGGTTTTTCTTTTTGATTAATTGCTGTAACACTGTCCTTCGGGCGGCTGAGGGAGTTTCATATTTTCTTTAGACATCATTAGGCGCCGAAGCTCTTGCAGGACAACTTTGATGCTATATGAATTCTGCCATTTTGCTAGCACTGATATGGCTCTTGGGTCCACCTACAACAAGGCAAACAAAAGCAAATTACTCTCAGACTCTCAAACAAAATAGCTATATGCCGGGGTTAAGCTAAGGTGCAAACTGGAGTAAGATGTACTTTTTAAGCTGAACCTGCTGCTAATCCTAATACCTTACATGCGGAATACCTACCTGCTAGAGTCCCTCCCTCCAGTCAGCCTGCCTTTCCCTTTTGTGCCCTGAACCATTACTATCTGGGATAAGGAAACGGTGGTACTGACACTTGGGTGAGACTCAACCCAGCCCTACTTGGCTCTTCAATAATGGCCGCTGCTGGGCTGGCGGCTGCCGGGCTCAGGACCTGTCCTCTTCACTGCGCCCAGGTCAGGGGGACAGATGTGCATGCAGGGCAGTACGGACAGCCAAGGCAAAGGGTGGCCAGGACACCTGCTCCAGTGACAAGGGCCTGCCACAGAGCCAGCACCTCTCAGGTTAAGGCAGCATTTCCCAAAATAAATTCCCCAAAGCACAGGTTGAGCTCTGGGCTCAGGACTTTAGGTGGAACTCAGATTCAGGATTAAACACTAAACACACTGTAACAAAGCTCATCTCTTTTCAATTTTCCAGTCTTCTGAGTATCTCAAAGACGAAGGCTTGGCGTGACGTTAACATGTGTAGCATCCCTTCAACACTTGCTGATCTCCTCTTTGAACAGGAGAGCAGGCCTCAAAGGCTCAAAGCTTTTGGCAAATGACACATGGAGTCAAGATTTATTAACATTGCTCTGTTTTTGTAATATTTACTGTTGCCATTATTGCCCAGTTATGACAACTGAGACAGGTTTTTCATTTATGGTAGTAAAAATAAAAAAGCAAGGCCATTAAAGGAAAAAAATATTACATGCCAGTGGTTCACAAATAAGGCCCAGGGGGGTAAAGGTGTAGCCCTGGGAAAGATCTTCCACGTCTGTGCCTCAGTTTCCTCATCTCTACCTCACTGGGGTGGCATGAGGAAAGAGCTCATATTTCAAAGCGACCAGCACAGAACTAGCCCAGGGTAAGTGCTATATGAGTGATCGCCAGATATAATTGGGAAACAGGCCCCATCCCAAATCTGTGCTCCTATGCACAGTGATACAGTTTATCAACAAATAACCAAAGAACCTAGGAATTGGGCCCAGTCTAAAAGCTCCTGATGTTAAGTACAAAGCAACTGTCAACTCCAAGGAACAAGTGGGACAGAGAAAACAACTTACCACTCCATTAGAACTATTTACTCCATTCATATTAATTTTTGTTACAAATCTTACAAAGGGGGGTGCTTCTGGGTATTTAGGTCCACATTCTATTTTAAGGCTGTATATTCGGTTTTCATAAATTGTCTGGAAAAAAAGAGTACGGAGATGTCACGCAATTACAAACAAAGCATTCAAAAAGGTAGAGCTTGTGAAACCCCATTTATCCCTGACTGTAGAACTGGTACATCTGCTTCCAGCATGGAGTCTACTTGTTCTGTGGTAGGTCAGCAGTTCTATACTAGTTCCTACACTAGTTTATATGACTTCCGGGCCTTGGGGGAATACAAAGAAGATGGAGCATTTAAGCTAGTACCAGTGAAGTTTTTAGTATTAAGTCTAATCAGAGGGACCTGTTTTTATGTTAATTTCTCTACTTTGCAGTCCTTCTCTGGGGAATGGTAAGAGGCATTCTCTATTCTAGGAAGCCGAGTTAAATGTCCACTCACCAGGATCATCAGCCAATCAGTTAAATAACACTATGTGGTATTAAAGCACAGAACAGGTCACTGCTTTAGAGAACCTCAAAATTAAGACAAGACGAGGGAGGGGTGCAGACTCAGAGCTGCTTCCCCCTTCTCCATCACTCCGGGGTTAGGCACTGGGTAAGGGATTTCAACTGGGGTGTTCCATCCCTCCCTGCAGTCTTTTTTTTTTTTTTTGGTAGTCTGACCTGAGAGATTACTGGCATTCAATGGGTGAGGCAGCACAGGGAAAAGCAGTCTTTTTTTTTTTTTTTTTTTTTTGAGACAGAGTTTTGCTCTTGTTGCCCAGGCTGGAGTGCAATGGTGCGATCTCGGCTCACCGCAACCTCCGCCTCCCGGGTTCAAGTGACTCTCCTGTCTCCTGAGTAGCTGGGATTACAGGCATGTGCCACCATGGCCGGGTAATTTTGTATTTTTAGTAGAGACAGGGTTTCTCCATGTTGGTCAGGCTGGTCTCGAACTCCTGACCTCAGCTGATCTGCCCTCTTCGGCCTCCCAAAGTGCTGGGATTACAGGCATGAGCCACCGTACCCAGCCAAAAACCGTCCTTCTTTAAAAGGCTAACTGTGCCTTTGTTGAGAAACACTGAAAAGTCCAACCCCCTATGCCAATAACCTCTTCACTGTACCATCTACCCCATAAGCAGGGAGATGCGCTCTGTTGCCCGGCTGTTCCTTCTGCTTGGAGCGTCCTGCCCCCACCTGAAATGCCTTGCAACCCTGAAGACCCAGCTCAAACACTACCTAGTCCCTAGCTTTCTATCCCATATGAAGTCACACTGCTATCACATGTGTCTGAAGACCACACTGAAGGGTGATGTCTCCCAGTAAAGAGTAACCCCCTCAAAGGCAGGGGCTCCCCTCTCTGTGGGTTCCCCTGTCAGGCATCAGTGCCTTCTCCGGCATCAGTACCCTCTCCGGCATCCGTGCCCTCTCCTCAGGAAAGGAGTCTTGTACTGCATAATTGCTCCCGTGTAAACAGCGGCATCTAGTGGTCTTTGGGGAGAATAAATCAGAGGATGTGATTTAAACCCTTGATTCAGAAGGCATTCATAATATACCCATGGAAACTTTTCTTGTCCACAGGGATCCCAAACTACAACCAAACCAAAACTGTGAATTTCTACCTACCCTCAACCTGCCCTCTTCCTCCTCAGTGAATGACATCAGCATCTACCCAGTTAGCTAAAGCAAAAACTAGCAGGCAACCCAATTCCCCTCTCCCTTACCCTCTACCTGCCAGTGGTCAGAAGGTCCCACTGTTCTACCTCTGAAAGAGACCCCACTGTTCTACCTCTGAAAGAGACCCCATATCCATCCACTTTCCTCCACCACCGTCACCTCTTCTGAACTCCCCCAAGTCTCTTTCTCTCTTGCTCCCGGCACAGCAGCCAGACCAACGTCTTAAAAACAGGAAGCTGTCTCTGCTGGCTTAACCCTCTGATGGCTCCTAGTGACCTGAAGAGGAAGCCAAAGTTCCCAGACTGACCCGGGCAGCCCTAACTGCCTCTTCTTTTACTCTTCTCCCTCCCCTGCCCACCATTCCTCTTCAACCTTGCCAAGTTCTCTCCACCTTGGGGCTCTCACCCCAGCTGCTTCCCCTTGGAAGTGTTCCCGATCCCCTCAGCCCCTCCCAACTGAGGCTCAGTTATGCATCAGACACCCTCACTAAACACAGAAAAAGGAGGGTGGGGGCCTTGACAGGGGCCCTCAACTGAATTGGTACTCAAATGTTTGTTGAATGTTTCTCTTCACACTTTTATATTATAAAATAAACACCTCATTGCAATTAAGGTGTTTCCTCAAAGAAAAAAAAAACCCAGTAAACAGAACAAGTAGGAAGCAAACAAAGGCATGACTCACATACAGATTTATGGAGAATATAACAGATCCATCCTCAGAACCTATCATAGTCTCCATCAACAACTATATACTCAGTGTTGACTGAATAGATCCTGAATGGAGCAAAAATCATGCTCCCTGGTTTTGTCACACAATTCAAGAATGAAATTCCTTACATTTTAAGGAATCAAATTTCTCACCACTGATATTCATCTGGTAATTTCACTGGAAGACAGTAAAAAAAAAAGCCTCAAGTCATCACAGACACACACCTGAAGGGTCATTTAAAAGCCCCAACCTAAGGCCGGGTGAGCTGGCTCACGCCTGTAATCCCAGCACTTCGGGAAGCCGAGACAGGCGGATCACAAGGTCAGTAGATCGAGACCATCCTGGCTAACACGGTGAAACCCTGTCTCTACTAAAAATACAAAACATTAGCCGGGTGTGGTTGTGGGCGCCTATAGTCCCAGCTACTTGTGAGGCTGAGGCAGGAGAATGGCACGAACCCGGGAGGTGGAGCTTGCAGTGAGCCGAGATTGCGCCACTGCACTCCAGCCTGGGCGACAGTGCGAGACTCCATCTCAAAAACAAAAAACAAAAAACAAAAAACCCCAAGCTAAGGCTGGGTGCGGTGGATGACGCCTGTAATCTCGGCATCTGGGGGGGCCGAGGTGGGTGGATAACCTGAGGTCAGGAGTTCGAGACCCATCTGGCCAACATGATGAAACCCTGTCTCTACTAAAAATACAAAAATTAGCCAGGCATATTGGCAGGTGCCTGTAGTCCCAGCTAACCGGGGGGCTGAGACAGGTGAACTGCTTAAACCTGGGAGGTGGAAGTTGCAGTGAGCCGAGACTGCACCACTCCACTCCAGCCTGGGTGACATTGCGACACTTTGTCAAAAAAAAAAAAAAAAAGCCCCAAGCTAGACTTTAATAGAAACCAGGGTTACAGGGTTTCTGGTTTTTTTATTTTGTTCATGAGTGCTCCAGGGACCTGCTAAAAAGGTTTCAGCAAAGGAAATGTGCCTGAAGGAGAATTGCTGGAACATTCTGCGTCTGTGAGAAATACTGCTCTTAAGATTCATTATTTGATCATGAAACAAACACTTTCCACTTTGTTGATATGGCTCATGCTTTGTGGAGCCGTTTGGCAGTGCTCATCAACATGTGAAATGGGCATGCTCAGACCAGCAGGCCCCTTCCTAGCAATTTCCTTCAGAGAGACGCAAACTTGTGCACAAAATGTGAAGCACTGTCTGCAATAGCAAAAATAACTACAATCTACATGTCTCCTTGCAAGGGACTATATGAACATGGCATATTCATATAACCCGGAGACTTCGTAGCCTTCTCAAAGGCCGAGGGACACTCCTTGGGCACACACACACATACGAAAGACTGGCAAAACATGGCACCAGGTATAGACGATACATTGTAGGATATGTATAGCCTATAAAAGCAGACATACACTTTCTTCCAATTCTGGATATATTTGTGTGCACACAGGCTACTTTGTCCATTAGGCACTACAGGCCCAGAGCCTGGAGATTATAAATTTTTCCTGGGCCAAATGCATACATATGAGATAACCCCAGTCTAATCATTAAAAAAAAAAAAAAAAAAAGACAAATTCCAATAGAGAGACAGTCTACAAAATACCTGACCAGTACTCCTCAAAACAGCCAAGGGCATCAAAAACAAGAAAAACCTGAGAAATGTCATTGCCACGAGGAGCCAGAGATATGATGACTAAGTGTAATGTGGTATCTTGGATGGGATTCTGGAACAAAAAACAGATATAAGTAAAAACTAAGAACACCTGAATAAAGTATGGACTTTAGCTAATAATAATGTATCAACGTTGGTTTATTGGTTGTGACAAATGTACCATAATAACATAAGATGCTAGCAACAGGGAAAAGGTAGCACAGGAAGTACTACCTTTGCAACTTTTCTATAAGCCTGTAAGTATTAGAAAATAAAATTTGTTTTAAAAATGTATGAGCTAGGCTAGGCACGGTGGCCCACGCCTGTAATCTCAGCACTTTGGGAGGCCAAGACAGGAGGACTGCGTGAGCCCAGGAGTTCAAGACCAGCCTGGGCAACAAAGTGAGACCCTGTCTCTACAAAAAGTAAAAAAAAATTAGCCAGGTGTGGTGGTGCGCCTGTGGTCTTGGCTACTTCGGAGGCTGAGGCAGGAGGATTACTTGATCCCAGGAGGTCAAGGCTACAGTGAGCTGTGATTGTGTCACTGAACTTCAGCCTGGGTGACAGAATGAGACCCTATCTCAAAAAAAAAAAAAAAAGTATGAGATATGAGAAAAGGAAAAAGGTATTAATTACAAAAATATGCAAGGAAAATTACAAAATCTAAACATACAAAAAGGAAACATTAGGTCAACCAGTCACCTGCTATTCAGTTCCAATCTTACATAGTTATATACAAATTACGTTTAATGTACAATGTGGGTACATGCTATGTTAGAATGCAGATCACAGTAACTGTTGGGGAGAAGAGTGGGGATATGGCAGTTAGGGATAAATCAGGAAAAAAGACTCCACACTAGGTTTTATAACAGAATTTAATATAAGACATTGCTTAAACAGGCGTCAGTGGACTGAAAATGTTCAAAGGGAATCTAAGCTAACACAGATGTAATAACGAAATGAAGCAGGATGGAAACTCTTAAGGGAGGGGGGGATAAGCTGGAGTTTACCAGGGTTGAGTTTACCAGGGTTGGAGGCTAAGGAAGAGGTCTGAAGAGTTGAACTCAGAACTCTGAGGAAGGGGTGCTGCCTGGCTGCTGCTAGAACCTCCAAGGAGGGGGCTTGGCGGGATGTGATGAGGCTGGTTTTGTGAATGTCCCCAGAAAGCTGGAGGTTGAAACACACTGCTGATGCCAGGATGAAGGGCTGTTACCAGGGTGGTACAGACAGAACAAACAGGCAAACTGGATACAGCAAATCCCTTTTCCCTTCCCCATGCCTTTCAGGCTCTCTCTTGTGTCCCTGACTGGTGGAACCTTCAGAGGAAGCCAGCTGACAAAGGAAAAGTGTAGTGTGCAGAGTCCCAGCCCCAGCATCCAAAGCAGAGTGGAGAGAAGTGGGCTTGGAGTTTCCTAGCCAGCAGCAGCAGGCACCTCTCTGCACAGCGACGAGACACAATTATCCTTTGTACAGAGACTCTCCCTCTTCCCACCATTCATGGTATCTTTCTGAGTGAGCACGGGGCCCATCTCTAGGCAATAGTAAGTTTTCACTTCTCTAGTTAGGTTGTAGAATATTTGGGTGGCACTCAAATATTCTTAAGGACTGAATGGTCAAATTAACCACATGATCCTAATAGAAAATAAAAAGTAGGAGGCATTTGACCCTTCACATTTGCTTGCTGTTCCTTTAGGTATCACCCCAGTATGAGCCCCTTACCTCGGCAGCAAGAGCTGGTTCTGGGCTTCAGTGTCTTTTGCACTCCCCCAACCAGGCTTGCCCCTGCCCCGCAGGTGCCAGCAGCAGCAGAGGGGGCACCTTTTCCCCAAGTGCCAGGTTCTGACAGCCCAAGCTTCCTCTGCTGGCCTCCCAAACCCAGAGGGTGGTTACTGTTTCTGCAGCAGTATCTCTGTGTTCTCATATTGTGCCTTCTTTGATTTTTTAGTCCAACATCTATTTGATCAACTTCCTATATTAAATTATCTCTGTTGCCTAGTATTGGGTATCAATCCAAAGGAAATTAAATCAGTATCTCAAAGAGATCATCTGCACTTCCACACTCATTGCAGTTATTCACAATAGCCAATATATGGAAACAACTTAAATGTCCTAGAGAAAATATGGCATATATCACACAATGAAATATTATTCAGCCATAAATAAGAAATCCTGCCAGTCGGAGAATTGCTTGAACCTGGGAGGCGGGGGCTGCAGTGAGCCGAGATGGCGCCACTGCACTCCAGCCTGGGCAACAGTGCGAGACTCTGTCTCAAAAAAAAAAAAAAAAAGAAATCTTGCTAGTCATGACAACATAGATGAGCCTGAAGGACATTATGCTAAGTGAAATCAGCCAGACACAGAAAGACAAAAAGTGTATGATCTCAATTATACATGGAATCTAAAAGTAGAACTCACAGAAGCAGAGAACAGAACAGTGGTTGACAGGGACCAGGGTGTAAGGGGAGATACTGGTCAAAGGGCACAAACTTTCAGTTATGAGTAAGTTCTGGGAATCTAATGTAAAGCATGGTGACTACAGTTAATAATACTGGATTGTTTACTTGAAATTTGGTAAAAGAGTAGATCTTAAGTGTCCTTACCACAGACACACAAGGTAGCTACACGTGGTGATGGATGCGTTGATTAATTTGGTTGTGGTAATCATTACACAATGTATATCAAATCATCACACTGTATACCTTGGATATATACAGCTTTTATTTATCAATTACATCTCAATAAAGCTGGGAAAAAAATTAGCTGGTATGATTTCTCTTTTCCTGACTGACACAGAGTTAAAGCGGGACTAAGTTAACCTCTTATTCTATATACTCTGTATTGTTGGAAAAAAAATTTTTTTTGAGACAAGAGTCTCACTCTGTCACCCAGGTTGGAGTCCAGTGGTATGATCTTGGCCCACTGAAACCTCTGCCTCCTGGGTTCAAGCGATTCTCCCTCCTCAGCCTCTTGAGTAGCTGGGACTACAGGCGTGCATCACTACGCCCAGCTAATTTTTGTATTTTTAGTAGAGATGGGGTTTCAACATGTTGGCCAGGCTGGTCTCGACTCCTGACCTCAAGTGATTCACCTGCCTCGGCCTCCCAAAGCGCTGGGATTACAGGCGTGAATCACCACACCTGGGCTTTTGTCATTAAAAATTTTTACAAGAATATATTCATATTCATTAATCAGTCATATAACTTAAGGCTTTTTTTTTTTTTTTTTTGAGATGGAGTCTCGCTCTTGTTGCAAGCAGTGGCGCGATCTCGGCTTACTGCAACCTCTACCTCCCAGGTTCAAGTGATTCTCCTGCCTCAGCCTCCTGAGTCAGGCATCTGCCACCGCGCCCAGCTAATTTTTATACTTTTTTAGTAGCGACCGGGTTTCGCCATATTGGCCAGGCTGGTCTTGAACTCCTGACCTCAGGTGATCTGCCCGCCTTGGCCTCCCAAAGTGCTGGAATTACAGGCGTGAGTTACCACGCCCCGCCTCAAAGCTTTTAAAAAAGAGATCAGTCAATATGCACTGATATAGAAAGATGTCCACCATCTATTAGGTGAAAAAAAATTAAGTTGTAAAACATTATGCATAGGAAGATCCCATTTTTCTTAAAAAGATATATATTTACGTTTGCATACCCACAGCAAAAGTGGGTAGAACCACACCACACACCAACTTAAGTTTCATTCGATGGTGAGCATAATGAATCAGAGAAAGGATCACTTTTCTTTTACTTCCTACACCCCTGTAATTATGTTCAGTTCCTCTGAAGCATGGGTACCAGTACTCCAGGGTATAAACACACATCCAGGCTCTAATCCACACATAAAACACTTGGCCGGGTGTGGTGGGCTCATGCCTGTAATCCCAGCACTTTGAGAGACCAAGGTGGGCGGATCACCTGAGGTCAGGAGTCTGAGACCAGCCTGGCCAACACGGCAAAAACCTGTCTCTACTAAAAATATAAAAATTAGCCGGGTGTGGTGGTATGTGCCTATAACCCCAGCGACTAGGGAGGCTGAGGCAGGAGAATCGCTTGAACCCGGGAGACAGAGACTGCCGTGAGCTGAAATCACGCCACTGCACTCCACCCTGGGCAACAGAATAAGACTCCATCTCAAAAAAACAGAAAAAACACTATTTTGGAGAACCCCAGAGGCTCAACAGTGCTCCTCGATGAGGGCCATTTTTGCCCCTCTGCTGGGAAGGGGAAGGGAGGATCAAGCGTTGCCTAGACACATTTATGGTTGCTGCAATGGAGACGGGGGTACTGCTGGCTTCTAGTGAGTAGAGGCCAGGGATGCTGCTAAACAGCCTACAACGCACATACCTAGCACTCTCATGACAAAGAAAAGAACCAGCCCTACATGCCACGTCTGAGAAACTCTGCTCTATATAACTTGACTATTGTTAGTACTTCTGTGGTCAAAGTAGAAATATTCCATGTCTAACGCTGTGGACAGCTAGACATTTGCCAGAATTGTGCAAGGAGCAGTTGGCTCAGAAGCTTTGTTTTTAGGTTTGGAGGATTTGCTTTTCTTTAAATAAACAAACAAACAAAAAAGGTGGGGGCACTATTCAAACAGCACACACATATGACTAAAACATTCAAAGAGTACAGAAGGGTATATGGTAAAAAGTAAGTTTCCTTTCCACTCCAGCCCTAGCCAGCCAGCTCCCTTCTGAAGAAGACAACCACTGTCAGCAGCTTCTTTCCCATTCCTCCAGAGGTATTCTAAGCACACAGAAGCAGTGTATGCATGAGCTCTTCCTCTGCACCCAAGGCCCCCCACTCCAACTGGCAGCATACTCTGTCTCCTGTTTTATAATTTACTTTTTCACAATATCATGGAGATCATTCCATTTCAGCACACATAAATCTGTCTCATTGTTCAACAGCTAAACAGGACATAATATGGTATACTCAAAGACAATGATGTTGTTTCCAATATTTTGCTACTACTGACAATGCTGCATGAAATAATTTTGTACACTGCCTTTGGGCAATACATTCAAGAGAAATTGGAAAGTAAATTCCTAGAAGAATTCCTGGATCACATGGTATAGACCTTTGAAATTTTGATGGAAAATGTTCTTTTGAGTAAAACAATAACAAAAACCTAATAGGGAGATGAGTTACTCAAGTGCTCTATTTAGATGCTTTAATAATTATGTGGATATTCGAGTTACACAGCAAATAGCTCATGTGCTAATCATGAAAGATTGGTCACAGGAAGCATCTACACACAGATAGTTCCTTTTATGACTTAGTTTCTGACCTTGGGGAACCAGGATAATAAAAACTACAAGGGTGAAAAGACAATAACAAGTGTTGGTGAGAATGTGGAGAAATGGGAACTTTCGGGCATTGCTAGTAGGAATGTAAAATGGTGCAGCCACTTTGGGAAACAGTTTGGCATTTCCTCCAAATGTTAAACACAGTTACCATATGATCCAGCAATTCCACTCCTAGGTATACACCCAGGGGAATTCAAAAATGTATCTCCGGCAGGGCGCGATGGCTCACACCTGTAATTCCAGCACTTTGGGAGGCCGAGGTGGGTAGATCATGAGGTCAGGAGTTCAAGACCAGCCTGGCTAAGATGGTGAAACCCCGTCTCTACTAAAAATACAAAATTAGCTGGGCGTGGTGGCGGGTACCTGTAATCCCAGCTACTCGGGAGGCTGAGGCAGAGAATTGCTTGAATCCGGGAGGTGGAGGTTGCAGTGAGCCGAGATTGCGCCACTGCACTCCAGCCTGGGAGACAGAGCGAGACTCCAACTCAAAAAAAAAAAAAAAAAAAAAAAAATAATAATAATAATAATAATAAAATATATATATATAAAATATATTATGTATGTTATATATATAATATATATAGGCTTGGAGGATTTGCTTTTATTTAAATAAAAATATATTATATATTATAATTATATATCTTATATATAATTATATGTAATATATATTACATATCATATATGTTATATAAATATACAGTATATATAATATATAACATATGCATTATATAATATATAATGCATTATATAATATATAATGCATTATATAATATATAATGCATTATATAATATATAATTATATATAATATATGTCCATCTTCAAAGGAGGAAAAATTAGGTAGCTAAAAACAACTATGTCCATCTATTCCAGCAGGTGTAGATAAAAAAATAAAAAGAAAATATATGTCCACATACAAACCTGTATATAAATGTTCCTAGAAGCATTATTTATAATAGCCAAAAGGTAGAAACAACCCAAATGTTCATCAACAAATGGAAAAACAAAATATGGCGTATCTGTACAATGGAATATTATTCAGCCATAAGAAGAATAAAAGTATTGATAGATGCTACAATATGCTTGAACCTTGAAAAAATTATGCTGAGTAAAGGAAGCCAGTCACAAAAGGCCACATACTGTAGAATTCCATTTATAATAGATGTTCAGAAAAAGCAAATTCATTGAGCTAGAAAGTAGACTGATGATTGTCAAAGATGGGAAATGGGGGATGTGGGAGGGAGAATGGGGGGTGCCTACCGATGGGTATGGGTTCCTTTTTGAGGTGATGAAAACGTTCTGAAATTAGTGACGGATGCACAACTCTGAATGTAAGACCACCGAACTGTATATTTAAAAGGGTGAATTCTATCCCAATAAAGCTGTTACCAAAAACAAATACATGGAGGACTCCTGGCATACCGTAGCTACGCATTACAACTTCCAAAGCCTCTTTTGGAAAGAGATAAACTGAAATTCAGGGTAGCCCAAGCTGTTTTAGGCAGACAGAATATTTTCAGCAGAATTTACTGATGCATTGTTTTGTGTGTTTTTTTGAAAGTGTACAATTCAGTGGTATTTAGTGTATCGCAATGTTGTACATTGGTTCAATTCTCAGTATTTTAGAACCTGTAAATCAGTAAGTTGATTAACAAATCTACTGAGTACCCCATTCTGAGTCATTTCTAGGTATTCTGGGAAGTAAGGAGGGAAGCACAGTTCTCATCCTCAAGAAACCGAAATCATTCTTAGGAAGAGAAGACATGCAGTGAAGAAGATGTCAGCATATGATGGACCTTCAGAGACAGCAAAGAAAATTATCTCCATGGAGAAACAGGATTTCTAGATTGGGTTTTCCCCGGTATTTAGCAGACGCAGAAAATTCTGGTTTTCACAGGAAAAAAAGGATAAAGAAATGAGTAAAAACAGATCAAATGTATATATTTTTAAAACTCCACAAAACTATAGGGTCACAAAATGACTTAAGAAGCAACATTAAATGGCAAAGCCAATCATTCACCATGAGTGTTGATGACCATCTGAAATGAGCATTAGTGTCCTAACACTTAACGAACATGTCACTTGTCCCTGTTCCAGCCCGGGCCACGCCCTACATGTCTTTCTGCTCTCACAGTGCTAGTGCAGAGTCCTGCACACAATCAAAAGAATGAATGTTGTCATCATCCTTAAACACAAGCAGACACAGGACAGGTCTTGCTACATTCAGGCAGAGGCCCTTACTGCTTGTCTGAAGTGTGTGTCACAGTATGGAAATCAATTTCTTGACTCCTACATCAAGTTACTACTTGATTAGTATCTTCTATAATGGTAACAGATGAAAACTCAAAATGTAAACAAAAGGGAGACACCACAGCACAGTGGTTAAGAGCACAGGCTCTGGAGTCAGATCTGGTTTGGGGGTTACCAGCTATGTGACTTTGGGCAAGAGATCTGACTCCTCTGAGTCTGTCTCCTCATCTGTGAAATGGAATGCAATTGCACCTAACAATGGGGTCTTGTGAGAGTTAAGAGACATTTCTTGAGGGTTTACTATGTGTCCTCAAAAAACGGTTGGCTGGCATTATGAAGACTGGGAACTCTCACAAATCAGGAAGGTCTGAAAGAGGCCACTTTTCCCCATCCTCATTGTCTTCGTCTTCTTTGCAAAGGCCTCTGGGTCTAGTAGTGCCTGGAATAGACCAGGAGCTGACAGGCTTGCCAGGGACCTTTGCTGAATGGCCCAAGGAACTAGGATACAGGTGCACGGCAGACCTGGGAGACAGTGAAGAAAAACCACAACTGGGAAGGCTTTCCAGAGTTAATTTGGAGACTGGCTTCAGGAATGCTGGCTATACCTAGGGCCTAGTTATTTGGTTAGCCCAGAGATTGTTCTGAACGACATCTGATGGTGCAATGACTTCACACCTCACTGTCTACATTGTCATATAAATTCACACTATGAGTCTAAACAGGTTTTTGCTTACCATTTAGAGGGGTTAAACAGCATCAGAGGAGGTTCAAATATATAAACTGAAACTGGTCAAAAAAGAATAGCCACATTTCAGAAAATATACCATTGGTGAGCTTTTTTTCCGTGATAAGGCTAATATTTTTTAAAAGGAGGCACAGTGAATTTAAGACATTGACATTTATAGCCGTAGCTCGACGCTTACTCTTGGAGGCCCAATTATCATCCCTGTCCATCTTGTAAGTGTCATGTCTTCGTCATCTTCTAGACCCCAGCTAACTGTGCCATCTCCTACTCCTTTCTGGCCTTCTTCGAGTTCTTCCAACAGTCGGAAATTGCGAGGGACTTTTACTCCTAAAATAAATGGAAAGAAATTCAAGATACCAGCAACTCCAGGGGAACTTGTAAGCCTAGAGCTAGCTGCTCATTATCTCTCCCTGGGAATCAAGATGCTAACATGCAAAAAAATCACGGAAAGTTATCACACCTCAAACTTGCTACTTATAAAGCTATCAGTATCAACCAGCACAACCAGAGGGAAGGGGCACATGGTTCTCTGACAGGTGAAGTGACTAGGGCTAGATAACCAAACTTAGAAAGATACCCCACCCCTACCCCTTGGACAAACCTCCTAAGGGGCTTACATGTCTAAATGTCTATGAATTGGGGTCAACTAGTATGAGATGAAAACCATCAATATCAGGTGCTAACAAAAGTACCTTGGAAGACAAGAGGCTAAGACTACGCTTATTTGTTGGCATGACTCTCAAACAACCTTTAGGAGGAATAGTCACCATGGATATGGGAAATAAAAATGGTATCCTCTTAATCAACTAAGAGTCAACTGAAGGCACCAAGGATAAAATATTCTATTGTTTTTCAATTATTTAAGTGATAGTTTCTCTTTTAACTTACAAAAAAGCTAAAAGGGAATAGCTGGTTCTCAATTGTTTTCCAAAAATCCCAAAGCCTGGCAAGTAGCTCTTGAAAGCAACGCATGAAAACACCTCACAGGTTCAAGCCACAGTACCGGGTTCAGGCTGAGGCTTGAGCCATTTCTAGGTGTCTTCCAGAACAGAACCTAGGTACTGGGGCCAGACAAGGGAGGGGGCTATGGGAGGAGAGAGAGATGGACTTTCCTTCTGTGCTTGGGGAACAAATCATCTCTCCTAGGGTTGCACTCCCAACCAATCCTGACTGTCTCTCCTTCCTCCATTTTCCCTGGCATATGCACTATTTTCTCTGGAAAAAACTCAGGATCCAGTCAAGTTTCAAGTTCTCTGCCTTGAATGCTGAGCTCTCAATTGGCCAGACTCTCAGAGACAAACAGGACTAACCATGTGACTGTGAAGAGAGGCTCACTGGAGGGACCCCAGATTGTGGGAGGTGTTGCCAGTATATGTATTTCCCAAAGTGTAGGACACACGCCATTAATTCAATTGGAATAAATATTTGAGTACTTAGTATACATCGGGGACTTTTCTAAGCACTGAAGAACAAGCAGTGAATAAAACAAAAATGCCTGCAGCTTACATTCTAGTAGAAGACATATAATGGACAAAAATGAATATGTAAATTATACAGTATGACAGATCCTGGTGTTCCGGAGGAGGGAGTAATACGGGAGGGGCTATACTTTTAAATGGAGGGATAAAGGAAAAGTGTTATTGCAATCAGGTGTCATAACTAAAGACCTAAAGAAGGTGAGAGGGCATGATTTATGGATAGCTGAGGAGAAAGTCTTTGAGACAGAGCAAACAAGTGCAAAGGCCCTAAAATAGAGGCTGCTTAGGGTGTCAAAGGACAGCAAGGAGGCCAATTTAGCTCAAACCAAGTGAGGAAGATGAGAGAGCAAGAGGAGATTAAGGATGCCAACTGTTACTGAGTGACATGATCTGTCTTGTTTTTAATAGGATCCCTCAGACTGCTGTGTGAGGATGAGAGTGAAGGGAGCAAGGGCAGAAGCAGCTAGGAGGCTACTGCAATAATCCTAGCAAAAGATAATACCCGTTTGGACCAGGGTGATAGCAGGAAAGTAGTGAGGAGTGGCGTAATTCTAGGCATTTCAGAGGTCTGAGCTGTGGAGATTTGCTATCAGGTTGCCTGTGAGGTGTGAGAGACAAGAGTCAACTACAGCTCCCAGGTTTTTGGTCCAAGCAACTGAAGGACAGAGTTGGTAGTGGTATGTTAGAGGACTTTCGGTGGTATGTGATTGAACACTTCGTTTTACAGTCACGTATTTATGTTTAAGAATAACTTATTTAGGGTAAGTAATATACTAACTTCCCATTTATAATAATGGTAAAAGTTTCCTTTAAAATAAATGTAAGCAAAAGAGTCAGTTGATTACAAGAAAAATATTAAATAGTACTACATATGGTATTTGAAAGGAAACAGCAAAACCTGCAAGCATACTTGAACTGCTTGTTTGGAAAACACTGGCATTTTCATCTGCACAGCAGCCAACTGGATTATTCAGCTATACTGGATTAAGTCTCCTGTAGCAAACATAAAACTGAAAGATAGTGGTGACATTATAGGCAAAAAGCCAGACAACACAACTATTGTTCAGAAAGGGTTCAATCTAAATCTTTAATAATCCTAATTAGGCTAGCGGGGGAAAAGTCACTACATTACTACTGGTTAATTTACAAGCCTGCACTAATAAAAATGAACATCAAAAGAATCATATTGATAGGAAGGCTGATGACTGAGGTACTTGTTCACAGATCGTGCTATGGGCTGGGCTGAACTGTGTTCCCCTCAAATTTATATACTTAAGTCCTAACTCCCAGTACCTCAGAATGTGACAAAACCTGCTGACACCTTGATCTTGGGCTTCTGGTCTCTAGAGCTGTGAGAAATTTGTTGTTTAAGCCCCACCCAGTCTATGGTATTTTGTTATGACAGCACTAGCAAACTCATATAGATGATAAGTGACATCTTAAGGAGCTTTATAGAGTTGGTAAGGATACAGAACAAGATGTTAACAGCTGTTATCTCTGGGTAAAAGAATTATGGATGATTCCCCCTACTTTCTCTATTTCCTGATTTTTTTACAACAATCCCATGTTATTTGCATAACAAAAAACCAATTAGGAACCATTTCAACTGCACCCCCACGCAAGGACCTACCCAGGGCCTGTGCGACTGTCATTCCTGCTGTCCAGAAGGCTCCTTCCCCTAGGAATCCATAAGCCAAGCTCCCTCAGCTTCTTTAGGGCTTTGGTTGTCCAGCACTTCATCTCAATAAGGATCAAGGGTTCTTCTCTGAGTAGGAATCTCACTTAACGGCATTCCTTAAGTGACTAACTTTTAATGGACAATGATTTTAATGTTACTAAAACTTGGTCAGCTGGGTATGGCAGCTCACACCTGTAATCCCAGCACTTTGAGAGGCCAAGACAATCGTCTGAGGCCAGGAGTTCGAGATCAGCCTGGGCAACATGGAGAAATCTCATGTCTACAAAAAAATACAAGAATTAGCTGGGCATGGTGGTGCCCACCTGTAGTCCTAGTTACTCAGGAGGCTGAGAGGGGAGGGTCACTTGAGCCAGGAAGGCGGAGGTTGCAGTGAGGCGAGACTGCACCACTGCACTCCAGCCTGGGCGACAGAGTGAGACCCTGTCTCAAAAACCAAAAATAAACAAAAAATAATAAATAAATTAGCTGGGTGTGGTGGTGCACACCTGTAGTCCCAGCTGCTTAGGAGGCTGAGACAGGAGGACTGCTTGAGCCTGGAAGGTCAAGTCTGTAGTGAGCTATGATCACGCCACTGCATTCCAGCCTGGGCAACAGAGCAAGAACCTGTCTCTATTTAAAAAAAAAAAAAAAAAAAAGACGGGGCGCGGTGGCTCACACCTGTAATTCCAGCACTTTGGGAGGCCGAGGTGGGTGGATCATGAGGTCAAGAGTTCAAGATCAGCCTGGCTAGTATGATGAAACTCCGTCTCTACTAAAAATACAAAATTAGCCGGGCGTGGTGGTGTGCACCTGTAGTCCCAGCTACTCGGGAGGCTGAGGCAGAAAAATTGCTTGAACCCTGGAGGCAGAGGTTGCAGTGAGCTGAGGTTGCACCACTGCACTCCAGCCTGAGTGACAGAGCAAGACTCCATCTCCAAAAAAAAAAAAGTGTTAAGACTGTCAAATAAATGGCAAAGTATAACAGCTTCTACAGTTAAGCCCTTCATTACTGAATGGAAGCTGTATTACACAAGTGACCTCTATTTTGAGTTGCTCTTTTTGGCAAGACAAAAAAATGTGTTAGTTTCTTATGTCAGGTATTTAAATGTCAGCTGGACTATTTATAGTAGGACTATTCCTCTTGCAAACTTAAGCAAAGAACTTCTCTATGGCTGAAAGGTTACCTTTTCACCTAACAATCAGATCTGATTAGGAAATCCTAACATTCAAATATCACAAGCTTGTTGCTATTAGTTTCAAAACAGTGAATTCAAGTTATAATTTTCTGATATTTAATTTTTACTTGTGAAGTAGGGCAAAATATATTAGTAATTAATCCTATACTTCCAACATACATTTCTACTGGATTAGATATTCGATTACTTAAAAACAAGTGTGCAAAGCCCACACATACAACTGAACCAAAGAAATAAGTCAGGTCAATTTATTTTAGGCTAGGATTTGGAACAGGAATTGAGACCCACAGAGGGAAAGGTCAGCTTTCTTTTGTTCCTGCATTATAGGACAATTTGATTCTGACTCAAGTTGTAAAGCCAGCACCAGAAACAGTTTAATAAATGAAAAACTTTGGACTGGCCAATATCTATCTGTATTGCAACTAGGAGTTGTGATATACATATAAATATCTATAACTGCTATCTACTGAACAATTACAATAAACATTTATTTCATTTGAACAGCAGTTCTCAAACCTTTTGCTCTCAAGAATGCTTTATACTCTCAAAATCATTGAAGACCTCAAAGAACTTTTTTTTTTTTTTTTTTTGAGACAAAGTCTCGCTCTTGTTCCCTAGGCTGGAGTGCAATGACGCAATCTCAGCTCACTGCAACCTCTGCCTCCTAGGTTCAAGCAATTCTCATGATGTTTAATGTGTATAGAACTGGACTTCACATTTATAAGCAAAAAAAAAAAAAAAAAAAAAAAAATTTTACACATTTCAGGACCACAGTGAAAAAAAGTTTGCTTGGCTTTTTACCTGCTTGTCAAAATTTCCCTATACATAAATTATCAGTAACATATAGGCACACACACCTTCTCTCAGTGTGATAGTTATCCAATACCTATCCAGCACTTTGCTAGACAATCTAGGGGCTATGAACAAAATAAAAACTGGGGTCTCCCTAACACAGTCTAAGGTGTCAGTGTGGAAACAAGATATACACAAAGGGCAATGAAATAAAACCATATCAAAGCACGAGAAACAGAACCTACCAGAGGACACTGTTACTTAGCCTTTGAGGGCTCACAGCCTTCTCTGAAATCTGACAAAAGATGAAGAGGTTGGAGCCATGTTACTACTGGACTTTACCTTAAGGGTAATCGGGGGGAGCTGCAAAAGGCTCAGAGTAGGGCAAGAGATAAGGCATATCCAAGTCTCCTAGGTAATGATCAGCTTTGGGGTGTGCTACTGCTAACGTCTCAGGATATAGAGCCAGAAGCATTTGCCTAGAGCAAACACTGTGACCGAACATGTGGCATCAAACTTCTTATAGGCCTGCGTGATGGGAAGTAGAAGAGATGTAGAAGATAGGGTAATTAATTCAACAGCTCATATTCATTTGCATGACTGTGGTGGTAGTTCAAAAAACAACAACAACAAAAAACAAAAAAACTGGCCTGTACCCAGTACTTCAGATAAATACCTGTTGAAAATTTTTTAAATCGAGTAAAAAAGGACAAAAGGTCTGCAAACCTCATTTTCTAAAAAACAAACACAAAAGCAACCTTGTATGCATCCTTGCATGTTCATTGTACTCTCACCAATGATCTTGGGGTGTCATGACCCAGAATCACTAACGTAAGGATACCTGGTCTACCACTCTGTTTTTAAAAGACAGGTCAGAGTAATGGATATATTACCTCCCACATGCGCTACCATGCCTGACTAATTTTGTATTTTTAGTAGAGACGGGGTTTTTCCATGTTGGTCAGGCTGGTCTCGAACTCCCGACCTCAGGTGATCCGCTGGCCTCAGCTTCCCAAAGTGCTGGGATTACAGGTGTGAGCCACCGTGCTCGGCCGACGATCCTCTTAAAGGTAAACTAGGTGCCCTCGCTCTCCTACCAGAAGCCTACTCTTGGCCTCCCGTTGCACCCGCAATCCACCCAAACTTGTCACCTGGCCGAGAGAGCCCCACCTGCTTCGCCAACATCATTTTGTGCCACTCTGCCTTGCTCCCCCATCCTCCTCCAGCTACACCAGTCCTTCTCTAAGTTTCTGAAGAGGCATCCTTACATCCCGCCTTTGTATTTGTGAGTCCCTCACCCTGGAATTCTCTGTCCCAGAGCTGTGAATGGCTGACTGGTTCCCTTGTCCTCAACCAAGGGTCTAACTGTCCATTCCCTTATCTTGCCTTATTTTTCTTCATAGTACTCATTGCCACTCGACATTGTAAATATATTCATTTTCACTTTATTGGTTGTTTCTTGTCTGTCTCCCATCTGAACATAAGCTCCATGAGAGTAAAACTTCATCTGTTTTGTTCACTGCTGAATCTCCAATGTGTCAGGGTGTTTTGCCCTCTAGAGTAAGCACCCAAATACTTATTGAAAGAATTAATGAATGACTAGGTATTAGCTAGGAACAGTATTTCAGAATGAACAACGCTCAATGTCACAAAATTCTAATCTGGTTTATTTTTGAAAATACAAGAGAGAAACATTCACAGCACCATTATCTGGGAGTCTAACATTATAAGGATTATTAAAGGGGCTTAGTATGAATTTTAAAGCCTAAGAACAGTTATATATTAAGAGGCAGAGTCCCACTCTGTTACCCAGGCTGGAGTGCAGTGGTGTGATTTTGGCTCGCTGCAACCTCGGTCTCCTGTGTTGAAGTGTTTCTTGCACCTCAGCCTCCCAAGTAGCTGGGATTACAGGCGCCTGCCACCACGCCCAGCTAATTTTTGCATTTTCAGTAGAGACGGGGTTTTACCATGTTGGCTAGGCTGGTCTCAAACTC
This sequence comes from Homo sapiens, assembly GCF_000001405.40. Taxonomy (NCBI): domain Eukaryota; kingdom Metazoa; phylum Chordata; class Mammalia; order Primates; family Hominidae; genus Homo; species Homo sapiens. The sequence continues at coordinate 50,103,632 of NC_000020.11, forward strand.
CTGGCCTCAAGTGATCTGCCCGCCTTGGCCTCCCAAGGTGCTGGGATTACAGGCATCAGCCATTGCACCCGGCCTGACTATAATAATTTTAAAAGCTATAAAGCTTAATTAGAAGCCAGGCAGTCAGGAGAGGCCCTCTCAGAGACCCCGGTCCCGGTCCCAAACACCTTTACTTCCACACAGGCATGTGTGGTATGTTTTCTTTACATTTGATTTTCTTCCTTTTTTATTGTCTGACTCACTCTCTAAGTTTCTCAAGTCAGAGCTGTGACTCATTCAATCCCGCCTCCCCAGAATCTGGTATGCTGTCTGGCATATAATGATACTCAATATCAATAAATGTTTGCTGGTTGAAGAAATGGCAGTATCAGGCCAGGCGTGGTGGCTCATGCCTGTAATCCCAGCACTTTGGAAGGCTGAGACAGGCGGATCACGAGGTCAGGAGATCGAGATCATCCTGGCCAACGTGGTGAAACCCTGTCTCTACTAAAAATACAAAAATTAGCTGGGCGTGGTGGTGCGCGCCTGTAATCCCAGCTACTCGAGAGGCTGAGGCAGGAGAATTGCTTGAACCTGGGAGGCGGAGGTTACAGTGAGCCGAGATCGCGCCACGGCACTCCAGCCTGGCAATAGGGCCAGACTCCGTCTCAAAAAAAAAAAAAAAAAAGGCAGTATTTCCTATTGTAAACTCTAATCTACTGGGTCCAAAATATTGGACACTGTTGCCATATAATTAACATACCTGGCTGGGCGCGGTGGCTCACGCCTATAATCCCAGCACTTTGGGAGGCCGAGGCGGGCGGATCACGAGGTCAGGAGATCGAGACCATCCTGGCTAACACGGTGAAACCCCGTCTCTACTAAAAATACAAAAAATTAGCCGGGCAAGGTGGCGGCTGCCTGTAGTCCCAGCTACTCGGGAGGCTGAGGCAAGAGAATGGCGTGAACCCCAGGGGGCGGAGCCTGCAGTGAGCCGAGATTGCGCCACTGCACTCCAGCCAGGGCGACAGTGAGACTCTGGCACAAAAAAAAAAAAAAAAAAAAAATTAACATACCTAAGGTTTTTTATTTTGAGATAAGTAAAATTTGGTAACCATTTCTAATTTATTTTTAGAGATGGAGTCTCACTCTGTCACCCAGGCTGGAGTGCAATGGCGCAATCTCGGCTCACTTCAACCTTCACCTTCTGGGTTCAAGCGATTCTCCCGCCTCAGCCTCCCGAGTGGCTGGGATTACAGGCACGCGCCACGACACCCAGTTAATTCTCATATGTTTAGTAGAGACGGGGTTTCACCATGTTGGCCAGGCTGGTCTCAGACTCCTGACCTCAAGTGATCCACCTGCCTCAGCCTCCCAAAGTGCTGGGATTACAGGCATGAGCCACCACACCCAGCCTAGTTTTATTTTTAATAAATGAGAATTTTAGGAAAACTTACCATTTTTTTTAAAATAAGGGAAAACTGGTTTCTCACCCAAATCACATAAGTCAAAGAATTCTTCACTATAAAATGAACTTTGTTTCATAAAGTATGTATGAAAGCAAGTTACTAATATTTCAAACCATTTAAAAACTGCATACAAAGTTACATCAATATTTTCTACAAAACAAAAGAGCATTTAATTCCAAATGGCCTAATCACACCCTAGTTATAGAATTCAGGGTCTACTCCAGGGACATAAGTCCAAATATGGTTGGAATTCAGAGATCCTGCAGACTTCAGGATGTATCAGTGACAAGCGAAAAGCTCATCCTATCCTAAATAGAGTTTAAATTCAAAATCACGGTACATTAAACAAAACATTTTAGTGAATATATTAAAAAATTAAACGTACATATGCCAAAGAACAGAAGCACAACAGATGAGAAAACCCAAGAATACTCTAACATATGTTTTGGTCCTCTAGCACTTTAATCAATTGAATCAACATAAAATTTTAGGATTCCCAATATTTCTGTGTGAATCTGACACCAAAAAGGCAGCTGGAGAAACAGCATCAAGTGACAATATGGAAGACATAAAAATGGACTCTTACAGGCCAGGCGCAGTGGCTCACACCTGTAATCTCAGTACTTTGAGAGGCCGAGGTGGGAGTTTGAGACCAGCCTGGCCAACATGGTGAAACCCCATCTCTATTAAAAATACAAAAATTAGCCAGTTGTGGTGGCACATGCCTGCAATCCCAGCTAATTGGGAGGCTGAGGCATGACAATCACTTGAACCCGGGAGGTGGAGGTTTCAGTGAGCTGCGATCATGCCACTGCAGCCCAGCCTGGGCAACAGAGACTCGTCAAAAAAAACAAAAAACAAAAAAACAAAAAAACAAAAAACAAACAAACAAAAGGACTCTTATAATCTTGCAAAACCAAGAGAACTACAGGCTCTATAATAGCTAGGAAGTACACTAGGAAAATCTATAGCTAATGATAAGTATAATCAAATAGACTATGACTATTAAAAAGTGAATTATGAAAATGCTAAAAAAAAAAACTTCATCAAGGTGCTAAAATATCACAGTAATCCAAGACTTTTTGAAGAAAATATTTGTTCCTATTATTTCAGAATTATTCTTTCCAGAAGGCTTTTTCCTGGACCTGTGTCAGTATCAAAAGTCAGCCGGTTATTCTCTTAGCTAAATATAAACTGAAAAGACAGCAGTTGCAGGATATTACAAAGAAAATATGGCAACCAGGTTGAAAAAGCATGAATATTTGATAGAGCTTTACACCATGCCACAGTAAAACATTTAATGCAGTAATCTGAAACACAGCAACATATTAATATATTTGTGGTACAAAAAGGATTCTGAAGTCGTTTAAAACATCTTTTGGGAAAATCATGGCCACCAAGCAGCAGCTACCACAGCATGTCAATCTTGGAAAACCCTGGCCTAGGTCTTGAATTAAAATGGTAGAGCTGGCTGGGCGTGGTGGCTCACACCTGTAATCCCAACACTTTGGGAGGCAGAGATGGGTGGATCACCTGAGGTCGGGAGTTCGAGAACAGCCTGACCAAGATGGAGAAACCCCGTCTCCACTAAAAATACAAAATTAGCTGGGCGTGGTGGCGCATGCCTGTAATCGAGCTACTCAGGGGGCTGAGGCAGGAGAATCACTTGAACCTGAACCTGGGAGGCAGAGGTTGCGGTGAGCCAAGATAGCACCATTGCACTCCAGCCTGGGCAACAAGAGTGAAACTCTGTTTCAAAACCAAAAACAACAACAACAACAACAACAACAACAACAAAAAAAAAAAAACAAAAAAAAGGTAGAACCTCAGAGGTTTCTCCTGAAAAGAAAGCTGCTAGTTAAAAATGGTTTGGTTGCCCATTCAGGGAAGACAGTGAACTGAGCTAGGAATCTGATGCTGCTCCCACTTCAGAAAATGAGGAGGTATGGAAGGTGATGCACTGGGATTCAACGTCCCTGAAAACTGGACATAGAGCCATAAGCAAGTAACTTTTATTTCTGAGCAACCGCCCAAGTGTAGTCTGGCTGTCTAGTTAGCCTGCCCAGGAGATCTGTTCTTCTCCTTCTCTAGAGCAATGGTTCTCCAAGTTAGTCCCCAGACCTCATCGCAAACTCGCTAGAAATGTACATTCTCAGGTCTTCAGCCCAGAATTCCTGAATCTGAAACTCCAAGGTTGGGCCTAAGAATCTGACAAGCCCTCCAGGACTCTGAGGTATACTAGTTTGAGATCCATTGCTCTAGGGGAATTCTAGGGAAAGAATTAGTAGCAAGCTGTCATTCTTTACAGTCCAGCCACGTGACAACAGCTAGTGACAGAATGCAAGACCCTGTGTTCTGCTGCTAGGGTCAGTGACCAAGACCAAGCATCAGATTTTCTTTGACAAAGGGGGAAACAAGATGTGGGAAATGAGTCAGGACAACTGGAGAAGGGGAGGATGGTTAATTCTACGATCAAGTACCTCTATAAATACCACCAAATAAGGATAAGAGTTTCAGTTTTTTGAAAGGCTGAATAGCCACTTTTGCTTCTGCCCTATCGGATACATTGTTTCTCCACAAATTGTCAAATGTATCCATTTGGCTACATCAAAGAGATTCTGAATTAACTCACTGCAACATTCACAAATATTTACTGAGTACCTACTATTTTGTCCAGAACTGTGCTGGTGCTAGGGACACAACAGAAGTTGAGATAGAATCTTGCCCTAGTGAAAAGGCATAGAAAATATGCAACGAAACAACACTTCAGGTAAGGTTAAGTGCTTTAGAGAAACAGAACAAAACAAGAAGCTGTGACAATGACTAAAAAACTATTGAATGGAGTGCTCAGGGACGGCCTTTCTGGGTAGCTGCGACCTGAAGAACAGCAGTCAGGCCCATGAAGATCTGGGGACAGAGCAAGATCAGAGGTGTGTGACACCACATGAAGTCAAGGCGGCAGGGCCTTGTGGGCCATGGAAAAGGGATGGGTTATTCTGTAATAAGAGCAGTGGGAAGGGCTTGCTGAAGGGGAGTGGCAGTTTCTATTTTACGTCTGTGAAAGATCATTCTGTCTCCTGTATAGAAAATGGAAAGGGCAAGACTGAAAGCAAGAGGCTTTTTCCATCTTCCAGGCAAGAGAAAGACGGTTCTGGTTAGATTAGGATGACAAGAGTGGAGACAGAAAGGAGGATTTGGCATTTAGTTTGGGGTTACACCTACTGGACTTGTGACAGGGTGGATGTGAAGATGAGGAAAGACTACTACTTGAGAGGTCACTGCCATCTACCCATGAATAAGCTAATCAGCCAAGGCAGAAATAACAGACATGCCAATGGCTGAAGATGCTTGCGAGGCCTACCTCAGAGAATAAGAAATGGGGGCTGGAAGAACGATCATCCGGCCAAGAGCACGTGTCCTGAAGCAACACCATCCCAGAGCACCCAGGCTCTGCACCTCAGGCTAGTCACTCCTCTCCTGGCCTGTTTCCTCACCTTCACAATCGATACCTGCCTCAATGGGCTGTTGTGACAAGTGAGATAATGTAGTTAATACAGTGTCTAGCACTTAGTAAACCCAAGAGTGCAACTTAAAAAGAAGTCTGATGGCTTGCATGTAAATAAGGATGAGGTACTACTTTGTACCTGCCATGATGGGGCTCCAAGCCCAAGAGGTGTGAGTCATTCAGTATAAAATATAAGCAAGAGCTTCCTGAAAAAAGGACCTCACTCTCCTTGGACAGCACATAACCCAGAAGAGGACAAACAGTGGCCAGAGATGCTATAAAAAGGGTTCCTGAAACGGGTAGCAGTAGACACTTCTTACTAAAGCCCTTTCTCTCTCCAAGATTAAACACTCCAAGACTTAGGAAGAACATATCCCTAAATCCATGCCTTTTCCATTTCCTGCAGGCTGGTGAGGGAACAGGAGTTAAAAATGCCTGGGCTCTAGTCCGAGCATCACCAGTCTCCCTTGGCTTTTGGCTCCTCCCTCAGTAATGTGGGTGGATACTGCCCCTGGCTGGTGACCAGGCTGTGGAGAGTTAGATGAGACAACATCACAGGTAAGTCGAAGTCTATGGGACACTCTAAAGCACTATCCACAATACAACAGTAATAGTATTCAAACATTTACTTTGCCAAATGTGCTGCTCTGAACTTCACTGTGCCCCTTCAAAATTAAGCAGAGGATTCCTGACTTCATATTTTGTATTCTACTTTTACCAAATTACTGCAGAGCTACAATTTGTGGGGAGGTGGGAGGGATAGAGATATGAAGAGAAAAGAGAATGTGGTGGGGGAAATAGAGTGGTTTTCAGTTAACATGAAGGGGGAAAATCATGATCATCAAAATTAACCTTGGTAATCCCTTAAGAAAATAATAGCTTGCAGCCCGGCACGGTGACTTACGCCTGTAATCCCAGGACTTTGGGAGGCTGAGACGGGCGGATCATGAGGTCAGGAGTTTGAGACCAGACTGACCAACATGGTGAAACCCTGTCTCTACTAAAAATACAAAAATTAGCCAGGCGTGGTGGCGCGTGCCTGTGATCCCAGCTACTCAGGAGGCTGAGGCAGGAGAATCGCTTGAACCTGGGAAGCAGAGGTTACAGTGAGCCAAGATCACGCCACTGCACTCCAGCCAGGTGACAGGGCGAAACTCCGTCTCAAAAAAAAAAAAAAAAAAAAAGCTTGCACTAGCCCAACAAAGCCAGTTTCCCCTCCATCACTGGAGCAGGCTGCTATTTCTTTGGCTGAGCACAATATGAAGCTGTTCTTTGAATGTAGGGCCCATGTTGTACAAAAGGCACTTAATTACAATTGGCATAAGATGCTCACACAGTGAGACATACAGGAACTGAGAAGAACTAAGGGACTGTGAGTTTTCATCCATTTCCAGCTCTCTCTGGGGAAGACTCTTGAATGGAAGGGAAGACTAATCTCTGCTGCCCACATGGTTAAGTTTTTATAAGCTGAATGTGCATATGAGGCCACTCCGATGTATGCAAATTTAAAATCATGCCCCACCAGGGCTTACCCCTCTGGCACTCATTTTCTGATTAAATGTCAGGGAAGCTCGTGGGCTGCTGAGTGAGAGGAAGGGCCTGGCAACCAAGGGCCACTATTTGATGTGCTGCAATCCTGGCCAAGGCAGGAGGAAGTCACCCGTCATAACATGGGGATTCTGAGGATCTGTGGTGGGCTTTTCACAGTTCCACCCTCTAAGACATATGTAGATATCACACATTGCAGAACCAAAGGAAGTGGGAAGGTGGTGTAGCCAAATGCTGAAAGCAGTGACCATAAAAAACTAAGTTCAGCCCTTACAGGAACTCAAAGGCTTCACAGCTGTTTCCTGGCAACCGGAGGCACAGATTAATCAAGAGCCTCACTCTAAACCTGACTAAGGAAGGCCTCTGGGCCCTGACCACACCTGGAAGACTTCTCAGGGTTAGAAAGCAGAGAGGCCTGTACACTCATTTTAGTTTACCCCAAGTAAGGTCTGCTTTACTCTTAGCACCCTGCACTCTTTTCACTGCCTAGGGACGAAGGTCAGATCTTATCATACTCCTCTTTTTAAGACTCTTATTCATTCATTCAACAAATATTTACTGAATGCCTACTTCATACCAGACACTTGTTTGATGGCTTCCCCTCATACCATCTCAAATCCAAAGCCATGTCTCTCCAACTCATCTCCTTAACAAGCCTTGCTTGCACATGAAGGCCTTTTATCCTGTTATTTCAACATGCCAAGCAGAGTCCCACCACAGGGCCTTTGCACTAACAGCCCACTCTCTCTCCTGCCTGTGACACTGTAGGGTTAGCTCTTTCCATTATTTGACTCAGCTGAAATGTCACTTTCCTGACCACCTCTCCAGACACTATCACATCACACAATTTCCTCCATAGCACTTACTGCTATCTGAAATTGTCTTATTTACTCCTTAACAGCCTTCTCTCCCTGACTTGAATGGAAGCTCCCGAAGGATACAGACTATGTCCATTTTGTTTGCTATCCACGATGGGACATAATAGGCCCTCAGTAAATATCTGTTGAATAAACAGACAAAAGAATTTTGGGAAGTCCATTTTAGGGCACCTCAAAGCCTGTCCTATGTTATCTAAACCATGCCAAGTGCTCTTGTATTCCACTAGACAGCAGCTGACATTTTATCTGATCACCATAGCCATTTATGAAGCACTCACTTTTTAACTGTCAGGGTCTGGAGAAGTTAGAACCGGGCAGCTGTTAACCCAGATTGTAGGTAGCCAACCGAGTGACTGCAAGCAGGGCTGAGCTGCAACAGCACCTTATTGCTGGCTACCACCAGCACACTGGGCCCCTTCGTTTATTACGACCCGGTAGGAGTGTTATTCTGGTGAGAAGTTTTACCCAGCAGTCTGGCCTGACTCAGAATCTCTCTTCTGGGAGTGCCTGGGGCAGCGTCATGGTAAATGAATTGACTCAGCACTGTTCCAGCTGAAACCAAAATCGAGTAAAAGGATTCATGGTCTCCGCTATTCTGCAAGAAGACCCCACTGTTTTAAACTCAAAAGGCAGCAGCTTGTGGTGGGTCACTTCAGTCAGATCCCCCACATTCAATTTCTTTTATTCCCACCCCAACCATCAGGCAAGTATGGCTCCTTGAGACCGCAGAGTAGCAACATTTATAAAGAATTCCCCTCACCCTATTTCCCATGGATCACCAATTCCTTCCCAACACTGCCGCTGCTGTGGCCTTAAATATGCCAATGATTGCTGTACTCAGGCTGGTGTCCCTGCAGCCCCACAGTGGGGAACACTGTGGCCCTGTTTGCTTCCTCCATCAGAGAGGTAACCCATTTTCACCCCATCTGAGAGAACCTCCTTGGCCAACTTCACTGCCAGGCACCTGAGGGTGCAGCCTCACCCAAGAGTTCCCATTTCATCTATTCACCTCCCTACTCCCATCAGCCAGTGGGGAACTTCTGAGCTGAACCCACATATCTGTCCCAATTATTAAAGGAGTCGATGAGAGTGAGCGTCTCCACAGAAGAGACACTTCTAGGATATGCTTCCCTCACTCAATTCAAAAAGAGGAGACTTTTCTCCTTTACAGGAAACATCTCCGGAACCCGACCTTTTCCACTCCCTCATTTCAGGGGCTTCCCTCAGTTGAATCCCCACTCCCAAAGAGACATCCTCGGGGCTCCCAATTCATCTGTTCTCCCTCATCCAATATCAGAGGCTTCCACCAACTGCCCCACTCGGACCTTGTCCCCTGAAACCTAACTTGAAGCAATCCATCTGTATCCTCGAACAGGAGACTGGTAATGATGGGGTCATTTCACTATCACCGCTATTAGGTCCCTCTGGCATCTGAATCCTTTTCCCTCCTCTCACTTATCATGCGGAGACCCCCTTCATTCTCCCCAAAAGCAGCTGCTCCAAGGCTCCTCCTTTCTAGTCAACATAGCTATTTCCTCAGCTAACCCCATCTCTAAAACTAACGCCGGAGCCGTTCCCTCAACCGATAGGGGATCCTCTCAAGTCACCCCCTCAGGATCCCGTTTCTTCCATCCAGCCTGAAGGGCTTCTCTGATGTCCCCTCCAGACATCCCAAGGCCCCTCTCAGCCGCACCCCTGGCACCCAGTATGGGACTTCCATCCGCTGTGGGGCGCCTCCTCTAGGGGACCTCTAGATCGCCCCTTAAGAGTCGCCAGCCCCGGTATCCTCAGGAGTGCCTCGGAGCTCGCTCCTCGCCCACTCCGGCTCCCCCAGACAGCACAGAGGGCCCTCACGCCTCCCGGGGGAGCCTCAGGGCCTCGCCGCGCCGCCCACAGGCCCCTCAGCCCCCCGCCCGTGCTTCCGGCCACCGCCTGCTCCTCCTCCCCCGGTCAGGCCGCGCCGGTGGCTGCCGCGGAGCCCAGCAGACAGAGGCGGCGCGGGGACCCTGGCTCCGCTGCAGGAGGCTTTGAGGGTCCCCGGCCCCCGGCCCAAGCCCATGCCCCCTCGGCCGGCCGGGCCCGGCGCCCCCGCTCACCCGAGCCCGTGGTGGCTGCCATCTTGCGTCGCTCTTGCTTGAAGGCCGGCCCCTTCTTCACCCCCCCCTTACCCGTCCCCCGGCCCTGATGCGCAGGCGCGCGCGCACGCACATACGCCGCCGCTGACGCCCGCCCCGGAGACCTGCACGACCCGTGGCCTGGAAGGCTCTTTTCCTTCCCTTTTAGAGAAAGGAAATATCTGCGTGCTCGAGGGCCCAGCAACCTGCAAGTCCCCACACATCGGGTGCGAGGGAGGTTGTGATGTGCTTAGTGAGAAGGGCAGGGGTGACTAGGCTTGGGAAGGCGCGATTGTGAAAGAAAAAGAAAATATAGCTTCAAACAAAAGCGCCGAATTCGCTTGGGGCTTTTTCCTGTCTAGTTCCTATCTAGATCCTCACCACATCTCCGCAAGGTCAGAATTAATGTGAAAAATGCAGCCGAGAGAGATCAAGCGATTTATCTAAACTCAGCTGTTAAGTGGCAGAGACAGGCAGAATTTTAACCTCCAGGTTCAAATTTTTTGAATCATCACCCTCCAGGTCAGATGATCTGGCTCCTAGGATTGATGCTCCCCGGCCAGAGAAGGCTTGGAGTGGGTGCAGCTAAATGATTTAGGGGCATTAAGGTGGCAGGGAAAGCATTTGCTAACCATCTACCCAATTCATTCATTCATTCATTCATTCATTCGTTCATTCATTCATTCAACCAAACAAACAAACATTAAGCACCTACTATGTACCAGACACTGTGCTAGGCGCTGGGGATGGATAGACATCTCTGAAGAAGCAAATCCCTGCTTTCAGGGACTTACATTCTAGTCGTAGACAGCAAGTAAATAAACAGGAAACTATAATTCTGATAGGGTAGAGATAAACCAAGACAAGAGCAGCAGAGGATGGTCAGGAAGGGCCTCCTAAGGTGGTCATATTTCAGCAGAGACCGTAACAATGAGGAGGTAGAGGGAACAGCTTGTGCAAAGGCCCTTGGGAAATATTTTTGCAAATAAATAAACCCAAGAAGGTACTCCTCCTTTATTATAAATTGTCTGAGAAGCCCTTATATGGATGTAGACACTGAGGCTGAGAGAGGTGAAGGGACTGGCTTAAGGTCACAGAGCAAAATACTGGCAGAAGGACCAGGACTCTAAACATAGAGGGACAAGGAAGCTGGAAGCCCTCACCCAGCACATCCAATTCATCACCTTTGTCTGATAGCAGTGCCTACTCTGCATCTCTCCACTCCGTTCACTTCTCCACTCAGGGCAAGCTGCCTTTATCTCCCACTTGGAAGACCCCAGCAGCTTCCATTCTCTCCCCTATGGCCCATTCTCCATATAGACCAACATCTGCTCAAAACACCCTCCAGCTAAAGCCTTCAGTGGCTCCCCATTCCCTCTGGATAAAATACAAACTTTACAAGTTGAGCGACCATAGAATTATCACCTAATGAGGACACACATCAGATTAAAAGGGGACTTATTATAATCTCACCAGGACAAGTGGAAACCAGGGCTCTCCAGGGCAAAGCAGGATGCCTGGACACCCTGTGCACCAGGCTCTGCACCCAGGGCAGGGACGAGGATGGGGTGGTCAGATTTAACGGGGCTTTCACTCAGGTCCTGACTCCGCACTTGCACAGCGCTGCAGGTGAGTGACTCCTTAAAATCTGCACCCTAGGGCAGGGCATGGTGGCTCACACCTGTAATCCCAGCACTTTGGGAGGCCGAGGTGGGCAGATCACCTGAGGTCAGGAGTTCCAGACCAGCCTGGTCAACATGGTGAAACCTCGTCTCTACTAAAAATACAAAAATTAGCGGGGCGTGGTAGCACACACCTGTAATCCCAGCTACTCGGGAGGCTGAGGCAGGAAAATCGAGCGAACCCGGGAGGCAGAGGTTGCAGTGAGCTGAGATTGCACCATTGCATTCCAGCCTGGGCAACAGAGAGAGATTCAGTCTCAAAAAAAAAAAAAAAATCTGCACCCTAGGTACCCCACTTGCCTCACCATAGCCTTGGCACAGCCTGCGCCTCTGAGACTTTCTGTACCTCTGCGGCGACACTGGCCCTTTGCAAGCCCCCTGGAACACATGCCCTCTCCCACTTCAGGGGCTTTGCCTGTGCTGTTCCCACTCTTCAGTTCTCAGATCCAGCACCATCCCCTCAGGGAAGCCTTCCTCGATTCCTCCAACCACATCAAATTCAGCTATAATTAGCTCTCAAAGTGCCAGCACTGGCTACAGGTGAAGCAACTTGACTTTTCGTGTATCACGTGATACAAGTTTGCTTTGGGGAGCACAGAAAATACTTGCCCTGGACTTGGGGTCACTGTAAAGCATCAGTAGCAAGTGGAAGCATTTGGGTTCCTAAGGTGGACTCACCTTTGCAGTGAAATTTTCTAGGTTCAAGTCTTCCTTCATCACTCAGTTTGCTTTGTGACTTCAGGTAAGACGCTTGAACCTCTCCTGGCATCAGTTTCCCCTTCTATGAGGATAGTAGTATCAACCTCATAGGATTGCTGTGGAGATAAAATGCTTTCCTAAAACCCCTTGGGCACAGGGAAGAGGAAGGGACACTAGAAGAGCTCATAATTACCAAGCCGTTACATCCAACTTTTAATCCTCACAACTCGATGCAGCAACTCCTGTGAATATCCCCATTTTTAGAGATGAGAAAACTGAGACTCAGAGCTAACAGGTGGAGAGGATGAGGATTAAAACACAAGCCTTTTATCTATGGTGCCCGTAAATGTTTACTCGCATGGATTCCTTGGCTCTTGTAGGAAACTTCTTGCAAGTAAAATTGACAATAATAATTCCCGTGCCGAGCTCATCGCAGGAAGAGGTTAGGCGGGACAGCCCGAGGCATGCTGGTTGTTGTAGTCTAGCGTTGGCGCAGTGCCTGATGGGAGTTGTAGTACGTCCCGCGCACACGCTCCCTCGAAGAGTTTCTGCCCCATTCCTGGACGTCACAGCCGGTCCCCAGAGCAGGATTCCTTCCGGCGCCTGCGCCTGATCACCGCTCTGCGCTTGAGCTGATAAACTCAGCTGATGGGATAAGAGTCTTGTTTTATCGGATTTTGGGGAAGATTAAAATGGTTAATAGAACTAGAGAATTTAGAAGAGGGCTTGGCACTAAGTGCAATATAAGTATTAGCTGCTATTATTACCTAATCCTCAATGAACCTTGCAAAGTAGCTGTTACCATTTCCATTTGTGAGATGAGAAAACTGAGACTTAGAGGAGTTAGATGGCTTTTCCAAGGTCACACAACAAGGAAGGAGTAAAATCAGTTTTGGAATCCAGTTCTCTTTACCCTGTGTCACCCGCTGGCTCTCCCGTGATGAGGGAGGTGGAGCCTGGGAGGTTTTGAGCTAAATGTGGGCAGGTTTGCCTTTTTACAAAGTGCATCGTGCTGCCATGAGGAGACAGGGCGAGGACACCCAATTGGGCAGCAGCAATATTGGTAGCAGGGAACCCAGAGAGAAGGTGTATTGGGCATGTTTACCGCCATTCCAGTCGCCATGGCCCCACATGGCAAGGTGGGTGTTTGGAAACTTTCCCTCCCCTCATAAAAGCTGAAGAGAAGGTTGGGCGCCCTGGTTCACACCTGTAATCCCAACACTTTGGGAGGCCGAGGCGGGCGGATCACCTGAGGTCAAGATTTCGAGACCACCCTGGCCACAATGGCAAAACCCCGTCTCTACTGAAAATACAAAAATTAGCCGAGCTTGGTGGCTCAGGCCTGTAATACCAGCTACCCGGGAGGCTGAGGCACGAGAATCGCTTGAACCTGGGAGGCAGAGGTTGCAGTGAGCCAAGATCGTGCCATTGCACTCCAGTCTGAGCGACAGAGCGAGACTGTCTCAAACAAAAAAGCTGAAGAAAAAGCCTATTTTTGTCCCCTTTCCTCCTTCCTACAATATGAGGTTGTAATGGTTAGAATTAGAATCCTGGGTGATGTGGCTGAGCTGCTGAAGGAATTGCAGGGCTGCCCAACTGCAGACATCTGAAGACATGAGATAATGTGCCTGTTGCTTAAGTTGTTCTTAAAGGTAGGTTTTTGTTACCTACCACCAAAAAGCATACCTAATAGATACAGGAAGCTGACGCAGTGGTTCGGTTGAGAGGCATGTAGACCTGACAGATCCACAATGTCCATTCGTGAACTCTCTTTTCAAGTGGGAAAACACTAGGGCTGGTTTGGAATCTCTGGGATGTAAAAGGCATGAGTAGTTTGAAAAAGTATATTCAAAAGGTGAAAAAACAAAAATTATATAATGTTATCCACAACCTTCAATTTCCTATTTATAGTTAAGGAACCCCCCCAACCTCGTGCTACAGTTTTTGTAGCATAAGCTGCAGAAAGTAAAGCTGACAAACTGTCGACAGGAAGGACTGTGGACTTGCAGAAGACAGAGAGGAGAAGGGATGTGTGGTTAACAGAGTGTGTGATGAGGCCGGGCATGGTGGCTCACACCTGTAATCCCAGCACTTAGGGAGGCCAAGGCCGGTGGATCACCTGAGGTCAGGAATTCGAGACCAGCCTGGCCAACATGGTGAAACCCCATCTCTACTGAAAATAGAAAAATTAGCCGAGCATGGTGGCTCATGCCTGTAATCCCAGCTACCCGGGAGGCTGAGGCAGGAGAATCACTTGAACCTGGGAGGCAGAGGTTGCTGCAGCATTGCACTCCAGGTTGGGCAACAAAGCGAAACTCCATCTAAAAACAAACAAACAAACAAACAAACAAACAAACAGGATGTGTGATGCATTTGCTAGTGAAATTCTATGGCATTTATGTGGAGTCATGGCTCCCTGAGGTGTGTCTAGCCATGGCGCTGAGACATCTTATTTAATGTCTGATGTAGTTTCCGAAATATACAGTCAAAAAGCGGTGGGGATGGGTGGGCAGGGGGTCTTGGTGTACTTCATTAACTCACTCTATCAATGGACATCTAAGTTGTTTCCATTGGCTTCTTCTGATACAATTTTTGTAATGTCTTAATTTTGTATTATATGTTACTTCTGTGGTCAAGGAAAAAGGAATGAAAACTGGGGTTTGGGGCAGGGAGGTGGGGGGACAAAAAGGATGTTTCCTTAACGTATAAAGAGCCCTTGAAACTCATTAAGAAAAAATAACTCAAAGATGACAGTTACAGCAAATATTTATTGAGCATTTGCCATATTCCAGGAACATGGTATTTTGCATATAATAATGTATTTAATCTTCACACCTATCCTATGAGGTAGGTACCATTATTATTCCCATTTTGCAGGTGAGGAAACTGAGACACAGAACGGTTAAGTAACTTGCCCAAAGTCACAAGCTTGTAAGTGGCAGAACTGGGATTTGAACCCTACACTCTTAACCAATGCTACCCTCCCTTCCAAGAAAAATAGGAAAAGGACATGAACAGATGAGGAAATGCAAATGCATTTTAAACTCACAGTAAGATACCCAATCTCACAAAACATATTGTATTTCAGTGATTTGAAGCTATACGTTTTTACTTTTTTTTTGTTTTTTTTTTGAGACAGAGTCTCGCTGTGTCGCCCAGGCTGGAGTTCAGTGGCGCGATCTCAGTTCACTGCAACCTCCGCCTCCTGGGTTCAAGCAATTCTCCTGCCTCAGCCTCCCAAGTAGCTGGGATTACAGGCACCCGCCACCACACCCAGCTAATTATTTCTTTTGTATTTTTGGTAGAGACGGGGTTTCACTATGTTGGCCAGGCTGGTCTTGAATTCCTGACCTCGTGATCCGCCCAAAGTGCTGGGATTACAGGCGTGAGCTACCACACCCAGCCACATTTTTACATGTGAACTTCTGAAATCAGGATGCATCTTAGAATCAGTGACATCTTAGAATCAATGAAATACAGTAAGAGGAATGCAAATTAAAACCACCTATCAGATTGGCAAAGAACAAAACATTTGATAACACGCTGTGTTGGCAAGGGTGTGAGGAAACAGGGACTCTGAAAACTTGTGAACTTAAACCGGCATGGCCTCTGGAAGACAATTTGGTATGCACTATCAAAATTTAAAACACACTCGTGGTTCAAGCCTGTAATCCCAGCAGTTTGGGAGTCTGAGGCAGGAGGATTGCTTGAGCACAGGAGTTTGAGACGAGTCTGGGCAACAAAGCAAGACCCCCGTCTCTAAAAATAATAAAAAAAAATTAGCTCAGCATGGTGGCATGCACCTGTAGTCCCAACTACTTGGGATGGGAGGCTGAGAGAGGATAGCTTGAGCCCAGGAGGCAGAGGCTGTAGTGAGCTGGGATTGCACCACTGCACTCTAGCCCAGGTAATAGAGCAAGACTTTGTCTCAAAAAAAAAAAAAAAAAAAAGTCAAGTCCATTCCATCCTGAAGGTGGAACACTATGCAGCTGTAAAAAATAATAATGGTTTGTGAACATTAATGATAACACTATCTCCAAAATATATTAAGTGAAAAAAGGCAAGGTGCAGAACTGTGTGCATAATATCCTACATATTGTGTGAAAAGGAGTGGGGCAGACATACCCCTCTGCCTACATAAGGCATTGCAAGTGTCTTGTCAAAATGATGGCCTCTAAGGAGGGGAACTGAGTACCTGAGGGAACATGAATGGGGAGCAATTTACCCTTCATTCTAGACTAGGGAGAGGTTGGTAACTTTTCTCTGTAAAGGGCCAGATCGTAAATATTTTAGGCTGTGTGGACCACGTGGTCTCCGATGCAACGACTCAATTCTGCCACTGCAGTGCAAAAGCAGCCTCGGACAATATGTAAATGAGGGGCATGGCTGTGTGCCAATTCAGCTTTACAAACTGGAATTTGAATTTTCTGTGTTAGGAAATATTGTTCCCCCTCCCCCAGCCATTTAAAAAATGCTCGTGGCTGACATGGTGGCTCACACCTGTAATCCCAGTGCTTCAGGAGGTTGAGGTGGGAGGATCACTTGAGGCCAGGAGTTTGAGACTACCCTGGGCAACATAGCGAGACCCCATCTCTAAAAAAAAAAAAAAATTAGCTGGATGTGGTGGTGTCCATCTGTAGTCCTAGCTACTCAGGAGGCTGAGGTGGGAGGATCACTTGAGCCCAGGAGTCTGAGGTTACAGTGAGCTGTGATTGTGCCACTGCACTCCAGCCTGGACAACAGAGCAAGACCCTGTCTCTAAAAAACAAACAAACAAACAAACAAACAAACAACCCACAAAAGCTTCTGAGCTATAGAAAAGCAAGTGGCTGGATTTGGCCCACTGTCCAGGGTCAGCTTATCCATACTCTAGCCCTGTTTATATTATTTGATATGAGCCACTGTACCCGGCGTGATTCTTATTCTTTACCTATGCAAGCATTACCTATTGCTTATATAGCAATATATATATTGCTATATATATATATATACCCATATATATATGTGGGTAGCTTGAAAAATATTTTTGGTTTATCAAAGGAGGGTTGGCTGGGCGCGGTGGTTCATGCCTGTAATCCCAACACTTAGGAAGGCTGAGGTGGGCCGATCGCTTGAGCTCAGGCGTTCGAGACCAGCCTGGGCAACATGGTGAAACCCCATCTCTACAAAAAATACAAAAAGAAACTAGCTGGGGGTGGTGGCACATGTCTGTCGTTCCCGCTATTCAAGAGGCTGAAATGGGAGGATTGCTTGAGCCTGGGAGGTTGAGTCTGCAGTGAGCGCAGATCATGCCACTGTGTTCCAGCCTGGGTGACAGAGCAAGACCCCGTCTCCAGGAAAAAAAAAAGGCGGGGTGATGGAGTTTCAGTTGGGGGCAGGCGCCCAAAGGTATGTGCCCAGGCCCCTTCTAAAGAACAGTGAGCACACAGGGGTATGCAAGTTCACTACAGCTCCCCCGGTTGAGCTGGAAATCCATGTTTGCCCTGCATGCCACTACCCTGTGCCACCACCAGACAGCAGCACATGCCTACCTGAAACCAAGCCATCCCACAGCAGCTGGGAGGGAGGCTGCAGGCAGTTGGCCTATGCACTCATTTTGTTTTGCCCACAGTACGTTTTAAACACGGAGCCAGCATTTTTAAAGTTTAGATTTCTGGCTCCTGTTTAACCAGCTGCTGTGAGTAGCAGCTGCCCTTTAGGCCTGATGTCTCCAGGTCATCCCAGTCCCCAGCGTCAGCGGCCCTTTCTCAGGCATGCTGCAGTTGCCTCATAGTGGACACATTTCTCACGTGCCACCTGTCTCACCTCCCTCTCCACAATGGGAGCGTTAAAGCACAGGGGCTTTGGGTCAGACGCTGGCTCAAATCCTGATTCTGCCACCTACCAGCTGTGTGACCTTGGGCATATTACATGACCTCTGTGCCTCAGTTTCCCCATCTGCAAATGGTGCAAAGAGTACTCACTTCTCAGAGCTGCAGGGACTGCTTGACAGGACCCATGCCAGAGCTCTCTGCACAGTCTGGTGCAAAGTTAAGTGCTCAGTAATATTAAGTAGCATTTTCCCCTGTCTGGCCCTCATAGGCACTTGTTTGCAAGTCCCTGATCTCACAAGTGGCCCCAACACTCTCAGACCCAATGCAGCGCACCTTCTGGTTTTGAGAAGGATTTTTTTCCAGCCCCCAGAATTCAGAAGTGAAATGGTCTGAGTCTGAGGGCTGCTCTACCCTTACTACCTGTGGGACCTTGGGGGAGTCACTTTACCTCTCTGGACTCAGGCTGAGGGTTTTTTTTCTGTCGGCTCCAGGGGAACTGACACAGATTGGTGGGGCCTGGAAACCAACACCACAGTGGTGAGGCTACTCCTATGGCCTCTAAAGAATTTAGCTGCCTGTCCCATCCACCATTGACTTCTTTTTGTAGTAATGCCTTAGGAAGAGGTGATCACAACCCTGCAAATCCAGATGGACATTTTTCAGCCCTGGGCAACCAGAGCATTTCACCCCACTGGCCAATGTGATTGGTTCAGGGATGGGCACGTGACCCAGTCCAGACCAATGAGAGCCTGCCCTGGGACTTCCACTGCAACTACTGGGAATGCACTTTCCACTGAGATTGCTGAGCTGGTCTAGTAAGTCTCAACTCAAAGAGAAAAACAGAGCTTAGAGAGACCACGTTTTGATGAATCATGTGAGCCCCTGGGTCCTGCCAAACCTTAATTCAGAACACCTGTAGACTTTTCCGTTTTATGAGCTAATACGATTATTTTAGCTGTTTACTTTAAATTTCTGTCATTTATGAGTTGTCGAATTCTAACACCCTTCCTTGTGTGGTCCCCTCAGGCATAGTCACAAATCAAAAGTCTAGTTGGCAAAGGAAAATGGCATTATGGGTCACGTTTTAAAAAATAAATGTCATGGCTGGACGCAGTGGCTCATGCCTGTAATCCCAACACTTTGGGAGGCCAAGGTGGGTGGATCACCTGAAGTCAAGAGTTGGAGACCAGCCTGGCCAACATGCTGAAACCCCATCTCTACTAAAAATACGAAAATTAGCCGGGCATGGTGGTGGGCGCCTGTAATCCCAGCTACTCAGAAATGTCATTATCTGTGACTGCTCTGGAGTCCTTTAGGCATTTCCCTGTCCCCAACAGGCTTTCTTTTTTCTGGCTAATATTGCAGAAACTATCTAGCCTAGACTAGCTATTGACTATGTCTGTAGCGTTCACTACAGAATCGCAGTACCTAGTTCATAGGAGATGCCTTATAATTACTTATTCAACAAATAAACAAGTTACTAATTGGTCTATAATGTCCTGACCCGGTGCAGTGGCTCATACCTAAAATTCCAGCACTTTGGAAGGCCAAGGCGGATCACTTGAGGCCAGGAGTTCAAGACCAACCTGGACAACATAGTGAGACCCCATTTCTTTAAAAAAAAAAAAAAATAGCCAAGCCAGGTGTGGCGGCATGTGCTAGTCCCAGCCACTCATGAGGATCGTTTGTGTCCAGGAGTTCAAGGTTGCTGTGAGCTATTACACCTCACCTCTGCACTTTAGCCTGGGTGACAGAGCATGACCCTGTCTCTAAAAACATAGTAATAAATACAAATAAATAAAATGACCAGCAGGTCCCCACTCACCTCAGCCTATGAGTCTCTGTATACCAAATCCATGTTTTCCCAACCTTGTCTTCCATTTTTCCTTAGCTCACTCTAGTCCAGCCACAGTGGCTGCCTCACCATCTCTTAAAATCCCAAGCTTGTTCTTTTTTTTTTTTTCTAAGCGAAGTCTCGCTCTTATCCCCCAGGTTTGAGTGCAATGGCTCGATCTCGGCTCACTGCAACCTTCACCTCCCGGGTTCAAATGATTCTCCTGCCTCTGCCTCCCAAGTAGCTGGGATAAAGTCGTCTGCCACCACGCCTGGCTAATTTTTGTAAATTTTAGTAGAGACAGGGTTTCACCATGTTGGCCAGGCTGGTCTAGAACTCCTGACCTCAGGTGATCTGTCCGCCTCAGCCTCCCAAAGTGCTGGGATTACTGGCGTGAGCCACTGTGCGTGGCCCCAAGCTTGTTCTTGCCTCAGGGCCTGTGTACTTGCTGTCCCATCAAGAGGCCTCTTCCCTCACTTCTTTCGTGTCTGACCTCCTCTCCTCCCCCAGGTCTCAGCTCAGAGGCCCTTCATGACCACCCTGCCAAAGCAGCACCGACCCTGCTTTTCCGCTGTGGTTCTGTCCTGTTTGATTTTCTTCACAAATCACCACCTGAATTTCCATGTGCATTTATTTGTTTATTGACTCTTTTCCCAGGAGGTCAGCTCCACCAGGATAGGTCTTTGTTGGTTCTTTCACCGCTGTACCTGTGTACAGGACAGAGCCTGGCACACACCAGGTGCCAGTGAATATTTGCTGAAGGAAGTCACAAATAGGGATCAGCCATCATTACTTTATCATCATGATCAACAGGAAAGACCACTGTCCTCACCCAATCCCCTCCAAAAGGCTTTGGAGCAGATGTCAACATTAATTCACTGTCTCAGGTGACAGCTCTCATCCTGAGGCCAGGGTTGGGGGGAGCTGGGAATGGGGCGAGAGTGGGGCCTCACGTCCCAGGCTCCTTGATACCCCCCACCCCACCCAGCCAGGAAACACCACGAGGCAGCCAAGGTTAAGTAGACTCTTGCTGCTTTGTTATAAATATATTATGTACATCCAAAACATGACATTAAAATATTACTCCGTGTTACAGAAAAGATATTAAGGCTTTCTATTATTTACATTAAACAAGCAAGCACCTTTAAAAAAAAACAAAACAAAAAAGCCCTACTCTTCCTTCTCTGACATACTCTGGCCAGAGGGGATACCGTGTCCTCTTCCAAATGACCAAGATGCTCTGCAGGGGCTGTGCCCTGTGAAGACATCTTGGTATTGGAAACATCAGCTCTGGCAGGGTGGGGGCAGCAGAGAAGTAGGGGTCTAGACTTGAGCAGGAGGTTCCAGCCTCTTCTGGCCGGCTACCCTCAGACCCCTGCTGAGCTTCACCATCCTTGGGGGACAGGCTAGGCTGAAGGTGGTGGCTGGGGCTGTCCACCTGCCCAGCCTCCCGGGGTCAGTATGCAGGGCTGTGGCAGAACAATGCTCCACGACGCTTAGGTGTGCCTGGGGGCTCCCCAGACCACTGGGGCCAGACAAGGAGGGAAAGAGGCAACTCACTGGCCCCAACGCCAGCCACACTGAAGGGCTGCCCAGCGGGGCAGGGACGGCAGGCGTGCAGGGAGTGGGTAAACCTCCTCTCTACCAGGGGAGGCTGGCAGAGTCAGGCTTGCAGATAGAGCAACTCAGGTGGCTGAGGAGGGGCCGAGGAAAAAAAAAAAAAAGAAATGAAAAATCAGTGGCTCAAGTATTCTGTGTCATGAGGGGTGGGCTGGGGTACCTGGGCCCAGCCCAGGAGATGTCCTCTCCATCTGGAGGGGCCAGCTCAAAGAGGCTGGAATTTGGCAGATGGCTTCGGTTTGGGGGCTAGGGAAGGTTGGCAACCAGGTAGCAGGCTCGGAGAAGTTATTTGATCTTCTGGGCCCATTTCATGTCATCTGCCCGAGGCTTCTCGCCCGTCAGGCCCTGGATGAGGTCCTCCAGGCGTCGCCAGAAGCCTATCTTCTCCAGAGGGTAGTTGAGCCAGCCTGCAGTAGAAATGGCAGCGGGAGTTTGAATGGGAGAGAGTAGTCAAGGGGACATTGGAAGAGAGCTGACCTTCACTGGGCTGGAGGGGCCCAATGAGGAGTGAGTCAGTACAGGATAGGACACAGGGACCGGCCAAGGAACTGGAAGTGGGGGCCTCCCACCAATGGGCCTGGGGCCACTCAGGCCTCCAACCCCCATATTCCTCTACTTTCTTACTATATACCAGGCACTTACTTATATTTGAGCACTTACTATATACCAGGCACTGTGGTGGCCTTATCACTCAGCTCAAATGCTACCTCTGCCAGGAAGCCTTCCCTGATCATCCACTTAAGCAGCACCCCAGGTTTCTCACATTACCCTTTATCTATCTATCTATCTATCTATCTATCTATCTATCTATCTATCTATCATTTATCTATCTATTTATTTGAGACAGAGTCTCACTCTGTGGCCAGGCTGGAGTGCAGTGGGGCGATCTCGGCTCACTGCAACCTCCACCTCCCGGGTTCAAGTGACTCTCCTGCCTCAGCCTCCGAGTAGCTGAGACTACAGGTGCACACCACCATGCCCAGCTAAGTTTTGTATTTTTAGTAGAGACTAGGTTTCACCATGTTGGCCAGGATGGTCTCGATCTCTTGACCTCGTGATCCACCCGCCTCGGCCTCCCAAACTGCTGGGATTACAGGCATGAACCACTGAGCCTGGCTCTATTTACAATTTTTTTAATGCAGATGGGGTCTTGTCTTATATAGGCTGGTCTTGAACTCCTGGGCTCAAGCAATCCTCTCGCCTTGGCTTCCTAAAGTGCTGGGATTACACGCGTGAACCACCATGACAGGCCACCCTCTTTCATTTCTTTATAGCCTTTATGATAACCTGTAACCATCTTCGTTAATTCTCTATTTTCCTGTTCTGTGTTTGTTCACCCCCCAATCCCCAACTGGAACGTTATCCCCAAAATGCAAAACACCATGTTCTTTCACTGCTGATCCTCAGTGCTTAGAATACAGCCAGGCGCAGAGTAGGTGCTGAATAAATATTGCTCACAATCTTACAGCCTTCCAGCTCACCATGAGGTAGATACTAATATCAGTCCCATTTTCCACATGAGCACACTGAGGCTTAGAGAAGAGTTTCCCAATTAGCAGGTGGCCAAACCAGGATTGGAACTCAGCCCTGCCTAAGTAGTTAACCCATCTCCTAAATAGCCTGAATTCTAATCCCTCCACCTGCCTTCCAA
Source organism: Homo sapiens (assembly GCF_000001405.40). Lineage (NCBI taxonomy): Eukaryota > Metazoa > Chordata > Mammalia > Primates > Hominidae > Homo > Homo sapiens. Next base: position 50,126,424 of record NC_000020.11, read on the forward strand.
GGAGCACAAATTGAGGACATGAAAAAGAATGTTTTTTTGTGGTTCTCAGTTCTGTTTCCAGAAAGACCTAAAAAAAAATAGTAGCTGTAATTTATCAAGTACCTACTATATGCCAAACACCGCATTTGCCATTCCCACTATGGCCCTAAGAAGGTGATATATGAAGGAGGCGGCTGCAGCCCTATTTTGTAAGGAGAAAAGCGGTCCCCAGGGAGGTTTGTGAGTTGCCTAAAGGCACATGTGGAGAAGCTGAGAGTTAGGCCTGAGTTAGACTTGACAGCACCTGATACACTTAACCTTGAAAGCAGCCCAGCTGGCTCCAGAGAAACTCCCAGTTCACCTCACCTCTTTCGCACTGGCTGCTAACTGAGCATGGCACGTGGGCCTCCTTTCCCTTCCTCCACTGCACTGGGCATGTTCCTGCCTCTGGCCTGCTGCTTCCTGTTACCTTTGCTCTAATCTGTGCTCATCTATCTTCAGGGCCCTCCCACACTTCTCTCCTCCCTCTTCAGTTGCTCTGCCCCCTTCTCTCCTCCCTCTTCCACTGCTCTGCCCGCTTCTCCCTCTTCCATTGCTCTGCCTCAACTCCAGTCAGGAGCCTCTTTGCCATTCCGGAAACACACCAAGCAAGCAAAGGCCAGCCTCAGGGCCTTCGCACCTACTGTTCCTGCTGCCTAGAGTGCCTCCCACAGAGGTCTGCACGGCTTTGTCCCTCAGCTCCTCGGGGTCTTTGTTCAAGTGTCACCTTCCCTGACCACCCGATTTAAGAGGCAAAGCCCCCACTTCCTTCTCCCACCCCTGCTTTATTTTCCTCCATAGCAGTTAGCACCATTAGCCACGCTACACATTTTATTCATTCGTTCCAGCTCCCTCACTAGATGGTGAGTGCCACAAGGGCAAGGATCCGTGTTTTCTGGTTTTTTTTTTTTTTTTTTTTTTTTTGAGACAGTCTCTGTCACCTAGGCTGGAGTGCAGTGGTGCGATTTCAGCTTACTGCAACCTCCACCTCCCAGGTTCAAGCAATTCTCTTGCCTCAGCCTCCCGAGTAGCTGGGATTACAGGTGCCTGCCACCAAGCCCAATTAATTTTTTTTCGTATTTTTAGTAGAGATGGGGTTTCACCATGTTGGCCAGGCTGGTCTCCAACTCCTGACCTCAAGTGATCCACCCGCCTTGGCCTCCCAAAGTGCTGGGATTCCAGGCATGAGCCACTGCGCCCAGCTGATTCATGCTATTTTGTTTGCTGCAGGAGCCTACGCCCAAAGCACCATGGCATGTGGTAGGTGCTCAATAAATACGGGATGATGGGTGGCTGGAATCACAACGCCATGAAGTCGAGGGAGAGGGCTTTGTCAGTCTCATTTACTGTGTCCTCAGCACCTAGAATAGTGCCTGGCACACAGTAGGTGCTCAATAAATGCATGACCTGAGAGACTGTTCCCAGAGGGCAAGGACTGTGTGACCTCCTGCTGTGATCTCTGCCCTCCTGACCTCGAAGATGGTGCAGTGGCTGGGGTGGGGAAAGCCCATTCCACGCCACTGGTGGCCGCACCTGTGGTGATGCAGAAGTAGGTCTCGTGGGGTGAGACGTGGTGGATGCGATGGTGTTTACGTGGCAGGATGACATGCCAGTCCTGCAGGAGGGTGACCCAGCGTGGCAGCCCAAAGTACGTGTGCGACCACTTGTGGATCTGGTTGGTGAAGGTGCCGAAGATGATCAGGCAGAAGACGAAGCACTCCCAGGGGTATAGCTGCTCCAGGGCTTCTGCAGGTTGGGGAGAGGGGGGGCCGGCACAGCTGTCACTCGGGACGGGGAACCCACCCCAAATGGCCCTCACCACCTGCTCCTGGGCGGCTCCTGAGCTGGGCAAGCACCCAGGATTCTCTTCCACCCCCTGCAGGGCCGCAGGCAAGCTCAGGTGCTGCCCTGGGCTTCAGGCTTTCCTCCTGCTCAGGAAGCAGGCGTAATGGTGTAATAGGATAATGGCATAAGCATGGCAATGGCTGGGAATGTAGACCGGAGTCAGCTGGAGCTGGGTTCCGATCTCTGCCGACATTTCTTGGCAGTATGGGCTGGATCGGTGACTCTGCCTCTAAGAAGCTTAATTTCCCCATCAGGAAAATGGGAATGATGCCTTCACCCAGGTTCCCTAGAAGCGGAGCCTGAAACAGGTTCTTGTGCATGTGATTTATCAAGGGAGCCTCTTCAGGAAAAAACCTCGAAGGGAGGGAGGGAAGCAAGACACGGCAGGGGAAGAGCAGAGCAAAGATGGGGTGGGTGGCGTCCTGTCTCAGTCTGTTCCTGCAAGGAGCTCTGAGGTGTTAACGGCTCTTTAGAATTAGACCCACTCAGAGGCAAAGGGACTAGCGTCGGAGGCGTTTCAGTCACTGGCTCCAGCCTTATCCCAAGGAGACAGGTGGGACCTCCCCTCCATCCCTGGAGAAGCTGGGAGCTGTCAGCAGCCACCACTCACAGAAGCAGGGGCTGGGTGCACCCCCAGGGAAGGGGATGGGCAGGGTGCCATAGCACCCACTACACTACACGTCCTCACCACCTCTACCCACCGGAGGCTGCCTGAAGAACAAATGGGTGTTAAGGTGCTGGAACAGGACCGGGCCCCAACCTACCTCCACCTGACAGATAAGGCAACTGAGGCTCAGAGTGGTGAAATCACTTACTTTGGGACCAGTCCCTCTAAAAATAGGCAGGCCCTGTTTTCACAGCCTAGACATTTTCCACTAGGCCACGGTAGCAAAACCCCAGAAGCCCTGCCAGGCAGGTAACACAAATGAACAAGGTGGGTTGGGTGCAGGGAAGCAAGGAATAGTGGGGACGGTGGTAAACTGGAAAGACGCGTCCTGTCAAAGGCAGTGGCTGCAGCTCAGCTCCCACCCAGTGAGGCCAGGTGGGAACATGGACCCAGGGGGGCCAGAGCAGATTGTGCAAGAGAAGCTGGAAACCTCCATCTTCATGTCAGGTTTCCTGATTTTACATGAAGACAATGAATGAAAACTCTTTTAAAATACCATAAGGAGCCAAACACATAAGCCCCAGAAGGCTCCTGGGGGTCGGCCTCTGCCCCCAAGGCCCCCTCCCAGCCCACCACTAGCTGGGTGTCTCACCAGGGCTGTGGGTGCGGAACTTGTAGGCCATGTTTAGCAGCGGCAGCAGTGTCACCAGGCAGTTGTCCCCGTTGGTCTCGATGAAGTCGTGCCGTGTGATAGCTGTCGGGTCAATGTGGTGCTCCCGGAAGGGTCGGATGAAAGCCTGGAGTTGAGGGGGACACAGCCCCAGCAGTCAGCCTAAGGTGGTCAGCTGCTCTCCACAGCCCCCTAAACACATTCACCCTGGGCTCACCTCCCGCCTTTGATCCTAAGTTTCCTCCACCCGGGATGCTTGAACATTCCCACCTGGCCCACTGCCAGACACAGACCCCATCCAGCCTTTGGGGAGATGAGCCGAAATGACCCTGGAAGGGCTTTGGGTTGGCACTGTCTGCCTCTGGGCCTCAGTCTCCCTACCTGTGCTGTAAGGGGGCTTGGAGACAACCTCCGCCCTTCCTCCCCACCCCAAGGCAGTTGAGGAGGTCCCTCTAAGTAAAAGGTGGGACCCTCTGGACCCCCTGCACCTGCTGGGGTAACAGCCTCCCCTCCTTAGTCCAGGCTCTTCTGACAAGGCTGACCTCGCCCCGGGCTGAGAAAGAACACGTGACCAGGCCTGGCCAATCATAGCATCTCCTCCCTCTAGCCAGTGACTGCCTGAGGGCCCAGCACGTGACCCAATCTGGGCCAATGGGAGTGAGCCGTGGGACTTCAGTTGGCGGAAACTACAGGGAAGGAGAAATGCTGTTCTCCTGGAAGGAGAAGGACAGTTCTCTTTTCTTGGGAGCTGGAAGGATGGATCTCTGGGCGGTGAGAAAGCACACTGGCCACCTTATGAGGGGAAAGTAGAGATAGAGATGGAAGAAGACTGGGCCTGAAGAATGTGGTCTGTCGGTCCTACTGGATGCAGCCATTCCTTAATTTGGCTCTAACCCTGAAATCTTCAGTTACATGAATCAGTACCCTTGTTTGCCTAAGCCAGTTTAGATTTTCTGTCAAAACCAAAAAAGTGACTAATACAGGATAAAATGCAGTTAAAACAGCAAGAAGCAGCAGGGGAGACAATGGAAAAGCAAGACACCCCCAAATTCAGGGGTTCTGATGAGGCAGGCACATATCTAAACTCTTGGACCATCCCAAGCCTGATGCTTTTGCTTCCAAAATCCCAAGGGACTCCTGTTCTAGTCTTGCAGCACAGGGGTGAGGGACAGGCTGCAATGATGGTTCCCATCTTTCAGATAGGGAAACAGTCTTAGAGAAGAAAGGGGACTCACTCAAGGCCATACAGCCCAACCTCCTTCTTGAGGACATGGTTAGGTCAACATACTCACCTTCCCCACAATGGGCAGCTCCACAGAGCCCCATGTGTCAGCACCCCAGTGTACCAGGCCAGACAAGAAGTCAGCAATGAGAGCCCCTGCAACTGTGGACAAGAGGGTGAGTGAAGGGACATCCCTGCACCCCCCCAATCAGAATCACTCATTCATTTACTCACTTGCCCGCTCATTCATTTGTTAGGAGGGGAAGGTGTCCCTTCTTCTCTAGTTGGGATGTTTTCTTCCCTGAAGATGGAGCCTCAGGCTTAACACTCCTCCTGCCTGTTACTTGCTGTGCTCGGGGAGATGCCAAGACTCATGTGCTTGGAGAGTCTGGAGAGCATAAACTGGGCATGCTCAGATCAGCTCAACCTTTCCCTATTAGGAGCAGGCTGTGCCCTTCTCTCTGCCCCATATAAGGAAAGCCTGCTCTGCACCAGTGCTGCCTGGAACTGCAGCAATGTCCTTCTGGGTTTGGTGTTAGAAAGAAAGTACCTCGGCCAGGTGCGGTGGCTCATGCTTTGTAATCCCAGCACTTTGGGAGGCTGAGGCAGGCGGATCACTTGAGGTCAGGAGTTCGAGAATAGCCTGACCAATATGGTGAAACCCCGTCTCTACTAAAATCACAAAAATTAGCCAGGTGTGGTGGCATGCGCCTGTAGTCTCAACTACTCGGGAAGCTGAGGCAGGAGAATCACTTGAACTCGGGAGGCGGAGGTTGCAGTGAGCTGAGATCACACCACTGCACTCCAGCGTGGGTGACAGAGTGAGACTCCGTCTCAAAAAAAAAAAAAGAAAGTACCTTACCTGCAGATAGAAGCCTCGCTGCTCCACCCCCACCCCTCCAGCTTTTATCAGCAATAAACATGATCATTTGGTCTCCAGCAGCCTTTTCCTTGTTTCTGTTCTCAATCTGTTCGGAACTTGAGCAGGGTTCCCTCAGACTCCAACACCATTCACTCACTTGAGGGTTCAGTAGATTTGGACTCAAATTCCAGTGCTGGCACTCACTAGCTGTGACGCTGCACATGTTATTTAGCCTCTCTGTGCCCAGTTTCCTCTTGTAAAATGGGAATGATGCGACTGGGCGCCGTGGCTCACACCTGTAATCCCAGCACTTTGGGAGGCCGAGGTGGGCGGATCACCTGAGGTCAGGAGTTCGAGACTAGCCTGGCCAACATGGTGAAACCCCATCTGTACTAAAAATACAAAAATTAGCCGGGTGTGGTGGCACACACCTATAATCCCAGCTACTCAGGAGGCTGAAGCAGGAGAATGGCTTGAGCCCGGGAGATGGTGGTTGCAGTGAGTCGAGATCATGCACTGCACTCCTGCCTGGCCAACAGAGTGAGACTCTGTCTTGAAAAAATAAATAAATAAAAGGGAATGATGCTAACATTTACGAGCACTTTCTCAATGCCAAGCACAAATGCTTTACAGGCTAGATCTTGATGAATTCTCACCATTTGTTTTAAGTTGGTAGCTTTTTTATTCCCACTTTATAGAGGTGGAAACTGAGGCTTCCACCCCTGCTGCCTCCCATCACTCTCCTCTTTCGCTGCAGCCCAGGCCTACTTTATCTCCTTTCCCTTGCATGCCTCTGGGTCTTTGCATTTGCTGTTCCCTCTGCCTGGAACATTCTTTCCTAAGATGCAACACAGCTCACTCCCTCACCTCTTCAGATGTTTACTCAAATGTCCTCCCTGGACACCTGATGGAAAATTGCAACCACCTCATCTTCCAGCATTTCCGATCTCCTATGTATATTGTTCTCCAAGCACTCGGCACCTCTGACTGCTCTTGTGCTGGTTTATTTTCTCCCCCAACAAGGAGGTTGGCTCCACCATGGCCAGGGCTTTAGTCTGGCTTGTGGCTGCATCCCAGCTCTTGGCACCTATTCAGAACTCAGTAGAGCACTACTAAGTGCAGTGTTTGGCACATAGTAAGCCCTCAGGCCATATTACTGTTGCTGTCATTGAGTCAATCAACTAAGCCACACTCCACAAAGGCCTCCTGTGTGATAAGCTCTAGGGACAGAAACATGTCAGACACTGAACACATGTCTATGGGGAAACGCTGTAAAGTCCAGCAGAGGACAAAGGCAGCTGTGAGTGATGACACGTGTGGCCCCCTGGCTCATGGGGCTTCAGACAAACCCCTTCCCAGACTCGGTTTGTCTGTGTCAACTGGTTGTCCAAGATTCTGAGTTCTGCTGGTGCCCTCAACCCCTTGGTGACAGGGGACCAGGGTCTTGGGGGTACTGTGGAGACTGCAGAAAAGCCCCTGGATGCCTCCTGGGTGAGTGAGACTTGTGGTTGAAGGGACAAAAGTAAGCACGCAAGTCACTGTGAATGTGCAATCCTGACGTCCAGGCCTGGGGTGAGGGGCAGCCACTGGATGCCGACTTTCCAGAGGCCCTGTGGTATCCATCACAGGTGCCAAGCACGGGAGGGGTGGTGGGGGTGGGGGCAGCACAGCTTCATGCAGGCACCTGCAAGTTCCTGGGGATAAGGGCGGAAGGGCAGGTGGGGACAGGTGGCAGCTACACCTCCTGGCACACAGACGCCTAAGGACAGGCTGAAGGGTGTCACTGCACAGTGGCTGGGCTGAGGTAAAGGGGTTGGGACTCAGCAAGGCCCCAGAGCCTGTGCACCCAGTGGCCCTGCTCTGGTCTGGGCAGTCTTGCCCATTTGTGATGGGGAGGGTGGACCCAGGCCAGGGGCAGGGGCGGGGATGTAGAAGGCGAGGGAGGTGGAAGCCCCAGAAGGGCTTCTGGATTTTCTGTTCCTCTACACAGCACCCCACCCCCACTCCAGATCCCCTGTGCTGGCTCCTCCTCGGCCTTCTTGCTCAGAGCGAAGGTCAGCCAACCCTTCTGGCTAAAGCCATCCTTCCGGGCAGTTGCTCTCGCTCACATCTCCCTGCTTCATTTCTTTCATGGCACTTGTCATCCCCTGAGATGGCCTCATTTGTCATCCCTTCTTGGATGAAGAAAGAGGCCTGGAGAAGTTGAACCACTGCCTCCCAGTCAAGTGGCCTGGAAATGGCAGCTGTGGGATGGGAAGAGGCCTGTCGACCTGCCTCCAAAACCAGCACCCTTTTGTGTCCTTAAACTGCACTGCAGCAGGTCCATGGCATTATTAGAGCTCCTACTGCATACTTTGGGATGCTGTGTATGCACTGCCTCTGTCTACCAGCAGGGACAAAAGGCCATGTGGCCAAGAGCTATGACAGAACTAGATCAAGTGTTGGGGGCCTCAGCTCTTGCTACCATATTGCTGTGTGACACTGTGCCTACTCTAGGCCTCAGCATCTTTACTTGCTTAATGAGGTCAACTGAGGTATCTCGAGGTCCTGTCCCCATAGCTCGGACTAATGACATCTCTAAATGCTGCCTTCAGGCTGGGCTGGAGCACAGTGCAGAGCTGCAGAGCTGGCACCATTGCACTCCTCCCAGCACTTTGGGATGCCAAGGTGGGCAGATCACCTGAGGTCAGGAGTTTAAGACTAGCCTGGCCAACATGGTGAAACCTTGTCTCTACAAAAAACACAAAAAATTAGCCAGGGATGGTGGTGGGCACCTGTAATCCCAGCTACTCAGGAGGCTGAGGCAGGAGAATGGCTTGAACCTGGGAGGCGGAGGTTGCGGTGAGCCGAGATTTCGCCATTGCACTCCAGGCTAGGCAACAAGAGCAAAACTCTGTCTCAAAAATAAATGAATGAATGAATGCTGCCTTCATGAAAGAAATAGCTACAGAGGAGAAGTGGCTGGATGTCATAAGGGTGGGGCCTCGCAAGGGATTCAGAGTCCAGGTTCCTTGTTCCCCGAGTTCTGGGCTCCTGATGAGATGGGGACAAGCCCCTTCCCCTCTCTAAACCTTGGCTCATTTTATGTTATAATTGAATATAACCTACAAACAGTAAAGGCCATAGGCCTTACACAGCTCACAGCCTTTTTATGCGTAGACACACCTGTCTGACCAACCCCCAGGTTAAGATAGAGATTCTATACCTACACAGAATATAAGAGGTTGGCAAACTTTCTTTAAAGGGTCAGGCAGGCCGGGCACGGTGGCTCACACCTGTAATCCCAGCACTTTGGGAGGCTGAGGCAGGCGGACCACTGGAGGTCAGGAGTTTGATACCAGTCTGGCCAACATGGTGAAACCCCGTCTTTACTAAAAACACAAAAAAATCAGCTGGGTGTGGTGGTGCGGACCTGTAGTCCCAGCTACTCAGGAGGCTGAGGCAGGAGAATCGCTTGAACCTGGGAGGCAGAGGCTACAGTGAGCAGAGCTCGTGCCACTGCACTCCAGCCTGGGCAACAGATGGAGACTCCATCTCAGAAATAAATAAATACATAAATGGACAGTAAATATTTTGGGCTTTGCAGGCCAAGGCAGTCTCCACTGCAGCTCCTCAACTCTGCAGCTGTAGTGTGAAGGCAGACATCAACAGCATTCCCAGAATACCTGTTTACAAGTGTTTTTGGTCCTCAGGCCATAGTGTGCTGACCCCTGATAGAAAGCATTTCCAGGCCGGGCACGGTGGCTCACATCTGTAATTCTAGCACTCTGGGAGGCCGAGGCAAGCGGATCGCCTGAGGTCAGGAGTTTGAGACCAGCCTGACCAACATGGAGAAACCCTGTCTCTACTAAAAATACAAAATTAGCCAGGTGTGGTGGCGCATGCCTGTAATCCCAGTTACTCGGGAGGCTGAGGCAGGAGAATCACTTGAACCCAGAAGGTAGAGGTTGCGGTGAGCTGAGATCACGCCATTGCACTCCAGCCTGGGCAACAAGAGCAAAACTCCATCTCAAAAAAAAAAAAAAAAAAAAAAAAGCATTTCCAGCCCCACAGCTGGCTCCCCTGTCCCACTAAGCTCCCTTCTGACCCTGTTCCATGCAACCATAGAGCTGCCTCCTATCAGCAGAGACTGATTTTGCCTATTCTAGAACTTTATTTAAACGGATTCAGATGGTAGGTGCTCTTTGGAGCCTGGCTTCTTTTACTAGTGTAATGTTTCTAGCGTGGGCCATGCAGTCGTGCGGATCAGCAGTGGTTCACCATTTTTAGGGCTGAGTATCCCACCATCTGGATGTACAATGATGCATTTATCCACCTGGCCATGGTTGGCCATTTGGGCTGTTTCCAGTCTGGGGCTGTTTTGAATCTGCTGCAGTGAATATTGGTGTACAAGTCTATGTGTAGACATCCACCCTCATTTACTTTGGGTTAAGATGTCAACTACTTTTTTTAAAAAAAAAAACCTGATATTTATTGAGCACTTATAACTACCAGGCCCCGTGCCAACGCCTTAAATGTTTTATCTCCTTTAATCCCTGAATGGCATCAAGGCCTCGCTTAGGCCGAATCTTATCTCCTTAATCATTCTAAACACTTAATCCTCACAGATAATGAGAAAGATGAGCATAATAAAAATTATACAGATGAGAAAACAGTAGTTGGGTTAACACTGTGTACTGGGGCTTTGTGAAGTGTTAAGAAGTGCATCACTGGGAGCATAACTTCCCATTCCTTAAGTGTGGGCTGTGTACAGAGACCTCCTTCCAAAAAGAGCACAGTATGAATGAGGACGGAGGCTGGGCGCAGGGCTCACACCTGGAATCCCAGCACTTTGAGAGGCCAAGGCAGATGGATCACTTGAGTTCAGGAGTTCGAGACCAGCATGGCCAACATGGTGAAACCCCATCTCTACTAAAAATTCAAAAATTAGCCGACCATGGTGGTGTAGGCCTGTAATCTCAACTACTTGGGAGGCTGAGGCAGGAGAATCACTTGAACCTGGGAGGAAGAGGTAGCAGTGAGCCAAGATCGTGCCACTACACTCCAGCCTGGGTGACAGAGTGAGACTCTGCCTCAAAAAAAAAAAAAAAAAAAAAGAGGGGAGGAAGGCTGGGCGCATTGGCTCACGCCTATAATCCCAGCACTTTGGGAGGCCACGGTGGGAGGATTGCTTGAGTCCTGGAGTTCAGTACCAGCCTGGGCAACACAGCGAAACCCTGTCTGTATATAAAATAACAAAATTCGCCAGGTGTGGTGGCATGTGCCTGTGGTCCTACTGGAGGCTGAAGTGGGAGGACTGCTTGAGCCTGGGAGGTTGAGGCTCCAGTGAGTCGTGATCGAGTCACTGCACTCCAGCCTGGGTGACAGAGGAAGACTTCATCTCAAAAAAAAAGGCGGGGTGGGGGGAGCAGAGTAACTTTTGTTTGTTGTTTTTTTGAGACAGACTCTCCCACTGTGGCCCAGACTGGAGTGTGGCGGTGCCATTCACAGCTCACTACAGCCTTGAGCTCCCATGCTCAAGCGACCCTCCCACCTCAGACTCGTGAGGAGCTGGGACTACAGCTGTAGAGACAAGGGTCTCACCATGTTGTCCAGGCTGACCAGTGAACTCCTGAGCTCAAGCGACCCACTCACAAATCCTAAAGTGCCTCCCAAAGTGCTGGGATGACAGGCGTGAGCCACCGCACCCAGCCGAGGGTAACTTAACTGTGGAGAACTCTGACATCTGCTACCTTAGTCATGGGATCAGAGTCATCACAGTGATAAGTCATGTTGACAGTCTGTACTTTTGCTATGATGTGATGAAAATGGCACTTCACCTCTGAACTCTTCCTCCTCATAACCCGTAACCCCAGTCTAATCATGAGAAAAACATCAGATAGATACCAACAGAGGGGCAGCCTACAACACACCTGACTAGCACTCCTCAAAACCGTCAAGGTCAGCCAGGCGCGGTGGCTCACTCCTATAATCCCAGCACTTTAGAAGGCCGAGGAGGGTGGATCACAAGGTCCGGAGATTGAGACCATCCTGGCCAACATGGTGAAATTCCATCTCTACTAAAAACGCAAAAATTAGCCGGGCGTGCTGGCGCGCGCTTGTAGTCCCAGCTACTCGGGAGGCTGAGGCAGAAGAATCGCTTGAACCTGGGAGGCGGAGGTTGCAGTGGGCCGAGATTGCGCCACTGCACTCCAGCCTGGCAAGAGTGAGACTCCGTCTCAAAAAACAAACAAACAAAAAAAACTGGACAAGAGGAGCCTAAAGGGACATGACAACTAAAGGCCATGTGATACCCTGGATGGGATCCAGGAACAGAAGAAGGACATTAGGGAAGAACTAAGGCAATCTGAATAAGCCATGGACTCCAGCTCATGATAATGTATCAACACTGGCACACACTGTAACAAATGTGCCCCGCTAATGTAAGATTTAGGATGTGAATAATGGAGGAAACTGCGTGCCCCAGGCATATGGGGACTCTCTGTACTATCTGCCCCATCCTTCTGTAAGTTGAAAACTTGTTCTAAAAAATAAAGTCTGTTTTTCAAAAAGTGGACAATCTCACTTCATGTCCACAGTAACAGGCCCCACCCCATCCTGACCTTCCAGAGGAGGGTAAGAACTCCCCAAGGTCACACGGTGGCAGGGGCAAGGCAGGGCTGCTGGTGAGTAGCCAGAGACTCGCTAGAGTCATTCAGGATGATGCAACCTTAGGGTTAGGGTTAGGGAGACTTCGCACCCAGGTATGGAGAATGGGGACATTTACCTCCCTTAACTATGAGAAGTTAATAAAATGGGCTGCTGGGTAAAGGGCCCGGTGGGTCCCACGACACAGCAAGCATCCCCCCAACGCAGCTCCTGTGAGCTCTCTGCTGAGCCTCAGTCTTGCCATCTGTCCAATGGTCAAGGCCTGGCGCCTGCACGCTGCCCAGCAGGGAGGGATGTCTGCTTTGGACAGAAGTCAGGAATCATCTTAGGAGACCAGGAGCCCTCCCCCTGGCTCCGTGATCTTGCGGCCTCTGCCGGTGGCAGTGACTCCAGGCTGCTGTCTGAGGCTGCTTTAATGGGGGCAGGGGTGGCAGACAGGCACACAGAAGCCTCTTTGTCCCAGCTTTGGGGTGGTGGCAGCTGGCAGCCGGCTCCCCCTGGGGGCAGCTTCGGCTTGGTTACCACCCTTCCCCGCAGAACACTGGGACAAGGAGAGGGATGGGAGACGGCTCACCCCAGGCTACCCTGACTCACGGGGGAACTTGAGGTAGTCGCTGGGCCCGTGCGGGCTTCCATTTCCCCAGAGGTCACCCAGCTGGGACTTCCTCACCCCTCCCTGCCCACCTCAAAGGCCTGGCGTGGAGATGGAAGGCGTGGCTGAGGAGCCAAGTGAATGCACTGAGGGCAAATCCATGGGTTTCGGTCCTGGGTCCCAGTCCTGTCTCTACCGCCTTCCAGCTCAGTCAGATCCAGACTCCACTTCCAGCCACAGGACGGGCCACGACCCGAGCCTGGGACTTCTCTGACCTCATCCCTGACCTCTGGACTCACTGTGCCCTCTGCCCGGAAGGCTTCTCCCAAGGTCCACGAAGGACTCTGCTCCTTTAAGGGCCAACTCACAACCCAAACACTTCCTCCCCCTTCTCCACGTGGAACAAAAGCTCAGGGCTCCTACGGCCTTCACTTGTTCACCCACTCACTCACGACAACGATGTGCGTGTCACAGTGGCTGATGACCTCCACGTGGCTAAATCCAAAGGTCCCTTTACTGGCCACCTTGCTGGTCCACTCGGTGGCTGTTCCCAGTCGACCCCCAAGACTCCTGGAAACACATTCTCCTCTTGGCCCCTGCAAGCCCTCCCTGGTTCTCCCCCGACCTCCCTGGTTCTCCCCCCATCTCCCTGGCAGCGCCATCCCAGCCTCCCTTGCTGGCTCTTCCTCCTCCCCAGCCTGGAAACACGGGAGACTCAGCCCCTGGGGGTGCTCAGCCAGCCTAGGAGATAAGGAGCTTCATCTTGACACAGATGACCCCCGGATTTCTTTCTTTTTTTTTTTTTTTTTCCAGAGGAAGTCTCACTCTGTCGCCCAGGCTAGAGTGCAATGGGGCGATCTTGGCTCACTGCAACCTCTGCCTCCCGTGTTCAATCAATTTCTCCTGTCTCAGCCTCCCCAGTAGCTGGGATTATAGGCGCCTACCACCATGCCCAGCTGATTTTTGTATTTTTAGTGGAGACAGGGTTTCACCGTCCCAAAGTGCTGGGATTACAGGTGTGAACCACCATGCCCGGCCGGACCCCCAGATTGCTATTTCCAGCTGCCTCTCCCTGCCTCCAGACCTAGATTTCCAGTTTCCTGCTCAACACCTCTCCTTAGCTCAACAGCGGCCATCTCAAGCATCTCCCTCAGGCCTGCTCTGCCGATGACCTCTCTCCATCTCTGTGAATGACAGCTTCATCCCTTCCATCTCTCAAGAGAGAAACCTTGGAGTCAAGCTAATTCTCTCTCACCTCCACAGCCAACCTGGAAGCACATTCTGGCAGCTCACCTTTCACAGCTCCTCCAGAATTTGACAACGCATCACCACCTCCACCGCTCCACCCAGGTCTGGGCCACCCTTAGGTCTGGGCTGCCATCTTCACGTGGCTGGACCATGGCAGGCGCCTCCTCCCTGGCTGTCCCCACCCCCAGCCATCTTCCCTGCAGCATCAGATGATGTCAACTCCCTGTGGGAAACTCACCAATGGCTTCTCATGACCCCATATCCAGACCAGGCCCTCATGGCCCCACAACATCTGCTTCCAGTGCCTTGCTGGGCTGCCACAATTTTCCTTTGATCAATTTCCTCCAGCCACAATGGCTTCGCTCTGTTCCCCAAACACACGAGGCACGTGCCAACCTCGGGGCCTTTGCATTTGCTCTTCCCTGTGCCTTGGATGCCCCTCCCCAAGATCTCTGCACGGCCCCTCCCTCACCTCCTTCAGGTCTCTGTGCAAACGTCATCTTTTCAGAGAGGCCTTTCCCGCCTACCCGCTTAGCTTGATTTTGCTTCCCAATGCTGCATCACGTGTGTCTGTGTTTATTAACTCGACATCTTTTCGTGCTTCTGCCTTCCTTGATTTCTGGGACCTGCCTGGGACAGTGGAAGCTCTGGGGAGATAGGGGTAGGGGGCAGGCTCTGCAGGCTGGCACAGTGCCCTTACTGCCTGCATGTTAACACACAAATCGGGGTGGCTATTTAAATCGATTAGGGACTGTGCAAACACCATTATCAGGGGATTGTCTGCTCTCATCAGCCCAGAGAGAAATGTGTGGGATGGGGAAGCTGGTGCTGTGCAGCCTCGAAAGCCAGAGATTTCCTGGGCTGTGGCTGGAAGATCAGATCCCAACCAGGGAAGGGAGATAGTGACCTACCTGGGACATCCACCCTCCCAGCCTGCACAGCACACACCTGGGCTCTGATCCAGCCCATCCTTTACCCCCGTAGAGGCCTGAAACAGCCTGGCCTCCCAATGTTAACTGGAGGCTATACACGCCCTGGTGGGGAAGTCCTCAACTGAGAGCCAGGCAGGTCTGGATTTGCAATCTCAGACTCTGCTGCTGCCTGGGTGAGGACCAATATGTGACTTACTTAGCCTCTCAGATGGTGATGGGAACCTCCTCACTAGGGTAGCACAAAGAGTGAAAAGTGCCCAGCATGGGGCTTGGCACATAGTAGGTGCTCACAAAACATCCGTGATTAAACTGACCAGCGAGGCTGAAGTGAAAGCCTTGATCAGTGGTCTGGCAGGTGCTGTCCCCTCCCCGCCCCTGCTTAGTCACTGGTTTTCTCAGCACTTAGGCACACCTGCATTTTGCCTTCACAACAGCCCTAGGAGGCAGGTACTGCCAGCAGCCTCATTTACACTGTGGTAAATGAGGCTGAGAGATGCAATGTGGCCCAAGGCCACAGAGCCAGGAGGTGGTAGAGCTGGGACTTAAACCCAGGTTTGTAGAGGCCTGCTCGTAACCATCCCCAGATGAGGCTGCAAAGCTCAGACTGTATTCCTGCCCTTGAATATGGGGCTTGAGGCAGAGAGGCTGGGGGTGCAGGTCTCTCCCATCCCTGGGGGCAGGGGACATGCCTGGCTCCTGCCTGGGCTTCCCAGCAATGGATGGGTTCATCTCTCTCCCCTCCAGCTGGTCCGGCCCCCGTCCCCAGCATATACCAACCCCACCCCAGACCCAGATGGCTCAATTAGCTGGCCTGAGCACTATTGGCTTAGGTGGCTAGAACGCTTTTAATGAGATTGTGGGAGTTGAACCCTTAGGAAGGGCCAGGCAGGACCAAGGGCACAGCCGCCCCCTTCAGTCTTGGAGCCGGGGATGGGGAGGGGAAGGGTGGTGCATGGAGAGGAAGGAAACTGAGTCATCCAGGGCCTGGGAGTGGAGATAGTGTATTAACAACTATGTTGTACTCTGCCTTGAAGTGTGACTCTGGACTAGTCCCTTCTCTGAGCCTCAGTTCCCTCATCTGGAAAATGATGACAACCTTAGCGTAAGAAGTGACCGATGGAAAACACCAGGAGGTACTAATAAACAACAGCTCTCTCATTTATTCATTCATCAATTCAAAAAATACTGAGCACCGGCTGTGTGCCAGGCCTGAGGCTTGAGCTAGGGACACAGCAGTGAATGAAACAGACAAAAATCTCTGCTCTCAGAGAGCTGGCATTTGAGTTGGGAGAGATGTTGGGAGAGATAGATGATAAACAAATAAAGACACTGTGGACACAGTGTTAACAACAGAAAAGGGGGATAGTGTGTGACAGGCCTGCTATTTTGAGACGGAGTCTCGCTCTGCTGCCTGGGCTGAAGTGCTGTGGCGTGATCTTGGCTCACTGCAACCTCCGCCTCCTGGGTTCAAATGATTCTCCTGCCCCAGCCTCCCAAGTAGCTGGGACCTACAGGCGCCTGCCACCACGGCCGGCTAATTTTTGTATTTTTAGTAGAGATGGGGTTTCACCACGTTGGCCAGGCTGGTCTCGAACTCCTGACCTCAAGTCATCCGCCCCCCCCCCCCCGCCCCAACGGCCTCCCACAGTGCTGGGACTACAGGCATGAGCCACCACACCTGGCTGGGGCTGCTATGTTTTGTGGGGCAATCACACCTCCTCTGCTGAGAGGAGGTGACCTCTCAGCAGACACCTGGAGTGAGCCATGTAGGTGAGAGTTCTAGGCACAGAGAATGGCACATGCAAAAGCCCTGAAGTAGGAATGTATCTGAGAGCAGGTGACAGACGCACAGTCAGGGGGCCAGCGTGGCAGGTGCAGGGTGACCTAGCATGAGGGTGGCTAGAGGAAGCTGGGGCAGGTACACTGAGGAGCCGGTGTTCTATTCAGCTGCAGATGTATGCAGATGAGAGTGGGGGAGTGGCATGATCTGCCTGGGGCTCTAGCAGGATCCAGCTAGCCATGTGGAGACTGGACGGTGCAGGGCAAAGGTGAAGGCAGGGAGACCAGGAAGAAGGCTCCTGAAACAGCCCAGGCGGGAGAGGATGGTGGCTGGACAAGCGTGGGGACCATGAAGGTACAGAGCCATGGCTGTACTCCTCATGCAGTTTGAAAGTAGAGTTAACAGCATTTGCTGATGGTTTGGATGTGCAATGCAAGAGGAAGAGAGGAACTGAGGATCATGTTTAGGTTTTGGGCCCAAGTGACAGGCTGCAGGGAGGTGCTGCTGACTGCAATAGGGAGGTGGGGTACTCAAGGCACATACTGGACTCAAGCACACACATCCATGCATGTGGACACACACACGCGCCAGTTACCCGGTGGGTCCCTGGCCCCTAGGGAAGTTGAGGCAGGCAGCAGTGCCTCGGGCACTCACCAACACCGAGTATGACGAGGGGTGTGTCCTCCCAGCGGGCCAGCAGCAGGAGATGGACCAGGTTGTGGGCGATGAGGCTGAAGCACAGGATCACAGAGCACCACTCCTGGAGGCGCTTGCCTGCAGGGAGCAGAGGCGAGAGGTAAAGGCTGGAAGGTCAAGGCCAGGCAGAGTGTGGCCCCATGGGAACTTTTCTTTTCTTTTTTTTTTTTCTGAGACAGAGTCTCACTCTATCACCCAGGCTGGAGTGCAGTGGTGCCATCTCGGCTCACTGCAACCTCCACCTCCCAGGTTCAATCGATTCTCCTGCCTCAGCCTCCCGAGTAGCTGGGATTATAGGCACCCGCCACCATGCCCGGCTAATTTTTATATTTTTTAGTAGAGATGGGGTTTCACCATATTGGCCAGGCTGGTCTTGAACTCCTGACCTTGTGATCCGCCCACCTTGGCCTCCCAAAGTGCTGGGATTACAGGTGTGAGCCACCGCACCTGGCCAGGAGCTTTTCAACTTTGTTTAATGCATCTATATTGCCAACCACAAGCTGAGCTTACAGACTCCCGCAAAGGAGTCTGTACCCATTTCACAGATGACGTCACTGAGGCCCTCACCAAGGTCAAACAGTCAGGGCTGGATGCATTAAACCAAGGATGGGGCCCTTCAGAGAGTGGCCCAATTCTCTGACAGACCAATTCTTTGACAGACAGGACCAGAACTCTGGTCTCCTGGGCCCCTCTGGGCTCTCTCTGGAGACACCTAAGGGAACTTTAATGAGCTTCTTTTTCTTTTTTTAAAGTAGAATCTTTGTGGCTTCACTTGTCCCCTTTTGCAGGTAACTATTTGGAGGCAGAGGCTACAAACAACCTTTAATCCTGGTGGCTCACACCCTGCCCAGCCTCCCTCAAGCAGGCTCCAGACAATGAGTCAGGAATTCATGGACAAATAGGGCTCTGGGGCAGTGGGGCTTCTAAAAGTATGGCGTGTGGGCCAGGGAGGCAGAGCTTCTGATTCCCAAGAGGAGCCAGAAGTCAGGCTTTGGGTGTGCAATCTGTTTCAGTGTTGCCACATAGTTTTCACAGACACACGAGCCCAGACAAGCTGATTCACTCGCTGCAGCTTTGTTTGTGGTGTCAAAACTTGGGAAATAACCTAAGTGGCCATTGCCTGGGGATTGGCCAAATGAATTCAGTCCACATCATCTCTGCAGCCAGGAAAACACCTGGGCAGTTGTCTATAAGTGGACGTGGAGAGATGTCCAGGACATCTAGGTAAGTGCAAAAAGCAAAGTGCCAAATAGCAGCCATTTATGTTAAAAAAAAATCTATATAGTTAAGACCGGCTTTTCCCTTATTTCCTTTTAAAGTACTAGCATATTACATTGTTTTCTTTTAATTGTAAATTAAAATAAAAAAATAAAAGGGGGCCATGCATGGTGGCTCACACCTGTAATCCCAGCACTTTGGGAGGCCGAGGCAGGAGGATCATTTGAGACTAGGAGTTCGAGACCAGCCTGGCCAACATGGTGAAACCCCATCTCTACTAAAAATACAAAAATTAGCCAGGCATGTGGCGGGTACCTGTAATCCCAGCTATTCGGGAGGCTGAGGCAAGAGAATCACTTGAATCTGGGAGGTGGAGATTGCAGGGAGCTGAGATGGCACCACTGCACTCCAGCCTGGGCGGCAGAGTGAGACTCCATCTCAAAAAATAAAAACTAAAATAAAAATAAAAATAAAATAAATAAAAGGGGTTAGGCCCAGTGGCTTACTCCTGTAATCCAAGCACCCTGGGAAGCTGAGGCGAGAGGATTGCTTGAGCCCAGGAGTTCAAGACCAGCTTGGGCAACATAGCAAAACCCTGTCTCTATTAATAAACAAAACAAAACAAAAAATTTTAAACATTAAAGGAAATAAGGCCGGGTGCAGTGTTTCACACCTGTAATCCCAGCACCTTGGGAGGCCGAGGCAGGCAGATCACCTGAGGTCAGGAGTTTGAGACCAGCCAGGCCAACGTGGCGAAACCCCATCTCTACTAAAAATACAAAAACTAGCCAGGTGTGGTGGCAGGCGCCTGTAGTCCCAGCTACTCGGGAGAGGCAGGAGAATCGCTTGAACCCAGAAGGCGGAGGTTACAGTGAGCTGAGATCACGCCATTGCACTCCAGCCTGGGTGACAAGAGTAAAACTCCATCTCAAGAAAAAAAAAAATTAAAGGAAATAAAAACACCATGTGGGTGACATAGAACATGTGACTAGGGTATGCCCCAGGCAGCTGCTCCATAAGGCACAGAAGACCTTTAATGACAACAATTTTATCATGGGTGTTTAAAATATACTGAGCAGTTACTACATATCAGGCGCCTGCTGAAGTGATGTCCTTTTGCAGATGAGAAAACTGACCATCAGAGTGGTCAAGGAAGTAGCCCAAAGCCACCCAACTAGTCAGCAGAGACCAGAATTCCATGGCCAGAGGTCTGGCTCCTAAGATCCCGCTCTCGCCCCGCTCTATCCTGTTCCTGCTGCCCCTGGTCCCTCCCTCTATTCCCCATCACCCTATCACCTTGACGACATTCTGGGTCAGGAGCCCAGGCCCCCACTTAAGCAGCGGGGCCAGGCAGGTCCCTGTGAAGGGGTCAGGGCCAGAGCAGGTGAGAAGGGCTCCTCCTGTGTCCACCCTCTCTTCTTTTTAGGACTCTGTGCATGCTGTTCTCTTCACTCCCTGTGCACCTGACACTGTTCCTGCAGATCTCACCCTGGAAACCTCCATCTCCAGGAAGCCATCCATGATGCCTCCTCTGACCCCACACTCCCCCCACACGAGGCCCATTGCTCATGCCTGTGGCCTTGTCTACGTTTGTCTTTCCCTACCTAAATGTGAAGTCGGGAGGCCCAGAACCATGTCTGGCTCACTCACCAGGGCCCTGACACTCAGTAAATGCTTGCAGAATGAGCAAATTCCCAACCACAATCCTAACGGACAACTCCATGGCTTTGTCTCTGGGTGCCGCTCACCGACATACCTTGGGAAGGAAGTACTGGGTTCCCCATTTGTCATGATAGGGAAACTGAGGCTCAGGGAGAGAGAAGGCCTTCTCCAGGTCACACAACAGCAAGCTGCTCCTGACCTACCCTGACCCAGAACCAGGACAGCTGCCCTCCCCTGCCCCTTGAAAAGACCAAGGCTCAGAAGGGGAACGGAACACACCAGGGTTACATGCCCTTGGCTCCTTTTGTGCAGAAGAAGACCGTGAAGCCCAGGAAGGAGAAGGACCTCAACAGAGGTCACATAGCAGAGGTCACAGGGGCCTAGATCTCCTGGTTCCCCAATTCTCAGGCGAGGGCTGTTTCTCTTGAGCCACGCAGCACCCCCACTGCCCCAGCAGCCGCCCCAGCCTGGGGATCACCATGATCAGGCCCAGCAAGGCCTTCCCCTTTCTGATTCTTGTTTGTAGCCAAGGCCCAGGGCTCAGAAGCAGAAAACCCCGAGTGGGTGGGGTGGGAGGACACGGAGAGGCGGTGAGAAGGAAAGAACAAGTGAACCTTCCCGATCGACCTGCCTGCCTGCCCCACAGCATGCAGGGACAGGAAGTGGGCAGAGCCAACTGCAACATGATCAAATAACAGTTACCCTAACAATGGCTGACACACACTGAAGCCTGTCATGCGCTGGGGTGTGGCCCATATCGGAGAGGTTGCAAACTGACTCCCTCTGACATGTTTTGCCCTCAGTTTTAAAAAGTGAGCTAAATTTGAAAATCACGTAAAATTCCTAGTTTCCTGCTTCCCTCAACAACACAGGGCTCTGGCCACCCTAGGCCTAAACAATAAGTAATAGCTGCCCCCATCCAATGGGATATGAGCTCCAGGTTCACCCTGGTCCTCTCCCTTCCCTGGGGTCTCACACTGGGTGGCCAGATTTGGTGGCAGCCCTGGCTGGGCCCCTGCAGTCATCTGAGTTTTTGAGTCTGAGGCACAGTCTCTCATTCAAGTATCAGCCCGTCAAGGAAGGAACTGAGTGATCTCATTTCCTAGACAAGGAAACTGAGGTTCAGAGCTGGGTTTGGATCCCAGACACATCAATGAGACATGTTAGCCTGGACGTTCGGGGCAGTCCTGAAACCAAAGATGATCCAGCTCTCTCCCCACGCCATGGAGAACGTCCTCCAAATCTGAATATTTTTCCATCTAAACTCCATCTCTCTTTGGCCTCTGGAAGCTGGATCCTTCTGCAGACCAAATACCTTAATTCTCATCCATAAAGAATGCATACACAATGGCCGGGTGTGGTGGCTCATGCCTGTAATCCCAGCATTTTGGGAGGCCGAGGTGGGCAGATCACGAGGTCAAGAGTTCGAGATCAGCCTGGCTAACATGAACATGGTGAAACCCCGTCTCTAAGAATACAAAAATTAGCCAGGTGTGGTGGTGTGCACCTGTAATCTCCTAGCTACTCGGGAGGGTGCACCTGTAATCTCCTAGCTACTCGGGAGGCTGAGGCAGGAGAATCACGTGAACCCAGGAGGCAGAGGTTGCAGTGAGCCGAGATCGTGCCACTGTACTCCAGCCTGGGCGACAGAGCAAGACTCCGTCTCCAGGGGGAGAAAACATACACAACTTAAGTAGCTTTCACTGAGCAACTGGAACATGCCAGATACAGGGCTAAGATGATCTCAGCACCCCTCACCACCTCCTGGAGCTAGGGACCCTCTGTCCCATCCTTCAGAGAGAGAAGCTGGGCCTGGAGAGGTCAAGGCACTTGTCCAAAGTCACTTGAGGGTCACCAAAGTCACAGCATGGATCATCAGCCTGGCAGGGCCTGTGGGGTCAACTGGCCTAAACTGTATCACTTAACAGATGAGCAGACTGAGGTGGGGACAGGGAGGGTGGCTGCTCAGGACACAGGAGGCCCGGGCTGTCTTCTGGCTGTAGTGCTGAGGTCCTGCTATCAGAGCCAGCCCCTGGCTTGGCAGGGTTTGAAGATCTGAGCCAAAAGCAGTAGCCACTTATTGGCCTGAGGAAGGGGCTGGCCTCGTGTGGTAGGTATGGGGAGCTAGGAAGAGCAGGGGAGGCCTGGGGTCATGCCTTTGTCATCCTGCTTTCCAGGGGACAGGCTGCAGTCAAAGGCTTGGTGGGCCCAACTCTTCTGGTTCCAGGCAGAGACAAGCCCCAAATAAGCTGGACTTCTGAGGACCCCTGGCCTCCAGCAGACCCTCAGCCTCAGGGAGATGGGGGACAAGAGGTAGAGAGAAGGTGGGGATGAGAGATGGACAGAGGGACAAATAAGAGATGAGAGACAAATAAGGAATCAGAGCCATGGGAAGATGAGAAACAGGCTGAGTGCCGCGGCTCATGCCTGTAATCCCAGCACTTTAGGAGGCAAAGGTAGGAGGATCACTTGAGGTCAGGAGTTGGAGACCAGCCTGGGCAACATAACTAGATCCTGCCTCTACAAAAATAAAAATAAAAATTAGCTGGGCGTGGTGGCTCACACCTGCAATCTCGGCACTTTGGAGGCTGAGGCGGGAGGATCATTTGAGCTCAGAAGTTTTGGGTTGCAGTGAGCTGCAATCGCTCCATCACACTCCAGCCTAGGTAACAGAGCAAAACCTTGTCTCAAAAACAAACAAACAAAAAAACCGAAAGAAACAAAGATGAGAAACAGAGACAAAAGGAGCAAAAAACAGAAAGCCCATCTGGGGGACTGAACCCCTGGGTTCAGCTTTGGGAGTACAGGCCAGGACTCTCACCCAGTACTCCTGACACCCTCCACCTTTCCCTTCCCCCTGTGCCAAGAGCCTCTGTAATCCCCAGGGCAGGGGGCACCCACAGTTGGCCTGGGTGGGGTACAGGTGGATCAAGGACCGTGAGGCTGCACCCATGAAGCCTGGGGCACCTGAGAAGTAGCACACACATGGCCAGATTTCAGCTGGGACCTCCTGGGAAGCTGGACACCCGCCTCACCCTCTGGCCTGCCAAGCTGGCCAGGCCCTTCACAAACCCTGACATCTGGCATGAGGTGGGCTGCTGCTGGGAAACTCAGCCCAGAACAGGACAGAACGGCTCCTGGGTCCTGCAGGACCAGGGCTCAACCTCTGGGCCAGACACTTGGGGCCTGCGAAATCAGGCTGTGGCCGCCTCCCTGCTGCACCTGTCACCATTCCCTCAGCCCCATGCTGCTCTGGTCCAACTACTCACAGCTCCCTACACACAGAGGCCCATTCTCTGCCACCTGCCCTGCACACATGCTGTTCTGATGATCCGGAATACTCGCCCCCACCTCCCACACACTCACCCCTGGCTGGCTGACTTCCATAGTGAAGAGTAAGAACACAGAACCTAGCGCACCCCCACCCGGCCCAGTCCCGGGTTCCAGGCCTAGCCCTACTGCTGCCCGGTGCCCCGCCGTATGACCTCAGGCAGCCTCTCCCATTTTCTAAGCCTCAGGAAATGTTCCAACAAAAGTGGACTGGGTGCTCATGAGGGGCCAAGCACTTTAATCAAACCAAATAGGTTCAGTCCCTGTCCTGCTGGCCTTCCCATCAGGTGAGGGCAGATGCGGGCCTAACCCCGATCAGGGTGAGCTTTAGGAAGAGCATGCCTGGGGTGGGGGTTGGGAGGGGTTGCAGCCTCCTCCTCTGTGAATGCAGTTAATATCAAGGTACAGCTCACACGGTTGTAGTGGGGATGCACGGAGAGCAGGTGAGGAAAATGCCAGCACAGTGAGGCTCAATCACTCGGCTATGTTGATTGCCATGATTATGGCTGTCAACTGTCACAGTGCCAAACCACCTCCAGCCCCAGTAATCTCAAACATTCTGCTCCTAGAACCCAGGAACTTCTTCTACTCTTCCCTCCAGCCTACATGTGTCCTCCATATTCCCTAAACATGCCTGGCAAGCTCCCACCTCAGGGTCTCTGCATTTGTTGTTTCCCTGGTCTGGACCAACCCTTCTTCAAATATCCTCAAGGCTCCCTCCCTCCAGTCCTTCCTCCCTTCAGGCCTCACTTCGAATGTCACCTGCTCAGGGAAGCCTTCACTGCCCCCTCCCTAAAATGTCATTCCTGTCCCCAACATTTCAGATCCCCCTCTCCTGCTATGTATTTGCTCCACAGCGCTTGCCACCACTGGGCACGTGAGACAGTTATTTGTCAAGTTTATGGCCCGGCTATTTACTAAAATGCCAGCTCCGTTTTTTTCTTTTTCTTTTTTTTTGAGACAGAGTCTCGCTCTGTCATCCAGGCTGGAATGCAGTGGTGTGGTATTGGCTCACTGCAACAACCTCCGCCTCCTGGGTTCAAGAGATTATCCTGCCTCAGCCTCCTGAGTAGGTGGGATTACAGGGGCCTGCCACCATGCCCAGCTAATTTCTGTATTTTTAGTAGAGTCGGGGTTTCGCCATGTTGGCCAGGCTGGTCTCGAACTCCTGACCTCAAGTGATCCACCCACCTCGGCCTCCCAAAGTGCTAGGATTACGGGTGTGAGCCACCGCGCCCGGCCAGCTCCATTTTTTTCTGTCTTGTTCACCATTCTGCCCCCAGAGCCTAGAACATGGACTAGAACATAGGTGTTCAATATGCACTGAGCCTGGTCTCTCACTTTTTCAGGCCCAGAGAGGTCAAATACTTCCCCAAGATCACACAGTGAGCAGATAGAAGCAGAGAGGCCAGTGGAAAGGAAGTTGGAGAAACCAGTTTGGCAAGTCTCCTCCCCTACCTCCAGGTCTGGAGGAGATAAAGGGCCTTGATTGCAGATTTGGGGCACCAGGCTGTCTGCAGACTCTGATTCAGGCATGGCTGTTCTTCAGAGAGTGAAGGGCACTTGGGGAAACCAGAAATGGACAAATATGCAATTGATCGTGGTGGAGTGGGGAAACAGCAATCCCTGGGGAGGCTCAGAATGCCTGGGAATGATTTGGGCTGTCTGAAAGTAGGTAGGGTTCACAGGAGCAGGCAGAGCTGGACACTAAAGAGGGAGGCCCTTGAATCCTTATCCCCAATTCCCAGGTGGGGAGTTTGAGGACCAGAGAGGTGAGGCGGATCCCCCACAGCAAAGGTCAGACTACTGTTAACAACAGGGAGGCGCCAGGCACAGTGGCTCACGCCTGTAATCCCAGCACTGTGGGAGGCCGAGGTGGGCGGATCACAAGGTCAAGAGATCGAGACCACCCTGGCTAACACAGTGAAACCCCATCTCTACTGAAAATACAGAAAATTAGCCGGGCATGGTGGCGGGCGCCTGTAGTCCCAGCTACTCAGGAGGCTGAGGCAGGAGAATGGCGTGAACCCGGGAGGAGGAGCTTGCAGTGAGCCGAGATCACGCCACTGCACTCCAGCCTGGGCAACAGAGTGAGACTCCATCTCAAAACAAATAAAACAAAACAAAACAAAAAACAACAAAAAAACCCACACAACAACAGGGAGTGCCTACTGAATGCCAGTGGACGATCTCATTTCCACTTCCTAACACGAAGGGGCAGATAAACTTTAACTTGCAAGGAAACCAAGGGGAAACAGAGACGGAAAGTGGCTTGGACCAGGTCATACAGCTGAATAACAGAGTCAGGATGTTAACCCTGGCCTACCCCCAGGAGAGCAGGAGGTTTTAAGTCCATAGGCTGGGTGTCTTGGGTATAGGCCTGAAGAAACCATAGCGGCATGGACCAGGTGCCCAAGTCAGGTGTGAAAAATCACATACAGAGAATGGAGTGGTCTAGGACCCAGTGAGGAAATGCAAATGGTCCGTGGCCATGCCGCCTTTTAAGGAAGAGACGGCATGGAACCCAGGCCAGTGAGGGCAGAAAGCTAAGGTGCTAGTGACCCCAGGCCCACTCCAGGCAAGGGCTGCATGTGGTGCTTGGTGGCTGCCCCACAGAAAAAGGAAGGATGTCAGGATATTTGACAAACAAAGCTTCATTCCATGGTGACACCCAGGTAGAGGTGCCTCCCAGTCACCTGAACCAGGAGTTCTCAAAGGCACTTCCTTAACTCCTGGGGATATAGGGCCCTCCTGAGGCCAAACAGTAAAATTCCTAGGGCTCACGTAGGAGTCACAAAAGTGGGTGTAGGGGGGGTGCTTGCTGGAGCATATACAGTGAGCAAAGCAGGAAGAAGCTAGGGAGAAACCGTGGCCTGAGGGAAAGGGACAGAGAGGGAGAGGTGAACTCCAACTTATGATCTGGTCTGGGGAATATGGGGGTTCCAGTCCCAAGTCCTAAGGAAGGGGCCAATACATGGATGTGAGGGAGGGGCAAGAGCTAGAGTTGGGGCTTATGTACAGGGGAGCTTACAGTGGGGTACATTCAGTCCCCTCACTGCCTGGGATCCAGGAATATGGGGCAAGGACTGATGCTCACCACTGGAGGGTTGGGGAGAGGATATCGGTCTGTAGCCACTGAAGCTATCACTAGGATGGGGTTTTGGGGGAAGGGTGTGGGGGGTACCGTGCAGCTGGAAGCCCCTGAGTTAGGGTTCCCTGGGCAGAGGGGCTGACATTCCCAGGTTAGGGAGGTGAGGTCATTGTTTGCAGCCCAGGGCCTGGGCTAGGGCACAGAGGAGGTACTAGGATGTAGATTCCAGATCTGGGGAACCCAGGATGAGGTGTGACTTTTAGGGGCCTGAGGGCAGTGCTTACAGCTGAAGGGCAGCTTTGGGCTTGGACCGGGTCCTGGGGGGATGAGGGGGTGGGGTTCTAAGTCTAGGAGCACTCTTCACAACCGAGAATGCCCCGGGGCTAGGATTCCGTATCTGCGGGTCCGATGGGAGCTCCGTTTGTCGCCCAGGGAGCTCATGGTAATTTCTTGATCTGGGGAGTGTCTCTGCAGCCAGGAAACCCCGGGGCCAAGGTTCTGGCTTGGGTTCGGAAGGGACACTGGGGTGGGGTCCCCGAACTTGCTATTTGCAAGTTAGACACCCGGGCTGGAGTTCCGCATCTGGGCCCGAGGTTGGGACTCCAGTCTGGGGTCGCTGTCCGCAGCCGGGGCTGGTGACCGCAGGCCTGGAGGGGGGCCCAGAGGTCTTACCTGGCGAGTAGAGCGCAGCCAGCTCGCGGGCCCCGGCGTGCTGCGCGCCCCAGCGGCAACAAGACGCCTCGTCCTCGTCCAGCTCCAGCTGCTGGCCCGGCCAGTTCTCGGCGCCCGCCATGGCCACTCGCCCGATCGGCCCGGTGCGCTCTGCTGGCGGCGGCGGCGGCAGGGCCGCGGAACCGCGGCGAGATCACGCCGCCCAATGACCGCCCAGCGCCGGGCGCGGCGGCGGCGCGGGCGGGGTCCTCGCCCGGCCGCGCGTCACAGCCAATCGGGGCTCGCGCCGGAGCCGCGCAGGCCAATCGGACGTCGCTGAGCCGCAGCCAACCGCCGCGAGCCGGAGGCTGGGACGCAGCTGGACGCAGCTGGGCGCGGAAGCTTGGGGCGGAGGCGCGTGCCCGCCTTCCCAGCTCAGCCCCGGCAGGGCTCCCGGCTCCAGCCCACTGGGAGCTCGCGGCGCGTCGCCGCCCAGCTAGGCTTCGGTTCACGGGCCCATGCAATGGGCCGAGGCAGGGCCCAGAAATGGGCATTTCTTGAGCCGGCAGCGTTAAGCGCCCACTGTGTGCAAGGAACGCGAGGGCAGGGCGCCGGGCTGGGGCCGAGGCCAGGAAGCATTTGGCGGGTGCTCTGTACGATGCTCCCTAGCGAGGCCGATGGAGAGTGGGCTGGTTTATCAAGCCCTACTGTGTGCAGAGGTTTCGGGTGCCATGTGTTCATCAGCTGTGTGCCAGCTCTGTGCTGTGCGCCCAAAGAGGAGAAACGTCGAGCCTGCCCCGCATCCTCCCCAGCTCATGTTCTCCCGGTGGCGAGGACAGTAAACTAATGAAAATGACAACTAGGGTCACTATGAGATTTGCTGAGCGCTTAATATCTGTCAGGTGCTGGACCAAGAGCTAGACGAGCAACATTTATTTGACTCTTAAACACCAATGGTATTGCCTCCTCAGAGAGCCCCACCACCACCACCCTGCTCAAAGGTGCCCCCTCCTCCAGTCACTGTGACATCACCCTGTTTTGTCTTCACAGCGCTTCTGGTGGGGATTGAGCTTGCAGTCCCTGTCTCTCCTATCAGAGAGCAAGCTCCTGAGGGCAGAGAACAGCTTTGTTTACAGCAGGGCCCCCGTGCCAGGATCGGGGCTGGAACATGGTAGAAGCTCAATAAATGCTTGATGAATGAATTAAGGCTCAGCCAGATGCGTCTAATACTTCGGCAGATAAATGACAGCAGCAGGGATTTACCCCAGGTCTAACCGACAACAAAGTATGCAATAATTTCTCATAGAAATTCCATACAGGCAGCCGGGCGCGGTGGCTCACGCCGGTAATCCCAGCACTTTGGGAGGCCAAGGCGGGCGGATCATGAGGTCAGGAGATCGAGACCATCCTGGCTAACACGGTGAAACCCCGTCTCTACTAAAAATACAAAAAATTAGCTGGGCGCGGTGGCGGGCGCCTGTAGTCCCAGCTACTCGGGAGGCTGAGACAGGAGAATGGCGTGAACCCGGGAGGCGGAGCTTGCAGTGAGCCGAGATCGCGCCACTGCACTCCAGCCTGGGCGACAGAGGGAGACTCCGTCTCAAAAAAAAAAAAAAAAAATTCCATACAGGCTGGACGCGGTGGCTCAGGCCTGTAATCCCAGCACTTTGGGAGGCCGAGGCCAGTGGATCACCTAAGGCCAGGAGTTTGAGACCAGCCTGGACAACATGGTAAAACCTTGTCTCTACTAAAAATACAAAAATTAGGCAAGCTACTTATCCCAGATACTTGGAAGGCTGAGGCAGGAGAATCACTTGAACCTGGGAGGTGGAGGTTGCAGTGAGCCGAGATGGCGCCACTGCACTCCAACCTGGGTGACAAGAGTGAGACTTGGTCTCAAAAAAAAAAAAAATCCATACAGTGAGATCACATAGGAGCCTCCCTAGAGGCTGTGGAAGGTCCTGAAAGGTGCTGGGGGAGCAGAGAGGGAAGGTAAGATCCCCTTCCAGAATCCAGGTTCTCTGAGGGTTTAAGTCCTGGATTCCTGCACTACCAGTCACCCCAGGGCTGTTTCCTGAGTGTTCCTACCATAGACAGCCACTGTCCCCACCCAGGCCTATGCTCCCTCCGTTTCTTTCCCACACCTGCTCCCAGGAAGGAAAAGCCACCTTCCAGTGGCAGGGATGGGTTGCAACCCAAGTCCTGGTGAATTCCGGTGAAGCTGGCTGGTTTTGCATCAGTATTAACAGCACAGTTAATCCAACAGTTGGATTTTTTAACCCAGGAGCTTAAGGCTTGGGTGGGGGGCGGCGGACGGGGGGGGGGGGGCGCGGTTGGTGGCTTTGGTGGGGGCTGGATGTCAGATTTCAGGTAAATACCTTCTAAAGCTCTCTGCTCGTATCCCACAGCCTCCAAACAGGGTAGGGTGGCTGGTTACTGCTGCTGTCCAGAGACCCTCACAGTGGCCAGCACCAGATGGTTGATGGACAGACTGCCTGAGATAACTCATTCCTTCATTCATTCACTGAACATGTTTATTAAACACCAACCTGTCCCAGGGAAACAGCAGGGAATGTGACAGAATCCCTGCTTTCTTGGGAGGTGGGGGTGAAGGTTAGGGAAGTCCTGTTTAAGAAGGTGACATTGGATCCAAGACCTAAAGGATATGGGGGAGACAGTTACTTAAAATGAGCTGGGAAGTCCCTTCCCTGTGGGGTTTTGAGTAGAGGAATGACATGATCTGACTTTTTTTTTTTTTTTTTTTTTTTTTTGAGACGGAGTCTCGCTCTGTCGCCCAGGCCGGACTGCGGACTGCAGTGGCGCAATCTCGGCTCACTGCAAGCTCCGCTTCCCGGGTTCACGCCATTCTCCTGCCTCAGCCTCCCGAGTAGCTGGGACTACAGGCGCCCGCCACCGCGCCCGGCTAATTTTTTGTATTTTTAGTAGAGACGGGGTTTCACCTTGTTAGCCAGGATGGTCTCGATCTCCTGACCTCATGATCCACCCGCCTCGGCCTCCCAAAGTGCTGGGATTACAGGCGTGAGCCACCGCGCCCGGCCGACTTTTTTTTTTTTTTGAGACGGAGTCTCACTCTGTCGCCAGGCTGGAGTGCAGTGGCACAATCTCGTCTCACTGCAACCTCTGCCCCCCGGGTTCAAGCGATCCTCCTGCCTCAGCATCCTGAGTAGCTGGGACTACAGGCACGCGCCACCACACCCAGCTAATTTTTGTATTTTTAGTAGAGACCGGGTTTCACCGTGTTGGCCAGGATGGTCTCGGTCTCTTGACCTCGTGATCTGCCCACCTCAGCCTTCCAAAGTGCTGGGATTACAGGCGTGAGCCACCCCACCCGCCTTTTTTTTTTTTTTTTTTTTTTGAGACAGGGTCTCACTCTGTCACCTGGGCTGGAGTGCAGCAGTGGCACAATCTTGGCTCACTGCAGCCTTGACTTCCCAGGCTTAAGGGATTCTCCCACCTCAGTCTCCCAAGTAGCTGGGACTACAGGTGCTCGCCACCATGCCTGGCTAACTTTTGTATT
Organism: Homo sapiens; assembly: GCF_000001405.40. Lineage (NCBI taxonomy): Eukaryota > Metazoa > Chordata > Mammalia > Primates > Hominidae > Homo > Homo sapiens. The sequence goes on from NC_000020.11 coordinate 50,157,034, forward strand.
GTTGGTAGAGATGGGGTTTTGCCATGTTGCCCAGGCTGGTCTCAAACTCCTGGGCTAAAGCCATCCTCCCACCTCAGCTTCCCAAAGTGCTGGGATTATAGGCATGAGCCACTGTGCCCAGCCTATATCTTTTGTTTCATGAGATATAAATCTTTTTTTTTTTTTTTTTGAGACAGAGTCTCGCTCTGTCACCCAGGCTGGAGTGCAGTGGCGTGATCTCGGCTCACTGCAAACTTTGCCTTCCGGTTTCAAGCGATTCTCCTGCCTCAGCCTCCTGAGTAGCTGAAATTACAGGCGCCCACAATCCCTGGCTGATTTTTGTATTTTTAGTAGAGATGGGGTTTCACCATGTTGGCCAGGCTGGTCTCGAACTCCTGACCTCGTGATCCGTCCGTGTTGGCCTCCCAAAGTGCTGAGATTACAGGCATGAGCCACCATGCCCCACCAAGAGATATAAATTTCATACCTTTTAAAGTATAAAGTGAACCATATTAAATTCCGTGGTTTTTAGTATATTCACACAGTTGTGTAATCATCACGACTATCTAGTTCCAGAACATTTTAAGTACCCCCAAAAGAAACCCCATATCCATTAGCAGTTACTCCCTCACTTCCCTCTTTCCCCAGCCCCTGGTAACCATTAATCTACTTTCTGCTTCTAAGGACTTGCTTCTACTGGACATTTCAATATAATGGAATCATATAATCTATAATTATATGAAGCCTTTTTTGTCTGGCTTCTTTCACTTAGCATAATGTTTTCAAGGTTCATCCATGTTGTAGCACATGTCAGAACTGCACTTTTTTATTCTTCCAGTAGCTCAGATTACAGGCATGCGCCATCACGCCCAGCTAATTTTTTTGTATTTAGTAGAGACGGGGTTTCACCATGTTAGTCAGGCTGATTGTGAACTCCTGACCTCAGGTGATACACCTGCCTCGGCCTCCCAAAGTGCTGGGATTACAGGCATGCGCCACCGCGCCCGGCCACGTATATCTTTTTTGGAGAAATATCTATTAAAATCCTTTGCCTTGGCCGGATGTGGTGGCTCATGCCTGTAATCCCAGCTACTTGGGAGACTGAGGCAGGAGAATCATTTGATCCTGGGAGGCGAGTGATCCGAGTGAGCTGAGACCACGCCATTGCACTCTAGCCTGGGCAGCAAGAGCGAAACTCCATATCAAAAACAAACAAACAAAAAATCAAATCCTTTGCCTTTTTTCAAATTCAGTTATTGGTATTTTTCTTGAATTGTAAGAGTTCTTGATATAGTATGGCTATTAATCCCTTATCATATATAGGATTTACGACAATTTTCTCTCATTCTGTTGGTTGTCTTTTAACTTCCTTGATAATGTTCTTTGACATACACTTTTTTTTTTTTTTTTTAAATAGGGTCTCATTCTTTTGTCCAGGCTGGAGTGCAGTGGTGTGATCATGGCTCACTGCAGCCTTGAACTCTTGGGTTCAGGTGATTCTCCCACCTCAGTCATCCAAGTAGCTGGGATTACAGGCAGATTACAGGCATGGGCCACCACACTCAGTTAATTTTTTGTATTTTTTTTTTTTGAGTGGAGTCTTACTCTGTTGCCCTGGCTGGAGCGCAGTGGTGTGATCCCAGCTCACTACAACCTCCGCCTCTTGGGTTCAAGCGATTCTCCTGCCTCAGCCTCTCAAATAGCTGGGATTACAGATGTGCTCCACCACACCAGCTAATTTTTTATATTTTTAGTAGAGATGAGGTTTCACCATGTTGGTCAGGCTAGTCTCGAACTCCTGACCTCATGTGATCCAACCACCTTGGCCTCCCAAAGTGCTGGGATTACAGGCGTGAGCCACGGCACCCAGCCCAGACTTCCCTTTTTAAAAAAATTTTTTCTTCCTCACAGGGTCTCTGTATTTGTCTCCCTGGCTGGAATGCAGTGGCACCATCATGGCTCACTGTAGCCTCAACCTCTTAGGCTCAAACAATCCTCCTACCTCAGCCTCCCAAGTAGCTTGGATCACAGGCACACACCACCATGCCTGGCTAATTTATTTTTTGTAGAGATGGGGTCTCACTATGTTGCCCAGGCTGGTCTTGAACTCCTGGGCTCAAGCAAACCTCCTACTTCAGCCTCCCAAAGTGCTGGGATTACAGGCGTGAGCCACTGCGCTTGGCCTCCGAGTGGTACATTTGTTAATTGATAAACCTATATTGACACTCCATTATCACCCAAAGTCAATAGCTGGCATTACGATTCACTCTTGGTGTACATTCTGTGGGCTTGGGCAAATGTGTAATGACATGGATCCACCATCATAGTTATCAGACAGAGTAGTTTCACTGCCCTAAAAATCCTCTATTGCAGATGTATTTTAATGATTTGGCTGAATATGTGGGCTGCTAAGAAGTGGGCTTTGAGCCCACAGGAATTTAAAAAAAACCCAGGCCATAGCCTGGCAGAAGGACCAGGGGGCCTCAGAGAGTATACCAGGCTGTGAGAAGAGCCTCAGAGGCAAGCAGGGATGGCCATGTGGTCAGGATGTCGGGGGCTCCTGAGAGGCTGTGTGTGCCCAGCAGAGCCACCTGTTCCCTGATCCAGTCACTGAGCACATCTCCTCACCCCCAGCAGGGCTTCCTACCCAGCAGAAAGTGCCCCAGGCAGTGCTCTGGCCCTGTTGCGGGCTTTAGGCCAACACCCTCAGTGTGTCCACCTCCTGACAAGGGACAAGAGTGTGGACAGGAAGGCTTCCTTCCCTGGGGGTGGGGGGTGTCCTGGAGGGACTGATCAGAACCAGATGTTGCCTGTCTGGACTGTGGCACAGCTGTCCCCAAACTTCCTCTTTTCCACAAAAGGTTCTTTTCGAAACATGTGAGACATGGGCATGTGGATATCTGTTCCTGGCTGCCGACATCCATTCCTGCTCCTTCATAGAAATAATACCCTGAATTGGCTGGGTACGGTGGCTCACGCCTGTAATCCCAGCACTTTGGGAGGCCAAGGCAGGCGGATCATGAGGTCAGGACATCGAGACCATGCTGGCTAACATGGTGAAACCCCGTCCCTACTAAAAATACAAAAAAAGTAGCCGGGTGTGGTGGCACGTGCCTGTAGTCCCAGCTACTCGGGAGGCTGGGGCAGGAGAATCGCTGAACCCGGGAGGTGTAGGTTGCAGTGAGCCAAGATCACACTCCAGCCTGGGTGACAGAGTGAGACTCCATCTCAAAAAAGAAAAAAAAAAATGCCCTGAAGTTTTGGAGGAATCTCTCTTGCTGCCCCTGTTCTCAGCCCCTGAATTTAGCACAAGCCAAGCTACATTGTCCAGTCCCCTGGGATGCAGTGATTGGTTCAGGGATGAGCATGTGACTTCAGATGGTCTATGACAGTGGACTTCAGGATCCTGGTATGGAATTGGGATGTGAATAAGAAAGCAAGTCTCATCAGAATCTGCTGGCAGCCATGGGGGCATCATCCTCAGGGTGAGTGCAACATTAGAGGAAGCAAAAAGGAGAGACCAAGAGAAACCAGGTCCTTGCTGAGACCTTTAAGTGCCTGGATCAAGCTTCACCTGAAAGCAGCCCTACCTTTCCAGTCAGACAGACTTAGGTTAAGTCTCAGCTCCACCACTTGTGTGCTGTGTGACCATGGGCAAATTATTTACTCTCTCAGGATGTCAGTTTCCTCCTGTAAAAATGGGGATCCTAGCAGAGTGCCAGCTTCATAGGGTTGTTATGAAGATAAGTTAATACATACATAGTTGTTAGAAGAGTGCCTGGTATATTGTAAACCCTCAATAAATTTTATTTTATTTTATTTTTTTGAGACAGAGTCTCACTCTGTCATCCGGGCTGGAGTGCAATGGCTCGATCTCGGCTCACTGCAACCTCCGCCTCTGGGGTACAAGTGATTCTCCTGCCTCAGCCTCTCAAGTAGCTGGGATTACAGGTGCCTGTCACCACGCCCAGCTAATTTTTGTATTCTTAGTAGAGATGGGGTTTTGCCATGTTGGCCAGGCTGGTCTCAAACTCCTGACCTCAAGTGACCCACCTGCCTCGGCCTCCCAAAGTGCTGGGATTATAGGTGTGAGCCACTACACCCGCCTTCAATAAATTTTAGCTATTACTGTTAGCACTGAGCCACTGGAACAAACCTTACCTGAACTGAAACTTTCCTTTGAACTTCACTGATATAGGAATCCAGTGGATTCTGTTTTTGTTTGTTTGTTTGTTTGTTTTTTGAGATGGAGTTTTGCTCTTGTTGCTTAGGTTGGAGTGCAATGGTGTGATCTCGGCTCACGGCAACCTCTGCCTCCTGGGTTCAAGCGATTCTCCTGCCTCAGCCTCCTGACTAGCTGGGATTACAGGCATGCACCACCACGCCCAGCTAATTTTGTATTTTTTAGTAGAGACGGGGTTTCTCCATGTTGTTCAGGCTGGTCTTGAACTCCTGACCTCAGGTGATCCACCTGCCTTGGCCTCCCAAAGTGCTAGGATTACAGGCATGAGCCACCGTGCCTGGCCTGGATTCTGTTTTTATTTTGCTATATTTTTTCTTGCTTGCAGAGTGTGGGGCCTGAGATCAGGGAAGGATCAGCGAGAAAGGTGTGGGGAACTGTGTTTGAAGGTGGCTATTGCTCTGTGGCAGGCAGTTTGCATACAACTTGCTATTTGGCCCCATTTTCCAGAAAAGGAAACTGAGGTTCAGAGAAGTTAAGTTGTCCAATGTTTCGTTTTTTTTTTTTTTTTTTTTTGAGATGGAGTCTTGCTCTGCCACCCAGGCTGGAACGCAGTGGCGTGATCTTGGCTCACTGCAACCTCCGCCTCTGGGGTTCATGCCATTCTCTTGCCTCAGCCTCCCAAGTAGCTGGGACGACAGGCGCCCACCACCACACCCGGCTAATTTTTTTGTATGTTTAGTAGGGACGGGGTTTCACCGTGTTAGCCATGATGGTCTCAATCTCCTGACCTCGTGATCCGCCCGCCTCGGCCTCCCAAGGTGCTGGGATTACAGGTGTGAGCCACTGCACCTGGCCAACTTCTCCAGTGTTTTTACCAAGGAGAAAAGGTAAGGTAAGGTGCCGGGTGTGGTGGCTCACACCTGTAATCCCAGCACTTTGGGAGGCCGAGGCGGGTGGATTACTTGAGGCCAGGAGTTCGAGACCAGCCTGGCTAACATGGGAAACCCCATCTCTACTAAAAACACAAAAATTAGCTGGGCGTGGTGGCACGTGCCTGTGCCTGTAATCTCAACTACTGGGGAGGCTGTGGCAGGAGAATGGCTTGAACCCGGGAGGCGGAGGTTGCAGTGAGCCGAGATCACACCACTGCACTCCAGCCTGGGCGACAGAGCAAGACTCCGTCTCAAAAAACAAAACAAAACAAAGATAAGGGAGGGAAGCTGGACACTGGGTATGGCAAGAGTAAACGCCAGGAGATGTGACTGTACCTGGTGTGCATGCAGGGAATGGGAGTCATTAGGAATCCAGAGGAATTAGCGGGGAATAAAAGGCCAGGAGGCCAGGAAGGGCGGAGTCCAGCTCCGTATCGGTGGTGGTTGAAGCTATCTTTGTGTTATGGCCACATCAGGGGTTCCCTTGCATCAATCTTCTTATCTGTGAGGGGGACATAGAGGTGCATTTGTTTGGATTAGATTTGACTATAAGCCACAGATATCCCAAAGTTATAGTGGCTTAAACATGGCAGACACACACACACACACACACACTACACACACACACACACACACGAACATGGCAGACATTTCTTTTCCTTTCACATAGGTATAGGGGACCAGAGGTAGTGTGGCAGAATCCACAATCACCAGGCCCCTTCTATCTGGTCACTCCACCATCTGGTCGGTCAACCAACAGGTGGCTTCCACCTCAGGGCCCAAGAAGGTTGCTCATGCTGCAGCCGTTTTGTCATATTCCAGCCAGCAGGAAGGGGCAAAGAAGGCAACACTTCCCTGCTTTGATCCCACTGGTTAGAACTTGGTCTTAGTCACATGGCACTCTCTGCTGTACAGGAGGCTGGAGAATGCAGTTGTCCTCTGCGGAGACCAACTTAAAAGCTGGGGTTCTATTAATAATAAGAAAGGAAAATGATATTATTAATAGTTGATACTCGGAAGCTTCTGCCACACACATGGCAGGCACGAGTCCTTCTTTTTGGCCTCCAGTGTATGAACTGCTTTCCTAGGCTCTCTAGCCATTGTGGTGTTCCTGAGAGTTCCCCAATTATTTCCCTAGTAGATTACTTGTTTCTTGCCTGTCATCGTGAGCCCTCATAGTGAATGGCATAGGGGACAAGATCAGAAATGCCTGATCAACAATAACGGTGAGCATTTATTGAGCACGTACTGCACGCCAGGCCATGTTATAACCTTACTTCAGCCTCCCGAGTAGCTGGGATTACAGGCATGCGCCACCACGCCTGGCTAACTTTGTATTTTTAGTAGAGACGGGGTTTCTCCATGTTGGTCAGGCTGGTCTCGAACTCCCAACCTCCGGTGACCCGCTCGCTTCGGCCTCCCAAAGTGCTGGGATTACAGGCCTGAGAGCCACCGCACCCGGCCGGACCTGGTTCATTTTAAAATTGTTGTCTTAATCTTAGTTGCTTAACTGCTTGCAATTCTGTGTGTTGGCTGGTGGTTCCTCTGTGGGCTTCCCCTGGGCTTGTGCATGCGGCTGCTTCTGGCTTTCAGCTGTGCTGGCTGGGCTAAGGTGGCCTCATTCATGGTGACATGGGATTCAGATGGGATCCAGATGGGATTCAGATAGCAGCTGATTGTTGGCTGGGGCACCTCTGTACTGCATCTGGGCTCTCATCATCCAGAAGGTTAGACTGGCTTCTGTACGTGGTGTTTTCAGCACAGCATCCAGGAGCCCTAGGCCCAGATGTCCCATAAAGTCTCTTTCTCCCATTTATTCTATCTCAAAGCAAGTCAAACACCAGCCCAGGGCTTCCAGGAAACTGCTCCTCGCTCCTTGTTGGCCCACAGACTTCATTTGTACTCACTAGCAGAGGGATAAGATTACTCTTTGACTCATCCGGCCCTCCAAGGCAGGGCAGGGAATGGGGTCACTTACCTAAGGCACCTGGGTTGCCTGGGGAAGGGGGCAAGTGCAGGGAGAGGGTGGTTACAGAGGGACACAATAGACAATAGGACCATCACCACCCACTGTTTATGTTCGGTGGAATTTCTTTCCAGGCATTTTACAAATATACGCAAGAGATCTTCCTGCCTGCCACACTTATACTGAGAACCTTTTTCTGGAAGCCTCTTGGGACTGTGCCCTAATTGTGTCTAGATCCAGGGCACAATCATACAATGATGTTTTTCCTTTTCCTGGGAGCAGGTGGGAATGACAGATTAAAACTTGCTTTAAAAACTAGAACAAAACATAGGTGAGTTTCTAAAAAAATGCCTTTAAAAATAATAATTCAATTTTTTTTCAAATTTACAGAAAGTTGCAAGAATAGTACAATAAACTCTCAATACCCTAATTATCAACATTTTGCTACACGTGATTTATCCTTCTTTCTCTCCATGTGTACCATTTTTTCGGAACCATTTGAGAGTCAGTTACAGACATAATGCCTTTTTACCCTAAATTCTTCAGTGTGTATTTCTTAAGAACAAAGACATTATCTTATAGGAACTCTATAGTTTTTAAAATCAGAAAATGTCACATTGGTGCAATGCTATAATTTAACTTCTTTTCTTTCTTTTCTTTTTTTTTTTTTTTTTTTGAGATGGAGTTTCGCTCTTGTTGCCCAGGCTGGAGTGCAATGGCGTGATCTTGGCTCACCGCTACCTCCGCCTCCCAGGTTAAAGCAATTCTCCTGCCTCAGCCTCCCGAGTAGCTGGGACTACAGGCACACGCCACCACACCCAGTTAATTTTTGTATTTTTTTTTTTTAGTAGAGATGGGGTTCACCATGTTGGCCAGGATGGTCTCGATCTCCTGACCTCGTCATCTGTCTGCCTCGGCCTCCCAAAGCAGTGGGATTACAGGTGTGAGTCACTGCGCCTGGCCTATAATTTAATTTCTATCGTTCAGATTCAAATCTCGTTATTTATCCCAATTAGGAACTGAGACCCTTTTTTTTTTCTCTGAGTCTGCTTGCAAGGGACATCTCTTATTCTTAAACTAGTGACTATCAATGTCATTGCACCCCTTCTAGGGAGGTAAAATGTCCTTCTGCCCAAAGAGAAGAAAGTCAATAACACATAAAACCTGTTTAAAGAATCTGTGCTTAGAAATCCTCCTCGTAGGCCAGGCGCGGTGGCTCATGCCTGTAATCCCAGCACTTTGGGAGGCCGAGGCAGGTGGATCACCTGAGGTCAGGAGTTCAAGACTAGCCTGGGCAACATGGTGAAACCCCGTCTTTACTAAAAATACAAAAATTGGCTGGGCGCGGTGGCGCATGCCTATAATCCTGGCTACTCGGGAGGCTGAGGCAGGAGAATCACTTGAGCACAGGAGGCAGAGGTTGCAGAGAGCTGAGACTGCGCCACTGCACTCCAGCTTGCGCGACACAGCGAGACTCTGTCTAAAAAAAAAAAGAAAAGAAAAAGAAATCCTCCTCATCCTCATAGGCTCTGTACAGTTACAGCAATGGTTCTCAGTTGGGGGTGATTTTGACTCCCAGGGGACATTTGGCAATGTCTGGAGAAATTTTTGGTTGTCACAACTGGAGGTGGTGATTTACTGGCATCTATTGGGTAGAAGCCACGGATGCTGCTAAACATCCTACAGAGGACGGTTCCCCCGCTGCCTGACAACAAAGAATGACCCAGTCCAGGATGTCAATGGGGCCAAGGTTAGAAATCCTGACCTGTAAGTAAACTGAAGAGGCATGCCTTTTTCTGTTGCAATGGAGCTCCCGTGGATCTACAATTCACCCCAGCAATTCCATTTCCCCCCACCTATGTCACAAAATCCCACCTCTGTAGGCACAGGGAGGTCCAGCCAAGTGTGTTTAGGATCGCTGGAAACTGGAACCAACCTGCATGCCCGTTAGGAGGAGACAGATCAAGCACGTAGTCACGCTGCGCTGTGTTGCTTCCCTCCGCTTCTTTTGCTCCTGGGTAAATAGGGCGGGGGAGGTGAGATTGGAAGGATGCCAGGAATCTTGGGCCCAGCTGCTGCTTTATGACTTAGGGATATAACTGCTTCTGACTCATGCGTGCTTGGCTCTTTGTGATTATGTGCTGAGACACGTCAGCGGGAGGCTGCCCCGGAATGTCTCCCCATGCGAATCGAGGGTGGGGCCTCTGCTGAGTCACCTCTGGCTCCTAGAAGCCTGGCTCAGGGTCAGCTCATTTGAAAAGCGGCTGCCTTTTCTTCTTTTCTCTTCTCTTCTCTTTTTTTTTCTCTCTCTCTTTCATTCACATTATAGCTTGAGTCAGAACTTCATTCCTTTTTAAGGCTGAAGGACCACATTTTGCTTGTTTGTTCATGTGATCGATGATGATGGACACTTAGGTTGTTTCCACTTTTTAGCTATCGTAAACACTGTTGCTAATGGAATATGGGTGTACAAATATTTCTTCAAGATCTTGCTTTCAATTCTTTTGGGTATATACCCAGAAGTGGAACTGCTGCATCATATGGTAATTTCTGTGTTTAATTTGTTGAAGAACTGCCATACTGTTTTCCAGGTTGGCTGTTCCATTTTTAAATTTTATTTATTTATTTATTGTTTATTTGTTTATTTTTTTGAGACGGAGTTTTGCTCTTGTTGTCCAGGCTGGAGTGCAGTGGCGTGATCTTGGCTTATTGCAACCTCCGCCTCCCAGGTTCAAGCCATTCTCCTGCCTCAGGTACCCAAGTAGCTGGGATTACAGGTGTGCGCCACCATGCCCAGCTAATTTTTGTATTCTAGTAGAGACAAGGTTTCACCATGTTGGCCAGGCTGATCTTGAACTCTTGACCTCAAGTGATCCACCTGCCTCAGCCTCCCAAAGTGCTAGGATTATAGGCGTGAGCCTCCACGTCCGGCCTGGCTGTTCCATTTTATATTCCAACAGTGCACAAGGGTTCCAATTTCTCTACATCATCACCAACACTTATTATTATTATTATTATTTTGGAGATGGAGTTTTGCTTTGTCACCCAGGCTGGAGTGCGGTGGCGCTATCTCAGTTCACTGCAACCTCCGCCTCCCAGGTTCAAGCAAATCTCCTGCCTCAGCCTCCCGAGTAGCTGGGACTACAGGTGAGTGCCACCACGCCCGGCTGATTTTTTGTATTTTTAGCAGAGGTGGGGTTTCACCTTGTTGGCCAGGCTGGTCTTGAACTCCTGACCTCAGGTGATCTGCCCACCTTGGCCTCCCAAAGTGATGGGATTACAGGCAGGAGCCACCAAGCCTGGCCTGTTTTGTAGTTTTCATTGTACAAGTTTTTCACTTTTTGGATTAATTCCTAAGGATTTTCTTCTTTTTGATATTATTGTAAATGAAATTGTTTTTATAATTTTTGTTTCAGATCACTCACTGTCAGTGTAGAGAAAAGTAACTGATTTTTGTGTGCTGACTTTGTATCTTGCTACTTTGCTGCATTCATTTATTAATTCTAACAGTTTTTTCTTAGTTTGTGAAATCTTTAGGGTTTCTACATATAAGATCATATCATTGGAGAGCAGAGATTATTTTACTTCTTCCTTTCCGTTTGGATGCCTTTGATTTCTTTTTCTTTTTTTTTTTGAGATGGAGTCTCACTCTTTCGCCCAGGCTGGAGTGCAGTGGCTCGATCTCGGCTCACTGCAAGCTCCACCTCCCGGGTTCACGCCATTCTCCTGCCTCAGCCTCTCGAGTAGCTGGGACTACAGGCACCCGCCACCGCGCCCAGCTAATTTTTCTGTATTTTTAGTAGAGACGGGGTTTCACCGTATTAGCCAGGATGGTCTCGATCTCCTGACCTCGTGATCCACCCGCGTCGGCCTCCCAAAGTGCTGGGATTACAGGCGTGAGCCACTGCGCCTGGCCTGATTTCTTTTTCATTCCTAATTGCTCTGGCTAGAACTACCAGTACTATGTTGACTAGAAGTCAACATAGGGTTTTTTTTTTTTTGAGACAGGGTCTCACTCTGTCACCCAGGCTGGAGTGCAGTGGTGCGATCTCAGCTCACTGCAACCTCCACCTCCCGGGTTCAAGCGATCCACCCAGCCTCCCAAGTAGCTGGGACAACAGGCACCTGCCGCCACGCTTGGTTAATTTTTTTTTGTAGAGATGAGGTTTCACCATGTTGCCCAGGCTGGTCTTGAACTCTTGAGCTCAAGTGGTCCGCCCACCTTGGACTCCCAAAGTGCTGGGATTACAGGCATGTGCCACTGTGTCCAGCCTTGGGCAGCCATTTTGGACCATAAGATGAAAACTGCCAGTTGTCTTCAACAAAAAGAGCGCAAGATAGCAAAAGACTGGGTTCCTGACACCGTAAAGCAACTATGCAGCTCTGGATCACTTTCATTCAGATTAATATGAGAGAGGAAAACAAACTACTTTTTGACTAGGAGGCAGTTGTTATTTGAACCTTTCTTACAGCATGGAGCCTGTATCCCACCATTGTAGTTTGTCTAATGAATAAATGGATGATTGAATAACCAAAGAAGCAGTCAGATCCAGGCCCCCATACAGATTCATGCACAAAGACTCTGCCTTAGCCTAGGTGGGAGCAACGTCCAGGTGCAGTAGAAATATTCATGGCTGGAGGCTAGTTCTTTCTGACACAGGGTCTCGCTCTGTTGCCCAGGCTGGAGTGCAGTGGTGTGATCACGGCTCACTGCTGCCTTGACCTCTTGGGCTCCAGCAGTCCTCTCACCTCAGCCTCCTGAGTAGCTGGAACTACAGATGTGTGCCACCACAGCTGGAGATATATATATGTATTTTTTATAGAGACATGGTCTCACTATGTTGCCCAGGCTGATCTCAAACTCCAGGATTCAAGTGATCTGCCCACCTTGGTCTCCAAAAGTGCTAGGACTGCAGGTGTGTACCACCGTGCCTGGCTGATTTTTTTTCTGTATTTTTTTTAACGACAAGGTCTCACTCTACCAGGCTGGTCTCGAACTCTTTGGCTCAAGTGATTTGCCCACCTTGGCCTTCCAAAGTGCTGGGATTACAGGTGTAAGCCACCGCGCCTGGCCCAGAGGAGCTAGTACTACTAGTTCTAAATCTGGCCTTTCCACTAGCTAGCTGTGTGCCCCTGAGCCACCCATGTGCCCTCTCTGGGTCTCACATTTCTCAGTTGTAAACCCGGCTTAGCAAATCTTTAAATCTATGCAATTTAAAGTTATTTTTGCTCTTTTGCAATTGCATTTCTAGGAATCCATTCCCAGGGAAATTCTCACCACATAGCACATGAACACAGGTGCCAGGATGCAGCTGCACCTTCCTTTGTGGAGCAAAAACTTGGAAATATCCTTAAAAGTGATTAAGTAAATCAGAGTATGAACTGTGCTCTGGAGTGCAAGACCGCGGACTATGGCTTTCTGGATTCTCTGGTGACACCTGCTGGCACAAAGGGATACTGCAGCCCAGCTTGGTTACGTATTGGGAATTTCTAGAAGAAGAGAGGTTCGGGGCAATTGTGTGAGGGTGGTTTGGGAAGGCACAGAGCAGGGAGAGATTTGGAAGGAAGGTCAAGGCAAGGAGGTGGCCTGGGTGTGGAGGTTGCAAGCATAGACTTGGGTTCAAATTCCAGCTTCACTACTTACTAGCTGGGTGAGCCTGGGTGGATTTGGGACTTTCTCTGAGCCTCACTTTCTTCTTCTGTAAAATAAGGATTCTGGGCCAGGTGCGGTGGCTCATGCCTTTAATCCCAGAACTTTGGGAGGCTGAGGCGGGCAGATCACAAGGTCAAGAGTTCGAGACCAGCCTGGCCAACATGGTGAAACCCCATCTCTACTAAGAATACAAAAATTAGCTGGGTGTGGTGGCGTGTGCCTGTAATCCCAGCTACTCGGGAGGCTGAGGCAAGAGAATCACTTGAACCTGGGAGGCAGAGGTTGCAGTGAGCTGAGATCACGCCACTGCACTCCAGCCTGGGAGACAGAGCAAGACTCTGTCTCAAAAAAAATAAAATAAAATAAGGATCCTAAGGCCCGTGTTACAGATTATTGGTGAGGGCTGGGTGAAAGAACTAATTTATTTAATAATTTATTGAAACAACATTTCAATAAAGATGTCAGTGACTGACAATCTCATCTAGGTGCCAGGGATACAGCAGGGGATGAGGCCTGGGTCCTGCCCTCCTGGAGCTTACAGTCTAGTGCAGAGAACACAACAAACCAATAAGCATGCATGTGATATAATCTCAGGTATTATTTTTATTTATTTATTTATTTTTGAGACAGAGTCTCAGTTTGTCACCCAGGTTGGAGTGCACTGGTGCCATCTCAGTCACTGCAGCCTCCACCTCCTGGGTTCCAGTGATTCTCATGCCTTGGCCTGCCAAGTAGCTGGGACTACAGGTACACACCACCATGTCGGCTAACTTTTGTATTTTAGTAGTCGGCTAATTTTTGTATTTTAGTAGAGATGGGGTTTTTCCATGTCGCCCAGGCTAGTCTCGAACTCCTGGCCTCAAGTAATTTACCCACCTCGGCCTCCCAGTGGCGGGATTACAGGCGTGAACCACCGTATCCAGCCTAATTTCAGGTATTTATGACACTACAAACGAAAATAAAGCAGGAGGCGTGCTGGTGTGGGTGGAGGCATTGTTACAAGTGGGGTGTGTGAGGAGGGCATCTCTGAGGAGGCTTGAGCAGAGCCAGAGGAGCCGTGTCGTGTGTGTGTATGGAATGCATGAGAAATGCTAGTGGAAGAGCCTCACACATAGGAAAGGGCCAATAAATGGTGGGTCATCATCTTATTACACACAGCAGAGGGAACGAAAGGAAGAGGGATTGGAATCCGTTTCCCAGGGTCTGCGGCAGTCACAGAGAGTGACAGAAGATTCCCTGGGCTGGCAGGTGGAGCAGCAGCCCTGCTCATGGTGTGGGGGGTGGGGAGCCCTGGACCTGAGGAGACCCAGCTCTGGGTGGCCTTGGGTGAGCCACTCTCTGGGCCTCAGTTTCCTCATTTGGAAAACAGGGCCGATAATGCCCACCTTGTGAAACTGGGGGGTGTCACAGGCTGAATGATGACCTCCTCCAAATAATTATGTTGAGATTCTAACCCCCAGTACCTCAGAATGTTACTGTATTTGGAAATAAGGCCTTTAAAGGGGTAATTAAGTGGCCAGGCACAGCGGCTCACGCCTGTAATCCCAGCACTTTGGGAGGTGGAGGTGGGCAGATTACTTGAGGTCAGGAATTCGAGACCAGCCTGGCCAACATGGTGAAACCCTATCTCTAGGAAAAATACAAAAATTAGCTGGGCATGGTGGTGAACATCTGTAATCCTAGCTACCCGGCAGGCTGAGGCAGGAGAATTGCTGGAAGCCGGGAGGCGGGAGTTGCAGTGAGCCGAGATCCCGCCACTGCACTCCAGCCTGGGTCACAGAGTGAAGCTCCCTCTTGAAAAAAAAAAAAAGGTAATTAAGTAAAAATGAGGTCATTAGGGTGGACCCTAATCCAATATAATCGTTGTCTTCATAGGAAGAGGAAATGTGGACACAGACACAAACAGAGGGAGGGCCATGTGAGCCCAGAGCAAGAAGGCGGCCATCTACAAGCCCCGGAGCGAGGCTGCGGGAGAAGCCAGCCCCGCTCACACCTTGACAACAATCTCTGTTGATTAAACCACACAGTCTGCAGTCCTCTATTACGGTGAGCCCTGCCAGCTGAGATGGGGTTGACGTGGGAATACAGCTGGGCACACAGGAGGCCCTCAGTGGAGGCTGGTTTCTTTGGCCCAGTGCCACATGGAGCCCGTCCACTGGCTGAGCTGGGGGCCTGATTGTGGCCACTCAACGTCTCTGTAAAGCTCAGGGTCTGCCTTGAGATCCTGCACTTACCACGGAGTGGCCCTGCCTTGGGGACCCATCTCACCTCACTTCTGCCCTCCTTTCTGGTTCATGACTCAGCCATCCACTAACCTCCCGTGGTAGCACTGTGGCCACTCTGTAAACGACAGCACCACTGGTGTCTCATTGGGGGCCAGTCTGGAAGAGGGAGACCACCCTAGGCATTTCAGACAGAAGGGATGGAATACAGGCATTGCTTACACAGAGGACGGACGAGCCGAGATGCAGAAAGGCCAGGTGAAGCATTGGCCACAGCTGGAGGCGCTCCACCCTAGGCCAGCGGGACAGAAGGAAGCTGGGTCCGAGAAGCCAGGGCTTGGAGCCACAGTGGGGGCTGCCTGGTAGGAGTTGACCAGGGAGGGAGGGTCTGTCGGGCGGGGGCGGGGGCTCTTTGCCTTCCGATCCAAGCTCCGCCCTCTGCAGCTCTGCTCTGTGTATCCCAGAGCTGACCCTGCGGCGCCTTTCCCAGGCTCGCGTCCGGTGAGTTCCTATTGGCCAACGGGAGGCCCCGGTCGGGGAGCGCCCCGGGACAGGCCCCTGTGCCTCCCGCTTTGCGGAGTGACGCAGGCCCTGGGCTACAGCAACCTTACCAGCCCCTCCAGCTTAGAGGTGGCAGTGGCTCTCTGCGGCTGCGATTTCTTTCTCGGAGCGTCCTCCCCATCCCGTTCGGCCTCTGCCTCCACCGTCGTCTCTGTAACCCGTTCCCTGTGGGAGAGTCTCTGTTGCGGTGTTCAGGGGTTTCGGTTTTCTGGCTGAACAGTGATTAACGCGAGGGAAGGCGCTGACGGCAAGGTGGCAGGTGACCAGCCCAGCAGGCCGCCCAGCCCTTCCCTTCCTACAGACAGAAGCACTGAGGCCTGCAGAGGGGACAGGCAGGTGGGCGTGGGGGATCGGGGGCAGCCCTGGAGTCAGACAGGCCTTGTTTTGTCCCAGGAAGAACATTCCAACACAGACCACAACACCTATGGACCTGGAAAACATTGTGCTCAGTGAAAGAAGCCAGACACAGAAGGACAATGTTGTATGAGGTACCTGGGATGGGCAGATTCTGAGAGATGGAAAATAGAATAGAGATTACCTGGAGAGAGGGGGGAATTGTTGAATGAGGACAGAGTTTGTGTTGGGGATGATGGAAAAGTTTTGGATACAGAGAGTTATGACGAGTATACAGCATTGTGAATTTTTTTTCTTTTCTTTGTTTTTTGTGACAAGGTCTTATTCTGTTGCCCAGGCTGGACTGCAGTGGTGCAATCCTAGCTCACTGCAGCTTCGACCTCCCGTGCTCAAGTGATTTTCCCACCTCAGCCTCCCGAGTAGCTGGGACTACAGGTGCGTGCCACCACGCCTGGCTGATTTTTCTTGTATTTTTTTGTAGAGATGGGGGTATCGCTATGTTGCCCAGGCTGGTCTTGAACACTTGGGCTCAAGTAATTCTCCCGCCTTGGCCTCCCAAAGTGCTGGGATTACAGGTGTGAGCCACTGTGCCTAGTGTGAATGCATTTAATGCCACTGAATTGTACACTTAATAATGGTGAAAAATATAAATATTCTGTTAAATATTTTACCACAATAAAAAAATGTGTGACAGTTGTCAGAATCAAAATGGTGTCACTAATGTTTTTTTTTTTTTTTTTTTTTTTTTTTTTGAGATGGAGTCTCGCTCTGTTGCCCAGGAGGGAGTGCAGTGGTGCGATCTCGGCTCACTGCAAGCTCCGCCTCCCAGCTTCACACCATTCTCCTGCCTCAGCCTCTTGGAGTAGCTGGGACTGCAGGCACCCGCCACCACGCCCAGCTAATTTTTTGCATTTTTAGTAGAGACGGGGTTTCATCGTGGTCTCGATCTCCTGACCTCGTAATCCGCCCTCCTCAGCCTCCCAAAGTGCTGGGATTACAAACGTGAGCCACCGCGCCTGGCCTGGTGTCACTAATGTTAAGAAAACCTTCACAAATAGAGGCAGACCATGAAGAGAGGGGTCTCATTCTTATATGCCTGATAAAGAAAGACTTTAAGAACTACAACCCTTGGCGGGGTGCAGTGGCTCATGTTTGTAATCCCAGCACTTTGGGAAGCTGAGGCAGGTGGAATACCTGGGGTCATGAGTTCGAGACCAGCCTGGCCAAAATGGTGTAACACTGTCTCTATTAAAAATACAAAAAAAATTAGCCAGGCGTGGTGGCAGGCGCCTGTAATCCCAGCTACTCAGGAGACTGAGTCAGGAGAATCGCTTGAACCTGGGAGGTGAAGGTTGCAGTGAGCAGAGATAGCACCACTGCATTCCAGCCTGGGCAACAGAGTGAGACTCTGTCTCAAAAAATTAAAAAAAAAAAAAAAAAAGAAGCCGGGTGCGGTGGCTCACGCCTGTAATCCCAGCACTTTGGGAGGCCAAGGTGGATGGATCACATGAGGTTGAGAGTTTGAGACCAGCCTGACCAACATGGAGAAACCCCGCCTCTACTAAAAATACAAAATTAGCCAGGTGTGGTGGTGCATGCCTGTAATCCCAGCTACTCGGGAGGCTGAGACAGGAGAATCGCTTGAACCCGGGAGATGGAGGTTGCGATGAGCTGATAGTGTCATTGCACTCCAGCCCAGGCAACAAGAGCAAAACTCTGTCTCAAAAAAGAAAATATTTATTTTTAGAGACAAGGTCTTGCTCTGTCACCGAGGCTGGAGTGCAGTCATAGCTCACTGGAGCCTTGAAGTCCTGGGCTCAGGCAGTCCTCCTGCCTCACCTCCCAAGTATCTGAGACTACAGGCAGGCACCACTATGTCCAGTTAATTTTTAAATTTTTTCATAGAGATGGAGTCTCACTATGTTGCACAGGCTGGTCAGTCTAGACAATTTTAAATTAAATATGTAACTCACATTAACAGGTCACATTATTTATTTATTTATTTATTTATTTATTGACACAGGGTCTCGCTCTGTTGTCCAAGCTGGAGTACAGTGGCACAATTTCGGCTCACAGCAACCTCTGCCTCCCGGGTTCAAGCGATTCCCCTGTCTCCGCCTCCCGAGTAGCTGGGATTACAGGCGCCCACCACCACGCCCGGCTAATTTTTGTATTTTTAGTAGGGACAGGGTTTCACCATGTTGGCCAGGCTGGTCTTGAACTCCTGGCCTCGTGATCCACCCGCCTTGGCCTCTCAAAGTGCTGGGATTACAGGCATGAGCCACCATGCCCAACCGCAGACATCTTTTTGTTTTGTTTTTTTTTCTTTTTTTTTTTCTTTGGAGATGGTGTCTCGCTCTGTTGCCCAGGAGGGAGTGCAGTGGCATGATACCTGCTCACTATAGCCTCGAACTCCTGGATTCAAGCGATCCTCCCACCTCAGCCTCCTGAGTAGCTGGGCCTACAAATGTGCAACACCACGCCTGGCTAATTAAAAAGGTGACAGAGAGACCCTGTCTCAAAAAGCAAACAAACAAAAAACGACACATGTGCGTGTGTGTGTGTGTGTGTGTGTGTCTGTGGAGAGAGAGAGAGAGAAAGAAGGAGAATATGATACATCAAATGTAGTAAAATGAAAACATTTGGGAAATATTTGAAGTATTTGTAACTTTTCTCTAAGTCTGAAAGTATTTCAAAATTAAAAAAAAATTTAAAAGGTGAATAGTGCCAGGTGTGTTGGTGCACGCCTGAAATCCCAGCACTTTGGGAGGCCAAGGCAGGTAGATCACCTGAGGTCAGGAGTTCGAGACCAGCCTGGCCAACATGGAGAAACTCCGTGTCTACTAAAAATACAAAAATTAGCCAGGCATGGTGGTGGGCACTTGTAGTCCCAGCTACTCGGGAGGCTGAGGCACGAGAATTGCTTGAATCTAGGAGGTGGAGGTTGCAGTGAGCTGAGATTGCACCACTGCACTCCAGCCTGGGCGACAGAGCAAGACTCTGTCTCAAAAAAAAAAAAAAAAAAAAATGGTGAATAGTACCAAGCGGTGGTGGAAGATATGGGATATAAAACCCTTGGGCACAGCTGGTGTGAGTGGAGACGGGACAGCCTTTCTGTAGAGCACCTGGTACTTAGTCAAATTAGTCCCCCCATCCCCTACAACCTACTCTCAAGCCAAAGTCCCAGAGACATCCTCACACCAGCCCTAGAGGGTGCAAGGAGGTGGCAGCTCACCTTATCTGTGGTGGGGCAGGTTGGGGGTCACTTGGGTGTCTACCCCAGGGACTGGGCGGCTGAGACTGGGGACTGCTCATAGAAAGGACCGTGGATGAGCCACAGCTACAAAACCCTTCACACAAGTGTTCATGCCACAAAGTAGCCACATGTGTTTTGCAGGGACACATTCCAGCAAAAAGACACAAAGTGACAGAATGGCTGCCTTTGAGTGGGGGTGAGAAGAGGTGGATGGCAGGTACCAGAAGAGAAGGGAATAAATATATGAAGAAATACAACCCCCTCGGGCAGTGCCTGGCACAGCATAAATGCCCAGGAAAAAGAGGCCCAGTTGCTTACGTTCCCGGCGACAGGGCCGGGACCAGCGCCGGCTTCCTGGTGAAGGAGGCCACCCTTTCCTCTTGAGGGGTCTGAGTATGCATGTCAGCACCCGGTGGGCACCCAGCACCCAGCTGACCAGGGGCCTTCACCTCTGTGGGGGTTACCGGCCTGGCCCTGAGAACTGGATGAAAGCTGGAATAATTCTTTCTGTAATAAAGCAAACGCAACCACGTTCAACCTTTCCCTTCATTTCAGAGGCTTCCCGCACCTGATGCCTCCCACAGCCTCAGGCTGAGTCCCCAGGTGCTCCAGTGGGGGTGGCAAAGCTGAGCACTGAGTTGGTTTCCATAGTTTTCATCATTAAAATGTTTAAATGACTAGGCCGAGCACAGTGGCTTCTCAGCATTTTGGGAAGCCGAGGTAGGCAGATCGCTTGAGCCCATGAGTTTGAGACCAGCCTGGGAAACATGGCAAAATCCTGTCTCTACAAAATGCAAAAAAATTAGCCAGGTGTGGTGGTGTGTGCCTGTAGTCCCAGCTACTTGGGAGGCTGAAATGTGAGGATTGCTTGAGCCTGGGGAGGCTGAGATTGCAGTGAGCCGTGATTGTGCCACTGCACTCTAGCCTGGGTGACAGAGTGGCAGACCCTGTCTCCAAAAAAAAAAAAAAAAAAATTAGCCTGGCATGGTGGTGCGTGCCTGTGGTCCCAGCTACTTGGGAGGCAGAGGAGGGAAGGGCACCTGAGTCTGGGGGTGTTGAGGCTGCAGTGAGCTGTGATGGTGCCGACGTACTTGAGCCTGGGCTACAGAGATCTTATCTAAAGAAAAGCCTAAATGAATGTGTGGTGAGGAGCAGGCTTGAGTTATTTTCATGATGAGCTCCTCAGGATAGATTCTCAAAAGTGGCATTGGTGGGGCTCTACCTCTGTTTATTCATTAATCTGTTTTATTTTTATATTTATTTATTTATTTCAGTTATTTTTTTGAGATGGAGTTTCACTCTGTCACCCAGGCTGGAGTGCAGTGGCACGATCTCGGTTCACTGCAACATCCCTCTCCCAGGTTCAAGCAATTCTCCTACCTCAGCCTCACAAGTAACTGGGATTACAGGCGTGCGCCACCACATTCAGCTAATTTTTAGTAGAGACGCAGTTTCACCATGTTGGCCAGGCTGGTCTTGAACTCCTGACCTCAAGTGATCCACCCGCCTTGGCCTCCCAAAGTGCTGGGATTACAGGTGGCAGTCACCATGGCTGGCTTGTTTTATTTTTAACATTTAATTGGGTAAGCTGCAGATACCCCTCAAGATGTCAGTGTGCATGTCAAGATGTCAGTGTGCACGTCATTAACTAGAGTCAAATATTTGTTTCTCTGTCTGTAAAGCTTACATTTGGTGAACTGCACCTTTAGGTGTACTTTTGATTATTATTATTATTTTTTTGAGATGGAGTTTTGCTCTGTCACCAAGGCTGAGTCTAGTGTTGCGATCTCTGCTCACTGCAACCTCTGCCTCCAGGGTTCAAGTGATTCTTCTGCCTCAGCCTCCTGAGCAGTTGGGATTACAGGCGCCTGCCACTGCACCAGGCTAATTTTTGTATTTTTAGTAGAGATGGGGTTTCACCATGTTGGCCAGGCTGGTCTTGAGCTCCTGACCTCAAGTGATTCACCCGCCCCAGCCTCCCAAAGTGCTGGGATTACAGGGGTGAGCCACTGCGCCCAGCCACTTTTGATTACTTTTGACAAATGCATCCACCTGCACTGCCCAAACTCCCTCCAAGATGTTAAACATGCAGTGGGTTGAATTGTGTCCCCCAAGAAGATATGTTCAAGTCCTAACCCCTGGGACCTGTGAATGTGACCTTATTTGGAAATAGGGGCTTGCAGATGAACCCAACTTAAGATGAGATCATTCTGGATTGTGGGGGCTCTAAATCCAATGACTGGTGTTTATATAAGAGAAAGGAGAGGGAGATTTGGAGGTGAACACACAGAGGGAAGAAGGCACTGGAAGAAGGCCGTTGGAAGATTAAGGCAGAGATTGGGGTGAGGCAGCTAGAGCCAAGGAACATGGTGGATGGCGGGCAAGCACCATGGAAGAGGCAAGGAGGGATTCTTCCCCAGAGCCTCCAGAGGGAGCAGGACCCTGGTTTCAGGGGAGAATAAATTTCTGTTGTTTTGGGTTTGTGGTATCTTATCATGGCGGCCTTAGGAAACTCACACGAAACACACACCATCACCCCAGCGAGCACCCTTGTCCCCTCCTCAGTTGTGCTCTCCCCCAACTGGCAACCACCGTGCTGATATTTTCCTCATGGGTGAGTTCTGCCTGTTCTAGAGCTCTAAACAGATGGGATCACACAGGAAGTTCTTGGCATCTGGCATCTTTCACTCAAACAAGATTTCAGAGATTGTTGCAGCTATCAGTGCTGGCACGCCTATAATTAAAGTCCATTTACTTGAAGAGGAAGTAAATTTTGAATTTGAGGAGGGGAGTAGGCAGTAAGCTTTCTTTTTTTTTTTTTTTTTGAGACCGAGTTTCACTCTTTTTGCCCAGGCTGGAGTGCAATGGTGCGATCTCGGCTCACCGCAACCTCTGCCTCCCGGGTTCAAGCGATTCTCCTGCCTCAGCCTCCCAAGTAGCTGGGATTATAGGCATGCACCACCACACCGGGCTAATTTTTGTATTTTTAATATTTTTGTATTTTGTATTTTTAGTAGAGACGGGGGTTTCACCATGTTGGTCAGGCTGGTCTCGAACTCCTGACCTCAGGTGATCTGCCCGCCTGGGCCTCCCAAAATGCTGGGATTACAGGCGTGAGCCACCGCGCCTGGCCTGTAAGCTTTCTCTTTAAAGCTGGGCTTGAGGCCCCCTCTCCCGGGGGTCTCTGGCCCTCAGGAACCCCAGTCTGAAGCTGTTTCCCAGTTCAGAGGTTGCAGAGATCGGAGGCGGGGCTCCCGCGCCACCTTGTGGCCATTCTAGGCAGCGCAACCCATGATGCCTGTGGCGGGGCGTGGGGGTGGGGTGGGGTGGGTTGGGGAAGGTGGGTTGGGCAAATGTGTATTTTCCTGGTTTGGGCCCTCAAGTCACTGAGCACCTACTCAGCACCTGCATGATTCCACTGTATGTGTGTGTGGACAGAGATGACCAAGATTGCGCAGACCCTAGAGGGGTTCCCAGGAGAGGGAGACTACACAACACTAACTCCAGTAGGGTGGATGGAGTGAGGCCCAGAGGCCTGAAGTCCAGCTGGAGCCTGGAGGAGGGGAGAGTAACGGACTTGGGCATTCAGGGAACGTTTCCCTGGGCATTTCGACAGCTGGGGATGGAAAGGAAGACTGTTACAGGCAGGGGAACAGCACAACCAAGGTGTGGAAGCAGGACCGGGCAACATTCTGGACCCAACCAATCATAAGGTCATACGTGTCCATGGCAAACATTTTTTTTTTTTCTTTTTAGAGACAAGGTCTTGCTCCATCACCCAGGCTGGAGTGCAGTGACACAGTCATGGCTCACTGCAGCCTTGACCTCTCGGGCCCAAGAGATCCTCCTGCCTCAATCTCCTGAATGTCTGGGACTGCAGATGCGCACCACCATACCTGGCTAATTTTGGATTTTTTTGTATAGACGGGGGGGTCTCGCTATGTTGACCGGCTTGTCTTGAACTCCTGGCCTCAAGTGATCCTCCTGCTTTGGCCTCTCAAAGTGCTGGGATTATAGGCGTGAGCCACCACGCTAGGCCCCATGGTGAATTGAGTTTTTTTTTTTTTTGAGACAGGGTCTTGTTCTGTTGCCCAGGCTGGAGTGCAGTGGCTCAATCTTGGCTCACTGCAGCCTCTGCTCCCCTTCCTGGGCTCAAGTGATTCTCCTGCCTCAGCCTCCTGAGTAGCTGGGATTACAGGGTCGTGCCACTGCGCCTGGCTAATTTTTGTATTTTTAGTAGAGATAGGGTTTCACCATGTTGGCCAGGCCGGTCTTGAACTCCTGACCTGAAATGATCCACCCGCCTCGGCCTCCCAAAGTGCTGGGATTACAGGCGTGAGCCACCGCGCCTGGCTGGCTTAAGTCTTAAGCAGCAGCTTCCACTTTTGTGTTCTGGGGGAGGCCAGCAGCTGTGTAAGAAGTCTGTGCTGGTTGCAAAAAGTGCAAGGTTTAAAAAAAAAAAAAAAAAAAAAAAAGACTGTGCTGAGGAGACCACATGGAAAGGGCAAGAGAGGCCAGGAGGAGAGGCTACTTGAAGGGACAACTTGCAGCATGTGCAGAGGCCACATGGGGAGAAAGAAACTGCCAGAGGGAGCACTGAGGAATGAACTAAGGCAGCAGACACATGGTCCAGCCAGCCATCCGCCACTCGGGCCAGCCGTGAGGTGCCACACGTGGAGCACAGAAGCCACTGTGGACGCTTGGAGCAGAGATAAGCCGTCCCCTCATGCTCTGTCCTAATTCCTCACCTACAGGATCGTGAGCAAATATACTGGTGGTTATTTTAAGCCCTTAAAAAACAGAATTACTGGCCGGGCGTGGTAGCTCACACCTGTAATCCCAACACTTTGGGCGGCCGAGGTGGGTGGATCACTTGAGGTCAGGAGTTCAAGACTAGCCTGGCCTACATGGCAAAACCCTGTCTCTACTAAAAATACAAAAATTTTTTATTTTGTATTTTTAGGGCGTGGTGGCACACACCTGTAATCCAGCTATTTGGGAGGCTAAGGCATGAGAGCTGCTTGAACCTGGGAAGTGGAATTTGCAGTGAGCTGAGATCTGAGATCATGCCACTGCACTCCAGCCTGGGCAACAAAGTGAGACTCTGTTTTGAAAAAAAAAAAAAAAAAAGGCATTACTATATAATCCAGTAACCCCACCACTGGGTATATATCCCATGGAAATGAATCTAGTGTGTTGAAGAAATATCTGCGCTTGCACATATCCTATGGAAATGAATCTAGTATGTTGAAGAAATATCTGCGCTTGCACGGTTATTGCAGCGTTATTCACTAAGTTTTGAGGTGCAGTGTTACATGGTGGCAGCCAGAACCCCCGGCCCTGGGCTACTACTGTTGCTGGTTTCTTATGACCCTTCCAGCATGAGCCTCTGCATCCTCAAATACATGAAGCTGGGTGCGGTGGCGCACGTCTGCAGTCCCAGCTACTCAGGAGGCTGAGGTGGGAGGATCGCCAGACCCAGGAATTTGTGTGCTATGATCTCCCTGTGAACAGCCACTGCAGTCCAGCCTGGGTGATACAGTGAGACCCTGTTTCTAAACAGATAAACAAACCAAAAAGAATACGTGAGTACATTTCCACTCCTCCCCTCATTTATGTGGGGTTCGCACACCACACATCCGGCCTGCTCTTGGCTTTTATTTTTTTTCCAATTAATGATAGATCTTGGAGATTGTTCTAGATGTGTACTGTTCAATATAGTAGTCGCTAGTCCAGGAGGTGATTTAAATGTATTTTAAAAGATTAAATTTTTATGTATTTTTTAAAAGTAGAGCACTCCTCCTGCCTCAGCCTCCCAAGTAGCTGGGACTACAGGCACACACCACCATGACCGGCTAATTTTTTTTTTTTTTTTTTTAAGATGGAGTCTCACTCTGTTGCCCAGGCTGGAGTGCAGTGGCATGATCTCGGCTCACTGCAACCTCTGCTGCCCGGGTTCAAGTGATTCTCTTGCCTCAGCCTCCTGAGTAGCTGGGATTATAGGCACCTGCCACTGTGCCTGGCTAATTTTTGTGGGTTTTTTTTTTTAGTAGAGATGGGGTTTCACCATCTTGGCCAGGCTGGTCTTGAACTCCTGACCTCATGATCCACCCGCCTTGGCCTCCCAAAGTGCTGGGATTACAGGTGTGAGCCACTGCACCCAGCCTTAATTTAAATTTAAATACAATTCAATAAAATTAAAAATTCAGTTCCTCAAGTACACTAGCCACATTTCAGGAATTCAATAGACACACATGGCTGATAGCTGCCGTATGATACAACCCAGATAGAGAACATGTCCATCATTCTAGAAGGTTCTCTTGGACAGTGCTGGTCTAAGTCCTCTCCCATGGAGCTACCTCATTCTTCTTAGTGTTCTTTGGTAATGACAGCCACTGACGTTACCTCACAAGCTTTTGCTATTGCAAAGCATTTGCTGTTCTCCATTTTTCTTTAAGCAAATGTGAGTGTCTTGGTGGCATAAATGCCTTGCATTTCTGGGTCCAGTGACATTTCCCATTTTGTTTTTTTCCTTTTTTTATATTTTGTTTTATTATTTTTTAAATTATACTTTAAGTTTTAGGGTACATGTGCACAATGTGCAGGTTAGTTACATATGTATACATGTGCCATGTTGGTGTGCTGCACCCAGTAACTCGTCATTTAACATTAGGTATATCTCCAAATGCTATCCCTACCCCCTTCCCCCACCCCACAACAGGCCCCGGTGTGTGATGTTCCCCTTCCTGTGTCCATGTGTTCTCATTGTTCAATTTCCACCTATGAGTGAGAATATGCCGTGTTTGGTTTTTTTTGTCCTTGCGATAGTTTGCTGAGAATGATGGTTTCCAGCTTCATCCATGTCACTACAAAGGACATGAACTCTCATTTTTTATGGCTGCGACATTTCCCATTTTGATGGGCATGGCCAGATTAGAACTGGAGGTTACGCCACTTCGCACAAAGACTGAAGCTGTAAGAGTGCCTGTTTTTCCACACCATCAACACTGCGTGTCATTCACATTTTAAAAACGTTTTAGCTAATGGCAAAGGTTTTCAAGACAAACGTGACTTTACCAGGCCCCTGCCCTGCCTGTTGCCTCTCAAGTCACAATGCCAGTGGACATCTTTCTCTGTCCACAGGTGAAGATCCATCTTTTGTTTGTTTGTTAGAAATGAGAGGCCGGGCGTGGTGGCTCATGCCTGTAATCCCAGCACTTTGGGAGGCCGAGGCGGGTGGATCAGGAGGTCAGGAGATCGAGACCACGGTGAAACTCCGTCTCTACTAAAAATACAAAAAATTAGCTGGGCGCAGTGGCGGGCGCCTGTAGTCCCAGCTACTTGGGAGGCTGAGGCAGAATGGCGTGAACCAGGAAGGCGGAGCTTGCAGTGAGCCGAGATCGCGCCACTGCACTCCAGCCTGGGCGACAGAGCGAGACTCCGTCTCAAAAAAAAAAAAAAAAAAAAAAAAAAAAAGAGATCTTACTGTATTGCCCAGGCTGGTCTTGAACTCCTGGGCTCAAGGGATCCTCCTGCCTCGGCCTCCCAAAGTGCTGGGATTACAGGTGTGAACCACTGCGCCTGGCCCACGTTGGCCTTTTTTTTCAAATTGTAAAATACGCAGAACATAAAACTTACCATATTAACCATTTTAAGTGCACAGTTTGGTGCCATTAAGGACATTCACGCTGTTGGGTAATCGTCACCACCATCCATCTCCAGAACTCTTTCCATCTTCCCAAAGATGGAACTCTATATCCATTAAACAAGAACTTCCTCCTACCTCAGCTCCTGGCAACCACTGTTCTATTTTCTGTCTTTATGAATCTGACTACTCAAGGCACTTCATGTAAGTGGTATCATGCAGTATTTGTCCTTTTGTGACTGGCTTATTTCACTTAGCACAATATCCTTAAGGTTCATCCGTGTTGTAGCCTGTGTCAGAATCTCCTTACTTTTTAAGGCTAAATAACATTCTATTGTACAGACACATCACATTTTGTCCATTCGTCCATCGATGGACACGGGTGGCTTCCACCTCTTTTTTTTTTTTTTTTTTTTTTTTTAAGTCGGCGTCTTGCTCTGTCACCTAGGCTGGAGTGCAGTGGTGCGATCTCAGCTCACTGCAACCTCTACCTCCCAGGTTCAAGCGATTCTCCTGTCTCAGCCTCCCAAGTAGCAGGGATTACAGGCACCCGCCACCACACCCAGCTAATTGCTTCCACCTTTTGGCTATTGTGAAGAAGGCTGCTATGAACGTGAGTGTACAAATATCTCTTCAAGATCTTGCTTTCAATTCGTTTGGATACACACCCAGAAATAAAATTGCTGGGTCATTTGGTAATTCTATTTTTAATTTTTTGAGGAACAGCCATACCATTTCCCACAGTAGCTACACAAGCATTCCAGTTTCTACACATCCTTCCCAACGCAGCAGCCAGCCTAATGGGCGTAAGGTGGTATCTCATTGTGTTTTATTCCTTTTATTTTTAGTTGACACATAATTGTACATGTTCATGGGTTACAAAATGATATTTCAATACATGTATACAACGTGTAATAATCAAATCTGGGTAATTAGGATATCCATTACCTCAAGCGTTTATCATTTCTTTGTGTCGGGAACATTCAAAATCCTCTCTTCTCATTGCGTTTTGTTTGTTTTTTAGATGGAGTCTCACTCAGTTGCCCAGGCTGGGGTGCAGTGGCGTGATCTTGGCTTGCTGCAACCTCCACCTCCCAGGTTCAAGTGATTCTCCTGCCTCAGCCTCCCAAGTAGCTGGGACTATACGCACGTACCATCACGCCCAGCTAATTTTTGTATTTTTAGTAGAGACGGGGTTTCACCGTGTCGGCCAGGCTGGTCTCCAACTCTTGACCTCAGGTGATCCACCAAAGTGTTGCGCCTCATTGCAGTTTTGGTTTGTATTTCCTTAATGGTTAGTGATGTTGAGTATCTTATCATGTGATTATTAGCCATTCACAGTTTTCTCTGGAGAAATGTTTATTCAAGTCCTTTGCCCATTTTTAATTGAGTTGTTTTTATTGCTGTTGAGTTGTAACAGTTCTTTATGTATTCTGGATATGAACCCCTTATCAGATATATGATTTGCAAATATTTTCTCCCATTCCATGTTTCCATGTTCCATTTTTTTTTTTTTGGAGGCAGAGTCTTGCTTTGTCACCCAGGTTGGAGTGCAGAGGCACAATTTCGGCTCACTGCAACCTCCGCCTCCCGGGTTCAAGTGATTCTCATGTCTCAGCCTCCTGAATAGCTGGGATTACAGATGCACGCCACCATGCCTGGCCATTTTTTTTTTTTTAATTTTTAGTAGAGATGGGGTTTCACCATGTTGGCCAGGCTGGTCTCAGACTCCTGACCTCAAGTAATCCACCCACCTCGGCCTCCCAAAGTGCTAGGATTGCAGGCATGAGCCGCTGTGCCTGGCCAGCCCCCACTATTTCTATGACACAAATTCCTGCTACTCTCCGTCATCACCACAACTACGTGCTCCTACCTCAGGGCCTTTGCACTTGCTGTTCCCTTTGTGTGGTCCAAGGTCCCCCAGATACCTGCTTCACCACATTCAGGTTTTTGCTTAAATGTCACCTCAGTGAGGTCTTCCCTGACTACTCTAACATAAAGTTAAAATCAACTCCCCCAGCTTGGGCAATATAATGAGACCTGATCTCTACAAAACATTAAAAAATCAGCTGGGTGTGGTGGCATGCCCCTGTGGTCCCAGCTACTTGGGAGGTTGAGGTGGGAGGATCACCTGAGCCCAAGAAGCAGAGGCTGCAGTGAGCAGAGATCGTGCCACTGCACTCCAGCAGTGAGACCCTGTCTCAAAAAACAAACAAACAAAAAACCCCAGAAAACAAAAAATCAAATCTCCCAGAACTCCTGCTCTGCTCCCCTGCTGTATTTTCCTCCATAGTGCTGACCAGAATCTAATACAATCTATACTTTAATCATTGATCTTGTTTAGTGCTTGTCTTCCCCCAGGAGAATTTCAGCTCCACGAGAACAGGAATTGCTTGTCTTGTCCATGAATGTGTCTTTAGGGCCAGAATTACAGCATGTGCCAAGGAACATTCGATAAATGTGAAGGTTGAGCACTGTTTTCTGTTCGTTGGACACTCTGGTTCCTCTCGGCGGCCTGCTGATGCCCTGTGTGCATCTATCACATCCATGGCACCGGCCTTTCCTGATCCCAGAGCAAGGGCGCCCAGCGGATCTTCACGCATGTGAATGGCTCCTGCAGTCCCAGAACCTGCCACCTGGGGGCAGTATATACTCAGGCAAGTTTCACTACCGGTCCTGAGCACCTCCCGTCTCCAAAATCCTGGATCTCAGAACCTCGGAGCCTGGCAGCCCTTGGGGATCTATCTCTGCCAGCCCCACTTGGCAGATGGGGAAACTGAGGCCTCAGAGAGGAGGCATGATGGGGAAAATCTCAAACATTGGAATCAGGGAATCTGGCTTTTAAGTCTGGCTCTTGTACCCATTCACAAGGGTACAAGGGGGATTTGGAGGGGGAAGTAGGAAGTTCTAATCCTCTTCGGGCCTCAGTTTCCCCATCTGCCTGCTTTGTGGGGTGAAAGGGACATCTGATTAACTCTAATGTGTCGGGGAAGGCCAGCAGTGAGGGGTAACAGCAGGCCCAGAATCCCAGATAGAATATTATCACCTCATTTTATATACCAGGGACTGAGGCCCAGAGGGGACACCAGACACGGCCGGAGAGCCACAGCATGGAAGGCACAGGGCAGCATGAAAGGCCATCCCCCTGCCATCCCCCTGCCCCACGCCCACTAGAGACACCCCCCCATTCATGTTCTGATGGTTCACCTCTCCGCCATATTTTCCCACCTGCTGGCTGATTTCTAAGCCCTTTTGCAGAACACTCTCTGTCAAAGCAGCCACGTGGATCTCCCCTTGGCAAATCGCCTCAGTTTTCTCCTCTTGAAAATGGGATAGGGAAAAGCTGCAGAGATGGGGAGGAGGAATTGTGAAAAGCAGTTTGGGGGCAGAGGAGGACGTGTGTCCCAGGTAGGAAAGTGCCTGTTCCCTCCCCGCCCCCGCCTGGCTCCTGCCCACCACCATGTGGCCACGTGGGCCCAGCCCACAGCTTCAGGTTTTAAAAGAGGAGCTGGAAATTTGAATTTTGATGTGAAATCTCCTGATTTTTAAATGTTGGCAATAAATTCACTTAAACACACACACATCAAGCAAAACGCTATGGGGTCAAATTGAACACATCTGTGGTCTCGATTTGGCCACTGGCTGCCAGTTTGAGATCCTTTCCGGCTCTAGGTTCTGAGGGCAGGTGACTGGGAGAGGTGGCGCCAGGGGGATCCTGGTTTCCTGTGCCCACACAGCCACTCACGTACTCTGGGCCTCTGGGCCGTGGTGGTTCAAGCTCCCACCATCCCCACTTCTTGGGGAAAGGCTGAACAGTACTGGGGTGGGGGTGGGGGAGCAGCAGGCGGGGCCTGTTGAGCAAGAGCCTTGTAAAAACAAGGGCTTACGTCATCCTAGCTTGCAGCTTCCCTGCAGGACACCTGGGTCGGCACCGGGGTGGGACCTGCGCTGAGAAGGGATGGGTCATCCCCAGCAGGGGGTGGAGGGTGGGGAAGGGTGGCAAGCATGTTCCACCCCAGAGGCCAGAGGGCCTAGACCCCTGCTGGGGCTGAGTCTGGTCTTTGGGGGCTGGCCTGCAAGGTCCGAGTAACACCTTAACGCACTGTGTGACCCCAGGTCTACCCTTCTCTGTGCCTCAGTTCTTCTATCCAGAAGATGGGACTCACATTGCCAGGCCTGTTATGACAAACCCAAGAGGGAAAGTCAGACTGGAAAGATTTTATTCCTTCTCATCCTTTCATGTGACCTGGAGCAGACACACTTAGCTCTTCTGGGCCTCAGTTTCCTCATCTATAAAGTGGAGATAATGATAAGACTGTGGCCTGGCGCAGCGGCTCACACCTGTAATCTCAGCACTTTGGGAGGCTGAGGCAAGAGGGCCACTTGAGGCCAGGCGTTCGAGAAAAGCCTGAGCAACAGAGTGAGACATATCCATCTCTACAAAACATTGAAAAATATGAAAAAAGAAGAAGAAAAAAGACCTGCCTCCTACAAATTATCAGTAGGATTAAATGAGTTAATACATGCAAAGAGCTTGGAATGTGGTTCAGAGAAGGTGGAAGTTTGGCCTAAGAACACACAGCAAATCCTCCAATTAGCTTCAGTTCCCCCATATCTCCCTGCATCTCTTCAGAATCCAGAAAGGGAACGTGGGCGAGTGCTTTGGTTCAGAGAGGGGAGCCATTTTGCCTAAGGTCACACAGCCCAGCTAACGAGGAACCTCTCCTTCTTCTCAGCCTCCTCCATTTATTCACTCACCATTCATCGAGCACCTTCTATGTACCAGGCTCTGTTCTAGGCACCAGGGACACAGTAGTGAAGGCCGTGGGGACAGACAGCAAGACTGGCAGGCAAGATAATTCTGATTATAATGAGAATGGTGACGGAAATGAAGCAGGGGTGTGAGAGGAGTGACTGAGGGCCTAGACTTCCCATGGGAAGGTCAGGGAGGGTTTCCCGGAGGAGGCAGCTTTTGGGCTGAGACCTGAGGAGCTGCCTTGGGCAGAGGTGGGGTGACAGTGTTCTTGGTGCACAGGGAACAGCAAATGCATTCCTTCACTGGTAAATGTTGAGCGTGCTGTGCTCAGGAGTCCCTCGTGGGCCAGCCCTCCCCAAGTGGCAGCCTGCAGGGAGACTGAGGTAGACAGCTAGGATAATGGTGGCTGGCGATAGGGAAGGAAATTCACTAGCAGGTGGGACAGGGAGGGCCTCTCAGAAGCCGTGGCCTCTAGCTCAGCCCTGAGTGTCCCATTTTGCAGTGAGGAAGGGCTGGCCGGGTGGCCCTAGGGAAGCTGCCGCACCCCTCTGGGCCTTGATCCCTCCCCAACCCAGAGGCTGCTGGGAAGACCCAGAAAGCCAGCAGGCTGGGCCAGTGTTTTATCCCCTCCCTCCCTGCCTCCTACCCACCAAGGGTGCCCAGAGATGTCATTTCTCCAGCTCTTGGGGGCGGAGGTCACCCCAGCTCAGCAGATAACACCAAAGGTTGAGCAATGCCCGCCTGCCCGCTGGGGCCAGGGCTGGGGTCAGTGGGCTGGGGATCAGCCCCGGGCAGGCTGGGAGCTCCTGCCTAGGTGGCCTGGGCTAGGAGTGGCAGAGAGGTGGGCCCAGGGAGCTGCCCCAATGGCCTAGGAATGGGTCCGGGAGGGCAAAGGGCCCTCTAACCTGAGCCTACCCAGCAGAGGCGGGCAAGTGGTCAGAAGGCCTTGGGCCTGTGTTCAAGTCCAGGCGGGCCGTTGTCGCTTTCCCGTCTGTGAAATGGCAGCAGCAAAAGCATCTTCCTGGTGGGGTGAAAAAAGTTGAACCTCGGGGTGCAGGCCCACCGTAAGCACAGGGCAGGGACTTGGTAAAAACTTATCTTTCTCTTTCCTTCTCTTTCCTGCATACCACCCCCTCCCGTGAGGCCTCGCTTAAGTCCCTCCCTAGCAACTTCAGAAACAGAAGTTTTTGGCCTCTGGGACTGGCAATAGGTCTTAGGGCTCAGATGAGGGCATTTCATTTGGGATGAATGGGGGACATGCGGCCATGTGACCTTGGTATGCCACGCCATGCTCTCTCTGGGCCTCCACTGGCACAATCCGTGGGGGTCCCGTTCTCTCTGATGTGCAGCCCACAACGTAAGCCTTAGGTTTGGGAGTCTGGTGGGAACAATGCCACCACCACTGACAGTAGCGACACCCTTCATGGATTGCAGCTGGGAGAAGTGAAGTGACTCACCCAAGGTCACACAGTGTGGCAGGGCCGAGCACCCCCCGCCCCTGCCCCATCCCAGGGCCCAGGTCGGGTGGCGCAGCGCGGGGCAAGAGAAGACCCGGGCGTGTCCAAGCCTCGAGCAGGCGGCAGGTGTGGTGGGCGGGGCTAGGGGCGGGGCTCCGTGGACCAGGGTCCAGCCCCAAGCGGGGCGCGATCCTGCCCGGTCGCGCCGACCCCCGGGGTCCTCATATTGTCTGTGGCTTAAGAGGGGAGTCGTCACAGGCGTCAAGTCTTCTTTCTAAAGCCGGGGACCTGGGGAGGAGGTGGGAGTTTACGGGAGGAAGGGCCACGGAGATGGGTCGCTTCTCCTGGAGCTAGAGCTGCGGGCTGGGGTCTCCAGGGTTCGGCCCGGGGAGCCGACCCTGGTCGGCCGTCGGGGCTCTGCTCGGCCCTCCTGAAACCTCCGCCTCCTCCAGCAGGGGGCGGGCCGGGGCCGCGTCTCGGGGGGAAGGCGATCAGGTCGCCCCCTCCTCCGATTCCCCCGCCTTCCAGGACAGCCTCCAGCCCAGAGGGGCGGTCCGGGGGCGGGGTCGCACCGCCCCCTCTCGCTCCCAATCCCGGGGCGGCCGGGCGGGGGTGGGCAGGGGGCGTGAGGCCGCCCCTGCGTCCCGGGGGCCCCCCGAAAACGCGCTCCGGGTGCCCGGTCCCTCCGCTGCGCCCTGCCGCCGTCCTCCCGGGGGTCTCGGGCGGCCGCGGCCGTGTCCTTCGCGTCCCGGCGGCGCGGCGGGAGGGGCCGGCGTGACGCAGCGGTTGCTACGGGCCGCCCTTATAAATAACCGGGCTCAGGAGAAACTTTAGCGAGTCAGAGCCGCGCACGGGACTGGGAAGGGGACCCACCCGAGGGTCCAGCCACCAGCCCCCTCACTAATAGCGGCCACCCCGGCAGCGGCGGCAGCAGCAGCAGCGACGCAGCGGCGACAGCTCAGAGCAGGGAGGCCGCGCCACCTGCGGGCCGGCCGGAGCGGGCAGCCCCAGGCCCCCTCCCCGGGCACCCGCGTTCATGCAACGCCTGGTGGCCTGGGACCCAGCATGTCTCCCCCTGCCGCCGCCGCCGCCTGCCTTTAAATCCATGGAAGTGGCCAACTTCTACTACGAGGCGGACTGCTTGGCTGCTGCGTACGGCGGCAAGGCGGCCCCCGCGGCGCCCCCCGCGGCCAGACCCGGGCCGCGCCCCCCCGCCGGCGAGCTGGGCAGCATCGGCGACCACGAGCGCGCCATCGACTTCAGCCCGTACCTGGAGCCGCTGGGCGCGCCGCAGGCCCCGGCGCCCGCCACGGCCACGGACACCTTCGAGGCGGCTCCGCCCGCGCCCGCCCCCGCGCCCGCCTCCTCCGGGCAGCACCACGACTTCCTCTCCGACCTCTTCTCCGACGACTACGGGGGCAAGAACTGCAAGAAGCCGGCCGAGTACGGCTACGTGAGCCTGGGGCGCCTGGGGGCCGCCAAGGGCGCGCTGCACCCCGGCTGCTTCGCGCCCCTGCACCCACCGCCCCCGCCGCCGCCGCCGCCCGCCGAGCTCAAGGCGGAGCCGGGCTTCGAGCCCGCGGACTGCAAGCGGAAGGAGGAGGCCGGGGCGCCGGGCGGCGGCGCAGGCATGGCGGCGGGCTTCCCGTACGCGCTGCGCGCTTACCTCGGCTACCAGGCGGTGCCGAGCGGCAGCAGCGGGAGCCTCTCCACGTCCTCCTCGTCCAGCCCGCCCGGCACGCCGAGCCCCGCTGACGCCAAGGCGCCCCCGACCGCCTGCTACGCGGGGGCCGCGCCGGCGCCCTCGCAGGTCAAGAGCAAGGCCAAGAAGACCGTGGACAAGCACAGCGACGAGTACAAGATCCGGCGCGAGCGCAACAACATCGCCGTGCGCAAGAGCCGCGACAAGGCCAAGATGCGCAACCTGGAGACGCAGCACAAGGTCCTGGAGCTCACGGCCGAGAACGAGCGGCTGCAGAAGAAGGTGGAGCAGCTGTCGCGCGAGCTCAGCACCCTGCGGAACTTGTTCAAGCAGCTGCCCGAGCCCCTGCTCGCCTCCTCCGGCCACTGCTAGCGCGGCCCCCGCGCGCGTCCCCCTGCCGGCCGGGGCTGAGACTCCGGGGAGCGCCCGCGCCCGCGCCCTCGCCCCCGCCCCCGGCGGCGCCGGCAAAACTTTGGCACTGGGGCACTTGGCAGCGCGGGGAGCCCGTCGGTAATTTTAATATTTTATTATATATATATATCTATATTTTTGTCCAAACCAACCGCACATGCAGATGGGGCTCCCGCCCGTGGTGTTATTTAAAGAAGAAACGTCTATGTGTACAGATGAATGATAAACTCTCTGCTTCTCCCTCTGCCCCTCTCCAGGCGCCGGCGGGCGGGCCGGTTTCGAAGTTGATGCAATCGGTTTAAACATGGCTGAACGCGTGTGTACACGGGACTGACGCAACCCACGTGTAACTGTCAGCCGGGCCCTGAGTAATCGCTTAAAGATGTTCCTACGGGCTTGTTGCTGTTGATGTTTTGTTTTGTTTTGTTTTTTGGTCTTTTTTTGTATTATAAAAAATAATCTATTTCTATGAGAAAAGAGGCGTCTGTATATTTTGGGAATCTTTTCCGTTTCAAGCATTAAGAACACTTTTAATAAACTTTTTTTTGAGAATGGTTACAAAGCCTTTTGGGGGCAGTAATTGGCTTTTGTTTTTTATTTTTTTACTTTATTTTGGATTTGTAGGATTTTGTTTTTGCGTTTCTGGTGTGTAGGGGGTTGTGTGTGGGGGGCTGCTGTTATTTTTGGAGGTTTTGGTGGTTGGGTGGGGGTGTTGCAGCTGGTTTTTCTGCCTCCTCTGCTACTCCCCCTCCCACACACACAGGGTCTGCTTGAGATGGGGTTCCAGCCCCGGGGGAAAGGGGAGAAGAGTAATGGGTCAGGCATTCAGGCTGACTCAGAGCCCCTAGGCGCCGGGACGGGTGGCTGGGAACCCTGCTTGAGAAGAGATTCCGGAGCCTCTGGCTGGTCCCGAGTGTCAGGCTTGGGTTTGGAAGGGCTGGGAGGTCTGTGACCCCTGCCCTGTGTTTGGGGACTAGGTAGGCAGGCCTGTGACTGTAGGAGGAGGGGGTTCAGGTCTTGGTCCTGCTGAGCCCGAGTCAGGGCAGATGCTTTTGGTCAGTGTAGTGGGGTGGGTTGTTTAAAACACAGTTTGTGTATACATGTGTATTTTAAAGAGGGGAGCCTGGGTGTGTGGGCGAGTCTGTGTTTGTGTGTCCCTGGCCAGCAGGAGGGGAGAGGCCAGGCCAGGTGGAGAGAGGTGGGGGAGGGGTTCCCACACTTTGATTACCTTTCCTGAGGATGGGAGGCTCATCACTTGCTCTCTTTGCCCAGACTTGGACACTGAGCCCACCTCACCTGCCTGCTCAAGGTGGCTGAGCCCAGGCACAAACGTGGGGCTGCTAGCCCTGATTCCCTGGGACAGGCTCCTCTTCCCTGCCCACTGATCCCTTTGCCCCTTCCGGCTTCTCACCGCACCCCCTACTCCCATCCAGCCCTGGATGGCATTCCTGAGAGTTGAGGATGTAGATGGATGTGAGTGGATACATGTACAGCGTCCCACAGTGCCTGGCACGCAAGAAGTGTTATATAAGCGCTTGCTCTTGTTATTATTTTTTGCTGGGAAGCTGCTGGCATTTGGCACCCCAGTCTCCAGTGCAGCGCCAGTGTGGCCAGTACTTGCCAGGGGCCGGCATCTGGTAAACACTGGACCTGCCCCATCCCATTTAGACCTCACAATAACCTTTGGGAAGGTGGGGATTGTTATGACGCCTGTTTTTAGAGGTGGGGAGCAGCTTTGGGCTGTCCGATCCCTATGGGCAAGACACTGGTTGGGGGTTGCCCTGCCCTGAGGAATTCAGGGGCAGCAGGCATCGTAGCCTGGTTTGCCAAGGACCTGGGGCGGTCTGGGATCTCAGGAGCAGTTGCTGATACCGTGGTTCGCGAATGGGAAATGCTTTGCCCCTCCTTTTCCTTTTGGGGGCCTGGTTGTGCTTTCCCTGTGGGAGCCTGGGATGTGGGGAACAGACAGCGACACTCATCCCCCACCGCCACAAAGCGGAGGATTCCTATAAGCTCCACCTCCCTAATGCCAGTGTCTCCTGATGGTGGCTCGAGGGCTATGCAGATTGCTGGACACAGATAACCTCACTTCAACCTGGGACCTGCAGCGTGGCCCTGACCACGTCCCCTCCCAGCCCTGGGCAACTGGACAACTGGCCGGGCATGCCTTCAAAGCCTCGAAGTCAGTTCAGTCCCAAGCCCCACTGGTCTCGATGGTTTCTGTCAGTAGCAGCGACAGCAATGTGGGCTTGACCTCAAGGATTTACTTGCTGAAGGCAGAGGCTGAGGGGCTGGACCTAGGGAAGGAGGGAGGTGGAGAGGGTCGAAATTGAGGAACAAATCTCAAATCCCTGCTCCCTCCTTTGTCACCAAGAGTTGGCTGGTGGCCACTGCTCACCCAAATGAGGTGAGAGGGAAGCAGCCTGGCCAGACGGTGCCCCTCTTCCGCCCCCGTCTGCCCCACAGCTTCGCTTCTGTTTCCCCAGTGCTGTCCTGGAACCAGCGTTGAGTCAGTTCTTCACACACTCACATCTTGCTCTCATCCACAGTACCCCACAGAAGGTGCTAGACCCATTTCTAAAAGCACACATTGAGGTCCACAGAAGTGAGGTTTGTGCTCAAGGTGGGCTAGGTGGAGCAGGTTACAAAACCATCCGACTCCCAAGTCTATGGGGAAAGTTTGGGGCTGGGAGCCTGGTTTGTAATCCCAGTTCCTGTTTAAAATCCCAGGCTCTTCTTGGAGGGCTCCTTGCCTGACCTCAAGTTCAGGCACTCCAAGCCCCAGAACTGCAAACATCAGTTTCACAGTTTGGAAGCAACAGAAAGTGAATTTGAACCTGAACCCCTTGGGCTGCCTCTAAGGAGGGCTGGGAGAAGCAGTTCACAGGTTGAGGGCTTTGACGGTGGCTTGGTATGGGAGCACTGTGGACGGAGCTGTGCCCAAAGGACTTGGGGAGATGTCATAGTTAGGGCAACACCAACCCCACAGTTCACCAAGCTGCAAGGGTGAAGGGCTCGCAGGGAGGAACCAGTCCATTCCGACATCCAGAAACAGGAGGGGGTGGGATGGGGTGAGGCGAGCCCAGGAGGCCAGGGACGAGCCTTGAGGAATCATGATAATAGCAGGTGTGAGACAAGGGCTTAGATGTGCAAAGCACCACTCCAAGCCCTTGGCACAGAGGGAGGTGCTGGGTCCTTAGATATGTGGGAGAAAGCCGGTCATGTTAACCACAGACCCATTTAGTGTGTTTGACCACTGAGGCTAGCTGGGAGGTGGGAGCCTGGAACCCCAACTAATGTTTGCTCAGGACAAGAGAGTTCACAAAACAAGACACATTCACACCTCATAATCTTATGCAATTGTCCCACGGCCTGGTGATTTTAGCAAGGAGATAAGTGGATGTCAGAAATGAACGCTCGAGACACTGCTGGGTGCCGGTTCCACACTGACACTGTGCTCCTTGGTTTAATCAACTCATTAGCCTTTTGGAGGCTGCAGCTTTTGTTACTAGCATTTTGCTGCTGTGCAAACCAGCTTAGAGAGGTGAACTGACCTGTCTTAAGTTTGCACAGCTAAGAATGGCAGAAGCTGGAGTGGGAGTGAGAAGGGGAACTGCTCCTTCTGAACACCTGAAGAATATTTCCCTGCAGGCTGGGCGAGGTGGCTCACGCCTGTAATTCCAACATTTTGGGAGGCTGAGGACGGCAGATCATTTGAGGTCAGGAGTTTGAGACCAACCCCGGGCAAAATGGTCTCTACTAAAAAAATACAAAAATTAGCCTAGTGTGGCGGTGGGTGCCTGTAGTCCCAGCTACTCAGGAGGCTGAGACATGAGTATCACTTGAATCACAGAGGCGGAGGTTGCAGTGAGCCAAGGTCGCACCACTGCACTCCAACCTGGGCGACAGAGCGAGCGTGCCTCTGTCTCAAAAAAAAAAAAAAAGAATATTCCCCTGCCTTCCAAGTTTTGTCCAGACCTCTCTGAGACTGTTTTCTCCCAGTTTCTCAGTCGTTTTTTTGCCCAGTTATATTTTTCATTTATTTGACAAACATTTATTGAGCACCCGCTGTGTGCTAGGCCCCTTACTGGGTGTTGGGGACATGTGGTGGCCAAGATGGAGGTGATAATTTTCAGGGAGACACAGATGCTAAGTATCCAGTGACTGGAACAAGATAATGGCAGATGGAGTCAAGGGCTCTGCAGGAAGGAAAGTGGGGCAGAGGTGAGTGGGAGCGGTCCTGCGAGGCCCCTCCTAGGAAGTGGCATCTGAGCAGAGACCCCTGAGCCCAGGGAGTCAGGAGTATGGTGGGCTGCAGTTTACTGGATGCTCACTTTGCACCTGCTGGTGTCCTGCATGCCTTATTCTTAAAATCCCAATGATGTAGGTGCTTTTTTTTTTTTTTTTTTTTTTAAAGGAGTCTCACTCTGTCACCCAGGCTGTAGTGCAGTGGCATGATCCCGGCTCACTGCAAGATCCGCCTCCTGGATTCAAGCACTTCTCCTGCTTCAGCTTCCCAAGTAGCTGGCATTACAGGCTTGCTCCACCATGCCCGGCTAATTTTTGTGTTTTTCATAAAGATGGGGTTTCACCATGTTGGCCAGGCTGGTCTCGAACTCCTGACCTCAAGTAATCTGCCCATCTCAGTCTCCCAAAATGCTGGGATTACAGGCCTGAGCCACTGCACCCGGCCATGGGTGCTACTTATTACTCCCCCTCCCCAGATGGGGAAAATGAGGCACAGAAAGGTGAAGTCACCGGTCCAAGAGCTGGTGAGTGGCTGATGTGAGGTTTGAATTCTCACCTTGCATTTGAACCTGAGAGGCCTTCTCTGCCTGTTTTCCCCCATGGCCCTGAGCCTCTCCTTTGCTGTTTTCCTGTCCTGCCCTTCCACCCCCTCCTGAGTTCTTTCTCAGCTTGGCCAATCTCCTGCGTGGCCTGTGATGGCGTCCCAGCAGTCCCCGCTCCCTGTGGGATTTTTGATGGTGCATTGGCCGGGGCAGGGTAGTGAGGGAGGCCTGGGCTGGGCAGACCCAGGAGAGGCCAGAGTGGGCTGGGGAAGCCAGGGGCTTTCTGGGCTGGTGGTGTTAGCCCCTCCCAGGTGTCTTCCGAGACAGAAAGGAAAGAGTTCCATTTTACAGAGAGGAGACCCGAGGCTCTGAGAGGGGACAGTTCCTGTCCCAAGAGCAGCAAGGTTGGGATTTGAATCCAGGCCTGCCTGAGCCCCAAGCTCAGCCACTTTTCTGTCTGGTTGACTGCTCTGGGGAAGAGACACGGGAAGAACACAATTAGACACCTCTGAGGGGTAGGATGCTTGAGCAAAAGAGCTCTGGGCCTTGTCCCTTGGTTGCAGAGTGACCTTGGTTGAGGCACTTAGCCTTGCTGAACCTGGGCTTCCTCACCTGTGAGCACGGAGTACAGATATCACCCAGTGTCGAGCAAGCACCCATTGTGAGCCCAAGATGGTCCCTGACCCCCGGAGCTGTCATTGTGGTAGAGGAGACAATGTGTGGCTAGCAGATTGGCAAGCCCATTGCAGATTGTGATAAAGGCCCTGAAGAAAATAAGGTGGGGGAAGTGGAGGAGGGTGATTGGGGGGGAACGCGTAGGGAGCCTTCCAGGCTGGGGGAACAGCACACGCAAGGGCCCCGAGGCAGGGCCCAGCTCCGTGTGAGGAGAAGAGCCTGGAGCCAGCATGGCTGGAGCAGAGGCAGCAAGGGGAGGAGTGGGGAAGAAGAGGACAGGGGTGGGGCAGGGTGGGGGCACAGGGCTCCTCATGCAGGGGTGGAGTAGGGGAGGGGAGGATGGGGGCACAGGGTTCCTCATGCAGGGGTGGAGCGGGGGAGGGGAGGATAGGGGCACAGGGTTCCTCATGCAGGGGTGGAATGGGGGAGGGGAGGATGGGGGCACAGGGTTCCTCATGCATGGGTGGAGTGGGGGAGGGAAGGATGGGGGGGCACAGGGTTCCTCATGCAGGGGTGGAGTGGGGGAGGGAAGAATATGGGGGCACAGGGCTCCGCATGCAGGGGTGGAGTGGGGGAGGGGAGGATGGGGGCACAGGGTTCCTCATGCATGGGTGGAATGGGGGAGGGAAGGATGGGGAGGGCACAGTGTTCCTCATGCAGGGCTGGAGTGGGGGAGGGGAGGATGGAGAAAGCGGGGAGGGGTAGGCCACATCTTTCATGCAGGGTGTTGGAGGCTGGGCGGGCTGTGAGGTGGCTTTGAGGATGAGAGAGTGGGTGTCCCTGCCAGGTGTGGCACCCAGAAAGGCCTTGACAAGCCTGTGGAGGGAATGAAATAGGCTCCTGGGCCTTCGGGATGAGGTAAAGTGCAGTCGGTGAAGGGCACAGGGAGGCCTGCCCGGGCCCAGGAGACCTCGTAGGCGAGGAGCCTGTGACCCAGGGCCTGGAGCCACGGGGAGCAGTTCATCGGGCAG
This sequence comes from Homo sapiens, assembly GCF_000001405.40. Classification (NCBI taxonomy): domain Eukaryota; kingdom Metazoa; phylum Chordata; class Mammalia; order Primates; family Hominidae; genus Homo; species Homo sapiens. The sequence goes on from NC_000020.11 coordinate 50,198,547, forward strand.
GAATGAGGGGAGGGCTCACCAGGAGGGGCGCTGGAGGAGCCAGGGCCGGGAGCCAAGAGAGGGAGAGTTCTTTGGGTAGCCCTGACTGCAGGGGAGAGGGCACCAACCCTTGTGGGGAGAGAGGCAAGGCTGGAGAGGGAGGGGTCTTCAGGGTGGGATTGGTGAGGGACTGGGGACAGGCAGGAGACAGGACCTCTGCGGGGGTGTTTGCTTTTTATTTGATTTCCCAAGTAATGCATGATTGTGATGGGAGGATCAGAGACTGCAGAGTATAAATAAAAGAAGGAAATAAAGAGCACTACTCAGAAATAAACCCATTAACACTTGCTGTGTGGCCTTGGGCAAGTTACTTCACCTCTCTGTGCCTCCATTTTCTTGTTTATTAAGTGGAATAATTAATAGTACCTGCCTCATAAGGTTGTTGTGAAGCTTAAGTGAGATAACACAACAAATTTAAAGCAGTGCCACACACAGTAGGTATTAGCTGTCATCATTATTCATATCATCATTACCATTTTGGTGGGTTAGGAGCTTAGATGCTAGAATTGGAATGCTGGTGTTCTGAATTCAACATTTTCTTTTTTTTTTTTCCCCCTTGAGACGAAGTCTTGCTCTGTCATCCAGGCTGGAGTGCAGTTGCGTGATCTCAGCTCACCGCAATATCCGCCTCCTGGGTTCAAGCAATTCTCCTGCCTCAACCTCCTAAGTAGCTGGGATTACAGGTGCCCGCCACCACACCCGGCTAATTTTTGTATTTTTGGTAGAGATTGGGTTTCACCATGTTGTCCAGGCTGGTCTCGAACTGACCTCGTGATCTGCCCGCCTCAGCCTCCCAAAGCGCTGGGATTATAGGCGTGAGCCACCGCGCCTGGCCCAAATCCACCATTTTCTAGCTCTGTAGTTTGAGGCAAGTGAATGCATCTTGCTGGACCTCAGTTCCCCCATCTGTAATAAGAAGATCATAAAATTCCTCACAGTGTTTTGCAAAGATTTGACAGGTTAACTCACACAGGGTAAGTTGTTAACTTCCAGAATTTTCATTCCATGTGTATTTTTCCTCATTGTGGCTAAAGTGGCCGATCCAATACTCATTCCTCTCCCTCTTTCTTACCAATGAGATCCTTCTATTTTGGGGGGGCAAGTACCCTACTAAGAGACTACAGTTTCCAGCTTCTCTTGCAGCTAGGGATGACCAGTGAGATTAAATAGAAGCTGTAGGTGGGACTTCTGGGAAAGCTCTTTAAAGGGGGTTGACTCGGCTGTGAGGCACATTCCCTTTTGTGTTCCTTCTCTGCCACCTCCCAGCCCCTGCTTCTTTCTACTTCCTGCCTGGAACTCAGATGTGATGGCCAGAGCTCCAGGGGCCATCCTGAATCATGAGGCAAACTCTGAAGCATGGAAGCCACATGCTGAGGATGGTGAATCCGAAAGACAAAAGGCACTGGGGTTCTTGATGGTGGTAGAACAGCCGCACCAGTCTTTACCTGCTTTGCTCTGGGCTTGTTTACATGAGAGAAAGAAATCTCTGCTTACTGAGGTCTCTGTCGTTTGGGCTTCCTGTTACTGGCAGCTGAGTCTATTTCTAACTGATATATTTGCCAGAACGGAATCAACCTGTGTGAGCTCTTTCACGACCTGCATTTTTTCATCATGCACCAGTGCTTCCTTGTTACGGACACTATTGCACATGAGCACAGAAATGCACGCTTTGCTTAGGAAAAAGAATTTCCATCAGATGTGGTGGAAGGATTTCTTTTTATTCATTTTAATTACAGAAGTAATGCACAAAGACCTCCTGTCATGAAAATATCCTGCCTGTCCTCAAGTGTCTCTCTCTCATGACTCTGAAATTTCAGTGTGCCTCAGCCCAGGCTTGAACCAAGCCCTTGAAATGGACAGAAATTTCTCTGCTGACCTCAGTGAGCTCCGCATTTTGTAGCCCTAGCCTGCATATGTGATCCACTAAGGGACTCCTCCGTTTGGAAACAGAGATGGTCAGGTCCTGCTGCAGCTCACAGAGCCTGTTGGCAGCTGCGCTGGGACCAGATGCCCCATGCCACCCTGAATAACCCTTCTGACCCATGCTGCCCGCCACCACCTGCTCCACTGAGGCCTTGGCCTGCCAGGGCTGGGAGGCACCTTTGCCAGCCTTCCTGGGGCCAGCCCAGCTGAGATCTCTGGGAGGTGAGTCTGGAGGCCAGGGAGCCGGGCCGGGTGAACTTTTATTTTTATAGCTGTCATCAGATCCCTGCCCTAGCCCTGGAGCCCTGGCAGGGACAGGGGTGGCCAAGGAGGAGGAAGACTCCTCAGAGAGGCTGGTGGGTGGGAGTCAGCAGGCTGTGGAGGAGAGAGAACTGGGGTGGGGGTCAGGGCAGCCTGGGGCACCTGACTCCAGCCAGGCCTCAGTCCTCTCATGCCACATGGCACCAGTCATCAAGCTCGCCTGGCTGACCCTCTTGTGGGGTGGTGAGGGACAAAGGGACAACAGGGACCCTTTCCTGCTTTTATTCTTGCAGGTCAGATGCAGAGCTAATTATGCTTTCCAGTTCTTAGGACACGATTGTCATCAGTCCTTGCAAAGCCTGCATTGCGCTTTAGTCTATTTTCCCGTGCATCACATTTTTTTCTCTTTCTTTCTTAGTGAAATATACACACACAGCAATGTGCACATAACACAGATATACAGCTCTGTGAATTTTCCTGGTGTTGACCCACCAGTGTCCAGATCAAGAAGAGATCATTCCAGCACCCCTGAAGCCTTTTGTGTCCCTTCTAGCCACCCCTCTTCCACACCTAAGGGTAATCATTATTCTGATTTCTAACAGCAAACATTAATTTTGCCTGTTTCTATGCTTTTATAGAAATGAAATCACACAATAGATGCTGTTTATGTCTGGCTTCTTTTATTAAGTATTGTAACTAACATTCATTCAAGTTGTTGTGTGTATCAGTATTTATGCCTTTTTATTACTGAGCAAAATGACATTACATGGACACACCACAATGGATTTACCCATTCGATCCCTCATGGACATTCAGGTTGTTACCAGTTTTGAGCTCTTTAGAATTGGGCTGAGATGAATATTTGAGGGATCATGTCTTTTTTTTTTTTTTTTTTTTTTCTTGAGACAGACTTGTGCTGTCTCCCAGGCTGGAGTGCAGTGGTGCAATATTGGCTCACTGCAGCCTCTGTCTCCCAGGTTCAAGTGATTCTCGTGCTCAGCCTCCCGAGTAGCTGGGATTACAGGTGCCCACCACCACACCTGGCTAATTTTTTGTAATTTTAGTAGAGATGGGCTTCCACCATGTTTGCCAGGCTGGTCTCGAACTCCTGACTTCAGGTGATCCACTCGCCTTGGCCTTTCAAACTGCTGGGATTACAGGCGTGAGCCACCGCACCCAGCGAGGGGACATGTCTTTTGATGAACATATTCACATATTTCACTTAGAAGTGGCTTGCTAAGCCATCAGAAATCTAAAAATATATGTTTTAATTCCTGTTAATGGTATTGAAACTTAGCTCTCATTCTGTTTTTTACTTTTTTACTGTGTATTTTTAAAAAACTTTTTAGTTTGAGAAACGTCTCAAATTGGTTCTCTTGAATTATTTGAGAATAAATTGCTGACCTGTTGCCCTATCACCCCTTAATGTTTTGATACATAGTTTCTACAAACCAGGGCATTTTCCTAGATAGCTACAATATAACCATCATAATCAGGAAATTAACAGGATACACCATGACTGTCTACCAAGACCCATTCAGGTTTCACCAGTTGCCCTGATAACATCCAGTAAGGGAATCCAGTTTGGGATCATACTTTGTGTTTATTTTTAATTTTATTTTATTTTGAGACAGGGTCTCACTCTGTCACCCAGGCTGGAGTACAGTGGTGTGATCATAGCTCACTGCAGCCCCAACTACCTGGGCTCAAGCGATCCTCCCACTTCAGCCTCCTGAGTAGCTAGAACTACAGGCATGTGCCACCCTGCCTGGCAAATTTTTGTATTTTTTGTAGACACAGGGTTTCACTATGTTGCCCAGGCTGGTCTGGAACTCCTGGGCTCAAGCAATTCTCCCACCCTGGCCTCCCAGAGTGTTGGGATTACAGGCATGAGCCACCGCGCCCGGCCACATGTTTTGTTTAGTTCCACATCTCTCTAGTTGCCTTGAAGGTAGAACAGTTCCTTAGTCTTTCCTTGACCTTCATGACCTTGACACTTTTGAGGATACAGGGCAGCTGTTGTACAGCATTACAGCATGTCTTTCCCTGTGGGTTTGTCTGATGCTTCATTGTGGTGAGATTCAGGTTCTGCAGCTCTGGCAGAAAAATCAAAGAAGCGATGTTATGTTCTTCTCCTCGTCCCATTGCTGATGGTGCACTCTTTGATGACTTGATTGAGGAGATAGCTGCCAGACTTCGCATCTGTAGGGTTACTTTCCCCGCTCTTTGTAGTTAATCAGCATTTGAGAGGAGGCACGCTGAAACTGTGTGAATTTCTTGAATGTCATCAGACTTTCAATTATTCATTTATTTCTGTCAGTATAGATTCATAGTTTTCTATTTTATTCAGTGGGTTGTGGTATATCATCATCATTGTTAACTTATTTATATGCTTAAATTGTCCCAGATTTGGCTCCTGGGAGCCACTTTTAACTAGCTTCTGTGTCACCATCATTCTTTGAGCATTTTCTTACTTTCTGGCACAGTGAGGTACTATAAGCTCATCTGGTATTTTTTCTGCCCCCAGCTCTGGAATCAGCCACTTCTCCCAGGAGCCCTGGTTCCTTTTAGTAGAGAATGGAATTTAGAAGCCAAAATCTCAGGACAAAGTGCTCATTGCTGTTGGGGTGTCTCCACTGCCTGACTCTCTCAGTGGACAGAGTTAAGGACTGTATATATGTATATATAGAGACACATATTTACAGCTGTGTTATTTCTGTATCTAACTATTATCTGTCTATCATCTATCATCTATTTAGAAAAATGAGTGTACACTGATAACTGCAGTTCCCATTCAGCATCACAGAGTTTATTCTAATTTTCTCTTTCCATATTTGAAACTCTCTTTTCCATCAGTGAGAAAATAGGCTTCCATTATTCTTAATATATTTGTTTATTTGACCCATCCCCTATATGTAACCAGTTTGCTGTCACTGTCCCCCCACCTCTGTTCCATGATTGGTCACCCTCCTTACCCTGTTCAGTCTCTGGCCCCACACTATGCCACCCTTCTTATGGATGGCCTCAGATCAACTTCACCATGGCCTCTATACATTTTTCCTTTCAATTTGAATACATAATATGTGCTCATTGTTCAAAATTCAAAAGGTGTGAATGGATTTGCAATGAAAAGTCTGTCTCCCTCCCACTCCTGCCCCCACATTCCCAGATCCCTCTCCCAGAGGTTACTGAAGTTTCCAGCAGCTTTTTCTTATTTCAAATGGTCTATGTGAGTGCACCCAAACACACACACACACACACACGATATTTATGCACACTGTAGCACATTTTTTACACTGACCTGTGCTTTGCTTTTCTCACTCAACAATGTATCTTGGAGCTTGTTCATATCAGTACTATAGAGCTGCCACATTCCTTTTAATGGTTGTATAATATTCCATTGGATGGATGTACCATAATTATTTAACCAGTCTCTTTCTGATGGACATTTAGATTGTTTCCAGTCTTTTTCTATTTCACACAATGCTGCAACAGACAATTCTATCCAATAGGTCACATTTTACATGAGTGCAGCATATATTCCTGGAAGAATAGGCTTGAGAGATGCCTCCAGGTTGCTCTGTGTCCCTCTGATTCATTACTTTTTATGCTGATGCATAACATTCCTCTGTATGTATCTGCCACATTTTAAGGAACCACTGCCCTTGTGGTGGACAATGATTTTGCCTCTAAGTCCCCACAGCCATAAACACTGTTCTGACAAGCATTGTTGAATGTACCTCTGTCACAGGGCAGGTTGTGTGGATACTGAAATGGAGTTTGGAGTGCAAGATGTTTGTGGGGGTCAACACCTGAGAAATGGAGGGGGTGCAAGAAGGACTGGGCAGATGAAGTCATCCAGCAGCGATGCAGGCCTGCAGAGCCCTGAGCAGTCTTGGGAGCACCGGAGAGGAACTTGCTTGTTGGGTGCCCTGTGTTGGGCAAAATGGCCAGACCTTTACACCCTGCCTTGGTCTGTCTGGCTTTCGGGCTGCCCTGGGAAGGATGGCTGGGGCGAGATGGCTCTCTGCAGCTGGGACAGCTGTTGGTGGCTGGAGTTCATCACCTCATCATACTCCCTGCAGCTGGTTCTCCCCTGAAGGAGACCTAGGTGGTACATCTTTGTGTTTATCAGCCCCCTAATGGTCTTCTCAGAGTGCCTCTGGTGTATTTACCCAGGAGCGGGATTGCAGAGTCTTAATGTCACTAATAGGGCCAGATATCCCTGGTCTCAGCCACCCCACAAGGATCAGAGATCTGCATTTTTGAGGTAGTGAGATTGTGATCATGGAATGAACTGAGGCTGACTCTCTAAGGCCCCCTGCCCTATGCCGGGCCGTTCCTCCTCATCGTCCCTCGTTCCTTCGTGATCTCCCTATAGGGCTCATGAGTTGGATGGATGTGAGTCTAAATCTCAGCTTTGTCACTTAGATGTTTGACCTGGAGTTAGTGACCTCTTCTTCCTGAGCCTCAGTTTCCTCATCTATGCAATAGGTCTTGTCACATCCTTGACTTTTGTGCATTGTGGGTCTTGGTGAAAAGTAAGCCCTCAGTACATGACAGACCATATATCAGGAACACAGCATCACTTCTGCTGTATCCCTGCAAATATATATCAGACACGGAGACCGAATCTAATCACGGGAAACATCCGAGAGATCTGAAGTGAGGAGCACTTTGGGAGGCCAAGGTGGGTGGATCACAAGGATAAGAGATAGAGACCTGGCCAACATGGTGAAACCATCTCTACTAAAAATACAAAAATTAGCCAGGCATGGTGGCCTGCACCTATAGTCCCAGCTACTTGGGAGGCTGAGGCAGGAGAATTGCTTGAACCCGGGAGGCGGAGGTTGCAGTGAGCTGAGCCTAGATTGCACCACAGCACTCCAGCCTGGCAACAGAGCGAGATTCCGTCTCAAAAAAAAAAAAAAAAAAAAAAATAGCTGGCCTGCATCCTCGAACATGTCAAGGTCATGTGGGTCAAGGAGAGACTGAGAAAGGAACTGTTTCAGGCCAAAAGAGCCTATATACAACTAAAGGAAGCTACATGCGTGCGATCTTGGGACATGATAGGGTCCCCATCACATTAGGGCCCCAGGTCTTTGTGTTTCTAAGGCTGGAGCTCGAGCTACCTCAGGCTCAGGATGGGGGACACTTCCCCTTAAGCAATGAGAAGGAGAGAGGCTGACTTGGAGAGAACAGGGAGTCAGGGAGCTTGGGCTGGATTGTTATTCCCCAAGAAGAGTTGCAACTGGACTTTCGCTTCAGTAATGTTTAAAAGAAAAATGCTAATCTAGATAGGGACTGCCATTCATTCATTCATTCATTCATTTATATTCCTCTTAACAACTTGTGACTTTGGGCATGTGGCTTAACTTCTCGGTTCCTCAGTTTCCTGTTTACAAAATAATGATGGTAATAATAGTACCTATCTCACAAGATGTGGAGAGGATTAATGGAGATGATAGGTGCAAAGTGCTTAGAATACTGCCTGGCATATAGTAAATGCTCAATAAATATCAATTATCATCACAAGGAATTTACTCCACAATTCATTTACTGAGAATGTGCAACATGCCAGAGTTAGTTGTCACTCTCCACCTGGAACTAGAACCACGGAAAACCTTAGATCCCATAAAACCAGAGCCTAGCAAAGATGACAGGATCTTAGTGTGTCACTACCCTGCCCATCAGTCTGGCTGCCAATGATGGTTTAAGATCCCACGCCCCCTACAATTTGAGCCCAAGGCCTCCTCCTGACAGCCATGTGAATGCCCCACGCCTCAGTTCCCCAGATGTTGTGACAGCCTCAAACACTCTCCAACGGCACTGATTTGAACCCTTGTAAACGCAGAAAAAAACAAGTCTTAGGCGGCAAAACCCCATTTGTGCAATGTGGACTCCCTTCCTCAAGTCCTGGGTGATGCTGAAGGGTCTGAATCTGCCTTTTCTTTCCCGCCTGTTGGGCCCTGGTAGAAAGTAGCAGCTGGGCCAGGGTTGGTGGCTCACGCCTGTAATCCCAGCACTTTGAGAGGCCAAGGCAGGTGGATCACTGGAGGTCAGGAGTTTGAGACCAGACTGGCCAACATGGCAAAACCCCGTCTCTACTAAAAATACAAAAATTAGCTGGGTGTGGAGGCACGCACCTGTAATCCCAGCTACTTGGGAGGCTGAGGCAGGAGAATGGGTTGAACCCAGGAGGCGGAGGTCGCATGAGCCGAGATCACGCCACTGCACTCCAGCCTGGGTGACAGAGCAAGACTCTGTCCCAAAAAAAGAAAAGAAACTTCAGGATATCCTTCAGCTATATTGTTTATATTTTTCCCCACTTTGTCTTTTCCCCCATTTGTATTTTTTTCTTTTGCCTGAATTATTTGAGAGGCAGCTGTAGACATGACATCACTTTATCCCCAAACCCTCCAGGCATGAGCCACCATGCCCAGCCCATGCACACTATAGATTAATGTTAAAAGCATTATGCTGAGGGAAAGAAGCCAGACACAAAAGACGACTTTCTGTGTGATTCCTCTGATATGAAGTTCAAGAACAGGTAAGATGAATCTAGAAGGCACAAAAGTGGTTCCTTCTGTGGGGTAGAGGAGTCATTGCCTGCAGTGGGACATGAGGAAGACTTCTGGGATCTGCAAAATTCCTATGTTTTACCCCAGGTGGTAGTTCCATGAATTTATCCATATATAAGAATTCAGGCCAGGCATAGTGGCTCACACCTGTAACCCCAGCACTTTGGGAGGCCGAGGTGGGAGGATCACTTGAGCCCAGGAGTTCCAGACCAGCCTGGGCAATGTAGGGAGACACAGTCTCTACAAAAAATAAATAATATTAGCTAGATATGGTGGTATACACCTGTAGTCCCAGTTACTCAGGAGGCTGAGGTGGGAGGATCGCTTGAACCCAGGAAGTCAAGGCTGTAGTGAGCCATGGTTGTGGCACTGCACTCCAGCCTGAGTGACAGAGCAAGACCCTGTCTCAACAACAACAACAACAACAACAACAACAAAGAAGAGTTCATTGAGCTGTCTGTTTATGCGCTTTACTGTACATATGTTAAACGCCAGCATCAAAGTAGAAACCTAAAATCAATGAACTCATGCTGCACATTGAACATAGGAGAGTCAGGTGGGCAGGGAGTAGGGATTGGGGTGAAAGGGAATAAATGAATACAACTAGAGGGCAGCCTGTGTGGGCAATCATGATAACATGTTGCGAATTGAGGCATCAGATAACGTCACCCTGCACACCTGAGGTTCAAAAAGAAAAGCCAAAAAAGACCCAGGAGCTCAGAGGGGGAGTGTACCTTGTCTGAGGTCACACAGCTGGTGGGTGGCAGAGGCAGGATTTGAACCTGGGTCTGAGGAACCCCAGAGTGTGCTCCTTACCCAGTGCTCTGGCCTGGACTCTCCGGGCTGGACAGCTCTGCTGTGCTCCCAGAGGTCCCTAGGGTCTGGCAGGGGATGGCGAAATGACTGCTTGGCAAAGACCATTGCAGCTCAGAGCTCACAGCTCCAAGTCGGGAGGGGAGTCAGTGGAGCAAAGGGTGGCTCCCATCCCTGGAGCCTTCCCTCCCTGGCCTAGGGTGGCTCTGCCACCCTCCGTCCACCTCCCGCCGGCCTTTGCCTTCCTTCCTGGGCCAGCGTGTGGACTCTGGAGCCCTGCAGGGTTGGGTGTGAATCCCAGTTCTTCTTCTTTCTGGCTCTGCAACCTGGGGTGAGTGGCCTACTTTGTACCTCCGTTTCCACTTTCAGAGCCTGCCTATGACAGCATTTACTTAATAGCATTGGTGAGCAGAGTCGAGGAGTCAAAAGTGTGCAGAACTCAACACCATGCCGGCATGTGCTAATTGTCCAATAATGGCAGCTGCTATTGCTGTTGTTGATGTTATTGCTCCTTGGGAGAGGGGAGCCCCTGTTGCTCTAAGGCCTTACAAACACCAACATGTGAAAACAGCTGGCATGGAATGGAAAGTTCTAGAGAAAGGAGCTTTCTGACTGCCTGAAGGTTATCAGAAAACTTTCTATGCTGGTTTTTGTGAAAGCTCTTGGTAAGCTAGGGTAGAACCAGGGTGGCTTCATGGGAGTACCATCTAGGCAATTCCACAGAGCCCCTTGTTTGGAAGGGCCCCCACTTGGTTTACAGGTCTGCTGTTGTCATCTTGAAATTCTCTCTCTCTTCTTTTTTTTAGATAGAGTCTTGCTCTGTTGTCCAGGCTGGAGTGCAGTGGTGTGATCATGACTCACTGCAGCCTCAACCTCCCAAGCTCAAGTGATCCTCCCGCCTCAGCCTCCTGATTATCTGGGATTACATGCACATGCCACCATGCCCGGGTAATTTTTATTTATTTTTATTTTTATTTTTTGAGACAGAGTCTCACTCTGTTGCCCGGGCTGGAGTGCAGTGGCGCCATCTCTGCTCACTGCAACCTCTGCCTCCTGGGCTCAAGCGATTCTCTTGCCTCCTGAATAGCTGGGATTTCAGACACCCATCACCACGCCTGGCTAATTTTATACATATATATATATATATATATATATATATATATATATATATATATATTTTTTTTTTTTTTTTTTTTTTGTTTTTTTTTGAGACAGAGTCTCACTCTGTCACCAGGCTGGAGTGCAGTGGCAAGATCTCGGCTCACTGCAAACTCCACCTCCCAGGTTCTAAGTGATTCTCCTGCCTCAGCCTCCTGAGTAGCTGGGACTACAGGTGAGTGCCACCATGCCCAGCTAATTTTTGTATTTTTAGTAGAGACAGGGTTTCACCGTATTGGCCAGGATGGTCTTGATCTCTTGACCTTATGATCCACCCGCCTTGTCCTCCCAAAGTGCTGGGATTACAGGCGTGAGCCACCATGCCTGGCCAATTTTTATATCTTTAGTATAGATGGGGTTTCACCATGTTGGCCAGGCTGCGTCTTGAACTCCTGACGTCAAATAATCTGCCCACCTCGGCCTCCCAGAGTGTTGGGTTACAGGCATGAGCCACTGTGCGCAGCAATTTTTATTTTTATTTATTTATTTATTTTGAGACGGAGTTTTGTTCTTGCCCAGGCTGGAGTGCAATGGCACGGTCTTGGCTCACTGCAACCTCCGCCTCCTGGGTTCAAGTGATTCTCCTGTCTTAGCCTCCCAAGTAGCTGGGATTACAGGCGCCTGCCACCACGCCTGGCTAATTTTTTATACTTTTAGTAGAGACGGGGTTTCACCATGTTGGCCAGGCTGACCTCGAACTCCTGACCTCAGGCAGTCCGCCCGCCTCAGCTTCCCAAAGCTCAGGGGTTGGAGGCATGAGCCACTGCCCCCAGCCCTGGTAATTTTTAAAATTTTATTTTTTGTAGATATTGGAGTAGGGAGGAGTCTCTCTATGTTGCTCTGGTTGGTCTTAAACTCTTGGGCTCAAACAACCCTCCTGCCTTACTCTCCCACAGTGTTGGTATTACAAGCATGAGCTGCCGCACCTGGCCTTGAAATTCTTAATGATTTGTGAACGAGGGCCCTGCATCTTGATGTGGCCAGTCCTGGCTGTACTGTGGCATCCGGCATGGTCACCTAGTACTTTCACCTGAGTTGTCTCCTGAGTGCTCAGGAACACTCTTTGAGGGCAGTTGTCCTCATCGTTAACCTCACTGACCTCAGTTTCCTTACCTGGGAAACGGGAGGAAGTGCATTGTGCCAGGCCACAGAGAAACAATGGGTGAACCTTGGTCTTCTGGCCCTCAGATTCTATCAGTGGGAAACTTGGGCAAGTAAGGGCTAGGCATGCCTACGTGTGTGCCCCTGGAGCACAGAGGAGGTTCTCAGTAGCTACAACTTGCTCTTTGATTCCCTGGCTGGCCTCTCTTTTTGCCCTAAATTTTTTTTATTAAAAAAATTTTTTAAGACACAAGGAGACAGGGCATTAGAGGAAAGAGCTAATACATCCAACCCAGGTGATGGGTTGATGGGTGCAGCAAACCACCATGGCACATGTTTACCTATGTAACAAACCTGCACATCCTGCTCATGTACCCCGGAACTTAATAAATAAATAAATAAATAAATAAAGAGACTGAGTCTTGCTATGTTGCCCAGGCTGGAGTACAGTGGCACAATCATAGCTCTTTGCAGCCTCAAACCCCTGGGCTCAAGTGATCCTCCTGCTTGATCCCAAAGTGCTGGGATTATAGGCGTGAACCACCGTGGCTGGCTGTCTTTTTGCCTTTTTACTAAGAAATTTTGATTTAAATTGATAATAGTAATACAGGTATCCATTCTCTTAACACATGATAACATTTCCAATCAAGCTGAAGTCAGTTCTGGACCATCTGGCCAGGGCTGGCTCCTTTTCACTCTGTCAGCGTGGTTTTATAATTTTGGGGTTTGAACTTCCAGATCTTTGTGTATGCATTTCTTTCATCTCTGTGTGAATGTGGCTTTTCCTTCCTTCCTTTCTTTCTGTTATATCTTTTAAAATGTGAACTTTTACAGAAGTCTAAGCAGGGTACAGAAGATACATTTTTACCACCTGAACACACCAGTGTGAGCAGCACTTGGATAAAAAAGCAGAACTTTTTTTTTTTTTTTGAGACAGGGTCTCACTCTGTCACTGTAGACTGGAGTGCAGTGGCGAGATCTCGGCTCACCACAACCTCTGTCTCGCAGGCTCAAGCGATTCTCCTGCCTCAGCCCCCTGAGTAGCTGGGATTACAGGTGTGCACCACTACTGCCCGGCTAATTTTTGTATTTTTAGTAGAGACAGGGTTTCACCATGTTGGCCAGGCTGGTCTTGAACTCCTAACTTCAGATGATCCACCTGCCTTGGCCTCCCAAAGTGCTGGTATTACAGGTGTGAACTACCACACCTGGCCTGAAACAGAACAAACATTTTTAATCACTGAAAAATGTTTCTGTCTAGGACAACTGCTCTCCTGACTTCTAACAGATTACATTGTTTTGCCTGTTCTACAACTTCATATCAATGGAATCATTCAGAGTATTTGCTTTTGTGTCTGGCTTCTTTTGCTCAGTTAAACTTTTAAAGTTCCTCTATGCAGTACTGTACAGCTTCATTCTCACTACTGTGTTGTGTTCCACTGTCCACTGTGTGACTATACCATAGTCCAGTCTACTGTTGGTAGACAGTTGGGTTATTTCAAGGTTTTGGTTGTTGTGAATAAAGCTGCCATGGACATTCTTCTTTGTGTCTTTTTTCTTTTTCTTTTTTTTATTTTATTTTACGAGTTGGGATCCTGCTTTGTTGCCAAGGCTGGAGTGCATTGGTGCTATCACAGCTCACTGCAGCCTTGAACTCCTGGGCTCAAGTGATCCTCTCATCTCAGCCTCCCGAGTAGCTGGGATCATGGCTATGAGCCACTGCACCCAGCTCTTGTTTGTGTCATTTGGTGGATGCCAGCTCTTGTTTCTATCAAGTTTATACCCGAGGCATCATCACTGGACACATCATTCACGTGTGTTGAGTTTCTGCATATTTCCAAACAGTTTCCAAAGCATTTCGCTACTGCTGTCCTCCATATTTCTGGCCCATCTCGCTCCTTTTTTTTTTTTTTTTTTTTTTTTCAGATGGAGTCTTACTCTGTTGCTCAGGCTGGAGTGAGGTGGCACCATCTCAGCTCACTGCAACCTCCGCCTCCTGGGTTCAAGCGATTCTCCTGCCTCAGCCTTCTGAGTACCTGGGACTACAGGTGTGTGTCACCACACCCGGCTAATTTTTTTGTTGTTGTATTTTTAGAAGAGATGGGGTTTTGCCAGGTATCCGGGCTGGTCTCGAACTCCTGACTTCAAGTGATCTGCCTGCCTCAGCCTCCCAAAGTGCTGGGATTACAGGCGTAAGCCACCATGCCTGGCCCCATCCCTTGATTCTGAGTACACCTGGAGAGGTCAGTCTTTTTAATATGAGCTATTTGGCCATGTGTGTAGTAATATCTCATTGTGGTTTCATTTGCATTTCCGGATGATCGTTCTTTTTAATGCCTTGGCGACCTCACACCAGCCATCTCAATGGGACTTGTTCCTGTCCTTCCGTGATGTTCTTGAGAGCCGTCCACATGGTGCGTTTGCCAGTTTCCTCCTTTGGAAGGTGGCAAGGTCTTCCCACTTGATAAGGACGTCTCCTGTGACTTTGCCTCTGCCCCATATTTCTAGTCCATCTCTTTCCTTGACTCTGAGACCTTTCTGTAAGCGGGGACTCCATGATGTTCACACACTTGGTGCCCGGTAAATAAACAGCTAGTAAATGGACTGACGGAAGCAAAGGGGAAGAAAAACAAAAAAAACCCTCCTCCCCCAAACCCCAATTTGGTTAATTGAGGGGTTCCACTGGGGTGATTTTTGGTCAATTGGAGTTTGCTTGTGAAACCGGTAAGAGCATGGACAATCAACCATAAGGTAGCAACACGCACTGAGCCCAGCACTTTCCAGAGAATTATCACACTGTGGATGTCACAAGGATGTTGGGAGGGTCTAGCTGGCCGGTGGGATCAGCTACCCCTCAGGCCTCCGATATTTTCCTGAGGTTCCACAACCGGGAAGTGGCTGGGTAAGGTTCCTAGACCCAGGGCCTCTGATCCTACTTGCCACGATGTTTCCATCTTGTTCTGTGCTGTGTCTGCAACTCACAGCCTGGCACACAAAAGACTCTCAAAGATGTGCTCCAGGAATGACTTTGATGAGCACACACCACACACCAGGTGCTGTGCTAAGCCCGGGGATACAGAAGAGAATAAGGCGGCCCCAAGCCCCACCTTCATGGCGGGTCCATTATTGGGGTGGGGGATACAGGTGGTCCGATGATGAGTGCTAGGGAGGAAAATAAAGAAGGGGAGGGAGAGGAGAGTGTGTGTGTGTTTGTGTGTGTGCATGCAAGAGGGAGAGAATCAGAGAGAGAGTGCGTGAGTGTGAGGAAGAGAAGGATGTTTCACTTAACCACAGAGGTCAGGGAATGCCTGGCTGAGGGAAGGTGCTATTGGGTGGGGTGGGGCGGGGGAGCCATGAGGTCTCTGGGGAAAGAGGGAATGGCATGGCAAGTGCAAAGGCTCTGAGATGGGACCATGCTGTCTATGTTCAAGGGACCGCAAGGAGGCCAGTAGGGGAGGTGCCATTGTGAGTGATGGGGAGAGAAGTAGGATGGGAGCTGGGAGGTGGTGTGTGTGTGTGGCAGGGGTGGGTGGGGTTCTGAGCAGGGCGGGGATATGCCTGACTTCTTCCTCCTAGGGTTACAGGGTGGGTGATGTCGGCCAAGGGGAGGAGAGAACAAAATGAAGCAGTTGGTGGAAAGTATGCAGCCTGTGGTCTGGTACACAGTAAGCACTCAATAAGTAGCAGAGTATGTGTGGGTTTTGGATGAGTGACCGCTAAGCTTTTTTTTTGACACAGGGCCTTGCTATGTCACTTAGGCTGGAGTGCAGAGGCACAATCATAGCACATTGAAGCCTCTACCTCCTGGGCTCAAGTGATCGATCCTCCTGCCTTGACCTTCCGAAGTGCTGGGATTACAGATATGAGCCACCACACCTGGCTGGAGTGACCTGCTAAGTTTTAATGGGATTCCTGGTGGGTTGGGTGATACCTGAGGGGACCTGCCTACTTGGGACTCGCCCCATGGAGGGCTCAGTGACCTCAGATGAGCTGGAGGTGGGGAGGTGGTGGGCAGGCGAATGGGAGGAGGAACTGGTTGGGGGCAGGCACACAGTGTCCCGACTGGGAGGGCAGGCCTTTCCGGGCTCCCCACCAGCTCCCCTCAATCTCTGTGTGTGGTCCACAGGCAGGACCCCCATTTGGGCTCTGTTTATGTGTGATTACAATCTGTGGTCTGTCTCTCCCATAGGTGCTAAGTTCCCTGGACAGGAACCCATCTGTTGTATGGGTGGCTGTGTCCTCAGCTCTTAGAATGGCACTGGGCACATAGCAGGTGCTCAGTGACTACTGGATGGAGGGTGAAGGGTGGGTGATTTTGTCTACGAGCAGAGAGATGGGTAGACGGATGGATGGTTGGATGGCTGGGTGGTGATGTGAGCAGCACTGAGATGGAGGAGAGATGGATGGGTGGGTAGGTGGGTGGGTGGAAAATTGGGTGGGTGGATAGATAAATGGACCAGTAGCTGACAGGAGCCTGGACCAGGGTGGGGTAGAATTCAGTAGAAAACTTCTGGCCCAAGAGTTAGAAGATGGGGGTTCGAGTCCAGTCTTGCTACTGAGTAATAACAAGGTCTGTGGAAACCTGGACTTGTTCTATTGTTGCTCTTTGCCTCTGCTTCCCCATTATTGGTTTTTCAACTTCATTATTCCTTTTATTGTATTGGATAGATCCCCTTTTATTCAATCCCTGGATGTTTCTGAAGCCTCACTGCAAGAACAGAGTGAAAGGGAGCTGCAGAGGAGATGGGGGGCAGGGCCCAGCCCTGGGCAGCCCCCGGGAGTCCTGCAAGCCAGGGGCACAGCTTGAACACTTAGCCTGACTGTTCACCATTTTGCCACAGCTTCCTCCTCTGAGTCTTTCCTCTCCAGGGTTCCTCCAGTGAAGCCTCTGCTTCCAGTGGTTTGGAGCAGTCCCAGAAATCTGCACTGTTAACAAGCCTGCCTCATCGTTCTGAACTTATTTCTGGTTAAGATTCACCGACACCTTCTAGGACTGCTGGATCCTATAGTTCAGCAGCACCATGTGAGTGCGTGTGTGCATGTGTGTGAGCACGTTTGCATGCATGTAGGGGACATGGGGTGGGTGGATGGTTGCAAGGACACTTTCTGTGTTTAATGTGAGATTTTATGTATTAAAACAAGACTGGAAACAACTGCAGTGTTCATGAGTGGGGCCGGTTAAGTGCCATGAGGCCAGTCCGCTCCACTCCTTGGGGGATCCTGCAGGCATTACAAATAAGGGAAAAGGTTCTGATAAGACACGATCTCCAAGACATCCTTACATGAAACAGCAGGTGCAAACGGTGCCTATTGTTTCACCACTTGTGTTAAAACATACATGCAAGAAGAGAAGTGTGGGTATTCGTGGACAATTCTGGAAGAACACACAAGAATCTGAGACCAGGGTGGTCCCTGGGGAGGGAAACTGGGGGGCTGGGGGTGGGAGGGAGAATGATGGCATTTTCTGAATCCCTGCCGGAGTCCTAGGTTCAAATTCTGCCTGTGATCAGCAGCGTGGCTACCCCTAAGCCGGTGGTGAGCACTCTTTGAGCCTGGTTTCCCCGTGTGTAAATGGGGCTGTGTTTGCAGTGTGGGGCTGGGCTGGCGTGCAGGGCCCAGACACTCTGCTCCTGTTTTGGCTTCTGTTTCCCAGGAGGCTCCTGGTCAGGCCTCACCTTCTAGCAGCCCCACTTGGCCCAGGGAGGGTGGGTCCCCGGGGAGGGGGTGGCCCGGTCCAGGGTGGGGCTGAGCTGGAAAAACCGGCAGGTTGGGAGCAGTCTGTGCAGGCACCATCTTCACTCCCCAGCCTGGAGGCTGTGGGGACACTCACTCCCACCCCACGCCCCTGGGAGGCTGGGACCAGAGAGAGAGAGAGAGAGAAAGAGAAAGAGACAGGTAACGAGGGCGATACAGAGAAAGGGAGAGACAAGAAAGGAAAGAGACAGAGGGAGACATTCAGAAGCAGAGATTCAGGCTGAGAGAGACAAAGATTCAGAGTCAGGAGGAAGGGGGCAGTGGAGCTCGGGTGGGGGTGGGGGCAAGGTTGCCTCTGGCCAGGTGCCTGGGACTGGACGAGGCATGGGGGCACTGGGGGGTGGGGTGGGGATGTCCATGCACCCACTGACCATGGGACAGGGGTGCAGGGAGCTGGAGCCCCCCCATCAGGACATCTCCCACACCTCTGAGCTCCAGCTGCAGGTCTGAGTGCTCCTGGGAATCCTCCGGGGCCTCTCACTTCTTGCCCCTCCAGGCCTCCCTGGGGATGTGAACCTGGCAGCTGCCTCTCCAGGGGGCCCTCCCAGAGCAGAGCTGGGAGGGTCTAAAGTGCAGTCGAGCTAATTAGTGTTAGGCACCGAGATAATCGCAGCTTGGAATGTTCCTTAGGAGGTCCTGGTTGGGGCAGGCAGCCTGGGGGCCATGAGGGTGCCTGGGATTGGCCCAGTAGGTCTGCTGGCTCCTAGAACCCTGAGTATTGGAGTGGGAGATTTAGGAAGCCTGGATCTTTGGGTCTTAGGGCTTGCAGTCTCTCAGTCCTCTCCAGGCCATCCTGTGTAGCAGCCAAAGTGACCCACTGGACTCCATTCTGACCATGTCCACCCCAGCCCCTGCCTGAAGCCTTCAGTGGCTCCCCATGGCCCTTAAACTGAAATCCACCTGCCTCTCCTCAGCCTAGGGGAGGCTGGTGATGAGCTCTTGATCCTGCCTCATCACTCTGACTTATTTCTATTTCTGGAACATTCCATACTTGGCCCACCTCAGAACCTTTGCATATGCTGTGTCCCCCAGCATGCCCCCTCATCCAAGAGCTCTCAGGCCTCAGCTATACATCACCTCACTGGGGAGGCCCCTGATTCCTGGCTTGCCTGGTCTCCCTGGATGCACCACGTAGCTCCCACCCCCTGCTTCCCAGGGCTCAGCGCTCTCTGTTCTCATAGTGGCATTCCTCATTCAATGTCTGCTTCCTCCACCCATGGAGTGGCAGCTCCATGAGGGCAGACTCCGGGTCTGCTTAGTCACCGTGGTGTCCCCTAGGACCTGACATGCAGCAGGTACTCCACCAGTGAGCTACTGACCACCAAGGAAGTGGACTGGACATTTCTTGCAGTGTGGACTCCTTCTACGTTATGAAGGGACCCTACTGAGCCCTGGGCTTCCCCTGTGCCCCTCCCACTGCCCCAGCCCCAGCCCCAGCCCCATAAGCTCCTGCGTCTTGAGACTCCACCAGGTGGCCCTGGCTGTGATGTCGCAAGGAATCACTGGCCAGAATCTGGTTGAGATTATCTCCTGGCTGGGCATGGCCCACGTCTCCACGCAGGGCTGGGACCACAGGCCGCCGCCTCAGGGTCCCTAAGTGTCCCACTGTGCCTCTTGTCTTCAGCTGCAGATAACAGCATTGGTCCAAGGTGGCCTTGCCTCAGCTGCAAGTGCCCGTGCTAGGGACGCGCTAGGTGGCCTCAGGGAAGTCCTTGTCTCTCTCTGGGTCTCCAGGTCACACAGAGTAGGGTCCCACCCCACATGGGAAAGCAAAAAACTGGGTAGAAATGGGGTCTCTGGTTGGGAGACCTTGGAGGAAAAATAACAGTGCTTCTCAAGGGGGGGTGAAGTGAGAAAGTGGTTGGTGACACATGAGGGGATCCCCACGTGTCCCCAGCTGGGGGGCACAGACAGTCCAGGGTGACTGACCTGCCCCAAGTTCCCTGAATGCCTGAGGTTTACCAGTGTCCTGGGGCCCAATGAGGCAGGTGTGGAAGTGTCCTCGTAGCATGGTGGAAAGAGTTGGCAAGTGAGGCCTTGAGCCGTTTCTAGGGCACTGATCCCATGGTGCCTCAGTTTCCTTCTTGTGAAGCAGGTACAATAAGAGTTTCTACTTCACGGGGATACTGTCCTGAGCTCACAGAAGGCAATTGATCACTGCCACTATTATTGCCTCCTAAAGTCTTGTCTCACCCTGTCTCCACCTCTCTGTGCCTCCTGCCCCACCTGGCCTGGGTGATTAACCCGAGTGAGTGCAGCAGCCTCCGACTGCTCTCCTGCTCTTAGTCTCAGCCCTACATCTATTCTCCACATGCTGCCAGACAGAGTCTAAGAAACACGGGCTGGCTGAGCGCAGTGGCTCATGCCTGTAATCCCAACACTTCGGGAGGCTGAGGCAGGCAGATCACCTGAGGCCAGGAGTTCGAGACCAGCCTGGCCAAGATGGTGAAACCCCATCTCTATTAAAACTACAAGAATTAGATGGGTGTGATGGCACACGCCTGTAATCCCAGCTACTTGGGAGGCTGAGGCATGAGAATTGCTTGAACCCAGGAGGCAGAGGTTGCAGTGAGCCGAGATTGTGCCACTGCACTCCAGCCTGGGGGACAGAGCGAGAACTTATCTAAACAAACAAACAAACAAAAAAACATGAGCTGGGTCACGCTCCTCCCCTGCTCCACAGCCTCCAGGGCTCCTACTGCCTTCAGAATAAAGATTGGCCTCCTTATCCAGACCCACAGGTGCTGCACAGTGGCGGCCCCCTCCCCTGATCTCTGGCCACTCTCACTGTCACTTGCCCTGCTAGAGCCACCTTGGTTTTCTTTCCATTGCACCCAGCTCCCACCTGCCACAGGGCCTTGGCACACTTTGCTTTCTCTACTGGAACACTTTCGTTTCTCCTCTTCACCTAGTTAATGCCAGATCTCAGATCAGGTGGACCTCTGGTAGCAGGTGCTGTGGGGATTCCCCAGAGCCTCTTTGGTGGGATCTGCATGCATCTTCCTGCTGCCACACAGTGTTGGCTGCTGTGGGCTCCCAGCTGGGGCCCCTTAAAGCTGGAGTCCTGCCTCGCTGAGCAGGAGCTGCCTCCCATCCCCCAAACAGAGGTGGACACAGCCAGTGACCAATGAGACCAGGACTCAGGCCTCTTACTTTGAGGTGGGAGGAGTGTGGTGGTGCAATTCACGTTCCAGAGCTCCCCGGGGGATCAGGCCAAGTGAGACTCAGCGGAGGCCATATCCTGGCTTAGCTCCCACCTTGCCCTGTCCTGCTTCTCGCACCCTTCTCCCAAAAGCATGTCCTCAGTGAATCACGTGCATGCCAGTCCCCAAGTCAGGCTCCTCTTCTGGGCAACCTGACCTAAGATGCCTTCCCTGCCCTCCCTGTCCCCCTTTCTGGTCTCTTCTCCATGGATCTCTCCTTGCAGCCCTGACTATGGCTGTGTTTTTACACTTGCTTGGATGATTATTTGATTGAAATCTGTCCCCCACCCCAGAATGTAAGGCAGGGATCATGTTCCTTCTGTGTTCCCAGCGCCCATCGTGGGCTTGGCACATAGTAGGTGCTCAATCCATATTTGTTGAATGACTGAATGAATCATAGCTGGGTGAGTCAGAGCTGGGCACTATCAAGGCCCCAGTTTCTTCCTATCTCATGGTTCTGCCGTCTCCACTCAGCCCAGCTCCTCATGGTGCCACGATGGCTGCCAAAGCTCCTGCCATCTCTTCCTCATACAGCCAAGCAGGAAAGGCCCTCACATGTCCTGTTAAGAATGAAGAAACCATTCCCAGAAGCCCCTTGGCAGACTTCCCCATCTCACTGGCCACAGATGCATTCCATGTCCAGCCTCTGCCAATTGCTGCAAGTGGGGAAGGGGACCTAATCAGCATCTGTGCCTCGAATGTCGTGGGTGGAGTCCACCCACACCCACTGAGCGGGGATCTGGCTGCCTACGAGCGCAGACCCCTGAACTTGGGTCATTTTGACTATTCCTAGGGCTGTGGGTCCCCCACCTGTCCTTCCTCCCTGGGGAGCCCTTGGGTGGTGGAGGTGAGAAGGGGGCGGTGCTGGGTGAGGGTTTCAAGCAAATGAGGCGGCCAGACACCTTCACCTCAGTAAACATTTACAGAGCCAGGAATGCAGAGGAGGTGGTGAGCCCAGCAGATGAGTGTGTGGGGAAGACACCACCTAGGCCAGAGGTACAGATAGTGAGACAGGGAGACATGGGGGTGAGATGGAGAGACACAGAGAGACACCCTGAAAGAACTGATGTGAGAGACACAGAGGGAAAGAGAGAGGCTGAGAAATAAAGAGGGGAGAGACCCAGAGACAGAGGCTTTGCCGGGCAAGCTTTTGCATCAGGCCTGGAGCAGGCAGAGGCCCTCTTCCAGTGGGCGTGGTGACCGCACCTCGTTCTCTTTGGCTGAAAGTCCCAGGCAAGCCCCTTTTCCAGACTGGGCCTTGGATCCTCCTGTGTCAAATGGAGCTGTGTCCACACACTGGGCCTAACATGGACCTGTGGCCTCCTGTGACCCAGAAACAGCCTTGTGTGGTGGAAGGGAATTGTCACCCCCAGTGGAAGGGGGAGGCAGTGCCCAGGGGCATGGCGAGAGGGTGGAAGGGGGATCTGGACCACGGAGTGCATGTTTCTAAAGCCTGTGTCCTGTCTGTGCCCCACAGGGCCAGTGTGGGGCCAGGAGGGGTGAGGGTGGGGCATGGGGGTACCCTTAGGGGTGGTGCTGGCCGCCAGCTCTGTGTGCCAGTGACGAGTGTTCTGGTCATAAGAATGGCTGCTGGGTTTGAATGCTCCCCAGGTGCCAGGCACCAACCCCACCAGGGTGGTGCTGCTTAATTTCTATTTAGTTTGGACTTCCCATTTACAAACGAGGAAACTACATCTCAGCGTGGCAGCGACTTCCTAACAACGGGGTGTAGGCTTTGGGGTCGGAAAGGTCTGGGTCCGAGTCCCCGCTCCATCCCTGACAGGCTGGGGGACCTAGGCAGTCATTTCCTCCTCCTAAGCATCAGTTTCCCCATTTGTAAAGTGGGGAAATAAGTTTAAGGGTGACATGGGGATCGGATGAGGTGCTGCCAGAGGGTTCTTAGCACAGGGCCGGGTACACAGGAAGCACTGGATGAACGTTAACCGGGCCATTGGATACAAGCTTTTAAGTAATTTAAAATAATTCCTTTAATGGCTCTCCTTATTTTTTTTATTTTTTTTTTAAGGGAAAGAGCTGAGGTCCAGGGAGGGGAAGGGACTTGCCCAAAGTCATTGGCCAGGTGGAGGGTCTGAGGTTTGAACCCTGTGGGCCCTGAGGCCCTCTATACCACCCACGATGGCTCAGGCCTGGATGGCCTGTTTGCGACTCAATCCTCATGGGTTGAGAAGATGCCCATAGCCTGGCCTGATAGCCCTCTGGCCTGACATCAGCTACAACCACCAGTTGGGGCAGTTGCAAAATCCCTCACCCTTTGCCTGTCGATAAAGGGTGCCCATTGCAAAACTCAGCGGAGAAATTATTAAGGGTTGTGTCATCCTGTGGCCAGGCCCTGGGTGCCTCTTTCCTGCCCGGAAGCCTGGGTAGGGCCGACTGCTCACTCTCTCCCTCCATGGCCCTGACCCGAGAGAGAATGGGGTGGGGGTCAGCAGGGAGCTTGCAGGGAATGCGGACGACAGACCCCAGCACTGGGGCCGTCATAGTCCCTGATTCTTAGGAAATGGCAGCTCCATCCTTCTGGGTGCTCAGGCCCAAACCTCGGGTTGTCCCTTCATTTCCTCTCTTGCCCTGCATTCGATAACTGGCCAGGAAATCCTGTCAGCGCCACCTTTAAAACATCCAGAACCTGCGTAGGTTTTCCCCTCCGCTTCCACAGCTGAATTCAAGGCCACCATTCTCTCTCCTGCAGTAGCCTCCTTGCTGCTTTCACTGCTGTCATCGTCACGCCCCACTTCCCCCGTGCAGCCAAAGGGATGCTGTTAGAACCCCACTCAGATCCCATCTTTCCTCTGTTTAGAACCTTCCTTGGCTCCAGCTGCAGAGCAAAACCTGAGGTCTTTCCCAGGATCACAGGGCCCTGTCTGATCTGGCCCCCATGGCCTTTCTGACCTCATCCTCCCTCCTTTCTTACTTGCTCACTCACTCCAGCCACACCGGGCCCCTTGCTATTCCTCCAACACACTGGGCATGACCTAACTAGGGCCTTTGCACTTGCTGTTCCTGCTGCCTGGAATGCAGTTCCTTCAGCTCTTTCCCCCAGCTGGATGTGCCACTTTATTCAGATCTCATCGCAATGTCACCTCCTCAGGGAAGCCTTCCCCGGCTACCTGCTGAACTGTCACCTCCACCATCACTCCAGCCCTTTCATCTTTCTTCCCTACTTGCCATCATGTTATACATCTGTTATTTGTTTGGTCAATGCCTGTCTATCTCTTTAGTATGTCACCTTCCACACTGCAGGGACTGCTGTCTGTGGTGATCACGATGCTTTCTGAGCACTCAGCACAGGGCCCCGCACACAGTAGGGGCTCCACAGAGATTTGTTCAATCAGTGAATGGGCGCGCAGGAGGGGTGGCTGTTGGCCCAGATGATGCTTCAGCAAACATCACAAGTGTCCTTTCTCTGGCTGATGGCTCGAGGCTGGTGCCCAGAACAGGCTGCTGTGGAGACGGCTTCCCTGACCACCCTGTCAAGTAGCTCCGACTGCCCAACCCACACCCATGCTCTCCAGTCCCCTCGCCCCACACTTCCCACAGTCTCAACTTGTTTTGCTTCTGTATTTTTCATGGGCCCCTCCTCCCCCGAGAATGGAGCTCTCTGAGAACAGGGTGTCCTCTGTTGGCCCCACTGTCATCCCCCTGAGTGTCCAGTGCAGGACCCGGCACCCCATGGGAAGTGTTTCATGGCAGGTTGATCAGGGTTTGCATCGGATGCCCCATCTGCCGGGCTAGTTCTGGCTGGGAGGGTGTTAGGAGGAGATGCTGTGCTCGGACCTGCGAAGTCACGGGGGAGATGGGGACCCACTTGGGCCTTAATTATAACACATCCCATAATGATATGGTGTTATAATACGCACACAAAGTGTCCTAATCTGATATTATATCTGGGTTTTGTACAATAGATACAATCGGCTGGCTGCAGTTTGCTAATTCATTCTCGACCTATCTCCACGCTCCACCTAGATGACTATCGGCTTCCTTAATTAAGTGGAAGGCAAGCTCTGCAGGCGATGCTTGCAGTCCCAGCACCGACGAGTCCGGCCTGGCCCTCCCATAAGCTGGGATAATAGCTACTCCCACATGGGGCGAGGCTGGTTCTGCCTTCTTCATCCCAACCTCCTGTCCCAGTCTTGGGCGTGACAGGCCTGCTCCAAGGCCTGGTAAGCCACAAACGCCAACCACCAAGGGCTCAAACCGGCGGCCTGTGGGCCGGGCCGGCCTCGAGATGTGTTGGGTTTGGCCTGCATGGTGCTTTTGCTGCAAGTTAAAATGAGTTGCCAACTATGAAAAATCAGAATGTCGTACACAAACATCCAGATTCCCGGCTTCTCTTGGGAAATGGGAAGATGCAGGGACTCGGGTTCATAGTCCTGGGTGCTGGGGCTGGGGAGTGGCTGTCCCCTCTAGACAGGACATGACCACAGTTGTCTCCTGCCAGTTTCACTTTTATGTCCCTGCCCGATCTTGTAGGCAGTTGAGTTTGCAATCCCTGCTCTGGGCTTTAACAATCAGTTACCCCTTGGCAAGATGGGACAGTGAGGCTCAGAAGAGGCAAGTGACAATGGTCATTGCACAGCGAGCTGGAACTCAGGTCACAATCATTCAACAGGTCTTTATTGAGCTCCCACTGTGTACTAAGCCCTGGAGACAAAGACCACAACAGATATAGTTCTTGCCTTCTGGGGGGTGACAGTCTGTTGTTCCACAGGCATACCATCCACCCTTATTGCTGGAGGCAATAGGATCTGTTAGAGACAGGTCCTTTATGATCCCTCAGAGTAGGTGGAAGCAGATTCCCCATAGCTTCTGGGCCCCATCCAGGCCAGAGAATGGACTCTGAAAGGTGCAAGGGGAGTGGAAGCAGCCATCTTGGAAGGAAGCTCTTGGCAAGTGTTCTTACTAGAGGGGGATGTCCCTAATCTCCTACCTGGGCTCCCAGAGAGCAGGAAGGATGAGCAAGGTGGGCTCAGAGGGGTCGCAGGTGGGGGTGGTGGGGGACAGGAGGGGAACAGAGAAGGCACAGTGGCATCAGCTAGACAGAGCATGGGGACTTTCCCATCCTGGTTGAACCAAGGGTGAATCAATTAGGTCCTTCTAAGACAAGAAGTGGAGGGCAAGATGCTGAAATACCCAAGCTGCCCACCTACTAGTCCAGGAGAAAGGGCTTTGCTCAGCCAGTCTGGGAGGAAGTGTTTGTCCTCTTGCCTCCCACTCCACTGCACCACCCCTGGCCCGGAGGAGAAAGTGCAGCCTGGAACCTCTGTCCCCAGTGCCTCAATGCTGGACCCAGCTTGGGCCATTGCAGACCAGCTGGCCTTCCAGGAGCCACATCTGAAGAGCATCAAGCAGCCCACATGCTCCGTGGCCAGCTCCCCACTGACGCGGGGGGATGAATAACAGTCCCAGCCATCATGTGCATTTGCTAAAAATAAACTGACATACTTTTTGCATTGGGAAACAATGTGGATTCCAAACATTCTCAAAGGGCAGAGAGGGGAAAAAAGGAAGAATGGAAATCAAGTTTTCGAGCTTAGCAATTAATTAGTGCCTGTAAACAAATGACTCATGATCTTTCCTGACTATTTTTCTTTCCATTTTGCGTGGATTTTCGCAGGGACTCAGGGAAGAATGCCAAATGAGCCAAGCTGATAGGCAAGACAGGACCCAGATGGGACTGTCTTGAGGGGGCGTTGTCCAGTTGGAGAGTGTGAGGAAGAGCATCAGGTGGAAGAACAACATGTGCGATGGCTATGAGGACTAAAAGATCTTGGCATGTCCAAGGAACACTGAGGAGGCCCATGTGGCTGGAGTAGAATGGGTGAAGGGGTGAGGTCAGATAGATCCACGGGACTTGGAACATACAGACCCTTAGTGGTGTATTAAGGCATTTATATTTGATCTAGAAGACAGTGGGAGCCATGAGAGGGTTTTAAACCAGGAAAGAACATCATCTGATTTATATAATGGTGTCATGTAAAAAACAGATGATCAGGCCAGACACAGTGGCTCACACTTGTAATCCCAGCATTTTGGGAAGCCGAGGTGGGTGGATCACCTGGGTCATGAGTTCAAGACCAGCCTGGCCAACATAGCGAAACCCTGTCTCTACTAAAAATACAAAAATTAGCTGGGCATGGTGGCAGGCACCTGTAATCCCAGCTACTCAGGAGGCTGAGGCAGGAGAATCACTTGCACCCCGGAGGTGGAGGTTGCAGTGAGTGGAGATCGTGCCATTGCACTCCAGCCTGGGCAACAGAACAAGATTCTGTCTCAAAAAAAAAAAAATCAGAAAAATATATTCTACATGTTCTCTGTTGTTTAGATGCTTCTGATACTTAGATTTCCTCAACAAATGATTATCTAATTGTTATGTTTCTTAGGGGTTTACACATGTAATGTTTGTTTCCTCTCCTTAGAACATCAGCCCTATGATAACAGGGACCTTGTCGGTCTTGTTTACTTCTGTGTCCTCAGTGCCTAGACCACTGCTTTGCACACAGTAGGAGCTCAGCAAGGGCTTTTCAAGAGAATGAACACTCTGTGCAATGTCAGAGGCCTCATTCCACCTTACAGGGCAGGGAGGTCTTCCAAGGCCAGTCTGGATGGTCCCCAGGAGAGGCAGGTTTTATTTAGTTCAAAATAAGAAGAAGTTTTATGGCTGGAACATCGATTCTGCAAGGAATTGAACCCCCTGGTAATGGGGTCATTCCAGCTGGGCCCATGCTATCAGTCCCACAATGGCCCTCTCTGATTTAAGACAGTCTCTGTGCTGCTCATAGAGTCCACTCAAAGATCTATGAGGTTGGCATGTGGCTATGCCCATTGTGCAGACAGAGAAACTGAGGCCAGGGAGTGGTGACATGCTCAAGGTCACATGGTTACAAGTGGAAGAGCCTGGCTTGGAATCCAGGTCTGACTATAAAGTCTGTGTTTTTAACTCCTTCTCTGAGCCATTGACATGGGTTCCAATGCCTGCTCCACCACTTAGATGCCGTGTGACCTGGGGCAAGTCACTTTGCTTTCTGAGCCTCAGTGTTTTGCTCCATTTAATGGGAATGCGGCCCCTTGCCTCTCAGGGCTGCTGGGGGTGGCAGGGAGGTCTGAGCCGGCACACAGATGTTCGAATCACGTGCATCCCTCTTCCCTGCCAAGCTCCTTCCTGGGTCCTTCTGCCACTGGCCCCCGTCCTGGGCTGCCGACCCCGCCTTAGGCCAGAAGCTCCTTGGAGTCCACCCTCCAGTTCTCCCCCCGCCCACTGGGTGTTGAGTCACTCATGCCATGAGCTTCTTGCCCTCTGCCTGTGTTTTCTTCCTCCTTTTCTTGGTAAAACCACTGCCTTTTCTGATTGCTAAAGCTCCTCCTAGGGAGCAGGTGGGTGGCAGGGGAGACCCCACCATCCCACAGAACCGTCTCCACCGCTTCCCCATCCCTCCCACTCTCACCACGCCAGGCTGAGGTCACTGAGCACGAGGCCTGGATGGCAGACATGGTCAAGGTTGGGGGTTTAATTAATCATCAGGGAGCAGGCAGGGCTCTGGCTGGTCCAGGGCCCCTTGTCTGGGTATAGGCTGGTGGGTAGACTAGGGGAGGTCAAAGTAAATATTCTGGGAATGACGTTGCTTGCAGCCCATGGCAAACACAAACATGGAAAAGCCTATGGGGATGTGCAGTAATGGGGATGGGGTGGCAGAGGCGGGGATGGGGTGGCAGAGACAGGGATGAGTCTTGAGAGGCTTCATGGAGGAGGTGTGTCTGGAGCCAGGTTTGTAGATGGGAGATGAAGGACATGGGTGCTGGGGCCAGCTACCCTGGGCTTGAATCTCAGCTCTGCACCTTTCCCACTGTGTGAACTTGGTCAGGTTCATGTCCCTCTCTGAACCTCAGTTTCCTCATTTTGAAAATGGAGATGATTGGCTGGGCATGGTGGCTCACGCCTGTAATCCCAGCACTTTGGAAGGCTGAGGTGGCCAGATCACCTGAGGCCAGGAGTTCGAGACCAGCCTGGCCAATATGGTGAAACCCCATCTCTACTAAATACAAAAATTAGCTGGGCATGGTGGTACACACCTGTAGTCCCAGCTTCTCGGGTGGCTGAGGCACAAGAATCACTTGAACCCAGGAGGCAGAGGTTGCAGTGAGCCGAGATCACGCCACTGCAGTCCAGCCTGGGTGACAGACTAAGACTCTGTCTCAAAAAAAAAAAAAAAAAAAGAAAAGAAAATGGAGATGATAATATTTACATCCCCCTCACAGGGTGTGGTGATGACTGAGAGATGATGCAGATGAAGTATATAGAGCAGGGCCAGGCATATAGCTGGTGCACAATACATGCTAGCTATTTTCATTCTTACTAGTGGCATAGTAGAAAGCACTGGAATTTTAGCTTCAGACAGACCTGGGTGTACATTTCAGTGTTCTGCATCTCCCTGTTCTTGAGCAAGCTCCTCGCCTGTTTGAGCCTCAGTGTTCTCACCTGGACTTGGAGATGGTTTCACTTCATGAGGTTTGTGGTGAGGATGAGGCATGAAATTCCTGTAGATTGCTCAGCACAGTGCTGGGCACACGGTAGGCACTCGCTAAGGAGTGGTTGGCATCCACTGGTCTATGGCCCAGTGGTTAAGGCAAGGGTTTGTATATCAGGCAGACCTGGGTCTGAGTCCTGGCTCTGCCCCCATGGGCTGCCGTGAGGATTATATAGAGCTCTAGATGTAAAGTACCCAGTTTGGTTCCTGGTACCTAACAGGTGTGTGGACAGTGGGAATAAAATCAGGATCTTTGTGACTCTGAAGACCAGTGTTAGGCCACCCCGACATCCTGGGTGGGAAGGTGACTTTCTTCCATTGAAAGGTGGGGAAGGCTCTGGCCCTTTCACGGTAAGGAAACAGTTTCAGAGAGGCGACATCACTAGCCTAGGTGGGCACCTGGGTCTGCTTGTCCGTAGAGCTTGTCTTTCCAAAAGGGGAAATCTCTGGGTTGAGGGTGTCCCATGGGGCCCCTTGAGTGTCACTGTGCATGCTGCTGGAACAGCCTTTTTTTTTAAGAGGGTCTTACTCTGTCACCCAGGCTGGAGTGCAGTGGCGCAACCACAGCTCACTGCCTCCTCAACTTCCTGGGCTCAAGTGATCCTCCCACCTCAGCCTCCCGAGTAGCTTGGGACGACAAGACTGCATCATCCGCCTGGCTAATTTTTAATTTAATTTTTTGTAGAGACAGGGTCTTGCTATGCTGCCTGGGCTGGTCTCGATCAGTGATCCTCCTGCCTCGGCCTCCCACAGTGCTGGGATTACAGGCGTGAGCCTCCACACCCTGCCTGGAACACCCTTTTAGTGGTTAATGAAAGCAGGTGACACATACCGTGAAGAAGGCAACTCTTGGCATGAGGTTCTGGGACCCAGCAGTGTTCAGGGCCCGCCACCCCAGACTGGGGACCAGGGCATGGCTTTGTATGTATGGGAGGTGGCTTGGGGTCTTGGGGTTGGGGCAGACCCCAAGAGGCCTGGCCTGGGCCTTTTTCCCTCTATCCAACCAGCCCCACAGCACTCTGTCCAATTGTTTATTTCTTGTTACTGTTGGGCGTTTTGAGGCATTTCTTCCAACTGTCCAGAATCCGAACCTCCTTCCTATGTGTGGAGAATTTTCTGCTGTATGAGGCAGATGTTCTGTCTCCCACAAAGGAGGCTGTGAACATGAGCCTCAGATTCTGCCCCCTGTGGCCAGAGCATGGACAATTAGCTCGGCCATCTAGGTGCACTGTCCTGGGCCCCTGGGGAGTCCATTCAGGGTCCATCCAGAGGCTTCATTTATGCACGTCACGTCCTTCTCCTGCTCAGAATCCTCCCATAGCTCCCCATTGTCCTCAGGATAGACTTCAACTCCTGCCCGTGTCCCGCAAGATTTGACGTGATGGAGCTCCACTGACCGCCCCTCCTCTCCCTTTCACCCCTCCAACCACAGGAACCTCCCTCAGCTAAAGTCAATATGCCGAGCTGGTACCTGCTTCAGGGCCTGTACGTTTGTTGTTTCTTCTGTTACTATATCTCATTTCACAGGTGAGGAAATGGGGCTGGAGGAGGGGAGAAGGAAACAGGGCGTGGTGGAAGGAGAACTCCAACTGAGGTTGGGCTGGCCTTGGCCTGGGCCTCAGCCTTGTGGTAATCACAATCCACGCCAGAGACTGCCTCCTCCAGGAAGTCAAAACAGATCCTTTTTGTAGACGGATCCCTCTCCTTGCCTCTGCTCAGCCTGACTTAGGCATTCTCTCGGGCATTTGGGTGTGTGTGTGTGGAGGTGACATTGCCCCCACAGGGGTGGAAATTAATTCTTATGGGGTAAAAAACATCTTAATTTTTTTATGTATAAAGCGAAGATAGGCCGGGTGCGGTGGCTCATGCCTGTAATCCCAGCACTTTGGGAGGCCGAGGCAGGTGGATCATTTGAGGTCAGGAGTTCAAGACCAGCCTGGCCAGCATGGTGAAACCCTGTCTCTACTAAAAATACAAAAATTAGCTGGGTGTGGTGGCAGGTGCCTGTAATCCCAGCTACTCGGGAGGCTGAGGCAGGAGAATCGCTTGAACTCAGGAGGCGGAGGTTGCAGTGAGCAGAGGTGGCTCCACTGCACTCCAGCCTGGGTGACAGAGCGAGACTCCATCTCAAAAATAAATAAATAAATAAATAAAAATAAACTCACCTTAACTTGATTTGAATCCACGCAATACCTCAACTGAATTCAACTCAACAGAACTCCACTCATTGTGTTTAGTTGAACTCGACTCAGCTTAATGTGTCTCCACTCAACCCTCCTTTGCTCAGTTTGACACAACCCAGCTCATCAGCACGACTGACATCAGCCCTGCGCCCCTCCACTCAGCAGAGCGCAGTTCAGGTGAAAACTCACCTCTACCTGACTCAACTCAACCCAACTAACTCTGCTTAACTCACCTCACCTCCGCTCAGCTCAGCTGACCTCAGTTCACCTCAGTTTACTTCAGCTCAGCGCCACTCACTGCAATCCCACCCACCTCAGCTCAGCTCAAGTCAATCCTGCTCTGTTGAATGCTCAGCTCAGCTCCACCCAGCTCCTCAACACACCTCATCTCAACTTTTACAAGTTTTTTTTTTTTTTTTTTTTTGAGATGGAGTTTCGCTCTTGTTGCCCAGGCTGAAGGGCAATGGCTCGATCTAGGCTCACTGCAACCTCCGCCTCCCAGGTTCAAGTGATTCTCCTGCCTCAGCCTCCCGAGTAGCTGGGATTACAGGCATGTGCCACCACGCCCGGCTAATTTTGTATTTTTAGTAGAGACAGGGTTTCTCCATGTTAGTCAGGCTGGTCTCGAACTCCCAGCCTCAGGTGATCTGTCCACCTTGGGCTCCCAAAGTGTTGGGATTACAGGCGTGAGCCAACGCACCTGGCCAAGTTTTTATTTATTTGTTACCTTTTTAGAGATAGGGTCTTGCTCTGTCACCCAGGTTGGAGTACAATGGCAAGAACATAGCTCACTGCAGCCTCGACTTCCCGGGCTCAAGGAATCCTCTTGCCTCAGCTTCTTGAGTAGCTGGGACTACAGGTACATGCCACCATGCCTGGTTAATTTTCAAATTTTATTTGTTGTAGGGATAGGGTCTCACTATGTTGTCCAGGCTGGTCTCAAACTCCTAGCCTCAAGTGATTCTCCTGCCTTGGCCTCCTCCCACAGTGCTGGGATTACAGGCTTGAGCCACTGCACCTGGCTAAAGTCAGTTTAAGTTAAGTGTATTCACTCGACTCACCTCAACTCTCTCGACTCACAGTAGACCCCCACTGTGATTGCCACCTGCCTTCCCCAGACAGCCTCCAAGCCTTGCAGAGAAGGAGTTAGCCTCCAGGTGTTCCCAGTTTAGCTGGGGACCCTGACATGTCCTTTCAGCTGGTGCTGTCATATGGGAAACACAGGGCACCGCATGAGCAGTCTGTGGCAGCCCCAGAAAGCCCCAGATGGTTCCCCACAGAAGGAAGAGTCAGCGCAGGCAGAACAGTGGGAGGAAGGGTGTCCTGGGCAGAGGGAACAGCACGTGCAAAGTGGCCGAGGCAGGGTGGATGGAACCCTCTGAGACCCAGAGGTTGCTCCAGCTGGAGGGAGGAGTGGAGAATGAGGATGGTGTAAGTGTGGCCGGGGGACAGGCACAATCCCCCAGGGAGGACCTGGCCTGGACAGGGGGAGACACTGCAGTACTGAGCAGAGAAGTGTCATTTTAAACACCTTCCTGGCTGCTGGGGGACGCATAGAGCTCAGAGGTGAGACTGGACTTATTGTGTAGGGACAGAGCCGAGAAATCCAGCGCTAGGGGGCTGGTGGGGAGCAGACAGGTGGGGAGCTTAAGGAGAGAGTTTAGGAAATTAACCATAAAAATGACCAGAAATTGAGCACTTATTCTGGTCCAGTCCTTGTTTCCTTACCTTACAGGTATCAATGAATTTAATCCTCACAACGATTCCATGAGGTAGGTATTATTATCAACCCTATTTTGTAGATGAGGAAACTGAGGCCCAGAGAGGCCAAGACATCCTAAGGAGCGGAACTGGGACCTGAACACAGGCTTTGGTGCTCCAGAGGCCTCAGGAGCAGCCGGACATCTTATGCAAAATGCCCATGGCAGGTGCCTCCTGGAGGCCGGCCCCTGCCCCCCAGCACACAGTAGGTGCTCAGGGCCTTCTTTCTCTGTTTGTGGGATTTAAATCATCATCACCACTTGAGTTGGGAGTGCCCGTCCACTATTCAAAGGGAGAAACTGAGGCCCAAGGAAGGATTTGAGACACGGGTAGGAACATATTCTACAGACAGGCAGGTGGTATCACTGGGGTCTTCTTCAGCCATTGGGAATTTTTTTTTTTTTTTTTTTTGGAGAAAGAGTCTCGCTCTGTTGCCCAGGCTAGAGTGCAGTGGTATGATCTCGGCTCACTGCAACCTCCGCCTCCTGGGTTCAAGTGATTCTCCTGTCTCAGCCTCCCGAGTAGCTGGGACTACAGGCACACACCCCCGTGTCTGGCTAATTTTTGTATTTTTAGTAGAGGCAGGGTTTCGCCATGTTGGCCAGGCTGGTCTCAAGCTCCTGGCCTCAAGTGATCCACCCACCTGGGCCTCCCAGAGTGCTGGGCAGTGGCAGGGTTACAGGTGTGGGCCACTGTGCCTGGCCATCATTGGGATTTTGATTCAACGTGTGTGCATTGAACGGCCCTGTGTGCTGCTGTGGGGAGAGGATCCCACCTTCGTCCCTCCAATGCTGAGAATTCTCCCGTGGCTGCCCTCCGTCCCGAGGATGCAATCTGGGCTCCTCACTGTGCCCCAAGAAGCTCTGCTGGATCTGCCCCAGCCTCCCCTGCCTCCCTGGCCTCACCTCCCATGACTCTGCCTTCTTGCCCCTGCACCAGCCTCCTCCAGCAGCAGTCTCCCACCCCAGGACCTTTGCACGTGCTGTCCCTCTGCCTGGAACACTCTCCTCATGACAGCCCCATCTCCTCCATGGGTCCTCAACTCTAAAGTTGCCTCACTTCCTCAGTGTGGCCCCCCCGAGCACCTGAACTGAAGCCCCCCAGTTCTTATGTATCACATCACCTCATTGTTTTGCTTTTATTTTTCAATGTTCTGCTTCCTTGCTGGAATTTTCCTGTCTATTTCCTGCCTCCTGCAGGGGACAGAGCTACTGTAGGCAGGATCCCTGTGGGTCTTGTTCCCTGCTGTATCCCACAGCCCAGCACACAGTAGGTGCTTAATAAACATTCGTGGGATGAATGAATGAATGAATGAGTGAAGGAATGGATGGAAAGAGCTTAAAAATGTAGGTGTGGAGAGGAGGACTGGCAGGCCTGGGCCCAGGCTGGGGCTGAGGCCTCCTCTCCTGGGTCTCCCTGCCCGGAGGAGGGGCCCCTGCCAGGGCAGGAGGGTGGGTGTTGGGGGCAGGGAGCAGGGCTGGGCGAGCCTTCTCTGTTCCACTGTTTTCATCCTTTCGGTAATTATGGGCTCAGACACTCCTCGATGCCTTCCCAGAATAATAGCCGGGCCTGTTATCAGTGGCATCTCTGGGACCTTCTCACAAACAGTCATTAATCAAGTCTCACTGCCACCCTGCCCTCCCTCTTGGTTGAAGCCGAGGCACAGAGAGGTAAGGCCATTTTCCTAGTGCCACACAGCTGACGCAGGGAGGATGGGCTGTTTTGCCCTGAACCCTAAGGTGCAGGGTAGGGGCTCCTTCTCCCTGTTCCACGTGGGAGAAGTCTCTGAGCCTGCCATGACTGGGGGGCCCTGCCCCCAATTTCAGGCCCCCAGCCCTCCTTGAGGCCTCAGGGGCCTCCCAAGGTGGCCTCTTAATCATTGCCAGTTAATTAAGGAGGTTAAGCAGCTCCCCGGGGCCGAGGCAGGCCTGCCCAGGGAGAGAGGTGGCAGGGCCCGGACTGCATCTCACACTGAGGCCCCTGCTTCCCAGCCTGAGTCTGGCATGGGCGTTGTGTCTCTGTGGTGCCCATCACCGGACCTGGGGGTCTCTGGGGGAGGCGTGGGGCCTCCGATGGGGCCATAGAGTTCCATTGCTTGGGCAGTGCCCCCTCCCCTTCTTCGGGGGTGTGTGGGAGGTGCTGGCATCACTTAATGAGGCCTCCGCGGCTGCCAAGGAGAGCTGGAGGAGTTGAAACAGGTTCTGGGTGGGGTGAGTTTCGTGGGCTGGGCAGAATCCATGGCTCCATGCCATGTGGGCGCTCCCCAGGGCAGTGGGGGTGGGCAGGTGTGGGACCCCCAAATGGCCCCTGTGTCCAGCCCTCTGCCCTGATGGGTGGGAGCAGAGGAAGCTTGGGAGGGGATTGTGGAGATGACAGAGGATGACAGACAGGAATGGAGGTTCACATCCCACCCTCCTAGGCCCCCCACTGCCCAGCCTGTGGGGACCACACCAAGACCCACCATGCTGGCAGCATCTGGGGCTCCGGAGACATTGCTAATGTGTGCTCTGACACAGACTTGGGCCTCGGTCTTCTGACCTGAGAAATAGGGGTGGTTGGATGGGATAATCTTGGGCTCGGAGCTTTAGTTTCGGAATGACCCATCTATAGCAGAGCTGCCTGACTTGCTGTGCGACCTTAGGCAAGTCGCTTTCTTCCTCTGGGCCTGTGCAGCTCCGGCTGTGACCCCGTGGTGGTGGGGTGGACGCAGTGATCCTTATCTCCGCTGAGGTTGCCAGTGCTTCGCAAGGGGCACCTAGACTGCTTTCTCCAGGATTCTTCCAGCAAGGAAATCATTCAGTGCATCTCTCCCGGCCCTGGGGAAGCACCGAGGCTCTGGATTCAGGCCAGGGAGGTTTAGAAGGAAGCTCCCCAAGGCCAGGCTGTGGGTCCTGGGGTCTGGAGGGCAGCCCTTCTGTGTTACTGAATCCTCGGGGCCACTTCAGGCTCAGGTGAGGCTGGATCAAGGCGGGACCCAGAGCCCATGGGGGCCCCGTGGGTTCTTTGTCTTTCCCACTGTTTTTTCAGGTCACTTTTATGGATATATAATTTATATACAGCACGATTCACCCTTTCGTGGTGTGCAGTTCTATGAATCTTGAGAAACGTATACAGTTGTATAACCAGCACCATCAAGATACACAATATTCCATCACAGCAAAAAGTTCCTTGGTGCCTCCTTTGTTATCAATCCCTTTCCTACTCCCAGCCTCTGGCAACTACCGATCTCCCCCAACTTTTTATTTTGAAAAATTTCAGACTTGGAGAAAAATGCCAAAACTTCACAATGGGCCACCAAGTGTCCCTTCCCCCAGAATCCCCGACTGCGAACACCTGGCCCCATGTGCATTCTTGGTCTTCCTCTGTGTGATTTTTGCTGAGCTGTTTGAGAGTAAGTTGCAGACATCCTTACCCTTCACCCTAATTACTTCAGCGTGTGCCTCCGAAGGACAAGAGTGTTCTCCCACGTAACCATAGTGCCAAGATCACTCCTGAGAAATTTAGCATTGATTCAATTACATTACCTAGTCTCCAGGCCATGTTCAAATGACTTGGACTGCTCCAAAGTGCCCTTTATAACCATTTTTCATCTGTTTTTTTTCTTTATTTTTCCTGGTACCAAGGGTTAGGCCCTGCCTTTGGTGGCACATCTCTTTAGTGTCCTTTTATCTGGGACATGGAACATTCTCCCGGCTCTTGCTTGACTCCTTTTTTTTTTTTTTTTTTT
The DNA here is from genome assembly GCF_000001405.40 of Homo sapiens. Taxonomy (NCBI): domain Eukaryota; kingdom Metazoa; phylum Chordata; class Mammalia; order Primates; family Hominidae; genus Homo; species Homo sapiens. The sequence continues at coordinate 50,235,591 of NC_000020.11, forward strand.
TGAGACGGAGTCTCGCTCTGTTGCCCAGGCTGGAGTGCAGTGGTGCGATCCCGGCTCACTGCATTGCTTGACTTTTTTTAAAAACCACTCTCATGGTTTCCTATACCAGGAACTGCCAGGGGAATTCCCTGGGGATGTGAGTGCCAGGAAACGGGGGCTGCTGACTTGGGGGACATGGGATGTTCTTAGGGTTTTTTCTGAAAAGTCTTGTTTAAAAGTAAAGTGGCAGTAGAAGGAGAGAGAGACTTGGGTTCATTGGCTCAACTTTTAAGAATGCTGAAAATTCAAAGCAAAAAGAGACACTACCCAATTTGCAATTGAGAGGCATCTCTAGTCCTGTGGTTGAGGTTCAAATCCCAGCTCTGCCTCCCCTTGGCTGTGAGCCCTTGGTCAGGTAACTTCACTTCTAGAGCCTCTGTTTCCTCATCTGTGCGATGAGGATAATAGCAGTCTGTCCACCTTGCCCTGTTGTTGTCAGGAAATGAATCAATGCATTTAGTGCGTGAATAGTAGCAACTTCATTTGCTAATTTGCTGATAGTATTTTTAGACATTTCTCTCTATAGTTACAGATATATGTGGGATATACTTACAGAGACAGCTCATGGATATATGTGAATCATGCATTATATAAATTAGGCCATCTTCTTTTCTCTCAATACTTTATCACAAGCATTTTCCTATATCCACAAATGGAGCACTTGCGCATCGTGTATAACTTTAACTCATTTTGTCCATAGATAATACCATGTGGCACCAAATACCAAAGGTACAACAAGCGTGCAGTGAAAAGCCAGTCTCCCTCTTACATTTGTCTTCACCCTCTCAGCTCCTCACTGTGACAGTCTTTTGTGTTGCTTTTCAGAAGGGTTCTGTGAACATGTGGGCAAAAGCATGTATTTGCTTTGCTTTCTTACAGATATCAGAGGACTCTACACACTAGTTCTGTGCCTTGTGATTTTCAGCAACAGTAGATCTTGATGATATCAGTACGTAGAGAGCACCCTCCTTTTTCAAGGCTGTGTGGCGTTCCATGGTGGACACAGAGCAGGATGTAAACAGCCAGTTCCTTAGTGATGGTGGCTTGCAGGCTTTTGCCATGACAAATTGCAACTGTGTTCTTGTGCAAGTATATCCATAGGGTACATCCTAGAAGTGGAATTGCTGCATCAACGGGGATCACGAGGTCAGGAGATCGAGACCATCCTGGGTAACACAGTTAAACCCCATCTCTACTAAAAATACAAAAAAAGAAAAAAATTAGCCAGGCTTGGTGGTGGGTGCCTGTAATCCCAGCTACTTGGGAGGCTGAGGCAGGAGAATGGTGTGAACTCGGGAGGCGGAGCTTGCAGTAAGCTAAGATGGCGCCACTGCACTCCAGCCTGGGCGACAGAGTGAGACTCCTTCTAAAAAAAAAGTTATATATATTTTGAATTTTGACCCACCATCATTTTTATTTTATTTATGATTATTATTATTTTTGAGACCGGGTGTCACTCTGTTGCCCAGGCTGGAATGCTGTGGCACAATCTTGGCTCACTGCAACCTCTGCCTCCTGGGCTCAAGCCATCTTCCTACCTCAGCTTCCCGAGTAGCTGGACTACAGGTGTGAGCCATCACGCCCAGCCAATTTTTGTATTTTTTGTAGAGATGGGGTTTTGCCATGTTGCCCAGGCTGGTCTTGAACTCCTGAGCTCATGCAATCTGCCCACCTCGGCCTCCCAAAGTGCTGGGATTACAGGCGTGAGCCACTGTGCCGGCTGCCACCATCATTTGTAATAGCTGCACAGATCCTAGTGTATTTAACAGTACCCTACTGGTGGACATTTAGGTGGTTCCAACTTGCCCTTCCTATAAACAATGCCACAATGCACATCTTTGTGCAGCCGCCTTTGTGTGCAGGACAGTCAGCTTATGGGGAATTCCCGGGATCAACAGGAAGTACCAAGAAGGGGAAACTGAACCGCAGGGGCCAGCATGACCCCAAGGCCTGTGGGTATGGATGGTGGCTGGACTGGTTGGATGGGTATGGATGGTGGCTGGACTGGCTAGAGGCTTCTGGGCTCTCCCTGTCCCCGGTGTGGCCAAAGGGTCCTAGAGTACTGGACTCCTCTAGATCCTCACTGCTCAAGGTGTGGCCTGGGAGCCACAGCATTGACCCTACCTGGGAGTCTATTAGAAATGCAGGGTCTGGGTCCCCCCTACCCCAAAACCCTGTTAAATCAGGACCAACATTTTCTTTCTTTCTTTTTTGAGACGGGCTCTCCCTCTGCTGCCCAGGCTGGAGTGCAGTGGCGTGATCTCTGCTCACCGCAACCTCTGCCTCCTGGTTCAAGCAACTCTCCTGCCTCAGCCTCCCGAGTAACTGAGATTACACGTGCACGTCACCATCCCTGGCTAATTTTTGTATTTTTAGTAGAGACAGGTTTCGCCATGTTGGCCAGGCTGGTCTCAAACTCCTGATCTCAAGTGATCCACCTGCCTCAGCCTCCCAACCAAAGTGCTGGGATTACAGGCATGAGCCACAGCGCCCAGCCTAGGATGGACATTTTTACAAGTCTGCAAGGGATTCACCAGCACAGCTGAAAATGAGAAGAGCTGCCCTAAAACAAACCTAGACACTCCAAGACTGGAGAGAATGGCTCAGCCTTGGGTCTGGGGCGGGCCTGAGGTCACACCTGGCTTCACCGCCTGCTGGCTGTGTGATGGAATGCAAGCCGGCCAACCTCTCTGTGCCTCGGTTTTCTCATCTTTAAAACAAGGAATGAGAGGATCCCTCCTCTCACAGGGAGGTTGTGAGAATCAAGCATGATCGTTCACAGAAAAGCGTTTAGCACAGTGTCCGCACTTAGCAAATGCTCACCCAACCCTGTGATTTTGATGGTTATGGAGGCTCACGTTACGGAAGGCGATGCGGGAGTCAGATCTGTCTGAGTTTTGGTTTCTGCTCTCTCCATCTCTGTCACTGTCACTCTCCCCGTGTCTCTCCAGCCCTGTTGTCTCTTCATATCCGCTTATTTCTCTCTGTTCCGCCACCGCCCGCTTCCTCTGTCTCGGTCTCCTTCTTCCTGTCTCTCAGGGTCTTTGTCCTCATTTCCACCTGGCCATAGGAGCTTTGCAAGCATCTGTGAAAATGCTAAACATCGGGAAAAATGGAGCTAACTACAATGATAAAAGTGCAAACTAAAAATTAACAATACTAGAAAAGCAAAACTATACTATTATAAAAACTCAAAAACAGTAACAAAAATTATGTTTTTGGTAGGTCGTGGGGCTTTTCCAGCCCATTTGATGGGTAGTGGCTTGGAGCTGCAGGGCTGCGGGGCCCTGCTGGGGGTTGCCTCTCTTTCCTGTTTTTTTTTTTTTTTTTTTTGAGACAGCGTATCATTCTGTCACCCAGGCTGGAGTGCAATAGCGCAATCTCTACTCACTGCAACCTCTGACTCCCAGGTTCAAGCGATTCTCCTGCCTCAGCCTCCCGAGTAGCTGGTACTACAGGCCTGCACCACCACACCAGCTAATTTTTGTATTTTTAGTGGAGATGGGGTTTCACCATGTTGGCCAGGCTGGTCTCGAACTCCTGACCTCAAGTGATCTACCCGCCTTGGCCTACCAAAGTGCTGGGATTACAGGCGTGAGCCACCACGCCCAGCCTCTTTCCTGTTTCTTTGGACCCCTTGCAGCCTTGAACCTAAACAGAGCTGAGTGATTCAGTGGAGATCTGGCCTCAGCTGGTCACTGATCCCCTTCTCTGTCCTTTCCTCACTGCATGGCCCTGGGAAGGCACAGCCACTGATCTATGTTCTTCCAACTCATTTACTAAGTGCCTACAACACCAGGCCCTGGGACACAACACCGAACAAGATAGACACAATCTCCGCCTTTTGGTGCTTATGTTCTAGGACGGTGTGCATGTGACAGATGATATGGATATGAGTGAATAAACATGCGGAACAATTGTATGGTGCTAAGTTGTGGTTGTGTGATAGAGAAAGGCGTGGGGCTGCTTTGCACTGGGGATGAGGGTGGGGATCTGGGAGGATGACTCTGGCCGAATTTAGAGACTAGAATGATGAGAAGGAGCTGGGCCTGGGAATAGCTGGAAGAAGGACATTCCAGGCAGAGGGAACTGCAAGTGCAAAGGCTCTGAGGCAGGGACAAACTTGGGGGTCAGTCATGATTGGGAGATCTTGGAGGAGGAAAAGATCTCAAGAGAAAGACAGTCTTTCTTTGCTGAGTGTCTCAAGCAAGTTACTTGCCCTCTCTAAGCCTTAGTTTCCCCCTGTGTAAAATGGGAATGTTAAAGACACAATCCCAAGAGATGAGTGAGTTTTAAATCCAGTGGTGGGCCAGAATTTCTATACTGGAGGGTCTTAGGGGATGGTTGGGCTATGGGGTGATTTGTCTTGAATTTGTGGGCTTAGCAGCACTACTCTTTTTACTTGGTTTACTTGGGCGGCTTTGGGGGGTGATGATGGAGATTATTTGTGGTTGCAAGTGATGCCCCAATTTCCCCATGGCCGAGCCCCTGATTTCAGGAGTTAATAGCCTACAGCACTCGGCACAGTGCCTGGCACAGAGCAAGTAGACAGGAATGGGGAGGGCATTCCAGGTGGGAGGAAAGGCGTGGAGATGGGAATGTTTAAGGCGTGTTAGGGGAAGAGTGAGGAGACCAGCCTGGCTGGTGGGGACGGGTGAGTGAGAGGCTGGAAAGACGGGTTGAGGACCAGGATGAGACCTCGAATGGCATGCAAAGGAGGGTGGCCACAGCCCGGAGGCAGGAGGAAGCCACTGTGAGCTCTGGAGCAGGAGAAGCCGTGGAAATAGGCTTTGTTTCTGGTTTGATTCTCAATATTTTTAATGTTTTACTATTCAAAAAAATTTAAAGGATAAGAACAGAAGTTTCCACGCAGCTATCACTCAACTGCCTGGAAACTTATGTTCTTCTGTGTTCTTTTCTTCCTTAAAAGGAACCACCCCAATATAGGGGATCCCCCCATATCCCTGCCCAGAAGGATCTCTCTTAGAAGTCACTGCAACCTGTGAGCTGAGATTGCACCACCGCACTCCAGTCTGGGCGACGGAGCAAGACTCCGTCTCAAAAAACAAAACAAAACAAAACAAAAAACAAAAAATAAACAACAAAAAAACCAGTCACTGCAACCTGGATTTGATGCTCGTGATTTCCCTGTGTGTCTTTATCCTTCTCTTGTTGGTTTGATGAAGGTATCCACCTGGTTTGATGGAGGTGTAAATGCACACAGTAAAACACACAGATCTTTTTTTTTTTTTTTTTGAGACGGAGTCTCGTCCTGTCGCCCAGGATAGAGTGCAGTGGCACGATTTTGGCTCATTGCAACCTCTGCCTCCCAGGTTCAAGCGATTCTCCTGCCTCAGCCTCCTGAGTACCTGGGACTACAGGCCCGTGCCACCACGCCTGGCTATTTTTTTGTATTTTTAGTAGAGAAGGGGTTTCACTGTGTTAGCCAGGATGGTCTCCATCTCCTGACCTCGAAATGCACAAATCTTAATTGTAGTTTGATGGTCATGGGATCACACCAGATCAAGATGTAGAACATTCCTAGCCTCCAGGGGCTCCCTTCAAAGGTAACTACTGGTCTGATTCCTATTACGATAGATTGGTTTTGCCTATTCTTGAACTTCATATAAGTGAGCCCATTCAGTCTGTGCTCTTTTGTATCAGGCACTTTCACTTAAACTCATCCAATGAGGTCTATCCAAGTTTTGTGTCTGTTTTCACGGCTGTGGAGTATTCCATTGTCTAACTAGACCACAGTTTGTTGAATCACCCTATGGTCAACAGAGATGGGGGTTGTTTCCAGTTTCCACTATTTTGAATAGTGCTGCTGTGAACCTTCTCTTACACATCCGACAGTAGACATAAGCAGGCATTTCCCTTAGTCTATATCCAGGAATGGAATTGCTAGATGATGAGATATGCACATGCTTGGTTTTTGTAGCTATGGCCAGTTTCCCAAAGCAGTTGTAGGACATCTTTAGACTTTTACACACACACACACACACACACACACACACACACACACACACACAGACACACAGACACACGTGGAATCCCTGAGGGATTCGGGGAGCTGCTTTGGGTTGTGGGTGGGATTGTACAGATGGCGTCCCTTGTACATTTGCTTCTGCATCCTGCTTTTTTTCCACCCGATGTTCTGTTCTGGAGTTCCGTCCCCGTTGGCGGAGTGGCTTGGGTGCATCTATTGGTTGTCCCTGTGGGCTTTGTCGTGGGGACAGACCACAGTGCTCTTCCTCAGGCTTCTGCTCCTGGACATTTAGCTTATTCCCGACTGGGACTCTCTTTTTGGCTTTTCATGAATATCCGTTATGCGTTGGGTGAGGCCAGCTAGGACTGGCCGAGGTGCAGGGTGGACATTGGGTCTATCGTGGTGGGAGATGGGGACGAGGGGCTGGTGGCACAGATGGTTTCAAGGGACTTTTAGGGAACTTGGTTATGGTGGGGGAAGAAAGAAACAAGACGGGGGCCTTGGGGGCCAGAAGCCCAGGTTTAAATCCCTGGTCCCCCCTCCTAGCTGTGTGACCTTGGGCATGTGACTTTGCGGCTTGGAGCCTCAGTTACCTCATCTGTAATTTGGGAACATCAACCCTGCCTGATAAGACGGTTGTGAGGGTTGAGTGAGCACAGACATTCAGTGGACCTGGCTAGGATTTGAACCCCTTTATTAACTGATTGACCTCGGGCAAGTTGCTTCACCTGAACCTCAGTTTCCTCATCTGTAAAATGGGGATGATAATAATACCTGCCTCCCAGCAATTTTATGATGATGAAATGAGATTTCGGACATAAAGCACTTACTAGATGCTCAATACCTGGCGGTCTCTTGTTATTATTACTATTGCGGTTGACTTCTCTGCCTTTCCCTCCAGAAGGTGGGTGGCTAAACAGCAGGAATTGGTCTTTTGTCCCCACCTTCCTCCTGTGGCTCCCACACAGGACAGAGGTGAGGGTCATCTGCATCCAGGGTGTAGACCTCGAGTGAGCCCTGCCCGGCTGGGAGCCTCAGTTCTCTCCTGTAACAGGGGCTCATGGCAGTGCCTACCTGACCAGGTGGCTTCCCAAGGGGCACACGATCTTGTTGGGGAGAAGAGCTGGTCAGGAGGGACCTGTGGACGGGAGACATTTTCCGAGCAATGTTGTGGCTGATGCCATCTGGGGGTCCTCCCAGAGATGGGCGGGGGATGTTGGGCTGAGCCCCTGAGGAAGGAAGACATGGCGTGGGAGTGTAAGAAGGGAGAAGAGGAATGATTCCAGCCCTGCTGACCTCCTGAGGGGAGGTTTCAGCTGCAGGGATGCCAGAGCCGCTTGCTGCAGCGGGGACACTCAGGCCACAGCGAGAGGAAGGCTGGAGTCCTGGGTTCCCAACTTGCCGCTGATGTCCTTGTGCTGTGTGACCCTGGGTGCCTGTCACTCTTACCCTGTGCCTTGGCCTTCGTTCATTGTGAGAATCTCAGACTTGCTCTCTCTTCTGCTGGGTTTCCCGGCCCCCGCAGACCCCCTGGCCTGGCCCCTCTGCCCTCATGGAGGCCGAGGCCAGGGCCCAGGGCCAGGGCTGCGCACCTTGACAACGCGCCCACGCCGGGCACAAAGGCCCATTGTTCGGGCCCACGTTGGCGGGGAAGCGGGCGGGGAGCAGCCGCCTTTCACCCAACCCGCTTGTGGTCGGCGGGGACTGAGGAGCGATTCACAGAGGCCCCCGCCCCCTGTCCGGGCATCCAGCCAGGATGCCTCCCAGGCAGGCACCCTTGCCAAGCTGGGCCTGTGCTACCCAGAACTGGGCCTCAGTTTCCCCAGCTGAGAAAAGGGAAGCAGAGCAGCTCTGATAGTGGGGTAGAGCTTGCTGTTTGGCCTCATTGCCCTGAGATCCACTGCTCTGTGCCTTCCCCAGGCACAGATCAGCTGCCCCTGACATGCCAGAGGAGGCCACGGGATCTGGGGCTTTGGGGCCTGACAAGTCTGGGTTTGGATTCATGCTGGATGATTTTGGGTGAGTCTGTTCAGCTCATGAGCCTTTGTTCTCCCGCCTGTAAAAGGGGGCTTGGAGTCCATGATCCTCAGAGGTAAAATGAGAGAAATGACACCTCAGGGCGGCATTCATTCATTCATTCATTCATTCATTCATTCATTCATTCCAAAAGGTGTACTGGCTGTCAACTCTGTACAGGACCAGCTATAGAATGTTCAGTGTCGTGTGCAAAATTAAACGTGATGGTCCTTGTTCAAAATTAAGAATTTCAAGAGGTAACGGCATTAATCCAAGCATGGGGCCCTGTGTGAAGGCATGCGTTGCAGGTCTGTGAGGCTCACTCTGCCTGTGTGCCAGCCGTTATCCCAGGCACCAGGACCAGGCACTGGGCCCCACTAATGAGAGAGGGAAAAATTTCTGTTGTCATGGAGCTCATAACCTGGCAGGGGGACCTAGAGTCCCTGAACCTTCCCAAGGCCAGGTGCCCCAGGAGGCCTGCTCCTCCTGGGCCTGCTGACCAGGCCAGCGGGGTGAGCGGAGGCACCCAAGCTTCCTTCGAGGCTCCGATGTCAGTGACCACCACATCTGGCTGGGCACCCACAATAATAATGGCTTACATTTGCATAAGACTCTGCCCGGGCTGATCCAGGACCCTTTCTCGGATGAACTCAGCATCTTCGTGGCAACCCTATGAGGAAGGCGAGGCAGCATGGCTCACCCTTTGTATGGATGGAGAAACTGAGGCTCAGGCTCACTGGACCATTCAGCCAGCAAATGGCAGAGGCAGGATTTGAACCCAGGCTGTCTGGTGCCAGGGTCTTCATTTCCTCATTCCATCCTCTGTGGATGGGGACAGCGGTGAGCGAGGTGGTTTATGCTGGCAACAGAGGCCCTGCTGGGGATTGAGGCTGGGAAGGGTGCGGGTGTGCTGGTGGCCCGCCAGCTGCCACCTGGGTTGGCCCTGCTGTGTGGCCCTGAGTCACAGCGCTGTGTCCTGGGAAGCTGGTTGTGCTCCGGGCACCCGTGGGGCCTGAGTCACAGCAGAGCACACCCTACCTTCCTGCCTACCTCCCACCTGGGCCCAGGGACAGGCAGGCCCTCTGAGCAGGTTCTTAGGCAGGCAGTCACATCTCTGCCCAACGTCAGGGGCAAGAAAGAGGCACCTGTGTGTGGCTCCAGAAGCACATTCCTGCTTCCTGTCACTGAGCCCAAATCCATCCTTCCAAGCTACCCTTTGGATGGATTAGCTGGCAGGTAAAGTACTGAGCTCCCCGTCACTGGGAGCATTCAAAGCAGGATAGCCTGTCAGGGGTGCTGAGAAGTGTTCCTGAATCAGGTAGGGCCTGCTGCTGGAGTATGTGAATTCCAATGCCCTAAACATGTGCTTATGTGCTAATTTTTGAATAGCTATGGTGAGCAAATGCTACAAAATCCAAAAGTAGAAAGGGGTATGGAATGAAAGGCAATTCCTCACTCTCTCCTTTCCCCAGCCTCTGACTCCCCCTCCTTAGAGGCAGCCACTGTTAACCTGCTATTTTGGCCAGAGTTAATTTATGTACATACAAACAAATATCTATGTTGTCCTTGCCTCCCTCCCACCCTTCCACACAAATGGTAGCCAATATGTTTCTTACAGTGTTCTGCTCCTCATTTTTTTTTTTTTTTAATTATTTGACAACTTATCCTGGAGACTGTTCTAGATCAGCACACAGAGCTGCCTCATTCTTCTTACCTAGCCACATGGTATTCTGGCCCCTTCCCTTTTAAAATCTATAACTGATTTGATTAAAGGAATTTTCAACCCTGAATTCTACATATTGGGATCTGCACTGTCCTTTGCTCTGGTGGTGGCCTGAGAACATTTTCAAAATTTGGCTGGAGACTATAAGCTCTTTCCACATCCGTGGGGATTTTTGTGTTCTGTTTTTAGTTGACTAAGGCGAGGGCAGCTTTTCATTCACAGCTCTCCACGCCAGGCAGGCACTGGTAATCCACTGGTGAGCCCCACGGGCATCAGCTCATCTGCCGACAGTGTGGCCAGGCTGTGGGAGGAGTATGTGGTGGCAGGGAGCCCAGAAGAAAGGGCTTCCTGTGTTTGTTTAAGTAAGGGGTTAGTGATGGCTCCTCAGAGGTGGGACTATTTGGGCAGGGCCTTAAGGGATGCATAGGAGTTCCTACGAGGAGAAGTATGGAGATGGGCTTGCCAGACAGAGGAAACTGCATGATAAGCGAAACTGCCTGGTAGATGCAGAAACTCCTACCAGCATCCACTTACTGAACACCTACTAAGTGCCAGGCACTGTACTACGTACTTTACAAGTCATTGCTGCATTTCAACTCTTGACAGTTGTAGGCTATTACTAGTCCCATTTTACAGATAGGTTAGTTGAGGTTAGATAGGTTAGAAAAGCCCAGTAACTTGCTCACAGCAACACAGCTACAAATATCGAAGCCTGGGTTTGAACCCAGGCGACTTGGGCTCTTGGCCATTCTACTATCCCACAAGGGTCAAAGGGTAGATGGCGAGGTCCCGAATGCTAGATCTTGACCTTTCAACCTTCCCAGCTCGGGTCCTGCCCCTGCTCAGAGGCCCTTAGTTGTTCCCCACTACTCCAGGACTCATCGGCCTGAGCTGCCCTCTCCCTCCAGCCAGGGTGGGCACCTGGGGCAGCATCAGCCTTTCTGGGTCTGGCTGGGTGTGCTGGGTGCTGCAGGAGGAGCCACACATGGTACTAATGGAGCCAGGGAGCAATTAGGGGGGCATATACCCTGGCCTGTGCCCACTGACCGGTTTTGGATGTAGTTGGAGATGGAACTGGCCCTCTAGGCTTTGTCCCCTGGAGGCCTAGGGACTCTGTCTTCAGGGCAGTGCTGGCTGTCACTTTGGCCCAGCCCCTCTGGCTTCCTGGTTGTGAGCAGCCTCTGGACCCAGAGAACTGTTCTCCCGTGTACCCTGTTGGGCACTGGGCCTGGGGCTTTTTAAACCTCATGGATTCTGCAACGTGGGAATTCATCCCTCCATTTGGCAGATGAAAAAAAGAAGGTTCAGAAAGGTGAAACGACTTGTTCAAGGCCACACAGCGAGGAAAGGGCAGAGCCAGGACAGGAATCCAGACCCTGAGTTTGACTCATAACCACCCTCCACTCCTGCCTCCGTGCAAGAGGATTTTCCAACCTGTCTGCTGCTTGGCAGGGGCTTAATCAACCTCCCTCTCTCTCTCTCTCTCCTGGTCTTCAGGAAAGGGGCAATGAGCCCATTGCCACGGGGTACGGCGGAGCTTGGATGCTGCACCCAGGACTGAAAGGGGGACCTGTGGGCGGCCTCTGCCTCTCCCCGCGCAGCGTCAGGACACAGGCCCACATTCCCTCCTGGCTTCTCCCTGAAGGGAGAGAGAATAATAGTTGGTTCAAATGTCAGGCCTGCTCCGTGCTGGTGGGGAGACTGGTTGAGCAGGTCCGCAGGAGGGACGGAGGGAGGAAATTATTAATAATTGCAAAGCAACCAGCCACACTACAGGCCTTGAGTTGTGTCTGCGTTTGTCTTTGGAGGTGTGGAGTTGGGGGTGCTGATCCTGGGGACCCAGCCCAGGGGTCAGGACAGCCTGGGGACCAGCTGCAGCTTCCCAGAAGCCTGTGTGGGTAGGGGAGATGATGGGGGCACAGAGTCAGCCACCTACCCCTGGCAAGGTGGGACACATCCCAGCCTCCCCATCTTCCACTGACTCAGGGAAGGATCTGTCAACATCTAGGGGAGGGAGGAAAGAGCCTACTACGTACCTTCAGGAAGCTTCTCATTAGGTGATGGATTTAATCCTCACAACAACCAGATGAGGTTGGCCTTGCTATTATCTCCAGTTGGGGAAACTGAAGCACAGAGGGTCTAAGGGTCTAATTGTACAGATTTGAATCCAGGAGGTCTGAGTGCAGCTGGATAGTCCTTTGCTGGGATGGGAGGATCCCCATTCCCTGGGAACAGCCACACCCATTCCCAGAACATCACCACGATCCCTGCTGCCTTCCCTTGGAGGACAGGAGTTGGTGTGAAGCTTCTCTGAGCCTCAGTTCCCTCATCTATGGAATAGGAGCCAGAGTTCCTCCCTCCAGGGTCAGAAGGCAGCTAGCTGATAAGGGGAGCAGGTAAGGAGGTGAAGGGTCGGTTTGCTGGCTGCTGCCTCCACCTCCCTTCCAGAACCAGTCACCAGTGACAGTCCCTTCATCAAGACCCTTTCTTTCCTCCCTTCTCCAGCACCCACGGTGAGGTCTGACCAACAGCCGCAACCATAGTGGCGCTTTGCTGAGTCTTCCTTGAGCTCCCTGTGTGCCTAACGCAGAGCTTCTCCCCTCCCCGGGGCTTTGGAAAATCTGCTCTGAAATGTCTTGTGAGTGATCAGTTTACGCTTCAACAGGAAAATGAGTTGAATGGTGGAACTTGAGGCAGGGTTTTGGGGAATGGACAGTGGGAGTTCTGGGAGTCTAGAGCCAGCCTCTGGGCTTGGGGTTAGCAGGGCCGAGGCATGCCCAGATCGCATGCCATCAAGCCCCAGGACCAGCCGCATCTGTGGGGTACCTCCAGGGCGTCCCCCTCCTTGGCCTGCCCTGATGGGCTGATAAGACCTAGCCTCGGAGGAGGAGGCAGCTGTAATTACAGGCCTTAGTGGTGGCGGGCAGGCAAGTCATGAGGTGGGGGTGACTCAGACGATTGCTCCACGGACAGGGTGGAGGCGGGGGCCACCCATCTGCCCCTCACCCAGCTGGCCTGAGATGGGTCTGGGCACCCAGGGAGCGGCCCGGCCAGGGTCCCATCCTTGGGCCTGTGACCCAGGCCCCTGTGCCACTTGGCATCCACGAAGCTGGCATTGCACTGGACTTGGGACTGGCTGGGTTTTCCCCTTTCTTCGTCCCAGGCAATAGCTTCTGGGAAGTAGGAGTCAGTGCTCAGAGGCACCAATGGGAGGATCATCAGGACTGGACCGAGAGAGCCGCAGACTCGGGGGAGAGTACCGGGAGTCCCAGACCACAGAAAGACAGAACCTCAGCCATGTGCAGACTCTGAGAACCAGCAGATGACGGTTTCTAGAACCAAATATTTTCAGGTTCAAGGATTCAGGGACTAGTAGATCTGTAGAATTATCGATTTATAAGATCACGGACCTGGTTGCAATTGGTTCCAGAGAATTCATATATCCATTGAGATAGAGATTTAAAAAAAAATCACAGCAGCTGATGAGTTCAGGAGTAAATTACCTTGGTGTCTTCAACTTGCTCCCACATGGATCAGGCAAGAAAAGCCCCCCCAAAAGTAGAAATATGCATCTTTCTCATTTAACCTAGCTAGAGGGAAGGCCCGCAGACTGAAGAATTAACAACTGGTAAATTGAGGCAATCATTGTACTAATCATTTGACTGTCTATGGGCTTAAAAATTGTCAAAATAAAAAGCCAGGAAATAGTAATAAAGAAAAGGAAATGTGGGTCAGGCATGGTGGCTCACGCCTGTAATTCCAGCACTTTAGGAGGCTGAGGCGGTAGGATCGCGTGAGCCCAGGAGATTGAGACCAGCCTGAGCAATATATTGAGACCTCGTTTCTATGGGAAGAAAAAAAAAAGCAAAAGAAAATGAAATGTGAATACCAACCAGGACATTACAAATTATGCAACTTGGTAATCTATAATATTATGACTTTCCAAATCTATGCATCTGTTATTCTCTTCATTCACTCATTGTATATTTTATTTATACACTTTTGCAGAGTACCTACGTGGTCACAAGGAGAAACTGTTCTAAGGCTTTACAAATGTTAACTCGTTTAATTCTTATGACATTTCTAAGGGCATTATGAATAGTAACTCATTGAATTCTTACAACTGGATGAGGTAGGTGCTGTTATGATGCACGTTTTACAGATAAGGAAACTGAGGCAGTGAGAGGTGGAGTAACTTGCTTAAACGGTGCTCACTGTGTTATTAAGCCTCTACTGTGTACCAGGTGCTGTGCTAGACAGAGCAGTGAACAGGACAGACTTTGTCCACACCCTGGGGGAACTTGGCAGAGGAGACAGATAATAAACAAGCATGATTGTTTATAAGTTCAAAGCGGAAAATAAGCCTGCTGCTTTGATGGAAGGTGGGGGTATGGGGTCCCCAAGATTGAGCGAACAGGTGAGGCTCTTCTGAAAAGGTGGCCTTTTGCTGAGACCTGAAGTACGAGGAGAACCCTGGATTTGAGAGACATGACTGTCATTTGCCTGGGCTGTGCCCTCTGCCTGGACTGCCCTCCTGCTTCCGGCTTCTCTATGCCAACCTTGCCTTCACTGGTCCAGGTCTGGCTGGGCGGCACCTCCTCTGGAGGTGGGAGGTGAACTGGGGGCTTCCCCAGCCCCAGAGGGAATCTGTCCTCCCCCTGGTCTTTTCTATCCTCCTGGTTCCCAGAGCAGACCTTAAATAAGGGAAGCCTCCATGTGACTCAGCGGCACCACCTGTGCCAGGCTCTGTGCTGGGATCTCACCCAACCCCGAGTGGGGAGCATAGTTTTCTCCTGGGGAGGAGATAGAGGCTCAGAGAGGTTAAGAGACTTGCCCAAGGATGCACAGCTAACAAGTGTTCAAAGGAAAATCCACACTCAGGACTACAGGCTGTCTTTTGGTGACTGGTTTACCTGCTCACCTGCCTGCCTACCCTGGGCACCTCTCGAGGGCAGGTCCTGGGTGCTGGAGTCAGTTCTGTGTACCAGCATCGCCCAGCCCTGGGTCTGGCCTACATGGGATGATTTTCCCTTCACCAGGCTGAGAGCATGAGACATGAAGGACTAGGCCAGGGCCCTGGGGGCTAGCTCTACCCCAAGGGGAAGGTGGACACGGGCCTGAGCCCCTAGGCTCCCAGACAGACCCTGTGCTGGCTCCCGCCCTCTGTCCCCCTTCTTCCCTGGCCCAAACTGGCATGGTGCCTTCCCTGGCTCTCTTAGGCTGCTCTGCCCAGGGCTGAGAGGGATGCAGGGGCCCAGATCCCTATCCCCAGCAGACAATAACCTCTGGGGCCACTGAGCAGATGGGGAAACTGAGTCTCAGCTGAGTCAAGCCTGACACAGTGGGGGTGGGGTCAGGGTCCAGGAATCTTGTGGGTTCACAAGCACAGGCACAGAGGCGGGAGGCATGTGCACATGGACACGCTTGCTGTGTACATGAGGCTGATGTGAGCCAATGAGGACACACCATTGGTGCAGATGGCACTGGGAACACAGCCGCCCACACACGCCCATGTGCACACGTGTGCATAAACAACCGTGAGTGCCTTCCTGGTTTAAATCCCACTCTACTTCTTAGTCTTGCTGAGATACCGCACTTCCCTGGGCCTCAGTGTTCAGATCTAGGAAATGGGGGCATAGATTGAAGCCTGGGTAGGCTCGAGCCTGGTTTAGCCATCCTGGCCCCTTTTCTGCATGGGGCCCGGGGACCTGCCCTGGAGGTTTGAGGAGAGGGTTCAGTGCGGTGGTCTTCCCCATGCCGCAGTGGACATTGGGAGCCCCCTTGGGGCAAATGGCCTGTGTCACTCACCACTGGGCTGGCCCGGACTCTGCTCCCCAGGCTGGTTCCTGGCACTGACTGGCATAAGGCCAGGCTGCCTGGGTACTCAGCTCCCATGCTGGCCACAGGGGCTCCACCAGGCGTTGGGACAGAGAGGTGTCTAGAAAGTTCTGCCTTAGACAAGGGGTGCCTGTGTGCATGAGGGGCAGGCTCCGCTCAGCTCCCCTCCCCGTGACTCTCTTGCTGGGGGACTTCGTAGGGTGGAAGGAGCCCAACACCAGCGTCCCCAGGCTGGATTCAAGGCCAGCTCCACGCTCTGGGGCTCTGAGGCCTGGGAGCCTCGGTCTTCTCATGTGCAAAATGAAGAGCATCAACCCACCTGCCGCAGGGACAAAACAACAGCATAGTGGCTGGCACACAGTAGGTGCTCAACAAATGCCAGCTGTCTAGCTGCAGACTACGGTCACAGTTTCATTCATTCATCCACTCATTTTGTTATTTATGTATTTGAGACCGGGTCTTGCTCTGTCATCCAGGCTGGAGTGTAGTGGCGTGATCACGGCTCGTTGCAGCCTCGACCTCCCAGGCTCAAGCAATCCTCCCACACTT
This sequence comes from Homo sapiens, assembly GCF_000001405.40. Taxonomy (NCBI): domain Eukaryota; kingdom Metazoa; phylum Chordata; class Mammalia; order Primates; family Hominidae; genus Homo; species Homo sapiens. Next base: position 50,251,745 of record NC_000020.11, read on the forward strand.
AGCCTCCCGAGTAGCTGGGATTACAGGCGTGTGCCAACACACCTGGCTAATTTTTCGCATACAAAATCCCTTCTCGACGAAAAATACTCCTGGGCTCAAGCGAACTCCTGGGCTCAAGCGATCCACCCTCCTTGGCCTCCCAAAGTGCTGGGATTACAGGCATGAGCCAGTGTGCTTGGCCCCATCATTGATTTAACCTGTATTTATTGAGACCCTACTATGTGTCAGGCCCTGAGGGGAGTGTTGGGATCACATCACAGAACAAAGCGGACAGAATCCCCGCCTTCCCAGAGCTGACAGTCTAGTGGGAGAGATGGGCATTGAATGAGTAAACAGCATCATTTGAGATTGTGGTAAAGGAAATGAAGCAGAGAGCTGGGATGCGGGGTGACCAGCAGGACAGCCAGGGAGGGCCTCCAAGAAGCAGGCATGACCTAAGAGAAGGGTGCTGGGGGTGGATGAGTGGTAAAGGTAAGGGCCCTGAGGTGGGAACAAGCTAGGTGGGTCAAAGAACAGTAGGGAGGCCACCGTGGCTGGAATAGGGAGAGTGAAAGGGAGAGGGCTGGAGAGAAGGGGAGGGAGTGGACCCTGCGGGGCTTCGAAGGCAGGAGTGAGGAATTTGAATTTCATTCCAAGGGTAATTATTATGAACAAAGACCAAAGTTATGAATGACTACGAGACACAAAATGCAAACTCACTGTGATTCACTTCCAGCCCAGAACTTGGGCACTTTGGATCAGGAAACTTAAAGAAAAGCACCTGCACACACAACTTCTCTGTGGCTAGTTTTGTTTATTTCTTGTAGAGATGGGGTCTCACTACATTACCCAGGCTGGTCTCGAACTCCTGGACTCAAGCAATACTCCCACTTTAGCCTCAAGTGCTGGGATGACAGATGTGAACCACTGGCCAGGCTATGACGTTCATTTTAGAAAGAAATACAAAGGTAACAGGCCTTTGCCATTTGTTGAATGTAAATTCAGAGCGTTACACACAAATGCGAGTTTGTTAGTTGCAAAGGCAGTCACGGTCTCTGACTTCAGTGCTGGTTGTGAGAGTGAGGTGAGCTGGGGAGGGGGCATGATATCACCAGCCCGGATTTCAACAGTGCAATGCCAATTGGGGAAGGCTTGGGAGATCAGCTGGTCCACCCCACTGACTCCCAGATGAGGAAACTGAGGTCCAGACGAGGGGAAGTGAGTGGCCAAAGGTGACACTGTGAGTCAGAGGCAGATGCGGGACTTGAACCCAGGTCCCCTGACTCCTAACCCAGACTTTCTGAGAAATGAGTGTCTTGCCACGTGCTTCCCCTTTGCCCTTTCCTCCTGGACAGTGTCAGCTGTCCTTGGGGCCAGGAAGGAGACATGGAGGCCAGGGGTTTCTGGTGGACCCCACCACAGGGCTTCTCATCTGAGGCACCGCTGGGATGTTAAGCCGGATGGTGCTTTGAGGTAGAGGCTGCCCTGTGCTAGGCCTTCAGGCCATTTTTCAGACAGGATCGGGACTTGGAGACCAGGGCCCAGGGATGCCGCTTGAGGTGACAGAACTGGAAAAGATGAAGGGAAGAAAGGAATGTAACCCACATTGAATAATGAAGCCTGACGCTTTAACCCTACAATGGCCATTGCTGGATGTTGACGTAAACAATAGGTGTCTACAGGATGAATTAGCCAAACGACAACTCCGGTGTGAGCAGAACGGGCTCATTGGGTCAAGACACAATTCCACCACAGAACGGGTTTCACAAAGGACCATGTCCCATCAACTCAGCAATGAAACCATCGTGGTCTGGAAACCTGAGATCAGGACCCACAGAATGACTGGCGGAATGACAGACCAAATGTGGAAGATGTTCCAACCAGGTGTGAAAAAGTCATTCTGTGAATTATGAGAGTGTGGGAAAAACATACTCACTGGAAAAAAAATCCAGTTGTTAAGATAGATTGTTTATTTATTTATTTATTTTTATTTTTTTGAGACAGAGTCTCTCTCTGTTTCCCAGGCTGGAGTACGGTGGTGTGATCTTAGCTCACTGTAACCTCCGCCTCCTGGGTTCAAGCAATTCTCCTGCCTCAGCCTCTCGAGTAGGTAGGACTACAGGCGCAGTGCCACCATGCCTGGCTAATTTTTGTGTTTTTAGTAGAGACGGGGTTTTGCCATGTTGGCCAGACTGGTCTCAAACTCCTGATCTCAGGTGATCTACCTGCCTCAGCCTCCCAAACTGTTGGGATTACAGGCGTGAGCCACTGCCCCCAACCAAAATAGAGTTTATTTATTTATTTTTTCTTTTGGGATGGAGTCTAGCTCTGTCATCCAGGCTGGAGTGCAGTGGCGTGATCTCAACTCACTGCAACCTCTGCCTCCCAGGTTCAAGTGGTTCTCCTGCCTCAGCCTCCCAAGTAGCTGGGATTACAGGCACAAGCCACCGCGCCCGGCTAATTTTTGTATTATAAGTAGAGATGGGGTTTCACCATTTTGACCAGGCTGGTCTCGAACTCCTGACGTCAAGTGATCCACCCGCCTCAGCCTCCCAAAGTGTTGGGATTACAGGCATGAGCCACCGTGCTCGGCCGATAGACTTTATTTTTAAGAGAAGTTTTAAATGTACAGAATAACTGAAAAGATTGTACCTTATGACCAGTTTCTCCTATTATTCATGTGTCACATTAATTTGGTAGGTTTGTTACCATTTTTAAATTTTAAGTCTTTTGAGGCAGGGTCTTCCTCTGTTGCTGAGGTTGGAGTGGCACAATCATAGCGCACCGTAGCCTTGAGCTCCTGGGCTCGAGTAATCTTCCCATTTTAGCCTCCCAAGTAGCTGAAACTATAGGCATGGGCTGCCATGCTCAGCTGACTTTTGTATTTTTTTTTGTAAAGACAGGGTCTTGCTATGTTGTCCAGGCTGGTCTCAAACTCCTGGCTTCAAGGGATCCCAAGTACTGGGATGACAGGCATGAGCCACTGCGCTCCACCTTTATGTTATAATTAATGCACCAGCGTTGATACATTGTCGTGAGCTAGAGTCCCATAGCTTATTCCGACTGCCTTAATCTTTCCCTAATGTCCTTCTTCTGTCCCCGGAGTCCATCTAGGGTATCACGTGACATTTAATTGTCATGTCCCTTTAGGCTTCTCTTGTCATAACAATTTCTCAGACTTCCCTTGTTTTTGATGACCTTGACGGTTTTGAGGAGTTCTGGTCAGGTATTTTGTAGGATATCCCTCTATTGGAATTTGTTTTTTTTTTGTATGACCACATTAGGGTTATAGGTTTGGGGGAAGAAGATCTCAGAGGTAAAATGTCATTTTATCACAGCGTATCAAGTGTACTTACTGTTAATGTGACTTCCAACTGTTGCTGTTGACATTGATCACCTAGCCTGAGTAGTATTTGTGAAGTTTCTCCACCATCAAGTTGCTATTTTTTCCTTTTTCCACACTGTACTCTTTGGCAAGACGCTGCTGTGTGCAGCCTGCGCCTGAGGTGTGAGGAGTTATCTCCCCTCCTTTCCACTGGAGCATCTATGTAAATTATTTGGAATTTTTCTGCATGAGAGATTTGCCTCTTCATTCCTATCCATTTATTCAATATTTTATTTATATCAGTACAGACTCACGGATATTTACTTTATTTATACTTTGGGTTATAATCCAAGGTTGCTTTATTTATTTTCTTGCTCAAATTCTGCTAACTTTGGCCATTGGGAGCTCTTTCAACTGGCTCCTGCCCCCTTCCACAGACCCCTATCAGTGTAGTTTTCTTGAAGTCCTTTCATATTTTCTGGCACTACAAGTTGTTCCACATTCAACTTATATATTTCCTGCTGCAGTCTTAGAATCAGCCATTTCTCTAAAGAGTCCTGGTTCTTTTTATTAGAGAACGGTATAAGAAACCAAGATCTGGGTGCCGGGTGTGCTCATGGCTGCTGGGGTATCATTTCTTTTAGCCCTTTTCAGCTGATGGAGCAAAGAAATATCTGTGTGTATACTAACCTGTGTATAAACACACAGTTATCAATATTTCCATGTGTAACTAGTTATATTCATGTTTAGCTAAACATGAGTTTATATTGATGTCTCCAGAATCCATTATATGTGATGAATTTAATCAATTAATTTTTTTTTAAATATAGGGTCTTGCTTTCTTACTCAGGCTGGAGTGCAGTGGCATGATCACAGCTCACCGCAGCCTCCAACTCCTAGGCTCAAGCAATCCTCCCACCTCAGCCTCCTGAATAGCTAGTACTACAGGCAAGCACTACCACATCTGGCTGATTTTAAAATATTTTTGTAGTGATGGAGTCTCACTATGTTGCCCAGGCTGGTCTCTAACTCCTCGCCTCAAGTGATCTTTCTGCCTTGGCCTCCCAAAGTCCTGGGATTACAAGTGTGAGCCACTATGCCTATCCTATAATATGATTTGAAATAGTGGTGCAACACTAAATTCATAACCTTATTTATTACTACCTGAACACTTATTATCTGACAAGTACTTTCTAAGTGCTCACCACACATGATCTCCTTTGGACTGCATGACAGCTCTAGACACTGGTTCTCTGTTCATCCCCATTTTACAGATGAGGAAATGCAGACACAGATAAGCTATATATCTTGCCCAAAGTTTCTCTTCTAATAAGTGGTGAAGTAGAATTCAAACCCAGGTTCAGTCGTGTCAAACATTAAAATGTATCTATATTTCACATTAAATAGAATTCATATACAGCTAAGAGAAAAAGGTCACCTTATGGTTGACTGGTTGACGTAGTATTATAATCACAGTATTTCGCTTCGATGTTCTGATTTCCCTGGGAGCCAATAAATTTGTGTTTTAATTCTCAAAGTTTTCTGCCTGAGGCTGTGTTGTTGCTAATGGCCAGTGGATGAAAGAGCTCTTAGGCTGTTCCCAGTCCGTCCAGCTGCCATGTTGACTCACCGTCAGTCCCTCCCTCCAGCTAGCCCCCATGGGAAATTCACAAGGAAGCAGGGTCTTCTGGGGAAAATGTCCCAGGCAGCTCAGATCCCCGGAGGGTCAATGAGGGAGGGACAGGATGTGTAAGGGGAGGAAGTGGGGGGTGCGAGAACGGCCTTGGTGCTCTGCCCCCTAGGTGTTCCCAGTGTGAATCTGGTCTGACCTGCTGTGCTTCTTCTGCCCGGGCTTCTTGAAGGAGGCCTACCCTGACCCCAAGAGTGGCCTCTGGGTGACCCAACCAAAGGCCCCTCCTGCTTCTTCTCACATAAGGTCCCCTCCTCTCAAACCCAAGGCCCAGCCTCTTCCACCTCCTCCAGGAAGCCTTCTCTGTCTACCCCACTCTCAATAATATCCTTGTTCCCCGAAATAAATATCAATCCTGGACCAAACGTCTCACACTAGCAGCCCTCAGATGTACTTTTTAGGCCTGTATCATGTTTTCTAAACTTTTAATTTGACTCCCAGCATTGAAAAGCAAGAGATTTCACCTAAAAATGTGAACACACACCCTCTCTTACAAATGTGGAAAGCCTGGCATCCCCTGGCCCTCGTTCCTTCTGGTGAGCCCAGCCCTGCGCCTGGCACACAGCCTGGGTGCACCAGCCACAGCCTTCTTGGAGCACTGGCTTCAGAGGCACGCAGGCCCGATTTGCCCTTCCTGGCCATGGGACATGGCAAAAAATGCTTCTTGTGCAGCCTCAATTTCCCCATTTGGAACCAGGGCTTAAAACAAAACCTCCTTCATGGGGTTGTTGGGAAGAAGAAATGAACTAATAGGTGGAGCGGGCTTAGCACGGGCCAGGCATTCAGAAGCCTGGATTAATGATATTTCGTTTTCTTGTTTTCCTTTTTGTTTTCTTGCTTTGGTATCTCTCATTTCCTCATGGTCCTATCCTTCCCCACTCAGTCTGTCTGTTCGTCCATCCATCTGCCATTCTACAAATGCCTACTGTGTTCCGGGCACATGGAGGATCCAGTTGTTCCCCTCGGAAAACCCCTCTTCCTGGTCTGCCTGAGCAGAGAGCCATTTCATCCACACATGCATTCATTCACTCATTCATTCAAATGCTCACTGAATACCGACTGTGTGCCAGGAATTGTTCGGAACATCAAGGAAACAGCACTGAACGAAACAGACAAAAATCTCTGCTGTCCTGGGGCTGATGTTCTACTGGTGGCAGACAGACCATAAACCAATTATAATGTGAGGTAGCACTAAGTGCTGGGAAGAAAAATCACAGATGTGGCGGGGGCAGCTGCTTGGTCAGGAAGGCCTCTCTATGAGCAGGGAGGGGGCCGTGTGGCTGGCTCCAGGATAAGAACATTCCACGAAGAGGGAACCAGTGCAAAGGCCCTGAGGCGGGTGCGGGCCTGGAGTGTTTGGGGGCAGAGCGTGAGTGGAGGGGTGTGAGTTACGTATTTCCGTGATGTTAGAATTCCTCTCCTCCCTGTCATTCTCTTCCCCCTCCTCTGCTTTCTCTCTCTCTCTCATTTTTTTTAAAACAATGAGTCTCTTAATTTTGTTATCAGATACACAAGGACAATTCATAAAAATAGAAATAATATCTGGGAAGCGGTGGGCATGCCATTGGCACACAGGAGTGGCGATGGCTATTCTTACCATTTCTTCTCATTTCTGGCAGGAATGAATCACTTACTTCCAACGTTTCCTAAAGAGGCAATGGGCTCCTGGGCCCTTTCTCACTCGGGAGGGCCTTTCCTCTGCCCCATCATTCTGAGGGTTTCTGGAAGGTGAGTGCGTAAGATGTGTGTGTCTGTGTGTGTGTGTCTGTGTCTGTGTGTGTGTCTTGCCAAAGAAGGGTGCTGTTGCCTCTTCCCCTTCGCTCCCCTCATCTCCTCTTTTCTATCTTCTGCCCCTTTGGTGGAAAGAAGCATCCAAGCGTGGGGAGCCTTGTTTCGGGGCCACTGAGAACTTGCTGAGCTGAGCTTGCTGAAGCTTACGATAGCGAGGCCAGGGTGGGATGTGGCTCATTGTGTCAGAAAAGAGGTTCATAGAACTCTTGAGAATGGGAGTCCTAGAAATAGGGCCCTAGGCCCATCTGAAGTCTTCTCACTTGTCCCCAGAGCTTCAGGCTCCTTCCTGTCCCCCCACCTTCCTGGATGCTGCCTGGTCTAGCCCCATCATCCTGCCTGCGCCATTGCAGTCACCTCCTGCCTGGGGCCCCTGCTTCTGCCCTGGGCCACCCTGCCTGTTCCTCACACGCAGCCAGAGGACCCTGCCAGAACCAACTCAGACCCTGTCCCACCCCTGCTCAGAGCCCTCCCAGGGATCCCACCCCACTCAGAGGCCCTGTGAGGTCCTGCGAGGCCCTGCGTGTTGGCTCCTATCTCCTCTCTGAGCTCACCTCTCCCACTCACCGCCTTGCCCTCTGCCCCCTTGCCCAGCCACACTGGCCTCCCTGCTACGTGACAGGCTCCTACTCTAGCTTTTGGACCCTACTGCACCCCTCCCACCCCAGGGACCTCTGCCCCTCCTCTTGGGGTCAGCTGGGCAGCCTGCCCTGTACTCCCTAACCCCCTCCAACCCCAGGAGTGGGGCTTCTTGATGCCAGCCTCCAAGCCCTTTATCACGTGTCCATGGGCAGTGTTCTGAGGTGTCAGCCCTAGAAAGGTTGGCTGGATCTGGGTGCACTGTGGTGCCCCAGTGCCTGGAACAGTGTTGGCTGCCTGGAACAGTATTGGTGCACAATATGCAGTAGGCATTCAATTAGTGCTTGCTGAATGAGGGAGCCTCAGCGTTTTAAAATCAGACCTTGAAAACGTTGCAAAGTTCTTAGAATCCCAGGCTTGAAGAATTGGAGACTGGGAGGCAGTGAGGCTGGGTGAGTCTGGAAGGCTGCGGGCCCATCTGCCCCATCCTGGTCGGCTGTGTGTGTGTCTCTCTTTTTGAATCTGTCTCTGTCTTTTTCTCTCTCTGTCACTGTCTCTTTCTGTCTCTGTCTTGTTTACCTCCTTCTCATTGTTTCTCTGTGTGTTGTCTGTCTCTGTTTCTGTCTCTCTCTTTTCTCTGCCTCTTCTCTCCTCTCCTCTCCCCACAGCTTCCTTCCCTGCCCCCCTCCTCCTTTCTTCCTCTCCTGTCTCCTCCCATCCTCTCCCCTTCTCCTTTCCTCTCTCTCTTTCCACTGTTTTTTCTCTTCCTTTCTCCCCACTGTCCCTCTCTGTATCTCTCGTTTCTCTGTCTCGGTCATCCGTGTGTCTCTCCTCCTTGCTGTCATCTTCTGTCCCTGCCTCCATGGGCACCCAGCCAGCTTCTGCTGTGGAGCGTTTTTCTGCCTCTCTGTCCTCCATCTGCCCCACCCAGGGGCCCTATCCAATTGTCACAAAGGCTAGCCCATGGCCAGTCCTGTGAGGGGCTGGTGCTGGGCGTGGAAGCTCTTCTTGACCTTCTTACTTGTGGCATGACTCGAAAAGTTGCGAACCTTTCTGCTCTCTGAGCTCTGATTTCCTTGTCTAGCCAAAGAGAATAACAATTTCTGGTACTTCCTTGATTTCTATGCTAAGTACATTTATTATTTCACTGGCTCGTGGTGAAGCTTGGAGAAGTTTATGGGTGGGGAACCTCACCAACAAAACCTCCATGGCAGCAGAAGCAGGCCTTGCCAGGAGCTGACCATGTGCTGACCTGGGCTGGGCATGTTCCCTGGCTGGGGCATGGCCGCTGTCTGTCCTGGGCTCAGCACACAGTGGTCTCTTTCTGCCCAGCCAGGCCTCCTTTCAGAAACTTGAACTCATTAGGCTGCCTCCAGCCACAGGGCCTTTGCAGGGGCTGTTCCTTCTGTCTGGGATGCTCTTCCTTCTATCTTTGACCTGGTTAAACTGGGGCCTTCTTATTCTTCTGATTTGGGCTCAAACATCCCCTCTTCCAGGAAGCCCTCCCTGATGACACCCCCCCAAGTCAGGTCACCTTGTTAACCACTTTCTATCCCTTACCACAGTTATAATTATTTATTTGCTCTCAGTCCCCACAGGGCTCCCCACCCCATCTTCTGGGCTTAAGGCTCCCCAGGAGGGAAGTTGAGAGGTCCAGGCCCATGAGTCAGCAGAGCTTGGCTTCCCCTCTTAGCACTTTCTTTGGGGCGGTTGGGGCCTGGCCTCCTCCAAGGGGGACTAAATTCAGGGGTGACTAGGTGGTGGGGAGGTGGCCAAGTCCTCTCTCCGCCCCCTACCCCAGCTGCCCAGCATCAGACAACTTCTCTCTGCTTCTGTGCCAACACCTGCCTGAGCCACTGTTGACACACTCACCTCCCCCACCCCAGCTCCATTGCCACCTTCTCCTGGGGAAGCCAGAGGGAGCTTTTCATAATCTAAATCTGACCTCCAACGGCCGTGCTCCAAACCCTTCCATGGCTCCCCGTTACTCTCTGAATAAAGCCCCAGCCCCTCAGCCGGCCTCCACGCCCTCTGTGGCCTGGCCTGGCCTCTTCCCCTTCATGTCCCAGCAGCCCCCAGCTCCCAGCAGCTCCCTGCCCCCAGGTCTTCGTGCTTGTTGTCCCACCAAATGGATGAAAGCCACCTGTTCACTCCCTCACCTCCTTCAAGCCCAGACATCACCTTCCTAGCGAGGCCTTCCCTGACAGCGCTTCTTAAAATTGCAGACTCCCCACCATCTTTCCCCTGCTTCCCTCCTTTATTTCTCCCTAGAACCCCAGCCTCTGGGAATAGGCCATAGAGTTTATGGATTCATTTTGTTTTTCGTCTGTCTCCCAGACTAGAATGTCAGTTCCCCACGGGCAGGTGCCATTGTTTCTCCTCTTCCTTACTGTGTCCTAAGGAAGGAGTGAGCGAGGCCTGTGTGGCTGTGGGGTCAGATGGGCTTGGGTTCAAGTTCTGGCTCATTCACTGCCTCACTTTCTCTCCTTAAGAGCTGAGTAAACTCTTGTGTGTAAAGTGTCTAGTGCCTACACGTGTCTAGAGGAAAAAAAGCCAAAATGAGAACTCGTCACTCATGATTTCGGGGAGATGGGTGATGCTGCTTAGGCCTGGCCACACCCTGGTGTTGTTACCCGGCCATTGAAAAGTATGACCCGCAGCCCTCCCAGGACCCTTCTGTTTCGTTTGTTTGCTTTTAAGTATTATTTGTTACACAAGCATTTTTTTCCCTCTAGATTTTATTTTTAATGAAAAAATTCAAGGGAAATTAGTGTATGTAATATTCCACCCTTGTTTTAAACAGGAGGTGGAAGATACATGTGTATGTTTTTAAATTGAGGAAAAATTCACATAACATAAAAGTAACCATTTAAATGAACCATTGGCCATTTTAAAGTGAACAATTCAGTGGCATTTAGTTCATTCATAATGTAGTACAACCATCACCTCTATCTAGTTCCAAAACATTTTGTCCCCTCCCCTCCCCTCCCCTCCCCTCCCCTCCCCTCATCTCTCCTCTCCTCCCCTTCCCTTCCCTTCTTTTTTATTTTCCAGTCTCATTCTGTTGCCCAGGCTGGAGTACAGTGGTGTGATCTCAGCTTAGGGCAGCCTCAACCTCCCCAGGCTCAGGTGATCCTCCCACCTCAGCCTCCTAGATAGCTGGGACTAAATGCACATGCTGCCACGCCCAGCTAATTTTTTGTATTTTTTGTAGAGGTGCGGTTTTGTCATGCTGCCCAGGCTGGTCTCAAACTCCTGGGCTCAAGTGATCTGCCTGCCTCGGCCTCCCAAAGTGCTGGGATTACAGGCATGAGTCACTGTGCTAGGCCCCAAAACATTTTCAATCACCCAAAGGAGACCATGTACCCATTAAACAGTCACTCCTCATTCCTGCCTCCCCCCAGTTCCTGGCAACCGTCAGTCTTCTTTCTGTCTCTATGGGTTTATCTATACTGGAGACTTCATATAAACAGTATCATACAATATATGACCTTTTGTGTCTAACTTCTTTCAATTAGCCTAATGTTTTTGAGGTTCTTCCACGTTGTGGCATGCATCAGTACTTCATTTTTTTTTAATTTTTAATTTTAATTTTTTTGAGATGGAGTCTCACTCTGTCGCCCAGGCTGGAGTGCAGTGGGATGATCTCAGCTCACTGCAACCTCCATCTCCCGGGTTCAAGTGATTCTCCTGCCTCAGCCTCCCGAGTAGCTGGGATTACAGGCATGTGCCACCACGTCTAGCTAATTTTTGTATTTTTAGTAGAGACGGGGTTTCACCATGTTGGCCAGGCTGGTCTCGAACTCCTGACCTCGGGTGATCACCTGCCCTGACCTCCCAAAGTACTGGGATTACGGGCGTGAGCCACTGCGCCCCACCAGTACTTCATTTTTAAAAAATGATCAAATACTGTTGTATGGCTAGATCACATTTTGCATATCTATTCATCGACTGATGGACAGTTGGGTTGTTTCCACCTTTTGGCTACTGTGACTAGTGCTGCTATGGTAATTGGTATACAAGGGCTTGTTTCGTGTGTGTGTGTGTGTGTGTGTGTGTGTATGTGTGTGTATATATATATATATTTTTTTTTTTTTTTTTTTGAGAGACTGTCTCGCTCTGTCACCCAGGCTGGAGTGCAGTGGCATGATCTCGGCTCACTGCAACCTCTGCCTCCCGGGTTCAAGCGATTCCTGTGCCTCAGCCTCCTGAATAGCTGGGATTACAGACGTGCGACACCATGCCCAGCTAATTTTTGTATTTTTGGTAGAGGACTGGGTTTCACCATGTTGGCCAGGCTGGTCTCAAGCTTCTGGCCACAAGTGATCCGCCCACCTCAGCCTCCCAAAATGCTGGGATTACAGGTATGGGCCACCGCTCCTGGCCTTGTGTGGGTATTCTTGAGTGAAAAATACAAGATGCAGAAAAGGATGCCCAATGTGATTCTGATTTGTAAAAGGAATGACAGATAAAGAAACCCTTTGTCCGGGCAGACAGTCTGTATGGGATTTTCATTCTTACAGAAAAATAGGTAAGAATCCATTCTCAATGGTCACCAAGGGAAAAAAAGAAGGCTTTTGCAGAAAAGTAAAAATGAAAAACCACAACAGTGCACACACAGTGGCTCCATGCGGGCATGTGAGACACACTAGACTGAGTGATTGTATGTGCAGATGTGAAAAAAACAGCAAACAACAAAATCAGCCCCGAAACTAGTCTCTCTAGGAGGGGCTGGGCAGGAGCCTGGTCAGATGGAGAAACTGAAGTTGGGAAGAGGGGAGGGAACTCCTAGGAGAGAGTGATCTCCAAAAACTGCTCCCCACCCCTCCTTTTTAACTCCCTCCCCAAATACCAGGTCCCATTGGAGCCAAATTTCCTCAGTGTTTTGGAATCTCAGACCCGCAGGCAGGAGACAGATTCTTCCCCATGGAGGATGCGGTTGGGTTTTTAAGCTCCTGTAGATTGAGCACTTACTACCTGCTAAGTGTTTCACCTACCTTATGGCCTGAGTCCTCTCCCAGCCCCTGAGGAAAAGCTATTGTTCCCTTATTTATTTATTGTTATTGTTACTTTTTATTTATTTACTTATTTTTTAGATGGAGTCCCGCTCTGTTGCCCATGCTGGAGTGCAGTGTCGCGATCTGGGTTCGCTGCAACCTCCGCCTCCCAGGTTCAAGTGATTCTCCTGCCTCAGCCTCCTGAGTAGCTACGATTACAGGTGCCCACCACCACGCCTGGCTAATTTTGTCTTTTTAGCAGAGACAGCGTTTCACCATGTTGGTCAGGCTGGTCTCAAACTCCTGACCTCAAGTGATCTTCCCACCTCGGCCTCCCAAAGTGCTGGGATTACAGGCGTGAGCTGCCGTGCTCAGCTGCTCCCCCATTTTTTTCGTTCAGGAAAGCAAAGTTCAGAGAGGAGTAGGTTTCTGTGCAGGGCGTGTGGCAGAGCTGGACTTGAACTCAGGGCGGAATCCTTAGCCATGGTGCCCCCTGCCACATGGTTCGGCTTTCCTTCATCTCTGCTCCCCAAGATGCCTGGCTCCAGCTGAAGATCCAGGGTTCCCAGGTTCCTCTTCTGGGGACAGGTCCTCCTTCAGCCTGACCTGAGCTCTGCCACTTCCACCGGCATGAACTGTAGCAACAATTTGGCTACCCGGGCCTCATTCTCTCCATCTGGAAAATGGGCACAGCATGTGCCTTTCTGCACAGTGAGGTCATGAAGGATTGATGAGGCAACACGCAAGGAGCGTAAGCCTAGGGCCTGGCACCCAGGAGGCCACCCCAGTGGGCCCTGCTGGGTTTCCGATTTCCCCTGTGACACCTCCTGGGGGCCGGATCCCCAGCGGGAGGAGGGATGAGGCCTGGGGGGCCTGGCTCTGGCACAATGCAGAGCATTGAGCTCATGCCAGCCTTGGCTTTGGGTTTGGACAAATACAGTAATCTGGGCAGGACTCACACAAAGACCTGGGGGCCAGGTCAGGCGAGGGGCGTCAGGTTACCCCTGTGGGCTGCAGCCACACAGGCGGCTTGGGGGGTGTATTTTTTTTCCCTAAAGATTATCATTAAATGAGCCCTCACCGAGGCCTCAGCAGGCAGGTTTCATTACAGGAAAAACTGAGGTATAGGGGTTTGCAGGCCTAACGGGACACGCTGTCACTGTGATAGGAACAGCATTAGCAATAATAACAGCTGTCCTTCCGGACTGGTTCCCAAGGGCTAGGCCCTAGGTGAATAATAAGCCTTTTCTCGATCCTTTCTGCAGCCCGAGAGGAAAGCCCCATGCTATCCCCATTTCATAGATGGGAAAACTGAGGCTTGAGGACACTTTGCGGCCTCCAAGGGCTGTTCTCTTCATTCCTCCAGCAGAGTGGATATGAGACGGTGCAGGGTCTGGAATGTCTGGGCAGAAGGAAGAGCTGGAGCAAAGGCCTGGAGGCTGGAGAGCGCTGTCGGGGGGCAAGTGGGGCAGTGTCCCACTGCGGGGTTTCATCTCAGCTCTGCCATGTCTTGGCTACGTGACCTCTGACACCCTACTGGGCCTCTTTGATCCCAGACTCACCTGTAGAATGGGTGTGTGAGAAGAAAACCTTCTGGAGCGGGGTGTTGAGGAGAGAACAGTGCCTGACACATCATAATAATAATGCTGAATAGATGTTATTTTCATTCCTAACCACTTCCTCCAGGAAGCCCATCCTGACCTCTAGCTCCCAAAGTCACCTGGACTTCCTCCATCACAGACCTTGCCACAGTGTGAGAAACTGCCTCATCCACACACCAGCTTCTCACCTCCACCCAGACCCTCTGATTGGGACTCCCCTGAAGACTGTGTCCCCAGAGCCCAGAAAGAGTCCAGCACAGAGCAGCTGAGGGGGCAGGTGCTGGTGAACAGTGTCAATGAGCCCCTGCTACTCACCAAGCCCTTCACACACGGGTCCTTCATTTAATGTCTTTCTTCTCCTAGATAGAACCTTGGCTTTGCCAAGACCGGTATAGTTGCTGCTCAAGAAATATGTGAGGAAATTGTTGAGATGAACCAGCACTCAGGGGAAGGGAGGCTTTCTGAGGCTGGGGCCTTAGCAGGTGGAGCTCCTGGGATAATAATAATAAGAAAGATGCCTGGACGCGGTGACTCACACCTGGAATCCCAGCAATTTGGGAGGCTAAGGCAGGCAGATCACTTCAGGCCAGGAGTTCAAGACCAGCCTGGTCAACATGGTGAAACCTGGTCTCTACTAAAAATACAAAAAATTAGCTGGGCCTGGTGGTGTGAGCCTATAGTCCTAGCTTCTCGGGAGGCTGAGGCTGGAGGGTCAATGATTGAACCTGGGAGGTGGAGCTTGTAGTGAGCCGAGATCGCGCCACTGCCACTGCACTCCAGGCTGGGCAACACAGTGAGACTCTGCCTCCAAAAAGAAAGACAACAATAATCATTAGTCTTTACTCTGCTCCAGGCACCAGGCTGAGTCTTCTCAGTTCATCTCCCCAGCAGATTAGTTCTATTATTGTTTCCATTTCACAGATGGGAAAATCAAGGCACAGGGAGGGGAGGTGGCTTACTCCAGGTCACACAGTTAGTGAGAGGCAGAGGCAGGATCAAAGCCAAGCCTGTTTGACTGAGGAGCCCGCCCCGAGACCTTAACCACACAACCCCTCCCTAGAAGGAAGGTGCCACTACTGGACACATTTTGGAGATGGAAACCAAGGCTAAGAGAGTCAGGATGGCCTGCCCATGTCTGGACACAGAAACTGAGGTTAAGCAGGAGATGCCCGAGGCGGGGTCCCTGTCTCCTAGGCCAGCACCCTGAAGAAGGGGTGGGAGACAACCCCCCACCCCCCAAGCTGTCCCCTGCTTGTTGGAGTTTCTGGTCAATACCCTGGCCTCTGTTACCCAGCCCAGCACCCAAGACGCTGCCTCTTCCGCCTGCCTGGAGTCTCGGGTGCCTTCACAATCGGATTCTCTGTCTCTGCAGCTGCTTTCCATTTGAGCCCTTTGTGCTGAAAATAAAAAAAATGAAAAGAAAACTTGGCACCACCCCTCTGCTTTGCTTCCTGGGGAGGAAGGAGGATCCCAGCTACTTCTTTCCCTCATTCTGGGGCCCAGAGATACCCACAGCCTGCCCGAGGTCACACAGCAGGGTTGGAGCCGGGACCCTGGCCTTAGACTCCCCTTCCAGTGCTCTACCCACTCTGGCCACTGCCTCTGATGTTCCTGGCTCTTCCTCTAGGCCCGTGAGGAGCAGAGAAATTAGGATGAATGTTCCCGAGCCCTACCACATGCTGGGCACTCTGCCATCCTGGGCTCACGAAACCCTCATGACAGCCCTGTGAGGTCCCGTCATCCCATTTAACCAACAAGGAAGCTGAGGCTCAGAGAGGGGAAGCGCCCAAGGTCACACAGCTGGGATGTGGCAGAGCTGGGGTTCCAGCTCCTGTTCCCATTGCTGGACAGCTGCCACATCTGGCACCCAATTTAGGACCCCGCGGGGAGGCCCAAGCCCCGGGGGTGGCGGGGGATCCTAGAGGAAAGTGGCAAGGCCAGGACCCTGGAGCAGAGCCAGGTAGGAACAATGGGTTCTCAGAGACCAAGGTGGCAGGGCGGGGCGGCTGCTGAGCAGGGGCGGCAGGGCGAGGTGGCGGGCGGGGCCCAGGAGACTTCATGCTCCCGCCTCCTACTCCAGCTCCCTGTTTGGGATCTGGGGACGCTCCAAGCACCTCAGCTTCTCAACCTGGACAGACCCACGGCTCCAGCAGGAGGCAGGGCCAGCCCTGTGTATAACCATAAATATAATGGGCAATAATCAGATTTCACGCTTACCGAGCCCTACTACAGGCCAGACACTGGGTCAAGGGTCCTTCCTGGGTCATCACAATCAGCCTAGGAGGTGCAATTAGGATTAGTGGCTTTTTACAGATGCGGAAACAGAGGTCCAGGGAGCTACTCAGCACCTGCTGTGCCAGGACAAAGAACTTTGGGAAGTGGGGCCCTCAGAGGGTGGGTACCCTGTTCCCAGAGGCAGGAAAGTTGAGGTGGACTGGACTCAGTGGGGCTCAGTGGGACACCGTGGGGAGTCAGTGCTCTCTGGGGGCGAGATGAATTAGAGGGAGCCCTTTTGGTTTTTTAGAATCTGAACATGGGGCGGGGGAAGCAGAGATGTGGGGAGCAGATGAAGCCTCCCTGGCACTGCTGGGAGGATTAAAGGACTTGATGGACACCCAGGGCTTGGAAATGTACCTGGTAGAGAGTAGGTGCTCAGGGAACAACTCCTGTTTGCAGAAACAGCAACTCA
The DNA here is from genome assembly GCF_000001405.40 of Homo sapiens. Classification (NCBI taxonomy): domain Eukaryota; kingdom Metazoa; phylum Chordata; class Mammalia; order Primates; family Hominidae; genus Homo; species Homo sapiens. The sequence continues at coordinate 50,268,393 of NC_000020.11, forward strand.
CACTTAGGGAGCCTGCTGTGCATCTGAACCCCGTGCTTGGGTGTTTCTGACCCCCTTCCAGCTCTCATCCCTCCTCTCTCCATTTTCTCCCCTGTCTCAGGTTCATTCCTATGTTTCCTCTTGCCCCAATTAGGCCATCTTCTATGACTGCAACAGTAAAAATATTAATTAAATCTTATAACATGAAGTCTAACGTGGGGCCATTCCAGTGTTCCAGGGCAGGCTCCCTGCGCTCTAGGTAGGCATCTCTTCACTTCTCTTTCTTCATGGGCCCCAGTGCCTGCTGTGGCTCAAGACATCACGTCCCACATGATCACATCCTAACTAGGAAGAGATGAACAGAAAAGGGGACTTTCTCCTCCAGGATCTCACTTTTTTTTTTTTTTTTTTTTTTGAGACAGAGTCTTGCTCTGTTGCCCAGGCTGGAGTGCAATGGCACGATCTCGGCTTACTGCAACCTCCGCCTCCTGGGTTCAAGCGATTCTCCTACCTCAGCCTCCCACATAGCTGGGATTACAGGCGTGGGCCACCACTCCCAGCTAATTTTTTGTATTTTTAGTAGAGATGAATTTTCACCATGTTGGCCAGGCTGGTCTCAAACTCCTGACTTCAGGTGATCCACCCACCTCAGCCTCCCAAAAGTGCTAGGATTACAGGCGTGAGCCACCGTGCCCAGCCAACAATTTTTCTTACATGTCCCAGTGGATGTCCCCTGGTGTCTCATGGAATGATGGGCTCACATGTCCACATTTGAACCAGAAAGGAATTCCCGTGGCTGACTCAGGCCAATTAGGGTTCAGCCTGTCTGGCTGCTCCAAAGAGATGTGGGCTCCGAAGGTGATGGGGGCACGGCTGGGCTGGCCACCAGCTGGAGTCTCACTGACGGCCTAAGTGGCACAGTGGGCCTGGGTTTGCTCGGCCTTCTCTGGCTGGTCCTCTTGGCAGCGTCTGCCCCCTGGGTAACTGCCCCCTCCTTGAGCACAGTCTTCCCCAGCCTCTTGATGGCGGCTTGCTGGTCTCGCTGGTTCTCCTCTTACTTCCCTGCCCGTTCCTCCTTGGGCCTTGAAAACGACCCCTCTCCTGCCTTCATCTGACCCTTGCCCCGTGAGCTCAGCTGTGCGGGGTCCCTCGTGCCTTTATGCGGGCTCTGTCAGTCTGTCCATGGGTGTCCCAGGGGCGCACCCCACTGGGAGACATGGATGTCTTTCCCAGCTGAGAAGACAGCACTGCCACCCACCCAGTGGGCCAGGCCTCAGACCCCAGAGTTGTCCTTAACTCCTCTCTCTCTAACCCCAACATTCAATCCTCAGCAAATTCCATCGGCTCTGCCTGTGGACTGAATCCAGAACTCGACAAGTCTTCCCTCCTCTGTCTGGTCATTGCTCGCCTGCCTGGGCAGAATCTCCGCCCTGGACTCCCCACCCACCCCACACAGCCCTCCACACTCAGCCAGAGGGCTCCTGTTGGAACCCAAGTCAGGTCACACCATTGCCTCACTCCAAACCCTACTCCTACCTCCCTCAGAGAGAAAGACAGTCCCTGCTCTGGTCCCAAGGACAGCCCTGCATGGCCTTCCCCCTCCCCACCTCCCCTCCCCTCTTCCCTGCCCGCAGTGACCTCCCTCCTCCTGCTAGAACACATAGAGCTTTGCCCCACCTCTCCTGGGTGCTCTTTTTCTGGATCTTTCCATGATCAGCCCCATCCCCTCACTCGGGCCTGTGCACCTCAGAGAGGCCTCCCAGACCATCCCTGAAAGTAGCCCTGCCCACCCCTACCACACCTGCCAAAGGTCAGCTTCGGCAAGTGGGGACTGTGTCTTATTCAGCATGGGGCCAGCACAGGGCAGTGCGCAGAACGCAGCAGCTGGCGCCGGGCTCCGTGGGTCCTCCCACAGATGCAGTCCATAGGGATGGTGTCTGGGTCCCAAGGTGACCCCTGGGCTGAGGTCACCACCTTTCCTCTTCCAGGATCACTGCCTGGATGACGGTGGGTGTCCCAGTGGTGGGGAGAGCAGCTCCGAGCCTCCATCATGCCCAGAGCAATGGGCACTGGAGCCTGGAACCTTCTTTCCGTATCACAGAACCTCCAGGAGTCTGGAAGGAGACAGTTGCAAGGAATGGAATTTAGGAACTTTTGGTCCATGCTCGGTGTTCCCTTTGGGGGTATCTTGTCCGATGGTTATTGTTTTTGTTTCCCCTTTTCCTGAGCTGTGGTGCCTATTGTTCAAACAGAGGACCCCAAGCGATGGCCTGCCTCACTCAGGCGCAAGCACCCGAGCTGTCTGGCAAGGTGGCAATCCACCACGGCCAACTTCCCCTTGGGGATTCCGCAGGAAGGACGTGGCCCCTCCAACCGAGGCGGATGTACGGTCTCTCCATAGATTCCGCCTGCGTAATCCCATGGCCGCTTCAGCTGGGTCTCATGGGGCCACCCTGTGGCCTGCGTTCAAGGACCACATCGTAGCAACAGGTCTGCGTTAAAGCTGGAATCGCACCCAGCAGACTCGGCCTGGGGGGATCCACCAGCCCACATCTCGCTCTCCCGATACAGCCACCTGGCAATTGGCTCTTCTCTCTCCAAGGCTGTATTTGTTCTTTTTGCTGAGTGTGTGCAGGTGAATTCTCGTTAGTTAAAGCGCCTGCGCGGTGGCCGCCCTGAATACAAAAAAGATCAAGGGGATGCTGTCCTGGTAGGTATAAGGAGTGGGGGCCCCCCACCTTTACCACTTCTCCAGGTGACCCGAGGGTCTGTCCTTAGAATACCACCAGGCTCAGTGGAACCCAGTTTGAAAGCCCACGATCGAGGTCTGTCCCTTTGGTCTCCATCTGGGAAAGTGAGGCGAGAGATGAGGGAGGGGGCATTTTGAGGACCAGAAATGTCGTGGCAGAAACAGCCAGCCTGGAGAAGGGAGTCTGGGCAGGGCAGGACCCAAAGGCTCGAGCAGGATGTGTCTGGTGAGGTTGTCTGGGGGAAGTGACTTGCCTGTCCCCTTCGTTCATTCTTCAACATTCATTCATTCATTCATTCATTCAACACACAATGAAGCACCCACTGAGCTGGGGGTGACAATGATCCCTGCCTACAAGAAGCTCCCAGGCCGGTGGGGGACATGAACACCCTTCAAAATGTCAATTTGTGGCTGTGACAAGTACAAGGTGATCTGAGGGTCAGTAAAGGGGGAAGGAGGTTGATGTGGTTAGGGTGTTCGGGAAAGCTTCCTAGAAGCTGAGCTGGGAACTGAAGGGTGAGTAGAGGCCAGGCAGATGAGAAAGGGAGGAACGAATATTCCAGCAAGTGGACACAGCACATGCAAGGGCCCTGCTGTGAAATGGAGCAGAGTAGGAGAGGCTAATAGGCTCGCAGCTCCACGTGGCGGACAGTTCGCAGTGAGGGGCAGATGTGGAGAGGAAGGTGAGGTGGGGGCTGGACAGGCTCCCAGTGAAAGCAGCCCAGTCTCTATGCCAAAGGCAGAGGGGTTCTTGGGAGGATCTGAGCCAGCAGCACCAGCTTCTTCCTGAATACTCCAGGGCTTGGGGCCAGGGGTGGTCATCTGGACTCGATCCTCAGTGGGATAGGAGACAGGGTCACCTGGCACTTCCGCCCACCTCTGCCTTCCTGGTCTGGGTATAACAATCACTGTCTCTTCGTCTTTCATGATTTATCTCACTGAACCCCCACCCACAGACCAACACCTGCAGGTGCCAGGGGTTGAACCCACTTGTCAGATGGGGAAACTGAGTCTGTGAGATGTTCTCATGGCCCCACCCACTTCCTTCTGCTCAGAGAAAAGAGGAACGGGGAACTGATGCCCCTGGTCAGCTGGGAAGAGTCTGGGCAGGGAATGGGGAGGGTGGGGCCCTCGGGGGCCTGCATTCGGGATGGGCAGGGGCCCTGCTTCCGTTTAACCACAGCCCTGTGACATGCCCCAAAAGGGAAGCAGCAGCCGCCTGTCCTCACCCCTCCGTGCCCTAGGGAGGGGGCTGGGGATGCCCAGGGGTGGGGAGCAGGAGTCTGGGGAGGCCTCACCCTCCCACCCCAGGCCTCGAGTCTGGGTTCTTACAGAACTCTGGGGTCAGCTGAACCCAGCTGGTGACCTCCATCAAGTCCCAAGAAGACCTTGGCTTCCTATTCTGTAAATGGAGGATCAGTCTCTCTGGAATGTTCTCAGATTAGCACACAGTGGGTCCTCACTGAATGGCTAGCCAGCAGTTGTTGGTTGAATAAGCTAAAAGTGTTTTTCTCCCTGAAAGGAGTAGCCAATTAGATAAGGAACCCATGTATATGACATTCCACAAATATTTATTGAGCACCTATTAGATTTCAGGCATTGTCCTGGTACTGTGGAGCAATGAACAAACAAGACAAAAATGCCCCCGTCACCTTTGGAGCCCACATCTCTTTGGAGCTGCCCTGCCTTTCCTGGTTTGTGGCAGACATCACTAATTGATCATCTTTCCTGCTGCAACCAGAATTCTCTCCAACACCGTGCACCACTCAGAGACTGACATATGGTGGGGAACAGCCTGTCATCCCCAGGGAGGGATGGCACGTGGGGACTTGGAAGGTCTCAGTGAGAATCTTCTAGCTGATTTAAGCAGCTTCCTCTCAGTCTCTTTCAACAAATATTTATTGAGCACCTACTTTGTGTCCAGTACTGTGCCAGGCATTGGGGATACAGCAGTGACCAGGGTGGACATTACCCTTACCCTCGTGGAGCTGATGTTCTGGTGAGAAAGACAAGTAAACAAATAAGCAGACACTTCCAGACACAGATACTACAAACACATGCCAGAGGCATATGGTGGAGGGTGACAGGGAAGGAGTCTGGGGTAGGTTGGGGTTGGGGGTTCTGGAGGGAGGGTATTTATTGAGACCTCACTGAGATGCAGCCACCAAAGGAAAATATGGGGGAAGGTGTCACAGGCAGCACAGCAAAGGCATAGGCCCGGAGTGGGGAATGAGGTTGATAGATTTAAGGGACAGGAAGGAAATAGTGTTGCTGGCGGGGCATGAATGTAGGGGAGAGAAGCAGGAGAGGGTGGTGGAGACCAGGCTGGGGCCATACATCCAGGGCTCGGGGCCAGGGGTGGGCTCTGAATCACATCTCCAATGGGATGGGCAGTCACTGGAGGGTCAAAGCAGGGAAGAGACTTGGGCGGGATCCCATTTCAGATCCCTCTGGCTGTGTGAAGCAGGGACACCCAGCCGGAGATGGCCGCAGATGTCCAGGCGAGCGAGGATGGCAACTTGGACGGGGGCGATGCCAGTGAATGTGGGGAGAGATGGCCAGGCCTGGCGGGAGGCCCAGGGCTCTGCATTCAGTTTCATTTTTCCTTTTACACAATCCCCCCCGGCCCCGGGCACTCTGGGTCACTGGACTTTCCCTGGCACTGCCGGTGGGGCCCACAACCTGCTGGCAATCTGGCCTCTCCGAGTCCCAGCTGGTTCCCTGCCCTGTCCTGGACCCTTCCTCTCCAGGAACAGGCCCAGCTCCAGTTCCTCTGTCACTGTTTCCCACCACCTCCTGCCCCAGGTCTGCCTGGGCCCTGCTGATCTCCTAATTCTGCCTCTGCTCCAGCACCCCCTGCTCCAGCCCTGCTGGCTGCCTGGGAGCCGGCAGATGCTTCCTCTGAGCTGCCTTTTCCAGATCAAGTTTGCATCCAAGGAAGCGAGCCTGAGACTCCCAGCCAGCTGGGGGAGACAAGTTCGAGGGAAGTACCCCAAGGTAGCTTGCCAGAGGGCAGCCTCGCTCTTGGGCAGATTTTTCCTCTGGTCCAGTTTGTTGTTGGATGGAGCAGGCAGATCTACCTTCCCCACTGACTCAGGCCTTGGGTGCTCGGATGGAGACTGTGGCCGAAGAGCTGTGTTGAGCAGGGCTCTGAGGCTGCATCTATGATACTAGGAAGGAGACTCATTATTGATTAGTGATGCCTGCTGTGGACCCAGGATGGAGGATAGGGGCCACGCTGGCCTCATAGGTGTGTCTGCGGCACCCAGTAGGTCCTCAGGTCTGCACTCCCCTGTTGTACCTCTAAATCTTCAAGTATAACAAATGCTGTTTGAAAATACCTTATGATGGTGGGCCGAGGTGGGAGGATCGCTTGAGGCCGGGAGTTCCAGACCAGGCTGGGCAACAGAGTGAGAACCCATCTCTAGAGGGGAAAAAAAAAGAACTAGCTGAGTGTAGTGGTGCACGCCTGTAGTCCCAGTTACTTGAGAGGCTGAGGTGGGAGAATTGCTTGAGCCCAGGAGATTGAGGCTGAAGTGGGCTATGACTGTGCCACTCCACTCCAGCCTGGGCAACAGGGCAAGACCCCCCATCTGTCTTAAAAAAAAAAAAAGGAGAAAAAGAGAGAGAGAAAATACCCCATGGCCTTGGTTTCCTTATCTGTGAAATGGGGATGATGATGACAAGCCCCCAGAGGGCTTCCCCGCACCCTGGCAGTGACTGACACAGAGGCCCTGAGAGCTGCGTGTTCCAGAGTCATGCAGCTGGTACATGGCCGAGCTGGTGGGGTTTGAACCCTGGGTGCCTGAGTCAGGGAGAACAGGCGGAACAGTTGGGCCAGGGAGGGGAAGGTGCTGCCCAGAGCTCCCAGTGACCTTGGACCCCACTTCTCCTTTCTGCCCAGTGTGCTCGGCACACAGGAAGCCTGGCGGGGCCTCCCTTGCCCATCCTGTCTGCAGCCGGGTGGACACGGGGTCCCGGCGTCACCCACCGCCACCCAGGCCTCCTCCTTCCTGTGTTGTGCAAGACGAGGCGTCCCCTGTGTGGAATGGGCAGGCAGCTCTGGCGATGGGTGGACGGGTGAATGGGGGCCTCTCAGGCGGGGTCACTGCCCGCGGTTACCTCTAGCAGGCCTGGCCTAAGCCTCCGCCCCTTCCTCCTCCTTCTCCTCCTCCTCTGTTTCCCCAAAGTTCAGGCAGCCTTAAGCAAGAGGCTGTGGGACCCAGGAAACTGGGGAGGTTGTCCAGCCACCATCTTGTCCCCACAGAGCAGACCTAGGCTTGCGCAGTCTTGGAGAGGTCCTAAACAACAACAACAACAAAACTATAATAATAATGATAATAGCTGTTATAGTGGAGTGGCTTCTATGCACCAGGCATGCTCTCATTTAACCACAAATACATAAAACGCACCTCCTATGTGCCACGTGTGATTCTCAGACCTTTACCTCATGTCCCATCGAATCCCCGGCAACCCTTGTGAAACAGTTTTTTTTTTGTTTTTTTTTAATGATTCCTTTCTTCAGAGTAGAAAACTGAGGCTCTGAGAGATGAAGCTACTTGCCAAGGTCACGCAGCACAGTCACATCCTACTGAACATCATCCTGTTCTCTGGGGTGAGTGCTGTCCTGGAAGTTGGGGGGCTCAGAAGCTGTTGGTGCCCACCTGGGAGGTCGCCCTTGCAGCTGCTATCCTGAATCTCTTGCCCAAGGGCTTCCTCTGGCCACAAGAGTGTGGGAAGCAAGTGAGAGACCCCTGCCAGTAGAGGTGGGGTCTGTTTGTCCCCCCACTCAGCTTCCTTGCTTCTGGCTCAGGGGACAGTGGGAAGGTACTTTCTGCGAGTTGTCCCAGAGGCCTCTAGGGGGTTGGGCTCCTGTTGCCCACTGAGGAGACCTGCTCATCTACCTTCCTTGTGTCACTTCCTCACTCCTTCCCAGTGTTTCTAGAATCACCTCCCAAATATCCCACTTGCACCCAAAACCTTGTCTTGGGTCAGCTTCTGGGAGCCGACCTAAGCCAGCAGCTATAATGCTCAGGGCTTAAGAGCTTTGGAATCAGATGGACCTGAGTGTGAATCCCGCCCCTGCCACTTAACCTGAGTGTGAACTTGGGAGCCTGCCCCACCTCTCGGAACCTCAGTTCCTCCATCTATGAAAAGGGAACTTACGTGCAGAAAACCAAGTGACTATGAGGGGGATGGGGCAGTGTGAGATGACGGGACCAGAGCACGTTCCTGGCTGCAGAGGCCACAAGTCACGCTGTCTCTGAGAGGTATGGGGACAGGGGCGCAGAGGAAGAATGATCGCGAGTCCTCAGCCCTGTTTGGCTGACGGGGGACAGGGATGGGTGGGAAAGAGGTACAGCGTTTTTCCACCTTCCCCACCCATCACCCCTGAGATTCCAAATGAACATCGGGACCAACCCCGGGAGCCCAGCGGATGTTCAGGGTAGGGCAAAGAACAGGTGCCAAGTTTGCTCCCTGGGGTGTGAGACTGGGCAGCCTCAAGAGCTGCATTGGTAGGACTTTCACCAGGTAGACAGCAGGCACCTCGCCCCTGCAGATCACAGCTTCCAGGGCCACCTGTCCACAGAATCCCTTCACTGATCTGTGCTTGAGGCAGGGGTGTGTGGACTGGGAGTCCTTCTTTTACTCTGGGTGGGGCCTCATGCTCAGAGGGAGCTCTGTCTACCCCCACCACAAACCTGCAGTTTCCCTGCTACAGCGATGGCAACCTCAGCCACCTGGCTGCCCAGGCCCCCAACCTGGGTTCTCCCTCTTGTTCCCATGGTCAGCCCATCAGCAAACTCATCCACATGTCCAAGGGTCCACCCCCACTACCCTGCCCTGCCCTGGTCCAGCTAGGATGTTTGCAGTCGTCTCCTCATTGGTCTCCCTGCCTCCTCTCTCGCCTTCCTAAGCCAGAGGAATTCTGTAAGAGCTCAAGTTAGATCCTATCCCTTCTCTGCTCAGAACCCTCTATGGCTCCCAACTCACTCAGAGCAGAAGCCCACAGGGCCTGCAGGATCTCTGCCCTGGCCCCGCCTGACCTCACTGCCTCTCCCTTCTCTGTTCACCCACAGCCACGGTGGCCTCATCTCTCTGCCATAAACTTGCCAATTATCCTGCTGCTGCCTCATTGACTTCGCACCCACTCTTCCCTCTGGAACAGAGGACACTCTCGCCAGCTCTCCCCATGGCGGATCCTTGTCTAGGGTCAGGCCTCTGCTCCAAAGTCACCCCTGGGGACACCTTCTCTGACCAGCCCCTCATTCCTATGGCCTCATGCTGTTTTTATTTCTTCCTAGGACTTAGCACGTATCCTAGAAATTAACCTGCTGGTATATCCTGTTTCTTGTCTGTCTCTTTCCAGTGGAATGTCACCATCGCCCAGGTGGGGATTTTTGTGTGTTTTGTTCACTGCTGTACACCCAGCCCCCAGCACAGCGCCTGTCCAGGACAAGTGCCCAGTAAACACTTGGGAAGCAATGCAAGCGTGCGTGCATGGATAAGTATTTCTTTGGCAGATGAGGGGGCTAAGGTTCAGAGAAGGCCCTGGGGGTCTCAGACTCATAGCCCAGTGCTCTTTCTGCTGACACGCCCTGGTCTCTGGGGCAGTTTGTTGCCTGTTCAGCAACAAAGAGGGTGTGCCTCGTTAGGGGTCCTGCGTGCGAATCGCAGTCCCTGCGTGTCTTGGCTGGAGGTCACCACCCTCTCTGCTCCAGGGCCTGTAATTACCACTTACCCTGGTCAATGGGTCCGAGAGATTACCCTTGTAGGCAGGGCTGTGGCCAGGGTGCTCACCTGGCCCCCAGCAGGTCCCATGGGCACTGTCTGGCCGGGCTTCATGGCTGACATTCCAGGTACATTTCTAGCCCTGGGCTGCCATGGGCAGAGGGTGGGGAGAGGGTCGTGGGCTTCAGGCTGGACAAACCAGTCAGCCTTCCCAGCTGGGCCGCCTGACCACCCACTTCCTGTGGGGCTCCTTGAGGCCTGGAGGGTGGAGGGGGTCTCTGTTCAACCCCCACCCATGCCCTCTTCCCTTCTCTCCCTCGGCAGGTCCTCCCAGCAGCTCCTGCAAACAGACCCCCGACCCAAGCCCTTCCTTCTGCCTCCACTGCCACCACTGCTGCTCATCTCTGCTGGCACAGAAGTCTCTTCCCTGGTCTTCCAGAAATCCCCTCTCCACACTCAGCCAGAGGGAGCTATTAAAACTGTGGGCCAGCCCACATCAGTCCACAGCAAAGTCCTCTCTAAGGGATCTCTGTTGCTTGGAGAATAAACCCTCGGATTCCTTCCTTGGCTCTCGGGGCCTCCTCTCTGACCTCCCTCTGTCTCCTCTCCCAGCCTTCCTCCTCACTCACCCTCCAGCCATGCTGGCTTCCTCCTTGCTCCTGAAACAGCCTGAGGCCCACACTGCCCCGGGCCCTTTGCACTGGCTGTTTCCTCTGCCTGGAACACTTCTCCTAGGCATCCACAGGGCTCCCTCCCACAACTCCTTCGGGTGCCCACATGGGAAGCCATCCCTGACCACCCCCCCGACTTCCTTCTGAGCAAGGTAGGGTCTTTCTACCTAGTCATGAGGGCAGGGATTTTTGTCTGTTGTGTTCTCTGTGTGCCCCCAGTGCCATCCCAGTGCCTGGCAGATGGTAAGTGCTCGACACACATTGGCTGACTGCCTGAATGAACAACTCTATGAGCCGATGGCAGATAAGGACACTGAGGTCCTCTGGGGTAGGTGACCAGCCCAAGGCCACACAGCTGGTCTGAGATTAGGCCAGGAGAGGAGCCCGGGTTGGTCACATCCTGGAGTTGGCGTCTTGGAAACTGCATCAGGAGAATAACAAAGATGAGACGCAGGCTCTAACAAGTGGATACCAGTGACTCTCGCCCCGCCAGCCCCAGCCCTGCAGCCTTGGGCCCTTCCAGGAGTCATGGTCTGCCTGCCTGGGGCATTCCAGGCTTCGACCCAGGTCCTGCACTTTCTATTTTGAGCCTCTTAGTCCTGAGGACTGTGTGTTCCCAGCAGGCGGCGCGGGCCAGAGGCTGAGCCTGGGTGTGGCTGTCACCCTATCTGGGGCCAGAGACCCAGATTCCCGGGCCCTTAACCTGTTGGCTGCTGAGGGCTCTGGCATAAGCCCTGTTCCCTGCTTGATTGTCTCCCCTTCAAGCCCCTGCCCTGGTATCGTATCGGCCCATCTCACCTTGGATTATATCCCTGTTTGGCCCCATTTGAATCCTGGCTCTGCCCCTTTCCAGCAATGTGACCTTGGGCAAGTCACTTCATCTCTCTGGGTCTCAGTTTCTTCATCTGGGAAATGGGGACAATAAGAGTACCTGTCTCTGGCCATGTGTGGTGACTCATGCCTGTAACCCCAGCGCTTTGGGAAGCCGAGGCGAGAGAATTGCTTGAGACCAGGAGTTTGAGATCAGCCCTGGGCAACATAGTGAGACCCCTGTCTCTACAAAATTCTAAAAAAATTAGCCGGGTGTGGTGGTGTGTGCCTGTAGTCCCAGCTATTCTAGAGGCTGAGGCGGGAGGATTGCTTGAGCCCAGGAGTTTGAGGCTGCAGTGAGCTATGATTATGCCCCTGCACATCAGCCTGGGTGATAGATTGAGGCCCCATCTCTAAAAATAACAATACTAATAATAAATAAAAATGAAAATGAGTACCTGTCTTCTGGGGTTGCAGAGGAGATTCAATGTGATGAAATTGATGAGAGTGCCCTGCAGGGAGCCGGAAACTCAGGGAGCATCGATAATGAGTCCCCCACCATCAGCAGCTGGCTTAAATATAAAAACTGTCATGGCCTCTGGAGAAATGACAAGAATTCGAAGGAGCTTCCCTGCACTGGCCACCCTACACCCTACACCCTTACTTCCTCCCCTCAACTTGCCTGGATTTATCGACCCCCACTACCCCACTGGTTGCCTTCTCTCCACCTGGCACATTTCGTATGAATTTGCTTGTTGGTTCTTGCCTATCTCCCCAGTAGAACATTAGCTCCTTCAGGACAGGGACTTTTGTCTACCTTATGCACCTAGTGCAATGCCTGGCACACAGTCGGTGCTTAATAAATGTTTCTTAAAAGAACCAATAAATGAATAGTGACCTCTCCGGGGAGAGGAGCCCTGAGCTCACCTCCTGCCCCCAGCCCAGGGCTCTTAGGTGCTTGTTGGTGTCAGGCCCAGGCCCCCCTCTCATCAAGCAGCCAATAAAACTGCCCTGGTTGGCGTTCTCATTTCACAGATGGAGAGACTGAGCCCAGAGAGGGAGAGTCACCTGTCTGATGTCACACAGAGGTCAGCATCTGGGCTGGGATTCCAGCCCAGGACCATGTGGGGTGGGGGGCAGTGGATCAATCTTTTCCTGGAGGGAGTCAATGGTGATGGTGGGAATGGGTCAGGGGTGCTGGCAAGGAGGGTCCAAGGCCCCCAGGAGGGAGGGAGGCATGGGAGATGAGTTTGTCCCTCTTGAGTTCTGTCTCTCTCTGTGTCTCTCTGTTTCTGCCTCTTTCTGTCTCCTTGTATTTCTCAGTCCCTGTCTTCGTCTATACCTCTTTCTCTCTTCCTTGTGTATCTGACCCACTGCCCAGGAGGGGATGCAGGCAGAGACCCCTGGCTTGGGTCCTGGAGTTGGGGCCCACGAGGGGATTGACATCTGGGGTTGAGCTGGGAATCTGAAGCCAGACCCTGCAGCCAGGGACAGCATTCCAGTCTCGGCTCCACACTCCAGGGATAGCCTTGGAACGCCAGGCAGTTCAGAGAGCCTGAGGTCTGGTCTTGGAGACCTGGGTTCCAATCCCAGCTTTGCCACATTCCAGCCATGTGGCCTTGGGCCCTTAGCCTTTGTTCCTGTAAAATGGGACCACTGAGAGCCCGATCTCAGGGTTTTATGAGGAGGAACGATGAGAGGGCTGTGCTGGGCTTCCTGAAGCCCTGTGTGGCCTGGAAAGCACTCAATAGATGATAACTCAGTGTAATGATTTCTTCTAGCAGATGGGGAAAGCGAGAGTTAAAGAGGCCCGATCATTTCACTCACTCATTCCTCAAACGTTATTAAGCACCTGCTATGCACCAGGTGCTTTGTTTTGTATCCATTAACTCAGGGTTCAGCAAACTACAGCCTCCAGGCCAAATCTGGTTCACAGCCTGTTTTTATAAATAAAGTTTTATTGGCACACAGTATGCCCATTCATTTACATATTGTCCACAGCTGCCTTTACCCTACAACTGCAATGTTGAGCAGTTGTGAGAGAGACCTTAAAACCCACAAAGCTGAACATATGAACTCTCTGGACATTTACAGTAAAGTTTGCTAATCCCTGGATTAGCCCATTACAACCCTGGAGGAAGGACATGTCATAAGCTTGATTTTATGGATTAGGAACTGAGGTCCGAGCGCAGTGTCTGCCACAAGGTTGGGTCTCCATACGTAATATCTGGGTCTTATTCCTCCTCTTCTGCCCCATGGGGAGCTGCCAACTCCTGTTCCCTTTCCCTATCCTGCATGGATCATAAGTGGATAATTTGAATCCCGCAGAGGAAGGAATGCTGTTTGAAGGTCAGGTCAATGGAAAGAGTCCTATTTTCAGGTCAATTTGGACCTTGCCAAAGCCTCTTCCTTCTGGTGACCTTAGCTGAGAGGTCTGCCACTAGCAGGTGCTTCATGAACAGTTGCTGAACAAGTGGTGTGCATCATGCTCCCGCTGTGAACTTCAGCTTGCTTGAAGGCGGATTCCTCCAGGTAATTGCAGGAGACCCCACGGCCGGCCACACACCACCGTTGGGATGAAAGATGGCCTCGAGCCATCGGTGGGAGAACACCCTGGGCAGGGAGATGCTTTCTAGAGCTCCACGGAAGTGGGGGAGGGGATCTCACTGCCCGCCAAGCATGCCCTGGAGTCTTTGTCCCTTCCTCCCTCATGCTGGAGGCCTGCAGGTACCTGGCTTGAGACGTTGCCTGGCCCTCAAAACACCCAGGTTCCCCCCAAGCTCCTCCCCAGCCTCCTCCCTGCTGACCTTGGGGAGCTCCCGGTTTGCCCTCAGCCCTTTTCTGGAGGCCCCAGAATCACCAAGAGGTAATCCTGCCTGCTGCCTGGAGGAGGCGATGTGGGAGACTCAGGAACCTGGGGTGTCCCCCAGCCAGGGGGCGGGCGTTGTGATCCGGCGCTGCTGAGCACTGCAGTGCCTTCCCTGATGGCCTTGTGTGCCGCTCCCTGACCCTCCCGTAGAGCAGCCTTCCCATACTGCTGGGTGACACTTGCGTAAATCATTTCACCTCTTGGCTCTGTAAAACGGGACTGGGGTGGTCCCTACCCCTTCAGGGTGTCGTGAGAATGAAAGGCATCAAGTGGGCAAAGCGCTTGGCATGGCCCTGAACCATGGTGGGCATTTGTCACACACGCTCATGGACTTATTCCTGGGTCCCTAGGATACCCTGGAGCTCCTCCCCAGGTTGGACCTGCTGCTAGCATGAGAGGGAAGAAGGGGGACACAGACACCAAAGACAGTTCTCGTCCTCATCTAAATGCTGGCGACTTCCAAGGGCACCTCCCCAAGGCCTCCCCTGAGCCTAGACTCAGGGGTCTCCACCCACCTGTCTCTGTCCCTGCTGGGATGACCAGGAGAAGCCTCAAACCCAGGTTGGCCAGGACTCCATTCCTGATCTGCCCCCCGAAGCCAGTCCTGCCTCTACTGATGGCTCCTGCATCCTCCAGGTGGTCCCCCAAACCTGGGAGTCTCCCCTGCCTTCTTCTTCTCACTTGCTCCCACATCTGATCGCTCATCACATCCTGTCGACTCCACCTTCAAGGTAGACCCGGAGTCTGCCCTCGTCTCCCCACCTCCACGGCCCCCGCTTCGGCCACGGCCACCAGCACCACCGCCTGGACTGGTGCAGTCACTTCCTCCTGGCTTCCTTTTCTCCCTCAGCCCCTCACAGTCTGTTCTCCACACACGACCAGAGGGACCTGTCAGAAGGGACCTATACCTTCCAGCACAGACCCTCCCAGGGATCCCAGCTCTCTGAGTGAAAGCTCCCTGTGGCCCGTGAGGCCGGGTGCGACCCTGGCCCCCCAGCAAACCCTCCACTTGTCTGATGACCTCGCTGCCTCTCTCCCTCGCGTACTCCCTTCCAGCCCTGATAGCTTCCTGCTGTTCCTCAAGAAGCCCTGGGTCTTTCCACCTCAAGGTCTTTGCAGGTCCCTGGAGCCCTTGTCCACCATGGATGTCCACGGCTCCCTCACCTCCTTCAGGTCTGAGCTCGGATGCCACTCTCGACAGCCACCTTCTCTGACCCTTCCCCTGGCTTAAGTAGCCTCTGCCTGCTCGACAATCTCTCCCTCTACGCCCCTGACCATCCCGTGTTCTTTTTTCATAGGGGGAGGGGAAAGGCACTCCCAGGAGAGTGGACAGTGTGGGCCAGGGCCTGGACGTGTGGGCAGCAAGAGGGTGGGTGAGGGGAGAGTGGTGGAGCCTGGGTGGCTGAGCTTCAGGGGGAGGCATCCTCCAGGCAGGAGTGAGCAGGCCAGGGTCACCCTGACTCCGTCAGCCACTGGTTGTGTGACTTCAGGGAGCTCTCTCTGGACCCAAGAACCTGCAACTGCTGTTGGAGACCCACTAAGTGGACCTGTCATCTGACAGAGGGGGAAACTGAGTCTCCAAAGCTGCTGCTGTGACCTGCTGAAAGGGTCAGCCCAGGGATAGGGACAAACCAGGGGCTTCTAGCAGTCACTTGCACCTCAGTGTGAGTGAGCTCCCTGGATTCTTGGCTGTCTGGTAGCCCCTAGACCCCATGGGGCTTGGGAGGCAGAGTGATGGCAGGGCTGAGCCTGGGGTGGAGTCAGGGCTGTGTCAAGTCCCGGCCCAGCCTCTGTCCCGGCCCCTGGCTCCCTGCAGGGTGCTGGATTGCACAATCATACCACCCACAGCTGTGACCAAGGCAGGTGACACACGCTTTCTGGGAGCCACCCTTGGGCCGTGCAGCCTCGTCACACACACAGGGCCACCGATGGCATGGATGCACCCCGGCACATCCTGACTGCGAGGAGTGACTGCTCCTCACACTGCCACTTCCGGGCTGTGTGACTCTGGGCAAGTCACTTCCCCTCTCTGAGCCTCTTTTCCTCTTCTGTAAGAGGAGGTAATATAGTGCCTGCTCCCCTGGCTGTTGGAGGGATTGACTCTGCCCCCGCCATGCTGGCCCTCTGGCTGGTCCTCAAATGCACCGGGCATGCCCCACCCAGGGCCTCCACCTGCGCCCTTCCCTTTGCTTGGGCCGGCCCTTGCACCTCCTTCAAGTCTCTGCTCAAACGTCGCAGCTCATGAGGCCTTTCCTGCCCCTGACACTCCCTCCTTACTGAATTCCTCCCTGCATCTCTCAGTGCTACCTGACTCATCATGGTTCCTGCTTGTTTTGTCTACCCGCTCCTGGGTGGCAGCTCCATCTTTGTCTCTCTTGGTCATCACTGTGTCCCCAGATCCCAACAAAGCACCTCGTACAAGAAAGTGCTCAGTCCATAGTTGCAGAATAAATGAATGAATGAATGAATGAATGAATGAATGGAAAGTGCTTAGCTCCACGCCCGACCCTTAGTAAGCACCTGAAACCCAATGCCGTGTGGTGGTGTTAGCTTTGGCTCCCGATTTCTAGCCCCATCCAATCCCACCCTCATCAGCCCGGCGCCCGTGCTTTCTCTGCCTGGCCAGCTTCCTGCTGCCTGCACAGTCTCCTCCCTGGGTCAGGACGACCTCTGAGGGAATCGTGGGCCTGCACGGCTGGCTCCCTCTGGCTCTGCCTCCAGCTCCTCTTACATCTCCCGGGGGCAGAGGCTTCTGGGAAACAGGCTTTGAAGCTCCCCTGGGTCAGACCCGCTGGGGCCTTCCTTAGGCATTGCCTGATGTGACCCCATTAGTGAACAAATGGGGACAGTGAGACCTAGAGAGGGGCAGCCATGTCCGATGTCAGGCTTCGGGGCTCCCAAAACATCCAGGGAAGCTTCCAGGACTCTGGCTTCTTTGTTGTTTTTGGAACAGAGCTGAGCTCAGGTGCCTGTTTTCTAGATGACAAAACTGAACCCCGTTACAGGCTTTGGAGCCAGGTTTGAATCTCAGTCCTCTTACTTCCTGGCTGTGTGATCGAGGTTTGTCACTTGGTCCCTCTGAGGCTCAGCTTCCTTGTCTGCAAAATGGCACCCTAATGGTACCCAACTCACGGAGGTGTTTGGGGGGACAAGGTCAGCCATCCTGCAGGCAGGTGGGGTCTCTGGCCTCTCCCACGGGGTCCTGGGACTCCTGGCTCCGGAACCCCCAAGGCCCAGCCCCTCCAGGGCCCGCATGGTTCCCTCCTTGCTGGGATAATTTACAGTCCCAGGGCCATAGCTGCTGTTGCTTTATTTTTTTCCCTTCCCCGACTTCTCCCTTCCTCACCCTGGCCTCACTTCTCCAGAACCAGCTTGTTTTTGTTTTCTGTTTTTACGGCTCCATAAATGAGTCACGGGTCTGATTTGATTTAATTTCGTTGTAATTGTTATCTTTTCAAGCTTGTTTTTTTCCACTCGGTTACTCACGAGACCACAAAAACCTAAACAGGACGGGGCCTTCCCCAGCCCGGCCTCCTGGTCCCCCGGGACTCCGGGCCAGGGTCAGCAGCTCCTGGAGACTGAGGTGGGGTCTGTGGAGCTTCTGTGGGGAGGGACTTGGTGTCCCCAGCAGGACTGGGTATCCCGAGTCCCGGGCTGCAGCTCTGTTGCTGGACAGCCTTGAGAGAATTGTTCGAGCTTTCTGATTTCCCCAGCATCCTCCTTAGCAGGCTTTAGAACAGGGAACCAAAACCCAGGCACCTCTGGGCCAGAAGGTGAAAGGATGAGTAAGGTGGCCTGGTGCTGGCTCCGGTGAACTGGAGAGAACAGGCTCTCCTCAGGGGACGGTGGCCTCTGAGCCAGCAGGCGGCCCGGATCTTCCCATTTAGTAAGAGAAGCCAGAAGTCTGAGATTGTATGTGAAAAGTCCTGATTTTTAAATGTTGGCCAACGAGTCAAATTAAAAACAAATAAACAAAACCTGACTCTGTGGATATCTGTGGCCCCGTGGGCCACCTCTGGTCTAGAAGGTTCCAATTCTAGCTGCGGCAGCCGTGTTCTCAGTCCTTCCACCCTTCTGCCTGAGCAGTCCCCTCTGCCTGAAACTCTCTCCTTCTTCCTCCTCATCTCAGTCACTCTCATTCTCTGAACCTCGGTGTGTCTCCTGTTCGCAGCTCAGAAGAGATGACATCTGCTTCATCCATGTTCGCCTTCCCAAGGCGCCTAGTTGTTCCCAATTCACTTTTGTTTCTATGCTTTCTCTTCCATGGAGGGTCTGTCTTGTTTGAGACCGCCTTCGTAGTGGGGGAAATTAGCCCCTTAGTTGTTAAAAGTCATAACACATATCCTGCCTGTCTTATCATTCATTTCTAAAATGGGGCACGATACTTCTTTGGTCATTTAAAAACCGAAGACGCGAGGCCGACGCCTCCAGGGATGTGCGCTGGGCGGTAGGAGCCAGGTGTGGGGCCAAGGAGTGGGGGCGGAGGAGGAAGCCAGGTCCCCAGCCAGGGGGCTGAGGGCTGCTCCTCCAAAGCTTGGGTATGGACATGTGACCAGGGCCCACCAATCACATGCAGCCATGCCAGATTTATGAATCAGAAGTTGGAAATGTTGGGGGCTGATTGCTTAGGACTCCGTTCTGGGGTGGGTGGGGCTGCAGCCCGGCTATTTTTCCAGAAGCTGCAGTGGGCCAGTTCTGGGGGCAGTGACCAGGGCTCAGCGGTGGCCACAGTGCAGATGGAATCATTTTGCAGAAATGACCCTCCCCGTGATTATGTCAGGAATGTCAAGTACAATGAAAAGAACACTGCATTGTGCAGTCATGCAATTTGGTTTAAATATGTTTAAATGTATCCACGCTTGCTTTAGTGTGTTCATTCTAAGAATCTGTGTGCACCACAGCAATTATATGATAATTGTGTTAGGTCAAAGAGAAAATCAATTTATTTTCACAATTTTTATCCCCCACGTGGCAAGACAGTGACCTAGTCAAATCTCTCTAAGGTCATTCTTTTTTTTTTTTTTAAGACAGAGTCTTGCTCTGTTGCCCAGGCTGGAGTGCAGTGGCACAATCTCGGCTCACTGCAAGCTCCGCCTCACGGGTTCACGCCATTCTCCTGCCTCAGCCTCCCAAGTAGCTGGCACTACAGGCGCATGCCGCCACGCCGGGCTAATTTTTTTTTTGTATTTTTAGTAGAGACGGGGTTTCACTGTGTTAGCCAGGATGGTCTCGATCTCCTGACCTCGTGATCTGGCTGCCTCAGCCTCCCAAAGTGCTGGGATTACAGGCATGAGCCACTGCGTCCGGCCATTCTCTAAGGTCATTCTTCATTATGATGCTTTGGCTCTGGTTCTTGGTGAATAACTCACTTTACATGGCTTTTTCCTGAGCCAAATTGTCCATCTTTATTTTCTGAGCTGTGGCCGGAGGTCTCCAGAAGCCCCCTCCCAGCGCCTCCCTGGGTGTGTCTCATGCTGCAAAGGGCATGGCGATCTGCAGGCTGGTGCTGCACTCCTGGAGTCCTGATGGCTGTGAAGCCCTGGGACCCATGCAAGCTGAGCTCTGTCACCCACCACCACCTGTGGCCTCAGCCTTCCCAAACTCCTGGCTCAGCCCCTGCCTCACCTTCTCTTTCACCTACTTGTCATCCCCTCTTTAAGCGAGGCCTTGGGTGAGACCCCTGGGCAATGCTCTGGGCCTCAAATGGAAGCTCCATGGATGCTTCAGATGCTTCAGATCATGGAGTCCTGGAACTACTGAATTTTTTCCTCCAGGACGAAGGAATCACCAGCCCTCAGCAGACTAAACCTTTGCAACTCTAAAATTCAAATGCACAGGAGACCTGGTAGACCAAGTCATGTGCTTGTTTGGGAAGCATTTATTGAGCATCTAGTATGTGCTAAAGTACTAGGGAGACAGCAGGAAACAAAATGGACTAACCCTTTGACTTTATGGCTCTTAGGTTTTGGGAGGGGGAGACAGCAAAGAAATGACAAATAAGTGAAAGACATAGCATGTCCCATAGTGAGACCACTGGGAAAAGGGGCTGAGTCTGCAGGAATTGAAGGGGCTGGCCACACAGATGTCTGGGACAGAGCATTCCAGATCGTAGGAAAAGCAGATGCAAAGGCCCTGAGGTTGGAACAAGCTTGCATTGTGGGGGAAAGTGAAGGAGAGCCAGAGATCATCCAGGCCCTGAGGGCCTCAGGAGGAGGAGGAGTTTGAATTTTATTGCAAGTGAGGCGGGAGCATTGGAGGGCTCTGGGCACAGGAGGGAGATGGCCTGACTCAGGTTCTAACACCAGGTTCCTCAGCTTCGGCACCATTAACATTTGGGGCTGGATGCTGCTCTGTAGTGGGGTCGTCTTGTGCAGTGTAGGATGTTAAGCAGCGTCCCCGGCCTCTGCCCACTGGAGAGGTTGCCAGTCGCACCTCCTCCCCAAACCCAGCTGTGACAACTAAAATTATTTCCAGACATTGCGGAATGTGTCCTGGGTGCAGGATCTCTCTGGCTGCAAATGGGGCAAGTGGACTGTGGGGGGCCAGGATGTTGTGATGAGAGCAGAGAACCCAGCAGAGATGACTCCCCTAGTCTAGGACAAAAGGAGGGCGATGGCAGCAGAGGTGGGAGAAGGGACTGGATTCTGTTTGGAAGGCAAAGCCAGCAGGATTTGTTGGATTGGGCGAGGGAGATGTTGGAGTGGATAGGTGGATGCAGGCGCTATCGTTTGCTGAGATGGGGAACTGGTTTGAGGGGCCAACTTCATAGGTCTAGGGCAGGGCCCAGAACCTGGCGTGGTCACAACCTGGCCTCAGGGGGTGCTGAGTTTTTCACACTGTGCTTCAAAGAATTTAAGTGTCCAGAGGATGTACACTGGGGAAGGGTCTCTTCTACCGGTGCAGATGGGAACAAGTGGGCAGGCGGCCTTTCCTTGCCAGCAGACCAGGAGACTCTAAGATGCTTTTTCAAGGGAGTCAGAGGATCAGCCTCATTGGAGGACTGGTTCCAAAAGGCAGCCTCACAGCCAGGCGCGATAGCTCATGCCTGTAATCCCAGCACTCTGGGAGGCTGAGATGGGAGGATTGTGTGAGCCTAAGAGTTAGAGACTAGCCTGGGCAACATGGCGAAACCCTGTCTCTAAAAGAAAATAAATAAATAATAATAAAAATTAGAATAAAATAAAAGAAGGGATTCTGAGACTGAAAAAAGCCAAACTCAGGTGCTGCCAGGGCTGGGCAAGCAGCACTCATGGTGAAGTGGTGGGAGAGGGGTGCAGGCCTGTCTAAAGGGGTGGACGCTGCTCAGTTTCTGCCAGTGTCGCCCCGTGGGAAGCCGGGACTGACAGTTTTTCATGAGAAGCTGTAAATCTAGATCGGGGTGTCCAACCTTTTGGCTTCCCTGGGCCACACATAAAATACACTAACACTAACGATAGCTGATGAGCTAAAAAGAAAAAATCGCAAACAAAATCTCATGTTTTAAGAAACATTATGAATTTGTGTGGGGCCGTATTCATAGCCATCCTGGGCCACATGTGGCCTGTTGTTCGCGGGTTGGACAAGCTTGATCTAGATTGCTATATGAAACCTGTTGATATTTAAATGTTAGGGCAAATATCAGGCCAGGTTTGGCCTGAAGGCCGTGAGTTTGAGGCCTCTGTGATACTGCAGCCCTTCTATTTTGCAGGTAAGGAGCTGGCGGGGAGAGTTAGCACAGCTGCCTCCGAGCCTGGCAGATGGTCCTGGATCGGGGCTGGACGGGGTGACTTGGAGAGGTGGTGCTTGGACTCAACTGTGAAGAAGGGTCAGATTCCCACAAAAAAGAGGAGAGGGCATTGCAGGGGGCGGAGGAGTGTGAGCGAGCATGTGTGGCGGGAATATGGAAGACTGTTTTCCAGGTGGAGGGAGGTAAGAAGACGGGGAACTGGAAAAAGAGTTGAAGGAGACGGGTTGATGAGGATGATGGGGAATACACGGACACGGAAGGTCAGACTGGACCCAAAAGAGGGTTGGAAAAATCACCCAAACACTTCAATAATATTAGTAACTTCACTTCTGAAATTGTGTGGCAACAAGCAGCGCGTTTATTTTACCACTTACTTCGGGTTCTTGGCAACCCTGCGTACACCAGGGAACGCTTGCCCAACAAGAAACATTCTCACTCGCAGATTGTTTACAAACGCCTCGAAAATTTTTGTAATATTTTTGTAAATATTAAATTAGAAATTTAATATAGAATTATAAAGTGTGAGTGGGTTAATTAAAGATTTTAAAATTTCAACTTAGCAGGTTTTTCTTTTTCTTTTTTTTGAGACAGGGTCGCGCCTAGCAGGCTGGAGTGCAGTGGTACAATCTCAGCTCACTGCAACCTCCACATCCCGGGTTCAAGTGATTCTCCCACATCGGCCTCCTGAGTAGCTGGGACTACAGGCATGCACCACCACACCTGGCTAAGTTTTGTATTTTTTGATAGAGACAGGGTTTCACCATGTTGGCCAGGCTGGTCTCCAACTCCTGACTGCAAGTGATCCACCTGCCTCGGCCTCCCAAAGTGCTGGGATTACAGTAGTGAGCCACCACACCTGGCCAGCAGATTTCTTTAAGTATTTTAGAGGCAATATTTTTTCCCCAAAATCTCCCTTGTGCAAATTTTCTACCTCACAGCTGCCAAAATTTGAGGTGGTGGACAAAAATAGTTGATATATAATGATAGAAAGACGTAAGTGAGGTATATATATAGAGAGAGTCTAGAAAGAGTTCGCTTTCAAAGGGGAGGATCAGGGCAGTCTCCCTGGAGGAGGAGGTTTTGAATACGTGCGTTGAAGGGTGGGTGAAATCCAGACCAGGCAGGTGGGTTAGGGAAAGTGAGGGCATGCCGGGTGAAGGGCCCTGTGTGTGCACAAGGGTGAGGTGGGAATGATGAGTGTGAGAGTTTGTACCAAGGGGGCTGGGGCTGGGGTGCCAAGAACCAAAGAGCCATGATAAGGCCTGTCTGGGGCTCAGCCAAACTGGGGAGTAGTACACGAGAAGAGGAATGGGGAGCCCTAGAGGGTTTTAAGTAGGGGAGGAACGTGGAGTCCATAGCAAGGCAGAGTGGCTGGTGGGGAGGTGGGGAGGATGCCATGGCAACCATTCACGCCAAGCCTCAGCCCCGACCCTCAAGGAGGCAGGCAAGGCTGAGCTTCCCTTTCCAGATTGTTTGTGGGTGCAAAAGGGCAGCAAAGAATGTGGGTGCCTTGTCCTTCTGCCCATGGTCTAGTGTCCTTCCCCTCACCCCAGTCCCAGTGGAGCCATCATAGGTGAAATATAAGAACAAGTCACCTGCGTTCAGTGGCTGCAGAATACCTGGCCTCGCACAGAAGGCTGCGGGGATTTCTGCTCATTCATTCTTCCCACCTGCCGCATGAGGGAGGTGCTATGTCCATTTTACAGAGGACACTGAGTCCCAGAGAGGCTAAGCGGCATGCCCGAGGTTACACAGCCAAGAAGGGGCACAGCAAGATTCAACCCAAAAGTCTGCACTCCAGCCACTGCCCTATCATGACACTCACGAGCTCCCACCAAGTCTGGCTCCAGTGTTTCCAGTACCATAATCATCCCCATTTACCAGATGGGTAAACTGAGGCTCTGAGAGGTGGAGTCACTTGCCTGAGGCCATACAGCAGGAAGGGTAAAAGTAAAGATTTGAATCCCTGGGTCTAGTCGACTCTGGAGCCTGCTGTTCTCCCACCATACACCTCAGCTGCTCGCCCTCCTGGGCATCTGTTTCCTCATCTGATGAACAGGGGTGACGGCGATGCCTCCCTGGCAAGGTCCGCAGAGGATCCCGGGTGGTGTATGTCAATCACCCAGCTCAGTGCCTGGCACTCAGTGGATGCTTTAAACGTGATGCCTGTGTTTATTCGTATAAAGGTGGCTGAATATTAAATGGGTGGATTTATGGAAGGCACTTATGGTAATGCCCTGTACATAATAGATGCTCAAGAAACACTAGAAGCAGTTACTATGATTATAGGATCGACCACAGGGGACAGCCCAGTAACCCCTCAAAGTTGCTTCCTTCCCAAGTTGCCTTCCATTTATTTCTCCCTTCATCCAACACACTGGCCTTAGGGTCCAGGTTAGGATTTGGGGGCTTGGGGGGCTTAGGTTACAATTTGAGGTGATTTGTCCCCCCCTGCCCATCAGTCAGAGTGATGCTGAGAGCACTGGATGATAAGACCAGAATTCTAGGTCCGCGCCCCGGACCTGCTGTGTGATCTCTGGCAACTGCCTTGCCCTCTCTGGGCCTTGGTTTCTCCTTTCATCTGCAGAGCCTGGGCCAGGCTGCCCTGGGAGGTGCCAGCCCCGAATGGGGCCGGGGGCAGTTCCTGTGTCCCCTTGGCCACCAGCCTCCATCTCCTGCCTCTTGAGCTGCAGGCCCGCCCGGCTCAGCTGTGACGACGAACCAGCCAATCTGTTTACTGAACTGGCTGACCCCTTCCGGGAACTCGGCCCAAGCTTCCCAGAACTCGGGTATTAATGACCCGGAGCCACATGACGGAGCATGACACAGCACTTTTGGGCACAAGGCAGGGCCCAGAGGGGTGCGTGGGGGCCGCAGCCCAGCCCCCAAGCCCCGCCAGCGGGTGAGTCACCTGGGCCCCCTGCAGCTTCCTGATCCCGGCCACTCAGCTGTCCTCCCCACCCCCAGGATATCCCCAGTTGTCAGGGCTGCCCTGGGACCCCTCGACCTTTGCACTAGGGACTTAGCAGCCGTCTTGGGTGATCAGGGCTGCCTTCTGGGATTACAGATGGGGACAGTGAGGCCTGCAGGACTGGAGTGAATGAACAGTGAGCTCTGAGTAAACGTCCACTGTGCGGGAGGCACTGTGCAAATACGTCACGTTAGTCTCGCAGCGATGCAACACAGTGGCGTAGTTTAATCCCCATATGATAGATGGGGAAACTGAGGCTCAGAGCGGGAATGAATTCTCCCAAGGGCATGCAACAAGAGCACTCTGTTTGACTGGAAATAATTTCCTTTCGTCTCCTCAGCAGCCGACAAGGGAGGTGCCATGTGGACTGTTTCACAGCTGGAGAAACTGAGGCACAGAGGGGCTGAGTCACCTGCCTAACGCACTGAGCAGTCTGGCTCCAGGACCTGTGCTCTGAACCAGCACCTGGCACATAGCTGGCACCGACATGGTCTCCGTGCACTGCCATGGATGAGAGCAATGCTGGCTGCGGTGTCGGGCGGAGCTGGGTTCCAATGCTGACTTCACCTTTCTCAGGCTGCACAGCCTGGAGCACGTGGCTGCACCCTACCGTGCGTCAGTTTCCTCACCTGTGAAGGGTGATCGTGGTGGTCCTGATCTTGCAGAACTGCAGTGAGGGCTGTGAGTGTGGGGTGTCTCAACTGCACCTGGACACGCAGAAGGCACTCTGTGAACACTGACTTTCATTGGCCCAGGCCTCTGAATCCATGACAGTTCAATCTCTGAACCCCACAGCTTCCTCCTTCACCCTTTGCCGCCCCAGGGCAAGGTGAGGGCGGTGGTTTTTATGGGCCTGGGAACCAGACAGGCTCGGGCTCAGAGGGGGCGCCTGCTGCTGGCGGGAGTGGGGCCTCCTGGTTCCCACTCCCTGATTTTGGGCTGGGGGCCGGTGGTGGGCAGGGGTGGGGCAGCACTTTGATGTTCTTCCCTTCATTCCACCACCACTGCTTGAGCACCTACTGTATGCCAGGCTCCAGGGGACCCAGCAGTGAACAAGGTCTCTGCCCTCACTATGGTGGAGGAGAGGATGGAGGAGATAAACATCGGTGAGCAAATGCTTGAAGAGGCGAGAGGATTTCACCAGAGAGAAGGGCCGTGATGGGAATCAGCAGGGGTGTTTGGGAGCTGAGTGGGTCAGAGAGGGCTTTTCTGAGGCGGTGATGTGGAGCAGATGCCTGAAGGAGAAGAAGGACCAGACCTGGGGAAGAGATTTCCAGCAGAGGGAAACTCACCACAGCACGTGCAAAGGCCCTGAGGGTGGGAATGGGTTTGGGAAGTTCCAGGAAAGGCAAGGAGGCTGAAGGGGTGTGAGGAGGGGACAGCAGCAGGACATGGTGCTGGAGGGCCAGCAGGGGTTGGACCATGCAGGGCTTGGTGGGCTGAGTGAGCAGCCGCGGCTGGGACTTGGGCAGGAGCCTATGTGAGAGATGGCAAGACTGCCTGAGATCGCATTCAGAACTTCTACCCATCTCACAGATGAGCTCAGTGAGGCCCGAGCCAGCTTCCCCTAGAAGGTCAGTGGCTGGACAGGCATGAGAATCGAGGGAGTTCAACTCCCCCGGAGAAGCCAGAAGCCAGAACACAGGCCGTGGAGGAGAGGGTCCCACATTCATCCCTGCAGCCCCGAGAGCTGTGGGCTGTGGGGCTGCCTGGATGGCTTCCTGGCGGAGGAGGTGACCTCCAAGCTGTGGCTGGGGCAGAAGGGCTGGGAGAGCGTTCCCAGTAGGGGAAGCAGCACACAGACAGGCCCAGAGGTGGCGGTGAGGTGCAGGCGTTGTCTGGGAAATTCATCACTGCTTGGGAGTCAGGAAAGTGACCGGGTGAGGAAGTGTTATTGTCAGGGTCTCCCTTTCAGAAGGCCTTGGGGCCAAGGGGAGGAGCTGGAATTGCCTTCCACCGCGTGCAGACCCCAGGCTGGATCCCAGGACTGCCCAGGGACAGGCACACGTCTGCCCTCATGTGGCCCACAGTCCAGGGGCAGGGACTGTCTGGAGAGATTAGGGCCATGGGGGGCAGGAGGGCGGAGGGGCAGACCTCCCATCCTAGTTCCAATCTCAGTGCTGTGACACACTCCCTGTGTGACTTGGGGCAAGTCACTTTACCTCTCTGAGCCTCTGTGTCCTCATCCATAAATACCACCTGGAAAGATATTCTCAGAACTCAGTGAGATCATTCGCTCATTCGTCCACTCATTTATTCCTTGGATTTTTTTTAGCGCTTCCTATATGCCAGGTCCTGGGCTGGGTGCTGGGGACACAGCAGTGACAAAAATCCCTGCCCTTGTAGGGCTGATGGAAGAGGTAGTGTAAAGCAGTGAGTGGTTAAGAACACAGACATTGGAGCCAGGGGCCTTGGGTTAACTCCTGGCCCACTGCTTATTTGCTGTGTGGTTTTGGGTGAGACACTTTACCTCTTTGCATCCTACCTGTAAGATGCCACGTCATAGGATTGCTGAAAGGACAAATGAGTTAATATATGTAATGTGTTTAGCACACAGCCTGGTACATAGTAGGTGCTCAATTGTGCTTGAATGAGCTGAGATGTGCAATAAGCAAACAGAAGAGGGGTGAGTGGATGAGACAGTGTCTGACAGTGGGAAGTAAAAGTGACCAGCTCTTAGCAACAAGTAGGCATACAGTAGGTGCTCAATAAGTGTTTCTCCTCCTTTGTCTCCTTCCGAGTCCATCTTGGACCTTAGCCCATAGGGGACTTAAGGGCCTGAGGTTTGGAATCTGCGTGGAAGGCGGGAAGTCGTCTTTGCTGATCCAGAAACCCAGAGCTGAGCTTTGGGGTTGGCAAGAGCAGAGACGCCCCCAGCACCCCTGCCCCTCACGCTCCCTGCACCCTGTCCCCAGCATCATGTGCAGCCTGGGTGGCTGCGGCGAGCTGGGGCCTGCCCAACGGGTCCCCAGTAATGACACTCATTACACAGGTGTCTGGCAGCGGGGGGAAGCGAAGGCCCCAGGGGCCGCATTCACATGGCACCCAGCCAGCCCACCCCAGGCCCTTCCTCGTCCTTTATAAGTCTGGTGCCCAGGGCAGGCGGGCAGGCTGGGGAGAGGAGCTGGCGAAGGGCCAGCTGGCGCCCAGTGAAAGGAGGGAAAGTTGAGAGGTCTGGGTGCCAAGCACTGGTGTGGAGGCCAGGGGAGGTGGGCACGGGGGGCGCGTGTGTGTGCACACGTGTGTGTCAGGGTGTTTTGGAGGGGGCGGGATGCAGTGAATCTGTGTCCAGGTCTATGCATCCCCCTGGCCTGTGTGTGGAGATGAGAGGGTCTGTGTAGATGAAGCATTGATGGTCCCCCAGGTGGGTGCAAAATCTCCCATGCCCGTTTCATTTGTTCTTTAACCTACACTGTGAGGTGGGTACCAGGCTGGGTCCAGCCTGGACCTGGTGATGTCAGAGCCAGTCCCAGGGCAGCCCTAGACTCTGCCGTCTAAGAGCTCCAAATCC
This sequence comes from Homo sapiens, assembly GCF_000001405.40. NCBI lineage: Eukaryota > Metazoa > Chordata > Mammalia > Primates > Hominidae > Homo > Homo sapiens. The sequence goes on from NC_000020.11 coordinate 50,296,411, forward strand.
AGGGACAGACAGACGCCAGGCAGAGGATCAGGACATCCCAGTGAAGACTTTGATGGAGAAAAACAAGGCAGGGGGCTGACAGGGATCAATAGGATGGGGTCAGAGGCCTCACTGGAAGGTGAGCTTGGCTGGAGGCCTGGAGGACGAGCCGCCATGGCAAGATCTGCAGGAAGAGAGTTCTGGGCAGGAGGAATGGCAAGTGCAAAGGCCTCGATGCAGGGCTCAGCTTGGCCTGTGTGAAGGGGCGAGTGAGGAGGGGACTGGGGGCCGGGGCAGGTCCAGAGCTCATGGCCAAAGTCAGGAGTGTGCATCTTCTGAGCGCAGTGGGAAGGTTGGCACATGGTAGGTACACAGATGGGGGCTCCACTGGGGTGAATGGGTTTGATGAGAGCCGGGACCGGGCCCTCTGGGTGTGGGAACGATTGGCTTTCAGAGCTACAGACAGGAACGTGGGCTGCTCAATTGTATTTGAACCTATTCTCCTGGGTTCAAACCCCTCCTGGATCCTGGAACCTGTTATTAAGCCGGCTGCACCCCAGGGCACCGGCCTTTATATCCAGACAGGGCCCTGGCCCCCAAGACGGGGGTGGACGGGTGATACTGGTGAACCCCATGCCTGCCCCACCCCCTGCCAGGCCCCTCGGCAGGGCCAAGTCTGCTTCTGAGAGCAATGAGCATCTCTCCTTTTACAGATGGGGAAACTGAAGCCCAGAGAAGGAATGGGTATGTCCTGGGTTCTTGTGGCAGAGTGCTGGGGGCAGCACCCAGAAAGCCTCCGTCACAGCTCATATCTCTTCCTACTTCATCCCCGCCCACAGCGGGCTCCTCCTAATAGGACTCTGGCAGGGTAGCAGCTGGTGTCCAGGCAGAGCTAGAGGGAAGAGCTGGGTCCAATTTGAGAAGCCTCTGTTAATTGGGTCCTATAGGAAGAACTGTTAACACTGTGAGTTTCCCATCACCAGAGGTGTGCAAATAGACCTGGATAACAGCCCTTCACCTGCTTAGAGATTACAGAGAGGTTCAGGCGGATGGGAGACCACTTGCCTTCTAGCTGTGTGATTCCACAGGACCTCGGAACAATCCTTAGCTCAAGCCTCAGTTTTCCCGACTGTAAAATTGTTTTTTGTAATAATCAGAGTGACCTCATTAAAAGGACAACTTTGTTGATAAAATTCTCCTGCATTTATCCAGGCCTCGCTTGGTTCCCCAGTGCTAAGAGACAGCTCTAGCCCTCACCATGGCCCGCACATCCTGTAGCCCTGGTCCCTGGGGCCTTCCCTCCCACCCCCTGATTCTCCCCTTCCTCTCTCTGCTGCAACCACAGACTTCCTCCCTGTTGTTCCTCTCCTACCTCAGGGCGTTTGCAGATGCTGTGAGCATTGGATGTCGGGCGGAGGGCTTTCCCTAATTTCAATCTCCCACCAGTCCTATCAGGTAAATAGGAGATCCATTTTACAGATGAGGAAACTGAGTCTCAGAGAGCTGAAGTTAAAGACACACAGCTTTTTGTGAATCCACTGAGTCAGGATTTGAGCTCAGGCCATCTGGAATCTAACACCACTCTCTTTTCTTCATTCCTTATGTGACTTGTTTTCATTTTCAAAACTTTGCTCAACAGTTGCCTTCTCCAGGAAGCCTTCCCTGACTACCCTCTCCATCCACCCTCCCATGACCTTCCTGAGTTTCACCTTTGCTGCACTGCTCACACTGTCTCTCAATTATCTCCCTTTTTTTCTTCTCAACAGCTTTACTGGGGTGTAACAAACACACGATAAACTGCGCATATTCCAGTGTTCATGTGGATGAGTTTGGACATATGCACACACTTCCGAAACCACCAGCACAATCAAGACAGCAGACATATCCATCGCCCCCAAGGGTGTCCTTGTGTCTTTTTGTCATTCATCCCTCCCGGCCGCCCCATCCACACTCCCATCGCCTGCCGACTGTGGCTGATCTGCTTTCTGCGGCTGTGGATTAGTTTGCGTTCTCTACAATTTTCTGTAAGTGGAATCATGTGGTGTATTCTTTACTGGGCTTCTTTTCCTCAACATTATGATTTTGAGAGTTACCCACGTTCCTGTGACCATTCTCTTTTTTTATGTATCTGCCCTGTCCCCCTCAGACTGTGAGTTCCATGGGGCGAGGACTTTGTCATATTTACCTCTGCGTCCCCAGCACTCAGCACAGGGCTGGGCACACAGGAAGTGCCTAATAAGTGTTGACTGACGGGAAGGAGGATGAGGACATGCCCAAATGGGGGAACAGCGGGCACATTTGCATGGCAGTGAGGAGCCCAAAGCCGGATTAAGAAAAAACAGCCCCTGGAATCATCTGGAGGCCTCGTGGCCCCATCAGATAAGCATATCTGCTCATCCCCATGGCTGTCTCTGAGGAGCAAAGATCTGGATTGCACAAGGGCTGGGCCTGGGCTGAGGAGGCGCTAGTGGTCCCTTTATCTTGCGTGGGCATTCGGCGCTGTGTTCTAGAACTGCACAGCCCACGCACCCCGGCAGGCAGAGGCCTGGGCTCCGGCAGCGGGTGGGCAGGTGGGAGGCAGGAAGAAGTGGCCACCCAGCCCTCCCCAAACCAGTTGGACTCCTTTGCAGAGATTACTGCAGGCGCTTTGGGAGCTGGCTAAGGGAGAGTGGGAGGCAGGAGGAAAAAGCAGGAGGAGGGGAGGAATCATTTAATGAGCAAATATTATAGGGAATTTCCAGTTCATGCCCCATCAGGCTGGGCAGGAACACAGTGGGATTACTCAGGCGGTTTCCAGGTACCAGCCTCAACCTCGAAGGTTCAGTGTGGCTCAGATGCCTCTAGGTCTTCATCGCTGGCTAGAAACCCAACTAGCCAGGGTGAGAAAGTGGCGGTGAGTTACATCCTGAGACAAAGCCTGCAACCAAAGTCGAGTCTAAGCATGCGCTTCCTGCATCAATCTTTGCTGAGATGACCTTATTGCCCATTTCCCAGACAGAAAAACTGAGGCTGGGAGTTGTGGCATTGGCTAAGGCCACACAGGGGTCACTGCGCAGTAGGGACAGCTTAAAAGCCAAGGCCATTTTGGAGTGACTCCTTCAACAAGGGCCACATTCTTTTGATAAATACTTATTGGGCACCTACTGTGTGCCACACACTATGCTCAGCTCTGCAGGTTAAAAAAAAAAATGGAGGCCGGTCACGGTGGCTGACGCCGGTAATCCCAGCACTTTGGGAGGCCGAGGAGGGCAGATCACGAGGTCAGGAGATCGAGACCATCCTGGCCAACATGGTGAAACCCCGTCTCTACTAAAATACAAAAAATTAACTGGGCATAGTGGCACGCACCTGTAGTTCCAGATACTTGGGAGGCTGAGGCAGGAGAATCTCTTGACCCCGGGAGGCGGAGGTTGCAGTGAGCCGAGATCGCACCACTGCACTCCAGCCTGCTGACAGAGCAAGACTCCGTCTGAAGAAAAAAAACGTGGAGTCTTTGGGCATATATTGTGCATTGCATCTTATCTACAGATGAACACAATTTTTGAGGTCAGAGATGTTTTGTGGAACTTTGTTTTCTTCTTTGTGGAAACAAGAAGTTTGGACCAGACTAGCATTTCCCAAATCTATTTTATCATTTATCCATTTTGAGGACACAGATCTGAGGGACACAGAGTCTCTGGGGGTACTAATAGGAGTGACAAGGGGGAAAGTGTTCCATTAGCCATTGGGTTTGGGAATTCCTGGGTGAACATTTGCCACAGGTGTTCTCAGTCTTGGATGCTCCAAAGAGCTCAATGAGCATCTAGGTGGTTAGGTCCTGTGAGTTACCCTCTGGGATATCTAAGGGAGTTTGTTCACTGTTTTTCTGACTTCATGAGTCCTGTTTGGATGCTGCTTCCTCCAAGGAGCCTTCTCTGAATCCCTAGAAGGACCTGAGTCCCCTTCTGTGAAGGCACCTGCCTGGAGCTCCCTTTGACTTCTGAATATTTTCCATCTTGGGTTGTAGCTGTCTGTTTCCATCACTTGATTGTGAGCTTCTCAAGGGCAGGGCCAGCCGTGATTCACTTCTTGGTTCTGGTATAGAGAACAGAATGGGTGGATGGAGCATTTAATGGGTGAAAAGATGAGTGATGACTTGATGGATGGGTGGATAGTCAAATGGATAATTTAATGGCTGGGTACATGTGTGGAGATAAGGGAACTGTTTATGAATGGATAAAATGGATGAAGAAATAGATCAATGAAAGAATAGATGAATCAATGAATGAGATAATTAACAATTGAATTAATGGATGAGTGAACACATGAATGAAGAAATTAGTGGATAAATGGAGAGATGGATGATGGATGGTTGAATAAATAAACAAGTGCTGGATTTTAAATTGTGTGATGGATGGAGCGGGTGATTTCATTGTTGAATACTGTGAATTACTGATGGATGAATGAATAGATAAATATATAATTAAATGAATGAATTAATACATAAAGTGATGGATGACTTAATAGATGGCTAGATGAATAAACAGATAAAGGGATAAATGGGTAGATGGATTGGTGATTCCATGAGTGAATGGGTGGGTGTATGGATGGGCAAATGGTTGGATGGATAGATGAAAGAGTGGGTGGATGGATGAGTGAGTGGACAGAAGAATGGGTAAATGGATAGATGAATGGATGGGTGGGTGGGTGGATAGGAGAATGGATAGGTAGATAAATGAATGGATTGGTGGGTAGGAGGGTGGATAATAGAATAGATGGATGGGTAGGATGGATGGATGGATGGATGGATAGGAGAATGGATAGGTAGAAAAATGAATGGATTGGTGGGTGGGAGGGTGGATAATAGAATAGATGGATGGGTAGGTGGATAGATGGATGGGTAGGTGGATAGATGGATGGATGAGTGGGTGGACGGATAGGCGAATGGATGGGTAGATAAATGAATAGATTGGTGGGTAGGAGGGTGGATAAGAGAATAGATGGATGGATAGGTGGATGGATGGATGGAAAGATGGATGGATGGTTAGATTGATTGGTGGATGAATAGATGAATGGGTGGATGAGTGGATGGGGAAATAGGATGGAGGAGTACATGGATGGTGGATGAGAGAATGAATGGATGGATAGGTAAGTTGGATGGATATACAGGTGAATGCATGCTATGTCATAAGATCGGAACTGAGGTCAGGAGGCAGGAAAATTCCTGTGTTCCTCCCTGATGCAGCAGTATCAAGTTTTTGAAGTTTGAAAGCTTAGTGAAAACTTTGAGTCAAATCTCCAGAAAATTGCATATAGACACAAAATGTTAGCAACTTTATGGGAGTGGTGGTCATGGAGCCTAAGAGCCACCTACAGACCCAAGGTGAGGAATCCCAGTGCAGTCTTATGTATTATTTTTACTCTCTGAGCCCTGATCTTGGAGAGGAACCCAGGCCCAGTGGAGGGAAGGCAGCTGAGATGGGGACAGGTAGTTTCCTAAAGGAGAAGACACTTATGTATTCATTCATTCATTGCACAACATTGCTGTGACCTTTCTGGATGCCTGGGAGAAGATAAAGGTGCCTCTCATAAGTGGCAAGTGTTTGGAGCTTGAAGTCAGACAGATTGCATTTTTAATCTCATCTCTGATATGTACTGGCTGGGTGACCTTGGGAAACTTACTTCACCTCTATAGACCTTCTCTTCTTCATGTATAAATAGGGACAGCAATAATGCCTACCCTATTGGGTTGTGAATATGTCAACAGGTATGTAAAACATGTAGCCCAGTGCTCAGTGCATAGTAAATGCTCAATAAATGTCAGTTCTTCTTTTTCTTCTTGCATGACTACTGTTGTCTTGCACTGGGCCTATGCAAGATGCTGCTGAGCCCGAGATATCCAAGGCATCATCCTGGCCTTTTGAAGTGTCCGCAGTCCATCAGGGAACACAGACAAGTAAGCAGAGGTTTCCATTCGCACAGGGTGTTGGGGCTGAGATAGGGAATCCTAAGACCTCATGTTCAGGGTCATCTGATCCTCAGCATCCATTCCTATTAATATCTCTTTCTAGCAAGAGGCTGCAGAGACTGGAAGGCTACACGCCGCATTCCCCAGCCTTCTTTGCAGCAGGGGCTCTGAACGCTCTGCAGGTCCCGCCAGGCAGATGCCTTCCTGTGAGAGTCAGGAAGTGGGGGCCGCCTTGTTTTTTCCTGGGCTCTCTTTCTGCTGGTGAGCATGGTCATGGGATGGATTTTCTTGCAGCAACCTTGGCGTCCGGTTACCACTCTTGGGGAGTCTAGAGGTAGGGGTGGTGGTGGTGGCTTCCTCATCTCCAGATGGCTGGATGGTGCTGTGATACGTTCTCAAAGTCTACAGCTCCTCTGTGGCCTCCTGATTCCCCACCATCCTGAGTGGCTGGCAGCTCTCCTGAAGGTCCAGTTCTGCTGTGTGGTGCTGGTGCCTCTCCAGCCCTTCTAGCAATGTTGTGAGTGTTCAATTCCCTGTGTTGGATCCTTTCTGCTTAAAATGCCTGGAAGGAATGCTGTCTCTAAAATCCAAAACAAACACAAAATTTGGAAGGGTTTCTGGTTGCCATAACTGTAGTTTGACTCACACATGGTGGGAGGCGGGGAGCACTGTAGGACCTCAGCAGGTACCTAAACCAGACTTAGGGGGTCAGAGAAGGTTTACGAAGCTCATGACATGTAAACTGAATCCTGAAGGGCATATATGGAGTAGTCAGACAAAGAGTTGAGTGGGAAGAACACACCAGGCAGAAGGAATAGCCCGTGCACGGCTGGGCACAGTGGCTCACACCTGTAATCCCAGCACTTTGGGAGGCCGAGGCGGGCAGATCACCTGAGGTCACGAGTTTGAGATCAGCCTGGCCAACATGGTGAAACCCCATCTCTACTAAAAATAAAAAAATTAGCTGGGCTGTGGTGGTGCATGCCTGTACTCCCAGCTATTCGAGAGGTTGAGGCAGGAGAATCTCTTGAACCCGGGAGGTGGAGGTTGCAGTTAGCCAAGATCGTGCCATTGCACTCCAGCCTGGGCAACAGAGTGAGACCCAATCTCAAAAAAAAAAAAAAAAAAAAAAGGAACAGCCTATGCAAAGGTTCAGAGATCAGAAAAGACATCGTGGAGAAGTGGGTAGTTCGGGCTGGCTGGAACATACAAATTGTAAGGGAGAGGTCAGAGGCTTTAAGGCTGGCCAAGGTGCTACACTTCCTTTGAAAATAATGGGGAGCTTCTGATAGTAAACAGCAGAAAATAGTAGGTGTCTTTCAGGCTCCTGCAGGAGGCTGAATTTGAGGGAGAGGAAGTATCGTTGCAGGGAAAGTAGCGAGGTGGCAAGGAATTGCAGCCACCTGAGTGAGAGGTGATGAGATTGACCTGGCATGGCAGCCTCAGAGGAGGGGAGGGTGGATGGATTTGAGGGAGGTTGAGGACGAGACTCCCAGGCTTTGGTGACCAATTGGGTTGGAGGCATGGCGGCGGGAGGCTTTATGGATGATGCTCATGTTTCTGGCTTTGGACGCTGAACAGTTGTGCAGCCTTCCAAAAGAAGGGAGACAGGCAGAGGGACAGTTTGGGGGAAGTTGCTGAACTTGCTTTGGGCATACTGATTTGGAGGATGCCTGGGGGCCATCCAGGAGGAGGCATCGGGGAAGTGTACAGACATGTGGTCAGAGGCTGAGACAACAGATTGGATATGGACAACCACCCACGACTTTGGAGAAAATGAGTGAAATATTCATTCAACAAATAGCACAGGGGAGCCTGAGACACACTATCTGTTCATGTCTGAATACCTGGCAGTGGGCCAAGGGCCTGGCTGCTTGTTCAATAAGCCAGGAGGAAGCGCTGGAGCAAGACTTGGAGGGTGGGCTGGGTTCTACCAGGAAGAGACAGGATGAGGGCCCAGTGGTCAAGTGCGTGAGGCCTGGGTTTAAGTCCAGCTCCTCTGTGTGTTGATTGCAGGGGCCTGGGCCAGATGTTTTCCCTCCCTGAGCCTGTTTCATCTGAAAATTGGTTATAAGGGACATGGTGAAGCTTCAAAGTTGTGCTTGTGGAAGCAGGTAGCTTGGAGCATGGAGCGGACTTTTGGGGGACAACTTGGGACACAGAGAGTCACCCACTTCCTGGTGTGGCAGAGCCACGGGGGATGGGGAGAGAGAAATTAGGATCCGCCTGAAAAACATCCACAGCTGTGTCCCATGTGAGAAAGGAGACCTCGGCTCCCGCCCAGGCTCCCTTTCACCCCCCAGCCTGCTGGAGCTGGCGGGCGGGGGAATCATCTCCATGGAGTGGAGGAGGGGACCAGATGACAGAAAACTTCTCCACGTCCCTTGGAGCTGCTGGAGCTGGGTCCTGGCCACCGTCCCAACCCATAGCTCCTGACTCGGGGTCAGGCTGAGATTTGCTCCTTCTCTGCCTGCTCCATTCAGCTGCAGCGAACAGAGGCTGCAAACTGGAGGCCTCAGGGGCCCAATCTGGCGCCCAAGCCTGTGGGGCTTTCCTCAGCCCACATAGAATTTTTAAATGAATGAAGCCAATATTTAAGAATCTGTGGGTACTACATAAAAACCTGTGTTTTGATTCCCTCTGGAAAATCAGGGCACGGAGCATCCGATCATATTGGGCCCTGTTCTCTAGGGACCACCATCAACCGGAGCTGAGAGGTGACTGTCTTCAGACAAGGCATGTGCCCCAGTCCCCACCACTCCCTCTTGTCTCTCTGATGCTGAGGCCAAGGAATAGTAGCTATTTATCATCTTACCCCAGCCCACTCTGCTCATTTTAAATTCCTGCCTGGTCCCTGGTGACACAGTTTTCAACCCCAGAGCCAGTCTCTTTTTCCTCTAAAACCACCCAGACTTTGGCCCTGGTTCTAGGCCTGAATTGGCTTCCCAAGAACCCCAGTCTCTGAGCTCCTCAGGGTCATGGTTTACCTTTCCTTCTGCCCCACAAGGCCCAGCACCACCCCCGGGGGACGATGACGGGCTGAGACTTGGCTGGTGTTGGGGGGCCGGCTGGGCCTGTGGGAGGCAGACCCACATGTGCTCTGAGATGTGTCAGCTGGGCCTGGTCACACTCTCTGCGGCTCATCCCTGAGGCATGTGGAACCAGGCGCTGTGCTCGTGGCCCAGCCAGGGTGGTAGGCGGGGCCAGGCCCGGGACATGGTGTATGTCAAGGCCACGCACAACAGGCCTGATGTTCCAGCCGCAAACACATTGGTTGGAAAGAGGAAAGGAGGAGGGAGAGGCAGAGCCGCTTTAAAGACAGTACCCAAAATACAGAGGCAGAAAGAGCCGAACTCACACTGTAAGTTGCTGTGTGACCTTGGGCACGTCACCTCACCTCTCTGAGCCTCTAGCTTAAGATAGAACTAAGGACAGACCCCAGCTTGCAGCCTCGTGGGCATATGCAGTGGTACAGTGGCTGATGTGGGGCCTAATGCCTAGAAGGGCAGCCTGGAATGGAGGCAAAAATCACAGACTTTGGGGCCAGATGAGGTTGCCACTTGTGAGCTGGGTGACCCTGGGCAGGTCGCTTCTCCATCTGCATCCCCAGGGAAGGTCCTCACCAAGTTATTCTGCCAAAAAAAGAATCCATTCACCGAACAAATATTTATTGGGCAATTCCTGTGGGTCAGGCGCTGGGGACATGGCAGGACATAGGACGGTCAAAGGTCTCTGCCCCCGTGGAGTTCACACTTGTGGAGAGAGCAGGCAATACACAAGATAAATAAGTTGCATATTGCATTTGAGAAGATCCATGCTAGGGAGAGAAATGAAGCAGGAAAAGGAGATGGGATTTCAATGGGCGGGGCAGGAACAGCCTGGTGAGCAGGTGACAGCTGACAACGATCTGTAGGAGGTGAGGGAGGGAGCCGCGGGGAGGGGAGAGTGTTCCAGGCAGTGGGAACGGTGCACAGGCCCTGAGTGGGGGCTGTGGCTGTTGTGTTTGGGGTGTAGCAAAGAGGCCAGTGTGTGGAACAGGGTGAGCGAGGGAGAGAGACTAGGAGGACGTGAGGGCCAAGAGGCCGTGGGGGGCGGATCCTGCAGGGCCACGTGGGCTGTTAAAGGACTTTGGCTTTTTCTCTGCAGGACATGGGAGTCATGGAGGGTTCTGAGCATAGAAGGGACGTGGTCTGACTTCAGTTTTCATGGATCCCTCTGGCTGCAGTGGAGAATGGGCTGGAGGGGCCAGGGCCAGGACAGAGGCAGGGGGGATAGTGGGGAGGTGATGGCAATAGTCCACCCTCTGTTTAGTGATCCTGGTCCTTCCCCGCTCTAAAGCCTTCCTGACTTCCCATCGCCTCTGGACAAAGCTCAAACTCCTTAGCGTGACATTCAAGGCCCGCTTACCTGACTCTAGCTGCTCCCTGCCCCGGCTCCTCACTCTCCACAGCATCCCAACCAGATATCCTTCCTTCCCTGCTCCACATGCGGTCCACCTTTGCCCGTGCTGTTTCCTCTGCCAGGAATGCCCTTCCTGTCCCCCTTTGTGACCCAGTTCATGTAAGGCTGAGTCCCACAAGCTAGGAGATAGAAAAGGAAGGAATAGAGGAAAGGCTGTTCCTGGGGAGGGTCAGGGAGGGCCAGGTTTCGGCTCCCCTCTTCTTCCTGGAATTCATCCTCCATGGCCTCCGCAGCTGAGGGCAGGCTCAGGAGCTGGGAGTGGGGCTGTAGCCCACACGACCATGCTGTGTGACCTTGGGCAAGTCACCCACCCTCTCTGGGCCTTGGCTTTTCTGCTCTGTAAAATGGGGAGGATCCTGGAGCTCCTCATGGTGGTTCTGTGCACCCAAGGGCTGTGGCAACTGTGGGAATAATGGCATCCTGGGGAAGACATAACTGCACTTCCTTGCCCAGCCACGACAGGCCAGCTCAGGGTGGCCCTGAGCTGATGCTAGGGGTAGCTTGCAGGAGGGGTGCCCTCTGAAGCCCTGAGCATCTCCAGTTCAGTCACCCCTGAGTGACCTGAGCACCTACAGTGTGTCCAGCCCCAGCACTGTGCTTGAGCACGGACAGAGGCCAGACAGCCTGGTTTCAAATCCCAGCTCTGTCACTTCCTAGCTGTGTGATCTGGGCAAGTAATGTAACCCAGCTGGGCCTTGGTTTCTCACCTGTGACATGGGGACAGTAAGAGTGCTCTCCTCCTGGGAAGCTCAAAGAAGCCAGTGTGCTCCTATAAATACCATGCTCAGTGCGTGGAGGAAGCAGCTTATCAAGGCCAACTAGCATTTTTTTTATTATTATTATTATTATTATTATTATCACCACTGTCATTTCCTGGCTTTGTGGCCTCAGGCATCACTTGCTTCACTGTGCCTCAGTTTTCTCCTCTGTGAGATGGGGTAATAGTCCCACCTTCGAAGAGTTGCCATGAGGACTGAGCCTGACGCATGTAAATGAGCCTGGAGCAGAGTAGGTACTCTGTGATTTTTGTTTGTTTGTTTGTTTGAGATAGGGTCTCGCTCTGTTGCCCAGGCTGGAGTGTGGTGGCAAGATCTTGGCTCACTGCAACCTCTGCCTCCCAGGTTCAAGCGATTCTCCCACCTCAGCCTCCCAGGTAGCTGGGACTACAGGCGTGCGCCACCATGGGCGGCTAATTTTTGTATTTGTAGTGGAGACGGGGTTTCACCATGTTGGCCAGGCTGGTCTTAAAACTCCTGACCTCAAGTGATCTGCCCGCCTCGGCCTCCCAAAGTGCTGGGATTACAGGCGTGAGCCACCGCGCCTGGCCTCAGTCTGTAATTTCTTAAGAAAAACATTTCAAATGCAGAATTTATTTTATTCACTACCATAAGTCATCACTGATATATGAATAGTCCCTATGAAATCCTTTGTTATTCCTCTAGTCAGACAAATGCTCGTTTGGTTTAATCTGACTTAACAAATTAACGAGATGAGGAAGAAAATTCCAGGCCTTGGGACATTCACTGAAGCCCAACCAGGCACCAAGAGACACATGTCCTTCTAGTCCTTCTAATGAAGAGTGGAGGAAGATCAACACGATCCTTATTTACACTTCAAGTCATTATGACTCTGCAGCTGGGTGACCTTGGGCAAGTCCCTTCCCTTCTCAGACCCTGAGTCTCTTCTTTCCTAAAATAAGTGTGATAGCTTCCTACCTGCCCTGTCTAGCTCACAGGATTATGGTCTGGCTCCAAGACATCACGGCTATCATTTATTAAGTCCCTCCTGTATGCAAAGTCCCTCTTCCTGACCACCCTGCCTCCTTCCAGGAGGGAACTGGATGCTGCTTGTTTTCAGGACAGGACAGTGAGGCTGGGGAGGTGGCGGAGGATGCTGCCCAGGGAGAGGAGGAAGTAGGGGGCTGGGGCTGGCTGGGCTGACGCAGCTGTGATGTCAGACACCCGCCACAGGCAGCCGGCCCAGTGCTAACTGTGCGCTCTCTGCTGGTCTGGCCTGGCGCCTGCCCCCTCCTCCCCCCGCCACCCCCCTTAACCCCTTCCCGGCCTCCTCTTCCCAGACGGCCATCCCCCAGGCCCAGCCTTGCCCACAAGATTCCCAGATTTCACAACTGGGGCTGGCGCTGAATCATGTACAGTAAGTCCGGGGAGAGAAACTCCCGGCTGCCTGGCGTCCCCGGGACAGGACAGCTGCCAAGCCTGCCCTCCCTCCCAGGGGCCCACCGGCAGCCAGGGATCATCCCCTCTGGGCCCCTGACCAGCTAGGGGGTGATGGGCGAGACACACAACCTCCCTTGGCTGTGCCAGGGATCAAGGGACCGTGTGGTTTCCAGGGAACCTTCAGGCTCTGGAGGGATAGGGGCAGGCCAGGGTGGTGGGAGAGGGGTCGAAGTGGCCTTGTATTCAACCACGGCCTGCCACCAAATCACTGGTGACCTGGAGCAGTCCCTAACTGTAACTCTAAGTTACGGTTTCCTTATCTGGAAAGTGGGGATAATCACAGCCCTGACCTCACAGGTGGCTGGAAGGACTCTGAGAAGATCTGTGTACAGTGCTTACCGCAGGAAGCGCCCAATAAATATTATTATTATTGTTGTGACGTCGAGCTGGTCATGACACGCTTTAAGACCCTGGAGAAATCATCCAGTTCTTTGGAGGACGTCTCCCCTGAAACACCCACCCCTCCCGCTGTGATACAAATTACATCTTATCTTTTCAAAACTTCTTCAGTACATCAGCAAACATTTATTGAGCACCACTGTGTTCCGTGCCTGCTACCAGGTCCTGGAGATACAGCAGTGGACAAAACAGAAAGACATTTAAAAGCCCTCTGTTCTCGTGGAGCCTGTATTCTAGCTGAGGAGAATCAGACATTTGAGGTCATTTCAGTAAGTGAGCAGGGCTCCAAAGGAAATAAAGCAGAAGGTGCGATGGAGAGAGCCTGGGAGGTCCCCTCTGATGGGGTGACATTTGAACAGAAGCCCCAACAAAGAGGAGAAGCCCACGTGCAAAGGCAGGGGGTGGGAAACGGTGCTCCAGGCAGAGGGAACCGCAGGTGCTAAGGCCAGGCTGTGGGATCCTCTTGTTGAAGGCTCAGCAAGGGCAGTGTGGCTGGAGCAGAGGGAGTGAGTGAGGGGCAGAGGGGTGGGAGGTGAGCTTAGTGGGGCCCCCACCCTGGAGCAGCTCTCCTAATGCCAGGCTCTTCCTGAAAGTGGCCACCTGGTGCCTGACTTCTACCTGTAGGGGCAGCCACCTGACAAGGGCCCAGCTTCTTCCCATCCGGGGTCCCAAGGCCCCGGAGCTGCCTGCTCACAGTAGAAAGCCTCATTCCCAGGAACCCCACGGAGGGCCAGGCTCCCCGCCCCTGCCCTTTGCTCAGGCTGCCGCTGGGACTCCCCTGCCCCTCCCGGAGGATGTGACCCTCCCTGCCTCTCAGCCGCTCAGAGTGTGGGCATCTGCATCTCGGAGTCTCAGTGTGCCCACCTGTGAGATGGGCACCATGTTGCCTCAGGGAGGGAGTAAAAGGAGGAAGGGAGCTCTGGCCTTAGTATCTGTCCCCTGAACCCTGGAAGAAGGAAAACATCGGGGCTCACTGGGGACCAGGCTGTGCGTTCATAGCTGGACGGAGAGCTCAGGCGTGTGTATGTGCGTGTGTGCATGTGTGTGCATCTGCGTGTGTGTGCATGTGTGTGTGTGCACGTATGGGGTGGGGGAGACGGGGGTGGCATCAAGACCCAGGAGCCACAAGAGTGAGGAAGAGGGAAGGGGTGGGCTTCCAGGGACAGGGGGCAGTCAGAGCCTGGTTCTGGCGCCCAAGTGGGGATTGGGGCAGGGGGAATAAGAGGCCTGCCCTCCCTCCTGGGGGCCCAGCGGCAGCCAGGGATGATTTCCTGGGATGTTTTAAAAATCATTTATTTCTAGAAAAGTCTTTCATCATTTCCCTTCAGGTCACGGAGGCTGAGATGGCTGACGGGGTAGGTGGCTGTGGCCTGATGTGTCACTTTTGGCCTCAAACTGAGGCAATGGGGACGAAGTGGCTGCGAGGCGCAGTATCTGGCATATGTGTGAGAAACAACCACAGTGCCCTGGGGAGGGGCCACGTCCTCACCCCGCACCGCCAGGGTCTCAGCGTGTCTCCCAAAGGTCATGTGGGCCTTTAAGAGGTGGTTGGGTCCTGAGAGCTCTGCCCTTATGAATGGATTAGTATCATTATTGCAGGAGTGGCTTCATGATGGAGAGAGTGGATTTGTCATGAAAGTGAGTTCGGCCATTCCTTGCTGTCTCACGTGCCACCTCTTGCCATGGGATGCCCTCGCCATGGGATGACAGCAAGAAGGCCCTTGCTTGAGTGAGCCCCTCCATCTTCGGCTCTCCGGCCTCCAGGACTGTTAGAAATACATCTCTGTTCTTTGTAAATTACCCAGGCTGTAGTACTCTGTTATAGCAACACAAAACAGACTAAGACACTACTATGTAGATGAAGAAACAGGCCCAAGAGGTGAGGAGTGTTGTCCAGGTCTTCTGGCCAGAGGAGCGGCAGAGATGGGATTTCAACCCTGGGACTGTGTGGCTTGTGACCACTCCTAGCTTCAGCCCTGCCCGGTGCTGAGGGGTTTGGGGCCAGAACGATGGCCAGATGTTTGGGCACACTGGGCCCTACCCACCTGGAAAGAGGCTGGCCTGGGGTTGAATGAGAACCAGAAGTGACTCAGGCTAGGACCCCTCTGCACCCTCCCTCAGGCCGTGGGTAATTACCTGCCCAGGTTAATAGCGCCCACTTCCCGCCACCTTTCATCAAGGCTCCTGGAGCTGCCAGGCAGTAATTAACCCTCACAGCACCCTTCTGAAGTCAGCACTGGAGGCAGACGTGTGATGAAACACGTTTATTACAGGTAGGTAAACTGAGGCAGAACCCATTGCAGCCTGGGAGCCTAGCCTGTTGTTCCCCTGTGACTCAGCAGCTCAATCAATCTCTGCTTTCTTCCCACAGGAAGCACCAGTTAGCCCAGATGCTTCTCATCTTTGGAGTTGAGCTGCAGGCTGGAGACCTGGAAGGCCCTCGCAGCGCCTGCTCCCATCCTCTCACCTCACGAAAGCGCAGGAATGTGGGTTTGGAGCCAATGAAAAGTACTGGAATCTGGCTCTGCTCTGTGACCCTGGACAAGTCACTGCCCCTCTCTGGGCTTCAGTTTCCTCCTTGGTAACACAGAATGATTATACCTACCCCTTGGGTTTGTTGACCTGAATCTACCCCTCAGTCATTGCCTTTCCTTCTTGCTGCAGCCACACTGGCCCCTTGACAGTTCCTTGAACACAACAAGCCCTTTCCCACCTCAGGGCCTTTGCATGTGCAGTGCCAGATGCCTGGAATGTCCTTCCTTCCAATCTCCCCATGGCCGGCTCATTCTCATCTTTCTTGGCTCAAATGTTACCTCCCCAACCTAGACAGCACCGCTGCCACCTCTTCACCCCGTCTTACTCTTCTTCAAGCACTTCTGGAGGTATCTTGCTATTTATCTTGTTTATATCTTTTTCAGCTCCATGAGGGCAGGGGATTTTGTCTGTTTCATTCACAATGTGTTCCCAGAGCTCAGCACAGTGTCAGGCACACACTAGGTGAGTAAGAAACAATTGCTTCCTCTACCTCTTCCCCTGCTAGCCCCAAGTTCAGCTAACTGGCTGTGTGACCCTGGGGATTGCTTTTCACCTCTCTGGTCCCTTATTCTCCCTTGTGGACAAAGGATGGCCTGGGCATGAGTTTCTTCAAGGACTCGGGTAGCAGTGAAATCCCTGGGACCCTAGCCTCAGTACCTCCCCAGGCAATGGGGTAGAGAGCAAGAAGGCAGGTGAGCAAGGACCAGCCTCCGCCACGCAGACACCCTCTTTCCGGCTTCTCTGTCCTCCTACTTTGCCCTGGGTTTGTGGACTTACTCTGGGCAGATCTCCACGACCAACCACCCCCTCCCTTGGCATGTCTGTCAGCACCCTTGGGGGAAAGAATTTGGAAAGGGGAGGGAGAAAAAGAAAGCAGGGTGCGAGGGGCTGGTTCCCACACCTGTGTAAATAATTTGTCATCTTAAAATGCTCAAGTATGCTCACCTTTAATGCCTGGTTCTTGGGCTTATTTTCCTTGGCAAGGCCCCCACGGGAGTGGAATTTCGGCCAAAGGGAGCCCAGTTGTCATCTTCTAAACATGTTCCCAGGCCGGGGGCCGGGGAGGGCTCTGGCTGATGCTCCACTTCCGTCCCCAGAAGTGCTGGAACGTTCCTGGGATCTAGGGAGCTGACTCCAGTCCTGGAAGCTGTCCCAGAATTCTGGAATGTTGGAATTCAAACGGCCTCCTGCCCATTTTCCGGAGGAGGAACATAAGACCCAGAGAGGGGAAGGGGTTGGCCTGAGGTCATACAATGTGCAGAGACGAGCTAGAGTTTGCTGGGAGAAGGTGCGGGTGTGTGGACAAGTCAGCATCTATCTCCCATTTTCAGGTAACAGCACCTCGACTTCCTACTGAAGAACCCCCTCTTCCCTTTTCTCAGTCCATGAGGCTGGGGGTGCCCAGAGGCCTCTGTCTCCAGGGGTGGACATGTGACCGGGTCTTGCTCTAGTGATTGGTCCAGGGATGGGCACATGACTGAGCCTGCCCAATGAAACTTGATCTTGGGACTTCAGGGTTGGCCATGATTTGTGAAGGAGATGCCATTTTCCATTGGATGGACAGTGAGCAAGTGAACGCTTAGAGAAGAAGAGGACAAAACAAGGGAAAAGCCTGCCTGACAGGAAGCAGCACAGAGCTGGACAGGCTTTGAACTCCTGGATCCCACTGTACCTGAAATTAGGCACCTTCAACTTTCTAGTTATGTGAGCCACTGTCTTTCCCATTTTTGGCTGAAAACAGTTGGGACTGGCTTTCTGTCCCTTGCATACAGAAGGTGCTGACTGACCCCTGCCCCATGGAAGAAGATACTCCAGGCAGAGGAAATAGTGTGTATAGACACCCCTAAGCGAATGCCAAGCGGGGCACTCATGTACCAAGAAGAAGGAGGAGGAGGCACCTGGGAGCTGAGCTTAAGAGTTAGTCGGGTGGTCAAGGTGGGAGAAGGGGGTATCTTTAGCAGAGGGAACAACCATTGCAAAAGCTTGGAGGGGTGACTAGTTAGTGAAGATCAACTGTGTGCTGAGCTCGTGTTGGGTGGCAAGGGACACAGACGAAAAGGGCACGGTGGAACCCAGCTACTTCTCACCTGCTCCAGCGCAGTGCAGGCTTGTCTGCTTTTGGAGCCGAGCCTGGACACCTCCGTGTCCTTCCCCCGGCAGAGTGCTGCCAGCACGCTGTCTCAGACTCTCCAGCATCTCCTGGTTGATGTGCATCATGGGGACCACACAAGATTATTTTATAGGCTGCACAGGCAAAGCATAAAATCACCTCGGGTCACATAGCGAGAGTTATTCTCTCTGCAAATTCTTTACAGTCTTTCCTTTATATCCAGAAGAGTCTCTGTGTGGTGCTAACTTGCCTCGAAGACCAAATAATTGCTAGTCTCCCTTTGTGAAAAGGAGAGCAGGTGTCAGGCTCATTCATGTCTCAGGCACACAATTGTATCTAGCTAGACTTTTCAAAATGTCCTATAGAGCTGCAGCACATATGAATGAGGTGTCCAGCTGGTCCCAAACCTGTAATCGGCACCCCAGTGAGCAGACTGGACATCCCCACCCCCACAGCTGCCCTTTCTCCCCTCCACTCATGTTCCCTCTAGGGCCACCACGATCCCGACTTGTATCACCACAGATGAGTTTCACATGTTTTTGAATTTTACATCTTATCTGTTTTCTGTTCCTATACAAGTTTGCCTTTTTTGAATTCCATATAAGTGGGATTCTACAATGTGTTATCTCAATTTGAGTCTGTTTTTTTTTTCCTGCTCAGCATGATGTTTTTGAGATGCATATATGCGGTTTTGTGTATCTGTAGATGGTTCTTTTTTATTGCAGAATAATGTTCCAGGGTATGGATGTACCAAAGCTTGTTCATCCATTCACCAGCTGAGGGATATTTGGACTGTTTCCAGTTTTCAGCCATTATAAATAAAGCCACTAGAAACATTTGCAAACAGGTTTTTATGTGAACATAAATTTTTGTTTATCTTGGGTAAATTTCTAGGAGTGGAATTGCTGGGCCAGGTGGCCAAGTGTATGTTTCACTTTATCAGAAACCGCTGAGCTGTTTTCCAAGGTGTCTGTACCATTTTTCATCCCTACCAGCAATGTATGAAAGTGTCAGTTGCTTCGTATTCTCACCAGCACTTGGTGGTGTTAGTTTTTTGTGTGTGTACATGTGTTTTACTTTTAGTCATTCAAATAGGTGATAATAGTATCTCATTGTGGTGTTAGTTTGCATTTCCCTAATGACTAATGATGTTGAACATCTTTGTATGTGTTTCTTTGCCATCCGTATATTTTCTTTGGTGTAGTATCTGTTCAAACTTTATGTCAGTTAAAAAAAAAGACCCAATTGTTTTCTTCTTAATAGATTTGGAGAGTTCTTTATATATATTCTGGATACTAGTCAAGCCTTTGTGAAATATGTGATTTGCAAATATTTTCTCCTGTTCTGTGGCTTGTCTTTTTATTCTTTCAATAGGTAGACTTTAATAACATCGTTTTGTTTTCTTTTTAAGTATTTTTCTGGTTATCTTTGATTTGTGGCATGTATTCTTTGGTTTTTCAATTTTAGTGATAACACCAAATGTTTTCTTTTAAAATGAATTTATTTAAGTAAAAACGTCAGTAAATTTGAAGAAACACATTAAATAAGGAATAGTAGAAGTGGACAGTAGACAGCATAAAAATCGTGAAGGCAGTTTCCAATTTGCATAACCAAAGTGTGGGCAGCTCCGATTCGTTCGTCAACAAATACTGATGGAGCCCCCACTGTCCACCAGGCTCTGAGCCAGGTGCTGGGGACACAGCACCAAGCGAGATAGTTGTTTGCTCTTTTAATGCTGGTTTTTCTCCAGTGAGTCTCTCTTCATCTTTCAAAAGCCAATTTGAATGACCCTTCCTTCATCCAGACCTTCCCTGGAATGTTTGTCACACTCTACTGCAAATTTCTATTTCTGTATCTCCCAGGCAAGGGGCATGTCGGGCAGCCTCTGGTAGGGTTGTAGAGAGCTTGGTGCATAGATATCTCAATAAATAGCCTCTCACATAGTACAAGCTATGATGAGGTGCTGAAGACCAGTTGCTGATTCAATTGGTTGAAACTAGCCAGGCCTGATGAAGGGGCCTGAGGACCTTCCCTGCTGCAGTCTGGCTGACCCCAAGCAAACCAAAGTCTCTCCCCTTGGCCTCCCCTCCCACATAAAGATACCAAGAGAAAAAGCCTCCCAAACCCACTGCCTTCAGCCTCTGCTATTTGCTTCCCATCCAGTGCCCATGGATGCCTTTCCTGCAAGACACAGTATTCACACAGACACTTACCAGGCATCTTTGTTCTGACCTGCCCCAGGACCACCACTTTCACCTTGGCCTCTTACCACCATTCCCCTGTTCCTCCACTCCAGCACACCAGCCAGTGTTTGCCCCTCCAACATGCCCAGCTCATTCCCACCCCTGGGCCTTTGCACTAGCTCTTCCCTAGTTCTTTGCCTTCTCTAGCTCTCCACATTCAGTTCTGAACTTCACTGACCCTCCTCAGAGGCTCTCTAGGCTATGCTACCAAAGCCCTCTCTCCTCTTTTTTTTTTTTTTTTTTTTTTTTTTTTTGAGACAGGGTCTTACTCTGTCACCTAGGCTGGAGTGCAGTGGTATAATCATAGCTCACTGCAGCCTCCATCTCCCAGGCTCAAGTGATCCTCCTGCCTCAGCCTCCTGAATAGCTGAGACTACAGGTGTGTGCCATCATGCCCAGCTATATACATATATTTTTAAAGTAGGGATATACTCACTCACTGAGCTCAGTATGTAGCTCAGGCTGGTCTCAAACTCCTGAGCTCAAACAATCCTCCCACCTCGGCCCTCCAAGTGCTAGGATTACAGGCGTGAGCCACTGTGCTCAGACACCCCATGTATTTTTGATCCCTTCATTCTGTTTCTGTCCTTTGTAGCATGGAATGCTCTCATTTCCGAGTTTATTTGTGTGTTTGTTTGTTTCTCGCCGTGTCCCCTGTTGGAGTGGCAGTTCCATGAGGGATTTGGGTCTGTCCTTCTCTCTATCTCCCCAGTGCCTAGCACAGTGTTCAGCACACAGTCGGTACTCAATCAGAATTTGTTGAATCTATGAGTGAATGAATGAATGAGCTCATGAGCTCTCCCTTCTCCAGATGCACTCACGGCAAAGTTGAACCCATCTATCTGCCCATGCGTCAGGCTAGTTGTCCTGTGGGCCCCTCCTGGGTGGGTACTGAGGGATGCCCACTGGGTCCAGCCAGGCCTGTGTCTTGTCAGCTGCCCAGGCTAAGGGACTTTCCATTGTCCTTGGAGTTGGCCTGTGGAAAGTTGTTCTCAGGACCTCGTGAGCCTGGGGCCATGGATGGGGCTAAAGGTAACTGCAAGGTATAGGGACCCGGCGTGAAATTCCATCAGTTAACACTGTAAGTGAGGCTTTCCAGCTCCCTTTCGTCCTCCCTGTGATGCCAAGGGGAGGGAGAAACTCCACGTGGGGCTTGTGTGTCTTGAGCACCTTCCTACCACCTGCTTTTTCTTCGGAAGAAACAGAGCAGATCCCAAGTACAAGCCGTCATCGGCAATAGTAGCTGGCTTTGTTTCACTTTTTTGTATATTTCACCAATTGTCTTCCATTTGCAGCAAGTGCCTTAGATTGGGTGCCTGCAAGCAGACCTTAACAGAATAAACTGAAGGCAAGTAGCCTATTTGGGAGATGCCTCCAGAAAGCACTGGTAGGGAAGTGAGATCAGGGAGGAAGGGCTGCCAATCTCAAGAGCGCTACCAAGCCAGTAACCACTTAGGCAGCTGGGGCTCGGTCCTGCTGTGGCACGCTGGGAGCCCATGTAGTAACGGAGTTAGCCCCCCAGGGGCGGAGATCGGGTGGTCAGGGAGCTGGGGAAGGGACATGTCAGCTCCTGCCTATCATTGCTTGACAGCTGCCGCTTGGAGTGTTAGTTCCCAGCACATCCAGCCTGCCCCATGAGCAAAGCTCACAGGTGAAGGGGACAGGTGCTGCAGGTGGAATCCTGTCTGTGTTCACCGGAGAAAAGGGAGAGGAGGTATGGGCAGGGCACAGACAACAAAGGCCTCACAGTCAACACTGGTTCCTCATTTAAAGCCAGGATAAAATGAGTTCATTTAAAATTAAGTTTTCGCAAACATTTAAAAAGCGAATTGATGGAAAGAGTAGGTAATACCTGCAGGTGAAATGTGAACATGGCAAATGCTGCTATTTTTCAAGGCGTCCAAAGCCTTTAATAGGCAAACAGTGTTCTTCACGACCCACAAGAATGGCGTGTTTGGGGCGGTGAAAACACTCTCCCTTTCCTCCCAGCATGCCAGGCTCATGCTCACTCCTAACACTGCCCAGGACCCCTGGGAGTCCTGGAAATGGGCCATGAGGCTTGGAGGCAGAAGCCCTGTGTGACTTGGGGTTTGTCCCTTAACATCTCTGGGCCTGTCTGTTAAAAGGGGATGTTCTCAAGTCACATAAAAGAGTAAATGTGCAAAAATAGTCAAAGCAATGCTGAAAGAAGAACTAAGAGAGAGGACTTGTCCGTCCAGACATTAGAATATATGACAAAGGCATAGAAATAAAACAGTTTGGTATTGGCATCTAAGTGGACAAATACATCACGGGAACAGAATAGCATCCAGGAATTAACCCGGCTATCACCTGGCCTACCTCCACTCATAGATGTGAAAGGATTTAGAAAAGGGAAGAGATTGGCAGGCATGGGATTCTCTGGATTATGTTATGTCTGGGCTGGTGAAGAAGCTTCCAACAGGCTCCCCATCTGCAGCCCTCCCCTCTAACCTACCAGCCATGGCACCAGGGACACTCACTGTCATGAGCTGCACTCACCCCCGCTCTGCTCTGGAAATATCAGAGCCTCCCACGCAAGATGGGTTAGACCACAGTTGTCACCATTCCTCCTTTTGCACTTCTCTTTGATTCTTCTGATTAACCCAAGGAGAAAGTCTCAGGCGGGCGCGGCTGGACTTGAATACCTCTCCCACGTTTGCTCGTCTCCCTTTATGAGGCAGAGCTGGCCTTAAGCTCAGGGCCTTCAGCAGGCAGGAGAATGGAGCAAGAATTTGGTAACGTTCTTTTGTGATTGTTGTTTTAAGGTTACTTTCTCTTTACAGAAATGAAAAGTTGTTTCCTCCTTCTGATAGTAACACAAATTTTCCTTTTAAAATAATTTTTTCTAATCCATATTACAATGAGAATGAACCTCCAAAACATGATGCTAAGTGAAAAAAGCCAGACACAGAGGTCTTTTTTTTTTTTTTTTTTTTTTTTTGAGACAGGTTCTTGCTCTGTTGCCCAGGCTGGAGTGCAGTGGTGTGATCTCGGCTCATTGCAACATCTGCCTCCCAGGCTCAATGATTCTCTCACCTCAGCCTCCCCAGTAGCTGGTACTACAGGTGCGTGCCACCACACCTGGCTAATTTTTGTATTTTTTGTAGAGGCAGGGTCTCCCTATTTTGCACAGGCTGGTCTCAAACTCCTGGGCTGAAGAAATCCTTCCGCCTCAGTCTCCCAAAGTGCTGGGACTACAGGCGTGGGCCACCATGCCTGGCCAGAAGGTCACATATTGTATGATTCCCTTTCCAGGAAATCTCCAAAATAGGTACATCCATTGAGACCAGTGAAGAATGGTGGTTGTTAGGGGAATGGGGAGCGGCTGCTTTATGGTCACAGGGTCTCCTTTTGGGGTGATGAAAATGTTTTGTGATTAGCTAGAGGTGATGGTTGCAGAACACAATGCAAAAATGCCACCGAAATGTTCACTTTAAAATGCTTAATATGATGCTATGTGAACTTCGTCTCAGTAAGTTATTTTTTTAAAAAACCAGTGGAGTAAACCAAAAAATCAATTTACTTAAGAAAAGGTATGAATGGCTTTAAAGATGGCTTTTAAGTGACGTGTGGGAGACAGTGGCTAAGGGGATGATTCTCACCCATCGTGAGCCTGGGACCATGGATGGGGCCAGAGGTAGCTGCAAGGTACAGGGACCCGGCGTGAAATTCCATCAGTTAACACTGTAGGTGAGGCTTTCCAGCTCCCTTTCGTCCTCCCTGTGATGCCAAGGGGAGGGAGAAACTCCACGTGGGGCTTGTGTGTCTTGAACACACATTGGCTTATACCTTGCTCAGGCCTGGAAGGCCCTCTGCTCACTGACGGAATCCTATGCATCCCTGGGAACCCAGCTCAAGCCTCACCTCTACGGGAAGCCCTTCCTGATTACACAGGTGGTCAGGCGGGGTCAGTCCTGCAGCCCTTCAGACCCGGTTGTGAATCCCAGTCTTGCCACTTACTAGTGGGAGGAGTCTCTTAACTTAGACATATTGTTTGACTAAGAGGGCCTCAGTTTCCTTATCTGGAAAATGGGGGCTTATGATAGCTCTTATCTCACTAGGTTGAGCTCCTACATAGAAAGTTTTAGGACAGAACCTGGGGAGATGTAGCTGCCCTTCATTCACACTTCAGTCTGACACTGATCACATCACAGTTGCATTCCTTTTCCTCCTGTCTCCTACACTGTGGGCAAGGGCTCAGCCTTTGTGATCTCTGTATCATGTTGCTGTACAGAACTCACACACAGTAGGCACCCAAGAAGGGCGGGTTGGCTGACGTGCAGAGGAACTCCCAGAATTCCACCTCTTCTCTCACCTCCACGGTCCCCACCCTGGTCCAGACCCTGCATGGCTTACCTGGACTATTGTGGTCTCCTCCTCCCTGGTTTCCTGGCTTCTGTCCTGAATCCTCCACCTCCAATCCATTCCCCACATGCAGCCAGAGAGATCCCGTGAGAATCTAAGTCAGATCTCGTCCCTTCTCTGCCTGGAAACTTCCCACAGCTCTCACCTTGCTTAGAGGAAAAGCCAAAGTCCTTCCCGTGGCTCATCCACTGTGGGACATGCCCCAGGTCCTCTCTGCTCTCTGTTCCTCCTCCCCAAGGCCTCATCCCTACGACAGTCTCCTTGTTGTTGCTCCGACACTCCAGGCTCCACCTCAGAACCTCGCATCTGCCGTTCTGGTTTCCTGGAGCACCCATTACCCCACACGGCCCGCTGCTCACTTCCTCACCTCCTCCAGGCCTCTGCTCAAATAGCACCTGCTAGGGAAGCTTCCCCCTGCTTCCCAGGTTTTGCTGGACTCCAAAGCTCTTTTCTTCCCAGAGGCAAAGCCCTTGGCTGGGGTCCTGGGCCCAGCCCGGTGACTCAGGCGGAGAAGATGCTCCCAGGCCTCCCGCTGGATTTGGGGCCCAGGGTCAGCCATGGGGGTAGGCGGTACCTAGGCTGTACCTGGCGCAGAGGCCTCTGCCTGCCCCTGCCGTGGGAGGCAGCCCTGCCCTGCACACACGGGCTTCCAGGCTGCGGGTGGGAAAGCCCCACATCCTCCTCTGCTTACCTGACTCCAGCTGACTCAGACCCCCAGCCCTGGCCAGAGGGGAGCCGCAGCTGCTCCGCCCCTTGATGGGAAGCAGAGCTGTGGCTGTGAGGGCCTGGCTGGGCCAGACACTGACTCACCTCTCTCTATCCCGCCCCTGCGCTGGGAGCCACGCCTCCCTCTGGCCAGAACCTCTTGGCCTTCTGCTGTGGGAGCTGCCCCAGGCGGAGTCTTCCCGAGGGGTGCCTTCTTCTGCCTCTGGGGGCCTTTCTGTTCCTTCAAGGCCCAGTTTGAGGGCCATCTCCTGCTAGGAAACATCAAATGCCCTCTGGCCAGAAGGGGAAAAGGATATGGGAGAGGTAAAATAATGATAATAATACCAGCAACAGTAATGAAAACAACTGTTATACAAGAATAATAGCAGCTAGCCATGCTCACTGTGTGCCAGGCACTGTGCTAAACACTTCACATTTTAACTCATTCAATCCTCACAATAGTCCTATGAGGTAGGAACTCTCATTTCCCAAGGCACAGAGTGGTCAGTATCCAGCCCAAGGCTACCAGCCAGCCAGTGGGAGGAAGGGATGTGAATCTAGGCAGCTGGACATTGAGTCGCATTCTCACCCCCAGCTCTGAGAACCGAGTGGAGGCCCCCGAGGCTGGAACGCAGGGAGCTGGGAGGGAGGGGAGCCAGGTCCTGGGCTCTGTTCCAGTGCCCGTCCCCACAGTGGGATTTTAAGTCTCCCCAGGCAGAGGCCAGCCCCCTCTCTCCAGGGGAAGAACCTCCCAGAGGGAGGGCCCTGCCGCAGCACAGGCTGGTGCTTGTTCCCTCCATTGGAGTGGAGCTCAGAGCAGAGGGTCTGGGCAGTCTACCAACATTGCCCAGCCCCAAGTGATGCCAGCCCCTGCTCTGGGCAGCCACCAAACAGGAATTCACACAGGTAGGGCAGGGACCATGGCGTGGGCACTTAACCCATTCACCCTGCCAGCCACACTGTGAAGTGGGGACAGTACAAACATCCGTTTTACAGAGGAGGAGACTAAGGCTCAGGGTGGCAGGACTTGCTCAAGGCCACAGAGGCAGAACATGGTAGGAGCGAATTCAAACCCAGGATTGTTCTGATGCCACACGGTCAGAGTCCCTTCTACTGGGTGGTGACACAGCATCTCAGTGAAGAACAGGGCAGGGTGGGAAGGAGACGCAGGAAAAAGCCTGGAGCCTCAGTTCACATCACCCTCTCCCTCTGGCCTTCCACTAACCTGAACTCACCAGTCCATCTTTTCATTCCTTTACCCATACCTCCACCTACCTACTCATCCACACATTCATCCGCCATCCAAACATCTCTCCATCTGTCCTTCCATTATTCCATCTATCCTTTCCATCCAACTCTCAGCCATCCCTCCACCCATCAAGACTTCCCTCCACCTGTCCTTCTATTCATCCACCCATCCATTCTTCTATTCCTCCTGCCTTCTATCTATTCAACCTTCCATTCATCCATCTGTCCATCAGTTCAAATATCATCTATCCACCTCTCCTTCCTTCCAACCTCCAATCCATCCATCCAACCGTCCGCCCACCCATTCATCCATCCACTCATCCACCCACACATCCATCCATCCATTCATCCGCCCACCCACCCACTCATCCTCACATCCATCTACACATCCATTCATCCATACAGCCCACAAATGTCTATTTGAATGACAGCTGTGATGCCCAAGCCTTGGGGTTGCCGTGCCTTGAGCCAGGAGAAACATGCCTAATTAGGTTTCTGTTTATTTGTTGTTCCAAGAAGGCTAATTGTGGGCTTTGTAAACAGCCCTTTGATGGCTGAGGAGTTACTTTAGGAGGACAGTTAAATAAACAATCACTGGGTAGAAAACAGTTAGTGCTGGTACACGGCGGGTCCGGAGTCATGGCCTGCCTTACAGAGGAGGGGTGAGACTGAGTTCCAGACAGTGCAGAGCTTTGAGTCAGAGTGATGGGAATGCTGGCAGTAACAGCTCATCTGTGTTGGGTGCCTACTGTGTGCCAGATGCTGTGCCAAGGGGCCCTCACAGCAACTCCAGGTGATGGCAACCATTATGGCACCAATTTATGGGTAGGGAGACTGAGGCTGGGGAAGAGGAAGCTGTGTGTCCAGGTTCGCATGTCTGAGAAGTAGCACAGCCATGACACTGATCTAGACCTGTCTCTGTGCAATAATAATGATAATAATAACAAATAATTACATGGTACTTACTATGTGCCCGGCACTGTTCTAAGAGCCTTCTTTACCTGTACCCTATGAGGTCAGAACTAAACATCATCCCTGTTTTACAGATGAGAAAACTGAGGTTGGAGACATGAAGCAACTTGCTGAGAATTTGTAAAAATTAATTATCTGGGCCTAAAGTCTTACTCTTGATCATGTTATTCAGTGGAATGCACTTTCTATGCATTTAACTCAGATCCAGCCATACATGATCTGCCAGACAGTTTTAAAAAAATAATTGTTCTTGTACTTTATATCTCTAAAAATACTACAAAATTATAAC
This sequence comes from Homo sapiens, assembly GCF_000001405.40. Taxonomy (NCBI): domain Eukaryota; kingdom Metazoa; phylum Chordata; class Mammalia; order Primates; family Hominidae; genus Homo; species Homo sapiens. The sequence goes on from NC_000020.11 coordinate 50,323,922, forward strand.
TTATGTGTTTTTTATTACTTGCTGCTGAGGTTGGTAAAATGTTTCTGTAAAGAGCCAGATAATAAATGTTTTAGGATTTGTGGGCCAGACCCTCTTTATTGCAACTACTTAACTCTGCCGTGGTGCAGGAAAACAGCCACAGACTGTATGTCAGTGAATGTCTGTGACAGTGTGCCAATAAAACTTTATTTACAAAAACAGGTGGTGGGTCAGGTTGGGCTCAAAGGCTGTAGCTTGCCAGCCCCTGACTTTGCAGTACGCATGTATTTGTATTTACCAAACCATGTTCTCTGCCCTTTTATGAATGAGATAAAAGCTTTTCAAGCATGATTTCAACCAGGCCATTTCACCTCCAGGCCATTTGCTCACCACATGCCCTATACACTGTTTAGCAGTTTGCCCACTATTGGCAATTTTGGAAGGAATTTGCAAATTACTTGAATTAACCTGATTTCTTCATTTGCAATATCAGTAAATTAATGACACCTGTGAGGGGCACTCAACTTGGCCGTCACCCCAGCAGGGACACTGAGGTTGCTTCACTCCAAATCTGTAAACTTTAAGCTTGATAAAAAAAATTGAAAAGTGAAAGTGAGGAGTTCTGTGGCTGGGGTTCTATTACTGTTTTCTATTGGTGACAAGAACAAGGAAATGAAAGGATGATATGGGAGGGGTATTACAAAATGTACTCAGGGCTAGTGGGAAGAGAACGGAGTAGTGTCAGAAAGATCCCTTTTCCCCGTTATCCCCACCTTCTTCCCATCAGTGTTCATTTCCCAACCTCAGAAAAGTTGTGAGCCTGGGTAAAACAGTATGTGGCCACTCCAGAGTTAAAAGACAAATGGTAACCTAGGTAAAAATATTTGAAACATAAATGTAGACAATGAATTTATTTCCACAATATATAAAGAGTTCCTGCAGAACAATAAGAAAAAAACCACAAACCCACTAGAATAATGGGTAGTGGATGTGAATAGGCAATTTACATAAAATACAGATGGCAAATAAACATGAAAGATGTTCAACCATGCTGGTAATCAGGCAAATGCAAATTAAAACAACAATGCGAGAACATTTCCCATGCCTCAGGTTGACATGAATGAGATTGGTGATGTAAAGTGTTAAGGAGACTGGGAAACGGTCACACCGATATACTGCCGGTGGCAGTGTAAATTGAAACAGCCTCTCCGGAAGACAATTTTCACAGTAGCCAGTAAAACTGTAAGTTCACATTTTTGGGGGAAACACTGCAGTTCCTTGATGTGGCATCTCCCTTAGTGAAACATCCACACACAGGCACAGGGAGTATGGTCAAGATGGTCACTGGGAGCAACCTAAATATCCATCAGTTGAGGAAGGGTTAAACACCCTGCAGTGGTCTGAGGCTCCCCATCTTTTGAAGCACAGTCTGCACACCTCCATCACTGATGTTGAACCTGCTAGGTGCTCACTCTTCCAAGCATCCCTTGCAGCTAGGGGGTGGTCACGTGACCCAGGTGCCACCGATCAGACGTGCTCACTGAGACCTGGAAGCAGGGATAGTTCAGGGGCAGCAGAGAGGGCCCACCGATCCAGTGTTGTGTGTGATTTGGGGTACTGTCCCTGCTGACCTTAAGCCTGGTTCTGCAATCCTCCCAGGCTCCTCAAATCCCTTATTTTATTTTGAACTTTCACTGAAGTATAGCACACATAGAGAAAAATGCATAGGTCGTAAGCGATAACTTCATGAGCCTTCATAAGTGAGTACACTTGTGTAACCAGCCCTTCATCAAGAAACAGAATATTCCAGTTCCCTTAAGCTTCCCTTAATGCCCTCTTCCAGTCACGACTTCCCCGAGGCTAACCAAGGCGAGTTGTGTCTATTTCTAGTGCTTTATATAAATGGAATCAAATGATGTGTGCTTGTTTGTGTCTGGCCTCTTTCCCTTAATGTTCAAGTCTTTGAGATTCACCCATGCTGTTGAGTGTGGTTGCAGATCTTTCATTCTCATTGTTAGGCAAAATTCCATAGTTGGAGCAGTGTCTGAGTGTGTCTCTGTTCTTTCATTCATTCTTCTACTGATGGACATTTGGGTACTTTCTAGTTAGGGGAGATTTATGAATAGGGCTGCTATGAATATTTATATGTGTCCTTCTTGGTGAAAATCTGTCTGCACTACTATTGAGTGTAGTCCTCTCATTGGGTCTTATGGCAAGTGTATGTTTCACCTTATTAAGTTGCCAGTGTCTTCTGAAGTGCTTGCACCATTTTGCATTTCTACCAGTCATGTATGAGGGTTTTTTCTAAATGCTCCGTATTTTCATCCACTCTTGGTATTTTCCATATTTTTCATTTTAGCCATTCTAGTGGGTGTACAGTGGTTATCTCATCAAAGTTTTCATTTGCATTTCCCTGCTGAGCAAGGATGTTGATCACCTCTGTGTGTTTATTGATCCTTTGGGTATCCCCTTTTGTGAAATGCCTACTCGAGTCTTGGCCATTTTTGTTTATTGGATTGATTGTTCTTCCCCTCATAAAGTACTTTGAATAGACTGCTTCTCTGTTTAAATTACTGTATCAGCCAGGGCTTTCCAGAGAAACAAAACCTAACAGGATGCGTGTGTGTATATCTATTTATATTTAATTCAATTTTTAAAGGGATTGACTCATGCAATTGTAGAAGCTGGCAAATGTGAAATTTGTAGGGCAAGCCGGCAGACTGGGGACTCAGGCAAGACTTCTATGATACACACTTAAGGCAGAATTCCTTCTACCAAAAACTTGGATTTTGCTCTCAAGGCCTTGAACTGATTGAATGAGGCCCACACACATTATCGAGCCCATCTACAAAATATCTTTTATTTTTATTTGTATTTATTTATTTATTTTTTTGAGATGGAGTCTCACTCTGTTGCCCAGGTTGGAATGCAGTGGTGCAATCTCAGCTCCCTGTAACCCCCACTTCCCGGGTTCAAGTGATTCTCATGCCTCAGCCTCCCGAGTAGCTGGGATTACAGGCGTCCCCCACCATGCCGGGCTAATTTTTTGGTGTTTTTAGTAGAGATGGGGTTTCGCCATGTTGGCCAGGCTGGTCTCGACTTCCTGACTCAAGTGATCTGCCTTCCTTGACCTCCCAAAGTGTTGAGATTACAGGTGTGAGCCACCATGCGTGGCTCAGAATATCTTTTTTTTTTTTTTTTTTTTTTTTGAGACAGAGTCTTGCTGGGTTGCCCAGGTTGGAATGCAGTGGTGCAATCTCAGCTCACTGCAACCTCCGCCCCTCAGGTTCAAGTGATTCTCCTGCCTCAGCCTCCCAAGTAGCTGGGACTACAGGTGCCTGCCACCATGCCTGGCAAATTTTTTTTTTGTATTTTTAGTAGAGATGGGGTTTCACTATGTTGGCCAGGTTGGTCTCGAACTCCTGACCTCATGATCCGCCCGCCTTGGCCTCTCAAAGTGCTGGGATTACAGGTGTAAGCCACCAGCCCAGCACAGAATATCTTTATAGCAACATCTAGACTCATGTTTGACCAAACAACTGGACACTGTAACCTGGTCAAGTTGACACGTAAAATTTAACTACCACAATTACCCAGAGCTGTTTATGTTGCTCTCAACTCTTAGCTCTATCTAATCTACTGTGAACATACATGCACACTCACACACATGCACACACTACCAACAACAGTGGTAGACATTTCATTGTAAGTGCACAGAAGTAAATATGGAAGGATGCTAAACTCATTACATGACCCCCTTGGGGAATGTCCAGGATGGACATCAAAGGGGATTTTAACTACAAGCTGTAACTGTAAAAAATATTTTTAAGAATATAATAATGGGTTAATTGTATAATTAAAATTAATATTTAAGTGGCAAAACTTTTAAAAGAAAACCAAAGGAGTCGTTAAGTCCCCATTATTCATTCAGCAAATATTTACTGAGCACCTACTTTGCAATAGTTGTTGGAGACACTGGATAAGACAGATCCAGTCTCTATCTTGGTGGAGCTGACATCATAGTCGAGAAGACAGGCAATAAAGAAGCAAACAGGGAAATAGCAGATGATTTCAGAAAGTGTTCAGGAGTATTCTGAAAGCAAGCAAGCCATGTGCAGGGGCACAGTATGAATGGGGACAGGGTTATGTTGGTGTGGGAAGTCAGGGAAGGCCTCCCTGCAGTGATATTTGAGCTGAGCCCTGAAAGAGGAGAAGGAGCTGGAAGAGCACACTGAAAGAGGACAAGGAGCTGGAAGAGTGGGGACCAACTCGGTACATGCAAAGGTCCTGTATTAGTCCATTCTCACACTGCTAATAAAGACATACCCAAGATTTGGTAATTTACAAAGAAAAAGAACTTTAATGGACTTACAGTTCCACTTATAGGTCTGGGGAGGCCTCACAATCATGGCAGAAGGTGAAGGAGGAGAAAAGGCACGTCTTACATGGTGGCAGGCAAGAGATCATTGCAGGGGAACTGCCCTTTATAAAACCATCAGCTCTCTTGAGACTTATTCACTATCATGAGAACCGAATGGGAAAGACCCAACCCCATGATTCAATTACCTCCCACGGAATCCCTCCCACTACACATGGGGATTATGGGAGCTACAAATCAAGATGAGATATGGATGGGGACACAGCCAAATCATATCAGGTCCTGAGGCAGGAATGGACCAGATGAGCTGGGATGAGAACCCAAGCAAGCTTCTGACTTGGAAACCGAGGCTCAGAGAGGGATACACACAACTCAAGGCCACAGCACTGGACGTGGTATAACTGAACGAGAATCCAGCTGTGTGCTGGTGCAGAGCTGCCTGTACAGGAAGGAGGCCTCTGAGCTGCTCAAAGGGCTCTATCTGCACTCCCCCACAGAAATCCCCTTATGATCAGAGCCAAACATTGGAGACCCAGCCCCCAGGCTTGTGCCAGCCTTGCCCTGCCAGCCAAGGCCAGTATCCCCACTGAGGGGCATCTGAGGGCTCTGTACACTTTGCCTCTGAGTTGAGGATCAATAGAAGCTACCACTGCTGTTTTACCTAATTATATAACAGTGGCCAGGGAGGAAGGTGTCAGGGATAGACGCTTTACCGGCACCATCCCATCAAATCCTGCTAAGAACTCCATGAAGGGGTATTATTATTCCCATTTTGCAGTTGGGAACACTGAGACTCAGAGAGATCAAATGCCTTGACTTCAGAATCTGTATTTTTTTTTTTTTTTGAGACAGGGTCTGGCTCTGTTGCCCAGGCTGGAGTGCAGTGACATGATCTCAGCTCACTGCAATCTCTACCTCCTGGGCTCAAGCCATCCTCCCACCTCAGCCTCCTGAGTAGCTGGGATTACAGATACATACCACCTAACCAGGCTAATTTTTGCTTTTTTTTTTTTTTTTTTTTTTTGTGGAGAGGGTGTTTCTCCATGTTGCCCAGGCTGGTCTCAAACTCCTGAGCTCAAGAGATCTGCCTGCCTCAGCCTCCCAAAGTGCTAGGATTATAGGCATGAGCTACTGCGCCTGCCCAGAGCCTGCATTCTTTACCTTTACAGTCTAGACCCTGCTCCTATAGATCCCCAGGAAAGAGCAAGACCATCTTTTTTAAATGCCAGAGCCTCAGATAGGAAAGGATGATCTCACCCAGGACTTCATTATACAGATAAGAAGACCAAGGTCCAAAGAAGGAGAGGAACCATCCTCTGACTATACAGAGCTGGGTCTCCTGCTCCCAGAGCCCCTCCAGCTTTACCCCCTGCTCCCCTCCCCTTCCTTCCATTCATGATGACCTCACTGGTCTCTAGGCTGTCGCTCCAACATGCTGAGCTCAATCCTGCCTCAGGGCCCTTGTACTTATTCCCCTGCCAGATCTAGCCTATCATTTCTTGTCTTCATTGACCACTCCATCTATAGTGGCTCTGCGTGTTGCTTTCCTACCTAGGTTTATTTTTATTCCTAGCATTTATCACCTTCTGTCATTATATTACGTATTTATATAGTTTCTTTTTGTCCACTACCTGCCTAGAATATTAGAACCATGAGAGCAGAGACTTTGTTCACAGCTGTATCCCCAGTGCCCAACCCAGGGCCTGGCCTCCATGATGCTCAATATGTGCTTGTGGGATGGATAGATGGGTGGATGAATGGATGGATGAATAAATGGGTGGAGAAATGGATGTATGATATGAGGGAGGAAGGGTGGGATAGATGGATGAATGGATGGGTAGATTAATGAGTGGATGGATAGATGGATGGATGAATGAATGGATGGATGGATGGATGGATGGATGGATGGATAGATGGTTGGATGGATGTTTGGATGGAGGGGTGGGTGGATAGATGAGTGGATGGATGGATGGATGGATGGATGGATGGATGGATGGATGGACAGCTGAATGGACGGATAGATGGTTGGATGGATATTTGGATGGACGGGTGGGTGGATAGATGGGTGGGTGGATGGATGGAGGGAATGAGGAGTGGATAGATGGATGAATGGATGGGTAGATGGGTGGGTGGATGAATGGATCAAGGGAGTGAGAGAGGGAAGGGATGGATGGATAGATGGATAGAAGGGTATACTAATGGGTGGATGAAAGGGTTGACGGATGGAAGGAATGATGGGCGGATGGGTGGGTGAGTGGATGGGTAGATGGGTGGGTGGATAGATGGTGGGCGGATGGACATTTCTCCCAGCGTCGCTTCCCATCCCTGTGCTGTGGGTCTCTCACGTGGCTGCCCTGACTTGCCTCCCCTGGCCCCAAGCCCGAGCAGGGAGCTCTGGGGGCTTCCACATGATTGGGCAGGATTTCTATTTCTCACCCTCCTCTGAGGCTGGGCAGACAAAAGCCTTTGTTCTTCCTCCCTGCCTGGCCCTGCTCCAGCCAGGGTGGGAAGTTGCTGGCAAGTCAGCAACTTAACTTTGCTGCAACTGAACTGAACTTTGAGGCGTAACCTGTCAAGCGAGCCCCGGAGGCTTCTGCGGTCCACAGGGGAGGGGCATGATGGAGGCATGGTGGGGAGCACCATGGCCAGGCACAGAGATGATCCCTATCTGGGTGGACCCCCAAGTCTCCCAGAGTAGATTCATTTTTTGAAGCAAGGAGGGGAAGCTAATAGATGAAGCTGGCTCTGGGCTCTCTGTGGACAGCTGGGGACGGTGTTTCTTTTTGTCCTCCAGAGTTGTTCTGCAGGGTGAGGGGTAAGAAAGGGGGCCGCTACTAAGTGCTCACGGTGGTCCTGTGAGGGGGTGTCACGGTCACCATTGCACAGAGGGGAAAACTGAGGCTCAAAGAGACTAAGTAACACGCCCCCAGGATCACCCGGCTAGAGTATGGAAGGCAAGGTATGGACCTGGACAGTGTGGCTCAGATAAAAATTTCTCATGTCCCATGTCACCCCGTCACACTTGGCATAAGAGCCACAGTTCTTCCCTAACACTGCCTTGCTGGATGAACTCAGGTAAGCCTCTTTCCCTCTCCGGGTCTTAGTTTCTCTCCTCTGTAAAATGAGAGGCTTGGCTGGGCCCTAATTTAGATATTGCAGGATTCTCTGGGTTACTGGGATCACTGGGTTCAACTTCCATAATAATATGAAGTCTCAAAGAAATTCTCAAATTCTCTCACAGTCCTGTGGCCACACCCGGGACCCACAGGCCCATTAGACAGAGCAGCAAACTAAGACCCTGACTGGCACCATCATTTCCTCCAGAGCCCTAGAGTGTGATGGGATCGCTGTGTCTCCGCCTGAACCCTGTCTGGAGTTCCAGGTGTCCGCTTTCCCCCAAGGCTGGGCACTGCACGGGAGAGAGAGTCAGAGAAAGCAGAATCTTGGGCAGGCGCTGCTGACCCATTGGGTGGGAGGTCTAAGAATCAAGGCTGCAGGATGGGGGATGAGGTGGGGGGGCCCTTTTCTCTGGAGTGGGACCCTCCCTTGGAAGCCAAACTGAATGGTCAACCATTACTCTGCTGGGCTGTCACTAACCACTCAAAACCAGTGGCCACTTGCCAATCTTCTGTCTTTGTCCAGGGCAGAATTGAATCTTGTTCAAATAAACTCAAAGGCCAGGTAGTTCACTGAAGCAATGACTGGAGAATTTGGCACTCTCCAGCCTGCCAGCCCTACCCAAACATCCTCAAGGTATCTGCATAACCAGCTCATTGCCCTGCCTACTCCAACCAGAGAATGTGGGAAGAAGCCCAGGACCTCTGTGCGGTGGTGGAGGCCCGCTTGGCTGCTCCTGACCTGTGTCTCTGGCCTCTTCAGCCTTTCCTCCAAATTCCACTCTGTGCACAAGCTGCTGGTCACCTCCCTGCACATGCTGTGTGGCTTCTGGCCTCGGGACCTCTGCACATGCAGTCTCCTCCACTGAGTTCTCCCAGAAACAGGCCCTCAGACACGAATTTGAGTGCAAGGAGTATATTTTGGGTGGTGATCTCAGGAAGCACCCATAGCAGGTTGGGTAATCAAAATAGGGAAGAAAGAAAATAAAATAAATGTTATTAAACCAATCACCGCTGTGGGCAACTAGACCTCAGACCCACCAGGGAACTCTGGGAGACAGCGAAGAGCATGCGCTTCAGTCATTCCAACCCAGTTGCAAGGGAAGAGATCATGTATCTTCCGACTTCCCCCAGTCGTGAGCTGCGGGCTAATTCCAGGGGCTAGTTCCAACTCTCTGGAACTTCTAGCTGAGCGTGCACCCATGGCCAAATGAAAGCACTTAAGCAGACATCTGCAGTGAGCGAGAGTGGGCATCTGTCTAGGGGACGCGGGCCGGGCAGCAACAGCATCTGCTACAAATGTTTCCTGGTTCCTGACCTTTTGCAACCTGACTCCTACCTACTCTTCAAAGCCCATCTCAGATGTCACCCCCTCGGGGAAGCCTTCCCTGACCCTCCTAAATCAGTCAATCACTTCATGAGTTTCTAATATCTGCATGAATCACAGTGGATTGTAATTGCCTGTCCCACAGGGGAGTGAACAACTTAAGGTCAAAGGTTTTACATCTTGGGCGTTAAGAACATGCATGTCACGCAGTCTTGAGTTCTGCTCTCCTGGCCCCTCTGAACAAACTGTGGTCTCCTATCTGTCCCCAGGGCCTGGTTGTTATTGGGCCCTCAGTGAACGTCCAGATAAAGGGATTGGAATGGCAATTTCAGCTCATTGACTTTTCCTCTTTCCCCTGAACTTTCCTGGTATTTCCATGATGGATGTTGTGGTTCAGCTAATGGGTCCCGATTCTAAATCCTCTTCAGAATCACTAGGATAGCATTTAAAAAACTTTGGGGGCTGGAGCCCCATCCCCCTGAGATTCAGATTCCGTTACTGGGATCACTGGCTTCACCTTTCATAATAATATGAAGTCTCAAAGAAATTCCCAAATTCTCAACCGGACAAGGGCATGCAGGGAGTGAGTTTGTCATGAAGTCCTACGGGGAGAGGGCCAGAGGGCAGGCAGCCTGGAGTCCATGCTGGGAGACAAATGTGGAGGAAGCAGAAATTAGAAATTAAAAGAAATGAACTGGACATATGGGCAGCCACATGGTTAGAGCTTAAAAACAAACATAGAAAAAAGGGAACATGGTGGAGCAATGTTTTATTACAATACGATGTAAATGGCTGAGAACCACAATGAGACTGTGCCGTCCTTAGGAAGGGGCTGTCAGACTCAGCTGCCCACTAGATTTGCCTGGTAACCCTTAAAGATTCCTATGCCCATGCCTACCCCCAAAGCCACTGCAGTGGAATCTCTGGGGCGAGATCCAGTATTTTTAAAATGCGAAGTCTGGGCTGAGAACTGCAGAACACGGGAGAACAGCTATCTCAATTCTTTGTCCTCAGAGGGGAATTCATCCTGTAATAATGTTACAAGGGTAAATGGAAAACCAACTATATGCCAGGCACTGTGCTCAGAGCTTTGCACACATTACCTACCCTTGTGGGGAGAGTTCTTTTATAATCCCTACTTCATAGATGGGGAAACTGAGGCACAGAGTGGTGAAGTCGGTGACCAAGGACTCACAGCTATTCAGTAGCAGAGCAGGCTTGTCCTCAGTACCCGGGGCTGCAAGTCTGGCAAAGGAGTCCTTGGCACCTCCCTCCTGTGTGCTCCAAAATTGCTCTCTCTGACGCCCTTTGACTCACTTGGTTCAGCAACCGCAAGGAGTTGTTGTTTCCCATAAATTCCTCATGGTCTTTTTTTTTTTTTTTTTTTAAACCTCAGCGCACAGGCAAACCCCACATCATGAAGGCTGATCGGCTTTTGAAGGCGAGACCTTCATTCTAAAGGTCACAGCTGTATGAGCCGTGTTTATTAGAGCTTATTTTAAATTGCTCCCTCAACCCTGTGAAAGGCGGGAAGTCTTAAAATTACTTCTCCCCAAAACTGGCGCCACCCAACCCTGGAAGTTCTCTGACTTGTTTCATAAGGAATTATTAATTATGATTTGTTTTTATAATTGTCCACTTGGAGTCTTGGATGACACACGCTCAGACTTGCCCATCCTTTTTTAAAAGAAGGAATCAAAAGTTCATGGAAATCAGTTATATTTAATGAGTGGAATTACTTGGGCTCAGTCCTGGATTAACTGTGTGACCTTGGGCAAACCCCTTCCCTCTCTGAGCCTCTGTTTTTCTAGCTGTAGGAGGAAGAGTGTGGATTAATATCTCTCATAGGATTTAGAATATGTATTTCCTGCCAGTCGCCATGGCTCACGCCTGTTATCCCAGCACTTTGGGAGGCCGAGGTGGGAGGATCATTTGAGGCCAGGAGTTTGAGAGAAGCCTGGCCAACATGGGGAAACCCTGTCTCTACTAAAAATGCAAAACTTAGCCAGGCGTGTTGGCGCATGCCTGTAATCCTAGCTACTTGGGAGGCTGAGGCACAGGAATCATTTGAACCTGGGAGGCAAAAGTTTCAGTGAACCGAGATCATGTCACTACACTCCAGCCTGGGCAACAGAGCAAGACCTTGTCTCAAAAAACAAACAAACAAACAAAATATGTATATGTGTGTGTGTGTGTGTATATATATATATATACACACACACACACACACACACACACATATGTATATTTCCCAGACCATAAATATGCCAGGGGTATATGAAGAGGTTTTAAGTTGTACATGGATGGACATTTTATAAGTTGTATTTTTTATTTCAATTCTTAAAATTTCATAGTATTACAACATTTCATTTGTAAATGCAGACATTTCTTATTGTTAGGATGGTCAATGAGGAGGAGGAGCTCTGCTTCATGCAGTCAGTCACTCAGGAATCTGACAGATGGGGGCTCAGTCATCTGCAACAGGTAGCTTCCAAGGTCTCCCTGAGGATCAACATCCAGCCAGCTGCCAGAAGAGGTGATAGAGGAGAAACCCATGCTCAACCAGCTCAGCCGAGAATGACGTACACATCAGTTCCCCTCACATTTCACTGGATAGAATTTATCACATGGTTCCACCTAGATGCAAAGGCAGTTGGGAAATGTAGTCTCCTGGGTGGGTGACTGCTTACCTACAACACTTAGGAGGAGGAGTATGAGTCTTTGGTGGATCCTTGGTCATCTCTGTCTCAGTATTCTCTTTTTATTTTTATTTTATTTTACTTTATTTATTTATTTTTTGAGACAGAATCTTGCTCTGACTCCCAGGCTGGCATGCAGATAGTACCATCTCAGCTCACTGCAACCTCAGCCTCCTGGTTTAAGCACTTCCCCCTGCCTCAGGCTCCTCAGTAGCTGGGATTACAGAGGTGCACCACCAGTTAATTTTTGTGTTTTTAGTAGAGACGAAGTTTCGCCATGTTGGCCAGGCTAGTCTCAAACTCCTGACCTCAAGTGATCCACCCACCCTGGCCTTCCAAAGTGCTGGGATTACAGACGTGAGCCACCACACCTGGCCAGTAAGTTGGCAGCAGTGGGATTCAAACCCATGCCTCTGAAGAGACTGGAGTCTTAATACAGTGCCTTAGACCGCTCGGCCACCCTACCTCCGTGGAAAATATTATTCTCTCTTTAAATAAATAAGTTGAAGGACAGAGATTTGCCACCTCACTTCTCAATGAATTAAAATACAATATACAATTTTCTATAGGTGGGAGGGCTCATTTGATGCAATGCTAAGGTTTACTGTTCAGCTGTGGTAATCAAGACAGTCTGGTTGGCAGAGGGACAGATGCATGCAACAGTGGAACAGAGTAGAGAACCCAAGAATAGACACGCACAAATGTGCCCAAAAGATTTTTGACAAAGATGCAAAAGCAGTTCAATGGAAGATAAAAAGCCTTTTCAACAGATCGTGCTGGGGCAATTTGACATCCACACGCAAGAAACAAAGCACATTGACCTAAACCTCACACGTTATACAAAACTTCACTCAAAATGGATCATAGACTTAAAGATAAAACATAAAGCTATAAAACATTTAGAAAAAAGCAGGAGAAAATCAGTCTTCAGAATCTAAGGCTAGGCAAAGAATTACTAGATGTGAAAACCAAAAGCACAATTCATAAAAGGAAAAAAATTGATAAATCGGACCTCATCAAAGTTGAAAACTTTTAACCCATGAGAGGCCCAATTAAGAGGAGGAAAAGACAAGCTACAGATTAGGAGAATATATTTGCAAACTGCATATCTGACAAAGAACTAGTACCTAGAATTCTTAAAACTTGACGGAATTCTCGAGAACTCTCAAAAGTCAGCAGTTAAAAAAATCCAAATAGAAAATGAGCAAAAGACACAAACAAATATTTCACTGAAAAGAACATGCAGATGGAAATAAACACATGAAAAAATGTTCAACATCATTAGCCATTAGGGAAATGCAAATTAAGGCCACAATCGGATATTGCTACACACCTATCAGAATGACCAAAATAAAAAACGATGGGAACTTTCGCATTCAATCACTGGTGAGGAATGGAGACACTAGAACACTCATACATTCCTGATGGGAATGTAAAACGGTACCGTATTCTGGAAAACAGTTTTTTAAAAACTGCCTTATGACTTGGCAGTTGCAATCCTGGACATAAAAATGAAAACTTATGTTTGTGCAAAAACTTATGCTCAAATCTTCATAGCAGCTCTCTTCATAATAGGCAAAAACTGGTAAACCACCCGGAAGCCTGTCTATGGTTTTTTTTAACTAAAAAAAGCTGTGTTATATCCATACTATGGACTGCTACTTGCAATACAAAGGAATAAAATATTGATAACACACAATTTGAATAAATCTTCAGAGAATTATGCTGAGTGAAAAAAACCAGTCCTCAAAGGTTACATAAACTATATGATTCCATTTATGTAACATTCTTGAAACCACACAATTATAGAAATGGAGAACAGATTAGTGGTTGCCATGGCTCGGGGGCAGGGTTGGGGGTGGGAGATGGGTTTGGTTATACAAGGGCAATGAGGGATCCTCGTGGTGATAGAAATGTCTGTATCTTGACTATATCACTGTCAATATCTTTATTGTGACTGTTAACATTGGGGGAAACTGGAAAGGGTATATGGACTCTCTCTGTTTATTTCTTACAACTGCATGTAAATCTATAATAATCTCAAAAGAATACATTTTAAAAAGAATATATTATACAATTTTCTATACCCAGACACTACTAAATATAATTATATCTTTGGTAACACAGACACACTGTTCTCAGATAACGGAAGTAGTGCGGTGATTATGTGTGTGACTTGACAATGGGATGGGCTGGGTTCAAATCTCAGCTACCAGTCCCTTCACCTCCTTGGGCCTCAGTTTCCACACCTGCAGGTGCTGAGCAATGAGAGGAACTGTCTCGTGGGGTTGCTGGGGGGACACGATGACGTGATTCATGAGACATGCAGAGCACAATGCTCACTTGCAGTGGCTGCCCAGTAAATGAAATTGCCACTTTTCCGGGCTGTAGAAAAGGCTACAGGTAGAGGCAGGCAGAGGATTGGACCCGAGAGCATCCTCTGAGAGCTCTAGATTGGGATCATGTCTCACCAGCCAGGGGGTTTGTTTTGACTTCTTTCTTGCAGGGAAGTGTCTGCTGAGTGGTCCATTCCACTCCCCTGAGTTTGGCCTGGTCGCTTCTTGTCTGCCCTCTGGACCCCGGTGGGTGCAAACTTTCATGGGTGTCTCTCCACCTGGAGCCTGTGGTTGGGACTGCTCAGGTGGGGACACAGCCTGGGGGGTGATCCTCTGTAAGGCAAAATGGAGCAGGAGTGGAACCCATGCCTACTGCATACCTATTGTGTGCCTTGTGACTTACGTGCTGCAGCTCACGGAATTCTCCCAACAACTTTGAGCAGTAGGTGCTATAATCACTCCTGCGTGATCCAGAGAAAACCGAGACTTGGTGAGGGGAATGGACTTGTCCAAGGTTGTGCAACTAGTAGGTGGCAGAGCTGAGATCTGAGCCCTGGTCTGTCTGATTTAAATCCAGAATCATTTTCACTGTTGATAATAACCTCACCACTTATTAAGTATCTACTAGAGTAATCAATATGCTAGCTCTTTCCATTGAGGTATGATCACCTTTCCATTTTAGAGAAGAGGAAATAGGGGTTAGGCAAGGTGCATTGCCAAGATGGACAACAGCTCTCAAAAAACAGCCAACCTTGCAGCCAACGGGCAGCTTTCTTGTGTGCCCCCAACCCCACCTGTAGCTCCAGCCCAGCTCAGCCAAGATCACTCAAGCTTTGGGACTTTTAAATGCTGAGTCAGCAAACAGCCCCTACCTTGAGATACTCTGCCTAGGCAGACTGTGGTTGTTTGCACTTCAGCTTCAGGCCTCCAGGGTCAGCTGAGATAGCAAGACCTTCCCCTGGGGGCTGGATGGGGTCATTGGGAGCCACTGAGAGACCCTTTCCCCACTTGGCCTGGCAGACAGAGTGGCAGTTGGAAGAGGCTCGAGGTGGCTGTGGTGGTAACAACTTCCTTTTGAGTAATAACATTTACTGAAAAGCAATTCTGCTTTTAGCACCAGAAGTTCACCATCCTTGCAAGCAGGCGCCTAAGAATACCTTCATTCAACCACAGTTCAGAGATTCACAGACTTCCTTTTGCACTCCCTCCAGGAGAGTTTCACATTTGGTGTTGAGGGAAAACCAAATACCACAATTATTGGAGGGGGTGGGAGGGGTGTTGAGAGGGAGGTGATGCGAAGGAGGCCAGGTGGCATCAACCACAGCCCCCAAGGCCTCACAGGCAGCCTCTGGGCAGCGGCTCAGCCTCTCGCCCTCAGTTACTGGAAAGACAGCGGACGAGCTCATAATGAAACCGACAGGCTGACAATTTATCTTCCTTTTACAAGAAAAAGAAAGTGATTGTCCTTCAAACAAGCATGACTTTGGAAGCCAGGGACTTACCCTGGCCACTCTGCAAATTAGAGACAGAGCCAGGCTGCTCCAGAGGCCCCGAGCCCCTGCCTGTCACCCCCAATTAGCGCTGGAGTTCTTTAGGCTCGTTTTTTCTATTGCCCAAAATCCAGTCTACTGGGGCATAATGGGGACTTATGGAAAGAAAAAAATCCAATCTGCACTTGGGAGGGGATAGCCTTAAATGTTAGGCACTCACCGCAGGCAGCTGGGGGTGGCTGAGGGCAAGGGAGAAGGCATGGGTGGGGAAGGAGGGGATGTGCCAGGCAGAGCCAGGAGGCTCCAAAAAGCAGCTCTAAAAAGCTCTCCCCCTCCCAGCAATCCAGCCTCCTGACTCACGCCAGACACAGAGGCAGCTGATGGGATGGGAAGAGGCTGGCTTTGGGAGCCACAGGGATGTGGGGGCAAACTCCAGCTCTGCCACTTGCTGGCTGTGTGACCTTGGGTGGGTAACTTCACCTCTCTGAGACTCAGTTTCCTCACCTTTAAGATGAGGATGAGTATAGGAGGTCAGGACATGACCTTCCTGTGCTCAAAACCCTCCCACGGCTCCCACCTCACTTGGCAGAAAGTCAAAGATCTCTGTGGCCTACCAGGCCCTACAAGATCTTTCCCATGCTTCCCTTATAACCTCATCTCTCTCTCTCTGTCTCTTTTTTTTTTTTTTTTTTTAAGACAGGGTCTCACTTTGTCACCCAGGCTGGAGTGCAGTGGTGCCAACACATCTCACTACAGCCTCAACCTCCTGGGCTCAAGTCATCCTCTCACCTCAGCCTCCCAGATAGGTAGGACTACAGACACATGCCTCCACGGCCAGCTAATTTTTGTATTTTTTGTAGTAGAGATGGGGTTTTGCCATGTTGCCCAGGCTGGTCTCGAACTCCTGAGCTCAAGTGATCTGCCCACCTTGGCCTTCCAAAGTGCTTGGGATTACAGGTGTGAGTCACCGCGCCTGGCCCATCTCCTCTTACTCACTCTCTCTGGTTCCCTCTACCCCTGCCACACTGGGCTCCTCTTTGTTCCTCCAACATGCTAAGCACACGCCTACCTCGGGGCTTTTGCACACACTGTTTCCGCTGCCTTCAGCATCCTTCCTCCAGATAGCCACAGGGCTTCTTCCCTCTCCTGATCTGGGTGTCTGCTTAAATGACCCCGGGGGTCCTGCTCTGACCCCCGGCCCTTCCAAATTGCTCCCCTGGCCTTACCTCTTCACCCTGCGTGAATGTTTTCCCATAACACTGACCACTACTTGACACAATAATTTAGGGGGTTCATAACTCCCCATTGGCCAGACTGTAAGCTCCCAGCAGGCAGAGGCCAGTTCTCCACTGTCCTCCATTAAATCTCAGAGCCTGGCACATAGGGGGCACTCATCCAGCATTGAATGAACAGATGCAGGGTTTTGTGGTGAGAAGGGAAGAAGGACGTGTGTGGCGGGTTCAGCACCAGCCCAGGGTGCGTGCTCACTGTCACTTCTTCTCTCCTCTGCCCAGCACCAGCCCCATGTCATGTGCTTGTTGAATTCCTACAATGGAAGGATGCATTTTACAGATGCAGGAATGAGACCACAGAGCCCAAGCGACTGTCTCAGCCCGCAGCGGGGCAAGGCTTTGAATTCTGGTCTGCGGGTCTCTTGGCCTCCAGGACAATGGTGACAGTGTCCAGTCTGACTTGGGGTCTGGGTGAGAGAAATGGCTGGTGGGGCCATCAGACTCTTGAGAAGAGGCCCTGGCTTTGAGGATCTCCAGCCGACATCTGGGCTTAGGACTGGGGTTCACGCCCCGTCCTCCTGTCCCACAGTCCCACATTCTGCCCCAAAGCAGAATGCAAGCCCCATCAAGGAGGCTCAGGGTTTCCAGAGAGGGGCTTCCTCAACTTTCTGTTGCTGGAAAGTTCTGTCCCAGAAAGGGCAGACGCTTGAGGAGCTCCTGGATCCGGCAGAAGGCTCTGAGACTAGGAGACCCCTGGTGTCCTCGCTCCCCGGCACCCCGCCAGTTCTCGAATACAAGGGACTTTCCAGAGAAGTCAGCCTCCTGGCTGCCTCCAAGCCTGCCCAGGCCTGCAGGCCCAGGTCTCCATGAAGCTCAGTCCTGCCTCGGTTTCCCTGTTTTTAATTTCTTGGAGAGGCCAAGGAGTTTGGAGGTGAACAGCCTCATACGAGCACTAATTTCCCCTAGGCCTGGGGCATAGGAATTTTGGAGCCATAAACAGGCTTCTCACAGCCCCCATGATGAGTCCTCCCCACACTCCATCCACCCTGGACTCTGGGCTGAGCTGGGCAAGGAGCTGGTCTGGGGTGGGCTGGGTGTTGCCTGTGGGTGCGGCTCAGAGCTGGGGGCGCTACCTCTGCCCTTCTGTCCCCCATCAGAGCTGCCCCAGCTGTATGAGAACCCCTCCCACAATGGCTACAACAGAGGGCACGCAAGTGAGACGCCAGGAAGAACTGCTTCAGCTTCGTTATCCTCAAAGGTGTTCGTACCCATCAAGCCTCCTAGAGCAGACCTCCATGACAGCTGCCCATGGGACAGGTCCACTCTGGAGATATGTTTAGTTTGGTCCTTAAAGTATTTTTTTTTAATGTGAATCAATTGCCAACATCTGACATGCCAGGAGATTTCACATAAAGTCCTTTTCTCTGGCTTCTCTTGAAAAATGGGAAGATGTGGCCATACTGGGCCCACATTCCTACTGGACACAGGAGGCCTGGGAGTGGGGTTGCGGGAGGCCCTTTCTTAGTGGCACATAGTAGGTACTTTCCTGTTCACCCAGTCCCTGCATGCCCCACTTTCCTCATATCATTTCCTTGCCAGGGTCTTGAAGTATGAGTAGGAGTGCGCCAGAAAAGGGCAGTGGAAAAGCGTTCCAGCAAAGGGGAACAGCGTGAGTCGGTGAGATGCATCTGTTCAAGATTCACTCGACAAATATGTATTGATACTTACTGTATACACAGGGACATACAGCAAGAAACCAAACAAATCAAAATCTCTGCCCTCTGGTTCTCAGCTAGAGGTGGTTTTGTTCCCCATGGGACACTTGGTTATGTCTGGAGATGTGTGTGGTTGTCACAGCTGGGTGGAGGGAGGGTGCTATCAGCATCTAGTGGGGAGAGGCCAAGGAGGCTGCTGAACCAATCCTACAAAGCCCAGGGCAGCCTTCAGGTGCAGAATGATCTGGCCCCAAATGTCAGTCAAGCCAAGGTCGAGGGACCCTGGTCCGGGGGCACAGACACCAAATAGGACAAGCCAATGAACTCAAACCGTGAAGCCAGCAGCTGATGAGCACTTTCGGATTAAATGAGCCGGAGCATGGTGAGAGGGATGCAGAGGGGTGTGGCTGCTCAAACAGGTGCCGTCTGCACAGGGGCAGGTCCTGAAAAGATTGTGGCACTGCTGGCAGGGTGGCCCTGGCATTGTAGGTGTTCACTGAGTGGCACTTTCTTTTTTCCACCCTGCCTAATCTTCATGACGTCCTTGCTGTGGAGCAGGGATCTGTGTTCCTGACCGGGCATCGCAAGCCGTTAAGAGGCTGACCCAGGGCTCCTGACCACTCAGTCAGTGTCCTTGTGCTGCCTGGAGGTAGTGATGGTCTCTGAATTGCCTCCTGTCATTCAGTCAGTCAACAAACATCTAACAGGAGCCCATTGGGGCATAGGGGGAGGGAGCAACTTAGGGTGAACTGCTCAGCTTACAACATGTGGTAGGTACGCAGGAAAGACTGGTGAAAGGAATGAAAAGAAAGAATAAGTGAATAAGCAAGCCTCAGGCCATTAAGACAATGATCATGGCCAGCATTGATTGAGTGCCTACTGTGTGGCAGGCTCATCCTAAACCCTCCATGTGAGAGTCTTACAGAAGGAACACCTCTGAAAGGGGGGCCAACGACCATCCCCACTTTCAAGGTGAGAAGACTGAGGGGAAGAGAGGTGATGTCAACTGCCCGAGGCCTAGCAAGAGAATGGCAAGGCTGTCGCCGGAGCCTGGGCCTACCAGATCCCAGGGTGCACCTGCTGCCTCAGTGTTGTGTATGCTGTGGCTCAAATCGTTATGCCACCGGCCCTGTGAGGGAGGTGCTAGCATTATCCCATGTTACAGATGAGGAAACCAAGTCTCAGAGACAGGAAGTGACTTGCCCAAGGTCACACGGCATGTGTGTTTGAATCTAGATTTCACGTTTTCAGCCACCAAACCCTGCCCCTCGTAAGCCCTGGCCGCTCTGTGAGGAGGATGCGTAAGTCCCAAGGGGTTGGGGAGGGAAAGTGGGCCAGGGAGCTAAGCCCTCCAGGGTCTGCAGGACCAGGCAGGAGGCTCTGAAGGAGGCAGGGTCCCTGGTGGGCAGATGGGAGCAGGTGGGCCTGGGGAGCCGCCAGCCTTCCGCCCCCACGTGCAGGCATGCCCGCCAGGAGGGCCTGTGGAGAGGCCGCCCCGCGGTGTGTGCCAGGCTGACAATGGCTCCTTGTGTCTGTGCCGACGGTGGGAGAGGGGAGGTATTGTTTGCCAGGACACCTTCCCGCCAAGGCTGGCTGCAGGCGGTCCTTGTCCTAGGACGCTTGGCACGGGGCTGTTCCGGGCGCCAGAGGGAAGTGTGTGTGTGCATGTGTGTGGCTGGGTGTTCTGGGCCACGTTGGTGCTGGCTGCGGCTCCCTGGGTGTGCCTGTGCACGTGTGTGTGGGGTGAGGGCATGTGTGTCTATCTGAGTGTGCCCATGCACGTCTTGCACACCCATGGCCAGTGTGTCTGAATAGTCTTGTGGCTTGGGGCTTCCATGTGTCTCCCTGGGCGTGGCTGTGGCTGTGACTTTACGTCTGGCACCGTGTGTCTCTCTGTACCTCTGGACCACGTGTGGCTCTGAGCACCTTTGGTTTGCGTGCCCATGTATGTCTCAGCCTGTCCCTCTGCTTGTGTCTCCATCTCCCTCGGGGTCTGTCTGTGGAGCATCTTGATCCCAAGGGGGCAAGAAAGCCTCTGTTTCAGAGTGCGGGCTGAGTTCCATTCGTGGCTGATAGGTGAGGGAGGGGGCTTCAGGCAGAGGGAATGGTGGGTGCCCAAGCTGGGGGGCAGGATGGAGTTGGCAGATCTGCAAGAGCAGCCAGGAGGCTGGGTGGCCGCAGTGAAGTGAGTGGAGGTGAGAGGACACCAGGGGCCACCTGCAGGCCAGAGTCCAAAGTGAGGGGCAGCCATCAGAGGATCTGGATGGGACCATGACATGGTCTGTTTCATGGCAACGCCTTTGGCTGCAGGTGAAAAATGGGTTGTAGGGCAAGCCTGAGAGGTGTTGGGAGTCGCTGTGGCCAGTGTTAGGAAGCAGTTCCACAGCGCCACCTCAAGGAACCCCCACTCCATGGCAGGGGTTGCAACTTCCCCATTTTGCAGAGGTGGAAACTGAGGCCCAGGGAGGAGAAATGCCTCCCAAGGCCTGCAGCCTGGGAGCTGGCCCAATGCTAAAGCCAACCCTCCACCTCCTCCATCTTGGCTGCCTGCTCCTCTGCAAGTCGCTCTGCATCTTGAGGCTCTGGTGACGCCTGTGCTAAAGTCAGAGAACCTGGAGTCCTCGTCAGGTCAGGAACCAGGACTCTGGAGCCAGATGACTTGGGTTCGAATCCTGCCTCTGTAGCTGTGTGACCTTGGGCAAATCACTTAGCCTCTCTGCACCCCAGTGACCTCATTGGCCAAATGGGAGTGCTTGTTCATCATTACCTCCAAAGTGCTGTGCCACTAGATCCCACCTGTGACAGCCGCATCTCCTATCCCTGCTTTATTTTTCTCCAAAACACTCATCACCTTCTAGCATACTACATCTTGTATTTACTTCCGATGACACTGGAGTGTCCGTTCCACGGCATTTTGGGTTTTTTGTTCATGAGTAGTGTCTAGAACAGGGTCCTGCACATAGTTGGTGCTCAGGACTATTTTGTTGCAAGAACCAGGTAATACATGTGACATATGGGAACACAGCCTGGCACGTAGTGGGTGGAATGGAGGTGTCTGCTGTTGTCATTAAGTTGGGAGTAGGCACTTGGAAGCAGGACAGCCCAGTCAATCCTGATTAGGAATGGGTGTCCCATCTCCTTTTCTGCACATCCTTCTTGCCTTCAGGACCTGCTCAGCCCACTCTGGGCCAGACATCTTTTATATTGGTCTCTGAAAATAGGGAGACTCTGGCAGGTGCTATGAGCTGCTGGTTTCAAGCCTTATGAGGGATCAGTGACCCGGTTTCCCCACCTGACCACAGCTGATCCAGAGGCTTCGATGGTCTCTGCTCTCTCAGGACTCTCCTCTGTATATTCCCCTATATATATATTCCCCCTGACCACCCCACTGCCCCAGATCTTCCCAGTCCCTCTGTCGGTAAATACAGTTGGCAGCTCTGGCAAAAATGTCCTGCCAATGGTACAACGAGTCGTTGGTGAATATTTAGGAAGCCCAGCGGGTTTGTCAAGGAAGCAGCTTCCTGAGCATAAATATTTCTAAGAAAGAATGAAAGGAGGGGCCTCGGCCTCAGAGATCAGTGGGTGGTGTGCTGACCTCCCAAGGTCATCATGTCCAGTCCTCTGCTGCATGGTCATTGCTTCTGGTGTCCCATTGGCACCTGGCATCCTGGTTTCCTGAGAAGGGTCAGGAGCTGCAGGGGGAATCCAGGCCCAGGCGGAGAACAACCTGCTCTGTCCTCTCACTTCCTTCCTGCTTTTCTTCCAGACTCCCATCCCTGGCTGGGACATGCTGCAGTTGTCAGCAGCTGCACAGGAGAAGCAGGTTGGGGGCTGACCAGGGTAGCCATGGCTTCCTTGAGGACCCACTGTGGTGTGGGGGCTTTGCTCAGCGTAACTGGATAAACTTGGTATCGGCCCTCCCCTCCTGCAGCTGCCAAGGTTCAGGCCTCTTCTCCCATTCCTCTCTCCACCCCACATTTATTGAGCACCTACTATGTGCCCAGCCCTCGGAGACAATGAAAAGACCTCTGCCCTACCTTTGCCCTGGTTCTGATGTCCAGTATCTGTCCTGGGACAGTTGTGACAGCTGCTCAATTGTCCCTTTCAGTCTCTCCCTGTCCCAGCCCTTCCCCTTCCACAACGGCTGAGTTCATCTTCAGAAAGTGCAACTCCAGATCTTGCTTCTGCTCTGCTCTAAAACCATCAATGGCTCCCCGCTGCGACCTGGAGAAAGTCCAAACGGCCCGGCTGGGTGAGCCTGGTCCTGCTCCATCTACCCCAACTGCCCTCTGCAGCTTCGTTCCCCACGTCGCCAGCCACGAGGATGACCCCTAGTTTTTCGAACACACCTGGCCCCTCCCACCTCCTTACCCTTGCTCAAGCCATTCCTGCCAGCCCAGTGCCCTTTCTCAGCCAACCTCTCGTGTCTGTAGCCTTTTGTTTGTTTCTTTCTTTCAGGACACATCACACAGTGCTTTGAATTGCACTTATTTATATCTTCTTTTCCTCCCAGAGGGCAGGAAGTTGCCAGATTCATTTCTGGGCTTGGCGCCAGGCTCAAAGTAGGTCCTTGTTAGATTCGCTGGCTGAGCTGGTGAGGATGCTGTATTTGCGCGGGTCTGGGGCCACCCAGCACATGTGTCCCTTCTTCTGGAGACCACGTTGAGTTTCCCCTGTGGTGCCTCCACCCCCTTGGTCTTGTGAATTAGGAGAGTTGACCCCATCCATCCTCAGGGCTGCAGGCCTGGCCAGTCAGGCCCCTGGCCACATGGATTGGTTCAGGGGTAAGCACACGATCCAATCAGGGCCAAGAAATTAAACCGGCGACTTTGGAATGGGAAAGACGTTGCCGCCTTGAGGTGGCTGAGCTCGTTGTAGGATGTCAGCCTGGAGCAGCTGAGGCACTGTGCCACCCTGAGAAACAGAGACCGCCTGAGAATGCCAGTGACATGGGGCAAAGCAGAGCCAAGAGGCGCAGACAGCCCCCAGACGAAAATCGTCAGCGGTGCTCCTGGATCCAGCTGTATCTGAAGCAGACATGGCTCTCTCATTCTCCCTTTTTAAAACCCACCTTGGGTTGGGTTTCCATTGCCTGCAGCTACAAGAAATCCTGACAAATAGCTGAGCCTTCTGAATATACATCTCATCACCTTACTGTCCGCACTGCCATGACCCCATGCGAAATTCTCTCATGAGGAACCCCTTTGAATATCCAAAGCTGGGGGAGGCGTCTCTTCCTCCACAGAGCTAGTTTCTTTTCTCACTCATGGGCAATATGAGCAATGATCGCTGGTTCTGGTTGCCTCAAGCTCCTTTTGGAATAAGGAAAAGAGCAAGTGGAATAACCTAAAGGACTAAAATGGGCTCGAGTTCCCAGGGGCTAAGGCTGGGCCCTCAGCCCCACTACTGTTCAGCATGGACAGGCACACAGCAGATGCTTCTCGGCCATTCACTGCTTGACAGTGCAAGGCAAGCTTTCTCAACCTGGGCCCTCGGGCATTCTGGACTGGCTGCTTCTCTGTGAAATACGCCAGGTTTGGTTAGGAGCGAGTTGCCCAGTCTGTGTTCTACTGACATTTAGTGCCAAATAACTCCTGGTTGGGGGCTGTCCCATGCATTGCAGGACTTGTTTAGCAGTGTCCCTGGCCTCACTACCCGCTAGATGCCAGTAGCACCTCCTTCCCTGAGTTGTGACAGCCACACATATCTCCAGACGTTGCCAAACATTCCTTGCAGGGCAAAATCACCCCCTGGTTGAGAATATCTGCTGTAAGCAAAGTGTGTCTCACAGGACCTGGCACATAGCAAGTGCTCAATAAATATCAGCAAAGATGGTTCGGTGACGATGATGCTAAAGATGATCACTGAGGAAATTTGGGGCCTCAGTGAGATCCAGATTTGGCTGACTTAAGTGGGAAGGAAATTTATTAGAGGAACATGAGTGAGCTTACAGAATTTATGAGAAAGCGGAAGAGTCAGTTCAAAACAACCCAGAAACGGAGGCAGTTCAGTAGGTCCCGACAGCAAGAAGCAGATATGCTGATAGCGGCAATGAGCTATTCCCGTTTCAGCCATCCCCCCACTTCCTCCTTCCTAACAGAACCTATTTTGCTCATTTTGCACAAGAAATCCCTGCCCCCACCCCTCCCATGGGCTCCAGGAAGATGGGCCTCAGCCAAGCCTCAGGGGACTGATTCCCGTTGCTCTAAGTCAGCCACAGTGTCCCCCACCCCAACAAGGCCAGTGATTGATTTAGGCTGGACATGGAATGTGATTTTAGCCAATGAGATGTGTTGAGAAATTTGTTAGAGGCTTCTGGGAAAGGTTTCCTTGCTCTTCGAGATAGAGGTTTATTTCACTTTGTATAATCCAGGTTTTCTTCTTTTTGAAGGCTGAATAATGTTCTGTGGTTTTTTTTTTTTTTTTTTTTTTTTTTTTTTTGAGACAGTTTCGCTCTTGTTGCCCAGGCTGGAGT
The DNA here is from genome assembly GCF_000001405.40 of Homo sapiens. NCBI lineage: Eukaryota > Metazoa > Chordata > Mammalia > Primates > Hominidae > Homo > Homo sapiens. The sequence goes on from NC_000020.11 coordinate 50,348,669, forward strand.
GCAATGGCGCGATCTTGGCTCACTGCAACCTCTACCTCCCGGGTTCAAGCAGGCCCCATATGTGTGGCCTGTGCAGAAAGAGACTGGCAGCCTGGAGGGGTGAGACCTGGGTGGAAATGAAGAATTCAACCAAAGCAAGTAAAGAAACTGCCAGAAGCTTGAGCCCCCGAGAAGCTCCCGATGTCTGGGGGTAATCCCAGGATCTCCATCTTTTTTTTTTTTTGAGACGGAGTTTCGCTCTTGTTGCCCAGGCTAGAGTGCAATGGCACGATCTCGGCTCACTGCAACCTCTGCCTCCCGGGTTCAAGCAATTCTCATGTCTCAGCCTCCTGAGTAGCTGGGACTACAGGCGTCTGCCACCACACCCAGCTAATTTTTGTATTTTTAGTGGAGACGAGGTTTCACCGTGTTGGACAGGCTGGTCTCAAACTCCTGACCTCAAATGATCCACCGGCCTCAGCCTCCCAAAGTGCTGGGATTACAGGCGTGAGCCACCACACCCGGCCGGATCTCCATCTTTTAAAAAACATGACTTTCTTCTCTGGGCAGGTGGGAGGCTGAGGGACACCTCAGCGTTAAGCCAAAAACAGCCGAGGCAGCATTCATGCCTCCTCCTTCCAAAGGCCCCCATGTCTCCAGGGGTTGGGAGCCTCCAGCTCTAGGCTGCGGGGATCCCCTCTGCCATTCAGGCCCAGCCCCTCTACACTGGGCCCTGAGCATGTACCTGGCTCCCCCAGTGTACCCGAGGGCCTTGCTGTCACCGGATGGATTGAGCAACTCAACCGAGTGTGCATTTTCCAGCTCAGGCTAACCACCATTCAGTCACTTCCCCTCACGTTCATAGACCAGTTGGTTCCTTGTCATTTCTCAGGGGACACCATGACCCTTCTTGTGAACTCTCCATGATGCAGGCGAGAATCTGAGTCACCCAGAGCTAGCAACCTGATTCACCTTTGTCCCCCAAACCCCTGGCCTGGCTCTCAGATGAAAACAAATAATAATAATAATAATGAATATAGCCACTAATTCCTACAGTGTCCTGAGAGCTTTACAGGTACCTGCACTGACTTTCAGGTAGGTACATGCTTGTCCCCATTTCCTAGATGAGGAGACTGAGTCCCAGAGAAGGTGAGTAACTTGCTTATAAGGGAAGAAGGAGTCGTGATCTGAAGCTAAGCAATAGGGTGGATACATTCAAGCATGTTTGGTTAGACATTTAGCAAAACACCTTTGCTGAAAAAAAAGTTTTGAAAAAAAGTTATGAAAAAAAAAGATTGGAAACTCTATTTTTAAATGTATCACCAGCTTGGGAGGCCAAGGTGGGCGGATCACCTGAGGTCAGGAATTCGAGACCAGCCTGGCCAACATGGTGAAACCCCGTCTCTACTAAAAATACAAAAAAAAAAAAAAAAAATTAGCCAGGCGTGGTGGCAGACACCTGTAATCCCAGTTACTCCAGAGGCTGAAGCAGGAGAATCACTTGTACCCAGGAGATGGAGGTTGCGGTGAGCTGAGATCACACCATTGCACTCCAGCCTGGGCAAGAAGAGTGAAACTCCGTCTCAAAAAAATAAAAATAAAAATAAATAAATGTATCACCAGCTCCATCCATTCATCAGACACATGTTTCCATAGTAGATACCTTGTGCCTGGAAGGTTCTTCTTACGAGGGACATGGGAGTGAACAAACAGGTAAGGTCCCCTCCCCCCTGGAACTTGTAGTCCAGTGAACACAATCAATCCATTTAGGACTTGAACATTTGAAATTGAGACTTCCCTGTACCTATAATTATCAGAACTGTATGAGATCCTGAGGTGGAAAGATGGTGACTTCTGTGGGCTTTTTTGCTCAAACACAATTCTTTAAGAAAGAGACCTGCATCTCGGGCTGCCCACCGCAGTGTGAGGATGTGAGAAAGACCCAGGGACCTCACAGACCATGTGATGTCACAGAAGGCACAGGACTGCCAGGTGCAGTGGGTCACACTGTAATCCCAGCACTTTGGGAGGCAAACATGGGGGTGTCGCTTGAGGTCAGGAGTTCAAGACCAGCCTGAGCAACACAGCAAGACTCTGTCTCTGCAAAAAACCAAAAACCAAAACCACAGGGCGGGGAGGTCAGACCAGCTGCCTGGAATCCCAGCCCAGACCCTCACCAGCATGTGACCCAGGACGGGCCACGTGCTGTCTCCTCAGGAAGCCTCAATTTTCTCATCTGGAGACAGGGACAATGAATCCCTTCCAGGATCACTGTGAAAAGACAGGTTGAGCATCTCTAATTCGCAAATCTGAAATCCGAAATGCTCCCAAATCTGAAACTTTCTGAGTGCGGACCTGATGCCGTAAGTGAAAGCCCGCGGTTTTCTGTTGTCGCTGTTGTTTCACGGCTGAGCCCCCTATCTGCTGATATCGCTGTTCTGCTTGGTCGCCCTGAACTCCTTATTTTCCCACTGTATTAATGCTATGTCATACTTTTTACCATGGAGTACTTATGTGTGAGTAAGTGTGAGACAATGATTGCTTATTGATAGCATATAAATTCAGAGTCAGGAATAAGGGTGATGCCAAACAACCACAGATTGTCCACGTGGGTAACTGAGATAGGTGTGGGACGCCTTTCTTTCTGTTGGTGCGATGCACACAAAATTTGTTTCATGCACAAAATTATTAAAAATTATGTACAATTGCATTCAGGCTGTGTGTATAAGGTTTGTATGAAACATAAGTAAAGGTCATGTTCAGATTTGGGTCCCATCCCTAAGATATCTCATTGTGTATATGCAAATATTCCAAAATTTGGAAAATATAAAAATCCAAAAGACTTCTGGTCCTAAGCATTTTGGATAAGGGATCCCTTAGACGGTACCCTGTGTCAATGTGGGATATACTATGTAGGAAAATGTATTCGTGGTTCAACCCCCAGTCGGCCTGAGGGAAAGTCGATTCCAGAAAGGCCAAGTGATGAAAGTTCTTCATCTTTGTGGACCTCATCTGGGCTCAAACACATATTACAGACCTCAGTGTCAAAGGAGCCCTGAAGTCCCTTCAACAAGGGTTGGCTGGGTGAGGACTGTGGCGGCCTGGAGGGTAGCTGCGACTCAGCCTCCACGGGGAACGCATCCCAGTCATGCCAAAAAGCCATCTTCCTCAAGAGAAGCCAGAGATCCAGATTTTGATAGAAACTCTCCCAATTTTTAGGCCAGGCGCAGTGGCTCACACCTGCCAGCACTTTCGGAGGCTAAGGCGGGCAGATCACCTGCGGTCAGGAGTTCAAGACCAGCCTAGCCAACACGGTGAAACCCTGTCTCTACTAAAAATACAAAAAAAAAAAAAAAAATTAGCCAGGTGTGGTGGCCTGTGATCCCAGCTATTCGGGAGGCTGAGGCAGGGGAATCCCTTGAATCCAGGAGGCAGAGGTTGCAGTGAGCTGAGATCATGCCACTGCACTCCTGCCTGGACAACAGAGAGAGACTGAGTCTCAAAAAAATAAAAATAAAAAAATAAGAAACTGTCCCAGTTTTTAAACGTTTGCCACTAATGACGGCAAAGCATTGGCCTGCCACCTTGCACCTTCTGGGATGGCAAATGATCAAAAACACAGACACTAGCAAATGTTGGTGGGGGTGTGAGCAGCTAGAACTCTCATATCTTGCTGGCGGGATTGTAAAGAGGTACAGCCGATTTGGAAAACAGTCCAGCAGTTCCCCAAAAGTGTAGATTGAGTTACCACATGACCCAGACATTCCACTTCTAGGTATATACCCAAGAGATACAGAAGTATATGTCTGCGCAAAAACTTACACACAAATGTTCACAGCAGCACAATTCATTACAGCTGCACAGTGAAAACAGCTCCAATGGCCATCACTGGATGAATGGGTGAACCCCATGTGGTGGGTCCATACAATGGGATATTAGTTGGCAATAAAAATAATGAACGACAAACTCATGCTACAGTGTGAATGAACCTCGAAAACGTGGTGCTGAGTGAAAGAAGCCAGACACAAAAGGCCACATAGGGCACGATTCCATTCCTAGGAAATGCCCAGAAGTGGCAGATCTGTAGAAACAGCAAGTAGATTGGTGGTTTGGGGAGGCTGGGATGAGGGCATATGGGGAGTAGGCATGGGATACGGGGCGTTTTGGGGAGGTGGTGAAAATGTTCTAAAATTGATTGTGGTGATGGTTGCACAACTCTGTGAATGTACTTAAAACCATTGAATTGTACATTTTTACAGCGCGAATTTTATGGTAGGTGAATTATATTTTGATAGAGCTGTTAAAATACAAAAGTGCTGGCCTAACAGAGCCCCTTGGTGGGTTAGAGTCAACCACTGGCCACGCTTTTTCCATTCCTTGATTCCAGAGGTTATCCTCAGTTATCCGGAAACTTCAGCCACCTGGAACACCGGTTCCTGCGCATGAGGCGGGACTGTCCCAGAAGGCAGAGTTTCCCCATGGGGCCCAGCAGTGACAGAGAAACACCCTGGAATGGGAGGTGAGGGGTGTTGCTGCTGACACTTGCCTTTTTGCTTTTTTGTAAAAATCAGCCATTAAATGTAGGCAGAGAAAGGCTCTGTAGGTAACTTCTAGCCCCAGACAAGAAGGAAGTGGAGTGGGTGAGCTGGTGGGAAAACAGTGGTGGGCAGAGGCCAGGTGAGGCCGTGCAGATCCTGGGTGGCCTGAGAGGAGGTTCAGCAGGACAAGCGCTGACCTGAACGCTGGCTGGTTTTGCCCCTTCGCCCATCAGCCAGTGGCTTAGCAGCTACTGCATGTCAGGCACTGTGCTGGGTGGTGGGAGAATGTCACATGGGAGCGTCTTAGGAACATCCACACAGGGGAAGGAGCTGGAGAGAATCTGGGAAGACCTCTCCGGGGAGGTGACATTTCAGCTGAGACTTGAATGAAGTGACATCCGGGGCAGGGGATCTGCGTGGGGGACAGGAACTGCAAGTGCACAGGCTGTAGCGTGCCTGGCCCCAGAGAAAGAGGCTGCGGAGCTGCAGCCAAGGGGAAGAGGGAGACAGGGTCGGTTAGGAGGTCAGGGAAACCACGAGGGAGGTCCCAGACCAGGCAGGGCCTTGCGGGCTGTTGTGAGGACTTTGACTTTGCTCTAAAAGAGCTGGGAGCCATGCAAAGCTCTGAGCAGAGAGTCCTGACCTGACCTCGGTTCTAATAGTAGCCCTCCAGCCCAAGGGGAGAATGGGTTGGGGTAGGGGCGGAGCAGGGAGGCCAGGTGACTGCGGGAGGCCAGAGGGGAGCAGGGAACAATGGCTGGTCCAGGGTGGTGCAGGATGAGGTGGGAGAAGATAGTCGTTGTTTTCTCTCACTGCACAATGTACCTGCTGTGCAGAGATACAGGGCAGGTGAAACCGGAGATTCCACACATATATTAGACACACACACGCACACACACATACACTCTCATATATGTCCTGTGTAGATATGGATCCTATGCACATATTTCACACACACTCATATATGTCCACATAGATGTAGATTCTATATGTATATTATACACACACATATATATTCTACCTTCATATAGGTTCTACACATATATTACACACATTTATATTTTGCATACATATAGATTTGGCACATATATTAGACACACATTCGATATTCATATAGATTACCTATAGAATACCTACTTATTTGCATTCTATTTGTATGTGTGGATTCGAGACATATTATACACACACATATAGACTGCATACATAGAGATTTGACACATGTACTATACACACACACTCATAGACTCTACATACACATAGATTTGTCACACATATTATAAACCAAGTTGACCCTGAGTTCTGGCAGCCAGGGTCTGTGAACTTGGCTCTTGGAAGGGGCTCAGCTCTGGAGTTAGGGAGTGCAGGATCTGCTGCTTAGAGCTGTGGGATTCAGGCTTTGCTTCTCTGAACCTCATTTTCCTCATCTTTAAAATGGGATGACAATACCTGCCTTGCAGGGTTGTTGGGAAGTCTTGGTGAGATCACCATTTATGCAAAGCAGCTGATCTGCTCGGGAAGACTATTTAATAGCAGTCATCACACTAATAACGAGGTGTGTTTTGGGGCCAAGCAAACCCCACGGAGCACCTTCCTGGAACACAGGTGTGCACCACGCCTACACGCCCTCTCTCCTGCTCAGCCAGAATGGGAAAAGGAGTAGGCCTGGGGCCTCTGTTTGGGAAGGATGGACCAAGAACTCCAATGGAAACCTATGAGTCAGCAACAGGCATAAAACAGTTAATGGGTGCGCCGCTTCAGCTACAGTAATGATGGGGAGATGGAAGCCTAGATAACATCCAGAAGGCAGGTGGATTAGTCAGGGCTGTCTCAGTTGCAAGGAACAAAAATCCAACTAAAACCAGTTTAGGTGAAAGATAATTTATTGGGTCACATAAAAAAATTCCAGGGAGGCTTGCTTCAGGCATAGCTAGATCCAGGTGTTTGAATGATATTGTTTTCCACGTCTCTCTGGAAGACTGAGTTAATCAATATATATGAAGCACCAACTACCACACCTAATGCTCAGTAAATACTAGCTATCATTTTATTACTACAACTGCTGCTGCTACTGCCACTGTGACTACGACTCCCACTGATACTAATATGACCCTATCAGCCCAGCGACCCAGAGGGAAGCTCCAGCACTCTTTCTCAACCATTCCTATCAAAGCCCCCAGACTGGCTCTCATTGGCTGTGACTGGATCATGTGGCCATCTCTCACCCTGCCCCGTGGCCCATGGCCAGGTCCTCAGTCACAACGACATCCTTGAAGCTGGGGGTGGGTCAGCTTTGCTCAAACTCCATGGACTGAGAGTGATAGAGCGAGACTCCTTAATGGAATATCAGAAAGACAGAGAGTGGAGACTGGCCAGGTCCAGCCATCCTTCATGTGGGCCCTGGCGGGGCCATCTCTGCTGCCTGCCTGTCCCCCACATGGAGGTTGGCTGTGCCTGTCCAGTCATCCTCTTACATGCTAGGTAGTCTCCCATCCTTCCCATCACTTGGGAGTCCTGAGGCCTAGAATTTTCCACAATGTTACTTTCATTGCACAAGAGGCCTCTGGAGTTGAACGGACTTAGGTTTGATACTCAGTTTCATTGCTTAGTTAGCTTCACCTCCCTGTGCCTCAGTTTCCCCCATTTGTGAAATGTGGATAATGATTCTCACTTCCTTAATTCAGCAGATATTTTATGGAACACTATTTCTGGTACTTAGTGGCTACCACCTGCTTTAACACTTTCATTTTGACTCGCAACAACCCTGAGAGTTCAATATAACCATCCATTTTTACACATGAGGAAACTGAGGCACAGAGAGGCACAGTCACTTGTCCAAGGTCCCCTACCAAGAAGGAGAGGCAGAGCTGGGATTTGAACCCAGGGGTGATCAAGCTCAATGGCTGTCCATGTCGCCCGTGCTTCACCTGAGGAGGCTGGCGAGGTGTATCCTCTTTCACCTGCCTCAGTTTTCCTCATCTGTGAAACGGCCTCATGGCTTTGGAGCAAACAGAATGACAGATAAAAGGGACAAATGACACAGGGCTCTCCATTTGTTTAACAAGTACTTATTGAGAACCTACTGTGTGCAGGGCACCAAGCCAGGCTGTGGAGAAAACAGAAGCGGGTGACAGGATGGGAGAGGTTCCAGAAGCCGCTAGGAGGAGAAGGCAGTTGAGCTGTGACCTGGGGCAGGTGGATGGGCCTCCCTGGGAAGATCTGGGTGTGGGAAGCGCCTGCCAGGCAGGGGGCACCTCAAGTGCAAAGGCCCTGAGGTGTGGACAGGTGAGAGAAGACCAGGACAAGCCCCGCTGTTGCCGTCGTCTGGAAACCAAGGCACAAAGAGAGGAGGGGACGGAGCCAAGGCCACGCAGCTGGCAGAGGTGGAGCTGGGATGTTAGGGGAGGAACAGAGGTCACGACCTCTGCAAGCTTCATCCCCCACCCCTCACCCCCAGCCAGAATCTTCCAGAGGGGTGGCCTCCCCTTCCTGAGCCACCCCAGCTGTTGCGGAGGCTGCTGCTGTCCTGGTTCCCTTGTTTAATTACAAACAACATTTTTCGCCCTCACTTAATTATGCAACAGACGCCCGTGGATCTGCCACCATCTGGCCCCACTTTCTGGCTTGAGACGACGAGTCGCAGTGACTTCGAGGGCTGAGAGGGGAGCAAGCGGGAGGCACCTCGGCCAGGAGGGCACCGAGCTTGGCATGGCCTCAGCTCTGTGATGTACCTGGCCACATCTCTGAGTCCTCATCTGCAGAATTGGGACAATTGAGGGCTGGCGCAAGGGTCTGTGAGACAAGAGCTGCTTGGCAAAGAGGAGCCCTCAGCCCTAAAGGGGGCCTCGAGGGGCCAGGATGCCATCCCCGGGAGGCAGAGTTAGCCCCTCCTGTGTCTCAAAAGTAGAGTAGAGAGGGTTCAATTCCACCTTCCGGCAAGCTGCGTGGGCAGCAGAGTTCCCATTCCGCAGATGGGAAGAATGAGGCTCCAAGAGGCTCAGGGACTTGCCTGAGGCCCTGGCATCTGAGTGTGGGAGTGGGTTCATGGCTCCAAAGTCCTCCATTTCCACATGAGTGTCTTGCAAACTGCAATTTTTCTTGGGCTGTCAGTTATGAGGGGAACAGCCCTCCCCTGGTTTATCCCCCGGGAGCTTGGTGTGGGGCTCTGTGTGTGGCCCTGCGTCAGCTATGAAGTCCTGGTTGATTTGAAGCCAAAACTGGCCCTTCCAGCTGGGGAGGGGAGCAAGTGTGAATTATTTTCAATGCCCTAATTAATAATAATAGTAATATTCACTGACAATTACTAAATACTGACTATGCACCAGGTACTTTCCATGAATTATCTCATTTTCAAATGATCACCAGCCTTCTGAGGGAGGCGCTGCTGTGCCCACCCCACCGGTGAGGAGCCCAAGGCACTGAACACGGGGTTGCGTAGGTAGGATTCGAACCCAGGCCCTGCAGACAGCAGAGACTGGCGCTGCTGAGAGTCGACTGTGGAACACGGGGCTTTTTCTGGCTCTGTCCTTTTCTGGCCTTTCTTTAAGAGGCAGCACCAGCAGCTGGATTCCACTTTGAGTTGCAGTGTGTCCTGGGGTTGGAACTCTGGGAAAATCCCAACAGCAAGCATCCCGGGCTGCCTCCTGCAGGTGCATGGGTTGAAGACATCTATGCAGAGGCTGGACTTGTCCAGGAAGGGGTGGGAGGCATAGATATCAGGGCCTTCGGCCCCCCAGGAGCCATGAGGTGCAAAGAGATGCCTGCAAGGCCCCTTGCCTAGGCTGCCTCGCCAGCTAGAAGCTTCTGAGCCACTCTCCAGTCCTCTGCTTATCATTCCCATCAAACTCATGAGCTGGGCCTGGCGGACACACCCCCTCAACACCTCACTCCAGCTCCTGGCCTGACCTGGCCCCAGCCTCGCCTCCTCCTCATCTCCCTGCACCGCCCTCACCCCTAGGATCCATTCTCCACACAGGATTAGGGGGAGCCTGCTAGGACCCAAGGCTGACAGTGCCCCTCCCTTGGTGAAACACTTTTGAGGGCTCCCCACTGCTCTTGGACTAACCCCCTAAGTCTTGTTGCAGCCTCCGTGGCCTTGCATGGTGTCTCTCAGTAATCTCTGCACTTGCCGGCCTCCCCTCTGTCTCCAGAACCTACTCAGACAGTTTCCACCTCAGGACCTTTGCATTCTCTGTGCCCTTTGCCTCGACTTCTCTGCCACTGGATCATACAGCCGTATCATCCTAGTCCACACTGTGGCCAGAGCAAGCTTCCTGAACCCTGCATCTCAGCAGGTCCTCTGCTGCCTAAGTCTTCTCTTGGGCTGAACACCCCATCCCCAAATCCAAAGCCCTGGATGGGGCTGAGGCTGCCTGCGCCCCCTCCAGCCTCCTCTCCTGAGCTTCTTTTAGTGCCCCCAAAGGCCTGCCTTTGTGCCAGGGTTTCTCAGCCTCGGGCTGGACCATTCTCCATTGCAGGGCTGTCCTGTGCTCTGAAGGACACTAAGCAGCGTCCAAGGCCTTGGTCCACTGGATGCCAGCAGCACCTTCCCCAGTTGTGAAAACTAACATCTCCAGACCACCAAATGTTCCCGGGGAGAACAAAATCACCGCAGTCGGGACCCCCTGGGCGAGGCTTTTGTCCCTGCTGTGCTCTCTTTTGGGGACACTCCCCACCAGCCCTCTGCACCCACCCTGCTCAGCCCTCTGTGTATTTCACAACCCTTAGATGCCACCTGCGAGGAACCTTCCCAGCCCAGGCAGGTCAGGAGGCTTCTGGGTGCTCCCACAATGCCTTATACTCATCATCGGAGACCTGATGATGCCATCTTGTAATTGTCAGGGGGCATGTTGGCCCACCCCTCACCCCGCCCCTGGGGATGTCAGCTCCACAAGGGCGGGCTCCATGTCTGCTCTGTCCTCCACCGCGTGACACGCACAAGCACCGAGCACAGGGCCTGGCGCGAAGGGGATGCTCAGTTCACATTTCACCATCTCTCCACTTGTCTCTGCCTCTGTCCTCATTCATCACAAACACACCCCAAGTCCACACATGTGTGGGTGCCGCGAGTGCTGACAAGAATCAGACGTGGTTCCTGCCCTCAGCCCACTCACACTAGCGGGCAACACAACACAGTAGGGGAGCCACAGGGGACCTGGCAGCTCCAAAGAGGCATCTGATCCAAACTATGGGGAAGAAGGGAGGGTCAAGATGGGCTTCCTGGGGGAGGTGACGTCTGGATGACTGAAAGGATGAAAAGGAGGATCAGCAAAAATAGTGCCAGGATACGGGGTACCCAACGTAGTGAATGTCCTAAATGCCACTGACTTGTTCACTTTAAAATGTTTAATCGCATGTCACATGAATTTCACCTCAATTATTACAAATAAAAAAATAGTGCAAATAGAGGGACTAGAATGTGTAAATGTCTGGTGGACAGAAACTGAAGGTCATTTCACTGGAGCTGCAGGTCAAAGGAGCAGATATTGGAAGTGGTGATGAGACAGGAGAGCTGGCCAGGGGCCCTGTGGCCACAGAGAGGAGTCTGGGCTTTTTCTTGAGTGAGTGGGAGTCACAGAAGGTCGTAGGCAGAGGAAGGAATGTGGAGAAGAGAGTGGGTGAGGCTGGAAGCAGGAAGAGCAGAGAAGGGGCGATGGCCACAGTCCACGGGTGAGAGGGAGGAGCCTGGCCCAGGGCTTGGCCAGGGAGGTGAGGAGATGTGGTTGGATATAGGAGATATTTAGGGCATAAACCCGACAGTTACGATGGTGTAGATGTGGAAGGTGAGAGGGGAGCATCACGGACAATGTCCGTGTTGCCTCAGTCAGGAACCCATCCAGGACCTGCCCCCATGTCCCCCAAGAGCCTTCTATGCGGGGGCAGGTGCAGGGACCCAGCTCTGTGCTTCCCTCCTCAGGGGCTCTGCCTCCCCCAAGGCTCTGTAAGGGGTGGTCTTGGCACTCCCATGACCTTCTGTGTGACCTCTGGCTAATCTCTTGGCCTCTCTGGGCCTGTTTCTGGGGCATCTTTGTCTACTCTTCCGGGAGGAGTGAGAGGCACTCCGCCCAGGCAGAGGACCTTGAAGAACCTGTCCTGCAGGGTGAGGCCCTCACCCGCCCCTCCTGGGGTACTCAGCAGGTGAGGGGACACCTGGTGCACAGCCTGGGCAAGAGACCCAGCTCCACCACGCCCTGCACGGCTGACTGGCCTCTGCTCACCTGAGGGACGCTGGGGTCCAATCCTCCAATCCCAGGGGCTGTGCCCCCAGGCCCAGCCTGGGATTCTGAGCCTCACACTCTGGCCAGGCCTGGGGGATGAACACCCTCCGTCAGCAGCCTGGGGTCAAGGGCATGAGGGCTGGAGCCAGGGCCTTGGGGCAAATCCCAGCTCTGCCCCTTCCTGCTGAGCTGCCTTACGCAAGTGACTCAACCTCTCTGATGCCCAAAGAAAGAGATCTGTCATGGAGGCTACATCCCACACAAGTGGGGCTTTTCCACACGGGGTGGGTATGAGTCCCGGTTCACACACTGGCACTGTGGAGTTTCTTTGTGTTTTCACAAATGGAACTGATTTTCCATCTTGTGTCGTGGTTATGCCAGGCTGGAGGAGGCTTCATCTGACGGTGATTCCCACCCTCGCCACCACCCCACTCCACTTTTCCTGGGAAGGCTCTGGGTCCCCTGGCCTTTCATGAGGCCAAGGTGTTGGGGATAGGAATGAGGACAGAGGCACTGGTGTTGGGTGTCGTCTTCCCACCAGGCATTGCCTGACACAGGCTGGTCCCCCCCCTGAGGCCCTGCGTGGTTCTGTGCCTGCCCCTTCTCCATTGCCCCTGGTCCTGGGGGTCATTTGGCTGCTTCCTGGCTACTTCAAGGGCTGGTTGGAGGCTGCCTTTCCAGAATCCTGGAAAAGCTGCTTCTACCTGAGGTTCTGGGCCTCACTGGGCTCAGCCCCAGGCTGGGGGCCACCCCTGACACCCCGTCTCTGTACCTATCCTGCGACCCTGGCTCTGATTCTGGGTGGGGGAACCTTGCTCTCTGCAAGACGTGAGTTCTTCCTGCTCTTCTCAACTTTTGAAACTCAAAAGCCAGGAAGCCTCCTGGGATCCCCGTACTTGGTGTCCCCGCCCTTCCCGGAGGCACTGAGTACAGACTTACAGTGGGGAAGGACGGAAGGGAGAAAGGAAGAGAGCAGGGGCCTAGGTGGGTGCAGGGCAGGGAAGAGAGGCCAGTTCTGCAGCCTCCCCAGACAGTGGCCCTCGGGATCCCTTTACATTTTAAAAAACTGCTGAGAACCCCAAGGAGCTCTTCTTGCTTGTGTGGATTCTATCAGTCGATACTCACGTTAGAAATGAAAACTAAGAAATGTATAACATATTTATTTATTCACTCAAATGTAATAATAAATCCATTACATGAACATAACATTTTTTATAATAAATACCTATGCATTTTAAAATGGACAAATTTAATGAGAAAAGTGGCATTTGTTGGATTGTGGATATTTCTGCATCTCTCTGTAACAGCTGGCCTCTGGGGGACAGCGGGTCCTCACACTTGCTTCTGCAGTGGATCTGCTGTGAGACTTTGTTTAGGATGAAGTACCTGAGAAAACCTGGCTTCCAAAGGCACATCGTTGGAAAAAGGGAGGATATTGTCACATTGTGAAATACATGTATATTGAGACGGAGTCTCACTCTGTCGCCCAGGCTGGAGTGCAGTGGCGTAATCTAGGCTCACTGCAGCCTCCGGCTCCTGGGTTCAAGTGATTCTCCTGCCTCAGCCTCCCGAGTAGCTGGGATTACAGACATCTGCTGCCATGCCCGGCTAATTTTGGTATTTTTAGTAGAAATGGAGTTTCACCATGTTGGCCAGGCTGGTCTCTAACTCCCGACCTCAGGTGATTTGCCTGCCTCGGCCTCCCAGAGTGCTGGGATTACACGCATGAGCCACTACACCCAGCCATGAATAGTCTTTAATGCTACACAAAAACTAATCAGTGGTAATGTCTTAAATTCAGATGCAATGTGGAATCTAAACATCTATCAATGAACTTTTCAAACTCTTTACACTCATGTGAGAATGAGAGTAAACAGGGCAAATAATCCTACGAACCCCTTAATGGGTCTTGGGGACCCCTAGGGATCTTCGGACCACACTTTTAGAACTGTTGTGTTCTCTACAATGGACACGAACTCATCATTTTTTATGGCTGCATAGTATTCCATGGTGTATATGTGCCACATTTTCTTAATCCAGTCTATCATTGTTGGACATTTGGGTTGGTTCCAAGTCTTCGCTATTGTGAATAGTGCCGCAATAAACATACGTGTGCATGTGTCTTTATAGCAGCATGATTTATAATCCTTTGGGTATATACCCAGTAATGGGATTGCTGGGTCAAACGGTATTTCTAGGGACATGGATGAAGCTGGAAACCATCATTCTCAGCAAACTATCGCAAGGACAAAAAACCAAACACCGCATGTTCTCACTCATAGGTGGGAATTGAACAGTGAGAACACATGGACACAGGAAGGGGAACATCACACATCAGGCCTGTTGTGAGGTGGGGGGAGTGGGGAGGGATAGCATTTGGAGGTATACCTAATGTTAAATGATGAGTTACTGGGTGCAGCACACCAACATGGCACATGTATACATATGTAACTAACCTGCACGTTGTGCACATGTACCCTAAAACTTAAAGTACAATAATAAAAAAAAAAAAGAACTGTTGTGTTCTCAAAGAGAAGTATCCCAGCAGTCAGAAAGCTGCTGGTTGACCCCCACCAGGGACATACCAGGGTATGATGAAGAATGCAGGTTCAATTCCCATTTCTGCTGCTTCCTGGCTGTGTGTCTCTGGGGAGGTCACTGCTTCTCTAAGTCTCAATGTCTTCATTTCTAAAACGGTGATAAGAAGACCTACCTTACAGGCTTGTGGTCAGGACCCATGAAAAGCAGGATGTGAATGCAAAGCCCTTGCTCATATGTGTTCCTTTCTGCCACAGGGCCTTTGCGCGGGCTGTTCCCTCCATCTGAAACCCCTTCCCTCCCGGTTTTGCCAAGGGAACTCCTTTCCCTTTAGCTCTTGGCTTAAGTGCTTCTTCCTCCAAGAAGCCTTCCCTGACTTCCCTGGAACGTCTGTTAGAAACCCCTAGAGCATGATCAAAGCTTTATATTTTTCAGGGTTATAGGTGATTATCTGTCTCCCACCAATCCCTAAGCCTGGGTTGACTTTTGCCCTCTGCCGTAGGAGCTTGTGTGGAATGAATGCTGTTGAAAGAATATTGGTGATAAAGTGCCATCTTTGCTGATATCTTGGTTTTTCCATCCTTGGAATGAAAAAGCTGGGCTTTGACAAGGGGTCCCTCCCCAACCCCCACCTTCTCTGCCAGCAGCTGGACTGCACCAAGCAGGGGCAGGTGGAGGGGGGCTCATGCTCTGAAGCTGCAGGGGTTCTCTCGGGGGACCCAGCCCTGCCTGAGCCCCCTTTATGTGGGGTACCCCGGAGGCCTCTGGGGTCATGCTCCCCATCTCGCAGCTCTTTCCTTTCTGCACATGGTACCTGCCCTGCCCTAGAGCAATCTCTCAAGCATCCAGGCTGGCAGACGCCCTTCTCCCTCCCCTACTCTCCCTTCAGATGGGCTCAGTCAAGGATTTCTTCTCTGCAACCCCAAGCCGACTGTATCTCTGTGTCCCTGCCATCATGGCACATATCCCATACCCTCATCTTCCCCAACCAGGCAGCACGTTCCTCAAAGGCCAGGATTGTGTCTTCATCATCTTCGTCCCCCTGGGATCAGACAGTGGGCCTGGTGTCCAGTAAGTGTCCAATACATATTTGCTAAAATGACACGAATGCAGGACTCTGGGAGAGGTTCCTCTTATCGAAGGAGGTTGTACAAGTTAGCTTTGGGCTGCAAGGAATAGAAACTCAGCTCACACTGATTTAAAGCATAAAAGGCACTTACTGGCTTGTATTAATGAAAAGCCTAGTAGAAGGGTGAGCTTCAGGGTTGGTTTGATCAGAGCTTCAACTCTTTTCCTCTGCGATTTACCCAGTTCTGCTTCCGTGTGTTGTTTTTGTTTGTTTGTTTGTTTGTTTGTTTCCTCTGGCTGGTTTTCTTCACGGCGTTGAAACAAGCATGACTGTTCCAGGTCTCGTTCTGTCCAGATGAAGATCTCTTCGAGTGGCTACTTGGAATGCACTCCAGAGGCCCCTGACATTGATTCTTCTCTAGACTCAAACTAACCTAGTTACATGTCCGCCCTCGAACCAGCGGCTGCAGCCGAAGGTGAGATTTGGAAAATTAGCTTAGATTTGGTGTCAGGAAGGCGATCAGCTCCCCAAAAAGGGGGACCACACGAGAGAAGTGTGGCAATCCCCTCAAAATACGAGTAGTTACCAAGAGAAGAGAAAGTGGGCAAGACCGTCAAAGCATCCACTCGAGGAGTTTAATTATATTCAAACCCATAGCAAAAAAAGAAGCTGTTTTTTGAGCAAAAACCAACCCAGGGAAAACTTTGCTAAACGTCCAGATATTTCACCAGAACCTTCTGTCAAACATAAGAAGATAACAGATTTCTGTACTCTCTGACTGAATTTTGCTGACCAAATCCAAAGTCAGTTCACAGAGCCACAGATGACTTTACTGAATTTTTTTAAAAATGTGTTTGTTTTTCCGATTATGATAACAATACATGCTTGTTGTTAAAATATTTAAATAATGCAGAAAAGCATTTAAAATAGTAGTTCTCAACCAAGGGTGGTTTTGTCCCCCAGGAGACATGTGGCAATATCTGGATACATTTTTGGTTGTTAGGATAGGGGGTAGGGGTTAGCTCCTGGCATCTAGTGGGGAGAGGCCAGGGATGCCACTAGACATCCCACAGCGCCCAGGACAGTCCCCCGCAATGAAAATTATCTGACCCAAAATGTCAATAGTGTCAAGGTTGAGAAACCCTGATTTAAAGGAATGTAAAAATTACCCCAAATCCTACTGTCCAGAAATAAACACTGCCGACATTTTGGCAAACATCATTTAGAATACTCTTTTTAATATATGCCCATTGCACACACAACTTAATACAAATGAGATTATGCACATGAAAATGCTTTTCTCTACAATGTCATGGCTGTCTCTCTGTATTGCTGTTTTTGTTTGTTTGTTTTTTGAGACAGAGTCTCGCTCTGGTACCCAGGCTGGAGTGTAGTGGCATGATCTCGGCTCACTGCAGCCTCCGCCTCCCAGGTTCAAGCCATTCTCCTGCCTCAGCCTCCCGAGTAGCTGGGATTACAGGCGCCCGTCACCACGCCCGGCTAATTTTTGAATTTTTAGTAGAGATGGGGTTTTGCCATGTTCGTCAGGCTGGTCTCAAACTCCTGCCCTTGTGATCCACCCGCCTTGGCCTTCCAAAGTGCTGGGATTACAAGTGTGAGCCACCACACCCGGCCCTCTATATTGCCATTTTAATGAGTATTTTTAATACAGCTTAACACAATGTTTTATATTTATTTAATGCAATTTCATAAATTTTTAATACAGCATTTCATTATATGAGGACTATTGTTTGCTTAATGAATCTTCTGTAGTTTGGCATTTCAGAATTTTTTCCCCCAATTTTTCACTATTATAAACAATGCTGCAATGAACGACCTTCCCCGTAGAGACTACTTGGCCTATTAGAATAAATGCCCCCAAGTTAAATTTCCAGGTTGCTTTAAAATTTCTGCCCAGTGAACAGCATGGTGCTTGTTGCCATTCTGCTCCCAGAGACCCTTGTAGAGTCCGTTCGGGACAGTATGAGAATCCCCATTATCCCATACTCTGCAACACTGAGAGTTGCCAATCTTTTTTGTCTTTTCTAATCTGATAGGCAGAAAATGACATATCATTGTAGCTTATCATTGATAACTGGTGGGGTGGAACTTGTCTTCATACTTTTTTTTCTTTTTTTCTGAGGCAGTGTCTCCCTTTGTCTCCCAGGCTGGAGTGCAGTGGCACCATCTCAGCTCCTACATCAGCCTCCCAAGTAGCTGGGACTACAGGCATATGCCACCACACCTGTCTAATTTTCCTTATTTTTTGTAGAGATGAGATCTTTCTGTGTTACCCAGGCTGGTCTTAAACTCCTGGGCTCAAGCAATCCTTCCACCTCGGCCTCCCAAAGTGCTGGGATTATAGGCATGAGCTGCCTCGCCTGCCAGAATAGTGGGTTTTTAATACGGTGTTTACCTCTTCTTATTGTTTTGCAAGAACTCTTTGTATATTAAGGATAGTAATTCTTTCTAAGAGTCTTATAATTGACTATAAAAGTCTCCCTCCCTCCCTCCTTCCCCTCCCTCCCTCCCTTCCTTCCTTCCTTCCTTCCTTCCTTTTGTTCCCTTCTGCTTTCTAAGGATATGCCTGGTGTTTGGCAAGCATTGCATGAATTACATTAGGAAATAACTTTTGTAACAAACCCATTTAACAACCATTCTTTGTTCCCCGCCTCCTGATAATGCTCAGAGCCACAGCAACAGCCTTTGCCCAACTCCATGTCATTAACCCTTGATCTTTTCCTGCTGAATAGCAGATTGCTTTCCGGGGCTGGCAACACAGTTTCATTTTCACCTTCCTGCTGATGGAACTGCCCTGGCTCTGTGCCAGATGGCTGTTTACATAAGAAATGATTTGATTATATTGCACAGCCAATGGCAGCCTTTCTCAGAATAAAGAAGCCAGAAACATATAATCAAAGCCATTAACTGTGTACAAAGAAACGCAGCCCACTCTAAATTTCCCACCAACCATAATCACAGTTTTCCAGAGAAAAATAAGAACAGGGTTATGGTTCCCTACTAAAAACGTGTTAGGGGAAAGACTTTTAAAAGGAAATTGTGGTATAGCTCAGTTGCACTCTCAGATCAACCCTTGAGCCTTGACTCCAATCCCAGCTCTGTAACTCACTGTCCTTGTGACCTTGGAAAAGTCGTTTACTGCCAAAAGCCTCCGTTTCTTTATTGTAAAATGGCTATAATAGTAATATCAACCTCAGAGGTTTACGAGAGGATTAAGTGAGATAGTGCATAAGAACACTTTCTCAGTCAGAATGTTTTCAGCCGCAAGGAGCAGAACACTTGACTAAAGGAGGGAAAAAAAAGCTAGAGGACTTATAATTTTATTTAACAGGGTTGTTTCATTTGGAGGCATAAAGATGTAACCAGTGATTCACATTCTTTTCTTCTTCCTGCTATGCCATTCTCAGCAATTTATGGACATGTCTCCTCATGGTTTCAAGACAGCTGCTGTGGCTCCAGGCATCACACTGGGACATGATAAAATCAAGCAAAGAGGAGGAGGGCATTTTTTCCCCTGTGTCTCCTTTCATGATGGAGAAAATTGTTCCCAAATTTCCCCCCTGCAGATCTGCAGACTTCTTATTGGCCAAGATGGCGTTACATCTATAATTCCAAACCAGTCACTGATGGAGGAATGAGAATGACTGCAGTTGGCTTGGACCTATAACTCACTCTGAAGCCGGGGCGAGGAATAGCCACCGTCCCTGAGCTCCTGAGTAGATGCACAACCAACAAAACTGAATCCCGTCAGCGAAGGAGTCATGGGTGGGCAACCCGTGCTGTGTCTACCATAAGCACAACTCCTGGTGCTCATGAGGTGCCCCCAAAGGCTGGCATTTGGCAAGCTCAAGACTGGGAGTCCACACAGTGCTCCAGGTGGGAGGATCACAACCGCGATTGGCCAGGGAGTCCCTCTGGGTGCCAGACCCCTGTATGCAAAGCCCCACTCAGCATCTCCACTTGATTGGCTTATGGGAACCTCAAATCCAACACACTATATTTGAACTCATCATATTTCCTCCCCACTGGCCTCCTCTGTTGGTACCCACCTTGCTCAAGCCAGAAGCTGGCTGGTCCTCAGGAGTCCCTGCTTTCCTTCCCCATCTGTGCCCACGTCTCTCCAGCTCTGCCATCATCTTCCACCTGGACACCAACCAAGCCCCCGCTCTCCCTGCTGCTGTGTGGGCATCAACAGCCTATGCTGTTCCCTCTGAACGGAACTCTTCCCGCTCCTGTTTCCCTGTCACCTTGCTCAGGAAAGCTCTTCTGATCCCCCCAAGTTGAATCCCTCATTACAAACCTCACATCCTGACATACATCTCTCCATTGCCCTGATCATACTTCTTATTTACCTGTGTGATTATTTCACTCATGTCTCACCCCACCAGGTTGCAGCTCCATGAGGGTGGGAATTGGGTCTGTTTTGTTCACTGATAACCTTCAGTGCCTGACACATAGTAGGGCCTCAATTTTATTCCTGAATCCCATAAATGAATAAATTCATCCCCTGCCCTGTGGCCAGGGAGATCACTCTAAGAAGCAAATCTAATCACTCCCTCTCCTGCCATAAGCCTTCCATGGCTCCCCTTTACCCACAGGACAAAGTCTAAAGGGCTTAACCTGGCTCTTTCAGGCTCCTCAAAGTGGATTCTGCCACCTCTCCAGCCCCATCTCACCTGCCCCATTGTCCTTTACGGTCCAGCCACCCTCTACTCCTTTAGGTGTCTCAAAGTCTGCATGTTCTCTCCTATCCCTGGATTTGCCTATATGCTATGTTTCTCCCGGAAACTTTGTCTCAAAAAATCTTCATTCTCATTGCCAAGGCTTTAAAATTTGCCTCTTTTGGGGAAGGTTTAGTTCTGTAAGCTCATTCTGGAAATCTGGGTTCCTTCTATCTAGCTGTTGTCATCCTCAGTCCATAGCTTCCAGTCAAGTCCAAAACAGCTGCTATAGCTTCTCCGTCACATCTACGTTCCAGGCAGTGGGGAGAGAGAAAGGGTCATTCCTCTTAAGGGCATGACTCAGAAGCAGTGCTATCACTTCTACTCAATCCCATTGGCTGGAGCTCAGTCATATGACCATGCCTAACTGCAAAGGAGGCCGGGAAATAGAATCACTATCTGCCGATTATGTTAGCATGTTTCCCACTAATGCTCCAAAATTCTCTCAGTATGAGAAAAAAGCTGATGGATGTTGGTGGACACTGATGGTCCTGCCACACTCACCCCCACAGTGCCAGTCATGGACTTATCTCTGCCCAGCCAGACTGTGAGCTCCCTAAGGACAGGGACCATATATGGTGGTCATTGCAGCATCCCCTGCAACTCACAGAGTGCTGGTTGTGACATATGGCAAATCAGAGTGAATTGCAGAGGCCGGAAATACAAGGTGGAGAAACTGAGGCAGGCACCAGTTGAGTTCCACACACATTTTCTGGGTGCTGATTACACATAAGAACCCTGGGCTTGGTCCCGGTGCCTGGGGGGCAGCAACACTTGTCTGGCCTGGCAGTGTCCCCAAAAGCACCCAGTTGGGGGCTGCAAGGCCCCACCCGGTGGGGAAGCTGCAGAAACAGAGCAGAGTCCACAGTCAGAACAGGAGGCGCCACAAGGGCCTACAGGTAAGGCAGGTCCCAGGCCCTCAGCCCACCTGGCCCTGGCCCTGCTGCACTCTTGGCCACTCCCCAACATTATCTGGCCTTGGGCCCAGCCCTGAGCACCTGCCCTTCCCTGCTCTCCCGAGAGGCCTGAGCTGGGGTTCCCCTCCCCTGTCGGCTGCCGTGGGAAAGGCCTTATGGTAGCTCTCAAGGTCCAAGTTCCAGCCTCAACAGCTGCCGTACTTGCTATTCCCTCTGGCCAGACCTCCCTTCCGTGCTGCTCTAGCTTCTCCTGCTCTCAGCTTAGACGGCACCTCCTCACTGTCTCCAAAGACCACCGCCCACCCCGGTGCCTCTCCACCACATTGTGCATCTTGTTGCTTCCCAGCATGGGTCTGTGTGGGGTCGTAGGGGAATCCTGCTCTTGTTCATTCATTTGTTGGCTTCTTTGCTCGCTGTCTCCCCCAGTAGAGACATGGACATTTTCTGTCTTGTTTTCCACTGTATCCAGAGCCTAGCCCAGGGCCTGGCACCTAGTAGGTGTTCAGGTAATATCTATGGACTACCTACATACACACACAGTGAGGAAAGACAAGAGAATTAGCACTCACTGCACTCGTATGACATGCCAGCGCATGCGTTGTTCACTCTGAGGCCCACGACATCATTGCCTGGTTGGAATCATTATCTCCATTTCACAGTGGAGGAAACTGAGACTCAGAGAAATGAAGTGACTCGACCGAGGTTACGCCAATAGGAAGGGCCAAGTCTCAGACGGGGGGGGATATTTATAACGAAATGCAAAGATCTTGGAGGAGGGGGTGGATTCTTGGTTGTACACATCGATCAAAGCTCATCAAACTGTACAGTTGAAATCAGAGGTTCTCAACCAAGCATGGTTTTACCCCCAGGAGACATTCAGCAAAGTGCAGAGACATTTGGTCATCATGGGGGTAAGCAATGCTACTGGCATCTCGTGGGTAGAGGCCAGAGATGCCGCTCAACATCCTACAGTGCCCAGGACAGCCGCCACAGCAAAGAATTATCTGACCCAAAATGTCAGTAGTGCTAGGTTGAGAAACTCTGCTTTGAAGGAATGTAGTTTACTGAACACAAATTATGTACTCCATTTATTAAGGCATAATCAATGCATTTTTTGTAAAATAGAAAAAATAGAAAAGAACTAACATAATTGGAAAAGAAAGGAACCAACTAAGTACAAAACAATGGCCACATAATTTAAAAAGGCAAAGAACAGATCAGAAAATACAAAGAGCCTATATGTAAATGACAAGGGGCTCCACCTTAATACTAATAAGGGAAATTCAAATTATAACAAAAAGCTGGGGGGTTGCCTCATGTCTGTAATCCCAGCTCTTTGGGATGCTGAGTTAGGAGAATCACTTGAAGCCAGGAGTTTGGGAGCAGCCTGGGCAACATAGTGAGACCCCATCTCTACAAAAATTTAAAAATTAGCTAGGTGTGGTGGCGTGAGTCTGTAGTCCCAGCTTCTCAGGAGGCTGAGGCAGGAGGATCGCTTGAGCCCAGGAGTTTGAGGCTGCAGTGAGCTATAGCTAAAAAAAAAATTACAACAAAAATAATCACAATGGGAAAAAATTTTTTTAAATGACAGATGGGGCCAGGCGCGGTGGCTCACACCTGTAATCCCAGCACTTTGGGAGGCCGAGGCAGGCGGATCATGAGGTCAGGAGATTGAGACCATCCTGGCTAACATGGTGAAACCCCGTCTCTACTAAAAATACAAAAATTAGCCGGGCGTGGTGGCGGGCGCCTGTAGTCCCAGCTACTCAGGAGGCTGAGGCAGGAGGATGGCGTGAACCTGGGAGGCGGAGCTTGCAGTGAGCCGAGATCGCGCCATTGCACTCCAGCCTGGGCGACAGAGCAAGACTCCGTCTCAAAAAAAAAAAAAAGACAGCTAGGCTGGTGAGTGTGGGGGAAGTAGGCCCTCTCATCCTCTCCTTTGTGGATGGAGGGAGTGCAAACTGGCAAAGCCCTGGCGGTGGTGTGGTAGCACTTTGCATCATTTGTCTAGCAATCCCAGTTGTGCAGAAATACACATGCGCTCAGAGAGCTGTGTGCGGATGCTCACTGTGGTATTGTTTATAATAGTGAAGTTTAGGCTGGAAAACTAAATATCAATGAAATCAATGAACGTGGAATTAGGTAAATAAACCATGGTGCATTCATGCCATGGAATACTATGTAGCAGATCAAAATGATAAGGCAAATCTCTACACACATAGTTAGGCGGAACAAAAAAAGCGGGCTGCAAAACCACATTTGCAATCTGTTTCGAATCAGGTGGCACAAAAGAAATCCAGGGCCCAGGCCGCTAGCGCTTGCCATCATTCATCACCCCTTCTCCCCACTTTTGAATGGGGCGGCAATGTGCCCAAGTGAAATAAGACCTCCCCAGCCTCCCCTGAAACCACGCGGGTGCAATGTAGTAGCCATGAGACCCAGAGCGCACACACTTTGTCCCTTCCCTGCCCTCTTGCCTTGCTGAGAAGCAACCCTCTTGAGCCAGGAGTTTGAAAGTCACATACCAACATGGGAGACCAGGAAGCTGGTCATTGGTGATGTCCCTGAACAAGCCTACAAGCCCAGACTTGCTCACCTCTAGACTTCTTTTTACACAAGAGAAGTGAACTCCCATTGGGTGAAACCCTGGTGTTTGTTATTTTTTACTTGCAGCCAAGTGCAATTTCAGAGGCAGCAAACTCACTGGGGAGGAGGACGGTTGAGTCTTCTGCAACAGAACTGTATTCAAGTGTCATTTACATAGTTAAGACTTTTCTAAAATAAATCAATACATCAAATAAAGCCTGTCTGGCTAGAGTCTGTGGGACTCTTGCTGTTTCTTTCAAAAAGTGTTTGTTGATTGGCTCAGGTCCCTCTCAACCCAGGCAAAAATGCCAAGGGGAAGATGGAGGGACATCGAGGGGTTTCCCTGTGACCTGCTGAAGGAGAGGTTGGAATGCTGTTTTCTTAGGAAAAGCTCCATTTTCCTGGTAAGAGGACTAGCGCCTGAGTCTCTCACTCCAGGGAGGCTCAGGGGTCAGTCCAACCAGCCCAACCCGGGCTGCCCCTATCATAATTGGTGACCCTCTAGCCTAGACATGCTAGCCTCCAGGCAGTGACCTGGCTGTCTCTCCCACCTGTTTGTCCTCTTCCCAGAAGGAGGATGCTCCCTTTATCTCAGGCCAAAGTACCCCCCTCACCCTCCCAGGGAAGGGGAGGAATGCCACCTGTCATCACGGGATGGGTGAGTCACCTCTTACTGGCTGGAGGCCATAGCCAGCCCAACCTCTCTCTTTTGCCCCCTAGCTCTCCCCTGTGGGTGGGGAACGATGGGAATATCACCCTAAAAATCGTGACAGCAACAGCTGCCATCTCTGTGGCATGGAACCTGTCACTGGAAGCTTGAGTGCACAGCCCTGGGTTCCAAGCCCAGCTCTCATGTTCTAACCTGGTGATCTGGGGGGAGTCACCCCTTCCTGATCCCCATTTATGCATTTGGCAAACGTTTATTATGCAAGCACTCTGAACCGGGCAGGGGGTGCTGAGGATGCCACAACGAACACCCCGAAACAATCCTGCCCTGTGGAACCCATTAGGTAGAGACGTTCAAAACTAACAATAATGATAATGTTAATAAATTTTAAAATTCCGAGTGTCAATTGGTGATGATGTCACAGAGAGAAGGGGCGAGGAGTGCTGGTGCAGAGGTCTTGTTCATGTAAGCAGGTGGTCTAGGACGCCCTGAGATACTTTGAAAATGGAGGAAAGGGCTGGGTGTGGTGGCTCACACCTGTAGTCCCAGCACTTTGGGAGGCCAAGGAAGTCAGATCACCTGAGGTCAGGAGTTTGAGACCATCCTAGCCAACATGGCGAAACCCTGTCTCTACTAAAAATACAAAAATTAGCTGGGCGTGGTGGTGAATGCCTGTAATCCCAGCTACTCGGGAGGCTGAGGCAGGAGAATTGCTTGAACCCAGGAGGCGGAGATTGCAGTAAGCCAAGATCATGCTACTGCACTCCAGCCTGGTGTCTCAAAAAAAGAAAGAAAAAAGACAAAGAAAAAATAAAATGGGGGGAAGACCTGGAGGAGGTGAGAGAGGGAGGCTTGTGGTTCTCTCAGGGCACAGAGTCTCAGGAAGAGAGAACAGCAAGTACAAAGGTCCTGAGGCTGCCGTGTGACTGATGTGTTCCAGGAGCAGGGAGGAGGCCAGTGTGGCTGGAAGGAAGATGCCAGAAAGGCAGAGTGGGGGTGTACTACCACACGGGATTTAGGGACACTGCCAGGACCTTGTCTTTGACTGTGGGTGACATGGGAGCCAGAGGAGGGTGTTGAGCAGAGGAGAGATGTGATCCGACTTCCTTTGGGTAGCAAGACAATGATGGAATGGGGGAGGTAGTTCGGAAGCCATGGCAACAATCCAAGCACACACACTCATGCCAGGGCGGGGCTGCGGACCTTGGAGGGTGGTAGGATCCTGGATGCAGGCTGTGGATGGGAGGTGGTGGGGCAGAGGCTAGAGAAAGAGAAGAGTCAATGAGGACACTCAGGTGTTTGGCCTGAGCCCCTGGAAGGAGAGAGGTGCCACTTTCAGAGGCAAAGACGATGCAGGAGAGGTAGGATCCTGCTGGAGGAGGCGTTTGGTTTCTTACCTGGGATGTCCGAGATGCCTGTTAGGCATATTGAGTCGTAGCTGGATATTCAAGACTGAGTTCAAGGCAGGAAATGTATGGTTAGAGGCTTTTAGCTTGGAGATAGTATTTAGAGACTCAGTTTCTTTGTCTGTAAGGTGGAGATTAAACAGCATCTGCTTTGCAAGGTTGCTGTGAGCCTGGGTTGAGGACTGAGAGTTCATGGGCAGGTAGCAAAGTGCAGGTAAATGTCAGCTCCGTTACTTCCACACCCAGCTCACTCAATCCTCATGAGGTCGTTATTATTGCCATCAGCTTTAATTTTACAGGGAGTGGAGGTTCAGAGAGGTTAAGTGACTGGTCCAAGGTCACATAGCCTGAAAACAGCGCAGCCAGGATCCAAGGCTGAATCTAGAGTCTTGTTCTTGGCTTTCTACCCTGCTGCCTCCTCCCTGCTCTCCCAGCACCAGGCCCTTGGATCTTGAACTGATCAGACTTGAGGGGCTCCCAGTTGGGAAGGGAGACAACCGTGAGTGGAAATGCCTCCAGGCAGACAGGACCTGAGCCTGCCCCACTAGGGGGCAAATTAGAAGGGGGGCCAGTGAGGCAGCACAGCCATGTGGTTAAGGGAAGCACTGTGATGCCAGACCACCTGGGTCCAATTTGGCTCTATCCTCACTAGGTGTGTGATCCTGGAGATGTGACTCATGTTTATTTGTGCCTCAGTTTCTGCTGCTGTGAAATGGGATAATACAGGTTATTGGGAGGACTGAATGAGTTGGTCCATGCAAAGTGCTTAGAACAGGACCAGAAACTCAATAGGCGCTCCAGCTCACTTTCCACCAAACGTGTGCCCCCAGGGCCTGGGGCCACCTGCCATGTCTTTGGGTCCACATCTGTCCCTTGCTCAAGGTTCACATCTTGCCTTGGCTGCTGTGAGCTATGTGTTTTTGGGTTTCTCACCCAACTTCCCTGCACTCACACTTCCTTTGACCCCAAAGTGGGAACCATATCTACCAGTGGTGAGGATCAACATGCACAGTGCCTGCAGAGGACACTGGATTGTAACTGTGACAGGCCTCAAGTGGGTGCTCAGTGTGCACAAATGTTCATGACAGCTGGAAACCCAGATGTCCTCCTGCAGTGGAACGCTACTCAGTCACAAAAAGGAACAAGTGCGTGATATTTGCAACAATGCAATACATCTTGCAGGCATTGTGTTGAGACCAAAAAGAACGCTCCTGGTTTTTGAAACTCTAGATGAAACACAACTAAACTTTGGTGACAGCAAGCAGATCAGTGGCTCCCTCGGCTGGGCCAGGGATGGGGAGTTTGGAAAGGGATATAGGGAACTTCGTTTTAGAAATGTTTTGAATGTTGTTTTGGGTGTTTGATTCATTGGAATTCATCAGACTAAACCCGTAAGACCTGTGCATTGATTGCATGTTCATCATATCCCACTTTTAAAAATTTTTATTTTTATTTAATTTTATTTTTTGAGACAAAGTCTCACTGTGTCGCCCAGGCTGGAGTGGAGTGGCACAATTACAGCTCACTGCAGCCTTGACCTTCCCAGGTTCAGGCGATCGTCCCACCTCAGCCTCCTGAGTAGCTGGAAACACAGACGTACATCACCATGCCCAGCTAATTTTTCTACTTTTTGTAGAGATGGGGTCTCACTATGTTGCCCAGGGTGGTCTCAAACTCCTGGGCTCAAGTGATCCTCTGGCTTCTGCCTCCCAAATTGCTGGGATTACAGGCGTGAGCCACCGTGCCCGGCCCCCAATTATTTTAAAAAGCAACAAAAAAGTTTGTCGTTGTCATCATCATAAATTTGTTCTTATTTCTCTGACTGTTCTATGGCACCAAGTGCCCCCTTAGCCCCCTCTTTTGAGGCCAGCAGAGACCCAGAGCTAAGTTTGGGGTGACTTTTCCCTACCTCTGGTCCATCAAAGGTCTCTGCCACATAAGGCAGATGAGCTGGCACTGTAGAAAGAGCCCTCAGACCCAGGTCCAAACCTGACTCTGGCTCTGCCTCGTCCTTGCTGGCTGCCCCTGAGTGGGTCATTTAAGCCTCAGTTTCCTCATCTGTTAAATGGGGCTAATAGTGGCGCCCCTGCTTGTGAGGTGGTTGCCAGGATTCATGGAGATTCTTAGAGATAAGAGGTGTGCAGGGCCGTGGATATTGGAGGCTCACAGAAACAAAACAGAACAAAGCAAAAACCCCCAAAGGAAAAAAAAACCCAAAACCAAAATAAGGCGAAGCAGCTGGGAGAGGGTGGGGGTGACTGAGCGCAGCGGCCTGGCGCCAGAGTGCCGGGCATCAGGTCCTGCTCCTGGGCCATCGCCGTCACCTCTCTGTGCCTCAGTTTCTGCATTTGTAAAGCAAGGATGATACCAGCACCCAGCCCACAGGCTGTGTGAGGGCTGATTGAGTCACTCATGGAGACAGAGCAGTGCGTGGTGCCTGGTGCATGCGGCTGTTATACTGAGGGTTGGGAAGGGGAGGAGCGCACCACCTCGGGGGTAACTCAGAGAGCCCAGTCCTTCTTGAATTGCTGCCTGGCCCAGGCCATGGTGTCCCAGCAGGTGAAGGGGTGGGCAGTCCAGCTGCCAGCCCTGTCAGATGCAGCCGCAGGGGCTGTGGCTCACCAAGGCCCGGGGCCTGTCCTGGGCTCCTCACTTGGCTCTCGTGGCTGGGACAGATTGCTTCCTTCCTCTCTCCTGGGTGCCAGGTAGGCCCAGAAACCACCTGATGTCAGCAAGGCCTGGCCACCCACTGGTGGGGAGGAAGTGGGCGGGTGCCCAGGGACAGATGAGCCGGGCAGACGTGCCCTGAGGCAGCACAGTCAGGGCTGACGTGGGCATTATGCACCTCGGGGCTTTCAGAGCTGGCTCCGGTCCCGTTTGCCCACATCAAGCAGGTCAGAGTGGAGAGGGCCAGGGGCGCTGGGGTCAAGGCATGCACTGACCAGGCGTCTGTCCCCACTCCTCAAAAC
The DNA here is from genome assembly GCF_000001405.40 of Homo sapiens. Lineage (NCBI taxonomy): Eukaryota > Metazoa > Chordata > Mammalia > Primates > Hominidae > Homo > Homo sapiens. The sequence continues at coordinate 50,377,294 of NC_000020.11, forward strand.
ACAGCCAGGAGATGAGCGCACTGGGGTGGTGGCCTGTGGAAGAGGGGCAGGGTCTGTGTCCAGATGTGGCCGGAGGGTGGGGTCGACTGTGTGCGGTACGTGTGTATGGAGGTGACTGTGTGTCTGGCATGTGAATGTAAGATTTTAGGAAGGTGAGTGAGCTTGTGCACAGGTGTGTGTGTGTGCACGTGTGTGGCTAAGCATGTGTGAGTGAGTAGGCATCTGTGTGCCGTGTGTGGGAGCCGGGCAGGGGGCAGCGTGTATGGCTGAGTGTGCCAGCACATTGCTGAGCATGTACTCGTGTGCGTCTGGGTGTGTGAATGACAAAATAAGTGTATATGGTTAATTACATGAGTGTGTGAGTGAGTGTGGGGAGGGGATGTGTGTATCCTTGATTGTGGGAGTCAGAGTGTGTGTATGTGTGTGTGTGTATGTACATGCGCTGTTGTGAAGAGTTCTGCAAGAACCCCTCCCCTTTTTTAAATTTTATTTTTTGAGATGGAGTCTTGCTCTGTTGCCCAGGCTGGAGCACAGTGGTGCGACCTTGGCTCACTGCAACCTCTGCATCCCGGCTTCAAGCAATTCTCCTGCCTCAGCCTCCCGGGAAGCTGGGATTACACACGCGCAACACCACGCCCCGATAATTTTTGTATTTTTTTTTTAGTAGAGACGGGGTTTCACCATGTTGGCCAGGCTGGTCTTGAACTCCTGAACTCAGGTGATCCACCCGCCTGGGCCTCCCAAAGTGCTGGGATTACAGGTGTGAGCCACCGTGCCCAGCCAAGAAACCCCTTTTGCATACAGAGCTTTGCTCCTTTGCACGAAAATGCTTATGAACAGGTGGGGTCAGCTGGTGGATGTGTTTAAAATTTTGACAGAAATGGCCAAGGAGCTCTTTAGAAAGGGCAGAGGGGAGCGGTGATATCCAAGTTGATCCCTGACCAGTCAGAACAGGTGTCAGCTGCAAATACCCAAGCCAGCTGAGCCAGCCCTGGTCACTCCAACTTCTGCTCCCACCAGCAGCATCCAAGAAGGCTTGACCTTGAGTCATTCTCAGGCCATCCCCAAAGCAAACAGTGAATGGTGAGCTTTATAATAACAAAGTCAACATATTATAATCTCATGGGCCGTCAGTTACAATGGCAAACATTCATTCATTCATTCATTCACCAATATTCACTGAGCACCTACTATGCCCCAGGCACAGTTTCTGGTGCTGGGGATGCAGCCAAGAACAAGACGGACAAAAATTCCTTTGCTGGTGGCGCTGGTGGGAACAAGCAGACGACAAAATAAGTGAACAGCCTGTGGAGAGGGTTAATTGGTGGTAAGTGCTGTAGATAAAAATAAAGCAGGAACAGTAGATCCAGAACGCCAGGTGGGTTTGCAGTTTTAAAAAGACTGGTCAGTTGGGGCTCCAAGGGAAGCAGGCGTTTGGGTGAAGACCTGAAGGAGGTGAGGGCCAAGCCACATGGATCTCTAGCGGAAAAGCAAAGCAACCCCCAGGCAGAGGCCACGGCAAGCGCAAAGGGCCGGCGACAGCACACACTTGGCCAGTTCAAGGAACAGAGAAGGGGCCAGTGTGGATTTAGTAGCTTTTTAAAAACTAATGATAAAAGCAAATGGTGCTTGTGGAACCACCACACAGAAAAACGAATACAAGAGAAATTGAAAGTCCACAGTCGCTGAAGGGTGGGGGCAGGGGAGATGGACTAAGGATCCGGGTGTCTGGGGTACAGTTCACTTGATAATCAAAGCAATTTTCCGTTTTGACAAGGCAACGCCAAAATAGCGCAGCTGCATCCAAACCTCCCAGCCGCAGCGAAACACCCGGCGTTTTTACACTCGTACCCCAGCCCGACCCTGAGCCAGGCACGTAGTAGGCGCTCGGTCTGCTTCTACATCCTCCCAGCTCCCTGGGTCCTGAGGGGGCGAGGAAAGATGAGTGCAAACCCCCCAAGGTACAGACTGACTTATCCCCAGATCCCCACAGGCCGCCAGCCAGGCCCCCAGCGGCCCCGGAATGACAGCGTCGTCTCTTCCTCCTCCTGCTTTTATGAGCTGTGAAGGAGGCTTGTCTCGCGTTGCACAATTGCCCCTTAATTGCTATTTCCTCTCAGTTATGAATTATGTCATGGATATGGCCGCTCACGTTATTAAACTTCCACACAGGCCTTATCGTCTGGAGTCCGGCCAGCAACCCAGCCTGACCTACTTTCCCACCGGATTTCAAAACCGCCTCCCTTGTCCTCTCGTTGGACTTTTCCTAAGGAGAGTCTACTGTGCCCAAAAACTTGACGCTAAAAATAAAAACTAGAACGGAGAAGGGGGGCCACAGCTGGCCCCACCGAAGGCCTGAGGCTCGGAGAAGTCCCTGGTGACTGGGGCCAAACCCCTCCCTTCCTAGAAGCTTCCTCAGAAAACCTGTCCTTGCGATGCAGGGTTCCCAGCAGGACAGGCAGGGACACCAGCCATAGTCCCAGGTCCCCTGCGTGATCAGATCCCACTCTCGCCTTTCTCGGTCATGGCCGGGATGACTGACTTTGGAGGCAGGCAAACCTGGGTTCAAACCTTAGCTCTGACACTGACTAGCCCATTCATTCATTCATTCATTCACTCCAGGTATTGACTGTCTCCTGAGTGCTGGCCCTGTGCTGGGCAGTGGGGAAATATCTGAGAACGAGGCAGACACAGTCGCTGCCCTCATAGAACTTTTAATCTAGTAGGCAGAGATGGGCACAAAACACAAATTCTGAAATTAGGGCAATGAAGAAAATAAGACAGTGCGGTAGGTTTGAGAACAGCAGGGCTGCCCGTTTGAGACAGTCAGGGAGAACTCTCTGTGCGGAGGGGTCATTTAAGCAAAGACCCCAGTCATGAGAAGAGCCGGATCCAGGAAGCCAGCCCTAATGAGGGAGGGGCTCAGGAGGTGCCTCGCATGCAGGATAGAAGGAGGCGCTTGCTCTCAGTCTCAGCCACGCGCAGGTTGGCATTTGAGAGTGAGAGCCTCCTGAAAGCTTCACCCTGGGGATCTCACTTGCCCCAACCTAGTCCTGGGCCTGCTGGGAAGGAAAGGCATCTAAGCAAAGGGCGCAGCGAATGCAAAGGCCCTGCAGTGGGATGAGCCTGGCGCTCTGGTGCAGAGAGAGCCAGGGAAGAGTGCAGTGCAGGGATGGGGACGTGGGTGAAGCTGGAGAGGTGGGGGTGCAGACCACAGAGGGCCTCGAAGGCCATGCTGAGGATTTGGTAAGGGAGAAGCTCTATTGTGAGGGCAGAGCTGGCAATCCTCGTGGGTGAGGTGATATTTGCCGGGGAGGTAGGGAAGACTCAGGGTGCATTTCTAGGCCGGATGACTTCTTGATTGATGTAGGAGAGATTAGCAAGTGCTTCATTTCTCAGTCTTTAATATTCTTCATCTGGGAAGTGGGAATAATAACATCAACCTCCCCAGAGAAGGTACCATACTTAGCACAGTGATTTACCTGGGTCACCCAGGAAGTTCGTGGCTCAGCCAGGACTGGAACCCAGGCCCTGCTCTCCAGGATGATCGCAACAGGCAGGGGCTGGATCTTGGCATGAGATTCTCCAGCGATGCCACCTCCCGGCCAAACAGGCCTCAGCAGCAGGGGCTGGATTTTTTTCTTTCTGAATTGTGCTTATGCGTGGGGCTGTTTATCTAACTTGGCTGAAGTTTGAGTCCTGGGTCTGTAAACATACCCTTTTAATTATTATACAAATGGTACATGTTCGTGGAATAAAAATTTGAAAATGAAAATAAGCAAGAAGAAAAAGAACGAGAGAGAAAGAGGGAGGAAGGAGGGAAGGAAGGAAGGAAGGAAGGAGGGAGGGAGGGAGGGAGGGGAGGGAGGGAGGAAGGAAGGAAGGAAGGATCTAAATCAACACATGTACACCTAGATGCATTATATAAGGACCTTCATTGCAGCATCCTTTGACATAACAAAAGCCTCCAAACAATGTGAATATCCAAGATTAGGGGCCTTCGTAGCTGCATGAATTAAAGAGTATTTCAATCCTGTGCTGAGACTGAAGTGAATAAAGCAGATATCGCTGTACTGATTTGAAACAACAGCCAAGATGTAATATTAGCCTAGAAAAATGAGATGAAAAACAGTGATTATAGAATGCTACAAAGTGTGTGTGGGTGTGTGTCTGTGTGTGTGTGTGTGTGTGTGTCTGTGTGTGCGTGTGTGTGTTTGTGTGTGTGTCTCTGTGTGTGTGTGTCTGTGTGTCTGTGTGTGTGTGTCTCTGTGTGTCTGTGTGTGTGTGTCTGTGTGTGTCTTAAGGAGAGAGTGAGGAATGTGTTTACCTATTTGCTGGTAGATGCTCAGGTTTCCTGACTTTCGCGTGGTAAAAATGGCAAGTCAGAGATGGGAGGAAGGATGATATTTTGCCTGTCCGTTTGCACTGTTGAAAGGAAAACTTGTGGCTTCTGTTTTTGTTTTTGTTTTGCCATGTGCGTGCCTGTCTTCTGTGCAACATTTTAGCAATATTTGAAAAATCAGAGACTTTTCGAAAGGCCCTGAGATAATCTAGGCTGGCGTTTCCTGAAAGTTCCCCCAAATCCCAGGATTCCAGCAAGGTGCCTGTAGGCCATGGGGCTTGGGGTGGAGCTGCAGGCAGCCTGACCCTCCTTACTCAGAGATGTTTCTCTTTCATCTTTTTTTTATAGGTTGGACAAGTAAAGGTTCAGTTGTAAAAGGGTTTTGCCTGCTTTGAAACGAAATTTTTGAAAAACTTTGATCTTGAATAATCTCTTCATTCTACCGATGAGGAGACAGGAACCCAGAAAGGAGAAAAAAAGGATCGTCTCAGCATCAGGCTGACCTGGGTTTCAGTCTAGCTTTGGCTGCGTGCCTTGGATAGTAAATTTTCCTCCTTGAACCTTGGCTTCTTCCTCCAGGGAGAAAAACCTACCTGAAGGTGATTAGTACACAGATATCAAAAGTGGAAGTAGACCCTGAGTCCTTAGCTAAGGACTAGAACGATCGTGGCAGAAACGTGCACAGGAAATCATGTGGCCTCTGTCTCACCAGCGGGTGTTCCAGGAATGGCAAAAGTGTTCCCTTTTCCCCATTTCACTCAAGTCTAGAATCAGGCATATCTCAGTTTGTTAGAAGTCAGCTCACTACAAAACCCAGGTATTCCCTGGGACACATGCAACTGCAAGGGGCAGGGAAACTCAACTCAAATGACTTTATCATTAAGGAAGTGTGTCTTCCTGTACATTCAGAAAACCCAGAGATGGCATGGCGGCTCTGACAGGCATGCATTCAGCTTCGAGGAACACAGACCCTGACCCCTGGCAGCATTTATTTATATTGTCCCCTGCTACAAGAAATCCAGAGGCATCCAGAGCTGATGGGGTGACTCAGGGGTGCTACCAGGGGTTCAGGTTCTTTCCCAGTTTTGTTGTTGTTGTTGTTATTGTTTTGAGACAGAGTCTCACTCTATCGCCCAGGCTGGAGGGCAATGGTGTGATCTTGGCTCACTGCAACCTCTGCCTCCTGTGCTCAAGCAATTCTCCTGCCTCAGCCTCCCGAGTAGTTGAGAGTACAGGCGCCCGCCACCACGCCTGGCTAAGTTTTGTATTTTTGGTAGAGACGTGGTTTTGCCATGTTGGCGAGGCTGGTCTTGAACTCCTGACCTCAAGTGATCTGCCCGTCTCAGCCTCCCAAAGTGCTGGGATTACAGGCATGAGCCGCCGCACCTGGTCACTTTCCCAGTTTTTGCTTAGCCATCTCGAACATGTGGCTTCTGTCCTCATGGTTGGCCATAATTGCAGCATGACCATTCCACCCTCAGCTCATGTCCACATTACAGGCTGGAAGAGGGGACAAGGGCAGAGCAGTGTGTCCACCATGTTTGTCTCTTTTCAGAAAGCTCTTCTGGGGGCCCCACTGGGAAAATTTGGCTTTCATATCATTGGTCATGCTGGATCACGTGGCCATTCCTGGCTGCAAGGCAGTCTAGGGGAGTGAGTGCGTTTTGCTGGCTCATTGCCATCCCAATAAAGTCAGGGTTCTGTCAACAAGGAAGAAAAGGAGCGAGGGCATTGGGCAGGCACTGAGCAGTGTCTGCCCCAGTAGTTCAAGAATTGTTGATACAATGGCTGAAAGACATCTTCCAAAACCTGTGTTCTCTTTCTGTTTGCATTCTACCATCCTCAGTGTGTGGGCTTCCATCCTGAGACTTGTTTTATCCCCTCAGTTTCAGGAGGGGGTCCCTTCCTTGAAGGCATGTGCTGATGCCCCCTCAAAAAAAAGTGTTCTCCCACCTAGGGAGGAGAGTTGAAAAGAGCTGTGGTTGGGCAGTTGACAATGTCTGCTCCACCTCTATTCACCGGAACTTCTTCTGTTCCATCCTCTTTTCAGTTCAGCTCACTGCGATTTCATTTCCATCTCACAGCGTGGATCAGTCACCTATGCCTACAAGAATGCTGCCTGAGAAACCACCCCCAACCTGTTATTCTCTTGAATAGGGAGTTGGCTGCAGGTTGGTGGACCTTGGCTGGACCCATTAATATATTTCCTGTTCAGCTGGAGTTCTGCTGTCTTGGCTGGGCTGGCTCTGCTCTGCCTCACGGGTCCCTCGCCCTTTTCCTGGGACCAATGGGCCATTCTGGGCATGGCTGCTGATAGTGGGGGCACAGGCACAACAGCCACGTGGAAACATGCAAGAGATCTCTTTTTTTCTTTTTTTGAGATGCAGTCTCACTCTGTCACCCAGGCTGGAGTGCAGTGGCGTGATCTCAACTCACTGCAACCTTCGCCTCCTGGGTTCAAGCAATTCTCCTGCCTCAGCCTCCCGAGTAGCTGGGATTACAGGTGTGTGCCATCATGCTCAGCTAATTATTTTGTCTCTCTTTCTTTCTTTTTCTTTCCCTTTCTTTCTTTCTTTCTTTCTTTCTTTCTTTCTTTCTTTCTTTCTTTCTTTCTTTCTTTCCTTTCCTTCCTTCCTTCCTTCTTTTTTTTTTTTTTTGAGATGGAGTCTTGCTCTGTCACCCAGGCTGGAGTGCAATGGCGCGGATCTCTGCTCACTGCAGCCTCTGCCTCCTGGGTTCAAGCGATTCTCCTGCCTCAGCCTCCTGAGTAGCTGGGATTACAGGTGTGCATCACCACACCCAGCTAATTTTTTGTATTTTTAGTAGAGATGGGGTTTCTCCACGTTGGCCAGGCTGGTCTCGAACTCCTGACCTCGTTATCTGCCTGCCTCAGCCTCCCAAAGTGCTGGGATTACAGATGTGAGCCACTGCGCCCCGCCCAATTGTTTTATATTTTTAGTAGAGCTGGGGTTTCACTATGTTGGCCAGGCTGGTATCAAACTCCTGACTTGTGACCCGCTGCCTCAGCCTCCCAAAGTGCTGGGATTACAGGCATGAGCCACCACGCCCAGCCACATTCAAGAGATCTTAAAGCTTGGTCTCAAAATGACACACTGTCACTTTCATCTCATGCTATTGGCAAAAGCAAGTCCCATGGCCGAACTGAAGTCAAGGCTGGGCAAATACACTCCATCCCTTTTGTGGGAGGAACCACAGTCACATGGGCGACTGTCTTCCTTATCATCACTGTTTGCTGATGTTCCTCCGATCTCTCTGACTTTGTTTTGGTCTCATATATGGGTTCCTCTTCTCTCTCCCTTCAAACACTGTGGGGCCCTAAGCGTTCCATGCCAGCTCTTCTCTTCTGTCTCTATGTGTGGTCTCTGGGCCATCCCAACCATTCTCTAGTTTTCAGTCACCACGTTGGCACTAAAGACCCCCAAATCCATTAGTGGGCTCTCTCCTGAGTCCAGTTGCCAACTGGGCAGGCCACCTGAACATCTCACAGAACTCCCAGATCTTTCTCCTGCTTTGACCTCAGCACCCTCAGCCTCAGCCCCACCTCAAACTCCCTCCTCCTTTATTCCCATGGCACACAACCCCCTCCATGCAGCTGCCCAATCTGGGAACCTGGATGTCAGCAAGCCCACCTGTCTCCATGGTCCGTTCATGCTACAGCTGATGCTGATCATGACCACTGGCTGAGTACTTCCTGTGCGCCAAGGACAGGGCTAAGCCTCATCCCAATATTTTCTGATTTAATTCCTGAAACACCCGCCCCCCTCCCCCCACCCTCCGAGGAGGGGGGCACTGATATCAAGTTGTCTGTATTCCATATGGCACATGCCCTCATGGGACAGGTGGCTTCTTTCAGAAGCTGCAGTGATCTCTCCCAAACCAATTGGTTCTGTCAATCCCCAGTGAAAAATCCTTAAGAATCCTCATTGTCCCAGAGACCTGGGCTAAACCCCTTGGTCTGAAGCGGTCAGGTCCAAGATTCTTTCATTTATTCACACACAAAAGGAAATGATTGCGCTCACTCCATAAGCCAGTCAGCCTCTGGGCGCTGGAGAAACATGAGAGGCCCTGGGAACTTAGGCCCAACGGCAAGAGAGAAAATAATAAATATCTAACATGTCAGGTAGTGACGAACAGATATGAAGACAAATAAGGCAAGGCGAGGGGAGACTTATTTGAGAAGGGTCACTATTTCAGGAGGGAATTCAGGGTCAGCCTCTCTGCTAAGAAGGGATTGCAATGAAGTAAGGGGGTGGCAAGTGCAAAGGCACTGGGGTAGAAAGGGGCTTGGTGGCCGCCTGTGCAATGAGTGTGAGAGGTGGAAGAGGCTACAATATGGGCGTGGCTTCCTCCCTGAGTGAAGTAGGGAGCCATGGGAGGGTTTTGAGCAGAGGAGGGCCCTGCCCTGACTTTGATTTTTACAGAATCCCTCTGGCTACTTGTGGATAACAGTCTTCATGGGGGCCAGGAAGCGGAGAAGTCTGCTGCAGGAAGCGAGGTTTTGCAGGCCTCATGACACTTAGATCACAGAGAGGATTCAGGGGTTTGAGTGACATTCTCAAAAGACACAGGAAAACCAAACAGGATTTTCGGGTTAACCAGAAGCTGCCAGAAGATGGACGGTGCCCAGCATGCCCTGCCCCCAGGCACCCTGGTCCATGGGCCTTTTGTGCAGCATCCTCGGCGGGTGTGGACGCTGTGGTGCTGGTGTTGCTGGTGGGTTTTCCCCTGTGCCTGCCTCTTGGCTGTTGAGGACAGTGCTGGGGAGGATGTGAGCACTTAGCACCCCAGCGTGGTCCGGGCGATGGTGGCCCAGCTCCCGCCAAAGACGCTGACTTCTTTGAACCCGAGAACAAACATTGACGTTCTTAGTTCTGCAAAAAAAAAAAAAAAAAAGCCCTGCGTCCATGCACGCTGTATCCCCCCATCACCAAACTCACTTATCTCGCTGCACAATCCTTCAAAGCACAACACAATGTATTTATGTCTGTGGTTTAGGTTCCCAAAACCTGTGACATCAGATAAGTACGATGTTCACAAAAACAAACATCGCAGAAAGGGAAAAAAACGACCAAAAAGAAGCAGCTGGTTTCAGCCTCGACTTCCTCTCCCAAGAAAAAGGGGCTCTATCTGGCTGAGGTTTCACTGTATTCAGGCTGGGGGGTCAGAGGAATGCCGTCCTGCCCTCTGTCCAACTGCTCGCATCTCAGCCTTTGATGTGTGACTCTCTGAGGCTGAAAAATCTCACCTGCAAAATGGAAATGCCAATCTCCACCTCTTGGGACTCATAAAAATAATAATAAAATGATAATAAAAATATACCAATAATTGCTCATCTTTGGATCAATTGTGTTCCATAGGTCATTTCCTTAGCAAATCCTCACATCGGCCTGTGTTTTGCCTTCACGTGGGGTGGCTACTGAGAACATCTCCAGTTGACACATGGGGAAACTGAGGCTTCAAGTAGGAAAAATAGGCAGTTATAAAACACTGCATGGCTACTTTTGGTTTTTAGAAAATGCAAACATGTAATATATAAATTAAATAAATAAATAACAAAATATAAAAATATAATTAGGCAAAAAAGTTTGGCCGGTTAAATGCCCAAAAGCCACAGTGCTTTCCTGAGTATCAGAGTGACCATTGAGACAGGAGTCCCACCGCTGTCTCCTTCTCGTCATTCCCGTCTCGGCAAAATGTCACCTCTGCTGAGAGGTCGTCCCCAAGCTCTTGCCTAAGGTGGCCCTCCGGTCCCTCTTATTCCACTCACCTTATCTCTTTCTGCCCTGACCGTCGCTGGAATGCGCCGTATTTTTTCATCTGTTTCTGGGCTTATCGCCTGTGTTCCCCGCTAGAGCTTCAGACCCAGGAAAGCAGGAACTTCACCCCGTCCCCAGAGCCTTGCCCAGTGCCTGGCACTAGTGGATCTCAATACATATTCCTGGACCAACGGAAGGTGTTTTCTTATTTTTAAAAAATGTACTTTGCACACTGGGCAAGGTGGCTCACACCTGTAATCCCAGCACTTTGGGTGGATGAGGCGGGAGGATCGCTTGAGTCTAGGAGTTCAACACCCATCTGGGCAACATAGTGAGACCCTATCTCTATAAAAAAAAAAAAATTAAAGTATTAGCAGGGCGTGGTGATACCTGCCTGTAGTTCCAGCTACTCCGGAGGCTGAAGTGGGAGGACTGCTTGAACCCAAGAGGTCGAGGCTGCAGTGAGCCGTAATCATGCCACTGCACTCCAGCCTTGGTGACAGCTAGACCTTGTCTCAAAAATAAAAATACAAAGTGAAAAAATTGCTTTGCTTTTTCAAAAGCAAAGCACACCATATGAGTTGTTTTTAATTGTTGTTTTAAGTGCTGGTCAAAAATGAGCTGGCAGGAGCCTCAGCAGGAAGGCACAGCCTCGGCGGGCTTATCTGGCTGAGTGTGAAGGAAGTGGGCACACTGGCTTCCCACAGAGTGGGTCAAGCAGCGAACATCCCAGAGTTTCCCAGCCCAGTCTGCCCCCAGTTCTCTGGCGCTGGAGATCTTCCCGCCTGGGACAGGGTTATCTTTGAATGACAGCGTGTTCAGTCTCCCCCATGGGGTGAGGCTGCCCTGAATCTCAGGGAGCAACAGGGATCCCCTGGGCCAAACACAGCCCCCAGGAGATGTTGCTTGGCCCATGCAGTTCAAACAGCTTGGAATTTTGGCATTATTTTAAAAATCAAGATATTTTGGAAGAAAACTTTGAAAATCCTCCCAAAGGGCACCAAATAAGATGAGAATAATTGGATGGGAAGATTTCACATCCTTAAGATGACCATTCTGCCAACATACATAAAACTTAATGCAATTTAAAGTAGCGACCCACAAGGTTTTTTTAGTTGGATAAAACAATCTTTGAGTTCACAAAGAAAAAAGTACAAAATGAAAGAACAATGAGAAGGATCAGGACAAAGATAATATTTCAACTCACTGGGAAAATGGAATATTTAATCCAGGACCCCAGCCGAGCCCACTATCAGCAAAAAACAAAAATGGACTCCCATCTTCTACTACAAATCCAGGGAGTTCACATAAAACACCTGGCTTGTCCAAAAGTCCCGACCACACTGGGCCCTTATTTTTGCAAGGCAGCAATGGATTGATGCTGAGTTGCATCTCGGGGACTCTCCACTTCACCACAGTCTCCACCATTCCCTACTGCATCCCACCTGACTGCCTTCAATCATCTGTGTGTCTTGCTTGGGTGTTCGTAGCCTCTGAACTCACTACACAACAGAAGGACTCAGGGAACCTTTGAAGTTGGATTTCTGCTGTTAGCCACCTTTGTACTGTTCTCATTTTGCATAGTGGAAATGTGTATTTAGAGGAGGGATGTGGCTTCAGGCATGATTAAGAGCATGATTAAGTTGGTCCACCTGGGCCGGGCGCGGTGGCTCAGGCCTGCAATTCCAATGCTTTGGAAGGCTAAGGTGGGAGGAATGCCTGAGGCCAGGAGTTCAAGACCAGCCTGGGTGACAGAGCGAGACCCTGCCTCTAAAAAAGAAAAAAGAAAGAAAGAAAAAGAGCATGGAGCTAGAAGCTAGAGAGGCTTGAGCAACCTGTGAAGAGCGACTTCCCCGCTCAGTGCCTCAGTTTCCTCCTCTGCCACATGGGGATAATAAGAGCTGTCACACATCATGTTAGTTGCAGAGATTTGTGCCATTCTGCAAAATTCTTAGCCCGGGGCCCAGTGCAGTGTCGGTGCCAGGGAAACAGTGGTGATGACAAAACCCTCCCTTTACATCTACGGCTTTTAGTTCTCAGGCTTCTAAGGGAGGAAAGAAAAAGGAAGAAACGAAGGGAGGAGGGGTGCAGAGCGGAGCATTTGCTTTTACCTTTGATCTCCTTTTGCCAAAAAGGAGGGGAGAAAGTAAATAAACAGGCCTGGCCTCCTTTGATTCCAGCGCCTGCCCGGCACAGAGCTCCAGAGCTGATAAGAACCAGCCAAGTTCTAACTGGGCAACTCCACCCTCCTGACCAGGCCTTCCCTTGGCATTTGGAATCCAGGACGCCAAAGCCCTCCCCTGCACCCTACTGTCAGCATGCACCGTTAATGCCCTTCTCGCCTTCCCAACCATGGGAGAAAAGATGGAGAGAACTTCCCCACTGTGGAACCCCACACAAAACAATTGGGCGGGTTTGGAGACAAGAAAAGGGTCTTAGAAAGCGGCTTCCGAATACATTAGAAACCCAGTCCCCCATCCCAGGAAGAAGCCCCCACACTGGGGACTTGCAGGAAAACAAAATGCTCAGGGATTTGTCTTGGCAATGAATTAAGCAGAAGGCTGGTGAAGTTCTCGGCGCAGAGCAGAACCACCCCTCCCACCCCCCAGTGGTTGGTGGAGAGAAGCCGTGTGGCACGGTGGGTAATGGTATAGCTTTGAACCCATTCGTTTATGGTTGTGTGACTTTGGGCAAGTGACTCGGCCCTGTCGAACTTCAGTTTCTCATCAGCCCTGGCACTGGGCTCATGGGATTGTTAAAGGTTAACTGAGGTTGTGCCCATCGGGTGCCTGGCGCATACATAGCAGGTGCTTGTGCTTGGACACTGTGATTATAAAATGGCTTAGGGAGTCCCAGGATGGCCTCAGGAGGAGAGACAAAAAAAAAAAAATGCTCAGGCCTCATGTCCGGAAAGATGAAAGAGGATCAGTTTGAAATCTCTAAAGGCACCAAGGGCCATGCAGTGGCCAAGGTCAGGCACCGGGTCTGCTTGAAGTTGACAGGAGGTAAATTCAGGACAAAGTTTAGCATACACAGAAGACATTCCTTCCACATTCCCCCCAGGTAGGCCCTAGCTGATGGCTCTAAGAGCTTCCCCAGGACCTCTGCTAAATAGCTCAGAGCTAAGGCAGAGGGCCTGGGAGAAGAGGCAGAGGTGAGGGGTCCCTCCCACCCCTGCCTCCTCCTGGCTGTGTGACCTGTGTGCCTGGCCTCAGTTTCTCCACCTGTAAAATGAGGCCATAATAACACCAACCCTGTAGGTTTTGAGGATAGAACACATGGCATTCTGCTGGTGCTCAATGAATGAACAAAAGTCACAAACCACAGCTACTTCCAGGATGAGGCTGTGGAAGCGGTTGTCAGCAGGGAAAGAACTGACTGCTCTTGACTCCTTTCTTAGGAAGTCCAGGCTCAATTCCACATCCACGCCCCGTCCACCTACCCTGGAGGCAGGGCCTCGCTCTGCTTCGCACATTCGCAAGTCCCCAGGGCCTGGCATAGAGCAAGTATTTGTTCAATGAATGCATGAGCCTGGATACTCTGTGGAGTCAACCTCCACTGAGAGCAAAGGGAGGCCCAGAGAGGCCAGGTAACTTGCCCGAGGCCTCACAGCCCCCTGCCTGCCTGAAGGCAGAGCTGGAACTGGGGCTGAGCTGAGCCTGGTCTGCACCCCTACTTGCTCTGGGCCTTCCCCTCGGGGAAGCCTGCTGTCCCCCACCTGAACACACCCTGCCCAGGCTTCCCCCACCCAGCAGAGCAGGCACAAGGAGCTCCTCAGGTGGAAGGAGCTCCTCCTTCCACGAGTGTTCCAGACGCTCACTGACCTCTGCAGGGACTGGCCTTCCCCTCTCTCCCTGGTAGGCTGAAGGCCACCAGCTTGCCACCTGCAGGCCTCGTCTGGCTTCAGACGAGTTCCGTTATGACCTGCACTGTGTGGTTTTGTATAACCTGCACTGCATGGGTTTCCTTCATCATTTTGAATCATTTGCCAACATTTAAAAATTGGCGATTTCGTATAAAACCCAGAATTTCCAGCTTCTTTCGGAAAGTCGGCCTCTCTGGCCACCAGGCCTGCTTTTTTCTGGCTCTGGTCAGCAGGAGCTTCGTCCTAGGCCTCTTCACTCCCCTCGCTCTGACCTGGTGGTCCTCACTCAACCCTGGGCCTACTCTCCCAGGCTTACAGCCTCCTTACATAAAGGCCCAGGCCTGCCCGGAGACCAGGCCACTCGCTCCCCCGCCACCGTGCGGTGCCTCCTCCGTTCACCCTCAGCCCGGGCACTCCCAGGGAAAGCCAAAAAGGCAGGATTGGAGCCAAACTCTAGGTGTCCAGTAGACAGAATAATGACCCCCCAAAGGTGCCCACCTCCTAATCCCCAGAGCCTGTGAACATGTGACCTTACATGGCAAAGGGACTTTGTAGGTGTGATTCAATTCAGGGTCTTGAGATGGGAAGATGAGCCTGGCTTATCCAGTGGACCCAAGGCAGTCACCAGGGGCCTTATGAGAGGGAGGCGGGAGGGTCAGGCCCAGAGGGCCCACTTCGACTCCAGTGGGAGCAGAGGTGGGAGCGGTGCAAGCCAGTGAGTGCCATTGGCCTCAAGACAAGGCATGGATTCTCCCCTGAAGCCTCCAGAAGGAACTCCATACTGCCTGCACCTTGATTTTCCCCTCGTAAGACCCACTTTGGCTTTCTGACTTTCAGAACAGTAAGGTCATGAAAGTGTGTCATTTTCAGTTTGGTGTAATCTGTTACAGCAGCAATAGGAAACATCCCAGGGTTTGAACCCAGGCTTGGCCACTCCCTGGCTATATGCCCTGGGGCAGGTGACATAGTACTGAGCCTGGGTTTTCCCGTCTGAAAAGGGGGTGAGCAGAGACTTCTGTTAGGTGGGGGCTGTGTGTGGGGGTGAAGTCGATGGCACAGGTAAGGTGTGGGGCAGAGCCCTGACAGCTCACGCGCTAGACGCCACCATGGTTAGCATCGCCCTCTTACTTCCTCTCACTTCTCTCACTGTCACTGAAACCAACTCAGAGCAGGCTTTTGAATCTGCCCACTGCTGCCCAAGATAAAGACGAAACTTCCTACTTAGGATCCTACACAATCTGCCTTCCCTAATAATAATAACAGTAATGATTAAAACAATAATGTCCACTAGCACTGATGAAGCACTTGGCAAGAGCCAGATATTAACTACGTATTAAACTCATTTAGGCCAGGTGCAGTGGCTCACACTCATCCCAGTGCTTTAGGAGGCAAGGTGGGAGAATCGCTTGAGGCCAGGAGTTCAAGACCAGCCTGGGCAACATAGCAAGACCCCCAATCCCTACAAAAAATAAAAAATTTGCCATGTGTGGTGGCATGTACCTATAGTCCCAGCTACTCAGGAGGCAGAGATGGAAAGGATTGCTTGAGCCCTGGAGGTTGAGGCTGCAGTGAGCTGAGATATCACCACTGCACTCCAGCCTGGGTGACAGAGTGAGTGAGACCCAGACTCAAAAAAACACACACAAAAAATTATTTAGGCCAGATGCAGTGGCTCTTGCCTGTAATTCCAGCACCTTGGGAGGCTGAGGTAGAAAGATCGCCTAAGGCTAGGAGTTTGAGACCTGACTGGGCAACAGAGTGAGACCTCATCTCTCCAAAAAAATTAAAAATTAGCCAGGCATGGTGGTGTGCACCTGTAGTCCCAGCTATTCAGTGGGCTAAGGCAGGCAGATCGCTTGAGCTCAGGAGTTGGGAGGCTGCAGTGAGCTATGATCAAGCCACTGCACTCCAACCGGGGTGACAGAGTGAGACTCTGTTTCTAAAATAAATAAATAATAACTTCGAAAATTCACTTAATGCTCACGACAATCCTATCACTTGCCCTATTTTTCTGATAGGTAAACTGAGGCCCAAAAGATTAAGTCACTTGCCCAGGATCCCCTGGCAGGCTGGTAGCTAGCTGGGATTTGAACCCACGTGGTTGGGTCTTGGAGCCTGGATGCTAACCATGGGGCCGTGCTGCCTGTATATATGAGCAGACCAGGGAATAACACTCAGGGCCCCAGGGAGTGGCCAGAGACTCAGTGATCATGGCCTCCCCTCCATACACTGCCTGTCCTGGGTACAATCCTGGACCCGAGAGATCTGAGGGTCGTGGCTCCTCCTGGTACACAGTTTGTACCCACAAGTGTGTTTATTTTGCAAAACAGTTTCCAGCAGTGCCCACTCTCTGCCGGACACCTGGTTTCCAGAAAAAATGCAGACCCCTCCACTGTACTTAAGATGGTGGAGACAGGCCGGGTGTGGTGGCTCACGCCTGTAATCCCAGCACTTTGGGAGGCCGAGGCAGGCGGATCACCTGAGGTCACGAGTTCGAGATCAGCCTGGCCAACATGGCGAAACCCTGTCTCTACTAAAAATACAAAATTAGCCGGGCGTGGCAGTGGGCGCCTGTAATCCCAGCTACTCAGGAATCACTTGCACCTGGGAGGCGGAGGTTGCAGTGAGTTGAGATCGCGCCATTGCACTCCAGCCTGGGCGACAGAGCAAGACTCTGTCTCAAAACAACAACAACAACAATAAAAGATTGTGGAAACAGATGAGTGCCTAGGCTGTCACAGCCCAGTGAGGGACGGCAGGGGCCTGGGGGCAGGGGGAGGTCGGGGGAAGCTCCCTGAGGCAGGGCCATCTGAGGAGAAGCCCAAGGAAGCTGACGCTGGCATCCTTGAACAGCTGAGCTGAGTGCCGCAAGGAGGATCCGCCCAGGAAGGCCCCGGTGAGAGGAAGCCCGTGTGCTTGGAGAGGTGGATGTGGTCACAGGTGGCTGGAGTGCTGGAGAGAGTGGAAACGTCAAGAGGTCGGCCTGGGCTCGGCCACTTACTGTGTGACCTTGGGCAAACTTCACCGCTTTTCTGAGCCTCAGTGTCCGCATCTGTAAAATGGGAATAGGATAGCAGGGTACCTCCTGGGGTGGTTCTGAGGATGCGACGCGTCACTGCGTGTGAAGGTCAGCGCCTGGCATCGGGAAGGGCTGCATTGGTGTGAGTCGGTCTTGTTGCTGTGATTATGATGAATACGAAGCATCGCGTTGTCAGCCTGCACGCCACCTCCCCTTCCAATCAGCTCCTCAGATGCAGAAGCCGTGAAGCTCCCACAAGTTCATGGGGACAACCCGTGTGAGACCAGTGAGGACCCCCTGCCTGTGGGGAGGGATGTCTTCCCAAGAAGTTTCATGTCTGCCATCCCAGACCCGGGATCCAGGCCGGCGTCTACACTCCCTGGGGTTCCCAGCTTCAGGCAGCTTAGCCCTCTGCCCGGTGTTTGCTCTCCGTGTCCCTCCTGTCCTTTTGTGTATGACACGTGTCCTTCCCCCGCTCCCTTGAGCTCCTTCCTCATCTTCACCAATACGATTTGTCAGTCACTCTCAATGCCCAAGTTCCTCTTTTTCAAGCACGTTAACAATACGAATTGCTGAGAGTTTTTGAGCACTTGCTATGTGCCTGATACTTTCATTCATTTATTCATTCAGCAAGTAGCCTGAACACATCTTGTGTGCATTGGAGATCTTCAGAAATAACAGACAAAGGTCCTTGCACTCCCTGCTGGGCTTAACATCTTGCGGGTGGGGAGTGGAGACGATCATAAAGAAACCGGCAAAGTCTACAAACTATTCTTTGTACACATAAACTCCCTGAATCACAATAATAACCTTATGAAAGGTTTTCCCCTATTTTTCAGGTGAGAAAAACCAAGGCTCAGAGAGAAGGACTTGCCTAAAGTCACACAGCTATGAAATGTCCGAACTGGGATTCAAACCCACACCTGTCAGACTCCAGAGCCTGTGCTCCTTCTCTCCCCGGCAGCCTGTCTACTAAGATGTTGGCCCAGCTCCACATACAGTCATCTGCCTCGCCAGCAGCACATTTCAGAAGCTCCACAATGTCTGAGGTCGGGGGTGTCGGTGCCCAGGGGCACAGCTCACTCCCACAAGGCCCCGGGCAGGGTGAGCTCTGCCCTCCCTTCCAGCAGCCTCTGACCAGGAAGGCCAAGTACACGGTCAGTCTCTGGCCAGAGCCTGCGGGAACAGGACGTCCTGGTCCTCCTGCCCTGGTGGGGCCCAGCAAGCTATTTTTGGGCACGTTTATTGATGGGACACGGGTGCCCAGCTGGACTCCTGATTCAAGAGGAAGGCCCCAGGCTGGCCCAGGGTGGTTCTGCTTCTCCAGGCCCTTGGCTGCCTTGGGACAGCAACCATCTGCTACACCCCATGTCAAGGGTGTAGCCTGAGCTGGCTGGCTCCAGGAAGAGCAAGGGTCCCCACGAGTGTGGATAGATTTTGGGGGGGGGTCACACAGACTACAACTATTTCCCAAAATTCTGGAGCCTGATTAATTCATAGGCAGGCAGAACACAGAATGAGTATGACAACAGGTTTTGAGGTTAGACTTGAGTTCAAACCCCCGCTGTGTCCTCTGCTAGCAAATTTACCGTGGGCAAGCCAGGCCAACTCCTGGAAGCTCCGTTTCCCTGCCTGTGAAATAATAACAATCCTTACTCACGGGGAGGGAATGAAGCTTGAATTAGATAGCCCCCACAGCTCAAAGCCTGGCATACAGTAAGTACTCAATAATGAATAATAACTTTGCAAATAATGATTGACAGCTGACATTTATTGGGAGTTTAGCAGGTGTGAGGCAGTGGGCTAAATTATTGACATTTTAAAAAATCTCACTTCACCCCCCCCAACGATTCCTGGGGGAAGGTGAATGATGCACTTACAGGTGCCATTATCGTTCCCTTTTACAGATAAGAAAACAGTTCACAAAGAGGAATGATTTGCCCGATATCACCCAGCAGATGTGTGGCAGAAAAACCCGCTGGATGCGTGGCAGAAAAACCCGCCTTTGAACTCCGGCCCTAAGAGAGGACAGGGCCAGGCTGCAGAGCTGTGCCTCACGCCCTCCTTTCCCTCCCACAAGGACTGGTTACAAAGACCCCGTCAACACCTAAGTCCACGCCGTATCGTGCACCCCTCAGTCACCCCCTGTCCCAGAAGGTAACCTCCTGGGCCTTCCTGTTGATGGAAATTCAGACACCAACATCCCTGAATATTCCCTTGACCCTTCTTCCTGCCATTGGGGTTATTTTGTTTTCCTGGTTCATCGGCAAGAAATCTGCAAGAAACTGGCTGGGTTGGCAAAGGCTCTGGGCTAACTTGGAGGCCGCTATGCTGTGTATGCTGGGGTGGGTGCTGGGGGCCTGGCGGGCAGGGGAGGGCAGAGGCTCGCATGCCGGGGCACCTCAAGGCCCAAAGTCAATGCAGTGTTTCCTTGGTAAAGTGCCCTCCTGGCCTGCACCTGCTTACAATTCAACGCAGTGCCCTGAGGGTACATTGCAGCCTCCTTTGGCTGAAAGAAGCAGCCTTTTGTGATCTATCCTCTGCCTTTGTAGCCTTCTTTCCCACCACTGGATCCCCTCCAAAAAGAACGTGCTTTGCCCTGCTTCCAGGCCTTTGGCCCTGCTGTGCCCTCCTCCTGGACCACCTTTCCTCCATGGTTCTCTTACCACGTGCTTCTTCTCCTGGTACTTCAGGACTCCTACACTGTGAGGCCCTCCCAGAATCCCCCCAGCCCCCTACTTGGGGTTGCCACTGCGACAGAGGGACATTGCTTCCAGAACTACGTTGTACTCTAGACTACAAAGCCCAGCTGGTGAGCTGACACCTCCATGTAGGTTTCACGCAGGCCCCTAACTTCACAAAGCGGAATACTCCATTTATTTCCCTCCTGAAACCCCAGCCCTGCCCACCTGTCTTCCCAGCTCAGGAAACAGTGCTGCCCTGTTCAGACCAGGTCCTGGTGGCCCCTTGGTTCCTGTTTCCCTCACCCCACACATCCCAAATCTTGCTGACTTGACTGCCAAATACATCCCAAATCCATGCCCTTGTTGCCACTTTCACAGCTACCACCGAGGTGCAGGCTTGCCACTGTCCTTGCCCACCTGAACCGTGGCAGTGAGCTCCTCCTCCCTGGTCTCCTGGCTTCCAGCTTTGCTCCACTCAATCCACACAGTCAGAGGAAATATTTCAAAAGACAAACCAGCTGGGCGCAGTGGCTCACGCCTAATACCAGCACTTTGGGAGGCCGAGGCGGGTGGATCACCTGAGGTCAGGAGTTCGAGACCAGCCTGGCCAACATGGCGAAACCCCGTCTCTACTAAAAATACAAATAATTAGCCAGGCTTTGTGGCTTGTGCCTATAATCCCAGCTACTCGGGAGGCTAAGGGAGGAGAATCGCTTGAACCCTGAGGCGAAGGTTGCAGTGAGCTGAGACGGCGCCATTGCAGTCCAGCCTGGGCCACAAGACTGAGGCTCCATCTCAAAAAAAAAAAAAAGAAAGAAAGAAAAAAGAAAAAAAAATCTGGTTTACTGCTAAATGTTTAATGACACCTTCTCAACAAGGGGGAGCCCTGATTTTTACATGTATCCATTTCGGTGGTGTAAATAGTCCCACCATGGTCCATTTGGAGCTACCAGTGTGACTTACTGAGCATGGCATTGGGAAGAACTTGTTGTACTATTTCCACCGTGGGATATGGCATATGATATGATACAACACAACAGACGTCAATCACTTCAACAACACAGAGAACAGTGAAATGGTGAGAAAGTGGTGATCTGTGAGCAGTTGTTACCTTTGTTTTTGTTGTAACTTATTTAACTGGAAGTTCGTGCAATTTAATTCTTAGCGATGGCTGTGTGTGACAACTAGCTTGCAGAATTCGTGAGCCAGTAGGAGGTGGTGCCAGCAACCCCACTGGTTGAAAGCGACACGAGGGCAAGGATGTTTCCACATTGTTCCCGGCCGTTTCCTGGGGCCTGGAACAGTAGAAGGAGCTCAGGGTAGGTGTTCAGGCCGCATTTGTTGACTATTTTATAGTGCACCTGTTTGCATCAGAGAGCACAAACTGTTTGCCTCAACTTGACTTCATGGGCTGAGTCCAGCCCACAAGCAGGTGTCATTTGGCTCTCAGAATGTTTTGGACATTTTTACAAAATTTATTGCCAACGTTTAAAAGTCAAGGGTTTTGTTTTTTTTTTTTATGAAATCTCACATAAACCTAGATGTGTAGCTTCTCCTGGAAAATCAGAAGCTCTGGACCCGACTCCCTTATGACAACAGAGGCTGGAGCGGAGGGGCGCGCAGCCAGCCCCTTCAGACTGGGCATGG
This sequence comes from Homo sapiens, assembly GCF_000001405.40. NCBI lineage: Eukaryota > Metazoa > Chordata > Mammalia > Primates > Hominidae > Homo > Homo sapiens. The sequence continues at coordinate 50,398,628 of NC_000020.11, forward strand.
GCTCGCCAGTTTCCGCAGGCCCCACCCCTACCCGCAGTCTCACACCACGCCCACTTCATTCGTTCACGTAACCTGCTGGGCCTGCGGATATTTAAGTTGCAACTGCCATCTTCGCCTCCATCTTAGCACTTGTCACAGTGTGGGCCCGTCACAGTGTCCCTGCCAGACAGTGAGCACCTTGGGGACAGGCTCTGTGAGGGAGCCCCCCGGGGTCCCCACTCCTGGTACATAGTAGGTCCACAGGTTCTGGAACTAGATGAAATGTTTGTTGTCCAGTGAATGCCAGCCCCCACCCAGCTATCCGAATTGGGGCACGCACTAAACTCAAGCCCCGACCGGAATGTGACAAAGAGGTTGGCCGAGGCCAGGGTTTAAAAATACCCCAGGGCTGGTCAGCTGCGAGGTGCTTGGAGGTGTTGAAACAACCAGGCCAACGCTGGCTGGAGGCCAGTGCACCCACTTTGCTCTGTGTGATGTGGGCTAATGGGAGGGGTCACTAGCAGGTCCTGGCGTGCGGGGGTGGGGAGTGGGAGGAGTAGGTGCAGCCCCCTCCCCCACAGCCCTGCTTGGGAAAGGTCAGAGATGTTTATAAACAGCATGGGGTGACATGACATAATTTCACATAAAGGGTTACCAGGCAGGGCATGGACACAGGGCGGCCTCCTCTGATGTTTCCACGCCGCGGTCTCCTGGCATCAAGAAAGCCGGGATGCTGCTAGCACTGTGGTCTCCCCACGGCCTTCAGAACCATGGCCCAGCCCGCTGGAGCCAGGCTTAAAAATAACGCTCCCAGCACAGTCTCCTGGGGGACAGCCAGCATGGGGGCTGGACAGGGAAGGAACAAGCTCTGCTGGAGCGCCCACTGGATGCCAGGCACGTCAGAGGCATGAGCTCATGGAGCTGCACACAGGCCTTGGGAGGGAGGGACTGTCATCCAGATGGGGAAACTGAGGCTCAGGAGTGGTGCCACTGGCTCAGTGTTTCCCAGCAAGTGGCAATGCTGCCATGCCAATCCATGAGACAAGAGTGACAAGAAGGCAGGCTCTGTGTCACGCCGCTGTTCCCGAGTCCCTGGCACAGCGTTTGGCCTTAGCAAGCCTCAGGAGGCAGCTCCCATGGAACTTGTCCAGGATCGAAACCCGCTCTCCCACCACAGCTTGTCTCCGTCAAGGGCAGCCCATCCTTCCAGATGCTCAGGGCGGATACCAGGGCATCATCCTCAACTCCTCTTTTTCTCTCACCCCCACACCTGGTGCTTGCTGCTCCATCCAAACACAGCCGCCCCTCCCTGCCCTGGCCCAGCCCCACCTCTCTCACCTGACCCCTGCAGGAGCCTCCTTCCTGGTCTCCTGCTTCCACCCTCACCCTAACAGTCTTGCCTCCATCAGTGTCCAAGGTAACACACTAGACTCGTATCATCCATCACCTGAATGTATTAGGATGCAACAGTGAATAGAACACACATGTCCCCGTCAGCGTGGAGCTGACATTACGGAATGGGGGAGGAAGGGGGCATCAGCCTTCACAGGTAAATTAAATAGATCATGTTTCCAATGGCAGTGAGTACTAAGGAGAAAAATAAGCCGGGGAAGGAGGAGGGGAACATCAGAGAGGAATAAATCTAAATAGGGAGTGGGGGTGCAGGGCAGGAAAGGTCTCACTGAGCAAATATTTGAGTACGGCTTGAAAGAGATGAGGGATTGGGCAATGGGGATTTCCAGAGGAAGGGCATTCTTGGTAGAGGAAACAGCAAGTGCAAAGGCCCGAGGCCGGACCGTGCCTGGCATGAGCGAGGATGGCAGAGAAGAGGCCAGTGTGGCTGCAGCAGAATGAGTGAGGGGCAGCGTGGGAGGAAGTGAGTTCAGAGGGGTGAAGGGCAGCGCCCATAGAACCTTGCACGTCGAAGGAAAGACTTAGCTTTCCTCTGGGGTAGGTGAGAGCCATGGAGGGTTCTGAACAGAAGAGGGCACAGTCTGACTTCGTTTCTGAAAGAATCTCTCCAGCTGGGTGTAGAGGATGGGCTGTCAGGAGCCAGGGGGAAGGGGACAGTCAGGGTGACTGCAGTGGTTCATGCAGAAGAGAATGGTGAATGGGCCCAAGGGGTGGCTGTGGAGGTGAAGAGGCGGGGAGAACGGATCTTGGACTCCTGATCTGTTCTAAGGTGGAGCTGCTGGGGCATATGCTGCTGGACTAGATGCGATCAATAGAAATCAAGAAGCCAAGGATGTTTGGGTTTCTGCTAACACAGGAACAGAAAACCAAACACTGCATGTTCTCACTTATAAGTGGGAGCTGAACGATGAGAACACATGGACACAGGGAGGGGAACAACACTGGGGCCTGTTGTGGGGGTGGGGAGGGAGAGCATCATGATAAATAGCGAATGCTTGCCGAGCTTAATAGCTAGGGGATGGGTTGATGGGTGCAGCAAACCGCGATGGCACATGTTCACCTATGTGACAAACCTGCACGGCCTGCATATGTACCCCGGAACTTAAAATCTAAAAATAAAAGCCAAGGATGGCTCCAAGGTTCCAGATAGAGCAGCCGGAAGGATGGAGCTTCTGCCTTACAGAGATGACCAAGCACCAAGCTGGGCTCTGGGAAGGATGGGAGTGAGGCGGCGGCCCTTCCCCGGGGGGCACCGGATCCTGTGTGAAGGTCATCCTCAATACAGTGGGCTTTGCTTTATGAAATTCCCTGCTGATTCACATCAGGATTCTTCTCCAGCTCCTCCTTCCCATCCCTGTCCCTGAGTCCCTTGTAAATTTTGCAGGAGCCACCAGGTCCCTCCTCCCCTCGATTCCTGAAGAGCAACAAACGCTTCTATAGCACTCATGTGCCTGGCAGGATCCTAGCCCTTTACTTAAACTTTGTGAACTCATCTGATCATCACAGCAGTTCCAGGAGCTGGGGACTCTTATTACACTTATTTCATAAATGGAGAAAAAAGGCCCAGAGAGGTTAAGTCACTTGTCCAGGATCACACAGCTCCAAGTGGTAGAGGCAGGATATGATCCCAGGCAGTCAGGCCTAGGCCTCATGCTGTTAACCACTACACTTACTATCTCACCCTTGGCTATGAGGAGTCAAACTGGGCTTGAGAGATTGGGTGAGGGGAGAGGGCTTCAGCCACCCCTTCCACATAAAAGAAACAGTTGCCGTTTTCTGAGTACCTCTCCTGTGCCTAGTTCTATACCCAGGCTTCCTCTATTCTGCATATCAACAGAAGGGGTATCACAAGGATTGTACCCATTCTACAGATAAGAAAACCAAGGCTCAGAGAGGGGAAAAGCCATGTCCACAGTTACAGCCAGGACTGAGAATGTGGAACTCTGGGACTCCAGACCCCATTCTGTCCCCTCCTCCACACTGCCTGTGCTTGTCACCCGCTTCCTGCCTTGGTGGTGAGGGGGGTGCTCAGGGGTCAATGGCCGCACTGCATTTTCTTCTTGCTGGAAGCAGAAGGAGGACAGGAGAAGTGACACATTGCACAGCTGCACGGATTCCCGCTCTCAGGGCTCGTAGATTTTGTCTGGCACAATCAACATGTCTGAGGCCAGCTCTGGGCCAGGTGCTGGAGAGACCGAGATAGGAACACAGAGTGGAGGGTGAGAAAGATGGAGGCCCTAGGTGGCTTTGATGAGATAGACAGTGGTGGGGTTGTTACAGAAGTTCAGAGAAGCCGCTCAGAGGAGCAGGTGCACATGAACCTTGTGTCCTGGCAGCTTCTTCACTTCTCTGGATCTCAGTTTCCATCTCTGTGACACGGGGTGGTCATACCTGCCACCCCATCTCACAGAGCTGGTCAGGACTAAAGGTGAGCGCCAAGGGGGCATGCACTATCTCCACCTTGCCCTCTGCTGTCTTCCAGGACAGAAAGAGCACAGGCCCCAGCTTGTTGTAGGCATTCTGGGGACCTGGCACACAGGAGGTGCTCAGGGCCTGCTGGACGTATGGAAATAAAGAAATAAACTTCTTTGGGACTTATTTTCTTCCCCCATAAAGTGAATTATTTCCATGCACCCATGCACTTTACAAAGACATAGACCCTCTCAACCACCTGGCAAGGCGAGTACTAAGATCATCTTTGCTTAACAGGTAAGAAAAACGGACACCTAGAGAAGCTACGAGATTTCACCAAGGTCCTAGAGCTAAGAAGGGATGGAGCTAGCATTTGAATTTCACTCCCTCTGCCTCCTCAGCATTCACAGAACTAATTGCAGAACTAAACTAATAACAGCTTGTGTTTTGTGGAGCATTTATTACATGCCATGCGTTATTCCAGACACTTCACATATATTAACTAATATTAGTATCTACCTCAAATGTGTGGGAGAGATGATATTTCCTTCCCATTTTACCCATAAAGAAAGAGGTTAAGGGGCAGGAGCAGTGGCTTAGGCTTGTAGTCCCAGCACTTTGGGAGGCCAGGTGTTCGAGACCAGCCTGGGGAACATAGCAAGACCCCCATCTCTACAAAAAACAAAAAATTAGCTGGGTGTGCTGGATCATACCTATAGTCCCAGCTGCTTGGGACGCTGAAGTGGGAGGATTGCTTGAGCCCAGGAGGTCAAGGCTGCAGTGAGCTGTGATTGTGCCACTGCATTCCAGCCTTGTCTCAAAGTAAAATTTAAAAAAAAGAAAGAGGTTGGCCAGGTGCGGTGGCTCATGCCTATAATCCCAGTACTTTGGGAGGCCAAGGCAGGTGGATCACCTGAGATCAGGAGTTCAAGACCAGCCTGACCAACCAACATGGCAAAATCCTGTCTCTACTAAAAATACAAAAATTAGCTGGGCATGGTGGCAGGCTTCTGTAGTCCCAGCTACTCGGGAGGCTGAGGCAGGAGAATCACTTGAACCCGGGAGGCGGAGGTTGCAGTGAGCTGAGATTGTGCCACTGCACTCTAGCATGGGCGACAGAGCAAGACTCAGTCTCAAAAAAGAAAAAAAAAAAGTAAATAAATAAATAAATAAATGAAAAAGAAAAAAGAAAGAGGTTAAGTAACTTGTGCAAAGTCACAAGTAATTTGCAAAGCCAGGATTCAAACTCAGGCAGTCTGGCTCCAGAGTCCATGGTCTTAAATCACAACACCCTGCAGGAGAGGGTTGGCAATGTCATCCCAGGCACAGAGTCTGGCACACGGGGAGCACTTATTGGATTGTGAAAACCTAGCAAACCACGAACAGACAAGCAGGGCTTTCCTATTCTGAACCACACTGAGGTCTCCCTTAAGAATTCACTTATTTCCATTTCTTCCTGTGAGTCCCACTTGACAGAGAAGAAGCTGCCCACAGACCATTTTCCCCCTTCTTCCCCCTCCCTCTAGGAAAATTCTGGGCAGCATCCACCAGGTCACAGCTGCCAGCCAGAGGACTGGCTAGAGCAGAGTTTGGCCAGGTTATCGGGTTTCGTGGTCAGCCACCTTCGCCCCTGACCAGAGCTGTCTTTCCAAAACAGAACATTCAGTCACTGCCTGTCCCTGCGCCCAGCTGTCCTTGTGCCCCGACCTTGCTCTCTGCCCACCGGCCCAGGGTTTTTCCTCGTATTCTTGTCTCTTACTGATATCTTGCAAAGATGACCGGAGCAGAGGAAAGAAAGTCAGGGAGCAGCCTGAGAGAAACGATGAGGAGACAGAGACAGAGAAAGAAGAGACAGAGAAAGAGGTGACAGATGGACAGAGGAGAAAGAGGAGACAAGAAAGACAGAGAAAGAGGAGACAGAGGCGACAGACGGACAGAGAAAGACAGAGAAAGAAGAGACAGAAAGACAGAGAAAGAGGAGACAGAGATGGAGAGACAGAGCTGGAGAGAAAGACAGAGACAGGAGGGCCCTGCAGGTGCCATCTGCCCTCCAAAGCTGTCTCGAGGGCAGGGTTTGTAACCTTGCATCTCCACCCAATGCATCTTGACCTCCCAAGGCTGCAGCATCTTCTCCCAACAGCCCCCATCCTGCCACCAGCCCAGCAGGTCCTAAGAGACCTCGTTTTCCTTCCCCCCTCACCTCCATGCACAATCCCTCACCTAACTAACTCCTCCTTATCTCCCTTCCTCCAGGAAGCCCTCCTTGCCCCCACAGCCCCTCTATGTACCCTGATTACACCTCCCTCATACTTTGTGGTTCATTGATAGGTTCGCCTCCTCCACTGGAATGGCAGCTCCTCGAGGGCAGGGTCTGGATCGGTCTGGCTCGCCCTGCATCCCTGCACTCAGCCCAGTGCCTGACTCATAGTAGGTGCTCAATAAATGTTGGTTGAAGGAAGGATTAAGCCAGCTGCTATGTGTCAGCTCCTTGGAGAATCCTTCCCTGGTATGGCTTACAACTGTTTGGACTTCATCGTGTGATTATTTGATTTAGGGTCTGCGTGGCCTCTGGTCCGAAGAAGGCAGGATCTGAGTCTGCTGCATTCACCCTTGTCTTCCCAGCACCTGGAACAGTGCCTGGCACAGAGTAGGTGCTTCAGTATTGGTTGAATGAATGAATGGATGCATGAGCAAATGAATTAACCATTAGCCCTCTGGAGGTTTTGAATCATATTTTTTAACCCATTTGAAGCAGTTCAAATGTTCCCCATTGCCTTTCAAATCAGACCCCAAGTCCTGTCAAGACCTAGGAGGCTCTGCAAGATCTGGCCCCTGCCACGTCTCCAGCCTCTGCCCTTCTCCCGCCACCCCTACAGGCACCGATGTCTCTAGGGTGCCCGGCGTGGTAGCAGTTCTCATCCCCCTCCACACCCCACCATAAGTCATGTCAACAGAGCTGGGTTGGTTTATTTGTTTTTTTCTATGAACAAGACTGCCTAGAAAAATGGAGCACTTTTGCACAAACAACCTCAATGTCACCCATGGACCTTGGTCACTGTGGGACAGTCTCCAAGGTTTGGCCGGCCAGCTTCCCAGGGCACTGACCTGAGAAAGGGTTTGCGCCCTGGTCGCTCCGTCCATCTCCCACCCGACCCTCTAAAGGGCTGGCTGGCTGGGTGGGAGGGGTGTCCTTGGAGCCCCTGAGTCTGACCTTCATGTTCTGCAGGAAGCCAGGGGAGGGGACCCAATGGAGTGGACCCCACCACATCCTTTAGGCTCAGACCAGGCCTTACACCCTCCAGAAAGCTGCCTTGGCCACTTTCCTGGCATCTCTGGACTCCTGTTCTCACCCTAATTGCATCTCATATCATGCTTGGCTGAAATTCTCTACTGGACAGTTTCTTCCACTGGACTGTGCTCCAAGTGCTTAAGGCCAAGTCTTTTCTATCTTGGTGTCCCCAGAGCCCAGATCTGGCCTATGAGGGTCATCAGCAAACATGCAGTGAATGAACAAAGGATTATTGAACAAGCGCTTCCTGCCTTAGTGCATGCTGACCTCTGTCTTTCTTACTAGGATGGGGTCCCAAGGACCTTGTCTCTTTTATCTTTGCTCCTCAGTGTCTAACACTGCTTGACACATCAGTGGCACCATGAAACATGTGTGGAATAAACAAACAAGGCCTTCCTACCATCCATCATATCTGCCTCTCCTCCTGGACTGGGAGCACTATGAGGTCAAGGACCAAGCCTTATTTATTTCTAGCTCCTCTGAGTCTAGCACTGGACCTGGTACAAAAGAGATGCTTGGTAGGTACTTACTGGATGGATGGATGGATGGATGGATGGATGGATGGATGGATGGATGGAGTTGAAACTGATGGATCAATGGAGGAATGAATGGAAGGTTGGACAGAGTAAATGAATAGAATGGGCGGATGGAAGTGCAGGTGGGTGGATGGATGGCAGATGGGTGAATGAAAGGCTGGATAGATAAATACTACAGTCCAGGTCGTGAACGTGGGAAATATTGCTTTCTACCCCCCCCACACAAAAGCCACCATTTTAGAAGAGCTAAAATCATTTTAGAACAGCTAAAATGAGGCCAGAGAATGACTCAGCTAGAGTTTCTATGAGAGATATTTAAAAGAAAAAAAAATGTGAGAAAGACGGGTCTCGGAGGCTCTGAACTTCTTAAGCAAAACCCTGTAAGTTGGCCGTGCTCTCTTGCAGCGTTTATGTGATATTTTATGGAGGGCCTGCCATATTTAGTGCCCTTGGGTTTGGTCTGGAAGTTGAACGAAATTTCAGATGTGGACCCTGACCCCAGGTTGCTCAGAGTCAGATATATGCCCATTCATCCTCAATGCGTCTTCTTGTCGGGGTGTCCAAAGAACAAAGGTTTGGGAAACAAACACAGATTTGTATCCTGACTTCTTTTCTGTGTGACCTCAAGCAAGTATCTTGGCTTCTCTGAACCCTGGTTTGCTCATCCTGCTTTGCAGGGTTGTTGCAATCACACAACAAGCCCATGCTTATCAAATGCTGAGCCCAGGCTGGGATTGCTGTTGATGATTGGTAAACACTAAACTGGGCCTCAGTGTGCGAAGCTGCTGACTTGCTGTGTGATGTTGTCGGAATGTCGGGACTTTTCTGTTCCTTCATTTCAGCTCAGTGGCATTCATCCTTAACAAGGGCCGTGAACTAAAGAAGAGCTCAAGCTGGGGAACCCAGTAGACCTGGGTTTGGGATCCTTTGCTCCCCGGCTGCATGGTTTCAGACAAGCCACCGTGTCTGTCTGAACCTCAGTTCCTGCATCTACACTGCAGACCTCCTTGCTGTTTCTCAAGCACAGCTGTCACCCCTGCACCCAAGCTCTCCTTTGGCAAGAGAGCCATAGAAAGTGAGTTCCTGGCATCCACCTTGGGGACGTGTGGGCTTCTAAATGCGGTGCACCTTGAGGCACTCCAGAGCAAAGAGGGGTGCAGAGGGATCTGGAAGGGCAAACAGAAGACACCTGTCTTCTCACCCTGTCTGGAAGAGGACCCCCATTCCATGTGGTCCCACTAGCCTACTGATTTATGTTGCCAATAGTTTATACCACATGGCTTTATAGAACATGTTTATTCAGCGGGGCACGGTGGCTCGCACGTGGAATCCCAGCACTTTGGGAGGCCGGGGCAGATCGCTTGAGGCCGGGAGTTTGAGACCAGCCTGGGCAACGTGGTGAAACCCCATCACTACTCAAATTACAAAAATTAGCCAGGCATGGTGGCACATACCTGTAATCCCAGCTACTCAGGAGGCTGAGGCAGGAGAATTGCTTGAACCCAGGAGGTGGAGGTTGCAGTGAGCCGAGATCGTGCCGCTGTACCCCAGCCTGGGTGACAGAGTGAGACCCTGTCTCAAAACAACAACAACAAAAGAACGTGTGTATTCATTTATTTTTCCTAGTCTAACTCCCCACCTGATACTCCTGTCCGCTCCATGAGAGGAGAGTTTCTGTGCATTTTTTTTTTTTGAGATGGAGTCTCACTCTGTCACTCAGGCTGGAGTGCAATGGCACGGTCTCTGCTCACTGCAATCTCCGCCTCCAGGGTTCAAGTGATTCTCCAGCCTCAGCCTCCCAAGTACCTGGGACCACAGGCACGTGCCACTACACCTGGCTAATTTTTGTATTTTTAGTAGAGATGGGGTTTCACCATGTTGGCCAGGCTGGTCTCGAACTCCTGACCTGTTAATCTGCCCCCCCTCGGCCTCCCGAAGTGCTGAGATTACAGGCGTGAGCCACCGCGCCCGGTCTACGTTTCTGTATGTCTTGATTGCTTTTTCATCCTCGGGTTCTAAAGCCTAGACAGGCACATGGTCTTTGTTAAGTAAATGTGTTGAATAAATGCATGTATGAATGGATTAGCACATAAAGAAATGAATGCATGAATGGATAGGTGCATGAATAGCTGGGCCCAACAGAATCAGTTAAGAGGCTTAACCACACACACACTCACACACACACACAGACACAAGCACACGCACACACAAACACACACACCTACATACACATACAGAGGTGCTTGAGCCCTGCTCCAAAAATAAAAATAAGAATCAACCCTTAATGATCACTTACTCATTAAGTATACCAGGCGCCACGTTTAGCCTGTGATGTAGGGCATTTCACTGAATCCTCATGACCACCCTCTGCGGTAGGGACTAATGCTATACTTTTTTCATATGTCAACCCTGAGGCTCAGAGAGGTAAAGTCACTGACCCCAGGTCACACAGCCAAGAGGTGGAGGAGCCAAAATTGAATTCAAGATCTATTTGATTCCAGAACCATGCCTGACCTTACTGGGCCAGCGGGGTCACCTCTGAATCAAGATTTTTAGGATTCCCCAGGTGATTCTGATGCACAGCCAGGTTGAGAACTCCTGGGCCAGAGCATTGAGGTTTGGGGGAGTCTGCTGGCTTTGGGACCAGCTGATCCAGCCCCTGTGCTGCCTCGCAGCCTGGTTCCTTATCTCTGACACAGGCGTGATGGCAGCGCCTACCTCAGGGGATTTCAGGAGGACCTAATGAATTAATCCACACAACGTGTTAAGCAGAACACAGTAAGCACTTCTCACAGCTCCCCTGGGTGCAGACAGATGCATTCCCAACCTCCTAGTGCAGTGCCTGGGACAAGCTGGAAAGGGCATCTCAGCAGCATTCGAGAGGCTATCGCATCTAAGAGTGAACGGGAATGCTATAGTAATTCCATCCCCCAGAAAAACATCTTGCAGAAATACTCGCACACGTCCACAGAGTTGTGTGCCCTACAGACCACGACAGTGTGGCTTGTGATAGCAAAAGCCAGGAAGCAGGCCCAATAGACATGTTTAGGGCAGGGCTCTCCACTTCAGCAAGGTGGACGTTTGGGGTCACATAATTCCCTGTTGTGGGGGCTGTCCTGGGCGTTGTGGGATGTTTAGCAGAATCCCTGGCTTCTACCATCTAGATGCCAGCAGCATGTCACTACTCCAAGTTGTGATGACAGAATATGTCTCCAAAATCGCTGAATGTCCCCAGCATTGCTGAATGTCCCCTGGAGGAAAAAAAAAAAATCACCCCATCCAAGTGGAGAAGTTTGTGACATGCCCAAGGAGATGGAACTCATATTTCAGCAAAGCTGTGACTTTATCCTGCACTAAGTCCCAGGTCACACTTTTCCTATTTGCTTTTTGTGGATTCCTTAGACTTTGCTCCATTCACAATCATGTGTTCTATGACTAGAGATAATTTCATTTCTTCTTTTCCCATCTGGCTGCCTTGGCACGTTTGAGGACAGAACTTGCACAACACAAATTGTAGCTCAAGTGGATTATGTAATCTGCACAGGGATGCTTTTTCGGGAAGTTAACTTTGTTCAAATATTGAAAATTCGTAAAATAGAAGAATATGAATTTTTTTAATGGGACCACCCACAGAGGGCAATTTTCTCACAGTTTGCTCGTCTGAGTAGCTTTCTCCATTTTGAAATTTTATTATAAAGTTGCAATCACACTGTATGTACAATTTCAAATCCTGTTAGTCTCAAAGTCTTCAAAATCATACTTCTCGTGTTATTACAAAATTTTCTTTGACGTTCTCTTTAATTGTTGTCTATTGTTTCTCTCTTATCCTCTGATCTTCTCTAATCCTTAATAATGAAAATTGCAGGCTGAGCATGGTGGCTCACGCCTGTAATCCCAGCACTTTGGGAGGCTGAGGTGAGCGGATCACCTGAGGTCAGGAGTTCAAGACCAGCCTGGCCAACATGGAGAAGCCCTGTCTCTACAAAAAATACAAAAAAAGCCAGATGTGGTGGTGCATGCCTATAATCCCAGGTACTCAAGAAGCTGAGGCAGGAGAATCGCTTGAACCCAGGAATTGGAGGTTGTGGTGAGCCAAGATGGCACCATTGCACTCCTGCCTAGGCAACAAGAATGAAACTCCATCTCTGAAAAAATAAATAAATAATGGAAATTGCAAGCTTTCGCTGGGCACGTGACCACCCAGAAGAAAATCTACACTTCCCAGCCTCTCTTGCAGCTAGGTGTCCATGTGGCCAATGGGATATAAGTAACGTCTAAGTAATGTCTGTGGGAAGGGGTGCCTCTACTTTGTCCCATCCTCCTTGCTGGCTGGAGTGCAGATGTGATGGCCGGAACCTGAGTGGCCATCTTGGGACAAGGCGGAGCAATGAGAGAAAAGGACGCTGAGTCCCCAGTGAATTTGTACAGCCACCCTACTAGTCCTAGACTGCCACCTCCACGCATCTTTTAGGTAAGAAGCAAATTTCTGGCTGGGCGTGGTGGCTCATGCCTGTAATTCCAGCACTTTGGGAGGCCGAGGTGGGCAGATCACGAGGTTAGGATTTTGAGACCAGCCTGACCAACATGGTGAAACCCCGTCTCTACTAAAAATACAAAAATTAGCTGGGCGTGGTGGCAGGCGCCTGTATTCCCAGCTACTCGGGAGCCTGAGGCAGGAGAATCACTTGAACCCCTGGAGGCAGAGGTTGCAGTGAGCTGCGATCCTGCCGTTGTACTCCAGCCTGGGCGACAGAGCAAGACTCCATCTCAAAAAAAATAAAAAAAATTTCATTTGAGCCCCTGTTATTCTGGCTTTTCTAACATTCAAAGGTGAACCTAATCCTAAGTATTACACTAATATTTTGTGCAGAAGGTGTCTCTAACATCCTTTTAGGAAACATTTCCTGATTAACTTAAACATTCCCTGCTTATTGGGCATTTAAGTAGATTCTGATTCCTCACTATTCTTGTCAATTCTTTTTTTTTTTTTTTTTTTTGAGATGGAGTCTCACTCTGCTGCCCAGGCTGCAGTATAGCAGTATGATCTCGGCTCACTGCAATCTGTGCCTCCTGGGTTCAAGCGATTCTCCTGCCTCAGCCTCCGGAGTAGCCGGTATTACAGGCGCCTGCCACCATGCCTGGCTAATTTTTGTATTTTTAGTGGAGACAAGGTTTCACCATGTTGGCCGAGCTGGTCTCGAACTCCTGGCTTCAAGTGATCTGCCCACCTTGGCCTCCCAAAGTGCTGGGATTACAGGCGTGAGCCACCACGCCCAGCCTTACTCTTGTCAATTCTGTCGTGAATGTCTTTGTCCACTGTCACTATTCATGATTATTTCCTTAGTACAGAATCCCAGAAGAAGGGTTTGGGGGTCAAAGAACATGAACATTCTTAAAGCTGTCAGTGCCTGTCACCCAACTGCCTTCCAAAATGGTTCAGCTGACATAATGCCCTCCTCCTCCAGCAGGGGATGTGAGGACCCATTTTGGGACCAGGGTAAAGATGACAACATTCCACATCATTCCCTCCAGCAGCTGAAAATGAGTCCGAGATAGTCATTTTTGGATAGTTCTTAAATACAACATATGGATGAGCAGTCATTAACCACGAAGCTTAGGAGACCTAGTGTGATCTAGTGTCAATCTGGGTTTCTTAGTTGCGAGGGACAGAATGCACCCCTCTGGCTAGTTTACACAGAAAAGGAGTTTATCAAAGGTTATTAGGTGGTTCATAGGACCCTCAGGGGAGTTCCTGAGTCAGGACTGGGGGCAACACAGCTAGGAATGAGGCTGGAATTTGATGGAGAGCTGCCCCAGTGAGCCCCACTTCTACTCAAGGACGCCCCCACTGCATCCTCCAGACCCAGGTTCTCTTTCCCACCTCTTTTGTCCTGTTGTTCTCTTTTAATTGGAAGCCTCTCACAGGGGAGCCCACTTCACACTCCCGCACCCGGGAGGCTCAGGGAGGCTAGGAAAGCAAGTTTTCTGGCAATTCCTTTGAGAGATGTGATCTACTAAGGTAGGAAATTCCCTGAAGGGTGACCGCAGGGTGTGGGCCAGAAAGTAGGGCAAAGGTCAGCTCCTTCGGCAAAGACGGCTGGGCTTGTGGGAAGAATCCAAAAAGGTTTCTAGCAACACCTTCTCCATTTCTCCTCCACTGAGGGCAAGAGAACAGCAGAGAGAAGTAAATGACAAAAGTGTCATTCCCATTTGTGTCACCCTTGGGGTTCACCCAACTCTGCAGAGGCTAAGTTAGAGTGGGGACCTTGAGATCTGTCCTCGCTTCACCAACCTGAGGCCAGCAAGCCAACGCGGATGTCTCTATCTGATGGATGTGTGTCTCCTGGACCCCTGACCACATCCTTCAAGGAGACGTTTGTGAAGGATGTGTTTGCCTTGTCCACTGTTGCACTGAACAACACCAGCATCCGGACAAGCCCTGGCACACAGTAGGTGCTCAATAGATAAATCTCGAATGAATAAATGATGGCACTGGACTCTCTGCCTTGGAAGAAACCTTGGAGTCTAGAGTTACCATGGATTGACTCAACCAGTATTTCCTGAGCACCTACCATGCTCCAGGCCCTATTTTAGGTGCTGCGGATACTGCAGGAAAGAAAAGAAAGTCCCAGTCCCTGTCTTCAGAGTGAAGGAGATGGGCAATCCATTTTAAAACGCCAAAAATATTCATATAACACAGCACAACACAACATAACATCATATAATCTGATCTAATACAATACCAAGTAAAATGTTTTACAAGGAAATGTAAAACTGGATAAGTGATTTGGAGATGCTCATTTAGAAAAATAATTGAGGAAGGCCTCTCTGAGAAGGTGATGTTCAAGCAGAGATCTGCGGTAGGAAGGGAGTGAGCTGAGCAAATATGGGAGGGAAGTGTATTCTGGGCAGAGAGAGCAGCCGGCACAAAGGCCCTGAGGCAGGAATGAATGAGCTTGGCGTGTGCCCTTTGTGGTGAGGCGGTCAGTGAGGCAAGGGTTACACCAAGTTTCCCAACTTCAGCAAATCTACAGAACCCTTAACTGGCGGAAACAGGAGGTAGGGAGGGATGAGTTCTTCACTCTTAAGCTTCTCTGGGAAAACATGATGTCAGGGACAGACAGTAAATCTTGACTTGTCCCAGAAAACAATGGGCCCATGTAACCAGTGAAGTGTTAGCCTGAAAGTAACCGGCCAAAGGGCTGGGGTGTGGGTGGGTCATATGGAATTTGTTAACAGATCTGCATTAGAAAAAGAGCTTCCCAGTTGGGGGCAGCAGAAGCTTCTGGCTAACATCAAAAAGATGTTTATTGTGGTGATTCTGTGCAGACATGAAAAATGGAGATTCGCCACACAGAGATGTGGAAAGATGTCCCCAATACGTTAAGTGAAAAAATAGGCCACAGGATAGTATTATATATTGTACAATCCCTTTTGAAAATTCACTAGTCATTTATTCAGAAAATATTCATTATGGACCTAATGTGGTGTGGAAGACCCAGACGCGGTCTTGCCTGCCTCCTGGAACTGACCGCACAGTGGGGAAGGCAGATGACGATCAGATCAGTACACAAACATATCATCCAAACCTTTGATCAGCACTAAGGAAAGATACCTGGTGCTACCAGAATGTGCACACACATCAAGTGATGGAAAAAGCCTGCGAGGATGTGCTCCAAAATGTCAAAGTGGTAGTAAGGTTTCAGGAGATTCCACTTTCCTTTTTTGTTTGTTTTTTGGGATGGGGTCTTACTCTGTCACCCAGGCTGGAGTGCAGTGGCATGATCATGGCTCACTGCAGCCTCGACCTCCTGGGCTCAAGCCATCCTCCCACCTTAGCCTCCCGAGTAGCTGGGACCACAGGCGTGCACCAGCACACCCGGCTAACTTCTTTTTTTCTTTTTTTAATTTTGTAGAGATGAAGGTCTTGCTATGTTGACCAGGCTGATCTTGAACTCCTGGGATCAAGTAATCCTCCTGTTTCAGCCTCTCAAAGTGCTGGGATTACAGGCATGCGTTACCACACCTGGCTTGATTCCACTTTTCTTATGCTCCTCTTTCTTTTGATTGTCTGTAGGTTCTGATTTTTTAAAATAAATGTCATGATTTATAATCGAGTGAATAAAAAAAAAACTCAAAATGAATAGGAGCAGGAGAGCTGGAACTCACGGGTCTGCAGAGGACTTAGACCCAGGGAAGGAAGAATACACAAGAAACCAATCAACAGAGGCTGGAGTAGGAGGTATCCTCACTTCTCCCTGGATACCTTTTGAACCTTTTGAATATGTAAGTATTCAAATAATAGTAATAAGCAAAGGTATTTTAAAATGAAACTTTGAGTCAAGTTTTATTTTCGTGAAAAATGAAAAAACAGACAACAGTAGGATCTCAATTTAAATACGCGAGCTGAGCTGAATTCCCGTGCACATCTTAGAGTGGTTCTCTCTGGGTCACCTTTTTAGTTTTCTTCTTTGTACTTTTCTGTGTCTCCTATATTTAAAATAAGAAGAATAAAAAAAGACGAGAAAAAAAGACTACCGAATATAGACCATTTACCACGGGCAAGATCCCATTCTGGGTGCTTTACAAACATGCTTTTGCTTCATCCCCATGACCTTCTCATTCCTTACTTTCATTTGACAGATGAGGAAACTGAGGCTCAGAGCACAAAGTCACCGGCCAGGGTCACCCGGCCGGATTTGACCCGCGTTGATCAGATCCTAAAGTCTGTCTCTAAACTAGAAAGCTCAAGTACCCTTGGTATGTCCTTCAAGGAAACGACTTTGCTTTGAAAATCAGGGGGAAAAAATAAACAAACCAAACAAGAAATATGACATTTTTTTAAACCACTTATTTAAGCTCTGATGGGACCTGAGACCAGCCGAGCTTGGGGAGGGTTTCTCGGCAGGGCACTGTTTGTGTTGTGGGTGGGGCTGTCCTGCCTGGCAGTCCCCCATGGCACATCCCTGCCTGCTCGTCAGCCATGTTCCCCTGTCACTGTGACACTCAGATCCCCCATCTCTGCCAGCCTCCCCTCCTTGAAGACTGCTGGCCTAGACACTGCAGTGACACTGAATTCCTGCTGGGGCCTCGCTCCTGTTGTCCTGTGAGCCACTGTGGGTTGACACCCCCTGCAGACCTGAGAAGCAGGTGCCTCAATGGCTTTGTTTTACAAGGAGACTCAGAGAGGGCTGGGTGACTTGTCACACAGCCAAGACTTGGCCCCATGCAATACTGCCTACCCTCTGGGACCAAGTCTTTTGTGGTTGTGGGGTCGAAGCAGGGGAAGGGAAAGGCGAGTGGCCTGCAGCCCCAGGCTCAGAGGGAAGGCAGCCACAAAGCGCGGTCCACTCTCCAGCCAGCTGAGCTAGGCCGGGAGAAGTGAAGCTTTGCTGCCAGGCTGGGTAGGCCAGGCCGGGCGGCGGGCAGGCGGCCACTACAGTGGGGACCGGGAAGTCGAGCACTCCCTCTCGCCTGCCCGGCAGTGTCCCATGGCCGCCCGCCAGGCCCCGCCTGACGTCAGGGTCTGACCAGGGACATAATGTGCTGGCGTGGGGACAAGGGCTGACTGCAGAGAGACAGAGCCGCAAGGCGGGGCGGCCAGGGGAGGCGGGCAGGCAGAGGAGGAGAGAGAGAAAGGGAGAGAGAGAAACAGGCAGAGTGAGAGAGAGAGAGCGAGAGACAGGGGATGGGAAAGAGAAACACAAACAGATGGAGAGAGAAGGAAACAGAGGGAGGGAGAGAGACCGAGAAAGTGAAAAAGAGAAACAGACAGAAAAGAGACACAGAGAAGGAGAAAAACACAACTAGGAAGATGTTCAGGGAAAGCTGGAGAGACAGCAAGAGCCAGAGAGACAGCAAGAGCCAGAGAGAGGAAAGTGGAGGTGCTGGGGGGGAAATGACAGAGAGAGGAGGCCTAGCAGGGGCTGTGCGGTTAAGGGCAGGTGCTTGGGAGACCCCAGACCTGGGCTGGGGCTTTGACTCTGCCCCTGTGAGCTGTTGACTCACCTCTGAGAGCCTCCACTCCTTACCTGGTGCAATGGGAGTCTGAGTAACAGGGCTTCGCTCATCTGGGGAGGGGACAGAGCCCCTTTCCATGATGCGAGAGGGAGAACAGGAGTCAGATCTGTGTAAAGTACTTTGGCAGAGCCCTGCATGTAGTAAGTGCTCAATAAATTGGAGGTGAAAATTGAGAAAGAGTTGGGAAGTGGGAAATGGAATGCCAGAGTGTGAGTGGATGGGGGTCGCCCCCATGGACAGAAACTCTCGCTCCACAGCACTCCCTTCCCTGTAGCCTTGGAACAACCCCCTTCCTGTCCCTGCATGGCTTCAGCTTGAGGCCACCAGCACAGACCTTGGCCTGGCCTTGCCTGTCTTGGGGCCCAACCCCCTGCTTATGGGTTCAAGAAGGCCATGATCCCAAGGCCATCGCGTCACCAAAGCCAAGCAAGGCCAGACCCTGGTCACTTCTGGCTTTCCAGCCTCGTCACCCCTCAGCCGCTTAATTGTTAAATGGCCTGGCAGGGCTGAGGGACTGAGCCAGCCGCCTGTCTGGGTGGGGGCAGCCGTTCCCGCATGTCCTCCATTAGTGCAGGGGCACACACGCCAGAGGCCTCAGGTAGCACTTGCTGAGGTGAGGATGCAAAGATCCCTTTCTCTAGCTCCCACTATTCCCAGAAGCCTTCATCAGCCTCAGCCTCGGCCTCAAATTCTCACTGTGTGCCAGGCATGCTTCTGAGCGCTTCACAGGATTAATCTACTTAATCCTCCTGACAGCCCCAAGAGATGAAGTGCTAACATTATCTCATTTTACAGATGAAGACGCTGAGGCTCAGAGAGCTGGAGTCACTGGTCCAAGCCCACCTGCTAAGGAGTGGCAGGGCCAGGCAGCCACTTAACCACAGAGCAGCTACGATTCCCTGCACAACTTGAGCAGCAGCCTGTGCCGGGTGGCAACACAAGCGCCCGGATCATCTGACCAGGGAGCAGTCCTTGGCTGGGAGTGATTTTGCCCCCACAGGAGATATTAGGCTATATGTGGGGACATTTGGGGTTGTCACAACTGGAGAGAAGTTACTGGCATCTGATGGGTGGAGGCCAGGGATGCTGTTCAGTGCCCTACAGTGCACAAGACAACCCCCATAGCAGAGAATTATCCAGCTCCAAATGTCAGTAGCACCAAAGTTAAGAACCTTCTATAAGGTAAATTCTATTACAATCTCCATGTTATAAATGTGGAAACTGAGGCACAGAGAGAGGGTGGGACTATAAGGTAAGTTCTGTTACAATCTCCATGTTATAGATGTGGAAACTGAGGCACAGAGAGAGGGTGCCACTTGCACAAGAAGCCCACTTCATGCCCTGCTCTTCCATAAGACCCCACTGCCAATCTGCATTAAGACACCCCTGCCTCCATTCGAGGCCTTCTGAGTCCTCACTTGCTCAGTACAGACAATGCTTCGCATCCTCTCAATATATGAAGGTCATCTTAGTCATTGACAGAAAAAAAAGATCAAGCCACAAAGTCACTGGGAATGTACGAATGCCTTAAAATGAATTTATATTTTATTCATGGCAGCATTGAGGGACATTTGAAATAAACCAAATATGGATTCATGGAGCAAGTATTTTCTGAGCACCTACTAAGTGCCAGGCCCTGTCCATGGTGCTGGAGATACAGCCGAGAACCAGACAGATCCAGCCCCTCCTGGGTCTTTAGGAGGTGACAGTCTGGTGGGGAAGGCAGATGATAGACAAGAAAACAAACACACAACCAAGGTCACTTTTGACTGTGTGAAATGCAACTGTGGGGCAGGAGAAGGGCCGTTCTAGGGAGGGTGATGTCCAACAGGGCCTCTCTGAGAAGATGAGACCCAAAGGAAGAGAAAGGTCCAGTCTTAGGAAGAGGCAGGAATGAAAAGTTCCAGGCAACAGAGCACGTGCAGTGGCTCACATCTGTAATCCCAACACTTTGGGAGGCTGAGGCAGGTGGATCACCTGAGGTCAGGAGTTCGAGACCAGCCTGGCCAACATGGTGAAATCCCCTCTCTACTAAAAATACAAAAATTAGCCAGGCGTGGTGGCGCACACTTGTAATCCCAGCTACTTGGGAGGTTGAAGCAGGAGAATTGCTTGAACCTGGGAGGCAGAGGTTGCAGTGAGCTGAGATTGTGCCACTGCACTCCAGCCTGGGTGACACTTCTGAGCTTCTGAGCACTTTTTTTTTGAGACGGAGCAAAGCTCCGTCTCAAAAAAAAGAAAGAAAGGAAAAGGAAAGGAAAGGAAAGGGGATGGAAGGGAGGGGGGAGGAGAGGAGAGGAGAAGAAAGGGAAAAGGGGAAAGGAAAGGGGAAAGGAAAGGGGAACAGGAAAGGGAAGAGAACAAGAAGAGAAGAGAAAAAAGAAAAGAGAAGAAAAGAAAAGAAGACCTGGCACGGTGGCTCACGCCTGTAATCCCAGCACTTTGGGAGGCCGAGGCAGGCGGATCACAAGGTCAGGAGTTTGAGACCAGCCTGGCCAACATAGTGAAACCCATCTCTACTAAAAATACAAAAATTAGCCGGGCGTGGTGGCGGGCGCCTGTAGTCCCAGCTACTCGGGAGGCTGAGGCAGTAGAATCGCTTGAACCCGGGAGGCAGAGGTTGCAGTGAGCCGAGATCACACCACTGCACTCCAGCCTGGGCAACAGAGCAAGACTCTGTCTCAAAAAGAAAAAAGAAAAAGAAAAGAAAAGAAATGAAATGAAAAGTCCCAGGTATAGGGAACAGCATGTGCCAAGGCTCTGACGCAAGTGTTTGCCTGGAGTGTTGAAGTACAAGCAGGAGGCCAGTGACTGGAGCCAAGTGAGGCAGGAGAGAAGAAGATGAGATGGGGAAGTCACAAGTGAAGAGATGTGTGATACCATGTGACCACTATAAGGGCTTTGCATGTAGGAGGTGGGAGCCATAGCAAGGTTTTGAGGAGGAGGCACAGGGTCTGATTCAGGTTCTATTAGGATCATCTTGAATGCTTTGGTTAGCTGAATAGTGGCCTTCCAAAGATGTTCATGTCTTAATTCCCCGAATCTGTGAGTGTTACTTTATGTGGCAAAAGGAACTTGGCAGCTGTGATTCAGTGAAGGCTCTGAAGATGGGAGGATTATCTTGGATCACCCAGGTGGGGCCAATTAATCACAGGAGTCCTTATACCACGAGGCAGATGGAGACCTGCCTACAGAGGAGGAGAAGGCAAAGAGGAGAGAGAATGACAGAAACAGAGACTGCAGTGATGTGCTTTGAGAGTGGAGGGTGGGGCCATAAGCCAAGGGCCATGAGCATCCACTAGAAGCTGAAACAGACAAGGAGACAGATTCTCTCCTGGAGCCTCCAGAAGGAAGTGGTCCCACCAACACTTCGACTTCTCACCTCCAGAACTTTAAGAGGATAAATATGTGTTGTTTTCAGCCACTAAGTTAGTGGTCATTTGTTTTGGCGACAAGAGGAACTGAGTGTGATGCAGTGGGGAGGATAGACTGTAGGAGGGTGAGGGTGGGAGCAGGAGGACCCATGTGGAGAGGCTACTGCGATTGTCCAGGCAGGAAAGAATGGCAGATGAAGAGAAGCGGATGCCTCACTCGGCCATCGCTGGGCTGGTGCCTAGGACACGGAGCTGGCCACTGCATGGTTCTTGTTTTGAAGAAGACTCCAGCTAGAAGAGGCTCAAGAACAGTTCTGGGAAATGGGAAGGATGGGCTTAGCTGGGCTAGAACCTCATGTCGGTCAGGTCTCTGTCCCAGTGTCCCCTGCAGGGTGGTGTCCTGACCATCCCGGCCCCGGGAACCCTCCCAGGGCTCCCGCTCCCTCACTCAGCTTCAGTTTGCTGTGTGTGTCCCATCATCATCCCGTGTGCTACACCTCTGTCTGTTTCTCCATTGTCTGGACCCAAATGAGGAAGGACTTTGCCTATCCTGCTCACTGCGCATCTCCAGCACCCAGAAACGGCCTGGCACAAAGATGTGCTCAGCACATACGTATTGGGTGAATGAACCAACAAATGAACCCCCATTTTCCAACCAGGAAAATGGTTGAAAACTATACCAGGAAGGTGACTTACTCAGCACCACACAGTGGCTAACTACAGATCCAGGATTTGAACCCAGAACGGACTCCAAAGTTTGCACTAAGTAGCCTACTTCCTTGTAACACCAATGACACTGCCTGTGTTCCAGAAATTCCTACTTTGTGGGAGTAGTGCTGTATCCTTCTTGAGGGGTCAGACACTCGAAACACAGCACCTCGGGGAACCTACAGGACAACTGACCTGCTCGAGGCTATTATTAGATGAGGAAACCGAGGTTCAGAGGGGTTGGGGTCTTCCCTGAGGTGCACAGCCAGCCGGCGGCAGAGCCTAGAGCTGGGACTCAACCCTTGTTGGATCCCATAGCTGGGGGTCTCTCTCATATTTTCCACCTTGCTCTGGGTCCCAGAGAAATAAGAAAGACTCTCCTGCCCTAAGAGGCAGAGTAGGTGTAGATCACACTGCCCAATGTCCGGGCTGAGCCTGGAGGAAGCCCAGCAACACCTCAAGCTGGAAACTTCTGAAAAATGAGGCTGGGGGGTTAGGATCTAGGGCCCTGGGGTGAAACCCCAGCTTTGCCCCTCCCCTGCTGTGTGGCCTCAAGCAAGTGATCTCCTCTCTCTGGCCCAGGTCTCCTCTAATAACTCCAACCAAAATTCTGGACAGAGTTGATAAAGCCCTATAGACTACATTTTAAAATCAAAACACCCAGCCGGGCCTGGTGGCTCACGCCTGTAATCCCAGCACTTTGGGTGGCTGAGGTGGGCAGATCACCTGAGGCCAGGAGTTTGAGGCCAGCCTGGCCAACATGGCAAAACCCCATCTCTACTAAAAATACAGAAACTAGCCAGGTGTGGTGGCGGGTGCTTGTAATCCCAGCTACTTGGGAGGCTGAGGCAGGAGAATCACTTGAACCCAGGACGCAGAGGTTGCAGTGAGCCAAAATCGCACCATTGTGCTCCAGTCTGGGCGACAAAGCGAGACTCCACCTCAAAAAATTAATAAATAATAATAAAATAAATAAACAAAAAAGTAATAAATAAATAAAAATACAAATAAATTTTAAAAATTAAAAGACCCAGTGTGTATTCTAGCTGACATTTTATATCAGATTGTACTGCCTGGGGACATACAAATGTAGTCATAATAAAATGTAGTAAACCAAATTTGGAAAAAATTAAGAAATAAAAGAGGAGTTTCTTTTCCTCTCATGTGAATGAAGTCCAGATGTAGGCAGTTTGGGATGGATTTGGTAACTCTATGAAGCTCTCAGTATCTCAGCTTCTTCCTGGACACCAGTCTGCCATCTCTAGGTGTGGGCCCCACTTTCTCATGATCCAAGATGAAGGCCACTGCACCGGCCTTCACGTCTGCCTTCCAGAATGACAGGATGGAGAAGGAAGGATGATGAGTAAAAGGCAGGCATCAACTAAATCTCTAGGAAACAGTCCAGAAACCTGTCACACTACTAATTTCAACCCCTTGGCCAGAGCTCAGGCACATGGCTGCACCTAGCTGCAAGGGAAGCTAGGAAGGTCTGTGTTTATTCTGCACAGCCATGAACTCAGCTAAAAGCCAATCAAATATTTGTAAATAAACAAAACAATTTTAGATAGTGATGTATCCTGGGAAAGAACAAAACAGGGTAATCTCTTGGACAATGAGGGTGGGAAAATGCCTCCCTCAGGAGGCAGCACAGCTGAGATATAAATGATAATAAGGCCTGAGGGACAAGCATTCCAAACACGAGGAACAGAAAAGCAAGCTGCCTTGAGGCAGAAACAAGCCTGGTATTGTAAAGAAACAGAAAGGCCAGCATGGCTGGAACTGGGACAGGGATGCAGTGGGAGGCGGGCACAGCTGGTAGGAAAGGAGGTCAGAGAGTTCAGCAGGTTAGATCCTGGGAGAAACGGGAAGGCCAAGGGAAAAATCTGGATTTTTTTTTTCTCCTCTAAGTACAGTGAGGCAATATTAGAGGGTTGGGCTGATATGCTATCACTAATGGAGAGAATGCCGAGCTCCCCTGGCTCCTGGAGGATTTGCCATAACCCTTCTGAGCACTTCATTCACTCACCAATTCATTCCTCTCATAAATATTCATTGCTGACCTGCTCTGTGCCAGGTACTGACTTACGGCAGCAGAAATGACTCCTCCAGTCCCCACCCTCAGGAAAAGAAGAGACAGACTGAGCAAACACAAAAGCCTATAAATACAGCTCCCAGATGGCTGCCAGTGGTTTGGAGGGAAGGTAAATGGGGCCACAAGAGGACCTGAGTTCACCTGGGGATGGGAGGGGGTTTCCCACTGGTGGTGATGTTTGAGCTGAAATTGGAATGATAAGGACACTTTGTCTTGTGGTCTGGAGACGGAGAGAACATTCCAGGTAGAGGGAACAGTTTGTGCAAAGGGCTGGAGGCAGGAAGAGAGCTGCATATATCCAGAAACTCACCAGGCTCTGGCCTGGCAAGAGTTGAGAAGGGTGAGAGAGAAGGTGTCTCAAGATGGCCCTGGAGAGGTGAGCAGAAGTCAGATCACAGAAAGCCTGGAAGGGGCCAGGCGTGGGGTCTCACGCCTATAATCCCAGCACTTTGGGAGGCCGAGGTGGGCGAATCACTTGAGATCAGGAGTTCAAGGCCAGACTGGCTAACATGGTGAAACCTCGTGTCCACTAAAAATACAAAAATTAGCTAAGTGTGGTGGCACATGCCTATAATCCCAGACACTTGGGAGGCTGAGGCAGGAGAATTGTTTGAACCCAGGATGGGGAGGCTGCAGTGAGCCGAGATCACGCCACTGCACTCCAGCCTGGGCGACACAGACAGACTCCATCTCTAAATAAATAAATAAATAAATAAATAAATAAATAAATGAAAGTCTGGAAGGAGGGTGGGGCTCTCGTGTTCTGGGAGGATGATTTATGAAGAACTTTGACCCCAAATCCCTGGGAGGGGCCTGTGGCCAATCCCAGACAAGCAGGGCCTGGCTCTCCTTGGACAGTGTTTACAAGCTCGCTGATGACTCGGCCTTCTGCCTTCCTGCGGTTTGCTAATCACTGGGTGCTATGTGCCGGGATGTTCTCCTGCTCCTCAGCCCTGAGAGCACACTCTGACTCATGCCTCCTACCCCAGCCACCCCCTCCCATCACCACCAAGGCTGCCATCTCCCCCCGTGACCCCCAAGGCCCCACAGAATCACACGACCCTGGCACCAGGAAGTGCACCTGTGTCTCCAATCAGAACTGCCCATTTCACAGAGGAAGAAACTAAGGTCCCATGAGAAAAGCCTTTCCCCAAGTCTCACCCCAAGACAGGAATAGCACCAGGGCCCGGTCCCAGGTCTCCTAACACCTGGTCCTAATTTTTCCCACTGTTTAATGACAGAAGAGAGAAAATGAGAAGAAAGGAAGCAGGAAGAGGTGGAGGAGAAAGCAAGGAGGGAGTGAGGAGAGGGAGGGAAGGGGAGCTGGAAAAGCAGTGTTCAAATCCCCAACTCCTAAGTGAGCCCTGGGAGGGGAGGGGAGAGGATTCGTGTTTGTTGGGCACCCACTACACGCCAGGTGCCTCGACTGTGTCAGCTCCTTCAGCAGAATCCTCACAGGAGAATGGATACAATTACTTACTCTAAATGCTTTGGAAAACAGAGAAGCTGTGCAACCCATCTACCATCACACAGCAGTTACCTGGCAGAGAGGAGAATGGAACCCAGGTCTGGCTGCAATTCCTAACCCTAAGCACACTCCAGGCCCCAGGCTGCCTCCAGCCCAGCCTCTGCTCCGCTCCTCTTTTTGAGGCAGTTGCAGCCTCCACTTCCAGAGCCGATCAGCAGAGGCTTTCCCCCGGCTGCCCACAAGCCAGCAGACGGATTTCCTTTGGCCCACAGGGCATTTTAATTAAATTTGAGCTAATGTTCATAAATCAAGAGATTTCACATAAAAATTCAGATTTCTACCTCCCTTAAAACACTGTAAGATTTCACTGGGCTAAATCCACATTCCCACCTGGCAACCGTCAGCTGGGGACAGGGGTATTTGAAGTGGACACACCAGTTCCCCCACACTCCCCAACTCTCCCTGCTGCCTCCCTGGTCCTGAGGCTGAATGTCGGGTGCCATTCATCAAAATGCATACACTGTTGTTTTCTGAGAGCAGGGACGTATTTCTCTGTAACTGTATCTCTTTCAAAAAGAAGAAAACAAGTGCTAATCCAAAAGGGGTCAAGTTTCATGAAAAATGGGGGAATGTCTAATTCTTTGCGGAACCAAGAGATACTCCTTCATGCTTATTATGCAGACGAAGTGTGCCTGAGCCCTCACACCACTGCTTAGCTTCCTAAAATATTTTTTTTTGTGTGTATCTGAAATTCTAATTTAACTGGGCATCCTGTATTTTATCTGGTAACCCTCTCTAGACTAGTCACCTTGCTGGGTGAGTGATCTTGATTGAGCAAGTCATTTAAGTTTTCTGGGTTTCAGGTTGTTCCTCATAGACAGGGTTAATAACAGCATGAGAGGTTGAGGTAGGAGGATCCTTTGAGGCCAGGAGTTTGAGACCAACCTGGGCAACATAGCGAGATTCCCCATCTCTACAAAAAAAAAAATTTTTTTTTTTTTTTTTTAATTAGCCAGGTGTGGTGGCTCATTCCTATAATCCTAGCTACAGGGGAGGCTGAGGCAGGAGGATTGCTTGAGCCTAGGAGTTTAAGGCTGCAGCGAGCTGGGATTACACCACTGCAGTCCAGCCTGGGTAACACAGCAAGACCCTGTCTCTAAATAATAATAAATAACAAGAGGACCTGATGAGATATTACACATTAAGAGCTTAGGACAGAGCCTGGCTCACTGTACATGCTCAGTAAACGTCAGCTGCTGGGGCAGATGACACCAGCTGCTTGCCCAACACCCATTCCCTTGTTCCTCACTAACTGAACCCTGGTTAATGGCAGCCATAGTGCCTGGCCCCAGGGGATGAATGTGATTGGTCTAGTCAAGCATGCCACACCCATTCCAAGCTGCCAGTGATTGGACCAAGGTGAGCATGTGACCTGACTCTAGCCAATGAGGTACAACAAGAAGTCAGCGGGGATGAGTGCTCCAGGGAGACTTTCTCTCCCTAAGGAGTTGGCACTACTGCCGCTGTTCCTCCCTTTTTGTTTTGGACACATCCATTGGGAAAAAGGGATACAGGATCCCAGCCCCCATCTTAAGACAGTGAGCATGGCCAAGGTCTAGGCTGGAGGACTCCTGGGCTGACAATGCCAAACTTCGTTTTAAGTAAATGATGGATGTCGTTATGGCCGAAGCCATTTGCTAATTGGCTCTATATTAGCCGAAGCTAATTGGCTCTATACTGTGGCAGCCCAGTTATGTTACTGACTAGCTCTGTGCCTCAGTTTCCCTATATGGAGAATGGAGGGAACGATAGTATCCGCTACATAGGGTTGTTGTAAAGTTATTCAATGAGTTAGCGTAAATGAAGTGCTAATTACTCTACCTGGCAAGTTATACTCACCATATAATTGTTAGTCATTATAATTCTTCTGTTATTTGCATCCAAGTCTTTCTAAACTGATACAGTCAAAAATTCCCTGAAAGCTGTGAATTCTGAAGTTTGATAATACATCAAAGAATCCAAGCCCCAAAATATAAGCAAATGTGCCTGTTTAAGGTGAGTCAATGTCAAAGATTCATTCAAGAAGTTTCCTTATATTTCATTCACCCTGCAAAGGATCTAAGCAGATTCAACAGGCTGTTCGTCAGCTCCCAAGAAGGGGAGGTGGGAGATGGGCGTGTCAGCCAATCCTAGAAATAAGAGATAGTCCCATCATTTGGAATTTTGGGTAGAAACTGCAGGACCAAAATATGGTAGCCTGAGCATAAGTGTATTAGTTAGCAATGCCTTCTGCTGAAAGCTTCAGAATGCCCCAGTCACAGTGGGCTAAACAGTAAAGGCATTCTATTATTTCGCAGACAACACTTTGAAAGTTGATGGCTTCAGGGTCAAAAAAGCATCTCAGCAATGTCATTCAGCATCCAGCTACTTTCAGCCTTCATATTTAGCCATTCTGTGTTGGCTTTTTATCATTAGCCTTGTGGCCCCACAGTAACAATATAGTTGCCACAGCCCCAAGCATCACATCCCTTAATGAAGTTCAAGATAGGAGTGTTGGGTGGTGAGTTAAAAAGAAAACAATCTCGGCCAGGCGCAGTGGCTTACGCCTGTAATCCCAGCACTTTGGGAGGCTGAGGCAGGGGGATCACCTGAGGTCAGGAGTCCAAGACCATCCTGGCCAACGTGGTGAAACCCCGTCTCTACTAAAAATACAAAAATTAGCTGGGCATGGTGGCACACACCTGTAGTCCCAGCTACTCGGGAGGCTGAGGCAGGAGAATCGCTTGAACCCGGGAGGCGGAGGTTGCAGTGAGCCGAGATTGTGCCATTGCACTTCAGCCTGGCGACTGAGCAAGAGTCCATCTAAAAACAAACAAACAAACAAAAAAACACAAAACTCTCCCCTTGAGCTTTTTTTTTAGAGAGATTTTTGTTGTTGTTTTGGTTTGGTTTTTTTAGATAAAGACAAGTTCTCACTATGCTGCCCAGGCTGGTCTCAAACTCCTGAGCTCAAATGATCTTCCCACCTCGGCCTCCCAAAGTTTTAGGATTACAGGCATGAGCCACCATGCTTGGCCTCTCCTTGAGCTCTTTTAATCTGGAAAGAAAATCTTTCCCATGATCTCCCTGAAAGGACTTCCCTTCACATTTCATTGGCCAGAACTGGTCATATCTCTGCTCCACGCTGCAAAGGAGGCTGGAAAAGGGAAGTGGGATAGTGTGACTGGCACAGCCCAATCTTAATCCCTCTCCCCTGGCTGGACCTATCACCTCCCACCCCCAAACAAAATCAGGGCTCTGCTGTTGAGGACTGAGGGTCCAGCTATTAGGCAGCCAGTAAAGGGTGTCACCATAGTGTAAACCTCTGCTTCTTCCAGAAATCTCACTGACAGGGTAAAAGGGCACAAACACACAGGGCAGAGAACAGGCAGAGGAAGAGATGATGCCACTGGGTTATAAAAGCTGGACAGCAGATGATGGGTGAGGGAACCCACTGAGTTGGCCAGAGAAAACTGGCAGCAAGTGCCTGCAGGAAGGTTGGGCGAGGCAGAGGCAGGTACATGGCACCCCAGAGCCCTGAAAGGACCGAGACCTCTGCAGGGAGCACTGAAACCTGAGGGGTGAGATGAAAGTCCCCAAGGACCCTCATCCCCCTTCACGCTCATGGAAGAGTCCAAGGTGAAGCAGTTGAACCAGGGATGCCCTGACCACAGGAATGGGGGTTCTACACAGAAAACAAATGTAAATCTGTCTACTGAACAATGAGATCTGCAGACTCCTTCTCCCACCTCGCCCTCAGGAACAGCTGCCTAGGACAGGAGATAAAGACTTTCCTATCTTGGGAAGCACCCCTGACTGAAGACAAAAGAGAAAGCTCCCGGAAGATAATGATTTGGAGTTCCCCAACAAAGGACCACGGCCCTACCCAGGCACCCCACCATGTGACAGGCCCTGCCCAGACACACGGAGCATGCAAAGGTGATTAATTGCCTCACACTCAAATATCACAGAACATGAGACATTTGAGAACTGCTAACACGAGACACAAACAGGAAAAGGTCCTGGGGAGATGCCAGTGCTCCTTGGCTGGGGACCTAGTCTTGGATCTGTCAGAAGCTGGCTGTGTGGCCTCGGCAAAGTCCTGTCCCCTCTCTGGGCCTCAGTTTCCGTGTAGTTGAGGAGAATCTTTCTGGCCGGGAACTTGCCTCAACATATCTCCTACTGGGGCATGTGAGTCCTTTGCTCTGCTTGAGAAATTATCCTGAAAACCATTGGGTTATTTTGTGGATCTCACCTGGATGACCTAAAGGGTGTGGATTTCAAGGGCAGAAGAAAACTTATCAGTCCTCACGGTGCATGAAATTCCAGCATGCTCCTCTAAAGGGGACCCTTGAAACAAATAAATTTCAATGGATGATACTCAAAGGATGTGTGGGAAGAGCGTGGCTAGAGAAGGCTGGCTTTGAGCACTTAAATGTTGCCTGGCACTTTACACACATTGTCTTATTTCCTTACTCTCTTTGTGACCTTGAGGAACCACTTAACTATGCTGTGCCTTAGTTTCCCTATCTGTGAAATGGAATGTGGTTGAGACTGTTAGTTGTCCCTAAGTATCTTCCCCTAGTTCCATAGTAATGAACTTGTAGCTGAGCATAGGACTGTCTCAATAAAAAGTACATTTCCCAGCCTCCCTTGCAGTCAGATGTACCCATGTGACCAAGTTCTGGCCAACGGGATGTGACTGTAAGCTATGTGGCTGATTTCCAGGTTGTACTTTATTTTATTTTATTTTATTTTATTAGTTAATTAATTTATTTATTTTTGAGAGGGAGTCTTGCTCTGTCACCAGGCTGGAGTGCAGTGGCACAATCTCGGCTCAGTGCGACCTCCACCTCCTGGGTTCAAGTGATTCTCCTGCCTCAGCCTCCCAAGTAGCTGGGATTATAGGCACACACCACCATACCCAGCTAATTTTTATATTTTTAGTAGAGACGGGGGGGTTCACCTGACTAGGATGGTCTCGATCTCCTGACCTCATGATCCCCCCACCTGAGCCTGCCAAAGTGCTGAGATTACAGGCATGAGCCACTGCACCCAGCCTGTACTTTATTTTTTTAATTATTAATTTTAATTTTTTTAGAGATGAGGTCTTGCTATGTTACTCAGGCTGGTCTCGAACTCCTGGCCTTAAGTGACCCTCCCACCTTGGCCTAGAGTTACAGAGGTGAACCACCATGCCCAGCCAGGCTGTATTTTTTTTTTTTTTTTTTTAGAGACAGGGTCTCACTTTGTTGCCCAGGCTGGAGTGTTCTGGCTATTTACGGGAGTGATTCCACTACTGGATCAGCACGGGAGTTTTGACCTTTCCGATCTGGGCCATTTCAGCCCTCCTTAGGCAACCTGGTGGTTCCCCTCTCCCAGGGAGATCACCATGTTGATACTGAGCTTAGTGTAGGCACCCGATTGACACAGCGCACTACAACCCAGAACTCTTGGACTCAAGTGATTCTCCCGCCTCAGCCTCCCGAGTAGCTGGGACTTCTGGCTCACACCACTGTGCCCAGCCTAGGTTGTACCTTAAAGGGAAAGGGTATGCCATTCCCCCTTTCCTTTTCCCACTGGCTGGAATGTGGAATGTGACACCCTAAGGAGGGGAAAATAGCAAGTTAGCAGCCCGGGCATGGGCAGTGGGTGTCTGCACTGTCAGCCCCAGCCTAACACACTGGGTGTGAAGCCTCAATGTGTTGAGACATGTAAATCACTTACCACGGGGCTTGGAACAAAGTTGGCATTCTGAAATTGTGAGCTGTTTTATTATTACCATCAACGTTATGATTATAATCATCACTCCAAATGGGCCTGTGCAAGAAGGCCTCTTAAGGCCCATTTTTCAGATGAGAAAATGGAGCTCAGAGAGGTTAAGCCCCTGCCCAAATGATCCCAGGGGGAGGGTAGCAGAACCAGATCTGCCAATCTGGGGAAGGAGTAAAGAGAAGCAGTAGAGGGTGGAAGGGGGAGCAGTCCCAAGTCCCCATGCCAGCCCCATGCAAGTCCCCATGCCAGCCCATACCAGCCCTGTCTGGTTGGTTTAAGGGGTTTTCTTCAGCGGGTCTAGTGCAGTGGGTCTTAACCAGGGACACTTTTGTACCCTGGGCGACATTTGACAATGCCCGGAGGCATTTTTTTTTCTTTTTGCTTTTTCTTTTTTTTTTTTTGAGACAGGGTCCCGTTGTCTCCCAGGCTGGAGTGTAGTGGGCGATCTCGGCTTACTGCAACCTCCACCTCCTGGGTTCAAGCGATTCTCGTGCCTTAGCCTCCTGAGTAGCTGGGATTACAGGCGCCCGCCACCACGCCCAGCTAATTTTTGTATTTTTAGTAGAGACAGGGTTTCACCATGTTGGCTAGGCTAGTCTCAAACTCCTGACCTCAAGCGATCCGCCCACCTCGGCCTCCCAAAGTGCTGGGATTACAGGCGTGAGCCACCGTGCCCAGCCCTGCATTTTCAATCACCGCGACTGGGAGAGGAAGCCAACCGCCGGCCCTAGTGGGTGGCAGCCAGGAATGCTGCTCGGTACCCTACAGCGCACAACACGGCCCTTGCCAGAAAGAATCAACAGGGCTGTGGGCGAGGAGCCCTGGTCTCACGAGAGGTTGCCCACCCCTCACCTGGTGCCCCAGGAGGTGGGAGGCTTCGCGGGCTCCAGGTCTTGGGCAGGATTCTCTGATTTCTTCCCCTGGAAGGCGTCTCTCTGCCCTCACCGCATCTTCCTATCACTCGCCCTCTCTGTCCACACAGGCCCATTTGTGGGGCAAGGGATTTTCATCAAGAGGAATCTCTAACCTCAGCCCATCCCTGCAACTCACCCCTGCCGCCTGCCCCGCTCCCGAGGCCGGGAACAAGCCCCAACAGTTCAGCCTTCCTCCCCACCCACCCGTTGCCAGCAAGGCCAGTTTCCGGGTGGTGGGTGGAGGGCATGGTGCCATCTGAATACGGTCCAGTTCTCCCCGGTGGGGGAGGGAGAGAAGGGTTTTGCTCCTGGAATGCAGGGCCCACACCATCAGAGCTGCCCATCTGTCTGTCTATCCGTCCATGTGAGACAAGAGCGGGGACTGTTGAGGGAACTACTTCCAAATTTCTCCTCCCTCAATTCCCAGGAGGTGGTGAGCCCCAGCCTTCTAGGATGGCAGGCCAGGCTTCCAGAACCTTCCATCTCAGCCACACAAAACCAAGAGACTGAAGCGAAAGGTAACCCCCTGAGGAACTCCCGGGATTTGTGAAAAATTCAAGAGGGAGTGGCGCCTGGGCCTGATCCGCATCCAGAGGCTGTTCTGTTGGTGAGCAGTGGCTCATTTACTGAAGTACAGACTGCACCCTGTGGCCGCGGCAGCCACGCCCCTCTGCACCCACCAGTCCTGTTCACTGGCCTAGGCTTCAGGCCGCCAGCACCTCCATCTTTTTGCCAAGGGCTTTCTCTGGCCACCACACCCCACTGAGCCCATGCAGGACAAGCGGAGTACCTGAGAGATCATGCCCCTGGCAGCTGCCCTTAACCAACCACTGACAGGAGGTGATGGAGGAAGACGCCGGTTTCCTTGCCCCTTGGTGGAAATAGCCTGGAGGCATGTTTACACTGGCTCCCAGAGTTCCCCAGTGGAATCGAGCCCCAGTTGCCCAGACCAGTAACTTGCTCAAAAATGTCCCCTGTGTGTGTCTTCTCATCTGTGTCTCATGTCCCCACTCCCTTACTCCCTTACTTCCTAAGACTACCACCCAAACAAATCACTTGAATCCTTGCCTCGGTGTCTGCTTCTGGGGGCACCCAGCCTAAGACCAACACAGTCTAAGAGGCAGACACAGATATTTGCAGATCAGGATGAATGTGGCTGCCCCCTCTAGCAACTCACAATCAGATGGAAAGCCCAACACCACTCAGTCACACAGACGCAGAATTGCAAATGGGGAGAAGGCTGAGACTGTGAAGCAACAGAGAACCTTGTTGTTAAAACCCTCCAATGGGCTGAGCATGACGGCTCACGCCTGTAATCCCAGCACTTTGGGAGGCCAGGGTGGGCGGATCACCTGAGGTCAGGAGTTTGAGACCAGCCTGGCCAACATGGTGAAACCCCATCTCTACTTAAAATACAAAAATTAGCCGGGTGTGGTGGTGCACACCTGTAGTCCCAGCTACTCAGGAGGCTGAGGTAGGAGAATCGCTTGAACCTGGGAGGCAGAGGTTGCAGTGAGCTGAGATCGTGCCACTATACTCCAGCCTGGGTGACAGAGCAAGACTCCATCTCAAACAAACAAACAAATAAATAAAACCCTTCAGGCAGGGCATGGTGACTTATGCCTGTAATCCCAGCACTTTGGGAGACCTGAGGTCAGGAGTTCGGGACCTGCCTGGCCAACATGGTGAAACCCTGTCTCTACTAAAAATACAAAAATTAGCCAGGCGTGGTGACATGTGCCTGTAATCCCAGCTACTCAGGAGGCTGAGGCAGGAGAATCACTTGAACCTGGGAGGCAGAGGTTTCAGTGAGTCGAGATCGTGCCACTGCACTCCAGCCTGGGCAACAGAGTGAGACTCTGTCTCAAAAAATAAATAAATAAATAAATAAATAAATAAATAAAAATAAATTTTTAAAAACTCTCCATAGGCCACCCTCCCCTCCCAGGCCAAAATTCAGGTCCTCTAGGTCCTGAACCATCTGCCACCCCTTCCCTTTCCTGTGCTCACCTCTCCCCATCCTGCTCCAGCCATAATGGGCTGCTGGCTGTTTCTCAGTTGTGCTGTACGTGTTCCTGCTTCAGGACCTTTGCACTTGCTATTCCCTCTCCTCAGATGCTTTTCCCTAGATCTCCCCATGGCCGGCTCCTCCTTCTAGTTCAAATCTTGGTTCACATGTCACCTCCTCATGGGGTCACCTCAGCACCCATCCCCCACCACCTCCCACCAGTCACTTTCTAACCATGTCACCCTGGTATATTGACTTCATAGCCCATATCACAGCCGGAAGTTATATTGCTTACTTATGTGTTGAATGATCCCCAAAGATGGGCTCTGTGAATATGAGCAGAGGCTGTGTCCCCGGTGCCTGGAACAAAACCTGGAACAGAGTAGGAGCCCTATGGCTGTTTGCTGGAGAAGTCATTCAATGTTTAAGTGATGAGAGGGAAAATGAATGAATGAATCATAGAAAGACATTTAACAGGGGGACCCAACCTTGTCTGGAAAATCAGGGAAGGCTTCCCTGAGGAGGTGACATGGAGCTGAGATATGAATGGAGATGGGGTATTAACTGAGCCAAAGGGACAGGAAGAGCTACTCAGGCAGAGGGAAGAGCACATGGAAATGTCCAGAGGATCCCAGAGGACACACCAGGACTGTGCAGGGGACAAGCCAGCTGTAGCCGAAGGTTTTCCTTAATATTTTTGAACCTATTATGTGTCCAGCTCACGGATACATGGAGAACAAAGCAGGCAAGTTGCTGTGCCCCTGGAGCTCCCAATCTGGTGGGGAGGACAGACACTCACCAAAGAGTGGGCCAACATTTAGTCCCAAAGTTTCAGTTGCCCTTGCACAGCCTCCTCTTACAGTACACTGTTGATGCTTGCTTTCCAGAATACGCCACTGAGATGCTGTGTAGAAACACACTTGGCATGAACACACACACACATACACATACACAATAAGTGAAGAATTCCCTGGATTTCCCACCAAAAGAGATCAGAAAAGACATTCAGAGTAGCTCCTTTTTGTTGTTAATAATTTAATTAATCACCCTCTACCAATGTGATCACCATTAGCACAGAGCTATAATTTCCTGAGTTCAAGAAAGAAGGGAGCAGCTATGCCAATTGTATGACAATGTGTCCTCCCATAGAAAATTTAACCGCCACCACCCCGCCGCCACCACTAGTCTGACAACAGCCAAAGCCAGGCCCAGTCACCTAGTGGGTTCTATATGAAGTGCTGGGATGGAGCCAGGTTTTATCTCTCGGCCTCCCAGTTCCGGGCTCGTGTTTTGTCCCTCCCAGCAGTCAGAAAAAGGCTCCAGCTGGACGCTCAAGCCTCCCCTCCCCTCCCCTGCAGGGCCACAGTAGAATTGGTCCCACTCCATTTGCATTTCCTACCGGGCTCCTAAAGCCTTTTGAGTTTTTGACCCCAGGATGTCATGGCAGGAGGGTCACAGTTAGATACCTGTCAGGGAATTCTTCATTTGTGTGTGTGTGTGTGTGTGTGTGTGTGTGTGTGTGTGCTGAGACAGCGTTTCTCCATGTTGGCCAGGCTGGTCTCGAACTCCTGACCTCAGGTGATCCACCCGCCTCGGCCTCCCAAAGTGCTGGGGTTACTAGATGTGAGCCACCACACCCCACCAAAAGTTATAAATTTATGCAAATAAATATATACAATTTTTATTTGTCCAGTTAAAAAATATATGCAAGTTTTTGTCAATTAAAAAAATTTCATGAGGGGAGGGGGTTGGGCGATCAGGGAAAGATGTCTAGACAGGCTCCTAGAGGTGAGAGAAACTCCATGTTAGAGGGAAACATAGGGCTATGGGAACTCCTAACAAGACCCCTTAACCCAGCCTGGGAAATCACAGAATCCTTCCTGGAGGAGGAGGCCTTTTCACTCATTCTTAAAGGGTAAAGTCAGCTAGAGCAGGGTCAAAAACCTTTTCTGTAAAGGGCTAGATAGTAAATATTTATGCTTCATGAGTTCCTGTCACAACTATGATTACAGATCTAAAGCAGCCATAGATAAAACTGAAATAGATGTGGCTGTGTTCCAATAAAACTTTATTGACAAAAACCACACGCTGAGCCAGATTTGGCCCCCAGGCCATAGTTTACTGACCTCTGAGCTAAACAATGGAAAAGGAGAAAGCAAGCAAAGGAAGTCACTTGAGCAAAAGCTGGAGGTGTAAAAGAGCAGAGAATTAGGAAAGAGCCACGTTGTGGTTTTCCTTCTCCCTGAGGCACAGAAGGAGTTGTCTATGTTTACACAAAGACTTGGGCTCTGACGCAAGCTGAGTGCAGGATTCCAAATTCACCCCATCGACAAGTATTTATTGAGTGCCTACTAGGTGCCAGGCACTGTTCTAGGCACTGCAATGACACAGCAATGAACAAGAGACTTTCTCCTGTGGAAGACAAACACTAAGCACACACAAGTGAACAAGCGAGCCAAAAAAAATACAGCTTCCTCACCTGCTGTGTGACCTTGAAGATGTTCCTTAACCTCTCTGTGCCCCAGGAGGATAATATGATCAGAGTGCAGGCCCAGCACACAGTGGCTGTTCTATAAATATAGCTGCTGTTATTATTGTAAGTCAATATGCAAATAAATACACATTAAAAAAAAAAAAAAAAGGCCAGGCATGGTGGCTCATGCCTGTAATCCCAGCTACTCAGGAGGCTGAGATGGGAGGCCGAGGCCAGAGGACCACTTGAGCCTGGGAGGCAGAGGTTGCAGTGAGCAAGACTGCACCACTGCAACAGAGAAAGACCCTGTCTCAAAAAACAAAAACAAAACCGTGACACAGGTAGTACCCAGGAACCGGGCAGGTGCATGAGATGAGGGTGGGGGGTCGACTTTGGATCAGGTAGTCCGGGAGGGCCTCTGAGGAAGTGGCAGTCAAAGACGCCCTGGATCGCATTCTGTGAGCCAATATCCTAGAATTAGAGTTTGCAGCCCCATGCCCTGCAGACTCGCAAGAGCAGTTAATTAAAAATACCTGCCTCTCTGGAGCACAGGAAGGTGTCTTCTCTAATTAGTGTGTGAGTGTAAAGTGCTTTGAAATCCAAGGATAAAAGGGGAGTGAGGGGTGAGGCTCTGGTCACAGGGCCAGGGTGTCCCACTGGGAAGCGATCCATGAACCCGAAGAGCTAGACTCAGAGAGCCATGCTCGTGCTCACGGGCCTGCCGGAGCCGACCCTCTCTCAGGTTCCAAGTGGAGTTTAGGGCAGCGGGAGATGCGCCCACCTAGGGCAGGCTGAGAGGAGCAGAGCACGGATGTTGGAGCCAGACTCCGAGGTCATGTGCTTAAAGCCGTGGACCCAGCACGTGGCAGCTAGCGGTGCCAAGTTGGTATTAGCTGTTTCCCGTCTTGTTACATGATCGCTTTTGTGTTCTTGTTTTTGCTGTTGTTGTTACCTGCCATTTACTAGCCGGGTGACCCTGGGTAAGTTACTGACCCTCTCTGAACCATGATTTTCTTCTCTGAGCCTCAGTGTTCTCTTCTTTAAAGTGGGACACTTGCAGCCCAGCAGTGCCGGGTGCAGGCAACACGTGTGGCACAGAGCAGAACAAACACCACTCTGCCCAGTCAGCCATTGCCTTGTGCCAAGCACTGCCTCAAGCATATTGTATGCGTTCACTCATTTAATCCTCACAGACATTATTCCCACTTCCTGGACAAGGACCTCAGAGCCACCAGGAATAGCCATGCACTGCCCAGCTCCAGGGGGCCCCAATCACACAGACCATGACATGAACAGCAGCCCTGAGGCTGTAAAACACAGACAGGTTAAGTTTTTCACCCAAGGCCACACAGCTAGTACTTGGCAGAACTGGGATTAGATCCCAGACTGCCTGGCTCCGGAGCTGGGCTCCTGACCCTGGGTCAGCGCTGGTCCTTGTCAAGGAGACTAAAGTAACAGAGGGTTTCTGAGATGTAGAGAAATTGGTTCTCCCTTTGCCCAGGCAAGCAGGCAGCAAGTCTCAATCTGCCGATCTCTCGTTTCTCTCTAGCCTAAGAACCTGTATGTTTCTGGGGATTTTTTGATGTTTTGTTGTTGTTGCCTCCTAATTTTATAAGAGCAAGTCTTGTATGTTTTGGTTTGTAGGGCATACTGCCATCCTGGGAGGCTTCTGAATATGCCACGACATCAGGCCTCAGATTGGCGCTGAGGAAGCGCTAATAATCACGTCCCCGTAATCCCATGCTCAAGGCCTTCACTTGACAGGCTCAGAGAGGCAAAGTGACCCGCCCAAGGTCACACAGCTAGGAAGTGGCAGAGCTGAAATAGGACTTCTAGACTCCAGCTTCTTTCTTAATTCCCACATCTGATGTCTCAAACTGGTGGCCCATGGGCCAAATGCAGCCTGTAGAATGTTTGATTTGGCCTGCGTGACGTTTTTGTAAAATTAGAATTTATCATCAGTATGTAAAGAAACGGATATTTCCAGGAATAGTATTCAAAATATTTAACCAGACTGGCCTGGGCATCGACCATTCAGAGTGGCTGCTGGTGGGATAGCAGAAGCCAATGGCTACTGCAAAAAGACGCCATAAAAAATATCAGATCTGGAAAATGCAAAACCATGGAGACAATAAAAAGATAGGTGGCTTCCGGGAGTGAGAGGGAGGAAGAGATGTCTAGGTAGGGCATAGAGGACTTTCTAGGGCAGTGATATGATGACAATGGTGGATTCCTGTCATTACACATTTGTCCAAACCCATAGGATGTACAACACCAAGAGTGAGCCCTAAAGCAAATTATGGACCTTGAGTGACAATGATGCATCCATGTAGTTCATCAATTGTATCAAATGTACCACCCTGGTGGGCAATGTTGATAATAGTGGAGGCTGTGCCTGTGTCGGGGGAGGGGGTAGGTAAAACATCTCTGTACCTTTCTCTCCATTTTGCTGTGAGCCTAAAGTTTCTTTTAAAAATAAAGGCATTTGGCCGGGCGCAGTGGCTCACGCCTGTAATCCCAGCACTTTGGGAGGCCGAGGCGGGCGGATCACGAGGTCAGGAGATTGAGATCATCCTGGCTAACACAGTGAAACCCCATCTCCACTAAAAATACAAAAAATTAGCCGGGCGTGGTGGCAGCCAGCTGTAGTCCCAGCTACTCGGGAGGCTGAGGCAGGAGAATGGTGTGAACCCAGGAGGCGGAGCTTGCAGTGAGCTGAGATTGCACCACTGCACTCCAGCCTGGGCTACAGAGCGAGAGACTCTGTCTCAAAAAAATAAATAAATAAATAAATAATAAAGGCATCCTAAGTCACAGGATGAGATAAGAGGTCAGCACAAAGTACAGGTCATAAAGACCTTGCTGATAAAACAGACTGCAGTAAAGGAGCTGGCCAAACCCACCAAAACCAAAATGGCCACGAGAGTGACCTCTGGTCATCTTCACTGCTACACTCCCATTAGCACCATGACAGTTTACTAATGCCATGGCAATGTCAGGAAGTTACCCTATATGGTCTAAAATGGGAAGGCATGAATAATCTACCCCTTGTTTAGCATATGATCAAGAAATAACCATAAAAATGAGCAACCAGGCCGGGCGCAGTGGCTCATGCCTGTAATCCCAGCACTTTGGGAGGCCAAGGCAGGCAGATCACCTGAGGTCGGGTGTTCAAGACCAGCCTGACCAACATGAAGAAACCCTGTCTCTACTATAAATACAAAATTAGCTGGGCGTGGTGGCATATGCCTGTAATCCCAGTTACTGGGGAGGCTGAGGCAGAAGAATCGCTTGAACCCGGGAGGTGGAGGTTGTGGTGAGCCAAGATCTCGCCACTGTACTCCAGCCTTGGGCAATAAGAGCAAAACTCTATCACCAAAAAAAAAAAAAAGGCAATCAGCAGCCCTCGGGGCTGCTCTGTCTATGGAGTAGCCATTCTTTTATTCCTTTATTTTCTTAATAAACTTGCTCTTACTTCACACACAAAAAAATAATAAATAAAACTTACTTTTGGCCGGGTGTAGTGCTCACACCTGTAACCCCGGCACTTTGGGAGGCCACGACAGGTGGATCACTTGAGGTCGGGAGTTCAAAACCAGCCTGGCCAACATGGTCTCTACTAAAAATACAAAAATTAGCCGTGCTTGGTGGTGCGCACCTGTAATGACAGCTACTAGCAGGGGCTGAGGCAAGAGAATTGCTTGAACCTGGGAGGTGGAGGTTGCAGTGAGCTGAGATGGCGCCACTGCACTCCATCCTGGGCAACAGAGCGAGACTCCATCTAAAAAAAAATAAAATAAAGTATATGTTTTAAAAATTCAGAAGGTTTGGCTACATGGCTCCCACATTTTTACAGGACCATGATGGCTGCAGTGAGTTCCAGGTGCCTCCATAGATAAAGCGTGTGTGCCCGAGCCTGTCGGTCCCCTGAGACTGCCTCCCTCTGTAGCATCAGCCAGCCAGTCCCCGCAGGCACCTGAGCAATGACTCAGGCATGAAGGGGATTCTTTGGAAGTTCCTGGTGAGAAAGAGAACCGGGTGAAAGTGTGGCCTGCAGGAGTGGCCAATGAGGAGCAAAGAGGAGGGTGACACCCGCCTGTGTCAGCTCCTGCTCATCATCTCCCCAGTGGGAGCCTCCTGTGCACTTTCCACAGGACCGAGTGAGCCACTCTTGATTCACCCTTCCTCTGCCCAGGCCTGCAGTGGGCGGGTGCCCACCGTGGTACACAGCCCATGAAGCAGCCACCCTCTGCCACTGAGGCTTGGCAGTCTGAATGGATGCCAGCCTATGAGATTAGAAGGAAAATGGGCAGGATGTGAAAAATCAGAAGCTGCCTGACTACTCCTGGGAAATTGTTCCTGAGACCATGCCCTTCCTGCGTCTACTTGTAGCATCGCTCTTTCACTGACAAGCATGTATCGAGTACTAGGCAAGTCCAAAGGAGGTCTTGAAGTAGATACAGCAGGACA
Organism: Homo sapiens; assembly: GCF_000001405.40. NCBI lineage: Eukaryota > Metazoa > Chordata > Mammalia > Primates > Hominidae > Homo > Homo sapiens. Next base: position 50,439,598 of record NC_000020.11, read on the forward strand.
GGCAAGAGGCTGGTTCCATGGCCAGCTGCTGTTTGTACCTGACCAATGTTCCTCCCCCATGTTCCGGTAACAGCACCCTTCCACCACTATCACTCCATGTGCCTCCCCAACCAGAGGAGGTGGATGAATGAGGCCTGGGAAGTCAGCATATTCCATCCCCCCGGCCCCAGGGATTGGTCTGAGATGGGTATGTGACCCAAGTCTGGCCAATCACAGTCAACCCCTAGACATGTGCTGAGGCTACACAGAAAGTCAGCTTCTGCTCACTTGGCTTGTCGATCTGGCAGAATGGAAGCTGGGGGATACTGGGGACTATTTTTGCCACCACATAAGGTGACCCTAACTGACACGGAGGAAAACAGAACCAAGAAGTGGAAACAGCATGATTCCTAAACAACAGATGCACACCTGGATCCAGCCATTCCTGAAGCTGAAGGTCTTTTCATTTAAATGAACCAAAACATTCACAGAAACACACACTATTTTTTTTCTTAAGTCACTTTGAGTTGGGTTTGTTTCTGTCACTTTCAACCAAAAGACCCTGACTATACAAGTGGATGTATAGCTGTTTCCAGGCTGGAAAACAAACAGCTATGGCAAAAGCAGACCATGAGACATCCATGTAAAATCTGGGAGTTGAGGGCTGGGTGCAGTGGCTCACACCTGTAATCCCAGCACTTTGGGAGTCTGAGGCAGGTGGATCGGTTGAGGTCAGGAGTTCAAGGCCAGCCTGGGCAACATGGCAAAACCCTGTCTCTACTAAAAACACAGAAATTTGCTGGGCGTGGTGGCATGCACCTGTAATCCCAGCTACTGGGGAGGCTGAGGCACAAGAATGGAGAATTGCCTCCCTCTGAACTTTTTATTTGGTGCTATAAATAAACCCTTTCAGGTCTGAGCGGCAGTCAGGTGGATTTCCAGTTACTTGCAGCTGAATGCATTTCTACCTGTCACTCCTCCTCAGGACCATAGGTTGCTCTGGATTCCCACCACACACGTGGAGATACTGAGGTCTGGAATGCAGAGAAAACTTCCCCAGTGTCACGTGGTGGAGTCATGAGTTTACTGACTCACTACCCAGTGCTCTTTCCGCTCAAGACAACCTCGTGGTCCGTTCCTTTCATTCGGGCTGCTGTATGCATGGCCAACAGCTGCTTTGTAAATTAAACACTTCCCATGGAGGCAGTGATGATGATGACCTTGCCCCTGAATCTTTCCAGCCTCTTACGTAAATCGCCCCTGGGTCACTGTCTCCATGCCTTTGGACCCAGGACAGCTTCCCCACATCCTTTAAAACGATGAGATAACCACATGTAAACCCAGTGCTCCTGGAAAGGTGTGAGTCATGCATCACGGAACAGAAGGTTCACAGCCAGGAGTCCGCCTATCATGCTTGTCATCCAGCCTTCCAGGCTTGCGTGGAGCTTGTTCACTGCAAAGCTGATTCATCTGCAGCTTGTGGTCAGCTCTGACACTCAGATCATTTTCTGCTCATCTTGTGCCTGGCTAGTGACCTTTAATTAGGTGCTGTCAACTTCCTGTCTTCCTGTCTCTGTCCATGTTGTCTTTCCCCCTATTTTAAAAGGACTGTATGAATACTAAAGACATGATGATGATGATAGCAGTTAGCACTTACTATATTCTAAATGCTCTATATAAATTTAAAAGTTGTTTCTCAAAAGCCATTGTCTGAGATAACTAGTATTACTATTGCAGTTTTATGGATTGGAAAACAAGGGCTTAGAAAAGTGAAGTCACTTTCCTTGGGTAACAGAGCCAGGAGTATTTGGTGGAGCTGGAATATGAACATGAGTGTGTTGGACCCTGGAGTGCAGCTCGAAAACACAAAGCCAGTTGAGTCTGTTAAGCTAGCTTCAGAGGCTCCACTACAGCAGTTTAGACTCTAATTACATTTACTGTTTGTTTAAAAGACTTCTGGACAGACTGGAGACCTCATGGTGTATTTGTCATCTTAAGGTTGTCATAAAGGACCCACAGTCTTTGCACTTTCCCTCTCCTCCGTCAACAGCAAGTCAGCAACTTGTCCTCAGTCTGGTCTTCACATCACAGATGGCTGCCACAGCTCACGCATCACCTCTTCACACAACAATGTCCAAAGCAGGCAGAGAAGGAAAGGGGCAAATAGGTTTCTCTTTATGTGCCTCTTTCTTGTCATAGAGTAAACTCTTTCCCAGAAGCCCCCAGATTAGTTTCCCTTTGGACAAAACTGGGTCACGTGACCACCTCTGAGCCAATCGCAGGTCCAGGAGAACAGGGTGGCTATGACTGGGTAAAGCAAATGCAGTTTTTCCCCTAGGACTAGGCACATGGCCAGCTGCAGAAAGTCAGGGTTTTCTCAGCAGGAAAGGAGAGGGGAATGGCAGTTGACAAGGCAACCCGCAGTGTCTGATACCCCAGCATTTAAAAATGTTTAGCACAGACACCCACGTTGATTTGCAATATGATTGTAGGTGGTACATGAAGTTGTGGTTGCGTGTTTTTAAATAATTTTAGTATTTATTAAGTATTTAAATGCATTTGAAAAAAACATATAGGCCAGGTGTGGTGGCTCACACCTGTAATTCTAGCACTTTGGGAGACCAAGACTGGCGGATCACTTGAGGTCAGGAGTTCGAGACCAGCCCGGCCAACATGATGAAAACCCATCTCTACTAAAAATACAAAAATTAGCCAGGCGTGGTGGTGGTGTCTGTAGTTCCAGCTACTCAGGAGGTTGAGGCAGGAGAATCACTTGAACCTGTGAGGTGGGGGTGGAATGAGTCCAGATCGTGCTACTGCACTCCAGCCTGGGTGACAAAGCGAGACTCTGTCTCAGGAAAAAAAAAGAACCAAAACCATATATATGGCTATCTCATCAATCAGAACCACAACAACTATAAAACAACTATATTTAAGGTTTTTTGCAAAAAAAAAAGTTAAAGAAAATATTAAGTAAATAATAGATCATTTGCTTCAAGATTTGGCAAATGTAAGGATAGGAAACGCTGTTCTATGTTATCCTGCTTGGCCTTTTTTCCAACTTCTCAGAGGCGTTCTGCCTTCAAACTCCCTCTTGAGGAAAATAAACACCCACAAAGATTTTTGCATCATCTGCAAATATGATTCAAATAAAGCCTTGAGCTCAAATATAATCCAGGCTTCCTCAGCTGGGAAGGACAGGCATCTCGAGTCCAAGCCTTTCCTGGTATTTCACCTCTGTCTTCATGGTTTTATGGGGTTTTATTGGGTCTGTCCCTCCTCTGGAAAGCCACCACAAATCCGATTTCTGAGAGAACAAGATATAAATAATAAACAGAATGACTCCTTGAGATTTCTTGTCCTTGTGAGGAATTTTCAAACGTTCCTAAGACATGAAATCTTTTCGTTTAAACAAGAGTTTGGGAGTCCGTCATGAGAACTGGATAAATAATGGCCCAGTGACACAGGGACATATGTCAGAGCCTTTGTTCAAAGAAATAAAGTAGCTCAATATGTGCCGATAGCAAAAGGCGCCTGGGATCTATCGTGATGCGAGAACAGCAAGGTACAGAACAATATGTGCGAGGTACAGAACCATATCTGCAGACTTTTTCTGTAAAGGGCTGCATAGAAAATCCTTTGGGCATTGCAAGCCGTACTGTCTCTGTTGCAGCTGCTCAGCTCTGCCATCGTGGCATGAAAGCAATCATAGATAGCGCACAAAGCAGCTGGGCTGTGTATCAATAAAACTTTATCTATGGACACAGATGTACATTGCATATAATTTTTGTGTGTCATAAAGCATTCTTCTTTCTTTTTTTTTTTTTTTTGAGACAGAGTCTCACTGTGTATCACAGGCTGGAGTGCAGTGGCGTGATCTTGGCTCACTGCAACCTCCGCCTCCTGGGTTCAAGTAATTCTCGTGCTTCAGCCTCCCGAGTAGCTGGGACTATAGGCATGCAGCCACCACACCCAGCTAATTTTTGCATTTTTAGTAGAGACAGGGTTTCGCCATGTTGGCCGGGCTGGTCTCAAACTCCTGACCTCAAGTGATTTGCCTGCCTCGGCCTCCTAAAGCGCTGGGATTACAGGTGTGAGCCACTACACCTGGCCTCAATTTTGTTTTGTTTTGAGACGGGGTCTCACTCTGTCACCCAGGCCAGAGTGCAGCTGTACCATCACAGCTCACTGCAGCCTCAACCTCCCTGGGCTCAGGTGATCCTCCTGCCTCAGCCTCCTGTGTAGCTGGGACTATAGGCATGTGCCACCACCCCCAGCCAATTTTTGTATTTTTTGTAGAGATGGAGTCTCCTTATGTTGCCCAGGCTGGGCTCAAACTGCTAGGCTCAAGTGATCTGCCCGCCTCAGCCTTCCAAAGTGTTGAGACTATAGGCATGAGACACCGTGCCTGGCCTTTCTTTCAAATTTTAAAAATCATTTAAAAATGTAAAAACCAGCCGGGCATGGTGGCTCATGCCTGTAATCCCAGCACTTTGGGAGGCTGAGGTGGGTGGATCTCCTGAGTTCAGGAGTTTGAGACCAGCCTGACCAACATGGTGAAACCCCGTCTCTACTAAATACAAAAAATTAGCTGGGTGTTGGGGTGCATGCCTGTAATCCCAGCTACTTGTGAGGCTGAGGCAGGAGAATCACTTGAACCCAGGAAGGGGAGGTTGCAGTGAGCCCAGATTGCGCCATTGTACTCCAGCCTTGGTAACAGGAGTGAAATTCTGTGTCAAAAAAAAAAAGTAAAAACCATTCGTAGCTTGCAGGCCATACAGAATAGTGAGACAGATTTGGCTTGAGGACGATAATTTGCCAATCCATCTATAAACCTCTGATGCATAACAAAATTGTAGAGAAACACCAGAAGTATAGAGAGGCATGCTACACGTGCGTGTGTGCACGTGCGTGTGTGTGTGTGTGTGTGTGTCTGTGTGTGTACAGCTGGCTCTCCATACCCATGGGTTCCACCCATCCGTAGATTCAACCAGTCATGGATCAAAAACATTCAAAGACGCTGGGCGTGGTGGCTGTAATCCCAGCACTTTGGGAGGCCGATGCTGGTGGATCATGAGGTCAGGGGTTCAAGACCAGCCTGGGCAACATGGTGAAACCCCGTCTCTACTAAAAATACACGGTGGCATGTGCCTGTAATTTCAGCTACTTGGGAGGCTGAGGCAGGAGAATTGCTTGAACCGGGACCCGGGAGGCAGAGGTTGCAGTGAGCCGAGCTCCAGCCTGGGCTACAGAGCGAGACTCTGTCTAAAAAAAAAAAAAAAAAAATCAAAGAGGCCGGGCACAGTGGCTCATGCCCGTAATCCCAGCACTTTGGGAGACCAAAGTGGTGGATCACCTGAGGTTAGGAGTTCGAGACCAGCTTGGCCAACATGGTGAAACCCCATCTCTACCAAAAATATAAAAAATTAGTCAGTGTGGTGGCACACGCCTGTAATCCCAGCTATTCAGGAGGCTCAGGCAGGAGAATCACTTGAACCTGGGAGGCAGAGGTTGCAGTGAGCCGAGAGCTTGCCACTGCACTCCAGCCTGGGTGACCGAGTAAGACTGTCTCAAAAAAAAAAAAAAAAATATATATATATATATATTCAAAGAAGAAATGTGTCTGTACTAAGCATGTACAGACTTTTTCTTGTCATTATTCACTAAACAATACATTAAAACCACTATTTACATTGGATTTACATTGCATTACATATTATAAATAATCTAGAGATGATTTGAAGTGTACAGGGGGATGTGCCTAAGTTATATACAAATGTTACTTTATTTTACATAAGGGACTCAAGCATCTAAAGATTGTGATATCTGTGGAAGGTCCTAGAATCAATCCCCAAGGATACCAGGGACAACTGGAGAGAGAAGCGGGGAGAGAGAGACAGATATTTGTTTATATCTCTAAAAGGACACACTAACAACTGGCAACAAGAGGTGCTTCTGAAGAGGGGAACTGGGAAATGTCAGAGGAAATGAGAAGGAAGATATTTTGCACGACATGGCCTTTTACACTGCTTGAGTTTTTCTCCACATGCTTGTGTTACTTTTACAAAGCAGAAAACATTTGCCAAAGGATTACTATGCCACAGACAATAAAAATGAGACGCTATAAACAAATATACACAGTCATGCATCACATAATGACATTGGTCAATGATGGACCACATATACGACCGTGGTCCTGTAAGACTGTAAGGCGGTATTTGTACTGTATGCTCTCTACGTTTAGGTATGTTTAGAGACAGATACTTCCCATTGTGTTACCATTGCCTACAGCAGGGGTCCCCAACCCTCCAAGGTACCAGTCCGTGGCCTATTAGGAACTGGGCTGCACGGCAGGAGGTGAGTGACAGGTGAGTGAGCAAAGCTTCATCTGTATTGACAGCCACTTCCCATCACTCGCATTACCACCTGAGCTCCACCTCCTGTCAGACTGGTGGTGCCATTAGATTCTCATAGGAGCTCGAACCCTATTGTGAACTGCCCATGTGAGGGATCTTGATTGTGTGCTTCTTATGAGAATCTAACGCCTGATGATCTGTCGCTGTCTCCCATCACCCTCAGATGGGATCGTCTAGTTGCAGGAAAACAAGCTTAGGGCTCTCACTGATTCTACGTGAAGGTGAGTTGTATAATTATTTCGTTATATATTACACTGTAATAATTGTAGAAATAAAGCACACAATAAATGTAATGCACCTGAATCGTCCCGGAACCATCCCCCTCACACTGGTTTTTGGAAAAAAATTTCTTCCACGAAACCGGTCCCTGGTGCCAAAAAGGTTGGGGACCGCTGGCCTACAGTTTTCAGTACAGTCACGTGCTGTACAGGTTTGCAGCCCGGGAGCCACAGGCTCCACCGTGTAGCCTGGGTGTGTAGTAGGCTATGCCATCTAGGCTTGTGTGAGTACACTCCGATGTTCTCGTCATGACGAAATCACCTAACAACACACTTCTCAAAACATAGCCCTGTCATTAAGGGACGCGTGACTTCACAGGCAATCACAGCACAACTTCAGCGGGTGCCGTTCATTGGGCCATTTGTAGAATGGAGCCATTGGAGTTGTGAGGGCACACCCCATGTGGCAGCCCTGTTGGTAACAAAACTAACACCAAGAGTTTCTATGAAGTGAAATTTGTGAGTAAATATTAAAGAAGTAGGGTCGGAGTGGAAGTTGTGGGAGGGGAATAAAATCTCACTCTTTCCGTTTTATGCTATTCCTTATCAGGACCACAATAAAGCCAATCTTCTGCCAATATTTACTTTTGATTTTTTTCTCCAGAGTGGAAGAAAAATGCCCAGGCCTGGCAGGAATAGGAGAGTAGGATTGAAAGTTGAAACAAGAGCAGGAAGCTCACCCGGAAATAAAATCATTTCCAGAACCTCACAATGAAAATGACACTTATTTCACAGAAACACTCAAAGGCTGACTCCACTTACGAGACTCCTCTCTTGTAACCCCAGTCAGCTTTCCCAGATATCTTGGGATTCCATGAAACCCACTGCAAGCATTTTGACCCAGGTTGGAGGCCTCAAACAGCAGTCTCCCACCTAAGAACATGGAAGATGTGGATTTTTGGTCAGCAGTGGTTTCAAAATCAAGACATTTCATGTAAATGCAGGAGTTTCTGGCTTCCCTTGAAACTCTTGGCTCTCTGGCCGCCCTGAGCCCACATTCCCACGTGGAAACTTCAGGCTGCCGTCAAACGGTAGTTGCTCCTTCCAGATGGGGCAAGGGCTCCCCGTTTGCCACAGTCCCCACCACTCCCTGTCGCCCTCCATCAGGACCACTTCACTCAATTCTTTTTTTCATTTGTACTTCATTCACTCAACCAAGATTTATTGAGCACTTACTATGTGCCAGAAAGCTGCAAACAAAACTGACACAAATTCCTCCTTCATGCAACTTATATTCTGGCTGGTGAGGCAATGAAGAAAAAGAAGGAAAAGCATAAATTCCAGAGGGTGGTAAGTTCTGCTGACAGTGAAAATAGTGCTGCAAAGGTGGAGAAGGCATGCTGGGTGTGGTCAAGGAAGGCCTTAGGAGGAAGGTACATTTGAGCAAAGATCTGAAGCTGGTAAGGACAGCAAGCCTTCAGGATATCTGTGGAAAGAACAGTCCAGCCAGCAAGAACAGCAAGTGCAAAGGTCCTGGGGCAGGACTGCTCCTTGTGTGTCTGTGAAGCAGCAAGAAGGCCAGTGCAGCTGGAGAAGAGTGAGTGAGGGGAAGGGGGTGGAAATGAGGTCAGAGAGGGGATGAGGTATCAATCTTGCAGGGCCTCATAGGATCTTTGGCTTTTACTCTAAGTGAGGTGGGAGCCGTGGAGGATTCTGAGCAGAGGCAATGTGGTTGTATGGGTGATAGACTCCCTCTAGCTACATGTGGAGACTGGACTGTGTGTGCGAAGCGGGTGGGGTGGGATGGAGGAGAAAGGTGGAAGCTAAGAGGCCAGCAAGGACCCACTGCAGTGGTCCGGGTGCAGGGTGGCAGTGGCAGGACAGGGCGGTGGCTATGGAGGTGGTGACAAGAGGTTGGAGTCTGGACATACTGTGTTTCCCGGCTCTTTTTTTTTTTTTTTTTTTTTGAGACAGAGTTTCGATCTTGTTGCCCAGGCTGGAGTGCAATGGCACGATCTCGGCTCACCAAAACCTCCCTCTCCCAGGTTCAAGTGATTCTCCTGCCTCAGCCTCCTGAGTAGCTGGGATTACAGGCATGCGCCACCATGCCTGGCTAATTTTTGTAGTTTTAGTAGAGATGGAGTTTCTCCATGTTGGTCAGGCTGGTCTCGAACCCCTGACCTCAAGTGATCCTCCCGCCTTGACCTCCCAAAGTGCTGGGATTACAGGCATGAGCCACCGTGCCTGGCCTTCTTCTTCTTTTTTTTCTTTTTTGAGACGGAGTCTTACTGTGATGCCCAGGCTGGAGTGCAATGGTGCAATCTTGGCTCACTGCAAACTCCCCTTCCCAAGTTCAAGCGATTTTTCTGCCTCAGCCTCCCAAGAAGCTGGGACTACAGGTGTGCACCACCATACCTGGCTAATTTTTGTATTTTTAATAGAGGCGGGGTTTCACCATATTGGCCAGGCTGATCTCAAACTCCTGACCTCAGGTGATCCTCTGGCCTTGGCCTCCCAAAGTGCTGGGATTACAGGCCTGAGCCAACATGCCTGGCCTGTTTCCCAACTCCTTTTGGCACTTAGGAGAAACTCCCCTCACTCACTCTCCTCCAGCCACATTGTGCTTGCATGATCCAACCTCAGGGCCTTTGCACTTGCTGTTCCCTCTGCCCTGCACACGCCGCCCCCAGATATTCCCAAGGCTTCCTCCCTCCCTTCTCAGGGCTAAAGCTGCTGAAACAGCCCACATTCCTGACATTCTCCTCCCTTGCTCTGCTGGGTTGGTCACTACAGTGAACTTCCTGGCCTCAATATACAGGAGACGTTTTTTCTTGTTGTTGAGTTGTCTATCTCCTGCCGTAGGGCATCAGCTTGAGGAGGGAACCAGTGATGTCTCTTTTTTTTTTTTAAACAGAGTCTCACTCTGTTGCCCAGGCTGGAGTGAAGTGGCACAATCTTGGCTCACTGCAACCTCCACCTCCTGGGTTCAAGTGCTTTAGCCTCCTGAGTAACTGGGATTACAGGTGTAAGCCACCACACCTGGCAATTTTTTTTTTTTTTAGTAGACATGGGGTTTCACCATGTTGGCCCGGCTGGTCTCGAACTCCTGGCCTCAAGCGATCTGCCCACCTAACCCTCCCAAAGTGCTGAGATTACAGGCATGAGCCACCGCGCCTGGCCAGCAATGATTTCTCTCGTTCACTGCTGTATCCCCGAGTCTAACTATGCCTGGAGCAGAGTAGTCCATCAGTGGGACTTGTAGAAAGAATGAGAGAAGGCGTCAGAGATTGATTTTGTTTCTGCCACTCATTAGTGTATGACCTGTGCAAATGGCTCCTCCCTCCATCCCCAGTATCCTCTTCTATAAAATGGGTCTCTCTACATAACCTCTGTAGGGCTGTTGTGAGAATCTGGGAAGCCTACGGCAAAAAGCCTTTAGCACCATTCAGGGATCTTCGAAGCTGTCCGTGTTAGGTGTTGCTATGAACCTTAGGAGGGAATGAGAGGATAGCTGGAAGAGAGTCACCCCCGCAGAGGCCAAGAAGGAAGAGAGAAACACGTTTGTCCTAAGATGGGACAAGGCTGTTTTTTCCAGTATTTTCAGTAAGAAAACGAAAGAGCATCCAAGAATCTCAGGGCACAGTCCAGGCTGCAAGCTTCTTGGCTGTCTGGCCTCTGCCCATCTTTCCTGCTCTCTGCTCCAGCCTATAGCTCCCTTCCCCGCAGCCCTGTGAGCCCCTCAGTGGCCCCAGGATCCTCTGCTCCTCTGCTCCTCTGGGAATCCAGTCCCCTCCGGCTGAATGCCTCACCTTCCCCTGGGGTCTACCACTCAGCCCTCTGCAGCCAGCCCAGCTCCTGTGTGGAATTCCCTGGTGGCTGGTATGAGGGGGTGCCCAGCATCCCCTCCTCATCCTGTGACAGTGGATAAGGGCCAGCTGTTAGCATCATTGTTGTTATTACTATTACACAAACGCTTCCAATGGATCCACACCACCTAAGCAGCGCCAGGAAGCCAGGGAAATGCCAGAAGCAATAACAGTCAGCAACTATGTAGTACCTACTGTGTACTGTGCTGTATTGCACATAGGCACCGTTCCAAGCCCTTCGTGCTATTAACTCATTTGATTGTCACAGTGTATGAGGCAGGTACTATGTTAACTCCATTTTACAGATAATGAAACAGATCTAGAGTGGTTAAGTAACTAACCACTGAGAAAGCTAGATTCAAATTTGTGGGTTGGCTCTAAAACCTGTTGTTTTAATTAACTCTACACACTGCTGCCTTATGGCATTTTATTGTTTGAAATAATAACATTTCCTGAGCACTCACTATGTGCCAGCTACTAGGCTCAGAATTACCTTTCTTCACCCTGAAAGACCCTATGAGTTCATTTGATTATTAAATAGTCCCATTTTACAGAAGAAGAAACTGAGGCATAGAAAGATAGTGCCTCACACAGTGTGGCAAATTGTGTTTTCTGTTTTTTTTTTTTTTTTTTTCTTGCTCTGTTGCCCAGGCTGGAGTCCAGTGGCAAGATCATAGCTCACTGCAGCCTCCTGGGCTCAAGCCATCTTCCTGCCTCGGCCTCCCAAAATGCTGGAATTACAGGGAGTGCACCCAGCTGCGCATCGTGTTGTCTTAAGATGCTTACAGCATCATCTCTCATCCTCATGATCTGTTTCTGCTTCTTTTTTTTTGTAAAAAAAAACCCCCCCAGCTTTATTGAGATATAATTCACATACCATAAAACTCACCCTTTTAAAGTACACAATCCAGTGGGTTTTGGTGTATTCACAGAGTTGTGCAATCATCACCACTACCTAATTTTAGAACACTTGCATTGCCCCCGAAAGGAACCTCACACCCATTAGCAGTCACTCCCCCTTCCCACCATGTTGTGAGGAAACCCAAACCAGCCCAAGTGAAGAGACCACACGAAGAAGTCACACACAGGTGTCTTTCTGATGGCCCAGCTGCGGTAGCAGCTGCCAGACACGCAAGTGAAGACTCTCCGACCGAGGCCAGCACCCCAGCCACCAAGTCGCCCTCAGCCTTCAGGCTGTCCCAGCCGAGGCCCCAGACACTGTGGAGCAGAGACAAGCTGTCCTGCTGTGCCCTGTCTGCATTCCTGACCACAGGATCTGAGAGATATCATTCCAGGCGAGTAGAATGGCTGCTTTACACCGCTGTGTTCTGGGGTGGGTTTGTTATGCAGGAGGAGTAACCGAGCCACAGCTGGTAAGGGGCAATGCTCGGGTTTGAACCCGAGTCCTTCTGGCTTTGAGGCTGCCCCTTAAACCACATATAGGCTGGATGATCCCCTGGATGTGGAGGAGTCGGCACTCCCTTTCTTGTGCAATCGACTCAGTGCATCGGGGTGACGTGCCCTTTCTCTAGCTGACCTTCTGGAAGCACATAAACGGAGACAGAAATGCTTTCTTTTTGTTTTGCCAGTTTATTGCTGCTGCTGCTGCTGCAGTTCTTATTTAGTATATATGAATTCTTGTTCTTATTTTTTGCTAGTTAGAGTAAGGCTGGGCGTGGTGACCCTCAGCTGTAATCCCAGCACCTTGGGAGGCCAAGGTGGGCAGATCATTTGAATCCCAGAGTTTGAAACCAGCCTGAGCATCGTGGTGAAACCCCATCTCTACAAAACAAATACAAAAATTAGCCGGGCACGGTGGCATGTGCCTGTAGTCCTAGCTACTTGGGAGGCTGAGGTGAGAGGATGGCTTGAGTCTGGGAGGCGGAGGTTGCAGTGAGCCAAGATTGCGGCATTACACTCCAGTCTGGCCGACAGAGTGAGAGCCTATCTCTCAAAGAAAGAAAGAGAAAGAAAGAAAGAAAGAAAGAAAAAGAAAGAAGGAAGGAAGGAAGGAAGGAAGGAAGGAAGGAAGGAAGGAAAGGAAGGAAGGAAGGAAGGAAGGAAGGAAGGAAGGAAGGAAGGAAGAAAGGTTAGAATAAATAGATAAGAAACACAAAAAATCCACCTGCCATCCCCACTACGCAGGAAAAACCTCCACATAACACTTGAATCTTGTAGAATTGTATCTACCAGGCATTTAACTCACGCAATTTCACTGGGCATCAGTGGGCCAAAAAGGGTGATGGGGAGAGTGACAATCTTTATTTTTTCGTTTCTTTTCTTTTTCTTTTTTTTTTTTTTTGAGAGAGTCTTGCTCTGTTGGCCAGGCTGCAGTGCAGTGGTGCAATCTTGGTTTACTGAAACCTCTGCCTCCCGAGTTTGAGTGATTCTCCTGCCTCAGCCTCCAGAGTAGCTGGGATTACAAGTGAGCACCATCACGCCTGGCTAATTTTTGTATTTTTAGTAGAGATGGGGTTTCACCATGTTGGCCAGGCAGATCTCAAACTCCTGGCCTCAAGTTACCTGCCCGCCTCAGCCTCCCAAAGTGCTGGGATTTACAGGCGTGAGCCACCAAGCCCGGCTGAGAATGACAATTTTCATATGGCAAGTGAGTGTAGCTGGCAGGTCCTATTTTTTGTTCAACATGGCCCCAAACACAAGATGACCCCTCTCCATCCAGGGGCTATTTGGATTTGCTAAGTGTTTATAATGCACCACGGTTGAGAGGAAATTTAACATATTTTTCAGGATCATTTTTGATTCTGCATAAAAAGAGACCTTTTTTATCCCTTCCAAAAATGGGATTGAGCTATGCAGATGGTTTTGTACCTGACTTTTTCACGTAACAACGTACTTTGAACTGCTTTTGGGCAAGTGGCTTTCTCCTGGCCTTCATGGGAAGGAAGCGCTCTGGGAGTCCACCTGCGCTCTTGCTGAGTGGCAGTCAAAGTCGACTGGAACTCTACAAGCTGTGCAGTCAGGATGCTGAGCAAAAGAAGCCAGATGGGAAGAGCACACACTGTGTGCTTCCCTTTATAGAAAGTTCAAAACCAGCAAAAGTCATCTATGGGGTTAGAATTCAGGACAGCCATTAACCTTGGGGGTGGTGGTGGGGAGGATTTACCAGGAGAGACATCAAGGGGGCTTCTGGAATGTCCTGTGTACATCTGGGTGCTCATTCCACGAATGTGTCCACTTGGCGAGAATTCACTGAGCTCTTTATGTATAATGTGTGTACTTTTCCTTGCAATTAAAACACACATACAAACACACGCAGATGCATGCGTGCGCGCGCGCGCGCGCACACACACACACACACACACACACACACACACACACACACACACAGTGTTCTTAGAGCGCAGGCTGTCCTGTCTGGAAATACATGTTTAATGCTTTTGCCACATATGGGCAGAGGTGAGTGTTGAGAGGACTGGGTATGAAGTTGGGAACCCAAGTCTGAATCCTGGTTCAGCCATCATTAAATGTGTGACCTTGGGCAAGTTACTTAACCTCTCTGAGCCTCAGTTTCCTCATCTGGACTCTGTACCAAGCCCACAAGATCACAGAAGCAGCCACTGCTCGCCTCTCCATCTGGCTCTTCCGTTCTTCTCTGGCTGTCTCTCTAAGCCCACACCACACTGGCCACCATTCTTGTTCCTATCACAGCAAAGCTCAATGTGGCCTCAGGGCTTTTGCCCTAGCTATTCCTGCTGCCTGGAATTACCCTTTCCCTGATTTTCTTGTGGTTGGTTCCTTTTCCTCCTTCATGTCTCAGTTCAAAGGTTACCTTCTCAGAGAGGAGAGCCCCTCACTGACCACTATCCACACCAGCCATCATCAGTTCCATTCCCTGGCCTCAGTTTCTTCCCAGTGCCTCTTAGGTTCTGAAATGGTCATATTTGTTTCTTGCATTGTTGTTGCTCTTTACTTGTTATCTGCTTGGCACTCCCTCTAGACCCATGGACTCTAGGACATGAGGAATCATGATTGTCTTGTTCATTGCTACACCTCCATCACATAAAACAATGTGTATTTGTTCAATTAACCAATCAATCTATACAGCGATCTGATTCTACTTTATGGAATTCTCGGGAAGTTTCGAAAGTACGTTTTAAACAGCCAGGTTTATAAGAATGAGGAAACTTTGAAAGCTCTGTTTGAATGTGGTTAACTCTACTGAGAAGAATCTAGATAGGCCCAAGATGCTTCGTGAGCTGCGTCTTCCATAATTTCATCTACACTGAAAGTCACTATACCGCTTGCAACCACCCGCCCCCCACCTCCACCTTTTGCTATTTGCACCTTTTGTTATTGGCCATTTGGCTGGAACAAAGTCACTAATATTCTTAGTAGTTTATTTCTATATATAGAGATTTTCTTTTTTTTTTTTTTTGAGACGGAGTCTTACTCTGTTACCTAGGCTGGAGTGCAGTGGCATGATCTCGGCTCACTGCAATCTCTGTCTCCCAGGTTCAAGAGATTCTCCTACCTCAGCTTCCTTAGTAGCTGGGATTATAGGCATACACCACCGAGCCCTGCTAATGTTTGTATTTTTAGTAGAGATGGGGTTTCACCATGTTGGTTAGGCTGGTCTCAAACTCCTGACCTCAGGTAATCTGCCCACCTTGGCCTCCCAAAGTGTTGGGATTACAGGTGTGAGCCCCCACGCCTGGCCAACATGGTTTTAAGATGGTCAAAAGGTACAGAGTGTACAAAGAGAAGTCTGTCTCCCTCTGACTACTGCTCTAGAGCCGATTAGTGTTTCCAGGTACCTAGTAAGCGCTTCCAGAACTGTTCTGTGCAGAAACAGGCATGTGGGCTATATCTTCATCTTTCCCGTTTACACAGAAAGGATCTAGTTCAATACACTGCTTTATATCTTTGCTTTTTCTTTTTTCTTCTTTATAATTGATCTTGGAGCTGTTTCCATACCACACATTGTATGTGTATGTTTTAGTTGCACAGAAAGGTGTACGCATCAAGAGCTCAGAGAGTAACTGGTCTCTCTCTCTCCTTCTCTCTCTCTCTCTTCTTTTAAGACGAAGATTTGCTCTTGTCACCCAGGGTGGAGTGCAGTGGCCTGATCTCGGCTCATTGCAACCTCTGCCTCCCAGGTTCAAGTGATTCTCCTACCTCAGCCTCTTGAGTAGCTGGCATTACAGGCGTGCACCACCACGCCCAGCTAATTTTTGTACTTTTAGTAGAGGCAGGGTTTCACCATGTTGGCCAGGCTGGTCTCAAACTCCTGACCTCAGGTGATCTGTCCACCTCTGCCTCCCAAAATGCTGGGATTACAGGTGTGAGCCACCGTGTCTGGCCATTTTTTTTTTTTTTTTTGAGACAGGGTTTTGCTCTGTTACCCAGGCTGGAGTGCAGTGGCATGATCTTAGATCACTGCAGCCTCTAAGTCCCGGGTTCAAGAAATCCTCCCACTTCAGCCTCCCTACTAGCTGCGACTACAGTCATTCTTTTTAAAAACCATAGAATACTGACGGACACCTCAGGCAGCTCTGGTCTTTTGCTTCTGCAGGCAGTGCTGCAGTGATGGTCCTTGGATGCACCTTTGGGCCCAGGAAAATCACTGATTCCTTTTGAATCTGGTAAAGCAACCCGAGAGTTTACCCCTCCCCAACCTCATCTTCACCCCTCGGCCCATCCCGCCCTTGCTGGTGTTTGTGTTTTGGCCTTTTAAAGACTTTTTCAAAATTGACTTTGGCTTCTTGGCCTGAACTCTGAAGTGTTTGAGCTGATAAGATAGCAGGCTTGGCTGTGGGGGCCAGGGGTAAACAGTGACCCCGGGGCCCTCAGCCCCAGTAAGGGAGGGGCCACAGCCCCAAGTCTCTCCTGTCTCCAGCTGTGGGAGCAGGCGGTGTGGCTGGAGGAGGAAGCTGAATTGCGTTGGGCTCCAGATGGGTTTGGGAACCGGAAGGAAGTGGGAAGCTGGCCCCACACAGACCCACTTCTCTGGGCCTTTGAGAACAGTGCCAAGAGGCGCAACATGGGCTCAGTATTTGCCGGGGCCTCTCCTAAACCAAACAGGACGCCACGGGCAAGTTGGAGCAAAGTCCTGGCAAACCTGAAGACACATCCCGTGGAGCCCCAAGGAGCCGAGGGTCACAGGAGGGGCCCTGCCTCCAAGGCCGTGGCAGACAGAACTGGCACCATCTCCACACAGCGTCACCGAGTGATGTCCAGTCGTCTCAGGCCGGGGATTGTAACTGCCCCGCTCTGATCTAGGCCACAGAAGTGAACAAATCAGTTTGGATTCCCACCCTCTAGAACTTTCTTCAGTTGAGGAGGGAAGAGAGAGGATAAATAGGCAAAAACTGGCCAGGGTGCAGGGGACTACAATGGAGAATGGCCAGGCTGTGGGGGCAGAGCAGGGGCACTGCTCACCCTGGAGGGGGAAGGCCTCCCCAGTCATGCCTCGTCCCAGCTTAAAATGCTTTGGGGCCTGCCATGGTTTCTCAGGGCTCCTGGGACCATGGCCTCTGCGTGATCTTCCCTGCCCACCTCTACCAGCAGGGTCAGTGGTGCCAGCTTGGCAACACTTGGTGCCCATGTCTACCTGGGGTCCCTGCATGGCTGCTCCCTCTGCTGGCAGCGCCCTCACCTCCCACCTCCCACTCAGCTCTCAGCTCTCAGCTGAGATGTCACCTTCTCGTCCAGGAAGCCTTCCTTGATGTCCCTGGATGGTCTTGGGGCTATCACATGCTCCTGTACATTCCTCATCCCTGCTTCAGTCACTCTGGGGTTACTTGTTTGCGGGTGGCCCAAGGTAGCCCAGCATGGCCAGAACCCAGCCCTGTGGATGACCCTGCTGGATTCAAATGCTAGCTCCGCCTCTTAGCTGTGCAACCTTGGGCCTCAGTTTTGCCATCTGGAAAAAGGGCATAGTGATGGCATCTACCTCACAGGGTGGTTGTGAGGAAGAAGCAGTTTAATACAAGTACTTAGAAAGACATCTGGCACCAACTTTGCACTCAGTAAATGTTGGCTGTGCCATTACACTTGTTCTCTCTCCCACAGAACACAGCAGGTGCTCACTTCACATTTGCATGCTAAATCAGTGCAGCCCTTCAAATATGCTCATGAAAATGAGCAATGGGGGGGAAGGCTTAGTTAATTCAGATGCTCCTCGACTTGGGATGGGGCTGCAGCCTGATAAACCCACTGCAAGTTGAAAATATCATTAAGTCAAAAGTGCATTTAGTGCACCCAACCTACGGAACATCATCATAGCTTCGCCTCGCCTCCCTTAAAGGTGCTCGAAACGTTTACACTCACCTACGTTGGGCAAAATCATCTAACACAAAGCCTATTTTATAATAAAGTGTTGAGTATTTCATGTAAAATTATTGTACTCTGTATTGCTAAACTGATAAAAGATTAAAGTTCAAAATTCCAAGTATGATTTCTATCAAATGCCTATCTCTTTCGTACCATAATAAACACGAAAAGTCCTAAAATGAACCATTGTTAGTCGAGGATCATCTGCAACGGAAAAATTTTTTTAAAACACAACAGTAAAGAGTGATTTACAACTATGTAACACACACACACACACACACACACACACACACACACACACACACACAGTCCAATACCCTGGCTTGGGGAAAAGAAAGAAACAGACCGTTTAGTGTGGTTTTGTTAGAAGGATGGGACAAAAAAATAATTTTTCTTCTTTCTTGTTTGATGTGTTTTTTTCTACTCTTCTTTAATAAGCATGGTTTCAATTTAAATGGGAAAAAAAATAACAAAGAATCTAGAGAAGGAACCCGCAAGCCCTTTCTGTTCCATAGAGTTTTCCCACAAACTGGGGCAGGGGGTGGGGTAGGTGGGGTGTGGCGGGGTGGACAGAGAAAGAGCTGCCCTTTAGAAGTTAAGCAAGAGCAGGAAAACCATCGTGTGCCGGGCGGGGGTAGGGTGTCAGCTTGACCAGGGGAAGTTGTGGCAACTAATAACAAAGCAACTCCTCTCCCAACTCTGGGCATGGCAAGACATGCCCCCACTCCCCAGACCCCAAGATGGAGCTAGCAACCCTGCCTAATGCCACGGCCCTGTGTTTCCCTGCAGCGTAACACGTGTCGCACGGCAGCGTCTGTAAAGAAAGGGCCTTGTCCGGGCGCGGTGGCTCACGCCTGTAATCCCAGCACTTTGGGAGGCCGAGACAGACGGATCATGAGGTCAGGAGAATGAGACCATCCTGGCTAACACGGTGAAACCCCGTCTCTACTAAAAATACAAAAAAATTAGCCGGGCATGATGGCGGGCGCCTGTAGTCCCAGCTACTCAGGAGGCTGAGGGAGAATGGCGTGAACCCAGGAGGCGGAGCTTGCAGTGAGCCGAGATCGTGGCACTGCACTCCAGCCTGGGCGACAGAGCGAGACTCTGCCTCAAAAAAAAAAAAAAAAGGGCCTCACCACCTGCCCCCTACTCGCGTATGTTACCTCGCCTCACCTGCCTAACCCTGAAGACCTGCCTGCAAGCAGTAAGGTACTACTGTTAGCCCCATTTCACAGACGGGGAAACTGAGGCTCAAAAGGTGTAATAATTTGCCCAAGGTTGCCCAGTTGATCAATGACAGAGTCTGAACTTAATACCATTTGGGCTGGATGTGGTGGCTCAGGCCTATAATCCCAAAGTTTTGGGAGGCCAAGTCGTGAGGATTGCTTGAGTCCAGGAGTTCAAGACCAACTTGGGCAACATAGTGATAGCTCATCTCTACAAAAATTAAAAAATTAGCTGGGCATGGTGGCATGCACCTATACTCCCAGCTACTCAAGAGGCTAAAGCAGGAGGATCTCTTGAGCCCTGGAGGTTGAAGCTGCTGTGAGTCATGATGGTGCCACTGCACTCCAGTCTGGGTGACAGTGAGATACACACACACACACACACACACGCAGATTTTAACACCATTTGGTTTTATCCTTGTCTGTGATGTCTGTGATTTGTCATCTTTTTTTCCATTTCCACTAAAGTAGATGTTAACAAATGGAAGGCTGGAAGAATGGATGGATGAATGGGTGGGTGGATGATAAATGGGTGGATGGATGGATGGAAGGAAGGATGGATGGATGGATGGATGGATGGATGAATGGGTGAGTGGATGATAAATGGGTGGATGGATGGATGGAAGGATGGATGGATGGATGGATGGGTGAGAGATGGATAATGAGTGGAGGGATGGATGAATGGATGGATGGGTGGGTGGATGGAAGGATGGATGGATGGGTGAGAGATGGATGATGGATGGAGGGATGGATGAATGGATGGATGGGTGGATGAATGGATGGGTCGGTGGATGGATGGAAGGATGAACAGATGGATGGAAGGATGGATGGATGGATGGAAGGAAGGATGGATGGATGGATGGATGAGAGATAGATGATGGCTGGAGAGATGGATGAACAGATAGATGGGTGGATGGATGAATGGATGGATGGTTGGGTGGGTGAAGGATGGATGATGGATGGAGGGATGAATGAACAGATGGGCAAATTAATGAATTAGTGGATGACTGGGTGGGTGGAATGCATGCATAAAATAAATGGGTGACTGAATACAAAAAGAACTAACTAAATAAATAATGATGAAAGGCAGAGGGCACTAAGAGGGTTTCACCTTTCAGGGTTTGTTCCTGGACATTGAATGTGCCCTTTGGAAAGATTGCAAACTGGCAGTTATCAGGGTAAATTGGGCTGCAGACATATTTTGTTTGATCTTCACAGGGTTTTTAATTTTTTGAATTGTCATTATTTTAAAATTAGGAAATTTCACATTAAAAATCTAGATTTCTGATTTCTCCTGCAAAATTGGGCCGGCACCCATACCAGGAAATAATATACCAGGACTGACGGGGCTGAGCCTCTGAGTGCTCACGGTCCCCACTGCTCCACAATGCAGTCCTGCTATTGGGGTTGTGTCCACTGCCATTTATCATGGCAGTTTGGGCTGGTGTTTTTCTCAGTACCATTACAAGGAAAATGAAAAATCTCTTACAGGTGGCTCTTGGTCAAAAGTGGAAAATGAACTTAGGTAAAGAGGAAATTGGGAGAGAAGTATTTCTTTGTGGCCATGGAGAACACTCCTGTGGATTCGATGGACCAGCAATGCATCTTGCCTGAGTGGTTAGGGGCACAGATGCTAGAGCCTGATGGCCTGGGTTCAACCCCCGGCTGTGCTACATACCGGCTGTGTGGCCTCGTGCAAGTCACTGAACGTTTCTGGCCTCAGTTTCCTCATGTGTAAAGCAGAGGTGGTGTCAGTCCCCACCTCATAGAGTGTCAATGATTTTCTCTCCGTGGGGCTCTCTAGGTGTGAGCTGCTATTATCTTACACAGGGCTGGCTCCCGTCATGTGTGTGATCTGCCTACCCTGAGCGTCCACAGCAGCGGTTCTCAACCAAGGTCAACTGTGCCCCCCAGGGGACATTTGGCAATGTCTAGAGACATCTGGGGTTGTCACAACTTGGGTGGGGAGGGGCTACCAACATCTTATGGGTAGAGGCCAGGGAGACTGTGAACAGCCTGCAAGGCTCAGGACAGATCAGCAAAAGATTCTGCTGCCCCGTGTACTCCGCCCCGTGTACTACGTGCTGAGGCTGAGGAACCCGGATCTACAGGAGTCCAAGTCCCCAGAGGGGCTGAGCTATGGCCAGATATCTAGGAGTCCCTGAAGGCTGCCAGAGGTGATTCCCTCTAGACGTGGCAGGAGCCATTCCCTCTGGCCTGAGCCACCTCAGCCCTCAGGATCATCAGGCCCCAAGTAGTGCCCCGTCCCAGGGTGCCTGGCCCCAGCCTGCTCCCAGCCCCATACAACAGGCAAGAAATGTGTCTGTCCCTAGCGCCTCCTGGTGGCCCAGCCCTAAACTACATGACTCTTCCCAGCCCAGGGTGGTGGGAGGGGAGGATGAGGACGTACCTTCCGGGTGTTTAATCCAGACTAGTTGGGAATGTGGGAATTTAAGGTCATGGAAGGCGGTAGCCAATGTTTCAAAGACAAATTGACATAGGTTTGAATCTCAGATCTTCCACTGACCATCTGGGAGGCCTTGGACACATCCCATGACTCTCCTGGGCCTCAGTTTCCTCATCTGGAATGGGGATGATGTTATTTATGTCACAGTTTCGTTGGGAGGATTAAATTAAGTGCATAAACAGATGAAACATACGAGATGCTTAGGATTAAATTAAGTGCATAAACAGATGAAACATACGAGATGCTTAGGATTAAATTAAGTGCATAAACAGATGAAACATACGAGATGCTTCACAAGCCTCCTCTCGGATACTTGTTATTGCTGTGTTCATAGCAATTCATAGCCACTTGTGTTTGATGAATTTCCAGTGTACTCAGAGTGATTTTTTTCACTGACTATCAACAAATAATTTTGCTGCAAAGAAATACAGATATGGGAAAGGATGCACAATATATTATCAAATGACCACAGGCCTCAGAAACATTGTATACAAACACTCTATCTGTGTGTGTGTGTGTGTGTGTGTGTGTGTGTGTGTGTGTGTGTGTGTGCGCGCGCGCGCGCAGAGAGAGAGAGAGAATCTTGGTTGTTAACCAGCCTGGAGTGAACACGACTCACTGCAGCCTCCACCTCCTAAGCTCAAGCAATCCTCCCACCTCAACCTTCCAAGTAGTTGGGACTACAGGCACCTGCCATCATATTTAGTAGAGACAGGGTTTTACCATGTTGCCCAGACTGGTTTCAAACTCCTGGACTCAAGTGATCCTCCAACCTTGGCCTCCTAAAGTACTTGGATTACAGGTGTGAGCCACTGCACCCGGCCTGATATATCTATATTTTAAAAATATGTACTTTCATAACATGTATGAGAAACAAATACCTCATTTTCTTAGTATATAAAAATCCCTAGCAGATCAACAAAAAGACAATTATCCAAGAGAAAAATAGACTAACAATTTGAATGCTTTGCCACCAGAAAAGAAATATAAACAGTCTTTGAACGTATTTTTTAAATGTCCAATCTAACATATAAACAATGAATATGTAGATTAGAACTATGGTGAACACCTTTTTCCCCTATCGGCAAGGCCAAGATCAAGAAGTCCAATCATACTTGGCCTTGGCTAGGACGTGGGGAAACCAGAGCTCACGGAGGTTGCCGGTGCAAATGACGATTGGTAGGTACAACCTTAGAGAGCATTTAGACAACCAGCGTCAAAATGTTTAAACGCACCTGCCCTATGACTGGGCGATTCAGTTGCTAAGAATGTATCCATCAGAAATAGCTCTGAATACATGGAAAGACTTCTGTGAAAGGGATACTAATTGCAGCATTGTTTGTTGCAGAAAAACCCTGGAAATACCTCCGTGACTATCACCAGAAAACTTGTTAGATAAATTATTATATTCAGACAATGGAATGTGCAAAGAATGCTCTCCTAGTGCTGATCTGGAAAGATCTGCCAAGGTACATTGCTAAGTTGAAAAAAACAAAATCCCAGTGCAGAACAGGGTGTGTGGTGTGCTTCTATTTAGAGAAATGAGTACAGGAATCCACGCACATATTTGCTTATCTGTGTTCTGGATGTCTCTGTAATGATCCCCAAGAAATGATAACCAGAATGGATTCTGGGGAGGGAAGCTTGGAGTTTTAAAGCTGGGGATGGGGGTTAAGGATTAGAGGGAGAAGACCCACTGTAAATCTTTTGGTATCTTTTGAATTTTTGCATATGAATACAATCCCTTGTTAGTTTTTAAAAATGGAACTTTTTAATGCATTGATAGATGACAGAGAGAAAAATGCCTTGAAGGATATGCTCCAACGTGTCAATAGCACTTATCTCTGGGTGGCTGATGTGAATTAGAAGCGACTTTTATTTTGTTCTTTTTTTATTATTTCTCTAATCAATTATTTATTTTGAGACAAGATCTTGCTCTATCACCCAGGCTGGAGTGCAGTGATGCGATCACCACTCATTGAAACCTCTGCCTCCTGGGCTTAAGTGATCCTCCCAGCTTAGCCTCCTGAGTGGCTGGGACTATAGGCACTTGCCACCATGCCTGGCTGATTTTTTATTTTTAATTAAATTTTTTTTTGTAAAGACGAAGTCTCACTAAGTTGCCCAAGCTGGTTTTGAACTCCTGGGCTCAAACGATCCCTCTGTTTCAGCTTCCCAAAGTGCTAGGATTACAGGTGTGAGCCACTGTGCCCGGTCTGTTCTTTTTAAAAAATACAGAGACAGGGTCTCACTTTGTCACCTAGGCTAGAGTACAGTGGCATAATCATAGCACCCTGCAGCCTTGATCTTCTAGGCTCAAGTGATCCTCCAGCTTCAGCCTCCCAAGTAGCTGGGACCACAGGCATGCACCACCACTTCTGGCTATATTTTGTTCTTTTTACTTAGATTTTCTAATTTAAAAAAATAATTACCAGCCGGGTGTGGTGGCCCATGCCTGTAAATCCTAGCACTCTAGGAGGCCGAGGCAGGAGGATCATTTGAGCCCAGGAGTTTGAGACCAGCCTGGGCAACATAGTGAAACCGCGTCTTTACTAAAAATACAAAAAAAAAAAAAAATTAGCTGGGTGTGGTGGTGCTCACCTGTAGTCCCAGCTACTCAGAAGGCTGAGGCAGGAGAATCACTTGAACCTGGGAGGCAGAGGTTACAGTGAGCCCAGATCACACCACTGCACTCCAGCCTGGGCAACAGAGCGAGACTCCGTCTTAAAATAAAATAAAATAAAATAAAATAAATAATTATCAAGGTATATTCAGATAATTTTTTTAAAAATTAAGTAAGTAAACACCTCAGTGTTCTCTTGGTAGTCAGGGGAAAACTAACTTCTACATGAAAAAAAGAAAAGACCAAAAACACATACACTTCTCTAAACAGGCAGATTATTTTCATTGCCAAGGACATTACAGAGACTGAGGAGTGGGTTGGAAATATATTCTATGAAAAATCGAGAATTAATACAACTGTCCTACCATGCACTTTCTGGGCATCAAAACGCCAAGCTTCTAACTCAGACCTGAGTTCAAACTCTGACTGCCACTTACTAGCTGGGCAAGTTGCTCCTACGCCGTTGGCCTCAGTTTCCTCATCTGTAGTCTGAGACCACATTGCTGCTGGCAGGCTCGAGTGAGATCATGCCTGTGAAGTACTTGGCTCAGGCGTACTCAGAGACCCAGTTCAAACAGGGAACAGGCAGAAATTCTGCACCCCGCAAGGGTGACAGGGCGGAGGGAGGACAGGAGGGGCCGCTTTGCCGGACTGGGGATCAGTGTGCAACTAGCTGGGCCCGGAGTCCCCCACAAACCGGCCAGCTCAGAGGTTCTTCCGACAGTTTGGAGAGAGTGACACCAAGTGGCCAAGTCTGAAACTACACCTTCAAGCCGGAGGGTTAGAGCCTCTCCCCGACCCCTCCAGCTGCGGTCCTGAGCCAGGCACTGAACTTCCCTGAATCTGAGTTTTTTCAGCTGCGAAATGGAGGTAATCCTGCCTACCTGGCAGAGCGGAGGTGGGAATTAAATGAGGTAACCCGCAGAGATTCTCTCCAGGACCGCCATGTTGCACAACTTCAGGGGCCCCATTCATGAAACTGTGCAACATAGCGGCACCCCTAACAGGTGGCTGTCATTATCATCCCTCCCTCAGACACTGAGTTTCCTTCTCTACTCCCCTAGAGCGATTCTGAAGCTGGGTCTTCCAAAGTATAGAACAAATACCAGTGGGATTCGTGGGGAGATCTTGGTGGGCACAGCACCCCAGTATCAAATAACATTTCATTCTCTGTCAATCATTCTGATGGCATCTAGGCGGCAGTCTCAGTTTGATAGGAACATGACATTAACGCCTTTCTAACACTTACCTGCCTCCCTTCCGAACTTTCTGTTTGAGAGTGGGCCTCAGACTTAGTGCCTTCAGAAGGCAAAATTATTTGGCTAGAATTTAATAAAGTTACATGTTTTCATAATATTTACTTTTTGTGGTCACCTTCTATTGAGAGCAAGTGGTGCTGGTTTTCCCTTTACAGTAGATGTGGTAGATTGTATTATTGTCAAAGTATTTATCCCATTGGCAATTCCCTGGTGACCCTCCCGGCTGAAGTCAGGCTTGGCTGTGTGACTTCCTTTGGGCAACAGAGTGTGAGCTAAGCTTTCGAGAAGCGGCTTTGTCATGTGGTTTATCTCTGCTGTGAGAATGGCCTGCCCCAGGAATGGGCTGCACCTTTAACCTGGATCAGAGTAAAGATGACATACGGCCCAGAGCTGCAGTGACCCACAACCAACAAGTAATGAGAAAATAACTGAGGATTCATATTCTCAATATGAATAAGAAATCGACCTTTGTCATTAACAAGCTCCTGAGATGCTGGGGCTGTTTGTTATTGCAGTAAAACATAGCTCGAGTTGGCTGATGCAGTAGAGTTATTAAGTTTCCTTTAAAAATAAATATACTGGGCCGGGTGCAGTGGCTCACGCTTGTAATCCCAGCACTTTGGGAGGCTGAGGTGGGTGGATCACGAGGTCAGGAGTTCAAGACCATCTTGGCCAATATGGTGAAACCCTGTCTCTACTAAAAATACAAAAATTAGCTGGGTGTGATGGCACGCGCTTGTACTCCCAGCTACTCAGGAGGCTGAGACAGGAGAATCGCTTGAACCCAGGAGGCGGAGGCTGTAGTGAGCCGAGATTGTGCCACTGCACTCCAGCCTGGGTGACAGAGCAAGACTCTGTCTCAAAAAATAATAAATAAATAAATAAACTGGCCTGGTGCAGTGGCTCACGCCTGTAATCCTAGCACTTTGGGAGGCCGAGGCGGGTAGATTACTTGAGGTCAGGAGTTTGAGACCAGTCTGGCCAACATGGTGAAACCCATCTCTACTAAAAAAAAAAAAAAATTAGCCAGGCATGATGGTGCACGCTTGTAGTCCCAGCTACTAGGGAGGATGAGGTGGGAGGATAGCTTGAACTCAGGAGGCGGAGGTTGCAGTGATGAGTTGAGATTGTGCCACTGCACTCCAGCCTGGGCAACAGAGCGAGCCTCTGTCTAAAATAATAATAAATAAATAAATAAATATACTGGCCTGATGCAGTGGCTCTCGCCTGCAATCCCAGCACTTTGGGAGGCCAAGGCGGATGGATTACCCGAGGTCAGGAGTTTGAGACCAGCCTGGACAACATGTCATAGCCCCTGCATACTCCTGCCCTCCTTATCCTGTTTGGTTTTTGCTGCTGTTATTGTTGTTGTTTGTTTTTTGTTTGGTTGGTTTTTTGAGACAGAGTCTCGCTCTGTAGCCCAGGCTGGAGTGCAGTGGCACGATCTCAGCTCACGGCAAGTTCCACCTCCTGGGTTCAAGCAATTCCTCTGCCTCAGCCTCCAGAGTAGCTGCGATTACAGGAGTCTGCCACCATGCCCAGCTAATTTTTTGTATTTTTAGTAGACATGGGATTGTACCATGTTGGTCAGGCTGGTCTTGAATTCCTGACCTCAAGTCATCCCCCCGCCTCAGCCTCCCAAAGTGCTGGGATTACAGGCATGAGCCATCACACCCAGCCTTTGCTGTTGTTTTGTTTTGTTTTTTGCTCCGTATCACCTATCATCTTTTGACCATATTTCACATTTATGTGTTTATTTTCTGTATCCCTGTCCCCATTAGAACGTCAACTCCCTCCTTAAAGGCAAGGATTTTGTGGGTTTTGTTTTGTTTTGTTTTGTTTTCCACTTTATAGCCCAGTGCCTAGAACACTGCCTGGCACATAATAGGTGCTCAGTAAGTATTTGCTGAATGAAGGAATGAGTACATGATGGCAAAAGGTAGACAACAACGGCTCCAGGCCCATGCTGCACGAGCTTCAAGTCCAGCTGAAACACTTCTCTTTCAGCTGGGCGCGGTAGCTCATGCCTATAATCCCAGCACTTTGGGAGGCTGAGGCTGGCAGATCACTTGAGGTCAGGAGTTCAAAACCAGCCTGATCAACATGGTGAAACCCTGTCTCTACTAAAAATACAAAAAAATTAGCCAGGCATGGTGGCAGGTGCCTGCAATCCCAGCTACTTGGGAGGCTGTGGCACAAGAATAGCTTGAGCCTGGGAGGCAGAGGTTGCAGTGAGCCGAGATCGCTCCACTGCAGTCCAGCCTGGGCAACAGAGCAAGACTCCGCCTCAAAAGCAAAAAACAAAAAAACTTCTCTTTCCCAGTGTTCTGGAAAAAGTACAGAATTGAATCCTTGGAGTGGAGCACACTGATTGTCCAGGCCTGGGTCGGATGCCTGTATTTAAATCCAGAAGTAGGCTCAGCCCCATCTAAACCATGTGAGCTGACACTGAGCCAGGAGTCTTCTCTACAAAAACTGTGATGCTGTTACAGGGGCAGAGGAAATGGGAGCCAGGTAGGTAAAAACAATCGTCACCCACCACAAGAAGGAGGCTTATTCACCCAGCTGAGTGCCTAGGACTTAGTATGGGTCCCACGAATAAGTTTGTTCACTTTCCTTGTTTCCTTATTTGGAATCAAGTTGTATTCAGGTGGTGGCGGGGGCAGGGATAGTCTGTTAATACCGAAGATAGGACTAGAATAAGGGGCAGGCGATTCAGGCCCTCCCTGGACACCAACATATCTATGGAATTAAAATACTGCTGAAAAAAAGTAGATGCTTAGAGCCAAAAGAAATCTTGGTTTTTCTACATGTAACTTCTTACATAATCAGCAAAATATTAATTAACCTCTCTTCTGACACTGACAAAGACACCCTTGAGAAGAAATTTAAAAAGAAACGTTGTTGGCTTGAATCTATTGCTGTTGATTAGTTTGTGACCCCACATGTGCTTATTGCATTATACAACCATAAGGCATATCACAAACCCCAAGACCAGCCAAGTGGGCCTCCTGAAATTGGCAGTCATGGTCAGCTAAAATTCTGAAACCATATGGCATAGTGCTGTTATTGGGAATGAGTAATCTATTTTGTTCCAGAATCTAAATTCTAAGCTCTGTAATAATGCCTCCAGTTGTAGAGTCTGAGAGTTGTCCCCAGTATCAGTTTTTCCCTTCTATAGAGGTAAATGCTCCGTGGAAACACATGGCTGGTTGCAGTAAAGACTACATTTCCCAGCCTCCCTTGCAGCAAGAAGCGGCCATGTGACTGAGGTATGGCCAATGAGATGTGAGCAGAACATGGGACAGCAAACAAGGTGATCAGCCATTTGGACCTCTGGATGGGGTCCACATGCTGGTGAGAATGGGACAACAAGTTAGGGGCCCAAGCCTCTGACAACTTTCTGGTACAGAGCCACCGCCCAGCTCAGACATCCCTGTGAAAAACAAATAAACGCTTATCATATTTCAGTCTCTTATTTTATGTCTCTGGGCCCCACAGACGAAATTATGTTCTAATAATACACCTCTAAAGAAGTTGGCCTGGCATACATAAATAAAGCTCTTCCTCCTTCTTCTTTTCTTCTTTTTCTTCCTCCTCCTCCTCCTCCTCTTCCTTCTTTCTTCTTCTCCTTCTCTTCCTTCTTCTCCTTCTCCTCCTCCTTCTCCTTCTCCTTCTCCTTCTTCTCCTCCTTCTCCTCCTCCTCTTCCTCCTCCTTCTTCTCTTCTTCTTGATTCTTCTTCTTTTGGTTTGTTGGTTTTTTTGAAACAGAGTCTTGCTTGACACCCAGGCCTGAGTCCATTGGTGTGATCATAGCTCACTGCAGCCTTGAACTCCTTGGCTCAAGTGATCCACCTTGGCCTCTTGAGTAGCTGAGACTATAGGTGTGCACCACCATGCCTGGCTAATTTTCTTTGTAAAATTTTCTTTAGAGATGTAGTCTCACTGTGTTTCCCAGGCTGGTCTCAAACTCCTGGACTCAAGTGATCCTCCCTCCTTGGCTTCCCAAAGTGCCTGGGATTACAGATATGATCCACCGCACTTGGCCTTCTTTTTTTTTTTTCTTTAACGGAAGTATACAAGTTTGATTCACTTATATCAGTTTATTCCTGTTCAACAAATACTTAAGACCATCTAAAGATGCCTGCCAAGGAGGCCCCTATGTTATAGCGGCATTAAAAAAAATAACAAAAACTGGGCCAGGCACGATGGCTCACATCTGTAATCTCAGCACTTTGGGAAGCCAAGGTGGGAGGATTGCTTGAGCCCAGGAGTTCAAGACCAGCCTGGACAATATAACGAGACCTCATCTCTATTAAAAACAAATAAATAAATGAAACCTACTCTTTGGCACCTTTAACTTAAGTCCTCCAGGGAGCTGGTTTCCAAAGCTGGCTGACTATCAGCAGCATATGGGGAGTCTTTTTAAAATAGATTCCTGGACCTTGGCCAGTTCATTTGAAAAGCAGGATATTGGAAATCTGTAATTTTAAAAACACTCCCCTTCCTACCAGCTGTGTGACTTTGAGCAAGTCATTTAATTTCCGAGTGCTGCCATTGCCTCATCAGTGAAATGGGGACAATAATCGTACCTACCACATAGGTCTGTTGTGGGCATGAATTTATTTCATATGTGCAAAGCACTGAGCATAGTGCCTGGAACAGAGCAAGATCTCTGTGTGTGAGTTATCATTATGTCTGTTGGTGGGAGTATAGATTAATGCAAACTGGCCCGGTGCAATGGCTCACACCTGTAATCCCAGCACTTTAGGAGGCCAAGGTGGGAGGATAACTTCAGCCCAGGAGTTCGAGACCAGCCTGGGCAACATAGCTAGACCTCGTCTTTACAAAAAATTAAAAAAAAAAAAAAAATAGCCAGATGTGGTGGTGCATGTGTGTGGTCCCAGCTACTTGGGAGCCTGAAGTGGGAGGATCACTTGAGTCTAGGAGGTCAAGGCTAAAGTGAGCTGTGATTGTGCCACTGCACTCCAGCCTGGGTGACAGGGTGAAACCCTGTCTCAAACAACGTAAAACAAACAAAAAAAATGATGCAAACTTTCTGGAGGACAGTTTGTGCTATCTACCAAAGTATTAAATATGTACCCAGCAACATGGTAGCTCATCCAGGGCACAAGAATGATCATTACAGCTTACATTTATTCAACAAGTATTTATTGAGCACCTACTACAGTACTTTAGTCAGAATAAAATAGGCTATACTGCAGGGACAAAGCCAGCGTTGCAGTGACTTAATACAGCAAAGGTTCATTTCTTGCTTTTGCATTATGATACAAATTGAGTACTTTTCTCCATCTGGAACAGGCTGATGCAGGTGAATCCCAAAATCAGGGCTCAGCCTGGGAGGGTTCTTGGCTTCACTCAGGAAAGAATTCAAGAGTGAGCCAACAGTGAAAGAAAGCAAGTTTATTAGAGCAGCAGTGTGCAGCAGAGGGGCTGCTCCGTAGACAGAGCAGGGCTACTCCATAGGCAGAGCAGCCCAGAACAGCAGCAAAGACCACAGCCCAGAGCAGTAGTCCTTGCAGACCAGGGCTACCGATATTTATACCCACTCTTAATTATATGCTAATGAAGGGGCGGGTTATTCAGAATTTTCTAGAAAAGTGGCAGAGGGTTCCCAGAACTATATAAGGTAACTTCCAGGTCATTGCCATGGCATTTGCAGACTGTCCTGGTGCTGGTGGGAGTGTCTTTATGCTATGAGCAGTGAGGGCAACTAGAGGTCACTTTTGTCACCATCTGCTTGTTTCAGCGAGTTTCTTTACTGCATCCTGTTTTGATCAGCAGGGCTGTGATTTGTGCTTGGAAAATAAGTCCTACTGATCTCCTACCTCACCTTCTTTATCTGGAAAAGGAAGTCTTAGAGATGAACACTGTAGGCAAAGAGAGAGCTAGAAGGTAACATGGAATTTTTCAACGGCCAGACCTGAAAGTAGCTTCCATCACTTTTGCATATCCCATTGGGCATAAATGAGCCATGTACTTTCAACCTTACTGCAAGGAAGGCTGGGAAAGGTAGAGGAGCATGTAGATATTGAGTGAGGGGTGTCTTTGTGACATCTACTATGTTCAAAGACAGTGCTAGGAGCTGGGGCAGTCATGGGGGAGCAAGACCAACAAGGTTCCTGCCCTCATAGGTCCTCCCTTCTAATGAGGGAGATAGACAATAAACCTCTGCTCTAAACATGATCCCAGATATATGTCATTTTGCACTTGAGCAAGAATATCTGATGGATACATTTTCAGAATCTGTGGCTGCTGCGTCAAAGGGTATATATATTTGTCATTTCAACAGATATGGTCAAATTGTCCTCCATAGGACTGTGCCAATTTCCACCTCCACCATCAAGGTACAAAAGTGCTTTTTTTTGCCTGCAGGCTTGCCAACACAGTGTGTTATCAGACTTTTGGATTTTTGCCAATCTGATAGGCGAGAAATGATCTCTGTGTACTTTTAATTTGCATTTTTCTTATTATAAAGGAAGTTGAACATCCTTTCACATGTTTATGAGCTATTTGTATTTCCTTTTCTGTGTACTTGTGTGTACATATCCCTCATCCATTTTCCTCTGAGTCATTGATTGAGGATATTACTAAATGAAAAAGTGAAGGGACAGAACAGAATGCATAGTAGAATCATTTTTGTAAATGAAAAGTGAAACAATATGTTGGCATATACATATAAATATACTCGCATAGGCATAAAAATTTTCTAGAAGCAGCCAGGCGCGGTGGCTCACGCCTGTAATCCCAGCACTTTGGGAGGCCAAGGTGGGTGGATCACTTGAAGCCAGGAGTTCAAGACCAGCCTGGCCAACATGGTGAAACCCTGTTCCTACTAAAAATACAAAATTAGCTGGGCATGGTGGTGCGCACCTGTAATCCCAGCTACTCAGGAGGCTGAGTCAGGAGAATCACTTGAGCCCAGGAGGCGGAGGTTGCAGTGAGCTGAGATTGCGCCATTGCACTCCAGCCTGGGTAACAAGAGCAAAACTCCACCTCAAAAAAAAAAAAAAAAGAAGGTGTAAACAACTACAGATGTCCACCATGAACACCTCCTGTGTGCAAGGCACTGTGGAAGCTGCTGGGAATACAATGGTGAACAAGATGTGTGTGGTCCCTGCCCTCAAGGAGCTAACATCTTAGAGGGTGAGAGAAGAAGGGCAAATTAACAAATGTTTTAGGTCAGGCGCGGTAGCTCACACCTGTAATCCGAGCACTTTGGGAGGCCTAGGTGGGTGGATTGCTTGAGCCCAGGAGTTCGAGAATAGCCTGGCAAAATGGCAAAACCCCATCTCTACAAAAAATACAAAAATTGGCCAGGCATGGTGATGCATGCCTATAGTCCCAGGTACTGGGGAGGCTGAGGTGGGAGAATCACTTGAGCCCAAGAAGTTGAGGCTGCAGTGAGCCATGATCATGCCACTGCACTCCAGCCTGGGCATCAGAGCGAGATCCTGTCTCAAAAGAAAAGAAAAGACCAACAAATCAGTGGGAAAATGGTCAAAAAAAGATCAAAAAGAGGAAAAAGCAAATGGCTCTTAAGCATACCAAAAGATGCTCAGTTTTGGCCAGGCACAGTGGCTCACGCCAGCACTTTGGGAGGCCGAGGAGGGCGGATCACCCGAGGTTGGGAGTTCAAGACCAGCCTGACCAACATAGAGAAGCCCTGTCTCTACTAAAAATACAAAATTAGCCAGGTGTAGTGGTGCATGCTTGTAATCCCAGCTACTTGGGAGGCTGAGGCAGGAGAGTCGCTTGAACCCGGGAGGCGGAGGTTCCAGTGAGCCAAGGTCACACCATTGCACTCCTGCCTGGGCAACAAGAGTGAAACTCCGACTAAAAAAAAAAAAGCTCAATTGCATGTATAAAAAGAGAAATGAGATACCATTTCCTACCACCACCCCGCCCCCACCATTGCACTGGTTTAACCAAAGTCTCAAATTGACAATCCACTGTGTTGGTAAGGGTGTCAGAAAATGAGCACACGCAAACTGATGCGACTCCACATGAAGAGGACTTTGGCATTATTCATTAAGTTTAAAATGACCATAGCTGTTACCAAGGCAATTCTGCTTTTAGGAGTTCATCCTACAGATTTATTCACACACAGCATGGACGCATAACATTTTAAGGGAATGGGGAGGAACAGAATATATATTCACATTTGCTTGTACATGCATAAACCATCTTAGAAAGATATGCAATGGACTAATAACTGATTGTGGGAAGGAACAGCATATGCAAAAGGCCCCAAGCTGAAAAAGAGGTTGGTGTATTTCAGGAACTAAGAGTGTGCCTGGGAAGGATGACATGTGACAAGTGGTGGCCTGAGGCTGCTGAGCCTTGTAGATCACCACTTAGGAGTCTGGTCTTGAGTCCAAATGCAGTGGGAAGACATTCAAAAGAAGATGATCTGATTTCCATTTTAAAAGCATCTTGCTGCCATTTGGAGAAACTACTGGAGGAAGGCAAGACGCAAGTCAGGAGACTGATTAGCAGGCTGGACAGTTCCCTGAGGGAGGGACAGGGAGCGGGTGGCTGCACCTGAGAGGTGGCAGTGGTGAAAACGAGCAGGCAGATTGAAGACAGTTTGAAATTGCAATGGATGAGTTGGATGTGGCCCAGGAGGGGTAACAGAGCAGACTCAAGGAAGACTCAAGGCTGAATTCTGGCTTACGTGGCCACATGGGTGGCTATGGAGGCTACTGGGCTGGGAAGGCTAGAGAAAGGGGCCCAGATTTCGCTTGGGTACCCCAGGGTGGGGTGTGTTAAGGTTGAGAAGTCAATAAACATCTGAGTGGCAACTTCCCCCTCTCTCTCCACTTCCCCAACCCCGCCTAGGGTCATGGTGAGGGTGGGGAGTGGGAAAAGGGCAGGGCATAAAAATAAAAAATAAAACGCCAGGCACGATGGCTCACACCTGTAATCCCAGCACTTTGGGAGGCTGAGGTGGGCAGATCACTTGAGGCCAGGAGTTTGAGACCAGCCTGGGCAATGTGATGAAACTGTCTCTAGTAAAAATACAAAAATTAGCTGGGCGTAGTGGTGTATGCCTGTAATCCCAGCTACTAGGGAGGCTGAGGCAGAAGAATTGCTTGAACCCGGGAGACAGAGGCTGCAGTGAGCCGAGATCGTGCCACTGCACTCCAGCCTGGGCAACAGAGCAAGACTCTGTCTCAAAAATAAAATAAATAAAATAAAATAAAATAAAATAAAATAAATAAAATAAAAATGTTCATAGCAGCTTTATTCATAATAACTCAAAACTGGAAGTGGCCCAAGTGTTCAACAGCAGAATGGATAAATGTTTACTATCCACAGCAGAATGGATAAATGGATAAATGTTTACTATATATATATATGTATGTGTATATATGTATGTATACATACAAATATATTACAAATATACAAATATATTATTTAATCTATAATCTGGGAAGTCTACTAAAATAGTCTAAATATATTATTAGTATACATTATTTTAGTGTGCATATGTATATATATACACACATATATTAAAAGAATGAAAATGAACAAACTACTGATACAGCCCACACAAATGAATCTCACAGACATTCTGTTGCGCAACAGAAGCCAGACACCAAGGAGTACATATTGTCTAATGCCATTTATTCATTTTATTTATTTATTTATTGAGATGAAGTCTTGTTCTGTTGCCCAGGCTGGAGTGCAGTGGCGCGATGTCGGCTCACTGCAACCTCTGCCTCCCAGGTTCAAGCAATTCTCCTGCCTCAGCCTCCCAAGTAGCTGGGGCTACAGGCACGTGCCACCACGCCCAGCTAATTTTTTGTATTTTTAGTAGAGACAGGGTTTCACTGTGTTGGCCAGGATGGTCTCGATCTCCTGACCTCGTGATCCGCCCACCTCAGCTTCCCAAAGTGCTGGGATTACAGGCGTGAGCCACCGTGCTCGGCTGTCTAATGCCATTTATATGGACTTGTAGAATCAGCAAATCTAACTCGTGATGAAAGTAAAAACTGAGAAACCAAGTTTCCTGGAAGCACAAAAGGCAAGGCAAGATCTATTTTGAAGCAAGCTCAGAGTGGCAGCAGATTATGTAGGGGCCACAAGGCAGCCTTTAAGCTGCACCTCAAAAATAGCATCTGTCCCCTGGATATTTTAAGAGTGTCCTCTGCAGGGCATGGCAGGAGCCAGAGGCCTGTTTGGGCATCTCCAAGCGTGCACCTAAAGAATGTATCATCTGGCCGGGCACGGTGGCTCATGCCTATAATCCCAGCACTTTGGGAGGCCAAGGCGGGTGGATCACCTGAGGCCGGGAGTTCAAGACAAGCCTGGCCAACATGGTGAAACCCCGTCTCTACTAAAAATACAAAAATTAGCCAGGCAAGGTGGTGCATGCCTGTAATCCCGGCTGCTGGGGAGGCTGAGGCAGTAGAATCACTTGAACCCAGGAAGTGAAGTTTGCAGTGAGCTAAAAAAAAAAAAAAAAAAAAAGGAATGTATCACCCCGCCTCCCCTTGACCCTGAGCACCACCCGGCTCCAAAGCTGTGTCAGCAGCAATATAAAAGGTGCAGAGATAAAGAGAGACATTTAATTAGAAGATGATTTGGGAATCATCTTCTAATTTAGGAACCAAGCTGCAAAATATCTTTCTCCCTTAATGGCACAAATGGGGAATTTGGACTTTGAACCTTTTCTCTTGTCAGGCCACCAAAAACGTCTTCCTGTATTAATAGAAGGCAAATGTAAGGATTCAGGGCCAGGAGGGCTGTGGGCTGTGGGTCTTAGATTGTCTAGAGTCAGAACATTAAGAACATGAGAGCCCTTTCTGGACCTCTTTGTTTATGCGGGGCTTCTGCTGGGGCTTATAATCACCTCATCACTGCTGCTATTTTTGCAGTAATTATTAAGTACTTTAATACGTGCACAGGGCATGTGCAGTCCTTCAATTACACTGCTCCTGCCTCATTGTCGGGAGGCGAGTTGGAATTGTTCTCCTTGTTTTGCACAAAAGAAAGCAAAGGCCTGGGTGAATGAACAAGTTCAGGGTCAAAAATGAGTCAGCACAAGGGAGATGGCAGGAGGTGGGTGGGAACCCGGCAGTCCCTAGTTCCCGCCCAGCTTGAAGTGCTAGCAGGTCTAAATTCAAGGCATGTGCCACATCCTTGAAGAAGTGATCGACGGCCGGGCGTGGTGGCTCACGCCTGTAATCCTAGCACTTTAGGAGGCCGAGGCAGGAGGATTGCTTGAGCCTAGAAGTTCGAAATCAGCCTGGGCAACATAGTGAGACCCTCTCTAAAAAAAATAAAAATAGGCCACGGATGGTGGCTCACACCTGTAATCCCAGCACTTTGGGAGGCCGAGGCAGGCAGATCACTTGAGGTCAGGAGTTCAAGACTAGCCTGGCCAACATGGCAAAATCCCATCTCTACTAAAAATACAAAAATTAGCTGGGTGTGCTGGCGCATGCCTGTAATCCCAGATACTCGGGAGGCTGAGGCAGGAGAATTGCTTGAACCCGGGAGGCAGAGATTGCAGTGAGCTAAGATTGTGCCACTGCACTCCAGCCTGGGCCACAGAACAAGACTCTGTCTGAAAAAAAGAAAAAAAAATCACCTGGTTCATAGTAAGATGTCATTGTTAATTTTGGAAGGTGTGCTAATAGCATGGTGGTTTCAGAAAAAAAAAAAAAAAGAACAACTTAGTATCAACTACTGGTGAAGTGACAAAAGGCTTACGATGAAATTGACAAAATGAATGTGGATAATTGCTGAAGGTGGATACTGGAGAGTTAGTTATATGACTCTATTTTTCTAGATGATGTTTGAAATTTTCCATAGTACATGTTTTGAAATTGTATAGACTAAATGTTGCAAACTTGTATCTTATGGGTAAAATGCTGCTCACAAAAATCCTGTACCTCCTTTAGATGGGTCCTTGGCTCTCAGTGTGCCACAGTCCCCACCCTTCCCTATTATAGCCTGACACTGTTCATCATCACTCTTGGGTCACTGTTTTTGTTTAAGTAGAATTAAAAGGAAACTGAATGAGTTCTCTTGGGGCAAGACTGTTATTTGCCATCCATATGTCCAACCTCTACTTCTTTCTTACTTATAGAAACTCCTACACTATTGGCAATGAATTTTGAAATAACATTTCCCAGTTTCTCTTGAAGCTAAGAATTGCCCAGTGTTTCTCAGTCAGAGGTGATTTTGTCCCCCAGAGGACATCTGGCAAAGTCTTGGAAGACAGTTTTGGTTACCACAACAGGGGCAGGGAGGGAGGCAGGGAGTGCTCTACTGATATCTGGTGGGTGGGTAGAGGTCAGGGTACTGCTAGACAGCCCTCCAATCCCCAGGTCTCCCTCCCACAACAAAGAATTATGCAGTCCAAAATGTCAGTAGTGCCCGATTGAATGGCCAATGCATGATAAGTGGAAGTTGATGTTGGGGTTTCCAAGAAAGCCCTTTGGTGTCTTGCCAATCTTCCTAGAATATAAACATGATGGCTGGAGTTTGAGCAGCCATTCTGTGACCTTGAGGAGGGAGGTTCTATGCTAAAGATGGAAGGAAATGGGATCCCCGAAAACATCATAGAATTGCCATATCTGTTCTTTGGAATGCAGATTTTCAGACATGGTTTTATGTGAAAGAAATAAATCTCTAATATGTTTAAGTCACTGAAATCAAGTCTCTGTTACTGTCAGCCAAGTGCAGTTTCTAAATGATTTGTCTCTGTGCCCAGTTCTCTATGCTAATGGAGAAAGGAAAGATAGACTAAGAGGGCCATATGTTTAAAGAAAAAAAAAAAAAAAAGGCCTGGGACATGCTGGCTCTTGCCTATAATCCCAGCACTTCGGGAGGCCGAGGCGGGCAGATCACCTGAGGCTGGGAGTTTGAGACCAGCCTGACCAACATGGAGAAACCCCGTCTCTACTAAAAATGCAAAATTAGCTGGGCATGGTGGCGCATGCCTGTAATCCCAGCTACTCGGGAGGCTGACGCAGGAGAATCGCTTGAACCAGGACCCGGGAGGCAGAGGTTGCAGTGAGCTGAGATCGCGCCATTGCACTCCAGCCTGGGTGACAAGAGTGAAACTCCGTCTCAAAAAAGAAAAGAAAAAGAAACGAGAAAATACGTTTCTTCACAACAATGAAACAGTTCATTGCCTTCATTTATGTCACTTCTTGATCCCTGTAGGCATTTGAGTTTGCAACTCCTGGACTGGTCCTTAACCAAAAAGATGAGGAAACTGAGGTCCTCAGCAGGTTAATGATGAGTTAGGAGTGAATCCACAACCTGGTCCCTCTCCCCGCATTTCTAAGGTACCAAGGCCTACGCACTGGCGAAGAATATGGTTTCTGCAGCCAGACAGACGTTGGTTCAAACACTGGTACTGACACAGGAAAAGTTCCCTTATCCTCCTCGAAGGGCATGCGATGGGGGTGTGGCTCACTTCCTCAGTGCTTCGCTGCTCAAAACCCCTAGGGGGAGCAGGCAGACGGGCAGGGTGTGGGACTCTGGCCACGCAGCGTCTAGGCGTGAATGTTTACAGCTCCTGAGGCCCCAGTGGGCGTGTGTTCCAGGGTGCTCTTTTCGTTTAACCGTCCATAGACAGCTTGTGTTAGCTCAATTAGACCCCTTGCCTTATCTCAAGGACAGAGGGCTATCTGTATCCTGGGGTTTCTTGCCTTGGCGTACCTGAAGAACTGGATCACACGTAGGCTTGGAGAATGAACGCAAGGTTTTATTGAGTGGAGGTAGCTCTCAGCAGATGGGGGAGCCAAAGGGGATGGAGTGGGAAGGCGATTTTCCCCTGGACCTGGGCCGCTGAGTGGCCCAGGCTCTCCTCCCACCACCCCAGCCAAACTCCAAGTTGTTCCACCGGTCGATGGCCTGCTGGCATCTGCCGGTGCCTGATGGTGTGCTCTCATGCCAGTTCCTTCTTCTCCAGGTCTAGTTGCTTGTGTCTTTTTTTTTTTTTTTTTTTTTTGAGATTTAGTCTCACTCTGTTACTCAAGCTGGAGTGCAGTGGCATGATCTGGGCTCACTGCAACCTCTGCCTCCTGGGTTCAAGTGATTCTAGTGCCTCAGCTGGGACTACAGGCACCTGCCACCACGCCCGCCTAATTTTTTTGTATCTTTTTTTTTTTTTTTTTTTTTTTTTTTTTTTAGTAAAGATGGGGTTTCACCATGTTGGCCAGGCTGGTCTCAAACTCCTGACCTCAAGTGATCTGCCCACCTTGGCCTCCCAAAGTGCTGGGATTACAGGCGTGAGCCACCGCACCTGGCCGTCGCTTGTGTCTTCTTCCACCAGTGCGTTCTTCTTGGCATCCAGCCACTTGTGTCTCTGCCTGCTAGGGTCTGGGGGTTTCTATAGGCATAGGATGGGGGCGTGGCAAGCCAGGGTGGTCTTGGGAAATGCAACATTCGTGCAGGAAAACAGAAATGCCTGTCCTCACGTAGGTCCGTGGGCACAGGCCCAGGGGTGAAGCCCTACCCAGGGACCACGCCCTTCCCTTCCCAGCACTTCCCTGCCCCCACTCCCGTATCAGTACCACCAATTACTAGCTCTGTGGCTTTATGCAGCTCACTTAGCTTCTCTGTCTCTCAGTTTCTGATGCGTAAAACAAGGATGACAATAAAGGCACCTATTGCCTAGGGCCATTAGGTGGATTCACATCAGTCCGTGCCCTGGCAGGAGGAGAGTTTTATGAATGGACTGTCTATAAAATGTAGGTGGGGACCGTCCATTTCTCCAACAGCTGGGAAGGATGTTGGTGTTGAAGTTTACACACCTATCAAGGACAGTAACTACCATGGCTTCTGGTGCTTTGACAAAACCTCCAATGCATAGCCTTCTGGTTAAGCGTCTGTGATTTCATATTATTGGAGCATTCATGGTATCCCTGGTGGTTGCAGCTTTCTACAAGATTGCTATGGCCGAACCAAGAAAGAAGGCATACGCAGATTTCTACAGAAATTATGATTCCATAAAAGATTTTGAGATGAGGAAGGCTGGTATCTTTCAGAGTACAAAGTGATCTTGGAATATGAAGAATTTCTTTGAGTTGAAATATCTAGAAGTTTGTCACTGACTTGTGTTCCTGAACTATGAAACATGAATGAATATGTCAGCTAAGAAATAGTTTCTCTTGGTCAGGCGTGGTGGCTCATGCCTGTTATCCCAGCACTTTGGGAAGCTGAGGCGGGCAGATCGCTTGAGATCAGGAGTTCGAGACCAGTCTGGCCAACATGGTGAAACCCCATCTCTACTAAAAATACAAAATTAGCTGGGCATGGTGGGCATGCCTGTAATCCCAGCTTCTTGGGAGGCCGAGGCAGAAGAATTGCTTGAACCTGGGAGGTGGAGGTTGCAGTGAGCTGAGATCGCAGCACCGCCCTGCAGCCTGGGCAACAGAGCCAGACTGTCTGAAAAAAAAAAAAAAAAAGGAAAAGAAAAAAGAAAGAAAGAAAGAAAGAGTTTCTTGACTAGGTGTGGTGGCTCATTCCTGTAATCCTAGCATTTTGGGAGGCCAAGGTGGGCAGATCACGAGGTCAGGAGTTCGAGACCAGCCAGGCCAACATGGTGAAACCCCATCTCTACTAAAAATACGAGAAATAATTAGCCAGGTGTGGTGGCGTGCGCCTGTAATCCCAGCTACTCAGGAGGCTGAGGCAGGAGAATCACTTGAACCTGGGAGGCGGAGGTTGCAGTGAGCCGAGATTGTGCCATCATTGCACTCCAGCCTGGGCAATGGAGCAAGACTGTTTCAAAAAAAAAAAAAAGAAAGAAAAAAAAGAAAAAAGAAATAGTTTCTCTTGATAAATAAACAATTAACAACAACAATAACAAAATGTAGGTGGGATTTACAGAACCCAGGGATGCTGCATCACTCCAGCGATAGTAACAAAGGGAGTTTATCACAGCTAGATAGTAACAGAGGGGTCCTTAGCACCCCCACATAGTAACAGTGGCCTGGAGGAGCAAAGGAAGAAGTGGTCTCCAGGTCCAGAGAGAGGGAGCTCTACAGAGAGGCTACCTGACAGAAGCTGTGTCATCCTTCAGTCAAGGGACACAGTAGACCATGGTGACCCAACAGGAGAGCTGGGGGAATAAACAGCTCCTCTGGAATTGAGATGTTCAGTTAGCCAAGTGCATTTGTTAGCTGCCCAACCACTCTAAGCTCACGAGGAGCAAGAGAAAGCATGCCTTCTTAGTAGCTACTAAACAAATCCTGAGATGAACTCTGATTGAACCAATCTGTGCCACATACCCATCTCTAAGCCAATCATCGTAGTTTTTTTGTTTGTTTGTTTGTTTGAGACGGAGTCTCGCTCTGTCACCCAGGCTGCAGTGCAGTGGTGCAATCTTGGCTCACTGCAACCTCCACCTCCCAGGTTCAAGCAATTTTCCTGCCTCAGCCTCCCAAGTAGCTGGGATTACAGGCTCCCGCCACCATACCCGGCTAATTTTAGTATTTTTAGTAGAGACGGGGTTTCACCATGTTGTCCAGGCTGGTCTCGAACTCCTGACCTCAGGTCATCCCCCCGCCTCAGCCTCCCAAAGCACTGGATTACAGGCGTGAGCCACTGTACCTAGCCAATCATCATAGTTATTGTACCTCCACTGCTCTGGTTCGTTGGTGCTAAGTCACATGCTCCTTGTTGGGTTACAGGCTCAAGGGAACTTCCTGATGGAGCGAACTTCCAGAAGGGGTGGTTCCCAAATGGAAACTCAGGTTACTTGGCATGGAAGAGAGTGCCGTAGATTCAGGGTGGCCCCAAATCAGCAAACATTCATTATATTCACGTTATAAAATGAAAGAACATTCAGAAAACAGCATAAAGTAGCATGATACCATTGGTAGGCACTGTGGGATTTCCCATCAGCCATCCTCAAAACTTATTTTTGGCAAATGAAAGTGTTGGACTAGGGTAACTCTTCCCTGCCAACATTCAACATGTGTGACTATCCCCAGAAAGTAACTACGTAGGAACAAGAACATGAGATGCTCCCAGCTGGAGCCCCAAGGGCCATTTCCAAAGCTACCAACAGAGCGTCCTCTGTGTTTCAGTAAGGGTAACTTTCTGCAAAATACAACAAAGATGTTCATGTGAAATAAAGGGGGTGATTTATGTATGAAAAGGTGGGGTGTGAGCCTTGTGAATACCATGGGAAGATGAGGTCCTTCCACTCAGGGAATAGGAGCCCCGTGGTTTGGCCCCAGATGGTAAACAGGAGTGCTGTTTAGTTGAAGAACAGCATGTCCCATTCTGTTCTTTTGGGGAGATTTAAAGCAAGACCGTTTGCAATTGGATCTAATTGATAAGTGTCTTAGTTTGGAATCCCCTGTTGGCACACCTCATATCTTAGTTTAGATTCTCTAGATACAGACCCTGAGACAAAGACTCAAGGACACATCACTTCTTTGGAAGGCAAAAGAAATACGAGTAGAGAAGAAAAGAGACCCAGGGAAAGGAGGACAACCAATATTAAGCAAGTTATCAAGACAGTTACTGCCCTAGGCAAGTGAAGCTTAATTCCACCTGTGTAGAACACATGTCTCAGAGTTATCTTACCTGAAGGATCAGCAACTCCATCTTGGAAGCTAATCCGCCATGTTGGCTTCTGATTAACCCCTGTTCCAAGAAGGCCTCTAAGATTTCTAGTTTATCTATTATTCCTTGTGTAAGAGCAGGTTCTGACTCTATATCCTGTCCTTAGGTCAAACAACCTTGATGTTATCTTACTTCAACTGTTCTACACATCCCTTCTGAACCACCCCTCTCCTATGGTATAGAAGCCCTGGGTCTGGGAGATAATGGAGTGGGGATCCACCATCTTGTCTGGCCACCGCAGGAGACACAGACGTGGCATCTGTTTCTAAGTTTCTATTAAAAGTTTCTTTCTAAGGAACTGAGTATGTCAGCATCATCTCTTCAGCCTCTCAGCTTCCTTGGACTTTGGGGTAAGTTTGCATAGACCTGCCCACTGCAAAACAATCAGGAAGCTGGGGTATTTATACACCACCTCTATCCATTCCTTGGTTGAAGGCAGCTGGAAAGAAGAGAAGGAATATTCATTCTCCAACCTCCTTTAGGCTGCTTGACTCTGACAACCAGAAGAAAAAACCCAAAAAACTCATAGAAAAAGATGCACATACTACCAGTTAGAAGTTGGGCAGTTGGCCAGGCGCAGTGGCTCATGCCTGTAATCCCAGCACTTTGGGAGGCTGAGGAGGGCGGATCACCTGAAGTCAGGAGTTCAAGACCAGCCTAGTCAACATGGTGAAACAAAATACAAAAATTAGCCGGGCGTGACGGTGGGTGCCTGTAATCCCAGGTACTTGGGAGGCTGAGGCAGGAGAATTGCTTGAACCCGGGAGGCAGAGGTTGTAGTGAGCCAAGATCATGCCACTGCACTCCAGTCTGGGCAACAGGGCAAGACTCTGTCTCAAAAACAAACAAACAAACAAAAAAAAGAGCTAGTTACCTTTATGGGCAACTGGGGCACAGTCCCAGAGGGGCCCTCAGGGGATGATGTGGAGTATACCGCAAGATTGTCTCAGGAAGGGTTGGGGAAACTGTGCTGTTTATCCGCAATGACCACTCTCAGCGGTTGAAGGTGGTGCCCGGGGCCAGCAACTCCAGTACACTTCCCTTCCCACACATGTGACCTGCCATGCGCACATGAAGCACACAGGCTCTGGGCAGAGAGATGCGGGTGCCGGAGGTTGGGTATACGTCACCAGCATTTATAGAACTGTCCATCTAGCTTCAGGCAGCTCTCTTGAGTGGGCTGAGGAGGATGAGTGAGCACTGATGCTGGCCAGGAAACTTAGGAGAAGGAGGGGAAAGGAAGAAAGGAACAAAACTAACATTTATAAAGTGCAGGGTAGTTGCCAGCCATTAGCACAGTTACTTTCGTTTTCTGATTCCCATTGTACAGTTGAGAAAAACGAGCTCAGAGAGGGAAAGTGACTTGCTCTTGACTATGTGACAGTTAAGTGCTGGAATTCCAGCTCAGATTGAGTCTACAAAGACAGTGTTCTCTATCTCCCTCTTCCTTTTCTCCTTGTCCTCCTCTTCTCTGCTTTTCTCTCCCTCTCCCTCCTCCCCACCACCTTGTTTATTTTTTTTCCAAATAATATTTAGAGTTACCAAGACAGAAGTCAAGAGGAAAGCTTTCTGGTGTCCTTAAAGATGTGCTTTATGAAAGATAGTTTTCATTTGCTCTTTTATTCATTTGACACATTTATTAAGCACCTATGATACGCAATATATAGAAAACAAGACAGACACAATCCTTGCCCCTTAGGCTT
This sequence comes from Homo sapiens, assembly GCF_000001405.40. Classification (NCBI taxonomy): domain Eukaryota; kingdom Metazoa; phylum Chordata; class Mammalia; order Primates; family Hominidae; genus Homo; species Homo sapiens. Next base: position 50,484,273 of record NC_000020.11, read on the forward strand.
TATACTCTAGCAGGAAAAGGAGGCATTAAACAGCTAAATACACATGGCGAGGAGGGGGTAAGGGAAGCCTAGATGGGGAAGTGGGGGAGTGAGATGGGAACAGGAAGGCAGCCATAAAAAGCAATTAGTTGATTACGTTGTGATACAGGTTTCTCAACCTCCGCATTAGTGAAATTTTGACTGGATCATTCCTGTAGGCTGTTCTGGGCATTGTAGGATATTTAGCAGCGTCTCTGGCCTCTACCCACTAGATGCCAGTAGCATTCTTACCCTGGTTTTGACAACCAAAAATGTTTCCAGACATTGTCAAATGGCCCCTGGGGGGCAAAATCACTCCCAGTTGAGAACCACTGTGGTAAATAAGAAAGGCAGATACGAAAACATGTAACAAGGAAACAGAATCTAGGCATACCCACAAGGAAGTGCCTTTAGGACGAGATCCATGTGACAATAGGCATTAGCCAGGCAGAAAGCAGGAATGGCATCCTAAGTAGAGTAGACAGCATGTGCAAAGGCCCTGTAGCCAGACCTGAAAGGATACTGGAGAACAGAGAGTGGCCTGGTGAAATGGGCAGGGCTCAGTTCACACAGGGCCTTAGAGTCTGAGTTATAAATTTTAGCCTTTATCCATGGTCACTTTTCCTTTTTTTTTTTTTTTTTTTTGACACAGTTTCAGTCTTGTTGCCCAGGCTAGAGTGCAATTGTGCAATCTCAGCTCACTGCAACCTCCGCCTCCCAGGTTCAAGCAATTCTCCTGCCTCAGCCTCCCGAGTAGGGATGTGCCACCATGCCTGGCTAATTTTGTATTTTTAGTAGAGACGGGGGTTTCTCCATGTTGGCCAGGCTAGTTTCAAACTCCTGACCTCAGGTGATCTGCCCACCTCGGCCTCCCAAAGTGCTGGGATTACAGGCGTGAGCCACCATGCCCAGCCACTTTTACTTTTAAAATTCATTTCAGCATGGTTAAAATAATAAAAATAAACTAAATGACAACAGACAACATCAAGTGCTGACTAAGATGCAGAGCAACTGGAACTCCCATACACTGGTGGAAATGCACAACGGTAGAGCTTCTTTGGTTGTTTTTTTTTTTCTTTCTTTCTTTCTTTCCTTCCTTCCTTCCTTCCTTCCTTTCCTCTTTCTTTCTTTCTCTCTCTCTTTCTTTCTTTCTTTCTTTCTTTCTTTCTTTCTTTCTTTCTTTCTTTCTTTTTTTGAGACAGAGTCTTGCTCTGTTGCCCAGGTTGAGGTGCAGTGACACAATCTCGGCTCACTGGAACCTCCACCTCCTGGGTACAAGGGATTCTCGTGCCTCAGCCTCCTACAGTACAGCTTCTTTGGAAACAGTTTGGCAGGTTTGTTTGTTTGTTTGTAAAGTTAAACCTACGGTTATCATACAACTCACCAATCCTGGCCAGGCATAGTGGCTTATGCCTATAATCCCAGCACTTTGGGAGGCCAAGATGGGAGGATTGCTTGAGGTCAGGAGTTTGAGACCAGCCTGGTCAACACAGTAAGACCCCGTTTCTATAAAAATAAATAAATAAATAAATAAATAAATAAAGTAAAAATCCCACTTTTAGAAATATACCCAAATGAAATAAAAACTGTTTATTTAATAAAAACACAAAAACCTGTACAAGAACGTTTATAGTGGCTTTATTCATAAAGGCCAAAATATGGGAAACCATCTAAATGCCCCTCTACTGAGGAAAGATTGAACAAACGGCAGTACATCTGTACAATGGAATACTACTCACGAGTAACAAGATGAGAACTCTTTTTTTTTTTGAGATGGAGTTTCGTTCTTATCACCCAGGCTGGAGTGCAGCAGCATGATCTTGGCTCACTGCAACCTCCACCTCCCGTTTGCAAGCAATTCTCCTGCCTCAGCCTCCCGAATAGCTGGGATTACAGGTGCCCGCCACCACGCCCAGCTAATTTTTCTATTTTTAGTAGAGACAGGGTTTCACCATGTTGACCAGGGTGGTTTTGAGCTCCTGACCTCGGGTGATCCACCTGCCTTGGCCTCCAAAGTGTGGGGATGAGAGGCATGAGCCATCGCGCCCAGGTGAGAACTCTTAATACACACGATGATGTAGATGAACCTCCAAAGCATCATGCTGAATTATAGAAGCCAGACTCAGAGGGTACATGTTATATGATTCCATTTATATAGTCTTTTGAAAAAGGGACAACTATAGGAACAGAAAACAGTTAAGTGGTTGCCAAAGGCTGGGAGTGGGCACAAGGGTAGACTACAAAGGGTCCCCAGGAAATTGGGAAGACAATTAATAGAATGGTTCTAAACCTTGACTGTGGTGGTGGTTAGATGACTGTGCATTTGTCAAAAAATACAGAACCCAGTCAGCCAGGTGCGGTGGCTTATACCTGTAATCCCAGCACTTTGGGAGGCTGAACTGGGCAAATCGCTTGAGCCGAGACCAGCCTAGGCAACATAATGAGGCCCCATCTCTACAAAAAATAGAAAAAATTAGTTAAGCTTGGTGGCGCCTGCCTGTAGTGCAGTCCCAGTTACTTGGGACGCTGAGGTGGGAGGATCGCTTGAGCCTAGGTGGTTGAGGCTGCAGTGAACCAAGACTGCACCACTGCACTCCAGCCTGGGCAACAAAGCGAGACCCTGTCTCAAAAAAAAAGAAAAAAGAAAAAAAATCACAGAACTGTATACTAGATAGGATAGATTTTACTGCAGGTAAATAATGCCTTTATTTTTTGAAAGTAAAAAGTTATTATAATGAAGACTCTACAGTAGGTCTATCAGTTGCACATTTGGGGGGAAATCAAGCTGGGTTCTGGTTCAAGGAAAAAATTAAGAAAGGTAAGAAGAAAAAGAAAATAAATTTTAAAATCTAAAAAGAAAAAGAAAATAGTCCGCGTGTGGTGACTCAGGCCTGTAATCTCAGCACTTTGGGAGGCTGAGGCAGGCGGATCACCTGAGGTCAGGAGTTCGAGACCAGCCTGGCCAACATGGTGAAACCCTGTCTCTACTAAAAGTACAAAAATTAGCCGGGTGTGGTGGCCGGCGCCTGTAATCCCAGCTACTCGAGAGGCTTAGGCAGGAGAATTGCTTGAACTCAGGAGGCAGAGGTTGTAGTGAGCCGAGATTACACCACTGCACTCCAGCCTGGGTGACAGGGCAAGACTCTGTTTCAAAAAAAAAAAAAAAAAGATAAAGAAAAAGAAAATAAATCAAGCTTGGTAAGAACTATGAGGTAAATCTTGACTCCCGGGGGGACTCGGGTAACAGGAAGCTAGATGGTGGTCATGCTCACCATTTGAACCACATGTACCTATGAGCAAACGAAAGAAAGATAAGGCAATGCAGACATTTGGTGCTGGTTGACAGGAATGACTGTTTTCCAGCACATACAAAAAAGATTGTTCCAAACAGGTAAATGCAAAAGCACTCTGGGGAAACAGTGCTGGGTTCCACACTTATCTTCGTGAGCTCAGCTCATGGATAGACCAACCTGCAGGAGGAGGAGAAACCTCAACTGAGCAGAAAATAATCCTCAGACTCTTGGCCATCTTCAGAGTAGACATGTGTTTAATCTTGACTCCATTTCAGGAGCTTTGCAGATTTTCTATAAATGTATCATGAAAATTCAATCTCAAAAACAGGAGGTTGACATAACAGTGAAAATTCAGTAGATCTTCAAAGCTACATCTGGCCCATCCAAACCCCAGATCAAACTTGGATTTCATCTTTTTAAATGAAACTCTTTGGTGTCAATATCAATAAAGACTGTCTAAGCCTGGCACGGTAGCTCATGCCTGTAATTCCAGCACTTTGGGAGGCCAAGGCAGGTGGATCACTCACTTAAGGTCAGGAGTTTGAGCCCAGCCTGGCTAACATGGTGAAACCCCATCTCTACTAAAAACACAAAAATTATCGTGGTGTGGTGTCGGGTGCCTGTAATCCCAGCTACTGGGGAGGACGAGGCACGAGAATCTCTTGATCCGGGGAGGTGGAGGTTGCAGTGAGCCGAGATCATGCCATTGCACTCCAGCCTGGGCAACAGAGCAAGGCTCTGGCTCAAAAAAAAAAAAAAAACACACACACAAAAAAACAAAAAAACTGTCTGGTGAGTCAATGACCCTTGCAATTTCAAAACTGCGGTTTTCATCTGATGGCTGGTGGGACTTCCACAGAACTCACAATGTTAATTCCAGAAAAAAACAATGAAAAAAAATAGCAAATGACAGAGGCATAGACCAATGTCTGTATGTTTATATGAGTCCCGATAAATCCGATATAAGTGGTGTTTTTAAGTACAACCATAAATAGTACGGCTAGCACGTGTCCCTCTGGCTCTGCAAGTAGCAGCTGTGAGGCCAGAGGAAGTCCCTTCATCTCTCTGAGTACCAGCGCTCTCATTTCTGAAATGCAGATGGTAATAGGACCTGTCCCTCAGGGCAGCCGTGAAAATTAAATAAGATGATGTGTGTAAAATGCTCAATAAGGTGATATCTTAGTTTTCTATTGCTGCTGTAAGAAATTACCATAAATTTAGTGACCGAAAGCAACACAAATTTATTATCTTATAGTTCTGGAGTCCAGAAGTCCAAAAATGGGTCTTGTGGAGCTAAACTCAAGGTGTTGGCAGAGCTGCCTTGCTTCTGTGGAAGAATCTGTTTCCCTGCCATTTCCAGCTTCTAAAGGCCGCTCGCATTCCTTGACTCGTGGTTGGTCCATCCTTCATCTTTAAAGCCAGTGGCATAGCATCTTCCAGTCTCTCTCTGACCCTGCTGCCTTCCTCACATGGCCTTCTCTGACTTTGACCCTCTTGCTTCCCTTTTATAAGGACCCCTGTGATTATACTGGGCCCACTGTGCTAACCTAGGGTAACCCCCCACCACCCATCTCAAGATCCATATTTTAATCACACCTCTAAAGCCCCTTTTGCCATATAAAGTAACATTCACAGGTTCAAGGGATTAGGGCACAGACATCTTTGGGGGAGACCATTATTCAGTCTAGGTAGCTCTTATATCTTGCTGGTTGTAAAGACGCTATGGCCATGTAGAATAATAATGATGACATAAAAGTAAAGAAAAAAGAGATGCTCTCAAACTGCTGGATTGAAAGCTTGCATGAGAATAAAATACTGGAAGAATACACAACTAAATGCTGATTGTGATTAGAGTTAAATCCGTGTAACCAGGGGTGTTTGTTTTTTTTCCAATTTTTCATGATGCTTTTTTATTACTTTTATAATAAAAATATTTTTAACTAAAATATTAGTAATACAGTGGATGTTCATCCCCTCCAAATCTCATGTGGAAATGTGATCCCCAGTGTTGGAGGTGGGGCCTGGTGGGAGGTGTTTGGGTTATGGGTGCAGATCCCTCATGGATGGCTTGGGGCCCTCCCCATGGTAATGGCTGAATTCTCACTCAGTTCGTTCACTCAAGAGCTGGTTGTTTAAAAGAGCCTGGCATCTCTCTTGCTTCTTCTCTCACCATGCGACATGCCTTCTCCGGCTTCACCTCCTGCAGTGAGTAAATGCTGGCACTGTGCTTTCTGTGCAGCCTGCAGAACCATGAGCCAGCCAGGTAAACCTTTCCTTTATAAACAACTACCCAGCCTCAGGTATTCCTTTTTTTTTTTTTTTTTTTTTTTGAGGCAGGGCCTCACTCTGTCCCCCAGGCTGGAGCAGTGGTGCGATTGTGGCTTATGCAACCTCCACCTCCCAGGCTCAAACAATCCTCCCACCTCAGCCTCCTGAGTAGCTGGGACTTACTGGTGCATGCCACCTGTATTTTGTATTTTTAGTAGCTACTTTTTGTATTTTTAGTAGAGAAAGGGTTTCACCATGTTGGCCAGGCTTGTCTCGAACTCCTAACCTCAAGTGATCTGCCCCCTTCAGCCTCCCAAAGTGCTGGGATTACAGGAGTGAGCTACCCCGCCCAACTAATTTTTGTATTTTTTGAAGAGATGCGGTTTCACCATGTTGCCCAGGCTAGGTTTTCCTTTATAGCAATGCAAAATGAACTAATACAATTAGTAAATATGAAAATAGAAATATCTTTATTTTATATGTATATTATATTGATGTATTTTTCTGGTTATCAATTGCTGCATGACAAACTACCTCAAAACCTAGTGGCTTAAGCCAGGTGTGGTGGCTCACGCCTGTAATCCCAGCACTTTGGGAGCCGAGGTGGGCGGATCGCGAGGTCAGGAGATCGAGACCACCCTGGTTAACACGGTGAAACCCCGTCTCTACTAAAAATACAAAAAATTAGCTGGGCGTGGTGGCGGGTGCCTGTAGTCCCAGCTACTCGGGAGGCTGAGGCAGGAGAATGGCGTGAACCTGGGAGGCGGAGCCTGCAGTGAGCCGAGATCATGCCACTGCACTCCAGCCTGGGCAACAGACGTAAACACCGTCTCAAAAAAAAAAAAAAAAAAAAAAAAACCTAGTGGCTAGTGGCTTAAAAACAACAATTATTTATACCACTCACAGTTCTATGGGTTGACAGCTTAGCTGAGTGGCTCTCACATGGGGGTCTCTCATGCAGTTGGCTACTGGAGCAGGAAGTCCAGAACTGACCCAGCATCATTTCCACTATTTTCTATTGGTCAAAACAGTCACAAGGTCAAGCCCAGGCCAAATTCAAGGGGGCTGAGGATTAGACCCCCTATCTCAAGGAGGAGTGGCACACACATATGGGGAGGGAAGGAATTGATGACAGTCATCTCTAAAGTCAAGCTACCAGGCTGGCCAACACAGTGAAAGCCTGTCTCTACTAAAAATACAAGAATTAGCTGGGTATGGTGGCACATGCCTGTGATCCCAGCTACTCGGGAGGCTGAGGCAGAAGAATCACTTGAACCCGGGAGGTGGAGGTTGCAGTGAGTCAAGATCGTGCCACTGCCCTCCAGCCTTGGCAACAGAGCAAGACTCCATCTCCAAAAATATACACAAAAATAATAAAGTCAAGCTAATATATATCATACTGTCCCTCTCCCCACCCCTCCCCCATATCATTCCAGGATGTCTCCCTCTTCTTTGTAAGGAATGTCACTGAGGAAGTTCATCCCAGTTGAGGTGGGCTTTTTTGTTGTTGTTGCTTGTTTAACATCCGTTCCACTTCCCATGCCAGTATCCCAAGCTTCCTGTGGAGGAGCTTCAGGTCAACCACAGTGCCTTGTCCTCTACTATTCTGTAAATGGGTATGTAACCCAGGCCAAGCCAAACAAACCCTCTCTGAAATTTCAATCTCAAACAGAATGACAAAAAAAAGTTCTGAAAGAAAGTTTGCAGTGGAAACTGTGGATGACTCTCACCAGGCTATTATATCCCAGGAGCAGGGATGTGCCTGATTTGTCTAAGCCAAGGTTTCTCAATATCAGGACTGTTGATATTTGGGGAGAGTTCATTCTTTTCTGTGTGCAAGGGATGGGAAGGAGCTGTCCTGTCCATTATAGGATATATAGATGCAGCCCCAGATTCTACCCACGAGATGCCACTAGCACCTCTCCTAGTTATGATAACCAAAAATGTCTTCACACGTTGTCAAATGTCCCCTGGGGGCCAAAATCATCCCTTGTGCCTCTTGCTGATGATTGGTTCAGGAGTGAACAGGCCCAAGCCAGTTTTGCCCAATAGGACACCAGGGGAGCTGGCTGCAGTGGCTTACACTTGTATTTCCAGCACTTTGGGAGGCTGAGGTGGGAGGATCATTGAGGCCAGGAGTTCAAGTTCAGCCTGAACAATATAGTGAGACCCTGTCTCTACAAAAAAAAAAAAAAAAAGTTTTAATTACCTGGGTGTGGTGGTGCACTCCTGTAGTCCCAGCTATTCAGGAGGCTGAGGTGGGAGGATTGCTTGAGCCCAGGAGGTTGATGCTGCAGTGAGCCATGATCACGCCACTACACTCCAGCCTGGGCAACACAGTGAGACCCTGCCTCAAAAAAAAAAAAAAAAAAAGACACCAGGATAGATTTCTTGGGGACTTCTGGCAGTAACATTTCCTTACTCTCAAGAGAGAGCTATGGGGAGACACTCCCTCTCTTTCGCACTGGATGATTTAGCAAATGATCTTACCGTCATAATCACTACTGGCAGCGTGCCCCGTTTTGCAGCCACAGGGAACCAGTTTTCAGATAAAGCCAACACATGGATAGTAATGGGAAGAAAGAGAGAGAACCCTGGATCTCAATTACATTCTTGAACCTCTGAATCAACCAACCTTGGTGTTGCCCTTCCTACAATAAACTCCCTTACTGCTTAAGCCAGGTTGAGTTGAGTTTTCTGTTACTTGCAGCCAAAGCGTCCTGAGTGCCGCACCCTCAGAGCTGAAGAGCACACTCGTGAGTTGATGCCAGCAAGATCCCCCAGCGCATCATGTGGCCAATTCTTTCTAAACTTGGTTTCAGAGCTTTCTTGCTCCATTTCTAAAAAGCACCTTATATCCTTCTAACAAATTCCTTTTCTGTTTCTGTTGGTAAGAACCAGTTTCTTTTTCCTTCTTTCTTTCTTTTCTTTTTTAGACGCAGTTTCGTCCTTGTTGCCCAGGCTGGAGTGCAGTGGCGCCATCTCGGCTCACTGCAACCTCCACCTCCCAGGTTCAACCGATTCTCCTGTCTCAGCCTCCCGAGTAGCTGGGATTACAGGCGCCCGCCACCAGGCCCAGCTAATTTTTTGTGTTTTTAGTAGAGATGGGGTTTCACCATGTTGGCCAGGCTGGTCTTGAACTCCTAACCTCAGGAGATCCGCCTGCCTCGGCCTCCCAAAGTGCTGGGATTATAGGCATGAGCCACCACACCCGGCCTGACCAGAACCAATTTCTGTGATATGCAATGGAAGAATTCTGTTACCTCAGTTGGCTAATTTCAGCAAAAAGCCCCAACATTCTTAGTCATCATAAAACTCGTTTGCTGAGTATGACTGACTCACCTGGTATTTCATAAAGTGCTACTTATGAGACCCACAAGAAAGATTAAGCCTCATGTGAACAGGCTGATGGGAAATCCACACAGAAAATATTTTGATAAGTTCTAAAGCAGCACCACATGCTTTAGAAGGTCATGCCAAAGGCAGTCCAATGGGGTCATCCCAGTGCATCCTAAGGACCACCAGCTCCAGCAGGAGAATTAGGTAAAAGGGCAAGGAGAACAGCACACAGGGTCACAGAGACCCTGGCTCCACCACCAGCTCGCTCTGTAACCCTGTGGGAGTGAGTTGAGGGAGTGCGTTGCTTCTCCCTCTGAGCCTCAGTTGCCTCATTTGTCAAACAAGCATTCACTTCTCAGGGCTGATGTGAACTTTAACTGAGGTGACACATGTCTAACTGGTTCAGGGGTACGTCTCAACTTGTTGAGGTGTAACTACGAAACCACTTTATTTTTACAATAATTGCTACCAAATGGTCTCTGTTGAAATTTCCTTTTTCCCTCTGGGGAATGATCAGAATAACAGAGTAGTGGTAGTAGAGGCAGGAGCAGAGGTAGCGGCAAGCTCCCAGGTGGCCCCGCCTCTGTGCCAGGCACTTGCCTAAGCTCTTGGCATATATTACTCACCAAATCTTCACAATGAGCTTCTGAGGTAGGGACCAATAGTTATCTCCATTTTACAGAAATAGAGAAAAAAGAACTTAAATGAGTTGCCCAAAGTCACGGAGCTATTAAAGAATGGGCTTCCTCAACCAGCCTCTCAACAATTCCATAGCATGCCTGACTGACTCTTTGGTTACCAAAGCTGTCTATTTCAGGTCTTAAAACCCAAATCTCCTCCAATTAGAATGTCAGTCTCAACCAGTGAAGCACAACGAGACCCAGTCTCATGGTCATGATGTCGAACAAACGAAGACAGACACCAAAAAGCATGCACGGCATGATTCCATTTATGTGAAGTTCAAAAACAGGCAAAAGCAATCCAGGGTGTTAGCAGGATAGTGGTCACCCTTGGCAAAGGGTAGTGACTAGGAGGGTTACTAGGTAGCTTTCTGAGGGGCTGGGAGAGTTCTGTATCTTGATCTGGGTGCAGGTTATGTGAGCATGTTTAGTCTGGGGAAATTCACTGAGCCGTGCACTTATGATATATCTGTGTGCATGTACACACATATACTTTTCTGTATGTGTTTTATAGTTCAATATAAATTTCCTTGGAAAAAACTTCATTCTCAGATCTGATTCAAAGTTCTTTTAGATCCCCTGGCCCCATGTCACCCAGTTCAAGCCAGACTCATGATTCTAGTGGCTTGGAGCTGGGACAATGGGTAGGGGGAGCAGGAGAAGCAAGACGTGCTCTCTTTCCCCTTCTCCTTGACGCCCACGGTAGAATGGGCATAAGGATGGGCTGCCATTCTGCTGAAATGGCTCCACAGCGAGCCGTGAAGGAAGGTGGCTGACCCCAACTGCTGAATGACCTTTGAACTTAGGCCAAGAGACTCAGAGCACCCCTAACATCATCCTGTTGCACATGTAAAGTGCCTAGCACAAAGCAGGTGTGTAATGGGGGGGGAGGTGCTAGATGGAGATGCAATATTTTTGATATCTTGAGGACTAAAAGTCGGGATGATCTGCTCTTTCAAATATGCCAGAAATTTTTGGATTCATAATCAGTTGAATAATTGATTTCTATTTGAAGCCTTTTAGTTAGACAAAAGGAAAAGTGATAAGTCTGCCATCTTCATCTGAGTTCCTCCAGAAGCCAACTCTGAGACAAGGATTTAAATGCAAGTAATTTATTCCTGAGGAGATCCTTGGAGGCAGCAGGTGAGGAGTGGGGAAGTGACCACGAAGTTTCTGATTTAGGACAGTGGTGAAAAGTTGATGCAGGTGGCTTCTAAAAGATCTTGACTTCCAAGGCAACTAGGGCTCTGGGGAAGGAATATGGCTGAACTTCAGACCCATAGGGCTACAGGAAGATAGAGACAGAAGACAAAGACCATGTACCAGTTAGCATGCTCTCAACTGCAAGTAGCAAGCCAATCCAAAGTGGCTTAAACAGTAAAAATGCTCCTGATGTCTTCAAATAATGTCTTCAAATAATGTCTGGGAAGGGACATGAATGAGCATGTGGGCCAGTGGGGCTCAAACCCACCCATGTAAGGGCCATGCCTCCACATTGCCATACCTGAGAAGCAAGGAGCTGGGGTATTTATCTCTTTCGCACTTTGGGAGGCTGAGCGGGCGAATCACCTGAGGTCAGGAGTTCAAGACCAGCCTGGCCAACATGGTGAACCCTGTCTCTACTAAAAATACAAAAAGTTAGCTGGGCGTAGTGGCACATGCCTGTAATCCCAGCTACTTGGGAGGCTGAGGCAGGAGAATCACTTGATCCCAGGAAACAGAGCTTGCAAAGAGCCAAGATTGTGCCACTCCAGCCTGGGCAACAGAGTGAGACTCTGTCACCAAAAAAAAAAAAAAAAAAAAAATTGATAAAAAGAGAAAGAGAGAGACAGAGACCTCAGAAAGACAGAGTGAAAGGGAGGGGTTAGAATAAAGGGAGGATGAAGATCGAGATGAAGTGACAGAGAGACCTAAGAACTTGTGAAAATGTGCTTACCAAAATGTGAGCAGTGGCCAGGCGCGGTGGCTCACGCCTGTCATCCCAGCACTTTGGGAGGCCGAGGTGGGCAGATCACAAGGTCAGGAGATCGAGACCGTCCTGGCTAACACGGCGAAACCCCGTCTCTACTAAAAATACAAAAAAAAAATTAGCCGGGCATGGTGGCGGGCGCCTGTAGTCCCAGCTACTCGGTAGGCTGAGGCAGGAGAATGGCGTGAACCCGTGAGGCAGAGCTTGCAGTGAGCCGAGATCGCACCACTGCACTCCAGCCTGAGGGACAGAGTGAGACTCCGTCTCAAACAAAAACAAAACAAAACAAAAAACACACACACAACACGTGAGCAGTGACCAGCACAGGTAGTAAGAGTTAAAAGTAAGTTGTGGGCCAGGCGCAGTGGCTCACGCCTGTAATCCCAGCACTTTGCGAGGCCGAGACAGGCAGATCATCTGAGGTCGGGATTTCGAGACCAGCCTGACCAACATGGAGAAACCCTGTCTCTACTAAAAATACAAAATTATCCAGGCATGGTGGTGCGTGCCTGTAATCCCAGCTGCTAGGGAGGCTGAGGCAGGAGAATTGCTTGAACCTGGGAGGCAGAGGTTGCGGTGAGCCAAGATCGCTCCATTGCACTCCAGCCTGGGTAGCAAGAGTGAAACTCCGTTTAAAAAAAAAAAAAAAAAGTAAGTTGTGTCTCTTTTATATGCACTTTTCAAGTTTTCTTCATTAAATGAGTATTCCTTTTGTGATAAGAAAAAGAAATAAGAACAACAAAAATGTCCTACCTCCAATGCTAGAACTTCCAGCTCTGCGTGTGAAAACACCCACTTTAAATTGCTTCTCTCTTTAGTTCAACCATGTTTCTTGAAATGGTTTGAATACAGGCAGAGTTTCCTTCTCTCCCTCCTTCCTTCTTTTTCCTTTTTTTTAAAGGAGACCAAAGTCAGAGTTGCCTCAGTGCTGACCCAACATTGAGGCTGAAAGTGGGTACAATAAGGGTAATTTAAGAAGGCAGGGATTAACAGCTGCTTTGGAAATGACAATTGGGTTAACCTCTTCTTCATTCTCACTCTCTCTCTCTCTCTCTCTGCAAGAACCATCTTGCCCTAGAGGAATGCAGGAAGGCAGTGGGGAGGGAAAATGACTCTGTTTAGGGAGGTGATAAAATGGGATGTGATGATTAATTCTTCATATATTTATTTGACAAGCATTCAGGGAGCACCTCTTCTCGCCCAGGTCCTGGGCTAGGCCCTGGGGACATAGCAAGATGAATACTACAGGATCCACGACTGTGAGGGCTGAGAGAGACACACGTGCAGATTGCTAAGACCAATATGAGAGGATCATTCCATACCCAAACACAGAGTTGCATGAAGGCCGAGGTTCTGCTTTCACCCCACCAGATACCAATTTCGCTCCTGAAATGAAGAAGTAAGGAGTGACCAGAGAGAATCTTATTTAGCAGGCAGTGATGATAAGTTAATACAGGTAGTTTCCAAAAGATCTTGACTTCCAAACAACTGGTGCTCTGGGGAAGGAATGTGTCTAAACATGAGACCCATAGGGCTAAAGGAAGGTAGAGACAGAAGACAAAGACCCTGTATCAGTTAGCATGCTCTCAGCTGCAGGTAACAAAAAAACCAACCCAAAGTGGCTTAAGTAGTAAAAATGTTTATGATGTCTTCAAATAAGTCCAGAGCTAGGCAGTCCCAGGGACAATTCGATAACTCAGTGATGTCAAGGACCTAAGTGCTTTTTATATTTTTGCTCCTCTATCTTAGCCTGGTTTTAAAAAAAAATAATTCCTCCCATATGTCTCTCTTTTTTTTTTTTTTTTTTTTTTTTTTGAGACGGAGCATCGCTCTGTCCCCCCAGGCTGGAGTGCAGTGGTGCAGTCACGGCTCACTGCAAGCTCTGCCTCCCAGGTTCATGCCATTCTCCTGCCTCAGCCTCCCGAGTATCTGGGACTACAGGTGCCCGCCACCACGCCCAGCTAATTTTTTCTATTTTTAGTAGAGACAGGGTTTCACCATGTTGGCCAGGCTAGTCTTGAACTCCTGACCTCAAGTGATCCGCCCGCCTCGGCCTCCCAAAATGCTAGGATTACAGGCGTAAGCCACCATGCCTGGCCCCATATGTCTCCTTTACAAGAAGGGAAAATCTTTCCCAGAAGCTCTTGGGCAGATTTTGCAATACTGCCATTGGCCAGGATTGAGTCCCATACCCATGCCCTGATGCAAAGGAGGCTTTGAAGGGGCCTCCCAGTTTTTTCTTCTTGGCACTGTCAGCCAAGAAGAAGGGGGAAGAGAAAGATGAATAGATAGGCAACCAACAGTGTCTGCCTCAGAAGGGAATTAACATTCACTGGGCCCTGTTTATAACCCCAGCCATCCCCCAGATTTCCAGCTTCCTCTTTAATATCTAACATCGGAACCCCATGACCCTAACAAGACAGAACTTTCATCAGGTTCTTTCTGCAGGATATTACTCAGAGTCTCTGGGGGATGTTCTCATGTTCCCTGGACCATGCTTGTGATTGCTTGGCAACCACAGTGAGCCCTTTCTCCCAGGGCATCTACTGCCCTTGTCTGCCACCTCCTAACTGTCTGCACCAGGATGGTGCTCCTGTCACTAACACCATCTCAACTTGAAAGTAGTACCCAGCCCTCTTCCTTAACAGCCCCCAAAACATGGCTGGATTGATTAGAATATAGGTTTAATTACTGTAACTGAGACCCTCATTAACAGCGGTTTAAACAAAGCAGAAGTTTATTACTTTTTTTTTTTTTTTTTGAGACTGGGTTTCGCTGTGTCACCCAGGCTAGAGTGCAGTGGTGTGATCTCGGCTCACTGCAACCTCCTGGGCTCAAGTGTTTCTCCTGCCTCAGCCTCCCAAGTAATTGGGACTACAGGGATTTGCCACAATACCTGGCTAATTTTTGTAGTTTTAGTAGAGACGGGGTTTCACCATGTTGGTCAGGCTGGTCTCGAACTCCTGACCTCATGATCTGCCCACTTCGGCCTCCCAAAGTGCTGGGATTACAGGCGTGAGCCACCATGCCCAGCCCAGAAATTTATTTCTAACCAGTCAGAATGATACCTACAAGCAATCAGGATGACTGTAGCTGTGCATATCAGCTGAATATCAGCCCTTTTATGTCTTGTTCATGTAACAGTGTGTGTGATCAGTCTGGGGCTAATGGGGCTGGCCCATGGGGTCAGAGTCTCAGGCTTTTTCTATCTTGTTTTCTTCCATCCCTTCCATGTTGCTCTTGTCCACACAGTTCAAGTTGGTGCCACCATGTCACATTCCAGGCAGTACTATGGAAGAAAAGGTGAAAGAAAGACCCCAACCCAGCCGGGCTTGGTGGCTCACACCTGTAATCCCAGCACTTTAGGAGGCCAAGGTGGGCAGATCACAAGGGCAAGAGATCAAGACCATCCTGGCCAACATGGTGAAACCCCATCTCTATTAAAAATACAAAAATTAGCTGGGTGTGGTGGCACGCGCCTGTAGTCCCAGCTACTCAGGAGGCTGAGGCAGGAGAATTGCTCGAGCCTGGGAGGCGGAGGTTGCAGTGAGCTGAGATGGCATCGCTGCACTCCAGCCAGGCGACAGAGCGAGACTCCATCTCAAAAAAAAAAAAAAAAAAAAAGAAAGACCCTGACCCCACCCCACACTGTTCCTGAACCAAGCCTTTAAAGGCATGATTTAGAAATGGTGCACGTCACTTCCACTCAGGTCCTATTGGTCAGCATGCAGTCATATGGCACATCTAGTTGCAAGGGAAGTTGGGAAATGTAGTCTTTAGCCAGGCAGGCATGTGCCCAGTTACAATCCTGTTTCTATGAAAGCAGAGAACTGACACTGGGGACAATTAGTATCTGACCCAGCAGCTAAGATGAGCCCATAGCAGTTAACAAAATTTTACTGAAGCCTTGGGGATAACAGGTGAGAATTACAATGCAGAAAAGGGAAATGCAAAATGAAATTGTAAATAAATCATGTTTGGAGGCCATATAGCTGCTTCATGCTTTCCTTCCTGCTGGTCTTCACCCTCCTTTCTCTCTAGCATGCTGTCATGCTGTGAGAACCAGCCTACCTCCCGTGGATGATGGCTGCCTAACTTCTTCTCCCTAGAATTTAGGACCCCCTCTTTCTCCTCTTTGCCCCAGGTAAAGCAAAAGGCCCTCCCCTTCCCACAGTGAGTCTGGCTTCCTTGCCTACCCCAGGATATGGGCAGTGGGAATATCCATGTCCTCCTGAAGAAAGTACAATTCCCCATGTGGTTCCCCTTGCAGCTCACTTCCCTGTGGCCTGGATGAGGCCATCACAAGAGTTGTAAGTGCGATCCCCTAAGCCCGGGTCCCTCCACTTTCAGTTATTCCAAATCAGAGTCCTCTCCAAGGGCTTCCCACCAGCACAAGGGGAAGGAAAGTTCAGGTCAGCGCCTCTTCTCTGCACAGTCAAGTCTCAAACAGAAGACCAGTTTCATCTTCAAATACAGAAACTGCTGGAGCAAATACTTGGTCAAAAAGGTACACATCTTTCCCAAGGACTTCAGGAACCCTTCTAGCTAAATCAAAGCTTAGAAATTCATTCCTCTTTTCTAAAAGGCTATGGTCCTAGTACAGATCCACCCAACTTACATGCATTATCACAATGCTGGTGTGCAACAGTGGGCAAGTCATGTATCACTCCAAGCCTCAGTTTCCTCATCTGTGAAATGAGGTTAATGACAGTTTCTCTTACAGGGTTGTTGGGAAGATGTAGAGAGATGATAAAGGTAAAGTGCTAGCTTAGTGCAGAGCCTAGTCTTTCGTCAAAGCCCAATACATGTAGCTAACATAACTAGTATTATTAAACAATAAGAAACAACTCAACATGGGGAATCTGCATCTGGATAATATCACTGTCTTAGGATTCTCCCCAAGAGCAGTGATTTCTCCCAGAATAATGGAAGAACATTCTCATCTTCAAAGACAAAAATGGCTCCAAATCCCCTTCAAAAACTTGAAAAACTAGACTTCACCTCCAGAACTGGTTACATAAGCTCAATGCAGAATGAATATGCGGGGCTCCTTGTTCAAACATTATTGCGAGTTTCGGCCAGGCACAGTCGCTCATGCCTGTAATCCCTGCACTTTCAGAGGCCGAGGCAGGTGGATCTCCTGAGGTCAGGAGTTTGAGACAAGCCTGGCCAACATGGTGAAACCTCATCTCTACTAAAAACACCAAAATTAGCCGGGCGTGGTGGTGGGTGCCTGTAATCCCAGCCACTCGGGAGGCTGAGGCAGGAGAATCTCTTGAAACTGGGAGGCAGAGGTTGCAGTGAGCCAAGATTGCACCACTGCATTCCAGCCTGGGCAACGGAGCAAGACTCCATCTCAAAAAAAAAAAAATTATTAAGAATTTCAAGGCTGGGTGCGGTGGCTCACACCTGTAATCCTAGCAATTTGGGAGGCCGAGGCGGGCAGATCACTTGAGATCAGGAGTTCAAAACCAGCCTGGCCAACATGGTGAAACCCCGTCTCTACTAAAAATACAAAAAAAAAAAATTAGCCGGGCATGGTGGCAGGTGCCTGTAATCCCAGCTACTCGAGAGGCTGAGGCAGGAGAATTGCTTTAACCCAAGAGGCAGAGGTTGCAGAGAGCCAAGGTCACGCCACTGCACTCCAGCCTGGACAACAGAGCGAGACTCAGTCTCAAAAACAAACAAAAACAAAGAAACAAACAAACAAACAAAAGAATTTCAAGACAAAGACAGCAGAGCAAACAAGTGCAGGCCCCTTCTGAGCTCGGGACTCTGCAATCACACAGGTTGCACACACACCCATGAAACCAGCCAAGTTCACCTACAGCAGCAGAACAAAAAATAGGGTTGTAAAATTGCAGGTTGCAATATATATTATGAAAAACTTCTGAAGACAGATGGTAGCTTGCTTTTTTCCACTCAGCAACTTACACAACTGTAGAACAACAGCAAAATTTTTGAGTCCTTGCTGTGAACTAGAGACCAGGCTGAGTGCTTTACACACATACTCTCATTTAATCATCACATCCCTGCATTCTGTAAAAGATGGAAAACCAAGGATTGGAGAGGGTAAGGAACTTGCCCAAGGGCACATGAGCCCAATTCAGCCTAATTCCAGAACCCACACCCAGAACCACCATGTGTACAGTGAAAGTGCCCCCGCAAGCCTCAGCCCTGCAAACTAGAGTGTGGAGGATGTTGTAGGGGCCTCTGGAAACCCTCCCCAGACTCCTCCTTTGCTGAAAGCATGGAGCTGGGACCGGTTTCCATCTTTGGATCCAACTTCCCTCCTTGAACTTTCCCGCACATCTCTGACCCTCCTTTCTCAGAACACATGTGATTCCCCTAGTTCCCCCTGAATGCCTCCTCCTCCCCCACCGGGGAAGTTGCTCTTACCAGACAGGCAGCGTGGGATTATGTTTACGCATTTATTTTTGTTTCTTTTTAATGACTTGCTGTAAAGCTTAAAATGTCTTCCGGGTGGTAGAGAGGCAGGGGAGTCGCCCATTAAAAATGAAGCCCAGTAAAAATGAAGCCCAGTAGAGACGTGAGTGGGAGATTCTGGGCTGTTAACCTTCCCGTGAGTTCTGAAATAGTGCAGAACTCATATATTTAATATAGTTTCAGAACTAGAAGCAGCAAATAGAGCTGAACTGGGTTCAAATCCTGACTCCACCATTTCTCATCTGTGTGACTGTGGGCAAGTTGCTTAACCTCTCTGTGCCACGGTTCAAATGGAGATCACAATAGTACAGGCTCCAGAGTGGTGGTGTTAATGAATGATTATCGTTATTATTATCCTCATTGTTATTACTATTGTTTTTAGAGCTCATGGGAGTCCTTGGAGAGACTGTATAGCTTCATGGCTGAGAATATAGATGCTGAAATCAGGCTGCATCTGGGATTAAATCAGGGATTTAAATCCCACTTGACTACCTACTGGCTGTATGACCTTGGTTAAATAACTGGCCTCTCTGAGCCTCAGTTTCCTCAATTGACAAATTCTCCCCTGGGCAGAGGGATTGGATTAGAGATGGCATGTGAGCTTCAGTTGGATCAATGAGACTCAAGGCCAGGACTCAGGGTCCACCAGGGAAAAGAAGCTCTTCCCACTGGAGCTGCTGAGCTGATAGGCTGTGAGCCTGGGGCTGCTGGGGCTCTAGAGGACAGCCTGCTCGAGAGTGAAGCTAGCACAGGGGAAGAAACATAAAAGAGCTGGGGAGAGAGAGAGTCACAATGACGTTTGAGGCCCTGGATCTGGCGGTGCCTGAAGCAAGGAAGCCTCCTTTGGACTTCCCAATTTCATGAGCCAGTAAATTCCCCGTTTTGCGAAAGCCACTTTTCAGTTGGGTTTTTCTCACTGGAAAGTATCCAGGCTGACACCAGGATTTCCATTTAGCAACTTGACCCAGGCCTGCAAGCTAGTGAGTAGCAGCCTCAGGGGTTAGAAGCTCCTAGCTCTGTACCACGGTGCTCTGTCATCCAGCATGCAAGCCAGCATTCTGTACTGGGTGTTCATTGCTTTCACCTCTTTAGCCTCTCCGAGCAGCTATTTTCTCATCTCTCAAATGTGGATAAACAGCAGGCTTGCAGGGCTGTTGGGAAACACAAAATTCAAAGTAATGCTTTTAGGCCAGGCATGGTGGCTCACGCCTATAATCCCAGCACTTTGGGAGGCTGAGGCGGGCAGATCACTTGAGGTCAGGAGTTTGAGACCAGCCTGGCCAACATGGTGAAACTCCATCTTTACTAAAAATACAAAATAAATTAGCCAAGCGTGGTGGCAAGTGCCTGTAATCCCAGCTCCTTGGGAGGCTGAGGTAGGAGAATCACTTGAACGTGGGAGGCAGAGGTTGCAGTGAGCCGAGATTGTACCAGTGCACTCCAGCCTGGGGCAACAAAGTGAGACCCTGTCTCAAAAAAAAAAAAAAAGGTAACACTATTAGTTAGCATGGTTTATGGCTGAAGGTTGGAGTTCTGTGCACCCAGTTTCTAGTGCCTTGGGCCTTGGCTTTTCCCCATTACTTATTCCATTGCAGGGATGTCTCTGGCTGTCCCTAAGTCAGCCAACCAGTCAAAGTGCCCAAACTCTCTTAGGCGAGCATGGGTGAATCTTGTGGGGGGAAGAGCCATCTTCCTTCCTGGCTATGTGTACCCAGTGGTGAGTGGAGGAAGCTAGATGACCTTGAGGATTCTTGAACTCTGAGTCTATGATGTACAAAGAAGCCCTGTTATGTTCATTTCCAGAACCTTCTAAAACTGATATGCTCTTCTGGGAATGATCTGTATTGCAGGGAAACAGCAATGAACCAAATCGACTTAGTCTCTTTCTTTAAGAAGTTTACATTTACTGGCAGATACAGATGATAAACACATAAAAATATACAACATCATATCACATGGTAACACTAGGGAAAAAATAAGTCATTAAATGCCTGCTAAGTGCCAAGAAGAAAAAGGAATAGAGTGATAGAGCACTGTTTATTAGAAGTGGTCAGAAGGGGGCTCTCTGAGGAAGTGACATGTCATTAGAGACTCAGTAGGGCTCATTCAGGATCACAAGCTCTTAAAACTGTGCTATCTCCCAGGAAGAAGATCAGGACCAATTTTTCCAGGAAACTTGCTGACCTCACTAAGTCAGGAGTCAGTGATCTGTTGGAGGCTTGGTAAACAGCCATCCTTCTCCACTGACGACTCTTAGGACATTTAAAAAAGTTTAATGGGTCATTGATTTGTAGTGCTGATTTCCTCCATTAGCTAAATCCACGAAGGAAAGGCTGGAGAAGCCGCGTGAGACCATTCCTCAGGCATGCCTGCCAGGAAAAGGTTTTAGCCATCATGTCACATGATCATTTGTCTATTTCTAACCAGTCATCACTAAAGATTCCCAATCACCACCATCACATCTCTGGAGGATCCCAGGGCATGGCTGCTTCTAGGCCAGGCCTTGGCAGGGAAGTGCCAGAGCTTTGCAGATCAACACCAAGCCTCAGAGAGTCGGAGTAGACCTTAAGTTCCTCCTCTCAACCAAATATCAAGGAAACAGACAAGAAGTCGAGGTCCCTGCCCTCCTAGAACATGACATTGAGGGGCAGGAGAAAGAAACAAGCCAGCAAATAAATAAGACACAGATGAGTGCTAGGAGCCACCAGAAGCTAGAACAGGAAAGGGAGGATCCTCCCCTAGAGAGTGACTGGGGACTATTTTAGGGAAGGTGGTCAGGGGAGACCTGTTTGGGGAGGTAACGTTTGACCTGAGACCTGAAAGCTGAGAAGATCTGCAAGAAGCGTGATCCAGGCAGAAGGAACAGCTGGTGCAAAGATGCTGGGTTGGGAGCCAGCCCCGTATATTTGGAGATAGACCTGAGACTGCAGGGAAGTAAGCGAGGGGACACAGTGACGGGCCAGGTCACGTGGGCCTTGTGGGCCAGGGTTAGACATGATTTGGGTTTTCTTCTAAGTAGGATGGGAAACTGTTGGAGGATTTTGCATAGGAGGGTTTCATGACCCAAATATTAAAAGCTATGTACACAATGAATGGAAGGGCAAATTAGCTGGTACCTGAAATTAGGGGTTTCGTTCAGGATCAATATTTGTGGCAAGGTTTCACTCTCTGCCACTGTAGTAGATTGAGTGGAGGCCTCCAAAAAGATATGTCCAAGTCCCCATACCTGTAAATGTGACCTATTTGGAAAAAGGGTCTTTGCACATGTAATAAATTTAAGAATCTTGAGATGGGATTGCCAAATCGTTCTGGATAGGATGAGCCCTGAATCCAAAGAGAGGCATCCTTGTAGGAACAGGGCAGAGGGAAATGGGGCAGGCAGAACAGGAGATACAGAGAAGAAAGTCTGCCAAGACAGAGGCAGGGATCAGAGTGAGGCAGCCACAAGCCAAGTAATGACTGGAGCTACCAGAAGCTGGAGAATGCAAAGGAGGACCCTCCCCTGGAGCCTTCAGAGGGAGCACGGCACTGTCAACACCTTGATTTTGGACTTTGGGCCTCAAGAACTGTGAGAGAATAAATTTCTGTTACTTGAAGCCACCAAATTTGTGGTAATTTGTTACAGCAGCCACTGGAAACAAGTACAGCCTCTAAACAGCCCAAACTTGGACCCTGCTTGAGGCTGCCTCCAACTCCCCTCTCCCCCACCAAGACCCTGTGTATAGCTTCGGCCCCATTCAAAGGCTACTCCAGGCTGGGTGCAGTGGCTCATACCTGTAATCCCAGCACTTCGGGAGGCCGAGGCGCGCGGATCACCTGAGGTCAGGAGTTCGAGATCAGCCTGGCCAACATGGCAAAACCCCATCTCTACTAAAAGTACAAAAATCAGCTGGGCGTGGTGGCGCACACCTGTAACCTCAGCTACTAAGAAGGCTGAGGCAGGAGAATCGCTTGAATCCGGGAGGTGGAAGTTGCAGTGAGCCAAGATCACGCCATTGCACTCCAGCATGGGTGACAGAACAAGACTCTAACTCAAACAAAACAAAACAAAACAAAACAAAACAAAACAAAACAAAACAGGCTACTCCAGTCACTGGGCAGCACCCCCTGCAGGCGTGAGGGCCACTTGGGCTTGGGATGGGCATTTATTTACTTACTTAGCTTGACATACAGGGACAGGAATGAACCAGCCCTGTTTTTGTTCCAGGATGCTCTCAGGATTGTGAGTTCCAGACAAACCAGAACCCAAAAAGTATAAGGGTTTAAGGGCGGGAGGAGCACAGGAGTCTGGACAGTCACTTAAAGGAACTAAGACTTCAATTAGGTAGCTTCCAAGTGTGGCAGCTCCCACAGTTTTCACTGGAATGGGCATTTTTGTTAATTTTTCCCCTATGGAATGCTCACTTTCTAAAGACACTGCTGATCAAGCTAATTGCATGTATTCAATAACATTTCATTTATCTCCTTTATTTGCTATTATTTAAAGATATGTAGTAATGACAGTTAATATTTATTGAGCCACTCAGTATACTAAGAGCATGATATGTACTCATCCAACCTTCACATCAGCCCTATGAGGTGGGCACTTTTATTATCTCTGTTTTACAAAGGAGAGCAGAGACTAATGAAAATTTGCCCAAGTTTGCACCACTAGTATTTATTCAGCTGGAACCTGGACCCACGAAGCCTGGCTCCAAAGCAGGCTCTGGAAACCAGGCTAGAATGCAGGTTTCCATACCAATGTGCAATGCTACTCTGGACAAGTAATTTTGTCTCTCTGTGCTTCAGTTTCCTCATCCATTTTTTTTTTTTAAGACAGAGTCTTGCTCTGTCACCCAGGCCCGAGTGCAGTGGTGTGATCTTGGCTCACTGCAACCTCTGCCTCCCAGGTTCAAGCAATTCTCCTGTCTCAGCCTCCCGAGTAGCTGGGTCTACAATCACACGCCACCATGGCTGGCTAATTTTTTTGTATTTTTAGTAGAGATGGGGTTTCACCATATTGATCAGGCTGGTGTCGAACTCCTGACCTCAGGCGATCACCCGCCTTAGCCTCCCAAAGTGCTGCGATTACAGGCATGAGTCACCGCACCCGGTCCCCCCCTCATCTAATTTTTTATTTTTATTTTAATTTAATTTATTGTATTTATTTATTTATTTTTTGAGATGGCATCTTTCTCCCGTCGCACAGGCTGGAGTGCAGTGGTTCAATCTCGGCTCACTGCAACCTCCACTTCCCAGGTTCAAGCCATTCTCCTTCCTCAGCCTCCCAATTA
Source organism: Homo sapiens (assembly GCF_000001405.40). Lineage (NCBI taxonomy): Eukaryota > Metazoa > Chordata > Mammalia > Primates > Hominidae > Homo > Homo sapiens. The sequence goes on from NC_000020.11 coordinate 50,507,560, forward strand.
GCTGGGATTACAGGTGTGCACCACCACACCCATCTATTTTCTGTGTTTTTAGTAGAGACAGGCTTTCACCATGTTGGCCAGGCTGGTCTTGAACTCCTGACCTTAGGTGATCCACCTGCCTCAGCCTCCCAAAGTGCTAGGATTACAGGTGTGAGCCACCAGGCCTGGCCTATTTTTATTTATTTATTTTTTTTGAGACAGTGTCTCACTCTATCGTCCAGGCTGGAGTGCAGTGACATGATCATGGCTCACTGCAGCCTCAATCTCCCAGGCTCAAGTGATTCTCCCATCTCAGCCTCCTGAGTACCTGGGACTACAGGTGCACGCCACCACAGCCGGCTAATTTTTTTTTTTTTTTTTGAGACAGGATCTTGCTCTGTTGCCCAGGCTGGAGTGCAGTGGTGCAATCTCAGCTCACTGCAGCCTCTGCCTCCCAGGTTGAAGTGATTCTTGTGCCTCAGCCTGCCGAGTAGCTGGGATTACAGGCATGCACCACCACACCCTGCTAATTTTTGTATTTTTAGTAGAGTTGAGGTTTCACCATGCTTGTCAGGCTGGTCTCGAATTCCTGACCTCAAGTGATGCACCCACCACGGCCTCCCAAAGTGGTGGGATTACAGGCGTGAGCCACCACAGCCAGTCAGTTTTCTCGTTTATAAAATGGGAATAATAGCACCTGTATTGAAGGGTTGTTGTGGAGATTGAATGGGAATGTGTACTTAGAATTCCAGGCATAGTGCCTGCCACAAGCACTCAAGGAATGAGCTGGAGTTCAGCTGATAATACCAGGCAGTGTCTCTGGGCAACACGGAATGAAGACAATTCTCTCTTCCAGGTTTTCAAACCTCCTGGAATTCACAACGTCCACATGACATGCCAGGCCCAGAGGGGGATGGTTTAAACTGGAGCCTGCAGGAAGGCAACCTGACCAACCTGCTCATGGGTGCTTTAAGGATCATAGGTACGAGAATCAGCTGGAGTTGTTGGTGAAAATGCAGATTCCGGGTCTCATCCCTAGACCAAAGATATCTGAATCATTTGGCGATGGGTCCAGGAACCTGCATTATTCAACACACTTCCCAGGTGACCGTAAATGTCAAAAGACAAAATTACAACAAACTTAAACATCTTAATTGGCTTCATTCATGATTCTAGAATCGGGCAAGACTTCATTCCTCAAAATAGCACAAGTGTCCCAATGAGCTGAGCAGAGGAGGTTGGTTTTATAGACAGAAAAGGGCTGAAAAAAGCAGAAACAAAGAACAAAAAGCAGATTGGTCATTTCAAAGTTACTTTCCTTGTAAGGCAGGAACAGGGAAACAGAACAAGAGAGAAATAACTGATTGGTCGCATCGGGTTACTTCAGGTTACTTTTTGTTGTAAGGATTAAAGCAAAGGGAACTTCATTATGTTGATTAAAACGGTCTGCTTGGGAAATCAGGGTGTGTATCTCTCTTCTGATTTTGTGAAAGGTTATCAGTCTGATGATGTAGAACTTTAGCATGAGTGACTCCATTTTGATTTTTAGTCTAGTCTGTTGAGACCCTAATGCCAGAACTTTTTTTGTTTGTTTGTTTCGCTCTTGTTGCCCAGGCTGGAGTGCAGTGGAGCTATCTTGGCTCACTGCAACCTCTGCCTCCAGGGTTCAAGCGATTCTCCTGCCTCAGCCTCCCAAGTAGCTGGGATTACAGGCATGCGCCACCACGCCCGGCTAATTTTTTTTTTTTTTTTTTTTTTTAGCAGAAACCGAGTTTCACCATGTTGGTCAGGCTGGTCTCGGACTCTTGACCTCAGGTGATCCACCTGCGTCGGTCTCCCAAAGTGCTGGGATTACAGGTGTGAGCCACCACACCCAGCCCTTTTTTTTCAAGACAGGGTCTCTCTCTGCCACCCAAGGTGGAGTGCAGTGGCGCCAAAACAGCTCACTGCAGCTTCCACCTCCTGGGCTCAGGTGATCTTCCTGCCTCAGCCTCCCCAGCAGCTGGGCCCCACCACACCGGCTAATTTTTTAACTTTTAGTAGTGACGAGGTCTGATTCTGTTACCCAGGCTGGTCTGGAACTCCTGGCCTCAAGACATCCGCCTGCCTCTGCCTCCCAAAGTGCTGGGATTACAGATGTAAGCCACCGCGCCTGGGCTCCTATGATTTTTATTTAACATAATGCACCATGGAATTTGTGCTCTGCTTAGTTCAGTCTGAGCAGGAGTTCCTTGATACTTCGGGAAACACTGAAAATCATTCCATCCCCATCCATTCATTCCTGCAGCACCCAAGTGGAAATTCTGCGTTTCAGACAGGGACACTACCCTTAGAGAGCAGTGGGCTTCCCCAGCAGCGTAGTGAAACATGATACTCCTGAGTTTCATGAAAAAAGGGCAGACATCTGGCCAGAGCTGGGAGGCAGGAAATAGAGCACGGTGCCCTCCTCCCATACTCCAGCTTGGATTACTGAGGCTGGGGCCCAGGCCCTGCAGGAAAGGAGGTGCATGACTACTTTAAGGCCACTCACTCTGTGACTCAACGGGCCGGGTCGGGGCTGGAACTCAATGCCCTCCCGGGCCTGGAGAGCCCACGCGCCGTGGGCGGGGCTCCCGGGGTCGCCTAGGCAACAGGCGCGCGCCGCGCCCGAGCCCAGAGCCCCAAAGCGGAGGAGGGAACGCGCGCTATTAGATATCTCGCGGTGCTGGGGCCACTTCCCCTAGCACCGCCCCCGGCTCCTCCCCGCGGAAGTGCTTGTCGAAATTCTCGATCGCTGATTGGTCCTTCTGCTTCAGGGGCGGAGCCCCTGGCAGGCGTGATGCGTAGTTCCGGCTGCCGGTTGACATGAAGAAGCAGCAGCGGCTAGGGCGGCGGTAGCTGCAGGGGTCGGGGATTGCAGCGGGCCTCGGGGCTAAGAGCGCGACGCGGCCTAGAGCGGCAGACGGCGCAGTGGGCCGAGAAGGAGGCGCAGCAGCCGCCCTGGCCCGTCATGGAGATGGAAAAGGAGTTCGAGCAGATCGACAAGTCCGGGAGCTGGGCGGCCATTTACCAGGTGCGGGAGCGCCCCGGAGCGTGGCGGGCCCTTCGCTTAGGCCGCTTGAACATCCCCTCAGACCTCCAGGCCCCAGACTCCCTCTGGGTCTTGCCCTCTGCCTCGCTCCTACTGCTTGAGGATTCGATGGGACAGCGACGCACTGCGTCCCCCCACCCTTTGTCCCCGGGGCGGGCGTGTTTCTCGCCGCAGCGTCGGAGCCCCCTTCGATCCCCCACCTCCCTTCTGTTCTCCAGCTCGGGTGATCTCTCAAGCCGGGGGACCGCCGGTCTGTGCTCTCAACGCGAATCCCTCGCACCCCGACCCCGCCCCCTGCCTGTCCACTCTTTGTCCCCTGGGGTGATTTAGCACCCCCACTATTTCCTTTTCTGGAGTGGACCACCTCAGACTCTCTTCCTTTGTCTCCCTGGGGGAAAAGGTTACTCCCCCCGTCCCTCCTTCACATTTCCTTTCCCCTAGTCTCAGTGTGCGTCGAGTCCCAGAGATGACAGTCCCCTTTCCCCTTTCTGTTCATTCATTTATTGGATAGGAGTTGGCAAGCTTATTCTGTGCTAGGCACCGCTTAGGCATTGGAGGTGGTGTTTGCTAATCAGGACAGGCAAGATCCTAGCCTTAGTGGGGCCTAGAGTCGAATAGGGCAATCAAACACAAAAGCAAATAATTTCAGATAGTGACAGGTGCTGTGAAGAGAACGACTTCCTAACGGGGTACAGGGTGACTGCATAGAAGGCCGGCTGTCTTAGAGAAGGGGATCAGGGAAGGCCTGTCAAAGGAGGAGACATTTGCTTTGTGAGCTGAACCAAGAGGAGCAGAAAGCCGTGAGAATATGGGGCTAAAGAACCTTCTAGCCAGGAGGCCTGCGGTACCCACTCCATTGGGGCCATGATATTATTCTTTCAGGCAGGGACTCAGGAAGGTTAACGTTTTAACCCTCTCTAAAATAGCATCTTTCCTCAATGAGCAGCTTAGTCTTTGGTCGTGGCAGAGATGACCTTGTCTTAGGAGTCATCTCCTTGTGTGTTAAAAAGTTAGGAAAGGAGGGTTTCTCATATATCTATAAAACAAGTAGTTAAAAACACAAAGAGCTCTTCCTTTCACAAGCAGCTGAATAAGATACATACTCCCAATTAAATGTCATTGCGGGGGTTGTTAAGATTAACTAAAACCACACTTGCACAGTATCTTAAATAAGCGATATACAGAATAGAGAGATTTTGTTACTTGTGTAAAGGGAGACAGCAGATGATTCTGTTTTCAGCTTATAGGCTCAAAAGGCAAATTGTGAGATCCATCAGCTGTAGTATTAAAATCTATTTTGAGCTCCGCTTAGAAAGGAAAAAAGGTTTAAGCAGTTCTTTGGTATGCTTGACTAACAAAAGCCTTTTTTTTTGGCAGCCTTGATTTTCATGTGGATTTACATCAAGCTTATTTGACAGGATTCTTTTTATTTGGACTGTAGTGTGTATATTAGTTTCTGCTAGACTAATATTTCTAACCACTGTAATCTATATACTAATAAGTATGATTGATCAGTATATAAAATTTGTATGCCATATCTGGTCTCTGAATTAGCTGAATGAATTCCATAAGGGACTTTGAGACTGTGTAGACAAATTTTCTGCATCAGTTTAATGCAGTAGAGTCTAAAATGTCTTTAAATGAAAATTGTTGGTCTGAAGTGTTGGAGTTGATTATGATACACCCCATCACAGTGGAAGCATTGTGGAGAGAAGTCTTTTCCACTGAAATTGACTGAGTTGACAACAAGAAATACGTATTGTAACTTAGTTCTTAGTTGAATTTTATTTCTTACAATTTTAAGCCAGAGTGGGTTGACCTGTCACCCAAGCATGGTTAAAATTGTATTCAGCATGCAACTAGCATGGAGTGTGTCAGTCTTCAATTCATTTCCTTCATTGTTCTTAAGTTTTTCTGCCACAATTAAACCCCACAAGTTAGTCAAGGTGTTGAGATTTTCACTGCTTCTTAATGGATTGCCACATTCCCTGAGGTAGTTTCTTTTGGTCTTAGAGAATTGTCAGGGCCAGCTTTTCTCACCTCCACTGTATGGATATTTTTCTTTTCTAAGATCTTGAAATCAGAAGCTTTTCTCCTAAGTGTAAAAGTAGCTCTTTGTCATACAACTGTAGCGTTTTCTGAAACAGAGTTCAGATGACCTTGAGTCTAAAGTGGCTAACTTTCCAAGGTGTGTATCGCTTTACCAAAACCATTATTTTTCAAGGATTCAAAGAATGTGTTTACAATTGATAGAAAATGGAAGTTTAAAAAAATTAATACTTTATAGCATGTTGAAATGAGGGCAGCCTTATACAAAGTCATACTTTGAGCTTGCCTAGCCTATTGTGATCAGAGAATAATGTAATTTTTGCTTACAACTTGGTAAGCAGGTCAGTTATTCTAACTTATTTTCTGATTAGAACAAAAAGATGTAAAAACTTGAAAACTATTGGGAAAAGAACAAAGAGTGAAGAGGACTTTTGAGTGCTGAGGAATGTGGCAGCTTGGAAAACAAACTTTTTAGGCAGAGATTCTTTGCTAGGTCAGTTTGATAAAGTGAGCATAACCGTATTTTTAATCTTTAATGCTAATGAATAGCATAGATGCTAATAAGCATCTAGGTCTATAAAAAGTCAGCTTTGATAGTGTATATAGATGGCTTTAAACATTGTTTTCTAGCATTTAAACACTTTCAAATCATCCGGTTGCTTGATTGGGCCTAGCTGTCTAAGAGGAGAGAATGAGCCCAGATGAGGAAAAGAGATTGATTTTACTGAGCTAGAATGAGAGGAGAGAGGGTTGAGTGAATGAAAAGAATAGCTCATGTGCTCCCCTCCATCTGTAGTTTAAGAGGGGTTGGGTCCGGTGTTTTGCTTGTTTTCTCGTCTGTAAATTCTTTGATTCTCTGACACCACTCACTATATTTCATTGTGAATGATTTGATTGTTTCAGATAAAGGGGACTGCAATAATACCTTGTGACATGAAGGCAAGATTTATTCATGTTAGAGGCAGGCTTTGTAAAATGGGCCACTCTTCCAATTGACATTTGTTTTTATAGCTGTTTTCATTATGAAATACAATCTAATGCCTGACTAGGTTAAAACCATGTTGTAACAATAGTTCACTAAAATTCCTTACTGATATACAGCTTATGTTGTTATATTCCAAAAAGATGAATATTAAAATTTGCCAATAATGTTTATTTAAATACTATTTTCTTCAGAGGAAAAAAAACTATTTTATGCAAAGGAGAAAGATCTATACACTATGACTCACTTCACTTAAAAAAAAAAAGACTAACGGAAATGACATGGAGAGACTGGGAAGTTCTAGTCATCTTGAGTGACCCATTAGATCTAAATGTTCTTGTTTAGCCCTGGTTTGAGTGAACTAAATTTAGGTGTCTGATCAGTACTTTGGAAATGGTGTAAATGCCTTTGTAATTGTCTGGACTGATATTAGATTAACTGGGAGCACAAGTAGAAATAGTGAAGGAAAGAACTTTTTGCTATTGTTATTTGACATCACTGGCATATTTATAGGAATACTTTGGTGTTTTTGGAAGTAAGTAAACCAACCAGTGGTTCTAAAAAGTCAGCTGGGGGATAATGGTAATGCCGCTGTTTCTTAGCTGCAAGTTATCTGCCGTTACTTCTCCTCCATTTTGCATTTTATCTTGAATAGCTCCTCAAAACCTATTAAAATACCTGGTATTGAATAATGTAATTGAATGTGTACTGAATTTCACAGTGGAAATGAATAAGAAATTTCCTGTGGAGGTTTTTTGACTTAGCTACTGAAATAACGGCCTTTTGTTGTGTGATTCTTTCCCTTTTCTCTTTGTTAAAGAAAACTGTCTTGTGATCTTGTAGATTACAGAATCCTTTTGGCAATTTCTGTTCCTAGCACTGCTTTTTCTTTCTTTCTTTCTTTTAAATAGAAATGGGGTTTTGCTGTGTTGCCCAGGTTGGTCTTGAACTCCTGGCTTCAAGCGATCCTCCCACCTTGGCCTCCTGAAGTTGGGATTGCAGGCGTGAGCAGGTACTTTTTCTGAGGCCTGCCTGAGCCTATATATATTTTGCACAATTTGGCATTCCTCCCTACAGTGTTTATGCTGATTTGTTTCTGGTAACAACTAATACTGGCAAATCGGCTGGGCATGTTACTTTATGCTGCCCATATTCAGGAAAATTGGAATTCTAGCTGGGTCATTGTTCCCAGATGATGTAGTTTGGCACCAGCCATTCCATGTTCACATTTTGAGTATCCAGGAGGGCTGGGGACTTTGGAGTAGTTGGTGATTCCCTCTGCCACATTTCACTGGTTGGTCACTATGGCATCCTTTCCACCACACTAGTAGTCTAGGTTCTCAGATGTTGCTTATGAGCCTGCAATGGTTTCTAGTTTCACACTGCAGAAATGAGTGAAGCCGGTTACCCGTTAATATGGTCCCATCATCACTAGAGTAATTCATTGTTCTAAAACCAGATCTGAGTCTCTCACTCCTCTGCAACTACTTCTGATTCTTTCATAACACTTGTAAAGTCCAAACTCCTCTTTAGCATGGCAGCCAGCTTCCAGTCCTTCCCTCCTATGTGGCTTCCATTCTAGCCAGACAAGAAAGGGCAGCGTTCTCCAAACTCATCCTCGCCCTTCATTCCTCTATACCATTGCTGAGCACTTTGTTGAGGATGCCTCTCCCGTTCAATCTAGCTTGCATCTTCCAGCTCGAATGTGTGCTTCCTTGCACCAGAGTTTTGTTCCGTCACCTGTGTGTTTTCATACAAGCTGGCACATATCTCTTCTAAAGCCCTGCTGTCATTGTAGCTGCGTCTTTACAAACATTTTTTTTTTAAATTTTTATAAAGTCAAGGTCTCACTATATTGCCCAGGCTGGTCTCAAACTCCTGGGCTCAAGTGATCCTCCTGCCTTGGCCTCCCAGAGTGCTGGGATTATAGGTATGAGACACTGTGCCCAGCTGTAGCTGCTACTTTATATCCCAGGTCTATCTCCAATGGAGCCCAAGCTTCCTGAGGCCACCTGTTGTATCTTTCTCATTCATCTTGAAGTCCTCTGCTCCTGGCACAGAGTAGGTACCTAACAAGAGTTGGGATTGAATTGATGGTCAGTACTTTGCTAGCCTGATGGTATAAAGATGTACAAAACATGTTCCTGGCTCCCACTCTAGGGGGGCAATGATGGAAACAAATAGATTAGCCCACATTAGTACCAATAGTAGAGGTCACTCTGGGAGAAGGCCCCCACCACATTTTGAGTCATGGCCTAATGAGGTAATTTAGTATTGCCTGCTGCAGTGGCTTTGGAAGAAAGGCTGGCATTCTTAGCCAGTAGAAGCTGATACCACTGATTTGTTTCACAGAAGCTTTAAATATAACAATAAATTTGTGCTTGGCCTACGGTGAACTTTACAGGCAACTTGGAGGTAATATGTTTGTCTCTCTAAGAATTGTTGAATTCCTCTTCCCTCATCCCTCCTGACTGGTTCTCACAAGCCTAGCGGGCCTTTGCATGTGGTTGGTTCATAAAATACTTTTTGATTTTGGGATATAAAATATAGTTCTCCATAAAATAACGACTGTTACCAAGTCTTTGATTTTTTTTTTCAAACTATAAATGGTAATGACATTCTTTGGCCTTTGATCAGACCACCCTTAGGGGCAAGAGAGTAGTTTCATGTTTTGCTTTTTCTAGTGTCCCCTGTGTCTGGGTATAGTTGCAGTCTCAGCTGTCATACTAACAGTGCTGAGTGAGTCCCTTACTTTCTTTGGGTTTTGGTTTCTCCCTTGTAAAAATGATCCTGGACTAACTGATCATTAAGTTCAGGTCAAGTAATAAAAATCCTTAATGTACTCACAAATACAATTTAATGTTCCTGAATAATCCTTGTAAAAACTGCAGCAGTTACTCAGTTTTGTAAGGTGTGGTTGGGTACTATTAGGCTCAAAAGTTTATAGGAGCTTTGTGAGTATAGTTAACAACTCAAAAGAATGGGGTGTTTTTTCCCGAGGGGCATGAAATGTTTTTGATAAATAGAGTTCATTTGACTTGGTAATGTGGAAAATGAGTAGCCCTGACACGTACGCTATGCTTTTGCAGTTTTTCTCTCAAGTAGCAATTGGGTGGCTTTTCCTGTAAAAGATAGAGGAACTGATTCTTGAGAATTTACGAAAGCTTCAACCCTAACTAGGTATGCAAAGAATAGTTGCCCTTTATGTTGTAATTTTAGGAAGAAACCTACATCTGGTCTAAGTTTCATTTGAATAATATGATAGTTTACACATCTGCCATATTTGAGAAGAAAGTACCTAAGTCTCCAGCATTTTAGAAATAATGCTTTACTTTGTGTAGAAATGGTCTTTAGAGTTTAATAGCTGCTGCCCTCTCCTTTTTCAAAGCAGCTTGACATAATCATGAGTATCTTGCTGACAGCTTGTAAATTTTGATTGTATGAAAACTGAAAATAAGACCATTTCACATGGAAGATTCCCTCCTGCCCTGAAACAGCCAAAGAAAACTGTAGCCATCAAATCTATTGATCTCTGGGCTTTGGTACAAGTCACACTACTACAAATAAAATAATACCAAGTACTTATAAATGATTTTCAGTCCTTTTAAAGTTTATTTTTTTAATATTTTTTTTGAGATGGGGTCTTGCTGTGTCGTCCAGGCTGGAGTGCAGTGGCACAATCTTGGCTCACTGCAACCTCCACCTCCTGGGCTCAAGTGATCCTCCCACCTCAGGCTCCCAAGTAGCTGAGACTACAGGCATGTGCCATCACGCCCAGCTAATTTTTGTATTTTTTTGGAGTAGAGATGGGATTTTGCTGTGTTGCCCAGGCTGGTCTTGAACTCCTGGGCTTAAGCCATCTGTCTGCCTCAGGCTCCCAAAGTGTTGGGATTACAGGTGTGAGCCACTGTGCCCGGCCCAGCCCTTTTTTTAAGAGAAAAACGTATGACATCGTTCGATTTACTGAGTGCTTATGGTTTTACTAAGGCAGTAAGGTTTTATGGATACCCTATGGTAATTAGATAGAATTAGTGCTCTGAAGTCAGCTCTGTAATATGGACTCAGAGTAAACATGGCAAAGGGACACTTAAGGTCTGCATTTTCTCTGGGAAATAAACGTATTCTTTACTACTCTGAATCTAGTGCTGGGAAATTCTAAATCCTTCTTGAGGATTAACCACTTGAAGTAAAGTTTTGGGTCCCAAGTAGGCTTGTGTCCCTGTCTCCTTCTCTTTACTTTTCAGATGTTTCTTCCTAGAGACTGAGGTATATTTTACTTTTACAGATGAAGAAGGAAGCCTCGGCTGTGTTTGTGGCTTTTGTGGGTGAGCAACATCACTTGCAAAGATAAGATGAGCATAGCAAAACTAGGCTTTCAAAATAATTTTTAAAAATTTCTTAGTGATTAGAAAAGGAAAACTCTTCCCTTGTCTCTGTTAAGAAACGTTTTTCGACTTTTTTCCTTTCTTAATGGATCTTTTATTGGCACTTCTCTTCCTTTTGCAGAATCTTACTTAAAAGTCACTACGTTACATTACAGCAAACAGCTTAGCTAATTTTTATCCAGATGGGCCCCGGTTACAGGATTGTACACTATTGCGAATTTCTTACAGGAAAGTGAACATCAAGTAATTATTCCAAATAGAGTTCTCTTAAGAACGTGAGTTACTTAAAAATGTCTAAGGATGAAGTCACTTCTGAATATAACTTCACTCAAGAGAACAAATAAGCAAACTGCATTTAGCATAACATGGTAAATTAGCTTTAACTCTCCTTGATGTTTGAACATTTGTCGCTGTTAACTACTGTTTCACTTTTCAAATAGTCAGGGCTTAGTTTGCTTCTGTAAGGATAAAGGGAAAATACGCCTTCACTGAGTCATAAATATTTTTGTGGCTAACTTTTGCACAGAGAAAAGAGGCCTCTAAGAAGGTACCCAGTGAATTTTTTTTTCGGGGCAGGGAGAGAATATGTCATTTTTTGGTTTGTTGTTGTTGTTGTCATTGTTTTGCTTTGTTGTTTTTACTCTGAACTGAACTGTATCTTGACAGCACTTTTGAATTAAGAGCATTACTCTTATTGTTCTCTACTACCTGGACGCCACCTCCCTGTTGCCATAGTGTTAAGGATCATGCTCCGAGGTGGGGTGAGGCAGAATGGGGCCAAGATCAGAAAGTTACATTAAGCTACATCAGGTTTATACAAGCATAAAACCAAATTTTTGGAGCAGTCCCCAGAATACAACCTGGTTTAGCCACACCTAAAGGTTGCTCTTGAATATTCCTTGAGAATCCACATCCCTAGAATGCTGGGTTTCAATGGGCCCTTTATGTACCTATCATGGTGTCATTTCTGAGCATTTCTAAATATTCCTTCATGTCTTACTGACAGTTTTTCTTGAATAAATCTTAGGAATATTAGTGCCATTATCAGTATTTTGTTTGGTCTGTTCACACCACAAATAACTACCCAGGTCTGCTACTTGCCCCTATTTCTCTACCTGCTAATGAAAATGCTTTTGAAAGTTTGAGTAACAGTATTGGAGTGTGCACAGTGGTATTGGTAGGTTCTGTACTCATCCTTAACCACTTGTTTTCATCCTTTGTGAGCTTGAAGTTTCTCCAAAAAATTTATCACAAAACTTATCAGACATAGTTAATACACTCAGAGAGAGAATCACTGAAAAAGTAGATGTAGTTTAACAAACCCAGTGCCTTTTTTTTACCCATGAATACATATTTGTCAACTAAACCTCATTTTGCAACTTGTTCCACTACTCGAATGGTAACAAACTTTTGGTTTCCCAATAGATTTGGAAGATGTTGCTTTTGAAAGTAGGAAATAGATGGCTTTAGAAGATGGAAGAATATTTTGTTTGAAGTGGGAGCGTGGTATGTCCTTAGCTGTCTGTGAAATGCAGCTGAAGATGGGTGTGGGCCTTCATCTGCATTTCCCATCTTCAGTTTGAGGAGGTAGTTACCCTTCTAACCACTTAAGAACTGCATGGTACATGCTGTTTTATTTACAGGGCAAAACTGTGCTCCCGTAGTTTCCCTGGTGCTTGCCTTCACGTTAACACAGTGTCATCGTTTGGCAGTGTTTATGTGCCAGGGTCCATGTTAGAAGGAGGAAAGGTATAGCGAAGTTAAAGGGTGCAGTTGGCCTCCCACCTTTAGTTTTGTAAGTGCCTTTAAAGTTTGATTTTTGTAGGTTGATCATAAGGAAGTGATAAGTATGTTAGGTTATTTGTGGTTTGAGCTAATTTTAGTCTCTTTTTACAGCTTGCTTTGTATCCTTTGCCATTAAAACATGCTTTCTAGAAAGACAACTTTTGAATGTAGGACACAGTCTATATTCTATACTTGGCTACATTTCAAAAAATATTTTCTCAGTACTTTGGAAGTTGGACAGTTGGAAGCATAGTGACAGTATTTAAAAATCTTTGATTCCGGCCGGGCATGGTGGCTCACGCCTGTAATCCCAGCACTTTGGGAGGCCGAGGTGGGTGGATCACTTGAGGTCCGGAGTTCAGGACCAGCCTGACCAACATGGTGAAACCCTGTCTCTACTAAAAATACAAAATTAGCCGAGCGTGGTGGTACATGCCTGTAATCCCAGCTACTCAGGAGGCTGAGGCAGGAGAATCGCTTGAATCTGGGAGGCGGAGGTTGCATTGAGCCGAGATCATACCATTGCACTACAGCCTGGGGGACAAGAGTGAAACTCTGTCTCAAAAAAAAAAAAAAAATTAAGTGATTTCTTTGCTTTGTGACACTTCTACTTTTCCAGCAAGTAAATTATATTCTTTCATACAGGTATGAAATTCTTGTTCCAAGCTAGTGGTTAAAAAGGCACAGTTGATATTAGAGGATTTGTAAAAGATTATGACCACGCCTGCAATGTACTGAAGCAAGGCTTTGCTGGGCTGTGTATAGGAAACCTTCCCCAGCCTGTGCCCTTGCTTGATAGAACATTTTGCTCCTAAGGGTAGGTGCCTGTATCTGTCTCCAGTACTGGTTAGTTTCACACAGAACAGTTGTGTTTCAGAGCTTTAGTCTCAAGCTGCCCTGCTCCCCTGAAGCAGCCACCCTGAGCATGTGCACTCACAGGAGGGGACATGTGAGGTCATGGAAGAAGACGACTCAGGAAGAAGAAGACTTGGGTTTGGGTTCTGACTCTGCCTTTGACTGTTGTGGGATTTTGAGGAGTTGCATACAGGATCTGTAAAATGTAGTCATTAGACTAGACTAGACAGCCATATAGCATTACCTAGATGTAACTTTCTACAAAGACATGGTCACAGGAGAAGACCAGAGGGTGGGGTGATCTTTCTGGAAAAATTGGGGCTTCATGCCTTACTCATGCTAGATATGGTAGCATTATATGGCTGTGCCTGATCCCCCTAATCTAAAAGTGGGACAGAACTTTAAAATTTCATATTAACTCAAATTAAAACTTGAAAAAAACCCATTATTTCCTTAAAAATAATAAAATGCCCTGTGGGGGCATAAGTCACATTATATTTTAAAATTCCTGAATGCCACATGGATGAATGTAGTTCCTTTTGAAATTCTTCTTTTGTCTAAAGAGGAATGTTGGATTTTGTAATTGGACTAAAAAATCTTCCATTTGAGAGAGAAACAGTCTGCTGCATGTTCTACCCTTGTTCAGGATAAAACCCACTAATAGCTAACATTTATTGAATTCTGTGTTGTGCCTCAGGCACTGTGCAAAGTCCTTTACATGCAATGCTGTTTATTATATACTGTCAATTGGTCTATAACAGCAGGAAATGTTTCAGGAGGACAATGAGGTCCCAGACCCTCAGTCTTCTCCTGTGTCCTGGATTCAGCTTCACAATAGCACTATGGCAGTGTGGCCACTGCTTCAGCTTCCACATACATGGCTGTGAAGAGAGACAGGGGATTGTGCTAAGCCTCCCCGATTTATTAGGACATAGGAGGAGAGAGTTTGTAGTTTTTGACCTTTGCCTAGTTTTCTAACCTCTTTCCTAGATGTCACAAATTGGCCACCCACAGTCATATTTTGCTTGCTTCACGCAATGCTTTTTAAAAAAGAGAAGAGTTTAATTTGTGCCATTGTTTATAAATGAATCAGGAGAAATGACATGCAACTCTGGATTCTGGCCTCTCTTGAAAAATCTGAAAATCACACCGTCTGAGCTTACACTGGCAGTGGTCTGCTGGACTGAGGGACACAACTCCTTTTGGATGTACATGTGTGCGTTGCAGAGTTTACCACAGTCCCACAGTGGGTCACACTGTCCTTGTCGGTGTACACTACCTAGCACTTGAGTTTGCAACCCCTACCCCAAGCTGAGTTTTCTCGTCAAGCTTGATGTTAATGTTATGTGATGCTTGGCCTTGTAGGTATTTGGTATATTATCGTTAGATAAAATTGAAGCAAAGGGCTAAAGGGTTGGTGGCCTGAGGGAGTGCCCTTGACAGTAAAGTCTAGGATAAAATCATTGGCCAGGTACTCCTTCCCTTCCCGCCCTTCCTCTTTTCTCTTTATCCTCAGCCTCCTTCTGCTATTTTGAGGAAGTTAGAAGCCACCACCATTTTTTCCCACCTCAGGCAACTGAGTGTGGCTGTATTTCTGTCCCATGTTCAGTTATTTCCAGGAACTATTTTTGATGACCAACTTGAAGTTACATTGGGTGGGCCTAATGGGGGCTGATAAAAGAATGAGGTGACCAAATATGCTTGCACTGAGACGGCTACGAAGTAAGGTTTTTAATGACTTGCTTTGTGACTTGGTCAGGAGTGATACCATTTGTCATGTGTCCAACTTCATGACTAAATGGTTGCTCTACCTTATCCTCATAGCTATAATAAAATAAAATAAATACATACATTGCAGGGAGGAATGTATCTTGTTAAAGGTCTCTCCCTTTTAGCAACAAAAGTACATATTATGTTGTAGAACATGCTTTTTCTTTGATCCTTCTTGAACACCTATTACTCTATAGAGGTATGTTGTGTATGGCAAATTAGAACAAGCAATAGATAAGGATGATTCTTTACCATTATAACCCAGTCAAGGTCTTTGTCCTAAGTTTTGTACCTTTCTCCAGAGGGAAAGGTATTTGTATTTATTTATTTATTTTTGAGGCAGAGTTTTGCTCTTGTTGCCCAGGCTGGGGTGCAATGGCACGATCTCAGCTCACTGTAACATCCGCCTCCCGAGTTCAAGTGATTCTCCTGCCTCAGCCTCCCGAGTAGCTGGGATTACAGGTGCCTGCCACGATGCCCGGCTAATTTTTTTTTTTTTTTTTGTATTTTTAGTAGAGATGGGGTTTCATCATGTTGGCCAGGCTGGTCTTGAACTCCTGACCTCAGGTGATCCATCCACCTCGGCCTCCCAAAGTGTTGGGATTACAGGCATCAGCCACTGCCTCCGGCCAGGTATTTGTATTTTTAGTCTCTATGCCTTACCGTCTCAGATCAGGAGGATTTGGTGATTTATCGAATGTGGGGGAAGGGGAAGAAGAGGAAACGGGAGGAATGTTCCAGATTAGGGAAATAGCTAGATGGAAGATGCAGCCCCTCATCAAGGTGGGGACACAGGAAAAGGAACGTGTGCAAAGAAGATGGTGATCTGGTTGTGACCATGTTGTTAGAGGACGTCCAGGGAAGCATCTGGTAGGTGGTGGGGTGTTTAAATATAGAACATTCGGAGAATGCTCCGAAGCTTCAGAGAACCCTTCCCAAAAGGACAAAACCAGCTCAGTGTTTTAGCACTCCGGGATCATATGGCATGACAGCATGGCTGCTTTATACTTTTTTGTGTATGTGAAATTAAAACCAACCACTCAGGACCAATTTCTCTGAAGCTTTTTGTCAATCTTTCATTTGCTTTTCTCGTCTAGATTGTAAGCTCCTTGCAGCCAGTGTCTGTTGATTCAGTCATTCAAAAAATAATACATGAACAGCTACTAGGTACCAGGCTCTGTGCTGGGCAGTTGGGATATGTGGTGAGGAAGACAAACTTGGTCCCTGCCCTTAGGAAGTTCAGTAGTCCAGCAGACAAAGTGGCTGAATAAAGATAATCTCAGTTCACAGTGATAAGAGCTCTTACAGGCCTAGGCTCCAGGTGCTGTGGGGATGCTCAGGAAAAGGTATCTAATTGGGATTGGGAGCAGGCAAAACAAATAAAGGATAGTGTATAAAGGTAATATCTAGTTGAAGTTCTGAAGGGCAAGGAGGAGTGAGCCTGTATATTCTCTGAGTCTCTCCCTAATCTGGGATTGACTTCTTGTCCGTCTCTGTTCATATTAAGTGTCACCTAGGCTTGAAAGGGTGAGATCATATTTCACTTCCTTCCTCTTTGGTCTTAACCTTTCTCTGCTACCCCCTCACACAATGCATATGCATTATTCTCTTATTGTATATATTTTTCCTCTCTTCCTTTTCATGTTTCCTCTGCCATTACTTTTAACCTCGACTGCCATATGGCCTCTAAACGCTTCCAGAAGGGTAGCCTAGTGGAGGTTATTCCATCATGGCCTTGAGCTCATGCGACCAGATAGTGAAGGCATCTGTGTAGGTGTCTTCTCCAGGAGGGTGATATTTGTTTCATTGTAAATTTTGTAGCCCTAGAACACCAACAACAGTGCACAGTAATTAGTAGGCAGGCAGTACAGGATTCATTGAAGTGAAGTGATAACTTTTATCCAAGTATGTATGCAGATAATCTTTGATTTGTACAAAAAAAATTATATTTTAATATGTAAAGATTTTTTAAAAGAATCTTCAAGTTTTAGCCTTCCCACTAGGAATATATTGAAAACATGTGCCTAGTTCACTGACTTGCAGCTGCCACTATGAGAATAAAGGTCTCATTTAGTTGTTGTGAATTTTAAGGGATATTTTCAATGATGTTGGCTGGTTTATCCCATTATGTGGTCTTTTTTTTTTTTTTTTTTTTTTTTTGAGGTGGAGTCTCGCTCTGTCACCCAGGCTGGAGTGCAGTGGCGCAATCTCGACTCACTGCAACCTCCGCCTCCCGGGTTCAAGCGATTCTGCTGTCTCAGCCTCCTAAGTAGCTGGGATTACAGGCGCCTGCCACTACGCCCAGCTAATTTTTGGTATTTTTGGTAGAGAAGGGTTTCACCATGTTGGTCAGGCTGGTCTCGAACTCCTGACCTCATGATCCACTCACTTCAGCCTCCCAAAGTGCTGGGATTACAGGCGTGAGCCACCATGCCCAGCCTATGTGCTCTTATTAGCAATTCTCAGTACACAGATAGCTTTGAGTGATTCTTTCAAGTCAAGTACCTTATTAAAAAACTCAAGTGTACTGATAATTATCTTACTTTTAAATGGCTAAGTGATAAGACTGAATTTTTAGGTACTGTAACACTTCAGATTACAGATTCTGATATTTTTATGGTTATTTATATTTATTTATTTTTGAGATGGAGTTTTGCTCTTGCTGCCTAGGCTGGAGTGCAATGGCACGATCTCGGCTCACTGCAACCTCCGCCTCCCAGGTTCAAGCGATTCTCCTGCCTCAGCCTCCTGAGTAGCTGGGATTACAGTCACCCGCCACTACAGCCGGCTAATTTTTGTTATTTTTAATAGAGACAATGTTTCACCATGTTGGCCAGGGTGGTCTCGCACTTCTGACCTCTGGCGATCCGCCCGCCTCGGCCTCCCAAAGTGCTGGGATTACAGGCGTGAGCCACCGCACCTGGCCTGGTTACTTAAATTTAAATACAAAAATTATGTTGATTAATTCTGAATGATTTCCTGATTGCTCCCCGTTTACCATTCACACATTTATTAAATTCTTCGCTTGCCATATAGAAGCAGTCTCTCTGCCATATATGCCATATAGATAACAGAACTAGCTGTCTGCAAACCACTGAAATTGTGAAAACATCTCCCCTTTTTTCCTGTTTCTAATTCTAGCTATGAGGATTATATACAGAAGTAGTCCTGGATTTGATTTTTTTTTTTTTTTGATGATTGTTTTTTGATAGTTGTTGACTACAAATCATTTAAACGTCTGAAAGGGGAAAGGTTTTCCTTAAAAATGGATGACAAAGGAGAATAAAAAGGTATTTTGACTATTTTTTTGAATGATGAGTTTTTTTTTTCTCTTTCTTGTTTTCTTTTGGAGTCATTTATGTGTCACTGAGTGGATACCATGGAACATGTGGCAGAAGTAGATATATGGGGTAAAAGAACCATAGTTCATAAGCTCCTTGACAGAATCACTGAAGTGTAGCCGTTATATGGCCACTGTCGCAGGGGGAGGCAGCAGTTTTGAAGAAGGGGATGAGTAATAATGAGTGATAAAAAGGCATCCTGGATAGAAGACCAAACTCTGCAGAAGACCCCAGTTTGATTATGCTTTTGTTTTCTGATTTGCGGAGGAGAGTGAAAATGCCTGAGGGGTGCGGGGGAGCACATAGGGTGTATGTGTGTGTGTGTGCGCGTGCAGATTCTCTCTTTCACTGTATGTATTTGTATGCATGTATGTATCTTAGGACTTAAGCTTTCTAGTCAATAAATTGCCATAGTGGGGAATTGCTTAATTGCTTGCCTTCTGTTGTTGTATTTAATTTAATTTTATTTTTAATGATTTTTTTGGTGGGGTACAGGGTCTTAACTATGTTGTCCAGGCTGGTCTTGAACTCCTAAACTCAAGTGATCCTCCCGCCTCGGGCTCCCAAAATGCTGGGATTACAGGTGTGAGCCACCATGCCCAGCTTAGTTGTATTTTAAATGGGCCTGTTTGCAGCATTCCCTACTCCCCTTAGTTTACCTGGCTCACAACCTGTCTTTCCATATCAAGGCTTCTGTCACCCCTGGCCCATGTCAGTGCATTTGGGCAGCCCACCCAGCATCATCACCTCATGTCCCAGGGAACTTCCTGTTCCTCTCTTCCAGCTATTTCCTTCCCTGGCAGTTGAGATAGTCTCTACCTTTGACCTACTGTTAAGCTCAGACCTTCTGCTCTCTAGTTACAGCCTCTGTGCTGCCAGATTCCCTCGCTCAGTTGCTTTCTCTAGTTTGGGTTTTCTCCTTTATTCAGATTTCCAGCTGTTTCTCTCCTCCCCCCACCGCAGCCTCCTCACTTCCCTCCTTATGCATCTGAGACTGTGGTCAGTCACTTTAGATGCTGCCTCTCCACTGTACTTGTGTCCATCTTCTTACCTACCACCTCTAGCCCTGGAGCAGGCTCTTCCCCTGTCTTTGTCTTCCTGGGCCCAGGCTCCTAAGCGCTGCTGGAAAAAAAATCCCCCAGTATTGAGCCCCTAGAAATCCAGTCTTTAATCCCAAATCTGTCTCCCCCAGCATCTGGCCATCAGATCTAAAGCTTACCTGCCATCCTTTCCACCTCATTTCTCTCACAGGGGAAAAGGAGCCTTTGCTCCTAGAGTCTGCGCTCCTGACCCCTTCCCATCTCACCTGTTCAAGGCATCTTGCAATAAGGGGTTGGTGACTCTCGAGGAATGGATCCCAGGCCCTCCCTATTATCATCTTATGTATGCCAGTTCAACGTTCTCAGCTTCCTCCAGCCGAGACGGCCCCTCCAGCCACTGCTTTATACTCTCCTTCTCTGGTTGAAATTTTTGAAGTAAATAGGTCACTCTGCCCATCGTTCATCTTCCAGTCACTCTGTGTGTTTATCTTCCAGGGAAGTGAGGCTCTATGCTACCAAGCCACTGAAATAATTTTTTTTTTTTTCCAGACTGAGTCTTGCTCTGTCACCCAGGCTGGAGTGCAGTGCCGCAGTCTTGGCTCACTGCAACCTCTGCCTCCCGGCTTCAGGCGATTCTCCTGCCCCAGCCTCCTGAGTAGCTGGGATTACAGGTGCCTGTCATCACGCCTGGCTAATTTTTTGTATTTTTGGTAGAGATGGGGCTTCACCATGTTGGCCAGGCTTGTTGGCATGTTGACCATGTTGGCCAGGCTAGCCTCAAGTGATCCACCCGTCAGCCTCCCAAAGTGCTGAGATTACAGGTGTGAGCCACCGCACCTGGCCTGAAATAATTCTTGACAAGATCTGCTTCCTTGTTACTAATACAGTGGATATTTTGCATCCTAATTTTAATGCAGTTCAGTGTGGTAGACCTGTATTTGCATATTGAATATTCCCTTCCCTGTTTTAATAACTCTATTTTTTCCTTTTCTTTTATATCTCCTGCTTCTCTAGCTAGTCCTAGACCTTACTCATCGGTGTCTTCTCTGTTTGTTCCTCAACTTGAGGAGTTCCTACAGGGTTTACCCAATCTGCTGCTTTCATTTAGCCCTTTTGTTCTTTTTGAGCCATCTCATTCACTCACCCAGGATGTAGCATCGGCCCTTGAATTCAGTGTGCACACATACACTGTGCACTATGGGACAGCCTTCAGAGGCACTTTGTTCCTGAAATTGTGGTGGTCTTTGCCTCTCATGGAGCCTTGCATATGCTGTTTCCTCTGCCTGGAATATCCTACCTTTTACTTAACTGATTCTCGTTCTTCTTTCCAGTCACATTTTGTACATTTCTTCTGGGAAGCTTTCTCTGATTTCCCCTTTCCACAGGTCCAAGTTAACTGCCTTGTCTAGGTCCTCCCATGGCCCTCTGAAGGCCTCCTTTCATAGCACCATGTCTGAGTATACTGTAATAACACGCATTGCTCTGTAATAGCCTGTTTACTTACCTATTGCCAAGTAATCTATCAAGTCTTATAAAGGGCGGGGCTGCTTTTGTTCTAGTCATTTGTATCTCTTAGTACCCAATATAGTGTTTGGCATATAGAAAATACCCAACAAGGCCAGTCGCAGTGGCTCATACCTGTAATCCGAGCACTTTGGTAGGCTGAGGTGGGCGGATCACTTGAGGTCAGGAGTTTGAGACCAGCCTGGCCAACATGGTGAAACCCTGTCTCTACTAAAAATACAAAAATTAGCCAGGCGTGGTGGCGGGTGCCTGTAGTCCCAGCTACTTGGGAGGCTGAGGCAGGAGAATCACTTGAACTGGGGAGGTGGAGGTTGCAGTGAGCTGAGATCACTCCACTGCACTCCAGCCTGGGTGACAGAGTGAGACTCCATCTTAAAAAAAAAAAAGACTCCATCTTAAAAAAAAAAAAAAAGAAAAAAGAAAGAAAATACCCAATAAGTAGTTCCTGAATGAATAGATGAGAATGCTGTTTAGAAGGTTCATGAATTGGAAACCGTGATTGCTAGGGAGGCTTTGAGTTGATGGTATTGTGTTGAACCATGTGTTACCCAGGATCAATTTAGATTTTACACTTTGTTTTCTCTGTTCCTTTTTATAGTAATTTTCTGTATGTGGTGTTTTCCCCCCATGAGATTGTATACCATTTCTCAGCGAGAACTGTGTGTAATGCTTGGTGGCTCCCTCATGGTGCCTTGCATGGAATTGGACTTCGTTTCAGTGGATCTGATCCCAGTTATGTTAATGCTCGATGGAGCTAAGTCTTATCTCGAAGCAGTCCATGTCTTCATCAGCTGGCCCTGCCTCCATGCCCTGCACAGACCATGCCACTCTGGAGAGGTAGTTTCCCTGTGGCTTATTAGTCTTATGTTCCAGTGTGCTGGCCAAGTATGAGAGACATCAGTGGTATGAGAGAGTCTCTCTCATTCAAACTTCGTAGGTTTTGTAGCTGGGACTGACCAGTGCTGACAGGAAATAGAGGCATTTATTAAAAGCCAGAGATTTTTCAAGTTGCAGGAAGCAAAGCTCTTGTTAGCTATGATTTTGTGGTGGGTTTGGTAGTCCAATATAAAAGTAAAAACTGGATGACAATGGGAGGAGCATGCTTGGGTCTCCAAAGTTAGATCATTTTTCCTAAGTAATTTGTCTTTAAACTTTTACTGGTTTGGAATTTCCTGAGATTTTGATCTTGCCAGAAAGTTTATAGCAAAAGTTCTGAGCAGATGACACTTTTGCGTCTGAAACCAAATCATTGTTTTTGTTTTTAACTTTTTTCTTAATATATTATCCTTAGTTCAGCCCTGAAGATTATTCTGTTATTTGTGGATCTCAACTTTCCCCCCATCTCCTGGATCTTTGTGAAATGAATGGTATTAATTGAATAGAGAAGGAAGATATAAACATAAACTTAGTCAAAAACTTGTTCTTGACTAGGCAAGTTGGGCTTTATAGCTTTGAGCTGATGACATGTCTATTCTTGTGAAAAAGGGATTTTTAGTGTTGGTTTGGCTTCTTGTTATATTTGATTTATTATTATTATCATTATCATTATTTTTGAGACAGAGTCTTGCTCTGTCGCCCAGGCTGGAGTGCAGTGGCTCAATCTCGGCTCAGTGCAACCTCCGCCTCCCAGGTTCAAGCGATTCTCGTGCCTCAGCCTCTGGAGTAGCTGGGATTACAGGCGGGTGCCACTACACCTGGCTAATATTTGTATTTTTAGTAGAGACAGGTTTCACCATGTTGGCTAGGCTGGTCTTGAACTCCTGACCTCAGGTGATCCACCTGCCTTGGCCTCCCAAAGTGCTGGGATTACAGGCCTTAGCCACTGTGCCTGGCTGATTTTTTTTTTTTTTTTTTTTTTAGGTTTGTTTTAACTGGAACTTTACGTGAATGTAATTGAATTTAGAATAAAAGCACTTAATTTCACAGTGTGCAGTGAACTTTCTGTTACTTATTTTAACAGTAAAACCCCTTGCAGTAAATGACTTGGAGCAAAGATTGCTTTTTTAAAAAATGTTTTAATTTGTTTTTCTTTTCTTGAGATGGAGTCTTGCTCTGTCACCAGGCTGGAGTATGGTGGCGCGATCTTGGCTCACTGCAGCCTCCCCGCCTCCTAGGTTCAAGCGAATCTCCTGCCTCAGCCTCCTGAGTAGCTGGGACTACAGGCACATGCCACCATGCCCAGCTAATTTTTGTATTTTTAGTAGAGACAGGGTTTCACCATGTTGGTCAGGATGGTCTTGATCTCTTGACCCCGTGATCCACCCTCCTCGGCCTCCCAAAGTGCTGGGATTACAACTGCTGGGATTACAAGTGCTGGGATTACAAGCGTGAGCCACCACGCCTGGCCAATTTTTTTTTTTTTTTTCTTTTTGAGACAGAGTTTCACTCTGTCACCCAGGCTGGAGTGCAGTGTCACAGTCAAAACTCACTGGCAGCCTTAACCTCCTGGGCTCGAATGATCCTCCTGCCTCAGCCTCCCAAGTAACTGAGACTACAGGCATGTACCACTGTGCCCAGCTAATTGTTTTTTTATTTTTTATTTTTTGTAGGGACAGGGTCTCGCTATTTTGCCCAGGCTAGTCTACAACTCTTGGGCTCAAGCAGTCCTCCTGCCTTGACCTCCCAAAATGTTGGGATTACAGGGACAAGCCACTGCACCTGGCCAAGGATTGTTTTTTAAGTGAACTGAGACCCAGCCTTATTAGTGGTCCCAGAGCAGACCTGGGACCTGAAGGGAACCCTTTTCTTCTGGTCCAGCGTCTTTCCTCTGATGGGCTACTTTCCTGGAGCCTTTGATTGCCTGTCATCAGAGTAACTGAGTTTGAACAGAGTAGGTAGTTCCTCTCCAGACCACCACACTCACCAGCTTTCATTCTGCTTCTCTCGTTTAGACTGTGGTTCTGAATCCTCAGTTCTATTTACTGAGTGTTTTTAAACATAAAAATGCCTTTTAATGAGATTGAAGGCCAGAGGTGGGACAGTTGAGGACAAAGTAGAAATAAAACCTTCAAGGCGGGGTTGTTGGTGGGAGTCTTTTTTTGTTTGTTTGTTTTTTGAGACTGAGTCTCGCTCTGTCACCCAGGCTGGAGTGCAGTGGCACAATCTCAGCTCACTGCAACCTCCGCCTCCCGAGTTCAAGCTATTCTCCTGCCTCAGCCTCCTTAGTAGCTGGGATTTCAGGCTCCCGCCACCATGCCCAGCTAATTTTTGTATTTTTGGTAGAAACGGGGTTTCACCATGTTGGCCAGGCTGGTCTCAAACTCCTGACCTCAGGTGATCTGTCTGCCTCAGCCTCCCAAAGTGCTGGGATTACAGGCGTGAGCCACTGTGCCTGGCAGGGAGTCTTATAGAAGCTGTCGTGGACAATGTGGGAAGTAGTGAGCCTTTGTATTCCAGTATGCTGGGCTCCACTGTGCTTGCTCTGGCCCCCGGTCGCTCTCTGTGTGTTATTGAGTCCCCATCCACGGCCATACTCTTCGTCCTGCTTCTCTCCTTACCATCCTCTCCCCGCTAGTGGTACCACGGCTACCACTAGCAATTACTGACATGTGGGATCTTAGGGCTACTTCCCTATAAGGCTGCAGGGCATGTGGTGTTGGCTACGCGCATGGTAACCATGGTAGCCCTGTGGTTCTCCACATGTGCGCCTTGTGACCTGGGATTGGCTGCAGACTAGTAATAAACTGCGTCTTCTGGTATGGAATCTGTCTGTAGTTGTACTTTCTACCTCTGTATTTAAGGGGAGATCTGTAACCTACCAATGCCAGTTGAAGAGGATGGATGATAGAGATGTTAACAAACAGCTGAAAAACTAACTACAATGGCCTGCAAAATAGAACAGCAGGTTTTTGTGGCAAAACTTTGTGTCCATGAGTTTGTTTTTTAAATATCCTCATATAATCTGTTTTAAATCGAGAGGCTTTGGGTAAAAGCCATGGCTAGTCTTACATGTCATGGAGTACCTAGCTTGTGAGGTTCACAGTTTATTATTTACAGAGTGTCCCCTTAAATCTTCTTTGGGTCGGTTCAGCGAATGTTGCTCAGATGGACTTTTTTGGCTGACATAGAGTCAAAATGGTAATCAAGCATGAAAGTACAGACAGTCCTTAACGCACAAATGTGTCATGCTTGAAAAGTTGGAAAGTTGGTTCTCTGGAGCTCTGATTGTATTGTCCTGTAGAATCCGTGTTGTGAATGGTGGTTAAATCCCAAATGAGTCCGTAGAACCTATATAATCTGCAATATACCTGCAGTATTCCAATTAATATGTAATTCCCCCATAGAACTATGTTAATGATTTGTATGTATGGTATTTAATATTATACATAATAATGATTGTATGAATAAAAAACATTCTGGGCTCCATGTGGATGATGGGGTGTGTGTGTGTGTCTGTCTATGTGTGGGTGGGTGTGTGTTCATAGATCCCTTTTCCTGCAATCCTGGCACTGGAATTGGTTTTATCATTTCCAATTAAGTTTCATTCCCATGAATTTTGGAGTACAGACTGGGTCCAGGTATGCAGGGCATAGATTAGAGCCCTGAGAAATAGGATTAGGCTGGAATTGCTGGGTTGGAGATCAGTAGCTTCCAGGAACACTTTTTGGGCCTGGCTGTCTTCATTATCCCCTTTTGTTTTCTCCTGGGGTCTGCAGGTATTGCCCTGTTTTGTTCCTCTAATATCACTTTTTTTTTTTTTCTGCTTTTGACCAGGGTTTTTGCCTCTGGTCTACAACTGAATATCCTATCAGACTCTCCTGATTTTGAAATAAATATATAGTTTTTTTGAGGTGTTCTAGCGAATTTCTAAATCTAAATGTTGTGGCAGAGTTATTACATACTAATTTTGCTATGAGAGGTTGTAGAATCCCAGATGACTAATCTTGTAAACCATACACGCATTTCCATCTAATTCTCCATTGTATATCATGTTGCAGAAAATAACAGCCTCTAGAGTTTACATTGCCTCCTTTGACTATATTTCTTATTTAAGATTAGTTTTCAGATAAGACCTTTTCATGGCAGTACATAACTGTACAGAGGGCTTCCAACTTGTCTTGGGAGCTCTCATCTCTGGGAGACATCACATTACCCACTGCCCCCTGCCCCCCGCCCCCAGCCTGGATGCACTCAGCCTGTACCCCATTTCTGTCCTCAGCCAAACACTGCTGAAATGCAAGAGCTTTCAATTGCTAGCCAGTGAAGATGCAGACTAAGGGATTTCCATGTAGAAGCCCGCTCTTTTCAGCTGGCTCGTCGAGAGCTGGAGGCCCCTTGCTTGTTCACATGAGGCTTTTTGTCCCTGACTTGGTGGCTGCTGTTTCACTTCTCAGCAGAAAGGGACACCCTTGCCCCCCCCCAGAAAGGAAGATTTGATGTACCACTTCCGAAAGGTTCAGTCGGGCATCACTGTAACCAAGAAGATAGGTCAGGTGAGGCTGGAGGTGGAACAGGGCTGCTCGCTAGAACTCCAGATTGTTCCACAAGTGCCTTCTGGCAGAGAATGATGGAAGCTTCCGTGATTTTTTTTTCTCCTTAATAGTTATGAGCACAGAAGAGGAGCAGATTGTCTGGCTATAGAAGCTGTCTTATTTTTTATTTTTGTTTTTGAGATGGAGTCTTTCTCTCTTGCCCAGGCTAAAGTGCAATGGCGCGATCTCGGCTCACTGCAACCTCCGCCTCCCGAGTTCAAGCGATTCTCCTGCCTCAGCCTCCTGAGTAGCTGGGAATTACAGGCATGCGCCACCATGCCAGACTGATTTTTGTATTAGAGACAGGGTTTCACCATGTTGGTCAGTCTGGTTTCGAACTCCTGACCTCAAGATCTGCCCACCTCAGCCTCCCAAAGTGTTGGGATTACAGGTGTTAGCCACTGCACCCGGCCGAAGCTGTCATATTAAATAGCACTTTCTGCTTTTAGCAAATTTAATCCAAATGAGACTTTAGATTTTCTTGCTCTGACTTACCAGCAGTTCCTTGAAACACATTTAATTATTTTTGCCAGAAAATCACTCAAGCACTTACGCCATTTTTTTACCGTGAAAATATGCTGCATTATTTTAAAATATATTAGAAGTCAGTAACCATAAGATTTTATATGTTTTCTAATGTATTCTGTAAGCTTTCTGCTGCTTTTGTTTGGAAGGTGTATTTTGTAACGTAGAGGACTGCTTTATCTGCTTGTAAGCTTGATTTTTGTTTTTACTGTAATTTTTTTTTCTTTTGCTGTATTGAGAAATACATTGAGTAATTATAAAGTCAGTGGCATGTTTATAAGTTAATATTTGTATCTATTCCTTAGTTACTCTAACTCAAAACCTAAAGTAATCTTCAACTCTAATTTACTCTGACATCCAGTTGACTGCCAAGTCCTCCAACTTAATCCTTATCCTTTTTTTTTTAAAGAGATGCAGTCTTGCTTTGTCACCCAGGCTGGAGTGCAGTGGTGCAATCATAGCTTACTGTAACCTCAAATTCCTGGGCTCAAATGATCCTCCCACGTCAGCCTCTGGAGTAGCTGGGGCTACAGGCTCTTGCTACCATGCCCAGCTAACTTTTTATTTTTATTTTTTATAGAGACAGAGTCTCACTGTTGCTCAGGCTGGCCTTGAACTCCTGCCTTCAGGCGGAACTCCTGCCTTCAGGCGGTCCTCCTGCATTGGCCTCCCAAAGTGCTGGAATTACAGGCCCAATTTTATTCTTGGGATGTATGTCTGAAACTCTTTCCTTCACTTCCTTCCCAAGCCTTAGTTCAGGCCCTTCTCATCTGTGGTCTTCAAAGTCGCCTTCAGCTGGTTCAGGTCCTTCCTTTCTGCTGTATCTTTCATGGGAGGACATGTTATGTATCACTGTCCTACTTGAAAACTTCCATTCCCCATTGATGAGGGTGTTACCTCCAGATTCCTAACACAGGTGCTGAAGGCATGCCTGGATAAAGGCACTCCCTTGATCTCCTGGCCAGGTCCCCGTACACCTGCAGCGCATGCTCCACATTCTGTCTTTACTGATGCTGTGTCTTCTGCCTGCGGAGCCACCCACCATTCTATTCACAGCCCCTGCCTCAGCGGAGCACGTGCCTCCCTCTTCCTACACTGAGCTGTCCTTTCTATTGAATCCCCTCTTTTTTGTAGTATGGGAAATATTTTATTATGAATACTCTTTTCTCTGTTGCCTCCGTGACCACGTTAACTTTGCCCTAATTCGCCTTAGGACTCCATCTGCTTAGGGGAAAGTTAGGATTTGGTTACAGAAAGCAAGCTGCTAGAAAGAACAGTGTTTAGCTTCTGACAGGCAAAATAGGATTTTGCAACATGCTTTTCCTTTTTAATGCTTAGACATTTTATATGAATTAATATTTTTATTTGGTTGCTTATACATTACTTTCTTTTTAGCTAGAATGTGAACCCTATAGGAACATGGGGATTGCCTTTCACATCTTTGTATCCTCAGTACCTAATGTTCAGTCACCCTGTGGTCTTGTGTCGTATATACATTTAGCCTTCCTTAATTAAACCATATGTACTGGTCCCCGTCCCCCACCCCCAAATAGAGAGAAAGAAATTCCTTGAATACTACATTGCCAGTATCAAACCACACCTTGATATCCTCTGGGGAAAGGGAGGTATCAGTTGAAAAGAGAAAAGAGGTTAAAATCTAGGCATTAAAATGTGTAAGGCTTAGATGCTGGCAATTTAAGGTATGTTTTCCTGAGGTTAATTTTGATTGTGTGCAAATTTTACCTCATATCTAAC
Organism: Homo sapiens; assembly: GCF_000001405.40. NCBI lineage: Eukaryota > Metazoa > Chordata > Mammalia > Primates > Hominidae > Homo > Homo sapiens. The sequence goes on from NC_000020.11 coordinate 50,536,091, forward strand.
TGTAGGATTTAGTCACCACATAAGATGGGATACCTCCATAAATCCTTCAGAAATGTTTGTGAAATTAAATAAAGCCTTATTGAAGACTCAGCTCTTGAGAGTCATCTACCTACCTAACAGTTATTCTTGAACAGAAGAGTCTTACTTTTCCCTATAAGGCAGTGTGATAGCCATCTGTATATTCATATAATTTATGTTGGCGCTTACTTCATTTAAAAATGTATTCCGTGAATGCAGTTGCCAGGCGGTGTGCTGATCAGAAACGTGTACCAATGGCCTCTTTTATAATTATAAGAGGAAGACCAACCTGAAACAGTCACACAAATGATTAATTTTAATTGTGGAGGAGTGCTGGGAAAGAAAAATAAAAGATGCAATGCAAGTGTTTACAAAGGAGCTTTGAGCTTGTTTGAAGTGGTCCTTGGGCACTTAAGCAAGGCTTAAAGAATGATGTGATTAGAAGTGGCTTAGCAATTCTAAAGAACACAGGGAAGGCGTGTGGCCAGAACATTGGTCCCTAGAGCACATCGCCTCCTGACATACCATTTCCTTAAGTTAATGTTTTACCACTATACATAGGCCCTCCCCTTTGTTTACCCAGATTTTTTTAATTTTAAGGATGTTTTTAATAACTTAGAATCCTGTAATTTGTTGAACAGTCCTGTATTCCCTTTACTTATATTCCTTGAGATTTTATAAAATATTTTTTACATGTCCCAAGTCTTGATTATATCTTTTTACCTCTTGTTAAGAAATACTTACTTTTCTATTTTTATGCTATATTTCATGTTTACTGTAGAAAACAAAAAAAGTAAAATTTTTCTTTATTCCTATCACTGCAGCTTATAAGCACTCTAAACATTTTGATCTATATTTTGCCAATCATATATTTTAGTTAAAATTGTTGTTGACATAATTGTAGATTCCTGTGCAGTTGAAAGAAATAATACAGAGCTGAGCGCGGTGGCTCACGCCTGTAATCCCAGCACTTTGGGAGGCCGAGGCAGGCAGATCATGAGGTCAGGAGTTTGAGACCAGACTGGCCAACATGGCGAAACCCTGTCTCTACTAAAAATACAAAAATTAGCTGGGTGTGGTGGCGGGCACCTGTAATCCCAGCTAGTTGGGAGGCTGAGGCAGGAGAATCGTTTGAACTCCGGAGGCAGAGGTTGCAGTGAGCCGAGATGGTACCATTCCACTCCAGCCTGGGCAACAAGAGCAAGACTGCATCTCAAAAATAATAATAATAATAATAAATAAACTTTAAAAATAAAACAGAGAGATCCCATGTGCGCTTTGCCTAGTTCCCCCATCCACTGCCCATAACATTTTGCAGAACTGCAGTACAGTATCACAACCACAATACTGACATTGATACAGTCTGCTCATCTTATTCATATTTCCCCAGTGTTACTCGTATCCACGTGTGTATGCATTGTGTTTTCAATACTCTTTTATTATAAAGCTGTTTTTAATGTGATTCAATTCTAGGTTGTTTTGTTCTGCCCTCAAAAAGCATTCCCTCTCCTAATCATATCTCCGTCATACCCTTGTATGTTTTCTTTAAACCTGTTTTAAGAAAGCAGCTACCTGTAAGAGAAATGAGATTGAAAACAGAATTGCCAATCTGCTTGTACTTTATAAGCCTGTTGATTGTTTAGATACGGTTTAGCCAGTTTATAGTTACCCTGGGTGCTGAAAGGTATGCTGGATGATACCTAACCAACAGAGAACCATTGAATGCCGTTCAAAATGGACTGAAGCATCAGCAATGTCTGAAAAAGGCCTGACAGTAATGTACATGTCAAATGGCCCGTAATTTAAGCAGAGTAGAGTAAGTAGAAGAATAAACATGGGGAAAGTTCCAGCAACAGAGGAGGCTTTGAGCTTTTGCTCTTCATCTTGAGTGGATGTTGTTCTCAGGTGGTAATAGGCCATCGAGCTTTCTCCACTGGCTGCCTCTCTGGGGAACAAATAACCGAAAAGATACTCAGCACCCTGGTTGGTACATAGGTGGTCAGTTGATTTATACTTCCTGGTTTTCAGTGTTGCTTGAATTTTCTAAATGGAAACACAGTACCTTTATAATCAGAAAACAATCCCGAGTTTTGATTTGAGGGTGTTGTAAAAAGTTAAAAAAAAAAAAACAGAAATGTGAAAAGGAAGTTGTGTTAGAGTATTTGGAGTTGAGAAAGCATGAAAAGGACAGAAGAGAAGCTGGTTGTCAGGTTGCATGGGGTAGCTACAAGCACACTGACCAGAAAGTCAGCTGGAAAAAAAATGTAGAAACAGGAGATAAAACGGCCAAGGGGCTATACAAGCAAACAGCAAGGACCTGAGAAGAAAAACTAGTTAGGTGTGACTGTCAGAGTGATGTGTACAGTGTGATCCTTTCTGTGTAAAAACAAGCAGTAAGAATTCGCTGTTTACGTTTGCGTGTGTTTGGAGAAGAGTGGGGAAGAGTAGGCACTGCCAGACTGTGAACACTGGTTAGGTTATTGTTATATCTTTGTATTATATACACTGGACATGTTATTTGTATAATATGAGAAGAAATTTTATAAATCATTAAATCTTTTGGCATTTAGGAACATTTGTGTTTTCTAATAGTTGCTTCTATACTATTATCTTTATTATATGCCCTTCATCTTCTCAGTGTTTGGCTGTTGTTGTGATTCCCTTTTGTGAGCAGTGTTGAAGTTAGCTAATATTCATTTCTTCTCCCTTCTTTCACCCTCCTCCAGAGTCTGATTTGAAGTATTCCTAGCTGCTACCTATAAAAGCAATAAGCAAGATTGTTTTACTTTTCACAAACTCGTCCTGTTCTGTGCCTCTGCCTCGGACATAGCTGTAGTATAGAGTGTTGTCTCCCTTACATCCTTCTATCTTAGACCTACTAGTAAATATTAATGCTCACTCTAAGTTCTTCTCAATTCTTTTTTTTTTTTTTTTTTTTTTTTTTGAGAAAGAGTTTCGCTCTTGTTGCCCAGGCTGGAGTGCAACGGCACGATTTCGGCTCACCGCAACCTCCACCTTCTGGGTTTAAGCGACTCTCCTGCCTCAGCCTCCTGAGTAGCTGGGATTACAGTCACGTGCCACCACCCCTGGCAAATTTTGTATTTTTAGTAGAGACAAGGTTTCTTCCATGTTGGCCAGGCTGGTCTCAAACTCCCGACCTCAGGTGATCCACCTGCCTCAGCCTTCCAAAGTGCTGGGATTCCAGGCGTGAGCCACCGCGCCCAGCCTCTTCTCTCAATTCTTCCTGAAGCTCTTTCTGCACTAGATTCCTCAGGAAGGGCTTGTGGGAACAATCTTCTGTGAATCAACAGTACATATTCATAATAGTTTGTCAGCAGCCTATTATTTTAAGGCCATTTGGTCTGTATATAAAAATGTTTGGATCACATTTTCTTTCTTTAAGGTAAATATGTTATTCTGTTGTCTTCTGGTATAAAGCATTGCTGTAAATGTTTGACAGTCTAATTATCTTTTGCTTATAAGTGACTTAGGGTTTTTTGTCTATGTGCCCAAAGGATTTTTTCCCTCTTTCTCTCTTTTTTTTTTTTTTTTTTTTTTTTTAAACAGACAGGATCTCACCCTGTTGCCCAGGCTTTAGTGCAGTGAGGCAGTCAGAGCTTACTGAAGTTTTGAACTCCTGGGCTTGAGGAACAAAGGATTTTTTTAACCTTTTAATTCAAAGTCTCATCATTTATGCAACCATGTCTTGGTGTTGGCTGTTTTGGGTTGTTCTCCCTCAAAAATCCATGTGCTCTTTCAATATGTAGTTTTAAATCTTTTTTTTTTAATTTCAGGAAAATCTTGAATTAGAGTTTTCCGTTTTTCGTCTGGTACATTGCTTGGGTTTCCTTCTTCAGGAACTCAGCCTGTTATGTGTATGTTTGATCTTCTTTGCCTGTCGTCTGTTTCTTTCACTTCCTCTCACTTTTTTAAACTTCATTTATTAAAAAAAAATTTTTTTTTCGAGACAGAGTTTCGCTCTTGTTGCCCAGGCTGGAGTGCAATGGCGTGATCTCGGCTCACTGCAACCTCCGCCTCCCAGGTTCAAGTGATTCTCCTGCCTCAGTCTCCCAAGTAGCTGGGATTACAGGCATGCGCCACCACGCCCAGCTAATTTTTTGTATTTTTAGTAGAGACAGGGTTTCTCCATGTTGGTCAGGCTGGTCTTGAACTCCTGACCTCGTGATCTGCCCGCCTCAGCCTCCCAAAGTGCTGGGATTACAGGCGTGAGCCACTGTGCCCAGCCTTATTAAAAATTTTAAAAACATACATTTAAACTTAACAGAAAAATTATGAGAGAGAAGGGGGTGGTGCCAGGCTTTTTTAAACAACCAGCTCTTACATGAACTCATAGAGTGATAACTCATTACCATGAGGACGGCATCAAGCCGTTCATGAAGGATCTGGCCCCGTGACCCAGACACCTCCTACTAGGTCCATTTTTAACATTGGGGATCACATTTCAACGTGAGATTTGGAGGGGGCAAAACTACAAACCATGTCACTCAGGGATTGGAGGAGCAAGTACCACCTATACTTTGGACTCAGGTAGAAAGGCAAAATATCCAGGAAATAAGCTGCTACCGTCCAGGGTTCAGCAGAGGTGCCCATCAGCCTGCCAAGTACTCAAGAGTCCAGCCTCTAGGGAGCTAATCATCATGGTGAGCTCTTCGAGGCACAGGGAGCTGGGAAGACAGTGCTTGCCACCCCTGCCTGAATAGTGTTTGCACAGAGAGTTCTGTTGTGTCTTGATTGGGTCCTCCTGCCACTGGGAATGCTGTGGATTATACTAGGTCTCTATCTGGCTTGTTTCAGGGCTCCATGTGAAAACCTTCTTGATATCCTAGCCATCCACCTGCTCAGTCCCTAGTTTGCAAGGAGGCTGTGGGGAGCCTAGATTCTGTGTCAGATAGAATGTACTACATTCCGTCTCAGGAATGTACCACATCAGAAAACAGTGCGACCTGCAGGAGAAGTAGAGGTGAAGAGGCACATTCTTCCGAGAAATGTTTCTCTCAACACCCAGCATTCCCTGGATATCAGCAGGAAATTACTCACTGCTAGAAAATGCCCCATGAGCCTTCTGTTAAGGAGGTCAAGGGAGAGAACAGAGAAAGTTCTCAAAGTTGACTTGGTCACTGGTACTTTCTTATGCGGTTCTTATTTTGTTTGCCATCGTCATCATCATGCTATGTCTATTTTCTCAATCCAAATCCACTGCTTTCACCTTGGTTCTTTCTGACCGGTTTGGCACACTCATTCAGTAAATCCTTATGGAGAGCCCAATGTCTGCATAATTGTGCTGTGCTGATGACCAAGCTAGACCTACGAGTGTCGGCTCCTTTGAGATGTACGGGACAGCTCTTCTGTCATCTCTTCTGGGAAGCCTCTCCAGGCTTGGTGAACAGTGGCAAGATGTTTAACAGTTGTACATGTGTCCCATGTTCCTTTCTAAGAGCCTGGGCAAACCAGACCCGGTCGCAGGTCATCGTAGTATGGCGTGAGCTTCCTCTCTCCTTTCTGACCTTTTGTGTGATGGCAAGAACCTGCAGAGTGACACAAGCAGCAGGCTTCTGAGGTTGCTCTAGCCTCAGAATGGCCGTCCCTTCTCCACCCTGGCCCTCATTGCTGAGGTTTCCTTTGAAGCAACAGTGCCGGAACAGACTAGGGGAAGCAGCTTGGACATAGCTGTATGATTTATTACCACCCATTGAGGCCAACCAAAGTCGGCAAGGAGAGGTAGCAGGTCAGTGGTGCCTGGAAGCTTCCTCTTTCCTTTGCACCAGATGTGACTGCTCTGCAATTACTCCTAAATTTGCTACTCTCGTTTTTACTAGCCAACCTTGATGTTTTTCCCTTCTTCCTGTAGAATAGACTTCCCCTCTGATCAGTACTTTCTACTCAACACTATTTGTGGCCACAGTGGGAACTCATTGAGGACAGGGACCATGACATTACTACCTGACCCATCAACACTTGGCATAACTTGAAATGCAAGGACAAAAATTGGCTGCAAGTACAATGTGGTCTTCACTCTGAAGGTGATCCTTAAAACTTGGCTTTGGCATCATATTGCCTTAATATACCTAGGGGATTGGGTAAAACCAGTTACTTTAAAAGAGTTTTACAATTCTGGCCTTCTAGCTATCTTGTCTTCTTAAACAAGAGCACAAGATGAATGTATCTTAGTGAAATTTTATATGGTTTGCTTTGAGTAATCTTGCGAAGATTGATTTTTAGCACAGTAGGAAAGACACATTCTAATAGTGATTTTTTTCCCCGAGTTTATGTACTGCTGTTGCATGAAAATCTGACTAGATTTAATGTTCCTAAAGTTCTTTGTTCATCCTGATTTTTGCAGGTCCTAGGGAAAGCTTTGTTTTCCTCTTAACCTAACTTAGATGTTGTCATTTCATGAGCTTTGGAGGAAGAGTGTATAGCCAATTGTGTAATGTCTTTAAAGGATATTATCTCTGCAATAGTTGTTTATAAGGCCTAAGTTATTCATGTAATAATAGTGGCCCCGGATCTGTTTCTAGCAATAGGTATATGGATTTTGGTTCCTATATAGTTGTAGTTGTGGCTTTGAGATATTGAGCAAGCCCTTTTAAGAAAGGATTTGGCATCCCTCAGCCTTCAAAAGCTTCTCAAAATTGATCATATGTTATTAGCAAAGGTTTACTGCCTGCTTCCATTGTATAGACAATTTATTTTTTATGTATTCCGTTCTAAGAAGGCAGATGACCAAAAGATCTTGCATCTGTTGCCCAAGGCTTGTGACTAGAGAGGAAAGAGATAAGAATACTTTTTTAAAATCCCATTTTACTAAATATGTTGAGGAAGTGGTAAGATATATTAATTTGTTGAGATTTTTCTGTTATGCCTATTATATGAAATAGGTACTCTGAACATGGCTTCTTAATTAAATATATTTGATAAAATACAACTTGCTTCCCCTGGAGTTTAGAAGTCAGATAACTGCCATGGAGAGCTATGCTTTCTTTGTTTTAAAGATCTGCTTATGAACATGATAAACAGGAACAATTTAATGTTTTCAATATTTTCTTGTATTTTACTGCAAGTTTATACACAACATAAATATGGGGGAAGGGGGAAATGTTTATACCAGAGCCATCCTGCCCATTCTTTCCTTACAGAAGGACAAAGGAGCAGTATTTATTTTAACTACAAAAATACTATTGTAGGTTTTAAAAATTCCGTATATTTTGATATCTTGTGTTCCTCTTGACCTTTAATTTGCTAAATAGTTGCAAAGAATGAAGGTAACCTGCATCATCTTCTTAAAAACCAACTCTATCTAATTATAATAGTTTGTCTATCTCTGAAAAATAGTGATGTGTTCATTCTGAAATCAGAACTACCGGATGCAGCTGCATTTTGTTACTATTTGAATTTCGGGAGAGGGAGGAGGATGCAGCCTTTCGAGCTGCTGAAATACACAAACACAAAGAAGACACCAAGCATAGTAGAACTGTGTTAAGCTGACCAAGCCAGAAGAAGCACCTATTCTCAGCATAGTATGAGACGTAAAGGCAATATAATGGGCATAGTTGAAGATGGTAGAAGGAAAATAGACTCTGATGGTTTAATGTTAAATGCTTTTTTTAAAAAAGTGGTATTCCAATATCGAAGAAGAAGACTTTCTACTTTTAGAAGCAATAAAGGAAATTGCAGAGGAAAGGGTCAATAGGTTGGAATACATAAAAATTAAAAACTTTTAAACTTTTTTTTTTTGAGACAGAGTCTCACTCTGTCACCCAGGCTGGAGTGCAATGGTGCAATCTCGGCTCGCTACAACCTCCGCTTCCTGAGTTCAAGCAATTCTCCTGCCTCAGCCTCCCGAGTAGCTGGGATTACAGGCATGGGCCACCACTCCTGGCTAATATTTGTATTTTTAGTAGAGACAGGGTTTCACCATGTTGTCCAGGCTGATCTCAAACTCCTGACCTCGTGATCCGCCTGCCTCGGCCTCCCAAAGTGCTGGGATTACAGGCATGAGCCACCGCGCCTGGACTAAATTGTTTCAGTATTAATTTTTTTTAAAACAAGATCTTACTGTTGCCCAGGCTGAAGTACAGTGGCCCAATCATGGCTAACTGCAGCCTTGACTTCTGGGCCTCAAGGGATCCTCCCACCTCAGCGTCCCGAGTAGCTGGGACCACAGACATGTACCACCACACCCAGCTACTTGTTTTATTTTTATTTTTGTAGAGATGAGGTTTCACCATGTTGCCCAGGCTGGTCTCGAACTCCTGGGCCCAAGCAATCCTCCTCCCTTGGCCTCCCAAAGTGCTGGTATTACAGGTGTAAGCCATTGCGCCCTGCCTGATTTTTTAAATGTGCAAACAGATAAGTTGGAAAAGTGATTTCCAATAAAGATAAAGAGTTGATGGTTTTAAAATACGTAAAGAGCTTATATGAATGAGAAAAACACTAACATTCCAAAAGATTAGAAGGCAAAGGACAGAAAGAAACAAATCACTATGTCTGGGAAGGGACATGAAGGAGCAGGTTCCCACTGGGCCAGCGGGGCTCAAACCCACTGGGGACGTCCGAGAGACTGCAAGGGCCATGCCTTCACATTGCCGTACCTGAGAAGCAAGGAGCTGGGGTATTTATCTCTTTCACACTTTGGGAGGCTGAGGTGGGCGGATCACCTGAGGTCAGGAGTTCGAGACTAGCCTGGCCAACACAGTGAAACCCCGTCTCTACTAAAACTAGAAATAATTAGCTGGGTGTGGTGGCACACACCTGTAATCCCAGCTACTTGGAAGGCTGAGGCATGAGAATTGCTTGAGCCCAGGAGGTAGAGGCTGCAGTGAGCATAAATTGCACCACTGCACTCCAGCCTGGGTGAAACTCTGTCTCAAAAAGTAATAATAATCATGATAAATAAAATAACATTAGATTGTTAGCAGAAGTAGCCACAGGTTTCTCCCACCTCTCTGCAAGTTGCTGAGTGTGATTCCCATCAAGAGGTACAATGTCTTTTTATTTTTATTTTATTTATTTTATTTATATTGCCTATGTTGTCTAGGCTGGTTCCAAACTCCTGAGCTCAAGTGATCCTTCTACGTCAGCCCCCCAAAGTGTTGGGATTACAGGCATCAGCCACTGCACCTGGCCCAGATACTTTTTCTTGAGTAGGAATTTCGAGTCACCCTGAACATTGCATGCCTTCGTAGTGGGGAAGACAATAGGAAACCACAGGCTGTAGGCTAAAATGGGTTGTGTTTCTTGTAACGTCATGACAAGGCATAACCCATCTTGGCATAGTAAATAGTAAGCACTCACTGAACTGATGATTTTAAATCTTTGCTGTTTATTCAGCAATATCCTAAATTAGCGCTATGTTAGTGGAGTTGCATCTCCCTCATGGATTAGTCTGAAAAAGATGAGAAATCTGTATGTAGACCAAGTTATCCTTAAACTGCTCATAATGTATGATGCACGTGGTTTTACGTGTACAGCCTGGTACCATTGTTCTTAGGCACATTTCAGTGCCAGAACTCTTAATACCCAGGAAGAAGCAAAAAGAAAGATGGAGGTGCAGCTAGAGGTTGTGGCCTTTGAACGATTCATTCTGCCTTAATAAGAGTGGTCTGGCTGAGCTCGGTGGCTCACACCTGTAATCCCAGCACTTTGGGAGGCCAAGGCAGGCAGATCGCTTGAGCCCAGGAGTTCAAGACCAGCCCAGGCAGCATAGCGAGACCCCCCCTCCCCCCGTCTCTACAAAAAAATAGAAACAATGAGCCAGGCATGGTGGAACGTAGTGCGTGGTGCCTGTAGTCTCAGCTACCCAGTTGGCTGAGGTGGGAGGATCACCTGAGCCCTAGAAGTCGAGGCTTCAGTGAGCCCTTATTGTGCCACTGCACTCCACTCTAGGTGACAGAGCGAGACAGGTCCTGTCTCGAAAAGAAAGAAGAAGAATTAAAAAAAGTGATTAGATCCCTTGTGTTTGGGACACTTGTTGGCAGCAGGGATGGTAGCGTTTATGAGGGTTGCATGTAACATCGCCTAGCTCAGACATCTGTTTGACTGTCTTCCCCCCTGAAGCGCAGGCTCTGTGAGGGCAGGTCTTTTGTCTTTCTTGTTAATCTTCATATGCTTAGTGCTTGCCACATAGTTGATGCTCAGTCGATATTTGGATGAATTGAAGGGATTAATGCATTGAATCTGAACCTTGCTTTCTTAATGCATATGGGGAGTTCTTTGGAAAGCCACACAGAGGAGCTTGGTTGCCTGCTTCCTCTCTTCCCCAGATTGTCTTTTTATTGTTGTGGCTTCACTGAAGCACTCTCACTTCAAATAATTTTGGGCATTGGTCGTATTTTATTCTTTGTTCCTTCTTCATCCTTACCCCTCAGATGGTATGTAGAAAAGTACACTACATCTAGAAAGTACTTTATAAACTCATTTGGTTGATAATAATACATATGCCTTTTCCTTGGTCCTGGTAGCAGAATCTTGTGCCACTCTTGGAATACAAACGAAATTCTTAACCAAAGCCAGTTTCATTTTGATGTTCTATTTTCCTCCCATTCACACTCCAAATTGTGCACCAAAGTATCATCCTAGTTTTGTGAGGATGGTTCTCCATACTTCAGGGTAGGAGTATCATGTGGATTCCTATGATACCTTTCTCCCTGGGACCATGGAGGGCAGCAGCTGGTGATTGATAGTCTGATTCCCGGTGAGGAAAGCTGTGAGCCTTCCACTTGCAGATGTCTGCCAACTACATGTGTCCTTAGTCAACTGTACCACTGTCCTCCGGCAAACAGCAGAAGCCCAGGGCCTGAAGTTCTTAAGCTGTCATTATGGAAAGCAGAAGGTAAACAAAACAGAAGTGAAAGTAGATTTAATTTTTTAGACTGTTCTCTTACAGGAATGGTTTTGTGGTTCTCAGCATTTTAAAAAAAATAGTGGTTCCAATATGTTTTATTGACATCAATTACTGTAAGTCTGATTCATTTTCTGCCTATTGATTTCTACCCAAGGTGAAATTCATGACATTTAACAGAAAGCATAAGTGATTTTTTAAAAGCAGACACTATTAGGGACGGTAAAAATAAGATTTAAAGTCGGGACACTTGAAAAAGCAATTTTTATACCTTTGGTAACGATTCTATTCTGATTCTTTGTATAAATAATATAAACAAAGGCTCTAGAAGCTTACTATAATGAAGTTGGTGTGCTGTTTCTAAATTCTGGTTTAAGGCCCAAATTCATTTTATCTGCATTAACTTTTTTTTTTTTGAGAGTCTCGCTCTGTCACCCAGGCTAGAGTGCAATGGTATGATCTCGGCTCACTGCAACCTCTGCCTCCCGGGTTCAAGCGATTCTCCTGCCTCAGCCTCCCGAGTAGCTGGGATTATAGGTGTGCGCCACCACGCCCGGCTAATTTTTGTATTTTTAGTAGAGACGGGGTTTCACTATGCTGGTCAGGCTGGTCTCAAACTCCTGACCTTGTGATCCGCCTGCCTCGGCCTCCCAAAGTGCTGGGATTACAGGCGTGAGCCACTGCACCCGGCCGTGTTAAAATTTTTCAGTGGTAGACCACTATGTCAATATGTTGCTTTCACTGACAACAGTATTTTCTTAAAGATAGGATACCCCATTTCTAGATGAATCTCATTCTAGCTGGAAAATAATTTTTCAGTTCTGAAACTACATCAGGCCTCAGGGAATCAAAACTAGCTATTAGCCACACACATATAAAGTGGCTTTGCTTTATAAACGATTTAGGGTCACCATCAATGACAATGGTCCCTTTTTATTGTATTTTTAAGAGTTTCTTATCTTAAATGGCTGCATAACTGTAGAGTTTTAAAAAAATTAAGTAAATGACCATGTTAATGCTCTATTAAGCTTCCAAACAATATTGTAATTTACTTTGAAGATTTTTTTTTATTCTCAACATCCTGCAGCTTGACCGTTTGCCTCCGTGTCTCAGTGCTGCTTATTTTGAGGTGTGGACTGGAGTCCATCTGTCCCCCTTGCCTCTGAACTGCTCCGTTTTGTGTTTCGTAATTCTTCATGCTGCATCCTGGGCGCATTTCTCTGTAGTAGCTTTCAATTTGCTCATGCTTTGACTGGGCTTAGTCTAGCGTTTATCCTATCTCTTAAGGTTTTTTAAAAAATTTTCATGATTATTCATTTATTTCCAGGATTTCTCATTTCTTCAGTCACATCTCCTTGTTCTGGTTTTACTTCTTCCTGTTTTTATTCATAACATCTTTTTTATACACGATTCCTTCATGTATTTCTAATCTTAAGTATATTTAATTGCTTATTTGATTCTTTTTTTTTTTTATTGAGACAGGGTCTTACTCTGCCACCAGGCCGGAGTGCAGTGACATAGTCATAGCTCACTGCAGCCTCAACTACTTGGACTCAAGCGACCTTCCCACCTCAGCCTCCCAGGTAGCTAGGAATACAGGTGTGAGAGCCGCCACACCCAGCTGATTTGTCTTACTATGTTGCCCAGGCTGGTCTTGAATTCCTGGGCTCATGTGATCTGCCCTTCTTGGCCTCCTGAAGTGCTGAGATTATAGGTGTGAACCACTGCACCTGGCCAAGTATGTTTATTTATTTATTCTAATTTGAGAGGGAGTCTCGCTCTGTCGTGCCCAGGCTGTAGTGCAGTGGCACAATCCCAGCTCACTGCAACCTCTGCCTCCTGGGTTCATGCGATTCTCTTGCCTCAGCCTCCTGAGTACCTGGGGTTACAGTTGCGTGCCACCACACCTAGCTAATTTTTGTGTTTTTAGTACAGGCGGGGTTTTACCCTGTTGGCCAGGCTGGTCTTGAACTTGTGACCTGAAGTGATCCGCCCGCCTTGGCCTCCCAAAGTGCTGGGATTACAGGCATGAGCCACCACGCTTGGCCCAAGTATGTTTATTTTTAAAGTCCCCAACAAGCTATACAATAAATTGCATATGGAATGGATTTTTGTTCTAGTTGATTTGTTGGTTATCATTTGTAGAACTAACTAGTTGTCTTCTGTGTTTGATACCTTGCTTCTAGGTCATTTTGAGTTGGGAGCCTTTTGTTTTGTTTTTATTCTCATGCTGTTTTTGAGCCTAGCTGTGCCTTTATGGTTTTCTCTAAATTTAATTGACCATTGTTTTATATTTGGAGCAGTGGGTGTACATCAGAGTGTGAAAGCAGCCCCACCCTCTCCACCAGAAGGTCTCCATGCCAGTTTCACGAAGCATTTTTCATGCCCTCATTCCTGCCCTTATCCCTTGATTTGTGGGGAGTTTGTAAAGCAGTTGATTGTTTTTTTTCCACGTAGTTTTCCAAGTGCACATAATTGTTCTGTTAGTGACTTGTAGCTCCATTATCTATTAACCTTGCCCCAGACCACTGTACAAGCGGACCCAACGCTTCCTCCAGCTGTGGCAGGGACAGTTACTTGGTATCCTGCTGCCTTTTCAATGCTGACCAGTTTTGCCCCTTCCTCCCCTCAACCCCTGTCTTTCATTCAACTATCACCAAACCAAAAGATTCTGGTTTGCTTTTTAGTATGTGTTCTTATTCAGTACATAGTCATTTTAAAATTTAAACCAAAACAGACTTGGTACTGATTAGCTTAATTTTAAGCTTTTTCTTTATTATTAAACAGTGTAGTTTATCTTAGCATTTCATATTAAGTATATGATTTATTTCATATTGCTTATATGAATGTACACATAAATATAATAAAAATATTTTCCTAAGGTTTTTGTAGTAAATTATATCGTTTCATTAACTTTCATATATAGCATTGCTTTTGACCTGGAAGACATTGAACCTCTGATGATTTGTATATTCCTCGGAGTATACTTTGTTACATAGAAATTTTCTCATTTATAATGAGATTTGTGATTAACAAAATTTGTTCAACATGCATTACTTTGAAGATCTGGTTTCTAAAATTTTATGCTAGTTACCCCACCCCCCCTTCTATATATATCTCCCTATTCAGCGACTACTGCAAGAGTTCCAGGAAATGTACACTGTGTGTTCACTTACTGCATTTTAAATCATTGCCTTTACTATATTTCTGCATTTCCCTTCAATCTAGCTCTGTCTGTACATTTCTGAAAGCCAGTAGCTTCCCTGAAGAACCAGGTAACAACCCGAACAATCAAATTAGATAACCATTTGTAGAATGGAGGTTCCGGGAGATCTTAGAAGATGTGATGGGTGCTAAGGGACTTTGTAGTTCCCTGAAGTTCCAGTGAGTAAAAGGTACCCTTGGAATTTTTTATTCCTTCAGACTTTTAAAACAGAGATCACTTTCAAAAATTACTCTTTCTGCTTTGAATCCATGTTTTAGTAACTATTTTGACACTGTTTGGTCAGAAGGCTGTGTGGGTCAACTGCAAATAAATAAAATAAATGTGATTTCAGTAATTTCCATTTTGTAACAAGTAATTGAGAAAATAGGATTGGATCAGATATTTGCTTATACACATTCCCTTTCAGGAGCACTTCTGTTCTATAAAGAATGTTGGTATATTGTTAAGGACACTTCAAGCTTTGGGAACCTTTGAAGTATCCATTGATTCAGTTAACAAAATTATGTTGAGTGCCTACCCTGGGCCTGGGCCTGTGTTAGGAGGGGACACTAAGATGAGAGTCCAAAGCACTTCTTCTCAGACTCCTGGCTGCTAATGGGTTGCTGCCTCTACTTCTTCACTTAGCAGATAGCTTTAAAATGAGTAATGCATTTTACCATGGAGCCCGTAAGAGACATTCACCCAGTTGTGGACCGAGGAGAAGGGTGTTAAACCCAGATTGTGATGTTTCACTTGATGAAGTGCTTAATATAAACATGGAAATATTTCCGCAAGGATAAACTGGCTTTTATGCCTGTGTGTTTTCAGGAGAAATAGAAATCTCTAATCAAATATTGCCAGCTTTTCACCCAAGTTTGACTTTTTGCCTAATTGAGTTTGGGAGGTGTCTGAATAATGGATAATGAGCTTTCCTGAATAAATATAAAAATTAATTAACTCCAGGCTCTAATTCATTCTGTTACCAGAGTTTTGTAAGCATGTTACCCCTTTGTGTTCATTGGGAGATCATCTGTTACCTTCTTAAATGAGTGGGGAAGGATGGGAAATGAGGAAGAGCTATAAAAACTATTCAGGTGAAGAAGGTTTCTGCCCCTCCTTGCCCCTTTTAAAATCTCCAGCTCAGCAGATGCTTTGTTTAAACTTGATCAAGTGCTTGTGAATCTTCCTAGCCTAGCTAAATCATAACTTTGGAAGGACTTGCTTTTTTCTCTCATGACAATGGTTTACCACAGAAATGATTCAGATCACTTTGTGTGCCTGATGCCTATGTAAAATGATACAGTGAAATGGAAACCATTTACCTGTAAGCTTTGGGCACACCCAAGCCTGCTTCAGGAGCACATGATCAGGCGTGCACTCTGGGAGAGCCGTACACATTTGACATCTATGATGTGTGGCGTTTTATTCTATCACATTTCTGAAATCTACACTAAGAGAAAGGAGGCTCTTAAAAAACCACTGAGGTGTGGACTGGGGGAAGGAGAGATCCGTAAAGAACCTGTTTGTTACCTGTTGATACTATTTCCCATTGGTAAAATTTCTAATTTAGTGTGATCCAGCCCTGAAATGCTGAGGCACACACTGAATGACTCCTGACATCTTTAGTGTTTTTGTTCAGGGGACTCTTCTGGGAATCTGTTTCATGGCAAGTTTATTATTCCCTTTTGGTTTGGCTCATCAGTTTACCCAGCAGTCATCTTAATCGGTTTTAAAGGCTTTTATTTTATTTTGTTTTCTCTGTGGAAATTTTACACATTCAGTAGATTAGAAGTAGTTATTTAATCTTTGGTTAGCATAATAAAAGATCTTCTAGGGACATTTTTTGCTTGCAGTGGAAGGCTAGTTAAATGTGTTCATTAGTCATGAATCTGCTTTTTCTATAGCTGTTGGAAACGTAGCTCCCCTGTGATACAGTTGTAGAATACAGAAATCTCGTTTTGCTGTTACGGTACGGTAGTCTACTTACTTTCTTCCAAACCATTAATGTTATAGTTACCTTTAATTGCGTAGGTCCTATCACCCCTCAATTTTAAGACTCTAAGCCTGGCATTTTATCTTACAAAATGAAATATAAAGACTTGTACTCAGAGTATGTGTGTGTTTTCCATATACCATTCTAAAGTAGAGAAAGATGAGGGATTCGCCAGAAACTGATTTCTAATAAATTATCCAGAAACTGACCCCTTCTCACCTCTTCTGTTACTGTCACTGTGGTTTCAGCCACAGCATCCTTTGCTGCATTGTTACCTTAGTTTCCTGACTGTATCCTTCCTTACACCATTGATCCCTGCAATCCCATCTGCGCGTAGCAGCCAGAAGGGATCCACTTACTGCTGTGATCAGAAATCCTCAGCCAGGTGCAGTGGCTCATGCCTGTAATCTCAGCACTATGGGAGGCTGAGACTGGAGAATTATTTGAGCCCAGGAGTTTGAGACCAGCCTCAAACTGGGTAATATAATGAGACCTCATCTCTACAAACAGGAAAAAAAAAATTTTTTTTTTTTTTTTAACTAGCCAGGTATAGTGCTAATATACCTGTTCTGGGATCCAGCATGCTCTCCCTGACCTGCAGCTTCATCTCCACCACTTTGCCCCTCACTCCCACCACAATGGCTTTCTTCTCTTCCTCAGACATGCCGTGCGTCCTCCTACCTGGAATATTCCCCTCCAAACATTCCCATGGCTCACTCCCTCACCTTCATCAGATCTCTGTTCCAGTGTCACTTTTACTGGAAGGTCTTTTGTGACCATCCTACTTATTATAAAAAAATAATCTGCCCAACCTTCTCCTTTTATTTCCTCTACTTGATTTTTCAATTTAGTACTTATCAGCTGACATATATTTTGTCTCTCTGTCTCTCTCTGTCTCTCATAGAAGGTAAATTCTATAAAGGAAGGAATTTTTATGTTTGGTTCTTTGCTGTAGCTCCAATATTCAAAACAGTGCCTGACACACAGTAGGCCCTTTATATTTGTTGAATAAATGTTGACACTCTGATATCTAATTTTTGTCTGGTGACTAATACGAAAACTATAGAGTGATAATAAAAGCATTACCTTAGTAGACTGGAAAGGGATGAGCGCTAGGATGAACTTTCTGCCTGGCGATCTTGCTGAATTTAGGAGGCAGATTGGGGTTCAAAGGAGGCTGAAATGGCTAGGATTTGCAGAGCAGGGTACTAAGGATGAGCAGGCTATGACAGAAAGAACTCCAGAAATCTGCAAAGGGATCACCTTGAGTCTGGCTGGATACAGTGTACACTTTGTAGGGTGTCTCTTCATGAGCTTGGATAAAGAACAACTGTTGGGGAGTGGATAATTCCCAGCACTCATTCAAGCTTGCATCGGCCAGAACGGAGAGAGACAGACCTCTGTAATACGTAGGATATTTGGTAGAAACATTCAACCGAAAACCATCAGATATGCAAAAAGTAATAATAATAAGTAAACAATGTGATGCATAGCTAGAAGAAAAATCAGACATTAGAAGCAAGCCCAGAAATGACAGATGATAAATTAGCAGATAAGGACATTAAAACAGCTATTATAAATAACTTAGCAGATTTAAAGAAAAACAACATAATGAGGATAATGGAAGAAAAACAACCGAATACCATTTCTAAAGAAGAAAAATACAATATCTGAAATGAGAATTTAGCTGGATAGGATTAATAGTTTAGGCACTGCAGAAGAAAAAAACAGCATCTATATGAGAATATACCCAAGGGAAGTACAGAGAGGAAAAAAATGTGGATTGGGGGGTGCCTCAGTGACATATGGAACAATATTAAACAAGTCTGCCCCCAAAATACTTGAAGGAATAAGGTTCAAGTTTTTTCCAGGTTTAATGAAAACTATAAGCCTACAGATTCAAGCATTTCAACAAACCTTCAGCAAAATAAACAAAACCACAGTAGGCCTGGCACACTGTCTCATGCCTGCAATCCCAGCACTTTGGGAGCCTGAGTCAGGAGGATTGCTTGAGATCTGCTTGGGCAACATAGCCAGACCCTGTCTCTACAAAAAATAAAATGAAATAAATTAGCTGGATGTGGAGGTCCACACCTGTAACTCTAGCTAGCCTGGAGGCTAAGAAGGGAGGATTGCCTGAGCCCAGTAGTTCAAGGCTGGAGTGAGCTAGGACTGCATCACTGCACTCCAGCCTAGGCAACAGCAAGACCACATCTCTCTCTCTCTCTCTCTCTCTCTCTCAAAAGGCAGTGAAATAACGACTTATTTGGGGAAAAAATAAAGGCAGAGAATTTGTTGCCAGCAGACTAGCATAAAAAAAAGGAAGTCCTTGAAACAGAAGAGAAATGATAAAAGATGGAAATTTGGATATATACTAAAGAATGAGGATTGCTAAAAGTGACATACATAGATAAATATGAAATATATTTTTATTTTAAAATTTATTTAAAGCAAAAATAAAAATACATCATATTTATAACATAGAAATAAAAAATGTATGATAATAGCATAAAGGATAAGTGGACAAATGCTGTTGTCGTATTTTTGGTAAAATGCACTATTATTTGAAAGTAGACCATCGTGAATTCGATGCATATTGTAAACCAAATAGAACACTAAAAAATGAAAATAAAGAGATATGGCTAATGTGCCAATGGTGGAGATAAGATAGATGCAAAAAAAGAAAAACATTCAAAAGAAGGCAGAGACAGAGGAAAAAAGGAACAAAGATCAAATGAGTCAAATAGAAAGCAGCTAAACTAGCAATATGGCAGATTTAAATCTAGCCATGTCAATAGTTATATTAAATGTAAATGTTCTAAATACCTGAATTAAAGGATGAAGATTGTCAGATTAGATTGAAAAAGCATGACCCAACTACATGCTGTCTGTAAGAAATTAGAAAAAGAACAAATTAAATCCAAAGTAAGAAGAAAGGAAATAGAGTAGAAGTTAGTGAAGTATAAAACAAAGAGCAAAGAAAATCAATTAAATGAAAAGCTGGTTCTTTGTAAAGATCAGTAAAATTGATAAATTTCTAGCTAAACTGGCCAAGAAAAAAGAAAAGACATACAAATTAACAGTATCAGGAAGAAAAACAGAGAATTCAAAGGAGTGTAATGCAAACTTTATGCTAGTAAATGCAATAAGTTAGATGGTATGGAAAAAAATGTGAACAATACAAAGCAGACTGTGGTTGCCTTTGGTGGCAGTAGCGGGGTGGGAGTGGAAGGTTGAATTGACTGGAACCAGAAGCACAAGTGAACTTTTTGGGGTGATGGAAATGTTTTGTATCTTGGTTGCATTGATAGTTAAATGGTTGTAGACATTGCTTAAAACTCACTGAACACTTAAGTGGGTATGTTTTATTATTTGTAAAATATACCTCAAAAGCAGTTTTAAAAATGTATTCAAGTACATACTTAAGATCTTTGCATTTTACTCTGAGTATACCTTAATTTTAAAATCTGTTTTTTAAAAAGTATTATGTAGATACCTTTTATTTTCCCAATGTCTTTATTAAATGACATCTCCACGTTTTGCTTCTTACCTCTATTTTTTTTTTTTTATTTCTCTGTCTCTCAGGCATGCACACACACACACCAAAAAAAGTACATATGCATAATCCTTTTGGCTGAATAAAATCAGTTGCAACTGTTATTTCGGCCCTTATTTGCTCCGGGTAAATATTCGTTAGCTGAGTGGTTTATCTGTATCAGATATTTCTTACATCTTCATCCAGTCACACCAGCTGGACTGACCAGATTGTTTTTCACTTCAAGGGCAGAATTTGTACTCACTGCTGAATGCTTCCAAATGATACGTAGAATAACAAATTTAAGACTTAGATTTTTACTTTTTCAGGTCTTTTTTTTTTTTTCTGTGCTGTATAGCATTTCCCTGAAAGCTTAATCTCATCTGTAAGTGATGCAGTGGATGTGTTACTATTGGATTAATTTATTTACTCTTAGGTAGGTTTGTAATCTGTCATCATGCTGTTGTTTTTTTGTGTGGGTTTGTTTTTGGTTTTGAGACAGGGTCTCACTCTGCTGCCCAGGCTGGAGAGGCTAGAGTGCAGTGATGTGTTTATGGGTCACTGCAGATTCAATCTCCTGGGCTCAAGTGATCTTCCTGCCTCAACCCCTTGTGTAGATGGAAGCACAGGTGCACGCCACCACACCCGGCTATTTTTTTAAATGTATTGTAGAGACGAGGCATCATTTTTTTGCCCAAGGCTGATCTTGAACTCCTGGGCTCAAACAATCCTCCCACCTCGGCTCCCAAAGTGCTGGGATTACAGATGTGAACCACCACTCGAGCTCCATCATTCTGTTATTAGTTGTTCTCTAGTATGAGTCAAAAACTCTTACCTGCCCTTTTACAGTTTTATAAATAAGTAAGCAGAATAGCAGAATGTGGACATTTTTTAAATCCAAATTGAATATGCACATGACTCAAGGAGTCAAATAGTACCGTAATCGGTTTATGATAAAATCCAGTGGTTTGGCTGGGTGTCGTGGCTCACACTTGTAATCCCAGCACCTTGGGAGGCTGAGGCAGGTGGATCACCTGAAGTCAGGAGTTTGAGACCAGTCTGACCTACATGGTGAAACTACTAAAATACAAAATTAGCTGGGCATGGTGGTGCATGCCTGTAATCCCAGCTACTTGGGAGGCTGAGGCAGGAGAATTGCTTCAACCCGGGAGGCAGAGGTTGTGGTGAGCCGATATCGCATTATTTCAGAACAATTTTCCACAAGATCAGTGAGTGCTGTCCAATAGACATATAATACAACCCACATACATGACTTTACATTTTCTTGTAGCCATAGTAGAAAAGGTCAAAAGAAGCAGATGAAATTAATAGCCTGGGCAACAAGAGCAAAACCCCATCTTTTAAAAAATAAAATAAAATATGGTGGTTTGCTGTCCCCACCTCAGACCATTTCTCTGGTCTTTCTCATTGACCACCACTCCCAATCTTTGTTCTGCTGATTGATTACAGCTTGTATATATCTCCATATTTCTAAGCAAAATGTTTATCTTTTTTAAATTTATAAATTCTTTTTATTATTTTTCAGAGACAGGGTCTTAACTCTGTCGCCCAGGCTGGAGTACAGTGGCACCATCGTAGCTCACTGTAGCCTCGAACTCCTGGGCTCAAGCAGTCTTCCTGCCTCCGCCTCTCAGGTAGCTGAGACTACGCTACAGGCACATACCACCATGCCCAGCTCAAAATGTTTATCTTTTGATACATTATTCGAGACCATTATTAAGGTGGATGATTTAGTTTTCTTAAACAGCCATCCCCTTTCTTTTCCTCCCCTCTGCTTCACCGCCCCCATTTTCCCAATGTTTTACCTTTTGGTTAAATCAGTACTCATTGTTTACATTATTTGCCTCTGCACATAGTCACAGATAGTATTGTACTGTACTGTACTGTGTTTCTTTTTTAAACATTATTTCTGTTGTTAATAATTGACTTTTTAATTTTTTTCCTATTTTGTTTTTTAAAGAGATGGGGTCTTACTATATTGCCCAGGCTAGAGTTCAGTGGCTCTTCGCGGGCATGATCCCACTGCTGATCAGTACAGGAATTTCCACCTGCTCCATTTCCAACCTGGACCAGTTCACCCCTTCTTAGGCAACCTGGTGGTCCCCCATTCCCGGGAGGTCAGCATATTGATGCCAAACTTAGTGCGGACACCCGATCGGCATAACGCATGCAGCCCAGGACTCCTGGGCTCAAGCAGTCCTCCCGGGCTCAAGCAGTCCTCCCACCTAAGCCTCCCGCGTAGCTGAGACTACAGACACTTGCCACCACACCAGGTTAATTTTTGTGTTTTTTGTAGAGGTGGGGTTTTGCCATGTTGTCCAGACTCATCTCAAACTTCTCAGCTCAAGTGAGCCTCCTGCCTCAGCTTCCCAAGTAGCTGGGATTATAGACGCATGCCACCACACCCCATGATAATTGCCTTTTTTTTTAATTTGCATAATTTTCTTTGTAGCTTTTGCTAATGTTCCCATATCTTCTTATAGCCTTACAGAATGATTTTCCACAAGATCAGTGAGTGCTGTCCAGTAGACATATAATACAACCCACATACATGATTTTACCTTTTTTTGTAGCCATAGTAAAAAAGGTCAAAAGAAGCAGATGAAATTAATAGTATCTTTTACTTAACCCAGTTCATTCAAAATGTTATTTCAATAAATGGTCAATATTTAAAATACTTGAGATATTTTGCTTTTATTTATTTCTTTTGTTACTAAGTCTTCAAAATCCAATGTGTATTTTACACTTACAGAACATCTCTTTTTAGACTGGCCACATGTAGCTCAGGGTTACTGTATTGGACAGAGTGGTTTCAGTTTCAAGTTTTTCCTTGGAGACATCCTACTTGAAATTTCCATTCTCCATGTATCTGGGTGGTTGGTCTATAGACTTGCCACTCACAGCTGTCATCTTGAGACTTTCTTTGCTTTTCTTCTCTATTGGATATTCAGTTTCCTGGATTTCAGGTCTTCTCATTTTCCTCTAGTAGTTTTGTTAGGTCATGGTTGGTATGGCATGGTTGGGATAGCGTGTTCACACAGCTATCTCGTGAGTCATACTCCTCCAATCCAGCCTGCTCGCTTCCCGTGTCTGTCATGTAGTTGTCACCCTGCTATCTCTCCCTCCAGTTTTTGCAGAAATTTCCTTTGTCTTCACTCTTGGTCTTCCTCTCCCATCCCCCATGTATCCTATATCTTTCTCTTTCTTGGTTTATTTCATCACTCAGGTGGAAAAGATGCTCCAGTGGATTACTGGGAAAAGGGGGAGCATGGATGATAAAGGTATTGAGACCTTACACGTCAGGGAATTTTTTTTTTTTTTTTTTTTTGAGACGGAGTTTTGCTCTTGTCCAGGTTGGAGTGCAGTGGCGCCAACTCGGCTCACTGCAACCTCCACCTCCTGGGTTCAAGTGATTCTCCTGCCTCAGCCTCCTGAGTAGCTGGGATTACAGGTGCCCGCCACCACGCCCAGCTAATTTTTTGTATTTTTAATAGAGACGAGGTTTCACTGTGTTGGCCAGGCTGGTCTTGAACTCCTACTTCAGGCAATCCACCCACCTCGGAATGTTTTTATTGTCCCTTCTCATTTCATGACTGCTGGGCTAGGTATAGAATTCCAGAATCATTGTTCTTAGAATCTCGAAGGCATTGCTTCATTGCTGGCCAGCTTTCAGTGTTCTTGCAAAGTCTGAAGCTGTGCTAATCACCTCATCCTTTGAAAGTGAACTGTTTTTTCTTCCCAGAAACTTACAGAACATTCTCTTTGTCCGCAGAATTCTGGGATTGCAATTACTGTGCCTTAGAATGGGTCTGTTTTTATCATTATGAAGAGTACTGGATGGGTCGGGAGGTTTTCTTGAATTACTTCTTGATGTTTTCTTTCCTTGTATTTTTTTGTTTGCTAATTTTCTATTTTTTTTTCTTGGTTTACTTTCTTGGGCAGGGGGATTTCTTCTACTTATATTTGATTCTTCAGTTGAGCTTGTCATTTTTGCTATCTTGTTTTTAAGTTTCGAGAGACATCTTTGTTTTATATAACATTCTGTTCTTAATACATAGATGCAAGATCTTTTCTTTCTGAGTATATTAATATGTATTTGAAATCTTTCTATTCTCTGCAGTTTGTTTCCCCCAAGGGTTTTTTTTTTTTTCTGGTTTTTGTTTTTTGTTTTTATGTTAGAGACTTTCCTGTTATATCTGGTCATCAGTGGTACCTGCATGTGGTGGAGAGTAGGGGCTTATTGGAGTATGAGAACCTTGAGCAGGTGTAAGGAGCCTGTCAACACTGCGCTGGCCTCAGGGCCTCTAGGGAGGCTGCCAGTTGTGCATTCTGAGGATACCTTTTGGTTGTGCCTTTTGTCTGGTCAGATTATCTAGAGATGCTCTGCCTCCTACCTGGAGGAGAAGGGTCTAGCTGCCAGCGGTGTGAGTGTCTCTTGGGGAAAAGGACTCGAGTTCCTGGTGTTTGGCTTGTGTATGGCCGCTTACCCCATTTTTGGTGGAGCGCTCACATCTTCCACTGTGCCAACAGTCTTGCTGCAGTTCATAGACCTTCTGGTTTACATTTTTCCAGAAAGTATGTCTTTAGATTTCTGCAGAAGTCTGAGGAGCATGGAAGGAGCTTGGGGAATGAGATGGCAATCCAGGTCTTCCCAGATGGCTCTACCTTTATCCCCTGCAGGGAATCCCACTCCTCCTTCCTGACTGGGAGCACAGCCAGAGCCTTGGGAGGAATCTGGAGTGGAAATCTCGGGCGGTCTGGCTTTCTTACTGTTCACTTGTAATTTTGCTTTCTCACAACTGCCAACCACTAATCAGCCTGATTTCCAGCTTCCAGAATTCTATTGCTGTTGTCTGCTCTCCTATTCCCACCGTAGGGGATGGGGCTGTCTTTTTTTTTTTTTTTAATTTTGGTAAAACATACAAAACATAAAGTGTTCCATTTTAGCCATTTTTAGGTACACAGTTCAGTGGCAGTAAGTACATTCACGTTGTGTGTATTTGTTTTTTTAGTAATAAACAATATAAAATTTTTTAAGTAATAAAACACAAATAAAAGATTGTTTAATGTGATTATCGTGGAATTTTAGGTGTGATCAGGAGCCATGGTGTAGTCTTCTGTTGAAACAGGGTGATAGGATTTGTTTACCACCTCCTAGGAAAGCAGTTGGATAGTTTGTTGGCATAAAAGTACATTTTATCTATTTTTAATAATCGTAGCTTTATAGAAATTGCAGTTGGAACTCCCAGGCCTGGCATTCAAGGCTCTCTGAGATCTGGGCTACCCACCCATGTCCTCCAGCCGTCTGTCGCACCTCCTACTGCCCACTCACTGTTCCTGGCATGAGATGTGATCTCCAGCCCCCATGCCTTTGCTGTGCAGGGTGTTCCAGAGTGAATTGTCCCTCCTGTCTGTCTCTCTGCCCTCTTCCTCGTCTTTCCATCTTCCTGCCCCACATCACTGCCTCCTACCCAAGGCCTGTGCTCATTCCTCCTCGGTTTTCCCCCATGGCCTGGTACATACCTCTGAATTATCACCTTGCATTTCCCATATTGCCCGGCTCTCTTTGATGTCTGTTTCTTTGCTGGGTCTTCCTCAGTGTCTGACGGTCAGTTAAATGTCTTTATTCTTTTTTGTAGGATATCCGACATGAAGCCAGTGACTTCCCATGTAGAGTGGCCAAGCTTCCTAAGAACAAAAACCGAAATAGGTACAGAGACGTCAGTCCCTGTAAGTATCCACGTGGCCGGTACCAGTCTTGCTCTTCCTTTGCTGCAGGCCTTTTTAGTCAAGACTCCTTTCGCCTCAGGGTTTAGTATAATAATAAATCAATGTAGCAGAGGTTTATGACGCGATTGTTTCCTATAGTAAAGGCATTAGAGACTTATAGTAATAGCTCATTTTTCCACCATTATAGAAGGGCTCAGGTTTCAGTTTCTGGAAAATTCAGTGAAGTTCAAAGCACTTTTCTTAAGCTTTGACTGTTTTTGTGATGAATCATTTTCCTACCAGCTGAAGCAGAGTATAGCAGGCATAATAAAACCTTTTCTGGATGACTCAGCAGCAGCGTCATTAGGGCATGAGCACTGTGTTCCGCTGTAATGAAGCCCCGCACAGGCATTCGGGGTGGGCACTGTCGTCCCCTGCGCTGAATATGCAAGGCAGCTCTGTCTGGAGTCCCCACCGCCTCCACCCCCGCCAACCTCATCATTTTTCTCCCTCTTTCCTGCTGTTAGTTCTTCCTAGGATTGTCAGTGTGCCTGCTGGCCTGTGGCAGCCCTGTCCGCCTTCTGAGTGATTGGCTGTCAGTCTGCCGGTAGCTGAAAAGTAAATAACTTAACATGTTAGAATTTGCATAAAGTAAGGAAAACTGGAGCTGAGTACAGGACTTGAACTGCGCCATCTCCTCTAGGCCACAGAGGCCTTTTTGACCCCCTTCCAGGTCTTTAGACATTGTCAGGCAGTGAGGGGTCGTAGCTGCCAGTGTCTCCATGGTAGCGTGCTCTGCCAGGGATGCAGAAGATTCTCCAGTCATTCCTCCAGTGGGCACTTCCTGCAGGTCCTGTGCCCATGGCTGGGAGTGGTGGCTGTCATTGTTCTCTGCCAGAAGGGTTAGCAGTGCATCCTGACCTGACTTATGTGGCGCCCAGATTCCTGGAAGGGGTCTAAAAATGGACCTAGACTTGGTGTAGAACGTGTGCCTCTTGGCCTGCCACCATGGTTCCCTGCCTGGTTTTGTGTGTCAGCTCTGCCGCTTAAGAACTGAGTGGCTTCGGGCAAGTTGTTCTCTCTCATAGGAGTGTGTGAAGATGAAGCAACATAAGCTGCTTAGCCCAGCGCCCAGTACCTCACGCAGACATAAGTGCTCAGTAAATGTTGTCTGTGGTGGGGATGGTTGTCACCAACATCTGAAGTGCACTTCTAGGTCATCAGGTGACATGATTGGCGCCAACACATGGTACTCTTGATTTAGCACATCTCAGCTGAGGCACCTCATTGATATTTGTTTAAAAACAAAAACAAAAAACCTTGGTGATTCTGCTGTGAAGTCCTGGCCAGAAACCTCCAGACCGCTGATCAACACGCAACAGAACCATCACCGTTCACCTCTTTGACATGGTGCCAGGATACCCTGGATCTCTAGCTTTTGCTATAGTTGCTCTAATTAGGGAATAATCTTGTCTTTAATATTCCTTTGCTACATTTTTTAACATTTCTTATCTAAATGGTTTTATGAATCAGTTTTACAGAGAAAAAAAACCAGTATTTAAAATATTCTTCCAGGGGCTGGTCCAAGTACAGTAGTGTTTACAACTATGTGATCACAACCAGTTACAGATTTCTTTGTTCCTTCTCCATCCCCACTGCTTTACTTGACTAGCCAAAAAAAAAAAAAAAAAAAGTTATTCCAGGGAAACAATTCTCCAACTTTTTCACTCCCAATCTCACTCCTCTTATCTTCCTCCCGTACTCCTATCCTCCTCCCGTACTCCTATCCTCCTCCCCTACTCCTATCCTCCAGTAGAAACAGTCATTTGCTGTGAAGGTTATGGGGGAGAATGAGTCAAGGTAGAAGGTCACCTGCTGCCCAGCTCACAGTGCTGCTGGTGATGACAGCAGTCCACAGTTACAGGCACTTGCTGAACGAGGGGCTCTGTATACACCTCAGCTCATTGACTCTTCCCACAACCCTCTTGTCACCTACC
Organism: Homo sapiens; assembly: GCF_000001405.40. Lineage (NCBI taxonomy): Eukaryota > Metazoa > Chordata > Mammalia > Primates > Hominidae > Homo > Homo sapiens. Next base: position 50,563,430 of record NC_000020.11, read on the forward strand.
ATTTAGCAAATGAAAAAACCAAGGCTCTGAGGTGAGTTGTTTGCCCAGAGTCACCCAGTGCTGTTTGAACCCACTCACATAACCAACCAATACCATTATGTAATTTTTGAGGTCTTTTATCTCTGTGATCCACTTAAAAATTATCCAAGTATCTTTATTTGTACTAAGCCTCCATAATGAGAAACAGTGTTCCAGATGGTGGCTAGTTTTCAAAGACATCTCTCTTTGGAATTCTTCTTTAGAACAAAAAGCCCCAGACCACTTATCCCCATTCATATCCCCTTTGGACCTAGGGAGAAGGTACTATTTATAGGTGATCACCTGAGTTTATTGTCCCTTGTGCTGTGCCAGAAATAAAGGTCCCCACCTGCTCTTATTAGCTCTACTAACAGGATAAGGAAAGTGGCCCTCAGAGAGCTACTGCTTTTGTGACAAACAAATGATACAAGAAAAAAAAAGTGGCTTTTTAATTTTAGTGACCTGGGGCAGGACTTCCAAATGAAAGTTTATTTCTAAAAACTAAAAGGTAAATTTAATATACTTTCAGTGTTTGGGCTTAAATTCTCTTTCAAGTGTCTTTGTGATATGCTCTGAATTTTAAAAATTTAGAATCATTGAAGTTCATTATACTTGAACTTTAAAAAAAAAAAACAAAAACCTCGTATAAAGGTCAAGGTATGACTTCATGCTGCTGTGTACTTAGGTCATTTAATCTTCAAACCACTGGATAGAGGTTAGGTTGAAGTTCGATCTTAAATCCTACCTACTGTAGCTCATTGTACCAGCAACAGCTGTAGGGACTAGGTGGAATTCATGGTGGGTTTTGTTCCCTTTTAAAGATTGAAGCCACCATATTTTCTGCCCTCTAAAAGTTTATGTCAGCCAGGCATGGGTGGCTCACACTTGTAATCCCAGCACTTTGGGGAGGCTGAGGTGGGTGGATCACTTGAGGCCAGGAGTTCGAGACCAGCCTGGCCAACATGGTGAAACCCCATCTCTACTAAAAATAGAAAAATTAGGTGAGCATGGTGGCCTGCGCCTGTAATCCCAGCTACTCGGGAGGCTGAGGCAGGAGAAACATTTGAATCCGGGAGATGGAGGCTGCAGTGAGCTGAGAACATGCCACTGCACTCCAGCCTGGGTGACAGAGTGAGACTCTTGACTCAAAAAAAAAAGTTATGCATCAGAGAACAGATCCTTTGATGCCCTCCTCTGCCCTGAAAGGTTTTTGGGGGAGAGTAATAAGTATCACAACAAGATATGACCTGAGAACAGATTTCCCAGATAGGACATGATCCATGTTTTAATATGGCTTACTGCTGTTGCTTCATAGTGTGAAGCTTCAGACACTTCTGAAAACCCTTTCAGAAAATCCCAGTCGCCCCATACTGATGACTAATCTCAACTAAAACAGGGCTTCAGCCAGTGTGAATGCCACTAATGCCACCAACTCACCTTTGCTTTTCTGTAGGGTGTGCACCTGTATGTACACATTCAGCTTTTCCGGGATTAACCTCTGAGTTCTGGTTTGTCTTTCAGTTGACCATAGTCGGATTAAACTACATCAAGAAGATAATGACTATATCAACGCTAGTTTGATAAAAATGGAAGAAGCCCAAAGGAGTTACATTCTTACCCAGGTAAGCAGATTGTCTGAATTTTCTATTTAATGTCAATTTAAGAGTTTGAGAGTGCTGTTATCCACACCTCAAATAAAATCTGCCACATCCTTTAGAAGGTCAGGATTTCAGCATACCAAAAAGCAGCAAGGAAGGGGGAAAAATCATCCTTCAAAGGTTCAGTTTGGTTATAAGGAACGCTAATCTTTTCTGGGAAGCATAAGATGACATTGCTGGAAATGAGAGCTTATAGAAAACAACATTAAAATGCCAGAGTTGCCTGTGTGGTCTGTTGGCAGAGACAGCAGAGCCATGGCTGGAGGAGGGTCTGTACCTGTGTTGCTTCCAGAAGTATTTGTCGTAGAGCACTTGTGATGGCAAATCTAAGAACGTTAGCAGTAGACCAGGAATCTCTGTCCAGAGCCATTCAGAGTAGCTCAGCATGGTTCTCATTCTTTGGCCAGAAGAAAGGCATCATTGGATCATGTGAACAAGCATGAAAAATGACTTAAAATTTCTGTTGGCTTTTGGCATCTTTATGGAAACAAAATCCTGAAAGTGGTTTAATAATTGAGCCTCTTGTAAAACACTCAGTGGCATGTGACCAAAAGGGTATCTGGGAAAGAGGATAAAAAGAGTTTCTTTTTAATTAATCTTCTCAAGTCTTAACTTGTTACCTGTAAGTTGGTCTAAAAAGACTGGGTTTCTTATTTTGTTTTTCATCATAATTTTTGTTTCTCATTCCATGTCAGCTTTCAGTCTTATATGGCTTTAGGCCACAGGGCGATTTTGAACATTTGTAATTTTGCTTAATAATTAGGAAATTAAAATTCTGGGGAAGACAGAATGCTCTATGAAGAAAGGCTGCTTTGAGCAAGGAGCTAGGTCAGGGCGCGTTCAACTGAGGCCTTTCTTCACTGCCTTTTTGTCTTGTCCCAGTTCCTCCCCATTTATGACTAAAATCAGCCCAGATGCTTCTCGTCATCTGGGATGCAGAGCATCAGCCCAGCTGTGTTCAGTCCTATGGGGCCATTGAGTAAGTTCTTGGTGCATGGATACAGGGCAGGCCTTTACCAGGCCCTGAGCCCCTGGTCCTCCCAGCACCTCTGGGGTATTTAGGGGAGGCTGATGGGGGAGGGGGTTGATAAGGCGGGAGATGTCTGGGGATGAGGTTGAGGCAAAAGTGACTTCTTGAGGACTTTGCTTTTTGGAGAAGTCAAATTTCCTACTTCTTGATTTCAGCCCTTCAACTCTGGTATGGAGTCAGGAAGCCCTTTAAATACCTGTTGTCGGGTGTATCATGTCAAGTGTTGCATTAGCAAATGACCATGTATCCTTGTGCTACTGTCCTGCCTACCCCGCATCCTAGCGCTTCCTTGGGACATGAGAAGCTCTGTCTGGTTTGTGAGGTGGCACTGGGGATGTTGAGAAACTGTTTACACAGTTTCCCTTTGCCCTGGGGATTTACTAAAGGAGTCGAGGCAGCCTGACCCCAAAGCATCACCCCTGGACACTATGACCGAAACATTTCCCCAGTGCCCAAACCAAGAACACCCTTCCCATTTTTTTTTCAGTGGTGTTCATTATGTAATAATACAAGTCTCTCTTCTCATTTTTTAAAAGTCAGAAGTACAGAAGAGCAGAGAATAATGTCCAAGGGGCCCTCCTTCACCTCCCCCGTGCAGTGTCAGCTAAGTGTGGTGCGTGTCCTTGCAGATCTTAGGGGATTGTGATCCTTCAGACCATTCTAAACTGGGGTGGTGCTGGGAGTTAGGGAAGGCATGAAGGGAGTAGTGGAGAGCTGCAGTGACTGGGGTCTTCATGCCAGGGTGGAGAATGCAAGGCCCAGGTGGCCAGCCATGTGCCACGGGATTTCTGGCTGCCAAGAGCTGTTTATCTGTTCACTGGGGAGGGAAGAGTTAAATGTGGTCTGCTTTTCTCCGAGTCCCTTCAGCACAGGGAGTGCTGACTTGTCTTGTTCAGGTAGTAAGTTCAAGATGAGCTCAGGAAAGAAAGTGAGAGGACACTGAGGGCTAGTGGTTGAGCCAAGTGTGATGGGACTTAAAGGGAGAAGATTTAAAGAATAAGGAGCTTATGGGCCGGGGACGGTGGCTTACGCCTGTAATCCCAGCACTTTGGGAGGCTGAAGCAGGTGGATCACTTGGGTCAGGAGTTCGAGGCCAGCCTGGCCAACATGGTGAAACCCCGTCTCTACTAAAAATACAGAAATTAGCTGGGTGTGGTAGTGTGCACCTGTAATCCCAGCTACTTGGGAGGCTGAGACAGGAGAATCGCTTGAGCCCAGGAGGCAGAGGTTGCAGTGAGCCAGGATTGCGCCCCTGTACTCCAGCCTGGGTGATGGAGCGAGACTCTGCCTCAAAAAAAATTAAAAAAAAATAAAGAGGTTAGGTGAAAATAGATGAGAATGGAAACCATGAGAAGAAGTGATGCTGGCCAAGGACATGACAGGTTCTGATGTGGAGGTGATAGGCAATGTCTCTTCCAGCCACTGCTAATAATTGAGACAAACTCAAGGCATTCATACCCTGTGTCCAGTAAACATCTGTGCCCATTGCCAGGTGAGCTGGATTGAAATGGGCCAGCTGCTCAGCAGACACCCTCATGCCCCAGTGACTCTGTTCCCCTTGGGCCACCTCATTGACCATTTATGTTTCTACATCTCCTAAGTTTGTTGGGCCAAGGATGGAGGCTGTCTGCCGTCAGGGTCCTCATTGCTGATGGTAGGAATAGTTGCTGATGTTTCATTGGATGTTGCTGTATTCTAGGGACTGTGCTAAGTACTTTATAGAAATGAACATACTTCATTTTCACAGTTTTATGAATAGGGACTATTATTAGTCAAGTAAGCGATGGGGAAACTGGGGCAGGGAGCGATGAAGTGACTTGCGCAAGGTCACAAGATGATGTGATTGGAACCAAGAGAAGTGTTGTGGTTGGCCACGCCCCCACACTGCCTCTCATCTGCACCAAGGAGTTTTGTCCCATAGCCCAAGGGCCTTGGGGACGAATCTCAGTGGAGGCCCTTAGCGGGCCTGCCTGAGCCAGAAAGCAGAATCGGCATTTTTCTGTCCTTGGTTGGCCCAGCCCTGAACTGAGATGCGGAAATCGCCTTTCGCTGCCTGGTAGAAAATGGAGCTGCAGTTACTGACCACCAGGCAGAGAGAGGTGGGTCCCTGTCCCAGCCTCAGCCACCACTCTGCCTAAGCTGTGGGGACTGAGGGCGCTGTCGTTAGCTGACTGCAGAAGGTGAGCACACGCTGTAGCATGTTATGTTTCAGATGTCACATGTTGTGTTATTGTGTCTTTGCAGGGCCCTTTGCCTAACACATGCGGTCACTTTTGGGAGATGGTGTGGGAGCAGAAAAGCAGGGGTGTCGTCATGCTCAACAGAGTGATGGAGAAAGGTTCGGTAAGTCTCGGCTTCATTTGCTGTGTATGTGATCATGCATACCACTCCATATAGTTACCATTTTCGTCCAGATTTTTAAATTATTTTTCTTGCCTTTGTATTTCCTTTACGTAGTATTTTTATTTAAAAAAATTAAAACAGCAGCATATAAATGCATGTTGGTTGTCAACCAGTTAATGAAGTGAATAAAAGGGAGGAGGCGGAAGAACTGCACGGACCTCTTCGCCCCCGCCTTCTCCTGTGTGGTGCGTGTGGCGCTCCGCCCACCTGTGCTGCCTGTGCGGCTCTCATCACAGTGTGGAGTTGTGTGTGGAGTTATGGAGACCTGCTTTTATCTTGAAAAGCAAGTTCTTAGTGCATCTTCATGGTGTCTGATTTTTTGGCTGGTGAGAGTGTGGCTACCTCTGCGGAGCTGTGGGAGCGGCTGACTAGATGAGATTTGCCTCCATTCAGTACCTAGACTCTTGCCCTGCCACACCTCTTCGGAGTGAGCATTGACTTCAGGATGTGTGTCATTCTAAGTTCCTGCAACTTTTCAAACACCCCTCGGGCTAGCGTGTGGCTGCACGGTGTCCATTTGTGCAGGCCACCACTCCTCTTGCATCTGGGTCTAGCCACCTCTCCTTCTTGACTTACCATAGTTCATTTTGTACCATGCTTTCAGAATGAGCTTTCTCAAATCCAAGTCTCACCACGGTTCTTCCCAGCTGAAAACCCTTGTGCGGTTCCCTTTGCCTCACAGGATAATACATGGTGTGGCTTACGGAACCCTGCAGGTCTGGCCCTAGGCCCCTGGACACAGACCTCTCACCACTCTTGGAACTTTAGCCAGGACAAAGTTTTCTGTTTTTAGTTTCTTACCATGTTCTCTGGGCCGAGGAGTCCCAGTGCCCACGTTCATCCCACTTGCAGGCACCCCTGGACGGCTGCCCCCAGCTCCCCAACTGCCTGCATTCTCCCCTGCCCTCCTCACTCTGTTGGAATAGCTGAGAATAGCCGATTTCTGGGCAGCCGGCCTCCTGTGTAGACTGTCCTGTGTAGACTGTCCTGTGTAGATTGTCTGTGTAGACTGTCCTGTGTAGATTGTCTGTGTAGACTGTCCTGTGTAGACTGTCCATGTAAACTGTCCTGTGTAGATTGTCTGTGTAGACTGTCCTGTGTAGACTGTCCTGTGTAGATTGTCTGTGTAGACTGTCTCTGTAGACCGTCGTGTATAGACTGTCCTGTGTAGACTGTCTCTGTAGACCGTCGTGTATAGACTGTCCTGTGTAGACTGTCTCTGTAGACCGTCCTGTGTAGATTGTCTGTGTAGACCATCCTGTGTAGACCATCCCATTTAGACCATCTGCCTGTGCAGGCGCAGGCCAGTGTTCAGCAGGGCCACAGGCTCCTCGGCCTCCCTGCCCTCGCTGCTCCCCAACACTGCCAACCCTGCTGCGGGGTCCAGGAGGAGATGGGCTGAGGATCGTGGAGACCAGCAGGAGCGTGTGGCCCAGGAGCAGGGAACTGGGTGTCCTTGGGCCTTGCCAGGTCCAGGCTCAGCTAGGACACGGCTCTCACAGCTGTCCTGGTTGCCTCCGGCCACAGAAGAAGGTGAGGGCTCCAGAGAGGCCACCTTTCCAAAAAAAGCACAGTCATGGCCCTAGAATGTAAAAAATCCAAGTGTTAAGAAGGAACACATCAAAGGAAACTTCAGCAGTGAAAACTTGAAGCATTAACCACGAAGCCTCTGCCTCCACCACACACAAAGAAACGGCTTTAGTTACTCGCAGAAAGTCTTCCTCTTAGGACAGCGCGTGTTTAAAATCATAGGGGTTTGGTTTGTTTTGTTTTGGGGTTGGGGTTTTTTGGGGGTTTTTTACCCTTGCCTACTTTTTAAAAAATGAAAGTGTTTATTTGCCCAACAATAACAGACAGGGAGCTTGCCTAAGTGTTCTGTTGATGATATAATGTATCTTGTCTTAGAAAAAAACTTTTTCAGTGAAAGGTGGTTTTTAAATTTTTTCTTCCCTCCTTAGTAGCTTGATTAGTAAAATGTGAAGTTACAAATGTGAAGCAAACCCCCACCCTTCACCACTAGTCAGCAATTTTGAGTAAAGAAACAAAGCATCAGGTGCTCACAGCACACACTGTCTTAGAGGGAAGGGGAAGCCTGGTGGCCTGTGGAAGCCTTCAGCATAGCTCCATCTGCAGGCTTCTGACCCTCAGCACTACTGACACTTGGGCTGGATCATTGTCTGCTAGGGATCCGGGCAGGGAGTGGCTGTGCTGGGCGCTGTAGGAAGTTTAGCAGCATCTCTGGCCTCTATCCACCAGATGCCAGTAGCACCCCCTCCCCAGATGTGGCAGTCAGATGTGTTTCTGTCTAGACTCCAGACTTTGTCCAACGTCCCCTGGTAGGCCAAATTGCCCCCGGTTGAGAACCACCGCTCTAGATGGTATTGAGGGTTGGGAATTTTAAATCAAGACATTTATTCAGAAATTACCAGATATAGTAGCATTTGCTTCTTATTTATTTCTTTGTTGCTAAGTGTTTGGCAAAACCTCTTTGCTGTGAGCACAAGGTTTGCTTTAGCAATTGTTGTCACATTACAGCAAGGAGTGGTGTCCAGCGCTGTAGTTATGTATTTGAGCAGTGTCCAGTGCTGTAGTTATGTGTTCCAGCCTCACCAGGCCCTGTGCTTCATTGTCTCCCACTCAAGACTGACCACAAATGGCCCACAGATCCACTGTGACAACCTTTCCCTTTGGGTTACTGTGGTGGCATCGAGAACATGGCTGGTTGGCTTTGCTGTAGTTTACTGTGATAACTGTGCCAGCAGTCCCTGCTTTCCTTTGTTAAGTATCCCATTCCACTGGAGGATTACTTGGGCGTGCAGATTGGCATGAAAAGCAATGTATGGTTTGAGATTGTTAAAGTTTCTTTGGGATCAACATTTTCAATTCTGTATCAGCATTATCCCTCCCAGAGGGCTGGCTGGGAGAAATCATGAGAAGTTACAGTATCTTATTTGCTCAGCTAATCTAATTATAAATGATCCACACAGCTTGTGGTAAAACCAGCTTTTGGGGAGTTTTCATTTAATGCATACTTGTCTTCTGATTTCCTTCCTTCACCAAATAGTGTAGGATGCTCCCTCTTATTTTTGGCAAACATGCCTGTTATCTTTTGGGACCCTGGGCTTCCTGGAAACCAGTTATGCAGAAGATGATTGTGTGTGTTAGACTGGGGTCATCCAGATGGCTAGAGTTCTCACTGGTTCTGTTTAAGGATTGACTTTAGACACCTCAGTGTAGGCTGCACCATGGCGTAAGGGTTGGGATTGTTGTTTAGAAGGGGGAAGTAAGCAAGGTGAGTTTAATTGGCCATTGCAGAATCTCACCCGTATCTCCCTCCTGAAATCCTCACTAAAGCTGCCGTTTGCTTTCAGGTGCTTTCATGCACAAGACACTGCATTTTGTATCACAGGGTCCATATAATTCATTTTTCTCTCGTACTTAGTTCTCTGTGTTAAGAATTACTTACTTAGTTCTCTGTGTTAATAATTTTTGGCGAAACCAAATTACCCGTCACAGGGTTACTGTAGATGTCTTTCATAGGTTTTCCAAACACCACTTGCCCACTTGTTTGGGAAGGCCCCAAGGACTGTTTAACATCTGCCTTCATGGTGGAAACAGCAACTATGAGAGATGCTAGCATGTTGGCACTGCCATGTTCCTCTGGTACCAGCCCAAGATAGGACTCAATTTGAGGCCTGGTGAAGTACTGTGTTCTAATAAAAATCCATCTACTTTTCATGGCCGTATATATCAATGTAATAGGGTAACTGGAAATGTGATCTTGTGCCTTTTAAAAATTTTGTGTGTTTAAAACAAAAATTTCTATTGGAAATGACAGAGCATAGCTTGTTGCTGTAGACACCTGAGAGTCCTTAAAAATAAATATTGGGTTATTGACACTTAGTTGCATGACAGAATTCCTCACTTGTACAGTTCCAAAGTCTTAGTCTTTACCCAGATTACAGAGGGTTATTAAGCATTAGGTTTGGTTTTGAAAGTGAGTGCTTGCTGTCTGGAGGTGAGCTTTAAGACTCGTCTGCCCTGCTTATGAGATGAGGAAGGGTGGCCTCTTCCTCCTGCATTTCTGTTCTTCGCTTCCTTCTCTGTCTGCTCACTCTGTGGAATGCCCACCCCAGCACGGGTGGGGTGGAACCTGTCAGATCAGTCTCTTGTTTCTGGGGTCTTGAGGCATTATAAGATCTAGTTGTTAGAAGTGTGGGATTAATTCATCTTTTCACATTCTTCTAAGTTCCTGCTTTTAGCTGCCACACCCACTTTGGCTAAGTGGGGGTCTTGCCATGTAATTAGCGCCTCCATGCCAAGTGGCAGAATTGCTTCAATGGTGACAGATTGTCCCCATTCAAGAGTTCACTTTTGGCAACTCATCATTGATCCAGGAAGGTGACATGGATGAAACTGGCTAAGACTTCAGACAGGCTTGTGTCCAGACTCTTGAGAAAGCTCTGTTGGCTTCTGGTCTGGCACTGTGAAGTTTGCTGTGATGCTGGCACCACAACCTGGTGTTTCCTAATTTGTTTCTCCCACATTTTGCTTTGGTTTTGTCTTTTGGGCAGCTTCCAGCTCCAGTAGAGCAGGACCAATAGGCATTTGTGGTTCTATATTCACCCTCCTCACGTGCTTCCTGGCTCCTCATTGCCCCCAGATGATGCCACAGGTCCCTGGGCCTGCTGCCAGTCGTCTGTGATCTGGGCCTCTGCTGGCCCCTTCTCCAGCTGCTCTTTTCAGCCTCTTATTTGCAGTCACTGCCTAGGAAATCCTAGTCATCCTTCAAAACCTGCCTCTTGCACAGAGCTTTCTCTGATCTCTCTTTTCTGTAACCTTGGCTGACCTGAAACATTTCCCTCTTCTGAATTCCTGCTGCATGTCCGTAGCATTTCCCCCTCAGCCCTCCCCCATAGTCCACCTTGTCACTGCTGGGCACAGCAGTGTCTTCTGACAGACAGCTGGCCCTGAAGTGGTTCCCTTCACCCACACCATCCTTTGCCCCAGAGGAGGTATTGAGTGGGTCAGTGCACGTGAACTGCCAGTGTCATTTGCCAAAGAGCTGTTGACACACGCTGACATTTCTTTTGCTGAAAATCATAAGGGCTTTGAGCTTCCCTCTGTCCAGGCACATGGTCAGGCTGACCCGGTAGCTCTGCCCCTGCTGACCTGCCATTTTTGTCCACAACAGTTATCCATGAGCAGAAACATTTGTGTAACTGAGGCAGAAACTTAGTTCAAGTAAAATGTCACTAAATTCGAGTCAGTTTTTGTCTTAGACCCTAAATGAAACCAAATTTTCATAAATTTTCTTGTTTTAAAGAAAAATTTAATGAGCTACATTTAAACTGAGAACATCAGATAGTGTCTGAGATTATCAAAATAGAACATCAAAAGTATTTTTCTGAATGAACTGAACCAAACCAGAATGAAAGGGCAAGCCCTGGGGAGCCTGTCTCCAAGCCTTCTCTGAAAGGGAGTCTGTATTTGGTGATAACTGCTCAGCCTCTCCAAAGGGCCTCACCTGCTGTCTCTCCCAGTTTTATTTTTAATTGCCTGTGAGTTTTCTGTGCAGGGTAAGGCACCTACATTCTATGCCAGCAGCCTGATCAGGTCCTGGGTAATGTTTGAAATGGCTACACAGAGGAGTTTCAAAGCCTTTTGTTCAATCTGGCTTCACCTCGTAGACGGTGAGAAAGCGTCAGAGCCCTGCAGGATCCCGTTGCCACGTTTGACCGGGGAGCCGATGGGTTTGGAAGTCTGAGCCCTGTCTGCACAACCTGCCCCGGTCAGCAGCTTCGTGCCCCCACCCCCATCTCCCCATGAGGCAGGCATCTGTGCTGACCATGGCTTCCATGTTCAGAAACCCCCAGGCCTTTGAGTTATCATGAAGCTTGTGGGATGTGCTCCAAGCCTCCTGCCATAGAAAAACTGCCATATTGCTCACAATAATTCACTATTATTTGTTTCCCCAGTTAAAATGCGCACAATACTGGCCACAAAAAGAAGAAAAAGAGATGATCTTTGAAGACACAAATTTGAAATTAACATTGATCTCTGAAGATATCAAGTCATATTATACAGTGCGACAGCTAGAATTGGAAAACCTTACAGTGAGTATAGCACACACTTCAGCACTTCAGGCGGCTACTGGTTCACATGCCTCTTCCTTTATCCCTTGGGTGATATTACCTAATGTCAGTGTTCCTGGCTTTTGTATACCCCGAGCAAGATGTGGTTTGGGCACTGTGGTGAGCGGAGCTTACTTGTGTACCTACCAAGTGCCCAGGGAGGGTGGAGGCCACAGTGCTCTCTCTGACCTTTAACAACAGTTAACACCAGTTCTTAGGGAAAGGAGAGTTTCTTACCCAAAAGACTGGTTCCTGCTTGTGCAGCTGCAGAGGGACTGGAGCGGCAGCCTGCAAGTCCCAGTGAAGCATGCTGCCTTCTTTGTGGTCCTCAGTCTTCGAGTCTGAAGAGAGGGAAGAAGGGGTATAGGGGCTCACTCCAGTTTCATAGCTAGTGAAAGTTTTCTGGGCCAGGTCTTGGGTTTTTTTGTTGTGGGAAGAGTTTATAACACCAGCTACTTGCTTGGTAAAAGTTGGTCTTGGAACATGGCAAGGCATTGTGGCAAGCAGCACTGCCGCTGAACGCGCTGCTCCTGGGGCTTTGGAATAATTCCCCTGGATCCGTAACTTGGGGGTGTTCATGTCATTCTGGGGAACAGTGGAGGGAGTGCGCGGCAGCACCTGGGGGCACCAGTGAAGAGTGGCCAGCCACCAACCTCTAGAACCTAACTGGGGTCGAATCCTGGCCCCACCTTACTAGCTCATCACAGTGTCTCCGTTTCCTCTTCTGTCAAACTCAGGTTTTGCGAGGGTTCTGGGAGGTCCTATACGGGAAGGGTTAGCAGTTACCATGGGTGTGTAGCACGGGCTTTATCTGAAGGGAAGGTGGAGCCGTAGGGAGACCATGTGGAGTGGGGCTCCAGGGCTGTGTGGGTGGGGAGGGATCTGCTTCTGGGTTACCCCATGCCTCCCCTTCTCAAGTACTACTTTTTAATCATCATGGCTCCTGCCATTCATTTCATAGTTGATGTAAGCCAGGTGCGGTGGCTCACGTCTTTAATCCCAGCACTTGGGGAGGCTGAGGCCAGGAGGATCACTCGAGGCCAGGAGTTCAAGACCAGCTTGGGCAACATAGTGAGACCCCCGTCTCTACAAAAAAACAAAAACAGTTAGTCAGACATCGTGGTGCTCCCCTATAGTCCAGCTACTCAGGAGGCTGAGGCAGGAGGATTGCTTGTGCCCGGGAGTTCAAGGCTGCAGTGAGCTATGCTTGCACCACTGCACTCTAGCCTGGGTGACAGAGCAAGACCCTGTCTCAAAAATAAATAAATAAAAAAAATAGTAGAAGTAAGATCTAGAATGTAGCACAGGTTACCAGGACGTAGGCAAGGGGTTCGGGCTGCCTGGCTCTTGAGGATGGTAGCAGTGCAGCTGATGTGAGTGCTTTCTGCCCTCTGGTGGTGACCGCGCCGGAGTCACCAGCCCTGCCATAGCCCTGATGGGGCAGAGGGTTCTGAGTACGGTGGATGGAGGTGCTTTCTGGAAGATTCTCAGGAGTAACATGGGCAGTGTGTTGGAATGTGCTAGAGGATTTATGCAGTAGCCTTTTAAAAGAATGCTTTTTAGCATTTGCAAGCCTGACATTAAGAGTGACTTCTGGGAAACTATTTGCTTGTTGAGGGAAACTGAATTTCAACAGAGCAGAAGAGCTGTGCGCTTTTTGCTTGGCAGAGTGAATACAGCCAGCTCAGAGGTTTTGATGTTAGGATCTGTTTGCTCCAACAGACTTTGTTTTTAAAAGGCTTTTCTCAGCCATAGCTGTCTGTTCTAGCACAAGGCTGGAATGAGTTCCTTGTGAAAGAGGTGAGCAGGTGTGAGGGAGGGTGTCAGTGGGCGGTAACCCACACCTTCAAGGATTAAAGGAAAACTTGCATTTGGCATGCTTGCTTCTTATTCAATTTTAAAATACATTTTAACGGCCGGGCACGGTGGCTAACACCTGTAATCCCAGCACTTTGAGGGGCTGAGGTGGGTGGTTCACGAGGCCAGGGGTTCAAGACCAGCCTGGCCAAGATGGTGAAACCCCATCTCTACTAAAAATACAAAAAAAAAAAAAATTAGCCGGGCGTGGTGGCGGGCACCTGTAATCCCAGCTACTCGGGAGGCTGAGGCAGAGAATTGCTTGAACCCAGGAGGCGGAGGTTGCATTGAGCCGAGATCATGCCACTGCATTCCAGCCTGGGCGGCAGAGCAAGACTCTGTCTCAAAATAATAATAATAATTTTTTAAAAATACATTTTAAGTCCTTTTCTTCCCCACCTGCCTCCACCCACCAAATAGAAGAGGTATTTCTTCTTCTTTAATGTCATTAAGGTTATATGGATACCATTTTCTAGAGAGGAAAGAATGATGGAATTGCCTAGTGTGAGTCTAGCAATTATCCTAACATACACAAATTTCTCCTTGTTCTGTGCCAAGATACTGTATTTAATATTTAATGAACATTAAATATTATTTACTAGTGTATTTAATGGCTGAGGCAGGGTTAAATATGTATTATTTTCATCCCAGCAGAGTTGGGGGAGGTCCTAGTAACTATGCCATGAGCTCTGTGAGGGTGAGGTGGTGTCTTTGCCCCCGCCTCCCTGGCACAGTGACTGGCACATGATTGGCATAGTGTGGACATTCGTCAAGTGAAGGAAGGCATCATGAGCAGATCTCTGGCCTGAATCCTTCTGCCATCAGCTGCTCGCCAGGTGGCCCTGGCACTGGGCCACAGGGAAACTCTCCAGGCTGGTATGGTTCCTGTCTGTGGCTGTCTTCCCGGGCCCATGTTAGGAGACTTTCACTTCCAGAGCCCTTTCCCTCTCAGGGCCTTGCTTACCAAGTGACTGGTTCCCATTTACTAGGAGCTCTTAGGTCATTGAAGATGTTGCGTACTCCCCCCAGTGAGGGCTGCCTTTTGATCACAGCCGCCAGAAGCCTCAAGGAAGGAGCAGAGCTGGAAACAGACGCCAGGCCATTGCTTCTGTTCCTCTGGGGCAGACCCAGCCACGGAAGAGACATTCTGGGACAAGGGCTGGGGTCCACCTTTCAAACGTGTCTGCAGCAGGCTCTCAGCATGGACTCTCTGCCTCCAAACATCCACCTCCTCATCGGAAAATGGATGGGAGTGCCTGCCTGGAGCAGCTGGTGGGAGAGCGCAGCGCCAGCACGTAGGACACACTCGGTTCATGGGCTGATGCCGTTCGCATTGACTGCCTCTTCAGCTGGGTGTTGAGCCACACCTTGGAGTCACCAGTCTTTGGAGACCAAGTCTGCTACTTTTTTCTCTAAAGTGACAATCCTCTGAAACCTCCAGATCATCTTGAAGCCCCCGTCTGAAAGTTGCCCAGAGCCAGTGCCTCACCTGCTGTTCCTTGTTCACTTTTTCACGGGAGGCCTTGCAGGGCTTTATGACAAGATTTTATGGGTGGCTGCCCAGCATCATTGTGACTCGTGAGACAGAGAGAAACCAGTTGTAACCATGTAGACAGTGGAAGTGATAGGGAGAAAAGAGGTGAGGGGACTCTTCAATCCGAAGGGAAATGAAGTCTAAGCAGGCGCACCCTGCAGGTTCAGTGTCAAGCCCAGGGCCTGGCCCCAGGGTGTGGTATTTGTTGACTGGGTGTGTGGACCCTGGGAGAAAGTCTGAGAATGAATGTTCCTCTTAGAGGTAGAGAGTGGAAGGTGACTCTGTGTGTACTTGGAATTAGTGATTTCTGTACAGATGATTCTTTTAGAATCATCATGAGTATTTTTCTCTTTCAGACCCAAGAAACTCGAGAGATCTTACATTTCCACTATACCACATGGCCTGACTTTGGAGTCCCTGAATCACCAGCCTCATTCTTGAACTTTCTTTTCAAAGTCCGAGAGTCAGGGTCACTCAGCCCGGAGCACGGGCCCGTTGTGGTGCACTGCAGTGCAGGCATCGGCAGGTCTGGAACCTTCTGTCTGGCTGATACCTGCCTCTTGCTGGTAAGGAGGCCCTCGCGGGTGCCCTGGGGAGCTCCTCTACCTGCTCTGCTGTGATGTTTTTTCCTAAGTAGAAACTGAAGCGCTCCTCTTCCAAAATACAGAGACTCACTGTGTTAGTCTGTTTTTGCGTTACTAATAAAGGCGTACCTGAGACTCGGTAATTTGTAAAGAAAAGAGGTTTAACTGGCTCCCGGTTCTGCAGGCTGTACAAGCATGGCACCAGCATCTGCTCGGCTCCTGGGGAGGCCTCAGGGAGCTTCCAGTCATGGTGGAAGGTGAAGGGGAGCAGGAGCAAGAGATGGGGGAGGTCCCAGACTCTTAACCAGCTCTCTTGTGAATGCATTGCCTCAGGGAGGGCACCAAGCCTTTCATGAGGGACCTGTCCCCCTGACCCAGACACCTCCCACCCAGCCCCACCTCCAACACTAGGGATCACATTTCAGCATGAGATTGGGAGGGGACAGACATCTAACGGTGTTATTAACGTTGCCCTTGAGAATTGGACCTGGCTGACTTATATCTCCTCTCTGGCTTTCAGATGGACAAGAGGAAAGACCCTTCTTCCGTTGATATCAAGAAAGTGCTGTTAGAAATGAGGAAGTTTCGGATGGGGCTGATCCAGACAGCCGACCAGCTGCGCTTCTCCTACCTGGCTGTGATCGAAGGTGCCAAATTCATCATGGGGGACTCTTCCGTGCAGGTCAGCATTGCCTTTGTTTGAATCCAGGTGTGACCATTTTAACTTTTTTGTCTTTGAAGGAGGCTGTCAGTTGTAAAAGTTCAAACACCGTCTGGTGTCAGGGGAAATAGCTACCCTTCATGTTTAAAATAGCTAGAAAGTTGTCAAAATGTTCACCATGTTGCACTTTGTGCCTTTGAAGTGCTCACATAGAGAGCATTGATAGGAAGACGAGACTTTATTTTCAAAAGATTTCATCTTCCAAGTACATGGCTGCAGCCCTGAGAGGCCGAGAGCCCCTCGCCAAGCCGTCACCTCTGCTCATGCAAAGGGATTTCCTGACAAACCAGCCGAAGTGAACACTAATAGGACTTCCTCTTGCTGCTCTTTCAAGGATCAGTGGAAGGAGCTTTCCCACGAGGACCTGGAGCCCCCACCCGAGCATATCCCCCCACCTCCCCGGCCACCCAAACGAATCCTGGAGCCACACAATGGGAAATGCAGGGAGTTCTTCCCAAATCACCAGTGGGTGAAGGAAGAGACCCAGGAGGATAAAGACTGCCCCATCAAGGAAGAAAAAGGAAGCCCCTTAAATGCCGCACCCTACGGCATCGAAAGGTAATATGATTGGGTCCCAGCTTGTTGGGGTGAGGGGAAATGACTTTCTGTTCTAGAAACACACGCTGGTACTGAAACCCTGTGGATGCAGCCTCCTGTTGGCAAGCAGCGCTTCCGCATCCTTGGGGAACAGGGCGCGTGGACCACAGCCACTCCACTCCTGGCTGCTGGAGGTCCGGTATTGGGCACAGGGTGGCCGCAGGACATGAGCCACTTCTGTGGGCTTCTAGTGCCACCTTGTGGTGCTTGTTGGAATGAGGGGCTCGGAGCCACCGAGTAGGGTTTTTCTGCCCCCCCTGACGACAGCGCCCTCCCCCAGGTTTCCGGACAGTCCTGAAATGTGATGTCCAGGCTTGAGTGCCCTCAGTCCCCACAGTGGTCCTTTGGGGAATGTAACCTTTTTTATGTGGTCTTGATTAAATCCCATTTTACTTCCTTGCAGGTTAACAACCATTATTGAGTACCTATTGATATGTGTGGTGTACTGAGTTAACTAGAACATGTCCCCTGGTCTGTGTTCTAGACCATCTTGCTGGGAAAAAGGCAGACCCAAAGCATATTTTGGTGGGGGCCCATGGACAGTGATGTGATAGAGGTGTCCGCTGAGGTGGTCAGGGAAGGCTGCTTGCAGTAGGTGGCCGTGCACGGAAAGTTTGCAGAATGAGCAGGTGTTAGTTCCAGCTGGAGATGACTGCCGGCTGTGCCCTTGGTACCTGCTTTCTGGAGGGAAGTTTTAAGACGTGTGCATACTTGACCCAGCAGTTGTATACATGGAGAAATTTACTTTGCAGCAACTCTCAAAACAAGCGTGTAAAGATGTGTATAGGTAGTTGTGTTTGTTGTGGCATTGTTTGTAGTAGTGAAAAATTAGAGACAGGCCAATGATATAACCAGGGACCTGATCAATTATGTTCTCTCCCGGTGTTGGGATATTCTGTAGCTCTTAAAGAATGAGATCTGGGTGTACTGATGTGGCCAGACATTGCAATTGCAGTACATGAGAAGGCAAATCATACAGTAGTGTGTACACCAGTGAGTCCTCCAGCCAGATAAATCCTCACAGTGACCAGTCGCCCAGGCACCTTGTGAACCCTACCCTGGGTGTGGGTGCTATCTGAAGTACCTGGGGGAGGGGGTGACAAGTGGACTTCAGGCTGATGTGGGCCCTGGCCTGGCCCTCCCTCCAAGCAGAGGGGGCTGGCTCGCTGGAAGGTTAACATCATCCAACTCTGTCTACACGTGGCTTGTTTTTTCCTAGAATTCCTGCCACAATAGCAGCATCCTTGCCATTCATTTTCTCCAAAGTGAGTAACCCATCTCTGCCCTCTGATTCCTCAGCATGAGTCAAGACACTGAAGTTAGAAGTCGGGTCGTGGGGGGAAGTCTTCGAGGTGCCCAGGCTGCCTCCCCAGCCAAAGGGGAGCCGTCACTGCCCGAGAAGGACGAGGACCATGCACTGAGTTACTGGAAGCCCTTCCTGGTCAACATGTGCGTGGCTACGGTCCTCACGGCCGGCGCTTACCTCTGCTACAGGGTATGTTTCCACTGACAGACGCGCTGGCGAGATGCTCGTGTGCAGAGAGCACTGGCCGCTAGCCCGATGGTAGGATTCAGTTCTGTGGTGCATCTGAGCCAGTCTCAGAAGAAACAGATCAAAGGTTTTTAAAGTCTGGAACTGTGGAAGGGCTAACAAGAGAATTAAGGATCGATGCACTGGGGTTTTAAGGAGCCCTCTGGTCCCAAGAATATAAGAGTCTAATCTCAGGGCCTTAACCTATTCAGGAGTAAGTAGAGAAAATGCCAAATACGTCTGTTTCTCTCTCTCTTTTTTTTTTTATTCCTTTGTTTTTGGAAAAAAATAGAGTTACAACACATTGTTGTTTTTAACCTTTATAAAAAGCAGCTTTTTGTTATTTCTGGAACAAAAAAAAACAAAGTAGGCACTTATGAAACTTTCTCATACCCTTAGGTGATGTAATCAGCCATATAATTTATATTTGATTTCCCAGGGAAGGAATCCCAAACTTTTACGAATGTAAACTCCCTTGGAGAAGAGGGTTAGGACGCTGTTGCGCTCAAGCCCCCCTCAGCTGTGTGCACACTGAGCCAGGACAGGGTCTTTGAGCTTTCCCACTATAAGAAGAACAGCAACAAAAGGCCGTCTAGAAAAACAGAACCTGCCTCTGCTTCTGCTCAGGGTGTCCCCGCTGGGTTTCCATTGTCCTTTCTCCATTGCTCCCTCCTGTGACAGCCATCTTGCTCATGTACCAGCCCTCATCACCCCATCCCCATAAATGGGTGTCCTCGAGGCCTCTGCCTGGGGGTCAGAGGTCACCACAGGGTGGCCATTGGCATGTCAACCCGCTGTTAATTCAGAGAAGTGGGCTCCACCTCATTGGGAGAAGTGCCATTTCAGCAGAAATTCACACGTTAGACGTGTGTTGCTGTTAAGTAAGGGGAAGAGAGAGGACTAGCCTCAGAGCTCTGGCCATGGAAATGACCTCCTAAGACTTTTTCGTGGTTTTAAATATTTTACCTCTTTCCAGGTGGCATCTGAGTACATCAGATGGTTTTGCAAAATGCAAACAATTTTTTCCTTGGGGATGATTTTTGGGGAGAGGGGGCTACTGTAAAAAATAAAACCAAAACCCCCTTTGCTCCCTCGGAGGTTGAAGTTGCCGGGGGGTGTGGCCGGGGTCATGCATGAGGCGACAGCTCTGCAGGTGCGGGTCTGGGCTCATCTGAACTGTTTGGTTTCATTCCAGTTCCTGTTCAACAGCAACACATAGCCTGACCCTCCTCCACTCCACCTCCACCCACTGTCCGCCTCTGCCCGCAGAGCCCACGCCCGACTAGCAGGCATGCCGCGGTAGGTAAGGGCCGCCGGACCGCGTAGAGAGCCGGGCCCCGGACGGACGTTGGTTCTGCACTAAAACCCATCTTCCCCGGATGTGTGTCTCACCCCTCATCCTTTTACTTTTTGCCCCTTCCACTTTGAGTACCAAATCCACAAGCCATTTTTTGAGGAGAGTGAAAGAGAGTACCATGCTGGCGGCGCAGAGGGAAGGGGCCTACACCCGTCTTGGGGCTCGCCCCACCCAGGGCTCCCTCCTGGAGCATCCCAGGCGGGCGGCACGCCAACAGCCCCCCCCTTGAATCTGCAGGGAGCAACTCTCCACTCCATATTTATTTAAACAATTTTTTCCCCAAAGGCATCCATAGTGCACTAGCATTTTCTTGAACCAATAATGTATTAAAATTTTTTGATGTCAGCCTTGCATCAAGGGCTTTATCAAAAAGTACAATAATAAATCCTCAGGTAGTACTGGGAATGGAAGGCTTTGCCATGGGCCTGCTGCGTCAGACCAGTACTGGGAAGGAGGACGGTTGTAAGCAGTTGTTATTTAGTGATATTGTGGGTAACGTGAGAAGATAGAACAATGCTATAATATATAATGAACACGTGGGTATTTAATAAGAAACATGATGTGAGATTACTTTGTCCCGCTTATTCTCCTCCCTGTTATCTGCTAGATCTAGTTCTCAATCACTGCTCCCCCGTGTGTATTAGAATGCATGTAAGGTCTTCTTGTGTCCTGATGAAAAATATGTGCTTGAAATGAGAAACTTTGATCTCTGCTTACTAATGTGCCCCATGTCCAAGTCCAACCTGCCTGTGCATGACCTGATCATTACATGGCTGTGGTTCCTAAGCCTGTTGCTGAAGTCATTGTCGCTCAGCAATAGGGTGCAGTTTTCCAGGAATAGGCATTTGCCTAATTCCTGGCATGACACTCTAGTGACTTCCTGGTGAGGCCCAGCCTGTCCTGGTACAGCAGGGTCTTGCTGTAACTCAGACATTCCAAGGGTATGGGAAGCCATATTCACACCTCACGCTCTGGACATGATTTAGGGAAGCAGGGACACCCCCCGCCCCCCACCTTTGGGATCAGCCTCCGCCATTCCAAGTCAACACTCTTCTTGAGCAGACCGTGATTTGGAAGAGAGGCACCTGCTGGAAACCACACTTCTTGAAACAGCCTGGGTGACGGTCCTTTAGGCAGCCTGCCGCCGTCTCTGTCCCGGTTCACCTTGCCGAGAGAGGCGCGTCTGCCCCACCCTCAAACCCTGTGGGGCCTGATGGTGCTCACGACTCTTCCTGCAAAGGGAACTGAAGACCTCCACATTAAGTGGCTTTTTAACATGAAAAACACGGCAGCTGTAGCTCCCGAGCTACTCTCTTGCCAGCATTTTCACATTTTGCCTTTCTCGTGGTAGAAGCCAGTACAGAGAAATTCTGTGGTGGGAACATTCGAGGTGTCACCCTGCAGAGCTATGGTGAGGTGTGGATAAGGCTTAGGTGCCAGGCTGTAAGCATTCTGAGCTGGGCTTGTTGTTTTTAAGTCCTGTATATGTATGTAGTAGTTTGGGTGTGTATATATAGTAGCATTTCAAAATGGACGTACTGGTTTAACCTCCTATCCTTGGAGAGCAGCTGGCTCTCCACCTTGTTACACATTATGTTAGAGAGGTAGCGAGCTGCTCTGCTATATGCCTTAAGCCAATATTTACTCATCAGGTCATTATTTTTTACAATGGCCATGGAATAAACCATTTTTACAAAAATAAAAACAAAAAAAGCAAGGTGTTTTGGTATAATACCTTTTCAGGTGTGTGTGGATACGTGGCTGCATGACCGGGTGGGTGGGGGGGAGTGTCTCAGGGTCTTCTGTGACCTCACAGAACTGTCAGACTGTACAGTTTTCCAACTTGCCATATTCATGATGGGTTTGCATTTTAGCTGCAACAATAAAATTTTTTTCTAAAGAACATGAATTTGGGGTGCTTCCCATTTTTTTCTTTGCTTAATAGAGCTAAACCAGGATGAGTAACTCCTGTTTCTTTCTATCCCTGCTGATGTGAAACAGATGTTGTCAATCAGCTGGGGTTAGAGTTTTCCACTTCTAAGAATTAACCTCAGCATCCCTGCATTGCCAGCACCCTCAGGCTGGAGCGCTTTCCTTGACTGTGAGCTTGTTGAACACCTTAGGCCTCAGCCCATTTCCTTCCCAAATTGACGCTTTGCCTGTGTAGGGCCCTCAGATAACTTAACAAACTTACCAGTGTTGTTTGAAGAACAGTGTTTTGAGTTGTAATCTCAAAACCATATCCCTTACCCAATTACCTGTAAGACACAATGGTTACCACATCTCAGTACGTAAAGTCCACTTGATATAGAATTGACTTAGAAATAAGACAGATTAGTATAGTTTTTCATTTGTGTACAAAATTAAACAATGTAAATTCCCCCCAAAGTGATTTTTTTGACTTTTTGAAGTAATTTTGGACTTGCAAAATGTTGCCAAAATAGTACGAAGAGTTCCCCAGTACCCTCGAAGTTTCCTCGACTGTTTCAAAGCTGGCTGCAGGCCCAGGCTCATGAGACTGGGAAGAGGACAGGCTGTGGTCATGTGGACCCACAGGGGCCTGGGGCTGCAGAAGTCAGTGTGGCTTCCACCATTTCAGGTATAAAAAAGGGCATCTAAGCTTTCAAGAAGAGGGAGGATGCTCTAGGGCAGCGGTCCCCAACCTTTTCTGGCACCAGGAACCGGTTCCATGGAAGACAATTTTTTCACAGGCCTGGGGGTGGTGAGGGATGGTTTTGGGATAGAAACTTCCACCTCAGATCATCAGGCATCAGATTCTCATAAGGAGCTTGCAACCTGATCTCTTGCACACATTCAGTTCACAATAGGGTTCACGCTCCTAAGAGAACCTGATGCTGCAGCTGATCTAACAGGAGATGGAGCTCAGGTGGTCATGCTCAGTCGCTCGCCACTCACCTCCTGCCATGCAGTCCAGTTCCTAACAGGCCTCAGACCAGTACCGGTCTGTGGCCTGGGGGTTGAGGACCCCTGCTCTAGGCTGGTACTGCTGATGCTTAAAAAGAGAGGGTTTGCCAGAAATCAGATGGGACAAAAGGGCAAAGGCCGTGCCACAGAGTGCCCATATAGGGGAGAGCACGCCTGGAGCCTTCGAGAGCATGCAGAGAAGCCTGGAGACTGCATTTACCGGAGCTGCTGCCTGAGGCCACCCTCCAAGTGTCCCCACAGCGCACCACAAGACCACAGGAGTGACCTCCTCACTGGCAGGTATTTGGGGAAACAACTGCTGTCTACTCTTTTGGGTAAAAAGTGAAACACCAATAGTTTAATTGAAATTTCAGAAAATTGAACATATGAACAAGGCAAATAAATACTAAGTAAGTTAAAAACACAAAATATGTCCAGGAAGTATCGATGAGAATGTTCAAGTTAAAGTTCTCCAATGCCATTGCTACAGCAACCTCAAACCCTAGGTTCTCTCTGCACTATTAACACAGACATCTCAGGACATGGTTTGCTTTTTTTTAAGACTTAAATAGGAAACTAATTTTTCTTTCTTTAAAGCAATTGCGTTCTTCAGTGAACTCTTTCTTTAGGCCAGTTGATGGCTTCTTAGCAGTTTATTGACGAGATCCTAGGGTAGCTTCCGAAGCTGGGTTGATTGATTGCATTTGGGTGCGGATGGCCAAAGTGAGTGGCCCTACTGCCTGTGCTGCTCAGGGCTCCTGGGCTGATGTGGTGGCTTCTTCCCTTTGTGCTGCTGAACATAGGGAAAGTGAGGTTCACAGTCCACCATCCACCAGCCGCCGTCTGTGAGCTCCACCAGCACTCGCAGCAAGTCAGTCGGGCTGAGAGTGTGGTTGTAGAAACCCTGGCTTTGTGCCTTCCCACCTTCCCCAGCTCACCAAGGTGACACCTGGCTGCTGCTGAAATGGCCTGAGCAGTCTTGCATTAGCAGGGCCAGCCACCTGCCAGCCTGCTGCATCCCCAGTGCCTCTTGACGCAGAAGTGCCGAGCAGCTGACCGGCAGCGAGGCCTGGAGTTCTACACACTTGCCTTGGAGCCTTTTATTTAGGGCCTCAACTTGCCTGGCCTTGGCCCTTTTGTAGGTGGCCACCTAGTTTGGCTCAGCTCTGCATCTCGGGGAAGGTCACACAGACCCTCAGCCAGAAGTTGAGCGCTCTGTTGAGGCCGTGCAGCCCCTGGAATGCTGTACCTTTGCCTTGCTTTTTTCTGCCTCTGTACAAAAGACCAGCCCATGCCCTGGGGCTGGGTCAATGGCCGGAGTCTCAGGTAGAGCTCTGGGCAGCTCACACTCCTGGAGGAGTGCACAGCACCATTACCCAGAGTGCAGGCTATGTCCAGGCTGGGCAGCAGCAAAAAAAACGATGTGAGATTTGTGCTCATCAGCCAGGATTTTTTAAAATATTGTGATTTCAACATCTGCCTCCTGGCAAAAGACTTCTCTTTGTTCTGAGCAGAGCTTGTCCATCTTCTCAAAAGCTAACCGTCCTTTTTCACCTGAAATAGCAAAGGGACCTGTCAGCGGGTTGGATCCTGCCTTGGCACTTCCAACTCTCCTGGGCCAGGGTGGCCCTAGTGCTTAGTGACTGTGGGTCTCAGTGGTCTCTGCAAAGCGGCAGGGGAGGGAGTATGTGCGGGAGCCCCCACCTGGTGACTCACATGGCCTGGGGGCCTTGTCTTTACCTCTAGGATGTTCCGCTGAATGGGAACCCTGCCTTGCCTCTGGCTTCTATCCCAAAGGTCTAAGAAGACAGCGAACACTCCCTGCCACCCCAGCCATGGAGGAGGCCTGCCTTGGCAGGATGCTACAAAGGGTGGAGGTCGGCTCTGTGCCAGGGCTGCTAACGGTGCCCATCCCAGGTGCCCCAGAGTTGTTCTGCCTGCTGGGAGAGCTGGGTGTGGCCTCTCGCAGATTCTAAGGGCCCCAGGCACCCCGCTGCGCTGCACAGTTTGTGCCACTTTTTACCGAACGACAGTGTGGTTTCCCGGGCTGCCGCCCGCACGGCCTCCAGGTCAGACTGGCACAGGCTGGCAGTCTGGTCGATGCTTTCAATGCCCTGTTCGAGATTAGGAGAAAAAGAACCCTTTAGGGGGCCTTCTCAACAGCAGGTAGAGTCCACTTAGTGGCCCTGCAGGGCCAGTCCTAGCATGGTCTCTGGGGCCTCAGCCCCTTCCTTTTCTCCAGGCTTCCAGGTTTTTTAGGTGGCCTCAGGTTCATGAGAGGCACCTCTGGACTCTGGAAGCGTCTCGCCTCTTCAGCCCTTACACCCGCTAGGGAGCCAGGCTGTTAGCAGAACTCGTCATCCTGGATGCCTGCTGAAAGGCTAGAATTGAAAAGGAGACCTGCTGCTTTCTGGACCTTCCTGCCTCCCTCACGCTCTCCTTGCCCTACTCTCCAGGACAGCCTGTGCCAGTACTTCGCCCAACTCAGGCACATGCCCCCTGGCTGCTCCTGCAGGCCAAGGACCGGCATGCGCTGCAGCGCCCTCTACTGGGCACCTGGCCCTCGCTGGTTTTCTGATCCTAACCAGCTTCTCCTCTTAGAATTTCCTGCTGATCCATCCCAGAATGAATGGGAGTTCAATCTGTACTGAATTATCTTTCATCTAGCAATTGTGCAATTCCAAATGCAGGTGAGGTTGAGGGAAAGCGGGCATCCCCTCACATCCATGGGATCTATGTGTGGGTTGTATCAAGAGTCTCAAAAATGCTCATATTCTCCGGTCCTAGAATTGGGTCTAGCCTAAGGAAATAATTCAGAACTCCATGTTTTTTTAAAGCTTTATGCACAAACATGATCATAAGACATGATTTATGATAAAAATTGGATGAAGTAAACTTTCCTATGAAAGCAGCTGAGTAGGTTAAATTAAGGTATACACTTGATAGCCCCTTCATAAAGAATTCTCAAGTGAAAAAAAAAAAAAAAAAAAGAAAAAAAACACCACAAATAAAGAATTCTAGGCCGGGCGCGGTGGCTCATGCCTGTAATCCCAGCACTTTGGGAGGCCGAGGCGGGCAGATCACGAGGTCAGGAGATCGAGACCATCCTGGCTAACACAGGTAAAACCCCATCTCTACTAAAAATACAAAAAAATTAGCCGGGCGTGGTGGTGGGCGCCTGTAGTCCCAGTTGCTGGGGAGGCTGAGGCAGGAGAATGGTGTGAACCCAGAAGGCAGAGCTTGCAGTGAGCCGAGATCGCGCCACTGCACTCCAGCCTGGGTGACAGAACAAGACTCCATCTCAAGAAAAAAAAAAAAAAAAAAAAAAAAAAAAAGCTAAAGTGCTGCCAGTCTAACACAAAATGTTCTTATTTTGTTGACTGTTTTTAAACTATGTTTGGATCAACAATTTTAAATGCTCACACACACCCACAAACTTTTAAAAGAAGCATACCAGAATGTCAACCATTGTTTCTGCTACATTCTAGGATGATGGATAACTTTCTTTTCTATCTCTGTATTTTGTAACTTTTTTTTTTTTTTTTTTAAGATGGAGTCTTGCTCTGTCACCCAGGCTGCAGTGCAGTGGCACGATCTCGGCTCACTGCAACCTCCACCTCCCGGGTTCAAGTCCCGAGTAGCTGGGACTACAGGCATGTGCCACCACGCCTAGCTAATTTTGTGTGTGTGTATTATTAGTAGAGATGGAGTTTCGCCATGTTGGCCAGGCTGGTTTCAAACTCCTGACCTCAGGTGATCTGCCTGCCTTGGCCTCCCAAAGTGCTGAGATTACAGGCGTGAGCCATCACGCCCAGCCCCAGTGGAATCATTTTGAAGTTAACTAACCTTAACCCTAACCACAAGCAGGCTTTTCTATCAGCCACTAATGGGGAAACGTCAGGCTCACCTTGAGGTGTTTGAGCGCTAGGCATGCGGCCTGCTGGAGCCTTGCGTCGTTCTCTGCCAGGGCGTTGGTGTAGAACAGCAAAGCCTGGGGAGAGTAAGGAGGCTGTGAATGGAGGGGTAAGCAGAAGTGGAGTCCATGGTTCCGGGTCCATCAGCCACCAGGTGCCGACAGTAAGGCACGCTGTGCCCATCTTTCTCTAAACAACGTTCAGGACACGATCGGTCCATCTTTGGGCCCTGTGTACACAGTCACAAGATCTATACTGTGGTGTTTAATTTATCCCTAAAAACAGATGCCAGGGCTAATACAATGAAGAAAGCTATTTTTGTCTAATAATATTCCGGAAGTGCATTCTGAAACTGCTGTCTATAAAATGCTGAATCAGAGAAATCAGATGCCCAGCTCAGAACAACAGAAGAACTGATCATCCCATGTGCGTTGCCCTCTTCAGCTGAAAACGGGCAAGGCTGCTGCCTTGGGCCAGAGGGAAACCTGCCTATTCCCCTCAGCCCTCCTGTCCAATCCCAGCGGTGACCCTGCCCTCTTCGGTCTCACGACCATGGCCACATCAGTTCATGTCTTTGGGCCTAACTTGACTCAGCTGAAAACAAAGCTGGCACTTGCTTCATGTGTTATTGTAGGGTTTGTCAGAAAGCACACAGGGTTATGCCCGGCCCGCAGTGGAGTCCAGCGTCTGCGGCTGCAAAGGGAAACCCAGGAGTGGGTTTGCCCTCACTCAGTCGAGTGGCTGCACCTTCAACTGCACGGGTGGGGCGATGGAGGGGCCCAGGTGTAGAGTTGGCTCCAGGGACCTGGGCCCAGAGCCAAAAGAGAATGGCCGCCTTTCCATCTGCAGGTGGCTCTCCAAAGTGTCTGCTGCTTTGGGAAGACAGACTGGGAGTAGGATCGGGTCCTCCCGCTCCTCCTACACAGGGCTCTGGTGAAGGCTGTGAGGCCACATCGGTGTGGAAATGTCACACTGCCCACTGCCTCTAACCCCAGGGTCCCAGGTCATGGCAGCCTACTCCTTCCTCAGCACCCTCATCTGAGGCCAAGCAATCTGTCACTGGGTTGGCCCCCACCTCAGTGTTTCCTACTCTCTAAAGTCTGTCACATGAAGATGAAGGCCCTTTTTTTTTTTTTTTTTGAGACAGAGTCTCACTTCGTTGCCCAGCCTGGGGTGCAGTAGCACAATCTCGGCTCCCTGCAGCCTCTGCTTCCCATGGAGGCCTTGTTTATATACCCCCATACCCAAAAAACAAAATACACCTGACTTCAGTGGATCCTTGAAGCCAACTACTAGTTTTCAGGAACTACAGAAGACAGAGAAATACATTAAACTACCGTTAAACTTCCTGCAAGCAGCAAAGTCTAGATAGTCTAGGTCAACCTGGGATCGATCAAATTAATTGCAAGCAGAGAAAGAAACGGGGAAAAAAACCTTTAGATTGATTGGAAGCCATCAGCCAATCACAATGTGTGTCCTTATGTAGATACTATTTTAACAAAAAATAAAACAGGATGCTTGAGGCTTGGAAATTTGAACATAAGATATATGATATAAAGGAATTGATAGTTAATTTTTTAGATAAGATAATGGTGTTAGAGTTGTGATTTTTGAAAGAATTCTTAACCTTTTGACACATATAGTTAACTATTTAAGGTCAAATAGGATGCCTCAGGTTGCTTCAAAGTGATACAGGGGAGTGGAGGGGAAAGGGGCAGGATTGGCCATGGGTTGATGGTGGTTGGGCTTGGGTTATGGGTGCAGGTGGATTCATTATATTGCTCTGTCTACTTTTGCAAGTTCAAAAGTCTCCAAATAAAGAGTTAAAAACAACCACAAAGTAGGCGGATGGGCTCCAAGAAGGGCTATTGGCAATGGAACTGGAGATTTCCTCTCTAGTCTGGAGCTGAGACCATCAGTGTAGACTATGCCCTTGATGTCACCCTTCCTGAACCCCTCAGGGTGTGGCGCCTTAAACGTACAGTAGTTACAGGCAAAGAGTGAAAAAGCAGAGAGGTCCACTCTCTTGGTTTTCAAATGGACTGAACACAGTGACCCATTACCAGGTAGCCATGAATATTAATTGAAAGTAAATAAGGATGACTATCAAAACACTAAGAAAGGCTGGGCGCAGTGGCTCACGCCTGTAATCCCAGCACTTTGGGAAGCCAAGGCAGGCGGATCGCAGGGTCAGGAGTTTGAGACCAGCCTGGCCAACATGGTGAAACCCTGTATCTACTAAAATTACAAAAATTAGCTGGGTATGGTGGTGGGCGCCTGTAATCCCAGCTACTCAGGAGGCTGAGGCAGGAGAATTGCTTGAACCCAGGAGGTGGAGGTTGCAAGATCGTGGCACTGGACTCCAGCCTGGGCAACAGAGCAGAACTCTGTCTAAACAGACAGACAAAAAACGCACTAAGAAAAACATTCAGCGTGCAAGTGACATCTCAGAGGCCTAACAGATGTGTTGCTTTGGAAGCAGCAAGGTGCATTCATGTGTGTTAGATCGTAGCCCAGGTCCCTCCATCAAAATAGCTCACAGCTACTGCAGCCCCTGGCACTCACTTCTTTGTACTTTTCCATGAGAACACCAGCTTACCTATGCCCACACATCTGTGGCCAGGGTCTGCCACCTGCCCTGGACAACGTACCTTTTCCCGGAAGCTTCTGTTCCTGACTGCACCAGCCAGGCGAGCGCTGGCCGCCCTGCACACCCTCGGAGTGCCGTCCAGCTGGAGCAGCGCCCAGGCTCTTAAGGTCTGGGGCAGAGGCTGGAGCTGGCCCAGCCGCTTCCCCTGCAGCTTCCGGACCACCTTGGCCTGTCCCGCACAGTGAAGCTCCTCGATGAGTGTC
Source organism: Homo sapiens (assembly GCF_000001405.40). NCBI lineage: Eukaryota > Metazoa > Chordata > Mammalia > Primates > Hominidae > Homo > Homo sapiens. The sequence goes on from NC_000020.11 coordinate 50,592,546, forward strand.
ACTAGAAGACAGGAAAGAGGTGGGCCCAGGTCCCCTGAATGGGAGTTTGGCAGGACAGCTGCAAGTTTGCTTGGCTGCTGCCAGTAGCCACAGAGGAACAAATCCCAGACCCACCGGGATGATCACCAAGGCCCAGCCTGGACTAATTTCACAGGGAGCTCCTGGAATCTCCAGGAAGGCCTTTTAACAAGGGGTCAAATATGCTCCATAAATTAATAAAACCACAGCCCACACTTCCAGGGACTCTGGCCAGCCAAGATCACCCTCCTACCCAGCTCTGACCTCTGTTCCGTGCTTTTTAAAGCTGACTTCCCTTGGAGCTAATATCAGCCCCCATCGGCTGAACGCAGAATCTCATTAAATCGGGGTTCCCAAAAGAACAGTTGGCGGGGATGGATGTAGTGGTTCTGAATTATAACCTGAGAAACTGCATGTGACAGGGCTCCGTGGATATTCCTCTGCTATGACAGCCACCCACCCCAGTCTTACCTTCCTTGGTGAGCTGGGTGAAGTGCTTCTCCAGGTCAGAGACGCTCTGCCTCTGCAGGTAGCTGTGAAACTGGAACCAGGTAATGATCTGTTCTTCTGGGAGCCCAGCTCCGGGGAGCAGCCCACCACAGCTGACCACCTGCTCCAGGAGCCTGCGGCACGCTGGCCAAAGGGGAGAGTACATCAGGAGAAACTGAGACCTCGACCCTCCACGCTTCTCAGCTGGGAGTAGCCTGGTCAGCTAAAAGGCTTTCTGGGCCGGGCGCAGTGGCTCGCACCTGTAACCCCAGCACTTTGGGAGGCCAAGGTGGGCAGATCACCTGAGGTCAGGAGTTCGAGACCAGCCTGACCAACATGGTGAAACCCCATCTCTACTAAAAATACAAAATTAGCTGGGTGTGGTGGTGCCTGCCTGTTTCCCAGCAACTCTGGAGGCTGAGGCAGGAGAATCGCTTGAACCCGGGAGGTGGAGGTTGTAGTGAGCCAAGATTGCGCCACTGCATTCCAGTCTGGGCAACCATGAGTGAAACCCCATCTCAAAAAAAAAAAGGGTTTCTGATGGCACGAGGGCAGGTGTCCCTCACTGCATTCCCTGTGCTGTAGGGGAGGAGTGTGCCCAGCTAGAGTCAGGACTGTGACTCCAACTCACCCTGAGTCAGACCGTGTTGGGTTCATCCCCATGCCCTGGGCCCCACACCACACCTGGATCAAAATCCCGGAGGCAGGGCCTGGGAATATGCATGTCAACAAGCAGTCCAGGTGGTGCTTGGAACATGACTGTCACCTTTCACTTGCTCCACAGAGAAAGGCAAATTCTGGGGAAGAACGCAGTCCAGCCAGCATTTCTAGATACCCTCGTGGGCCCCTGCCTGCCTCCCTTCCCATAAGGTTCATTCTTTACCCGTCAGGCTCTGGTGGGAGGCATGGAATCTGTCCCCAGAAAAATGCTCTGGCGGCCGGGCGCAGTGGCTCATGCCTGTAATCCCAGCACTTTGGGAGGCCGAGGCGGGCGAATCACAAGGTCAGGAGTTCGAGACCAGCCTGGCCAATATGGCGAAACCCCGTCTCTACTAAAAATACAAAAAAAGAAAATTAGCCAAGCGTGGTGGTGCACACCTGTAATCCCAGCTACTCGGGAGGCTGAGGCAGAAGAATCGCTTGAACCCGGGAGGTAGAGGTTGCAGTGAGCCATGATTGTGCCACAGCACTATAGCCTGGGCGACAGAGTGAGACTCCATCTCAAAAAAAAAAAAAAAAAAAAATGCACCGGCCCACCAAGTTTGCACGCAGCTTCAGGGCTCCACAGACTGCTCAGAAGGCCCCACGTGGAGGCCCCTTCTCGCCCGGTGAAAGGGCGGTGACTCGCACTGAAGCTGAGAAAGCTCCTCCGTCCGATGGCATGAAGACACAGAGGTGAAGACAGGGCTGAAATGAGGCCAGCTGTGGCCACCCTGAAGGCCCTGGAGACTCAATACAGCCTTTCTGTGGGAGGGGACGACAGGACAGAAGGGAACCCACCTATTTCCAGCTGTCCTGGGTACTTCCCTCTGACTCTGTGCTGGAAGGTTTTCTTGAGCTGGTTCAGCAGCGTCGTGGCAGGGCAGGACAGGACCCTGCCAGGCCCTGTGCACCCTCTCCACAGCTTCAGGCACCCCTTCGTCCGCGAGGCCTGTGGGATGACTGAAAGCCCCAGTTCAGAAACCTGAATGGTGACTCGGGGAGAGCACATGACAAGGACCCGAAAGGTTTCCCTCCACTAGGACCTGAGGGGGTAGGGAGGAGGGGACGGTGTGGCTTGATGCGAGGTCCCTTCCCTGCATTCCCATGTGACACGTGAGCAACTTTGGCTCTAAGCATCTTACCAGGGCCACCACCTGCAGTCCCCACAACAACCTGGGAGGGGCTGCTGTCACCAGCCTCTCCTTACAGACAAGGAACCTGGCCTTCTGAGGGGAGGTCCCACGGGGCAGAGGCACAGCTGGGATCACAGCTACTGTTTGACGGCACATTCTGCACCTTGAATGTGGCCTGGGGTTACCTCACTGAACCCCGTGCAGTGCCCTCCTCCTATGCAGATAGGGAAGCAGAGGCTCAGAGATGTGAATCATTTGCCTAGAGTCACACAGCTGACTGAAGAGTGTGCTGCAACTCCAGGACTTGTCTCCCTTACCTCCCCACAAAGAGTGTGTATCTCTGAGCCCAGCCCAGCCACAGCCTCCACTCTGGGCCCCGATTAACTCTGGCTATTAGGAAGGCAGAAGAGGCTCCCCGAGCTTTGATCCCGTCCCCGTGCCGCTCACATAGGCAGCCCCTGGGTGGCAGGCAGCTACTTACTCTCTTCAATGGATGTTGCCTTGCCGACCTTCTCAAAGTCAAGGACAGAAAGTGTCTCCAGAACGTGCTTTTGCTGTGCCACTTCTTCCAGGAGGCATTCCTGGACCAGCCTTGATAAATTAGGGGAGGCCAGTTTCTGGGAAGCAGCCCAGATGCTCCAGATTAGCATGGAACATGCCCACCGAGGTCAGCTGTTACGGCTGTGGCTCCCACCTGCTTGTGCCCATCTCTTCTGTCCCGGGGGCAGCTCCCTGACTGTCATTTGGGGATTCCCCTTTCACCAAGGTGGCTGAGCTAATGGGATGCAGGCTGGGCTGCCAGGGACCACCTTTGCCCCCAGAAGGAGGACCAACCTGCCTGAAAGTGAAGCCAACCCACATTGCAAAGCAGAACTGAGAGAGACCTAGTCCTGATAGCATTTGAACCCGTGCATCCAGCCGAGCCTGAAGCCTACCTCTGAGGCTTTCAGTACCATGAGCCGATAAATTTTCCTGTTGGCTGAGCCAGTTTGCATTAGGGTTCTGGCACCTATAAATGAGAGTCACCACCAAAGCCTTTGGTTTAGGGCTTGGCCTGTGTAAGAGCCACACGAGTATTCACCCAGACCCTGGTCTGCCTCTCTTCCACTGGGGAATAGCTTCAGTCTCACGGGCTTCCAGGATGCAGGTCTGTCACCCCTTCATGCTTCCCACCACCTTCAAGATGAGCCTTTGCAAAGAGGACTCCAAACCCCTGTCTGCCCCTCCCTGACAAGTCCCCTAGCCCAGCCACCTGCAGCAGAGCTTTGCAGACTTGGAGGTGTACCATCAGCAGCACGTCCAGCTCTGGGGCACCGGCTGTGAGTTCCCTGGATGACGCTTTCAGTGATGACGGTGGGGGCAGGGGCCGGTCCTTTCTGAGTTGAATTGAGAACTGGGTGACCATTCCAGTTAGCAGTTCAGCTCCCTCTGAGGGTGGGGGAACCCTCCCTTCCCAGCGAGCCCCAGGTCAGGAGGCCCACTCCAGGTCCCAGGAAGTTCAACTGAAGAGGAAGGGGAAAGGAACAAAGGGTGGCAGCAACTCGAAACAGAGCTGGGAGGTGTGGCCAAGGGCCTGGGGAAGGCAGGGCGGGCAGTCGTCTTCCAGGATGTCTCGTGGAGGTAGAAGAGAATTCCAACTCATCCCAGCTCTGTGACGCTGGACAAGTCTGCCTCCCCAAGGCTCAGGTGACTCATCTATCAAGGGAGGCAGGAGCCCCACACTCAAGGCCGTGAGGGGTGCATGAAATACGGTGGGCAAGAGCGCCTCACACCAAGTCCACTCTGTGGTAGAGGCTAGACCTGCTGCCCGACCCACTCAGCCACTCAGGAAGGGTGGAAGCAAGTGTGGCACGAAACACCGCACTCGTCCGTGGGATTGTGAGAGGCGAGGAGAAGGAATTGAGCCTCTGCTCTTCCATGTGGTGAGATGCGGATGCAGAAGCCCTCGGGGGCTGGGGCAGGTGAGGCTGCGTAGCCTCGAGGGAAGCTGTCATGAGAGGTGTGGGCCCTGTGGTGGGACAGAGGGAACAGCACTGGATACTGCTGCACCTTGGTTAGGGGCTAAGAGCTTTTTTTTTCTTTTTCTTTTTCTTTTTTTGAGACAGAGTCTTACTTTCGCCCAGGCTGAAATGTAGTGGTGCCATCTTGGCTCACTGCAACCTCCGCCTCCCGGGTCCGAGTGATTCTCCTGCCTCAGCCTCCTGAGTAGCTGAGATTACAGGCTCTTGCCACCATGCCCAGCTAATTTTTGTATTTTTAGTAGAGACGGGGTTTCATCATGTTGGCCAGGCTGGTCTTGAACTCCTGACCTCAGGTAATCCGCCTGCCTCGGCCTCCCAAAGTGTTGGGATTACAGGCGTGAGCCACTGTGCCTGGCCTCAAAGAACTTCTACTATATACTTGGTGATTATTTTTAAGGTTTAAAAAATAATACTAAAAGCTGGTTCCTTGGAGCAGAAGGCTCAGGGGCAGGCTGGGGTGATCTCACCCACTTCGTGGTCTCTGAGGACCGGCTCTGAGGCAAGTGGGGGATGTGCGGGGATGGCATGGGGAAGGGTGCACGATAGAGTGACAAGAGCTGAGCCAAGGACAGTGGGAGAAACAGACGGGGAGGCTGGCAGGAAACGTGGAGCTCGGGTCACCCGGTGGGAGTGGTGGCCACTGGGTCACTGCTGGAAGGAGGTGCACTCACCGGAGACCCTGGGAGCCCCCAAACAGGGACAGCTCATCCAGGGCGAAGTCGGCATTGAGGAAGGCGAAGCTCTCCAGGATGCACTCCATCAGGCTCTCGGCCGAGGTGTGCTCCTGCCGTGCTCTGCAGGGCTGTGGACGAAGTGGCCAGACCTGAGGGCAACACCGGGCCCCACCCACCCGACTGGGACACTGGCCAGGGGCCTCACGGCAGACTTGGGCAATGTCCCGGTCCCAAGCCCCAATCCCACACACCGTCCCCCAGCAGAAGCCCAGCCGCTGGCCCAAGGCGTGGCACTGGGCGTGTCACCCCCCAAAGTCCCTCCTGAATGGCCTGTGACAAGGTAGGAGCAGAATCTTGAGGGGGACAGATCTGAAAACCCTCCCCTGTATCTCAGACACCCACGGGGACAAGGCCAATGGCAGGAGTGAGTGAGCTGCCCCAGCGGGGACCAGGGAGGCAGGAGCGCAGGTGCCTCCCCTAAGAGGGGGCCACGCTCATAGATCGCCCAGTTCTAAGAAAACCCTAAAACATGGATATTTATGGGAAACTGCCCAGCTTTGAAATACCAACAACAAATTTCAAAGTATTTTAAATACATGGTGTAGGTCAGGCAAACGCTTCTTCACGAGGCTCAGAGGCCTGTGGGCTCCAGGTTCCTCCTCCCTGTTGGGTTTCTCTCCCCAACAGATTAAGGGAGAGTGTTGGGGCCACCAACCCGCCACTGGTCAAGTCACCAGAGCCTCCAGTGCCAGCTCCCTCCCTGGAGATTTCTGTCTTGTCCCCAACTCGTGGCTGGCTCTGGGGCTGGTTCCTGCCCCCGTTCCCAGCACACCCCACCCAGGCCTTGTGTCCAACACAAACTGCAGCCAAGGCACAGCCCAAGCAGAAGCCATAAAACCAAACCAGGATCCTAACTGCGGAGCCAAAGAGAAAATCTTGAGGACGAAGGGAATAACAAGGCTAGTTGCAGAGATCACATTTTCCAATACAAAAATATAGGCATACATGTGTATGTAAGTGTGTATCAATACACACATGCATGTAGACTGCTGATTCTCAATAGTCAAGGTAGTTATGTTCTAGAGGCCAAGGCGGGCAGATCACTTGAGGTCAGGAGTTCAAGACCAGCCTGGCCAACATGATGAAACTGCATCTCTACTAAAAATACAAAAATTAGCCGGGTGTGGTGGCACAGACCTGTAGCCTCAGCTACTCAGGAGGCTGAGGCAGGAGAATTGCTTGACCCGGGGAGGCGGAGGTTGCAGTGAGCCAAGATTGCACCACTGCGCTCCAGCCTGAGCGACAGAGCAAGACTCCATCTCAGAAAAAAAAAAAAAAAGGAGGGGGTTATGTTCTATAAAATCACAGCAAAAAAACTGAATCAGCAAAAGCTGAACCATTGCTCCTAAGGGAGTTACTGGGTTAGGTTCCTGTGAACCTCTGGTCACAGCAGTTTTATCAACTCAGCAATGCAGAACTTTGTATGTGTCTTTTGGTTTAAAGACACCTTATTTAATAGCTATTGTTGGCTGGGTGTGGTGGCTCACACCTGTAATCCCAGCACTCTGGGAGGCCGAGGCAGGTGGATCACCTGATGTCCGGAGTTCAAGACCAGCCTAGCCAACATAGTGAAACCCTGTCTCTACTAAAAATACAAAAATTAGCCGGGCATGATGGTACGTGCCTGTAACCCCAGGTACTAGGGAGGCTGAGGCAAGAGAATCACTTGAACCCAGGAGGTGGAGGTTGCAGTAAGCTGAGATCGTGCCACTGCACTCCAGCCTGGACAACAGAGTGAGACTCCGTCTCCAAAAAAAAAGGAAAAAAAAAAGCTATTTTTGATTCATTAACATTGAACTCAACAGCCAGCATCGCTACAACTCATGCCTGAAGGAAGCTCATCTAACACACATTTTCTCTGTAAGGTATTTCACAGGCTTCCTGGACTGAGGAACACCAGCCGGCACTGAAGCTCTGGGCTTGGGAGGCATTTAAACAGTGAAACTGTCAACAAAAAGCACAAAAACTTGAAAAACATGGCATTAAATAGACCATGAGGACACTTGTTTACCATTTGGGCATTGAAACAGGAAGGCAAAGCATTGCCTCGCTTGACCTCAGCTGGGAATGTGTGCTTTGAGCAGCTCAGATTTTCTATCACTCTGCCCGGCCCCAAAACCCACTTTGGAATCGCCTCGAGTATTGATTTGGGGGTTAGAAATAAATTTTAGCAAGTAAGTAAATTCCAAAATGCAGAATCCACAAATAATGAGGATAAATCATGTATATGTATGTGTGTATGTATGCGCTCACACACACACTTTTTTTTCTTTTGAGAGAGAGAGTCTCGCTCTGTTGCCCAGGCTGGAGTGCATTGGTGCGATCTTGGCTCACTGTAACCTCCGCCTCCCGGGTTCAAGTGATTCTCCTGCCTCAGCCTCCCAAGTAGCTGGGACTACAGGTGCACGCTACCATGCTCAGCTAATTCTTTTGTCTTTTTAGTAGAAACGGGGTTTTGCCATGTTGGCCAGGCTGCTGTTGAACTCGTAGCCTCAAGCAATCCACCTGCCTTGGCCTCCCAAAGTGCTGGGATTACAGATGTGAGCCACTGCGCCCACCATCATATACACATAGATTTGCATAAATGTGTGTGTGTGTAATTTCTCTCCAGAAAGTCAAACCAAAAACCACGGTCTGTAATCAATTTGCATTGTTCTGACTTCGTTTGCCAAAAAAAGAAAAGTTCCTTAAAGACGTTTAAAATGATTACATTATTGCGGCATTAACATTTTTATGTAAATTGGGTGTAATTTTTCAAAATACAAGTATGTGACAAATGTGCATGCCGACTCAAATTAGTCTACAAAAAAAGGCTGTTAAAAAGTACAAAAAAGGTACAGGCACGATGGCTCACGCCTGTAATCCCAACGCTTCGGGAGGCTGAGGCACGAGGATTGCATGAGTCCAGGAGTTTGAGACCAGCCTGGGCAACAAAGTGAGAACTCGTCTCTATAAAAAATAAACAAAATTAGCCAGGCATGGTGATGTGTGCCTGTAGCCTCAACTAGTCAGGAGGCTGAGGGGGGAGGATCGTGTGATCCCAGGAGGCAGAGGTTGCAGTGAGCCAAGATTGCACCACTGAACTCCAGCCTGGGCAACAGAGTGAGACCCTGTCTCCAGAAAAATGAAAAACATGAAGTACCAAAAAGTTGACATTATTTCTTAAATTTTTTTCTGGAAATTTTCAGGCAGGTCCTTTTTAACAACCATAGTAGTGGTAAACGGAACATATTTTAAAGTTATGGATGTAAAATGAGAAATTAAACTTTTTTTCCCCTATGTTGATTTGTCCTGTTGGAGGTGTGGTTGGCGATAAAATGTGTTTGAAGAGAGCTGTTAACTATTTCAGTGCCAAAGTGTATCTTACACAAAAGAGGGGAAAACAGAAAACAGCAAAATCAGAGAAGTGCACAGCCAGTCTGAGGGCATAAGGACCGAGGGAACACAGAGCAGGAAGGGATGGGCCTGCCGGGGCCAGGTGGGAGTTGCCATTTAAAAGAGGGTGTCCAGGCCAGGTGCAGTGGCTCACGCCTGTAATCCCGGCACTTTGGGAGGCTGAGGCAGGCGGATCACTTGAGGTCAGGAGTTTGAGACCAGCCTGGCCAACATGGCGAAACCCCATCTCTACTAAAAATACAAAAATTAGCCAGGCGTGGTGGTGTGCACCTGTAATCCCAGCTACTCGGGACGCTGAGGCAGGAGAAATGCTTGAACCTGGGAGGAGGAGGTTGCAGTGAGCCGAGATGGCGCCGCTACAACTCTGTTGCCAGCCTGGGCAACAGAGCGAGACTTCATCTCAAAAAATAAATACATAAAAAATAAAAGAGCGTGTTCAGGGAAGGACACCCTTAAGTTAATTGATGTATTAGTAGGTACTAGTGGTATACATTTTTTTGATGTACATTCAAATTTGTGTAAACACGAGAGGAGAATGTAATAATTTGCCTAGGTCAGCACCTCTGAAAGCCACCTGCCACCTAAGCCCTCCTGTGAACTGAGAACAGCCCCGGGGTATGAGCCCTGTGGAGAAGGTTCAGTGCGGGGTGCGTGGATGAGGCAAACAGGGAACTGTGTGGGGCCTTCCATGGAGCCAGCTGCGACCCTGACAACACTCCAAGTTTGGGTTTGTAGCCACAAGCCACAGCCCCGCCCACCCAGGTCAGAAGGTGCGAGATGGGGCCAGTTTCTGGCTGGATGTGCATGAGCCTATCTACTGTGAACTCTTAAAATCTTCCTGAGCCCCATGAGGGCTGTTGTTATCCCCGCTTGCCAGATGAGGAAACCAAGGCCCAGAGAGACACGGCCCACCCAGGTCACGCAGAGGTGAGGCCAGGATGTCGGCCCAGGCTGCGTGGCCCCAGAGCCCCCGACTCCCAGTCATCATGCCATCAGCAAAGCAGGGCCACCGCCCGGGGCGGGGTGGCCATACCTTCAGCCGGTCCCGGAAGCCGAGGACCTGGTACTCCAGCTCCCGGAGCTGGGGCTGGGTGGAGTCCGTGGGCCTCAGCAACTCCAGGACCTCCTGCAGAGGCCCCTCGAGGGCCACGCCAGGCCCGTCCTCTCTGTCCCCGGTTGCCCCTTCCTCGTGGCCGTTCTGGCTACTCGAGGCTGTGCCGCTGTGGAACAGGGAGCCCTGTGGCAGGCTGGGGCTCTCCCCTCCTAAGTTCCTCCAGCCAGGCTGCTCTGCAAACGGGCCTCCAGAGAGGTGGGCCATCTCTGGCAGGAGACCTGGGGGCAGGGGGTCCTCCCGAGCCTCCTCTTCAATGGAGGCGTGGGGACCGAAGGTCAAGGGCAGGAAGCCCACATCTGAGGTGGACGCCGACGTGCTGGTCTCCGTGTCTCGGGGGTCCTCAGAGCTGAAGGAGTCCATCTCAGGCAGCTCCTGACTCTGGCTTCTTAGGCTGGGACCCCGGAGGTCGCTGTCAGACAGGTAGCTGAGGATGGAGGTGGCCCTTGGGCCACCCAGCAGCAAGGCCTGCTGTGTTGGCTGCTGTAGGACAGACTGGAGAGGGGACACGGGAGCGGCCTCACCAGCCACCCCAGGGACCACAGCAAGTCCCCCAGAGGGGCTTCCCCTGACAGACACCCGCTGTGCATGCCCATGTTCTCAGGATGACTGAGGCCTGCCGAGGTGACCAGCATCCCAGAGGTGCAGAAAAAACCCTGTCCCCTCTCTGCACTTATCCCCCATCCCGCCTCCAACTCACTCCCCCCAACCTCAACAGCCTCCTGGCTATTGCTCATGCCCTGTGGGCTGGGCCCCACGTTCCTGCCTCAGGGCCTTTGCACTGACTGTGCTCTCGTCAGAACACTCTTCCCCATGTGCCTTCATGGCTTGTGCCCTCGCCTCCTCAGGACCTTACATAGGTGTCACCTCTCCTGAGAACCCTGTCCTGGACAGCCTTTTTTAAGTGGCAATTTCTACCTGGCCCCAGTGGGCCCCTTCCCTTCCTGCTGTCTCCCACAGTCCTTATGCCCCTGGGGCTGGCTGTGCACTTCTCGGATTTTGATATCATCTGTTTCCCCTGTAGAATTTCAGCTCCCTGAGGGCACAGTCTTTGCCTGGCCTGGAGCAGAGGCTGGCATATAGTTTCGGTTTTTGTTTTGTTTTGTTTTGAAATAGTCTCGCTCTGTTGCCCAGGCTGGAGTGCAGTGGCACTATCTTGGCTCACTACAACCTTCATCTCCTGGGCTCAAGCAATTCTCCTGCCTCAGCCTCCTGAGTAGCTGGGATTACAGTGGCACTCCATGACGCCTGGCTAATTTTTGTATTTTTAGTAGAGACGGGGTTTCACCATGTTGGCCAGGCTGGTCTCAAACTCCTGACCTCAGGTGATCCACCCGCCTCGGCCTCTCAAAGTACTGGGATTACAGGCATGAGCCACTGCACCCAGCCTAGTTTTGGATGAATGAAGTGAATGAATGAATGAAGGGCCTGACAAACACACCATAGAAACAGCAGCAGCTGTCATTAAGTATTCTGAGGTTGCCGGCCCTATTCCAGGGCCTTCCCATTACCCTCACCACACCCCATGGGGGTGGCACTGCCCTAACCTCGGAGAGGTCCTTAGGCCACACGGGTGGTGAGTACAGTGCCACAGTGTGAATCTGGGTACACGGACACGAACCCTTACCTCTCATCAGCTGAACCAATGATAATGGTTGATGTTCATTAACTCAGTTAACTCTCACAGTAATCCCATAAGGGCAGTGCTGTTATTCTCACTTCTCTGATACAGAAATTGAAGTCCAGAGAGGGCTGGGCACGGTGGCTCATGCCTGTAATCCCAGCACTTTGGGAGGCCGAGGCGGGTGGATCACCTGACGTCAGGAGTTCAAGACCAGCCTGGCTAACATGGTGAAACCCCGTCTCTACTAAAAATACGAAAATTAGCCAGATGTGGTGGCGTGTGCCTGTAATCCCAGCTACTCGGGAGGCTGAGGCAGGAGAATCGCTTGAACCTGGGAGGAGGTGGAGGTTGCAGTGAGCTGACATTGCGTGACTGCACTCCAGCCTGGGAGACAAGAGCGAAACTCCGTCTCAAAAAAAAAAAACAAAGAAAAAAAAAGGCGTATACACTTGCTGGTAGATGGATTGCTGTCTCTGGAAGAATATGGAAGAAACTGATGACAGGAGTTGGTATTAAGGAGGGGACCCTGATCCATGGAGATCAACAGGAAAGATGTTTTACTGGGCACTCTGTCAAGTACTACTACTAGAAACGTATATATTAAGGCCAAGGCCATGACTGGGGTGCTAGAACCATCCAGAGAGCCCACTGCAGATGTCCTGAAGAACCAGCCAAGCCCAGAACCCAGGCTAGGTTGGAGGCTGGCAGCAGAGGAAGAAAGTGCACAGGAAAACACCCAGGATCGCCTCAAACGGAAGCTGAGCCCGAGGCTTGCCATGTCTGGGAGGGCCAGACTGCTCAGCCCAGCTCCTGCGTGCTGCCCCCATCCCAGGGTGACCACAGCGGCCCTGCCCCGGGAAGGCTCACTCACCAGGTAGTATCTCTCCCGGAAGCTGGGGGTGCTCGGGGGTGTCCAGTTGTACAAGGAGCCCTTCCTGCTGCCCATAGAAAACTTGCCCGTGGGGCTGGGTGACACCAGGAAGCTCTCAGTATCAAACGGGCTGGAGGAGAGAACAGAAGGTCAGGATGCCATCGGCACCCAGAGGCCATTTCAGGCCCAGACGGCCCACAGGGCTCTTAGGTTATGCAGGTAGATGGTCTTCATCTTACAATACAATAGCATGGATGGTGTGTGAGGAGCTCTGCTCTAAACTGTTGCTTGTTTTTGAGACAGGGTCTTGCTGTGATGCCCAGGTTGGAATGCAGTGGTGCCACCACAGCTCACTGCATCCTTGAACTCCTGGGTTCAAGCGATCCTCCTGCCTCAGCCTCCTGTGTAGCTATGACCACAGGCATGTACCACCATGCTGGACTAATTTTTAAATTTATTTTTATTTTTTGTAAAGACAGCGTCTTGCCATGTTGCCCAGGCTGGTCTCGAACTTCTGGGCTCAAGCAATCCTCCTGCCTCAGCCTCCCAAAGTGCTGGGATTACAGGCCATGAGCCACTGAGCCCAGCCTCTACTAAACTCTTTACACAAATCCTTATTTCCACCCCCAAGACAACCCTCTGTGGCCTGGAGAATTATTTACAGGGGAGGAAAGGAAGGCTCTGAGAGATGAGTGACTTGCTTAGGGCAGTGTCACAACCAACCACGCGAGACGGAACTGAATTCACACACAGATTTTCTCTGACCCCAAAGCCTTAAAGATCACTAAGAGTGATGCTTACTCTTCAGACATCACTGTACTTAATGGATTTAAGAGGAAATGGGCTGGGTGCTGTGGCTCACACCTGTAATCCCAACACTTCGGGAAGCCAAGGCAGGCAGATGACTTGAGCTCAGGAGTTCGAGACCAGCCTCCATAACCTGGCAAAACCCCCGTCTCTACAAAAAATGAATACATTAGCTGGGCTAATGTGGTGACCAACAGACACTTGTAGTCCCAGCTACTCAGGAGGCAGAGGTGGAAGGAGCACCTGAGCCTGGGAGGTGGAGGCTGCAGTGAGCCGAGATCATGCCACTGCTCTCCAGTCTGGGGCAACAGAGCAAGACTCTATCTCAAAAAAAAAGAAAAAAAAAAAAAGCAAAATAAAACAGGAAATGGAGGCTTGGGCCTCCAAGTCCAGGGCCTTGCCCATGGTCACAGGTGCAGCCTAGGAACTCCAGGTTACATGACCTCTACCCCTTTAGAAACCTTTCTCAAGGCTGGGCGTGGTGGCTCATGCCTGTAATCCCAGCACTTTGGGAGGCCAAGGTGGGTGGATCGCCTGAGGTCAGGAGTTCGAGACCAGCCTGGCCAACATGGCGAAACCCCATCTCTCCTAAAAACATAAAAAAATTAGCTGGGCATGGTGGCAGGCACCTGTGATCCCAGCTACTTGAGAGGCTGAGGCTGGGGAATCGCTTAAATCTGGGAGGCAGATGTTGCAGTGAGCCGAGATTGCGCCATTGCACTCCAGCCTGGGCGACAGAGCGAGACTCTGTCTCAAAAAGAAAAAAAGAAACCTTTCTCAGACTCTGACCGCCCTGAGGGCCCTTAGCCAGATGGTGAGGGACAGTGACTGTGAGCAGGAGAGCAGGATCTGGAGGCAGGAAACCTCAGGTCAATTCATGCTAAATCAAGGAAAGACACCAAGGTCTGAAGGGACAGGGAATCTAAGGCCAATTAACGCAATCTTCCTAAAGCTAACCCAAAAGGAAAAACCCCGTCTCCCCACACTGAGTAGTAAAGGATCAAAGGCAACGCTCCCTACAGCCCTCCTGCCTCCAACCATGGCTCAGATGGAAAGGGAGGGTGTATGGATGGGCCGCTGGCGAAACAGGGACCATCCCTCTATCTGCATAGGGCGCCATCCACCTCAGCCTCTAACCACAGACCAAATCCTTTATCCAGAAAAGGGGCAGCCCATAGGAACCTCAAACAGGGTACTTAAAGCCCAGAAACTTTGAAACCATGCCCTTGAGCCACATGCTCGGGCCCACTCCCACCCTGTGGAGTGCTTTCTTGCCTTTTTTTTTTTTCTTTTTCTCTGAGACTGTCTTGCTCTGTCACCCAGGCTGGAGTGCGGTGGCGCCATCTTGGCTCACTGCAGCCTCCGCCTCCCCGGTTCAAGCGATTCTCCTGCCTCAGCCTCCCAAGTAGCTGAAACTATAGGCCCGTGCCACCACGCCTGGCTAATTTTTGTGTTTTTAGTAGAGATGGGGTTTCGCCTTGTTGGCCAGGCTGGTCTCGAACTCCTGACCTCGGGTGATCTGCCCACCTACGCCTCTCAAAGTGCTGGGATTATAGGTGTGAGCCACCGCGCCCAACCTGCTTTCTTGCTTTAATAAAGTCCTGCTGCTTCATTCCTGCGTTTCATTCCCCTGCTCCTTTTCTGCATTTTGTTCAAGTCTTTGTTCAAAATGCCAGGGACTTGGACAACTCATTGTCAAGACCCTCCACCAGTAACAACTGGACACCCCCAGTTAGAGGCCCCTTTGAGAAGCTCAGCCGATGAGCAGGGGACACTCGGTTCAGACCCCTTGTCTGTAAAAGGGGTGCGCTTACAGAAGAACCCCCATGTGGAACATGCACAGGGAAGGGTGGGAATCCAGGCGAGCGCATGGGAGCACCGAGGCAAGTGATGCTCAGCCTGGCCCGTGATGCTCAGCCTGGCCTGTGTCCAGCCTTGCACTCGGAGTAGGTAGGTCCCCATAGATCCATTTGCCTCGAAGAAACTTGCTTATAATTATTTGCACAAAGGCCTGGCTCGTGGCACCTGGGCCTGGCCTGACCAGAAGGCCTAGAGCTCAGAGGCTCTGCAAGTGCCCACTTCTCTGCCCAGGGTGTCTGCAGACCCGCAGGCACCCTGGGTCCTAGGCTTGGATGGCACTGAGCTGCCCGCCACCCTGTACACTTCAGGGGCCCCTGGGCGAGGGGTATTCTCAGCCCTACCAGACAGGTGAGGACCCCGAGGGTGCAGGTGGTCGCTCAACAGAATTCACCCAGCTCACGAGGGAGAGGGCAGCAGCTTTGTGACCCCCAGCTCGGACACCCACCCTAGGGAGAGAGGAGAGAGACCAGCCCCGACTGGCCAGAGCAAGCACAGAGCAGAGGAGTGTCCTCAGCCCTCCCTTCTGCTGCCTCTGCGCTGAGGAGGAGGAAAGGAACACCCTGGAAATGCAAGGCTTCCTTAGAACAGAGAGCTCTGGAGCCCTCCACGCTCATGGGCATGCAGTCCAGGGAGTGATCTCATGGACATGGGCTTCATGGGTCTGCAGCCGAGAGGGGGACGCAGGTGACCGCTCAGCCCCAGGCCAAGGGGGCAGCCAGGGTCGGCCAGGAATGAGGGGGTGGGAGCAGCAAGGAGGGCCTTCCTGGAGAGGTGAGCCTCCTCCAAGGAGCCAAGCCCGGGAGGCCCCGGAAAGTGTCCCCCCAACCTTCCCTGTGGCTTTAATAGTCAGGGGTTCAGAAGCAAGAAGGGAAGCAAAACCAGAAAGGCAGGCAGGGGCTACAGAGAAGTTCTAGGCCTCGACCTGACTGAGGGGTGGGAGTGAGGGACAGATGAGGACCCGTGAGGGCAGGGACACCCTTGGCAGAGGCTGGTGCAGGAACCCAGGGCCAGAGTGTGGCCAGGCCACCAGGGGCAGCCAGCCAGGCCTCCGCTCTCCCCAGGCTGGACGGGACTCACTTCCACTGCACCTCCAGCTGCAGCTTGATGGTACCCAACTCCGTGATGTCCACCACGATGACCTGCGGCCGCGTCGTGAAGAAGTCGGCGATGTCACACGTCACTGCACCCACAGCCAGCGAGCCCAGGCCCCGCAACTCCGTCACCTGGGGGTGGGGGCTGGAGGGTGGTGTCTGAGCCGAACACCCAGGCACCCCAGCCCTGCCCCCGGGCCCCATCCCCACCTTGATGTCCAGGTTCTCATGCAGCGTGGGGATGAAGGCCTTCTCCTCTTCGTCCCAGGTCTGGCTGTCATCTGACTCGATCCGACCCTTGAGCTTCCAACGCTGGCGGCCCAGACGCATGAGCACCTGTGAACCAGCCCGAGAGGGGCCGCGTCAGCCCAGGTGGGTGTCCCCTTGCTGTCCGCCCAGGGCCCTCCCTGCCAGGCAGAGCCCCAGCTGCAACCCTGGTTCCCAGCAGCTCCCGTCCCCCAAAGACCTGGCGGGGAGCCCTGAGGATTGACCCCAGAGAGTGGCCGTACCTCATAGTGGTCTCCGGGACAGAGGCGTGCGTAGCCCACCAAGCCTGGAACACAGACATGGCCGGTCTCCCCTCCGCCTTCCACTCTCCCTGACCTGGGACCACAGGTCCTCTCTGGGGTTCCCCCGAGTATAGATTTTCAGTTTCAGTGGGGTGAGGATGGGGGGGAGGTACACCATCATGATGGAAAATGGACAGAGGGTGCTGGGCCCTCACACCAGGCTCAGAGAGGGGTGGGACTTGCCAGAAGTCACATGTCACATGGATGCAAAAGCCAGGGCTGGGCTCAGACCCCTGGGATTCTGGCCAATTCCCGTGCCCCTCAGCAGAAGTCTCAGGGCCTCCAGAAAGGCCTCCGCCCACCCCCTCTCAGCCCTGTTACCTTTCATCCTGATGTGGAACTCGCCCAGGTGAACCTCCAGGGCCCCCTCGATGAGCCACATGTCCTGCAAAGCCCCGGAGGTGGCTCAGCTGGCTGCCTGGGGCTAGGCCACGAGGGCCTCTAACCATCCCTGCAGCCAGACAGAGGCCACAGGCAGAGAGACGCCTCCTTGGGGCCCAGAACACCTCCTCCAGCCCCCACTGGCCCAGCTCTCGATGTCCCCACTGCCCGGCCCAGCTCTTGCTGCCCCTGCTGCCCAGCCCAGCTTGGCCCGGCCCACCTCGGCGCACTCGTGCAGGCTGCGGCCCAGCTCCTGCAGGCTCTCTCGGGCTGCGCGGCTCGGGGGGCACCGGGCGAAGGCCCGCTGCATGCTGGAGGCGCCGTCGCGCAGGCGGCACTGGATGCAGTAGTCCTCGTACAGCTCATCCACCTGTGGTGGGCACACGGGCTGGTGGCGCTGCCCACGCGGAGGGGCGGCCCCACACCTGCCTGTCGACTTCTCCTCTCTGGGAGAGGCCCTCCCTGAGCTAAGCACCCCGCTAGCCCAGCCCATGGTGACAGTCACTACCTGTCCAGTCCCATTCAAAGCAGTCACCCCTGGCCCCAGTAGAACATGAACCCCCATAGGCAGGGACCACATCTGCCTCACCTGCCTCACCTGCCACCACTGCCTCACCTGCCACCCCTACCACCCCTGCCTCACCTGCCACCCCTGCCTCACCTGCCACCCCTGCCTCACCTGCCACCCCTGCCTCCCCTGCCTCCCCTGCCACCCCTGCCTCACCTGCCACCCCTGCCTCACCTGCCACCCCTGCCTCACCTGCCACCCCGGCCTCACCTGCCACCCCGGCCTCACCTGCCACCCCTGCCAACCCTGTCTCACCTGCCTCTCCTGCCTCTCCTGCCACCCCTGCCAACCCTGTCTCACCTGCCTCTCCTGCCTCTCCTGCCACCCCTGCCTCACCTGCTGCATACCCAGCTCCTGGCAGCGACTGGCACACAGTGTGCACAGCAAAAATGAGTGAAAGGGACAAGGGAATCTGTCCCTTCACCTCCTCTGCCTGGTTTTTCAACAATGAAATGGGAGATGACTTTGTGATAACCTGCCACCCACTGGGCAGTGTGGGGAGTAAAGCAAGATCATGAAACCGTTTGCAGACTCTAAAGCTTACAGATCTGCTATGCGACCTTGGGCCAACCCATGTTCATCTCTGGACCTCTGCTTTTCCAACTGTACAATGGGCTGGGAGGGCTCAACCTTCCCAGCCATCTAAGACTGAGCATGAGGTCTTTCTGCATAAACTGAAGAAAGAGCCCACACAGTCCTCAGGGAGTCCCACCTCAGGGCTGAGCCCCCTGACTCCCACCTCAGGGCTGAGCCCCTGCTGTCCTTCAACTGGCCCGAGGCCCCTGCTCATCCTTAGCCTCCTGCAGCTGCCCCATACCCAGAGGCCCTGATCCCTGTTTCGAGGGCACCTCCCCAGCTCCTGCTAACCTAGCTGAGGCCCAGCAAGCTGGCACTGCCCCACCCCACCCTGCAACATCCACGAGCCAGCTGACCTTGCTGATGTGAAACTCCATCTTCCGAATGTGCCTTTCCACACAGCGCGTTTGCTTCTCCCGGAAAAAGGGAAGATGTTTGCAAAGTTGCCTGGGCCACCCACCTGCCCCGCTTGCCCCTGCCACCCTCCTACAGGTCCTAACTCAGAGAATGGGGCCCCTCACCATCCCTGAGGAAGGCTCATCGCAGAGACTCAGCCTTCCCATTCCTAAAATGGGGAGGAGACCCAGGTTTTCTGCCCATCAGGCAGCCAGGAAGATGCAATGAGGCACAGTCATTCTCATCCAGCCAGGCCCAGCCCACCTCACTCACCGTATGCAGACTCACCTTGTCCAGGTCATAATAGAAAGCCTGTGAGGGAGGAAAGGAGGGCGGAAGAAGCTGTCAGAGTCCCACATGTTCCTCCAAGGCCTATGAGGCTCTATGCTGGCGGCGCCTGAGCTCAGAGTCAGAGGACAGAAAGCCATGTCTACAGCCACCCCCACCCACTCCTTCCTCTGCCAACGGCAGACTGCTGTCCACGCCAAGGACAGCACTGATTAAACACATGCACGTGGGATGAGGCAGTTCTAGGTCTGGCTCTTCTATTTCCCAGCTGCGTGTCCCAGGCAAGTCATTCAGCCTTTCTGGGCCTCCGTTTCCTCCTATGTAAAGCAGGGTAGGAGAAGCGCCTACCTCACAGGGAGAAAAAAGGACACAGTAGGCCCTTGACAAAATGGGAACCATTGAGATTGAAGGAATGGCCTCGGCCATGACAAAAGAACATGAGGGGGATGGAAGCGGGAGGGGCACATGGCACAGCAGTTCAGGCCTTAATGGTGAATTCCTAAGTCTATCCATTCCAGGGGCCAGGGTGCGACCAACACAAATAATATATCATCAGGGCAGGCAAACCTTTCTATAGGTTTGTAAAGGGCCAGAGAGTAAATATTTCAGGCTTGGCAGGCCACGGCGCCCCATGCCAAGATCTATAAAGTAGGACCATCCTGGCCAGGCGCAGTGGCTCACGCCTGTAATCCCAGCACTTTGGGAGGCTGAGGTGGTCAGATCACTTGAGGTCAGGAGTTTAAGTCCAGCCTGGCCAACGTGGCGAAACCCCATCTCTACTAAAAATATAAAAAGTAGCTGGGTGTGGTGGTGCATGCCTGTAATCCCAGCTACTTGCCAGACTTGAGGCAGGAGAATCACTTGAACCTCAGAGGTGGAGGTTGCAGTGATCTAAGACCGTGCCACTGTACTCCAGCCTGGGTGACAGAGCGAGACTCCATCTCAAAAAAAAAAAAAAAAGAAAAAAAGTAGGACCATCTAAAACATACACACCTTTGCCTACCTTAGAGTTACTTCTAGAACCAAGAAAGAGTGTGAAGTGGACCTAAGACATGGGAAGTGCTGTACCTGCCTGTGGGGTTAAATTCATCAGGGTCAAAGTTTTGTCCTAACTAAGCAACTCTGCCATCATAGTGGGAAAGCAGCCACAGACAATATGTACATGAACAAGTGTGGTCAAGAAACATTTTTTTAAACAAGTGTTTAAAAAAACTCTTGTTTTTTAAGTGACTCTAATTTTAAAATATAGTGACTCTAATTTTCACTGGCTGTTAATTTCCAGTGGAGATTAGAGTCACTATGTCTGAGTCTGGAGGGGTTACCATGGGGTTGTAGATCCACCAGGGAGGAAAAGTAAGCTGTAGGAGAGTATGTAAATTGACATTTCATTTTTGTAAGACAATTTTAACTCACAATTGCTAAACACATTTACATGATTATGTGACCAGAGAGAAAAATATGGAAAGATCAATAAAAGATTGTTCTCAAGGGTTAAACGGGATGGGACACGGAAGATTGAATAGAGGAGGGCGTCAATCGAGAAAGAAAGAAGGATTCAACCCCAAAAAGTCCCATGTATGTATTTATGTGGAATTGTACATATGCGATAATGAAATAAAAATTCCATTTAAGCCAGGTGAAGTGGCTCACACCTGTAATCCTAGCACTTTGGGAGGCCAAGGCAGGAGGATCACCTGAGCCCAGGCATTCAAGACCAGTCTGGGCAACACAGCAAGACCCCATCTCTACAAAAAATTTAAAAATTAACTGGGCATGGTGGCACACACCTGTAGTCCCAGCTACTTGAGAGGCTGAGGTAAGAGGATTGCTTGAGCCCAGGAGTTTGAGGTTACGGAGAGCTATGATCGTACCACTGCACTTCACCCTGGGTGACAGAGTAAGACCTTGTCACTTTAAGAATAAATAAATAAAATCTTTTTAAAATTAAGAAACAATTAAAACTCCATTTAAGAAATAAAGAAACAGGATGGGTGTGGTGGCTCATGCCTATAATCCTAGCCTTTTGGGAGGCCGAGGTGAGTGGATCACCTGAGGTCAGGAGTTGGAGACCAGCCTGGCCAACATGGTGAAACCCCCTCTCTACTAAATAAAAAATACAAAAATTATCCTGGCATGATTGTGCGCGCCTGTAATCCTAGCTACTCAGGAGGCTGAGGCAGGAGAATCACTTGAACCTGGGAGGCAGAGTTTGCAGTGAATGGAGATCGTGACACTGGACTCCAGCCTGGGTGACAGAGCGAGAATCCATCCCGAAAAAAAAGAAAAGAAAAGAAAAGAAATAAATAAAGAAAGAGGAAAGATCCCAAGCCTTTGAAAAGAAGAGTGACTACCCAGCAACGTCTCAAAAACCAACATCTTGTTTCAATGAGAACCAGCAGTGTCATGGGAGCAGGACTCGACATGGGCATCTTGCTGTGTGGCTCCAGTGCGGTCACTGTGCCCTGGCCTCAGTGTGCCCATCTATGACATGGGAGCAGCTAAAACATACAAGTATTTATACTCTTGCCTGCTTTAGAGTTACTTCTAGAATGGAAAGAATGGGAAACGAAGTCCACGGGGTGAGACTCACTGTACCCATGTGAGAAGAGGGGCAGGTGCTGGAGCTGGGTGATATCTTGGCAGCACCTTCTCCCACCATCTGCTGCTGGTCACCCGCCCAACTGTCCACTAAGGGTGAGGCATGCTGAGCTTGGCAGGCCTTTCCCTCCCCAAGTCCCTGGCACACACATGAGGCTGGGTCCTTGCCTCTCCTACCCTGCCCACCCCGAGGCCCTCTCTGCTGGAGCCAGGATACAGAGACGGCCGCTTGTTTGCTTGCTTATTTCATTCATTCATTCATTCATTCATTCATTGAAACAGAGTCTGGCTCTATCGTCCAGGCTGGTGTGCAGTGGTACGATCTCACCTCACTGCATCCTCCGCCTCCTGGGTTCAAGCTATTCTCCTGCCTCAGCCTCCCGAGTAGCTGGGACTACAGGCACCCGCCACCACGCCTGGCTAATTTTTGTATTTTTAGTACAGATGGGGTTTCACCATGTTGGCCAGGCTGGTCTCAAACTCCTGATCTCGAGTGATCCACCCGCCTTGGCCTCCCAAAGTGCTGAGACTACAAGCGTGAGCCACTGTGCTGAGCCACTGGATGCTATTTTGGTAGAAAAACTCATCTCCCCTCCTCGCTTTCCCAGTCCCTCAGTCAAGCTGGTGGCCTGTTCTGCACATTGGTGCTTTGGAGGAGGGATTCTGGGAAACACTGGCTGGGAGGAGAATCCCACAGTAGCAAGGCCTCCTTGCTTTTGTCTCCAAATCTAATTCATTAAGGACATGTGGGGTTTTCTCAAGGCAGCAGCGGAGAGACTTCCCAGATGAAAGGAAGATCCTCCTGCTGAAAGGATGAAGTCCCTGAGCAATGGGATCCTAGCAGTGTCACCAGATAAAATACAGGACACCTAATTAAAATTAAAATTTCCAATCAACAAGGAACAATTATTTTAGCATAAGTATGTCCCAAAGATTACATGGGATATACTTATACCTAAACAAATTTGTGATTTGTCTGAAAAACCAATTTAATGGGAGGCCGGGCACAGTGGCTCATGCCTGTAATCCCAGAACTTTGGGAGGCAGAGGCAAGCGAATCACTTGAGGTCAGGAGTTTGAGACCAGCTTGGCCAACGTGAAACCTTGTCTCTACTAAAAATGTGAAAAAACAGCTGGGCGTGGTGGCGGGTGCCTGTTATCCCAGCTACTCAGGAGGCTGAGGCAGGACAATCGCTTGAATCTGGGAGGCAGAGGTTGCAGGGAGCCGATATCACACCATTGCACTCCAGCCTGGGCAACAGAGTGAGACTCCATCTCAAAAACAAAACAAAACAAAACAAACAAATTTAATGGGGCATGCTATTTGTGAGTGTGTGTGTGTGTGTGTGTGTGTGTGTGTGTGTGTGTTGCTAAGTCGGTCTCTGCTAAGGGAGAGGCAAAAAACCAGAGCAGGTGAGCCTTGGGCAACACAGGGCCCAGGGCCAGCCTGAAAGACACTGCCTTGGCTGGCACAGTGCCTCACACCTGTAATCCCAGCACTTTGGGAGGCCGACACAGGAGGATTGCTGGAGCCCAGGAGTTCAAGACCAGCCTAGGCAACATGATGAGACCCTGTATCTACAAAAAATTTAAAAAATTAGCTGGGCATGGTGGTGCATGCCTATAGTCTCAGTTACTTGGGAGGCTGAGGTAAAAGGATCGTTTGAGCCCAGGAGGTGGAGGTTGCAGTGAGCCGGGATTGTGCCACTGCACTCCAGCCTGGACAACAAAGGGAAATCCTGTCTCAAAAAAAAAAAAAAAAAAAAAAGACACTGCCCTGATGATGGCAGGAAACGCTGCCTGTCAGCTGGGCATTGAAGGAACACGCAGGCTTCATCAAGGACAGCGGCAGAGGCCACTGTGACATACCCAAGATGTGACACCTGACCCACTTTCCTGGCATTACAGAAGCCATCCCAAGTCCAGGTCACCTGATGGCCAAGGTCTATAAAATAGGACCACCTAAAAGAAATGCACCTCCATACACTGCCCACCTTAGCATTACTTCTAGAACCGAGAGACAGTGTGACATGGGCCTAAAACGTGTGAACTGCTGTACGTGCCAAAGTGAAGTTAACTCAGTGCAACGTGAAGAGGCTATTCCATAAACCTCTAGTTCTGAGAAAGAGTCACACCGTGACATAGGCTAGAAGGAACGCAGGGTTCATCTTTTACTCCTGGCCAAGGCTATCTGGGTGGGAAGCAGGCAGGGAGGGGTCTCACCAGCCTGGAATTCCTCCTGGTGTCTTTGTGGCGTCCAGACAGGTGGTCCAGCTCAGCCTGCTGCACACACAGATACTCCCTGCAAGGAAAGCAAGGAAGAGTTTCAAATGGAAGAGGAAGAAGAAAGGGAAAGGAAGTAGGCCAAATGGACAATGTCCCCACGTGGAGAGCAGACACGGGGCTCAGCGGGGCTCAGAGGCAGGTAGGAAGCCAGGCTCCCTCACACTGGGGGCTGTGTGCCCAGCACCACACAAAATTGGTTACAGGGAAGTTCCTAGTTAATTCCCCCACCAGGCCCACAAGTAGCTTCTACTGTTATTATATGCATTTTCTTTCTTTCTTTACTTATTTATTGTTTGAGACAAGGTCCCCCCTCTCTCGCCCAGGCTGGAGTGCAGTGGTGTGATCACAGCTCACTGCAACCTCTACTTCCTGGGTTCAAATGATTCTTATATCTCAGCCTCTTGAGCAGCTGGGACTACAGGTGTGTGCCACCACACCTGGCTGATTTTTGTATTTTTAGTAGAGATGGGGTTTCACTATGTTGGCCAGGCTGGTCTCGAACTCCTTGACCTCAGGTGATCTGTCTGCCTTGGCCTCCGAAAGTGCTGGGATTACAGGGGTGAGCTACCGCATCCAACCTAGTATATGCATTTTAAAGATAGACAAACCAACCCTTGAAAGCAGCAAGTACCCCAGCCCCGGTCACACAGCAGAGAAGAGGCTGAACCCACGTCTGAAACCACACAGTGGCCTTCTGAGCCCAAAATCTTCATCCCCATGTTATACCCCCTCCCAAGCTGGGGCCCAGCTCATGGGGAGGTCATCATGGCACACCTCCCTCAAGGTCAAGGGTCTAGGCCGGGCGCCGTGGCTGACGCCTGTAATCCTAACACTTTGGGAGGCCGAGGTGGGCGGATCACAAGGTCAGGTAATCGAGACCATCCTGGCTAACACAGTGAAACCCCATCTCTCCTAAAAATACAAAAACTTAGCCGGGCATGGTGGCACACACCTGTAGTCCCAGCTACTCGGGAGGCTGAAGCAGGAGAATTGCTTGAACCTGGGAGGCAGAGGTTGCAGTGAGCCGAGATTGCACCACTGCACCCCACCTGGGCAACAGAGCGAGACTTCATTCCAAAACAAAGAAGGTGGGGGGCGTCTAGATTTGGGGGCCAAGGCAGGGAGTCCCATCTTGCTGGATTTGCTGAGTCATCCCAGGAAGGTCACTCACACTCTCTGGGCTCTACTGACACCACCTCAAATGTGGAAAAGATAGCTTCTGCCAGACTGCTACTCACTGAGGTATTGAGCTCTCTGGGAAGAAGGGGCTGCCTTGGCCCCAGACAAGTCTCAAACATGTGGTCCTTAAAGGACACAGAATCTGTCCTTCAGAAACATGCTCTATCGTCCATGCACATCCCAGCTCCCACTCTGCACAATCCCAGCTTGCTGCAGCCTCCACCTCTACAGGATTTTGCCATATTCCCATGCTGGTCTTGAACTCCTAGGCTCAAGGAATCTGCCTGCCTCGGCCCCCCAAAGTGCTGGGATTACAGGGTAGCCACCGCTGTGCCCAGCCAAGGATGTCTATTTTGAAAACCATTTCATTCTAAGGTGGTTTCCCTTTTTTTTTTTTTTTTTTTTTGAGTCTTGCTCTGTCTCCTAGGCTGGAGTGCAATAACGCGATCTTGGCTCACCACAACCCCCACCTCCCGGGTTCAAGTGATTCTCCTGCCTCAGCCTCCCGAGTAGCTGGGATTGCAGGCATGCCCCACCACGCCGGCTAATTTTGTATTTTTAGTAGAGACGGGGTTTCACCATGTTGGCCACGCTGGTCTCAAACTCCTGAATTCGTGATCCGCCTGCCTCCGCCTCCCAAAGTGCTAAGATTACAGGCCCACTGCGTCTGGCCTGGTTTCAACTTTTACTTGACTCTGGTTCCTCTTTGGGGTGCCCCATCTATAAATAAGAGATGTAGGGGCTGGGCGTGGTGGCTTATGCCTGTAATCCCAGCACTTTGGGAAGCCAAAGCAGGTGGATCACAAGGTCAGGAGTTCAAGACCATCCTGACCAATATGGTGAAACCACGTTCTATTAAAAATACAAAAACAAATTAGCCGGGCGTGGTGGCAGATGCCTGTAGTCCCAGCTCCTCAGAAGTCTGAGGCAGGAGAATAGCTTGAACCCAGGAGGCAGAGGTTGCGGTGAGCTGAGTGAGATCACACCACCGCACTCCAGCCTGGGTGACAGAGTGAGACTCCGTCTCAAAAAAAAAAAAAAAAAAAAAAAAAAAAAAAGGCGTAAGTAGGAGAGAATTTAGGGTCTAAGTACCACTATATCTGGGGAAAATCACTCCAGAAACCACTCTTTGGCCCACAGGGCCCCCTGTCATCTGGTCCCCATTGCCCCATAACCTCATCCTCTTTCCTTTGGCTCTAGCCACGCTGGCCTCCTTGCTGCGCCCCAGGGCCTTTGTGTATGTGGCTACCCTGGCCTGGAATGTTCTTTTCCCCTTCAGGAGTGTGCTCCAATGTCACCTTCTTAGCAAGGCCTTCCTTCCAACTGCCCAACTTAAAATGAACCCTCCCTGCCTCTGCCTGCTTACCCTGGCCTGTTTTCCTCTGTGGCCCTTACTACCATCTGATATTCTCTGTACTTTTCTTTTCTGTATTGTGTATTGTCTGTCTCTCCCCCACTAGGAGTCAGCTCCACAGGAGGTAGGGATTTTGTGTGTTTAGTTTACTTCTGTCCCCTGGCCTGGCACTCTGTAAGCCCAATAAATATTTGTGGGCTGGGCACAGTGGCTTATGTCTGTAATCCCAGCACTTTGGGAGGCCAAGGCAGGCAGATCACTTGAGTCAGGAGTTCAAGACCAGCCTGGCCAACATGGCGAAACCCAGTCTCTACTAAAAATACAAAATATTGGCTGGGCGCGGTAGCTCACACCTGTAATCTCAGCACTCTGGGAGGCCGAGATGGACAGATCACCTGAGGTCAGGAGTTCGAGACCAGCCTGGCCAACGTGGTGAAACCCTATCTCTACTAAAAATACAAAAAATTAGCCAGGCGTGGTGGCAGGTGCCTGTAATCCCAGCTACTCGGTAGGCTGAGGCAAGAGCTACTCTCAGCCTCTGCTTTCTCATCTGTAAAATAAGGAGGCTATGCCAGGTGCAGTGGCTCACGCTTGAACCCAGGAGGCGGAGGTTGCAGTGAGCTGAGATCACACCATTGCACTCCAGCCTGGGCAACAAGAGCAAAACTCCGTCTCAAAAAAAGAAAAAAAAAAATTAGCCAGGTGTGATGGTGCGTACCTGCAGTCCCAGCTAGTTGGGAGGCTGAGGCAGGAGAATTGCTTGAACCCAAGAGGCAGAGGTTGCAGTGAGCTGAGATTGTGCCACTGCACTTGAGCCTGGGCAACAGAGCGAGACTCCATCTCAAAAAAAAAAAAAAAAAAAATTTGTGGAGTGACTCATCCTTCTTGTGCAGGCCTCGGCCCAGCTCATCAGTTGGTCTCTGAGCAAGTCTGTCCTTCACTCAAACACCCACCGCCCTGACCTCTTGCGTGTGTGGGCTCACAGTGCAGGCTCCTACTGTGGGGCCTTTGCCCACACTGTTGCCTGTCTGCCGAGGCCCTCGACGCACTGTCTCTCTGTTACCTTTCTTCATTGCACTCAGCACAGGTGGAAGTTCTATGATTGATTGCATTGCTTCTTGATTGATTGCATTGAATCTGCCCCTCTGCAGTGCGTGCTCCACAAGATCAGAGTCCTCCTGCCTTAGTCACTGCCAGGTTTCCAGTGCCCAAGGACCGGGCTGAGCACGCGGCTGCACCCTGACATACTTGCTTACTAAACGAATGACCAGGAACTTAACCTGTCACCTCTTGTAGACAAGACCCATCCACGCTTCCCCAGGAAGAGACAGAGAGGAGGCGAGGTAGAGGAATGCACTTCTTAAAGGCAGCACACAGCCCAGCCTTACTTGAGGCCTCTTTTCAATGCTTCGAAGATCTTCTTCACCTGCTGGGGCTTCGGGTCTGCACAGACCGACCCCTTCCGCAGCGTGCCGTACATCTTGGAGGATTTTGCAGGCATTCGCGATCTCACGGAGTTCCTGTTGATGGACTTTCTGTGAGAAGGGTTGGAGGGCAAGAGAAGTCAGAGAAGGGCCCTGACAAAGCCCTCCCCAGGGGCAGGCACTTTGGAAATAGTGACCAGAGCCACAGGGAGTCAGGAGACCCGGCTCAGTCCCACCCCCATCACCACCAAGCAGTGTGGTTTCCAGAAAGTTATGGAGCCTCTCTGGGTCTCTGCTTTCTCATCTGTAAAATTAGGATCCTGGGCCAGGTGCGGTGGCTCACACTTGTAATCCCAGCACTTCGGGAAGCTGAGGTGGGTGGATCACCTGAGATCAGGGGTTCAAGACCAGTCTGGCCAACATGGCGAAACCCTGTCTCTACTAAAAATACAAAAATTAGCCGGATGTGGTGGTACGTGCCTGTAATCCCACTTACTCCGGAGGCTGAGGCACAAGAATCGCTTGAACCCGGGAGGTGGAGGTTTCAGTGAGCCGAGATTGCATCACTGCACTCCAACCTGGGTGACAGAGTGAGACTCAGTCTTAAAAATAAATAAATAAATAAATAAATAAATAAATAAATAAATAAATAAATAAAAATAAGGAGCCTAGATTTGAGGATTAAAAGAAGAGTAATAAAGCTTTTCCACCATGGCTGCCACTGGAGAGCAGCAGCCATGGCTCTGCGCTACCCTATGGCCATGGGCCTCAACAAGGGCCACAAGGTGACCAAGAACGTGAGCAAGCCCAGGCACAGCCGCTGCAGTGGGTGTCTGACCAAATACACTGAGTTTGTGCGGGACATGATCCGGGAGGTGTGTGGCTTTGCCCTGTACAAGCAGCATGCTATGGAGTTACTGAAGGTCTCCAAGGACAAACAGGCCCTCAAGTTCATCAAGGAAAGGGTGGGGACACACATCCACGCCAAGAGGAAGCAGGAGGAGCCGAGCCAATGTCCTGGCCGCCATGAGGAAAGCCACTGCCAGGAAAGACTGAGCCCCCTCCCCTGCCCTCTCCCGGAAATATAGAACAGCTTGACAAAAAAAAAAAAAAGAACAGTAATAAAAATCTGGTATCAGAAATGAACTTACAGGAAGAAATACAGTCAAGTAGCCCAAATGCCAATGCTCTCTGATCACCATGCTCTGCCTGTGCAGGCAATGCCGTGTGGGAGGCCAAGTCATAGTCCTGTGCTTTACCCTTGGGGCAGCATCTGTTGGCTTTACCTGCCCAGCATCCATCCCCTCCCTCTAGTAGTAGCACCTCAATTTTCCTCTGGGGCACCTCCCCAGCTCTGCTTTTTATACTTGTGGTTTGGGGGAAAGGTAGCCTGACTAATCAACATGCACACACACATTTGCACATGCACACATGCACACGGGATTGTTTGGCAAATCCACATTCCAGGCCTGCGTTAGTCAACATATTCTGCTCCCCTGGGCCAAGAAGTATGGGGATCAAGCCTGGCCAGTAGCCAGCCAGGAGTTCAGAATTCACAGAAGGGAGAAGTGTTTTTTCCCCTGGCATTGCTAACCTGGGGAACATATACCTGGGACTTCCAGCCTCCTCCTTTTGCCACCATGTAGGGAAACTGGGGCCAACACAGAGAGGAACAAACAGAGTCAGACCAAATCTCCATGACAGTGAGTTCCTGGATCTAGCTATGTCTAAAGCTGAACCTGCCCGTGGACTTTGCAGTTACATGAGCCAACTGGCTCTCTTTTTTAGCTTAAGCCAGCTGGAGTTGGGAGTGTGGACTGGATGATCCTAAAAACTGCCTTTCAGTGGTGATGGCTGGGTCCCTCAACATTTAGAGATGTAGCAGCATCTCAAGACTGATTATAGGAGTACGAGGCCAGGGCACCCTCATCACAGCACAGAGCTGGTTTCCCTGGCATCTAAGCCTCTTCTCAGGATCCCATAACTTATCCATGAGGCTGGCTGATGCAGCCTTTGCTCACCAACAGATGTGTTGAATTCTGCTCTTAGCCCTCTAAAGCCATCAGCCAGGCGCCCTGGCACCAGGCATCACTTAATGACAACATTCTCACAAAAGAGACATGGTGGAAATGACTCTTAGATCTAACTTTGGCATCAGTTCTCTTTTTTTTTTTTTTTTTGAGATGGAGTCTCACTGTCACCCAGCCTGGAGTGCAATGGTGCAATCTCGGCTCACTGCAACCTCCACCTCCTGGGTTCAAGCGATTCTCCTGCCTCAGCCTCCCAAGTAGCTGAGATTACAGGCATGCACCACCATACCTGGATAATTTTTGTATTTTTAGTAGAGACAGGGTTTCACCATGTTGTCCAGGCTGGTCTCGAACTCCTGACCTCAAATGATCCACCTGCCTCAGCCTCCCAAAGTACTAGGATTACAGGTGTGAGCCACCGTGCCTGGCTCAGCATCAGTTATTATAGGGGACTACTGGCCCTTCTCTTCCAACTCCTCCTCTTCCCAGGGGCGGGAATAACGGTATGCTGGAAGCAGCTTCAACCCACCCCTAAAAGCTGGCTGAACAACAAGAGAGAAGGAACAGGCCCTGAATAGCCTCGTGAAGCAGACCTCCCAACACACACACATGCCCTCATCCACCCCTTGGCTCTGGACTGCAGAGAGAGAGAGAGAGGAATAACCAATCTCAAGTAAGCACCTGCATTTTGGGGGTCCTTTTATCAAAGCAACTTCACCTCTACATTAACAACACACTACCCAAGGCTCTGTCTTTTCACTGGTAAAATGGGACCACGTAATACATCAGAGGATGGTGCTGAGAATTCTATTAGATGCCAGGCCCAAAATGTGGCACAAAGGAGACCTTTTACATGCAAGCTGTTGTTAGAATCATCACATCCTATCTGTATCTTTCCCCTGGCTCACAGCTTAGAAAACATTAGGTGCAGGCCAGGCACTGTGGCTCACACCTATAATCCCAGCACTTCGGGAGGCCAAGGTGGGTGGATCAACTGAGGTCAGGAGTTCAAGACCAGCCTGACCAACCTGGTGAAACCCCGTCTCTACTAAACAAAAAATTAGCCAGGCGTGGTGGTGGACACCTGTAATCCCAGCTACTCGGGAGGCTGAGGCAGGAGAATCACTTGAACCGGGAGGCAGAGGTTGCAGTGAGCCGAGATCATGCCACTTCACTCCAGCCTGGGCAGCAAGAGCAAAACTCTGCCTTAAAAAAAAAAAAAAAAAAAGAAAAAAAAGAAAATATTAGGAGTTTGGTAAATATTAAGCTCAGCTGAACGGGGGAAAATACAGTATCCCAAGGGGATTAGAGAACAGAGAACCTGGCCCCTGCAGGCAGAGCGGGATAGCGAGTGCACCCCTGGGTGTTCCCAGCTGGAGACAGAGGGAGCAAAGGTGGAGAATGGGACCTGGTATGCTCTGGGAGTGGATGCAAGGAGCAAGGTTTGACCCAGGCAGAAGTGGGAGTCTGCAGAGGGGCCTGGACCTGGGGCCTCTCTAGTTTTGGGGACCCAGGATGTGTGAGAGGAGGAGAAGGGCAGCTCCCAGAGAAAGTCCAGCTTCCAACACCTTTACAATGACAAGTAATGTCTCTGTAGAGCAGAGAAACTAAGCTCAGGCCAGGGCTAGTGGGCTGCTGAACAGCTGACACCACAAGCCCAAGGGCCTCAGGAGCCTGGTGAGAACACGTGAGCCTAAGTAACTGGGGGCACCTGCTGCCGCCAGGAGCTCGCTAAGGGCTTTATAGAAATATCTCGACTTTCACAACCACCCTAGGAGACAGGTATTATTCTTATTATTATTTTGAGATGAAATTTCGCTCTGTCGACAGGCTGGAGTGCAGTGGCACGATCTCTGCTCACTGCAACCTCCGCCTCCCAGGTTCAAGCGATTCTCCTGCCTCAGCCTACCCAGTAGCTGGGATTACAGGCATCTGCTACCACGTCCAGTAATTTTTGTTTTTTTTAGTAGAGACAGGGCTTCACCTTGTTGGCCAGGCTGGTCTTGAACTCCTGACCTCAGGTGATCTGCCCGCCTTGGCCTCCCAAAGTACTGGGATTGCAGGCATGAGCCACTGCACCCAGCCATTTGTATATATTTAATGTTAAGTGATGCTTTCCAAAGCCCACAGGGGCTGTGCTCCCTCTTCCCCTTGCCCTCCCTGAGGCCCCATCACCCACCTCTTGAACCGGGCCCTCCGCAAGTTTGCCATCTTGAGGCTGGCAGAGACGGTCAGGGCTGCAGACTCGGGAAAAGGCAGGTTTCTGAGAGGTTAGGGACCCCGGCAGGTGGGCAGCAGGCAGTGGGGCAGGAGCTCGCTCACTCCCAGCTCCTGCCTCCAGCCCCCAACAGGTGTGCACCGTTGGCCCAGCCCCGCTTCCATCCACCTGGGGACCTTATACCCTCGCTGCTGCAGCCACACCTGGATGCACCTGCTCCCGGGAAAGCTCTGAGCCTAGTGCTCCTTGTGTGAGGTTTAACAGGACAGGCTCAGTGGCCACTCTGAGAGCCCGCCCACCCGGGGAAGGTGATGCACATGCAGCCTCCAGATGGCCAAATCAGGCAGCATGTCTGGCCCAGGTGTCACAGAAGCCGGGGCAGGAAGAGCCTCTGGGGCCGGATGTTTCACCAGGTCTGGGAGGACTCAGTAAATATTAAACAGCCCCTGGCATGCCAGACAAGCTTCCAGACGGGCACGTGCAACCTGCCGGCCCCAGCCCTCACGTGAGGTTGCTACAGCAGTCCTTCTGCCTGGTGTGGTTGGCAGAGGCCTTGGTACTCGGCTGTTGCAAGTGCAGGCTCTGGAGGCAGACAGGGCCGGGCTCAAGTCCTGCACCTGCCCCCAGCCTCCAGGCGGGACAATTATAGGACTGACTGCACAGGCTTCAGGTGAAGACTCCATGCAACAAGGACGTGAGCCAACCATTTACCCAGGTGCCTGGCGGTGCTGGCCACTGGGTGATGATGACAGGCATGCACTCGGCACTTGCCAAGCTCAAATTCTGCTCTCAGTGCTTTTGTTTTTTTTTTTTTTAATTGAGACAAGGTCTTGCTCTGTCTCCCAGGCTGGAATGCAGTAGCGTGATCTCAGCTCACTGTAGCCTCCGCCTCCTGGGCTCAAGTGATCCTCCCACCTCAGCCTCCTGAGTAGCTGGGACCACAGGAGTGCACAATTACACTCGGCTAATTTTTTGTAGTTTTGGTGGAGACAGGGTTTCACCATGTTGCCCAGGCTGGTCTTGAATTCCTGAGCTCAAGTGATCCGCCTGCCTTGGCCTCCCAAAGTGCTGGGATTGCAGGCGTGAGCCACCACGCCCGCCTGGCCTGCTCTTGGTGCTTTACATGTATGGACTCATTTCTCCTGACACAGTCTTTGAGGTCAGGCCCCCTGGTACCGTCCAGGAAACTGAACTTGCATCACTCGCCTCTGGCTCCAGAGTCTGTGTGCTTGACAGCTTCACAGGCAGGGCTGGATATGAGCCGCCTCTTTCTCCAGCCTCCTCTCCTTGAAACTTAATGGCTGCTATTTCGTTTTCACACCCACACTTCTTAGCCATCCCAACAGAGGAATTCCCAAGCTGAGGAGGATGTCCCAGTGGCTCCTGGCTCGGGGAGTACCTGCCTGACTGCCTGGGGGAGGGAGACCTGGCTGAGGAGGGGCAGGAAAGGGGGAAGGGCAACCATGCCTGTCAACTGGGGCAGAGTAGGACAGTATCGGGGCCTGGCCCTCTCCTCCTTCATCCTCACTGTTTATCCTCTCATCTCTCTATCCTCCCACCCCCCAGGTCCAGCTCTTGGGAAATGGCCTTATTATGTCAATCATTCACACCTTAGTATAAAATTTCCCCACCAGGTTACTTCCCCAAGTGAGCCATCTGACTGTGGAGTAAAAATCCCTGTCTATAGTGAAAGGGGTTTCAAGGTGCCAGAGTAGGGGTCAAGGTGGTGATGGGAAGAGAAGGGGCATCAGCCCACCCTCTCCATGCAGAGCCCTGCCCTCCTGCCAGGTTGTTTGCCTTGACAGTGCGGCTGCGCTTCGGCCTGCTCGGGTTACCAGGGAACAAGGCCAGAAGGTGGGGCCTGAAACCCAATCAGGCTCCAGCCCTGGCTCCAAGGGTTCAGACCCCAGGGAGCTCGACGGAGACAGGAAGTTAAAAATAGATGCACCGCTTCCCCGTCGGTGTGGGCAGCTTCTTCCTTGCCCTCACACAAGGGGGCGGCAGAGGCCAAGGCCAGGTGGGGGCTGCCCAGGGACCTCCGAACCAGCCCAGGCCCAGCATCCTCTGGCATCCTTGACAATCAGATGGGGGACAGGAGGGGTCTGAGATATTAGAGCCATCAGGGCTGTCTTTCCTAGACTAGGACTTGGACACTGTGGGACCCTTGCTGACGGCCAGCGAGCCCTGGTGTCAAGGGGATGGATCACCTCTGTCCTCCTTCCTCCCAAAGAGCTGATCCCAGGAATCCAGGAAGGGGCCAACGAGAGGCAGAGGCCTACCGTGGGGGCACTCTCTGGGCAGAGCTCCCCTCTAGGGCCTGAGGGGACATGTCCCATGGATGCAGGACATTCAGAGGCCCCCACAGGCCTGGCAGGAGGAGAGCTGCAGGCAGGGCCAGTTGTGAAATTTGTGGGGTCTAGTGCGAAATAAAAATGCAAGGCTCTTTATTCAAAATTTATCAAGAATTTTGGGCCAGGCGCGGTGGCTCACGTCTGTAATCCCAGCAGTTTGGGAGGCCGAGGTGGGTGGATCACCTGAAGTCAGGAGTTCCAGACCAGCCTGGCCAACATGGTGAAACCCTGTCTCTACTAAAAATTAGCTGGGCATGGTGGCACATGCCTGTGATCCCAGCTACTCGGGAGGCTGAGGCAGGAGAATCACTTGAACCCGGCAAGTGGAGGTTATGGTGAGCTGAGATTGTGCCATTGCACTCCAGCCTGGGCAACAAGAGCAAAAGTCCGTCTCAAGAAAAAAAAAAAAAAAAATAGCCAGTGTGGTGGCCCATGCCTGTAGTCCCAGCTACTCAGGAGGCTGAGGCAGAAGAATTGCTTGAACCTGGAAGGTGGAGCTTGCAGTGAGCCTAAATTGCACCACTGCACACCTGGGTGACAGAGCAAGACTCTGTCTCAAAACACACACAAAAAAATTGTATTAAGAATTTCTATTTGGTGCCAGGCACAGTGGCTCACACCTGTAATCCCAGCATTCTGGGAGGCCGAGGCAGGTGGATCACCTGA
This sequence comes from Homo sapiens, assembly GCF_000001405.40. NCBI lineage: Eukaryota > Metazoa > Chordata > Mammalia > Primates > Hominidae > Homo > Homo sapiens. The sequence goes on from NC_000020.11 coordinate 50,627,287, forward strand.
GGTCAGGAGTTCGAGACCAGCCTGACCAATATGGTGAAACCCTGTCTCTACTAAAAATACAAAAAAAAAAAAAAATTAACTGGCATGGTGAGGCACACCTGTAATCCCAGCTACTCAGGAGGCTGAGACAGGAGAATTGCTTGAACTCAGGAGGCGGAGGTTGCAGTGAGCCGAGAATATGCCACTGCACTCCAGCCTGGGCAACAGAGCGAGACTCTGTCTCAAAAGAAAAAAAAAAATACAAAAATTAGCCGGGCGTGGTGGCACGCTCCTGTAATCCCAGCTACTCAGGAGGCTGAGGCAGGAGAATCACTTGAACCTGGGAGGCGGAGGTTGCAGTGAGCCAAGATCGCGCCATTGCACTCCAGCCCGGGCGAGAGAGAGAAACTGTCTCAAAAAAAAAAAAATTTTGGGAGGCTGGGGTGGGAGGATCATTTGAACCAAGGAGGTCAATGCTGCAGTGAATCGAGATCGCACCACTGCACTACAACCTGGGCGACAGAATGACACCCACAAAAATTTCTAGAGCACAACAGCAGAGCGTTCAATCAAAGTACAGAGCACAGGCTACACGCTCATGAAGCCGCCCTTGGGTACAGGGTCTGCAGACCCTACCCCTCCTTCCAGACCACACAAGGGTCCCTACAGTGCTTCAGTGGACCAGCCCCACTCCAGGGCACACAGCTGGGAGAGGGTCACCTGGGCCGGATGGCCCCCTGGCCAGGTAACCCGCACAGCTGACCTTCCCAGCCTTGATTACAGACCCCTGCAAGAAAGTGGGGGACTCTGATAAAGCCCAGGAAGAGGCAGCTCAGAAATGGTTAAGTTGAGAAACAGCATCATTTCCTGGCCGGTTTATACTTAACCCCCTCTTTGCAGCACTTATGGAGTGCCTGCTGTGTGCCTTTCTCAGGCAGCACCCACTCTTTCTGTTCTCTGAGGCTTGGAGTTGGGGCACTGAGCACTAACTGCTCTGGAGCCTGGGTCAAATTCTTCTCGTCTTGGGGCATCAACTTAAACCCTTCCCAGGCTCCCCTCCACTGAGAATGTGTCTCAAGGCCTCACTGCAGCCCATGAGGCTCCGCAGGGTCCTCCTCCCTCCCTGACTGCTGTCACGCATGCCAGCCGCACACCTGCTTTCTGTCCCTTAAAGCTCATTCCCACCCAGGACATCTGCACTCGCAGCTGCCTCCCGCCGCCGAAGGCTTCCCGGCCCACCCCCATCTGCACACGCGCAGATCCACTTCTTCTGTCCCTTCCTGCCTCCACTCCCCATGCCCCTGTCTCGTCAGGCTCTCCCAGGAGACCATGGGTGCCCTCCCCCACCCCCAGTTCAGTTCCCTCACAGCACTGCCACCAGCTGGATCTGTCTCAATTATCACTGGCTTATTGTTTGCTGCCATCAGCTCCCAGGACAGCAGGGCCTGGGTCTGTCCCCAGAGCCCAGGACAGGGCCAGAGTAGGTGCTCCGTGAATATCTGCTGCGTGAACAGGGATTCCTAAGGTGCTTCCAGCTGGGACACTCCAGGATCTTAACCCTGGGGTCCCGGCACCACCACCCATGGGAAGGGAGCCCCCAGGGAAAGGTTAGTGAGCTGGGAGGGCTGACCTCAGGGGGGTGGAGGTGGGGTCCTATCCCCGCAGCAAATGCCCCTGGGAAGGAGCTCAGGGAGCACACACAGGAGGGACCTGGCCTGGTCTGGAGCTCAGGGGTCCTCCCCCAGGACCTAGCAGGAAGCCAATGCCTGCAGGTGATTCAACGGGAACTGGAGGTGGAGGAGTGGGGTAGGAGCTCCAGCGGGAGGACACACATGTGCTGAGGCCCTGAGGCCGGGAGGGGAGGGAGGTAGGCTGCTGGGGCCAGGTCCCAGGGGCCTCTAGCCAGGAGGGCGCTGGGTTTATTCTAAGTAGGTTGGGAATCTTTGCAGGGTTTCAAGTCGGGGAAGAGCATGGTGGGATTTTATTGTTGACTGACTCACTGACCTACTGAGTTCTGCACTCTGCTCTGGCTGGGGACCCCGACCTGTCCACCCCGTTGGCTCAGACAGACAGAGGTTTGGCCCCTTCAGGATGTCGATAAACTGCCCCAGTCCCCAGGCCTGCCTGCTCGTAAATGGTTCCCTGGGGGCTTGCACAGTGCCTGGCATGAGGCCCTGGAGCGAGGGGGCAGCAGGCCTGAGCTCATCGGGCTGTGGCCTCCAGAAGCAGAAACAACCTTCCTCCCAGGGACTTAGTACCTAAAGCCGGAGGAGACACAGGACGGGGCAGCAGGCAGGGCCTGGCCCGGCCAGCACCCCCAGGGAACTCAGCCACAGGGTCAATGCTGCCCCCCAGGCCCATCTGTGCCAAGCCTGCTCCCTCATCCGGTAACCCCCCACAGCACCAGCTGCACCGGCTGCTGGCCCTGCCTCCCTCGTGGTTCCTTCCCGACAGCCCCGTGAGCAGGGTGCACCCACAATTCCCATTGTTCAGATGAAGACAAGGCTGAAGAGGTGAGGTCACTTGCCCCAGGTCACAGAGCCAGAAGAGGTGGCCCCATTGCCTAGTCTTCCAGACAGGAAGAACATTCCTTCCCAACCCCGCCCGTGGAAGACCCAACCCTGGGCCAGTTTTGCTGTGTGACCTTGGGCCAGTGGCTCCACCTATCTGAGCCTCTGGTTTTTTGGTTTTTCTTTTTTGGTGTTTTTGTGGGTTTTTTTGAGATGGCATCTTGCTCTGTCACCCAGGCTGGAGTGCAGTGGTGTGATCTCGGTACACTGCAACCTCCACCTCCTGGGTTCAAATAATCCTCCCACCTCAGCTTTCCAAGTAGCTGGGATTACAGGCATGTGCCACCACATCCAACTAATTTTTGCATTTTTAGTAGAGACAGGGCTTCACCGTGTTGGCCAGGGTGGTCTCCAACTTCTGACCTCAAGTGATCCGCCCGCCTTGGACTCCCAAAGTGCTAGGATTACAGGCATGAGCCACCGTGCCCAGCCCAATTTTCTGGTTTTTCAAAAAAATTTTTGTAGAGATTGGGTTGTGCTATGTTGCCCAGGCTGGTCTTGAGTTCCTGGGCTCAAGTGATCCTCCTGCCTCGGCCTCCCAAAGTGCTGGGATTATAGGCGTGAGTCACTGTGCCCAGCCAGAGCCTCAGATTTTTTATCTGCCAAGTGGACCTGCTAAGCTCAGGCAGATCAACTTCTGGAGACTTTGAAATGATAACTGTTCAGGTTTCAAGGAAATGATAGGTTTATCCCAACACTAAGAAACTCTGTCTCTCTGTCTCTCTCTCAATCTCAATCTCTCTCTCTCTCTCTCTCTCTCTCTCTGTCTCTCTCGGGCTGCAAGCCGGCCTGAGAGTGGGCCTTCGGGTCTCTGGCAGCAGGAGGAGGATGACCCTGCCCTTCCCCAGCCCATTAACAAGCCCCACCCCTGCACCCCGAAACAGGACACGGGGGGAACTTACGCGATCCTCCGGCTCTGTGCACTGCTGAAGCCTGCGAAGGAGGCGCTCCGGCCCACGACCCCCACGGCCCCTGTGTCCCCAGGGGACAGGAACCGCAACCTCACCGACATGGTGGTCACCTGCAAGGAGAGGACAGGAGAGTCAGCCTGGCATCACCATCCAGCGAGTGCCGTCCGCAGGCCAGCCACCTTCCACCAACACCTACAGACCTCACAATGGCCCCAGAGTGTTGTGGGGGCTGGTACTGTGCCCAGCTCACAGGTCAGCAAGCTGAGGTCCCATGAGGTTAGGGGACCTGATGGGGGACAGTGATGGGAATGGAATTCGAACCCAGGTGTCTGTACTCTGCACTCTGTGCTCAGGTCCTTAGTGCCGGGCAATGCTGCCTCCCAGAGCAAGGGGACAGCACCTCCTGAACACAGCCCTCTCACCCCCCGAGCTTCTCCTCTCCCCTCCTCCAGCCCTCCCTGAGCACCTAACACAGGTGAACTCTGCAAGGCAGGCCAAGTCCCCCCATCCTCAAGGGCTCCAGCCCAGCAGGGAGGCCCACCTACTGCCGAACAGTTACGATACAGAGTCCATGCTGGAGTTATGGGGGTCCCAGGGGGAATCTGACCCAGCCATGAAGAGGCGCCCAAGAGCTGAGTAGGAAGGCTGACGTGGGGTGAAGGGGAAGGGTGTCTAAGGCCGAGGGAACAGCCTGGGCAAAGGCCAGGATGCATGAGGGGACTTGGTGTCATCCAGAAACAGCAAGAAGCTCAGTGGGCTAAAGACGAGGTCAGAGAGGCCGGCAGGGCTCAGGTCCCAAGAGGCATTGGTAGCCCCAAGCAGGGGCTTGGCCTTACAATGGGGCAAGGGTGACTGGGAGCCATGGGAGGGCTTTCAGCAGGGGGTGGAAAAGTCCAATTCACATGAAGCCAGACTGCTGGTGTCAAGGGCTGCTTCCACCCCGATCCATTGCCCAGTCTCCGACCCGCCCTGCAATGGGGCCAACCCCGAGCCCTGGCTGTCTTCTCTTTTTTCCAAACCATCTCTAGATTGAGAAAATGCCACCCTATCCCTTGGGAATATAGGTCAGCATCTTCCAGCAAGGGCAGCTGGAAAGTTCTGCTTCATATCTAACCTAAATCTCTGCTGCTACAGTTTCATACTTTGCTCCTTTGCCAGGGTGGTGTCAATCCAAGGATTCCAGGGACCCCATTGCCCAGACAAAACCTACGAAAAAGCTCCAGTCCACCTCATCTTCCTGCACGATGAGACCCCCATGTTCCAACATCTCTTTCCCCCAGGGGCCAAGTCCACCCCACTACACCTCTGCTCACTTGGGGGTCTCTGCCTGGAAAAACTTCCTGTATCGAGCCACATCTGCCCAGCATCTACTACTGCACCTCCTGGCAGATCTGTGCAGCCTCCACAAGCCTCCTCCTCCCATATATCCCCCACCCCACAGCCCCACATGTGCCGTACATAGGAAAGCTTGGCAACAAAGAAGGTGGACCTGGGCTCAAATCCCAACTGTGCCACTCAGGCTCTGGGCCTCAGTGATCACAAGAGTAAAAGGGGAATTCAGAAAGAACCTCCCACGGAGACTGCTGGAAGGACCAAGGAAAGCATGTCCCGAGAGCCCACAGTGTGCAAGAGACATGTCGGAAGAGCTGGCTGTCTCTGTGCAATTGGCTAAGACCCCAGCTCTGCAGGTGAGCCAGGTGACCCAGATAAGCCAGGTGACCCAGGGAGAGCCAAGTGAGAAGTGAGCGGCTTCTAGCCCGGATGGAGGAAGGTGGCAAGCATTTGCTGACCACTCGCTGTGTGGCAAGCCTGGTGCCCCATGAGTGGCTACGAATCCATGAACAGCTATGAACCCATGCCCAGCAGTGCTGTGTACAGATGGGGAAGTTGAGGCATCATTCATCAAGTGCTCATTACTAAGCTGGCCCTGCACTAAATGCTTTATGTAAATTATGAAATCCATACAACCCTCTTAAGAGCAGGAGCTTTTGATGATCTAATTCCATAGATGAGGAAACTGAGGCTCAGAGAGGTGATGAGACTAGCCCAGGAGCCCCAGCAGGGCACCTGAGCACTGGGTTTAGAACCCGAGGATGCCCGATGTCAGAGCTTGTCTTACCTGCGGTCAGGAGAGCCTTGCACTGGGGCCTTGCCCCTGCCCCCATAAAGAGGTCCCCTACAGTCCCCTCCTGTGCTGTGCTGAGCCAGCTTGTACCAGCTCCCAACAGTCAACTGGGCCAGGCACAGTGGCTCACACCTGTAATCCTAGCACTTTGGGAGGCCGAAGCAGGCAGATTGCCTGAGCTCAGGAGTTCAAGACCAGCCTGGGCTACATGGTGAAGCCCCGTCTACTAAAATACAAAAAATTAGCCAGGCTTGGTGGCAGGCGCCTGTAATCCCAGCTACTCGGGAGGCTGAGGCAGGAGAATCACTTGAACCTGGGAGGTGGAGGTTGCAGTGAGCTGAGATCATGCCACTGCACTCCAGCCTGGGCAACAGAGCAAGACTCTGACTAAAAAAAACAAAAAACAAAAAACAAAAAATAGTCAATTGTTAAATGTTCAGGAATTTTGTGAGCCTGTTGACATCACGTTGGTGGTTTGAAATCAGCCACAGTAAACGTATTTACACCACAGAAAGCGGCAAGTTCTACAAGTTAGGGTTTCTGTCTGCTGGTTGTTAAACACGTATGAGCTCCTCACTGCTGTTACCCCTATCAGCACCTATGCAGGGCCTGAGAAGCTGCTCAAACTGCTTGATCCCCCCAGCCAAGCCAGGCAAGAGAATAAGGACGGAGTAGGGAGGGATTCCCAAAGGTGAGTAGTTGAGACGTACTCCGGAGCCAGCCTGGGCACTGGAGCCGGAAGGGGCTTCCCCGGCCCCTCCCTCTGCACCTTCCCATCAGAAGCCTTCTGGGCCGTTCCTGGAGCTTCACCCCAGTCACTCCACTTCAAGGTCAGAGAGAAGGACAATTGCTAAGCAGTTCCTCCCGATGCAAAGCTCAAAACAAGCCCCAGGTCCTCCTGCTCAGTGTGAGAGAGAGGACGACGAAGGAGGGAAACTAAGGCTCGGAGCAGACCTGCAGAACCTGACAGCGGATTCATCACTCATAGCACTGTGAGGTTCAATGGCCCCATTTTTCATATGAGGAAAGAAAGGCTCTGAGAGGTGAGAGGCGACTCAGGGACACACATATTTCTTTCTTTATTTCCTTTTCCTTCTTTCTTTCTTTTCTTTTTTTTTTTTTTTTTTTTAGACAGGGTCTGACTCTATTGCCCAGGCTGGCGTGCAGTGACACGATCTCAGCTCACTGCAACCTCCACCTGCTGGGCTCAAGCCATCCTCCCACATCAGCCTTTCACGTGGCTGGGACTACAGGCACACACCACCATTCCCAGCTAATTTTTGTATTCATTGTAGAGATAGGGTTTCGCCATGTTGTCCAGGCTGTTCTCGAACTCCTGAGCTCAAGCGATCCACCCACCTCAGCTTCCCAAAGTGCTAGGATTATAGCCGTGAGCCACCGCGCCTGACCAGGACACTCATTTTTCAAACTGAAGTCTGGCTCTTCCTTCTTCCACGTGCCATGGCCACATGGATTGGCTTCCTGGCTAAACCCTCCTCATCTTTCAGCCCAGATGTCCCCTCCCCCAGGAAGCCTTCCTGGACACCTCCCCACTCCTAGCTGTGTCTGGTGTTTCCTCTGGATGCCCCTGACCTCCTCTGTTATAGTGGACTGTGAATGGTGACTTGTCTATCTCTCCATCCTAGACAGGGAGCTCCCTGCAGGCAGGGACCAGGTGCATGGAAGATTCATAACACATCTTTATTGAACCAGAAAACAATGAAGGAAAGGTTGACGCTGCTTCCCCTACTTCACCAGGCTGTGCAGCCCAAGAGGAAGGTGCTGGAATAATAACAGTAATACTAATACTAATAACCACTATGTGCTAGACTCTAAGGCAAAGATGGACAAATGTTTTCTGTAAAAAGCCAGATAGAAAGGCTGAGCGCAGTGGCTCACACCTGTAATCCCAGTACTTTGGGAGGCCAAGGTGGGTGGATCACCTGAGGTCAAGAATTCAAGATCAGCCTGGACAACATGGTGAAACCCTGTCTCTACTAAAAACACAAAAATTAGCCGGGCGTGGTGGCGCATGCCTGTAGTCCCAGCTACTCTGGAGGCTGAGGCAGGAGAATCACCTGAATCCGGGAGGCAGAGGTTGCAGTGAGCCGAGATCAAGCCACTAAACTCCAGCCTGGACAACAGAGCTAGACTCCATCTCAAAAACAAACAAACAAACAAAAAGCCAGATAGTAGATATTTTTGGTTTTTCAGGCCATACAGTTTTTGTCACAACTACTCAGTTCTAGCATTTTAGAGCAAAACCAGCTGCAGACATTATGTAAAGGAATTATGCCATGGCTGTGTTTCAGTAAAACTTTATTTACAAAAGCTGCAGCAGCTGTTGAGGATGATGGGTGGCCCTGCCTCTGACCCTTGGGTAGCCAGCACTGCCTGCTACCTGCTCTGAGGACTTAAAATTCTCATTTCATTCTCCCAACACCATATGAGACAAGTACTATTACTATCCCCATTTTGCAGATAAGGAAACCGAGGCTCATGCCAGGCGTGGCGACTCACGCCTATAATTCCAGCACTTTGAGAGGCTGAGATGGGCGGATCACTTGAGCCCAGGAGTTCGAGACCAGCCTGGGTCTCATAGTGAGACCCGGTCCCCACAAAAAATACAAAAATTACCCAGATGTGGTGGCGTGCACCTGTAGTCGAGCTACTGCGGCAGGCTGAGGTGGGAGGATCATTAGAGACCTCCCAGCAAGTCGAGGCTGCAGTGAGCTGAGACTGCACCACTCCAGCCTGGCTAACACAGTGAGACCCTGTCTCAAAAGAAGGAAAGGAAGGAAAGAAGGAAAGGAAAAAGGAAAGGAAGAAAAGAAGGAAACCGAGGCTCAGAGAGGACGGAAATGAGTCCTCCGAGGTCACACAGGTAGGAAATGCCAGAGCTGAAACTGGACCGGGGCGCGCTGGACTCCAAAGCCTGGCTTCGGGACTCCGCTGTGCTTGCTCCCGCAGCTCTGCTGAGGACACGCCCCCCTCCCAGGAGCCAGACCTCCTCCAGCGGGGAAGAGGCCCCAGAATGGAAATAGGATTGGGAGGGGGACCTGCCAAGCTAGAAAGATAGCCCTGGGTGGTGGCCGAGAAAAATCAAGCCCAACCTCTTTTGGCTTCAGGGTGTTGCAGCCCCAGCCCCTGTGGGCCCCCTTGGGGCCTGCGGACCGCGACAGTTCCCAGGCAGCTCAGCTGCGCCCCCTCCCGGCTGGGCCTGGTGGGGCTGATCCATGACGTTGACTTGGAGTCCAGCCAAGCAGTGTTTCTTGTGGTAAAAGAAACAGACCTCCCCCTGGATGATTGGGGATGGGATGGCCAGGCTGAGACCCACAATCTCAGGAGCCTTCAGCGGACAGCTCCTGACAAGTCCAGTTTGTCACCTGCGACCAAGGGTGACATTCCTGATGTTTAAGCAATGGCACAGCAGCAAATGGAGGCTGGGTGCTGGAGCAGGGTCTTGAAGACCCTGTCCCCTCCCACCATGTGTCACCACCCCTGCTGGGGCTGGCATTAACCCTTTAGCTACTGGATTGTGGGCAGGTCTAGGAGGTCCCTGGGGAGGCATCAGGAAGAGAGGAGGAATGCTCGGGTGGCTTAGGGCAGCCCTGGGTAACCAGCACTCTGCAGGCATGAGAGACAGTGCAGAGACCCTGCTGGGCCCCAGGGCAGAGAAGGGAGGCACAGAGTCATGCAGTTCCCAAACCTTTGGTGGCAGACAGGACAGCCTCTTCTACTCCGTGTCCCTCGCTGCCTCTCTCTGGCCTGGCACTTAGAACTGATGCCGTTCAGACCCGGCTGGTGTGTGCAGGGAGAGGAAGCCAGATGCTCCCAGACACTGGGGACTGTCCTGGGCCTCCGTCCCCAAGGTGTGGCTGGAGGAAGCAGAGTCTACTCCCGCTAAGTCTGTCCGCTCACTGCTGGCCAAAGCTGCCCTGCGTCTCCTCCCCACCGCCAGCCAGAGGGAACCTGCAATTTCACCTCATTTAGAGGTAAAACATCTAAATTTAACGTTATGGGCTTTTGGGGCTGGGTGGCTTTTATGCCTGAGTCCCTCACTTAGGGCTCCTTTTTATCCACTCAAATGCCAGCTAGGGCTTAGTTTGTTTATAGGAGTTTCCAAAATAGCTCCTTTGGTTTCGCATGAAAGGAAATGGCAAAATAGCCCAGGAAGAGGAATGTGAGTTTACACAGAAGACAGACAGGCGCCCGAGGAGGCTTCTCTGGGAACCAGTTCGCCTGTACCAGAGGGGGCCCGAGAAAGTGTGGAGTCCAACAGTCCAACTCGCTCATTTTACCGATGTCAAGACTAAGCCCAGGATGGTCACACAACTTGCCTGGACCACCCAAAGGCGACTGGAAGAGCCAGAAGAACCCAAACTACTCCTCCCTGCCAAAGCACAGGCCTCAGCTGGAGCCCCCCTCCAGCCTTTGCCCTGGCTGTGTCCTCTGCCTGGCACACGCCTCCCTTCCCCCAGGTCTTCCCTATCACTCTCTCCCAGCTTGCAGGCCTCACAACCAAGGCCACCTCCTCAGAGAGGTCCTCCCTGACCCCCTTGGCTAACGTGGACTTGCCCCTCACCCGTATCCTTCAAATAACTCATGGTTCTGATTGTCTTATTCATCAGTTAATCAAGTATGCTTCTCAAGAATCTTCGCTCCAGGGAGCAGGGGGTTTTTCTGTCTTTTTAAAAAAAAGTTTTTGGGGCCAGGCACACTCCTATAATTATGGGCTCACGCCTGTAATCCCAGCACTTTGGGAGGCTGAGTCTGGTGGATCACCTGAGGTCAGGAGTTCAAGATCAGCCTGGCCAACATGGTGAAACCCCATCTGTACTAAAAATACAAAAATTAGCCAGGCGTAGTGGCGGGCTCCTGTAATCCCAGCTACTCAGGAGGCTGAAGCGGGAGAATTGCTTGAACCCAGGAAGCGGAGGTTGCAGTTAGCTGAGATCACACCGTTGCACTCCAGCCTGGGTGATAAAGCAAGACTTCGTCTCAAAAAAAAATTTTTTTAAATAAATAAATACATAAATTATTATTATTATTATTTTTATAGAGATGGGTCTTGTTATGTCACCCAGGCTGGTCTCAAACTCCTGGCCTCAAGCGATCCACATGGTGTGAGCCACCATGCCCAGCCTGCTGGTTTTTAAAGAGCATATTTAAATGAAAAGAGACAAATTTAAAGGACCCTTGGTTTAAATAGAGCAGGTTGGAACCAGCTTCAGGGCAGCCCATGGTCCTGGCTCTGCCATCCTCCAGAACCACCTGGAGCCAGGAGGGGACACCCAAGGTGTCTCTGCAGAGGACAGCGGCCTGACGGATAGACACACAATGAGTGCCCTGATTTGTGATTTAAGAGAAGAACAAGCAGCTCCTTGGGAAGCCCCAGTGTCCCCTGCGCTCCACTGTCCCAGGACTGCAGGCAAAGGGACGCCTCCTGACCGCAGAATAGTCAACAGCAGGCACGGGAGTGAGGACCGGGATCCAGGGAGGCCGCTTCCCTCTGTCTATCAGTCTGCAGCCCTGGGTCCCAGCTCACTCCATTGGGGTTTTCCCAGATAAAGATGACTCATGAATTTCTTTGAATTATCCAGAGGGCATTTTAATTCAAATGGCCCCATCACTGCCTCGTCACCACTCCCACCAGCCATGCCAGGGGTCAGCCAGGGGTCACCTTGAAGACAAAGCCTCTCTTTGGGAAAGAAGCCTTTGAGGCCACTGTGGGGTGGCTGTGTGTCGGGGCGCCAGGTGGGAAGGCAGCTGGGGCCTGCCCAGGCTAGGGAAGAGAGCGTGGGGGTGTGGGGGATGAAGGAAGATAAAGATGGGGTAGCGGGAGGGAGCGGGGGAAGCTGGGCCTCCAAGAAGCACAGGCTGACTTGGGAATCCCATCTCAAACGTGCCTCACCCTGGTCTCCAGCTGTAGGAGCAGTGATAAGGATGAGGACAGGCAGGAGGGACTGAGATGAGATGAGAGCATTTGGAGCCTGGAGAGAGACCCCTGACACTGAGGGAGTGAGGTGACCTGGTGGTGGCTATTCCAGGCCAAGCACCTTTGTTCAACTGTCAAAAACTAGAAACAGGCCGGGCGCAGTGGCTCATGCCTATAATCCCAGCACTTTGGGAGGCCAAGGTGGGTGGATAACTTGAGGTCAGGAGTTTGAAACCAGCCTGGTCAACATGGTGAAACCCCATCTCTACTAAAAACACAGAAATTAGCCAGGTGTCGTGGTGCATGCCTGTAATCCCAGCTACTCGGGAAGCTGAGGCAGGAGAATTGCTTGAACCCAGGTGGCAGAGGTTGCAGTGAGCCAAGATTATGCCACTGCACTCTAGCCTGGGTGACAGAGCGAGACTCCAACTCAAAAAAAAAAAACCTGAAAACAGCAATAATGCCAGTGGTACCCAACACGGCTACAGGACTTGTGCAGTGCCAGGCATTGCTCAAAGAATTCACTCATTGAATTCCTGGTACCCAGGAAGTCTGGCCTCAAGCCTGAGCTCTGCCCCCGCTGAGCAGAACCCCTCTTTCTAAACCCCGGACACTGGGCTGGACACACAGCCTCTCACTCACCCCCACAGCTCCCCGGGGGCAGGGCACTGTTACCATTGTACAGACCAGGAGGCTGAGGCTCGAGATGGAGCCACCTGAAGTGGCAAGTTGGTAGCATTGTACCTCCAATGACTCACCAAAACGCCTGCATAAAAATCCAGGTGCAGTGGCACTCACCTGTAGTCCCAGCTACCTGGGAGGCTGAGGCAGGAGGAGCACTTGAGCCCAGGAAGTTTGAGGCCAGCTTGGGCAACACCATGAGCCAAAAATAAATAAATACAATACAGGTAAAGTGCTTGTGTATAGGCAGTGTGGTGCAGGTGTGTGTACGCCTGACCTAGGTCCCAGGAGTGACTAAGGGACACGCAGAGTGGGGCTCTCCAATCAGAAGCCCTCACTCTGGAATTGGTTATGGGAGGGTCCCTGGACCTCAGCATGTAATGCTTTGCTGTGGAGGCTGTCCTGTGTGTTCAGCAGTGTCCCCACACCAGGAGCACAGCCTGTGACAGCCTGGCACATCTCCAGACACTGCCACACGTCCCTGTGCTAAAGGCATCTCTTCGGACCTGGGCTGGAGGGTTCATTAACCCGTATGGTGGCTTAGGCATAATTTTCCATGGGCGAAATGAGTAGTATTGAAGACACTATGGTATTTGGTTGGCTACAGTATTGCTCGGGCACCTTCCCCTCACACGAACAGGTGTGGGACTCTGGCAGACCACACAGCCTGACACCTACGGAGCGGCCCTGGGTCTGCGGCTCCCACAGGGCCTCTGCCACTCCAGCCGTGACACACACACATGCTGTCACCAGCCTAGGATGTGCACAAAGCCTGTAGGTCTGAGACCAAGGACATGAGCTTGGAGGAGCTGGCTGGATTCCTCAGACCTCTGGGGCCCGTTTGCCAGAGCAGAGCCGAGACCTGCCTGAGACCTGCCTTCATTGCAACCCTGGCCCTGTGGCACGGCTGCAAGGGAGGAGAGACCGGGTGAAGGGCTGCTTCCCCTTTCCATCCAAAAACACACAAACAAAAGACGCCTGAGCTTGGTGAACACACGCACTGGTCAGGCTTAGCTCCATGCGGGGAGGATGTAAATTCAAACCCAGGTGGGCTGAACTCCAAAGCACTCTTCGGCCAACCACTGGTCACTGGAATGAACTGCCCCCAACCCTCTGTCATCTCGGGGACACAGACCCTGCCCCCCTCCGCAGGGCTGGACAGCAGAGCAGCTTCCCTCTACAAAACGGTCAAAAAGGCAAAGAAAGACTTCCACACCCTGCCGCTGCCTGGGAGAACCCTGAGCTTCCTTTCTGCAGTGACCTCTCCATTAGACGCACAGGCCCACGCATGCGCCCACGAACACATGTGAATTACTTCTAGGATCAGAAGGCAAAAAAATGTTCTTTAGGTCAAAGAAAATGTGTTATTATATAAGAGTAATGTATTCATTGTTATAGCAAGTTGTAATATGCACTTCTTTTTTTTTTTTTTTTTTGAGACGGAGCTTTGCTCTTTTTGCCCAGGCTGGAGTGCAATGGCGCAATCTCGGCTCACCGCAACATCTGCCTCCTGGGTTCAAGCAATTCTCCTGCCTCAGCCTCCTGAGTAGCTGGGATTACAGGCATGCACCACCACGCCTGGGTAATTTTTTGTATTTTTAGTAGAGACAGATTTTCTCCATGTTGGTCAGGCTGGTCTCAAACTCCTGACCTCAGGTAATCCGCCTGCCTCGGCCTCCCAAAGTGCTGGGATTACAGGCGTGAGCCACCACGTCCGGCTCACTTCTTTTTTTTTCTGAGAGAGAGACAGGGCTCACTCTATCACCCAGGCTGGAGTGCAGTGGTGGGATCACAGCTCACTGCAGCCTTGACCTCCTGGGTTCAAGCGATCCTCCCATCTCCGCCTCCTGAGTAGCTGGGACTACAGGTATGTGCCACTGCACCCGGCTAATTTTTTTAAAATTTCTTTAGAGACAGGGTCTCTCTATGTGGCCCAGGCCAGGGTGCAGTGGTGTGATCATAGCTCACTGCAGCCTCCAACTCCTGGACTGAAGCAGTCCTCCCACCTCAGCCTCATGAGTAGCTGGGACTACAGGTGTGAGCCCCACACCTGGTCCTATTTCTTATTGGAAGGGCCACTGCAGGCCAAGATGCTCGGTGCCCAGGGAAGTCATAGCACGGCCCTGCCCTTGACCCCTTCCAGCCATCCTGGGAATCTGTCCCCAGCCACCTCCAGGCCACAGGCTCCTTCCCCATCTCTTCCCCACCCAGGAGCTGTGTTACACAGATCACTTTAGCGTTTCCCACGCTAAACCACTGAAACTGAGGGTTTTATCTCCCACTCTCCTTGCTCCCAGTTCCGCATGGCCACTGGCCTGGCTGAGACAGAGCCGCTGGAAGTGCCCGGCAGGACCTCTCACTTGACCTTCAGCCTCTTACTTAACCCTCCCAATGCAGGGCGGTAGCCTCCACTGGGTCCTGTTCAGCCCCTACTCCTAGAAATGGTCTGGGGGGTAAGGGTGGGGCCCCCTGCAGAGCCCTTGGATGTGTGTTTGCGCCATGGCAGTAGTACACCCACCCCCTTCTGCTTCCGCAGAACCTGGCCGGCTCCTCCCCATCCCAGGGGGAGAGGCTCCTCCTGCTCCCACTTCCCTCCTTTACATTTGGCTACTACTCTTAGGGGTGGGGCTTTGTTTACTTTGCATTTTCCTGATTCCTAATGAGATTAAGCACATTTCCTTAGGTTTACCGGCTTCCCAATCTCCTCTTCTGGGAATTTTCAGTGCCTATTCCTTTGTCCAGTTATCTGCCTTCTTCTTCTTGATTGCTGGGAGCGGCTGATAAATCCTAGATGACCATCCTTTCTCAGTTTTCTCCCAGCCCCTCACCTTTTAATCTTAAATTGTTCTCTGTGGGTGTGTGTGTGTGTGTGTGTGTGTGTGTGTGTGAGAGAGAGAGAAACAGGGAGAGAGATACAAGCTTCAAATACTTATGTGGCCAAATCCGTCACAGGTTTTCCTTCTGTGTTTTACAATTTGGAAACTGCTTTCTGGTCTCTAAGATTAAGTTGCTAATCTGTTAACCACTGGTGTTTAATTCCCTGGGGGAGAAGCTTGTCTTCCCAGCCAGGCTGCAAAGTCCCCCAGGGTATGTCTCCATCTCCCCCCTCCCCCCATGAGGCCTTAGTCAAGAGATTCCACTGCTCCTCAGAAATACCGTGAATTTGTCCCCTCCTTCCTGCCTCCACCCCTGCTCGCCAGGACCAATCTCTGCCTCCCTCTCACCCTCTGCCCCACATGATTACCACAGTGATTTAAAAAAAAAAAATCCATCAGAGGCCAGGTGCTGTGGCTCACGCCTGTAACCCCAGCACTTTGGGAGGTCAAAGCGGGCAGATCACCTGAGGTCAGGAGTTCGAGACCAGCCTGACCAACATGGAGAAACCCTGTCTCTACTAAAAATACAAAATTAGCCGGGCGTAGTGGCACATGCCTGTAATCCCAGCTACTCAGGAGGCTGAGGCAGGAGAATTGCTTGAACCCGGGAGGCAGAGGTTGCGGTGAGCCGAGATTGCACCATTGCACTCCAGACTGGGCAACAAGACCGAAACTCCATCTCAAAAAAAAAACCCAAAAAGAATAGAAAAATGTCCATCAGGGCTGGATGCAGTGGCTCAAGCCTGTAATCTCAGCACTTTTTTTTTTTTTTTTGAGATGGAGTCTCGCTCTGTCGCCCAGGCGGAAGTGCAGTGGCTGGATCTTGGCTCACTGCAACCTTTGCCTCCAGGCTCCAGTGATTCTCCCGCCTCAGCCTCCCAAGTAGCTAGGACTACAAGTGTGCACCACTAGGCCAGGCTAATTTTTGTGTGTGTTTTTTTTTTTTTTTTAGTAGAGTTGGGGTTTCACCATCTTGGCCAGGCTGGTCTCAAACTCCTGACCTCAAGTGATCCTCCCGCCTTGGCCTCCCAAAGTGTGGGGATTACAGCTGTGAGCCACCATGTCTGGCCAAATCCCACCACTTTGGGAGGCCGAGGTGGGAAGACCGCTTAAAGCCAGGAGTTTGAGACCAGCCTGGGCAACACAGAGAGACCCATCTCTACAAGAAGTGAAAAAAAAAGTTGGGCACATGTTCTCAGGACCCCCTGAGGCTATGTCTTGGGTCATGGTCACTCATAAATAAATTGTTTTAATTAAAAATAAATGTTGAAAAATTAGCTGAGCATGGTGGTATGTACTTGTAGTCCCAGCTAAGGCAGGAGGATTTCTTTCTTTCTTTCTTTTTTTTTTTTTTTTTGAGATGGAGCCTCACTCTGTCGCCCAGGCTGGAGTGCAGTGGTGCAATCTCGGCTCACTGCAAGCTCCGCCTCCCGGGTTCACGCCATTCTGCCATTCTCCTGCCTCAGCCTCCCAAGTAGCTGGGACTACAGGCGCCCGCCACTGTGCCCGGCTAATTTTTTGTATTTTTAGTAGAGATGGGGTTTCACCGTGTTAGCCAGGATGGTCTCGATCTCCTGACCTCGTGATCCGCCCACCTCAGCCTCCCAAGGTGCTGGGATTACAGGCGTGAGCCACCGCACCCAGCTGGGAGGCTAAGGCAGGAGGATTTCTTGAGCCCAGGAGTTCAAGGCTGCAGTGAGCCAGGATTGTGCCACTGCACTCCAGCCTGGGCAACAGAATGAGACCACATCTCTAAAAAAATTTAAAAATAAATAAAAAATAAAAATGTCCCTTAGTTTGTCACTATATTGCCCAGGCTGGTTTGGAACTCCTGGCCTCATGTAATCCTCCCAGCTCAGCCTCCCAAAGCGCCGGGATTACAGGCATAAGCCACTGCACCTGACCCCAACCGAAAATTCTTAAGGCACATTTTTGACACTAAAAACAGTATTTTATAACTGCTAAAATAGATATGTTAATTCTAGTCTTTTCTTGTGCACAGAAACAAATTACCACTTTAGTTTCTCAAGGAGCACATGTATACATGTTAAATGCATTAATTTGTTTAATATAAACATGAAATACTTTTTATAACCTGGATTGGTACATATTTCTTTTCTTTTCTTTTTTTTCTTTGAGGCAAGATCTGGCCCTATCACCAGGCTGGAGTGCAGTGGTGCAATCTTGGCTCACTGCTACCTCTGCCTCCCGGGCTCAAGCAATCCTCCCACCTCAGTCTCCTGAGTAGCTGGGACTACAGGCATGTGCCACCATGACCGGCTAATTTCTGTTTTGTTTTTTTTTGTTTGCTTTTTTTTTTTTTTTTTTTTTTTTTTGTAGAGACGGAGTTTCACCATGTTGCCCAGACTA
This sequence comes from Homo sapiens, assembly GCF_000001405.40. Taxonomy (NCBI): domain Eukaryota; kingdom Metazoa; phylum Chordata; class Mammalia; order Primates; family Hominidae; genus Homo; species Homo sapiens. Next base: position 50,644,737 of record NC_000020.11, read on the forward strand.
TTCTCAAACTCCTGGGCTCAAGCGATCCTCAACCTCAACCTCCCGAAGTGTTGGGATTCCAGGTGTGAGCCACTGCACCCAGCCCTTTTATTTATTTTTTATTTTTTATTTTTTTTTTTTGAGACGGAGTTTCGCTCTTGTCACCCAGACTGGAGTGCAGGGGCGCAATCTTGGCTCATTGCAACCTCCACCTCCGTGGTTCAAGCAGTTCCCCGGCCTCAGCCTCCCGAGTAGCTGAGATTACAAGCACACGCCACCAAGCCCAGCTAATTTTTTTGTATTTTTAGTAGAGACAGGGTTTCATCATGTTGACCAGCCTGGTCTCAAACTCCTGACCTCAGGCAATCCGCCTGCCTCAGCCTTCCAAAGTGCTGGGATTACAGGCATGAGCCACTGCGCCTGGCCCCCATTTCTTATTATACAGTAGTTTACAAAAAAATCCCAGCAGCCAGCTCCAGAGAGGCCTTGTTCTGTGGTGTCTAAGGATGGAGCCCAGGCAGGGACGGCCAAAAGCTCGCTACCCCTGCCCAGGAAGGCAGGAGCACCGTTGTGTCCCGTTCCTATCCCTCAAAAATAAATCACAGCCAGCTCATGTCATAGGACAGAGCCTGTTCGCAATCCATCCTGTGTCTGCGGATTCTCCCAGGTCTGTAAGGCAGCAGGGAGATGCGGCCTCTCCCACTCCACCCAACACGTAGCCAGGGCGAGGTGGGGCCGGGGGAGAGGCTGACATTCAAAGGCATCTGAGTGGTAAGAGGTGAGCGAGTGAGGTGAATGGGGACTACGTTAGAAGGACCCTACGTTAGAAGGGTGAGGCGCTAGGGCCATAGCCTAAGGGCACTGGGAACCCTGTGGGCATGCGCAGTTCAAGCCCATCCCCGCTCCCTCCAGCTGCTGTCCATCCCTGCCACACCTGACCATTTGCCTAACCTAGATCCTTCCTGTCTTGCATTTCCTCAAGCATCCGGAGCCCAGGACTGCTGAGTCAACCCTCTGGAATGCCCACAACTCCCCACAGGCCAGCCGGCCTTGGGACTCCCGCACAGCCACGTGAGCCGGTGGAGCCGGGTCTGTTTGCTAGTGGAGGCTGTTAACAGCACGGGAAGTGGTCAAGGGTTCAACAAGAGATGAGCCATCTGGTCCTCCAGAGGTAAACAATTTACAAGAGACACATCAAGCCGGCCTGCTGTTCTGGTTTTTCTTTTGACAGTGAAATATGCAGTTTCTTTTTCATCCTGGTGCCTATTGGAGAGGGAGACTGTTCCAGGCACTCTGACCCCAGCTAAAGCGCCTCCCTGGGGCAGGATCTATGCAGGGAGGCAGAAAAGTCAGATTTTTTTTCACATCTTCTTTGTTCCATTCCCAGGACTGAGCAACTTCATGTATTTATGTATTTATTTATTTATTTATAGACAGGTTCTCACTATGTCGCCCAGGCTGGAGTGCAGTGGTGCGGTCACAGCTCACTGCAACCTCAATGTCCTAGGCTCCAGTGATCCTCCTGCCTCAGCCTCCTGAGTAGCCGGGACCATAGGTGTGTACCACCATGCCAGGGGAATTTTTGTATCTTTGGTTAGAGAAAGGGTTTTGCTGTGATGTTGCCCAGTCTGGTCTCAAACTCCTGAGCTCAAGCGATTCACCCTCCTGGGCCTCCCAAAGTGCTGGGATTACAGGTGGGAGCCACTGTGCGTGGCCCAGGACTGAGCAACTTTAAGTCAGATGGTTAACCTACATCATGAGGAAAGTGGATTTCCTCCCAAAGGAACAGACTTATTTTCTAGAACCCAAAGCCTTGAATTTCAAGAACCTTTAGCCTTAAATCCATTTCCTGTTGGAAGCAGACCCCCTCCTGGTCTCCCCAGGTATTGCAACCCTGCTCTACCAGCCACTATAAATGCCCACACAAAAGGAACAGGGGCTCCATTCCTGATGCTCAGAGTGGAGTCACTAGATTCTCAAGCATATGAGATATGTATGTGGCCTAACAGCCTGAAATAAACAGCTTGTGCTGGGATTGTAATTCTAGAGTTTCCAAAAGTGTTGCAAAATATTCCAGGCAGACACTAAAGTTTGTGTACTACAAGCTGTTTATTAATTAATTTCTTATTTGCCAAACATTCTTGCTTGGGTCTACTGGGAGATGATTTCGTTGGGAATGCATCTCCAATTTTGTAATAAAGATCACCAGGGAAAGAAGGCTTGCTTCATAGGGGCTCATATTACAGGAAATGTGGCTAGCATAGGTAGTTCCCATAAGAAAAAGGACAGTACTAAGTTTTGAGCTCATGTGAAAAAGAAAAGGGGGCCGGGCGTGGTGGCTCACACCTGTAATCCGCACTTTCGGAGGCCGAGGCGGACGGATCACTTGAGGTCAGGAGTTCAAGACCAGCTTGGCCAACATGGCAAAACCCTGTCTCTATTAAAAATACAAAAATTAGCCAGGCGTGGTGGCGGACGCCTGTAATCCCAGCTACTTGGGAGGCTGAGGCAGGAGAATCACTTGAACCCGGGAGGCGGAGGTTGTAGTGAGCCAGGATCGCATCACTGTACTCCAGCCTAGGCGACAAGAGCGAAACTCCATCTCAAAAGAAAAAAAAGAAAAGTGACGTCTGGGGACCAGGATTTTGGGACTCTTTGCAGACATGCCAATAACCTGTGAGATACACACCCACAGACTGACACAGAGGTGAGCAGAGGCCTTGGAGTCAACAGAAGTTCAAGTCTAGCCTTTGCCTCATTCTCTTTTTTTTTTTTTTTTTTTTTTGAGATGGAGTCTTGCTCTGTCACCCAGGCTGGAGTGCAGTGGCGCAATCTCGGCTCACTGCAAGCTCCGCCTCCCGGGTTCACGCCATTCTCCTGCCTCAGCCTCCCAAGTAGCTGGGACTACAGGCGCCCGCTACCATGCCCGGCTAATTTTTTGTATTTTTAGTAGAGACAGGGTTTCACCGTGTTAGCCAGGATGGTCTCGATCTCCTGACCTCGTGATCCACCCGCCTCGGCCTCCCAAAGTGCTGGGATTACAGGCATGAGCCACCGCACCCGGCCACCTCATTCTCACTATGTGACCTTGGACAAGTCACTTATCCTCTTTGAGCCTCCAGTTCCTCATCTATACATTGGAAGCCACTGAAATTATCTTACAGTTACTTTCAGTTGCGAGGACTTGCTCTTTTTCTCTTCATTAAAAGGAAAACACAAAATATAATTTATAGCTTATCCTACCACTTTGTGCTGCTAAGGTTAAAATCCAGGGTAGTGGCCAGGCGCGGTGGCTCATGCCTACAATCCTAGCATTTTGGGAGGCCAAGACGGGTGGATCACCTGAGGTCAGGAGTTTTAGACCAGCCTCACCAACATGGAGAAACCCCATCTCTACTAAAAATATAAAAATTAGCTGGGTGTGTTGGTGGGCACCTGTAATCCCAGCTACTCGGGAGACTGAGGCAGGAGAATTGCCTGAACCTGGGAGGCAGAGGTTGCAGTGAGCTGAGATCATGCCACTGCACTCCAGCCTGGGTGACAATAGCAACACTCCATCTCTAAAAAAAAGAAAGAAAAAAATCCAGGGTACTCTATGGTTTCCTGGGGCTGCTGTAAAAAAAAAAAAAAATACTACAAACTGGGTGGCTTCAAACAAGGGAAACTTATTGTCTTGCAGTTCTGGAGGTTAGAAGTCCAAATCAAGGTGTCGGCAGGGCCATGCTCCCTCTAAAGCAGCGGTCCCCAACCTTTTTGGCACCAGGGACAAGTTTTGTGGAAGACAATTTTTCCACTGACCAGGGTGGGGGTTGGGTGGGTGGTTTTGGGGTGATTCAAGTGCATTACATTCATTGTGCACTTTATTTCTACTACTACATTGTAATATATAATGAAATAATTATACAACTCACATTCCATAATGTGGAATCAGTGGGAGCCCTGAGCTTGTTTTCCTGCAACTAGATGGTCCCATCTGGGGGTGATGGAGACAGTGACAGATCATCAGGCATTAGATTCTCATAAGGAGCATGCAGCCGAGATCCCTCGCATGCGTAGTTCACAATAGGGTTCGTGCTCCTGTGAGAATTGAACGCCTCCACTGATCAGACAGGAGGTAACACAAGCAATGGGGAGTGGTTCTAAATACAGATGAAGCTTCGCTTACCTGCCTGCTGCTAACCTCCTGCTATGTGGCCCAGTTCCTAACAGACCATGGACAAGTACAAGTCCATGGCCCAGGGGTTGGGAACCCTTGCTCTAAAGGATCTAGGAAAGAATCCTTCCTTGCCTCTTCCTAGCTTCTGGTGATGGCTACCAATCCTTGGCATTTCTGGTCTTGTAGCTGCATGACGCCAATCTCTGCTTCTGTTGTCCCATGGTGCTTCCCAGTGTCTCTGTCTTCACAGCTCTTCCTCTTCTTATAAGGATATGACGGTATTGAATTAGAGGCAGGGCACAATGGCTCACACCTGTAATCCCAACACTTTGGGAGGCCAAGATGGACAGATCACCTGAGGTTAGGAGTTGGAGACCAGCCTGGCCAACATGGCGAAACCCCGTCTCTACTAAAAATACAAACATTAGCCAGGGGTGGTGGTGGGTACCTGTAATCCCAGCTACTCGGGAGGCTGAGGCAGGAGAATCGCTCAAACCCAGGAGGCAGAGTTTGTAGTGGGCTGAGATCATGCCATTGCACTCCAACCTGGCTACAGAGCAAGCCATCTCAAAAAAAAGAAAAGATGTAGGCCCCTGGGAAGGATGCCTGGCACACTCAGAGGTGGGACAATGGTGACAGTCCTGACACTTTCCCTCTGGAGAGCATGGACCCCTGGTCTTGGCCATGCAGCCAGGCCTGGCCCAGCCTGCCTGTCCCCCACCCCCACCCACAGGGACTGGGCCCTTCCTGCCCAGGAACTATTCTGATTCTGCAGCCCTCAGGCTTTATTGCTTTTCCTGCTTAATGAGGTGAGGTTCGCTCAGCCCAGTGGCAATTCCTGTAAAAGCCATTTGGATGACCCAATGGGGTGAGTTTACAGGGAAGCGCTCCCTGAGGGCTAGGCTGGCTGGAAGCAGATACTTTGCCCCCTTCCAAGGACGGTAATGAGGTTTGAGGCTTCCAATGGGGGCAGGGGATGATCTGGGCGCCAAAAGCCCTGGCCTGGGGTCAAAAGATCTGGGCTCCAGCCCCAGCCGGGCTAACTAGGCAGTCTCCTGTCTGAGCTGTACTCCCCTCATGGGTGAAATGGGGATACAGGCACATACTTTATAGCCTGCAGTCTGTGTGTAACAGAGAACCATAAGCTGGTGGGTCGGGGAGTGGGGCTGGGGGTTATTTCTCATGGTTCTGGAAGCGAGGAGTTGGAGATCAGGGTGACTGCATGGTAAGGTTCTGGTGAGGGCCCTCTTCCAGGTTGCAGACTATGGTCCTCTCATTTCATCCCCACGTGGAGGGAAGAGGCAAGAGAACACTCTGGAAGTTATAAGAGCACTAATCCCATTAATCCCATTCACCAGGCCTCCACCCTCGAGATCTATTCACCTCCCAAAGGCCCCACCTCCTAATCACAGCACGGGGGTTTGGGTTCAACATAGGAATTTTTTTTTGAGATGGCATCTCACACAGTGTTGCCAGGCTGTAGTGCAGTGGCGCAATCTCTGCTCACTGCAACCTCCACCTCCCGGGCTCAAACAATCCTCCCACCTCAGCCTCCTGAGTAGCTGGGACCACAGGTGTGCACCACCACACCTGGCTAACTTTTTGTACTTTTAGTAGAGACGAGATTTCACCGTGTTGCTCAGATTGGTCTCAAACTCCTGAGCTTAAGTGATTTGCCCACGTTGGCCTCCCAAAGTGTTGGGATTACAGATGTGAGACACCACATCCAACCTCAACATATGAATTTTAGAGTGACCCAAACATTCAGTCCATCACAGTCTCCTGCAGGATTACAGATGTATAATCAGTCTGTAATCCACAAAGTTCTAAGCAAAGGAAAAGAAGTACCAATATCACTATTGCTATTGTTATTATCAGCACCCAAGACCTTCCCCAGTCTCAGTGAGTGGAATATTAAGATGATCCCAAAGACGCTCGACTTCTCTAACCCGTAATACTCACAGGTTCCACCCCTTTGATTGTGGGCAGAACCTGTGAATATTATGATCTGACTGCCATGGTTACCTTATATGACAAAAGGGAGATTAGCCTGGGTGGGCCTGACCTAATCAGAGAGCCCTCAAACAGGACTGGCTTTTTGTTTTTTGTTTTTTTTTTGAGACCGAGTCTCGCTCTGTCACCTAGACTGGAGTGCAGTGGCATGATCTCAGCTCACTGCAACCTCTGCCTCCCGGGTTCAAGCAGTTCTCCTGCCTCAGCCTCCTGTTGGCTCTTACTGGCCAAGGAGATTCAAAGTATGAGAGGGATTCAGCGTGAGAGAGATTTTCCATTGCAGGCTTTGGAGGTGAAGGTGGCCAATACAGGAGGCCTCTAGAAGCTGAAAGCAGCCCCCCAGTGACAGCTAGGAAGGAAATGGGGACCTCAGTCCTATGGCCACACGGAACTGAATGACCTTGGAAGTGGATTTGTCCCCAGATCCTCCAGACAAGAACTCAGCCGGACCAACATCTTGCATTTCAGCCTTGCGATGAGCAGAGAACTCAGCCATGCCAGACTCTGGACCAACACAGCTGTGAGCTCATACATGGATATTGTTTTAAGCTGCTGGGTCTGGGATCATTTGTTACACAGCAATAGAAAACCAATACATACTCTGTCAAGGAAGCCTGAGAATGGAAGGCCCCTACTCAATCTACCCTCCCACTATAGTCTGGTGGTTAGAGACAAGGGCTCTGGAGTCAGATGGAACGGTGTTCGAATCTTGGCAATTCCATCCACTGGCTGTGGAACGTTGTCCACACTCCCTTCCTCACCTCTTATATCCTCGGTTTCCTCATCTGTGAAATAGCAGTGGAAATAAAATGCATGGAAATCATCAGAGCAGGGTATGCATCGTAAGGACACATAGTAATAGCTCAAGAAACACTGTATATGTTAAACATTAGAAACGAGCTGAGAACTAACACCAATGCACCTGTGTTCTTCAATGCACTGCCTACACACCAGAGAAGAGGGGGAGGAGCCCAGATCTGCTGCTCTGGGAGCTACAGGCCAATTAGGGAATCAGGAACCTGAACAGAAAACCACAACTTCAGGGAAAGTAGATGGTACATGTGTTATGTTATTGTGGACATGGCGGGGCAAAGACAAGACCTTAGGTCTTTGAACTCCCCCTCGGAGTCTGGCACAGGCCTGAGTGGAGCTCCCTCCTCAAGACTTCCTTTGCACTGGCTTCCCTGAGGAAGCATTTGCATTTAGGGTTCTGCTGTGGAACCTCTTTCTCTTGATCTACATGAAGCCTGAGGCCAAGGCCTTACACCTGTAAGGGAGGAGGTGGCCCTGGGCCCAGGAAAAGGGTGGGTCCAGTCTCCCAGTTCTGTCCCTGGCATGTACTCTCCCCAGGCCTATCCCACCCCCAAGTCCTCCCAGGCTCCAAACCCTGAGGCCCCACCGACTGTCACTCAAGAAATCACCGAGGCTGGGCATGGTGGTTCATGCCTATAATCCCAGCACTTTGGGAGGCTGGGGCAGGTGAATCACTTGAGGTCAGGAATTCAAGACCAGCCTGGCCAACATGGTGAAACCCCATCTCTACTGAAAATACACAAATTAGCCAGGCGTGGTGGCGGGCGCCTGTAATCCCAGCTACTTGGGAGGCTGAGACAATAGAATCGCTTGAGCCTGGGAGGTGGAGGTTGCAGTGAGCCGAGATTGCAACACGGCACTCCAGCCTGGGCGACAGAGAGAGATTCTGTCTCAAAAAAAAAAAAAAAAAAAAAAAGAAAAGAAAAGAAAAGAAAGAAAGAAAAGAAAAGAAAAAAGAAATCACCAAGCCCTCTCTATACCCATAAGCACAGCCTTGACCGAAGTCCTGACGGCTGAGCATGCAGCTCAAATCCCTGGGGAGATACCACTGCACATACACGAGGGCGGTCGTCATCCAAAAGACAGACCACAGCAAGCGCTGGAGAGGATGTGGGGCAACTGAAACCCTGGTACGCTACTGGTGACATGTAAGAGGGCGCAGCTGCTTTGGAAAACAGCTTGGCAGTTCCTCAAATGGTTAAGTATGAAATTAAGCAAATGGTTAAATGTAAATACGACCCAGCAGTTCCACTCCTAAGTATACATCCAAGAGGAATGTTAACATATGTCCACGCAAAACCCATACACAGACATTCAGAGCAGCATTACTCATAGTAGCCAAGAAGTAAAAACAGCTCAAATATTTATCAGCTGATGAGTGGGTAAACAAAATGTGGGACAGCCATACAAAGGGACACTATAGGGCCATATAAAAGGGACCAAGCCCTGATGCATGCTGTGAGACAGATGAACCTTGAAAACGGTATGCTAAGTGAAAGAAGCCAGAACCAGCAGGCCACAGAAGGTATGGCTCCACGGACAAGCAAGTCCAGAGCAGGCAAATCCAGAGAGACAGAAAGTGGATCAGTCATTGCCAGAAGTTGAGGGAGGGGAGAATGGGAGTCATTACTAATAGGTATGGGGTTTCTTTCTGGGGTAAAACTGCTCTGGATTTAGATAGTGGTGATGGTTGCACAGCTTTGTGAATATGCCAAAAAAAAGAAAAAAACACTAAATTGTATACTTTTTTTTTTTTTTGAGACAGCCTCCCTCTATTACCCAGGCTGGAGTGCAGTGGCACAATCTTGGCTCACTGCAACCTCTGCCTCCTGGGTTCAAGCGATTTTCCTGCCTCAGCCTCCTGAGATTACAGGCGTATGCCACCACACTTGGCTAATTTTTTTTTTTTTCGAGACAGGGTCTCCCTCTGTTGTCCATGCTAGAGTGCAGTGGTGCCATCTTGGCTCACTGAAACCTCTGCCTCCCGGGTTTGAGCAATTCTCCCACCTCAGCCTCCCAAGTAGGTGGGACTACAGGCATGCACCACCCACTTGGCTACTTTTTGAATTTTTTTGTAGAGACAGGGTTTTGCCATGTTGCCCAGGCTGGTCTCAAACTCCTGGAGTCAAACAATCCATCCGCCTCGGATATTTCTCACTGGCATAATCAGTGCTGAAAGATCATTGAAAAGGGGCTTGCATGATCCAGAGGTCACTGTTATTTAATGCGCTCTCCTCATCTCCTGCAGGTTGTGACTTCAATATACCCTCTCATGAGACCTTTCCTGGCCCCTTATCTGTAAGTGTGACCACCGGGACCCCGTCTCCCAATTCCCTCTTCCTGCTTTATTTTTCTCTTTAGCATTTAATACCATCTGACATTCCAAACATTACCTTGTCCTTGTCTGGTGTTTGTCACCCCAACTAGAAGTGCTAGGGGGCAAGTACTAGGAAGCAGGGTTTTTTCTTTTTCTTTCCTTTTTTTTTGAGATGAAATTTCTCTCTTGTCTCCCAGGCTGGAGTACAGTGGCGCAATATCGGTTCACTGCAACCTCCACCTCCCGGGTTCAAGTGATTCTCCTGCCTCAGCCTCCCAAGTAGTTGGCACTACAGGTGCCTGCCATCATGCCCAACTAATTTTTGTATTTTTAGTAGAGATGGGGTTTCACTCCGTTGGCCAGGCTGGTCTCGAACTCCTGACCTCATGACTCTCCCAGGAGGCAGAGTTTTTTTTTTTTTTTTTTTTTTTTTTGAGATGGAGGCTTGCTCTGTCACCCAGGCTGGAGTGCAGTGGCGCAATCTCGGCTCACTGCAAGCTCCCAGGAGGCAGAGTTTTTGTCTGCGTGGTTCACTGCTAAGTCCCCAGCACTAAGAGGACAGGACCTAACACATAGGAGGCACTCAGCAAACATCCATGAACGAATGAATGAATCTGTATCTCCAGTGGCTTTGTCCTCTCTTATATCAGCTTTGTTCCACATCTTACACTTAGGAGGTGATTCAATTAAACATTGCTTTTTGTGTGTGTTTGGTGGGGTTTTTTTGTTTTTTTGTCTTTTTGTTTTTTGAGACAGCATCTCAATCTTTTGCCTAGGCTGGTGTACAGTGGTGCCATCACCACTCACTGCAGCCTCAACTTCCCAAACTCAGGTGATTCTCCCACCTCAACTCCCCGAGTAGCTGGGACTACAGGCACGCACCACCACACCAGCTACTTTTTGTATTTTTAGTAGAGATGGGGTTTCACCATGTTGCCATGGCTGGTCTCAAACTCCTGGCCTCAAGCCATCCATTTGCCCAACTAGGCCCCCCAGAGTGCTGGGATTATGGGCGTGAGCCACTGCACCCGGCCAACCATTGTTGAGTGAGCAAGTAAATGAACTCATCAACGAATTTCTCCCTGGGTAGCGAAGCTCCCGCTTTTTGAGGTAACCCAGACTTTTCATTTGTATGTTTCCTGAGTCCCTGACTGTACATTCTTCCTGCATATTGTCTCCAGGACTAAGAGAATGGAGCCTTTTGCCAAGAAGAGGTTGCGTTCTCAGGCCTCCAGTTTAGATTAAATAGTGGTTTTACAAGGGGAAACAAAGTGACAAACCCCCAGAAGTTGTGGGGAGCTGAGACGGGGTGGGAATAGGGTTCCCCAGGGACAAACTCCTTCTTGTCCCCCTGCCCAGCGCCCCAGGGCACACTGCCCAGTGGGTGAAAGCAGCCAGACACACGGGCTCACTGCAGTTACCAAGCAATCCTAAGTGTATCAAGATGGGCGCGCTGACGACAGCTGCACCGAGTGAATCTGGAATGAATTGGGGGGTTGTTAAGATCGCCGACTTAAGCCTCTTCTCACAGGAAAAATATTTATTTCACTGAGCTCTGCTTTTTGGAAAGCTGCGCCTGTAACAGTCTGCATCGATCTAGCAGAGTTTTGGCTACTGCTGGGTTTTGTCTCCCTCCTGTCTCGGTTAGCGTGGGCTGTGTGTGTGTGTGTGTGTGTGTGTGTGTGTGTGTCCACAGCACACCCTCCCATTATTAAGCAATCAGCCAAAAGACTCAGCCAGGACACTCTGCTCTTCTTTAACCAGAAAAAAGATGAACACGAACTGAGTTCGTGGCATGAGGCACGAGACCTTCATGTTTTATCTTCAAAGATGCCTGCTTGAAACTAGCAATTGTTTCTTTCCCTTTTTATCTAGTAAATTGCTCCCTCTACCTCCTCCCAGTTTGGGAAAAAAATACAAGTATGAAGAAGAAAGTAAAAATCACTCCTATGGTTAGGTTAGGCTTGACTGCAGAATTGTTTCCTTTTTTTTTCTTTTTTTCTTTTTTTTTGAGACGGAGTCTCACTGTTGCCCAGGCTGGAGTGCAGTAGCATGCGATCTTGGCTCACTGCAACCTCCACCTCCTGGGTTCAAGCGATTCTCCTGCCTCAGCCTCCTGAGCAGCTGGGACTACAGGCCCGCATCACCATGCCCGGCTAATTTTTGTATTTTTAGTAGAGACGGGGTTTCACCATGTTGGCCAGGCTGTCCTTTCCTTTTCTACTCTTTGGAGTCGAGGGGCCTGGGTTTGAATCCTAGCTCTGCCACTTGCTGGCTGTGTAACCCTGAGAATCATGTCACCACTTGGAACCTCTGTTTCCTCATCTGTCAAATGGTGTAATAATAGTGCCTGCCTCTTTGATTGTTGGGAGGAGTAAACAAGAGAAAGTATATATAGAGCTTAGTGAAGGTTCAGCAACAATAAATGCAAATGGTACCTATTTTATAGGAGAAATATATACAATTTTTTATCTTCTTTTTCATAAAACAGTATAGCGTATACAGTTTCCTGTTTCACTGCCTCATTTTAGAGGCAGAGTCTTGCTGTGTTGCCCAGGCTGGCCTCAAACTCCTGTCTGTGCTCAAATGATCCTCCTGCCTCAGCCTCCTGAGTAGCTGGGATTACAGGCACCCACCACCATGCCCGGCTAATTTTTGTACTTTTAGTAGAGACGGGGTTTCATCGTGTTGGTCAGGCTGGTCTCGAACTCCTGACCTCATGATCCGCCCACCTCGGCCTCCCAAAGTGCTGGGATTACAGGCGTGAGCTACCGTGCCCGGCCAACTCACAAGCATTTCTAATGACTGCAAAATAGTCCATTGGGGGCCCATCCCTACATTAGTTTTTAAACCGTTTCCTATGGATGGAAATAGAAGTTGCTTCCGAAATATTATAAAGATTGCTGTGATAAACACCTCCAGACTCAAATCTTGGTCTATGTTTGAGGCTCTGTCTTTAGGATGAATTCTCAGAAGTTAAATTGTTGGTCAAATAGTATGATCACTTCCAAGAGCCTTGATATACCATACTTAGCACTGCAAGTTGCTTTCGAGAAAGATTACCTACAGATGTGTATGAGAGAACCCTGTGGCCAAGCGAGGTGGCTCATGCCTATAGTCCCAACACTTTGGGAGGCCAAGGTGGGAGGATCACTTGAGCCCAGGAGTTCAAGACCAGCCTTGGCAACATAGTGAGACCCCATCTCTCCACACACACAAAGAAAGAGAGAGGCTGGGCATGGTGGTTCACACCTATAATCCTAGCACTTTAGGAGACCTAGGCAGGTGGATCACTTGAGGTCAGGAGTTCGAGACCAGCCTGGCCAACATGGCAAAACCTCATCTCTACTACAGATACAAAAATTAGCCAGGCCTGGTGGCATGTGCCTGTAATCCCAGCTACTTGGGAGGCTGAGGCAGGAGAATTGCTTGAACCTGGGAGGTGGAGGTTGCAGTGAGCTGAGATCACACCACTGCACTTTAGTCTGGGCAACAGAGTGAGACTCTTCTCAGAAAAAAAAAGAGAGAAAGAGAGAGAGAACCCATCTTACCACATCCCAGCTGCATTGAGGATTATTACCTTTTAGTTGTTGTTAATTTGACAGGCAAAATGACATCTCATTCTTAAATCTGCATTAAAAAAATTTCACCCAGTATTTTTCTAATACTAGTTTTATTGGCTACAATGTGTTGAGTGTTTACTACATGCCAAGCATAGGGTAAATGTCTTTTACTTTTTTTTTTTTTTTTTTTTTTGAGAGACAGGGTCTTGCCTGTTGCCCAGGCTGGAGTGCAGTGATGCGATCATACCTCACTACAGCCTTGAACTCCTGGGCTCAAGGGATCTTTCTGCATCAGCCTCTCTCTTAAGTAGCTAGGACTCCAGGTGCACCACCATGCCTGGCTAATTTTTTTTTATTTTTATTTTTTTGTAGTAACAGGGCCTCGGTATATTGCCCAGGCTGGTCTCAAACTCCTGGGCTCAAGTGCTCCTCCTACCTCGGCCTCCCAAAGTACTGGGATTACAGGTGTGAGACACCATACCCAGCCTCCATAAAATGTTTTAATCAAACTTCTGGGTATGTACCCAAAAGAAGCGAAAGCAGGGACTCTAACAAATATTTGTACATCTATATTCATAGCCACATTATTCATCATAGCAAAAAGGTGCAAGAGACCCAAATGTCCATTGACAGATGAATGGATAAACAAAATGTGGTGTGTATATATGCAATGAGATATTATTCAGCCTTAAAAAGGAAGAAAATGTTGACCCATACGACAACATGGATGAACCATGAAGACATTATGATAAGAAAATATGCCCATCACACAAGGACAAGTGATGTATGATCCTTTTATATGAGGTTCCTAGAATACTCAAATTCAGAGACAGAAATCAGAATGGTTGGACTGAGCGAGGTGGCTCACACCTGTAATCCCAGCACTTTGGGAGACCACGGTGGGAGGATCGCTCGAGCCCAGGAGTTTGAGACCAGCCTGGACAACAGAGTGAGATCCTATCTCTACAAAATAAAACTTTTTAAAAATTAGCCAGGTGTGGTGGTATATGCCTACTACTCAGGAGGCTGAGGTGGGAGGATTGATTAGACTCAAGAGATCAAGGTTACAGTGAGCTGTAATTGCCCCACTGCACTGCAGCCTGGGAAACAGAGCGAGATTCTGTCTCAAAAAAAAAAAATTATAATCAATCTTTACATGTTATTTTATAAGATGTTATTATTACCCTCCAGCCTTCTTTAAAAGATGATGAAACTAAGGCTCAGAGAGATGAAACACGTTCCTAGAGTCACATAGCTTATAAATGGTGAAGACAGGTTTAGATGCCAGGTCTTACTCTCCAAGGCTACGTTATCCTGCAAATTCTGGTGGACCTGGGAGGTAAAGGGGAAATACAATCAAGCTCTAGGTGGCAGATGGAGTTAGCAAGTACCCAGTGCCAAACGGAACTGTTGGCCCTGAGAGCTCAGAGTTCAGTTCTAAATTTATTCTCTCTGACCTTATTGTGGATTCTAAATTTGGCCAAACAAGTTCTTCCAGACCGATTAGTGACGTGGATACATTGTTTTGAAGATAAAACCCTTTTCCTGGTATGAAAGAAAAAAAATAATAATGCAGCATTTGCTTGCAGAAGCCACCCTGCCGCTGGTTAACAGCCATCTGAAAATGATTCTGGGTTTTCCACCTGATGGTGGACACATGTGCTTGTTGGCCGATTTCTTGGGGACAGTGATTAAAACCATTTCCTGAACCGAAGTCTGAATTTCTCCTCCTGAATGAACCAGAAACAAAACATCAGGAAATATCCAGGCATGAAAATTCTAACCAGGGCCGGGTGCGGTGGCTCACAACTGTAATCCCAGCACTTTGGGAGGCTGAAGGGGGTGGATCACCTGAGGTCAGGAGTTTGAGACCAGACTGGTTAACATGACAAAACCCCATCTCTACTAAAAATACAAAAATTAGCCAGGCGTGGTGGCAGGCACCTGTAATCCCAGCTACTCGGGAGGCTGAGGCGGAAGAATCACTTGAACCCTGGAAGCAGAGGTTGCAGTGAGCCGAGATCACACCATTGCACTCCAGCCTAGGTGACAAGAGCGAAACTCCGTCTCAAAAAAAAAAAAAAAAAAAAATTCTAACCAGAACCAAACTTAAAATTCTCCCAAAATTACAAATTAAGACCAAAATAGGCCTCTTTGGGTGGTTTCCAGGCCAGGGAGGAGTTATGGGGTCCTCGGATAATCACCAGCTGAGTCCTGACTTCTCTGGGAAGGTATTGGGGTGACTGACCTGTTTGTGACCCCTTCTCAGACACCCTATCTCCAATCAGGTGGAGGAGGCACGTGACCCACATGGTCTGGCCACTGATGACTGAACAAGCTATGGACACCGGACCCCGGAGAGACCATTCACTCACTGGCCACGAACATGAGTTCAGATACATGCCCCAAAAGGATGAGCCTGGGTACTGGATTCCCTCCCTCAGAAACGTGAATCAAGAGACACAGGATGTTCCTGTTGGTCCAGATACTTGAGCTAAAAGGTGATGGATACCTGGATGTGGGGTGGTCATTCTGGGGAGTACGTCCATATAGAAAGAGGAGCAGGTGCTGTGGGATTCTGGATCCCAGTGATAGAGCTAAGTGGCTGGATCAAGCTTCACCTGAAACCCACTCTACTTGTCTTAGTCCATTTTGTGTTGCTATAAAAGAATACCTGCAACTGGGTAATGTATAAAGAAAAGAGACTTATTTCATTTTATAGCTCTGCAGTCTGAGACATTTAAAGGGATGGCCTTGACTTCTGGCAAGGGCTTGCACGTTGCATCACCACACGCAGGAAAAGGGAAAACAGAAGGGAGACTGCAAAAAAGGGGAAAACCTGAAGGTCATCATAGCTTTATAATAACCCACTCTCACAGCAATGAGTTAGATGGAGAACCAATTCAGTCTCACGAGAGTGACAGCAAGAACTCACTCACTGGTGAGAGGGTAGCACTTCCAAGCCATTCATGAGGGATTCACCTCCATAGCCCAACACCTCCCACTAGGCCCCGCCTCCCAACACTGCCACAGTGGAGATCAAATTGCAACATGAGTTTTGGTGGAGACAAACACCCCCTATCCAAATCACAGCACTACCCCCGAACTTTCCATTACACGAACCAAAGAATCTTCCTTTAAATTAGTGTCATTGGGTTTTCTGGGATTTACCTTTTTTTTTTTTTTTTTTTTTTTGAGACAGGGTCTTGCTCTGTCACCCAGGCTAGAGTGTAGTGGCACAAACACAGCTCACTGTAGGCTCGACCTCCTGGGCTCAAGGGATCCTCCCACCTCAGCACCCCCCACCTATGCCCTCAAAGTAGCTGGAACTACAGGAACCACCACACCTGGCTAATTAAAAAAAAAAAATTTTGTAGAGGCCGGGTGCGGTGTCTCATGCCTGTAATCCCAGCACTTTGGGAGGCCGAGGTGAGTGGATCACCTGAGGTCAGGAGTACAAGACCAACCTGACCAACATGGTGAAAACCTGTCTCTATTAAAAATACAAAAATTAGCTGGGCGTGGTGGCACATGCCTGTAATCCCAGCTACTCGGGAGGCTGAGGCAGGAGAATCGCTTGAACGCGGGAGGCGGAGGTTGCAGTGAGCCAAAATCACGCCACTGCACTCCAGCCTGGGCAACAGAACGAGACTGTCTTAAAAAATAAAAAAAAAAATTGTAGGGACACAGTTTCACTATGTTGCCCAGGCCAGTCTTCAACTCCTGGGCTTAAGCAATCCTCCTGTCTTTACCTCCCAAAGTGCTGGGATTACAGGCATGAGCCACCACACCCAGCCTAACATGTTTTTAATAACCAAAAGAAAATAAACATCTCCATAGCCTTGTGACACATCCTTTTTTAACCTGAAATTGGTAGAGTAGGTTTCTGATTCATAGAACCCAAACAAACATTCCTCCCTAAAGCAGGCAGAGGCTCTTTGGGAGAGTTTACTTTCAAAACAGTGTCCCTGCAAGTCCCAAGTGACAAGTTCCCCTTTCCTGGTCTGAAGCATTCTGAGGAGAGGCAAAGAGGTTAAGGCTTAGCTGCAGGAACACGCTGTCCCCACGACAACCCCTTCTCAGCCTCGGAACTGCTGTTATCAGAGTTGTGTTGTCTCTTGAAGGTCCGGACAAAGGGTGAAGCCAGGACTCCTGAGTCTAAAGGGCAGGTCGGGGCCTGGGAGAGAAGGGGAAGCTGGCCTGGGGCAGAGATATGTTTTCCATTTCCCCTGGGGTCCCGCGCAGGACAGCTGCTGTCCATAGCCAGTTCAGCCAACCGTGGGAGGAATCACATTCACTCGACAGGCAGGCAGTGGCGGCACTGGGATTTGAACATGGGGCTGATGGGCTCCAGGCGTGGCACCTGTGCCACTACAGTGCGGGGAAGCTCTGACTGCTGCAGCCTCCGTTGTCGCCACATCTGCCCTCGAATTTCCCTTCCAGCTGGTTCTGCAATCAGCAGCCCCTCCAGACATCCCTGGGAGGCTCCAAGGAGCTGACTCCTGATGAGGAAAAGGATCAGCCGCAGACTCACTCCTCCTCCAGCCACTTCCAGACCCACGGGAGGCGTGGGTGTGACCCAGACTACCTGGGAGCATCTGCTTTTGTCTTTATCCAGGGCAGGACCCTCTGAAGGAGGAGCCCTCAGAGAAGAAGGGAAAAGCCAAAAGGAATTAAAAGCCAATTTCCAAATGGAAATAAATAAGCAGTCATAATTGGCCACATTGGTGAAATTGGGCACTAAGGGCCAGGCAATGGGCTGTGGGATAATGTCACTTGAGGCTTACGGCCACGCTCAGAGGAAGGTGCTGAGGTCCAGGGAGGTTCAGGCAGGTGACATGACTCACCCAGAGCCACTGGCTGGAGAGTGGCAGGGCTAGCTTGGAGCCCAGGTGGTGGACTTCATAGGTGCAGCCGTGACTGCTGTCATCCCTCCCATGGGGAGTTGTTGCAGAGAGTGAGACACAGCGCCCTAAGCTATTTCTCCATCTGGTGTGCCTGGATGCCTCTGCCCACCCAGGACCCTCCTCTCGGGTGGCCCACCACTGCCCTTCCATCACAGTTCATACCTTCTCTCGTGGACCCACAGGGGTGTCCACTGGACCAGGACCCCAGGGAGGATCCCAGTCCTGGCCCCACCACTCTCTGGCTGGTGACACGGGGGAAGTCAATTCTTTCCAAGCCTCAGCTTTCTCACCTGTACAATGGGAGTTTGTGCTAGACAAGAAGTTTTCAGGACGGACACAGTGGCTCACGCCTGTAATCCCAACACTTGGGGAGGCCGAGGCGGGTGGGTCACTTGAGGTCAGGAGTTCGAGACCAGCCTGGCCAACATGGTGAAACCTCATCTCTACTAAAAATATAAAAATTAGCCAGATTGTCATAGCGCATGCCTGTAGTCCCAGTTACTCGGGAGACTGAAGCCAGGAGAATCACTTGAACCGGGGAGGTGGAGGTTGCAGTGGGCCAAGATCTCACCACTGTACTCCAGCCCGGGTGACAGAGAGAGACTGTCTCAAAAAAAAAAAAAAAAAAAAAAGTTTTCAAACTGCTGACTGCACCTGTTTGTAGGCCCTGAGCTCAACTGAGTGAGTCACACAGGTATTCACTGACGTGATTCTGCCTCCAAGGCCACATTTTCTCCAGTGCACCTCTGTCCTTCAGCAAGTGACCTGAGGCTGGGACTGCCACATGCTGCCTCCCATCAGCACCTTACCCAGACCTACTGCTGGCTACAACGTGCTTAATGATTGTCAGGTGGCTCACATACCCTGTTCTGTTCGGCTTCACAGTGTCTGCCAGCCCGTGGAGTATGGCACAGTGGCTACTAGCCAGGGTCAGGCAGTGCGACTCCACCTCTCCAAGCGCCCCAGTGCAGCGTCTGATCATAGGGAATAACTCTACCTGCTTCACAGGACTATTCTGTGAATACTAATTAGGATAACATATGTGAAGGTCTTGGCGTTGTGAGCACATGAGCCCAAGGTCAGCTCCCTAAAATGATGAAGTTCATATCACAAGAGGCCCCTAGAGGTCAGGACAGCCTTTCGGTACCTTTCTATGGCAAACAAGCGGCTGGTTCTCTGCCACCTATTTTCTCCCCTTCATTGGGCAAGACTGAGCTGGCAGAATAATGGCCACATCAGTATTTACTCTCTACTTTCTGGCTTCCCTAGATTGGTGCCAGCCATTTGTCCCCCCATCCAAGACAACCCTGATCCCCATCCCCAGAAGGAAAACACCTCACCTCTCTCACAATTTGAGAATGGCTGTCAACTCGAGCACATTATTAGATTTAATTGTATCTAATACTTGAATACCTAATATATTACTTTCTCTCTCTCTCTCTTTTTTTTTTTTTTTTTTGAGATGGAGTTTCATTCTTATTCCCCAGGCTGGAGTGCAATGGCGTGGTCTCGGCTCACTGCAAACTCCGCCTCCCGGCTTCAAGCGATTCTCCTGCCTCAGCCTCCCGACTTGCTGGGATTACAGGCTCTCGCCACTACACCTGGCTAATTTCTGTATTTTTAGTAGAGACGGGGTTTCACCATGTTGGTCAGGCTGGTCTCGAACTCCTGGCTTCAGGTGATCCACCTGCCTCGACCTCCCAAAGTGCTGGCACTATAGGCGTGAGCCACCGCACCTGGCCCCAATATATTACTTTCAAGGACAAAAACTGCAATTACTTTTGCACCAACCTAATATTTAAGGTAGGACACCGTGAAGCCCAGTGAGATCTCTGTGGTGGACAAACAGCGTGGCTGCTAGGCTGTGAGCCCTCCCGCCTGTCTGCTCTCCATGCTGTGCGCCACTCCTGAGAGCTGGGTCAGCAGTCGCACTGTTGGCTTTGCTCTGACCTCGAGTCTATTTCTTTTCCATGTGTGTGTGCAGCCGCTGCCTGGAGTGGAAATCTCCACTGAGGGACAGACCTTCTTTCAAGGCTCACATCAGGCAGGATCCCACGGGAAAGGGGGCTGGCTGAGTCAGGAGGGTTCTCTGCCTGAGTTCCCGTGTGACATTGGGCAAATCACTCAACGCTCAGAGCTGCGCATTTTTATCTCCATCTGCTTGGAGCAGGAATTGCAAAGAGTTTCAGCTCAGGTTCCAACGCCAAGGTGGGAGATATTGGTTGCTTTGGGTATAGTGTTGAGATAGATTCTGAGGCTGTGTATGGGCTCACTAGGAAAGGGTGCTGTGTCTGCCATGAAGTGGGAAATCGGTGGGGGAAGAAAAAAGAAACCCGGCTGGGCACGGTGGCTCACACCTGTAATCCCAACACTTTGGGAGGCCGGGGCAGGAGGATCACCTGAGGTTAGGAG
Organism: Homo sapiens; assembly: GCF_000001405.40. Lineage (NCBI taxonomy): Eukaryota > Metazoa > Chordata > Mammalia > Primates > Hominidae > Homo > Homo sapiens. Next base: position 50,664,897 of record NC_000020.11, read on the forward strand.
TTTGAGACCAGCCTGGCCAACATGGCAAAAACTTGTCTCTACTAAAAATACAAAAATTAGCCAGGCATGGTGGCGCATGCCTGTAATCCCAGCTACCTGGGAGGCTGAAACAGGAGAATCACTTGAACCCAGGAGGCAGAGATTGCAGTGAGCCAAGATCATGCCACTGCATTCCAGCCTGGGTGACAGAGCGAGACCCTGTCTCAAAAATAAAACCCAAAAAACAAAACAAAACAAACAAAAAAACCCCATGGTGCTGGCCGGGTGCGGTGGCTCACGCCTGTAATCCCAGCCTTTTGGGAGGCTGAGGCAGGAGGATCACTTGAGCCCTAGAGTTCAAGACCAGCTTGAGCAACATGGCAAAACCCTGACTCTACTAAAAATACCAAAAAAAAAAAAAAAATGCTGGACGTGGTGATGTGTGACTGTGGTCCCAGCTACTCAGGAGGCTGAGGCAAGAAGATTGCTGGAGCCTAGGCCTGTCTGGCTAACTTGGCTCTACCTTGGCTCAGAGCCCCCTCTTCCTTTTTTTTTTTTTTTTTGAGATGGAGTCTCGCCCTGTCGCCCAGGCTGGAGGGCAGTGGTGTGATCTCGGCTCTCCGCAACCTCCGCCTCCCGGGTTCAAGCAATTCTCCTGCCTCAGCCTCCTGAGTAGCTGGGATTACAGGCACGCACCACGACACTGGGCTAATTTTTTGTATCTTTAGTAGAGATGGGGTTTCCTCATGTTGGCCAGGCTGGTCTCGAACTCCTGACCTTGTGATCCACCCGCCTTGGCCTCCCAAAGTGCTGGGACTACAGGCATGAGCCACTGTGCCTGCCGGGTGGGTTTCTTATGGCGAATGATCCCACACCACTTTTCAGTGCACGTAGTTACATGGAGTAGAACACAGACAGTCACACCTCCACGTTCTTTTGGCCACCATGACTGGTTCAACCAAGGAATCTGCTCCAAGCTAGGTGAAGGAAAATCAGCCCTAAGGCCCCCCGTCGCCACGCACCTCACTGTATCCAGCTATACCTAAAGCCAAACCGAATCCCAGACATCTAAATTTTATGAGCCAGTAAATTCCCTTCTTTGCTTAAGCCAGTATAAATCAGGGTCCCATCCCTTGTAATGCTGAGTCCCAAGGCCCAGACTCTGGGCCTTTCGTTTTTCCATTCAGGCCCCAGAATGAAGACCAAGGAAGGGTTTATTAACATGACAGTGAACATCTAGGGCCTTATATACATTTTTCTTCAATTCAGCCAAGACAAGAGGCCTAGAATACAGAGAAAGGACACCCATTTCTTTTCTTTTCTTTTCTTTTCTTTTCTTTTCTTTTCTTTTTTGAGACGGAGTCACGCTCTGTTGCCCAGAGTCACGCTCTGTTGCTGGAGTGCAGTGGCGCAATCTCGGCTCACCGCAATCTCCGTCTCCCGGGTTCAAGCAATTCTCCTGCTTCAGCCTCCCAAGTAGCTGGGACTACAGGTGCCTGCCACTACACCCAGCTAAATTTTGTATTTTTAGTAGAGATGGGGTTTCGCCTGTTGCTCAGGCTGGTCTCGAATTCCTGACCTCAGGTGATCCACCTGCCCCGACCTCTGAAAGTGCTGGGATTACAGGCGTGAGTCACCACGCCCAGCCTAGGACACCCATTTCTTTGTTTGTTTTGTTTGTTTTTTGTTGTTGTTTGTTGTTTTTTTGAGACGGCGTCTCACTCTGTTGCCTAGGCTGGAGTGCGGTGGTGCCATCTCAGCTCACTGCAACCTCTGCTGGGTTCAAGCGATTCTCCCTCCTCAGCCTCCCAAGTAGCTGGGACTACAGGCGTGTGCCACCATGCCCAGCTAATTTTTGTATTTTTTGTAGCAATGGGGTTTCACCATGTTGGCCAGGCTGGTCTCTAACTCCTGGCCTCAAGTGATCCACTGCCTTAGTCTCCCAAAGTGCTGGGATTACAGGCGTGAGTCACCGCGACCAGCCTAGGACACCTATTTCTTCAAACATAGGAAGAAACATCTTATCTGCATGATCCCTCCTGGGGAGCTATCTTACGGTCTTATGTGATAAGGTGACCTCTCCTTTGGGTGAGTGGAGTAAAAAAGCGGGCGAGGTATCTGGAATATGCTTCTATCCCTCCTAACCTCCCCTACAAACAAAGCTTTCCTGAATGCCTTGTCCTTAGCTTCCTGGACTCTGAACCTAGCTTGGCTAAATTTTCTTTTTAAAGCATCAGCATAAATCATGAATACCTTGGGAAGGGAACATTAACCATCAGCCGGCAAAGTTAAAATTCCCCTCCAGCCCACTTAAATGGACTGAAACCTCCACCCCATCCCCAAACGAGCCTCCCTGGCCTTGTCCTTGAACATTTCAAAATCGGGTTTCTGCTTTAAGTTCTTTAAACTACTTTTTTTTTTTTTTTTTTTTTTTTTGAGAGGGAGTCTCGCTCTGTTACCCAGGCTGGAGTGCAATGGCACGATCTTGGCTCACTGCAACCTCCACCTCCTGGGTTCAAGTGATTCTCCTGCCTCAACCTCCCAAGTAGCTGTGATTACAGGCACCCGCCACAACGCCCAGCTAATTTTTGTATTTTCAGTAGAGACGGGGTTTCACCATGTTGGTCAGGCTGGTCTCAAATTCCTGACCTCGTGATCCGCCTGCCTCGGCCTCCCAAAGTGCTGGGATTACAGGCGTGAGCCACCGCGCCCGGCCGCTGCTTTAAGTTCTTAACACGTCCTCACCGCGGCTCAGCTCACTGTACGGCCCCTGCATAGAGAGGGGAGGGCAGGGGCCATGATACTGAACTCACAGCTCTGGGCATTTCTGAAGTCTGGCCCTTGAAGCTTTTCCTAGAGCAAATTGTTTTCTTCTCCCCTTCAGGAAACTGAAAATTCACACAGCAGCCGTGGGAGTCAGAGTAGCAAAGGCTTTGAGATCACATAGACCTGGGACACGTGCTTGCTTTGTGATTACGGGTAAGTTCCGTAGCCTCTCTGAGCTTCCATTTCTCTTTCTGTGGAAAGGGGATACTAATACTGCCCACTGTGAGGGCTGTTTCTGAGATTCCATGCTGCTGTGACTAGCATCTGCCTGACTAGCAGAGGATAGTTACAGTGTCAGCGTCCATGGCCCTCTCATGAGACTGGGGCAGGGGGTGGGAAGGGTGTTTGGGACACCCTGGGAACCTTAGCATCATTCTGCCATGGGAGTATGACCTGCTGTTCCCTGGCTGCCCTCAGTCTGAGGCTTGCTCTGCCAGTCCCGGGAGAACTGTCCACTCATCATCCCGGCAGAGACAGATCTCTTTTTCGCTGTGCACAGGTGGGGAAACTGACTCTGCCCAGTCACCTGAGTCTGTTGACAGAGGCACCTGGCCATCTGTATCCTGGTCCTCAGCTCTGAGACCAGCAGGAAAGAGAGGAGGACATTCCTAATGGGGGACACAGTGACCTTCCTCCTCCTGCCCCTGATGCTCCCACCACTGTGGTCCCCTGGTGGTGCCAACCACTCAGACTCCAGAAGCTGAGTCCCCTCTCAGTCCCATGAACAGGCAAAGCTGCTTCCTGCAGAGGCCCCAACCTTTGCGCCTCCTCCTCAGAGAATCTGATTCTCCCTCCTCAGTGCGGTTCCTTTCCCACACACACCCACACAACAATCCAGACTCAGAGAATGGAGTGCCTCAAATTAGGGGAAATGGCCGGGCACAGTGGCTCACACCTGTAATCCCAGCACTTTGGGAGGTCAAGGCGGGCGGATCACTTGAGGTCAGGAGTTCAAGGCCAGACTGGCCAACATGGCAAAACTCCATCTCCCCTAAAAATACAAAAATTAGCTGGGCGTGGTGGCGGGTGCCTGTAATCCCAGCTACTTGGGAGGCTGAGGCGCGAGAATCACTTGAACCTGGATGGCAGAGGTTGCAGTGAGCCAAGATCAAGCCACTGCCCTCCAGCCTGGGCAACAGAGCGAGACTCCATCTCAAAAAAAAAAAAAAATTCAGGAAATGATGAGGCTGCACACACACATGCACACACCACACATGGCTCATGCATGCACATGACATGCATTCACATGCACACATGCCCATGCATGTATGTGTTCACATATGCACACACAGCACCTGCTCACATGCACACACAGGACAGTCACACACATGCACACACACGCATGCACATGCACACTCACATATACATTATACACATATGTACACATGGCGCGCACACACCCATACATGCATGCTCACACATGTGCACACATGGTGCACACTCACACACCCACACATGCATGCTCACACATGCACATACACACTCCCCTCTTCACCCAGCCACCCCGCTATTCATTCTGGATCCCCTTACCCAACCCTGGTTCAGGACCACCTCTCCTGACCCCTAGGCTAGGTCAGGCCACTCTCCTGACACCCTCATTACTCATAGGCTTTCTCTTCAGCACTTTTACCACGATTGTGACTAATTACATGTGTGATCATTTTGGTACCAGGTAATATTAATAGCTCGAAAAATATTACTGGGCTTTCCTCTTTGGCCTTTCTGGGTAAGTAGCCCTTCCCCTCTCAGGCCTGAGGCACCTGGCTACCTGGAAAATATTTGAATTTGTACAGAAGGAATAAAGAGGACCATGGCAGATCTAGTTCCTGATCATCAACACAGACTTTGCTATGAGACAGTAGGTTTAGAAGTCACCGCTGCGCACTGACCCTCTGGGGGCTTGGGAGGAAAGTGCTCTGAGACCACCCTCCAGCAGCTTAGGGGTGGGGCCCCTGGAGGTGCAGCAAGTTGAGAGGAAGGAAGCCCTGGTGTTTCGCTTTCCTTGGCCACACTGGTCCCCTCCGGGCCAGGATGGGCTCAATGTGTTCTTGCTCAGGTAGGTGACACCTCATTAAGACAAGGGGCAGAGGGACCTGCAGAAGGGTCTGGGAGTAGATGGCTCAGGTAGGGGTCAGATGCAGTAGAGAAGAGGGGGCTCTGAAAAAAAAAAAAAGGCTGGGCGCAGTGGCTCATGCCTGTAATCCCAGTACTTTGGGAGGCCAAGGCGGGTGGATCACCTGAGGTCAGGAGTTCAAGACCAGCCTGGCCAACCTGGCGAAACCCCATCTCTACTAAAAATACAAAAATTAGCCGGGCGTGGTGGCAGGCGCCTGTAATCCCAGCTACTCAGGAGGCCGAAGCAAGAGAATCACTTGAACCCGGGAGGCGGAGGTTGCAGTGAGCTGAGATCGCACCATTGCACTCCAGCCTGGGCAACAAGAGCAGAAACTCCATCTCAAAAAAAAAAAAAAAAAAAAAAGAAGAGGGCGCTCTGAGCCAAGGTAGAGCCAAGTCAACCAGGCAGGCGGAGGCCCAGAGCATGAGTTTTACCTACTGCCGGTTTCGGCCAAAATGCCAGAAAGCCAAGCAGCAATCTTGGGCATCGGACTTGGCTAGAAATCCCTCTCCTCCTGGGAAGTCTCGTCATCAACACCCAGACACCCCCACCCCCACCCACCCACCCAGTGCCAGCTTAGAGAAAAGCTGGGAGGAGCAGAAGGAAATTTGAGACCAAGCATTACCTAAAGGCCTAAAGTACTGGATCAGATTAAATTAAATCTAGTTCTTTTTCCTTGTTGCCCTATGAGTAGGCTTTGTGAGAAATATCAGATCCATTGCAGGAAATAAAGAAAAGACATGTTCTCTGCAGACCCACATGGCAGGTGAGTAAATGTACAGCATGGATATCCGTCACCAGCGGTGCATTCCCCTAGGCAGGCACCACACCGTCCTGTGGAGCATTGTGTTAGTAGGCGCTCAGTAAACACCCATGAAGTGAGTCAATGTATGATTAAATTCCAACCCTGCGTGGCAGCAGACAGGTGGCTGGTCTCTGGGACTGGGGAAGAACAAGGCTCTGTATGTAGTTGGCTTCCTCTGGAAGGACAGGTTTTAAGTCAGATCCGACTGGGTTCAAACCTTGGCTTGGCCAAGGCAGCTTCTAGCATGGCCTCCAGTGATCCCACCTCCTGGCCTGAGTGTGGGTGGACACTTCTGCTATTTATTTATTTATTTGATTTATTTTGAGACAGAGTCTTGCCCTGACACCCAGGCTGGAGTGCAGTGGTGTGATCTCCGCTCACTGCAACCTCCACCTCCCGGCTTCAAGTGATTCTCCTGCCTCAGCCTCCCAAGTAGCTGGAACCAAAGGCATGCACCACCATGCCTGGCTAATTTTTGTATTTTTAGTTGTTTAGGATTTGTTTTAGTTGTATTTTAGTTGTTTAGGGTTATTTTTAGTTGTATTTTAGTTGTTTAGGGTTTCACCATGTTGGCCAGGCTGATCTCAAACTCCTGACCTCAAGTGATCCACCCACCTCAGCCTCCCACAGTTCTGGGATTACAGGCATGAGCCACCATGCCCAGCCATGGGTAGGCACTTCTAATGAGCAGAATATGGCAAAAGGGACAGGATGTCACCTCCAAGATTACGTTATAAAAGACAGTGACTTCCACCTTTCTCTCTCCCTCTCTCTCACATGAGCACGCGCGCGTGCACGCGCGCGCGCACACACACACACACACACACACACACACACATAACTTCTTGGCTTTCTTGCTTTGACACAGCAAGCTGCCATGCTGGAGATACCCACATAGAAAAGAATTGAAATCAGCCTCCAGCCACTAATAGATAGATAACTAATAGCAATAGATAACTAATACAGCCACTCATTAGCTCTGCCCTCAGACCAGTTCTTAACCTGTATGTGTGTACCCTCATCTGAAAATGGGCATAATAGCACATCCCCACCATACAGGCTAATTGTGAGGACCACGAAAATGAATGGATGGGTGGATGGGTAGATGGGTAGATGGATGGAAGGATGGTTGGGTGGGTGAATAGATGAATGGGTGGGCGAAGGGATGGATGGATGGATGGATGGATAGATGGATGGATGGATGGATGAGTGGGTAGATGGGTGGATGAGTGAGTGGGTGGGGATGGGTAAATTGGTGGATGGATAGATGGATGGGTGGAAGGAAGAAAAGATGGATGGATGGATGGATGGATGGATAGGTGGATGAGTAGATGGTTAGGTGGATAGGTGGATGGGTGCGTGGATGGATGGATGGATGGATGGATGGATGGATGGATGGGTAGGTGGGTGGGTGGGTGATTGGATGGATGGAAGGATGGATGGGTGGATAGATGGAACCACTGGCTGGAGCCGTGTGAATATCACAGAATCAGGAAGTGAAGCCCAATCAGTAAGTCCCGATGGGGCTGTGAATAACCCTCACTGAGCAGCTGTCACAAGGCTAAGCACCTGGCTGTCCCCCTAGGAAAGCCCCTCACCAAGGTGAAGCTCTACCTCCGTCCTCACTTCACCCGCAGCCCGTTCCTCCTGGGGCTGCAAAGGACCAGTGCTTAGAGCTACCTCTGGTCAGAAGCCAGCAGAGTCCTACAGTAAAAGGGGTTGGGGCCCCCTGCTGAGCTCAGTACTGAAGAGGAGGCATGGCCAGGCAGCCCAGCACCCTCTGCCCTCCACCCAGCAACCCCCAGGCTAGATTCTGCCATCCTTTTCTCATTGATTATGTTCCCCATGAGGCTGCTCTTGCCCAAAAGCTGGCCCAGCTTGACACCACAGAGACAAACCAACCAACAGCCACAGCATCTGATAGCCCCAGTAACTGACTCTTGTGGGAAGGCCGCGGCCAGCTGGCCTGAGTCCCACAGCCTGACCATGGCTCCGTCAGTGGCCAGTCCTGGGGGCAACAGGGACACAGGGGAAGGGTCAGGCCCCAGCTCTCATGGTGTAACAGATACCAGCTCCAAGTCAGGAGAATGGACTTTCCACCTGCATGCACGTCACAGTGCCCAGAACCCTAACAGACATGCATCAGACTTGACACCTTCCCCACCCACCACCCCAGGTTTGGCTGCCCATAGAGGCGCACACCTGTCCTCCCATCTCCTCCTGGGCTGGAGCCATGTGAGCAGAAGGGGATGTGAAGACAGATCCTTGATGTCCACAGGTGCGGGGACTGCTTGCCAACCCATGGCAACTCACCTGTAGCGCATGGAGATTTGGGGGTAAACCCAGTGATGCTGAGTATGTGGGCTGCCCAAGCTGGGTGGCAACCAACCCCAGCATTGAATGTGCTGAGAGCTGGACCGGTGGATGTCCCCACTGCCCTGAGGCAGGTCCAGGAGAAGGCTCCTACCTGCTGTGCAGAGGGCAAGGTAAGTCTTGTCCTTGATCTACAGCCAGAAGACAGCAGGGCTGCTTCTGTCTGCGTCCCAGCCTCCACTCTTCTCTAGATACCATCACCACCATGACAACTGCAGTTAACACTTAGTGAAGACCCCTAGGTGCCACGCGCCCATGCAATACCCACAGACCCCTCTGAGGTAGGCCCTGTAATGGTCCCTACGTTAGGGAGGGGCGGTCCCAGGCCCAGCTGGTCAGTGAGGGAGGTAGGATTTGAACCCAGGCAGCCTGGCTTTGGGGCATTGCTCTCTGCCACGTGGCCGGTTCCTACACCCTTGCCAGCTACCCCCTGCAAAGGTGGCCAGCCTGGCTTTGTCCTTCAGGATCCTCTGATCTCTCTCAGGGGCCTCCAACCCACCCACTGGCTCTCCCTGCTGACAAAGCAACTATTTCCTGGCCCCAAAGCCCCAGTCTCTGGAAATGACCCTCCTTCCTTCTCCAGCTCATGGCTGTCAGAGGCTCCTAACTGCACCCACCCCCGATCAGCCAAAGCCAATTACTCCACGTCCAAGACACAGGCGTGTTAAAATGTAAACGGCCATTCATCATCTGGCAGCGTGACCGTTTGCCCCTATCAGGCCCCAGTCCGGCCTCACCACGCCTCCATGCTCTCCTCAGCGTCAAAGAAACAGCCTTGTCCTGCCAGGGCCTTCGCCAGGCCCGGCCTGGGAAGTCAGGGCTCTCTGACCCAATGGAGCGAATCGTTGCGAGCATTTATTTAATAGCATTATCTTGATGATGAATAAATCACACCTTCATGAACCATTTTTCCATTTGTAGCCCCAAGTCAAGACTCCCAAAATGTTACCAGATGTCAGGCATGAAATATACACCCCTGGCAAGCTCTGCCATGCACAGGAGTCATGCTGCTTTCAATCCACGGGAGAGCCGGACACGAGCGTTCCAAGGCAGGAGCAGAACTCCATGTTGGCCATTATAAAGACAAGATTCCTTTTCCCCCGCTTTTTATAGCCTCTCTGGGTAAGATGTGTCTGGAAGGAGGTGTGGGCCAGGAAAGAGCATATGTCTGATGCCTGGGATTCCAGGACAGAAAGTACAGCCGACTCCAAGCTCTTGGGATGGGATTGGAGGGTCTCAAAACCTTGCCAGCTTTGGAGTCAGAGAGAAAAGAGTCCCAACCCCAGATTTATCATTTGCTAACAAATGTGACCTTGGGCAAATCAGCTCACCTCTCTGGCCCTCAACAGAGATAATCCTGGGACCTATTTCACAGTCATGGAGAGGATTAAATGGGAAGAGGAATAAAAGGAGTTTGGAGAAGTGCCCAGGACATAGTATGCACTGAGCAAATTCCGTAGTAAGAGGAGTATTAGTAATAGCTACTATTGATTAGGTGGTGTTGTGAGTTGAACAGTGTTCCCCCAAAATTCATGTCCACCCAGAGACACAGAATGTGACCATTTGTGGAAATAGGGTCTTTGCAAATGTAATTAGTTAAGATGAGGTCATACTAGATTAGGGTAGGCCCTAAGTCTAATGACTGGTGTCCTTATTAGAAGAGGATAGGGGCTGGGCACAGTGGTTCACACTTGTAATCCCAGGGCTTTAGGAGGCTGAGACAGGAGGATGGCTTGAGCCCAGAAGTTCAAGACCAGCCTGGACAACATACTGAAACCCATCCAGTCTCTAAAAAAGAAACTAAAAGCCAGGTGCAGTGGCTTACATCTGTAATCCTAGAACTTTGGGAGGCTGAGACAGGAGGATCACTTGAGGCCAGGAGTTCAAGACCGGCCTGGGCAACATAGCAAGACCCCATCTCTATTAAAAAATAAATAAATAATAAATAAAATTAAACTTAAAAAATTTAAAAATTAGCCAGCCATGGTGGGAGGATTGCTTGAGCCCAGGAGTTTGAGGCTGCAGTGAGCTATGATCAGGCCACTGCACTCCAGCTTGAGCAACAGAGTGAGATCCTGTCTAAAACAAGATGGGACACACAGGAAGTGGTGGTGCAAAGATGGTGCAGCCGCAAGCTGAGGAACAACAAGGATCCCTGACCACCAGCAGAAGCTAAGAGGCAAGAAAGGATTCTTCCTTAGAGTCTTCAGAGGGAAAGTGGCCCTGCTGACACCCTGATTTCAAACTTCTAGCATCCAGAACTGTGAAAGAACGAGTTTCTGTTGTTTGAAGCCACCTAGTTGGAGGTGCTTCATTACAGCAGTCCTAGGAAGCTAATACAGGTGGTTACCATGCACTAGGTTCTCTGCATTATAAATGCATCATATGTGTGAATTCACCTAAATCCTCACAACAACTGTAAGAGGTTACTATACCATGTTACAGAGAGAGTGATCAAGACTCAGAGAAGTTAAGGGACTCATAGCTGGATCTAGATTTGAATTTGGTCTATCTGGTCTAAAGCCCACTTTTAAGGACCAACTGTGTATGCCAAGTGCTAGAGCCACTTCCTTGCTCAGTCCTCACCGACCACACTGTGCTATCTTTATTCACATTTTGCAGTTGAGGAAACAGGTTCAGGCAGGTCTGTCCAAGGCCACCCTATTTAGGGTCTGACAAAGCCAGGTTCATCTGACTCCAATGCCAACGCCCATGCTGTTGACCAGACCATCCCTGCCAACTTCCCAATATGAATGCTTTGAGTGGCTCTCGGCCCCCGGGCTGTGGAACACCAGCACACCAGTGCCTGGAGGGCAGCAGCTGTCCAGCAAATGTCTGCTCATTCATTTGTTCACGCATTCAGGGCAAGTCGAACGGCAGACGGGGCAGGAGATCCAGGGCCAGCATCGATGGTGCAGGGAGCCCTCTGGCCCCTTAAATATCCTCAGACAATCCCAGAAATCATTCCTGGGTCTACCTTATGTGGGTTTTCTAGAATAGCTACTGCTGAACTGTAGGGTAGTGAGGGAGAGACACAAATACAGGCAAAACCACACAACAGCGAAGATTCCATAAGGGCAGGAGTGTTTTTCCACCAGGAAACAAGAACCAGTTCATCTGAGTTCCTTCGCCTTTTGTCCCAAGACACAAAAATGTCAAAAATGTGCAAGGGCTCTGGCCACAGATGGATACTGTGTCTCACCCCGACGGGCTGCTTCCTGCATGGGGCTGAAGGTCAGGGTGAAGGTTGCTGCCCTGAGAGTCAGGGGAAGTTGGTCTGCCTCCTGCTGTGTCACGTACTTGCCATGGTGTGTGGGATGAGGCCCATCATCTCCCAGAATTAAGCTGTAGCTGACTATAAAACCACAGGTGAGGGCTGGGTGTGGGGGCTCATGCCTGTAATCCCAGAATTTTGGGATGCTAAGGCAGGAGGTTCGCTGGAGCCCAAGAGTTCAAGACCATCCTGGGCAACATAGAGAGACCCCGTCTCTACTAAAAATACAAAAATTAGCCAGACATGGTGGTGCATGCCTGTGGTCCCAGCTACTCTGGAGGCTGAGGTAGGAGGATCACTTGAGCCCAGGAGGTCAAGGCTGCAGTGAGCCGTGATCATGCCACTGTACTCCAGCTGGGGCCACAGAGCAATACTCAGTCTCAAAACAAAATAAAAAAACCCACAGGTGAGGTCACATCAGGCTTTTCCCCTTTATTCTCCCTAAGGGCTCCACAACATCAGAAATGGGTTTCTCTATCAGTGCATCCTCCAGATTCTACTTTTTTTTTTTTTTTTTTTTTAGTAGAGGTCTTGCTTATACCCAGGCTGGTTTCAAACTCCTGGGCTCAAGCAATCCTCCTGCCTCATTCTCCCAAAGTGCTAGGATTACAGGTGTGAGCCACCCACACCCAGCCCAGATACTGGGCCCTGTCCGTCAATCCATTTGCAGTCACCAAGCACCAGCTGCGTGCACCGCATTGTGCCAATGTCTGGAAGGATGCTCACAACTATCAACACAGATAACTAATAATATCAACAATACCACAGTGTAAATGCAAAGCAATATGTGCCTGGTCTCATTTAATTCTCACATCAAACCCTTGGGATACATATCATTAGCACCCTCATTTGCTAGAGAAAACTCAGTTCTGAGGGTGGATGATTTGCCAAGGCCCTGGGAATTCGGACTAACTCCCTTCATAGGTGGCTGCAAGTGCCTGTGGCCCAGACATTCCCATAGATAGGTCATTTTCTCACACCAGCTTATATTTCTTGTGCCAGACACAGGGTCCAAACCCATTTGCATTACGTCTCTGAGACTTCACAAGACCTTCCTGTGAATTTGTTACCATTATTATTATTATTTTCTTGTTTTACTTTTTTTTTTTTTTTTTTTTTTAGACCGAGTTCTGCTCTTGTTGCCCAGGCCTGGGTGCAGTGGCGCAATCTCGGCTCAATGCAACCTCCACCTCCCGGGTTCGAGCGATTCTTCTGCCTCAGCCTCCTGAGTAGCTGGGATGACAGACACACACCACCACACCTGGCTAATTTTTGTATTTTTAGTAAAAATGGGTTTTCACCATGTTGGTTAGGCTGGTCTCAAACGCCTGACCTCAGGTGATCCACCTGCCTCGGCCTCCCAAAGTGCTGGGATTACAGGCGTGAGCCACCGCGCCTGGCCTTTTTTTTTTTTTTTTGAGACAAGATCTCACTCTGTCACCCAGGCTGGAGTGCAGTGGGGCGATCTCAGCTCACTGCAACCTCTGCCTCCCTGGTTCAAGTGATTCTCCTGCCTCAGCCTCTCAAGTACCTGGAATTACAGGCACGTGCCACCACGCCCAGCTAATTTTTGTATTTTTAGTAGAGACGGGGTTTCACCATGTTGGCCAGGCTTGTCTTGAACTCCTAACCTCAACTGATGCACCTGTCCCGACCTCCCAAAGTGCTGGGATTATAGGCATGAGCCACCGCGCCTGGCCTTATTATTCGTCTTCTTAGTCTGCTTTCAGATGAGGACACGGAGCCACAGGAGTTACAAGGGTGGAGGTGCTGGGAAGTCAGGACCAAAATCAGCCTCCTGACTCCCCATCTCATTTTCTCAATCATCATGGGTTTTGCCCCCCAAGAAGAGAACCAGCCACCATGGGTGCTAAACCGGTGGCTGATATAGCAAAGTGTGTTGGAGCAGAGATCCCAGCGGGCTTCCTAGAGGAAGATCACAAAAAATGGGCAGAGCCCACAAGGCACAGTACAGGTTTCCTCTCTCCAGTCCACATAAGGGCATTCACCAGGAACCTGGGGGCTGGGTGGCCTTGGCCCAACCCTCTGAAACTCACCCTGTGGCTCCTCACTCACCAGATGGACACAGCAGGAATCTGTCCCACCTGGCTCAGGGAGGGCCTACCCCCACCTCCCACCCCACCCCACAGGCCTGTTTGCATGCCAGGCCAGAGTTGGCCACATGCCCACATATCTCTCCTCGTTCTGCAGGCTCCGGGAAGGAAAGTCCAAGGCCAAGGTTATCATGGGGTTCACATACCTTAAGGGGTGGGTGGAGGGGTTGGCTCACAAGCTACAGGTTATTCAATGCAGTGCTATTCGTGATCACAAAAGATCGGAACTGATCTCACGTCCATCATCAGGGGACTGGACTAAGATATTTTGGCACAACCACATACGACTCAAGTGTCAAGGGAGGAAGAGTGGGGGAGTCTTGAATAAATAACAAAAGCTGGCGTTGACACAGGACTTTGCACATGGTGGAGGCTCCTTGCAAGTGCTTTGCATGTTATTAACTCATTCAATCCTTACATCACCCCAGGAGGAGGAACCATTATTATCTGTTTAAAATGCCTGTAATCCCAGCACTTTGGGAGGCCCAGGTGGGAGGATCACTTGAGTTCAGGAGTTCAAGACCAGCCTGGGCAACAAAGTGAGACTTCATCTCTACAAAAAATTCAAAAAATTAGCCAAGCCTGGTGATCCACACCTGTAGTACTAGCTATTCAGGAAGCCAAGGTGGGAGGATTGCTTGAGCCCAGGAATTCGAGGCTGCAGTGAGCCAGGATTGCACCACTACACTCCAGCCTGGGTGACAAAGCAAGATCCTGTCTCAAAAAAAAAAAAAAAAAAAAAAAAAAAAAAAATATATATATATATACACACACACACACACAGAGAGAGAGAGATACACATATAATATTTTAAAATATATATACCTCAAAAAATATATATATAATATTTAAAAATATATAAAATGAGGGTGCCACTTGGTTGAGTTTATGGTTAAAAAAAAGAATAAAATTTAAAAAAGAGGCACCAAGAAGTGAAGTTTCTTGCCCCAGGTTCATGGCCAACAAACAGTGGACTGGGCCGGGCACGGTGGCTCACACCTGTAATCCCAGCAATTTGGGAGGCTGAGGTGGGAGGATCGCTTGAGTTCAGGAGTTCGAGACCAGCCTGGGCAACATGGCAAGATCCCATCTCCACTGGTGCAGTGGCTCACGCCTGTAATCCCAGCACTTTGGGAGGCTGAGGTGGGCAGATCACAAGGTCAGGAGATCGAGACCATTCTGGCAAACATGGTGAAACCCTGTCTCTACTAAAAATACAAAAAAAAAAAAAAAAAATTAGCCGGGCGTGGTGGCGCTCACCTGTAGTCCTAGCTACTCGGGAGGCTGAGGCAGGAGAATCACTTGAACCTGGGAGGCAGAGGTTGCAGTGAGCCGAGATCGCGCCACTGCACTCGGGCCTGGGCAATAGAGTGAGACTCTGTCTCAAAAAAAAAAAAACCGTCTCTACTAAAAAACTGCAAAAATTAGCCAGGCATGGCGGCATACACCTGTAGTCCCAGCTACCCAGGAGGCTGAAGTGGGAGGATCACCCGAGCTCAGGAGGTTGAGGCTGCAGTGAGCCAAGATCACACCACTGCGCTCCAGCCTGGCAACCAGAGTAAGATCCTGTCTCAAAACAAACAGACAAACAAACAGTAGACCTGGAATTTGGTGCAAGCAGCAGGGCCAGATCCATGCTTGGTCCTCTCCTCCCAGCATCTCTGTTTTGTCCTGGGTCCCTCTGCCAGGAGCTCCCTGGAACCCGGGAAGGAAGAGAAGCATGCAGACAAGCGTCAGCACCCCCACCCTCCGCTGGCCTTGGGGAGCAGGTGTCATTAGACGAGGCTCAACTGAAGCCTGCATCTGAAACAGATTCTCATAACTCAGGCGCTGTGGTAGCCAACTTCTCTCTACAGTCAATTACGGCCAGCGGGGCCCACTGATTATTTTTATAGCCTTTCCTGGAGTCATGACAAGGAAAACTAAATGATCCACAGGACCCCTTTCATCACTAACAGCCGGGTTTCACGGTTGGGGGTGGAGGAAGGAAAGAAAAATCACTTTTTTCCCCACTTTGAGTTAATCAACAGAACTCAAGTCTGGGCAGCCAATATGTTGGTGTTGAGAAAAGCTGTTCTCAAGCAGAACTAATTGGCAACAGAAATGGAATTTTCTTCCCCACCTCCCTAAAAAACATAAACATGCTTTATCCCAGAGAATTACCCTTCAGAATAGGTATTGCAGACGTGTCGTGTGCAGCCGCCTGTGCGAGGCTGGTAATCTCACGCCGACCTGGCCAAAGGCTGCCTGTGCTGGTTACAGCTCAACCAGAGCAGCCTCTTACGCAATACAATGGTCATGAAGGTCAGTGGCCCAAACCAGCCCAGCCAGACCAGAGTGGACACTTGCTTTCCTGATGCCCAGCACCTATCTCCTGCTCCTACGAACAGCCTTTGGCTTTTGTTGGGTCGGGGGGTGGGAGGGCACCCTGATTTGCAGGTACAAGTGTGAGTGGCATTGATACCCCCTCAACTCCAGAGATGAGCTCTGACAGGCGTAAGCCAAAGAACATATTCCGGGGAAATTTCAAGAAGGGGCATATGACCTAACAAGAAACAATAGCTGGCACAGTGGCTCACACCTTAATCCCAGGACTTTGGGGGGCTAAGGCGGGTGAATCTATTTCAGCTCAGGAGTTTGAGACCAGCCTGATCAACAAAGTGAGACCCCAGTCTCTGCAAAAAATAAAAACTGGCTGGGCGTGGTGGTGCATGCCTGTAGTCCCAGCTACTTGGGAGGCTGAGATGGGAGGATCTGCTTGAGCCCAGGAGGTGGAGGCTGCAGTGAGCCAAGATTGCACCACTGCACTCCAGCCTGGGCGACAAAGCCAAACTCTGTCTCAAAAAAAAAAAAAAAAAAGAAAAGAAAAGAAAAGAAACAATAAGGCACTAGAAAAAAAAAAACATATAATGAGGCTTCTGGAAAAGATAGCTCTTTTTATTTTAGAGAAATTGAGGTTCAAAGACGTGATGTAACTGCTCAGAGGTATACAGTGAGGTGGTAGGGGATCCAGGGTTTGAACCCAAGTCTGTAGGACTGAGGAGTTTGCAACCCTTCACTGCAGGCGCTACTGAAAGGCAGCATAAACCTTGGACGAAGCCAGAAGAGCTGGATTCAAACCCAGTTCTGCCATTTACTCCCTGTGTAATTTCAGGCAAGTCACTTAACCTCTCTGTTCCTCAGTTTCCATATCTGTAAAGTGGGGCTTCTAAGGGCACCTCCATTTGCAGGATCTGAGAGGTAAATAATTAACAGCAATATCTGTAAAGTGCATGCAACAGTGCCTGTCACGGACCAAGGATTCGCCCCTTCCTCACCACACCGTTCCCCACACGCGTTGAGAACCAGACCAAATAAAAGGAGGTGGAGGGGAGGAAGGAAAAGTTGATGTTATCAGATCTGTAATCCCTACGCCATGTGTTCCTTTCTGTAGCACAGCTGCCAGGCTTGCCTCTCCTGCAGGAGAAGCTGTGCCACAAAGATGTGGGACGTCACAAACACGCAGCCCATTCAAGGCTTTTGGACATTCCAGCCCCGTCCTTGATGTCAGTCAAGATCTAGGGCAAATTCCACCCATTCAGGTGGCAAAAAGTAAGATGTTTGACAAATGCCATGTGTAGAGGGTGGCTTGTGAATTGGTACAACCATTAGAAGATAATTCAGCATACGATTTCATATTCCAGCAATTCTACTTCCAGGTACAAACTTGAGACACACTCCTGTATGTGTGCAATAGGACAGTACAAGAACCCTCAAAGCAGAACCGTGTATGTAGCAAACAAAACTGACAAATGGAAACAACCCACATGGTCATAGACAGGAAAAATAAATGCTGGTATGCCATGGAATAGTACACAGCAGAGAAAAGTGAATGAACAAGTGATAAGCAATTATATCAACGAATTTTAGCAATAAAATGATTTATAAAAATGTAAGTGCAGGGGCTGGGCACCATGGCTCACACCTGTAATCCCAGCCCTTTGGGATGCTAAGGCAGGCTGATTGCTTGAGGCCAGGAGTTTGAGGCCAGCCTGGGCAATATGCAACATGGCAAAGCCCCGTCTCTACAAAAACGTAGCCAAGTGTGGTGGTGCACGCCTGTAGTCCCAGCTACCAGGGAGGCTGAGGTGGGAGGATCACCTGAGCCCAAGAAGTCAAGGCTACAGTGAGCTGAGATTGCACCACTGCACTCCAGCCTGGGTGACAGAGTGAGACCCTGTCTCAAAATATGTGTGTGTGTGTGTGTCTGCATGTATGTGCCAGAAGACAAGATATATCTTTACGTAAAGTTCAAACAGCAGTAAAAGTAAATGATATATTATTTTGGCATACATGTAAGTGATAAAACTTTTTTTTTTTTTGAGACGGAGTTTCGCACTCATCGCCCAGGCTGGAGTGCAGTGGAGCAATCTTGGCTCACCGCAACCTCTGCCTGCCATGTTCAAGTAATTCTCCTGCCTCGGCCTCCCTAGTAGCTGGGTTTACAGGCATGCACCACCACACCTGGCTAATTTTATATTTTTAGTAGAGACGGGGTTTCTCCATGTTGGTCAGGCTGGTCTCGAACTCCTGACCTCAGGTGATCTGCCCGCCTTGGCCTCCCAAAGTACTGGGATTACAGGCATGAGCCACCGTGCCTGGTGATAAAACTATTTTTTTAAGCAAGGGAAATTGAGAAGATGAAAATGTTCTGGAAATGGATGGCGCTGATAATTGCCCAACATTGTGAATGTGCGTAATGCCGCTGAATTGTACCCTTAAAATGGCTAAAGTGATAAATTCTATCCACAATTTTTAGAAAGGCAAGGGAAAGCTAAACACAGAATTCAAGATAGCAGCTACTACCACAGTGAGAGAGGGAGGGAGGCAAGATGGGAAAAGAGTTCGGAAGTTGATATAAAATGGTTGTCTGAGTTCCAGCACGCAGGTGGGACCATGGGTTCACAGGCATTTATCATTTTATAAATAGCTATAAAGAGATTGTTAGATGGAAGTGTAGGTGGGGCTGTTCAGGTGCCCTTTCAGTATGTCATTATGGAATTATGAATCATTCAATCCTACTTACTTTTTCTTTTTTTTTTTTCTTTGAGACGGAGTCTCACTCCATTGGCCAGGTTGGAGTGCAGTGGTGAGATCTCAGCTTGCTGCAACCTCCAGCTCCTGGGTTCAAGTGATTCTTGTGCCTCAGCCTCCCGAGTAGCTGGGATTACAGGTTCATGTCACCACACCTGTCTTATTTTTGTATTTTTAGTAGAGACGGGCTGTCTCTACTCCTGTTGGTCAGACTGGTATCAAACTCCTGACTGCAGGTGATCCACCTGCCTCGGCCTCCCAAAGTACTGGGATTACAGGTGTGAGCCACCACACCTGGTCAATTCTACTTACTTGAGGTCCATTTTTAAAATTCTAGAGGAGGCCGGGTGCAGTGTCTCACACCTCTAATCTCAGAAACTTTGGGAGGCCAAGGCAGGTGGATCACCTGAAGTCAGTAGTTCAAGACCAACGTGGCCAACATAGCAAAACCCTGTCTCTACTAAAAATACAAAAATTAGTTAAGCGTGGTAGTGTGCACCTATAATCCCAGCTACTCGGGAGGCTGAGGCAGGAGAATCACCTGAACCCGGGAGGCAGAGGTTGCAGTGAGCCGAGATTACACCATTGTACTCCATCCTGGGCGACAGTGTGAGGCTCCATCTCAAAAAAAAAAATAAATCCCTACCTTCAGGAAACTCACATTCCAGCAGGGGACACTTAAGAAAATAAGAATATATATGTATGTTAGATGATGAGACGTGTGTGGTAAGGAGAAAAATAAACCAGAAAAGGGATGAAGAAGACCAGGGAGTGAAGGAAGCTGTAATTTTAAATGGAGAGTCAGGATGGCCTCGCTGCAAAGGTGATGTTTGTGTAAAGACCTGCGCGATATGAACAAGTGGGCCACTTGGATATCTGAAGAATGAGCACCCAGGCATAGAGAAAAGCGATTGCAAAGGTCCTGGGGCAGGACTGTGCCCGACCTCAAGAACAGCAATTGTGGGGAGTGGGAAGGAGGAGAGATAAGGTTAGAGAGGCCTGGGCCCTGCAGGCCTTGTGGGCCGTGATGAGGACTTTGCCTGTGCTCTGGGCAAGGTGGGACCAGGGCTGGAGATAGGAGGTGTCCTGAACAGAGAAGGAACTGGATCTAATTTCATTTTAACAGGACCCTGCTGGCTGCACACGGAGAGTAGACCAGGAGGGAGGCAAGAGGAGAAGCAGAGACACTGGTGGGGAGGCAACTGCAATAGCCCAGAGAGAGACACCATGGCCGCTGGGACCAGGGTGGAGGGAGCGGAGGTGACAGAGCTGTCAGCTTCTGGGTGCAGGTTGACAGGGGAGCCAACGGAATTTCTTTTCTGTTCCTCTTTGTTTTTGAGACAGCGTCTCATTCTGTCACTCAGGCTGGATTGCAGTGGCACAAACATGGCTCATTGCAGCTTCAACTTCCTGGGCTCAAGTGAGCCTCCTACCTCAGTTTCCCGAGTACCTGGGACCACAGGTGCATGCAACCACACCCAGCTAATTTTTAAAAATATGTTTGTAGAGACAAAGGTCTTGCTATGTTGACCAGGCTGGTCTTGAACTCCTGGTCTCAAGCGATCCTCCTGCCTTGGCCTCCCAAAGTGCTGAGATTGTAGGTGTGAGCCACCACGTCCAGTGTAGAATTTCTTTTTTGCTGGAAAGTGGGAGAGGCTGGGCTCTATTTAAGTGTTTAAGGGTCAAGAAAGTTTGAGACCTGGTTATAAAGTAGAGACATGGCCATCCAAACTGAGCCCTTCTTGAGAGCTGATGATGGGATAGAATTTTTTTTTTTTTTTTTTTGAGATGGAGTCTTGCTCTATCACCCAGTGCAGTGGCGCGATCTCGGCTCACTGCAACCTCCGCCTCCCAAGTTCAAGCGATTCTCCTGCCTCAGCCTCCCGAGTAACTGAGATTACAGGAGCCCGCCACTGCGCCTGGCTAATTTTTGTATTTTTAGTAGAGACGGGGTTTCACCATCTTGGCCAGGCTTGTCTTGAACTCCTGACCTCGTGATCCACGTGCCTCGGCCTCCCAAAGTGCTGGGATTACAGGCATGAGCCACTGCGCCTGGCCTGATGGGATAAAATTTTTTAAAAAATAGGCTGGGCACGGTGGCCCACACCTGTAATCCCAGCATTTTGGGAGGCCAAGGTGGGCGGATCACCTGAGGTCAGGAGTTTGAGACCAGCCTGGCCAACATGGCGAAACCCCCGTCTCTACTAAAAATACAGAAATCAGGCATGGTGGCATGTGCCTGTAATCCTAGCTACTCGGGAGGCTGAGGCAGGAGAATTTCTTGAACCTGGGAGGCAGAGGTTGAAGTGAGCAGGATCACGCCACTGCACTCTAGCCTGGGTGACAGAACGAGACTCTGTCTCAAAAAAAAAAAAAAAAACCCTCCTCTTCTAGGACTTCTGTGATGTGGGCATTAAAATGAATGTTTTAGGTCTTCATGGGCTCACATGGAAAAATGTCCAGGACACCTGTTGGTTGAAAGAAGGAAGATGCAGAATAAAATGTATAGAATGATCCCATTTTTGAAAATTAAAATTACGTGACAAAGAAAAAAATAGGAATGAAGTGAATGAATGGCCTGAAAGCATAGACGCCTGGCTCTTTCTTTGTTTTTTTTAAGAAGGAGTCTCGCTCTGTTGCCCCAGGCTGGAGTGCAGTGGCGCAATCTCGGCTCACTGCAAGCTCCGCCTCCCGGGTTCACGCCATTCTCCTGCCTCAGCCTCCCGAGTGGCTGGGATTACAGGCGCCCACCACCATGCCCAGCTAATTTTTTGTATTTTTAGTAGAGACGGGGTTTCACTGTGTTAGCCAGGATGGTCTCGATCTCCTGACCTCGTGATCCACCCGCCTCGGCCTCCCAGAGTGCTGGGATTACAGGTGTGAGCCACTGCGCCCGGCCAAGACAACGGGCTCTTAACAGGGGTGGCCCAGGGTGAGTATAGGAGCTACTGAGGTTTAAACTCAGGCGCGCCCTTCCTACCTCGCAAAACAATAAAACACGCATGCTTGGGGCCGGGCATGGTGGTTCATGCCTGTAATTCCAGCACTTTTGGAGGCCTACGCGGGTAGATCACCTGAGGTCAGGAGTTCGAGACCAGCCTGACCAATATGGTGAAACCCCATCTCTACTAAAAATACAACAATTAGCCAGGTGTGGTGGTGGGCACCTGTAGTCCCAGCTACTCAGGAGCTCCTGAGACAGGAGAATCACTTGAACCCAGGAGGCGGAGGTTGCAGTGAGCTGAGATCGCACCACTGCACTCCAGCCTGGGCGACAGAGCGAGACTCTGTTAAAAAAAAAAAAAAGAAAGAAAGAAAAAAAAGTGCACGTTTTTTAGTTCTCTTTTAAACTGCTGTGGGCATGGTTCTCCTCTTGTATTGCAGTTGCGTTTCTCTTAGCTAATGTCCCACCTGGGCCTTGTCCTTGGCCTGGACTATAAGAGAGCGGAACTTGAGAATGAGAAATATTTTCCTCTCGTGCTTGCTGGCTTAGGCCCTTAAAACTGGAAAGGGCCCACCTGGCTCCTAGAGTTTCTAAAAATAGCAAGCTATCTGAACTTTTCCTATAGGTTTGGCTTAGCCGTTCCTCTGACTTGTTCCAAGATGCCATTTCTGTTAGGGCATCATTCGCTGTGCATGAAAACAAAGGATGGCAGGAGACAGACTAGAAACGGAAGAGGACTAATCGGGAGCCGCTGCGGACAGAATCCAGAAATGCCCTGCAAATGCAGACACAGTGGACGCAATGGAGAGTGCATACCAGGGCCTGTGTCGCTGGTGGAGCTGGGGCCCACATGCCGCTAGTGTAGACAGGATCTCTACTCCACCCGATCTCTCTGCATCCACTCCAGTGCTTCGGGCAAGAGAGAGGAGTTTGGCTGCTGGTTTAAGTGAGATGGGGAAATTGAAAGATTTGCATCCAAGGCCCATGCCTGGGGTCTGAATTCCTTTGGAAGAGGACTGAGGACTGTTCAGGAGACGATTTTTGACAATCCAGACACAACCATAGATGCTGTGGAACCAGTGGTATGCTGGCAAAGGTTTAGCAACCAGCTCTCCAAGGGAAAGTGAGTGTGTGGTGCACAAGTGTGCATGGGCGAGTACATATATTTGCATATCCACACACACATATACTTCGGTTTATTATAAATTGTATTGACGTAGGCTGGGCGCAGTGGCTCGTGCCTGTAATCCCAACACTTTGGGAGGCTGAGGTAGGTGGATCACTTGAGGTTAGGAGTTCGAGACCAGCCTGGCCAGCATGGTGAAACCCTGTCTCTGCCAAAAATATAAAAAACTAGCCAGGCATGGTAGCGGGTGCCTGTAATCCTAGCTATTTGGGAAGGTGAGACAGGAGAATTGCTTGAACCTGGGAGGCGGAAGTTGCAGTGAGCCATGATTACGCCACTGTCCTCCAGCCTAGGCAACAGAGTGTGACTCCATCTCAAAAAAAAAAAAAAATTGTTTTGATGTAAATGATGTGCAGCACACAATTTACAAATAAAAATAAAACTTACAATACCTTTTCTTTTATAAATGTAATATAATCATTTCACTCACAGGTAGCAGTTTTGTTGATTTTTGCCCCCAGCAAAATCTGTAATCAACCTATGGTTACAATTGATGAAGGAGTGTAATTCTTCAGAAATACCAGTTAATATTTTCCTTTCTAAAAAATTTCTAATTATTTGTTTATGTATTTTTATTTTTTTGAGACAGTGTCTTGCTCTGTGGCCCAGGCTGGAGTGCAATGGTGAGATCACAGCTCATGGCAGCCTCAACCTCTTGGGCTCAAGCAATCCTCCCACCTCAGCCTCCTGAGTAGCTAGGACTACAGGCACGCACCACCACACTCGGCTAGTTTTTTCTCAAATTATTTGTAGAAATGGGGTCTTGTTATGTTGCCCAGGCTGGTCTCAAACTCTTGGGCTCAAATGATCCTCCTGTCTCAGCCTCCCAAAATGCTGGAATTACATGCATGAGTCACCACACTCAGCCTTGACTACCTTTGTTTTTCATAGAATTTATTGAATTGTAAGTTCATATAATTTAATTTTTAACAATGGTGTGTTTAGCAACCCGTTCACCTAATTCCTGAAAATCTGACAATCAGCTTTCACAAGCTGGCACAAGCTGCCTCCAGCACACCTCTGTCTGGGGACAACATGGCAAAGAATATCACCGAACTGAGGAGGAAGCCATTCTCTTCACATCTGCCCAGAACCCAGGGTATCTCAAGCACTAAACAGCGGGAAGCTTTGGGAGTTTACAGAGATGGCACCATGGACGCTGCTGTGCTGGGCAGGGAAGCATCTCCAAATGGCCTCAGAGGAAAGAGGAAGCAGGAAGGATGAATAAAACTAGAGACTGGTTCACAAAGGCACTCGAAATACCCCTTTGGAGCTCCCCAGGATGAACTGGGGGACCCTGGGGGGAGCACTGAGGTTCTGATGGGGAAAACCTCAGCAACCAGTGGGCATCTGGGCCAAATCACTTAGCACAAACGCTGAGCCACAAAATCATGATACGCTTTCAACAACCCATTAGGCACCTCAGAAGCTGCAGGGCCATAGGGTTGTTACAACCGACACCCATGCAGGTGGTACCACAGGCCATCAGTCCTTTTCCCCAAGTCCACCTTCATTCCCGCCTCCTCCAGTACCATCCTGGACTTCTCTAGGGAAGTGGTGGGGAGATTTACTCCTCTCCAAACTTCTTTTTTTTTTTTTTTTTTTTTTGAGACGAAGTCTCGTTCTGTTGGCCAGGCTGGAGTGCAGTGGCACGATCTCAGCTCACTGCACCTCTCCCTCCCCAGTTCAAGTGATTCTCCTGCCTCAGCCTCCCAAGTAGCTGGGACTATAGGCACGCACCACCACGGCCAGCTAATTTTTGTATTTTTAATAGAGATGAGGTTTCACCATGTTGGCCAGGCTAGTCTCAAACACCTGACTTCAGGTGATCCGCCTGCCTTGGCCTCTCAAAGTGCTGAGATTACAGGCGTGAGCCACCGCGCCCAGCCTCACTCCAAACTTGATCTTACTCTCAGACATCTTACTCTCAGACGCTTAAGTTCTCAGTTCGGAACTTAAGCGCTCTTCAACCAGACTCATGGAATCTCAGGGTTGCGGAGAGATTTTAGAGGTTTCCTGAAATAGTCCCTTTGTTTTAAAGACGAGGAAGCTGAGAGAAGGGAAGTGACTTGCTCAAGGTCACAGAGAAAATCCAGGGTGGAACTGGGTAGGGTGACCAATTGTCCCAGTTTACCTGGGACTGGGGGGGCTTCTGGACAAGTTGCTCCCAGATCTGAGACCACAACTCAGGGCTGACTTGTCCCCAAGGTGGGTGGTGGGGGGTTCACAGCCAGTCCCTGAAAGGAAAGGAGGCCTGGATCAGTACAGAGCTGCTTTGGGATGGAATTTTCCAAGGGAAGAAAAAAGAAAAGGCCACATCTGGGTGCTGGGACCTTTCACTCTGGCCCGATGCCTGGAACCCCAGGGATTCCCCACCTGCTGTGTGTTTCCTGGCCCTTGAGTGTAACCTGCACCCTCCCTTTCCGTGCCAGGGAGACACGAGCTGACTTTATCTGTCTCTTATCTCTTGGCTGCTGCCAGCCACAGCTGCAGGGATATATATGCAAATAGCTTACGATAATATTAATATGTGATTCCCCCCAGGGGAGGCATGTGGAAAGCGCTGTATGCGTTTCACAATTCTGTTTCATCCAAAAACACTGCACGGGCCCAGAGTGATTCGAAACAGATTTTCTGCAAAGGCAAAATAAAATTGGAACAAAACCTAGTTGAGGCATATGCCAGTCTCCCTGCCCCCAGCTCTCTCCACCTCTGACATATTAACCCTCTTCTCTCATGCCCCCAGGAGCCTCCTACGACAAGGCAGCAAATCTAGGAAATTGCACTGGGCACTCTTCGTTCAAGCCTGGAGCCCCTGCCCCATCCCAGGGCAGCCAGCCTCCACCCTGGGCTGACACATCCTTTAGAGAGTAAAAGGCTGCTTGCCAGTGTCAGCCTGTCACTCCTTCTGTCCCACCTCTGCCTCCTTCCTGCAGGTAATGCTCCATCCATACCTCCTTCTCCTTCACCCCTGCTGCTTGGGATAATTGCAGAACCATGGAGCACAGAATACAGAATACTGGGGGTGTACAGGAGAGTTTAGCCAAAGCAAGTCAGAAAAACCTAGGTCTTTTTTCGTTTCTGCCACTGACCGGCTGTGTGACCTCAGCAAGTCACTTCACTTCGCCCAGCTGCTGTTTCCTCAGGGTACAATGAGGACACCAATAATACTTACCCTGCAGGGGGCTTACCGGGATTTCCCGAGCCGACGCTTCAAAAATGCCTACACAGTGCCTGGCGTATAGCAGATACACAAGGAATAGCTGTCATCATGAGAATCTCTTAAAGATCACCTAGTTCAACCACTGTTTTAGAAACGGACAAATGGAGGCCTGCAGAGGGCAAATAACTTGCCTAAGGCCACACAGCACGATACCGCCATCCCATCTCAGCCTCAACCCAGGTTCCCTCCTCCGGCCTTGGGAGCTCCAGGTGGCCTGTGAGGAACGGCTGCCTCCTCCTGTCACCCCCAGCTCCAGAAGTCTGTCCACACAAGGCGGCGTCACGGCACACATGGGGAGCAGTCACTTCACACTCACCATCGAGCAGGTCTGGACACTCGAGTGCAGTCCCGCCGCCCTCCTTGCAGCTGCCTCACTTTCCCTATTGCCGCCAGCAAGCGTCTGCTCCCATCTGGCCCGGGACTCCCGGACTCGAGCTAGGGCTCTGCAAATTCCATCCACACTGGCCACCAGCCGCTGGTCCCGCTCTCTGGGAAGATCGCCTTGAGGACCTGCTGCGCCCCGAGTCTTCCTTCTGGTGCAGGGAGGCCGGTGCCCTGCCGGGCTCTGATAATGCAGCCGGGACTCTTATCTGGCCTGTGTCAGGGTGCAGGCGGCCATGGAGCTGGGGTTCCAGGAAGCCCTCCTGGGGCCCCCCAGCCGGCCCCGCTCCCCCCGGATGCCGCCTGCTGCTCTGGACGCGGCCGATTGCTTGTCAGTGTCACTCCCAGCTCTGCCGGGGGGAATTCCATGCTGGCCCCCAGCAGGCGGGGCCCCCACCCCTTCACGTCCCACCCCCCACTCCCATTTTGGCAAGGGGACTGGGAAAAGGCAGCTAATTTCAAGTCCGCACAGCGTTTGTGGTCGTGTCCTGAATCCTCCACGATTAATCACAGAGCATCTGATTTCTGCTTTGCCTCAGAGAGGGGCGGAGGGGACGCCTGGAAGTTTCTGTTTACTCCATTCTGCACCAGGCTGCGTGCTAATCACAAACAGACTGGGACGCAGCCTACCCCTCCTAAACTGCTCTTGGCCACCCCCTCCCTCCTCCAGCCCTCTCCTTCCTCTTCTTACCTTGTCACTTTCCTCCAGCCCCTTCCTCACTCTTTCTCCTTTCCCTCCTTTCTTTCCCCTTTCCCATCTGTCCGCCTCTTCAGTCCAGATCTGATCCATTGCACACCCCTTCCTTCCGTCCTGGGTTTCCCCCAAGCCCCTTTCCCCCTTTGCGCCTCCCACTTCTCCTAGATTGAGAGTCAGCTTGGTTCTTTCCTTTACATCCATTAGTGAGGGTCAGGCTCTTTTGTTATGTTTTTTTTTCTTTTGTATAACTTAATTATTTCAGGGTTCGGGGTGGGCGCTCGCCCCTTGCCCAGTCACACTGGTGTGTGTGCGACTCCTACAAAGTTAACAGTTTCTCCAGGTCAAGGGGTGGGATCCAGGCTTGGTGATGTGCACAATTTCTTTTGTCCACTTGACACATCTCTGCGTCCTGATTCTGCTCAGGGACGGACCCAAGAACAAAGCAGCCATTTACCGCCTCCGGAGGGGAGGCCAGCCCTGTGGCACATCCAGGGCCTTGGAACACCTAGAGACAGATTTCTCTCCCTCGCCTTGGCTCCTTTCCACTCTGCAGCTAGTGTGGAAAAGAAACCAGAAATAAACAGCACCAAAGAACAGGAACGGACACCCCTCCCCATTAAAGCACACACACAGACTCTGAAGGGTAATTTGGCAAAGACCTCTGAAAACCAGAGATGAGGGTCTCCTACTACTTATGCCTGTGCACAGGAGACAGGCACAGAGATGCTTGCTGAGAGCTGCTTATCATAGGAAATGATGGGAAATAACTGAAATGCTCATCCAATAATGACTGCTTGAACAAGATGTGAAAGATATGGTACATCAGGCAGCGGTTTTTTGTTTTTTGTTTCCTGACAATGGGCCTTGTCTGTCATCCAGGCTGAAGTACAGTGGTGTGATCTCAGCTCACTGCAACCTCCATCTGCTGGGCTCAAGCAATCCTCCTGCCTCAGCCTCCCAAGCAGCTGGGACCAGAGACGTGACCCACCATGCCTGGCTAATTTTTTTAAAACATTTTTTGTAGAGTCAGGGTCTTGCCATGTTTCCCAGGTTGGGATGAGGCAGCAAGGTACTTTTTTTTCTTATTTTTTTATTTTTAAAAATAAAGATGGTGTCTCACTATGTTGACCAGGCTGGACTCAAACTCTTGGCCTCATGTGATCCTCTCATCTTGTTCTCCTAAAGTGCTAGGATTACAGGCATGAGCCACTGTGTCAGCTTAGCCAGCAGTTTTAAAAGAGCTATGTCTGTATTGAAGAGCAGAGGTGGATCTCCAAGACATATTACTGAGTGAAAAGGGGGTCAGCATGATACATTTGGTAGAATGCTGATTGTGTAACATTCCCCCTTTACACACATAAAATGAAACACTGTGGAAACACTTAGACAGCAAGACAGGCTGGAAGGATGTAAACCAAACTGAGTTGCTACCTCTGGGAAAAGAGTTTGGGAGTGACGCTTTTACCTGTAATCCTTTCATTTCTAAAAGTGAGAATAGATTGGTCTGTTACTTTTGTCCCAGCCATCTTCCTTCTTTTTAAAAAATGTGTTTTATTTTTTATTTAAACGGAGTCTCGCTCTGTTTCCCAGGCTGGAGTGCAGTGGCACGATCTTGGCTCACTGCAACCTCCACCTCCCAGGTTCAAGCAATTCTCCTGCCTCAGCTTCCCAAGTAGCTGGGATTACAGGTGCCTGCCACCACGCCTGGCTAATTTTTGTATTTTTAGTAGAGACTGCTTTTCACCATGTTGGCCAGGCTGGTCTCTAACCCCTGACCTAAAGTGATCTGCCTGTCTTGGCCTCCCAAAGTGCTGGGATTACAGGCATAAGCCACCGCACCCGACCCATCTATCTTCTTTGGGGACATTGCACCCCTATGTGGAGAAAATTTCATCCCAACCGTTTGCTTCCTTGGACTAAAATAATTCTACCATAGGTCAGGTCAGAAATAAACAGCATTCTGCAGGAAGCAGTGGCTCATGCTCCTGTAATCTCAGCACTTTGGGAGCCTGAGGTGAGAGGGCTGCTTGAGGGCAGGAGTTTGAAACCAGCCTGGGCAACATAGTGAGACCCTGTCTCTATTTTTTAAATTAATAAAATAAAATAATAATAATTAAAAGAAAGAAAGAAACAGGCTGAGCATGGGGGCTCACACCTGTAATCCTAGCACTTTCGGAGGCCAAGGCAGACGGATCGCTTAACCTCAAGAGTTCAAGACCAGCCTGGGCAACATGGTGAAACCCCATATTTAATAAAAGTACAAAAAAAAGGCCGGGCGCAGTGGCTCACGCCTGTAATCCCAGCACTTTGGGAGGCCGAGGAGGGCAGATCACCTGAGGTTGGGAGTTCGAGATCAGCCTGGCCAACATGGAGAAACCCTGTCTCTACTAAAAATACAAAATTAGCCGGGAGTGGTGGCACATGCCTGTAATCCCAGCTACTCAGGAGGCTGAGGCAGGAGAATCTCTTGAACCCAGGAGGTGGGGGATGCAGTATGCTGAGATTGCACCATTGCACTCCAGCCTGGGCAACAGGAGCAAAACTCCATCTCAAAAAAAAAAAAAAAAAGTACAAAGCAATAATTAGCTGAGCGTGGTGGCTTTCACCTGTAGCTCCAGCTACTTGAGGGGGCTGAGGTGGGAGGATTGTTTGAGCTCAGGAGGCAGAGTACAGTGGTGCAATCTCAGCTCATTGCAACATCTGCCTCCCGGGTTCAAGCGATTCTCCCCGCTCAGCCTCCTGAACAGCTGGGATTACAGGCACAGTGAGATCCCACCACCATACTCCAACCTAGGTGACAGAGTGAGACCCCGTCCCAAAAAAAAAAACAAAGAACACCCCCAGCCCCCACCAAAAAGAAAGAAAGAAAGAGAAAAGAAAGAAAGAAAGAAAGGAAGGAAGAAAAGAAAGAGAGCGAGAGACAAAAAAGAAAAGAAAAGAAAAAAATGAAAGGAAGGAAATAAGGAAGAAAGAGCAATCCTTAGGGGTGAACCCAGAAATTCTGCAAACATTCTAGTTTGAATCACCTCCGGTTAGATGTCCAGACCCATGAGCCAACAGTGACTTATTCCAGAGTGAAATTCCTTCAGGGTAGGAGAGCCATCGAGTTAGTTTGTAGTGGGCTGAAGTCTCCTGGAAATGAGGTCGGCAGATATATATTGGAAAGCAAAGATTTGGTTTCAGGAAGCAATATCACCTACTCTAACTAATAAAACACAAAAACCACTTTGAAGCATTTTCAAGGAATGAATATGAACAAGTTCAGACATTATGCAAAGGGCAGTTGAGAAAGCCATTTCATTTCAGCCACTTCCCACCCCCTCACTGACTAAATATATGGCCACATGCATCTCACCGACAGGACGGGCAAATAAATGGCCCTTGTGTTCATGACAAGGAGCTGTGGATAGAATTCTGCAGTGTGCTCTTTTCTGTCCATCACTTGTTAAACGCCTGCCAGCTTTGGGAAAACAGCTAGGGGAGTTACTAGACAAGACAAATGATATTCCCCACAGCCCCCCATCCCCCACAACCACCACCAATCAGGGCACCCAGCCCTGACCCCATCTTCCAGGGCAGAAGGAAGCTCCAGGTTTGGAGCCCGGCAGCCTCAGGTCTGGGTTTCCAGCCTTCTTCGGATGTGGCACAGCCAGACCTTTCAGTGTTTCTCAAAGTGGGCCTCCCGAAGGGGTGCCACCCAAGCTGACTTTAGATGACACACAGACTGGGCACTAAACACTGAATCTCATAGTGAGAAAGCCATTTCCCTCCTATGACCATGCTGGTTCAATGCCATTTGGCCGGGAGAAAGTCTCAGCTTGAGCTAGCCTGTCTTTAACACCTAACATTGGCCAATCTCCCTTTTTAACAAAGAGAAAGCCGGCCCCACGCTTAGGTCATTCCACTGCTAACAGCATCTAGCTAGAACTGTGTTTGGCAATTGATCATGGTTTTCCATGAACATTCTATTTTTTTGGTGTTGTTTTTTTTCCAGTTTAAAAGTGAATCCACCAGATAAGGGAAAAGCTAACAAAATCCTAATAAAGTATAAAGTTAAATTAACAATAGTGTAACTATAATGGTTCATTGGTCTTGACAAATGTACCATAGTAATGTACGATGAACAGTTAAGAAAAACAATAAGAAATCCGTAGAGGGTGGATAGAGCCCTCTGTACTATCTTTGCAACTTTTTTGTAAATCTAAAACTATTCTGAAATAGAAAGCTTATTTAAGCCTGGTTGCAGTGGCCCACCCCTGTAATCCCAGCACTTTGGGAGACCGAGGCAGGTGGATCACCTAAGGTCAGGAGTTCAAGACCAACCTGGCCAACATGGTGAAACCCCCATCTCTACTTAAAATACAATACTTAGTCGGGTGTGATGGCGCGGGCCCAGCTACTTGGGAGGTTGAGGCAGAATTGCTTGAGCCTGGGAGGCAGAGGTTGCAGTGAGCCAATATCGTGCCACTGCACTCCAGCCTGGGTGACACAGCAAGACTCCCTCTCAAAAAAAAAAATAAAAGAAAGAAAGAAAGCTTATTTAAGTACCTTTAGTGCCCCCTACCATAAATCTATGTTTTTTTTTAAGTGTATATATGGAGAGAAATAAAGAGAAAGCAAATTGTAAGCTAGGCGAGGTGGCTCACACTTGTAATACCAGCACTTTGGGAGACCAAGGGAGGCTCTCTTGAGTCCCTGGAGTTTGAGACCAGCCTGGGCAAAATGGAAAAACCCTGCCTCTATTAAAAAAAAAAATACAAAAACTTAGGTGTAGTTCCAGCTACTTAGGAGGCTGAGGTGGGAGGATCAGTTGAACCTGGGAGGTTGAGGCTGCAGTGAGCCATGATTGTGCCACTGCACTCCAGCTTGGGCAGTGTCTGTGCAGGGTCTGCTGGGCAACGGAGCAAGACCCTGTCTCAAAAAAAAAAAAAAAAGAAGAAAGAAAAGAAAAAGCAAATTGTGGCAAAAATGTTAACAATTGGTGAATCTAGCTAAGGGGCTATATGGATGTTTTTCACACTATTCTTTCAATTTTCCTGTAGGTTTGAAATTTGTCAAAATGAAAAATTGTAGGGGGAGGACGTTAATCAATTTAAATACAAATATTAAGTACATAAGAGCCCAGGTTGCAAATGAATATGGCCAAAGTTGTGAAGGTGGGACCTGAGTTGGTGGCATTTGGTGGACCCTAGGCTACAAGATAGCCTGGCAAATAGCAGGGACAACTGAAATGATTTTTTTTTTTTTTAAAGAGACAGGGTCCTTGAACTCCTGGCTCAAGTAATTCTCTCATCTCAGCCTCCTGAATAGCTGGGACTACAGGCTGAAACCACCGTGCCTGGCTAATTTTAAATATACATATATATATATACAGAGAGAGAGAAAGAGAAAGAGAAAGAGAGAGAGAGAGAGACGGAGTCTCGCTGTTGTCGGCCCGGGCTGGGGTGCAATGGTGAGATCTTGGCTCACTGCAACCTCCACCTCCCAGGTTCCAGCAATTCTCCTGCCTCAGTCTCCTAAGTAGCTGAGATTACAGGCGTCTGCCACCAGGCCCAGCCATTTTTTGTATTTTTAGTAGAGATGGGGTTTCACCGTGTTGGCCAAGCTGGCTTCGAACTCCTGACCTCAGGTGATCCACCTGCCTCGGCCTCCCAAAGTGCTGGGATTACAGACGTGAGCCACTGCACCCGGCCTTCTTTTTATTTTTTTGAGACAGAATCTCGCTCTGTCACCCAGGCTGAAGTGCAGTGGTGAGATCTTGGCTCACTGCAATCTCTGCCTCCCAGGTTCAAGTGATTCTCCTGCCTCAGCCTCCTGAGTAGCAGGGATTACAGGCGTCCACCACCACACCCGGCTTTTAGTAGAGACGGGGTTTTGCCATGTTGGCTAGGCTGGTCTTGAACTTCTGACCCCAGGTGATCCACCTGCCTCAGCCTCCCAAAATGTTGGGATTACAGGCATGAGCCACCCCGGCCGGACTATATATATATTTTAGAGATGAAGTCTCACCATGTTGCCCAAGTTGGTCTCAAACTCCTGGCCTCAAGTGATCCTTCTGCCTCGGCCTCCCAAAGTGCTGGGATTACAGGTGGTGCCTGGCCTGGGATGATATTAAACGACCTCGCAAGTCCCTGAGCACCCACACCCACTCTCCATTACCCCAGAAGCTTCACCATCCATGAGGGTTCCCCCACATAGGTGTCCTTGGAGAGTGCAGAGGGCATTTCAAGAGCTCAAAGCATCTGTAAGCCTTGTAGTGAGTCGAGGGACCAACTTTCATCTCCCACCCCTTGACAACCAGAGAGTCCCTCTCCCTCTCCCAAGCCTCCACATGCATACACTCTCCAAATGCTGCAGCATTTCTCACACTGTCAAATGATTTCTGCACCTCTATTCATCCTAGAGCATTCTCATCCTGTTAAGAGGGCAGGAATATTCATCCCAGAGTCTAGAACAAGGAAGAAATACTCAAGAGTGGCCAACACCTGTAATCCCAGCACTTTGGGAAGCCAAGGCAGGAAGATTACTTGAGCCCAGGAGTTTGAGACCAGCCTGGGCAACATAGCAAGACCCCCATCTCAACAAATACTTTTTAAAAATTAGCCGGGCAGCCAAGCACGGTGGCTCACACCTGTAATTCCAGCACTTTGGGAGGCCGAGGCAGGCAGATCATGTGAGGTCGGGAGTTCGAGGCCAGCCTGGTTAACATGGTGAAACCCCGTTTCTACTAAAAATACAAAAACTTAGCTGGGGTGGTGGCACGCACCTGTAATCCCAGTTACTCGGGAGGCTGAGGCAGAATTGCTTGAACCTGGGAGGCAGAGGTTGCAGTGAGCCGAGATCGTGCCACTGCACTCCAGTTTGGACAACATGAGGGAAACTCCATCTCAAAAAAAAAAAAAAAAAAAAAAAATTAGCCAGGCATGGTGGCACGTGCCTATGGTCCCAGCTACTCAGGAGGCTGAAGTGAGAGAATCTTGAGCCTGAGGAGTGGAGCCTGCAGTGAGCTGTGATGGAACCATGCACTGTAGCCTGGGTGACGGCAAAACCCCGTCTCAAAAAAAATTTTTTAAAGGAAGAAATACTCCAGTGGGAGACAGACATATAAATAAGGACCCACGGCCAGGTGTAGTGTCTCACACCTGTAATCCCAGCACTTTGGGAGGCTGAGGCGGGTGGATCATTTGAGGTCAGGAGTTCAAGACCAGCCTGGCCAACATGGTGAAACCCTGTCTCTACTTAAAAAAATATAAAAATTAGCCGGGCAGTGGTGGTGTGCGCCTGTAATCCCAGCTACTGGGAGGCTGGGGCAGGAGAATCGCTTGAAACCAGGAGGCGAAGGTTGCAGTGAGCCGAGATCACGCCACTGCACTCCAGTCTGGACAACAGAGTGAGACCCTGTCTCAAAAAAAAAAGAAAAAAAATAGGGACCCACAAAACCAAGTGCTCAGTGCAGGGGCAGAGCAGTAGAGGCAGGGGGATGGACCTCTGCCTTTGAGGACCAAGGGGGTATCGCAGGAAATTATGTCAACAGGGTCTTGAAGGATGAGAAAACAGAAAGCTTCCCCGATCTTTCTAGATTGATACTCTGACCTGGCCCTCAAGGGAGGGCCATGCCCGGCAGCTTAAGGGTCCTGCAGAGCCTTTTGGTCTCTGACCCCAAATCCACTGGAACAATCTCAGTCCTTTTAAGGTGCCAGCCTCTCTCCTGTGTCCTGTGGTTCCCCCAGCCTGGATCTCTGTAGGTCCCACCCACCTTGCCTTTCACCTGGTTAATACCTTAACTCAACCCGCTGGAATCCAGCTAAGGAGTCTCAATCTCCCACAGCCTTCTCCAAGCCCCCACTCTGGGCACAGTGCTCCTCTACCAAGCATCCTGGCTGCCCCATCAGGGCAGAACTGGGTGAGCACATGGACCCTGGAGTTCCATCCTGGCTTCTCCGCTTCTGAGCTGCATGACTTTGGGCAAGTAACTTGGCCTCTCTGGGCCTCCATTTCCTCATCTGTAAAATGGGGATGACAACAGTGCCGCATTGCGCTGCTGTGAGCATTAGGTGAAATAATACTTGGCTTCTCGATGTGTATACAGACCAGCAGATTGGGCATCCCCTGGGAGGTTGCTGGTGCAGCATCCCAGGCCCCACCCCGGAACTACAGAACCAGATTCTGCAATTTTTTTTTTTTTTTTTGGAGACAGAGTCTGACTCTGTTGCCCAGGCTAGAATGCAGTGGTGCGATCTCAGCTCACTGCAACCCTCTGCCTCCCAGCTTCAAGCAATTCTCCTGTCTCAGCTCTCAAGGAGTAGCTGGGATTACAGGCACATGCCACCATGCCTGGCTAATTTTTTTGTATTTTTAGTAGAG
Source organism: Homo sapiens (assembly GCF_000001405.40). NCBI lineage: Eukaryota > Metazoa > Chordata > Mammalia > Primates > Hominidae > Homo > Homo sapiens. The sequence continues at coordinate 50,700,252 of NC_000020.11, forward strand.
ACAGAGTTTCACCATGTTGGTTAGGCTGGTCTCAAACTCCTGACCTCAGGTGATCTGCCCGCCTCAGCCTCCCAAAGTGCTGGGATTAAAGGCATGAGCCGCTGTGCCCGACGTCTGCATTTTCTCAGGATCTCTAAGTGATTCACATACATGTTAAATGTGACAAGCACTGAAACATTATATGTAAAATACTGAGACTGCCTGACACATACTTGGCTCCTATTAAATGTATGTTGTTGTTATCATCATCATCATCATCATCCCACAGTATTGCCTGTTTTCTCATCCTCCTCCACCTGAGAGGAAAGACCACAGAGGGAGCATTTAAGCCAGCCCTAGTCAGAGGAGAATCACCAATCCCAGTGGTCTGAACATGAATGCCTGCAAACCTTGCCACCAAGGGCTACAGTACTCTGTGTCACGACTGCCATGGGCACCACGGCATCCTTGTGCCTAGAGTGGAGGGGGAGCTTGATAAACGCTGCGTGATTTTAAGTCATTTGTCTAATTCACATGGAAAAGCCAGACTGGAACCAGGCAACATCACTCTTGGCTGAGCCCTTTTGGACTCATTACTTCCCAATGCTCAAGCATCCTTTGGATGAAGAGCAGAGACAGAGCCTGAGTTTGGGGAGAGGATTAGGGGATGGTGCTTAACAGAAGGAAGAGTCTCCAAACCTATTCTACTTGGTAAAATCCATCATTTGCCTAAGGATAATGGCACAAAAATTCTCCCCCATGATCAACCCCATCTACCTTCTGCCCTGATGAGAATGGTCAGATTGCTGGAGTCTTTCTGGAGATAAATATTCTAATCCATCACTACTAGGCGTCTCCGCTACTCTCATCTTCACCCATCCTGAGCCTCATTTCAGGCCCCTTTGATCCCATGTGACTAATCTATCAGATAGAAGTCGGTTCTGTGGAGCTGGTGAGGCCTTTGGAATGACAAGCTCTCCCTCTGGCCTCAACAAGGACCGTAAACCTTGGTTCAGCCGAGGAATGAATCTGCCCTGAAATCTGGGGGCCTTATCAGTTTTGGAGATTAGCAAAGGCCGAGTCCTGACCTGAAAGAAAATCCCAGACACTCGCCACACTCCCTTTGGGACTCTGCAAAGTCAAATTTTTTCAGAAACCAATTCCAGTTAAGTAAATAGTTTCTGCACATGAGTGCCCACAGGGTTCCTCAGAGGACCTGACATTCTCCACTTGGTGACTGTCATTTCCTTACAAACACAACATTGAAAGCGATCTTTGCATTCCCAAAATGATTCCGCCAGCTGAGGAATTCTACAATTCTTCTTGAGTTCAAGGCTGCCACTTTATTTATTGTGTGCTTTTATGACAACAGCCCCTAAATGCATCCTGTATGATTTGATAAGGGCCTCTTGGCCCCACTGCCCCCATCCCATGTGTGTCTTTCTTTGCCACAAATTTCCAGCACACTGTTCAAATATGTACCACCTAAATTGAACCCTCATGCTGGGAGCACTAATGGGACGCCCCTTCAAAGCGACTTTCTGTAACCCAACAGTTTACATGTTGCTGGAAACAATGGACTTAAGCACACAATTTATTTGTGTTGGCTGGTTTCATGCTGGTTGGAATCTGCTTTGGGGGGAAAACAAACTCTGCATCTGTTTAGATTTATAATTTATATTGAAAGCACAAATACCTCATAATAGGGCTAGAATGAGACCCAGTTATGGGCAGGAGTCACCATATATGCTGGCTTTGTTCTTTCATGAATGCACTAAGAGATTACAAACTGCCTTTTTTTTTTTGGAGACGGAGTCTCACTCTGTCACCCAGGCTGGAGTGCAGTGGCACAATCTCAGCTCACTGCAACCTCTGCCTCCTGGGTTCAAGCAATTCTCCTGTCTCAGCCTCCTGAGTAGCTGGGATTACAGAGGTGTATACCACCACGCCCGGCTTTTTTTTTTTTTTTTTTTTTTATTTTTAGTAGAGACGTTTTGCCATGTTGGTCAGGGTGGTCTGGAACTCCTGACCTCAAGTGATCTGCCCAACTTGACCTCCCAAAGTTCTGGGATTACAGGCGTGAGCCACCGCGCCCAGCCGACAAACTGCTTTTTATAATATTTAAGCCATCCTCTTTATTCCCCCACGCAACCCGCCGCCTCCATCCCTGAGAAACATCTGCGGCAGGGGCCGTGCCCTGCCTGCCTGCCTGCCCTCTACACAAGCACTCTGATCTGGCTCTTTTCCCTGCTGCCCTGTGGAGGGGCCTACTTTGTGCATAGTCCTGGTACCCAACATTTGGGGGCTTCCCGGGGGGGCCAGCCACTGTTCTTAGTGGCTTGCATCAACTACCTCACTCCATCCTCACCACCCTCCCAAGCAATGGCATCCCCATGATCAGGGATTCCTCCATGATCAGGATGAAACTGAGGCACTTTCCCAAGGTCCCACAGCTTATAAGTGACAGAGCCAGGATTCTAACTCAAAGGGTCTTGCTCTAGAATCCATGCTCTCAAATCTTAGGTGCTTTTGCAGCAAAATCTACAGAATAAGTAGCTGGATTGCTCCATTGCCTTGACTTTTCATTGCAGTTGAGTTGGAAGAGAAATAAGGCAAGTGGCAAGAAAATAAAATATCATGCTTAAAATAAAATATCATAACCACTAAAGCAAAATGAGATCATGCTTCCCAAACGAAACCAAACAAGACCAAAACAAAATCTGGAACAGAACATATTCACCTGAGTGCAGTGGCTCACACACCTGTAATCCTAGCACTTGGGGAGGCCAAGGCAGGAGATTGCTTGAGGCCAGGAGTTTGAGACCAGCCCAGGTAACATAACAAGACCCCCATCTCTACAAAAAATTTAAAAATTAGCCAGGCATGGTGGCACATGCCTGTAGTCCCAGCTATTTGAGAGGCTAAGGCAGGAGGGTTGCTTGAGCCCAGAAGGTCAAGGCTGCAGTGAGCCGTCATCGCATCACTGCACTCCAGCCTGGCCAACAGAGAGAGACTCTGTCTCAAAAAAAAACCAAAAGGGCCGGGCGCGGTGGGATTACACACCTGTAATCCCAGCACTTTGGGAGGCCGAGGCAGGCGGATCGCCTGAGCTCAGAAGTTCAACACCAGCCTGGGCAACACGGTGAAACCCCATCTCTGCTACAAATACAAAAAATTAGCTGGGCATGGTGACATGCAACTACAGTCCCAACTACTCAGATGCTGAGGCAGGAGAATCACTTGAACCCAGGAGACAGAAGTTGCAGTGAGCCAGGATCGAGCCACTGCACTCCAGCCTGGGTGACAGAGCAAGACTCCAGCTCAAAAAAACAAACAAACAACAACAACATCAAAACCCTAATCTTCTTCACCTTCTTCACCTCCATCTTCAGGCCCAGACAAAGAGATGCCAAGACCAGAGGGGAGGCTCAGGCTCCCAGAGGATCCTCCATCTGTAAGAAAGAGCCACAGGTTTCAGGACAAGGGGCAGAAGAGCGTATTCCAGGGAGCTTGCTGCCTGAATCACTACAAGCAGCGTCCCAGTAAACAGGCCTCCTGGAACCCGTGCATGTGCCAGTGCTGCCTCTCTCATCAAAGGTGAGCCTATCTCTCCAACCACCTGCAGCAGGTTGGCACTGTGACATGCTTTGACACACAGATGAGGTGGAAGTGACTGTGCACCACTTTGGAACCAGGCCTCCACTTTGCACCTTCCACCTCTGTTTTTACTTTTTTTGGAATTTCTTCTTTTCTTTTTCTTTCTTTTTTTTTTTTCAGATGGGGTATTGCTCTGTTGCCCAGGCTGGAGTGCAGTGGCATGACCATGGCTCACTACAGCCTCAAACTCCTGGCCTCAAGCAATCCACCTGCCTCAGCCTCCCAAAGTGCATTAGCTACCATGCCTGGCCTGTTTATTGGAACTTCAAGACCACAAATGGGAAAGAAGCTGGGCTAGCCTCCTGGAAGGTGGAAGCCCGGCTGGGCACGGTGGCTCACACCTGTAATCCCAGCGCTTTGGGAGGCCGAGGCAGGCAGTTCACCTGAGGCCAGGGGTTCAAGACCAGCCTGGCCAACATGGTGAAACCCCATATCTACTAAAAATACAAAAATTAGTCGGGCATGGTGGTGCATGCCTGTGGTCCAAGCTACTTGGGAGGCTGAGGCAGGAGAATCACTTGAACTCGGGAGGTGGAGGTTGCACTGAGCTGAGATTGAGCCACTGCACTCCAGCCTAGGCAACAGAGCGAGACTCTGTCTAAAAAAAAAAAAAAAAAAAAAAAAAAAAAAGTGTGAGCTGAAAGAGCCGGTGAAGTGACCCATTGCAAGAGGAGGGAAGAATGCTTGAGGCTGAGGGGAAGAACCTGCACAGGTGGTTCTTACCAGGAGGGGTTAGGGGAATCTAGAATCTGGCTCCATTTTACATATAAATACAGAGCACTTTTTGCATAGTTTTAACAAACACTAAATTTTCCTGGAATGCAGTGACCATGTAAATTGAGAGAGGCCTGTGCTTAACTTCGTTCAGGAATTCACCAAGCACTGTTCACTGCTCTGGAGTAACAGTCCTGGCAGCAACTCCACCCAGCCGCAATGCCCCACACCTGGATCTTTCTGCAATGGTCGCTGTCACCTGCAAAGTGTTTCCACCTGTGAGTTCAAGCACCTGGATACTTCATTAGAACTTCCAGCATTAAAGTACATCTGATTTGATTATAAGTGACCTACCATTTAATCTCCTCGATTTTATAGTTTGAGAATTACACATAGATGTTTTCATGATCTGAGTATGTAGGTTATATTATTTATGAATTTCATTTCAGGGTAGACAAGGAGGCACTAGGTCTGGTAGGGCTGAAACCACAGGCATCTTCAAGCACCTCCTTTGGCTGTGTGAGAAGATGAACCAGGCTGACATAAGAACTAACAAGAGGTATGGAGTTAGAGCTCAGAGGGCCAGGAGATGATGTCAGAGGAGGATGTGGGGAAATCAGAGCCCTCATGCACTGCTGGTGGGGATGCAAAACCATGCAGCCACCATGAAAAATAGTCTCCAGATTTTCAAAAGTTTAAACATAGAATACAATTTTTTTTTTTTTTGAGACAGTCTCATGCTGTCGCCCAGGCTGGAGTGCAGTGACAGTCTCCACTCATTGCAACCTCTGCCTCCCGGGTTCAAGTGATTCTCCTGCCTCAGCCTCCTGAGTAGCGGGGATTACAGGCATCTGCCACCACATCCAGCTAATTTTTGTATTTTGTTTTAGTAGAGATGGGGTTTTGCCATGTTGGCCAGGCTGGTCTCAAATTCCTGACTTCAGGCGATCCACCCGCCTCAGTCTCCCAAAGTGCTGGGATTACAGGCGTGAGCCACTGCGCCCGGCCCATAGAATACAGTTTGAACCAGCAATTCTACTCCTAGGTATATACCCCAGAGAAATGAAAATATATGTTCACATAAAAGCTTGAACACAAATGTTCATAGCAGCATAGTCATAATAGCCAAAAAGTGGAAACAACCAAAATCTTCATCAACTAGGGAACGAATAAACAAAATATGGTCCATCCGTACAATGTGATGTGATTCAGCCATCAAAGTATGAACTACTGGCCGGGCACGGTGGCTCATGTATAATCTCAGCACTTTGGGAGGCTGAGGCGGGTGGATCACCTGAAGTCAGGAGTTTGAGACCAGGCTGGCCAACATGGTGAAACCCTGTCTCTACAAAAGTACAAAAATGAGCCAGGCATGATGGCAGGTGCCTATAATTCCAGCTACTTGGGAGGCTGAGGCAGAAGAATCACTTGAACCTGGGAGGCGGAGGTTGAAGTGAGCCGAGATCATGCCATTGCACTCCACCCTGGGTGAGGGAACGAGACTGTGTCTCAAACGAACAACAAAAAAAGTATGAACTACTAATACATGCTACAATGAATGGGGATGAATCTTGAAAACATTTTGGTAAGAACAGAAGCCAGACACAAAAGTCCACCTCTTGTAAGACTCCAATTATATGAAATGTCCAGAATAGGCAAATCTAGAGAGACAGAATGTAGAGGGGTGGCTGCCGGGGGCTAGGGCTGGGGATAGTGGGGAATGATAGCCAGTGGGTCTGGGGCATCTTTTGTAAGTTACGAAAATGTTCTGGAATTAAATAGTGATGATAGTTGTAGGACTCTGTGAATCTAAAAACCACATCCAAAGCTGGGCGTGGTGGTTCATGCCTTTAATCCCAGCACTTTGGGAGGCTGAGGTGGGAGGATCCCTTGAAACCAGCCTGGGCAACAGAGTAAGACCCCATCTCTACAAAAAAATTAAAAAATTAGCTGAGTGTGGTGGCATGCACCTGTAGTCCCACCTACTTGGGAGGCTGAGGTGGGAGGATCACTTGAGTCTAGGAGGTTGAGGCTGCAGTGAGCCATTATCGAGCCACTATACCCCAGCCTGGGCAATAAAGCAAAATCCTCTCTTAAAACGAACAAACAGCTCACACCTGTAATCCCAGCACTTTGGGAGGCCGAGGCAGGCGGATCACGAGGTCAGGAGATCAAGACCATCCTGGCCAACACGGTGAAACCCCGTCTCTACTAAAAATACAAAAAAATTAGCCGGGCAAGGTGGCAGTCACCTGTAGTCCCAGCTACTCGGGAAGCTGAGGCAGGAAATAGGAAATGGCGTGAACTTGGGAGGCAGAGCTTGCAGTGAGTGGAGATCGCACCACTGCACTCCAGCCTGGGCGACAGAGCGAGACTCCGTCTCAAAAAAAAAAAAAAAAAAAAAAAAACACATACGAAACCAAAAAGTGCATCTGTAAATTTAAAAAATTGTAAAAAAAGGAAAACAAAAAAGAGGAATCACTGAACTGTACAATTTAAAGGGGTGAATTTTATGGCACGTGAATGATATGTCAAAAAGCAAAGATGAAGCTGCAGAGATAAGGAGGGCACACCTAGGCTAATCTGGAGCCATTGAGGGCTTTAGGCATCACAGTGGCAATACAGGTTTGCGTTTTAGAAGGATCACTGTGGAGGATGAACTGGAGATGGGCAAAAACAGACAGCTTTAAAAGGTGACGAAGGGGGCCGGGCAAGGTGGCTCACGCCTGTAATCCCAGCACTTTGGGAGGCCGAGGTGGGCAGATCATGAGGTCAGGAGATCGAGACCATTCTGGCTAACACGGTGAAACCCCGTCTCTACTAAAAATACAAAAAAATTAGCCGGGCGTGTTGGCGGGCGCATGTAGCCCCAGCTACTCTGGAGGCTGGGGCAGGAGAATGGCGTGAACCCGGGAGGCGGAGCTTGCAGTGAGCGGAGATCGCGCCATTGCACTCCAGCCTGCGCGACAGAGCGAGACTCCACCAAAAAAAAAAAAAAAAAATGGTGATGAAGGGTGAGGCATTTGGAACAAGCCCGGCTTTGGGCTTGAGCAGCTGGTGGAGGCGGTGCCATTCACAGGAATGTTGGCAGCATCGTGTTGGGAGCAGTTTGCACTAACTTCTGTAACAGAGGTGCAATCACATACAGGGTTGATAAGATAAGAGCTGCGGCTGGGAGAAATTACTTCTGACTTTTGGCATCCGGGAAGGCATTTGGAAGAGGTGGCATTTAAGCAGAACTTTGCAGGTCAGCATAGGGCATACAAAAATTCGAAGGGCAGCCTAGGAAGAATGAGTTGCACCAGCATAGGTATGGGGGCTAGGAAATGCCCAGGTCTGCTGGGATTGTTTGGCCAGGTAAGATGAGAAACAACAATTATGATAACAAAACTAACCAAAAAGCATATCCTTCCATTTTTCACAACCTCTCTGTGAGGCAGTAGCATCTTTTAATAGGAGCCAAGATTCAAAGGAGTCCAGGTGACATACCTAAGGTTACACAACTATGAAGGGGCTGGCCAGTTTTGTTTATTTGTCCATTTTAAGAGACAGGGTTGGCTGGGCGCAGTGGCTCATGCCTGTAATCCCAGCACTTTCCATTTATTCTCCTCGAGGCGGGTGGATCACTTGAGGTCAGGAGTTCGAGACCAGCCTGGCCAACATGGCGAAACCCTGTCTCTACAAAAATACAAAAATTTCCCGGGTGTCATGGTGGGTGCCTGTAACACCAGCTACTCGGGAGGCTGAGACAAGAGAATCGCTTGAACCCAGGAGGCAGAGGTTGCAGTGAGCCGATATTGCACCACTGCACTCTAACCTGGGCAACAGAGCAAGGCTCTGTCTCAAAAACAAAAGAGACACGGTTTTGCTCTTTTGGCCATGCTGGAGTACAGTGGTGTAATCATAACTCACTGCAGCCTCAACCCCCCCAGGCTCACGTGATCTTCTCACCTCAGCCTCACGAGGAGAGGGATTACAGGCATGCACCACAACACCAGCTAATGTTTAAAAAAATTTTTTTGTAAAGATGGGCTGGGCACGGTGGCTCATGGCTGTAATCTCCACACTTTAGGAGGCCTACACAGGTGGATCACCTGAGGTCAGGAATTTGAGACCAGCCTGGACAACCTGGTGAAACCCTGTCTCTACCAAAAATACAAAAATTAGCCAGGCATGGTGGCATGCGCCTGTAGTCCCAGCTACTCAGGAGGCTGAGGCAGGAGAATCGCTTGAACCCAGGAGGCAGCTGGAGATCACACCACTGTACTCCAACCTGGGTGACACAGCAAGATTCCATCTCCACAAAAAAAAATTTTTTTTTTTTTTTGAGATGAAGTCTGGCTCTGTCGCCCAGGATGGTCTCGAACTCCTGGGATCAAGAGATCCTCCAGCCTTAGCCTCCCAAAGTGCTGCGATTACAAACGTGAGCCACCGCACCTGGCTGCTGGCCAGTTTTTAATCTCAGGTCTGTTTGAAAAATAGGTACACAGGTGAGTTCATGCCAACTTGTGGCTTGCAGACCTTATTTTTACAGTTAATAAAGTCATTCTTCCTCTTGAACTAGAAAACACTCTTCTCTGCATCTCTGTTTTGTATTACACATTCCAATCTCTCTCATCTTTCAATACGTTTTCTTGAGGGAGAAATTGTGTTCACTGTTTGGGAAATGTAATCTGCTCTACACAGGAGATGATTAAGGACTCTTGACACTTATATGTAGGGATGGAGAGTATGTATATTTTAGGTGCCAGAGAAACCATAATCTGTGAACAATATATCAATTGGGGTGATGACAGCTGCTTAATATTAAATACGAGATGTGGGTTCTTTCTGCTGCTTAACCTCCCTTACTTTGCTCTGAGCAATAACCATCAAAAACAAATACATATTCGTTGAATTTTTGTTTCATTCTGTTTGCATTCCAGCTGTTGAGATATAATCCTTTTTATATAATACATTTTAAAAAAATATTTGAATCTTTACCTTGTGGTTTTAACAGCCATGGAAAAAGTCCTGGCTGGGTGCAGTTGGCTTAATGCCTGCAATCCTAACACGTTGGGAGGCCAAGACAGGCGGATCACTTGAGCTCAGGAGTTCGAGACCTGCCTGGGCAACATGGTGAGACCTCCCTGGTGTCTACAAAATATTTAAAAATTAGCTGGGTGTGGTGGCACACACTTGTGGTCCTAGCTACTTAAGAGGCTGAGGTGACAGGATTGCTTGAGCCCAGGAGGTAGGGGCTGCAGTAAGCCATGTTTGCACCACTGCACTCTAGTAGGCAATAGAGTGAGACCTTTGTCTCAAAAAATAAAAATAAATAATAGGCCGGGGGGTGGGCGGCTCACACCTGTAATCCCAGCACTTTGGGAGGCTGAGGCAGGCAGATCACCTGAGGTCAGGAGTTCGAGACCAGCCTGGCCAACATGGTGAAACCCTGTCTTTACTAAAGATACCAAAATAAAAAATTAGCCAGGTGTGGTGGCACTCCCCTGTGATCCCAGCTACTCTTGGGAGGTTGAGGCAGGGAATTGCTTGAACCCGGGAGGTGGAGGTTGCAGTGAGCCAAGAACTCGCCACTGCCCTCCAGCCTGGGCGACAGAGTGAGACTGTGTCTCAAAAATAGATAAATAAATAAATAAATAAATAAATTTAAAAAATAATAGATAAAAAGGCTGATTTAAGGGCCCCATCCCAGGCCCAGTGAATCCAAATGTCCAGGAGAGATTGTTGTGTTTCTTGTTGTCGTTGTTTTGTTTTTGTTTTTGTTTTTTTGAGACAGGGTCTTGTTCTGTTGCCCAGGCTGGATGAAGTGGCTCGAATATGGCTTTCTGCAGCCTGGACCTCCTGGGCTTAAGCGATCCTCTCGTCTCAGCCTCCCAAAGTGCTAGGATTAGAGCCATGAACCACGGCGCCCAGGCTACTCTGCATCCTGACCAAACCTTAACATGGAATCTGTGTTATTTTTGTGGCTGACACCACCAGTGCCATTTGTTGGTTCCCTCTTTGCCAGATAAAGGTAAAGTTGTGTCGTGCTGCCTTGGGTCTGGGCCAAGGTAGTCTCGGCCTCTTAGAACCATATAGATTTTGACTGATCACCCCATTCACTCATAAGTGCAGACTACATGCCAGAACTATTTTGTTTTTGTTTTGAAACAGGGGCTCGTCGTGTCACCCAGGCTGGAGAGCAGTGACACAACCTTGGCTCACTGCTGTCTCAACCTCCTGGGCTTAAGCAATCCTCCTGCCTCAGCTTCCGGGGTAGCTGGGACTACAGATGCATGCCACCATGCGTGGCTAATTTTTGTATTTTTTTGCAGAGACTGAGTCCCTCTAAGTTGTTTAGGCTGGTCTTGAAATCCTGGGCTCAAGCAATGCTCCCACCTCGGGGTCCCAAAGTGCTGGGATTATAGGAGTGAGCCACTGAGCCCAACCAAAACTATTTTAGATACTGGAAATAAAGCAGGAAAAAAACTAAGTGTATGTCTTTCACAGAGGGCTTCGGGGAACTTAGGTTCTAGCGGGGAAGACAGACAAAGCAAGTAAATATGTCCAGAATCTGTCCTGAAGCAGAGAGCTGGGGGCTTGAGGGAGTGGCAGAGGCAACTTCGAAGGACCTGAAGGAGGGAAAGGGTGTGGGAGCTAGATTGCATAAAGGAGGAAAGATCACAGGAGATGGAAGGCTATTGTAAATTTAGCATTGACTCTGAATGCGATAAGAAGCTTTCAAAAAGCTTTGACCGGATGAGGGACACCATCAGACAGGTTTTACCAGAATCCTTTCTGGCTTGTGCAGAATCAACTGGAGAGGGGAGGGTAGATGTGGAGAGACCAGAGAAGAGTCTACTATAATAGTCCAAGCGTGAGATGGTGGTGGCTTGGAACAGGGTAGAAGATGTGGACGTGGTGAGAAATAGTTGGATTCTCGGTATATTTTGGAGGTCAAGCCAACAGGACTGGATGTTGAGGGTTGAGAGAAGTGAAGGAGTCAGGGATAATTCCTTTATTATTTTTATGATTTATTTATTTACTTATTTTTATTTATTTTATTTTATTTATTTATTTATTTTTGAGACGGAGTTTCGCTCTTATTGCCCAGGCTGGAGTGCAATGGCATGACCTCGGCTCACTGCAACCTCTGCCTCCCGGGTTCAAGCGATTATCCTGCCTGGGTAGCTGGGATTACAGGCACCTGCCACCATGCCCGGCTAATTTTTTATATTTTCAGTAGAGACGGGGTTTCACCATGTTGGCCAGGCCGGTTTCAAACTCCTGACCTCAAGTGATCTGCCTGCCTCGGCCTCCCAAAGTGCTAGGATTACAGGCATGAGCCGCCACACCAGGCCTGATTGATTGATTGATTGATTTTGAGACAGGGCCTCCATATGCTACCCAGGCTGGTCTCGAACTCTTGAGCTCAAGTGATCCTCCTTCCAAAGTGTTGGGATTATGGGGTGTGAGCCACCACACCCAGCCTGGGGATAATTCTAATGGTAGTCATCTGCAAGATACAACTGCAAAGATGGAGCTGTGATCTGCTTCTTGATGAAGAGGGAGGTGGGGAGTTCAGTGTGGACCATGTTAAGTGTGAGATGCCTACTAGACAGAAATAATGGAAGGGCCGAGTAGGCAACTATATATGCACGAATGGAGTTCAGGGGAGAGGCTGGGGACAGAAATATCAGTGTGAAGGCCACCAGCACACAGGTGGTATTGAAAGCCATGACCTGGATGAGATCACCTGGAAAAGAAGTCAAAGAAGAGAAGAGGTGCTTGGACAAGGAGGTCCTCAGCATTCAGAAGTGGGGGCCAATCACAGCTTCACTCCTTGGCTGGGCACTATGGCTCACGCTTGTAATCCCAGCACTTTGGGAGGCTGATGTGGGAGGATCGTTTGAATCCAAGAGTTGAAGACCAGCATGGGCAACATAGCAAGATAGTATCTCTACAAAAAAAATTTAAAAATTAGCCAGGCATGGTGGCATGTGCCTATAGTCCAAACTACCTTGCAAGTTGAGGTGGGAGGATCGTTTAAGCCTGGGAAGTTGAGGTTGCAGTAAGCCATGATCATGCCATTGCACTCCAGCCAGGGCAACTAGTGAGACCCGGTCTCTAAAAAAAAAACAAAACTTCACTCCACAGATGGGGGATCTGAACGTGATCAATTTAGTCACCAATCTCTGGACCTCCTTTGGTGTGCTGAGAGTGGAGGAGAGCGGAAAGAGAACTGGATTTACGTCCAAAAGACCTGCCCTCTGTCATTTACTGTGGGACCCTAAGCACAGCATTTCACCTCTTGGGAAATGCTGTGGAAACCAAAGGTGGGGGGTTGGGGCCAGAGCCTGGAGACCTTGGAAAGAACTGAGTACTATGCTAAGGGAGGGGGAAGGGAGGGGGCAGGGCAGGTTGCTGCCCCTGTAGCCCTCAGCAGAGGCCTCCTGTAACTCCTCTGGATGTGGCTTTTAGTTCTGGCAGGAGGTGATGAGTGTCTGACCTGGGGATGCTGTTACATGCTAACAGGGGAAGACCAGCATGTTAGAGGTTGTTTTTTTGTTTTGCTTTGTTTTGTTGTTTTGAGACATGGTCTCACTCTATCGCCCAGGCTAGAGTGCAGTGGCATGATCATAGCTCATTGCAGCCTCCACCCCCTGGGCTCAAGAGATCCTCCTGCCTCAGCCTCCCAAGTAGCTGGGACTGCAGGCATCCACCACCATGCTGGTTAATTTTTGTATTTTTTGTAGAGACAGGGTTTCGCCATGTTGCCCAGGCTGGTCTCAAACTATCCGCCTGCCTCAGCCTCTCAAAGTGCCAGGATTACAGGCATGAGCCACTGCGCCTGCCTGTGTTAGAGGTTTAGAATCAGGCAGCCACTTGAATATGGACAGTGACGGAGAAAGAGGGTTCAAAATAAAGTTAGAGTCCTGGATGACTGGAGAGATAGTGGTGCTGTTATCAGAGATGGATTACATGGGAGATAGAGCAGTGGAAGACAAATGATAATACTTAGGACACAAAGAGTTCAGAGAGGGATTAAAGTGTAGGGAGTGTCCATGGAATTTTGGTACATGGCCACTTCTTGTCCTTAAATAGCCTCCAAACCCACAGAAACATTATCTTTCCATATCACCCTAAAGACTGTGCAGCAGTGATGAGTAAAATGACTCTGACCTCAATTAAATCAAAATTCTAGGAATACACCAGCTCCTTTGGAGTTTCTTACTAACGCTCCTTTCTCTGTCTCTGATTCCCCACTTGCAGCTCAGACAGTGCCCTCTGTTGGAAACCTCAACCACAAATCCCCGTCCTCGACTCCATGGCGAGAAGGACCTAGAAGGAAACAAACACCTCCCAGGAGCCTTTCACACACATTGTTCTCATTTTATCCTTGCAGTTGCTTGGTGAGGTTACTGTGTCCAACCTGGGCAAACTGAGGCAGCTGCCCCAATCACAGCCAGAGCGGAGCTGAGATCGGAACTCAAGGCGGCTGCCTTCAAAGCTTGTGCTTCACTCCCTCTACCTAGCTGTAGCTGTAGGATGATTTGACAAGGGACTTGAAGATACAATCTCAAGGACAGAGGTTTGTTTTTTTTTGTTTTTTTGTTTTGAGATAGAGTCTCGCTCAGTCACCCAGGCTGGAGTGCAATGGTGCGATCTCGGCTCACTGCAAGCTCTGCCTCCCGGGTTCACACCATTCTCCTGCCTCAGCCTCCTGAGTAGCTGGGACTACAGGTGCCCGCCACCATGCCTGGCTAATTTTTTTTGTATTTTTAGTAAAGACGGGGTTTCACCGTGTTAGCCAGGATGGTCTCGATCTCCTGACCGCGTGATCAGCCCGCCTTGGCCTCCCAAAGTACTGGGATTATAGGTGTGAGCCACCGCGCCCGGCTACTGTTGATTCTTTTTTGTTGGTTGGTTGGTTGGTTTTTGAGACAGAGTCTCGCTCTGTTGCTCAGGCTGGAGCGCAGTGTCCCGACCTCAGCTCACTGCAACCTCCATCTCCTGGGTTCAAGCAATTCTCTTGCCTCAGCCTCCCTAGTAGCTGGTACTACAGGCACATGCCACCACGCCTGGCTAATTCTTGTATCTTTAGTAGAGACGAGGTTTCACCAGACCTTGGCCAGGCTGGTCTCCAACTCCTGACCTCAAGTGATCCACCCGCCTCAGCCTCCCAAAGTGCTGGGATTATAGGCATCAGCCACCGTGCCCAGCCTCTGTCGAATCTTAAACTAAAAAATTAAAGTGTGTATTTTGTATGTCTTTGAGGTTTTAAAATCTTATTTTTCTGGTAATTTATTTTTATTATATTTTACAGCAGTATCCACCTGCAACAGTTGGACAATTTAAAAAACCAGTACTTTAGCACTCTGAGAGGCACGGGGCTGCCGGAGAGAGAAGAGTTGTCTAAACTGAGGAAGGTAGCCAGGCGCGGTGGCTCACGCCTGGGATCCCAGCACTTTGGGAGGCCAAGAGGGCAGATCGCTTGAGCCCAGGAGTTCGAGACCAGCCTGGACAATATAGCAAAACCCCATCTCTATTTAAGTTTAAATAAAGAAGAATTTAAAGAAAAAATAAGGTGTGGCAGGTCCTCCATGTTTGGTGTATGAATGAATACATCACTGAAGGAATGACGTATGAGTGTGAGAGAATCAGCCACATGAAGAAAAATGCCCAGAATCCAGGTTTCTCATTTAGAGCCATTCAAAGGGTGAGAGCTTAGGATGTCAAGTTCATCACCAGACTTGATATGCACATCACTAAACCTGCACCCTTCTGATTTTAAAGATGGAGGTGGGAGACCTTTCTCCCCCAAGTCATAGAACTGATCAACAAAGAAAAAAAAATACCAAAAAGAGCCACATATAAATAACAAGCAATATTTACTGCTCGTGATTTTAAAACTCAGACTAGGTTAGTAGACTAAGATAAACATTCTCCTTACCATTTTCACCAAGTAACAGGAAAAACACAGCCCATATGCACAAACATCCTATTTTAAGGACTGCTGGTTTTTGGGTTTTGTTTTGAGACAGGGTCTCACTGGAGTACAGTGGTGCGGTCATGGCTCATTGCAGCCTCAACCTCCCTGGCTCAAGCAATCCTCCCATCTCAGCCTCCTGAGTAGCTGGGACGACAGTCGAATGCCACCACACCTGGCTAATTTTTTAATTTTTTGTAGAGACAGGGGGTTGCCCAGGCTGGTCTTGCACTCTTGCCTCAGCCTCCCAAAGTATTGGGATTACAGGTGTGAGTCACCACATCCAGTCAAGGACTACTGTTTGAAGTGGAGGCTTTTGAACACACTTACCCTGGGATGATGAAACTGAAGAGTGAGCAGGATTTAGCCCTAGGGTACAAGTTCCTCAACTACCTTGAAGTGCTTCAACTGTGCAGGAAACACCTTCCACCTAAAGTTTCTGCCTCTAAACAGGAGCAAAGATGCCCCACTCAAGAAAAGTTCCAGGCACACCTTGCTCCGTTTTGGAAATTCCCACTGGCACTTTCCAGAAACAAGTAGGTCCCTTTAAACTTAAAGGCACCTGGGGCCAGGTGCGGTGGCTCACGCCTGTAATCCCAGCACTTTAGGAGGCTGAGGCAGGCGGATCACCTGAGGTCAGGAGTTTGAGACCAGCCTGGTCAACATGGCGAAACCCCGTCTCTAGTAAAAATACAAAAATTAGCCGGGCATGGTGGTGCGCACCTGTAATCCCAGCTACTTAGGAGGTTGAGGCAGGAGAATCGCTTGAACCCAGGAGGAGGAGATTGCAGTGAGCCGAGATGGTGCCACTGCACTCCAGCCTGGGTGACAGAGTGAGACTCCATCTCAAAAAAAAAAAAAAAAAAAGGCACCTGGAATATGAAAATTGCATTTTTTTTTCCTGCAAAGTTGTGCAGTAGAAAGCAATGTCAGAGTAGCCCTCAGTCCTCATCCCAGGCTACTCCCATTCTTCTTGGCATAAATCTTTTAGGCAAACCTATTTATTCTCCCCTCTAAAGTGTCAATTTCACATCTGCAAATGGGATCATAATAATAATAGTACCTGGATTAAGGTGAGGATTAAATAGCAAAATGTGTGTAGAACCCTTAGCTTGGGCCTGACACAGTGAGCCTTTGATGAACACAAGCTTGGGGCTGTCTCTAATCACAAGCCAAAATAGAAACCCAGAGAAGTCTGGACCAGTGACAGATACCATTTATTCAGCATGTGCCATGTGCCAGAAACAGTGTTAAGATCTTTATTAGCTGTTGGGATGCTTTTCTTTTTTCTTTTTTTTTTTTTTTAAGAAACAGGGTTGGCTGGGCGTGGTGGCTCATGCCTGTAATCCCAGCACTTTGGGAGGCTGAGGTGGGTGGATCACTTGAGGTCAGGAGTTTGAGACTAGTCTGGCCAACATGGTGAAACCCCATCTCTACTAAAAATATAAAAATTAGCTGGGAGTGGTAGCAGGCACCTGTAATCCCAGCTACTAGGGAGGCTGAGGCAGAAGAATCACTTGAACCCAGGAGGCAGAGGTTGCAGTGAGCAGAGATTGTGCCATTACACTCCAGCCTGGGCGACAAGAGCAAAATTCTGTCTCAAAAAAAAAAAAAAAAAGAAAGAAAGAAAAAGGAAAGAAAGGAAAGAAGAGAAAGAAAAGAAAAGAAAGAAAGAAAGGAAGAGAAAGAAAGAAACAGGGTCTTGCTCTGTCACCCAGGCTGGACTACAGTGGCACAATCATAGCTCACTGCAGCCTCAAAATTCTGGGCTCAAGCAATCCTCCCACACCAGCCCCTCAAAGTGCTGGGATTACACACATGAGCCAGCATGCCCAGCGCTAGTGGAATTCCATTTTTTCTTTTTTTCCTGTGTGTGTTTTTTGTTTGTTTGTTTGAGACAGGGTCTCACTGTGTTGTCCAGGCTGGAGTGCAGTGGCACAAACATAGCTCACTGTGGCCTCAACCTCCTGGGTTTAAGTGATCCTCCTTCCTCAGCCTCCCAGTTAGCTGGGACTACAGTCATGCAACACCACGCCTGGCTAATTTTTGTATCTTTTGTAGGGATGGGATTTCACCATGTTGCCCAGGCTGGTCTCAAACTCCTGAACTCAAGCAATCCTCTCCTCAGCTTCCCAAAGTGCTGGGATTCCAGGTGTGAGCCGCCACACCCAGTTTGGTAGAATTCTTAGTACAACTCTTTGGAGTAGCTACTCTCAGTGTCTCATTTTATTTTACTTTTTATTTATTTATTTTTGAGACAGGCTCTCCCTCTTGTCACCCACGCTGGAGTGCAGTGACATGATCACAGCTCACTGCAGCCTCGACCTCCCAAGCTCAAGTGATCCTCCCACCTAAGCTTCCCGAAGAGCTTGGAATACAAGTGTGTGTTACCACACCTGGCTAATTTTGCAGAGATGAGGTCTCACTATGTGGCCTAGGCTAGTCTCAAACGCCTGGGCTCAAGTGATCCTTCCACCTTGACCTCCCAGAGTGCTGGGATTCCAGGTGTGAGCCACTGTGCCTGGCCCTGCATCTAATTTTAGAGAGCCAGAAAGGTGAGGTCCCCTGTCCAAGCTCTCCCAGCTCAGAGAGACTCCCTGCCTTGCTCCCCATCACCCCACTTGCATGACGTTCATGCTGCCCTCTTCTGTCCTCTTCTGTGTTTCTCAGCCTGAAAGCGTGGGCATCAACTCTGGCTGGCTTTGTTGTTGTTCTCAAGCTTCTGTCATCATTGGTATAATTTTACATAAACTTGGCATTCCTTTAAATTTCAGAAAATATGTTCACTTCTTAAATATCTCCTGGGGGAGATAAGAGTTCTATAAATGATTTCGTTCTCCCCGCCTTCGTGTTGAACTTAAAAAGGCGAAGTCACTGGATCTCCGTTAACAAGTCATGTTGTTTATTGGTTTATTTTCATTTTGGAAACTCTTCTCCATGGTTAACCACTCTTCCTCCTCCTTAAAAATTCCCATGAGGAATTCGGATCAGACGCTGGGGCTGTGGGGCAGATCCCCGGGAGGATATCATGTTTCTAGAAGGCTCCTGGAAGCCAACAAGCATTGCAACCTGACTCTTAACTGACTTTTTACCTGTAGGATTATCTCGGGGCAGGAGGAAAAAGACACAGGCAAGCTTTCTGGTCCCAAATAAAATGATGTATTTCGTGAAGGAAGAAAGTTTTAAACTAATAATAGAAATTCATTTGACCATAAAAAAGGCAATATAAAAGGGTAAGGACTCTGGAACCCAACTGCTTGGGTTTCAATACCACACAGCTCTGCCACTTATCTGTGTGATGCTGGCCAAGCTATTTAACGTCTCTGTGCCTTTATTTCCAATCTATAAATTGAGGATGATAACAGTACCTAAATCCATATGTTTTGATGAAGATAAAATAGGGTATACAAGGGACTGGAAGGTTTCTTGGGACTCTCAGGACTATAACTGGGAAAGTCACAAGCAAACTGATATGTGCCCATCACCTTAAGATGAAATGAGAGGCCGGGTGTGGTGGCTCGTGCCTGTAATCCCAGCACTTTGGGAGGCCGAGGTGGGCGGATCACTTGAGGTCAAGAGTTCGAGACCAGCCTGGCCAACATAGTGAAACTCTGTCTCTACCAAAAAATATAAAAATTAGCTAGGCATGGTGGTACGTGCCTGTAATCCCAGCTACTCAGGAGGCTGAGGCACAATAATCACTTTAACCTAGGAGGCGGGAGTTGCAGTGAGCCGACATGGCACTACTGCACTCCAGCCTGGGTGACAGTTAGACTCCATCTCAAAAAAAAAAAAAAAAAGATGAAATGAGAGTGTATATGTACCTTTATTTTATTTATCTGTTTTTAATTTTAAAATAATTTTTTATTTATTAATTAAGATGGGGTCTCACTGTGTTGCCCAGGCTGGTCTCGAACCTCTAGGCTCAAGGAGTCCTCCCACTTTGGCCTCTCAAAGTGTTGGGATTACAAGCATGAGCCACCAAGCCCAGCCTACATGTACCTTTAGAAACAACACCTGCACATTTTTTTTTTTTAGACGGAGTCTCCCACTGTCGCCCGGGCATGATCTTGGCTCACTGCAACCTCCACCTCCCAGGTTCAAATAATTCTCCTGTCTCAGCCTCCCAAGTAGCTGGGATTACAGGCTCCTGCCACCATGCCCGGCTAATTTTTTGTATTTTTGGTACAGACGGGGTTTCACTGTATTGGCCAGGCTGGTCTTGAACTCCTGACCTTGTGATCTGCTTGCTTCAGCCTCCCAAAGTGCTGGGATTACAGGTATGAGCCACCACGACTGGCCAACACCTGCACATTTTAATGCTCCTTCATCTTTTCTGTTTCTATTCGTGGCTGCCTCCAGCCATGGTTGATTCCTTGCCATTTGTAACTATGGTCCTCATTTCCTCAATATCCACTCTGCAGGGGCCCATGATATGCCTTTTATTCCTATCACTACACTGACTTGTTTCCCAAAGTTCCAAATACATGTCCTGGCCAGTCACGGGACAGCCATTAAGAGAATTTATTAAGTGCCAGGCAAAGAGCTTTTCAACAAATCCTTCAGACTTTTCTTCTTCCTCAATTTTCAGGCGACACGTAACTTAAAGGTTAAAATGGGGATGATAATAGTCTCCTCCCCTTGCGTGAATGCCCACAATGGTTTTTGCTTATCTGTCCACTCCTCCTCTGTCTCTTAATAGTTGAAGAGCCTGGTGTGGTGGCTCCTGCCTGTAATCCCAGCACTGTGGGAGGCAGAGGCAGGTGGATCGCTTGAACCCAGGAGCTGAGGCCAGCCTGGGCAACATAGTGAGACTCCATCTCTACAAAAAAATAAATAAAATTAGGTGGACATGGTGGCACATGCCTGGGGTCCCAGCTACTTTGGGGGGCTGAGGTGAGAGGATCGCTTGGGCCTGGGAAGTCAAGGCTGCAGTGAGCTGTGATTGTGCCACTGCACTCCTGTCTGGGCAACAGAGTGAGACTGTCTCTAAAAAAAAAAAAAAAAAAAAAACACCCAAATAGTTGAATAATATGAATTATAGTGACAATTTTTTGAGAGCTTACTATGTATAATACTAGGCACTATATCAAACCCCTTAAAAATATCTCATTGGATCCTTATGAAAAATCCAAGGAATAGGTACCATTATTATCCCCATTTTACAGATGAAGAAACTGAGTCAGGAAGGCCAGCTCACTTCCCCTAGTGGCAGAATCAGGACTTGAACCCAAGTATGACTCCAGAGTCCTTGCTCCAAGCATTTCACTATTCTGTTTCCTCTTCCTTCTCCTGCCTCAACTGTGCTTTCTGGACAAGTTTCTGCCTT
The DNA here is from genome assembly GCF_000001405.40 of Homo sapiens. Lineage (NCBI taxonomy): Eukaryota > Metazoa > Chordata > Mammalia > Primates > Hominidae > Homo > Homo sapiens. The sequence goes on from NC_000020.11 coordinate 50,720,903, forward strand.
GATGACAAGGCTCTGAGCAGGAAGCCTCACCTCTTCAAGACTCAGTCTGCTCTTCTTTTTTTTTTTTTTTTTTTTTTGAGATGGAGTCTTGCTCTGTTGCCCAGGCTGGAGTACAGTGGCACCATCTCGACTCACCACAAGCTCCACCTCCTGGGTTCACACCATTCTCCTGCCTCAGCCTCCCGAGTAGCTGGGTCTGCAGGCGCCCGCCACCACGCCCAGCTAATGTTTTGTATTTTTAGTGGAGACGGGGTTTCACTGTGTTAGCCAGGATGGTCTAGATCTCCTGACCTCGTGATCCGCCTGCCTTGGCCTCCCAAAGTGCTGGGATTGCAGGCGTGAGCCACCGTGCCCGGCCTGCTCTTCTTTTTTTTGAACAATATAAACATGGTGTATTAACACCAAATAGTTGTGAGGATGGAACGCTTGTGAAATGCATAGCACAGTGTTCCCAGCCACTGTGATCAGTATTATAGAAGAATTTTGATTATTACTCCATCAGTATGTTCCTGTTGTAGACTGAATTGTGTTCCCCAAAAAGATAGGTTAAAGTCTTAATCTCCAGTACCTGGGAGTGAGAACTTATTAGGACATAGGGCCTTTGCAGATGTAATAAAACTAAAATGAGGTCAGGCCTGGCATGGTGGCTTACACCTGTAATTCCAGCACTTTGGGAGGCCAAGGTGGGTAGGTCACCTGAGGTCAGGAGTTCGAGACCAGCCTGGCCAACATGGCGAAACCCCATCTCTACTAAAAGCACAAAAATTTAGCTGGGTGTGGTAGCAAGCACCTGCAGTCCCAGCTACTTAGGAGGCTGAGGCAGGAGAATCACTTGAACCCAGGAGGTGGAGGTTGCAGTGAGCCGAGATCATGCCACTGCATTCCAGCCTGGGCGACAGAGCAAGACTTCACCTCAAAAAAAAAAAAAAAATTAAAATTAGGTCATTAGAGTAGTCCTAAATCCAATCGCTGGTGCCCTTATAAAAATAGACACAGAAACAGACAGACAGACAGACACACACACACAGAGAGAACACCACGTGATGCATGTGATGATGGAGGCAGAGCTCAGAGTGATTCGGCTGCCAGTCAAGGAACACTAGTGATTGCTGGCAGCCACAGAGGCTGGGAGAGAGGCACGGAACAGCCTGTCCCTCAGAGCCTCCAGAAGGAACCAACCTTGCCAATACATAGATTTCAGACTTCTGGCCTCCAGAACTGTGAGACAGCAAAATTGTGTTGTGTTAAGCCACCCAGCGTGTGGTACTTTGTGAACAAATACACTTCCTGGCCAGGCGCAGTGGCTCACGTCTGTAATCCCAGCACTTTGCGGGGCCGAGGCAGGCAGATCACTTGAGGTCAGGAGTTCGAGACTAGCCTGGCCAACATGGTGAAACTCTCTCTACGAAAAATACAAAAATTAGTCAGGCGCGGTGGTGCACGCCTGTAATCCCAGCGACTCAGGAGGCTGAGGCACAAGAATTGCTTGAACCCAGGAGGCAGAGGTTCCAGTGAGCTGAGATCAAGCCACTGCACTCCAGCTTGTGCGACAAAGCAAGACTCTGTCTCAAAAACAAAACAAAACACACACAAAAAACAAATACAGTTCCCTTCCACAGCCTAAGTCCAGACCTTCACATTCTGTGCAAGTTCCTCTTCCAAGGGCCTCTTCAAATGCAGGCCTGCCTGCAGCTCTCTTTCCTCAAATCTGTCTTAACACACCAATTTCTGACTCCCGGGTCAAAAACCTGCGATGACACCTGAATACTTACATCAGTATTTCCTAAAGTTGCTTGAGATAAGGATCACCAGGATGACAGTCCAAATTACAGGTTCCCTGCTAGGTGTGGTGGCTCACGTCTGTAATTCTAACACTTTGGGAGGCCAAGGCAGGTGGATTGCTTGAGCCCACGGGTTTGAGACCAGCCTAGGCAAGAAGGTGAAACCCCATCTGTACAAAAAATACAAAATATTAGCCCGGTGTGGAGGCGCACACCTGTAGTCCTAGCTACTCAGGAGGCTGAGGTAGGAGGCTTGCTTGAACCTGGGAGGGCGAGACTGTAGTGAGTAGTGATTGTGCAACTGCACTCCAGCCTGGGTGACAGAGTGAGACCTTGTCTCAAAAAATAATAATAATTATAGGTTTCCTGGGCCCCGCTCCAGACTACCAGACATGAGATCACAGAAGAGGCGCTTGGAATCTGCATTTTTAATAAGCACCCAAGACAATTCTTTTCCTCAGTCACATTTGGGACACTCTGGCCTACAAGATAAAATCTGGAAGAGACTAAAGATCTTGCCTCGATGATCTCTATAAAATGGCGCCAGCCTCCCCATTCAAATGTCATCTCCCAAGGCTTCCCACTGTCTTTACATCCCTCCATGTGAACAGCCTGCCTCACTGTCCTCACCTTGATCAACCTCTGCTCAAACCTTTGTTCTTGCCATTCTCCTGCCCAGAACACCTCTTCCTTTTCTCCCATCATCTAGGTCTGATTCAGATGCCACAGATCTTAAAATTATTTCTAATTGTTCCAAGATAGCTTCTCAATGACCTCAGAATAAAATTCAATGTCCTTGTCATAGCCTGCAAGAGGCTGCATGATCTGGCCATGGTCGGTCTCTCTCTCTCTCTTTTTTTTTTTTTTTTGAGATGGAGTCTTGCTCTGTCACCCAGGCTGGAGTGCAGTGGCACAATCTCGGCTCACTGCAACCTCCACCTCCCGGGTTCAAGCAATCCTCCCACCTCAGCCTCCCAAGAAGCTGGGATTACAGGTGTGTGCCACCGCGCTCGGCTAATTTTTGTATTTTTAGCAAAGATGGGGTTTCACCATGTTGGCCAGGGTGGTCTCGAACTCCTGACCTCAAGTGATCTGCCCTCCTCGGCCTCTCAAAAGTGCTGGGATTATAGGCGTAAGCCACCATGTCTGGCCTCAGTCTCATTTTAAGCCATTCTTCTCCTTCACTCCAAGCTCCAGGCCTGGTCGGGTACAGTGGCTCATGCCTCTGTCTAAGCAAAGGCATGTACACGTGCATGGATGCACACACACAAGCACACACACAACACACACACACACACACTTGCTCCACTCATTTCACTCACTGTACCCTGTTTGATTAGTTGCCAACATTTAAAAATCAAGAAGTTTCACATAAAAACGTCCAGTCTCTAACTGGATGCAGTGGCTCATACCTGTAATGCCAGCATTTTGGGAGACCGAGGAGGGAGGATCGCTTGAGCTCAGGAGTTCCAGACCAGCCTGGGCAACATAGTGAGATCTCATCTCTACAAAAAAATATAAAAAACTAGCCAGTTATGGTGGCACACGCCTGTAGTCCTGGCTGCTCAGGAAGCTGAGGTGGGAGAATTGCTTGAGTTCAGGGTTTCAAGGCTGCAGTGAGCTATGATTGCACCGCTGTACTCCAGCCTGGGCAATAGAGCAAGACCCTGTCTCTGAAAAAAACAAACAAAAACCATCCAGCCTCTCTTAAAGAATCAGATCTGCCCACTTCAAAGCCCTCCTTCCCACGCAGCTGGAGCCATATGGACTGGAGGTGAGTCCCTTCTGCGGGGCGGAAGCTCTGGTCCCCTGCAGTCCCCACCCAGCCTCTCCTTCCACCCCACATTGGTGCACTTGCTGACTGTCTCTCACCCTTGTAACCTGGGCATTTAGCCTGTGCCTGGCTCTTAGCTACACCTTAATAAATATGTGCTGAATGAATGAAAAAATACATGAATGGATGCCTTCCCTCCTCCCTAAACCCCCCAGGCCACACCACTTATTTGGCCATTTAATCACAGCCTTCCTTGCAAGTCTCACTAATTTGCTGCCCCACTGCCTGCCTCCTCAGTAGATGTTATTAAAACACAAATCTGATTCTTTCATTCCCCAGTTTTAAATGTGTGGAGTCTCCCAGCATAAACTCTGCACCATGGCCTCCGAGGCCCTTCTCAATCTGCTTCCCACCTACTTTTCCAGTCCCAATCTCCAGAGAGGGCCCCCACCCAGCGCACACCCACGCTCTACGCGCTGGCTGGGGAATACACCATGTTCTTTCCCTGCCCCCACACCACTGCCTGTGAAGCTCTGTCTCCTGGAATGCCTCCTCCCCTCCGTGCCTCTAGCAAACTCCTACTCATTCTTCAGCCCTAGCACTAAGTCACTTCACCCGTGAAACACTCCAGACCCCCCCTGCCCCGGGGCTGACTTAGTCATTCTCTCTCTGCTGCTCCCACTCTTCTCCTTTCATCCCCTGGCCTTAGCACTGAGTAATAGCTTAAAATAGCAGCTGGTGCTTTCTGAGCCCTGTTGTGTGCCAGGCACCAAGTGAGCTTTATCTCCCTTAATCCTCACGCCCCATCCTGAGTCCCGGCCCCCTAAACCTGCAGAAACACAAGGATCACTTTCTCACCTCCAATGTCCCAGAGAAGCCATCTTGCTACCCTATTTTAAATTTTCTTTCTCCCTCCACTCCTCACTCCACCACCTCAGGCCTCCCATCCCACTTCCCAGCTTTATTTTCCTCCATGGCTCTTATCACTTACACACTATATACTTAAATTCATTTATTTGCAAATGTCAGCTCCAGGATTTTGTCTTTTTTTAACACTACAATTTCCTTAACATCTGGAATACTACATGGGGCCGGGTGCAGTGGCTCGTGCCTGTAATCCCAACACTTTGGGAAGCCAAGGTGGGAGGACTGCTTGAGTCCAGGAGTTCGAGAACAGTCTGGGCAACATAGTGAGACCCTGTCTTTTTTTGTTTTGTTGTGTTTTGTTTTGTTTTTTGAGACGGAGTCTTGCTCTGTCCCCCCGGCTGGAGTGCAGTGGCGCCATCTCGGCTCACCGCAAGCTCCGCCTCCCGGGTTCACGCCATTCAGTGAGACCCTGTCTTTACAAAAATTTAAAAATTAGCCAGGAGCAGTGGTGCGAACCTGTAGTCCCAGCTACTTGGGAAGCTGGAACGTTTGCTGGAGGTAGGAGGATCACTTGAGCCCGGGAGGCAGAGGTTGCAGTGAGCTGTGATCATGCCACGGCACTCTAACCTGGACAACAGAATGAGGCTCTGTCTCAAAAAAAAAAGAAAAAAAAATAGACTAGTACCTGGCACATAATAGATACTCAATCAGTAATAATTTTTTTTTTTTTTAGATGGAGTTTCACTCTTGTTGCCCAGGCTGGAGTGCAATGGTATGATCTCAGCTCACTGAAACCTCTGCCTCCCGGGTTCAAGCAATTCTCCTGCCTCAGCCCTCCGAGTAGCTGGGATTACAGGCATGCAACACCACACCCGGCTAATTTTGTATTTTTTAGTGGAGACGGGGTTTCTCCATGTTGGTCAGGCTGGTCTCGAACCCCCGACCTAAGGTGATCCACCCGCCTCGGCCTCCCAAAGTGCTGGGATTACAGGCGTGAGCCACTGCTCCAAGCCTTATAATAATAATTTGTTTTAAAAAAAGAATAGAGACAGAGTCTCACTATGTTGCCCAGGCTGGTCTCGAACTACTGAGCTGAAGCAATCCTCATGCCTCGGCCTCCCAAAGAGCTAGGAAACAGGCATGAATCATCACGCCCAGCCTCAATCAATAATAATTAAATCAAAGAAGGTAGATACTATTACTACCTTCATTTTACCTGAGGAAACAAAGATTGAGAGACAAGTGTCCAGGGTTCCACAGCGGGGTGGTGGCAGAACCGCATGTGACCCCTGAATGGTCAAGTCTAGTGCCCGCCTCCTTAGCTGCTGTGCCCACCATCTCCAGGGGAGTTTATGGTTCCCTCTCCATGAGTCTGACTTCTCAGCTCGACCCTGAGTTCCTTGGAGGCAAGCACTCTGTCGCGTTCATGTCTGTTTCTTTGTCTGATCCATGGTAGGTGCTCCAGGAACGTTTGTTGGAGCAGTCTGTCCATGGAAGGTGCAGTGCTCAACGGCAGGAATCAATCACAGTGTCATTCTTTCGTTGTTGTTTTCCTTTATCTCCATGCACAATGTTATACATACAGTTGGGGCTCATTACATACATGCTACATTAATGAATTATATTATGACAGTAGGTAATAAAAATAATTAGACAGCAATAATGACAATAATATGTAACACTTAGGGCATCCTTACTCTCCGTTGGGCACTATCCTAAGTGCTTTGTATATGAATTAAAACAATTCATTGTCTTATTATGCTCATTTTACGGATGAGAAGACAGAGGCTCAAAGAAGTTAAGAACTTGCCTAAGGTCACATAGTTAGAAAATGGCAGAGGCAGGACTCAACTGTATGTATCTGGCTTGAGTCATGCTCTTAATGATTGCTCTTGGCCTCTCTGAGGGATGTCTACTGAGAGGTTACCCGGTGTGAAAACAAAAAGAAGCATTTATTTATTACACATTTCCATTTTATTTCAAGGAACTCCTTTCAAAGGCTTTGGTAGGCAACATTATTTGCTAAATGAAACCCAGTAATATCTGTACCAGACTTGATGGTTTGCAGAGCAGTTTCATGTATGGTTCCTCATCTGAGCCCTGCAACAATCTGGTGAGGTAGGCATTGCTGTCTACTTCTGTTTATAGAGGAACAGAGGAGAAATCTGAGGCTCTGAGTGGTTAAGTGAACAGGGTCAAGGTCACCCAGACAGCAAGGAGCAGAGCAACGACTCAAATAAATGTCTATCAGTTTAAAAAACAAAGATCTGATGCCTCCAAATATGAAGTTATTTCATGCAACTTAAAATCAAATAAGTAAATAGCAGCTTAGCCAGTTTCTGGCACCTGGTAGGTCTCATAAATGTTAACTATCAACTATCTTCATCAACACCTCCTGGGAAGTGGAATAGTTTGGCTGATGACTGCAGCCTGTCTGTTGACCCTGATGGAAAGATTATTATTTTCATTCCAGTTCATCCCTGGTAATGTTGAAATAATGATCAATCTCCATTATCCCTGGAGTACCATAGAATGTTATGAGCTGGAAGGGGTTGTGGAGATGATCTCATCAGGTCCTGCATTTACAGATGGAGAAATTGAGTCCGAGAGAGGGGTCAGAAAGCAAACCCGTGGCAGACCAAGCCAAGGGCAAGGCTTAGGCACCGTGCCTGGCACATACTGCCTCCTGCAAAGCTGAGTTTTTACCTAAAAGGGCTCTCACGTCCTAAAGGCTACAGAAAACAATTCATTCGTCTCTCTGTCTGTGAGCACCACCACCCCAGCTCCGCGCAAAAAGCAGTACAGTATTATAAGCTATTAACCAGAAAACAGATCATGTGACTTAATTCCACCTCTGCTAAAGGGCTTAAAATGCTTCAGTGAGTAGTCTGATATTCGTAAATATACACTTCAACTATTTCTCAAAGAATGATTAACCAGCTCCATCAGAATTGGAACTTGTGCAATCAAGGAGAAAAAGAGCTGGCAAGAGAAATTTATTGAAAAAATTTTTACCAGCATTACAGATGACTTCTTGCCACCTTTTTTTTTTTTCCTAAGAGTTAGAGGAAGAAGGAAAGGAAGAAGAATCATTACACAATAATGAATTAAGAAAACTAATTGTGGAAAATTACAAACTCCTTTCACCTCACAAGGTAGCTTTCAAACAAACACAACAGGGTATTTGTAGAACCTAAAGACACAGACAGTATTGAAAAGGAGCAGAAAGCAGGAGTGTAACCTTCACTAACTTCTTTCAGAGAGTGGAGAGGCCTGACAGTGTATGGGCGTGATTATCTCTGGTAGCCCATTCTGGACTAACGATTCTGTGAACCTATAATTTAGAGAGTCCATAATGTCATATGTTCACCTTACTTATCTCCCTAACCCACTGAGTATTAATTCTCCCAGGCAGGGGACTAGCTTTTTAGGCCACTTGTAAGTCTTGATCAGCTTTAGCTTGAGGATTTGGGGGTGGGGAGGGATGATGGACAGAAATAAGGTTAGGGTTAGCCTTCAAATGGAAGAAACGGGAATATAAAATCCTCGTCTGTGCTGATCATGCTTCTCAAGAAAGGCTGAAATTCAGGCCCAGTGAACACACTTGTGGCCTTAACATCTCTCAGAATGAAAGGATTTTCTTCCTTCACAATACCTTTATCAAATTCCAACTATTTTCTACTTTTCTTCCTTATACAACCCAGGCGCACGGGTTGAAATAATTTTCCTTAAGAAATCCAGGAAGCTCTGGCCTGGCCCTCCCTCTAGAAAGGAAAGTCCAAGTAAAGAGGGATGCCACACCTGGGGAAGGGAGAGAGGATGTGACGACACCTCCAGGAATGCAGGGCCCACGCAGGTGCACTGGCACCCACGAACTTCCTGATAAATCAGTACCGATAACAGGAGTAAAACTCAACCACCCAACACTCACTCACACAGAGCTGGGGTGCTGCTCCCAGGGTGTGGCCTTGCCAATCAGGGAGAGGAGGAGGAGACCTAAGAACGGAGCTCTCTAAAGGTGGTGACATGGTATCTAGTCCAGCCATGATCAGAGTGTGGTCTCTGGGAGTCCCTGAGACCCCTTTACGGGGGTCTCTGCAAGGCCAAAACTGCTTTCACAAAACTAAGATGTCATTTGTTCTCATCATTCCCATTGTCTCACGAGTATACAATGGAGTTTTCCAGAAGGGACAAGACATGTGATGACATCATCACTCTGATGACTGTTGGAATGCATGCTTGTGTACTCCCATGTTTTGGACACATCCGTTTTAATTCTAAGATAAATATTGAAAGACATTACACATAAACAAAGTACTTTGGGGTCCTCCATGATTTTTAATAGTGTAAAGGGGTCTTGAAAACAAAAAGGTTGGGAACTGCTGTGCTAGTCCAAACAGGGGAGTTACAGGCCCTGACATGCACTTTATTTCCGGCTGAACTTGAGTCACCTCCTATGTGCTTTCAAACAGGGGGTGGAGGCAGCTTGCTTATTTATTATACAGCTTGGATTGGTGTCCTTTCCACCTGTGCTGCCACAGGTGGCCAGAAAAACCTTAAATCCTCCCACAAAACGTCTGGTTACCTGAATCCTCCAGAGGGAAAAAAATGAGCTTCTCGCCTTTGAACCCAAGTGGGGCAAAGAGCCTGCAGAAGGGACACCCTCAGTGGCAGCACCCAGCAAAGACCCATCTGAGTACCCGCTGGGAGTCGGGTTCTGTGCCACTCAATGCCAGCAAAGCACAAGCCGTCCCTGCGCCTTCGGGAGCTTTCATTCTAGGCTGGTGGCAGATTACTCACAAAACTCAGATGCACACAAAAATGGGAAACCTGTAACTTGTAACAAGTGCTGGGCAACAGGGGTACAAGTGTTAGGAGGCCTCCGAGGTGGGCAGGGAGATGAGGGGAGGAAGGTACCCTAACCACTCTTCTTGCCAAATCTCAGGTTGGACCTTCCCCTCCACCTCCATTCCCCTGCCCCCTTCCTGGCTTGCAGGTTTCAACAGCTCTTGGATTCCCGGGTCCCACAGGGAGACCTTGGGACCTGGGAATCTCCTCCAGCCAAAAGCTTCAGTCTTCTCCTCTCCTCCCCATGACCCACAGGGTCTGTGTGAAGAGAGGCCGGGCTCTGGGACGTTCAGAGAGGAGGATTCAGCGTTTTGTTGCTCTGGGACACAGCTTGGTCACTCCGGGAAACGAACACAACCTAGAGGCTGTCATTTGTAGAAACAGCGAATGGCCAAGGAATGGCGGGAGGAGGGAAAAGGAAGACTTTTAAAGAAAAAAAAAAAAAGCCCTGAAAGACTGGACTAGAAATCCTCAGGGAGGCTGGGCCTGCAAGGAGCCTTCCCGCGCCTCAGCCCACTTTCCTTCCCTCTCGACCTGACGGACTTAAGGCGTGCAGAGTCTCTTCGGACAAAATGAAGCCAAGAGAGCCCTAAGCTTCTCCCCCAGCAACCGCTGCAGAGGCGGGAAAACTTGAATTTTGCAACCAAGAGTTGCAGCGGGACGCCTAAGCAACGATAAGGGGCGGTGGAGGGGCGTCGTTGGGGGCTGCAGCATCCCAAAGTGGAAGCGGGAAGGGGGCCCGGCTGGAACCGAATAGCCCCGCAGCGCCTCGGCAACCGGACGGGCGGCGCATCCAATCCCCTGGACCGTGCGTGTGACTGGCGCGCGCTAAGCGGCGCGAGCCCCGGCGGAGCCGGGCAACCAGGCGCGCGCTCGCGCGTGCGCAAAAGGCCCACCCAGCCGAGCCCTTCTTCAGGTGCGCTCGCGCTTCCGGCCGGCCTCCCCGCGTGCCTTCCCGGGGCGGAAACTCCAGCACCCGCGCATGCGCCTTCTGGCTCTCCGGCCTGAAGCGGGGCGGAGGGCCATGGCTTCAGGTGATCCCGCCCCTCCCTCGTAGCGCAGGACCAATCGTGCGGTGGTAGGCGGGGTTTTGAGGAGGCAGCCCGCCCACGCACCGCGCGAGGCGTGTATCGATTGGTTGGCGCCGCGGGCGCAGGTGCGCGCTTTCTATTGGGTGTGGGCGGAACGCGAGGGATTGCGGCATCTTCGGGGGCTGCAGGTGAGCGCGCGCACGCGCCGCGGCTGTGGTCCGCTCGGGTGCGCGCGCGCGGGCTCGCGGGGGAGGCGGCAGAGGGAGAGGTTGCGGCGCTTGTGGCCTCCGCTCCGCCCCCTCCTCTCCTCCAGCGCTGTCGCCGTCGCCGCCGGGGCCCGGAGGGAGGGAGCTGCTTCCCCGCCTGCCGCGCCACCAGTCCGACCCTCGGTCCCGCCGTGTGAGCAGCTGGTGGAGTGGAGCTCAGCGCGGACGCCGGAGCTGCGGCCGCCCCCTCTGCAGGTGCCTGTGAGGAGGCGCCCGGGCCGCAACCGCTTTCCGAGATCCCCAGTCGCGCACTCGCTCCCCGCGCTCCTGAGGGGCCGCCCGGCCGGAGGAGGCCGTCGCGGGGCTCGGCGTTCAGCATGAACCGCAGCCACCGGCACGGGGCGGGCAGCGGCTGCCTGGGCACTATGGAGGTGAAGAGCAAGGTGCGCGGGGCCCGGGCTGGGCGGAGCGGCGGGCCTGGGGGGCCGGGGCCTGGGAGAGGCCGGGCCAGGCTCGGAGCGCCGGGGGAGGCGACGGGCTGAGCTGCCCCGGGGTCTGGACGGTGCGGTCGGGAGACTGTGGGTAATAAACTTGCCGAGGAGGGGGTGGCGGGGGTCAGGGGGCGCTAGTGTCCGCCCCTGGCCCGGGCAGGAAGAAGACCTAGTCCAGCATTTAATCTCATTCCGTAAATCTCATTCCCGTGTTCACGGACGGGAGTAGGGGCCAAGGTATATCCAAGGATGGCGCACACTGAGTGAAATGCGAGGCTGCTCAAAAGGTGTAGGAGAATCCTGCCTGCTGGGCTGTGAGTAAAGGGCCCTGGACCACCCCGTTGTTCCCACTTTCTGTGGTTAAGGGGCGCATCGAGTGGCGAAGGAGAGAGCCCAGTGAACTAAACAGCCCTTTAAAAGTTCGCTTTGCTTCCTGCTGGCGCTCTTTCTAGCACTAACTTTGGTATGCATTTAATCTGTAAAATTAGTACTATCACCTTACGTTGGAGTAGCACTTTACAGTTTGACTCTAGATGCTCTTTTCATTCCATCCTGCTACCTACTCACATCAAGTGCTTTTCCCCTTGACCAACGGTATGCCAATCTGCTGATAATTACTTCGGTATTCACTGAATTTCTAAATCTCAAGGCTCAGTGAGCAGGGTAGTCTGTAGGGAGGGATTAGTTAGGGAATGCCTTCCAAAGGGGGTTTTGAGCTGGAATTTGAAGGTGATCGGCAGCCAAGGGAACACTTTCAGCAAGCGTTTCTTGAGTTGAAGAGTTAAAAGGAGCTTAGATAATCTAGCCCAATTCTCTGAGAAGACTGAGGCTTAGAAAGGTTATGACTTCCTCAAGCTGTTTTTTTGCAAAGCCTTCATGCCTTTTTAATAACTTCTAGACATTGCAGAATACAAAACAGGACACTGGCTGGGCCCTGAGAACATTTAAAATAGAATTGAGAAGGCCAAAACACAGAAAAGGAGAAAATTGAAAGTATATCAATTTCAAAAAAAAAAAGTAATGGAGCATCATAGATGGTAAGACTACTAAGGAGTATGTAAAATCAAGGAGTGATTTGAGTGAGGTACAGTGGAGTAAGGAAAGCTTCCTAGAGCCTCTAGGTAGAATAGTTTTATTGTCTAGGGTTGATAAGCAAAGTTCTGTAAGTTTCTGTAACTGAGAATCACATCGAGAAAATCGACATTCGTTTGTAACATCATTAAAAAATGTGATTTGAGTCTGGGCGCGGTGGCTCACGCCTGTAACCCCAGCACTTTGGGAGGCCGAGGCGGGTGGATCACCTGAGGTCAGGAGTGCCAGACCAGCCTGGCCAACATGATGAAACCCCATCTCTACTAAAAATACAAAAAATTTTTAGCCGGCCGTGGTGGCACATGCCTGTAATCCCAGCTACTTGAGAGGCTGAGGCAGGAGAATCGCTTGAATCCGGGAGGTGGAGGTTGCAGTGAGCCAAGTTTGCACCATTGCACTCCAGCCTGGGCAACAAGAGCAAAACTCCATCTCAAAAAACAAAACAAAACAAAAACAAAAACGGCTTGGCACTTACATGAGGATTGGCACTAGTTTCAGAATTAGTAAGAAAAGACGTGTAGTTACAGCAATTTAAGGAATGTGCATGTCCATGTGTCCTCTGTGCACAGCATAGCAAATTGAAGTGACTTGCTTGAGCTATAGCGTTAAGATGACCCAAAATACATAGCAGAACTTTTCCTTTAGCGGTATGGTGGCAGTAGAGGTTCCATGCCCAGTGGTTGAACCTTCTTATGGCATTTTTGTTATAAGTTTAGTTTGGATTTGTGGGAGTTGAGGTTATGGAAAGAAAAACACTTGTGATATTGCATAATCTTAAAATTTTAAGTTTATAGCCCTAATCTTGGTAGCAAGTCTTTAATTTTTTTCCACAGAAAAAAATGAGTAGGAATTCTAAGTATACTGATAAATACAATCAAATAGTAATTTATCTCTAGTACTAAGAAACCTTGAGTGCTTTAAAACTGGAATTTCAGGCTTTTTGCCTTTCTCTTGTCAACTGATTTGTGAATCTTTCACTTACTTCTGTCTAAACTACATGTTGTATATTTGAACTGCCATACTGCACTTTCAGCTAACTGTGTCTTTTAAATAGAATCATACACTGATTCTAGGAACATGTGCTGAATGAAGTCGGTCCCACTATTCTAGCTGTTGACAAATAGGCAAGATATAGGTAGTGAGTGTTTCTAGTATGTCTATGACACCTTATATGTTTCAAATATATATTGCTGATACATTTATTTTCAGTAGATTGAAACATTTGTCACCTTAACCATTTAAAAAATATTTGGAAGGGTTTTTGAAACAGTATTTTCTTTGACATTGCTTTAGTGATACCACAGCTTTTTACAAAACTGATTGCTAAGAGTTTATAACCAAAACTAGGTAGTGTGCCGGTCCTTTTTTTTTTGAGACAGGATCTTGCTCTGTCACCCGGGCTGGAGTACAATGGCACGATCACGGCTCACTGCAGCCTCAACCTCCTGAGCTCAAGCGATTCTCCGATTTCAGCCTCCTGAGTAGCAAGACTACAGGCGTGCACCACTACACCCAGCTTATTTATTTATTTATTTATTTATTTATTTTGTAGAGATGGGGTCTCTCCATGTTGCCCAGTCTGATCTTGAACACCTGAGCTCTAGTGATCCGCCCGTCTCTACCTCTCAAAGTACTGGGACTACAGGCGTGAGCCACTGCACCTAGCTGGTCCATTTTTCTCTTACTATTTTCAATTTTTTTTTATCTTTTTAGAGACAGGGTTTTGCCATGTTGGTCATGTTGGTCTCTAACTCCTGAGCTCAAGTGATATTCCCACCTAGGCCTCCCAAAGTGTTTGGATTATAGGCATTAGCCACCACACTGGGTTCCGGTCCATTTTTAGGATCTCTTTTTCTTCATATAAACAGTAATGTTGGCCAGGCATGGTGGCTCACACCTGTAATCCTAGCACTTTGGGAGGGCAAGGTGGGCGGATCACCTGAGGTCAGGAGTTCAAGACCAGCCTGGCCAACACGGTGAAACCCTGTATCTACTAAAAATATAAAAATTAGTGGGGCGTGATGGCATATGCCTGTAATCCCAGCTACTCCGGAGGCTGATGCAGGAGAATTGCTTGAACCTGGGAGGCGGAGGTTGCAGTGAGCCGAGATTGCGCCACTGCACTTCAGAGCCTGGGTGACAGAGGGAGACTCTGTCTCAAAAAAATAAAAAAATGCAATAAAGCAGTAGTGTCAACATTATTATCTTCACACGTGGAAGGGAAAAATAGTAATGATAAAAGAATGGAGAATGTAAATATACCTATAGTTCAATTTGTGGTACCAGCTAGTATGTGACTTTTCTTTGGTAACTGTTTTATCTTCCTAATTGTATCTCTAGTGTTGGGAAGATTCTTAATCAATAATCTTGATGATGTCCTTTAATAACCCTGGAACAGTCTTTGAGTCATAAAATTTCCTAATTATTATTCATAGGCAAATAGACTATGAAAATTAAGTTTGCATTTCTAGAATGTACCAACAGACACTGGGGGAAGGGAGTCCATACACATTCTGGATGGCTAGGGCAAACTAGGCTATGAAACAGTTGTAAATGGTTCACAAGTGAATAATTGCTGATTGAATCTTAATTTTGTCTCTTAGTGTTTTTGTTCATGTAAAAAGTTCCCTTAATCCTATTGTTGTGTTGCAAGAAGCATAACAATTTCTCTTGGGTTTTTTTTTCCCATGCCAATATTGGCAAAAGTGCAAATATACCATGAAGCCATACAATTTTTTATTGTTTTTATCATAACAGTTAAGCAAGAGAAAATATTGAGCGAAGAAATTTCATCCAAAAGCTTTAACAAAAACATTGAAGCCCTAAAATGTTAAATGATCAGATGTTATTCCCATTCATACATCAGGGGAAGTGATAAACCCTGTGGATGAATCAGCAAGCACTAGCAACTTCATGTTGTGATACCAGAATAAAGAAAATGGAGGAGAAACTGTGACTTTTGATAACATCATGAGACTAACTGATATGAAGGGTGTTCCCTGAGTTTTTATTTACTTTGAAATGTGAAGGTGTGACTAAACTTTTTGAGAGCCTTAGGTATGAGTCACCTTATTTTCTTGACAGATGTTAGTGTTTATGTTTCAGGAATGTGTTTTGGGAACTATTTTAATTTTTGTTAGAGGTAAGAGGTGTTTTTAGTGAGTTTTGATGTTAAAACCACTGAGGAGTATGGGTGTAAGCAGAGCAGGTGAACTTTAGATAGAGCAAAACCAGTGAATCCAGATGTCCCATGGGACCTTTGGGAAAATGAAGTGACATATTTGTAAACTCAAATTATTATGGTAGGGGCTTTCTCTACATGATGCTTAAGGCTGTACCAACAGTATTTCTCTTTTCCTTTTTTCTCTGGGACATAATATTTTTACATTAGTATTTCTTGCTAGTAATAGATAGGTGGAAGAAATATGAGTTCAGTGGTTAAACACATTAGGCAAACGTTCGTTTAAATATTTTTAAAAACCAACATAGGGCTTAAATGAGCCTTTAAAGTGCTGGTCTCCGCAGTGATTCCCAAGAGCATAATTATGTAGCGTTTCTCAAACTTACATGACTGGGACACTTTTTGAGGAAGGCAGATTAACTTTTCTTAGGTTTCCACGTTTGAGGAAATGCCATGTTATTCCCACAGTGTTATAAATCCTGTTTATCATGGACTAGATGAAGCCAGTCCTTAGTGTTTTGGTTTTTTTTTTTTTTTTCTTTTTTGAGACGGAGTCTTGCTCTGTTGCCCAGGCTGGAGTACAGTGGCATGATCTCGACTCACTGCAACCTCTGCCTCCCAGATTCAAGAGAGTCTCCTGCCTCAGCCTCCTGAGTAGTTGGGACTACAGGCATGTGCCACCACACCTGGCTAATTTTTGTATTTTTAGTAGAGACGGGTTTTGCCATGTTGGCTAGGCTGGTTTTGAACTCCTGACCTTGTGATCCTCCCGCCTCAGCCTCTCAAAGTGCTGGGATTACAGATGTGAGCCATCGCGCCTGGCCTCAGTTCTTAGTGTTGAATAAGAGTCACTTTTAATTATTTGACATTGGGAAAACAGAGGTGTAGGGAAACAGACTTCAGAATCAGAACTGTGAAGGTAAGTATTGGGCATGATGGAGGCTGTCTTCCTCCCCATTCCGCCCCATTTGTGTGATCTCTTAATACCTCCCTGAAGTAATTATTCTCTTTACCCACTAATTGGTGAGCTTCTGGAGCAGGCTCGAGGCTTTCAATCTCTAGGGCCTAGCACTGTGCCAAACACATAAACACTTTGTGCGTTAATTGGATAGTTATAGGACATACATTTGATGTATTACTGAAGCTTATTTTTTTCTGCATTAACATAGGGAAGATCATACCTTAACGCCACGTAGCTCACAGTTCTTTTTGTATATTTTGCTGTTGATTCTTACCACATACCATGAAATCCTAGTTCCATTTATGGGGGAGGACACTTAAATGCTTTCCTTTGGTCAAAATAAGGACTTGGACAAGTCTTTGGTACCCCATGATGCACCTGAGGAGAGCATTGCCGTCAGAGTCTGGGCTCCAGACAGGGTTTGAGCTGAGTCACTATGCAGAACAGTCCGCAGTAAGGCCTAGGTACCCCAGGGATAGATAGAGTTGAGCCTGCCTCTCTTGAAAGGAATGCTCTTCAGAGACACAGCAGTCAGGAGGCACATTCTTGTGCCTTTCTTAGGCTTTTTAAAATCCCTGATAGTAAGGTTCTTCACAATAGACAATCTTTCCTTAATTAAAAATACTTGCTCTGCTCGTTAATTTTTCTATGGCATGCATTTTCAAATTGGGTCCTTTTACTTTTTTTTTTTTTTTTAAGTAATATGTTTGTTACGTTTATAGTTTGGAGCTGAATTTCGTCGGTTTTCGCTGGAAAGATCAAAACCTGGAAAATTTGAGGAGTTTTATGGATTACTACAACATGTTCATAAGATCCCCAATGTTGACGTTTTGGTAGGCTATGCAGACATCCATGGAGACTTACTACCTATAAATAATGATGATAATTATCACAAAGCTGTTTCAACGGCCAATCCACTGCTTAGGATATTTATACAAAAGAAGGGTAAGTATCACTGTTTAGAAAAATTGTGTTAGAAATAGAAATAGTGTATTTTCCCCACTGAAAGGATACCCAGACTTTGCCACAAACTTAGTGAATAAACATTTTGTGTGAATCTTCTTATGTTAACTAACATGTGGGTTAAAACATTTGTGATATTGTTGGTTTAATTAATATCTTTATGCTTCACTAAGTGTACTTTAGAAAATTTATATTTCTAGTTACTTTTGTGTTAACCTCTTTGGTTTTATTTTTCCTTAAGTAGAAATTGGGAATTTATTGAATATTGGGAATTTATTGAATCTTCACTTTATCAAATGGATTATTCTCCACTCAGAAAAATGTGAAAAGAGTGTGACTTTGGAATCCAAAGCATTCCTGTTTTTTGGTGGCAACCAACTTTCAAAGGCTGTATTTACCAGTTAATAAATACCAGAAACAAAGCCATTTAATCTTCCTGAGTCTCAATGTCTGCACCTATAGAAAGATTATAATATTTTGTAGAATTACTATGAGGATTAAATGAGCTAAGTGCAGTGCCCTGGCTTATAGTAAGCACCCAGTAAATACTTTCTTTCTTTTACTTTTAGGATACTTTTTAAAGAAATTGTATAAAACTAGTTAATTATCTGGAAAATGAGGTGGGAAGTTACTATTGTGGAAGGATGTAAACACTGATATTAATTAGTCTTCCAAAAAAATTGAAATCACTATTTGGCAATAACTTTCTTTCTTTCTTTTTTTGTAAAGACTGGGTCTTACTATGTTGCCTGGTCTCCGGTGATCCTCCAGTCCCTGCCTCTCAAAGTGCTGGGATTATAGGCATGAGCCACCATGCTCAGCCAAGAATTTTCAAATGTATTTTGAGTCCTAAAACTTTTTTTTTTTAATCTCGTAGCCTTTGTGTGTGTATGTATGTGTGTCTGCAGATAGGCAGGGTAGGGCTTATTATGGTATGTACCATTTTTTCCTTTCTCAATTGTAAATGAAGTGGTTTGGGAAGCCAGCATGAGAGCATCAAGCCTGGTATTGGGATAAATTAAAGACTTACGGTATTTATAAGCCAACCCAGAAAGTAGCTTGAGAGCGGCCAGGCTTGGTGGCTCACGTGTGTAATCCCAGCACTTTGGGAGGTGGAGGCGGGCGGATCATCTGAGGTCAGAAGTTCATGACTAGCATGGCTAACATGGTGAAACCCCATCTCTACTAAAAATACAAAAATTAGCTGGGCATGGTGGCACATGTCTGTAATCCCAGCTATTCAGGAGGCTGAGGCAGGAGAATCAGCCAGGAGGTGGAGGTTGCAGTGAGCCGAGATCGTACCACTGCACTCCAGCCTGGGCAACAGAGCAAGACTCCTCAAAAAAATTTTTTTGAAAAGAAAGTAGCTTGAGAGAATGGGTGGGGATTATCTTTGAAGGTGAAAACTATTTCTAATCAGTTGATAAGCATTAGACCACTCCCAGGGCTCTGGAATTCCACTGATTATGTATCTTTGCTTTCCTGGGTTTGGAGGAACTAAAGTCCACCAACAAAATAAACCTCCAAGGATAACCTCTGCCTATATCACTTGACTATTTTACAAAATACTTTCACACACAAATTAATGTTCCCAAAGTTTCCTGAGATGGATCTCAAAGGTAATTAACAGGAATGCGATATAATGAGAGTATGACCTTAGGAAGATTCAGTTGGCTGTTCAGGATGAATTGGAGTGGGCAGCAGTCTTACAGTAGAGAGCCAGGAGCAGGCGGTAAAGAAGTGAGGAGACTGGCCTAGAAGTAGAGGGGAAGGGTGGGGGGAGGGGAGAAGGCAGTGGCGGGAAGGTAGGAGGGGAAATACTTGGGAGTCATTGCACTCACTGTGGCTGCTTTGCAGTGAAGGAGAGTCCAGCAGAGCATATCTTGATGGTTTGAGTCTGACAGCTGGGACAGTGTCATGAACAAGCAGAGTAGATTGATTTGGAAAAGAAAATTATGAATTTTGTCTTAGGACAAATAATCTTAACCAGTCATTCAGAAGATTAGAAATGGTAGACAAAAGTTCAGGGTAGAAATCCAAAAACTAGTTAGATTTGCAAGCTTTTTGAAAAGTGATAGTTAAAATTTTGGGAGTAGACATAAAGGCTATCTGAGATGAAGACCATGGATAGAACCTTGGAAAGCTATATATAGAGTGCTGGAAAAGGAGGAAGAATTTAAATAATTATGGTTGAATAATAGGCCTTTCTTGTTAGCAATTGTAATTTTCTTTAAAAAGTTAGTTGCTGTTTGGATGTGCATTCAAATATAGAGTGGGTTTTTAAAGTATTGCCATGTGACAGAATTTTGTTGGATTATCCCCTTTGGTAGAAAGATTATGACAGTTGAGTTATACCACCACATGTTTTGTTAATGGAATTATACTCTTGCATGATTATGGAATTAATCCTAACATCTTTTAAGGGTAGTTATCTTTTATTTCCTTTCTAAGTTTTTATTTATTGGTGGTATAATTTTTATTGAGACCTTTGATGGTTTTTATTGTTGTCATAGGAATTACAACTTAGAAATATGTTTCTATGTGCAAATGTTTTCTATTTATTAATGGTAAAATGTCCAATATAATTGATAGCCCTTAGAATTTGATTTAGAAATAGGCAATTCAACAGAAATATTTTAGATTTTAAAAATATAAATTTAATACAAATATGACTTTAGCAAAAATGAAAGTAGGTAGTCAGTTCATTCCTGCTTAAAACCCTCTGATGATTTCCCATTGCAACCAGAATAAAATCCCTTCTGATTTGGACTTCCCAACCTCATCTTCCCTCATTCTCTCACTCCCTCATCACAGTCAGCCACACTGGCTTCCTTCCTGTTCCTCAGACTTGATGAGCTTGTTTCTTTTTTTTTTTTTTTTTGAGATGGAGTCTTGCTCTGTCACCCAGGCTGGAGTGCAGTGGTGCAATCTCGGCTCACTGCAACCTCTGCTTCCCAGGTTCAAGTGATTGTCCTGCCTCAGCCTCCTGAGTAGCTGAGACTACAGGTGCATGCCACCATGCCTGGCTAATTTTTGTATTTTTAGTAGAGATGGGGTGTCACCATGTTGGCCAGGCTGGTCTCGAACTCCTGACCTCAGGTGATCCACCCGTCTTGGCCTCGAAGTGTTCTGGGATTACAGGTGTGAGCCACTGCACCCAGCCGTTAGCTTGTTTCTGTTTCTGTGCTCTTATGCTTGGTTATTCTTAAGGACACTTCACCCTCGGTTCTTCCCACGTCTGCCTCCTCCTGCTTAGCTCAGATAAGTTTGTCAGAGGAGTCTCTTCTGACTACCCTAACTAAAGCCCTCCACCTTCCCACCTTTACCACATCATCCTCTGAAGACCTGGAAATATCTTATTTAAGAATATGTTAACTTGTTTCCTGTCTGTCTGGTTTACCATCAGGTCGCAGCATCTAAATCTGGCAGACTTACTTAGTGTACTATAATGCATGCACTCTTTTTTTTGTGGAGTGGGGACGGAGTCTAGCTCTGTCCCCCAGGCTGGAGTGCAGTGGCGCGATCTCGGCTCACTGCAAGCTCCACACCATTCTCCTGCCTCAGCCTCTGAGTAGCTGGGACTACAGGAGCCCGCCAACACACCCGGCTAATTTTTTTTTTTGTATTGTTAGTAGAGACGGGATTTCACTGTGTTAGCCAGGATGGTCTCGATCTCCTGACTTCGTGATCCGCCCGTCTCGGCCTCCCAAAGTGCTGGGATTACAGGCGTGAGCCACCGCGCCCGGCCGCACTCTGTCTTTTAAGCAAAGTTGAGCAGATGCTTAACTAGAAATCTGATTTTATGTAAACCTTAATGAACATTTAATTCAAGGAACTAATATAAAGTATGACATTAAGTATAGTTACATTTTACTGCTTGATTACAGCACATTTTCTGTTTGCTTTTTGATTTCAGTTAGGCATCAGTAAGGCAGAAGTTACACTTAATATGTACTGGTGTTTTGTTTTGTTTTGTTTTAAGTCTTGCTCTGTCACCCAGGCTGGAATGCAGGGGCGTGACCTCCACTCACTGCAACCTCCGCCTCCCAGGTTCTTGTGCCTCAGCTTCCAGAGTGGCTGGGACTACAGATGCGTGCCACCACGCCCAGCTAATTTTTGTATTTTTAGTAGAGACAGGGTTTTGCCATGTTGGCCAGACTGTTCTCAAACTCCTGACCTCAAGTGATCCGCCCACCTCGGCCTCCCAAAGTGCTGGGTTTACAGGTGGGAGCCGCCGTGCCTGGCCCCAAGTGATTTATTTTATTTTATTTTATTTTATTTTTTTTGAGACAGAGTCTTACTCTGTTGCCCAGGCTAGAGTGCAGTGGTGTGATCTCGGCTCACTGCAGCCTCTACCTCCTGGGCTCAAGCGATTCTCCTGCCTCAGTCTCCCAAGTAGCTGGGACTACAAGCGTGTGCTACCATGCCCGGCTAATTTTTGTGTTTTCAGTAGAGACACGGTTTCACGACGTTAGCCAGGCTGGTCTCAAACTCCTGACCTCAGGTGATCCACCCTCCTCAGCCTCTCATAGTGCTGGGATTACAGGTGTGAGCCACTGCGCCTGGCCCCCAAGTGATTTTTGAAAAGCAAATTGCAAAACCATTTTAAAATTTAAAACTATGTGATCTTTTAACATCTGATACTCTACTAAAATTTCTTTAAAGTGAAAGCTTACAATTCAATGTGTAAACTACTTTATAGTCTGAAGTTTAAGATAGTGTTGTTGGATATCTTGAAAAATTTTTATAACAATTTATTGTTAGAAGAAAAACCCCATACTCTATTCCTAGAGCAGTTATCATGGGAGCAAAAACAAAGCACAAGAAACCTGGTATCTTAAAAGTTATTTTCATGCAGAGGATCCCAATCCCCCATTCCCTGTTAAGAGTATTAGAGTTTATCCTAATTGATTCGGGAGATGGGGAAGAGAAGGTACAGAATAGACTTTCTGCTCTCATTGTTGAGGTTATTGCTGTGCACTAAAAATTTTTAAAAAAATATTTAAAGCTTGCGCCTTTTAAAAATACTCAGGTCATTCCTGTCAGTTTGGAATTCAGCCAGGGAAATGTGTATTTTTAAAAGCTTCCCAGCCAGTCCTGATAATCAGCCAGGTGGAGGATCTGTTGATGTGCTACAGAACAGACCCCTCTCCAGATCTAGTCAGAATCTCTACATCCAGACTTCTTGCTATAACACCGTCTGTTTTTGATTGACACCAGACACATATGTTTACCTCTTCGATTTATTCTCGTTTTATTAGGAACACTAGAAAGGCTTTGCTTTAAACTTTGTCTCTCATAGGGCATGCCCTTACACAGATGTGACTTTGTGGCCCAGATGCTGGTAACTGGGCATCTAAATCATCTCTTAGATTTTGTGCATTGGACATTATTTTGTAGGTGTCTTTTAAGGTTACATTTTTATGAATCAGGGTTTAAAGTTGTCTAAGGAATATACATTTTAGTAGTAAATTGTAAATTATAGTTTTAACAAAAGATATGGCCCAGAAATGAAAAAAATAAATTACAGCCTGTAATCCCAGCATTTTTGGTGGCCGAGGCGGGCGAATCACAAGATCAGGAGATCGAGACCATCCTGGCTAGCATGGTGAAACCGTGTCTCTACTAAAAATACAAAAAAATTAGCCGGGCTTGGTGGTGGGCGCCTGTAGTCCCAGCTACTCGGAAGGCTGAGGCAGGAGAATGGCATGAACCCAGGAGGCGGAGCTTGCAGTGAGCCTAGATCGCGCCACTGCACTCCAGCCTGGGCGACAGAGCGAGACTCCGTCTCAAAAAAAAAAAAAAAAAGAAATTGTGGAGTAACATCTCAGTATGTGACACCAGTTACTCACAACAGAAACGTGGGTGTCACCTTTGACACATACCTATTTTTTAGTCAGTCACCAAGCCTATTAAAACTGTGTTCTAGTTATTTTTCAGATTTGTCTCCCCATTTCCATGTCCTCTGCTCCAGGCCAGGTGCCATCCAAATTTACTGAAGTAGCTTCTTTTTTTTTTTTTTTTTTTTTTTTCTGAGAAGCAGTCTCGCTCTTGTTGCCCAGGCTGGAGTGCAATGGCGTGATCTCGTCTCACGGCAACCTCCGCCTCCTGGGTTCAAGTGAGTCTCCTGCCTCATCCTCCCGAGTAGGTGGGATTACAGGCATGCGCCACCATGCCTGGCTAATTGTGTATTTTTAGTAGAGATGGGGTTTCTCCATGTTGGTCAGGCTGCTTGCGAACTCCCGACCTCTGGTAATCCGCCCACCTCGGCCTGCCAAAGTGCTGGGATTACAAGTGTGACCCACTGCACTGCGCTGGCTGCAGTAGCTTCTTGTCCTCCCCCTCCACGTCCTTCTCCAGCCTGCAGCCGGAGTGAGCTTTGTAGAAAAACCAAATGAGTTCACTATCACTGTCTTCCCTTAAAATCCTTGATTTTCTTCCCTTTGCCCTTAGGCTAAAGTCTGTAAACTTTGGTACTTCCCAGGAGGCCCTGTTTGTCTGTTTGGCCCCTGGCTGCCTCTGACTCAGCTCCTGACTCCCTCCCTCCCTCCCTCCCTCCTGCTTTTCACCCTCTGTTCTAGCTGTATTGGATTTCTTTGTCTGGCCCTCCCTCTTCTGGATATTGTCGAGTCCTGTGCCTGGAACATTCTTCTTGCCTTCTACTATTAGCCCCTGGCTGGTTTTCCTCACAGAATCACTTCCCTGGAGAAGCCTTGCCTTACTCCTACAAGCCAGGCCAGGTCCCCTTTACATACTTCCCCAGCATGGTGTGCTTATAGCTCTCAGCACCTTTGTTATAATTTACTTAGAGTATTTGAAATTATTTGTTAGTTGCCATCTCCTCTTTTAGATTGTAAGCACCACGAAAGTAGACACCATACCTATTTTATTCACCAAATCTGTACCACAGAGCACAATTCCTGGCACATAGTCAGTGTTCGTTAAATATTTGGTGATTAATTTTTCTGTATTAGGAATGAAGGGGTCTGCAAAATTTGAATATCTAATTTGCTTTAAGTGATATTTAATCTTTTTAAAGTTGCCAGATCTGGCTGGGCGCAGTGGCTCACGCCTGTAATCCCAGCACTTTGGGAGGCCAAGGTGGGCGGATCGCCCAACGTCAGGAGTTCGCCACCAGCCTGACCAACATGGTGAAACCCTGTCTCTAATACAAAAATTAGCCGGGCATGGTGGTGCATGCTTGTAATCCCAGCTACTCGGGAGGCTGAGGAAGGAGAATCGCTTGAACCCAGGAGGTGGAGGTTGCAGTGAGCCGAGATCGTGTCATTGCACTCTAGAGCGAAACTCCGTCTCAAAAAAAAAAAAAAAAGTTGCCAGATCTATCTCATTTAACCATTTTATATTAGAGCAAGAGTTGGCAAACTAAGGCCTGTTGGCTGCTTTTGCATATAAAATTTTCTTGGAACAGGGTCTCACCATTGCCCAGATTGGAGTGCAGTGGTGCCATCTTAGCGTACTTCAGCTTCGACCTCTCAGGCTCAAGTGATCCTCCCACTTCAGCCTCCCAAGTAGCTTGGACTACAGGCACAAACAAACCACCATGCCCAGCTAATTTTTAAAATTATTTTTGTAGAGACAGGGTCCTGCTATGTTACCCAGGCTGGTCTTAAACTACTAAGCTGAAGCAGTCCTCTCACCTCGCCCTTCCAAAGTGCTGGGATTACAGGCATGAGCCATCATGCCTGGCCACATAATATTTTATGGATTGTCTGTGGCTGCTTTTACAAGAGTGATTATATAGCCTGTAATACCTAGACATTTACTGTCTGACTCTTGACAGAAAACGGTTGTCAACCCCTGGATTAGAACATTTTAAAACATTATTTCATTATTTGATTTCTTCCTCTGATCTTCAAGTGGGGCATAATCTTGAACTTTGTTGATGGCTGTACTATAATGGTTGCTGTTTTGTTACTGTATGGGGATACTGATGGAGCTTATGTAGAAGTTTTTTTTTTTTTCTAGATTTGCTTTTTACTCACTGTGAAGCTTTTATGTCTTACATCTGCCTGCCACCCACAAATGGATCCTTACCCTTTGCTCTGAATGTGTGGTTTATGACCCTCTATGAGCAAAGGAATGAGATTACTAGGCTTTTCAGAATTAATGTTTAAAGAGTAAGAGGTTCAGAGGGAAGCCCTGCAGGATAAGTGAAGAACAGCCACTATTTGTGTGTAAGAAAGTAAGACATCCAGTTTGACTATTTGGAGGCCTTCTAGGTGGATCCTTGTCTGTTCAGTTAGCCGAGATCATTGGCTGAAGAAAAGGCTTGGGATAAATGCGGTGCTGCTGTATCAGCCCATATCATGTACTGTTGCATAAGTGAATTTATACAAGTGGACAGTTGCTATGATCAAGTTTTCAAACTTTCCATCTCATTCTGAGTTTAATGCTCTGATAGTGTTCAGGTAGAAAGTCAACTCCAATTCCTTGTGGACATTCACCTTTACACTTTAACACCCTGAACCCTGGCTTTCTGCCAAAATATTTTCTTTCCCAGTGGCTGGAAACTGATTAGCTAGATGGGAGAACAAAGGTGGCTTTGTACTGGGGCATATTGCTTTTGAGAATTTAGCAGAGAGCATTCAAATGGAGTCTGGATGTGATGCCAAATTATGCAGATTTGGAGTTTATTTTGGTTAGGTTTCCCATGAGTAGGTATGTAGGCAACGTAATACTGTTCTCAGTTTATATGGTCTGGAATTTCCCTTATAAATGTTATATAGGCTTTCCTTATTGATTGTTTTAAAACACAAATATGTATGATTTTGAGAAAACACATTACCAGAAGACTATTCTTGATAGGTTTTTTTGCCAAAAAGATTGTTGTACCAATGGATTTATATCCAAAGCCATATTATAAATACATTTCTGTCTCTGTAAGAGCCCAATGCAAATACTTATAAATGATTACAAGTGTCCCCAAGGGGAAAAAAATGCCAAAAAAATAAGATACCCGTAACCTTATATATTTATCTGAAACTAGGTTTTGAAGAGTGTTCACGCAGCATCAGAAAAGAATACTAAAGCTCCCCATACTCTGACATAATTGATACTTGGCATTCATTATTGTGACTTGGAAGATACTAGCCTCGTAAGAAAACCTGGGCTCTAGTTCTTTCTGTGTAACTTACGTTGTACCCTTAATTTATTGGTTATAAAGTGAAGATGATAATAGTTTAGCAATGAGGGGGTTTAGGATTAAACAAGAGAATATGAGTTGAAGCGCTATACAAACGCAAGATGGTGAGATTGGTGTTTTCTGTGGCAGCAGCTGAGACTAGGATTTTCAACTATTTTGTGGAGGAGGAGGGAAGCCATTTATTTTTTGTTGTTGTCTTTTCTTTTCTTTTTCTTTTTTTCTTTCTTTCTTTTTTTTTTTTTTTTTTTTTTTGCCTAGCCACTGGAAAACCAGGGAGAGGCATTATTGAAGTTGTTGTGTTTTTTTTTTAATTCATGTAAATTTCACTTTTTAGTTTATCCTCATTGTAGTTATTTTTGAAAATACTATTTTAACTTTTGTTTCTGCTGTTAGTTTCATTTTCTGTTTTACCTCTCATTCTCTGATGAAATGTTTTGTTTATAGACTATCTTCCTTCAGCCATATAATTTAACCATATCTGGTGTTAGGTGTTCTGTTTTCCCTTTTAGTTTATTATTTAATTAGGCGGCAGTATTTAAAGATCGCAAGATTTTGCCTAAAAACAAGACTTTCTGGCATGAAGAAAATCTGCGAGGAACTGAGAAGCAGCTATGCCATCTAAATGAGGCAGGAGCTCTCCAGTTTGCCAGAGTCCTACTACTTCCTATTGTCTGTGTCACCACCACTGAGGACAAAATACCATTGAACTTTATGCATAGTTTTTCACACAGTAAAGAAAAAAGTTAAAACTCCACCTTTGCCTCTTTCAAAATGAAAATGAGAGATCAAGAATTCCTGCTGGGCGAGGTGGCTCACACCTGTAATCCCAGCACTTTGGGAAGCTGAGGCAGGTGGATCACCTGAGGTCAAGAGTTCCATCAAGACCAGCCTGGCCAACATAGTGAAACCGCATCTCTACTGAAAATACAAAAATTATCTGGGCATAGTGGCGCATGCCTGTAATCCCAAGCCACTTGGGAGGCTAAGGCAGGAGAATCGCTTGAACCTGGGAGGCGGGGGTGGCAGTGAGCTGAGATCATGCCTCTGCACTCCAGCCAGGACGACAGAGCGAGACTCCGTCTCAAACAATAGCAACAGAAAACTGAGGGAGAGTGTTTATTTGCAGAATACCAAAATTCCGAAGTGTTTGTTTGATATGCATCAGCATCAATTACATTATCTGCCCACTCAGCCTCTGATATTGGTATATGATTTTACTCTCTGATTTACCTTGAGAATCAAATATCCCACTTCAAGTATTTGAGTTGAATATGATAAACATGCAAATTGCAGGCGTGTTTTTGTTTTGTTACCGAGGCTGGAGTGCAGTGATCATAGTGCGCTGCAGACCTGAATCCTGGAGTGAAGCCATCCTCCCATCTCAGCCTCCCAAGTAGCCGGGACTCCAGGCAGACGCTACCTACCACACCTGGCTAATTTTTTTTTACTTTTCATAAAGACAGGGTCTCACGCTGTTGCCCAGGCTGGGCTCAAGTGATCCACTCACCATGGCCTCCCAAAAAAGCACTGGGATTATAGACGTGAGGCACCACGCCCAACCACATTACAAGTTTTTTAAACAAGTGAAGGAAAAATGTATTTTAAGTAACTGGTTTAAAATGATGTTTTAAGGCCGGACACAGTAGCTCTCACCTGTACTCCTAGCACATTGAGAGGCTGAGGCGGGAGGATCTCCTGAGGCCAGGAGTTCAAAACCAGCCTGGGCAACATAGCAAGACCCTATTCAAAAAAAAGTAAAAATACATATATATTTAATGATGTTTAAGAATATGTAAGATCTGGCCAGGTGCGGTGGCTCACGCCTATAATTCCAGCACTTTGGGAGGCCGAGGTGGGTGGATCATGAGGTCAGGAAATCGAGACCATCCTGGCTAACACGGTGAAACCCCATCTGTACTAAAAATACAAAAAGTTAGCCAGGCCTGGTGGCACACACCTGTAGTCCCAGCTACTCGGGAGGGTGAGGCAGGAGAATTGCTTGAACCCGGGAGGCGGAGGTTGCAGTGAGCCGAGGTCACGCCACTGCACTCCAGCCTGGTCGACAGAGCGAGACTCCATCTCAAAAAAAAAAAAAATATGTAAGATCTATCATAGTTTCATTTGCCATATTTAATGTTTAAAAGTGAATGAGCTCTATCAAATTTAACTTCAACATTGGTTTATTTTGTGATGTGTATTTGAGATGGCCACCTAGTGGTTTTTTCTGGTATGGCATTTTACTACTGTACTAGATTATGATCTGATTAGAATAAGCTTATTAGCTAGTTTGTTTATATACCAAATATATTTTGAGTTATCCTTTCTGTACAGATTCAGCTGCAAGTGAATAGATATTTTTACAGCATTTCTATAATTATTTTGTTTTATTTTTAAACAGAAGAAGCAGACTACAGTGCCTTTGGTACAGACACGCTAATAAAGAAGAAGAATGTTTTAACCAACGTATTGCGTCCTGACAACCATAGAAAAAAGCCACATATAGTCATTAGTATGCCCCAAGACTTTAGACCTGTGTCTTCTATTATAGACGTGGATATTCTCCCAGAAACGCATCGTAGGGTACGTCTTTACAAATACGGCACGGAGAAACCCCTAGGATTCTACATCCGGGATGGCTCCAGTGTCAGGGTAACACCACATGGCTTAGAAAAGGTTCCAGGGATCTTTATATCCAGGCTTGTCCCAGGAGGTCTGGCTCAAAGTACAGGACTATTAGCTGTTAATGATGAAGTTTTAGAAGTTAATGGCATAGAAGTTTCAGGGAAGAGCCTTGATCAAGTAACAGACATGATGATTGCAAATAGCCGTAACCTCATCATAACAGTGAGACCGGCAAACCAGAGGAATAATGTTGTGAGGAACAGTCGGACTTCTGGCAGTTCCGGTCAGTCTACTGATAACAGCCTTCTTGGCTACCCACAGCAGATTGAACCAAGCTTTGAGCCAGAGGATGAAGACAGCGAAGAAGATGACATTATCATTGAAGACAATGGAGTGCCACAGCAGATTCCAAAAGCTGTTCCTAATACTGAGAGCCTGGAGTCATTAACACAGATAGAGCTAAGCTTTGAGTCTGGACAGAATGGCTTTATTCCCTCTAATGAAGTGAGCTTAGCAGCCATAGCAAGCAGCTCAAACACGGAATTTGAAACACATGCTCCAGATCAAAAACTCTTAGAAGAAGATGGAACAATCATAACATTATGAAACCGTGGTTTGAATGTTTTCAGAGTGAGGATGCCATGAGGACTTGTACATTTGGCTAGTTTAAAAGCATATATACCTCTGACCAGTGACGTGGAATAGGCATGAGACGAGTAACGTTGCAAGCTTACAATATTATTAAAGTAGTAGTTTGATAATTGTTAATATAAACTTTGGTGGATCAGAGGTGAATTTAAGTCCAAAACAAAGGGGCCTTTGCTGATGAAGTTACGTGCTTTTGCTGTTTTGTCTGTGGAGAATCAGATGTTAAAGCACATTCTTGGAACTATGTGAGAAGACTAGATCATTTCTGTTGGAAGTGGTTGCATATTTAACCTGCTGTGCAGAGCCCAGTTAATTTTTCCTTTAACTGTATTTTTAAAATTCTAATGTGAAGTCTGATTCTCTCTTGTGGTACATTGGGGACCTCAGCTCTTAAAGGTCTCATGTTCCCAATATTTTATTTTGATTTTTTTTTTTTTTTTTTTTTTTTTTTTTTTTAGTGACTGGGTCTCACTCTGTTGCCCACACTGGAATGCAGTGGCATGATCACAGCTCTCTGCAGCCTCAATCCCCTGGGCTCAAGCAGTCCTCCCACCTCAGCCTCCTGAGTAGCTGGGACCATAGGCACATACCACCACATCTGTCTACTTTTTGTATTTTTTGTAGAGACAGGGTTTCGCCATGTTGCCCAAGTTGGTCTTGAACTCCTGGGCTTAAGCAGTCCTGCCTCGGCTTCCCAAAATGCTAGGATTAGAGCCACCATGCCCAGCCTATTTTGATTTTTGTTTTTTTATGTTCCTTTCTAATAAATTGTAACAAATGATGTTCTCAAGTACATTTCCAGTTTCTTTTCTTTTCTTTCTTTTTTTTTTTTTTTTTTTTTTTGAGATGGAGTCTCGCTCTATCGCCCAGGCTGGAGTGCAGTGGCGCGATCTTGGCTCACTGCAAGCTCTACCTCCTGGGTTCACACCATTCTCCTGCCTCAGCCTCCCAAGTAGCTGGGACTACAGGCGCCTGCCACCATGCCTGGCTAATTTTTAGTAGAGACGGGGTTTCGCAGTGTTAGCCAGGAAGGTCTCAATCTCCTGACCTCCTGATCCGCCCGCCTCGGCCTCCCAAAGTGCTGGGATTACAGGCGTGAGCCACCGCGCCCAGTTGTGCATTTCTGGTTTCTAAGAATCAAACCACTTGGCTGTTTTTAGGAGTTACTTCCCATGTTATAAAGCTGAGGAAGCTTTTTTTTTTTTTTTTTGAGACAGAGTCTCTGTCACCCAGGCTGGAGTGCAGTGGTGCAATCTCAGCTCCCGGGTTCAAGCAATTCTCCTGCCTCAGCCTTCTGAGTAGCTAAGATTACAGGTGTGCGCCAACACGTCTGGCTTATTTTTTTGTATTTTTAGTAGAGATGGAGTTTCACCATGTTGGTCAGGTGGGTCTCAAACTCCTGACCTCAAGTGATCCGCCCATCTCCTCCCAAAGTGCTGGATTGCAGGCATGAGCGCCTAGCCAGGAAGCTATCTTTTCTTGAGTTATGAAACTTTGCAACAGTTGTTCAAATTGGTGTTTGTCCTTCCTATAGCTTTCATATTTTCAAATTAATTCTGTATGGCTATATAATTTATGTTTTAAAAGGCAATTCTCTTGACTTTGGAAATATGGAAGTCTCTCCTTTAACCTATTCTTGTTCCCATTCCCAGTCTCATTTGAAATCATTCCTTTTATTGTTAGTGTGTGTATTTTTGTTGGTGTGCTTTTAATGCATCCAAGTATGCATCATTTTGGATAAAAAATACATCCAAATTAAGATGTTTTAACACATAGGACAAACTTGTGCACTTTTTATGCCAAAAAAAAAAAAAATTGGGTTTTCCTTCATGGGATTTCTAGAAACACTGCCTACACTTTATGAAAACTACATAGTATTCACCTGTGACAGGTAGAGTTTATCACTATTAATTTTATGAGGCTATTTATTACTTTCCAATGCATCCACTTAGAACAAGCTAAGAGTAAGGCTGCTAACTTTAATTCCTTGCCTGATTTTATTGTACAGTGTGCACAAGCACAATGGTATGCTTGTATATAGAAACTAAAAATACTATGAAGTACATAAGTTCCCTATGGCTTATGGAGAGTTATTTATTAATTAACTTTATGGTAGGGCTAGTATGAATACCTTTTTAACAATTGTGTGCTATTACAACAATGAAGATTCAAATGACTCCGCTTTGAAGGATGTTTTCTCTATATGGTAAAATATATATGAAGAAGTCTTGATTACGTGAAGATCACTTGACTCAGAATACTTCAATGTATTTTGTTCACATTACCACTAAGCATATTATCAGTAAACTATTAACTGACTGCACATTATGTAATACGTTGTACTTTTTGTTGAATTCACCGAAGTTCTTCCATTTATATGCTATTTTTAATGGCATTCCGGCTTTAACATTCTGTGAGTCTTACAAATTTGACTCTTGAATGGCAAAATAATGTTAGTATGTAGAAGGTTAACTTTCATTTATAATATAAGTGGTGCAGGGGTTCAACATTTTAAGTAAAAATATTTTTACACACTACCTCTCTCTTTTTTTTTTTAAAGTTTTAACATCAGAACTTTTGGGGGAAAAACTACTTCAGGGCTTGACTTTTTGTACAAATTTTAACTGTAAAATACAGATTTATCTTGTACGCATTCATGGAAATGGAAATCAAAGCTGCTATTGCTTTTTATTTTAATTATCCTGTTAAGGGTATCTATCAATGGTATTTTCAAGTAGATCTCTGTTTCTTAAATTATTGGTGAAATAATTGATTACTAGATATATTGTAAAACCAATAGATCCTGGTTATACGATAAAATATCAGCTCATTGGTAGGCTGAATCAATTATTTCAAGTGCACCTTATTAACAAAAGTATCAGTGGATCCAACATAAAATTTTATAGTACTAAATGTCAAGCCTAACTGTGAATTTTGTTCTGTATCTTAAGTAAATTTATGATAATGTTCTCGAGCTATCAACAAAATATATGTACTTTTGTGAGCTATGAATTTTCTAATTAAATTTTACATGCTATAACATGATTTTTACATGAATGATACTTTGTTTATAACTATCAAATGTCAGTATTTTACTACAATTTTATTATAAAGTGTACATTATCACTAAATGAACTTCGATTTTAAAAATCAAATTAGCTTTAGTTGTATATTATTTTTTACAAATAAAGATAGACTTGTATAAAGGCTACTTTCTTGTTTGAAATTATATGAAAAGTTGCCCACAAATACCAGGTGCCCATTATATAAAATAGGTAGGGAGAAAACCCTTGAGTTTTAACAAGATCCTTGCTTCCTTAACTTTTAATTGTTAAAAGATGGACCCCAAATTGTATGTGCACTTTTTGCAACTGTGTATGACCATATGGCTATGGGCTGGATGGTAACTTTTAAAATGTGGTTAATTCTGATAGTGTGAAAGGTTATGCAAGCTATTCACCCAAAGTTATCTTTAAGATTATTTGAAACTAGTTTGTAATGTGACAGCTTATCTTCTGAAATTCAAATTCACTTAGTTATACTTAATTAATATTACCATCTATCTAGTATGGCCTATGTTGATTGAATTCAATTTATACTGAAAAACTTAAAATGTCTGAGAAAAAGGCCAGGCATGGTGGCTCATGCCTGTAATCCCAGCACTTTGGGAGTCTGAGGCAGGCGGATCATGAGGTCAGGAGTTGGAGACCAGCCTGGCCAACATAGTGAAACCCTGTCTCTACTAAAAATAAAAAAAAAATTAGCTGAGCTTGGTGGCGCACACCTGTAGTCCCAGCTACTTGGGAGGCTGAGGCAGGAGAATCGCTTGAACCGGGGAGGCGAGGGTTTTGGTGAGCTAGGATCACGCCACTGCACTCCAGCCTGGGCAACAGGGTGAGACTCCATCTCAAAAAAAGAAAAAAAAAGGTCTGAGAGAAAGAACAACCTTTCCTGAGCCATTTCTAATTCCAAATTAGCCACCCTGTCATCAGCTTAGTTGGTCATTGCACTAACTCTTCTGCCAACAAGTTTAGAGGACAATAGGACAATCCTAATTCCTTCCCTCCAAGTTAAAAACACTAAAAATCCCGAGTATAAATGGAACATCGTGCACACAGAACTCTTCACACCTTTGATTGGGTTGCATTCAGTACCCGATATTCATCTCTGGGTTTTGAGTCCGTGAAACAATGGTGCAGAATTAAAACATCCCTTTCATTCCCAAAAAATGACCCCAATGCAATTTGCATCTTTGTTTTTTTTCTTTTTTTGAGATGGAGTCTCACTCTGTTGCCCAGGCTGGAGTGCAGTGGCACTATCTCGGCTCACTGCAAGCTCCGCCTCCCAGGTTCTCGCCATTCTCCTGCCTCAGCCTCCCGAGAAGCTGGGACTACAGGCGCCCGCCACCACGCCCTGCTAATTTTGTTTGTATTTTTAGTAGAGACGGGGTTTCACCGTGTTAGCCAGGATAGCCAGGATGGTCTCGATCTCCTGACCTCGTGATCCGCCCGTCTTGGCCTCCCAAAGTGCTGGGATTACAGGCGTGAGCCACCGCGCCCAGCCTTGCAATTTGCATCTTAAATCACTGTTGCTTCCTAGTTTCCAGTGCTGAGTAAGAGCTTGATTAAATTTGATTTTGAGGAAAAACTAAAGTTACAAAAATTTACCAAAAACCAGACCTCTCTGTTCTGCCTTTAGGTGCTCAAGTGTTTAACAGCAACTGACAGAACCACTTCTGATTGTGTTTCCCTTCTTTTAGTTTGATGTGGGGTTTAAATTGGAAGTATGTATACCAGCGACTTGGCAGCTGAGTTCTAAGCACAGTTTTGGGAGTGTTTTGCTGTTAAACATGGAAAGCCTTTGTTTTTATCTTGTGATGGCATATCACGTGATGATGATGGCTGTTATCTGTAGGGTAAAGCAAAACCCAGTGCCTCCTAGCTATGATCACATAACATGCTAAATACTTAAGTACTCTCAGAAAAGATATTTTGGAAACCAAAATAAGTCTTCATTGCCCAAACGAAGTATATGTGCAGTCAAATGACTGTCATTGGGTGGATAACTGGGCATTAGAAGGTAAATATAAAGGAAATTAATCGGTTAAAAGATCCTTAATGCCGGGCGTGGTGGCTCACGCCTGTAATCCCAGCACTTTGGGAGGCCGAGGCGGGCGGATCACGAGGTCAGGAGATCAAGACCATCCTGGCTAACACGGTGAAACCCCGTCTCTACTAAAAACACACACACAAAAATATTAGCCGGGCATGGTGGCGGGCGCCTGTAGTCCCAGCTACTCGGGAGGCTGAGGCAGGAGAATGGCGTGAACCTGGGTGGCGGAGCTTGCAGTGAGCCGAGATCGCGCCACTGCACCCCAGCCTGGGTGACAAAGTGAGACTCCATCTCAGAAAAAAAAAAGATCCTTAATATGTCTACCAAATTCTTCCCTAAAAACAAGACTTAGATAATATTTTAAAAGCTAATGTGTTTATCCAGTTGCTTTACAACACAATTGTATTTTATAAGTTAATATTAAAATTCAATGGAGTTTGTATTTTATTTACAAACTATAGGTGTTTTTCCACTTATAAAAGCTCTCTTTTGGGAATTAAGTTTACTCTGAAAGCAGTATTCTCTGTGTAATAGAAAATAAAGAAAATTTAATACCCTTATTATCTAGTTCATTATAATCCCAAGGGATGGATAACAAGATAATACAGCATAAGTAAAGATAACTTTTTAAAAATAATTTTCAGTCATATAAATAATGTGCAAATTCGTTCTCCATATTTAAAAAAAAGTACAGAAAAAGCTAAAGTCTTTTGGCAGTACCATGCACATTTATCCATACCATATTCTGTTACAAAAAGGAATTGTGGCTTAAAATAAGAGTGACTATAATTTATAATCCAAATTGGGACACTTTTGAGAATGAATGGGTTTGCCACGAACTATGCCAGTAGAACAGGCTCGGACCAGATCTGTCTCAGGTAGACTGCAATATGGGTCACCCTGTTATAGGGTCTCTCAAAATTTTTTTTAAAAAACTGCAATACACAGTAAGAAATGCATTGAACACTATAATCCAGGACACACACACTATGTTTTCATACAGTAATGAAAAATGCTCTGATTTTCTATTTCACTTTTGTAGGATGTGTATTGGAACATTCCAAAAACAATGTCAGGATGCCCTGTTTGAAAACACTGTGAAGTGCTTTACTTTTCACTTGAGATATTTGCCATGGGAAAGACTATCATATTTTTCCCTAAAGGAGAATAAAGGTACTGTATTATCTGCTTGCTAGCTTTTTTGTTTGTTTGTTTGTTTTGAAATAATTTCCAACGTAGAAAAGAGCTGCATGAAAAGCATAACCTTTGTCCAGGTTATATCCTCATTTGCTATCTGTGTATTTTTTCCTGAACCACTTCAGAATTAGTTAAAGAGATTCTCCCCTTTTATCCCCTTTAGACTTAGGCATATATTTTCTAAGAACAAGGACATTCTCTTATATTTTTTCTTATACAACCCCAATTATCAAATTCAAAAAAGTTAACATTGCTACAATATTATCTAATATATAAGCAATACTAGAATCTCATCAATTGACCTAGTGATGTCCTTTACAGAAATTTTTTCCTTTTATCCAGGATCCAACCCAGAATAAGACATTGAGTTGTCTCATCTCTTTTGGCCCCTTTAATCTGGAGCAGTTCTTCAGCTTTTCTTTGCCTTTCATAATATTGACATTTCTGAACAGTAAAGATAAATTGTTTCATAGACTGTCCCTCAGTTGGGGTTTATCTGTTTCCTCATAATTAGATTCAAGTGGCTGGGCGTGGTGGTTCACACCTGTAATCCCAGCACTTTGGGAGGCCGGGGCGGGTGGATCACTTGAGGTCGGGAGTTGAAAAGCCTGCCCAACATGGTGAAACCCCATCTCTACTAAAAATACAAAAAATTTAGTTGGGCTTGGTGGTGGACATCTGTAATCCCAGCTACTCGGGAGGCTGGGGCAGGAGAATCACTTGAACCCGGGAGGCGGAGATTGCAGTGAGCCAGGATCACACCACTGCACTCCAGCCTGGATGACAGAGCAAGACTCCATCTCAAAGAAAAAAAAAAAATAGATTTAAGTTATGCGTTTTTATCAGGAATATTACATAGGTGATGTTATATCTTTATTTCACCATGTCAACAGGTACATCATATCAGTTTGATTCAATATTGGTTTATCAAGTGAGAAGTGATTTGGAAAAAATAAAATAAAATATATTGCCAGGTCTGGTGGCTCATGCTTGTAACCCCAGCACTTCGGGAGGCTGAGGTGGAAGGATCATTTGAGCCTAGAAGTTCGAGAGCAGCCTGGGCAACATAGGGAGACCCCGTCTCTACAAAAAATACAAAAACTAGCTGGGCATGGTGGCATGCACCTGTGGTCCCAGCTACTGAGGAGGCTGAGGTGGGAGGATCGCTTGGGCCCAGGAGGTCGAGGCTACAGTGAGCTGTGAGCTATGAGTGCCACTGCACTCCAGCCTGGGTGACAGAGAAAGCCCTGTCTCAAAAAATAAATGAGATGTTCTAATTATTCTTGTGCTCATTAAAAACGTGAATGGAGCCAGGTACAGTGACTCACACCTGTAATCCTAGCACTTTGGGAGGCTGAGGGGGGCAGATCACTTGAGGTCAGGAGTTCCAGACCAGCCTGGCCAACACGGCGAAACCCTGTCTCTACTTAAAATAGAAAAATTAGCTGGGTTGTGGTGGCAGCCCTCTGTAATCCCAGCTACTCAAGAGGCTGAGGTAGGAGAATTGCTTGAACCCAGGATGTGGAGGTTGCAGTGAGCCGAGATCGTGCCACCGCACTCCAGCCTGGATGACAGAGCTAGATTCTGTCTCAAAAAAAAAAAAGAAAAAGAAAAAGAAAACCTGAATGGATCCAGATGAAAGACATGTGTTTTCTATATCCATGTGTTCCGCATCTTTGATTGTTTTCCTTTTGAAGAAACAATAGAAAATGGTGACCTGGCACCAGTATTCTCGAATGTCCTTTGCTTAACCACATTTCTGAACTCAGTAATGACTTTCTCTGGCATTGGTCTGAATGAAAAGAAAGCACCCAAATGATACCTAAATCTGTGACTAATGGGGCTGGTCAGTAGTCAGAGTGTTCAGAGTGGGAGGATGTTGCCTTGGGATTCTTTGGCTTGTGAATACACCTAACTCCAATTGACGTCTAACTTAGATTCAAAGGAATGGATTGGCTCGTGTAACTGAAAAATCAGGGCTAAGATTTCAGCACAGATCGGACACAGTGCCATCTGATAGAATTTTCTGCTTTGTCCAGAGGGGAGTCACTAGCCCCCATGTGGCTGCTGCATACTTGAGGTGTGGCTAGTGCAACTGAGAAACTGGATTTCAAATTACATGTCATTTTAATTAATTTAAATGTTAATAGCCACATGTAGACAGTGGCTACTGTATTATTTTACAGCACAAACTGGAATCCCTCTCCATTTCTTGCTTTTGTTTTCCCCTGTTACCTTTTTTCCCTTAGGCCAAGTCCCTCCTTATGGTGGCAAAGATGGCCTCCAGCAACCCTGGCAACATTCCGTCACATTACCAACCACCTGGCAGGGAGCCTGTCTTCCCCCATGGTGACAGCCAAAGCCCAGAGACCACCCTCACTGACCCTGTCTCAGTCATGTGCCCATCCCTAACCCAATCCCTATAACTCCTAATTGTCCTAGTCTGGGTCATGGGCCCAATTCTGGACCTATTGAGGGAGGGATGGTCCCCTAAAGAAAAATCAGGGATCAGCCAGGTGCAGTGGCTCACGCTTATAATCCCGGCACTTTGGGAGGCTGAGGCAGGTGGATCACCTGAGGTCAGGGGTTTGAGACCAGCCTGGCCAATATGGTGAAATCCTGTCTCTACTAAAAATACAAAAATTAGTCAGGCATGGTGGCGGACGCCTGTAATCCGAACTACTTGGGATGCTGAGGGAGGAGAATCGTTTGAACCCGGGAGGCAGAGTTTGCAGTGAGCCGAGATTGCAGCACTGCCCTACAGCCTGGGCAACAAGAGCAAAACTCCATCTCAAAAAAAAAAAAAAAAAAAAATCAGGGATCAGGGTTCTGTTACCACAAGAAAGAGGAAGAACTACAGGGGAGGGAACACAGTGGGTATCACTTGCAGCTTTTTTTCTTTTTTCTTCGCTCTGTTACCAGGCTGAAGTATAGTGGTGCAATCATAACTCACTGCAGCCTCAAACTCCTGGGCTCAAGCAATCCTCCCACCTCAGCCTCCTGAGTATCTGGGACTATGGATGCGTGCCGCCACACTCAGCTAATATTTTTCGGAGAGACAGGGTCTCACTATGTTGCCTGGGCTAGTCTCGAACTCCTGGCCTCAAGCAATGCTCCTGCTGCCTTGTAGATTTAGAGTATTTGGGAACACATTTTTTATAAAATGTCCTGCACAAAGTAAATTGGGGACAGAGAGCAGTGCTCTATCAAAGGAAAATGGTGGAAATTAAATACAGAGACCAGTGGCAGTGTTCTACCTTTAAAGGAAAAACTTAAAACTCCTGACAGCGACTATACTAGGACTTCTGTTTTCAAGTGTTATTGCTTATTTTGATTCTATTTTAAATACATCTGCTGAGATGGGCAGATCACTTGAGCCCAGGAGTTTGAGCAACATAGCAAGACCTCATCTCTACAAAAAATTTCTTAAATTAGCCAGGCATGGTGGTGCACACCTGTAGTCCCAGCTACTCAGGAGGCTGACTGAGACAGGAGGATTGCTTGAGCCTTGGAGTTTGAGGCTGCAGTGAGCTATGATCATGCCACTGCAATCCAGCCTGGGCCAGAGCAAGATTTGTCTCTAAAAAACAGAAAAGAAAAGAAAAGAAAAAAATATATATATATGAAATAAATCTGACATAAATTGAATATATAAAGAATATATAAATGCAATATAAACTTCAATCTGAAATGGCAGTTTCAAATCCTATTACTTTCAAAGTATAGAAATGATAGGACCATGGGTCTCAGAGAGGAGGTTGCAAATTCAAATGCCCAAAGGGCCAGAGTGGGGCAGGGCAGGTGGGGCTGGTAAACAGGAGATGCCCGCCCCCAGCAAGGCAGGGGCCACCACATTCGATGGTTGTCATTTGGGTATGTGTGGGCCCAGTGTTGTCAGCTCTTATAACTTTTTTTTTTTTTTTTTTGAGACTGAGTTTTGCTCTTGTTGCCCAGGCTGGAGTGCAATGGCACAATCTTGGCTCACCGCAACCTCTGCCTCCCAGCTTCAAGCGATTCTCCTGCCTCAGCCTCCCAAGTAGCTGGGATTACAGGCATCTGCAACCATGCCCGGCTAATTTTTTGTATTTTTAGTAGAGATGGAATTTCACCATGTTGGCCAGGCTGGTCTTGAACTCCTGACCTGAGGTGATCCACCTGCCTCAGCCTACCAAAGTGCTGGGATTACAGGCGTGAGCCACCACGCCCGGCCCTGCTTATCCAGATTTTCATAAGAAATGTCCTTTTTTTTTTTTTTTTTTTTTTTTGAGACGGAGTCTCGTTCTTCTGCCCTGGCTGGAGTGCAGTGGCAAGATCTTGGGCTCACTGCAACCTCTGCCTCCTGGGTTCAAGCACTTCTCCTGCCTCAGCCTCCCGAGTAGCTGGGACTACAGGCACGTGCCACCACGCCCAGCTAATTTTTGTATTTTTAGTAGAGACGGGCTTTCACCATGTTGGCCAGGATGGTCTCAATCTCTTGATCTCGTGATCCGTCCACCTCGGCCTCCCAAAGTGCTGGGATTACAGGCATGAGCCACCGCTCCTGGCCGAGAATCCCCCTTCCTAAATTGGTAAAATCTGATTCATCAGAATTGCAATTTTGATCAAAGCCAGTAACTCCTCACACAAATCCTTCTATGTGTGCAGAAAGTGAGCGTCTGAAAACTCCAGGCGGAGTTTTTGCGCTAGGTTATCTACCAGAAGAAAGGACAAGAAAGGCTAGAATTTGACTAATGGTTCCACCCCCCAGATTGTATCAGCACAGCATTCCTCTTTCACTCAGTCTCTTAGCAATGCTTGCAACTA
Organism: Homo sapiens; assembly: GCF_000001405.40. Lineage (NCBI taxonomy): Eukaryota > Metazoa > Chordata > Mammalia > Primates > Hominidae > Homo > Homo sapiens. Next base: position 50,761,643 of record NC_000020.11, read on the forward strand.
CAAGGAAACAGCATTCATACCATTGTTTCTAAGACCTGAAGCAGGTTACATTCAAACCCAGCACTGTTCTTATAGAACATAAGAGTTTTGTTCCCAGGCTGCTTCTCTGCCAGCATGTGATACCCTTCAATAAATGGTAGGTAAGTTGCATATCAGGTTTTCTCCTGCATTCCCAGAGGGCTTCAGCTGCTGTCTCAGGTATGAACCCAAAATGACTCAGGCAAAAATGTGTATGCTTAGTGACTCAGAAACTAAATCATTAACTTGGTAAGTACATGCACGGGTAAGGAGGAATTCAAGGAGAGACTTAGAACATAGGCCTTCCAGTAATGCCACTGATGATGACTGCCTGAGTACAGCAACGCTGAACGGTGTCACTTCTCAGGTGGACCAGTGACGAACCCTAGAATCACCAAGAATCTCAAATCAGTCATTCTCAGGAGCAACAATCCACATAGGGTAATTTACAAAGAATGCTGATTTCAATTGTTTGAATCCTTACCTGGTGAAACAAGAAAATGTGGAAAAAGCTCCTTGACTTTAAAAATACACACCCACACACTTTTTTTTTTTTAAAGGGACAAGGGCTTGCCGTCTCCCACACAGGCTCGTGGGCGGTGGTGCGATCATGGCTCACTGCAACCTCGAACTCAAGGATTCTGGCAATCCTCCCACCTCAGCTTCCCAAGTAGCTGGGACTACAGGCATGAGCCATCACACCCGGCTAATTTTCTTTTTTTCTTTTCTTCCCCTCACCCCAATTTTTTTTTTTTTTTTTTTGAGATAAGGTCCTGCTCTGTCGCCCAGGCTGGAGTGCAGTGGTGTGATTATGGCTCACTGCAGCCTCAAACTCCTGAGTCCAAGTGACCTCACACCTTAGCCTCCTGAGTAGCTGGGACTACAGGTATGTGTCACCACGCCTGGCTAATTTTTGTATTTTTTGTAAAGGTGAGGTTTCACTATGTTGCCCAGTCTGGTCTCAAACTCCTGGGCTCAAGCAATCTGCCTGGCTCAGCCTCCCAAAAGTGCTGGGATTACAGGCGTGAGTCACTGTGCCTGGCCTCCACATGACTTTCTACTAGTTGATTTTAAACTGGGCATATGCATTTACACACACACACACACACACACACACACACCTGATCTGCCTAGATGTGAAATTAAACTTCTAGAGCACACGCATATACACAACGCCAGACAATATGGGAACAGTGATTACAAACAAATCCCACTAGAAAATGACAAACTGTAATAATTTTTCAGTCCCCTTTTGAAGGCAAGAGGTTTATAAACCTCTGCAATTCAATTGCAACACATCAGGGTTCTTCTGGTGAGCTGGCCTCAGTGTCCTTCCTCCACCCCCAGGGTGCCTTGGCTCATGTTCACAGGGCCCATGCCCAGTAGGGCTGGCATGTGTTTCCAACAGCCGAGCAGACAGGGCCAGCAGAGAGGGAGAAAATAAACGGTAAAGGGAGACGCGCCAGGAGAGCAGGCAGAATGGCCGGGAAGCTGGCCAAACGGGAGAGGCTGAATGGGCGACATCAGCCCTTGACCAGGCCTCAGCTATCCCAGCTGTCCTTCACCACTCACTGTGTGGATACCAGGAGGATACAAGCCCCCTTTGCCTGGGCGTCACCAAGAATCCATAAACCACGCAGTTTATTTTTATTTTTATTTAATTTTATTTTTTTAGATAGTCTCACTCTGTCGCCCAGGCTGGAGTGCACTGGCGTGACCTTGGCTCATTGCAGCGTCCACCTCCTGGGCTCAAGTGATTCTCGCGCCTCAGTCTCCCAAGTAGCTGGGATTACAGGCACCTGCCACCACACCCGGCTAATTTTTGTATTTTTAGTAGAGATGGGGTTTCACCATGTTGGCCAGGCTGGTCTCAAACTCCTGTGCTCAAGCAATCCACTCACCTCAGCCTCCCAAAGTGCTGGAATTAGAGGCGTGAGCCACTGTGCCTGGCCTATTTTTATTTTTTGAAATAGTCTTGCTTTGTCACCCAGGCTGGGTGCAGCACAAATAACACGGCTCATTGCAGCCTCGACCTCCTGCGCTCAAGCGATCTTTCCTCCTCAGCCTACTGAGTAGCCGTGTGCCACAGGCATGTGCCACCCTGCCTGGCTAATTTTTTTTTTTTTTTTTGGAGATGGAGTCTTACTCTGTTGCCCAGGCTGGAATGCAGTGGCACTATCTCAGATCACTGCAACCTCCGCCTCTTAGGTTCAAGCAATTCTCTGTCTCAGCCTCCCGAGTAACTGGGATTACAGGCGCATGCCACCACGCCTGACTAATTTTTGTATTTTTAGTAGAGACGGGGTTTCGTCTTGTTGGTCAGGCTGGTTTTGAACTCCTGACCTCAGGTGATCCACCAGCCTTGGCCTCCCAAAGTGCTGGGATTACAGGTATGAGTCACCGTGCCCGGCCGCCTGGTTAATTTTTAAATTTTTTGTAGAGACCAGGTCTCACCATGTTGCCTATGCTGGTCTTGAACTCCTGCGCTCAAGCTTCCCAAAAGGCTAGGATTACAGGCTTAAGCCACGGTGCCTGCCCATGTGGTTTTTAGACCAGCAGGTTCTGTAGAGCAAAATGTTCATGATTTTGAAGGATGACAAACCTGACAGAGGAGGCAACGCCACCTTGACATTCCTCAGTCGTAGTGCCACAGTGGTCTCGTATTTCAAACCTGGTTAGAGTTTGTCCTCTTCAGGAGAGTTTGTGTGGCTGTTTTGCAGTGGAGGAGAGATGACAAAGCTGATAATGCTTATGGTGTGGGTATTTTCTTTTTCTTTCCTTATTTGCTTTGTGAAGACAAATAATGGTTAAGGATAGATAAAATTAACCGGGTGTGGTGGTGCATGCCTGTAATCCTAGCTACTCAAGAGGCTGAGGCAGGAGAATCGCTAGAACCTGGGAGGCGGAGGTTGCAGTGAGCCGAGATCGCGCCATTGCACTCCAGCCTGGGTGACAGAGCGAGACTCAGTCTCAAAAAAAAGGATGGATAAAATATTTAACAGTGGTCATACATAATTCATTCCTGAGTCGACACCCATTTCCAGGCCAGCAGTTCGCTCTCAATTAGGGGTTCTCAGAACACGGAACCACCGTGTCTCCTTGGTAGACTGCCATTGTGCTTATTTTTACTCTTTTCTTCCTAAGGCTAATTGTTTTTACCTTTTCCTTGTTGAGTACTCATTCCTAGATGTTTTTATCAAAGGCAACAAAAATAAAAATTATAGGCAGGACTTTTTTTGTTTGTACGTTTTTTGAGACGAAGTCTCGCTCTGTCGCCCAGGCTGGAGTGCAGTGGCGCCATCTCGGCTCACTGCAACCTCCACCTCCCGGGTTCAAACAGTTCTCTGCCTCAGCCTCCCAAGTAGCTGGGACTACTACAGGTGCCCACCACCATGCCCGGCTAATTTTTTTTTTTTTTTTTTAGATGGAGTTTCACTCTTATTGCCCAGGCTGGAGTGCAATGGCACAATCTTGGCTCACTGCAACCTCCACCTCCCAGGTTCAAGTGATTCTCTTGCCTCAGCCTCCCGAGTAGCTGGGATTACAGGCATCCACTACCATGCCTAGCTAATTTTTGTATTTTTTAATAGAGACGGGGTTTCACAGTGTTGGTCAGGCTGGTCTCGAACTCCTGACCTCATTATCTGCCCGCCCCGGCCTCCCAAAGTGCTGAGATTACAAGCGTGAGCCACTGCACCTGGCCAATTTTTTGTATTTTTAGTAGAGATCGTGTTTCACCATCTTGGCCAGGCTGGTCTTGAACTCCTGACCTCGTGATCCACCTGCCTCAGCCTCCCAAAGTGCTGGGATTACAGCTGTGAGTCACCGCGCCCGGCCAGGGCTTTTTGTATTCATGTCTGGGCCTTAAGGTTTAACTCAGAGCTTCAGAGACATAACTGGGAAGGAAAAATGTATATTTGTACATATAAATATTGTGTAAGAAAAGTAAATCAGTTAAGGAAGCTGTGTGCCCACAGAAGTAATATGTGATTTTAGGAGAAATTTTAGAAAAAATAATTACTATTCAGAGATAACCACTCAAGTTTTTCAGCATATGCGCACATCAAATGTATATTCATATTAGACCTATAAAATTATTCTGTAGTTTGCTTTTTTTAGAGGACAATATATTGCACCTATCCTTTCTCTGTCAGTATGGCTCTGCATCATTTATAATGGCTTCATCGTATTTCACTGTATAGATGCACCATTATTTTGTAAAACCAATTCCTTATTCTGAGCTGTTTTCATTCATTCGCCATTATGAACAGTGCTGTGGTGAACAACTTTGTAAATACATCCTTTTGTTCCTTGTCCAATTATTTCCTTAGGATAAAAGGAATCTTTGGTCAAGGTGTACACATTTTTTTGGAAAGGGAGGGGGTGGTTTATGAATATATCCAATTTCCTTCCAGAAACGTTGCTCTAATGTACACACTTACAGGGATATGTGTGTCTTTTTCTCCTTGAAAACACCAGATTTTATTATTATTATTATTATTATTATTATTATTACTATTATTATTTTGAGACATCAAAATAATCCAGCTCCATCACCCAGGCTGGAGTGCAGTAGTACAGTCACAGTTCACTGCAGCCTCGACCTCTCTGGCTCAAGCGATCCTCCCACCTCAGCCTCCCAAGCAGCTGAGACTACAGGCATGCAGCAACACACCCAGCTAACTTTTTTTGTAGAGACAGGGTTTTGCCATTTTGCTCTGGGTGGTCTCTAACTCTGGGTTTCAAGTGATCCTCCCCTTCAGCCTCCCAAAGTGCTGGGATCACAAGCGTGAACCACTGTGCCCAGCGCACCATTGATTACATTTTAGACTTTATTTAGATAGCACCAGTTTTCCACTAATGTCCTTCTTCTGGCCCAAGACCTAATCCAGAATACTGCATCGCATTTCATACCCATTCTTTGTTACAGCTTCATAATATGTAACCAATTTAATTTATTTAACAACCCCCTATTGTTGGACCTTTGGGTTATATCAGGTTTTTTCTGTTTGGTTTTCTGTTTTGAGATGGAGTTTCACTCGTCGCCCAGACTGGAGTGCAGTGGCAACATCTCAGCTAACCGCAACCTCTGCCTCCAGGGTTCAAGCGATTCTCCTGCCTCAGCCTCCCGAGTAGCTGGGATTACAGGCATGTGTCACCACACCCTGCTAATTTTTTATTTTTAGTAGAGACAGGGTTTCTCCATGTTGGTCAGGCTGGTTTCCAACTCCTGACCTCAAGTGATCCACCGGCCTCAGCCTCCCAAAGTGTTGGGAACAGGCGTGAGCCACAGCGCCTGGTCTCTGATGGATATTTTTAAAAAAATCACTGTGGTATTCATGTGGGGCAGAGGGTGAGGGGGAGGCAGGGATTAGTCCTGGCAAGCAGGGGTGGAGGCGGGAAGGAGTGGACAAATTCAAGGTATTTCTGAGGAGCAGTGGAATCTCTTGACCAAGGCCTTCTTCAGCAGGGAGATGGAGCCCTGTCCTGAGGGACTTTGCAGCCTGGCTGGTAAGACAAGCTTCTTCCCCAGGGAATTAAACACCAGTGGTTAACAGATTAGCAACTTAGAGACGAGAAAGCGGTTTCCAAACTCTAAAACACAGAAGGAAAACCCGTGACAGATTTGGCCACATAAGTATTTAAAGCTTGTATCTGTCTCTCTCTCTCTCTCTCTCTCTCTCTCTCTCTGTCCCTCTCCCCCGCCCCTCCCCTCTGTCTCTCACACACACACACACAAACACACACACACAGAACAATTTAAGATTAAAAGGTGAGGGGCTGGGAGAAAACTGAGAAAGGATGGTCATCTAGGATTTATCAGCCGCTCCCAGCAATCAAGAAGAAGAAGACAGATAACTGCACAAAGGAATAGGAACTGATAATTCCCAGAAGAGGAGACTGGGAAACCGGTAAACCTAAGGCAATATGCTTAATCTCATTAGGAATCAGGAAAATGCAAAGTAAACAAAGGCCCACCCCTAAGAGTAGTAGCCAAATGTAAAGGAGGGAAGTGGGAGCAGGAGGAGCCTCTCCCCCTGGGATGGGGAGGAGCCGGCCAGGTTCTGCGGAAGCAGAAGGGGGTGGGTGTACTACTGCCATGGCGCAAACACACATCCAAGGGCTCTGCAGGGGGCCCCACCCTTACCCCCCAGACCATTTCTAGGAGTAGGGGCTGAACAGGACCCAGTGGAGGCTACCGTCCTGCATTGCGAGGGTTAAGTAAGAGGCTGAAGGTCAAGTGCGAGGTCCTGCAGGGCACTTCCAGCGGCTCTGTCTCAGCCGGCCCAGTGGCCATGCGGAACTGGGAGCAAGGAGAGTGGGAGATAAAACCCTGTTTCAGTGGTTTAGCGTGGGAAATGCTAAAGTGATCTGTGTAACACAGCTCCTGGGTGGGGAAGAGATGGGGAAGTAGCCTGTGGCCTGGAGGTGGCTAGGGACAGATTCTCAGGAGGGCTGGAAGGGGTCAAGGGCAGGGCTGCGCTATAACTTCCCTGGGCAGTGAGCATCTTGGCCTGCAGGGGCCCTTCCAATAAGAAATAGGACCTGGTGTGGTGGCTCACACCTGTAGTCCCAGCTATTCACGAGGCTGAGGTGGGAGGACTGCTTCAGTCCAGGAGTTGGAGGCTGCAGTGAGCTATGATCACACCACTGCACCCTGGCCTGGGCCACATAGAGAGACCCTGTCTCTAAAGAAATTTTTTAAAAATTACCTGGGTGCGGCCGGGCACGGTGGCTCACGCCTGTAATCCCAGCACTTTGGGAGGCCGAGGCGGGTGGATCACCTGAGGTCAGGAGTTTGAGACCAGCCTGACCAACATGGAGAAACCCCGTCTCTTCTAAAAATACAAAATTAGCCGGGCATGGTGGCGCATGCCTGTAATCCCAGCTACTTGGGAGGCTGAGGCAAGAGAATGGCTTGAACCCGGGAGGCGGAGTTTGCTGTGAGCCGAGATCTCGCCATTGCACTCCAGCCTGAGCAACAAGAGCGAAACTCCGTCTTAAAAAAAAAAAAATTAGCCGGGTGCAGTGCCAGAGTAGTTCCAGCTACTCAGGAGGCTGAGATGGGAGGATTGCTTGAACCCAGGAAGTCAAGGCTGCAGTGAGCTGTGATCCCACAACTGCACTCCAGCCTGGGTGATAGAGCAAGACCCTGTCTCTCTCTCAGAAAAAAAAGAAGTGCAGATTACAACTTGGTATAATAATGAATAATTACTATTATATAATAACACATTTTATTTGACCTAAAGAACATTTTTTTGCCTTCTGATCCTAGAAGTAATTCACATGTGTTCGTGGGCGCATGCGTGGGCCTGTGCGTCTAATGGAGAGGTCACTGCAGAAAGGAAGCTCAGGGTTCTCCCAGGCAGCGGCAGGGTGTGGAAGTCTTTCTTTGCCTTTTTGACCATTTTGTAGAGGGAAGCTGCTCTGCTGTCCAGCCCTGCGGAGGGGGGCAGGGTCTGTGTCCCCAAGATGACAGAGGGTTGGGGAGAGTTCACTCCAGTGACCAGTGGTTGGCCGAAGAGTGCTTTGGAGTTCAGCCCACCTGGGTTTGAATCTACATCCTCCCTGTGTGGAGCTGAGCCTGACCAGTGCGTGTGTTCACCAAGCTCAGGCGTCTTTGTTTGTGTGTTTTTGGATGGAAAGGGGAAGCAGCCCTTCACCCGCTCTCTCCTCCCTTGCAGCCGTGCCACAGGGCCAGGGTTGCAATGAAGGCAGGTCTCAGGCAGGTCTCGGCTCTGCTCTGGCAAACGGGCCCCAGAGGTCTGAGGAATCCAGCCAGCTCCTCCAAGCTCATGTCCTTGGTCTCAGACCTACAGGCTTTGTGCACATCCTAGGCTGGTGACAGCATGTGTGTGTGTCACGGCTGGAGTGGCAGAGGCCCTGTGGGAGCCGCAGACCCAGGGCCGCTCCATAGGTGTCAGGCTGTGTGGTCTGCCAGAGTCCCACACCTGTTCGTGTGAGGGGAAGGTGCCCGAGCAATACTGTAGCCAACCAAATACCATAGTGTCTTCAATACTACTCATTTCGCCCATGGAAAATTATGCCTAAGCCACCATACGGGTTAATGAACGCTCCAGCCCAGGTCCGAAGAGATGCCTTTAGCACAGGGACGTGTGGCAGTGTCTGGAGATGTGCCAGGCTGTCACAGGCTGTGCTCCTGGTGTGGGGACACTGCTGAACCCACAGGACAGCCTCCACAGCAAAGCGTTACATGCTGAGGTCCAGGGACCCTCCCATAACCAATTCCAGAGTGAGGGCTTCTGATTGGAGAGCCCCACTCTGCGTGTCCCTTAGTCACTCCTGGGACCTAGGTCAGGCGTACACACACCTGCACCACACTGCCTATATACAAGCACTTTACCTGTATTGTATTTATTTATTTTTGGCTCACTGTGTTGCCCAAGCTGGCCTCAAACTTCCTGGGCTCAAGTGCTCCTCCTGCCTCAGCCTCCCAGGTATCTGGGACTATAAGCGAGTGCCACTGCACCTGGATTTTTATGCAGGTATTTTAGGTGAGTCATTGGAGGTACAATGCTACCAACTTGCCACTTCAGGTGGCTCCATCCTGAAGAGCCTCAGCCTCCTGGTCTGTACAATGGTAACAGTGCCCTGCCCCCGGGGAGCTGTGGGGGTGAGTGAGAGGCTGTGTGTCCAGCCCAGTGTCCGGGGTCACTCAGAAAGAGTGGTGTCTGCTCAGCGGGGGCAGAGCACAGGCTTGAGGCCAGACTTCCTGGGTACCAGCAATTCAATGAGTGAATTCTTTGAGCAATGCCTGGCACTGCACAAGTCCTGTGGCCGTGTTGGGTACCACTGACATTATTGCTGTTTTCAGGTTTGTTTGTTTGTTTGTTTGTTTGTTTTTTGAGTCAGAGCCTCGCTCTGTCACCCAGGATGGAGTGCAGTGGCGCCATCTTGGCTCACCGCAACCTCCGCCTCCTGGGTTCAAACAATTCTCCTGCCTCAGCTTCCCGAGTAGCTGGGATTACAGGCATGCACCACGACACCTGGCTAATTTCTGTGTTTTTAGTAGAGATGGGGTTTCACCATACTGACCAGGCTGGTCTTGAACTCCTGACCTCAAGTTATCCACCCACCTCGGCCTCCCAAAGTGCTGGGATTACAGGCATGAGCCACCGCACCCGGCCTGTTTCTAGTTTTTGACAGTTGAACAAAGGTGCTTGGCCTGGAACAGTGACCACCAGGTCACCTCACTCCCTCAGTGTCAGGGGTCTCTCTCCAGGCTCCAATTGCTCTCATCTCATCTCAGTCCCTCCTACCTGTCCTCATCCTTATCACTGCTCCTACAGCTGGAGACCAGGGTGGGGCACGTTTGAGATGGGATTCCCATTCAGCCTGTGCTTCTTGGAGACCCAGCTTCCCTCGCTCCCTCGTGCTACCCCATCACCCTCCACTCCCCCATGCTCTCTTCCCTAGACTGGGCAGGCCCCAGCTGCCTTCCCACCTGGTGCCCCGATACACAGCCACCCCCACAGTGGCCTCAAGAGGCTTCTTTCCTGGCCGGGTGTGGTGGCTTACACCTGTAATCCTAGCACTTTAGGAGGCCAAGGTGGGCGGATCACCTGAGGTCAGGAGTTTGAGACCAGCCTGACCAACATGGAGAAACCCTGTCTCTACTAAAAATACAAAATTAGCCAGGCATGGTGGCTCATGCCTGTAATCCCAGCTACTCAGGAGGCTAAGGCAAGAGAATCGCTTGAACCTGTGAGGTGGAGGTTGCAGTGAGCCAAGATTGTGCCATTGCACTCCAGCCTGGGCAACAAGAGCAAAACTCTGTCTCAAAAAAAAAAAAAAGAGGCTTCTTTCCCAAAGAGAGACTTTGTCTTCAAGGTGACCCCTGGCTGACCCCTGGCATGGTTGGTGGGAGTGGTGATGGGGCAGCGATGGGGCCATTTGAATTAAAATGCCCTCTGCATAATTCACAGAAATTCATGAGTCATCTTTATCTGGGAAAACCCCAATGGAGTGAGCTGGGACCCAGGGCTGCAGACTGATAGACAGAGGGAAGCGGCCTCCCTGGATCCCGGTCCTCACTCCCGTGCCTGCTGTTGACTATTCTGCGGTCAGGAGGCGTCCCTTTGCCTGCAGTCCTGGGACAGTGGAGCGCAGGGGACACTGGGGCTTCCCAAGGAAGTGCTTGTTCTTCTCTTAAATCAGAAATCAGGGCACTCATTATGTGTCTATCCATCAGGCCGCTGTCCTCTGCAGAGACACCTTGGGTGTCCCCTCCTGGCTCCAGGTGGTTCTGGAGGATGGCAGAGCCAGGACCATGGGCTGCCCTGAAGGTGGTTCCAACCTGCTCTATTTAAACCAAGGGTCCTTTAAATTTGTCTCTTTTCATTTAAATATGCTCTTTAAAAACCAGCAGGCTGGGCATGGTGGCTCACACCATGTGGATGGCTTGAGGCCAGGAGTTTGAGACCAGCCTGGGCCACATAGCAAGACCCATCTCTATAAAAAAAAATTTTTTTTTTTGAGATGAAGTCTTGCTTTGTCGGCCAGTCTGGAGTGCAATGGTGTGATCTTAGATCCCTGCAACCTCCACCTCCTGGGTTCAAGCTGGGATTATAGGCGTGCACCACCACACCCGGCTAATTTTTGTATTTTTAATAGAGACGGGGTTTCACCATGTTGGCCAGGCTGGTCTCGAACTCCTGACCTCAGGTGTTCCACCTGCCTCAGCCTCCCAAAGTGCTGGGATTACAGATGCGAGCCCGTAATTACAGGCATGTGCCCAGCCCTAAACAATTTTTTTTTAAAAGACAGAAAAACTCCCTGCCCCCTGGAGTTAAGATTCTTGAGAAGGATACTTGATTAACTGATGAATAAGACAGTCAGAACAGTGATGAGCTCTTTGAAGGATATGGGTGAGGGGCAAGGCCACGTTAGCCAAGGGGGTCAGGGAGGACCTCTGTGAGGAAGTGGCCTTGGTTGTGAGGCCTGCAGGCTGGGAGAGAGTGATACAGAAGACCTGGGGGAAGGGAGGGGCTACACGGCAATCACTGGTTGTACTGAGAAGTCATTTTGCACATGTGGAAATATATTTCTGAAGTAAATTCCTAGAAGAGGGATTACTGAGTCAAAAAGCATATGACTTTCTAATTCTGATAGATACTGCCAACTTGTCCTCTTTGGGGTGAACCACCAAAGACACTCCCATCTACCAAAGACAAGAGTGCCTGTTTCCCCACAGCTTTGCCAATCCTGTGGATTGGCACTAATCTGATGGTTGAAGAATGTATCTTATGCCCGTCTGGGGTGGCTCATGCCTGTAATCCCAGCACTTTAGGAGGCCAAGGCAGGCAGATTGCTTCAGGTCACAAGCTCGAGACCAGCCTGGCCAACATGGTGAAACCTCATCTGTACTAAAAACACAAAAATTAGCCAGGCATGGTGGTACACAACTGTAGTCTCAGCTACTCGGGAGGCTGAGGCAGGAGGATCACTTGACCTAGGAGGCAGAGGCTGCACTGAGCTGAGATTGTGCCACTGCACTCCAGCCTGGGCAGCAGAACAAGACTTCATCTCAAAAAAAAAATGTATCTTATTAAGAATGAGATTGAACATCTCTTTATATGATTATGAGCTACTTGAATTATCTTTTCTTTCTTTCTTCCTTTTTTTTTTTTTTTGAGATGGAGTTTTGCTCTGTTGCCCCCACTGGAGTGCAATGGCGCAATCTCGGCTCACTGCAACCTCCGCATCCCGGGTACAAGTGACTCTCCTGGCTCAGCCTCCCTAGTAGCTGGGATGACAGGCACTTGCCACCACGCCTGGCTAATTTTTTGTATTTTTAATACAGACGGGGTTTCACCATGTTGGCCAGGCTGGCCTCGAGCTCCTGACCTCAGGTGATCCTCCCACCTCAGCCTCCCAAAGTGCTGGGATTATAGGCGTGAGCCACCGCACCTGGCCTTGAATTATCTTTCTACTTGAATTATCTTTTCTCCCAACCAACTGTTGGTATCCTTTGCTCATTTGATGTTTTCCTTATAAATTTCTAGAAGCCTTTTTTTTTTTTTTGAAACAGAGTCTCGCTCTGTCACCCAGGCTGGAGTGCAGTGGCACGATCCCGGCTCACTGCAACCTCCGCCTCCTGGGTTCAAGCGATTCTCCTTCCTCAGCCTTCCAAGTAGATGGGATTACAGGCGCCTGCCACCACTCGCAGCTAATTTTTATATTTTTAGTAGAGATGGTGTTTCACCATGTTGGCCAGGCTGGTCTCAAACTCCTGACCTCATGATTCGCCCGTCTCGCCCTCCCAAAGTGCTGGGATTGCAAGCATGAGCCACCGTGCCCTGGCTCTAGGAGCCTTTTAAATATGAAAAAGATTAACTTTTTTATTTTTTTGAGTCAGAGTCTCGCTCTGTCACCCAGGCTGGAGTGCAGTGGCGCAATCTCAGCTCATTGCAACCTCTGCCTCCTGGGTTCAAGCGATTCTCCTGCCTCAGCCTCTGAGTAGCTGAGACTACAGGTGTGTACCACCACACCCAGCTAATTTTTGTATTTTTAGTAGAGATGGCGTTTCACCATGTTGGCCAGGATGGTCTTAATCTCTTGACCTCGTGATCCACTCGCCTTGGCCTCCCAAAGTGCTGGGATTACAGGCATGAGCCACTGCGCCCAGCCCGAAAGAGATTAACTTTTAACTATGATATGTGTTGGGAAATATTTTTTTCCCAGCTTGTCATGTTACTTTGACTATGATATGTGTTTGCAAATATTTTTCCCATCTTATCATATTACTTTTCTATTTTCTTTTTCCCCCATCTTATCATATTACTTTCCTAACAATCAACTTTACTGAGGTATGATTTATGTTAATAATAAAATGTGCTTTGAAAGTACAGTTTGATGAATGTTGACAAATGCAATACACCCATGTAACCACCAACACAAGACACAGAACATTTCTGTGACTCTAATGTTATTTTAGAATATGAGTATAATTGTTTTGGCCATGGAAAAACTTTTCTTTTTGTCTCCCTCTGTGGCGCAGGCTGGAGTGCAGTGGTGTGACCACAGCTCACTGCAGCCTCGAACTCCTGGGGTCAAGCAATATCTCTCTCCTCAGCTTCCCAAGTAGCTGGACTAAAGGCACGAGCCACTAAACCTGACTAATTAAAAATGTTTTTTTGTAGAGATGGATTTCTCCATGTTACCCAGTCTGGTCTTAAATTCCTGAGCTCAAACCATCTCTTTCTTTTTTTTTTTTTTTTTGAGACAAAGTTTTGCTCTTGTTACCCAGGCTGGAGCACAATAGCGCGATCTCAGCTCCTTGCAACCTCCGCCTCCTGGGTTCAAGCGATTCTCCTGCCTCAGCCTCCTGAGTAGCTGGGATTACAGGCATCCGCCACCACACCCAGCTAATTTTTTGTACATTTAGTAGAGACGAGGTTTCACCATGTTGACCAGGCTGGTCTTGAACTTCTGACCTCAGGTGATCCACCCGCCTCGGCCTCCCAAAGTGCTGGGATTACAGGCATGAGCCACCACGCCCGGCACAAGCCATCTCCTGCACTGCCAAAGTTATGGGATTACAAGTGTGACTTACGGCTTCTGCATTTTGTGTTGTAGTAAGAGATGCTTTTACATTCTGAGGTTTTTAAATAATTCATTGTTTACTTCTAGTCTATTTCTGCCTTTTTTTTTTTTATACATTTTGCTCTTCGATCTATTTGCAGTACAGCCTGAGGTTGGTGTAAGGTTTGAGTCTAATAATTTTTTTTCTAGGGGTGTATCCAGTTGTTTCTGCCTTGCTTGAACAAAGTGAACTAATAGTAGTTCACGAAATCTACTGGTTTATAATGTCACATACCAAAGGCTTGTGTCTTTAAATCTATCTCTAGACTTGGTATTCTGCTTTCTCATTCTGTCTCTCCAAAGATTTCCATATATATATATATATATATATATATATATATATATATATATAAATATAAATATATTCTATATATTCATATATATATATTCTATATATTCATATATATAAATATATTCTATATATTCATATATAAATATATTCCATATATATAAATATATTCCATATATTTATATATAAATATATATCATATATTTATATATAAATATATATCATATATTTATATATAAATATATATCATATATTTATATATAATATATATCATATATTTATATATAAATATATATCATATATTTATATATAAATATATATCATATATTAATATATATCATATATTTATATATTAATATATATCATATATTTATATATTAATATATATCATATATTTATATATAAATATATATCATATATTTATATATAAATATATATCTACATTTTTTGAGACAGAGTCTGGCTCTGTCACCCCAGCTGGAGTGCAGTGGTACGATCTCAGCTCATTGCAACCTCCACCTCCCAGGTTCAAGCGATTCTCGTGCCTCAGCCTCCATAGTAGCTGGAATTACAAGTGCAGGCCACCACACCCAACGAATTTTTTTGTATTTTTAGTAGAGACGGGGTTTTGCTATGTTGGCCAGGCTGGTCTCGAACTCCTGGCCTCCAGTGATCCACCTGTCCTGGCCTCCCAAAGTGCTGAGATTACAGGCATGAACCACCACCCCCACCCATTTCCATACCATTTTAATTATTGAGGATTTATAGCGAGTTTTAATATTGGGTAGGTCTAACCTCCTATCTTAGTTTACTATTGTTTCTGTAACTTAATAGCTTAAAACAACATAGATTTAATATCTTACATTTCTGGAGGGCAGAAGTCCAAAAGGGTTCTCATGGACTAGAATGAAGGTGTCCACAGGATTGTGAAGTCTCCTCTCTGGAGACTGTCAGGGAGGCTCTGCTCTCTGCCCTTTCCAGCCTCTGCAGGCAGCCGGGTGTTCCCTGGCTCTTGCTTTCCTTCCTTCAGAGCCCTCAGTGGCTGGCTGAGTCTTTCTCACGCTGCCTCCCTCTTCCGCTTCCAAGAATCCCTGTGGTTATAATGGGCTCACCTGGATAATCTGCCCATCTCAGCAGTAACTGACCAGCAACCTAAGTTCCACCTGCAACCTTCATTCCCTCTTGCCAGGTAAGAGCATATTCACAGGCTCCGGGCATCAGGAAGTGGACAACTCTGGAGGACCATTATTCTCCCAACCATGTCCCCGTCATTGTTTTTCCTCTTTGTTTTGAGACAGGGTCTCAGTCTCTCATTGTCACCCAGGCTGGAGTGCAGTGGCGCCATCATAGCTTACTACAGCCTCATCTCCTGGGCTCAAGTGATCCTCCTACCTCAGCATCCAGGGTAGCTGGGACCACAGGTGCATGCCACCGTATCCAGCCATTTTTTAAAAATTATTTTATTTTATTTATTATTATTATTATTATTATTTTTGAGACGGAGTCTAGCTCTGTCACCGAGGCTGGATGCAGTGGCGTGATCCCGGCTCACTGCAACCTCCGCCTCCCGAGTTCAAGTGATTCTCCTGCCTCAGCTTCCCGTAGCTGGGATTACAGGCATGCACCACCAAGTCTGGCCAATTTTTGTATTTTTAGTAGAGATGGGGTTTCACCAAGCTGACCAGGCTGGTCTCGAATTCCTGGTCTCAAGGGATTCATCTGCCTCAGCTTCCCAAAGTGCTGAGATCACAAGCATGAGCCACCATGCCTGTCCTGTTTTATTTGGGTGACATTAAATCTATCTATTACTTTAGGAAGGACATGATAAGCATTTTCATTTGGACAGACTCCTCTCCTCAGGACTATTTACAATTTACCTAATGTAAGTCTTGTAAATCTCTGACGTGGCATATGCCTAGTACTTTATCTTATAATTTGTGTCTTTTTTTTCATTCTGTGTTCTCTTGGGTTGTTATTCTCCTAAAGAAATCAGTCTATTTAAATTTTCTGCCTTTCCAAATTATATTTTCCCAGGAAATTAGCCATCGTATCCAAGTTGTAAATTTCAAATGTAAGCAGAACAGTCTCCTATTATTATTTACATTTCTTCTATTTCTATAGTTATTTCCCCCTAATCATTTCTTATTTTGTGCATTTGAGCCTTTTGCCTTCTTTTCTTGATTAGGTTAGCTTGCTTTTTGTTTCATTTTTCCCCCCTCCAAAGAAGCAACTTTTGGATTTAGTCATTTATTCTGCTCTATTTTCTCTCTCTCCTTCCTTCCTTCCTTCCTTCCTTCCTTCCTTCCTTCCTTCCTTCCTTCCTTCCTTCCTTCCTTCCTTCCTTCCTTCCTTCCCTCCTTCCTCCTTCCCTCCCTCCCTCCCTTCCTTTCTCTTTCTTTCTTGACAGAATCTTGCCCTGTCACCAGGCTGGAGTGCAATGGTGCAATCTCGGCTCACTGCAACCTCCACCTCCTGGGTTCAAGTGATTCTCCTGCCTCAGCCTCCTGAGTAGCTGGGACTACAGGTGCATGCCACCACGCCCAGCTAATTTTTGTATTTTTTTTTTTTTTTTTTTTTTTTGAGACGGAGTCTCGCTCTGTCGCCCAGGCTGGAGTGCAGTGGCGGGATCTCGGCTCACTGCAAGCTCCGCCTCCCGGGTTCACGCCATTCTCCTGCCTCAGCCTCCCAAGTAGCTGGGACTACAGGCGCCCGCCACTACGCCCGGCTAATTTTTTTTTGTATTTTTAGTAGAGACGGGGTTTCACCATTTTAGCCGGGATGGTCTCGATCTCCTGACCTGGTGATCCACTTGCCTCAGCCTCCCAAAGTGCTGGGATTACAGGCATGAGCCACTGCGCATGGCCGCTATTTTCTATTTTAATACTGTCTGGCTTTATCTTTATTAATTCCTCCAATCTCCCTTGATTTATTTTATTCTTTTCTTATTTCTTTATATTTTATTTACTCATGTAGGGTTTTTTTGTTTGTTTGTTTTTGTTTTTTTTTATGAGATGGACTCTTGCTCTGTCACCCAGGCTGGAGTGCAGTGGCACGATCTTGGCTCACTGCAAGCTCCACCTCCCCCGGTTCACGCCATTCTCCTGCCTCAGCCTCCCAAGTGGCTGGGACTACAGGCGCCCACCACCACGCCCGGCTAATTTTTGTATTTTTAGTAGAGACGGGGTTTCGCAGTGTTAGCCAGGATGGTCTCGATCTCCTGACCTCGTGATCCGCCCACCTTGGCCTTCCAAAGTGCTGGGATTACAGGCATGAGCCACCACACCCGGCCACTCATGTAGGTTTTTAAGGATATAAATTTTCGTCTGAGGACATTTTTATTTGAACCCCGCAGGTTCTATATGTTGTTTTTATTATTTTTATTTAATGTGCTGCAACTTTTTTTTGTGCTTGCTCTTTGCTGTAAGAGCTGTTTAAGAAAGTCTTGGTCAGGAGGGGTGGCTCATGCGTGTAATCCCAGCACTTTGGGAGGCCGAGGTGGGAGGATTGCTTGAGGCCAGGAGTTCGAAACCAGCCTGGTCAACATAGCAAAACCCTGTCTCTGCAAAAGAAAAACTTTAAAATTAGCTGGGCATGGTGGCGCATGCCTGTAGTCCCAGCTACCTGGGAGGCTGAGGTGGGAGGATCACTTAAGTCCCGGAGGACGAAGCTGCACTGAGCCGTGATCACACCACTGCACTCAGCCTAGGCGACAGAGGGAGACCCTGTCTTAAAAAGCAAGAAAAGAAGAAAGTCCATTATTAAGGTCTTTTAATAACTGCCCTGTGTCATTGCTTTGTGATTACAGAGTGCTGTCTGTGCTATTTTCATTCTGTGGAATTTTCCTCCAAATAGCTCACTATGGGGTCAGTATTTATGACTGTTCCATTGGTACTGGAGAGGCAGAGTATGTTGTATATTTTCAGGGTTCTCAGCTTAAAATATTTGTAGAATTCTGATCTTTTGCATTCTTACTTATTTCTGTCCACTTCATCTGTCATGATATGAGAGGGGTAATTATTATAATTTTGTGATTTCAATTACTATTATTCAAAACTTTGCTGGCTAATCTTGACAGCTAAGTTCACTAAACATAAGATGCAAGTTGAGCTCAAAAATGTTAAAATGTAGGGGAAGGAAAGTGTCTTCGAATCAATAGGATAATGCATGTTTGTTTCAGCAAATCAACTGTGGGATGTTTTTACATTTTACAAGAAAAATCCCACTGCAGGTCTAGTTTGTGATTTTGTTAAATTTGTAGATTTTTTTCTTTTTTTTTTTTTTGAGACAGTCTCACTCTGTCGCCTATGGTGGCTCACACCTGTAATCCCAGCATTTTGGGGAGGCCAAGGCAGGAGAAGCCTGGAGTGCAGTGGTGTGATCTCAGCTCACTGCAACCTCCACCTCCTGAGTTCAAGCGATTCTCCTGCTTCAACCTCCCGAGTAACTGGGATTACAGGTGCCCACCACCATGCCTGGCTAATTTTTGTATTTTTAGTAGAGATGGGGTTTCACCATGTTGGCCAGGCTGGTCTCGAACTCTCGACCTCAAGTAATCCTCCCACCTCAGCCTCCCAAAGTGCTGGGATTACAGGCGTGAACCACTGCCCCGGGCTAAATTTGTAGATTCTTTTGGGGAATAGCTGGTAGCTTTATGAAGTGGAGCCTTCTCTTCAGCAAATATGGTGTTTCCCCATTTCTTTCCTTCTTCTTTTATGTTCCTTCATAGTTTTACGGTTTTCTTCTTCAGGCTCCTATACGTTTCCTGTTAGGAATATTTCTAGGGATTGGTCTTTGTTCTCCTATGAAGGGGGTATTTTTACCACTATGTCCCCTAACTGGTTGTTGTTGGTTTATAGTAACTTCCCCTCCTGCTTCTTTTTTGTGTAAAGTTATTTAGTAAACAGCTCCCTCACTATTTCCAATTGGTTAACACTTCCAGAGGGATAAGACAATAGAGGATGCTTCCTTTTTACAAAAATGCCACCCATATTTCATAACGAAGAATAACTTTTTAAATAACAGATTAATTTTTGTCCTTGCAAAAGTAATATATATTCACTACACAGATTTATAAAATATAGAGGGATGCCGGGTGTGGTGGCTCACGCCTGTAATGTGCTTTGGGAGGCCAAGGCAGGTGGATCACTTGAGGTGAGGAGTTTGAGACCAGCCTGGCCAACATGGCAAAACCCCATCTCTACTAAAAATACAAAAATTAGCAGGGCATGATGGCCTGTGCCTGTAGTCCCAGCTACTCGGGAGGCTGAGGCTGAAGAATCGCTTGAACCCAGGAGGCGGAGGTTGCAGTGAACTGAGATTGCACCGTTGCACTCCAGCCTGGGGGACAAGAGTGGAACTCTGTCTGAAAACAAAACAAAACAAAATTAGCCAGACATGGTGGCGTGCACCTGTAATCACAGCTACTCAGGAGGCTGAGGCAGGAGAATCGCTTGAACCCAGGAGGCAGAGGTTGCAGTGAGCCAAGATTGTGACACTGCACTCTAGCCTAGGTGACAGAGTGAGACTCTGTCTCAAAAAAAAAAAAAAAAGGAATGAAGTACTGATACATGCCACAACATGGATGAACCTTGAGAACATGATAGTACGTGAAAGCAGTCAAACACAAAGGCCATAGAGTATATGATTTCATTTACATCAAAGTATCCAGAAGAGCCAAATCCATAGAGACATAAAGTAGATTAGTGGTTGCCTTGGAGGTGTAGGGGAATGGGAGGGTTGCAGAGTGATGATAAGTGGGGTTTCTTTTTGGGCGCATGAAAATGGTGGCTGCACAGCTCCACAAATTTACTAAATATACCATTGAAACGTATACTTTAAATAGGTGAATTGTATAGTATGTGAATTATATCTCAATAAAGCTGTTAAGAATGATTCACAAACTCTACTCATTCAAAATATGTCAACTCTACTCTGCCAGATGGTGAGAACACGGCCCTGAACAAGACCAAGGCCGTTCTTGTCTTCACAGGATGCTATTCTGGTGAACTTCCTCTGGAACTATATTCTATATCCTTACAAAGAAAATACTTGTCTTGAACTTCTGAGCTCAAGTAATCCGCCTGCCTTGGTCTCCCAAAGTGCTGGGATTACAGGCGTGAGCCACTGCACCCAGCCTAATTGACATTTCTTGAAGAATAGCAGTCTTCAGGTGATTGAACAAACCTGCCTATTCAGAATCTGCATTTTAACAAGATCCCCAGGCGATGTCATTCACCTGGTACATTCCTTTTTTAAAAGCTTTTTTCTTTTTGTTGTTTTTAGAGACAGGACTCATTATGTTGCCCACGCTGGCCTTGAACCTCTGGGCTCAAGAGATCTTCCCCACTCAGCCTCCAGAGTAGCAGGCGTGCACCATCATGCCCGGCTCATTGAAATTTGGGAAGCACAGATCTAGAGGTCAACCTTTTATCCAAAGCAGAAACCCTATGTGATTTCAATTGTCAAACTTTATGTCAACTCTCTATGCAAAGCACAAACCCCATCTGTACCATCCCTATGTATCAGGAACAGGCTGGGAAGTGACAATTGAACTCTGCTAGAATTGTCCCACCTGTCGGGACTCACTGTGTGGAGATCCCACCTGTCCACTTGCGTGTGTCTCACCTTTACTTTATTTTTAATTTTTATTTTTGAGATGGGATCTTACTCTGTCACCCAGGCTAGAGCGCAGTGGCGAAATTTCAGCTCACTGCAACCTCTGCCTCCTGAGTTCAAGCTATTGTCATGCCTCAGCCTCCCAAGTAGCTGGGATTACAGGCGCTCGCCACCTTGCCAGGCTACTTTTTGTATTTTTAGTAGAGACATGATTTTACCACGTTGGCCAGGCTGGTCTTGAACTCCTGACCTCCATTCACCTCAGCCCCTCAAAGTGCTGGGATTACAGGTGTGAGCCACCGCACCAAGCCTATTTTATTTTTATTTTTGAGACAGGGCCTTGCTCTGTCACCCAGGCTGGAGCGCAGTGCCATGGCGGCCATGAACGTAGCTCACTGCAGCCTCCATCTCCCTGGCTGAAACAATCCTCCCATTTCAGCCTCCCAAGTAGCTGGAACTACAGGTGCACACCGCCATGCCTGGCTACTTTTTTTTTTTTTTTAATTTTTAGTAGAGATAAGGACTCTTGAGCTCAAGAGTGTCGAACTCCTGAGCTCAAGGAATCCTCCCACCTCGGCCTCCTTTGGGATTGCAAACGTGAGCCACTGCACCTTGCCATTTCACCTCTAGACACCCTTTTCCTTATTTCCAGGTAAAGTCAGCTTCCCTTTGGCAGTGCCTCTGTATTTGTTTTCTACTGCTGCCTGACAAATCACCACAGACTTAGCAGCTTAAAACAACACACATCGGCCGGGTGTGGTGGTTCATGCCTGTAATCCCAGTACTTTAGGAGGCCGAGACAAGTGGATCACCTGAGGTCAGGAGTTTGAGACCAGCCTGGCCAACATGGTGAAACCGCATCTCTACTAAAAATACAAAAAAAATTAGCCAGGCATGGTGGTGGGCACCTGTAATCCCAGTTACTCAGGAGGTTGAGGCAGGAGAATCGCTTGAACCCAGGAGGCGGAGGTTGCAGTGAGCCAAGATCACGCCATTGCACTCCAGCCTGGGCAACAAGAGCGAAACTCCATCTCAAAAAAAAAAAAAAAAAAAAACAAGCAAACAAACAAAAAACGACACACATGTTATCTCGGTTTCCCTGGGTCAGGGGTCTTGGAACGGGTTACCTGGATCCTTGGCGCAGGGTCTCACAAGGCTGCCATCAGGGTGTTGGCTGGGGCTGTCTGAGGCTCCAGGCCTCTTCCAAGTGCATTCAGGTAGTTGACAGAACTTAGTTCCTGCAGCTGTAGGTCTAGGGACCTCAGCTCCTGGAGGCACCTGTAGCTCCCTGCCACATGGACCCCAAGGGCAGGCCACAGCCATGAATGCTCACTTTCTTCCAGGCCAGCAAAGGCCTGTTTCTCTGCCTTCCTCCACCTCTAAACCCTCCTTTAAGGGCTTGTCTGATTAGGTCAGACCCACCCAGGATCATCTGTTTTTTTTGTTTTGTTTTTGTGTTTGTTTTTTTGAGACAGTCTCACCATGTCACCCAGGCTGGAGTGCAATAGCGCAGTCATGGTTCACTGCAGCCTCAACCTCCTGGGCTCAAGCAATCCGCCCACCTCAGCCTCTCAAGTAGCTGGGACTACAGGCATGCACCACCACACCTGGCTAATTTTTGTCATTTTTTGTAGAGACACGGTTTCACCATGTTTCCCAGGCTGGTCTTGAACTCCTGAACTCAAGCGATCCTCCTGTCTCTGCCTCTCAAAGTGCTGGGATTACAGGCATGAGCCACAACACCCAGCCATAATCTCCCTTTTGAGTAACTCAAAATAAGCTCATCAGGAGTCTAATCTCAGGAGTGATATCCCACGTGTCCACTGATCCAGCCCACCCCGGAGGGGAGGGAGTTATACAGGGCATGTCCACCAAGGGGCAGGAATCTTGAGGGTCATTTTGGAATCCCACTTCCCTCAGCCCCTGTGTAGCACAGCACCAAGGGATGCCACTCAGATGGTCATCTATGTGAGTGGTGCGGCGACCAGCCTGCACAGCCAAGCCGGTGGTGCTTCTGTGGCTTTTGTCTCTCTGGATCAGTTGGACTTCTTTCCTTAGAAGCCTCATAGAATTCACTGAATCTTTCTTCCTCGTGACCTTCCTTCAGATCATTCAAGCTTTCTCCAGGCAAAACAGCTCCAGCTTCTTCAAACTGGCACCATGTGACATGACTTTAGTTTTAATTTTTCTCTTTTTAAAGTTTTTAAAAATAATAGAGACAAGGTGTCACTATATTGAGCAGGCTGGTCTTGAACTCCTGAGCTCAAGTGATCCTCCTGCCTTAGCTGCCCAAAGGGCTAGGAGTACAGGCATGAGCCACTGCACCCAGCCAACATGAGATGACTTTATATTCAGTTTCTCAACAGACCCAGATGCACAGTTGGTGATGATAAAATAAAAACTTCAGCTGAATTAAATTTAAGAGAGTTTAATTGAGCAATGAACAATTTGTGAATCGGGAGCCTCTCAAGCCGGAGTAGGCTCAGAGACTCCAGCACAACCACATGGTGGAAGATTTATGGACAGGAAAAGGGAAGTGACTTACAGAAAATGGAAGTGATGGCCAGGAGTGGTGGTTCACTCCTGTAATCCCAGCACTTTGGGAGGCCGAGGCGGATGGATTGCTTGAGGCCAGAAGTTTGAGACCAGCCTGGCCAACATGGTGAAACCCCTGTCTCTACTAAAAATACAAAAATTAGCCGGGCGTGGTGGTGCACGCCTGTAATCTCAGCTATTCAGGAGGCTGAGGCATGAGAATCACTTGAACCCGGGAGGCGGAGGTTGCGGTGAGCCGAGATTGCACCTCTGCACTCCAGCTTCAGTGACAGAGCAAGACCCTGTCTCAAAAAAAAAAAAAAAAAAAAAAGAAAATGGAAGTGAGGTACAGAAACAATCAGATTGGTTACAGCTCAGCGTTTGCCTTATTTGAACATGGTTCAAACAGTTGACTACATTTGATTGGCCAAAATTCGGTGATTGGCACAAGTGTAGACTACGGTCTGTTTATACCTCCACTTGTTTTGTTTTGTTTTGGTTTTTTGAGATGGAGTCTCACTCTATCACCAGGCTGGAGTGCAGTGCCTTGATCTCAGCTCACGGCAACCTCCTCCTCCCAGATTCAAGTGATTCTCGTGCCTTGGCCTCCCGAGTAGCTGGGACTACAGGCACCCGCCACCACGCCCAGCTAATTTTTGTATTTTTAGTAGAAATGGGGTTTCACCATGTTGGCCAGGCTGGTCTCGAACTCCTGACCTCAAGTGATCCTCCCTCCTTGGCCTCCTAAAGTGCTGGGATTACAGGCATGAGCCACCATGCCCACGCAACACCTCCATTTGTTATAGTTCACTGTGTACAGAGAAACCTTTAAGCCGAACTTAAAATATATAAGGAGGCAGTTTTAGGCTAATCTTGATTTAACAGTGACAAATACTTTGGCAGTGTCACCTGTTTTCTTATGTATCTATCCATCCTCTTTGCCCTTCCTTGAAAACATTCTAGTTTGTCAACATTTCACTTAAAATATAGTATTTATTGAGTGCTTACTCTTTGCCAGACACTGTTTGAAGCAGCATACATAATGAGATTGTTCTTATTGAATTTCTTTTTTTTTTTTTTTTTTTGAGACAGGGTCTCGCTCTGTCACCCGGGCTGGAGTGCTGGAGTGCAGTGGCATGATCTCCGCTCACTGCAACCTCTGCCTCCCGGGTTCAAGCAGTTCTCAAGCCTCAGTCTCTCGAGTAGCTGAGATTACAGGCACCTGCCACCATGCTTGGCTAATTTTTGTATTTTTAGAAGAGACAGGGTTTCTCCATGCTGGCCATGCTGGTCTCAAACTCCGGGCCTCAAGTGATCCACCTGCCTCAGCCTCCCAAAGTGCTAGGATTACAGGTGTGAGCCACCATGCCTGGCCTCATTAAATCTTTTTAGCAACCCTGTGAGTTGTATCATGCCATTTTACTGGAGAGGAAAGTCAGGCACAAAGAAGTTAAGTAACTCCACCAAGATCACACAGCTCATAGGTGGGGAGCCAAAATTTGAACCCAGGCAGTTTGAGTCTAGGACCTGTGCAGTTAGCCCCTATGCAATGCTCCCTCCCGAAGCCACTCTCTGTACCCAGAAGGGGCTGTCCTAGGACCAGGGATCATTCTTTCTTGGCCCCTCTGCTTTGCATTCTGTATTCTTCTTAGTAAACATCCTCATTCCCATTTGCTTTTTAGCAGCTATATTATTTCATTGCCTTAAATTGAACTCAGAGTCCCTTTAAAAGATCTGTGTTTGTCACGTGAACTACTGAAAACAAGGCTTCCCACATCCTCATTAAGGTAAATGCAATAAAAAAAGTTTTTTTTTTTGGCTAAATTTTTTAATGTGGTTGCTTTTGGTCATTGTTTCAACCAGAGGCCCAGCTCAGCTTTTTATGTTATTGATATGGCGGCAGATTTCACATAGAGCAGCATCTCATTTACAAAGAACACAGAATGCCATGCCATGGACTCCAGAGATGGAAAAGTCCTTTGAGGCTGGGCACGGTGGGTCATGCCTGTAATCCCAACACTTTGGGAGGCTGCAGTGGGAGAATGGCTTGAGCTCAGGAGTTTGAGACCGGCCCGGGCAACATGGTGAAACCGTGTTTCTAACAAAAATTACCTGGGCGTGGTGGTGTGCGCCTGTAGTCCCACCTGCCTGGGAGGCTGAGGTGGAAGGATTGGTTGAGGCTGGGATGTCTAGGCTGCAGTGAGCCGAAATCAGTGCCACTGAACTCCAGTCTGGGCCACAGAGAGTGAGACCATGTCAAGGCAAGAAAAGAAAAGGTCGGGCACAGTGGCTCATGCCTATAATCCCAGCACTTTGGGAGGCCGAGGTGGGTGGATTGCCTGAGCTCAGGAGTTCTAGACTAGCCTGGGCAACACGGTGAAACCCTGTCTCTACTAAAATACAAAAAAAATTAGCCGGGCGTGGTGGCGTGCACCTGTAGTCCCAGCTATTTGGGAGGCTGGGGCAGGAGAATCACTTGAATGTGGGAGGCAGAGGTTGCAGTGAGCTGAGATTGTGCCATTGCACTCCAACCTGGGTGAAAGAGTGACTCCATCCCACAAAAAAAAAAAAAAAAAAAAATGAAAGGAAAGGAAAGGGAGAGAGGAAAGGTGTGGGTGGGGAGAGAGAGAGAGAAGAGGAGAAAGAGGAGAAAGAGAAAGAAGGAAAGAGAGAGAGAAGGAAAGAGAGAGAGAAGGAAAGAGAGAGAGAGGAAGAAAAGAGAGAAAGAAAGAAGTCTTTAGAATTTTAATGAAAGGCCAGGTGTGATGGCTGATGCCTGTAATCCCAGCACTTTGGGAGGCTGTGGTGGGAGGATGGCTTGAGCTTAGGAGTTCGAGACCAGCCTGGGCAACATGGTGAAACCCCGTTTCTACAAAAATTACCTGGGCATGGTGGTGCGTACCTGTAGTCCCAGCTACCTGGGACGCTCAGATGGGAGGATTGGTTGAGCCCAGGAAGTCGAGGTGGCAGTGAGCCGAAATCAGGGCCACTGCCCTCCAGCCTGGGCCACAGAGTGAGACCCTGTCAAGGCAAGAAAGTCAAGGCAGAGAGAAAGGAAAGAAGGAAGGAAGGGAGGGAGGGAGGGAGGGAAGGAAGGAAGGGAGGAGAGAGAAAGGGAGAAAGAAAAGAGAGAAAGAAATAAGTCCTTAGAATTTAATGAAAGGCCGGTTGCGGTGGCTCATGCCTGTAATTCCAGCACTTTTGGAGGCCTAGGCGGGTGGATCGCCTGAAGTCAGGAGCTTGAGACCAGTCTGGCCAACATGGTGAAACCCCGACTTATTTAAAAAAAAAAAAAAAAAGAAAAGAATCTTGCTGAAAGAAGAGAGAAAGAAGTTCTTAGAATCTTAATGAACAAAAACTCAAGTTTCTGAAACAAGAAAACAAATGTCTCAAATAGTCTAAAGAATACGGTTTTTTACTAGGGTGTTTAGCAATTTTCTTGCAGATTCTGATCTATCTCTATGTGATATAATAGGTGCAAAGCTCAACTGCTCCACTCAGCGGTTATGTGTGGGGGCCTCATTTTCTCCAGCTGTGGGATTGGGAAGCAAGTCGATTCCTTTTTTATAATTTTGAAATCCAGGAAACGCCAAAACCGTTAGCTTTCTTTCCCATCAGTTTGGCAGAAATTCACTGAGGTGAAGAGACGGGAGGTTATTTAAGGCCTCTATTTAGCTCATTTAAGGTGAATATCCACACACTTTGCTGAGAAATACGATCAGATAAGAGGATGCTGCCCCAGCTCCCATGGGACTTGTATGTGCTTTGTATTAGCCTTCTACAATCCACAGAGCTCAGATTCTGAAACACGTCTGGCCCTAGCGGTTTTGGATGAGGGGTAACACCTGTAACACCCAGAGGTGGCTGAGAGCAGTGAATGAGAATCCACGGACAGCACTGAAATTCACACCTTGGGGAACCTCTGATGTCCCTGTATCTGGCCAGTAGTTTCTGCCACTTACTGTTTAGATAGACGCAGAGAAAACAAGTAGGGACACAATTTCGGTAGCTGGAAGGGAGAACATTCCTTCGCCCTCCAACTAAGTGACTCTCCTCTCGCTTCTCAAGGCCAAGGAAGCTCTGCCGTAAGGCTAAACGCGACACTCAGGGAGCATTTGGAATCTTGCCCTGTGGCCTCTTGCCTCTAAAGCTGCAAGACCCTTTATGTGGCTCTGCTGTGGAAGGGAAAGGAGTAGAGAAAAACTACTCAAATGACTGCAGAGATGTAGAAGCTTTCCTTATCAGGGAGAGAATGGGAAGCTGCGATTGCTGTTTCCTGTTACTGTAGTGAACATTTCAAAATTATGACATAAAAATGGTTTTTGTTTCTTTTTTTGAGATGGCGGTCTCGCTCTCTCACCCAGGATGGAATGCAGTAGTGTGATCACGGCTCACTGCAGCCTCAATGTCCCAGGCTCAAGTGATCCTCCTGCCTCAGCCTCCTGAGTACCTGGAACTACAGGTGCATGACACCATACCTGGCTAATTTTTGTAATTTTTGTGGAGATGGGGTTTCACCATGTTGGCCAGGCTGGTCTTGAACTCTTGAGCTCAAGTGACCTACCCACCTTGGGTGGCCAAAAATGTTCGTTTATGTATTTATTTATTTTTGAGATGAAGTCTCGCTCTTGTCCCCCAGGCTGGAGTGCAATGGCGCGATCTTGGTTCACGGCAACCTCCACCTCCCTGGTTCAAGCGATTCTCTTGCCTCAGCCTCCCCAGTAGCTGGGATTACAGGCGCCTGCCACCATGCCCGGCTAATTTTTATATTTTTAGTAGAGATGGGGTTTCACCATCTTGGCCAGGCTGGTCTGGAACTCTTGACCTCAGGTGATCCGCCCGCCTCAGCCTCCCAAAGTGCTGGGATTACAGGCGTGAGCCACTGTGCCTGGCCCAAAAATGTTTTTTAATATCTGGGTTTTTATTGTTGGTGGTGGTGTTGGGGTGTTTGTTTGTTTGTTTGAGACAGCATCTTACTCTCTTGGCCAGACTGGAGTGCAGTGGCACAATCTCGGCTCATCGCAACCTCTGCCTCCGAGGTTCAAGAGATTCTCCTGCCTCAGCCTCCTGAGTAGCTGGGATTACAGGAGCAAGCACCACCAAGCCCAGCTAATTTTTGTATTTTTACTGGAGACGGGGTTTCACCATGTTGGCCAGGCTGGTCTCGAATTCTTGACCTCAAGCAATCCACCCGCCTCAGTCTCCCAAAGTGTTGGGATTACAGGCATGAGCCACCGCACCCAGCCAATACCTGTTTTTAAACTATGCTTCTATGTAGATGGGTTGTGCTTGAAATTATTTCACTAGTGGGGAAACACACTAAGTAGGAGAGCGACTTCACATTTTATTTATTTTTTCAGAGAGAGGTGCCCAGGCTGGTCTCAAACTCCTGGTCCCAAGCGATTCTTCCCCCTCAGCCTCCCACAGTGTTGGGATTACAGGTGTGAGCCACCGCCTGTCACGTGTTCTTTAGACAGTGGTGATTGTCCCAGGACCTACTTGCCTCACAGGGTGTGGTGGGGATCCAGTGAGGGCATCTATGCAAAGAGCTTAGAACAGTGCCTGGCACATAGTAAGGGCTCAGGACACATTAACAACGAATATGGTTTTAGAGATCGGGGTCCCAGACAAAGCTATGCCAGTGCTGAAACACTGTCGATCGGAACCACCTAGGAGCACCTTTTAAAACTCTCAAAGCCAAGGCCACACCCCACACCATAAATTAAGTCACAGCCTCTGGGGGTGGGGTCTGAGCATCAGTATTTTCTGGAAGTTTCCCAGGAGTTTTCAATATGCAGCCACGTTTGGGAACTGTCTGGTCTAGAACTTTGTGTGCCTGAGGCCTGCGCTGGGAGAACTGACTTTAAAAAGACACAGACAGGCAGTCATTTTGTAGCTAGAGGTGAAGCAGATGGCGTGGGGGCAGAAGGGTGTGGGACCTGGGACCCAGCAGGGGGCTACGGCTCCCACGGGCCTTCGAGCCTGGCAACCACTGGCACCCCCACTCCCCCCAGGCTGGGATGGAGCCACTGTCTGCACCCGAGGAGGCCTCCAGAGCAGGAGGCGGGAGCAGCAGCTCTGAGCCCGGCTTGGGCACCAGAGGGAGCTCGTGGGGACGCGCCACGGCTCCATCCCTGCAGCTGGTTCAAACTGGTTTGGGCAGGGTGCGGCCTGGGCGGGCTGCATTCCAGGCCTCAGGCTCGCGGCTGTCCGGGGCCTCCCCAAGGGCTGCGGACCTAGGGCAGGGAGCAGCAGGGGCAGGGCCCCCGGGCAGGAGCCCAGCACCCTGAGAGGCTGGGGAGATGTTTAAAAACTCAGTCCTCTTTGTGTAAAATCATTTACTTGGCCTCCCATGGGGGTCCCTGACTAAGGCTGGCAGCGCGGCGGAGCCCCTGGATAGGGTTATTCCCAGACATCAGTGTGCATTAGAATCGAAGCAGAGCTTGTTAAATGCGGAGGCCCAGTGCCCCCTCTCACCAAAGATCCTGATTCAGAACGTCTGGGGTGGGCTTCTGGGCATCCATATTTTTAGCAAAATATTTCTAAGGTACAATCACATATTCAGAAAAAAAGGCTAGAAACAAAATGATTGTCAACCAGCCAACCTGGCCCAGGGTATGAATCGCTGGGACACTTGTGAAGGACACAGAGACCCCTTCCCCAGACCTCCTCTTTCCCCAGGGAAGAGGATTTGGGTAATCAGCACTTTTAGCTAATATCCCAGGCTTTTTTTTTTTTTTTCATATGGGCAATTTCCTTTTTCTTTTTTTATTTTATTTTTTTGAGACAGGGCCTGGCTCTGTCACCGAGGCTACAGTGCAGTGGAATGATCTCGGCTTACTGCAGCCTTGACCTCTAGGCTCAAGTGGTCCTCTCACCTCAGCCTCCCGAGTAGCTGGGACCACAGGCGTGTGCCACCACTCCTGTCTAACTTTTGTATATTTTGTAGATACAGGAGTTTCGCCCTGTTGGCCAGGCTGGCCTCAAACTCCTGGCCTCATGTGATCCGACCGCCTCGGCCTCCCACTCCCAAAGTGCTGGGATTACAGGCGTGAGCCACCATGCCAGCCTGGCTTTTTTTTTTTTTTTTTAAATGAGTCATTTTAGACATTCATACAGTTTTGGTATTGCTACAAACATCAGCCGAAGAAATAAAACATTCCGAATATTGAAATCCCTCTCAGCCGAACACCTGACGTCAGGAGTTCAAGACCAGCCTGGCCAACATGGCAAAACCCCGTCTCTCCTAAAAACACAAAAATTAGTCAGGCGTAGCTGGGTGCGGTGGCTCATGCCTGTAATCCCAGCACTTTGGGAGGCTGAGGCGGGCAGATCACCTGAGGTCGGGAGTTCGAGACCGGCCTGGCCAACATGGTGAAACCCCGTCTCTACTAAAAATGCAAAAATTAGCCAGGCGTGGTGGTGGGCACCTGTAATTCCAGCTACTTGGGAGGCTGAGGCAGGAGAATCACTTGAACCCTGGAGAAGGAGGTTGCAGTGAGCCGAGATTGCGCCACTGCACACCAGCCCGGGCTACAGAGACTCCGTCTCAAAAAAAAAAAAAATATTAGGCGTAGTGGCATGTGCTTGTAATCCCAGCTACTTAGGAGGCTGAGGCAGGAGGATCACTTGAACCTGGAAGGTAGAGGTTGCAGTGAGCTGAGATCGTGCCACTGCACTCCAGCCTGGGCGACAGAGCGAGACTCTGTCTCAAAAAATATATATATATTAAATCCCTCTTGGGCTGGGTGCAGTGCCTCACTCCTGTAATCCCAGCACTTTGGGAGGCCGAGACTGGTGGGTCACTTGAAACCAGGAATTGGAGACTGGCCTGGCCAACATGTTGAAACCCTGTCTCTACTAAAAATACAAAAATTAGCCAGGCTTGGTGGTGCTTGTTCCTGTAATCCCAGCTACTGGGGAGGCTGAGGTAGGAGAATCGCTTGAACCCGGGAGGCAGAGCTTGCAGTGAGCCGAGATTGTGCCACTGCACTCCAGCCTGGGCAACAAAGCAAGACTCTGTCAAAAAACAAAAAAAAGAAAGAAAGAAAGAAAAGAAAAAGAAATCCCTCCCTCCCATACCCCTCTCCAGTTTCTTCTCCCCCGCCCTAAAGTAACCACTTTTGGAACATGGGGTACGTCGTTCCCATGCACAGCTTTGTACTTTTGCTCCATCTGTCGGTGTCCATAAACAATATACAGTGTGGTTCTGCGTGTTTTAAAAACTGTGCTAATGGCACAGTGCCCTACAGAGCCTTCTGCAACACGACTTTTCTTCCTTAGCTTTATGTTTCTGAGATTTATCCACCAGGAGAAGTTTGCTGTGCTCAGGTCAATTTGGTGATCTGAGGCCAGTCCTGGGCTCTTTGTGGGAGATGCCTAGCCAGCAGGCAAGGGCAAGGGTCTGAGACCGGCTCCCAGGGGATGGCGAGGAGGGCTCAGAGCATCAGGGAAATCATGACAATGACGAATGGCCGAGTGTGGGCTCAGTGAGTTCCTATAAAACCCTTAAGCACTTGAGGCCCAAGTCTTTGCCAAGAATTTTCCAGAAAATGACTGGCCTGAAGGCCTGGATATTTGGATAGGGAGAAATTAGCAGTGGACAGATTTGGAAGTGGGAATTGTGCAGTGATGGACTACACAAAAGGCAGGTCAAACATGTGTTGTTTAGGCCCCTACCTAGGGTGGCCAACTACAATATAAATTCAGATTTAATGGAGAGGAAGGTGTGGGACGTCCTATATATTTATTTGCACCCTTGATACCAGCCCCTCCTTTTTAAAAAACAACAACAACAACAAAAGACAGAGTTTCACTGTGTCACACAGGCTGGAGTGCAGTGGTGCGATCATAACTCGCGGTAGCCTTGAACTCCTGGCCTCAAACAATCCTCCTGCATCTGCCTCTCCAGTAGCTAGGACTACAGTTGTGCCCCACCACATCCTGCAATTTTAATTTTTTTTTTTCTTTTAGAGAGATGGAGTCTCCTTATGTTTGCCCAAGCAGCTCAGCCTTTTTTTTTTTTTTTTTTTGTGAGGCGATTTAACATTTAAAGAAAAGTCAGCAGGCAGGGGGCGCTGGCCCACGCCTGTAATCCTAGCACTTTGGGAGGCCGAGGCAGGTGGCTCACCTGAGGTCAGGAGTTCGAGAGCAGCCTGGCCAACATGGCGAAACCCCGTCTCTACTAAAAAATACAAAAATTAGAATTAGTCGGGCGTGGTGACAGGCGCCTGTAATCCCAGCTACTCGGGAGGCTGAGGGAGGGGGAGAATTGCTTGAACCCGGAATGTGGAAGTTACAGTGAGCCGAAATCGCACCACTGCACTCCAGCCTGGGCGACAGAGCGAGACTCCGTCTCCAAAAAAAAAAAATTAATTAATTAAAAATAAAAATAAGTCATCAAACGAAAAATCAAAACTTCAGACTTGTCTTATACCTATTTGCCTTTTAGTACTTTCCTCATTAGCACTGTTGGGGTGGGAGATGAGGCGCACCTCGCTCTCTTCAGCCCCAAGGCTTGTAAAGGGTCTATCTAGGCCGGCCTCCGAGGGCATGGAGGGAGTGGGTGCGGTTGTGAAATGTAGTGCGCTCAATAGTTTCCTGGTGAAGTTTATTTTAAAATCCGCACCGAAGAGGAAGACGAGGACCGTCACACTCGGCCTTCCCTAAATTCCAGGACCCTCCGCCCGATGCAAACTAGATGCTTTAGTAGGATGGGAACGGGTGGGGGGCGGGCGGCTTTGGGCTTCCTCTAAGCTAGCGCCTCTCTAACCCGGACGCCCGTTAGAATCACCCGGGGAGTTTTAGAAACTACCGATGCCCAAGCCCCACTCCGAAGGATTCCAACTTAATCGGCCTGGTGCGAGGCCTGGCTTCCGGGCTTTTAAAAGCTTCCCGGGGATTCTATTTTACGGCCGGGTCCGGGGCCGGGAGCCTGTACTCTACCGGGATTCCGATGGGGAGGGGTGGCTTGCCCCAATAGTTCTCAAATTTAGCTTTGGGTCAACAATCTGGTTGGAACCACCTAACAAACATCAAAAGATCCTGATGCCCAGGTCTTAACCCAGAGACGGTGTGGTCCAGGCTTGGGAAATTCTAAAAGAGCTCCAGGTGACTGCCATCTGCAAGCGAGTTTGCAAAGCACTGATGCCCAGGTGCTGCGGGGGCGGGCGCAGCGCGCGCCGCTCGCCACTGGGTGGCGCTGCCCGCTCGGCCCGGCGCTCCTGGAGCTGCGAGCCGCGACCGCCGGGAGCGCACCTGCCCCGCCTCCGCCAGGCGGTCCGCGGGGCATGCAGCGGACCGGGGGCGGGGCTCCGAGGCCCGGGCGCAACCACGGGCTCCCAGGCAGCCTCCGCCAGCCGGACCCCGTCGCCCTCCTGATGCTGCTCGTGGACGCTGATCAGCCGGAGCCCATGCGCAGCGGGGCGCGCGAGCTCGCGCTCTTCCTGACCCCCGAGCCTGGGGCCGAGGTAGGGGACGGGGCTGTGGAGTTGGAGGAGAGGGTTCTCGCGGTTAGGGGTCCGGGCTCCGGACCCTCGGCTTCCCCGGAGCATCCTCTCGCTCCCGGAGTGGGGGGCCCGGGGATTCCCCCCTTCCTGAAGGGTGGCTGCGGGGCGCCACGCAGAGATGTGCAGCGGGTCGTCCCTGCTCGCTCCTCCGGGCGACACCGGGCCCCGGAGGCCCAGGCTCGCTTTCCCTCCCCACCCGGGTCCCCCAGCATCCGCCGGGTCCTCAGGCGCCGCCCTTTGCCAGGCCGGCCCTGGGAGAGGCGGACCCCGGGACCTCTGCTGCCCCGGCTACCTCCGAGCGGTGCCCGGGCCGAGCGGCGCCTCAGGCTGCGGCTGTGCGGGCCGCGCTGCGCTGCTGCAGCTCGGAGCGAAAACACCACGCCTCTGTCTGCGCTTTCTATTTTAAAAGCACCAAGTGAAAAGCAGATCTAAAACGAGACCCTCTACCTTCCGGCTGGAGGCATCTGTCGACGCTGTTGTGAAAAAGTTATTTGTCTGAGTTCACTAGGAGTTATTTACGGTCAGAAATTCAACCCATTCTCTTTTTAAACCACAAAAGCAGTACAGGAGTATTTAACATAAAGGCTATGCACCCCTTTCTCTTTTCTCTCCCACCCCAATTCTAGTTTTCTTAGAAAACCAGCATTAACTGTTTGGTATAAATCATTCCGGACATTTAAAATGCATTTACAAATGTAGATATCTGTATCTGCCTAGGCAGAGTATTGGCTCATGCCAGTGGTCCCAGCATTCTGGGAGGCTGAGGCAGGAGGATTGCTTGGGATGGGGATAGGGGACGGGGAAGAGTGAGGCTGCAGTGAGGCTTGATCATGCCACTGCACTCCAGCCTGGGCGACAGAGTGAGACATTTAAAAAAAAATCTATCTCGCCAGGCCTGGTGGCTCACGCTTGTAATCCCAGCACTACTGGGAGGCCGAGACGGGTGGATCACCTGAGGTCAGGAGCTCGAGACCAGCCTGACCAACATGGTGAAACCCCGTCTCTACTAAAAATACAAAAATTAGCCGGGTGTGTAATCCCAGCTACTTGGGAGGCTGAGGCAGGAGGATCGCTTGAACCTGGGAGGCGGAGGCTGCAGTGAGCTGAGATCAGCCATTGCATTCCAGCCTGGGCAACAAGAGCAAAACTCCCTCTCAAAAAAAAAAACCATAAAATATCTTTCCATATATATATATATACATATATATGAGTTTTCTCTTTTTTCTTTTTCTTTTTCTCCATATATATATATATATATATATATATATATATATATTTTTTTTTTTTTTTTTTTTTTTTTTGAGATGGAGTCTTGCTCTGTCACCAGGCTGGAGTGCATTGGCATGATCTCAGCTCACTGCAACCTCCGCCTCCCAGGTTCAAGGAATTCTCCTGCCTCAGCCTCCCGAGTAGCTGGGACTACAGGCGTGTGCCACCATGCTCAGCTAATTTTTGTATTTTTCAGTAGAGACGGGGTTTCACCATGTTGGCCAGGATGATCTCTATCTCTTGACCTCGTGATCCACCCTCCTCGGCCTCCCAAAGTGTTGGGATTACAGGCGTAAGCCACAGCGCCCAGCCATCTCCACATATTTTTAAAATAATTTTTGAACAGACGTTTTTAATTTTTTTTTTTTTGACAGGGTTTCACTTTGTCACCCAGGCTGGAGTGCAGTGACACAATCATAGCTCAATGTAGCCTCAACCTCCTGGGCTCAAGTGATCCTCCCACCTCAGCCTCCCGCATAGCCAGGACCACAGGTGCGCACCACCATGTCAGGTTAACTTTTAAAACAAAGTTATTTTGTGGAGACGAGATCTCACTATGTTGCCCAGGCGGGTCTTGAATTCCTGGGCCCAAGAGATCCTTTGGCCTCAGCCTCCCAAAGTGCTGGGATTATAGGCATGTACCACCATGCCTGGCCCATCTATATTAGTTTTAAATGAAACCTCACTTGCTGCTGTAATACTGTCCTGCAACTTGCTTTTCTTTACTCAAAATAGCATGGAAAAATGTGTGGGGACTACTAATGGGAAGGTATGGGGCTTCGTTTTGGTGTAATGAACATGTTCTGGATGTTAGATAGTTGTGTTGGTTGCACAAATTTGTGAATATACTGAAAACTGCTGAATCGTACACTTTGAAAGGGTGAATTTTGTGGTTTGTGAATTATATCTCAATTTAAAAAAATAGCATGGAGGCAGGGTACAGTGGCTTATGCCTGTAATTCCAGCGACTTAGGAAGCTGAGGTGGGAGGATCACTTGAGACCAGGAGTTCAAGACCAGTCTGGGCAACGCAGGGAAACCCCTGTCTCTACAAAAAAATGTTAAAATATAAAAAATTAAAAATAACACGAACAAAAATTTAAAAATTAAAAATAACATGAGCATGTATCCATAAACACTGTCCAATAGAAATATAATTGGAGCTACAAATGTGAGCTACCTATGCAATTTTTTTTGTTTTTGAGACAGAGTTTCACTCTTGTTGCCCAGGCTGGAGTGCAATGGTGTGATCTCGGCTCACCGCAACCTCCACCTCCTGGGTTCAAACGATTCTCCTGCCTCAGCCTCCCGAGTAGCTGGGATTACAGGCATGCGCCACCACGCCCAGCGAATTTTGTATTTTTAGTAGAGACAGGGTTCCTCCATGTTGGTCAGGCTGGTCTCGAACTCCTAGCCTCAGGTGATCTGCCCGCCTCGGCCTCCCAAAGTGCTGGGATTACAGGTGTGAGCCACTGTGCGTGGCCACCTACGCAATTTTTAGTGTTCTAGGAGCCACATGAAAAAGAAACAGGTGGCCAGGCACCATGGCTCATACCTGTAATTCCAGCATTTTGGGAGGCCAGGGCAGGCGGATCACTTGAGGCCAGGAGTTTGAGACCAGCCTGGCCAACATGGTGGAACCCTGTCTCTACTAAACATACAAAAATTAGCCAGATGTGGTGGCATGAGCCTGTAATCCCAGCTACTTGGGAGGCTGAGGCATAAGAAACGCTTGAACCTGGGAGGTGGAGGTTGCAGTGAGCCGAGATCATGCCACTGCACTCCAGCCTGGGCAATAGAGTGAGACTCTGTCTCAAAACAAACAAACAAACAAAAAAAACCCAAAAGAATTAAAAAAGAAAAGAAACAGGTGAAATTAATTTCAATATATTTAAAATAACAGTATATCTGGGCCAGGAGCAATGGCTTACGCCTGTGGTCCCAGTACTTTGGGAGGCCAAGACTGGAGGATCACTTGAGCCCAAGGAGTTCAAGACCAGCCTGGGCAACATAGTGAGGCCCCCGTCTCTAGTTAATAAAAAAATAAAAATAAAAAGCATATCCAAAATATTTCAACATATGATCACTAGTACAAAGTTAATGAAATTTTACATTCTGTTCTTTGTCCTGAGTTTTCAAAATCAGGCTTTTGATACTGAACTTTCAGTCCATCTCAGCTTGGACTGGGCACATTTGAAGTGTTCAGTAGTCCCATGAGACGCGTGGCTGCCATGTTGGAGAGCCTAGGTCTCCGTCACCCTCTGCCTTCCTAGTGTCCCATGATGAAATAGTAATTGCTCCCATTCCTGAGCACATACTGTGTGGCACCAGTTTGCTAAACTGTGTTCATGGCTTATGTCATTGTGTCACGGCAGTGACCTGGTGACTGGGATGGTGTTATGTTGATTTTATAGGTCAGCAAACAGAGGCTCTCATGGCATAAATGACTTCATGTGGATGGACCGTAATTTATGAATCATTCATAAATGGTTCAGGGCTGGTGCGTTTTGCCAGGCAGGGTCCTGGGGGAGGCTCCACGCTCCCCAAGCATACTTTGGTCTAGTGTCCCAGGGACTCAGGCACAGACATTTAGGTTGTCTGCGACTTTTCACTGCCTTTAGCATCCTGAGTGCATTTCTTGTTCCTTCTCTCCCTTACTCTCAGCAGCGACATGTCATTGTGCCCAGTGGCTAAGCCCCAGCTTCATTTTGTCTCTATTAGGAATAGTCTTTAAGAGAAACTGCGTGTATTCATTTCATTTTCTCACTCAGGGCTGTCTTTAACTCAGTCACGGGTTTGCTTATGCTCATTTGTAAGGGATTTGTAATAAAGAGCCCCAACTCCCTGTAGCTCCATGCAGCCATAACCCACTGAAAGCACTTGTTGAAGTTTATTTACCAAAAGAAACAGAAACTGCGCCAGAGCAGAGTCACATGCAGCCTCCACTTTTAAAGCTTAATTCATTACCAGATCCCCAAGCTGGAACAGTTTCCAGGTGGGCACATGAGCAGGAAAAGGAAAACCTAGTTTGCGAACAGACCTGGACAGCAGCCTCCTCCCAACCAGCCTGTCTCCCGGGGGCACTTTTGCCGCTTCCATGGAGCAGCAGAAATCTCAGTCCAGCCAACCCCGGCCTTAGGGGGCCTGGGCCTCCCTGTGAAGTGGGGCCTGCTTCATTCAGCACCTTCAGCCTCGGTATGTGCCAAGTCTTTCCTGGAGCTGGGGACGCCACAGGCAGTGAGACACATGAGGCCCTTCCCCTGTGGCACTGCCAGACAATAAACACATAACAAGGCCAGACACAGTGGCTCACGCCTGTAATCCTAGCACTTTGGGAGGCTGAGGTGGGCGGATCCTTTGTACCCAGGAGTTCGAGACCAGCCTGGGCAACATGGCAAAATCCCGTCTCTACAAAAATTAGCTGGGCGTGGTGGTATGTGCCCCTGGTCCCAGCTACTAGAGAGGCCGAGATGGGAAGATCACCTGGGCTCTGGGAGGTGGAGGTTGCAGTGAGCTGAGATCGCATCACTGCACTCCAGCCTGGGCGACAGAGTGAGACCTATCTCAAAAAACAAAACAAAATGAAACCGTAACAAAACCTCTAAACTGTAATGAATGTTACAAAGCACAGACATGGGCGGATGTGAGATAGGGCACCTGTGTGTGCATAGAGACTCAGGAGGGTGAATAGAAGGTTATTGTCTGGGTGCAGTCATGGAGGTCTTCCCTGAGGCAGCATTGTCTTAGGATGAGCCCTGAGCCTGAGTAGGAGTTGGCTGGCTGAGGAGAAAAATATCCCAGGCAGAGAGAACAGTTCTTGCAAAAGCCCTGGGATGGGATGAAGCAGGGGGTTTTTGGGGGATGGAGAGAAGAGCAGCTGGTGGGAGGGGGAGCAGCAGGAGATGGGGCAAGTGAAGGGGCACAAGCTCTGCCTGGACTTCACACTGCTTTCCCCAGATGGAGGAGCTGCTGAGGGGCGGTGCCTTGAGCTGGGTTGGCAGGTGAGTTACTGTTTCCAGGGCCTCGGGTTTTCTGTTCAACTAGTTCCCTGCCACCCCTCTTTCTGGTTTGAACATCCCTTTTTTTTTTTTTTTTTTTTTGAGACAGCCTTGTTCTTGTCACCCAGGCTGGAGTGCAGTGGCGCAAACTCAGCTCACTGCAACCTCCGCCTCCTGGGTTCAAGCGATTCTCCTGCCTCAGCCTCCCAAGTAGCTAGGATTACAGGTATGCACTACCACGCCCGGCTAATTTTTGTAGTTTTAGTAGAGACAGAGTTTCGCCATGTTGGCCAGGCTGCTCTCGAACCTGTGACCTCAGGTGATCCACCTGCCTCGGCCTCCCAAAGTGTTAGGATTATAGGCATGAGCCACCGCGCCTGGCGAACTTTTGATTTTTCTATAGTCAGGATGAGAGAAAAGAGAAATATTTCTCCAAACTCTGTACCTGGACAAAAGTAGAAAAATGTAAATTAGCCAAAGATGGCCTTGAGTTTCAAGAAAAATGTGGGAGAGGAGTTTTCTTTGCAGAAGCTAAGAATGTTACATCCAACTTGCAAACACGGCACACCTGTGGGAAACTTCCTAACATGTCGCATCCTTTTGTGACCTGCTGGTCCCCTTTGGGCATTCAAGTTTGGGATGCTGGATTAGAAGTCTGTGATGGGGGGCCGGGCGCCATGGCTCATGCCTGTAATTCTAGCACTTTGGGAGGCCGAGGCGGGTGGATCATTTGAGGGCAGGAGTTCGAGACCAGGATGGCCAACATGGTGAAACCCTGTCTCTACTAAAAATACAAAATTAGTTGTGCGTAGTGGCAGGTGCCTGTAATCCCAGGTAGTTGTGTGGCTGAGGCAGGAGAATTGCTTGAACCCGGGAGGTGGAAGTTGCAGTGAGGCCGAGATTGTGCCACTGCACTCCAGCCTGGGTGACAAGAGTGAGACTCTGTCTCAAAAACAAAAAACAAAAAAGTCTCTTAGGGGGACTCCAGGGTATGGTCTACTGTCTCAAAGATGTAGTTCCAATATTTATTCCTTAAATTTTGTTTTGAGATGGGGTCTTGCTATGTTGCCCAGGCTGGTCTCGAATTCCTGGGCTCAAGCAATCTGCCCACCTCAGCCTCCCAAAGTGTTGGAATTACAGGCATGAGCCACCGCACCTGGCCTCTTCCTTAAATTGTATGGCAAACCTGCATTGTGCCATTCTGCTGTAGGCACTGGGCGAGACCAGCAAGACAGGCATGGTACCTGGTGTTGCAGGTGGGGAGGAAGCTAAGCAGACTAGTGACAAACAGAGTGACTAAATGCTGATAAATGCCACACAGGAGACACCTGAGGGGTGATAGGGACTGAGGGGAAGGAGGATGGGAAGGACCGGAGGGCAAAGATCTGACAGCAGATGCCCGGCCACAGGGGAAAGATGAGGGACCGGGAGGTGCCTGAGTGGAGGGACCTCAGTGACCACAGGGGTGTGGGGGGAGGTAGACAGGGCCACACCAGGGCCTGGGTCCCCAGGGGGGGAGTCTGAATTCTGTTCTAGGGTCATGCATGAAGGACAGGTTCTGATTTATCGACTTGTACTAGGTGTGGTAGCTCATGCCTGTAGTCCCAGCAGTTTGGGAGGCTGAGGTAAGAGGATCGCTTGAGTGCAGAAGTTTGAGGTTGCAGTGAGCTATGAGTGCCACTACACTCTAGCCTGGGTGACAGAGCAAGACCCTGTCTCAAAAATAATAAATGAAAAGATTCATGGCCACGTGGCTGCGGTGTTAGAATGTACTGGGGGGACCGCAGTGGCAGCAGGGAGACCAGAGACGGATGCTGCGCCATCCAGGTGGACAAGGACTGAGCTGGCCGCCTCCCTGCATCAGAACCTTCCGGGGCATGAGGAGCCAGGGGCAAGGCAGGTGCTGGGAGAGGCAGCTTTTCTCAGATGTGCCTGACTTTCTACCCACAAAACCTGCCCAGGAGTGGGGGGAGCCTTCCTCAGGGCTCTGGCAGCCTCTCCTCACAGGACATGGCCTTGCTTTAGGTGAGGGTCTGCCTAGAGCCTTGGATGAAGGTCTCCCATCCGGCCCAGCTTCAGCGTCACACAGAGGCCTTAAAACAAACACGTTAGGCCAGGCATGTTGGCCCACGCCTGTAATCCCAGCACTTTGGGAAGCCGAGGCAGGTGGATCACTTGAGGTTAGGAGTTCCAGACCAGCCTGGCCAACATGGTGAAACCCCATGTCTACTAAAAAAATACAAAAATTAGCTGGGCATGGTGGTGGGCACCTGTAATCCCAGCTACTTGGGAGGCTGAGGCAGGAGAATCATTTGAACCCGGGAGGCAGAGTTTGTGGTGAGCCGAGATTGTGCCACTGCACTCCAGCCTGGGTGACAGAGCCAGACTCCATCTCAAAAAACAAACAAAACAAAACACGTTGGCTGGCCATGGTGGCTCATGCCTGTAATCCCAACACTTTGGGAGGCTGAGGCAGGCAATCACTTGAGGCCAGGAGTTTGAAACCAGCCTGGCCAACATGGCAAAACCCAGTCTCTACAAAAAATACAAAAATTAGCCAGCTGTGGCGGTATGCACCTACAGTCCCAGCTACTCGGGAGGCTGGGGCATGAGAATCGCTCGAACCCGGAATGTGGAGGTTGCAGTGAGCCAAGATCGCGCCACTGCACTCCAGCCTGGGCCACAGAGCAAGATTCTGTCTCAAAAACAAAACACGTTCCCAAAGATTAGAAATAGCCCAGTGCCCATCAGTGCGGGCCAGTGCCATAGCGATTCTTCTGATGAGTGGAGCAGTAGCGGCTGCAGCGGGAGTCAGCGCTGCTTTTGCCCATGCACAGCAGCGTTCAGCACAGAGTGCTGAGTGAGAGGTGCAAGGGGCATGTGTGTGTGCTGCCGTTTTCTGTAAATAAAAACAGAAGGCAAAAATATGTATTTTCATGCATCTATAAACAGGAGATTCAATTAAATCAGTTTCTCGGGTGGGGTGGGGTATAGGCATGGTTGGGAGCACTAATATAGATTATAGTTCTCAAACTTTACAAACTTTGGCATAATTTGAGGATCTTTAAAAAATACTAGCTGGGGTCAGATGCAGTATCTCATGCCTTCAATCCCAGCACTTTGGGAGGCTGAAGCGAGAGGATTGCTTAAGCTCAGGAGATCAAGACCAGCTTGGGCAATATAGCAAGACCATGTCTCTACAAAATAAAATAATAAATTAGCCAGGTGTGGTGGCACACACCTGTAGTCCCAGCTTCTGAGCTGTGATCGCACCACTGTACTTCAGCCTTGGGGACAAAATGAGACAGTGAGACTAGACTCCCAAAAAAAAAAAAAAAAAAAGAGAGAGAAAAATACTGATTGCTTGCCCCCATCCCTGAGTATTCTGATTTAATTCATGTGGGTGCAGCCTGGCCATTGGAATTATAAAAGCTCTCCAGGAGGATTTTAAGCCTGGAAGTGACCTGGTCTGATTGGTCTGTTGGAAAATCACTCTGGGGGCTGGTAGAAAATGAATTTTAGGGAGGATCCCATGAAGCAGAGCGTGTGGGCCTGGGGATCTGGATTTCTTTTTTTTGAGATGGAGTTTCGCTCTTGTTGTCCAGGCTGGAGTATAATGGCGCGATCTCAGCTCACTGCAACCTCTGCCTCCCGGGTTCAAGCGATTCTCCTGCTTCAGCCTCCCAAATAGCTGGGATTACAGGCGCCTGCCACCATACCTGGCTAATTTTTGTATTTTCAGTAGAGGCGGGGTTTCACCATGTTGGCCAGGCTGATCTCGAACTCCTGACCTCCAGTGATCTGCCCGCCTGGGCCTCCCAAAGTGCTGGGATTATAGGTATGAGCCACTGCACCCGGCCTCATGCTTTTTTCACTCATGTTTTGGAGACCTTTTTATATGAATGCACAGGAGCTACCTGATTATTTTCAGCAGTTAGACAGAATTTCATTGTTTGTCTGAATGACACTTTAGGTAACCATTCCTCTGTTGACAGATATTTAAGTTATGTGGAATTTTTTGCTGTCACAGAGTGTCCTGCAATAAATATCTCTGCACATACATCATTTTGCATTTATGCAAATATGTAGGATAAATACCTAGGAGGTGTATTACTGTGTCTGAGGACACATGCATTTTAGACAAGATTGAGTGCGTTTAGGGCAGTATGGCCATAGACAGCACATGCATTTTAAATGTTCGTTACTGTTGCCAAATTAACCTTCCTGGAAGTCAGGGTCTGCATGATTTTAGAGCAGAGTAGTCAGCCCCTTCTGGACACTCAAACTTCAAGATCAAGCATCCTTTTGGGACCAGGATGGGAACTCTGTGTTGCTTTGGGGACCTGAGAGGAACGAGTTCCCGAGTTTCTTCTCTGGGCAGTGGGTCGTTGTTTAACCTGCCAACTCCTTCCTGGTTTGCAGTTCAAACCTAACGCTACTCAGAGAATCACCTCATTTGCTCCCTGGCTTCCGGGATCTTTCAACCTTCATTTCATCGCTTTCATCTTGTGCATAGAGATGAGGATGATTTTCTGCCTGGGCTGAATGGACCTTGCTATGCTAAGATTCTTCAGTATTTGTGTGTGTGTGTGTGTATTTGTTTAAGCAGCATTATTGAGATGTGATTTGCATACATATAATTCACCTGTTTAAAGTGTATAATTTAATGGCTTTTCGCATGTTCACAGAGTTGTACAACCATCAACCACAACCAATTTTAGAACATTTTTATGACCCCAAAAGGAAACACTGCACCCGTTATCTGTCATTCCCCAACCCCCACCACGAATCTCCTTCCCATCTTTATAGATTTGCCTGTTCTGGTATTTCATGTGTGTTTGTGTTTTAAAAACACAGATTGGCCAGAGACTTGAAGGCCACATTCAGCCCACAGACAGTTTTATTTGGCTGTCATAGTGTTTTTTAACTTATCAGGCTAGTTTTGAACATTTTCAAATCGAGAGAATTTGCATAAACATCTGGATTGCCATTTGTCTTGAACAAAGCAGGGTTGGCATATCCCTACCTGGCACAAGCTGGGGCCCAGTAGCAGCCAGCCCATTTAAATAGGGCCTGGGGTCTCCTGTTTGCTACAGTCTCCACCCCTCCCTGTTGTCTCCCTGACCTGGAGGCTGAACATCAGCTGCTCTTTATGACCCCACCTGCACTGCTGTTTTTCTTAGAAGTAAAATCTCTCTGTCAAAAGTCGGAAACTGGCCAAAGCGGTGGTTCATGCCTGTAATCCCAGCACTTTGGGAGGCCGAGGTGGGTGGATCACCTGAGGTCAGTAGTTCAAGACCAGCCTGGACAACATGGCAAAACCTCGTCTCTTCTAAAAATACAAAACTTAGCCAGGCGTGGTGGTGTGCTCTTGTAGTCCCAGCTACTTAGGAGGCTCTGAGGTAGGAAAATTGCTTGAACCTGGGAGGCAGTGATTGCAGTGAGTTGAGATTGCGCCATTGCACTCCAGCCTGGGCGACAGAGCGAGACTCCATCTCAAAAAAAAAAAAAAAGTGGGAAACTGAACATAAACAGTTTGCAGAAAGCAGTATTCAGCACAGCCCACTTCTCTTGTATTTATTACCTGCATGGCTTCGGTGTCATTTGAGTTTGGAGAGCCTAGTAGGGTCCTTTTAAATGGAGGTGGCATCTCACTGGG
The DNA here is from genome assembly GCF_000001405.40 of Homo sapiens. Classification (NCBI taxonomy): domain Eukaryota; kingdom Metazoa; phylum Chordata; class Mammalia; order Primates; family Hominidae; genus Homo; species Homo sapiens. The sequence continues at coordinate 50,806,138 of NC_000020.11, forward strand.
AGTGACCCAGAGAAGCGACTTACTAGACTTCCTTAGCTTCTGTCATGAGACAGAGTCTGTGGATTGTTTTTCTCACAATTTTCAAATGGGGAGTCAGAAGCACAGAGATGGTGAGAGGTGCAGTTGAGACCACACAGCATAAAATGCAAGGCTGGGACTAAGGCGCCGCCCAGGCTGCTGTTCTCAGGCCACAGCTCTTCCAGGCAGTACACGTCCTCCCCTTCCCTTCTCTCTCTTTCTCCCTTTCATCTTCCTTTCTTTTCTGCAGTGAATATTCATGAGCACTGTATTGATTACCAATCACTGGATAGCAAACTATCCCAAACCTTAGCAACTTCAAGCATCTGCCATTTCATAGGGTTCATGCATGAACTGCATTCAGCTGGAGGATTGGCCACCCTGGCAGTCCAGTATGGCCTTGCCCATGTGTCTAGCAGTTGGTGCTGGCTATTGGCTGGGACATCTCAGTTCTCCTCCATGTGGCCTCTCAACCTCTAGAGCCTCGCTCACTGGCCTCTACAGAAGAGTTGCCTGGACTTCTTTTTTTCTTAAATTTTATTATTATTATTTTTTAATTTTTGGGGGTATATAGTAGGTATATATATTCAGGGGGTACATGAGATGTTTTGATACAGGCATGCAAGGTGAAATGAGCACATCATGGAGAATGGGCTGTCCATCCCCTCAAGCATTTGTCCTTTGAGTTACAAACAGTCCATTTATACTTTTTTTTTTTTTTTTTTTTTTTTTTTGAGACCGAGTCTCACTCTGTTGCCCAGGCTGGAGTGCAGTGGCAAGATCTTGGGTCACTGCAACCTCCACCTCCTGGGTTCAAATAATTCTTGTGTCTCAGCCTCCCAAATAGCTGGGATTACAGGTGTGCACCACCACACACGGCTAATTTTTGTATTTTTAGTAGAGATGGGGTTTCACTATGTTGGCCAGACTGGTCTTGAACTCCTGGCCTCAGGTGATCTGCCTGCCTCGGCCTCCAAAAGTGCTGGGATTACAGGCGTGAGCCACCACACCCAGCCCAATTACACTCTTTAAGTTACGTTATTTTCTATTTTTTTTGAGACAGGACCTCACTCTGTCACCTAGGCTGGAGTGCAGTGGCAGAATCTTTGCTCACTGCACCCTCCGCTTCCTGGCTCAAGCGATCCTCCCACCCCAGCCTCCCAAGTAGCTGGGACTACAGGCATGTGCCACCATGCCCAGCTAATTTTTGTACTTTTTTGTAGAGATGGGGTTTCACCATGTTGCCCAGGCTGGTCTTGAACTCCTGACCTCAAGTGATCTGCCTGCCTCAGCCTTCCAAAGTGCTGGGATTACAGGCATGGGCCACTGCACCTGGACTTTACGTTATTTTATTTTTTAATTTTAATAGGTTTTTGGGGAACAGGTGGTGTTTGGTTACATGAATAAGTTCTTTAGTGAGTGGTGATTTCTGAGATTTTGCCGCAGCACTCATCACCTAAATAGAGTACATGGCACCCAATGTGCAGTCTTTTACCCCTCACCTACCTCCCACCCTTTCCCCTAAGTCCCCAAAGTCCATTGTATTATTTTTATGCCTTTGCGTCCTCATAGCTTAGCTCTCACTTACGAGTGAGAACATACGATGTTTGGTTTTCCATTTCTGAGTTACTTCGCTTAGAGTAATGGTCTCCATTTCCATCCAGGCTGCTGCAAATGCCATTATTTCATTTCTTTTTATGGCTGAGTTGTATTCCATGGTATCTATATGTATATATGCCACATATTCTTTTTTTTTTTTTTTTTTTCTTCAGACGGGAGTCTCGCTCTCTTACCCAGGCTGGAGTGCAGTGGCGTGATCTCGGCTCACTGCAGGCTCCGCCTCCTGGGTTCACGCGATTCTCCTGCCTCAGCCTCCCGAGTAGCTGGGATTACAGGCGCCCGCCACCATGCCCGGCTAATTTTTTTTTTGTATTTTTTAATAGAGATGGGGTTTCACCATGTTAGCCAGGATGGTCTCGATCTCCTGACCTCGTGATCCGCCCGCCTTGGCCTCCCAAAGTGCTGGGATTACAGGCGTGAGCCACCGCGCCCGGCTGTGCCACATATTCTTTATCCACTTGTTGATTGATAGGCATTTGGGCTGGTTCCATATTTTTGCAATTGCTAATTGTGCTGCAGTAAACATGCATGTGCAAGTATCTTCTTCATATAATGACTTCAAGATACCCAGGAGTGGGATTGCTGGATCAAATGGTAGATCTACTTTTAGTTCTTTAAGGAATCTCCACACTGTTTTCCGTAGTGATTGTACTAGTTTACATCCCCACTAACAGCCTAAAAGTGTTTACATTCCCACTAACAGTGTAAAAGTGTTCCTTTTCATCACATCCATGCCAACATCTGTTATTTTTTGATTTTTTGATTATAGCCATTCTTGCAGGAGTAAGGTGGTATCGCATTGTGGTTTGGATTTGCATTTCCTTGATCATTAGTGATGTTGATCAGTTTTTCATATGTTTGTTGGCCACTTGTATATCTTGTTTTGAGAACTGTCTATTCATGTCCTTTGCTCACTTTTTGATGGGATTTTTTTTTTCTTGCTTAGTATTCTGGATATTAATCCCTTGTCAGATGCATAGATTGTGAAGATTTTCTCCCACTCTGTGGGTTGTCTGTTTACTCTGCTGATTATTTCTTTTGCTGTGCAGAAGCTTTTTAGTTTAAGTCCCACCTATTTATCTTTGTTTTTATTGCATTTGCTTTTGGGTTCTTGGTCATAAAGTCTTTGCCTAAGCCAATCTCTAGAAGCGTTTTTCCAATGTTATCTTCTAGAATTTTTATGGTTTCAGGTCTTAGATTTAAGTGTTTGATGCATCTTGAGTTGATTTTTGTATAAGGTGAGAGATGAGGATCCAGTTTCATTCTTCTACATGTGGCTAGCCAATTATCCCAGCAGCATTTGTTGAATAGGGTGTCCTTTCTCCACTTCTGGTTTTTGTTTACTTTGTCAAAGATCAGTTGGCTGTAAGTATTTGGGTTTATTTCTGGGTCTCTGTTCTGTTCCATTGGTCTATGTGCCTATTTTTTTAATTTTTTTTTTTTAATTTTTTGAGACAGAGTTTCACTCTTGTTGCTCAGGCTGGAGTGCAATGGCGCAATCTCAGCTCACTGCAACATCAACCTCCTGGGTTCAAGCAATTCTCCTGCCTCAGTGTCCCCAATAGCTGGGATTACAGGCATGCACTACCACGGCTGGCTGATTTTTGTATTTTAGTAGAGACGTGGTTTCACCATGTTGGCCAGGTTAGTCTTGAACTCCTGATCTCAAGCGATCCACCCGCCTCGGCCTCCCAAAGTGCTGGGATTACAGGTGTGAGCCACCGCACCCAGCCTTTATAGTATATTTTGAAATCAGGTAATGTGATGCCTCCAGATTTGTTCTTTTTGCTTAGTTTTGCTTTGGCTGTGAGGGCTCTTTTTTGGTTCCATATGAATTTTAGGATTTTTTTTTCTAGTTCCATGAAGAACGATGGTGGTATTTTGATGGGAATTACATTGAATTTGTAGATTGCTTTTGGCAGTATGGTCATTTTCACAATATTGATTCTACCCATCCATGAGCATGGGATATGTTTCCATTTGTTTGTGTCGTCAGTGGTTTGTTTCATCAGTGTTTTGTAGTTTTCTTTGTAGAAGTCTTTCACCTCCTGGGTTAGGTATATTCCTAAATATTTTATTTTTTGCAGCTGTTGCAAAAGAAGTTGAGTTCTTGATTTGATTCTCAGCTTGGTTGCAGTTGGTGTATAGCAGTCTACTGATTTGTGTACATTGGTTTTTATATCCTGAAACTTTGCTGAATTCATTTACCAGTTGTAGGAGCTTTTTGGAGGAGTCTGTAGGGTTTTCTAGGTATACGATCATGTCATCAGCAAACAGCAAATTTTACTTCCCCTTTACTGGTTTGGATGCCCTTTATTTCTTTCTCTTGTCTGATTGCTCTGGCTAGGACCTCTAAGTTATTTTAAAATGTACAATTAAGTTATTATTGAATCTAGTTGCCCTGTGATACTGCCTGAACTTCCTTATGTGGCTTCTGGCTTCCCGGAGGGTGAATCAGAAGCTTTGAGGTCTCTCGAGGCCTAGACCTGGGAGTCACAGAGCCTTGCTCCCATCACATCCTATTGGTCTAAGCAAGTCACAGGCCAGCCTAGATTCGGGAGTGGGAAGAATTGGATCCCACCTCTTCACCGGAGTTGCTGCAAGGTCCTTTTGCAAAAGCATTTGTGGGATGAGAGGGAGTTGGAAGGCCAACTTTGAAACACAAGTACCTATTAGTTGCCAGACTTTGTTCTAGGCTCTGGGAATTGAAAGACAAATAAAAGAGACAAAAACCTGTGTCCTCCGGAGGTTTCATTCTGGTGGGGAAGATGACAGGAAACAAGTTGAGAAAAATAGTATGTTATTTTTTTTGTGTTTTTTTTTTTTTTTTGAGACGGAGTCGTCTCGCTCTGTCGCCCAGGCTGGAGTGCAGTGGCGCGATCTCGGCTCACTGCAAGCTCCGCTTCCTGGGTTCACGCCGTTTTCCTGGCGCAGCCTCCCGAGTAGCTGGGACTACAGCCGCCCGCAACAACGCCCGGCTAATTTTTTGTATTTTTAGTAGAGACGGGGTTTCACCATGTTGGCCAGGATGGTCTCGATCTCCTGACTTTGTGATCTGTCCGCCTCGGCCCCTCAAAGTGCTGGGATTACAGGTGTGAGCCACCATGCCCGGCCATGAAAAAAATAGTTATGTTAGATGGTGATAAATGCTAAAGGGAAAAGTAAATTGGGGCAGGAGGACCGGGAGTAGGGGAGCTATAGGGTCAGGGAAAGCCTCACCTGGAAGAAATATTTGAGCAAAAGCTAGAAGGAAGTGAGAGACAACTTTCACCAGTAAAGGGAACAGCAGGTGCAAAGGCCCTGCGGTGAGGCTGTGGGTGGGGACGAGCAACAGGCAGTGAGATCAGGGGGAGGTGGAGGCTCCAGATGGAGTAGGGCTGGGGAGGCCCCCATTAGGTGTTTTCTGAGCAGGTAGAAGATGAGGGAGGACTCAAAAAATAGAAGCCAGGCATGGTGGTGCCCATCTGTAGTCCCAGCTACTCAAGAGGCTGAGGCGGGAGGATCCCTGAGGCCCAGGAGTTGGAGGCTGCAGTGAGCTATGGTCCCACCACTGCACTCTAGCCTGGATGACAGAGTGAGACCCTGTCTCTAAGAAAAAAAAATTGGTATATAATTCATGTATAAATGTATGATTTTAAAGTATATAGTTTGTTGGCTTTTAGTATATTTACTGTGTTGTGCAGACATCACCGTGACCTAATTGCAGAACATTTCTATGACCCAAAAAAGAAACCCCATCACCATTAGCAGTTATTCCCTCCTCTCCCTGCCACTCCATGCAGAGGGGCAATCACGAATCTATTTCTTTCTGTCTCTGTGGATTTGCCGATCTCTGGACGTTTCCTCCCTCCCTTCCTTTTCTTTTGAGATGGAGTCTCGTTCTCTCGCCGAGGCTGGAGTGCAGTGGCACGATCTTGGCTTACTGCAACCTCCAGCTCCAGAGTTCAAGCGATTCTCATGCCTCAGCCTCCCGAGTAGTTGGGACTACAGGCTCATGCCACCAGGCCTGGCTAACTTTTGTAGTTTTAGTAAAGATGGGGTTTTGCCATGTTGGCCAGGCTGATCTCAAACTCCTGACCTCAAGTGATCTGCCTGCCTCAGCCTCCTAAAATGTTGGGATTACAGGCATGAGCCACTGTGCCCAGCCTGGACATTTCTTGTAAGTGGAATCATGTCATGCGTGACCTTTTGTGCCTGGCTTCTCTCACTTAGCATCATGTTTTCAAGGATCATCCATGTTGTAGTGTGTGCTGGTGCTCCATTACTTTTTATGGACAAATGATACTCTATTGTAGGGATACATCACATTTTATTTGTTCATTCATCACTTAATGGATATTGGGTCGTGTCTACTTTTTATTTATTTATTTTTTTTGAGATGGAATCTCACTCTGTTGCCCAGGCTGGAGTGCAGTGGCACAATCTTGGCTCGCTGCAAGCTCTGCTTCCTGGGTTCACGCCATTCTCCTGCCTCAGCCTCCCGAGTAGCTGGGACTACAGGCGCCCACTACCACGCCCGGCTAATTTTTTGTATTTTTTAGTAGAGACGGGGTTTCACCGTGTTAGCCAGGATGGTCTCGATCTCCTGACGTTGTGATCCGCCCCCCCTTGGCCTCCCAAAGTACTGGGATTACAGGCGTGAGCTACTGCGTCTGGCCTTTTTTTTTTTTTTTTAAATTGAGATAGAGTCTTGCTCTCTCGCCCAGGCTGGAGTGCAGTGGAGCGATCTTAGCTCACTGCAAACTCCACCTCCTGGATTCCCCAAGCAATTCTCGTGCCTCAGCCACCCAAGTAGCTGAGACTACAGGCTTGTGCCACTACGTCCAGCTCATTTTTGTAGTTTTAGTAGAGAGGGGGTTTCACCATCTTGGCCAGGCTGGTCTCGAACTCCTGACCTCAAGTGACCTGCCTGCCTCGGCCTCCCAAAGTGTTGGGATTACAGGCGTGAGCCACCACACCCAGGCTTTTCAACTTTTTGACTGTAATGAATATTGTGCAAGTTTTTGTGAGAGCATATTTTTCATTTCTTTTTTATTTATTTTTATTTTTTATTTTTTTGAGACAGGGTCTTGCTTTGTCATCCAGGCTGGAGTGCAGTGGCGCCATGATGGCTCACAGCAGCCTTGATCTTCTGGGCTCAAGTGCTTTTCCCACCCCAGCCTCCTAAGTAGCTGGGAATACAGGCACATGCCACCATGTCCGGCTAATTTTTGTATTTTTTTTTGTAGAGACGGTGTCTCACTATGTTGCCCAGGATGGCCTTGAACTCCTGGGCTTAAGTGATCTGCCTGCCTCAGCCTCCCAAAGTGCTGGGACTAAATGTGTGCGCCACTGTGCCTGGTCTGTTTTCATTTCTTTCGGGTATATTGCTTGGCCATAAGTTGACTCTGTGTTCCTTTTGAGGAGATGCTGGACTGGTTTTCAGAGCAGCTGCACAATTGTACCCTTCCCACCAGCAGTGCGTGAGGCTTCCAATTCCTCCACATCCTCGCCAGCCCTCATCATTTTCCATTTTTGTGATTGCAGCCATCCCTGTGAGTGCAAAGTGGTACAGTGGAGGATTTGGGGTGGGGAGAGCTTTTGTCTTAACAGGACTGCACAGAGTAGATTGAAGGGCAGTAAGAACAGGAAGCTGGGACCAGCGAGCAGGCTACTGCAAGAGTCCTAGCAAGAGACGACGGTGACTTGCGCCATGGTGCTTGGTTGTATGGGAGAGAGAGTGAAGTAGTTGGATTTGGGTAGAGACATTTTGAAGGTAGAAATGAGAAGATTTGCTGGCACATTGGATGGGGTGGAAGGTGGGAGAGAAGAGTCAAGGGTGCTCCGAAGTATTTGGCCTGAACGAGAGGATGATGGAGTTTCCATTTGTTGAATTAGAGAAGATCATGGGTGGAGGACCTTTTTTTTTTTTTTTTTTTTTTTTTGTGCCAGCCCCTTGGTGAGCAGGGCCAGCCCCTCTTCAATGTTTGGGCATTCCCAGCTGGGAAGCTTGCACTGCCACTTTGTGAGAAGCGGGGATGTGGGAAAAAAAAGTGAAAACCATGATTCGCAGGTGTTTGTTTAAAAAAAAAAAACCCACTCACCATCTCCACTGGTCCTTCCTTGAATGTCACTTAAAGTGAGCCTCTCGCCTCCTTCCCCTCTGAGTGGAGCAGTTTATGCCCAGGGGGTTGCGAAGAACAGCGAGGGCATTCATCTGCTCACAGGCTGGTTAAAAAGGCACGTGGGCTGCAGCCTGCGGGACTCTCATTTCTGAGGCCACTTAGGGGATAATCTTGAGAGAAAATTGCCCATGGATGATTTGTGGGCATGGTGGGCTGGCTTATCCTGAGCGCCTTCCTGTTGGTCGGGAATGTCTTGGGCTTGTTTCTCCCTTTGCTGACCAGACAGTCAGCAAACTCTCGCTTTGATCCTTCCTGCTTTTGGGAACCTCCCTAGATACCAGGGGGTGAGGTGGGGGACTGACCATAGCTGACAAGCAGCAACAAAGGGGACACATTTCTAACTTCCCCCAAGAGCATCTTGTTTTTGTTTTGAGACAATCTCACTCTGTCACCCAGGAGGGCAGTGGTACATCACAGCTCACTGTAGCCTCAACCTCCTGGGCCCAAGTGACCCTCCCAACCTCAGCCTCTCAAGTAGCTGAGACCACACAGGTGTGCACCACCATGCCCAGTTAGTTTTCTTTTTATAGAGACAAACTTTCCCACTGTTGCCCAGGCTAAACTGGAACTCCTGGGCTCAAGCGATCCTCTGGCCTCAGCCTCCCAGCGTTGGGATTACAGGCATGAGCCGCTCTACCCAGCCCCAAAGAACATCTTGTTACACATTCTAGCTCTGGAGTTAGAGTGCTCAGGGTCGAATTCTGGCTTCAATATTTATTAGCTGTGTGAGCTTGGGCAAGGGACTTAACCTCTCTGATCCTCTGTTTCTCAATCCGTAAAAAGAGGGAAATAGTAGCACCTACTGCATAGGGTTCTTGTGAGAAGTAAATGAGGTAATTCAAATACAGTGACTAGCCCTTGTTTTTATTCTATGGCGAAAGAGATTGGGTGGGTGCAGTGGCTCATGCCTATAATATCAGCACTTTGGGAGGCTGAGGCAGGAGGATTGCATGAGGCCAGGAGCTTGAGACCAGCCTGGGCAACATAGTGAGACCCCTGTCTCTGCAAAAATTAAAATACAAAAAAAGAGAGAAAGCGAGCTATGGAATGCAACCCCTTATCACGCACCTATTGTGTGTCAGCACTCTGTTAAATCAGTTAGCCACATCTATGATGTCAGGTTAACCTCCTGACCATTCTGCCAAACGGGCCTGATGGTTCCTGTCACAGGGGATCCAGTGGCAGTGAAATGCAGAGGTTAAGCCATTGGGTTCCAGCTGCATGGCTGGCAGAGGGTAAGGTGAACCCAGAAGTGCCGTGACCACGCCGTGCCCTTCCTGAGCAGGCCAGGATGGGTTGCAATGCACTTCCTACAAGCACAGTGCTGCAGAAACATCTTGGGAAGGAGGCATCCCACCCCGCTGGGGCATGGGCTTCCGTGGCCTCCCATGCAGGTTGTGTGTTCTTAAGCATGTCTGGACCCGTGTCTGCGTTGTGTGCACCTGCACTCCCAGGATCTCTCCATCACCCGCTGTGCCCCACTCCTCTCTTTCTCTTTCTCTTTCTTTCCCCTGGACCAGAAAGAACAACCAATCTTCTCCTCTAACCACAGTGACCTCTTGGCTCCATCCTTTCTCCCTTAGTGCGATAATGACATTTTCTCATTGTAATTTAATTTTGGGGTTGGGTGGGGGAATGATCTTTCTTTTTCCCCGTCTTCTCTCCCCTCTCCCCGACTGAGGCACAGAAATAGTCCCAGCTGTGAGATGAAGGTTGCAGAGTTTAAAATTGCAACTTGGTACTATTTATACTCCAGCCTGAAAGATGTTTTTTTGTGCAGTCGTTTATTTTGTTGTGGTGGAGATGGCTCATGCTGGAAGCAGCAGGAACTGGTGCTGTATAAACAGTTCTCTGGGGACAAGTGGGTGGTGAGGGAGCCTTCAGGTGCAGGGGGCAGGGACTAGGCCTGCCCAGAAACTCTGAGCACGCCTCCCTGGAGCAGGACGGTGTGGCCTGGTAGGGAAAGCAGATCATGTGCTTGGCGAACTTTCTTCCTGAATGCTGGCCATTACAAAAATAACAACAGAAACTGGTATTTTAGAAGTCATAAAAGTAGTAGATAACTTGAGGGGGAAAAAAAACCTAATTTTTCTTTTTTGTTTTTGAAGACAGATCTTGCTCTGTCTCCCAGGCTGGAGTACAGTGGCACAATCTTGGCTCACCGCAACCTCCTCCTTCTGGGTTCAAGCAGTCCTCCTGCCTCAGCCTCCTGAGTAGCTGGGACTACAGACGCGTGCCACCACGTCTGGTTAAATTTTGTATTTTTAGTAGAGACGGGGTTTCGCCATGTTGGTCAGGCTGGTCTCGAACTCCTGACCTCAGGTGATCTGCCCACCTTGGCCTCCCAAAGTGTTGGGATTACAGGCGTGAGCCACTACGCCTGGCCAAACCGCTAATTATTTCCCTAATTTTTACACAAGTGCATGAAGCAGTTGTACACTGGCAGGCCCTCTGCACGTTCGTTATTGGCTTAATTTGTGAAGCATTAAAGGGTTTTTTAAATGTGTTCCAATGTTTAAACATTGGGGCATTTCCTATCAAATTAGGATTTCTGGCTTCTCTTGGAAAATGGAAAGATCTGGCAGCTCCGGGCCTGCATTTCCTGATGGCAGCTAGTGGCCAGCAGCTGGAGGACTGGATGAGCACCTCTCAGATCACAAGCCTGATGGCCTGTTTCACTCATTTATGTTAATGTCCAGCCTGATGACTGGGTTTTATTTCTTCTTCTTTTTTTAAAGACAAGTTCTCACTCTGTCGCCCAGCCTGGAGTGCAGTGGTGCGATCACTGCTTACTGCAGCCTCAGCCTCCTGGGTAGCTGGGACTACAGACATGCACCACCATGCCTGGCTAATTTTTTTTTTTTTTTTTTTTTTTTTTTTTTTGAGACGGAATCTCGCTCTGTCGCCCAGGCTGGAGTGCAGTGGTGTGACCTTGGCTCACTGCAGCCTCCGCCTCCCGGGTTCAAGCGATTCTCTTGCCTCAGCCTACTGAGTAGCTGGGACTACAGGTGTGTGCCACCACACCCGGCTAATTTTTGTATTTTTAGTAGAGATGGGGTCACCACATTGTCCAGAATGGTGTCGATCTCCTGACCTCGTGATCTGCCCGCCTCAGCCTCCCAAAGTGCTGGGATTACAGGCGTGAGCCAGTGCACCTGGGCTAATTTTTTTTTTTTTTTAAAGGGATGGAGTCTCACCATGTTGCCCAGACTGGTCTCGAATTCCTGGACTTAAGTGATCTTCCTGCCTCGGCCTCCCAAAATGTTGGGATTACAGGCATAAGCCACTGCTCCCGGCCATGGACCCTTTACATAACATAAAAAATTCAAGTTTCCCTTGTCAGAGTCCCTTTCCCAACTCCTCCTGCCCAGGGCTAAGTAAGCCCTGTTAATAGGGTTTCCAAAGAAACTATGGGATGCCCGGTTGAATTTGAATTTCAGATAAACAACAAATTTTTTAAGTATAAGCACATCTCTTAACTATTAGCAGTCTGGCACATATCATTCCAGGCCTTTCTCTGTGAAGACATGTACTTTTTTTTGAGACGGAGTCTCGCTCTGTTGCCCAGGCTAGAGTGCAGTGGTGCAATCTTGGCTCACTGCAGCCTCCGCCTCCTAGGTTCAAGCGATTCTCCTGCCTCAGCCTCGGAGTAGCTGTGACTACAGGCACACGCCACCATGCCCGGCTAATTTTTGTATTTTGAGTAGAGACGGGGTTCTGCCATGTTGGTCAGGCTGGTCTCAAACTCCTGACCTCAGGTGATCCGCCCGCCTCACACATTTTTTTTGGTATGGTTTGTATCTGACACCGTCTGCAGCTTGCTTTTCCTCTCCGGGGTATCACCGGGGCCACTGTGTTTATTAGAGCAGGCTGTGAGGTTGTGGACTCCATCTGGATTAGGATCCTTGCCCCGCTGTTTGTTAACTGTGTGATCTTGAGCAGGTTACCCCACCTCTCTGAGCCTCCGTGTCCTCATCTGTACAACGTGGAGGATACGGGTAGCTTTGTTATTTCCTGTATTTGTTGATCTTGTCTCTTTTGAAAGCTGCATAGAATGGAGAGGCCGTGGTGGCTTTAACCAGTCCTCCGTGATGGGCGCCAGGACTGCTGCCTGTTTATTGCTCTTTCAAAGGAGGCAGTGGAAGGGGGTCGAGCAGGAACCGGGCACATAATCCTAAGACTTAGTTTGCTTTAAAAAAAAAAAAAAAATGAAGGGTGTTTGTCTCCCTGGAAACCACTTGCTAATCTCCAGGATATCGTCTCTTTTTCAGGCGAAGGAGGTGGAGGAGACCATCGAGGGCATGCTCCTCAGGCTGGAAGAGTTTTGCAGCCTGGCTGACCTGGTGAGTGGCTGCCTGGAAGGCGTGGGTTTAGGCCCAGGCCAGACTTCAGGCCCTTGCTGGAGTTTTCTGCGGAAGCCATTTTGGTGGTGAGTTAGCAACCAGGAGGAATGGGGCAGCGGCCAGCGCTGAGAGGAAAGCCACGTGCAAACACTCCCTCCTCTCTCTCTCTCTCGCTCTCTCTCTCTCACTCAACCCCAAGTGCTTCCTGAGGCGGCCATCTTGATCTCGTCCTTCCCTCGAGATGGTTTTTATTCCGCAGAGGAGCCAGGAGTGGACCACAAGGTGGCACTCTCGGGCACCGATGCAGGGAGCCGTTCAGCGGGGACGCTAGACTATATTTAACTTTCCTCAGCTCTGCACCGTCCCCTGTGCAAACATGGAGACAGCCAGGAAATGGCTTCAGGCCTGCGAGGCCTAGGAGGAGCCTCTTGCCCAGGCCACAGCCCGTGGTGGAGTTGGGCATCGAGTTCCTTCCTGAATCCTTCTGTTCTCTCTGCTTTTACCTCCTACTCTGTCTGGTTGGCCCAAATCTACTAGCCTGGCTGAGGAGGAAGATGGAAGACAATGGCCCAGAAGACAAAGCCTCCCACGCCAGAGTCTCTAGAAATCGCCTCTAGAGGCTGGGTGCAGTGGCTCACACCTGTAATCCCAGCACTTTGGGAGGCCAAAGCGGGCAGATCACTTGAGGTCAGGAGTTCAAGACCAGCCTGACCAACATGGTGAAACCCTGCCTCTACCAAAAATACAAAAATTAGCCGGGTGTGGTGGCAGGCGCCTGTAATCTTAGCTACTCAGGAGGCTGAGGCAGGAGAATTGCTTGAACCCGGAAGGTGGAGGTTGCAGTGAGCTGAGATTGCGCCACTGCACTCCAGCCTGGGTGATAGATCAAGATTGTGTCTCAAAAAAAAAAGAAAAGAAAAAGAAATTGCTTCTAGATCCCAGTGTTCCTAGGATTGCTGCCAGCCAGGTGTGGAGCCCCCAGGAGTGCTGATAGAATTTTCTAGAAGCTCCCAAGCTTATTAGAGGCAAACCAGTAACCTGGGCTTGAGGTGTCTGCCTGGAGGCCCAAAGGGTAGAGCTCCATATTGTGACCAGGCCCTGTGTCTCCCCAGAGTGGAGGAAGCCTGGCCACCTGGGCCCAGTGGTGTGCGTTTATGTCCCTGAGAAGCACCGTGTCCGGACCCTGAGAGTGTTTGTGAGAACCCAAGGGAGTAACAGTAACAGCAGCCCCAGATGTTCATTGAACGCCTTTCTTTGTGCCCGGCACAAAGCCACCCTAGACAGCAGGCACTGAGTCATCCCTACCTATTCAGCGGACCTCGGCCCAGCCTCTAGGGTCACAGCAGAAATCCCAAGAGGACCTATATGGTTTCTTCTCTTGAGTCAATTTTTACGTTCAGATGTGGGTCCAGGTGGGAGCTAGGTAACAAGACAGGCTTTTAACAGCCTGGATTGTCCTTTCTTTACCACCACGCATTGGACTCTTTCTTTCTCTTTCTGTCTTTGTCTTTCTGTCTTTCCGTCTTTCTGTCTTTCCGTCTTTCCCTCCGTCCCTCCCTTCCTTCCTTCCTTTCTTCCTTCCTTTCGAGATAGAGTCTCGCTCTGTCCCCCAGGCTGGAGTGCCGTGATGCAATCTCGGCTCACTGCAACCTCTGCCTCCCGGGTTCAAGTGATTCTCCTGCCTCAGCCTCCTGAGTAGCTGGGATTACAAGCATGCACCACCATGCCTGGCTAATTTTTGTATTTTTAGTAGAGACAGCATGTTGACCAGGCTGGTCTTGAACTGCTGGCCTTAAGTGATCCTCCCGCCTCGGCCTCCCAAAGTGCTGGGATTGATTATAGGCGTGAGCCACCATGCCCGGCTGCATTGGGCACTTTCTCATGAATGGGCCCCGTCATAAACTTGAGTATGCAAAGAGAGTTCAGTCCATCTCCATTCCCATCAAGCCCCAGTGTATGTGGGGAGACTGATTTGGGTATCAGTTGGTGCCGTCCCATGCTACAGTGCTGTTGTCAAGGTAAGGTCAAGGTGTGAAGGGATTCCAGAGCCAGGGGTGCTAAGTCCTGCCTAGGAAATTGGGAAGGCTTCGTATAACAGGTGGTGATGAATCTGGGGCTGTAAGGAGAAATAGAGAATTCAACAGATGGGGAAGGAGTGCATTCAGGCAGAGGGACCAGCCTGTGCAAAGGCGGGGAGGCCAGGGATGTGGTATGGCTGGGCACTGGGTGAAGGATCGTGGTTGCGGGCAGGGAAGGCAGGTCGGGAGGATGGTGTGGATGGATGCTCCAGGGACACCTTTGTTTTCAAATCCCATCCCGTCATCCACATGGGCATTCTGCGCAAGGAGACCCAGCATCAGCCTGAAGAGGGCTGGGGGCAGAAGTCCATGTGGACAGGCGGAGAGACCCATGTGGCCCAGCCCTGAAAAACCATCACAGCTTCCTGTGGTGGGAAGTGTGTGTGTCTGTGTTGCCAGGAGACTCAAGATTGCAGGCAGCATCAGGCAGGTCCTCCTAACTCGAAGCCTGGAGATGCTTCATGGAAAGATTTAATCCTGAGGCCACACACAGATGACCCACAGGTCCAATCCTGCCTGCAGATAATTTGATGTTTCTGGGGGGGAAAAAAGCAGGCATTAGCTTGTGACATTTTTAGAATTTCATGTGAAAAATCTAGAGTTCCGGCTTCTCTCAGAAAAGCAAAGATCTGGCCCTCCTGGGGTACTCATTCCTACCTTGCAAGCATCGGCCGCCATGTCACGTGGCAAGCAAGCGACCACCTGCTGTGGGCAGCAAGCGTGCTTTCCAGCTTGATACAGTGCTGGCTGCTCCCGGGGAGCCTTCCTGACTCCACAGCCGCCACGTGCTTGTGTATTTTTGATAGATGATGTTTCTCTGTTCTTTTGACCCTACTGAAAGTGGGAAAGTAAAGCCAGACCAAGAGGATCCCATGTTCCAAGAAATGGAAGAGAACATGCATCCTTTTGGAAGCAAAGACTCTTCCCATGTGTCTGTGTTGACAGAATGTGCCCAGCCAGTTCTGCAAATATGTGACGCTTGTGGGACCCCTGGGGGTGTTTGAGCTTACAGCCCCTGCATGGGCACGCTGTGCCAATGCCATTTATATTCTAGAAATCCTCTTGGCCCCTAGAGGTTCATGCTTGGCTTACCTGGTATGTCTGCTGTGTGCTGTGGGGCTACATGACTACAGAGAGAGGTGTCCGGTGATCAGCCCTAGCTTGGGGCCTCTTTTTTCTCTTTAAGAGCTGCTTTGAAATCCAAGTTAGGGATGAGTAGGGTCCTCTAGGAGCAGGTGATGTCACACCACGGACCACTGTCCCCCCAGGTCCCTGCCTCGGTCTTCAGAAACACTGTTTGATCAATTTACAGGTCCGAGAGAAGGCAGGCCCTGGGCTGCACGGTTTAGAGAGAAGCCACTTCCTTTCAGATAAAATTAGGCTGTTAGAAATCAAAGTCCAGCTTCCCGTCTGCTCTATTAGTTCTTCCATTAGCCTGTCTTGATCACTCTCTGTCACTGAAATTCACCCCTCTGTTCTGGGACCTCTTTTAACATTTGATATAATGCCAATTGTTGGCACTTCACTTTCTGATTCCTTCTACTGTGGGGCCATGGACATGTCACGTTACCTCTCAGAACATTTATTTTTTCCTCCGTAAAATGAAAATAATGGTTCTGATTATCTATTGCTGTGTCAAACTACCCGAAAATTTGGTGATGTAAAACAACCACCCATTTATTTTGTGGGCTAGAGCAGGGCACAGAGGACTCAGCTCATTTGAGTCGAAGCTGGCTCCTTCATCACTTGTCTGGTACCTGGGCTGGGCTGGTTGGGGCTGGTTGGGGCTGGTTGGTGTAACTTGCCCCGTGCACGCTCTCCACGTGGCTGGCGTGGGCTTCCTCGTAGCATGGCTGTTTGACCTCCCCAGAGCAAGCAGTCCAGTGGGCAGGAAGGAAGCTGCCACATGTCTTGAGGCCTAAGTATGGAAACTGACACAGTGTCACTTCTGTTGTAGTTTATTGGTCAAAGCAGTTACACAGCCCAGCCAGAATCAGGGGAGAGAAACTGTATTCTACCCCTTCATGGAAGGAATTAAGGAGTTTGTAGCTGTCCTTAATCCACTACAAATAGTTTCCATCTCCAAAGAGTTACTGTAAGGAATAGATGAGGCAGAGATGTGTGCTTTACACCCACTAGAATGGCTAGATCTTAAAAACCACCAAAATACCAAGTGTTGGCAAGGATGTAGAGCAACGAAGCTCTCATACATTGCTGGTAGAAATGCAAAAAAAACTACAGCCACTTTGGAAAACAGCTTGGCAGTTTCTTACAGGTTTTTTTTTTTTTTTTGGAGACACAGTCTCACTCTGTTGCCCAGGCTGTAGTGCAGTGGCGCTATCTCAGCTCATTGCAACCTCTGCCTCCTGGGTTCAAGCGATTCTCGTGCCCCAGCAGCTGGGATTACAGGTGCCCACCACCACGCCTGGCTAATTTTTGTATTTTTAGTAGAGATGGGGTTTCACCATGTTGGCCAGGCTGGTCTCGAACTCCTGACCTCAAGTGATCCACCCGCCTCAGCCATCCAAAGTGCTGGGGATTACAGGCGTGAGCCACTGCACCCAGCCTCTTACAAAGTTGAACATGTGCTTAACCCACATCCCAGCAATTCTAGTCCTTGTCATTACCGATAAGGAATGAAAACAAGTGCCCAAACCACACAAAAATTCACACACAAATGTTCATAGAAGCCTTATTCGCCAGGCGTGGTAGCTCACGCCTGTAATCCCAGCACTTTGGGAGGCCGAGGCGGGTG
Source organism: Homo sapiens (assembly GCF_000001405.40). Lineage (NCBI taxonomy): Eukaryota > Metazoa > Chordata > Mammalia > Primates > Hominidae > Homo > Homo sapiens. Next base: position 50,823,116 of record NC_000020.11, read on the forward strand.
GATCACCTGAGGTCAGGAGTTTGAGACCAGCCTGGCCAACATGGCGAAACCCTGTCTCTACTAAAAATACAAAAATTAGTTGGGTGCGGTGGCATACACCTGTAGTACCAGCTACTTGGGAAGCTGAGGCAGGAGAATCACTTGAACCCGGGAGGCGGAAGTTGCAGTGAGCTGAGATTGCATCACTGCACTCCAGCCTCGGTGACAGAGTGAGACTCCGTCCCCCCGGCCCAAAAAAAAAAGAAGGCTTATTCATGATACTCCAAACTGGAAACAACCCAAATGTCCGTCAGCAGTAGAATGAGTAAAGCAATTATTGATTTATGCATATATTGGAATACTACACAGCAATGAAAAAGAATCGACTGCTATACACAGCAACATAGATGATCTCACACATATGATATTGAACGAAAGAAGTCATGGCCAGGCATGATGGCTCACACCTGTAATTCCAGCTCTCTGAGAGGACAAAGTGGGAGGGTTGCTTGAGCTCAGGAGTTTGAGACCAGCCTGGGCAACATAGGGAGACCCCATCTTTATTTTTAAATAATAATAATACATTTAAAAAGAAAAGCTTGACACAAGAATACATTCTGTGCGATTCCACTAGTCTGAAGTTCAGGAATAGGCAGAAGTAATCTATGGGTGGTATAAGTCAGGTAGTGGTTGGTTTGGGGAGGGTAGTCATGGCCTACAGGAGGCCTTATGGGGTGATGAAATATTCTATATCTTAGTCTGGGTGGTGGTTACACAGATGTAAACATATGTGCGGATTCATCAAGCTGTCCACTTACGAGCTGTGAACTTTCCTTTGTGTCACTTACACCCAGTTAAAGATCGTTGCTGAGCACAGTGCTATTTATTAATAATTTTTATTATAATATTATAATAAATAGCACAGTGCTATTTATTAAATGACTAACAAATGGCAGCTACTAATGCCATCATCATTGTTACCAAAGCACCAGAGGGGCATGACACTGATGAAGTTATCCACAGTAAGGCTGGATTTGTAAAGCCTTTCAGCTCAGTGCCCTCTGGGGTTTGGGTAGCTTGTCCAGTCCCTCTGAAACTCCAGTGGCCTTCGGCCCACCTTCTGCCAAGGAGCAGAGTCTTACTTCGCTCACATAAATGGAGAACATTTCCTGTTGGCCTTGGCCCAGCAGTTGCATTTGGCGTGGGTGCATGTTCTTGGGTCAAATGCCTTTGGCTCTCCTTCCTAGGGGCCTGAATCATTCTGGACAGATGACTTTCCTCTGTGGTGACCTCAGAACCTGCTGCCCAGACTTCTGGGTTCTGGAGACCAGGTCTGGAGAGGTGGGAGGATAGTTGGGGGAAGGGTCTGGGGCCTCCAGGCTAGCACACCTGGTTGGGTGTTTGTCCTGGGAGAGGCTCTAGAGCATGGAGGCTTTTTCACTGAAATCTGTTTGCTCTTCTCAGAGCGTAGCCCAAGGCGTGCAAATGTAAACACCTGTAATGTAATGAGAAGTGAGTTGGAGATGAGAAATGTGTCACTTTCCTTTTGAGTCCTCCATAAGAAGAAAGTGCTCCTCTGGGTAGCTATGGATTCCATGTTGGGGAGACTGTAGGGAGTGATGGGGACTGGGGTTAACAAAAGTGGCAGCTGCCACTCAGCTCCAGCTGATTGTTGCCATGTGGAACATGGGCTCAGTGTGGCCAGGTCTTGGCTCAGTGTGTCCAGGTCTCCTGATTTTTCACAAGAAGTCAGAGATCTGGGTTTCTAAGGGAAATATCCTGACTTTGATATCTTGGCATCTGGTTTGGTTTTACTTTTTTTGTTTTTTTTAGGCATGATTGGGCTGACACTGCCTTTGCCCGATGAATGACATCTGTAGACCTCTGGTGTTAGGAAGGGTGGTCTCAGGCCCATCTGGATTAGACTCCTCCCTCTCCCACTTTTTAGCTTTGTGACCTTGGGCCAGCTCATTTAGTTTCTCTGAGCCTCGGTTTTATCTCCCATAAAATAAGGTTGAAGAGGAAATAGTTCTTGCCTCACAGGGCCTGTTCCCAGCACATGGTGAGAGTTCATGGAGTGTGCTCTGTTGGTATCGTGCCCCTCTAGACTGGACCTACATTAACCCTACAGTTCTGTTTTTTCCTTTAATAAATTTTTAATTTTTAAAATAGAGATGGTGCCTCACTGTGTTGCCCAGACTGGTCTTGAACTCCTGGCCTCAAGTGACCCTCTCACCTCGGCCTCTCAAAGAATTGGGATTACAGGTGTGAGCCACCGCACCTGGCCCTAAAGTTTCTTTTATGGTTCCCAGCCCAGGGTGGAACCAAGAGGTAAGGTTTGGGGCCTTTCAGCCCCTAGGATTGCCTTCCCTGGCCCCTCATTCTGAGTAACTACGGTAAACCTCTGGGCAGATATAAACAGTTCCCTGTTGCCTTCAGTTTCAGCCATTGGAGAAGCTGCATCAGAGAAGGGATTTCTCTAAAAATAAAATAAGAAACAGGCTAGGAGCAGTGGCTCATGCCTGTAATTCCAGCACTTTGGGAAGCCAAGGTGGGAGGATCACTTGAGGTCAGGAGTTCAAGACCAGCCTGGCCAACATGGTGAAACCCCATCTCTACTAAAAATACAAAAATTAGCCAGGCATGGTGGCAGGTGCTTGTAATCCCAGCTACTCGGGAGGCTGAGGCAAGAGAATCACTTGAACCTAGGAGGCAGAGGTTGCAGTGAGCAGAGATGGTGCCACTGTACTCCAGCCTGGGAGAGAGAGTGAGACTTGTCTCAAAAAAACAAGAACAAAAACAAAACTAAATAAACAAAAATAAGGGGGAAAAAAAGAGACTTCTTTATTCCCAATTCTTTGGGATTTAGGGGGCGAGGGTGGTCCTTGAGTCTCCTTTCTACCACTTTCTCTGTCTGCTGTAGGTTGCCAATCCCAGCCCATACCCCCAAGCTCATTCTCACTCCCCCGATTTGTTTCTTTAGAAATTAACAGAAGGATACGATTCAAGTTTGTTCCCCGGTGCTCTGACCTTGCCCTGGAATTAATTATCTGCTCTTTGCTACATCAGGGTGATTTTCTCCAAGTTTAGCCTTGTTGAGGAATGAGCTTCTCTCTAGAAATCTGGCCTTGGGGAAGAAAGGGAGGAGACTGAGGACCTTTCCCTGTCACTGGTAACAAATGCTGGAGCCAGGCAGAGCGTGGAGCTGGGGTGAGACAATGGGGAGGGGTGATGACTGTGGAAACCCCAGTGATCAGGCCCATCTGGAGGGAGCAGTCCCAGCCTTTGCTGCCCGGGGAGACTCAGGCCCATCATTGCCAAAGCTGCTGACTTAAGAGAAGCTGTAGATCCAGACCTAATTACTTGAATTTTTAAAACCATATTTATGTATTTTTTATTTTGGAATAGTTTAGATTTACAGGAAAATTGCAAAGATTGTTCAGAGAGTTGCCATATTAACCCTAAAGTTTTTTTAAATACATTTTTAATTTTTTAATAGAGATGGTGCCTCGCTATGTTGCCCAGGCTGGTCTTGAGCTCCTGGCCTCCATTGTTAACATCTCACATCACCATGGTACATTTGTCAGTACTAAGGGGCCAGGCACAATGGCTGACGCCTGTAAACCCAGCACTTTGGATTGAGGCAGGAGGATAGCTTGAGGCCAGGAGTCCAAGACCAGCCTGGACATCACAGTGAAACCCTGTCTCTACAAAAGATAAACAATTAGCTGGGCATGGTGGTGGACAGCTGTAGTCCCAGCTATTCAAGAGGCTGAGGCTGGAGAATTGTTTGAGCCCAGGAGGTCGAGGCTGCAACAAGTCATGATCACACCACTGCACTCCAGCCTGGGTGACAAAGCAAGACCCTATAAAAAAACAAAAAAACAAAAAACAACCCACGACCCCCCACCAAAAACAAACAAACAAACAAACAAAAAAAACGAAGAAACCAGCATTGGTATGTTGCTATTCACTGAACTCCACGCTTTGTTTTGATGTCACCAGTTTCTCATGAGTGTCCTCTTTCTGTTCCAGGATCCAGTCTAAGGTGCCACATGGCACGAGGTTGTCACATCTCCTTAGTCTATTCCGGTCTGTGACAGTTTCAGTCTTACCTTGCTTTTCATCACTTGTGCAGTTTTGAGACATGCTGGTCAGGTGTTTCGTAGAAGGTCCCTCGATTTTTGTGATGTTTTTCATGTGGTTAGACTGGAGATAGGAATTTATGGAACGATCACCACAGAGGAGGAGCCTTCTTATCACATCCCATCAGAGGGTCCCCGATGCCCACATGGCATCACGGATGTGAGCCTGCATAAGGTGGTGCCTGCGGCTTTCTCCAGTGGAATTTGCCATTTCCCCCTTTCCAGACCCATTCAATCCTCTGCACATATTAGGTTTGTGCACATTTACTTTGTACTTGGAGCTTTGATCTAATACTATGTTAATTTTTTGTTGCTCAGCTTGTCCCAGCTTTGGCCATTTCACTCTTGCAGGTTGGCTTCTGTGTCCCTTGGGTAAGCCCCATCTCATCCTTTATTTTGTGGAACACTTTCTTGCTTTCTGGTGCTACAAGATGCTCCAGACTCAGCTCAGTCCTAGAACCAGCCATTTCTCATGGGAGCCCCACTTGAATTTTTATTTGTTTTAGAGACAGGGTCTTGCACTGTCGCCCGGGCTGGAGTGCAGTGGCGCCATCTTGGCTCACTGCAACCTCTGTTTACCGGGTTTAAGCGATTCTCCTGCCTCAGCCTCCCGAGTAGCTGGGACTACAGGCGCACGCCACCATGCCCAGCTAACTTTTGTATTTTTAGTAGAGACAGGGTTTCTCCATTTTGGCTGTGGCTAGTCTTGAACTCCTCACCTCAGGTGATCTGCCCACCTTGGCCTCCCGAACTGCTGGGATTACAGGTGTAAGCCACTGTGCCCGGCCTTCAAAAATTTTTTTTTTTTTTCAAAATATGAGATGAGGAAACCGAGGCCCAGGGAGGCTAGGGGACCAGCCTGGTGTCATAGTGGAGAACAGTGGAGCAGGGGCTTAGGCTGGGCAGCCTGACACCACATGCCACCCTCTCAGGGCCGATTTTTGACCTTGTGGGATCAGAGCGTGAAAAACGAGTATCCCTGAGGACACTGGACACCTAGAGCTAGGTGCCCAGAGAGATGGCAGTGCTGTGACCAGAGGAGGGCTAGGCGTGGGGAGAGGCATGGAGGAGTTTGGTTTTAGACGTACAGGGCAATGGGGCAAAGGTCTCGGGAAACCGAGGGCAAGGGGGAAATGTTATCCTGAACAGTGGTGGGAGCAGATTTTCACGATAACCACAAGAAGTCTGATGTACTTAGGCAGAAAGAGGAGGAAAAACAGGTATAGTTTTCAAAAAAAAATTTTAAATAAAAATCTGGGGCCAGGAGTGCTGACTCATGCCTGTAATCCCAGATCTTTGGGAGGCCAAGGCAGGTGGATCACTTGAGGTCAGGAGTTCAAGACCAACCTGGCCAACGTGGTGAAACCCCGTCTCTACTAAAATACAAAAACTACGCAGGCATGGTGGTGCGTGCCTGTGGTCCCAGCTACTCGGGAGGCTGAGGCAGGAGAATCGCCTGGACCTGGGAGGCGGAGGTTACAGTGAGCTGAGATTGTGCCACTGCACTCCAGCCTGGGCAACAGAGCCAGATTCAGTCTCAAAAAACAAACAAAAGTGAGTCACTAGGCTCAGCCCAAAATCTTGGGGAGGGGATTACATGAGGGTGAGGATACCAGGAGGGTGAGACCACGGGGGGCACATCAGAAGCCGCCTCCACACTCCACGCCAGCATTGTGCTAAACAGCTCATCCTCAGTATCCCAGCGAAAGAAGGACCATCGTCTTGCACCACTGTCCCAGTGAGCAAAGGAGGGCTCAGAGAGGTGCAGTGAGTTGCCCAAGGTCACAGAGCTCATGGTGGGTAGAGCTAAATTTAAACACTAGCCTGACTCCTTAGTCCAGCTCCTGCTGTGCCCACTGGTGTTTCTCTAACAGTGGTCCCCAGATTCCTATTCCAACGTTGCCTCAGACTGTTGGCTGAAAGTGCGGATTCTCAAACTAGGAGAGGCTGGGAATCAGCATTTGAAAGGCTTCCCCCAGGAGATTCAGTTGCTCCCCAGAATTTTATTTTTTTTCTTTTTTGAGATGGAGTTTCACTCTGTCACCCAGGCTGGAGTGCAATGGCTTGATCTTGGCTCACTGCAACCTCCGCCTCCCGGGTTCAAGCGATTCTGCTGCCTCAGCCTCCCGAGTAGCTGAGATTAGAGGTGTGTGCTACCACACCCAGCTAATGTTTGTATTTTTAGTAGAGACGGGGTTTCACCATGTTGGCCAGGCTGGTCTCGAACTCCTGACCTCAGGTGATCCACCTACCTCGGCCTCCCAAAGTATTGGGATTACAGGCGTGAGCCACCACGCCCAGCCGCTCCCCAGAATTTGAGAGCCATGAATATGTGGCCTTTTTTGCACAGCGAGGATATGATAACATGAAAATGGAATCTCTCGTTCTCTCTCACACACACAGAAGAGTTAGGCTTGGTCCTTGGGTTCTGAAGGAAAAAGGAACCATCAGCGTCTGATATCAGTGATCAAGGGAAAAATATGTGGCTTCATACAGTTCACTTTTGGGGCCCTTGCCAAGCAGAAGAAAATGAAAACTAAAGGAGATGGTGCAAGGAAGTACTTAGGACAGTGCCTGCGTGTCGGAAGCATCTGATACATAAGAGTTGTGGCTTTCATTAACATTATTAATGAATATTATTCGTAATGATCAACTTGTTAATATTAATTCCAATGCAATGAAAACTGGACTGACTTTGACTTTGGTTTAGAGAAGAGATTCTGATTCTTTCCATTCGCTCCAGTTCAGTGGTTTAGAAAATGAAGATATTTAGTTTGGGACTGGTGTTGCTGGGTGGTTGGTGGGAAGTGATTAATTTGTGGTTCAGTACATAATACCTGGGTAGGTCTGGGTCCACAGAGGCGACGATGTTGGTCCTCCCCTGGGGCTCTGAGTTGTTCTTGGGCCTGTATTGCGCAGGATGCCACCTGGCACCTCAGCCATCATTGGGGTCTGTGTAGACCCTGGCCAACCTCTGAGGCAGGCAGGAGGACACAGTGATGGGGCAGAAGGCCTGATGAGCTGTTTTGTTCCTTGCAGATCAGGAGTGATACTTCACAGATCCTGGAGGAAAACATCCCAGTCCTTAAGGCCAAACTGACAGAAATGCGTGGCATCTATGCCAAAGTGGACCGGCTAGAGGTACGTCTAGGCAAACGAAGGTTCTGAGGCTGTGGACTTGATCTTGCTTTTGCCTTTTCCGCAAAGACGCCGATCTGGCCTTGAGCATGTCAGGCATTATGCCCAATGCAGGGGGTTGGTGGTGGGAGTTGGGGAGTCTGCACTCAAGTGATATTTCAAAAAAATCACAAGTAAAAATTTGTTTCCAGGCCAGGTGCAGTGGCTCATGCCTGTAATCCCAGCATTTTGGGAAGCCAATGTGGGAGGATCACTTGAGCCCAGGAGTTTGAGACCAGCCTGGGCAACATGGCGAAACCCCATCTCTACAAAAAATACAAAAACTAGTCAGGTGTTGTGGTGCATGCCTCTAGTCCCAGCTACTTGGGAGGCTGAGGTAGGAGGATGGCTTGAGTCCAGGAGGTCATGGCTACTGTGAGCATTGATTGTGCCACTGTATTCCAGCCTGGGCGACAGAGCAAGATCCTGTCTCAAAACGAAAAAAAAGAATTTGTTTCCAACATTTAAAAATCAGGGTACTTTATATAAAAATCTGCATTTTAAGCTTTTGAAAATTCAGAAGCTTTGATAACCCTGGGCCCACATTTCCTTAAATACTTTAATCTGTTTATGTTTCAAGGCATAAATATACAATGTATACACGCCTAAGTATGTAATTTAGTGAATTTTTACATATATCGACATCATGTGATGATGACCCAAATTGAGAGAGAGAACATTTCCAGCCCCTGGGTTGCATTCTTGCAGTGTTCTTGCAAGAATGGATGGAGGCTGGGCGCAGTGGCTCACACCTGTAATCCCAGCACTTTGGGAGGCTGAGGCGGGTGGATCAATGGAGGCCAAGAGTTCGAAACCACCCTGGCCAACCTGGTGAAACCCTGTCCCTACTAAAAATACTAAAATCAACCGGGCGTGGTGACACACACTGAGGAGGCTGAGGCACAAGAATCACTTGAACCTGGGAGGCAGAGGTTGCAGTGAGCCAAGATTGCACCACTGCACTCCAGCCTGGGCAACAGAGCAAGACTCTGTCTCAAAAAAGAAAAAAAAATGGGTGGAGCTGGTGGCTGCTGCTCCTCAGAAGGGCGTGGGCTCTCCAGTCTTCCACAGTCCCCACCATGCCCTGTTGCCTTACCGCTGACGTAGCTCACCCATCTTTTACTTGCCTGGCTAAGATGCATGGCATCTCATTTCCTCCTTGTTGCACTGCAGTCAGTCCCCTCACTGCCCCCATCTCCTGGAAGAGGAGCATAAGCTTTGCAAGGTCAGCCACTTCTCTGGGGTCACACTAGTTACATCAAGACAGGACTCCAGCTCATATGTGCCAGTGCAGACACTCTTCATCCACCTGGGGCCCTGGGCTTGGGACCCTGGCTCCTTGCACAGCAGAGGACCCGGAGGCTGAGAGGAGCTTGCGGTTGTGTCATAGTCACCTGGCCAGAGGGAACGTGAGCCCCTCCCAAGCTGCAGAGGGAGGGAGCAGGCGTGGCTGTCAGCACCGAGGTAGCAGAGAATTAACATTCTTGTCAGCAGAGAATGAAGCAGGAATATAATTAAAACTTTGCCCTTGGAATAGCTGATTCATTTGAATTTTATTCCACACGTTTGAAAGAGGAAAGAAAATGTGAAGACTTGCAGCCTGGTTCTCGCCTGGCCTGGGCTGGCCCAGCTGTCAGGCCCGGTTCCTTTCTGAGCATTCAGTCCACTGATGTTGACTGAGGGCCAGGAGAGACCCTCAGCAGGGTATTACCATATCAGCCTCCTATCGCTGCTGGGAGAAATTACCATGAATTCAGTGGCTTAAAACAACACACGAGCCTCTCTGAGCCTACCCTGGCTCAGGACGCTGCCCAATTTTAAAAAAAGAAGAAAAGAAAACAACACACTTTTTTTTTTTTTAGATGGAGTCTTGCTCTGTCCCCCAGGCTAGAGTGCAGTGGCATGATCTCGGCTCTCTGCAACCTCCGCCTCCCGGGTTCAAGTGATTCTCCTGCCTCAGCCTCCCAAGTAGCTGGGATTATAGGTGCTTTCCACCACGTCCAGCTAATTTTTGTATTTTTCGTAGAGACAGGGTTTTGCCATATTGTCTAGGCTGCTCTCGAACTCCCGACCTCAAGAGATCTGCCCGCCTCAGCCTCCCAAAGTGCTGGGATTACAGGCATGAGCCACCACACTCATCCACAACACACATTTATTATCTTATAGTTCTGGAAGTCAGAAGCTCAAAATGTGCCTTATGGGGCTAAAGTCAAGGTGGTGGCAGGTTGGCCCGTTCTGGAGGCTCTGGGGAGAATCTTTGCCTTTCTTTGCCTCTTTTCTTGCCTTTTCCAGATTCTAGCACTGCCTGCATTCCTCAGCTCGTGGCCCCTGCCTCCTCCTTCAAAGCCCACGGAGTGACATCTTCCTGTCTCTCTGTTGCTGGCCCTCCTGCCTCCCTCTTGTAAGGACCCTTGAGATTACGTTGGGCCTACCTGGATGATTCACAGTGACCTCCCATTCCAAGATCCTTAACTTAATCACACCTGCAGGATCCCTTTTGCCAAGGAAGGTGACATATTCACAGGTTCTGGGACTAGGACATGAACATCTTTGGGAGCCATCGTTCTGCTGCCCACACTTCTCCAGGATTTGCTTTCATTAGGCAAGTGCTGTGAAGGGAAGTAGCGACGGAGGTATGGGATCTACAGGACCTTGGAGAATGAGTGGAAGGAACTGTGTTAGGTGGGTGGGGGAACTGTGGGAACCGTGTTAGGTGGGTGCAGCTCAGGCAGGGGCTCCAGGCAGGATCTTGGCTCTGAGCAAGGAGGAGATTGGGATGTTGGAAGGATCCTGGGAAGCCAGGTATTGGGGGCAAAGGGGACTCGGACCCCAGTGGGGCCGAAGAAACTGGCAGCAGCAGCCAGGTTGTCCAACCCTTGCCATCCAAGGTCAGGACTTTGGCCTTTATCCTGAGGAGGAGGAAGCCGCCGAAGAGTCAGGACAGCCTAGTGGTTAGGGGCACACACCCCAGAGCCAGGCTTCTCAGCTCCAGTGCTGCTGACCTGGAAAATTCTTTGTTGTGGGGCTGTTCTGGGCATTGTAAGTTGCTTAGCAGCCTCTCTGGCCTCCACTCACAAGATACTATTAGCATCCCTCCAACCCCACTCCCCAGCGTGACAACCAAACATGTTGCCAAATGTCCCCTGGGGGGCAAGATTGCCGCGTTTCAAAGCGCTGATCTAGAGCTGCATAGCCTGGGTTCAAGTCCTAGTGCTGCTGCCTCCTAGTGTGTGACCTCCAGAAAATTCTGAGCCTCATTTCCCTGTAAAATGGGAGTTACGGTGGTGAGGTTCTTACACCCAAATCCTTGTCGTATTCAACAAACGTTTGCTGCACTGTAGGCTGCCCTGAGATGGGTGCTGGGCATATGGCCGAGGGGAGATGTCGGCTTCCCTGCAGGTGGTCCTGGAGGAGCATTAGACAGGGAAGCAGGCCGGGTGGGGTGGGTCAGCCGCAAGAGCACACACCAAGGGGTCCTGGCCAGAGCTGGAACAGAGGGGGCTTCCCAAGTGTGTGACCTGGAACCTAAGGCCTGAGATTTGGTGCAGGAATCCTGGGGAGGGAGCAGCTTGTGCAAAGAAAGGTCCAGAGGCGGGAAAAGGCAGCTTCTCAGGCACCTGGGGCCTGGGAGGAGCTCAAGGTCAGGAATGAGACGGAGTGAGGGGTGTAGCCCATAGGGTAGGGCCGAGGCCTGGAGTGTGGACCCTGTTCTTAGAATGACAGGACCCATCAGAGGGATTGCAGCTGCTGTAACCCCCGCTCCCCACAAAGAAGAAAGTCTACATTGATTATTCTTTTTTTGATTCATTCATTCATTCATTCATTGTAGAGACCGGGGCTCACTAAGTTGCTGCCCAGGCTGGTCTCGAACTCTTCTTTTTTTTTTTTTTTTTTTTTGAGACTGAGTCTCACTCTGTTGCCCAGGCTGGAGTGCAGTGGCGGAATCTTGGCTCACTGCAACCTCTGCCTCCCAGGTTCGAGCGATTCTCCTGCCTCAGCCTCCCGAGTAGCTGGGATTACAGGAAGGCCCACCACACCTGGCTGATTTTTGTATTTTTAATAGAGACAGGGTTTCACCATGTTGGCCAGGCTGGTCTCGAACTCCTGACCTCAAGTGATCTACCTGCCTTGGCCTCCCAAAGTGCTGGGATTACAGGCATGAGCCACCACGTCCAGCAGATTATTCTTAAAGTATACCATTTGGAGGTGTGGGGTATATTTACTAGGTGATACAATAATAAGCACTATCTCATTCCTGAACGTTTTCCCAAAAGATACCACATGTCTATTAGCAACCATTCCCCAGCCCCCGGCTCTGGCAACCACTCATCTACTTTCTGTCTCTGGATTTGCCTGTGCTGGACATTTCATGCTAATGGAATCATACCATATATGGCCTTCTGTGTTTGGCTTCTTTCACTTGCCATAATGGTTTCAAGGTTCATCTATGTTGTAGCATGTGCCAAGACCTCATTCCTTCTGTGGTTGAGTCATCTTTTGGTATATGGCTGGACCATACTTCATTTGTCCATGCATTAGCTGGCGCACAGTTGGGTGCTTTTCACTTTACGGCTGTCGTAAACAATGCTGCTATGAACGTTTGCGTACAAGTTTTTGTGTAACATATGTTTTCATTTCTTTTGGGTAGATACCTAGGAGTGGAATTATTGGCAGATCTTTTTAGGAGAGCTATGGAAACTCGTTTTAGGAAGTTTCTAACAATTTTCCAAAGTGACTACACCATTTTGAACTCAACTCGTTTTAGGACGTTTCAAACAGTTTTCCAAAGTGACTACACTATTTTGAACTCCCACCCGCAACTACTATAATTTTTTTTTTTTTTTTTTGAGATGGAGTCTTGCTGTGTCTCCAGGCTGGAGTGCAGTGGTGCAGTCTCGGCTCACTGCAACCTCTGCCTCCCGGGTTCAAGTGATTCTCCTGCCTCAGCCTCCCAAGTAGCTGGGACTATAGGCGCCTGCCACCACACCCGGCTAATTTTTTGTATTTTTATTAGAGACGGGGTTTCACCATGTTGGCCAGGATGGTCGTGATCTCTTGACCTTGTGATCCACCCGCCTCGGCCTCCTAAAGTGCTGGGATTACAGGCGTGAGCCACCATGCCTGGCCTACTATAAGTTTTAGATAGAGATTGCAAACTCAGATGCCAACAGGAGCCAGGACTGCTGAGGGACCAGGTGTTAGAAGACCAACCCCAAGCTCTCCCCATTCCTTTCTGGGAGCAGCTGGAGCTCAGAAGCAACTGTCACCACCGTGGGGCGTGAATCTCCCGGCTGTCACAGACCTTACTCTGCCCTAGAGTCTCACCAACATTGAGGCTGAGTGGCACTCACCTCCTGTCAACACCCCTGCACGTCTGCTTTCCTTAGAGTAGAGAGAGATTTCTCTGTAACTGATGCTCCATTAAAAGGGGGGAGTCCTAAGTGAGGTCCCAAGAGGGCCATGGATTTTAAGATCAAGTGGGAGATGATGTATTTCTTTTCTTTTCTTTTTTTTTTTCGGAGACAGAGTATCGCTCTGTCGCCCAGGCTGGAGTGCAATGGCGCGATCTCGGCTCACTGCAACCTCTGCCTCCCACGTTCAAGTGATTCTCCTGCCTCAGCCTCCTGAGTAGCTGGGATTACAGGCGCGTGCCACCACACATGGCTAACTTTTGTAGTTTTAGTAGAGACGGAGTTTCACCATGTTAGTCAGGCTGGTCCCGAACTCCTGACCTCGTGATCTGCCCGCTTCAGCCTCCCAAAGTGGTGGGATTACCGGCGTGAGCCACTGCGCCTGGCTGGTGATGTATTTCCTATTAGCTCAAGTGTGTGACATCAAACAATAAAACTGAGGGACCTGCTGAGAACCTGACATTGTATGGGGCAGGTGGACTCCAGAGCCAGAGAGCTGGGGCTCTGATCTGCCCCTTTGGTAATTCACCAACCCCCTTAGAGTCAGTTTCAAGGAAGACCCCCATCTCCAGGAAAGGAATGTGCCATCTACCCCTCAGAGTCATTGTGAGGATTAAATGAGACCCGCACCTGCCATCTTGCAGATGCTCAGCAAGGACAAACTATTATGGTGGTTGTAGTTGTCCACAAGGCTGAGAGAGGGATAATTTGTCCAGGATGGACAGTCACTGTTCTGCCCTGCCAGCCGGGGGTCCTGGGGTGACTAGAGTGTCAGTGGCTTCCACAGAGTGTAAGTCCACCCTGCCCTCAGAATCAGTGTGACCTGCCAGGTGAGAGCTTGGAAACCATGAGGTGACCTCTCAGGCCAGAACTTGACCCTTTATCAGTTGTATTAATAAAAACTAACTTTTTTTTGAGACAAGTTCTCGCTCTGTCATCCAGGCTGGAGTGCAGTGGTGCAGTCACACTTCCTGGCCTCAACCGATCCTCTCACCTCAGCCTCTCGAATAGCTGGGACTACAGGTGTGTGCCACCACGCCCAGCTAATTTTTTGTATTTTCTGTAGAGATGGAATTTTGCCATGTTGCTCAGGCTTATCTTGAACTCCTGGGTCAAGCAATCTGCCCACTTTGGCCTCTCAAAGTGCCAAGATTACAGGCATGAGCCACCATGCCCAGCCAACAAAAACTAGTACTTTTGAATGCCTACTACAAGCCAGGGACTATGAGTGCTTTACACATAAGAACTCACTTCAACTCCACAGCAACCCCAGGAGCAAGGTCCTGCTATTAGTCTCATTTTACAGAAAAAGCCGCCGAGGCACAGAGATGAGAAGTGACGCTCCTGAGTTCACACAGGTGGGCAGTGGTAGAACTGGGGTTTCAAAGTTTATGTTCCCCCCTCCTGGATGTCAACACACCTTTCTGGACAGGACCCATGCTCTGAAGCTGGGAATTATTTGGTGGAAGTGTTCAAATTCTCCAGGCATAGTGGCTCGGCCTGTAATCCCAGCATTTGGGAGGCCGAAGTGGGAGGATCACTTGAGCGCAGGAGTTCAAGATCAGCCTGGGCAACATGGCAAGACCCCTGTGTCCAGGGGGGAAAATGTGTTCAAATTCCTCAGTACTTGCCAATATATTTTTAAACAATGAGGCTTTCCTTCCCTCCCTCTCAGCTGATTATAAAAGTAGTATATCTTTATTGAAGAGGAAAATATGCAGAAATCAGTCATGCTCCCTGCACCCAGCCCTCAGGGTGGCTAAGATTAGCGGTGGGCCCTCTCGCTCACCTGCAGCCACCACATCCTGGCTGTGTGGGTGGACGTGTGCGTCTCCTCTCCCCGGAGTCGGAGCTGCCCTGGCCCAGGTTTCAGCCTCTCTGGCTGCGGCTTGGCTGGGCTGGCCTCACTGGCAGGCATTTTGGAGACAGTTCAGACATCGCGAGTACACATTCCTCAGCTTCGCCTCACACTCTCCACCAGATTGGTATTAACGCTGGGAGCGTAAAATTGGAATCGGCTGGAGGAAGGGGAGTCGGCACTTTCGTCTGAGTTTTACAAGCATATGTGCTGGCTGAGCCAGGCCTCTGAGGCTAGAGCCCTTGGCATATGCTTCCTGGCCCATTTCCCACCCACCCACCTCTACACACACACACACGCACACATCTGCACATACACACACACACACACACACACATGACGTGGCTGATTCAGCCTTTCAGCCCTGCTACAGCCAGAACCCCAGGGTGGCAGCAGCACGAGAGAAGCCTCCATCTTGGGTTCACCCAATGTCGTTTTGCTAAGGATACACTCACTCACTCATTCACTCATTCATTCATTCATGCACGTGTGCATTTATGCATCCGCCACCCATATGGGCCCTGTCTCCTGGACCAGGCTCTGGTCTTGGCCTGTGAGCAGTGCTGACTCAGCAGCTTCTGTTTTAGAACCCACATTCTAAAGGGCGTGGACCATGAATAGATAAGAATTTCAGAGGGCAATGAGGGCTGTGAAGACCAGGAATCTGGGTGGCTCCAGAGTGCCTGCCGGGGCTATATGAGATCAGGTGCTCAGGGACAGTTAGATGGAAGCCAGAAAGACAGACTCGGCGCAGTGGCTCACCCCTGTAATCCCAGCACTTTGGGAGGCTGAGTCAGGTGGAACACCTGGGATCGGGAGTTCGAGGCCAGCCTGGCCAACATGGTGAAACACCGTCTTTATTAAAAATACAAAGTTAGAACGGGTGTAGTGCCTCACACCTGTAATCCCAGCAGTTTGGGAGGCTGAGGCGGGTGGGTCACCTGAGATTGGGAGTTCGAGACCAGCCTGACCAACACAGAGAAACTCCGTCTCTACTAAAAATACAAAATTAGCTGGACGTGGTGGTGCTTGCCTGTAATCCCAGCTACTCAGGAGGCTAAGGCAGGAGAATTGCTTGAACTCGGGAGGCAGAGGTTGCAGCGGGCCAAGATCACGCTATTGCACTCCAGCCTGGGCGACAGAGTGAGACTCCATCTTAAAAAAAACAAAACAAACAAACAAACACCCACACACACAAGCAGGGCCACACCCCATGGAGAAAGGAGAGCAGGGCGCTATAGGCAGGGAGTGGAGGTGCAGAGGCCCTGTGGGGTGAGGCTGGGCACTTTAAAGGAACCAAAGGGAAGCACGTGGAGGGAGGAGGGAAGGTAGGGCTAGATGGCAGGAGGCCTGACAGGTCTTGGGAGGACTGCATTTCATGGTATTATTGAAGGAGAGGCTTTCCCAGAAGCAGCCAGCACTGAGGTGTCCTCATTCCTGTTCCTGGTATGAGAAAAATCTTTTCTATTTTACTAATGGAACAAAGCAGGCCACAGAGGTGCTGCCTTGTCTGAGATGGCACTGTAGTCCCCACCTCTGCTGCCTTTAGCCATGTACACACGTGCATACGCACACTAACACATGCCCATACATGTACTGAGCACAGAGACAGTATGAAAAGACAGACACCAGAGGTCACAAATGGGTGAGTTACATTTTACTGGGCCTGAACAGTATTTTTTTTTAAAGTGTAGATTTATTGCTAACATTGAATAAAACAAGATTTTTCGTAAAATCTGAATGTCCTTTTTAAAATGATAGTGTCTGAGATTTGATGGGCTCTTAATATGTACTAAGCACTCTACTTGTTGAATAAGGTTAGTGTTTTTGTTTTTTGAAATGGAGCTTGCCCTGTCCCCCAGGCTGGAATGCAGTGTCATGATCTCAGCTCACTGCAACCTCTGCCTCCCGGGTTCAAGTAATTCTCGTACCTTAGTCTCCCGAGTAGCTGGGAATACAGGCATGCACCACCACACTCGGCTAATTTTTTTTGTATTTTTAATAGAGATGGGGTTTCGCCATGCTGGCCAGGCTGGTCTCAAACTCCTGGCCTCAAGTGATCAGCCTGCCTTGGCCTCCCAAAGTGCTGGGATTATAGGCATGAGAGCTATTCCACCTGGCCAAGGTTGATACTGTTTTTAATCCCCATTTTTCAGATAATAAAATGGAGGCTGATAGAAGTTAAGTAACTTGCCAAAAGGCACACAAGTAACTGTTGAGAGGTAGAATTTGGATTCTAATCCAGAGAGTCTGATCATAGCTCACTGCAGCCTTGAACTCCTGGGCTCAAGTGATCCTCCTGCCCCAGCATCCTGAGTAGCTGGAACTACAGGCACATGCCACCATGCCTGGCTAATTTTTCAATTTTTTGTAGAGATGGGGTTTTACCATGTTGCCCAGGCTGGTCTTAAATTCCTGGCCTCAAGTGACCCTCCCTGGCTTCAGCCTCCCAAAGTATTGAGATTACAGTCATGAGGTACCATGCCCAGCCAGAATTCTTTTTTTATTTATTTTAATTTTATTTATTTTTAAGTTTTTAAACTTTTTATTTGCATATTTAAAAAATTGTGCATTCCAATAATTAAAATCATTTGAACAACAAGAAAAAAATGGCACTCTGATTAAACTGCATTACAGCCTGCAGGACACCTTGGGCCAGCTTGGTTTTACTTTAGATTTCACTGTTGTCCCACCCCACTTCTTCCTTCACCAACATGCAAGTTCTTTCCTTCCCTGCCAGCCAGATAGACAGATGGGAGAGGCAGTCGCGGCCTTCGTTGTCAGTAGTTCTTTGATGTGAAAGGGGCAGCACAGTCATTTAAACTTGATCCAACCTCTTTGCATCTTACAGAGTTAAACAGCTAAAAGAAGTAAAATAAGAAGGCAATGCTTGTGGAATGTACAGTGCATATTGACGGCACACGCCTCATTACGATTCGCCTGCTTGCTTCTCCTGTTCAATCGTTTCTTTGGAAGGCAGTGGATTTTTCTCTTGCGTCTCTGTCTTCTTCAGTTTCGACTTATCGAATTTCTCGATCTCAGCCATATCGGATTTGTCAGACATGGTTACGGAGGAGAAGCGGAGCGAGGCACGCGAGAACGAGCGAAGTCTGGTCTGCGTAGTGGCCACCACTGAGTTGTCCAATTTTATTTATTTTTTTGAGACGGAGTTTCACTCTTGTCGCGCAGGCTGGACTGCAATGGCGCGATCTCAGCTCACTGCAACCTCCGCCTCCCGGGTTCAAGTAATTTTCCTGTCTCAGCCTCCCGAGTAGCTGGGATTACGGGCATGTGCCACCATGTCCGGCTACTTTTTGTATTTTTAGCAGAGACGCAGTTTCACCATGTTGGCCAGGCTGGTCTTGAACTCCTGACCTCAGGTGATCTACCCGCCTCAGCCTCCCAAAGTGCTGGGATTACAGGCGTGAGCCACCGCACCCCTTTTTCTTCTTGAAACTGGCAGCTCTGCACTTGAGGCCTGGAGCTGAGTGGTCCCTGTGGGCCTGGACTCAGCTTTCTGGTTGACCCTGCTTCCCATTAGGCCCCCTTTACCTGCTTGTTTCCTGCCAGGCCCTTGGTGGCTTCTGAGTTCGAATATACAGCACATCCACTATTAAAATGAGCAATTGTGTGTCCTTAACGTAGATGAAAAGTACAAATAAATAAATAAGCATTTGGGCTATTTCTATAAAATCAACTTTTAACAAAAAAGGCTTTGAAATCTGATGAATGTGCCCTGAGACCCCCGCCCCTGCCCCTGCCACTTCCTGACTTTGTGACTTTGAGCAGGTGACCCAGCCTCTCTGAGCCTTGATTTCCCTCCCCTCTAAAATGGAGGCTAAGAACAGGGTCCCTATGGGGAAAAAGCAAGAGGCCACCAGCGGGAGCTGTGACCGTTGTCAGGGTTTCTGCAGGTGCCCCTCCAGCTAAGCAGGCCCTGCTGCCTTGCAGGGAGCCCCATTGGAGGGAGGCTGGTCGCAGTGATGAAAGGCCTGGAGTCCCCACCAGCCCAGGGAGTGTGGCCAGGAATGGGCTCCAGCCTGCACAGATGCGGCATCATGGCTTCTCCGTGTCCCTCAGGCCTTCGTCAAGATGGTTGGACACCACGTCGCCTTCCTGGAAGCAGACGTGCTTCAGGCTGAGCGGGACCATGGGGCCTTCCCTCAGGCCCTGCGGAGGTGGCTGGGATCCGCAGGGCTCCCCTCCTTCAGGAACGTGAGTATCCTGCCCCGAGAAGTGAGGGGAGGGCCTCTCCCCCTTCGCTCCGCAGACCCCAGCGTGGGGAGGAGCATGCAGGAAGCAGAGTTCAGGGGGGCACATTTCACTTCTGCAGACAGGAAACGGGTACAGGCGGCCAGGCACCTCAGCCTTTCTCTGTCCCCTGTGAGCCCTGGGCTGTGACGGTTCGTGTGCTCATGTACCATTTATTGGGCGCCTACTGTTTGCTGAGTGCCATCTGAGGTTACTGTGGTGAGCAGAAACAGCTCCCGCCCTCCTGCCCATCCTTGCACACTTAGGGACAGTGCCCAGGATGACATCTAGAATTCCGGCCAGGTTGCCCTTCCTGAGGCAGGAGTCAGCCTCAAGCTGGCCCAACAAGCCGGGGAAGGGGGACGGGCGTCCCTCCTGCATATGGCTCTTTGTGGCCTGCAAAGGCTGTTCTCTTCCTCATCTCTCCTCTGTCTTCCTGGGATCCTCTCCGTGGCCCCGCAAGGAAGGAAGGATCATGTGTCCTTTTTGTCTTGTTTTGAAATGGGGTCTCACTCTGTCACCCAGGCTGGAGTGCAGTGGCGTGATCTCAGCTCACTGCAACCTTTGGCCTCCTGGGTTCAAGTGATTCTCCTACCTCAGCCTCCCAGGTAGCTGGGATTACAGGTGCACGTCACCATGCCCAGCTAATTTTTGTATTTTTAGTAGAGATGGGGTTTCACCATGTTGGCCAGGCTGGTCTCGAAGTCCTGACCTCAGGTGATCCACCTGCCTTGGCCTCCCAAAGTGCTGGGATTACAGGCATGAGCCACCGTGCCTGGCCAATCACCCTCAGTTTATAGGTGAGAAGACGGAGGCTCGGGGAAGGAGATAAGGGGACTTGTCTGAGGCCACGGGCCTGGAGCGCCTGTTTCTGGTGACTTGCCCCCTTCACAGGAAAGGTGTCACCTAGCGGGGCCTCTTGTGGCTCCTTGGGCTCTGCCTGCAGGTATCCCCTCTACTGCCCTGTCTCCACTGTTCCTACCTGTCCACACCTTATCTCCACTTTATCACAGCAGCCCATTTAGTGAGTGCTTTTTGTTTTTGAGATAGGATCTCATTCTGTCACCCAGACTGGAATGCAGGTGTGATCCTAGCTCATCGCAGCCTGGAACTCCTGGGCTCAAGTGATCCTCCCACCTTAGCCTCCCAAGTAGTTGGGACTGCAGGCACGCACCATCACACCTGGCTAATTTTTCTTTTTGTAGAGACAGAGGCTCGCTTTGCTGCCCAGGCTGGTCTCCATCTCTTGGACTTCAGCGATCCTCCTGCCTTGACTTCCCAAAGTGCTGAGATTACAGGCATGAGCTACCATGCCTGGCCTTATTGAGTGCTTACAAGGTTCCAGGCTCTGCGTTAGGCATTTTATATGCAGTAATTCATTTATCTTTCCCAGCCATCTTGTGTGCTGGGTACTAACAGTATCTCCATTTAACAGGTGAGGAAATGAAACTTCAGAAAGTGTCAGGGGTTCTGCCCGTGGGCAGAATTTGGCCCATGTCAACTCATTCTATTTGGCCAGGCAATGTATTTAAACATTGTGACTTGAAATGCCTGATAGGGCATGTGCTTTCCAGTCACAGGCTCCTGGCCTCATTGTACCTGCCTGAGGCATGTGCTGTTCACCTGCCTGAGGCATGTGCTGTTCACCTGCCTGCTTCCAGGTGAGTGTTTTGCCCAAGCTTGTAACAGCTGGACAGTGGCCTCCCAGATCTCATGGTCTAGGAACTCCTCTTGCTCCTTCAGAGACCAAGTTAAAGACATCTCCTGTGAGAAGCCCTCTGGGATTGCCCCTCTTCAGACAAACTCCATTTCTTTGCTTTCCAAAGACAATGAAGTCATGAACTGCATCCTTTGTCCTCTCCCTCAACTTATGGTGACCATTCCCGAGTGACATTTCCCACTGACGGCTTTAAAAGCACATTTGGGGCCGGGCACGGTGGCTTATGCTTGTAATACCAGCACTTTGGGAGGCCAAGGCATGTGGATCACTTGAGCCCAGGAGTTCAAGACCAGCCTGGGCAACATGGCAAAACCCCATTTATACAAAAAATAGAAAAGTTAGCTGGGCATGGTGGCGCATCCCTGTGGTCTCAGTTACTCAGGAGGCTGAGGTGGGTGGATCACTTGAGCCTAGCCTGGGAGGTGGAGGTTTCGGTGAGCCGAGATCGCATGACTGCACTCAGCCTAGGTAACAGAGTGAGGCCCTGTCTCACAAAAAAAAGCACATTAGGGGCCAGATGTGGTAGCTCATGGCTATAATCCCACCACTTTGGGGGGCCAAGGTGGGAGGATTGCTTGAGTTCAAGACCAGCCTTGGCAACAAAGCAAGACCTTGTCTCTACAAAAAAGTATCCAAGTGTGATGGCATGCACCTGTGGCCCTAGCTACTCAGGAGGCTGAGGTAGGAGGATCACTTGAGCCTAGGAGTTTGAGACTGCAATGAACCATGATCATGCCACTCACTACACTCTAGCCTGGACAACAGAACAAGACCCTATCTCTGAAAATTAAAAAAAACAAAAAACAAATTTAAGACACATGGGGGGCAGAAAGGACACAGGACCTTGGCTGCCCATGTCCTGTTAGAACCCAAGTATCCTAACAGTGGGTCCTGCCTGTCATTTAATACACTTCTTGCAGTCTGCACAGTCATCCCGATGAGGTTGGTGCTAGTGTTCCCATTTACAGAGGCAGAGACTGAGGCTTGGAGATGGAGAATCACCTATCCAGAGTCACTACTGGGTTTGGAATCCAGGCCTGTGGGGTGTGAAACTGAGGTCCCCCCAGCACTCCTGCTGCAGGGATGTGGCATCCCCCCCCGGGGTGTGGCTGGGGCATGCTGGGACCTGCACCCTCTCCTCTCCGCCACACTGGGCCTTGCTAAGCCTTGGAGAGCCCCCTAGACCTACCTGCAGTGACTTGTTCCAGGAAGCGCGTCCTGGCCAGGGGTGGGTGAGTCATTCAGCAACCCCAGTGTGTTGTTCTTGGCCCCACAAGGGCTTTGTCTGGGGGAGGTGGTGCAGCCTAGTGTGTGCGTATGTGTGTGCAGACCTGAAGGCTCCAGGGCTGTGGCTGCTCCAGGGTGTGAGCTGGAGGGGCCCTTGCAGAATGATGATCATCACCGCTGGTGTTGGGGCCGACTCTGTAGTCGCCTCACACCCCACCCTGTGAAGAGGGTGTGGTCATTGTTCCTGTTTTACAGATGAGGAAACCGAGTCACTGAGGGGTTAAGTTGCTTGCCCACCCAGAAAATGGTGGAGCTGGGATTTGAACTTGTGATGTCTGGGCCCAGAGCTGGTGCCCTGCACCCCATTGGTCCATTCTATGCCCTCCCTGACCGCCGGACCTGCTCTCTGGGAGGTGAGAGTCCTCGTAGGGTGCCCAGGCATTCTCAGTGTCTTCCATCTTGATTATTTCAAAGCTGGGATTTTGTGCCATCTGTAGTCAGTTCCCCTCAGCGCCTCCTCCCCCAGGGTGGACACCTCCTTTCCTTGACCCTGAAGGGCCATCACCCTCAGAGGCTGACATTCCAGTCTCCACCAAGGGCTTGGATCTCCACCAAGCCCTTCTCCCGGGGCCTGTTCCAATGCCCGGCATAGGTCTGAGAGGCCCAGGCAGCCGGGGGCTCGGAGAGCTTTGGTTTCTCTCCTGGTCTCTCCCCCAGGACCCCACTGCCCCCCTGAGGCAGGTGTTTGAGGCCTCCCCCGACCCCAGGCTGGCCCGAACAGTGACCATCCAGACGCAGCAGCCAGTCAGGGTGACCTGGCCATGTGGCGCCCCTGGGCTGTCTGTTCCTCACCCACCCGTGCTGCCTCCAAAGGGTCCATGGAGTGGAGAGGGCTGAGGTGGGACAAGGATATTGGGTGGCCCCACGGGAATGCTGGCATGGGCTTCTGCCCCCATGGGAGGAGCCACACCACTCACCAGAGGCGCAGCCCCCAGAGAGGGCAGGCTGCCCGCTGCCCAGGTGACTTGGTGCTGGTGTGGACATTGCCTGTGGCCTGGGCTGGCCCGAGGGGTCCGGTGCAGGAAGTGACCTGTGGATACTAGCGATCCCCCTCAGCCAGCTTTCCGACTGGATCCTGGCCTCTCAGCCCTACCTTTGAGCTGCCTGAGAAAGAGGCATTTGCTCCACAGACGGAGCCAGCCTGTGCCCCAGGCCCTTGGCACCCAGCCACAAAAATGTACGCATGACCATGCTACAACACATGTATTTCATGGCACAAAAGTCCACATTTTCATGCTGCACTATATAAACGAAAAGTTTTTAGTTATGCTTTTATATTGATCGTTATAACATTGTGAGGTTTTAATAAGAATTGCCCCTCTCTTTTATTGTAGCTAAGCCCCTTCTGTGACATGTCTTAGCTGTGTGACCATGGGCAAGTCTCTTAGCCTTTGTAAGCCTCAGAGACAGCCAGGCACAGTGGCTTCCACCCATAATCCCAGCACTTTGGGAGGCCAGGGTGGGAGGATCACTTGAGCTGGGAACTACATAGGGAGACCACGTCTCTAATTTACTAGATATTATTAAAATAATACCTTTTTGAGATCTTAACGTTATTTTGAATTGTTCCGAGATGGCTTCTCAGTGACCTCAGAATAAAATCCAAACTCCTTGTCATGGCCTGCAAGAGGGTGCATGATCTGGTCACGTTCAGTCTCTCTCTCTTTTTTTTTTTTTTTTTTTTTTTTTTGAGACAGTCTCACTCTGTCGCACAGGCTGGAGTGCAGTGGTGCAATCTTGGCTCACTGCAACCTCCGCCTCTCGGGTTCAAGCGATTCTCCTGCCTCAGCCTCCTGAGTAGCTGGGATTACATGCACCCACCACCACGCCAGGCTAATTTTTGTATTTTTAGTAGAGACAGGGTTTTGCCATGTTGGCCAGGCTGGTCTCGAACTCCTGACTTCAGGTGATCTGCCCACCTCGGCCTCCCAAAGTGCTGGGATTACAGGCGTGACCCACGACGCCCAGCTTAAAATAATATCTTTAAAGTTCAAAAAAAAATTAAGCCTCAGAGAGTCTGACTGAGTCAGTGAGCCGGCACGGGCAGGTTCATGAGAGGCTTTGCTTGCTAGAAAACTGTTTGGATTTGATGGAAAATGATGAGGGCCCACGCTAAAGCAGAGGAGGAAAGCTCCGGAACTCTCAGGAGGGATTCCGAGCATGGAGCGGAAGAGCGTCGGCCACCTGAAAAGCCAGCCGGTAGAGTGATCTCAGCTCACTGCAACCTCCGCTTCCTGGGGTCAAGCGATTCTCCTGCCTCAGCCTCCCGAGTAGCTGGGATTACAGGCGCGCACCACAATGCCTGGCTAATTTTTGTATTTTTAGTAGAGACGGAGTTTCGACACATTGGCCAAGTTGGTCTCGAACTCCTGACCTCAAGTGATCCACCCACCTCGGCCTCCCAAAGTGTCGGGATTATAGGTGTGAGCCGCTGCACCCGGTTGAAAAGCCAGCTTTGCTTGTGAGGAATGGAGTGGTCCAGGACAGACTCAACACTTAGTGCTCAGCGGTGAGCGGGAATCACGGGGCAGCTGACAGAGCCAGCCCTGCTGTGCCAGGCACTGTTTTCAGCTTGTCAATCCTCATAACATCCCACAAGGGAGGTGCTATTTCTATCTCCATCTTACAGCTGAGGAAACTGAGGCATAGAGAGGGTAAGTAACTTACCCAGGATCACACAGTTGGACATGAGGATATGAATCCACGTTCTTCTTTCCATCACATATTGCCTTGGTAGAGAGCTGTGATCTCTTCAGGGAGCTTGTGTCTGGTGCAAGAATACAGACAGTGACCAAATTCAAAGAAAATTCAGTTACAGGTGGGACACGGTGGCTCACGCCTGTAATCCCAGCACTTTGGGAGGCCTAGGTGGGTGGGTCACTTGAGCCCAGGAGTTCCAGACCAGCCTGGGCAATATGCGAAACCCCATCTCTACCAAAAAAAATACAAAACTTTGCCAGGGGTGGTGGTGCATGCCTGTATTCCCAGCTACTCAGGAGGTGGAAGGATCACTTGAGCACAGGAGGTCAAGGCTGCAGTGAGCCATAATCGTACCACTGCTCTCCATCCTGGGAAACAGAGCAAGACTCTGTCTCAAACAATAGCAACAACAACAAAAAAAAACAGAAAATTCAGTTAGATGGCTGTTTCTAAAGGGGGCCCTTTAGCTGGGCATGGTAGTGCGTGCCTGTGGTCCCAGCTACTTGGGAGGCTGGGGTGGGAAGATTGCTTGAGCCCAGGAGTTCAAGGCTGCAGTGAGTCGAGATTGCACCACTGCACTCCAGCCTGGGTGACAGAGTGAGACCCTGTCTCTGCAAAATAAAATGTACAAAAAATTAAAAGGGATCCCAGGTCTGAGGGGTCAGGAGTGGCCTCTGAGGAGGGGCTGTGGAAGCTGAGAGCTAGATGATGAGTAAGTGTGGGTGTGGAGTCAGAAGAAAGAGCGCTCCCGGCCAAGGGAACTGCCATTGCAGAATCTCTGCAACACACCTGAGCTTGGTGCTTGAGAAATTGCTAGTCCAGCGTGGGCTGCCTGCATGAGCCAGGGCAGAGTGGAGAGAGAGAAGGTCTGGGAGGTAGCAGGGACCAGATTGTGCAGGGTCTCAAGGCCACACAGAGGAATTTAACACTATTCTAAGGGCGATTCTTGTAGCAGGGGAGGGACTTGGCCAAATTTGCTTCACTTGGCAAGAAACCAGGGCTCGTTCTCTGCTCTGAGCTCAGGCTGGCATTCGGGGTCTGTGACGTCTTAGGACTTGAACACCAGAGCTGAGCAGGGCACGTGGGTGCCCTCCAGGCTGCAGGTTTGGTTGTTTGGAATGTTTCCTCCCCTGGAAATATCTAATGCTGTGCCCTGAGCTCTCTGGAATCCTCCCCTTGCCAGGTCTCAGGGCCCTTGTCCGGTCAGAGGAAAGAAAAGAGTCTCCAGAAAGGGGCCCAGGTCTTCCAGACAAATGTCCCTGAGACCCTGCTAGAGGGGGCAGCCATCAGCCCAGCGCCTGCTTGCGGAGGGCCCCTCACATCTGGAGATGGTTTCAGGCATGTGCGGAAGTGAAAGTGTGAAATGGGGCTGGAGCCCTGCGGGCTGCGGACCTCGGAAGTGCACAGAGGCCACAGCAGGTGTCCCCTTGGCCGGGCCAGCTTCCTGCTGACCATGCCAGGCCGGCCCTCCTCCTGGCTCACGTGCCCAGGGGCACAGAGCAGCCTCACTAATTTGTTGTAAACCACTGTTTGTTTTCTGCCGCCAAAACATCTTGTTCACGAGGTGTCATTTTGATTAATTTTTCTGATGGAGAAGAACACGGTGCTTCCCAGGGAAGCTCTTTGGCTGACAGCAAAGCTGACTGGGCCAACTCCTGACTCCTGCACAGAGCGATGCTGCCCTGGGGGAGGGAAGCTTGGCTGGGACTCGGGGCTGCCTGGCCCACCTGTTCACCCCTACCCCCACCAGGGCAGCAGAGGCCTGGGGAGACCGTGCTTGCTGAGACCTTCCCAGAAAGAAAGATGGGCAGAGGGGCTGGAGGGGAGCCAGGGTGGCTTTGGAGCAAAGCAGAGCCAGGACAGGCAGGGTGTGAGATGTCACCTGGTCCCACAGTTGCAGCGCTCCCAGGGTGATCTGGTAACAGCAATGAGTGAGTGAGTCTTCTGGGCATGAGACAGGAGGGAGTGGTGGGGACTGTGGCGAATTGCAGACCCCATGCCTCGTGTACAGGAGTGGAACCTTTGCCTGGCGCCAGCCTCGCATAAATGGCGGCCAGTGGTCACCAGGTTTTCCTATATGGGGGAGAAAGCTGGACATTTGGAGGGTTTTTTGTTGTTGTTGTTTTTTGTTTTATGAATCTTCCCATGTCAAAAAGTCAGTATTTTTCTAACTGTTGAATACTGTGTGGAAAAACATGTTGTGGCTGGAGCAGTGGCTCACACCTGTAATCCCAGCACTTTGGAAGGCCAAGGCAGGAGGATCACTTGAGCCCAGGAGTTCGAGACCAGCCTGGGCAACACAGTGAGACCCTGTCTCTATTCTAAAAAATTAAAAATAATAAAACTGTGTTGTACCATGGGCTGCAGCCAGCATAGCCCCAGCTCTGGACTTTAGGCTGATGACCTGTACCTCTTCGTCCCCTCCACTGTGGAGGATTTGAGACCAGGGAGAAGTAGAGCGGCATCTTCTCCACTTTTATGCACCAGCCCTGGTTGGAACTCTTCAACTCTAAACAGCAACATGACTAACAGCCAATAGTTATATTGAGCCCCTACTGTATACGAAGGGCTTTCTGTGCCTCATCTCAATTTCCTGTAACAACACCAGAGGCAGATGCTATTATTCTAGTTTACAAAGAAAGGACCTGAGGCTCAGAGGGGGCTCTTCACTTGCTCAGAGTCACACAGTGTAACTGGCAGAGCTGGGATTTGATCCAGCTTTGACCTTGGTCAGCTGGTCAGGTGTGTCTCTACCTCCCTCTGTGAGCTTCCCAAGGGCAGGGACTGAAACTTCAACTGCCAAGGCTGCAAACTCGAGATCTTTGGGCTAGTTCTGCCTCAACCACACTTGCTCTTCGGCCAGCGTGGTATATGGATATATTTAACTTGAGTTAGTTGCCAAAAAGCAAATTTCATGTGAGATTTTTGAGGATGAGAGGGGAGGAAGTTCCTTCTGACAGCAAGTAGTTTTTATTTGGGGGGGTTGCTCTTTGTTGAGGCCTATCTGGAAGCACCCCAACTTTGCCCTTGTGGCTTCTCATGAAGAAGCAGAGGTTTGAGTGGGCCCCTGAGCGGCGTCCCTGCCCAGCCAGCATCTGGCCTACCGTGCTCACTCTTGGTGCCTGCTGGTGTGTTTGAGTCTCCCCCCCGGTAGAGCACATAGTAGGTGTTCAATAAATAGTCATCAGCAGATGTTCTGAAGGCTTCTTGCCTGCCTCCCAGATTTCTTAGGGGGCGTGTCCAGGCACTGGAAGGCTGGAGAGGATTTTCAAGGCTGTAAGGGAGGTAATGAGGCCATGGGCGGAGCTGCCCTGCCCGGGCTGCCTGTAGGAGTCGTCAGTGCCAGGCTCAGCGTGCTCCCCTCCCCAGCGACCCCCCCAGCTCCCGCCCCTTGCCTCCTCTCCCCTTCCTGTCCAGCCCTGCAAGTGGTGGGGGGTGCTGGGTCTCTCCCCTGCAGAATCCCCCTGCAGGAGGTGACTCGGGGAGGGAGCCCGACAGCTCAGCTTTATCTGGTGGTGGAGGCTGGGTAAGACACAAACAAGAAGGGAGAGGAAATTGTGAGGCGCCTTCTCCCGGCCCTGAACCAGCCACTGCTTCTCCTGCTGCCCCCATCAGCCCTTGCAGTAAAAATGCAGCAGGAGCAGATAGCAAATATGAGGACCACGACTGTGGAGGGCCGAGGGGTGCCGGGTCCCAGCCCCCACCTACCAGCCCCCTCCCCACGGCTCCCAGGGACCTCCCGGGTTCGTTTCCTTCAAGGTCTTTGGTGGAGTGCTATAGGGGGACGGAGGGTTCCTGGCAGGCTGGTTTGGGAATCAAATTGTGTTTTTCAGGCATTTCATTCTTGCTGAGATTTTGAGGATGAGAGGGGAGAAAGTTCCTTCCGACAACAAGAAGTTTTCATTTTTGGGGGGGTGCTGTTTGTTGGGCCCTATGTGGAAGCACCCCAACTTTGCCCTGGTTGGTGGGACCCTCAACATGCCCTTCTCTCAAAGCAGCACCACCGTCAGGGGCATCCCCTGTGGCAGCAGTGCCCTGGGCCCAGCCCTGCCATCCTGGGGTTGTTGGACATTGTTTGCGGCCTTTGCACATGCCGGTTCCCCTCCCTGGAAAACCCTTCCCGCTCCCCACCTGGCAATGTTCATTATTGTTCAAAGCCCCAGTCACACGGTCCCACCCCTGGGAAGCCGCCTGGGTTCCCCCAGCCAGCCTTCCTCTGGGGTCCCCTAACCCAAACCCTCGTTCATTGCCTGGCGGGCACATGGCCTCATCTGCATTTTCTCCTGTTGTTCCCCTAGCCTGAGAGCTGCTCAAGGGTGGGGCCTGTGTCTTGTCTTTGCCATGGTGATGAGAGTTCTGATGCTGCTGGAGTGTTCTGGGCTGTCTTTGGGCCACCACAAGCAGCACTTACCTGCCCTACTTGGTTCATCCCCAGGCCACCCGGTACGGAGTAACTGTCTCCATTCCGACTCTTCAGGTGAGGAAACCGAGGATCAGAGGAGTTAGAACATTTTAACAAAGCCAGGGCCTGGCCCATTTGATTCCAGAGTCCCACATTCTTCACACCCCAGGAACTGAAATTCAAACACTCACTGAGACCAGGCAAGGCCCTGAGTGATGCAGAGAGGCCAGGTTGGGGCTGTGACTGGCAGGGGAGGCGGGGCCCTCAGCTGCAGCCTGGAACAGAGACCAGAGTGGCCAGGCCTTGCGCTTTTTGTGGCTTTGTGTGTGTGTGTGTGTGTGTTTTCTTTTTTCTTTTTTATAGTTACACTCTGTTGCCCAGGCTGGAGTGCGGTGGCCTGATCTTAGCTCGCTGCAACCTCTTCCTCCCACGCTCAAGCAGTTCTCCTGCCTCAGCCTCCTAAGTAGCTGAGACTACAGGTGCCCGCCACCATGACTGGCTAATTTTTGTATTTTTAGTAGAGATGAGGTTTTGCCATGTTAGCCAGGCCGGTCTTGAACTCCTGACCCCAAGTGATCCGCCCATCTTGGTTTCCCAAAGTGCTGGGATTACAGGTGTGAACCACTGCACCCGGCCGAGGCCTTGCACATTTTAAAAGAGCGGATGCAGATTTTCTGTGAAATCAACTGATTTTGAAAACAGGTCTGAGAGGCTTAAATAAATCTCCTCAGGGCCCTTGGTTCAGGGGCCTGCATCTGGGCCTTGGCAATGATCTGCAGTGACCGGGCAGCACCCAGAGGACCCAGGACATGAACTCGTGGGTGGGTACCCACCTCTCCCTGCCCAGCCTGGCATTTGAGTCTCCTCAGCGGGGGACATCATCAAGGATGTGAGGGGTGCCAGGGCCCACGGCTGGTCTGGGTTCACTTTGCAAAAGGGGTTCTGGGTGAGTGCCAAGGGAGGCAGTTGGTGGGATCCCTCTACACCCCCCACATTCTTTCCACCTGGCACTCCTACTTTTTGAGCCAAACACATGATGTTTTCTTAGTCTTATATGAAGTGTCAATGAATGCAGCTAACAACATCCCCTTTCATTTTTTTTTTTTTTTTTTTTTTTGAGTCGTAGTCTTGCTCTGTCACCCTGGCTGGAGTGTAGTGGTGTGATCTCAGCTCACTGCAACCTCCGCCTCCCGGGTTCAACCAATTCTCCTGCCTCAGCTTCCCAAGTAGCTGGGACTACAGGCACATACCACCATGCCCAGCTAATTTTTGTATTTTTAGTAGAGACAGGGTTTCGCCATGTTAGCCAGGCTGGTCTCGAACTCTTGACCTCAAGTTATCTGCCTGCCTCAGCCTCCCAAAAGGATTACAGGTGTAAGCCACCTCACCCAGCCAACACCCCCCTTTCTAATCGGAATGTCACCTTCAGGGTCACTCATCATAGAGAAACTCTGTCCCTCGCAGCTCCTCGTATCATAATGCAAACCCCATTCGCCCTTAAGATTGCGGATCCAGTTCCTGTAGCATTTGGAGGGGGATAACCAAGAGCAAGGATGCAGACCAGGCCTCACAACCTCAGCACTGTGGACATTTGGGGCCAGGTCCTTCTTTGCTGTGGGGACCATTTTGTGTACTGGGGGGTGTTTTGTGTACTGGGGGTGTTTTGTGTACTGGGGGGTGTTTTGTGTACTGGGGGGTGTTTTGTGTACTGGGGGTGTTTTGTGTACTGGAGGGTGTTTTGTGTACTGGGGATGTTTTGTGTACTGGGAGGTGTTTTGTGTACTGGGGGGTGTTTTGTGCACTGTAGATGTTTTGTATACTCGGGGATGTTTTGTGCACTGGTGGGTGTTTTGCCGCATCTCTAGCCTCACTCGCTAGATGTACCCTCCCCGCAGTGTAACAACCAAAAAGGAGTCCATAAATTGCCAGCTGTCCCCGGGGGCAAAATTGCCCCGAGTTAAGGACCACTGGCCCAGAAGAATGACAGCTGTCAAGACTGGGTGATGGTACGTGGGGACTCATCATAGTCCCCTCATTGCTTTTATATGTTTCCTATAAATATGAAAAAGTTTCCTTATAAATATGGAAAAGAATACAAAGTTAAAAAATATATGAAAGCAGGAATTCTGGAGCCAAACAGTCCCGGGTTTTGTATCTTGGTGGTGCTGCTGGCCGGCTCCATGGCCTTGGGAGAGTCTCAACCTCCCCCTCTGTGAAATGGGTGGCAGTTCTCCAGCCTCATGGCCTCAGGTCGAGGATTTGAACGTGCATGATTTGCTTTCCATTTGGCAGCTTCTATGTAGCAGTATTCTGATGTGGGCGCTGTTCTAGCAGCTGAGGCGCATAAGTTGTGGAGAGTGGCGTGCTTTGTTGAGTATTCACGTGAGGCAGGCACCCGGACGCTCTGCGCTGACCTCATTACTCACCTGCTCAGCTGCTGTGTAGTGAGGCAAGTTGCTATCATTGGCCCCATTTTATAAAGAGCAACTGAGGCAGCAGGAGGTGGAGCTTCTCCCCACAGTCAGCGGGAGGAGGTAGAAGAGGTGTCCCCAGGCTGCCTGGCTCCAGAGCCTGCAGTCCTGAGCTCCAGGCTGCCTGAAGGGATTCACTTATGCACTTGGCACAGCGCTAGCACATAGTAGGTGCTCAGTTAGGGTGGGCTGCGAGGATTGCTTTTGTAGACAGCTCTCTCTGGAGGGGCTGATTGTTCCAAACCCCCCCCACCATGCGGCACCGTAGGTGTGTCTCTGACGTCTTCAAGGCTGCCAAAGCCAAGTCCTGAAGCTGCTTTTTACAGAATAACCTGTCGCCTGCTTCCTGCCATGCGCTGATGTCGGCCACCATGGATCTCGCCTGCAGGAATTGAATGGAGTGGCTCACTCGCCTCTGAGCTGCTGCCCATCTGGGTCAGCCCCTCCACACTGCTCATGCCAGGAGCACGCCGGTGCTCAGGGGTGGCCGGGTTCGTGGTGTGTCTCAAGCCATGCTGGGTCATGAGGGGTTGGGCTAGCCACGCCCACCTGGGCACACCCGCCAGGGGTGTCTTGGGTCCCACCTCTCCCACTTCCTCCCATCTTCAGCCCTCCATTCCATCTTGACCACTGGGGGAGGGGCCCAGGCAAGGCCCCACCCTCACCCCCAGCCCTGCTTGGTGGAGATTTCGGCCTCTGGCTCTGCATCCCCAACAATTCTGTTTCCTGCTGTCTCTCTTCCCATCTCCATCTCTGTTGGTATTCTGGTCTGTCTCTATCTTTGTGTCACTGCCTGGATCCATGTCTCTTGCGTTCATCTTGCTTGTCTCTGCGTCTCTCCATGTGTCTCTGCATCCCTATCTGTGCCACTCCATCTCCTCGTCTCTCCTGCCTGTGTCTCTGTCCCATGTCTCTCTGTGTGTCACCTACACAATCACAAACCTTCACTGTGCCCCCTGTCCCCCAGGCCACAATCCTCGCATCCCCCTTCGTGCCCCACCTCCACCTGCATCTCTGGCTCCTCCAAGAGACCTTCCTGGGACCCCTTCCTCCTCAGACTGGAAGGGGAAGGGGAAGGGTGTGGGCCGGCAGGGCTAGGACAGGTCTGAGTCTGTCTGCCGTCCACCAGCCTGGCCGGCCCAGGCTGGGCCGTGGGCACCCATTGCCCTTCTCTGAGCCCTGATGTCCACATCAGGGCATAAGTGCGCCCACAGGAGGGCCCCCCAGGGACGCTTTTGACTGTGTCACTAGAGAGCAACACTTGGTACGTGGGAACTGTTAGTAACAACAGCCATGAACCTGAGGATGAATAAATGGAGGACCTGGGTCCCCGCCTGGGCTTAGGGTCTCTCTGGAGAATAAAACTCACAGGCAGAAACTATCAGCGGATAATAACAAGGTGGGCTGCATGCATCTCACTTCCATGCCTCACAGAGAAAAAGAGGAACGAGCTCAAGGGAAGCTGCAGAGGACAGGCTGGGAAAGGCCTGCGGGAGGGAAGAGCCTGGCCCATGTGTGGCATTCGCAGCACAGCCCACGACAGGCTGCTGGGTCGCAGGCATTCCTGAGTGAGGTTGGGCCCGGCAGGGGATGGCAGGTGTGATCGGTGTCAGAACGCAGGTTCTGGAATCAAGCAGTGTGCAGAGGTGAGTCGTTTGTCAGTGCAGACTCCTGCCTGCTGCCTGCAGCTGTGGATTGGGTCTGGAAAAGGTGCAATCCCTTTGATGCCCACGGAGCCTGGGAAGTACTTGGCTCTGTTCCTGGTCAACTTTCTGCTGGGAAAATAAACCGTGTCTCATTAGGCAGTGAGTTCATCCCGATGCCTGTTCTGGCTGATAACATCACACCTTGTCATGCTGCCAGGCCCAAAGTCAAGGTCAAAGTTCCTGTTACTTAGGGAATCCTAATAATTAACCTGGGAACCTCAGCCGGAGAGGGAGATGCTGGTTTTTAAATGGAGTGAGAAGCTGGAGCAGGGAGGTGGCTGTTTCGGGGCTGGGCATCTCCAAGCACCAATTTCAAGGTGCCACCCTGATCAGGATTGGTGATCACAGTCTTCCAGCCTCCTTGTCCCTTTTGTGTCTGGTAGCTCTTTGCTGGCCTAGACCTGGCTCCAGAGGCCTTGGGCAGTGCCCCTGGAAGTGTGTGCATTGGTACGGGGCAGGAGGGGCTCAGATGACAGTGGTCAGTGCTTGGAGAGACATGGGGGCGCTGCTTGCAGGGCTGCCTGCCAGCATCTTTGTGCCTGACATGTGGCCTCCTATAAGCTCTCACTCTCTGGCCAGCAGTCATTTATTGAGCACCTACTGTGTGCCAGGCCCTCTGATTGATTGATTGATGAGTCACATCACTTAGTGGCTGAGAGATGTTCTGGCACTTGTAATTTTCAAGCCTCCTTGTAAGTTAAACATTGAAGCAGTATCAGAACTGGCTCCCGTAACTGTGATTTAGTTTAAATGTTCATATTTTGAAACTGAATGCATTTAATTACTTAAAATGCAACATTATAACATTGTACGTTTGTGCTGTTCACAAGCTAATGATGGCATTTTAGAAGCATATGAATTCAGGGAGCCCTGTTCAGAATGAAATGAGCCTTCACTCATTGAGCAGTATTTTCTTCCTTTTTTTTGAGACAGAGTTTCGCTCTTGTTGCCCAGGCCGGAGTGCAATGGCGCGATCTCAGCTCACCGCAACCTGGGCCTCCCGGGTTCAAGCAATTTTCCTGCCCCAGCCTCCCGAGTAGCTGGGATTACAGGCATGCGCCACCACACCTGGCTAATTTTGTATTTTTAGTGGAGACGGGGTTTCTCCATGCTGGTCAGACTGGTCTTGAACTCCGGACCTCAGGTGATCCGCCTGCCTCAGCCTCCCAAAGTGCTGGGATTACAGGCTTGAGCCACCTCACCCAGCTGAACGCTATTTTCTAAGCACTTTCCGTTATATGAGCATAATGCCCTATGAGGTAGGAGCAATTATTAGCCCCCATTTTTAGATGAGAAAACAGAGGCACAGAGAGGTTAGTAACTTGGCCAAGGTCACACAGCTAGGAAGGGGGACCGCTGCCATCTGAGGGATTTGGAAATGGGACAGTTTACTGCGCTGGATGAAGGGACTCTGCTCTCAATGCTAGCAGCTCTGGGGCTTTGGTGGGGGATGTCAAAGTGCAAATTCGAGGTCCTCTGTGACCCCCACCTCCACTTCCACCCTTATTCCCATAAGCAACATGAGTCTCACTGAGGGAATGGGCAGGTAGTGGGAAGCCTCTAAGGCTTTGTGCCCTGAGAAGTGAGTTATTCCCCATCAGCAGTCCCCCATTTCTGGTTCTGTTGAGAATGTCCATGGTGGGGTGAGGGTGGGCGGCTCAGCCAGCAGGATGTTCTCCTCTTTCCCTCTGTCTCTAGGGTTCTTGAGCCTGGAGACCACCCCACAGTGTTGCTGCCTGGAGCTTCCTTCCATCCACCTCCATGCCCATCCCGTCCCCACACAGTCCCCTCTTAGCCTGCTTGTCTGCTCCGGGAGCTGCCAAGAACTAGCAACTCCAGCCCCTGGGCCAGGCTTAACTCTGCTGCCAAACCTCCACCCCATCTTCATTCATTCATTCATTCAAGTTAGTACAGTAATCCCTGGTATCCATGGGGCTTGGCTCCAGGAACCCCTTTCAGTTATCAAAAATCCATGGGTGCTTGAGTCTCTAATACAGAGAATATATAGAGAGAATTTGCATATAACTTACATACATCCTTCCATATACTCTAAATCATCTCTAGATTACTTATAATACCTAATACAAAGTAAATGCTGGACGGGCATGGTGGCTCACACCTGTAATCCCAGCACTTTGGGAGGCCGAGGTGGGTGGATCATCTGAGGTCAAGAGTTTGAGACCAGCCTGGCCAACATGGTGAAACCCTGTCTGTACTAAAAATAGAAAAATTAGCCGGGCATGGTGGCAAGCGCCTGTAATCTCAGCTACTTGGGAGGGTGAGGCAGGAGAATCACTTGAAACCAAGAGCCAGAGGTTGCAGTGAGCCAAGATCGCGCCATTGTGCTCCAGCCTGGGTGACTGAGTGAGACTCTGTCTCAAAAAC
This sequence comes from Homo sapiens, assembly GCF_000001405.40. Classification (NCBI taxonomy): domain Eukaryota; kingdom Metazoa; phylum Chordata; class Mammalia; order Primates; family Hominidae; genus Homo; species Homo sapiens. The sequence goes on from NC_000020.11 coordinate 50,858,608, forward strand.
AAAAAAACAAAGTAAATGCTATATAGATAGCTGTTACACTGTATTGTTTGGGGAATAATGACCAAAAATCAGAACATGTTCAGTACAGATACAACCATCCTTTTTTTTTTTTCTTGAATTTTTTTTTTTTTTTTTTTGGTGAGACAGTCACTCTTTCGCCCAGGCTGGAATGCAGTGACACAGATCATAGCTCACTGCAGCCTCAAACTTCTGGGCTCGAGCAATCCTACCACCTCAGCCTCCTGAGTAGCTGGGACTACAGGGATGTGCCACCACGCCTGGCTAACTTTTGTATTTTTTGTAGAGACAGGCTCTTGCTATTATTATTATTATTATTATTGTGTGACACAGAATCTTGCCCTGTCACCCAGGCTGGAGTGCAGTGGTGAGATCTCAGCTCACTGCAGCCTTGACCTCCTGGGCTCAAGCAATCCTCCCACCTCAGCCCCCCGCAAGTAGCTGAGAGACTACAGGTGTGCCACCATGCCCGGCTAATTTATTATTATTATTATTAATGTAGAGACAATGTCTTGCTATGTTGCCCAGGCTGGTCTGAACTCCTGGGCTCCAGTGATCCTTCCGCCTTGACCTCCCAAAGGGCTGAGATTACAGGCTTGAGCGACCACGCCTAGCCTCGGTTTTGAATATTTTTGATTCATGTTGGTTGAACGCATGGATGTGGAACCCACGGATGTGGAGGGCCGACTGCACTTATCTTTGAACCACCTGTGTGAGCTAGGCACTGTTCAGACCCTTGGCGTGGAAGGAGTAGAGGCCGCCTGCTCCTGGCCCTGGCGATGGCCTAGTGTGTGATATGCCCCAGGGAGAGCCCTGTAAGGAAGGGAAAGGAGAGGTGTCTGAGGAGGAGGAGACAGGGGCCAGGGAGAGCCTCTGGGGAGGTGACTTGAGAGCCAGGTGGCTGGTGCTCTGGGGGAGGGAAGAAGTGGAGGGAGTAGGCTCTGGGGCCAGTGGGAGGCTCAGCCTGGAGGCTCTGAGACCTGCTCAGCCCTTGTTTTACTGGGACCGCTCTGCTGCATGTAGAGGGAAGATGCCAGGTGTGCGGTGTGGAGCTTAGGGAGCTTAGAGCCGCTGGAATGGTCCAGGAGACGTGCTGGTGGCCTGGCGCAGGTTGAGGGGGGCAGGAGGAGGTGGGGAGGTGTAGCCAACTCTGGATGTGTGTGCGTGTTAATTGAAATTTTCTTTTGAGAACATTGTAGATTCACATTCGGTTACAAGAAATAACATGGAGAGGCCGGACGCGGTGGCTCACGCCTGTAATCCCAACACTTTGGGAGGCTGAGGCGGGAGGATCGCTTGAACCCAGGATTTCGAGACCAGCCTGGGCAACATAGGGAGACCCCCATCTCAAAAGAAAAGAATTAGTTGGGCATAGTAGCATATGTCTGGGGTTCCAGGCATTTGGGAAGCTGAGGTAGGACGATTGCTTGGGCCTGGGAGGTTGAGGCTGCAGTGAGCTGTGATTGCACCACTGCACTATAGCCTGGGCGACAGAGTGAGATCCTGCCTGGAAAAAGAACACAGAGAGATCCCTTTCTGTGCCCAGTTGTCCCCAGTGGTAACATGCTTCAAAACCATAGCACAATATCCCAACCAGGATAGCAACATGAATCTGACCTGCTGATCCCATGCAGAGCTCCCCAGTCCGACTTGGACTCATTTGCATATGGCATAAGTCCTGTAGGTTTGTACCCATTCCATACAATTTACTTCTATCAGCCAAGACACTGAGCAGGGTCCCGCCAGGTCCCCTGTGCTGTCCTTTATAACCACCCTAACCCTTCCTGTCCTCCAACTCCCTGCCCAACCCCTGGCTACCACTCATCTGCCCTCCATTTTTAAGATTTTGCCATTTCAAAAATGTTCTATAAATGGAACGGTGCAGTCTGTGACCCTTTGGGATTGGCTGTTTTCACTCACATACTTCCCTGGAGATTTGTCCAAGTTGCTACATGAATTAAGAGTCTGGGCCGGGCGTGGTGGCTCACGCCTATAATCCCAGCACTTTGGGAGGCCCAGGAGGGTGGGTCACCTGAGGTCAGGAGTTCAAGACCAGCCTGGCCAACATGGCGAAACCCCGTCTCTACTAAAAATACAAAAATTAGCCAGGTGTGAAGGCACACACCTGCAATCCCAGCTACTCAGGAGGCTGAGGCAAGAGAATTGCTTGAACCTGTGGCGGAGGTTGCAGTGAGCCAAGATCATGCCACTGTCCTTGAGCCTGGCGACATAGCGAGACTCCATCTCAAAAAAATAAATAAAAGAAAAAGACAAAGAGTGTGTCACTTGAGCCCAGGAGGTTGAGGCTGCAGTGAGCCGTGATCGTGCCACTGCACTTCAGCCTGGGTGACAGAGCAAGACCCGGTCTCTGGAAAAAAAAAAAAAAAAGTCTGGATACGTTTGCAGGCAGAGCCAACAGGATTTGCTGGGGTGGTCAAGCAGCAGTTAGAGATTTGAGCGTGGAGTTCAGCACTGGAGGCATCCAGTATTGTGTCTCCATGAGGCCAAATGAAGTCACCTGGGAGCGGGAGGCCCAGAGGTGGGAGGTCTGAGTTCACATGGATTAGGCGTCTCCTGTGCGGCAGATGCTGTCCTGGGCCAAGAGTTCAGCAGCGAATGGGGCAGACGAGTTCCCTGCGTGGTGAGGGGCTGACCAGCTGCAGCATCGGTGTGGGCATGGACTAGGAAGCAGGCTCGGGATCTCATTCCCTTATCGTTTCTCTCTTTGCAGCTGTGGAGGGCTCCAGGGCCTGCACCGTGTGGAGCCCACAGTGTGGGCCTGGGGTGGAGGGGCTGGACCAGAGCTTTGCAGGAGCTGTGAGTGAAATGACAAGGGTGCGGTGTTTCCCTGAAGGCGAGATGGCCTCCGTCCAGCACGGACGGCCTGTCTTCTGAGATGTCCTTTATACATTTAGAATATCATAGCTTTCACAGAGGGATGGGGTTGGCAGGTGAGGGGGGTGCAGTTGTTTTGTGTGTCCATGCCAGGGGCAGGTGACCTGCCTTGCTTGGGCGCAGAGAGTCCTGGAACCCTTGGAGCGACTACCCCAGCTCCCTTTCCCATCTCCCCCCGCTCCAGCCCCTTTCCCCAGCCTGGCCGCTCATCCCTGCTTCCCTCCCCCTATGTGGCTGCTTCATGTTTGCATCAGGGCCACTAGGCTGTTCCTTCATATTTTCTTTTCTTTTTCTTTCTTTCTTTCTTTTCTTTCTTCTTCTTCTCCTTTTTTTTTTTTTTTTTTTTTTTTAGATACGGGTTCTTGCTCTGTTGCCCAGACTGGAGTGGAGTGACATAATCATGGCTCACTGCAGCCTCCACCTCCTAGACTCAAACGATCCTCCTGCCTCAGCCTCCCACATAGCTGGGCCCACAGGCACATGCCACCATGCTTGGCTAATTTATTTTATTTTTTATTTTTACTAGACACAGGAGTCTTGCTGTGTTGCCCGGCTGGATTCTTGAATTCCTGAGCTTAAGCTATCCTCCCGCCTTGGCCTCTCTCTCTCTTTTTGCCTCATTCTTTCCTCCTTATCCCTCTAGTTTTCCTTCTCTCTTCCCCACTTCCCCTCATTTTCCCCTCCTTTCCATCTGTTTCCGCTCTCTGGATTCTGCCCTCTTGTTTTTGGCACTTGCTCTCTTTTACGTTTTTCTCAAGCCGCCTTTTGTTTCCCTTTGTGTCTCCTCCTGTCTCATGATGTTCATCTCTGTTTCCACTGTGCTGTCTCCGTCTCTCCCTCTTTTCCTTTCTCTCCCTCTTAAAAATTATTCCCCAGACCTTGAAAACCATCCATCCCTTTTCACTCTCAGGGGCCTGGATGGAAGAAAATGTCTTCATCAGGCAAGGACAGTGCAGGAGAGGGGTCGCAGGTGCATGTGCAGGCCCGGCAGTGCTGCCGGGGAGAAGGACGGGCCTGGGCTGAGATGCACGGGCACAGCCAGACCTCCAAGGACACCTCATGTCTGAGGAAAGGGGGAGTTTGAGAAGAGGCTGCCAGGGCTCCCTGGAGGCCTGGAATGGGGGAGAAGGGGCACAGGGGACAGTCCAGGCCTTGTCTCTGAAGCAGGTCCTTCAGCTGCACTTGGGCTGTGCTTCTCTGTAGGGAGGGGGCATAGCTCTAGGGAAGGAATTTCTCCAGGCCTGGCAGGGGCCTGGAGGAGGCATCTGAGCACCTGCTGGTTCCAGGCTGCCTCTCGTTTTGCACTCAGGGCTTTTTTTGTTTGTTTGTTTGTTTTTGAGGCAGAGTCTCACTCTGTCACCCAGGCTAGAATGCAGTGGCACAATCTCAGCTCACTGCAACTTCTACCTCCCGGGTTCTTGTGCCTCAGCCTCCTGAGTAGCTAGAATTATAGGCGCATGCCACCATTCCAGGCTAATTTTTGTATTTTTAGTAGAGATGGAGTTTTACCATGTTGGCCAGGCTGGTCTCGAACTCCTGAGCTCAAGTGATCTGCCCGCCTTGCCTCCCAAAGTGCTGGGATTACAGGCATGAGCCACCATGCCTGGCGAGGGCTTGTTTTTTGAATGGATAACAGCTGCCTGCATCAGGAACTGGGCTCCTTAGAGTAGTATTTGTGCAACCTGACAACATGGTAGGTCAGGTTTTCTTCCCAGAGCTAACTGGTGCTTTTTTTTTTTTTTTTTTTTTTTTTTTGAGACGGAGTCTCACTCTGTCACCCAGGCTGGAGTACAGTGGTGCAGTCTTGGCTCACTACAACCTCTGCCTCCAGGGTTCAAGCAATTCTCCTGCCTCAGCCTCCCCAGTAGCTGGGATTACAGGTGCGTGCCACTATGCCTGGCTATTTTTTGTATTTTTAATAGAGATGGGGTTTCGCCATGTTGGCCAGGCTGGTCTTGAACTCCTGACCTCAAGCGATACGCCTGTCTCGGCCTCCTAAAGTGCTGGAATTATATTCATGAGACATCACACCCGGCCTAGTTGGTGCTATTTTCAATACTTTTTTGTGGAGCCAACCACCTTCCAGGCCGGCCAACAAAACCTTCAAGGATTCTATTGATAATTCAGCATCAAAGTGAGAAATGTATGACTCTGATGTGACAGCAGTTGGTGGCCGGACTGTAGCCAGCTGTTGGTATGGGATAAGGGGACGGATCTGGAGGTTGGACACTGACTGCAGGCGTCTGGGCCTAAAGCTGCCTCCCTTGGGGAGGTGGATCTCAGTGTGATGGGGGACCCCTGAACCCAGCGAGGCCACTGGGCACAGCTGTTGGTTTGTTGCCCTGGGCTACGAAGGACTCTTCCATTTGCTGCTCTGTCCTGCAAGTGGGTCAATCCCAGCTCCAGCCAAATCCATCTGCTCATGTGCCCCCCCAAATTCTACCACCGTTGCCACCCCTGGCCTTTGCCCCATGGTGTTTTCTCAGCCAGGAGCGCCAGCACCATGCTGTCCCTTGTTCCGTGCCCAGGGCTCATCTGTGGCGCCTTCCTCGAGTCATCCTTTTGACTGATAGCACAGGATGAAGAACACCATCCTGAGGGCACACAGATCTCAGGTGACAGTTTGAAATGCCAAGGCAGGGCCCCTTTGTCAAACTTACTAAGAACTTCAAGACAGGGATAGCAGAGCGGTAGCCCACGCCCGGGGCCTGATTGCATGGGTTTGCACACTCCAGAGGCCGGCCTGGTCTGTTGTACAAGCATCACGCCGGGGAGTGAGTTCCTAAACCCCACTGAGTCTTAGTTTCCATGGCTATAAAATGGGATCACCATTCATATCCCTGCAGAGGATTGTTGTGTGTGATCATCAAGATAGAGTAAGGGGGAGCTGCTATTGTCCTTACTATTGATCATGATTGATTTTTTTTTTTTTTTTTTTGACAGAGTCTCTCTTTGTCACCCAGGCTGGAGTGCAGTGGTGTGATCTCAGCTCACTCTAACCTCCACCTCCCAGGTCCAAGAGATTCTCCTGCCTCAGCCTCCTGGGTAGCTGGGACTACAGGTGCACGCCACCATACCTGGCTAAATTTTTTTTGTATTTTTAGTAGAGACAGGGTTTCGCCATGTTGGCCAGGCTGATCTCTAACTCCTGACCTCAGGTGATCTGCCCGCCTCGGCCTCTCAAAGTAGCATTATTGATACCATTTAACAGCAATTGTTGTCTGTGTTATTCCCCCGGCACTTTGCATCTGCCGCCTTCTGTGTGCTTTATTTATATTTAAATGACTTTTTGGCTGGGCGCAGTGGCTCATGCCTGTAATTCCAGCACTTTGGGAGGCCGAGGCAAGCAGATTACTTGAGGTCAGGAGTTTGAGACCAGCCTAGCCAACATGGTGAAACCCCGTCTCTACTAAAAATATAAAACTAGCCAGGCATGGTGGCGCATGCCTGTAATCCCAGCTACTCTGGAGGCTGAGGCAGCAGAATTACTTGAACCCTGGAGGCGGAGGTTGCAGTGAGCCGAGATCGCACCACTGCACTCCAGCCTGGGCGACAGAGCAAGACTCTATCTCAAAATAAATAAATAAATAAAAATAAAGATATACTTGTGTGTCTATGGTGATGAGACACTTACAGTCAGTGGCCATGTGACAGGAGCAAAGCCCAGGCGCCTTGGTGCTCAAGTAGGATGACTCCGGCACAAACCATCAATTGAAGGAGGGAGTCAGGACTCTAGGACAGAGGGATGGGGAGGGGCAGGAGGAAAGAGGGGACTTGGCCCATGGACAGCAGAGTTTGTTGGCCAAGTTTGGAGGGACCAGACTCGATCAGGAGCTGGTGCCCCATGGAGCCCTGGTTTTGGAGGGTGCCGTGACACCGACTCCCCCCACCTGCTGTCCCTGTGTGTGAGCTTGGATTTAGTAGCCAGCAGCTTGGCAAGACTTCTGGGGCCACTCCTCTGCTGGTTTCCATGTTAACGCTTTTCCTCCAGCTAAAAGCAGAATCTGTGGGAATCCAGGAACCTTCCAGAGCTGCCCCCTAGGGTCAGCATCACCTTAACAAGATTGCACCAGCTTGTCCCTGCTGCTGGCTCGCCCTGGACACCGGCTGCCAGCTCCAGCAGCCCCAAGCCCTGTGCTTCTGTCACTAGGGCCTCGGCAGCCTCCCATGTCCACCAGCTGCTGTGGTCACTGGGCCGGCAGAGGCTGGGGTCAGGGCTGGGCTGGACTGGGCAGGAGGATTCAGATGGGAAGGGGCCGGTGCCCACACAAGCTCTGCAAGGCTGTCCAGCCCAACCCCAAGGGCAGGACTGGACACGCAGGGGCTGCCCACAGAGAAATGGGAGGGGTTCTGCTCACAGCTGTCAGAGTGTTCTGGAAGACTCAGGGCCCTGGAGCAGACACAAACATTGCAGGCAGGACAGGCTGAGGTACAGAAAGCCCGGAGCCAGGACATAGCAGGGCACCCAGGACCTAGGGGACAGGACCTGGGGGCCGGCGGTAGTGGGGGCTGCCACCAAGAGCTCAGAAGAGCCCAGTTGAGTCTCTCCTCAGCCTTTGACCAGCTGGGACCCTGGGCACGTGGCCTAGCCCTGTTCTCTCCAAGCCCGCTTTCTCATCTGTACAGTGGGCATCATCACAGGTCCTCACTCACGGCTCTTGTAAGCACTGGAGGAGACAGCAGGGGAGGGACAGCAGCCACCGGCCGTGGTGGGGGCCCCAGGTCAGTAGTCCCTTACTTGTAGGGCTCAGGGTAAGCAGAGGCCTCTCCACTGGCATCCTCTTCAGCCTTACGGAGCCTTGGCCTGGTGGTGTGAGCCTGGAGCCACTGCCAGCTTGGATGCCCATAGGGCTTCACAGGTCCTGCAGGCCAGGCGGGGACAGTGACAAACCAGACAGCGCATGTCGTGGCTGATGGGGCAGCTCACTGCACCCTGCAGGAATGTGGGCCTGCGGTGGCCAGATAGCTCAGTTTTTCTAGAGAAATAGGCACTCAATGTTTATTTGAACATCCCAGTTCTTCACTGTTGGCAATGAACTCATTTTTAAATTTGTCTGCAAGCCGGATGCTGACCAAAGGTGACCCGTTTGTGCTCTCTGAGTGGGCCAGATCAGGCAACCCCTGAGGGTCCTGAGGTTGGAGGGCAGATGCTGAAGGGACATCCTGGTTCCTGACTGAGAGCTCACCCCCAGCCCCACACAGCTCCGGGGGTGCCTGTGTGCTGGGACAGTGCAGATGCTGGAGCTGGGCAGGCCTGGGGTCAAACCCTAGCTCTGCCAATTCCCAGCTGAGTGGTTATGGCCAAGTGACTCGCTGAGCCTCAGTTTCCCCTTTTGCAAAGTGAGATGGAGGTTCCCTGCCTCTCTCAGCCGCTGTGAGGATGAATGCTCTGTGACCTTTCAGGTCCCATCGCGGGCCGGGCACTCTGTAAATGCTCCGTTCTCGGTCACTGAGGTTGAATTAAGAGAGGCTGGGGCTTGGTTTATGGAGTGAGACTGATCTGTTTCTTCTGTTGACTTTAAAAAAAAAATTATAGAATTAGAGCGAAGTTGCTATGATAGTACAGAGACTCTCTTTGTACTCCTTGGCCAGCTTCTTCTGTTGTTAACATTTTACTGTGTGCATTGTCACAGCTAAGGAACCAACACTGACACATTATGAACTCAAGTCCACAGTTGCTTCTGTTTCCCTAAAGTCTTTTTCTGTTCCGGGATCCCATACTACATTCAGTCATCATGTCTCCCCAGCCTCCTCTGGCCTATGACAGTTTCTCAGACCTGCCTGTTTTGTTTTGGTTTGGTTTGGTGTTTTTGGTCTTGGGCTTTTGTTGTTGTTGTTGTGTTTGAGAGAGGGTCTCGTTCTGTTGCCCAGGCTGGAGTGCAGTGGCAAGATCATGGCTCACTGCAGCCTTGACCTCCAGAGCTCAAGCAATCCTCCCACCTCAGCCTCTCAAGTACCTAGGACTACAGGTGCATGCCACCATGCCCAGCTAATTTTTTTGGGTTTTGGGTTTTGTCTGTAGAGATGGGGTCTCCCTGTGTTGCCCAGGCTGGTCTTGAAACCCTGCACTCAAGGGATCCTCCTGCCTTGGCCTCCCAAGGTGCTGGGATTGGCCAGGCATGGTGGCTCACTCCTGTAACCCCAGCACTTTGGGAGGCCAAGGTGGGCAGATCACTTGAGGTCAGGAGTTCGAGATCAGCCTAGTCAACATGGTGAAACCCTGTCTCTACTAAAAATACAAAAATTAGCCAGGTGTGGTGGCGCACGCGTGTAATCCCAGCTACTGGGGAAACTGAGGCATGAGAATCATTTGAACCCGGGAGGCAGAGGTTGCAGCAAGCCAAGATCATGCCACTGCACCCCAGCCTGGATGACAGAGAGAGACTCCATCTCAAAAACAAACAAACAAAAACACCCACACAAAGTGATGGGATTACAGGCATGAGCCACCACGCCCAGCCTCAGACTTTCCTTGTTTTTGATGACCTTGACAGTTTTGAGAATATCGGGTAGGTATTTTGAACAATACCCTTTAATTAGGGCCTATCTGATGTTTTTCTCATGCTTAGACCAGGGCTGTGGGTTTGGGGGAGGAAGACCGCAGAGGTAAGGCGCCCTTCACATCATAGCAAGGATACTCAACATGGCTCAGCACTGATGCTGCTGGACGTGGGTCACCTGGCCGAAGTGACGTTTGCCAGGTTTCTCCACTGTGCAGTTTCTTTCCCCACTTTCCATACCCTGCTCTTTGAAAGCAGGTCACTAAGTGCAGCCCTACTCAAGAGAGGAGGGGCAGATGCAGACAAACAATTTGGAATTGTTTTGGAACGATTTTGAGATTTGTATCTTCTCCTTGTCTGCTTGCTTTTGCATCTAGCAGTTGTCAATTCTTGGGTGATCCTTTCTTTCTTTCTTTTTTTGAGTCAGAGTCTTGCTCTATTGCCCAGCCTATAGTGCAGTGGCACAATCACGGCTCACTGCAGCCTCGACCTCCAGGGCTCAAGCGATCCTCTCACCTCGGCCTCCTGAGTAGCTGGGACTACAGGTGTGTGCCACCATGACCAGCTAATGTTTTTGTTTTTATAGAGATGGGGGTCTCGTTCTATTGCCTAGGCTGGCCTTGAACTCTTGGACTCAAGCAGTCCTCCCACCTTGGCCTCCCAAAGGCTAGGATTACAGGCTGCCATGCTCAGCCTGATCCTTTCATTTCATTATCTAAATAACCCGGGCTTGAGTCCTAGCTCAGCACATTTACTCTCTGTGTGACCTGGGTGACTCACTATTAACAGAGGGATCATGAGAACAAGAGGATGTATACAACAGGCTGCACCTGGTGCTTTGAGCAAATAGGTTGGTGTTTTTTCCTACTTGTGACAAGAAGTACTAAGGTGGCCCGTTGAGCTGACAGGGCGTCTCAAGGAAGTAGTCAGGGACCCAGGCTTCTCCTGGCTGCTATTCTGCCATCCGTAGCATGTGGATTTTGTCTTCCTGGTCCCAAGGTAGCTGCAGCACCTCTAGCCTCACTGCCATGCTCCAGGCAGGACTCAGCGAAGCTGATGGCGTTATCCCCGTTTTGTAGAGGAAGAAAGTGAGGCAGAGGAGGATGAGAAACCCTGCCTTAAAGAGTGCTGTGAGGTTAGAAGTAGTGTCACCTGGTGTGTAGTAGGCATGGTTGTTTTCACAGTAGGATGGGCCTCTCTCAAGCTCCCTGGCACTGGGGGTGCCCAGTGCCCTGGGGGATGAAGGTGGGCCTCTAGCAGCAGGCACCTGAGCTCCTCCACTTGGCCGGCCTGAGGCTTCAGGCTCAGAGGGGCTGGCCCAGGCTCTGGTGGGGCTGTGGGTGGCTGGGGCAGACCCTGGACAACCTTGGATCCCAGCCTGTGAGTACAGGTACAGTGTGTCCACCCCCCCTTTTGGGGTGGAGGATGCTGGGCCCAGCAGCCCTGTTGACCTGTGCCTCTTGCCTGTTCTGGGCAAGCCAGGACTGGCTGGGGCTGCAGTGGTCACCCAAGAACAGCCAACCACATAAAAGTCAGGCCCAAGGACAGTCACTGAGGTGGGCCTGGCCTTGCAACTGGGTAGCCATGTCTGATGACCTACTATTCAGTGCTCACTTGGAAGGGAGATATAGGGAAGGGTTTGTTGTTCCTGTTCTATTTGGGAGAACAGATTGAATTCAGAGGCAAACTATGGTCTAGGGATCAAATCTGGCCTGGCACTGCTTTTTTTTTTTTTTTTTTTTTTTTGAGATGGAGCCTCGCTCTGTTGCCCAGGCTGGAGTGCAGTGGCGTGATCTCAGCTCGCTGCAACTTCTGCCTCCTAGGTTCAAGCAATTCTCCTGCCTCAGCCTCCCAAGTAGCTGGGATTACAGGCACCCGCCACCACACCCAGCTAATTTTTGTATTTTTAGTAGAGATGGAATTTCACCATGTTGGCCAGGCTGGTCTCGAACTCCTGACCTCAGGTGATCTGCCTGCCTCAGCTTCCCGAAGTGCTGGGATTACAGGCATGAGCCATCACACCCAGCCTGCCATTGCTTTTCTAATAAAGTTTTATTGGCACACAGCCATGCCTTCTGTTTACATATCTATGGCTGGATTTATACTACCTGGGCAGAGTTGAGTGGTTGTGACAGAGACTGTGTGGTTTGCAAAGCCTAAAATATTTACTATCTAGCTCTTTACAGAAAACATTTTGCTGACCCTGACCCAAAAACCAGGCAGGGTCAGGGATGTGCGATTAGGGCTTCCCGAGAGGGAGATGCGGGTGGGCCCAGACTGGCGAGGGGCTGCGGCGGGTTTGTAGAAACAGGGCAGCACAGGGCAAACGGAGGCCCTGAGGTGGTGGGCTTGGCTTTAGAGCAGAGCTTGTTCTGACTGGGGGGCTTCAGAGGAGAGGCTGTGAACCCAGCCGGGGCCTGAGGCTTCACCCTGTCACGTGCTGTGACAGCCATTTGGGGTCTTTGTGAGAAACGGAGCTGCTGGGTGTTGCGGATTGCCGGGGCCAACTCTGAGGCTTCGGCCAGACGCAGCAGGTTACAGGAACCGTGGGGATCTCAGGCTGGGGCTCCTCAGCTCAGCCACCCTCAGCCATGAGGGACTGTGGGCCCGGAGTTGCCCAATGGTCTGATTTTCCAAGAGAAACCGGCAGTCTGCTTTTCACGGGAAATCTGATTTTTACATGTTTGCAGTTAATTCCATTTTTACAAAATCACAAAGCCGACCCAGCACACATGCATTTGGCCTGTGCCCTGCAGGTCTGGGAACTCAGGTGCGCAGGGTGGACGCAGGGAGCTGCGGGGGTGTGGGGAGACTCTGAAAGCAGCCAGGCCCTGCGCCCCAGCACTCCCTGTGGCAGAGGCGGGCCTTGGGCTGGGGGTGGGCTGCGGAGGAGCTCACAGCCGTGTCAGGTTTCTGTGTCTTGACCTATCCTATCCCAGAGCAGAGAACATTCCTGCCTGCGGCCCGGGAGGAGGGGGTGGGGAGCTGGATTCCAAAGGGTTGGACGCACCTCCTGGACCCCAGCGGGGACTCATTCCCAGCCGGAGGGCGAGAGGTGGGACGTGGAGAGCTCTGAAGTCTTCTCTGAGATTTTCAAAGGTGAAAACCCCAGGGTTTGAGTTTGCTGCTCCATCCTCAAGGAGCCCTAGAGGGCGATGGGCAAGGGCTGGTCTTGGAGCTGGACAGGCCGAGGGGACCCCAGCTCCAGTGCTCCCTCCCTCCCGGGACCCCTGAGACATAGCGACTCCTCCCTTGCAGGCTGCCATGATAGTCCAAGAGAGAACGGGTGTGAAAGTGGTTTCCATGGCATGCGGGTGTGCCGGTGAGGGGGTCTGCCTCTGGGAAATGGTCCTGTCCACCCGCCAGGGCGTCTGCAGCCGGACAGCCCTGCGGGCATCTGGTTGTTTTCAGCCTCACACACCAGCCCTTACCTGCTGATTCAGGCGGCTGGTTTCAAAGCACTTGCTGCCACCCCTGGGGGTTTATTATCTATTTCAGGCAGGACTCTTAGTTACAAGCAACCCTGGTCAGTGTGGCTTAAAGAAAGAAGAGAATTTTGAGGCTCATGAACAGGAAAAGCCCCAGGGTAACTCCAGCCTTCAGCAAAATAGGGTTCACGCGCTCCAAGTGATATTGGCAGGACTCTGTCTTGCCGCGTCTTCTAACTCTGCATCCTTCTGTGCGGGGTTCATTCTCAGGCGGGCCCCTGGTGGGGTGGCAGGAGTGGCCTGTCACCTGAACTCCCAGGAACCTCTGGGGAGAGCATCCCTGTCCCAGTAGCAAGAATCGCAGTGGCCCTGTCACATGCTTACTCCTGGACTGATCTCTGTGGGTGGAGGGTGAGCTGCTCACATGGGCTAGGCCTGCTCTTGGCCCCAGCCTGAGCTGTGGGGGAGGTGGGGAGCTGCTCGGATGGGGAGTTGGGCACAAGGGGATCCCTTAGAAAAATCAAGATGCAGCCGGGCATGGTGGCTCACGCCTGTAATCCCAACACTTTGGGAGGCCGAGGCAGACAGATCACTTGAGGTCAGGAGTTCAAGACCAGCCTGGCCAACACGGTGAAACCCTATCTCTACAAAAATACAAAAAAATTAGCTGGTTGTGGTGGTGGGCGCCTTTAGTAATCCCAGCTACTCAGGAGGCTGAGGCAGGAGACTCGCTTGAACCCGGAAGGCAGAGGCTTCGGTGAGCCAAGATTGCACCATTGCATTCCAGCCTGGGCAACAGAGCGAGACTCTGTCTCAAAAAAAAAAAAAAAAAAAAAGAGGGGCCGGGCATGGTGGCTCACGCCTGTAATTCCAGCACTTTGGGAGGCTGAGGTGGGTGGATCACGAGGTCAGGAGATTGAGACCATCCTGGCTAACACAGTGAAACCCCATCTCTACTAAAAATACAAAAAAATTAGCTGGACGTGGTGGCGGGTGCCTGTAGTCTCAGCTACTCTGGAGGCTGAGGCAGGAGAATGGCGTGAACCCAGGAGGCAGAGCTTGCAGTTAGCCAAGATCACGCCACTGCACTCCAGCCTGGGCGACAGAGCGAGACTCCATCTCAAAAAAGGAACAAAAAAAAAAAAAGAAAAAAATCAAGATGCTAGCACCCCAAGGGGAAATGGACAGACAGGCGGAAACAGCGCCCACCCATGCCCACCACTCTCCAAGACTGTGTTTTGGTCTGAAGAGGAAACACCTGAGCTTCCTGGCTCATGCCCCTCTGCCCCTGCCTGGCTGACTTCAGCCCAGTTCTCCAAAGAGCTGTGGGTTACTCACCCACGTGTCTCCAGCGTGTCCTCCAAGGTGTCAGGCTTGGGCCTGAGTGGATGTGGAGCGGCACCAGCCTCTGCAGCCTTCTGTCTGGTCTTCCAGGCCAGTGGCCCTCCTGAAAAAGGAAAGCATGCTTGTTCTCCTTGGAGCCCCTGGGGGCTCCTAGTGATTGACTTCCTTTCTGAGTGCACGGGAAGCAGCTGTTCAATAATCCATTGTGACGTTTGGCCAGACACCGACAGAGCTTGTCTCCCTGCGACCCCCTTGTCCAAATGCAGGGATGACCTTTCCCCTCTGTGACCAGGAAGGATGCAATTGTTGGGGGTTTCTTACATTAGTTCTCTCCAGGCCTAAAGACGCCATCACATCTAGAGCTGCCGGCGGCCTCTCGCCACTCCCTCTCCTTGGCTTCTTCATAATGATATTGATTTTTCCTCCATTTTTAGAATCCATCTCCTTGAGGGAGGAGACAGAAACTCCATCCCTCTGCACAGAACCATTTCAAAAAGGAACAGGGGGTTGGGATGAGGCCCAGCTGGCCTAGGAGAGGCCGCCTGGCTGGGCCGAACACTGGCTCTGGCCTGGCCTGGTCACTGACCCTTGCCTGGGTCCTCAGGACCAGGAGAAGAAGGGCCGTGTCTTTTCAGATCACAGAACACTCTTTGGCCCCTAGTCATGTGTCAGGATGAGAGGGGCGGTCTTTGAACTCCCATGATTCACTTGAATGTTGCATTTTCTAGATATCATGACAGCCAGATCTCAGGCCATCATTAAAAAGAAAGAAGGTGAAATTCCACACCTGTGGGTTACCCACCAGCGGCAGCCCTCTGGCTGGAGATGTATCTTGTGGCTCAGCTCCTGTTTGTGTTCTGATTGCAGTGCCATCAGGGGGACGTGTGTCCACTGACCCACAGAGGCAGGGGCAGCTGGGGAACGTGCTAGGAGAGGAGGGGCAGGCAGGAATAGACCTTGTCTCCCGAGTCATCCCCTGAGCAGGCTGAGCCAAGAGTGGCTGACTGAGGATTGGCTGGGCACAACGTTCCATTCGCCGTGTTTGAGGTTCACCCTTGGCCAGGTGCGTCACTTGTCCTGGTTTTCCAGATGTGAAGGTGGTGACGCAGGCTGGTATGAGATCCCTAGATGTCAGAGCATGTTTTAGCTTATTTAAGATCCTTTGATGGTTCCCTTCTGCAACAGGCTCGGTGTGATGTGGTGGTAAGTCAAGGCCCTGGAGCCCAGACGTGATTACCTGGCCACTCTCACTTTTGGGGGACACATGAAACAGCCTCCTGCTGTCTCCACTGTCGCCCCTAGAGTGTATTCTCTCTCCTGCTCTTCCTGAAGTGCAGACCTCATCACACACACAGCCTCCTGCTTACGAGCTGCAAAGGCCCTCAGTGCTCATGGGATCAAGGTCATAGCTTGGCTTGCAAGATCCCAGGTGGACCCCAGCCCTTTGTCTGGCTTCCTCCCTGTCTACGCGCTGATCCCCGCAGCCCCCACACTCCACCCACTCAGCACAGGCTGTTCCCTCGGCCTGGAACACCGGCCCTTGGTACCTCTATACCCCTGTTCTCCTGACTCCTGGCCAGTTGCTGCTGAGGCTGTGAAGGTCCTACACGGCTCAGCACCCGGAAACTCCCCCAACCCTCTAGGATGAGCTGAGGCCCCATCTGGGTTCCCCAGGCCTTTGTGCCTGTCCTGCCATCAGCCCGCATCATAGGGTGGCATTGTTTCTCCTGGTTCATTTGTGTCCCCACTAAGTGCCATGCCCCATGAGGGCTGGGATGGTTGTCTTGTTCACAGCTGTGTCCTCAGTGCACAGGACAGGGCTGGCCTGGTGCACTGTGAGTTGCCGGCTGGTGGACAGATGCTTGGAGGATGTGTGACTTGGGGCAGGGCAACTCCTGAGTCTTGATCTCCCCCTCTGCACTGGGGTCATGGTGTCAAGTGCAGGGGGAGGGGAGGGAAGGGGAGCAGGCAGCATGGGGAGGGGCCTGCAGAGGTGTCTGGCAGTGGGGAAGCTGTCATTGGCCATAGTCTGGAGCCCACATCCCTGTACTGACACGCAGCTTTCAGCTGTAGCCAGAACTGGGTCTCAGCCAGAGTGGGCAGAGGTGGCCAGGAGACGAGACAGTGCAGGGAGCTGGGGGACAGGGTTAGGGGGTGGTGAGAAGGTCCCCTCCCTCTGTCCTCCTTGACCATGCATCCTTGCTCATCTCCACCGGCTCCAACCAGGAGCAGTAGCCCGGGAGCCCTCTCCTTCTTCTGGTGCAGGCCGTGGTCCTTACAACCTGGACTCTGCATGAGAATCACCTGGGAGCTGTGAAATGTCCCACACCCAGGCCACGCCCCCGAGTAGAGACATCTGACCCCCTGGCGTGGGCCCCGGGCATCAGTAGTTCATAAAACTCCCAGGAGATTCCAGCGCATGGCCAGGTTTGACAGCCGTCATTCCAGGTGGTTCTTGGTGACCTGGTTTTTCCTGGAGATGCTCAGCAGCCTGCAGGAGCCCGCCAGCCAGCGCACAGTGAGCGGCTCGATGGGAAATCTCCCCTTCTCCGCCTCCCTCCACAAAAATCCTCACCAGAAACGAGGAAGCACTTCTTAAAATGGTTTTGTTTTTTGAAAGAGTAGCACATGCCTATGGCAGGAACTCCAGGCAGCACAGATGGGTACACAGTGGAAGAAAAATCAGTCCTGGCCGGGCGCGGTGGCTCACGCCTGTCATCCTAGCACTTTGGGAGGCCGAGGCGGGCGAGTCACCGGAGGCCAGGAATTTGAGACTAGCCTGACCAACATGGCAAAACCTCATCTCTACTAAAAAAAAAAAAAAAAAAAAGAAAAAAAATTAGCCGGGCGTGGTGGTGCACGCCTATAATCCCGGTTAACTCAGGAGACTGAGGCAGGAGAATTGCTTGAACCCAGGAGGTGAATGTTGCAGTGAGCCAAGATGGCACCACTGTACTCCAGGCTGGGTGACAGAGCGAGACTCCGTCTCAAAAGAAAAAAAAAAATCAGTCATGCCACCAACCACAGCCACTGTACCCAGGCTCTGAGATGGCCCTGCAGAGCTGTCACGTGTCGGTATAGGTCCCTTTGTCACATGTCTACCCTTCTCACCTTGCTTTCTTAGTCCTCCTCTGCCAGAACATATTGATCTGCCTGGCTTTTTCTTTTTTCTTCCCCGAGACATTGTCTCACTCTGTTTTCTAGGTGGAGTGCAGTGGCACAATCCCAGCTCGCTGCAACCTCCGCCTCCCGGGTTCAAGTGATTCTCCTGCCTCCGCCTCCCAAGTAGCTGGGATTACAGGTGCGCGCTACCATGCCCGGCTAATTTCTGTATTTTTAGTAGAGACAGGCTTTGACTGTGTTGGCCAGGCTGGCCTCAAACTCTTGACCTCAAGTGATCCGCCTGCCTTGGCCTCCCAAAGTGCTGGGATTACAGTCATGAGCCACTGCGCCTGGGCTGCCTGGCTCTTCTTGATGCCTACAGAGTATTCCATTGTGGAGAGGGCCTGACATGGATGCCTTGGTCCCTTTGGGTGGCCGGCTTTGGCTGTCACAGGCAGTGCTGTCAGAGGAGCTCAGAGTCTTTGGTCATATGTGTGAGTCCTGCAGGATGAACTTGTAGACCGGGAATTCCTGGGTCATGGAACAAGTGGATCCAAATCGCTGATAGAGCTTCATTTCTTGTCATTCCAGAAGTCACCTGCACCGGTGCCCGTGACGTACGAGCTGCCCACACTGTATAGGACGGAGGACTATTTTCCTGTGGACGCCGGGGAAGCACAGCACCACCCCCGCACCTGCCCTCGGCCTTTGTGAGCTTTGTGGTCTTCCCATCAGGAACGCTGGAAAGTGACATTGTGTACACACTGCAGCTTGGGGGTTTTTTCTTTGTATTGCTGTTTATTTTATATTTTAAAAATATTTAAAAAAATGTCGAGATGGGGTCTCACTATGTTGTCCAGACTGATCTCAAACTCCTGGGCTCAAGTGATCCACCCACCTTGGCCTTCCAAAGTGGTGGGATTATGGGCAGGAGCCTCCGTGCCCAGGCTGCTGCCATTTTCAAATTTCCTCCCTGCCTCATGTGAGACCACAGGGTTTGGAGAAGCAGTTGGAACCCACGTGTGGTGATGCCTCCCACATCGGCCTGCTTGGGGTTCTACAGGGGTTGAGGGACCAGGCCTGGCCGGGGCTGATGGACAGTGGGGACTTTCCTTCTCTCCATGATGGCTTTGCAGGGGCTCCATGGTCCTTCTCTCTGTGATGGGTTTTTGCACGGGGTGTGCTCTGCCACTGTGGTGGGTGGGTGGATGCTGCTTCTGTTGCCTCCAGACCTCGGTGCCCACAGCCTTGAGGATCCTTCCAATAAAGGTGTCAAGAGCTCAGCCCTGGTCTGGTGTGAGAATGACGGGGAGTGATAGTTTCCTTTTCACCTGTGCAGTGTTTTCTAGAAGGTTCCTCCTGTGCCTCACCTGCGAGGGCCTGATCCTGGGCACCTGCTGATGAGGCTCCAGCTGAGGGAGGGGTAGTCCCGGCCTTTGGATTTCCAGCAAGAGTGCAGAGGTCATTAGGACCCCCAGGGTCTTCAAAGGCTTGTTTACCCACATTTCTTCCCATGCAGATGAGTTTCCTGCTATTGTCCTAACACTCCGGATTTCTCACTGTGGCTTCAACCTGCAATGGGTATTTCTGGAATTCCTCGAAGAGCCAAGAACACACACATAATTCCCCTATGCACATACAGGACTGAACTGTAAATCTGCATTAGAATTTCAAGATAATCTGCCTGGGCAAGGTGACTCATGCCTGTAATCCCAGCATCTTGGGAGGCTGAGGCAGGAGGGTCGCTTATGCACAGGGTCAAGACTGCAGTGAGCCGTGATTGTTCTACTGCACCCTAGCATGTGCAACAGAGCAAGACCCTGTCCCCCACACCCCAAAAAAGTTTTTCAAGGAAGCCTAAAATAATGAATCTGGCAAGATAGAGTAGAGGCCAGGTGCAGCGGCTCATGTCTGTGATCCCAGCACTTTGGGAGGCCGAGGCAGGCAGATCGCCCAGGAGTTTGAGACCAGCCTGGGCAACATAATGAGACCATATCTCTACCAAAAATACAAAAATTAGCCTGGCGTGCTGGTGCACATCTGTGGTCCCAGCTACTTGGGAGGCTGAGGTGGGAGGATTGCTTGAGCCTGGGAGGTTGAGGCTGCAGTGAGCCATGATTGTGCCACTGCACTCTAGCCTGGGTAACCAAGTGAGATCTTGGCTAAAAATGTTTTTAAAAATTAAAAACAGAAAAGCAGGGAAATAGTTTAGACAATTTTTGGAATTCAGAGATATAGGTAGACCCCTTGTTTCTGGAAAAGTCAGCATTTTTATTCTCTTTTCTTTTTTTTCGAGATGGAGTCTCACTCTGTCACCCAGGCTGTAGTGCGGTGGCATGATCTCAGCTCACTGCAACCTCCGCCTCCCGAGTTCAAGCTATTTTCCTGCCTCAGCCTCCCAGGAAGCTGGGATTACGGGAGCACACCACCACGCCCAGCTAATTTTTGTATTTTTAGTAGAGACGGGGTTTCGCCATGTTGGTCAGGCTGGTCTCGAACTCCTGACCTCAGGTGATCCTCCTACTTTGGCCTCCCAAGGTGCTGGGATTACAGGTGTGAGCCACCATGCCCGGTCAGCATTTTTTTATTGAGGTGACTTTTACAATTTTTTTTTTCTTTAAATGAGACACCTGTCACCCAGCCTGGAGTGCAGTGGTGTGATCATGGCTCCCTGAAACCTCAAGCTCCTGGGCTCAAGTGATCCTCCTGCCTCAGCCTCCCAAGTAGCTGGGACCACAAATGTGCACCACCATGCCTGGCAACTTTTCAAATTTGTTTTATTTTTTGTAGAGACAGGGTCTCCCTATGTTGTTCAGGCTGGTCTTGAACTTCTGGGCTCAGGGGACCCTCCTGTTTCGGCCTCCCAAAATGTAGTGTTGGCACAAACCTTTATTGAAGTATAATTTATATTACAGAAAGGGGTGCCTAAGTGGTTCACTAAATTTTTCACAAACTGAGTGTATCTATTTAAGCCTCACCAGACTGAGCAACCAACATTATCAGCACTGAGCAGCCCCCTCATGCCCGCTTCTGGTCCATGCCCATACCCACCCCCACCCCAGGCTGACAGCATACTGACATCTAACCATATGGACTGGAGTTTCTTGTTTCTGTGCTCTGTATAAAGAGAGGACACACGGGATGTGTACCTACGGTGTGTCATCTCTTGTCTCTGGCCTCACCGGCTTGATGTTACCTTGGGAGGTGTCACTGTTGCTGTGTCACTGTAGATCATTCCCATGGCTGTGTTGTATTGGCTGGGACTGTTTTTATCGAAGGGAGCTTGGACACTCTGCATGCCCCAGTGTGCTCAGGGAGAGCACACGTTGGATGGAAAGTTGGCCGGGTGAGGTGGCTCACGCCTGTAATCCCAGCACTTTGGGAGGCCAAGGTGGGCAGATCACTTGAGGTCAGGAATTCGAGACCAGCCTGGCCAACATAGTGAAACCTCATCTCTACTAAAAATACAAAAATTAGCCAGGTGCTGTGGTGCACCCCTGTAATCCCACCTACTCGGGAGGCTGAGGCAGGAGAATCGCTCGAATCTGGGAGGTGGAGGTTGCAGCAAGCCAAGATCGTGCCACTGCACTCCAGCCTGGGCAACAGAGCGAGACCCTATCTCAAAAAAGAAGAAAAAGGAGAAAGCTAATGTTAATTTTTTAGACAAGCAGTTGAGGACACTCATTTCCGGAAGGGTGAGTATCTGCTGAGTGTTGGGCACTCCCAGGCTTCTTTCTCCTCCCAGCCCCTGAAACAGGGGCCAGGGAGAGTTGGAAGGAAATCCCATGTGATTAAGCCGCAGCAACGTTGAGTGTCCTAAAGCAGGGACCCACAGGCCCCACGCTAGGAGCATGGCCCTGAGGTTAGCCTGCCTGGCAGCACTGTCCGCTCCCATGCCTCTTAGCTGTGTGAGCTGGGCTTTTCACTTGCTCTCTCTGAGTCCAGCTGCCCCTGCGGTAAGACATGAGGATGGCTCTGGTCTGATGGGTTGTGGTGAGGGTGACATGAGGTGAGCTGTGTGCATGCTGGGCACACTGGCGAGGGGCTCTCAGTAATGGGAGGCTGCTGTTGCAGGGCCCGGGCTGTGATGGGGAAAGGGTTGATTGTCCTGCGTTTCTCAGTTGACCAGCGGCATCCGAGGGCCTGAACAGCGAGTGACTCAGGGACTGCCCTTACGTGTCAGAGTTAGAAGTCATGGGAGAATGGAGGCTGCTCTCTCTGGGTTTCCCTGTCCTGTTAGGAGGGGTGAGGTTGCACAGGAAATCTATGGGGAAAAGGTGACAAGTGAACTGGAAGTAGCCGTTCCAAAGTTCCTAGGATTTGCACTGCCAAACAATGAGCTTTAAGGGACGCTTGGAAACATCTGGGGAGAAGGAAGGCCGGGACACTGCGCCCTGCCATCACCAACCCCTAACCTCAGTCCTCTGAGCGGCTCCACTGTCCCTGTGCCAGGTGACTTCATGTGCGTCCTCATTAAAGCAAAGTGCCTGACATTTCCATTGTCCAGTCAATGATGTCCTCGGTTGCTGACTATTGATGGCCTCTAACCCCTTGGTAAGGGTAACTGCAGCCTAGGAAAGGGTGATCTGATCTTTCTCTTTTTTAAACAGAGACGGGGTTTTGCTATGTTGTCCAGGCTAGTCTCAACCTCCTGGGCTCAAGCGATCCTCCTACCTTGGCCACCCAAAGTATTGGGATTACAGTCGTGAGCCACCGAGGCCTGCCAGTCTTTTTCTTTTGTGGCTGATGTTGGACAGGGACACCAGTAGAAAGGTCACTGCAGATTTCTTCCCAAGAGCAAGGCTCTTCGGTCAACCCCCTTTCCCACTTTCCCAGCGGATGTGAACTTCGTGCTCACCAAAGCAAGAGGTTTCAAGGTAGCAGCCCATGGGGTTGTATCTGATTGGCAGAAATGTGTGGTTTGCCCTGAATTGTTTTAAGATGTTTTCATGTTGTGACAATTGGGTAAACTTCTGGAAAAAATAGAGCTCCATACCTCACTCAGCACACCTGGATTGTAAATCGATTAGGAGCTTAATGTATAAAATGAATCTATTGGCCGGGTGCAGTGGCTCACACCTGAATCCTACCACTTTGGGAGGCCAAGGTGGGTGGATCGCTTGAGCTCAGGAGTTCAAGACCAGCATGGGCAACATAGCAAAACCCCTTCTCTGTAAAAAATAGAAAAATTAGCCAGGCATGGTGGTGCTTGCCTATAGACCCAGCTACTTGGTGGGAGGTGGGAAGATTGCTCGAGCCAGGGAACTTGAGGCTGCAGTGAGCTGAGATTGTGCCACTGCACTCCAGCCTGGGTGACAAAGTGTTACCCTGTCTTAGAAAGTAAAATAAAACGAATCTATTGAAGAAATAGGTTAAAAACATTGGCGAAGTGTACAAAATCGAGAAGCCATAAAAGAGGTCAATTTGATTATATAAAATTTTTAAACTTCTGCATGGCAAAACCAACGGAAAACTCAACCAAAAAATCCCAAAACAACAAAATCCTAAGCAAATTCAAAAGATAGATGACAAATTGGGAAAATATATTTGCATCTCATGCTACAAAGGGATAATCTCCCTAAAAAATGTCACCTACAAAAAAGGGAAACAGTAGCAAAACAGGCAAAGGCTATGAACAGGAGTTTCACAGAAAATGCAAAACATGAAAAGATACTCAACCTTAATGTATGCCAATAAGTATGGAAAAATACCCTGAGATTTTTCACATTTCAGGCTGGCAAGGATTAAAATTTTTGATGACACTATTGAATTTTTTTTTTTTTTTGAGACAGAGTCTGCTCTGTTGCCCAGGCTGGAGTGCAGTGGTGTGATCTCAGCTCACTGCAACCCCTGCCTCCTGGGCTCAAATGATCCTCCCACCTCAGGCACCCAAGTAGCTGGGATTACAGGTGCGCACCACCATGCCCAGCTAATTTTTGTGTTTTTAGTAAAGATGGGGTTTTGCCATGTTGGCCAGGCTGGTCTCAAACTCCTGGCCTCAAGTGATCCACCTGCCTCAGCCTCCTAAAGTGCTGGAATTACAGGCTTGAGCCACTGTGCCTGGTCTTGCTGGTGATATTTTGAAGAAACATATTCTTGTACATTGATGGTGGGACACCATTCTCATGGGGGGGCAATTGGCATACCTAACAAAATTAGAAATGGTCCTAGCTACTCAGTAGGCTGCGGCAGCAGGATCGCTTGAGTGAGCCCAGGAGGTTGAGGCTGCAGTAAGCCGTGATCATGCCACTGCACTCCAGCCTGGATGACAAAGCAAAACCCAATCTCTTAAAAAAAAAAGGGGGGGTTGCGGGGGGAAATGTCCTCAGACCCAGTAATTCCACCCCTAGGAATCCAGCTTACACACACAAGAAAGAAAAGATAAATGTACAAGGTTAGTCACTGCACAGTGAGACAGCAAAAGATTAGAAAGAACCCAAGTGATTATTGATCTGGGTTTTATTCCTTTATAGCCCAACCATATGATGGAATACTATAATGTTGTAAAAATGGGTTAAGAGTTCTTTATGAATTGGTGTGGAAACATCGCCAAGATATGAAAGCCAAATGCAGAAAAATATATGTGGTATGCTATTATCTATGTGAAAAAGACATTACTATTCTCTGGAAGGATAAACACAAATTTGAGAATGGTGGATATCTGGGGTGAGAGGTATCCTTTTCACTGTTCTTTAAAAGTTTTGATATTTTGGTGTTTGCCTATTCAAAAAAATGGTTAAAATCAGTTGCCACCAATTAAAAATTAGGAGAATGCATATAAAGAACTGAATTTCCTGTTTGTTTGCTTGTTGCCTTAAGAATGTGAGCCCACTGTTTTTAGTGCCAGATATTCTAATTTTAAACAATGAGCTACATAAAGTCAAGTTGCTTTGGAGGGGGGGGTCCTGGTCTCCAGGCTTTTCTTATACTCAAATTATTTCACTAATTTATTTCACTTGCCTAGCCCCTGTGGGCATTTGCATTTGAGATCCGTAGAACCAGAGACTCAGACAATGGGAAATTTATTCCAAGGATATGGAGTGTGTGAAGAAATGCATCTCGGTCTCAGCTTAATGTGGTGGAGGATGGCAGCTAGATGGTCACTGCAGTTCAAGCAATTGGCAGTCTAGCTAGCACCTCTGTACCCCAATTCCAAACTCCCTGAGGATGAGGCATGGGGTCCCACTAGAGAAGTGTGTGCTGTCCAGGGCTCTCCTTTGGGAGGTGACTGATACCAGGTCAGACATTGTAAGAAAGCTACACCAATATTCCACAAGAATACAAATGCAAAATCAAGAAAATATCAGGAAACAGAATCCAGCAACATATAAAAAAGGATTATACGCCATAACCAAGCAGGATTTCTTCCAGGAGTGCAAGGTTGGTTTAACATCTGAAGATCAGTGTACCACACCATATTAATAAAGGACAAAAACCACATGATCATCTCAATAGATGCAGAAAATAAGCATTTGACAAAATCCAACACCTACTTATGATAAAAACTCTCCTTCTTGGGGTAAAAAGGGGAGTTCTTGGGAAGGTTAGAAGCTAGACAGGTACCCCACAATGTCTGCTTACAGGGTTTACCAACTCCTTGGAGATGTTTAGTTGACTCAGGCAGCTACAGGTTTCCAGGAACCTTCCTCTCCATCTTAAAGCAAAATCCCACTAAATCCCACTTTGCATTATGGTGAAGAGTGCAAACATCTTTGGAAGGAGTTGCAAGTAGTTCTAATTTCAAGCAGCTGTCACAGAATCTCCTCTCTGAGTTCCCTGGGCTTGCTATGGGCTCAAAAGCCTGGAAATTCTTACAGGTGATAATCAGCTTGATGCATTTCAGGCTTGCAGCAGTAGGAGTGAGTGGAGGGCAGCAGGTCTGAGGCTGGCCTCTGCAGTCTTTGCTGGGCCTTCTGGCAGAGTGTGCTTTAAGGACTGCTCATGATGCTGGGTTTGGAGAAGCAGTTAAGGGGAGGACTGCAGGGGACACAAGCATTATATTTGGTCAGAATGAACATACGGTTCCCCTTAAAAACCAAACCAGTGAGGCATGAGCACCCGAGGCCAGCCTCTTCAACCAGGAGGGGTTTCTCACTGGGCCTTCCACGGAGATGCTCCGTTTTAGACGTAATGGGCGGAGTTTCATCTGGAGGAGCCAGGCCGAGGTGAATGAAAGGGAGGAGACCTGGAGGAGCGGGTCTTCTGTTGGCATCCCCAAGCCTGGTGCTGCTGCAGTGGGGACTCTACCCAGAAGGTAAGGATTCCAGCTTAGGCCACGGTCTCCTTGTTGCCGGGATGAACCGAGGAGATGTTGGGGCAAGTCTACACTCTTGAAATGGTTTTCTACATGCAGGTTGCATCTCTGAGTGTACAGGTTCTTCTTAGGCTGCTAGCAGGTGTTTGTTGAGTGGCGGGGAAAAAGAATAAGTGGTCTCAAAGGAAACTGCCTGGAGCAGACATACTATTCAAGGGAAGGCTGGAGCTTGTAGCCCACGTTCACTGCGCATCCCTTTAAACCAGTTCCGTCTGGGAATCAGCTGGGCCACACCTCAAACCAATTACATCAGAATCTCCAAGCAGGGGAGGGGGAAACTTAGATCACCTGTCTTTAAACCCCCCCAGGTGATTTCAGTATGTAGCCAGGGCTGGGAATCACTTGCTTCCAAAGAATACCAGTCAAGAGATTTTTCAGAACTTGCTTCGTCTTCTGAGTTGGAGCAATTGCACCTTTTATCTGGTTTTCATATGGCACAAGGCTTCCTTTGAAGTGCTGGGTCCTCAGCATCGCTCTGCACCTTCTGAGTGTAGCATGGAATTGGTTTTGAATTGGTTTCCGGTTTTGGGTTGAATTGCTTTCACCCGAGCTTCAGAGATGGGTCCTGACTAGTCTAAGCCAACCAGGGTAATGCTAGCTCAGTGACTGACCAGGTAGCTTTGGACTAAGCCCATCAGCTTAGTCGGATGTTCTGGAATGGTCCAGTTGGCTTAGAATTCAGGATTCTTTCTTAATACTGAATGAAGGGGAAACCTCTCAGGTTAGGTAAGTGGAAGGCACCCTATGAATACCGGGGTGCCTGCCTAGGATGAAGTGTCCCTGTGGGTGGCAGGATGGAGACAGAAAACCTGAATCCTTGGTGATGTCCCTGAGCAGCTTGCCCTCCCCAGACACAGCCAGTTGCCCCCTTGTCACCTTTATTAAGCACCGTCTGAGCTGGATTTCCCGTTACCTGCCAGTGAGAGTCCTAATTAATATAAAAGGGTCTGAGGTTGGGCAAAGCAAAGTGAGTAGTCACTGCTAAAGGAAGCAGAGTTCCCTGAGCAGCTCTTGGAGCCAGAGCCCAGGCTGGGCTTGAAGCCCATCTGTCAGCCCCTAGCTCAGCACTATCCGGCATGCTAGAGGTAGCAGAGTCATCCTGGGATAAGGCGGGTCTGGGCTGAGGCTCATTTTGGTGCTTATGGACCTGGGACCCTGCTCTGATTTTCCTTTTTTTTGAGACGGAATTTTGCTCTTGTTGCCCAGGCTAGAGTGCAATGACACGATCTTGGCTCACCACAACCTCTGCCTCCCCGGTTCAAGCGATTCTCCTGCCTCAGCCTCCTGAGTAGCTGGGATTACAGACATGTGTCACCATGCCCGGCTGAAGTTTTTTGTATTTTTAGTAGAGATGGGGGTTTCTCCATGTTGGTCAGGCTGGTCTCGAACTCTTGACCTCAGGTGAGCCACCTGCCTCAGCCTCCCAAAGTGCTGGCATTACAGGCATGAGCTACCACACCCGGCCGGATTTTCCTTTTTAATAGCGCAAGTCTCAGGCTTGCAGCCTCAGCATGCGATAACAGGTAGCAAAAATCTAATGTTTGTCTTGTATTTACTTTCATAGTCACTTTTATGGTCATCTGAATTTGTGGCAAATTATGGTGATTTTGCTTTTTGGTGACATCGTTTTCCTTTAAAAGGGGGAGTGAGGGTGAGGCATGGTGGCTCACACCTGTAATCCCAGTAGTCGGGAGGCTGAGGCAGGAGGATTGCCTGAGCCCAGCAGGTTGAGGCTGCAGAGCTGTAATCGTGCCACTGCACTCCAGCCTGTGTGACAAAGGAGACCCTGTCCCCCCAAAAAAGTGGTGGCGGGAGTTGAGACATACTAAGAACATAAAGCAGTTGTGAGGCAGATGTGGCACAACTGACAATGGTGGTGGAGTGTGAGTCAGTTTGGGGAACGCTGAGCCAGGGACTGAACACTGTGAGAATGGGGCTCACACATCTTTTCATTCATAGCAGCAGCCAACTTTCTTCCAAGGCCAGTCTCTATCCTAGGCCCAGGTGCATGGTGTGGCCGGAAATACCGGTGGCTGTGGACTCAGATATCCCATGTCCTAGTCAGCAGCTTCCCCTTTGCCAGCTGAGATGTCAGGACAAGTTAGCTTCTCTGCACCTCCATGTCAGCACCTGAAACCTGGAGTTCCTACTCCCAATACAAGGTTTGGGGGTTTTTGGAGGAGAGTGCGGAGGATTGGGGTTGGACGGTTTTGAGGACTCAAATACCTTGGATTCCAGTGCTTTACAATTAGTCCCAGAACTACACATCCGTTCTGAAAATACCCGTTGGTTAGCTGTGTATTCACGATGCCTAAGATTCAGGTGTTTTTAGGAACAATATTGTCCTTGTAGGGTGTAGCGGAGCCCCTTGTCCGGAGTCCTGTCCTTGGGGGAGAGGGTTCTAGTTGAGCTTCCCCAGGGGATGCTGATCCAGCTTTGCTGGCAGACGGAGTGGCAATGGCTAAGTCATGCCACTGTCTCTTCCTCCATCTCTCCAAGGCGGGATCTCTACTTTTGATTCCTAGACTGGCTACTTCATGTACACAGCTGTCACGTCCCACTGCAGTCTAGGATGGCAGCCAGTACAGCACTCACATCAAGTATATTGGAAAAGCCCTTTTACTTCTGCTTTATGGTTCCTAAAAGGTGCCTGCTCTGCTTATTAGAGTATCCATTTTGCTTCACTTATAGTAATAAGACATCATTAAAGGTACATAAATAAAATAAGGATTTTTTTTCTTTTTTTTTAAGACGGAGTTTCACTCGTCACCCAGGCTGGAGTGCAATGGCGTGATCTTGGCTCACTGCAACCTCCGCCTCCTGGGTTCAAGTGATTCTCCTGGCTTAGCCTCCTGAGTAGCTGGGATTACAGGCGCCCACCACCATGCCCGGCTAATTTTTGTATTTTTAGTAGAGACAGGGTTTCACCATGTAGGCCAGGCTGGTCTCCAACTCCTGACCTCAGGTGATCCACCTGCCTCAGCCTCCCAAAGTTCTGGGATTACAGGTGTCAGCCACCGCGCCCGGCCAAAATAAGGATTTTTAATTGCAAAAACCAGTTCAGGTTCGAATGGTCTTACACCTTAAGGTTAGGTGGTGTCCTGGATGGGGAAGGGGTTTGCATCACAGATCCATTAACGCTGTATGCTGAAAACACACACATGCAGCCAAACTCATTAAATAGCGTGGAAGATTTGTTCTGGAAATGACTAGGGACCTTCCTTCCCGCGTCCCCTCCTCTTGGTTGGACACTTTGAAATAATGACAAGAACTTTCGGGGGTGATTTTGACTATATGCAACTCTTATATGCTGACTTTAAAACACAACCCCCCCTATACTGTAGCTCCACTACATTCAAGTTACAGCGAGTAGTCCGTTACCGAAGTGGTACAAGTTGGTGGGAAGCAGGATGCAAAGAATTAGCAAATGGGGACCTTGCTTTGGTCAAGCTTTCAAGCCAACTTTGCAGCAGATGGGAGAAATGCCTTTTATTTTCAAACCTGTCAAGTTTGTATCAGCTAAGATGTTTTTCTTCTAGATTACCTCATGGTGACCCACTGATAATTGGTATGTTGGAATGCCATTTCCTAATGGTGGGAGCAGCCTCTTCATTTCTAGTCTTCTGGAAGCTTTTGAGATGTTCCTCCATGACATTTTGGTGAAACATGCCTCAACTGGCACCTAATTATTGCTCAGCAGGGGGGCTGGAAGGGTCACAACAGGCAGAAAAACAAAACAAAACGCTGCCTGATACTCTGCAAAATCCACGTGTTCAACATGTTCTACTTAATTTCATTAGGGAAAGAAAATTTCCATCAAGCTAAATGGTTCTCAAATGTTAGTGGCATAGAACCATGTAGAGATGGATGGGCGTGGTGGTTCACGCCTGTAATCCCGGCACTTTGAAAGGCTGAGGCGGGTCGATCACAAGGTCAGGAGATGGAGACCATTCCGGCTAACACGGTGAAACCCTGTCTCTACTAAAAATACAAAAAAAAAAAAAAAAAAAATTATCCAGGCATGGGGGCACGTGCCTGTAGTCCCGGCAGTACTTGGGAAGGTGAGGCAGGAGAATGGCTTGAACCCAGGAGGCGGAGGTTGCAGTGAGCTGAGATGGCGCCACTGCACTCCAGCCTGGGCAGCAGAGCAAGACTCCATCTCAAAAACAAACAAACAAAAAAACGAACCACCTAGTGATAATTCTTGAGTCTCATCTCGAGGACTCAGTACTAGTAGTCTGAGGTCTAAGTAGTAAAGGAACTACACTTCTGTATGGTAGTACTTATTTGGCAATAAGCAGGTTTGTTTCTAGCGTGAAGCATCTCAGATGGGAAACTCCCATCTTTAATACATCGCAGTTTTCAAATTTGGCACTCATTTTGTTCATGCCAGAAATGGATGTTACAAAGGAGTAGGCATTGGGATCAAACTGACATACAACTCTAGAGCGATATGAGGCATAGATACCCTTTCTGCTTGAATTGCAAGAGGGAATGAAGCTGTTTGATAAAGATTCTCCTCTCCCTATACAATGACAAGGAACCAAAGATAGGATGAGAAAATGCTCTATGTGATGAACAGGGAAAGAAGCCACAGTCCTAGCTTGTCTGAGTGAACTCATTCCCACGAGAAAACCTGCAGGGCCAAAAACACGCCTCCCCACCCCCTTCCCCCGACACCCACAAAAACAAAACACACCAAACCTCTGTAGGATACTTAGGTTTTCTCATGTTAGAAGTGTTCAGCCTACATTTACAGGCATTCTCTAATTAGGTGGCAGCACGTTGCCATAGCCAACGATCTCCAGATTATTTGAAAAGCAAACAGTAGCAACAATATTCTTTTAAAATGGCTTTTATTGAGACACTTGTAGGGATTCTGCAACATTTCCAGTTGGGAATCTTTATTTCCAACTCTTAGGGTGGCTAAACCCTTTTCTGAATGCCAAAAGGCACACTCTCACCACCTTAATGAGGAAACACACTTATCTGTGTCTGTTCCGATATCCAACTGGGACCTGGACCCCAAGCCCCGTGGTGTCTTGTACAAGTCTCATTAGTCCTCCACGTACAACTCAGAAGCCTGTTAATCAGGGAGGGTAATTTCCAAATAAATGTGAGCTGGCCTAAATCCAGCTGGTTATTTCTGATTTGGTAATCTGTAGTATCTTAATTTGGGGACATCCTGTCCTAAGTTTTGGCTGGTGCATGTAGAACTTATAATCTACCTGTATAACAACAGATGCAACATAGCTCCGTTCCAGCCCCAAATTCCTTAAAGGTTCTAGTCTACTCTTGCACTTCTTCCTGTACTGTTGTTGAGAAGCTTACATTTTAGGGAGAGGCTGGTCAAATCTCTACTCTCTGGTAACAGCATTAACAAGAGTCTTTCTTTTGGAAACAGACTCAGAAGTTATGGACATCAGCCACTTCAGACTTCTTTAGGCCACTATCCTTGAGGTGACTGACCAGCCTCCTCATGGATTGGAGTTTCCCATCATTGTTTTAATTGCTGGAAATGTTGGCCTAATTCTGCTTCCTTGTAACTTTCTGCTTTTTAGTACAAGTTCTCTTGGGAATCTACGCATGGTAAAAATACCAGCTCCTTCCATCTTTACAGCCCTGTCAGTGCTGTGCTCTTCAAAGCCTTTCCCTTAATAGCAAGAGGGCCAAGAGTGGCAAATAGAGGCAGAGCCGCCTGCACTACAGTTGTTCCCATCGTAAGGTGAAAACGAACGTTTAACTTCATCTAGAAGAAAAAACAAACAAAAAACCCATCAGGCTATTAAGATTCTGCTTGCAAATTAATGCCAATCCATGTTTACATTTTTTTTTTTATCATTGAGACATTTACATATATATGCAGGCTCTGCTCCTTAACAAAAGGTGAACTGAAAAACTCAAGGGTGTTTGTTTTTCAGTTAAAAAAAAAAAAAAAAAAAAAAAAAAAAAAGAAAAACAGATTTTGTACCAGGTGCCTCAAGAGAAAGCATTCTATTTGCAGATGACAGATCTTGGGTTTTCCACAAGTTTCCTCTGTGACTGTGGCTGCCATCTCTGATGAAAGAGTTATGGCATTAAATGGCAAAAGATATAATGGACACACAGGACTGTCATGTGTAATAAAGCAAATATTTACATTAAGCACAATACAGCAATTTATTTAGATGCTTAAAATGAATACAAAGGGAAAATAAAGATCACAAAATTATACATACTACAACAGTGTGTCATATATTAGATGGTATAAATGAATCCACCATGATGGTGTTGAACTAAAGATAAAACTAAATATCCAAAATGCAGCACTCATTGGTTTGCTGCTTCAACACAACACACTTTTATACAGATCTAAAAGGTGTCAAAATTAGTAGCTGCAAAGTCAATTCTTGCATGTGATTTTAGCTTAAAAGATTTCAGAAAACAGATCTGAAATACCAGTTTTTGTTTTTGACAGCTGTAATGTCAAGGATATTCAGAACAAGAAAAATCCTATAATACAAGAGAGTCCAGATATATATCTTACGTGGCTGGCCTCTGTTGCAAGATTGTACAAGGTTATGTGCAAAAACTAAGTCTGTCCAAAAAGTCCATACTAGCGCAGTTTTGAGCTTTTGCTAGGTAAACTAGATAGAGCGTTTATTACACAGCAAGGGCAACACTAAAAAAAGAAATCTATGATGGGCACACAGTAACAGGATCATGAGCATCACTTGAATAGGTCTAAAAGACTGTACAAATATACATTTCAACTATTCAGAATGAATACATGAAAAAAAATCGCTTTTCCCAAAGTCTACTATACACATTAGACTGGTAGCTTGTATGTTGGCCCTACACTACCATGTGAATTAGTTTAACACTTCTCAAAGACATCTGACCAATCATTTCACAGAGGGAAAGAAATGTTGAAAAGGCAGATAAAATAAACCTCTGCTTTTCCTCGTGTGTATTCATGAGTCACCAGCTTATTGGTTTTTCACATTTAGTTACCGTGTCTGTCAGAGAAGGTTCTGAAGCAAGAACAGCCTGTCCTGTCATAGACTTAGAAATAACCACTGGAACTGCAGCGGCCACATGCCCCACAGTCCAACCAGTACTCACAAGGCAGTACCAGTGAGAAGACAGCTTTGCAGTCACACTGGATATCAGAGTTCCAGGCTGCAGCATGTCACCAACGCCAGGGAACCTGGCACTTAGGCCTGTTGGCTGCTCAGTTTAACTCCGGCTAAGCTGCCATGCATGGGCTCAGCTACTCCATCAGTCATGTTGTCAAACTGTTCCCCATCCTCACTGTCAATTGTGCTATTCTGCCACTCAATCTGGGGGTTAGATAAGCGCTCATCATTCTCAGATGCATTCTTCCACTGTGACTGGTCCTTAGACCAAAACCCTTCAACTTTTCCATAGGAACTATTCTTCCATTTCAACTGCTCTCTGTCACCTTGCATGGTAGCCTTTTTTTTGGCAGCTGGCTTACTGCTCCTTGCATCTTCGCTTTGGGAAGACTCGTCAGACCAGGTTCCTGGTTTCATTTCGCAGGTATTGTCCTCAAAGTCTGACACTTGTTGGGATCCAGGCCCACTCTCAGATGGAGAAGCACCGTCTTTCCACTCAACAACATCGTCTTGGTCAACCTCACTATCAGATGCATTGTGCATTAGTTTGGTTGGTTCCTCAGTCAAATGAATAGTTTCGTATTTTGAACCATCCTCTTTTTGGTCTAGCTTCTCCTCAGATTCTGAAGCATCCTCAGGAATTACCTTCAGTACATGTTCCTCTGGGTTATCGTTAGAGATTTTAGGTTCAACTTCAAAAACAGGGTCAAAAGGGCTACCACTTTCATTGGATTCTTCTTCCAAATTTTCAAAACTGTCTGAGGAACTGTCATCTTCCTTCCCAAGGTTGAGCTTTTTGTCAGCAGTCTTACTAGCATTGACTCTGGAATCCTTCTCATCATGATTTTCAAATAGCCACTCAGCATCAAAATCCATCTCATGCTTGACTTTATTTAATTCTTTCATGTTAAACCCCAGCAACACGCCAGGCTTGTACTTTTCACAATCACGGACACACTTCTTCCTTTTGTTACTAAAATGGGAAGCGATGTCACTCTTCCATAACCATAAACTGGCTGCTAGCTTCTCAATTTCTCTCCTGGTGGGATAGGGCTGTTTGTTGAAATACTTTGTTAGAAAGCTTTTCCTGGCTTCATAGGAATCATCTTCATGACCCTTGGGGTCTAAAGCTAAAACAACAGGCTCTTCAGGCTTCTCTTCAAAGAAGCTGGGTGAATCACTATCATCATCTAACTTTCGTTTTTTCAGTAAGGGAAATTCCATTTGCTCGTAAGTGCGCTTCACAGGTGCCAGACTTGGAGACTGATTAAGCCGAGAGGGTGCATTTGTCTTATCCTGGCCATTTTGGGTCTTTCCAACGCCCCTGCAGTGAACTAGATGCAGAGTGATAGTTGAGGCGGTCATGTTGCTGGTATACACACCAAGGCAATGGATACATTTGTAGGTGAGCTTTTTCTCAACTGGATGAACCGTCTGAATAACTTGGTGCCTCTCTCGTAAGTGATGTGCAAGTGCATCAGATATGGGTCCTTTTAGGATTGAAAAGCAAAGAGGACAAAGGGTTTTCCCAACATCTTTTTTATAGGGCACTGCAGCTTGAGGTGAACTTTTTACAGGGATATCTGCCTTTTCCTGAACCTTTGGCTGTGGCTTTGGAGGAACTGGAGGATTATTTTGGGCATGGTAAGCAACAGATTCAGCTGGGGCATCCCTCAGATTGTATGTAGTTACCAGGAGATGGATGTTAGTGTGACTACCCTGCTGCAATGTCAAATCAAAACTCAAAGTAGAATCTGTTTTAGGTCCCATCTCTTCATCAATGTGAACCATCCGCATGTGTGCGGCCATCTTTTCCACATCATTGAAAGTTGAACGGCAATATGGACAAGACAGACCATGAATTAACATATGGTTGAGCAGAGTATCTGTGGGTAAATAGCGATTACAGTAGAGGCATTTGCTAGTAAAATTGTGTATTTTCATAATGTAGTTGGCTACTGCTGGGACTTTCTCAGCTTTATGTTCTTTTTCGAAGTGCACACTATAGACATTTTCAGGAAAAAGCTCATTACAGATTGTACATATTTTCCACTTTTGAGTTGAGGAAGTGTTACCTGGGGGAGGGCCTGTGGCAGCTGCAGCAGGTTTGGAACTGGACTGACCTAACACTCTGGATGCCTGTGACTGAGAGAGGGAAGGAGACTTTAACTGGCCCGATGAGAGAGAAGAGGCATTAGCAGACTGCAGGGAGTATCTTGCTGGTGCCTGGGACCTCTGCTCTGACCCAAGCCCATAAGACCTTCCGTTTCCACTTGGAAGTAACTGCTTTACAGACTGAGATTGTTGAGGAATGGAAACTGGTGCGTTGCCACCTAGACCCAGTCTCATTGACTGACCAACACTGTAACCCTGGCCTACAGATTTGACTCCATAGTTGTTCTGCTGCAGATGAACACTGGACATCATGTTGACTCCTGTAGAATTTAAGTTAGGCTTTGGTATTGAGAGTCGATTCACCATCTGCTGTGATGGTAAAGACCGGACATTTCCAGAAGCAAGGGAACCGATCCTTGGTGGGAGTCCCATGCTCTTCTTGTCTTGAGGTTTGGGAGCAATTAGCATCAAGGGTTTGGATCGGGGAACCACTACATTTGTGTGCCCAATCATGGCAGTGACCTGATAGCCTATACGTTCATGGTCTTCGATGACATGCTGTACCAAAGCTTCATAGGACTTTGGCATGAAAAGGCATCGCTTGCAGTGAATACTACTCTCTTCTCGGGCATTCGAGCCTAAGGGGACTGCCCCATTGAGTGATTTTTCTCCTGCCTTTGCTATGTAAGGTGCTGCCACATGCTGAAAATGTTCCCTGTAAATGTGCTTCCTAACTATTTCATAAAGAGGATCTCGGTAAGTGCACTTCTTACAGTAATAAACAGCTTGCTCTACACTGTCAGCCTGCTTAGGTTTAAGGCCATCATTTTTGTTTTTATCTTTGAAAGTGCTGAGGCTGCTACTTGGTGCGCTGGCGTTCGGAGCATGAAATATTTTAATGTGTGTTTCCAAAGTCTTTTTGTCTGCATTGAAGGTACAGTAGGGGCAATTAAGGAGAATCCTATTTTCAAAGTCTTCACTATGGACATTGCGGAAATGACTTTTGTAGGCAGAGAAGAATTTTGAGGAAAATGGACAAGCGCTGCAGCAGAAAGGTTTTGTCCGATAGTCCTAAAGTAAACACAAAAACTAGAATTAGAATGCCACTTCAGATAGGCAGTTAACAGATTCCAGATCCCCCCCGGATATTCTTAATAATGCATTGATTTTAGGCCGCGCGTGGTGGCTCACGCCTGTAATCCCAGCACTTTGGGAGGCTGAGGTGGGTGGATCACCCAAGGTCAGGAGTTCAAGAGCAGCCTGGCCAACATGGTGAAACCCCATCTCAACTAAAAATACAAAAAAATAAGCTGAGCGTGGTGGTGGGCGCCTGTAATCCCAGCTACTTCAGGAGGGTGAGGCAGGAGAATCGCCTGAAGCTGGGAGGTGGAGGTTGCAACGAGCCGAGATCGGCCATTGCACTCCAGCCTGGGCGACAAGAGCGAAACTGTCTCAAAAAAAAGCACTGATTTTAGTATGTTTTCCCCTTTTGTATAGTAACTTTATAAAATAGAAACTCAAAAAAAAAGCTATCTTAAACCAAATATTTTTGTCAGTGTAAATTAAAAAAATGCTAAGTTCTTTCTCAATGTTTAGGGAAAAAAAGTCACATTTTAGCTAAACCAAAGACAAATGACTTGAAGATAAACATTTTGCAGCTAGAAATAACAAGAATAACCTAAATGAAGGAAGTTACTAAAGACTTCAGGTTTACTATACAGTCATGTGTTGCTAAACCACAGGGATGCATTCTGAAAAATGTATCATGGTGTGAAATCCTCAAGTGTGTATTCACACAGACCTAGATGGTAGAACCTACTACACGCCTAGGCTACATGGCATAGCTTATTGCTCTTAGGCTACAAACCTGTACAGCATGTTTCTGTACTGATTACCATAGGCAATGATTAACACAATGGTAAATATTTGTATGTTTAAACATAGCTGAGCACAGAAAAGGTACAGTAAAAATACAATGTAAAAGATAAATGATACCATGAACAAAGCTTACAGGACTAGAAGTTACTCTGGGTGAGTCAATATGAAAGCCTGGGACATTACTGTACACTACTGTAGACTTTATGAACACTTAGGCTACACAAGTTTTACTAAAAAAAAAATTTTGAGACAAAGTCTCACTTTGTTGCTCAGGCTGGAGTGCAGTGGCACAATCGGCTCACTGCAGCCTCAACCTCTTGGGCTCATGCGATCCTCCCACCTCCGCCTCAGTCCTGGGGACTACAGGTGTGTGCCACCACACTAGGGTAAATTTTGTAGAGACAGGGTCTCCCTCTGTTGCCCAGGCTGGCCTTGAACTCCTGGGCTCGAGCAATCCTCCCGCTTTGGCTTCCCAAAGTGCTGGGATTGCAAGCCGCTGTGCCGAGCCCTAAAAAATATTTTTTCTTCAATAATAACCTCAGCTTGCTGTGGTTTATACACTTTTAAATTTTTAACTTTTTGACTCTTTTGTAGTAATACTTAGCTTAAAACACAAACAGATTGGCCAGGCACAGTGGCTCACACCTGTAATCTCAGCACTTTGGGAGGCCCAGGCGGGTGGATCACCTGAGGTCAAGAGCTTGAGACCAGCCTGACCAACATGGTGAAACCCTACCTTTACTGAAAATAAAAAAAATAGCTGCACATGGTGGCAGGCACCTGTAATCCCAGCTACTCGGGAGGCTGAGGCAGGAGAATCACTTGAATCCAGGAGGCAGAGGTTGCAGTGAGCCAAGATCACAGCACAGCACTCTAGCCTGGGCAACACAGCGAGACTCCGTCTCAGAAACAAACAAAAACCCCCAAAACAAACACATTGTACAGCCGTACAAAAATATTTTCTATCTTCATATGCCTATTCTATAAGCTTAAAAAAATTTGTTTTAAAAAAAAACTTTCCCAGCACTTTGGGAGGCCAAGGCAGGTGGATCACAAGGACAGGAGTTCGACACCAGCCTGGCCAACATGGTGAAACCTCATCTCTACTAAAAATACAAAAAATTAACCGGACGTGGTGGCAGGCGCCTCTAATTCCAGCTACTCAGGAGACTGAGGTTGCAGTGAGCTGAGATCGTGCCATTGCACTCCAGCCTGGGCGACAAGAGCAAGACCCCGTCTCAAAAAAAAACCAAAAACTTTAAAAACATTTTTTTTCTTAAAAGCTAAGACACAAACGCATACGTTAGTCTAGGCCTACAGAGAGTCAGAATCAACAGTATCACTATCTTCCACCTTTACATCTTGTCCCACTGGAGGGTCTTCAGGAACAGTAACACACATGGAACTGCCATCTCCCATGGTAACAATGCCTTCTTCTGGATAACTGCAGAAGGACCTGCCTTAGGCTTTTCTTGAGGAGGTCTCACACTTACCAAGAATAAGCCCACGGTGCTTTGTTTCCTTTTTTCATCATAGATTTGATTGTAAGCAGATAATGAACCATGAATATTCTTCTCTATTAATAAAAACCTTTTGGTATTGAGATCCATGTTTTCAAACTTTTTTGTTGTTGTTTGAGATGCAGTTTTTTTGCTCTTGTCACCCAAGCTGGAGTGCAATGGCACAATCTCGGCTCACTGCAACCTGCACTTCCCGGGTTCAAGCGATTCTCCTGCCTCAGCCTCGTGGCTGGGATTACAGGCGCCCCACCACCACGCCCGGCTAATTTTTTTGTATTTTTAGTAGAGACGGGGTTTCACCATGTCGGCCAGGCTGGTCTTGAACTCCTGACCTCAGATGATCCACCAGCCTCGGCCTCCCAAAATGCTGGGATTACAGGCGTGAGCCACCAAGCCCGGCCACGTGTTTTCAGACTTAAGGAGCTTGCTGAGGTCTGCACTGCTAAATCCTTCACTGAATTTTCTTGAGGGTTCTTCTTTTGCTTTTCCTGCAGTTTCCTTTTCTCTTTCCTCTTCACCTATGCGGGAACTTGTTCTAGTTCCCACAGCTCCTCACCAGTCAATTCCTCAGGAATCACCTCTAGGAGCTCCTGTTGTCCTCATCCACACCCCGGTTAAAGTTGTTTGCCATCTCAATCACAGACTTTGTGATTTATGCAAATCCTTTTAAGTCATGGACAAACCTCTTGAGTGTATTCTTCCAGATGCCATTCATACACTCCTTGATGACATCAACCCAAGCCCAAGCAAGATTCTTAATGCAGTCACAGATATTGCAATCCTTCCAGAATTGTATCAGAATCTTCTCAGTGTCTCCCTAAGCTGCGACGACAGGACAAAGGCCTTTCTCAGATAGTACGCCTTAAAAGCTGCTGTAACTCCATCAGTTGGATCAAAGAGGTGGTGTTTGATACTGGGATGAAAAACACCACTTAAAGGAGGCATTTGCTTATCAGCGACAATAAGCAAAAGCTTGAAGGGTATGTTATTCTCTCAATACTACTTCTCCACTTCGCAGGCATATCTATTCAGGAGGGCATCTTGAAAGAGGAGCAGGGTCACCCACGACTTCTTATATCTCCTGCAGTGCACTGGCCAAGTGTGTGTGTATTGATATGCTTGAAGCCCCTAGGGTTCTCAACATGCCAAATCACAAAGGGTTTCAATTTGTGGCCTGCAACATTGCCCCCAAGCAAGACTGTCATCCAGTCCTTAAAAGACTTGAAGCCTGGCATTGCTTTGGTCTACCTCATGGATCAAAGTCCTTTCAGGCATCTGTTTCCAGAATAGAAAGGTTTCATCCATATTGAAAATTTGTTCTGGCAAGTGATTTTCCTCCAGACTCAGCTTATCTAGAGTTTCCCAAAATTCTTCCGCTGCCTTTACATCAGCACTCACAAACTCACCACTTTCCCATTATGTAATGAATAACGATTCTTGAATTGTTTACACCACCCAGAACTAGCAGTCAATTCAACATCACAGCCAGGTCCAGCCTTTTCTTTCAACACCTCAAACACACTTTTTGCTTTGGGATCATCATGGTGCTGAGAGGTACACAGCACCGTGTGCACCTGTGTCTGCTCTTCAATCCAGGTCATCAGAAGCTTGTGTGTGTCTGATAAAGGCCCTTCTTGAATTTTTGTTAGTCTCATTGCCTTCAATGAAGCAGATGCTTTAACAGCTTCTGTCACTTTGTTCTTGTTCTTCAAGATCATAGCTATGGTAAAATGGGACAAGCCTGACTGGCAAGAAATAACCATCACTGATTCTCCACCTTCGTAGTCCTTAATCACTTCTGTTTCCAGGTCAATCACTCAACATGGCCCCTTACTGGCAACATTATGGATTTTGTATGCTTAGGGGCCATGATGAACAAAATACCATGAGATTAAACCATGCACAAGAATGATGCAATCAAGAGACACAGTGAACACAAGCTGTATGAGGCTGCTACCAGTTACCATGAAAAGCTGTTTTAAAAAGTAGGAGTACACTCTAAAATAAAAAGTATATATAGTAAATACATAAACTGGCAATACGGTTTTTAACTGTCATTATCAGGAAGTCATGTGCTGATGTTTTCTGTCTAGTACAGACTGCATATGGGACTATGTTCCCCCAAGATTATAACGGGGCTGAAAAATTTCTGTCACCTAGTATTTACTATACAGTTGACTCTTCAACAACATAGGTTTGAACTGCTTATATGTGGATTTTTTCCAAACAAATGTAGATCAAAGATACAGTATTCTTGGGATGCTCAAACCCTCTTATACAGAGGGCTAGCTTTTGGTATATGCAGGTTCTCCAGGGCCAACTGTGGGACTTAAGTATGCAAGGATTTTGGTAATGAGGTTTTTTTTTTTTTTTTGAGATGAAGTCTTGCTTTTGTCCCCCAGGCTGGAGTGCGATGGCACGATCTCAGCTCACTGCAACCTCCACCTCCCAGGTTCAAGCGATTCTCCTGCCTTCCCCGCTCCCACTTCCAACCTCCAGTAGCTGGGATTACAGGCATCTGCCACCACACCTGGCGAATTTTCGTATTTTTAGTAGAGAGGGGGTTTCACCATGTTGGCCAGGCTGGTCTCGAACTCCTGACCTCAGGCGATCCACCTGCCTCGGCCTCCCAAAGTGCTGGGATTATAGGCATGAGCCCAGCGCCCGGCCGGTAATGAGTTTTTAATCATTATTTGAGTGTACCACTTACTTCTATATTTTTTAAAAAAAAGTTAACTCTAAAACAGCCTCAGCCAGATCCTTCAGGAGGTATCTAGAAGACGACACTGCCATCACAGGAAATGATGGCTCCATGCGTGTTACTGCTCCTGAAAACCTTCCAGTGAGACAAGCTGTGAAGGTGGCAATGGTAATACCATTGATCTTGACCCTGTGTAGGCCTAGGCTAATTATGTCTGTGTCTTAGTTTTTAACAACAGTTTAAAAAGTTAAAAAAAAAAAAAAAGTTTAAGACTAGGAAAAAGCCTGTAAGCATATGAAGACAAAATATTTTTATACAGCTGTACAATTTTTTTTTTTTTTTTTTTTGGAGCGGTAGCAAGATTCATTATGAAGAGTGAAAGGACAAAGCTTCCGCAGTGTGGAAGGGGACCCGGGCAGGTTGCCGTGTTTGTGTTTTAAGCTAAGTGTTATTACAAAAGATTCAGAAGTTAAGAATTTTAAAGTTTTACTTTTTATGTAGCCTAAGTGTGTTTATAAAGTCTACAGTGATGTACAATAATGTCCCTTCATATTCAGTCACCACTCAGAGCAACTTCCAGTCCCGCAAGTGCCCAATATAGGTGTACCAATTTTTCTTTTATATTGCATTTTTACTGTACCTTTTCTATGCTTCACTATGTTTAGAAACACAAATACTTACCATTGTGTTAATCACTCTTATAGTATTCAGTATATAGTATTCTCTTATAGTAACATGCCATACAAGTTTGTAGCCTAGGAGCAACAGGCCATACCATATAGCGTAGGGGTAATAGGAGGCTATACCACCTAGGTCTGTGTAAGTACCCTTTATGATGTTTGTACAACAATGACATCACCTAACAGGGCATTTCTCAGAATGCATCCCATCATTAAGCAATGCACGACGGTATTATACGCTGTAAATAACTGTATGTGCTATACTTCTATGACTGGCAGCACAGGTGTGTTTACATTAGTATCACTACAAACATGAATCATATGTTGCGCTATGATGTCATAAGGTAGCAAGTTTTTCAGCTCAATTATATTCTTATGGGACCACTGTCGTAGATGTAGTTCATCACTGACCAAAATGTCGTTATGTGGTGAATGACTGCGGTAAAATTCAGGGCCCACGATGTTTTAGTGCAATTAGACAATTACAAGAGATAAAGCTATATCTTTTATTCCTTTCCTCATTATGGATAAATTTTCATAGAAAAAAGGCAAATCTCCATTTTTTCCTCTGATTAAAGTACAGTGTAGTATCAGATTCAGCGCTGATCAAAAGAAAGACTGATTTGAAAAGTTGGCTTTCTTCTATAAGCCTTGCTGTTCCTTCTCAACCAAGAACACTTCAAAAGAGCTAATGAAGTAATAGCTGCTTTGATTCAAATCAAGAAGTTAAATAAAAATGTCCTACAGACTGTGAGGAGGGTGAGGTATTTAAAAGCCAATAATACATTATAGAATATACTGATATCAAAGAGCAACTTTCAGAATTATGATTGTTAACACCTATGCAGTCAGTCCTTTGATGAAGGCAGGTGAACTGACATGCTTGGTAAGAGATTATCTTTTCTCCCTAGAAACCTACTTGTTTCAGATACTGGTTTGAACCATGATGAAATACTCTGCTTCTCCTCAAAGCTCAACTCTTCTTTAGTATTCAGCTATGAGGCTTTCAGATTGATAAAACTGAATTAAATAAATGATGTGTCCCACTGGAAAGCATTCTCATTCTAAGACTGCTGGTTAGTAACTTTGCCTGGGGTATTTAAAAAAAAAAAAAAAAAAAAAAAAAAGTCAAATATCTGAGTACTAATTTCCTGAAAAGTATGTTCCGATAGATGAACAGATCATTAATGCAGAATGAGAATCACTCCTAAAATAGGTAATGGTAAAAATTAAATTGACAATTACCTCTCTCTATGCAGAAGGAAATATCACCTATATGACATCATCATCATCTATTGATACTTGCTGGCAGTGCTAATATTGTTTTTAATGCCAATTTGTAAGAAGTTTTATCTCTCTGTCACTGACATCCTACAGAGTCACTTCCCCAGGCCTCCCATAGAAGTTGGGTGCCATCAACATAGGGAAATAAGAAAAGCTTAAATGTAAGGAAGGGTCTTGTCTTTTTCTGTGCAGAAAAAACAAGAATGGCAACACAGATGCAGAAAAATAGAGCCAGAGCACTTTTAGGGGAAATGGTGGGATACAGCAGGCTTCGTAACTTTTAAGTAACAAAATTTTGTTTCTTCTTACACCTCAAGTTTTAGTCCAATGACAAAAAAGGACAAAAAGTTTTTCTTAGTCTTCCCACTGGTCAGGAAAATATGAAATGCAATTTTGACACTTTCGATGTTTGGCACTTGCCCGCAATCACTGCACCGCTATAAAAGGCCTAGAGCTGAAAAGGGAGTATACCAAGCATGCTGCCATCTGAGGAAGTCTCCTGTGCCACTTACCTGGTTTTTCGTAAGTGATGGGTCCCACAGTCCTACATCCTCCCATGTAGTGTTTTTCAAATAAAAGTCATTAGGTTCAAATTGTTTAAAATCCTAGAAAACAGTGAAATAAGTTTACAAAAACATAGTGGTATAAACGCTAACCCAATCTTACATGTAAATCTCACCTCTTAACTAAGATGGGGAGAGGCACAGGAAAACCAACGTCAACAAGGACTTAAACTAGGAGTGATAAGGCTCTTAAATATAAAAAGGCATATGGAAGTTGCAGTCTACATTTTATATCAACCAACCACTTTCCTGATGGTCAGTCAGGTTTCCAAGGAAATTGCTGGAAGTTCTAATTAAGTAAAAAATTCAGCCACACACTAATATCAAAGCACTTTTCATTAGAGTACTGTACTCTAACTCGTCAGTTACAGTACTGGAATGGTGTCTAAAATAGCAATGTTTGCTTACAGCACTGCAAATATGATTTCTGGTTCTGTGCAAAAAAAAGATTTTTTTCGAGGGGAGGGGGCAGGAGATCAGATCAGGAAGAAAACTCAAATTTCAAACCCAAAAAGGCAGAAAGAAAGCTATTCAAAGAAAGTTAAGCAGTATGATGTTAAATTTATACTCTCATGTAAAAATTTAATGGTCCACTTCCCTCCAGACTAGGAAGATTAAAAGTCTTAGGGTAAAATCCCACTTGTTCCTAAAAAGTTCACAGTTCAAGGTGGAAAATGAAGTCTACACATAAATAATCATAGGAGGAACAAATCAAATGCATGACAGAAATGTACTGTGATGTTGGTATTAATTATTTCTATGAAGATGACCCCACAGAGTGCAAAGTGAATGGACTGTTTCATTTGGGCAGATCTACCTGAACTCTGGGGTTGGAGAAGGGCTACTTCCACACTTGGAACAACGTGACTAGAGAAGTCAACTTTTGAGCAGCTTCTGTTTCCATGCCATACTCTTCAAGTATTATTAGTGGAACTCAAATTAAGAAAACCTGTTGTATGAATGAATTTGCTTTTTTACTTCCAATTCCATTCAAACACTTACTGATCACCTATTACGTGCAAAACACTGTGCTAGGTGCTGGGGCTAAATGGATAAACAAGGTAGCTATGTTCCCTAGCCACCTAGAACTTAAAGGTTAGTGGGGGAAACAGCTTCAAACATTTCTTTTCAATCAGGGGCTCTGACCAACAAACCATAAGACCTGGAACAGTGAGATGTTGAAAAGGAGACCACTGCATGGCTATCCCACAGAGCTGTTATAAAGCTCATAGAATAAAACAGCTTGAAAAACAGTTC
This sequence comes from Homo sapiens, assembly GCF_000001405.40. Lineage (NCBI taxonomy): Eukaryota > Metazoa > Chordata > Mammalia > Primates > Hominidae > Homo > Homo sapiens. The sequence goes on from NC_000020.11 coordinate 50,903,325, forward strand.
ATAAAGCCCAAACTGTTATACAAGGGGGAAAGTAATAGTCTATGATGGGTCAAAAGGGGCAACAAATGCTCAAATCCTAAGGAAAGAGACAACAAGCACCCACACAAGCACGCCTCAACAATTAGAAGAAGGTCAACCAGAACATTCAGGCGTATCAGAATGAGAACAGGCTTTGAGTCCCACAGACACTGCCACTTTCTCAGCTGCAAGGCTGGGCCTATTTATTTGTTCTTCATCTGTGAAGTGGAGATAAGAACTGCTACACTGCCTCCCGCCTCCATGGTTGTTCTAAGGATTAAATGTATAGACAACTTTACGGCACCTAGTTCAACGCCTGACATGCTTAAGTCCTCAATGGTAGCCTTCTGCTTCAGGATGCAAAAATGAAAAAGCCCATTTTAGGGAGAAAGGCACAAGTTAATGCTATTGAGAATGTTTTCGTGAAGCTACTGCTGTGGCTGAAATTCAGAATCACATCTAAGATTTAGCCATCTTGGCCACTGACACAAAGTAATGGATCAGAAGCTGAGTCATGTTAAAATTTAAAAATGACATGCTACTTACTTCTATATGTTCTTTACAGTATTCCAACCCAATGTCACTAAGTATTTTTTTCACAGTTTTCCGGGCTTTTCTTAAACTGCCAAGATTGTTGACAGGAAGTTGGAACATAGTTTCTATTGGAAAAAAAAATTTAAGTCAAAGTCAAAACACGTACAACTTGTAATATTTACTAATTCCACTGATGATAGGATCATAAAACCTACCCATCTGACAAAAAAGGTGCATAGATATCCTCATCTAGTGTGTACACACACAGACACACACCTGCTTTCATGTGCATATGGCTTGATATATCCATCCATCCATCCTTCCTTCCTTTTCTTAAGACAGAGTCTTACTCTGTCGCGCAGGCTGGAGTGCAGTGCACTCATGGTTCATTGACTGCAGTGCACTCACGATTCACCATAGCCTCAACCTTCTGGGCTCAAGTGATCCTCTCACCTCAGCTTCTCAAGAGGAAGGGACTCCAGGAGTGCGCCACTATGCCCAACTAATTTTTAAAATTTTTTTGTAGAGACTAGGTCTCACTATGTTGCCAAGGCTGCTCACAAACTCCTGGACTCAAGCCATCCTCCTGCCTTGGCACCCCAAAGTGCTGGGATTATAGGCGTGAGCCACTGAGCCGAGCACATATCTACTATATTTTGAATACTTAAAGCAGGCAGGCAAAATAAGTACTCTCTGATTTTCCCAGTTTTTAACAGGACATTTTGACTATGAGTCTAATCTGGCATAATTCTGATAAGACTTAACAACAGTTCAGTAATGAACTTCAAGATGAAAATTAGAGAAATACTAGCAATCAATTATTTTTAAATCAAGTGTTAGTGCTTTTCTCATTTTGATGTTGAACATCTGAAAACAGAAAAATGCTTACCAGTTCATCATCATTACAGTTTTGAGTGCCAGGGTAAAGAGGTTTTTGTTGAATTGGAACTGTCCTGCCTACTGCTACGGTATTCTTTAAAACAAAAACAAAAACAAAAACAAAAACAAAAAAACCTTAAGTTTCTGTATACTCCCCAAACTAAATACAGTAATGATATGTGACTCGACCAATGCATGCCCCCACTCCACCCCTGCCTGCAACGTACCTGGGCAAAGGTACTCAAAAATGTTAACTGTTACAGACTTTAAGGAGGGTACTTTTGAAAAAAATGAAAAGCCTGTATGTGTCTAAGGGAACTCAAAAATTATTTTAATGACCTAATACATTAAATTAGAAATTCATATCAACTTTCCCAAGTTCCTTAAAACAGAAGTTTGTCTTTAATGAGAAAATAAAATCAGTAAAACCTGGGCAGCTGAGAATATGTATGGTTTCTAATGAGATCAGAAATGCTTCCCATAATATGGTAAAAATTTATCAATTTAATAATCCAAATCTAACACAATTTCGCAGGATATAAAGTAGTTCTAAAACCCAAAACAGCAAAAACAAAAGACAAAGCACCAGGAATTAAAATTTAATATATGCAAATCCAGTTTTCTAATTAACAAAGGCTGTTACTCTGTAATACCAATATCATCTGTAAATGGCAAGTCAACTAATCCAAATGTAATAAAATGCTGCCTCATTTATTATTCTAATCCAAAATCAACGTTAACTATAAAAAAATGGAAAATAAAAGGAGAAAGAGTGAAATCTACCAAAATCAAAGAGTAACCCCTAGAAATTTTGAAACTGGGTACGTTACTCTAACTTAGAAGTCTCAAAATATTCTATATGAAGTACCAAAGTCTAATTGGGGCCGAAAATGAAAAGTATTTCAAAAAAACCTTCTAGGCCTTATCATACTCAAGATAGAATTGCTGCTCACTATGAAGCAATGACTATGGTGTCCCCTGCTCTCTCTGCTATGCTAATAATCTGCATATTGTGAAGCCAACTACAGACTTAGAAGTCACTTCTGATATAAATTAAGACCAAATCAATTATTTTTTGTCCAAATTTTATTGCTAAATTGTTTTAAACCATCTTTTGTGGTGGCTTAAAACCAGCAAATTCTTTATCACTTGCTTAATTTAAAACAGTTAGTACACACTGGGCATGGTGCCTCACGCCTGTAATCCCAACACTTTAGGAGGCCGAGGAGGGCAGATCACGAGGTCAAGAGATCGAGACCAACCTGGCCAACATGGTGAAAACCCGACTCTACTAAAAATACAAAAAATTAGCTGGACGTAGTGGCACGTGCCTGTAATCCCAGCTACTCGGGAGGCTGAGGCAGGAGAATCGCTTGAACCCGGGAGGCAGAGGTTGCAGTGAGCCAAGATCGCACCACTGCACTCCAGCATGGCGAGAGCGAGATTCCATCTCAAAAACAGACAAACAAAAAACACATACAGTTACTACAAACCAGGTCTTTTAGAGAGAAGCACATGTTAGAAAAATATTTCAGAAATACAGAAAAGTGTCACAGGCTAATTCTGAAGAAACCAGGTATTAAAATGGATGCCCACAGATACCTAAGACTGGGAAGAGACATCTTGTTTCTCTGTTCATTTCATAAACTCTCTATGGGCCAAAATTCAGTTCTTTGGGAACTTCCTGAGTTAACTCTGCTTCACACTTCATAACAGATGTGTCCAGAAGCCAGCCATTAATGGTTTCCCTGCCTCCTGGATGAGTGGCTCAACAATCTCAGAAAAACAAAGACATAAAGATTTGGAAATGCAGCCACCACTGGGGTCATTAGTCTATAGAAAACATAAAAAAGAATCAAGCGGCAGCTTGGGGGAAAGAAAAACCCATTCTTCTAAGTGCCTACCCACAGCTTAAAAAGTCGGTTTAAGACATTAAGATGAAGCATCTCACTGCCTGGTAGGTATTTTTTTCTGAAAAAGTGAGTATGCCCATAAGGGAACTTAGTTGTAAGAAACTTGTAATTTATAAAAAGCGGTATTTCAGCCACAGAGTTGGTGTTGGGTTTACTTATCTATTTTGAATTTAAAAGGCTTATAAATAAAGCAGTGACACTGCTTACTGGGAAATGCTGTACCAAAAAATGTTATCTTGCTGTAGGCTTGGCAACTAGGAGAAATCTGTATTTTTTTTTTGAGACAGGGTTCCAGTTTTTTTTTTTTGTTTTTTTTTTTGAGACAGTCTCGCTCTGTCACCCAGGCTGGAGTGCAGTGTCACGATCTTGGCTCACTGCAAGCTCCGCCTCCCAGGTTCACACCATACTCCTGCCTCAGCCTCCTGAGTAGCTGGGACTACAGGCGCCACCACCATGCCCAGCTAATTTTTTGTATTTTTAGTAGAGATGGGGTTTCACCGTTTAGCCAGGATGGTCTTGATCTGACCTCGTGATCCGCCCATCTTGTGATCCGCCCATCTCAGCCTCCCAAAGTGCTGGGATTACAGCCACCGCGCCCGGCATTTTTTTTTTTTGAGACGGAGTTTTGCTCTTGTTGCCCAGGCTGGAGTGCAATGGCACAAATCTTGGCTCACTGCAACCTCTGCCTCCCAGGCTCAAGCAATTCTCCTTCCTCAACCTCCTGAGTAGCTGGGACTACAGGCGCGTACCACCACATCGTGCTAATTTTTGTATTTTTAATAGAGACAGGGCTTCACCATGTTGGCCAGGCTGGTCTCAAACTCCTGACCTCAGGTGATCCACCTGCCTCAGCCTCCCAAAGTGCTGGGATTACAGGCGTGCACCACCATGCCTGGCCAGGAATGTATGTTCATGTTAACTCACGTTAACGCCTGGCCAGGGTTCCACTTTTCATCCAGGCTGGAGTGTAGTGGTGTAATCATAGCTCACTGCAGCCTTGACTTCCTGGGCACAAGTGATCTTCCCACCTCAGCCCCACCAGCTGGGACTACAGGTGCACACTACCTAGACGCCTGGCTATATTTTGTGTGTGTGTGTGTGTTTTTTTTTGTAGAGATGGGGTGTTGCCATGTTGCCCAAGCTGGTCCTGAACTCCTGAGCTCAAGTGATCTGCTGGCTTTGGCCTCCCAAAGTGCTGGGATTACAGGTGTGCACCACCATGCCTGGCCAGGAATGTATGTTCACATTAACTCAGAACATTCTACAACTTTCAGTGTAAAGATTATAATGCTCTTCATATGCGTATTTCTGACATTCCTAATAACCTTGGAAATTCCATAATCTCCCTTTCTCCAGAACAAAGTGTGCCCTCCATGCATTTGTTCATGGAGATCATTTCTCTAAGATTTTCTCCATTTGCAGCTGAAGTAACAGTCATATACACTGGCACCTTCAAAAGCATTTGCAAAGATTTTTCTGTTTTTTTTTTTTTTTTTTTTGCTTTAAATACTTTTCTCAGTAGATAAAACAAGCACACAATTCAGAAATATAAGCAAAGAAGGCTTCCTTCTCACTCTTATCCCTCCAGCCACGCAGCTCCCCATCCCAGAAGGGGCCACTGTTACCCTTTCTTGTGAGTGTTTTGAACTATAACAAGCCAAACAATTCTTTGGAAAAAAGTTTCAACCAAACTCTATCAGTCAATCATTATGGGTGATAAGAAAAAGAAGAGAAGGACCCTATGTTTCTTTGCAGCTACTGCTTGCTGTTAAGAAACATAAGTTCAAATCAATAGCTGGCTCCAGGGTTCATTAATGTTATCTAGGCTGGGCGCGGTGGCTCATGCCTGTAATCCCAGCACTTTGGGAGGCCAAGGCGGGCGAGTCACGAGGTCAGGAGATCGAGACCATCCTGGCTAACATGGTGAAACCCCGTCTCTACTAAAAATACAAAAAATTAGCTAGGCGTGGTGGTGGGCACCTGTAGTCCCAGCTACTTGGGAGGCTGAGATAGGAGAATGGTGTGAACCCAGGAGGCAGAGCTTGCAGTGAGCTGAGATCGAGCCACTGCACTCCAGCCTGGGCGACAGAGTGAGACTCTGTCTGCAAAAAAAGAAAAAAAAAGTTATCTATTTGATTCTCCTTTATAAATGTGGACAAGGGATCCATACTTAAGTAACTGAGGGGTGGGAACAGAATAGATAAGAAATTGTCTCTGCCTGAAATTCAAGGCCCTTTCCTCACTTTCGAATGCAAAGAGAGCTAAAAACTAAAATACAGGTAATTATTACTCTTAGGGAGAAAGAAACCTTAACACTAATGCCAAAAATTGTCCCAGAGATGGGTTTTGACATGCAGAAGGATAGCTAATCCCTTCTCTTTTGCCTCATTAGGATGGCCATTAAAAAAAAAAAAAAAATTTGCCAGCCATGGTGGCTCACGCCTATAATCCCAGCACTTTGGGAGGCCGAGGCGGGCGGAACACCTGAGGTCAGGAGAGTAGCCTGACCAACATGGAGAAACCCCGTCTCTGCTAAAAATACAAAATTAGCTGGGCATGGTGGCACATGTCTGTAATCCTACTACTAGGAAGGCTGAGGCAGGAGAATCGCTTGAACTCCAGAGGCGGAGGTTGTGGTGAGCCGAAATTGCACCACTGCACTCCAGCCTGTGGGCGACAAGAGTAAAACTGTCTCAAAAAAAAAAAAAAAAAAAAAAAAAAAAAAGAAATCAGATGAGCATCATTATTCCAACACCAAGGAGAACTAGCTCCCTTCAGCCGAACCTTTCAGCTCATGACATAAAAAAAGAAAAATATCCAATTTAACAAACCTATATATTGTTCATCTGTTAGACAATCATTTTCAGAGCACTTGCACTTAGCCACTCAACTGTGCTAGGAATAGAGAGATGAGTAAGACATGGTTCTTCTTCCCCTTCAACAGTCCATTTCTTCCAGCTTAGAATACACATAGCCAGCCCTCAATCAGTAGGGTTTAGACACCTGTTTTTGCCTGCCCAGCCTCCTCTTGGAAACGCCTCTGCCACGATTGATGGAAGACAGAAAGTCACTTTTCCAGCAGAGCAGAGTACACATGACTCAGTTTGACTAGTTAAGAATATTTCATCTATGTAAGATAATGACCAGTAGAGTTGGACATGTCCCCCGAACAGGGATGACGTGACGCTGAAAAGGAGAGTTGAGACCTGCCATCACATGAAGGAAGCAAAGGGAACAATTCCTATTGATATTGTTTAAGGTCCTCAATCCAGCTGTGCCCGAAGAACAGCACTTCCCTATGCCAGCCTTTTCCAATATATAAACACACACATTATCGTTTCTGCCTAAGCTAAGTTCTTGTCACCCACAACCAAAAGTCTTGACAGACCCACTGGGCAGGCGGACACAGAAGAGAAAGTGAATAAATAAGAGGGAAGATAGGGTATTTATGCAAAATAATTACACTTGTGAACTGAGTCTAGTAGAAAGAACAGGAGTTTGAAAGATGAAAGTTACTCTAAAAAATGCTTTGACTCTGATTTCATGAAGTAAAAAAACAAAAAACACTATATGAGAAGAGTTAAACACCCTAAATTCTAGAATTCAGAGAAAGCTCAATGACCTATTAATAACAGAATTAACATTTGCAAGTATTTTATTTACGACTGAAAGTAACTAGGTGTGGGTGCAATGTCTCACACCCATAATCCCAGCATGTTAGAGGGCCGAGTTCAAGACCAGACTGAGCAACACAGCAAGACCTATGTTTCTATAAGAAAGCATGGGTGTGGACCTGTGGTCCTAGATATACAGGCGGCTGAGGTGGGAGGATCACTTGAGCCCAGGAGTTCAAGACTGCAGTGGGCAATGATCGTGCCACTGCACTCCAGCCTGGGTGACAGAGTAAGGCCCTGCCTCTAAATAAATAGAGAGTAACTAGCTTTTTGGTAAGCACATGCCATCTGATGAACTACATGTAAACATTCAATTATTATTATTTTTGAGAAAGGGTCTCACTCTGTGTTACCCAGGCTGGAGTGCAGTGGTATGATCACAGCTCACTGCAGCCTCAATTCTCCAGGCTCAAGCAATCCTTCTGCCTCAGCCTCGCAAGTAGATGAGACTAGAGGTATGCGCCACCACATTCAGCTAATTTTTTAAAAAAATTTAATAGGGGTCCTCCCTATGCTGCCCAGGCTGGTCTCCAACTCTTGAGCTCAAGTGATCTTCCCACCTCGGCCCCGCAAAGTGTTGGGATTACAGGTATGGGCCACCGTGCCCAGCCAACGTTCAATTCTGGAGACTAACACTGTTGAGTGAACTAGCCATACTCATTCCTATTAGTCTTTGCAAATTATACCCACATCTACTGATTAGGGCCCAAACATTAACGTTTTACTAATCCAGGCCCATATCCTATTCATGTGCTTTCTTACAAAGCAAGAGTCAGACAGCTGGAATGAAAATCTAAGATTCATCTAGGCCCTAGGCTACAGATAAATTAAAACCATATGCATGATATTTGTATCTGTGCAGAAACTTTTTCAGTTTAAGTCCCATCTATTTTTGGTTTTGTTGCTTGTGCTTTTGAGGTCTTAGTCATGAATTCTTTGCCTAGACCAATGTCCATGAGAGTTTCCCCCAGGTTTCCCTAGTTTCAGGTCTCACTTTGAGTCTTTTTTCTATCTTGAGTTGATTTCCGCATACGGTGAGAGATAGGGGTCTAGTTTCATTCTTCTGCACTATGGCAATCCAATTTTCCTACCAACACTAACTGAAAAAGATGTCCTTGTACATTATTTGGGTGATGGATACACTAAAACCCAGATTTCTTTTCTTTTCTTTTTTTTTTTTTTGAGACAGTTTCACTCTTGTTGCCCAGGCTGGAGTGCAATGGCATCACCCAACAGATGACAGTCCCAGTTTAGCAGGCTCAAGGTAAAGTCTGCAGGATCTGGCACACCAAGAATTAGTGGAGCTTGTCTATGGTAGTTCTGCAGAGCTACCACATCAAGGATGGCACCATATAGTCTGTATTTTTACGGGCAGAAAAAAAGCAGAAAAGCATTTACTAGTATCATCTGAAAGAAAGACAAAACAAACAAAAAGATAAGCCTGTTTTAGATAAGCAAAAGACAACCCAGCTACCTCTGAACAGGCACAGATAAGCCAGAAGAAAAAGCTAGCCTCTAAGTCCAACTTGTCCAGATTACATTTTAAACTACTCCAAGTGAGGATCTAGTGTGTCATAGTGTGTCCTACTTTCCTTCAACTGCAGGTGTAAACTTTGCTACTTTATAATGTTCGGGAACCAAAACCTGAACATAACCCAAAGTGATGACTAATGTATCAGTTACACTAGTGAATGCAAAACTTTCATTTCCACTAAGAAAAGCATATCTAATATTGCACTGAGAGCTACACAAGGATCCTTACTTCTTCCTGGTTAACACCTAAACATAAGCTGCACTTAGCCTAAACTAGTGATTTTCAAACCTTATTTTTTTTGAGACGGAGTCTCCCTCTGTTACCCAGTGGCATAATCTCAGCTCACTGCAACCTCTGCCTCCCAGGTTCCAGCGATTCTCCCACCTCAGCCTCTCGAGTAGCTGGGATTACAGGCACGCGCCACCAGGCTGGGCTAATTTTTTTTATATTTTTAGCAGAGATGGGGTTTCAGCATGTTGGCCAGGCTGGTCTCGAACTCCTGACCTCAAGTGATCTGCCTGTCTTGGCCTCCCAAAGTGCTGGGATTACAGGTGTGAGCCACTGCGCCTAGCTTCAAACTTTTTATTTTTTAAAAGCTGTGAAACCCGTTTCCAAAGGAATCTTAGGTGAAATATAAAAAAGATAAAAACTAGAGGTGCTCAGGTTGAAAGAAAAAAAGGTTCCCTGCCCCCAAGTACCTCCACGAAATAGTTACTCATCTAAACTAAGCCCATGACGCAAATTTATGCAAAAGTGGCAGGTTACTGAAATGTAGAATCTGGGCCTAGTGGGCAATCAAACCAAAGCATGAAGTTTGATGGCTATAGCAGAATTCTGATAGTTTACTGAAAATCTTCACCAATTATTATTAGTCTGATCAAAGTATGAAGTGATAGGGAATCCACAGTAAACCTAAAGGATCAGAAAATAAAGTTCACACTGTGATTTTTAAAAAAACATTTCTACCCTAAAGTTGTAAAGAAAAACACAGTCTCTCTGGGATTATCTTTTACCTGGGGTTGGGAGAAGAGAAGAGTGTGGAATCAAGGGCTAGGAATGACGCTATTACTAGTGAAGAAAACGGCAGCTGTCAGGATGGGCGCCATGGCTCATGTCTGTAATCCCAGCAGTTTGGGAGGCCAAGGAGGGTGATCACTTGAGGCCAGGAATTCACGACCAGCCTGGCCAACATGGCGAAACCCCATCTCTACTAAAAATACAATAAAATTAGCTGGGCATGGTGGCACATACCTGTAATCCCAGCTATTTGGGAGGCTGAGGCCTGAGAATCGTTTGAACCTAGGAGGTGGGGATTGCAGTGAGCAGAGATCACGCCACTGCACTCCAACCTGGGCAAGAGTGAGACTCTGTCTCAAAAAAAAAAAAAAAAAAAAAAAAAAAAAAAAAAAAAAGGTATCTGTATTTTCTAAGTTAATAAAAATTAGGAAGACAATCAGGCTACTACAATATAAACAATTTCATTTTTTGATAACATCAACCCAAGTTACTATGTAAGAATTTCAGATCCTTGATATTTAAATTATTCCAATTGATGCTGATGCAAGAATTTTTATATATCTCTTATAACCCCCACTGGGGTTTAAGAGTAAGATTTTTGAAGTTTCCTTAAACCAATGATCTAACTAAAAAATGTTAAGTTATGCTGGCAATTTTCTAAGAGGGACAAGCATTTGACTCTCATGAACAGAATCAAAGCATCAGTTAACTGCTACCTGTGACGATAATTTTATTTATTTAAAGAACAGATTTTGTTATGTCTCTGTGGAAACATTTAGTACCTGTTAAGATAAAAACTAATCAGAAAGAAAACATCAATCCTGGGAAAGCAAAACAGACGGGTGTGTGTCTAAACTTATGGTCTGCAACTTGGCCTACAGAGGGAAGCTGGAGGAGGTGAAGGAGAGGATTCTGGCCAATAAACCCCTGGCTATGAGAACTGACCAGGACAGAAGTGCATTGCATTGGGCATGCTCAGCCATACATACATAAATTATTGAATTTTTGTTTCAACTTGGAGTGCCAGTGAATGATAAAGACTATGCGAGATTGGTCTCCTCTTCAGACTGCTGTTTGTGCTGGCCAGAATGAGACTGTAAAAGCCCTTCTGGGAAAAGGTGCTCAAGTGAATGCTGTCAATCAAAATGGCTCTACTCCCCTACATCATGCAGCTTCCAAAAACAGGCATGAGATTGCTCTCATGTTACTAGAAGGTGGGGCTAATCCAGATGGTAAGGATCATTATGAGGCTACAGCAAAGCACCAGGCCACAGCCAAGGGTAACTTCAAGATGATTCATATCCTTCTGTACTACAAAGCATCCACAATCATCCAAGACACTGAGGGTAACACTCCTCCACACTTAGTCTGTGATAAGAGTGGAAGAAGCAAAACTGCTGGTGTCCCAAGGAGCAATATTTACATAGAGAATAAAGAAGAAAAGAAACCCCACAAGTGGCCAAAGGTGCCCTGGGTTTAGTACTCAAGAGAATGGTAGAAGGTTAAACAGCTTGGATTTCTTCTTACTTTCTATGTTGTGATGCTGTCCCCAGTGTCCTGGAAACTAACATACTTGGGCACAGGACATCATCTACAAATGTTTTCTCACCTTCAAAGTCTTATAAACATGTTGACTATTGTTCCTGCTGAGGTTCTTATTCTAAACTTACGGCTTGCTTTCTGGGCACTGAGTAACTGCTGACTGTTCTACTGTTGTCACATATTCTTGTATACTGAATTTCGGCTAATTCTGAGTAAGTGATTCCGTGGCTGTTGTTAATCTTCAGCAACCTCCGAGCATGCACCTTGTATCAGTCTCTGAAATAGAATAGCTCCAATAGCAACAGGCTAGTCGTTCTGCTAGATGGTTCTAGGTGGACTCCGTGATGTTCCTCCATACAGTTAAACATCCTAACTTGTTTCTCAAGCTCACTCAGGCCTATGCCAGACAGTTGTTTTTTTCCCCAACCATGAGATTTTATTTTTGTGATAGGAGGAATATTTACGTATTTCAGTGGACCAAATTTTAAGTTGGGGGTTGTGCTAGAAAATAATGAAAAACAACTTCCCATGTACACGTGTATTTTTTTTTTGATGAGCTATTTGCCAAGATAAAACGTATGGTTTTTTAAAAAGGAAGTTTTAAAGTACCTATATCGAGTCAGCTTACATTGAAAAAATGTCAAGCTTGTTAAAATGATTATGTAACAAAATGTATTCTGATTTGTATTTCAGAAACTAAAAAATAAAATGTTGAAAGAAAAAAACATCATTCTTGTATTTGTGCATTTTCTTTCCTTCCTGCCTTTACCTCAGCAACATATTTAATACCTGTCTATATCACTCATTGAGTCAAAAACTGTGGTCACGGTAAAACCCTATTTCTTCTTATAGCCAATAAGCCCTTATTCTTCCTATTTTAGGATTTGCATCTGAAGTAGTGAACATACTTTATTTGCTTTACATGTGCCATTAAGCCCTACATTTAAATCAAACCAGTTGCAAAAAGGTTTATATATTTGCATTTTAAAAAATTAATCTTACACAGCTTTAAGATTGAGAGCCTACAGCCAGACTGGAAACAATCACCCCACTCAATCTTTTTCTAAAATACACCGCCCTGAACAGAGGTAGCTGATTTCCATTCTCCTATAAGCTTGGGCAAAAGAGCTTCCAGATGCCGGAAACTCTTCATAGAAAGGCAGCTCTGATGCCTCCTCCTTTTCCTCCCCTCCCTCCCCAATCCACAAAACACGTAATTCTGACTATCCAGGGGCAGAATGTTCTTCTGGATTAGCAGATAAAACTGTGCAGCAAGACAGAGGTAAGAAAATAAAGTTTAGTATCCTCTTTCCTTAAGTTTACTAGAAAATGTACAGTAGTACTGAGGCTAAAAAGGGGGGTGAGGGAATTAGAGAACCAGGAAGATAAGAAAGAAAACTACTTTGCAAATGATGACACACGTATGTACTGAAAGCTAAATCTGAATAATGAACATCAATTATATTGCCTAGGATAATCATATTATAACACTCTTAATAAAGATAAGCAGGCAGGAAATGTAACCAGTTTCTGTATTCTTCTATTCTTACTAACTTCATTGGACTTTTACTATTCTCCCAGTTTGATAATAAAAGATAACCAAATACAAAACTGCCTCCAAAAATAAACACTGATTTTCTTCAAGTTTTTAACTGTTATCAATTATTTATATTTTTTATAACTATTTCTTTAGTTAGGAGTGTAAATTTATGCAAGGCGAAAGATGGTATTTATCTAAATATAGCATTCTTTACAAAAACGTTTAGTCAAAGTAATATTTTTTGTCACCTTCCATCAACATGTGTGAATCCTTTCTACAAAAAAAAAGATGCTCTGAAAGATTGTTGCCTGATCACCTCAAGTAAGAGGGCGCACAAAATCCCATCAGGCAGCTCATTCCACACTGGACAGCTTCTGTTCACAAGTTTATGCTTTACAACGCTGTGTAACCTGCCCATAGCTCTCAGGCTATAAATTCCCTAGTCACATGACAGCCTTTCAAAACTTTAAGACACGCCCCTCTTCTCCCAGTTAACCAGGATCAGTTCTTCTCACCATTCCTTCCATGATCTCATAGGCCACTCTCCAAAGGATAAGCTCCAGCTTGTCAGTCTCCCTAGTTCCCTGGATAAACTGTTATTCGGATGTGACATATTCAGGAGATGGTCGAGTGAGACAACAATACTCTAATTCTGGACATTATTTTTCAATTAATGCTCCTGAAAAATACATTTGTGTCAGTGGCATCCACTTCATACATATGACATAAAAAATATTTTTAAAAATATGCAGTGCCTTTTCAGAATTAGCTTGTTCAGCTGATGAGGAAAAAGATAGTTTGGATGGAATCTAAGTAACAATCACCAGTCTTCAGGGTCTCCTCAACTGCAGGAACACAAGCATTCTGTTTCTGAAATGAGGGGGAAAAACAAAACAAAACCAAAAACTAAAAAACAAGTGTCCAGTGCAGGCCTTAGGAAAGTCAAAAGATTGAGATTCATCTTCCAAATCACACCATCAACAGAAATCTGTTATGAAAAAGCAGCACTCTCAATCACTGAAAGAACCTAGGAGCTGCCTAATCTAAACTCTTCTCATCCTACAAATTAGCAGCTGAGGTGAAGCAACTGCTTGCCCATGAGCGAGCTGGGTCTTGAAGCCACCCTCCAGACCTGAGATGCAGCACTCCTGTCACTACCCATGCAGACCAAACTCTATCTTTGGCATTCACTAAAAACAAACAGCAGCATGTTCCCTACGTACATCTGAAAGTGCCAGAACTTCAATACCCAAGGTTGAAATGGTCTTCAAAAATTAAAAGGCTCAGCCAAACCAGCTGAAGCAGCAACACAGAAATTAAGAATCTGTACGTATCTCAAGTCAGTCAGATGATTCCATCACATCCAGAGAAGAATTCAGCTCTAAGGACACTTGTCTTAAATCACTCTTACCATCACCATGGAGGCCAAGAGTCACTAGATAGTCACATTTGAAGAATCTCTTTCTATGCAAATCATAATGGTAATATCTTGTAAAATGAAAACCACAACCTTGGTATTCTTAAATAACAGGCCAGCTTTTCAAAAAACAGATGTATCCTATGTCTCCCCTTTATTATCTTCCCATTGTGAATACTCTAAGCATGTTCTTCTGAAAGTCCCTTGGGAAACTAGACGCTTCCTTTTTTTCAAAGGAGGGAGTTGGTAGGAGCCTGGTCTGTTCTCAACTACCTCCAGGCTCCAGTCAAACTGGGAGAACAGTAAAAGTCCAAAAAGTTACATAAGCAATTGGGAAGCGGGAACACAGGACCACACATAAACTCGTGTATCAATATTCTCAGCAGTATTATTCATAATACCCCCAAAATAGGAACAACTGAAATCAACTGATGATAAATGAAATGTGGTCATATCCACATAATGGGATATGATTGAACCATGAAAAAGAATAAAGTACCGACACATGTTCCAACATGAACCTTGAAAACATTATACTAAATGAATAAAATCAATCACAAAAGGCCAAATATTGTATGATTCCACTCATGAGGTACTTAGAATAAACAAATTCATAGCAACAGAAAAGTAAAATGGTGGTTGCCAGGGGCTGGGTAAAGGAAGAAAAGAGGAGTTATTGTTTAACAGGTATAGAGTTTCAGTTCTGCAAGATTAAAAAAGGCTAAAATGGTAAAGTTTATGTATACTTTACAACAATTAAAAATAAACACATTCTTTTTTTTTAAAGTGGCTACTGGGAAATTTAAGGCAGCAGTATTGATTAGGGAAGGAGACAAAGTCTGCTTATAATTTCAACAGCAGGGTGGTCTGGGTTCAAAATCAGGGGCATTTATCACTGATGGATCTCTTTACCAAAATGTGAATCTTAAGCATTTGTTAATATTACCCAGAAAAGGAGAGAACCTCTAGAACAAACCGTGGATGTAACACAGCATTTTGAAGGTCTATACAAATTTCCAGACCATTTTTGACACTATAATCATTTAATATGAGTGGTAATACATTAATGGAACCTAGGTGGCCCCAAAACCTTTAAGTACTTAAAGAAAAAAAAATGGTAGAGTGTTCACGTTATTGGCAAATCTGCTCCACTCCAAGAGGCCAGGAACAGGATATTATATTACTTTTGGCAATGAAGGCCCTGATTCACTCTGCCTTAACTAATAGATTTAGTACAGCTGGGTTACTTCAGTGAGACGTTCAACTACCTTGTTTTGCAAACTTGAGCATGTGGCAGTAGAGAAAAGATCTTCAGAGAATTCCCATGTGTTAAAATTTCAAATTACCTTCAGTTTCCGCTACAAAAGTAGAAGAACAAGAGGAGAGGTCCTGGGAAAAATGAAATGGAAAGCTTTTGAAAGGTAACAGAATGATGAAAAATTTAATTTTAGCACTTTAAGGAAGTTTTGTTTTCTCTCATGCTGGTGTAGTTCATTTATAGCAAACCAACAATCTAATGGTAAATAAACAGCCTGGTTCATCACATTACCTACCAATTATACAAAAATTATAATCACACTGTGACTTAAAAGTTTTATTTATTTTAAAAGTTCATCACAGGTGATTTCAGAGATTTAGTACAATATCACCTGAAATAGTTAACAGACACGGCTGGCATTTATGTCTACAAATTATTATCATTACATATTATCTTTCAGCACGTTCATTTTCCTGACCTCAATTGATGGACTAAACAGAACTCTTAAAATATGCAGCAGGACAAGGGTGCCATCTCACAGGTGTAGCTCACAGCTCCCAGCACTTTGGAAGGCTGAGGTGGGAGGATTGCTTGAGCCCAAGAGTTCAAGACCAGCCTGAAAAAATACATATATTTAAGTGTATATATATATATATATATATATATGTAAAAAGCCAGGTGTGATGGTGCATGCCTATAGTCCCAGCTACTTGGGAGGCTGAGGTGGGAGAATGGCTTGAGTTGCAGTGAGCTATGATGGTGCCACTATACTCCAGCCTGCGTTACAAAGGGAGACCCTGGAACTTTGGTTTTTTTCCCTGCTGTATCTCTATCATCTATGTCAATGACTAGAACAAAGCAGGCACTCAATAAATTCAGACAGAATGAATGAATCTCTGCCTAGAAAAGGCTTACAGATATGACATCCAATAAATATTTGCAGTAAAAGAGGCGATGTATCAGATGTGTCACAAACTAAATCCTAGGAGGCTTCATGTTTAGTTCATTCTCAGCAGGGAGGGTGGCAACAGCTGCTGAGTTGGGGCCATTAACTTAGGTGAAGAATCTGCATTTACTGCAAAAGACTTCTGGCGCAGTTCCAGAGGCCGGAAAGCAAGGTGTTCTAGGAACTTCTTGCTCAACTCCACTGAGTCAGAATGGTTGCTATGTCAAGCTTCTGAGTAACAAGGAACGACATGATTGGAAAGGCAGGGTGAGGATAGGATGGGGATCTTGAATGTGAAGCTGGAGTCTGCTGCCATGTCTGGTAGGCACCGAGGAGATGCTGCAGGTAACGAAGTACAGAAGGGACATGATTCTAATGGCACTTTAAGAGGATTAATCCAGGCCGGGTGTGGTGGCTCATGCCTGAAATCCCAGCACTTTGGGAGGCCAAGATGGGCAGATCACGAAGTCAGGAGCTCGAGACCAGCCTGGCGAATATGGTGAAACCCCATCTCTACTAAAAATACAAAAATTAGCCGGGCGTGGTGGTGTGCGCCTGTAATCCCAGCTACTCAGGACGCTGAGGCAGAAAAATTGCTTGAATCCGGGAGGCGGAGGTTGCAGTCACTGCACTCCAGCCTGGGCAACAGAGCGAGATTCCACCTCCAAAAAAAAAAAAAAAAAAAAAAGAAAGAAAGAAAGAAAAAGAAAGCAGTGGCTCATGCCTGCAATCCCAGCACTTTGGGAGGCCAAGGCAGACAGATCACTTGAGGTCAGGAGTTTGAGACAAGCCTGACCAACATGGTGAAACCCATCTCTACTAAAAATACAAACATGAGCTCGGTGTGGTGGCCAGCGCCTGTAATCCCAGCTACTCGGGAGGCTGAGGCAGGAGAATTTCTTGCGCCCAGGAGGCAGAGGTTGAGATCGCGCCACTGCACTCCAGCCTGGACTCCATTAAAAAAAAAAAAAAAGCCTGGAGGAAGTCAATTAAGTAAAAGAGTAGATACCAGACCTACCCAACCCTCAGAATTACCTGAGGGACCTTACACCCATGCCACATCTTCTCAATCTAAGAGGTCTGAGAAACCATCACTGCCTTAGGTATGAGATAATAGGATACTGGGGTAAGAGTAAAACGAGGGGAAAAGAAAAGGTTCACAGGTGAAGCTTATAGCCTAAGTCAAAATTTGTGCTAATAATACTATTTTCCTGGACAAAAACTTACCTATCAGCCATATGTAAAAAATTTGTACCTTATAACTTCAAACCTCCTTAACAAGAGGTAGGGTGACATAGCACAGTAAAGCTTTTCTTTGCTAGAAAATAAAGATGCAGTGGTCCACCCTACAGTTAGACAGATCTGTATTTAAATCCTTGCTCTGCCACTTACAAGCTTTGTGATCCTACACATGTTATTTAACCTCTAGAGGTCTGTTTTCTTATGGCATAAGCAGAAGGACACTATCTCATTGTTTTAATGGCAGAAGGATTAAATGAGATGATGCAAGTTAATGCTTAAGTCAGTTACCATTATCACCTTAAACCAGATGAGATACTAAAATAATCACTTTCAAAATTCTGAGTTCACACCAGGGCATAACCTCTCCAAAAAGCTCAAACTATTATGACTGAGAATCAGATGTGGTTGCCATAACAACATCTGTTCCTGTACACATTACAATGCATCATGCACAGTAGTGTTTTTATACAATATTTTACATCTGTGTGAGCCATTCATACTCAGGTTTGCATATTCTTAACAAGCTCAGTGACACTTAAAATATTTAGGCAACTGAACATCTGCAACTATCTTAAATAAACCCAGGTGACTTACAGTTATGTAGAAACATAAAGGTGTCATCTAGATTTTGCGTATCTTAAGTTTTAAAAAATATGTGGAGTCACTGGTCTTTTAGGAAGATTTTCAGACTACAAGACTGGTGCCCACAACTGGAAAACTGCTACTGTGTTGCTGCTTATCCTGATACTTTCCGTATTCAGATTTCAGGCAAGAATTCTAGCAGTGACCACCAGAATTTCCAGTACACCAGTAGAACCAGTTGTTTTCAGGCTGAACTCCTCTAAGAGTTTAAGATATGTATACAAACAGAGGGAAGATGATGCCTGAGGGACAAGGTGAAAGCTGGGCAGCCAGAGGTCTGGCCCCCCGACCCTTCATCAATTTAAGAGTTCACCTAAAATTGTATTTGAAAGCGGGGGAAGATGCCTCGGTACTTAAACAAGAAAAACAGACTGAGGATACTTTATAATATACCAATTTAGATTTAGGGAGAGTGTGAGGTGAGGAGCACTTCCCAGTTTACTTCACTCTAAACAGGTATTGCAGCAAGGCAGGGACACAGCATAAAGAGTGATTCTAGCACTCCACTGCCTACATAAGAACTCCACAGGCATACAGCCACTTGCTGTCGCTGTAAGTGGACAATCTGGCTTAAGATCAATGTGAAAAAGGGAAATAATTCACAAGTAGCCCTTAAGGGGTGCTTTAGGGGAAAACTCTCAAACTTTGTTTTTCCTCTGCCCTCACACCACACAGAAGTCGTGAAGTTGTCTTCTGTGACCAAACGTGTAGGGTTTTTTCCCAAGCAGCGGACACCAGCTGAGTATCCTCTAATTTGGTTCTGACACTGTCTACCTGGATACAGTGTCATATTCCACAAGATGGGGGCTCAGTCCCCAAAACTGCTCTCTCCTTCTTCAGACTCCAACTGTAAGTCTGGGCCTCCAGAACTTCTGACTGACACTTCAAGCTGGGGTTCCCAAGACCCCCTCCTTGAGTTCTATTAATTTGCTGGAGCATCTCACAAAACTTGGGGAAACACTTATGTTTACCGGTTTATTATAAAAAGTACAGATAAAGAAATGCGTAAGGGCACTGGGCTTCCATACCCTCTCTGGGGGCGCCACCCTCCAGGTGTGTTCAACTATCTGGAAGCTCTCTGAACCCAGTCCTCCTGCGTTTTTTTTTTTTTTTTTTAAAGACAGAATCTCACTCTGTCCCCCAGGCTGGAGTGCAGTGGTGCAATCTCGCCTCACTGTAACCTCTGCCTCCCGGGTTTGAGCAATTCTCCAGCCTCAGCCTCCTGAGTAGCTGGGATTATAGGCCCCCACCACTAAACCCAGCTAATTTTTTTTGTATTTTTAGTAGAGATGGGGTTTCACCACGATGGCCAGGCTGGTCTCAAACTCCTAAACTTGTGATTTGCTCGCCCCCAGCCTCCCAAAATGCTGGGATTACAGGCGTGAGCCACCGCGCCTGGCCCTCCTGGGTTTTTATAAAAGCTTCATATAGGAAACCTTACTTCCCTTCCCCGGGGTATAGGGCCAACACCCTCTCTCTAGAGAGGATCTCAAGACCTACAATCAGAAAGCTGGGTAAAGATCAGAATCTTGCCTTGGGACACGTGTAAGGAGAGCAGGAGAAGATCAGAGATTATTTTCTGAGACCTAACGTACCCTATATTATAACAAAACACGGTAATGGGGTTATGGGTGTTATGAGCCAGGAACCGTGGTGGATGAAAACCAGTATGTATCACAACACCACAAGAGGACACGCAGATATGTCCATTTATAAATTATTTCAGAAGCATGCCAAGTCTTTGTATCTAAATGACATAAAACGTTATTTTGATCCCCTAATAATACATTTTTATGCTCTACCGAAACTACTCAGAAATAATTTCCCACAATAGGAAATATATTTCTTTCACTATTCTTGAGTAACAGAATATTTAAACTATGTTCTCAAGTTTTTCGAAGCCATTTCCCAGGATCAAGGCTTCACCGAAGGTAGCTTTTCAAAAGCGTTCTTGTACCAGGTTTTGCCACTTGATGGCTCAAGTTTTCACACTTTCCTCAGAGAAGTTTTATTTGCATTTTTTTTGGTTGCTGTTTTTTATTTTTATTTTTTTTTGAGACTGAGTCTCACTCTGTCACCCAGGCTAGAGTGCAGTGGTGCCATCTTGGCTCACTGCAACCTCCGCCTCCCAGGTTCAAGTGATTCTCCTGCCTCAGCCTCCCAAGTAGCTGAGACTACATGTGAGTGCCACCACACCAGGATAACTTTTGTATTTTTAGTAGAGATGGGGTTTCACCATGTTGGCCAGGCTGGTCTTGAACTCCTGACCTCAGGTGACCCGCCAGCCTTGGCTTCCCAAAGTGCTGGGATTACAGATGTAAGCCACCGCACCCATCCTCTTGTTGCTGTTTTTAAGTGTAACTGATCTTGAAGCAGGATTCTGAGCACTTCTTGCATTTGGATACTCCCAGTCTCAGCTCACTTCTTTCACAAGAGCAAGGATTCTGTCAACCTAAATTTATAATTCGAATTGAAAATTTTAATAAATTCCACCATATTTCCACTAGACAGGAGTTTCTCAAAAGAGACCACTCAAAAGGTTCTCAGGTCATGAGCTTCCACCAGAAGAGCAGAGCTTTACAGATTGTCAACTGAAGCACAGGTTTCCACAAGCTCTTAAATGGAGCATGAAGGATTCAGAAAAAGAAAGGGTAAAAGCCAGCAATTATCTAAGAAAAAAGTAACTGCTCAGGACAGACTGACTGTCTTAAACTAAAAAACTGGGAAAAGAAAAGGGAACATAAACAACGTTTCTTTTTAGATTCTTATACAGTTAACTTCCCAGCAGAAATATGCTACTCCAATTAACTGCCACCTGCACAATTTACACCCATACTCTCCCTGCTGGGGGTGTGGCTAGCTTCTTTACATGTAGACGCCATTGGAATCCTTGGGTTTAAGCTCACATGGAAGCATAAAACCTCACTGTGAAATGGGAAGCATTCATGTGAGCCCCCATTAGCCAAACAGCTTACAAGAGCACCATAAAGGCCTGTGTTGCAAGCACAGGCCTGGGAACCAGCCCAGACATACTCTGTGGCTCATTTCATCATTGTATGTGGTAGTGCCTTGATTTCCCTACTTGTGAAACAAGGATAGTCCTGAGAAAATTGGGAATAGTTTATAAAGTGCTTGGAAAATAAAACAGACAAGCCACCAATACTATAATACCATAAAGGCCAGCAAGGGGGCCTTTACACTTAAGCAGCACATCCTTATTAAAGTCATCACAGTCACATGAGAAGTGACATATAAACACAACCCACAGCTAAGTGACTCAATTACAAATCTATACCCTTACTGAAGAGGGTATTAGGATATGCAGATTCATTTTTAATTCTAACAGCTGGTCAAATAATGCATGACTCTTTTAGATTACGTGTATGCTTTTAAATTAAATCTTTAACTTAAATCTAAAACTGTGGCATATATTCAGAGCAGGCTTCCCTTTGTAAACTCCATCCAACGTTGTCTATGCTTTCCTCTTATTTTCTAAATCTTTATTTCCAGAACACTGCTGAAATTCTTGAGAGGTTCCAGGCTTTCTCTAGCTGCTGTCTTGGAACCAAGGTAGGGATCAATAATACCAAAGCTTGTGAGTGAAATCTCAAGGAACTCCTTAAGGCAGAGGACTGAATTAATACACAGAGATGACAGGACCCAGGACTAAAAACAGTAATATGAATTTTGCATTTTTCATTGATTAGAATAAAAAAACGTGTGCCCTGCAATCAAAACTGTCACTTTCCACAGTTGGCTCAATTTTTATCTGTGACTTCCTATACACACACACACACACACACACACACACTACATAATCAAGTTGGCTCATATATACCAACTTGAGAAGCATGATAATATGTGAGGAGAGCCTTCTCATTCCAGTGAAGCAGAATATGAATTCTCACTTAAGCTGACCCCAAAACTGGCAGATCGCAAAGGTAGGTCATAACATAACGCAGGTGTAGGGAGTACTAAGACACTGAGAGGATGAAGGAACATAATCATCCTCTCCTCACTTTCTAATAAACAGGATCAGACAAACAACAAAAAACCATGAAATCACAATGGCCACCCACAATGGGCAAAGCATGGACGGTTTATCAAATAAAGTATCTCAACAATCAAGGTGGAAAGTGCCAAAGTAAAAACAAGAAACAGCTTTTACATTCAAAGTATCAATTCAGTTAATTAGCATGGGGCTTTGGTTTATACTAGTTTCAAACACCGAGTTTCCAAACTAACAACATAGAAGGTGTTAACTGGCAGTGAGGTACATCAGCAAAATACGGCATTTACTCCAGTTACTATCACAAGCTCTTACAAAACTAGGAGAGGGGCTGGGAGCGGTGGCTCACGCCTATAATCCCAGCACCTGGGGAGGCCAAGGCAGGCGGATCACCTGAGGTCAGCAGTTCAAGACCAGCTTGGCCAACATGGCGAAAT
This sequence comes from Homo sapiens, assembly GCF_000001405.40. Taxonomy (NCBI): domain Eukaryota; kingdom Metazoa; phylum Chordata; class Mammalia; order Primates; family Hominidae; genus Homo; species Homo sapiens. The sequence continues at coordinate 50,925,927 of NC_000020.11, forward strand.
CCCATCTCTACTAAAAATACAAAAATTAACCAAGCGTTGTGGCAGGCACCTGTAATCCCAACCACTCAGAGGCTGAGGCAGGAAAATCACTCGAACCCGGGAAGCAGAGGTTGCAGTGAGCCGACATTGGGCCACCGCACCCCAGCCTGGGAGACAGAGCAAGACTGTCTCAAACAAACAAACAAACAACACACAAAAACTAGGGGAGGAAAAACTTTAAGTTTATACGATGCTAATAACAAGTCAAGCTCTGTGAATCCAACTATAATTAAATTATTTACACATAGGGGAGCAATGTTTCTCTTAATGTACATGCCTCTCAGTCAAGAGAATGAAGGTTAAACTCCCACTGAAAGTTATTTTACCTTATGTAAGACATAACTGACTTTATGATGCTCTTTTAAAAACTCCTTTGGAACTCCAGGTTGAACAAGTAGCTTATTTACACAACAGTCATGGGTACTTTGGTGTAAACCACAATAATGCTTCTAATGTTGTAAAATAAAAACTTCCTATTTTTTTCTTTCATATTACTTTAAAAATCTTTATTTCACTAAGATTTAAATAGGTTACTTGGAAAAAATACATACATAAAGTTTAATTCTGGTATTTTTTTACTACACTTAGATGTATTGTCCCCAAACTACATCTCAAAACTAAATGTACTTTCCCCAAACTACACGTGATACTTGAACTTTTCATCTGTATTTAATAATATGACAATCATTTCCAGCTCTAGAAAACCTACATATATTTTATATGTATGTGTACATACATACACACACCCAATTGTGAAATCAAGTGACCTAGGTCTATTGCAATTTATGCAGTTTTGTTACTTATATATGATTCTCAAAAGAAGAAACATAAATGCTGAAGTTTTTCTTTTTTTTACCCTATGAAGTATCAATCTCTACTTTCTCCTTTACAAAACAGCTTTATCTTCCTTATTAAGTTGCAATTTTCAAAATAAAATTTGTAGCCAGCATCATCTTATTTAATCAATAAACTTGAGTATTTTAGTTTTCAAAATACTAACTTTTTAATACTTTCAAAACGTGTAAGTAGTTACAAGGAAAGCAACAACTTCACATAGTATGCCTTATATACCTATACTTTTAATAATCAAATATAAATAATAAGCCATTTTTGCCTGATAAAAGCCTACTGGTTGGTTACTTGCAAGTGGTACCAAAACCATCTGTTCAAGGTTGTGAAGTTCTTATTTTAATATAAATAGTATTAAAACTCTTCCTGCACTCTGGTATAAGGAGAAAAAGATAAACTTAAGCAAAGCAAAGCAAATTCACAGTGGGCATGTATAAAATCAATGACTTCCAAGGTTGGAAGGGCCAAGGGTCATTAAGAGATTTTCAGCCCAATCTCCTATATTTTCTATACAGGAACTATAAAAACCAAAATCAAAGAGGTTAGTTTCAATATATAGCTCCTAATAAGCTAGTCTCAGGAAATTTTTCAACAAAGGCCAAGATAAAAAAGGAATTTCTACTTAAAGTTCAGTTAAACAGAATACCCATTCCCCACACTCTAGTTAATTGAACCTTTTACTATACTTTAATGAAGTATATAGTTTACCTACTATAAATTCCAGTCTTCAAGCCCAATTGTTTCACTTTTTTTTTTTTTTTGGTAGAGACAGGGTCTCATTATGTTGCCCAAGCTGGTCTTGAACTCCTGGCCTCAAGTGATTCTCCTGCCTCAGCCTCCCAAAGTTTTGGGATTACAGGCGTAAGCCACCTCACCTGGCCTCACCTTATTTTTTGAGTGTTAAAACCAAGAAACCTTTGAAACAGTAGAATACATGCTTTCTAAGAGCTCACAGCAAGTTTTCCTTTAAGGGAAAATGGCTGTTACCACTTAGGACATCATTCAACACTGTATCCCATTCGCTAAATCAAACAAAAGCCCCTCAACAAACTTCATTTCAAACATTCCGTCAAATAAGTTGTCTTCAAATTATATGGTCATTTTCAGAACTTAAATAACTGCATATAAAACACCAAATAAAGATAAAAACTATACCTGCCTACAAATACTATACAGTATTTAAAAATTTAAATAATCCCATTTAAATATGTGATTTTTCACAATGACTAAGAAATTGTAGAAGCAATGTCTCTAGTCAAATACCTGTACCAAAGGGCCTCCTTTTCACTCACCAAAATGTTACCTGGTAGCAATTCTCCAATGAAAAATTCTCCTGTTAAGCACCAACTGGTTAACTAGGTATCAAAGAATACACCCATTCAGTTCTCCATAAACTTATCTTGGTGTATTTATGTAACATACAAAGTCTTAAAGGTACCCACAAACATCAACCACTGTCAATCTTTGGTAGCAAGAACAAGTTCATGGAAAACCATGTTTTCATCAGACATTTAAGGCTTTTAGAAGCTTAGCAACTCTAGAGATTGGGTTATCAAAGTAATAGTAACTGAATACTTATACTTTATACAAAGGGGTGTAGAATGCAAATGATTACAATATTAGCATCTGTAAAAATTTCTCTTAAAAAAGCTGTAAGTAATTTCTTATGTTAATAAGTGTTCAGAACCCACTACTGCAACCAGCTCTAACCGGTTCCTTGAGGAATGTGGCTAGGCTGAAATTTTGGAAGTGTTGGTTTTGGTGGTGACCAAGGAGAAGGAAGTCTCTGGCTTCCCTGTTGCTGCAGTTCCCACCCTCCAAAATGAATATACCCACCGGTGTGAATTGACAATGTGGTCCAAAGAGCAAGGCAGGAAACGGAGTCCAGATCCTCAAAATGGTAGTACAGGGCATAACCACTAGGCCACCTATCAGTTCAGTACAAAAAGTACAACCCTGCGCATCATGGTGTAAAAGCTGGGGCCTAGGTTTCGCATTGTGCATCTCACACCTATGGAAATAACAAGAGGAGTAAAATCTATGGAAATCAACACACCCTAAGAAGGTGGGTGCTCACAGAAGACTGGTATCAACATTTTTGTAAAGGTGGTTGGCTGCTGAGATAATGAATGGCAATTACAAGTCCAAATTTGGAGGGAAACGAAATTTTTACAATCAACACTTGAGTTCGACAATGAAGAACCCAACATGGGCTTGATGTTTACCAACAAGGCTTTGCAAATCATGACACCCATCTACACACTTAATCCAACATCTCTCAAGAATGATTTTTAACTCTCAAAGAATTGGAAAGATTTGGCCTATGAAGAAGGGAGTTAACCAGCTATGCCCCCAAACCTGTTACTTTGTTTCAAACCTTCTCCTTTACCACCAGACTTAGGAAAGATATGGTGACACATTCAAAACTTGAGGTGGAAGAACTCCAGAGGAAGGGAATCCGAACCAAGGATGTGCCAAGGTGATTCGTCAAGAACAAATATGGACTGGGGGCCAACAGTTTTGAAAAAGTAAAAGGAGAAAACTTCTAAAATGCAGGGTGGGCTCTTTAAAAGAAGTAAAATCACTGCTCTTGACTCACTTAATCCTTCGCCATGTTGCTGTCAGCTCACCAACTAAGAGTGCGAGTGTGTCTTGCTGGGCCCATTTTCCCATGGTCTGTAGAAGGCGCTGTGAAGCACATCCTGTTCTAGCTCGGGGGCCCTTCCCCCCTCTGCAGCCTTACCCAGTGCAGAGAATGCGCCCCCTACTGACTCCAACACTCATCGCCTTTAGCCGACTTGGCTGCGGTGCATTTTGGGTGGGGGCTGGTATTTTCTCCATGGCCATAAACCAGAAGCAACAATGCAGATTTCTAAAGAAACTGTATCAAGCTATCCAAGAGATTTTTTTTTTTTTCATTCTGAAGGTTCAAGATACAGGCACAAGAAGCATCAGGGATGGGAACTGGGTGTGTGGGGATGGACATCATTAACATGACAAACACAGAAACAGTTTGGTTCTTTTTCCCTCCTAAGCCTTTGTCTGTGAAATGGGGTTATGGCAAGAAGTGTCCAGAGTAACTGGTAAATTCAAGAAGATTAAGAAGACTTCGTGTGTGGGGGGTGTGTGTGTGTGGCTAAAAAGGATATCAGACCTAGAGTCTTGGTCTTGGGCAGAAGAGGAAGAGAAGCAATCGCGCCTTTTCCAGCAGACAGGGATCAAGGTTGGGGGGGAGGGGAAGGCAGGCAGGCCTCCCAGAGGAAAGAAGAGGTGAATACGAGTGTGTTCACAAAACTACTCCCCATTCATTACATTAAAAAAAAATCTTTTTGCAGCTCTCTGGATTTCCATTTTCTACCACCTTACTGCAAAGTTGGGGCTCAGAATGTTCGAAAGAGGTGCTGACCAGGCAGCTGAGATTGGGGAAAAGGGATGGTGGTGAACTGTGGTCAGGATAAGAGGAAAGCTGGCAGGTTGGGGAAGAAGGATTGCACAGGGGAGGCAAAGACTCACTCCATGCCATGCATGCTCCCCGCCCCCCCCAACCCCGTCCCCCCTCCCCCAGGTAAGGGTGGGCAGACCTGGCAGAAGGCTGGTTCAAGGCATGGGGGTGTGCGTGGGGGGGCTCCTTTTGGGGGTGGGGGGCGGACGGGATTAGTTCCAGGATGGGAGAAGCTCGGTTCTGGCTGGGGGAGATGCCCTTAGCTGCAAAAGCTCCGGGCGGCCAGGCAGAGTGCTGGCCTCGGTGGGCTCACAGGGCGGAGAAGGGGGTCGGGCTGCAGGAGGAGGCGCCTGGACCTCCGGAGCAGAGTCGGGTAGCGGTCCGTGCCGGGACGGGGGACCCGTCGGCGCCGGGGTGTGCAAAGGAGCGTGTGTGCGGCTGGAGGGCGGCGATGCGAACAACAATGCGCCCGCGCCCGGGGCCAGGCTGCACTGGCGGCCGCGCGGGCCGGGGTCGGGAAGCCAGGCAGGGCAGGGCCGCGGGTCCGCGCGCGGCGGCGCCGGGCTTACCTTGACTCGGCCTCGAGGCGCGCGCGGGGCCGGCGTGCTCGGGGGCCGGACAGCGGCGGCGGCGGCGGGCGGATGGCGGCGGCACGGCGGTGGCGGCAGCGGGGAGGGCGCGCCCGGGGCCTCGTCGCGCTCCGGCTCGGCGGACTCCGGCTCGCGCCGCGGCCGCGGGTGCTGCCGGGGGGCGCGGCGGGCGCAGCAGAGCGGCGGGCGGCGGCGGCGTCGTCGAGCGGTGCAGACAAAGGAGGGGCGGAGGGAGGAGACGGAGGGTGTGGGAGAGGCGGCTTCACCGGCGCGGGCGGCGGCGGCCGCGCTCCTCTCGCTCCTCAGCAGCGGGGACCGAGAGAGGGAGCTGTGTCTGAGAAGACGCCAAAATCCCCCTTAGCGCTGCCTGCGGGAGGGGGAGGGGGCACAAGATGGCGGCGGCCGGGGGGGGGGGGGCGGGAGTTCAGCTCATGGATCCCGGCGGGCGGCGGAGGGGAGACCGGGCCGGCGGAGGCGGCGGCGGCAACGGGCGGGGGAGGGGGCTGATCCCGCGTCTCCCCTCAGCAGACAATACAAGCGCCTCGGACCGAGTCCCCGAACCTGCCCTAGCCAAAATGGCGGCCGAGAAAGAGCGGAAGTGACGTAAGTGCCTCATTAGCATAAGAGGACTCATTGTCCAGCTAAATAGGGGGGGGCAGTGGGGACAGCACCCCTAACCCCCTTTTCCCCAGGGGGGGTTCCTCTTACTCCCACCCCTGCTTGCACCTAACTTTTCCTGAGGGAGGGTGCTCTCAGCACCCCCACCCCCGCTTGAGGGAAATTATATAATCCCCACTGAGGGGGGAGCTCTCGCGAGAACCAGGCGGATTTGCCATTGACCCACTAGGAGGCGCCGCGGATAATGGCCGCAGTGCGCTCCCGGGGCCCGTGTGCTCGGCGGGCGCCTTCCTCTGGCCGCAGCGCCGGCGGCGGAGGCAGAAGCAGCGGGCCGCAGCACGCCCAGCACTCAGTCAGGTGGCCGTGCTGGGGATCCCTGCGCGGGCCCAGCTGGGCCTGGACTACATCTGGCGGGAGGGGTGTGCGGGGCGGCCTGGGGCGGCTCCACGTGCTCAGATGCCCGCGCTTCCACGGCTGAGAAGCGGCGGGAAGGCGCCGGGACACCTGGCCGGTCGCCCCTGACGCCTCCTGCCTTAAATGAGGTGTGAGGGCCTCGTGCTTCACACAGCGACTTGAGATGAGACACAACCCCATGGATGCCTTAGCCCTTCCTGGTGGGGTATTCGGTGCAGAGGGGCCGAGATTTTATTAAGGTCCGCCGTTACCCTGTGACTTGACATTCTTCCCAGTCACAGTGATGGACTCTTCTCTGACCTGAATAAAAAAAAAAATGGGAATCCTAGTGCCTTGAGGCCACCCAACTGGTGAAACTTAAGGATGAGAAGTGATGTTGCCAATAGGGGCATTGGCTCTCTGCAAGATCCTTAAACAACACACTTTGTAGTCCTAGGGACATAGCTTTTGGTGCTCCCACAATCTGGGTAGCATAAGACAGCACATGGTTGCTTTGTAAATTTAGGTCAATCCCAACCAATACATTATCTCCTCAACATTTTTGAACCAACCTTTTAAAGTAGGTTGTTCAAAGTAACATTATGATTTAAAGTATCATTGGTTGGTTAAATGTATTGACAAGTAATAGATGTCAATAGTGAGGAATTAACCAAGCCTGTTTCCTTAATATGTGATCTTTAGGTAAATACACCTGTCTTTTGCTGTTTCTTTACATTTCAAGTTAACATAGTTTCAAGCCATACTTAACATCCGAAAATAATCTGAGTTCGCTGCAAGTAGTATAAATTGTGGTTACACATAGCTGTTCAACATCTAAGACTTCAGTTAGCCCTGTTTAACAAACTTTTATACAACACATTTCTGCAATTGTGATAAAATGTATCTTTAAAAGCCAAGTCAGTATTTCAAGGGAAAACAGCTGAAAAAAGTCGTGGAAAAAGGGGTTGGGGCAAAGCATTTGATTCAGAAAACTAAAGAATCTAATTACACACTGCAGAAGACAGATAAAAACTAATATGAAATAAGCAAAGTAAGTTTAAGTTTAGTTTTTCTTAGATATACTTAGATTCCATATAGTGATAATACAAATACAAGGGAAAACATCTGGATTTCATCTTTGGCCTCATTTACAAAGCAAAATGGGATGCTGGATTCAGATGTAAATATTTAATTTTACAGTGTTTAAGCACCAGATTTACTACAAAAATGCATCTAAATATTCCAGATTCTTTTCTAAATGACTTCCAAATGCTATGAGTCTTCACTGCTCAAATACTCTATGGTAAATTCCAAGAGTGACAGTGTTGTGATAATGATTGTGTGAATAACTAAAAAGATTTAAAAGGCAAACATTATCTACTCTAGTGAGTATCTGAGAAGGCAGTACTATCTATATTAGGTTCTCTAAGGTTGTTACTTAATTTCTGCTCCACATACTTGACACTGAGAACTCAACTTTGAGTTTAGGTTAAGAAAAAATAAATTCTAACCACTCCAAAAAAACTGAGAATATTACATTTCTATTATCTTAGCTTAAAACTAATTTCACATCAAGCACTGATGAATTTTCTTCTTGTTATGAATGAGAGAAGTTTCTTCCCTAAGGAAAGCAGTTCCCTCACTGGCCAGCTGGACAGTTCTGGACATAAGGGAAACAGAACAAGAGTGGCCCTTATTGGAATGTGTACTATGGGTTCAACTATAGAAGCGTGGGAGGGGGTGGTTTTAATGTTCGAAATGACACCACAGGTTTTATAGTCTGGGATTCATTTCTGGTAGAATCTGTCAGAGAGAAATGCAAATGAAAAATCAGATTTTCATTTTTTTTTCTTTTAAAAAAGACAGGGTCTCACTCTGTTGTCCAGGCATGATCACAGCTCACTGCAGCCTTGACCTCCCAGACTCAAGTGAACCTCCCACCTCAGCCTCCCAAGTAGCTGGGACCACAGGTGAGTGCCACCACACCCAGCTTTTTTTATATTTTTGTAGAGACAGGATCTCCCTATGTTCCCTAGGCTGGTCTCAAATGCCTGTGCTCAAGCCATCCTCTTGCCTTGGCCTCCCAAAGTGCTGGGATTATAGACATGGGCCATTGTGCTGGGCCTCAATTTCTTCAGCAGCCAAGTTAAGCCAGGAAAATGTAGTAATTAGGAATACTGTTCAATAAATAATTTAGAGACACCTCTTACTTTTATTTCCAGAAGAAAGTCAACTTAAACTTACTTGCTCAAAGCATGCCCTTACTCAAATTTTAAAAGATACTACATGACCATAACCTATGCTACAGTTAGAAATTAACTGATCTCTTCTGAAATACCTACTTTAGAGAAAGTGGGTAAACATAATATTTGCCCTGGCTTTATTGGATAGCTTAGCCCAAATTTTAACTGGCAGAACACTTTTCTAAATGGAGAGAAGAGCTTAAGGCAGAGATTTTTCAAATTAGTAGGGATGTGAGCTTTGCTGAGGGTCTTTAAATAATATGAAAACAAGTCTTTTGAGAAAAAAATTGTTATATAATTCAGTAAGATGTTTAAAAATTACTGTAGCAGCTAAGTTTCTGCCTCAGTGTCATTAATATTTTTCCTTACTGATAGAGGTTATTGCTCAAAAGAGAAAAAAACGGCTATGTAATCAACTGCTGTCAAATTGTTTCCCAATTCACAATATGCATTTTAAATAGACCTGCTTTGATAGATGAAATGTTTCATCAATTCAACAGCTGAAAAGAACCGAACTGTAAATGCCTGCTCTAAATGTATTTTCTAGTTTAAGAAATTTGAGATACATTTTTAAGGAAAGGGCAGAGGTGTGTATTTCTTTTTCAATTCATACAGACACAGCCATAAACATTTCATCAGTTAACATTATCTTACTTCTGAGATCAATTAGGTATAAAGATCTATGATTCCAGTTTTTAAAAAGACTATTTCAAATTATTCCCCATGTAAAAAATTCTACATTCACATACTCTAATGAAGGCAGCAATACTTTATGCAAAAAAAAATATACATTTATTTATAGGTCTCAATACAGCAAAATGAAAACGAAAATTGAGAACATTGCTCATTAGGCCAGCAACTTTAAAATTATTTAATTTGAAATATAAAATAGGTGGTCTTCATAAAAAGATGCATGAAATTTACCTTACCTTATATTTTATACTTTAAGAGTACATTTTATACAAATCAGTAACCAGGCTTCTTTCATGTTTAACCTGAAATGAACGTAACTATAAATGAGTATCTTTCTTTTATGTAGTAGCAAAAAGAGTCAATAATCCTTTCAAGAAAGATACTATTTCATTTCCTCCCAACTTGGATTCACCATAAACACGATCCACAAATGATATTGGAACCTAGTTTAAAAAAAAAAAAGTAACGTTAGTCTTTAAAAACAATTAGGCAGCTTAGCCGGTATACCACATTACCAACACAACAGAAATAGGATTAGTCCTACAACAGAGGTCCTTAAAGTAAGTATAAAATTAGGGGATTATGAAAGCAACTGTGTGTATCTCCAAGTCTTTAAAATTAAACATGCATTATCTAAAGATAGGTCACATGAAACAAATCTGCAACTGTTTAAAAAGCACTGATTCTAGGTATTACCTTGGTTTACTCAAGTTTCAGTTTGCATTTCAAGGAAAAATTATACTCCAAAAGTAAAATGGCCTTGTGCGTAGATTTTTCACTTGTCAAATTTAGCTACAATGGTTTAGCATTAAGTAAAATAGCTTGTAACTTCCACAAGAGAAGTGACATTCCATAGCTATTTTCTTGCTCTGAATAAGAGTTTTACTATTAAATGAGGAGAGTCTTCCCTACCCTAAGAGCTCACTAACGAGCCCTAAATATTACAGATCACCACCTCCTTGCTCTGTAATTCCTGGTCTTCTCTTACTAACAGGAAATGGACATATGGAACTCATCATTCATTTTAAAGTATGGTGGCCATTGGCGGTGACAAAAGGAAAAGAAGCAAAGAGACTCAGTCCATAATGCTGATTAGTTAGAAGAAAGGGCTAGGATTGAGAAAGTACCAGGAACTTTTAATTATTTAAAAGAGAATGCTGACTGTTAATGTTTTAAATCTTACTGTTCAAATGTACTAATATGAATTTTTACCCTTTGTGCATGAATATTCTAAACAACTAGAAGACCTCCACAATTTAGCAGTTATGAAAGTTAAACTTTTTATTATAAAAATTCTAAACCTTACTGCTCCTTTACCAGGAACATGACACACTATTTAGCATCAGTTGCATACCTCGCCAATAGTATAATTCAACTGTCTTGCCCGAACAATCATCTCCATCTGGAAGACGTAGCCTTTAGAAACACATTTTTCTATTAATTTCTCTAGAACTTCTTTTCGGTATAATCTGTAAGAAATTAAAAATATATATCAACTTCTGGATAAATACACATGCCTATGTATCCTGACCTTTCAAAGAGTTCACTGGTATGTATAAAGCCTAAAACTTTCACTGGCCATTGGTAAACAGAAAAGCTCGCACACTTGATGATTATGATACATTTGTCCTAAGCAAGAAAGGCCATTAAATATTTGCTAAATAACTTAGAATAATTGTGAAAATGAATTCTCAGTTATCTTTTTATAGAATTATTTTCCCACCATACTATCAGAAATTAGTGAAATACGGTAAAATGAATCATTTGATGCAGAACCATCCATTATTTAAGATTTCCCTAAAATTTAAAGTTGAAAGAAACTGTTCCAAATATTGAACAACAGGGTGGACAGATGATCATGAAGCAACTATATATGTTAGATGACAAGAAAGAACCTCATAATTCACAGTCATTTTCCAATAAATGTTTATGATGAGTTTTGATTTCTCATGATTTCCTTTATAAATTCCCCAGGATAAACTAAGTTGCTCTAGGATGAGCTTGGGAAGCTAGGTTAAAACAGGAACGAGGCATCACAGGATAGAAACAATCCTGGTGGGATTCACCTATCACCAGTTGAGGTCACAGTTAGACACTTAACAGTGGGTGAATGTGCAGCCTAACTTTAGATGGACTGCAGGCCAAACACCAGATTTACAAAGACAGCGGAGTTGGGCAGTCCAGTGGGTAGACCCAAGCACTTTCTTCAGTAACTAAATAGCAGGGAGCTCCGTATTTTCAGAGTCACACTTTTTTTTTTTTTTTTTTAAAGATCAGTGTCTCAGTTCATAGGGAGGCAGCAATTTCTACCTTTTTTTGTGGGGAGAGGGGAGAAAGCAAGAAGAGGCAGTTTGGTGTAACTTTGTTCTCTTCAAAGTTAAGGCCATCTGGACCTACTGTGCCTCAGGGTTTCACCCTGAATCCACATTTTTTTTCCCTCAGACTTCTAAGGCGACCTTATCTTTTGACTATGAAGTGGGTATAGGACAGCACAGCCCTTAGAAAAACCTGACAGCTTAGTGTGTGCAATCCTTTATCCACATAGTTTCCTTAAGGATTCAAAGGAATCAATTTGGAATAAATATGGAGAGAGGAGAATCTGATGGTAGCAATATTTATTCAATAATAAATATTTATTGACCAATGTACTGGGTTTCAGGTTTTTTTTTTATGTTTTGGGGTTAAGAAGTGAACTTAAAAACTCAATGAAGATATATAATATGTCAGATGCTGTTAGGGGAGGGAGCACTGGGATTGTGGGGTGGGAAGAACTATGATACTGATGGGACTATGTTTCCACATTACCTTTATTTATATATTTGTATTTTTGGAGACAAGGTCTCACTCTGTTGCCCAGAGTACAGTGGCACAACCATGGCTCACTGCAGTCTCAACTTTCCAGGCTCAAAAGATCCTCCTACCTTAGCCTCCCAAGTAGCTGAGACTACAGGCATGTGCCACCATGCCAGGCTAAGCAAGAAAGGCCATTAAATAATTGCTAAATAACTTAGAATAACTTTTAAAGTTATTATTATTATTATTATTTTTATTTTTTTAGTTTTTGTAGAGACGGAGACTCACTATGTTGCCAGAGCTGGGGTCTTAAACTCCTGGGCTCAAGATATCCTCCATCACTGGCCTCCCAAAAGTGCTGGGATTATAGGTGTGAGCCACCACATCCAGCCAGCATTACCTTTAAAATTGGGATTAGGCTATGAAATATTTCCTCTCTTTAAGAGTTGCTTTATTCCCCTTAAGAATCATTTTCTAAGATATTTCTTTTCACTGCCACCTCCTTCCTCCCCATCCACATGGTAACTTTAACACTGTGGCTAGTAAAATAAAATGTTACATGAAGCCATATAATCCCATAAATGCGATTAGGATCCAGGTGGTCTATGCTATTAAATGGCTTTATATTGACTGTAGCCTTTCCAGGATTCCTTTTCTTATTTTGTAAAAAGCACCTTCTTCCTAAATCTAGGGATTTAATGACAAAAATGGGCTTTGTCTAGCGACAAATGAACTTTAATGCATGTATTTAAGAAACCACCACTCTTATGAGAAGACAATGAGATTTAACTATTAAAAAAAATTTTTTTTTTTTTTTGAGACAGAGTCTCACTCTGTCGCCCAGGCTAGAGTGCAGTGCAATCTCGGCTCACTGCAAGCTCTGCCTCCCAGGTTCACGCCATTCTCCTGCCTCACCCTCCCGAGTAGCTGGGACTACAGGCGCCCGCCACCACGCCCGGCTAATTTTTTGTATTTTTAGTAGACGGGGTATCACCATGTTAGCCAGGATGGTCTCGATCTCCTGACCTTGTGATCCACCTGCCTCGGCCTCCCCAAGTACTGGGATTACAGGCGTGAGCCACCGCGCCCAGCCTATTTAAAAAATTTTTTGGGCTGGGTGCAGTGGCTCATGCCTGTAATCCCAGCACTTGGGGAGGCGGAGGCAGGAGGATCACCTGAGGTCGGGAGTTCAAGACCAGCCTGACCAACGTGGAGAAACCCCATCTCTACTAAAAATACAAAATTAGCCAGGCATGGTGGCGCACGCCTGTAATCCCAGCTACTCGGGAGGCTGAGGCAGGAGAATCTCTTGAACCTGGGAGGCGGAGGTTGTGGTGAGCCAAGATCGCGCCATTGCACACTCCAGCCTGGGCAACAAGAGCGAAACCCTGTCTCAGAAAAAAGAAAAAAAAATTGTGCAATTAACAGGTTCACTTTTGTCTGTTTGGCTGCTCTGTCATTTATACAGAACACAGCTAATCATTGCTGTCAATACATGAAAATCCAGAACTCCCAGGCCATCCTTCAACCCCCATCCCCTCCACTAATCCTTGTATGGTTCTGATGCAGCAAACCACCCTCACCCCATTCCTCTCCCTGCTGTGTTTTTCTTCACAGCCTCTATCTTCACAACTAGTTACCAGTTACCCTAGGTTTTTATTCAAAACCATCAAAACTGTGGCCTGTGAAATCCACACTGGCCCTTCCCGCTGTACAGAGATTTTGTGAGTGCCACTATTCTTTGCATTGTTGCCACATGGCAATCAGAGATCTTTTTTGTTTTTTTTTGTTTTTTTTTAGACGGAGTCCCACTCTACTGCCCAGGCTGGAGTGCAGTGGCGCGATCTCAGCTCACTGCAACCTCCACCTCCCAAGTAGCTTAGACTACAGGCCCACCACCACACTTGGCTAATTTTTTGTATTTTTTAGTAGAGACAGGGTTTCACTGTTAGCCAGGATGGTCTCGATCTCCTGACCTTGTGATTCACCTGCCTAGGCCTCCCAAAGTGCTGGGATTACAGGTGTGAGCCACAATGCCTGGCTTTTTTTTGACAGTCTTCCTCTGTCGCCAGGCTGGAGTGCAGTGGCGCAATCTCGGCTCACTGCAACCTCTGCCTCTGGGTCTCAAGTGATTCTCCTGCCTCAGCCTCCTGAGTAGCTGGGATTACAAGCGTACGCCACCATACCTGGCTAATTTTTGTATTTTTAGTAGACAGGATTTCGCCACGTTGCCCAGGCTGGTCTTAAAACTCCTGACTTCAAGTGATCCACATGCCTCGGCCTCCCAAAGTGCTGGGATTATAGGCGCAAGCCACTGCCCATCCACCAGCCAACGCCCATCCGCAATCAGAGATCTTAATCATATCACAAATGACTCTTTAGCCTTAGGGTATAGCCTCCCCTCTCTTTCATCCCCAAGTTCAGCTCTCCAGTCTATTTGCATTTTAGTTCTAGAGAGGCTTCATTTTTCTTTTTGACTGTCAACAGCCAGGTCCTAATTTGTGTGTGTGTGTGTGTGTGTGTGTGTGTGTGTGTGTGTCAATTCTCACATTTAAGGACCTAGATTTTCCTGCATTAAGCAAAGGACCCAAGAATCAACATTATTTAGTGGAAAAAAGTATCAACTAGTAGAAATTATTAAGTAATGTTTGGGGGGCTTGGGGGTCACTAAAGTAGATGCAGGGGCATTTTATAGTTTCAGAGATTAAAAAAAAAAATCTGGCAAGTTTTGTCATTTGCCATGGTCAGTCACACAAAGCAGCTCACATCTACTACAGCAAATCTAGACCACCACCCCATACACCCAGAAACAGACACGCAAAACTCAGAGGGACCGAAGCTTTGTCCAAATTGAACAACAAAAATTTCCTCAAACATATGGAGAACAAGGTAACTGAGAGAGCTCTATATAAATATTAAAGAGTTTAACCTTTTCTGTAGACAATGCTGTAGGTATTCATATGAAATGCAGAAAATTAAGTACATGCTATTCTTTGGAACAGATTATCAGTAATAGCAACATTCCAAAGAGCAGTTGAGCCTTAATACTAATGTTAACAAGCACACAAACCTAACTGCCTTCAGCTTTTTAAAGGAAAAGCACAATATGTCTCCTTGAGATGTTTAGGCTTCATTAGCAACTTCTAGGAATTTTAGTCTGCCTTTTTAGTATCCCAGAATAAAAACAAGGTAGAAATGTAAAGTGTCTCTTTAAAATATCCATTGTAAAGAAAGTTAGCCAAGAAGTTATATAAAAGTAGTGGAAATTTTCACTGTACCTGAAACTTCCTGTTAAATCAGATGCTCCTGGTCTCAGCAAGATCTGAGTTAAAAAATTGGCCCCACGGCTGCCAAATAAAACAATCAGATCTTCTTTACAAAATACAATTTATAAACAAGAGAAACACATCGAAGAACAGTGTTAAAATGCTATACTAATTTCATAAATGTAACATTAATTTCATAAAAATGTTATTTATCTAGAACAAAATAGAAATTTTTAGTCAATGAAAGGAGACCTGGCTAGGCGCGGTGGCTCACACCTGTAATCCCAGGAGGCCAAGATGGCTGGATCACTTGAGCCCAGGAGTGACCAGCCTGGGCAACATGGCAAAACTCCATCACTACAAAAAAAAAAGTGAATATATATATATATATATATATATATATATATATATAAATAAAATACATTCATATAATATATATACACATTCATATAATATGTATATTCATATTATATATTCATATATATTCGTATTATATATATTCATATACATATATATTCATATTATATATATTCATATATATATTCATATTATATATATATATTCATATTATATATATTAGCTGGGCATGGTGGTACGTGCCTGCAGTCCCAGCTACTGGGAAGCTGAGGCAGGCAGATCACCTGAGCTCAGGAGTTCGAGGGCAACCTGGGCCACATGGTGAAACCCCATCTCTATGAAACAAAAATTAGCCAGGCATGGTGGTGCAGGTCCACAGTCCCAGCTACTCGGGAGGCTGAGACAGGAGAATTGCTTGAGCCCGGGAGGCAGAGGTTGCAGTGAGTTAAGACTTTAACCCAGGTCTGTCTGAAATCAATCTTAATTAAAATTACACTATAATTATGGGGAGAAACCCTACATATTTAGACCAAAAGTATAGAACAGGTCACATAAATTAAAACTGAAGGTCCAGTACAGTAACTTTTGCTGAATGAGACCATTTCTACCAAAGGTCCAAAGGTTTATGCTGATTTTTCCTTAATAAAAAACATCCAGGCTCTAATCACAGGAAAAACTGTAAGAAACTATCTGGGAGTATTTACTGGAAGTTATAACCTGATCCCACAAATCCCGGGCAGCATGATAGCTAATCCAAATACTTGCTATGAATACATTTCCAGTAGTTATACTAATAAAGAAGTTGTAACACATGTACCTACCTGATTATTTTTCTTTTCAAATCCCAGCCATATACACCTCCATTTCCTTTGTAGCGAGTTCCAGAGACAATATCAAAATTACCCTCCTTTTGCTTCCTGTAGAATAAATTAGCTGTCAATTAGAAAAAGCCACTGAGCTTTCAACAGTCATTTTCATGAGCTACACAAACAAAACTTTTAAGAGAAGTCGACACAGGCTGGGTGCAGTGGCTCACGCCTGCAATCCTAGCACTTTGGGAGGCCGAGGCGGGTGGATCACGAGGCCAGGAGTTCAAGACCAGCCTGGCCAAGATGGTGGAACCCCATCTCTACTAAAAATATAAAAATTAGCCTGGCGCGGTGGCGGGTGCCTGTAATCCCAGCTACTCAGGAGGCTGAGGCAGAGAATCACTTGAACCCAGGAGGCAGGTTGCAGTGAGCTGAGATCACGCCACTGCACTCTAGCCTGGGCAACAAGAGTGAGACTCCATCTCAAAAAAAAAAAAAAAATTAGTCGGGCACAGTGGCACATGCCTTTAGTCTCAGCTATTTGGGAGGCTGCAATGGGAGGATGGCTTGAGCCAGGGAGGTTCAGGCTGCAGTGATCTGTGATTGTGCCACTGTACTCCAGCCTGGGTGACAATGGAAGACCTTGTCTCTCAAATTAAAATAATTAATTTTCCCAATACCCTTCCATTCTGTTCTTGCCTTCTTTGAAGCAAATAATACTAAAAACAGCCTGATGTCCTGCCACACTTTTCTTTGCCTAGAGAAAGATAAAGACAAACATACACCCCTAGGATTTTTGGTTGCATTTACAAAATTGGGATGCAAAAAAAGTACATTTTGTGACCTGGTTTCTGTCAGTTAACAATACATATCATGGGGTCAGATGTGGTGGCACACGCCTGTAATCCCAGCACTTTGGGAGGCCTAGGCAGGTGGATCACTTGAGGTCAGGAGTTTGTGACTAGCCTGGCCAACACAGTGAAACTGTCTCTACTAAAAATACAAAAATTAGCCAGGTGTAGTGGCACGTGCCTGTATTCCCAGCTCCTCTGGAGGCTGAGGCAGGAGAACTGCTTGAACCCGGGACGTGGAGGTTGCAGTGACTGAGACTGCGCCACTGCACTCCAGCCTGCATGACAGAGTGAGATTCCATCTCAAAACAAAAACAATGCAAATCATGGAATCATAGACATCCCTACAGGTCAAGAGAGCTCTTTCCCATTCTTTTTAATAATTGCAAAACTACTTCATAGAATATTCAACTCACACACCTCTGTGGTTGTTTCCATGGTGCCCTACCCTCTCAACCACAATAAACAGTGCTACAATAAACTTTTTTTGTTTTGTTTTGTTTTTTTTTGAGATGGAGTCTCGCTCTGTTGCCAGGGTGGAGTGCAATGGCGCCATCTCGGCTCACTGCAACCTCCACCTCCCGGGTTCAAGTGATTCTCCTGCCTCAGCCTCCCAAGTAGCTAGGACTACAGGCGAGTGCCATCATGCCCGGCTAATTTTTTGTATTTCTAGTAGGGACGGGGTTTCACCATGTTGGCCAGGATGCTCTCAATCTCTTGACCTCATGATCCGCCCGCCTCAGCCTCCCAAAGTGTGGGATTACAGGCATGAGCCACTGTGCCTGGCCACAATAAACGTTTTTATAAATGTATTACTGCTTAGACTCCCCAAAATGGAATATACTGGAATTGCCCAAATGAAGCCTGAGTATTTTTTTTTTTTTTTTTGAGATGGAGTCTCGCTCTGTCGCCCAGGCTGGAGTGCAGTGGCGCGATCTTGGCTCACTGCAAGCTCCGCCTCCCAGGTTCATGCCATTCTCCTGCCTCAGCCTCCCGAGTAGCTGGGACTACAGGTGCACACCACCATGCCTGGCTAATTTTTTTGTATTTTTAGTAGAGACAGGGTTTCACCGTGTTCACCAGGATGGTCTCGATCTCCTGACCTCGTGATCCGCCCGCCTCGGCCCCCCAAAGTGCTGGGATTACAGGCGTGAGCCACTGCGCCCGGCCAAGCCTGAGTATTTTTAATTCTAACACATATTTTCCCAAATTTGAACACATATTTTCCAAAAGGGTTATAGCAACTTATACTTCCTTCAGCAATATTTGTGTGTCCATTTTTTACCATCTTATTGGTACTGGATATTACTACTGCTCTAAAAGTTTTTAACTTTGTTAAACTAATGGATAATAAAATGGTCACACACAGTTATTTTGTGTTTATTTCCTTGACTACATCCCAGGAAGAACGTCTTCTTTTATTAGCCATTTGGATTTCTTCTATAGATGGTCTGTTTGTATCTTTTTGCCCATTTTCTACTCTACAGGTTAAAGAGGCTTTTGTATACTGGAGATATAACCAAAAAAGGTCTAAGGTGACTTTACGCAGAGATTGAAGGATGAGCAGCAGATGGTCATCAAGGAGCATGGAAACAGCATTTCAGGCAAAGGAAAATGGAACTCTGTGAACTCAGAAGCATGCTATGGCATGGAAAGCAAAAAGGAAGGAGCACAAGGCAGAGGTCAGAAAGGGAGGCAGGGGCCAACAAACACATAGGGGCTTGAGGGACAAGGGAAGGAACTTGGATTTTTCCCTAGATGTTAGTGGGAACTCCCTGAACTCCCTGAACTGGAGGGACAATAATCTGATTCTGTTTTTATGTATCTAGCTTAAACTCAGAACAGCTTCCAAAATCTTATTCACAGAGGTTTTGTGGTCTTTTGGGCTAAGAATTTAATTATATTGCCTACAAACAAATATAACTGTGTATATTTTACTAACATTTAACTAAATTCTTATCTTACTGTATTAACATTTCCATGTTTAATGATAGCTAGCATGCCTGTATTAATGCATGTATTGGAAATGATTCAGCATTTCACTATTTGGTGTGGTATTTGTATTAGGACTGGGTTATTTTTATTATGCTTAAGAGGTTTCCTTCTATTCTTAAAGTTTTAACTAGAAAATGGTAGTAAATAATATCTCCTTTAGCATCTACAGACTTAACCACACTACTTTGTTAACATAATGAATGAATTATAAGTGATTACCAATAATGAGCCATTCTGGCATTCCTGGAATAAACCCTTTTGTTCACGGTGTTTTATTCTAATAACTCAAGGCTTAATTCCATTTATCAGAGAAGCCATCTTCCACCTTTTTCTGTGGTCTGAAAGAATTCAGATAACGAACTACCTGTTGATTTGCTCCTCAGGACTCCTAAAATACATCATTTAGTCTCAAATGTGTGTTGTGTGTGTGTGTGTGTGTGTGTGTGTGTGTGTGTGTGTCTACTATCTATACAGATAAATATTTTAGAGACAAGGTCTCACTCTGTCTCAGGGTCACCAAGACTAGAATGGAGAGGCATGATCATAGCTCACTGCAGCCTTGAAGTCCTGGGCTCATGTCATCCTCCCACCTGAGCCGCCTGAGTAGCTGGGACTACAGGCGCATGCCATTGTGTCTGGCTAATTTTTGTTATTTTTTTTGTAGAGACAAGTACTTGTTTTGTTGCCCAGGCTGGTCTCAAACTGCTGACTTCAAGCAACCCTCCTACCCTGACTTCCCAAACTTTGTTTATATTTTTGATAGAAAAAATAGTATGTGTATTTTTGATTAATAAAAAATGAAAATAAGCCCAAAACCAGTAAGATAAATGTTTCCAGTCATATTTCTTTCAAATATTAGAAATAGTACCTACCTAATAAATTCAGGAATAAATTTTGGCTGAAATTTGAAAAGAATAAACAGTAAGTCAGTAAAACAGGCTAAGACTACCATAAATAGCTAATAAAGAAACATACCACTTACATGGTGTGAGAGATCAGCATCCATAATAATGATGTAGTTTCCTGTGGCATGTTTCATTCCATGAATATATGCAGTTCCTAAAAATGAAAGTAGATCCATTCAAGAAAATCAACAGAAATCTTTACATATACATTTGAACATCAAGGAAATTGTTTAGCACCTGAAGAGCACACATTAGTTCTCTAAAAGTCAGATTAATAAATTGGTATTTTTCACCTTAAGTACATAAGTTCATGTATATTACATATATAATCAAGAAGGTAGCTGGCCACACACCCCCATTCAGATGTCAATTTAATACAATAGATCATACCTCTATTTCAGTATAGCAAAGAAATAGTTTATAAGTTCAAAAGTCTAAGATTATGTAGCACAATTATCACATTCTCATGCTTTAAAAACCCATCTGGTGTTTCCTTGGCATCCCCCTAAGACACTGATGAGCTCCACATTTACAAATCAGCTTCCTACTTAATATCTCCACTTGGGTATTTCAGAAATCTCAAAGATAACATTGCAAAATCATCTTCCAATTCTCTACCTCTCTCTTACAGGCCACCTCTCCAGGAAAGGCACCAACTATCCAACTGCTCCATCCACAGGTCTAGAGATGATTCTTGATTTCCTGCCTTTAACCATAACTTCTAAACTGTAATTAAGTCCTATTGATTCTCCATCCAAAACATTTCAATTCCCTTTTTCTTGTCTTTTACACCGTAAACCTGGTACGCTAGACCCTTGCTCTGGTATTTGGGGCCAAAGGCCTAGGTGACAATTACTCAGCCAGCTCCATGCCTCAAAGTCCCACAGGGACTTGGCAGGCTAGGGTAACTTGTTAGGAGCAGGACTTGGGGATTCCTGCATTCTCTAGTCCAGACCCCTCACAAGTGTCTTATGAGCAAGGCTGAACTCTTCTAACTTATTTTGTTAAGAAGTGAATATCGGCTGGGTGTGGTGGCTCATGCCTGTAATCCCAGCACTTTGGGAGGCTGAGATGGGTGGATCACTGGAGGTCAGGGAGTTTGAGACTAGCCTAACCAACATGGCAAAACCTCATCTCTACTAAAAATACAAAAAATTGGCCAGGCGCAGTGGCTCACGCTTGTAATCCCAGCACTTTGGGAGGCCGAGGCAGGCGGATCATCTGAGGTCGGGAATTCGAGACCAGCCTGACCAACATGGAGAAACCCCGTCTCTACCAAAAATACAAAATTAGCTGGGCATGGTGGTGCATGCCTACAATCCCAGCTACCTGGGAGGCTGAGGCAGGAGAATCGCTTGAACCCGGGAGGCAGAGATCGCGGTGAGCCGAGATCGCGTCATCGCACCCCAGCCTGGGCAAGAAGAGCGAAACTCCGTCTCAAACAAACAAAAATTAGCCGGGCATGGTGGTACACGCCTGTAATCCCAGCTACTCGGGAGGCTGAGGCACAAGAATGGCTCAAACCCAGCAGGCAGGGGTTGCAGTGAGCCGAGATTGTGCCACTGCACTCCAGCCTGGGGATCAGAGTAAGACTGTCTCAGAAAGATAAAGGAGTGAATATTTACACTTTTTGGTTTCATGGCAGTTTCCAGATTTTTTTGAATCCCAAAGAATCTTCTGGGTTCAGATACTGAGAACATTTGATGCTTGGGAATTGATGGTCTTCAAGATAGCAGACTCCAGTTAAGCATTGTGCTTTCTTCATGTTAAGTTTTAGCACAAATAAAGGCAGAGTTTCCTCTCAGAATTACTGAGCTCATATGAGCTTTTCAATAATGCTGTATGTTTAAAAGCTGGAAAAGCTTCCTTTTTTAAAAATAAAGAATAACTGTTTTTATCACTAGGCTGGAGTGCAGTGGTGTGATCTCGGCTCATTGCAACCTCTGCCTCCTGAGTTCAAGCGACTCTCCTGCCTCAGCCTCCCGAGTAGCTGGGATTATAGATGCGCGTCACGACGCCCAGCTAATTTTTGTATTTTTAGTAGGGATGGGGTTTTACCATGTTGGCCAGGATGGTCTCGATCTCTTGACCTCGTGCTCTGCCCACCTCGGCCTCCCAAAGTGCTAAGATTACATTTGTGAGCCACTGTGCCCAGCCTTAAATGAAGAGTAACTTTTTAAACTTGTAACTTAAAGGATGTTCCAAGGTTTGCAGCATGCTGGTCCAAGATATTTGCCCTCAGACCCATTCTCTGGCCCTTCCCTACTCTGTGCTATATTGGGTGAACTACATATTCCAGATTCTCTTGTCAACTGGCTGCCAAACAGCTTTGGGAGGTACAGGTGGAAGACTGCAGGGAGGGGAAAAGGGAAAAGTCTAAGTGGTCCTCCCTCTGTTACTCTCCCTCCTACCTCTGACTGGGAATTTCCCACAGTTCTAGCTCCTGCCAGGCAGCCCCTGCCCCATCATTCTAGCTCCCTCTGGGCAGCCCAGGTTCTTGGGCTCTAACATCTCTTCCTGCCGTTGCTCCATCCCTAGGGGTGGCAGTGACCTCCAGCTGTTACTAATCTTAGTAGCCTCACTGCTCCATTTGGTTTCTCAGGAACTCCTTCAGGGGTGTAACCAGAGACTCAGTATTAAATTCCCTACACTGAAAGACTTACAGTGGTTCTGTTTTCCTGAGTGGGTCTTGACTTATACAGGCGACCCAAGTTATACCATTTAAATGTCATTAAGATCATTAAAAACCATCATAGGAAGTTACTGTATTTTGGCCCTATTCCAAACTGGGAAAATACACACTGGATCATGTCACCAAGCAAGCAGCAGGTGTGAGGGGTTAGAGATTACACGACTTACCTAGTCCCAACTTTTTCTCTCGTGGTCTTAGAAGCTGTAGGAATAAGAAATAGCATTTTACACACAGAAACAGAAATCTTATCATGTTAAATTTTATCTTATTCAAAAGTGCATACTCACTTTAATAGAAATATAGTTGCACTTGTTAGAACTTAAAGCAAAGTATCCTTAATATTTTTTTGCCAAAAGAAAAAAAAAAGCATTTGGTAACAAACCAAATAGTTTAACGTAGCTAACATTTTTTTTTTTTGAGATGCAGTCTCGCTCTGTTGCCTAGGCTGGAGTACAGTGGCGTGATCTCCGCTCACTGCAACCTCTGCCTCCTGGGTTAAAGTGATTCTCCTGCCTCAGCCTCCAGAGTAGCTGGGATTACAGGCATGCACCACCATGCCCGGCTAATTTTCGTATTTTTAGTAGAGACAGGGTTCCACCGTGTTAGCCAGGATGGTCTCGATCTCCTGACCTCGTGATCCGCCCGCCTCGGCCTCCCAAAGCACTGGGATTACAGGCATGAGTCACCGCGCCCGTCCAGCAAAGCAACATTCTTTAACCCTGACCCTACAATCACAATTTTAAACTTTTTTTTCTGGTGTCACTCACTCTATTTTAAATATGTCTTTACATCTATATTTGATTTTCCTTTTAAATCTATTGATTCCTTCCTAGAAAAATGTAGGACTTACTTCATTATTTTGCACCTTCTTGGGAAATCTGATGTTTGTTCTCTCGATTCCCTTTGGGTTTTGAATACTAATATCACTCTTCCTCTATTAACTTATCTTGACCTTATGCTTGGATGACCTCATCTCCTCTACTGGTCCAAGGACATGTCATATTCCTAATTAAATTCTTTCTCTTTTCTTACTATTGGTCAATCACTTAGTCCTCCTAAATCTTTTTGCTTAATAGTTGGAGCCTGACTTTTACTTGTTTAGTTTTTCCTTTTGGCTGGACACTTTAAAAGTCAAATGCCAAAGTTCTCACTGTGCCCTACGTTTCTGAGGTATGGGGTTCAGGGAGACTCATTAGTGAGCATGTCTTGTCTATCTTGTCCCCTTCTACACTTGCCAGTATATAAGCAGGTTGCCTCTGACTGCAAATCTCTCAACAAAGCATTTTCAATTAAAGCAGATGATTTTTTTTTTTTTTCACTATATGCAATCTGCTGGAGGTTTCTATTTGCATGGAATGTCTTTTTCCATCCCTTCACTTTGAGTCTATGTGTATCCTTACAAGTCAAGTCTTTTGTGGGAAGCATATAGTTGGCTCTTTTTTAAAAAATCCATTCAGTCACTCCAGGTCTTTGGAGAATTTAATCCCTTTATATCCAAGGTAATTACCGACATGTAATGTAAGAACTTCCTACTGCCATTTTGTTAATTGCTTCTAGTTGTTTTGTAGATCTTTTGCTTCTTTCTCTTTCTCCTTTCCTTTATGATTATCTTCTGTACTATTATGCTTTGATTCCTTACTTTTTATCTTTTGTGAATCTACTTTAGGCTTTTCCTTTATGATTACCATGAGACTTACAAAACCCATCTTATAGTGATAACAGGCTATTTTAAGCTGATAACAATCTAACTCTAACTGCTAAAAAGAAATCCTCTACACTTTTACTCCACTATCCCCACATTTAAAAAATTTTAAGTCACAATTTGTATCTATAGCAAAGTACATCTTGCATAAAGATGGATAAAATACACTGCTGTCTGGTAAGAGCTTACAGGAAGGAAAGACATTCAAATAAGCATCTATGATAATTGCAAGTCACTGAACAAAATCGAGCAGGATATATCAGATCACAGCTAGATTTTATTTGATTTTGTGAATAATTTCTGACAAAATACTGATCCCCATCTGGTATCTGCCCTGAAAAAGCAAATTTTTTAAAGCTCATCTGAGATTTTCTACAACTCTGTTTTAGCTGGAAAATCTTTCTTTTAAAAAAAGATAACTTTGGCCAGATGCAGTGGCTCACACCTGTAATCCCAGCACTTTGGGAGGCTGAGGCGGGTGAATCATTTGAGGTCAGGAGTTAAGAGACCAGCTTGGCCAACGTGGTGAGACCTCATCTCTACTAAAAATACAAAAATTAGCCAGGTGTAGTGGCACGTGCCTGTAATCCCAGCTACTCAGGAGGCTGAGGTAGAAGAATCGCTTGAACCCGGGAAGTAGAGGTTGCATGAGCTGAGATCACACCACAGCACTCCAGCCTCAGTGACACAGTGAGACTCCGTCTCAAAAAACAAACAAACAAACAAACAAACAAACATAACTTTGTTACAGTTGCACACCCCCTTAACCCCAAGTGATACTTTCTAAGACCCCCAGGAGATGCCTGAAATCTCCAATAGTACCAAACCTTATATATACTTTTTCTTATACATACACACCTATCACAGTTTAATTTATAAATTAAGCACAGTAAGAGATTAACAATACCCAATAATAAAATAAAACAATTACAACAATATATTGTAATAAAAGTTATGTGAACTTGGTCTAACTCAAAAAATCTTCTTGTACTGTACTTACCTCTTTTCAGACTGCAGGTAACAAATCACGGAAAGCAAAACCATGGACAAGGAGACTATGATACTTATAATTTTCAGAATCTTCAAAGGTTTATATAAAATATTAGAGTATTATGGAGCCATTAACAGAAATGAGGTGAGCTGGTGACAAAAGATCGCCAAGACAGAATTAGAAGTAATGATGATACAGGAAGATGGCAGTTATGTTTTAAAAAACAAGACCACCACACTACCTAGTTCTGCAAATGCACATACACACATATATGCACAAAAAAACGCACCAAACTGTTGACCTGGGTCTCCCCTGTGCAAGGGAATGGGATGCCTATAGAAAATGTTCATCAGGTCGGGCGTGGTGGCTCACGCCTGTAATCCCAGCACTTTGCGGGGCTGAGGTGGGCAGATCACCTGAGGTTAGGAGTTCAAGAAGAGCCTGACCAACACGGTGAAGCCCAGTCTCTACTAAAAATACTAAAATTAGCCAGCATGGTGGTGCAGGTCTGTAATCCCAGCTACTCGGGAGGCTGGGGCAGGAGAACTGCTTGAACCCAGGAGGCAGAGTGTGCAGTGAGCTGAGATCTTGCCATTGCACTCCAGCCTGGGCGACAGAGCGAGACTCCAATCTCAAAAAAAAAATAAATAAATAAATAAATAAAATGTTCATCAAAGGCAACTTCGGTTTTACTGGTAACATTTATATTTTACAAGGATGTGCTTGTTTATTTCTTATGTAGGAAATCCAAACTATTTCTATTTGGTATGCTTTACTTTCAGACTCTTAATTCCACCTCTCCACCCTCCCCTGATCCTTTTTTGCCTCTTCATATCAATCTGATGGCCCCTTTCTATGTGAGGCAGGATAGCATTACAGACAGGAAGATGAACCCTGGAACCACAATGCCTGGGTTTGAATCCTGGCCACTACTCATTTGCCATGTGATCTTGAGAATATAAAGAGGCGTGACAAAGCCCCCTCTCACTTGGCTTTCATGAGGAACAAGCAAGTGGATTCACATAAAGTGCTTGCAAGAATGACAGGCATATACTTTTTGAAGCATGTTTGCCACAGCTGCTTATAAAATACTTTTATGGGAAACTATAATTTGTTTGACAAGAACCTTTGTAAAACTTATCACAGACAATCTTGAAAAAAGTTACTTAAAAACAGAATTGAGACTATAGTACATATACAGTTTTATAAACTGCTTTATACTTATTACAAAGGCATTAAGGATTTTTGAGGGTCATGAGATTACTGCCAGATGATACTTCAGAAAAACAGTATCAATTTATACTAGGATCAACAGTATTTGAGTGGACTTGTTCTATAATACTCTCAGAAACACTGGGTTAAAAAGAAAGGAGAAAATAAAAATAAATCTTCAGCTAATAAGGCTAATATGTACTCTCCTCCTGTTTTGTAAATCTTCACTTATCAGTGAGGCTCAGTATTTTTTTCTTGTTTACTGGCCATTTCTAGTTTTGGTCTTATGAATTATCTGGTTGGTTGGGGTACTGATCTTGTTAGAAATATTTTGGTATTTAGGAATGGACAGAAGTTTAATATTTTCAAGTAGTCAAACCTTTTTATCTTACATTTGATGTTTTAAGAATAATAAACGTGTTACATTTTATTATCAGAGTAAGTTTTTAAAATACTAAACTATAAAATAATGACAAAATGTAAGACAAAGTTCTAAGAATCTACCACACAGCACGGTGACTATAGTTAATAGTATCATATTATATAGTTGAAATTTACAGAGAGCAGATCTTAACTGTCCTCATCACTGTCAACTTGCCCCCAAGGGTAACTACGTGAGGTGATGGACAGGTTCATTCCCCAAATGTGGTATTCATACTTTAAATATATATAACTTTGTCAATTATACCTCAATAAAGCTGGAAGAAAATATGACAAAATATAAATGACTTTATCTGATCTCAAGTTGGGAGATGAAACAAACTACATAAACCAAACATAATAAAAGCATTCAACACAGAGCAGTTGAAGTCCTTCACAATTTCAGATCTCTGCCTTGTAAGCACTGTGAATAGTTCAGAGTAAGTGCCCCCAATTTCTCTATGGTCCTACCTAGTTAGGTCATTAAAAATGACCTAACCTCTCGCTTCAGTTGTGTCACCTACAGAATTTTTAAAAATATCTTCTTTGGCTTCTTTTCTGAAAGATTCATTTCAGCCAGTCTGAAAGGCTGACAAAGCATCTGTGGTGAACACTTTATCTGAGGTATTCTAACATGGTTTCAATATCCTTCATTTTCTCAACGAAACATACATCTGTCACTAAAAGCAAGTGTCATCCCTAGCATGGATTAATACTGTTTTTTTTTAAAAGTCATTTTCTAGTTTAACTTATTTAAATGTCATAAAATAATGAATGAATAAGGAATTTTATCTGGTAGTAGAGGGAAATCGTAACAGTGAATGCAACTTTTTTTCTCATTTTGAATTTTATTGGGTTGATAGAAAAAATGTCTTTGAAGACAATGTTGTTCCAAAATTTGAAAGGTCAGTTTAGTAACCATTCCCTAAAATCAATCAATCACATCCTAAGGCTGAGGTTTTATGACAAAAGTATTCAAAATGTTGTCTGGTTGATGGTCCGAGATTAAATGGCAGCACATAACTCAAAAGTGTTGTGAATCAGTGGCCTTCACCCTGGGCTTCTAAAGAAAACAGGGAACTACTGGCCAAAAATTCAAACCTAGCATTACTGAAAGTCTCTGCTAGAAGCCTGAAAATTTGTCAACTTTTTACCTCTTTCTGTATTCCCATCCATTAGAAGGTTTTCAGAGAAGACTTGAGGTGTGACAGACCTGAGTTACTCATCTGTGAGACAGACTGAAAGAATTCCTAGAACTACATTTACCATGTAGTAACACAGTTCCTTTAAACTCTTGCCACCAAGACCTCATACAACTGACACTCACCTCTAAGTAGAAAGTATTTCTATTACTGAGATTTATCAAGAATATTTAGACTGAGTGGCTTTTTTTTAAAATGATTAATTTACCATTTCTTGAACTGTAAATAACAATAAAGGTTCTCAAAGGGACTTCTTTCTCTATACCAATGGTTCTCTACTGGAGGCAAAGGGTAATTTTTCCCCTAAGGAAATATCTCACAATATCCAAACATTTGCAGTTGCCAAGTGGGGAGGGGGGTTTCTAGTGGCATCTAGTGAGAAGAGTCCAGATGCGGTGCTGAACATCCTACAATAAACACGACAACCCCCACAGTAAAGAATTAATCTGTCCACACGTCAATAGTGCCAAGACTGAAAAACTGTGGTCTGCAATAATTTGTGAATATAAATTATAAAAGAGCTCGAGTATACATAAACATTTGTAAATACAAACCGGTAACCAAAAATAAAATTCATGAAGCCATTATAAAATAAACTCTATATTTGCCTAAGTAACTTCTATATTAGAATAACAAGTTTCAAGGTACAGTGGGTGAATCTAAAGTTTAGGACTAATACAGTCAATCTACTTTCACAAGACTATTCTATAGACTAAAAATGCCAAGTACTCTAAGAAGTCATTAATGTTTCACAAGAAAACAGTAACTTTTTCTACCTACACGCTCTTAATTTCAGGCAGTATTCTCTAATGAAAGCATGAGAATACTTACCGAAAGGGAGCAAGAAAGATTAAGACACACACACACTACCAATTATAACCCAATTATATAATATTCCTTGTCAATTCAGTATCATGCTTTAATTTTTGCCCTTCAAGAAAATTTATCTGCAGAATTAGTTATAAACAGAGTTCATCCAAAAGCTCACTCTTTGCTGTAAAATGACCACTGACCCAACATACCAAAGATATGTAAAATTTTACGGACAACAAAAATGCATTTAAATCCCAAATGCGTAAGTTGCTCTTTATCTTTTCAGTTTCTAAACAAATAGATTGAATTTAAGCATTGTTCATGTCTCATCTTTCCCCTACATAATCACAATTCATATCACAGAAAAATGTTCTTATAACTTACAATTCTGTCTGACCCATAGATCTTCTCCAACTGTTCAGCAACATCCCTTGTTCCATCTGGGCTTCCATCATCTATGATTATAATTTCATAGTTGATTCCACTAAAAAAATTAAATTTGTATTAATGACTGATGACAGTGTTCTCAAATTTAAAAGTAATTTAAAAATTACTAATTCCTTAAAAGTATAAATGGAGATGTATTGCTATATTAATCGTTGAGGAAAACTTCAATTATCAAATGAAATAAATGTCAAACATTTAGTACTTTACCTCCAAACCCAGTATGTTGCTGAAACATGCTAATGTCCTGAGATATTAAAGAATTCCTACACAGAGAACAAACTTTTTAGTTCAAAAGAAAATCACGTAATGACCTATGTATCATATGAATTTTTTTTGTTTTGAGATGGAGTCTTGCTCTGTTGCCAGGCTGGAATGCAGTGGCGCAGTCTCGGCTTACCTCTGCCTCCTGGCCTCAAGCAATTCTCCTGCCTCAGCCTCCGGAGTAGCTGGGACTACAGGCGCCCACCACCACGCCCGGCTAATTTTTTGTATTTTTAGTAGAGACGGGGTTTCACCGTGTTAGCCAGCCTGGTCTCAATCTCCTGACCTCGTGATCTGCCCGCCTCAGCCTCCCAAAATGCTGGGATTACAGGCATGAGCCTCCGTGCCCAGCCATATGAAATTTTATTACCTATTTGGAAATAATATTCTGAACCTTAATAGCAAATCTTAGTTACATAAAATATTTCAAAAGTACTTTACATGGTAACTCAAACCAAACTGAGTAACTCAGTGATTATTCTTGTTAATCTGATCCAAATAGAATAATCAAGTATAAATCTGATTTAATTTCATCTTTAAAAAAACCGATTTTAGAATGGTGACATTATCTTAAACCACAATTTCAAATAGTTGTGCCTATTACCTCACATTATCAAATTAAAAAAACAAAAGCAGAGTAGCATTACAAAAGATTCCACTGTGCTTCAGAATTAACATCTGTTACTTCCCATTAATCTCAGGTGGTAGTTTCTAGTCTAAAAACAAACCAACACAATACTTGGTGGATAAATAATACCTACGACATAACATTCCGTTTTCTCTTGGTCCTGCTTTAAGAAACAAATACAAGAGGCTGGGCGCGGTGGCTCACACCTGTAATCCCAGCACTTTGGGAGGCCGAGGCAGGCGGATCACGAGGTCAGGATATCGAGACCATCCTGGCTAACACAGTGAAACCCCGTCTCTACTAAAAAGAACCCGGGAGGCGGGGCCTGCAGTGAGCCAAGATGGCGCCACCGCACTCCAGCCTGGGCAACAGAGCAAGACTCCGTCTCCAAAAGAAAAAAAAAAAAAAGAAAAAGAAAAAAGAAACAAATACAAGAAAATCAACCAGAAAACATATTCCACTGTTAAAGGCTTTAACAAGTCAGCCCCAGCAAACTTTGAAGACAAGAAAGCAAACCCCTGTGTTATCTATTCTCCAAGAGTAGAACAATGACTTTGGCTTCCCACTGTGCCTTAAATCTGGGCACTGGTGCCTTTACATGCCAAAATATGTAAGGTGATTTTAATAGACGTGCTGAAAGAGAAATTCCATAAACAAAATGGGGTCGTTAAAAGCAAATTACTGTCCCCTACCACTTCAAAGCAGCTACACCACCTGAGGGTGAGGCAGCTCAAAGGTACCAAGCTGGGCTGACTTCAAGTAATTTGATTGCATCTGAAAAGTTTTGTTTCCTTTATCAAACTTCATTTTGATCTTAAAAGATTGATTCACAAACCATTAAAAGGAAACATAAATTGTACTACATAAAAAAATTAAAACAGCAAAAAAAAAAATTGCAAAATTAGAATACAAGCCCTGAACGAGATCGGTTGTATGATAGTTACTTTCTTTAATTTAGAGCTTATAGAAATCAAAATTAAAAGATTAAACAGGAAAAATAAAAATTTTAAAACTCTGAGGGGCAAGGCATATGAAGGCAGTTATTCAAGGAAATACAATCAAAACAGCAATGGTTTTCACAAATGAGTACTTCCAACAATGTTAAGTCTAATGCTCAGGCGGGCTGGTTGATAGGGAAACAGGCACTCTGAAGAATGGAGAGTCCAAACTTGTACAACCTTTTTTTTCTTTAGAGCAATTTGGCAGTAACTGTCCATTTTAAGCACATTTCTGTCGACCCAGCAATCCTACCTCGAAGAATTTATCCCTAGTACACAAGTAAAAGTATGAACGCGTCTGCTGCCAACACTGATGCAATAAAGGAGCACCGCTATGTGTCAAGCACTTTTCTAAATTTAGCTGGAAAATATGGTGTGAACAAAGTCCTTGTTCTCATCGACAAAGCAAAAGCCAAAAAACAGAAACAACCAAAAGGCGCTGGAAATAATCCAGTTCATTGCCATGACCTGATTAAATAAATAACACAGCCATATGGAATGTTACCTAACTTCCAAAGTAATTTGCTATGTTTGTACATGTTAATATGAGAAAAAGTCTTCAAAGATTTCACAGCATGATCCCATTTGTGCAATCGTAAAACAAGTTACTTCGTACTGACTCCAGGATTTTTTGCAGTTTTTAAAAACACTGCATTAACACTTCCAAATTCGAACTCCACCCACCCCCCATCCCGGTTCTAACAATCACACCAAACATCCACCAGTGATCAGCGAAGATGCTCTTCTGCTTTCTCCTTTCCAGAAAGGTTATCGTGCCCAGCAATAGCTCCCTAACCCACACACACCAAACCTCATGCTTATGTAAGCACTCGGCACCGGAGCGGAGAGTGAGAGCTCTCGCTTGGACTCCCGGCTCTTGCCGCAGATCCTGACCGCCTAGAGGGAGGAGTGGGATCACGCTTTCAGCCTCGCTTCCAAGTAAAAGAGTGGCCAACCTTTCTACGGAAAGGCGGGGGACGGGAGTACTACATAATAAAGATAAATGAGAGTCTCACAAAACCCAAGGGCAGGAATGAGAACCCAGGACACGAAGAAAACCCAACAAGCATCCGCCTCTGCTTCCCTCGCAGGGTGGCCCTCTCCCCGGGCCTTCCTGTGTGAGGCAAAGAAGGCTGGACAGGGCCGCTTCGCGCAGCCAGCTGCCGACACCCGGGCCGGGGAAGCCAGCTCATCTCATTCTTCGGGGAGGGAGACCTGGTGCGCTACCTCTCGGAGAAGCTTTTCACCAGCAGCCACACGATGAGCGGCAGGTTCTCGCGCTCGTTGTAGGTAGGTAAAAGCACCGAATATTTGTTCTGTCGTGGACTGCGCACTTCCAGCTCCCGCCGAGACCTGCGAGGACTACGACTGACTTCCAAGGAGGCCATGGCGGAACTGAGCCAGATGCCGGAAGCGGAATTACGTAATGTGGCGCGGAAAAGGACGGGTCGGACCGTACCAAATTCGGAAGCGGGGGATGACCTGTGTGATTGATCGCTAGTTCTTCTAGGGCCATTGCGTGGTTCAATTAGAAATATTCTGGATTTATACATCTTTGAAGTTTAATCTGAAGGTTTCTTCAGGAAGTAAATATCTATTCATCACCTTTTCCCAAGCTCCATAAAGTTTTTTAGTTTATCCCAGTCGCTAGGAGACAGAAGACGGAAGCGGAAATGCCTTTCACGACAACTTCCGGAAGAGGTCGCCATGGCTTCCCGGGAGGAGGTACTCGCCTTACAAGCTGAAGTTGCCCAACGTGAGGAGGAATTGAATTCGCTGAAGCAGAAGCTGGCGTCGGCTCTTTTGGCTGAGCAGGAACCGCAGCCAGAACGGCTGGTTCCGGTGTCGCCGCTGCCGCCGAAGGCCGCTCTGTCCCGAGATGAGATTCTGCGCTATAGCCGGCAGCTAGTGCTGCCCGAGCTGGGCGTGCACGGACAGCTGCGCCTGGGGACCGCGTGCGTGCTAATCGTGGGCTGCGGT
The DNA here is from genome assembly GCF_000001405.40 of Homo sapiens. Classification (NCBI taxonomy): domain Eukaryota; kingdom Metazoa; phylum Chordata; class Mammalia; order Primates; family Hominidae; genus Homo; species Homo sapiens. The sequence goes on from NC_000020.11 coordinate 50,959,116, forward strand.
GGGCTCGGCTGTCCACTAGCGCAGTACTTGGCAGCGGCCGGCGTGGGCCGCCTTGGCCTTGTGGACTATGACGTGGTAGAGATGAGCAACCTGGCCCGCCAAGTGCTGCATGGCGAGGCACTGGCTGGCCAGGCCAAGGCCTTTTCGGCCGCCGCCTCGCTGCGCCGCCTCAATTCGGCAGTGGAATGCGTGCCGTACACTCAGGCCCTTACGCCAGCCACTGCCCTAGACCTGGTCCGCCGATATGATGTGGTGGCTGACTGCTCGGACAACGTGCCCACTCGCTACCTGGTTAATGACGCATGTGTGCTGGCGGGTCGGCCCCTCGTGTCTGCCAGTGCCTTGCGCTTCGAGGGCCAAATCACAGTCTACCATTATGACGGTGGCCCTTGCTATCGCTGCATATTCCCCCAACCACCCCCAGCGGAGACAGTGACCAACTGCGCGGACGGCGGGGTGCTCGGTGTCGTTACCGGGGTCCTGGGCTGCCTGCAGGCCTTGGAAGTGCTGAAAATCGCTGCGGGTCTGGGCCCCTCTTACAGTGGCAGCTTGTTGCTCTTTGATGCCCTGAGAGGGCATTTCCGCTCTATTCGGCTGCGGAGCCGCAGGCTCGACTGTGCAGCTTGCGGGGAACGGCCCACTGTGACTGATCTGCTGGACTATGAAGCCTTCTGTGGCTCCTCAGCCACTGATAAATGCCGCTCCCTGCAACTACTGAGCCCAGAGGAGCGTGTTTCTGTCACCGACTATAAGCGACTGCTGGATTCTGGGGCATTCCACCTGTTGCTGGACGTCAGGCCTCAGGTGGAGGTGGACATTTGTCGTTTGCCTCATGCCCTACACATCCCTCTGAAACATTTGGAACGCAGGGATGCGGAGAGCCTGAAACTCTTAAAAGAAGCAATCTGGGAAGAGAAGCAGGGCACACAAGAAGGGGCTGCTGTCCCCATTTATGTGATTTGCAAACTGGGAAATGACTCACAGAAAGCCGTGAAGATCCTCCAGTCCTTATCAGCAGCTCAAGAGTTAGACCCTTTAACAGTTCGGGATGTTGTGGGGGGCCTCATGGCCTGGGCTGCCAAAATCGATGGAACATTTCCACAGTACTGAGGTGACTGGTATAGTCTGATGAGAAAGATGTGGATTGCCATAATACCTCAAAGATACACTTGTTTGCATTTTTCGGTAATATACATAGGAGCTGGGGATTCTACAGTATCTGTGAATACGTGGACTCCTTTTTATAAGGAGTTTTAAAAATTGTTATGTATTGGATGAATGACTTATTAATGGATTATACCGTTTCTGAGAACCATCATTTTTTTTTTCAGCACACGGAGGATGTCTTGGACATGTGAGATGTAACGTGACAGGATTTTGCATTTTAAACTGCAGATCATTTACATGTCCTTATTTTCCACCTCCCCCAGTCAAAATGCTTTCTAAATCATTTTCACAGATTATATACTTCGGATCTGTTTACTGTTCAGTTAAGAAATTCTTGGATCTTATTAATATTTCAGATGATAGAATACATCCTACAGAAATACATGTTTAAAATGTAAATTGTTTTAATTATTCAGAAAGAGGGTCATTCTATTTGGCCTTTTGAATTAGTATCAAAATGAGATTTTTTTTTTTTTTTTGAGATGGAATCTCTCTCTGTTGCCCAGGCTGGAGTGTAGTGGTGCGATCTCAGCTCACTGCAACCTCCGCCTCCCAGGTTCAAGCGATTCTCCTGCCTCAGCCTCCTGAGTAGCTGGGATTACAGGCGCACGCCACCACGCCTGGCTAATTTTTGTATTTTTAGTACAGAGGGGGTTTCACCATGTTTGTCAGGCTGGTCTCGAACTCCTGACCTCGTGATCCGCCTGCCTCGACTTCCCAGAGTGCTGGGATTACAGGCGTGAGCCACCACACCCTCCCGAGATCTTTAAAGTTTACCAAAATAAAGGAAACCACCTTTGTAGTCTGTCAGTGTCTCTTATAAATTGCTACTGTTTTCTTAAAGTTAACTTCAGGGTCCACCTTATGTTGCACACATATCACATCGTTTAAATTGCATACTATGGTTTGACTTGCTTTGGAATTTTCAAGTCAAAGTCCCAACCCTTTGCCTCTCCCCCTTTAATTTGCCTTTTCTCTTTTGATTTAATGTTTTTTTATTCCAGCATTTTATACTAATGTAAAATGTTTTTATGTTTGTTTACTTAACATTTTCATAAAATAGTAGGTAGTCTCACCAACTTCCAATATATACAACAACATTATAAGTAAAAATTTGATTTGTGAGTGCCTATCAGTGGCCAGATGAACTAATGGCTTGTCAGAAGGGGGCCTGTGACCTCCTGCTTGCTGCATGCAGGCTTATAATCATCAATTGCTGCTGTTGTTTTTTTAAGAATGGCAGAAATCACAGATACAACTATAAAATCTTTGTATTTCTGTTAACCATTTTTTTTAAAGCTTAAATGTATCATAAGCCAGCAAAAACCCTTTGTAGACCAGATTTACTTACCAGTTTGCAATTTGTGATATAGAATCTTGTTTTATTATAAGAGGGTGGTATTTAACAAATTCAAAATTAGTCATCACTTTTTAACTGTGAAACATTGTAACTAATTCTTTGAACAGGTATACTTAAAGTATGGTATACCCTTCTGTTATAAAGATGAAGCAGGTCTCTTATGACTGTTCCTGCCAACGAGTTATGGAGGTAAATGACTGTGACCTGGAGTGGAGAACAAAGATGGCTGGCCTGTGTTTTTCATCTCCTTCTTCCAGGGACAACTGATTCTGATACATAGCAGGAAACAAATAGCGACACACAGGAACAATTTCATATTCTAAAGACTGAAGTCCTAAAGTTATAGACAGTTGTAGTTCCTATAAACCTGGTTGTCACAGGGGACAGGCAAGAGAAGCTGACTAGCTAAGTGTTAAAAGGTTTACTAAAGTGATAGGAGGTGCTTTTGAGAATTTTGGGGACAGATTCAAGGCTGTACTTCTAGGAATGATGCCCGAAATCATGCACAAAACTGGCCTTAGGAGAACAGTGTCTATGTTGTGCTGCCCTATCAAGTACCGGAGGAAACGCCACTACAGTCTCACCAGTTTCACTTGACGTGCCCCCCCAACTCTCCCAGAAAGCCCAACACTTCAGCCACAGTCCATGTGTCGAGAAACAGAGTCACTACATTATTCTTTTCTGAGTCAAGCCTTATGAGGGTGCCTGGTAGGCAGAGTCTAATTACATGCCTACATCTTAGCTGCAAGAGAGGCTGGGAATTTGTGTTTTGATATCTACAATAGGAAGACAGAACTCATGATGTGGGATTTTCCCAAATAGTGAAATATTTTTCAAAAGATGGGCTGTTAAGAATATAACAGATACCCAGTACACAACCCAGATCTATTTCAGTATTTGTTTTTTGTTGTTGTTGTTTTGGAGACAGAGTCTCGCTCTATCCCCCAGGCTGGATGGAGTGCAGCGGCACAATCTCGGCTCACTGCAACCTCCACCTCCCATGTTCAAGTGATTCTCATGCCTCAGCCTCCTGAGTAGCTGGGATTACAGGCACCTGCCACCACATCTGGCTAATTTTTCTATTTTTAGTAGCGATGGGGTTTCGCCATGTTGGCCTGGCTGGTCTTGAACTCCTGACCTCAGGTGATCTGTGCACCTCAGCCTCCCAAAGTGCTAGGATTACAGGCATGAGTCACTGCACCTGGCATATATTAGTATTTGAAATTTGGTTTTCTCTGGGGATTGTAGCTAGGTTTTTATGGTGAGATAGGATTTGAACATAATTTGTTTTTTGAGACGAAGTCTTGCTTCGTCGCCCAGGGTGGAGTGTAGTGTTGTGATCACAGCTCGCTGTGGCCTCAACCTCCTGGGTTCAAGTGATCCTCCCACCTCAGCCTCTCAAGTAGCTTGAATTACAGTTGTATGCCACCATGCCTAGCCATTTTTTAATTTAAAAATTTTTTGGTAGCAATGGGGTCTGAATATGTGGCCTAGGCTGATCTCAAACTCCTGGGCTCAAGCATCCCTCCTGCCTCAGCCTCCCAAAGTGCTTGGGATTACGGGTATGAGGCACCATGCCCAGCCTGAACTTGATTTTTTTGTTGTTTCCTTTTCATAACAAACATCAAATGCCTTCAGTGTACTAGTTCTTCTAGGTTCTGGAATAAAAATGAGCAAGAGGTTTCCTGTTGTAGAGGAGTTTATATTTAAATGGTGATAAGTAAATTACTGATAAGTGCCATAAAAGAAATGAAACTGTGACATATTAGGGTGGGGGAGGGGATCTGTTTTGAATAGCTTAATTATGGAAGGCCTCAGAGATGACATTAAACCCAAAACCTGAAAGGTGAGAAAGAGCCAGTTACAGAAGATCTGAGGAAAATTCTATACTGGGAGAAAAATAACTGTAAAGACCTCAAGGTAAATAAACTTGGAATGTTCCGTTCAAGAAACTGCAGAGGCAAGTTGGGTTGCAAACAATTAGGGAGAGTGGGACAGGGTGAGGTTTGAGAAGCAGGGAACATCATAAACTTTGTAGACCATAGTAGTTTGGTTTTTATTCTAAATACAATAATAGCTAATATTTTGAGCACTTACTGTGTTATTTGGGATTTGAATCCAGATGCTCTGGTTGAAGAGCCCATTCCCTAAGTGTCATGCTATACTGACTCTAAGCAAAACTTTGCCATTGCTTCATATGTGTTCATGCCCTGTCAGGGCATAGAAAGCAATCTATGTCCTGACAATCACGGAAGTGTATTCCAGATACAATAGAAATGTACTCTGAGACATTTGGTATGCCTCCTTCTCTCTAGATGTGGAACTCCAGAGTGAAATCTTGGGGAATCCTCTGTGTAACACTGGTGTATTACACAGGCAGTGTCCCGAGGTGGGTGGATCACTTGAGGTCAGGAGTTGAGACCAGCCTGGCCAACATGGAGAAACCCTGTCTCTACTAAAACAAAATTTGCCGAGTGTGGTGGTGTGCGCCTGTAATCCCAGCTACTTGGGAGGCTGAGGCAGGAGAATCACTTGAACCTGGGAGGCAGAGGTTGCAGTGAGCTGAGATCGTGCCATTGCACTCCAGCCTGGGCAACGAGTAAAATTCTGTCTCAAACAAACAAAAACCAAGCCCAGAATTTGGGTGAAAAATAGGATAGTTTATTATGAAGTACTGTGGATTGACACTGACTCTGGTTTCCAATCTTTAGTTCAATTATTCACGATTTAAAAAACAACAGTTGTGAATTATCTAGGTGTTTTTTTCTGCTGCTGCTGCCTTTTTTTTTGTGGGGGGGACAGAGTCTCTCTCTCCTAGGCTGGAGTGCATTGGCATGATCTTGGCTCACTGCAACTCAGCTTAGGACTATTTAATTAATCAACAGCTGCTATGTATTTTATCCTCATGCGCATTGCTCTGTAGAGAAACATCTGCCCATGTCTGTAGGCTTGACAACCCTGACCTTGCACAAAGGCCCGAGTTTCCCATTTATTTGCTTCTATTCTATCAGAACTAGAACCCAAGTGCTTATTATAAGTAGAGGACATGCAATGGGGAAGTCATTTAGGTCATGCCAAGGAAACACAACGGGTTCATTTAAGAAATATTTAATGCTCATTACAAATGGTCAGGTACTGATGCCTGACACAGAGGGACACAACCACGAACAAGACAGACTGGGCGTCTTGTCCATACAACCTTACATCCTAGTAGAAGAGGGAGAGGACAGATAACCAGTTATACAGTCATAGATTGTGATTTGTAAGAAGCAATAATGGCTGGGGGCTGGGGTGGTAGCCAGAGAAGACCCCTGGCAAGGGGCCGTTTCAGCCAAGAAGCTTGAAGGAGATGGCAGGAGCCACGAGGTGAGCTGGGAAGAGCATTCAGGCAAGGGGAACAGCAAGTGCAAGGGTTCTGAGGCTGGAAAGAGCATTTCAAGTTGGGATACACATAGAAGCCAGCTAAGGCCAGAGCACAATGAATGGGAAGAGGGAGGCCAGGGCCAGATGGCGCAAGGCATTGTGGGCTATGGTGAGGAGGCTGGATCTTATTCTAAGGATCATGGAAACCCATGGGAGGTTTTAAGAAGGAGGATGTGGCCAGGAACAGTGGCTCACGCCTGTAATCCTAGCACTTTGGGAGGCCAAGGTGGGTGGATCACCTGAGGTCAGGAGTTTGAGACCAGCCTGGCCAACATGGCAAAACTCCGTCTCTACTAAAAATACAAAAATTAGCCGGGCAGTAGTGGTGCATGCCTGTAATCCCAGCTATTCAGGAGGCTGAGGCGGGAGAATCGCTTGAACCCGGGGGGCAGAGGTTGCAGTGAGCCGAGATTGCACCACTTCACTCCAGCCTGAGCAAAAGATTGAAACTCCATCTCAAAAAAAAAGAAAAAAAAAAGGAGGATGTGCTGGTGTGCAGGGACCCTGTTTCTAAATTACCAAGATTCTTCCGGCCCCTCTGTGAAAAAGGGAGATTATGGTGCAAGGACAGAGGCAGGCGATCAGCTAGGCACAGGTGAAAAGTGATGGCACCTAAGTATGTCAGTTTCCTATTGCTGCTGTGACAAGTTACCACAAACGAAGTGGCTTGACACAGGTTTATTCTCTTACCATCCTGGAAGTCAGAAGTCCTAAAATCAAGGTGTGATCAGGGCTGCTTTTTTTTCTGGAGGCTCTGGGAGAGGATTCGTTCCTGGCCTTTTCCAGCTTCTAGAGGCTGCCTGCCTTCATCGGCTCTCGACCCTTCCTCCATCGTCGAAGCCAGTGGTATATCAATTTCAACCCCTAACTCCGTCGTGATGCCCTCAGTCCAACTCTCCCTCACAAACTCTGTCATTCTTTTTTTTTTTTTTTTTTTTTTGAGACAGAGTATCGCTCTGCCACCCAGGCTGGAGTACAGTGGCTCCATCTCGGCTCACTGCAACCTCCGCCTCCTGGGTTCAAGTGATTCTCCTGCCTCAGCCTCCCGAGTAGCTGGGACTACAGGCATGTGCCACCACGCCTGGCTAATTTTTGTATTTTTAGTAGAGACAGGGTTTCACCATGTTGGCCAGGCTGGTCTCGAACTCCTGACCTCAGGTGATCCATCCGCCTCAGGCTCCCAAAGTGCTGGAATCATAGGCGTGAGCCACCGCATCCAGCCTTGTCTGCCTCTTCTAAGGGCTTGTGATTATATAGGGCCCAACTGGCTAATCCAAGCTACACTCCCCATCACAGGATTTTTTTTTTTAACCTTGCAGCTCCAGCTCAAAGGATCAGACTTCCTAACTTAAATTACACCTGCAAAGTCCCTTTTACCATGAAAGTAACATATTTACAGGCTCCAGGGTTTCAGGCTTGACATCTTTGGGGGCTGTTATTCAACTGGCCACACTAGGACTAGAATGGGTGGTAGAGAGGAGGGAAGTAGACAGATTGGCGCGGTGACTTGGAGGTGGACATCTTTGAAGGATCAGAGGAGGGAGAGGGGGAAGTCAAGATGCCTCAGGGTTGGGCTTGAGCACCTGGATGGACTGGGTGGATGTTTGTGTTATTTACTGGGATGAGGATACTGATGAGAGCCACTGGGGGAGGACTGAGGACAGCAAGTAAGAAACATACTTTCTCCTTCAATATAGAGTATTCTTTTATGTCCATGGAATCATTAGACACACAATGAGAGAAGCACCAAGCAAGACATGCCAAATCTGTTCTTTATGGAGAATCATGAAACCTTCCTGGTGCCACAAGAAACCTCCTTACCAGGGGCAAACCAACCCAAGCCAAGAAGTAATTGTCTTCTACTCCTACAGATAGGAGACAGCAACTCCATAGACTTAAGTATACAGTAAAGTATTACTTTATATTTTGTAGGCTTAGTATCCTACTAAGCAAGTAATTCGAGATTCCTGAAATTTGGAACCATTATAAAAAATCTTTAATTGAACAAATTATATATAGAAAAATGCACAAATCCTGGCTGGGTGTGGTGGCTCACACCTGTAATCCCAGCACTTTGGGAGACCAAGATGAGGGGATCACTTGAGTCCCGGAGTTCGAGACCAGCCTGAGCAACATAGTGAGACCCTGCCTCTATTTTTAAAAAAGAAAAATGCACAAATTCTAAGTGTACTGCTTGATTAATTTTCATAACTTGAACACACTCTTGTCACCATCTCCCTCCTAGACCAAGAAACATAATGGTAGGGGAACCCAGAGCCTCCCTCATGCTCTTTCCCATCCCCCACCCCACCCCCCGGGAGGCCCTGCAAACTGTGAACCTATAAAAGAAAGCCATGAAAGGAAATAAGCTTATTCTTAGAAATTTTACTATCAGTTTTCAAGATGCAGCCCCAATCAAACATTTTTTTCCCCTTCATTATTTAGTTTGAAATTTGGGTCCCCACTTTAAGTGGCTTTACTATAAATGGCATTTTCCTGCTGCCAGAGATACTTGCCTAGCTGACCTTAGCTCCCCTGGCTATGAGAATTGCATCCTGGTAGACTGATTTTCAGATGGGAGGACAAGCTAAATTGGCCAGAATTAATGCAAAGTGAAAGGCTGCCTTGAATGAGCCGAGCTCAGAAATTCAGTGTTAAGGCTTTCACCCGGCCTTATCTTATTACATCTGGGGATTTCTGCTTGGCCCAGCTGACATGGCATATGGAGAGCCGAGGGAGAGACCCACAGACCACACAGGGGACACTTGCCATTTGACACGCTTGAAGAGTTTGGAAGAATGTTCCTGCAGCCTCGGGAAGGAAGGCTTCGCTGATGAATAGAGCAGCTTATGCCAGTGGACCGAGGTGATTCTTTCCTTCTGTTTCTCAGCCAGGGGTAGCTGCAGGGCCTAAATTGAGCTTCTCCATCACTCCCTGCCTTCCTCAAATATTTTTGAGCACCTTCTCTTCACCAGCACCGGGAAGACAGCACTGTGAATAAGGTAGACACATTCTTTGCTCCTCCAAAGCCCCCATCGTTGCTTTGAAATGAGGAGAGTAGTGTTAAAAAACGAGGTACACAGTGAGAACTAGCGACATAATTTGTAGGTTCCCTGTTCAAAAACTACTAATAATTTCATTGCCAGCCAATAAATTGTCACACAGTTGAAAATGATATGTCACAACACTCCTTTATTGTCTTACAGTTCTGGAAGTCGAAGTCCTAAAATCAAGCTGTCATCAAGGCTGCTTTAATAAAATTAAATTTGCACCAAAACCAACCAAACAAAAAGAATATCATGATGACAGCGGAGCATTCAACCAAGCACAAGGCCCTCTGAGCATGCGGCCCTGTGACTGCACACGCCGTGCACTCATGCAGCTGGCCTTGAACTCAATAATATAGTGTAGGGCACTCCGCCATGTCTGGAGACATTTTGATTGTCACAACTGCGGGGGGAGGGGAGGTGCTACTGGCATCCAGCAGGGAGAGGCCAGGGATGCTGATAAACATCCTACAATGTCCAGGACAGCCCCCATCGCAAAGAATCATCTGGACCCCCAACGTCAATTGTGTCGAGGTTGAGATATTCTGCTTTTATCAATGACAGTTTCAATGTAGGCCAGAAAGAAAAAAGAAATTCTGAGGGTTTTATGAAAGCATACATACTGCCGGGGGGCTTGCTTTGTCTGGGGAAGGCCTCTTGGAGAAAAGGACCTTTGAGCTGAGACGTGAAGAATGCGAGCGAATTAGCCAAGCCAAAAAAAGGAAAAGGAGGTAGCAGATGTTGGGATTTTAGAGGGCCAATGCTTCGCATCCTTTTCTTTCATACTGAGGTTCAGAACCAAGTGAGAAAGAGATGCTTGAGTTAGGAAGACGATGAAAATTCCACCTTTATGAGTAAGAAAGCTATTAGGTTGGTGCAAAAGTAATTGTGGTTTTGTCATTAAAAGTAATGGCAAAAACACGGGCCAGGTGCGGTAGCTCATGCCTGTAATCCCAGCACTTTGGGAGGCGAAGGCGGGTGGATCACTTGAGGCCAGGAGTTCAAGACCAGCCTAGCCAACATGGTGAAACCCTGTCTCTACTAAAAATACAAAAATTAGTTGGGGTGTGGTGGTAGGTGCCTACAATCCCAGATTCTCTGGAGGCTGAAGCAGGAGAATCTCTTCAACCCAGGAGGCGGAGGTTGCAGTGAGCTGAGATGGCGCCACTGCACTCCAGCCTAGGCGACAGAGTGAGACTCTGTGTCAAAAACAAACACACAAACAAAACAAAACATAACAAAAAAACAAGTAATGGAAAGAACCACGATTACTTTTGCACCAACCTAATATTTGGGGACTATGTTTAGGTATGGCCAGTCTTGCTAACATGCTGTCCCACCCTTTCCCACACACATACTGTCCCAGTCTGCAGGTCCACCAGAGGGACAGAGCCGCCCTGCTGCTCAGCAGACAACCCCCCACCCCCAGGCCAATCTTAAAAAGAGGCAAGAGGCAAGGCAGAGCACATATGCCCAGTTCCTTCTCTCAAACTCTCCAGCTGGCCACATCAGTCATCCTTCCTGGATGGGCGTGGGAAGGTGGAGCAAGACAGAGAGACACCAGGACTTACTCTGGGGCAGCACTCTCCACTCCACCTCAGCTGCAGAGTAAAATGGCTTGGGGCACTTTTTTTTTGAGATAGAGTTTCACTTTTGTCGCCCAGGCTGGAGTGCAGTAGTACGATCTTGGCTCACTGCAACCTCCACCTCCCGGGTTCAAGCAATTCTCCTGCCTCAGCCTCCCAAGTAGCTGGGATTACAGGCATGCACCACCATCCTCAGCCAATTTTTGTCTTTTTAGTAGAGATGGGGCTTCACCATGTTGGCCAGGCTGGTCTCAAACTACAGGCCTGCGCCACCATCCTCGGCTAATTTTTGTCTTTTTACTAGAGACGGGGCTTCACCATGTTGGCCAGGCTGGTCTCAAACTCGTGACCTCTGGTGATCCACCCACCTCAGCCTGCTGGGATTACAGGCATGAGCCACTGCGCCCCGCCGCTTGGGGTGCTTTGAATAGTCCTGTTGCTCAGGCAGCATTCCAGCCCAATGAAGCCAGAATCTCAGGGGTCAAACGTTGGTATTTAAAAGTTTATTTATTTTTTATTCTTTGAGACACTGTCTCCCTCTGTTGCCCATGCTGGAGTGCAGTGGCACAATCATAGCTCACTGCAGCCTCAACCTCCTGGGTTCAAGCAATTCTCCCACTGCAGCCTCCTGAGTAGCTGAGACTACAGGCACCTCCTACCACGCTCAGCTACTTTCAAAAAATTGTTTTCTGTAGAGACGAGGTCTCACTATATTGCCCAAGCTGGTCTTGAACTCCTAGGCTCAAGCCATCCTCCCACCTTGGCCTCCCAAAGTGCTGGGGTAACAGGTATGAGCCAGCAACTGTGGCTAGCCTCATTGGTATTATTATTATTTTTTAAAGAGTTCCCCCTCCCAAGGTTGTCAGATAAACTACAGAATGCCCAGTTAAATGTGCATTTCAGATAAACAACATCTTTTTTTTTTCTTGATGCAAGTATTTCCCAAAGATTGCATGGGAGATACTTACATTAAAAACATATTTGCTGTTTACCTGAAATGCCCATTTTACTGGGTGTCTTATATTTATTGTTGCTAAATCAGGTGACCCCATGATTCCAGATGAGCCCAGTGTGCAGCCACATTGGAGTTGACTGCTGTTTTAATGGAAGTGCCTCTCCAAGGAAACAGAAAGAATGGGAAATAGGTGTCCTTCCACAATCTCCCTTCCAGCATTGGTTCTCTTGACCCATTAGGTATAACTATTAGGCCTTTGGACACCCAAGGGTGGGTTGCCTCCATGGGGCGATAGTGGTCTCTGAAGCCATTCCTGGCTTTGCCTTCTTGAACTCCAATACCAGCCAGTGCTCCTTGTGGAAACTCCTAGACAGAGTGGCCCAGCAGTGGGCTTGGAAAGGCATGCTCATTAAATCAACCCAAAGGCTACTCTTCACTGACAATTAATTCCCTATTTCTTTCCCATCTCAAATTATGTGCAGCTTTGTTGTCCAGTGTGGCTCATCAGAGGTTTGGTAATGAGATTAAATATACTCTCATAATAAAAGCCAACAGTATATTTCATATTTGAATATAAAGTCTTCATTATATTCCCTGGGACAAATTAATATCCAAAGATTCCTTGTAACCAAAGGCACAATTGAAGTCCAAAGGAATTAAAGGCTGAACTCAAATACTCTTGCCCACCTCCCCCCCGCCTTTTTTTTGAGATGGAGTTTTGCTCTTGTTGCCCAGGCTGGAGTGCAATGGCACAATCTCAGCTCACTGCAACATCTGCCCCCTGGGTTCAAGCGATTCTCCTATCTCAGCTTCCCAAGTATTGGGATTACAGGCATGTGCTACCTTGCCTGGCTAATTTTTTTTGTATTTTTAGTAGAGACGGGGTTTTCACCATGTTGGCCAAGTTGGTCTTGAACTCCTGACCTCATGTGATCCACCCGCCTCGGCCTCCAAAAGTGCTGGGATGACAGGCATGAGCCACCATACCTGGTCCCCCTTACCCTTATGAGCTGTAAGACCAAAACAATTAGAGTCCAAATTCATCTTCCCTGATTTCTTATCTGTTCAGTCTCAGCCATGTGGAGTCTCATTATGATGGTCAGGTAGAGGACCCTTCAGTAGCTGCAACCTGAGCTGTTTACCCTAAACAGGTGTGATTCCTTTAGGATCTCAAAGGCTGAATGAGTCTCCAGGAGCCTTCTTAAAGGGTTGAAAGAGAGATCACGCAAGAAGGAAATAGCAGCCCTAGCCCTGTGCCCACGACTTTTTCTGAAGAAGCCAGTTTCAGCCCTGAGCAGACCGTGTTCCCCTAACACAAGCAAAATGATACACCCACAACCCACCTCCTGGTATAATCCAGGCCCATGTTTTATTACTGCTAAAGATAAAAGCAGAAAATAATACTGGTTCCAGCTTCATCAGGATGCAAGGCAGTCTGTGTTTTGTGTCCACATGTCCACAATCCATGAATGTAAATCCAGTTGGAACAGGGGTCAGCATGCTTGTTCTGTAAAGGGCCAGAATAAAAATATTTTCAACTTTGTGAGCCATATGATCTCTGCTGCAATGACACAACTCAACTGCTACACTGTGAAAACGGCCATAGACGATACTTAGACAGATGGGCATGGCAGTATTTCCAATAAAACTTTAGTTTCAAAAATGGGTGGTGGCCTGTAATTGCCTGACCCCTGAATTGGGAGAAATCTCCCATGAAAAGGTTACTTTTTAAATTTTTATAATTTCTTGGCTGGGCACGGTAGCTCACGCCCGTAATCCCAGCACTTTGGGAGGCCGAGGTGGGCGGATCACGAGGTCAGGAGATTGAGACCCTCCTGGCTAACATGGTGAAACCCCGTCTCTATTAAAAATACAAAAAAATTAGCCGGGCGTGGTGGCGGGTGCCTGTAGTCCCAGCTACTCGGGAGGCTGAGGCAGGAGAATGGCATGAACCCGGGAGGCAGAGCTTGCAGTGAGCCAAGATCGCACCACTGCACTCCAGCCTGGGTGACGGAGCGAGACTCCGCCTCAAAAAATAAATAAATAAATAAATAAATAAATTTCTTTAGAGACAGGGTCTCATTCTGTCTTGCCGTCTGGAGTGCAATGGCATAATCAGCTTGCTGCAGCCTCAACCTCCTAGGCTCAAGGGATCCTCCTGCCTCAGCCTCCTGAGAAGCTGGAACCACAGGCTTGTGTCACCACACTCAACTAATTTTTGTATTTTTTGTAGAGATGGGCTTTTGCCACATTGCTCAGGCTTGTCTTGAACTCTTGAGCTCAAGTGATCTGCTCACCTTGGCCTCCTAAAGTGCTGGGATTACAGGCATGAGCCACTGCGCCTGGCCCATCAGACCCACTTCTGAACCAGGCTTGGACTCAGTCTGTGGTTCCTCTTTGATTTGTCTTATCTTTACTGAACCTATCATTAGAGCTGGGGTTGCATAAGGTTTTCAGGCCTGTTCTTTTGGACACAGGCAAGTCCTGTGTCCTCACCCGAAAAATCATCACCTGGAAATCATCCAATAATAATTTTGATATTTTACTGTGATATTCTCCTCTCCAGTCAGTACCAAGCTAGCTTCAGGGGACAGTTCTCTTCTGGCTCTTTATTTGGGCTCTCTCTCTCTGCAGCTTTTAGAGTTTTCCGTATCTTGCCTCCATCTTCAGAGGCTGCTCCAGTCTGCCAAGATCTGACCTTTTCTCCTCTGGAGGATTTGTTTGGGTCCTAGTAGCAGTCAGGTGTTCTCCCTTTTTCAGATAACCCTGTAGGGGCCAAGAAACCTGGGTGTAGTCTGTTGTCCTTTAAGATTTTGGTCTTTTAGCTCTTATTTGCCTCTTCATATGGTCCAGCTATCTTCTAAGATGTTGATATTTTTCCTAGGGAAAGATCTTAATTCATCTTTGGTTTAATCAGCCTTTCTACTGCCCTTCTTTTATTTATTTATTTATTCTCACCCACACAAGGGCATGGCCAATTGGAAATCATCTTAAAATTCTGACTGCCACATAATTTTATCCATAAATGTTTCTAAAACATAAGGTTTTTTGGTTCTTTTGAGATGGAGTTTTGCTCTTTTTGCCCAGGCTGGAGTGCAGTGGCACAGTCTCAGCTCACTGCAACCTCCGCCTCCCAGGTTCAAGTGATTCTCCTGCCTCAGCCTCCTGAGTAGCTGGGATTACAGGCGTCTAGCACCACGCCTGGCTAATTTTTTGTATTTTTAGTAGAGACAGATTTTTACCATGTTGGCCAGGCTGGTCTTGAACTCCTGACCTCAGGTGATCTGCCCACCTCAGCTTCCCAAAGTGCTGGGATTACAGGCGTGAGCCACCGCACCTGGTCAAGATTTTTTTTTAAAAAAGCAACTATCTACGGGTGCCATGGCTTATCTACAATCCCAGCATATTAGGAAGCTGAGATGGGAGGACTGCTTGAGCCCAGGAGTTGGAGACCAGCCTGGGCAACATAGCAAGACCCTCCCCCTAAAAAAATTTTTAAAACATTAGCTGGGCATGGTGGTGCACACCTGTGGTCCCAGTTTCTTGGGAGGCTGAGGCAGGAGAATTGCTTGAGTCCAGGACGCTGAGGCTGCAGTGAGCCGTGACCACACCACTGCACTCTAGACTGGGCTACAGAGCAAGACTCTGTTTAAAAAAAAAAAAAAAAAAGCAAATATCACAAAACAATTCCTGTACCCACTTTTAAATTGAACAATAATACTTGTTATTTTTTGAGACAGCTTCTCTCTCTATTGCCCACTCTGGAGTGCAGTGGTGTGAACATGGCTCACTGCAGCCTCAACCTCTGCAGCTCAAGAGATCCTCCTGCCTCAGCCTGCTAAGTAGCTGGTACATGCCATCATGCCTGGCTAATTTTTGTATTTCTTATACAGAAGGGGTCTCGCCATGTTCCCCAGGCTGGTCTCAAACTCCTGGGCTAAAGTAGTCCTCCCACCTTGGCCTCCCAAAGTGCTGGAATTACAGGTGTGAGCCACTGAGCCTGGCCTACAATAATTCTTTAATGACATTAAATATCCTATCAGTGCTCAAACTTCCAATAGGCTCCATATCAGGATAAAGAAAACCCTGGTTTGTTTGAATGAGTATTTAAAGTCCACACATTCCAATTGATTGACATGTCTTTTGTATATCTTTTTTTTAACTTTTTTTGTCTTTTATGTATCTTTTAATCTCTAGACTTTCCCTTCCACTTTTTCTTTTCCCTTGACAGTATGTTTGTTGAAGAAATGGGGCTGTCTGTCCTGTAGCGTTTCCCACAGTCCAGATTTTGCAGCTCCACTGTGTAGCTTAACATGTTCTTCTGTCCTCTGTATTTCCTATAAACTGGTAATTAGATCTAGCAGCAGGATCACATTCAGGACTGAGGTTTTTTTTCTTAAGACAGGGTCTTGCTCTGTCATCCAGGCCGGAGTCTCTAACTCCTGGCTGAAATGATCTTCCTGCCTTAGCCTCCCTCAGTCTTATATTCATAATTTTGTAACCTTTTTCCCAGAGGGGGTCTTTGCAGTATTAAGCTTCAGGGTCTCCAAGTCTGGATCTACCTGTCCCTAGCCTTTTTTTTTTCTTTTTATTTGAACCGGAGTTTCACTCTTGTCTTCCAGGCTGGAGTGCAATAGCCCAATCTTGGCTCACTGCAACCTCTGCCTCCCGGGTTCAAGTGATTCTCCTGCCTCAGCCTCCCAAGTAGCTGGGATTACAAGTGCCCACCACCGTGTGTGACTAATTTTTGTATTTTTAGTAGAGACAGGGTTTCACCGTGGTGGCCAGGCCGGTCTCGAACTTCTGGTTTCAGGTGATCCACCCACCTTGGTTTCCCAAAATGCTGGGATTACAGGTGTGAGCCACTTTGCCCAGCCCCTAGCCTTTCAACGAATTCCCTCCATAGCTTTAATTCCAGCAACGTCTTGACCCGCGGGGCCATACAATCCCCAATCCCACTGCCTGCACACTGCACCCTGCCCGTTACAATCCCCCATCCCACCGCCTGCACACTGCACCCTGCCCATTACAATCCCCGATCCCACCGCCTGCACACTGCACCCTGCCCATTACAATCCCCGATCGCACCGCCTGCTCACTGCACCCTGCCCATTCCCATTACAATCCCCGATCCCACCGCCTGCACACTACACTCTGCCCTTTACAATCCCCCATCACACCACTTGCACTCTGCACCCTGCCCATGTTTTCACTTTCCTCTATTCCAGCTGAGATTTCATCACCCACTGCTAGAATCCCTTCCTTGCTCATGCTGTGTCCTTGTTTCTCGGCAAAACCCCAAACTTGATGAAACCCAACTTCCCAGTCTATTCCTGCAAATGTGCAGCTCAGCACAGCAGGAGAAACAACATCAGTTGACTGTGTTGCTGTTCAGTCAAGCGGGCCTGTGGGCTGCCCCCCGGGAGCGCCTGCTTGAGAATGAAGCCAAGAGCAGGGCAGAGTGGAGCCCATCCTGGCAGCCACCCTTTCCCAGCTGGTCTAACTATGGGCCCAGGATGGGTTCTTACTGGGCACACTGTAGCGAGCAGGGCTGGGGTATTCTGATTGGCCAGGCCTCAGCCATAGGCCCATCCCTGGATCTGGACTGGGGGTTGGGTAAATGGGGTCAGCACCATCCAGTCCCATGGCCTGCAAGTTGGGGAGAGGGGGTTCTTGTTTTAAAATGTAGGTTTTATTATTATTTAGAAATGAGGAGACCAACAGATCAGGAGACACCCTGTTATTGAAAAGATTGTTGCTGCCGGGCATGGTGGCTCACGCCTATAATCCCAGCACTTTGGGAGGCCGAGGCGGGCGGATCACCTGAGGTCAGGAGTTCGAGACCAGCCTGGCCAACATGGTGAAACCCCATCTCTACTTAAAACACAAAAAATTAGCTGGGTGTTGTGGTACACACCTGTAATCCCAGCTACTCGGGAGGCTGAGGCATTAGAATCACTTGAACCTGGGAGGCAGAGGTTGCAGTGAGCCAAGATTGCACCATTGCACTCCAGACTGGGGGACAAGAGCAAGACTTCGTCTCAAAAAAAAAGAAAAGATTGTGGCCAAAGTGGGAAGATTGCTTGAGACCAAGAGTTTGAGAGCAGCCTGGACAATATAGCAAGACCCTGCCTCTTAAAAAAAATCAGCCAGGTGTGGTGGTGCACACCTGGAGTCCCAGATACTCGGGAGGCTGAGGTAGGAGGATCACTTAAGCCAGGGAGGTTGAGGCTGCAGTGAGCTGTGATTGCACCACTGCACTGCACTCCAGCCTGGGCAACAAAGTTAGACCCGTTCTCCAAAAAAAAAGAAAAGAAAAAAGAAAGAAAGAAAAGAGTGTTGTATACACAGATCCCAAGAGGAAGGGGCATGACACACCATGGAGAAGCCACACCTGGAAGTACCATGGTTGGTCGGGAGGCAGAGGTTTCCAGGGAAAAACAGGGGCAGAAAGCTTCCCGCTGTGGCTGTGGGAAGGAATAGGTGACCCAGGTAGGCAGGCTTAGGATCGGCTCATCTGAATAATTTCAGTGAGCTCTGGGGGGGGTGGGGTTGGTCCCTCGTTGTCCGGTGGCTCAGGGTGTTAGTGGCCTTAGGGCAGGCACACAGTGGCTAGGAGTGTGACAGCCCAGTAGAGGAGGTGCTGCTGGCTCTGGATTGGTTGGTTTGTATTTGAAACACATGTTCACAGTCCAATTGTTTACTGTCTCTAGGAACTGGCTAACCCTGGGAGGAAATGTACTTTCTGGGTCAGCAAGGTCCCAAGATGTCAAAGCAGCAAAAATACATAATAAAAGACATGATTAACATAGTTCTCCACAATAAAATCCAGGCTTTACGTGCAGAAGTCAAGGCAGACTCTGCGCAGCTAGAAACAAAAGATGTCCCCTATAGAAATGCAATTCTAGAGGCTTCTGGCCCCAAGGGAGGACTCTGCTAACTTTGCCCGTATTTATCTTCACACTCCCAGAAGGACCATCTTTCTTTGTCCTGGGGATTTACGGCACCCACACACCTCCTGATTAGTCCCATCTTGGAACTTCTGACGATATGTCCAGGTCCCCTCTGGGCTTCTCTGCCCCAGGTCACTGGGTCTGAGGAGCCGCATCTGCTGCCACCCATTCATTCCTCATCACTGTCAGCAAAAGTGACAGTTGACAGGGATTGCAGTTCTCACTTCTGGCACCAGGCCCTCTTGTTTTTATTTAAAACTGTCCAGAAACTGTGCCTGCTGTCGCCAGGAGCGGGGGCTAATCTGAACAATGTGAGATGTTTGTCTTCAGGCGTTAACAGGACCGTTAGTCACCTTAGAGGGCCGGGCGCTGTACGATGTGAGAGACGTCCGTTCAAGGCAGCTGCCATTTAGACCGTTTCTGCCGAGAGGAGACTGTCAGGCTTTGAGACACTCTGGGCTGTTTAAGGGACTTTGCCCTTTTTGTTCTCAACTCCTTATTGATTGGGATCCTTCCCAAAGGAGCTGGGCATTCATTAGAAGCTGCAGAGTAGAAGACACCTCCTTTCTGGTTTTCTGGTTTAATGGCACCAGAAGTGGGAACTGATTAATCAAGGAGGTTTTGTGCTTGGTCCCGGACTGTGTGCAGGGAGGGAGGGCTCCCTGCGCTACCTTCCTCCAGCAATGCTCTGGTCCTTGGGGCACATTCTTTTCTCTTCTCTAGCAGCTTGTTTTTATCTCTTCTTTCGTTCCAGCATGAGTTTCTGCACACCCATTTAACATTTTTCCCTTTCTGCTCTAGACTGCTTGAGTGGTTTCCCCTGGTGCTGGGCTGATGTTTGGGTTTCTGTGAATAATAATTTTGGGATCATCTTGATCTTTTCGAGTCCACAGAATTTTGGTTTGATACACTAAACTTCCCCTGAGCCCACCTTGCCAAACCCGCTCTTCCTACGGCCATCCCCTGCTCCAAAAGTGGAGCCTCCATCCTCTCAGGTGCTGAGGCCACAAATCTTGGAATTGTTCTTGACCCCTCTCTTTTTCTTTTTTCTTTTCTTTTCCTTCCTTCCTTTCTTCCTCCTCCTCCTCTTCTTATTCTTCCTCTTCCTCTTCTTCCTCTTCCTCTTCTTCTTCTTCCTCTTCCTCTTCTTCTTCTTCTTCCTCTTCACTCTTGCTCTGTTGCCCAGGCTGGTGTGCAGTAGCGTGATCTTGGCTTGCTGCAACCTCTGTCTCACAGGTTCAAGCAATTCTCCTGCCTCAGTCTCCCAAGTAGCTGGGATTACAGGCACCCACCACCATGCCCGGCTAATTTTTTATATTTTTGGTAGAGACAGGGTTTCACCATGTTGGCCAGGCTGGTCTTGAACTCCTGACCTCAGGTGATCCACCCGCCTCGGCCTCCCAAAGTGCTGGGATTACAGGCATGAGCCACTGCTCCTGGCCCCTCTCTTTTTCTTATTCCCACATTCCGTTTGCCATCAACACCCTATGGGCTGTACCTTCAAAACATGCAGAATCTTCCTGCTTCTCATCACTCACCTGGTCCACATACCATCACCTCTCAGCTGAACTGTTAAAGTCACCTCCTCTCTGGTCTCTTGTTCCCAGAGGGAACGTGTTAACACCTCAGGGGTATCTTTTTACGCCTGTGCTGAAAATGCCCCCCTTCTGGCCTGCTGCAATGGCTCATGCCTGTGACTCCCGCTTGAGGCCAGGAGTTTGAGATCAGCCTGTGCAACATAGCGAGACCCCATCTCTACACACACACACACACACACACACACACACACACACACACACACACATGATTACCTAGGCATGGTGGTGCATGCCTGTGGCCTCAGCTGCTCAGGGGGCTGATGCCAGAGGATTGCTTGAGCCTGGGAGTTGGAGGCTGCAGTAATCTCTGAGAATGTCACTGCACTCTGCCTGAAAACAGAGCAAGACCTTGTCTCTAGAAAAAAGTCAAACAGAAAACCACCCTACGCTGGCTCTCATCTCACTCAGGGTAAAAGTCACATTGCCCAGAGGACTCCGATCTGCCCTCTTCCTCTCCAGCCTCACCACCCTGCTTGCCCTGCCCCCACCACCTTATGTCTGTGCCTCCAACACATCAGGCATGGTCCTCCGGGCCTTTGCATGGGCTGTTCCTTCCACTTTGCCCAAATGTCGCTTTCTCAGGGAGGCCTTCCTTCATTACTTAACTTAAATCATGTATTCATTTATTTTATTTTTTATTATTATTAAATTTGAGATGGGGCTCACTGTGTTGGCCAAGTTGGTCTTGAACTCCTGGCCTCAAGCAGTCCTCTGGCCTCGGCCTCCCAAAGTGCTAGGATTACAGGCACGAGCCACTGTGCCAGGTCAACTTAAATAATTTAAAATTAAGACATGCCAATTACAATCGCATCTCCTCTTGGGCTTCCCCGCTTTGTTTCTCTCCATGGCTCCGTCACCATCTGACGTAGTACATGCTTTCCTTGTTTATTTGTGGAATGATTGATTGAATCACTCTGGCAACCATCTTATAGTCTGAATAAGGTTTGGAATATTCGATGACTCTTTAAAAAAAACCCCTGTGTGATGTGTCTGAGTTTTTGAGTATGCCTAGAAGCACATCTAGAATAGGCCCCTCCTTTGTCTCCAGCTCTCGGAGGCAGTAAAAATTCATTTGCCAATTTAGTGGCTAAAGGAATGAGTAACCCGTTCCTCTTCCCTGTGAGTGAAACGTTCCACTTATATTGTGTCTACACATTCTTTGCAAATGTCAGTTGGAATGAATGAATCATGGGCTGAGGGATTGCACCATATGCAGCTGACCCGATGACTGAATCTCGCCTGTATGATGTCACCAGAGTCAGTGATGTGGGAGGGTTCGTAGGCCAGTGGTGACCCCCTCAAATGGGAAAAGTTACTTCATTGGGAGGTGACCTACCCTACTCAGAGGCCATGCTGAACTTGGGCTGTGTGGCACAGGTCAAGGGTGTAACCTTCGGAGACACTTCTGTCTGTCCTTAAGTCACTTCACTTCTCTGAGTTCCCTTGTGTGCAAAGTGAGGCTAGTGTTCATCTCTTCAACACACATTTGTGGAACAATGTGGGCTGGAGATGTGGAGTGAGCCGGGCAGGTGTGACACCTGTTTCCTTGGAGCTCACAGCTGGTGGGAGAAATAGACGAGACTTCGGGAAAGACAGACAACAATTGCACTGTTGGGACCGGCTTGAAGGAAATGAGAAAGGACAGTGGCACAGGGAGGTGGGGACTGGCACCAACAGGACCCTCGAGGGAGACGGGACCTGGCGCAGACATGCGGGTGGGAGTGAGCCCTCTGGGGTCTGGGTGGAGGCAGCCCAGGCAGGTGGAGGCACCGGCAAAGGCAAATGCTCCGAAGTGGGACAGAGCTCTGTGCGTTTGAGGAAGAGGCAGGGCCAGTGTGGCTGGAGTCCGGAAAGGAGAGAGAGGGGACAGGCTAAAGTCAGGGTTAGAGGACGCAGGGCCAGGCCACTGTGAGAAGTGTGGGCTGTGTTCTGCGGACTTCCTGAGGACTGGGCGGCGCGGTGTGTGAAGCCCAGGGGTCCAGCCAAGGACACTCCTTCCTTCCGTTGGGACTGGGCCAGCAGGGCTCAACAGGACACCCCTGCCAGAGCAGGAGGGCCTCCTCGGTGGGCCCTGTGGCTTCCTCAATCCTGCAGACGTTCCTGGGAGAAAACCAGCTTGTGGCAGGGCTGTGCAGGGCTGGGAAACCGGAGAGGGATTTCAGGGTGGGCACAGTGCGGGGCTGGCCAAGTTTGGGTCGCCTTCCAGCTTTGAGCACTTCCTTAACTATTGAACAGTGGCAGCGAGGTGGGTGGGCTCACCGGTGAGCTCCTTCAGCACGGCAGGGATGCATTTCTCAGGTCGGGCCATGTGGAGCATCCCATCTTCCCATGGGACCAACTCTTCTCCTAAGTCAGTCCCCGGAGGGAAGTGAGTGACAGCGCTGACCTCAGCAGTTTCAGAATGGGGGGATTGGCAGGACAGCTACTGTCCATTACCAGGAGGGGGCGCCAGATCACTTTAAAACATTTGTCATTCTGTACACTTGTGCTTTAAAAAGGCACATTCTTTAAAACCATTTTTTTGTTGTTAAACAACTTTAGTCTGTTTTGTTTTATAGCATAATGGCTATGAAGTCTTAGATTTTCTGTACTGGTTTAGTTTTTCCCTTAATGGACATTAAAATAAATACATCCCAACCACCGCAACCATAGCAATTGTTGTGAACTGCGAGCCAGTTCTAACAGCTGCATAAATATTAACTCATTTAATTCACAAGATCAGCTTATGAGGTGAGTACTATTATTATCCCTGCTTTACAGATGAAGAAACTGAGGCAGAGGTTACTGGGCTTGGCCTCGGTCCCTGCTGTGGCAGGTGTCAGAGGTGGGATTGGAACCCAGGCTCTAGAATCAGGGTTCAGCTCTGTTGCCTCTCTAAGGATTGAGGAGCAGAGGGGCTTGTGGTTCCCAGGTGTGTGCAGCCAGCCTTTTCTAAGCTCAGCTGTATGCACCTGGCATCTCTTAGATGCTGTCATGTCTAGAGCCTGGAGCTGGGGCTGGGATTGGGGCAAGGGGCCAGGGATTCTTAGATAAGTAAGACCTGGTAGCCCTCTCTCTGCCGAGGGGCACCGGGTCTGGGGGAAGAAGGTGGATCTCTATCCAGCAGTGTACAGACAGCAGGGAGGTGGGAATTGGAACCAGTCCTTGCTCAGGGCTCTGAATGTGCCAGCAACTTTCAGACAGAGACCCCCCCACCCATCCCCACCCCAGTGTTGCCCCAGCCAGTGACCAGGATGAGCAAGAGCCCCACCCTGACTGTAACCATGGAGCCCCACCCAGCCCCGGAGGCGTCAGCTGCATCATTGCCGCTGCCCTGACAACTGTAAATACTGTCTTTAGTCACATGGGCACTCTGCCTTCAGACAGAAAGAACAACCTTCTTGTCAAATACTGAGGCAAATTTATCTTGGACCCGGGCCACAGTGTTGTGAGGTGGAATGAAAGCTGTCACTTTGTTCCCAGCTCAAATTGTGCTCAGAGCTAAACACCCCTCCTCTCTGGCCTCAGTTTTCCCATCTGTAAAATGAAGGGCTTGAATTGGAAGACCTGTAACTTCTCTCCCAGCTTTGATATTATTATTTTTTGAGTTATCCTCACAAGGGATTCACTTCTCTTTTTCTCAGAGAGGAACCTGAATTATTGATGCTTTCTCGAAATTTGGCTGCCTCAGGCTTGGAGATTTCAGATGCCCCCATCCATCAAAAGTAGACAGGATTATACATTCATGAGGATAGATACTATCAAAGCAACAGAAAATAACAGGTGAGGATGTGGAGGAATTGGAACCCATGTGCATCGCTGGTGGGAATGTAAAATGCGTGGCCGCATAGTGGGTGGGAATGTAAAATGCGTGGCTGCTGTGGAAAACAGCATGGCGGTTCCCCAGCAAATTCAAAGTAAAATTGCCATATGTTCCAGCAAGTCCACTTCTGGGTATATATCAAAATGACTGAAAATAGGATTATGGAGAGATATTTGCACACTCATGTTTACAGAAGTATTATTTGCAGTTTCCAAAAAGTGGAAGCAGCTTTTTGGTATCCATTGACAGATAAATAGATAAACAAAATGTATAATATATGCATAATGGAATATTGTTCAGCCTTAAAAATAAAGGAAATTCTGACACAAGCTACAACATGGATGAACCTGGAGGACATTATGCTAAGTGAAATAATCCAGTCACAGAAGGACAAACACTGAATGATTCCACTTACATAAGGCACCTAGAGTAGTCAAATTCACAGAGATAGAAAGTACAATGGTGGTTGCAGGGATTAGGGAAGTGGGGAGAATTAGCGTTTAATGGATACAGAGTTTCAGTTACACAAGATGAAGAGTCCTGGAGGTGGATGGCACAACAACGTGAGTGTATGAACACTACTGAACTGCACACTTAAAAATGGTTAAGATGGTAAATTTTTTGGTCATTTTTTTAAACCACAGATAAAAACTTTTTTTTTTTTTTTGATGGAGTTTCACTCTTGTTGCCTAGGCTGGGAATGCAGTGGTGCAATCTTGGCTCACTGCAACCTCTGCCTTCCGGGTTCAACTGATTCTCCTGCGTCAGCCTCCCAAGTAGCTGGGATTACAGGCGCCCGCCACCACGCCCAGCTATTTTTTTTTTAATTAAAAAGTAAACTTTAATGTGAAAAATGCAAACTTGAGGAGGGCAGAAAGATCACACACACGGCTGTCAGTTCACACTTGGAGGGTTGCACAGCCCGGCAGAGGCGCTCCTCACTTCCCAGACAGTGTGGCGGCCGACGCCTGGCTAATTTTTGTATTTTTAGTAGAGATGGGGTTTCACTATGTTGGCCAGGCTGGTCTTGAACTCCTGACCTCAGGTGATCCACTCTCGGCCTCTTAGAGTGCTGGGATTACAGGTGTGAGCCACCGTGCCCGGCAAATACTCCCCGCCATGTTTTTTTTAAAGAGACAGCCTGTTGCCCAGGCTGGAGTGCAGTGGTCTGATCATAGCTCACTGCAGCCTCAAACTCCTGGGCTTAAGTGATCTTCCTATGCCAGGCTCCAGTAGCTGGGATTATAGGTGTGCACATCAGGCTAACCTTTTTAAAAAAGTAGACAGGATCACATTTTTTCTTATTAGAGGTCCAGCTATTTAGACAGTGCAACACAAAAGTTCAAGGCCGACAGGAAGAAGGCGTGTGTTGTGGAATCCACAGTGGGTGTCCACAGGACAGCGCAGAGACTGGCAGTGCTCTGTCTACCTGGGAGGGAATTCTGAGCAGGGAGGACTCTGAACTTGACCTAGTATAACTTTTTTTAGAAAGCAATTATGTAGTCACTTGATTCGTCATGTATTTCTTTTTTCTTCAACAAATGTAATGAGAGTCTACTAAATGTTGTGGCTTCAAGGATTACACTTCAGATTTATTTAAACTTTCCAAGTTGAACTTTATTTTTTCTGTTTCTATTTTTTAGTTTTTTAAGATATACCAAGTTGAACTTTAAAGAAATGTTTGTACATGTTAAAAAAAAATCCAAACAATATAAAAAGATAAGAAGTAAAAAGTATCTCAGTACCATAAGATAAGGTGAGAAACAAACAAACAAAAACTAAGTATCCCTTCTATCCCAACTCCTAGACCACCAGCTTGCTTCCCCAGAGCAGCCATGGTTACTAGAGTCCTGTGTCTCCTTTCTAAGATGGTGTGTGCCTACACAAGCAGAGATATGCAAATATCCCTCTCTTCAATACGAATGTGAGCATACATTGCACACTGTTCCACACACCATTCTACACCTTGCTTTTTTCACTTAACAGTGTACCTTTTTTTTTTTTTTTGAGACAGGGTCTCGCTCTGTCACCCAGGCGGGAGTGCAGTGGTGCAGTTTCTGCTCACTGCAACCTCCGCCTCCCCGGTTCAAGTGATTCTCGTGCCTCAGCCTCCCAAGTAGCTGGGATTACAGGCATGTGCCACCACGCTCAGCTCATTTTTTTTTTTGGATTTTTAGTAGAGACAAGGTTTCATCATGTTGGCCAGGCTGGTCTCGAACTCCTGGCCTCAAGTGATCTGCCCGCCTCAGCCTCCCAAAGTGTTGGGATTACAGGCGTGAGCCACTGCACCCAGCTAACAATGTACTTTTGAGATTGTCCAGATCAGTAACATGTAGATAAACTGAATTCATTTTTAACACCTCAGTTAACCTCCCACTGTCTGCATGCACTGTAACCAGATTAACCGGTGCCTTTTAATAAATGGGCCCTTCGTCTGTTTTTGTGCCCTAGTTCCTTTTTGGCAGTCTGGTGAAACCTATGGACCTTTGCTCAGAAAAGGTTTTTGTTTGTTTGTTTTTTTTTTTGAGATGGAATCTTGCTCTGTCGCCCAGGCTGGAGTGCAGGAGCGCGATCTCGGCTCACTGCAACCTCCGCCTCCCGCGTTCAACAATTCTCTTGCCTCAGCCTCCTGAGTAGCTGGGACTACAGGTGCCCACCACCATGCCTGGCTAACTTTTGTATTTTTAGTAGAGATGGGGTTCCACCATATTGGCCAGGCTGGTCTTGAACCCCTGACCACAGGTGATCTGCCTGCCTCAGCCTCCCAAAGTGCTAGGATTACAGGTGTGAGCCACTGCGCCTGGCCAAAAATATTTTTATTTTTTATTGTATTAAAACTATTTATTTATTTATTTATTTTTTGTTGCCAGGCTGGAGTGCAGTGGCACGATCTCGGCTCACTGCAACTTCCACCTCCTGGGTTCAAGCGATTCTCCTGCCTCAGCCTCCCAAGTAACTGGGACTAAAGGCACATGCCACCATGCCCAGCTAATTTTTTTGGTATTTTTAGTAGAGACGGGGTTTCACCATGTTGGCCAGGATGGTCTTGATCTCTTGACCTCGTGATCCACCCGCTTCTGCCTCCCAAAGTGCTGGGATTACAGGCGTGAGCCACCGCGCCCGCCTCTTTTTTCTTTTAAAAACAGTGTTTCACTCTGTTCCTCAGTCTGGAGCGAAATGGCCAGATCATAGCTCACCGCAGCCTTGAACTCCTGGGCTCAATTGTTCCTCCCACTTCAGCCTCCCATGTAGCTGGGACCACAGGTGTACACCACCACACCTGGCTAATTTTTTAATTTTTTTGTAGAGATGAGCATCTCGCTATGTTGCCCAGGCTGGTCTCAAACTCCTGGGCTCAAGTGATCCTCACGCCTCAGCCTCCCAAAGTGCTGTGAGCCACTGTGACTGGCAGGAAGATGTTTTTAAATCCATAAAGTAAAATACGTAACAATGCAAGGGAAACCAACCACTGTGCGGAAATACAATCCTATCCATGAATCCTCTGAGAGTCTGTGGCCCTGAGATAAAGAATCCCAACCAGTTTCTAGGCTTTTTTCTACTACAAACTGCTGCAACAAACATTTTTGTACATATATCCACTAGTTTCTATAGGATAATTTTCTAGAAATGTAATTACTGGGGCAGAAATCATATGCATGTTATGTTTGGATCAATTTTGCCAAATTGTCCCAAAAAGTTTGTGTCAATTGTGCAGGAGAGGACCTCTTTCTCTACTCCCTGGTGACAATGAAGTATAAAGCTTTATGAATTCTCCCGTTCTGATAGGTGAAAAATTGTCTTTCACTGTAGGTTTTTACTGCATTCTTGTTTTATGAGTGATGTTTTATAAGTTTAAAAGTGTTCCCATCAGTAAATGTTATTCTTTTGTTGGTGGAATTGCAGGTTATTTTCACTTAAAAAAAAAAAAACCCTGCTGTTTTCATGTATACTCTCAATTTTCTGCCATAAGAAAGCATTTTGTTTACATGAAAAGGGGGTGGGTATTTGGAAAGATAATATTAGTCCTGAAGAGTGGTAGTGAGGATGTAATTAGACCAAAAATAGAAGGATGCTTACTTTCTATTGGGGTCAATAGGTGATGAACAGGTAGAAAACACATAAACAATAATTTAAGCTACAAATGAAGTCAGTCCTGGTGATGTGGTAAGGAGGGACTGGGTAGGTAGCTGGTGATGGCTTCTTTAAAAAGGTTGCCAGGGTAAAACCTACTGCGGAGGTGACATTTGAGTTGAGGAAGAATGAGAAACAGGCAGGCACGTGAAGACCTGAGAAAAGGCTGTATTCTTCTCATGCTTGCATGATCCAGGTTTTGGGATTGACCTCTGTTTTTTTTTTTTTTTTTTTTTTTTTTTTTTTTTTGAGACAGAGTCTCGCTCTGGAGTGCAATGGCGTGATCTCGCCTCACTGAAATCTCCACCTCCCGGGTTCAAGCAATTCTCCTGCCTCAGCCTCCCAAGTAGCTGGGATTACAGGCATATGCCCTCAAGCCTGGCTAATTTTTGTATTTTTAGTAGAGATGTGGTGTCACTATGTTGGTCAGGCTGGTCTCGAACTCCTGACCTCATGTGGTCTGCCCACCTCGGCCTCCCAAAGGGCTGGGATTACAGGCATGAGCTACCGTGTCCGGCTGGGATTGACTTCTGATTCGAAGTTGAAACCATAAAACTATTGTGAAGAGATCCCACCAAGTGCCTAAGGATGGCATAGACCAGCTGTTAGAGGCGGCCTGAATGATTTTCTCCTGCCGATACGGACGGTCCAAAAGAACATTTCCTTTTTCCTTTGTAGAAATGTACAAACGTGGGTATTTACAAGCAGCGTCAGAGGGGAGAGCTTGGTTTTGACCCAAGGTTGTAGTTCTTGAAAGGACCAGTAGGTGGAGGTGAAGGACAAGGAACAGACACTACTTCTGCCAAGCCATCCAGGCCATTGCAATCTAGGTTGAGCCAGCCGCTTCCCGAGTCTAGTTAGGAGTATAGGAATGCCTGTTTCTGGCACATTAACCAGTCTGGGCATACATGAGCTCTAAAGCAGGGAAGTGAATGAACATGCATATAGCATGTGTTGTGGCCCAAGGAACTCTAAGGCTTTTTTTTTTTTTTTTTTTTTGCATTTACAAGGAAACTCCTCTTTCCTTCTGTCATATAAACCAGGGGTCACACAGGGAATGTAAATGAATTAAGAAGGTGTGGGGTAAAGAAACACATGCTCTCTCCAATGACTTTCATTTTCTCACTTTGGGTTAGAACCATAAGAATAGAGGAAGGTTTTTCTACTGTAAGAAGGATCACAGCCCTAAGCAGCTACAAAAGACACACTGGCTGGAGAGCAGGCAGTGACGGGGACTGCCCCTAGCTGCTGGGACAGTGAGTCAAGGGACAGCCCGTGCCCATCAGCTGAGCCAGTGGGAATACAGGCCTGGTGCTGCGAGGGGTTCACTTTTTTTTTTTTTTTTTTTTTTTTTGAGATGGAGTTTCGGTCTTGTTGTCCAGGCTGGAGTGCAATGGCGTGATCTTGGCTCACCGCAACTTCTGACTCCCGGGTTCAAGTGATTCTCCTGCCTCAACCTCCTGAGTAACTGGGATTACAGGCATGCACCACCACGCCTGGCTAATTTTGTATTTTTAGTAGAGATGGGGTTTATCCCCGTTGGTCAGGCTGGTTTCGAACTCCCAACCTTAAGTGATCCGCCCGCCTCGGCCTCCCAAAGTGCTGGGATTACAGGTGTGAGCCGCCGCACCCGGCTGAGGTGGGCATTATCATTTGCATGCCCATTTTACAGAGGAGGAAACTGAGGCTCCGAAAGGTGATGCAGCTCTTTCTTAGCCACCTGCATTGCTGTCCTTTGAACATACATTGCTTAGGCTGCCATGTTGACAGCCTTTGGGCTCCAGCCCCGGCAGCCTCTATTTCCTGATAGCCTTCGATTCACACATGCGGGTTGCCAGTGTGGGCCCAGTGGCTTTACATTTGAGTTTCCGAACCATCCCCCTCCCCCTGCACCGCCCCAGTTCCCTGAGACCTTTGGGGTCAATGTGGGGTGGGTGAGAAACGCCTGGCGGATTCAGAGGGTTCTGCTCTGTGGTTCTTGACCAGAATCTCTGGTATCAGGGCCCAGGCATTCATAAATTTTAAAAGCCCTCAGAAAATTCTAGCCTGAGCAGGGCTGAGAACCACTGGGGAGCTTAAGAAAGTCTTAGGGTAGCTGAGTTTGATGAGTCCTCTGATTGCATGCTATTCACTCACTGGATTGGCTGTGGGTCTTTGCAAGTGTGTACTGAGCAGGGCACAAGGTGGGCATCAGGAGAGTGGCGGTTGTGCAGAGTGGGGTTGCCAGCACAGTAGGGAGTCAGGAGGAGGCAGGGAAGAGCATTCCAGAGGAACCTCAGGATGTGCACAAGTCTGTCAGCAAGAGACCCTGGAAGGTTTAGACATGAACCACGATACCATCAGCAGCAGCTTCTCCGGATCGGGCCTCCCTGCCTCAGCATGCTCATGTGCTGATTGCAAACCCACTGTGTGCCCGGAGCTTCCAAGAGAGAAGGGAGAGGCAGAGAAGGAGGAGGCTGGGGAGGGGAGCTGGGACCAAGCCACAGAGAACTCAAGGCCTCCCTACACCTCTTAGACTTTATGTTTTTTATTTTTATTTTTTTGAGACAGGGTCAGCCTGCAGTGCAGGGGTGTGACCATGGCTCACTGCAACCTCGACCTCCTGAGATCAAGCCATCCTCCTACTTCAGCCTCTTGAGTAGCTGGGACCACAGATGTCACCACGCCCGACTAATTGTTTTTATTATTTGTAGAGAGGAGTTTTCATTATGTTGCCCAGGATGGTCTCAAACTCCTGGGCTCAAGCTGTTACTGGACAAAGAAGTCTTGATCCAGACCCCAATGAAGAGTTCTTGGATCTTGCACAGGAAGGAATTCAAGGGGAGTCGGAGAGTGCAGTGAGAGGAAGAGTTTACTGAAAGCTACTCTGTTACAGAGTAGGGTGTCCTCAGAAAGCAAGCAGAGGAATGCATCATCTTTGCTTTTCTTTCTTTCTTTCTTTCTTTCTTTCTTTCTTTCTTTCTTTCTTTCTTTCTTTCTTTCTTTCTTTCTTTCTCTCTCCTTCCTTCCTTCCTTTTTTCTTTCTTCCTTTCTTTCTTCTTTCTTTCTTTCTTTTTCTTTCTTTCTTTCTTTTTCTTTCTTTCTTTCTTTCTTCTTTCTTTCTTTTTTGCTCTCTCTCTCTCTTTTTTTTTTTTTTTTTTTTGTGACGGAGTCTCACTCTATCACCCAGGCTGGAGTGCAGTGGCGCGATCTCAGCTCACTGCAAGTTCCACCTCCGAGGTTCACGCCATTCTCCTGCCTCAGCCTCCCAAGTAGCTGAGATTAGAGGTGTGTGCCACCACGCCCGGCTAATTTTTGTATTTTTAGTAGAGACAGGGTTTCACCGTGTTAGCCAGGATGGTCTCGATCTCCTGACCTCGTGATCCACCCGCCTAGGCCTCCCAAAGTGCTGGGATTACAGGTGCATGCCACCACGTCTGGCTAATTTTTGTATTTTTAGTAGAGACGGGGTTTCACCATGTTGGTCTCGAACTCCTGACCTCAGGTGATCGTCCTGCCTCAGCCTCCCAGAGTGCTAGGATTACAGGCATGAGCCACCATGCCCAGCCTAAGCTTTGCTTATATAGAGGTCTTGTTTATGCAAAGACTAAACTAAGCTATGCCTGCATGCGGGTGAGCAGACAGCATGACAAAATTTATTATTCTATTGAGTTAAAGGAAACTATCCTTGACATTTTTGGGTGGGTACATCAAAGCATAACTATTATTATTTAGAAAACATATATTGTTATGGGTATTGGGACATTTGGATTCTCTGTTGTTATAGGGGCATGTCCTTGCAGGCAGCTTTAGTTGTTCCCTCTACTATAAACATCCCATGACTATGGGTGGTGACCAGCAAGGAATGTGCTTTGCTAGTCTCAAATGGAGCGGAACTTAAAATGGTGTTACTCTGGCCCTGTTATGCTCTTACTTTCCTAACAAAGCAATCCTCCCACCTCAGCCTCCCAAAGTGTTGGGATTACAGGTGTGAGCCACCACACCCAGCCGACTGTTAGGCCTTAGTCAGTCGGGGAGCCAGGGTCTTCTCACTGGGAATTTTAGGCACCAGGGCCCCAGAAGCTGGCAGAGGTGGTTGGGTCAGTAGCAGGGATGACCAATCATCCTGGTTTGCACAGGATGTTGAGTGCTAAAACTAAGAATGTCCTGGGAAAACCAGAATGGTTGGTCATCCTAGTAAAAACTCAGCTTCCCTTACCTTACTCTCAGCCAGCTCCTGGTCCCACCAGTGTGGATTTATACTAGCTTTTCAAATGTCGCTGTGTGCACCAATCACCTGGATTCTTATGGAAATGCAGACTCTCATCCCTCAGGTCTGGGGTGGGGACTAAGAGTCTGCATTTCTGTGTTTTTTTTTTTTTTTTTTGAGACAGAGTCTCACTCTGTCGCCTAGGCTGGAGTGCAGCAGCGCGATCTCAGCTCACTGCAAGCTCCGCCTCTCGGGTTCATGGCATCCTCCTGCCTCAGCCTCCGGAGTAGCTGGGACTACAGGCGCACGCTGCCACGCCGGGCTAATTTTTTGTATTTTTATTTTTTTTAGTAGAGACGGGGTTTCACCGTGTTAACCAGGGTGGTCTAGATCTCCTGACCTTGTGATCCGCCCCCCTCGGCCTCCCAAAGTGCTGGGATTACAGGTGTGAGCCACCATGCCCGGCCACATTTCTGTCTTTAAACTAAATTAATTAATTAATTATTATTATTTTAGAGACGGGGTTTCACTCTGTTGCCCAGGCTGGTCTCGAACTCCTGGCCTCAAGTCATCCTCCTACCTTGGTCTCCCAAAGTGCTGAGATTACAGGCGTGAGCCACTGTGTTCAGCCGAATCTGCATTTTTAATAAGCTTCCAGGTAGCATAGGTGTCGCTGGTCCATGGTCACAATTTGAGTAGCAAGAGTTGACAGCACCCTCAGGCTCATTGCAAACCAGCTACTTCCGGCCATAACTAGGAGAGAGAAGTTGTGACCACCCCAAAAGCACATCTGTATTTCCTAAGGCAAATACAAGCCAGCTTTCCCTCCACTGAACTGTCCAGGACTCAGGCTTGCAGTGAAAATCAGCTGCTGAATGTATTTTTGTTTAAAATCCACACACATTCTCTCACACTAGTTATTTAAAAAAATTAAAAGAAAAATCCACACACACCACATGCAGACAGCACCCATCACAGGTGCTATTTAGTTTGTTTTTCAATTGCTTGGTCCCTCCTGCTTGGGTACCATGTGTTTGCATTTTGCATTTTTTGCTTCTCCTTTTATCTCACTTTCTTTTCACCTCGCAGCAACCTGGTCAATGTGCAAATGAAAGACAGTCCCAGGGAAGAGGAAAACTCTTGCTGTGCAACCAGCTGGAAAGAGATTGAAATAAAAACTCACTTCACTTCTCCCCACCCCATTCTCTCCTGAGCAAGTAGAGGCAGGTTTGTCGAAATTGCCGGAAGGGACAATGTTGGCATTTGAGCTTCTAGGAATGTTCTTTTGGAGAGCAGGAGCACTGCCTCCAGGCCTGCTCCCTCCCACTGCTGCTTGGGAAGGATGGCTCCAGGACTGGGCGGCTCAGCCATGGTGGAACTGGGTCAGCTGTGGCTTTGGCAAGTTTCTCATCCTATCTGGGCCGCCTCTGTGAAATAGGAATAATGATTGTACCTACAGAGCTGGATATTACCTGTTTGTTCCCCCGACCCATTCTCTACCCTGAGAGACCGACTTTAGGGATTGCATCACTCAAGGGCCCTGCCTTCCGGCTTCGGCCCTGCCTTTGGCCTTCTGGTTCAGTTTGCAACGGGAGATACCAGCAGCAGATGGGTGCTGGGAAATTTACTCCCTGTTCTCTCCCTGCTCTGGGCTGCAGCTGTGAGTTTCTCTCTGACTGCAGCTCCTGACCAGGCAGATGCCTCAACAGTGCCAGGCTTGACGGTGTGTGTCAGCTATCAATTTATTGCCTCTCAGCTCCAAAGTCACCCTTCAATATCTGCTTTGCGTAATGGGCGGAGTTCCTTTTAAGCGTCATTCCTTTACAGTGAGTGCAGTGTTAAGTTTTCTCAGTAGAGGGCGCTAGAGGAACACCCCCTAGGTCTCTACTGTTTTCATCCCTCATCCGCTTTCAGACAATAGGCCAAGGCCTGGCCAATCAGAGCACTGCCTTCTCATAGCCTCACTGATTGGCTCAGGGATGGGCACACGGTCTAAACTGCTCCAATCACAGTGAGTCCCAGGACTTAGGTAGGAGCTACCCAAATGATACCTTGTGCTTTCCCATTGAACTTGAACTTGAGAAGATGAGAGGCTGGGTTGCTGCAGCCCTGTTGTCAGCATGAGGGGAGAGTCTTGAACTGCCAAGAATCGCCACAGGGAACTCAAGGGTGGAGCCAACATGGCAGAAGTTGTGAGATGGAGAGAAACTGACTTCTCATGACACAGTGTAGCTGCCCCTGAAGCTGGCAGGACCTTTGGGCTTTTCAGCTATGTGAACCTGTAGATAACCTCTCTCCAACCACCCCCCTCACCAGTGTTTTTTTGGTACAGAAGCCAGTTGGATTTTCTGCTATGTGGAAACATAGTTCTGCTGAATATAATGGCTTTAGGAAAGAAACAAAACAAAACAAAAACCATTGCTGTATTTATCCTCTTTGCCAGGCACCTTGCTGCATATCTCATTTACTTCTCTCTCCATCCTCACGCAGCCCTCAGAGGAAAGTGATCATCTCCATTTTCCAGATGAGAAAAACAATGCTCAGAGAAGTTAAGTAACTAGCTCAAGGCCACCCAGCTAGTGTGTGGTAGAAGCAGGATCCAGGCACGGGCTCCAGTGCATCATACCACTCAGTGCTGGCTGGCAGCAGAGTGGAAGCCACTCGTCCACCTGGCTCAGGGATTCTGGCAGCCACGGTGGGAGAAAGCAGGGATGCAATCTGTATGCCGAGTAATTGTACAACAGTGCAGTTCCCCCACATTCATTACCTAACTGCTAATGAAAAGATCTCCGAATTGTGGTGCTGCCAAGTCTGTTGTAGCGAAGTGTGAGAATGCATTTGTAATTAGCCGCGCCTTGCAGGCAAATGAGGAATGTGTGAAAGTCCCTTGAAATGTTATACAAAATAAGGCTAAAGCATATTCCATTATCTTACGTATGCTATTAATTGAACAGACCCTTTTCATTGTTGCTGTTGAGTTCTTGTGTGACGTTATTAACAATAGTTACTATTTATTGAGCACTTACTATGGCCCAGATACTTGGTGCTTTCTGTACTGCTTTGTTTCATGTAATCTTCACATCACTCCAACAGGGAGGATGTTATTGTTCCCTTTTTAAAGAGGATGAACTAGAAGTTCAGGGAGGTTCAATAACTTGCCCAGGGTCACACCGCAAGGCAGTGGCTTGTCAAGGAATCAAATTTGAAGTTCTCTGGCTCCAAAGCCCACGTTCCTTCTGTTTGTCCCAGCACTTGTCGTACTTTCTGCTGCTCTAGCTTGTCCCACTCACATAATAGTATGTGGCTGTTCAGTGTGGCTCCTTCAAGTGGGAGAGAGGGCCCTTCTCTGTTCTTCCTGTTACTGGAACACGGATGTGACTGCTGGATCTCTCAATTTATTCTGTCTTGAAAGCAAACCACGAAATTAAGAAAATTTTGTGGATTGTCTCTGCCTAAAGACCCATGTGCTTGGCCGATGAGACTGCTAAGTCCAGGTTTAAGACACTGTTATTGTAAAGGGTGTCGATAGGCCAGAAGGCAAAATGCTGAAGTTCACAGGACGCTGCCTGGACTTCTAATTTGGATTTGGGTATGTATCAGCCAGTAAAAATTACAGAAACCCAACCCCACTAATTTAAGTAAAAAGAGAATTTATCAGATAACATGACTAAACAGTTCAAGAAAAGGGATGTCTTCAGGAACTGCTGGATCTAGGGACTTATCGTTGTCATTAGAACCTAGTTTTTTTCTCTCTATTCCTTGACTCTGTATTCCCAGAGGAAGAGAGAGAGAGTCTTTGCTGTTTGGGCCTATAAAAATCCCCACACCCATTTTGAGGAAGGAGTCTAAGACTGGTAGCTCTAAAGTGTCCTCAAGGACCCAGGCTCCCATCTTTCTGTTCTCCCACCCTCAGTCCTTGTCTTTTATCCTTGTGGTCACCTAATGAATGGTCCAAGAGGGCTATTGGAGATCCAGCAATCACATCTATGTTCCAGTAACAGGAAGAAAAAAAAGGGCCATCTCCTCTAAGGAGGCTTCTCAAAGTTCCCTGCGAGACTTTGCTTACAAATTCCTGGCCAGGACTTATTCATCTGTACACACCTTGTTGTAAAGGAGACTGGAAAGTACAGTCTTTATTACCAGTGGCAGTGTGCCTGGATAAAACTGGGGCTCTGTTACTAAGGAGAAAGGGGGAAGTGGATGGTTGGATGGGCCACTAGAGTTTCCGTCACAGTGCCCATCACCAGATACTCAGGAAATGGATGCTGGGGAGAGCAAATACAGCACCCACTAAAGTTGGTAGTCAGTGTTGTGCCTGGGCCTAATAGCTCCTCCTTCATGAAATGAGTGTTGTTGTACAAAGAGCCCTGGATTGGTCAAAAGATTGGATTACGAATTCCAGCCTCTAACTGGCTATGTAGTTGCATAACAACACTTTGCTTCTTTTTTTTTTTTTTTTTTTTTTTGAGACAGTGTCTCACTCTTGCCCACGCTAGAGTGCAGTGGTGCAATAAGGCTCACTGCAGCCTCGACCTCCCTGGGCTCAGGTGATCCTCCCGCCTCAGCCTCCCCAAGAGCTGGGACTACAGGTGCACACCACCACACCTGGCTCCTTTTTATATTTTTTGTAGAGACAGGGTTTTGCCATGTTGCCCAGGCTGGTCTCAAACTCCAGGCCTCAAGCGATCCGCCTGCCTCCACCTCCCAAAGTGCTGGGATTGTGGGTGGGAGCCACTGCAATCCTTGGTGCTCAGCTCACTTGGCTTCTTGTGTCTGCCTTTCTCCGGCTATAAAATGGGGGTCATACTCACATCATCTGGCTATGCCTCTGGCTACAAGCGGAGAATGCCTGACTAGCAGTAGGGTGAGCAACTCATCCTGGTTTTTGTATGCCTTTTCTAATTTTCACGTGAAATATTAAATGTGAGATGAAGCATCCTGGGAAACTCTCTTAGTCCTGGGCAAACTAAGGTAGTTGGTCTCCCTCATTAGCAGTAGCTAAAATCCTAGAGACAAGCATTGTCTGGAGGTGGGCAGTATCTGGGTGAGTTCAGCAGCTCAATGCTATCTTCACGGACCCAGTAGGCTCTTTGCATCCTCAGATCCACCACCCTTAGCATGTTAGGTTTCCTTCCTCCCACTGGCTGTCTCCAGTCACAAGTGTGACTATCCAGATACAGCTCTTGTCATCTTGGGTCAGACTCTCTGCAAATCCCCTAGCTGGGGATTTGGGTGGGGTGGGGTTTCATGTGCATGTTAGGTGAGGATTCAAGTGAATGCTGTGAATTGAGGGAGTGCTCTTAGGAGAATCCTGTAAAGGAGGAGGGAGGCAGGATGGGGCAGGGGAAGAAGTGAAGCAAAGATGTGGTCTCAGCGGGAGCTTCGCTGGAGCCTCATCCCCAGGGAGCACCAAGTGTGATCAGAGTTGCAGACTAAGCTCCACCTTGAGGCGGGGTCTGAAGACTTGCCCCCCTGTGGCCATCAGTCATTGCCATGAGCTGCCCTGGTGAGGTGGGGACTTGACATCCCAGGCATCTCTGGATGCTTTGGTTCCTGTCAGAGAAGAGGCTGCTGGGAGTTATGACAACACAGAAGGGGGCTGCTGGGTGCACCGGGCAGGGTCCCCACAGCTTCTTCGACCCTTGTCCTCTCTCAAAAGCACCCAAGGCAGAAAGGGGTGCAAAGGCTTGCTGTTTACAGAGGGAAAGTTTCCCCAGCACCTAGTGATCTCAGGCCAGCTTCCTCTAAGGTCTTATTAGCCGAGACTGGGTCACTTCTCATCCCTGATGACTCACTGGTAAAGGGAATGGGATTACCTCAGTTGGCATAAACGCTGGGACTGAGCACACTGAAACCTGGGACAAACGAAGGGCCTGTTTGTGGGGAAGAAGGGTGAACAGGTTTCTTGCAGGCAGCCAGCAGAGTCTGCCCTCCAAGCACCAGGGTATCCAGAAGTCCCAGTGCAGATAACAATTCTGCAGACATAAGGGGTTTTACTTGTTTCCCCTCTAGATCTTTCCCTGGTTCCTGCAGGTGAGTATGTGAGAATTGCGTAGGAGAGATGGGCAGGTCCTCCTGCAGAGACACACTCATCGCTCTCCCAGACCCTGCCCCGAGATTCTGGGCAAACACCAGCTGTTGCTTTGGGCTTGTGGAGGAGGCTGATAGGTCTACTGGAAGTCTTTCCTGGAAGACTATCAATCAGAGATTTGCTTTCAGCTGAACCTCCCAATTTAGTCTCTGTTGAAAGCCAACCACAGCCCAGCAGCTTGGATGGGATGAGATTCAATAGCAGAGGGCAACAGAACAAAGGTCTCGCTTTATTTCCACTGCCTCCCCTCCCTTCCCCATGACAGTCTCCAGACAGGGTGGTTGAGTGCCACTGCTGAGTAATTTTTATGGCAATTGCAAAAGACCCCTGAGCTTCTAAGGTGAGGCATTTCCCATTTAATCATCTTGATGGAGAAGCAGCCTCCGTACATTTAGCAGCCATTCTGGCCCCCTGTTAAATGGACTTGTTACTACTTTGTTGAGTCTCAATTACAAATGTGGTAGAATAACGACAGCTACCAAATAACACAGACCCAGGAGATAGTCCTGGCATTTTTGCTTTTTTTTTTTTTTTTTAAACAAGACCAGTTGGTGGTTTTACATTTATTTCAACAAATTGAGCTTGGACTTTTACAGGTCATTTGGGTGAAAGGCACACTCCTTTCTGAAAAGAAATAAGAAATCTTTCAGGCTGTGTTTTGTGATTGCAAACACAAGTCCCGCTGTATCTTTTCATACATTTGATTCAAAATACAAGAATGTTGATGGAGGACTAACCTCACACGTTGGAGGCTGTTTCCCAGCAGAAATCATTAGGTGATCTGTTGGGGGAGGAGTTGTTTGCCTGCCATAATTGTGGCATCTGTAAATAGGCATGGATCTTAATAAAATTCATGCCACCGTATATGTGAACAAATATGGCTGATGCATGTAAGTATTTTGGAGTGCTCTGGACAGAAGTAAGGGATTCACAGATTCACTTATCCTGCAAATATTTATTGAGCACCAACTATAAGCCGACCATGGAGCTGATCATCAATTGAGGAGAGGAAACCAAAAACAAATAGGTATTTATTTATTTATTTTGTGTATTTACATTTTGAGATGGAGTCTCGCTCTGTCGCCCAGGCTGGAGCGTAGTGGTGCAATCTCTGCTCACTACAACCTCTGCCTCCCAGGTTCAAGCGATTCTCCTGCCTCCGCCTCCCGAGTAGCTGGGACTACAGGTGCACCTCACCATGCCTGGCTAATTTTTGTATTTTTAGTAGAGATGGGTTTCACCATATTGGCCAGGCTGGTCTTGAACTCCTGGCCTCGACTGATCTGCCCGCCTCGGCCTCCCAAACTGCTGGGATTACAGGCGTGAGCCACTGCGCCTGGCCGCAAATATGTATTTAATGTGTCAGTTGATAATACGGATTTTAGAAAAGGATAAAGTAGGGTAAGGGGGCTGGGTGTTTTAAAATTTAGGTTTGGTTTCATTCA
The DNA here is from genome assembly GCF_000001405.40 of Homo sapiens. NCBI lineage: Eukaryota > Metazoa > Chordata > Mammalia > Primates > Hominidae > Homo > Homo sapiens. The sequence goes on from NC_000020.11 coordinate 50,998,863, forward strand.
GGTTTGGTGAGGCTAACATATCTGGTGAGGACTGCTATTGAAAAGATAGTTTGCTACTCACAGTTCCCAAGAGGAGGGTGGCATGCCACACCATGGAGCTGAGACACACAGGGGCACACCAAGGCCAGTTAGGAGGTGGGGAGAGTATGGGCAAGAGTGTTTACAGTGGTTTCTGTGGAGAGGAATGGGCACGGGACAGGGTGAGCAGGTTTAGGGTTGGCTGATTTGACTAATTTCAGCAGGTTCTGGGCATGAGGGCTTCCTTTAGCTGTCTGGTACCTGGCCTTGGAGTGCTTAGGCCAGGTGGACAGTGGCCTGGAGTCTGAGAGCTCAGTAAAGGAGGTGGCTGGGGTGTGCGTTCCGGGTTCTGTGGCTTGCATAGGAAAGGTGCATTCCAGGCAAGTTGTTTACTATCTCTAGGAATTGGCCAACTCTGGGAGGGGCAGTCCCTCCAGGGTCAGCAAGGTCCCAGACCACAGAGCATCAGAGTACAGAAAAAAAGACATGTTTAATACACTGGGGACATGGTGGGAGTGTGGCCTTTTATACAGAGCTGGAAGAAGGAGCCAGATGAGGCCTCATTGTTTAGGTGACATTGGAGCAGAGACCTGAGTGAGGTGAGTGAGTGAGTGATGCGGGTCTATCTTCAGGAAGGGTCCTCCAGGCAGAGGGTACAGCAAGTGCAAAGGCCCTGAGGCAGGATAGTGCTTGGTTTGTTCAATGCATAGAGAAGAGGTCAGTGTAGCCGGAAAGGAGAGGTGAAGGGGAGGCAAGGAGACCAGGTCGGGGGCTGGGGCTGAGAGAGACTCTGGCTTGGATTGTGAGCAAGATAGACTGTCAGAGTTGGGGTTGGGGAGGCGCAGGGGTGGGACTCTGAGCAAAGGTGGAGTGTGATCAGACTGGGGTTCTAACGGGGTCCTCCTGCTGCTGTAGGGGAGAGGCAGGGGAGCAGGGAGACCAGGAGGCGCTCCTGCCACCATCCAGGAGGGAGAGGACAGGAGGAGAGTGGTAGGATTCCGGATATAGGCTAACAGGACTGGATGGGGAGGGGGTGAGGGAAGAGAGTGAGAGATAAGTATTAGTGGGAATCCTGTTTCTTTTTTCAGAATGAAAACAGAGGTGAGGCCATTTTAGCAAATGGTAGAATCTGAGTGAAAATCCTGCTTTCTTCAGCTGATGTCTTTCTAGGCTTCTGCGGCCTCATCCCTCTATCATCCCACATGTGTGGAAATATTTTATTCACTCGGTTTTCTCCCTCCACCAAATTACCAGCAACTCCAGGGCAGGACTGAGTCCAGTTCTGGCCCCGCTGCTGTGACAGGGCCTGGTTCACAGTAGGGACTCTGGAAATGCACCTCTGAGACCTCTCCCTGGGCGCATCCCCGCAGGGGGCTGTGTCTCTGCCCACGTGTTCCCTCGATGGCTGGTGGAATGTCCCTGTCTTCTCCACCTCTGGGCCTTTGCACTGTCTGTCTCCTCTGCCTGGACTGCTGCCTCTCCCTCTCCTCCAGGTCTCCATTTAAATGCCACCTCCTCAGCAGGTCCTTCCCTCATTGCACCATCGGAAGTGGCTGTGCCCCACTTGGTTACTCTGCCAGGTCACCCTTGTGTTCACCAACATCAGAAATTGTTTTCTTCTGGTCACAGGTTCACTGTCTGTCTCTCTGTTGCCATCCCTGTGTGGACCCCACGAAGGCAAGGGCCTGGTCTCCAATGCTCACTGTAGCATTGGAGGGGGTGTCGCCGGTACCCACCCTGATGCCTATCAATGGGATGGGACACCTGTGCCCCAGCAGCTGTGGTATTCAGTGCCAAAGACCCCCACCTGTACTTCTTTGGAGACCGGCTGATTAGAGCTGTCTTGCCAGGACACACCAGGGGCGTCGGGACAAGACCAGAACAAAGGTAAGTGGAAAGACAGATCCTTTGCAATTTTGAAATGTTATGCATTGTGAATTTTTTGGCAGTAATTTTGATTTTTAAAAATATTACATTAAAGTATGATTGATCTCCACTACTGATTTCTTGGGCTTTCCCTTGCATTTTGGGGCAAAGGCAAGTGCCTCACTATTCCCAGCCCTGCTCAGAGGTGGGATCTGAGAATCTGTATTGTTAAATCAGCCTTTCTGACCTCAACTGTGAGTCCCAGAGAAGCACTGAGCTAATCAGACATGGGGGATAAACCATATGACCTACAAAATAAAACACATTTGGAAAGGTCTGTTTTGCTGTTTCCCCCAGAGGAGTGATGGTCCCCTAAGTGTATGGAGTTAGTTGTCCATACCAGGGTCAAAAGGGAGTCCCATTAGGGACCTCCCATAAGGAACTGTGTCCCCACACTTTGATCAGAACAGCTCTTACTCCATATGATTTATATCTGGGCTTTCTGCATCAGATTCCATGCAAAAGATAGGTTCCATTGCTAAAAAGAGGTAGAAAAGTCACAATCTTAGAGTGGCAGTGCTGGAAGCAGATTGTTAGGTGTCCAGAGGCCTCCTAGCTTCAGATTTAGGGCCAACAGCCCCTAAGCCCCGTTCCAGGCATGAGGGTCACGATCGGGAGTACCTTTGTCCCTCTCTCAAGTGAGGTCTTGAGAGGTGCCCAAGTCCGTGCCTCTGCCTCAGCCACCAGGACAGGTCAGAACCTGCAAGATGATGCCAGAAACCTTGACCACTCAGGGGCCCCGGCTTCCCTGCACAACCCCAGCTTCTGTTCCTCCTCCCTCCCAGTGCTGTTCCGTTCAGGGATCCCTCCCCGACCCCACATGGCTTTACTTCCCCCCTCCCCTGAATTTTAAAGGGCTCCATTTTATACTTCTTTCGGTACCATATTTCTGTGTGTTTAGCATTTTCAGTGGCCTCCTGCCTCTCATAGCCCCTTTCCAGGGGAATAAAAGGTCATTCCATAAATCTCAGGCATTATTAAAGATGACGGCAGTGCACGATTGCTTGACACCCACCGGGCTGGGGAACGTAGCGCTAATTAGTCAGAAAACTTACTTTTCAGGCGTGAGTCATTGGAAGCAGGTGTCAAGGGAGCCTTTAACGAGGCCCTCGTGACTCAGTTGATATTTCCACTCTGCATCACCGCGTGTATATTGTACTGAGATCGCGGTGGCCTCGCCACCAGACACAGAGGGCAGAGGAGAGAGAGAGAGAGAGAAAGAGAGGAAGAGAAGAGAAAGAGAGGGAGAGAGAGGAAGAGAAGAGAAAGACAGGGAGGGAGAGAGAGGAGGACAAAGAGGAGCGAGAGGGGAGAGAAAGAGAGAGAGAGAGAGGTGCTTGGAGAACCCGAGATCCCATGTTAAAAATAAATGCCTTCTGCTTTTTGGCCCTCTTTCCTATTTCCCTTCCTTCTTTTTTAAATTAATTTACTTATTTTACTTAAAGTCAGGGTCTTGCTCTGTCACAGAGGCTGGAATGTAGCAGCTATTCTCAGGTGCAATCATGGCTCACTGCAGCCTCCAACTCCCGGATTCTAGGGATTCTCCTGCCTCAGCCTCCCAAGTAGCTGGGACTACACCACATCTGGCTAACATTCCTTCAATAAATGTTTATTGAGCACCTACTAGGTGCAGGCCCTATGCGAGATGCTGGGGGTCAATGGTGAGCCATATTGCTGAGTCCTGTAGCTAAGAAGAGGAATACATGAGTCAATTTCAGAGGTTGATGGGTGGATATAGAAGACCAAGCCGGCTAAGAGGAGAGGGGTGGTGGTGGTGCTGATGTGGATTCTTTGAGAGGTGGTCAGGGAAGGCCTCTCTGGGAAGGAGCCAGCTATGCAGTGTTCCACAGGAAGGGCATCTCTGGCAGAGGGATGGGCAGGTGTGAAGGTGCTGGGATGGGAATGATGTGGCTTGAGGGTTAGGACAAGCTTGTGACTGTGACCTGAGTGGGAAGCCCCCTCCCCACGCCTGGCACTGAGGGGCTCTATGTCCTGCCAGCTGGAGTAGAATCTGCTGGACTGGCCTGAGCGCCCTCTCTACTGTGGGTCACATATGCTGTATGAAGTCGGGGACCTGTTGCAGGTGGGGTGGGTACTCTGAAGGTCGCAGGTTGGGTGGGTGCTCTGCAGGTCAGGCGGGTGCTCTGCAGGTCACAGATTGGGTGGATGCTCTGCAGGTCGGGTGGGTGCTCTGCAGGTCTTTGGGGGCACGGGGAGGCCTGTGGGGGCTGCAGATTGTGCTTCTCAGTCTGCCCAGGGAACTGTAAACTCCCTTTCAAAAACATCTGTCCCCGCTCTAGGTTTAGATTTATATGCAGGTATATGATGCAAAGTATTTTTTTTTCACAGATTAAAATAAATGCAGAGTAGAATACAAACCCCACATGATTTTTTAAAGATAAAATGAACTGATTTCACCTCATAGTCAACAACGCTGACAGGCCCCCTGATGACCTGTCAACTGTCAGGGGTGCCTTTGTGTGAAAGTTTGAAAAACCAGCCCTAAGGGGTGAAAAAGGTGAATAGAGGATGGAAGAGAAGGAAAAAAGGATAAAAGGGAAACGGGAGAAAGAAAGGCACAGAGGGGGGGACAGTCCAAGAGAAACGAGAGAGGGAGCACAGTATTCACTGGTCATTTTCCTTAAAGTGTCTGTTCTCTTTTTCTACAACCCCAGTAGGGCCCCACCGGGCCTGAACAACCCAAGCACACAGGGCCCTTTACTTCCAGCCCCCACTTGCTGGCTTTGCTGGGAAACCCAGCTCCCTTTTTTAAGACAGCCCCATGGAAGGCATTCTCTCTTTTTCATCAATTTCTTTTCCCTGGACATGATCCACATTAGAGACAGACATGCTGTTTCTGCTGTTTGTATTTTTTTTTTTTTTCTCCAGGCAGACCCATAAAGCAAGTTTTTGCTGGGCATGTTATTTGCATGGTGAAAAGAACAAGGCATCTCCTTATTGAGGGAAACACACATAGGGGCTGGGGTGGGCGGGGCTGGGCTGATGACCCAGCTTCCTTTCACGGCTGCAGGCGGAGGGGCAGGGCCCCTCTGCTGATGTTCTAGTGTTCTTCCCGGGGTGTGGGAGTGAGGGTGTCCTTCCCCGGGTGCGTGGGAGTCGGTGCTGCGCCAGGACTGCACTCGGAAGCGGCCTGTCCCTCTCCAGGCGTCTGCAGTGGATGGCAATGGCTTCGGGCCACAGATGGCAGGCAGGGCAGGCGTGTCCTCCGCGCTCAGTTATTGTCTCTGGTGTCCGAGGAGGCACTTCCGAACAAGATGTCACTGTCCTGGGACACGCTCAGCTGCGACTTGGTTTTGATGAGGAACTGCGCCCTCCGGAACATCACCCTCTCTTGCTCCTGCTTGAGCTCCAGGTAGGAGCGGGAGAAGGTGTGGAAGATGGAGGTGACTGGGAAGGCCATGAGCAGGATGCCGCTCAGGATGCTGCTCAGGGCCACTACCTGGCCCGGGGTGCTCCTGGGGACCATGTCGCCATAGCCCACCGTCGTCATGGTGATGACAGCCCACCAGTAGCAGGCAGGGATGCTGGTGAACTCGGGGCTGTCGGCCATCTCGTTCTCGATGACGTAGAGCAGGGGCGCGAAGAGGGCGATGGCCACGCAGAGGAAGAGCAGCAGGAGCCCGAACTCGCGGGTGCAGCGGCGGGCCGTGAGCCCCAGCGTCTGCAGCCCCAGGGAGTGGCGCGCCAGGCGCATCACGTACAGGATGCGCAGCGCCCGCAGCACGCGCAGCACCAGCCCCACCTTGTCCAGGTAGCTGTTGCCCGCGCCGGGCTTGCGACGGCCTGCGGCGGCGCCGTCCACCAGCAGCGTGATGTAGTAGGGCAGGATGGCCACCAGGTCGATCAGCGTCAGCGGGCTCCGCAGGAAGGCGAACTTGCTGGGCGCCTGAATGAGCCGCAGGAGGAACTCCAGGGAGAACCAGCCCACGCACACCGACTCCACGATGAAGACGTTGTGGCACATCTGGGAACAGTGGCCCTGGGAGAGAGGGGAAGGGACGCCGGAGGGGTCAGCGGGCCCTCCAGGAAAGGAGGGCAGAAGCTCTGCCCTGTGCCCTGCTGGGCTTCCCAGGCGGAAGGTGACCTCTCCAGGTTGAGTGGCCCCGGGTCCTCTCCCTAGTTGTGCCCACTCCGAGGCCTGGGGCACTAAGCACCATCTCTACACTGGCCGCTCCTCATCTCTCTCTCCAGCCCCCACCTCAGCCCTGAACTCCAGACCCCCAACAGGCTGCCTCCCTGACGCTCCCACCTGGGTGTCTGAGGGGCATCTCGAACTCACCATGGGATCCTGGTTTCCTCTGCCCACTGGTGGTTTCCCTCCCTAGCTTTAGGCAATCCCATCTTTCCAATGGCTTAGGACAGGAGACCTGGCGTCATCCTTACCACCTTGCGTATAACCCCCAGGAAGTCTCTTCATTTAAAACAGTGCGAGAATCAAACCCACTGCCCACTGCTCCCACCTGGTCTGGCCACCATCCTTTCTTGCCTGGATGGTTGCAGTCACCTCACCTCCCCGCTGGGCTCCCTCATCCCTGCAGTCCATTTTCCACACATAGCCAGAGGGATCCTGTTCCTCCTCTGCTTAGCACCCTCCACGGCTCCCGATGGACTGTGAGGAATAGTCTTGTTCAGTGCCCCCATCACTGCCCCGGGCAAATTTAGGCTGAGGCTGCCTCACCGAAGCTTTCAAAAGAGGCTGGAAATGTGCAGTTTTACATGAACTCTCCTGGTGACAAATGTTGGTGATAATGTTGGTTAAATAGATAAAATGTTGATTTAAGTCCTGGTGATAATTCAGTGCAAAGAAATACTCTATGGGCCACTAAAACACATATTTTTGTTGGGTTTGGCATGCAGGCTGCCAGCTTGCCTCTCTGGTCTGGAATATAATTGGGTGGTAAACAGTCCTTTAGTGGATTTGGGCCTCATCCTTGAAGGGGCCTTTGGCAGAGAGGAGAGGCCAGTGTGGTTCCAGCCTGGGGCATCTTGGAGGTTCTGGGGCACAGCTGAGTTCTACAAGTCCCACTTGAACAATTCTGTCTCTAGGAATATGTTAGAGGCTGGAGATATGAACTAATACCTGGTGGGGCTTTAAGGTCTTAGACCTCTGGGATGGGAAGCCCCTTCCTCTGGGAAGCTTTCCTGGAGCGTGCCCCACTAAGTAGCTCCAGCAGTGTCAGTGGGCCTCCCATACAGAACCTCCTTGGCTTGTGTCTCCTGCTTATGGTGATGGGGGGGGTGGGTGGTGCCACTACTCCATCCCAACCCCAATAGACTTGAAGCTTCTTGAGGTTGGAAGACTTGTCCTGGTCACCCTGTCTCCCCTGTAGTGCCTGCATACAGTAGGCACTCAAATGTGTGCACAAGGAGCATGTGAAGCAGTGAATCCTACTGCACCCCAAAATGAAGTTGAAGAACAGCATTTTCACTGAATCCTTAAAAAGGCAAAGGTATTATTATCTTTTCAAAAAGCAAGTATCAGAAGTTGAACAAAACAGTGGCTTTATTAGTATTTTCCTGATAAAATCACGATCAAAGATGTTGAAGCTGAGAAGAAATTTACACTAAGTACAGCAATTTCCAGACAGGTCTCAAATGGTGAGCACTTTCCCTTTCCTTTCTTTTTCTTCTTGACCCTAATCCTTAAGAGAGGACTTTCTGCACATTCACTATGCATCGCTTCTAATCCCTTCATGTGGCGTGGACTCAGTCAGCCCAATCACTTCTTTTTTTTTGCTCTTGTTGCCCAGGCTGGAGTGCAATGGCGCAATCTCGGCTCACTGCAACCTCCGCTTCCCAGGTTCAAGCGATTCTCCTGCCTCAGCCTCCCGAGTAGCTGGGATTACAGGCATGTGCTACCACGTCCGGCTAATTTTGCATTTTTAGTAGAGACAGGGTTTCTCCATGTTGGTCAGGCTGGTCTCGAACTCCCGGCCTCAAGTGATCTGCCTGCCTCAGCCTCCCAAAGTTCTGGGATTACAGGCGTGAGCCACCGCACCCAGCCCCAATCACTTCTAATCACTTCATGCGAACTCACTGAATCCTTGCAACACTGTGAGGTGGGCCTGTTCATACCCGCCCTGGACAGGTGAGAAATCAGAGGCTCAAAGAGTTTAAGTAACTTGCCCACAGCTACTACACAGCTAGAGAGGAGAAAGCAGGATTTGAATTCAGGCCATCTGGCTCTAGCCCTGATCTCTTCATCACTACCCTTCATGCTTATTGAAAGTTGATTTTACCAGCTGGGTGTGATGGCATATGCCTTTAGTCCCAGCTATTCAGGAGGCTGAGGCAGGAGGAATGCTTGAGTCCAAGAGTTCGAGTCCAACCTGGGCAACATAGCAACACCCCCATCTCTAAATTTTTTTTTTTTTTTGAGACAGGGTCTCACTCTGTTGCCCAGACTTGAGTACAGTGGTGCAATCTTGGCTCACTGCAACCTCCACCTCCCAGATTGAAGCAATTCTCATGTCTCAGCCTCCCAAGTAGCTAGGATTACAAGCGAGTGCCAACATGCCCAGCTAATTTTTGTATTTTTAGCAGAGATGGGGTTTTGCCATGTTGGCCAGGCTGGTCTTGGACTCCTGACCTAAAGTGATCCACCCGCCTCAGCCTCCCAAAGTGCTGGGATTACAGGCGTGAGCCACCACACGTGGCCTAAAATTGTTTTTTTTAATTTAAAAAAGTTTAAAAAGTTAACCTTACTGGTTGAATGCTATTTTCTTAATACCCATTTAAAAATTCAACTTATAAGCCAGGCATGAGGGCCTACTTCCTCCACATACATAAGTGGAAAGATCCTGACACGGTGAGTACTTCTAATGTTAAATTCGAGAGTGCATGTAAATGAGACATGAGAATCGCTTCAATCTGGGAAGTAGAGGTTGCAGTGAGCCAAGATCGCACCACTGTACTCCAGTACAGTGTAATCTTAGCACTTTGGGAGGCAGAGGTGGGAGGATCGCTTGAAGCCAGGACTTTGAGGCCAGCCTGGGCAGCAAAGCAATACCCCATCTTTTAAAAATAAATAAATAAATTCAATGTATACCAAAAGTACCAGTAAGCCTCTGTGGATTATTAATGCAACAGCTACTGCTACTTCCTCCACATACATAAGTGGAAAAATCCTGACATGGTGAGTACTTCTAATGTTAAATTCGAGAGTGCACGTAAAGCACTTAGCACATGCAGGGTATACAGTCAGTGCTCAATAAATATTGGCTGGCATGATATTTACGTTCAGTTCACACCGCCATACCTATTTCTCCACTGCCTATACAATTTGTACCTCTGAAAACTTTTGGTCTTTCTTGAAGCTTCCAGAATCCCCATATACAGGGAAGGAGTCACCAACTCAAAGGCCCATGATCTCATACACAAGGAGACTGAACTGGGCCCCTGTGGACTTGGATCTCCCCAGGAGGTGCCATGTAGGACCGCAGGCTGGTGTATATGTTGGTGGCGGGGCAGGGGGAGGGGAGGGACCCAACCTCACAATTTTTAAAAAAATTTTGTGTTTTAGAGATGGAGTCTCACTCTGTCGCCCAAGCAGGAGTGCAGTGGCGTGATCATGGCTCACTGCAGCCTTACCTCCCAGGCTCAAGCAATCCTCCTGCCTCAGCCTCCCAAGTAGCTAGGACTACAGGTGCAAGCCACCACACCTGGCTAATTAAATTTTTTTTTTCCGTAAAGACGGGGTCTCACTACATTGCCCAGGCTGATTTTGAACTCCTGGGCTCAAGCGATCCTTCTGCCTCCAGCTCCCAAAGTGTTGGAATTATAGGTGTGAGCCACCACACCTGGCCTGATCTTATGATTTTTTTTAAAAGAAGCTGAGATTTTGAATTTTTATATGAAAAAACTTCACTTTTATTGTTGGCAACCAAGTCAAATTTTTGGGAAACCTTGTGTGGGCCAATCACATAGTCCTGTGGGGCTATATTAGGTCCCCAAGCTGCCACGTGGACACCATATTTCCATGCTTACAAAGACAGACTGGACTTAGACCTGGGGTTGGGCAGTGTCCTCAAATACCTAGTGGGTGTGAAAACACTTCCCCCACAGGGTTGCTGGAGCATTCCCTAGGGAGATAAGACGTAGTTGGCACATGCAGCCCAGCTCCGGCTCCCGTGAACTCCCAGATGAGTGGGAGCCCTTAGACTGTAGCACACACCCCGTGTCAGGCCCTGGAGTAAATAAACTTTCCATTCATTCTCTTATGTAACAAAAAGAAATGCTCACCATTTGTAGACACACATATACCTATCAATAAAAATTATCTTCAGGACCCAGAAAATGTGTCTGGGCTACTATGATGCAAAGGATTAGGAACGTTGAGAAAGGACCGAATGGTTGAGATAAATTTGATGATATATGTAATGTGCTTCGCTCAGGGCCAGGCACGTCAAAAATCACACCACCCATTTATTCACTCATTTGTTCATTCAACAAATAGTGGTTGAGTGCCTGTTTGTGCTGGACACTGTTCTAAACACTGGCAAGGGGGAGGGCAGTGGTGGGCACAGTGGAGGCCAGGACAGGCACAGGCGTGGACCCCCATGATGCTCACATATTAACAGGGAGGCAGACCATGCACACAAACATTCCTGATGTCAGGAGGGACCAGGGATGCTATTCAGCCAGTGTGCAATCAGAGGAGGCTTTCTGGAGGAGGTGACAATGCTCAGAGTCCCTTCCCTCGTGGTGGCGCGTTTCCCCGCGGGGCGTGGGCTCTTACCTGCTCCTCCTCCTCCCTCAGGCTGGGCAAGGTGCTGACGGAGAGGTTGACGGCGGTGACGGTCACGAAGAGCACCGACAGGCAGGCGAACACCTTGCCAGGCAGCCCCGAGTGCGGCCTCTCCACCATGTCGCGCAGTCGCCGCATGCAGCGCCCCAGGCGGCCCTCGCCCTCGGCCGGGCCCTCGCTGTCGCGGCCCTCGCTGTCCAGCGCGTCGTCCTCTTCCTCCCGCTCCACCATCTCCGCGAACTCCTCAATCTTCTGCAGGTAGCGGCGCTTGCAGCAGCCGTCCAGGTGGTCCTCCGCGATGCCCCAGTACAGCAGCTCCTCCTGGAAGGACAGCGCGCACATCTCGCGCAGCAGCCGCAGCTTGCCCGCGCGCAGGAAGGTCAGGATAGTGCCGAAGGCCCCCGGGTTGCGGTCGAAGAAGAACTCGTTGCAGGTGACGTCGTAGTCATCGCACACGTTGAGGATGTCGTCGAAGTTGGTGCAGGCCTTGAGCTGGCCCAGGCGCGTCAGCGGGAACTCGTCCAGCGTGGTCCAGGGCAGCGAGTACTTGATGCCGCCTACGTTGATGATGATCCGACGGCGGCGGTCCTCGGGCTGACAGCCCTGGCGGGGCTCATCCTGCGGCCGCAGCCGCTGCGCCCGGCGGTAGAACGCGCCCTTGATGGCCTGGCGCTGCGGGAGGAAGGCCGGGTGGAAGGAGGCGTCCGAGGTGCAGCTCAGCGCGCTGTAGTCGTAGTCAGAATTGTCTCCCGGTAAGAGGGTCATTTTGGGCCTTCACATCCCTCTCGGGCCTGTGGGGAGAAGGGAGGGAAGACCCTCAGTGACCACCCCTAGCTTCACCTTGCTGAGAATGCAGATTCCGCAGATATTCACTGTTAGGGATGGAATCTTTGTCCCCCACATCCATAGGTTGCAGGCCCTAGCCCTCAATGGGATGGTATTAGGAGGTGGGGCCTTTGAGATGTCATTTGGTTCAGATGTGGTTATGAGAGCAACGCCCCCACGATGGGATTCGTGTTCTTATAAGAGGAGGAAGACAGGCCGGGCGCGGTGGCTCACGCCTGTAATCCCAGCACTTTGGGAGGCCGAGGCGGGTGGATCACCTGAGGTCAGGAGTTTGAGACTGGCCTGGCCAACATGGTGAAACCCTGTCTCTACTAAAAGTACAAAAACTAGCCAGGCATGGTGGCGTGCACCTGTAATCCTAGCTACTAGGGAGGCTGAGGCATGAGAATCGCTTGAACATGGGAGGCGAAGGTTGCAGTGAGCCGAGATCATGCCACTGCACTCCATCCTGGGTGACAGAGCAAGACTCCATCTCAAAAAATAAAAACAAAACAAAACAAAACAAAACAAAAAAAAAAGAAGAAGAGGAAGAGACACTAGGGCTTTCTCTCTGCCATGGGAGCACTCAGGGAGGCATCTAAGTGTGAAACCCAGAGAAGAGTGCTGCTGGCGCCCTGCTCTCAGACTTGCAGCCGGCAGAACTGGGAGAAATAAGTGTTGCTGAAGCCACCCAGTCTGTGGTATTAATATTTGGTTACATCAGCCTGAGCTGACAAAGACATTCACCTAATAGTGAAATAGCAACAACATTGTTCAGCATCTCCCAGCCTTCACAATTCTCCCATATCCATCTATGCACTGGGGATGCAGCCGTGTGCAGAATGTGAAGGGGTCTCTGATCCCAGGCAGCTGACATCCTAGTGGATTTTCAGGTGACACATGTACTGTTATTTACTTAACATTTTATTTTAAATTAACTTTTTTTTTTTTGGTATTTATTTGGCTTGGAAAAACAATTTAGTGTAGACCTACAGTTCTCATAGGGCTGATTTAGTCTCCCAAAAGACATGTGGCAATGCCTGGGAGCATTTTTGCTGGTCATGACTGGGGTTGCTATTGGCATTTAGTAGGTAGAGGCCAGGGAATGCTGTTGCATGTCCTACAATGCACAGGACAGTCCCCACAACAGACACTTGTCTGGTCCCAAGTGTCCTTAATGCTGAGGTGGAGAAGCCTGGTTAATGGTTATGAACGCAGACTTTGGAGCCACACAGCCTGGGCAAGTGACTCAACCTTGATGTGTCTTAATTTCCTTGTCTGTAAAATGGGTACAGCCACGTGATTTGATAAGATTGCTGGGAGGCCTAAGTGAATTATGTACATAGGAGCATTTAATGCAGTGCCTGGCACATAGTAGGTATTCAGTAACTATTGTCTATTATTATTATTATTTTTGAGACAGAGTCTCGCTCTTTTGCCTAGGCTGGAGTGCAGTGGCACGATCTTGGCTCATTGCAATCTCCGCGCCGCGGGTTCAAGCAATTCTCGTGCCTCAGCCTCCCGAATAGCTGGGACTACAGGTGTGCCACCACACCTGGTTAATTTTTGTATTTTTAGTAGACATGGTTTTGCCATGTTGGCCAGGCTGGTCTTGAACTCCTGACCTCAGGTGATCTGCCCACCTTGGCCTCCCAAAGTGCTGGGATTACAGGTGTGAGCTACCACGCCCGGCCTATTATTATTTATCTTAAAGGGACAACTAATATTGTTTCCATTAATGGAAAACAGATACCACTTGCCATAAATCAGAAGCAATGGACAAAGAAATGCACAACTATGAAAGCAATGCCACGTTTGCTCAGGGGTCAGCAAACATCACCTTGAGGATGCAGGGCTGAACTGGACAGCCATGTTCATCCAGGAAGCCTTCCTTGGCTCTTCCAGCTAAAATGAGCACCCCTCCCCTTACAACTGGTGCACCCGTCTTCACGGCACTTACCACCAGTTCTAGAATTGTCTGTGTGCAAGCCTGGCTCCTTCATTAGGCAGCCTGCTCCCTGGGGGAAGAAACGTGCTTTAGTCATCTCTGAATCCCTATGCTCAGCACTGTAAAGCCTCAAAGAGGTGCTTGTTAAATGAGTACATTTCTTGTTGACGAGACCAACATGATAAGGCGACTTCTGGGGAACTCAGGTCAAAATATCAACTTGCATGGACTCCTTCCTTCCCAACCCTCAAAGCTAAGGGTTTGTGCTACTGGAACAAGATTGCTTATTCATTACCAGCTCATGGGCTGAATTTGGTTCACAAATATTTTGCTTGGCTTGGAGAAGTTTTTGAAAGTTGAGAAATTTCATGTAAAAATCCATATCCTTGGCTTCTTTTAAAAAATCAGGATATCTGGCAACACTTGGCCCAAACGCCAACTGAGAAATGGCTACCCCTTTAGGCAGCACATGCTCCAATCCACCACAGTCCCCACCCCCAACTATTGTCTTCCTAACACCCACTCTATTCCACTCATGTGTGTTTCCTTCCCGGCCCTATAGGCATTTGAGTTTGAGACCCTTAGATTATAGCCACAGAGCTCTCTGGAATTAAGCCGATGCATAGAGAAGTTAGTAGGAGTCAAATACTCTGCTTTTAAAAATCACCAGCCCTCGACCGGGTGCGGTGGCTCAGGCCTGTAATCCCAGCACTTTGGGAGGCCGAGGTGGGTGGATCATGAGGTCAGAAGATCGAGACCATCCTGGCCAACAAGATGAAACCCCATCTCTACTAAAAATACAAAAATTGGCCAGGTGTGGTGGCACATGCCTGAAATCCCAGCTACTCGGGAGGCTGAGGCAGGAGAATCCCTTGAACCCAGGAGGTGGAGGTTGCAGTGAGCTGAGATGGTGCCACTGCACTCCAGCCTGGTGACAGAGCAAGACTCTGTCTAAAACAAAACAAAACAAAACAAAAAAACAAAATCACCAGCCCTCTCCCTAGACAAATCCCCAATGGAATCAAGTGGTAAAAATCTATCAATTCCAAACGGAAACCCATTTCCAATACTTAAATATGGGTCGGTGCTGTGGACATGTTCAGGAAGATACTCGCTCACAAACACACCCGTACACAAACACATGTACCTATGAATGAGAAAATGTTTTAATAGGTGCTGGAAGGGGAGGGAGGGTGTTTCACACTTAAAAGGGGCTCCTTCCTAAGAGGAACTGCTTTACAAAAGCACATCATCCCTCTACTACTCACTGATCTTTGGGGAAGGCTACAATTGCAGAGATCAGGGTTTGGAAAACTAGGGTACACCTGTGTTTGAAAGAAAAATGATTTGATTTTAGATGGTTAGAGTGTTTTTAACTTCACCTAAAATTGGAACCCATCTCCTCAGGCACAGCCTGCCAGGATCCTTTGGAGGCGTGGGAATAATCCCTTTCAGGCACTTTCCTTGGTGATCTCTCTTTTCAGCTCTGCTGTTTCATCTTTGCTACCACAGAAAAGAGAAAAAGTGACATTCTGTTTGGCAAGAATGGTGATGGAGGTAAACGGAAAATGCCTCACACAAGCCCTGGAGGGCTCTTGTGAATCCCCATGGCTGTAATCACCTCTTCTTTTTAGGAATTTCTTCTTTCAACCCTCCCAGCTTTCCCTCCAGCAGAAAACTCCCCCAATTAGTGATTTATTTCCTTCACGCCCTGCCCCCACGTGAGTTTCCTGTGTGGAAAGTGATCCTGTCTCGGCAGCAGGGTGAGTATGGAGAGGCTGATGCTACTCGGAGGGTAATAAACAGAGTAACGACCTTGTTCTCAAAGCCAGAGTCCCCTGGGGAAATGCTGAGGCCAGAACTTGCTAAAGGAAGAACAGGCATATTTCTCCATGGCCTTTGGTCTTGCAGATACCTGATCTGATGTGAGATGGACGGCTCAGCACCTCTAGACCCTACACTAAAGTTCATAAATCAAAGAGGCCCCAAAGCCTGGCCTTCTGAAAAATAATACTGCTTTTCACGCAGCCTGATATCCTCACAAGAAATTTTTTATTTCTCTGTGGTGTTAGTTCTGTTAGTTCTACAGCATGGTGGGTTTAAGTGATTTTGCCTCTGAGGGTCTGTGGATGCTTGGGGAGAGGAAGCTGTTTGAAGCAGAGGCTGCGATGGGGGAGATGAGGTGAAGTCCGGAGGCAGGTGTCATTCATTCCTTTATTTGTTCGTTTATTCAGTAGTTACTGAACGCTCACCACGTGTCAGACTCTGTATTAGAGCCGGAGACACGGCAGAGAACAAGACAGACCTAGGCCCTGTCCTCACGGAGGTGACCTTCTGGTGGGGAAGACTGTTTCCAAATGAGCACACAAGTCATTTCAGGCTGCAGCGACTGCAGTGTTGTTGACAGAGCAAGGTGAGAGATGGAGAATGACTATTGTGGGGTGTGGGGCAACATTGGCTGGAGGGGTGAAGGAGGGCTTCTTGGAGGAGGGGACATGGGGTTGAGCCGCATGGATAGATCCAGCCCCGTGAGGACCTGGCAGAGGGAGTGGCAAGAATTTGCTCCCTGACTTGGGGGTGGGCTTGGATGATCAAAGACCAGAGAATGCAGAGCACAGAGCGAGGGGAAGCTGGGAGAAGAGGAGAGGGGCAGGGGCCAGGTGCAGCAGGGCCGAGGGGCTGACAATAAGGAGCTGGGGCTTATTCTGCAAGGGACAAGGAGTCCATGTGTGCCTGCCAGGTCAGTGGACAACGAGTGGGCTGGGGAGCCCAGGCTGGAGGCTATGGAAGTCATTCTGGAAATGACTAAGGTTTGCAGCGGTGGAAGTCCCAGAGAACAGGAGGGATTTGGGATGAACTTTGGAGGAAGAGCCCTCAGGACTGGCTGAGGAATGGGGCCTGGGGGAGGGGGAAAAGAGAAGAATCAGGATTCCAGGGGTGCCATTTACCGAGGCGACGGATAGGTGGCGCTATGGTGAGCTGAGTCAGAGGAAGCTGTTCCTGGCTGTGGGATTATGGACAGAAGAAGCAGCTGGCAAAATCCAGGAGAGAGGGGGGAGATGGGTGTCTCCCAAGGACGGTGCCAGACCATCAATGCTGAGCTGATGGGTGTGTGTTTGCGGGGGGTGAGGGTGTCACCTGGCAGCTTTGACCTGGCTAGGCTGGCAGGGGCCGGAGGGCCAGGGTAGTAGAGCTATGGTGAAGTCAGAGGTGGGGGCCTCACCTGTGCCCTGTGCCCGGTAGCCACTGAAGCTGCATCACATCAGGCCAGAGTGGTCAGGGCAGGGCATATGGTAGGCAGAAAAATGTCCCCACATTCCCCTAGATGCCCACGTCCTAATCCTAATCCCTGGAAGCTGTGACTACGTTAGACTGCATGGAAGGAGGAACGAAGGTTACAGGTGGAATTAAGGCTGCTACAGCTGATCTGAGATGGGAAATTATCTTGGATGATCTGGGTGGGCCCAGTGTAATCAACAGGGTCCTTATTTGTGGAAAAAGAAAGCAGGAGATGGAGCGGCAGAGGGCTGCGGCATGAGAATGACTCCACTGGCCACTGCTGGCTTTGAAGATGGAGGAAGGGGCCATGAATCAAGGAATGCAGGTGGCCTCCAAAGGCTGGAGGCCAGGAAATGAGCTCCCTGGAGCCTGCAGAAAGGAGCACAGCCTTGCCAATACTCGATATTAGCCCAGCCAGACCCATTTCCAACCTCTGACCTCCAGACCTGTAAGATAATATAATTGGGCTGTCTTAAGCCACCCAGTTTGTGGTAATTTGTGACAGTTGCAATAGGAAATGGGATGCTGAGGCCAGGCATGGTGGCTCATGCCTGGAATCCCAGCACTTTGGGAGGCCAAGGCGGGTGGATCACTTGAGGCCAGGAGTTTGAGTCCAGCCTGGCCAACATGGTGCAACCCCATCTCTACTAAAAATACAAAATTAAGCTGGGCATGGTGGCAGGCACCTGTAATCCCAGCTACTGGGAAGATTGAGGCAGGAGAATCACTTGAACCTGGAAGGCAGAGGTTGCAGTGAGCGGAGATGGTGCCATTGCACTCCAGCCTGGGCGACAGAGTGAGACTCTGTCTTGAAAAAAAAAAGGGGATGTTGAAAAAAAGCTGGTTCTGGTTCTGGTTCTCCTCCAGCTTGGGGGACAATGTGCCAACCACCCTAAGCTGAAGAGGCAGAAGGGCGCACAGGCTTTAAAATCAGGAGACCTGGGTTCAAGGCCAGTTGCTCTGTGACTTTAGGCAAGTTGTGCCCTACCCCTGAGACTCAGTTTCTTTATCTGTATAATGAGGCTACAAACAGCTCCTGCGTCCTTGAGTTACGGTGAGGACAAAAGCAGATGGCACAGGTGATGCACTTGGCTCCATGCCTGACGCTGAGTGAACCCTCAATAGTCGCCTTGGAATTCTCACAAGCTACGATTAGAGTCCGCTGCCCCCCTCCCTGCTTCCCAAGAGAATCTTCTTTTCTGACCTGACCCACTGGGATTTGGATCCAGCATCATCTGATCCCCGGATCCAATTGCTAGAGGGTATGCGGGCTGGCCTAGCACTCTGGGAAAGCCACTGGGCGGTAATGAGGGAAATGAAGATGCTGCTGCCCTGTGACCCAGGAATCCCACTTCTGGGTATATTTCCCAGACCTGGGACCACAAAGGGTTGTGGCAGACATTGTCAGTAATAAATTATTTGCACTCAAATCCTTCACTCAGGGTTTGCTTCTGGGGAACCAGATGGAAGAGAGTAACAAACAAGGTACAAAAATGTGTGTTCTGTGTTGTTTATGGTACCAGGAGGTCCCCTAGCATCCATCCCCAGGGGAGTGGACAGGCAAGTCTTCGTAGAGGCAGATTATGGAAGCCTGCAGATTGCCCAGGAATCAGAAGCAATGGACTGAGTGGAGATTTAGCAACACATTTAGGTCTTAAAAACAGTGTGCCGAGTGGAAAAAGAAACAGAAGTTTCTAGCACTGTGCTATTTATGTAAATGAACACACACACATTACATATTTTACAAGGTCTCAAGCACATGTGAGGATCTATATTAACCACATGGAGGGTGCCTGGAAGGGCAGAGGAAGGGGAAGAAGCGCGGGGATTGGAACAAAGAAGAAAAATGAGTAAGATGAGACAGCCTGGCACAGGCCAATGAGGAGGCGTGCTGGGAAGCGGTGTGGTTTGTACAACTCTGGGTTTTAACCCAGGTTTAAAAAGAAAAACGAAGAGCACAGGAACGACAGAACCTTCTGAATTGCTCGGGGTGCTCGGTGGAGATACAGATTTCTGGGACCCTCCCTTCCCAGTCGGAATGTCTGAAGGGGAGGCCCAGGAATGAGCATGTTCACAGGCTCTCATGGAGATTCTGTGTGAGAGAGGGGACCGGGAATGCCTGGAGTTCTCCCAGGGGCTGGAGGCACAGGAGCTGCTCTGGGCTTTCACCTGGACTCCCCTGCCCAACGTGTCAATCTCCTAGAGGCTCTGGAAGGCTGTGAGTCCCGCTTCATTGGAGAAATGAAATCCCTTCTGGTTCGTGAGAAAAATCTTCTGCGTTGGGGCTGCCTTGATCAAATTTCCATTCAGGAGCCCAGAGATCCACTGACACTCTCCTCGCAATTTTTCTATCTTTCCTTTGAGGAAAAGGTGATGCTTATAAGCTATGGCTGAGGGCTGAGAACATACTTCCAAAGATAAATGATCATTGAGATCATAAGGCGTTCTGAGTGGCAGTTCTCACGTGACCACCCTGAGGTCAGCACATGACTGAGGGTACAGGTGCGGGACCTGTGGGGTGGGATTTGGGAGGGCGGAATGGGATGGAGTGAAGGTCCAAGCCAGGCATGGCTAGTCGTCCCTGCTGCTCCTGCTAATAACCCTGTGGCCTGGGCAGGCCATCACACCCACTGAGCCGCTGGCCTCTCTGAGCCTGCCTCCTCCCCTAGAAGATGGGGATAAGATTGCTGACCTCACGGGGCTATTATGGGGATCTGGTGAACGGAGGTTTGCTGCAGGGATGAGCAGTGTCACTGGGCCTCCTGTCCCCATGGCTACATTCCATCAGGGGCATGAAATGGTTCTACAGATGGTCCTGGGCTGACCCCAACTGCTTTCAGGTCTCTCTCCGGGGTTCCAACAAGCTGCGGGCCTCTCTGGACCCTGTTCTTTCTGTCTTATGCTCTCCGTCCCTCTTCCGAGTGGCAGCGGGGAATGCAGAGAGAGCGCTAACTGCACAAAGTGTTATAAATAGCAGCAACCACAGCCTCCCTCCACTGCAAACTCACTAAGTGCCAGGTGCTGTGCTAGGAGCCTTCATTGCCTGAGTCTCCATCCTTTCCTAAAAAGGTGGGCATTATCACTAATACCCCCATTTTACAAATGAAGAAACTGAGGCTCTGAGAAGTGAAAACTTATGTCTGGCAATAAGCGACAAAGCCAGAATTAAACTAGATCTGTGGGACTCCAGGCCGAACCTCTTTGACCCCTGCCTTTTACTGCCTCCTTGAACCACTTGTTCCTTTCGGGGAGCTGGTGTGGTGTCTCCACCCCTTGCAGTGAGTCAGGGACTGGGTTTCTAGTCTCTATTTCATATGGACGAGATTTTGGAATGTTTCTGAGGATGGGGAGAAGCAGGCAATTGTCCATGGCTGGGGAAACATATTTATCACTATTTATATTTGCAAGTGAGCAGAGTTAAAAAAAATCAACAAAACCCCTAGTTTTGCCAAACTCAGGGTTGCCATTTTGGCCTCTGGGAAGGAGATGTTGACGATGGAGGCAGAGGGTGGAGTCGTCTCCAGAAGCCCTGCTGATACCTTGATTTTGGCCCAGTGAGTCATTTGGTCTTCTGATCTCCAAAAACTATGAGATAATAAATTCAGGCTGGGCGCAGGGGCTTACGCCTGGAATCCTAGCACTTTGGGAGGCCAAGGTGAGAGAACTGCTTGAGTTCCAGAGTTCAAGGCCAGCCTGGGCAACATAGTGAGACCCTGTTTCTACAATTAAAAAATAATCAGCTGAGCATGGTGGTGTGTACCTCTAGTCCCAGTGACTCAGGAGGCTGAGGTGGGAGGATCACTTGAGCCCAGGAGGTCAAGGCTGTGGTGGGCCATGATAGTGACACTGCACTCCAGCTGGGTGATAGAGCAAGACCCTGTCTTCAAAAATAATAATAATAATAATAATAAATTTATATTGCTTTAAGCCACTAAATGTGTGCAAGTATGTGAAAGGAGGAAATTAACACAGCTTCCAAGGCAACTTTCCAGAAGGAAAGCATTTCTCTCCTGTACTCTGCAGGCTTTGGTTTCTCTCTCTCGTACCATGCCTCTCAACCTGTGCCATTCCCTCACTCCCAGTGGGTGTCTCGGGGACCCGTCCGTCTCTCTCCATGCCACTCTTTCCCAGGCCCTGCAGCGTTTCACTGCCAGTATAGCTTCATCTGTCAGGATTAGGGCTTCTGGCCGAGCCGACTCAGAGGCGGGTCAGGCTGCATTAATCCCCAATTAAAACGTTAATCAAAATGGATCCAACCATTAGCCTGGCCCGGGTCCTGGCATGTTAGATTTCCAAGAGCTGCTGTGCCCTGGTGGAGAATATATCTTTCTTAGCCACCTGCTGTCTGTTCTCGCCACAGTCCCACCACCCTGGGCCTTGGCCCAGCCTCCTGAAAGCTGGGGCCCAAGTTCCTGGGGAGATTGTGTGCTGGGAGCTAGGCTCTTCCCTCCATCCCTCCCTTGCCCCCAAATGAGAAAAAGTGCCAGTGTCCCTCCCCCCTATAAAAAAGACAGGCTGCCTCGGGAGCCTCCCTGCTGTGCTGCAGGCAAGCAAAATAACACCAAATGCACGTTTGCGTTTGCCTTCTTCTACGGGGAGGTGTTTGGGGACTGGAGCCAGAAGATCCTTTTCTCTTTGCCTCCTTGTAGCTCAAAATTAAGCAGAGAAGCAGGCTTGGGGGAGCAGTGGGGACCTCAGGACGGCAGGAAGGGAGACACCTGCTTACCAGAGTCCTCTGGAGGGAGAGCATGATCGGACCTGCCCGGGGAGGTGTGGGTATGAGAGTGAAGACTCACCTCAGGGCAACGGACAGTCTTAGGCACAATTCAGATCCTATTTGTAGCAAAGTCACTTCATTTCTGATTTCGTTAATCAAATACAGTCTGCTGGATGATAAAAATGGTCCACAGCAATGGAGTGCTTCAGCTAGGTTCTTCGCCTCTCCCTTTTTATTAATTCTATTTAGAGGGGCTTTACCAGCTGCCATTTTTCACCCACAGGCTCCATTTCTGGGCTTAATGCAACAACCAAGGGTAGATTCCTGTACCCCTAGACCTCTGGCAACAGGCAATGTTGACTCTTCATCAACATTGGAAAGCAGGGTGGAGAAAGGACAGCCGAGCCAAGGTACCTACTGCGGCTCCAGGAGGTGAGTTCCTCGGAGCTGGTTTGCGTCGCTTAGCCCTGCATCCAGCACACATCTCTTTGTTCTTCTGTTTCCTGAGGCACCTCCCTCACCTCTTGCCAGAGCCCAGCTGTGGGTCTGGTGCAGAGAATTCAAAGTGGTGCTCAGATCTGCCCCAATCAGGCTCCAGGACAAGCTTCGGGAAAGTCTTTGGGGATGGGGAGAAGCAAGTAACCTCTGCCTCCCATGTCACATCTCCCTCCCAGAGGCCAAAAAGGCAACCCAGAGTTTGGCAAAACTAGGGGTTTGGTTGATTTTTTTACTCCCAAGGTTTGACAACCCAGGCTGTAGGCTGCGGGCCTGGGCTCTCAAGTCTCAGGAGAAGAACCTAGGTTGCCTCGTTTCCAGTGTGCTTGCAGTTCCCTGCAGGTTAGGAGTGTGTCCCAGGACAGACATCTTTCCCGTGGAACGGGCTGGCTTCGAGAATGACTGAGGAGGGTGATCCCCAGGGGCCAGCGCTTGCCTGTTTTTCAAACACACCTTCCCTCCTTCCCCTCCTATCAGGCGACTCTGCAGGGCTCCAAAAGCCGGGGGAGGCACAAATAGAGCTCAGGTCTGGCAGAGCCTGAAAAATCCCCCAAAGAAGGACAGCATGCCCTAGCCACAGTGCCGACCGCAAGGCCCCAATCAGCAGTGCCAAACTTTTCTTGGAGATGTGCTGCCGGTGAGGCTCTTCATAGGGACTCTGCCATCATGGGTATGGGGGTATCAAACACACACTAATGAATAAACCTCTGCTCAGATTCATAGGGCAGGAACTTCCCCCACCCCACAATGAATCAGACCAGTTCCTGCTCCCTCCTCTTACTTCCCCCTGTACTTATCTCAGGGAGTCAGCAAAGGGGGTGGGGGCGTCTGTGTCTGTCTCCCTCTTCTATGTGTCTGTCATTTACCTGGGTAACTTTGGTGCCTGGCACCCTTTAAGTGCTTAATAACAGCGAGTGCTTAAGAAAATGCCTGCTGAATGGACAACCTAACTCATAAACCCCATTGGTGGGAACCTGCATTCCTCAGTAATGTCGGATCAGTGT
This sequence comes from Homo sapiens, assembly GCF_000001405.40. Taxonomy (NCBI): domain Eukaryota; kingdom Metazoa; phylum Chordata; class Mammalia; order Primates; family Hominidae; genus Homo; species Homo sapiens. The sequence continues at coordinate 51,021,842 of NC_000020.11, forward strand.
TTCTCAACTCCTCCCCACCCTACCCCATCACCCGCCCCTAAGGAGCTTTGAAAAGATCTTTTCTTCCTATTCTAGAACCAATTCCAGCTTCCACACCTCCCACCTTGAGAAGGAATGCATTAGATGAACCAAGACTTCTGCCTATATACATGGGCTGCTACAGTTGGCCACCCCGGCAGTCTGCGGCCTCCCAAGCGGGGGCCTGGGTCTTAATCCTTACTTCTCTCTAAGCTGCATGAAGGGTGCCCCCATTCCATCCCTCTTCACTTCTCCCCAGCATAGCGCCTCCATAAATGTTTGTGAACTGGATGAATGACTGTTGAGCGCTTGGTATGATGAGCTGCTTACAATAGGTGCTCAACCAATCTTTGTCCAATCTATGAATGAATGAATGAACTTCACCCTTTTCCTTCCATACCTCCGGGCTGAGCCTCTCTCCCACATGGAAACCCTAAGGCTGAGACCACCACCTTCCTACCAGTTCCTGGGGGTGCCCAGTGAACTGTCTCAGTATCCCCAGTGCCTAGCACACAGTAGGCGCTCAATAAACGCTTGCTGTGTTCATAATGAATGACTCAATCAGGCCCACGGTGGGGGTGAAGGGGGGCTCCATACTGTGCCTAAGGATACAGTGAATGAGCAAGTGACACACACTCCCCCACCCCAATCCCTAACTCTCCTTCCTCCCAGGATCGGGGGAGAAACCTCGGCCCACAGCCGGGATGCGCCCCCGCCGGGGTCACCGCGGCGGCGAACGTCCCGGACTTCGCATCCCGGTGACCCCTTGGGATGAACCGAAGCCGGACCCGCACCTTGGCCGTAACAAGCGCGCTCCACGCCGCCACGCACCAGCGGTGACTCCCGAGTCCTCTGTCGCCCTGGCCTCCCCGCAGGCGGGTTTCGAGGCCCCCGCAGGGAGTTCAGGGCCACGGCCACGTGCAGCCGCCCCCGAGCCCGAGTTTGCAGGCTCGGGGTCCGGTTCGCGCTTCGGTGGCGCCCGGCGAGGCTGCAGCGCGCAAAGTTCCCACCTCAAGTTCCCGTCGCGGCGTCCCCGCCTCGGAGTTGGCCCGGCCGCGGCTTCCGTTCCCCCCGGCTGCCCACGGGTCCGGGGCGAGGACGCGAGAGGGGCCTGGAAGTCGCCCGGGGAGCCCGCTCTGCCTCCCGGAGCCGCCGCCAAACTTCGGTCCCGGGGCCCGGCTCAGCTCCCGCCCTCGGAGCCACGGCCGCCCCGTCTCTGCCTCCCGGTCCCCGCCGGGCTCCGAGTGCGCCGGGAGCGCGGCGCAGCAGCCGCCGAGGGAGGGAGCGAGGCAGGAGGCGGGACGGAGGGAGGGGACTGAGCGCGGGGCGGGGAGAAGGGGCGGGCAGCCGAAAGCGCAGCGCCTGGCCTCGCCTCGCTTCGGGACAGTGGCAGCGGCGCCACCGTCACGGGGCGTCCAGGCGCCCAATCGGGACCCCGCACCTTGGATCCGGGGGCCCTGGCGCGCCTGCTGGATTGCGCTCCTCGCGGCCAGTTCCTGAGCCCGCGTCCGGGACTGCTCGCGCTACGCCCTCCCTCCCGTTGCCTTCTTCCCCGTCTGCTCTCCCAGGAGCGACCACCCTGCGGCCCCTTCGCCTGCACGCGACAGCCTTCAAGGTCCCCGCGCTCCGCTGCCCTGGAGCTTCACGCACCAGGCGGCGCGGCAGCCTCCTAGGGTCGCGCGCCCTGTCAGCTTTCCCCGCGGTGCAAGTGCTCCGGTGGTCCCGGGTCCGCGCCCCTAGCAGCACCGCCCCAGGGTCTACATGTGCTAGATATTAAAACCCCACTCTCCGCTGCCCCGGGGCCGCGCTCCACGCGCTTACACATCCTGGGAACCACATGCGCCATGTCTCCTGCCTTTCCCTGGAAGTCCTGGAAGTCCAAGTGCACTGCTGCCTCTGGGTCCCTCGCCCCCCTACCCCGGGCAAATACTGCATCCTTGAGGCCCTCCACGCGCTGCTGCCCTGGAGCCGAACGCTCCAAGCAAGCTTCCACATCCTGGGGGCCATATATCGCGCGCCTTTTCTCGACCTCCTAGACCAATGTTGCCCTTGGGCCCTTCCTGCCACCGCCACCCAGGGACTGCCAGCATCTTGCTGTGCCAAATTCCTAGGGCCAGTACGTACCGTGCCAGGTGTTTTCCCTTCCAGTCCCGCGGGGCCGAGGCCCCAGAGCCCTCCCGGGCTAGCAGAGCCGCACTTCGTCGTCCACTCCCCTGGCCGGTGCAGGGCACTTGGACCAGGTCCTGGGGTCTTGCTCCCAGTGTGGCCGCCTAGCCTCGGAGTTGGTAGGATGCTGCACAGATGCTGGAGGTTGGGTTGGAGGGATCTATTGGGTTGGAGGAATCTACTGAGTTGGAGGGACCTATTGGTTTGGAGGGATCTGTGCTGCTGGCAGGGCTGGCCTCTTAGGGTGGCTTGCCTTGCACTCCGTTCCTCTTCTCCTTTCTGTCTCTTGCACTCCGTTCCTCTTCTCCTTTCTGTCTCTTGCACTCCGTTCCTCTTTTCCTTTCTGTCTCTACTGCCTTTGCCTATCATCAGAGAACCAAGAAAGGACATGAAGAAACCCTGCTGCCGACCAGCCTGAGGCCTTCTGCTTGAGTGGGGCTCGGGTTGGGGAGTCGTGGGTGCTCATTAAGTGGGTTAGGGTTAACCCTAAGAAATGAGCGCAGGGCACACTAGCCTGCGCGGCAGTCCCAGCCGGGTGGAGCATAGGAGTTCCAGGTTATAGTGCACTATGATGGCACCACTGCAATCCAGCCTGCGTGACTGAGCGAGATCCAGCCTCTAAAACAACAAGAATAAAAACACTGGCTTACTGGTGAGGTGGAGGCCTGGACAGACAAGGATCTGCCTAAGGACCTGTTTCCAAGAGCTCACCTTCTACTGGGGGCTTGGCAGAATTGGGAAACTGCTGAAATACGTGATTGCAGAATGAAGCCAGAGAGGCCACTTTAGATAGAATAATGGGGGAGGGCTCCTGTGGAGGTGATGGTTACATGGAGCCCTGAGCCAGAAGGAGCCCATCTGGCAAGATGGGAAGAGAGCTTTCTAGGTGGACAGAACATCAAAGGCACTGGCCTTCAAGCAGGAGAGAAGGAGGCATGTCTGAGAAACATCAAAGAGACCAACCAGCAGTGTGGGGGAGGGGCCTGAGTGGGGTGGGGTGGGCTTTTGTTGTCAGAGGGTCCCTGGATTACATATTGAGAAACACTCCTCTTGTGGTGGATCAGGCTTCTGCCTTCCTTTCCCATCTGAAATTTTTTTTTTTTTTTTTTTTTTTGAGACATAGTCTCTCTGTGTCTCCCAGGCTGGAGTGCAGTGGTGTGATCTCAGCTCACTGCAACTTCCATCCCCCTGGGTTCAAGCGATTCTCCTGCCTCAGCCTCCTGAGTAGCTGGGACTACAGGTGTGTGCCACCATGCCCAGCTAATTTTTGTATTTTTAGTAGAGACGGAGTCTCACCATGTTAGCCAGGCTAGTTTTGAACTCGCAACCTCAAGTGATCCGCCAGCCTCAGCCTCCCAAAATGCTGGAATTACAGGCGTGAGCCACTGCACCCAGCCAGAAAATTGCTCTCTATCTTGTTTTTGAGACAGGGTCTGACTCTGTCACCCGCTGGAGTGCAGTGGTGCAATCATAGCTCACTGTAACCTCTAACTCCTGGGCTCTAGGGATCCTCCTGCCTCAGACTTCTGAGTAGCTGGGACTACCACACACCACCATGCACCACTAATTTAAAACAAAATATATTTTTTGCAGAGACAGGCGGGTCTGGAACTCCTAGGCTTAAGACATCCACCCACCTTGGCCTCCCAAAGTGCTGGGATTACAGATGTGAGCCGCTGCACCTGGCCATGTTTCTATCTTTTTTACTTGCGTATTATCTGTGTCCCCACTGGGGACCAAGCTCCATCAGGGCAAGGACTGTGTGCTGTCTCTCCCCTCTCCAGCAGCTCCCACTCTGCTAGGCACATACAGAGCAGGCTTCTTAAATGATTCCTGGAAATGATTCCTGGGGGAATTCAGGACAGTTTTCTGGAATAGATGTGACTGCGTCAGAGAGTCAGACTCCTCACTGATGCTCACAGGGTAAGGATGCAGAGCAGGGCCTCTCAGACTTTACTGTGCATCTGAATCCCCCTGAGGGCTTATTAAAACCCAGACGGCTGGCCCCCACCCTGGAGTGGCTGATTCAGTGGGTCTGGCGTAGGGTCCTTCTGAGGAGTTCCCTGCTGATGCTCATGCATCAGGTCTGGGGATCCCACTTTGAGAACCACTGATATTGAAGACTTGAACGCCTACCCAGCTGGGTCTGACTTCGGAGCCCTCATGAGGTCCCGGGACAAACTCAAGCCAGCTTCTTCTTATGTAGGATCCATAGGAACTAATGGCCACCTCTAGAGATGGGGCTGGGCTTATTAGAACACTATGCACCTGAGTCAAATTTCATAGTGACCTGCAGACAGAAGACCTGGTACACTGTGTGGAGACCGTCAGTGAGAACAATGACTTCCACCCGGTCCTGCCTACCCGCAACATACACACTCACTTGCTGTACCCAGGAGTTAAATTACTGCCTGATCTTATCCCTGACTGTGCTAAACAATGTCCAATAAAATCCTTTTAAGTCCTTTTAAGGAATTCCCTCTTTGCAGTTCCTCCCTCCCTTAGAGCCTTCCAGATTTTTCACTCTTCTCCTCATATCTTCATTTTCCTCTTGAAAAGCATCCTTCCCCAAGCTGTTGTGTGGAAAGAGATGTTGATGATACCCATGGAAGCTTCCTGAGAAAATGGGAACCGTCAGTGCTTGCTGGGCAGCTACGAGGTGCCAGGTGGTTGCTGGGTGATTTGAAGACATCAGAGCCACAACTGGGCCCGGAGGTGGACTCTGGCACGCAGACCTGTTTTATTTGTCCCTACTGAGTTAAAATTTTTAAAAATTAATTTAAAATTAGTTGCTGACCTTTAAAAACTGGGAGATTTCATGTAAAATTTTTTCTTTTGAAACACTGGGAGATCTGGCCAACATCCTTTACCCACACAGCATGCTGGCGCTGGGCAGTGGCTTCTGCTCCCTGCGGTGTGCCCCTCTACCCACATCATACCATCTCGGTTACTGCCAGGCCCCTGGAAGCAAGAGTTGGTGACTTTTCATGTTGGCAGATTGTCTAGGGTTGCGCGGTAAATGGCAGAGCCAGATCCGAACCCAGGCCTGCCTAACCCAAAAGCCCAAGCTTGTCACTGAAATAAAAACTGCTGTTAATTTTTCGGGCAGGAGGAGAATGTGACATTGCTGGCCCTGAGGAAATACCTTAAAAGGGAGTTACTGTCAGCAGTTTAAGAATATGCCTTCCTTCCCATCCATAACCAGCTGTCAGTAAGCCATAAAGTTCTGGGCTGTTTTTCCAGGGCAGGAAAAGTTATCCAGAGCTGTCCATTTTTTTTTAACCCATCTCCTCCTTGAGATGAAAAGGCTTGGATTTGGTTGGAGTTGGGAGGAATCTGTTGAGAGTGGTGGGTGGGGTGGGATTTTCTTGGTTTGGAGTTAGCTCTTTGGACAGGGGATCCCACTGGGTGTCTGTGGGGTGAAGGCTGGTGTTTGAGTCAAGGCAGGGATTGGGATGGGGGCATTCTCCTTCTCTCTCTCCACAGACACTCTGCCCCAGGCACTTTCCCTTTCTGTTCCTCTGATTCCCCAAATCCTGTCACCTTCCCGCAGATTTCCATATAGCCACTTCCTGCAGGTCTCAGCCCATTGTCACCTTGGGATTCCTGGTCTGGGATGGGGTTAGGTTGCAGTAGGTGAGGTTGAGGCATGCAAGGGTGTGACTTTATTGAAGTCTTTCTTTTAAAATGTGATATTTTGCTTCTTGTGGATTTTTGTGGACTAATTTTGATTTTTAAAAAATATTGTTTCAAAATGTTATTTACCTTGATGATTGAGCTTTTGGGCACCTCCTTACTTTTTTTTTCTTTTCTTTTTTTATTTTTTTTGAGATGGAGTTTCTTTCTTGTTGCCCAGGCTGAGGTGCAGTGGCACGATCTTGGCTCACTGCAACCTCTGCCTCCCGGGTTCAAGCGATTCTCTTGCTTCAGCCTCCTGAGTAGCTGGGATTACTGGCACCCTGCCACCTCACCTGGCTAATTTTTCTATTTTTAGTAGAGATGAGATTTGACCATGTTGGCCAGGCTGGTCTTGAACTCCTGACCTCAGGTGATCTGCCCTCCTCAGCCTCCCAAAGTGCTGGGATTACAGGTGTGAGCCACCACATCCGGCTCCCTCTTACATTTTGTACCCTGCCTGCCTCATCCCAGCTCCTGCCCTGCTCCTAGTCCAGGGTTCTTTGGCAAGAGCCCTGGGCTGAGAGTCAGGGGACCTGGGTTCTGGTCCAGCTTGTGTCACTAGACTAGCTGTGTGGTTGGACACAATCTCCCTGCATCCTGAGCCTCAGCTGTACCATCTATTCAGGGAAAAGGTTATATCTAACTCTATTCCAGAATGATCTAAGACATCTGCTAGAACTCTGACCGGTGGTGCATTGTGTCTATCTCCTGGGGGCTTTGGAGCCATTTGAGCCTTGCTGACCCTGGCCATTATGGGGTGTCACTCACTGTTTATTTCTTGGCTCTACACTCGAGGTGTTCCTCTGTGCAAACACAAAATCTTTGCAGCAGCTGTATGCAATGAGCCTCAGTGCCTTCATGCCTTTTTCCTGTCCTGGAGGAAATTTCTGTTTTGGAAATGTGGTTCTGTACCTTATTCTTTGATGTCCCGCTTTTTTGTTTTTTGGTTTCATTCCCCAGATCATTGGATAAACATTGTTTAAGGACCTTCTATATGCCAAGCACTGAGCAAGCACTTGGGATGCAAAAGACACGTTTTCAGCCCTGGAGGAGCTCACCTTCCACTGCAGGAGACTGCCCATGAGCAGATCCGGGGACCGGGAGAAGCCTGCAGCAGTGGAGGACTTCCAGGGAGGATGAGGACACTTCGAGGGAACTGTGCACTGTCTTTTCTCCTGGGAGGAAGCCTGCATCCTCTGTGCTGTCTCCAGATGCCATCAGCCCCGAGCAGTGTATAGCACCTTCCTAATAGAATCCTCCTCAAGAGAGTGCTGCAGTGTTACATTTTGGATCCACACTCGAAGGGACGAAGCTTGAAGTTAAAGCTTCCAGTTGTCTCTAACCCCATCTCCCTCCATCCCTCCTCTGGGTTGTGGTTTGTCCCTCAGTTTTTCCGCCTCCTGATAACTTTCACAGCCCATTTCCAAGTCCACCTCCTGCGTTCAGCTTTCCTCCACTGCTCCAGCCCTCAGGGGACTCTTCCCCCTACCCTCATCCTAAGCCTTTATCAACTAATAGGTACTCTCCCTGGCACTTAATTAAGATCTGTCTAGAGTTCCTTGGTGCTTCAGCCCAGCCACGAGATTCTGGTTCTTGCAGGGAGAGGGCACTGCCTGATAGTTGGTAATAGCTGGAGGGCTCATTCCCCTCTACTCAGAGGGTGCAAACTCATGTATCTTCCCAGGACTTCCATGTTTTAAAAATAATGAAGTATGTGCCAATATTTGAAAATTAGGAGATTTTCGCATACGAATCCAGATTTCTGGCTTCCCTTGAAAACTTAGAAGATGTGCCAATTCTGAACCTGCTTTCCTGCCTGGCAAAAATTGGCTAGAGCTGGTAGCAACATTTTCCTTTAGCTGGGGCCTGGGTTCTCCAGTTTGTCACACTCCTCACCACTCCTTAAAGTCTAGAACCCTTTACCTGTCTACCTGTCTGGTCCCTGTAGGCATCTGAGATTTTAAGTCCTGGTTCAACTTTTCTCTTTCTTAAGAAGAGAGACAGCTCATCAGAGCACTGCACACTGGCAGATGCTTAGGTAGCTCAAAGGGAGGGTGGGCGTGGAAAAGGGGATGTGTGAGCACCCAAGACTGTTGAGTGGTTGGGGGTTGGAGAGAGTCAGGCAGGAGGGTGCTTACTATGAATCCAGTCCATAGATACTTAGTATCAATGAACTCAGATGGGTGTTTGAACCTGGCTGATGTGATGTGGGTTATGTGTACAGGTAGAGCTATATTTCATGTGAATACAAAACAACACAGTTATAAAAACCAAAATGAATCTGACTTCTTGAGAGAATGTGCCATGTGCCAGATACTATTCTAAAGTTTTTATATTTCATTCTCATAACAACCCCACATAGTGGGTAACATGATTTTCCCTGTTTCTGGGATGGGGTAAATGAGACACGGGTGAATAACTTGCTCAGGATTACACAGCCAGAACATGAGAAGCTGTGATGGCAACACACACAGAAAGACCCTGAAGCTGGATTTTACAGCAGGATCCGAGGTGCTGGTAGATGCTGGATTTCGTTATTGTTGTCATCTTTCCTCCCCCAGATTAGAGAGCTATTGCTGTGTTGTCCCATCTCTTGGGATTGTAATTTGTCTCCCTCCTGCTAGGAGTCTGTCAGGCTTGAGGCTTTCTTCCTTAGCAGGGGGTTGAAGCTAGCCAGCCCCTCAGGTGTATTACTGTAGGCTGTTTGATCTGGACACATGCAGAAGTATATGGCTTTCGCAAGAGGAGGGAAGGGTGGGGGTGGGGAAGAGAAGAAAGCAGTGGTCCTGCCAGCCAGGTCCAGGTCCCCTCAGACAGACCCTGGATCCCAGAAGCACAGGGCCCACCAGCCAGGTCCCCCAGGATGAGCTCATTCCCCATGTCCCCGGATCTGAGGTCAGCGTCCCATTGCACCATTCTAGCGTCCGTCTTGCTGCAGTGGAAGATTTTTCGTCCCCTTCCCGTTACTTTGCATTGCTTCTGGGCTGCGTTCCCTCTTATTTCATTTTCATCTGAAATCCTGAGCTCACCCTCCCTAGCAGCTGACGGGACCATTTATTTCCGAGGCTGCAGCCAGTCGCAGGGCTGTCGACAGCTGAGTGGAATGCTCTGGGATTTTGCCACCCTGTTTCGTTCCTGCAGACGGGAAGGAAGACAGGAGAACATCTTCATTTTGTAGCAGCAAAGGCTGTCAGAGCCTTGGAGCCTCAGCTGTCATCCCCTTTGGCCTGAGATGCAATTTGTTTTGTCCAGAACACTGCCTGGGTGGACTTGGTCCCTCGGTCATTTGTCCTTTTGGTCTCAAAACCTTGAGAGAGCGTGGTCTGTGCTTTGCAATTGTCCTGTCAAATGCCCCTGGATCTTCATAGCTGGAACAGCTCCTAGAGGTCGTTTTGTCAGAGGTTCTCTGTGTTCAGAGAGGGTGAAGAACTTGTGGGGGTTGCATAGCAAGTGACTGGAAGAGGCAGGACTGACAGGTTCCTGGGTCCTAGGCCCATCCCTTTTGCGTTATATTAGGTTGCCTCTTTAGAATCTCAGAAGGCCAAGCCTCAGGGAAACCTCCCTATGCCCCAACTTCCTGGAATGCTCTTCCTCTAGCCCTTTTCAGGGTTCCTCCTTTCCCTCCTTTGGGGATCAGCTCAAGTGTTGCTTCCTCAGAGAACACGTGGAAAAGTGCACTCATTTCCCTTGGATAAATTCTTAGGAGTGAACTCATTGGGTGAAAATCACATGTCCGCTGGGCACAGTGGCTCACACTTGCAATCCCCACAGTCACTCATGCCTGTAATCCCAACAGTGGCTCACGCCTGTAATCCCAACAGTGGTTCACGCCTGTAATCCCAACAGTGGTTCAAGGCTGCAATCCCAACAGTCACTCACCCCTGTAATCCCAACAGTGGCTCACGCCTGTAATCCCAACAGTCACTCACACCTGTAATCCCAACAGTGGTTCACACCTGCAATCCCAACAGTCACTCACGCCTGTAATCCCAACAGTGGTTCATGCCTGCAATCCCCACAGTCACTCACGCCTGTAATCCCAACAGTGGCTCACGCCTGTAATCCCAACAGTCACTCACACCTGTAATCCCAACAGTGGTTCACGCCTGCAATCCCAACAGTGGCTCACTCCTGTAGTCCCAACAGTGGTTCACACCTGCAATCCCCACAGTCGCTCATGCCTGTAATCCCAACAGTGGTTCATGCCTGCGATCCCAACAGTCACTCATGCCTGTAATCCCAACAGTGGCTCACGCCTGTAATCCCAACAGTCACTCACACCTGTAATCCCAACAGTGGTTCACACCTGCAATCCCCACAGTCACTCATGCCTGTAATCCCAACAGTGGCTCACACCTGCAATCCCAACAGTGGCTCACTCCTGTAATCCCAACAGTGGTTCACGCCTGCAATCCCAACAGTCGCTCACACCTGTAATCCCAACAGTGGTTCACGCCTGCAATCCCAACAGTCATTCACACCTGTAATTCCAACGGTGGCTCATGCCTGTAATCCCAACAGTGGCTCATGCCTGCAATCCCAACAGTGGTTCATGCCTGCAGTCCCAACAGTCACTCACACCTATAACCCCAACAGTGGCTCCCACCTGTAATCCCAACAGTGATTCACGCCTGCAATCCCAACAGTCACTCACACCTGTAATCCCAACAGTGGCTCATGCCTGTAATCCCAACAGTGGCTCACTCCTGTAATCCCAACAGTAGTTCATGCCTGCAATCCCAACAGTCACACTCACACCTGTAATCCCAACACTGGCTCATGCTTGTAATCCCAACAGTGGCTCAAGCCTGTAATATCAACAGTGGTTCATGCCTGCAATCCCAACAGTCACTCACACCTATAATCCCAACAGTGGCTCACGCCTGTAATCCCAACAGTGGCTCACGCCTGTAATCCCAACAGTGGTTCACGCTTGCAATCCCAATAGTCACTCACGCCTGTATTCCCAACAGTGGCTCATGCCTGTAATCCCAATAGTGGTTCACGCCTGCAATCCCAACACTCACTCATGCCTGTAATCCCCAAGGCAGGAGGATTGTTTGAGCTCAGGAGTTTGAGACCAGCCTGGGCAATATAGTGAGACCTGGTTTCTATTAAAAAATAAAAAAAAATTAGCCAGGCATAGTAGTGCACACCTGTAGTCCCAGTTACTCAGGAGGCTGAGGCAGGAAGATGACTTGAGCCTGGGAGTTTGAGGCTGCAGTGAGCCATAATTGTGCCACTGCACTCCAGCCTGGGTGACAGAGTGAGACCCTGTCTCCAAAAAAAAGAAAAAAAGAAAATTTATATGTCTTCAATCACAGTGTTATGCTACCTGCTTGTACTGGGGTCTTCTGTCTGTAAATTATGTGAGGACAAAGCCCATTATTATTTGTAGCACTGTGTTTCACTGCTGTCCTGTTCTCAGCAAGGATGAATGTGAATTGAATGAATGGATGAGTGTACGAACGAGTCTCTTTTGGATTGATAGCTGTTGGGAGATAATTTTCCATGGGAGTCTTGTGTTTCTGCATGTCTTGCAAGCAAACATCCTGACTGCCTTTGTTCCAGATTACATTTTAGAGAATGTTCACATAGTAAACTGCCTTGAAAGATAGAGATGGTGTCTTTCTTCAGAGCAAAGAGCAGGTATGTTTACTATCTGTTATAAAAGATTTGGGTTTCTTAATATGATTCAGCCTTAAAAAGAAAGGAAATTTTGGCACACACTACCACATGGATGAAAATTGAGGTCATTATGGTAAGTGACATGAGCCAGACACAAAAAGACAAATACTATATGATTCCACTTACATGAGTACCTAGAGTTTTCAAATTCATAGACGCAGAAAGTATAATAGTAGTTGCCAGGGGTTCAGGGAGGGGAAAATGGGGAGTTGTTCAGTAGATACAGAGTTTCTGTTATGCAAGATGAAAATATTCTGGAGATCTGCTACACAACAAGGTGAATACTTAAGACTACTGAACTGTCCACTTAGAAATGGTTGAGGTGGTAATTTTATGTTGTGTGTGTGTGTGTGTGTGTGTGTGTGTGTGTGTGTGTGTTTGCCACAGACACAAATGCTGTTTTGGGTTTCCTGAGCTTATGGTTCCTCTCCTATAATGCAGCTCTCCACATGGCTTTGCACTGCCCTGTGGGAATTGGGACTTGAGGAAGTGATGCAAGTAGCAGTAATCTGGCTACTGCTGTTGCTGTGAGTCATCAACTGTCCTTTGTCTTTGACCCAGGAGTCTTGCATCTTCTGCCAGCATCCACAAAACTTGCTAACTTGCAAGTAGTGTAAATCTCAGACTCTTCGCAGTAGACAATCGTGATTTCTGTACATTTTCCTTGGAGCACTTTTGACAACTGTAGGTAAACACTTGTCTTTAAGTAACTTTAAATGCTTGTCTGCTTCATGAAACCCTAAGCTTTTTTTTTTTTTTTTTTGAGACAGAGTCTCACTCTGTCGCCCAGGCTGGAGTGCAGTGGAGCGATCTCAGCTCACTGCAACCTCCACCTCCCTGGTTCAAGCAATTCTCCCTGCCTCAGCCTCCTGAATAGCTGGGATTACGGGCACCCACTGCCATGCCCAGCTAATTTTTGTATTTTTAGTAGAGATGGGATTTCACCATGTTGGCCAGGATTGTCTTGAACTGCTGGCCTCAGGTGATCTACCTGCCTCGGCCTCCTAAAGTGCTGGGATTACAGGCATGAGCCACCACGCCTGGCCAACCCTGAGCTTTCTTGTTTGCAGTTTTATTCCCAGTGCCTGGCACACAGAAAATGCTCAATAAATCTTTGTAGAATGAATGACTGGGTAGATGGATGGATGGATGAATGACTGCTTGTTGTCTTGATCCCACCATTGCTTCCTCAAGAAGAGAACTTCTGGAACAGATGGTCTGGCTTGCCGTCACAGCTATTTGGAAGCAAGCTCCCGAGGAGTCATCTCTCTTTTGTGCCAGGCTGGCTCTAGTCTTCCTCACCACCCCCTCCCCCATGCTTCTCCTACACAAATGCTGCTGAGAGCACTTCAAGGGGGAGGAAAGTCCCACTTCTCTCCATCTGCCAGCTGTTTGCTTGTGATGATCAAGGGTCACTCTGGTCATCTTACAGAAGAGGACATGGAGGCTTATAGAGGTCAAGGCTTCACAAAACAGGCCTGGGTTTGGCCACTCGCTGTCTGGTCTCAGATGGGTCCAGGTTCTGGGGCTTCTGCCCCATACACTACCAGCAGCCCTCTGCACACCAGGAGATGGAACTTAGAAGGATCTCAGGCTGTTGACAAGAGGGTTGGCCCACAGTGGTTTGGTTCAGTGAGCACTCACTCCAGTCCTGGTTTTAGGTGGGCACTGTCCCACTGGGTGATCCTTGAAGACCTCTGAGCAGCTGCCTATAGAAGGCCCCTGTCTGGCTCTGAAGAGCTCAGGGGGATACTTAATTGGCAGTGGGTGGTCTGCAGGGCTTGGCTTAAGCCCTAAGCTTTTTTGTTTTTTTGGTTTGAGACAGAGTCTCACTCTGTCGCCCAGGCTAGAGTGTAGTGGAGCGATCTCGGCTCACTGCAACCTCTGCCTCTGGCTTCTGGGGCTCTCTGGATGCTGACTCAGATCCCATTCACTTTGTCCCTTCAAGTCCGGTCCCCTCCTAGCTGAGTCTCCCCCAGCGCCCTGGGAATGGGGGTCTCTGGCAATTTCTATGTTCTCTTTTCATATCCTCATTATGGTGTAAACTTTATGCCTTGCTCCCCTTGGGGCTGTCCCTGTTTGTTTTCAAGAGCTGCCTTTTGAAGCGAGAAAAAGATAAAAAAAGAACCTAATCAATTTCTCCTTTCATTTCTGCTGAAACGATTTTAATTCTTTTTTACACAGTGTAGATCCCTCTGACTTACCAGGAAAGAGTGACACGGGAAGGCTAGGGAGAGAAGACAACGAAAGCATAAAGCCTCACATTTCAAGACAGCTCATTGTGGCATTTAGAAATGGGGATGTGGGGAGCAGAATTTGGACTCCCAGGCTAATGCTTTTCTGAGCATGTCAAGTTATATCCCTAGTCCGCCCAGTGAATATTTATTCAGCACCTATTGTGTGCCAAATGCTTTCTTGACTCATGAACCCTGACTGCTTAAAAGATATGCTTTACTCTTATTGGTAATGCTGGTAGCTCTTCTTGCGTTTCCTTTCATGTGGATTGTAATAAATAATCTTTTGGAGAAAAATATAGTTATCAGCAATAGTAGTCATTTGTACACTCGTTGATCTACTCATGTATTCATCTTTAAACAAACATTAACTGAACACCTACTATGTGCCACGCTTTCTAGTTGGGGCTTGGGATCTTGGGGCTATGACTTTGACCATGACAAGTAAAGTCTCTGCTTTCATATGCCATAAGTATTTGTGTGTGAGAGAGGCAATAAACAAGAGAACAAGTGTGCATGTAATGACAGACAATGATAAATAAAGGAAAAGTGAAGTAGGTGAGGGTTAGAGAGTGACAGGGGCAGCTATTTCATGCTCATGTGGGAAAATGATGTCCCTGGCTAAGGACACTCAACTCACTCAATGGTTACTTCTTGAAGGCACAGAGTTGAGTTACGGATCTTTTCTCTATGCAGCATGCCCCTCATGTTCTTTTTCCTCTAGTCAGGGATTTGCTGTGCTGAGCCATCCTCGTCCTCACCCTGTTCCTTTGGCTCCTGCCCCACTTGCATTCCTGGGAGTCTAGTCCATCCCTGGGGCCTTCCATCCACCCGTGCCCTGGGCTACCCTTTGCTGCTGTTCCAACACACCAGGCTCCCTCTCAGATCAGGGCTTTGCATGTGCCATTTCCTCTATCTGGAAAGTTATTCCCCAAGATACCTGCATGGCTCTGTCATTCACTTATTTATGGGTTTTTGCTCAAATGTTTCCTTCGTGGTGAGTCTTTCCTGGTCCCCCTATTTAAAATTGCGACAAACCCACCACTGCGTGTAGACATCTGCATTTTCCATCCCCATTTTCTTTATCTCCTTGGCTTTTTATTATCACTTGCTCTACTGCATGTTTTAATTAGTGGCCACTACCTTTAGGTCAGATGGGATGAGAAGATCTTCAAGGGCAGGTATCTAGGGGAGAACACTGTGACACAGAGCTGTCTTGAGAGGACTAATGACCTTCAGGTGAAGGCCCCATGCAGCCTGATGCAACCCCATTCTCCTTCCTCTCTCTGATCTTGCTGAGCCTCCACATTGGCCAAGCCCAGTGAAGAGATGAGTCATGTACAAGTCAGCGTCCAAGGGCACAGAGAAGAATGGAGAAAGGGCTGTGGAGGGGAGGGTCTCCAAACAGTATTCTTTGGACCCCTAGGGATTTATTAAAGAGTTTTGCACAGTCTTGCAAGGATGCACTGGGCTGGACTTTGATCACTCCACCAACATTTCCACAAGGTACAAGGCCTGACTTTGAATTTCAGCTCCGCTGCTTACCAGCTGTATGACTTTGGACAAGTCACCGTGCCCTCTGAGCCCAGATACTCATCTGTTCCGTGAAGCTAAAAATCCCTGCTCTGCATCCCTCTCCAGATGGTTGTGAAGAGTCGATGAGGTTCAGGATGTAGAAGTGCTGCGTAAACAGCTGAGTCTTGGACAAAATTGGTTTTTTTAATCAGCTGCCAGCTCCCATTTCCATTGTTGATTTAGAAATTCCAAGTCTAGATGCAAAATAGGTTACTGGTCGCCATGAGGACCTGGGAATGAAAGCTGTTTTCAGCCCAACCCATCCACTTAAATTGGTCCTTGATGGAAAAATCCATAAACTCCTTTAAGATCCCAGGTGTGGGTAGCAGTTCTGTTACCCATCCATATGTAAGACACCCAGTGTCTGCTGGGGGGCTGTAGACAAGATCTTGATTCCAGCTTATTAAATGCTTCAAGTGGCGATTGGTTCTCCTTCCTCCTCCCTTCCTTACTCCAGCCAAAGGGAGCACCTCTCCTGGGGCGAGGGAGGACAGATGGGTGGGTGGTGGGCAGGGCCGAATGCTTCCTGAGAAGCTGTAGGAAGAGTGTGGGGGAAACTGCAGGCCCTCTTTTCTTTGTTGGGAGCTCATAAGCCGTTCTATAGCAGGTACGCGATACCCCGCAGCCGGAGCCCCGTGGTCCCAGCTCCAAGGAGAGCAGAGAACACTGCCTGTGGTTGCCAAGGCATGTAGCTGCAGCGGGCATGTCTCTTTAGCAATCTGGGCCACTAGCCCAGTGTGAAGTTGGCAGGTGGGCACAACGCTGGCTAATTGCTGTGATTTGGCACTCATATGCGGAGTACAGCGCATTGTACCAAGCTCAGGGGTTAGAGGCAGTTCTCAGCCAGCCGCCTTTGCCTGCTGTCACTCTCTGGCTTTGATACCAAGTCAAGAATCCTGTTTGTTATTGGGGGTGGGGAAAGAGGCCCTCTTTTTCTCCACTGGGCAGTGTTGAATCCATCCTCATTTCTGGCCTGGGGGGTCCCGCGGTCAGCAGCCAGCACTCCAGCCTGGGCAAAGGAGGCCTGAGTCTTCGTCTCAGCTCCCACAATCCCCTGTTCCATATCTTTGGACAAGTTCTTTCCTTGTCTCTACCTTGGCATATGCATTAGTAAAATGAGTCTTGTGCTGCCATACTTGAGGCTTCTTTCAATTCAAATACCTTATGTTTTTAGGACAGGGTTTTCTCAACCTTGGTACTTTGAACATTTGAGGGAGAATAATTCTCTTGAGGGGCTGTCCTGTGCATTGCAGGGGGCTTAGTAGCATCCCTGGCCTCTACCTATTAGATGTCTATGGCACTCACCTCACAAGTAGTGACAAACAAAAATGACTCCAATAAAAAATAAGACTGGGTGCGGTGGCTCACGCCTGTAATCCCAGCACACTGGGAGGCTAAGGTGAGAGGACTGCTTGAAGCCAGGAGTTCGAGACCAGCCTAGGCAACATAGAGAGGCCTTATATCTATAAAAAATAAAAAAAAATTAGCCGGGAGTGGTGGCGTGCACCTGTAGTCCCAGCTACTCGGGAGGCTGAGGTGGGAGGATCACTTAAGCCCAGGAGGTTGAGGCTGTAGTGAGCCGAGATCGTGTTACTGCACTCCAGCCTGGTGTCAGTGAGACCTTGTCTCAAAAAAAAAAAAAAAAAAAAAGTGAAAAAGAGAATTCCCTGGGGGAGCAAAATTGCCTCTGGTTAGGAACTATTGTTCTAGGGTATAGGCTGAACATTTTGCAGGCTATGGGAAACATTTCCTTTGAATATTACTCTGGAGTGTAAATTACCGCCTTTATTGTCATGGTCCTTAGTTATTTGACACACGTATTGATCATCTACTATGTGCCAGACCCTGGGAATATACAATTAAACAAGACAGACATGTCCCTGCCCACGCAAAGCTCTAAGTCTAGAGGGTGCAGGGGGAGAGGGGGACAATATTCATGTAACCACAGAAAGGAATAAGATAATTTCACATATCACCTTTAAAAAGACAACATGATAGAGTTACTTCACGGTGGCTAATTAATTTTCCTATTTAACAATTTTGAAAGTTCATGCAGGCTGGGCATGGTGGCTCACGCCTGTAATCCCAGCACTTTGGGAGGCCGAGGCAGGCGGATCACGAGGTCAGGAGATCGAGACCATCCTGGCTAACACGGTGAAACCCTGTCTCTACTAAAAATACAAAAAACAAAATTAGCTGGGCGTGGTGGCAGGTGCCTGTGGTCCCAGCTACTCCGGAGGCTGAGGCAGGAGGATGGCACGAACCCGGGAGGTGGAGCTTACAGTGAGCCGAGATGGAGCCACTGCACTCCAGCCTGGGCAACAGAGCAAGACTCTGTCTCAAAAAAAAAAAAAAGAAAGAAAGAAAGTTCATGCAGGCTGGGCATGGTGGCTCATGCCTGTAATCCCAGCATTTTGGGAGGTCAAGGCAGGAGGGTTCCTTGAGTCCAGGAGTTCGAAACCAGCCTGGGCAACATAGTGAGACCCTGTCTATATCTTTAAAAATAAAAATAAAAGTAAAAATAAAGAAAGTTAACACACCAACTATTAAGTAATGTACCCAGAGCATATTAAGGATTAAGTAAAGTATCTAGAGATATGACTAGAATGATTTTTCCTTTGGCCTCAGAATAGATGCCATGCAGGAAAAAATCTTTTGAATTCCTAAACTTGTTGGATTTATTCAGTAACAGATAATCTTGTTAGAAGGCTGTATTAGTTTCTTGTGGCCACAGTAAAAAAAGCACCACAAATTGGGTGGCATAAAATAATAGATATACAGGGCTGGGCACGGTGGCTCATGCTTGTAATCCCAGCACTTTGGGAAGTGGAAGCAGGCAGATCACAAGGTCAGGAGTTCCAGACCAGCCTGGCCGACACAATGAAATCCTGTCTCTACTAAAAAATAGAAAAAGTAGCCAGGCGTAGTGGCATGTGCCTATAACACCAGCTACTTGGGAGGCTGAGGCAGGAGAATCGCTTGAACCCGGGAGGCGGAGGTTGCAGTGAACCGAGATTACACCACTGCACTGCAGCCTGGGTGACAGAGCTAGACTCCGTCTCAAAAAACAAAAACAAAAAAGCGATAGACATACCTTCTCTCATAGACCTGGGGGTCAGAGGTTCAAAAATGAGGGGTCAGCAGGCTGTGCTCCCTCCCGGGTCTCTAGCGGAGAATCCTGCCTCGCTTTTTCCAGCTCCTGGGGGCTCCTGGGACTCCTTGGCTTGCGTTAGCACCGTTCCCATCTCTGCGTCCTTCTTCACATGGCCTCCGCTCTGTGTCTGTATCTCTGTCCAAATCTCCCTCCCCTTTCTCTCACAAAGACACTAGAGTTAGGGCCCACCCTAATCCTTCTCTTACCTTGGTTAAATCTGCAAAGACCTTGTTTCCAATAAGGTCACATTCAAAGGCACTGAAATCTATCTCTTTGGGGGAACTCTGTTCAATCCAGTACACAGGCCAGGTCTGATGAACTAGTCCCGGCCAGGGGAAGTGAGGTCAAGTCCTTCTGCTTTCATGAGTCTTTGAAATAAGTAAGCCCAGCTTCTGATGTAACAACCCCAGGGCAGGGATGCCTGTACCAAGCGGGCCCATCTTCAACGCTAGTTCCACACCCACAGCCATGCCCCTGCGTGCACCAACTCTCTTGCCCCCTTCTCCTTTTTCTGAATTCTTCCAGCAAAACCCAAACCTTGATGAAATCCAGCTGTTTATAGCTGTGCCTAAGCTGAACAGTGTCTGTAGAACACACAACCGTGCCGACGGGTCTGTTTTTAAATTTGGGCCCGCACAATTCAAGTGGATCCTCAGCGCTGCCGACAGTCCCCCTCCACTTCCTCCTTCCCCCAATTTTCCTTCCACCCAGGGATTGCTATCTTGCATTTTCTCCT
Organism: Homo sapiens; assembly: GCF_000001405.40. Lineage (NCBI taxonomy): Eukaryota > Metazoa > Chordata > Mammalia > Primates > Hominidae > Homo > Homo sapiens. The sequence continues at coordinate 51,041,091 of NC_000020.11, forward strand.
CTTTCGTCGATCTTCAATACACTCTCTCCCTCCTTACTCTCAGCTGATGACTTGCTCCTTATTTCGCTGAGAAAATAGGAGCAGTCAGAAGAGAAGTCCCTGCCCTTCCTCAGCAGACCTGCATCTGTGCCACAGACTCCACTTTTCCTCCCTCCTCCACCTAAGTCCAACTTCCCTGTGCACTGGCCTGCATCCCTTCTCCTTGGGGACTTTATTCCTGCATTTGTCTCTTCTCCACTTCCTGTATTGTGTATTTTCCCCCTTCAACATTAAAAGGAAAACCTCTGCCAGCATCCCTTTCCCCTCTAACCACCGTACTGGTTCTGTGCTTCTCCTGACTGCACCGTCTCTTGAGTTGCACACATCTGTGTTTCCGGTTCCTTCGCAGCTGTCTTTAGTGAACCACACCACTGAATCTGCCCAAGACAATCATCACAATCTCCATCTTGTTAAATCCAGCCGTCCATCCTCACTCATCCATGTACCCAAACTCTCGGCAGCATTTGAGACCATCGATCATGTCACTGGAGTGCATTCTTCTTGATTCTGGGGATGACAGATACTCCTGGCTTTCCACCTACCTCCCTGCCCACTCCTCAGCCATCATTGCTGGCCCCTCCTCTTCCTCCTGACTTCTGAATGTTGGACTAAACCAGAGTTCAGTCTTTGGCCCTCTCCTCTCCCCTGTCCACATAGAGCCTGTGCTGATCATATTCAGTCCCAAGTCTTAGAAATACCATCTATATTTGGGTGAATCCTAAATTTACACCTATGACATCAATTCTCCTTTGTACTATGTAGTACACTCTGTACTAACTACCTATTCAAGAACTCCATGCAGATATCACAAAGTGCCACTGACTCCCCACGCCCTCCCCAGACCACACTTGCCTCACCTTCCTCACCTCTTTCTCACCCTAATATTTTCAGCCTGAAATTGTAGGACTCATCCTTCAATTCTCCTGTGCCCTCTGCCCTGTTCCATCCAGTCCATCAGCCAGTCATTGGGGCACCCTTCAGAATAAATCCTGAATCCGACTTCTCACCACGCCACCGCTCTCTCTCCCTGATCCAGGCACCATCATGTCCTGCCTGGAGGAATGTAGCAGCCTTTCACCTGGGCTCCCTGCTGTCACTCTTGTCTCTTACAAGTCGTTCTCCTCCCTGCAGCTGGAAGGGATCTTTTGAAAGCCTGAGTCAGACCGTGTCATCTGCCTGCTTAAAATCATTCAGTGGAGCTGGGTGCTCATGCCTGTAATCCCAGCTACTCATCCTGCCGTGGAGCATTTCCTGATCTCACCTGAGCTCTTTGGGAATTGCTTGAGCCCAGGAGTTTGAGACCAGCCTGAGCAACATAGCAAGACCCTGTCTCTATAAAAACATTTAAAAATTAGCCGAGCGTAGTGGCACATTCCTGTAGTCCCAGCTACTCAGGAGGCTGAGATGGGAGGATAAGCCCAGGGGGGTCAAGGCTGCAGCGAGCTATGATCACACCACTGCACTCCTGCTTGAGCAACAGAGACCTTCCTTCTCTCCAAAAAAAAAAAAAAAAAAAAAAAAAAAGAAGGAAACTGAGGCACAGAGGATAGGTAATGGCTTAAAGCCATGGAACTATGGAGTGGCAGAGGCAGAAAATGAGCCCAGGCAAATTGCCTCCCAAGCCAGATGCTCACCTGCCTTGCTGTCTGCTGGTGACTCTGGAGACCGCGTCCCTGATTTCACCTGGAGGCCAGTGAATGGGACCTTGCCTCTCAAAGGACATTGCCCCTTGTGGTGAGTGGTGGTCAGGACCAGCTGTGTAGTTTGCAGGGCCCAGTGCAAAATGAAAATGTGGGGCCCCTTGTTCAAAAAATATTAAGAATTTCAAGGTGGGAACAGCAGAGCATTTGAGCAAGCACAGGGCCGTTCTGAGCCCGGGGATCCGTGTGATGCACAGGCTGCCTGCCCCTGAAGCTGGCCCTGGTGGTCTGGACTGGGCTCCGCCTCTCAGCAGACTCAGGGCTGGCTGGTGCCCTGGGCTTGCTCCTGGGCTTCCTCTGAATGCTTTGCCAGCCTCCTAACTCCTCTGAAGACCCAAGGCAAACCCTGAGATCTGCTAAGAGGCCCCGAAAATGAAGCTGGAAATTTTCCTGGCTGCACTCATCTCCACAAAGAACATAACTGGATACATCTGGAATAATTCCATGTGGCTCAGGCTGGCCCGGAACCCCAACCAGCCGAGGCAAGATCAAGGAAATGCTCCATAAACCAGGATCCTCATGTTCCTTTTCTAGTATTACGACGTAATAAATAATAATAACAGGCCAGGCACAGTGGCTCACACCTATAATCCTAGCACTTTGAGAGGTCGAGGTGGGCAGATCACCTGAGGTCAGGAGTTCAAGACCAGCTGACCAACATGGTGAAACCCAATGTCTACTAAAAATACAAAATTAGCCAGGTGTGGTGGTGGCATACGCCTGTAATCCCAGCTACTTGGGAGGCTGAGGCAGGAGAATCACTTGAACCCAGGAGGTGGAGGTTGCAGTGAGCCAAGATTGCATCATTGCACTCCAGCCTGGGCAACAAGAGTGAAACTCCATCTCAAAAAAAAAAAAATGACATTAATTATATGTCATATATAATAATAATGCATTTCAGCCATCATATACTGTACTTTTGGCATTTATATTTATAGTCATGTGCTGCCTAGGGATGTTTCTGTCAGTGATGGACCACATATACAATGGTGGTCCCGTAAGATTATAATAGAGCTGAAAAATTCCTATCACCCAGTGACATCGTAGCTGTTCTAATGTCACAGCACAAAAACTTCATATAAATTTAAAGTAGCCTAAATGTGCAGCATTTATGAAGTCTACAGCAGAGTACAGTCATGTCCTAGGCCTTCACATTCACTCACCACTCACTCATTGACTCATCCAGAGCAACTTCCAGTTCTGCAAACTCCATTCATGGTTAAGTGTCCCACACAGATCAACTTTTTTTTTTTGAGATGGAGTCTCGCTCCATCATGCAGGCTGGAGTGCAGCGGCACCATCTCAGCTCATTGCAACCTCTGCCTCCCAGGTTCAATCAATTCTCCTGCCTCAGCCTCCTGAGCAGCTGGGACTACAGGCGCCTGCCATCACACCCAGCTAATTTTTGTATTTTTAGTAAAGACTGGGTTTCATCATGTTGGCCAGCTGGTCTCGAACTCCTGACCTCGTGATCCACCTGCCTTGGCCTCCCTAAGTGCTGGGATTAGATTACAGGCATGAGCCACTGTGCCCAGCCCAGATTAACAATTTTAAAAATCTTTTATATCATATTTTTACTGTAATTTGTATTTATAGACACAAATACTTACCATTGTGCTACAATTGCCTATGGTATTCAGTACAGTAACATGCTGTACAGGTTTGTAGCCTAGGAGCATTGAGCTATACCATATAGCCTAGGTGTGTAGTACGCTATGCCATCCAGGTTTGTGAAAGTACACTATGATGTTCACACAACGATAAAATTGCCTAATGACGCATTTCTCAAAATGTATCCCCTTTGTTAAGCGACATATGATTGTACTTAACTTTTGCATGTTGTGCATTTCCTGAAAATAAATGCTCCTGAACTAACCTGTTTGTATCCAAAGTTATAAACTGTTTTCTCCTCTTTCTTCTTTTTTTTTTCCCTCCTGTTTTAGACAGGGTCTTGCTCTGTCACCCAGGCTGAAGTGCAGTGGCACGATCACAGTTCACTGTAGCCTCAAACTCCTGGGGTCAAGTAATTCTCCCGCCCCAGCCTCCCCAGTAGCTGGGACTATGGGTGTGCATCACCATGCCTGGCTAATTTTTGTAGAGACAGGGTTTTGCCAAGTTGCCCAGGCTGGTCTTGAACTCCTAGGCTCAAGTGAGCCTCTCACCTCAGCCTCCCAGAGTGCTGGGCATACAGGTATGAGCCACTGCGCCTGGCCTCCTTCTTGTTCTGGAAAACTCTTACTGCTGTAGTTTCCTGCAAAATTCAGCTCAAGATTTTAATGCTTCTGAAATCATTGACAAAAAGGAAGAACTCAACCCACTCCCCCCATCCAATACCCACATGCAACATTAATTACTTACATTATTATAAATGTCATGCTGCAATGGGATGGGCCCAGCCCAAACTTGTCCTCACACAGTTCTGTGTCCAGCCATACTGCTTGAACCCAGATTCATAATTTGGGTCCTGGACACTGGTCCTTGTAATCCAAGTGAGCAGAGCTGCTTGGGCCAATCTGACAGGCAGGCAGGGGAACCATGCCCTGATGTGACCAGCCTTGTGCATGGGACATCTGTGGTTGTCAAAGACTGTAAACAGCCTGGCTGGGAAACATCCAGCCATCAAGTGGTATATTGCGGTGTCCCTGCAATTGGCTTAGTGAATGTTCATCTCACATTGACTTCTCAGGGGTCTCTGTAGCAGGTATAAATCTTCGTCTGTATAAGTTAGCGTGTTAGTATGTTCTCATGCTGCTAATAAAGACGTACCCGAGACTGGGTAATTTATAAAGGAAAGAGGTTTAATGAACTCACAGTTCCACGTGGCTAGGGAGGCCTCAAAATTGTGGCAGAAGGAAGAGCAAAGGGACTTCTCACATGGCAGTGGGCAAGACAGCTTGTGCAGGGGAACTCCCATTTATAAAACCATCAGATCTCGTGAGACTTATTTACGACCACGAGAACAGTATGGGGCAAACAACCCCCATTATTCAATGATCTCCACCTGGCCCCGCCCTTGACACATGGGGATTATTACAATTCAAGGTGAGATTTGGGTGGGGACACAGCTAAACCATATCAGTTGGGCACTCCAGGAAAAAGAAGGAGCACACTTCTTTACTTTCTTCCATTTCACAATGGTGGCCAGTTCAACCTCAGTCATTAACAAGGCTCTCTATCTTCCTCCACAACTGCCAGGGGTGTGCCAGGGTCCCAGCAATACCAAAGCACTAGGAAAGCCCTGGCTTCTGTTCCATGTTCAGGGTACAGGATATTCTCTGAGGCTGGGCATCCCACAGCATCACCCAAGGCCAGTTGTCCTCAACTGGGGGCGATTTTGTCCCCCAGGACATTTTTCCGGAGATATTTTTGGTTGTCACAACTAGAGGTGCTCCTGACACCTAGTGGGTGGAGGTCAGAGATGCTGCTCAACATCCTGTAATGCATAGGACAGCCCCCAATAAAACAAAGAATTATCCTGCTCCAAATGTCAAGAGTGCCAAGGCTGGGAAGCCCTGCCCTTAACAATTCCCAAGCCTCTATTTTCCTAGCCTTTTGACTCCTGGACGCTTTATAGTCTGGGAACCTCTCTCTTCACGTTTTCCTGTATGTAATGTCCTCTTTCCATTCTTGTGATGAAGGATGAGGCACCCTTCAAAGGAGCTGGTCTTTCACCAGCCTCAGAGATGAAAGGTACCTGGTCTAAGCCAATCATGCCACACCCTTGTGCTAGACACTGGCTGTGCCAGCTTCCTTTGCAGCTAGGAGTTGCCACGTGATGCAGCGAGTGAGATGTCAGGGGAAATGTTTCAGGGCCTTCTAGGAAAGAGACTGTTCCCTGGCTGAGGTGTTCTGGAGAGGAGAGCTGGCTGGTGTCAAGTCCTATAGCCTTCTTACCGGAGGCACTTATGTGAGGATGTGGTGTGTGGGGTTGTGGCAGCCACCTTGAGACCAAGAGGTAAATCAGAAGAATTGCAGCTGTAGACATGCCTGACCTCGATGAGCCACTGAATGTAACCATCACTTCCAGGCCTCTCATTAAATAAATAAGCCACACATGTCTTTAGACCATTACTTAATACACCTAGGCAGGTGACTTAATCTCTCTTTGTCTTACGCTTGCATAAAGTTGTGGACATTTAATGATATGATATATGAAGAACATTTGACCAAGAGCCTGGCATATAAGAAATATTCAATGATGTATCGTAGATGCTTTTGCACTGTCCCTATGAACTGAATTAATTAGGAATAATAATGTGGGTCTTATGGTAAGTTTCTTCTACTGATTGATTATTCACTCAATTATTCAACAAATATGTATTAGAGCCTGCCATACTAAGATACTGGAAATGAGAGGGAATTATTTTAAAAGAATAAAATTAGAGGGAAACAATACCCTCTAATTTTAACAGGAAGTTGTCTATTAGGTCCCAAAAAATTTTTCTTCTATTTACGAGAAGTATTTTGCAAATTTTAGTTGTCTACATCTGTCTTTATATTTATGGTAGTTATTTACCAAGTCCAAGCCATTGTACAGTACTGTTTTACAGTGAGCAGGCCTATGCAAACCTATCTCAAAGTCTGAAGAAGCTGGGAGGCCGAAGAAAGAGGGTGACAAATCCAGTTACTTAGAAAGAAACATTTAATAAGGACCAGAAGCCATGCTGGTGTGCTGGGCAGCAGCGAAACAAGATGGTGGGTCCCCACACCATTACTCCCCAGACCCAGGGCTTCTTATGCCACAGAGGAGGGGTGGTTCAGAAGGAATGTGTGGGATAGTTGAAGTAAGATAACATCGAGGTTGTCTGACTTAAGGGCAGGATTTATGGTAAGTACCTGCTCTTATACAAGGAACAATAAATCAACTGGAAATCTTAGAGGACTTCTCAGAACTGGAGTTCATCAGAAGCCAACATGGTGGATTAGCTTCCAAGATGGTGCTACTTTTGTCCTACAAATACCTGTAGTATTCTTGTTGTTGTTGTTGTTGTTGTTGTTGTTCTGAGATGTAGTTTTGCTCTTGTCGCCCAGGCTGGAGTGCAATGGCACAATCTCGGCTCACTGCAACCTCCACCTCCTGGGATCAAGTGATTCTCCTGACTAAGCCTCCCAAATAGCTGGGACTGTAGGCGTGGGCCACCAGGCCTGGCTAATCTTTGTATTTTTAGTAGAGATGGGGTTTTACCATGTTGGCCAGGGTGGTCTTGAACTCCTGACCTCAGGTGATCCACCTGCCTCGACCTCCCAAAGTGCTAGGATTACAGGCGTGAGCCACTGCGCCCGGCCCACCTGTACTATTCTTGACTTAGTTTTTCTTTAAACCAACTTACTTTTTTGGTTAATAGATTTACTTTAAAAAGAAAGTTGGTATCATTATGGTAAACAGAAAAGCAGTATCACTTGGCATAAATAAAAATAGCCAAAACATAAATGCAATCAAAGACTTGAATGTCATTAGATTAAAACAAAATATTCATTGTGTACAATCTAAAATCATCTTGCACATCACAGGTTGTATCTATACTGCACTTACAGAAACTCTAAAGAGAATAATAATACTTAGTAAAAAAATTTAAAGTTGGAAAACCTGCTAAGATTCATAAATGCTGCAATGGGTCTAAAGAGAGAGAAGTTTGACATAAATAATGTGTAAATTATACCCAATTATTCCTCGACATTTCATCATATTTAGAGGAAAATTACTATGAAATATAGTGTGGGTTTCTGGTTAACAATATTTTTCCCCTCAAGTTTATGAAACATTTCCCTATCATAATCCCCAAGATATTTCACTGTGAGCATAGGAATCCAATAATGCCTTTCAACAGTGATTTACTCTGCAATTGGCATTCATATTTACTTAACTTTTGTAGGTTGTGGACTTACTGAAAAATAAATGTGACTGAAACAGCCTGTTTATGTCCAAAGTTATAAACTGTTTCTGGAGTGCAGTGGCGTAATCTCTGCTCACTGCAACCTCCACCTCCTGGGCTCAAGTGATTCTCGTGCCTCAGCCTCCTGAGTAGCTGGGACTACAGGTGTGTGTCACCACACCTGGCTAATTTTTGTTTTTTAGTAGAGGTGAGGTTTTGCCATGTTGGTCAGGCTGGTCTTGAACTCCTGACTCAGGTGTTCTGCCTGCCTCTGCCTCCCAAAGTGTTGGGATTACAGGCGTGAGCCACCACATCCAGCCATAAACTGTTTTCTTTTTCTTATTCTGGAAAACTCTTAATGGTCACTTTCTTGCAAAAATCACTGAAGATTTCAACACTTTTAAATCACTGACAAAAGGTTCACCCTCCTTGCTTCATATCCAACACACAGTTACAATTTCAAGAACAGATGTATAATAACTTGCCCTTGAATAAATGTAAACCTGAATTACTCAGACTTTGGGAAGCATATCAAGTTTGATTATTTTGTGACTGTCAGTTGAAGCTGTGATGGGTAGGAGTAGGTTCTGAAGAAATAGACATTCTCACTGACAGTTGTCCTGGGAAGAGAGGTGAAATGAGTTAGGGGGCTGAATCCAGGATGATGCTGTTTAGAAAAGGGTAGTTTGATGGTAGGTAAGATTTACGAGTCAATATAAACAATTTGGAGGTGGTAGTCCTCAAGAATGTGAGGGGTCAGGCAACTATAGAATGGAAGACAGCATTTGCAAATCATCTGATAAGGGGTTAGTAGCCAGACTATATAAACAACTTCTACCATTCAACAACAAATGAACAACCAACCTGGTTTAAATAATGGACAAAGGACTTGAATAGACATTTCTGCAAAGAAGATACACAAATGGCCAACAAGCACATAAAAAGATGCTCTATGTCACAAATCCTAGGGGAAATGAAAGTCAAAACCACAAGGAGATACCACCACTATCCATTAGGATGGCTACTATTAAAAAAATAATAATAAAAAGTGTTGGTGAGGATGTGGAGAAATTGGAACCCTTGTGCAATGTTGGTGGAAATTTAAAATGGTGGAACTACCTTGGTGGTTCCTCAAAAAATTACACATAGAATTATATGACCCAACATTCCCACTTCTGGATATACACCCAAAAGAAATAAAATCAGGAATTTGAACAGATGTTAATACACTAATGTTCATAGCAGCATTATTCTCAATAGTCAAAGGGTGGAAGCAACTCAAATGTCCATTGATCGATGAAAGAATAAACAAAATGTGACATATACATACAATGGAATATTATTCAGCCTTAAGAAAGAAAGAAATCCTGACACACGCCACAATGTGGATGAAGCTTGAGGACATTACGCTAAGTGAAATAAGCAAAAGACAACAAATATTGTATGATTCTACTTATATAAGCACCCAGAGTAGTCAAAATTCATAGATACAGAAAGTAGAAAGGTGGTTGCCAGGGGTTGGGTGGAGGGAGGTATGGGGAGTTGTTTAATGGCTATAGAGTTCCAGTTTTGCAAGATGAAAAGGATTTTAGACATAGATGGTGGTGACAACGTGACTATGCTTAGCAGTAGTGAACTGTACACTTACAAATGGGTCAGATGGTAAATGTTATGTTATATGTATTTATCACAAGGGAAAAGAAAAGAATATGGAAAGGGTCCCCTGGGAAATTACTGAACTCCCTCCTAATATGGGCAGCTGATGGCTTAGGGCCACTGCACTTCAAATATTGAAGAAAATATGACTTGGCTTTATGGTTACAGACTAGAAACGTGTTGGTTACCATAAAGGAAAGAGTCTTCCCAGGGAAGTTTTGATGGAAGAGCTCTTGTTGGACCTGTGGGGGTCAGGGCTGGTGCAGACATCTTCATCCAGCAGTGGGCCAGCTGTTTCTCCAATGCCTGGAGGAGCTAAATAATTGGATTTCAGAAGACTTTGAAGTTAGAAGGCTCCTTCCCCCATGGAATCAGTGCTGGAGGCACCGTCTCCTTTGGAGCGTGAGGAGGGCCTCCCTGTTCATTGTTGGCTGACTTTGGCACGGTGGCCTGGTTTAGAAGATTTGCCTGGGAATTGGGGGTTGTTTCTCTCTGTTACTATAGCTTCCCCTGAATGTGCTGCCTGGATTATTGCAATTGCTTCCCAGACGGTGCCTCCCACCCTGAACCAAATGCATTCTGCACGATGTTGTCAGATCCTTCTCCTTAAATTGCAACACAGACTCCGTCGCTAGTATTTCCTTTTGAAAAAAAGTCTGAGCTCAGTTTTGTATTTGAGGTTATCCACAATATGTTTCTGACCTTCTGTCCTTATACCTTTTGCACCTGGCTGCTGATTGAACATGTACACTGTTCTCTGAACACAGCCCCACTTTCTTATTTTTTGCCTTTGTCCTTGTCATTTCTTCCCCTGGGATACTCCTCTGTCAATCTTACAGGTCCTTCAAGGTTGAGCTTAATAGTCATGTCCTACAGGAAGACTCCTGGACTCCTCATTCTTGTCCTGTTTTTGATGAATCTTTTCACCTGCTACCCTGTGCAATTATCATTAGTGGATCTCTGAGAGTTTCTCCAGCTAGTCTCCAAGCTTCCCGGGTATAGATAGCACTTGTGATTTACTTCGGCATATCTTGTGATTACAGGGGTGATTAGTTGGAATGATGATAGGGAAAAAGAGCAGGAAAGGGGTCTGGCTAAGATACAGTAGGGAGCTATGGGTAGCTAGAGAGGTCATGCTTCCACTGAACAAAAGGGGAGGGAAGAAGCTGCCACTAGGCTCAGCCAGTTGTTGCCAGGAGAGAATTCTGCATTGCCGCAGCCCATGTTTCTCCAAGAGAAGCCTGAGATCTGGAGTTTTGTGTGAGACCTCTCTGAATGGGCACCTGGTCTCCAGTTTGATGCTGTTGACACCTGGCCTGATACCTACTCAAAAAATCCATCATTGAATGAACAGCCGTCGTGCTGGCTAGGGACTGAGACAGGATGTGAAGCCATATTGTTCCATCCTGTTTCCTATTTGTGTTGATTTAGCCCCACCTTGGCCTCTTTTTCAGAGAGTGCCTTAGTCCAGCTGGATTCATCAGGCTTGTTGATACATTGAGGGAAGCCAGGAGCTTTGCAGATAAGAAGCTGGGGAAAGGCAAGGTAAACACAATTAAGCCCCATTAGAGGGTCTTGGGGGTGAATGAAGTGCCAGTGTGTGAGGATGATGAATTAGGTTGGAGAGAAGGAACTCAAGAATATATGTATAATAACTTGCCCTTGAATAAACATAAACCTGAATTACTCAGACTTTGGGAAACGTATCAACTTTGGATTATTTTGTGACTGTCAGTTGAAGCCGAGGTGGGTAGGAGTAACATTTGAAGAAATAGACGTTCTCATTGTCAGTTGTCCTGGGAAGAGAGGTGAAATGAGTTAGGGATCTGAATCCAGGATGACACTGTTTAGAAAAGGGTCTCCCTGCTACCCCAGAGGCATAAGCCCCACAGTCACAATTCACTTGGACTCCCTTTGCAAGCCCGGCATTTGGGGACCTACATTGCCTGCCTCTGTTCCAAGCAAGCCTCATCTCCTGAAACATTTTTAAAATTCTTCCAATTATTTAGGACTCAGGCTAATAATAACAATAATAGCTAATATTTACTAAGGGATTATGTGCCTGGCACAGTTTTAAAGCCTTTATGGGTTTGAACTCATTTAACATTCCCAGCAGCTTGTGAGATAGCTGTGTTATTATTCCCTTTTTACAGATGAGGAAAGGGATTCTCCTGCCTTGGCCTCCCAAAGCACTGGGATTACAGGTGTGAGCTGCTGTGCCCAGCTCTCTTTTTAAAAAACCAATGTTAATACATGCAGACCCATATATTCTTTTTGTTGTGGTGGTGGTGGTGAACTATACATAACATAATAACATTTACCATTTTGATCTTTGTTTTTTTTCAGACTTGCTCTGTCACCCAGGCTGGAGTGCAATGGCGCAATCTTGGCTCACTGCAACTTTTTCCACACAGGTTCAAGCAATTCTCCTGTCTCAGCCTCCCGAGTAGCTGGGGCTACAGGCACCAGCCACCACGCCCAGCTAACTTTTGCATATTTAGTAGAGACGAGGTTTCACCATGTTGCCCAGGCTGGTCTCAAACTTCTGACCTCAGGTGATCCGCCCCACTAGGCCTCCCAAAGTGCTGGGATTACAGGTGTGGGCCACCGTGCCTGGCCCATTTTGATCATTTTTAAGTGCGCAGTTCACTGGCATTAAGAACATTCACACTGTTATGCAACCATCTCACCATCCATATCCAGAGCTTTTTCATCTCCCTAAACTGAAACTTCGTACCCATTAATCAACAACTTTCTATCTTCCCTCCCCTCAGGCCCTGGCAACCGTGCTTCTACTTTCTGTCTCTGATGTTGACTACTCTAGAAACCTCGTAGAAGTGGAATCGTACCATATTTGTCTTTTTGTGACTGGCTTATTTCACTTAGCATAATGTCCTCAGGGTTCAACCATGTCATAGCATGTGTTGGAATTCCCTTCCTTTTCGAGGCTGAATAATATTGCATTCTAAGTATTTTCCACATTTTGCTTATCCATTCATTCATTGGCAGGTTGCTACCACTTTTTAACTATTGCGAATAATACTGCTGTGAACATGTGTACAAATATCTGAGACCCTGCTTCAGAATATTTTGGGTATAGACGCAAAAGTAGGGTTGCTGGAACATATAGTAACTCCATGTTTAGTCTGCTGGGGAGATGCCCTATTGTTTTCCTCACCTCATTCATTTTATATTGCTGTCTGATACTGTACAGTATTTCATTTCACTTGGCTTCACTTACAACCAATGCTGCAGTGACCGTCTCTGGACTTGTCTCCATGTGCACACAGGTGAGTATTTCTCTAAGGTAAGCACTGACCACATCAATGGTATTGGGTCAACAATAGTCTGGATTACCATGTTTAATTTCACTTTACAAGGGGTTTAGTCTTCGGTGCCAAGTCCACCATCTCCCACGATCTCAGTCTTCCATTGCTTTTGGTGCGCCCCAGTGTCTCTCCCCAGAGCAGGGGGGAACCACTTCCCTTCACATTCCTACTTCCTACCCATCGAGAGGCAGGAACACGAACCCCACAGCTGAGCTGGGCTCCAGCTTTCTTTGTCTGTCCTGAGCTGTCTTGCGAGAATAACACTCAAGCTCCACTGTTCCCTCCTTGAGTTGTAGTATCGGCAACCTGATGCTCATTCTTCCATTCAAACAGTTTGTGCAGTTTCTGCCACCAGAGGCATCACCCTCGATAGTGTCTGCTTAATCGATGCCACCCAACCAGTTATTCTTGCCTCAGTTCCACCTCTTCCAGGATGCCTGCCCTGCTTACTACCACCCATTCTTTTCTCTTTCTTTTCTGGACTTAATAATGACAATAATAATAAATAATAGTTACTCTTTATTGAGTCCTATTTGAGAGATGCACATGTGCTCCTTTTTGAATCCTCACAGAAGCCCTGAGAGGCACATGCTACGGTTTTTCATATTTTACAGCAGAAGAAACAGACACAGAGAGGTTGAGTAACTTTCCCCAGGTTACCTTGCTGTCAAGTGGCAGTGCTGGTTCCAAGCTCACGCAGTCAGGCTCCGAGTGTCCTGCGTTTGCCTTGCTGGCCGTCTGAACCGTTCGCTTTGTCACACCATCATAAACCGCCTGGCAGTGCCTGTAACTCCCAGTGAGGTCGATACCCTTTTCAAGAGCTGCGCTCTTTCCCTTCCTGGTGTTCTAGGCACGCAGCTGGTGCCCAGCAAATGCTCTTGACTTCTTGGTCTCATTACTCTCTGTGAGGAAACCTGCAGGCTGTTTTCCAGGAACAAAAGGTAAATAATTTCCTGTCATCAGAAGCAGTGATGGAAAAGGGGTGTTGTAAAGGCAATCTCTCTGCTTGTGAAAAAGAGGCAAGGAGACACAGCCAAACCAAGAGGCAGAACGAGTCCTCAATCCTCATTTCTGAAGGAGAGCTTGATGAATGTTCATGTATTGAAAATGTTTTGATACCTGTAAGGATCACGTATCCAACGATGTGGACAATGACACGGTCCCCAACCTCAAGGAATCACAGTGGGGAGACTGGGAGATGAAATGCAGCTATGAGAAAGTGTGATTCTTTCCAAGGTCAAGTCATCACAGAGTGAGGGTGCTTGATGCTTGTGTGTGTGTATACATGTGAGTGCATGTATGTGAGCGTGTGTGTTTAGATGAATGTGTGCTTGCCTCTGTGTGTCTGTACCTAAATGGTTTTATCAGGAGGGTCTTCCTAAAGAAGCTGATTGTATTATCTGTTGCTGTGTAATGAATTACTCAAAACTTAGCGACTTAAAACAACACATATTTGTCATTTCACAGTTTCTGTGGGTCAAGATTCCAGGCTTCCTTGAGTACCCTACCTCGCCCCTCAAAAGTCTGCAGTGAAGGCTGAGGTCTCATCTGAAAGCCTGGCTGGCAGAGGAGGATCCACTTCCAAACTTTCTCGTGGTTATTGTCAGGATTCAGTTTCTTGTGGGCACCAGCTTCCAACAAACCAAGTGAGATAGAGAGAGCAAGATGGGGTGAGCAACATGGACCCAGCGTAGTTAGGTAACCTTACTTCGAACAGACATTCCATCACTTTCACTATATTCTATTTGTTAGAAGTGAGTTGGTAGGTTCAGCTCATACTCAAGGGGTGGGACTTGCACAAAGCTGTGAACGCTAGCAGGGCAAGGACCATTGAGGGACATCCTAGAGCTACCTGCTACCCTGATTCTTCAACTGAGTTAGCTACCTGCTACCCTGATTCTTCAACTGAGTAGTTCTTTTTTTTTTTTGAGTCAGAGTTTAGCTCTGTTGCCCAGGCTGGAGTGCAGTGGCGTGATCGCTGCTCACTGCAAGCTCCGCCTCCCGGGTTCATGCTATTCTCCTGCCTTAGCCTCCTGACCAGCTGGGACTACAGGCGTCCGCCACCACACCTGGCTAATATATATATATTTTTTGTATTTTTACTAGAGATGGGGTTTCACCGTGTTAGCCAGGATGGTCTCGATCTCCTGACCTCGTGATCCGCCCGCCTCGGCCTCCCAAAGTGCTGGGATTACAGGCGTGAGCACTGTGCCCGGCCTCAACTGAGTTTTTATGCATGACCAGGAGTTCATCAGATGAGTAAGGATAATAAGTGGTTCTGGGTGGCAAGAAGCCAGCCAGCGGGAGCCCAGACATGGAAGAAAACACGCAGCATCAGGGGAAGACAGTGTGGCTATGTGGGTTGTGCGTGTGTGCATGTTTGTGGCATGTGGTGTGCTTGTGTGTGCACACATACGCAGTTCTGCATACATAGTTAGAAAGTTAGAAAATAGAAAAAATAAGACCTTGTATTTGCTAACACAGCAGTCAATAATAGTCAGTAATAAAGTAATTGTATACAAAAAATAACTCAAAGATTATAATTGGATTGGTTGTAACACAAAGGGTAAATACTTGAGGGGCTGGATAGTCCATTCTCCATGATGTGTTTCTAATGCATTGCATGCCTGTATCAAAACATCTCATGTACCCCCTAAATATATATGCCTACTATGGACCCACAAAAATTAAAATAAAAAATTAAAAAAAAGATTTCATGAGGGAGAGAGGGTCAATTGACAAAACCCATCTAAAAGGCATTTTAGGGTGGGGGTGATCATGAAAGAAGGTTGAGAAAAACACTGCTCTAGAGAAGTCAGAGAACCATTTATTGAATATTTATAACATACGGGCACTGTGTTAAGCAGTGTACGTACGCCACCTCATGCAATTCTGCAACAATCTTTGTATTGTCTGTGTTTGATGGAGAAGGAAATGGGTGGGCAGCTTCTGGCAGCTTCTTCTGACATGGCCCTGAATGACCCCCTCTCCTTGTGTGTGCCTTATATAATTCCCCTTGCTTGAGTGTGGGCTGGGCCTGGTGACTTGCTCCTAACAAATTGAAGATGGCAGAAGTTATGAGATGTCACTTCTATGATAAAGTCATAAAGACTGATTTCCTTTATAACCTGATCATGTAAGTGACGCTCCTCTGGCACAGTCTCTCTGGCTTTTCTGCTGTGGCTGCTCCAACAAAGCAAGCAGGAGAGACCCATGTGGCAAGGAACTGAGGGCATGTCCTGCCAATCATCAGCAAGAAAGCGAGGCCCTTAGTCCGACAGGTACCCGAAGGGACCCAAATCCTGGGTCCCGAATCCTGCCAAAAACCACAGGAGTGAGCTTTGACGTGGATCCCTTTCCCAGTTGAGCCTTCAGATAAGACCATGTCCCAGGCTGACAGCTTGATTGCAGCCTAGTGACAGAACCTGGGCCAAGGACTCAGGGAAGCCATGCCTGGATTCCTGACCCACAGACATGGTAAGATAGTAACTGTGTGTTGTTTTAAGCCTTTAACTTTTGAGGTGATTTTAAAATGCAGTAGTCGAGAACTAATACAGAAACAGAGAGGCTCAGAGAGGTGGAGAGACTTGTCTGAGGTTACATATTTAAGATTTCAAGCCAGGTGTGCTGATTCCCAGCTCAAGTCTCTTTAGCACCACCCTTTGTGCCTCTAGGGTCTTGATCACAGTGGCCTTAAAGGCTTGATGCAGGCTGGGTGTGGTGGCTCATGCCTGTAATCCTGGCACACTGGGAGACTGAGGTGAGTGAATCACCTGACGTCAGGAGTTTGAGACCAGCCTGGCCAACGTGATGAAAACCCATCTCTACTGAAATTACAAAAATCAGCCAGGTATAGTGTCACATGCCTATAATCCCAGCTACCCCAGAGGCTGAGGCATGAGAATTGCTTGAACCCAGGAGGTGGAGGTTGCAGTGAGCCAAGATTGCACCACTGCACTCCAGCCTGGGCGACAGAGCGAGACCCTGTCTCAAAGAAAAAAAAAATGCTTAACACATATGTGTAGCTCCTTTTGAGACAGCAGTGGGAAGTCAGTGAAGGTTTACAGGCATGATGTGGGATAAGAGAAAAGCCCATGTCTTCCTGCACCGAACATCTAGGCTGCAGCCGTGAGGGCCAGCCTCGGGGCAGGGACATCGGAATCATGAGGCTAAGACCTTGGAGTGTTCTGAGGACTTGAACTGAAGGTGAGAGGCAGAAAAAAATATACCCCCTTGCTTTTCTTCCACCAGGATGTTTTGAAGAGGAATGCCTCTTCAGGGAGCGGGCAAGGAGAGGAGGGGGCTGTGTCAGGGTGCCGACTGTTTTCTGGTGATAGTAACAGAGACCCGAGGGGAATATCTGAGCTTGGATAGTCACTGCAGTGGCTCAGTCACGACACATACCCCCCTCTCCCCCACAGGCAGCCTCTCTGCGGCCACCCGCGGCCCCCAAATGAGAGCCGCCTGGGAGTCTCACGCCTTTCATTTCCTTGTGACAATAGCAGAGGAAAATAGCTTTCTGGACTCAGCCCGACACTGATAATTAAAGGAACACTTTATCACCAGCAAGGGTGGAAACACCCACCAATGGCCTTCCAGAAAAAGAAAAAAAAAATTAAAAAAGGCTTGGTCCCATCAGTCTCTTCTCTTCATATGGAAATAGCTGGCTGGTTTGTGAGTCCTAGCTCTGTTGATTTCTTCTCTGTATTTCTGCAACGGGGATGCAGAGGACACACTTCTCAGGCTAAGATTTTTGGTTTCGTTTCATGTTTCTGCATGGACCTGCATTCTAGGTCCTCTCCATCTCTTTGGCTTCCTGTGGCCATTGTGTTAGATAAGATCTAAAGTCAGTTGCTGAGGGGCTCTGCAAGGCCCTGGCGTGATCACTAGAGTGCAAGAGATGGGACTTTGGACTCAGGCCTAGATGCCAGCAATGGTTCTGGCATTTTCTAGCGGTGTGAACCTGGGTAAGTTACTGGACTTTTCTCAGCCTCAGTTTCCTGACCTGTCAAATGGTAGTGTGCATCAAGCAGGTGGTTGTAAAGATTAAAAGAGTTTTTTTTTTTCCTGAGAGAAGGTCTTGCTCTGTTGCCCAGGCTGCAGTACAGTGACTCAATCACAGCTCACTGCAGCCTCGACCTTCTGGGCTCAAGAGATCCTCCCACCTCAGCCTCCCAAGTAGCTGGGACCACAGGTAAAAGCCACCACACCTGGCTAATTTTTGTACTTTTTGTAGAGATGGGGTTTTACTATGTTGCCCAGGCTGGTCTGGAACTGCTGGGCTCAAGCTATCCTCTTGCCTTGGCCTCCCAAAATGCTAGGATTACAGGTTGTGAGCCACCACGCCCAGCCTGGATTAGAAGAGATGTCTCAGATAAAGCACTTGACATAGGACCTGGCATACACAAAGCACTCCAAAAACCTTAGCAAAATACTGATGCAAGTAGAGACTGTGGGGGAGAGTAGCTGGGTAGGATGAGATAGAGTAAACCCTGTAATCCCTGAAGATCATGCCCACTAATCTCACTCTGCTCACCCCAAAGCCTGGACTTCCTCCTAAGAACACCAGCTCTTGGGCCTTCCCCAAAATCAGAATGTTTTTGTCTTGTTTGTTTTCTATGAGGGACAATAATTGATAGTAATAAGGTCATTCAAGTATGTGTGATATTGTCCAGGAACCTATGGTTGGGGATTAAGGAAACTAGACTGGTTTGTATTTCTCTTGGGTGGTTTGAAATGAAAGATCCATCTTGATGTGGGTGTGCGTGTGTGTCTGTGTGTGTTTCTGAATGTGAGATTTTCACTTTGTTTGTCCTTAAAGCGATAATTCTGACCAGAGGCTAACAGGTGAGATATGATGGAGAGTTCTGTAGTGGGAATCTGGCCACTGTATGAGGCTCCAGGGTGTTCTGTCCTGTTCTCTCAGGGTGTATAGCCCCATTCCAGCTCAAGCAGCTGTGTTGATTCCACACCTATAGGCTCTATGATGTTGGGCAAGTGGATTCACCTGTCTTAGCCTTTATTTCATCATCTGTAAAATGGGACTAATAATCATCCCCATCTCATATGATTGTTGTGGGGGTTATATCTGACGGTTCTCAAGAGCTTTGGCAAAGTGGCAGCTACATAGTGGGAGCTCAGTAAACAGCAATGGTACTGATGGTGGGAGGATAACTGTCTCTTTGAGGAGCTCCTCAAAGTCCCCTGCAACAGGGACCCCAACACTTGGGAGGTGTTGAGGGTGTGCTCTCAGGATCAATGGAATGAGAGAAGCAGGATGGAGCAGGGGAAGGAGCAGAATAAGGCTGTGGTTTCAGCTGGTGTTGAGCTTCAGACTTAGCCCATGGAATGAGTGGGTGGTGGGTGGGGTCTGCAGTGTAAATTGCACAGAAGTGGTTTGACCCCTAGGTCATTGCTCATGGGCTGCTTCCTGGCGTGGAAATGGGGCCTCCCTTTTGGAAGAAGGCAATTTATTGGAGAAGAGGGCAGTGAAGAGCCTTTAGAAGCCAATGCTTCCACACCCACAGGACCTAGGGATGGGCATCTGCCTGGTGAACAGGATCTGGATGGGGCATGAACAGAACTGTTACACTTCTTTATTCCTGGAAGACTGAGACATCATGGTGTTTGCTGTTTCTAGGCAAACTTTTATGGGTTCCTGGCCTGTGATGGGGGCAGTGGCTTGGCATATTGCTCACTTACCTCAGGCCTCAAGTGGTATCATTAACCCAGAGTTGAATTTTCTTCATTTCTACAGCCCTGGCAGCATCAGGCAGCGGAAATGAGAAGATGTCTCAGCCCTTTGCATAGTCCTTTCTGTCCTTTGCCGGAAATGAAAGCAGCCAGAAACACTGCCTGCGCAGAGGCCAAAGAGATGAGATCCTAGCAGTCGTGCGAGAAATCACTGTAAAAAGCACATTGCCATGGGGACAGAGAAAAGGATATCACCAGGCAGTCCCCAGGGAAGTGTGGGGTCTTGGAAGCCCATCAGAAGACTTCCCAGGGGTGTGAACAGAATGCGGCTCTGTGCTAGAGGTTGAGCATTTTCAATTCAGGAGATTTGTTATAATTCGGTTCTGTCCTTGCAGATAAAGTGGATGTTAGAGTTTGACGGATGCAGTCTCTTTGGCTCGGGATGCGATGGCA
The DNA here is from genome assembly GCF_000001405.40 of Homo sapiens. NCBI lineage: Eukaryota > Metazoa > Chordata > Mammalia > Primates > Hominidae > Homo > Homo sapiens. The sequence goes on from NC_000020.11 coordinate 51,060,834, forward strand.
ATGAGATAGAAGAGTGTCTCAGGGCTGGGATGGGAGGAGGGACCCTGGAATCAGAGGAGATGCAGGCCTGAGAGAAGCTGTGTCTTAGGAGTTAAAGACCCAATCAGGGCACACAGCCAGCAATCCTCAAATGAGAGGAAGTAGCTTGAAAGCAGCTGATCCTTATAATTGGGGCATGGAGGAGTGGGGCACAGTGGAGTCAGTGTCTGGAATGGAGGCTGTGTTTAAACTCATTTTTCTATCTACTCACCCATCACCCATCCATCCATCCATCCATCCATCCATCCATCCACCCACCCACCCACTCATCCATCCATCCATCCACTCACCCACCCATCCAGCCATTCATCTATCCACCCACCCACCCACCCACCCACCCATCCATTCCTTACCATTAATTTAAAACATTAAAAAATAATTCATGTGGAAAAATTCAAATAGAAGAAAAGGATAAAAAGTAAGTCCCAGATCTTAGTCACTTTGTTTTTCTCCCTAGAGAGAAACAGTTGTTAGTTTCTTTTAGTTCCTTCCAGAAATATTTTGTGAACACACAAGCATACCTGTGTACACACGGTAGCAACCTATACCTTCTATGCTGTGTCTTGCTCTCAGCATGCCTTAAAGACACAGATGGCATTTCTGTGCCAGTTAAGGCAAGCTTCAGGTGTGCCATGCATCTTCCAAGAACCTGAGTGAGTGAAGATAATCACAGCCACAGGCTTTGAAAAGTTCTGCCAAGTGGCTTCATAGAAATCAAACATCAGTAAGATCTAATTGTTCACTTTCTGTCTGAGTAGAGACAGCTGGAGTTTCATTCATCTGCATCACTTGGTTATAAATGGTTTTCTTTCCTGCTTTTCCAATCCTGAATATAAATTAACAGTATTTTCCACTGATGTGGCTAAGTAGTAACTAGTTTTTCACAACAGAACCATTCAGAATGTACCTGTTGTTATTTTAACGAAGTTCACGCCTGTTGATGAATGAGGGCCCCCTTTATCCACATGCAAAATTTCGTTTTCATGCCCGATTCATCATTTTCCCCAACTTTTATTTTGAGACATTTCAAACCTATATAAAAGGTAAAACCATAGTACAATAACCGCCCTTACATCCTTCCTTTATACTCATAATTTGTTGGCATTTGACATTTTTTCCACATTAAAATTCAAAAAATTTTTTTCTGAAGCTATTGGAAATGGTTTGGCTTTGTGCCCCCACCCAAATCTCACTTTGAATTGTAATAATCCCTATGTGTCAAGGTTGGGACCAGGTGGAGATAATGGAATCATGGGGGCAGTTTCCCCCGTGCTGTTCTCGTGATAGTGAGTGAGTTCTCAGGAGATCTGATGGTTTTATAAGGGGCTTCCCCCTTCGCTCAGCTCTCATTCTCTCTCCTGCCATCCTGTGAGGAGGCGTTGTCCACCACGATTGTAAGTTTCCTGAGGCCTCCCCCGCCATGCTGAACTGTGAGTCATTTAAACCTCTTTTCTTTATGAATTACTCAGTCTTGGGTATTTCTTCACTGAAGTGCGAGAAGAGACTAATATACTCTTTGAAAGTAGGTTGCAGACCCAATGAACTTTTACCTCTAAAAACTTCATCCTGCATCTCCTAAGAACAAGGACATTCTCCTACATGACCACAGTACCATTATCACACCCAACAAGTTAATACTGATACAGCAATTTTACCTAATATAAAGTCCATATTCAAATTTCCCCAACTATCTCATTATCAGTCTTTGAAAATACACTTTCTGCCTTGATCCAGTATGAATCAAGGATCACCATTGAATTTAGTCGTCATGTCTCTTAGAGTTCTTTAATCTAGAATGTTCCCCACACTTCCCTCCCCTTGCCTTTTTTCTTTCCATCCCTCATGACATTGACATTCTTCTGGTTTGTTTTCTGAGACAAGGTCTTGCTCTATCGTCCAGGCTGGAGTGCAGTGGCATGGTCACAGCTCACTGAAGCCTCTACCTCTTAGACTCAAGTGATCCTCCTACCTCAGCCTCCTGAGTAGCTGGGACCACAAGGCGCATGCTGCCACTCAGCTGATTTTTGGATTTCTTGTAGAGACATGATTGCACCATGTTACCCAGGCTGGTCTTGAACTCCTGGGCTCAGGTGATCTTCCCACTTCAGCCTCCCAAAGTGCTGGGATTACAGACGTGAGCCACCACACCTGGCAACATGGACATTTTTGAAGAACTGGCCATTTCTTTTCTGGAATGTTCAATAATTTGGATTTGTCTGATTACTTCTTGTGATTAGATTTAGGATAAACGTTTTTTGGCAGGTGTAATACACAGAGAAGTTTTTTTCTCCCCATTTCATCATGTTGGGAGGCATATAATGTCAATAATGATCCATTATTGGCGATGCTACATTTGAGCACTTTTTAAAGAAATCTGTGGGATTTCTCAACCACAAAGGTACTTTTTTCCTTTTGTAAGTAATAAGTGAGGCTACGTTTCTATTTTGTTCCCAACTGCCTTTCCCCAGTGGTTTTAGCATCCACTGATGATCCTTGCCTGAATAATTATTGTCTTGGTGGTAACAATTTTCTAGTTATGTCATTCATTTTACACTTATTAGCTGGTACTGTGCAAAGAAGCACTTCATTTACCCCCCTGACGCTGCCCCATCCCTCCTCCTCACTTTAAAATTTCTTAGTTTTAGTATCACTGGTCTTATGGACTCTCCCCACTTCCCCAAGATTTGGCCAGTGGGAGTCCCTTCGAGCTGGCTTCTTTGACCTTGTGACATGCCTCCATCAGTTTTGGGGCACTTCCTTACATTCTGGCACAAGGTGTTGCCCAGAAATGGAATCAATTATGTCTCCTTTTAAGGGGTGCATAGTATTTAGAAACCCAGATCTGGGTGCTGGGTAAGCTTTCATGACATTGGAGTGTCATTACTTTTAGTTCTTCTGGATGGAGAGCCAGGGTATATGTCTGTTTAAACTATGACCTCATAGTGAGACCACTATTTGTTTCTGAGTAACACTGAGTTTCTGTTCATTTTCTTTTTTCTTTTTTTTTTTTTTTGAGACGGAATCTCGCTCTGTCACCCAGGCTGGAGTGCAGTGGCACGATCTTGGCTCACTGCAAGCTCCGCCTCCTGGGTTCATGCCATTCTCTTGCCTCAGCCTCCTGAGTAGCTGGGATTACAGGTGCCCGCCACCATGCCCGGCTAATTTTTTTTTGTATTTTTTAGTAGAGACGGGGTTTCACCGTGTTAGCCAGGATGGTCTCGATCTCCTGACCTTGTGATCCACCCGCCTCGGCCTCCCAAAGTGCTGGGATTACAGGCGTGAGCCACCGCGCCCAGCCAGAGTTTCTGTTCATTTTCTAAGAATCATTTTTTTCCCCTTCATTCTTCAGATTGGGTAATTCTTGCCCATCTCCCCCATTCCATATTTATATCTTCATTCACCCACAGTGGAAATCCTCGTTTTAGTAAAATTAGTATATTGACTCATTTGTTCTATCATGCAACACACAAGATACTTCCAGAATTACTGTACTGTTACCACTATCAACAATAAATCTACTAAATCAAGTTTAGCAACTATACGTGTGTATATATATAAAGGTATATATATAGGTTTTTTTATATGCATATACACACACACACACATTCCTTACCATTATCTTGGTGTGTCCTCCACCTAGTTCTCCACCCCAAAGATCTAGAAGTAAGCTTTAGTTACTTGAATCAATTATTTTCCCTGTGGAGTACATTATTTATATTTGCTGTACTGTTAGAATTATTTGTTTCTGCTTGCATTCAATTCTAGGAATAGCTTCTTTCTACCCCTTTTGATATAATTTACATGGTTCAAAAGCAAAACTACATAAAAATATGCTTGGAGAAGTCTCCCTCCCATCTTTTTCCCTTTCACCCTATTCTTATCCATACACTATAGCAAATAATTTCATTAGTTTCTGGTGTGGAGGTACCATATTTCATTCAATCAGTCTGTCACGGATGGACATTTAGATTGCTTCCTGTCTTTTGTTATTATCAATGCTGCTGCAATGAATAATCTGTGTATATCCTTTTTTCATAATTGTTTAGCAATTGATATGCAGGATAATCTGCTAAAAGTTGGATTGGTGGGTCAAAGAGTAAATACGTATGTGATTTTGATAGATCTGGCCAAATTTCCCTCCTTAGGGATTAACCCATTATGCACTCCTACCAACAATGTGTGAAGAGTCTTTTTCCCCACTGCCTGGTCAGCAGAGTTGGGTGGTAAGCTTCTTTTTTTTTTTTTTTTTTTTTTTTTTGACATGGAGTCTCACTCTGTCCCTCAGGCTGGTGTGCAATGGCATGATCTCGGCTCACTACAACCTCCGCCTCCCAGGATCAAATGATTCTCCTGCCTCAGCCTCCTAAGTAGCTGGGACTACAGGCATGTGCCACCACACCCGGCTAATTTTTTTGTATTTTTAGTAAAGAAAGGGTTTCAGCATGTTGGTCAGGCTGGTCTTGAACTCCTGACCTCAAATGATCCGCCCGCTTCAGCTTCTAAATTGCTGGGATTATAGGCATGAGCCACCGTGCCTGGCCAGTGGCAAGCTTTTGAATTTGCCAATATGATAAAGGAGAAATGATATATCAGGGTAGTTTTTTTTTAAACATTTGTGTTCAGGGGTACATGTAAAGGTTTGTTACATAGGTGAGCTCATGTCACATCACGAGGGTTTGTTGTACAGATTATTTCATCACCCCAGTACTAAGCCTAGTACCCAATAGTTATTTTTTCTAATCCTCTCCCTCCTCCCACCCTCCACCCTCCAGTAAACCCCAGTGTCTGCTGTTTTCTTTTTTTGTGTTCATAAGTTCTTACCATTCAGCTCCCACTTACAAGTGAGAACAAGTGGTATTGGTTTTCTGTTCTTGTGTTAGTTTGCTAAAGCTAATGGCCTCCAGCTTCATTCATGTTCCTGGAAAAGATATGATCTCGTTCTTTTTTATGGCTGCATAGTATTCCATGGTGTATATGTACCACGTTTTCTTTATTCAATCTGTCATTGGTGGGCATTTAGGTTGCTTCCACGTCTTTGCTTTGTGAATAGTGCTGCAGTGAACATTCGTGTGCATGTGTCTTTATGGTAGAATGATTTATACTCCTTTGAGTATATACTCAGTAATGGGATTCCTGGGTCAAATAGTAGTTCATATCCAGGTAGTTTTAATTTTCATTTCTTTTCTTATGAATGATGTTCAGCATCTTTCCTATGTTTAAGTACCATTTATCAATTTTTCTAATATGTTTTTGGTCTTTTCCCCCCTCTATTTTTTTTTTTTTTTTTTGGAGATGGAGTCTCACTCTGCTGTCCAGGCTGGAGTGCAGTGGCACAATCTTGGCTCACTGCAACCTCCACCTCCCTGGTTCAAGCAATTCCCCTGCCTCAGCCTCCCAAGTAGCTGGGATTACAGGCGCATGCCACCATGCCCAGCTAATTGTTTTTGTATTTTTAGTAGAGACAGGGTTTCACCATGTTGGCTCGACTGGTCTCGAACTCCTGACCTCAGGCAATCTGCCCACCTTGGCCTCCCAAAGTGCTGGGATTACAGACGTGAGCCACTGCGCCCAGCCTCTCGCCTCTATTTTTGAGGGTTTTTTATAAAGTAGAGAGATTAGCCTGTATCTATATGTAAGTATACATATAGATACAGATGCATCCCGCTCACTCTCTTTATCTATGTGTAATATATTATTAGCTAGAAAATTAATTGCAAATACTTTCTCCTGTTTTCTACTTGTCTTCTGAGTTTGCTTAACTTTGTTAATGTAGTCATAATCCGTCATTTTAATTCATGGTTTTGTAGTTTCGAAACTCTGGAGTCAGTTTTGAGATTTCTTTCTTTTGCATGCCTATAGTCAACTAATTACCAAGATCTGATGTTTTCTTTTTCGTAATATTTCTTGAATGTGAGGTTTTTCTTTCCACAGATTCATGGCTAACATCCTGGCCATTCTGCCCACATTGCTATGAGTTTCATTCTCCTGGTTCCAGGTTTTTTGACCCTTTGCTACCCGAATGATCTTCTTAGTCCTGTTAATATTGTCCTGCAAGTTTCTGAGGTTCTGTTTTTTCTTTTTTTCTTTTTTTGAGACAGGGTTTCTCTCTGACACCTAGGCTGAAGTGCAGTGGCCCGATCTTGGCTCACTGCAACCTCTGCCTCCCAAGCTCAAGCAATCCTCCCACCTGAGCCTCCTGAGTAGGTGGGAGTACAGGCATGTGCTACCACGCCTGGATAATTTTTGTATTTTTTGTATTTTCTGTTCATTTTTAACAGAACCTGAGAGGCTGGGTATGGTGGCTCACGCCTGTAATCCGAGAACTTTGGGAGGCTGAGGCGGGCAGATCGCTTCAGCCCAGGAGTTCAAGACCAGCCTGGGTAACGTGGTGAAACCTCGTCTCTACAAAAAATACAAAAATTAGCTGGGCATGGTGGTGCACACCTGTAGTCCCAGCTACTCAGGGGGCTGAGGTGGGAGGATCACCTGAGCCCCGGAGGTAGTGAGCCATGATCGCACCACTGCACTCCAACCTGGGTGACAGAGTGAGACCCGGTCTCAAAAACCAAAAAAATCCAAAACACATTTTCTTGCTCTTTTCTTCAGATTGGATAATTTACATGGACCTATCTTTAAGGTGTAACTTTTCCCCACGTCATTTACATTCTGCTGTTAAACTTGTCCCCTAATTTTAAATTTCATATGATGTATTTTTCAGTTCTAGAATTTCCATTTGGTTTCTAGTTATATTTTTCTTTTCCTGCTGAGGTTTCCTATTTTGAATATTATGTGGTAGAGACTTTAGATTCTTATTTGCCAAAGAGTGCAGATTTTTTAAGCAGATAATTGAGTTGGTTGAACGAAAACTGCAAAGTCTGTCTCTAGTGAGACAGCTAATATCTCAGTTCAGCTTTTTTTTTTTTTTTTTAACCTTCATTTAGGCTGCTTGAAATCTGCCCCATGCAGTTCAGGGGTTAGACCGAGATTTGGACAACGTTTATACACAGAATCCCACTCCCTACCATGCCATCTTGGATCTCTCTCCTCCAGGTTTTCCCTCACTTTGTGGTTACTTTGAACTTTGTCCACTGGTTGGTCAGGCTACAAAGACTATGGGTTCTCTATCAGAATTGTAGCTGCTCATGCAGCGCTGACTGTGGCCTGACCTCTGGCTAAAAGCCACAAAAATTCAGGAAACTAACCTCTTGCCTTTCCTTTCTTCCAAGTATCAGCTCTTCGTTAGAGCTTGCCTGCTTTTGTTGGCTTTCCAGTACCTTCATGTAGTTTTGCCCCTCACCCCCGAGTTTATCATTGTTATCTGTGGGAGGGTCAGTCCAATAGGAGCTCACTCAGCAAAGAGCAGAACTCCAATTAATCTTTTAAAAACGCTTTTCTCTTTTCCCTTTTTTGTCAAGAACCAGCTCCTCTTTTACTTGTCGTATTTTATTGGTCAGGATGAGCAGGGCTAGAACTTTAAAATACTCAAAACAGTTTGGGTTCCTGTTTTCTAATCTGTGGTGCCTTTACATAGGGTTGAGACCCAACAACATAGTCTTTATTTAACCATAGAAAATGAAAATATTCATGTGCTGTCTGAAAATATAGTATTTGGAAGAATAACAAGTACCATGTCTACATTATTATTATTATTATTATTATTATTATTATTTTTATTTTGAGACAGGGTCTGGCTCTATCACCCAGGCTGGAGTGCAGTGGCACGATCTCGGCTCACTGCAACCTCTGTCTCCTGGGCTCAAGCCATCCTCTTACCTCAGCTTCCCAAGTAGCTGGGACTATAGGTGCATGCCACCACGCTTGGCTAATTTTTGTATTTTTGTTGGTAGAGATGGGGTTTTGCCACGTAGCCCAGGCTGGTCTCAAACTCCTGGGTTCAAGCGATCCACCCACTTCAGACTCCCAAAATACTGGGATTACAGGCATGAGCCACTGCGCCTGTCCTAATTATTTCTAATGATTAGTATTTGCATACCTAGTGACGGATGCAATTAAGAGCATGTTCTAAAAAAATATAAACTCCTAAATACAATTAAGTATTATCTTGTCACCTTTCATTCTTTATTACTGACGGTTGCTAAAATTAATGCTGGTTTTCCTTATTTTGCTCAAAGAAGTGCCCTTTTACCTACCTATACCCTAGCTTTTGGCTTGTTCACAGGTTTCCTAGCAACTGGGCTAATGATTGCAGTAAAAAATAATTTTTTTTGGTATTCCAGTGTACGACGCTATTTTTAAGTATCAAAATACTGTATTTTAAAAAATGTAATACTGCTATTTTGGTATTCTAAGAAGTCTGAAATCTGAATCATTTATATCTTGAGACATTCCAAGAGCATTTTATGCTGCATTAAAAATTCTAATTGAACAAAAGATCCCTTATTTAGAAAACATCTTTTCCATTTCCATTATCCTAAAGAGAAATAAAAAAATATATATTCGATGAAACAAAACTTGTATTGCAAAGATTATCCTAATAAGAATTCCCTATAAATGGTATATGCACATGGTGGTTTTGAAACTGGTACAGATTAGCCTGCAACAGCAATAGGCAAGTGATTCTGTAACTATAAATGGTGACATGCAAAATTCGAAGCTGAACTGGTGACAACAGCCTTAAAACAAAAACTCCAGGTTCCTGTCAGGAACAATATTGGAGTCTCTATAAAGAAATAAGTTCTTCCAAAGGGTCTCGAAGTTATTTGAAAATGGGGATTCCAGAGGAAAATGTTTGGGTTGGTAAATAACTCTCTCCTCTTCATTCCTCTGACTAATATGGGGCACAAACATTTTTTAACAGCTGGAAAAATTTGAGCAACAAAATGCTTGGAACTCATCTGTGACATCATTGATACACGCTTTTATTTTTAATGATTACAGTTAAAGAATCAAATAATGTTTTATTTTTAAAATTTCTTATTTAAAGTTTCCTATAATTTATTTATTTATTTTTGAGATGGATTCTCATTCCATCACTCAGGCTGGAGTGCAGTGGCATGATCTTGGCCAACTGTAACCTCTGCCTCCTGGGTTCAAGTGATTCTCCTGCTTCAGCCTCCTGAGTAGCTGGGATTACAGGGGTGCGCCACCATGACTGGCTAATTTTTGTATTTTTAGTAGAGATGGACTTTCATCATGTTGGCCAGGCTGGTCTTGAACTCCTTAACCTCAAGTAATCTGCCTGCCTCGGCCTCCCATAGTGCTGGGATTACAGGTGTGAGTCACCATGCCGGACTATCCCTATATTTTAATTCCATGTTGAGTTGGTTATTTTTGTAATGCTTTATTAGTTTATCAGCTACTAATTTGTATTAAACATATAAATTGTACTATATATTTTGTAAATTCATTGTAGTGCTTAATATTTTGTAATGTTTATAAATCTATGTCTTCAAAATACATTGTGATTAGTTTAAGTGATTTAAAACAATTTCATGAATGCTGTGCACTTTTTGATAAAACAGCAGTATTAGATACTAAAATGCTGATAATTGTCACTTTGGGAGGCTGAGACGGGTGGATCATGAGGTCAGGAGTTCAAGACCAGCCCGACCAAGATGGTGAAACCCCATCTCTTCTAAAAATACAAAAATTAGCCGGGTGTGGTGGTGGGCACCTGTAATCCCAGCTACTTGGGAGTATGAGGCAGAGAACTGCTTGAACCTGGGAGGCAGAGTTTGCAGTGAGCTGAGATTGCACCACTGCACTCCAGCCTGGGTGACAGAGTGAGACTCCATCTCAAAACAAACAAACAAACAAAACTTGTCATTTTCCCCTGGCATTGTACTCCAGCCACTAGCTATCCACAGTTATCCAGCCACTAGCAGTGTTCTATCTCTCCTCAGTGTTAAATTCCTAATAGCAGATTCTTATCTGTGCTCCGTTAATCCCAAGAAGACTTTCGGTGGGCAAAGTGCTCAGATCATAGTCTTAAGCGGTGGCCTGGTGGATGAGAAAGAGAATGCATTCAGATGCTAGAATGCAAACCTGAATTTATATCTCAGTTAAATAATTCACTTCTCTGAACCTCAGTTTTCATGTCTTTAAGAGTAGAATGCCATTGTCTACCTCTGGGGGCGACTGTGATTGTTAAATGAGAATGTATGTCAATGTGACTGCTTCCTCAACCAATGGTGGGTCCCTTCTTTCCCTTCCTCTGTGAAGAAGGTGTTTTCTCTGCTGGAAGATAAAAGCCATCGCTGGAGTGTGGGGTGTAGAATGTCTGATGAAACAGGGCTCCTTTGTGGGGAAGCAAGGGTCTTTGACGGCCGAAAATGGATCTCACTGCAGCAAGGTCAGGAGAGGTAAAACCAGCCGAGGAAAACCCAAGTGAGGAGCCCGGAGGCCCGGAGTCAGAAAGCAGGCTGCTCAGATTCACATTTCATTGGAATGCTTTTCTCCTTTGATGCATCTCAACTGGAAGAGTAAACTGAAACAGTGGGAACTGCGACGTGGAAGCATCTTCATTTATTTTCTGAGGCATTGTGAGGTTACCCAGAAGGAACCGATGGGGCCCGGGAGTGGATGTTTGTTTTGAAGAATATTACCCGAAGAGTGGGGAAGGAGTAGGGGCAAGTTGGCTTTTCTGCTGTTCCTTTGGAATTGAGTTTGACCTTGCAAGTGGCCTCAGGAAACCTCCAGTGAATGATTTCCTAGTGGCACCATAAGACTTTGTGTCACTTCTTTCCTTGCTAAGTAATTCAGATGTCAGTAAGCTTCGCAGCCAAGAAGGCTGGTATGCAGAGTTCATCATTTGTAGTGATTCCATGTTCACCAGATTCTTGCATACCTTGGTGTGCTTTTCTGATTGCATGATATAAATCTAGTTGGCTTGAAAATTTTGGCTGATAATCTCTTTTGGATACCACCCAGGCTGCGATGCGCCGTCTCTGCAATGTGCCATGCATCGCTTCATGAAATCGGTTTTTAAAATACTTGGGACATTGTTTATTTAACTCCAGCTTTGTTCTGGGCTGGTTACACAGGCCCATTTGTGAAGCTTTCACCCCCTTACTGGTCATGTCCATATGAACCACTCCATTGTGAAAAGGGTCTTGCTCCCCCTCATGCCCCTCATCTTCCTCTCCTAACTATAAGCATCAGCCTGGGCTCATCGTAGGTCTGTATAGGTAGTAACTATAAGCATCGTAGGGCTCAAGTAGTAAATAAATCTACTTTTATTCAGGCCTCTGAGAGGTCAATTATGTCCAAACCTTTGTAGCTGATTGCTATGGAAACTGTATTTGTTCAAATTAGGACTCAATTCAATATATCAAGTTCCTCCAAGGAGCTGCTCCATCCAAAGACAGTAACAGTCTCTGTCCACTGGCAGTGGTTCCATTGGTCAGGTGAATTGGGTCTGCCATCTTGAATGGGCCAGTCTGTCTCCTGGGACTTGTACTGAACATCCCTCACTCTCCAGCAAAGTACACTTTCCTTATGGCTGGGTTCCCAGAAGCTGGAGTTGGGAAGGGATCTAGAAGATTGGTTACTTAGGTCAGTGGTTCATGATCTGTTTTAGGTTACAAGTTTCTTGGAGAACTTGATGAAAATCCTCTGCCTAGGAAGATGCACATGCAGATGTACTCATCTTTCATTCAGCAAGTACTAGCTGAGCCTCTGCAAAGCACCATATCTTGTTCTAGAGGCTGGGATACAGCAGAGAAGAACATTGATGAAATTCCCTGACCTTGTACCTCAGCCTTCTGGGTTTGAGAGGGGGAAGGTAGACAAAAATAGTCATTGAGAAGCAAACATATTGCATCTCAGAGTGTGATAGATGCTACAGAGAAACATATAGTAGGGGAGAAGGGGAGACACATTGGTGGACTGGCAGAGATTGGTACCTCTTCCTGCTGGCTCCATGGACTTACCTGGAGCCTGATGGATGAGTAGAGGAAGCCGGGCTACCCTCTGCTGGCTGGGACCATGGATTGAAACGTGTCCAGAGGGTGGGTAAAGAGGGGGTGCTTCATATGTCACAGTAACAACAGTATTCTCTTCCACTGAAGACCTCCTGGGTAATAGGGCAGGGGCCTGGCCTGGGTGGGAAGAGGCAAAGTAAGGAGGATGGAGCTCACCAAATCTGTGCCATGGGGTCTTCCCTGGCTCTCTCCATTTCTCCTGCACCCTGCGATAACCTTCTAGCTCTAGTTCTTGTCTTTTCCTCTTAATGTTCAGCTGTCTTTGAATTAATGATGGTGACCACCTCCTTCTAGTGACTACATTTTTCCACACCTCTGGACCTTGCCCTGTTCTGTCTCTCTTGACACTGGCCCAGCTGCCCCAAATGGCTCATGGGTGTGGGGGCTGTCACCTATTTAGCAGGCTGGATAGCATGGCAGTTGAGTGCTCATGATTCGGAGTGAACAACCTGGGTTTGAATCCCAGCTCTTCCATCTGGTTGCCTTTGGGCAAGTCACCTGTCCTCTCTGAGTCTCAGTTTCCCTATCTATGAAAGGGAAGAGAACAGGAGGATTAAATGAGATCACACATATAAAAGGTTTGGACTAGCATGGGGTAAGCACTCAGGAGATGGCAGGTTTTGTTGTAGTACTAGTAGTTGATGTGCTCATGGAGTTGGTTTTCTGAAGGAATGTGGTAAGAGACTGGTGATTAGAAACAGGTGCAGAGTCATCCACTGATCGAACACTTGTTGAGTGCCCTTGCATGCCAGGCACTGTTCCAGGCTCTAGGGACACAGTTGGGGACACAATAGACAAAAGTCTTTTCTCATGTATCTGACATTCTAGTTTGTGACATGACAGATAAGTAAGTAGGGTTATGGAGATGTATGGATATAAATGAATAAATTTATTTTTATTATTATTATTTTTGAGACAGAGTCTCACTCTGTCACCCAGGCTGGGGTGCAGTGGCACAATCTCTGCTCACTGCAAACTCTGCTTCCCAGGTTCAAGTGATTCTCTTGCCTCAGCCTCTGAGTAGCTGGGATTACAGGCACCCACAACTACACCCAGCTAATTTTTGTATTTTTAGTAGGACGGGGTTTTACCATGTTGGCCAGGCTGGTCTCGAACTCCTGACCTCAAGTGATCTGCCCACCTTGGCCTCTCAAAGTGCTGGGATTATGGGTGTGAGTCACTGCACCTGGCCCAAATGAATAAATTTATATACAGACTTGGCTGTGTGGCTTTCAGCTGCAAGTAAGAGAAAACTCAATCAACAGTAGCTTAAACTGTAAAGTCAGTTATTATTTTCTTAACAAGAAGAATAAATAGCCTCAGGATTTGCACTCAGGGATGCACTGATGACCCTCAATACATCCATCCTTCAGCTCTAGTTTCCTCAGTGGGTTGGATTTCATTTAGCCTTGTTGCCTCATGAGCACAGAATGGCTGCTGCAGCTCCTGACATCTCTTCTGCCCATGATCATGACCCATGAAGGAAGGCAAAAAGGGAAACAAAGGGCCTTCCTCCTCCTGTGACTCTCCCTTTTATCAGGGAGCCCAGAAGCCCTTCACAAACTTTCCTTTGCAGCTCATTGGCTAAAAGCAGGTCATGTGCCTGGCGATGACCATTTGTTGGCAAAATAGAAAAGGATTACTGTGGCTGGCTTAGATTGTTGTTGATTCACCCCTGGTGCTGGGCACATTGCTACCTGAACATAACTGAGGTTCAGTTACCAAAGAGGAAGGAGAAATGGCTGTCAGGTAGGCAACCAATGCTGTCTGCTTTCCAGCAGGCCTGAGCGTCTCTTTGGAAGAGAGAAGTTAGTGGTAGCAGCTGAAGGGGCTCTTTGGGTAGACTTGGGGTTTGAGAGTGCCACCTTGGGCCTCTAATGTCATAGTTCAATAGCGAGTTGAGGAGGGGCTTTCTCCCTTTATGCTGTGTGGGACACAGGAGTGGCATCTGGCATGTCCACGGAGTGCCAAGGGACAAGAAGCAGCAGGTGTGCTTGAGAAGAAAGCAGAAAATGTCGCACATCCCTGAGGGCCGCCCTCACTGGCCTGTGGACATCCGAGGCAGGTGCTGAATGCAGGATAAATACCTACAAACACTCCTACACCCAGAGGCTTCTGGGATGCCCCTTGGATATCCACAGGCACAGCAGAGGCAAAGTGTACAAAACGGAACCCAGGGCCTAGCTCCCTGCCTCTACCCAGCCTGCTCCCCACCTCATCTCCCCATCTCAGTGAACGAGAATATCACCATTCATCCAGCAGCCAGCATAAAACCTGGGTGTCCTACTCAATTTCCACCTCTCCCTCTTCCCTCATGGGATCCCTCATCAAGTCCTACGGATCCTTCCTCTTCTCTAGATCAGCTCCATCTACTGTTTTCCACTTCGGAAGCCAGCACCATCCTTCAAGCCTCCTGGATGACTGGGATGGTCTTTTAACTGTGCCTCACCACCTGTCACCCACCTCCACCTTCCCCAACCTGGTCTGGTTTTCCCACTGCAGCCAGAGTGACCTTTATAAATGACAGCATTGAGCATCTCTTTTCTCTGCATTAAAAAACCCTCCTGGCTTCCCTTTGCCTTTAGGATAGGATCCTGTTCTTGGCCCAAGATGCCTCCTACCACTCACCATGCGGCCTCAGCCTTCCCTCCCACCCCATTTCCCCCATCTTTCCCCCTACTCTTCCTAAAAGGGCCCAGTCAGTCTCTCTCTTGCCTCAGGGCTTTGACTGTGATTTTCTTTCAGCTCTGAACTCTCTCTCTTCCCAGCCGCCTTCTCCCGCTGCCTAGTGCTTTTCATTTTGTGCATTCTAGTTAAAATAGCACATCCCCAGGAGGGATCTATTTTGCTCCCCAGACTAGGCTGAGACCCTCTTCTCAGGCTTTCCTCACACTCTGTCTTTCTCCATCATCACCATGTACCCCAAAGGCTGCTTGACACGCTTGTCTTTTCTGTTGGAGCCTAGAAGCTGGACCATAGGCTTCATGACACAGGGGCTGGCCTTTTTTGTTGCTCTCTGACCTCAGGATCTAGCCCAGTGTCTGGTGCACAGCAGAGGCTCATTATCATATATCACCTAATAATCATATAAAGAATGAATGAAGATTTTCAAAGCACAATGGAAATGCCGAGGGAGTAGCTATGCATTTGGGGAGGTGTAGGTAAGTTTCATGCAGGGATCTGATGTCAGTTGGATACTAAAGGATGAGTAGGAATTTTCCAGATGGAGAAAGAGGGTGGGTATTTCCGGGAGAGTGAATAGCAGGTGGAAATGCACAAAGGTGTGGAAGAGAACAATATGCTTGTAGAATAAGTTGTGTAGCAAGTCTGGGAGAAATAAGTTAGGAGCAGGGACAGGCAGTGGTGTCAGATAAAGCCAAAGGGATTGGCAGAGTTCAGTGTAAAAGGATCTCATAAGCTGTGTTGACTGTGATCTTCGCTCTGAGGGGCATGGGAAGGCACTGGATCTTTGTGAGCAGATGGATGAGATGGTGAGATTTGTGGTTGTGGAAAGAGGACTCTGAGGCTGAGCATGGTACCTCATGCCTGTAATCCCAGCACTTTGGGAGGCCAAGGCAGGCAGACCACTTGAGGTCAGCAGTTTGAGACCAGCCTGACCAACATGGCGAAACCCTGTCTGTACTAAAAATACAAAAATTAGCCAGGCATGGTGGTGCATGTCTGTTATTCTGGCTACTTGGGAGGCTGAGGCAGGAGAATTGCTTGAACCTGGGAGGTGGAGGCTGAGGTGAGCCAAGATGGCACCACTGCACTCCAGCCTGGGTGACAGAGCGAGACTCCATCTCAAAAAAAAAAAAAAAAAAAAAAGAGACTCTGGGGGTGGTGGACTGGAGGGGGTGGAGTCAGCAGAGGAGGCGGGGCTGGAAGGATGTTAATGCTTATTGTGATATGACTGGAAGCAAATTTCCATCCTTCCTCCCAATTCCTGGGGCAGGAAGCTGGATGGTGGCACCCACCAATGTGTTAGCCCTTTCTCCATCATGAAGGATAACTCGAGGCAGGGCATCCAGTGCCAGTGGGAACTGGTGAGAGGGCTTCGCCATCACCCTAGCTGTCATCCGCGTGACCAGATGGGCTCATTTGGGTGGAAATCCTCCCCCCTGCTCCCCCAGATACAGTGGCTCATCCTGCCTGACGTGCTGCAAGCCTGTCGAGCTGCTCAGGGTAGAGCCAGGTTGGGAGAAGTTTGGGATGGAGCCAGGAAAGGCAATCAATGGAGTTTATTAAGCATTCAAAGCAGGTTGTTGCTCTCTGGCAGATCAGCTGCTAGTTTAAGTACCTGTGAAATCCACAGTAAACAGCTGCCTGCCCACTGGTGTCAGGAGAGCTGGCTTTTAGGCAGAGCCAGATTTGAAGATGCAGAAAGACATAGATCCACTGTTTCTTTAGGATCTGTTATGTGCCCGGCACCATCTTACTTAATCCTCGTGCAATCCTCCCAGGGAAGTATTATTTCCATTTTTAATAGAAGAAAGCAAGGCACAGAGAGGTTAAGGACTTTGCCCCAGGTCACACAGCAAATTCCCAGTGCAGCAGGCAAAGCCTATACTGCCTCTTCCGGACTAGCTGCAAACTTTTCTAATTTTGTCCCAGATATGTTTTCACTGCTCAGTTTACGTCCCTCTGCAAGTATAATAGCCAATGTTTATTCAACACCTCACGGTGCCAGGCACTGTTCATTATGTTATTCTAAATCCTTGCAACAACCCATTTGAGGTGAGGGCATTTATCCCATTTCTGCAGATGCAGAGTTGAGGCTCCAAAAGCTGGAGGGGCTTGTTTGAGCATACACAGCTGGTGAGGGTAAAAGCAGGTTTGCAACCAGGCCATCTGAGCTCAGTGTGAGAGAGCACCCATCTTGCCTCCTCTTTCTCTGTTTAGACAGCACTTCTTTCCATTTAAATCTTTCCCCAGCCCTCTCTTCCTCATCACTCCACAGCAGACTCTCCACCCTGGCACTTCTGCTCAGACCTGTCAGTCAATGAGCAAAGAAAGTGAGCGAGTATGCTGTGCGTGTGTTGAAATGAGTCGGCAGGTCGTCCAAGCAGACGTCTCCAGACAGCAGTATGCATCGCCATTGACAGAGTCAATTACTGCGGCCCCAGGAAAGGGCTGTTTAGCATCTTGAAAGAATTAACCAAACAGTGCATAATTATTGCAAATCAACCGCCTCTTAATTATATCTGTGGCTCCATTATGCACCCCATTGGGCTCCAGCCCCTGCAACCCATGGCCCTGGATTTGGTACATCCCCTTTGCCACAGCCCACTTCTCGGAGAAGACAGAGCTGTGCGTGTGGGAATAACGGCTCTCCTCCAACGATCAGCTTAAAGGTCATGTCTTTACTTGTGGACATTTCTACCAGAAATATGGAAAAAGAGCAAAGTTGTTTTAACAGGCTCCAACCTCTCCGTGCTGCCAAGGAGCTGTCTTCTGCCAGATTCAATTCAGTTCAATAACAACAGCTGCCTTTCCTGGGGGTATTTCCTGTGTTCTAAACACTTCCTGTAATTCTCACCTGCGCAGAAGGAGTTGGTATCCTCCATTTTACAGATGGAGCGACTGAGGCTTAAAGGTGATAGGAGATTGCACAAGGTCATCTTTGAGGTAAATTGCAGAATCAGTATTAGACCCAGGGTCTACCTGAAATCTGAGCCTGCGTGTTGCGCTGGTAGATCATGCCGTCCTTTCCCCCACAAGTCAACCCAGCTCTAGGGTTGACTTGTTCTTGGGGAGAGCAGAGGAGTGCAGTCCTCAGCCCTTGCCTTCAGCATCCCCATCCCTTGGCTGTGGTGTCCTCGCCTCTTCAGGTCTAGTTAGAGTTTGTCTCCAACCCCATTTTACACCAGTGGAAGGTTGGCTGGTTCTGTGGTTTACCCCATAGATGACCTTTTGCAAGTCTCACACCTTTAAGCCTCAGTTGCCCCATCTGTAAGATGAGGGATACCGACTCCTCCTGTGCAGGTGAGAATTACAGTTCAAGTTTTCAGCTTGAGAATTTAGCTCAAGTTTCTGAGAAGCCCCTGGAGGTTTTCGTCTCTGTTGCTCTGGGCTGGCCTTTGACTTTTCTGGCTGACTTTCTCTGTGCCGCACAATGTTGATTCAGACCTTTTCCTCTGTTCCCCACAGAATAACCCCGACTCACACCAGGCATTGATGCATGAAATGGGCTTTACAGAAAATTTAGGAGAAGATAAAGAAATAGTTTATGTGGCTGAGATTCCAACAATTTTCAATTGAATATTAGGCATTCTACTGTTGTTATATGTAAACTTTCTATTCGAGGACATACAGAAAGTAAGTCATAAATGCACGGCTTGATGAATTTTCACAAAGTGAACACATCCATGTAACCAGTGCCCAGAGTAAGAGATAGAACATTCCAGCACCCACAAGGCCCCCAAAACTAAAAAGCCCTTTCCAGGTTGGGTGCTGTGGCTCATGCCTATAATCCCAGCACTTTGGGAGGCTGAGGCAGGTGGATCACGAGGTCACGAGATAGAGACCATCCTGGCAAACATGGTGAAACCTCATTTCTACTAAAAATACAAAAATTAGCTGGGCGTGGTGGCGGGTACCTGTAAACCCAGCTACTTGGGAGGCGGAGCTTGCAGTGAGCCGAGTGTCGCACTACTGCACTCCAGCCTGGCAACAGAGTGAGACTCCATCTCAAACAAACAAACAAACAAAAACAAAAAAACTTCCAAATTCTTCAATTCTTCCTTTCTCCATGCACTTTGCATATAGAATGCAGCAAGTATTGTGGGAATATTTACTGTGTGCTAAGCGCTTTTCATGTATGATCTCATTTAATCATCCTATCAACTCTAAGAGGAAGGTATTCTTATTGTTCCCATTTTACAGATGAAGAAACTGAGACCTGGATTAATCAGCTTGCCCAAAGTTTTTCTGCTGGTGATATGGTTTGGCTGTGTCCCCACCCAAATTTCATCTTGAATTGTAGTTCCCATAATCTCCATGTGTCATGAGAGGGACCCAGTGGGAGGTAATTGAATCATGGGGCGATTACCTCCACAATTTTGTGCTAGTGAGTGAGTTCTCATGAGATCTGATGGTTTTATAAGGGGCTTTTCCCCCTTTTGCTCAGCACCTCTTGCTGCTGCCATGTGGAGAAGGATGTGTTTGTTTTCCCTTCGGCCATGATTGTAAGTTTCCTGAGGCCTCCCAGCCATGCTAAACTGTGAATCAATTAAACCTTTTTCCTTTATAACTTACCCAGTCTCCTGTATGTCTTTATTAGCAGCGTGAGAATGGACTAATACAGCTGGTAAGTAGTAATGGCAGGATTCGGACCCGTAACCCCAGCATTCCTATTCTTAACCTCTAGTTTGGGACAGTGTCAGGCACTGGATTCCTCTGCGTACGGTCTCTGCCCTCATCTAGACGCTAGCTTTGCTCTCCAAAGGCAGAGTCTCATAGGTGGCTCTTTGGTATCTGATATGGTGCAGACCATCCAGGAAGCACCTAATAAATGCTGAATGGATGGATGATTAAACAAAAAGCATTGTTTGAGGGTCAAGTTGTTTACTTAGATCACAGCTTGGAGAGAAAAAAGCTCTGTAGGATGCAGTTATTCTCAAGAAACCAACCATTGCTCATCTCTTCTGTGCGGCAGTGCCTTTGCAGAGCATAAGCAATACTTTGGTCTTTGTTTCATCAACATTTCCTTGCCTTTTAATTTGTGGTAAGAGGACGTGAAGGGAAATAAACATATAGTGATGAGGTGGGGAAAGCCTTTTTCTTGGCTCCGACTAGGGGAGGCATGGAAGATGAATTGAGTTCTGTGCCATCCTCTCAAAGTTCACGCTGTTTTTGCTCCAAAGTTGTTTCCCTGCATGATTTATTGTGCTATCTGGAAAATCAATTTTTTCTTCTTGGGACCACAGAAGAGTCTGTTTCAAAACACATTTGCACCCTTAAAGCTAACATATTCAGTCTTACTGCCTCTGGTATCTGTAAGCAGACCCATTCCATGCTATTTTTAGGATCATTTCCAGAAAAATAATTTGTTTCATTGTGGAGTCTGTCAAGCTAAATGGAGTTATTTTCTTTGTGGAGTTGGATGAGTAAATCTAGTCCTAAGAAAATGAGGATTTAAAACATTTCCTGCAGAGAGCTCATAGCTGGGTTTATCTTATAGATTAAAATAAAAAGGAGCTACCAGAAGGTCTGTGTGTCCAATACACTTTGTTACCATCTATCAAGTCTATTTTCTTAAGTTGTCAGAGCTGTTTGCATTCATAATAATAGCTTTATCAAGAATCAGCTCCTTTTCTAGCATCAAAAGTTAAGAATTTAGGCCAGGCGCAGTGGCTCACGCCTGTAATCCTAGCACTTTGGGAGACTGAGGCGGGCAGATCACTTGAGGTCAGGAGTTCAAGACCAGCCTGGCCAACATGGTGAAACCATGTCTACTAAAAATACAAAAATTAGCCGGGCATGGTGGCAGGCACTGGTAGTCCCAATTACTGAGGGGACTGACACAGGAGAATCACTTGAGCCTGGGAGACAGAGGTTGTAGTGAGCCAGCACTGTGCCACTGCACTCCAGCCTGGGTGACAGAGTGAGACTCCATCTCAAAAACAAACAAACAAACAAAAAGTTAAGGACTTAGACTTTGCAGCTGAATGGATCAGGATTCAAATATGTGCAAGATGTTCTACCTGTCTGGCCTCAGTTTCTTGATCTGAAAAAATGGGAAGAATTAAAGGACCTACGTCATCAGGTTGTAAAGGCCTTAACAGCATGGTAAGGCATGTGGAGTGGGATGCACTTGTTCAGGCATTGGTGGCCCAGGGTATAGGGCCCGTGATATTTTCAGGGGCCCACAAAAAAGTTTCTGTTTTGGTTTCTTTGGCTGGGTGCAGTGGCTCTCACCTATAATCCCAGCACTTTGGGAGGCCGAGGCGGGTGGATCCCTGAGGTCAGGAGTTCGAGACTAGCCTGGCCAACATAACGAAACCCCATCTCTACTAAAAAAAAAAAAAATCAGCTGAGTGTGGTGGCGGGTACCTGTAGTCCTGGCTACTTGTGGGGTGAGACAGGAGAATTGCTCGAACCCAGGAGGTGGAGGTTGCAGTGAACCAAGGATGCACCACTGCTCTCCAGCCTGGGTGACAGAGTGAGACTCTGTCTCAAACAAAAAAAAAAATTCTTTTAAGATCAGAAGGAAAAAATGAATATAGTAATAATGAATGCATAATAATGAATCCAGCCTAGATTATATTTGTCTTTTATACCAACATAGTCACAAAATATTTTTAATTATAATTATATATTATATAATTAGATTATAATTATATAATATATAATTAAAATAATTTTATAATATAATTTTATATAGAGGGAGGAGCCCATGAAGGCAAATGTACCTAGGGCTCATGAAAGTCATAATATAGCCCTGGAGTGTATCAAATGGGAGGATATATTTTTTAATCACACAAAATAAGTTCAGAAGTAGGCAGGCAGTTTGAGACAGGTCTGGCCACTCCTTGGTCTCTAAGGTCCTATTTTTTCGCACCACCTCCCTCAAGCTTGCCTCATGGACCAAAATGGCTGCTAGAGCTTTAGCCACTGTGTCTGCATTCCAGGCATCAGAAGGAAAAAGGGGCAACGGGCAAAAGGAGCCCACTTCCCAGCTGGGGCACCTCTCTTTAAGGAACATTCTGCCCCACAACACTGAACTTGGTCACAAAGCTGCAGCTTAGCTTTAAGGGGGGCCGGGACATGTAATGTTTTAGCCGGGCGCATTGCCTTTCCAGATACAAGGTGGGTTTATACCAAAGAAGGTGAGAACAAGGCCAGATCACACAACCCAGAAAGAAGGAGATACTAGCTCTCTCTGGCAAGCCCCTTGACAGACAGGAAGAGGGAGACGGAGTGAGCTGACAGACTAAGTTCTCCAGCCAGGCGTCTCACCTGTGGTGTGAGGCTCCATCAGTTCCAAAAGGGGGAAGGACAAACAGGCACAGGTGGGGCTCCTGTCAAGTCAGAGGGTCGGGAAGGGGAGAGTGGAGGGATCAGGCAGAGGTGTGATCTCTGTGCCCCATCCTCTGGGTTCCTCATTCCATCAGGCTGCCACCCGAGTATACCCTGCTAGGTGAAGCCACCCCTGACCCCCAAAACTCAACATCAAGCCTCCTTTCCCACTCCCTGACTCCTCACCTTGTGTTATTTTTTCTTTACAGCACATTTCACTGCTTGCGATTCTGTGGATTCATGTATTGTCTGCCTGGCCTGCCAGGCTGTAAGCTGTCTGGGAGGCAGGGATGTACCTGTCCTGTTCATCACGGTATCCTGTCTCCAGCACCTCTTGCCTGGCCTGTGGTGGGTGCTCACACTTGCTGAAAGAGTGGCCCTGATGCAGAAACATCTCCCCCTGGCCCTGGGTAGGCTAGACCAGCATGGGCTGTGGCACCTTCCTCCCGCTCTTCAGCTCTCCTGCTTCATTCATGGTGTTTCAGCAAAGGGGGCTGAGAGCCTCCTTGTGCTAGGTGCTCTTCTGGGCATTGGGAATTCAGTGATAAACACAGACAAGAATCCCTGCTTACATGGAGTTTATCTCCAGCAGAGGAGTGAGACAAGTAAAGAGGCTAGCTGGTGATATGAGGTGTAAAGAAAACTGAAGCAGGGAAGGGCTGAGTTCTGGGGTTGAGTGTCTTCATTTTATATAGAATGGCCAAAGGAAGGCTTGGCTAAGAAGCAGTAACAGTGGAGCAAAAGCCTGCAGGGGCTGGGGGAGCCAGCCGTGTGGACGTCCAGAGGAAACATGTCTAAGCACAGGGAACAGCAGGTGCAAAGGCCCTGAGGCAGGAGCATGCCCAATGTGCCGAAGAACAGCAAGGGGGCCAGTGTGGCTGGCAGAGAGTGGGAAATAATATGGTCACATAGGGTCACTGCCAGAGGTGCAGTTTTTATTGTGAAGGATGTGGGGAGCCCTCGGAGGGTCAGAGGCAGAGAAGGGGGTACAATCTGACTTCTGTTATAGAGGATTCCTTCTGCTGTGTGTTGAGGACTGGTTGTAGGGGCGGGAGTAGAAGCAGGGACTCCAGTGAGGAAGCTACTGCCTCTCCCAGGTGAGAGGTGACCACAGCTTGGATCAGGGTGGAGGCAGAGGAGGAGGTGAGGAGCTGTACTTTCACAGGATGGACTCTTCTCTTCTCACCCAGAAGGCATTCCCGGTGGCCCCATATATCTCCCTCCCTCAGCAGTCAAGTTTCTGTGGGGGTAGGCTCTACTTCATCAGTGGTATCACATCTGTGTCACATTACCCATATTACACAGTGGATGCAGATGTGGGGGTTTCAGCTGGCAGGCTCCAAGGTGAATCTAACCTGCAGGCAAGGTGTTAAACCCATTTTGAACTGTATAGGAGCATACTGCTTTCTGGTTTTGCCACAGACCTCACTATTCTCTTGTTTGCCAAACACTTCCGGTTTCACACATTTGTATTATCCGTCTGGCTCCAGAAGACATGCGAGGTTCGTATGAAGCAGGGCTGGTAACTCCACTCTGTACCAACCGAGATATCCATTTCACAGATCTTGTTAATCCCATTTCACAGAGGAGAGCAACTTAATTGGCTCAGCAATGAAATGACTACCCCAAGGTCATGCGGTTCTAAACTGGTGATTGTGGCTTTCTGGTTTTTAATGTCTCTCCACTCCATCCTACCGGCCTTACAGCTAGTGAGAGTTGAGAGAGAATTCTCTTCCTTTATCAGACAGATATATTACCCTACTTGTAAATAGATGATTTCAGAAACAGAGTAATGGTGAAGAGACCGTCTAACTTGGGTTTGCACTCCCTTCCACTTCTAGGTAAAGAACGGAAAACATTCACCCGTGTATTCCTCATTTGCATTACAAGAGCCGGGCAACCTGCTGATTTTACTGTGTACAATGAAGCTTTCACAAAGCATGTGTGCTTACGCTTCTCCAAATGAAGGGTTGCTCTCCAAAAGACGGTATCTGTAGCACGTGTGTGGTCGTTAGCACCTATTATTATACATTTACGTTCATAGCTTTGTAGCTTCTTACTCCACAGTCCTGCCTACCCTTGGTCCTTAAAAGCAAACTTCGGAGGGTGGTTCTTACTGAAACTTGCCATATTCTGAATTAAATTTTAAAGACTTGATGACACCCTTGCTGGGGAATGAGAATTCAACAGAGTTAAAATTATATTCTTAAGTGTTCCTGGAGTCAGCCCCAAGTATTAAGGTACTCAGAAGTAAAAAGGCCTTTGCCCTCTGTGGGTTTCCAGGAAAAGAAAAGAAAGAAACTGAACAGTCATTTACCTTTTTCTACATTTCCCCAATTTTCTCAATCTGTTCCCATAGCAACCCTAATAGAGATTGGGTTGCTAGAAAAGCATTCATTTCTATAGAAACAATTTGTTCTATATGAGAAAAAGTTTACTTGGTAGCACATGAAATCTAATATTAGGAGTTTGGTTTTGTTGGTGGATTTTTTTTTTTTTTTTTTTTTTGTCAGCCAGAAGAATATTTCCCAAGCCACCTACAGACGTATGTTGCATCTTTAAGCTCAAAATTTCATCTCCTAGTGTTTTCTCAAATTGGTTTTGGATGGAGGTTGCAGAGTCTCAGTCCCTTGGGATGTTGACTAAGAATACAAAATTTTAAAAAGTTTAGATTATTTGCATACTCAAATACAAGGGATAGACTAGATGATCTCTTGAGGGGTTTTGTTTTTTTGGCCCAGGAATATGCTGTTTTTCTTGACGTTGCTGTGAAAATCCTGAGGGGTTTTGAATAGAACAAGGTAGACAGCTTTGGATGTAAGCAGCAGAAGCTCAACTCAAAACTATTAAACAAACAAAAGAGGGGAATTTGTTAATTCTCGGATTTTAGAAGTCTAGAGGTTTCAGGTATGGCTGGATCCAGGGCTTATGGAGAAAGTAGCTTTTCCCTCCCTCAGCTCTGCCTTCCACTCTGCTGGCTTCATTCCCAGGCAGGCTCTTCTTAGGACGCTCCAGAAGCTCCAGTCCTACCCCCTACAGCTTCCAGTGGAAAGACAGGACCTCTTTTCCAATAGTTCCCGGAAAAGTTCTAAGTGGATTGACTTAGGTCACATGCCCACCCCTGAACCAATCACTGGGGACCGGGAAGGGAGGAGATGAGCTGATTGGCCAGACCTAGGTCAGGTGTTTCCCTTTGGAGTCAGAAGCGAGTTCAGCATCTCCCAGTCCCCACAGACTAAGAGATGGAGGAATGTTTCTAAAGTGGAGAATCAGAAGGTGGAGGCAGCTAAAAGGGGGATGGATGTGATCCAGGCACCAGTTGGTCATTCCAGTGACTGATTCCAAATGGCTGAAGAGGACCCATTTGACCATATTCTCAAATTAGGGGGCTGGTCCTTAAAAGCTTGCTTTATCCCAGCTGGACAGAGAGAGGGAGCTGACCAGTTAGGGCTTCCCTTTCCCATCACTTCATTTTTCTAATTAATCTGTTACCAGCTCCACCTCAAGAATATACTTCAAACAAGATTTTTTTCCCCCTTCTAAAGGGAGTTGAAAAAAATCAGAATACATTTGCATGCTGCCTAAAACATTCTGAACCCGTGTCTTATCAGTACCACTGAACAACCTTGTCTTTTCAGGGCTGGTAGCTATATAATTATAGCTACCTTCAGCCTCGCCAGCTCTCTCTTGAAAAGGTTATCGTGAACAGGGGATGAAAAATCATTTGGAAACATAGCCTAGGTCTGTTTTTCAATTGTCTTTTCATCCCATAGTTCAGAGAGTTCGAGAAAATAATGTGTTAGCAGCACATAAGTAACCTCATATACATATGTTTATTTTTTAAATTTATTTTCTATTTTTTGAGATGGAGTCCCGCTGTCGCAGGTGGAGTGCAGTGGCGCGATCTCGGCTCACTGTAACCTCCGCCTCCCGGGTTCAAGAGATTCTCCTGCCTCAGCCTCCTGAGTAGCTGGGACTATAGGCATGCGCCACCACACGCAGCTAATTTTTGTATTTTAGTAGAGACGGGGTTTCACCATGTTGGCCAGGATGGTCTGGATCTCCTGACCTTGTGATCTGCCTGCCTCTGCCTCCCAAAGTGCTGGGATTACAGGCATGAGCCACCGTGCCCAGTCCATATATTTTTTTCTTGAAAAAAATATTTCGTGAGACGATTAAGGTGCGAATTATTTCAGGGAAGGTGTTGGTGAGTGGTCAGTAATTTAAATTAACAGGATTTCCGGGGCTTATTTAAGAGCCTAAAATAGAATTGCTAAAATTCAGAGAGCGTTTTACTTTAACTTCTGCTATAGGGACTCTTTTGCCTTAAAAATGCTTTGTTTTCATCGCCATTAGCTTGCAAAGATATTTTAAAAGTTTAAAATATCCTTAGGATTTTTTTCCTTGTTAATAAACTGGGTTAATGATTTCCATGGAGATTACTTCCAACGAGGCTCTTGTATTTTAGGCAAGCAGCTATCCTGTTGGGATCAGAAAGGAATCATTTGAAACCTTTAATCTCCTAGCAAGACTAAGTGCTTCTGGTGAATGAACCCCTGGGTCTCAGTGGGACATTTGAGAGGCCCTTTAAGGTACAAAGCGCTGTGTTTCAGAAGACATAATCTTTCAAGTAGGACTCACAAGTGAGGGACTTTGACCAGCCTGGTTGAGGGAAGTGTGTGCATGCCTGTGTGTGTGTGTGTGCCTTGCACGCATTGGGGGTTGGGAAATTTGTGTTCTGTTAGTGGAGGGTGTCCTTTATAACACTGAGAATGAGGGTGATGTTCTGGTTTAAAACCCCTGTAACTTACATGAACTTCCACGAGCAGAGACGGGTGTTGTTGAGCAGAGTTTCCTGCACAAAATGTACAGTTGCATCACCTGGCATCTTGTCAAAGCACAGGTTCTGATGCAGGAGGTTAAGGATGGGGCCTGGGATTTGGTGTTTGTGACAAACTCCCAGATAATTCCATCCCCATGCTGCTGGTCCCTGGACCACACGTGGAGTAGAGAGAGTACAGACCACTTCGTTTCACCTCCACTGGGAAGAGACCGAAAATCACATTTTGGATCCTGCCAGTCCTTAGCAGCGCTGATTCTGGTGTATCTTGGGACTTTATGTCATCCCCGAAAAAGGGATCCCCTAAGAAGGGTAAAGCCCGAACACCTTTTAAGTCATCAGTTCTAGACTAGCTGATGTCCTCTAATCCTGGCAAGGAATCTGGCTGCAGGTAAATGGTGGTTGCAGGGGAGACAGATCAGCAATGATTCAGGCAAAACTTTTCTTCTAAAGCAGAAATGATAAATGAAGCTTATTGTTTCTTCAGAATTTCTTTGTGTCATTCTCAGCTACGGGGACTATTAAAGTATATTTCCCAAGGGAGTGGTGGTATTCGGTGATGTCCTTGTTCATTTAGCTGAAGGCAGATTTCCCTGTTTCCCTCAATGGGAGATGATCTTGTACCTGAGTCTTTAGTGAAGAAGCAGCTACACTGAAGCCTTTCATCAGAATTCTCAATGAGGCAGCAGACTCAGAGAGAAGAAAGAAGCAGGCCCTTCTGAGCTTTTTGGAGAATTGCAAAGCAGGCAGCCTGTATCAGGTAGCTACTGACATATAACAAATAACCCCAAAACGTAATGGCTTCAAACAAATAACCTTTTTAAGAATATTTTTTATTATGGATTCAGGGGGTACCTGTGCAAGTTTATTACATGGATATATTGTGTAATGGTGAAGTTTGGGCTTCTAGTGGACGCATCACCCAAACAGTGAACGTTCTACCCAATAAGTGGTTTTTCAACCTCACTCTCATCTCACCCTTCCCCCTTTTGGAGTCCCCAGTGCCTATTATTTCCATCTTGATGTCCTTTCAAGCAATAATTTTTAAACCATTATACTATCCATATGTATCCCATAACATCATGTTGTAAACCTCAAATATACACAATAACATTTATTTTTAAAACATAAATCATTTTTTAAAATGAAAAAGCCCCAATAACCTTTTATTATCATGATTATTTCTCATGAGTTGATGTGTAGGCTGGGCAGTTGTGCTGATCCCAGTTGGTCCCATTGATTTGTCCATGGTCAGCTGGTGGTTCCGCTGGGGGCTGGTGGTCTAGCATGGTCTTTGCTGGGACCACTTGGCTCTTCCACCTACCACCACATTCGTCACAGTCTGACACGTTCCCATGGCGGTGGCAGTGGTCCCTGAGAGAGCTATAGTATCCCAATCATGCAGGAGGACAAGTGGGAATACCCTCAGGCTTTTCAAGCTCTGCTGGCATCAGATGGGCTAACATACCCCAGTGGCCAAAGCAAGTCATATGCCTGAACCCAGAGTCAGGGAGTGTGGGACCAGAAAGCTGAAGCAAAGAGCATGAATGCAGGGAAGCCATTAGTGAAATTCAGGAATGAACAAGCCCCTCTCTTAATGCTTGAGACTGAGTTTGTAAATCTCTGAGTATAGACAAAACTTTTCATTCATTCACTTATTCATTCGTTCATTCATGAAACATTTATTATTTCTCTCTTATGCAAAGCACTGGGCTCAGTCAGACTTGACTTCGGAGTTTTACTTGCCTTGAGATCTACACCCACTTAACTTCCACCTCCAGATCGTCTCCATGTGGAAACTGCAGAAAGCTTTTGCTGACTCCTCAGCGGGGCCCGTGGGACCTGTGGAATCATTCTGTGGAATGAGGCAGAGGGTCCCCTCCCCAACGCCCACAGGGCAGCTACTGCCTGTTGCCATGGAGATGCTGGATAGCTTTAAACAGACCCTACCTGCTACCCACTTCTGGGGCGGCTGCCTTGCAAGATGAAAGGGCCTGGCTAGAACTCAGAAGGTCTGCTGTCCTCTTAGGCCCTTGGGTTGATCGCCTCATGGAGGCTGTTTTGATCATCATCATCAATGCAAATAATTAAAATTTTTAAAAACAATTTTTGTGGGTATATAGTAGGTATATGTATTTATGGGATATATGAGATGTTTTGATACAGGCATGAAATCTGTCATAATCACAACATGGAAAATGGGGTATCCATCCCCTCAAGCACTTATCCTTTGTGTTACAAATAATCCAGTTATACTGTTTTAAAATAAAACAGTATGTACAATTAATTATTGTGCATTTTAAATTAAATGTACAATTTAATTGTACATTTAAAAATAACTCAATTATTTAAAATTATTTAAAGTAATTATTTAAATAAAATAAATAAATAAATAATTGAGTTATCTTAAAATGCACAATTATTGACTATAGTCACCCTGTCGTGCTATCAAATACTAGGTCTTGTTCTATTTTTTTGTGCCCATCAACCATCCCCACCTCCCCAATTTCCCACTGCCTTTCCCAGCCTCTGGTAACCATCCCTGTACTCTCTATCTTCTTGAGTTCAATTGTTTAGATTTTTAGATCCCACAAATAAGTGAGGATGCAAATAATCTTTCCCTCACAGTTTCGTTGGTTTGGTTTAGGTGGATTTAGAAGCATATTGTAAACCCTAAAGAGCCATGAGCATGTCAGGGTTTATTACAAGTAGGAAGGAGAAGCCAAAAGTTCTCTCCCAGCGTGGTCATCGATGATGTGCTGGGAAACTGGATGTGGGAAGGGCCGGGGAAGAGCCCAGGATTAGAGTGATTGCTGATTTCCTTGGTGTAAATACATCATGGCTGATTTCTATCAAGGTTGCTACCAATGATTTAACAACCTACTTGTAGAATTCTCCTACAAACAGCATCATGCTTGACCTTACAGCACCCATATGAAGGAGGTACACTTTTGACATTCTCACTTTACAGATGGAACAATTGAGATTCAGGGAGGGAGGCTGAGTATGTGCCCAGAGTCCCACAGCTACAGGTCCCACAGCTACAGCTACAGGGTATGATGAGGCATGTCAGACCCTCCATTTTCCCACATTTAATCACTAGAACACCTGGATATTTAACAACTTGCTTTCTCAAGCTGGTAGGAGCCAGTTCTAGTTCCCCTGACTTAGCTCAGGTACCTGCCTGCCTGGGTTTGAACTGGCCCCGCCTTTTACTGTCTCGGTGATTTTGTGCAAGTGACTACGCTCTGTCTGTTGGTAATAAGGGGATCTAACAGTACCTGCCTTCTAGGGTTGAAATAAAGATTCAATGAGATGAGGTGCATGTGAGGTATCTCACATACAGTAAGTGCTCGATGAGTGCCAGCTGTTACGGGTGCTACAGCTCTAGGGCAAGTGATCATGCAAGGGTCTGAGGAGACTACGCTGTCACCACAGGGTTCCCTAGTCCTGTCATCTGAAAGTTGTTGGTTCACCCCATTTCCAGCCCATTTTTCCACCTAAGCACCTGTGAGTGGAGCTTTTCCAGCCTCCTACAAACCATCCATTCATCTCATTCTGCAGAGCTCAGCGAGCACTTCCCTTGTGTCGGGCTCCTACAAACAGCATCACACTCGTCCTCACAGCAGCCCTGCGAGGAAAGGACATTTTTAACATCCCCACTTTACAGATGGAACAATTGGGTTTCAGGGAGGCTGAGTAGGTCCCCAGAATCCCACGGCTACAAGTCAGGAGAGTCAGGATTCGAATCCAGAGTCTTTGTGTCTAAACCACCCTCCCCCTTTTTCGAAAGAAAAAAACAATTATGTAGAGTAGCTTCTTGATTTTATATATTTTCTTTTTAAAATAGCCTTATTGAAATGTAATTTACATACATAAAATTCATCTTTCAAAAGTGGGAAATTCTGTGGTTTTTAGTACATTCCCCAAATTGTGCAACCATCGCCGCTATCTAACTTTAGAACCTTTCCATCAGCCCCAAAAGAAAACCCAGACGCCCCCTCTTCTCAAAGAAATGCAGAGGCTCTGGACACATCCATCTCTCAGCTTCTGCAGAAACCACCTGCAGCTCAGCCCACTGCCCCTACAGGTAGGTGGGGAGGGAGGCTCTTAAGCAGAATCATTTTGCTCACATTCACTGAAAATCTCCAGGTCCCTAAAAAGCTTTGCCTGATTGTATTGAACTATTTATTGCCCTCCCTCTCAGTGTGAAGGGGGAGTATTTAATTATTTCCAGAGACACAGGCTGTTGTCATTTTATCTCCTTGATCTCCACCCCTACCGCCCTTCATGGTTTCGGGAGAAAGCTGCTGGGTAGAAGGTGCTGGTATCTTCCTTGCCTGTGATTAGAAGCCTCTCTCATTGGAGCTTTTGCTTCCGCTCGTTTTCCCCTTTGCCTCCTTTCAGCTGCCCCTTCCCGAAGCCGAATATCACCTGATTTTAGGCGCTGGGGATAAAGGAGCTGTGATTGGGACCTCCTGGTGTGCCAATCAAACACAGAAATGAAAGATTGGTTTTTCAAGACAAACCTGGAGGCAGCTGTTTGGTGCTTAAAAATCAGGCTGTGTTTAATCACTGAGGGGAAAACGTATCAATTGCAGTCTGATCACAGTATTGTCTAAACAGCCCCGGGAATTGGTAAATGACATGTGCAGGGTATTTTTAGCTCATGTTTTTAGAAGCTGAACAGTTTATCACCTCCCCACCCACCCCCCTGCCCCGACCTTGTTACCCCTTTCAGGCTGATCCTCTGTGATTCTGCTAGTTTCACCTTCCAAGGGGCTGTTAGATATGCAAACCGCATTCTTCTCCCTTACCTTCCAGACTTTTTCTTTGTTCAGTGGTGGTGGCTGTAAGGGAGAGAAGTGGTTGAGGAAAATAATTTATCTTTGGCTGTTTTTGAGGTTTGAGGTTCTCCGATGTGTAAGCAGTGGCTCGTGTTTGCACTTCCTGAATGCCTTTTCTCACCCTCTAGTAAATGCCTATTGGCATTTGGGAAGAAAGAATTTAGCAACATTCCAGTTGATCCCAGGGTTACAGAGAGAGCCAGTGGCAATAGACCTCCTGGGACCCTCACCCAGTGCTCTTGGGGTTTACGTCCCGGGTTGTACATTTAGGCTTAACGGCCTCTGTGTGACCTTGTCCACAAAACAAGACGTTTCGTTCCTTTGTGGACCCCAGGGGCTTTCCCATGGAAGGAAGTCGATGAATTCTTACTAAAGGAATAAACTTCAGAACCAAAGCCCGCGAGTGTTCGGTGTACTTTTTCTTCTTTCCTTATCATGAATAAGCCGGACTTCCCAATTGCAATAGCACTTGAATGGCATCATTGGCAATCACTCCGATGGCGCAGGTCCTGGCCGGCTGCTTCCCATGTGCAGCCTCTTATCCCCCTCTGAGGGCAGGGTTTCTCAGCCTTGGCTGTTGATATGTGGGGCACTTGGCAATTCTTTGCTGTGCAGGGCTTTCCTGAATATTACAGGATGATGAGCTGAATCATTGGTCTCTACTCTACCCACGAGCATCCCCCTCTCTGTATGACAACCTCAAATTTCTTCAGACATTGCCGAATGGACCCTGGGCAAGGATGGAGGGGGTCACCCCCCAGTTAAGAACCACTGGAGTATTTGGGGAGGCAAAAGGAAAAAAAAAGTAGACTGAAAATGTCAGAGGCATTCGAACTAGAGCAACTCCATCTTGAATAGGGGCGGGGTAAAATGAAGCTGAGACCTACTGGGCTGCATTCCCAGGAGGTTAAGACGTTCTTAGTCACAGGATGAGATAGGTCTGAAGATACAGGTCTCAAAGACCTTGCTGATAAAACAGCCTGCAGTAAAAAAGCCGGCCGAAACCCACCAAAACCAGGGTGGTGACAAAAGTGACCTCTGGTCAGCCTCCCTGCTCCTTATACACTAATTATAATGTATCAGCATGCTAGAAGACACTCCCACCAGCACCATGACCGTTTACAAATGCCATGGCAACACCCAGAAGTCACCCTATATGGTCTGAAAAGGGGAGGAACCCTCACTTCCAGCAATTGCCCACCCCTTTCCTGGAAAACTCATGAATAATCCACCCCTTGTTTAGCATATAATTAAGAAATAACTATAAGTATAAGCAGCTGAGCAGCCCATGCCGCTGCTCTGCCTATGGAGTAGCCGTTCTTTATCCCTTTACGTTCCTAATAAACTTGCTTGCACTGTACTCTATGGACTTGCCCTGAATTCTTTCTTGCACAAGGTCCAAGACCCCTCTCTTCATGTCTGCATCGGGACCCCTTTCCGGAAATAACATCAGGGAGGCCGAGCACGGTGGCTCACGTCTGTAATCGCAGCACTTTGGGAGGCCCGAGGTGGGTGGATCACGAGGTCAGGAGTTCGAGACCAGCCTGGCCAAGATGGTGAAACCCCATCCCTACTAAAAATACAAAAAAAAAAAAAAAAAAAAAGTCAGACGTGGTGGCAGGCACCTGTAATCCTAGCTACTCAGGAGGCTGAGGCAGGAGAATCACTTGAACCTGGTAGGTGGAGGTTGCAGGGAGCCAAAATTGCACCACTGCACTCTAGCCTGGGTGACAGAGTGACTCCACCTCAAAAAAAAAAAACAAAACAGAAAAGAAAAAAACCCAGGGAAAGGAAAAGAAAACAGGAAAGAATCACGCAGGGAGAAAAGAAGTGTAGCACAGAGGGAAACAGACATGGGCGGAGTTTGACTGACTAGACCTGGCCTTGGTCCTGGGCCCTGCGGCTGACTTGGCTAGGGGACCCTGGGCAAGACTTCGCCTTTCCTGTGCCTTGGTTTCATCTGTAAGATGAGCACCTGCCACACAGGGTTTGTTGCAAAGAGCAAAGAAATTGCCTTTTGTGAAAGTGCTATACCAGTGCAAGCTTTTTTTGTGTATGCTACTGACATGTGTGTATTGTCAGATCAATTTCTCCTTTTGCCAGTGTCAGATTCACCTATGACAAGAGACAGTCCTGAGTTTACCATATGCTCTGTGAGGATTAGCAGTATGTCATTGCATTCTCATTTATGGTCAGAGAATAATTTGATTAAAAGCCTGTTTGGACAAGGTGCAAAGCAACGGCAATGGCAGGGCCAGCCAGAGGTGACAGAGTTTTGTGGAAGAGAAAATAGGTTTGGAATTTTCGGTTCTAGAAGCCTCTGCATCATCTCTCGTCTCTCCCGTCTTTGCAGAATTCAGCCGCAGGACTTTCTCAAGTTGTTTGGAAAACACAGCTGAAAATTATACCTGGCAAGTATGGCTCTCTGTCCACACACTTAGGGAGACAAGAAATAGAACATTCCTTTATTTTCTTTAAATTGACTTGAAGCCTCCCTCACTTGTTCTTGGTTGGGTACAGAAAGATTTGGAACCTTACATAGCCCCAAATGCCTGGCCAGGCGCTGATGGTCACCTGTCCACATGGGTCACGTTGGAGACATATATTGTCCCAGCCCATATAATGTCCCAGGTTGGCTGCTTCCTTCCTAGCCACTCTTGGTCAGACTGAGACCCTGTGGCCATATTCCCTCCCAAGGGCATGACACTGCCCCATCCACCTGCAGCATGGCCAAGGATCAGGGCCCAGGATCCCAGCTTGAGGAATCCTTGTATGCTCTGGGGTCACCCCTCCCTCTCCCTTCTTGTATTCCTCAGGGACGCTCATGTCTGCTCTCCTGGCATTTCAGGACGTGTGACCAATCCCACCCATGAGCTATGTGTCCTTTGAAAACAAAGTTTCAGCTTTCCCAATCCTGCAAACACTCTCTCCCCTCCAGACCAGGCCAGAAAGCACAGAGTTAGCCTGGCTAAAACAGAGGATGAGAAAGTGAACACACAGGGAGAACCCCAGACACTAACATTTCAAAAAACAGTCCTGCCATTTATTTCTCATCCCCAGCATCCAGGCCCACCTGGCCAAGTTTCCAAAGTGGAGAGAACCATCCAAGACTAGAGCCAGGGGACATGGACGATGCTGGCATGTAGTAGGTGCTCAATGCACAGCTGCTCCATGCCCACCACTGGAACTCCACCTGGTGGGTGAGCCACTGAAGGGAGAATTGGGGTTTGCCATTCTTCCAGCTGCCTTCGTCATGTTCAGAGTCATTTGTGTTCTCTGCTCTGCTGCTCAGTACAAGTTGGGAAGCTTCTCAGCATGCCAAAGGGGCTCTTTCTTCTTTAATATAGCATTGTTACCCTGACATTTCCCTAACTCTTTCGTCCCCTTCCATCTTCATGGTTGTCAAGGAAACAGTTTCCTGGGCAACCTGTTGACTTATTTGGCTGCCAAGTTTGTATTATCCAGAGTGGGGAGCTGTAGTGAAGGATTTTTTTTTTTTTGTTAATGTCACCAAGGTAACCGCCAGCAGCCGTTTAATTATAGTTTTAGGTAAAGATGAATTCTTTTTTGCAAATGTTCATGTATTTTTGGTTTGGGGTGGGGTGGGGAGAAGAATCGCCAGGAGATTAGCATTCTCTAATTATATGCTTTCAGTTGTGGACAATTCAGTTTCATTTGCAATGAAAGTTGGTTTCATTCAGGATTAATTTTTTCTCCTTTAAAAAATCAGAAAAACAGATAGAACAATGAAAACAAAGAGGGAAAAAGAAAATCAGTTTGGCATGGAGCCAGCAATGAGTGTGGTGGTCATGGCTGGGGTGTGGGCATGGCTGAAGGGATGTCACTGGTGACTGTTTCCTGCAACATAAATTCCTTTGTGGATCTGAGAGGTAGTGTGGTGTAGTGGTTACACACTGGGACTCGGGAGTCAGGCTGCCTGGGTTCAAATTCTGTCTCTGCAGCTTCTTAGCTGTTTGGCCTCAGGCAAGTGACTTAACCTGGCTGTGCTTCAGTTCCCACAGCCGCCAGATGAGGAGGAAATGGGAAGAAAGAGTTAAATTTCCCCATAGGTGTGCTGTGAGGGTTAGGATCTATTCATTAGATCCCTTAGAAGGATCCCTGGCGTGGCACCAGCACTCTATAATATCAGCCATCATCGTAAAGCCAGGGCCTCCTACAGAGCACACTTTACCTACGCCTGCCTACATGTTAATCGTTTCAGCCTTTCTAGGCACCAGCGTGCTAATATGAACAGTTCTGATGTTACCGTGTGATAGAGTCATTAGAACCACACCTAACATTTCCCGGAGACTGACACTGTTCTGAGCACCGTGTCTTTGCTCATTTCATGTCCATAGCAACTCCAGAGCTGGGTACTATTATTGTCTCCCTTTCACCAATGGGGAACCTGCAGAGGAAAAGAGTAAGAGTTGATGTTTTAAACTGAAAAGATCAATCTTGTAACGCATTTGTGAATAGCCTCCTTGGAGCTGTATGTAACTTTGTTTTATGGTTCCCTCCTTGGCGTCTCAGTAGGTTTTGATCAAACCAAGTATCAAAGTGCAGGGAAGTGTCCATCTGGGGAGGAGCACTTGCGGTTCACTCTTGGGAGGCTTTCTGGGAGACACCAGATGATGGCAGATTCCTTGGATCCTCGATGGTGGCTATGACATTCAGGGAGTTCTCAGGCCCCTGCACTCTCAACTCCCCTCTCCGGATCTGGGGGAAGCAGGCTGCAGAACCCCAGAGCTGAGGCACAGGTTGCACTGGGGTGGTGAGGAGCAGTCCCCATTGGTCATCTCCCAGACAGGTAAGCAGGAAATGATGATGGCCCAGTCCAGAGCAGGCCGTCAATGGTCCAGCTGCATGAGCTCGGGGAGAGGTTTCTCTTGTGCTCCCAAGTAAATCAAGGAGTTTCAATCTGCCATCTTCATGGTTCTCCAGGGTTTAAAAGTACTGTGATTCTGTAGGGGAAATAAGAGTCACAGATCTGTCTTTTGAACCCAGGTCAGTCTGAGTCTAAAGTCTTCTTTTAGCCACTGTGCTAAAGCCCTGCTGTTCTGATGGTTACTGAAACCAGGGACTCTGGAGCCAGAGTCTTTGAGTTATTTTCTGTCATTTTCTAGTGAGTGACCTGAGTAATGTACTTCTCTGTGCCTCAGTTTCCTCACTGGCAAAATCGAGACAATAAGAGTACCTATCTCTGGGGGCTGTTGTGGGCAGTGGAGCACTCAGAACAGTGTATCTCTCCAATAAATGTTAGGTGTGGTTATAATGACTCTATTACACAGTGACATCATAACCATTCATATCAGCAAGCTAGTTGCATCGTGGTGGCTGATAGTTAACATGTAACCAGGCGTACATTTTCTTTATTTAGAGAGACAGGTTCTTGCTCTGTCACCCAGGTTTGAGTGTGGTGGCATGATCACAGCTCACTGCAACCTCGACCTCCTGGGCTCAAGCAATCCTGCCACCTCAGCCTCCTGGGTAGCTGGGACCACAGGCGCGTGCTATCACACCTGGCTAATTTTTAAATTTTTATAGAGTTGGAGTCTTACTATGTTGCCCAGGCTTGTCTTGAACTCCTGGCCTCAAATGAGCCTCCCACCTTGGCCTCCCAAAATGCTGGGATTACAGGAGAAAGCCACAGTGCCTGGTCTGGTATGTGCATTTTCTGACTTACTCCTCACCATCGTTATTTTGATGCTTCTAGTATAGTTCCTACATAGGTTTCTGTATCGTTAATCTTATCAATCTATATATAACATGCACTGTGTAGGCAAGCTTCTCTCTTCATCTTTATAAATCCCCTAGTGATGCTCCCCTTCCCACTAATCTCCTTCAATTGAGATTCAACTGCACAGGCCAGCCCCTGTCAGATCTGCTGTGCTAATACCACTGGGAATATTTGTTTTGTGTGCTTTTTTCTCTTTCCATGGATTAGGTACACTTTCATCATTTTCAAAGGAAGACCTGAATAGCAATGAACTCATTGGTCAAGAGCAGTGGAGTTTTGGCATGGAATACCCTGTAC
Organism: Homo sapiens; assembly: GCF_000001405.40. Classification (NCBI taxonomy): domain Eukaryota; kingdom Metazoa; phylum Chordata; class Mammalia; order Primates; family Hominidae; genus Homo; species Homo sapiens. The sequence continues at coordinate 51,098,559 of NC_000020.11, forward strand.
CCTGGACCCACCACGATGGAGTAATGTGGAGACTCAAGGCTGATTCTTAGCCAGGCCAGTGGCTTCAGAAAGGGCCAGGAGCCTGCAGTTACACAGCTCCATCTTTCTGCCCCTCCCTCCACCCCCTGCCTTTTATTTCTTATTTGTTACAGCCTTTCATGAGGAACAACAGTCAGTAACACAAACATTATATTCATCTCTGCTCATTCTCCCCTCCAGGGACCAAACAAGTTTTTTTTTCTGGGCATTGAAAATACGTCTCACCCCAGCTTTTAAATAGGCTCAATGTTAGACAGAAAAGCACACATTCTGTAGAATGATGGAGGAAGGGTAATTATGTATTAATAAAGACAAAAAAAAAAGAGAAAAAGGAAAAGAAATTGTTCTTTGCATCACCCGATGGCTTTGGCAGAAATAAAAATAGCAAAATGCTTAACTGGTTTTCCTGCCAGTGGGATGAATAGGGGGCTGGTGCTCTTGATTTGAGGCCATGGGCTGCAGGGCTGTGCTCAGCGTGGGTGGGGACTGTGAGGACTGAGGATGAGGCTCCATCAGGGGGGCCATTTGTGAGGACTTGGGCTGCAGAAGGGGAGGGAGGAGGGAACCCACAGAGAAGCTACCTTCTTGTGTCTCCCTGGGCCTCTGGAGGTGGGTGGTCTCTGTGTCTTTGGGCAAGTCATATATTCTTTCTGTATAAGATGGGGATAATGATACCTGAGTATCAAAATCTTACCCCATGTGGTCTAGCATTTTCAAGGCTGCAAACAGCAGTGGTATAGAGTGGAAATAAACCTGGGTTGGAGTCATAGCTTTGCCGCTTATCAGTTGCGTGTCCTCGGGCAAGTTACTTAATCTCTCTGTGCCTCCGTTTCCCCATTTGAAAAATGGGGAGGATGATAAACCGCATCGACTTCAGTATTGTGGCAGAATGAGTGAATACATGTAAAGCAATTAGAACCGTGCCACTAAGCATCCTCTCAAGTGTTATAATGATTATATTAATATCTCCATTCTTATTACCGATATCCATATAGATGAAGTTCAGTGAAACTGGCTCAGTTTCATGAAAGAACTGCTAAGTGGAAAAAACCAGGATCTAAACTCAGGCTTTTGGACTCCAAATCTCATTGAATTTTCTTTATGCCCATAACTCCTTCCTTACAAATGAAAAATGAAGGGCCTTTTTCATTTGTAAAAACTCTAACACCGGTGATAGCTTGTTAACGAGATCTAAACACAACATCCTTCAAGGTTAGACAACTTTAGACTGAGTTTTCAGAGCTCACTTTTCTGGTTCTTTGCTTTTTTCTCTGTCTGTAAAATGGACTCCGACAACAACCATGATGTAACATTGCTCATGGCAGAAACTCGGTTAAAAACAAAATCTAGGGGACAAGTTGCAGGGAGGTTAGAATTAACCAGGTCCCTGGCCACTGGGCCCTGGAAGGTCAGATGGCTTCCAGCTGGAGGGGAGCTCCAACCCTGTACATTCCAATAGGAAGCCGGCAGCTGAAGCTTTGTCTCCAGGGCTTCCAGGTTCTCTGGGGTTTCTTCCTTTCTGACCCTGGAAACAGAAGGAGACTCAAGACTCTCCATGAAGATACTTTCTTCTGTTGGCTGAATTCACGAGGTGGGTCTGATCCATGTATCCCTCCTTGCAACTCAAAAGAAGGCAGCAGCTTTACTTTGATACAACCTCAGGAAAGGCCCTGCATTTTCTTTTTATGAATCTCGGGCTGTGATTCAGGAAGAGGGCAAGGGTGGAGTTGGAAATCGCCCCTCGTGGAAGTGTGAGCTACAGAGAAGCGGAGGAAACCTGGCCGTGTGCTCCAGGATTTACCTCTGTAACCCAAGATCCCAGGGAGCTTAGATATTGACTTGTGTAGACACTTTCCTTGGGCTGCTCAAGGTGGTTCCCATGACCCTGTAGGCTCTGCGCAGTCCAGGAGGCCTCATACCCCCTCCCCTGTTCTGCATGAGGTTATTTGGGAGTGTGGAAGGCAACTGGCATTTTGTCCTCTTAATACATGTTAATAATGAGATGCTGCTGATAAAATGCTACCATTTATTGAGAGTTTATGTGAAGTGCTTTACTCATGAAACAAGCAGTGGAGTGTGGCTAGCATGCTGCCGTTTGCTCCCCAGCATCCATCCTTTCCTTCTTGCCAAACAAACCTGATTTTACACTGGGTGGCAGAGTGCCCAGCTCTGGGTGAATTGTGATTGATTTAAGGGTTAAACTTTAAGCCCATCCTAACAATCTTGTTTTTCATTTTCTCAGCTTCCTGTGTAGCTGTGGCTAGCTGCAAGGCCCATTTTAGACCAACAAAACCCACAAGGATGTCTGCTCTGGTAGCTCGTGAAAAAGCTCCATTTTTTTTTCCCCTAGATAACAGGAGCAGATATGGCTGGCATAGCCCCTTTGTGCCTCTTTGTGCCTTGCCTGAAATTGTGATGGCTGGAGCAAAGCAGCAGTTTTGTAGCCATGAAAGAAAGGCTCCAGGCTGGGCACGGTGGCTCATGCCTGTAATTCCAGCACTTTGGGAAGCTGAGGCGGGCGGATCATGAGGTCAGGAGTTCAAGACCAGCCTGGCCAACATGGTAAAACCCGTCTCTACTAAAAATACCAAAAAAAAAAAAAAAATTAGCTGGGTGTGGTGGCGGGTGCCTGTAATCCCAGCTACTTGGGAGGCTGAGGCAGGAGAATCACTTGAACCTGGGAGGTGGAGGTTGCAGTGAGTCGGGATCATGCCACTGCACTCCAGCCTGGGCAACAGTGCAAGACTCTGTCTCAAAAAAGTTACTCAGAGTGTGGTCTGTGGGCCAGATCGTTAGAAATGTGGACCCCACTCCAGACCTACTGCACTCAAATTTGCACCTGGGTCTCCAGGTGACCAGTGTGTACATTTGGGAGGCCCTGCCTACAGAGCCAGAGACCTCTGTCCTGATCTTGTGGAGCTGCTGAAGAACCCTTGCCAATAAGAACCAACCTCTGGGACTTCTGTCATTGGTTTTCTATTACTTGCAGCCAAGCGCATTCTTCACTGATACAAGCAAAACAGCCTTAAGGGAACCACCTCCCTGAGAACCCTATCCAGAAAGGACTATCATTATCTCCATTTCACAGATAAAGAAGCAATCTAAGAGAGACTGAGCTATTTCCCAGCATAAGACAGCTGGGGAACTTGTTGACCCCAGGTCCGCCTGGCCCCGAGACCTGGGCACTGCAGTGGTGCTGTGCCACCTTTTCAGCTTAGCTCTACTTGAGGCTCATCCTCCAACCCAGCTGCCAAGATCACCACCACTCAGGCCGGCTTGTCCATCTTCCTACGTGCCCTGCACCATGAACTCTCCTCAGCAGAACCCCATTGTCTGGCTTTGCAGTTCCAGTCTCTCTTTTTCTTCACTGTTTCCCAAAAGGCTTCCCCTTGATGCTGCATTAATTTCAGAGTTGAGAAAAGAGTCCAACCGCCCTCTGATTGTCTCTCGCTCAAGGCATGCACCTTTCTCATTATTAGCTTCAGTCTTTCAAGTTAGAGACACCCCTTTAAACAGTGTGCATAGGAATTACCGGGGGGAGAGCGAGGACACATTGAAAATGCAGATTCCAGGGCCTCGCTGTCCAGAAGGTCTGATTCAGCTGGTCTGAGGAGGTGGGCTCAGGAACCAGCCTCTCTCGGGGACGGCTCCCCAGGCGACTCCAAGGAGCATTCAGCCAAGGCTGGGAGTTTGGCAGAGTGATGAGGGCAGCACAGGAACTGTCATTCCTCCTTCTCTCTCACATTTTTTTTTGAGACAGAGTCTCACTGTATCACCCAGGCTGGAGTGCAGTGGTGAGATCTCAGCTCACTGCAACCTCCACCTCCTGGGTTCAAGTGATTCTCATGCCTCAGCCTCTGAAGTAGCTGGGATTATAGGCAGGCACCACCATGTTCAGCTAATTTTTTGTATTTTTAGTAGAGACAGGGTCTCACCACGTTGGCCAGGCTGGCCTTGAACTCTTGACCTCAAGTGATCTGCCTGCCTCAGCCTCCCAAAGTGCTGGGATTACAGGCATGAGCCACCATGCCTAGCCCTGTCTCACATTTTTTTTTTTACAGCCACCTGATAAATGTTTGATTTGAGTAGGTGCAGCCTGGTTAGTGTTGGCTACGTAACAATCTCTCGAGGCTCTTGAGGAGAAGACAACCAATCATGGCTGTGCGGTGCCCTGTTCAGGTTGCTGGAGTTGCTAGATGTGTTCCAGCTCTGGGCACACATTTGGAGACAGACAGCTGTGGTTCATTTAGACTGGATGCAGGATGGCAGGCCTAGTCTGATGTGTGGTGTCGGGTGATTGAAAGTGAGGTCAGGTGCTCTTGAAATGAGGCGGCAAGGGAGGTGGGATCTGTAGTTGTCAGAATGGCCCACAAAGATGCCCACACCCTAATCTCTGGAACCTGCCAATACCATATGTCACATGGAAAAGGGGACTTTGCGGATGGACCCTAAAATAGGGAGGTTCTCCGGGATTATCTGAGTGGGCCCAGTCTAATTACCAGAGCCCGTAAAAGCAGAGAAATTTCTCTAGCCAGAGGCAGAGAAATGGGACAGAAGGTGAAGTCAGAGGGATTGGAAGTAGAGAGTGTCTCATGGAAAACCCGAGAAGGAATGCAGGCAGCTGTTTGGAGCAAAGACCAGCCTTGGATGACAGCCAGCAAGGAATGGGAACCTCAGTCCAACAACCACAGAAAACAAAATTGAGTCAGAGCATGAATGAGCTTGGAAGTGGATTTTCCCCTAGAGCCTCCAGGAAGGAACACAGCCCTGCTGACACCTTGACTTTGGCTTTGTGGACCCTAAGCAGTGGACCCAGTCAAGCCCTCCTGGACTTCTGACCTACAGTAACAGTAAGACAATACATTTGTGTTGTTTTGAGCTGCTGAGTTTGTGGCATTTTTGTTATGGCAGGCGTAAAAAACTAATACAGGGCCCTATTTCAGAATCTGGGAGAGGACGTATGCTGTGCCTTCTTCTCATTGTCCCCTGCCCTCCTCTGACCAGCCCATCTCTCCTTTCCAGGTGGGCTGTTGCAGCCTGACATCGTGATATAGAGCGAATTCCCACCTGCACCTTACACGCTGCCCTCGGTTGCTATAAAACCATTTCCTCTGGTTTTTCCATCCTTCCCTGCTTGCCTGCTCCAGTTAACATTTTGGTACATTTCTTTTCAGGGCTTTTTTCTGTGCATTTTATTCCCAGTTGAGATGTGCAAAATGTACCAACTTGTATCCTGCTTTGCTCCCTTACATTAAATATTTTCATATCACTAACGTTTTTCCATAAGCCTTACTGTTAATGGCTGCGTAATAGTTCATCAGATGGAGGTGCTGTAATTTAGTTGTTCATTCTCCAATTCTTGGACTTCAATTTATTTCCTTCCCTTGCATCCCCAATTATGAATAACTTATTTTTTTTTTTACCTAAAGATTCCCCTAGCATTCTATATTAAATCCTTATCACAGTTACCCAGAAGAAGAATTACTAGACCAAAAGGCACACACTTTTTTTGCGGCTCTTGATAGAAATGCTAAATTACCCTTCAGTTTCTGGGCACCATCTAAGCAGCTTACTTTTGCTCCCTAATATCTTCTCTTTGTCTCCTCCATCGAGTCCTCCTCTGAGCCCCAAAGGGCTGGGGTGGTCTATTAGTTGGTAGAACTATAGGACATCCAGTAGAATGCATTGGGTGTTCCATTAGTCTCGGCAATTTATGTTGTTTCTTTATCATCCTCATAGACTCATCACGACGTCTATGACCCACAAACAGAAAGAGAAGTTTAGGAAGGCATGTGTTCCCTCTTAGAGATTCATTCTGCCCTTTAGCCCTTGTTGTAGACATGAGTCTCAGCTGGCAAACTTCAGGTGTGCCCCAAATCCTGCATTTTGTTGTTGTCATTGATTTTTAAAAAAATACATTTTAAACCCACTCGTGCTTCTCTGAGCTGCTCTCCCCCGGGCTACTGGAAGATTCAGCCTCGGTCATCACAGGCGTTTCCTCACCTGGTGTTGTACAAAGTCTCAGGAGGGGCATCTCAGAAAGCAATAAGGCATGGGGTGGTGGGGGGGGCTCTTCCAGTTATCAAGCATCCTCTGAGTGATCACTCTTTTTGTTTGGAAGCTTTGCTGCCTCTGACAAATGGAATTCTTTGCCAGCGACTTCTCTGGGTCTTGTTATCTACTTGATTGGTGGGGGCCTGTGACGGGGGAGGGGGCTGGAGAGTACCACTTTGCAGGGCAGTGAAGCCCCAGAATATCTTCTGTCTCTAGTGTTGCAGATTCTTTTATCTCTCTCCTTGCCTTTGAAACTCATCACTGTTTTTCTGCTGCTGGAAGACATGTCACATTCCCGTGCTATTTCACCTGACTTATTAAAGGCAGAAAGAAACTTTGATTTGAGGCGGCTTCTCTGCCTATCCTGCAATAGTTCCCAGGGCTGGGAAGCAGAGATGGGTCTCCATGCCTTCAAGGAAAAAGACCCTGGAAAATGTAGGAAGGAAAGAAACCTCACACATTAATTTTTCAAGAAAAAATATTGTCCCTCTCAATAAAGGCTCTGAGAAGTCCTGCAAAAAGCAACTTGCCTAACTTCCTTTAAGCCAGTTTTTCTCAAGCTTAGTTATTCTTGAGGCCTTGTCTCTTGCATAACAACTCATACTTTTCTGCAGAGTTGTAGCAAACACACTGGAAAATACTGGTCTGGCTCAATGACTTGAGAGGTTGACAAATGAGGAGACTGATACCAGAAAGATAAAATGGCTTTTAAAGTCTCTTATGCCATGTTCATTACCCATAATCTGACCCATGTATGAGGCGGGGCTTAAACGTCTCTCATCAGAGACAGTGCTAAAGAGGGTGAAATAAATCACACTTCTTTTCAGGCAAGATGTATTTTTCTTCTGCCAAAGGGGCTCACTATTTGAAGCAGTCCCATTTAAATTCTTTTCATAAAGCAATGAATCAAACTTCCCCCTCCAGGGTGATCCTTCGTATCTCTGGATTTTATATTTCAGCTTTCTCATCAATCCTGGCTGTGAAATGTCACAGAGGACTCGAGGTCATCTCCGAATCAGGGACCTGACCTTCCCAAGCCTTAGACCCCAGTTTCTCTCTCTGAAAACCTAGCAGTGGCCTGGCCTCACACAGAACACGTCAGTCTGCCTGGCTTGGAAACTGCTTTCAAGATGTGAGTTGTTGATTATGTTCAAGATGACAGAATGTGACATTAAAAAAATCCTGTCTAATGCTAGATGACGAGTTAGTGGGTGCAGCGCACCAGCACGGCACATGTATACATATGTAACTAACCTGCACAATGTGCACATGTACCCTAAAACTTAAAGTATAAAAAAAAAAAAATCCTGTCTGAGAGGCTCCCTGAGGAGTGAACCAAAGTAGAATTTGAGGGTGTTGCAAGTCAAACAATGTGTTAGGTGTCTTTTTTTTTTTTTAATTATATTTACTCTTTAAATAAGTAATGCATGTCCGTGGAACAAAATTCATACAAAAATTGAGACATGTCAAGGCTTTCTTCTGTGTTGATGTCCAGCTATCTGGTTACCCTCTGCTATGGATGGAATGTTTGTGTTCCTTTGCAATTCATGTTGAAATTGGGAGGTGGGGCCTTTGGGAGGTAATTAGGTCATGAGAGCTTATGAATGGGATTAGTGCCTTTATAAATGAGGCCTGAGAGAGTTCCCTTTCCCCTTCTGCCATGTGAGGATGCAGCAAAAAGACGGCCAACCATGAACCAGGAAATGGGCCCTTACTGGCGTATTAGTCCATTTTCATGCTGCTGAAAAAGTCATACCTGAGACTGGGTAATTTATAAAGAAAAAGAGGTTTAATGGACTCACAGTTTCACATGGCTGGGGAGGCCTCACGATCATGGCAGAAGGTGAAAGGCACGTCTTACATGGCGGCAGACAAGACAGAATGAGGGCCAAGTGCAAGATATTTCCCTGTATAAAACCATCAGATCTCATGATACTTATTCACTACCACGAGAACAGTATGGGGGAAACCACCCCCATGATTTAATTACCTCCCACTGGGTCCCTCCTATAACACATGGGAATTATGGGAGCTACATTCAAGATGAGATTTGGGTGGGGACACAGCCAAACCATATCAACCAGACACCAAATCTATCTGGCACCTTGACCTTGGACTTTCCACTCTCCAGAGCTGTGAGGAATAAATTTCAGTTGTTTACAAGCCACCCCGTCAATGGTAGTTTGTTATAGTAGTCAGAACAGACTAAAGTGTCCTCCAAGGAGGTGACAACTGTTACAATCTTCTTGTGTCCTTCTCCGGAATGCAAATATAGTGAACATAAAAATCAGCTTCCTATAGATGCTGTTCTGCTCCTTGACTTTTTTGCTTGGAGGTTGTTCTATCGGTTTGCATAGGGCCGACTTACTCTTTTTAACTGCTGAAGAAATTTCACTAGAGAAATGTGCCATGATTTATTTAATTGACCCTCCATGAATAGACTTTTCCATTGTTCTTAATCTTTTTACACCAGGTCAGCAGTTCTCAACTGGAGCTGATTTTGCGCCCCGCCTGCCCCAGGAGATGTTTGGCAGTGCCTGGGGAGATTTTTGATTGTTATAGCTGGGAGGTGGGGTGCTACTCACTAGTGGGTGGAGGCCAGGGATGCTGCTGGACATCCTATGGTGCAGGGGACGGCCCCCACGAGAGACGATTTTCCCACCCCGGATGTCAGCAGGGCTGAGGCTGAGAAGCCTGCGCTAGGTGGTGTCTTCAGGCTGCAGGCTGCAGGTGAGAAGTCTGGAGGGACTGAGATGTCAAGTCCAAAGGCAGGGACAGGAGGAAATGCGCGTGCCATGAGAACACTGCGCTTTGCAGGAAGGAGGAGGGAAAGTGCTCAAGCTCGTGCCCCTCAGAGTCTAGAGAAGACAGGTCTGGAAGGGGCCACCACCCAGAGAGGGGAGGGGCTCCCCTTATTCCTTTTGTGCCCATTTATGCTCCTAGATTGTGCCTGGGAACTCCAGAATAGTGGGTAGGAGATGCAATTATCCTCAACAAACCAAACACAGTCATTAAACAGAATCTCAACGCTCTTAATTACTAGTATATTAGCATATTACGAATGAGGAAGCAGCGTTTAGTATATAACAGCAGAAGCTTTGGGAAGAAATGCCTATTTTTACCACTAATTAAGAGAATATTATAGAAGAGTTAGAGAATTAATTGTACTTCAGTATATCTTTATAAGGAAGATAATTGGGTAAAGATTGTTTCTTTCTTCCCACATCACAATATTTGCAGGCAGATGGTATTGTTCGTGCTGAGAAACTGTTGTGGTATCAACACAAACCATTTTCTCCTTCAAAAATATTTAATACATTAATTGGCCTCCTCTTTGCAGAATATTATTACGATTATTTACATCTATGCTGCACTTCACGGTTTTCAAACACATCCATGTGCATGAACCTATGGAATTCTCGGGGTGGTCAGGATACTATCATTCCCTTTTTACAGGGGATAAAACAGCTAGGAGAGACTTAGGTGACTTGCAAGAGGCCAGAAGCTTAAAACGGTTGCAATCAGGACCAGAACCCAGCCCCCAGCACTAAAATGTCTACTTCTGGACCATGGATGATTCTTCATTTTCTCTGTAACCTGCACGATCTGGTACCTCACTGTGGATGTGTGCAAAGTGTTTACCTGCTCTGTGTGTGTGTATGGAGGGGTTCCATATTGTGTGTGTGTGTGTGTGTGTGTGTCTGTGTGTGTGTGTATGGGGGGTTCCATACTGAAGTGAGAATAGCAGGACCTATGTGGTACAGGAGTCCTGGGTTCAAATCCCAGCTCTGGCACTTACTGTTGTGTGACTTTGGGCAAGTGAAATAATCTCTTTCAACTTCAGTTTCCTCATCCATGAAAGAAGGGTTGTGATTCTTATTTCCTGGGGTTGCTGTTAGGATGAAAAGAAATGATGTCCTCAGGTGCTCAGTACAGTGCCTGCCTGGTACGAGGTGGCTTATGGTTGTTATTGTTACTCCTGCCTGGATCTGCTCACTCATCAGACACTTCTGATTGTATCCAGGGGTTTCACATGTGCACACATATCAGCCCCAGCCACGTGTGGCTTCCGTGGCCACAGTTTCTGATGCCTCCCCTGAGACAAGCCTTTAAGTCCTGCTGCTCTGCCTGTGCTGGGGAGCAGGTCCTTTTGGTCACCCAGCCGCCAGCGCTTCCTAAGCTCGTGGTAACCGATCGGCACAGCAGCTAAGGAGGGGATGGTTCCTGACTTTTGCCATATGCTTTCGTGGCGGGCTACTGCAGTGGGCTGCTGGGACCCTGATGCGGCACAGTGCTTGGGGATTAGGCTTTATACACTATACCCACAGCTGCTCCTCCTCGGGGTGAGCACACATGGTCAAGGTCACCTGGTTAAGGTGGGGCTCAGGGTTTAGACACCAATGTATACTGAGAATCACGCCTTCCTTTGGGATCCCAGGCTCACACAGTGGCAGCATTAAGTCATCTCTCCTTGAGATAAACTCTCCCAGGAGCCTCTACTGGGTGATGGTGGTTCTGATCTGACTGGTATCACTTCCCCCCTTATTTTGGTAACTGAGCCTTAGTTTGACTTTGATGAGTTAGCAGTTCTCCGCTCTCAGACCCTGTGGTTCAAGAAGGTCTGACTCCAGACCCTTGGTGCTGACAGGGGATGTGTGACCCATCCCTGACATAGGAGAATGCATATGCATGCTCCTCTGGTCACAGAAAGTGGTTTAGGGATGAGCATGTGACCCAAGTCGGGCAACTCACAGCCAATCCCAGGACTTTTGCGGGCATTATTAAACGAGAGATGATCTTTCTGCTGTGGGTGCTCAGCTGGTAGGATGTACGCCTGGGACTACAGAGGCCATTTTGCTAGGACATGGGGGATGCCCTCTAAGAATGAAGCCAATGCAGAGGAAGACAGAGACCAGAGATGGTCAGAGACAAATTCCTGATTGCATCATGAGTACCTGGATCCATCCATGCCTGAAGACAGATTGAGGTTCCATCATTTGCAACCAAATGAGCCCCAAGGCTGACCTTGACACTGAAGCTCCTTTCAATCTCTTCTCCTCCCACCCACCAGAAGTGCTGGGATTTGCCTGAATCCTGTTAATGGGCTGACTGCAGGTTCTTTTACAGGCAGCCCTTAAGAAAACAGATACCTTCAAGAAGAGGTTGGAGAGAAAGGAGAAGAAAAAGCTCTCCCAATTTTCCATGCTAGATCTCCAGCCTGGCTGAGATGCTGCCTTGTATTTTATCAGGCTCCTTTCCCCATTTACTTTCCACTAGACGTTTTCAAGAGGAAATGACAGAGATTACTTTTTCATGAGGCTGCCTTTTGTAACCCAGCAGATGTTTAATTAAAATTTTTATTATCTCCTCAAGTTAACACAGAAATTCATCTGTTATGGCAGCACAAGTCCCCAACTTTGAAACTTCCCTTTTATGAGTTGAGAATTCCACTATTAGCCAAAGCCCAGCATCTTTCCCAAGCATCTCTGTGTATAGTGCAGGTGAGGATTTGACAGCCCCTCACTTCAGCTTAGATGTGACCTCCTTTATGACGCTTCTCTTGAAACCCCGCCCACCTATCCCCATGCCTGTTGCCTTTTTCCTTCTCTGCTCCTTGCACCTGTGACACCTTATGCTATGATTCGTTTACCCATCTCTGTTTCTAAACTCCTCGAGGACAGCAACTCTATTTTCTTTATACTAGAGTGGATGGGTATTTTGGCCCGGTTTTTAATTCATGAATATATTCCCACAGCTTTAAACAGTGCCCAGCACATAGTACATGCTCAATAAATGTTTATTAAATGCATCTCTGCATCCCACACATGTTGCAGTCCTTAGCACAGAAGAAGGACTTGGGACCTGCAAGAATGAAGCGAGGGGTTAGATACGCCCTTTTACTTGATGTGATGATTACACATTGCATGCCTGTATCAAAGTATCTCATGTACCCCATAAATATACCTTCTACATACCCATAAGAATTAAAATTTAAGATAAAAAAGGATAAAGTAGGAAGGAAAGTTGGTTCCCAGCTCCCCCAATATCACTGCTGTCCAGGACTCAATCACGGCGGGTTCTTCTGTCTCCTTTTATCCAATCAGACAGCAACTGCCTCTCTTCACATTCATTCATTTTCCAGATCCCCCGCACACTTATTGGTGCCTATACAGTGTCAGGTGTAGACAGATGAGCGTGTACGGATTCTGCCTGAAACTCACCTGCTCTTCAGCTCTGTGCCACGAGGAACGTCTCATCACTCCCATTTTACAGATGTAGGATCCAAGACTCTGAGGGGTAACAGTCAGAGGTCGCCTGATATAAGAGGTGAAGGTTAGATGAACACCGTTTTGCTTTCTCCTCCGTTGTCATATACATGCATCTTACCTACCGGCTACCGTAGGAAAGGCAGGATAGATATCCTACATTTTGAGAGAAAGACTTGGCATGAGGCATCCAGTGCGCTCTCAGTCAAGGGACAGCTAAAACCTCATTGTCTGTGTTGCTCTGCCTTTTGCCCTGAGAGAGGTACCCTGTCATCTTACCTTTATGGGGGACATGAATCCCTCTGTTTCCTCCTGGTTTTCATTCTGAACCTCTGTGCCCCTAGCAAACACCATTAGCTCTTCCTGACTTCAGGATGGACTGAGTAACGGATGCCAGACACAGGGACGTTCCCAACACTGCCTAGAACGAAGTCACTTTTAACAGAGTGAATGCGAACACAATGTATGCATATTGCACATACAGAACTACCTGACAGTGCTAAATAATTCAGAGAGGGCGCCAGCAGCTCAGTGCCTTTTAATAGTAAATAATTCAAGGGCTCTTGGCATCCCTCCCACCGATACAGCAATATATCTTCCTGTGTCAGGAGAGAAGCAGGAGTCTTACATGAATGAATGTGAGGGCCATCACAACCAGAACCTTCTCCCCCATGCAAGTTTACAGAGTGCAGTGGGCAACATCATTTGCAATTGTTCTTTGATTTAGGTGTCCAGCCGGTCAGACTTCCAGCGTGCTGGCTTTTGTTACATATATATATTTTCTGAGACAGGAGTCTTGCTCTGTCACCCAGGCTGGTGTGCAGCAGTGGCACAATCTTGGCTCACTGTTGAACCCAGGAGGGTTCAAATGATTCTCGTGCCTCAGCCTCCCGAGTAGCTGGACTACAGGTGCGCACCACCATGCCTGGCTAATTTTTGTATTTTTAGTAGAGATGGGGTTTCACTATGTTGGCCAGGCTGGTCTCGAACTCCTGACCTCAAGTGATCCACCCACCTCGGCCTCCCAAAGTGCTGGGATTACAGATGTAAGCCACCGCGCCCAGCCGGTTACATATTTTTTAAAGTGAGAGAAGAAAACAGTTTCCTCAGACATCCACTGTGATTAAAGACGAGCAAGTGTGCAGTTATGTACATATAAATTTGTTAGCAATTTAGGTCACCCTTGGCCTACTGTTCAAACTGAGTGGCAGGCTTGAGAGCGGAGGGCATCTTGAGTGGCGTAGTAGCCTCGCATGTGTTCTGTCTTGTTAGCTATGCAACTCTGGGCAAGTGATGACACTTTCTTGTTCCTCAGTTTCCTCTTCTGTCAAGTGGGGTCAATAATAGTTCCTATGTCATAGGATTGTCATGAGGACCCCATGGAAGTCCACCTGTGAAGGGTTTAGCACAGGGTGGGGCAGGTGGAAACTGCTCCCTAAATAGAGACCCATCGCTAACAGTAAATCAAAGTCCTCATTTTACTAATGAGGCCACTGAGGCTCAGAGAAGGACATAAGCCCAAGGTCACACAGCCATGACTAGCAGCAAGAGGGCAAAGGTCAGGTGCTCAGTTTCCCATTTAAGTGAATTTATGGCAGAAGGGAGTAACAGCATACCCTGGGGACTGGGTGCAGCCAAAAGATCCTTTGCAGCTGAAAAATCCTTTGGGATATTAAGCTTTATCAGACAGAGTTTGAATTTCTCGATGTTTTAGTGTAACATAACGGCAATTACTTTCACTCAACACATGTTTCTTTAGCTCCCACTCAGTGCCTGGCACTGGAAAGGCAGCAACGAACAAGACAAGGTTTCCACTCTCATGGAGACAACCAACAAGCCAACCAATGAACAGACCGTTTCATGTCATGGTGAGCGCAAAGGAAACGCTAACACAGGGTAAGGGGCTGGAGAGTGATTGGCAGCTCCTTCTATGGTGGGTGGGGGTGTCAAGGAAAGCACCTGTGAGGAACTGGGCATGCGGCGAGCTGGGCATGTGGCAAGCTGGCACGCGGGCTGAACCATCAGCCTGTGCAAGGGCCCTGGGGTCAGGCAAGTTTGATGCCTTACTTTTCCTTCTCAAAGCATGGAGTACTTTTCAGGGTTATATTAGTTTCCCCGAAAACTGCTGCTGCTGTAGCAGATAGTCACAAATAGGGTGGCTTTGCAACAACAGGAATTTCTTCTCTTGCAGCCCTGCAGGCCAGGGTCTGAAATTAAGGCATCAGCAGGGCCGCAGTCCCCCTGGAAGCTCCGGGGGAGGTTCCGTTCTCTGCCTCTTCCACCTCTGGTGGCTGCTATCACTCCAACCTCACCACCTCTCTGTCAGTCTCCCTCTGCCCGCCCGCCTTCCTCCCTCCCTCCCTCCCTCCCTCCCTTCCTTCCTCCCTTCCTTCGTTCCTTCCTTTCTCCCTTTCTCCCCTTCTCTCTCTTTTTTCTTTTCTTTTCTTTTTTGGATACAGGGTCTCACTCTGTCACCCAGACTGGAGTGCAATGATGCAATCATAGCTCACTACAGCCTCGAAGCCCTGGGCTCAAGTGATCCTACCACTTCAGCCTCCCGAGGAGCTGGGACTGCAGGCGTGCCACCACCATGCCCAGTTACTTTTTTATTTTTTGTAGAGATGAGAGTCTTGCCTAGTCTGGTCTTGAACTCCTGGGCTCAAGTGATCCTCCTGCCTCAGCTACCAAAAATGCTGGGATTACAGGCATGAACCACCATGCCTGGCTAATTTTATTTTATTTTTCTGAGTTGGAGCTTCACTCTTGTTGCCCAGGCTGGGTGCAATGGTGTGATCTCAGCTCACTGCAACCTCTGCCTCCTGGCATATTCAAGTGATTCTCCTGCCTCAGCCTCCCAAGTAGCTGGGATTACAGGGACCCACTAAAATACCCAGCTAATTTTTGTATTTTTGGTAGAGACAGGGTTTCACCATGTTGGCCAGGCTGATCTCGAACTCCTGACCTCAGGTGATCCACCTGCCTCAGCCTCCCAAAGTGCTGGAATTACAGGTGTGAGCCACCGTGCCCAGCCCCTGGCTAATTTTTTTATTTTTTGTAGAAATGGGAGTCTCACCCAGGCTGGTCTCGAATTCCTGGCTTCAAGCAGTCCTCCCACCTTGACCTTCCAAAGTGCTGGGATTATAGGGATGAGTTACTGCACCCAGCCTGCCTGCCTCACTCTAGTAAGGACACTTGTCAGTGGATACAGGACCCACCCAGATAATGCAGGATAAGCAGCTCCACTCAAAATCCTTAAATTAATCACATATTTTACCATATAAGGTAATATCCACTCTTTACAAGGTAATTTTGACAGGTCCCAGGGATTAGGACATAGACATATCTTTTTGGGGCCACCCCACTCTTATGGCTTAGGAAGATGTGCCAGGTTCTGGACACTAAAAGCAACAATAAAAGGCAAAACTTGGCCTCCGTTTTGAGTTGAACTTGCAAGCACAGTATCCAGTTATGTTAGACATTGCCGACGATTTTGGCTGTAAATAAATATGTAGAATGAGACCTAAATATGTCGCTGGGGACCCTGCAGCGCAGGCTGAAATACGGATGCCCAACTCTGAAGTCCCCCTAGCCTGCACTTTCTCTGGTCCTGTTTTGATTTACTGAGGACTCTGGGGGACACTGTGCTAAACATAAACGTTCCCTGGGGAGCTTGTTAAGTGCATGCTCTCAGGTGCCTCCTGAGAATTCTAATTGGACGTGTCTGGGGGAGGCCCAGAAATCTGCATTTTATTTTATTTTATTTATTTTATTTTTTATTTTTTATTTTATTTTAATTTTATTTTTTCTGAGACGGAGTCTCACTCTGTCGCCCAGGCTGGAATGCAGTGGCACGATCTCAGCTCACTGCAACCTCCGCCTCCCGGGTTCAAGCGATTCCCCTGCCTCAGCCTCCCAAGTAGCTGGGATTACAGGTGCCTGCCACCACGCCCGGCTAATTTTTGTATTTTTAGTAGAGACAGGGTTTCCCCATGTTGGTCAGACTGGTCTCGAACTCCTGACCTCATGTGATCTGCCCGCCTTGGCCTCCCAAAGTGCTGGGATTAGTGGCGTGAGCCACCACGCCCAGCCAGAAATCTGCATTTTAAACAAGCACACCAGGTGATTCTGCTTCAGATGCAGGTGGTCTGAGAATGACAGGTGGAGAAATGCTGATGTTAGGGGGTGGGTGATGCATGTTTAATTACTAGACAGTGGTGGTGGAAAAAAATTCTGGCCTCATACTCCATTTGAGGCAGACACAATTGAAATAACTACATATACATTTGCAAGAAGTCTCAGGTTGGCCAGGTGTGGTGGGTCACACCTGTAATCCCAGCACTTTGGGAGGCTGAGGTGGAGGATCACTTGAGCCCAGGAGTTAGAGACCAGTCAGGGCACATGGTAAAACCCCATCTCTACAAAAAATACAAAAATTAGGCTGGGCACGGTGGCTCATGCCTGTAATCTCAGTACTTTGGGAGGCTGAGGTGGGCAGATCACTTGAGGTCAGGAGTTCGAGACCAGCCTGACCAACATGGTGAAACCCCGTCTCTACTAAAAGTACAAAACTTAGCTGGGCATGGTGGTGGGCACCTGTAATCCCAGCTACTCGGGAGGCTGAGGCAGGAAAATCACTTGAACCCAGGAGGCAGAGGTTGCAGTGAGCTGAGATTGTGTTCACTGTACTCCAGCCTGGGCAACAGAGTGAGACTCCATCTCAAAAACAAAACAAAACAAAAAAAACAAACAAAAAGTAGCCAAGCATGGTGACATGTGCCTGTAGCCCCAGCTACTTGGGAGGCTGAGGTAGGAGGATCACTTAAGCCTGGGAGGTCAAGGTTGCAGTGAGCCATGATTGTGCCACTGCACTCCAGCCTGGGCAACAGAGTGAGACCCTGTCTCATAAACAAACAAACAAATAAAGCTCCGGTTGCCTGGAATAATCTTGTACAATATGGAGCCCTCAACTGGCGGGATGAATCCTATGTAGGCTTCATAAGGTTGGAGAGGGCTTTGGGGAAGTGACCCAGTGCAGGCGCCCTGGGTTAGGAGTCTGAAACGCTCAGGCTCTCATTTCCACTCTCAGCTTACTGGACCTGGGGTCTTGGGCAGGCCACTCTGCTCTTTGAGCCTCAGCTTCCCCCTCTGTGAACAGGGTTGTCCGGATTTGCCTTACCCAGTTCACAAACATGCCTTGAAGGGTCATTGTCACTGTTTAGCAGTTACAAATCCCAAGAGTGTCTAGACTTTTCTCCTCTCTGAGAGCTGCTGAGTGAGGGTGAATGGGTGTTTTTCAAAGGCTGTCACATTGGTGGTATGCTGGAGGGGCCCCAAGACCACCCTCAGGATTTACGGTTCAGTAGGAAGCCTCACCAGGCCTCAGCATACGGTCATCCTCCTGGCTGTGACTTATGATGAAAAGATAACAACTGAAATCAGCAAAGGAAGAGGCTCATAGGTGAAGGCGGAAACCAGGCACAAGCTTCCAAGAGTCTCTCCCACTGCATCACACAGGATACCTAATTCCCCCGTCAATGAGTTGTGACCGCACTTGTGAGATGTTGTCCACCAGGGAAGCTCACTAGAGACTTGGGGCCTGGGATTTTTATTGGAGGCAGATCATGTGGCAACCTCAGCCTGGCAGGTACCAAAATTCCAGACTCCCAGAAGGAGCTCAGGTGTTCATCACAAACACTATTCTTTGTATAGGTATTTTAGGCACAGAAGCCACTCTTACCAGTTAACGGTGGGTAGGACCCTCATGAAATCTGAGTTCCCAGACTCTAGCCAAGGGTCAACCTCATAGGGACTTTTTCTTGCCTTCCAAAGGATGGTGGCCGGGTTTGCTGTGTTAACTCTGTTTGGCACAGGTGGTGCATGTAATGGTCGTCTCTCATTTTTTTTCTGACATTTGGGTATTCAACCTCCCTTCCCATGCCTGGGGAATCTCCCATATTTTGAGACAAAAATCTACCTCTCATGATAGAAGCTGAAAATGTCACTCGTTTTCCCAGCCAGCTTTGCAGCTAGAGGACAGTCACATGATCCCAGTCCTGCCAATCAGATGAAGCACTCAGATTTTGAATTAGAAGCTAGTAACATAAAGAAGGTGGAGCCTGGGCAACATGGCAAAACCCTGTCTCTATAGAAAACACAACGATTAGCCCAAGTGATGGCTCACGCCTGTAGTCCCAGCTACTTGGGAAGCTGAGGTGGGAGGATTCATTGAGCACAGGAGATCCAGGCTGCAGTGAGCCATGATTACATCACTGCACTCCAGCCTGGGCTACAAATCAAGACAATTGTCTCAAAAAAAAAAAAAAAAAAAAAAAAAGAAGTTGGGAGCACACTTGTAGTGAGGGGTTGCAGCAGCTACATTCTGTTTCTAGGGGTGGTGGCAATGGCAGCAGTTCTGCTGTCAGAGGCTGGTGAGCAGTCCTGATGGTGGTGGTGACACCTGTGCCCAGCACGAGCTTCCAGGAACCTTCCCTGGGCCAGTTCTGCAAGATGCTTTGAGCCCCACCCCTGAGTCTCTGGCCCTCCGGGAGTCTCGGAGTCTCGGTGAGCTCCCTGTTCACTTCTTTACAGCCTCTTGTCTTTCCTTAAGTCAGACAGGCTTGGGCTTTGTTTCATTTTGTTTGGGTTTAGGTTTTGTTTGGTTTTGTTAGGAAGATAATTTTAAGATATACTCATACATGATGTTAAACAAAATTGAGTCACGGGGTGAAATGGTCCTTTTTTCATTCTCTCTCAGACTTTCTTCTTATTTAGGAGAAAGTCTCTGTTTGCTTCTAGAGTCCTTAACTCCTTTAAGCCATTTCTAGCACTTGCAAATTTCCATTTTAAACAAAGACAGAGCACGCCTGAGGCTAGGATGCTATCTAGCTAGAATTTGATAACATGGATATTGCAGAATGTTTATTTCATGGTTACTTTGTATTTATGGCAAGTATTACATAGCAATGGTACAATGTTTCCCTTTAAAATAAGATCATTTAAGAAAAAGTCCTAATCCGATTCCTGACCCTGAAGTAAATAACAGCACAATAGTGTAAGGATAAGGCAGTATCAGGAACATGGTTCTTGAATGAGAGAAGTGGGGGGAATGATGTGGCTGGAACTCACATTTGGGGTCTGCAAAAAGTGGTAGCAGATTCTCAGAAAGAGTAGACAAGCTCCCTGAAAGCTGAGGGCTGTGCTGGGGAGCTGGGAACCCCTCAACCCCAGCATGGGAAGATATGGTGGCTGCCCCCTCCACCCCAGCATTGTATCCATAGCATGTGGACAAGAGAAACCCCCCAGGGCTGTCCCAACTTGGCTGCAGCTGGAAGGGATGGTGAACATTGTCCAGCCAGCCCTTCTCATTGCAGAGATCCCGCTGGGGAGGATCTGGGTTTCAGGACCAGCCTCAGGCCTTGCAGTGAATCTGGGCAAGGTCAGACCATGAGCTGGTGGGTAGGGGTTCTGGATCCTCCCCTCAAGCTGCACTGAATGGCCCCCTGCTTTGCTTAGGTCAGTGCCTTCTCACTCACTCTCCAAGCTGCAGCCACACTGACTCCTCCCTGTCCCTTCAGCTTAGCAAACACCCTCCTGCCCTAGGGACTCAGCCCTTGCTCTTCTCCTCCTGCCTGGAAGGTTCTCCCCACCCACCTCCCACCACTGCCTGGCTGCCTGGCTCCCTCTAGGCACCCGCTCAGGGAAGCCTTCCCTGACAGCCTTGGCCAGGCCACCCTCACTGGTTGGCACATACCACCTTGGTTCACTTTCTTCACAGCACTTCTCCTCTGCGGCTTGATGTTTAAGATTCACTGAGTGTCCGTTGTCTCCCAGTGGAATGTGAGCTCCCTGAGGGCAGGGACAGAGCAGCTATACAATCTGTGGGACCCAGCGCAGGATGAAAATCAGGGTCCTTGTCTAAAAACAGTTAAGAGTTTCCAGACAGCCACAGCAGAGCCTTAAAGCAAGCTCGGGCCCTCTTGAGGCCCGGCTGCTGTGCTTCTGCACGTCCCTACGGCCTGGCAACTGGCCCAGGCCAGGGACTTTGTCTTGCTGACCACTGTCCCCTGAACATCGGGGACACAGCCTGATGCATAGTGGGCCCTCAATGAATATTTGTTGACTGAATGAATCAATGAATGAATGAACTGATGGCTTCAGTTGCTACTTCATCTGCAAACCAGAAACAAAATACATGCATCTAACCATTGATGACTGAGATCAAGTTACCCATTAAGGTTGAAAGAGAGAGTCAGACGCCTAGGAGGGCCCTGCTGGGCTGGCTGTAAGAGCAGCTCTAAGGGCCTCAGGAGCCTTTGGGGCAAGGCCGTGACCAGTGGGGTTCTGCTGTACCATATCACCCGCGCAGCTTGTGTGCAGCACAGAGTGAAGGAGGTGCCAGAACAGAAGCAGGACCGGGAGCCAGGAGGCCTCCCCAGTGGTCTAATAAGCACAGTGGTGGCAGAGGAGGATGAGAGAGATGGGATGCGCTGATCCATGCTGGGAGGATCACGCCCAAATTGCACACATGCAGTGGGGGGAGATTGAAAGACTTCAGTGATGTTTTATGTCTCTAGGGTGATACCTTGT
Organism: Homo sapiens; assembly: GCF_000001405.40. Taxonomy (NCBI): domain Eukaryota; kingdom Metazoa; phylum Chordata; class Mammalia; order Primates; family Hominidae; genus Homo; species Homo sapiens. The sequence continues at coordinate 51,119,504 of NC_000020.11, forward strand.
GGTGTAGGTTCCAATCATCTGGGTCTCAGAATCTGTCCTGGTGTTGTCACATGTGCACATGCTCCATGTTCCAGCCCTTCCCCTAGTCCTTTGGGACAGAGGAGATGGTTTATGCCGAGAGCACTGCATACCCCCATAAAAGTTAAGTGTATTTATATATAATAGGCAGGCCTAGAGAGCCCGCACTGGGATAGTTATGAGAAGAAATGTAGCCTTTGGAAGAAGCCTCTTAGAACCACTGACATGGAGCCACGGACTTCTACTGGAGGAAGACTTGCCCTCTCTGGAACCCAGCAGGTCACAGTCCAAGCTTGCGGTGGCTCTGAGGGGTGAGAGGAGATGGATATTTCAGATCCAGCTGGGGTCCTCGGTCATTAGTGGCAATGTCAGGCGGTCCAGAGAGCATCTTCCCACGGCAGAGATAGCTGGTTCTTTTGGAGATTACCAACATGTGAAGTGAGGAGAAAAACAATAATACCAGGAAAGACCTTGATGGAATTTTTTATATGCCAGGCACTGTTCCAAGGCATTTACATATACTCATTTGTTTACTTCTGATAGCAACCCTGGGAGGTATGTACTAATATTATGGCTGGGAAAACTAAGGCACAGAGAAGCTAATTACTTGCCCAAGGTCATGGGCCAGAAGGCAGCAGAGCCAGAGTTGGAACTGAACATCTGACTCCAAGTCCTTGCTCTTAACCACCGCTCAAGGTCAGGGACCAAGGGCGCCACTGTCTGGTATCCTGATGGCTGTGGCAATATAAAGTTGCTGCAATGGCCAAAATGCTTGGAGGCCTTTGCAGGCAGCCTAGACCTTATTTCATCCTTGAGGATGGACACCCAGAACCAGCCTGATGGTGGGATTTGGTGTGAATGATCACATTTGATTCTCATGCCCACCCTTTACAGCAAGGGCTGTGATTGTCCCCATTTTACAGATGAGGAAACAGGCACAGAGTGGTTATGCACCTTGTCCAAAGCCCCACAGCTACTAGGCTACCAAACTAGGCTGGACTCCGGGACTGACCAAAGCTGTTGCAGTTTCTTCACGTCAGCCACTGGGCTTTTCTGTTTTTCTGAAACCTTTAGGCTGTGGGGCTGTCTTTCTATGGCCTTCAAAGCCAGAGCATCCTTGTTCCTTCACTAGGCATTGAGACCAGAGAGGTTAAACACTCTGCCTGAGGTCACACAGCTGGTGAGTGGGAAAAGGGGATTCAAAACCAGGCTGGTGCATGTCCAGACTTCATGCTTGCTTTCCTTCCATGCTTCGTTTCTAAGCAGTTTAGACTGACCATGGTTTTAAATTCTAGGGCATCTTCCTTTTTAAAATGGACTTTCTCATGGGAGGGGGAGCTAGGGACCATCTATAGCCAGCCCAAAACTTGGACTGGGGAGTCAGAGAGGTCTGGGTTCCATTTCCAGATCTGCCTCTCACCAGCAGCATGGCCACAGCTGGTCATACTCCTCTCTCAGCCCCCGTAAGATGACAATAACAGCCCCACCCCAGGATGTCAAGATGAAGGCAGATAGTAACGAGGCTGCTAGAAGAGTTCAGACTCCACAATGTGCCTGCATGTTCCATTATCTAAATCAGTAGAACATCTCTGGAAGGAAGTGAGGGAAGGCGAGGAAGAGGGGAGGGAACCATTAACATGGTGGCTATTAATAGGCCCTCATCAATCTTCAGAACATCCTTCTAAAGTACAAAGAGCACAAAAAGCAAATCTAACCCCTTTGCAGGTGGAGAACTGAGAACCTGAATGTGCAAAGGGAAAGCCTTCCAGAACAAACTGTGCTCACTCACATAGATTTCTTTGCTTCTTTGTTCTTAATCATGATCTTTTAAAATTTCTTTCCACCATTAAAAATGTCAGAATTTCAAGATGACAAAGTTCAGGACAAACCCTGGGGAGGAGTGGCTCGGCTCACTCTGCCTCCCGCTGTGTCCTCCTGGCTGGGCTCCCCAGGACTGTCTGCCAAGATCCCCGCATCCTTGAGGCGGTGTGCCCTAGCACAGAACAGTCTCTCCAGGGCTGCCAGCAGCAATCCCCCGCAGATAACACGTTCTCTTCCTGAGTCCTGGGCTCACAGAACATGTAGCCCTCATAGGCTCAGGGGTTGATTCTGGAGGACTCTGCATCTCTTTGCAGAAATGCAAAATTGAAATGTCAGCCTGGACATCTTCCCAGGGAAGTCCAGGTCTTTGCAAGGGATGGGATACCTGTTGGACAAATTTCTAGCTAATTGATTTTCTTAAGTCTAGCCTTGCTTCCTAGAAGTTTAAAATCGAGTAGGGAGGCATCCTGAGGGGGCATGTGCTGTTTGGTTTTAATATTGCTGACAAATAGTGTCATCCTAAACCCCCAGAGTCCTCTGCCTCCACCCAGGCTGTTCACCTGGGATCCCTTGGACCTCACTGATATCCAGCAACTAAAGGGTTAATGCCTAGCCCAGCAGGGGATGCTGCCCAAAGCTGGAGTCACAGTTTGTTCTGATTTAGTCAATACTGGCCTCTCCCTCATGACACCGATGGTTAAATATTCAGAACATTACTCCAGAGGCAATGTATACAGTCATGAAACAAGCCACAGTAAAAAATGCTGCAGAATGTCTGTCATAAGGGCTAGAGCAAGTGGCAATGACCCCCCCACCACCCCATCTGATGGGCAGCAAGCTGCTTCTCTGGAAGATGTCCATCCTCTTTCTCAGGCCACCTCCACACTGAGCCAGTCCTCTTCCCGTCTCACCTGGATTCTTCCCTTAGCCTCCTCTCTGGCCTCCCTGCCTCTACCCTCACCCCTGAGCCAATCCATCCTCCATACAGCAGCCAGAAAAACAAGTTTGGTCACACCAACCCTCTGCTTAAAACCACCCCATGGTTTTCTGTGCTCACGGTCAGGCTAAAGCTCCCAGTTCCCTTTAGAGCAATCTCTGCAATGTGCAGTTATACATTTGTTTGTTTTGTTTATTTTTGGTCTCCATCCCGGAATGGCAGGCCCAACAAAGACTCTCTAGTGTTTATATCCAGTGTCTAGCGCAGTGTCTGGCACACAGTAGGTGCTCAATAGATGTTTGCTTAGTCAGAGAAAGAATAAATGAATGGATGACTGAGCACTCACCGTGAGGTCTGCAAGAGCCCAGAAGGAGCGGGATGTTTCCTCGGCAGGTTATAATTTGCAGAGGCAGAGAAGAGATTGCCATTCAAGGCAAAGGAACGGTCAGGGCAAAGGCTGGGAGGTGGTGTGTAGGTGGCTTCATCTGCCCTACAGGGCTCTGTCAGCAAGAAGACAATACAGGGAAGGGACTGAGAGCGTGGGGTTCTGAGTCAAAGGCCCTGGGTTCAAGTCCTGGCTCCACTATTATTAGCTGATGACCTTGGGAATGAGGTCACCTTTGTTTGACTCAGTTTTCTCATCTTACAAATGAGACGATGATGATCTCTACCTTATAGAACTGTTTTGAGGACTAAATGAGATAACATAAGTCTGGGTGAAAAAAAAAGGCTCAATAAATGTCAGTGAGTGTGTTTGATTCTGGGAAAGAAATAACACTTGCCAAGTATTTTCTGTGCAGGGCATGTACTGAGCCGCTCATTTAATCCTTTTAGCAACCCGGTGAGGTTTACTTTCGTATTTCAGTTTGACAGATGAATGTGACATTCTCCCCTGTCATGGGTATCCCAGCACCTGGTTTATTGTGGTTGATTCAGTGCGGTGATGTTTAACCCTTGCCTGGGCATTAGAATTACTTGGGGAGTTGCTGTAAAATACCCACACTTCCCACCACCGGCCAGCCAAATAAATCAGAATTTTTGGGGAAAGGCCCAGGTATCAGTATTTTTTAAAACTCCCTAGATGATCCTAATAGACCAGCCAAATGGTCTAAGTTTGGATGTGAAAGACTGTGTGGTTGTCACAGTGAGCCCCAGGACTGGGGCTAGGACTTGAGGATGGGGGCTGTGAGGCACTTCTTACTCTGACTACTGACAGCAAAGCCAGACAAGTCACTTCATAGAGGAGACTCGGAAATCTGTTACCACCCAGTGTGGGCATGCCTGGAGTGTGGCTTTCAAGTGCTCAGCAATATTGCTTGGTGGAGTCTTCAAATCACAAGCATCCCTCACTTTTATGGGGCTGTCTGCTCCAGGCATCCAATTTGTATTAGCGAAAGCTCCCTCTCCTTCATAGGAGGGTGTAACAAAAGGGAACCCAAGACATATAGATATTTTCTCTGTGCTTGTCTGGGGGCTGACTGTTCCCAGATCTTATTGAAAGAGGCCAGGCATGGTGGCTTACGTCTGTAATCCCAGCACTTTGGGAGGCTGAGGCAGGCGGATCACCTGAAGTTGGGAGTTCGAGACCAGCCTGGCCAACATGGAGAAACCTCATCTCTACAAAAAATACAAAATTAGCTGGGCATGGTGGTGCATGTCTGTAATCCCAGCTACTTGGGAGGCTGAGGTAGCAGAATCACTTGAACTTGGGAGGTGGAAGTTGCAGTGAGTCGAGATCATGCCATTGCACTGCAGCCTGGACAACAAGAGTGAAACTCTGTCTTAAATAAATAAATAAATAAATAAATAAATAAATAAATAAATAGCTAGCTAGCTTTGGGGCCTGAACCTGACTTCTCCTAAAACTGTTGGTCTGCTATGTTACTTTCAACCCCTTCCTATAGCAATTTGTGAAATAAGTCATTTCTCTAATTAAAAAACCAACCAACTAACCAACAGGATGCCTAGTTAAATTAGAAATGTAGCTACACAATGAATAACATTGCATGATACAGTAAAAAAAAAAAATTACTTATTGTGTACCTGAAATTCAAATTTACCTGAGTGTTCTGCAGTTTATCTGGCAACCCTACCTGGGTCTCACTTTCTGGGGCTACTTCAGAGTTAATAGCATGGACATTAACACCACAGACATCCTCCTTGGAACCCAGCTCTGTCCCTTAAGTGGTAACTGAGCTGCAGGCAAGACATTTAACTTTTGAATGGTAAATGCTTCTTTTCCCATAAGCAAATACAGATAATAATAGTACCTGTTTCTTGTGGTTATTGTAACTGTAAAATAGAATCATCTATCTAAAGTACATACTAAGTGCTCGATAAATGGTAACTGTTATTATATTTACTGTATCAGGAAACAATATCAGCAATGTATTTTTGGTTTATAATGATAAGAATTATAAATTCCTTTTATTCTGTCTATAAGAAGAATGTATGTATATTATGGAAAATTAGAAAATGCAGATAGATACGAGAAAGAAAGAAAATCTACTCACATTTTTAACGTTTGCTGATTACTCTTCCAGTATTTTTCCTTAAAAATATATCTGTATCTGGCCAGGCATGGTGGCTCATGCCTGTAATTCCAGCACTTTGACAGGCAGAGGCAGGCAGATCACCTGAGGTCAGGAGTTTGATACCAGCCTGATCAACATGGAGGAACCCCATCTCTACTAAAAATACAAAATTGGCTGGGCGTTGTGGCACATGGCTGTAATCCCAGCTACTCAGGAGGCTCAGGCAGGAGAATCGCTTGAACCTGGGAGGCAGAGGTTGTGGTGAGCCAAGATCGCGCCATTGCACTCTAGCCTGGGCAACAAGAGTGAAACTCCGTCTCAAAAAAAAAAAAACAATCTATATCTATATCTATGTATCTATCTATCTCTGTACAGAATAGTTTTGTGCTGTGGGTCCTGCTTTTTTTTTTTTTCACTTAACATTATATGACATTTGAACTTTGAACAACATGGGTTTGAAGTGCGCGGGTCCACTTATAGAAGGAGTTTTTTCAGTACAAGTGACACCCAGCGTGCCTGCCTTGCCTGCTTTCCCTTCCACCTCCTCCCCATCTTCTGCCTCTGCCACCCCCAAGACAGCAAGACCAACCTCTCCCTTTTCTCCTCCTTGTCAGCCTGTTCGACATGAAAAGAGGATAAAGATCTTTATAGTGATCCACTTCCCTTTGATGAATAGTAAATATATTTTCTCTTCCTCATGATTTTCTTAATAACAGTTTCTTTTCTCTAACTTACTTTATTGTAAGAATATAGCATATAACACACACAACATACAAAAATATGTATTACTCGGCTATTAGTAAGGTGTTAGTCAGTATTAGGCTATTAGTTAATGTTTTGGGGAAGTCCAGAGTTCTGTGAAAATTTTTGACTGCGTGGGGATCAGTGTCTCTGACTCCTGCATGGTTCAAGTGTCAACTGAATAAGTATTTCTCTAAGTTGTTAGATATTCTTTGAAAATCTAATTTTCACTGTAGAGATATAGACAAATGTATTTAGCCAATCTTATGCTGATCATCCAAGTTTTTGTTGCTATTATAAATAGTACTGCAATGAGCTCTTTATCTTTTATTAAACATTGCGCTAGAGCTCAGTCGGCCCCTCTGAAGCCTGTCTCAAAGCATGGTCTTCTGGTTTGTGTTTCTGGCTGCCTGGCCGCTGCTTTTGCCAGAGTGCCTTGCCAAAACCCAAGACAAATGGATTTCAGCCTTGATGGGTAGGCCCAGGGCTGCTCAGAGGCCCATTTTGTCACTCTCTGTCTTTTGGAAGTGGAGCTGGCTCTCTGCTGAAATGTACAAACACAGAATCCTTTTTGATCAAGGGGAGATCCTTTTCTAGCCTTGGGACTCAGTCCGTTCTGTTCCTGGCTGCATGCGTGCCATCTCCGTTGATTGTCGTTGTCTTTCTTGTTTCATGGAACTGGAAAAACAAAACCAAACCAAAAACCTTCCAAGGTTCTGAAGTCCTCATATCCTTAAAAATCCATCAGAAAGCCCCGAAGCTTCCGCTGCTGAGTTTGCCTTTTCCAGCCTTGCCTGATCTCACTTGGGAACATGACTACCCAATAACTCAGTTGCAGCAATGGTGGGAGAACAGAGCCACCAAATACAAGCAACGTCCTGGAGAGAAGGGCGCTTACAGGCAGAGGCGAGGCACACTGAAGCAATCAGTCCTGCTGTACAGGTTTTCTTAATGTTTTGACATTTTAAGTTCAGAGAACATAGCTTGGTTTTATAAAATAGTTTCAGTCCAGAGGACAGAGGGCACAAAAGTCTCCAAACAAGTTCTTCTGGGTGGAAGACACTATGAGTGGCTCTTTACCTGCTTTGCCATCATTTTTGCCCCAGAACCTTATGGAATATATTAAGTCACTGCATGGGTCCACTTATACAAGGATATTTTTCAACACAAGTTACACTCAGTGTGCCTGCCTCACCTGCCTTCCTTCCACCTCCTCTGCCTCTGCCACTGCTCAGACAGCAGGACCAACCCTTCCCTTTTCTCCTCCTAGTCAGCCTGTTCAACATGAAGAGAGGGTGAAGATCTTTTTAACGATCCACTTCCATTTGATGAATAGTAAATATATTTTCTCTTCCTTGCAATTTTCTTAAGTTTCTTCCCTAGCTTTTCTTCCTGCCATTACTTTTGCACCAACCTAATATCCAGTGCAGATTTGAGGCAATGAATTGATTTAATTGCAGGGCTCATTTGAGCCCCTAGCATGTCTTTGTGTATGCACAATTATTTTTTCTAAACTGGTTGAGTTTGAAAATGTAATAACTTTGCCCAGACCCACACAGCCATTTTCTTCCCAGAGAATCAATGTAATTTGCATGTGTTATTCGGCCACAGGACAATAGAGCAGTGCAGCTCTTGTTGATTTTGAAGAGCTGCTGATCGCCTTGTTTGAGAAGTCAGGGCCCAGGAAGGCAGCCAGGATGATGCAGGGCTTGTCAATTTCCAGGTGAATTCAGCAGGCAAGTGGGAGCGGCAGGTGCTGGTCAGCTTGGGTTTCAACCTCATCCTTCATACGTGCCAGCTTTGAGACTTTGGCAAGTTACTTCAGCTTTCTGTGCCTTATTTTCCTCATCTGTAAAATGGGATAATAAACGACTCTACCTCATAGAATTCTTTTGACTCATAAATGAATTATTACGCGTTAAGCACTCCAAATACTGCCTAGTTCATTGTTAGTATTATTTATTAAGCTCCAAGTGGTATTTGGACTTCTTAAATGAGAATCACCAAAAGCAGGGCTTCTCAAACTTTAATGTGCACATAAAACACCTAGAGATCTCCTTTAAGTACACATTCCGATTTAATAGGTTGAAGGGCAGGCCTGGGAGTTTGCATTGGCAGGTGCAGCGACTATCGGAGGTGATAGCCAAGATGCTGTTTGAAGACCATGCTTTGAGGTTCAAGGACTTTGAGAACTTAGGGTAAAATTGCAGATTCCCAGGCCCAAGCCCAGACTGTCGGTTTCAGGACCTCTAAGGGTTGGTCCCAGGATCCAAGTGTTTAACGAGCCTCCTAGGTGATTCAAACACACTGAAGCTTGACAGGCTAGAATGAGTTAATTTTAGTGTAAGGAAGATGTGGCTTGTTCATAACCTTTGTGGGAGAGAATGTGTCACTCTGTGTTTAGGACTTAGGTTTCTTCTTCTCTCCTTTCATTTTCCTTCTTCTCTTTCTTCATTCCTCCCAGGCCAGGCAGCACAGCTCAGTGGTTAGAGCATCTCCTCTGGATTTGCCTCGCGATCTCACCATTAGCAGTGATACCTTTATGGAAGCATGTGCTATGAGAGGACTGTGAAAGGGAACCCAAGGGTTGATTTGGGAAGCTGGCAGTCATCGGCCAAATCCTGACCATCTTGGGCTGACTGCTGCAGAGGGTGCAGGTCAGAGTGTATCATCATATATGTTCTGGCCACTGGCTTTGGACAGTAGTATATGTGGGTGTTTGTTCTCCTCTGGATGATAAACAGCTCAACAACAGTGCCCTTTTTTGCTCTTCTTGGGCCTTCCCCAGCGCAAGACTTGACATCTGAGCTCATCAGTGCTTCCTGAATGAGTGAATAAAAGACGTGCTGCAGCCACTGAGTCATGCACCACTGAGCTATTGCAAGCTGAAAGGAACTCAGCGGTTCATAAACACTGGCTTTGACCACCTTAGCTCAATTCAAGTCAGCAAATATTAGTGATCATGTATCTTGCATCAGGGCCCATACCCGAAGCCACAGAAAGTCCTGGGGGCAGCCAGATCCAATAATTATAATTTCTCTGTAAGTTTTCCTATGCCTCGCTTATATTTGAAGCATGATTACAATGGAATCCAACTGGCCATACAATCAGTATTTGTAAAATAAAAACGAAATCAGCTCTACATGCTGTCATTTCCAAGATGATGTTAATGGAGGTACTCTTGTTTTACCTTCACAACCACATTAGGAGGTAGGTATTCTTATTGTCCACATTTTACTGATGAGCAAACTGAGGCTCTGAGAAGATAACTCATCTGGCACCTGGCAGTGGGGAACTTGAACCGGGGTCTGGAACTCCGCCTGTTCCATAGGCTGGTGGTAGGGCATAGGAAGCGGGTCGTGGATGGACTTGGGCAAGAAGAATAGAGGTGCAGTTCCCCTGAGAAAGGGGGAGGGATGCTGGTCATCGGGACACAGCTGAGGTTGCCACGCCACATCCCCTCCTCCAGGCATGCACAGCATTGTGGGAGGGGGCTGGCCTGTCACACCCTCAACACTGAGACCCATCAATGAGAAGAATTTCCTGAGTTTATAAAACAGCAACAGGTTAGGCAGCATCATGAGTGAATTGATCACCAAGCTGAATCTTACTTAACTCCTAGCTTTAAAATAATCGGCAGGAAGGAGAACAAAAAGCCACACGTGTGTTTACACACAGGCACCCCGCCCTGCAGGCCCCAAGGAGAGGTTCAAATCAAGGCAGCCTTTCCTGTGGGCGTGGGTGAGGTGCCCCGCACAGGAGCCAGCTTTGCACTTAGTGCAGACTAGACAGCCATGTAGTTTAGCAGGGGCAGCATTGACAGAAACCAGAGAGCTGTAAATGCCACACTGGGGTGGCTGGGCCACATGTGCTATTAACCAGACAGTCTTGTTCCATGTCTGGAGTCTGAGCACATTTTAGGCCCTGGTGGCTGGGCAGCACCCTGTGGGGACCGTTAACCACTTAGCTGAGACCCGTTGAGCAGATGCCTCTGAAATCTATGCTGGTTTGAACCCCCCCTGGGGTATTTTGTGCTCTTAGGGACACCATAGTAATTGATGTAATATGCCTAAGATGGACTGAAACTGTCTGATATTGGAATAAATTTAGCCTCACTGGTAATAAAAGATAAGTGCATGAAAACAAGATGTCATTTTACTATAATTTTCCCTGGCCATTTTATTATAATTTTTAGATTGGCCAAGGTTAAGAAAGATGACAGCTCTGTGGGCTAGAGGGTGGAGAGACAAGCCCTCTCCTACACTGGTGAGGGGTGCCAGGATTCTGTAGCAACACCTTTGAGTGAGCATAACCTTGGACTCAAACAATTTTCCTTACAGGCAATAACCTACGAAATACTGGGATATACGCACAAAGATCCATGTGCCAGGATATGTGTTGGAGGATTTATATTTGGAGAAAATTAAATGCGCAATGAGAGGTGAGTAGTTAAATATATTTTGGTATATCCATAGAATGAAATTCCAGGCAGTCATAAAATGATGCTGGCTTTTATGTTATGGAAGGATGTTCCAGATATATAATTGAGTAGAAAATATAGGTTACAAAATAATATGTATAGTATGAGCTCATTTTTGTAAAAAAAAAAAAAACCCAAACTGTCTATATCTAGATGTGAAAAATGCATGGAAATATTAACAATAGTTATCTTTGGGTGATGGGGTTATGGATGAATCCTGTGCTTTCTAACATTTGTAAAAGGGAAAGTGATTACTTGAATAACACAAATGGACTGTCTTTAGAGGCGAGGGACCAGGCTAGTAAGGCCTGCAAGAGGGTGGCATGGCAGCTGAAAGGAGGGTGCTGGGGTTACTGTGGGCCTCGGTGTAGCTTCTGCTCAGACAGGAATTGTCTGTGGGGCTCTGGGCAGGTGGTGCAAGCTCTCTGAACCTTGGTGTCCTCATCTGAAGAAGGGGGTCGGATGATACTTACTTCACAGTTGTGTTGTGAGGATTAAGTGGGATAATTTCTGTAAAGTACTTGGCACATGATAAGCACCTAATAAATCTTAATTATATATAAATATTCTATCAATATTGAATGCTAGCACTATCTACCTCTCTAAACACACACACACACACGTTAATCCACATATCTAAAAGAGTGGACTGGTTTTCCTTTCCTTTTTAAAAAAATTTTTAGAAACCGATGTTTATTTTCTGTCAACCTTATTTCCATGTTGTTTAAGAGCCTGTGCAAGAACAGTGTAAGGCCATTCAGTGGTTGGTCCTACCCATTCGGTGGCCTGAGCAGGGGGAGCTGCAGACCAGTCTTCCGTGGCAGGCTGAGCACTCCAGTCTTGGGTAGGGAACTGCTGAATAGGCCCAGAGGGCACCTGCACACTGTCAGACCAGTCTGCAACCTCAGGCCAAGTAGCAGTGAACTCAGGAGCTGGAGCAGTGTTCATTCACCCTGAAATTCCTCCTTGGTCAAAGCCTTGTCAGCAGCAGCCTGCTCTTCTTTTTCAATCTCTTCAGGATCGCTGTAGAAGTAGAGATCAGGCATGACCTCCCACCAGTGTTTGCGGGCAATTGTGCCGCTGCATGGGCAGAATTTCCCGGGCCAGCATCCACATCAAGTCCACTGAGTGAGCTTCCTGTTGCATGGGATGGCAATGTCCACATGGTGCAGAGGAGAATCTGTGTGACACAGAGCAATGGTAGGTAGGTTATAACATAAGATGCCTCTGCGAGAGGCTGGTGGCCGGTCCTGCAATCAGTAACCACAAGAACCCGTGGATTCGGGAATGTTGCCTGGATCTGGTTAGTGAAGGTTCCAGGAGTGAAGTGGCCAGCAATAGGAGTGGCTCCAGTGGCAGCAGCACACTTCAGCATGGCCCTCTGGCCAGTGCTACTGGAGGATATGACACTGACATCAGCAGGGTTTTCAATGGCAACGATGGCAGGAGCCACCAGCAGAAGCTTCTCCCAGCTCCTCTTTAGATTTATGATGTAGATGCCACCACTTTTCCTCTTACAGATGTGCTGTTCCATTCGGAAGTCAAGGTCGGTGCCACCTAAGTGGGTTCCTGCTGCAAGGAACTTAAGGACATCCTCCTCTTTCATTTGCAGGACATCAAGGGCTGTGGACATTGTGAAAGTTTCCCTTTAAGTTATGACGGGAATCCAGAACCACACTGTATGGACCCCTCTGTGGGTAGCAGGGAAAGCGAGTAGACTTGTTTTCTAAAACTCCCGAGGATGGACTCCTTGGGACAGCATCACAGCATCACAGGGGACCAATGTCCACCCCAAATTAAGAAAAATCTTCTAGCTTTCCACAGGTAAAAATGGGAGCCCCATCCCTGGAAGTATTCCAGTAGCTTGTGGGTAAACAGATGGCAGAGGTATGGGAGGTGATATCTGAGAGTCAGATGATTGGGTTGACCTAGCCAGTGGCATCCCCTTCAGTCCCCACATTGAAGCCATTGGCAAAGGGGATGAGAAGCTGGCTCAGGATCAGGCAACCTGGGGCCTTGCAGCAGCTCTGCCGCTTTCCTAGCAGGTGGGATGCTGGCAGACCTCTCTCCTCTCAGTCCCAGTATTCACAGGGCTAAAATAATTTCTGCTGTACAGTTGTAAGAATTGGAAATAATGCAATCTAGCTCCCACTCTATTAGTGTTTTTGTTCTGAAAATAGCAGAGCTAGGACTTGAGCAAATATTCCTCCATTCATTCATCTGTGCCTGCATTCATTCACTAGACAAATATCTATGGAGCAGCGTGCCCAGCTTCTGTAACAGGCAGGGCCCCTGGAAGGCTCCCAAGCCCCACAGACCTGCTGTCGAGGGTCTGCAGAATCCTAATCCCACTGTCAGGCTTTATTGTCGTGTTCTGCACAGGCACCAAAGGGCAGTGCTCAGTGATGATGAAGCTAGGCTCCTTGCCAGAAAGACAGCAGGAAGTTTTGCTGCAACGTGCATGCTTCCTTGAACACAAGGAGGGAAATAAGAAAACCCCCATGGCCAGTTTCATGATGGGGGGAGTTATTCCGGCCATGCTAAGATAATGTGCCGGGATAAAGGGCATCTCAGCTCTCCCTGCCTCTTCCCTCCTCCCCCTCCAATTCCCGAGCTGTGAAGGTGGCAGGAGGAAGAGAGCTTGAAACCACGGGGACCCGGCTTGGGAGGGACTGTTCCTTCTGGACTTTCTGCCTCCCTAAGTCTACTTCTATCTCAGCTCCAGCTCAGCTTCAGGTCTCTGTCACAGATGTCCCCAACCTTGGCCCATTTTCCCCATCCAGCAAACACAGTCACACTTTGACCGGGGTCTTACCCCTGCGTTATGACTGTGTGCAGGTGTCAGCTTGGCCTCCGCCACACCCAGGGTCCTGTTCAAATTGGGGTGTGTGGAAAGACAGTAGCAGTGCTGGGGACCTTAGAACTTTGGTTTCACAGTCTTTTGCCTGTTTTATAATGTGCGGGATAGACTGGAAAAGTGGTATCCACAGCCGGGCACAGTGGCTCTCGCCTGTAATTCTAGCACTTTGGGAGGCTGAGGCAAGTGGAGCACTTGAGGTCAAGAGTTCAAGACCAGCTGGCCAACATGGTGAAACCCCATCTCTAGTAAAAATACAAAAATTAGCTAGGCCTGGTGGCAGACACCTGTAATCCCAGCTAGCTACTTGGGAGGCTGAGGCAGGAGAATCGCTTGAACCCAAGAGGCGGAGGTTGCAGTGAGCCGAGATCGTGCCATTGCACTCCAGCCTGGGCTTCAGAGAGAGACTCTGTGTCAAGAAAAAAAAGGTGGTATTCACATGCAATTTATAAATAAATACATATATAATTAATAATTCAATTATTAATTAGGAATAAAAAGGAATGATCATTGCTTCTGAGCTGCTCCTGGTTCATCACACCAGGGGCAGCTCAGGAGCTATGGTCATTTCTTCCTTTTTATTCCTAATTAATAAATACTATGTTGTTAATTATAATAACAGATGTTATATTTTATAATTATATTTTATATCTTGTAATAAAATATATTATTATGTGTAATTATGACTATATGGCTGGGTGCAGTGGCTCACACCTGTAATCCCAGCATTTTGGGAGGCTGAGGTGGGGTCACTTTGAGGTCAGGAATTCAAGACCAGCTTGGCCAAGATAGTGAAACCCCATCTCTACTAAAAATACAAAAATTAGCTGGGTGTGGTGGTAGATCCCTGTAATTCCAGCTACTCAGGAGACTGAGGCAGGAGAATTGCTTGAACCCAGGAGGCAGAGGTTGCAGTAAGCCAAGATCATGCCACTGCACTCCAGCCTGGGAGACAGACTGAGACTCTGTCTCCAAAAAAAAGGAAAAAGTTATGACTATATAATAACATAATTATTATTATATAATACCATAATAATAAATAATAATGAATACATATTAATAATTGATACATATTAAAGGTGAGTGTTTAGCAGTTTTTAAAGTTAGGAATGCATGATCAAAGAATTCAGAGCCAACCATCAAAGACCAGGAGCAATGGCTATTTATTCCTTGTCTCAGGGTTCTCTGAGCAGAGCTTGCTCCTGGCTGGGGTTCTTAAGTGTTTGTGAAATGAATGAATCAAGAAATCGGACTCCTAGTCTTTTGGCAGGCTGGAAGCAACTTGAAAGTTCATATGTGTTGTGTCAACTGAAAAAAAAATCACAAATTTATAAATTTAGAAGGGAGACTATTTCTTATAAAGGATTATAGCCTGGAAGGTGGCCATTCTGCCAGAATGGGAAGCATCGCCTCTGGAGGAGGCCGTTAGTAGGCACTTTGAGGGAGGGAAAGATGAGACAGGAATTCATGAATGGGTTGGCCAAGTAGATATATTCAATGGGTTACAGGAGGAGCTATGAATATTCATGAAAGGGGTTCTGATGTATGCAGGAACAAACGTGTGTTACGTGTGGCCTGTGTTCTCTTTGGGAAGGAGACATTGTTTAAATGCATTCTAGTTAGGCTCTATAGGTCAAAAGGTGAAGCAGGGCCGTGAAGGCACTCAGTGTGCAGCCTCTATAAACTGGCCAGAACCTGTTTACGGCTGTCAGTCTCTTATCAGGAGGAAGTTAATGAAATCAGTTTCTGTCCCATTAAAGCTGAAGATGTGGCTTGTGGAACAGGGGGCAGTTAGTCAGCATAAGGCGTAAGTTGCAATTGTTTAGTGTTGCTGATCTTGAGGTCAGTGCTTGTTTAGATGCTAGAGAAAAAGAGAAACCTTGTGGTCGTTACCTGACAACAGTAGTTTCTTTAAGGATGGGGATGTGTGACTTAACCCTTGTTTGGCATGGCCTTAGATCCTGTTTAAAATTTGGTATCTTATTGCCACAAAGAGTCCATTCTATCAGTCTTATGATCTCTATGTTCACATTAGTGTTGGTCAGTTATTGTGTCTGAGCCACAAAAGGGAAGGGGTTTATAACAGGGTGAGTCTGACCTCCTGTCCCGTGTTGGCCCAGAACTCAGTTTTTATGGTTTCTCTGAGGTTCTCTTGGCCAAGAGGGGGTCCATTCAGTTGGTTGGGGGGCTTAGGATTTTATTTTTAGTTCTCAGTTGAGATGGAATAATACATCTTACCTCAATTCAAAAAACAACGATCAGTGGTCATTGTCTGTGGGCTATGTTCCACATCTGAGGATTAGGGGTTCAGAAGCCATGTGTCCCTTCCTTCTAGGAGCTCGTGGTATAGCAGGGACGGGAAGACAATGTACACACATGACTCTAACAGTTAAAAGTCACAGACAAGGGAATGTACTCGAATTCTCTTTTATTTATTTTTTAAATTTATTTATTTTATTAAAAAAAATTTTTTTGAGACAGAGTCTCACTCTGTATGTAGCCCAAGCTGGAGTGCAGTGGTGCCATCTCGGCTCACTGTAACCTCTGCCTCCAGGGCTCAAGCAATTCTCCTGCCTCAGCCTCTCGAGTAACTGGGATTACAGGTGTCCACCATCACGCCTGGCTAATTGTTTGTATTTTAGTAGAGACAGGGTTTCACCATGTTGCCCAGGGTGGTCTCAAACTCCTGAGCTCAGGCGATCTGCCTGCCTTGGCCTCTTAAAGGGCTGAGAGGACAGGTGTGAACCACCGCACCTGGGCTAATTCTCCTTTTATATGAAGACTCTGTCTGATCATTAATATTTATTTCTCAACCTTGTATAGTGAAGGTAAGGAACTGGCAAAGTATTTCTGAACCTTTGGTCATTTGAGTGTTCCATTTATAATTTTTGCCCTATTTGCATAAGATTATTTGCATTCAAATGATATTTCCCTTTAAATTGACTTTTTACCTAAATAAGTTTAGGTAAAAAGGAAATTATATTATCACCATGGTTGAAAAATCAGTATTGCTTGCTCTAAAGAGAAAGTAAAAGTAAAAATAAACAATAACAAGAGCTAATATCGATTTAACACTGCATCCATGTAATGTTCTAAGCACTCACTTCATGCTCATAACAACCTGCTGAGGCAGGTGCTGTTATTATTCCCACTTTACAGAGGGGAAGGCTGAAGCTCAAAGAAGCAAGGCAACTCTCAGGGGTCACAGAAGTGATAAACTGAGGAGTTGGAATTCCAGAGTCCAAGCTGGTGACGAGCACCGTGAACTCCTCTTCTCTGGCCACCACTCTACTCTACAACAAAGTCTATAAATTATGGCCATGGCCAGATCCAGCTCGCCACCTGTTTCTCTGCTGTTCCCAAGGTAAGAAAGATGTTTTCATTTTTAAATGGTTGGGAAGAAAATCAAAGGAAGAATAATATTTCATGATATGTGAAGAATACTTCAAATTTCAGTACCCATAAATAAAGGTGTATTGCAACACAACCACACTCATACTTTATGACATTTTGTCTATAAACTTTATGACTTTTTGTCTATAAACTTTATGACTTTTTATCTATGGCTGCCTTTGCCTTTAATTGTGACAGAGACCACGCGGCATACAGAGTCTGAAATAGTCTCTCTCTGGCCCTTTGCAGGAAGTATTTGCTGACTCCTGATCTATAAGGAAAATTCTAGCCGGGCAGTGTGGCCACTGACCTAAGGCCTATTGTTTCAAAAGGAAGTGTTAAAGAACTAGTAACACCAAACAGAGACTCCTTCATTGATGTAATGGGAAAGATGAATTGAAAAGGGAATATCTTTCTCAATAGGTGGATTTAAAGATTTTGTTACTAATTGCTGGGCTCTTGTACTCTTAGAAACATCTCATGGTGGGCTGGGCGTGGTGGCTCGTGCCTATAATCCCAGCACTTTAGGAGGCTGAGGCTGTAGGATCACTTGAGTCCTGGAGCTCGAGACCAGCCTGGGCAATATAGCGAGAACTCGTCTCTACTAAAAACTGAAAAGTTAGCTGAGCATGGTGGTGTGTGCCTATAATCTCGGCTACTCGGGAGGCTGAGGCAAGATGATCACTTGAGGACAGGAGGTCAAGGCTGCAGTAAGTTATGATTGCACCACCACCACTGCACTCCAGCCTCGGCAACAGAGCAAAATATTGTTTCTTTGGGGTTTTTTTTTTTTGAGACAGAGTCTCGCTCTGTTGCCAGGCTGGAGTGCAGTGGCGCCATCTCGGCTCACTGCAATCTCCGACTCCCTGGTTCTAGCAATTCTCATGCCTCAGCCTCCTGAGTAGCTGGGATTACAGGCACGTGCCACTACGTCCGGCTAATTTTTGTATTTTTAGTAGAGACGGGGTTTCACCATGTTGGCCAGGTTGGTCTCGATCTCCTGACCTTGTGATCCGCCCACCTCGGCCTCCCAAAGTGCTGGGATTACAGGCGTGAGCCACCGTGCTTGGCCGTGTTTTATAAAAAAAAAAAAAAAAAAACAAAAAAAATCTTATGGTTCTTGTTTTATGGAATCTTAGTTGCTCTAGGTAACCTCTAAAAACTGTTCCAGCTCAAACTGTCTATATTCCTGAGAGCTGGGTCATTATTTCTTCCAGCACAGTAAGATACTGTGAATGAAGTAGTTCAAGGGCCTGGCTAAAACCTTCTCCATCCTGCCTAGTGCTAAAGGGTCTATTTTCTTTCCTGGCTTCATTTAAACTGTGAGTTTCAGATTTTACTCTTCAATGTGGCCAGGAAATAGCGCCTTTGGTGCAACAAGTTGAATCTGCCCAGCTGTGGCATGTATTGAAATGCATCTTCATTACTGAAAATCTAATTTGTTTCTCAAAATCTTCGCTGGAAATATTGAACTGGAGCAGAGAATTAAATTAGCTCAAATTCAAATGTGGTTTGCTGTCATTCGAGCAAAATTGGTCTCTCTCCTGAATTTCTACAACTTCCTGTCCATTATTTTGGTGGACTTTCCTGAGGAAAGTGGTAATTTGCTGAAATCAAAACATAATAAAAATGGCCCCCATTTTCTAGGATCTTAAGCAGGTGGAACTGACTTTATTCAAATCCCAGAGGAAAGATGAGACACAGACTTCCGTTCTCTGAGCTGGCCACTGTGTTGGACAGGGGACACTATCAGGAGTTATACTGTTTTCTTACAACAGTTTTTTTTTTCTTTATTGTTTTCTTTCCTCTTCCTCCTTTCTTTTTCTTCTTTCTTCTGCTTCTTCTCCAAGAAAGTGTCTGGCCGGGCGCAGTGGCTCACGCCTGTAATCCCAGCACTTTGGGAGGCTGAGGCGGGCGGATCACGAGGTCAGGAGATTGAGACCATCCTGGCTAACATGGTGAAACCCCGTCTCTACTAAAAATACAAAAAATTAGCCGGGCGTGGTGGTGGGCACCTGTAGTCCCAGCTACTTGGGAGGCTGAAGCAGAAGAATGGCATGAACCCGGGAGGTGGAGCTTGCAGTGAGCCGAGATTGTGCCACTGCACTCCAGCCTAGGCAACAGAGCCAGACTCTGTCTCAAAAAAAAAAAAAAAAAAAAAAAAAAAAAAAAAAAAAAAAGCGTCTGGCTCTGTCACCCAGGCTAGCTGGAGTGCAGTGGCATGACCACAGCTCACTGCAGCTGTGATCCTCCTGCTTCAGCCTCCCAAGTAGCTGGGACCACAGGCACACATCGCCATGCCCAGCTAATTGTTAATTTTTTGTAGAGACAGGATCTCACTACATTGCCCAGGTTTGTCCTGAACTCCTGGGCTCAAGCAATCTTCCTGCCTTGGCCTCCCGAAGTTCTGGGATTTTGAATGTGAGCCACTGTGCCTGTCCTCCTCCTTGTCTTTTAAACAAGCACAAATCGAACTTAACATCTGTGCTGCCTGTTTCTCCTCACATGTCCCCCAAGGCCCTGAAAAGTTGGCCTGCCCATCTCTCTAGCCACAGAAAAGTTTAGCAACTTGCTTAAGGTCACTCAGTAGGACATGTGAGAAGCTGGAATTTGAATACAGGTTTAGCTGACTCCTGAGCCTGGGCTCTGGGGACGTTAGAGCCCCTGGATCACTAATGTGAGCATGGACAGGGCAGGGCTTGCATGCTCACAGGCGTTTGCAGTAGGTGACCTTATCCTCGCAGAGGAGATGACCAGGGGACAGGATGAGGCACTGATGGCATCTGCTGCAGGGGCTGTGTTTCCCCTCCTTCTAACCTTCCAGGGGCTCCCTATCACCTTCTGGGCAAAGTCTGAACTTCTGAGCGTGGACTTTCCTTCAGAAAGTCTTCCTCTCTACTCTCTGCAGGGGTTTGTACTTTTTTTTGTTTTTTTGTTTTTTTGTTTTGAGATGGGGTCTCACTCTGTTACCCAGGCTGGAGTGCAGTGGCACGATCTCAGCTCACTGCAATCTCCGCCTCCCTGGTTCAAGCAATTCTCCTGCCTCAGCCTCCTGAGCAGCTGGGATTACAGGCCCATGCCACCACGCCCGGCTAATTTTTGTATTGTTAGTGGAGACGGGGTTTCACCATGTTGGCCAGGCTGGTCTCAAATTCCTGACCTCCGATGATCTGCCTGCCTCGGCCTCCCAAAGTGCTGGGATTACAGGCATGAGCCATGTTTTCTTAAAGGGCCTGAAAGAAATTTTCACCTTAGCTGGCTACCTACAGTTTCTGTTGCGACTTACCCCACGATTCAGCTCTACCCTTGCAGCAGGAAAGCAGCCCGAGGCAATAAGTAAATGGAATGAATATGGCAGTGCTCTAAAAAATGTATTTACGAAAAAATGAGCATTGGCCGGATTTGGCTCAGAGCCTAGAGTTTGCTGATTCTTTTACGGTAGATGGGAATTGGACAGGTAAGTAGGAATGGGAGTATTATGAGGATGTTGCTAATAATAATTATAAATAATTATCATCAAACAAAATAACTTAAACATGCCCTGGGGAATAGGGAGAGCCCACCTGATCTCTAATTACACAACACACGCAGACGAGATCCAAATTCATTTCCTGAGTATTGTGTTTTCTCTCCAAAAATCTCAAAGCAGCATTTGTACTAGACGAAATTTAATTTGAACCACAAAGAGATCTATGCTTATACAACTAACTGCCTGGTTTAGCCCACGGTTAATTGAAATCATTGGAGAATTGTTTGAAAGTGGATTTTGTTCTCCTCCAATCTGGGGCCCAGACCCTATTCTTGTCATTGTAATCAAGTCCTATGGTTCTATTGCTTCGGAGAGCATCTGTCAGTAACTGAGTGGATATTTAATTCCATTTGCCATTTGGGGTAATTTTCTTGAGAGCTGAGATCAGCCATTCTATCACCAAGGGTAATTGTCTTTAATTAAAGGTCTCAGTAAAAATAGGTTAGCCTGCCATCCAGAAAACCTCTTTGCTTTTCTTTATTGAAAGTATCCCAAATGTGAATAGAAATATTTGGTTTTTTCCTTGCCTTTAGTACCTGCTTCAAAATAATACTCTCCTTTCTAGAGCAGATTTTGGAATGGGATAGATCCAGGTTTAAATTCAAATTTAGTTATTTACCTATTATTTGGGTGACTTGAGGACAATCCGTTTTAACCCCTCAAAGTTTTAGGTTCCTTACCCACAAAATGGGAATGCTGGTGCCTAACTCCTTCTCACTTACTCCATCTCCCCACCTCCATAATAAAGATAATCACAAACATTTACAGAATGCGCCTATGTGGCAGGCACCTTGGAGAAAATGTTACAGTTATCATTTTGTTCAATTACCACACAACACTACAAGGATGACATTATTATTATCTCCATTTTAAAGATGGGAAAACTGACACACAGAAAGGCAAAGGACCCCATTAAAGTCACACGGCGAGTGAATGTCAAAGCCAGGACCTGCAGAGGCTATGGTGGGGGAGAGCACTTGGAGGAGATGGGAAGGAATCGTTGCAGGGACAGGTCTCACCCTCACTAGTGCTCACTCCATTACTTGCCGAATACACTGGGAGAAACACGCCCCTTCTCTTGACCCGGCTCTTTTCCACAAGGTGAGCTTCTGGCTCCTCAGCCAATTGATATTTCTCTGTTTTGTTCACTTCCATGTGGCCGACATGGTGAGACTGGGCCTGTGTGTGCCTCATGCTTGGGAGGTGCCTCCTAAACCTTGGAAGTCCCTACAGGATCAGGGGAGGGCTCAGACAGAAGGAAAATAGGGCATGGGCTGCTCTAGACTTTATAGGAAAAGCAAAGGTGTTCTCAAGGGTCCCACGGCATATCAGTTAGGATATGTTTAGCTGCAAGTTACAATGTAATGAACTAACAGTGACCTAAGCAATCAGTAAAGGAGTTTGGAGGTGGGTTACTCCAGGGTTGGCTTGGTGGCTTCACTGTGTCACCAAGGACCAAAGCTCTTTCTGTCCCTCGGGCCCACCCTGCTGAATCTGTTGACTTTTCATCCTTAGGTTTGTGCCTTGGTCACAGAATGGCTGCCACAGCTCCGAGCATCCCATCCTTAAACAACCTCATTCAAGGCAGAATATAGGAGAAGGTCTCCTCCCTATTGCTACTTTTATCAGGGAGTGCAAACCTTCCAAGGAACAAAAACCTCACCACATCTCCTCTTAATGTCTCCTTGTTCAGAACAGGGCCATAAATCTTAAACCAATCAAACCAAGCTAAGGGGAGTAAAATGACTATGCTGGGGACCATCTAGTGTCATTCTTTTGGGTTGGGTTGGGGAGGGGCTCACCTTCCCTGTACATGATGGGCCCAGGACAAAATTGAGGCCCTGTAATCTTAAGCAAGAAGAGGAGGGACCACATGTTGAGTGGGTAGGAACCACCTCTGCCACCAAGAGGGCCATGGTGATAAGCAGATTAGAAGCAGATCAGTCAGTTTCCTCCTCTTGCATGGACCTAAAATAAGATGCCCTGACTCCCTGGATTAGACCCCACCCAGGGAAAGAGACTGAAGTCCCAACTTATAGCTGAGTCCTCTAGGCTACATATACTTCAGCTGACTGTGCCTCAGTTTCTCACCTGTAAAACTGGGATGACATAGTACCTGCCTCATAGAGTTGCTGCAAGGATTAAATAAGTTAACCCACTTACAATGCTTAGAGCTGTGCTTAGCAGGAGATGCATACAGTATGAATATTGTCCACTATGTTTATCGGGGCCAGGTTGGCATCCAAGATAACTGACCGTCTCAGTTCATCTGGGACCGAGAGGGCTCCCAGGACATGAGACTTTCAGTGTTAAGGCCAGAACCACCTGGGGCCAACCCAAGATGAGTTGGTTACTCCATGGGAAACACACATGAGCAAAGCAGGGGTAGGGATTGAGGCAAACTGCAGAGCCTGTGCCCCAGTCATTTGGTTCCATCTGGTTGTTGCCATATTGTCGGCCCAGTGTGTTCAGATCTGATTTTTCCAGGAGAAGCCTGACAGCTGGATTTTTATGTTAAATCTCTGAATTTTTACATATTTTTAACATTAAAAAGCAAAACAACAAAACACTGCGTGATCCAAACAAAACACTTATGCCGACCAGTGTGGGCCCTCGGGCTGCCATTTTACAACTTTTTCCTCACTCTTCTCAGCCCCTCTCACTTACATAATGGATGGGATGTTTCTTGGTTTGGATACATACATTATTTCCTGCCTTCCCAGAGTGGCTCCCTAATTCAATCTTATTTGTTTCTGCAGGAAGTACGGGACGGAAATTAAAGAAGAAAGTGGTTCCACAGGTTTGGTGGCTACAAAAAGATTTCCTCGATAAACACTGCCCACAGTCACTCATTTGTGAAAGCTGCATGATGTGAAATTAAACTCGGGCAGAGGTGCTGTGGGTGATGATGTCTCGGTGGCTTGGGGAAATGAAAGCCATTCATCTCAGGCAAATGTGACAGGCAGGACCATTGGCTTTCCGTCACCTATGGGCTGCCTTCTCATGGCAGTGGCCTATGCAGGCCTTACGTTTTTGCAGCAAATTTGTAATGAACCAATCAGTGGCCTTCATGTCAGGCAATCTAGGAAGGTTTTGGAAGTGGGACTACTTGCCCCACTGTTGGTGAGTATTAGATATCCCTTTAGGAAGGTTCAAGAGCCCATGCTGGCCAGGCGCGGTGGCTCATGCCTGTAATCCCAGCACTTTGGGAGGTCGAGGTGGGCAGATCACTTGAGGTTAGGAATTCAAGACCAGCCTGGACAACACAGCAAGACCCCATCTCTACTAAAAATACAAAAATTAGCTGGATATGGTGGTGGGCGTCTGTAGTCCCAGCTACATGGGAGGTTGAGGCAGGAGAATCTCTTGAACCGGGGAGGTGGAGGTTCCAGTAGAGCCAAGATTGCACCACTGCATGCCAGCCTGGCAGCAGAGTGAGACTGTGTCTCACAACACACACACACACACACAGAGAGAAAGAGAGAGAGAGAGAGAGAGAGAGAGAGAGAGAGAGAGAGAGAGAGAGAGAAACAGAGCCCATAGAAAACGTCTTGTGAATGCTTAAACGCACCTGGCTCCTTTTACAAACTTCTTTCCACTTCTCTTGAGTCCCATGTGAAAGTTTTCACTGCCCCCACCGGCTCCTCACCTTCTCCTTCAGAGTCTCACATGCATCTCTTTCAGTCTCAAGAGGTGCTAGAAAAAATGCTGGATTCCTTAAAGGAGTGTTTATGTTGGAAACCAGCATCACTAGGAAATGGCTGGTCCTGACCCCAAGCAACTTATCTCTGGCGGAGGTCGGAGAGGCTGGTACCCGTCTGCTCCCGACTGACCCTCATTCCTTCCTGGTTGGGTGGTAGGAACTAACAGGCCAGGCCCCTTGGTGTGGGTTTCTGGCTTCCTAGGTTCCCTGAGGTCACATCTTTTGTTCTCATCATCATCTGTCTGTTCCCAGTGAAGGAGAACTGCTTCAGGACACTGTTTCTCAAATTTCACTTCTTTGCACACAACCTTCATGGTTTTTGCTCCAGCTATGTACAATTAAAGCTACTATTAACTTAATATTTTTGTTGACATAAAAGTTTACTTAAACTTATGTCACTAAGGTAAATGGAAAGCCAATATAATGTTCTATAAATAGACTTTACAAGTAAAGAGAAATACAGTGAATCATGTTATTGTCTGCTAGCTGATACTTGTGCCTAAGAAGGCTCTTAACCCGAGAACTGCCCGTCTTTTGTTAAAAAGGAAGATGGACATGTGTTGGAGAAGGGTTAAGGACCTCCTAGCACCATCCTGAGCCTTTCTCCTTGATTTAATTGAATGGACTGAATGAGGATAGAAAAAGAGTCACTTACTCTGGGATTCAATGCTGTTTCAAGCGGTGGCCCCTCTACCATCCAAAGTCACTTGGGGTCACACGCTTTGGGAGACACCATTCCAGTAGATATTGTATCTTCAGGCCCAGCTTGTTCTGGCCTGGAGATCCTCTATAAGGGGTCCCCAAATTGGGCCACCCTTGAACTAGGAATTCCAGGTCTTGGGCAATTATTAGTGCTGGAGCCATTGTTGCTTAGTGCATATTTTCCCAGTAGACATTGGCCTTAGAGTTAAATTAAAACTCCAGGATGGGATCTAGAAATGAGCTCATATCAGTCTTCTCCCAGGGGGTCTTATGAGTGTTAAAGTCTGTGGGACCTTTCATCCCCACCTTAGCTTCTTGTCAGCCCCACACGGACTTTGAAGGAAGAGGATGGTCTTCCCAACCCCCACAGCATCCTCCGTGGACACAGCAAGCAACTCTGCAGGGTGTGCATTCACTTAACACATATTAAGTGTGTGCCAGGTGCCAGACATTGTGACAGCTATGGCAGGGCCGGGGGCAGGGGTCCTAGAAAGAGGAGGAGAGCATGGATGCAAAGCCCAACCCAGACTTTGAGGCGATTGTTTTTTAAGGCTGTTTTTAGCACTTGAAGGTACATGTCTACCTCCAAAAACTTTTCATAAACAAATGGGAAGGTTTTGCTTTCGGCAATGGCAGCTAACTTGTTTTGGACAAATCTTCCTGCTGAGAACAACTAGAAAACCTGGGCGTAAAAAACAAAATCTGATCAAAGGCTTTGGAAAGCTACCAAAGGCAACCAGGATTCAAGGGGCCAAGATCCCAGAAAGAAAAGAAACCGTTAACGCTGAGTCTGATATTTCAAACCACTTTTCCCCCTAAGGCATTCATTGATTTGAAGGCAGATTTATGGAGCTAGGGCAAAAAATACGGGCATTCAGAGACAGCCACAGAAGGAGGGCCCTGGTAAACACCCTAGGATTGATTTAGGACCCCGGAGAGCTGCTCCTTAGCAGTAAGGGAGAGCTAGAAACAGACCGTCCTTCAGAAGGACTGAAGCTCGGCTCTGAGCCATTAAAATCCATGATTGAATCAGGTTCATCTTTTCCTAACCTAACTGCCTGTTAGAAGCAAAATATACCCTCTTTGGAAAGAGACTGGAAGTTTTTTCCATCCCTCCTCATATTTTACTGCTCTGTATTTTATTCCAGCCACTGTTGCCGCAACTAATTTTGTGCAGCTGTAACTCAACATCACCTGCCTCAGCCTTTGCTATCTCTAACTTCCCATGTCAGGGCTACTCTGACGCCTCTGTCCATGGGAATCTACCTTTCCATCACGCACATGCATCCTGGAAGTGAAATGGAATTAACCACCCATAAGCAACCCTTGACCAATGGGGAATGTGAGCTGGGGAATAAATGCTTCTTTCTTCCATTCTTTAGGCAGGACATTTTGAGACGCAATTAGATTTTTGTTGTTGTTGTTTACGAGGTCTTAGCTTGGATCAACCCCCAGTTACCCCCAGTAATGACCGATTCAAGAGTGTACTCATGAATTGGCTTTCTCTCTTTCCCTGTCACATTCTTCTCAGAATCCCACTCCTGTGTGCTTGGATTACTAACAAAATTAACCTGCACACAAATCAAGGTCTCAGGTTCTCCTTTCTGGAGGAATCCAGGCTAAGACTAATACAATATAGGGGGTTAAAATATTCTACACTTTTAATCTACAAGGTCTAGCACACAATTACAAAAATGCTGGGAAGACAAAAAGGCAAGATTAGAACAAAAACCAAGAAAAAATACAGTCAACAGAAATAGAACTACAGGGAATTCAGATATTGGCATTATTTGACAGGGACTTTAAAATAATAATTATTAAAACACTCAAAGCACTAGGTGACAGGATGAGGAATTTTGGCAGGGAATAACAAACTGTAGGAGAGAATCAAATAAAATTTCTACTGAGAAATGCTTGAAAATGAGAGCTCAGTGGATGTGTTTTTGATAGTAGATTAGATGCAGCTGAAAAGAAAATTAGTAATCTGAAAAATAAATTAGAAGAACATATGTAAATGAAGCAAAGAAAGATAAAAGGTGGAAAATGAAAGAACATGAGACACATAATAAGATGCAACAGTCTAAAACATGGAATTGGAATCACAGAGGAGAGAGAGAATATGGAAGAAATACGATTAAAGATATTTGATGAGAATTATTCAAAAATGATAAAAGACATTCATCCATATATTAAAGAAGCTATAAGAACCTTATGCAGTAAATACAAAGAAAATCATCCCTAGTCATATCATAGTCAAACTGCTTAAAGCTAAAGACAAAGAGAAAACCTTATAAAGCATCCAGAGAGAAGATATGTTACTTTCAAAGAAACAAAGATAACAGCTAAAAATAATGGAAGCCAAAAGGCAATAAAATGATAGCTTCAAAGTGCAGGAAAAAAAAACTATCAACCTAGATTCTCTATCCAGAATACTACTTTTAAAAATTAAGGAAAAATGGAGACATTCTTTGACAAAAGCCAAGATAATTTCTCACCAGAAGATTAATGCTAAAGAAGATAATAAGTAGTATTCTCCAGGTAGAAGAAAAGTGATCCTTCATGGCAATTTAGGAATTCAGGATGAAATAAAGAACAATGTAGAGGATAAATAATAAATGGATAGATCTAAATGAATACTGATTGCATAAATTAATATGTTTATCTTTTTATATGATAGGGTTTGTAATGATAATAGGTTTATTATTGTGGTAACATGTTTATAATTATTACATTAAGATAATATACAGTTGACTCTTAAACAACACTGGGGTTAGTGGTGGTGACCTGCTGCACAGTTAAAAATCCATGTATAACTTTTTATTGATTTATTTTTAATTACAATTTTTTAAATTTAAGAGATAGGTTTTGCTATGTTGCCCAGGCTGGTCTCAAACTCATGGGCTCAAGTGATCAACCCACCTCAGCCTCCAAAACTGCTGGGATTACAGGTATGAGCTACTGCACCTGGCCAAAAATCCATGTATAACTTTTGACTCCTCAAAAACTTAACTACTAATAGCCTATTGCTGATCAGAAGCCTTACTGAAAACACAAATAGTTAGTTAACACATATTTTATAAGTTACATGGATTGTATGCCATATTCTTATAATAAAGTAAGCTAGGGAACCTGCACATTGTGCACATGTACCCTAAAACTTAAAGTATAATAATAATAAAATTAAAAAAAATCATAAGGAAGAGAAAATATATTTACTATTTGTTAAGTGGTGTGTGGATCATCATAAAGGTCTTCATCCTTGCCGTCTTCATACTGAGTAGGCTGAGGAGCAAGAGGAAGAGGAGGGGTTGGTCTTGGCTGTCTCAGTGGTGGCAGAAGTGAAAGGAAATCTATGTGTAAGTAGACCTATGCAGTTCAAACCCACGTTGTTCAAGGGTCAACTATACATAGAATTGAAACACATGACAATAAAAACATTTAAATTAGGAGGTAGTAAGTGGAGTTAAAGTGTTCCAAGGACCTTTTGTTTTCTGACAAATGGTAAAAGCACACACACACACGCACATATATATGCATATGTGCGTGTGTGTGTGTGTGTGTGTGTGTAGATGGAAACTTAGGGATTCAGAATGAAATAAATGTGTGTAGGGGTGTGTGTGTGTTTATGTGTGTGTGTGTGTGTGTGTGTGTGTGTGTGTGTGTATACTATTTTTTGAGATAGGGTCTTGCTCTGTTGCCCAGGCTGGAGTGCAGTGGCACAAATATGGCTCGCTGCAGCCTCGGCCTCTTGGGCTCAAGCAGTGCTTCTTCCAACTCAGCCTCCTAAGTAGCTGGGACCACAGATGCATGCCACCACATCCAGCAAATTTTAAAATTTTTTCGTAGAGACAGGATCTCACATGCTGCCCAGGCTAGACTTATTTTTTCTGGTACATCAGGGATGTATGTTGCAATCTCTAGGTAAATCCATAAGACAGTAAAAGAATGTATAAATAATAAGATAATTGAGAGTGTTATGTAATAATACATATTGAATATTTTCAAAAAGAAAATAATGAAGATGGGAAAAAGGGAGCCTATACTAGATGATGCAAAAGAAAGGTAACAAGATGATAATATATTTAAAATCGAATGAATTACATATTTTAATTAAGGGATGAAGATTATTAGACTGTTTAGAAAAACAAAGTCAACAATATGCTGCTTACAAGGGACTATCATAAACAGGAGGATAGATTGAAAATAAATGGATAGAAAAAGATAGATGAAAAGAAAGCTGAAATAGCTTTGCTAATATCAGACAAAGTATAATTTCAGGCAAAAATATTACTAGAGGTAAAGAGGGATATTTCTTTTTTTTTTTTTGAGATGGAGTTTTGTTCTTGTTGCCCAGCCTAGAGTGCAATGGCGTGATCTCAGCTCACCGCAACCTCTGCCTCCCAGGTTCAAGGGATTCTCCTGCCTCAGCCTCCTGAGTAGCTGGATTACAGGTATGTGCCACCACACCCAACTAATTTTTTGTATTTTTAGTAGAGACGGGGTTTCTCCATGTTGGCCAGGCTGGTCTCGAACTCCCGACCTCAGGTGATCTGCCCACCTCGGCCTCCCAAAGGCCTGGGATTACAGGCATGAGCCACAGTGCCTGGTAAAAGAGATATTTCATAATGATAAAAAGTGTAATTCATAAGGAAGATTTGGAAATTTAAAATTCATTTATATCAAATAATGTAATCTCAAAGTCAACAAAACTAAAAGAAAATAGATAAGCCCACAATCACATTAAGGGATTTTAATATGATCCGATGAAATAAAAAGGTATAGGTTTACAATATTTGATCAACATGATTAATAAGTTGGCCTAATTGACATACCTACAACATTGCACCCAACAACTACAGAATACACATTATTTTCAAGAGCTTATGGAACATTTAACAAAGCAGACCATATGTTAGGCCATAAGGCAAGTCTCAACAAATTTCAAAGAACTGAAATCACACAGAATATGTTATCTGGCTATAGTAGATTTAAGCGAGAAATTAATCCAAAGATAACTAGAAAATTGCCCATGTGTTTGGAAAATAAACCATACATTTTTAAATAACTGATGAGTCAAAGAAGAAATTACAGTGGAAACTAGAAAATATTTTCAACCAAATGATAATGAAAAGATTACCTATAAAAACTTGTCGGAATTTTTACTCTGATCAAGATGAAGTACAGGGGCTGGATTTACCCTTCTGCTTTAAGCTACTAAAAAGTAGACAGACAAATGAAACAACATATATGATCACATATAATGGTGATTATATGAATAATTAAATTTCTATAACAGAAACAAGTGCACCAAAATGAGAACTCAGTGGATAGGTTTGATAGCCGCTTAGATGCAGCTGAAGAGAAAATTATTGTCCTGTATATAGGGGCATAAGGTTATTTTTGGGAAGTGACAGAGCTCTTCTCTGTCTTCACCATGGTGGTAGTTACACAACTGTATACATCTGTCAAAACTTGGAGCTGAACACTAAAAAGTGGAATTATTTTATGTAGATTATACCTT
Source organism: Homo sapiens (assembly GCF_000001405.40). Classification (NCBI taxonomy): domain Eukaryota; kingdom Metazoa; phylum Chordata; class Mammalia; order Primates; family Hominidae; genus Homo; species Homo sapiens. The sequence goes on from NC_000020.11 coordinate 51,149,740, forward strand.
CATAAAAAATGGGAAAAAGGCCGGGTGCGGTGGCTCATGCCTGTAATCCCAGCACTCTGGGAGGCCGAGATGGGCAGATCACCTGAGGTCAGGAGTTCAAGACCAGCCTGATCAACATGGAGAACCCCTCCCCGTAACTAAAAAAAATACAAAATTAGCTGGGCATGGTGGCGCATGCCTGTAATCCCAACTACTCAGGAGGCTGAGGCAGGAGAATTGCTTGAACCTGGGAGGCAGAAGTTGCGGTGAGCCAAGATTGCGCCATTGCATTACAGCCTGGGCAACAAGAGCGAAAGTCCATCTCAAAAAAAAAAAAAAAAAAAAAAAGAAAAGTCTTATTAGAGATAACTAAAGCTGTGCTTAGAAGGAAATATACAGCTTTAAATACATATATTAAGAAAATAATAAAAAGTAGAAATCAGATCTAAGCATCTGTTTTCATAAATTTGAGAAAGTACAGCAAATTAAACACAAAATAAAAAGAAGGAAATAATAATGTTAGGAGTAACAAATAATGAAATTGAAAACAAATATATGAAGGAAAGGCTCACAAAGCCCAAAGCTTGTTGAAAAGATGAATAACATTTTTACTCATTTTTGATCCTTAGCAATTGATCAGGAAAAACAGAGAAGGCCTAAAATGATCAGGATCAAGAATTTAAAAAGGGCATCACTATAGGTCAAATGAACATGAAAAAACATAATAAGAGGATATTATGAACAACTTTATGACAGTAAATTTAGATAAAATGAACAAATTCCTTTAAAAAACACATCATAAATCTGATACAAGAAAAAAGTAAAAATATAGAGTCCTTTATCTATTAAGAAAATTGAATCTAATTTAAAACCATTTAACAAGGAAAACTTCAAGCAGGTCTAGATGGTTTCTCTGGCAAAAAATTTTTAAACATCTGTGGAAGAAATAATACAAATAGACAAATCCTTCCAGTGGATAATAAGGACTCCTTTCTCACTCATTTTAGGAAGCTATTATAACCCCGATAACAACATCTGACAGGAACATTGTAAGAAAGGAAAATTTTAGACCAATCCCTCTTTTAAGTATAGGCGCAAATATTCTAAACATATTAGCACACTTTAAAATCTGGTATATATTAAGAGTAATATGTTAATTTGTGCAAGAAATTAAGAAAAAGTAATACGTCATGACCAGTTGGATATATTTTAGAAATGCAAAGATAGTTTAACATTTAAAATTCATCAATGCAATTTCCCATATTAATATAATAAAGGCATAAAATTATTTGATTATCTCAATATAAACAGAACAAGCTTTTGATAAATTCCAACATTCGTTAGTATAAAAATTCTTAGCAAACTAGGAGTAGAAGGGGAACGTTCTTAGCAAACCAGGAGTAGAGGGGAACTTTCTTAGTCTAAAAGGGTATATTTGTAAAAACCTTGGTAAAATGTTGAAAGAATGGATGCCTGCTAAATATGACTGGTACAAAACGTTGTACTGAAGGTCCTAGTCAGTGCAATAAAACAGACAAAAAATGTATAAAGGTTAGAAAGGAAGAAATAAAATGATCAACAGATGACATATTTGAGTAATTAGAACATCTGGAAGAATCTGCCAATAAATTATGGGAATAATAAATTAATTTTATCAAAGTCCCTAGATACAAGTTTAACATTAAAAAAGTTGATCTCATTTCTATATAACAAAGGGAAACAATTATAGAATGAGGTTTTAAAAGCAATGCTATTTACAATAGTATCAAAAATCAAATAGCTAGGAATGAATCCACTGAAAGATATGTAAGAGTCTCTGCAGAAAACTCTAAAATATTAGGGAGAGAAATGTTAAAAGACATAAATAAATGCAGAGAGATACTATATTCATGAATTGGAAGGTTCGATATTGTAAAGCTATCAGTTCTCACGAAATCTACAGGTACGGTGCAATCCTCACAATCTCAACAGGTTTCTTTTTTGTGTTTGGAAATTGATAAACTGATTCTTAAATTTATACAAAAATGTAAAAGTCCAGGGACAACCAAGACAACCACAGAAAGGACAAAGTTGGAGGAAAGACTTAGTAACAGATGACAATAACGAGGAGAGTGTAATATTTGTGCAAGGATACACAAGCAGACCAGCAAAAAAGAATAGCAGTTTCTAGAAACAGACCCACAAATATAAAGTAACATGATTTATGACAAAGGTGGCCTTTCTGAGTAATGGGGAAAGAGTGGTCCTTTCAACAGATATAGCTGGGTCAATCAGCTATCCATAAGGAAAAGTGGTGAAACTTGACTCCTACGTGAGAATAATCAGTTCCAGGTGGATTTTTTTTCTTTTTCTTTTTTTTTGAGACAGTCTTACTCTGTTGCCAGGCTGTAGTGCAGTGGCATGATCTCAGCTCACTGCAAACTCCGCCTCCCGGGTTCTAGCGATTCTCCTGCCTCAGCCTCCCGAGTAGCTGGGACTACCAGTGCCTGCCACCACGCCCAGCTAACTTTTGTATTTTTAGTAGAGACAGGGTTTTACCATGTTGTCCAGGTTGTCTCGATCTCTGGACCTTGTGATCCGCCCGCTTTGGCCTCCCAAAGTGCTGGGATTACACGCATGAACCACTGCGCCCAGCCCCAGGTGGATTTTAAATCTAAATATGAAAGGTAAAACAATAAAGCCACTGGAGGATAGGAGAATATCTTTACGACTTTGGGGCAAGAAAAGATTTCTTAAGTAAGGCACGAATAGCACTTACCATAAATGAAAGACCTATACATTGGATTACATTAAAATTAAGAACTTTTGTTCATCAAGTCACGTTAAGAAAATGACAATCAGAATGAGTGAGGTGTTTGCAATACAAATTACTGAAAAAAGGGTCATATTCACAATATGTCATGAATTTTTACAAAGCAATAAGAAAAGGAATAGGAAAAAAATATAAATAAACTTCACGAAAGAAGATATTCAATGAACTAGTGCTCAGCCTCAATGTTTGTCAGGGAAATGCAAATGAAATTTGCAATGAGATGCTACTACAGATCCACCAGAATGGCTGAAATTAAAAGGACCAACAATACTAACGATGTAAAACAGCTGGAACTCTCACCCACTGCCGTTGGGAGTCTAAACAACCACTTTTGAAAACTGGCTAAAGTATCTGCTAAAGATAAACATACACATGTTTTCTGGCCCATTGTTTCCTTTCCTAGTATGTAGTCAACAGAATTGTGTATATCTGCACACCAAAGACATAAATATCCTCAAACTAGAATGTATCCAAATGGCCAGCAATAGTATAATGGATTAAAAATCATAGTACATTCCCACAGTGAAATATTGTACAGTCAAAAAAAGAACAACTTACAACTACTGCAACAATATAAGTAAATCTCAGAAACAATGTTAAGCGAACAAACCAGACGTGAAAGAGTCCTATTGCGTTCATATAATGTTAATATGTAAACATATAAATTTGAAGTTATTAATATAAAGTTTTAAAACTGGGAAAACAATTGTTGTCTTAGAAGTCAATAATGTGATTACCTTTGGAAGAGGGGGCAGGAAAGAATGATTGCTAGCAGGCCCAGCAAGTCTTTTGGGATCCTTTGATGTTCCAGTTTTGACCCGGGTTGGGGTTGCACAGGTAAGCTTGCTTTGTGATCATTCAGTAAGCTGTACACTTAGGACTTCCACACTTTTCTATATGTGCATTATGCATCAACAAAAAGTTTAAAAGTGCAAACTAGAAATAATAAATATTTGGAAAAGTAATTTCATTTAGCAAACAATTAGCGGATGGCTCTGATGTGCCAAGCACTGTGCTGAGGAAGCAGTGAACAAGTTGGTCAAGGTCCCTTCCCATAAGGTGCTTACCCCATGTGTGTGTGTGTGTTCTGCAGCAAATCAAGAATTATAATTTACTCTTGACTGGGAAAGAGCAGGGTGCTATGGGAGCCTGTGGAAAGGGCACCTGACGTTTCTGCAGGCAGTGGTTTCTCTGATGGGAACTGAAGGATGACTAAGAGTTGAGCAGGTATTGATCTGCAGTAGCTGAAAAAGAAATAGGAAAAAAGGAGAGTTAAGCAGGTAAAGGAAGTGAAGGAACAGCACTCCAGGCAGAGGGAATAGCATATGCAAAGGCTCCATAGAGGTAAAAGAACATACATCACTTTTAAAGAACCCAAAGAAGTTCATTGTGAGAAAGTAACAGAAAGGTAGAAGAGTTAGGCAGTGGCTGAATCATGAAGGTTCCTCTAAACCATGCCAAGGAGGCTGGGAGGCTGGAGTTTTTTTCTGAGGGCAATAGGGAGCTGTCCAAGGATAATAATGGGTGAAAGGAGTGGATAATAAGGTCAGATGATCCTTGAAGGGATAATGATGGCTTCTGGATGGTCAAGGGTGGAGGAACAGAGAATGGTGAGATGGATGCTCAGAGGAGGCAAAGGAATGGTAGCAGAGAAAAGAATGGGTGAGAAAAAGATGGAGTTTGAGAAAGGTTTAGGAAGAAGAATAGACAGGACCAGGTGCTGGCTTGGCTTGAGAGGTGGTGGGGCTGACTGTCAATACTTGGGCAGTAGCAAGTCATTTCCAACAAGATTTGCTGGAGATGAGCAGGTGACGGAGGTGGCCCAGCCGAGAGAGACCCTCAAGCCTCATCTTGCATTCACCACACAGCAGCTTCGGCTGCTGCACCGTTGCAGTCCTGCTGCTTCTGGCTAATCTACATCCAACCTTCTGTTCAGAACCAAGCCCTAGGGAGGCTGCTGGGGGAAAGCAAAGCCTGGCACTAAAGAAGCATCCTGACAAAATAATTACAGTGTCAGCAAGACAGCCGTGAGTTGCAAATAAAATTTAAATAATCCGAGTGCTGCATCCAACCTGGGGGGCTAATTCAAATACTCTATGCTTCAACTGGGGATCTTTGAATCACCTGCTGACCTGGACTCCCCCCTTCCAGAAGCTGGGAATTGAGGGTTAAGTGGTCTGGGTAATTTGGGACCACCAGGGGACCCATGATCTGATATTGGCAGCAGGTCAGCACAGTCCTGTGAACCTCCTGATGGCAATGTCTGTGATGACCATCTGTTGTTTTGACCAACCTAGCTCACATTCCTTCTTCTGGAAGCAGCACCTTGTTTTTTGTTTTTTTGTTTTTTTTGTTTTGGTGTGTGTGTGGGGAACCTCCCCTTCCTCACTCTTAGTCCACTTGGCTCAGATGGATCTGACACCACTCTCCCGCTCCACTGCACTGCAGATGGTAGGTGGGGGCTTCCTGCAGAAAGAGGGGTCTTCCCATGAAGTTCCTGCGAGGATTGGATTGGTCCCGCCTGGGCTATGTGCCCATCCATGACCCAGTTTCTGTGGCTTCGAGGTGGGGCACTCTGATTGGTGATTGGATGGACAGGGGCCATATGCCACCCTTCCGATGGAGAGGGTGCGTTGAGTCACTCACAGCTGCACGAGGGCAACAGGGCAGCTATCGAATGATATCTTTTTCAGAAATGGGTTCCTCCGAGCAATGACAGGGGAAAGGAGGGCGGATGACCTCTATCCCTGCCCCAGTTCACATCTCCAGCTTCCTTCCCCACAAATTCGTATATTTTTGTCTTCCCAGCCGCTGTCTCCCTTCTTTTGACAACAAAATATGAATCTTCCCATCTCTCTTCTCTTGTGCAGCTTGGAGAGACCGTTGGTCCAGGCTTCCTGCCCTCTTCTGTCAGGAGCTGGGCCTGGGACTGAGGTTTGTGTGGGTCTTTGACTCAAGGATTAAAAATGGCGGGTGCTGCCTGGGGCAGGATGACGCCTAGCCGACTTTCCACCCACGCTACCCAGACCCACGGGGTTGCCCTGGTTCCTGCCCTTTCCCAAACCCGGCTTTTTAGCTTTCCTTTTATCTTTTGGGCCAGCCCATATTCCTTTTATTTTTTTAAAAAAATCTTAACCCTTTGATCTTTCTTTTTGTGAAAAATTATGGTAAAATTCACATTACACTAACCATTGTAAAGCGTACAATTCAGTGGCGTTTAGTATATTCACAATGCTGTGCAACCAGCCCTTCTATCCCGTTCCAAAACATTATCATCGCCCGGAAAGGAAACCCCTTACCCGGGAAACAATCGCTTCCTCTTCCTGTCTCTCCCCAGACCCTGGCAACCAAAACTGCTTTCTGTCTCTGGATGTACCTATTCTGGATATTACATGTAAATGGAGTCATACAATACATGAATTTTTGCGCCTGGCTTCTTTTGGTTAACAAATGGTGTTTGAGGGTCACTTGCATTGTAGCCTGTGTTAATGCCTCATTCCTTTCTAAGGCTGGAGAATATTCCCTTGTATGGATAGACCATATTTTACGTAACCATTCGTCAGCTGATGGCCATTTGGGTTGTTTCCACCTTTTGGCTGTTGTGAATAGTGCTGCTAGGCTCACGTTCTCTCAGTACATTTTTTTTTCTCTTACGTTTTCCAGAATTGGCTTCTGTTCATGGCTATTGAGAAATCCTTACTGATGGAATGCCAAAAAGGCTTTATTTTCAGGGCTCCAGAACACATAGTCCGAGGAAGGTGAAAATGTAAAAAACATCTCCGATGAATTAGACTCAGCAGGGAACGGTCCCAGTTCCGGGAGGACTTTTGTGAATGATCACTGAACGCCGTGGTTGGTGCCTCAGCTCGGGGCCCTCTGAGAGGTGCCATTTGCTGAGAATGCTTTGGAGAAAGGAAGCCAAGAAGGCACTCCTCAAAGGATGGCAGCTGGGATCATTTTAAGTTTTTATCCATCCCCTTTGGAATGGAGAGGAGCTAGGGAAGCGAGCCTTTGGGGACTCAATGATTGCAGCCCTTCCCCCAGCTGGTCCAACAGTAAAGCGACAGATACATGCTGAGAGAGCAGAAGCTTTTAGGTGCTGATTATAACTTGGGTGACAAGTGACAAGATGCAGGCAGGCCTGGGTAAGATAAAAAGATCGCAGCAGCTGACAGCTATTGATGCTTCCTGCACACCCTGCTCTGTGCTGAACCCTCTGCAGGCATCGTCTCATTTACCCCTCACAGCAGCCTACGGGGAAGGCACTAGTGCTAGCCTCACTCTGCAGAGAAGAAGGGGGTGCACAGAGTGGCTTAGGCACTCGTCCCAGATCACAGCAGGAAGTGGCAGAGTGGTGCTCTTAAAACAGTGAAGAGGAGGCTGTAAAAGGCAGCTCAGCATCTGGCTACATGTGTATCTGTGTCCTGTTTCACAGATGCCTTAATTCTCTTCCAGGGAATCATGGAGGTTCCTCTCCAGGGGAGAAGTGGGGCTTACTGAGTGGGAAGTTTGGGGGTTCAGTTCCATGAGGTTCCTGGGAGGTTTGGATTGGTCCTGTCTGGGCCATGTACCTGTCCATGCCCCAGTCTCTGTGGCTGGGAGATGGGGCACTCTGACTGGTAATTGGGTGGACACGGGACATATGCCACCTCTCTGACAGAGAGGGTGGGTTGAGTTACTCACAGTTGCACAAACTCAGAAATGGGTTCCTCTCAGCAATGACAGGGGGAAAGAATGGCAGATGACCTCTGTCCCTGCCTCAGCTCACACCTCCAGCTCCACAAAGAGCAATGGTCCTGGAGTCACTTGCTGGCTGGGTGAATTAGGCAAATGACTTAGTATTTCTGAACCTGTTTTTCTCATCTGCATAAAGGAAACAATAGCAGGCTCTCTCTCATAGGATGATTGTGAGGATTAAATGAGCTAATGTTTGCAGAAGTCCTTTATCAACTGTGATAGCCCCATGGATTTGCTTTATCTTCTACTTGGTACCCCTCCCTGTCTCCCTTATTATTAAGGTGTGTCTGTGGCCCAGTCACCCCAGGGCAGGAGTGGTCTGCTCCTTGCAAAGTGAGCGCTCATCTAATAAGCATGTTGGGTGCCGATGGGTTAAGAGCATCCTTGTGAAACTGAGGATAGCTAATAATGATCATCTGTGATATGTTTCAAGCACTGAGCCACGGGCTTGCCATACAGCCATGTGACCCTCACGCGATTCCTCCCAGGTAGGGTCTGGTATTATGCTCACTTTATTGAATAAGGACACTGAGGCTCAGAGAGGGAGGGAATGTGCAGAAGGACCCTCAGCTAATGAGGTTCAGAGCTGGAACTCGAACCTAGGTCTTTCAGATTCAACCTGTGGCCTTACCAATGGTGCAATAGCCCTTTGTGCAGCTAAAGTTGGCCTTCCCACACAGCAGAGAGTGCTTGGGAGAGCAGCTTTTGGCCAGCATTCGACAGGGGCATTTCTTGACTCACTAGAGCAATCCAAATGTGTAACTTGCTGCCTTTCCTACCCGTGGGCTGCTCCAGTATCTTGCAGAGAGCGTGGGGTGGGAGTGGGGAAAGATGAAGAGACACAGGGCAGTCCTTGGGGATGGCAGCATAAGTGTACAGCACCAGTGCTAATAATCAGCAGCTCAGTGAGTGCTTATTCAACACACATTCATTCATTCGTACATATGTGGGAGTCAGGTATGTTTTGTTTTTAGGGTTTACAGGGACCTATGGGGGAAATGAAGGGATGCTAAGGTACATTCCTTACTGTGGTGGGCATCTGATGTTGTAAATCCCTCTTTCCCGCCTCTTCTGATAACAGCACCAGTGCTCTTTTGGAGGACGTACCCACTCCGGTTCAGGTGGCTGAGGAGGGGCTGAGCACCGCGTCCTCTGACCAAGGTTAGCAGTTCCGGGGTGGGTCAGCCTGTGTGGAAGGCAGCAGAGCTTGGAGATGCAACATCCAGAGGGGATCTCTTAGCCTACTGGATCCAGTTAGATGTGTCCCTAGAGTTTTCACTTATGAGAGGCAGTAAGCCCCTTTAAATAATCAACCCCGTTTGAATAGAGTTTCTACCATATGCACACTTGACCACAAGGAGTTTATGATCTCACCGAAAAAAACAAGAAGGAATAGCCTTCTACTTGATTGTTATACTTGCATGTGCATATAGGTATATACATCTGTTTATGTTTAAGAGATTATTCTATGTTTAAGAGATTATCCTATACTCACGAAGAGCTGGATTTTAGTTCTGGCTTTGACTCTAAGTCATAGTGTGAACATGGGCCAACACCACTTCCTCTCTGAGCCTCAGTCTTCCCATCTGTGAAATGAATGCCCTGGGCTCTCTGCTCCCTAAAGCCAAGTCCCTTCCACTCTTTTTTTTTTTTGAGACACAGTTTCGCTCTTGTTGCCCAGGTTGGAGTGCAGTGGCACGATCTTGGCTCACTGCAACCTCCGCCTCCTGGGTTCAAGCTGTTCTCCTGCCTCAGCCTCCTGAGTAGCTGGGATTACAGGCACGTGCCACCACAGCCAGCTAATTTTTTGTATTTTTAGTAGAGATGGGGTTTCCCCATGTTGGCTAGGCTGGTCTTGAACTCCTGACCTCAGGTGATCCACCCGCCTCGGCCTCCCAAAGTGCTGGGATTACAGGCATGAGCCCCTGCATCCAGCCCCTTTCACTGTTATATACTAGGAATTTAAGATTAGTATCTGTGGGATGGCTGGAGACAAAATAATGAGAAACCAAGAAAACATTGATGTGCCCTCCGCTAGCCTCAGCATTCTGCTTGTTGATGCAGAAATGAGAAGGACCTAGGACCTGACTGGAAGGAGGAGCCGGGATTTGTGTATGGGAGGCCGCAGCAGCCTGGCCATGGGTTCTGCTGCCTCCTGCAGATGCGTAAAACATTGATAAGGATGATGCCTGCAAAGCGCCCTTCACAGATGGCTGTGGGCTGTACCCGGAGCGCGGGGAAGGAGATGAGAAAAGTAAGAGCAGTTGGCTTCAGATCAGCCCCAGATAGTGGCATGGGGATTGAAGCTTTTAACACAGACCTTGAATGCCCGTGACCCACAGGAACAGTGGCCAATGTTCTAAACTAAGGAGATGCAAAAACATCCAGCTCAGTCTCCTCTGCCTCTCAGACTCCAGACATGTCAGAGGAGGATATGACAACAAGCTTAGAGAGGCAACTGGCTTTTTCCCCTGAATCTCTGGTGGAACCGATCCTCCTGAGCTGAGATAACCATTTACACTATTGATTGACTGATTGATTTCTAAAGGTGAAAAGCATATTTGTTAGGGTCTGTTTGGCTCCAAAACCCCTGAGTAACAGCAGCTAAAAGGATAAGAATATCACTCCTGTCTTAACAAGGTGTCTGGGCAGAAGTACCAAGATACCGCACGTCATAAAAATGTCATCAGGGAATTAGGCCCTTTCCCAGTCTCCTTTCTGGGTTGACCCTCTGTCCTTGAATTTGTTATCTCCAACCCTAAGATGGTTGCCACAGCTCCAGGTGTTGTGTCTCTGATCCTCTTCTGCATCCTAGGGAGGAGGCAGGGCATAGGTGAGAGGCTCTCTTTGTAAGCCGAAGCCTTTTGATCTGAAACATTCACTTTCTAGTAGCCTTTGAAGAGACCTGCTTATACAACTCATCGGCCAGAATGGAGGGACACATCCCACTCCAGGCTGTAAAGAGCCTGGGATAAGTGTTAGTGCATAGAGGCAGAGGAGAAATGGGCTGATCAGGTGGTTGATGGTGGACCAAGGCAGAACAGGGATGAACATAAGCCCTAGGAGGGGCCTCCCATATGTTTCTCCACTGGGGGCTGAGTCTGAGGTTGGCTTACAGATTGTCTGGTCCCCGATTCTTCTCTTGGTTTGACCACTTGCTCACCATGTACCCACAAAGTACAAGACAGAGGTTTCAGTTTGTGGAGCAGAGGCTAGAATTGAATCCCAGTGGGAATGAACTAATTTGCAGACGCTATCTCCAAACTTAAATATTTGATACCCATTAAGCCTGTCTAACCAAAGCATCTCCCCAGGCATGAGTCACCAAACTTGACCTGCTCTCCACCCTCGGATCTAGTCAGGCTAGACAACACTGCTGTCAACAAATTTTAGGATCTCTGTGGCTGAACCTGGATGTTTACTTTTCATGCACACAGAGGCTACTGTGGATCTAGAGCCTCTCCATGGAAGCTCCCTGCAGATGGGTGGCTCCAGTCTCCAAGGGCTTCCATCTTATAGCTATACGTGGCTCCAGGGTCCCTGTGGCAGGGGAGGAGACCCACAGGCTTATGTACTGGCTCTTAAATGCTTCAGCCGGGAAGGGACACAGCTCCCTTCTGCTCACAGCCCATTGGCCAGAAGTAGTTACATGGCCCCACCTAACTCCAAGGGACCAGCCCACGAGGAGGAGTGCATGGATGGATGGGAGTGGGAACCGTGGCTCCACACCTGCCCTGTATGGCTCCCCGCCACCCTCAAGGTCAAGTCCTTACCCCAACCTCTCAGGCTTCCCCAATCCCCACTGCACAGCCCATGGTTCAGGGACACAGAGGCACTTCAGTACTCACAGCAGGCTTTCCGCAAGCTTCGCTCCTTGCCTTCACACATGCTGTCCCTCTGTCCCTTCCCCTTCTCCTGGGTGATTCCTGCTCATTCTTCATGTCATGGTTATTTATGTGTCAACTTGACTGGGCTAAGGGAAGCCCAGATTGCTGGTTAAACATGACTTCTAGGTGTATCTGTGAGGGAGTTTCTGGAAGAGCTGAGCATTGGAATCCATAGACTGTGTAAAGAAGACCACCCTGCCCAATGTAGGCATGCATCATCCAGTCCTCTGACAGCCCCAGTAGAACAAAAAGGTGGAAGAAGCATGAATCTGTTTCCTCCATTGGAGGTGGGACCTCCATCTTCTCCCACTCTCAGACACTGGTGCTCCTGGTTCTCAGGCCTCCAGACTCAGACTGGGAATTGCACCCCAGGCTATGAACTTGAACTGAATTACATCACTGGCTTTTCTGGATCTCCAGCTTGCAGAGGGCACATCACGGGACTTATTGGCCTTCAGAATCACGTGAGCAAATTCTCATAATGAATCTCCTCTTATAAATCTGTCTGCATCCTGTTGGCTCCATTTCTCTGGTGAACGCCAACTCCAACACTTCATGGCTCATCTTGGGTTCTGTGTTTTCCCTTCCGTTCAGGGGATCGGGTGTGTTCGGTGGGCTCCCCTCACCCCCTCCATGTACACCATTGACGCCTCATCACCCGGTATTTTATCTATCTGTTTCCTTGGCTCTCCCGCACTAGCCCACAAGGTATGCCTTGGTGCTGTTAACCGTGTATGCCCAGCATCCAGGGCAGTGTCTCACACAGAGTAGGAACCCAATGACCATCAGTTGATTAAAAAAAAAAAAAAAGCAGTGAATAAATGTTTATTTCAGTTGCTTTAAATCCGTATCTTGGAAAATATGGAATGAAGAGAGGTAAATAAGTTTCATTAGAGATCCGTCTGTAAAAAAAAAAACATAGCTTCCTGATGACACGTGGCTGTTTCCTGAGGACAGAGAAGGAAGCTGCATCCCTGCCTGTCCTTTAGAGTAACGCAGGCTGAGACTCCAAGTCCAGCCCTGTCACCAGGAAGCCACAGGACCCTGGGAGAGTCACTTCCCCATTTTGAACCTTGCTGATCAGATGGGGATGATAACAGTATCTGCTTCGAAGTCTCATCGAAGAGGGCATGTGAAGCCCTCAGCACCCGGCAGGTAGACTGCATGCTCTCAGTGAGCATCAGTTCTTGGTATGATGGTTTATTATTTCTAATGATCAAACCATATTAGTATTGGGGCTTAAAGAATCCTTTAAAGAATGCAGCTTGTGCTGGCATTTAGAGATGGGAGTGCGTTCTGATTCCACAGCTAGCTGGTGGGGGGCCCTCAGTTCCTTCACCTCCACAATGACCCTCTCTTTATTTCACAAGTTTGTTCTCGAGGTCCTGTGAAGTAACTACAAAATCTCGTTTCTTTACTCAAGCACACCGCGAGCTTGGTGTGCTTGAATGCTTGGTGTGCAGGCTGTGAGGGTAGCTCTGGCGCTGGGTTGCTAGAGTTGGACTCCCAGCTGTGCCACTGGCTGTGTGGCTGGAGCTGCTAACCCAGCCTTTCTGTGCCTCAGTTTCTTCATCTGTAAAATGGGGATCCCAGCAGTACTTATGACTCGCGGGGTTGTTGTGGGAATTGTGTTAAACACATCAAACATTTAGAAAGTCCTTGGAATATAATAAGTGCTCAATAAATGTTGGTTGATATGATTCTTGTTATTGTCAGATGCTAACGACAGGTGTGGAGGATGGAGTGGTTCCTCCCCCCGTGGAGCACACGGGGAGCAGAGGAGCAGGAGAGGTAAATGAGCAATCAAAGCCCGGGTAGAAAGTTCTACACGCAGGAGATTAAGAGGGAGCCAGCACAAATGTGGGCCGAGGAGCCAGACTGGCTTGGCTCAGAATTCTCGCCTCACCCTTATTAGCTGTAAAAACGGGACTGGCACCAGGAATTACCCACCTCACCCAATGTCGGGAGGAGGAACTGAACACCAGCATGCTTAGAGCAATACCACTCCGCATTGCCAGAGGGGTTAGGCATTCTTTTCACTGCCAACCCCCCAGGTGGAAGACAAGGGAAGGCTGAGATAAGGATGAGTTGGGGGAAGGCACAGGGGTGGGGTGGGGTGGGCTGGAGCCAGGTGATGGTGGAGAAAGAAAGAAGCTCTGCATGGCCCCCGCGGGATACGTGAGGCAGCACAATAAGCACCAAGGCTGCAGATGGCTGGGACCATCTTCTTATGTGTTCTTTCAACAGAGGTTTACCGAGCACCTTCTACAACCAGGCCCTGGGGGGACACTAGTGCACAGGACTCAGCTAAGGGCTTAGCTCAGGGTAATGGGGAGCCAAGGGGGGGATATTGTGCAGGGAACAAAAGGAAAAAATATGCCTTTGAGAAAGATGTGGAGGGCCAGGCACGATCATGCCTTTAATTCCCGCACTTTGGGAGGCCAAGGTGGGAGGATTGCTTGAGACCAGAAGTTCAAGACCAGCCTGGGAAACATAGTGAGACCCCACCCCCCACCATCTCTACAAATAATAATAATAATAATAATAATAATAATAATAATAATAATTAGCCGGGTGTGGTGGTGCATGCCTGTACTCTCAGCTACTTGTGAGGCTGAAATAGGAGGATCACTTGAGCCAGGAGGTCAAGGCTGCAGTGAGCTATGATCACACCACTGCACTCTAGCCTGGGCAATAGAACAAGACAGCTTCTTAAAAAATAAAAATAAAAAAAAAAAGATGTGAAGGCTGAATCAGAGAGGATCCCAGATCCCAGATCCCAGCACAGATGTGAAGGGTGTCATCCTGGCCTAGTCCTAATAGAGTTGTCCTGATAAAGGCCAAAACTGCAGCCCTCAGCCCTTTTCCTCCCTCACTCTCAGACCTCCAGGGCCCATCGGAAGGGTTGCCATATAAGATACAGGATACCCAGTTAGATTTGGACTTCAAATAAACAACAAATAATTTTTTAGTATGAGGCTGTCCCAAATATTGCACAAGACATGCTTATATAAAACACCTGCTAACGCTGGTCAGCCTACCTCCATGGGGTCGCATCCGAGAGCTGACGGGCAGCATTTGGTGGAGTGCCAGTTACTTCAGAGTGTTCACCTGAGCTCAGCCTACAGCCGGATGAGGACAGGGCTAACACCAGGGACGTTTTCTTTGCAAGATGAGTCAGAGAGAAGACAGAGGAGCTCTGCCGGCCTCCTCGGGCCCCCAGGTTTACTTCTTTCCTCTTTTCCAGCTGACCAGGGTCTTTCTCCCCTGCCTGGGAGGACTTAAGCCAGGCAGCTTCCTTGAGTCAGTTCAGATGCTGAACAGATAAGACACAGCTCTTTGTGCCCTGGGAGCTGAAGGATGCCAGCTGCACGCGAGATTCTTCAACTGTCTTACGAGGGCAGTCTTTGCAAAGCGCCCCCTCCATGGGCAGGAATAGCAAACACTACCATCGTTTAGGTCTGTTTTTTATGGCAGGCTTTTGGGAGTCAAATGTCTTTTGGTTTGAGTCTCAGTTTTGCCACCTACCATGTGCATGACCTTGGGCAAGCTGCTTCTCCCTCTTGGGTTCAGTGGCCAATCTCATGGGCTTGTGGGGAGTTGAAATGAGCAGATGTGGATAAAATGCTTAGCTCCATAGTGCCTGACACCTGGTCAGGCACCCAGAAAAACTACGGTGACACAACCCAAGAGATATCATCTCCATGTTACCAACAAGGAACCAGGCTCCCAGGGGCAAAGTCCAAGGGTGGGTATCCAGTAACCAGCTGAGCCAGACCTTGCCCCTGGCCCCTATGCTGAGGTTCACCTTCCTGAAACTTCACATCAGATCATGAAATGCCAACCCAGAAGGGTTCTCCAACTCCCAGAGCCCATGGACTTCTTGGAAAAGCTGAAACTTATTTGATTACGAGACTAATGCATATTCATTGAAGATAATTTAGAAAATGCAATTTTGCCAAAAGAAGAAAATAAAACTCACCAGCACTCTCACCACCCAGAGATAGTCACGGCTGACGTGCTGTGGTGTGTATTTTAAGGCCTTGAGGGAAATTTTAAAAACTTAAAACTGAGATTTCCTGCACTGCCTTTGATCACAGCCTGGGGCTTCGGCAGGGTGTCTCAGCCTCAGCACGGCTGACATTCTGAGCCGGATGGTTCTCTGTCGTGGCAATGTCCTGTGCACTGTGGGATGTTTAGCGGCATCCGTGACCTCCACCCACCAGATGCCAGTGGCGCCCCTCATAGGACAACCAAAAATGTCTCTGGATATTGCCAAGAGCTAAGTGCAAAATTGGCCCTGTGGGCCATCATTGGGTTTAGGTGTAGAGGCTCTGAAATCAGCCAGACCTGGTTTTAATCCCAGATTAGGCATAGACTCAGGCAAATTAGTTAATGACCATGAACCTCTCCGTCTCCATCTATGAAATAGGGCCAATACTTCCCATCTGGCACCATTGGTGTGAGGGTTAGAGGAGACGGTGTTTGGGACATGGAAAGCTTCAATACGAGAAAGCTGCTATTGATTTTGGCATCCTCATAGCCCGTGGCTTCTCTGATGAGGACTGACTTCAAAAAAACTCAAACAAATCAACAGCGGAAACTCACCTGCCTTTGGAAGACCCTTCACTCCTGAGTGAGATATGCAGCTTGTCTTAGAATGGTGGCAAGAGTTAAGATTGAGAGGGTGGCTATAGAGCCAGCCCCTCTGCTTTTGTGTCTCATCTCTGTCCCCCACTGCATGTGTAAGTGGCCTTGGGCAGATGACTGAACACTTCTGTGTCTCAGTTTCCTCATCTGTATCATGAAGGCAATGGCAGTACCCACCTCTTGGGGTTGCAAGGACTAAATGAGTTCACCCAATAAATGGCTTTATTAATAAATATTATTTGGTCAGTGCAAAAGTAATTGCTGTTTCTGCCACTACTTTTAATATTACACATGGCCAGTCTGGTGTAGGAGGGAAAGGGTACCTTAGAAACTACCAAAATGAAATTGTGCCTTGGAGAAACATTGAGTGAGAGGGAGGCTCTGGATGGACGAATTGACCACATGTGCCTGGCTATGCCTCTCTTCTTTCTAGACCCCAGGCACAATTGCTGTCCCTACTGCTCCAAGGCTTGTGAGTGACATTGGACTGGCCTCCATACCTGGAACATTGGAGTCTACACCCCAGGGAAATTTCAGTTTAAAAAATCCATTGTGTCCCAGGGGCTTCCAGGTGATTTTTTAAAAGTTAAAAAAATTATGGTGAAATATACACAAAATTGACCACTTTAAGTGTGTAATTCATTAAGTACATTTACACCCTTGTGCACAACACAAAATTAACCATTTTAAGTGTACAATGCATTAAGTATAATTGTATTGTTGTGCAACCATTACCACTATCCGTCTCTAGAGCCTTTTCATTTTCCCAAACTGAAACTCTGTACCCATGAACTCCCTCCTCTCAGCCCCTGGAAACCACCATTCAGCTTTCTGTCTATGAATTTGACTACTTTCAGTACTCCATATAAATGGAATTACGCAATATGTGTCCTTTTGTGACGGCCTTATTTTACTTAGCATAATGTCCTTAAGGTTCATCCATGTTGTAGCATGTGTTACAATTTCCTTCCTTTTTAAGGCTGCATAATATTCCACTGTGTTGATGTAGCACATTTTGTTTATACATTCATCTCCTGATGGGCATTTGGGTTGCTTCTGCCTTTTGACTATTGTGAATAATGCTGCTATCAACACTAGTGTCTATGTATCTGTTTGAGACCCTGCTTTCAGTTCTGTTGGGTGGATACCTAGCATCAGAATTGCTGGGTCATATGGTAACTCTATGCTTAGTTTTTTTGCGAAACCACTGTACTGTTTTCCACAGTGGGTGCACCATTCTACATTCCCATCAGCAGTGCATAAGGGTTGCAATTTCTTCACATCTTCACCAGTCCGAAGTGTTTTTAACCCAGCTGTCCTTTGGATTTTTACACACTGAAAACAGTATAGCGTATGTATGGGAGGGGCCCTTCTTCATAAAAATTCTTTGTATTTCTAAAGATCTTCAAACATTTCCAGTGAGCTGATGCATGTTTGAACTTCACAACAGTACAGCAGGGTAGAAAAGGTTGAGACCACTGTTTTTTTCTCTCAATCAATCTCTCCTTTTTGAGAAAGAGAGGCTGAAGAACAGCTCAGTGAGTCTGGGAGATTCCAAACTAGAACTCAGGTCTCCTGACCTCCTCGAGCCTTTTCCTAGAGCAAGCAGGTTGCCACCTACGGGTTCCCTGTTCCCAGTTGTGTTGCCTTGGGCTTGGGCTCAGGAGACTATTTTTTCTCGCTCTGTCGCCCAGGCTGGAGTGCAGTGGCACGATCTCGGCTCACTGCAAGCTCCGCCTCCCGGGTTCACGCCATTCTCCTGCCTCAGCCTCCTGAGTAGCTGGGACTACAGGCACCCGCCACAGCGTGCGGCTAATTTTTTGTATTTTTAGTAGAGACGGGGTTTCACCGTGTTAGCCAGGATGGTCTCGATCTCCTGACCTCGTGATCCACCCGCCTCGGTCTCCCAAAGTGCTGGGATTACAGGCGTGAGCCACCGCGCCCGGCCGAGACTATTTTTACTTTTTTCTTTTTTTTTTTTTTAAAGACAGGGTCTTGCTCTGTTGCCCAGGCTGAGTGCAGTAGTATAATCTTGGTTCACTGTAGCCGCAATCTCTTGGACTCCAGTGATCCTCTCACCTCAGCCTCCCAAAGTGCTGGGATTACAGGCATGAGCCACCACTGCACCACCATGCCTGGCTACTTTTTGTATTTTTTGTAGAGATGGGGTTTCACCATGTTGCCCAGGCTGATCTTGAACTCCTAGGCTCAAGTGATCCACCTGCCTCAGCCTCCCAAAGTGCTGGGATTACAGATGTGAGCTACTGCGCCCAGCCGAGATTTTCGACCTGCTTGTAAGCACAGAGGCAGCAGGATCTGTGAAACTTCCCAAGCCAGCCTCACCCCCAGTGCTCAGGGGCTATGGACATGCCAGGTGAGTCTTCAGCATGGCCTAGATTACAAAACCTCAGGGTTTGCCCCTCAAAACTTTTCTGCAGGGACCAAAAAGTGAAGGGAGAGGAAAAGACCCTCATAGGATTCTCTCCCCTGTCCTGGAGCACGCCACTGCCTTCACACCTGGGAGGCAGACATCAGAGATGTTTAAAGCTCTACTGTTTGAGGGACAAGATTTCACATGCGTGCCTCTTTTATCTGGTTTCTCTTTCACATATTTCATGAGATGATGGAGCAATTTGAAACATATGCTGTTTTTGGTGATTGTCATTTCTTCCTGTAGGTTAATTACCATTTGATATCATTTCTCTTCAGAATGAAAAGCTTTCTATAGCTGTTCTTATAGTAGAAGATTATGGTGATGAATTTGCTCCATCTTTTTTTATTTGAAATATCTTTATTTTGCTTTCTCTTTTCTTTTCCTTTCTCTTTTCTTTTCCCTCCCTCCCTCCCTTCCTTCCTTCCCTCCTTCCTTCCTTTCTCTCTCTCTTTCTTTCTTTCATTTTCTCTCTCTCTCTTTCTTTCTTTCTTTCTTTCTTCTTTCTTTCTTTCTTTCTTTGTTTCCTTCTTTCTTTCTTTCCTTTCTTTTTTTTTTTGAGACAGGGTCTTGCCCTGTCACCTAGGCTGGAGTGCAGTGGCTCAATCGTAGCTTGCTATAACCTCTAACTTCTGGGCTCAAGCGATACTCCTGCTTCAGCTTCCCAAGAAGCCAGGACTGCAGGCATGTACCACCATGCCCAGCTAGTTTTTATTTATTTATTTATTTTTATAGAGACAGGGTCTCCCTACATTGCCAAGGCTGGTCTCAAACTCCGGGGCTCAAGTGATTCTCCTGCCTTGGCCTCCCAGAGTGTTGAGATTACAGGCATGAACCACTGTGCCCAGCCTTGTTTTCATTTCTGAAGGATAGTTTCATTTGATAAAGAATTATGGATTCTTCTTTTTTTTCTTTGAACATCATGAAGATGTTACTCCCTCCTCTTCTGGCCTTCATTGGTTCTAATGAGAAGTCAGCCATAATTCTTATCATTATCTTCCAGTATATAATATGCTGCTTTTCTTTGACTACTTTCAAGGTTTTTTTCTTTATATTTGGATTTCAGGAATTTGACTGTAATGTGCCTCTGTAGAGCTTTAATCGTATTTATCTTATTTAAGGTTTGCTGAACTTCTTGGACTTGTAAGTTGATGTCTCTTACCAAATTTGGGAAGCATTTGGCCATTAATTCTTCAAATTTTTTCCTGCCCATGCAATCTCTCCTCTTCTTCTGAGACTCCAGTTACATTTATATTAGGTGACATTAAGTCTCTGAACTTGTTTATAATAGCTGCCTTAAATTTCTTGCCTGAAATTATTGCAGCATCTGGGATCATTTTCCATTAAATGCTTTTTTTTTCTTGATGATGACCCACCTTTTCCTGCTTCTTTGTATGTTTAGTGACTTACGATTCGCTACTAGACTTCATGAATGATATGTTGTAGAGATTCTGGGTTCTGTTGTGCTCCTTTGAAGAGTTATCATTTTTTTCTAGCAGGCAGTTAATTTGGATAGGCTCATCCTCCAAACTCTGCCTCCCTCAACGTCAGCAGGAACTCTGACTCAGTTCTTTAGTTTCTCGCTGCTGCTGCTTTTTCACTGCAGTTCCTAGGTTTTCCCTGACCAGTGTAGTTTTGTAGTCAGCTAAGAATTTGGGTGCATTTTATATAGAGATGTCACAGCTAATTCCAGTGGCAGTTCCTCCTCTCCCAGGATTGACCACCCAACATTCCAGCTGCTTTCCAGTGCTCTACCTTTGACACCTCCAGCCAGTAAACTGCAGCTTTTTGTCACTCTTATCTGCTTGTGGATTGGCGAGTACCCTCAGGCAAAAAGTCACTAATATGCAAATCCCACACTTAGCTTCCTGTCTTTAAGGGTAGAGTCTCCTCTCTACCCTTAAACAGTTTCTCTGTTTCTGGTTGTTCTCCAGAGCCTTCAAGTAGTTGTTTTTAAAAATATGTGGCGCAGATTTTATAATTATGTGTAGGTTGGTTAGGCCAACCCCTCGACTCCCATCTCATTCCTATAGCATTTTACAATAACTTGGAATTTGAGGCCAACATAAAAAGTTGAAATATTTCACAAAAATATGATTTGGAGGCTGCAAAAAATCAAATTTTTCCAATGTGACAAATTGATTGGAATCAAACACAGCCCCCTGGCCTCCCCCAGCATCACCCCACCAGGAAAAGCATGGCTTTTCCAGTTTGATGCCCTGTTGTCTACCCTAGCTAAGGCCAACTGTCAATTTCTTTGTATCATTTTCAATGTGGTTTTATGGGCCACTGTTTCCAATCAAAGCCTATTTCAGAGTTTTTTCTTGTACCCCCACTCAAGTGTGGGCCCAGTGGCTTATTCTGTGACCTACTTGCCTATCCCCTTTCCCCATAATGCTGTCTGTCCTCAGAGCTTCTTTTTCTTCATGCTCTTAAACATTCTTTGACATTTTCTCCCCTTCCTCCAACCCTCTTTCTTTCTCCTTCCTCCAACATTAACTGGGCATCTCAATGTGCTCAGTTATGTGCTTAGCACTGTCCTAGGAGCTGAGGAAATAGCACTGAAGAAAACAGGAAAAAAAGGCCGGGCAAAGTGGCTCACACCTATAATCCCAGCACTTTGGGAGGCCAAGGTGGGCTGATTGCTTGAGGCCAGGAGTTCGAGACCAGTCTGGCCAACATGATGAAACCCCACCTCTACTAAAAATACAAAAATTAGCTGGGCATGGTGGTGCACGCCTGTAATCCCAGCTGCTTGGGAGGCTGAGGCACGAGACTCACTTGAGCCTGGGAGGTGGAGGTTGCAGTTAGCCGAGACTGCGCCACTGCATTCCAGCCTAGGTGTCAGAGCAAGACTCTGTCAAAAAAATAAAAAATAAAAAGAAAAGAAAAGAAAACAGGAAAAAAAATATTGCCTTCATGGAGTTGATATGTGAAGGTAGGATCATGACCATGAACAATTCATATTATAGTGGTAAGTTCTGAGAAAGATAAGGCTGGGTAAGAGGATGTAGTCATGGGTGTGCAAATGTTTCTATGTCTTACTCGCTCAGCCCCAAGCTAATTTTTCACTGAATGAACAGTTCTGTACTTGTTCATGTTTTACGCCCCTCAGGTGGCAGGAAGTGCTTTGTATGGGTCAGTCTTGACTTTATCCACCTCCTAGCTTTGTGATTGAGAAATTCCCCCACTGCTATGCCCCAGTTTCCTCATCAGTAACATAGGGATAAGAATAGTACCTACCTTTTAGGGCTATTGAGAGGATTAAATGAGTTAATACATGCAAAATGTGTGTTTAACAAGGGTCTGGCATATAGTAAATACTTCATAAACATTAGCCAATAAAGATATCAATTACCCAACACAATGACTGACACATTGTGAGCAATAAATAAATAGTAATGTAATGGTTACCATTACAGATGGCCCCTGATTTATGACCACTTGACTTATGACTTTATGATGTTTCAAAAGCAATTTACATTCAGAAGAAACCATACCCATACAACGATTCCGTTTTTCACTTTCAGTACAGTATTTGATAAATTGCATGAGATATTCAAGATGTTGTTATAAAATAGGCTTTGTGTTAGATGACTTTGCCCAACTGTAGGTTAATGTAAGTGTTCTGAGCACATTTAAGATAGGCTAGGCTAAGCTATGATGTTCAGTTGCTTAGGTGTGTTAAATGCATTTTAGACTTACAGTATTTTCAACTTACAGTGGGTTTATCACGATGTAACCCCATCCTAAGTCAAACAGCATAGGTATTTCCCCAGTTCTGAATACTGATATCCAGTAGATTGCTTTTCTTTCTACCAGGTCACCAGTCTCATCTCCCTTGTTGGAGCTAATGGAAAATGGCAGTGAGAATCAATAATATAGAAATCACATATTGGCAGCATCATGGAAAGCTGCCTGGGAGGAATTCAGTGGGGATCTGGGACTAGAGGTGGCTGCTATTGGGAAGGATTCCACATCCAGTTGTTGTTGATGTGCGAAATAACAACTTGAGAAGTGAGAAAATGCCACAGTAGAACTCCAGGGGCTGGACCAGCTCTACAGACCCAATAAAGTTGAGTCAACGTTGAAGGTCCTTCAAGAAACGTCCATTCTTTCCTTCCTCTATCCAACATCAACTTCCATGCCTGTCCAACATGTTCCTGCCAAAAATGACTCCCTGTCTCCCTGCCATCTCTGGGGGGCATTATTTGGCTTGGGCTCATTTTCCCTCCATCCCCTAATGAAGTTTCAATTGCTCTTTATTATTGTCATGTACTATTTCCCAAATTCTCAGGCAAGCTCAGGGAAGGAGGTATCAGAATTCTGCCAGCCTCACTGGCTTTGATAGATATTTGCCAGTGCCTGGTTGGGCTGCTTTGATTTTGTGTTTCTGAGTTCCTGGTGAGGAGCTGGCTTGCAGGAAACACATCATTAAGAGGAGCTGTCAGAACAAACTGCTTTGTGGCCCCAGATTGCTTGTAGGTGGCAGGTGCTGAAGCCTTGGGTCCAGGCTCTACCTGAGTGGGTAAATGTTTACCGAGTGCCATCGGGGGGTCCTGACTCAAGTCACCTCTCTTCTCCCACAGTCCCACTGTGGGGCAGGTGTTCTGTTTCAAAGAAAAAAGGGACTTGTTCCGTAAAATGGGGACATTGAAACTTTGGCATTTTCCTTCCTCATTACGACTTTATATTTGTTATGAAAAGGTCTGGCTGTGAATAACAGAGACCCAGATAACAGTAGCTGAAATAAGGTAGAAGTTTATCTCACTCTCTTGTAACAGTCCAGAGGGAGGCAGTGTAGGGCTGGCAGGGCAGTTCTGCTCCACAAAGTCTCCAGGTGGCCTGTTGCTTCCCTGTGCATATCTTCCATTTCCCAAGGTCACCTCATTGTCCAAGAGGGCTGTTACAGCTCCTGCCATCATGGCTGCATTCCAGCCATCAGGAAGGAGAAAGGACAAAGACAGATCACTCACTTGAAGGACTCTTCCCAGAAGTTGCAGGCATCTCTTCCACTCACATCCCTATTGGCCAGCATTGAGTCACATGACCACTCCTAGCTACAAAGAAAGCTGAGAAATGCAGTCTTTATTCCTAGTGGCCATGTGCTCAGCCACAACGCATAGCTGCTAGGAATGTGAGCTCTGTCACTAAGAAAGAAAGAAAAATGGTCGCTGGTGGAGAACTAGCAGGTTGTTTGGAAAGAGTGATGATGCTGTGGAAAACATTGCCGAATGGAATCAGAGGACCTATAAGTTTGCACTTCAGTCTGTCCTATAACTTTCTCAAGTTTCAATTTCCTTACCTATGAGGTGGGGATGATGGTGACTACCTCACAATTTGTGAAGATTAAATGACATGGCATATTGGAAGATACCTTCTAAGTTTCTCAAAACGTCTGCATACACTTGAGGACACGTTGCGAAAATTAATTTCCGATGCTGATAATGTGTGTATCAAATGTATGGAGGTCTCTTTATGAAAAAGCATGCACCTGTCTGCAGGCTCCCCACTTACCTGGGTCCTGGACCTTATAGATTCTCTGTAGCTGCTTGGCAACAGAAATCATTTGTAAGGTACCTGAGGCTGTTAGTGTAGGATGTAGGGTCATGAAGTCCAGGTGTGGTATGGGAAATAATTGTAAAGTGTGGTGTGGGTACAATCAGTGCACACAATTTTAGAGACAACACTTAAAACTTTTTAAATAGTGATATGTTTATTTGAGCATATTAAAAAAAGGAAAATTTGACGATCAAACTTGGCAATTTAATGGATATTATTGCTTAGGGCAAGACTGAGTTTTATAAAAAGTGAGTTTATTAATGAAAAATTTAAGTAAATAATAATCTAAGTGGTACTTGGCTTTAGCAGAAACTCAGATGGGAATTGCAACTTCAGCTAACACCTTGATTTCAGCCTGGGAAGCCCCAGAGCAGAGGATCCAATTAACCCTTTTTTCCTGGACCCAAGACCTGTGGAAACTATAAGATATTAAATATGTGTTGTTCTAAGTTGTTGAGTTTGTGGTAATTTGTTATGTAGAAATAGAAAACTGATATATATATAGTTAAAGGTTAAGACTTGAGGAATGTCACTCACCTGGCAAATTTCTTAAACCATTTCCTCATTTGTAACATGGTAATACCCATTTGTCAGTTTGCTGGAGGAACAAGTGAGGAAATAAATGTAAATTCTTACCTAAAGTGAGGGAAATATTGGGCTTAGTAACTGTTGGTTAGAACACAAGGGTTATAGGATCATTCCCACCACTTTTCCCCAGTTTCACGATCCCAGGGATGGGCAAACCTTGACAAATTTCAATTAAGATTTACAGTATACAACTTGGCAGAACTTCTTTATCTTTTAAAGATGGGATCTCGCTATATTGCACAGGCCAGAGCTCAGTGGCTATTCACAGGGACCATCACAGCACAGCCTTAAACCCCGGGCTCAAGCAATCCTCCTGCTTCAGTCTCCTGAAGATCTGCAATTACAGACATCCACCACCACACCTGGCTGGCAGAACTTTTATTTAATAGCCTAGTTTCTTGACTTGGTTCTTTCTAACCATTTCAAAAGGGTCTGAGCTTGGACACAAGCCTGATGAGACATTGGAGCATGGAAAATTCTGGCCAACACACCATCTTTATTAGGGAAAACTGAGAGGCCAATGCTTTTGGGTGTGAGGTCAGATGGAAGGACAACCAGGTGACAAGGCCTCCACTGAGATTCCTGATACAACATCCTGCTCATGTCTGGGGGAGAAAAAGTGCTCTGCCCAGAATTTTGATGGAATAAGGATTTCAGATAAAAAGGCTTTCAAAAGGCCTTGGAAATGATTTCTTAGAGCAAAAACAAATGGGTGCCCAGTGAGTATCTTAATCCAACTTGAGTTTTGCTAATTAGGAAGATTTGATCATTATTCTAAAATAACTTCACTGTAGATAAGAAATCACCTGGGTCACTTATTCTAAAAACTTCCCAGATCCCCATTTCCCATGCCCAGAGAGTTGGATTCGGGAGTCTTAGGTAGATGCCAGCTGTCTGCACTTTTATCAAGCACCGCCGGTGATTGTGGTGTTTGTGGGTGATGAGGGCTGCAGGTGCACTGGTAAATGTCTAACAACCAGCTTTCTGGGGAAGTAAACCCTGATCCGTAGCGTCTGCAGTTTTCCGAGGCAGAAACGCTCCCACCAAGGCTGATGTCACTGACTGGGCGCAGAGTTGGGAAGAAAGACGAAGTAGCCCTTCCAGCACACAGGTACGCAAATAATCAAATAGACACAAATAACCTTAGGAGCATAGAAGGAGTGAAATGTAGTAAAATGATTAGGAAGTGCTGGGTTGTAATTATGTACTATCTTTCTTTTAAATATACCTTATTTAATTCTGTTTATATAATTTGATGGTTAATAGTGGTTCTGTTTATCAACTGGTTCACACAATTCCTAAAAATGTAACATTAGGCTTTCCCAAGCCAGCACAAGTCAGATTCAGCACATTGAGCAAGGGGACACTGGTTTGATTCTAAAACAATTGTATGATTCCTGGGGGCAGGGCCCCGGCAGCTTAGATCGAAGTGCTCCCCAGGTGATGCCAATATTTAGTCAGGGCTGAGAACCACTAACCTAAACCCTCACTACTCAATGTGTGGCCCCGGAATCTGCTGCATCAACAGAATTTCAGGCCCAGGCCCAGCCCCAGCCCTGCTGAACCAGAATCTCCATTTCAGTAAGAACTCCAGGTGATTCCTGCGTAGCACCAATGAGGTAAAGGACTCAGTGGTTCCCAAACGCCAGTGTATGTGCACCTGCTGGGGCAGAGTCCTTGATGTGAGTTAAAATGCAGATTCCTGGGCTCACCTTGAGGTCCCCACTCAGTGGATCTGGGGCTCCAGGGATCCGTATTGGGGTGTGATGGGGTTCCCCGTGTGCTCTGAGGCACTTCCTGGTCTGGGAAAGTGCTGGAGAGGGTTGGATTCAAACAGATTTATGGGATGGAAGGGAAAATCTAACACAAGGAAGACGAATTCTTAAATCTGCACCTAGTGAGTGTCACTAGGTAAAGGAGAATGCAAGGATACTGGGAAGAATGCAGAATGATTTCGGGGCCAGGAGGAGCTACTGTTAAGGGAGACCTCGTGCTTGGCCACTGGGGATGCTCAGGCGTGCATGTGCCCAGGTGTGGATGGAACAGCATGGGGAGTGGAGTGGCATGGACTTGAGAGTCAGGGTCCTGGATTTGTTTCCCACCCATCACTCACGAGCAGTTTCCTAATGGCTCTGAGCTTTGGTTCGTTCTTCTGTGAAATGGGGATTATAATCTTTCCCCTCATAGGGGTTGTTCTGAGAAAACAATGAGATGATGCGTGTAGACAGCCAGGCACTCAGTAGGCTCAGCCCATGGTTGCTGCGACTGATAGGATCTCTCTGCGCGTGCCTGTGCACATGTGGTCCTCACTATGGTGGTGCAAGAAGATCAGTAGGAGGCGAGCAAGATGCCACACGGGCTAACCCCAGAACTTGATGCTGAGTTCAAGGGCAAACCAGAATGCCAGGGGAAGTGGACAGAAACCTGGCTTTTGTTAGAAATGCTCCTAACTAAATAGCACTCCTCTGGGAGGGTAAATTAGAAAGGCCAAAGCTACAACCTGCAAAGGACAGAAAGAACACAAAAGCACATTGTTCCACGATGCTGGGTGGAGGAACAGAGGGAAGTGGGAGGAAAGACTGCTCCTCTGTGTCTGGAAGGGGAAACCACTAAGTGAAGAGTCTGAAGGAGTCTATTTTCTTTTCTTTAGTCTTTTCAGCAAAGATAAGCCACAAATAGCTGGCTGGAGCACTTCCCAGCTAGACGGCTGGCTGATAATGGGATCTGGTTAAAGATACAGGAGGTTGAAAGCATGAAGTCCATGGCGTCTCCAGGTTGCTCAATGAATTGGGCAGATCATCATGTGGCTTTCACTTTTTTTTTTTTTTTTTTTTAAATTGAGACAGAGTCTTGCTCTGTCACTCTGGCTGGAGTGCAACAGCACAATCACTGCTCACTGCAGCCTCTGCCTCCCTGGACTCAGGTGATCCTCCCCACTCAGCTTTTCAAGTAGCTAGGACTACAGGCCTGCACCACCACGCCTGGCTAATTTTTGAGTGTGTGTGTGTGTGTGTGTGTGTGCGCGCGCGCATATACGTATATGTATGTGTGTATATATATACACACACATATATGTACATATATGTATGTGCATATATATAAGTATAAATGTGTGTGTACATATATGTGTGTATATACATATGTATATGTGTGTGTATATGTGTGTGTGTATATATATACACACACATACACACATATATACAAAATATATATAATTTTGTACAGTTGAGCTTTCATCGTGTTGCGCAAGCTGGTCTTAAACTCCTGGACTCAAGCCATCCATCCACCTCGGCCTCCCAAAGTGCTGGGATTACAGGTGTGAGCCACCATGCCCAGGCCATCATGTGGCTTTTAGCCCTTTTAGAAAACGCACAAGAGCAGTCCTTGACTCAGAGGAGCAGATAGGAAGCAGTCTGCAGAGTGGCGGGCCTGGGAATTGAAGGCTACAGTGAACAGCCACGAGGCACAGGGAGTTCAGAGATGGGGACAAATCTTGGGGAGCATCTTACCAGGAAGGTGTTCTTCACGTCTAAGCCCCCGAGCTCTGTAAGTAGCTCCTGTTGGCCTGTGGGGATTTGCAAGGAGAATGGCAATGGATAGAAAAGGCTTTGAGCCAGGGACAGTGGTTCACGCCTGTAATCCCAGCACTTCGGGAGGTGGGTGGATCACCTGAAGTCAGGAGTTCGAGACCAGCCTGACCAACATGGTGAAATTCCGTCTCTACTAAAAGTACAAAAATTAGCCTGGTATGGTGGCACGTGCCTGTAGTCCCAGCTACTCAGGAGGCTGAGGCAGAAGAATTGCTTGAAGCTGGGAGGCGGAGATTACAGTAAGCTGAGATTGCGCCACTCCACTCCAGCCTGGGAAACAGAGTGAGACTCTGTCTCAAAATAAATAAATAAATAAATAAATAAATAAATAAATAAATAAATAAATAGAAAATGCTCTTGTTAGAGAAGTTCCTGCCCCACGTGGACTTCTGCTGATAACAGAGCATGGAGCTGGGTTAATGGTTGTGCTGCTGTCTGAGAGCTGGCAGAGATGCACACATTCACCTTACTTGTGCCAGCTACTTCCCCCATTCCCCTAGGCTTTATCAGTATTTACTGCAGGGGCATTCATTGATTTATTCAGACATTTATGGAGTGCCTGCTATGTGCCAGGATGGAGCTGGCTACATAATTAGTAGGGGCCAGTGTGAAATGAAAATATAAGACTCTTGATCAAAAAGCAAAAAAAGGTATCACTAAAGGTACGAAAACATTGTTTCTTTTTCTTTCATAGTCTCTCTTTTTGTCTCTCATCATAGAGTTTTTTGTTATTTAGTGTCCTTCCAAGTAAAGAAACAATGTTTAGCATGAATTTTACTGTTCATCTTTATATTATACGCCCGTTAAGAACGCAAATATAGAAGGAGTTAACTCATATATGGAATCATTGAAAACACACACTTCCTATTGTGTAGTCTGTACATGGATATATATTTCATTCCTAGCAGAAGAGTTAACACTTGTCCAAAACTAACAACTGCCTTTATTTCACTTCTTGCTGTGCTCACATGTTACCAACTCCCCATCTTCGGCTTGCTGATGATTAAGGAAGGACTGAGAGGAAAAGGAACCCTGGAGTGCCCTGTCTTTCCCTTCCCTTCTATAGGATCATTTTCAGCATAAATGGTTGGCTAATACAGGCGATTAACACAGCTTTGATTGTTCATGTTTCTTAGAATGGCATTGCTTTCTGAGTCTGAAGCAAGCTCTGACTTCAATAGGACGTGTGTCCTGCACTGATGCAAGTTGCAAGACTCACCTTGTGCTCACTTTGAGCCTCACTGGAGTCCCACGTTATTGTAGGTCCATTGTAGGTAGGTACAACCTAAGGAGCAGATACTGGTATTAACCCATTTTACAGATGAGAGTTCTGGGATACAGAGGTGAAGGGACATCTTTGAGGTCCCAAAGCTGGTGAAGGGTGGAGCTATTTTCTAGCTGAGATAACCCAGCCTCAGAGTTCAAACCACCCAGTTATTGTTTGAGAAGCAAAGTTAGAATAATTGGCATATCCCCTGAAAAAAAGTGAAATTTCCCACCTCATACCATATACTTCTACCAACCCCCACAAAAAATTCCAGTCTTAAACATATTAACACACATTAGAACTACCTGTGGTGAGTTTAATCCTTTTGTATTAAAATACAAAAGGACTCAAATTTTTGGAAAGCATTCATATAATTCTGGGCTGGGAAAGGCCATTTAAAAAACCACAAAATCCCAAATAATCCAAGATTGTCAAATTTGTTTACATAAAACTTCAATTTCCCTATGGAAAAAGGCATGAGGATCAAGTCAGAAGAAAAATCGCAGATCTGGGAAATATTTGCACCCTAATTGACAAAGTCTTAATATCCTTCAAGTAGAAAGCACTCTTAGAAATCTGTGAGGGAAAATCAGACACCGCTAGAGAAAAATGGCAAAGGTCACCAAACAGGCAATTCCCAAAAACAGATTATAAATGATCACGAAATGAGGAAAAAAATGTTTTACTTCAAATCATATGTATCTATTTTACCTCCAACTTCTGAAGATAGAGAAGTCACGACTATGGCCACGTTGGTGAGAGTTTTGGTAGAGAGCCTTGGCTTGTTTGGTGGGCATGCTTTCCATTTGTCTGGAATGTTCTTCCCCCAGATACCTGCATCTCTCCAGCCCCAGTTCCTTCACTTCTCAAGGAGGTATCCTGGCTCTTTCATCTGAATGGCCCCCACTCTCCCAGCTACTCCCCATCCCTTACTCTGCTTTTTTTCCATAGCTTCTATCATCATGTGACCTGTAGCTTCTGTATTTGTTCACTGTCCAGTTCCCTTCTCTAGACGACAAGCTCCACCAGGGCAGGGACTTCCTTTTGTTCGCAGCTGTTTTCCCCAGCACCAGGAAGAGAATCTGGCACACAGAAGGTACTCCATTGGTATTTCAATGCACATGAAAAGAATGGGGATCTAGGCTGGGCACAGTGGCTCACGCCTGGAATCCCAGCACTTTAGGAGGCATTTTAGCAGATCACTTGAGATCAGGAGTTTGAGACCAGCTTGGCAAACATGGTGAAACCCCGTATCTACTGAAAATACAAAAATTAGCTGGGCGTGGTGGCATGTGCCTATAATCCCAGTAACTCGGGAGGCTGAGCCAGGAGAATTGCTTGAGCCTGGGAGGCGGAGGTTGCAATGAGCCAAGATCATGCCACTACACTCCAGCCTGGGTGACAGCCAGAATCCATCTCAAAAAAAAAAAAAAAAAAAAAGGGACCTCACAGTGCAGTTTTTTTGGAGGGTGATTGATCAGTATCATCAATTGAAAAATGCACGTTAGAAATTACTTCTAGAAATGTATTTTACAGAAATACAAAAGGCAAAATTTATATGAGTATATGTGATTTATCGCCTCCTGTGGAAATGATCCATACAGAAGACTTGCTTGAATAAACTTGGGGTACAGGCATACAACAGAAATACAAGTTTTACAGAGCTTCCCAATGAAGGATGTATAAAGGAAAAACATGAGGTAGCTGTAGCTATGGCTGTAGATATAGATAGCTATAGTATAGATACGGATATAGTACAGATATATCTGTACTATAGACATGGATATGAATATGGATGTGATGCCTTCAATAAATGGTGAGAGTTTATTCCAGAATAGTGCGTATAGAATGGTTCCACTTTCACAACAGGAGAACTTACACAAATTGGGTACACATAGAAAGAAGTCTGGAAGGACATTTAACAAATGAAACAGGGTTTGCCTCTGAGAGATGGATGGGAAACTTTCACTTCATATTTGCTTGTTTAATTTTTATAATTTTAATTCAATGAGCATGTGTCACTTTTTAATTTTGAAATAATTATAGACTCCCAAGATTGCATTGTTTTTGTAATTATAAAATGCAAATTGGGTTTAGGAGAAATGTCGGGTGGGGAATGGAAAAGGCTGTGACTCTATTCCAGTAGAACAGACTTGACATTTTGAAAAGCAGAGGATGGTTCTAGAAATGATAGCTGGGTCTGCTCAGCATTGGCCTTCACCCTCCACATCCTTCCCCTGCAATTGGCACAGGGGCAGTGGCTGTTTGGAGGGGGGATTTCAAGGTCCTCTTTTGAGGGTATGAGGCTAGGGAGAACAGCAAGGACAACAGGTGTGGCCAGTGCTGGCTTGGGTCAGCACAGAACGGGAGTTGTGCCAGTCCATGTATTTTTACAAACATGCTTTGACTCTCTCACTTGCTTGTGCCATTTACACCCTGAGAATGTAGTATTGCATCCTGAATATAACAACCGCATTCAACAAATGTTGGTCAATGATTGTGTTCGAGGTCAAAATGCAAACCTTGTAAAATAAACTTCAAATTTTATTTGTATGTAAAAGTTTTATGTTGGCATAATCTTACACGACATCTGATGCATGAGGTATCTATGTGCCAAATTATTATAAACAAGATTTGCACGGTAGGGAGCAAAGCTTGAATGTAGGACTGTCCATAGAATACAATCTGAACAGACACAGTTCTGACAGTGGGCCAGATCGAGGGCAAAATTGAGCCATTCATTCAGCAGATATTGACTGCTCTGTCCCGGTTGCTGTTCTAGGGTTTGAAAATATAGCAGAGAATAGAAGACATGAAAATCCGTTGCCTCATAGAGCTTCCGTTCTAAGCTGGGGCAGGGAATGAAAACAAATAACATAAATGGCGGATTTCATAAATTCTGAAATGCAGCCCCATCCCCCATTGTAATATCTTTGAAACTGGGATAATTTTGCAGTCGATGGAACTGCTGCTGTCTCATGCCTGCTCATGGTGGGGGCAGTAGTCAAGTTATGGTTGTCATCGCATGTTCCTGTGAAATCATCATTAAGGTCATTCAGATGGCTGTTGCTTTTGTTGGGCTGAATGCACTGTTAGAATTATTATGTGTGGGAATTTTAATTTCCATTTAAGATATCTTAACGCTATACCCATCTGACTCAGCAATGGTACTATGTATGCAGAAGGGCAGGGGAACAGACAGCAGGGCATTTGTCTGATGTTAGTGAAGCCAATGTTTATCATTGGAGTGCCAATCATAATTCCATTTTTTTCTTGTAAACCAACACCTATGTACTTTGTAAGACATAAGCAAGGAAGGTACTCAAGGAAGATGCAACTGCGTTGCATTTGATTATTGAGATAAATAGTGCAGAACGCTCGCTTACCATTAGCCCATCAGCATGAGTAAAGACAAGGGAAATGATCAAATCCCTTGGAAAGATGAAAAAACTTTTAAAACATTGAGAGGCTGATGGAACTGATTCATTTGGATTCAGGACAATGCTACTATTGTTAAGGCTTCATGTCATTTAAATGGCATTTTTGTTTTCACTGTTAGTGGTACATAAAATAATGGTGTGTCTCACAGCAACAGGCATCTCAAGAGACAATGAAAAATGGTGATGTGACAGAGGTGGTAAGTGCTTTGGGGAAACACAGTGCAGGGATAACGGGGAAGCATTTGGGGGATTGCAATTTTAAAAGCGCGATCAGAGAAGACCTTGTTATCATTCTAATTGGTGATGTTGTTGTTATTACAATATTAAGGCCAAGGTTATGTGCCTTATAGGGAATCTTGCTACTCAAAATGTGGCTTGATTGGTCAAGATAATTTTAGAGACAGCTGACACTAATTTTGAATGCAAACGGAAATTCTCTGAAACATTGATGAATGCTTCTGCTCGCTTTAGGGAAATTGGCAGAAAGGATATCTTTGGTCCACATTTCATTGAATTGATATATTAAGTCTCAGCCCAGCTCACCTAAACACCATCTCACCAAAGTTTTATCTATCACACAGCTTTTACATTTTGTTGGGTTTTATATACTTAAAGTTTGTCAAGGTATTTAATTACCTTATGTATTTTACTTTTGTAATCTAATATTTTAACACTGGGATTTTACTTTCGACCATTGCTCAGTATTACAGGAGGTGCCTGCAAACATACCATATAAATAATACTGTTGCCTTAACATTTTTTTCTCCATGTTTCAAATGCTTGCAAAAATATCATAATGACTGTCTAACCTTCCATGAAATAGGCATACCATAGTTTACTAATTTGATATTTAGAGAGCTTACTATTATAGATAATGTTACAGTGAACATTTTTCCCTGTCATTTTTATTGGCCCTGTGGGCAAATGTGGTCCTAACCACACTGCATTGTGCAATTAGACTATGAGATTCTTGTAGCTGAGGGCTACTCCTGACACCTCCTAGCAGAGGCCCAGGAAGTGGTCAATAAATATTACAAAGTGATTGATAGGTTAGTGAACAAGTGGTTTGAAAATCTCAACCAAATAGTAATTGACTCTCCAAAAACTCCTGGGAACTCTTCCGCTTAATGTTCTTGCTGACAACCTGGATGAAGGATTTGAGAATCTGCTTCATTAAACATGTAGATGATATTTAAGAGGCAGCGTTAATATCCTGGAAGACAGAAATAGAATTCAAAGAGCTTTGAACAACTGAGGAAAATGATATTCTAAAAACAGAATGAGATGAATTTATAGTGTTTTATGAACAAAAACAGTGGTTTCCACGTGGAGTGGGAAGAACATGGGTTCAAACCCCGGCTCTGTCCCTCCCCAGCTGTGTGACCAATGACATGTCACAGCTCACTGAGCCCCAGTTTCTTCACCTAGGAAACAGATAATGTTACCCCCCACAGAGTTGTTGCTGGAAGGACCAAACGAGTTTATATACGTGAAGGGTGTGGCACAGTTCTTGCACATAGAAGGGACTCGATAAATGTCACTTAATTTTAATAATATCCCCAAGTGCCCAGAAAAGAGCCACAACAAAGCTCATGCAATCCGGAGGCAGGATAAAAGAGGATGGATCAGACAAAATCCCCCCAAATTGAAATTGGGGGTGATGGTCATTGGTGACTGTCCCTGAATGGAGTCAGCAAGATTCTGGGGGCGTGTTCCAAAGATCGTGATGAATAAAGCCATACCCTGCACCAGGCAGGCTTTCAGTGGAATTCCAAACCCTGCTTTGGTCACTTGTTTAAAAAAAAAAAAAAAATGCTAAGACATGGATAGGGGCCCAGGGAGGTGTGGCCAAGATGACTAAAGAGATTGAAAATGGTTCCTGTGGAGAAGAAAGGAGTTTGAAGAAGTTGGAGTAACTCAATCACTGAAGCCAATTTAAAAAATATTTTTAATGCATATATTAACACATATATTTAATACTTGTTGAATGTGCTTACCTCAACTGTCGGCCCCTGAGGTTATAAAGTAAATAAAGTATTTTTCTTCTTTTTCTTTTCTTTTTTTTTTTTTTTTTTGGAGACAGAGTCTTGTTGTTGCCCAGGCTGGAGTACAGTGGCGCGATCTCGGCTCACTGCAACCTTCCATTTCCTGGGTTCAAGCAATTCTCCTGCCTCAGCCTCCTGAGTAGCTGGGACTACAGGCTCCTGCCAGCATGCCTGGCTAATTTTTGTATTTTTAGTAGAGATAGGATTTCGCCATGTTGGTCAGGCTGGTCTTGAACTCCTGACCTCAGGTGATCCGACCACCTCAGCCTCCCAAAGTGCTGGGATTACAGGAGTGAGCCACTATGGGGGGCCAACTTTTTACTTGTAAATAAAGCCTTTAAGATCTTTGTGTGCCAGTATGCGAGGATTATCCTTATCTCTTTTAACCACTGAATAATTTTCTATTTAAGGGATTTATTTAATTCCCACCTTCTCACGCCTGAAGGGTATTTTGAAGTGCTTGGAGAGATTGTTTGGTTGAATGGGACCAAGGGACACTCCTAGGAATCAGGTGCTCCATCTCAGGAATGAAGGTCAGCAGAGCCTGTTATCTGTCTTTCCAGGGGGCTACATGGTTGCCCACTTCTGCTGCTACCTGCGGGCCTGCTCCTGTCTCTGGCTTGATTTCCCCAGACCGTGGGAATGCCCAGGGCCCAAGCCTACTCATCTCAATCTCAGGCCCACCTGGGTCTGACCAACAACATCCCTCTCCTCCTCTCCCAGAGTTGAACAAGAGACTCAATCTGATTGGCTCCAGGCCAGCCAATGGATTTTCTGGCTTTAAGTCAGGTGCCTACCTTTAGTCCAATCTGAAGGAGCTGTGAGGAGTCACATTGCTTAATCTGCTCAAAGCCCTCAGTGATCACTTCATTAATTTATTCCAGCTGCTTCTAGCCGCTGCAGACATATGAGTTTGCAACTTTGGCCTTCTGTGTCAGTGCTTCTTAAACTTGAACATGCACATGAATCACCTGGGGACCGTGTCAACATGCAGACGTGGGTTATAGAGAAAAGTCTTTAATGCCTTGTCTTACAGAGAAACAAGACGCAGTCCTTGGCCTTAATTCTGTAAATACTACTGACACCACCAATTAGGGCAATGACACCAATAATGACAGTTAACATTTATTGCATTTACTATGTACCAGGCTTCACTGATGCGTTAAGTCATATCATCTTTAGCTACCTTTTTAGAGAAAGCATTTGGATAGCTCCCTTTGAAACATGCTTAGAGCTGGATTCCAACCAGGTCTGCCTGACTCCAGAGCCTGTGGTCTTATCCAGGTAAGGGGTTGGGGAAGGGGGACATAAAAATTCCAGAAGACTGAGAGGCCCAGGCAGGAAAGGTTGTGGGAGTGCAAGAGAGGAAGTGTCCCTCTGGCCTCGGACCTGGAGTCCAGGAACAAACTTCCTAGGACCACTTTGAGGGCTCCGTGACATGATGTCTGTAAATAACAAACCACATGCTAAGCCAGCGCATGTTAACAAAGACTGGCTGCTTATTATTAGGAAAACACTTGCAGCTATTAATCTTTAAACTGGAGCAAAAGCTCATTTACCATCAACAAATATTAAACTCCAAATGGCTGTGTTTTCTGCTGGCAGGCATTGTAGGGGACAGAGGACTGTTACTGCTGATAAGGAATTGACAAGACAGTTGAAGGGAATCATTTATTATTAAATTGAAATTTACTAGTAAAAGTATTAACAATGTATCAAGCAGCTGTTACAAGGATAGCAGGATAATACTTACTGAGCACTTATCATGTACCAGGCAGTATTTTAAGCCTTTGACCTGCATTAACCCATTGGTTACAACAACCCTAAGTGGTAATTACTATTATCCACATTTTTCCAAGCGAGGGAGAGAGAGTCAGAGAGGCTCAGAGGCTTGCTTAAAGTCACACAGGAAGGAGGAAGCAGAGCTAATACTTGAACCTTGGATCTTCCTGACTCTCCTGCTCACCCACACCACCTGTGCCAGATGGAGACACCATAAGATGGGATGGAACCAGAGGCTGAGTCACATGGGACCCAATTTTCAGAAAGCACCTCCTGGGCAGGGATGTGTCTTGTTCATTGTTATACACAGAGATCTTGACACTTGTACAACGGTTTTTAGAAAATCTTGAAAAAAAATATTTTTGAAGGAAAGATGAGATCCATAGTGAAAGAGTCAAGAAGGACTTCTTGGAGGAGGAGGTTTTTGGACAGACTTGAATGATGAGCGCTAGACTGAGCAGAAAAGACAGCCAGAGAGAGTTTGGCTTATCCCAGGGTTGCCCAGGAGACTGGCAAATAAGAAAAAGGAATATTTTTAGATGGTCAGAGAGCATAGTGGCTTAAAACCAAATATTCCCTCATCTTCCCCACCTGACTTGTGACAAGTAAGGGAGGCACTGGACAGAGTCCCTGTGTACTGAGCAGCCTTCCTTATTGTTCTCGCCTGTTCCCTCCCAGCTGGTGTGTGTGTATTGGGGGTGCGAAGGGTGCAGCCCAGGGGTGCGTTGATTGCAGAGATAGAAATAACTTCAGCAAGGAAGGTGGAAGAGTGTTAGACATTTCCCTCCCTCGGTCCGGGAGAAAAATGCTCAGCCAACGAAGTCTAAGTAGTAAAACCCAAATCCATCCATCGTCCTAATGCCATGCGTGACCCTAGAGACCTCTACTCAAGCTTGCATAATATTGTTTGAGTTAGAAAAGAACATACAGTGATACTATTGCCCAGATGGGCTCCTGCTGAGTGTCGAGTTGAACACACACAGCTGGTTAACGACCCAAGATGGAGGAGAAAGATTTCCTTCCTGGCAGTCGGTGCAGCTGATAATCTGATTTTTTTCTCCCAGGCTTCCTTTCTGCGACTGCCTAATTATCCTACCTACTATGATTATGGATTCCCTTCATGAGGGCAGGGGTGGCCTGCTTGTGACAATCTGGGAGGAGCTGGCTGTACTCTGTGCCTCAGTCAAGAAACTGAGGCTCTCTCCTGTTGCGGGAAGTCAGGGACCCCATCTCCTTTTGTGGGTTTTGTTTCTGACTCACTCAGTGACCTCCTGTAAGGGGGAGTCTGTTTCTGGAATATTGTCCTTTCATTCTTGGGGGGATCAATGTTTAGTGTCTGCTGGATATTTGGAGGCCCCAGGTCTCTTTTGATTCATATGTGGGACTGTGATAAGGCCCAGGTACTTTTTGTTTCTGTAGTAATTGTGTTTCTGGCATTTTGGATTCAAGAATCCAGCTATCCCTTTTTTTCTTTTTTTTTTTTTTTTTGAGATGGAGTCTCACTGTGTTGCCCAGGCTGGAATGCAGTGGCGCAATCTCGGCTCACTGCAACCTCCACCTCCCGGGTTCGAGCAATTCTCCTGCCTCAGCCTCCAAGTAGTGGGGACTACAGGTGCCCACCACCATGCCCAGCTAATTTTTGTATTTTTAGTAGGGATGGGTCTTTGCCATGTTGGCCAGGCTGATCTCCAACTCCTAACCTCATGATCTGCCACCTTGGCCTCTCAAAGTGCTGGGATTACACATGTGAACCACTGTGCCCAGCCAGCTATCCCATTTGGACATGGCCTGTGCCTGCTCTGATGCCTCTGGAGCGTGATCTTTCACTAGTAGCAACAAGATCATCATAAAAATAGCTGCAATTTATCAAGCATCTATTAAGTGCCACATACCTCACTGGGAACTTTGTCTCATGTAATCCTTGTAAATACTCATCCACAGAGGGATTCCTGGGCAGAGTAATACTCAGCAGCATTTGATCTGGAAGATCCGGGTAAGTCGTCTGGGCTCTATGGTGTGCCCGGACATGGCAGCATCATCACACTTATCCTCTCCACAGGTCTGAGAACCGGGTGCTCCTTGCATCCCTGTCTTATAGATGAGAAATCAAAGCTCAGGGAGCATAAGCCAATTGTTCAATGTCTTTTGGCTAACAAGTGGCAGAGTTGAGACTTGAACCCAGCAAGGTGCCGTGGCTCACACCTGTAATTCCAGCACATTGGAAGGCCGAGGTGGGCGGATCACTTGAGGCCAGGAGTTGGAGACCAGCCTGGCCATCATGGCGAAACTCCATCTCTACTAAAAACGGAAAAATGAGCCGGGTGTGGTGACTTATGCCTGTAATCGCAGCTACTCGGGAGGCTGAGGCATGGGAATTGCTTGAACCTGGGAGGTAGAGGTTACAGTGAGCCGAGATCACGCCACTGCACTCCAGCCTGGGTGACAGAGCAAGACTCTATATCCAAAAACCAAAACGAAAAAAGACTTCAACCCACTAGGTCTGTTTGCCTCCGGAGCCCCCGCTCTTACTTGCCGTTCTGTCTTCCTGTTAAGTCCCACAGCCAGCTGGTCCGATGAACTCACCTGTAGCAATGTGGGCTGGGGGTGGGCAGCGACGTATCCCACCTGGTCTCTGTGGGTGGCCACGCTAGGGACTCCCCAGGGGAGCTAGGAGGAGAAAGAGCAAGTCCTGGGCCTAGTTGGCTTTTTCCCAGCTTCTAGGTGGGCTAAGATGACCTAGGAGGGGCCCCTGCGAAATCTGGTCATAAAAGGGGATGATTGCTGGGCCCACGTGACTCCTGGGAGGACATGGACATTTCCAAGGACAGGAGAATTTATTGAGCATCTGCCGTGTGCTGGGAGTATTATCTCTAGGATCTCATCTAATTTTGACAACAGCAATGCAAAGAAAAGTGTCCTCACCCCTGTTTGAAACAGAGAAGACTGAGGCTTAGAGAGAAAGCTATTTGCCCAGGGTCACCCCAGCAGTAAGTGATAGAACTAGAAAGGGTTCAAGTCCCGGCGAGTCAGCACCTTCCCCTCACCTCTTCCCCTATCAGTCACACCCACCAGCCCTGCATGTTCATCGCTGTGTGTGACAGGTATTAATGATGTGGAAGGTGGGGCAGAGATTACAAAACAGCAGCCCACAGCTTGGACCCAGTCCACAGATTTGCTGTTTCGTCCCATTTTGTTTAAGATCTACTTTACATATGGTTAATTTCAGGCTTTTTAGCTTTTGGTCATGGGATCTTTGGTGAACATCCCATTGTGCAACCATCACCAAGGTGCAGAGTGTTTTCACCATCCCCCAAATTCCCTCCTGCTGCCTCTTTGTGGTCAAGCTCTCCCCGACCCTCAGCTCCTAGCAGCCACTTCATCTGTTTTTGGGTCATACAGTTTTGCTTTTGCAAGATGGCTTCTTTCACCTGTGGCTGAATGCACTTGAGATTCATGCAAATCATTGTGGGTGCCTCAGAGTGGCTGCGTTTCCCCTTAGATGGGTGTGTGTCATCAGTTCACCACAGTCCCCACCTGGTCTTCACTTTACCTGCCTGTTCCAGAGAGCACTGGAGTCTGAATTCCCTTGGTGGAGTATTTGACAGCAGCATGGTTTTTGGAGGCACATGACCTGGGTTTAAGTCCCAGCCTTGACTGATGGTAACCCCATGACCCTGGCCCCTGTGACTGCCCCTCTCCAGACTTCAGTTTCTCCAGCGATAAAATGGGAGCGATATTCCGACCTGAAAGAGAAATTGGTGAAGATTTATTAAATACACTAACACGTGGTAGGTACCTCTAACCACGCTTGGCACCTCGGAGGTGATCCATTAATATCGGCTCTTGTCATGGAGTTTGTTGAGAGGCACTGAGGCCTGTTCAGAGGTGCAGTCTGCACACAGGAGCAAATGGCCAGCTTGGGTGGGATGACTCTAGCCACTTACTAAACCACGTGGTGTCCTGCCCTGTGGGGAACATTGATACAATTGCCATACATCACTCCCTGGTCTTAGGGCACAAGCGGGATGTTAATGAACAAAAAAAGCACTCTCATTGGCAGCATTATTCATCATAGTTTGCTGGCTGCCCAGGTCTGGCCTCTTGTTTCAAGTCACAGCTCGTTGAAAACATTAAAAAAAAAAAAAACAAACCTTGAGGCTCTCATTTCTGTCCTTTCCTCCCATCTTAGCTTTTGTTAATCATGTCCCCAAAGACCTTTTAAAAAGGAGAAATGGCAAATGATCTGGCTTTTCCAAACCACTGGTCATCTCTGGTATGAACTGTTTGTATGTTTGAGAAGCTGGAATTCCACAGATGATTGATGGGCGGGGAGGAGAGGTGTAGAATTATCCAGAGAAGCAGAGGAGGGGGTGGCTTGAAGCTGGAATTCCACAGACACTTGATGGGCAGGGGGGAGTGGTGTAGAATTATCCAGAGAAGCGGAGGAGGGGGTGGCTTGTTCTCTGCCTCTTTTATGCAGCAGAACTTTCAGAAGGGAAAAAGCGTGGGTGTTGGGAATTCCTAATGGCAAGAATTCATGGAAACGTCATGTTACATATCTGCCGCTGTGGGTGCTGAGCAGAGCGGCAGATGGGGCCGGCGCGGAAATAGTCATATTCCGCCACTTCCTAGTGTGCCAAACACTCATCACTCGCGTCATCTCCCTGGACTGTCACAGCCCCTTTGTGAGGAAGGCAGGACCAGAAGTCACATCTCATTTTGCAAATTCCAGAACCGAGACTCAGATGCCAGGTGACTTGCCCAGGGTCCCCACATCAAGAGGCAGTGACATGAGTGGTCCTGGGACTTAAGCCACAGTCTTCTGCCCCTTGCTTTTTCTGCTATAGCACGGGTTGGGCCTGTGGTGTGATTTGAACACTACTGGGGAATCTGTATGGGGTTATGGCCTGCCTGTCCTGCAGCAAGGTTGCTGGAAACTTCCTTGGGGTCAGGTCTGCACCTCATGCATTGGGTATCACTCCCTTCCCTGCTTCCCTTGGTGCCTAGAACTCATTCGACGTCCAATCTCAGGCAAATGCCTTCTTATCTCTGTGTCACCTCTGTTTCCTCATTTGTCAAATGGGCATAACTGTCACTGTTCATGTGCTCAACACACAGGACAACTCTTTTGTCTCTCTCTCTTTTTTTTTTTTTTAAATAGACGTGGGGTCTCGTTATGTTGCCCAGGCTGGTCTCAAACTCCTGGGCCTGAGTGATCCTCCCACCTTGGCCTCCCAAAATGCTGGGACTATAGGCATGAGCCACCACACCTGGCCCAGGACAACTCTGTTAATTGAACCATCGACTACCCCCCTCTTATCATTGAGAAGGAACCATTGGATTGGCAACACAGAAGTCACTGGTGACCTTAACTAAGGCTGTCTCCTTGTGAATGGGGAAGAATGCCCAATGGGAGTGGGCCCAAGACACAATGTGGGGAGGCGACCAGGAGGCAGCAAATAGAGTCCGCTGTGATAAGGTGTTCATCTGTCAATGGGATCAGAGAAGTAGGATAGTAGCTGAGGGTTCACATGGGTCTGGCAAGGATTTTTTAAATGGCAGGCAAAGCTTTCAGCTGGAAGTGAGAATGCAGAGTTGGGCTGGAGAGGAAGAGGAGCAGAAATAGCCTCTAAGACCTAATTTTTGGTTACTGTGAAGATGAAAAGATATGACCTACAGAAAGCATCTGGCGTTGCTTGATTTGGTCACAGAGGGAAAGGAAAGGACTGCCTGGGATTTTAAATAACATATCACGGTGTGTTAGTACACATTTCCATCTAGGCTTCCCCTGTTGCTAAGGAATAATTAAATAATTTAAATACTTTTAAATAATTGAGAGATTCCCAGAATCTTTATTTCAGCCCAGTATGTCCCATGCATCTGTGCATTTTGGTCTGTGCGTGTGTTTTGATAGTAAAAGGAGACATGAGAGTCTCTCTTTCCAGATGAGTCCAGTCCTACACACCCTCCCCAGGACGCCAGGGGTATCTGGGGCTTTTTCGTTTGCTGGTGACCAAACCTGTCCCTGGCTTCCATCTTCAGTTCTTCCCAATTCTTTAATCCCTTAGTCCAGGCTTTGCTCCCTCCCTTCCCCTCCAGCCGACCCACCACCCCCGCTCATCCAGGTCTCCATCAATTCTCAGTTGATCTAATAGAAGTGCCTCCCCAGCCTCCCTGACTCCAGTCTCTCCCTGCCCCTATTCATCCTGCTTAGTAATGTTGAAATCCGGCATTGCTCGTGCTGCTAAAGAACACTAGTGTCTTTGGTTCTGCAAGCATAAAATATAAATGACCAGGCCTCAGTTCACTTCATTTCCCCAGACATATGCTGTCTCGGAGAAGGCAGATCTTGTTGTTCTCGGAACACCCTGAGTTCTTTTCATTTTAACTTTTTTAATGTGTTCCCATTGCTCTTGGGATAAAACTCAAACTCCTCACCATGTCTTTTCAGGCTGATGGCATCTGCACTCTGCCCACTTTTCCAACAACATCTCCTGCCCCCATCAAAGTAAGCAGTTCGTGCCTCAGGACCTCTGCACTGGCTGTTTCTTTGTCCTGGAATTCTCTGTCCCATCTCTTCACATGCCCGGGTCTTACTTCAGCTTCAGTGAGACTCCTCCAAAAGGCTGTTTCTTTGCAAGCTATTCCACTGCTCCGGTTTATTTTCTGACTGTCATTTTGTTCACTTGCTTCGTGGAATTTGACACAATTTGAAGTGGACTTGCTGCTGTGTCATCTGTCCTCCCACTGGGTGCCAGCTCTGTAGGGCAGGAGCTCTTCCCTCTCTTGGCCACTGCCAGCTCCCCAGTGCCTAGAGCAGGGCCCCGACCGAGTGGGAGCTCAGCAGTATTGTTGAGTGGATGAACATCCCTTGCCCTCGCCCGTCACCGCACCCCTGTGCAATCTGTCCTGTCTGTTTTGTTCACTACTGTGCCCCCAGTACCTGAGACCGTGTCTGGCACATAATGTTTGCTCAATAGATAATCCTTGAAAGACAAGTTGAATTAAAAACGCACATCCAGCCCCACTTGACCCCGGAATTCAGCCTTGACTGACTTATACGTTGCTCATTTCCTCTCGGGTTCATCACCAAATGGGGCTCTTTTCCTGCTGTTTATGAAGTCACCAACTGCAGATACTTGAGAAGGGCTCCACCGGTTTTTGTTTTTTGTTTTTTTGAGACAGAGTCTCACTCTGTCACCCAGGTAGGAGTGCAGTGGCATGATCTCGGCTCATTGAAACCTCCGCTTCCCAGGTACAAGCGATTCTCCTGCCTTAGCCTCCTGACGTAACTAGGATTACAGGCATGGGCTATCATGCCCGGTGAATTTTTGTATTTTTATTAGAGATGGGGTTTCACCATGTTGTTCAGGCTGATCTCGAACTCCTGACCTCAAGTGATCCACCTACCTTGGCCTCCCAAAGTGCTGGGATTACAGGAGTGAGCCACCACGCCTGGCCACCGCTCATAAACTTCCATGAGAAAAGCAGTGTTAGCTCCATCTTACAGGTGAGGAAGAACGAGGCCAGGGAATCCTGTAACTTGCCCTCCAGCCCCGTAATTGCTGAGAGGTGGAGTCATTCATTTGTGGAGCGTGATGTTGCCTTGGTGTTGCTGCTGGGAGGAGGGAACACATATGAGCCTGTGAGTCTTTGAAGGGGAGTTCCAGGCACTCCAGGTCCCACGGAGACAGGGAGGTTCCTGGAAATGAAGCTTACGCTTGAAGGATGAGAAAGTATGAACCACGCATGGTGTAGGTGTGGACCGGGAGTGAAAGGCGTTCCAGGCAGAGAGAATGGCGTTTGCAAAGGCCTCAAGCCTCAAGAGCTCAGGGACCGCTGGGGGGAAAGTGAGCAGAGGAGAGGATGATTTTTTTTTTTTTTCCCGAC
Source organism: Homo sapiens (assembly GCF_000001405.40). Taxonomy (NCBI): domain Eukaryota; kingdom Metazoa; phylum Chordata; class Mammalia; order Primates; family Hominidae; genus Homo; species Homo sapiens. The sequence goes on from NC_000020.11 coordinate 51,194,400, forward strand.
AGCAACTTTCCTTTTCATAGCCAATTATATTAAGATAGAATTCACATGCCATAAGATTCCCTCCTTTAAAGTATAGAATTCAGGAGTTGTTAGTACATTCACAGTAGTGCAGACATAGCCACTATTAATTCCAGAACATTTTTCGGTATCCCAAGAAAGAAACCCTGTGCCCATTGGCAGTCACACTCCGTTGTGCCAACTCCCTCAACCCTTGGCAACCACGATCCGCTTTCTGTATCTATGGATTGGCCTATCTGGACATCTCACATAAATGGAATCGTAGTCTTTGTGACTGGCTTCTTTACTTAGCAAGTGTGTTTTTTATTTGTATTTTTTTAATGTAGTAAAATACATGTAACGTCAAATTTACCATCTTAACTTGGTGGTTGTTACTATCATTGCTCAGGCTGGAGGGCAGTGGTGCGATCTCAGTTCGCTGCAATCTCCACCTCCCAGGCTCAGGTGATCTTCCCACCTAAGCCTCTGAATAGCTGGGACTATAAGTGCATGCATCACCGCACTGGCTAATTTTTGTATTAACTTTGTATAAATTTTATAGAGATGGGGTCTCACCATGTTGTCTAGGCTGGTCTCGAACTCCTGGGCTCAAGTAATCTGCCCACTTCAGGCTTTCAAAGTGCTGGGCGAACAAATATCTGTTCCAGTCCCTACTTTCAGTTCTTTTGGATATATGTTTACGTAGAAGTAGAGGGAGGATGACTTTTTAAAGTAAAAGCCCTCCTGCCATTTTCTTAAAAATGTTTCCCCTAGGACAGCTTGCCCCGTCAAACAAAGTGCCCCCTTGTAGCACTGTTTAATTAAATGACTGCAACCAGTGTACCGTGTGCACATCCAGGAACGTGCCATGTGCCCTTCCTCTCCTTCATAGAGCTGGGAACACTTCGTGGTTGTCGCTTAGTTGGTCTGGTGAGATGAGAGGAATGGCTCTGTGTTGACGGCGCTGGCCACTTCCAGGCCTTCCTCTTCTAAGTCAGGGCTGCATTTGGCATAAACGGGTTCTAGCAGTCGAACCCCTGTTATCGCAAGAACTGCCTCCGTCTGTTTTGCATTGCTATGAAGCAATATCTGAGGCTGGGTAGTTTACAAAGAAGAGAGGTTTATTTGGCTCACTGTTCTGCAGGCTGTACAGGAAGCATGGCACCAGCATCTGCCTCTGGGGAGAGCCTCAGGAAGCTTATAATTATAGTGGACGGTGAACGGGGAGCAGGTGTGTAGCATGGTGAGAGAGGGAGCAAGAGAAAAGGGAGGAGGTGCCGGGCTCTTTAAACAGCAGCTCTCATGTGAATTAATAGAGTGAGAACTGACTCATTACCGCAGGGAGGACGCCAAGTCATTCATGAGGGAATCCACCCCCGTGACCAAAACACCTCCCACCAAGCTCCACCTCCAACATCGGGGATCACATTTCAACATGAGGTTTGCAGAGGACACACACCCAAACTATATCCAATTCATATTTATTATGTCCTTAGAAAGTGCTGGGCTCTGTACCAAGCAGTATATGTGGGTTATTCAATCAACGTGATACTTATGACGTGTGTAAGATGATTCCCACTTTACAGTTGAGGTCACTGGGGCACAGAGAAGGAAAGTAGTTTGCCCAGGGTTACAGAGCCAACGTAAGAGCCACAGTTTTGAGTGCGGGCATCCTGCCTCTAGATCTCATGCCCTTGTCCACTGAAATAAGCAATATAGCAGGCTGTTGAAGAGCCCAGGCTTAGCCATTTGCGAGCCCTATGACCCTGGAAATATTGTTTAACCTGTCTGAGCCTCAGTGTGACCATCCATAAAATGGGGACAGTGCTGTACCCACTTGAAACGATTATCCTGAGAGTTCAATGAGATGGTGTGTGTGGAGCTGGTGCATTGGGAGTTTCACTAAATATCAGTTCCTGTCGCAGGGAGAGAGTCAGGGTTGAGCAGACCAGCTTATGTCCTGGCTGGACCTTGGGTATTAGTGTGATTGTGGACTGTTCTTCAAAGCTGAGGCCAGCATGGGGAACATGGTTTAATGATCTCCCGCCTGGGCATTCAGTATCCGGGAGCTTGGATGTTTGCAGAGGCTGCTGGGATGGGGAGGGAACTTAGAGGCTCCTCGATAGTAGCACACGTCCTTGCTGCAACCCTAAATAATTGCTTTTCTCCCGAGGCTACTGCTTGCTCTGCCTGGGGTAGGAGCCAGGCTTGGGACTTGTCTTGGTGGCCCAGGGCTATTTCATTCAAGTTGGTGGACTCTGATTTTAATTGACTCTTGTGTGCCTTGAGACCATTTTCCAAGGAAAATGGATCATTAAGCCTGAGTTTGTCCTCAGAGAAGTTCCAAATGGTCTATGGCTCCTGGGTACAAGCAAGGATCATGGAAAGTCGTTTTGTGAAGTCTCAGTGAGATGTGCTTGTTCTGGACACTGAGTTCTGGTCCCAGGGATTCCAGTTCTCTCCAGCTCATGGTGGCAAAGAGCCTGTCTGATGGCACTGGTGTTGAATAATCTCCACCAAACACGAGGGGCAAATTTCAAGGATGGCTTTTACTCAGCAGGTTTCTTGGACAGGCTGGCATTGCTCCTTCCCCTTTGACCCTCCAGGATAACAAGCATGGACCACGGTGGCCTTGACGGAAATCCTAACCTAGCTAAAGACCCTCTCCCTGTCACTCAGTAGCTCTTTCTGTGTATGACATTCCCTTCTTTTCTTAACCCAGAGAGATCCTGACATTCCAGCAAAACCAAAACGAATCAAAACACTAGTCTGGCATCCTTAAAACAGCATTTTTTCAAAGTGTGGTCCATTGTCCAGCAGCACCAGAATGACTCAGGAGTAGAGGGCCACTAAAACATTAATAATAAACCCCCAAGCCAGACTCCAGGTCTACCGAATTAGAATCAGCTTAGAAATGTTGCTTTAACACAGGTGTGTTCTGTGGCTCAAATACCACAAGCGATGTTGCTGACAGGGACATGATTTGATGAAATGGTGAGTAAATTTTGGTAAAATTCTGAGCAAAAGAAAGTACAATACTCGCTTGTTTACATGGTAATGGGAGTTGCATTCCTGGGAGAATCATGTGGATAGAAACCATGCCCAGAATACTTTGTGCAGAACGGATTCAGACTTGGCCTCAGATACTTCTAAACATGTGTTTTACTTGGGGAGTATGGGGGACTTGGGGCAATTCTCTTTTCCGCAGGACTGTGATGTGCATGGCAGGGCAGTCGATAGCCCTCGCGCTCACCCTCTAAATGCCAATGGTGCCCCTAAAATGCTCCTGTGAATTTTCAAAATGCCCTATTGGGGGCAGTTCCATTTCTGTTGATGCCCACTGGTGTAGTGGAAAGGCTGGGCTTAGTATGAACCCTCCACTGATACCCTGTGTCATCCTTGAGTCAGCTAGCCTCACCGAACCTCTTCTCTCTAACATGGTGGGATATGCCAGGCATGGTGGTTCACATATATAACCTTAGCACTTTGAGAGGCTGAGGTAGGAGGATAGCATGATACTAGCCTGGGCAACATAGTAAGATCCCAGGTCTACAAAATTAAAATTAAAAAATGAGCAAGTGTGGTGGTGCATGCCTGTAGTCCCAGCTACTCTGGGACTGAGGTGAGAGGATCGCTTGAGCCCAGGAGTCTGAGGTTATAGTGAACTGTGATAGCACCACTGCACTACAGCCTGGGTGACAGAGCAAGACCCCATCTCTAAAAACAAATAAAACAAAAATAAGTAAAATAAAATGGGGGAAATAATAAACCTTCCCTCTAAAGAATTGTTTGAGGGTTAAATGATCCAATGTGTGTGCTATCCCTAACACAGCAATGGGCACACAGTCCACCCTGAATACCTGTTGTTCTTTGCTCTATTCCAGGTTAAACATGTTCTATAAAGGACCAGATAACAAATATCTTAGGCTTTGGGGGCTATATTGCCAGCCTCTCTTGCCACTTCTCAATTCTGCCGTTGTTGCAAGAAAGCAGCCATGGATGACACGTAACAAAGGTGCAGCTGTGTGCCAATAAAACTTTATTTGCAAAATCAGGTAGTAGGCCAGGTTTGGCCTGTGGCCTGATCCCGGGTCTATACCCATGGAATGTCTGTGTGCTACTTCTCCATCTGCTCAGCTGGATTAGAGTCTCCCTAGAGGCCCATGTTTTCAGTTTTGTCGTAATACATCTGGAACAAGAGGGTTATCAGACTGTGTCTGGCGCAGGTAGTTCCCACAGGCAGTTGCAGGAGATCATGATGTATCGACAAAGCATCACCTCTGTCCTCAGCTAACTGCCTTCAGGGACCCGTTCAGTGAGAGAGGAAGGGAGCAGAGAGATCTCAGGTGGAGAGTGTGGGTTAGGCAGGGCCGGCGTCCCTGTTCCTGGGGGCCAAGCCTCCTGTATAGCAGATAGCACATTCCCAGGGTTTCTGAGCATCCTTGGAATTTCAGAGGGAAATATCAATTTCTCCTTTGTGTTAATTTCCTAAAAAAGAAGTTATCCAGCATACTGAATGGAACCCTGGAGTTGTTGATCTCAAAGAAAGTGTTATCTGCATTTACTGCCCCTGCGGCAAGTTTTAGAGTTTCCCATTGAAATTTTGGAGGTGGGCTTGGGAGAAGCAGAAAGAGAGAGAAGGGAAGGTAGTTTGAGGCCTAAACTGGCAGCCTGCCGGTCAGCTTCTGCCCAAGGACAAGTTTGTTTTGCTACTCACAGGAACGGTCTGCCTGCCTTAAAAAAAAAAAAAATTAGGTTCCCATAATAATCCATCTTTTGAGCTTCTCTGAAAAACTGGCAGCCTCAGGGACTCCAGGACTGTCTTCTGCAGGGCAACAACTGACGGGTGGGTGGGAGCCAGGGGGGCTGTCTTGTCAGGGGTGCAGGCTGTCCAGCAACTAATGCTCCCAGACCCTCAACCTTGTCCTTCCTCCTACCTGCTTTCTCTACAGGGCCTCTGTGGGCATGTGGGTTTGAGACGTCTGCCTCCCTAAGGAATGGTAAATGAGGTCTTTCATTAGCTGCCACACTGCATGGAAGACAAGAGGGCAGCCTGGCCAAGGCCACCTGGGCCCTGGAGGAGCCTCCTGCCTAGACTCCGTGCCTCCCTGCCTCCCTGCATCACTCCCTACATCACTCCCTACAGTTGGTTCTCCATGGAGCAGATAGAGGGATTGGTCTAAAAATGCTGATTAGTCAGCTGCTGTTTTTCATTGCTTTTCAGATCAAGATCCAACCATTAACCTGCCCGCAGGGCCCTGGGTGGATTGTCTTTGCCAATCTCCCTAGTTGCCTTTCTCCCCTTATCCTCCTTACTTCCTCCCTCAAATGCCATGTTCCAGACAGGTTGAGCTGCTTTCAACTCCTTAAACAGCTTGTTAAGCCCTTTCATGCCTTTATAAACCCAGATCTTACACATACAAATTTGCAGAGACACAGGCATTTCAGTTATGATTGGGTTGAGCTCAAGTTGACAGAAATTCAAAACAAGGAAAAGGGATGCTTATTTCTCTGCTGCAATTATCCGAGTGCAGGAACCCAGGGCTGGGAGGTCTGGCGGTTCTCAGAGTCAATGCCATAGACACCTTGACTCTTGCCCTGCTGTGTGTGGCCTCTTGACCCAGTATGGAAGCATGTGAATTCCAGGCCCACGAGACAGAGAAAGGAATGGCGAGGACCAAGGGGACATGCACACCATCTCTTAAAAAGGCTTCCGGAAGAGGCCTGATATAACTCTACTTCTCACTAATTCTGGCCAATAGTGCAGGGCCACGCTAAGATGCAAGGAAGCCTGGGAAATGTAGTCTTCATTCTAGGAAGCCATATTCCCAGCCAAAGTTTAGTGGTCTGTTACCATAGAAGAAGGCTTAACAACTACTGCATACCAGAAGGGACTCCTATAATCTCAATGTTCTTTGCCCACCAGTATTGTGAAAAGCAGAAATTGGATGCAGAATTATCTGCTCCCAAAACTGTGCTCTTCACTGTTTTGCTGCGTTGCTTCCTGACACGCAACACACAGTTAGGATTTAACAAAAGCTCATAGAGTATTGAGTTATAGATTTTGGGCTTGGGCATGCTTGGAAAGTATTGGTCTGTGTGTACAGCCCACTTCATTTTCTTATAAGGAGAATACTAGATAACTCTTAGAATTTATTAAATCTGACCGGGTGTGGTGGCTCACGCCTGTAATCCCAGCACTTTGGGAGGCTGAGGTGGGCGGATCACTGGAGGTCAGGAATTCAAGACCATCCTGGCCAACATGGTGAAACCCTGTCTCTACTAAAAGTACAAAAATTAGCCGGGCGTAGTGGCACCCGCCTGTAACCCCAGCTACTCAGGAGGCTGAGGCAGAGGTTGCAGTGAGCTGAGATTGCGCCTCTGCTTTCCAGCTTGGGTGACGGAGTGAGACTCCATCTCAAAAAAAAAAAATTATTAAATCTTAGAACTGGAGGAAATGGCTTTTCTTTTTGAAATTTTATTGACTTTATTAGGTATGATGCATATATCCTAAAAGGCACACACTTTAAATATGAGTTTGATAAATTTTAACAAATGTCAACCCTCTTGTAACCATCATCTCAATCAAGATGTAGAACATTTCCATCATTCCAGAAAAATTCCCCAGTATCCCCTGGTGGACAACCCCCATCCCCCACCTTACTCCAGGCACCCACCAATCCATTTTCCTTTTTTAAAAAGAGAGACAGGGTCTCATCATGTTGCCCAGGCTGGTCTCGAACTCCTGGGTTCAGGCAATCCTCCTGCCTCGGCCTCCCAAAGTGCTGGCATCAGCCACCACACCTGACCACCAATCCATTTTCTGTCATTATATGTTAGTTTTGCCTGTTCTTAAAGTTTATATGTATGGAGTCTTACCACTTGGGCTCTTTCTATCGGGCTTTTTTCGTTCAGCATTATGTTTCATGCATAATTCATGTTACTGCTTATACTGGTAGTTTGTTCCTTATTATTACTAAGTCATATTCCATCTTATATCTCAAACTGCTGATTTCTATTTATTGTTTCCAGTTATTGGCTATTATGAGTAAAGCTGCTATGAACATTCACGGACAAGCCTTTCTGTGGACATATATTTTCATTCTCTAGTATAAATACTTAAAAGTGAAATTGCTTGGTTATATGATAAGTATATATTTACCTTTACAGTAAATGCTAAACTGTTTTCCAAAGTGGATTTACCATTTTACATTTCCACCTACAATGTATGGAAGTTCCAGTTGCCCCACATCTTCACCAACACTTGGTATTGTCAGGTATCTTTAAAACTTTTGCTATTCTAATGATATATGGCAGTATTTCATTGCAGTTTTAGCTTGCGTTTCCCTGATGACTGAAGATACTGAGCATCTTTTCAATGTGTTTATTGGCCATCTGTACACTTTCTTTTTTGAAGCGTCTGTTCAAATGTTTTTTCTGCTATTGGTATTTTGTCTTCTCATTGAGTTGCAAGACTTCATTAGATATTCAGGATACAAGTCTTTTGTCAGATAAATGTATTGTGAATGTTTCCTCCCAGTTTGTGGCTTGCCTTCTTATTTTCTTCATGGGACCTTTTGATGAACAGAAGTTTCTAATTTTCATTAAGATCAATTTATCCATTTCTTCTTTTATGGTTGGTGCTTTTATGTCATGTTTTTAAAACATACTATGCACCTGCTGTGTAGATAATCAGGAAATGTTTGAGTGGTTGAATTCCATCAGAGTAGTTATGGTGCGACAACCTATGAAGAGATGACCTCCCTGGACTCTCTTTGGTATTTGGGGTCCATGTTGTATGGCTGCTCCTAACTCTGGTCCCCTAACACACTAGGAGCCAGGCTGATGAAGAGCCCAAATCAGTGTGTTTGTGTGTTTGCCGTGGGGAGAGGGGAGGAGAGAACTAAGTCCTTTTCTTTGCCGAAACACTAGGGGGAAAAAAAACCCCGAGCAAATGGTTTTCATATTCACTGGGTGATGTTTCTACAGTTGCCTTCCTGGCCTGATATTCTTGGGGAATGTTGCTTCATAAATATTGAATGGCGTCGGTACCTTCTGCGCAGGCCGCCGGCAACTGCTTCCTAGAAATGAATTTGGAGTCTTGCAGTAATTACCCCTGGAAGTGTTCATTCAAGTCTGAGAGCAGATTAAATAATGAATAGGAATGTCATTTATTCATTCCAATTTAGAAACCCGTGTCTCATTATTTTTCTGGATGAAATTGAATGTCAAGAAAGGGAGAAAACTAAAGGGAAGGGGGAGACTTGGAGATGGAACACGAGGCAAGTGTGTCACTCGTACTGCAGAAGACCAGAGAAGGGGGCTTGGGTGGGGAAGTGGCCTCGGCTCCTCCAAGAACTGATGCCAGTAGCAGGGTTGTGAGGACAGAGCAGGTCAGATAGGCAATCAGGGACATGCCCACAGGCCCTTTTGTCCTTGCTCCTAGACTATCCTCATTTCTCACCTTTTTGACATTTTTCCCTTGGAGAAAAATTGTAAAATGCAGGAAAGCGTTAAAGAGAAAAAAAAACTCATCCATCGTCCTGCCACCCAAAGGCAATCATTATTAGCATTTTGCAGTATTTCTTTTCCCAGACTTTTTTCTCTGCTGAGCTTTTTTGAAAAAATGTATCTTGAGACCAGAGTAGGAATCCAGTTGTACCTCCTGCAGTGAGTGTTGGTTCATCCTTAGGATGCAAGCAATCTTGGATGGGGTTGCACACACTCTGTGGACTGCAAGCTCCCTGGCTCTTGGACTCTTCTCCATCGCTGCACCTGCAGTACCTAGCATGGTGCCTGGCATGTGGCAGGCATTCGGTAAGCATGTGTTGGATGGATGGGTCACTTTTAGTAGCTGAGTATCAATCCTTAGTAACAGCAGCCAGGAGGACAGGGTGCTTGTGGGGTGCCACACGCATGCTAAGAGCTTTACAGGGTCTACCTCATTTAACCTGTACATCACCTTCCTAAGAGATTTATTTTCATGGCTGAGAACACAGACCCTGGAGTAAGTCTGGCAGTATAGTGTCATGCTTGAGAATGTGTGCTTTGGAGCTAGACTACCTGAGTTTGTGCCCCAGATCCATTGCTTTTAGCCACAGAACCTAGGGTAAATCACTTAACCTTTCTGAGCCTCAGTTTCTTCACGTATAAAAAGACTCTAATAATAATATCTACCTTGCAGGACTGTCAAAAGCATTTTGCGCAATAACTCAGATTGGGACCTGGCAAACATTTCTAACTAGTTTTATTTCATTTTATTTTTATTTTGAGACAGAATCTCCCTCTGTTGCCCAGGCTGGAGTGCAGTGGCATGATCTTGGCTCACTGCAACCTCCGCCTCTCAAGTTCAAGCTATTCTCCCACCTCAGTTTCCCAAGTAACTGGGACTACAGGCATGCACCACCACACCAGGCTAATTTTTTATATATTTAGTAGAGACAAGGCTTCACCGTGTTGGCCAGGCTGGTCTTGAACTCCTGACCTCAAGTGATCCACTCGCCTTGGCCTCCCAAAATGCTGGGATTACAAGCGTGAGCCACTGTGCCCAGCCAGGACATGGCAAAGAGAAAGTAGTTTGAAATTGTTAGCCGTAAGTACTAATCTTCATCATCTGAGTAACCTTGAAGAAGCCATTTTTCCTTTGAGAATTAGTTTCTTCATCTGGAAGATGGGGAGAGTAGTTGTGATCATAGAAATGAGATAAACTATGTAAAGAGCCCAGTCCAGAATTTGGCACATCGTAGGAACTCCCCAAAGAATAGTTATTCGTAGTCTCTCAAAAAGCAGGACCTATCCAGCTCCTACTCCTCCTTCAAAACTTACCTCAAGGGTCACCTCCTCCAGATGGCTTCCTTGATTTCTTTTCCCCCTACTTCTCTGCATTCCTTCAATGCTTTGATCTGTTCTCTAACACAACAATTCCCATGCTGTCCTATAATCTCAGTTTTAACTTGTCCATGTGCCCCACTGTACCCCAAACACCCACTAATCACCACTGCATCCCCAGACTCTAGTGTCTGGCACATAGTAGGTGCTCTACAAAGCATTTATGGAGTGAAACTATGATTGATGCAGTCGGGGAAGATGTTGGGGGCAGGCAGCCAGGGGGTGAGTGCTTCTATTGAGTCATCTCTGAGGGGAGATGTTAGTGAAAGTCCTGGAAAAATTAGCTGCTTGTCATAAATTCTATCTCTGGTAATGTTTTGCTAATCTGTCTTTTTCTGACTTAATTCAAAATTGAATGGGAGGGAGAGAAATTTGTCTGGGTGACTCCAAGTTAACAAGCTGTAATGATGTGCTGGGAACTGTGTAGCTTGGAGCTATCAATTTGCTGGTAGAGAGGGCAGAAGTGAAAATGTAACTGCCATTGGTAGGGGTTGTCAAGGGATAGAGGTGAGAGGATTCTGGGTTTTTAGTATAATTTTCATACAATACAATGTGCCCATTTACTTGCACAGGCTGAGTTTTGACAAATGCATACACCCATGTAACCACCACCATGATCAAGATGTGAAGCTGGTCTGTCACTCCACAAAGAGTCCTCTTGCTCTGTGTCACCCCCTGCAAACTGCCTTAGGCAACTACCATGCTCTTTCTATCAGTATAAATCTATTTTGCCTGTTTTAGGGTTTCATATAAATGTAATCATACACAATGTACTCTTCTGTATCTGGCGTCTTTCATTCAGCATAAATGCTTTTGTGATTCATGTTGTTTTTAAGATAAGATTTAGTTCTGTTGCATCCATATACCAATCTCCTTTTCCCAGATAATCCAATGCCATAGGCTTGTCAGTCATGTGCTGTGTTCTTAGGCTGATTCTTCAATAACTGGCTTAAATGTGCTCTCCTCTGACATTCCTTCCCTGACTTTTCCCCAGCATTGCTAACTGGGTTGGTGATAATGCTATTTAATAACTGCTATTTAATGGGTTTTTAACCATGGTTAATAAGCCTTTGCCTTACAAAGGTTATTCTATTATTACAATCCTCCTCTGAGTTAGGTATCATTGTCCCATTTTAGAAAAGGAAACTAATGTTCAGAGAGGTTGAGCAACTGAGCTAATACTATACAGCTAAGTAATAGCAGAGCCAGAGTTTGAATCCAGAACTTTGACCTTAAGAACCGTGCTCATGACCAGTCTGCTGCAGTGACTCACGGGGGACCATTCTCTTCATCTATAGCCTGAACATCCCCTTCTTAAATTCCTTATCACACTGTTTCATAGTTTTCTGTTTCACTGTCTTTTCCCTCTTGTCAGTCTGGCTTCTTAGTTGCAAATAACAGAATCTACTCTAGCACTTAAGCAGGAAGAGAACTAAAGGAGATTACGTAGCTCACAGCATCTGCAGGAGTATCAGAGTCAGCCTGGGAACTATGCAACCAGGAATAAAGCTACAGTTTCACTGAATACCACAGCCTTTGCTGCCCCTGAAAGCCATACATCCTCCATAGGAATTAGATTCTCTGGACACCAATGTCTTCATTTGCTCACTTTTTTTTTTTTTTTTTTTTTTTTCCGAGACAGGTTCTCACTCTGTTGTCCAGGCTGGAATGCAGTGGCGCCATCTCAGCTCACTGCAACCTCTGCCTCTTGGTCTCAAGAGATGCCCCCATCTCAGCCTCCCAAGTAACTGGGACTACACCATGTTAAGTGCCACCACCATGCCCAGCTAATATTTTTATTTTTTGTAGAGACGGGGTTTCATCACATTGCCCAAGCAACTCCTGCACTTGAACTCCTGTGCTCAAGCAATCCACCCATCTGGGCCTTCCAAAGTGCTGGGATTACAGGTGTGAGCCACTGTGCCGGGCCATTTGCTCACTTCTCAATTGAAATATCACATGGTGCTATCTGATTGGTGGAGTCTGTGTCACGTGATGAGGCCCCAGCCACAAGGAATGCTGAGAGAACACGCCGTGCTGAGAGAATAATGTTGGGTTTTTTTGGGGTTTTTTTTTGTTTGTTTTTGTTTTGTTTTTTTGGTCTGTATTCTTACAATGTCTTTGTCTGGTTTCTTATTAGAGTAATGCTGGCCTTATCAAACAAGTTGGGAAATATTCTCTTCTGTTTTCTGGAGGAGATTTTATAGAATTGGTATTATTTTTTTCTTTAAATTTTTGGAAGAATTTGCCAGTAAAACCAACTGGGCCTGGAGTTTTTTTTTTTTCTTTTCTTTTCTTTTTTTCTGGAAGGTTTTAAACTCCATATTCAATTTCTTTTCTCTTTTCTTTTTCTTTTTTTTTTTTTTTTTTTTTTTTTTGAGATGGAGTCTCCTTCTGTCACCAGGCTGGAGTGCAGTGTTGCAATTTCGGCTCACTGCAACCTCCGCCTCCAGGGTTCGAGCAATTCTCCCGCCTCAGCCTCCCGAGTAGGTGGGACTATAGGCGTGCACCACCACGCCTGGCTAATTTTGGTATTTTTAGTAGAGGTGGGGTTTCACCACGTTGACCAGGATGGTCTCGATCTCTTGACCTCATGATCCATCTGCCTCGGCCTCCCAAAGTGCTGGGATTATAGGCATGAGCCACCGTGCCTGGCCTCAGTTTCTTTAATAGACATAGGACAATTCAGGTTATCCGTTTCTTCTTGAGTTTTGATATTTGGTATCTTTCGAGGAACTGTTTCATTTCATCTAAGTTGTTGAATTTAAGGAAGTGGAGTTGGTCACAGTATTCCTTTATTATCTCTTTAGGTCTGTGGCTTCAGAAGTGATGTGCCCTCTTTAATTTCAGGTATTGCTAATTTGTTTCCTTTGTCTCTTTTCTTGGTCACTCTTGCTAGAGATTTATCAGTTTTATCCATCTTCTCTAAGAATGAGCTTTGGTTTTATTATTTGTCTTCATTCTTTTCTGTTTTCAATTTTATTGATTTCTGCTTTTCTCTTCATTATTTCTTTCCTTCTGCTTCCTTTGAGTTTAAATTTACTTTTCTTTCTCTAGTTTATTGAAGTAAAAGCTTTGGTTACTGTTTTTAGCTTTTTCTTCTTTTCAAATATAAACATTTTAATGCTGTAAATCTCCATCTAACCATGGCTTTAGCTGCATTCCACAAATCTTGGTGTTTTATTTTCATTTTCATTCCATCCAAATATATTTGAATTTCCCTTGCCATTTTCTCTTGAGTCTCAGTGAGTTATTTAGAAATGTATTGTTTAATTTTCAAATATTTGGGGGATTTTCCAGCTGTCTTTCTCTTATTGGTTTCTAGACCAGTTTTGTTATAATTCTGGAGCATAATTATTATGATTACAATTCTCTTACATTTGTTAAGGTTTGCTTTATGGACCAGATTATGATGAATGTGTATATCTTGGTGGGTGTTTCACACACACTTGAGGCAAGTGTGCATTCTTCTGTTGTTGGACAGAGTGTTCTATAAATGTTCATTAGATCCAGTTGGTTGGTGATATTGTTTGTCTTCTCTGTCAATACTGATTTTTTGCCTATTTGTTGAATCAGTCATTAAGAGAGGAATGCTGACGTGTCCAACTATATGGGGATATGTCTATTTCTCCTTTCAACTCTGTTACTTTTTGTCTTGTGTAGTTTGATGCTCTGTTACTGGGTACATACATGTTTAGAAGTGTTATGCCTTCTTAGAAAATTGACACCTCTACTGTTATGCAAAGCCATTTGATTTATTTCTCTCCATGAAACTTTGTTCTAAAGTCAGTGTTGTATGAAATTAATATAGTTACTCCAGGTTTTTTTGTTTTTGTTTTTGGTTGGTATGTTTCTGGTACCCTCGATGTATGTACCTACCAAGAAGGCCCAGGGGAAGCAGAGGGAGGAATCTCTTTTTCTAAACATTATACAGCCAATGCCTTTGCAGTGGTGTCAACTCAGAACCTTGTGCATTGCAATATGGGAACCTGGAATGAGAGCCTCCAGTGACGCCCAGCACTGCCGGTGGAACCAGCACCTGTTTGAGATTCACAGCCACCTGCAGGCACTGTTATGTCTGTGGTTAGAGTTCTCAGAGTGAGACAGGAGTGGTGGGTGGCCACCACAGTTTTGGATGCTGTTGTACCTTGGAAGTTTAATCACTCTGTGTTTACAACCTCTTTTCACCATGGAGACCATTTGACACCCTGGGAACTGACCTTTTAAAATGGCATGTGGTGCGTGCACAAGAGGAAAAGTAGAGAATTTAGCTGTAAATGCAATGTTTTAAAAAGAAGCACTTTTATACTCTCCACTGCTGTGTAATTGTGGGATGGCCTGGAGGGGAAGGGGAAACATTGCAAGATTCAAATGTTAACAGATGCATGAAGGACCTGCAACATTGCAAGAAGGACTTACACAGGCAATTGGGACCAAGGTCATTCCTGAAGGAGTGAGGGTAAATTCTGCATCTTGGCATCTGGCCGTCTCATAATTATTGGTATTCTTCTGGAGTTTGAGCCTCAACAAGGGTGTAGAGGGCTACAGGCAGGGGAGAGGACATTACCAAGGTACTCATTTATATTTGATCACCAAGAATAGCCTACTGATTCTAATTGAATATAATCGGAGACAGTCAAGCTGGCTGGCTGAAAGCTAGCCGACTGTCTACCTTCAGAGCTGTGGGATGATGGGAGGAAGAGGCGTGAGGGTTGGGAGGACAGGGTGGAGAAGAAAGGCTTTGTCAGCTCAAGCTTTGCTCTGACCCTTGTTGTGTTGGCAGCAAAAACAAGGGTCAGACAGGCCTGAATTCAAATCCCACCTTAGCTGAGTGACTTAGCCATTCTCTGTCTCAGCTTCCTTATCTATAAAATGGGGATAATAGCCTATAATTAGAGCATGGTTGTGAGGATTAAGTAAGCTAATCCATGTGAGTTAGCTCCCTTGTGTTCTTCCTACTCAAAATGTGGTACATAGACCAGCAGCATCAGCTTCACCCTGGAGCTTGTCGGAAATGCAGAATCTCATTCCTTCTCAGCATCTGCATGGCAGCGAGATCACAGGTGATTCCAATGCATGTTGCAGTTTGAAATGTACTGTGTTATGCCACCTTCATCCTTCCACATTGAGCCCATTACATTTTTGAGACAATTGGATTTTCTGTGGTCCTTTTCTAACATTCTCTGAGTGTGTTCCCTCCACCCATATAAAACAATACTCAAAACACAGAGCAGTTTCAGGATGGCACTTTCTTATAGCTTTGAGAAGCTCTGACTTCTGTCTGGAGTATTAAGATTTCATCCACTCCCCACCCACCCAAACACTGAAACAGTCAGGATCACTTCATACATCTGTTAACATTTGTGAATAAATAGCCTTTGGCAACTTAGATCTTATTTTTTAAATGTACTTAAGGGAGTCCGTCATTTAAAGAAACCCTATGGTGAACACTTCTGCAAAGCAAATAATCACCAACTAATTTATTTTACAAGCTCAATTTTTTGCCGATTATGATTTCAGAACAAAGCAGATTGAGCTGTTGGAAGCTTTAGCTCTTAATTAGCAATATTAAGAATAATAAATTTTTTTTTGGTGTGGGTAAAATAGGTTGCTTTTTCCAGTGTTGGTGGGGCATCAGAATCACCTGTGGAGCTTTATTTTTGTTTTTTTTACTTTGTAAGTACATAAATCTTAAGTGTATTAATGATTTTTACATATGTATACATCTATATAGATCAAGATATAGAACATTTTAGCACTCCTGAAAGCTCCTGCATGTCCCTTCCTGGTCAATAATACCTCCCCAGAGGGTAGCCTCTTTCTGACTTCTGTTGCATAGACTAATTTTTTTTCTGTTCTTGCATTTCATAACAAAATCATACAGTAAGTATTTTTTCATTTCTGGCTTTTTTCATCCACCACGTTTCTGTGATTCACCCATGTGGTTGCATGTTATAGCATAGTTTGTGTAATATTCTACTCTATGCAAATATAACACTGTCTATTCCTCTGTAGTTGGACATTTGGGTTGTTTACAGTTTCATGCTATTACAAATAGTGTTGCTATGAACATTATTTTACATGTTTTGGTGAACTTAAGTATGTGTAAATACTCAACTTGAGTACATATCTAGGAATGGACATCCTGGATCACAGGGTTTGTTTATGCTCAGCTTTCTTTCTGTCTTTCTGTCTTCCTTTCTGTCTTTTTCCTTCTTCCTTCATTCCCTCCCTTCATACATATACACAGGGTATATATATATATCTATCTCATATGTTTCGGCTGTGTCCCCACCCAAATCTCATTGTGAATTATAGTTACCATAATCCCCATATGTTGTGGGAGGGACCCGGTAGGAGGTAACTGAGTCATGGGGGTGGTTACCCTTATGCTGTTCTCATGATAGTGAGTGAGTTCTCACGAGATCTGATGGTTTTATAAGGGGCTTTTACCCCTGCTTCGCTCTGCACTTCTCCTTGCTGCCGCCATGTGAAGAATGTTTCCTTCCCCTTCCACCATGATTGTAAGTTTCCTGAGGCCTCCCAGCCATGCTGAACTGTGAGTCAATTAAACTTCTTTCCTTTATAAATTACCCAGTCTCGGGTATATCTTTAATAGCAGCATGAGAATGGACTAATACTCTCTCTCTCTCTCTCTCTCTATCTATATATGTGTATGTGTGTATATATCTAATATATATATAAATTATATATATATAAATTATATATATATATAAATTATATATATATATATAAATTATATATATATATATAATCTTGCTCTGTTGCGCAAGCTGGAGTGCAGCAGTGCAATCACGGCTCACTGCAGCTCCAACCTCCTTGGGCTCAGGTGATTCTATCACCTCAGTCTCCTGAGTAGCTGGGATTACAGGCATACACACCACCACACCTGGCTACTTTTGTGTATTTTATTGTAGAGACAGGATTTTGCCATGTTACCCAGGCTGGTCTTGAGCTTGTGAGCTCAAGTGATCCTCCCACCTCAGCCTCCCAAAATGCTGGGATTACAGGCATGAGACACCACGCCCGGCCCATGCTCAGCTTTCACATCTATTGTTAAACAGTTGCCCAGAGCAGCTGTACCTGTTTATAGCTCAGCAGTCATATGACAATTCCTGTTGCCACATGCAGAGTATTTTATGGTTACAAGTTCCTGGACTCTTCCTAGAACCTATAAACTTGGATTCCCTTAGAGGTTAGGACTTGGGAAACTGTATTTTCCTATCAAACCTCAGTGGTTTTGCAGATAAATTGAATATGACAGTCTCAAATCACCCAACAGCCATCTAAAATATGCTAATTACCCACCAAAATAAAATAAAAAGTTCACCTTAATGAACTTACCTGGAATTTTATAACCTGGAGAGGAGATGTATGTCTGTGTTTTATGCTTTATTTAGTGTTCTTAAGCTGACACATATTGAGGAAGGTGTACCACAGTTTGTCAGTGTTAGGTCTTCCGAATGGCTTCATCAGGCCCCGAACTAGTATTTTAAGGGGCACTGGGAGGGTCCCCCCACTTTCTGCTCCCTAATTTAGCTTCGTAGCACAGGAGATTCTTTCCTTTGGATTAGCCCAGCCCCTCTGAGCTCTTAAAGTGTAAACACCTTTTCAAAGGATAGCAAATAGCCTGTGCTATCACGAACACAGGTGTTTGCAACAGTTTCTAAAACAGCTGTTCTCAAGCCCTTAAGGCAATTGTGTGTTTGTTGAGAGTGGGAGAGGGAGGGAGGTTATTTTTGCTTGTTACAATGAGGGAGATGCTGCTGGCATTTAGAGGCAGGGATTAGGGACACTCAACAGGCTACCTTGAAAGAAGCAGCCCTGTGTGGCAAAATTCTGTCCTGTCCCAAATGCAATCAGTGCCTTCCCTAAGAAACTTCCGTTTTCCTCTGGTGGTGGAAGGGAATAGCTAGTTGCTAGATTCTGAGCTGTGGAGCCATGAAGCTCGGGCCCAAACTTGATTTTACCATTTAGTAGCTGCATGACAAGT
This sequence comes from Homo sapiens, assembly GCF_000001405.40. Lineage (NCBI taxonomy): Eukaryota > Metazoa > Chordata > Mammalia > Primates > Hominidae > Homo > Homo sapiens. Next base: position 51,212,299 of record NC_000020.11, read on the forward strand.
AACAACTTCTCCAACTTCTCTGTGCCTCAGTTTCTTCATCTGTAAAGTGGGGGAAATAATACAGCTTACCTCCTAGGGGGATTATGAAGACTAAAGCAGTGGTAACACAGGTAAAGAGCTCAGACAGTATCAATAAATGTTAGCCCTATCATTATTATTATTATTACCAGCCTGTAAGTATAAAAGAATATGGTCCAAGATGACACTGAGGGGAAAAAAGAGAAGAAAGATGACTTAGAGTCCTCTTAATCAAAGTTTAATTTTCAAAAAGCTAAAGATATGTTTTTTATGCAAACATATAGTGATCATGTGTCAGATTTATTTGACTCATTAGTGAACTAGCAGACTCACTGGCTTAAATCAGGATGTGAGAGAATGAAGTGTATATATATAGTCAGTGAAAAAATATTGGAATAAAATTGCAAAGTTAAATACTTGTCCAATAGACACCTGGTTAATGTCCTATAGAACACTAAACCATAATGTTTAGGTTATCTTTCCTACTGGGCAGAAATCATATGTGTCACTATGAATAAAAGTTATTTGCAAACTTATCTACATTCGAACTTTTCAGAACCTTGGCTTCAATCAAGACAAAGCAGGAAGTCAAAGCTACTTTTCTCCTGGAGCTGTGGTTCTCCAATTTCAGGGAGTATCAGAACCCCCTGAAAGGCTTGTTAAACAGTTTGTTGGGCCCCTCCTACAGAATTTCTGATTAAGTAAGTCTGAGATGGCGCCCAAGAATTTGCATTTCCAGCAAATTCCCAGGGTATGCTGATGCTGTTGGTACAGGGACCACGCTTTGAAAACCACTGTCCCAGAGCAGTGGGTAATCCTTAGGCAGAATTGTTCTTGTATGATTTTAAAAGAGCAAACAGAAATTGCCTTATATCTAAGTTGTTGATCATTTTCCTATATGCCTCCTCACCTTCAAGATGCAATTTATTTCTTGACTGATTGGCCAGTTTGGGGTAAGGTGGGGGATTTTGGTATCCCCACTTCTCAGCAACCCCAGTGCTCTGATTTCTATGATAGTCTTGGATAAAGGGGTAATTAGTTGAGACATGTCTGTTTTCATATGTTTTCAGTGTATTTTTCATGCAACAAAACAGCTGGTTTTAACATATATTAGTCCTTAGGCAAAAGAAAAAGAAAAAAGGAACATTTAAGCCTCTGAATGGGCTTCTCTATAAAACCGCCTTCCTGAAACACAGGCTCCTAGCTCACCCAGCCCCTCATGGAAGTCATGACCAGGTTATCCTGATTCTCTGATGAAACATTAAAAATTGGTTGTTTCTCTGTTTCTCTTTCTGAGCCCCAAGAGAAGCAGGCAGGCTGGGAAACCCAAACAGACCTAGAGGCTGAGTCGAGGGCACTGACATCTCAAGGAGGCAGCCCAGGATCATTAACTCTCTTTTGAAAATGTAGATGAAAAACAAAGTCCTGTGACCATAAAGGAAGTCTTTTCTTCTCAGTTTTCTGAACAAAAATCATTTCAGTGTCTAAAGGTTTTTAAAAGATTTTTCCCATTGCTTTATCTTTAAATACCTTCCTGCTGCAAGTGACCTGTTAATTTTCCACAATGTCTATTTCTCCCCATAACTAGAAAGCCTACTTTCCTCCTGTACATCTTCCCAGAGATATTTTCATCTAAATTGATGGTTCCTGTCATAGTAGGCCCAGTGCTCACGTTTATAACATATTTCATAATGTATGTTTTATCATCGTGATAGAATTAACAGCTAATAAGACCTACCTATACATACAATTTCAGGGAAGTGTATGTGTGTACATTTGCCCTGAGTGTAATGTATAGGAGAAATAAAACGAGATGGATTTCTCGTTTTACACATATAAATTTTGAAACAGAGTCTTGCCCTTGCTGCCCAGGCCAGAGTGCAGTGGCACGATCTTGGCTCACTGCAACCTCCACCTCCCGGGTTCAAGTGATTCTCCTGCCTCACCCTCCTGAGTAGCTGGGATTACAGGCACCTGCCACCATGCCTGGCTAAGTTTTTGTATTTTTAGTGGAGATGGGGTTTCCACTAAACCCCGTTCAGTTTAGGGTTCCACTAAACCCTAAACAGCCAGGCTGTTTGCCAGGCTGATCTCGAACTGCTGACCTCAGGTGATCCACCCGCCTCGGCCTCCCAAAGTGCTGGGATTACAGGCATGAGCCACTGCACCCGGCCTCTAGTAAAATATATATGTCACTGAACAAATGTTCCTGTAAAACTCTGAGAGAAGATAAAAAGCAGTACTCCTGCTGACACCCATCCATAACACTGGAAAAACAAGACAACAGCTATGAATGCAGAAAGATCCAGATGTGTAGCAGTGGCCACTCAGCACCACTGGCATTTCTCTAGGTGATGGGATTTTGCAAAATGGTGAATATTGCTTCTTAAAAGTTTAAAACAGAGAAATGCAGTCCCCTCAATTTATATTTACATGGTAGTTACATCCCTGGAAAATCCAGGATTTGTTCAAGTCTTGCAAAAAATACTTTTTACAATATATAAACCAGAGTTAAGTTCTAGCAGTTAATTTCAAACAGGTTTTTCACCTACATGAATGTCAGGTGCAACATTGCAGACTTGTGTGGGACTTGGGACAATGCTTTATTGCTTACTGCAGGCCATATAACATCCTTGTTACCCCAATCACCAGTAGAGTTTCCCCACAATTTGGTATTTGATACCTTTCTAGGTTTCCAGAATGCTCATTCATGCTGTGGATGGGGAGTAGATGCGGGTAGAGAACAAAAATAGAGGTGGGGACAATTGAGCTGCCGTAGTCATTGAGGTGAGATGTAATGATGGCTGGAACTAGGATAGGAACCACAGAGGATTAGGGAGAATACATAGATCCTGGAAATAGCACCTAGAGATGTCATGGACACCTTTCAGGTTCTACCTGGCATAACTGGGTGACCCCATTTATTGCTATGGGGAAGACTGAAGGAAAATCAGGTATGGGCAGAAATGTCAATAAATCAACCTTGGACATATTAAGTTTGAGATGACTGTAAGAGATCAAAGTAGAAATGTCCAAAATGTACTTGGATTTGTGAGTCTGGGCTTAGAAAGTAGATATAGACATAGACACAGAGACCCAACATGAAGCTTTAGGAATGGATGAGGTCTCCTGGAAAGAGGGTACAGAGGGCTAGAAGAAGAAGGCAGGCCTGAGGCATATAGAATCCTGGCATCTAGAGGTCAGGCAGGGTGAGAGGGCCCACTGGTCCTCCCCACTGCCATTTATATACATCACATCCCCTGACTCAGTGGTAAAGTCTTGGATGCAGGTCTGTGATGAATACATCACTGTGGCTTGTCAAGGACCAGTGTATTCTCCTGGCAGATGGTAAGGGCTCAATGTGTATTGGTTGATTGGCTGTCTAGAGTTGCATGTTTATAACATTTAGCATTTTTGCATTGTATTTGAAAACAAGATAAAGCCAATCTGTGTGTGCCATTTGTTTCCCCAGCCCTGAAGACATTCAGAAATCCTGAGTAAGAAGCTGATGGACTGGGACTCAGTTGGAGTTCTTCCAAATTGAGATGCCAGAGGGAGCAGTGGCTGGGGTCACTGGGCACTGGCTGGCATGAAAAGCCCATAATTAACTTGTTTTGTTTCATACCTCATGGGGAGGAAATGCTGTCTATTTTAATTTCATGAGCCCGCAACATTGTAAGATTTCAAAAAGGAAAAGAAATCTTTTATTTTGGGGCCTCAAAGGTCTAGGTCACTAACTTAATGGGGTATTATGAGATTCTATTATAGCAAATGACTAAGTCAACTATTGTCACAATGCTACTGCATAATAAACCCTTCCAAAATTTGGTGACTTATAGGAATGAATATTTATTCTTGCTCAGGTGTCTGTGGGTTGCCTGACCAAGGCTATGTTCTTTTGGCCTTGGCTCCAAGCTGCTTTCTTTTTGAACCAGCAGCTACTTGGAAGTTTATATGTCACAGCAATGGCAAAAATCCAGAAACAGAAGGCTAACTGCTCTGGCCTCTGCCTGTGTTCCATCTGCCCAAGTCCTACTGGCTGAAGCAGGGCACATGGCTAAGCCCAAGGTCAAAGGGTGGGAAAATACCCTCCTCTTCAAGTGGAGGGACAGCAAAGTCACATGGACAGAGGGAATGGTGATGAACTGAGAACCATAATGTAATCTACAGAAGAAGGCATAACACATTCTCATGCCTACTAGGACCAAGCAAAGCATGATACACAAGTAAAGATGCTGGATCAGATTGATGCAGAGATATTTTGAGTTCATAAAAATACAGGCATGTTTATCACAATCACGAGACTTATAAAATGTACCCCATTTTCTGGAAATATTTGGCCCACAATCTTACATTTTCCCACTTCTGATGAAGACATGGATGCAGAGAATGACCTCTCTACCTTAAGAATACGAAGAGTATTGACAATGGGCAGAGCTAGAGAGGCAATAAGGAGTAGCAAGAGGGGTGGCAAAGCAGAAACCAAAATACCTTGTCTGAAAGGTACAGCTATCCCTTGATTTCAGCCCATTCTTGTCAGATGGTATATTAGTCCATTCTCACACTGCTATAAAGAACTCCCTAAAACTGGGTAATTTATAAATAAAAGACGTTTAATTGACTTGCAGTTTCACAGGCTGCACAGAAAGCATGACTGAGAGACCACAGGAAACTTACAATCAGGGCAGAAGGTGAAGGGGAAGCAGGCACATCTCCTTGGCAGGAGCAGGAGGAAGAGAGAGTGAAAGGGGAAGTGCTATACACTTTTAAATAGCCAGGTCTTGTGAAAACTGTATCCTGAGACAGTACTAGGAGATAGGGCTAAACTATTAGAAACCACCTCCATGATCCAGTCCTCTACCAGACCCTACCTCCAATACGCGGGATTACAATTCAACATGAGATGTGGGTGGGGACAGAGAGTCAAACCATATCATTCCACCCCTGGCTCCTCCCATATCTCATGTCCTTCTCACATTTCAAAGCACAAGTATGCCTTCCCAAAAGTTCCCCAAAGACTTAACTCATTTCGGCATTAACTCAAAAGTCCAAGTCCAGCGTCTCATCTGAGACGAGGCAAGGTGGAAAGGACTTTGACTACATGTCTTGCATCTTCTCACAGCTCCACTAGGCAGTTCCTCAGTGGGGACTCTGTGTGAGGACTCCAACCCCACATTTCCCTTCCTCATTGCCCTAGTAGAAGTTCTCATGAGGGCTACACCCCTGCAGCAGACTTCTGCCTGGACATCTAGGCATTTCCATACATCCTCTGAAATCTAGGTGGAGGCTCCCAAGCCTCAACTCTTGCCCTCTGCACACTCACAGGCTTAACACCACATGGAAGTTGCAAAGGCTTAGGGCTTGTAGCCTCTGGAGCAGCAGCCTGAGCTGTACCTTGGCTCCTTTTAGCCATGGCTGGAGCTGAAGTGGCCATGATGCAGGATACCATGTCCTGAGGCTACCCACAGTAGCAGGGCCCTGGTCCTGCCCCAGGAAACCATGTCTTCCCCCAGGCCTCCAAGCCTGTGATGGGAGGGGCTGCCTCAAAGGTCTCTGACATGCCCTGGAGGCATTTCCCCTATTGTCTTGGCTGTTAACATTCAGCATCTTATATGGTACTTTTCTCCCATAGCCAGGATTCATGGGTCCAGGAATCAAGGGGTAGAAATGGAAGTGGCCCCACTCACCATCACCCCAAGGAACCCACTAGCAAAATTTTTGCTGCTTGTTACCACGACATTATGTTCTGCTGGCCTAGAGGTCTTAGTTCCAGAGGGAGGAATGCTGCCACCAGGAGACACAACAATGATTCCATTAAACTGGAAGTTAAGATTGCTGCCTAGCCACTTTGGGCTCTTCCTGCCTCTAAGTCAACAGGCTAAGAGGGGACTTACAGTGTTGGCTGGGGTAATTGACCTGGACTATCAAGATGAAATCTGATGACTACGCCACTCCTGGTACCAATCTTCTGTATTAATCCCTTCTCACACTGTTATTAGTCTATTCTCACACTGGTATAAAGAACTACTCATATTAGATGGGAACACAGGCTCAGCATAACATGGACTTTGAGATGTCAATAGAGGCTAAAAATTCAGATTTTTATGTGAAATTTTCTAACTTTAAAATGTTGAACAAACAAAATCCATTGACAGGTAGGAAATGAACTATAGGCCAGCCACCACACTATAATGTCTGTTCTCTAAGTTTGGATTTCTGAGGTTGGCAGAACTTTTCTTTTCTACTCCCAAGTGGCCACCAAAGGGGCAGTGGTTTCTGGATATGTCTTTGAGATGCTAACAGCCAGTTTCCTTATGAGGAGTGAGGTCAATAAATTCAAAGATGCTAGAATGCTTTCCTCCTAATTCTCCTGCTTCCATAAAAATCCAATTCAATTTAAACTGCAAGGCATAGTGAGTTGTAATTACTATATTTATAAAAATTATATATAATTAGAGCAGGATTTCAGGAACCAGGCCAATTCTCCCCCAGAATGTACACTGAAAAGCACATTTTAAAGAACAAAAGATGCTCTTGGGTAGGGCTATCATGTGACATCTCCCAGGCCATTTTGGTCACTTGTTTTTAGCGGGCTAAGTATAAGTTCTTCCTGAGCTCTTTGGACTCAAACCATTATAAGAACATTAAAATTTCTTTCTGGAGATTATAGGTAGAATAATTGTATTTCCTGAACAAAAAGTCAGGTCATGTGGTTAGCTGAGAATCTGCATGCCCCTTACACAGCCAGAAGGCAGTGTGAGGTTGGAGACTGACAAAGGTGGATTTGGAAATGAGAGGGAGACAGAAATGACTGCTGGTGGTGGGATGGCCAGGTTACTTCTGAGTCCCCAGGTCCTCTCCAGGTATGTGACCTCTTTGAGAGAGGCAGGGAACAAAGCCCTGCTAGTGGAGGGATCAGGTGGCTTTGGTTTCCAGTTCCTCTCTGGTAACTCAGTTGCCAGGTGAGATGCAAGGGACCAGATACCCAAAGGGCCACCTTCTCCTCAAACCCGAATCTCAGGGCTTATCAGTTTCCATGCAAGAGGGAGCCCACAGAACTTTCACCCAGGCCAGCACATCTGGAGCCAGAAATCACACTGCCTGAAGCTGAGCCTGCTCAAGGCTTCAAATGAGACCCTGCCTGCAGCCAGCTGTGTATCTCACCTATCTACCCTGCCCCAGCAATCCATAGTTTGGCTTGCTAGTCCCTGCACAGAAGGTGGCCTCACATGCTTTGAGACCTTTGCATGGTTTGTGTCCTCTGCTGGGGATGCCATCACCTCCTTTGCCCATTTATCAAGATCCAGTCATCACATTGTCTGGGGTCTTTCTCTGATGCCCACCCCATGCAGAATCCAGCACTCACTCTTCTGGGTGTATACAACATGGCACCTCTTGCGGGATGTTGCAATAACTTTTTTAAGGTCAGATGCTCCAAACAGCAATGGCTTGAGCTAGGTACACTCATTTTCTCTCAAATCACAGGAGTAAGTAGTCCAGGGCTGGTCTGGAGTCCCTAGTGCCAAGGAAGCAGGCACTTGCTAGTCCATTGCTCCACCATTCCTAGGGGTTGCCCTTATCTGTATGGACCCAGACACCATTGCCAAGTCAGAAACTCCAGCCAGTGGGATGGGGAAAGGGGAGAAAAAAAAAAGAGGGCTTGCCTCTTTCCTTTAAGGACATGGCAGGAAGCTGTACTCATTCATTCGTTCAACATATATTCATGGGGTGTTTTTCACATGCTAGAAACTGTTTTAGATACTGGGGATGTGACAATGAACAGGACTTACAAAAATCCCTGCCACTGTGGAGTGTCCTATGGGAGGTGAGGGGACCGAGAGACGTTAATCAAATAGGGAAATACAACGCATATTCCAGGTGGTGTGAAAACTGCTGAAAAAGAGGAAACTTACATCTTAGGGAACTTCCGGCGCAGGAAGGGTGCTCGGGCTGTGGGGGGACTTTTTGCATTTAATTAAAGAGTATGGATTGTCATTGCTGGTTAGCAGGAGGGTGCAAGGTTTAGCGAGGGTGTGACTGACAACCCAGGAGCGCCATGCTCCATCCGTCCTGCAGGTGGCGCGCCTGAGCCCGTGCACGGCAGCCTCTCCGGAAGGTGAAGCACGCTGCCGCACTGGGGGCCTGCCTGGGGCTCTGAAAGCCCATTACGCTGTTCTCCTTGGGGTCCTCTTGGTGGCATGGACCCACCTCCCCCAACCCCCACCCAAAGCCTAGGTAGTTCTTGTGGAAGGTGCATTTCATCTTCAACAAGAGAAGATCCGTTTTTCCCGAAGTCTCTATTTCATCTATTTTTCAGGAGCGGAGGCTCATTTCTCCTTCCTTGGATTTAAGACGCTCTTGTTACTTCTTTTTTATTGCTTCATTTGAAATTGCAGACAGTTCCGACTTTTTGTTTTTGTGTTCCCAGGTTTTACGGAACACTCTCTGGCTGCGTTACAAAGCTCTCCCAGTTTCTCTCTCCCACCACCAGCCCCGCTGCCCCACGACACCGCCTGCCCTAGACTATAAAATGGCAATCATAATCCATACCTCATGATGCCCAAACAAGATAATGTCTACAATAAGTAAGGTTGCCAGATTCGGCAAATCAAAATACAGGACACCTGGGTTTAAGGTGTCTGATAAACAACGATTTTTTAAAGTGTGTGTACCAAATATTGCATGGGACATACTTACTCTAAAAAAAATTATGAATTATCGTATGAAATTCAAATTTAACTGGGTACCCTGTATTTAATCTGGCAATTTGAACATAAGGAGCTTAACACAAGGCATGGCCTGAGGTCACAGTAAGTGCCAGGGACAATGATGAGGGTGACGATGACTTTAATTCTGATGAATGCGCACCCCAGGATGGAAGCAGGGGTGCGTATTCATAAGAAGGGCTTTCTAGAGCAATGGAGGCCTAGGCTAAGTCTTGAAGGACTCCAATCATGTGTGCAACAAATATTTATTGAGCACTTATTAAGTGCCGGGCTCTGTCCCAGGTGCTAGGGATGCAGCAGTGAACAAAACAGATAAAAATCACTGCCCTCATGGGCATGATTTATTAGTGGGGGAGACAGTATTTACTCTTTATTTAAAGAAGATAAGCAAAAAGAAGTATTTACTCTTTATTTAAAGAAGATAAGCAAAATCTATAGAGTGTCAAATGATGCTAGGGAGAAAACATAAGTAGAACATGAAGTGTTGAGGTGAGGTGAAGTTTTGGAGTGGGTGGGAAGGACAAACTTACTGAGAAGTTGGCTGAAGTAACAATGTGAAGAAAGGAGAAGAGCTGTGAGATATTTAGGGGAAGCTCATTTCAGAAAAGGGAGGTAGCAAGTGCAAGGGTCCTGCAGTGGAGGGCACCTGAACGTGCAAGAAACAGCGAGGACGCCTGGGTGGCGGGAGCAGAGGGAGCAAGGGGTGGGAGGGGAAAAGGCGGCTGGGTCTCACAGGGTCTTGGGGCACCAGAAGGACATTGAGTGAGAGAGAGCCACTGTGGGGCTCTGATATAATCTGACCTGCGTTCCGATAGGATGTCCCTGGCTGCTTGTGGAGGATAAACTGCAAGGCAGGAGCAGAGAGACCCGTGAGGAGGTGACCGCAACAATCCGGGTGAGACAGGACGGTGGTTGGGACCAGGGAGGAAGGTGGTGAATACATTTTGAAGGGAGTGCTGATAGGATTTGCTGCTGGTTCCAATTTGGAGAGGACGGGAGAGAGAGAGAGAGAGCCAGGGGGAGGAGGGGAGGACACTACTAATGCCTACTTAAAGAGAGTTAACCAGATGGAGAAAGGGAAAAGAAACAATAGCTGAGGCAATCCCGGCAATGATTGCTTCAGCTAGGAAGTGCCTTGCAGCGAGGATGTGACTTCCAACCCGCGCGGGACAACCTGTTTCTCCACCCTCCCAGCTGGATTGTGGACACGCCTGTCATGAATCCTGCCTCCCCACACTGTCCTGCTGTGAATGAGATCAGCAATCTTTGCTGCCCTGGTCGCTTGCAGCAAGAGACTGCTTGGCCCCTGTGCTGAGAGAGCACCCTTGCCCAGGGCAGAGAACCTCCCCTGCCCTCAGGAGGCCCGGGAAGATTTCCTGGGCTGCCTGAGTCTAGCCATTGCTCCCATGATCCATGGCCCATTAACAAACCACTCCAAAATTTAGGGGCTTAAATAGCAACCATCATTTACTTGGCTTACAAATAGGCTATTTGGGCCAGGTTCCGTGGGGGAAGGCTCATCTCTGTCCTCACAGCATCAGCCAGGGAGGCTTTTCTGGGGAAGGGAGTGTCTGCTGTCAAAATCTGGCAGACAGGTTGGTGCTGGCTATTGCCAGGGATGTCGACTAAGAGCCTTTGGTTTCAAATCCCAGCTCCAGCAGGTGCAGCTGGGTGATCTTGAAAAAGTCCTTCAATCTCTCTGTGCCCCAGTTCTCTCATCTGTAAAGTGGGGATTGTCGTAGCACCTATCTTATAGGGAATTCACAGAGATAATACATTCAAGGGATATAAAGCAGTGTCTGGGACATAGTGCTCAGTAAGTATTAATGATCAGTATTAGTATTGTGATTTTTTCATCGTAACGAGGAAAAACTCACAATGCAGTAATTAACAATTTGTGCATGCTTCCCCGTCTCCATGTCTCCATGAGTAGAGTTTTAAAGGAGGTTTTAAAAAAAGTAGCTCACTAGTAAAACTAGCTAATATATGTTAATCATAGAAATTTAGAAATAGAAGAAGAAAATTACCCTAGGTAATTACTGTTGCTATCTTGGGACCATTTCTTTCCAGCGGTGGTTCTCTTTTGTTTCATTCCCCCTTATTTTAAAGCAGGGTTAGGAGAAGAAAGAAAGAGGAGGGGGCAAGTGTATGAACGAACATGCCAAGCAGAGTCAGGAGCAGAAATTTCAATACATTCCAATCCACCCGGGACAGAAATGACTTGTTCTAAGGTTTGAAATGACCCCCTTCTCTCAGGTGAGAATGACCATAACTCCAGGGGTCCCATGATGCGTGGAGTTCACCATCTTCAGCAAGAATGCGGTGTGGATTCACAGCGGGAGTGTGTTCGCCTGTGCATTTTACATTTCAAACATTTGTCACTCAAGAGCATTGTCCAACAGACCCCTTCAGGGAACCAGGCCAGGAAACGCTGAGTTCAGAGAGGGGCTTTGATATCTGAGAATGCAGTGAAAGAGATGTTTTTGATAGAAGAGTGATTCTCGGCTGCTGAATAAGAAATAGTTCTCATCCATAATGCATGGCCCTTTAGAAGACAGAAAGAAAAGTCAGTCTAAATGTAGCATAGACTGGAAAAAGATGAGGAGTGATTTAGCATGCCATTCAGAAGAGGCTAGTCCTCTTCTCAGCTAATTCATGCTTCCCCCAGGCTGACTGAGGAAGGCCCCCTCACTGGGGGCTTGCATGGTGTCTGTTGGTGTCAGGAAGAGGTGCAAAGGAAAGTGTTAAGTGGCAAGGAGGACGGACCTAACAAAAGACAGATCGAGACCAAACACGGAGGATGTTTTCTAACTCAAAGATGATTTTCCTAAATATTCTAGATCCTTTTGGGGTTTTTATTTTGGGATCCTGATTTTAGCTGTAGTGTTCATCAATGGAAGCACAACTAAGAAAAGTGGTGAGGGGCAACATATGGGTTTGGAGGCCTTGTCTGAGTGACATTCCTGTTGGCCTAGTGGTCTTCTACATGGCACCCAGCCACAGGATGGAGCCTGTTTAATAATCAGGTGATGTTTCTAGAGCCTGGACAAGCCCTTTGTTGTTATCATTTGTTTGCTCAAGCATGTTGCCAACAGAGGACTTCCCAGGGTCCTCAGCCTCCAAAACAGGTTAGTTTTGGAAACGCTGTGGGAAAATATTGGTAGTGGGTCGAATACTGTCCCTCTGAAAGATGGGTCCAAGTCCTAACCCCAGGCCTCTGTGAATGTGACCTTTATAGAAATAGGGTCTTTGCAGAGGTAATTATGGTAAGGACTGAGATAATGTCTGATATGGTTTGGCCATGTACCCGCCTAAGTCTCAAATTATAGCTCCCATAATTCCCACATGTTGTAGGAGGGACTGGTAGGAGGTAATTAAATCATGGGGGTGGGTCTTTCCCATGCTGTTCTCGTGAGGGTAAGTCTCACGAGATCTGATGGTTTTATAAAGGGGAGTTCCCCTGCACAAGCTCTATCTTGCCTGCCACCATGTAAGACATGCCTTTCACCACAATTGTGAGGCCTCCCCAGCCACGTGGAACTGCAAGTCCATTAAACCTCTTATTCTTTATAAATTACCCAGTCTTGGGTATGTCTTTATCAGCAGTGTGAAAACACACTAATACTTCCTGGAGTTAGAGTGGGCCCTAAATCTAATGACTGGCATCCTTAATAAGAAGACAAGAGGACACAGAGAGAGAAACACAGGGCAGAAGCTGTGTGAAGATGGAGGCAGAGCCTGGAGAGAGGCTGCCACAAGCCAAGGACTGCTGAAAGCCACCAGGAGCTGGAAGGGGCAAGGCAGGATTCTCCCTGGAGTCTTTGGAGGGAGTGTGGCCCTGCTGGCACCTCACCTTGATTGCAGATGTCTAGCCTTCAGAGCTGTGAGAGAGTAAATTAAATTTCTGATATTTTAAATCCCTGCAAGTTTGCTGTGATGGCCTTAAGAGATGAATCCAGTATTTTAGGCCTAAATCTCCCTGGTCTCATTTTGTCCCATTCCCTTGTCACTTTTATGTGTCAGCCAAAATGGATGGATTTCTGGCAGTTTCCAGTTCTTTTTTTTCTTTTCTTTTCTTTTTTTTTTTTTTTTTTTTTTTTTGAGACGGAGTTTCCTTGTCACCCAGGCTGCAGTGCAGTGGCATGACCTCAGCTCACTGTAACCTCTGCCCCTGGGTTCAAGCCATTCTCCTGTCACAGCCTCCTGAGTAGCTGGGATTACAGGCGCGTACCACCATGCCCAGCTAATTTTGTATTTTTAGTAGAGATGGGGTTTCACCAAGTTGGCCAGGCTGGTCTCGAACTCCTGACCTCAGGTGATCTGCCCACCTTGGCCTCCCAAAATGATGAGATTACAGGCATGAGCCACCACGCCTGGCCTGGCAGTTTCCAGTTCTTTCCCATGTTCTCCCCACTGTGCCTTCCCCCACACTGTCCCTGGCTATTGTTTCCAGCACTGATACCCCACCCCATCTGCCTTTCAGAATTAAGCTCTCCTAGTCAAGACAGCCTTCCTGACACCACCTCCACCCCAGCATATATTCTGTCCTGTGGTTGTACCATGGCCCTACTGAGGCTGGGTATGATTATTTATTTGTGTGACTGATCTGTCCCTCTCATCAGGCCACATGACCCATTCATTCATCAAATTGTTACCAGTGGAGGGTGTCCAGGTTCTTGGTGTTTTGAACATGGAATTGGACAAAACGCACAAACAAAGCAAGGAAAGAAAGAAGCAACAAAAGCAGAGATTTATTGAAAACAGAAGTACACTCCGCAGGGTGGCAGTGGGCCATGCAGCTGCTCAAGGGCCAAGATACCAAATTTTCTCAGGTCCAAGTACCCCCTAGAGGTTTCCCATTGGCCACTTGGTGCTTACCCCATGTAAATGAAGTGGTGGCTCACAATCTGTCTGATTGCAGAAAGCAACCAATCAGAGGCTGAAGTGAAGTTACAAAGGCCACACTCCTATGCAAACATCTGATTGGTTGCGGAAAGCAACCAGTCAGAGGCTAAGGTGAAGTTACAAAGCTGCACTTCTATGCAAACTAAGACTTGGCTCCCGGTGCCCCACCATCAGTCTGATTGGTTGTAGACAACAACCAATTAAAGGCTTAAGTGAAGTTACAAAGTTACACTCCTGTGCAAACATCTGATTGGTTGCAATCCCAGCACTTTGGGAGACTGAGGTGGGTGGATCACGAGGTCAGGAGTTTGAGACCAGCCTGGCCAATATGGTGAAACCTCATCTCTACTAAAAATTACAAAATTAGCTGGGCGTGGTGGCGCGTGCCTGTAGGCTCAGCTACTCGGAAGAATCGCTTGTACTGGGTAGGTGGAGCTTGCAGTAAGCCGAGATTGAGCCACTGGACTCCAGCCTGGGTGACAGAGCAAGACTCTGTCTTAAAAAAAAAAAAAAAAAAGGTGGGGATTTGCAAAGGGAGTTGCCTCTGGTCCTTTTGTTATTAGGCGTGGAAAGTTAGGGTTTTCCTTTCTATTTAGTTCTAGGAAGTCAGCGTGAAATAGCCTTAGGTTCCCTGCCTCCAGACCCTTTTCTCCTGCCTCAAAATACTTACTGAACACCTGTGTATTGCAAGCACTAGCCTAGGCATGGGCCGGAGAAAAGGGAACTTAGTATGAGAAATCTTCTTTTAAAATAGTATTGGTGTTCTAATAGATATTAACAGCCTATAAGGGATATGGTGGCTTTAAGAATTAGATGGAAAAGCATGTCAGTAGCTTAGAACAGTGCCTGATCCACTGTAAGAACTCAATGAATTCTAGTTGATATTATGGATTCTGTTACTGGGAAGTTATTATTGGAAGAAACAGCATGTGGTCCAAACAGAACATGTCTTTGGGCCAAATCCTGTTATTCTTTTGTAAAGCAAGAGAAGAAGGAAAGTGCTGGCCCTGTGGAAGATTGCATAAGCCTCTTTGCCACTGTCTCCAAGTCTTTGGCTCTGTGTCTGTGTGTTGCATGCAGCCATGTACACTCATGCACACGCACACATGCACACACGTCCATCCCTGTAGTCCTGTGTCTGCTGTCTCACCCCACACCGTTGGCCATGGCAGCCAGCTCTCCCAGTGGTTCTGGGGCCACAGAGAAAGTTCTCAGAATCCATTTTCTTCCAGGTGTGAGTGGGCAGGAGCAGTAGGCAGGCCACGTGCCCACATTACAAACCTACAGGAAGCCTCTTAATCACCACGGGCTTGGTCAGTAGACCTTGTTTCTGTTCATCTCTGGTGCATCACCTGTAGTGCAGGTGGATCCCTGGTAGGGGGCTGAGATGATCTCCATCGACTTGCATTCGTGTGACATTGGCTGTGACGTGGGAAAGAAAGGTTCTATTCAAATTCCTTTTCCACTCCTCCCCCTACCTCCCATGACTTCAGGAGTTGGAAAGGCAAGGTGAGTGAAAAATCAGGGAATGAAATGCAGTTTAAATAAAGAGTTTGAAGCAGTCCTCGGACAGTATCCCTCTCTATGGCAGATGCACCTGACAGCGATCCCTTAGGCATGCTCTGAGAATAGTGCACCTGGATGTGTGTTCTGAGTTACCAGCTAAGGAATCCAGATGTGGCCAACCTGGAGATCCATTCCTGGTCTATGAGGAACACCTGAGCTCCTCCGTCCCATCCGTTGGAACATGGATAGAGGCCCTGTGTTTTGGGTTGAATGACGATTGCCAAGTGGAGGTTGTTAGGAGGAGGATGCTAAGTGAAAATGCTGTATCAACCACATGCCTTTGGCAAGCAGTTGCGGTTTTTCTGCCCAGGCTGCTGCCACTGGACTGGGGGTTCTGCTGTCCAGCCCACCACGACTAGACTCTCTCCCCTGTACATAAGCCCCCAGTGAAACTCCATGGCTCCTTTGCTGGCTCTGGGTCTCTTTGGGCTCTTGAACCTGGTGCCATCCCCATTAGAGTGGATGGGGGCTCAGCACAACATTCTCCCCTGGGAGGAACAGGTAGGAACCCTTGGTGAGCTGGCCTCATCTAGAGGAGGGATCTGATGGTTGCATGGCCCACGCAAATGTTTCATTAGGCTCATAAGATGATTTGAAAGTTCTGAGTCAGTTGTCAGTGTTTTGAAATAGGCAGATTCACAAGAAGATGCTTGTCCTGGCTTTTGCAAACATAAAGAGCTCTGGTCGCACCAGGCCTGGTTCCCACCAGAACTTGATGGGTCACAGTGAGCCTCCATGCTCTTTTATTTTTAAAATTTTATTATATGTAATGTATATGTATACATTTATATTAAAATATAAAATTATATGAAAATAGATAAATTATATGATAGATACAATTTTTATATATTATATATGTTATAATTAATATATAAATTATAATTAATATATAATATAGAAGATATTACTATCTATTATATAATATAAATGTTCTATATAATATAAATTATATATACATGACATTAATATATAATATATTCGTATTCATATACAATATGAATTTATATAATATATAATTATATCTATATTGTATTTATATAATATATAACATGTAATAATATATATTTATATACACATATATGTGTTATATATAATATACAGTAACATATTTACATATAATTAATAGGTAATACTATATTAATTATATATAATATATAATATATCGATATGTGATAGTGTATTAATATAATGTAATATTAATTTATTACATATTAATTACATAATATATAATATATAAATTGATACTATATAATATATAATATCTATCATATAATATATAAATGTGTGTTATATATTACTAACATAATATGTTATCAATATATAATATATATTATTTAAAAATTTATCTTACATATAATAAATATTAATTATATAATTATATAAATTATATTTATTATATGTAATTAATATACATTATATATTTTTCTATAATTATATATAACATATATTAATTATATATTATGTAAAATATATTTATATATAAATTGTGTGTGTGTGTGTGTGTATAGTGGTGAATTGCATAATGGTGATGTCTGAGATTTGAGTACACCCATCACTTGTTTAGTGTACATTGTACCCAATATGTAGTTTTTTTTATCCTTCACCTGCTCCTACTCTCCCCCTCTGAGTCTCTAAAGTTCATTATGCCACTTTGTATGCCTCTGTGTATTCATCGCTTAGCTCCCACCTATAATTGAGAGCATATGGAATTTGGTTTTTTTTATTCCTGAGTTACTTCACTTAGAATAATGGCCTCTAGCTCATCCACATTTCTGCAAAAAACATTCTTTTGTTCTTTTTTATGGCTGAGTAGTATTCCGTGGTGTATATATACCACATTTTCTTATCCACTCATTGGCTGATGGGCACTTAGGTTGGTTCCATATCTTTTCAATTCTGCATTGTACCTTTTTTGCCCTTTTAGGTGGACAGTGCCCTCCCGCTCGTCACTGTCACTGCTCCTCCCTGCCCAGCTCTCTCATTCCCCCTCCTCCGTGTCCCTTCAGGTTTCTGGGTTTGCGCACCACTTCTGTGGCTCCCAGGGCACAGTGCACCACGGCTGTGCTCAGTCATCTTTGCTGACGAACAGAGGGCAAAGGGCTGAAGAGAATATTAATATCCTATCATGTGGGCCAGGTGTGGTGGCTCACACCTGTAATCCCAGCAATTTGGGAGGACGAGGCGGGTGGATCACGAGGTCAGGAGTTCAAGACAAACCTGCCAACATAGTGAAACCCTGTCTCTACTAAAAATACAGAAATCAGCCGGGTGTGGTGGCACGTGCCTGTAGTCCCAGCTACTTGGGAGGCTGAGGTGGGAGAATCGCTTGAACTCGGGAGGTGGAGGTTGCAGTGAGCCGAGACAACACCATTGCACTTCAGCCTGGGTGACAGAGTGAGATTCCGTCTAAAAAAGAAAAAAAAAATATCCTATCGTGGGCACGTGCTTCTCCTCCCAGACCTCCAAGCCTTGGTGCTCAGTCCCTCTGCAGACCCAAAGGTGAAAGAACCAGGATCCGTCTGCGTCGTGGCATGGCCCATGATCTGCCCAGAGGACTGGCACCCACTGTGTGCCTGTCCCCTGAACTGCCACACCCCACTGTGGAGTTGGATAGCATAAGGGGTGGACGAGTGTCCTGAGGCTGCTATAACAAAAGACTACAATCTGTGTGGCTTAGAACCACAGAAAATTCTTCTCCCACAGTTCTAGAAGCCAGAAGCCTGAAACGGAGGTGTCACCAGGGCTGCTCTGTCTCTCTCAAGGCTCTAGTGGAGGGTCCATTCCAGCTTCTGGTGGCTCCCGGGTTCCTCCACTGTGGCCACAGCCTCCAATCTCTGCCTCTGTGGGCAGACAGCCTCCTCCTCTTCCCGTCCATCCTCCACGTGTCTGCCTCCCTCTGCCTCACTCTTCTAAGGACACCTGGGATTTCTTTTATGACCCACCTGGACAATCTAGGACCAGCGCCTCCTCTCCAGACCTTCAATTTAATTGCATCGTTTGTTCTATAAGGAGTATTTACTCTTCTGCCATAGGGAGCATATAGGTTTCAGGGATTAGGGCATAGACATATCCTTCGGGGGCCACCATTCAGTCAACCAAAGGCAAAGGGAAAGGCCTCAGGACAGTCAGACTTGGGTTCAAATCCCAATTCTGATGATTTCTGGTTGTCTGACCTCAGGCAAATCGCTCTACCGGTTTAAATCCGTCTCAGTGGCATTAAAATGGAATTAAGAAACTAGTTCATGGAGTCGTGATGATTTGATCAGCTCATGTGTGCAGGGCACATAGCCTGGTGCCTGGCACTCTGAGTCAATGTTCAGCACATGCTAGCAGAAAAGCAACAGCCTGCAGACCTCGGCCGAGGCACATTCTCTGAAAAGCTGTGTGTTATGAGCCATGCCTCTCCGTCTCCTATGAAATCAGCCTGGGCTTGTCAACAGCCTTCCCAGGACGTGCATGTTTTCTAGGTGCTGGGGGAGTTCGGAGAGAGCAAGCAGGGAGATAAACACGTGCGTGCGTCTCCTCCCTGGTGTTTGCACGGCGTGTGTTGCTTCTGGAATGTGTGCCTGAGCTTTATTCCTGCTTTTGCTTTTTACAGTGGATTGGACAGGTTTGGATGAGGAACAGAAGCACAGAGAGGACGAGTGGCTTGTCCCATGTCACCCTCATAATAAGTGGGAAAGACACATACTTCGCTCCCTAAGCCCTGTATGATGCTTGTGCTCATTATACAGCATGATGAAATGGCTCCCATCTTTCCTTGTTGTTTTACAAGCAATTTGGGGGAGCGGGAGTCTAAAACTTTGCCCATCTCCTGATTGTAATGGAACCAGTTCCAGAGAGGCACTTGTGTTGTTTGGAGTCCCCTGGGCAAATTAAACCCCATTCCTGCTTATAGAAACCAGCACTCCATTGAAACACAATGACACAGTCTCTCCCCTGAGCGTACCTGAGCAATTCTGGAGGGTGGAGCTGCTGGCAATGACTTCTGGATGCCGGGGAAGTGGTTCCTCATAAGCCTGTTCCTCAACACGCTTTGGGGATGTGATCTACCTGATTCTCCCAGTATGGGAGGCAGAGGAGAGATGCTGGCTAGGGAATGCCAGGAAAGTCCTTACTGGGCATTCTGCACTTCTCCTTATAAGACTGGAAGAGTTTCTGAATGGAGGAAAGGAGACTCCATGTGTCACCCAGGGTTCTTTGGCTGTGTGCAACAGAAATCACTCTAAGTGTAAGGAATGGGAACAGATGAAGGTGCTCAGAGGATGGAAGGAAAGACTGGAAAGTGACATTTGGAAAAAAAAATCGGGTCTCACAGGTCCAAGGAGACTCTTGGTAGCAAGACTGCTTGATGGTCTTGTCTGGGCACCAGCGCTGAAATGAACTCCCTCTGTCTTTCATCTGGGTCCTTTTAATAGGATCCCATCATGTTTTGAGCAGTTCCTCACTTTGCACAGCAAGCTGTTTTAGGCTCATGTTGTTATTTCCCTGCCCAGCCCTGGGAAATGGTCATTTCTGAAGGAGCCCTGGTTCCTTTTAGTGGGGACTGGTATTTAGAAACCAAGCTGGAGTGCTAGGTGTGCTCATTACTGCTAGAATGTTCATGCTTCTTAGCCTCTCAGTGAACAGAACATATGTGCATGTTCGTGTGTTTGTGTGTGTCTACGTAGACCATAATATGAGTTTACACTGATGTATGGAATTCCAGCCTAATACCACAGGGCTGTTTCTCCCCTTTCCACATTCTCCATTGGTATTTCCCTCCTTCTGCCATAGAAGGCAAAAGAAATCCTGGGTGTTGGAACCCAGGCTCTCAACACAATCAAAACATGTATTCATTTGTTTATTCCTATACCACATACAAAATAATTTTAGAATTGCTATATCCCAACCACTGCAACAATAAATCTACGAAACAGAGTTCAGGATTCCTTTGCATTTTTTTTTTTTTTGAGATGGAGTCCCACTCTGTTGCCCAGGCTGGAGTGCAGTGGTGCGATCTCGGCTCACTGCAAGCTCCGCCTCCCAGGTTCACACCATTCTCCTGCCTCAGCCTCCCGAGTAGCTGGGACTACAGGCGCCCACCAGCACGCCCGGCTAATTTTTTGTATTTTTAGTAGAGACGGGGTTTCACCGTGTTAGCCAGGATGGTCTTGATCTCCTGACCTCGTGATCTGCCTGCCTCGGCCTCCCAAAGTTGCAGTTCTTTTTCTGTCATCAAACTGAGGGTTGATAGTCCAAGTACTAGGCTTAGAAGTTGTTCGAGTTAGTAACCTCTAGAACGTCTGTGTGGTTATGTAATTCATTTGAAATACAGATAGGTTTCTTCATTTTTGTTTTTATTCAATTTTAGGCTTTTCTCTATATTGTTGTTGACTTAATTTTATTTGTTGAATGCATAAAACATTGACAAGATTCCAGAAGACTAAGCTATGTAAAACAATAGACCCAGTAAGGTGCCACCCCTCCGCTCTCTCCTCTGCCATGTTCTCACCCACCCTCTGCAAGTAACCAGCTTCCTTAGTCTTTGGTTATTGTACCTATTCTTTCCCCCACCCCCCCCAAATAAGCAAATACATACAAACAATAACAGTGCTTATCTAGGGAGGAGGGTACAACTGATTATTATTTTAAAGGAGAATGAATTAATATAGCAGGTAATTTTTAAAATGAATGGAGGGGAGGAAGTGGCTGTGGGTTAGATGCTCTTTCCTATGGCAGGGAGCAGTCCTCTTTTGGGGCACAGGCTTTGCTGGTCCCCACTGCTGATTCTTACTTCAGCCCACCCTGGTGGGAGTCTAGGGTGCTGCACAGCCAACTGGCAAATCTTCCCATACCCTCAACCCTTGCCTACTGGTGGTCTTCATGGCTCTGACCTGCATTATTCTTCCAGCTCTCACACTCTCTTTGTTCACCTCTCGAAATCTTTTTCTGGTCCCCAGGACAGGTGATGTTAAAAATACCTGTGAGCGTCCTCATTCGAGGACCTCAGTTCCCGGAGGCCCTGGGGCCTTCTGCCGCAGTGACTCACCAGCTGTTCTTAGGGAACATGACTGTCTGGATGCATCTGGCTTGCAGCAGGTTGACAGATTCAAAGTGAAAGGTGCTATAAGTGGGTTCCAGGATACAGACCTTCCTAAAGGCACCCTGGAGAATCTTCCCAAGGTGAAGCTTTAAATGTACAGTGTGTGGTAAGAGGAGTGGCGAGGAAAGTTTGTTGTCTTGCAAGTATGCTCTGACCCTGTATACCCCATGCCCTTGTCTCCCACCCCACCCCCCTCCACCATGAACCAGCTGCACTGAGCTCTTTCTCTGCCTACACCCTCAGGCCTCTGCTCTTGCTGTTTTCTGTAACCTAGAAGAATCTTCCCAGAGACCTCCAGGAGGCTGGGCCATTCTTGTCATTCAATTGCAATGTCACCTCCTGAGAAAGGCCCTTTCTGACTATATAGTTTGGTAGGGGGCCACAGAGTGGCTTAAGTAACAGAAATGTATTGCCCACATTCTGGAGGCTGGAAGTCCAAGTTCAAGGTGCTGGCAGGGTTGGTTTCTTCTGAGGTCTCATTCAACAGAGAGAGGTGCCGTCTTCTCTCTGTGTCTTCGTGTGGTCTCGCCTCTGTGCATGTCTGTGTCCTGATCTCCTCTCCTTATAAGAACAACAGTCTTATTCGATTAGTGGTCCATCCTAGTGACGCTATTTTAATCCAATTACCTCTTTAAAGGCCCAGTCTCCAAATACAGTCACATTCTGGGGTCCTGGGGGTTAGGACTTCAACACATGAATTTTGGAAGGGTACAACTTGGCTCACAATACTGACCATTCTATCGAAAGACCCCCCCTCCCCAAACATTCTGCCTTATCACTCTTTAGCCACATCCTATTCTATCTGCTTCAGAACCACTATCACTTTCTAAAATGACCTCAATTAATTTTATTTGATGATTTATGTATTATTTACCAGCAACTCTAGAGTGGTGCTGCCCAATGAAAATATAATACAAGAGTAAATGTTGCCATAGATATAATTTTACATTTTCTAGTAGGCACATGGAAAAAGTTTAAAAGTGAGATTAATCTTTTTTTTTTTTTAAGTTCTGGGATACGTGTGCAGAACATGCAGGTTTGTTACATAGATATACATGTGCCACGGTGGTTTGCTGCACCTATCAATCCATCACCTAGGTTTTAAGCCCCACATGCATTAG
The DNA here is from genome assembly GCF_000001405.40 of Homo sapiens. Taxonomy (NCBI): domain Eukaryota; kingdom Metazoa; phylum Chordata; class Mammalia; order Primates; family Hominidae; genus Homo; species Homo sapiens. The sequence goes on from NC_000020.11 coordinate 51,234,720, forward strand.
GTATTTGTCCTAATGCTTTCCCTTCTCTTACCCCCCACCCCCTGACAGGCCCCAGTATGTAATGTTCCCCTCTGTGTCCATGTGTTCTCATTGTTTGGCTCTCGCTTATGAGTGAGAACGTGTGGTGTTTGGTTTTCTGTTCCTGTGTTAGTTTGCTGAGAATAATGGCTTCCAGCTTCATCCATGTCCCTGCAAAGACATTAACTCGTTCTTTTGTAGAGCTGCATAGTATTCCATGGTGTATGTGTGTCACATTTTCTTTATCCGGGCTATCATTGATGGACATTTGGGTAGATTCCAAGTCTTTCCTATTGTAAGTCCATTCAGGACATAGGCATCGGCAAGACTTTATGACTAAAACACCAAAAGCAATTGCAACAAAAGCCAAAATTGACAAATGGGATCTAATTAAACTGAAGAACTTCTGCACAGTAAAAGAAACTATTATCAGAGTGAACAGGCAGTCTACAGAATGGGAGAAAATTTTTGCAATCTACCCATCTGACAAAAGTCTAATATCCAGAATCTACAAGAACCTTAAACAAACTTACCAGAAAAAAACCCATTAAAAAGTGGGCAAAGGATATGAACAGACACTTCCAAAAGAAGACATTTATGCGACCAACAAACAGATTAGATTAATCTTAATAATACATTTTATTTAATCCAACATATCAAAAATATTTCAATGTGCAATCAATATAAACTTTATGATTGAGATACTTTACTTCTTTTTGTACTAAGTCTTTGAAATCTAGTATGTTGTAAACTTAATTAAATAGTATCTGAGACAGGTCTCAATCAACTTAGAAGTTTGTTTTGCCAAGGTTAAGGACACACTTGGAAGAAACACAAAATCACAGAAACAGTCTGTGGTCTGTGCCTTTCTCCAAAGACGATTTTGAGGACTTTAATATACAAAGGGGACAAGGAGGCTGGAGGGGAAGGAGGGAGGGTAATGTCACATAACTGAATCCACGTGTTGTAGGAGAAAGGGGGCAAGTAGGGGAATAGTTATATATTCCACTGGCACTCACTGTAAGATAAGGTGAGAGTAGCTACCTGGAGGACTTAGAACAAAGGAGGGAAGCACCGTGGTCAGCTTACATTCTGAAATGACGATTCTGCTGTGGGAGAATAGACTGTTGGGGATGGAGGGAGGGCAAGGTGAAAGCGGGGAGGCAGGTGAGAAATGATAGGAGTTCACTAAGCAAAGAGGGGAGAATGCTTTAGGCTGAGGCATCAGCACGTGTGAGGGTAAAAGAGCTGGAAGGAGCTGGACATATTCACAGAACTGGGAACAGGTGTCTGAGGAGGGGAGGGTAAAGGGAGGTGGCCTATGAGATGCAGTCAGAGGGGTGGGCAGGGGCTACTGCTAAGACCTCGTGGGCCACAGGAGGAGTGAGGCCTCCATGCTGGGAGTTGTGAGGGCCAGTGGAGGTTTAGCCAGCTGATTGGAGGGACTCCAAACTAAACTGCTGGCCCCTCTCTCCCACGTGGCCCATTTTCCCAGACCCTGGGTGCTGTGGATTGGCTCCTATGGGTGCAGATTTCAGGTGGAAGCCCCCTGGCAAGGAGGGGCCGTGAGGGCAGCAGATCCCATCCCCAGTCTGTCAGGCTGATAGAAAGTTTGACTTCGGGCGACTTTCTTGCCTCCTCAATATATGAATAATTCTCAGGTAAGGAATGATTGCAAACTAATTTTATTATTATTATTATTATTTTTACCACAGAGAGCCTACCGCACCTCATTTTGCTTGTTTTCTTATTCTTCCCTTCACAGTGCTGCTGAACTTTTATGTTGTGCTTGAATCATGATTCAGCTCTTAACCATGCTTCTAAAATCCTATTCCCAGCCTAGTACAGGCAGACCCAAACCAACACATTACTTCTAAGTCTAATTTAGCCTGTTGGTGGTGCGGCATTTGTGCTGCTGTCTGAAGCCAGGATGCTTTGCTCTTGTTTGAGGTTGTTTGCATACAGAATTGTTCATGTGTTTGATAGCCCAGAGAATGCACAGAGCTCTAGTGATCCCTGCCAATGCTTTCTGGCAGGACCCATCTCTCTTGGGCTATATGGGGCCCTTGGGGGAGGCAGCAAGGCCAGGCTGAGTGAGGCCTTGCAGGCCCTGGTAAGGAGCTGGACTTTATTTAAGTATGCTGGGAAAGTCACTGGAGGGCTCTGAGCAGAGGAGGGACATGACCTGACCCTGCAATTTGCAGGGTCACTCTGGCTGTACGAAGGTGAGGACAGGAGGACTGGGGAAGAGGAAGGCTCCTGCAAGAGTCCGGGGGAGAAGTTGGGGGCCTGAGCCAGGAGGGCAGTCTGGGGGCTTCCCTTTCATTCCCTTCCCATTGTCTTCTCCTGGAGGTGGAGGAGGACCTGAGCCCATCCTGTTGCAATGTTAGGATCTTCTGGAGGAGCTGGGGGAGCTCGGAGATCCACCTACTAAGGGCTTTCTGGAACATGCATAATAAAGAGGAGGGAGCTGCCTGCTCAGAAGTTGGGGGAGTCTTTTGGAAGAAGGTTCTTTTCTACTATTCTGTGAATTGTGGAGAGCGTTATATTATCTCAATAGGAAAAAGAAAAAAAAGTCTAAGGATTATGCCAGTCCTCTAAAGAGGAGTCTGTTAGGCTAGAGAAGTGGAAGAATGTTCCAGAACTCTTTGAGCTCCCAAGTTTGAGTCCTGCTGCTGCCTGAAGTCACCATGAGAGCCCTTGGGGCCAAGCATTGCTTCATCCTGCTTCCTCTCTCCACCCCCTGCCAGGGTTTTCAGTGCAGACACTGTGGGGCCTGTGGCTGCCTTTTCTACGTTCCTCCAGCCACGATGAGGAAGGTGGCTGCAGCAGACGGGCAGGGGCGAGTTGGGCAGCAGAGGGGAAGATGGCCTGGGAGTCTTTAAAACTGCCCAAAGGTGGGGCATGTCCAAGCATCTCGATGGGGGGAAATAGGCACTTGAAAGCTGGAAACTTTTGTGGTCCGGATTCTGAGAGGGGAAAAAAATCAACAAAACCCAGCCGTCCCCAAACTCCTAACAATGTTCTCTGGTGCAGGAGTGATTCCCAGTAGGCAGGGTCCGAGCCGCCCTCCCTGTGAGCATGGTGTCAGAGCCTCAGGTTGCTTTGGAAATGGATTTGTTTTTTAAACCGAAGCTGAGCTTTATTAGAAGAGAAAACTAGGTCCTGTGTACTGGGGAAGGGAGTTTTACAGGCAGCACCGAGCCGGGCCACCTTCCCTTTGACTTGCTGGGAACGCCAGGGCAGGAAGCAGCAGCTGTCTGGGAGACTGGCAAGAAGTCCGGACTCTGGGGATCCTGACTCCAAACTCCAGCCCCATCGTTCCCGGACCAAACTGAGGGCTGGGCTGCAATTTCTCACCACCCAAAAACGAGATGCAGATGAACTGGGGAGGAAGAGAGTTTTTATTTCTGTAACCGGTTAAAGGGAGAAGGCCTGGAAATGATCCCCAGAACAATTCAAAATGATAAAGTTTGCCAGAGCTTATATACCTTCTAAGCTATATGTCTACGTGTAAGTGTGCGTTCGTCTAAAGACATAAGTGATTAACTTCTTTTAATCTACAATGAAGGCCCGAGTCCCGAAGACCTTCCTCTGGAGCCTCAGTAAATTTACTTAATTTCAATGCGTCCAGGTGCTGGGGTGATTACCCTTATCTTGTCCCCTGCTAGAACATGGAGGTTTGGGGAGTTCCTTCAGAGCCCCAGTCAACTTGTTTGTGAAGGCCTGGGAAGTTTCTTCAGACCCCCATTAAAACTTGTTTAATCCTAAACGGGTCCTGTTAAGAATTCCTTCATTATTTTGCCATGCTTTAAGGCCCAGGAAGAGCCTAGGCAAAACTCTGGGTGGGGCTTTGTTACATTCCAGCCTTTGTATGAGGGCATTGGCTCTCTCAGCTTTTAATATTTCACTTCAGCACTCAGCACTGAAACAGTTGTTACGGAGGCCTGCGTTAGTGAGACCTGGCCTGCCATTCCATGACTGACTTACTGGGCAAGTGAGCTCAGGCAAGTTAGGAAGCCTTGCTGAGAGTAATGATTCTCTCTAGCCAGACAGTTATGAGTGGTAAAGAATCTGCAACGGATTCAGCAACTAAAGCACAGAGAGGGCAAGTCACCTGTCCACAGTCACACAGCAGGAATGCGGCATAGCTGGGAATTGAACCCAGGCAGTCTGACCCCAGAACCCACACACTTAACTGCTATTCTCTAAGGAGGAGCTTGTAAAAGCTTGGCCACCTTAGGTGGCCTGTGTCAGTCATCTGCTGGCTTGCGGATCTGTTTCTAGTCTCCCAATCACTGTGCTGCAATCACTAATGGGCTGTGGGGCCCAGAGGCAGGCATGCCCCTGGATAAACCTCGGTATCTTTATCTCCAAAACCCATCTTCCATAGACATCATTGAGCACCCAGCCAAACAGCGCAGAGGAAGGGACCCCTGGGTGAGACAGTCAGAAACATCAGGACAGGAAGCAGCAGCCGCAGCAGGTCTGTAAATGCCAGTCCTGTGTTCACTTGTCACAAGTCTTGTAACTATGCAGGATTTCCAACAATAATTCCTTCTGGTGGGGATCTCTGAGAAACATCAACCAATCGTACCCCTCTTCTCCACTCAGTTCGAGACCTGTTTTGTCCGATGTAGGAGTCATGTGCCACATGTGGCTATTTAAAAGTACATTTTAACAAATTAAAAGGAAACCAATTTTAAAATGCAGTTCCTCTATCTCAGTAGCCACATTTCAAGTACCCACTGAGCCCATGAGGCTACCAGGTGCCCGAGGCTACCAGCTGCCGTGCTGGGCAGCACAGACACAACGCTTCCTCATCACAGAATGTTTTATTGGGCAGCGCTTGTCTAAACAGATTAAAAATCAAGAATAAGAGTAACAGATGGAAACCAAAATACTGCACCAGCTAATGCATACAGAGTATTTATTTAATATATGGCCAGGCATTACTCTAAGTGTTTTATATGTGTTAATACATTTAGTTCTCATAACAACCCTGACAGGCAGTTACCATTTTTATCTCATTGGATGGATAGAGAAGTTGAGTCACAAAGAGGTTACATGAACTTGCTGAGGCCACGCAGCGGGTACATGGCCAGCCTGAATTTTAACCCTGTGGCTCTGGAAACAGCACGCGAAACCTCCACACTCTACTACCTCTGACTTCTTACAAATAAATGCTCAGTTGGAAGTTGTAGCCCAGATGAGGGTCAATGTGACTTCCTAAAACCATACCCTAGAGTTGGACAGAATTAAACACTTGGTGAAGTTGGTCCTGGTCTGGGGTTGGCCCCCAGCCTCCCTGTCGTGTGCTGGCCCTGGAGTGGCCCCCGTGAGGACGAGGGACGCTGCACACAGGAGTAGGGGACTCGTGGCTTCCTGTGGGCAGGCTGACCCACCGCAGGGTAAAAGCAATGTGTGAGCCAACCACACCCACTTTGGTTTTCTAAAACTTGCAGCCAGATATTCCTCTCCCTGGGGTGGGATGGAAAGCATCGGACAGAGGGCAGGAGTCTCATCCTCTCTGAGTCCCCTTCATCTGGAAGGAAATATCAGAAATGGGGAAGAACGGTTTCTCCCGAAAGCTTTGAAAAGAACAAATGAAAAATATAAAGAAAATGTTTTGTGCCTTTGAAAGTAGACGCCCAATGCATGAATCTTCCTAAACTCTTCAGCTGTCATAGATATGGTTATGAGCAACAGAAACCCAATTAACTTCTCTCAAATGAAAACGAAATTGATTGTAAGGATACAGGGAAATCCTATAGAACCCAGTGCATGGAGGTAGCATTGCCCTCTTGGAAAGTTGTCAGACAGTGTCTGTCTGCAATCTGCGGTCTGAGTAATGGCCTCTTCAGAAAGTCTCCTAGCTCCTCCTCCCCCAAACTTCAGGCTCCATGTGAAAATGACCCTAACTCCCACCTCTAGGTGCTCAGCCCAAAACTCTCTCCCTTGCTCTCATGTTCTGAAGTTCTACCTCCAAAATATTTCTCAAGTTCATTCCATGCTCATCATCTCTCCTCTGCTCTGATAGCTGAAGCCACCATCTCTACCAAGGCAGCCACAGTAGCCTCAGAAGTTTCTCTCCACTTCTATTCTTTTTTCACCATAGTCTCCTCTCCTCAGTGTACCTCAGTTTTGCATTTTAAACTATAAGTCTGATCATGAAATGGCCCTTGTTTAAAACCCTCCAGAATCTTCTCAGAAGCACTTAGAATAAAATCTGAGCTCTTTACCATGACCTGCAAGGCTGTGCCCGACAAGTGGCTACCACCTCCTGCCACCTGCCTCTTGGTCACTGTGCTCCTGCCACACTACCCTTTTTTTTTTTTTTTTTTTGAGACAAAATCTCACCCTGTCACCCAGGCTGGAGTGCAATGGCGTGATCTTGGCTCATTGCAACCTCCGCCTCCCAGGTTCAAGTGATTCTCCTGCCTCAGCCTCCTGAGTAGCTGGGATTACAGGCGCCCGCCACCATGCCCAGCTAATTTTTTGTATTTTTAGTAGAGACGGGGTTTCACCATGTTGGCCAGGCTGGTCTTGAACTCCTGACCTCAGGTGATCTGCCTGCCTTGGCCTCCCAAAGTGTTGGGATTACAGGCATGAGCCACCTCACCCAGCCCCAACTGCTCTTCTATTTGTTGAATGTGCTAAGATTGTTCCCACCTCCAGGCCTTCGCCCTTGTTGTTCCTTCTGCCGAAAACACTCTTCCCTCGTCTCTCCATGTGGCAGGCTTATCCTTCTTTTTTTTTTTTTTTTCAAATATTTACTCAAATACCTTTTCTTCTGAGATGCTGTCTATGATCACCTAAATAAAAGTGACCACCCCACTTGCTATCACAAATAAGGAAATATTACTACTCTGTTTATAGTAGTAAGTAAATTAAGGATAGACAAATGGGAATTATTGCCACTAAAGGGAATGATTCTGTCTATTTTCTATTTATTTATTCTCTCCCACCCCTGGACTGTGGGCTGTAGAGGTAGGGATCATGTCAGCCTTATTCATCATAGTGAAGCAGTCTTCAAAAGACTGCTTGGCGCATAACAAGTACTCAGTAAGTAGCTGTTGAATAAATGAACGTACAGCTTCAAAATCCCAAAATCTACAGTTTTTTTGTTTTTGTTTTTGTTTTTTAATCCCTTAGTCCAGCTCCCATTTGAGAGATTCCTATTGGGTCTCTTGTAGGCATGGTGTACTAGGGTCACCTGGCATGAATGAGGCTTCTGAAGAAGGGTAGAGCCTTTTCCATGCAATGGGGCAGAAATGCCAGAGCTGAACTGAGCTAAGCTGTGTTATTCCCTCAGCCAGGAGCTGAAATCAGCTCGCATCACTCACAGTGTCAAGTCTGTAAAGTCTTCAGCTTGGTCTTGAAGGCCACTCTAATCCAGCCCTCTCCTACCTGTCTCTTCCTTTCTTTCCAATTTAACTGTCTCTGTGGTCCTTACTCCAGTTTGTGCTCATCTTGAACTTGGTTCATCACTTTTTCCATCTGCCACCTTTTCCTTCTCTAGCCTCATAGAATAAGCTTGCAACTCTTCATTCTGTCTAATTTGGGGAGTGAAGCAGAAGACTCTTTACTTTGTCTAATTTCTTGTATGAAACAGGGATTAACTCTTCCTTAAATGTTTGGTTTTGGTAGAACTCACCTACAAAACCATCTGGGTCTAGGGCTTTTGAGGAGGGAGAAGAGAAGTCTTTAAATACCATTTTAAAATTTTCTTGAACATACTTTCCAAGTTATTTTAAAATCCATGTCTGCTAAGTTTATTATCTGGGTCATTTGTGAGTCTCTTTATATATTCTGTTTTTTCCCTTGTTTTTTGGTCAGCTTGGTAACTTTTGATTGAATATGGGACATAGTGTAAGAAAAATTACAGAGTCTCTGGACTGCATTTTCCTCCAGAGGTGATTGACCCTCTCCTTTGGTGGGAAGCTAGTCTAGAATGGTCACTTCAATGCAATCAGAGACTGAACTGAATCCACTGTACCTCCACCTCTAGGGTGTCATCCTCCAGGCACCCACCCTGTGATGCTGTCCAGAACCCATCCTTCTTGGCAGGTCCTGAACTCAACGATTTGCCCCTTCAATACTATAAGGCTGCCCCAAATCATTCCCTGTTTTTCAGGCTATTTCTTAGGACTCCTGCCATGGGCAGCTTAAGGTCTCAGAAATGCCTCAAGGAGAAACTGCATAGTATTGGGCTCGTTTCTCTGCACCTTCCTTTTTGCGGGGATCTTGCCTCAATGCTCTGGCAGCTCAGAACTCCCCTTTTGACTCTTAGCTCTGTGAGACTGCAGGAAGCTCTGCTGGCTTCACTGCCCACAGCAGCTGCCCTCTGCGTGGCTTCTCAGCCTTTCTACCTCCGCAACTGTTCTCAGGAGAAAACAGAACACAGAAAGTTGGACTCACCTCAACAAACCACCCTTCGTTCTGAGGTCAAGCGCTGGCTCCTCAGTCACTTTTTAAAGCCTCCAAAAAGATGTTGCTGTTGTTTTAAATTTCATCTGGCTTTTCTAATTGTTCTTGGTGAGTGCATGGGTCTGCTAGCATCACTTCGTTGTAGCTGGAAGCAGAAGTCCTACCATGTTAATTAAGGAAAAAAATGGTCTCTTCGAGTTATTTCTTCTTATTTCAATTCTAGCACCTTCTGTTCTTCAGGAAAGCTATCTGTGCTCCAGGTTTTCCTTCCTCTTTGCTACCTACACAGTCTGCTGGTCCTCCAGAGCTCCATCTGCCCCGCATTTCCTTTGTGAAGCCTGTATTAGGCCGTTCTTGCATTGCTATAAAGAAGTACCTGAGACTGGGTAATTTATAAGAAAAGAGGTTTAATTGGCTCACAGTTACACAAGCTTTATGGGAAGCATGGTGCTGGCATCTCCTTGGCTTCTAGGGAGCCCTCAGGAAACTCCCGATCATGGCAGAAGGTGAAGGGGAACCAAGCGTGTCACATGAGGAAACAGGGGCAAGAGGTGGGAGGCAAGGTGCTGAGCATTTTTAAATGACCAGATCTCATGAGAACTCACTGTTATGAGGACAGCACCAAGGGATGGTACAAAATCATTCATGAAGAATCCACCCCCATGATCCAATCACCCCCCACCAGGCCTTACCTCCAACAATGGGGATTACAATTCAACTTGCGATTTGGGTGGAGACAAATACGCAAACTCTATCATCCGGGAATGCTGGACAAAAACCAGTATAGATCATAACACTACAAGGCCTTTGCCTGCCTATGAACTATACTCGGCTCACAGTCCTTACCCCAGAACTTAGTGCAGGGTCATGTGCTGTGTTGCTTTGTCTTCTCATTATACAACAATGATAATGATGCTGCTGTTTATAGAGCACTCGTTATGCAATAGAAGCTCTTTTAAGCTCTTTCCACACATTGTCTCTAATCCTCTCAGCAATGTAGGTGCAGTTATTCCCATTTTACAGGTGATAAAGTGAAAACTTAGCTCTATTAAAGGAGAGGCCCATAATCCCTCAGCCAGGGGCAGGATCAGCATTTGCAGCCAGGCCTGTGTGATTTTTTCTCTTAGTATAACAGTGACTGAAATGGATGCAAGGAAGGCCTCACTGGCAAAACTGGTCCGAAGGAATCAGGCCTGTCCAGGAGACAGCCTGTCTTCATTTATTGGTGAGGTCCTTTTCTAATATGCTTATTCTCCTTTGGAAAGGAGACTTGATTTCAACAAGTGTAAATACAATTCCTGTGAGATAATTTCTCATGATAGTTTTAACAGAAAACCCGGGAATCTCCCACCTCCAACATTCTGCTGATCGAGTTAGCAATGATTTCATTTCCAGCTAAGGACGCACTTAGGACTAGTACAGGTTAAACATGGGCACTGGAGTCAGAAAGACTGACAACGAAAAGTGTTAGGTAAGGAGGAAAAAATCTCAAAAATGAAATTCTGAAAATGTGGAACATCATTTTCTTCTGGAATGTGAAAGTTGGAGCGACGCGCGCCACCACATGCTAAGGGGAGGAGTCGGCTGCTGGCTCTGCCTGTCTGCACCCTCCTCCCTCAGAGGGGAAGGTGAGCATGACCTAACGGCCCAAGGTTCTCACCTCCACACTTCACCTTGACAGCATAAGCTTAAAGAGGTCATTTCTGCAAAAATATTCACCACTTCTTGCAAAGGCCTCTCTGAATCCTTTGATATTTAAATGATTCTTTCTTAAGGTGTACATGAGACAGTCTTGGTGAAACATTGACCAGGAAAGCCACTGACAGGTGGCTGGGGGTGGACCCTGAATGAAGTGGGCAGGGGGCCTGAGGAAGACAGAATTTGGGTGATGAGTGTTTTCAGGATAGGGCTACTGTAGCTTCTGTGTCTAGCAAGCTTGTGACTGTGGGGCCTGGGGTGTGAATCCTCCAATAGTAAAGACCCTGGTCCTGTAGAAGTGCCACCAGGAACTGGAGGGAAAGAAAAGGACTTTAGCTGAATCCCATAGGTGGTTGGGGGAAGAAGGCAGGGTGGGGAGAAGCAGAGCCTGGCTGTTATGGACTGAATGTTTGTGTTCCCCAGAAATTTACATGTTGAAGTGTAACTCCTGATGTGAGGGTATTTGGAGGTGGGGCCTCTGAGACGCAATGAGGTCTTGAGGATAGAGCCCTTATGAATGGAATGGGATTAGTGCCCTTAGGAGACACAAGAGAAATGATTTTTCTCTCCACTACGCAAGGACACAATGAGAAGGCAGCTGTTTACAGGCCAGAAAGCAGGTCCTTCACCAGGAACTGAGTTGGCTGGCACCCTGATCTTGGACTTCCCAGCCTCCAGCACTACGAGATACCAATTTCTGCCATCTAAACCACCCAGTCCATGATAATTTGTCATAGCATCCCAAGCAGACGAAGACAATGGCGCATTCTTGGGTCAACAGACTTAGGAAAACAAAGAAAAACAAAACAACACAGGATGCCCTGTTATATTTTAATTTCAAATACTGCATGGGACATACACTAAAAACATGATTCATTATTTATCTCAAATTCAGACTTACCTGGGCTTCCTGGATTTGATCTGGCAACCCTAATTAGGAAAAGGTGAAAAGCGAGCCCTCTGTCTTTACTGAAATCCCCCACCATGTGTCCAACAGAACGCCCTCCTCCCTTCCTCCCTGCCTCTCACTCGTGTCTGCTGTTGGTGTGTGTTAAGTGGGGTGTGGGTACGAATCCATCACACTAGTAGCGTCAAGTGATAACATGCTGTGTTTTCAGCATCAAGCGCGTGTGGGTTGGAATCTTGCCACATAATTCTTCTAATGCCGAAAGGGTATTAATTAATCTCACTTTCCTCATTTGAGTAAAAATGTAAAGAATTCCTAACTTGCAAGTGTTATTGGTAATAATTGAGGGAAAGTGAGGTTTTTTTGGTCTGGGGTTCTTACAATCATTTAGGTAGTTGTTATTAAATCTCCCATCTGTCAAGTGCCTCTGACTGCTACAGACTAAAGTGCTGCTATGGACTAAGTTGTGTCCCCTACAAAATTCACATATTCAATATTAGAGCCCTGATGTCCAGTGTGACTATATTTGGAGACAGGATCTTTAGGAGGCATTTAAGGTTAAATGAGGTCTTAAAGGTGGGGAACTAATCTGATAGAATTGGGGTCCTTAAAAGAGAGGTCGGAGCTCTCACCTGTGCCCCTCACCCCCCCACATGAGCACAGAGAAAGGCCACATGAGGACACAGGGAGGAAGGAGGTGGCTGTCTTCGAGCCAGAACGTGGGCCCTCATCAGGGACTGAATTGGCTGGCCCCTTGAATTTGGCTGGCACCTTGATCTTGGACTTCCCGGCCTCCAGAACTGTGAGAAATAAATTTCAGCTGTTTAAGCCACTCAGTCTGTGGTATTTTGTTGTAACAGCCAAGCAGATTAAGACGTGTGCCTTACTCTGTATTAGACACTTGGCGTTCACTTTCTTTAATCTCTTCTGATCCTAAACCAGGCTATGATACTCCCATTTTGCAGTGGAGGCTTGGTCACATAAATTTCTTACAGGGGTTGCAGCCTTGTGGGAGAGGGGTGACAACTGGTGGTCTGTGAGCCACATCACACAGACTTTTTTTTTTTTGAGACAGAGCCTTGCTCTGTTGCCCAGGCTGGAGTGCTGTGGCGCAATCTCAGCTCACTGAAACTTCTGCCTCGCAGGTTCAAGTGACTCTCATGCCCAGTAGCTGGGACTACAGGCATGAGCCACCATGCCCGGCTAATTTTTGTATTTTTAGTAGAGATGGGGTTTCACCATGTTGGCCAGGCTGGTCTTGAACTCCTGACCTCAAGTGATCCACCCGTCTTGGCCTCCCAAAGTGCTGGGATTACAGGCGTGAGCCACCGTGCCTGGCCACACACTGACATTTTTCACAGATTAAAAAAGAAACTCATGTTTGTAATCCCAGCACTTTGAGAAGCTAAGGCAGAAGGATTGCTCGAACCCAAGGCAGAAGGATTGCTCGAACCCAGGAGTTCAAGACCAGCCTAGGCAACACAAGAAGACCCTGTCTCTACAAAAACTTTTTAAAAAAAAATTAGCTGGGTGTGGTCACACATGCCTGTGGTCCTAGCTACTCAGGAGGCTGAGGCGGGAGGATTGCTTGAGCCCAGGAGGTCGAGGCTGCAGTGAGCCACGACCGAATCACTGCACTTCAGCCTGGGCCACAAAGTGAGACCCTGTCACCTACCACCCCCACCCCCCGCCAAAAAAAAAAAAAGAAAAGAAAAAACACTTAAACTGGTTGCCAACATTGATAAATTTGAAGATTTCATGAAAACTTTTGAGTTTGCAATCCTCTGGACAAGAAATAAAAGCCGCAGTTCCTGTTATTGGTCCCAGAGCCTTGATGAAAATTGTAGGTGACAGACCAGTCATTTCATCCCTGCCCTTCTTGCTGGTGGCACTTCCTTGAGGACGCACTTCTACCTGACAACACCAGCTGCCAGAGCCATTGTTGGGGCACGAGAGCAGAGTGACCAAAGGAGGGGAGTCTGGAGGCTGAAGCCTGCACTGGGGTCCCAGCGCTGCCATTTCTGCTGGGTGACTTGGGCAAGCTCTTTGACCTCACAAGCCTCCCTGTTGAGTGATGATGATAATAATGCAAAGAAAATTAAATAAGTTTGTTGACATACATAAGGTTTAGCACCATGCTTAGCAGCAAGGTTACCATGCAGACTCCCACCTGGCACTGAGGCGATGGACGTTCCTAATAAAACAGCTACCCCGCGTTGCCCGCCTCGTGCGCAAGAGGCCCTGCTCTCCACACTTGCACTCCATCCGTTCCATCTGCACTGCTGGGCAGAAAGGCAGGTGGCGGCAGCCCCATTTCACCAGCTGAAGAACATGAGTAATTTGTCCCAGGACACAGCTAGGAAGAGCAGGACCCAGGGTTCATGCCCAGGCTCCTCTTCCTGCCCTACATGGTCTCCTGTTTGCAAAATGGAGGGGCCTAGGGGTAGAGAAAGGGTGTGGTGTCTCCAGCTCTAAAAGTCTATCTGAGTCCTAAGATGCTGCAGAAAAGCTTTGCCTCCCACCTCCCTCACCCTCATGTCCTGAAGGGCCAGCCTGGGGACAGAAAGCTGCCCGATGGTCACGTATCTGAGGGCTCTCCAACATTTTTCCAGGACAGAAAGGGAGTGATTCTGGCCCACTCATTTGAGCACACAGCAGAGCTGGCAGCCTCCCTACACAGGTAGTGCATTTCAGCATCACCCCTGCAACTCATTCTCCCACTCCTTCCCCACCCTCACCTGCCCCTCCAAACAAGAACGGTGGCTCAATACACAAAGCTTAGATACACAAAGCTTAGATGTGCAGTGGCTTTCTCTCTCTCTCTGTCTCTCTCTTTTAAGCTTCTGTTTGGAAGCTGTTTTATCACTTCTGGTTCCCTTTCAGAGCACCCAGGAAAGGTTGCTTTTTTAGGGGTGATGGTGTTTTCTCCTGGGAAATTCGTTTTGCCACCTCTGTACTGTGTGATCTTGAGTAATGAAAAGAACTCCTCAATTCTGGGCAGTGTTTTTCACAGTTCCTGGTACCCTTTCATACACATCATCTCATCTCCCAAAACCCTGTGGAGGAGGCAGTATGGTGTGCCCATTTTATAGATGATAAAGCTGAGGTTGGGAGGGGAGAGGTTTTCAGAGTTGTGGTTTCCAGAGCCCGTGGAGGTGTTTGTGCAAGGTTGATGCTCAGTATTTAAGCACATGGGCCCAGAGAGGGCCAGGGATTTGCATTTGGTCGCACAGCAGGGTATTATCACCAAACTCTCCAGAGCCAGTCAGCAGGTGATCCTTTCTTTCCCAAACATTGACTTTCTAAGAAAACTTTACTTCCACAAACAGGCTTAGTCTTAGGTTTGAATTTATCCATATGGTTTGTGTGTGGGTAGCTCTTTCCTTCCCACTGCTGCAGGACCGGATTCTCCACCTCATTCATGTTGAGTGGCATTTTGGATGGGATCCTTCCTGCTTGTAGGGGCTCTCCTGTGCACTGGAGGAGGTTTAGTGACCCTGACCCATTAGATGCTAGTAGCACCCCGTAGCCCTGACAACCCCAAATATCTCCAGACGTTGCCAAATATCAAGGCAGGATAGGGTGAGGGAAAATCCCCCTGGCTGGGAACTGCAGCATTAGATGACCTCAGTATGTGAGGCTGCCAGAACGCACTCCCCAGTCTACTGCAGATGGCTGTTAGATTCCTTTCCACTGTGGAATTACAATGGGTGATACTGTGATGACTATCCTTGTGCAAGTCTTTTGGGGGAATCTAGGCATGCGTTTCTGCCATGTAGGTACCTAGGAGGGAATCACTAGGTCATAGGGTGTGCATAGGTTTGGCTTTATGGGTTCTGCCACAACATTTTCCCAAGTAGTAGTATCACTTCTCACTCTCCCAGCCACATAGGAGAATTCCAGTTCCTCCCAATCCTCATGAGTCTTCAATTTGAACTCTAATTTTTTGAAGGCTGAGGCCCAACTCACTTTATTTTTGTGTTCCCACTGCCTGACATAGTAAATCACAGAAGATACCAGTTGTTAAGTGAGCACAGGCATGCATGCTGGCCTTCTGCTTCAATGTCCTACGATCCCGATGTCACAGCACTCGGCTCTCACCATCAGGAGGCAGTTACCCCTCAAGGCCTGCTCTTTCCCATGTCCCCAGTCCCCAGCAAACGCAGCAGCTCATGAGCTCTGGGGATGAGGCCACGTTTTCACATTCTTGGTGAGTTTCGTATCCTGACACAGCTGTCAAAGCCAAATGCCATCATTGTGTGATTTCAAAGGGTTACTGAATTGTTTTCAAGTTGTCATTCTAACAAAACTTGTCTATCAAATGATAATTTGTTTTTCCTTTTATGTTGTGGTTGTATTTTTACAGCTTACTGGAACTCTTTTTTTTTTTTTTTTTTTTTTTAAGACAGAGTCTTGCTCTGTCACCCAGGCTGGAGTGCAGCGGTGCGATCTCGGCTCACTGCAACCTCCGCTTCCCGGGTTCAAGCGATTCTACCACCTCAGCCTCCTGAGTAGCTGGGATTATAGGCATGCGCCACCACACCTGGCTAAGTTTTGTATTTTTAGTAGAGATGAGGTTTCAGCATGTTCGTCAGTCTGGTCTCAAACTCCTGACCTCATGATCTGCCCACCTGAATCTTTTTTAAGAATATGTTTAACTCTTCCAGCTCTTCTGCACATTCCTTAAATGTTATGCATCTTGAAGGCAGGCACTGTGTCCTCCCTGGTTTTTTAAGCACATGTCTCACCATGGCATCATTGTCATCATTGTTGTTGCTGCGGTAGTCATCACCATGTTGCTCATCTATGACACTTTATATTTTCAGAGTATTTTACCACGTTACCTTGTTCAAGCCTCTCAATAAGTCTTTTTTATTATCATATATTTTTTAGAGACAGTATCTAGCTCTGTTGCCCAAGCTGGAATGCAGCAGTACAATTATAGCTCACTGCAGCCTCAAACTCCTGGGCTCAAGCAGTCCTCTTGCCTCAGCCTCCCAAGTAGCTAGGAACTACAGGTCCGCACCACCATGCCCAACTAATTTTTGTCCTCTTTTTGTACAGAGAATGTCTTGGACATGTTGTCCAGGCAGGCCTCAAACTTCTAGTCTCAAATGATCCTCCTGCCTCAGCCTCCCAAAATGCTTTGATTTCAGGAGTGGACCACATTTCCTGACCCTTCCAATAAGTCTTGAAACACAGGCAGAGTGGTGAACGTCCCCCTTTTACTGATGAAGAAATGGAAAGACACTGAGCTAAGACTCAGCCACAGGACAGTACTCATCACTGGCAGAGTCGAGTCCCGTCAACTGCATTAATTCAGATGCTCATGTAGAAAGTACCATTTTTCAAAACACAAATTCAGATATGTAAAAAACTGACATTTTTTTCCCTACACTTGACTTCAATCTCTCATTCTACCCAAAGATGGAAATTTTAATCAAGTCAATGGAGTCATTTCTAGATTTTTTTCTTGGTCATTTCAGGTTTAAGCTCACCATTTTAGATTCCCTCACCCCCACCCCAGGGTGACACCTATGTTTGGAAGGGCTCATGTTGACACAGCCAAGTATGAAGGGGTCCCCGGAGAAACCCTGGCCTGCACACTGGGAGAATGGGGTGGAGTCACTGAAGTTCATGCCCTTGGCAGGGGGAGGAGCCTGTCCTCTCCTGTTCCAGGCTGGAGCCTGGGATTCAGCCTGAGAGGCGGGAATCCCATAGCAGGACTCTGACTTTGCAGAGAGTCCCTGTTTCCCGTTTTTTCCTTTTCGCCCAGTAAACCCTGCCCGTCTCACCCTTCAAAGTGTCTGCAAGCCTAATTTTTCATGGTCGTGTGACAAGGACCCCATTTTTAGCTAAGGAGAAAGTCCTACAGCAATGTTAGCTGGAGACAGGAAGGAGGGAGAATCTGTTTTCTGCCCTCGGCATTCCTCCCGGCTGGCTCCAGCAGCTGATGTGTGAGTCCCACTGGACTCTGGTTGATGCACTCTCCCTCCCCCCACAGCCTTGTCTTAGACTGACCCACCCTTATGGTACTTCCTTGCTTTCCTCAAGGGCTTGGGAAACTTTCAGATGCCCCCTGGGTCTCTCTGGGGCCACAGAGATAGCAGCTCACAGGCCTGCTGGTGCCGCCATATTGGTAGGGAAGGAAACCTCCAGGGCCTTGCTGGTCGCTTGTGATCATGTCCATAAACTCATCAAGTGGTGTTGCTCTCTCCCTCACCACCAGGTCTTGGTTGAGAGAGGAAGGGTAGGGGAAATGTCCCCTCAATTGACAACCTTGTTTTTCTCTCTAAATCCCCCTTATCCACTTAGCCTGTGGAACCATGTCATTTTAAGCTCTATAACATGAATCTTAAAGTTTCTTATTTTTCCTGTATTGAAATATACTGCCTCTTAAATCATCATTCACCCTTCCTAAATGTTATTTATGTTTATATATTGTTGATGTGTGTGGCATATTATTGTTTAGGACATAAACATTGGCTTCTGCCCTTCCTCTTGATACATTATTATCTCAGTTGAAACTCTAAAGCCTGTATTTTGAGACTGTCAACCTAAGAATCCTTCCTTTTGACATTGGTTGCTGTGGCCTCTCTTTTCAGAGGCAGAAAGTTCAGTTTGTGCCCCAAATGGTAGAAAGAATCTCTGGGCAAAAGCTGTGGAGTCCTGATAAGTAAGCAACAATGAGGAAGGGTCCCCAGGTTGAGGAGGACCTCAGGTGGGAAAGGACACCTGAGATGCTAATCACAAACAACCCAAGGGTACAATGACCTCCTTCTGCATGTAGCCCCTTCCAGCTCCACCCTATAAAACTTCCTTCCAGGCCCTCCCTCTTTGCAGACAGCTCCTTTGCTGCTGTGCTTCCCGTTGCAATCTTGCAACGTTTTTTCATACTTTCTCTAATAAATCTTTACCTATAACTGCCTTGGTAAATTCCTTTACATCCCGTGACACTGGCTCCGGATCCTTGCTATCCTTGACAAAAGCAACTTCTTAGAAATTATCAAACACAGAGATTAATAGACATACATACCCTGACTACAGTACCAATGCAGAGGAAAAGGTGGAATAAGGATTTAACCCTGCTGCAAAATACAAGACAATTTCAGAGAAAGCTATTCCTTAGGTTACTTTAGGAGGTTTATATGAGTGTTGAGAAACACCCAACAGTCTATCTCATGTTGAATGTAATAGGAATAATGAATGAAAGTAACTGATACATTGCTATCTGGCCTCTGGGTGCCAGGGGTTTGCATACTCACACACTCTTCTCATGAGGCAGCAGAGCTGCTGTTATTTCTGTTTCACAGGCAACTTGAAGGAACTTGAAGACCCCACAGAGAGGCAGTAGCAGTCAAGTTTGGACCTGTCTATCAGGGCATATCTCAGATTTAGGACCTCCCTCCTGGAAACCCCAAGAAGCCTGGGCTCAGGGATCTTTTCAATTCTCTCTCTGCCACTAAAGGGTGTGCATTTTGACTCCCTTTTATAGTAACTGCTTAAAGTATCTGCTTTCAAGCTGAAATTCCCATGGGCAATGTGGTTTTATTGTTACTTTTTAAAAAGTTAATATATTCAAAAAAGTAAAGCAAGGAATATTCAGAGGGCTGGGACTCCAATGACCTGGCCCCTTCATCCCAGGGCAGTGTTAGGAGAGACTTGGAAAACAGGGTAAGAAGAACCAGCAGCAAAACTTCCCAGTCATGTTCTCAGGAGCCCCAGGGCTTCTCAGTATTAGTGAACTTCAGAGCCACGTGGAAAGTTGGTGAGAAATGACCATTAACAGGCCTCACCTCATAGCTTTTGACTCTGTGGCTCTGGGGTGGGGCTGAGAGGTTAGGTTCTTCACAAGCTCCTTATTGTGACTTCAGTGAGGGAGGTTTACAGACAGACCCTCTGTGGACTTCTGCACAAATCTCCCCTTCCTGCCAAGTAACAGCTCGGAGGCTGAGTTGGGGAAGGGTGCTCTGGATTCTGAACTTGCTTTGAAGCAGCTTGGTGTAGTGGGACCTGGGGTCGAGTATGAGCCTCATCCTAAGCCAGTCTGTGCAGCGTCTCTGAGCCTCTGTTTTATCCCTCGTAAATCAGGAACTCACCCATTCATTTCCACAGCCAGCCATCGGGAGCGCGTTTGTGCCAAGCTTTATGTAAGCTTTGGGAATTCAGCAGTGAGCCCACCTCCCTTCATCCCCCACCCCACCAAGGAGCTCGCTGAGTGGGGTAGGGAAATAGACAAGCCAGCTTGTAGGTAAGCCCAACGGAGGCTGCGGAGCCCAGGGGAGATGCTTTGCACAATCACAGAAGGCTTCCCTGAAGACCTGGGGCTGAAGTTGAAGCCTGAAAGACCTGAGAGTGAGCTGAGCCTGGGAGAGCCAGTGTGCCAAGCAGAGGGAACATTCTGGAATGGAGTGTCAGCCATCTTCTGCTTTTCCAGAAGGCGGCAGCAGGCGAGGAGGAGATGGCTGTAGCGTATGTGCCCCACAGCGTCTGCCTTGATGGCTATCAGAGGAGGGTCCAGGCACCTTCCCAGAGACCTTTACACCTGTGGGAAGTGGAAGGCTGTGGTCCCCCTGCAGGATGCTATCCGCTGACACTGGCTGGAGCTTAGCATTTGTCAGGCCCTGTGCTGGGCGTTTTACACACACAGACATGCACTGTCACATCAACTTTGTGGGGAGAGACTATTCTTTTAGAGAGGAAGAAATCGTGTCTGAGAAAGATTAAGCCACTTGTCCGGGTCACAGTCCCTGAACAGGGAAGATGGGTCTGTGTCTGACTCTGAAGCCCCTGCATGTGACTTCAAGTCTCATCTTGAGACAGAGCCATGTCAGCTATTTTAACAGAAACATGGTTTTCAGAATCCCAGTCTCAGCATCACAGGGCAGAGCACAGAAGGGTGGGTGTAGGGCTCAGGGACAATGCTTCGTCATGAACCCCAAGCTGCTTCTCCCCATCCTGGGTCTGGAACCAGAAGGCCCCATGGGAGGTCAGGTGATTGTTGGCTGTGGTTGGGCTGGGCAGAGCCACGGACCAGGTGACTTCAGGACACTTTGGTGCTCAGAAGACTGGCTTAGAAGGGAGGCTGTGGGCACATGAGTCCAGCTGCTCCTAGGACCGGCCGTTGGATCCCAAACCCTTCAGTGCCTCATCCTATGTTGCCTTTTTCTCAGCTGTTGCCATCTGGTTGTGCCTTCTTCTGCATCTTCCTGCACTGCAGAGCAGCCCCCCTCCCCAAAAAAGCAATTTCCCCAATTCCTTTGCACCTGGGATATTTGAGATGCAATTCTGCTCCTCCAGCTGAGGGTGGTGAGGCCAAGTCGTCCCCCTGCTGCATCGAGCTTTTCCATTCTGCACTGCAGTGACCAGCCATTAGCTTTGTGGGAGACAAGGGGTCTCTACGTTGGTGAGGGCTTCTTGATTGCAGGGTCACAGCTTCTGCTGCGTGTTCTGGAAGCTAATACTTTCAGCAGCCTCTGGGTCTCTGCTTTCCTGATGGAGGCAGATGTGCCAGATTCCTGGGAGGCCAGTTCTGCCATGTTTTTGCACAGACCCGGTCCAGAGCCTGCTCCTCATGAACTTCCAGTGGCTTTTGTAAGCACTTGATGCCTCGTGCTAATTTCTTTCCTTTCTGGAATAAGTAAAGCAACAGCTCTTTGTGCTTGTAAGTGAACCCAGGTGACTTAGATCATGCCTGTACTCTTTACACCAACACTGATTCCTTCTTACAGGTGAGAAAACTCAGGCCCAGAGTATTTCAGCATCTGTTGGAGGTCACACTAATTGTCAGTGTCAGAACCACAACCCAAAGCCAGATCCCTATCTCCTACCTTGTTCCTCCCCACCTAACCCTCTGAGGATGTGACTTGTCACTGGGGTGAGAGTGCGGTCTGCAGCTCTGTATCTGACTTGCAAATTATAAAATGTGTTCCACTTGTGTGCTGAATTAATTGACGCCCTGATTCTTGTTTGTTTCAACGGTGTGATTAAAACAATGATGATGATTCTCCCTTGGGGTCTATCAGATAAAGTGGCTGTGATTGACAGGGCCCTGCACCCACACAGTGGCTCTGTAGAGCCTGCAGAGTGGGTGGCCCACACTCCTGATCCTCATCCCTGGCCCAGAGCCTAAACAGAGGACTTTTTTCCTTCCTGAAAAGCAGAATGGTATAGAGGGCTCCACCATTCATCAGGCACACATTAAGCCCAGGTACTTGGTCCCTGGGAGATACATGCCATCTTGCAATATCCCCTTGCAGTGAGGACACCCATCACCCTTGCACAGATCAAGAAACTTCGTTCTTGAAGGTCACAGTGTAACTGCCCAACAAGTTCTTCTTACCCATTGCCCAGATGAAGCTGATTTATTAAAACAAGGGAAAGAGTTTAATACATGAAGAGCTGGGTAAATGAGAGATCAGAGTTTTATTATTACTCACATTAGCTTCCTTGAAAATTTGGGGACTAGGGTGTTTCAAAGATAGTTTGGGTGGGCAGGGGCTAGGGAATGGATGCTGCTGATTGGTTGGGCATGCAATCACAGGGGTGTGGAAAACAGTCCTTGAGGCTGAGTCCACTACTGGGTGGGGGCCACAGGTCATGTTGAGTCAAGAGTTGCTGGTCCTAGTGGGGCCATCTGGTCCTCAGAAATGCAAAAGCCTGAGAAGACATCTCTAAAGGCCAATCTTAGGTTTTACAATGATGATGTTATCTGCAGGAGTAATTGGGGAAGTAACAAATCTTGCAATGGCTGGAATAATGACTGGTCATCACTTAACCACAGATTCAGGCCCTTCTCATCCTCCTAACCTTGGTGGCCTTTCATTAGTGTTATAAAGGGGGTTAGTTTTTTGGGAAGGGCTATTATCATTTAAACTATAAACTCAATTTCTCCCAAAGTTAGCTTGGCCCACACCCAGGAACAACCAAGGGTGGTTTGGAGGTTAAACACAAGATGGAGTTGGTTAGGTCAGATCTCTTCTGTATCATAATTTTCTCACTGTTATAAGTTTTGCAAAGTCAGTTTCAACAGTTAATAAGCAGTGCAAGGTGGGGCTGTAGTTTTGACCTGCTTGGACTCTGAGAATATAGGAAAAATAAAACTCAGTTTCTCCTATCCTTGGCTCTTACAACACAAAAGGCTTCTGACACCAAATGTATGTGGGTTTACCCCCATACAGCAAGCAAATAACCAATTCTGCAGTGGACACCAGCTATGTGTCCTCTAATTCAGTTCAATTCCCACACTACCTGGAGATAGTGTCAGATTGCACAGGTTGAGGGCTGAGTCCCACAAGACTGTGCCTGCCTCACTTCAATACCAATTGCAAGCCCCTGGTGTTTTACCTTTGCTTGTGATCACTGGCTATAAATTGAGATTCCCCTCCCCCTTAGATTCGATTAATTTGCTAGAGTAGCTCACACATCTCAGGGAAACACTTACTTATGTTTACTGTTACAGGTAGTTAGATAGGCATGAGTGGGGCAGGAGAGGGCTCTCCCCATACCCACTAGGAATATCAGGTGATGGTCTGATGATTATCATTTTATCACTAAAAATGATCATTTGCAGCCACAGGGAGACACAATCTCCTGATGATCCACAACTATTGACATTGAAAGTGTTAACTGAATATAGACACCAGGGAGAAGAAACTTCCTGGGCATGCTCACTACGAGACAAGATGGCAAAGTATGATGTTCCAGGAGCTTACCACTGGGAAAGGGAAGAAAACCTCAGATGGGCACGCATACAACTTCCTAAACACACTGCACATGCTCAGTTCCCAAGGGTAGGGAGAACACTGCACGCATGCGGGTAGCCCACCCTAAGGAAAGAATCATGGGAAAGAGGCAAGCCTGGAAAGTGCTAGGATGGGCCGGGCGTGGTGGCTCATGCCTGTAATCCTAACATTTTGGGAGGCCGAGGCAGGCGGATCGTGAGGTCAGGAGATGAGACCATCCTGGCGAACACGGTGAAACCCCGTCTCTACTAAAAATACAAAAAATCCGCCAGGTGTGGTGGCAGGCACCTACTGTAGTCCGAGCTACTCGAGAGGCTGAGGCAGGAGAATAGTGTGAACCTGGGAGGTGGCTCTTGCAGTGAGCCAAGATTGTGCCACTGCACTCCAGCCTGGGTGACAGAATGAGACTCCGTCTCAGAAAAAAAAGAAAGTGCTAGGATGAAAGTTAAATGCTCTCTTCTCTCTTTGACCTTCAGGCACCCTCTTGGATCTCTTCTAAGTGAACTTTCCTTGCTTTCCTGTTCTAAAGCCTTTTTAAACAAACTTCCACTCCTGCTCTGAAACTTGCCTTGGTCTCGTTTTCTGCTTTATGCACGTCAGTCTAATTCTTTCTTCTGAAGAGGCAAGGACTGAAGTTCCTGCAGACCCCTACAGATTTGCCACCAGTAACTCGGGGTAACTCGGATCTCTTCCACCGCTAACGTTACCAGTGTATTACAAGGATATTACAAGGGATACAGATAATGAGATGCAGAGGGTGGAGTATAAGGAAGGGATGTGGAGCTCTCATGTCCTCTCCAGGCACCACCCTCCAGGGACCTCCATGTGTTCAGCTGTCTGAAGCTCCCTGAACCCGGTCCTTGTGGGGTTTTACGGAAGCTTCATTATGGAAGCACGATTCATTACCTTCTTGGCCTTGGTGATCAACTCAACTCAACATTCAGCCCCCTCCCCAGCCCTCCCCAGAGGTCCAGTTGGGTGGAGCTGAAACTGTCAACCCTCTAATCACATGGTTGGTACCCCCGGCAACCAGCCCCCATCCATAGTCTGTCCAGGATCCCCCTGCCATCAGTCAACTCATTAGCATACAGAAAGTCACTCATCCTCTTGGAGATCCCAAGGATGTGGGGAGTTGTGTACAGGGGTTGATGGGTCTGACTCTTCTCATCACCTGCTTCAGGGCAAGGCAAGGCTTGACTCAGGCCTGGGCAAGCACCGCATTCCATCCCCTGATTACAAAGATTCCATGGTGGGGAGTGGTGGGTAGCATGTGATCCAAACAAAGGAAGCCTGGTTCTGCCTCTTCTCTTGAACTTTTAGGAAAGAGAAAACCCATTCTTTCCATTGGACTTAAAGACATAAGCATGGGGCTGCTGGAGTTACCATAGTCAACTCCTGTCAGAGAATGAAACCTGCGGCAGGCAGAGCCACAAAGAGAGAAAAGACTGATTCCTGGAATTCTTGATGACATCGTTCACAATGCTGGATCCAGCCCCAACTGAAACCATTGTGAAACTGTCTCCACAGGGTTGACAATTGCATCCTGGGTTCTGGACAGAAATAATTATAATTAAGCATTCATCAGGCTGCCCTTAGGCCCACTTCCTTGTTACTAAAAGTCACTTAGCACTAGATACTGATCATTTGCATACCATTGTTCCTATAGGCGAGATCCCGGACATTAGAATCATAAGGCTTTTATTTAATTCAGATGTATTTCAGACCTGAATTCCAGCGACCAGTTTGAAGACCCCCAGAGAAGAAACAAAATCGGCTTTGCAAAATTATAGCTGAGGAAATTATGACAGTGAAAGAAATAAGACCTGACTGACTCCATCTTGCTTCTAACCTTTAAGCTGTCCTTGTTCATTCCTGGGCGTGGGCTAAACTAACTTTGGGAAGGAATTCAGTTCGTGGTTTGACTCTGCAACAAAATTGGTAACAGCCCTTTCCTGAAAAGACCCCCTTCTTGCCTGGGGTCTAGTTTGCCTTTCCAGGACTAACAAATTAGCTACAAGATTAGAAAGTACAGTTTAGGGCTCATGCAGCCTCTGGCTTCAAGAGTCTTAATTGCCCCAAATTGCTCCTGGAGAAAACATCACTATTGTAAAATCTAAGATCAGTGCCTGAGGTATTTTGCAGACCCTGCACTGGATGGATCAGCTGAACTGGCTCAACCAGTTCCGCCATCCCACCCAGGAACAGAAGACGGCAAGAAAACCTCCTTCGACCCCCGCTGATTCCATCTCCAACCTGACTAATCAGCTCTCCCCACTTCCCAAGCCTCTAACTGCCAAATTATCTTTAAAAACTCTGATCCCCAAATGCTTAGGGAGACTGATTTGAGTAATAACAAGGCTCTGGTCTCTTGCACAGCCAGCTCTGTGTGAATTACCCTCTCACCATTGCAATTCCCCTGTCTTGATAAATCGGTTCTGTCTAGGCAGCAGGCAAGGTGAACCCATTGGGTGGTTACAGAAAGGGATCCACGTGAGAATACAGCTTCTTCCTCTCCCTCACCCATGACTTCACCCTGCACTCCTCGACCAATCAATGATACCTGTACTTTGGCCTACTCCAAAACCTGAACCCCAGATTCCTAGGGGAGGTGGAGTTGAGGTTTTCTCCCATCACCTCATTCAATGACCCTATGATGAAACCTCTTTCTCTGCTGCAAGCCGGTGTCTTGGTGTATGGACTGGTTGTGTGTGTAGGGCAATGAACCTATTATGGTTACAATCACCTCCCCCTGGGTTTCTCAGTTATGCCAAACGATGAATTCCTCACTTTTCTGCAGCCAGTTAGAGGTGGCACCTTAGTCCCTTTAATTTCACTATGTCCTGGCTGCTACGCAGCTCTTTTTTCCAGATTTGCCTGATGTTCTGCCCACCAAACTAAGCTGCCCCCAACTGATGGCTTAAGCCTGGATTAAACTAAGCTACAAACAGCTGAATTCCTCGAGAGTGGCCAACCTAGCCTCTCTTGTGTGACAGACACTCAAGATTCAACCAGTGACACCTCTTTTATTTCTCCAAATTCACTTAAGGTCCAGTGTCACCCTCTTGGAGATCTCTCTGCCCGCTTCCCTGGATTACCTATGAGCCCTGGGGCATGGCAGGAAGGTGACCTGAGCAGGAGACAGCGCACTGAGATTTGAAGGATGAGTCTGCATTGTTCTTGTTACCGAACCAAGCTTGAGTCCACCCACCTCGGTGCAGCAAAGCCAAACCCTGACATCAGGATTTGCAGCGAGAGAAAGTGAGGCATTGATTGCAGGGCTCCAGGCAAGCGGAATGAGGCAGCTAATGCCTAAAACCTGAACTTCCCCATGGCTTACATTGTAAGTGTTTTTCAAGGTGAGGAGACAGAATTACAGGCAAAGTCATAAACTGACACATGGAAGTTGCACATTGGTTTAACTTAAAAAAGCAAAGCATCTCCAGCAGGGTCTACAAGTCAAAGGTGAATTCAAAGATTCTTTCATTTGTGTTTGATTAAGGAAGCAAAAGTTTTTCTAAAAAGTTGGGGTCAACAGAAAGGAATGTTAAGCCCTGGGCTCTGAATATGACTTCCTCCAGGCCTCTCGGGCAGAAATTTAGAACAAAGAATGGGAGGGTCACCATTCAGTCCTTGGTTCCTTCTTATCTGAGGTCTCTGTGCCAGCAGATGCCATCTTCCATGTGATGGGGGTCTGGGTTTCTGAAAAATAATTCAGGGACATATATGGAGATGTTATCCTTAGTTTCTATAGGAAGCCGAACATTTTGTGGCTCTAACTTCCTGGGCTATTATTTTCAGCTATTATTACCTTCTCACGTATCAGGTTGCTCATTTAATTTTCAAAGCTAGTGAGGTGCCTGGAATTTCCCTTGAAGGAACTCAAGGTTTTCCTTTCATTCCATGCCTGGGGAAGCCCAGCGGGCTCCTAAGAGGGGTCCTTGTGTAGCAGGACGAGCCACAGACAAAACCTCTCAGACACTGAGTTGTAGAAGGAAGGGCTTTATTCAGCTGGGAGCATCGGCAAGCTACTGTCTTAAAATCCGAGCTCCTCAAGTGCACAATTTCTGTCCCTTTTAAGGGCTCACAATGCTACAGACTTCACATGAAAGGGTCGTGATTGATTGAGCAATCTAGGGGATATGTGACAGAGGTTTCATGCCCTGGTAGTCAGAGTGAAACAGAACAGGGCAGGGAGTATCACAATGTTCCTTCATACAATGTCGGGAATCTATGGATAATATCGGTTTCTAAGTCATGAGTTGATTTTTAACTACTAGGTTTAGGCCAGGCAGGCCTAGGTCCGGTTTTGGGCCTGGCGCGGGGCTGCCTGTCTTTGATTTCACTTCCTTGTTTTTTTCTTAAAACAGGTACTGAGTATAAAACAATATAAAACAATATGAGAGGGTCTCTCTCTTCCCTCACTTGCTCCATCACATTTTATCAAAGGGAGCAGGAGGAGTGCATTTCAGGGGAATATCAGCTTGTGTGAAGGAAGACACAAATGAGAGAGCAGGGGAAATGGCTTGGAGTTTTAAGGTAGAGTGCAGGGAGTCCAATAGCATTTTTAAAAGATTTTCCACTAAAATATCATAAACATAGAGACAAGTGTGCGTGGCCTAAGTACAAAGCTCGATGAATTCTCACCAAGAGAACACATCCAGGTCACACACATATGGATCCAGAAACAGAACACAACCAGGAACCCGTGAACCTTCAGGTCCCTTTCCAGTCACCGTGCTTCCCAGGGCAATGTCTATCCTGACTTCTCACACCCACTTCAGGGCGTAATTTTGCCTACTTTTAACTTCATGGAAACGGAACCAAATAACTTGTGCTCTCTAGTGCCTGGTTTCTCTCATTCAACACTGTGAGATGCGTCCTTATCAACAACACACGTAGCTGTACGTCGTTTGCTCTCATTGATATAAGGCAGGGGTCAGCAAACTCTTTTTGTAAAGAGCGACAGTAAATATTTGAAGCATCACTGGTCCTTTGATCTCTGTCCCAGCTCAATTTTTCTGTTATGACATGAAAGCAGCCATAGGAAATATTTAAATCAATGAATGGAGCTGAATTTTGTAAATAAAATTTTGTAAGTCTCATTCATCGAATGAACTTTATTTTGTAAATAAAGTTTCGATGAATGAAACTTTATCTACAAAAATTGGCAGCCTGGATTACAAACATAGTTTGCCAGCTCCGTGCTCTACAGTATTCTGTTGTGTGAATATACCACCATTTGTTCATCTCATCTACTGATGAACTTCAAGGTAGGCTTTAGTTTGGGACGACTTACGCATAGTGCTGCCGTGAACATTCTTGTACGTGTGTTTGTTGAACGTGTCCACATTTCTGTTGGGTATGTTCCAAGAGGTAGGATTGCTGGGTTGAAACTTATACATCTGTTCAGCTTTAGAAGATGCTGCCAAACAGTTTTGCAAAGTGGTGGTACCAGTTGCATCTCTCCCTCCCCATGACCAGCAGTGGATGCATGTTCCAGTTGCTTCACTTCCTTAATGTGTGATGTTTTCACCTTAACCTTTCAGGTGGATGTGTACTTGTATCATTTTATGGTTTTAATTTGCATTTCCCTGATAAATAATGAAGCTGAGCAGTTTTTCATATGTTTACAGCCATTTGGGGTATTGGCTTTGTGAAATGCCTGTTCCAATAACATTTGATACCTTTAACTTGCATAAATTACATTCTGCCTTGAAAATAAATCTGGCAGTCTCCTTTGGAGCGTTTGGTCTTCTTTCTTATCTAAACTTAGGAGCTTTTAAGGGATGATGTTGTGCATATGTTACTACTTTTTCTTTAATTCCAGAATCTAATGTGAGATGTTTGCCCTCTCAATGTCTGTTTCAGGTTCTTTTTCCCCTTAAGAAATTTTGATCTTGTTCTTGCATGTGTCACTAACTGTTTTGAAATTCAGAGATCCAAGAGGCCTGAACTTTCAGAAATCACGGTTTCACAGAGTTTAGAAGGTGAGAGCCTTTCTGAGCCTCAGACAAAGAGGGCTTGAGGATATACACTGAGGACATCACTGAACAGGCCATCACTGAACTTGAACTTGACATCACTGAACCAGCCCAGGCATCTGAGTCTAGGTGTGAGAGTAACCTCATTCCTCTATCTTCCCTCTCTTCTTGCTCTGGGTTCTGAAGATCCTCAATGAATAATGGCAAGTTATACTAGTCAGAGGAGAGAAAATTTTCAAATGGGGCAGGTTGAGAATAAATCTGGCTGAGCGAAGAAAATTAATTAGTAATAGTAAATATAATTTGGCAGATTCTGAAGTAGCTTACTGTATTAGTCCATTTTCATACTGCTATGAAGAAATAACTGAGATGGGGTAATTTATAAAGAAAAAGAGGTTTAATGGACTCAGTTCCACATGTCTGGGGAGGCCTCACAATCATGGCAAAAGGTGAAGGAGGAGCAAAGGCACATCTTACATGGGGGCAGCAAGAAAACATGTGCAGGGGAACTGCCCTTTATAAAACCATCAGATCTCATGAGACTTATTCACTATCACGAGAACAGCACAGGAAAACCCGCCCCCATGACTCAGTTACCTCCCACTGGGTCCCTCCCACGAAACATGCAAAACATGGGGATTATGGGAGTTACAATTCAAGATGAGATTTGGGTGAGAACACAGCCAAACCATATCACTTACTGTGTGTGTGTGTGTGTGTGTGTGTGTGTGTGTGTGTGTGTGTGTGTGTGTGAGAGAGAGAGAGAGAGTGAGAGATTGAGAGATTGAGAATGTGACTGATAGCTGTCATATAACTATGGATTCTGCAATGCATATAAAGCCTGTTTGCCCTGTGGTCCAGCCTGATACACAGTCTATAAAAAAAAAATTGTTTACCAACCCCAAACTAATTTAGGGTAATTTGAATCTTTATTGGAGCCTTCTGAATAGCATATCAAAGAAGGAACCCATCCATAATATATAATAAAACCTCTTTTTAAAAGTTCTTTTCCAATTCTTCTTTCTTCAACACACAATAGCTGCCACGAAGTTATTTTCTGTTTTTCATTTCCACATTTATACAACATGAAACAAACAAAAACCCTATCTCTAATCCAACCTTCATGGGCTCTTTCATTTTTGATTCCTCTTTCTTATTTCCCTAAATCTATTCTTCTCCCCCTAGTAGTTTTTAGTTTTCTCGTTTTCTACTGTAATTCCCACGAGTCCCTCCTCATCTCATCTCCCTTATTGACTATCTCAATTGATAAAGAAAAGGTCCAGTAATCAATCAGACAGGATTCCTTCTCAGAGGGTGGAAGATGAGAGAAAAGACAAAGCTGGTAGGATTGTCTTTGGTATTTAAGATAAAAGAGGCTATGAGTCCTCTCTTGCATATGTTCATCCTTGTCACCCTTACGTTCTGGGTCCATGCAAGTACATTTCTTTTTGCATTTTTTAAAAAAACAAAAATTAAGTTGCTTTTAGAGGAGACATCTCTTATTTGAGCCTCACAAGTAAGGACAATGAGTCAGTGACCACTGTGGACACTTCCATTTAATGCTTCCACTCACCAAGGACTCATCATGGGACAAGTATGGCACAGGTGAGTGTCGGGGTATCCATAAGAACCCTCCCAGATTCTGTTATTTTCCAGGAGTGCTCATAAGACTCAGCATATAGTTTTGCACATGGCTATGACTTTTATAGTGAAAGGATACCGAGCAAAATCAGTACATGGAAAAGGCACTGAGAACTAAGTACAGAAGAAGCCAGGTGGAAGCTTACAGAGCTCTCTCCCCCTAGAGCTGCCCAGGACACACAGGATTTCCTTAGCAATGAATTGTAACAACACCTGTGAACTGCTCATTAGAGACTCAGTGTCCAGGGTTTTTATTGGGGGCTGGTCACATAGACACCATCTGCCTGGGATGTGACAACATTCCCAGAAGGAAAGCAGGTGTCCAGCATAAACCATGCTGTTTGTGCAAATGGTTTAGTCACAGTGAACTACTCTTGTCAGGAAGTGGTGGGAACTCTCTTGAAATCCACCTTCCCAGATGCCAGCCCCAGGCCAAGCCTTGCAGTCAGGCCTGCTGTGGTGACTGGCTTTTGCACAGTGAGACATTTAAAGTTAATGAACCTTGCCAGCAACCCCAGGAGGCCGTACAATCATTATTCCCATTTGGAGAAAATGAAACTTAGGCTCATAGAGTGGGGAGAACTTTTCTGCTGAGAGCTAATAAGTGGTAAAACCTAGACATGGATTATATGAAATTACAGACCATGTCGTTTTCATCATGCCATACTGTCTCTTCATTATTCCATTATTTCAGTACTGAATTATTTGATAGCTAACATTCCTGGGTCTTTTCTATGGGGCAGCCATTGTTTTAAGTGTTTTTCCTACAACAGCTTATTTAAGCCTCACCCTATGAGATCATGCATTATTGCTATCCTCACTTTACAGATGAGGAAACTGAGGCACAGAGATTTAAAAATGTACACAAGGTCATAATAATGGTGGCCACTTGCTGGGTGCTACCGATATCCCAACTCATGTTCCTCCTGCCTTTATTTATTAGCTCTGCTGGGCAGCTTCTCATGGGTAGCCTCTGTACAGAAAAGATCAATTAGAGATGAATCTTAATAAAGTAAAGGCAGTTTACGAAGAAAATAAAACACTCTAGGAGGCAAGGCCGATAAATGAGTCCAGGAATTCAGCAGAAAGTGAGACCAACTGCTTCCAGCAGAGGCAAATGACAACTCATTCGAGTCCAGAAAGAGGAGAGCAAGCGAACCTCCAGCCTCAGCTTCCATGACCTTCCAATACAAAGTGCCCTGCTCTGTTAGGTGGAAACCTGTCCTGTGGAACTTCTTCCTCACTCTCCCCCAAACCTACCCTTGTCCAACCCTAGCCCCCACCCATTAGAGGGAGGTATTTACTGAGGGAATAGGGACTCCTTGGAATTTTTGTCCCAGAAAAGATGTAGACCTAGCTGAGGTTGCAGACGCTAAGAATTTATCCAAGGCCAGAGTTGCAAACTCGTGTCTCTAACACATGGGCACGTGCAGGTTTCAATAGGAAAGCAAGAGAGAAGGCCACGTGGCCAGAGGACTGCTCCTGGATCCACTGAGCCACTGTCATTGTTGGGTCCTGCTTCTGTGGGCCATGCAGTCATGCACGCTGTACCTGCCCTAAAGTGACATCGTTGGTGAAACATACCTCTCCCACGCCCCTGGAGAAAGTCAACAGCTAGAGTTGACTGTGTAGATTCTAGAAAGTAATGTTCAGTGTTCTCATGCAAATAGTGCAATGTAAGGTGGTGTTGAGCTTATTTTTGCGGCAGAATTAATGTTCATTTAGAGCATCGTGCAGTCTGAAGGGGACACTGAAGTTTTTCTGTTAAATTTTTCTGCAGTTTAGTGGGAAATTAAATACAGTAGCAGGAATTGCCAATTTGGGGATTTGCAAAGGACTCTGGAGGCAGCCCTTGTGAAGCATGCGGAATTCTTTTAACAGCAAATGTGATGCGCAGTGGAGAGGCGGTTTCTGTTTTCTGTCTCCCTTAAAGCCCCATCCACCCAGCCAAGCACCCAGCACAAGGATGTGACTAGACCCTTTCCAACACTAAGGAACCGAGGACAACAGGCTGCCACTTTGATTTTTAAATTCAGGCCGGCCGGGCGGGGTGGCTGACGCCTGTAATCCCAGCACTTAGGGAGGCCGAGGCGGGCGGATCACCTGGAGGTCAGGAGTTCGAGACCAGCCTCAACATGAGAAACCCCGTCTCTACTAAAAATACAAAATTAGCCGGGCGTGGTGGTTCATGCCTGTAATCCCAGCTACTCGGGAGGCTGAGGCAGGAGAATTGCTTGAACCTGGGAGGCAGAGGTTGCGGTGAGCCGAGATCGTGCCATTGCACTCCAGCCTGGGCAACAAGAGCGAAACTCCATCTCAAAAAAAAAAAAAAAAAAAACAACAAAAAAACTTCAGGCCAATAACTTTGGCCAGCCTACTTTCCCTCTCCAGACCTCAGTTTCCTAATCTGCAAAACGGGAGGTAACCATGCTCCCTAACTCTGGTAAAATGAGATTGCGAATGCGGAACACTAGAATCTGGCACTGGGAAGCGTTTCATAAACATTAGGTGCTGCTTCCGCCGATATTATTGTGACCATGAAGTGACAGTACGCACCACCGGTGCAGCCCAGTGATGGACACAGGAGAGGCTTCTGGTGTCAGCTCAGGGGAATCTGGTACCATTTTTGTCTCTAAGGGTAGACAGTGGGCTTATGTAACCTACTTGCTTTGGAGCAAGCTGACTCCACCCCCTTGCTTCCATGGTAGGCCCTGATTGGTTTACAGGCATCCACGCAGTTCATTTTTCTGCCCAGTCACTGGTTCATGAGCAAGCATGTGACCTTGAAGGTCTAATCAGGGTGCATCTAGTTTGGGCCCCCGTTTCCCGGGATGTAGATGGGGAAAGGTGTCGCCCCTGGGATGCAGCTGGCCCTGCTGAGGAGGCTGCTGGCATGGCTGTGCTGAGAGATGGTCACAGTTGGCGTTAAAATCACAGATGGCATTGTTAAGCCATTGGGTCATCCAGTCCAGAAGCTGGATCTTACCTGCTCTTTCTATTTGCATGAAACAAATCTTCTACATTGCCCCAGCCAGTTTAAGTTGCATTTCTCGGCCACTTGGAACTCAAAACTTCCTGTCACGATGCATTTCTATCTGCAATGATCTGCTTTCATATCTGCCTTAGAGAGGACAGTGACCTCTTTTATTATCCTCTGTGTTCCCAGCTTCCAGTCAGTGTCTAGGACACCTCAGGCACTTAATTATTGTTTGTCGAATCTATAGGACATGACTCTTACCTCATAGAACCTTCAATCTCATTGAAAAATGAGATGCGTGGATATGAATCTGAATAAGATGTGAGGCCAGCTGTGATTAAACCCCAACGCTAGTTCTCCAGACAGTGTTGTCATACTTAATCCTCCTCCTTGAAGCAATGCGGCTGTGAATGAACAGGTCAAAATACCAGATGACAAACCTATTCATAGGCCCAACTGGGCTTTGGTATACAAAAGTCATAGGGAGGAGGGGAAGCTTTTTTCCTTAAAAGGTAAGTTGGCATCATTATTGAAAGCAGGAGACGGGCTCCAAGCAGAGTATCCATTAGAACATGTTTGGTTCAAATGGGACAGAAAAGTGGTTGCAAAATTGCATATGCCAAAAAAAAAAAAAAAAGAAAGAATTGATTGCTTTATGTGCATGAAAACCCCCAAGGATGTGTTCTTCAGGGACACAGATGATGTGAACAGAAGAGCAGCTTCTCACCATCCCTCTGCCCTGCCTTTCTCGGGGTTGGCTTCCATCCCTTGCTCTGCCTGGGAGAAAGATGAGGACAGCAACCCCCACCTGCACATCCTTGTATGTGCCCAGTAAGTGAGAACGACCTGTGGGGTCCTTCTGTGTCATTGGCTCAGGTGGCCAATCTCAGAACCAACCGCTGTGGCCAAGGGGGATGTTATGTTTTGATTAGTTTGGGCTTTGATCATATTTGTTTTCGAGAGGGAGTTTCGCTCTTGTTGCCCAGGCTGGAGTGCAGTGGTGCGATCTCGGCTCACTACAACCTCCACCTCTGAGGTTCTAGCAATTCTCCTGCCTCAGCCTCCTGAATAGCTGGGATTGCAGGTGCCCACCACCACGCCTGGCTAATTTTTTGTATTTTTAGTAGAGACAGGGTTTCACCACGTTGGCCAGGCTGGTGTCAAACTCTTGACCTCAGGTGATCCACCCACCTCAGCCTCCCAAAGTGCTGCAATTACAGGTGTGAACCACCACAGCTGGCCTGCTTTATCTCTTTGGTTGAGCCCAATTGTTGATTTACTCAGACACTGAAGACACTGTCACCAGAAGAAAGGTGAGGGGCTGCTGGGACAAAAGCAAGAGTTGTCTACAGCACACAGAGGTGTCCACTGCACTTGGCCATGGATGGGAAGAATGGAAGCAAATAGGTTACCCCATTCTCACAGCACACGCTGGGGAAGGCCCTGTGCTGGGAACACAAGGACACACGATAGACGGGGCCTGGCTTTAAGGAGTGCTCAGCCCAGGGGACAGGTATGAGCTTTATTCCTGTTTGGCCTGGAATAAGGATGAGGCACAGAGCTGGGCTGGGTCTCTGGTGTGCCCTAGCCCCTAGTCTACAGATATAAAAAGCAGGAAGACAAAAATCCCTCCAGCCCTTATGACAGTCAGGCGCGAACTTGCTTGGTAAACTTGGGCCAGCTTCTTGTAATTTCTGCATTGGTTTTGTTATCTTTCACATCAGGATTATAATGGCTCTGGTCTCCCAGAGCTATAGATGGGGAGAAAAGATGCAATGCGTGGAAAACACTGAGCATAGCACCAGGTTCCAAGTGAGGGCTCAACACATGTTAACTCTATTATGTTTCCTTGGGGCAATGGTGATAGTATGGAGGATAAATCAGCCTGTAATGTGTTTCTTTACATAGTTACTGGAGGATTGACGGGGAAGCAATTGGAGTCAGACTGTCTGGTTTTGAATTTATAGTCGACCACTTATTAGCTATTGGACACCTTAACCTTTCTAGACCTCAGTTTTCACATCTGTCCAATGGGAATATTTATAGACTATATCCCATAAGCCTGTGTGTGTGTGTGTGTGTGTGTGTGTGTGTGCACGTGTGTGTGTGTGTGCATAGTGAAATACTCTGTATATCTTCATTGTTATTCTTCTTTCCGTCCTTCCTAATTGGGAAGCAAGACTTTGATTTATCAGTAGCTTCCTGACCATCTGACTCAGTGCCCAGCATGTAGGAGGTGCTCAGTGAGCAATAGTTTCATGAAACCGTAAAGTATTGCACAGTGCAATGGATGGGACCCTCTGTTGGGCTGGTGAACACAGGCTACCCTTCTTGATACTTAACATTAGTTAGGATTTAAATGCAGTCGTTGTTACAAAGAAACCAGAAAAACAGTAGCTGAATCAGTTGATTATTTCTCTGTCACCTGAGAGTCTGGATGAGACAGTCCAGAGCTCGAACAATGGCTTGATGGCGTCGGGGCCCAGACTCCTTCCCAGTTGTGGCTCCATGCTGCCTGGGGTACTTCTGTCATCTGAATGGCTCAAGATGGCATCCCACACGTCTGTGCTCCAGAGTGGAGAGGGAGATGGTAAAGAGGTGCATTATTTCCCCTCAAAGCCGTCCCACTGGCAGAACTTAGTCACGTGGCCAGGCCTGGCTGCCAAGGAGGCTGGCCGGTGTGAGTTTGATTTGAGTGTCTGTGTGCTCCAGCAAACACTGGGGACTCTGTTGAGGGACAAGTAGAGAATGGATATAGGGGCACAATTAGCAGTCTGTGCCCAGGGCTAGAGCACTGCCTTATGGGGGGAAAAGAACCCAGACAAAAGGGGAGCTGGGATTGGCTCAGAGAGTGGTGTCCCTCAGCTAGAGGAAAGCAATGGGGAAGGTTCTCATTCACAAGCCAACATCGCCTCTGCCCTTCTGTCAGGGGCCACTGGGACCCAGGACCCCAGGATCCCCACCCTTCTTGCTCCTCAGCTTCATGACCCTGCAAAGGCCCTGCCTGGGTAACAGAGAGAGCTAGCTTCATTCAGTGTCGGACCCTACCTCCCATCAAGGAGATTGGGGGGTGAGGTTGTGGACAAAAAGCATGCTTATACACTGTTGGTGGGAGGGTAAATTAGTTCAACCATTGTGGAAAGTAATGTGGTGATTCTCCAAAGACCTAAAGACAGAACTACTATTTGGTCCAGCAATCCCACTGCTGGGTATATACCCAGAGGAATATAAATCATTCTACCATAAAGATACATGTACACAAATGTTCACTGCAGCACTATTCGCAATAGTAAAGACACAGACTCAACCTAAATGCCCTAAAGTGGTAGACTAGATAAAGAAAATGTAGGACAGATACACCATGGAATACTATGCAGCTATGAAAAAGAATGTGGTCATGTCCTTTGCAGAAACATGGATGGAGCTGGAGGCCATTATCCTTAGCAAACTAATGCAGGAACAGAAAAATACTGCATTTTCTCACTTATAAGTGGGAGCTAAGTGATGAGAACACATGGACACATAGAGGGGAACAACAGACACTGGGGCCGGTCAGAGGTTGAAGGGTGGGGGGAGGGAGAGGATCAGGAAAAATTTCTAATGGTTACTAGGCTTAATACCTGGGCAATGAAATAATATGTGTAACAAATAAAAGTTTACCTATATATAAACCTATAAATAAAATTACCTATATAAGTTTACCTATATAAACCATGACATAAGTTTACCTATATAACACAACTGCTTTTTAAACTTTTTTAAAAGTTAAAAACAAAAGATGGGGGTAACTCAGGCCTTCCCTAGAGAGCTCTGGAGGAACCCAAGGGGGCACTGAGCCTCTGTTTCCTCTCTGAGACGAAAATGTGGCTTCTGGGACAGGGACAGGCAGAAATTTGGAAGCAAGAGAAAATCGTTTCTCTAGGCAACACCTCTTTAAAGACAGAGCTTGCTTTGTATTCCACTGGGCAGCCTAGTTCCTGCGCAAGGCCTGGCGCATAGCAGGCATGCAGTGGTGTTTGAACAAATTCTTGCAATTTTTTCCCACTCCTTAGACTTCTAAGACTTGACTTCCGGGGGTTACTACTGCCTTAGGATTTATTTTGATCATTCTCCATCATGAAACCCAGTGCCTGGCATATAGGAGGTGCTCAGCTGTTTGGTTATCCTCCTTAAACACGTTGTGAACCATCAGACTCCAGAGAAGAGACGGTCTCTACCCTTCCATCCTCCTTTCTATGGAGTCAGGGCTGACGGATTTTTATACATACAGAAGGGAGAGCAATGATAATAGTGTTAATTATAGTGATCCCCTGTGAGCACCGACTCTTTGCTGGACTCTTGCCAGGCACTTGATGTGTTCTTTCTAATCCTCCAGCAACCCTTCAATGGGGGTAACATTATCCCATTTTCTAGACGAGGCAACTGAGATGTGGAGATGATGAGTCATTGGCTCATTCCTTTAGAGCATGGGTTGGCAAACTACAGCCTGTGGGTCAAATCCAGCCCACTACTTGTTTCTATAAATAAAGTTTTATTGGCACACAGCCACAGCCATTCACTTACATAACATCTACAGCTGCTTTCTCACTATAACAGCAGAGTTGAGTAGTTTCGACAGAGACCGTATGGCCCACAAAGCCTAAAATATTTACGATCTGGGCCTTTACAGAAAAAGTTTGCCTGATTTAGAAGAAATGTTTGAATACCTTCTCTTTGTCGGGCTAGAAAGCAGATCAGGAAAGGCCTTGCAAGCCATGGTGAGGATGTGAGACTTGTTCTGCTGGCAAAGGATTGCAGCTGCAGGGGTTTGCACAGAGCAGGGACAGGAGGAGATCTGTGTTTCAGGACATCCAGTGTGGCCACTGAGTGGAGAATTTCAGAGAGCAAGCATGCGTGGAGTCAGGGAAACCCGTGAGGAGCTTGCTGAAACAATTCAGGCGAGAGAAGACTGGGCTGGAAGTCACAGTGGGATGAGAGATTTAGGAAGGAGAGTCAGCAGTTGATGACTGCTACTCAGAGGTGAGGAGAGGGGAATCAGGGAAATTATCTAAACTTGGGGGTGATTAGAAATGTCAGTTACTGAGCTAGGAAACACAGGAGGAGGAGGAGCAGGAGCTTGTGTGGGGAGCGGGGAGTTTAGTGAGGGAGGTGTTGAGTTGGAGGTGTCTGTAGGATGTCTCTGCAGGGATGTACAGCAGGAGGAAGTGGGGCTGTGGGTTTGGAGGGACAGGTGTGCATAGGAAGGTGGAGATTGAGGATTCGCCAGCAGAGAGATGTCCCCAGGATGAGCTGAACACCTGGGCGAGATTCAGAGCTGGGCTCTGTTTTTTGGAAACCCACATTCTGGCAGCTCTCGCCTGGTGCTTGCCCTCATGTCCTCTTGAGACCATCTCTTGACCATCTCTTGAGCATCTCTTGAGCTGTAGCCAGAGGGGAGTTGAGAGCCAAGCAAATTCCAACTCAGCCTACAAACAGCCAGGCCCTAGCCCAGGTCTCAGCAGCAGGGAGAGCCTGTCTCAAGTCAAAGATCCCAGGAGAGCTGGAGCTGTCACTCTTCCCGAGAAGTTGACACCTGTCATGTGGATGAGGCCTTTTTTGGTGCCTCGCATCCCCAGCTGTGTTTCTGCGCTGAAGGTGGCCCTGGGGAGCTGGGCTGCACCCCCACAGGGCCATTTTTCTGATGCTGTTTCTTTTTGTGGGCTCAGGTGAGCACTTGACAGTGGAGAGTACAGGAGCAGTCCCCATATGGCCCCTGGGTACCATCTTAGGTGTTTGCAGCATCCAGAAGGCGGGCCTGGTGCAGGCCTGGGGACGGATGGCAAGTGGGAGGCATCCCGCACGCTGGAAATGTTTTGCACCTTTGAGAAGGCTAAGGAAGTCTTCTTTTTCCTCCAGAGATATGACTAGTAGCTTAGGTTTATTTTTTGCCTTGAAAGATTTTTAAGGCTGCCTGAGTCTTGGGGTGAATGGAAGCAGGGTTCTCAAAGCAGATGGGTACCTCCAGAGAGAACCCCCCCATCTGGGAACACGCTGGTTTTTCTAGAGAAAGCCCTGCTGGCTCTCTGGTCTAGTCTACCCTGGAGTTCTGTGGGCTCTCCTCCTTCTGGTGGAGAATGTTGCTTTTATCTGCCATGGGACAGTGTGGGAAAAGATGGTGGTGGGGCTGGTAGACTCTGTCCTCAGCAGAGTTGGAAAGTTGGGGAAAGGTACCCCTCTCCCTACAGAGGGCACTCTCCACCCCTTCTCCCCCACTGGCTGCCTCTTTGCAGGTTCCATTAATCAGCTACTGACTGATGCTTGCTCTACAAGTCAGAGGGCACAAGAGGGAACTTGTTGGCTTGGGTCTTTGAACATCTCAGAGGTAGTGGGTACTTCAGGTAAAGCTGGATCCAGACCATTAGAGATCTGTCTCTCTCTGTCTCTGGGTTCTGCTGTCATCTGTGCTGGCTTCATTCTCAGGCAGGCTGTCCCCATGCTGTGAGGAGATGGCTGTCACCTCCTGGCTTATATCTACCTCACTTGGTGTTGCTAACAGAAAGACAGCATCTCTGCTAATTAACTTGCCACAAAAGTCCTGGGATTCAATGTCCATGGCCCCAGCTGGAGTCACATGGCCATTGCTGACCAGTCCCTATGGCCAAGAAAATGCTGTGTTCTCACTGGGGGTGGGGGCAACTCCATCTGAACGGCCGGGACTGCGTATGGGGGAGGCGTGGCTCTTCAGAGGCGGCATTAGGGTTGTGTTACCAGGAGTGGTGTGATGGGCAGGCAGAAATAACAGACAGATGTTATGCCTGGTGCCTCTGAGAATCATGATGTGCAAATGTCACCTGTGAAGTGGACTGGCTCCCAAGACACACAAAAGTAGGAAGTCACATATGAAGAAGCTTATGTGGAATGTCACAAACAAGGAAGCTAGCTGCACAGTTAGACCAGCAGGGCTTGTGGGTGGGAGGGGGCTGGGGTGCAGGGAATAGAGGATCCAGAACCTGGGGGTGAGGGCGGGGGGTGGAGGGGACTCACCTCCCTCTCCCATCCTTCTCTTCTCCTTCCCTCCCTTCCTCCTTTCTTTTTCTTCTCTCTCTCCCCAAATATCGGAGTGCCTGTTCTGTGCCAGGTACACCATTCACCACCAGGGACACAGAAATGAGCCAGATGGAAACGTTCCCTGCCTCTTAGTGCTGATATTCCTGGGGGAGCTAGATAATAAGCACACAAACAAATAAATGAGACTATTTTAGAGAGATGAGCTAGCACTGACTCACGTATGGTCAGTGCATTCACTAGGGTGGTCATGGAGGGCTTCTCCGAGGAGGTGACATTTGGGTAGAGACTGATGAGGAGGAGCCAGCCCTGGAAGAGCCTGCGTGGGGGAGGGAGGGACAGTGAGCTGGTGATCTCAAGCTAGGAAAGTGCCTGGGCACTCAAGAGACTGGCCTCAGCCCACATGGGTGGAGCCTGGGGATGCGGAAGGTGCTGGAGCCTGGAGTAGTGCTGAGCAGTGGCACAGTGGTGACAGTCAGTTTCAGGGCCACTGGGTGGGACTGATCATTGCTGCCTCCTGGTCTGGATGATGGGCAGGGAGGATATGGGCCCATCCTCACCGAGGAGAAGGAGGAGAACTAAAGACCTTCAGTGCCAACTCTGGACCAGCTGCCATGTACCGTGGTGTATATGTGCCCTTCCCTTCCAGAATGACCCATGGAGGGGTACAGTCCCCGTTTTACAGATGAAGAAACCAAGGCTCAGAGACGTGAGAGGCCCAAGGCCTCTTGCCAGCCTGTAGTGGAGCTCGTATTTGAACTCAGGTCTTTGCAACTCCCAAACTCTTTCTCCCACACTGAACTGCCTCTCACCAAGCGATGGTGACGACCAAAATAAACCCCACGCGGCGTTCGAATGAGGCAGCGGTCCAAAAGTGATTCATAGCTTCTCTTTCCTTCCCACTGCCGTTCGTTTCCTTTCTTAATTTCCACATTTCTGAGCTGAAACAGGCTGGTATTTAAACTTGCCAGTAGCAGATGGGGGGTGGGGGTGGGGCAGCCTTGGCCCCTCAGAGCACGAATGATGGAGGCTGGACCCACCTGCCTGCCGAAGCTGGCTGAGCCCCCAAGGCCAGGTTCCCCCACCCTCAGCCTAAAAGGTGGAGAGGAGGGAGCACACGCTAAGGTACCCCACTTCCCCAGCTCCTGAAATGGTTTCGAAGCAGGAGAGAAGGTATGCTTTTCCTAGCATGTAAATGTCACTTTACTCCATGCCTTCCTTTTTTTATCAGTGCGATTGGAAAGTGGCTGCTATCTCCAAAGGAACCGTGATGCTTTCATCTTCCAAATGCCATCACAGTCGGGACCGACACAGGGTTTAATAGCAGATTATTTTTACAGCTTGCTCTCCCCGGCATCTTTGAATCCTGATGCCATCTGAGCCAGACACGTGCAAGGGGAAGTGGAAGATTGCCATCATAAGCATCTCATGTGTCCTGCATGATGGGAACTTTGAGGGCCCGTTCAAGGGAATCCCTAATTCTAGGATTGGACACAGGTTTCTGAAATCAGCTCAAGCTTGAGAGATTTCATGCGGAAGAGTTTCTGTTTCACCTGGACGTTTTGTAGTGAGTGTCTGTTGATTTTTCCTGTCCAGCTGCTTCTGAAAATAGAATCTCAATTCCCGTGAGGTGTTGCTGCCGCCTCTACCCTTGGTTCATGCATTTTGGGCGGGGAGGAAATTCACCCCTTCCTCCAATTTTTAGGAGTGGGCAAATTAACCAGGTCTGGCCAGTCAACATATTCTTTCCCTGAACCACCTTGATAATTCACATGTGAACAAGAAACCCCAGCCAGGCCAGCAAGATTTGATTTGGAGACTTTTATGAAAATTACCAGGAGAGAAAAGTTTGTCCTACCAGGAAGTGGTTGAATGATTAAGATGGAAACCAGGAGCTACTGGTGGCCAGTGTCCTAGGGGAGAGCCTCCTTTTTAATGAGGCTGACACAGAGGAAAGCAGAGCTGAGACTTAGAGGAGAGTGAGGGAAAGATGGGTTCTGATGGTATCACTTGAGCACCTGGAATCAGCCATTCCTGAAGCTGGATGATTGGACCTGATGATTCTATGAGTTCATAAATTTGGTTTGATGGCAAGGGTATTGACTAATGC
This sequence comes from Homo sapiens, assembly GCF_000001405.40. NCBI lineage: Eukaryota > Metazoa > Chordata > Mammalia > Primates > Hominidae > Homo > Homo sapiens. The sequence continues at coordinate 51,277,270 of NC_000020.11, forward strand.
CTATTGGCATGATCTTGGCTGCATAAAGCAATCTTGTCGCTGAGTTCAACCCCCTCACTTGTTGCTGCAAAGGTATAGCTCATAGCAAGAAGGAAGGCTGTGATCAAGACAGACATCATTCCCTCCCACCCATGCAGACTCCGTGGGGGCCCTCTCTCAGAGGTTCATCTGCTCTCTGGGGATCCCTGAGAAGGATATTCAAAGTAAAAAATTTAGAGCAACCTGCTGGGACAAAGTTGGCAATTGGGGAGGAGGGGCTGGATTCTGGAAGCCACGGAGTGAAGAGGCCTCCAGTGGCCCCCTCCCCTGCTTTAACATAGGGGCCTCAGCCCTCCCAGGTTGCTTATATCAGGGGGCTCTTACAAGCACTGTCACTCTGCTAATCCACTCCCAGAATTGCACTTTGACTAAGCAAATGTTTACTGAGAACTGTGCTGGGCACTGGGAGTTGGCAGGCTTGGGTCTGGGTACTCCATCTTTGCCCCTTAGTAACTGTGTGGTGTTGAGCACAGTCCCTAACCTCTTGGAGCTTTCAAGTCCTCATCTGTAGAATGGGAATAACAATATAGTCTGTTTCCAGGGATTGTCAGGAGGACTCAGTGCTCAGCCCTGAGTCTGGCACACAGTAAGCAACCATGAGCATTCACCGGCATTACTATTCCAGAGGTGGAATAATCCCAGTCCTCTTGTGTATGTGTGTTTTTTTGAGGGGAAGGTGGCTTGAGTTTTAAAGGGGGAGAGTTATATGCACAGAAGATTTTTTATGTTGTATAGTTGATGATAAGTGAGCATAAGCCACAAGTCCAAGCAGCTCTAGGAGCCCAGAAGGAGAGGTGTCTGACCACAAAGTGATATTCAGGGAAGGCTTCCTGGAGGAAGTGACTGCTGAGCTGAGTCTTGAGGATTGAATAGGAGTTGGCGCAGAGAGGGAAGATGCTTAGCAGAGTGAAATGTGTATGTTTAGCAGCATAGCAGGGATAAATACTTAGAGCCACGGCATGAACAGGAACTGTGCCCGATGTTGTTACTGGACAGTGGGATATGATGGAATGAGCATGAGAGGGTGAGATTGGAGAGACTGGCCGGGAAATAGGATGGGAAGAGTTTGGGGTGGATCCTGAGGGCAGTGGGATCCACTAGAGTATTTTCTTTTCCTTTCTTTTTTCCTTTTATTATTATTATTATTATTTTTTTTTTTTTGAGACAGAGTCTCGCTCTGTCACCCAGGCTGGAAGTGCAGTGGTGCAGTCTCAGCTAACTGCAGCCTCCACCTCCTGGGTTCAAGCGATTTTCCTGCCTCAGCCTCCTGAGTAGCTGGGACTACAGGCATGCGCCACCATGCCCGGCTAATTTTTTGTATTTTTAGTAGAGATGGGGTTTCACCGTGTTGGCCAGGATGGTCTCGATCTCCTGACCTTGTGATCTGCCCACCTCGGCCTCCCAAAGTGCTGGGATTATAGGCGTGAACCACCGAGCCCAGCCCCATTAGAGGATTTTCTAATAAGGGAGCAGCATGATTAGATTTGAGCTTTAGGAGTCCACCTAGACACTGTTTTGTAGGAAGATTGGAGGGGAAGCGAGGGGGAGATGTGTTGGTGCACCGGGACAAATGGTAGTGAGGTCCAAAACCGGGCAGAGGTGACAGTCTGGAAGTAAGGGGCAGAGCCTGGGGTATGTGGGAGTGGACTAAACACCAAAGCACCACACTCCGCTCCGGTCCGTGGCTTCCCAGGACCATGATTTGAGACACATCACATATGTCTTATAGAATGATGGGTTGTTTACCAGAAACTCTAAATGCTGACATCATCTCTCCCCAAATTAGCCTCATCTTTCTCAGCCAATCTGCCATATCTGGGCATGTTTTGCCTTGATCAACTGTTGTCTTATTTTCTCTTTTTTTCCTCCCCAAATACTGATCCCAACTCTTAGCTACAGGACTGATCCTCCAAGTTCTCCTGGAATCATAGCAAACATTTATCTTTCTGTGCCCCTGTACATCTTACCAAATGCTCTCCCTTGCAGTATCCCAGTTTGTCTTCACAGAAACCCCAGGTAGTAAGTCGAATGAATATTATGGCACCTATTTTAGAGATAAAAGAACAAAACAGCTGAGAATTTAAGTGCCCAAGATCATACAGTAAATGCCTTTTTTCAAAAAAAAATAAGCGTTCGGAATAATTTTAGATGTATGGAAAAGTTGCAAAGATAGTACAAAAAGTCCTCACATACCCTTCACCCAGTTTTCCCTTTTGACATCTTATATCACTGTGGTACGTTTGTCACAACTAAGAAACAAACATTGCTACATGAGGCCGGCTGAATAATTAGGCCCCCCAAAGATGTCTATGTCCTAATCCCTGGAAGCTACAAATGCGTCCCCCTACGTAGCAAAGGGACTTTGAGGATATGATTAAGCTAAAGATCTTGAGATGAGTAGATTATCCTGGATGACCTGGGTGGGCCCAGAATAATCACCAGGGTCCTTGTAAGAGGGAGACCACAGACTTAGGGTCAGAAAGAGAAGAAGTAAAGATGGAAATGAAACAGGTCAGAGAGGAGAGATGTTCAGCTGCTGGCTTTGAAGATGGAGGAAGGAGCCACAAGCCAAGGAATGTAGGTGGTCTACACAAGCTATTATAAAAAAGGCAAGGAGATGGCCTCTCTTCTGGAGCCTCCAGAAGGAACTGGCCCTGCTGACACCTTGACTTTAGCCAGTGAGACCCATTTCAGCCTTGTGTTAGTCTGTACTTGTATTGGTATAAAGAACTACTGAGACTGGATAATTTATGTAGAAAAGAGGTTTAATTGACTATTCCACAGGCTGTACAGAAAGCATGGCTGGGGAAGCCATAGGAATCTTACAATCATGGTGGAAAGCAAAGGGGAAGCAGGCACATCTTTACATGGCAGAGCAGGAGAGAGAGGGAGGTGCTACACACTGTTAGACCATCAGCTCTCGTGAGAACTCACGCTCATGAGAAGAGCAAGGTGGAAGTCCTCCCACATGATCCAATCACCTCCCACGAGGCCTCTCCTCCAACAATGCGGATTACAATTCGACATGAGATTTGGGCAGGGACAGAAATCCAAACCATATCAAGCCTCCAAAACTATAACAATACATTTGTGTTGTTTTAAGCCGTTAAGTCCTTGACAGTTTGTTACAGCAGCAACAATGAATGAATACAGTACATTACTAAAAACGAAAACTGCACACTTTCTTTAGATTTCACCAGTTTTCCCATTAATGTTCTCTGTTTGTTCTAGGACAAGCAGGGTGCCACGTTGCATTTGGTCATCATGTCCCCCTGTCTCTCTGGTCTGTGGCAGTTTCTTGGTCTTTTCTTGTTTCTCACGACCCTGGCAGTTTTGAGGAGTACCTGCCAGGCATCTGGAGGATGTTCCCCAATCTGATGTTGTCTGTTTTTCTTATAATTAGACCAGGGTTATGAGATCCCACTCTTTTCTAATCTCCCAGAATTGTGTCTGTGCTACCCTCTGTTGATTCAAGCTCTCCAAGCTTGCTCCTTACTCCATAGCCATGTATCTGAATGGATCATTCCACTCAATATGAGCCCATTCACCTTGTTGGTTATTATGCTGTTGTCTTCAACTTGAAGATCAACTAGGGAATTTATGGCACTATTTATAGTTTTTGGCAATTGTTTGAAGTTTGGAATAAGGTTTACAAATATATGTCAGAGCTATGTGAGCCTCTGATTTTTAGTGTGGAGTTTTAAATTTCTGTTTTATGGTAGGATTTTGTTGTTGTTATTCATTTCTTTGTTTTATTTTCTGTGCAGGTACTTGTGATGGTTAATTTTATGTATCAACCTAACTAGACTAAGGGATGCCTAGATATAGCTGGGAAAACATTATTTCCGTGTGTGTCTGCGAGGTGTCTCAGGAAGAGATTAGCATTTGAATAGGTAGACCCAGGAAAGAAAATCACCCTCGTTATGCTTTTGTTTGGGTGTTGAGATAGAGTCTCACTGTGTTGCCCAGGCTGGAGTGCACTGGCGTGACCTCAGCTCACTGCAACCTCCGGCTCCCAGGTTCAAGCGATTCTCCTGCTTCAGCCTCCCAAGTGGCTGGGATTACAGACATGTGCCACCACGCCCGACTAATTTTTTGTATTTTTAGTAGAGACAGAGTTTCACCGTATTGGCCAGGCTGGTCTCCAACTCCTAACCTCAAGTAATTGGCCTGCCTCGGCCTTCCAAAGTGCTGGGATTACAGGCATGAGCCGCCACGCCAGGCCCACCCTCACTATGTAATGGGCCTCATTCGATTCCTTGAGGGCCCAGATAGAACAAAAAGGCAGAGAAAGGGCAAACTGGCTCTCGCTTCCTGAAGACAGGAATACCTGTCTTCTGCCTTTGAACTTTGGACCTCCTCATTGTCAGGCCTCAGGAATCAGACTGGAAATTATGCCACTGGCTCCCCTGGACCTCAGGCCTTAGGAATCACACTGAACTACACCAGTAATTGTTTTCCTCGTGCTCCAGCTTGCAGACAGCAGATGGCAGGACTTCTTGGCCTCCATAATCATGTGAGCCAATTCCCATAAGAAATCTCCTCTTATATATCTATACATATCCTGTTGGTTTTGTTTCTCTGGAGAACGCTGACAAATAAGCATTGGATTAAAAAAAAATTTTTTGAGACAGAGTCTCACTCTGTTGCCCAGGCTGAAGTACAGTGATGTGATCTCAGCTCACTGCAACCTCTGCCTCTTGGGTTCTAACAATTCTCATGCCTCAGCCTCCCAAGTAGCTGGGATTACAGGTGTGGGCCACCACACCCAGCTAATTTTTGCATTTTTAGTAGAGATGAGATTTCACCATGTTGACCAGGCTGGTCTCAAACTCTGGGCCTCAAGTGATCCTCCCACACCTGCCTTCCCCAAGTGCTGGGATTATAGGCGTGAGCCACCCACTGCACCTGACCCCCAGGATTAAATTTTAAAAGAGTTTTGAAATACAACAAGGTCCATCTTTTGCTGGGGTTGGTACAATAAGGTGGCATGGCAGGTGTGGTGAGCTGGCATACACCATCCATTTCACCTTCATCCTAGCCGGTCTTCCCATCTGTAGAGGCAAGAAAGTGACCAACTACATGTCCCAGAGCCTCTTGCTGCTGGGCCTCAAGATGTTATTGAGGTTGGGCCAGTCAGATACACACAAATGAGATTTGCTCCTCCTTTCAGGAAGTTTTCTGTGTTCTATTTTAATATTAAGTTTCTATGACCTTAGCACATGTTCATGGAAGTGTCTGTTGGACAGACTATAAGGGTATTAGTTTCAAAAGTTAGTCTGTACATTTGATGCATATTCAATGTGTATGCAGACAGGGCGTGGTGGCTCACCCTGGTAATCCCAGCATTTTGGGAGGTTGAGACAGGAGGATCACTCTAACCAGGAGTTTGAGACCAACCTGGGCAACATAGTGGGACCCCCTCACACACCCCAACCCCATCTGGTCAAAAAATAAATAAAAATTAGCCAGGCACAGTGGCATGCACCTGTAGTCCCAGCTACATGGGAAGCTGAGGCAAGAGGATCACTTGAGCCTGGGAGGTTGAGGCTATGGTGAGTCATGATCATGTCACTGCACTCCAGCCTAGGCAACAGAGTGAGACCCTGTCTCAAAAATGAATGAATGAACGAATGTATATACAGATATATTTCCATTGACTAATGACCAGAAACTCTTACTCTAACAAAAACTTTGCTCAAGCCACTGAATTATGCACAGTGCAAAACAAAACAAAACAAAAAAACTGTGTTTGGCTACATACAGCAGAAGCCTGACTAATAGTGGCTTAAACAAATAGATGTATGTTGGAGTTGGGGACAGATTTGTTGTTTCACATAAGATGTCCAGAGGTGGGCAATACTGGTTTTAATTCAGCTGCTCGAATAGGATGTGAGGAACCTAGGCATTTTCTTTTTTATGTCTTTCTACTTTGCCTTCTTTAGCATTTTAGCTTTTTGCCTCATGATCACAAAATGGCTCCTGTAGCTCCAGACCTCACAACTATGCTCAAAGCAAGAAGGAGAAAAGAAGAAAAGGCAGCCTTAGCATAGCTACATTTTCCATTACAAGGGCAAAGCCTTTCCCAGAAGGCCCCACAGCAGACTTCCCCTTGGTCTTCTTGGTCAGAAGTAAGTCATGGGACCACCCCTAACTGCAAAGGATTCTGAGAAATTTAGGGGGCATGATTGTCACAACTGGCTTAAGTTAATCACAACCTATTTTGGGGGTGGGGGATGGCTAAGCACATTGTCTCCCTGACAAAGTGAGGGTACTGTTAGCAAGGACGGAGGGAGAATGATTACAGGGCAGACAATGAACCTTGCCTGCCATACCAGCAAACATTTCTGATCACCTCTTGGGAGTCAAACACTGTGTTAGGCTTTCTAAGGGATTCAAAAAAGTATAAGAAACATTCACCACCTTCAAGTCCTCCAGTCAAGGAGGTGGTTTTATCAGGACTGTCTCCCGTGCAAGGGGATAGAAACTCTACTCAAACTGACCTAAGAAGAAAGGCGTTTATAGGTTCATGTAAATGAAAAACCAGGGTGCATTTGGCTTCAGGCATGGCTGGATCCAGGTATTTATACGATTTCAAAAAATAAAAAAATAAAGATTCATCTCTGGGCTCTGCCTTCCTTTCTGCTAGCTTGGTTTTTAGGCAAGCTCTTCTCATCGAGTGACAAGGACGCTGTCCACAATTCTAGACCTACATCCCACAAGCTCAGTAGCAATAGGCACAGCTCAGGTTGTACAGCTCAGGTGGTACCTTCAGTTCTGATGGGCTGGGCCTGAGTTCTGCATTCACCAGGACCTAAGGGTGGGGTCAGCCCCACCCAAACCCCATAGACTGAGAGTGGTTGCCTACCTGCAGGGAAACTGCAATTCTGTTCTAGCAAAAAAGGAGGGATAAACACTGGGTGGGGGAAAAAATGTGATTTCTCTACAGAAGAGAATTTAAAGAGGTGAGAAAGTCCTAGTGATTCATCAACAAACGATTAGTCCCAGGAGGTTTCAGCTGTCCTTCCTGCAGCTGACAGACTCTGCTTGGTGACACACACACTAGGCTAGATGTGTGTTGAGAACATCCTTGTTTCCATGCTTCTTCTGCTCTGGGTTTGGCCAGAGAGGTCCCAAGGTCTCATTGCCCCATTTGCATAGAATGTCAACATGACTAAGCACACATCAGTGATGGTGATTTTACAGTTATATTAGGTATAAAAGCTGGCCCAAAGCAGCACAAGCAATGAAAATTCAACAGCCTCAAAATCTCATGATCAGGGATGTCGGTAAAGTGAGCTCAGCTCTGGAGTTTGATCTCGTGTGGGGTGCTTGGTAATGGGTGATAATTGCAGCTTGCTGCTTTCTTCTTCACCTAAGTTAGAATCAGGTACCTTCTGCCCAGATCTTGCAGCTACTGTTGAGTGGCCCTTGCCAAGAGACGTAGAGGTCTATGCCTATTTCCTCATCTGTAAACCTGGGATACCTGTAACAATAGGTTTTATTTCCCAGGGTTAAAATCTCAGGGTGCTGTAGGGAGGATTCAATTAGAATATGCATGTTCACCCCTTAGCCCAGTGCCCGACCCTGAGGGAGCTTCTCATCTCTGCTGTTGGGAGGACGAGGAGTTGCATGTTCTGCCACGAAAGTGCGTTGTATTCACGCAGGCACTACTTACAAGGCTTTACATACATCAGCTCATCTAACCCAGCCCAGCTGGTACTGTCATCCCTATTGTTCAGATGAATTAACTGGCTTTGCAAAGGCCACACAGTTTGCTCAAGGCTGCATAGATCTGTCATAGCAGAGCCGGGACTGGAGCCCAGCCTTCCAATGGCAACTACCAGGGCCAGCCCCAGGGGGAGGCAAGTGAGGCACCAGCCCCACCTGCAAAATGTAAGGGGGCCTAAAAGCCCAGTCATCAAGATAAATTATATTTGAATGCACTATTTTAAAAAATCAAAATTAATGCAAAAAGGATCCATGGCAAATATCCATGAGGCAAAATATTATGTTTGCAAATGAAAACAGGATTATTCTGGCTGATTTTTTCTTTTGCTCAGACTGTCATAGGGGGCCTGGCCTGGTGCTGGGACTGCATTCCCAGTGCTGGCTGCATTCGCAAGCAGGTGCCCCTTCAGGTGGCAGAGGTGACCCCTGAAGCCTCTTCCAACAAGCTCAGCGGAGAGGACGCCTCCCCTCTGAAAGGCAAGCAGAGCTGCGGAGGTACTCCTCACTGGATCATATGCAGGGACAGTTGGGAAGGATGGCACCTCCCAAAATGTTGAGGTGCTGTTTCAATTATAAAAAGAGGACTGAGTGTTAAATATGCAAACGGCACAGACTCTACTGCAAGTGGGCAGTGGCTAATCTTAAGGACCCTCGCTCCAGTGGTGGAGGGCCAGGCTTGGGACAGAGCCCGACTTTGGCCAGAGATCCTTCCTGATGTCCCCAGGCTAGCACAAGCCTCCAAGGCAGCTGGGTCTTAGGTCCTCTGTAGCCCTAGTTCTCTAGTCAGTTACTTCTGCTCAAGCCTGTTTCATCATTGGCTACGTTGTACTCACGCCTCCTCCCCTTCCTCCTCAAAGCAATCTTGCTGAACTGCCAGGCCCATTAGTTATCATTCAAATCTCTTTGATCAGACCTATTTGTGCACTGATAATGAATGGGTTTGCATCTCAGTCCCTCCCCACAGTAAAGGCTTCTGGGGGAGGAAAGAACTCATTCCCATTTCCTGGGGAAGAAGCCAGCAAGACATAATAAGGAATTTGGGGTTAGACACCCAGCAGTATTGAGAAAGTCTCTGTGTGCAAAACAGCAAGAACTGCAGCCAGCTTCTTCTAGAACACTGCTCCTGAGAATCTCACCTTTCCTATGAGGGCAAGTAGGATGCTTGGGAGACAGGACCAAGATGGCGAGGATGGCAACAGTTGGTGGTGAGATTACCCTTCCACCAACAGTCTGCAGGGGCTGGGGAGCAGCTGCCACCTGCCCAGCATCTGTGCTCACCAGTTTGCCACAGTCCCCACCACTCCCTATTGTTTGACATCCTGTCTACTTTATTCATTTCTATTACCTGACTTGCTATTGCATGAGTAATATCTCTTTCTTCCTTTGCATTGAGGCTAAGCTTTTTGCATTCTGATATCATTACCTCTGAAAGCCAGACAGGGGAGGGGGGCGTCCATCAGCTCAACCAATCAACTCAAACTGACCTAACAAGAAAGGAGTTTATAGTTCAATGAAAAGTCAAGGGTACGTTTGGCTTCAGGCATGATTGAATCCAGGTGTTTATATTATTTTCTCAAGAAATCATTTGTATCTGGGCTCTGCCTTCCTCTCTGCTAGCTTAGATTTCAGGCAAGCTCTTCACATAGAATGACAAGGAGACTGTCTACAATTCCAGACGTACACCCCACAAACTCAGGAGCAAAGGGTGCAGCTCAGATTTTAGGGGTGGTACCTTCAGTTCTGATTGGCCTAGGACCTCAGGGTGGGGCAAGCACCACCCAAACCCCATAGACTGAGAGTGGTTGCCTACCCTCAGGGAAACAGCAGTTCTATTATAGCAAAAAAAAGGAGGGAAACACTGGTTTATTGTTAGCAAATGTTCACTTTCTTCCTCCTTCCCCCACCCCCTATTGAAGGAGTACATTCTCTGCCCCATTGATGCTGGGCTTGGCCTTGTGATTCGTTTTGGTCAATGGAATGTGGAAGAAAGCAAGAGTGTGCAATTCTGAGCCTAGGCCTTAAGAGGATTGCAGATTTCCACTTGTTCTTCTGATAACTTCTGACTTTACCCATAAGAATAACATACTCCTGGGTAGCTGCTGCCCTTTCATCCTGAACCCCAGAAAAACACATGGAGAAAAGCTGTTTTCCCGTATACCTTTGAGGTATAGTGTATTAGTTTGAGGATGAGTGTATTAGTTTGTTCTCACGCTGCTAATGAAGACATACCTGGGACTGAGTAATTTATAAAGAAAGGAGGTTTAATTGACTCACAGTTCCACATGGTTGAGGAGACCTCATAATCATGGCGGAAAGTGAAGGGGAAGCAAGACACATCTTACATGGCAGCAGGCAAGAGAGAGTTTGTGCAGGGGAACTCCCATTTATAAGACCATCAGATCTCGTGAGACTTATTCACTACCATGAGAACGGTATGGAGGAAACTGCCCCCACGATTCAATGATCTCCACCTGGCCCTGCCCTTGGCACATGGGGATTAGTACAATTCAAGGTAAGATTTGGGTGGGGACACAGCCAAACCATATCAATGAGTATAAATGCTTATTGTATGCCACTGAGTTCTGGGATGGTCTCTTACATAGCAAAAGCTGACAGACACAAGGTGAAGGCTTGTGAGATTCAGGAAAACTGTGGTAGCAATGAGCATGAGTGAAACTGGAGTAAGAACCCTGAGATATGATCAGGTCAAATGTGGTTTGACCCTGATAGGATTTTGTACTTAATAGTTTGCATCTTAGGCAGGCTGCTTAACCTCTGTGCTTCCTCTGTAGTCTCCTCCTGTGATGAATGGGTATGATCATCCCTGCCCTGCAGGGCTACGGTGAGAATGACCAGATGTTGTGCCTAAAGTGCTTGAGATATAGTAGCTTCTCAATACCTTGATTTTGTGAGGTTTTTTTGCTATGTGTTGCCAAAGTGTTAAGCTTTGAGAATGGCTCTGTGAATCACTTGTCACCAGAAACCACTTAAGAATAAGCTTTAGATGTAAAGAGAGTGGGCTCTGGAGTGAGGCCGTCTTGCTGTCATGCCAGCTGCACCACTTGCTGGCTGGTGACTTCGGGCCAGTCCCTTCATCTTTGCATGCTGATGTGTGTGGGTGACAGATCCTGGCTCGGGGCTGCTGGAGTGGACATTCCCTAAGACAGGCAGTACCAGGAAGGCAGTCAGTGCCCAGTGGTGGCCTATGATCACAGCTGCTGCTGTTAATTATGCAGGACTCTGACATTTCCTGTCCTGTCTCATCTCATCTCGCTTTCCCTCCATCTAGTGTTTCCCTGAGAAGGAGCCTTGGGCCACCTAGCACAGAATTGCTTAGATAGGGGAAGGTGGTACTTGTTAAAATTCAGACTCCTGGGCCCTCTCACTGACCCTAGAGTCAGACTCTTGGGAATGGATCCAGAATCTGCATTTCACCATCTCCCTGGTGATTGTTTTGCACAGTGGCCTGGGTCATCCCCTGCCCGTGGTCCTAGCACTGACCCGGTTTCAGCCCTTGAAGGGCCTCTATGGCCCCTCCCTGGCTTCCTGTAGCTGGTAGGTGGGCTGGCTGAACTTGGGGATGATGAGGCAGACAGGGTTGATGGGGGCGGGGGGAGGGCTTTGGGGTGCCTCCTGCCTTCTGCTGCTTTCTGGAACTGAACTTCAGTTTTCAAGATGGGGAAAGGAAAGTCAGCCAGGAGGTCACTTCCATGACCGTGGACATTGTCTCTCAGTGCAGTTGAGTCAGGAGGACCCGATTTTTCATATAGGTCAGTGGTTCTCAGAATTTAATGTTCCACTGTTGGCTATATTGTCCTCCTTGTTCCATTACTTATTTATTTGATATTTTTCTTTAACTCACTTAAAATATCTAAGTACGTTTCTAGCCCTCATTTATATTACATCCATGACTTGCCATAAATCTAACAATACACAGTGAAAATGCAACCTTGCTTCTACTTGAGGGTGGACCCGATGTCTGCCAAGGCCTTGAGCCTGAATCCCCTTGCTCTGTGTTAACCAGGTTGTGTGGAGTGTTGCAGGGGTGTTAAAAACCTATTTGCACCAATGAACACATCTCTTAACATAATCAGGAAGATGTAAAGAGGCTGAAGAGCATCCCTTTGTCACTGTGATTCAAGGTACAGTCGAGTCTCATTATTTGAGAATTTGGGGATTTATTTACTCACTTAAAATTTATTTGTAAGCCCTAAATTAGTACTCACAACACTTTCCAGATTGTTTGCAGACATGCACAGAGCAGTGAAAACTTTGAGTCACCTGACTTGCACGTATCTAACTGGTGGAACATGGTGATGCTTTGCCTTCTTGTTTCAGCCTCATAATATAAGCAAGTGTCCTTTTCATGGTCTATTTAGTGTCAGAGAAAATGCATGTGTTAGATAAGTACATGGGTGTTAGATACATTTGTCGGAATTAGTACAGAGAATCTGCATGTCTCAGATGAGCTTCCTTCAGGCCTGAGTTGTAGAGCCATTCGTTGGGAGCTCAGTGTTAAGGAATCAATAATATATGTTGAATAAGGCATCTTCGATCAGAAATACTCATCAAATAAGGCTACATGTTGATTGGTTGGTGAAAATGTGACCAGAGGCTCTCAGGAACCTAACCCTGTATTTCCCCTAGGAGCTGTTGTTCAATATTTGCTAATTCAGTGTTCACAATGACTTTATAGGACGTAACTACCATGCATAACAGAATCAAGTGTACTCCAATGCCTATCTGTGAGACACACCATCCTTTCTTTCCAGGCACACCCTGGGCTCAGGGCAATGTTCCCTCATACAGCCCCCCACTTTATGTGGGGGGAAGGCAGACATAGAGGGGAAGCGTCCAGCTTAAGGTCCTCCCAGAGAGGTAAGGGACCAAGCCTCACCTAGAACTCAGGTCTGTTGCTCTCTTTTCCCACCCCACTGGACCTCACAGCAGGACTGGGTGGGATGGAAGTCCCAGGTGAGAGGAGATGGAGGCTCATCATCATCAATGCCCACACCGGGGTGCATCATTAGCCCTCCAGGTTCAAGGCAGCAGTGACAGGAGCAGCTGCCTGCCTTTGCACAGCCCCGTGTTCCTTCCCCATAGCCTCATAGTTGCACTGTTCACCGCAGCCCTTGCCCAGGGACCCTGTTCTCTCTTTTGAATCACTATTTTAGTTCCTCACTCAGCTCTTCATAGACCAAGCACCTTGACCTGTTCTCTCTCTCTTAGAATTATAGCTATCTTTTTTTTGTAGATAATAAAAGTAATACATGAATATTATAGTAAATGCAGGCCATGCACTTTTATAAAGAAAATAACAATCACAAATAACACCACCCCAAGGCAGCCGGAGCTACTTTTCAATGTTTTCTCTCAGTTTGACACATGCACACACAGGCACACATACATAGAAACAAAATTGGGAAGTAAATTTCTATCTTGTTTTAGCTGCATAAATTTCTGTGAGCACTTTTCCAAGTCATTAGATATTTCTTGAAATGTCACTTTTTTTTTTTTGGTCTAATCATATTCATCCTGAATGAGCATGTAAATAAACATTTATTTCTCTCATTGACCACTGAGGATTTTTGGGTTTAACCATCATAAAACAATTTTAATGACAAAAGAGTGTTTGTAACATGGTTGTCCAATCTTTTGGCTTCCCTGGGCCACACTGGAAGAAGAAGAATTTTCTTGGACCACACATAAAATACACCAACACTAATGATACATGATGAGCTAAAAAAGAAAAAAAATCAGAAAAAAATTCCATTTTTTGTTGTTGTTGTTTCTGTTTGTTTTTTGAGATGGAGTCTCGCTCTGTCACCAGGCTGGAGTGCAGTGGTGTGATCTCAGCTCACTGCAACCTCCAATTCCCTGGTTCAAGTGATTCTCTTGCCTCAGCCTCCCAAGTAGCTGGGATTACAGGCATGTACCACCACGCCCAGCTAATTTTTGTATCTTTAGTAGAGATGGGGTTTCACCATATTGGCCAGGCTGGTCCCAAACTCCTGACCTCATGATTCGCCCGCCTTGGCCTCCCAAAGTGCTGGGATTATAGACATGAGCCACCGCGCCCGGCCATAATGTTTTAAGAAAGTTTACGAATTTGTGTCGGGCCACATTCAAAGCCATCATCAACCACATGTGGCCTGCAGGCTGTGGGTTGGACAAGCTTGGTTTATAACATTTGGTATTTTAAAAAATAGGATACCCATGATCAATTATCTTCTCAGCACGTGGGAACTTGTGGCATCAGACATTGATTACTCTCACTTTTTCGGGTGAAGAAACCAAGAACCCAGAGAGGTTCAGGGACTCACCCAGAGACACCGAGCAGGTGAGGATGGCCTGCACTTTACAGACCGGATAACAGTCCCCCTTTCAAAGGCAGCAGGCCTCCAATTTGGGGCACTTTCTTCAAACCACAGCCACGAACTCTATTCACTTTGAATTTCATTTTCTGCCAACAGAAAGTCCTTGGAGTAGTTGCTTTCCTCCATACACTTCTACAGTGTTGGGAACCTTCCAGAAGGTCCACCTGGGTGGTCAGAAAAGTGTACAGGTTTCCTTGGATGTCCATGAGGGCCCCAGGGGGCTCTACTCCAGGGCTCTGCAGACTACACCCCAAGTGCCAAATCCAGCCTCCCATTTGCTTTTGTACTCTCCGAAAGCTAAGAATGGTTTTCACATTTTTATGTGGTTGAAAAAAAATAATCAGACAATTGCGATTGATTTCAGTGATAGAGAACACTAACTCTGACCCCCAATTAAGCAAGTATTATCCTCCCCCTAAATTCCATTCCTCTAATTAGTAAACCTATATTACTTTTTCAAAGACCACACTTAGTTATTACTATTATATTTTGAATTTCATCAATAAAAAAATGTGTGGAAATTTGGTTTTTATCTTGTAACTACTTGTATAATATTTTCAATTTTGCCTCTTGGCTCACAGAGCCTGAAATATTCACTGTCTGGCCCTTTGCAGGAAAAGTTTGCCAGCCCTTGGTCTACACTGGTGAAAGGTCCTGTGGATGACTCGGTTCCCTCTCATGTTGGGGAGTCTGATAACCAGGCCTCAAGCTCAGAATCGCAACTACCTTCTGGCCCCAGCAGGATTCATTTCATTACACTCTTTTCTTTGACACCTTTAGCAATTATAAACCAAAAACAGGCTGCATGCAGTGGCTCACACCTGTAATCCCAGTACTTTGGGAGGCCAAAGCAGGAGGATCACTTGAGCCCAGGAGTTCAAGACCATCCTGGGCAACACAGGGAGACCCCTGTCTCTACAGATGAGTTTTCTATAAAATAGCCAGTACCTGCCTGTAGTCTCAGCTACTGGGGAGGCTGAGTCAGGAAGACTGTTTGAGCCCAGGAGGCCGAGGCTGCAGTGAGCTTTGATCAAGCCACTGCACTCCAGCCTGGGCAACAGAGTGAGACCCTGTCCCCTAAAACAAAACCCATCAATAGGAAACAGAAGTTACAAGGACCAAATCAGGATCTTGGTTTAGAACATGAAGTCTCCAAAACTGGAGTGATGAGACATTGCAGAGACATCCTCATCACCCACTACCTCAACCCATTGCCCTCCTGCTCAAATCTGGTCCCCCCTCGAGGTATCCACTGCACAGCATATTCCTTCCTAACATCAGCCTATGCTGTGGGATTCATCTTTTCCTCCTTTCCATTAGCCTTTCCTTTTCCCTGGGGTCTGGAGTTTCCCAGGACAAAAGTAATAGAGCTCAAAGCTGGAAGGAGATGGAGGAAAGACTTCTGTTGGCATAGTAAGGTGCTATCTCCCTTGCTCACAACTGATCAACCTGTCACCCTCTGTAAGTATATTAGTCCATTCTCACACTGCTGTAAAGAACTGCCAGAGACTGGGTAATTTATAAAGGAAAGAGGTTTAAGTGACACAAAGTTCCACAAGGCTGGGGAGGCCTCAGGAAACACAATCATGGCGGAAGGTGAAGGGGAAGCAAGGACCTTCTTCACATGGCGGCAGGAGGGAGAAGTGCAAGCAAGGGAAATGACAGACACTTATAAAACCATCAGATCTCATGGGGACTCACTCACTACCATGAGAACAAGATGGAGGAAACTGCCCCCATGATCCAGTCACCTCCTACCAGGTCCTGCTCTCAACATGTGGGGATTATGGGGATGACATTTCTAGATGAGATTTGGGTGGGGCCACAGAGCCAAGCCTTAGCAGTGAGATATCAGCTCTTCTTAGATTCCTCCATCCTCAATCCTGATCATCATGGGCTTTTCCTTCTTTTCTCTTCTCCACCTTCAAAATTCAAGGCTCCCCCATTCCATCCCCTAGGCTAGGCTAGAACAGAAAGCAGAGATCCAACAGCAACCCACAATGCGAGCCAGAAAAAGGGGGGTTGAAACCCAGGGGAAGGGCAGAGGGAAAGCATTCAAACCACTGAGGAGGAAAAGTGACACCAGGAAGAGGGTCCAGGGTGTAGCCCTGAGGGCTCCAAAGACTCTAGAAGCCAAGTCCTGTGCCAGCCCATGGAGCCCCCGAAGGGGAAGCAGCTCCGAAATCCCCATCTCCCTCATGGACTCAGTAAGCTTGGATTCTGTTTTGTGGATCTGTGGCAAAGAAACAACAGAATATTGTTAGAATATTGTTTGAAGAGCATCATCGACGGAGCACAATTCCCCTCCACCCACCCACCCACCCCACCTCCAATCAGCAGCAAGTGCTGGAGGAGACCAGTAGACCCAAATATCTGTCTGTCCAAGTGGGTGGTGTGTGCCTGTTCTGTGCAGGGACATCACCACCTCTGCCGCTTAGGATCAAGGACATGGAGCCTGGATAGCATAGGCCTAAACAACAGCTATTTATAAACATGTCACACAGAGTTTACAAAACACACACACACACAAATTATGTCATCACATTATCCTAAATTCTCCTAAAACTTGCATCTCTCACTTGAGTCTTGCAAAGAGAGTGACATTGTTCATTTCATGACTTTATACTTTTCTGATTCCTTTAGGTATCATAACTTATTTAACCCAACCCCCTATTGATGGATGTTAGGTTGTTTCTGTGTGTAAATGTGTGTGTGCGTGTAACACATATTGCACATGATGTTACATGAACATCCTTGAACATAAATCTTCACTTACTTGGGCCTTTATTTCTATAGATTTCCTAATAGTGAAATTTGGGGGATAAAGTTGTCTTCATTTAAATGGATTCTGTCAAATCACTCTCAAAAATGGCTGTACCATTTTGTACTTCCACCAGTGGAGTATCTGGGTTGTCATTTCACAGTTCCAAAACAAACATGGAATATGCTCCATCTTTGACGTTTTAGCCAATTTGTTAGATTTTCTTGGAGACTGGTAACTCAATGTCAGAATTTGCATTTTTGAATGATGAGTGTGCCTTGACTTTTTACATATTTTTAGCTATGTGAGTTTCTTCTCTAATTGCCCATTTGTAGACTTGTTTCATTTTTCTTCTGAGCTGATGGAAATTTTTCTCTGATTTGCAGGTGGAGCAGGAGCCTGGCTGGTTCCTCCTGCTCCAGCCCTGGGCTTGGGGCCCCACTCACCTGCCTCACTCAACTCATCTCTCCCTTCCTCTTTCTTCCAACCCTGGCCCAAGGAATCCTTTCTCTCCTAGGCTGCAGGGGACCCATCCTTCCTCACTTATCAGCGTGCTCCCAAATGCAGTGACTATAACTGAAAGGCCTTCCTTTTTCCAAAAATGATGGCTATTTGAAACTCAAAAGGCAGTGATTGAGTCTTTAATACGTTAAACACAGAGATATCATAAGACCCAGAAATTCTCCTCCTGGGTATATACCCAAAAGAATTGAAAGCAAGTGTTCAAGCAGAATCTTGTATGTGATAATTCATAGCAGCATTCCTTATAAGAGGCAAAAGATAGGAATAGCCTATCATCCTTCAACTGATGAATGGATTGCAAAGTCCGGTTTCTCCATAAAACAGAATATTATTCATCCACAAGAAGGAATGAAATACTGATACACGCTACAACGTGAATGAACTTGAAGTCACTATGTTAAGTGAAAGAAATCAGTCCCAAAGGACACTGAGTCTATGGTTCCGTTTATATACAATGTCCACAATAGGCAAATCTAGAGAGACAGAAAGTAGATTAGTGGTGGCCAGAGGCTGGGGTGAGGGGGAATGAGGAGTTACATTTAGTGGTATCATCCTTTGGGGGAGATAAAAATGTTTTGGAACTAGATAGTGATAAAGGCTGCACAACACTGTGAATGCCGTAAATGTCGCTAATGGTAGATTTTATGTTATATGTGTTTTACCACAATAAAAACAAAGTAAAATAGATAATTGCTTAAAAAAAAAGCCATAGATTGATTCCTTTCCCATTTTTCCTGTTTTCTACTCTGTGGTTTATTCTTGGAGGCCCTGAATCTAGAAAAAAAACTCAGCTGTCCAAAAGTGAGACAAATCACTACTTTAAAAAATATTGCCAGGTGCAGTGGCTGACGCCTGTAATCCTAAACTTTGGGATGTCAAAGTGGGAGGAGTGCTTGAGCCCAGGAGTTCAAGATCAGGCTGGGCAACACAGTGAGACCCTATCTCTATGAAAAATACAAAAATTAGCTGGGCATGCTGGTATGCACCTTTAATCCCAGCTACTCGGAAGGCTGAGGTGGGAGGTTGCAGTGAGCTGAGATCACGCCACTGCACTCCCGCCTGGGTGACAAAGCTAGACCTTGACACACACACGCACACGCACACGCACGCACGCACGCACACACACACATAAACTGCCCCACCAGAGTTGCCTGGCCTTTGCCTGCTACTGGCAGAAACCTTCCTGAAAGAAGAGCACTGAAGCCTGTTCATAGCTCCCTGGGTGGCCGCAGTGCCCAGATGATTTCCCAAAAGGTAACAGGCTCGGGTGTTGGTGCCCACAAGAGACATTGCAGCTATCCCTCCATGTGCTGCTGAAGTGGATTTCATGAGCTTGAGGACTGATGGGCTGCAGTTGGGTTTATGTTGAGCATCCTCAAACTGGTCCCTCCCCTGAGTCTTTGGGAGAAAAGATTCTGGTCGAGTTGCCGGGCCCTCGTCCTGGAGAAGGGAGGTGGAGGGGTATGGGGAACTGTCTTGTGCGAGGTGGTTTTGAGTCAGCGGCCCTGTGTGCGGGTGGCCATCTGCTGGGTTTCTAAGGGGCATCTCACTTCTCCCAGCCTCAGCTTCCTCGTCTGTAAAATGGGGGCATGAAGATCAAATAAATCTGTAAAATGGGTAATCCTGAAGATTAAATAAGGCAATGAGCATATATCCATTCATGCAGAGTGCGACACACGGCGAGCTCTCAGTACACATCTGTGATGTATTTGGGGGGCCGGAGCCCTTCCTGAAGGAGGTGGTGCATCTGCAGCTGGCCCTGTCCCCCAGCGAACAGATGAGCAGCTGGATTCTCAGACATGTCTAAGAACTGGGGGATCCTGACATCAGCCACGTGAATTAGGATTCCACATGCAAAGGCAGGGAGACAAGAGAAGGCACAGCTTATGGGAGGAATGAAAAAGGCTCACATGGCTGAGGCATAGGTTCTGGGTTGGAAAGTGGTGAGGGAGGAAGCTGGGGACTCTGCAGGGGCGGGTCATAGGGGCCTGACACCTCAGGAGGAGCAGGGATGGGCGAGGCACAGTCGGTTCATTCTACAACAATCATGTCAGAGACCTCTCTTATGAAATGCTCTTCAGATCACTCAGGTTGAGGGTACTCTTGACTTCCTGCAGGGACTGTGACCCGTGTGGCCTCTCTGTGCCAAGCATGGCCAACGAGCCCAGGGCTGTGCAGATGGCACCCCGTGTCAATTTCCTGTTTCTCCATGCCGGTCATTCTTGTGCCGCTTTCATTGTGTTTGCCATCATGCCTTCTGTTTGCTAATTATGCGTTTTAAATCAATTTACTTTTAGAAGAAACACTTATAGAGAAATCCTTCACTTGGGCTAATTATATTTTCTAATACATTATTATACACACAAATGAAATAGAAGGCATTCGTTGTTGTTCTCCCCGAAATCATCTCCTTTTATATTTTCTAATACATTATTATACACACAAATGAAATAGAAGGCATTGGTTGTTGTTCTCCCCGAAATCATCTCCTTTCGGGAGCACACAAGCTACCCTTTGGAAAACACTTTATTATGTAATAAACAGTCACTGTGACAACCCTACATTGCACACTAAGCTGAGGGCAGGGAGGGCATGCCTGGCCCAAGGCCACACACACAGCTAGTAATGGGTAGCGCTGGATTTGGGTCCTGACTCCAGAGCCCTGGTGATGTTGTTGGGGTAGGGGGTGCCTGGATGCTAAATGCCCCACAGTGTGTTGGACAGCGTTGCCCAAAAAAGAACTGCCCTGGCCCCAATGTCAGGCATTCTGTGGCTAGGTGGGGGTTTGCTAGGGGCTGAACATCACCAAGCCAAGGAGCATTTGCAAATAAGCCCACTGTTAGGGGCTGAATTATTTCCTTGCCCCCAAATTTATATGTTGAAGTCCTAAGTCCCAGTACCTTAGAAGGTGACTGTATTTGGAGATATGGCTTTTAAAGAGGTAATTAAGGTTAAATGAGGTCATTGGGGTAGACCCAAATCCAATGATTGGTCTGCTTAGCAGAAGAGATTAGGACTCAGATATGCACAGAGGCAAGACCATGTGAGGACAGGCAGAAGGTGGCCACCTGCAAGCCAAGAAGAGAGGCCTCAGAAAAGCAACCCTGGGAGGGTGCGGTGGCTCACACCTGTAATCTCAGCACTTTGGGAGGCCGGGGGGCGCGGGGGGTGGATCACCTGAGGTCAGGAGTTCAAGACCAGCCTGGCCAACATGGTAAAACCCCATCTCTACTGAAAAAAAAAATAATAATAAATAAATTAGCCAGGCACGGTGGCGCACACTTGTAATCCCGCCTACTTGGGAGGCTGTGGCAGGAGAATTGCTTGAACCGGGAGGCGGAGGTTGCAGTGAGCAGAGATTGCATCACTGTCCTCCAGCCTGGGTGACAGAGAGAGACTCCATCTCAAATAAATAAATAAATAAATAAATAACAATTAAAAAAGAAAAAAGCAGCCCTGCCGACTCCTTGCTCTTGAACTTCTAGCTTCTAGAACTGTAAGATAATAAGTTCTTTTTGTTTAAGCCACATATTCTGTGGTACTTTGTTGTGACATCCCTAGCCGACTAATATGTCCCCTTCTGTCTGGACAGGAAACCTCTGTCGTGGGCACAGCCAGGCCCTCTGGAACTATGCCCAGCCCCGCACAAGCTGGAGGTGTGTGCCGGTTTTGAGGGCTCTGGCCTTTGGTCCTTAAATGCTCTTTGAAAACAGAAACACTGGGATTAATTTAGGAAAGAGGAAACTGGTTCTAGTGATTTTTTTTCCATAAAAAAAAAAAAAAACAAAAAAACACGTGACTAAGAGCACTTATAAAACACAGACAGCCTCTCCCTCCCCTAGAGCAAACTGTTATGTGTGGGGATAGCGCCCAGCACCAGGGCGGAGAGAGATCTTGGTTAGTATTCCTAGGATGGCTGCCTGGCAGTCTTTATTGCCTTCTTTATAGAGGCTTTGCATCTGCAGCCTCTTGGGGGATGCAGGTGCTGAGATAACCTGGCTTCACCTGCATTGGATGAGTCAGGGAGGAAGCCTGGCATGCAGTTCGTCCCTGAAGTAACCGATGGGACGAGAGAGAAAGCTCTGGTTCCACTGCTCACAGGCCACAAGCAGGTCACAGTCCCCCCAGTGACAGATCACGCAGGGAACTGACACTACTCAGAGTGCGCTGGAGGTTGTGCATCCTACAGCCAGGAAGGCAAGGACACTGGTCTTTATTCTACCTTGTCCCTTTCTTGCTATGTGACCTTTGGCATGTGGCTTCCTCTTGCCAAATTGCAGTTTCTGCATTTGTATAATGCCAGGGTTGGAATAAGATTGATCTTGAAGGTCCTAGCCAGCTCTAATGTTCTGTGATGTTTTCCTGTGATGGCAAACATCACCATTTGGGCAAGTAATTTACCTCTCCAAGCCCCAGCTTCTTCTGTAAAACGGGCTTAATAAAAGATCCTGCATTATAGGGCTATTGAAAGAATTCAGTATTTTGCATATGTGTATCAGAGTGCCAGGAATATATTAATACATGTGCAGAAAGTATTTGCTATTATTTGTATTTATGGTTATTGTTCTTTGAGATTTATTCATTCCACAAATATTTATTGTGTGTCTACTATATACCAAACGTTTCTACAAGCTCTGGGTACCTCTCATTGATTTTACATTCCCAAAGGAGGGTACCAGATGATAAACCGATAAATTAATATATAATGTAATTTCACATAATAGTAAGGACTTTGTGGGGAAGTAAAGGAAGGTTGAGGAACAGGGTGGCAGGGGTGTGGCTGTTGAGATAGGGTGGTAGCTACACAGATGGCTGGAAGCAGTGAAAGAGGGAGCCTTTCAGCTTCCTGGGGGGAGAATATTCTAGGTCATGAGTTGACAAACTAAGGGCCACAGGCCAAATCTGCCCTACCACCTGTTTTTATAAATAAAGTTTTATTGGAACACAACCACAGTCATGCACTTTCATTATGCATCATTATCTTTTTTTTTTTTTTTTTTTTTTTTTTGAGGGGTGACAGAGTCTTGCTTTACTGCCTAGGCTGAAGTGCAGTGGCGCAATCTCTTCTCACTGCAACCTCTGCCTCCCAGGTACAAGTGATTCTCCTGCCTCAGCCTCCAGAGTAGCTGGGATTACAGGCGCCAGCCACCACACCTGGCTAATTTTTGTATTTTTAGTAGAGATGGGGTTTCACCATGTTGTCCAGGTTGGTCTCAAACTCCTGACCTCAGGTGATCTGCCCATCTTGGCCTCCCAAAGTGCTTGGATTACAGGCGTGAACCACCACACCCTGCCATTATGCATTATCTTATCTATGGCTGCTTTCCTATTACGAGAGCAGAATTAAGTAGTTTCAACAGACCATAAGGCCAACAAAGCCTAAAGTATATGCTCTCTGGTCCTTTGTAGGAAAAGTCTGCTGACTTCTACTCTACATAAAGCAAACCACAAGTGCAAAGGCCTTAAGGCTGTGTGTGTCAGGTGAGCCAATGGGCATCACACAAGTGCTTATTCTGTGTGGCTCTCCGGGCCCCTTGTGAGGTCAGTTGTGTGTGGCTTGCCAGCCAATTAAGATGAGAAGATCCCTCTAGGACAGAAGTGATGCTACAGGCTGTAAGAGTTAAAGAGGAAAGAAACATGAAACATAGCTTGGCAGTTAAAGACAGGTTTACTTTAGATAAAACCTGAGAGGGGCTTCTGGCCGATTTCAGTCAGGAGCACTTTCTCTTACAGGCTAAGAGTATATATTGGTTTTAGGGTGAGGGGCTTATTACAAGCTTGGAATGTTTTTGTGTGAGAGAAGTTTTATGGTGGGGTTGGAATGTCTCTGGGAGGAGGAGAGGTTATCTTGGGGCAGATATCTTTCCAGCCAGAGGGGGATATCTCAAGGCTGGGATCTTCCCAGTTGGAGGGGGCTTATCTTGGGGCTAGCATGTCTCTGGTCGGGGAAGAGTTTGGAATGTTTCTGGTTGGAGATGTTATTTGTGGTTTACGGTCATGCTGACCTTAGCCATCAGGCTGATGCCCTTTGGATTTAGGCGATTTTTTTTATTAAGGTGATCTTTAGAATGAGGGACTTGTCCAAGATGGTAATGCTCCTGCTCTGTCACAGGCCTCTTCTGGAACACAAGCTAATGGAATAGGGGATATAAAGCAGGAAGTGGCTATGTGAAACGGCTGTGTTTTCGAGCTATTTTAAAGCACTCAACAGTTAGCTCATTCATTATGGTCATTGAATTATTATCTTGGCCTCACAGGGAGCTCAGCAGGGGCCATGGAGGAGCCTTGCTTGTCTTGTAGTCTGAAGAGCTCCCCCTTATTCTCAAGAGAACTCCTACTCTATATCCTACTCTATATCTCTATGTATCAAGCCCCCAAATCATGGAACTCTTCTTTCTCATCGAAATGCTGTTTAGGAAGTCAGACACCTAGATGCCTCATGTCCCAATTCTATCATTCAGGCATCCAAGAAAAATCCATTAAGGAGTGGACATCTGCCAGAACCAACATCAAGGCACCTAAATATATAAAGCAGATATTAACGGAACAGAAGGGAGAGACTGACGACAATATAAGTCACTCAACCTCTCTGAGACAAAGCTTCCGGGTCTTAAAGTGGAGATAATAATGCTACTTGTGTTTTTGTAAGGATTGAATGATATAAAGCAGAGATAGGTAGACTCCAGCTTGCAGACCAAATCTATCCAGCTACTAGTTTTTCTTAAAGCCCATGAGCTAAGAATGTTTTCTTCCTTCTCATTTTGAAATGGTTACATTTTAAATGGTTATATAAGTACCTACATAATAGCCTCATTTTTGCCTCTGGCCTGGAAAGCCTTGATTCTTTACTACCTGGCCCTTTAAGAAAAAGTGTATTAACCCTGATATAAAGCACGTGGGCATAGAAAAAGGGCTCAATCCATATTAACTAGTGCTGTTTCAATTCTGAAGGAATTAAGTTATCCTCAATGCCTTAACATGTAGTCCTCAAGAAGGTCAAGCATACTTTTAAAGTAGATGTTAATTACTAATAATTGGATGGGATTCACCATGTCCTGAGCACTGGCCCATCTCCTGTATATAGAGCAATTCATTTAATCCTCAAAACCACCCCAAGAGGTAAGTACTATCCCCATTTGAAAAAAGAGGGAACAGAGACACAGAGAGGCTCAGTATCTTCCTAAGGTACCATAGCTAGTGAGTTATGAGCTAGCATTCAAATCTAGGCTGGATTTCTCCAGACTCTGCTATTAACTCCTAGACTCTGCTGCACTTGACATAGTGTCGAGTCCCCAGAGGTGTTCAGTAAACACATGCACTAGTGTTTACTAAGCCACCCACCTACTGAGGCCTAGTGTCTAGCCCCCAGAGGGTGCTCAGTAAACACCAAGTAAACACTTGGTTTGTAGGGACATGGATGAAACTGGAAACCATCATTCTCAGCAAACTATCGCAAGGACAAAAAACCAAACACTGCATGTTCTCACTCATAGGTGGGAATTGAACAATGAGAACACATGGACACAGGAAGGGGAACATCCCACACCAGGGACTGTTGTGGGGTGGGGGGAGCGGGGAGGGATAGCATTAGGAGACATACCTAATACTAAATGACGAGTTAATGGGTGCGGCACACCAACATGGCACATGTATACGTATGTAGCAAACCTGCACATTGTGCACATGTACCCTAAAACTTAAAGTATAATAATAATAAAATAAAATAAAAAAACAAAAAATAAATAAAATAAAATAAAAAAACACTTGGTGACAGCATGCATGTGCAGAGTCTGTGAGCACGAAGAGCAACCCAGTGGACTGTGGGGCTTGGAAGAGGAGGGCAAAGGTGGTATCCATCAGAGCTCAGGTTCCTGGGTGTGACAGCTGGGAGCATTTCCACACAGCCACTTGGGTTCCTCCTCTGGTGGTCAATGCTCCTCCTGACCTCAATAAAAGTGAACATTTATTGCATTCAAGATGTGCCTGCATTCCATACGTAATTTTAATTTCTTCTGTAGGAGTGCATCAGGTCGTTCCAGTTGTAATGTGCACTTACAGATGAGGAAAGTGAAACACAGAGCGTTTGAGCGGCCCAGTGTCATGCAGCTCATACACGGTCAGCGTAGCTGTTCTCACACCCAGGTCTGTGCGGCTGCAGGGCTTGGCCTCTCAGCCACAGTGCAGGGTGGGGACATTGTAACTGGCTGCTTGGCCTTATTTGTGGACATGCTGGCTACCGTGAACTTCCAGAGACCCTAGTGAACACGTTCCAAATTCACAAAACTGCAGGATGGGGCAACGATCCACATTTCCTCTGCGAGCCTTCTCCTTTAAAAGCACACACTTTGCCACATTTCAGCACATGGCTCTGCAAACGTTTGCAGTTAATACCCTCTCCCAGAAGCCATCTGGGGGGCGATTCAGGTTCATCTGAGAGCACACAGTGGGTGGCCATCACCCGCATCCATTTTGTCGATAGGTGAGGGATGCTGATGCCAACCGCTTACCTCGGTAGAAGACCCCTCCCCAGGAGAGAAGTCTTAATGCCAGGAATGATGTCCAAACGTAAGGTGAATGGGTGACTTCTGGGGCAAGGGGGGACGGTGTGCTGTTGCCAAGAGGGGAACAGCTGGGAAGGAGAGACGAGAGCTCACCCTGCAGCAGCCATAGCAGAATCGGTTCATTGTGGGGCTTGGCTTTAGTTAATTTCTCTGTCCCATTACCTTGCTCAGGAGTTTCATGGTTGCAAAGAACCTACTCAAAAGAGGAAAATATGTTACCTTATGCAAAGAAGAAAATATGTTCATTCATTTAGTAAACATACTTACCTATGTACTCTGGGCCACACACTGTGCCCTCTGAAAATTTACTGGGAATAAACAAGGTAATTGCAGATGACAGGGTTTTTCTCGGGCCCCTTTGCTTGGCTTGCAGCAGGAGGTGCTCCATCTACTTGGCCCACCAGGCTGTGTCTGGCTTGCACTCCGTGGATCCCATGGCCACCACAACTGCATGCTTAGCCCCTGGTGGGAAGGGGTGTGTGAGCAAGCAAGTGTGGGGTCCAGCCAGCTGTTCCAAAAGCTGGCACAGGGGTAGGCTCCCTGCTGGGCTTGTGGCTGGACCAGGCATGTCACCCCAAGGGGGAATGTGGTGGCACCCAGCCAGGGGTGCCCACAACCCCAAAGCCCCAGAAGGGGTTTTAAATGTGCTAATTAACTCGTTCAGTACTCCCGTCCACAGTCCAACGGACAGCGGTGTGTTAACAGCTTGGTCAGCCCCTTGCCCCGCTCCAGCCCACAGCTCCGGGGGAAGCTCTGGTCCCATTACTGCTTCCTGTCACATGGGGTGGCTGCCCTCTGCCAGCAGAGGGCTGAGAGCCACAGTGTTACAGCCCTCTGAGTACCCACATTTGGTGGGTCCCAAGTTCTTGTCCCACATCCAAGAAGAATGAGGTCATGCTGACAATTGAAAGGTGATGAGGGCAGAGAATTTTATTGAGTGATAAAACAACTCTCAGTGGAGAGGGGATGGGCAAGTAGTCTCTCACCCTAAGTCAGGTCATCTCTCTCAGTGTGGTTGAGTCTGGGGTTTTTATAGGCACAGGATGGGGGAGGGGCGGGCCATAGATACTATTGAAAAAGGCCACGTTTGATTGGTTAAAAAGCATTCAGAAAGAATCAGGAAAGGATGGGCAAACAGGAACAGAAATTCTCACTCTTCTGTCCTGAGTCATGGGTTTCATCTGGAACCAGCAGTCCGGTCTTTCAGCCTTCAGGCTGTTTTGGCTTGAAGGTGGTGTTTCACCAGGGACCCACCCCTGTCTGCCTCCTGCCACTGTCACAGATAGCACAAGGTGCTGTGAAGAGTTCGAAACACAGTAATGCACAACAGAGGAGGCATGAAACAGGAGGAGGTCAAGGGAAGCGCCTCTGGGGAGGTAACAGCTGAGCTGTGTGAATGATGGAGCCACCCTGTTTGAAAATTTGGGTGAAGACTTTCCAGACAGAGGGAATAGCAGGGAATAGCAAGTACAAGTGCTCTGAGGCAGGACTTTGCATGGTGCAGCAGCAGAAGAGAAGGCTGCGGCAGCAGGAGGAAGTTAGCAAGCAGGAGATTTGGGAGACCAGGCAGGGGCAGGCCTTGAGGCCACCATCTGGATTTTCTCCTGAGAGCCACAGACAGCCTTTGGAGGGGCAAAGCAGCCCGTGCATGTTAGGGTATCCCCAGGAGGGACAGGAGGCCTGGGTGGGTCAGGCTGTCTTTCTGCTCCCCAGCTTGTCTTTCTGTGCCTTTGGCTTGTGTTGACAAAAAGAGTCGAACTCTGTAAAATATTTGAGGAGGTTTATTCTGAGCCAAATATGAGTGACCATAGCCTGTCACACAGCACCAGGAGATCCTGAGAATATGTGCCGGGTTACAGCTTCATTTTATACATTTTAGGGAGACATAAGACATCAGTCAATACATGTCTGAACTCCAAATATATGAGACAGGTCTCAATCAACTTAGAAAGTTAATTTTGCCAAGACTGAGGATGTGCCTGTGACATAGCCTCAGGGGGTCCTGACGTGTGGCCAAGGTGCTCGGGGCAATTTAGTTTTATACATTTTAGGGAGACATGAGACATCGATCAGTGTGTGTAAGATGTACGTTGATTCAGTCTGGAAACGTGGGACAACTCAAAGCAGAGAGGGGCTTCCAGGTCATAAGTAGATAAGAGACAAACAGTTGCATTCTTTTGAGTTTCTGATTAGCCTTTCCAAAGAAAGCCATCAGATATGCATTTATCTCAGTGAGCACAGAGAGATGACTTTGAGTTCTGTCTGTCCTTTGTCTGCAAGGAATTTCCTCGTGGACAAATTGTGAGGGAGGTATGTAGCTTTTTTACCCTAGTAGCCATAGAATAGAACGGGAGGCAGGTGTGCCCTAAGCAGTTCCCAGCTTGACTTTTCCCTTTGTCTTAGTTATTTTGGGGTCCCGAGGTTGACATATATTATACATCTTACATGTGCTAGAGGAAAATGTCCCCTCTGGAAAGGCAGAGATAACACAAAGGTGGGGGTTGGGGGCAGGAACAGCAGGGAGGGGAGCTTCCAGGTCATAGGTGAATTCAAAGAGTTCCTGAATTCCTGATTGGTGACTGGTTGAAAGAGTTTATCTAAAGACCTGGAATCAATACAAGGGAGTGTCTGGGTTAAGGAGTTGTGGAGACCAAGGTTCTTATTATTATGCAGATGAAGCCTCCAGGTAGAGAGAATAGATTGTAAATGTGTCTTATCAGGCTTAGAAAGGTGCCAGACTTAGTTAATTCTCTCCTGGATCAGGAAAAAAGGCCTGGAAAGGGAAGAGGATTCTCTACAGAATGTAGATTTTTACCCACAAGTGACAGCTTTGCAAGGCCATTTCAAAATATGTCAAAGAAACATATTTTGGGGTAAAATACTTCAATTTCGTTCAGAGCCTGCTATCTGTCACGTTGGCATCTTATTGGTAGAGTCGGCTTTGTCAGTGTTAAGGTCTCTGTTTTAATGTTCATGCTGGTCAGCCGTGCCTGAATTCCAAAGGGCGGAGGTATAATGAGGCCTGTTTGACCCGCATTCCCATCATGGCCTGAACTCGTGTTTCAGGTTAACTTTAGGATACCCTTGGCCAAGAGGAGGGGACCATTCAGTTAGCTGGGGGCTTAGAATTTTGTTTTCGGTTTATATTTGTCACCTTCCAGTCTCAGGATGGCCACCACAGCTGCTGCATTTGAAGCAGGAGCATGGGGCTGGAGGCACATGTGCTGCACCCACAGAACAGACAAGAAATTACAGCCTTTTCCGGAAACCCCAGAGAGCTCCCGCATCCACGCCACTGGCCGTGCGGACACCCAGCTGTGGGGAGGCCAAGGGATCAAGCACCCAGCAAGGGACATGGCCTTGCCAGTCCTAACATATCTCACAGCGGGGCATGTGGACCTGCTGCAAGGAATTGGGGCGCTAAGGGCAAGACAAAGTGAGGACCAGCCCTTGAGGCTGGCAGAGAAGAAACCTCAGGCCACGGTGCTCAGGCATAAATTAGAGCCCTGTCCCAAGTGCACAGAGAACAGCTGCGAGCAGGGCCCGTCTCACCCTACCCCACCCCACCTCCAGCTGTGGTGGGGAGAGAAGGTTCTGGGTTAGGCTCCAAGGTCTAGGGAGCCCACGTCGTCTGCCCCTGCCTGAGTGGAAGGCTGGGCGCAGGTGGGCCTCGGCGTTAGGAAAGGCAACTGCTCCCTCTTGTGGCCACTCTAGGGCAGCCCGGCGTCCTCCCAGCGATGTGGCAGCCGGTCTCAAGCAGGCAGGGGTGATCCCTCCTCCCCAGCCCTGCGCAGGCCTCGAAGGGGAAGAGAACCAGCGATGCTGGTGAGAGCTAACCTTGATTGGGCACCTCTGGTATACCAGGCGCCCTTCTGTGCACTTCGCAAATATTAATTCAATCCTCTTAACTCGGCCAGGTTGGTCCCATTCATGTGTCCGTTTTAATGATTGGGCCATTTGCCCAATATCATCCGGGCAGAGATTGAAGCTAAGTCCACCTCATAGCAAGGCTGTGCTTCCAGCTCCTGAATTTGGGAGCTGTAGAATGTGTGCTTAAAGACTACGCCTGGGGGACAATTGCATCGATCAGGAATTATATTTCTTTACTGTTTTTAATTTGTGTATTTAAAAAGGCTCCACCAAAATTTCTTTTTTCTTTCTTTCTTTCTTTTTTTTTTTTTTTTTTTTTGAGACAGAGTCTTGCTCTGTTGCCCAGGCTGCACTGCAGTGACACGATCTCGGCTCACTGCAACCTCCGCCTCCCGGGCCCAAGCAATTCTCCTGCCTCGGTCTCCTGAGTAGCTGGGACTACCAGCACTCGCCACCACGCCCAGCTAATTTTTGCATTTTTAGTAGAGACGGGGTTTCACCATGTTGGCCAGGCTGGTCTCGATCTCTTGACCTCGTGATCTGCCTGCCTTGGCCTCCCAAAGTGCTGGGATTACAGGTGTGAGCCACCATGCCCAGCCCCAAAATTTCTTCATGTGGGGACTTAAGGAGTCCGTGGATGTAGTTTAGACATCCCTGAAATTGGAAACAAAATGCTGCATTCATGTCTGTACATTTCCTTGGGTAAAGGCCTAGAGCAGCTGTCAGAGGGCAAAGGTATGGGAACCCCAAGAAGGTGAAGAGCCCCACTGCCCATTTTAATGTCATTATTGTGTTTATTCTCTCATAGACTCTCAGAGAGAGCCGGATGGAATTGATTAGAAAGTGCTTGTCACAAAAGCCTGTCTGAGCCCTAATTGACTTGTGACGAGCTTACATTTTGCATAAATCAGCTTTTGTTTAGCTCTTGGGTTTGACACCTAATGAGAGTCTCTCAGAGGCTGAGGAAAGCCAAAGCCATCCCATATTTTTAAAAAAGTTTAAGGCAAAAAGGGATGTCAGAATTGTGGTAAAATATAAGTGTTTATGTTTAACAAAGTAATGCTTTTTGCATAAGATTCAATGATGATACATCTAAGTTTGTTTATAGATAATGTCAAAAGTCTAAACTGGAGGATTCTGTGAATAAATGGCCCGGGCCAAATTATCCTTCTGCCATAAAAGGTGCCAGGTAGCTGGATGATGTCAACCCAGGTGTTGGCTTCAGAGATGACAAAACACCCCACCCCCTTTCTAATTCCCAGAGAAGCAGACAGAGCCCAGGTCACCCCTTCCCTCGCCACCCCGCCCCAACCCCCACCAGAAGCAGGTGCCTCAGGGTAGTGGGGAAGTACCCAAGGCAGGGGCCAGGTCCAGGGGAGGGAAGAAGGAGCATAAGATAACCTCCCTTGCACCTCCCCAGGTTTAATTCACCTTACTCTGGCCTCAGAGTTTGGTTTGAGGCTAAATCCCCAGGAATCCAACCCACATTCAAAGGGATACACCAAAGCTCATTCCAGGAAACAGAAAAACTGATTTCAAGTTTCCAGCTGTTTGGGCAATCAAGGAAATAATCAGGGCTTTGGATTTGGTTTCTGTTTCTCTCTTTGGCTGTGTGACTTTGGGTTAACCTCTCTGACCTTCAGATTCTTCGCTACCTTTCTAGGTAGCTGTAGCAATCAGTGAGGTTCATTCTGCCTGCACTGAGCGGGGCTGAGTGCTGGGGAGCTGCCTGGTGCTTGGGAAGACAGAACGTTCTGTTAACTCTCATACACACACACAAACCACTCACAAAGGCATGTGGGGACAGAGCAGACTTTACTGAAGGTTTGGATCAGTAACCAAAGACATCTTACAATTGAAAGCTGCATCTCCCTCATCTTCAAAAGCCTCCCGGCTATGTTCACCATCTGGC
Source organism: Homo sapiens (assembly GCF_000001405.40). Classification (NCBI taxonomy): domain Eukaryota; kingdom Metazoa; phylum Chordata; class Mammalia; order Primates; family Hominidae; genus Homo; species Homo sapiens. The sequence continues at coordinate 51,309,043 of NC_000020.11, forward strand.
TCCAGCCCCTTGTCCTATTGTCCAGCTCATCTTTCTTTCCTCCCCTCCTCATCCCCTCTCCTCTCCCATCCTCTCTTTGCAGTGTTCCCTCTTCAAAATTCCTCTTTACTTCTAGCAAAGAGCAGTTCAGCACTCTTTTGGTGGCCTGACTCCCAGGGTTACTGCTAACAGCTGTGCAAATGTAAACCCAGGTTGTACCAATTACATCATGGTCCATAGCAGGGGGCCACAAATTGCAACCCACCGCCAAATATGGCCCACTGCCTGTTTTTGCAAATAAAGTTTTATTGCAACACAGCCACACCCATTCACTCACTCATTGTATATGGCCCCTGACGCTATACAACTCCAGAGCTGAATAGTTGTGACAGAGACCATATGGTCCATAGACTTAAAATATTGACTCTCTGTCCATTTATAATTCAACATTTTAATGAACTGCCTGGAATCTGTGAGAGACTAGTTAGAGAGACTGGTTAAGGGTCACTGTCTGCATTTCTTCCAGTAACATAAAGCCGATCTAGCTCCTGCTAGGACCAGGCTATCAGCCTGGCTCTGGAGACAGATTGATGCCCAGGAACTTCTGCCTGCCCTCAAGAAGCTTGAGATCAAGTCGGTGAGAACACTGTGCCATGTTTAAGTGGCACAGAAAAGGGATGAGGTCAACCCCAGGAGGGCTGACCCCTGCAGGCCTCTGAGCCAGCTGGGTTTGGCCATGGGAGGCAGAATTCGGAGGGCAGGAGAGAGGCTGGGGTGTTTCTCCCCCTCTCTTTCTGCCTCAAGAAGCACCTCTGCAGCTGCCTGGGCCCAGAATTGCCCAGCGTTTCACAAAAAGCTACAAATATGGATTTTGTATGAATTCTTCCTATTTGTAAATGTTAGCATTGGTGATTCAAATATTATTCAAGCTTTTTTAGCTCCATGGGCTTATGGTTTGTGGCTTTTGTACAGTAGTCATTGATACTGTCCCCAGTTTAAAATTCCTATGAGTCTGATACAACCCCTGTGGAGAGCAAAACTGTACATACCCACATCATATGATACACCAGTTCCACCCCTACGTATCTTTACTCCAGACAATCTCCCATTCCAGCATGCTGGAGCCATACTCAAGGAGACTCATAACAGCATCTGTGTGTAACAGAGAAATATTAGGAACCATTAAAGTGTCCATCAATGGGAGAGTGGAGAAATGCCTTGTGACATATTTGCAGCAAAAACAACTACAGCTTCATTGATGTACATGGATGTGGAGTTCTCATTAGGGAGGAGGAGTCAGGCTGGTGGGACAAAGGGAAAGCAAAAAGAGAAAGCAGATAAGCTGTAAGTCTGCCTTTCCAGGACACAATGCAGGACCATGGACCTCTTGCACAATATAACTCACAGTCTTCCTGTGCCCAGCTATTACCAGACTCTTGGCTGATAGAAAAATGCAAGTTAGCTCCCTGCAACCTTGGTGTTATCAGTACAGCACGTAGCCCTCTCCAGCCCAAGAACCAGCGTATAAAATCTCCAGCAAGCTTTGTCCCTTTGCAGTCAGCTCCCCTCTTGCTGACCTGCCCATTGCTTCCTTGCAGCGCTTTCTCGAGTAAATCTGCCTTTCTTTACCTACAGCTATCTTGGTACATTCTTTTCACCACCTATATGACACCAACCCCAGAGAGTCGCAACCCACGACAATGGACAAACCTCAGAACATCATTTTAGAATGAGAAAAGCATAGTATCTTACTTATATAAAGTTTTAAGCATGAAAGCAAAAGTGTCTGTTGCACAGGGATATATGTGCATATGTTCTATAAATGTAAAGGCAAATATGGGAATAACAAGCATTGTATTTAGGATTATGAAACCTCTGGGATGAGAGAGAGAAGAATGGAGTGGGCAGGTTATTCACAGGGACCAATTTTATCTGCCATGCTTTGTTTCCTAAAAAAATCAACCATGGGCACATGAGGGGCTCCCTAGGGTAACAGATGATTTCTTAATCTGGAGGCTGGTTCCAATTTGGGAAAATTCATTGAGCCAATCATTTATGATACGTATAGTTCTCTGCACATGTGTAATTTTTCTTTTTTCTTTTTTTGAGACAGATTCTTGCTCTGTCACCCAGGCTGGAGTGCAGTGGTATGCTCATAGCTCACAGCAGCCTCCAACTCCTGGGCTCAGGTGATCCTCCCTCCTCAGCCTCCTGAGTAGCTGGAACTACAGGCCCACATCACCATGCCTGGCTATTAAAAAAAAAAAACTGTCTGTAGATACAGGCTTTCACTATGTTGCCCAGGCTGGTGTTGAACTTCTGGCCTCAAGCAATCATCTTGCCTCAGTCTCCCAAAGTTTTGGGGTTACAGGCATGAGCCACTGCATGTGGCCTGACTTTTCAATACAAATCTATTGATATAATTTGGATATTTGTCCCTGCTCCAATCTCATGTCAAATTGTAATCCCTAATGCTGGAGGTGGGGCCTGGTGGGAAGTATTTGGGTCATGGAGGTGGATTCCTAATAGCTTGGTGCTGTCTTTGCAATAGTGAGTGTCAATGAAGAGTGTCAAACTCTGCGAAATATCCGAAGAGTTTATCCTGAGCCAAGTATGAAGGACCAGTGGCCCTATGACACAGCCCCAGGAAATCCTGAGAATATGTGCCCGAGGTAGTCAGGATACAAAATGATTTTATACATTTTTGGGAGACATGTCAATCAATGCATGTAAGATACATGTTGGTTTCGTCTGGCAAGGCGGGACAATTGGATAACTGGAGGAGGCGGGGTTCCAGGTCATAGGCGGAGTCGAAGACTTTCTGACTGGCAATTGGCTTAAAGAGTTATTATTTAAAGACCTGGAATCACAGACGGAATGGTTAAGATAATAGGTTGTAGAGACCCAGGTTTTATCATGCAGATGAAGCCTCCCAAAGCAGGCTTCACAGAGAATAGATTGTAAATGTTTATCAGACTTCAAGTCTGTTCTATCTGTCTTAAGATCTCTGTTTTAATGTTAATGTTGGTCAACTGTGCTTGAATTCCAAAGGGAGGGGGAGGAGGGTATAAGGAGGCATGTCTGACTTTCACTTCCCATGATAACCCGAACTCGTCTTTCCAGTTAATTTTAGAATGCTCTTGGCCAAGGGGAGGGTTTATCAGCAGGTTGTGCGGCTTAGAATTTTATTTTTGCTTTACATGCGTGATCTGGTCATTTAAAAGTGTGTGGCACCTCCTCTCCCTCTCTCTCTTCTTATAAATTACCTAGTCTCAGGTATTTCTGTAGAGCAATGCAAGAATGCCCTAATACATGTGTTGTAGGGGGAAAAAAAAAAAAGGGTTCTTGTCACATGACCAGGAAAGATTAGGCCTGCAGACACTTTGAAGGGTGAGGGGAAATGGAATTTATTAGGCGAAAAGGAAAAATAAATCTCAGTAAAGCAGGAGAGAGTCCTGCTAGAAGGCTTCCCACCTCATAGTTTGAATCCCAGTTTACTATCCAGGAACAGGAGAGGCCAGGTTCCTTTCCCTTGCAAACGGCACAAACTTCTTGAGACTCCACCCCATCCTCCCAGTGCTCAGGCAGGTCAGAGATTCTCCAGGACCTGCAGTCCGGGTTTTTCAGCCTTCAGGCCATTTTAGGCTTGAAGGCGGAGTTTTGTGGGGGGACCCTTGGCTGTCTCCTGTCTCTATGACATGTATTAAATAACTTCAGTCATAAAACAAATTTGAACCAAGCTGGGTAGTAGATGTCAGCCTTTCTGGTACACAGGTTGAGCATCCCGAATCTGAAATCTGAAACGCAAAATGCTCCAAAACTCAAAATGGTGTGAGTGTTGATGCTGTACTCGAAGGAAGTGCTACAGTGAACATTTCAAGTGTTCAGATTTGGGATGCTCAGCTGCTCAGTGTAATACAAGTATCCCCAAATCTGAAAAACTCTGAAATCTGAAACACTTCTGGTCCCAATCATGTTGGATAAAGGATACTCACCCTGCATTATCCTCTGCTCTTTATTGTAGGCTTAAAATACTCAATAATGAAATCCAATGAATCTACAAATGCTCGGCAGTGGCCTGGCTGCAAAGTGAGACCACTAAAGGTTTATTGTTCACAGTGACCTGGCCGCATATCTAGACAGTTGCTTTATGATGGGAAATCTATAGTAAAAACAGGCTTCAGAATAAGATAGATCTGCTGTCTTAAGCTCTTCACGTTACCTTTCCGAGCCTCAGTTTCTTCATCTTTCTAATGGGGAGGATAATGCCAGCCTCATGGCTCAATGATGGCTGTTCACAGGCCCTCCAGGAAAGGGAGCTCTAGCCCTTTGCAAGGAGCAGAGGCCTGAGAACAACCGTATGTGATGGTGTTGGAGAAGCCAGTGTGTGGGAAGCTTCTGCTAAGTCAGCAGCATCAGGGATTTGCAGGATGGCCTGACCAGGAAGCATGTTCCTTCCCCCAGCACTTCCTTCCTGCTGATGGAATTGACATGGGCTGGAATAGTGGAACACACACTCACACATACACACACGTATGCAAACAGCATCCTGCTGGTTTTGATGGATGCGATGCATTGATTGAAATACGATGATTCATCAGCATGAGGGTGGAGGTTCGTTCTCTGAGCTTGTCAGGAGGAAAAGTGACAGGGCCTACAAGCAAGTGCTGGAGTACTGGTTCTCAACCAGGGGTAATTTTTTTCCCCCAGCAGTCATTTGGCAAACTCTGGAGATATGTTTGATGGTTAGAATTCAGGAGATGCTACTGGCATCTAGTGGGTAGAGCCCAGGGATGCAGCTGAACAATCTACAATGCACCGGACAGGCCCTCTAGCAAAAAATTATCTGGTCCAAAATGTCAATAGCGCCAAGGTGGAGGCCCTTTAGAGGGGACCTAGGGGAGAGAAACCTCTTGGAGGAGCTGACATCCCATCCAGGACATGCAAACGGCCCATCAGGGATTAGAAGTATCTTCTAAAGGGCAGCTTCTCCGGAGCTCTGTCTGCAGAGAACACCTGCCCAATCCACTCTTATGAGTGGCCTGCCATATGTGGGAGCCTGGGGGCAAGAGATGGCTCTTTCAGCCTGAATTGGTCACCAAGAGCTCAGGAGCTGGTGTTCAAGGGCAATCCAGGACCCTAACAGGGGCATATGTGGGCACGCTCCAGCCTTGGCGTCCTCACCCATTTGATTACTAATTTTGCAAATGTGAGTTTGGCCCGCGCTGGAGCCATAGCTTACCCTTCAGGTTCATTTAACATTATCATGTGTACAGCCCCACAGGCTGTCCCCATTCCCAGGTGGGCTTGGCTGGGTTCTCTGTGCAGGGTCTCACCAGGCTGATGTGAATGTATTGGCCGGGCTGCACTCACATCTGGAAACTCAGGGGAAGAATTCACTTCCAAGTTCATACGGGTTGTTGGCAGAGTCCGGTTCTTGGTGGTTTTAGGACTGAGGTCCCTGTGTCTTTGCTGGTTGGCTGCCGGGGGCCACACTCTGCTCCCAGGGGCCTCGCGTAGCTGCACAGCCGGCAAATATGCACCGAGTCCATCCATGCTTTGGATCTCTCTGGCTTCCTCTTCCGCCATTAGCCAGAGACAGTTTTCTGCTTTTCACGGCTGTGTGATAGATCAGGGTCATCCAGAAAATTTCCCTCCCTGTCTTAAGGTCAGCTGTGCCGCATAGCACGATCGTGGG